>NC_000006.12:145070790-150070790 GCF_000001405.40 Homo sapiens
CTTCTGGGGTAGTGACAGAAATCAAGCATGAGTATGATCAAGTCTGCACTCTTGTTTAAAAGCAAATTCCCTATTTACGACTAAAGATATTCTTAGAGGAGTAGGGGAGAGGGTAGTTATTTATGTCTGTGAGTTTGGAATTCAGTAGTAAGTGATGACTTTACACTGAATTATTTGTCCTCTGCCTCCCAGGCTCTTTAAGGCCTGTAGCAATCCAGGGATAGTGCTTTAGCCTGAGGCTTTAAGATAGAGGAAATCTACAGGCTTGATAGTTATGAAGTCATCTGTCTTCAGCTCCCCAGAAGAGGGGAGACAGGAGTTGAAAACTATAAACACACCATAATATTTTGACGGGTTAGTTTGAAATCACAGTAACTATGAATTCATGCTGGTTGAACACAAATTTGGAGACTTTAATCCTTGTAAGGGACTCTGCCTTAACACCATGTGAACTGGGTAGGTACAGATTTTCAGAACACAGGAATTAAACAAAACCATAGCTGGCACCTACCATCACTGGTGAGTATGTGCAGTTTGCTTCTTAGCATCCATTCCCCCTCCCACATTTTCTCTGGCCACCATTCCCCATTCTCAGTCACTGGGTGCATGGCTTTGACCTCACTGCTCTCTCAAGGGATGAGTCTGGACTGTCCATAAATGGATCTCTCTCCTTCAGTCAGAGTGACTAGATCAGAGATATCATGTCATACCAGTGGACCGAATTAGATGTTAGAAGAAATCTGTTGGGGCAGCCCTGAAGAAGAAGTTCCCTCTTTCTTCTATAAGGAAGAAAGTCCTCTTTTTCTCTTCTTTGAAAAATGTAGGAAGCAAGGGCCAGAACCAATATGGCGTCTTTTATTGTTACTATTTTTATTTTGTGTTGATTGGTTCTTGTTTTGGCTTCCACAGAAGGAAACTTGGAGCTTCTAAAGGATGGAGTAGGTGTATTGGGGTGGGACAGAGCAGGCTGGGGTGAAGCAGACGCTATGGCAGAGTACACAGAGAGACCAGGCCCTTGGTGATATTGAGGGGCTACTAGACTAAGCTTTACCTAAAGCTGGATCCTATGTCTGTGCTTTTATGTTCAATGAGCCATTATATTTATTTTTTTGTTTAAAACAAGTTGAGTTGGATTTTGCATTTCTTGCAACCAGAAGAATATTGATATTGCACCTGATGTTAAGAAAACAAAATTAGCTCCATCCTGCTAACTCCTAGAGCTGACGTGGCAGGGATTACAAACTGCTTAGGAATGAGTAAGACATGAGAATAAGTGAGCTATGTTGTTTAATTGCTTCATGACTCATTTCAAGCATTTTAACGTTTAAAATTTTAAGAATATTAAATAACATATGAACTTTAAAGTAGCTTTTTCCAATTCTGTGAAGAAAGTCATTGGTAGCTTGATGGGGATGGCATTGAATCTGTAAATTACCTTGGAAAGTATGGCCATTTTCACGATATTGATTCTTCCTACCCATGAGCATGGAATGTTCTTACATTTGTTTGTATCCTCTTTTATAGAGCCCGCATTGCCAAGTCAATCCTAAGCCAAAAGAACAAAGCTGGAGGCATCACACTACCTGACTTCAAACTATACTACAAGGCTACAGTAACCAAAACAGCATGGTACTGGTACCAAAACAGAGATACAGATCAATGGAACAGAACAGAGCCCTCAGAAATAACGCCGCATATCTACAACTATCTGATCTTTGACAAACCTGAGAAAAACAAGCAATGGGGAAAGGATTCCCTATTTAATAAATGGTGCTGGGAAAACTGGCTAGCCATATGTAGAAAGCTGAAACTGGATCCCTTCCTTACACCTTATACAAAAATCAATTCAAGATGGATTAAAGACTTAAACATTAGACCTAAAACCATAAAAACCCTAGAAGAAAACCTAGGCATTACTATTCAGGACATAGGCATGGGCAAGGACTTCATGTCTAAAACACCAAAAGCAATGGCAACAAAGGACAAAATTGACAAATGGGATCTAATTAAACTAAAGAGCTTCTGCACAGCAAAAGAAACTACCATCAGAGTGAACAGGCAACCTACAAAATGGGAGAAAATTTTCGCAACCTACTCATCTGACAAAGGGCTAATATCCAGAATCTACAATGAACTCAAACAAATTTACAAGAAAAAAACAAACAACCCCATCAAAAAGTGGGCAAAGGACATGAACAGACACTTCTCAAAAGAAGACATTTATGCAGCCAAAAAACACATGAAAAAATGCTGACCATCACTGGCCATCAGAGAAATGCAAATCAAAACCACAATGAGATACCATCTCACACCAGTTAGAATGGCAATCATTAAAAAGTCAGGAAACAACAGGTGCTGGAGAGGATGTGGAGAAATAGGAACACTTTTACACTGTTGGTGGGACTGTAAACTAGTTCAACCATTGTGGAAGTCAGTGTGGCGATTCCTCAGGGATCTAGAACTGGAAATACCATTTGACCCAGCCATCCCATTACTGGGTATATACCCAAAGGACTATAAATCATGCTGCTATAAAGACACATGCACACGTATGTTTATTGCGGCATTATTCACAATAGCAAAGACTTGGAACCAACCCAAATGTCCAACAATGATAGACTGGATTAAGAAAATGTGGCACATATACACCATGGAATACTATGCAGCCATAAAAAATGATGAGTTCATGTCCTTTGTAGGGACATGGATGAAATTGGAAATCATCATTCTCAGTAAACTATCGCAAGAACAAAAAACCAAACACTGCATATTCTCACTCATAGGTGGGAATTGAACAATGAGATCACATGGACACAGGAAGAGGAATATCACACTCTGGGGACTGTTGTGGGGTGGGGGGAGGGGGGAGGGATAGCATCGGGAGATATACCTAATGCTAGATGATGAATTAGTGGGTGCAGTGCACCAGCATGGCACATGTATACATATGTAACTAACCTTCACAATGTGCACATGTACCCTAAAACTTAAAGTATAATAAAAAAAAAAGAATATTAAATAACATCGTGGCTTTTTCTTCATTTTTATTTGTCTTTATGACCTGTGACAGAAACAATGGCATCTAAATACTTTTAAACAGCCTGTGCTTAGAATACTTGAGATAATTGCTCATAGTTTATTCAGGCTTTGGAATTGTGTAAAGCAGACAACCAGAAAGCCAGGTCACTATTGCTGGTTTCATTTATCATGGACCATTTATAATCAGTCTCATACCTTTTAAATGGAATAACCCCTTTTCCCACATTAACTACATCATCTAGAAGAATTCTGGACTGGTCATGGTGGAGGATGAAGGAGAGTCCTGACATTGTCATGTTGTAAATGCCTTGGGCATTGGTTTTTCATGACTGTGTGTATACATGCATACACGTGTTCAATATGGGTGTGGGAACAAGGAGGGCCAACTAAATTTGAAGTCAGACATAAAAATTAGCAGAAAATGACAGCAAACAGAGTGAAGAAAGACATCTTATAGTGGCAGAATGACTTACCTTCTTTGTCAATGCATCTGAAACTGTCTTGGAAAATCCAAATGAATCCACTGAAGAATTTTAAATTAATGAGAGTTCGAAAAGCACCTGAATCAAGAGAAATGCACAAAAATCAATACTTCTCTATACCAGTGACAGTTGGTAAGCAATTGTAATGGAAAAAAATTCCATCTACTATAACACCTCCAAACCATAACTAGTTATGAACCCACATAAAAAGAGATATGTACGTTCCATATTAAGAAAAGGACAAAAGCTTAAGAAAGATACAAAAGAAGATTGGAGTACTTTTTAGCTAGATGGAAGAACTCACTATTTAAAGGTATAAATTCTTCTTAAATTAACCTAACATTAGTATAATTTAAGTTCATATAACTTCGTTTCATATTTTCTCCTATAAATTCTTTCTACGATTTTAGGAAGAATTTATAGGAGAAAATAGCTGTTTTAAGAAGGATTATTTTTGTCTAAATATCAAAGAGTTCTTCTCCTTGCCAAGCCCCAAATTATATAATAGGAGGGAGGGAGAAAGGAAGGGAGGAAAGAAGGGAGTAAGAAAGGAAAGAAGGAAGGAAGGAAAGGAGGAAAGAAAGAAGGGAAGAAGGGAGGGAGGAAGGAAGAGAGGAAGGGAAGAAGAAAGGAAGAGAGAGGGAGGAAGGAAGAGAGGAAGGGATTGGGGAAGGGAGGGAGGAAGGAAGACAGGAAAGGAGGGAGGAAGGAAGGGAGAAGGGAAAGAAGGAAGACAGGGAAGAAGGAATGGAGGAAGGAAGGAAGGGAGGGAGGAAGGGAGGAAGCAAGGGAGGGGGAAGGAAGAGAAGAAGGAAGGAAAGGAGGAAGGAAAGGAGGGAGAAAGGAAGGAAGGGAGGAAGAAAAGAAAGAGAGGAAGGGAAGGAGGAAAAGAGGGAGGGAGGAAGGAAGGGAAGAAGGAAGGAAGAAAAGGAGGGAAGGAGGGAGGAAGAGAGGGAAGAAGGGAAGAAGGAAGAGCGAATAGGAGGGAGGGAGGAAGGGAAGAAGGGAGAATATTCTAGGCTAAGGGAAAAACTAAAGCAAAAGCCCAGAGGAAGGAATGTGCTCAATATATTTGACTAACAGCATGAAGACCCCCAGGCTTTAGCAGAGTGAGCAAAGGAGTCATGAGTAAATTTAGAAAGGAAGCCAGAGGTCAGATTATACAGGACCTCATAGGTCAATGTAAGGACTTGGGTATTGTCACGGGTGTGACTGTGAAAGCAGAAAATGATAAGTGCTGGGGTGAAGCAAGGGCAGGAGCTGAGACATTAGTTGAGGTGGTGACTTTAATATTTGAGAACACAGAGGATGGTGGCTTAAGCCACAGGGGGAGCTGTAGCAATGTTATAAATGATTCATTTCAGAGTAGTTTTGAAGGCAGGGCTGACAGGATTTGTGATAGATTGGATGTGGGTGTGTGAGAAACAGAGCAGTTAACATGACTTCAAGTTTGAGGCATGATCAACTAGGGGTTAGTTGTGCCATTTTCCTAGAAAGGAAACTCTGGGAAATGGGCAGGTTTTGGAGAAGGAGAGAAAGCAAGAGTACTGAGCTGGCCATGTAAAGTCTGACATGCCTATTACATTTCCACATTGAGATATCAAACTGGCAGTTGCAGAGGTCGATTTAGGTTTGGTGAGATCTAAAGCTTTGGACAATGTGAGGTGCTTTATTGAATAAAAGTAATATAAAGTTATAAATGAAAAATAGCACAAAAATATAAATACTTTTCTAGAATAAGAACATAAATCACAACGAACCTCACATTTTATAAAGCTGACAAATATCAAAATATCACTACATTTAGAAACTATGAAATAGTGTCGAAACACGAGGGTTCCCTGATCCCCCTCACAGGATGTGTGATGGGGTGTGGCTCGCCTCTTCAGTTGCTGCTGCTTAAACCCCTGGTGGGAGGGGGAACACACAGATGGGCGGGTGCAGGAGCCAGGGTGAGTGCACTGGGCTCCGGTCCTGTGGTAGTGTCTAGGGCTGGGTGCCCGTGGCCCCAGTGTTACAATGCTCTTTTAGCCTTGCCATCTGCAGATGGCTTAAGTATTAACCAGCTCAGTGAATTCTCTGCCTTTTCACAAGGGCAGAGGGCTAGCATGACAGCTTTCTGTATCCCAAGCTCTTGCCCAGAGTCCTGGAGGAATCAGGTCACACACGGGCTTGAAGGATAAATGTGGGATTTTATTTAGTGGTGGAGGTGGCTCTCAGTGGGATGTATGGGGAGCTGGAAGGGGGATGGAGTGGGAAAACCATCTTCCCCTGGATTCTGGCCATCAAACAGCCAAACTTTTCTCCTACTGTCCATAGCCGAACTCTTCTCAGTGTTCAGATTCTCCTCTTCTCTCTTTCTCTGCTCCACCATGGCACAGTTAATCTGCCTTCTCCTTGTCTACTCATCTGCTTCTGGAGGCTGGGGTTCAGGATTTCTATGGATACAGGATAGGGGGTGTGGTGGGCCAAAAGGCAGCTTTTTGGGCATGAAAACAGAAAAGTCTGTTCCCACTTAGGACTGTGGGTCTCCAATCTTGAGGGTGGAGCCTTTGCCAGAGAACCATCCTCTTCTACCCAGTATTTCCTTGTCTCCTGTCTGTATCATTTTCAGTTAATTTTTTCCTCTAGTATGTTCAATTCAATTTCTTAAAAACATTAATGGAGGTCTGGAAGCATAAATCATGCAACTTTATACACAAATACAGAGGAACTTCCTATTTGTAGTACTTCTACAGAGTTTGTCTTAGAAATACAGGAATTCTGATAAATTCTCATTTGTACAATTTCTATGAGAAAAGAAAAAAGTGTGATACATTTATAGTTACACATACTGCATAATTAAGGATTTTCCTGGTAAAAGAGAAATTTCATTGAGACCAGACATCAACAAAAACCAACCCTGCACTTAAAATTTTGATAATTGGAAGACTGTTCCATAGACTGCCTGATGGCTTTATACATGTCTTTCATTGCTTTTTTTTGCAGATAATAAAATGCACATATTGTGTATTTGGATGGGTTTTGACCAATGTATACACCCCGTAAACCATTATTAAAAATAAGATATAGGACATTTGCATCACTCAAAAAACTTCCCTTATGCCACTTTATAGTCAATAACCCCTATAGAAGCAACAATTCCTTTGATTTTTATCCCTCTACATTAACTCTTACTGTTCTATAACTTATCAAAGGGATCACACAGTGTGGGATTTGTGTCAGGCTTCTTTTGCTTTTGAGATTCATCCATGTCTTTTGTGTGTATCAGCAGTTTTCTTTCTTTTTACTGTTGAGTAATTTTCCATTGTGTAAATATGCCATAGTTTATTTTTTCATTCTCCTTTTGATGGCCGTTTTGATTTTTCCAGTTTTGGGCTATTATGAATAAAGCATCTATATGTGCTTTGTACAAGTACTTTTCTTGATAGAGATTTTCATTTTTCTTAATTAAATTCCTGGGAGTGGTATTGGTAAAACATAAGGTGGCTGTATTTTTAAATTTACTAGAACCTGCCAAATCATTCTCCAGTGTGGCTGTGCTATTTTCCACTCTCAGTAGAAATGTATCCGATCCAGTTGTTCAACTGGATGTATTTTTACATTTTAGTCATTCCAGTGGGTGTGCTATCTCTACACATTTCAAAAGTTGTTTCTCCTCCACTACCCAAATATATCTGATGCTAGGTGTCTGTAAAACATGTTATCTGTGGTCTTACCTCCTTATGTAATGATTGGGGGGAGTCAGCACTCAGGACATTAGGAGTATTCCTGGAAGTCACTGCTAAATGAAGCTGGCTAGCAATACCTTAACTGTATCTGCAAGTAACTGCAAATGACAAAAATGTATCCAACTAAACATTAAATTTCTCTCAGTACTAACTCTGTTTTGACAAGGTCATCCTAATGACCCTTGGTCATTCCAACTGTATTCAACAGAAGAGAAAGTATGACAGTTGAGAAGGAGAAGTGGAAAGTGGAAAGTGATAAGTTTATTAAACAACCACAGGTAAAATATATTACTCTGCACATTTTATAAAAACAGATGACAAGTTGGACATATGTCACACAGGCTCTTTAAATGGGCCTGCAAAAGGAAAGGATACTGAAGCTTAAGATTCTTTAGTGTCACAGTTAGGTTGCCACTGGAAAATTGAATAGGAAGTTTCGAAGAGTGGTCAATCCTGGAGGAAAAACCTCATGAGTTAACTTGGTATTTTAAACATTAGGACTGGCTGGGCGCGTGGCTCACGCCTGTAATTCCAGCACTTTGGGAGGCCGAGATGGGCAGATCACAAGGTCAGGAGATCGAGACCATCCTGGCTAACATGGTGAAACCCCGTCTCTACTAAAAATACAAAAAATTAGCCAGGCTTGGTGACGGGCGCCTGTAGTCCCAGCTACTCGGGAGGCTGAGGCAGGAGAATGGCATGAACCCAGGAGGCGGAGCTTGCAGTGAGCTGAGATCACGCCACTGCACTCCAGCCTCGGCGACAGAGTGAGACTCCGTCTCAAAAAAATAAAAAATAAAAAAATAAAAAAATAAAACATTGGGACTGTATATGGTCATTTAGGCAATGTTGAAAGCAAAACTTCAGACAAATTAAATTTAACAGAATTTAATTGAGCAAAGAATAATTAATGAACAGGTAGTCCCCAGAACCTGAATGGGTTCAGAGTGACTCTGGGGCTGCCATGTGGTCAGAAAGACATTAAAAATGTTCAGCATGTTTGGCCTGGTGATTTCACTTCCAAGAATGTCTCCCATGGAAAAAGGTATGTACCTAAAGATGTTCCATGACTTACTTTTTTTATATTAAAGTGGCAAATGGGAAAATAAACACTAACAACTTAGCAAGGAATAAATAATAAATATAGGGTCATGATGAAGTGACATCCAGCCCTTACAAATTAATCATATTTTTTCTGCACATCATCTATAATTTTTAAATTGAGTTATAGCATACATCAAGTGTACAAATCTTAAATACAATATTCACTGTATTAAGTGAATATACGATATTCACTGTATTAAGTGAATATACGATAATCACTGTATTAAGTGAATATACGATAATCACTGTATTAAGTGAATATACGATATTCACTGTATTAAGTGAATATACGATATTCACTGTATTAAGTGAATATACGATATTCACTGTATTAAGTGAATATATGATATTCACTTATACTTAATACACAATATTCACTTATACTTAATACAGTGAATATTGTATTTAATTATATATTTCTAAAATTATTTATTGATTTATTTGTTGTTATTTATTTTTGAGATGTAGTCTTGTTCTGTCACCCAGGCTGGGGTGCAGTGGCATAATCTTGGCTCACGGCAACCTCCACCTCGTGGGTTCAATTGATTCTCATATCTCAGTCTACCAAATAGCTGGGATTACAGGTGTGCACCACCACGCCTGGCTGATTTTTTTTGTATTTTTAGTAGAGACGGGGTTTTGCCATGTTGGCCAGGCTGGTCTTGAACTCCTGGCCTCAAGTGATCCTCCACCTGCCTTGGCCTCCCAAAGTGCTGGGATTACAGGCATGAGCCATCATGCCCAGCTGAATTTCGTATGTTTTATACAGATACACCCATGGACCCAACACCATGATAGGACATTTTTAGTATATCAGAAGACTCCTCATATCCCCTCCCAGTGTGCCGGTGTGTTCTAGACATTGAAAGAGTTATACTTCTTATTTTTAATTCATAAATTATACATCCGATTTGTGCACAAGTCTTTTGTGAGCTTGCTTTATTATTAATTAATCCTAATACATGGACATATTTGCCATGTGCTGACAAAATCAAGTTGCTGAACTTAAAAGTTACCATCACAAACTGGGCCATATTACACTTTTCTGAGTTAGTTGGGCCCTTGTAAAGATACAGCCAGGCCCACTTTTTGGTGTCACTTTGATATTGCCATGAGATTTTCCTTTCAATATTTACAGTTATTAATATAGGTTTAAGAAGTGTTACCCATGTGACCATTTTTGACATGTTGAGCAGATTAATGAAATGTGCTTTCTAAAAAAGATAAACTAGTTGACCTTTAACAAAATTTTTTTTCTACATAATGCTTTAAAGTTTTAATTTGATCCAGATAATTGCTTTCTCTTCGTGAGCCCATCCAACCTAAATAAAAAATGAAAAGAATCAGCCTCTTCCAAGTCAAATTCAGGTTTATAACTTCACATGTAAAGTGAAGAAAAAAGGCAATGGAAATGACAAGACAGATTTGGACATGGACTAGATAATCCCTCTCAGATAATAGAACAGATCTTTAATTTGCAGAATTCTTTTTGCTAGAATGATTCCCCTTTAATATTTAAACAATCCTATTGAGAGTGATGAGACTCTGTGAACCTGAGTTACATACTCTCATTTGGGCAATTCATTACAATTTCTTCTGTATTCTTTCAAGTAATTGAATCAACTTAAAAATTTGCCTTGGTGACCAAGTAAATAAGAAACTGCTTGTTAAGAAAGAGTGATTTAGATTTGATGACTGTGAGTCAGTCTCAAAAGGCACTTCTATAAAAAGCATAAAGTGAAAGTGTTCAAGCATCCTTCAGGGAATTAACAGCAAAATTGAAAATGGCTTAAGAGGGAATAGAAAGTGCCAGAACTTAGAAAAAGCCCTACCAGTCACGTAGGAAGCATTAGAAGTAATGTTAGCGGTCAGAGTGAATGGCACCTTATGGAAGATTTGTTCTACAATAATCCCTAAATTCAGACATTTCAGTCAATTGGTCTCAGTTTAAATTTTATGGAGCAACGTCAGTTGATTTAGGAATTTACGAATAGTTAGATGTGAAGAGCATAGCAATTGCATTTGGAAAATGATATAACAGTATCTATTAAAACTAAATATATACATAACCTATGACCTAGCATTTCTTTTATTTTTTTATTTTTATTATTATTATTTTTTGAGACAGAGTCTTGCTCTGTTGCCAGGCTGGAGTGCAGTGGCGCGATCTCCGCTCACTGCAACCTCCGCCTCCTGGGTTCAAGCGATTCTCCTGCCTCAGCCTCCCGAGTAGCTGGGACTACAGGTGCCTGCTACCACGCCTGGCTAATTTTTGTATTTTTAGTAGAGATGGGGTTTCACCATGTTGGCCAGGATGGTCTCAATCTCTTGACCTATGACCCAGCATTTCTACTCTTAGATATATGCCCAAAAGAGATGAGTTCACACACCCACAAAAATCCATGTGTAACAATGTTCATAGTATATTTATTCACAACAGCCCCAACTGGAAACAACCCAAATCTCCATCAATTGGAATGGAAAAATAAATTGTGAAATATTCTTATAATGGAACAAGGAAAAAACAACGAGAAGAAAGACTGCAACTACCCGTAATAAAATGGATCAATTTCATAGATATAATGTGAGAGTGAAAGAAGCCAGAAACAAAAGAGTACAAACTATATGATTATATTTTCATAAAGTTCAAGAGTAGACAAAGTTAAGTTACAGATTTATAAGTCATAACAGTAATCACACCTGAGTGAGGTATTGACTGGAAAGGGACATGTGGTAACTTCCTGGGGTTCTCTGTCTTGACAGCATAGTGGTTGCTCAGGCATACACGCATGAAAAGTTCACTGAGCTGTGCACTTAGAACTAGTGTACTTTATTGTATGGTATGCTTCAATAAAACCAGTTTTTAAAACTAATAACAAAGTCAGTATTCAGAGAGGATAATCTAGTCATGCAACCCATAACAATGTTTTGGTCAACAATGGACCACATGTATAATAGTTCCATAAGATGACAGTGGAGCTGAAAAATTTCTATCACTTAGTGACAGAGTAGTGCAATTACTTTATTTTAAAAATAAATTCAGTGTAACCTAAGTGTACAGTGTTTATAATGTCTACAGTAGTGACAGTAATGTCCTACACCTTCACATTCATTCACAACTCACTCATTGACTCACCAGAGAAACTCCAGTCCTGCAATATTTATTCATGGTAAGTGCTCCATATAGGTGTATACATTTTTTTATCTTTTATACTGTATTTTTCTGTACCTTTTTTATATTTAGACATGTTTAGATACACAAATACCATTGTATTCCAAATGCCTGCAATATTAAATTCAGTAACATGTTATATAGATTTGCAGCTTAGAAGCAATAGGTTGTACCATCTAGTCTAGGTGTGTATTAGGCTATACCATCTAGGTTTGTGTAGATACACCCTATAATGATTGCACAATGACGAAATTACCTAACGATGCATTTCTCAGAATGTATCCTCATTGTTAAATAAAACATGAATATGCTTGATTTCGTGCCTCTTTCTTTCCCACTTCTCAGCTAGATAATTTCTGCTTAGTAAATAAATAATTATATTATCAAATGAACATTATTAAATAGAACCAACGGCAAATTGGCTATGTGGCTACAACTCAGCTGCTGGATTATTGCTAGTCATTGGTAGGAAAATCTTTTGTAAATACTATATTTCCTATCCCTTAAAGCTGGTGTTGTCTATAGCCTTTCATATTACATCATCTGGCTCTTCCAGAATGGTATTTATCAGACTCAAAAACAATAGCAACCCTTTTCTGAAAGAAATCTTCCCATTAGTTTGACTAGCTGTCATCCTGGTTTCATGAGAGTATAACTTAGGTGCAAGCTCTGTGACTTTTTTCATTCAAGCAAATTCTTATCTCTACTTAGAACTGCTGGGCATTTAATTGATGTAATTTAAAACTATTTCCAGTTGTATTAAACATTAAACAGCATGAAGACTCTCACTAAATGCTGGCGCCCTGTTCTCGGACTTCCCAGCCTCCAGAACCATGAGCCAAATAAATTTATTTTCTTATTAAAAAACAACTATGTATTTGATCTGAAGAATAAGTCAAGGGAAAAACAAAAACCAAGCATAGAAAAGCAAAAGATAAAAAATACCCTTCCAAAATAAATACAAAAGAAGTAGTAGGCCAGGTGAGGTGGTTCATACTTATAATCCCAGTGCTTTGGGAGACTGTGGCAGGAGGATTGCTTGAGGCCAGGAGTTCTAAATATTGACCAGCCTAGTCGGCATAGTGAGACCATGTCTTTTCAAAAAATAAAAAATAATTAGCTGAGTGTGGTGCACATGCCTGTAGTCCTAGTTACTCAGGAGTCTGAGATGGGAGGATTGCTGGAGCCCAGGAGTTCAAAACTACAGTAACCTATCATCATGCCACTTCACCCTAGCCTGGGAAACAGAGTGAAACACTATTTCCTTAAAAAACCCTGAAAAAAAATTTTTTTAAAGTAGTAGCATAGTACCTGGAAAGCACTAATTAATTGAAATAGGCACTTGCCTGACACATTGTTTTCATCACAGGTAAGTCTGGACTATGATGCTGAGAGATTTCCATCAACTAATTCTGGAACATATGGAAATAAAAAATAAAGCTAAGTCTTTAGTATCATTTCTCAAGGTACATAAGCCTTTTGTATTGATGATATCAAGTGGGGTATTATAATTTGTCAACCTGGGGTACATTTCTGCAAGAAAGAATTAAATTTGCACATGATCCTTAGAAATGCAAAATATAAAATCTGTAACTGGAATGTGATTCCATATGACTATGGATGTTGCCCTTATTCTGAATGAAACAGAATATCAGTCTCTGGGACCTACTTGACCGGTTACTATCTTTATGACTTTGGAAAAATGATTCTTTATATCAGATAAAAGAAGGGGAAACAGAATTTATAACTAAATATTCCAGAAGAATAAACACATGCCCTCATTAACTTCTAAACCCTCTGAGCCCCTCGATATACATAGGGGATTGATTCCAGGACCCCCTTGAATACTAGAATTTGAGGATGCTCAATTCCCTTATATATAATGGTGTAGTATTTCCTTATAAACTATGCACATCCTCCTGTGTACTTAAATCACCCCTAGGTTACTTATAATACCTAACACAGTGCCTACACATTGCTGCATTCAAGTGGGTTCAACATAGTACTCAGAGCGTGGCAAATTCAAGTTTTGCTTGTGAAACTTTGTGGATTTTCTTCCAAATATTTTTCAACCATAGTTGGTTGCATCCACTGATGTGGAATCTTTGGGTAGAGAGGGCCAACTTACATATAAATAAATAAATAAATAAAGCATAAGCCCACAAAGACAAATAAAATGGAAGAAGTACAGCAGGATTGATATGGAAGCAAATATCTAGAGAAAGAGAAGCATGTGAATGTGCAGCCTCTAATTTAGCAGTGTAGAATCAGCTGAAACCTAAACAAATGTGGATGGGGCACCAACAGGATGCAGGTACATTCTCATCCCACTGGAACTGGAATGATCAATTTCTGGAAGGTGAAGGTGAGTGGTGGTGCTAAGAACAGAAAAATCAGCTCCAAGTTGTATAAGGAGCAGGCAAATCTTTCCAACCTCATCCCACATGCCATGTAGTCAGTTAGCTACTGCTCTTCCACCTGGAAAAAGAGGAGTGGCTTCTCCTCTGGAGAAATGTAACTGGAGGGACTGTATTCTTGGAGCACCAAAAACACTAAGGGGCAGCAGCAAAGTGCTAAAAACCAAAGGATTATGTAAAAGTCTAAAAAAGTCATTAAGTTTCTTACCTCATCTCCCCTTCTCTGTGCCCAAATGCTACCTACCAAGTTTATAACTTTCAGTTTTTCTTTATTGGCCAAGGAGAAAAGACCAACAGATGTCATCATTCAGATAGTTTACCCAAAACAGCCTGATTTCTCCTTAATCACCAATAGAGTAGCAATAAACTATTAGTGCCCCATTATTAAATATAAATGAAACACTAAGCATCCTGGATATTTGAAGAAAACTTCCAATATGAAATAAACAAAATAAACAGAGAGAAAAAAGATAAGAAAAACAACTAAAGTCGTTTAAAACCCATTCATAATATTCTTCTGAGAAAGTATTGTCTCCATTAATTGAGAAAAGAATGCTATAAATTGGTACTGAAAATAGAAAGAGCTTTTAGAAAATTAAAAACAGAACATGATGGTATGAATTTCAAAGAGATAAATAGAAAAATGAAACACAGAATTTGATAAAATCTTCTGGAAACTAAAAATCTCCTGGAAACTAGGGGTAAAGCACAAAGAGGTGGAAAGCAAGAAGGAAAAAATTGGAAGAACAAGAAAGAAGGCGCAATATCTGACTAGCAGAATTTTTAAAAATAAACAGTAAATAAAATGATGGTGGTCGGGGGTGGCTATCAAGAGATAATATCAAGTATGACTTCATATCAAAAGGGCCCACTGCATGTCCAGCACAATGAGGAAGAACTTCCATCATCATGTAATTTCCACATAGAACTAAGGAAAGGAAGGGACTCACAAATGATTGTGTGACCAGATTGTGGATCAGATTAACACTAGACTTTTCAACAATGCATTGAAACTACAAAATAATGAAATAATGTCTTCAAAATGTGGAAGAAAAGTTCTTTCCAACCTGGGATTCTATATCTAGATAAGTGAGTGTAAATGTGGAATAAATTCATTTTCATATAAGTAAGGTCTTCAAAATTTTTACCTCATCTTCACACATTTTTTCTCATCAAGCTGACAGAACCATTGTTCAATAAATAAATTAATAAGGAGGAAAAAAATAAAATCCATTAAACAGAGGATTCAACACAGAGAAAGTAAAAAAGCTAATGACTAAAGGAAGTTATTCTAAAGACACCTGGTTATAAAGGAGAGAGAGTAGCCTGCTTAGATGGTACACATTGGATCAGGACGACAAAGCCTTCAGGAAGAATTTCTAGAAAGAAAAAAAGTGGATATGTTAGTGTTTCAATCTATTTGTGTTGCTATAATGGAATATCTGAGGCTCGGTAAATTACAAGGAAAAGAAGTTTATTTGGTTAACCGTTCTGCAGGCTGTACAAGAAGCATGTTTCCATTGCTTTTGATTCTAGTGATGAACTCAGGTTGGTTCTGCTCATGGAGGAAAGAAAAGGGGAGCCAGTATGTACAGAGATCACGTGGCAAGAGAGGAAGCAAGAAAGAGAGGAGGAGGTGCCAGACTCTTTTCAGCAACCAGCTCCCTAGGGAACTGAGAGTGAGAACTCACTCACTCCCATAAGAATGGCACTGAGCCATTTGTGAGGGATTCACGCCCATGATCCAAACACCTCCCACCAGGCCCCACCTCCAACAATGTGCATCAAATTTCAACATGAGAATTGGCAGGGCCAAACAAATCATATCAAAACATAGTAGTTAGATTTCCTGATGTGGTGATTTTTACAGTTCTGTTGAAGATTTGGTAAAGAATTAGTGATAGAAACACACAGAAATTAAGCAAAAAATAAAGTAAAAAAGAGAGAGAGAGAAGGTACAATCCCTAACTTCCAGAAAAATAAAACTATGTAAAAGAAAAGTGATGTTGTCATTGCATATTATGTGGCTCAGCATAATATACAATATGTAAAATATTTACAAGGTAATAAGGATGTAAACACTGAACATTGAGAAGAGGGAGAAAGGGAAGTGTGGAAGTACAAGTTGAACAAAGAGTGCCGTGGCAGATTGTATTTTCCGTAAGTGGCCCTATCAGTGTTTCCCATCCATATGCTCTTTTCTAATGTGACCTTGTCAATCTCCCATCAAGAGATGGAGTCCAGTTTTACTTCTGGTGAACCTAGACTAAGCTTCGGACCTAGTTGTTGCTGACACTAAGTGACTATTGAGGCTAGGCTAGCAAAGGCCTTGCAACTTATGTATTTTTCTCCTGGAACTCCCGCTTTTAGAGTCTCATCTGTCATATAAGAAATTTGTTTACCCTGAGACCACAGTGCTGGAGATACCACGCAGAGAAAGACCACATATATGCCCACAGGTTTCAGCTGTTTCAGTACTCAGTCATCTGAGTCATCACAGTCCAGACATTAGATATGTGAGTGCAGAAGTCTTGAAGAAGATTCCAGACTCAGCCACTGTCTGACCACTGCCACACAAAGAACCCTGAGACAGCTAGACATGTCTAGCTGCACCTAGTTGAACCACACAACTGTGAGAAGTGGTAATAATTGATTGTTGTTTTAAGCTTTTGTTTTGGGACCGATTTTTATAAAGCAATAGGGGAGCCAAACAAGTGCTAATTCTTATTTTTCATAATTTAAAGTCAAAAAACAGCAAATAAAGTACTCAAGAAATAGAAGCATAAGCATATTAGTTTAGAAACATAGCTGGAAATAATACAAAATACAAGAAAAAACTCAAGCACATAAAAGTGGTTGTTCCTAGAGAATAAGAGTTCTAGGGTAAGCACAGGTGAGACAGAGGATCACTGATCTTAGCTGTAACTCTTATAGCACTATTTAACTTTCAAAGTTAAATACTCATATTTATTTGATAAAAATTAAATTTATAAAAATGGGGATATCTACCCTGCCTACGAATCACACATTGCAAGTGCAAGATTTCCCAGAGTTTATGAGCATGAAAGCACTTTGAAAACTCTAAAATACTATCAATATGTGGCATTATATCTATCATTATTTTTAATTTCCCATTCTGTCTTCAAGCTTGTTCAACAAAAGTTTGAGAAAAATTCAGTTTAATTTACAGTGAAAATATGGGTTCTAGAACCAGTTTTAAACTAAAATGTTCAATCCGAGCCTTAGTTTTCTGACTTATTAATAAAGAATTGAGTAGGAGTGGACATGACATTGAAGAAGTCACTTCCAATATGTTACAATATTTAGCATCTCTGGGACTCTACCTTAGAGCTCATCATTGCTAGGTTCTATGCTAGATTTAAAATAGTTTAAGACAAGAATTCTCAAAGTTTGGTTCCAGGAGCCCTCCCTATGCACTCTTTAAGTCACTGGGGACCCCAAATAGCTATTGTTTGTGTGAGTTATAGCCTTCGATAATTACTTACTAGAAATTAAAAATGGAAAATTTAAAATATTTAACTTATTTTAAAATGACAATAATAAGCCCATTACATGTTGGAATATTTTTAATAAAGAATAATTGCTTTTCTAAATAAAACAATTTAATGAGAAGACTGGGATTGTCTTATACCATTGCAAGTTAATGTTGGCTTAACAGACAAGGGCTATATTATACTTGCTTCTGCATTTAATCCACTGCAATATTACACATTAGGTAACCTCTGAAAACTCCACTGCACACTTGTGACAGAATGAGAGTGAAAAGGGCAAATAATGTCTTACTATTACTATAAAATTGATTTTAATCTCAGGGATCCCCTGAAAGGGCTTTAAGAAGACCTCCAGGTGCCAGATATTAGAACCCCCAGTTTACAACAATGATATGCACTGACTTCAAAGAAATTTAAAGAGTGAGCTTCTAAAAAGTCAATCAGTCTTTAGAAAGTCAGTAGATATAGATCAGAGATGAATGATTTTTCTTTGTTTTAAATGTATAGGTATGAACAGAATGTATCAATGAAATTAGGGCAGCAGCAGCATGTGATGGTTAAGAGCCCTATCTCTGGAATCAGACATCAGGGGTTCAAATCCTGGCCCTATTATTTATCAGCTGTGGCAACTTTGGCAAGTTACTTAGTTCCTCTGTGCCTCCAGGGTTAGTATCAACGTTAAATGAGTCAATATCTTTAAGTATTTAGAATGTGGAATGGTACATAATCAATGCTAACATATATTTGTGAAATAATATAAATTTCTTCCAGGAAAAAAAGTCAAATTCAGCTTATTATGTAAATACTGACCATAGACAGAGGCCCTGGATTCTCTCCAGGCTTTACCACCTGTGAGTCACATGGCCATGGGAGTTATTCAAACACCTGGCCCCCAGTTTCTCTGAGCATCCATCCTTTACATGACAGATGTGAGTCTCAACTGAGATGACAGTTATGAAAGCTTTTGGGGAAAAGTTGAGTCCTATGCTGCTCTGCAAATGTAAACGGTTATTCTTGTTCATATTCTCACCTGTGTGATGATCAGCTTTCTGTGAATGTATTATGATTTTTGTTAACTTCAGGTATTCCTGGTCCTCTTGGATTTCCTTTGGCTTTGGATATCAGAAAGGCAATGATTGGAATATTGTTTTCTCTACCTCTTGGCATTTTGATTTCTGCTTTCTGGGTAGTGTTCCCTTCCAAAGTAAATGCATTAGGAAGCTTTTGGATGTGTGATTTAGTTTTCACATCATGTAACATTTGCTGAGTTTATCAGTCCCCTGAGGCCTCCGCAGGACAGAAGAGGAGAGAGAGACAAAAAGCTCTTACAAATACCATTATTATTGCAATTATTCACTAAGGCAGAAGGTGGTTTTATCTTAGATTCAAAGCTTTGCTGGGAGGAGGGAAGAGAGAGGAGCACAGAGCCAGGGAGACTGTGAGCACATTGGCTGGAGATGTTCTAACCATATTGGAAGGACAGGAGGTCACAGAAAGTCTGGTCCCATTCCATCAGCTTAGATCTGAGGGAGATGAAGTGGACATGACAACTGAGCATTCAATCTAGTGGAGCCAACGTCAAGCCCTTAAACCAGCCTAGCCATGGATTTAGCTTGAGCTGCAACCAGGAGCTTAGATTCTTTCAGGACTCAGAGGCCTATAAAATATGGTGCAAAACTTTTTACATAACAAAATCTCCCACTCTTCCTACACCTCTATTCCCATCATGGAACTATGTGGAGTTTCCAGAATCTACTGTGCTCTTTGCCCACTTTTCCTTTGTTCATGCTAGGGCTTCTGCATGGTGTGCCAGCTTTTAGGCCTGGCAAACACTTACTTTTCTTTCAAGACTCAGGTCAGTTGCTAGCTCCTTTGGGACTCCCTAAGAAATCATAGGTACTTCTTTTTGGTCTACTAATAGCATCTCAATTTAACTTAAAGGCCCTAGGGAATTTATTCATAAATGTTTGATTGACATATCTATTTCCACAATAGATATTGAAACGGGAGAATTCCCTGAACCCCTTGTGAGATGTGCAACAGGGGTGTGGCTCATTTATTTGGCCTCCACGTGCTCAAACCTCTTATGGGAGGGGAGCATGCAGATGAGCAGGTGTAGGAGCCAAGGCGAGTGCTTTTGGGGTCTGACCCTATGGCAGTGCCTAGGGGTGTTACAATGCTTTTTTAGCCCTGCTGTCTGGGGACAACTTAAGTGTTAAACAGCTCAGTGAAGAGTCAGTGTGACAGCCTTTTTGGGTTCCTGCACCCAGTGTGCCCTGAATTCTTGTCTGGCATCCAGGAAGAATCAGGTCACACAGACTTGAAGGATGGTGAATATGGGGATTTTATTGAGTGATGGAGGTGGCTCTCAGTGGGATGGGGAGCTACAGAGGGGATAGAGTGGGGAGATGATCTTCCCCTGGAGTTCAGCCATCCTGCAGCTGATCTCCTCTCTGACCATCCCCAGCTGAACTCCTCTAAAAGTTCAGATGCATCTTCTCTTCTCTCCTTCTCTACCATGCCACTCTGCTGCTCTGCTGCTTTGCTGCTCTTCTGCTTATGGAGCCTGGGATTTGGGGTTTATACAAGCACACGACTGGGGGCTGTGGTGGGCCAAAAGGCAACATTCGGGCATGAAAACAGGAATGCCTGTTCTCATTTAAGGCCATGTGTTTCCAGGCTTGAGGGTGGGGCCTTTGCTGGGGAACTGCCCTCTTCTACCCAATACTTCCCTGCCTCCTGTCCATATCAATATTAAGATTTTTGTGGATAAGGACTCTCACTGAAGTATGCACATCTCTAAAAACAGCATTCATCGTTCATGTTGGAATACTAATAAATGTTTGCAGAATGAATGCATAACAAATGCCAAGAATGCTATATGTCTGAAGTTTTACTGTAGGGCAAAAATGCTGAATTACTAATGGAAGTTTCCCTTCTTGGATCCTGGTAATCAGGCTGCAGTGTGGCTACTAGCAGGAACACAGGCAGGGAGATGGTGGCCATGTGAGAGCTGTGTTGGTGAGGGTGAAGTCCAGTTCCTGAGAACACTATTGCATAAGAGTGGCAGTGGGCTAGGGGCTAGGCAGAGAAATTGCGATTCAAAGGCTCCACCTACCCAGCACTGTTTAGATTATTATTGTTAAAATATACCCCAGCTGACAGACCAAATGAACACCCTGTGGCTAAAATGAGACACACCAGAAATGGATTCAAATGCCCACAGCAAGGAGAAGAGTTAATCAGGTACCCCTATATTACCAGCTGCCATAAGGTCTTCTTTCCTGTACTTGAACAAATACTAGTTCTTAAAAACACCTTCAAAACAGCTACAACTGGGAGTTTCCCAACTGACCTGGGTGGACCACCCAGCTCCAGCCAACTGAACTGCCCCCACCCCTCCTTGTGGCCCCACTAGCAACTCCAACTGGATAGGAGACTGACCTTACAAACATTCTTGCCTGATAAACAGCCACGAACTTCAACCCAGTTTCAGCCAGCTCATGGAGAATGTGCAAACTTCTTTATGCTCTTTAGTTCACATTTTGACATAAAATTTCACCTTACTTTAATGTTAAAACTCCACCCAAAAATAAGCACAATATTTCTGTTATGTATGTTTGCCTACTGCCACAGGGGTTGACTTCCCCCATAAATATTCATAGACTTCCTCCAAACCTGCTAAATACACGTCTAAGATGGCCCCTGAAAGACATAAATGCCAGTTCATCCTCTCCCCTCTTCAGAGTGCACTTCCATTTTACACCAAAGGCTGTGTCTTCCCTATCTTTAGATATTGTTTTGTTTTAAGAAAATAAAGCTCTCCCTTTTTCCTTCACAGATCTCATGGTCTTTTGTTAACACTATAAACATGTTGATTTCAGTCAGAAGCCAAGAGGTAAGAAGGCGCTGTGGATGGAACTTGGGCTTTAGGCATCAAAGCCCACCACTAAATAGAAGCCCAGTTTTGGACAAGTTATGTAAGTACATCTAATCTCAGTTTTCTAGTTTTAAAACAGACTTAAACTTTAAGTGAGTGAGGAATTTTAAAAATTAAAGAGGATAGATTTTGCAGTGCTCTATGTACAAATTTCAGCTCAGGCACTGACTGAAGTCCTAGGATGGCATCAGTTTTCCCCTCTTTAAACAGGAATAAAAATAGTTTCTGGATGGTTATAAGCATTAAATGAGTGAAATCACAGAAAATGCTTTCCTTAATGCCTGACGTACGAGCTTAAGAAGGGTAAGCTAATATTTTTATTAAAAACTATGTAAACGACTCAGCACACAACAAAAACATGTTAACTCCGTCACCCTTCAATATGGTGGACCCTGACCTAGAGGTCAATTAATCTGATAAAGGTTGGATAAATGCAGTGTATGGAAATGTGAGCTTCCTTCCTCCTTTTCTTCCTCTCTTCCTCCCTCCTTCCCTCCCTTCCTCCCTCCTTCCCTCCCTTCCTTCTTGGCTCATTGACAACATTTGAAACTGCACAGGATTTTGCCCTTCTAGAACACCTGTTGGGCTTTGCACAATCCAGGCAAATCATGTTCCTATGGTGGTAGATTTCCTGTGGAGTCTGAGGATAAAAATGCCAAGGGGAAGGCCTGTTTCCCGTATGTTAAATGAACGTGTGTTTTCTTCCCAGGAAAAAAAATATTGCGATGAAGAGGGTGTGCTTCAGAAACTCATGTTCCTGCTCTCCTGTGACTCTGATGATAAATCACAAGCACCTCCACACTGATGTCTGGGAGAAAACCACATTGGAGCTGACAAAATATAGTTTAACTAAAAATAGAATCACAAAATTTTCATCTATATTTTAAAAGTGTGTGGCGGGAATGGTAGGGTCCTGGAGGTGGGAAGGAAGGAGAAGAGGCAATATTACCAGCTCAGGTAGAGCTTCTGCTCCTTTTCCAAGAAGCACTTAAATGCTGAACTGATGACTGAGCCCTTGGCTGGGGACAGCCTGCTGTGGTGTTGGGGCTCGGGTGGATTCCCAGCCTTTCTAAACCTAAATGAACTCTTTTTCCCCCTGGAGCCTGCGGGAAGCCAGAAAAGGACCTCTCTTCCATAGTATGGGAGAGCTGCAAGGTTCAGGAGATTAGCAAGTGGAGCACAGCAGCTTCACCTTCAGTGGGTTGGATCCAGGCAAGCTAGTTAGAAATATCTCAGGGATGCCTGTCAGCTGTTCAGTGGCTTATGAGAATTGAGTGTGGGTAGCTGCTAAGTTCCTTTGGACACATTTTTTATAAGCCTACAAAGTCTACTTTTGGTTCTTGACTATGATATAGTTTCATATGTGTTTACTCCAAAGTCCTAAAAACACTGATGGGGGATAATTGTCCAAATGTAAACTATTATTGATATATTAAGATCTGTATTTATAAATAAATTTTTATTTTGATAGGCTTATCCAATTTATCAGAAATGGGGCCATTACAAATGTTAAGATAGCCTCTGATACTGATAAACAATATTAAAGCAAGCAAAGGCACAGATCTTTGCTCAGATGGAAACCGGTTGGGTGATTTTACTAATTCATTAATCCTTGACTGCCATCAAAGGCATAGTTGCATTATCTATCGATAGAATTTATCATAGTAAGAAAAGACCTCTGCATTTAGGTAGAGTCATAAGTGTTTATGCAGATAAATATATGCTTCTAATGTATTCCACCAATGCTTTGGAGAGTAAATACCCATAACTAGAGCAAATTGAGGATAAAGTGCAATGCTGGCTTATCCAGTGAGCAGGAGCTCTTCTGTGGGACTTTTTCTTTTTAATTTTCAGAATAACTTTTAAATAATTTGTTTTATAGTTTGTTCAGAACAATTCTCCTTATCTAAGATACTTTTAAAATCATGGTCTGAGTCATAAAATTCCACCTTAACAATTTTAAATTCCCCTGGGTTCTAGAATCAGTTCTATTGCTACTGGTGTAATCCTGTGCAGTCTCTTCCTCTCTTTGCGTTTAGTTTCTTCAGTGTGAAAATAGGATTGGATCAGGGCTGAACTAGATGTTTAATCAATTGCCCTTCAGCTCTAAAAATAAAAAAAAAAATCTTTGTAAACAAGTTCAGGTCACACTGAAGAGAATTTACCCCTCCGCCTAAATAATTCATAGACACCGTGAAAAAGTGATCCACTCATTCTATCCAAGTATCCTATGTATTCTCAAACTATTTTTGATTGAAGTAGAAGATAGGGTGTTTTGCTGAAAGTTTTTGAACCAGAATCACAGTCTCAATGGGAAATAGCTGGCACATTCAAATGGACACATTTAAGAGAACTTAGGTGGAATAACTATTTACATAGACACAGGCAGGATTAAAGAATATCAACTAGGTATGGTAGACATCCTAATAAACAATATTAGGAACTGTCACTTACCCTGGGACTGAAGGGTAAGAGGACAGAGTGGATACCAGTACACAGAGGGAGACCTATAACATTAGCATAAGAAAGGACAATTGGACAGGTGCCACAGCCTTGAGCAGGAGGGATGCAGTCATTGCTAACCCATGGCCCCACAAGAGGGGACCTTCTCCTTCCTCTCTTAGCTCCTTTCTGCACCTTCTATTGATCAAATCTAAAGCCAGAGAAAAGGGAGCCTATGAATACGGCCTGTGTTATTCAGGATTCTTTAGAGAAACTGAGCCAATGGTGTGTGTGTGTGTGTGTGTGTGTGTGTGTGTGTGTGTTGTGTGTGTGTATATATATATGTGTGTGTGTGTGTGTGTATATATATATATATATATATATATATATATATATATATATATAGAGAGAGAGAGAGAGAGAGAGAGAGAGAGAGAGAGATTTCAAGGAATTGGCTGATGTGATTGTGGGGACTGGTAAGTCTGAAGTCTGCAGCCTGTCAATCTGGTTGCAGTGTTGAGTCTAAAGGTAATCTTAAGGCAGAATTCCTTCCTTCTTGGGGTATTCTGGTCTTTTCCCTTAGGCCTTCACCTGATTGAATGAAGCCACCCACATTATCAAAGGTAATCTGTTTTGCTAAAAGTCTACTATTTGAAATGTTAATCACATCTAAAAAACTACCTTCACCAATCGCAACATCTAGACGGTATTTGACCAAACAACTGGCAACCATTCTTATCTAAGTTGATGCATAAAATTAACCATGGCAATATCGACATAGGTCAGCATTCAGGGGCAGGGAGGGTTGGAAAAGGTAGAGAGAGGATCAGAGGGGAGGGGACACAAACAGAATATTCAGCAACCTCTGTATAGCAGTTCTATCAGACTTCCCATTCTTTTTTTCTGCACTTCCTGAAGGTAGGAAGTAGGAGTATTTTGCTCACCGCTGGCTTCCAAGTGGCTAGTCCAATACCCGGCACATAACATAGAAGTTTCCTCCAGAGTATGGGTTGAATTGACTCGAATATTTTAGAAGCAAGTTCTGAGAAATGAGTGTTCAGTGAATTTTCCCCAGAGAGTAGCAATATCTCAAGAACAATTTGCAAAACAAGTAAATGCCATCACAATTTTCTATCAGCATTTGAGCATAGGACAATGTACCACATCGGATTAATCAGATGTGATCATATCTGCTAAGGCTTAAGACCAGATGACATTTCCAAGCTTCACTCTTTGCCTTATTAATAGAATAACTTTAGTCGTTGAACTGGATGATCTCCCATGCTGGCAAAGACTTTAAATTGCTCCCTTTGTAACCATGCAATTATATAAAGGACTGGCTATATTGCTAGGGTATGATGTAAGTCATTTATCAGGTAAATAATTCTGAATACAATCTAGTCTTAATGGCCCACACCTGCTAGGAATGTGACACCAGATTTACTCCCAACAAAGAAATGGGCTGGCAATCAAAATGCATCTTACGTGCCTCGTGACAGTGAAGAAAGAATGAAAACAGATGAAGTTGAAAAGACTTGAAAAAAGTGCGCCCTAGATTATTTGACACATTATTTTTGAGGTCTCTGAATGGTTGTTCAAAAAACTTACTGGAATATTATCCTTTGAGAAGTTATTTTTTTGGGGGCCAGCTTAGTTTGATCATCCTGAAACCAGGAGTAGGGAAAGGTGAAAAGGATCAAAGACAGTCATAGGTCATCTGATGGAGGAAGAAGGGTATCTCCAAGGCCATTGTGTCACTGAGGAGCATGGCAGCTATCAATCAAAATGCCAGTTTAGCTTTGTGCATCAGTTGGTTCTGATAAGCACCTGTTTCTTGTGTCTGTTGCTTTCCTGGTTTGCTCTCCAAATGAGCAGGTCCTTTAAATGGAAAATTAGCAAGTGGCCATCTGAGAATAAAATGAAAAGAAATATGTAAATACTTCATGCAGACACATGAGGCTTGGATGGTACCGCTTCTCCTGTGTTATCAAAAGAAATTGTCTTACAAGGACAGCCTGAGGCTAAATGTGTGAAGTGGCTAAAAGTTGTCACATTATCTTTCTGCACCTGCCTCTGTTCCTCTTCTAAAGTCCTTGTCATCTCCCCAACATCCTCCCAACACATGCACATGCATCACCCCCACCCCCCAACTCCTGTAGCTGTCCTGGGTCTTATTCCTACAGAGCCTGGTGAAGCTATTTCTCCACTAAGCTGGGGCTGTTGAATTTGTCTCTGTGTCCCCAGGGCTTAGCCCAACACCTGGAATCATGAAAGTGCTCAATAAATCTTTCATGAGTAAAGGAAGCTTCAATAAGATGTTAGATAAAAGAGGCTTAGTCACTTCTGGAGGGAGAGGTGTTTACAATTCAATAAGACATTCTTAAAGCTAGAGCCTCTAATAACAGAATTTCTGGCAACAGGATGGGTGGTGCATCACATCAGGAAGAGGAGCAGCTAGCTTTGCCTGGCAATGAGGAAGTCATGTCCTATACGCCTATTGTTTGTAAGCAGGAGGCAGCTCCTGCATTTCTAGGACTCTGGGCTCTATCTCAATCCAGGGCATTCAGTCACAGAAGGCTGCCACAGCTGCCACCAGCTCTCCTCTGCTCCAGAGTAAACCAGGGGCAGACAAAGGGTGCCCTTCTTTCCAGTCCTATGAGGAAAGCGTATACTAAGATACTTAGAAGCAATCTGGCCCCTTGCTGATACCACCATGTGTGTCTAATCACACTTCTTCTCCAGAATAATTATAACAGTGAAAAGGAGGCTTAGCATGACTAACTCCATCTTTCTCCTACCCCCCAACCCTCTGTGGTGATCTCTTTTGGTTAGTTACTTTTGCTTATTTCTGCACGTAGGTTAAGCTAACTATGGGAGGAATTTAGTTTATAGTTTGCAGTGAGGATAATAATAGTCCCTTCCCCAAACTAGCTCCCAAGGAGATAAGGAGGATGTACACACAAGTAACAATGTTACATTAAATATCTATAGGAGCAATGTGACCTGACCAAGGACAAAGAAGTTTCTCAACCCCCTGGATCCTTACTGCTGCCCAGATGTCTCTGGTCATTGGTCACCTTTTAACCTCAACCCCTTCCCTTCCCCTGCTTCCCCTAACCTAGAAGGAGCCTAAAATTTGTGTTAAGACAGCTCTTTAGGACACTCATCTGCCATCTTCTTGGTTTGCTGGTATCGGGGGAATCTGCCCCCAATATTTTAACATAGGTTCTTTCTATTTTCCATAAGTGTCAGCCAGCTGAGAAATAAAGAGAAAGAGTACAAAGAGAGGAATTTTACAGCTGGGCCGCCGGGGGTGACATCACATATCGGTAGGACCATGATGCCCACCTGAGGTTCAAACCAGCAAGTTTTTTATTAAGGGTTTCAAAAGGGGAGGGGGTGTAAAACAGAGAGTAGGTACAAAGATCACATGCTTCAAAGGCCAAAAATCAGCACAAAAATCACATGATTCTGAGGGAACAGGACAAAGGCAAAGCAGAACTACTGATAAGGGCCTATGTTCAACTTGCATGTATTGTCTTGATAAACATCTTAAACAACAGAAAACAGGGTTCAAGAGCAGAGAACTGGTCTGACCACGAATTTACCAGGGCAGAGTTTTTCCCTACCCTAATAAGCCTGAGGGTTCTGCAGGAGACCAGGGCGTATCTCAGTCCTTATCTCAAGAGCATAAGACAGACACTCCCAGAGCGGCTGTTTATAGACCTCCCCTCAGGAATGCATTGCTTTCCCAGGGTATTAATATTAATATTCCTTGCTAGAAAAAGAATTTAGCGATATCTTCCCTACTTGCACGTCCATTTATAGGCTCTCTGTAAGAAGAAAAATTTGGCTCTCTTTGCCCAAACCCGCAGGCAGTCAGACCTCATGGTTGTCTTCCCTTATTCCCTAAAAATTGCTGTTATTCTGTTCTTTTTCAAAGTGCAATGATTTCCTATTGTTCAAACACACATGTTTAACCATCAATTTGTACAGTTAACACAATTATCACAGTGGTCCTGAGGTGACGTACATCCTCAGCTTACAAAGATAACAGGATTAAGAGATTAATCTGTAATTTCTTACAGGTGTAAGAAATTATAAAAGTATTATTTGGGAACTGATAGATGTCCATATTAAAATGAAATCTTCACAATTTATGTTCCTCTGCCATGGCTCCAGCCGGTCCCTCCGTTCGGGGTCCCTGACTTCCTACAACAGCTGGCTCTTGAATAAAGTAACTTTCTTAGCCTCAACACCTTGTCTCTTGACTTACTGGCTGTGGTATGGTGAGTGGTATGAGCTTGAACTCAGCTACACAATCTGCTCTACCAAGTTGACTCCAGATCCATGATTAGACCTATGTCTTTATTTCCCATCAGAACCTAGCAGAGTATCTTCTAGATAAAATTTGTTAAATAAAAGATTTTTTTTTTTGCCTGATCGATGTCAATTTGCTGCTTAGAACTAAACGTCTTTAAACTTCTGGTTTCCCTAAGGAAGTTACTTTTGTATTTTCCAGTGCTTTTTTTTTTCTAGTTAAAACATTACATATGTAAATTCTTGATTAAAATATTCTCCAGTGACTTCTTATTTTATCAGAGAGTTCTTTGCCAACCAATGTGCTAAAGATGGATGCTGACATACTGAAATTCTGACCCTCATCCCAGCCCAAGGCCCTACAGATAGGGCTCTAGGTAGCTCAGGTCCTGGGTCTAGTTGCCTCTGACCAGCAACAGAATCTCCGTTTCACTCAACTTGCGGTTCAGGTGTTATCATTTTCTTCATATGCCATGATGTGGGGGAAAACAGTTTGAAAATATTGCTCTTCAGCAGGGGCTGGCATTTTTTTTTTTTTTTTTTCTGTAAAAAGCCAGATAGGAAAGATTTAGGCTTTGTGGGCCATATGGTCTCTGTGTCAACTAACCTCTGCCATTGTAGCATGAAAGTAGCAATAGACAATAATGAACTAATGGGCATGGCTGCGTTCCAATAAAACTATTTACAGAGATAGGTGGCAGAATGCAGATTTGGTCTGGGGGCCTTAGTTTGCCGAACTCTGTCCACAGGGTGAAGTTCGTTTCCTTGGTACAGTTGATCTTCCCATGCTCTTGTTCCGGTCTCCACATTAGCCTCATCTTTTCTACAGGCTCAAATGTCCCACACCATGGGAAGCAGTTCTCCCTTTTCTCCAGGTGTGTGTCCAGTGTCTCTGCACCCACAGCACCATGTTCACACATTTTCTCACTTTCATGTAACAACATGTTGGAGTGTCTGTCATATCCATCAGAGTGCAACATCCTGGATGGTTGGGGGACTGTATCATGGTTATATCTGTATCTATTAGACATATCACAGTATCTGTCATATCACTGTTTGTTGCATGAAGTTCTCACTGTTTATTGCATGAAGAGCATGGCAGCAAGGATAGATAGAAGGAAGGAAGAGGGAAGGGAAGGAGGAACAGAAGAAGGAAATAAGGAAGCATTCTCTTTCTGGTTGAACATTGTAAGTTTCATTGTCTCCAAGGAATATGCATGTCAGAGGAAAGTGTTGGTGACAAAGAAAGGCAAGGAGGGGTGGTAAAGAAAATGAGCAGGTGGTAGATTTAGGGAGAAGGTGTGTCCAATGGCAGGAAGAAGTTGTCTGAATTCTACAAAGTTCAATGGGTGCTATTGAGCCTGCATTATGTCAGAATTACTTGATGTTATCCAAGATAAGCCAGCATCATAAAATACATTCCTTAAGTGGTGAAATAAAAGGTTACGGTGGCAAGATGCTATTCAGCAACGCATTTGTAGTACCTCTGGGGCTCTAGAATTTATGACAAGGAAATGAACCAGAAATAAATGAACCAAAGCAGTAATAAGGGATGACTGCAAACTACAATTCAATTAATAACATACCTCAATTATGAAGCAAATCTAGAAGCCTTATGAATTAATTTCTTCTTCTTCTTTTTTTTCTCTCTCCCCCCTACCCTGCTTTCTTTCTCAAGTTATTTCCACATTTCCCCTGTGGTATTAATAATCATATAATGGTATTTTCTGTATACCACAATCTGGAGTGAAAACTTTCTCATCTTAAAGAAAAGTGCAAAGTTTCATGAGCTAACCATAAGTGTATCATGCTAAGTCATATTTCTTTAATCACTAGGGCTTACCCCCCACATATTTTTAGTCATGGGTAACACATAGTGAAATTTAAGGCATACAGTGTATAACATGCCAAAAATTAGAATGTTATGCCTCTATTCATGCCATAATTTGTACTTCATAAATAATATACTTCCTTATACATCATTTCAATTTGTCCTTAAGATGTGAATATTATATTACACCTATTTAGCAGTAATATCTACTGTCATGTTACTATAAGAATGTATTTTTTTCTTCCTGTTATGTCTGAGGTTTTGAGAGAATCTTACTCAAATGTCTCAGCTTTGTATCAGCTACATCATTAGGTACACAAGGACAGGTCTGAAGAGTTGCTTCTGCTAAATATTTGAAAAAGTGGCAGGGTCTTTGAGACCAGTGTGGAGGCAGCTGTGGGAAATAATAAGAGCTTTCTAAGGGTAAATGGGGCTTAGGACACAGTTGGGTTTCCCTAGTCCAGTGACTAACATTCATGCACAGATTGTTCTTTAGGTTCCAAACTTGATCATTGTAAAAAGAGCAATGGCTGCTTGGGCCAGGAGTAAACTTTCCAAAATCATGTAGTCCATTCCACGGGCTCCACATAGGATTGAAGCAATTTTTACCAAATCTACACAGAGGTTGAAACAGCATATTGGTCTATAACACAGCTTCTAGTCATTTTCAACTTATGGTAATAGTGCTTCTAATAATAGCGAGCATATAATTTGACAACACATAGGAGCAGTAGTTTAAATTGTATTATCAGCAGATTATTCTTCTCAGCTTTGCTTGATTCCTCTAATATTTATTGTTAACTCAAAAACATGCCAGTACACAATATATTTTATAAGTCCTAAATGTATACTGTATTGATGGAAGTGAAGCTGATTTAGTACACAAATACAAAAAGGTCCCCGCAGTTGTTCTAAAATCAGTTAACCCAGGACACTTCCATCACTGCCAAAGGAGAAACTATTTCTGGCTGTCACTCATGCTTGACTACACCTTGTCAAACCCACAATAAAACTTTTCCTCTCATATCTCCCCCAAATTGGGAGACTACTTAAATTATTCATTGCCAGGTAGAGCACACATTAACCTCAGCTTCTGCCAGAATGTTTGTTTGTTTGTTTGTTTCTGCTGTCAGTTATGCCCCTAGGATACGCTGGATTTGAGCAGAGGCATCATTTGAGGGCAGTTGGGTAGTAAATCTTCCTCATGTTCTCTGAGAAAGCAGTATTTCAGTGGCCAAGAGAGATTTGCCTTTTATTTAACCAGCAACACAATGAAAGCAAATGTTTTCAGCATCAACATTTCCCTTGGCCTAATATATGTTTTAATGTTCTATAAACTTAAATGATTTTAATGGCCTTATGTTCAGTAAACAAGCACATAAACAAGATGTGGAGGAAATTTTCCTTCAATGTTTTTCATTTCAATGCCATGTTTGGGGAGAAAAAATACAATTTCTATATCTTGAAGAAAATATTCAAGCCCCTCAAGTTATCCCTGGAAGACATCAAGGGATATTCATTATCCATTATTAGTATCTAAGAGTTAATATTTATTTAACGTTTACTATGTGACAACATTTGTTTAAAATGTTTTGAATGTTTAAAAATGTTTTGAATTCTTATTAAAAGGCTCTATAAAGGAGATGCTTTTATTATTATTATCTCCATTATATAGACGAAGAAACAGAGGTAAAAAGAGGTTAAATAATTGTTCAAGGCTCTACTATCATTAAGTAGTGGAGGAAGCTCAAACTTGGACTTGCTTCAGAACCTTGTCCTCTTAGCCACTAGGCTACCTTGCACTCTGTCATCTACAGGGTAATGACTGGTGGCAGAATAGGCCACCCCAAATATGCCACTTCCAGATAGTGATTATTTTGAGCTGAGCATAAGTGAGAAGAAGCAGATACAAGAAAAGCTCTCTGTCCTCCCTCATTTGCCTAAGAGCAGGACATAAATTTGTAAAGATGTCCCCACTCCCCTCTTCATCAAGGACAGAAAGTGAATCACCAGAGATAAACTCTCAACCCTTAACAGCTCAGAGAAATTTACTTAAAAGACTTTACTAATCAGCTTTACTAATCGTCCATTGGTTACTCCTATATATTTACCTTTCCATAATTTGCTGCCCTAAACACTCAAAGTCCTTTTCTTTTGTCTTGTCACTTCTCTAAAATTTATTATTCTTTTGCTAAGATGCTATAAAAGCCCAAGTTCTAACTACCCCTTCGAGTTACTCATCACTGAGATCTCTCATGCATGTGTGCAATGCACATGTTACAAACTTCCATTTGTTTTTCTCCTATTAATCTGTCTTTTGTCAATCTAATTGCACAGGGCCCCAGTTAAAGACCTAAGATGGGTAGAGAATAAAAGGATATTTTTGCTCCCCTAGTGTACCATTTTCATGCACGCCCCTGTGAAGAGACCACCAAACAGGCTTTGTGTGAGCAACAAAGCTTTTAATTACCTGGGTGCAGGTGGGCTGAGTCCAAAAAGAGAGTCAGCGAAGGGAGATGCGGTGGGGCCATTTTATAGGATTTGGGTAGGTAAAGGAAAAAGGGGGGTTGTTCTCTGGTGGGCAGGAGTAGGGGTCCCAAGGTATTCAGTGGGGGAGCTTTTGAGCCAGGATGAGCCAGGAGAAGGAATTTCACTGATGTCATCAGTGTCATCAGTTAAGATAGGAACAGGCCATTTTCACTTCTTTTGTGGTGGAATGTCATCAGTTAAGGCAGGAACTGGCCATCTGGATGTGTATGTGCAGGTCACAGGGGATGTGATGGCTTAGCTTGGGCTCAGAGGCCTGACATTCCTGTCTTCTTATATTAATAAGAAAAATAAAATGAAATAGTGGTAAAGTGTTAGACGGTGAAAATTTTTGGGGGTGGTATGGAGAGATAGTGGGCGATGTTTCTCAGGGCTGCTTCGAGCGGGATTAGGGGTGGTGTGGGAACCTCGACTGGGAGAGATTAAGCTGAAGGAAAATTTTGTGGTAAGGGGTGATATTGTGGGGTTGTTAGAAGAAACATTTATTGTGTAGAATTATTGGTGATGGCCTGGATACGGTTTTGGATGAATTGAAAAACTAAATGGAATAAAAGAAGGAGAAAAACAGGTATAAAAGGTCTAAGAATTGGGAGGACTTAGGGCATCTGATTAGAGAGTGCTTAAGGATATTCAGCATAGTCCTGCCAATAAAGATTATTTATTTACTTCAAGAGTTTAGAGTGGCAGTTTGGGGATAGCACCACGAGATATCAGCTGTGATGGCTTGGAGAAACAGTGTAAACCGGCAGTGTAAACAAGAGCAGGGCATGTATGAGTAGTTGAGAATGGTGAATAGGAGTATGACTAGACAGAAGATAGTAGGGATGACAAGTTTTTTTGGGGCACAGTGTAAGTCGGTCTGGTGTCTGGAATGAGACTGGGGCCTAATAAAAAGGAGTGTCTATACAGGAGCTCAAATGGGCTGTACCTTGTAGCATTCTGAGGACAGGTCTGACTTCTGAGAAGGGAAAGTGGTAAAAGTATTGTCCAGTCCTTTTTAAGTTGGTGGCTGAGCTTGGTGAGGTGTGTTTTTAAAAGACCTTTAGTCCGTTCTACTTTTCCTGAAGACGGAGGACCTTAAGGGATATAAAGGTTTCATTGAATACTAAAAGCCTGAAAAACTGCTTGGCTGATTTGACTAATAAAGGCTGGTCTGTTATCAGACTGTAAAGAGGTGGGAAGGCTAAACTGAGGAATTATGTCTGACAGAAGGGAAGAAATGACTGTGGTGGCCATCTCAGACCCTGTAGGAAAGGCCTCTACCTATCCAGTGTAAGTGTCTACCTAGACTAAGAGATATTTTAGTTTTCTGACTTGGGGCATGTCGAGTAAAGTCAATTTGCCAGTCCTGGGCTGGGGCAAATCCTCGAGCTTGATGTGTAGGGAAGGGAGGGGGCCTGAATAATCCTTGAGGAGTAGTAGAATAGCAGATGGAACACTGAGAAGTTATTTCCTTGAGGATAGGTTTCCACGATGGAAAGGAAATGAGAGGTCCTAAGAGGTGGGCTAGTGGCTTGTACTATAGCATAGCCTGCCTTTGCTGGTGTGTGGCGATTAGGCCTGGTGGAACTGCCATCAATAAATCAAGGGTGATCAGGGTGAGGAACAGGAAAGAAGGAAATATGGGGAAATGGGATGAATGTCAGGTGGGTCAGAGAGATACAGTCATGGGGGTCAGGTGTGGTATCAGGAATAATGTGGGAGGCCGGATTGAAGTCCGGGCCAGGAACAATGGTAATTGTGGGACTTAATAAGGAGTGAGTACAGCTGAAGGAGCCGGGGAGCAGAAAGTATATGCATCAGGTATAAGGAAGAAAGTAGATTTTGGAAGTTATGAGAAATGTAGAGAGTGAGTTGAGCATAGTTTGTGATTTTTACGGCCTCTAAAACTATTAAAGCAGTGGCAGCCACTGCACACAGACATGAGGGCTAGGCTAAAATAGTAAGGTCAAGTTGTTTGGACAGAAAGGCTACAGGGTGTGGTCCTGGTTTTGTGTAAGAATTCTGACCGGACTAACCATGCCTAGGAAGGAAAGGAGTTGTTGTTTTTTAAGGGATTGAGGTTTGGGAGATTAATCAGACATGATCAGCAGAGAGAGCACGTGTGTTTTTATGAGAATTATGCTGAGATAGCTAACAGATGAGGATGAAATTTGGGCTTGACTGAAGTAATGGGGTCTGTCTTTGAAGCCTTGTGGCAGTACAGCCCAGGTAATTTGCTGAGCCTAATGGGCATCAGGGTCAGTCTAAGTGAAAGCAAAGAGAGGCTGGGATGAAGGGTGCAAAGGAATAGTAAAGAAAGCATGTTTGAGATCCAGAACAGAATAATGGGTTGTAGAGGCAGGTATTGAGGATAGGAGAGTATATGGGTTTGGCACCACGGGGTGGATAGGCAAAACAATTTGGTTGACAAGGTGCAGATCCTGAACCAACCTGTAAGTCTTGTCTGGTTTTAGGACAGGTAAAATGGGGGAATTGTAAGGAGAGTTTATAGGCTTTAAAAGGCCATGCTGTAGCAGGCAAGTGATAGCAGGCTTTAATCCTTTCAAAGCATGCAGTGGGATGGGATATTGGCATTGAGCGGGGTAAGGGTGATTAGGTTTTAATGAGATTGTAAGGGGTGAATGATTGGTCACCAAGGAGGGAGTAGAGGTATCTTATACTTGCGGGTTAAGGTGGGGGAATACAAGAGGAGGACGCAAAGGAGGCTTTGGATTGGGAAGAAGGGCAGCAGTGAGATGCAGCTGTAATCCAGGAATAGTCAGGGAAGCAGATAATTTAGTTAAAGTGTCTCGGCCTAATAAGGGAACTGGGCAGGTGGGGATAACTAAAAGGAGTGCTCAAAAGAGTATTGTCTAAGTTGGCACCAGAGTTGGGGAGTTTTAAGAGGTTTAGAAGCCTGGCCGTCAATACGCACAACAGTTATGGAAGCAAGGGAAACAGGCCCTTGAAAATAAGGTAATGTGGAGTGAGTAGCCTCCGTATTGATTAAGAAGGGGATGGACTTACCCTCCACTGTGAGAGTTACCCGAAGCTCGGCGTCTGTGATGGTCCAGGGGGGTTCCGAGGCAATCAGGCAGCGTCAGTCTTCAGCCGCTAAGCCAAGAAGATCTGGGAAGGAGTCAAAGAGCCTTGGGCCAGAGTTCCAGGGGCTCTGGGAGTGGCTGCCAGGTGAGTTGGACAGTGCGATTTCCAGTGGGGTCCCACACAGATGGGACGCGGCTTAGGAGGAATCCTGGACTGCAGGCATTCCCTGGCCTGGTGGCCAGATTTCTGACACTTGTAGCAAGCTCCTGGGGGAGGAGGTTCTCGAGGAACACCTGGCTGCTGAGGTCCAGGCATTTGGAAGTTCTTGTGTGCTGGAGATGTGGCTGGGGTTTGTCTCACAGTGGAGGCAAGGAATTGCAACTTTTTTCTATTATTGTGCACCTTGAAGGCAAGGTTAATTAAATCATGTTGTGGGGTTTGAGGACCAGAACTTAATTTTTGGACTTTTATTTAATGTCGGGAGCAGATTGGGTAATAAAATGTATATTGATAATAAGATGGCCTTTTGACCTTTTAGGGTCTAGGGCTGTAAAGCGTCTCAGGGTTGCTGCCAAATGAGCCATGAACTGGGCTGGATTTTTATATTTGATGAAAAAGAGCCTAAATGCTTTCTGATTTGGGATAAAGAAAAAGGAGCATTAACCTTGACTATGCCTTTAGCTCTAGCCACCTTTTTAAGAGTAAATTGCTGGGCAGGTGGGGGAGGGCTAGTCACGGAACAAAACTGTAAGCTGGACCAGGTGTGAAAAGGGGATGTGATAAAAGGATTATAGGGTGGAGGAGCGGAGGCTGAGGAAGAATTGGGACCTAGCTCGGCCTGGTGAGGAGGGGAGAGGTCAGATGGGTCTGTAGAAAAGGAAGATTAGAAAGACTCAGTGACACTTGGGGTTGCGACTGAGGGGACAGGTGGAAGGGAAAGAAGATTTGGGATGAGTTGCACTGGGCACAGAGACTAGAGAGGGACCAATGTGTAAAAGAATGCCTGGACGTCAGGCACCTCAGACCGTTTGCCCATTTTATGACAAGAATTATTTAGATCTTGCAGGATGGAAAAATTGAAAGTGCCATTTTCTGGCTATTTGGAACTACTGTCGAGTTTGTATTGGGGTCAAGCAGCATTGCAGAAGAAAATAACATGCTTAGATTTTAGGTCAGGTGAGAGTTGAAGAGGTTTTAAGTTCTTAAGAACACAGGCTAAGGGAGAAGAAGGAGGAATGGAGGGTGGAAGTTTGCCTATAGTGAAGGAGGCAAGTTTAAAGAAAAGGGAGAGTAGAGACACGGAGCAAAGCGGTTCAGGGGTTCTTACCCTCCAGAAAAGTGGGAAAGGGGTCTGGGCACAGAGATACGAGGTCAGGGCATGGAAATAAGGGATCAGGGTGCAGAGATATAAGAGGTTGGGGTGTGGAAATAAGGGATTGGGTTGCGGAGATATAAGAGGTCGGAGCATGGAAATAAGGGATCGGGGCACAGAGATACGAGGTTGGGGTACTTGCCCCTCCTCCAGAAAAGTGGGACTTGCCACTAAGGGTGAAGGAGAAGGGGTTGGGGGTTTCTTGCCCCCCAGAAAAGTGGAGAAGGGGTAGAGACATGGAGAGAAGGGGTTAGGGTACTTGCTCCTCCCCTAGAAAAGCGGGACTTGCCGCTAAGGGTGAAGGACCAAGGCAGGCATCCCTGTGTGGTCTGACACCTGTGAAACGTGGGTGAATAATCAGAGAGGTGTCCCTGCAATGATTAAACACTGAGGGAAGGCTGCCTTCCCAGTCCGTGACCAGCGCTGGAGTTTTGGGTCCACGGATAAAACGTGTTTCCTTTGTCTCCACCAGAAAATGAAAGGAATTGAAATTAAGAGAAGGGAGAGATTGAAGAGTGGAAAGGAGAAAGTGGTTGAGGGATAGTGAGAGAGGTTGGAGAAGAGAGTAAGAAGACGCCACTTACCCAATTTAAAATTGGTGAGATGTTCCTTGGGCTGGTGGGTCTGAAGACCTGAGGTCGTAGGTGGATCTTTTTCACGGAGCAAAGAGCAGGAGGACAGGGGATTGATCTCCCAAGGGAGGTCCCCTGATCCGAGTCATGGCACCAAATTTCATGCACGTCCGTGCGAAGAGACCACCAAACAGGCTTTGTGTGAGCAATAAAGCTTTTAATCACCTGGGTGCAGGTGGGCTGAGTCCGAAAAGAGAGTCAGTGAAGGGAGATGGGGTGGGGCCATTTTATAGGATTTGGGTAGGTAAAGGAAAAAGGGGGGTTGTTCTCTGGTGGGCAGGAGTGGGGGTCACCAGGTACTCAGTGGGGGAGCTTTTGAGCCAGGATGAGCCAGGAGAAGGAATTTCACAAGACAATGTCATCAGTTAAGGCAGGAAGAGGCCATTTTCACTTCTTTTGTGGTGGAATGTCATTAGTTAAGGCAGGAACCAGCCATCTGGATGTGTACGTGCAGGTCACAGGGGATATGATGGCTTAGCTTGGGCTCAGAGGCCTGACAACCATGTACAGATGCCTTGTATGCAGTTTTGCTAATATCTATCATGGCAATGAAGTAGGTATTGTCACCTTCCATGTTATAGATGAGGATTGTGAGGCTTATCATGACCAGAGGGCTTGCCAGAACTCACATAGCTCATAAGTAGTAGGTTTAGATTTGGGATATTAATTCTGTTTTTTTTTAATTTTTTTTATTTCCTTTCACTGCAACCTCTGCCTCCCAGGTTCAAGCAATTCCCCTGCCTCAGCCTCCCAAGTAGCTGGGACTACAGGCATGCGCTACCATGCCTGGCTAATTTTTGTATTTTTAGTAGAGACGGGGTTTCACCATGTTGGCCAGGATGGTCTCAATCATTTGACCTCATGACCCACCCGCCTCGGCCTCCCAAAGTGCTGGAATTAAAGGTGTGAGCCACTGCGCCTGGCCATTAATTCTGTTTTTATGATATTATAAGCATCTTTCTTTCCAAGAACACAAACTTTGACTCAGTTTAGTGCTACTAAGATGTTTAGTTTTCACTGTGCGTGCTAAGATCTATTTTAGAAGGAGGAACAATTTAAGGCTAATTCTAGAGCTTCCAAAGAAACTTTCCAAGGGGCTTTGCATTTCACAGTGGAAATTACTAATTAAATTTAGGACTAGATTCCCAGGGTGCCTGTAATTGTAAATCATAACTCAGAGGCAAGCCCTGAGCTGTGGTCATCTTGGACTGGACTGGTTTTCCAAAAAGGCCCCTGGGAATGTAAAAATGGGTGGGGAAGCATTAGGAAAGTACCTAGAATCAGGATGTAGGGCCTATGGAGGTCCTGTAACAGTTTTACAAAATCAGCTGAAAATGGGTCAGAACCCATAAATGCAACTACATAAAACTTGTCCAAGCAGATTCAACTGCATTTGATTTTTTGGGTTGGGCTTTAGGTGGTGAATTATAAAAGACAACTAGTTTGTTCCAATATTTTCATTTACAGCTGCCATACAGATAAAGTGTGTTATGTTACTCTTGAAACACCCTAAAATAATCTTCTCTTTTCTAGAACCAGCAGAACCAAACTTCTAAAATACCTTGGGGAACATGACGGTATGAGTGAAAATCAGGGGTTGTTGTATAAAAGCTGAGTTATTCTATTCAGAGGTTTATCATTTATTCAGATATTTTTACAGTGTTTTTCTGCATTAAGGCACAAATAAAAGGGATAAAAAGACAAATATTTTAAATGTCTAGTAGTAATGCTAAAAACAGCAGGAAAAAAACCCCACAATTAGATAACTAAAGTTAAAAAAAATAGCTGAAACTTCCGATCCCAGCAGGGCACCTCAGGTGATAATGACATTGCCCTCTGAATGGCACAAAGGGAGCTGGGCTGAATGAGACTGGCAGAATGTTAATAAACCTCTGTGGGTTCAGGCTTTCTATTTACTACAGTGACTCACCTTTGGTTCTGCAGAGGGGCAGAAATCCTCCAACTTGAAGGGCAGGGCTAGCCTTAGGCAAAATTGTGTGGTAGGTGAAGTTGGTGTTGGTTGTTCACTTTCTCTTTTCCACATTTCCCTTTCTCTCTCTAGGTGGCTGCTCCCAGACATCCCTTTCCTTATAGAGTTAGCTGTCTAATAAGATCCTTCAGTCAACAGAAACTTGAGTGTAATTCACCTCAGAACCTTTTTGAAAAGGCAGGATTGAGGGTGGAGGTATGAATGGCAGAAGAAAGGACCTCAAAACAGAGCCCATTGCTGTAGTTTTTGAAGTGCTGATCACAATTCATTAGTGGGCAATGTATTGTTTTACAAAGCTTTTACTTTAGTTGTTGTTGTTGTTGTTGTTGTTGTTGTGTGTGTATACAGTAAGTGGCAATGAGAACTGTATCTCAAACTGTAGGTAAAGAACATTTGCAGTTTAACAATCTAAACTTGTAATTAACAATCTAAATTTGTGAGCCAGCATGCAATAGTTGAAACCCAGCTATGCAACTACATTTTGTGACTTTGGGCAAGGTTTTTTAAAACCCGTTTGTGACTTAATCTCCTAGTCTTAAATAGATATAATTCAGGGCCTTTCTTATTCCATTTGAGATGCTGTAAAAAAAATACCATAAACTGGGAGGTTTATAAACAACAGAAATTTATTTCTCACAGTTCCGGAGGCTGGGAAATCCAAAATCAAGGCACCAGCAGATTCAATGTCTGATGGGGGCCTGCTTTGTGGTAACAGAAAGACTCTCCTTCCAGGATTCTCTAGACCTGGCAGAACCAAGACATTCCTATCCTCTCCAGGTGAAAAGGGTGAGAACCTGGGCTCAGAAATACCTGTAGCTATGCCCCTCTACCGCCATTTGGAAAAACTACTCTGAGAGAAACAAGTTGACCGCAGAGAGACATAAATGGAAGAGACTGGAAAACAGTCCTGAAACCAGTATCACTCCTGTTCTTTTCAGTTTGGTTTCATACTCTCTCTTCTTTTTTTAAACTTGTTAGTTTGACTTGGTTTTCTGTCCCTTGCAACCAAGAAGCCTGTTAATGGGATATTTGTTTTAGACATGTAAAAAGTAAGGTAGAGTTTCCTCTTCAAAGACTTTCCTTCCCATCTAAGTAGAAATAAATAGTAACTTCTTGTAGAAGAAAAATTTATTCAAAGACCTGTGCTAACATTCTTAAATATCTGCTAGCCATAATAAAGAAATCAATGTACTTTATGTTCTTAGCTCTCACAGCTTAGCCTAAATATTTGCCCTGGCATGCTTATACTGGTCCAAGCAAGCATTAGGTCATCCTGTTCCTCTTCCTTATTTGAAGGTGTTTTTACCTTTCTCAGCATTCCGCAAGTTACTTCCTCCTTCCTTTGTTCTCCTCTGCCTTTGCCTCTTTTAAAAAGTTCTAAGTTGCTAGCCATCAGGACAAATACAGAATATGAGGTCCCATTCCAGCCAATGGAAACCGGACACAGCAGTAAGGTGGATGCATCAAATTATAAATGACCCTGTCTCCTTTGTTCGGTGTACTCTCATGGCAAAACTGCTGGCGAGTGTACCCCTTCTGCAGAAAGTAAAACAATGGCCTTGCTGAAGAAATTAATGTTCAAATGCTATTTCTTTATGGCACTGAAGAAAAAGCATTTCTGACAGACATCTTAGAATGGATGATTTTGCTGACCCTCCTCTTTCTTTCTAATGCAATCCTTTGACAAATTCTCTTGGCTCTTTCTTCAGTGAGTATCCAGGATTCCGTCACTTCTCACTACTTCCAGAATTACCACCATATTTCTAGTTACTATCACTTTCCCCTGGATTTTTGCCTCCTACCTGATCTCCCTTCTTTCACCTCTGCCCTGCTGTACTCTCCTGCCAACAGCTAGATCTCCCAACAGTTCTAGAAACTGAAACAGATCTAGAAAAGCTAGATCCTTTTACAACAATCCCTTCTCCAGTGGAAACTCTCCAATGCCTTTTTGTCTCACTCAGAATAAAATCCAGAGTCCCTATCATGGACTTGAAGGCCCTTAGTGATCTGACCCCTCTTGATCCCTGACCTCATCTCCATTATTCTGTCCCTTTCCCACTGAGTTTTATCCGTACTAGTCTCTTGGATGTGCCTGGAACACACCACATACCCACACATCTTAGGACCTGAGCTTCCTTTGCAGGGAAGACTCTTCTCCCAGTCAGCTGCATTCTACTCCCTACCTTCTTCAATCAAGTCTCTGCTTAAACATCACTTTATCAGAGACGACTGTGCTGCCCAAACTAAAACAGCTCCTGCTCCCATTTCAATCTCCATTCTCCTTACTCTGTCTCATTTTCTGGTAACATTTACCAATATCTGTCATATTTAAAAGGTATTTGTTTATTGTCTTTCTTCCATTACGAAATCCCTAAGGGCAGGAATCTCAGCCATTGTACTATATCATCAGCAGCTGAAACAGCTCCTGGCGCCTGGGAGGACTCTGAATATTTTCAGCATAATGCATGTATGCGTGGGTGAGCAAATCCCTGACCTCACTCCAGGGAGAAATCAAGTTAAATGTACCTGGCTATGAAAGCAAGCAGGTGCAAACAGACATTCATCAGTTATTGCATATAGTACCTCAGATAAGCATTGGGAAACCCAGCCATCTGTGAACTGCGTAAGCGTTGCTGGTCTCAGAAAACAATTTCTCAGTCTCTCCTATGAAGACAGTGGGCAGGACATCAGCCAGCCAACCCAAGTGGCGCTAATAACAGTGAATCATAAGTTCACATCCTTCTGTGAGCACTTACTCTACAGCCAGACACTCTTCTAAGTGCTTTGCGTTTGTTATCTGATTTAATGACCACAGCAGCCCCATGAGAAAGGTTCTGCTAGAGATGGAATGTTTGTATCCCTTCAAAATCTTTATGTTGAAACATAATCTCCAATGTGGTGGTATTAGGAGATGGGGCTTTGGGGAGGTGATTAGATCAAGAGGGTGGAGACCTCATGAATAGAATTTGTGCCCTTATAAAGGAGGCCTCAGAGACCTCTCTAATCCATTCTGCCATGTGAGGTTACAGCAAAAAGACAGCCACCTTATGAACCAGGAAGCAGGCTGCCCTCAGACTTTGAATCTGCTGGTGCCTTGATCTTGGACTTCCCAGCTTCCAGAACTGTGAGAAATAAGTTTCTGTTGTTTATAAACCACCCAGTCTATGGTATTTTGTTATAGCATCCCAAATGAAGTAAGAAAGGCTCTGAATTAAGATTAGGAAATTTAGTCACAAATGGGCTTTAAATAACCTTTCCCAAAGTCACAAAACTTAGTTGCATACCTGAGTTTTAATATTACATGCTGGCTCTTATTGAGGGCATTCTAAGATAGCCCACCTCTGTCCATGGCCTCACTTTATCCCTTCAAGTAAGAACACAGACCAGTAAAGAAGCTACCAACTTGCTGCCTGACACTCTGTGTATTTGGGGGAATTTCTGCTCTTTGGACTGGTTAAGAATGCAAAGGATGGGCAGCAGTAGGCACTAGCTTTCCTTTTTGATGCTACAAACAGTCTAGGACAGGAAAAGAAATGGGCGTTTGCATTGAGAAGACATGACAATCAGCAAATGAGGCTTCACAGCTGAAACCAACTCCACTGAGATTGGTAAGGACTTTTCCTGTTTTTGAAACCCTTTCACAGTTTACTTGTTGTCTACAATAGTCCCTGAAAACAAATAAGGCAGGAAACTAGCTGCCACCCACCTCCTCTCCCCTTACCAGTCCTAAATGTTTGAAGTGAAGGAAAAGATTCCGAGAGAATAAGTTATTAATCAAAGTCAGAAAGACATAAGATGTGAGAGCTTCAGGCTTGAGTTCCTCAATCTTCTTACCTGGATGCAGTGCTCTTCCAAATTGCATACAAAAACATATTTGATTATCTGTATATTCTGTAAAGTAAAATGTTGATAATTCAGTTATTTTTCTTAAGCAGCTTACCAGAATGTGGGATTGCTTTCTTTGACAAAAAAAACAAAACAAAACACCAGGCAAAGAAAAAGATACCAGACAACTCTCAGGCTGAGAAATGCAAATTGCTGCAAAAAAATATTGTAGGAACTATTTTAAGATACCTTGGACAAAAACATCAGCACCATAATTAATAATAAGGTTACAAAAAGAAAAAAACGCTCTGTAAAAAACCAAACCAACCAACCAAACAACCAAACAACAACAATAACAACAGCAACACCCCAAACAAAAAATTCTGTAGCAAATGGAAAGGACAGACATTCATTCTCTGATCTGAGCAGCCCTCTCTACAGAGCATGATGCCCACAGCATTGCCTTTGGATGTCAAGGGCAGTGATCTGACCTGGTGAGACAGGTTAGTCATACAAACCCAATTTTTCATGAATGTTTGTGAAAATTCTCATTCAATTTTGCTCAAGGCAATTTCTGAACTGACAGCAATGATAGACACAGCTTCCGGAGCTTTGTTTTTCTGAAGTCTAGACAAAACATATGTATTTTAAAAAATACCATGCACAATTAATCTTCCTGTTGCAAATGGCTGTACAGTTCACAGATTGAGAATCTGATTCTTTATGAGTAAAGCTCTGAAATTTGTTAATGTGAGCAATTCTCCTCAAGCCTTCATATTTCCTATCAGCTTGGTATTTGTTTCTTAATTCATTCACACTTTCACTCCTCTCTCACTTTAATTCACTAAACCATTTCATGAGTGCTTACTATGTACAGGGCTTAGGCTAGATTGGACAGGATTTCTGCCGTTGGGAAGTTTATAGCCTCATGGAGTATGAATGTTGTGGGTGGGTGAATTCTGCGGCCAATGTTGTTCATGTGGCAAGCCACTAAAATAAAACCTTCACTATCAGCTTGGGTTGTAAACAACATACAGAATATTTTGTTAAGTAAGTCAGTGTCAGCCCATCCTTAAAATCCAGCCTTCTCCTTTTTGCAGTTTTCTTTTTTTCAGTAATTCTCATTTCCTCTCCAATTATGAGAACAATTAGCTTGAAGTAGACATTTATCTATTGTAAGCAATTCCAAATAGATTTTGGTCTGATCTTTCATCTGCTGCTGACAAACCCTGCATTCAGGTGTAGATGGTTTTGATGTAGATTTTACAGTTTCATATTTCATATTTATTTATTTGAGTGAGGTAATAATTGTTCCAAAATATTCATTTTAGAAAAATAAGGGCTTCATTTACATCTTGCCTCTTTTGCTTTCTCAAGACTTTCAGACTAATTTTCTAACCTCATTGCTTGTTCTTAAAACCCATAAAGCAATATTCACTATTTGGAAGCTCTTTTTCAAAAAGAGGCAGGGTAGAGGTAATGGGAAATTTTTTTTTTTATCTTACTTATTATGACTGGAAAAGTAAGCAAGAAAACTTAGGTGATGATATTCTATGATTCTCTCCTAATTAGTGTCCATCTGACTTAGAGTTTTTTCTTTTGAATTTTAAAAGAGCAGTCAGTATTCAACTATTGTGACATCTATGTGGACTTTGGAAAAGCCACATAATTTTTTGGCTTATTTGAATTAACTCTGAGCCCAAAACCAACACTGTTTTATTCTTCCTGCAGTGTAACTGGTGCATGAGATAAAATTTTGAAGTTTACATGGCCTCTTTTATAATTTTATAATCCTGACTGGTTACCTACATCCATATCATCAGCATTTAGATCTTACCTACATAATTTAGGAGGTATAAAAAATATTCACAAACTTCATATTTAAGATCAAGGATTAATCCTTTTGTCTTAAAAATAAATAAATTGCCTGGAATCATTGTCATTATTTTGACCCAGAAAGGATACCCATTGCTGACCACTTCATCAAAATGGTATTTATCATTAGGATTATTGCTCATTTCATATTTGGGACATGAATGATAACTGAGAAGTATCATGTCTTTGAGGTTATATATTGTTGTGGTAGTTTGATGTTATGACTCTGTGGCCCCATTTACCCATGTTGCAGTCATAACACAGGACAGGACAGAGTTTGTCTTTCTGATATACTGGCTCACTTGACATGTTCAAGCAACCTCTCAATTTCAGCCTTATTAGATAAGCACAGAATTTTTGTTACACATTCAATTCCACTTTAAACCCCTTCTGCCATTGTTCCTTTCCCCTCCCCAGTAACAATTTGTCTTCACCTCCTCTATAAATGCTGCTGTGCGACCCTGCTCCAACTGTGAACTCTAAGGAAAAGTGGTGTCTACTGAAAAGCCCTGGGGTTAAAAAAAAAAAAAAAGAAACTTAGAACTAGTACATACAGGGATCCACTCTGTAAGTCAATCAAGTAAAATACCTTCACACAAGATAAATGAATTCAAATTTAGAACCTAGATAGAGGGGCCTGGCTTTTCATACCAGATGTGGATGTGGGAACCAGAGGCCCTGTATTATTTTACCTGGTAACAAGATAAGTGGGGTGTGAGTCACCTGGGCACTGGCCTTGTCCTCTCACAGACGAATGGCATCCACAAAGGTGCTGAAACACATTCGTCATATGTTGGTAGACACATCAACATTTAGGAATTGCTTTGAAGAACTTAGGGAAAAGTCCTCTTCTTTTTCTCAGAGCTGCAGGCTCTCAAATACACTTCAAGATTCATATCTAAATGCCACACGGAATATCTGTCAACAGTTACCAACAACATATATTATGATGCCAAGCAGAGCTGCAGGTCCCTTGGTAATTCTCTACTGTCATCTGTGACTACGTCAATCTCGCAAGGTTACATGGCGCCATATTTCCGAGAAGCAATGACGGATATGTGTTTGAGATCCTCTGAACCTGGTTTATCTTCTATTTTGTAGCATAAAGGTGACAAATTCTGCAAAATATTTTGAAACTGAGGTTTGTTTTTTGGGAGGAAATGTTTATTTGAAGCGTATGGTTATAACACACATTTTAGGTATACTCATGTGTAATATGTATAATGTTTTCCTAGGGAAAATATTCAACACAATTTTTTCTTATGTGCAGAAAATCAAATGAAGAGTTTTAGGGATGCAGAGAGGTCTGAGATAAAACCTCATAAAGAGAGAAGGAAATATAATTGTGTAGGAATATCTAGATAAATTAGCTGCTGATGAGTTTAGCTTCTCAGTAAAAAAAAAAAAAAAAAGTTTTCTTTGTTTTATCTCTTCCATCTTTTCCCCAAAAATCTTTCAATATGTATTTTTTAAAATGTTCCTCTGACAGTCTAGTTTGAAAAAAAATGTCAAACCTACAGAAAATTTGCAAAAATAGTACAATCAACACCCATATGTTATTTACTTAGATTTACCAATTGTTAACATTTTGCCACATTTGCTTTCTCTCTGTCTCTCTGACTACTTGATTATACCTTTTAATGTTAGTTGCAGATAATCATGAAACTTTAGCCCTTGATATTTCAATAAATATCCTCTAAGAACAATAACTTTCTCTTACAAAACTATAATACAATGATCGAGTTGATATATTTAACATGATCAATATTATTTAATTTATAGCCCACATTAACATTTACACATCAATCTCAATACTATTCTGTACAGTTTCTTTTTAATCCAAGATCCTATTAAAAATCATACATTGCATTTAGTTTTCCTGTTCAATATGCTAGCTAAGGCATTAGAGGAAATACCCTTAGGAAATACTTCTGATTGACAGTGCCTTTTAAAAAAACCTGCAAAGGAACCTCAATCCTTTCTAATAAAAAATGACCACCAGGTTTGCTTGCTCTCCACATGAACAGTGCCCTTTTGCTGCCTGTTCTGTCTAGACCTTTCTGGTAGCTCTCTATCGCATCGTCAACCTAATTAATCTTGCCATTAAGAAAAGGTACTTATCCTGTGTTTTATTTGTATAGGACTGTTATTTCCTCTGAGATGAGAAAGATCATATATAAATCTAGGCCAAATGTTGGCAAACATTTTCTATAAAGAACTAGATAGTAACTATTTTAGATTTTGTGGTCCGAAAATTTTCTCTGCCACAACTACTCAACTGTGCTCTTGTAGCATGAAAATAACCAGGAGCAATATGTAAGTGAATGGGAATGGTTGTTTGCCAATAAAACTTTATATACAAAAGTAGTCATTGGGCCAAGGCACGGTGACTCACCCCTGTAATCACAGCACTTTGGAAGGCCAAGGAGGGCAGATTATTTGAGGCCTGGAGTTCGAGAGCAGCCTGATGAACATGGCGAAACCCTGTCTCTACAAAAAATACAAAAATTAACTGGGCACAGTGATGCACATCTGTAATCCCAGTTACTCAGGAGGCTGAGGTGGAGAATTGCTTGAACGGAGTTTGCAGTGAACTGAGATGGCCCCACTGCACTCCATCCTGGGCGACAGAGCAAGACTCTGTCTCAAAAGAAAAAAAAAGCAGGCGTTGGCTAGGATTTGGTCCCTGGACAATAATTCGCTCACCCCTCCTCTTGGCTCACCTAAGCTAATAATAAGTGGTAATAATTAAGGAATTATCCTTCTTGGACAACTTAATTTTTTGTTTTTATGTTAGCTGCAGCATTCTGGAGATAGTCTTTATAGATAAAAAGTTTTGCCTGAAACTTGGAAACTATGTAGCTTGACTTCAATATATTCACAAACACAAGTTTAAGAAATTATTAAGAAAGTCTCTGCAAAAGAGAAACAGTCTTTATAATGACAGACTATTCAAAGATTTTTATCCACATACAAGAAACAACAAAGTTAGAAAATTCTACTGGAAACCTCAAACTCACATTTTAAAACTGCTATTTTGACCTACCGATATGTATTTCAGGGATTGTAGCAGGTTATTGGGAAGTAGGCTTTAACCAGGGTGGGCAGGGGGTTTTCAGGAAACTGTAATGGTGCCAAAATATGGCCACATACTCTGTCTACACTGGAGACTGGTCTAGCTGCCCTGCCTGGCTGCTGTCTCTCTACTTGCTCAAATACAAAATGTCGTAAAATGTGCAGACGGGGCTGGCAGGTAACCCAGGGTTATCTTCTGATAAAGAAGAGCTATTTCAGTGCTTTCAGTAGCTGAATGCCATTCTGCTTCTCTCATTCTTCTGTCCCAAACTTCTGCATTTGGTTGTGTGTACTCCTAAATAGAAAAATAGTATCACGTTATTTTTAAGTATAATTCTTTAAACTTGAAATTTAGCATCCATATAGAAAATGAGCATAAATCATAAGTTGCACTTACCTCAGTTAATTCTTCCTAAGTAAATATACCTGTGTAAGCACTACTCAGATCAATAGATAAAGAATTACAAACACCCAGTAGCTTAACTCATCATCCATCCCAGTCATCCCCTCCACCAAAGGAGACCACTATTGTGACTTCTTTTTTATAGATTACTTCTGCCTATTTTTGAACTTCCATAGTTGGATTTATGTAGTGTGTATTTTTTGGTGTCTGGCCTCTTTTCCTTGTGAGATTAAAACATTGTGTAGCAATAATTTATTCATGATTTCCATAGAATATTCTATTATATGCATATTTCACATTTCATTTATTCTCTGTTGATGGAAATGGAGTTGTTTCTAGATGTTGGCTTACACAGTTAATGCTGCTGTGAAGTGTTCATTCATGTCTGTTGGTCTTTCGGAGCACATAGTACACAGATGTGGAATTGCTGAGTTGTAGGTTCTACGTATACTCAGCTTTGACAGGTACTACCAGTTTTCCAAAGTAATTACACCAATTTATACCCCCAACAGGTGTATGAGAGTTCCGGTAGTCCTTTTGAAATTAGACTGTTTTTCTTATTGACCTCTAGAAAACTTGCATATTTTAGACACAAAAGATTTTTAGGGTGTATATATTGCAAATACTTTCTCCCATTCTATGACTTGCCATTTCATTCTCCTAATTGCATCTTTTGATGAGTAGATGACCTTGATTTCAATAGCATTTAATTTATCAGTCTTTTTCTTTGTAGTTAGTGTTTCTTGTGCTTTGTTAAGACAACTTTGCTTATTTCAAAATAAAGAAGATATTCTTCTGTGTTTGCTTTGGAATTTTTATCATTTTACCTTTCATATTTCATTCTTCAGTCTACTTGGAAATAATATTTTTGTGTGGAAATAATATTTTTGTGAAGTAGAGGTCAAGATTCTGATATTACAATATGGATATCCAATGGAATCCTTACTTTTTATTGAAAAGACCATTCTATCCCTATTACACTTCTCTGTCAACTTTCTTATAAATAAAAGATCATATATGGTTCTCTATTCTGTTAAACTTGTTTATTTGTCTATATTTTAGCAATTACCACAGTTTTAACTAATGAAGCTTTGTTATAAAAGTCTTGATGTCTGTTATGTAATTCTTCTAACTTTTCAACTTCAAAATTGTCTTGCCTTTTCTTGGCAATATACAAGACTATTTAGCTCGTTAACAATTTTTTTCAATCATGTTTTATAATTTTTTTGTGTAAAGTATTTGGATATCTTCCATTAGGTTTATGCATAATTATTTTATTTAAAAAAGTCATCTTATCAATGATATCATTTAAAAATTTTTAGTTTTGTTTTTTGCTAGAATGTAGAAATTGTAACCATGTATCTAATGTCCTTTCTTATTAAGTCTAGTAGCTTTACTTATTACTTCTAATAGCTTATTCCCACAAAGTATAACTACTATTCTGAATTCTATCACCATAGGTTGGTTTTGCCTAATACATTAACTTACTACTTTAATTTTTTTTGTTGTTTTCATAGGTTATTGGGGAACAGGTGGTGTTTGGTTACATGAGTAACTTATTATTTTTATCAGTAGATTTCCTTGAATTTTTTTACATATAGAATCATGTGTTCTACAAATGATGACCACTTAGTTTCTTTCTTTTCAGTCCTTATATATAAAATATTTTAAATATTGCCTTAATACTTTGGTTAGGATTTCTAGTACAATGTTTAAAGGAAATGGAGATGGGGCATCTTTGTCTCATTTCTGATCACTCAGGTAGAAAGATTTTAGTATTTCATCATTAACCATGATGTTTGGTGAGAATTTTTGTAAATGACCTTTATTGGGATAAAACAAAATTTCTTTTATTTCTAGTCTACTGAGAGTTATTTTATTTTAAAAATATGATCAATGTTAAATTTAAAAAGTTTATTTTAATAGTTTTTTTTGCTTATGTGGATAAATTATATAGTGAATTCTTAGATTTTAGGGCACTGGTCACCTGAATAGTGTACTTTGTACCTAAACTATGGTTTTTTCAATCCCTAGGCCCCTGTCATACCCCGCTTCTGAGTCTCTAAAATCCGTTATAGCATTTTGTATGCCTTTGCATACTTATAGCTTAGCTCTCACTTATAAGTGAGAACATACAGTTTTGGTTTTCCACTCCTGTGTTACTTCACTTAGAATAACTTATTAAATGTTTTTCCTGAAAGTACTGAGATGATCATATGGCCTTTCTGTTTTATTCAAATAAGTTAAGGAGTTAATTGATTTTTAAATGTTGAAGCAACGTTGTATTCTTGTAAAAACATGAATTTGATCATAATGTATTACGTATTTCATGTACCACTGGATCCAATTTGCTAATACTACATTTAGAAATTTTGCATCTATATTAATGAGAGAGACTGGCTTTACATTTTTATTTCTTGAAATGTCTTTACCAGCTTTTTGTATCAAGGTTACGCTGTCCTCATAAAATTAGCTTTGAAGTATTTTCTCTTTTGTTCTACTCTGCAAAGATTTCTTCCGTAAGATGGTGTGACTTCTCTCTTAAATGCATAAATAATTTACTTCTGATGTCATCTGAGTCTTGAATATTTTGTTGCAAGGTTTTTGTATTTGTTTGTTTGTTTTAGATGGAGTCTCGCTCTCTCGCCCAGGCTGAACTGCAGTGTCGCTATCTGGGTTCACTGCAAGCTCCGCCTCCCGGGTTCACCACTCTCCTGCCTCAGCCTCCTGAGTAGCTGGGACTACAGGGCAAGGTTTTAAATTAAGAATTTTATATGCATATCACACATATATGTATGTAAGTATATATTTCTTGTGTCAGTTTTAATATTTGTAGTTTTTAAGAAATTTTGTCTACATTTTCAAATGTATTGCCATAATATTTACAGTACAATCTCCTTATGTTTTTAATGTCCATAAGCTTTGTAGTTATGTACCACTTCTATTACTAGCGTTTATAATTTTTTCCTACTCTCTTATTTTTTTCTTTATCTATCCTATTAGGATTTACTAATTTTATTATTCTTTTCAGGGACTAACTTTAGGTTTTGTTAATTGTTTTCTATTATACATTTGTTTCTATTTCAGTTATTTCTACTCTTATCATCATTATTCTCTTCTACATTCTTCAGATTTAATTTACCATTCTTTTTTAATTGCTTGAGATAGATATTGATATAACTTTCAGATTTTTTGCTTTTATAACATATGCACTTAAGGTTATACATTTGCCTCTAAATATGGCCTTAGCTGCATCACAGGAACTATGTTGTGTCATGTTTTTCTTTATTATTTCGGTAAAATATCTAATTTCCATAGTTATCACCCGCAGCTCAAAAATAAGCTAATGTCTTGAGGGAAAATGTGGTGCAGAATGTGGGCTCACTTCTTTGAGGTTACATATTCTCTCTCTCTGTTCTTTTTTTTTTTCTTTGAGATGAAGTCTCACTGTGTCACCCAGGCTGGAGTGCAGTGGCATGATCTTGGCTCCCTGCAACCTCCACCTCCAGAGTTCAAGTGATTTTCCTGCCTCAGCCTCCCAAGTAGCTGGGATTACAGGCACACACCACCATGCCCAGCTAATTTCTGTATTTTTAGTAGAGATGGGGTTTCACCATGTTGGCCAGGCCAGTCTCGAACTCCTGACCTCAGGTGTTTCTTCCACCTCCAACTCCCAAAGGGAGTTGGGATTACAGGTGTGGGCCACCGTGCCTGGCCTGACATTATATTTTCTTAAGGATCTTGGCTGCTCAAGTACTGAATGCTTTTGTATACTTAAACTTTTGACTTCCAAAAGCTGAAACCACAAGTTTCTGCTCAGCTTCTGACTATTACACTACATATGAATCAACAAATACCCAGAAAGAAAAAATGGTGGGGCAAATGAAGCAACTCAGTGTGCCTCCCTTCTTTCCAGGATCTGTCACTCTCAAATGTTGGCTACCTTAGTTGCTCTCCCATTTTTTTAAAACTGCTATTTTTAAAACATTTTATTTAGTTTTTACATGTGTTCTCATTGGGAAGGCTGATCTGACTCAGATATTCTATCACACTAGAAGCACAAGTCACCACCTCAAATAACTTCTGAGCTGGGGAAAATAATTAGAGATTAAGTAGAAATCTCATAATTGGTCAAATGCTACAAATACTTAGTGACAGAGAGCTAGAATCTGTAATTCTTGATTCCTTATAAAGTAAAACATGTGTGGGAACGTGGTTCCAGGGTCATAGACATGGCAGCTGGGACTACTCATTCTTCTCCATAGTCTTGGCTTCGGGGCAATCATTTTCTAATCCTGTAACATCCCCCAAATGCTCCCACTATGTGAATCTAAATTACACTACTAGAAAAAATACATCCTCCAGCTGTACTCCTAAACTGTCAACCTACAGATATTTTATGAAGCATATGGCACATATTAGGAATTGTGCTAGTACTGCAGCGACAAAGATGAAAAGCACAGATTTTTTTTTCTCACACAGCTAACAGTAAAGAATGGGAAAGAGATAAGCCAACAAACAATAAGAAAATGACTTCTATGGGGATATAGAAAACATGCAATGAGTGCACTGCTGAAGGAGCAATGGAATGCCTGGGGAGTTGAGGAAGACTTTCCTAAAAGGCAGGAATGAAATAAGATTCCATCGTAAACAAATAGGAGAATGGAATTCCATGAAAAGGTAGCAGTATGTGCAAAGGAATAAAAATATGAAAGAGTGTGATATGTTTTGGGAAATCTATAAGGCTTTTTTCTTCTCCTTGTGCTGAACTTTGAAGTGCAAGGTTAGATAAAGAGGCTAGCAGGTAGACAGAGACAAGGTCATGATCAAATTGGTCAAATGATAGGAGACGAGTTGGAGAATGGGCCTCAGACCTGGCAGGGGGAGAGTTTGGTTCACTGTGTCAAATTCTCCTTTGGGGTCCAATGAGATAACTATAATGAGTTCTACTTGAAAGTTATTAATATCTTTAGCAAGGGAAATTGAGAAGAATTGGTTGATGCAAAAATCAAGTCTAAAGTCAGATTGCAATGGATTGAGACATAGATAGAAGGAGAAGACATAGAGATATTCAACGTAGTACTTTTTTTACTTGGCTGTTAAAAAAGGAGTAGCTTTTAAATAAAAATACAACTAAGAAGGTCAATGTGAAACTAATTTAAATTCCATAAATAATATGCATTCACATTCTACTCTGGATTTTCAAAACTTAATATTATGTGGAAATTGAAATAGGGCTAATGATCCCTAAAATAGCAAAAGTAACTTGCTAGAAATTGTTTGTATGCAAGGCAGGCTGTCTTAATGCTCTCTCCCTTAATTGCTCTCTCACCTCCTCATGTACTCCACATATACATTCATGAACAAGGAGGCTCTCTCTTCATTTCTTCAACATGATACAAGCATATGTTGAAGGTCAGGCCTCATGCCTGGTGCTGGGGATACAATGGGGGAAAAATAGACTCAGATCATGTCCTCCTCCTATTTCTTTCACAGAATCACAACAATAGAATTCTAAGGGCTGTGAGGAAAAGGTGCAGAATGCTATGGAGATAACAGGGAGAAGTAAATTTATCTGAGGGTTGAGGAAAGTGTGTAGGAAAGACATTCCCAAGGATATATAGAGTGTGATGATGATATGGTTTGGCTCTGTGTCTCCACCCAAATCTCATCTTGTAGCTCCCATGATTTTCACCTGTTGTGGGAGGGATCCGGAAGGAGATGATTGAATTATAGGGGCAGGTCTTTCCTGTGCTGTTCTCATGATAGTGAATGGGTCTCATGAGATCTGATGGTTTTAAAAATGGGAGTTGCCCTGCATAAGCTCTTTTTGCCTGCCATCATCCACATAAGATGTGATTTACTCCTCTTTGCCTTCCACCATGATTGTGAGGCCTTCCCAGCCATGTGGAATTGTAAGTCCAATAAACCTCTTTCTTTTGTAAATTGCTCAGTCTTGGGTATGTCTTTATCAGCAGCATGAAAACAGACTAATATAGTAAATTGATATCAGGAGTGGAGTGTTGCTGAAAAAATACCCGAAAATGTGGAAGCAACTTTGGAACTGGGTAACAGGCAGAGATTGGAACAGTTTGGAGGGCTCAGAAGAAGACAGGAAAATATGGGAAAATTTGAAACTTCCTAGAGACTTGTTGAATGGCTTTGACAAAAAAATGCTGATAATGATATCACCAATAAGGTCCAGGCTGAGGTGGTCTCAGATGGAGATGAGGAATTTGTTGGGAATTGGAGAAAAGGTGACTCTTGTTATGTTTTAGCAAAGAGACTGGCAGCATTTTGCCCCTGTCCCAGAGATTTGTGGAACTTTGAACTTGAGAGAGATGATTTAGGGTATCTGGTGGAAGAAATTTCTAAGCAGCAAAGCATTCAAGAAGTGACTTGGGTGTGGTTAAAGGCATTCAGTTTTAAAAGGGAAGCAGAGCATAAAAGTTCTAAAAATTTGCAGCCTGACTACGCAATCGAAAAGAAAATCCCATTTTCTGAGGAGAAACTCATGCTGGCTGCAGAAATTTGCATGAGTAATGAGGAGCTGAATGTTAATCCCCAAGACAATGGGGAAAATGTGTCCAGAGTATGTCAGAGGTCATTACAGCAGCCCCTCCCATTACAGGCCCAGAGGCCTAGGAGGAAAAGATGGTTTCATGGGCCAGGCTCAGGGCACCCCTGCTCTGTGTAGCCTAGGGACTTGGTACCCTGCATTCCAGCCACTCCAGCCATGGCTGAAAGCGGCCAAGGTACAGCTTGGGCTGTTGCTTCAGAGGATGGAAGCCACAAACCTTGGCAGCTTCCACGTGGTGTTGAGCCTGCAAGTGCATGGAAGTCAAAAATTGAGGTTTGGGAACCTCTGCCTAGATTTCAGAAGATGTATGGAAGTGCCTGGATGCCCAGGTCGAAGTTTACTACAGGGGCAGGGCCCTCATGGAGAACCTCTGCAATGGCAGTGCAGAAGGGAAATGTGGGGTTGGAGCCTCTACAAAGAGTCCCTACTGGGACACCGCCTAGTGGAGCTGTGAGAAGAGGGCCACCATCATCCAGACCCCAGAATGGTAGATCCACCAACAGCTTGCACCATGCACCTGGAAATCTGCAGACACTCAATGCCAGCCTATGAAAGCAACCAGGAGGGAGGCTATACCCTGCAAAGTCACAGAGGAAGAGCTACTCAAGACCATGGGAACCCACCTCTTGCATCAGTGTGACCTGGATGTGAGACATGGAGTCGAAGGAAACAATTTTGGAGCTTTAAGATTTGACTGCCCCCCTGGATTTTAGACTTGCATGGGGCCTGTAGCCCCTTTGTTTTGGTAAATTTCTCCCATTTGGAATGGTTGTATTTACTCAATGCCTGTATCCCCATTGTATCTAGGAAGTAACTAACTTGCTTTTGATTTTACAGACTCATAGGCAGAAGGGACTTGCCTTGTCTTAGATGAGACTTTGGACTGTGGACTTTTAAGTTAATGCAGAAATGAGTTGAGACATTGGAGGACTGTTGGGAAAGGATGATTGGTTTTGAAATGTGACGATATGAAATTTGAGAGAGGCCAGGGGCAGAATGATCTGGTTCGTCTCTGTCTCCCCACCCAAATCTCATCTTATAACTCCCATAATTCCCATGTTATGGAGGGATCTGGTGGGAGATGATTTAATTAGGGGGTGGGTCTTCCCTCTGCTGTTCTCATGATAGTGAATGGATCTTATGAGATCTGACAAAAAGACAAGCTCTTTTTGTCTTCTGCCATCCATGTAAGATGTGATTTGCTACTCCTTGCCCCTTGCTTTCCTCCATTATTGTGAGGCCTCCCCAGTGATTTGGAGCTATAAGTCCAGTAAATCTCTTTCTTTTGTAAATTGCCCAGTCTCGGGTATATCTTTATCGGCAGTGTGAACACAGACTAATACAGACATGAAATCCAAGAAATCCAAAGGAAGAGTAGGAGTTAAGAAGGCAAAAGGGGAAAGTGTATTTGGGGTTGGAGGGGAAAGCATTTTAGCATAGGGGGTGATCTGTGGTAGGAGTGTTGAAATTGACGAGTGAGTGACCCAGGCAGTAGTGAGATCAAGAGTCTTGTGGCTTGTTTTCATGGTTTTGAAAAACCATAGAAAGGGTTTCAGCAGAGGAATGATATAATCAGATTTTAACTTTAAAATATTCTTGCTGAAAGAAGAAGAGATTGGAGGTGTGTGGTGGTGATAGTGGAAGAAGAAAACAGTAAAGAAAATCTTAAAAATTGAGTGAAATCAACAGGATTTTGGTAGATTGGTGAAAAAAAGGTGTTAAGGATTGTGGTATATAATAAGCACAGAAGTCAGAAATGTTAGAAACATTCATGAGAAACAATAAAATGAACCACCAAAGATATATTTACTAAATTTGTAGAATTCTGTTTCCATCTATTCATATGTCATAGGATGATGATGTTAAATCTAGCATAGCTACCTGATTGTGTATTTGGCTCAAAGGCAACCCCACAAAGGTACTTGTGTAGGATTTGGGTAGAAAAGGGTGAGGTCACCTCTAGAAAACAACACTCTAGGCTCTCTGTCCTCAGCAGAATGGCTGGCCAGAATCAACAGGAGATGCTTCTTTTATGCCTTTCCCGCAAGTGAGCTGGGTGCTGCTTGCAGCTGAATTAGAGTAATATATTTAATCAGCCCGAGAATTTTAGGGCAGACAGATTTTTCCCCCCTCCTTGATTGTAAGTACTCATTCGCTAAGATTTTATTTGTAGACCAAGTTGGGAGCTTGTCTCCCTTATCATTTTAGATACGTATTTCAAACAAATGATCTGTTTCACTTGGTTGAATTGGGTACTATAGAGAAATCTATACCTGCAATGGCAAGATGTGTTAATTCTTATAGGCTAGTGTAGCACCAATTATCACATGTGAGTAGTTATTGGTCAATTCAGCTCCATTCAATCAACATTGATTGAGCATCTAATGTACCAGGCACTGGGTCATGCCCTAGAGATATATAAAGGTCCATAAGAAATAGTCATTGTCTTTGAGGAATTCATAGTATAGTGAGGAAAGAAATATAAATAGATAATTTTGTTCAAGTCACTTCTGTTTATAGAGGACCTGCTATATCTGCTGCTCTCATTACTATGATGGTACTCAATAAGCCACTGAATTATGAGCTTAGTCACACTAGAATGTGCATCTTCCTCTAGGATGCATAAACAAAATACAGATAAGATAACTGAGTTGATACTATGCAACTTTCTAATCAGGCCTGTGATGACAAAAGTTCCAAATAAAGTTATCTTGGCTGCCACTGAAAACATAGCCTTTTATTATTAGGCCTCGCCTCCAGTTTTTCCCCTATCTTTAACTTTTTTTATTTTTATAATATTTTATAAAAATATATAAAATATACAGTAGGTGTATATTTTATGAAATACATGAGATATTTTGGTACAGGCATGCAACAATCACATCATGGAAAATGGAGTATTCATCCCCTAAGATATTTATTCTGTGTGTTACAATCTAATTATATTCTTAATTATTTAAAATTGTACGGATTTCTCTTCACTAGACTGATTTCCTTTCTTTTGGGTATATACCCAGCAGCGAAATTGCTAGATGGTATGATAGTTGTAGTTTTAGTTTTTTGAGGAACCTCCAAGCTTTTCTCCATAGTGGTTGTACTAATTTACATCCACACCAACAGTATACAAGGCATCCCTTCTCTCCACATTCTTGCTAGCATTTGTTATTGCCTGTCTTTTGGATATAAGCCATTTTAACTGGGATGAGATGATGTCTCACTGTAGTTTTGATTTGCATTTCTCTAATGATCAATGATGCTGAGTACCTTTTCATATGTTTCTTTGCCATTTTTATGTCTTCTTTTGAGAAATGTCCATTCAAATCCTTTGCCCATTGTTAAGTCAGATTATCAGATTTTTTTCCTATAGAGTTGTCTGAGCTCCTTATATATTCTGGTCTTTAATCCCTTGTTATATGAATAGATTGCAGATATTTCCTCCCATTCTTTTGGTTGTCTCTTCACTTTATTGATTGTTTCCTTTTTGCTGTTCAGAAACTTTTTAACTTGATGTTATCCCATTTGTCTATTTTTACTTTGGTTGCCTATGCTTGTGGGGTATTACTCAAGAAATCTTTCCCCAAACCTATGTCCTGGAGAGTTTCCCCCGTGCTTTCTTGTAGTAGTTTCATAGTTTGCTGTCTCAGATTTAATTCTTCAATCCATTTTGATTTGATTTTTTATATGGTGAGAGATATGTGTCTCATTTCGTTCTTCTGCATATGGATATCCAGTTTTCCAATCACAATTTATTGAAGAGACTGTCTATTCCCAATTGTTTGTTCTTGGCAACTTCATTGAGAATAAGTTCGCTGCAGATGTATGGATTTGCTCCTAGGTTCTCTGTTCTGCTCCATTGGTCTATGTGTCTGTTTTTATGCCAGCACCATGCTGTTTTGGTTACTATAGCTCTGCAGTATAACTTGAAGTCAGGTAACATGATTCCTCCAGCCTTTTTTTTTCTTTAGTTAGAATAGCTTTGGCTATTCTGGATCTTTGGTGGTTTCATACAAATTTTGGAATAGTTTTTTTCTATTTCTATGAAAAATGTCATTGGTATTTTGATAGGGGTTATATTGAATGTGTAGATTGCTTTGGGTAGTATAGACATTTTAACAATATTGATACTTCCAATCCATAAACATGGAATATCTCTCCCTGTTTTTGGTGTCCTCAATTTCTTTCATCAGTGTTTTATAGTTTTCATTATAGAAATCTTTCATTTATTTGGTTAATTCCTAGGTATTTAATTTTATTTATGCTATTGTAAATGGGTTTAATTTTTTTATTTCTTTTTCAGATTGTTCACTCTTGGCATACAGAAATGCTACTGATTTTTGTATGATCATTTTGTATCCTACAACTTTACTGAACTGGTTTATCAGTTGTAATAGTTATTTTTGTGAAATGTTTAGGCTTTTCCAAATGTAAGATCATATTATCTGCAAACAAGGATAATTTGAGTTCTTCCTTTCCAATTTGGATGCCATATATTTCTTTCTCTTGACCAGTTGCTCTAGCTAAAACTTCCAGTTCTATTGAATAACAGTGGTGAAAGTGAGCATCCTTGTCATGTTCCAGATTTTAGGGGAAAGGATTTCAGATTTTCCCTGTTCAGTATGATACTCGCTGTGGGTCTGTCACATATATCTTTAATTGTGTTGAAGTATATTCCTTTTATAACCAGTTTTTTGAGGGTTTTTATCATGAAGGGATGTTGAATTTTATCAAATGCTTTTTCAGCATCAATTGAAATGGTCGTATGAATTTTGTCCTTCATTCTCTTGATATGATGTATCCTACCAATTTTTTTTGTGTATGTTAAACAGTCCTTGCATCCCAGGGATAAATCCCACTTGATTATGATGAATGATCTTTTTAATGTATTGTTGAATTCTGTTTGCTAATATTTTGTTGAGGATTTTTGCATCAATATTCATCAGGGGTATTGGCCTGTAGTTTTTTTTTGGGTGTGTCTTTGTGTGGTTTTGGTATCAGAGTGATACTGGCCTCGTAGAATGAGTTTGGAAGTATTTCCTTTTTCTCTATTTCTTGAAATTGTTTGAGTAGGATTGGTACTAATTCTTCTTCAAATATTTGGTAGAATTCAGCAGTGAAGCCGTCAGGTCCCAGGCTTTACTTTACTGGAAGGCTTTTTTTTATAGCTTCAATTTTGTTATTTGTTATTGATATGTTCAGGTTTTGGGTTTCTTCCTGGTTCAGTCTTGGTAGGTTTTATGTGTCTATGAATTTGTACATTTCTTCTAGATTTTCAAATTTGTTGGCCTCTAACTGCTCATAGTAGCCACTAATGATCCTTTGAATTTTTGTATTATCAGTTGTAATAGCTCCTTTTTCATCTCTGATTTTATATATTTGAATCTTTTGTGTATTTTTTCTTAGTCTGACTAAAGGTTTGCTCTCTTTGTTTAACTTTTAAAACAACCAGCTTTTTATTTCATTGGTGTTTTTATTATTTTATTTTATTTTCATTTATTTCTGCTCTTATCTTTATGTTTTTTTCTTCTACTAATTTTGAGTTTGGTTGGCTCTTACTTTTCTTATTCCTTTAGATGTGTTGTTAGGTTGTGTATTTGAAGGTTTTTTTTTTTTTTCCTTTTTTTTTTTGATGTAGGCACTTCCCTCTGTCCCATAGGCTTTTGGTATGTGTTTTTCTTGTCATTTGTTTCAAAAAAATTTTAAATTTTCTTCTTAATTTCTTCATTGGCTGACTAGTCATTCAGTAGCATATTGTTTAATTTCCATATATTTGTATAGTTTCAAAAATTACTCATTATTGATTTCTAGTTTTATTCCATTGGGTCAGAGAAGATGCATCATATTATTTAAATTTTTTGAGTGGTTTAAGAGTTGTTTTGTGACCTAACATATGGTCTATCCTTGAGAATAATCCATGTGCTTAGAAAAAGAATGAGTATTCTGCAGCCATTGGATGAAGTTTTCTGCAAATATTTATTAGATTCATTTGTTCTATAATGCAGATTGAGTCTGATGTTTCTTTGTTGATTTTCTGTCTAGAAGACCTGCCCAATGCTGAAAGTGGGATGTTGAAATCTCCAGCTATTATTGTATTGAAGTCTATCTCTCTCTTTAGCTCTAATAATATTTGCTTTATATATCTGGGTCCTCCAGTATTGTGTGCATATATATTTAAAATTGTTATATCCTCTTGCTGAATTGACTCCTTTATCATTATATAGTGACCTTCTTTGTCTCTTCTTATGGTTCTTGTCTTGAAATCTATTTTGTCTGATATAAGCATAGCTACTCCTGCTTTTTTTTGGTTTCCATTGGTGCGGAATATCTTTTTCCATCCTTTTATTTTCAGTCTATGTGTGTCTTTATAGGTGAAGAGTGTTTCTTGAAGGCAATAAATCAGTACTTTTTTTTTTTTTTTTTTTTGAGATGGAGTCTCACTCTGTTGCCCAGGCTGGAGTGCAGTGACAGGATCTCAACTCACTGCAACCTCCACCTCCCAGGTTCAAGTGATTCTCCTGCCTCAGCCTTCTGAGTAACTGGGATTACAGGTGCTTGCCACCATGCCCAGCTAATTTTTGTATTTTCAGTAGAGACAGGGTTTCCCCATGTTGGCCAGGCTGGTCTTGAACTCCTGACCTCAAGTGATCTGCCCACCTTGGCCTCCCAAAATGTTGGAATTACAGGTGTGAGCCACTGTGCCAGGCCCACTCTACATCTGTTGATTGGAGAGTTTAGTCCTTTGAAATTCAATGTTATTATTGACAAGTAAGGACTTACTCCTGCCATTATGTTTATTTATTTATTTATTTATTTATTTATTTTTCTGGTTGTTTTATGGTTTTGTCTTCCTTCTTTCTTTCATTCCTGTCTTCCTTTCAGTGAAGGTGATTTTCTCCGGAGATACGATTGTTTTTTGTATATGTATCTATTGCATGCTTTTTGTTTTGAGGTTACCATGAGGCTTGTAAATACTATCTTGTAACCCTTTATTTTAAGCTGATAACTGTAGGGAGACCCCCTGAAACTATTGTTATGGGGTAAAAGATGAAATGTTCCTAATTATTGTAAATACAAAGTTGCATGCAGGATTGTGTAAAGACAATGCCAGGTTGGACTGCCAGAATGAGCCAACAGTGAGCGACGTGCCTCCCCCTGCAGAGAGCCTATGAACAGACGTGTAGTCAGGGAGGTTTCACATCACCAAGATTCCTATCCCAGAAAAACAGATGTTCATAGCTCTGGGAATGGAATGTGACCCTTGTGGAGAGCTTATAAATGGACGAATGAGGGGGCACCTGTTCATATGGATAAGATAGGGCTATAAATGCCCTTATCTTGCCACGTCTCTTCTAGGCCTCTTTAGGGTTAAGGCATACTCCCTTCTGAGAATTTCTGGTCTAACTAGTTGTCTAGCTTCGCGTCCTGTTTCTATGGATTGTTTGTAACTAGCTTTTGCTGCAACTGTTACTGCTGATTAATATTTTGCTAATCATAGGTTATGGAAAGACTGCGTTTCTGTTTTAAGGCTCTGTTAGAAATTACTGATGCACACACTATATTGTAAATTCTTATCTCTGTATACTGTACTTCTACATATAGATGTTATGCGTTATGTTAAAGAATTACTTCAACCCCATGTGACCATCTCACCTCATAATCAAATGACCCTAAATCCCTCACTAACCTACCCCTTCCCTCACTAAACTTAATAATAAATGCTAGTATATCCAGTGCATTGGCGGCATCGTGGGACTAGAAGGCAGTGACCCCCCTGGACCCAGCTTTCACTATCTTGTGTGTGTCTATTATTTCTCGACCTGCCGATCCGCCTCGGAAGGAAGAGAAAGCCCTGTTGCATTGCGGGCTGCTGGCCAGATCCCGCAATAGATAACAATTTAAAACTCTTGGCACAAGCAAACAAACAAACAAGCAAAAAGAAAACTAATAAAGATTATACACCTTCACTTTATCCCCCTGCTTTTTAACTCTTTGTTTTTACTATTTATATCTTATTGTACTATGTTTTGAAAAGATGTTGTAGTTATTATTTTTGATTGGTTCATTGTTTAGTCTTTCCACTTAAGAGTAGTTTATACACCGCCATTACAGCATTATTATATTCTGTGTTTTTCTGTATACTTACTATTACCAGTGAGTTTTGTACCTTCAGGTGATTATTTATTGCTCATTAACATCCTTTTCTTTCTGATTGCAGTACTTCCTTTAGCATTTCTTATAGGACAGGTCTGGTATTGATGAAAATCCCTCAGCTTTTGATTGTCTGGGATAATCTTTATTTCTCCTTGATGTTTGAATGATAGTTTCACCAGATATACTATTTTAGGGTAAAAGTTTTTTTTTCCTTCAGAGCTTTAAATAGCCACTTCTTTCCTTGCCTGTAAGGTTTCCACTGAAAAGTCTGCTGCCAAACATATTGGAGATCCATTGTATGTTATTAGTTCCTTTTCTCTTGCTGCTTTTAGAATCCTTTCTTTATCCTTCACCTTTGGAAGTTTGATTATTAAATGCCTTGAGGTAGTTTTTTGGGGGTTAAGTTGGCTTGGTGTTCTATAACCTTCTTGTACTTAGATGTTAATATCTTCCTCAGGTTTGAAAAGTTGTTATTTTGTTATTTTTCCTTTGAATAATCAAATTTTCCTTTGAATAAACTTTGAATAAACTTTCTACCCCAATCTGTTTCTCTACCTCCTCTTAAAGTTCAATAACTCTTAGATTTTCCCTTTTGAGGCTATGTTCTAGATCCTTTAAGTGTGCTCCATTGTTTCTGATCCTTTTTTCTTTTATCTTCTCTGACTGTGTATTTTTAAATAGTCTTTTTTTAAGCTCACTAATTCTTTCTTCTCATTAATTAATTCTGCTATTAAAGAGTCTAATGCATTCTTCAGCATGCCAATTGCATTTTTCATCTCTAGAATTTCTATTTGATTCTTTTTAATTATTTCAATCTCTTTGTTAAATTTATCTAATAGAATTCTGATTTCCTTCTCTGTGTTATCTTGAATTTCTTTGTGTTTCCTCAAAACATCTATTTTGAATTCTCTATCTGAAAGTTCACATATCTGTTTCTCCAGGATTGGTCCATTGTGCCTTATGTAGTTCATTTGGCGAGGTAGTGTTTTCTTGGAACATCTTGATACTTGTAGTCATTCATCTATGTATGGGTATTGAAGAGTTAGGTATTTATTGTAGTCTTCACAGTCTGGGCTTGTTTGTACCCATCCTTCTTCAGAAGGGTTTACTGATATTTGAAAGGACTTGGGTCTTGTGATCTAAGCTGTATCTGCTTTAGTGGGGACCCCAAGCCTATTAACACTGTGGTTCTTACAGACTCATACAGGTACCACCTTGATGACCTGGGTAAGATTCAGAAGAATCTCTGGATTACCAGGCAGAGGTGCTTGTTCTTTTCCCTTCCTTTTTCCCAAATAAATGGAGTCTCTCTCTCTCTCTCTTCTGAACCACCTGGAACTGTGAGTGGAGTAACACAAGCAGCCCTGTGGCCACCACCCTAGGGGTCAGACGTGAGGCTAGCTCAGCATTGAGGTTTATTTGGGGCCCCAGAGCATTTAGCCTATGGTGATGAGACTTGTGGGAAATCAAGTTCTCGCTGCTGGGATTGGAAATTCTCTTCTGGTTAGGGCTTGTTTAAATGCTCACTCTATGGGCGGGCATCAGTTGAATTTGGTTTGGTTTTTCTTTCTGCTATAATGGGTCAGCATTGAGCTCAGTGCCTCATAATTGCTGTGCTCTCCCTCTCCCCACACGGAGAATTGCTCTCTGCACCATGACACTCGCTGCCGGATGTTGGGGGAGGGGTGACATTACTGATTCAAGTCTGTTTTTCCTACCTCTTCAGTGCCTTTCTCAGTGATATGAAGTTAAAACCAAGTACTATGAGTGCTCACCTGATTTTTGGTTCTTACGAAGTTGTTTTTTTGTGTAGATAGTTGTTAAGTCTGTGTCCTTGTAGTGGGGGACGGTCAGTAAAGCTTTCTATTCCGCCATCTTGCTCCACCCCTCTCCTGAGTCTATCTTTTACATGAAAAGTTTGGTCTACTCTATTTAAGTCTGGCAACAGGAAAAATACCTACAACCTCGTACTTTCTCATGGGATAGGAAAGAAAAGACTGTAGACTCCCAGAAGAATATCATAAACAAGGATATACGGGAAAGATAGCACTTAAGTTTCTGCCATTCCAATGACAAATGAAGGGAGGATCTTGCTTATGTTCATTGATACTTGCATGCTTTGATACCCATGTGCTCAAGACATCATTTGGGAATGAGTATTGGGTAAGTATAAGAGATTCCAGCACTCTGAATCTATCATGACACTTGCTGCTGCTCTCACACCCAAATACTTCTTCTGTTAGATTTTTCTGTAGCTTTCAGATACTCTTAGAAATGTGTGTTAGCTGAGATGTGCCACAATATAGTCATTTCTCATTAACATGGGACGTTTCTTTAAAAAATGGCAGCTGGTCATGTGTCTTGTATGGTTTTAAACTGCTGCTGGTTCACGATGATAAATTCCAAAATAATTTAGTCATTAATTATCTAGCTCTTGTTAACCTCACCAGCCTTACCTTCTGCCTTCAAGTTCCTGAAATTTTCTGAACTTTGAATCTCTGAACACATCAGGCCATGTCATATCTTTGTGCCTTTACACAGGTTTCTTTGTCTGCCAAAAGTACTTTTCCCCCAATTATTATTTGTCTATTTAAAATATGATCTCCTTTAGAAAGTGATTATGCTTCTTACCAATAGTTTTGATTCTTTTGCCTTTCCAGGCATATAAAAGACTGTACTTCTCTACTCCCTTAAACTTAGGTATGGCCATGTGACTTGGCCAATACGGTGTGAGAAGTTCACTGTTCCCTTCTGCTTGGAAACACATAAGAGCCCATGCATGACTCTATATATGTTCTTTTCCCTTGCAGTATCAATTGAAGAGGCCATGTGTTCAAGATGATGGAGCTACCGAGTGGCAAATCTTCCCTCAGCCGTGGACCAGTGTGTCACCATATAGAGAACAGTTACCCAGGTGGGTGACCAGACCACACTATAGTAGAATTTGTATAAGTGAGAGATAAATCTCTGCTCTGTTAAGGCCATAAGAGTTTGGACTGGTTTGTTGCCATAGCACAATCTACCCCATCTTGACTGATAACACATGCCTAACTCCTCCAGGAAGATTTACCTGCTAACTCAGTATTCACACAGCATTTTACTAAATAAACATAAGCATAAACATCTGTTTTGTGAATACCACATTATTATTAAATTTTTTATACATCAGTTTTCATCAGTAGACTGTGACTTCTTCAACAATGAGGGCCATGTTTTATTGAATTCCATGTCCCCCAAATTAAGCACAGTTTCTGGAATATAAATGCTCCATACATATTCATTGGGACTGAAGTTCTAACCATGGCGCTATTGAGAAATTCATTTGATATTTATGTGCTTTTAGCTCTCTCTTGTGAAAGTGTAGATGAGAATGACCAGACTGCCCCCTCAAGGTCAAATAAGTTAATAAGAGTGAGAACACTTTGAAAAGTAAAAGGGTAGAAAACAATACATTATCATTATGAGCTAGGACCAAATTGCTTGGGAAGGCAGCAGAACTGGAAGTTGTCTGCAGGACATATTGGGAGAATGCTTTTGCATTTCTCTTATTTACATGCAATTGTCAATAATTTTCTTTCTTTTTTGGGACACACTTTTTATAATAACTGTAGAAGACAGAGGACAAGAGGGTTGCAATTTTGCAGTCCCGTTGATCCTTTGATGGAATTCTTACTCTTCCTTTCCTGTGCTATCCAATCAGTGGCCTGCAGAAAATGATTCCCCAACCAGGAGTTGGACCCAGCCTATTGTGGAGATGCTACTGATGCCCAGCCCATCTCTCCCTAGTATTCACGTCTCTATGCACACACACAGCTTCTTACTGTGGCACCTCTAACTTTCTGCTTTCTGCTACAGGAGTGTACTCATCCTGTATGAAATTCGGGTCCAAATTTCCTTGGTACTAATATCCCTGGAAGCATCCCTCTGCCAATAATAACATAGATGTCGGTGGGTAAGTACCCCAACTTCCTTGACTTTTAGATAGAAGAACTCTAAGCCATGTTTTCCGAAGAGTCTTAGAGGAGTCAGAGCCCTGGCTGCCCATAGTGGTACCTGCTCATTAACCCATTCATATTGGTTTCTTCCCTATCCTAGTTTTCTTTTCTGACTCCTTTGCCAGTGATTCCTAGAATCACCCTGCAAATAAACTATTTCCACTCAAATCCTTGTCTCTGGCTCTGCCTATGGAGAACCCAATGTAAAATAATCCACTTTCCCCATTGCATTTCTTATATTTTAATATAAAAATATATTAACACATTTTGGGAGGCCAAGACAGGAGGATTTCTTAAGGCCAGGAGTTCAAGACCAGCCTGGCCAATACAGCAATACTTTTTCTCTATTAAAAAAAATAAATACATATATATTTGTTAATAACCATACAATAAATATAATAAACATATAATTCAAAACATTAAGCATAAAACAAATAAAATTAAATAATATAAAATTAAAATTTACTACTGATTGCTGCACAAATGGACATTCCTTGGGTTTATAAAGATTATTTAGTGCAATGTTTTATCAAAAGTACAAATGCTGTTCCAAGTACTATTCACCATAGGAAAATTTTTTCAAAAGCATTCTTCCCCTGCTTCCAATGAGGCCCTGCAGTCATTAGGGAAATCCTTGAGAGGGTGTGGGATGGTGGAGGTTCTGGCTCTGATCTGCAAGAGGGTGCCAATTCTTCACACTTAAGCATGAGATTTATCACAAATGACACAGGCCTTCATCCTGAGCACTGAAGCCTCAGTCTGACTCTTTGTTAGAGTTTCCTTTCAGTCACTGGGAAAGCAAAGTAGAGGACTAGGCCTTTGTCTTCTTCCTTCTTCTGACTTTAAAAGGGCTGATTATCAAGAGAGTCTGCCTTTTATCAGCATTCTGACAGCCGTGGCAGAATTGTTCTTCAAACCTTATTACCTTTTGATTTCTAGCTTCTTCCCCAATATTGTTTTCTACATTTCAGAGAATAAATTAGATACAATTTTCACTGTGGCTTGAATATACACTGTGGATGTCTGAGTTAAAGCTTGCCTGCTTATGAGTAAAGGAGGCCCAAGAGAAATAAGACATCACAGAAATAATTTAGCCCCAGAACCATGGCAAGGAGAGGAAAAAAATGCCACGGAGAGTATATTAGAAATTCAAAATATTGCACTTATTTTAGCAAGTGGAATAAATTTTTTCACATGAAATCTCTCAGATTGTAATAAAGACTAATTATTAATAACAAAGAAGCTTTGAGAGGCACGTTGAGAGGGAAAATATATGCAAATTTGGGCTGAGCATATGTGTGCGTGAGTCCCGGCCATTTCAGCCACTTTCGCAATCAGCACTGATGGCAGAGAGTAATTCACATTGATTGCTAAACAGCTGAAGTGATTGAGTCTCCTGCTGTGCAGCAGTCCAGGCATTTGGGGTGAGAGTGCACTTGCTGTGTACAATGAGCGTTGGCAGCCTTTCAGAAACTCTAGCTAAATTTGAAAATGGGTTTGGGAACAATATCAATTTATGCCAAGCCAATTCAATAATTGGTGGAAAAACTAGAAGGGAGCCTGTTTTGGAAATAGAACATTTCCAAATTAGAGGGTTCACTTTCTCATATCATCCTCATTCTGGGGTTCTTCACCATTTGTGAATTGTTTGTCTTAATGGATGATGCTGCACAATTAGTATAGTCATGGTAAATTGTTACCCAGGCATTTCACATTTCATGTGTCCATTCATTTATTCTGTAACTATTTAGTAAGGACTTACTGTGTTTAAAGGTACTATCTAAAATTTACCTAAATAACATTATTGAGGACATGGACTATCTCATACATAAGATTATGATCAGCAGTGGGCTGAATTGAATAAGCCTGGCAGGATCCATGAAGCTGGGTGTATACCACATGTGCTTGTGTGCTCTCTCTCTCCTTCATATACAAATATACATAAACATACATACACACACAGTTTCAGGATCCTGAGTGTTCAAGATCAACTTGAAAGTAGCAAAACTATAACAGTAGAAAAATACCTTTATGATTTCTGTAAGTTAAGAGACGTAGAGGGGCTAAGCTGATTCTGCCAGTGACATCAATCTGACTTTCAGCAAATAAATTCACCTATCTCCACCTCAATTTCCTAGGAAGGCAAGGGCTTTCTCTGTTAGTTTTACTACTTTATCCTCAGCTCCTAGAATACAGCCCAGCACTGGTAGAGCTCAATAAATATCTCTTGAAAGAAGAAATAAAATAGTTTGATCTCAAATGTCTAGGGTCTGGGCTAGGCCATAAACGAATGGCAAAGATGCGCTGATGGCCTTGGCCTCTGGCATACACTAAAAATAGCTTAGCGACATCCTTGGCCCTTCATCTTAGGCCCTAAAGTTAATCAGAGAGTTAAGCCTCTAGTCACTCCATGATGAGGACTGGTGAGCCCAAGGAAAAGAAGAGGTGGGAGGAGAATCTACCCTGATACTCAGCACAGAATTGGTCTGCATGTAGGGTACAGCAAAATGATTTTGGTGGTGGCAAGGATTATACAGATATGAGTCCGAGCTGTTTGTCAGGGTTTCAGAGAAAAAAAAGAAGTACTGAATCAAAAATCCAATAATATCTTTTCTAATTACTTTGGACAACCTGAAGCGTTAATTTCTCTGTGATTCCATTGCCTCTCGTACGTACCTCTTTTATTGCCAATGGTGTAGTTCATTGTCAGTATGTGCTCGCATATTCCTCACAAGGTTATATGTTCATGGGGACTAAGATGTTCAGCACACAGCAGATGCTCAATAAATGTTTGTTTGAAGGATACACTGCCTTTCCTGGGCATGAACATTCACAAATGCTAAGTTCCTGCTTCACTTCATGAACATTTGAGAAGTTTAGTTTTATATTTCATAACGTTTCTTGCCTATCAGGAAATATTTTAATGCAACTTACTCTACAAAGTGGTGGGAGGGAAGATACTTTCTCATAGCCCTCCTCTGAGGCATGTCTCAATTTCACACCTTCCACAGAAGTAATTAATCACTTCTCCTCTACCTTCTAACAATTGATTCTTTAGGTTATCCACAAAATGCACACCATGACCTTTTGAAAACCTTGATGTAAACTTGCCACAAGGACTCTTTTTCTTTCTTCCTAAAGGGAAATTGGATAGTGTTCTTTCCATTGTGACAATATGTCATTTGCAATAAATAAAATCAGGAGAAGGAAAGAAAACATTGTCTTCGTTACAGAGACCAATTCTGACATAGTCAGGAAGTAGTTATGATAATGGTTCATCAGAAAGTGTCATTGAACAAAATTTTTATGGGCAAGGAAACAAATTTGTAAAGCATTGTTACAACTGTCCATCTGCCAGTCATCACAGAAATAGCCTTTTTGTACAGTACTTAAATTCATTCTAGAATGAGCTTTATTTAAATACATTTAAATATGCTATTTGGCATTGTAAGTAGGGAATGGATCCCCAAGAACAGCCTGTTTGGTAATTTATTTTGCAGTGCACACTGTTGCTAGGTGATAATCAGCTCTAGTGTTACTGGAATATTTGATGCATTAGGTCAAAATTTGATTTTTTATACAGGGATTCTATTTGGTGTGGAAGCTTGGACCTAGGTGAAAAGGCAGAGGCTCTTTGCTTCCTTGCCAAAGGGATAGATCTCCTAACTCTGCCTGGTTTATTTCAGCTCACTGAGGATTCTCTAAATTAATTTTTTACCTAAGTTCTCTGAACTAGTTCAGTTGGGAAGCGCTGACTCCCCCAGTTTCACTGTTGGCATCACTAAAGGCAGCTCAGTAGGAATGCTGGCTTTAGTGGGCAATTACCTCTGCTGACAGAATACAGAGAGTCTTGAATCCTAGGGCTTTGAACTTGACTAAAATAACAATAAATGAATTTTCTTTCAGGCTGGACATGGCCAGGTGACCACTCCTTTACATTGATTAAGTGGAGTATTTTAGACCAAGCATGAATATCTTGTTTTACCTCTTTGTATGAATGGGATTCATCAATTTAGTGTAAACAGCCAAATGTAGAATTAGTCAGCTTAGCTATTTAGAAATCTGATGAGAGGCAGAAGTGAGTTTTCTTCCTCTTGTTTTTGGTTGTTTTTTTTTTTTTTTTTTTTTTTTTGTAAAATTAGTAAAGGGATAGTAATTAAAATATTGGTAAAACATTTGATTTTTTTCAACAAATTTGTATTGAAAGCCTAATATGAGCTAGATTCTGTTCTGGGCTCTTTAAATGCAAAGACCCTGCCCTGGGAGAACTCACGATCTATTGGAGGAAATATCAGCCGAAAAGAAAATATAGTACAGAGTAAGAATTCATTTAGTAGAGTAGGATGGGAGCATGAGACGGGACCAACTCACTGTCACCTGAGTTTCTAATCTGTGTCATGCTTTCTTGGATAGTTTGCATATATCATCTCATTGCTGAAAGACCCTAACATAACCAAGAAATCATTGAGGATAACAATAACTATTTTTAAAATAATTAACACCTAATAAAGACATTTTCTTGCACTTACAAGAAATATGCATAAATAATTTAGTAATGGGTGACTCAAATAAGAACGCAGACTTGTTTTTTTATCTAAATGGGTAAAGAATAACCAAACAAGATGGTGAGTAGAGTGATACAGAAAGCTAGAGGCAAAGAACTCGAGAAAGGGGATACTAAAAACTCAGATCAATGTAAGAGTAACAGCATTTCTATTTATTCATTTGTTCACAGGCCATGCATGTGTGGAACCCCCATATAATATCATTCATTTAAAAAGGAAGAGACTAAGCCAAGAGGAGACTGGTGAAGAATTGTTTATTTTAGATAACCATTTGGGAAGTTAGAATGAAGGAACTAGGTAAACTTGGTAGAACAACCTGTTTCGATGTTTACTGCCACAGTCTACCATTTATTGGGCACCATGTCTGTGAGAGACACTACAGCTAGATGTGGCAGTACACTAACTTGATTCCACAACACCCCTCCCAGCTAGGCACTGTTAATTGTTCTTACAAATAAGGGTGCTGGGCCTCCCAACATCAAATGATTTGTTTAGATTGACCTTTGGTGGCAGAGTTGGAATATAAACCCAGGTCTGTCTGATTCCTCTAGCTGTATGTTCCCCCTAATTTAGCACTTGACAGTGGGTATACAAGAATTTTCTAAAGCCAGGATTATATGGGGCTAACACTTAAAGATGCCCTGGAACAAATTAGTACAAAAACATACTCAACTGCCTAAGGGATGAGCTGGACAGTCATGCCCAAGTTGCTCATTTCTGCCAGTTTGCCTTTGCCTGCTTATTTCTGGGTACAGTCAATGGTGGGTTCTGCATCTGCAGATTCGACAAAATTTAGATGGGAAATATTCGAAAAAATTGCGTTGGCACTGAACATATACAGATTTTTTTTCTTATTTTTATTCCCTAAACAATACTGTGTAACAACTACTTCATAGGCTTTATATCATATTAGTTATTATTAGTAATGTAAAGATGATTTAAAGTATATGGGAGAGTGTGTGCAGGTTATATGCAAAAACTATTCATGTATACATATATATATTTACATCAGAGAATTGAGCATCTGTGGATTGTGGTATCCACAGGAGGTCTCAAAGTCCCCCAGAGGTACTGAAGGATGATTATATATATCCGATAATATAAAAACTGCTCATACTATAATACAGAGTTAATGAGAATGAAATTGCAAAGTCTATAAACAATTAGATAGGTTTTGTTTTAACAATAGCATGTGAAAACACATAACAAATAAAACAAACTGGCAGATTTTTTTGTTTGTTTGTTTTTGAGATGGAGTCTCACTCTGTCACCCAGGCTGGACTGCACTGGCGCGATCTCGGCTCACTGCAACCTCCACCTCCTGGGTTCATGCAAAGTGGCAGATGTTTTAAACTAAGTTTTTTACAATAAGCAAAAGAAATGTATTTAATGTTCTACTGAAAATAGCCAATGTGTCCTTTATGAATAATTGTGTATATTTTTACAAACACCATTTTTTCCTTCCCTTTCTCATCTTACATTGATTTTATAATCTCTTGAATTGTTAGTTTGTGTAATTGGCTGGTGAAATAATTAGTAAACTTAGGCACACAGTGAAACTCTTTAAAATTAGGAACTCTTGTCTCTTAGCAATGATGCTATGCAGTTCAGTCTTACAAATTTTTCAAAATTGTTGGAATAGTAATAGTGTTTGTTTTGTAATTTTTGTCAATAAAAGAGTCATTGGCTAAATTTTTTTTGAAATATTTGATGTCCTTCAAGCCTTCTCTAAGACCAATTATTTTCTCAGTGGGTTATTTGTGAGATCCCTTCATGATGTATGATTTTTGCTTTCTGTTGTATATTCTTCCATTTTTCCATTTGAAATGTAATTTTCTTACAATCAAAAGTCTTGATCTTCAAGGTTGTAATATAACTTAAAGGATGGTCTGACTAACTGTGATGATGCCATTTCTGAAGAGAAAAACATAAGAATAGAGATTTAGCTTCCTGTTTCAGGACTTTTCAAACCTCAAGAAAATCATTTTACTAGTTTGCTGGAATAGAGAACCGGGCTTATTTTTCAGTTATCCTTGCCTTCAGATAATATGAATTACAAAAAGACTTCTAGGATGGGGTCTTGCTGCCTAAATCAAACTACTTTCTCCCTTTCTGGTTGGATTTATTTCAAAATGTCTTTCTCTCAGGATTCACTTTGCTAGATGCGTACCATGGAGAGAATGCCTGGCATTCAGCTTAAATTGGGATAGGCTTTGTGCTATGACTACTCTCTGGAAGGCTTAGAAAATAATGTCAATGGCCATTTAATAAATAATATGGGGAGACTGAGGGAAAGCAAGACTTTCTTTCAACCTCTGAACAAAGTGGGTAGAGAGGTTGGGGAATGGAATGCCCAACATCACCCCACTCCTGGGGAAAAGGACACGGGCTGTGAAGTGGCAGTTGAGATACAGTGAATGACTGACCTCACCTATAGCCAGAAGAGCATTGCAGCCCCTACAAGGCCTTGTGATGTGGGCAAACAGTTGGCATACCTTGAGGTGAACTGCAAGGCCACAGAGGTGGTTGAATAGTGAATATTTGGGGAATCTTTCTGACATGAGCATTTCTTGAGCCATTAACTTATTGCAAGAGCATCAGATGCCACCCTTATGTTCAGGTAGATATTTTGTCTCCGAAAAGCACTCTGTGAGAATAGCTCATAGGACCGTACTGCTGTGTAAACTTCCAGGGACTCCAGTGGAGATGGTCATGGCATCCATGGCCACAGCTGTGAAGGAAACACCCAGGATGCATAGATCCTGCATTCAAGGATGGAAAGATAATTCATTAAGGAATTTGGAATTCTGTGGAAATTCAGAATTTTTATATGTATTAGGGATGAATTGAGACAGAAATTCACTCTTGAGATATTGGAACCTTTAAAAAAATTTCGAACCACTTGCTTTTATAATATAAAACATAGGAGCTCAGTAAAAAATAGTAGAGGATATGTCCCCAAAGCACCCAGCCTAAGATCAGTATCAAGAAGAGTAGTATATGCTAATGGAGGCCACACTTAGCTCTGATTCCCCTGAGAATCAGGGTACAGAGAAACTGTGGATGTCATAACTCTATGTCAACCACAAGAGTAGAGACAATATGAAAGGATGCATAACAGTTTATTAAACATGAGTATTTTTCCAATGCTTTAAAACACTTAATTCTGCAGTTGCATAGTAACATAAGCAGCTTTAATTTTCATGAATGGCCTTACAAGACATGAGAAAAATAATTTTTGAAATGCTCAAATTGGTGGAAACAGAGGGATTAAGAGTCATCTTATTGAAAGCTGGGGACAGGTGATATCCTTTATCTAATTTCTAGCCACTTGATTTTGCAATACTGATGATAAAAAACAATATATGTTTAATGGCATAGTGATAAAATGAATTGTGTTAATTAATCAAATAGTATGTCAATTATAGATTTTATATTTAACAAATCAGGGCTCATGATTTCTATATGAATATTTATCAATGAATCATATGGACTACACCAACACAAACTTTATTTCATATATTTGGAAAATAGACATGTGTGTGTGTGTGTGTGTGTGTATTTCTATGTATGTGTCTTTATTGATATGAATCTGGGCAGATGAATAAATGAGTTTTTCAAAAAGCAGGTAGGAATAGATAAAAAAAAAAAAAAGAAGTGATTGAATGGTATAGCACTGAGAACCACCCTACTTTAACTTCTGATGCTAGTAAATAAAATATATTTGAAATATCTGGGAAACCTGCCAGATGAGAAATATTGAATATATTTTCAAGTTTTTTTAAAGGTTAGATTGAGGCATATAACAAAACATCCTCAAAGAATGGGAAAAATCAGTCAATCATATGTATGTGGATACAGGATGCAAAGCATCTAGCTATGATTGAATGACTAATTTTCACACTTCCTCTCATCCTAGGCATTTTACCCAATATTTAGAATCATGCAGATAGAGTTGAACTAATAAGCTTTGTAGGATTTAAACATAAATAGGTGAAAGAAGAGATAATGTCTGTGAAAACATTTTGAGAATTGAAAATGACCACATAAAATATTGTTTTTAATTAATGACTCTGTTAACACCATTAACTATTAAGTCATAGGATAGAAGACAAATGGCAGTTTTCTTGGGAACTTTCTAATAGATTAGATTCCTTTGTTCTGTTCTTACGTGCTGGGACCATGCAAGTAGGGATGAGAAAGGATGCTGAAAACAAGATTCTGAAGCCATTTCTTTCTTTGTGGATCTCCGCATTTCAATTGTATTTTTGGCTAAAATATTTCCTTTGTGATAAGTTTATTGAATAGATTTGAACATAATGATTAAGAGCGTAAATCAAGAGAACAAAATTTGTTTTTTATCAGAAGTGAGATCTTGGGCAAGCTGTGTAATCCCTCTAAGCCTTATTTCCTCACCTGTAAAATGTGGGATAACAGTAATTGTTATTATTTATTTTCTGTAGGGTATATGCTAGTGCTTTCTTACATTAATGCTTACTCTTCAGGATTTATTTTAAGCAGTGTTCTATAACAGCCTTAGCATCTTGTCAGCACATAGAATCCCTTTATCCACATAATATTGATTGCATTAAAAATTAGAATCAATAATTCTATTCAGTATATTTGCTGTTCCTTAAAATATAGCAAGTCATGCAATATGTAATCAATATATTCTTGTTCTACTTTCACACTCATCTCTCCAATCTGTCAGATTGAACCACAGTATAGTAGAAGAAGGATGAAGTAAAGTGAGCAAAATCCTTATGTCTAGTCCCTGAAGAGTGCCCACATGCAAGACAGCAAGACCTCAGTGTCTGGGAACTGTCTATATCTGTCATTCTGACCACATGTCACCTCTGCTGGCTGTCCTTTCATTCTCCAGTGCTCAGCCTCTTCACTTACACTGTTTCCATCTGCTTTCTCACCTCCTGCAGACTAGCTGCAGCTTGAAAATCCCATCTCCCTCAACTATGCTTATTCTCTCTCTAAGGGGCCTTACATGACATCAGAAATACTTAATGATACAGTCTGAGTCATACACATTTGGATTACTGTACCCTCATTTTAGCTTGCCCAACAGTACTAAGTGAATATTCTTTTTGTAATTATAAGACTATGAGTGATTCTGGGCCCCTTCTAAAAAAAGAAGTCACACTCTAAGATAACTTGCCATCGTGAATCTGCATCTAAGCTTTGCCATCACTTTTAATGCAAGTGTTTCAAGAAGGATGACAGGTAGATAAGTAGGCAGACAGAGAGACAGCCATAGACCCAGATCTGGACCTGTGCAGGTGTAGATATATGGTATAGATCCTAAATATAGTCATGGTTAAAGACAGAGCTCTAGAGTATCTCCTGCCTCATCTGTCCCTGGCTAACTGGGGTGATGAAGGCTGCTGTATGAACCCAGGAAGGGTGGTGGGGGTGTTCCCTTTAACATAGCCCAGCAGTGGTAGTCTTCTGAACATAGGCACAGAAACATTTCCATCAGCTTACACAGTTCTTTAGACTCACAAGAAACTGAGTTTATTGTTAAGAATGCCAATTTATTACTCTAATTGTAGCTAAAGCTAGGAATGAGGATGGATCAGCCACATGCAGAGGGCATATGAGTGATCATATACAAGTTCATGGTAAGGAAAACACCCAGAGAATGTTTGCCATAAAAATACTTGCACCATATCGATATAGCCTGGGGTAATTTCCCTTTGTACTTTAAGGATATTTATATCTCAAGGGCATTTTGGTTCAACATGGGGCAACTCTGATGAGTCATTGTAGCTGCAGGGCACCCAGTGCGGTCAGACAAGGCTGTCATTGCACTTGCATCACAGCTCAAGATTTTCTTCTGCTCCACCTGGCTCTCATGTGAACAAGAGCTGGCCCTTGTGTATTACATTTGCATTTCCTGTATACCTATCTTGGCTGCTCTATTCACTACCTTTTTATACCTATCCATTCTTTTTCTCTTTTTTTCTAAAGTTTTGTTCCCTTTGAAGACTCTTGCTCTTAAAACAAGGAGTATCCAAATTCATCACTTAAAAGTCAATCTTCCTACAGGTTTCATCATGGAATTTTTGAATCTATTCTGATTGCACTAGTTATCCTTTAGTGAAACTATTTTTATTTCACAGACTTAGAGTCTCTCGAACTTGGTATGCAACTCTGGGCAAAAGCATTTGAATGTGTGTTTTTCATTTTGATTAAGAAATGAGAGCACTTTGAAGATACATCCATGATGCTGGCTACCCGTAAAGAAAATAAACTGAGTGTCAATGGAACAGACAGAGAATCAGAGAACAAAAGAAAGTCAAGAGATTTACCCAAGGTCAGTGAGCACATTTGTTATAGAGCTGAGAATAGATGTCACCTACCTCCTTGGCCAGTGTCCTGTACAACAGATCCTCTGGTCAATATTTCTTTTTGTGCCATGAAGGGCAGTAGACAAACCTCTTTAGTATAACAAATGTGAGTCCTGGTGCCTTGGCTTTTTACTTGAATTTACTTCTATCCTTAAAATCTTCTCTTCAGTGCATTCTCAGGAGTACTGTAGTTTTAAGTTTTTTTTTCTATTTAAACATATATATTTAAGTACTACATGTGTAAATATATAGTTTAAGAAAATTGAGACATATCATTTTACAGATTAGTTACATGTATTAATATGAAAATTCATGCAATTTCTATCCTATCTTCAAGGTACAGTTCAAATACTGAATAATTTTTGTTATTCTTACTCCAACATACCAAAATTAATTATTCTGTCTCCTATAATCCTATATTTATTATTATACTTATTTTAATTACCTGTGCCTTTATCTGGTTTCTTTAGATGCAGATAATTTTTCTTATCCCTATTGGGATCCCTCATCCTTAGTAGTTTCTGGCATGTAGTATGAATTTAATAAATGCTAAGAGAAAATATGTTTATATACACCTTCAATGATTTTTCCCCCTAGATTCCATTGTACTTTCAAGAAGCATCATAGTAGATATGATGCAGACCCAACAATGTAACCCATAATAAATACCACACTTAGGGCTTTCCAGTGCTTACTTTATACGGCATTTTGCTCTTGCAACTGTGCAGCAAGGAAAGAAAAATCTCCTGCCTCTGCCAGTGGTAGGGTAGGGAGAGGGGGGAGCTGGCAGAGTGGAAGGGAGAAGCCTCTATGTTTTGACTATTTCTTTAAACACATGGGTAGAATCATTGATTCATTTGCACTCCATTGTTTCTGCTAGGAATGCAAGAAATCTGGTAGGGCTCAGAGAACAATATGGGAATGAACAGAGTAGAAAGGGTTCAGGTGATTATTTAAACTTCAGGATTGACATTTTCTAGAAGGAACAGAATGTGTTTAGGTTACTTCCAAGATTTGCAAGGTAAATTCGAGCCGTGAGAACACCACCGAGGGGTTCCTGGTGCTTCTGTAGATCTGAGAGTGCTGCTATCTGAAGACAAATTGTGGCTCGTGTCTGACGAGGGAGCTGATCAATGGTCAGTGACTAGAATCCGATGTGAGGGCTGAGTGCAGGACTGAGAAAGGAAACAAATCAAGAAGTCAAAACCAGGTTGACAGCCCTGCTCATATAGAGGAGAATAATTTAGAACACAAGAGTATCAATGTGAACACAGTTGGCTACATAATGTGTGTTGATATGTGCATCTGTGTGGGTGGGGGGGCACTTCATCAGGCTTAACATACATTATGAGTGGATACGTTAGGAAGTTAACTACCGCAGGATTAGAAATTTGCACTCTGAAGGATGGCATTTTATGCATTTTGTGTTTTCTTTGTACATTTAATTTATCTGGGGCTCCTTTACTTTTTAAAATAAAATTCCTCTGGAAAAATTATTCTCTCAATTATGCTAAGGGGAACAAGGAAAATTTTGATTTGGTGATTTTCGAGCCAGTGTTATTGATTGACTGATCACTTGACATGTTGCTGGGCCCCACAACTTTAAAAAGGGAAACAGCAAAGTCTCATTAAAAATAAAAGGTTAGTCACTGTTGAGCTACTGAGAGGTGAGGTTGCAGAGGATTACATGTCTTCCCAAAGTGAGGAGATTTTATTCCAGTTTGACCAGCCTTCAGATTCCCCACCTTTTACTGAAAACACAGGCCGGTCCCCTTGTAGGGATGATACGTCAGTTTCATTGGTCTACTCTGCTCTGAATTCTTAAAAAGTTTTTGGAAAACTTCCAGGGTCATGGATTACAGCACATCTTCAGAGTGCTTGAACCCATCAGCCAACTATTGTCTAGTCTGTGTGTCCTGATAACTGGCTGAGTAAGTCAAGTAGTCCTGAATCACTAGTGTAGCACAGAGAGTCCGTGCTCTGAGGCCTCCTCTTTTCTCCCACTCTCACTCACAGTCCCCCACCTCAGGACACCCTATCAGAGTTTCATCCTTTAGGGGACATCAGTCTCAGTTGATGAGATACCCTTTCCTGCTCAGGGCTTCTTTCATATCTTTGGAATCTTCCCATTTGAAAAGAGGGTAGGTCAGCTAGGAGCAGGGTTTTAAAGGAGGGTGGTGTACTCTCCTAGGTCCTGGCTTGAGGGTGGAAGAGGAAATATCAAAGACACCCCTAGGGTGACTCGCTAGGAGCTTGCCCCTCTGCCGGAGATGTTCCTCCTATAGATCTTCTTCACTCGAACTTTAAAAGGTATTCTGTTTGTTTATTCGCTTGCTTTAACATGGAATGCTTTCCTCTCATAGAAGTCTATTTTATAGAAATTAAAAGGTACCTTAGATTAAAAACAATTACCTTTGACTTTACACTTTCATTAAAATTCACCGAATATTTAGCCATGTCTGGCTTGAAAATGATGATGAAGTTGGAATTTTCCCCTTCTTTTCTTGGAAATCACACAAATATTATAAGGAGGATATGAAACAAAAGCACAAATTCCAAATGAAACCTGACTACCAAGTAAGTAAAGGGACTGCCAAAACAAACAGAAATTGAGTAGGGAATGTGTGGGGAGGGAAACAGAGAGAGGACTCCTATATTCGAAAGTGCTGGCTCTTTACATCTCTCTGAGGGAAAGAATACAGAGCAAATCCCAGGTCTGCAACAGCAGGAACAGATAGCCTGTGGTGGGAGTTCCCGTAAGGAGAAGAGGTATTTGCATGAAGCAGAAGCCCAGTACCTGTGCAGAAGAGAGATGGAAACACAGTCCCACAGCGGGGTATCTTCATTAATTTCTGAACAAGTTTACCTACAAACCTTGGTCTTGAAGGGGTCTCCACAGATGTTACTAGACTTCATCCAGGCCACTCTCTTCTGTGCATCTCCTATTGATCCTTCCCTCCCAAATTTATCATACAGTTTATTTTTATTTCTTTTGGAGGCTCTTCTTCCTTTTACTGTCTTTAAATTTTTAAGCAGTGTTAGATAGGACGGTGTCTAGCCTCCCCTTTTGTTTACTTTTCTTTCCCTGTAGTCTCTTCTTTCAAAATTGTTCAATTGCTTCCAGGCTACCCATTGGTTTTGCTGTTACCTGTTGCCACTTACCTTAATCTAATATGGCTTTAATTTTTGCTCAACCATAGTAGTTTCTGGCTTTAAAAATCAGTCTTGCCAGGTGCAGCAGCTTAGGCCTGTAATCCCAGCACTTTGTTTGGCTGAAGTGGGCAGATTGCTTGAGTCTAGGAGTTTGAGACCAGCCTGAGCAACATGGGAAAACTCCGTCTCTACAAAAAATACAAAAATTAGCTGGTGTGGTGCCGCACACCTGTAGTCCCAGCTACTTAGGAGGCTGAGGTGGGAGGATTGATTGAGCCTAAAAGGGTCAAGGCTGCAGTGAGTTATGAAGGTGCCACTGCACTCCAGCCTGGGTGACAGAGTGAGACCCTGTCTCAAAAAAAAAAAAAAAAATCAGTCTTACCTCTAAACCAAAAACAGATCAATTCCTTAAAAAGCAATTCTCCAAAAAACAATTTGCTGAAGCATCCACTGGTTGAATGACAATTGTTTGAATATACAAAAATAACCTCATAAAACATTTTAAAAGAGAATAATTTTCTTAAATGTATGCAACGGATAGGAATATATCCTTATGAATGTGTTAATGAATGCATTTTTCTTGAATATATTCAATGAAAATATTATAGGAATACATTATAGTTAGCAAAATTTTAAGAGATTTTTAATTTGTTAAAATCTAAGGGTACTTTAGTCTTATTATGTATATATTCTTCCTTTAAATATATCCGTGAAACTATTTTTGAATACATTAAACATATTATTCTTAAGGAAACATCCCAAGTTTCAGCTTGGGATGTCAAACATTTCCAAGTCAAACATTTCAAATTTTGTTTTGAAGTTTTCAGTCTCAATCTCTTCTTTTTCACAATTCTTTTGAAATCACGTTTTGTCTTGTATTTTGACATTTTTAGGGTTCAGGTTTTGCTGTGTGTGTAATGACCAAATTTATCAAATTAATAAAAATAATCCTTTTAACTATTTAGAAAGTTTATAACAATTAGTATGACATGCAATATTTGTAACATTTTTCATGGATTTTGGTATTTTTATTGCATATTGAGGTATAACATGAACACAGCAAAATGCATAAATGCTAAGGGTATATTCAATGGATTTTAACATACATATATATATATATGCCTGTTGAACCAGATCAAGATCTAGAATATTTTCAGCATCTGAAGACCCTCTCCCTTTCCTTAACCATCTCAGACCTCTCTCTGACCTCTATCTCTCTAGATTAGTTTGGTCTGCTTCTAACAACTTTTAAAAGAATGTTCAATTTGCATCTGTTCGGACTCCCTGCTGCCTCAGTTATTGGAAGCTGGGCAAAGCGAAGGAACTTCCCGCTGGTGAAAAGATGAAGGCTGCCAGTCGCAGGAAAGGAGGAGCCCTAGGGTAGAGTAGGACTGAGACAGAGAGACAGTGTAAAGACTCCAAAACCCTGCAGCCATGGCTTCCCACAATTCTCCTAGACCCTGCCAGTCTAGTTGATATTAAATATTATAAGCAGTATAAAGAATTAAAATGGCCGGGCACAGTGGTTCATGCCTGGAATCCCAGAACTTTCAGAGGCCGAGGCAACTGGATCACCTAAGGTCAGGAGTTCCAGACCAGCCTGGCCAACATGACGAAACCCCATCTCTACTAAAACTGCAAAAAATTAGCTAGGCATGGTGGCGGATGCCTGTAATCCCAACTACTCAGGAGGCTGAGCCAGGAGAATCGCTTGAACACGGGAGGCGGAGGTTGCAGTGAGCCAAGATTGCACCACTGCACACTAGCCTGAGCAACAAAAGCAAAACTCAGTCTCAAAAAAAAAAAAAATATATATATATATATATATGTATATACACACACACACATATATATGTAAATATGGAAAATTGATTTTTTGAAGAATTGGTCTTTGAGTGCATTGCCGCTCAGTGAATTATTTATTAGATGCAGATTCGGGGTGAGACACTGTAGCCTCTCTTTCTTAAAACAACCAAACTATTATACTGACTGAAGCCCAGTTTCAGAACTGGGAAGGAAGGAATGAGTTAAACGCACAGGCTTGGAGGACTACAAGTCAGTAGAGTTCTCAGTTGAATTTCTTCATCCCTCCAGAGAGAATGGTAGCAGAAACAGACTCGGGGGCTTTATGGAGAGAGGAACATATTAACTCCTGACCTACAAGAAAGTTGGGCAGGACTTCCCTGACAGACTTCGTACTAAACAGCTGTCCCAAGACACTGAAGTGAGGATGGCCTCACATAACTCCAGGTAAAAAGTTACAGTTTGGCATCAGAACCCAGTTGTCACAACGATCCTAATTGTTGTCTTAGATCCTGTGTAGAATTGACCAGACCTAATCATAGGTTGCTTCTGTGTGAGTGAGGGTGGGAGGGTGGGAACCAAGGTGAGAGGGATTGAGGACAACACAGAGTTTTCAGGCTCCATTGACTGGGTGCAAGATAGTGTCATTTGCTAAGTAAAGATTTGTGGGCAAAATGGAGACCTCAGTTTTTATGAGGTCACATTTGATTTTCTTACAATGTGGCAAACTGGCAGTTGGATTTACACGCCTGTAGCTGAGAGGAGAGATAAATTTAGGAATCCTCAGCCTATAGACGTTGTTTAAAGTCACGAGAAAAACAGTGTTTTTAGAACTGTGAGTCACAATCCATTAGTGATATTACATCATTTTTGTGAGTTAAGACTAAAATTTTTTAAAAAGTGAGTAGAAGTGAATATAGTGTAGGGGAACAGAAAATATCAAAAATTATATAGACTCATAAACGATTATTGTGGGAAGCTGCTAATTTCAGTATATGTGTATACTGAAATTCACATATTCAGTGTGAAATTCACATATTCAGTATAAACACACATACTGAAATTAACAGCTTCACACAATAATAGTTTATGAGTCTGTGTAATTCTTTTTGATATTTTCTATTCCACTATATGTATGTATATATAATTTTGGTATATGTGTATGTGAAATATACACATATATTTTATATATTTCATGTATACATATACCAAAATTATATCTATATCTATAATCATACATATATATGTAAAATTTATATAGTGAAATTTCATTATATAGATAATGTAAGCTATGTGTGTCCAGGTATGCATATGTGTTTGTATTTATTCACATGTATACATATACATATACATCTGTCATATACATGTTGTCAGGGAGAGAGTGAATAAGAGAAGAGGGCCCAGGATGATGAAAGGAAAATAAAAACTTGGGATGCCAATTCACTATGCCAAAAGAAAAAAATTAAGCTGGAAGCTGAGTCATGCAAGAAGCTGCCTTCCTTTTGTTCGTAAGCAGATAGCTACAGATAAAAGGTGAAATATCTCCACAGATAGCTGCTCTATGTTCACCTTATCATATGTAAGTGCTGATTTACTGAGCATGAGAGGAATACATAATTGTCTATTCCCCTACCTGCCCCTTTTCTCTTTGAACATGTGGATTACCATTCCTTCCTTGTTTCCCCTCCAGCCTGCTTTTCTCTATTAAACACTGAAGCCCTCATAATCGTCTTTGGAGAAAGGCACATACTACAGACTGTTTCTGTGACTCTGCATTTATTATTTTTAGGTAGGTCCTTAACTTTGGCAAAATTAAATTTTAAAGTGATGGAGGCCTGTCTCAGATACTTTTTGGTTTACAGGACTAAGCCCTGAGTGACACTAACACCCATAAATGAGGAACTGGTAACTGAGATGGAGTAGCTGGAGTGATGTGATGACTAAATCTATGTGTCAACTTAACTGGGCCACAGGGTACCAAGATAGTTGGTTCAACATTATTTTGGGTGTGTCTGTGTGGGTGTTTCTGGATGAGATTAAATTTAAACCGGTATACTTAATAACACAGATTGCCATTCTCCAGTGTAGGTGGGCCTCATCCAATTTGTTGGAGCCCTGAATAGAACAAAAGGCTGAGCAAGAGACAAGTCATTCTCTCTCCTTGGCTGTCTTCAAGCTAACACATTTGTCTTCTCCTGCCTTTGAACTCAGACTGGAATTTACACCACTGTTTCCCCTGATTCTCAGGCTTTCAGAAGCAGACTAGAATTATACCATGGGCTCTCCTGGGTTTCCTGCTTGCAGATTTTGAGACTTCTCAGCCTCCACAATCATGTGAACCAATTTCTAATAATGAATCCCTGTGACTCTCAATTTATGTATATAAATCCTACTTGTTCTCTTTCTCTGTAGAACTCTGACTAATACACCTGGTGTAAGGGAAACTGGAAACAGATGTGTCATAGAAATCAAAAGAAACTGTTTCAAGTAGTAGAGAATGGTCAACTGTGTCTAGTAATGCAGGGAGGTCGGGGAGATGAGGCCAGAACTCTGTCTATTGGATTTGGTTCCCTGGAGATTATTGGTGGACCTTGCCAAAAATCCACTGAGTGGTTTAGTGGAGAAGAAGCTAGATTGGTGTGGGTTGATGAGAGAATGGGAGGGGACAAAGTGGAGACAGGGTGTATGTACGTAATTCTTACAGGAAGTTTGACTCTGGAGGGACTAAAACTGAAGGGGGCAAGATAGTGCAAGTTGGTTATAGTTTAAGTAGAATAATAATTTAAATAAAATTATTTTTATGAATGAGAGAATGTGGAATATATTTGTGCCTTTACTGCATTACTTGTAGCTCTGATGTTGGTTTCATGGCTTGGATCAAGGAGGGCAGCCTAGGTTGACTGAGATTGACTGCCTGGCTAGCTGTGCTGAGAAGGATCATGAGGCTGTTTGGCAGCAACACTGCTATCCTTACCTTAGATGGAGGCATTGGAAAACAGGTAAATGAAACAGTGATTTTAAAATGATATAATAGTGTTTAGTGGTTAGATTTCACCCAATTGACTTTTTAAAAGGAAAGTCTCATTTACTGAACAAAAATATGTTGAATAACTATATGTCTGGGAAAATAGTAGGCACTGTAAGAAGCAAAATAAAAGATGACATTATGTTGGGCTGGGTGCAGTGGCTCACACCTGTAATGCCAGCACTTTGGGAGGCTGAGGCAGGTGGACCACAAGGTCAGGAGATCGGGACCATCCTAGCTAACATGGTGAAACCCTGTCTCTACTAAAAATACAAAAAATTAGCCAGGCGTGGTGGTACTTGCCTGTGGTCCCAGCTACTCGGGAGGCTGAGACAGAAGAATTGCTTGAACCCGGAGGTGGAGGTTGCAGTGAGCCGAGATCATGCCACTGTACTCAAGCCTGGGCGACAGAGTGAGACTCCATCTCAAAATAAAAAAGAAAATAGAAAAAAAAAGATGATATTATGTTATCAAGAACTTATAATGAAGTTAGGGAGTTAAGGCATATACACACAACCAAATTATAATTTAATGCCTAAATAACTGGCATAGGATTGCTACACACTGAATATTTATGTCCCCTTCCAAATTCATTTGCCCAATGTGATGGTGTTCAGAGGTGAGGTCTTTGGGAAGTGATTAGGTCAGGAGGGTGGAGCTCTCATGAATGGAATTAGTGACTTTATAAAAGAAGCCCAAGGGAGCTTACTCACTCCTTCCACCTTGTGAGGATACAGTGAGAAGATGGCCATCTATGAACCATGAAGGGGGCCAACCCCACACCCAAAATCTACTATCACCTTGATCTTGGACTTCCCAGCCTCCAGAAAAATAAGAAATAAGTTTCTGTTGTTTTTAAGCTACCCAGTCTACAGTGTTCCATTACAGAAGTCCAAGTGGACTAAGATAAAGCAAATATGGAACATCGGTCATCACAGAAAGTATATTGGACAGATCTAAATAATGCTTCCTTGTGGAGAACTTTCTTTTGAGATACCAGCTAAGCATGCATGCCTTTCATACTCAGAGGTATTTTTAACTTTAAGTTTCATAAAAATTATTTTATGTTCACTAGAAAAGCCCATCTAATCTCAAATCATTCTCTCATTAGCCTATTACATTCTTACAATTAGTTTTCATTGCTTGGGCTTAAGCCCCTTATATAGCTAAATAAATTCCAAATACTCTAAAAGAGGAATGAGGAAACCATCCTATAGGTATTTTAAAAGTTATTTTTTTAAACATGTAAAAAATAAAGAAAGAGTATGGCTGTTTTTAGAGAAGTCTCTAATATGATTTGGCTGTGTCCCCATCCAAATCTCATCTTGAATTGTAGTTCCCATAATCCCCATGTGTCATCGGAGGGACCTGGAGGGAGGTAATTGAATCATCGGGGTGGTTACCTCTATGCTATTCTTGTGATAGTGAGTGAGTTTTCATGAGATCTGATGTTTTCATAAGGGGCTTTTCCCCCTTTTGCTCGTTGTTCTCCTTGCTGCTGCCATGTGAAGAAGGACATGTCTGTTTTCCCTCTCACCATGATTGTAAGTTTCCTAAGGCCTCCCCAGCCATGCTGAACTGTGAAACAATTAAACATCTCTCTTTTATAAATTACCAGTCTCAGCATGTCTTTATTAGCAGCATGAGAACAAACTAATATAGTAAATTGGTACCAGGAGTGGGGTGCTGCTGTAAAGATACCCAAAAATGTGGAGGTGAATTTGGAACTGGGTAATAGGCAGAGGTTAAAACAGTTTAGAAGGATCAGAAGAAGATAGGAAAATGTAGGACAGTTTGGAAATCCCTAGAGACTTGTTGAATGGCTTTGACAAAAATGCTCATAGTGATATGGACAATAAAGTCCAGGCTGAGGTGTTCTCAGATGGAGATGAGGAACCTGTTGGGAACTGGAGTAAAGGTCACTCTTGCTATGCAAAGAGACTGGCACCATTTTGGCCCTGCCCTAGAGATCTGTGGAACTTTGAACTTGAAAGAAATGATTTAGGGTATCTGGCGGAAAAAATTTCTAAGCGGCAAAGCATTTAAGAGGTGACAGAGCATAAAAGTTTGGAAAATTTGCAGCTTGACAATGCAGTAGAAAAGAAAACCCATTTTCTGAGAAAAAATTCAAGCTGGCTGCAGAAATTTTCATACGTAATGAGCAGCCAAGTGTTAATCTCCAAGGCAATGGGAAAAATGTCTCCAGGGCATATTAGAGACCTTCACAGCAGTTCCTCCCATGACAGGCCCAGAGGCCTAGGATGGATAAATGGTTTCATGGTCCAGTTCCAGGGTACCCCCTGCTGTGTGCAGCCTCAGGACCTGGTGCCCTGCATGTGAACCACTACAGCCATGGCTAAAAGGATCCGAGGTATAGCTAGGGACGTGGCTTCAAAGTGTGCAAGCTTCAAGCCTTGGCAGCTTCCATGTGGTGTTGGTTTTGCAGGTGCACAGAAGACAAGAATTAAGGTTTGGGAACCTCTGCCTAGATTTCAGAGGATGTATGAAAATGACTGGATGTCCAGGCATAGGTGTGCTGCAGGGACAGAGCCCTCATGGAGAACTTCTGCTAGGGAAGTGTTGAAGGGAAATGTGAAGTCAGAGTCCCCACACAGAGTCCCCACTGGGGAACTGCCTAGTGGAGCTGTGAGAAGAGGGCATTGTCCTCCAGACCCCAGAATGATAGCTCCACTGACAGCTTGCACCATGCTCCTGGAAAAGCCACATACATGCAATGCCAGCCAATGAAGGCAGCCAGGAGCAGGGCTGCACCCTGCAAAGCCACAGTGGCAGAGCTGTCTAAGGCCATATGAGCTCATCTATTGCATCAGCATGACCTGGATGGGAGACATGAAGTCAAAGTAGATCATTTTGGAGCTTTAAGGTTTGACTGCCCTGTTGGATTTCAGACATGCATGGGGCCTGTAGCCCCTTTGTTTTGGACAATTTATCCCATTTGGAACTAGTGTATTTACCCAGTGCTTATAACTCCATTGTATCTAGGAAGTAACCTAATGATCACCTAATGATTTTACAACCTCTTAGGCAGAAGGGACTTGCCTTGTCTCAGATGAGACTTTGGACTTGGACTTTTCTGTTAATGCTGGAATGAGTTAAGACTTTAGGGGACTGTTGGGAAGGCATGATTGTGTTTTGAAATGTGAGAACATGAAATTTGGGAGGAGCTGGGAGCTGAATGATATGATTTGGCTGTTTCCCCACCTAAATCTCATCTTGAATTATAGTTCCCATAATCCTCACAAGTCGTGGAAGGGACCTGGTGGGAGGTAATTGAATCATGGGGCCAGTTACCTCCATGCTGTTCTCATGACAGTGAGTGAGTTTTCATGAGATCTGATGGTTTTATAAGGGGCTTTTCCCCCTTTTGTTCATTCTTCTTGCTGCCACCATGTGAAGAAGGATGTGTTTGCTTCCCCTTCCACCATGACTGTAAGTTTCCCGAGGCCTCCCAGCCATTCTGAATTATGAGTCAATATAACCTCTTTCCCTTATAAATTATCCACTCTTGAGTATGTCTTTATTAGCAGTGTGAGAACAGACTAATACAGCCTTCTAAGAACTAACTTTTAAGCATCTATCAGAAGTAGGTAGAGTTAATAAAATATGAAATGTTAATTAGCAATTCTGTAGAAAGAAAATGGGATGACAAAAGAGTCAACATCTTGGAAGGAAAATGAGTGGTCCCAAAGCCTAAATTTCTGGTCAACAACTGGTTTAGAATAGAGGAACGTGGTTATATACATTCACTCATTTCATCCTGTGAGGTATTTTTTTCATTTTACAGCAGCAGAAAGGATGTATGAAGAGGTTCACTATAACTTGCTCAACATAATGTAGCTACATCTTTTGACTAATTGCAGTATGCTTCTCACGTGCTTTACCCAACTCTCTATGGAAACACAAGCATCTCAGGAATTTACTGGTTGAGTGATGGACTGGATCAATTAATTGAATTTTGATTCATAAGCTATTATGGTTTAAGGGTATTCTCTTTTTACCATGGTTTGAAGGTGGGTGGCACTCAAATTTTGGTGTATGATCAACATTTGAGCAAACTGGTAAAATTCAAGCATTTTACCCTATATTACCAAATTAGTCCTGTCTAAAATCTACTCTGGAACAGCAATCAGGTTGATTTTGTTATTATCATCTAATGAGATATATATTTAGGAATTTCCCCCATATTTGCAGCCTGACCTCTTCCTACCCTACGAAATACCTTCAATCTTAAACCACCAAACATACTTCAAAATATATAAAAACCACATCCTTGGGGCACCAGAAGCTTGGGCCTGTTGGTGGCGTATTAAAACACCCTCACACTGCATAGCGCCACAGGGAATATGAGCAAATCTGAGAACTAATGAAGCTGACCTGTATGCTAGCTTTTGGAAAAACTTTTTTTTAAGTTTTCAGGCAATGTGATTTAGGATTCTTAATGAGTTAGGTTGCTGCCAGCAAAATATTTGGCTTCATTTTATAAGGGAATACACTTCAGTTCATATGTAGATGATGTCATCTCACATGAGAGTTCTCTAATTATTAATACATATGTTCTCCCTATTTGTAAGCACTAATGGTGTGATAGTAAAAATCCTGCCAAAATTTTATTATGGCCATGAGTAACTTGCCTTCCCAGATGTATTATACATGGAAATATGTTGGGAATTAATATTTCTGGTAGGTTTCAGCAATAAGAAGCCTGGATTTCATTCCTGGGAGGTTGGGTAAAGAACATTGTATAACTGGAATGTGTTAGGTGTAATGCTGCCTGTCTATAAAAGAAACTGGATGAAGGAAGAAGGAGAAATTTTTTTTTCCTTTAAAAAAATATTTCCACAACCCTATGTCTCTAGTACCTATACCCAGGAGCTACCTAAAGTCAAAATCTTCCACTAATTGGAAAAGAAGACATTGAATTTTTTATATGGTTAGACTAAGAATTAGGGAGCATAATGGGTATTAGTTGTACATTTCACAGTAGAGTATAATGTGAAATGGTGTTTTCTCAGTGCAGGGTATTATATTCTCATCAAGATATTTTTAAACCATCAACCATTCCTCTTCTGGCAGATTTTGTAGTTTGTGTCTCTGCTTACCTGAGATAAAAACTCCATTAAGGGGATTTCTGTGTCAATGATATGGCTTTTCTTGTCATTTCAAATGAAACTAGCTTCTTCTCAATTTTTATACCCATGCTTCAGTGTCAGGGAAGCTGCTCATTTATTGCTTCCAGGCAGAGAAAAAAATGAAAATTGTTTTTGATGACTTAGAAGAATTCTTCCCTGGAACCTCCAGTCTTAGGAGATGCTTTTGATTCCTATTGTCTGAGAGATTTGAGATTCTCTAACTTGAGCTTTTTTTTTCCCCATTCTAGTCACCTTGAAATGCCCAGTTTTAACAGTGACAACCATTCTTTCTTTTCTCCTTCTCAAGTTAGGCTTGTTTCCTTTTCTCTAAGGGTCCATAATACACCTTCTTCCTGACTGGGTCTCTCTCACTCCTTAATTTCTCTAGGTCATTTTCTTCTAACAGACATTAATGCAGTATTCTCCTGCAGCTTTTTCTTTGACTCTCTTCTCTCTTTTCTCGCCCTCTTTAAGGATCTCTTATCTCTTGGTTTATCTCTTTACCTCACTCATGTGAAGGTGGCTTCCATAGGTATTGCTTTCATTCAAGATATTCTTCTACATTTCCTTAAATAAAACCTGCTTATAAGAAAATTTCATATGTATATAAAGAATAATACCATGAATCTCCACATTCCTGTCATCTAGCTTGTCAATATTTTGCCAGTTTGGTTTTACATATAGCAGATCCAAGTTCAATTATATTAGGAAGGAATATATCATACACAGATAGTGCTGTGTATTTTCTCATGAGTCACATAATTAGGCACATAATAACTTGTCTTATGTTATTAATGCTAATATTGATCGTTGGGTTCTGTTTACACCAATCTGATCTATTCATTGTCAAGTTCACCATCAACCTAGTGATTTTGGCACTCTTTGATAATCCTTATTTAAATCCACTATTTCATTAGGGGTTAAAAATCCTTATTATATTATTTTGTCTTCATTTACTTGGAATTTTATAAGAATTTTCCTTGATCAACTGTTTAGTTACCCTGAAATACAGTTCATACAAGAAAGACAGTATACATATTTGATTTGTTTGCTTTATTTATGAATTTTCAAAATAATTAGTTGATGCCTTGGCAAACTTCAATACTGATGAGCGAAATTTTTAATTTTGTTTTATTTTCTGAAGGGGTCCATGTCATTACATTCTCATAATTCTTAAAAAATATGTGATATCATTCATTTCTTTGTGGTCATTCTTTTTTTATTATTTTATTTTTTTATTTTTTTATTTTTTATTTTGACAGGGTCTTACTGTTGCCCAGGCTGGAGTATGGTGGCATGATCACCGCTCACTGCAGCAGCCTCTATCTCCTGAGTTCAAGTGATCTTCCCACATCAGTCTCCTGAGTAGCTGGGACTACAGGCATGCACCACTATGCCTGGGTAATTTTTGTATTTTTTGCAGAGAAGGGGTTTTTCCATGTTGCCCAGGCTGGTCTCGAACTCTTGATATCAAGGGATCCACTCACCTTGCCTCCCAAACTATTGAGATTACAGGTGTGAGCCACTGCAACCAGCCTTGCAGTCATTAATCTTTATGCTGCTCATATTATTGCAGATTAGGCTGTGGGATCCTCTCTTAAAATGGGCTTTTGTGCCCCTTTGACATGATCCCATATGTTTGTGCTAGCTTTCTAGCATGATGGTATATGCTGAACAAATCCAGTATATTTCCTGATCAGACCCGGAAGCAATTTTTATCAAGGAGTCCTGGTTTCCTTGAGAGAGAACTGGTATTTAGAGACCATAATGTGAGCTGTAGGAGTGTTTCTTTCTACTGCGTCATTACTTCTGCGTTTTCGATGGAAAGAACTAGAAAATACCCTCCTTCTTTTAGAGAGAATAAAATATGGGTTATACTGATATTTCCAATTTAAATATAAGATTACATGATTGCTACTCAAATTCTTGGATTTGATACTTGAATCTCTTCTCTTATTCTAAAAATCTTGAATTCTAATAAAATCAATATAATTAATTATTTTCTTTATCATGGAAAGCATCTATAATGATTTGAAAATAATTTCAAAATTTTGTTAACAAGTCTACAGAATCTTTCAAATTTTGTTGCAGTTATTTTGGATCTTGGAATATATTCCATTAGAGATTTGCTGTTAAGGTACTATGTTTTAAAAGCTCATGAAGTAATTTATTTCCCTGTTTGATTGTGCTGTTAAGGTCATATGCAGTAGGTTCATTTTCTGTGGTCTGGTTTTGATTTTTAAAAATCACTTTTAAATTATTATTTAAATTACGTAAATTAAAAATGTATATGGCTCCAGTCAAAATTATGTGCATAAATTCAGAAAAGTTTGCTTTCATTCCTGTCTTATCCTCCTTTCATTGGTAAACATATCTTAGCCTTATTCTTCCATTAAATCATTGTGAAAATATTAAAAACTACGTATGAAAATTTGATTCTCTCTTTTCTTATACAAAAGTTAGAAAACTATTAATATTGTTCTCCACTTGTATTTTTCACTTAACAATATATCCTAGAAATTACCAGCATATAGATGTCTTCCTTGTCCCATTTTACCATTGCATAGTACTCCCTTGAGTGAACATGAATAACATAGTTAATTTAACAAGATTGTTGTAAGACTGCTATTGCTGGACATTTGGCTCTTTCTTTTCTATGATGAACAACACTTTCATGCATAGCTTATATATATAAAATTTTCCCCCACTTAATCTTTGAGATAGAGTCCTAGAAGTGGGATTACTGGGTCAATGGAAAATAAATACACATGTAATTTGGTTATATTTTATCAAATTTTCCTTCATGTGTGTTATGTAATTTTGCATTTCTACCAACAATACATGGCAGTACTTGTTTATCCACAGTTTTATCAATGAGAAGTATGGATTTTTTGCTAATTTGATCAGTGGAAAGTAGTTTCTTAGTGAGTCAACATTTATATCTGTCTTATCATGAGTGAGGCTAAATATTGTTTTCTGTGTTTAAAGGCCAGTTGAATTAATTTTTCTGTAAACTGTCCATTTATATTTTTAATCATACTTCTTGTGTGAATTCTTTTTAAAAAGAAGTTCTCAATTTTTAAAAGTTCTGCATGTATTAAATGATATTAGTCTTATCTATAAGTTGCCAAAATATTATATTCAATCTTCTATTTGTCGTGAGACTTTGTTTATGGTGTCTCTTGTTATTCAAAACTCTTCATGATTAGATTTTCAGATTTCTTAATATTTTAAGTTGTTCCTGGATTTTTAATTAACTGTATGACTTACCAGTATTGGTTTCATTTTGTTTTACATGGAGATCTCTGATTCCTTTCATTTCTGCATTTCTAATTCAAAATCAATATGCCAAAAAAAAATTTCTCCTCTTCCCCTTCTCTCTAGACTCACTTTCTTCTGTTTACTTCCTTATTTCTATTAATAGTTCCACCTGGGCCAGGGGCAGTGGCTCACGCCTGTAGTCTCAGGACTCTGGGAGGCTGAGGCGGGCGGATCACGCAGTCAGGAGATCTAGACCATCCTGGCTAACATGGTGAAACCCTGTCTCTACTAAAAAATACAAAAAATTAGCTGGGCGCGGTGGCAGGCGCCTGTAGTCCCAGCTACTCGGGAGGCTGAGGCAGGAGAATGGCGTGAACCCGGGAGGCGGAGCTTGCAGTGAGTGGAAATCGTGCCACTGCACTCCAGCCTGTGCGACAGAGCCAGACTCCGCCTCAAAAAAAAAAAAAAAAAAAATAGTTTCACCTGATCTTGTCACTTGGGTCTAAAATCTCCAAGTCATTCTAGGTTTCTTACATGCCTTTTACATTCTCAAATAGATTTCTTAAAAATCTGTTTGTGATCTTCTCATCCAGTAGAGGAGAATTCCATTCAATATTGTTAAGATTATAGAAAAAAAGTTATAAAACGCAGACTGAATTGACATTAGATATTGAGCCTATTTTGGCTTAAAAGTACAATAAATCAAATATAGTACTTATTAGTCATTGAAACCAGTAATATATCCTGGAAGAATATTTTGATTTTTCTTAAGTTTTATAAATTAATTGAGCCAATAATTATTTTACTTCATTCTCTGAGTGAGTCTTAGAAAAAGATAAATCAATGAGAAATAACCCTCTTTTTAAAGAACCAGCTTTAGGTAAGATGGACAACTCATGACTGTGCCTGCTTCCAATAAGCAGTTAACTCAGAACAGGGCAACTGAGTAATTATATCTTCTTTGTGCTAAGGCCGAACATCCCTTAGAAAAATGGCTCAACAGTCACCAAATTATAGTTCAGAGAAGTCATCAGCATCAAACTGCTTAATAGATACATTGTTTTGCAGAAGAACACCAAAGGAACAAGATATCTTACACCAAGAATAAGTGAACAGAGGCTTGCTGATTGGTGCTGCTTCTGTATTTTTCTCTTTTTCTTATAGTGTCACTCAATAAATAGGCTTACTTAAAAAAAAGTGTTTGATATTTTGAAGTTAAGTGTGGGATGCCTGTGGCCAATTCATATATGCTATTGCTTAATTTCTAAAATAAATCCAGGTGTTCAATGTCATTTGGTAACTTTAATTTTCAAGGCAAAATAAAGCTTGCAGAGAGCAGATATTAGAATGTTGTTAGTGGTTCATGTAGATGATAAAATTTGTTGTCAACAAGACCAGAATTTCACTTTCATGAGTTTTCGAGGTAGTTCACACAGTTCTAGGGTTACTGATGCGCTAAAAATTATGAGCAGACTTACCAGTGGGTTATCAAGGAAGTGTGAATTTTTTTTTTCATTTTAAAAGAGCAACTGAAACAGAGTTTTAAATTTTAGTTTAGCATCTTTACATTTAAAAGAAAACTTTTAACTGTTGTCAGCAGTTGCTGAGAGTAAAGATGGGTTTAAAGAATGGAAAAAAAGAGAATAGTACTGATAAGACTAGATAGCAAACTGCTTAATCACTGATGTCTAGGCATAAAGTTAAAAAATCTTATACTAAAAAATTTGTAATTTAAAGTGGCCATTGTTCAGAAAACTTATAAAATAAAAAGTTTATTTGTGTAATTTCATAAATAATGTTAAAAAATAAATACCCAAAAGTACAAGGACATAATGTTAATAAAATTATATAGGCACACTATTGATAGCATTGCTAACTATAGCACTGCCTAGCATTGCCTGACTCTCAATTTCTGTCCATTATTCTACTCCAGATAATTTTGTGCCAGGCAGTGCTGTAGTAATTTGCACATAATTTGGGGCTGACAACAAGTTATGTGCATAGAATCAATGTTAGTCCTGGCACTACACTGTGATTGATGAGGAATCAGTGACGCAGTCTTCCCAATCGGCTAGACCAGATACAGGGCTTCTTTTCACTTTGTTTGTGTGTTATTATATATCAGACATCAGTTTATACACATTATGTAATACAAATAAAACCAGAGTAGGACATTCATGAGTTATATTATTCAAACTTGCATAACAGACCTTGTGTATGAAGGAAAACAGAGTCTAAAAATAGAACTAAAGCACTTTTGTTCCCAGAATTGTTTTTCCATCAATATAGCAAATTAGATACCTTGATGACTCTCCTGACTAAAACAGGTACAATTCTGGATAAAATATGTTTTGAAAAGCTTTTTAAGTACACTGATGAAAAGGAAGAAAGACGGAGAGGCAAAAACGAAGTTAAACAGAAATTTTGGGGGCCAAGCAAATGTTAATGCTGGCATTTGCTCTGGGGTTATCTACACTGAGACCTTGAACTTTCCTTTTGAAGGCTGTACAAGCAAAGGGGATGGATATGAAGCCTCAAGAGTATATACGATGGAGAATCTGACAGGAGACTCATTTGAAGCTGCGACTCCAGAGAATTACAGTCTTTACCTTAGTAGAGGAAAGCAAGAAGACTTAACTATTTTTACTCTGATGTGAGCTGGAGGAAAAAATAATCTCACCTGAGAATTTATAACTAAATTTATCCTTAAAAAAGATACATCATCTTGATTCATTCTATCTATGTGGTCTAAAAAACTTCAAGCAGCAAATTTAGTTTGGTCCATGTTTGAAAGTGACCCCAAGTTAGTGACACAAGCAAATATAAAACCCCTCTGGAGAAACTTAACTTCAACCCAGGCCTCAAAGTATTCTCACAGAAATAATTCTAAGGAAAATGAACAGGCTCGAGGTAGAAAATCCCAAAGCACACGAGGTCCTGTGAGAACAAGTGAGATGAAACATGAAAACAGACCTGCAAGTACTTCTGGTATTATCAGAAACTGAATTGTAAATGAAGTATGAAATATGGAACTATGGAATATGCCTAAATAAACTGAAAATCTACTTGCCCTTTGGGCAAACAAGAGATAACAAAAAGTAACCTAACACCTTGGAAACATAATCAAATAGAACTTCTAGAAATCAAAAATGTACAAACAAAATTTAAAATTTTATGGATGAATTAAATAGCAGATTGGATACACTGAAGAGGAACTCAGTGAACTGGAATATAGGTCTGAAAAAATTTGGTATACTGATCCAAAAAGGCAAGATGAAAGAAATGAAGGCAGATTAACTCCTACGCTTATGAAGGATAAGAGTGACTCATATATTCTATATATAAATCTATGTAAAAATCTATAAATCTATAATATCTCTATCTATCATCTATCTATCTATCTATCTATCTATCTATCTATCTATCTATCTATCTATCATCTATCTTCCAGAGGTAATTAAAAGAAATAAAATGGAGGAGGCCATGTGTAAGAAATAATGGAGGATAATTTACCAAAATTGTTGAAAAGTACAAAGGCACAATTCTTCAGATGTAGAGAACCCAATGAATTACTTACAGAAACAAAAAATCAACACACAGACACACCATCATGAAATAGCTGAATATCAACAAAAAATATATATATTTAAAGCAGACAGAGAAAACTACAGACCTCCTACAGAGGAACAAAAATCACACTGATTTCTGACTTCTCAAAGGCAACAATGGAAGCCGGAAGAAAGCAGAATAACATCTTCCACATTGCAAGAGAAAATCACTGCCAATTTAGTATTATATCCCCAGGAAAGCTTTCTTCATTAATGAGGATGAAATAAAGACTTTTCAGAGCTGAACAAAAGCTGGTGAATTTATCATCAGAGGATGCTAGAGGAATTCTAAAGGACGACTTCAACAAGAAGGAAGATATATCTAGGTTGAGTGTTTAAAATAAATGTATGAAAGATGAATAAATATATTAATGCATACATGGGTAAGTATAAACAAACATGAAATGTATAATAGTAATGATAATAGTGATATTTAATATGTAAAATACTGGACCCTAATAACATAAGTTCTTTATGTATCTAAAATTATTTCAAATAAAAAGCTTATTAAAAAACATAACTAAGAGAGATCTAGCAAGATGGCCAAATAGAACGCTTTGGGGATCATCCCCCACCCACAGGAACACCAAATTTAACAACTATCCACACAAGAAAGCATCTTCATAAGAACCAAAAATCAGGTGAGCAATCACAGTACCTGGTTTTAACCTGGTATCAGGAAAGAGGCACTGAAGAAGGTAGGAAACACAGTCTTGAATTGCTGACACCACCCCTCCCCCACCCCCTGGCAATGCTATGTGGCATAGAGAGAGAATCTGTGTGCTTGGGGAAGGGAAAGCAAAGTTGCTATGGGACTTTGCAGTGGAACTCAGTGCTGCTCTGTCACAGTGCAAAGCAACACAGGGCAGAATTTGGCTGGTGCCCATGGAGGGAGCATTTAGACCAGCCCTAGCCAGAGGAGAATCATCCCTCCCAGTGGTTGGAACTTAAGTTCTGGCTAGCCTCATCAATATGGACTAAAGCACTCTGAGGTCCTAAATAAATGCAGTGGCAGTCTACGCCACAAGGACTGCAATTCCCAAACAAGTCCTGGTGCTGTAATGTATTCAGAGCCAGTGGACTTGGGGTACATGCAACCCAGTGAGACACTAGCTGGGGTGGCCAAGGGAGTAGTACTTGCATCACCCCTCCCCACTCCAGAAAGCACAGCTCTAGGGGGAGAAGGAAGGGTAAAAACGGACTTTGTCTTGCAACTTAGATACCTGCTCAGCCATCATAAAATAAAGGACCAGGCAGAGTCTTGAAGCCCCCATTCCAGGCCAGAGCTCCCAGATGACATTTCTAGACCCACCATGGGCCAGACGGGAACCCACTGCACTGAAGGGAAGGACTTAGTCCTCACAGAATTCTCCAACTGCTGACTAAAGAGCACTTGGACCTTGAATAAACATCAGCAGAACCCAGGCAGCAGTTGCCACGGGCAACTGTGTAAGACCCAGTAGCATGCTGGCTTCAGCATGCTGACCTCAGCACATTCCCAGCTGCGATGGCCATGGGGAGACATGCCTTCTGCTTGAAGAAAGGAGAGGAAAAAGAAAAGAGGACTTTGTCTTGCAACCTGGATATCATCTTAGCCCCAGTAACATAAAGCACCAGGTAGATTCCTAAAGCACCCTGTGCCGGGCCCTAGCTCCTGGATGTCATTTCTAGACACACCCTGGACCAGAAGGCAACCTGCTTCACTGAAGGGAAAGACCCAGTCCTGGCAGGATTCATCACCTGCTGACTAAGGAGCCTTTGGGCCTTGAATTAACATCAGCAATAGCCAGGAAATAGTTGCCACAGGCCTTGGATGAGAACCAATACTGTGCTGGCTTCAGATGTAACCCAATACATTCCAGCAGTGGTGGCCATGGGAGTGCTTCTGTAACTCTCCACCAACTCCGGGCAGCTCAGCACAGAAAGAGAGATTCCAGCTGGGCACGGTGGCTCACGCCTGTAATCCCAGCACTTTGGGAGGCTGAGATGGGCGGATCACCAGAGCTTGGGAATTCGAGACCAGCCTGACCAACATGAAGAAGCACTGTGTCTACTAAAAATACAAAAGTTAGCCGGGCATGATGGCAGGCACCTGTAATCCCAGCTACTCAGAAGGCTGAGGCAGGAGAATCACTTGAACCTGGGAGGCGGAGGTTGTGGTGAGCCGAGATCACGCCATTGCACTCCAGCCTGGGCAGCAAGAGTGAAACTCCATCTCAAAAAAAAAAAGAAAAGAAAGAGAGATTCCATTTGACTGGGGGAATGTTAAGAAACAGAACAGAGACTCTGCCTGATAATCCAGGGAATTCCCCTAGATCTTACCCAAGACCACCAAGGCAGTACCTCTATGAATATGCAAGAGCCACAGTGTTATTAGGCTTGGGGTGACCCCTAATACAGATAAGGCTGCAGTGACCAAAAACTTAGATCACAACACCCGATTCCTTTTGAATACTTGGAAAGTCTTCTCAAGACGGGTGGGTACAAACAAACCCAGACTGCAAAGATTAGAATAAATAACTCTTTAATGCCCAGACATAGATGAGCATCCACATGCATCAGAATCATCCAAGAAAAAATGACTTCAAAGCACAAACTGAATAAGGCATCATGACCATCTCTGGAGTGACAGAGCTATGTGACCTTTCAGACAAAGAATTCAAAATAGCTATTTTGGGGAAATGCAACAAAATCCAAGATAACACAGAGAAGGACTTCAGAATCCTATGAGATAAATTTAACAAAGAGACTGAAATAATTTTTAAAAATCAAGCAGAAATTTGGGAGCTGAAAAATTTGATTGGCAAACTGAAGAATGAATGCAAAAGAATCTCTCAACAGCAGAACTGATCAAGCAGAAGAAGAACTAATGAGCTTCAAGACAGGTTGTTTAAAAATATACAGTCTGAAGAGTCAAAAGAAAAAAGAATAAAACAATAAAGAATACAAAATAATGAATCATGCCTACAGGATCCAGAAAATAGCCTCAAAGGGGCAAATCTAAGAGTTATTGGTCTCAAAGAGGAGGTAGAGAAAGACAGGGGAGTAGAAAGTTTATTCAAAGGGATAATAACAGAGAACTTTCCAAACCTAGAGGAAAATATCAATATTTAAGCACAAAAAAGTTATAGAACACCAAGCAGATTTAACCCAATAAAGGCTACCTCCAGACATGTAGTACCCAAACTCCTAAAGGTGGAGGATAAAGAAAGGATCCTAAAAGCAGCAAGAGAAAGCAAACACATAACATACAATGAAGCTCCAACAAAACTGGCAGCAAACTTCTCAGTGGAAACCTTACATGCCAGGGGAGAGTGACTTGACATACTTAAAGTGCTGAAGGGAAAAAAACTTTTACCCTAAAATAGCCATATCTGGTGAAAATACCTTTCAAACATGAAGGAGAAATAAAGACTTCCCAGACAAACAAAAGCTAAGGGTTGTCACCAACACCAGACTTCACCTTGTGAGATATACTAAAGGGAATCCATCAGTCTAAAATAAAAGATCCCAATGAGCAATAAGAAATTATCTGAAGGTACAAAATTCACTGGTATCAGTAAGTACACAGACAAAGACAGATGTAATAACACTGTAATTGTGGTGTGTAAACTACTCATATCTTGACTAGGAAGACTACAAGACAAACCTATCAAAAATAACAACTGCAACAACTTTTTAAGACATGGACCATATAATAAGATATAAATAGAAACAACAAAAAGATTAAAAGCAGGAGTGGAGATGATGTACATTGTGGAGTTTTTATTAGCTTTGTCTTTCCGTGTTTGTTTTGCAAACAGAATTAAGTAAGTTGTCATCAGTTTAAAAAATGAGTTATAAGACGTTATTTGCAAGCCTCATGATATCCTCTAATTAAAAAAACTATAACAGATACACAAAAAATATAAAACAAGAAATTAAAACATACCATCAGAGAAAATCCCTTTCAGAAAAAGGAAGACAGGAAGGCAGAAAAAAGAAAGGGAAGACCACAAACAACCAGAGAAAATAGATAACAAAATGGCAGGAGTTAAGTCCTTACTTATCAATAACAACATTGAATGCAAGTGAATTAAACTTTCTAATCAAAAGACAGTGGCTGCATGAATTTAAGAAACTGGACTCAATTATCTGATGCCTACAAAAAACACATTTCACTTATAAAAACACACATAGAATGAAAAATAAAGGGATGGAAAAAGACATTTTATGCAAATGGAAATAAAAAAGTGAGCAGCAGCAGCATATATATATATCAGATAGAACAGACTTTAAGACAAAAATAATAAAAAGAGACAAAGAATTTCATTACATAATGATAAAGTGATCAATTTAGCAGGAGGTTGTAACAATTTTAAATATATATGCACCAAACACTGGAACCCCCAGGCATATAAAGCAAATATTATTAGCACTAAAGAAAGAGATAAGACCCCAATACAATTATAAATGGAGATGTCAGCACCCCATTTTCAGTGCTGGACAGATTACCCAGAAAGAAAACCAACAAGAAATATTGGACCTAATATGTATTGTAGACGAAATGGACCTAATAAATATTTATAGAACATTTCATCCAATGGCTAGGAATACACATTCTTCTCTTCAACAGGAGAATAATGGATCATTCTCAAGGACAGACTATACATTAGGCCTTAAAAGAGATACTAAAAAGTTCAAAACAATTGAAATAATATATGGTATCTTCTCTGACCACAATGGAATAAAACTAGAAATCAATAAAAAGAAGAATTTTGAAAACTATACAAACACATGGAAATTAAACAATATGCTCCCGAATGAACAGTGGGCCAATGAATAAATTAAAAAGGAAATTTAAAAATTTACTGAAATAAATGAAAATAAATGAAAATACAACATGCCCAAACCTATGGGATTCAGCAAAAGCAGTTATAAGAGGAAAGTTTATACCAATAAGTGCCTACCTCAAAAACATAGAAAATGTCACCTAATGATACATTTTGAAGAACTAGAAAAACACCAGTGGGTCAATGAAGAAATTAAGAAGGAAACTGAAAAATTTCTTGAAACAAATGGTAATGCAAACACAACATACCAAAACCTACAGGATACAGCAAAAGCAGTGCTAAAAATTTCATAGCTATAAGTACCTACATCAAAAAAGAGAAAAAACTTTAAATAAACAATCTAAAGATGGTTTTTTCTTTTTTTAATTTTTCCTGAGAGACAGAGTTTTGCTCTTGTTGCCCAGGGTGGAGTGAAATGGTGCAATCTTGGCTCACTGCAACCTCCGCCTCCTGGGTTCAAGTGATTCTCCTGCCTCAGCCTTCCCAGTAGCTGGGATTACAGGCATGTACCACCACGCCCAGCTGATTTTGTATTTTTAGTAGAGATGGAATTTCTCCATGTAGGTCAGGCTGGTCTTAAATTCCTGACCTCAGGTGATCTGCCCACCTCAGCCTCCCAAAGTGCTGGGATTACAGGCGTGAACCACCATGCCCAGCCAGATGCTTCTTAAAAAACTAGAAAAGAGCAAACCAAATCCAACATTAGTAGAAGAAAATAAATAATAAAAATCACAGCAGAAATAAATGAATTTGAGATAAATAAAAACAATACAAAAGATAAATGAAACAAAACATTGGTTTTTTAAAAGGCTAAACAAATTTGACAAACCTTCAGCTAGACTAAGAAAAACAGAGAAAAGACCCAAATGGATACAATCAGAAATGAAAAATGAAACATTACAATTGATATTGCAGAAATTCAAAAGTTCATTAGTGGCTACTATGAGCAGCTACATACCAATAAATTGGCCTGGAATAAATTGACAATTTCTAAGACACATACAACCTACCAAGATTGAATCAGGAAGAAATCCAAACCCTGAACAGACCTGTAACAAATAATAAGATCAAAACTGTCAAAAAGGCTCCCAGTAAAGAAAAGCCCAAGACCCGATGTCTTTACTGCTGAATTCTACCAAACATTTAAAGAATTAATACCAATCCTACTCAAACTATTATGAAACACAGAGAAGGAAAGAATGCGTTGAAACTCATTTTATAAGGCCAATATTACCCTGATACCAAAACCAGACAAAGACACTTCAAAAAAAGAAAATTACAGGACAGTATCTCTGATGAATATGGATGCAAATATCCTGAACAAAACACTAGCAAAACAAATTTAGCAATACATTAAAGAGATCATTAATCATGACCAAGTGGGATTTATCCCTGGGATGCAAGGATGCTTCAACATATGCAAATCAATCAATGTGATACACTATATCAAGAGAAGGAAGGGCAAAAGCCATATGATCATTTCAATTGATGCTGAAAAATCATTTGATAAAATTCAAAATCCCTTCATAATAAAAACCAAAAAAAAAACTGAGTATAGAACGAATATGCCTCAACACAATAAAAGCTATATATGACAGACCCACAGCTAGTATCATACCGAACAGGGACAAACTGAAAGTCTTTCCCCTGAGATCTGGAACACGACAAGAATGCTGGCTTTCAACACTGTTACTCAACACAGTACTGAACGTCCTAGCTAGAATAACCAGACAAGAGAAAAAAATAAAGGGCATTCGAAGTGGAAAGTAAGAAACCAAATTATTCTTGTTTTCGGATGATATAATCTTCTATTTGGAAAAACCTAAAAACTCTACAAAAAAGCTATTATAACTGATAAACAAATTTAGTAAAGGTGCAGGATACAAAATGAACATACAAAAATCAGTAGCATTTCTATATGCCAACAGTGAGCAATCTGAGAAAGACATTTAAAGAGTAATCCCATTTGCAATAATCACACATAAAATAAAATACCTAGGAATTAACCAAAGAAGTGAAAGTTTCTATAATAAACATGATAAAACACCGATGAAAAACATTGAAGAGACACAAAAAAAAAATGAAAAAAAAATACTCCGTGTTCACAGATTGGAACAATCAATATTGTTATAATGTCTGTTCTACCTAGAGCAATCTACAGATTCAGTGCAAGGCCCTATAAAAATACCAATGACATTCTTCACAGAAATAGAAAAAAAATCCTAAAATTTATATGGAACCACAAAAGACAAAGAATATCCAGAGCTATCCTGAGGAAAAAGAACTAAACTGTAGAAATCACATTATCTGACCTCAAATTATACTACAGAGCTATAGTAAACAAAACAGTGTGGTACTAGCACAAAAACAGACACATAGACCAATGGAACAGAATAAAGAACCCAGAAACAAATCCACACACTTACAGTGAACTCATTTTCGATGAAAGTGCCAAGGACATACACTGAGGAAAAAATGGTCTCTTCAATAAACGATGCTGGGGAAATTGGATATCCACATACAGATGAATGAAAATAGACCCCTATCTCTCACCATATACAAAAATCAAATTAAAATTGATTAAAGACTTAAATCTAAGACCCTAAAGTATAAAACTACTACAAGAAAACATTGGGGAAATTCTCTAGGACATTGCCCTGGGCAAAAAATTTTTGAGTGATACCCCACAAGCACAGACAATCAAAGCCAAAACAGACAAATGGGATTACATCAAGTTAAAAAGCTTCTGAACAGCAAAGGAAACAGTTAACAAAGTGAAGAGACAACCCATGGAATGGGAGAAAATATTTGCAAACTACCCCTCTGACAAGGGATTAATAATCAGAATATGTAAGAAGCTCAAACAACTCTAAAGGAAGAAAATTAATAATCCAATCTAAAACTGGGCAAAAAATTTGAACAGGCATTTCTCAAAAGAAGACAGACAAATGATAAACAGTCATGTGAAAAGTGCTTGACATCTTCGATAATCAAAGAAATGCAAATCAAAGCTACAATGAAATATCATCTCACCCCAGTTAAAATGGCTCATATCCAAAGACAGGCAATAACAAATGCTGACAAGCATATGGAGAAAAGGGAACCCTCGTACACTGTTGGTGGGAATGTAAGTTAGTACAACCTCTGTAGAGAACAGTTTGGAGTTTCCTCAAAAAACTAAAATTAGAGCTACCATAAGATCCAGCATTTCACTGATGGGCATATATCCCAAAGAGTGAAAATCAGTATATCAAAAAGATATCTGCACTCCTATGTTTGTTGCATCACTGCTCGCAATAGTTAAGATTTGGAAGCACCCTAAGTGACCATCAACAGATGAATGGATAAAGAAAATGTGGTACATATATACAATGTACTACTATTCGGCCATGAAAAAGAATGAAATTCTGTCATTTGCAAAAACATAAATAGAACTAGAGATCATTATGTTAAGTGAAATAAGACAGGCACAGAAAAACAGACCACATATTCTCACTTATTTATGGGATCTAAAAATCAAAACAAGTGAACTTATGGATATAGAGAGCAGAAGGATGGAAACCAGAAGCTAAGTAGGGTAGTGGGGGTAGAGGGAGGTGGGGATAGTTAATGGGTGTGAAAAGGTACTTAGAGAGGGGTGGCTAGCAAGATGGCCAAATAGGAACAGCTCTGGTCTGCAGCTCCCAGCAAGATCAAAGCACAAGGCAGGTGATTTCTGCATTTCCAACTGAGATACCCAGCTCATCTCTTTTGGGTCTGGTTAGACAGTGGGTGCCGCCCACAGAGGGTGAGCTGAAACAGGGTGGTGCGTTGCCTCACCTGGGAAGCACAAGGGGTCAGGGTACTCCCTCCCTTAGGCAAGGGAAGCCATGAGGGACTGTGCCGTGAGGAACAGTGCATTCTGGCCCAGATACTATGCTTTTCCCATGGTCTTCACAACCCACAGACCAACAGATTCCCTTGGGTGCCTACACCACCAGGGCCCTGGGTTTCAAGTACAAAACTGGGCGGCTATTTGGGCAGACACTGAGCTAGCTGCAGGAGATTTTTTTTCATACCCCAATGGCAGCTGGAATGCCAGTGAGACAGAACCCTTCACTCCCCTGGAAAAGGGGCTGAAGCCAGGAATTCAAGTGGTCTAGCTCAGTGGATCCTATCCCCATGGAGCCCAGCAAGCTAAGATTGACAGGCTTGAAATTCTCGCTGCCAGCACAGCAGTCTGAAGTCGACCTGAGACACATGAGCTTGGTGGGAGGGGCACCTGCCATTACTGAGGCTTTTATAGGTGGTTTTCCCCTCGCAGCATAAAGAAAGCTGCCAGAAAGTTCGAACTGGGCGCAGCCCACCACAGCTCCACAAAGCTGCTGTAGCCAGACTGCCTCTCTAGATTTCTCCTCTCCAGGCAGGGTATCTCTGAAAGAAAGGCAATAGCCCCAGTCAGGGGCCTATAGATAAAACTCCCGTCTCCCTGGGACAGAGGACCTGAGGGAAGGGGCAGCTGTGGGCGCAGCTTCAGCAGACTTAAACATTCCTGCCTGCCAGCTCTGAAGAGAGCACTCCCAGCTCCCAGCGCAGCGCTTGAGCTCTGCTAAGGGACAGACTACCTCCTCAAGTGGGTCCCTGACCCCCCTGCCTCCTGAATGGGAGACACCTCCCAGCAGGGGTCGAGAGACACCTCATACAGAAGAGCACTGGCTGGCATCTGGTGGGTGCCCCTCTGGGGATGAAGCTTCCAGAGGAAGGAACAGGTAGCAATCTTTGCTGTTCTGCAGCTTCCACTGGTGATTCCCAGGCAAACAGCGTCTGGAGTGGACCTCCAATAAACTCCAGCAGACCTGCAGCAGAGGGGCCTGACTGTTAGAAGAAAAACTAACAAACAGAAAGAATAGCATCCACATCAACAAAAAGGATGTCCACACAGAAACCCCATCCAAAGTTGACCAACATCAAAGACCAAAGGTAGTTAAATCCACAGAGATGAGGAAAAACCAGTGCAAAAAGGCTGAAAATTCTAAAAACCAGAATGCCTCTTCTTCTCCAAAGGACCGCAACTCCTCGCCAGCAAGGGAACAAAACTGGACAGAGAATGAGTTTGACGAATTGACAGAAGTAGGCTTCAGAAGGTGGTAACAAACTCCTCTGAGCCAAAGGAGCATGTTCTAACCAAATGCAAGGAAGCTAAGAACCTTGAAAAAAGGTTAGAGGGATTGCTAACTAGAATAACCAGTTTAGAGTAGAATATAAATGACCTAATGGAGCTGAAAAGCACAGCATGAGAACTTTGTGAAGCACACACAAGTATCAATAGCCGAATCAAGCAACCAGAAGAAAGGATATCAGAGATTGAAGATCAACTTAATGAAATAAAGCATGTAGACAAGATTAGAGAAAAAAGAATGAAAAGAAATGAACAAAGCCTCCAAGAAATATGGGACTATGTGAAAAGACCAAACCTACGTCTGATTGGTGTACCTGAAAGTGATGGGGAGAATGGAACCAAGTTGGAAAACACTCCTCAGGATATTATCCAGGAGAACTTCCCTAAACTAGCAAGACAGGCCAACATTCAAATTCAGGAAATACAGAGAACACCACAAAGATACTCCTCGTGAAGAGCAACCCCAAGACACGTAATTGTCAGATTCACCAAGGTTAAAAATGAAGGAAAAAATGTTAAGGGCAGCCAGAGAGAAAGGTCAGGTTTCCCACAAAGGCAAGCCCATCAGACTAAAAGCAGATCTCTCTGCAGAAACCCTACAAGCCAGAAGAAAGTGGGGGCCAATATTCAACATTCTTAAATAAAAGAATTTTAAGCCTAGAATTTTATATCCAGCCAAACTAAGCTTCATAAGTGAAAGAAAAATAAAATCCTTTACAAACAAGCAAATGTTGAGATACTGTGTCACCACCAGGCCTGCCTTACAAGAACTTGTGAAGGAAGCACTAAATATGGAAAGGAAAAACCGGTATTAACCACTGGAAAAACATGTAGAGACCAGAGACACTATGAAGAAACTGCATTAAATAAAATTTCAGGCCAATATCCCTGATGAACACCAATGTGAAAATCCTCAATAAAATACTGGCAAACCGAATCCAGCAGCACTTATCCACCATGATGAAGTCAGCTTCATCCCTGGGATGCAAGGCTGGTTCAACATACACAAATCAATAAACGTAATCCATCACATAAACAGAACCAATAACAAAAACCACATGATTATCTCAATAGACACAGAAAAGGCCTTCAATAAATTCAACAACCCTTCATTCTAAAATCTCTCAATAAACTAGGTATTGATGGAATGTATCTCAAAATAATAAGAGCAATTAATGATGAACCCACAGCTAATATACTAAATGGGCAAAAGCTGGAAGCATTCCCTTTGAAAACCAGCACAAGACAAGGATGCCCTCTCTCACCACTCCTATTCAACATAGTATTGGAAGTTCTGGCCAGGGCAATCAGGCAAGAGAAAGAAATAAGGAGTATTCAAATAGGAAGAGGAGAAGTCACATTGTCTTTGTTTGCAGATGACATGATTATATATTTAGAAAACCCCATCGTCTCAGCCCAAAATCTCCTTAAGCTGGTAAGCAACTTCAGCAAAGTCTCAAGATACAAAACCAATGTGCAAAAATCACAAGCATTCCTACACACCAACAATAGACAGAGAGCCAAATCATGAGTGAACTTCCATTCACAACTGCTACAAAGAGAATAAAATATCTAGAAATAAAACTTACAAGGGTTGTGCAGGACCTCTTCAAGAAGAACTACAAACCACTGCTCGAGGAAATAAGTGAGGACATAAACAAATGGAAAAACATTCCATGCTAATGATAGGAAGAATCAATATCGCAAAAGTGGCCATACTGCCCAAAGTAATTTATAGATTCAATGCTATCCCCATCAAGCTACCATTGACTTTCTTCACAGAATTAGAAAAAAGTACTTTAAATTTCATATGGAACCAAAAAAGAGCTCATGTAGCCAAGACAATCCTAAGCAAAAAGAACAAAGCTGGAGGCATCACATTACCTGACTTCAAACTATACTATAAGGCTACATTAACCAAAACAGCACAGTACTGGTACCAAAATAGATATATAGACCAATGGAACAGAACAGAAGTCTCAGAAATAATGCCACATATCTATGTGATCTTTGACAAACCTGACAAAAACAAGCAATGGGAAAAGGATTCCCTATTTAATAAATGGTATTGAGAAAATTCGCCATATGGAAAAAACTGAAACTGGACCCCTTTCTTACACCTTATACAAAAATTAACTCGAGATGGATTAAAGACTTAAACATAAGACTTAAAACCATAAAAATCCTAGAAGAAAACCTAGGCAATACCATTCAGGATGTAAGCATGGGCAAAGACTTCATGACTAAAACACAAAAAGCAATGACAACAAAAGCCAAAATTGACAAATAAGATCTAATTAAACTAAGGAGCTTCTGCACAGCAAAAGAAACTATCATCAGAGTGAACAGGCAATCTACAGAATGGGAGAAAATTTTTGCAATCTATCCTTTTGACAAAGGGCTAATATCCAGAATCTATAAGGAACTTAAATAAATGTACAAAAAAAAAAACCAACGCCATTAAAAAGTGGGCAAAGGATATGAACAGACACTTCTCAAAAGAAGATATTTATGCAGCCAATAAACATATGAAAAAAAGCTCATCATCACTGGTCATTAGAGAAATGCAAATCAAAACCACAATGAGACACTATCTCATGCCAGTTAGAATGGTGATTGCTAAAAAGTCAGGGAACAGCAGATTCTGGAGAGGATGTGGAGAAATAGGAGCGCTTTTACACTCTTGGTGGGAGTGTAAATTAGTTCAACCATTGTGGAAGACAGTGTGGTGATTCCTCAGTGATCTAGAACCAGAAATACCTTTTGACCCAGCAATCCCATTACTGGGTATATGCCCTAGAGATTACAAATCATTCTACTATAAAGACACATGCACACGTATGTTTATTGCAGTACTATTCACAATAGCAAAGACTTGAAACCAACCCAAATGCCCATCAATGATAGACTGGATAAAGAAAATGTGGCATATATACACCATGGAATACTGTGCAGCCATAAAAAGGATAAGTTCATGTCCTTTGCTGGGACATGGATGAAGCAGGAAACCATCATTCTCAGCAAACTAACACAGGAATAGAAAACCAAACACCGCATATTCTCACTCATAAGTGGGAGTTGAACAATGAGACACATTGATACAGGGAGGGGAACATCACACACTGGGGTCGAGGTGGGTAGATCACAAGGTCAAGAAATTGAGACCATCCTGGCGAACATAGTGGAACCCTGTTGTGGGGCTAGGGGAGGGATAGCATTAGGAGAAGTACCTAATGTAGATGATGGTTTGATGGGTGCAGCAAACCACCATGGCACGGGTATACCTATGTAACAAACCTGCACATTCTGTACATGTATTCCAAAACTTAAAGTATAATAATAAAGAAAAAGAAAAAATAGTTGGAAAGAATGAACAAGACCTACTATTTGATAGCACAACTAGTCAATAATAACTTGATTGTATATTATAAAATAACTAAAAGAGTGTAATTGGATTGTTTGTAACATGAAGGATAAATGCTTAAGAGGATGGATACCTCATTCTCCATGATGTGATTATTTCACATAGCATGCCTGTATTAAAACATTTTGGATTGGTCCCATGGTGTAATGGTTAGCACTCTGGGCTTTGAATCCAGCAATCCGAGTTCGAATCTTGGTGGGACCTTTCAAAGGAGTACATTTTGGCCAGGCGCAGTGGCTCACGCCTGTAATCCCAGCACTTTGAGAGGCCGAAGCAGGTGGATCACCTGAGTTCAGGAGTTCGAGACCAGCCTGACCAACATGGAGAAACTTTGTCTCTACTAAAAATACAAAATTAGCCAGCTGTGACAGTGCATGCCTGTAATCCCAGCTAGTTGGGAGGCTGAGTCAGGAGAATCTCTTGAACCCAGGAGGTGGAGGTTGCAGTGAGCCAAGATCGTGCCATTGCACTCCAGCCTGGGCAACAAGAGTGAAACCCCATTAAAAAAAAAAATTTCGGGCCGGGTGCGGTGGCTCACACCTGTAATCCCAGCCCTTTTGGAGGCCAAGGCGGGTGGATCACGAGGTCAAAAGATCAAGACCATCCTGGCCAACATGGTGAAACCCTGTCTCTACTAAAAATAAAAAAATTAGCCTGGCATGGTGGTGGGCGCCTGTAGTCTCAGTTACTTGGGAGGCTGAGGCAGGAGAATCACTTGAACCCAGGAATCGGAGATTGCAGTGAGCCGAGATTGCACCACTGCACTCCAGCCTGGTGACAGAGTGAGACTCCATCTCAAAAAAATAATTAAAAAAAAGTTTCATGTACTCCATAAATGCATACACCTACTATATGCCCATAAAAATAAAAATAATAAAAAACTGGGAAAGTAAAACTGAACACAAATTTAGTAGAAGAAAAGAAATAATAAAGATAAGAGCATAAATACATGAAATTGAAATGAAAAAATACATAAAATATCAACAAAACAGAAGTTGGCTTTTTGAAAAGATAAACAAAATCCACAAACCTTCAGCCAGCCAGATTAAGAAAAAAGAAAGACATCCCAAGTAATAAAAATCACAGATGAAAAAGGAAACAACAACTGATATCACAGAAATTCAAGGAATCATTAGAGACTAACATGAGCAATATGCCAACAAATCGAAACACTTAGAAGAAATGGATATATCCTAGACACATACAACCTACAAAGATTGAACTACGGGAAAATCCAAAATCTGCATAGACCAATGACCGGTACTGAAATTGAAGCTGTAATAAAAATGCTTCCAGCAAACAAAAGCCTAAGACTCGATGGCTTTACTGTTGAATTCTATCAAACATTTAAAGAAGAACTAATACCAATCCAAATCAAACTATTCCAAAAAATAAAGGAGGGAATACTTCCAAACTCATTCTACAAGGCCAGAATTACCCTTATATTAAAACCAGACAAAAACACATAAACAAACAAACAAACAAACAAACTACAGGCCAAACATTGACGCAAAAACATTCAACAAAATACTAGCAAACTGAATTTAACTACACACTCAAAAAATCGTTCATCATGACCAAGTGGGATTCATCCCAGATATGCAAAGATAGTTCAACAAACACTAATCAATCCATGTGATACATCATATCAAGATAATTTAGGAGAAAAATCATATGATCATTTCAATTGATGCTGAAAATGCGTTTGGTAAAATTTGACATCCCTTCATGAAAAAACCTTAAAAAATGGGTATAGATGGAACATATCTCAACTCAATAAAAGCCATATGTGACAGACAGACAGTATCATACTGAACAGGGAAAAACTGAAAGCCTTTGTTTTAAGATGTAGAACAGGACAAGGATGCCCACTTTTACCACTGTTATTCAACATAGTACTGGAAATCCTAGCTAGAGCAACCAGACAAGTGAAAGATATAAAAGGCATCTAAATTGGAAAGGAGTAAGTCCAATTATTCTGTTTGCAGATGATATAATCTTATATTTAGAGAAACTTAAAGACTCCACCAAAAAACTATTTGAACTGATAAAACAATTCAGTAAAGTTGCAGGATATAAAATAAACATACAAAATAAGTAGCATTTCTGTATGCCAACAACAAACAATCTGAAAAAGAAACTAAAAAGTAATTCCATTTACAATAGCTACAAATAAAATTAAGTACCTAGGCAATAACTCAATAAAAGAAGTGAAAGATCTCTACAATTAAATTTATGAATCATTGATGAAAGATATTGCAGAGGACACAAAAAATGAAAAGATATTCCACATTCATGGACTGGAAATCAATATTGTTAAAATCTCTATTCTATCCAAAGCAATCTAAAGATTTAATGTAATTCCTATCAAAATACCAATGACATTATTCACATAAATAGAAAAAATTAATCTAAAATTTATGTGGAACCACAAAAGAATAAGAATATCCAAAACCACCCTGAGCAAAAACTGGAGTAATCACATTACTGGATTTCAAATTATACTACAGAGTTATAGTAACCAAAACAATATGGTCTTAGCATTAAAAACAGACACATAGAACAATGGAACAAAACACAGAATCCAGACATAAATTTATGCATCTACTGTGAACTAATTTTTGACAAAAGTATCAAGAACATGCATTGGGGGAAACGTTTCTTCAATGAATGGTGCTAGGAAAACTGGATATCCACATGCAGAAGAATGACACTAGACCTCCATCTCTCGTTATGTATAAAAATAAAATGAAAAGAGATGAAAGACTTAAATCTAATATCCCACACTATGAAACTACTAAAAGAAAACATTGGGAAAACTCTACAGGGCATTGGCCTGGTTGAATATTTCTGGAGTAATACCCTGACAGCACAATCAAAGCAAAAATGGACAAATGGGATCACCTCAAATTAAAAAGCTTCCAAGTAGCAGAGGAAACAATCAATAAAGTGAAGACAGCCCACAGAATAGGAGAAAATATTTGCAACCTATTCATCTCAGAAAAGATTAATAACCATAATACATAAGGAGCTCAAACAAGTCTATATGAAAAAAATCCAATAACCCGATTAAAAAATGGACAAAAGATTTGAATAGACATTTCTAAAAGAAGATATACAAATGGAAAATGGGCATATGAAAAGGTGCTTAACCTCATTGATCATGAGAGATATGCAAATCAAAACTGCAATAAGATATCATCTTACCCCAGTTACGATGTCTTTTATCCAAAAGCCGGGTAATAGAGAATGCTGGCAAAGATGTGGAGAAAGGGGAACACTCAAATGATGTTGGTAAAAATGTAAATTAGCACAGCCACTATGGACAACAGTATGGAGGTTCCTGAAAAAAAAATTAAAAATAGAACTGCCATATGATCCAGCAATCTCCTTACTGGGCATATACCCAAAAGAAAGGAAATCAGTATATCAAAGAAATATCTGCACTCTCATATTTATTGCAGCACTATTCACAATAGCCAAGATTTGGAAGCAACCTGAGTGTCCATCAGCAGATGAATGAATAGAAAAACAGTATTCCATTGTGCTACCTACACACAATAGAATACTGTTCAGCTCTTAAAGAATAAGATCCTGTCATTTGCAACAACATAGATGGAACTGGAGGACATTAGGTTAAGTTAAATAAGTCAGGCACAGAAAGACAAACTTTGCATGTTCTCACTTATTTGTGGAGCTAAAAATTAAAACAATTGAACTCATGGAAATTGAAAGTAGAATGATGGTTACCAGAGCGTTGGAGGGGTAGTTGCAGGGGAGGATATGGAAATGGAGATGGTTAATGCGTACAAAAATATAGTTAGATACAAAGAATAAGGTCTAATATTTGATAGTACAACAGGTTGACTACAGTTAGCAGTAATTTGTTGTACATTTTGGAATAACTGAAGTAGTAAAATTGGAATGTTTATAACACAAAGAAATAATAAATGCTTGAGGTGACTGAAACCCCGTTTACCCTGATATGATTATTATACAATGTATATCTATATAAAAATGTCATGTATCCTATAAATATATACACATACTGTGTGCTCATAAAATTAAAAATTATTTTTTAACTAAAAAATTTAAAAAACTAATGTATAACAAACAGCACAGCACATTCAAACAAATAGGAAAAAAGTAGAACGAGAAACACAAAAATAATCCATTGATCCAGAAGAAGGCACAAAACACACACACACATGCATGCATACATGCATGCACATACACACAGGAGAAAAAAACTTACTAATACTACAAAATTAAGATCTAGAAATAAATCCAAATATACTATAATCGCAATAAGTATAAATGGCCTTAATTATCTAGTTAAAGTGACAATATCAACTGGACATAAAAAATATACTCAACAGTATGAATTTAAAATATATTCATCTAATGCATTAGAAGACAGGAGGCTTGAGAATAAATGTTTATAGCAAGATATATTAAGCAGATATTAATCAAAGCAAGGTAGTACATCTATATTAATATCAGACAAAATAGACTTCAAGGCAAAAGTATTATAAAAGATAATCTAAAAATCTCAAAAGATTCAATATAGTACATAAAAATAATTTTTTATGGAAGAATGTAAGAATTCTATATTTTTTGTGGCTATCCTAGAAACTGAGAAAGGTAGGAAAATGGATTTTCCCAGAGAGCCTTCAAAAGGAATACCGGCCATGCTGACATCTTTATTCAAGCCTGTATTAATAGGAAAAAGCAGAAAGGCAAACTTTTTTCTCCAACTATACTCTCAACACAGAATACTGGTCATCAAAATCTGTGGGGTTTTCCATACCAAGCAATTCTTCAGCACCAACTGGGTGTTCTGTAATTTAATTCAATCCTGTCACTAACTGAAGTTAGTGCAGACCCTACAGGTTAAGGGCTGAGTCCCTGAAGATTGCCTCCTTCCCAACTTCAAATGCCAACCAATATGCTAGGTTGTTTTAACCTGTGCTTCTGATTGACTGACTATAAATCAGAGGTACCATGACCCCGTCTCAGGTTCAATTATTTGCCAGACTTGCTCAGAGAAGTCTGGGAAATACTTTACTTACATTTACCCTTGTATTATAGAAGCATACAAATAAACAGCTAGATGAAAGATGCAAGAGCAAGATAGGGAGGAAGGAGCCTGGGGCTTCCATGATGCCTCAGGGTGCTCCACCTTCCCAGCACCTTCAGGAGTTCAGCAACCTGGAAACTCCCTGAACCCTGTCCTTTATGGTTTTGTACAGAGGTTTTATTATGTAAACATGATTGACTACATCAGTGGCTATTGGTGATTAATTCAGCCTCCAGCTCCTCTTCTTTCCCCAGAGGTTGAAAAGTGAGGCTGAAAATTGCAAACCTTTCTTCACTAGGTTGGTTCCCCTGACAAGTCCTCATCAGGAGGCTATCCAGGATCACCCAGCTAGTGCCCCGGGATCTAATCAGCATACAAAAAGACACAAATCACTTTAGAGATTTCCAGGGTTTTAGGGGCTATGTGTAAAAAAAAAGGAGGGGTGTGTAGAGATCAAATATATTTTTCTTATTATATTGTATATCACATTTCTTTATTATATATTATAATATCACAAAGTTCCATAAGAATCATTTCAAACTTTTAGCCTCAAGAATTATAACAAATGTATGTTTTAAGCTATTATATTTGTGATAATTAGAGCACCAATAGGAAACTAAAACAAGCAGGTATTTTATTTAAGAAGAAATATTTATAGCTGATTAACATAACATGATGCTCAAGCTTATTAAGAGAAATTAAACTAAAATTATAATATGATAATATTTCATTACCATCAGATTAGGCAAAAATGAAAATTTAATAATGTCAGATTTATGGAGAAGAAATTGATTAATTAGAATTCTCACCCACTTTAGGTGGTATAAATTTTAGGAAAATAGGGGCCATGGGCAGTGGCTCATGTCTGTAATCCCAGCACTTTGGGAGGCTGAGGCGGGTGGATCACCTGAGGTCAGGAGTTCTAGACTAGCCTGACCAACATGGTGAAACCCCATATCTACTAAACACAAAAAATTAGCTGGGCATGGTGGTACATGCCTGTAATCCCAGCTGCTTGGGAGGCTGAGGCAAGAGAATCACTTGAACCTGGGAGGCGGAGGTTGCAGTGAGCTGAGATTTTGCCATTGCACTCCAGCCTGGGCAACAAGAGCGAAACTCCATCTCAATAAATAAATAAATAAATTTTAGGAAAATAGGCATTACCTAATATGTGAGTACACACATAACCTATGACCCAACTATTCCTAGGGATATAGCTGAAAAAAACACTATTTCTCTACACATACAACACTTCCGATAGCAAATGTGCTTTTTTTTTCCACATGAAGCAGTTTTATATCTCTCTGGATATCAGCTGCGTGTCTCACAATTTAATCCAATTCTGACACTATTTACCTAGAGTTAGCATCAGGTCACACAAGTTAAATGCTTCAGTCCCACAAGACTAACACCATTTTTGATGCTAACTGCAAATCTGGGTCTCATGTACTTTTGACTGACTGGCTATAAATCAGAGGCTTCTACCACCCTCTCCTTGAGTTTGATAATTTGCTAGAACAGCTCACAGAACTTGGGAAAACACTTTATTTACATTCCATAGTTTGTTGTAAAAGACACAACTCAGGAACAGCAATATGGGTATATGTTTCATAATAAAAAAGTTTTAAAAATGATTTTATTTCAATGAAGAATACATTTGAAAAAAGTTGTTTTCTGGTCAGACCATAAATTAAAATATTAATGTTTTAGTACTTTTAGTCAAAATATATTTTGTGGTTCTTAAATTTGCAATTTGGAAAATTATTAATCTTTAAAAAAATCAAAACTTTCTCATTCATTTATTCTTTAAATGGATATTTATTGATGCCTGTCCATCAAGTACTATAATTTTTCTATTTAGATTATTTGACTAAAAGATAGTCTTTGCTTTAGCTATACAAGATGCAATATTTTTAAAAGATTATATGAATATGCATCTCCACAGATGCCTACCTTTCTGCCACAGATGATCAGAGAAAGACCAATTTGTTTGCAAAACAGGTCTAGTCTCATTAAACTTGGCCTGATTATTTACATAAGTGTAGCAAGAACAGTGATCAACCATATAGGCCCTTTTAAGTCTGCTTTTAAAAAGGAATCTCTGATTAGACTTTTAAAAGTGTTCTCCCTGCTAGTAAGCCAAAGACTTGCCATCAGAATTTGCCTGTAATACCTATAAATTTAGGGAAATTCTTCTGTTTTTAAGAACCTCGAAATATTTTTGAGGTTCTTGGGCCTTCTTTCATGAGGGTTGGGAACCTTTAAAGCCAGATGTCAGGCCAATTATTTACAAGGGCCTTTATTGGCTCCACAGAGTCAACCTTAGTTTTTTAAAACTGTCTGATCATATCTGAGTCTATGTACATTCTCAACTGTAATGTTCCATTCAAAGCCCTGATAATACTGTATAACCAGAGTTTCCAGTTGTCTCCTGTTACAAGGCAAGCAGATTCCTATTGAACTTATGCAAATAATGATATTGCCATAAAGTAAGAATACTCACAGATAGCTTTTGAATTCTAGAGGGATCAGGTAAAAAGAAAAAGTAATTGTTTCATCTTTTTTCACAGAGGTATACTTTATCAAATTGCTGTAAGTTATAGATAGCTTAAGGGAAAAGCAAACTGTTTCCTTAAATCTGAAAAAGTAAAGCATTAAAGAGCCAGCAATGTTTCAAACAAAAAGGCCATAAAATTAATAATCTATTTGTTCAGTCCCGTGTAATTAATTCTTGTTCTGCTTGATGTTGGGTTAGCAGTTTTATGAACCAATCAGTTTCTTCATTAGAGTCCTGGAAATTATTTACCTAGTTCAATGGTGTGACCTTAAAGTTGGAAACCTGTATTTGTCAGTCTTTTTCCTGAATCTTCTTGAAGATGAAACATTTTAGGACTACAGATGCTTGCAAAAGCTTTCAGAGTAAAACAAGTAACCATCTATGGACAACAATGCTTACAATTGACATGGTTAAAGATCTGATGACAGAGTTCATTATAATAATGATGAAATTGACAAGGAAATTTGGATATTTCTATGGCATACAATATTTTAACACAATACCAAAATTATGCCTGATAAAGTGTCAGGACACACCAAATTTTTAGAAATTTTATGTAATTTCTGTGACATTCATAACATATCCATGTAAATATAATTCAAAGAAGGTTAAACAACATTTTTTATTTGACAATGCTTCCCATGCAAATTTAACATATCAAATAAGTCTAATTAGTGTGATACCTTTCCTTTTAAAAAGAGCGAGAAAAAATAATTTTTATATATTCCAGAAATCCCTAGAAATTCTCAAAGTTAGTTCAAGCTCAAAAATACTTAATTTAGAACTTAATTTTGTAAAGTTTATAAAAAATATCAAAGGTTTAAAACATTTGATTAAAAGACAATCACACGTCACTTTGAAACAATAGTCATTCATTTAACCAGAGTGATAATTAAAAGACTTCAAAGGCAATTGCAGAAAGTTACATAGTTTAAGGAAAAATATCCCTTTGCTGTTTGAATAAAGAGGACTCAGTTTTCTTAAGTATTTGAAGACCTAACAACATGAAGCACAGGAAATTATTTTAATAAAACACAGAATTTTCCTCCCAAGCGAGTTACTTAAAGGCAAAGAAAAAACTTTCACAATCAGTTTAAAAGAGAAGATCAAATTCTGGTTGTAGTTCAGTGGACTTTTGATATTAAGGTGATTTTTTTAAATAACTTATAAACAAATCCATTCAAATCTTAGCCACCTTGACCACAGATAAAATTCCTTTCCTAAGATTATTTAATTATTTTTCCACAAACCTACAACTTTCTTTTTTATTTTTATTTATTTATTTATTTTGAGACAGTCTCGCTCTGTCACCAGGCTGGAGCACAGTGGTGTGATCTCAGCTCACTGCAACTTCCGCCTCCCAGGTTCAAGCGATTGTCCTGCCTCAGCCTCCCGAGTAGCTGGGACTACAGGCACGCACCACCACACTCAGGTAATTTTTGTATTTTTAGTAGAGACGGGGTTTCACCATGTTGGCCAGGATGGTCTCGACCTCTTGACCTCATGATCCACCCGTCTTGGCCTCCCAAAGTGCTGGGATTACAGGCATGAGCCACCACCAGCCCAACTTTCTTATATCTATTCAGTTTTGCCTGTTCTCTTTCAGTGTGGCACAGTTCATGTTTACTTACAGACCCAGATATCTTTTTTTCTTCTGTAATAAGAAGCCAAGTGTAGAAAAACTTATGTTCCACAATTAATGTTTCAGTATCCGATTTGAAAAGTGATTTAGATATTCAATTTAATATTCATTATTTAATTTAACTGAGTAAAACTCCAAGGGAATAAGTTAACAAAGAGATTTCAAAAACTCTTTTCAAATAGACATAACATCAAACAAAGCTAGCCATCAGCAAGTTATTTCCCTATAGGTATTTTCACTGTATGCACATGTTAGGCAGCCATCATGAAAGCAAGAGTCCTAAAAAGTTAACTACACTGTTTTTTTTTTTGTTTGTGCTTGAAATATATTAGTAATGTACACTGCATGTCACTTGCACATTTTCTTTATAATATTAAATATCTAGTAGAGATAAATGTATCTGACTAGTAAACCCAGGTAAAATAAAAATATCAAGCTCATATTATACCTAAAACTGATAACTCAGAAGATGCAACTTTTTTTTTTTTTTTTTTTTTTGAGCCAGAGTCTCACTCTGTTGCCCAGGCTGGAGTGCAGTGGCGCAATCTTGCTCACTGCAATCTCCGCCTCCCTCCTGGGTTCAAGCGATTCTCCTGCCTCAGCCTCCCAAGTAGCTGGGATTACATGAGCCCACCACTACGCCGGGCTAATTTTTGTATTTTTCGTAGAGACAGGGTTTCACCATGTTGACCAGGCTGGTCTCAAACTCCTGACATCAGGCGATCAGCCTGCCTTGGCCTCCCAAAGTGTTGTGATTACAGGCGTGAGCCACTGCGCCTGACCACAGCTATTTTAATAAATGAACAATATTAAACTAACCTTATTTACCAAAGATGTACCAGTCATGAGAACTTGAAACACATTTTGGGTTACTTTCTATAATTCCAAGAGTTTAAGAAAAGTATTGATGTGCTGCAAAATGACATTTCAGTAAATGAGGGACTGTGTATAAAAAGTGGTCTCATAAGATTATAATGAGGTTGAAAAAGTACTGTTGCTTAATGGCTTTGTAGCATAGTTTTTAGTGCAATGCATTATTCACATGCTTATATGATACTCACATGTTTATGTGTTTTTTTAAACCAACTGAACTACCAGTCATGTAAATTATAGCACAAACAATTATGTGCAGTACATAATGCATGATACTGATCATAAATGGAAACTGACCCAATAGTTCCATAGTTTTTTTTTAAATAAAAATAGAAATCCACCCTTCTGGTCTTAAAGTTTAAAACTTATATTTGTTGTATCTGAGTTCCTTCCTCAGGAAACAACCTTCAGGCCTCTCACAAAGAGTATCAAATACCTGAAACTCACCAGATCACCACATTCAATGAGTTGGATTTCTTCCTTACCCCTCCCTAGTTCCTGCCTTCTTACACATTGTTACATTACTTCCCTGCTATACTGAACTGTACTTTTTATCATTATTTTAGACTATACTTCTTGTACTTATTTTTAAAAATTGCTGTAAAACAGCCTCAGGTATGTCTTGCAAGAGGTATTCCAGAAGAAGCCTTATCATCATAGGAGACAGCAGCTTCATGCATGTTATTAACCATGAAAAACTTCCAGTGGGACAAGATGTGGAGGTGGAAGACAGTGATCTTGATGATCCTTGCCCCGTGTAGGCCTAGGCTAACATATGTACTTTGTATTAGTTTTTAACAAAAGTTTAAAAAGTTAAAAAACATTTAAAAATAGAAAAAAGCTTACAGAATAAGATTTTAAAGATATATATTTTTGTACCATTGTGCAACATGTTTGTGTTTTAAGCTGTTACTATGAAAGTCTAAAAGTTAAAAAAAATTTTAAAGTTTATAAAGTAAAAAGAGTAAGCTAAGGTTAATTTATTATTGAAGAAAGTTTTTGTATAAATTTAGGGTAATCTAAGTGTACAGTGTTATAAGATCTACAGCAGTGCACAATGATGTCCTGGTTTTCACCTTCACTTACCACTCACTCATTGACTCAGTGCAATTTCCAATCCTGCAAGGTCCATTTATGATAAGTACTGTATGCAAAAGCTCCATTTAAAAAATCTTTTATAGCATATTTTTTCTATACACTTTGGTGTTACAATTGCTTACAGCATCCAGTACAATAACCTCCTATGTAGGCTTGTGGCTAGGAGCAATTGGCTACACAAGATAGCCTAGGTATATAACAGGCCATGCTGTCTAGATTTGTGTAAATACACTCTATGATGTTTGTGTAACCAAACTCACGTTTGGCTGCTTGCTGCTCGGAAAGCCAGACACTGGAAGTGAGGTTTGGTGGAAGGAAAGCAGGTTTATTCAAGTGGTAGCTGCTTGGGAGACAGCCATATTCTAGTCTCAAAAAGCCATCGCAAACTTTCAGGCTAACTAAAGGGGTTTTAAGGGGAAAGGTGGCATGGAAACTATGTGTATGAGTGGCGTAGGGTATAGATCTGCTTCTCATCCAATGGCTATCTTGAGTAATGGACTATCCAGGGGCCTGGTTGGTATCAAGTTATGGATCAACTGTGCAACTGCCATCTCTGCTTCCTGCCTGGATTGTTTTAAGATTAGCCTTTGGAGTTCTCCAGTGAACAGGTAGTTAGATATATGTGTAGCAAGAAACAAAGGGAGGGAAGGGTTACTTTTAGAGGAAGCTAGCAAACTGACTATACTGGTTACATGAAGGGAGGGAAGGGTTACTTTTAGAGAAAGCTAGCAAACTGACTATACTGGTTACATTTGCACAGTGACAAAATCATCTAATGGCTCGTTTCTCAGAACGTATTGTATCCTCGTTGGTAAGCAACACATGACTGTACTTAGTTTATATAACCTCTTTGTTTTCCTTAAGCCAATTAAATAATGAATTGGCTTATATTAAATAAAGCTCTTTTAAAAGTTAATTTTGTCAATACCATCTGGAGGTAGAAGAATATCACATATAGATTACATACATACATAGATGTGCATAAGCACATAGACAGAAGTAAATACATATCATATAAATTCTGTATTAGTCTGTTCTCACATTGGTATAAAGAACTACCTAAAACTAAGTAATTTATAAAGAAAAGAGGTTTGGCCAGATGTGGTGGCTCATGTCTGTAATCCCAGCACTTTGGGAGGCCAAGGCGGGTGGATCACTTGAGGTTAGGAGTTCGAGACCAGCCTGGCCAACAAGGTGAAACCCCATCTCTACTAAAAATACAAAAATTAGCCTGGCATGGTGGTGGATGCCTGTAATCCCAGCTGCTGGGGAGACTGAGGCAGAAGAATCACTTGAACCCAGGAGGCAGAGGTTGCAGTGAGCTGATGGATTGCACCACTGCAATCCAGGCTGGGCAACAGAGTGAGACTCCATCTGAAAAAAAAAAAGAGGTTTAATTGACTCACAGTTCTGCAGGCTGTCCAGGAAGCATGGCTGCAGAGGCCTCAGGAAACCTATAATCATCGTGGAAGACAAAGGAGAAACAGGTATATTCCACATGCCTGGAGCAGGAGGAAGAGAACAAAGGGGGAGGTGCCACACACTTTTAAACAACCAGATCCCATGAGAACTCACTCACTATCATAAGAACGTCAAGTGGGAAATCTGCCCCCATGATCCAATTACCTCCCTCAGGCCCTTCCTCCAACACTGGGGATTATTAGACATGAGATTTGGGTGGGGAAACAAATTCAAACCATATCAGCTTCTGTTTTAAAATTTATGTCATGTACCATGTACAATAATAAAAAACTCACTGGTAGTTTATAAAATAATACATGAATCAGAATTTTATTCTGGCCAATGAAATAAGACTTCCTTCATTGATAGCTAACACTTTCTACTACTATTTGTGAAGAGGTTTTAAGATTTTTTATTTGGCAGTTTCTAAATACAGTTGACCCTTGAACAACACAGGTTTGAATGGTGGAGGTCCACATATACACCAATATTTTTTCAACCAAATGCAGATAAAAAATACAGTATTCCTGGGATGCAAAACCCATACCTATGGAGGGCTGACTTTTTGTACATGTGGGTTCCAGGAATGGCTCTTAGGTAAGACAAGGCAAAAAAAATTACATCTCAAATGCAGAGTTTAAACCTGTGCTTTAATACCATCATTTTCAGAAACAAAGAATGGTGTAGGTAAAGGCCCAGTTAAAATAAGATGGCCAAAAAAAGCAACTTAAACAAAGGTAAGGTTTGTTCTATAGATTTAAGCTGAGACCTCTCCAGTCTAAGAGTTTCTAGTGATTTAGCCCTTTTTTCCTTTCTTGTGCAGAGAGAGATCCACACTTACAAATGGAGATTTTCTTTATAGATTGATTTTTTTTTCCTAACAAAAGGGTCTACAGTAACTGGCTGAAATAGTCCTTATGCCAGAAAGGCATATTTTGGAGACTAATTCAGCTACACAGGCTGCTTCTTCACCCAATCTGTGTTTCTTTAACTAGATTACTGAGTTCAGGGTGGAGCTCATTAATAAGTAGGGCAAACAGAGCATTTTCTATTCCTGGACTCAGCATGGATAGACCAGAATCTTTTATAAACAATACTTCTAACCTTTACTTACAGTCAGAAACACGTTAATCCTTTTTCTTTTTTTTTTTTTTGAGAGACTCAGTCTCGCTCTGTCGCCCAGCCCAGGCTGAAGTGCAGTGGTGCAGTCTCAGCTCACTGCAAGCTCCGCCTCCCGGGTTCACGCCATTCTTCTGACTCAGCCTCCCAAGTAGCTGGGGCTACAGGCGCCCGCCAACAAGCCCGGCTAATTTTTGTATTTTTAGTAGAGATGAGGTTTCTCCGTGTTAGCCAGGGTAGTCTCGATCTCCTGACCTTGTGATCCGCCCTCCTCAGCCTCCCAAAGTGCTGGGATTACAGGCGTGAGCCACCAAACCCGGCCCATCCTTTTTCTTTTCACAAGATTGAATGACCAGTTAGGGTTTGTTTAGTTTTTTAGGAAGTACTTTGGGTTTTAAGAGGTTGTTATTTTCTTAACCCTTTTCTTTGTCTATCTTGGAAGATTAAGTAATTGAATCTTTGATATATTTCTCAGTACCTTCCATTTGGCTTTAGCCATCTATTTTCAGGGTTTACCAGGTCCCAGTATCATGTAAATGTAAGTTGCCAAAGGTCATAGTCTTGGATCATATACTCCAGTGAGAATTCTAAACTTCTTGGCAATTTTATGGAGGTTTCCTTTGGGACAGGAAAACATTTCACTTTTTCTCTGTTCTCAAGATTTTGATCAACACGAGCAGGTGGTTAGAAAAGCACACCTGATTGTTCTGAAGGCCTAACTTTGTAAGGCACTTGTTTAATTTTCTTTTTATTTTTAGGGTGAGAAGGTAAGTAAGCTAAAAAGGTTGTAGATTCAGAGTAGGCAGAGAAGAATAGAGAGAAAGTGTAGTTGGAGATAAGTCAGTCGATATACTGTTACTTCTAATCAATTAATTGCTTACACTTTTCTTTTGCCTTTTGTAAGGATTTTAGAGAATATATATATTCTCATTTAGTCTTTTAGAGGCTCTGCATGCCAAACATACATTCTCCATTGTTTCTGAGGCATTTGTAATCCCTTTCTTTATTCTAGCGCACCTTGCAAGTGAACAGTTTTATCTAATTTAAGACTTTCATTCTCTGGTGGATGTGACTCTGAGTTACCTTTGGTAAGTTTCATCAATTTCTCTAGAAAAGCACATATTCTTGGTCTATAGTTCTTATAGATGAAATTGGCTAGAGTTCCACATGGAGGAGTTCTAGACTTCTTGGATCCAGATGAATCCATGACCCCTGTCTTCTTGTAATCTTACCTGCTGGAGACCTCCCTACTGCACCCAGTCCAGTTTCTGTCTGACACAGTATAACATCTCAAAAAAATAAATAAACTTCGAAACATAGGTTTTAACTGACATTTTTCCCTGAGTGTCCTAATCAGTAAGTGAGGAAGAAAGATACTGAGTTAAAACTCAGTATCTTTTTATTAGCAATTCTCCATTACATGGAAATATAATTTGTTCATCTATTGTCTGGATAGAAAAAGCAGAATGGAAACTAGAAGCAAACCGAAGCTCATACAAGGGAAGAAGTAAATAAATGCATAACAAAACAAGATCAGAGTATTTTGATGTCAGATTTTCTACTTCTGCCATTTGTAGAAACCAGGGTATTGCAGAAATTAATAAGGCAGTATTTTATGGATTGACTTGTTCTGGTAAGAAGAGACCCCCAACTCTTTCATTACAGAGAAGCAATGTAAACTAAGCACTGAACTCCGTATCACTACAAATAGCTATTCTAATCTGCATGTCGGAATAAAATTGACGCATTCATAGTATGTGGATATTTAAAAGAACATTTAAAAGATATGTTTGTAGGCACTTTCTCTGAATAAGGAACTCCTGTGTTTCAGCTGCCTTCTCTATACAGCTGAACTCATCTGTTAACAGGATTAATTTTAATAAGCCATTTCTAAGATCTAACAAAAATTAAAGTAGTCACTGTTTTTCACACTAAACCCAGTAGGAAAAGAATGTTCCCCCAATTTTATAGACAGAAAACTGTACAGAGAGAAATAACGTGTCCATCAATATTATCATAGATGAAGTTGCTAAGGCAAGATGCATAATCAGTTTGTCAGCTCTTGGTATCTTTATAGCAGTTTAGATCTGTTCTTGGTGTTTCCTCTGCCCATGTGGAATTCACCTAAATTTTAGAGGGTTACAGGCCATGGAGGGGAGGATTCAACAGAGAAGCTGTTGAAGAAAACAGGACTATCCACAGGCAGGTGTTCCCTGAGGAAATGAATTGGCTTCTAGGATCCACCCCTCTTTCCCAACTAGTAGAAACCATCCTTGAATATGGTGAACAGGTAAGGGACTTCTTCTAGGAAGTTACTTGCACTTGATGTTTCTTTTTTCTAGCCAAAGGGTCTCATAATAGCTGGCTAAAAATAGTCTTTATTCCAGAAAGGCATATTTTGGAGACTAATTCAGCTACACAAGCTGCTTCTCAACCCAGTCTGTGTTGAGAAGACTAGGTTTGTGTGTGTGTAAGCATCTACACACACAAACCATTTAACTTAAGGGCACTATGTTTTGTGTCCTCAGGATAAATGGTTTGTATGTGTCAATGATTAGCTTAAATCAGAAGTAGTCCTTGGATACAGAGAAACTTAAGGTATATAGAGGACAGATTCACACTTGTTTCCACAGCAACAGGATTTCCCCCCTGAGCTTAATCCCTAAATGTCAATTTGTTGTTTTCACTCTAAATTTTAAAATCATACCTTAGCTAAATCTAATACCATTTATAATATTTTGGAATTCTAACAGATATAGATAACCTCAGACCTCACTGTAGTGAAAAAATAAATAATTAGCACTTCCTAGTCCATTTTGGAAGATGTAATAAATGATAAAAATAGAGTTAAAAGACATTTTATTGTTGTTTTTCCTTTTAAATCTTCTTTATTTTTTCTCAGAGGTATAACAGGGCATTTAAATAAAAGTATGATAGGGTGCATCATGCCTGAAACAGTACAATAATGAAGACATTTCTCATGTGTTAGTAACTTACTAGTTCTTGATGACTTTGGATCCAGTCACATGCTTTCTTCGATGTGTGGTTTCTAGTAAAATCCCAACTCTAATTCTGTACTGTGTCAAAAACTCCCTAAAAATACAAGTGTTAAAATAATCCCCCTTATTTAAAATTCAAACTTTATACATTTTAAAATATTGAATTTTGGCCACACACTGTGCAGATAACAGTTTTTTATCATTTTCAGGGAATTTTACTGTCATCTATACTTGATATTCACACTTTTAAAATTTTCTTTTAAATTCTACAAGGTAATGGTAGTAAGGTGATACTATCCTTTACACTAATCTCCTCTTGAGTCTCCAGAGAAGAGCTGAAGAATCTTCAAAAGCAAAACAAAAAAGATATGCCCTCCTTAATTGTACAAATATAGTCATTAACAGCATAATGACATTTTGGCCAGTGATGGAATGCATATATGTCAGTGGCTTCCTAAGTCATAAGGTTGTATTTTTACTGTACCTGTTTTAGGTTTAAATAGGTTTTGACGGACAAATCTTTACCATTGTGTTTCAATTGCCTACACTATTCAGTACACAACATATTGCACAGATTTGCAGCTGAGCAGCAATAGGCTATGCCATATAGCCTAGTTGTGTAGAAGGCTATACCATCTAGGTTTGTGTAAGTTCACTCTATGAAGTACACTCTTCAAGTACACTTTATAATGTTTACACAATGATGAAATCACCCAATGATGCATTTCTCAGTATGCAACCCTGTCATTAAGCAACACATGACTGTACCAAACTGTCAAGGATGGGGCCATATACAGTCTATACCCCTCCATAGGAATTTCTGTAAACACTGGAAATGCTTGACTATTGAGGCCTGGAGCTGTGGAAACACGATGTAGCTAATGGCTCCATTCAAAAAAATTGTCACTTCTCTATTGTCCTTTTCATTAGTCACTGCCACTTTTCTGTTTTGCCAGTTTCATTTTTCCTCCAGACAAACATCCTGTAAGGCATTAAAAAGAAGGGCAGGAGACTAATTAGTGTGTCAAGGGGAACTAGAGGTATGGTGAGAAATTCAGAATCTCATTTTCCTTTCCCCCCTTAGAATTGATTTTGCTGTCAGCATTTAAAAAATAACAAATGGATGTGCTTCTATTATTTGATGGAGATAAAGTACTTTTTCCTCTCCAAGTATAATTTGCTGCAAATTCTATTAACCAAAAATATATTCCAGAATCAAAATTATTAAACATTTTGAATGTCTCAGTCTAATTATTTGTGACTATAAAATGGATTGATTTGTATTTGTTTATAAATGTAATTAGGATAAATCCAAATAGAAGTGAAATAAAAGATATATAATCAGATTAGAGTACTTGCCAGAAAAGCAATGATTTTTTTAAAAAGCTATGCAGCATGGGGAAAATTTTGCTATCTGTTATTATAAATATTATATTTATATAGTTTGTTTAGTTGCAGACTGAATGAGAGGTAAGATTTTGTTGTTACATTTTTCTTTTAAACCATCTCTAGACCTCTTTGCTTCTAGGTAGAAAGTCTTGTTTTGTAGTATGGTTCGTAAATGTTGTCCGGAAGGTGTCACAGGTTAACTCTTATTAATGCTTTTTTTTTTTTTTTGAGGAAAGGAGTGGACAGGCACCAATTCTGTCTATAAACTCCTTTTATTTCATACTGAGAATAGGCGAGATTTGATTGTTTCACATTGTTATCTTGTTTTGATTGATAGTCACATCCTTCCCATTTGGGCATTAGTGATATGGAAAAGTTAGACTCTTTTGCCAGGGGTGTCATTAATCTGAGTTGTTAGGTATCGATGACCTGAATGTTAACCCTACACGGCAGTTCCACTAATTTGTAAGCTTTTCTGGTTTCTGCTCTTTCCTCTTGTCCTGTTTCCCAAGTGATCAATTTCTGTTAGGCTTTCTGTTTGTTTCCAACTGGCTTGCTTTTTTATACAGTTTGATTCAAAGATATTGATTTATTCCCCCTGTCCTTCCTCTGGAATGGTACCCGGATCTTATTTTATTTTATTATTTTATATTTATTTATTTACTACAGTAATTTGGTGGCAAATAATTCATTTCTTCTGTGTTCCCCCCACCCCCCACTTTCCTGTTTTTAGTGATAAATTGTTCGTGCAAGTTATTTTAGTGATAATACACTGTGGTTGGTTAACAACAAACTTTCAGGGTACATGAAGCAGGTGTTCTAGTTTTCTTTGCATGGGGAAGGTAGCCCCTCCTTCCTTTCTTTTCCTTCCTTCCTTCTTTCCCTCTTTCTCCTTCCTTCTTCTTTCTTCTTTCCCAGCTTTGCTACAGGAAAGCATATTTCAGTTCTTATAATCGGGCCACAGAAGATACCAGAAGGTGGGAGAGCATTGAGGTTAGGACTCAGAGTGAATCCCCACACCCATAAACCTCAAAATAATCAGATAGGCATAAAGAAAATCAAGAAATTGTCCTTTAAGGAATGGATATAATTTTCTCTGACTCCTTTCAAGGTCTTGTTTTCATCATCATCTGTGGAAAGCTGGACAAACGAGTCATGTTCTTTTCACTGGGCTTTCAACAACTTGGTTAGAAACTAATGAACTTTTATCAATTAAAAAATAATCGCTTTCTCCTAGTGGAGAAGTTAAGGGCAGTTGTTAGTAGTTAGAAAATAGAAGAAAGATTGGGGAAGTAACAAGTGAGGAATGAGGGCAGGCTGAAAAGGAGAATCCATGTGGCTGAGTCCCGGTGGAGAAGCTCAGGGCTTTGCCCCTTGGTCAGCTTCATCTGTTGCCTCATCCTTGCTGTACTACTTGGAGCACATTTCCCAAACTTTCTGACCCCCCGTTTCTTTATTTGTGAATGAAAAAATTATATCTTTTTCCCAGAGTTATGGTGAGGATTGAAGAAGATAACATAACCTCTGAACTGTGTCTTCTTGAGGGCTAGGATTTTGTCATTTGCACCTTTCTATGCCTCAGAGTCTAATACAGTGCCTGGTACACGGTAGGTGCTCAGTAAACATCTGGTTGAAGGAAAGAGAGGGCAAGGAATTTAACAGAGTGGGATATTAAAGAAGTAGCTCAGAAAAATAAGCAGGAAAACAGGAAGAAAATGGAAAGAGGAAGCATGGAGAGCTATTTGGACCTCCAGGTTAAAACTGATGCAGCCTGGAGCCCTGGCCTCCCTTCTTATGTTTCCCAGGGAGAGCTCTGTTACTGTCTTTTTCTAAAGCCATCAAAGGGTAAATTGGAAACATAGGATAAAAGTAGGCAGTGACAGCACACTGAGGGGAATATTTCTTTTTAAATGGGTTTATAAGCCAGACCCCACTTCCTCACCTTGTCTAATGCTGATGGTAATTTGTTCAAGTATTCCCATTTCAACCCATAGATTCCTGAGAACTGCAAGGTCACTACCACTACTCACACTGATCCACTTGTGGCAACCTCTAAAATTGTCCAATATATCATTGTTTTATTTAGGCTAGCAAACACGGAGGAGTAGTGGTAAGTCTTGTTCCCTATTTTCTCAGTGATTTTTCTTAATCTTCATTTGACACTCTGAGAAATGCATGTGGGTTGTAGACGGCCAGTTCAGAAAGGTCATCTAATGTCAGCTCAGCCCATGGTGCATTGCAAATGAATCCTGACTACAGTGCAGTGGCATTTTGGTGCTTTATTTATCATAAGTCTTGAATAGTTATCTCACACTTCACCCCGACAAATTATATCATGTCATTGTGGATTTTGGAGACCACTCTTCTCTATTTACATCAAGATCAGAACTTGATGTTACCATGAAATTTTCTCTGAAAAATCTATTTTTGATGTTCATTAGCACCTCGAAACTCAAAATAATAAACCATGTTTACTGATAAGAAAAAGAAGGCATGGAGATGGCCATTTCATTAAATCATTAATACAAGAGATGGCACCAATTAAAACACAACTAAACAACGAAACAGCAAAATTCCCAAAACAAAATCCGGGTACAGGCTGGGCATGGTGGCTCATGCCTGTTCTCCCAGGACTTTAGGAGGCCAAGGAAGGAGGATCACTTGAGCCCAAGAGTTTGAGACCAGCCTAGGCAACATAGCGAGACCTCATCTCTACAAATTAAAAAATAAAATTAGCAGGGCATGGTGGTGCACATCTGTGGTCCCAGTTACTTCGAAGCTGAGGTGGGAGAATCGCTTGAGCCCCTGCAGTCAAAAGCTGCAGTGAGCCATGATCATGCCACTCCACTCCAGCCTGGGCAACAGAGTGAGCCCATGTCTGAAAATAAAAATAATAATCAAAGTGTACATATTTTTAAAGCCAATGTTTTGAACTAACTGAAAGACCTGTGCATTTGTGGAGAAGAGCATAGTTAACCAAGAAAAAGAAGCTTTACATCTCGCCCAGAGGCACTTGCTACTTCTATTTTGGGGTCATGACCACAGCAGGTTCCCAGTCCTCACAGAGTGCTGGATGGTCAAGAACTGTGACCTCAGAGCTTTGAGAAGTGAGGGAAGCTGCACTGTTTTCCCGGTTGTTCTTTCAGATCCATACAGTAGTTCTTCCATATAAGGTGGAAGCATCAGAGTGATGAAGTGCTCCAGTTTGCAGCTCTTCTTTCCATAACACAGTTCATTTCTAGGCTCAAATCTGTTAACTTCATGCCCTTTGTACTTATTATGTTCTCAGCTTTCTAGCATGTAATTTTTTTTTTTGAATGAGAAGCAAAATTTGATCCTTCAAAGTGGTTATTCAACACAAAAAAGTAGGCTAATAAGAGTGGAAGAAGACAGGTTTAGTATCAGTGAGTTTTAATTGAACACCTACTATGTTCCAGCACTGTCCTGGGCATTTAAAAACAGAACAGGGAAATGGTAGCTACAGAGGGTTGACATATAGCTCTGTATCCTGGTTATTGTCAAGGGGAGGGTGAATTATTAGTCTTACAGTAAATTATGTTGACATGGCATCTCAGACGTGGGGCCTTTCTTACTTGTTTTCTGTCTTGCACATTGTAGCCTCCTGGAAATGTCAGTGTGATGTTCTGTCTTGCAGAATAATTCACTTAGTCTATTAGAGTGATAAGTGATAGGCCTCTGCTAAAGCAGAGAGAGCACATGGTGCCATTGAAAATAAAACGTCCTTGGCTTCTGTCATTACTCATATACTTGTGACACTGTGTTTCTTTTTTCCTTATAAAATGGCCTTTCCTCATGCTGTTGTAAGGGCTGAAAGGTCACATAGCCTTTGGCTTATTGTTTAGAGCTCTCAGAGAAGAACTTATTGTTTTTTAATTGCATTTCCTCCCCACTACATTAGAAGCATATCAAATCGGAAAAATCAGGCTAGGACGGACTAAGGGCTTCCTTTACCTGTGATGGACACCACATTTTTTATACTAAAAATCTTGCAAAACTTGGTTTTTTACACTTCAGAGTAAATTTTTTACTCTGAATGTAAAACTCAATGTTTTACATTCAGAGTAAAAGACATTTACTCTGAAGGACATTGTGTTCTCAAATATCCTCCTATTTGTCTTCACAACAGCCCTGTGAGGTAGAAGAATGGAATAAATATTACTGTCATCATCATATAAATGTGGCAACTGAAGCTCAAAAAGAGTACATGTCTTGTTTAAGGTAATTTAAGGATATACTTGATAAGTCTGTAAATATTTGTTAGTCATAGGGTAATTGACAGAGGCAAAAATACAGCTTGAGTTTTTAGCTCTATGTCTTCCCACTACGTTAGTTTTCCACTAACATAAACAACCAGATTCAACATGTTTATTTATTACAATCATGACTGTGTGAGATCTCAAACACAAAAATGTATAAAGTGGAAGAGAACTGTCTCTGATTCAGAAGTTATCTTTCTAGACATTGCAAGCCTAAGCCAAGTAAGAGGTGGTCCCTTGCTTTGGAAATCCACTTCAAAAAATGTTTGCAATGAAAGCTATTACTTCTCACATATGGAAATTGACAATAAAATGATAATATATAACTGGATTATTTACAAACAACCTCTGTCTTACAACAAACCTTTGTTTTTTTTCCATTATTCTAGGTCTTTATCTCATAAATCTTAGAGAGATTTTCCTCTCAAGCTTTGTAGATGTCAGCTCATTACTTGTGACAGTGAGGGACTGGCTAGCTAATCTCAACCTTGGTTCAACAGCAAAGTGAACTTTCTCACCAAGGATGGCCATTCTTGAAAAGACATATCTGGGTCAGTGAGTGCAGGTAGGTGTGCTGTGTTCAATTAACGCAATGGCAGCGTACCAAACTGAGATCCTTCTCCTCCTCTCGTCTCTGATGCAAGCACCTGTTCATTAAATCTGCTCATTTCCCCTTACTTTTGGAAGTCAGCACAAGTGACTAGGAGCAGAATGACTGTATATGCATTTCAAAAACACTTCTGTTAGTGACCGTGTTTTCTTTAAGATTTCAACCATCTTGCTCTAGACCAGACATTATTTTGGTAACTATGATCCTTTTGGCACCCTAATAGATGCTTCTATCCTATGTGGACTGAGGAAGAGTGAGTAAAGGGAAAGGGAATTGGCCAGGAGAGAGGGAAGTAAAAGCAATTCAAGCACAGGAGACTTCAAGCCCTCTGTAAACATTTCTGTCGTCTTTTCAAATAAGTAGAAACTCATATTTGCATAGTTTATGAAAGAAATTCTCATTTAAGAAGGATATTATTATTCTAATATGATTCCCTTTTTATTGATGGGATAACTGAGACTTGTCAATAAGTAAATTGTCCTAATTCACTAAGCAGGAAAGTAGTGGATACAGCTTCCACCTAGTTCTCTTTTCACAGCCACACTTTCCTCCACTCTCCTTGCCCTTTCAATTACCATTGGAGGTCCTTCAGGGCAAGGGCTGCATCTTCAATATTGCGACTTTCCCTCCCGGCATATTTGACAGTCTTTGCACACAGTGGTAAATCAGTAAGTGCTGTCATCTGTCTGGTGGGTAATAGTCTTTTGTGAATTAGTGAAATGGTGTTTTTCCTTCTCAGTGTAGCATAGCTGAGTGACCTCATCTGCTATCTGCAAGGCTTGCTGTCATCACAGCACTAGCCCCTGGCTACAGGGCCAGTTTGTGTTCAGAGAGCCATCTTTCAGTCTCCCAGGTATGTGTGGTGGCTCTCAACAGAATTACTGACTTTCAAGCATTTTAGAGGAAGACAAGATTTCATGTCTACAAAAACAAGACAGCAAGAGCTCTGGCAAGCGGACGTCGTAATCTTGCTAAGTTTAGTCTTTATGATGAATCATCTAGAGGCTGTTACTTGCTCTGGGTCTTTGGCTGTTTTATTTTTAGAAAAATCTGAATTTCATTGAAATCCATTTGCTGGTACATAATCGGAGTGGATCTAGTCCAAATGAGGTAATTATGGGTCAGCTGGAGGTGATTATCTCCATCCACGAGATAGCCCCAAGCTAGGAAGCTCTATGCAGGACTTTTAAAGCAACATTTTCTTCCTTGTGACCAATTTTGTAGTTATGAAGCTTTTTAGGGGCTTTCCTTGCGTCATCTTAACTTGGTTTGTTGTCTTTCTGCCTTTTCTTGGAAAAAATAAATCTTATCACCAAAATTCTGTCTCAAACAGTGAGAAAAAAAGTATGTGGTTGTGCTGAACTGATACTCATAGGCATGTCTGCTGCAGTCAGTCCACCTTCATTTTGGGTGTCCTTTTCTGAGATTATTTTACAAAGTTTTCCAGGGCAGCTTCAACCCAACCTCCATGATCAGAGAAGAGATTTAACAGGGATACTCTTTCTCTTTAAATTTGGTAGCTCTTAAAGTTCCAAAGAAAGATTGGCAATGCACTTTGGTTTATAGCTATTAACAGGAGAAAGCAAATGCAACCATTTTAAATGGGTTACGTCTGCTGGGCTCGTTTTGTCTCTAATGGGTGGGAGGATGCTTGGTGTGGCAGTTAGAATTTCTTAGCTCCTAGCATGTGCTTTTCCCTATGTGTCAGTTGTTTTTCTATTGTTGAACAATCGGCACCTCCCTAATTTTGTCTCTTAATTGAGTTTCTGCTTCCCCTTCATCCTGCTTCACTGCCTTTTGATGGACTCCAAACAGGTACTAATAAGTGTGTCACTAACATCACATGCTTAGATCTTCTAGTTTTCACCACTCACTTGGGGTCTTAGCAGGAAAAAGCAGAAATGTCTATTATCTAGACTGTGTTGGAAATAAGTCCAACTTTTACCAGTAGGGATTGTATGGTATTTCAGAAAAAATTTTTTTGAAAACTCTTTTGATGACCAGTTTAAGTTCATCACTTTCCTCCCCGATCACTGGCTGCAAACAATTTCTGGCTTCATGTAACCTGGAAATACAACTTCCATGTCCCCTTCTTCTAGCTTTCACTCTTGCATCCAAATTTCAATAAATGTCATATGTTTGTTCCACTGAAAAGCATCATGCTGTTGTGAAAGAAGATGAATTTGTTAGGTTAGAAGAATATGGCTCAACAGGCTGGGCGCGGTGGCTCACGCCTGTAATCCCAGCACTTTGGGAGGCTGAGGCAGGTGGATCACAAGGTCAAGGGATCAAGACCAACCTGGCCCACATGGTGAAACCCCGTCTCTACTAAAAATACAAAAATTAGCTGGGCGTGGGGGCGCACGCCTGTAGTCCCAGCTACTTGGCAGGCTGAGGCAGGAGAATCGCTTGAACCCGGGAGGCAGAGGTTGCAGTGAGCCAAGATCATGCCGCTGCACTCTAGCCTGGTGATGGAGCGAGACTCCGTCTCAGAAAAACAAAACAACAACAATGAAAAAGAAGAATATGGCTCAACAAATAGAAGAGTTCTCCATTGATTAAGTAATCTGGGCATTTTAATTTAATCTCTCTCTGTCTCAGTTTCTTCATTTAGGTAATGGGATAATAATGTGTACTCCACAGGATCATGGAAATCATAAGATATGGCTTATAAACCAAGAAATATTCTCAAGTTAATAACTGTTAATCTACTATCAATTTATGCATTCGTATGGTCTATATATATGTGGCAAAATTTGGCATTTTATATTGGCATATGTCTTAGAGTTCCTAGGGTCTGTGAGCACAACATGTGTGACCATTTCCAATATTAGCAGAGTAAAAGCAGATAGCAATTTGATATATACCATCCAAGCATGGAGTGGATGAACTAATAACTGAGAAAAAGAAAACTAAATTAAAGAAAAGCAAACCCATGTATTTCTAGAGTCATATATCTGGAAAGAACCTTAAAGATGATGTAATGTTTATTGATTTGTGAAAAAGTAAGATCCAAGAACAAAATAGATATGGATAGGTAGAAAACATTTTGTTATCTGCTCAGTCTCCCAGGCTATTTAGTTACAGACCCGGGCCTGGTCCCAAGTCTCTTGACCTGATCCCTCAGCCCTCATCCTGTCCTGCACATTGCCATTATAACATGCTATTCTTAAGCTCTACGTGCAAGCACATGGAACAAATATGAAAAGGTTCCAATTGGAAGAGAGGAATAACCTAGAATCCAAGGTATTTTTGTCATATCAACAATATATAACAATGGAATTTATAGTGCCTGTCATTTCTGTCCTGCCCCTACCTCCCGCAGTGAGAGAGGCTGGTTTCGCTCATGTTGCTTCTGTAATCTCTGCCTCTGTCTTTCTGAGATTTCAGATATATTCTTGATTCTGTGAAATGGAAATAAATATTGTTTGTTTTTCCCATTCTGGTGGGAAATGTATAACATCCAGATTTATATTTCTGATATTTATTCTAAAGATCTTGAACTCTGGTTTTTAAAATATACCCACACTTGACTTAATAAGCTAGAGTGAACAGTCAGTAAACAGAGGGCCAAATCACCTTCAAGACTGAAGTCAAATGGTTGACTTATTTAGTAATAAGGATGAAGTCCATTCTGCTGTAACCAAATCTACTCTCCTTTAGAGAGACAGAACATTTCCCAAGGTCTAAACCAATCCCCAAAACTTATTTTGGAGAGAAAAACAGCTGCTGGCAAGTAAACAAATAGCAGTCCTTTGAGGCCTCAATTTCCTCAGAAAAACAGGGACAATAATCTATGAGCAGTGCTAAAGGGAGGAGAGCCGATGAGGTCATGCATTTAATATACATAGCACAGTGCCTGACACATGGGAAATACTTTATAAAAAAAACTGTTATTTTTGTTTTTAAAACTGGCAGAATTTGAAGACGGGAAAAAAATCTCACTTTGTAGTAAGACAAAGAGGGGCAATATTTGAAGGTTATATTTGATAGGGTGCAGGCATGAATGTATTAACTATTTTGATCAGAGGACACAGAGAATGGGCAGGGTTCAGCTCACCCGTCCATCTCAAACTTTATGGGGTATTAACTCTAGATGTCTGAGCTGTTCCACACAGGAAGCAAGCTGCTCATGTAGATCGTGTTTCATAGGTGGTGAATATTATTAAAAACCTTTTTGATTCATTCGTAATTCCTAAACTGATATTTAAATTCAGTTAATAGAGTCTGAATCCAAATGCCTCTACCTCCTGTTCCTTGAGTAGCTAAGGTTCTTGTTTCTGAATTAGTAGTACCTGATTTCTGGGATGGTCTAGCTCAGTGTGGTATTGGCATTGGACAATGGCAAAAAGAACAAATATAGAAAGTCTAGACAAATACTCCATTCCATTTATTAGCGTGTGTCCTAATCTTGTTCCAATTTTGACAGATAAGATACAGTGCTTCCATAAACACAACTGATTATATAGAATGGACATTTGAAAAGAACAAGTTGGAAATGATACACATTTTCATTATTTGTCAAATTTTTATAAACTGACTTTTCCAAATTCATTATTTTATTCACATCCATTTTATTTGACTTATTTTAAATTGGTAGGCTTATTATTTAAAAATAAAAACAAAAACCCAGACTCAAGGAATCTGAATTCACAGTCCTCTGAAAATAGTATGGAAATGAAAATATAATTTTAGTGTAAAAAGAGTTACAGACTTAACGTACCTCAAAAGATGTCCGTTCTTTTAAGGTTATTTTAATTTGACTAGAGAGGGAAGAGAGGTCATAACTTTGAACTTTTTAAATAGCCTGAAAAAATTAAGAAACTGATATCTCTCTCCTCTCTTCTTCCATACTTTGGCTCCTCTTTCTCTCGTGCAAGATCTCATTTTGCTGAAAATGCTCATTTCATGTTTTAAAATATTTCCCTTCAGTTTCAGTTCTATTAATAAACAGCTGAATTTTTCTCTTGGCTAATCATCTTTTCCAAGTATTTTATTCCTCATTTAAATTATAAATAATAGATAATCATCCATCTATTTACTCAAAAAAAGTATCAGGCTCTTGCTGTTTCCCTGTATTTTGAAGATATAAACTGGAGTGAGACTTATCTCTGCATTTAAGGAGCTCATTTACCTCTAATCATTTGTTCTCTTCCAAGTCATTGGACACATCCCCAGCACATTCAGAGTGTCCCAATAATCACAGTTTATAGCTTTGATAACTGTTGATATTCTTTTGTCTTCATCACTAGGATCCTTGACTCTTACTGGTGACATTTTGGTGCCTTCTTTCTATTTGCTTGGCTAAACATTAAATACTAAATAAGCCAGAGTTTTTAAAAACAAAGATTAGATCCACTCACTAAGCATATAACAGGCATTATTTATCCAGAGATAAGGCTCTGGACACCTAGCATTTTCTCTTTGTTCTGCTATTAATTCTTTGTATAACCCCATCAATTTATCCCACTGCAGTATTCTAAGTCTGTTGAGAGCTGTTTGTCAAAATTAAGATCAGCCATAAAATTTTCAGTTTTTGAACAAAGTAGCACAACTAGGTTTATTACAGTGGAGTGACTTCATTACCTTCAAATCACTGATAAAAAAACCCCAATTTGCGAAAATCGAATCAATCACTCATTCATTAGCAAATAAAATGCAAAAACATCTACTTTTTACATTATGGACTATCCTGATTTTTATGTATATATCTCCAGTTGCAAATCATTTATTTTCATTGTTATACACAGAGAATATGCTCCTAGAAGGATAGACACAATATGACAATGTTCCACCAACACATGAAATATGACGTGTTAATAAGCATTTAATTTTATTTGCTTTAAAAATAGACAATTTAAATGTTTTACCTTTTTTCAAGTACAAATGGTGTTCATGTAATTCTCCTATGATATCTTTTCAGTCAGGTAGTCAAATGGCTAAACGATTGAAATGAAATTTGCAGACTCATTTAGCATGGGGCATATGTTTAAATGGGATGCAGAATTCCCTCATCCTGGGGAGCCCTCGCTGACTCTCTCTGAATATTTAAGCAGTCAATCTGGTTATGCCATTGCTTCATTGACTAGACAACACTAATTCTATTAAAGCCACTGGAGATGTGATTTAATCAGTTCGCCCATAGCAAATGTTCTATAAAGAATGTGCAACTTCTTTAAAAATGATGAAACTTCTAGAATTAGATTATTTAGCTCAATCTTCTACAAGAATCCTTTTCAAGTTAACTTCGAAATATGGTCATCCAGCTACCGCTTGAGTATGTCAAGGAGTGGGTGACCACTACTAGTTTGTGGAACATTCCATTCCAATGTTGGATAGTGAAAAGTCTCTTACGAGACTGCTTCCTCTTTCTCAAGGCTGCCATTTAATATTGTGGCCTTAGATAAACTTTTTCAACTTTTCTAAACTTTAACTTCTTCATATACATAATGATCATTTTGATAATACTTTCCTCACAGTGTTTTTCTGAGGATACAATTTTTTTTTTTTTTTGAGATGGAGTTTCACTCTTGTTGCCCAGGTTGGATTGCAATGGCGCGATCTTGGCTCACTGCAACCTCCACCTCCTGGGTTCAAGCAATTCTCCTGCCTCAGCCTCCCGAGTAGCTGGGACTATAGGTGCGCGCCACCATGCCCAGCTAATTTTTGTAGAGATTTAGTAGAGATTTGAATTTTAGTAGAGATGGGGTTCCACCATGTTGGGCAGGCTGGTCTCAAACTTCTGATCTCAGGTGATCCACCTGTCTCGGCCTCCCAAAGTGCTGGGATTACAGGCGTGAGCCCCTGTGCCTGGCTGAGGATACAATTTTTAATGCCAAGGCTGGCAGATCACAAAGTCAGGCGTTTGAGACTAGCCTTACCAACATGGTGAAACCCCATCTCTACTAAAAAATACAAAAATTGGCTGGGTGTGGTGGCATGCGCTTGTAGTCCCAGCTACTCAGGAGGCTGAGGCAGGAAAATTGCTTGAACCCAGGAGGTGGAGGTTGCAGTGAGCCGAGATCGCACCCCTGTACTGCAGCCTGGGCGACAGAATGAGACTCAGTCTCAAAAAAAAAAAAAAAAAAAAACTATGTAAAGTGCTGTTGGTACATTTGGTACATACTAAGCTCTCACTCAATACCTGAGAGCTGTTGTTGTTAGTGTTTTTACAACTATGGCATAATTAATTAGATGAAGCAGAAGATAATAAGTTACTTACCATAACTTCAAAGTGCCTTTAGTTAAAAGCAAGGTAGGCCTGAAAGCCAGGTTCCTCCTTTTACAAAGGGTAACATGTGCAGCTTAAAATAGGATACAGTAAAAATGTTCCAGACCATTGACTCCTGGCTTTGTTTCCTTTACTTTAGAAGTTAGGCTTTGACTCTGGCAGTGTTACAGGTTTAACACAATTTGAAAAACTTCTGTATATTATGGGATGTGTGATGTGACAAAAACTAGAAAGTGTAGTTATGAATGTGTTTCAAGGATCCCATCTAAAGACTCTCTTTGCCAGATTCTAATTAGAGTTTTAAGACTGCTCAAGTTATTGTTCACTTGATTTCTTTCTACGGTACAAATGGTTACAAGCTTACCAACTCACCTGTTGCATGGTACAAATGGCAGTAAATACCATTGCTGGGAAATATCAGCTGAGAGAAAAGTCAGTCTTTCATTGGGAAGTCTGGGTAGCTGGGGCTCTGGAGGAGTTTTCTTCCACCAGAGCAGAGACAAACTTCTCTCTGAATTGATGGGCAGAGTTCTCTCTAGCCACATTTTAACTGAGGGTGTAGCTTTTCCAAGGGTCTGCTTTATGCAAGGAATCCTGTTCAAACTCCCTGGCTCTTTGGAGCCCAAGATCTTAAATTTCATGACCACCTCAATGTTAAAGCCATTGGCTGTCAGGGCCAATTTCTGGGTCTAACACTTCTATTCTCCAGCTTATCTCAACTTCACCTGAGGTTGCATTCTTTTCTTTTTCATTTGTGTCCCACGGAGATTTTTCTTTCTTCTTACAGGCCTATTTATATTTACTTTCTTTTTCAGTTATGTTTTATGTCAAGTTTCTGTTGTTTATAGTAGGAGGAGTGACTTGCTATCTCAATTCTTAATGTAAGAACTGACAGTGAAAGAACATCTGCTTTGTATTGAACTAACGTGGGCCTCTCAGTATAATTTCTCCTTGCTGGTCTTTCTGCTATATTCTGACATCACCGAAAATGTCCAGTAGAGATGGAGTGTGGTTGCCATTCTTTAGATGCTCTTCAGTTTTTCAATTACCTTAAAGTGATAGGCCCAAAGCCTAACATCCCAGGGTGTTTTAACCAATGTAAACTAAAGAACTGAACGATCCCCTCTTTTGCTCTGAATCCTATTATTCCAATGATGCAATGTGTGATTGTACAGGCACATTTTGACAGCTTTAGAAGCTATTGACCCAGAATAAGTTTAGTGAAATAAATTTGTATGTGCTGCTGTAATACAGGGTAGAATTGAAGTTTAATTTTGTCAACTGGTTTCAGTCAGTTCAAGTAGATTGAAGATGCGCATTAATTTTAATGGTTTTTGTTATCTATTTGAAGTGTTCTCGTTGGACTACGGAAAAGCGAAAATATCCACAAGTGAAATCTTTGAAACTAATTCAAAGACAACCTAATACTAAGTAAAGAAGGGCAAAACTTTACTAAAACATATTCAACATGTGGCTGACTTGGCCTTTTCACTTTTATTGGCTCAATTTATAGATTTTTTACAAAGGTCAGTGTTTTGTATTCTCTATTTCAGTTCTTCTTTTGATTTTTTTCTTCATAATTAGTCTTATGACTATACCCTTAATTTAACACACAAAATATCCAACCCACATTTTTTTTTCTCCAAATTTTTTCTTTTACCAGTGAAAATTTAACCCTACAAAATACTTAGTGATAAATTTGATATAATTCAGCAGGTTGTTGCCATTTTTTAAGAAATAGGTGGTGCATTTACTGCCACCTGGTGGAATATTTGAGACGAGAGAGAAATAGAAACTAGATTAGTAAAAAAAAAAAAAAAAACACATTAAAAATACCTAACGAGGTAAAATTTCTTCACTGAGTCAGTATACTGGTTTACCTGGAGCCATGTAAAATTAATCTGGGCCCATATGTAACTTAAATTAATCTGAACCAAAGAAAAACATGGGCTTCAATTGTATTTTCTTTGGCTAGTTATTAATTTATTGTCCCAATGTAGGAGGCAATGCTAATCTGATTATAATTCATATTTGATTGTTTAGACATGAAGGCAAATGTCAGAAAAACCTAAAAAACTAGAAAATTTTTTTCTTACGTGTTCTTTATCTTTGATTCTCTGTATTAATGTTTGTTTGTATCCCTTAGTGAATCAGCCTGATTTTGGCTTGATTCTTTCTCTCATCTGTGTTCTACAGTTTGGTCTATCTAACATCTCAACAAACCAAGACAAACCAGGTAAAATTTCCTTGCCGTTCCTCACTTCAGCTTCCGTTTCTCCCAAAGTATTCTACATTAGTTTCCTTTTTTTTTTTTTTTTATGAACAAATTGTGAAGAATCTGGTCGCAGTTTTGTGATCTTCCTGCTAAACATCTTGGGATAGCAACTTTACTTTTCATTCTCATATTACACATCTGTATAATTTCAGGGATTGACTTGTTTATGTTCAATGTTCTCTTACAATTCTGAGACTCTATGAAGTCGTGAATAAATTAATTTAAATTTAAATGAATTTGACCAGTTAAAACCCTCTACAACTGTTAATACTGTATTCAGGGCACTAAAAGCTGATAGAATTTCCCAGACTTGATATTAGATTGAACAATTAGCCTTTCCTTAAATGATGCCACAACTGTCTGGTTTATTACTTATAATTTATACCACACTTGTTTCTTTTATTTGTCTACATTTATTGAGTCTTTGTTAGCTCCTGGGGTTATAGTCATAAACAATAGGTCAGCAAACAACATTAGGAAGATAGAAATAAACAAATGATTACAGCATACCTTAGTGGTTCCTCAACTTGAATGTTTATAGAAATCACTGGCAATATTTGATAAATTTGTAGATTCCAGGGCTCTAATAGAGCCTGATTACTTGAAACAATTAAATTACTTCTGATTCAATAGGTCTAAAAGTAAAGCCATAAACCTGTATTTTTCAGAAGTATTTTAAGTAATCCTGATGCAAGTGGTAGGACATACAACACACAAGAAAACTTGATATGAAAAATGGATGTTATAAAAGTAGGTAAGCACAAGGTATAAGGGAACATAAAGAAAGTGTATTTAATTCAATTAGGAGTCAGAGAAGCTGATAAGGAGTAAACCAGGAGAAGGAATGCATTCAAAAAAGAGTCTATGATTTCAAGCAAAAGAATAAGAATTCCATGTGGGAGAGCTTGGCACTTTCAGGGGATGGCAACTAGGTCAGTATTTCTGAAAGGTACAATTTGAGGATGAAATTGACCATATATTCAGGTAAAAAGCAAGTGTCAATAAATTTAAAAGAACTAGTGTAATTGGACAAAACGTCCTGATCATAATGCAATTAATTTAGAAATCGCTAATTTATTTTACTGCTTTATATGAATGAAAATGTGAAACTCACCAGATATTTAAATAATTTTTAGGTCAAAGAAGAAATCATAAGAAAAGTATAAAAGTGACAAAACTTAACTCTAATGAAAATGCTACACATTGGGAGAAATAGGGCAAAGTTTTGAATAGTATTTAGAGGAAATATTAGAGCCTTAAAACATATATTGAAAAAGTAGGAACCTTAGAAATTAAAGAAAGTGGAACAAAATTAAAATATAAGCTACTGAAAGTAAAACCCAAATACAGCAGAACAAAACAGGATTATTGTATCAATTTACAATATTTTTAGGAATTAAAACACATGCACACACGTGTGTGTATGTATGTTGACTAACGTATTATTTAGTTGAGCGTTTTTAATAATTTGAGCTTTGAGTTGAACTTACGAACTGTTTAAACTTGCAAGTTTTAAACTTCCATACATATGAAGTTTAAAAATAAGGTTTGCGTTGTTGTTATTGATTTCTAAGTCAATACCTAGGTTGGTACGTCACTGTATTCCACCAGAATGTGATTCCAGCTGTATCCAAGAATATGTATATTCTTTTTCTAAATGAATTTTCATGGGATAAATTATCATACAAATTAGCACATCATTAGTTAAGTTACAGATCTCAGTGTGCTGCGTAAGATGACTCCTTACAATTTTCCCATCTTTAATCAGTAAGAGAGAGATATGTATTACTATCAGGGCTATGGACAAAGATCTAATCCTATAATGAATATATGTATTATATAAGTATCTTTCTTCATTGTATGTCAATAAGGTAAAGAAAAAACTTATTTCTGAAGTAGTGGTATTAACAAGTAAATAAATGAAGGTGTTATTTTGCCTAAATATTCAACCTCAGGTGATTAGCATAATACCATTTTTATTTCTTTTAATTGTTTATTTCCATAGGTTTTTGGGGAACAGGTGTTATTTGATTACATGAGTAAGTTCTTCAGTGGTGATTTGTTAGATTTTGGTGCACTCATCATCTGAGCAGTAAACATTTTTATTTCCAGTATCAATTATAAAAATAAACATGTTCTGATAGTTAATACAATTGAGATAGAAAGAGGCTGTCTAGCCAAAATATTATTCTTGAATACCAGTTATGATCTTATTTCAGTAGGCCTTATCTTGAAACCTTGCTCCTAACACAGTAATGCATTATACAATATATCTGCAGCAATTTATGGTTCATAAACACATTGTATTCATCTGGAATTATAATGAAAAAATAGTGACAATAATCCCAGACACTATACCTTTTCTCCCCTTTCATTGCCTTCTATTAGAAAGCCTGTTGGCATTGAAACCATTGGAAGTTTTGGAGACTTTTAAGCTAGGCAGGAAGCCTTGAAAAGTTGATTTAAAAGCTTGAAGAGGGAGACTATGTGAGAAAAGAATTAACATGGTAGACCTGACACTCCTTTTCTTGGAAAGTCCTGCCTGAAAGATTGAGCCTTGTCTGGTATCAGGGAACTTGACTGGCAAACAGCTTTCTACACTAATAAAACTTCCTTAAATGAAACAAGTGGCTCACTGTGCTTACTCCCTAAGTTATTTATACGAACAATACAATTTATTCTGAACACCTGCTTTCTTTAAGGAAATCTGGAATTCTGGTACATGCTAGGCAGAGAATGCCTTTATTACCAGATTACAATAAAAGCCTTGGACACTGAATCTTCAATGGGCTGCCTAGTACATACGTGTTGTCCCATTTCAAAAATGGGGAAATTAATGTGTCCTGTGTGACTCCAGTCTTGGAAGCTTGTGCTTGGTTTCATCTGGATTTTTCCAAGTGCCTTTTTGCTTTGCTGATTTTGCTTTGTATCATTTCACTGTAATAAGTCATAGCCATGAGCAGGATTATACGCTGTGTCCTGTTAGCCGCTCTAGCAAATCATCAAGTTAGATTGTGGTCTTGGGGACCACACTCAACATAGTGATATACAGGAAACATTGACCTGCCATGTAATGTTCCCTATCCATGCTGTTTGAAAGTGGAATAATACAAAGGAAAAAGAGTCATATATTTGACCAATTTGGAGTTATCTGGACTAATAAACACCCTCTAAAACTATAAAAGTGTCTTTTGAAAGTGCCAAGAGGTTCATCAGTTATATACTGAGCAATAATACTAACACCTAATATCATTACAGCATTTCTTACACTAGTCACAGTCCTAAATTCTTTAACTGGATGATGTTATTTAATCTATACAGTGTCTTATAACAGTACCTGTAATTAGTCCTACTTTACAAATAGAGAGACTGAGGTCAGAGTAACTAAGTGACTTGCCCTGGTCACACACCTTGTGAGAAGCAGAGGCGGGTTGTGAACGTAGGGAATCTGATTCCAGAGCCTACCCTCTTAACTACTGCCCTCCTGTATTTGGTCCAGACTTTTTCTAATCTATTATAGAAGGAAGAGGGATTTTGGTTGGAGGGAGAGGGATAGATAATTTTGGAATACAGAAACTTGATTCCTGGAAGGCTTAGATTGTTACTTCCCTTTACTCCATCATACTGTGATTACGGCTACATATTTTTTAAAATCATACACTGAGGACATAAGGGGAAAATACTGGAACTGTGTTGGCCTGAAGGCCTGAAAAGAAGAGGCTGGAAATGTAAGGGAAATTAGAAAATAAATTAGGAAAGTGACAACTATAAAATTAACATATTTAAACAAATATGGCTAGAGCCCAGTGATCTTATTGAAGGAAGAAGAAAGATTTTGGTGTTTGGAAATCCAAGGAAGCTAGCATTGCGAGGCAGAACAACACAACAGAGAGACAGACACTTCATATATCTCTATCTCTATTATCTCTTTCTCTCTCTATCTCTATCTCTATATTTAGATATATGATATCTATATTGATCTAGATCTATCTATCTATCTATCTATCATCTATCTATCCCTCTGTCATCTGTCTACCTATCTATTTGACATCGAGGTAGGTATCTTCAGAGGATACAAAGTGATCCTCTAAACTCTTTGGTGAAATAGTGATGTAGGCTTGCAGGTAAGAAAACTACCTGACTCAAGGGAAAGCATCACAGAATCACGGAAAGGAGCAGGCGGAACAATCCTAAATGCTCATTAATGGATCAGAAATAGTTATTATTTCCAGTGGTCAAAGTGGAGAAATATTTTTATATACAGGGCATTGGGTAGAGTTCTTAGGAAGCTATTGTCTCAGTATTGCAGCTAAGTTACTCCCAAATTACCCAAAGCAGAAAAAAAAAATGAAAAAACCACCACAAGGCACATCGTTGTAATATTGCTGATATCAGTGATGAAGAGAAAATGTTAAAATCACCCAGAGGATAGAAGACAAGTCAAGTACAGAGGAATGGCAGCAGATGTGACATCAGGAACCACCCAAGCAAGAAGAAATGATAAATATCTTTAAAGTGGTGAAAAGAAAAAGAAAACTAAATCTATATCCAGACAATATATTTTTCAAAAATAAAATCAAAATAAAGACTTTTTCAGATAAATAAAAGCTAAGAGAATGTATTACCATCAGATCTTTACTACAAAAAAGGTTAAAGTAAATATTTCATGAAAAAAGAAAATACCACCGGAAGTTTGAATTTACTACACAAAGAAATAAAAAGCATCAGAAAGAGTAAACTTATGGGCAAATTTAAAAGCTTATGAAAATATTTTTGAGAAATTTAATAGATAATAGACTTTTATAAGCAAAGAATATGTTTTGGCATTTCTAACATATGTAAAAGTAAAACTGTGACAAAATAGCACCAAGGCCAGAAGCAGAGAAATGGAACTACAACAAGCATACTGTTGTAAAGTTCTCATACTATAAATAAAGTTATGCAATATTACTTGAATGTACAAGTTAACAATATAGATTGTAAACCTTAAAGCTACCATCAAAAAAACCTACAAAGAGGCTAGGCTAATAAACCAACAATGGATGTAAAATGAAATATTAAAAAACACTCAATTAGTACCAAAATGTCAGGAAAAGGGGGAACAAACCCTCAAAATTAGATGGGACAATAAAAAATAACCAGATGTTAATTTAAGCCCTCCTTTATGAATAATTCTATTAAGATAAGGGATTAACAGTGTAACTAAAAGGCAGAGGTTGTCAGACTGATATAAAAGCAAGATCCAATTATATGGTGATATGGTTTGGCTCTGTGTCCCCACCCCAAATCTCATGTTGAATTGTAATCCTCAGTGTTGGGGGAGGGACATAGTGGGAGGCAACTGGATTGTAAGGGAGTGGATTTATCTCTTGTTATTCTTATGATAGAGAGTTCTTACAAGATCTAGTTATTTGAAGGTGTGTAGCACTTCACCTGTCCCTCTCTCTGTCTCCTGCCAACATGTGAAGATGTGCTTGCTTCCCCTTCACCCTTCCACCATGACTGTAAGTTTCCTGAGGCCTCCCCATCCATGCCTCCTGTACAGCCTGTGGAACTGTCAGTCAATTAAACCTCTTTTCTTTATAAATTACTCAGTCTCAGGTAGTTCTTTTTTTTTTTTTTTTTCTTCAGATGGAGTTTCACTTTTGTTGCCCAGGCTGGAGTGCAATGGTGTGATGTCGGCTCACTGCAACCTCAGCCTTCCGGGTTCAAGTGATTCTCCTGCCTCAGCTTCCCAAGTAGCTGGGATTACAGGTGCCTGCCACCATGCCTGGTTAATTTTTGTATTTTTAGTAGAGACAGTGTTTCACCATGTTGGCCAGGATGGTCTTGAACTCCTGACCTCAGGTGATCCACCTACCTTGGCCTCCCAAAGTGCTGGGATTATAGGTGTGAACCACCACACCTGGCCAGGTAGTTAGTTATAGCAGTGTGAGGGTGAACTAATACATATGGCCTTAAAAATTATTTTTTAAACCCCACCAAAAAGTGGACAAAGGACATGAACAGGCATTTTTCAAAAGAAGATATACATGTGGCCAAAAAGCATATTAACTAAATGCTCAACATTACTAATCAATAGAGAAAAGCAAATGAAAACCACAATGAGGTATCATCTCACACCAGTCAGAACGGCCATTATTAAGAAGTCAAAAATTAACTCATGCTGATAAGATTGCAGAGAAAAGGGAACACTTATACACTGCTGGTAGACATGTAAATTAGTTTAGCCGTTGTGGAAAGCAGGATAATGATTTCTCAAAGACCTTAAAACAGAATTACCATTCAACCCAGGAATCTCATTATTGGGTATATATCCAAAGGAATATAGTTTATTCTACCATAAAAACACATGCACATGTTTCTTTATTGAAACACTATTTGCAATAGCAAAGATGTGGAATCACCCTAAATGCCCTTCAACAGTAGACTGGAAAAAGAAAATATGGTACATATACATCATATAATACTATACAGCCATAAAAAAGAAGGAGATCATGTCTTTTGCAGCAACATGGATGGAGCTGAAGACCATTATCCTAAGCAAACTAATGCAGGAACAGAAAACCAAATAGCACATGTTCTCACTTACAGGTGGAAGCTAAACAACAAGAACACATGGACACAGAGAGGGGAACACCGGACACCAGGGCTTACTTGAGGGTGGAGGTGGGGAGGAGGGAGAGGATTTAAAAAATACTGTTGGGTACTATGCTTGTTACCTGGGTGACTAAATAATCTGTGCACCAAACCCCCATGACATACAGTTTACCTATGTAACAATGTTGCACATGTACACTTAAATGTAAAAATAAAAGTTAAAAAAATGCAGTTTAAATATAAGAAGCAGGTAGTTTAATAGAAAAAAAGATGAAAAATTATGTACCATAAAATATTAATCAATAGAAGACTATATAAAATTAAATACATTTCAAAGCAAGGAATATTACCAGGGATAACAAGGGGCATTTCTTATTAAAAAGGTGTTAAATTATCAAGATATAACAATCTCAAATGTGTATTCACTTAAAAGGAGAGCTTCAAAGTACTTGAAGCAAAAACAGACAGAACAAAAAAAAAGAGACAAATATACAATTATGTTTGGAAATTTTAATATGCCATTTCAATAACTAATAGAAGAGGAAGACACATACAAAAAAACCCAGTAAGAATGCATTAGACTTGGACTACACAATCAACCTATTTAATCTAATGGACATTTATGGAACACTTCACCCAAACAACAATGCACATTTTTGGGGGGCCCAAAACAAGATGGAAGAAGTTTGAAAGGATTGAAATCTCAAGAAGTATGTTCTCTCATCACAACAGAATTAAATGGAAAATAGACATCAGAAACATGCTTGGAAAATCTCCAGATATTTGCTAATTAAATAAAACATTTTTTAATAAAGCATGGGTCAAAGAAAAAATTTATATAGTAAAATGAAAAATGTTTTGAAGTAAATGAAAACACTACATAACAAAATTTGTGAGATGCAGCTGAAGCCATGGTTAGAGGAAAATTTATAGCAATAAATACTTTATTAATAAAGGCTTAATTCAATAGTAAAAGTGTCTACCTTAAGAAAAGAAGAACAAATTAATCCCCAAAACCAAAAGAAGGAATTAATAAATCTGAGGAATAATCAATGATGTAGAAAACAAAAAGAATATAGAATATCAATAAACCCAAAATTAGTTATTTGTAAGTTCAAAAACATTTATAAAGCTATAGGAAGACTGATGAAGATAAAAGAGATTTAGGCTACCAATAACAGGACTGATTAAAAGGACATCACAACAGATTGTGCAAACATTAGAAGGATGATAAGAAAATAAAATGAACAACTTTGTGGAAATATATTTGTTACTTATCTGAAATAGACAAGTTTCTTGTAAAATACAAATTACAAAAGCTTGCTCCAGGCCGGGAAAATGTCACTAGTTATTTCTAACAAACATTTAAGGGAGAAATAATATTAATTCTGCACTAACCCCTCCTGAAAATAGAAGACTCCAAATCACTCCATGAGGCCAGTATTACCCTGCTACCAAAACTGAAGACAATACAAAAAGAGAGAGAAATACTTATCAATATTTCTCATAAAGATAGATACAAAATTTTTTAAAAACTTTCACAAATCAAATACAACTATATACTAAAAGAAGGATGAATCAGAACCATGTGAAATTTACCAGCAATACAGGGTTGATTTAACACTGGAAAAATCAATCAATGCTATTTGCCATGTTAACAGTCTAAAATATAAAGCATTTCGATAGATGCAGTAAAACAGATGCTGACTTAATCAGTTCTGTTGCTGGATCTGATGTAAGTAAACAATTCTTATTTTAATCTGGGTTGTGGACATTTCCAGGGTAGCCATGATCAATATAGGAATCTCTGTGCTGCCAATAAATTAAGATTTCTATTCCTGTCATAAAATGACTTCACCATGAAGAAGCCATGTTATTTTTCAATATTCTTCTCCACAGGATAAATAAAGTTCCCATTCAAGAGAAAAATAGTTAAGTCCAAGGCATAAAACAGAAAATGCAATTTATTGTGATGTATCCAGCTAGAGCCTGTAAAGTTGTTTTTGTTTTTGTTCATCTTCTAGAATAACAAATGCATGAGATAGAAAGTTGAGAACTGGTGAAGTGGCCCCTTGATGTCCCAGAGCGCCTGGCTTTTTCTACCTTTCCACTCAGCTTGTGATTAGATTGTTCATAATCATATCTCCTCAAGGTTGAAAAATGGCTGCTCCATCTCTAGCATCACATCAGTGTTCCATGCAAGAGTAATGGAAAGAACAAAGGGCCAAAGGCATTTGTCATTCTGCTTTCAATTAACTTTCTGAGAAGTCACACTTCATGACTTCCACTTACATATCTTTAGCTACAAGGTTGTCACTGTCTATGCCCACCTGCAAGGTGGGCTGAGATTTTGGTTTTTAATCTGGAAACATTGATATTACAGCAACAATCGGGGTTCTGATTGTAAGCAATAAAGGAAAATGGGTATTTAGTAGGCAAGAGAGTGTCTGCCACATGCTCTCCTCCCTGCAATCAATGGAGGGCTTTTGCTGAGCAATCAATGGAGGGCTTTTGCTGATGGGCTGACTCCTATTGAAGACATCAGATCTGCATACAAAGTTTTAACCTAGTTAGGTTTTGGATCTTCACAGACCTTGAGAATAATCCTATAATTTCTACAGCAATCTCTGCTTTTTGTTGGTGTAAACTTCGAAGAAAGAGTGCAGCAGTGGTTGTCTGTGATAGAATGGCTGAGGCCTCTCTAGTGTGCAGACTGTATTTGCCCAGACTCACCTAATCTTGACCTAAGAAATATTAAAGAAGAGGGTTTCCTTGTTTTTGAGAAACATGTGGATTACCCCTACGAAGGCTTTAAAATACGAGTCTGAATTATGTCTAGTTAAAATGCTAATTCATCAAAAACTGCACAAACACCAATGATCTAATATTACTTTCTTTTTTTTTTACAAGCATGTGGGTACTGGTAAATGGCATCCTGGAATGTTCATCAATGAGGAAATTGTAATCTAACATAATTGGCCATTTTGTCTGAAAAAAAGAATAAATTTAATTTGTTAATTGTGAAGCAGTCTATTGACTTTAAAGATGATAAACATTTTCCAAAGATTTTTGAGAAAAAACTATAGATATACTTAGAAACAATTAGGAATACAGAAGCATTGCTGCTGAATTAATGAAGTGATGAAAAAAGAGGCCCAGCAGTTCTGGATCTTTTTCATTATTCATCTACTTTGATTTTCTAAGACTTGCAGAATTTTACTTTGATCGACTCTACATGATGTCAAAAACATCCAGATGCAAGTTTAAAAGGTTTTGATATGTTTTAGACATAGCTTTTATCCTTGTACTTCAGTTTTCTCTACACTAAAGGAAGGAATGCCTGTTTCTTACCCACTAGGAAGAGATTTCCTTTGAGATCAGCCTGACCAATATGGAGAAACCCCATCTCTACTAAAACTACAAAAATTAGCCAGGTGTGGTGGTGTGCACCTGTAGTCCCAGCTACACACGGGAGGCTGAGACAGAATTGCTTGAACCCAGGAGGTGGAGGTTGCAGTGAGCTGAGCCAAGCCGAGATGACACCACTGCACTCCAGCCTGGGCAACAGAGCTAGACTCCGTCTAAAAAAAATAACAATTTGCAATCATTAGCCAACTTGGTTCCATTGCATGAACAGCACATAACTTCAGCATGGGAAAAAGCACTTTATCACCGTCATTTTAGATCTCCCCCAAAAAACTTGCCAAATGAAATAAGTTTGGAGGCGTTGTAATTAGTAGAGGTTTAGCTTGGAATAGGTGAAAAGAAAAAAAAAATACTTACAATGGATGCTAGTGATATGCTGGGCCCTTTCATGTGTCTCATGTGGGTTATGCTGTGTTAGGGGTTAGAAGACCTGTTTTCTAGATCTAGTTCTGTTATTAAACAGGTTTGAGATGTTGGACAAAATACACACATTAATGCTTTCACTTCACATTTTTCAGTTACAAAATGAGTCGTTTTCAATTACAATTGATACTTAAATTATAAGACATAGGATCAGTTCATCTTTTACTAAGTTCTGTTCTCTCAAAAGGAAATGTGGATATGGCACTGAGTTAAAGCAATTCCCTTCGTGGTTTATTATATGCATGAAAGGAATTCATATTCCTCTGGAAGAATCTGACTGGGCTTCTCAATGCAAGGTACCATTTTGGGTTGGATACGCAGGCATAACTGAACTGAATTCCCTGACTGAAACATGGCATCTAAATCTTAGGAAAATTCAATGGACTTCTTGAGCAGTTTAACAGGCTTAAGTAAGGACTAGGCTTGAATAATTCACCCACCAGAGTCAATACTTTTGCCAGTTGACTAAACAATGATAAAATTTGCCATTTACTTAGCTTACACTTTTTACTAGGCACTGAAATTCATTTATATTATTTAGAATCTGCAGAACAAAACCTCGAAAGTGGGTATTAATGATCCTATTAGAGCAGATTAATTCTCATAGACATTCACTAATTGTCCATGGCCAAATAATTATTAAATACTAGAGATAAGATTCAAACCCAGGTCTGCTGAACCTTGAAGCCTACGCTCTTTCTTTCACACCTCCAAGCCTAAGTCCTAAGGTTGGAAGGGTGTTAGATTCCTAATAGATCATCCTCCCAGCATCATTTTCACAGGTGGCATATGAATTTTCTAGCATTTCCAAAGTGGTATGGAATGTTTGGATTGTTCTGGGACTGTAGTAAAATATACAAGAATATAAAGTTATTCTAAACACACACACACACACACACACACACACACACACGCAGAGCTCCCTCAAATAGGAATTTACAGGCAAAGATTTATAAACAAGTTTACATTTGACCTGCGCTTGGAGGAAAAGCAGGGTTTTGACTGATAGGATGATAGGATGAGAAATAGAGGGAACTGGGAAATGCTAGTTGTGTTCAGGAAACACTGAAATGTCCTTACACAGAGGAGTGTAGAGGGAGTTATTGCTGAGTTGGGCAATAATATTCAAGGAAAAGAAGGCAAAATGAGACTTAATGAGTACCAATTATGGACTCTATAGTTAATGTCTCAAGTAGGGGTAGGGTGGGGGTGTCAAGACAAAGAGTATGTGTTTAAATTATTTGACAATGATGATTCATTGATGTCTTTTAAACGGTGTGCAACCAGATTAGTGCTCAGTTTTAGAGAGATTACTCTGTCAGTTGCCTGCTAAATATATTATTCATATAGAGAAAAAGTTGAAGACAGACCTCTTAAAGCTAAATGGCACCCTAATCCATGAACTCATGTAAATATCTTGGATACACAAATGGTTTTCTCTACTCTACCTTACAAGGAGTAATTCACATTTTCTCACTTTTTATGTAATGAATGAATGAATAATTTTAATAAATATAGTATTTTCTGGACACTTAATTATGTATAGGAGGGTATTCTAAGTGCCTTTATATACATTTTCTTAATCATCACAGGGTTGAATAAGTCTGAGGTTTAGAATGAATTAAGGAATTAGGTGTAGACAGATCAAGGAACTAGGTTTAGACAGATTAAGGAATTTGCCCAAGACCACACAGTTGGTAAATGCTGGTGCTGGCATTTTCACTCATTTGTAAATCCAGAGATCGCAACCACTGGGACACTGAAGAACAGGCTGAGTAAAGAAACCCTTTGCCATTTTGGAAAAAATATCTCTTCTTTTTAGTGGAATTGACATACTGGCTTGGGATGCTAAATCAGCTAAAGCATAATGTCAGGAGCCAGGCTGCCAAAGGCCATTCTCAGGGTAGAAAACCAATAAAATGGGCCCACCAAAAAGGAAGAACATTTCAAAATTTTCTTTAATGAGCACCCAGCAATAATCACTTTGAAAATAGGAAACTGGGCATAAAATACCCACTGGGCTCCCAAAAATCAAGATCCAGCCAAAAAAATATGAGGAGAGTTATGGCGGTATCTCAGTGCTAACAGCTGGGTAGCGCTGCAATAAGGCAGGTTAAGATGAGAATGTGTTGGGAGGACTGACTCATTCAACTCATCCCGGTGCAGCTGTTCTGAGCTTAAAGATAAGGTTTGATCGTTAAACTCTATTTGCTGTTAAGGTGACTTGTCAAGAGCTGAGGATAATTGCAACTGGATCTCAAGTCTCAATGCTAAACAGTCTTATATGTGGCATCACCCCCAGTATCTGCGGTGACACCTGTGAAGGCCCAGCTGTTTCCTCGGTAGTTCCCATACTTGGGAAAGACCACAGGGTTGTTTCAGGTAGCCTTATGGAGAGGGCTGGCATTTTGGTGAATTCACCATTGGTCTAGTTTCTGGATCTGTAATACTGAGGACCAGCTTCTTATGAGGATAAATCTCAGTGGAATTTATTTATGTTATCCAAATGCACAGGAGGATTACTTATAATTTAGAATTCAGTTATTAATTTTTAAAGCCTCAAATTCTTTGTGGAATAGTTCAGAATATAAATAATGGAAGGCTGGGTGGCAATGTGGAGAGAACATATGGTCTAGATTTAGACAAAAGAGTTTCTGAGAACTTCATTTGGGTAGATAACCTTGAGCAACTTCTTAACAGCTCTAACCTGGAATTTTCCATGAGAAATGAAGATAATATTATGTCATCAGGTTAGTTTGACTCTAGAATACTCAGCTCAAGGGCAAGGGATACTGGCTGGGGAAAACATCACAGGCTGCTAAGGCTGACTCCAGCAATTATAGCTGCGTGCCCCAGGAAGCAGGGCCCCAGAGAAGTAGCTGTCTAGGTACTCATCAGGCTAGGGCATTACCAGGTGTCTCAATTTGGTGGTTGGATCATTGCAGTATCAGAAGGACTTTCATTGTAGAAAATCCTAGAATGTAGTTTCCTTTAACTCACAAAATGGAACTCTCAAGACATTAAACCATGGCTGTGATAAAATGGCGTTGGGTTCAGAGTCTGGTTCCAGTGACAGAGGAGGAGTGGCAACATGGAACGGAGGAGCCAGGGTACTTTCAGAAGGAGCTCTGTGCACTGAGCCATCCCTTATTAGGGAAGGGTAGTCCCTGGTGCTTCTGTTCCAAGTTCTGACATTGAATTCCAATTCCCGCTGTGTGATGGAAACAAAGTTGTTACCCTTCCTCCTCATCAATGTGGCTAACTTTGGGCAACTGTCAAAGATGAAGGCAGGGAGGCAAGGCAGGGTCTGTCAGCATCACGGCAAGAGACGGTAAAATAATAATAATGAGATTCTAGAAAAGTTTAGGAAAGTAACTGAACCTCACAAAGAGCATCTCTTCCTAAGGCCAGTGAGGTATCTGCTGGGGCCACCTGTATTTTGAGATCTAAATAACATTAGCCCAGGACCCTGTCACAGTTTCTCAGCCTATGGAAGTCACACCCCAAGATTTCTCTGAATTCCTTTCTCTCCTTTCCTCTTTCTCCTTTCCTCTCCTTTATTTTCCTTCTCCTTTTTTTATTTCCCTTTCCCTTTTCCCTTTTCCTTCTCCTCTCCCCTCCTCCCCTCCCCTCTCCCACCCTTCCCCTTTGCCTTCTTCTCCCTTCCTTTTACCTCCTCTCTCCTCTCAATTGCACTCCCAAATAACTTGACTAAATAAATTCCTCTTGTAAGCAACATTCAGATCACAGGGTATGAGTACTGTTATGTAAAGGCTGCCCTTGGTATCAAAGCGGAAGGTTAAAGAGCCATTTTCAGAAATTGAATCTAACAACAGCCAGATAAAATGAATGCTGGTCTCCTGTGGAGTTCTTTCTAGAAATAATCTTAATCTAATAGATACTTTATTTTAAATGTATTTCTTTCCTTTCCTTTCCTGTTTCCCTCCCTCCCTCCCTCTCTCCCTCCTTCCTTCTTTCTTTTCTTCCTCCCTCTTTCTTTCTTGTTCACATTGGCAACCTGGATTATGAACCACAATGACCAAGGTATGGAATTCATCCTCTTCTTCAAGTTTAGCACCCACCTACCCATACAAACACACACTCTCAAACAAAATGTTAATGCCCTGGTAGACTTTATTAATGATTTTTGGAAATGAGTGAGAGAAGAGGGTCACATAATAGCACTGGGAAAAACATGTGTAATGGAGATCTAGACCATTCCATCCCTGGAGATTTCGTTACTCCTCTCTTCATCCTCCCTTTCTCACTCTTCTTTACTTATCTTTCCCATTTGCTTTTGGGCACAAATACCACATATTACACTTCTTTTCTCAAGCAAATCAATTATAATGTCCTTTGCTGATATTCATGCCCTCTGCTGATATTCATGCCCTCTGCTAATGTCTCATTTCTCTGAAGGGAACATAAGGTGGTTGTTTTGAGGACCATTTCTTCCTAAGAGATATTCTTACGTTGTCAGAAAAGATAGTAAAAAAAGATGCTAGTGATCAGAATACTGGTGCTTCAACAATTCAGAATTTTCTTTTTTTTTTTTTTTTGGCTGATGTTCAGTAAATACTTACTAGTATTCACTTAACCAACTTAGTTCTTTTCAACATTCTAGCAAAAGAACCTATTACTCCAACTTTATCTAATGGCAGTCACGTATCAAATAGTTAAGCTTAGCTTTCTTTGTATTTATTGTATAAAAGTCTTAGCATATGGATTTTGGAAGACACCCTATTCTCATCAGCAATACTTTTAAAAGAAAATATCTATTAGAACAGGATCCTTTCTAGAAAGAATTCCACAGGAAACCAGCATCCATTTTATCATGCTGTTTGTTAGGTTCAGTTTCTGAGGATGACTCCTTAACCTTCTACTTTGATACTAAGGTCAGCCTTTACATAACAGTAGTCATACCCTGTGCTCTGAACATTGCTTACAAGAAGTATGGGGTCAAGTTCTTGGAAGTGCAATTGAGAGGGATTCAGAAATATCACTTCTGATTTTGTTGTGCAGAAAATAGTGATTAATTTAACCAGAACTTCTGCCAGAAATATTCTGTCATTGTGTAACAGGAAAGTTTACCCTATTATGATGATGGCCAGGTGTATTTTTTTAAAGAAAAAGTTATCTTATTTGACCACATTAGCAACAAAAATATTTTATACCTGAAATAGTATCCAGATATTGAAGCCTAGGAAAAAGAAGGTGAAGAATAAGTAAAATAGCCAGTAGTCTAGAATAAAAGTAAAATATAATGCATTGGATAGGCAGCTGAAATTTTATAGAAGCTTTGTAGAAGAATCTCATAGAAGAGTTTTGAATTGTAGTAGAGATATTTTTGGAGGTTTCAGATGTCTCAAATAATCTCCATGTAGTTTTACATTACTATACCTTGGAATTGGGAGACTTGTGTAGAGCAAGTTGATGTAACATCACAATAGGAAAGATTAATATTTTTATATTCTAAAAACTACTCAAGCATATGAGTGGCACATGAAATATCAAATATCATCCCTCAGTATGGCAATAATATTTCCAGGGCAAAAGCAATTCTTGTTGTCACTTTAGTTTGAATGAGTAATTTTCTGGCCAAAAACATTGCAGATTTTTTTTTTAAGATCTCAGCGCATTAAATAAAAGAAACTGTTAGCTCTTTGGAGGTACAAGATTTCATTGGTGGCTTTGCATGCTTAATCATGAACACTTTTCTTCAACTCCTAAAACAATAGAGAAATATCAGCATTAATAAAATACCTTCAAAACACATAGTTTAATTTAAACAATAATTTCCACATATAGAATAGATCCCTGTCATTTTTACTAATGGTGGACCCCCTGCTGTGCTATATTATGGGAGAACCTCTAGGGAAGAAACAAGCGAAACAGGACCAGACTGTGGGCTGAGGCAGAATGTTGGGTGGCAGGGTATGGATCTGATTAAGACAGCAAAGCTGCTTGCTTCCTTCCTCACTCATGGGAAGGGACCAGGAGTCCAAGTCTATGAATGTGTGGCAACCTGGAATTCCTACTCAGGTGTCACAGCCCTGGGAGTGAGGCTGTTGCATAGCTTCCACTCCCTTTGTGAAGAGTTCTTTTCAGGGTTAGTAGAGCCTGCCTTGTTCTTAACAATGAAAGATGGCGCAAGCCGATGCAGGGAACTGTGAGAAGTGTTCTCATAGAGATAAGCAGGAAGAAGAAAGGCCCAAGTGCCTCAGCCCCACAAGCCTGCTAACTGAGCCCTCGGGGCTGGTCTCCAATCCTGCGGAGAACTAGAATGTTGCAGAAAACCAAGGACCTTAATGGAAGACCACAGAGGCTGGTTCTGACTTTGAAGGTGGGGTAGATGGGGAGGTCTAGTTTGATGCCCATAGGATAACATTCCTTTTTGAATTCCCAGGAGTATCTCCAGAGTCATGTTGCTCACTTGGAAGGCCTCCTAATGTCCCAAGTACCTGCATTCTAGGGGCCCAGTCCTGAGTGACAGATGGTGATGCAGGCATCTAGGTCAGGATTGTAGCTACCAGAGAACAACTGTTTTGATACAGCTATTATGGAATGATTTGAATATATTAATTATATACTTCCTCATAAATATTACATGTAGAGAAAGTGAAATATGACTGTTAGCCTAAGTTAAAACAGCATCTTTATATTGGCTTTTTGTTCTTACTCCTTTTTTCCCTCAACTTTTATTTTAGGTTCGGGGGTAAATGGGCAGGTTCGTTCCGTAGGCAAATAGCATTTTGTCAGTGTTTGTTGTACAGATTATTTCATTACCTAGGTAACAAGCATCGTACTCGATGGGTAGTTTTTCCATCCTCTCCCTCCTCCCACCCTCTGCCCTCAAGTAGTTCTCCATGTCTGTTCTTCACTTCTTTGTGTCCATGTGTATTCAATGTTTAGCTCCTCATAAGAGAGAACATGCAGTATTTGGTTTTCTACTCCTGTGTTAATTCACTTAGGATAATGGCCTCTAGCTCTGTTCCTACTCCTTTTGATCCTAAAGAAAAGTAAAGTCCACATCCTCTCCCCATGTCCCTGGGGTGGGCTTAACACCCAGGCTTGCAGCGCATTAGTTAGGAGAGAATTTGTTCCTGCAGCCAATACTTCTTGCTTTACTAGGCTGGGATACCAAATAACTTCATATTCTCTTTTTTTGTTTACATCAGATGATGTTAAACTCCCATTCTACCTGTTGCTAGAGTATTTCTTTTCTCTGTCTGAGATCTTTTTCTTGTGATAATCACAGCAATTCCAGGGATGCTTTTTTAGCCCAAGATAGTCCAAGGATAAGGCCTGTTTACTGTTACGTTTGTCACTATATTGCTACCATATGGGATCACTAAAACTCAGCTAGTCCTGCCAACCTAACATCTATGTTGTCTATTGCAAAGTAGTCTGCCTTAAATGGAGCATGTACCTCAACACTGACCTGGTACTCCAGTAAAATGGTGCAATCCCTGGGTCCCTTTTAAGATGTATTCTCTGCTGACGCACTTCCAAAAATGGGAATGAAGTGTAACATGTACTTGGGTGTATTTGTTTCCCAAGGCTCCTGTAATTATCACAAATCAGATGGCTTAGAGCAATAGGAATTTATTGTCTCACAGTTCTGGGGGCTAGAAGCCTCAAGTCATGGTGTTGGCAGGGCTATGTTCTCCATGAAGGCTCTAGGCAAGGATCCTTCCTTGCCTCTTGATATTGTTTGGCTGTGTCCCCACCAAAATCTCATCTTGAATTGTAGCTCCCATAATTCCCACCTGTCGTGGGAGTGACCCAGTGGGAGATAATTGAATCATTGGGTTGGTTTCCCCCATACTGTTCTCATGGTAGTGAATAAGTCTCGCAAGATCTGATGGTTTTATAGGGGGAAACAACTTTCACTTTTTTTCTCATTCTCTCTCTTGCCTGCCTCCATGTAAGATGTGCCTTTCAGCTTCCACCATGATTGTGAGACCTCCCCAGATACGTGGAACTGTGAGTCCATTAAGCCTCTTTTTCTTTATAAATTATGCAGTCTCAGGTATGTCTTTATCAGCAGTGTAAAAATGAACTAATACACTTCTTCCTAGCTTCTTATGGTTGCTCACAATACTTGGTGCTTCTTAGCTTGTAAATGCACCACTCCAATCTCTGCCTTCATCATCCTACATGTTGTAAGAGTATTTCTTTTCTATGTCTGAGATCTTTCTCTTGTGATAACAACGGCAACCCTAGGGATGCTTTATTAGCTCAAGTTAGTCCAAGGGTCATGTCTGCTTATTCTCTTCTTTTTGGGGTCCTTTTGTGTGTGTGTGTGTCTATATCAAAATTTCTCTCCTTTTATAAGCATACCAGTCATTGGATTGGCACCCACTCAATTGACTTAGTCCATTCATGCTGCAAAACCAAAACACCAGAGGCTGGGTAGTTTATAAACAATAGAAATTTATTTCTCCCAGTTCTTGAGAACTGGGGAGTCCAAGAGCAAGGTGCCAGCAGATTAAGTGTCTGGTGAGGGCTCATTGCTGATTCATAGATGTGACTTCTTGCTGTGTTCTCACATGCTGGGAAGGGTGAATGAGTTATCTTAGGTCTATACTATAAGAGCACTAATCCTATTCATAAGGGCTCTGCCCTCATGACTTAAATCAGCTCTACGAAAACCCACCTCCTAATACCATTACTTAGAGATTAAGATTTCAACATACGAATTTTGAAGAGACACATAATTCAGACCAAAGCACTAATCCAGTATGACCTTATCTTCATTTGGTTATATCTTTAAAGACTCTGTTTCCAAATAAGGCCACACTCACAAGTACTGGGCTTAATTTTAGGAAACATCACAATTCAACACATAAACTCAACCAATAACAGTCTATCCTGTGACCTATGAGGTCACAAAAAGAAAAGGAAGGCTAAATAGGAAAGATGGAAATAGTTTCAAAATTACTCCTGGAAATAAAAATGCAAAACAATTGGATTAGCTTAGCAAATAATTGATTCCTGCCATCAAATTTGAGGAGAGTGGCGAAGAACTGCAGAGGAAAATACTGATAAAAATGTAGAAGTTGTCCAGAAAAATCAGAATAAAGCAAGATCTTTGGAGTCTACACAAAAATAGCTTTGGTGTGGGGGCATTACTGAGTGGATCACTCCAGGCCTCTTATGCTTAGAATGGTCCTACCTGAATTTGACCATTTCCTTTTCTTTTAAATCTTGGATGCTTCTCTTCTGTTTCATCGAGTATTCATAGAAACATATAGTAAAATGTCTGGCTATTTAAAAAAGCTTTTTAAAAAAGTTGTGAGTAGTTGAGAAGATTGAAATCTCTATTTGGAATTTGGGGAATTCAAGTTGATCTATATTTCTGAAAAACTCACAAGGACAAAAATTATTATTCTCTTAAAGAGTAAATACTTTTTTTTAAAATAGATGCCTCATCAACAAACCAATGGGAACTGTTAAAAAGAATTAATTGGGAGGTCATTAGGCTGAAATGGCTCCACTGCTTTGAATTCCTACATAAGCAAACGAAAGCCCAGCTCAATGTAAACAGTAAAACAGCACTTAAGCTCAGAAACCACCAAACTAACATCTAAGTAGCAACTTTCCACTTTAACCAATCCAATATATTTTCTTTGTTAATTAGCAACTTTCCACTTTAACAAACTCAATATATATTTCTGTTTCTTCTGGGAATACAGTATAAAAGTTTTTCCTCACAACCCCCTGAAGGAGCCCAACCACCTGCTGTCTGGAGCTGCCCAATTCATGAATCACTGCTCAAACAAACTTTAAAATTTTAATGTGGCTAAGTTTATTTTTTAACAAAGCCATAGAAACAGTCAATGAGATGACCTCTACTTTTATTTAACTCAGCATCCAAGGGCAAAATGCAACATCGCTGAGAAAAGAGCAATAGCACAATAGCCCTGAACCAATGCCATATATATATATATATATATATATATATATATATATATATATATGTATCTGTGTGTGTGTGTGTATGTATATGTATGTGTCTGCTGTATGGTCTCATTACAATAAACAATTGAGAGAGCTAGGGTTTTTTTCAGGTAAAAATTAGCATATTGAACACGGCAACTAGTGATTAGAAGAGTCTGTGAGGACAGGGTGGGAACAAACTAGAAGAGAGTTCAAATGCAAAGGTCCAGAAGGGCCATCTTTTCACAGATATTAGATTTTTTTTTTTTAATTGTACTTAGTTCAGTCTATTCTCAGCTTGGCATGACCATGACCCTTTGATCCAAGGAGTAGTTGACCTAGAAATTCTAGTGTCTATTTCAAAGGAAGATGGGGTCTGCTGACATGGTCTGGACTGTACAACTTGCCCTCATTTGTCAGTAATCACTACTCTCTGACAGTGAGCTCTAACTGTTATCTGTGAATCCTTCTGTGCTCCTTTGCCAGCATCTGCATTTTGCCTTTAACTTCCATTGTGATCTACATCCAACACTAACGATCTGTCCTCTGACTTGTTCCATGGTTTCAGCTTCAGAAAAAGACCACTGATCACCTGATTTCCTGCATCTTCCAGATCAACAGCCTGATTCAACTGGTCCTTCTTTGAACGACATCTTTCTATGTCTGCTCATGTAGCCTGATAAACTCCTTAATGGACACTGAATTAAACTCTGAAGTTGGACACTAGTCTAGCTATATGGTTGCAAGAGCATGCCTTTATTCTAAAGGAAGTGAAAAGTTAAAAAATACATTGAGGCCAAGTATGGCAGCTCACATCTGTAATCCCAGCACTTTGGGAGGCAGACAGGTGATTTGTTTGAGCTCAAGAGTTTGAGACCAGCTGGGCAACATGGTGAAACCATGCCTCTAAAAACAATACAAAAATTAGCTGAGCATGGTAGTGCATGCCTGTAGTCCCAGCTACTTGGGAGGCAGAGATGGGAGGATCAGTTGAGCCCTGGAGGCAGAGATTGTAGTGAGCCAAGGTAGCACCACTGTACTCCAGCCTGGCCATCAGAGTGAGACCCTGCCTCAAAAAACAAAAACAAAAAATCCAACAACTATGGAAAAGAATCTTAGCCCAGTTAAGACACTAATTAATTTCCTAATTTCTTTAATCATTTAGTGCAGCACTGTCCAATGTAACTTTTTTCAAAGATGGGGATGCTCTATTTCTGTACTGGCCAATTCAAAAGCCACTAGTCACATATGGTTATTGAGCACTTGAAATGTAGCTAGTGTGGCTGAGGAGCTGAATTTTTAACTTAATTTAATTTTATTTCACATACATTCAAATTTAAATAGCAACATGTGTCTGTGGCTACTGGTTCAGAAGCATGGATTTACTCTATTCCTTTATATTCTGTGACAGAACAATAACTAATTTATTAGAGGCAAATATCGAACTTAATTCATTTGTTATGATAAGATCTTTGTAGAATCTTAAGAAGAAAAGAAAAAAAAAGGCAATGAACTTTGAAATGGGGGTCTAACCATACAGCTCCAGGGCAATGAGTTAAGCTTACCATCATTTACGTGTCGTTGTAAAATGACATATCTATCTTTGTAGCTGCAAGCACACCTCAAGAACTATGGGAACTCTGACAAAGGTGAGAATGTTTGAAACATATTCAGTCACGTTTCCCAGAAGCTGGCTGAGATCCTGGACAGGGTTGAGGACCTAGCCTTTTCTGATGAAAACCTTGTCCCTTGATAAAATTGTTTGGCTCTCATTTTAAACTATTGCAGCAGTTAAGAGATAAAGGAATTATCTTGGCATTTTGAAATTGTTTCTTTTAATTTCTCGGAGTTCAATTTAGTGTTTTCTTAAAAAAAAAAAGCTTCATTAGCATTCATGTGCAAAATGTTATTCAAACTTTAAAAATAGAAGATGTTAAAGTTGAGGTAATGTATCTGATTGGGAAATTGAGGACTAAGCTCTGATTTTTTATCTTACCCAAATTCCTACCTAAGGGGTCTAGGGAGTCATGCCCTACAAACTATAAATTCTCATCAGATGGGTTTTATTTCGCCCTGTATATTGTGGCTTACTTTTCAGTCTGACTCTGGCATAACATTATGAGACAAGGAAAAAAAAAATTTAACTCCAAAATATATTTCCTTGCCATACTTTAAAATTGCCCTGCAACATCTCTTAGAAAAATCCACATTCTATAGAGAATCCCCTTCCCCCTTTGTTCTCCTTCCTCCCTTCCCAGATCCAGGAGATAATCAGCTAAAAGCCAGGCACCCTTTTAAGTCCGATGAAAAACAATTTACAACTTGCTCTCTCTAAAGCCTGTTACCTAAGAGCTTCCTCTGCACAATAAAACTTGGTGTCCACAAGCCTTTATCTTTAACCTGAATATTCCTTTCTATAGATCCCAGGTCTTCAGACAACCTCAACCAATTGTCAACCACAAAATGTTTAAATTGACCAATAGCCTGGAAGCCCCTGCTTTGAGTTGTCCTGCCTTTCTAAACCAAACTAATGTAATTCTTAAATGTATTTGACTGATGTCTCATGCCTTCCTAAAATACATAAAACCACGCTGTACCGCAACTACCGTGGGCACATGTTCTCACGACCCCCTGAGGGCTGTGTCACTAGCCGTGAGCACTCATATTTTGTTCAGAATAAATCTCTTCAAATGTTTTACAGAATTTGACTCTTTGTCAACAGGTTATTTTATTCCTGAACTGGAAATCCAAAGAAACAAAGAAAAAGGCCAGTTAAACAGAGAGACATATTACTGACTGCAGAGAGCACTTCCATTGTAAGGCCTGAGAGAAAATATTTTATTATAGTACCAAGATGAGAAACTTCATACAGAATCAGTTTGATCAACTTTAAGATATAGCGCTCTGGGTTCCACATGCTTCTGTGGCCATTAAGAGGCCCTTTTGCAGAAAAGTTTTAATTAAAGGTAGCTAAATCTGGAATTAGTGTCCTTTATCTTCCTTTTTAATGAGATGACTCTAGAGAAGATGTAGCTGTACAGAGAAGACAGGGGAAAGGAAAGAGGTGAGTTGAGAAATAATTAAAAACATGAAAACTTCTAATATTCAAATGTGATTAAAAATAAGGTGATATAGGCACCAAACCCCCAGTCTTCCTCCTTTCCAGATTCTCCTTCAAGGGCCCCAAAAATCTACAGCTTGTGTGGTTTTGAGTGTCCATAGAATGACTTTCCAGTTATTCCCCAGTTTTTTCAGGATATCCTTGTAATATCCTCATTTTTGTTAGACAGAAATCAGCTCCACTGCAACATGAATTTTGGGCAACTTGCTTTGTTCAACAGAATACTGAGTCTGTGTGTCTGTGCAGCAAAGGTGACAGGGTTCCTTCCTTCCTTCCTTCCTTCCTCCCTCCCTTCCTTCCTTCTTTCCTTCCCCCTCCCTCCCTTCTTTCCTTCCTTCCCTCCCTCCCTTCCTCCCTCCCTCTCTCCCTTTTTTGTTCCTTCCCTCCCTTCCTCCTTCCTTCCCTCCTTCCTTCCCTACCTCCCTCCTTCTTTTCTGTCATATTGCTTGCCTGATGTGGGTGGGAATTATAAGATTGACTCAGCAAAAATAATATTTTAATAATTTGGCTTTCAAAATATTTGTGAAACCCACTGTCTCTAAGCCAGGCTTGAATAGGAGCATTGCTGGATTTCCATAGTAAGCTGGGAATCACACAGTTATGAAACCCTCCTCCTCTGTTACCCATCCTCACCTGCATCTCTAAGAGACATAAAAGAATATTTGTCTTTTTATTTTCAATACTTCTTTTATTTATCTTATTAAGTCTGTATTTTTGCATAGAAATGAGGAGATGTTTTACTGTTTATATCACTGTCACTTGTCAGGCAATTGATTTATTCTGTGTGACACTAGAAAAAATAAAACACTAATTTATATTCATGAATTCTCATTTATGCTTTCTAAACAGATATAATACAATCTGTCTAACCTCTCCAAGAAGTTCTAGAGCCCTGTCATCTTGTGACATTTTCTCTCCAATATAAGTAAAAGGAAAACAGTATATGAAAGGTAAAAATATTATAAATAAAATTGAATAAACTATTTTTCAGATAAACAAAAATTAGAAGGAATTACTAAGTCTTATTTTACTTTCTAAACTTAATTTTATAATACTTCAGACGATGAACAGAAAACTTTGGACTGAAACTTGAGTATTACCACAATATGTCTTGCATGTATATATAAATATCTATATTGGCAAACAAGCAAATAAAAATCCAAAAGCAGTCATCGGTAATAACTGGACACATTTAGCTTTAGTAACCCATATAATCAGCCTCACCTGTCAATTTACAACATGGCAAATTTCTCTTTTTTCTCAGAGAGTCTGCAAATTTTTTATCATATCACATATCTTGACCAAACCAAACCAAACCAAAACAGCTAATGTTTACCTTTTAAAGGTTTTGTTCTTTTAGTTAATGTCATTAATATTCAACAGCTCCTTGTGGAGACAAATAGGGTGAAATAATTTTAAGTCTCAGTTAAAGATCACTTTCGTAGAACAAGATTCCCCAGCTTCCCAGTTTTGTCTAGGTTCCCCTGTTACGTGCTCTTTTTTTTTTTTTTTAATTTTACTTTAAGTTCTGGGATACATGTGCAGAATGTGCAGGTTTGTTACATGGGTATACATGTGCCATGATGGTTGGCTGCACCTGTCAATCCGTCATCTAGGTTTTAAGCCCCACATGCATTAGGTATTTGTCCTGATGCTCTCCCTCCCCTTGCCCCCAACCCCCCAACCCCGGTTTTTGATGTTCCCCTCCCTGTGTCCATGTGTTCTCATTGTTCAATTCCCACTTATGAGTGAGAACATGGGGCGTTTGGTTTTCTGTTCCTGTGTTTGTTTGCTGAGAATGGTGGTTTCCAGCTTCATCCACATCCCTGCAAAGGACATGAACTCATTCTTTTTTATGGCTGCGTCATATTCCATGGTGTATATGTGCCATATTTCTTTATCCTTTCTATCACTGATGGGCGTTTAGGTTGGTTCCAAGTCTTTGCTATTGTGAATAGTGCTGCAGTAAATATACGTGTGCATGTGTCTTTACAGTTGAATGATTTATGATCCTTTGGGTATATACCCAGTAATGGGATTGCTGGGTCAAAAGGTATTTCTGGTTCTAGATCCTTGAGGAATCACCACACTGTCTTCCACAATGTTCCCTGTGACATACTCTTGCAGTCCTCTGTATTTCCCCTCCACAGAACTTTGCACAATTGCAATGCAAGCAATTGTTTTTACAATGCTTGCTTCATGGCTGCTTATCATTAGACTGAGCTCCATGGTGAAGACACTATGTTGAGCTTGTTCCTCACTATTCCCCAAGGCTGAACCCAAGCCCTCTCTGGGATCTATATTGTACTTTTTCAAAAACACTTTGGACTAATGAGGTACAATTTTTACAAGAAACTTTAAAATAAAATATTTAAAGCATTTAACATTTGCATAAGAACTGCTGTGGGTTGGATTTCTCCCTTCAGAGGGATTTGGCTTTGGATAAACCTGCTAAGCTGGACTTGTGCATCACAACACTGGATTCTGCTAAGGGTCCAGAGATGAGCGTTCCTTTGTATTTGTGATTTACATTCTGGAAATGAAAACAGTGAGTAATGTGTGGCTGAAGTATCTGTGGGATGAGGCCAAAATTAGGTTTACTCTGTGACTAAGCAACTTTTTTCAGTAGAAGTTAAAGCTGAGGAAAATAAAAATGCTATCTAAAATGGAAATGAGAGCCATCATGGACCAGAAACGTGGGCAGGCGTAGGAAGCTTCAGAGTTGGAATCCAATTCGAAACAACTTCCCATCACGGCAGGAAAGAACCAAACGAATGGAAATAGAGGAAGAAACTTTGGTGAAATCGAGCTTGGAAAACAGCTTGTTGGTAAAAATATTAACTAAGTCGTTGATGGGTCTGGTGTGTTGGAGTTTTAATGCTGGTTCCTTGAACAATACCATTAAAATACCTGATGATAAGGCAAACCCAAGCTTATTGCTCGTAAAATCAAGGAGAAGAGAAGAAAAAGTCGGAGTATTTATGAGATTTGGGGGTATGGTATAAGGGTTAATATTGGGTGAAAATCATACTAATTAAAAATGGGTGGGTAGGATTTCCAAGAGTCTCGGAGAGTTAACAGTCATTTGATGCTATTTATTGAAAAGTTGGGCAGTCTGATAATAAATTAAGTGGGATTTTGGAGAAGTCTCTGAAATAAACAGTGAAGTTATCTGCAGCTTTTATCTTTGTGGGCCAGAGTTTCCTGGAATAGTAAAGCCCTGTTGATGAAGTCAAGGGAATAGTAAAGTCTTGCTAAAAGTCGACAGTAACTTGTTTGGGTGTGGGTGGTTTCCAATCTCTATACTCTTCTTCCTCTGCAACGTTTTTCTATTTTAGCATAAGACCACTTGGAGGAGCATTGGGGGAAATAATGGCTACCTTATAAAAATCAGCATTGAAAAAAAGTATGCTATCTTTCTTTCTTTCTTTCTTTCTTTTTTTTTTTTTTTTTTTTTTTTTTTGAGACGTAGTCTTGCTCTGTCTCCCAGGCTGGAGTGCGGTGGCGCAATCTCGGCTCACTGCAAGCTCCGCCTCCCGAGTTCACGCCATTCTCTTGCCTCAGCCTCCTGAGTAGCTGGGACTACAGGCGCCCACCACCACGCCCGGCTATTTTTTTCTATTTTTTAGTAGAGATTGGGTTTTTCACTGTGTTAGCCAGGATGGTCTCGATCTGCTGACCTCGTGATCCACCTGCCTTGGCCTCCCAAAGTGCTGAGATTACAGGCTTGAGCCACTGCTCCCGGCCGGAAAAAAGTATGATGTCTTTCAATCCACCTATTCTATCATGAGCAAGACATTTTTTAACCTCTACTTTGTGTGGCCACTGGAGCTCATGAATTTAAATCTTTTCACTCCCAGATTGCTAATGAAGTAACAATACAGCAATAAGCAAAGTCCTGGACCCAGAGAAGAAGGGAAAATAGCAGATGCTACATTTACCTGTTTAATTCATTTGCTTAGAGATTTCCAGAAATATTTGTTGGGGGGAAATTATTTGTAGTAAGAACAGATAGTGTAAATGTGTAAGGTTAGTTATTCATGCATTATACATAGTACAATAACAGTATAAGGCGTATAATATTTCTGATAGGTATGTGAGGACATGCTTTTAAGTGAACCAGCTATAATTTGTTTTGCCTGATTATATGCTTGGTTAAAAATGACCGTTCTCATAATCGAATGAATACCGAATCGAGTAAATGTTGTGATGCAATTTTAAGACATGAAAATGTCTGTAATAAAAGAATTATTTAATTTTTTTGAAAAAATATCGCAATGTGACAAAATGCATTAAAATGTTTGTCAAGAACTCTCAATGGACTGGAAAGCTAGCAAATCCTCCTGACCTAGATGAGGAGACAAGAAAAACACATTAAAACTCGAATGGTTACCAAACTGCATGAACATACACCTGACCAACAGGGAGCAGGAGCAGCAACAGCAGCACCAGCAGCCTTTTCACTGTTTTTTGTTTTTTGTTTTTTTGAGACGGAGTCTTGCTCTGTCACCAGGCTGGAGTGCAGTGGCGCTATCTCGGCTCACTGCAAGCTCCACCTCCGGGTTCAAGAAATTCTCCTGCCTTAGCCTCCCTAGCAGCTGGGACTACAGGTGCCTGCCACAACGCCTGGCTAATTTTTTGTATTTTTAGTAGAGGCGGGGTTTCACCGTGTTAGCCAGGATGGTCTTGATCTCCTGACCTCATGATCCACCTGCCTCAGCCTCCCAAAGTGCTGGATTACAGGCGTGAGCCACCACGCAGGGCCTTTTTTGTTGTTTTAAGTGAGTTAGCCAGAACTGTGGAGTGACTGGGATACTGGTGCTGTAGTCCCTTCTCTTGTTCCTTAGGGAATTCCAGGTCTTCCCTAAATGCTTGCCTCTGAGGCTATGTGGTAGTGAATCCATGTAAAGCAGAAGTCACAAAATCAAATACCTATAGAGAACAGCAACTTATCATAAACTGAGGAGATTATGCGAAGCACTAGGGGATGATGGCAACTGTGGTGAATTAAAAAAAGCAGCAACTTGTCAGATCTAGTTAATTGTTACCATGTAGTAATAGATGACCAATGTGGCCAGAGGTTTCATTCTTTCAAGAGATTCTGGCAATTCAGATTTTTATATAGTATTTACAGTTTTTTGTTTATAATGTTTTAATGGTTAAAAAAAAATCCCACATATATGCAGGCTGAATTTTGCCTGTGGCCTTCAACTTTTTTAATAGCTGAATTCTAAAAACATAATAGCCAATATGTAATCCACTTTTCTCCTTTCCCCTTTCATTTTGCTGAATAGGAAACCATTGATGCTGTTTATTTTGAAGGGGAGACCCTCACCCGAGTCTAGAATCATCCTGTGCTGCCTGTAGCAGGACCTGAATTTCCATCATTAGTGATTATTTTGGTTTTAGGACAGAGGGTCTTTTAGTTATCTGTCAAATATTAAAACATCCCTGGTTGTCACTTTGTTAAGGTAATAAAATAAATCTAATCAATTATAAACTTTTGCTGAAACTAATCAACTAATAGATGATGGAAAGAAAGCAAAGCACCAGGAAAATGATTCTACTGTGTAAAAGAATCATTTGTTCAAAATGCAGATTCCCTGGCTGTAATCCTAGAGATACAAATTCTCAGAATCTAGGGGAGAGACCAAACTGTGTGTTCAGGGAGCACTCCTGGGTGGGTCTCATGTAGCTAGTTATTTGGAAACAGAAAAACAAAAAAGAAAACAAAAGTCCAAGCAGTTGTTCTCAAACTTTAATGTGCCTCAGAATCACATGGAGGGCTTATTATAATATAAATTACTGGTCCACCCTCAGAGTTTCTGATTCAGTAGATCTGGGGTGGGGCTGAGAATTTACATTTCTAGCAAGATCCAAGATGATGTCGCTACTGGTCATGGGACTATACTTTGGGAACCACTACAAATAATTTCCCCCAACAAATATTTCTGGAAGTCTCTAAGCAAATGAATTAAACAAGTAAATGTAGCATCTGCCATTTTCCCTTCTTCTCTGGGTATAAAACCTTGTTTATTACTCTAAAAGAATGAAATACATGTTAGTTGTATCCAGAGTGAACCATGCAGGCCCTGGTAAGTGTATGCAGGAGCTGAAAGTGAGGACGGGAGAGTCTGGAATAGTGCCATCCATTTCATAATATTGCCTTGGGTCTGGCCCTGGAACCCAATACTTAATTGCATTGTAGACTTTGCTCTTGGTTCATTCGCTCATCAACTATTTATTGACACTAACCATGTGTCAGGCATTGTGCAAGAGTTAGGCCCATAAATTAATTAGCTTATTAAATCACCACATAATTAATTTGACAAATATTTATTAAGCATCTACCATTTTCCAAGTCATGGACTTAGTTGATAGTAAAAGACAAATCTCAGCTGCCATGAATCAGAAGCCGTGACTCTTGGCTTCTCTGCTGTCATTCATATTCAGAAGCAGGCTTGAAGAAAATCTTGGTTCTTTCTGTGTAAGCTAAACAGAGCACAGTAGAGCTGGTTGGTTGTGTTATCCCAGGGGAATGATCCTCTGCACAGATCCCTGAAGCTCTAAAGGAAGAAGCATTTCTGTCTGAACTGTGCTGTCAGCTGTGGACCTGCGTGCCAATGGGAACAGTGAGCACTTTCCTGTTATGAGCGAGCAGGCTTCCCATGGTCACCACTGTGCTTGGGAGCAGACCCCAGACACACTTTTTCTAGAAATGGTGCATTTCCAGTAAAGAAAGGAAATGCATGTAAGGCAGGCTGTGAGAATCTGTGCCAATGCAGCCCTCCTGCAACGTTTCATAGAAAAGATCCTTTATGCTCCACAGGAGGCCTGCCCTTTCTCTGTGTCTGCAGACAGTGGGTAATAGAGGGCATGGGGTCAGAAGCACAGGTTTTTCCCCAGTTATACAGGCTGCTCCAGATGACACCTGATGGAAAATAATTCATTTTTTCAAATGCAAAAGCTAGGGCTGGAGGAAAACTGGGAGTCTCCTAGTATCTCCACATTGCTTTCTTGGATTCAGACCTCTTTTTACAAGTATGATACAACAATACCGAAGACAGAAATCAAACCTTCATCCAGTCTGGCTTTTGTTTCCTTGGTTCTCTGAGTCATTCAGTTTTTAGAAAGAAAGCCTAAAACATAAATTATCTAGGAAACAAATATCAACAATTTTGAACGTGTTTCAATGGGATGGTTAATTTGGCTTCAATGCAGAGATCACTTCCTTGAGATATCATTGTAGCTTTTAAAATATTATATTAATTTTTAAAATCAGAATTGCTTAGTTTGGGATTCTTAAACTGAAAACTCCTTTAGACCTGGATCTGGCTCTTTCAGCTCTGTATCTCTCTAAGACTTGCATATGGTGAACATTCAATGTATGTTTCTTGAATCCTTGTGAGGTAGGAGTGGGGACTTGGACACCCAGTGGTGGAGTTCACCCATTGGACCAAATTGAGGACTAGCTAAAACAGGGACAGGGTGGAAGCAGCTTTTTATAAAACAAGCCCACCAGTGTGCCATATCAATTTACCATTGCCATGGCAGCACCTGGAAGTTACCACCCCTTTCCATGACAACTGCCTGAATACCTGGAAGTGACCACCCCTTTTCTAGAAATGTCTGCAAAATCTGCCCCTTAATTTGCATATAATTAAAAGTGGGTATAAATATGACTGTAGAACTGCCTCTGAGCTGCTACTCTGGGCCCAAGGCCTATGGCGTAGCCCTGCTCCCAAGGAGCAGTACCTCTGCTCTTGCTATACACTGCTGCGTCAATAAAAGTTGCTGTCTAGGCTGAGCACAGTGGCTCATGCCTGTAATCCCAGCACTTTGGGAGGCCGAGGCGGGCGGATCACAAGGTCAGGAGATCGAGACCATCCTGGCTAACATGGTGAAACCCCGTCTCTACTAAAAATACAAAAAATTAGCAGGGCGTGGTAGCGGGCGCCTGTAGTCCTAGCTACTTGGGAGGCTGAGGCAGGAGAATGGCGTGACACCGGCAGGTGGAGTTTGCAGTGAGCCGAGATCGCACCACTGCACTCTAGCCTGGGTGACAGAGCGAGACTCCGTCTCAAAAAAAAAAAAAAGTTGCTGTCTAACACCACCAGCTCGCCCTTGAATTCTTTCCTGGCAAAGCCAAGAATCCTCCTGGACTAAGCCCCAGTTTTGGGGCTCGCGTGCCCTTTAGTACTTACGTGACTAAATGAGGAAATGAATGAACATTAGAGTGTCTCATTCACTGCCTTCATTTCTGGATGAGGAAATAGTCTCCAAGGATTGTAGTAACGTCTTCAGGGTATCCTTGCTTGGAGGACATATAATTCACTTCTTGCCTTCCAGGGCCGCATTCACCCCACTGCATCTGCCGGAACCCCGCTGACTCTTACACTGATGTGTATAGTTGAGATTGGGAGTCCAAGGAAAAGTGAGCCAAATCCAGAGGAGTAAATATTTTAGTATAAAAAATTGAAACTAAAAATAACATTATCAGAATGTAGTTTTTTTTTTCTTTTATGGGACAAATATCAGAGGGAAAGTTGGTGAAAATTTCCATTTATAATCCTAGACCCAGGTAAAGATCTCCATAAAACTCCAATGGCCATTAAAACGGTTTCAGGAAAACATATGCACACCTTTTATGGATTGATAAATTGCATTTACCAGTAGGTGGTAAAATCTCTGTTAGGCTGGAAGGAAGAATATTTAATTTCCATATCTTCCCCAGAAACGACTTAAACTTATATTTCCTGTCCTTGCTGCTGGATAGTAAGGATTGACACAAGTGAATATAAAAACTTGTTTAGTTCAATAATTCTGTTTATCTCCTCCATGCTGCCTCTCAGTGAATAGAACACTCATATGTCAACCCCTCATGGCCTCATCTAGTTCCACCATTTATGCCTCTGAAATACTTCCAAACTGGCCCTCTTTTCCATTTCCTTTGAACAAATGTAGGTGCTCACCCCCTCCTTTCTTTCACACTGCTATCAGTTATTGTTTTGAAACATAAGACAGATGATGTCATTTCCTAAAACCCTTACAACAGCTCTCCACTGCCTAGAGAATGAAGTCCTATTGAGTAAGTTATATCACTTCTCTGAGTCTCAATGTCCTCGTCTTGTTAACTCCCTCATGGGATTAACAAGAGTTGAACTGGATACGTCTATAATGTGCTTGGAGCAAAGAATCCCACGAAGTGCTGAGAGCAGGTTAGTCATCAGCACCATTCATGCTGTTGCTCATGATCCCTTCCCAACCCCCAGGGTGATCACACGTGGCAAGGAATTGCTTACTTCCCACTTTGGAAACCGATAAAGTATTTTTCTGGATTCATGCAGTACTTTGTCCTTATTTGGTTGTGCCTTGAGTTGTTATTAGGGGTTATACATCTTCATATCCCCCTCAAGTTGATGAAAGCCTTGAGACTGGGAACCTTGTCTGACTCTTCTATCTGCATTGCCAGTGCAGTGCTTACTTAGCACCTGGCAAGTGCTCAATAAACATTTGGTGAAACAGAAGAGATTTATCTGTGAGTCATTCAAAGCACTTTATGTTTAAATGCACACATCTTAGAAAATAAATGTAATTTGAGATTACTATCCATTTACCCCTATGTAAAAACTAATTCTACTCGTTCCACAAATATGTATTGAGTATATATTATTGCCAGTCACTGTTCTAGGCACTGAGGATCCAACAACAACAACAAAAAAACCCAGATACATTTCCTGCCCTCATGGAGCTTCTATTCCAGATAATGAAAACAATTAACAGAGAAGATTAAGAACATGATAAGTGTTATGGGTAAAAAGGAAGCAAGGAAAAAGATCTGATGAAAGAGTACTATTTTATATGTGGGTAGTCCAGGCAGACTTCTTTGAGAGGGTAACATTTGAGCAAAAACCCAAGGGAAACTTGCAGCTACCCACAGAGAGCTCCCCAAGCAGCAGGAATGACCAGTGCCAAGGCTATAAGGTAGAGTTCTCCAGGGAGTAAGAGGACTGCATTGTGTGGCTCTAGAACTGTGACTCCGAGAGAGTGGTAGGAGTGAGGTCAGAGGTAATAAAACCTGGATCTTATAGAACCTATGGGTTCATGTCATTTGACTGTACAACTTCTCCCTCATCCTTGCCCCATCAAACGCTAGCCCCAGGATCAACCCCTTACTCTCCAGCAAAGAAAACTTTGCATCCTGGTTCACAGACTGCCCTTTTCTACCTTTTGTCAGTAGTTCTAGATGTTTGCAACATTCATGAAAACAAAGTGTCCGGCTGGGCACGGTGGCTCACGCCGGTAATCCCAGCACTTTGGGAAGCTGAGGCGGGCAGATCATGAGGTCAGGAGATCGAGATCATCCTGCTCCACATGATGAAACCCCGTCTGTACTAAAAATACACACACACACACAAATTAGCTGGGCATGGTGGCACGCGCCTGTAGTCCCAACTACTTGGGGGGTTGAGGTAGGAGAATCGCTTGAACCTGGGAAGCGGAGGTTGCAGTGAGCCGAGATCGTGCCACTGCACTCCAGCCTGGCAACAGAACAAGACTAACAGATCAAGATGCCGTCTCAAAAACAAACAAAACAAAGTGTCCACTGATGCAGTGTTTTTATGAATTTTGCAAACATCTAGAACACAACTCCTGATCTCCTTGCTCAGGTGACCTTTATCTCTTCTGCAATCAGCCACTCTCAACCCGCACCAGGTCATCACTTGGAAACTGCTTTATCAGACACTTTGCACTGCCCAATATATACCCTACCACCCTCATCCTCCACTGTGGCTGCTTTTGGTATCTTAGAGACCTCCAAGCTGTTGATACTGCAGTTTTGTCACATTTTATCAGTTCCTCTAAGGTGTCTTTCTGGTTTGCTTAGTCCAGACCCCAAACTTGATTATCTGGGCTGATCTCATATCTTTATTCTCAACTTAAACAACATCAAAATTCTGAAGGTAAAAAGAGGTGTAATGAAAAGTGAGTCTCCCTCTGGATCTCTCCCTTCAATAGACAGTTTTCAGTTTAGAAGATAATCACTGTTTTAAACTTCTTATCTATCCACCTAGAAATATGCTATAAAATATGAGCACATAGATTTGTGTATATGTGTCTATAAACAGTTTTTAAGCATTTATATGTGTGTGTATACACCATTTGATAGTACATTAGAGATACTGCCTGGCATCCTACTTTGCACGCTGTAATTTGAAGATTGTTCTGCATTAGTGAATAGGGATATGTTTCATTATTTTTGATGGTTGTATAATATTTCCTTGTCTGCTTACATCAACCTTTAACTTATCACTCCCAGGCTGATGGACTCTTGGCTGTCACAGACAGTTCTTTCATGAGAAAGTTTTCATATGTGTCATTTCTCATGAATACTAGCTGCCCACAAGATATTCCTACAAATGGAATTGTTGATTTGAAGTGTATGAACATTTAAAATTTATTTGGATAAATGTCACCAAATAACTTTCCACAAGAGTGTGCCAATTTAAACTCCTCCTAGTATTGAGGTGCCTGTTTATCTGCTAAATGAAAAATGGCATCTCACTAGTGTTATTTGTATTTCTCTGATTATGAGTAAGGTTAACTATCTTTTCATATGTTTATGAGCTATTTGTATTTATTTTTCTAAGAGCAATCTGTTCACATTAAAGTCTATTTTCAACTCTGCTTAATTGTCAAATGTTTGGAGTCAAAACTGTTCTAGTTAATATTTCTTCCCCATTATGTTCTCTGAGTAAACAATGTTACACTTCTGTCATCCTACTGGTTATCTACCAAACAGCTCTGTCTAAATATTTTGCCTAAATTTTTCCCTAGTGAATATTGGTGCTTGGCAGATGTGAGCTGGGGAGAGTGGGGACGGATGGCAGTGTTGTCCCAGGGCAGGTGGTTAGATTGAGCTCAGATCCTCACTTCCATAGCATGTGAAAGTCCACAGTTTAGCCCTCTCCTTCCAGTTGTCACTGTACCTGGGAGTTGCGGGGAATCCTACACTCATCTCATTTTCTGCCTCCTGGATCTTTGTGTGACATATTTGGTTTCTACACATCCTCCGGGTACAGGCAACAAACTCACACTCCCTACATCTCTCTCAAGTACTTCCACAGAACTGGAATATTTTTGAATTTAGTTGAATTTACCAAAGCTGTGAAGGTTATGAGACATCACACCTTTAAACACTCTTGCTGTTTTTTTTTTTTCAGACTCTTTTGTATTCTACATCTCTCCCCCGAACTCCTTCCCCTACTTATTTCTCAAGCATAAGTTCCTCTTTTTATGTATATTGTCTTTTGGTGAGCACATTTTTTGAATTCTGTGTGACCTTTCCTATGTACGAAATGGTATATACAAGTATTTCTTCAAAACAATGCGGTGCCCTTACTAAGATGAATTCCAGTGAATAAAATTTCTTCCATACATGTATATCTGGAAATCTATCTAATTTTCATATATGTCTCATCTGCTAATACTTGACATAGGGATAGACTCAAGGGCTATGATGTTGACTTAAATGCCACATAATGCTGGTAGTTCATGAGAAAGAATTTACAAGGTTCCTGCAATGAAAAACATTTTGAGTCAACTGCAAAGGTCTCATTGATAAGATGTAGGAAGGTGTTCTTCTTTTTCTTATCTAAATTTATGTGTACTGGTCAGTTATAGGTATTCATGCCCAACTTCCATACTGAAGATTTCTGACATTGATATAAAATTCTGCATTGTAGATCAACCCTCAGCTTCTAATAATCTTTGTTCAAAGGTCAGTGCTTTTTAGAATAGGTGTCCTGGCACTAGCAACCACTCCGTTTTTTTTTGTTGTTGTTGTTGTTGTTTATTTTTTTAAGATTTCTCACTGGACTATTATTCCCTGATATGTTTATGAGCCTTTTATTATATGATTTTTCTGCCCCATTCACAATGTAGAAGTCATTGGGCATAATGTTTATTATTCAACTTTCTGTCTCCATTAACAAATTTATCTACACACACACAGTCTTCCCTTATTTCCAACAGTCTTGGTGGATGGGCACTTCTTTTCCTTCCCAAGGTCAACCTGTCCCTTTCTACCCTTGACTCCATAAACCTTCTCAGATCTAGCTGATATCTCTCTCACTTACTAAAAAATACAAATATCTCCCCTAAACTCTTAACTTTGAATTCTATCTAGTAATTCCATTATTTCTTCTTTACTTATCAAAATTTTAGAAAGTGCCTCCATCTATCTGTTTTGATTTCTTTCCTCTCCATTCACTCATCTATCAACTGCAACTTGCCTTCTGTCCCTACCAATTTACTGATTTCACCCAGTCACCAATGATCACCTAATTCCCAAATGAATTAAGTTTTCAATTTTACCTAATTGGGCCACGCGTCTGCCTCTGTTGCTGTTGATCTCTCCCCAGTTCTTGAAAAATCTCTTTCTTCTTCTTTTCCATAGCACCACTCTCTTTTGATTCTCTGTATGCTTTTACGATGGACCCTTACCCGTGTGTTTTTCATGTGCTCCTCGTCCTTGGTACATCCTTAAAATGCCTCTTTCCAAAAGGTCTGTCATTGCCCATTGCCCACTGAATTCTTCTCCTGCTTCTACCTCCAAAATTCCTGTATTTTGTGTGCAAGATTCTATCTTTTCCACTCTCCTTGAGCTATCTCACCAAATTCCTTGGTGAGGTATCTACTACTAATATACTAAAGATCATGAAAGAACTACGCCCAGCTCAAAGCTGTCTATAAACTCCAAATATTGAAGGACAGCCACACATTGACTATTTCATTCCATTGTTCCACAGTCTGAAATTGAGTTCCTCTCTCTCCTGCTTGGTTAGCTTCTATTCCTGCTTTCTCTATCTCTACAGGGAATCGAGGGTGCCAACATTTATTTCCCCAACGTATTAAGCTAACACTCATTTATTTTTTATTTCTTTCTGTACCTTGTTTTTGTTGCAAATCAAAATTGCAAGTTTAATTTCCTAAATATTTCTCAACTCCTCTCCTTTCAATGTGTCTCTGCCATACTACCCTGATTAAGGCCCTTTTTTTTCTGTTGACTATCAAATTTCAGCAGCTTCCCAACAAACCTTCTTGCCTCTTTTGTGTTGTCTATCTCAAATTATTCAGTATATGCTGAAGTCATATCTCTATAATGTAAACATGACATTTCATTCATCTTTAAATCCTTGCTATCTCTCCATCTCATTTCTTATTGCTCCCTTCCTCATGACACCATTCCTCTTATCTGTCATGATGTTTCCTGTCCCAGGCCTGTGTTCAGACCCTCCTATATTAAATGTTCTCACATTCATCATTTTCCAATTAAGCTATTTGGTAAAAGCCCATAACTTTAGATTTGTCTGTTTATACAACTGTCTCTCCCACTGATTTGAATACCTGAGGACAGAACAATGGCAAGAGCAGTGCCTGTCACATAATATATGCTTAATAGTGTCATCAAATAGATGTATCAGGGAATGATTTCGATAAAAATCATGGATTGGGTATCTCAAGGTCAAACTGAACACTGGGCCAATATAATCATTTCACTTCTCTTGGTTTTATTCTCCTTATTGCAAAATGAGTATAATGAGATTAATCACCTTACAGGATTTTTACAAAGATTTAACAAGACAGTACTATGCAAAGCACTTGGCATGGTGCCCGATGTAGTAATTGCTCACTAAATATGACAATATAATACCAACAATGAACTTTTCTGCTTCTACTAGTAATACTGTTGGTTGGCGTTATCAGGAGGGTAATTCGCAAGTCTATTCTTTTCACTCATCACTATTATTAGCTTTAACAGTGAGGAAATTGGCCTTATGGAGGCTCATTTTCTCAATAAGTGAGCCCAAGCATCATGCTGGCTTTATTACTGTTTTTTAACTACAAAGATATTTTACTTTATTTTCCCAATTGGAAAACAGTGAATGGAAGGAGCATCTAAAAACTGCTCATAGCCCCACCATCCAACTGCAACCACTGTTGCCATACAGATTTTTCTCCTGAGGGCTCTTTTTCTACACACACAGTGCACACATTGAGGGTGGTTGCAGCTGTTAGTGCTGGTGACCCTGATGTTAATTCTGCTATTTAGTGCAAGGATCATAGGCACCGGGAAAGCATAGATTTAAAGAATCTGTAGGGAAAGGAGATAGGTTTAATCTGAGTCCAGAGCTGAACAAGAACTCAAAATTGAAGATCAGTTAGACCCTCTGTTAGCGTCAGATCCTTCACAGGGCAGAGAAACAAACATTTCTTTGTTTCAGAACTCCAGCGTTAAGAGTTATTGATGTCTGTAAATATTAATAACAATGGTAACTTACTACTTGCTCAGCTAATTAGGATTTCAGCCACATTTAACTTTCAAAACACCGTTTTCTTATATTACAATTTCTTAATGTGTCACAGTTATTGTTTTTACCAACAGCCATATGTTCTCATCCTCTGGGAGTGAATACCTGCCATTCTTAAATAGATATGTCACAAATTCAACATTTATTTAGCAACAGATATTAAACAATAGGAATGAACATTCTTTTCAATTTACTAAATTGTGCTAAAACTAAAACTGAAAAAAGGAATCATTCATTTATTATCACTTTAATTAATTCAACAATTATTTATTGCCTAACTGCTGTGTGCGAGCCATAGCTCTGGGCTCTGGTTAAACTGTGATTAACTTACAAGTTTAATGTCTTCAAGGTACTCCCATTAGCCAGGAAACCCATCATAAACACAACAGTCAAATAAATGTAAAGTTTAGGATTGTGATCAGCACATTGAATGAAAGAACATGCATTGTTACAATAAAATGATAAAGTTGGAGGGTATGAGATGGGGGGACCTGCCTTTCCATAGTTAGGGAAGATGCCTTTGAGGAGGCAATATTTCAGCTGAGACCTAATGGAATATAAAGGTCAGCCAGGCATCAGCTTGATAGACGAGCATTTTGGCTTGGTGACCAGAAGGGGTTTGCTTCCTGGGGGGACTGAAAGAAGCCCAGCATGGCTGGAGTTTGGAGGTGAGCAAAGCAGTGAGCAGCTCTGATGAGGATAGACAAGCCAGGCCTGATCACATGGGGCCTTGTAGGCCATGTTAAAGAATTTGAGTGTCTCCACATGTACTGTTTGCAAACTCATGGCCTCCCCTTTGATGCTCTGTTCTAGGTGATCGCTGCAATCATTATCTGTCAAACACACCTGTGCCTATGCATAATGTTAGCTTGGTGCTTTAGTGCACGCTCATATTCCTTCTGGCTGGAATGGAAATAGTATTAACTTGAATTGGAATGTGTGCTCAGAGACCTGCAAGCAATATAGTCCTGGGCAAGTTTGGAGCCCTACTGGGCCTCATATCTTGTGAAATTATGAAGAGATGAAACAGGATATTTCCCTGACCTTTTTGCAGGCAGGAACGGGAGTGCATGGATGCCAGCAGGGGTGAATTCCATGAATTCCACCCCTCATGGGAGGAGAAGTGCAGGTGAAAAGGTGCAGGAGCTGGGGCAAGCACCTTTGGGCACCATCAAGAGCAAACTCCATACTGGCCCCACGGCAGCATCTAGGGAAGGGTGCCTGAGATCCCAGAAGCCCCAGAAGAAGTGTTACAGTGCCCTATTAGCTTTTCTGTCTGTGGATGGCTTAAGTGTTAACAGCTCATTGGAGGGTCAGTGTCACAGCCTTTTGCACCGACACTCATGGCACCCGAGTTCTTGTCCGGCATCCAGGAGGAATGAGGTTGCTTGGATGAATTGAAGATGGTAAATGCAGAAGATTTTATTGCTGGTGAAAGTGGCTCTCAGTGGGAAGCAGAGCTGAAAAGAGGACCGTGTGGGAAGGTAATCTTCCCCTGGAGTCCGGCCAGGGACAGACTCTTCTCTGAAGCTGTTCCACCAAGCTGTCCATCTGAAGTCAAGCAGCTTCCCTCGGACATCAAACTGTAGTCCCAGATGTCCAGTTCCTTCTCCTCGCTCTGCCAGCTGAGCCTTGGGTTTTTATGGGCATAGGATGGGGGCAGGGCAGGCCATGGGTGGTTTTGGAAAAGGCAACATTGGAGTGGGAAAACAGAGATGTAGGTTCTCACTTTGAGTTGTGGTCCCAGGCTTTGCGGCTTGAGGGTGGGGCCCTCACTGGGGACCTGCCCTCTTCTGCCCAGAATTTCCCTGCCTGCTGTAACTATCAGAGATACATCTCAACATGTTGAGGTGAGAAATAAATAAAATAATACATGTGAACTCTCTAGCATGGGGCCTGATAAAAACCAGTTGTTACTAAATACTAGTTTCCCTTTATCTCTCCACTTATGGAGTTTTTATCTATTCCATTCCATTGTCCTTTTCTAAGCCACAAAAAAATTTTTGGTCATGTACCACTTATTTGCTCTTATCCAATAATTTACTGAGTTTTATTAGTTATCTGTCTGTCTTACTTGTCCCAGTAGATTAGGATGGCGATCATGCCCAAACCTCACAGTGACGAATAATAGCACTAGGCACAGAGGTGATGTTAAGTAAATCTGTTGTGTTTCATTTTATAATACACTAAAGCAAAGACAATCTTGACTGGCAAACTGTGCAGGATGCAGGTAACAAAAAGGAAAATGAAAATGGATTCCACAATTCCAGGGAAGTTAAGGAGAACCTGCTTAGGGAGCTTGGGGTGGAGAAGAGAGAATGGTATTACAGTAGGGAGAAAGGGCCCTTGATTCATGATGCCCAGTTTAGAGATACCTGTGGTTATGCCTGTGATCCCAAACTACATGGTGAATTAAAACAACTGATTATTTGCCCTCCCCATTAGTTCATTAATTCAACATTTATTTAATATTTTCCATTGATAATGTTATATCTTTAGCTATATCTTGGTAAAATATCTGAGCTGAGTAATTTAATTTTGGACAGACTAAATATTATGTGAATAATTTTAAAGCAGTGAGTTTTGGCATAGATTTCTTACATTGTATTTTTCTATATGAAATATTATAGGGTTTACACTAATGTAGGTTATCAAATATATTTGTTTCTTGTACACTAAATCAAGCAATAAGATTTTTAATTGTAAAACATGATAAGCTACATAATTTTATAGATAGAAAAACAATATTTTCAAATTTTTTATTTGAATATTACTTTTGTAGGTATAATTGCTGAGAACCTTGGTGAATTTTGATAGGGCAATATAAATATATAATCTATCAAGTATAAATAATTTGTTCCCATGTGCCTATGTAGAACAGAGATCAGCAGAGTTTGTGGGCCACATTATAGTTATTATTTTATGCTCCTATTTTTAAGATAATTTTTAAAGCATGTCTATCTTAATTATTCAGAGATTTTTTTCTATCCTTATGTTTAACTTTTCTTTCAAGTTGCTTCAAGATAAGCACTTTAAAAGCAGAGTGGTTTATAAAATGAAATAATTCCTTGAATATTTTTATTTTCTTTGTCTCTTTAGTATCCCAGATTGCTATGTCCTTTTAATTTTCAATAAGCAAATTTCTCAGAAGCATAATCATTTGATTTAGAGATTTACATGAATACATTTATCCTTCTAAATAGAATAAAAACCTTTATTATATTAGTCTGAGTATTTCTCCCAGGTATTAAATTTATCTTCAACCCAGTGGTCCAGGTTCCAAGGGATGCCTGTAATTAGATGTAATTACATGTCATATTCATCAACCAGTAGTATTTCAGGTCATGATTCTGCTACTCTACTCCCTAGACCTTTCCCACATTCTCTTCCCACCTCCCTTTTTAGAGCCTCCCTTATGATCCCTACCAAGGAAATGTCTCTAAATTACATCCTACTTCTAAAACTGTCTGGGAGCTACCTCCCATGAGAGCCTATAATCAAGAGTGATAACAGGGGGCATGGCACTGTTTTAATGTCCATTTTTCCCTGAGGAACATATCTTTAATTTCCAACTTTAAATCTCTGTCTAAAACCCCCTCTATGAAGGTAGCTGCAGTGGGCCTGGCAGTCTTGCTCTAAAGTAGCTTCCTCTGCTTTTGGACTTGAGTTATGTCTCAGTATGCATGATGTGATTCTTCTGGTTTATTTTTTCTTGCAGTTCCTTGGAGTGTAGCAGCCAAAATAAGAGAATGAGTTTTCCACAGATGTCCGAGGCACACTTGCTGGCCTCTTTTGCTTTTTTCAGGATTTTCTAAAAAATAAAAAGTACATGCTTTGGGCCCAGGCAGACTCTGGATGGAGTGTGAGGTCCACACAGGAGTCTATTGGAGATTTGTTTCCATTCTGCACTCAATGTCCTAGAATTCTTCAGAGGTCTCCTGCCAAGAAAGTAGGTGGGGGCAAGGACACTAGACAGCCTAGTTGTCATTTTCCTCCTCCTTTTCTTCCACAGATTTTGCTTTTCATTTCTGTTTTCCAACATTGCAAGTCTTCCCTTGTGGATTGTTTTGAGCTCCTCAAAGGAACCAGTAAATAAATAGTATAGATAGTGGTTTGTTTGTTTGTTAACGCAGTTAGCATCAGATTTACAATCCTCTTGCATTCCTCCCCCAAGTTTTCCTTGGCATTACTAGGCAGACCCAAATTGGTGACTTCCCAGTATTGCAGTGAAGGATGGGCAGATAGGCTGTTGCCATGGAAACAAGGTAATTGCTCAGAGGATTCATCCTGCATGGGTAATATTGAACTAACTGCTGTACAGTTTCCCATTTATTACAAAACATTTACAAGGAAAATGGGATGTGTTTCATGATGCTAAACTGTTTGCCTCTTTTCAAGAAGCTAAGCAAATGGTGGGGCATGGTGGTTCACACCAGCAATTTAGGAAGCTGAGGGGGGTGGATCACCTGAGGTCAGGAGTTCAAGAGCAGCTTGGCCAACAACAGTGAAACCCCGTCTCTACTAAAAATATAAAAAAATTAGCCAGGCGTGGTGGTGTGCATCTGTAATCCCAGCTACTAGGGAGGCTGAGCCACGAGAATCGCTTGAACCCAGGAGGCAGAGGTTGGAGTGAGTCAAAATCATGCCACTGCACTCCAGCCTGGGTGACCAACTGAGATGCTGTCTCAATAAATAAATAAATAAATAAATAAGCCAAGTAAAAATTACCAAGAGGTAACTGATACCAAAAAATCCATTGGTAGGCCACAGGCCTTGGCTGGGTAGAAGATGTCAGTTCTTCTCTCCTTCTGTCTCAGGTGTTTATTTCCAGTGAGTATTGCAGCGATCATCATCTGGCTTGCCTTGCATGGCAGTACATTGGGGAATATGTGTTCTTTTTTGTGCTGTTTGAACATCATTTGGTATTCCTTCCTTTTTGACTTCCTCCATTGCACAGAATGACCTGATTATCTTTTGCCATCATAACTTCCTTTTCCTTTGTCTAATTGTTCATATACTCACCTATAATAACTTCCTTTAAAATGGAAGGCAAATTTTTCCTCTCACTGTCGTTGGATGGAATGGATTTAACTATGTGTTTTAATTCCAATCTGTAAAATGCCTTCATGCATATAGTAGGAGCTCAATAAAGGTTCAGTGAAAATGCCTTCTGAAAAGATGTTTATTATTCTTTGGCTCCAGTCTTCTTATTTGTAAAACCAAAGCCTAGATCAGTGTTTCTCAGCTTCTTGACCTCAGCTCACAAGTGGCTTCCTAGAGAGCATGTCTTCTGGTTAGGGATAATTTTCTTCCCTGGCTCTAGTGCAATGTCATCCCTTTCTGTAGGTTGAGAAAGCCCATAAAATACTTTCTAAAAGTATGTGTATCTCCTCACACAGTTCTCACTCACACCTCGTTTGACAGTGAGACTCATGATACTAGATCTAGATGACCTTCAAATTCCCATTTGGTTTTGATACTCTGCAATTCAGTGGTACTATTCTCCAGTCACCTCCTTGAGGAAATCAGGTCTGAGCAAATTGGCTTGGCATATCTTTTAGGAGCTCCCAAATAGCACATGCTTACTGTTATTGTTACCTTGCCACATTTTACTGATTTTATTCATCTGTCCTCCTTCAGTAGACTTGCACTCTTTGAGGATGGGTCTGTTTCTAATGTAGAGTTGTTTGCATGTGGCCTAGCATGGGATAACAGCAAATCTTCAATAAGTGTTTGGTGAACATAACAGTTGATTATGTTGATGTAATATGCCGTCCAGATTATAGCTTTATTAGTGCATTTAAAGCCGATGCATGTAGGGAGCCCTTACAAACTCTTTACAAATGCGCATGTTATATCTCCTAAAACATATTTAAGTTTCATGAGGACCAAGAAGGGTGAAGAGACCAACTGGGATGTTGAGAGTGGGTATGCTAGAATAGCCTGATTTGGGAATTTGTTTGTTTTCTTATTTGTGTAACATCCTCTCCATGCCAAATGTGATTGCCTTGCTTAAGATGGTGTAATATTAACATCATTGCTTTACAAATGCTAAATCAATTGTTTATCTATGGTACTGTTAATGGGATGGCTACTTTATCCCTTTCTTTTAAAGGCCACAGAACGGAGCCAAATTCTGACACCTCCATTTCCTCCTGTGATGTTACAGAGCCTGATTTCAGTTTCATAAAAATAAATAAAAATAAAATATGTGCGCTAATATGAAATGTCAGCTAAAATCAATAGTAATCTATTTCTCTTGCAGCGTGAGCGGGACCCAAACAATCAATTAGCAGTAAGCTTGTCAAAATGCATGGGGCAGAGGTTGCTAGATGCTTCATCACAATTTTATTTGCCCAGAGCATTTGAATAAATGAAGTGAAATGTTTCCGCAAGTCTCTGAATCTTTGATAGATAATTTTTGGACCTCCTGCTGAAATACTGTTGGCTAATTTCCTGCAGTAAATTTTTTCAGTGATTGTCACAACCTGTAGTAATAAATGACATTTTCTCCAATATGTTACTATGCCTCAGTGCAGAGAGATGACACACAGGCTATGTGCATGTCTGTAAGAATGCAGCTGTGTGTGCATTTTTTTATGAAGAAAAATAGCTTCCTCTGGAGATTTTGCTGAAAATCCCATTCCTCCTCTCAAATAGCAGGCACTTAATAAATATTCATTGAGTTGCATTCTATTTTATGCTATCTCTTGGTATTCCCTGCCTCTGCAGGATTGGGGGAACAGAGTGGACGGGATGATGAATATAGGAAGAAATGCATATGCATTGCACCAATGTAGTCACAGAGGTCTGAATTGGCAATCAGACTCACAAGATGCAAGTAAGCTTTAATGTTGTGTTTCCGCAGCTTTATAGAAGGATACAGGGCAGGAACCTCAGCAGGCACATCATCATCCCATGGGGCTCACCACATACTTAAGTACACAGCCCTTCACAGAAGATTTTAAAACAGAAGTTTGTTCTCACTTGCCATCTTATTTCTCTTGTTGTTTATTACCTTAAATAGAGACTAATATAAATACAGCTATTTTTATGAAAAAAATCACTATTGGAAAATGTGTGAATCAAGCATAGTTCATGAGAAATAAGAAAATGAATGTAATATCCATATACATCAAAGTTTTAGGCACAAAAAAGAATGGATAAAAATGTTTAAAACATATCTCAGCATTATGCCCAAATTTATATTGTTTAAAAACATATCTCAGCATTATGCCCAAATTTATATTTTTTACAGTTTTATATACATTATATACAGAAGTCCCCAGTGGACTTCTATAAATGATATGATTACCTTTCAGTGGAAAGCTTAATTTGAGTACATTACTGACATAGGTCAAATTATTTGAAGTTGTGTATTCAGGTAAAAATTGCTGAAATATTATGGATAGCTGAAACATAAAATAAGAAGCATCAATTTGTATGATATTACTAAGTTTTTCTTATAGTGCAAAACTTAGCATGATTTCCTAAAAGTCCATGGTTAAAAACACATATAAAGTTAGATTATCATAATTTATATATGTCTACTTTTGCTTTATATATGTATAATGCCATTTATAGTACCTCTGTATCTAATGTTTTAATTCCCTATCATTCTATTTTTAAAAGTTTAATAATAATATCCCTATCATTTCTTCAATTTTCTCCATCTAGAGACATTATATAATTCATATCTAACTAATATCAACACAGGATCTTTAATTCTCCATTAAAAAAAACACAACATTTTCTTTCAATTGAATTATTCACTAAATATAGTTTGGCATCATTTTGTGTGTTTGTTTTATAATGAATTGAATGTTTAGTTTGGAACATATGACCAAATAAACCAGTTGTTATGACATCATGGATAAGTTCTTAAATTCCCCAAACTTGCTGCGAGTGACAAAATTACAGTGCAGTTCTGGGGTTTCAGGACGATACAGGAAGATCATGTCTTCAAACAGGATTATCTAGTCAAATTCTTGCCAAATCACCCTGACAAATTACCTCAATGGAGTTCCTTTCTAATGGAGACAAATGGACTCTTCTTCCAAATAGTTTCTGACCAATGTGCTTCAATACATACTTGATAACCCAAGATGCACTTTCTGCTTTAATACCCTGTCATCACTAGCAGAAAATGAATCAAGAAGTTCCCAATTAGTTCCAATTTTGGTTGACTTATAAGAGAGAGGTACATGCCAGCTATTACATCCCCATTCTTGACAGGAGAGATAGGTGTAAATGAAAAATATATCTCTCAAAATCCACTGGTTTCAAGCATACATTGTACATTAATAAGTGTTCTTTCCTTAATCAGCAAATTACAATTTATTATTAGTTCATATCTCCTGACTGATCTTTATCAGTTGAGGGGCTCTGACTCAGCAAGCTTTGAAGAGGAGAGATACACTTTAAGGTGCCAAGTGCTGTTGCAGCTAATTTGTTAATATTTATGGCCTCAATCCACAAGATGAGTTATGTGAGCACATTGCAATTTTCAGTAGACATTTATGAGAGTGTGAGATTTGGAGTAGGAAAAGATAGCTTTGGAAAAAAAAAAGAGAAATCACAGATAACAAAATTTTAAGGTAACTTTAAATGACCTTAAAGTAATATGGTCTTTTTTGCATAACAAATAAAAATTGGAAACACGCAAACACATTCATTTAACTTAGACACTCATAAACATTTATTGCCCTTTTAGATTGCTTTACTGCAGCACACTAAATTTCTAGAAACCTAATAACCGTGGCTTGATTCTATTTTTGTAATTAGAACACTAAAAAGAAAATAAAATGGTTTATTTCTATCCAATGTGCTCTTTAACTTGGCTTGCATAGCATCCAGGAAAATTGCTGTTGTTGTTTGATATGGATAGTCTGTACATCTCTAGCCATGACAGCATTATGGGCTGCCCCTGAGAGGCTGAAATAATGACAAAGTGTGATAATACATGTATTAAATACAAGCAGTGTTTTTATATGCATTTATAGTAAAACCATTAGAAATCACTTTCTGGGACTACAGTTTTGGGAATGCTGTGAGTTAAATCATATTTTTGTTATGATGAATACTGTTATGTTGCTAAATAAAACATGAAAAATGTAGAAAATGTGTGTAATCCTTACTCTGTGGCATTATTTTATAATAGCATATATGTCTATGGATAATTTGCTACATAGTTTCACATTTGGTCAAGGTTTAATAAAGGTAAATTTGTTGATTTTAGAAACTCTTGTGTTGTCAAAAAACCCAGAAAACGAGATCTGTCATTGACTCTATGTCCTTTAAGTCAGAAGATACTAGTATGCATATCAAGGCTATGACATTATCCATTATAAAATAAGGAACAAACCAAATATCAGCATTGTGGTATGCAGACACAGTATCAAAGGCTGAGAAGAGCTTCTCCTAAAAATAAATTTCTAACAACAACTTCAGTATAAACAAAAATGATTAAAGAGAAAAAATCATATTTTTTCTTAGAACAACCATATAAAATATATTTCATCATTAAATGAACAGCAGAAATCCATCTCCAAGACAATTTTGCAAATAAATTATATGCATTAACATTTTTCTTTAAGTCAATATAAATTTAAGATTGCATAGAGAAAATGTCTACTGTTCCCCCCATTTCATTGTCCTTGGGAGAGGCGATACTGCAGTCATCAACATTGCAAATGTTATGATTTTATAATCCACATTTAATTTTTTGGCCCTCTGCAGACTATGTCACTGGGAATGGCAGATCCACACAGGATGCAGGAAAGATAAGTTTTCATCATATGCACATAATTATTATATGGATTCCCCTCTGTCTTAATCTGATTAATGAATGTGATCGTCATACATATCCAAACACAAATAGTTCTTTCCATCTAATTTTGTTGATAAATTTGGAAAGATGATCACCAGATACAGAAGAAAAGCCACAGCACATTCATAATGCTTTGATGGCACTGAGCCTGACCTTGCAGAGAGAGGAGGTTGATGTGCGGAGCAGATTGAGAGCTGATTTCCCATGCCCGTCGACGAGTCTGGCTAGCCTCCTAGACTGTTTGTAGCAGGGAATTTCAGTGCAACCTCTGGCCTCTCTATCCAGCAAATTTGCATGCATCTGCTGGCTGAATTTTCACATTTCACTGAATTTCCATGAAAAATGCGTTTAGAGCAGTATTTCATACCTGAAACACTTTTACATTTAGAATCACTGAATTTTAGATCAGAAAGCTAAGAGAACATTTACTCCTATCCATCATTTAACAGATGATAGCAATGAAATTCAAAAGGTTAAGTGGCTTTTCTGAAGCCGTGAGATTTTTTTTGTGTGTGTGACAAAGCCTAGACATTCTCAATGTTGGTTCAGAGCTCTTTCATTTCCACTCTAGGATGATTCTTTATTAAATAGCTTATAGTATTAAAATCTGTTAAAATGCTGGTGTATCTAGACTTTTTAAAAAGTTAAAGTTAAGAGTTTTATTTCATTTATGTAAATTATGCAGTCAAATGTACAGTATAGATAAGTCGAAAAGAGCTTCGAATAGATTAACGCATTTGACATTTCAAAGCTTGAGTATTAGTAATCGATTATGTGCAACAAAAGAAAACATCTGTTTATGTATCTGAGAGGTTGTAAGCTCAAAGAAAGCAGAAACCACGTCTAATGAATTTCCACGTTCCTGGTGCATAACAATTTATCTAGTGCACAGTGAACACTTGATATATTTATTGAATGCCTAAAGAAAACATTATGTGGTGAAGAATTAAAAAGAATTAAAAACATGCTCTTAATGTATGTTTAAAATAGTTCTGTGACAAAACTGCAGTGATAGATTCCTGGAAGTCCATGTACCTTAGGGACATGTCATCAAAGGAACATTCAGGAAGGTGACAAAGCTGACAACTGGATCAAGAAAAGGGTTTATCATTTGGGAAAACTAGGAAGCTGTAGGTGTCATTGCAACCCAAAGGACTTGGGAAAAGAAGCAGATAATCCAATGTAGGAAGAAAAAAGGGATTAAAGAAAAGAAAGAGTGAAGAGGACTGGATACTCCCTAAGTGGAGATATGATGTTGGAGATACTTGGCTGCATCTTAATGAACTCTGGAAGACAGTCTGTCATTTTATTTTGCTTCCAAAGCTGAGCATCTGTAAAGAACAGAAAACAGACTCTTAGGAGAAATTCAAAACCAGTAAGGGTGATCAATTCTTCTATATGAAGACTTCTGTTGTGCAAAATTTTTATTTTAACTTTATTTCTTATGAAACAAAGCAAAATAGTTCTTTTCAATCACTTATAAAAACACATATTCTGGAAAATGTAACTGGACCCAACATGAAATAAAGAGTAATAAAGTGAAAAAGAACAATCTTTTTTTGAAGAAGTTTCATGCTAGAAATGAGATTAACTGTCCATCTGAAATGTAAGCATGGTACTTTTTTTTAATTAAAAAATTAAAACTGTATTATGTAGGTATGTATATTACAGTAAGGTGAGGGTGGTATAACAAATGTAAATAGTTTGGTGTTCTTGCAGCATGAAGAATGAAAGAGGATGTGGTGTCAGGACCTCACTCTTGATGAACCCTGACACTACTTGGAGGATAAATGGATTTCCAATGCCCTTACCATTGCTAGACTTAGTGTTAACAGAAGAAATAAATAAAAGCAAGTGGGAGAAGTTGCATTAGAAACCCACGAGAGTATGATGAAAGATGTTGGAGGTTTTGAGTCGGGTGCCTTGGGAAGCTCATCTCTGGAGCTCTGACTGAAACATGCAGCACCTTCAAAGGCAGTGAGCCTCATTTGTATGGTCAATGATTTAAGAGAGATTAAGGATTTTCTCACTTAGTGCATGTACTAAGATGGCTTCTAGAAATTAGATATACCCTACATTTTGCCTCAAGATATTTTCCTTGTCCAGGTAAGTGCTAATGTGCAAAACTTTCTGAAGAAGCACAAAGTCCAAGGGAACTATGCTAACACTACCCGAAGTCTATGAAGCCAACACTTTTTATTATGTTTAGGTGTGGAGTGAAAAAACTAAACTAAGTGGTTGAGGTATTCATGAAATGTAACCTCAGAAAGCTGTGAAATGCTCCAGAAGTGTTTGAGACCAACCATGAGATAAAATGCTAACAATGTATTGGAACTAAATTAAAAGGAAGGTCAGGACACAGCCATGTCTGAATGGGAGATATAAAACACAGTGAATTCAAATTGATAATGCTGAGGCGAGAGATCATTTATTGCTCTTCCATTTTTCTTTTAGGGAACAAGCAATAAAATTGAAATGAATGAGCCAATTTTAAACCTAATTTTCATACAGCATCATTTCTCCTGAAGGTCCACCAAAGATAGAAACCAAAGAGAAAAATAAAGAGAAAAACAACTTACTTCACCTTCAACTCATCTCATCGAAGGGGGAGGGCTTGATATCTTGCCTGAGAAATACTCTTTAAAATAGAAACTCTGAACTACAAATAGGTTTTTATTCTTACGTGCATACATTCTGAACTTGCATAATAGTGCATAGCTCAGTCTCCACACATACACATGAATACACACACATACACATATACACTCACACTTCCAAATATGCACTTTACTCTCTCTCTGTCACTCTGTCATCTATCCACAAATCTGTCTATTTATCTTCATTTCTAAGTCATCTAAAATATGGTTTTTGTTCTGCGTGTGATAGTGTTTTTACCCCCTTGTGCTTGTATCTGTTTTTCTCATTGACAATATGTCTGTTTTAATTATCATCTAGCAGATAAAAAGTTGTTGCTTTGAAGAGTTTATCAAGAGATTCTACGTGATTCTTTTTTTGGAAGTTGTCAAGATTGTGTCAAGAACCGTGAAAGGTCTGAAATTTTACCCTGTGTGCAAGCTAAAAGTGTAGCCTACCACAGCTTCGTGGATGCCAGCTGAAGAAATGAAACTCTTGGATCAGAGACAAAAGACTTTGTTATTCACAGCACAACAGGCCTTTTAGGCTTCATGTTCCCATCGATTCCCCTTCCCTCTAGTCCCAAGCCGGGCAGCACAGAGCAGCCCAGACTGCTGCACACACAGCAGGTCTGTGGCCCTGATGAACCAGGGCTGAGGAAACCCATGCATTTACAAAGGCTGTTAGCAAACATGCTCACACTTTGCCCCAGAGAGACATTATCTTTGTTATCCTGGACAGCAGGGGAAAAAAAATCTGCCCTTTGCTCCAGAGAGAGACACTCTATCTTCCAAAAATCTGTTTGCTCTGTAAACATGCTTGAAAAGACAGTCCAGAACAAAATATTGTCAGTGCATTTCAGCAGAAACATGAGAGAACTATTGAGCCTTGTCTCCCACTATGGACTTGCTTCTGTAGTTCTGAGCATATAAGGTTCTAAATGTTCATTTTTAACAGCCCAAAGGGTAAATATTTAGTTTGCCTGTCAGTTTCCACAAAGTTCTCTTGTCAAACAATAAGTACTGTTTTCTTTTCTTTTTCCTTTCTTTCTTTCTTTATTTAAAGAATCAATCCTGGTACAGAGGCACCAATCTCTCACTTCTGTGTTTTGACCTTAACAACCTCAATATTTTTTCAGACATGTGCCGTATTTGGGCCATCTCTTTTCTTCCATCATTCGTTCTTTCTTAGGCTGCAGTCCCATGCTATCTGGGTGAACATTCTAGCTCTAGGGTTTTTGTGTTGCCAACATCTACTGCAACTAATGAATCGGGTTGTCTGTGTGTTTGATAAGATCTCAGTAGGTGAGGATTCCAGCACCATTTGATTGTTTCATTCTTGGATTTTTACAGATTATGTAATGCTCCCCTCTTCTCCTTCAAGATTCCTCTAAGTACACCTATTCCTTCATTTCATATCAGTTTCACACCGGCAAAGGATCATACCACAGGAAAGCAGTGTTCTAAGTACTTCTGTAGAAACACAGGTTCATGTCCAGCTTCCTAAATCTGGGAAAGAAGAAGATTTTTATCTTTCTTTAATTGTATGCTATAAATAGTAAATGCTATTCTTAATGTAATGAAAATGATCACAAACATATCCTCACTTTTGCATTCAGAGAAGTTTGGGCCCCTTCAAAATAAACTTCTTGGAAGTCGTTGACTTATTTCACCCTTTTTTGCTTTTACACAAAATGTGTTTGGCATTGTCTTCAGAATCTAACATAAATTTTTAAAATTTTCTTTCCAAAGTAGCCAATCTTTATCCTTTCATACTGAATTCTACTTTTGGAAATCATTAAAAGTTATTTAGAGCCCAATACAAGAAGTAGATAAACAAATGGGTTTAAAAATATGTGAATACATGTAATGAAACAGATACCCTTGTGTGGTTGATAAATCGGCCCCAAAGACAGTTCTGGCAGAAAAGTTCCAAATGTTTCAGGTTTTCACAGCTTTAGAGGAAATTAAAAGTAGCTTGTCTTCTTCAGAGGATGGGGGATTCCTTCACTGAAAGTATAACTGATGAAAACTTGTTTAAAGTGTACTCTTTTCTATGATTTTTATTCATAAAAACAGGAATCATTTTTAAGATAAAGAGATTATATCAAAATGGAGGAATTTTGTCCACGGACATCATCTGTGCATTGCCAGATCCTATGAAATCACTTGAAGAGTTGCCTACATTGCCAGCAAAATGACTCTGTTAATTTCTCCTTCTTTTATAAACTCCCGTGCTCCTTTGTTTTATCTCGTTTTTGGAAGATATTGTGTTTGGTCAGAAACAATGGATATTTGTGAATAAATCCTATCATTCACATGGCATTGAGTTAAATTTAGGGAAATAACCAGTCAGCTTAAGTTTTACTCATATATAAAAATTGGGAATTTTTTTTTTTTTTTTTTCGAGACAGAGTCTCCCTCTGTCGCCCAGGCTGGAGTGCAGTAGTGCAGTCTCAGCTCATTGCAACCTCCGTCTCCCAGGTTCAAGCGATTCTCCTGCCTCAGCCTCCCGAGTAGCTGGGACAACAGGCAGTGTCACCACACCCAACTAACTTTTTGTATGTTTTAGTAGAGACGGGGTTTCACCATGTTAGCCTGGTGGTCTCGATCTCCTGAACTCGTGATCCGCCCACCTCAGCCTCCCAAAGTTCTGGGATTACAGGCATGAGCCACCGCACCTGGAATATTAATACCTGGTCTACAAGATGATTTTTAGATTAACGAGATAATATATTTGAAGGTAATGGCAAAATTGAAAGAGAATTGATGCTCAACAATTCTCTTTTCACCCTCCCTTTATCTTCCTGCTTGCCTTGCTCAGGATTGTATTTTACATGTCAATTTAATATTTCCTTTGGAACAGAGGAAATGGATGAAAGCCTCTAAGTTTATGGTGGCTGAGCTGCCCACTTGAAATGTATTCTCAAAGTGCATGCCTACTCACAACAAAGAGGCAGAAGAGATAAGGGGCCTCTTCCTGCTAGCTCCTTCCCTGTGTGGGATGCAGATGAATCTGTGTAACAAGATGGGAATAGAAACAGAATCCACCCCAAACTACTGAGGTGGGCTTCAACCCTATGACGTTAGCCAAGAAACTGTTTAAATACTATTTCATCCAATATGCAACCCTTTCAGTGGGGGGAACCCACTGAAAACATAAGACCCCTGTTCAATGACGTGAGAGCAGGTCAGCGTAGCAGTGGAGTCATCTACAGAAGGATAAAAGAGCTAAGTTCTCCTTCTCCAAACGCTTACTCAAGCTTCTCTACTAGGTGGCAACTGGGACCCTGTATCTGAGGGGAAGAGGGTCCTCTGCTCAGGAGAGTGTTTGGAACTTGGAGGGTGTGGAATGTGGGAGGGAGTAGAGCCCTGGGGAAAAGAGAGTTTTGAAGTTTTGAAGATTTTACTTTTCTATTAATATTTTTTTTTCAGGCTCTGAAAATACCTGGAGATTTTGTGGAGTAGCATTAGCATTGCACAGAGTCCTTTTGCCTGAGGTTTTCCCTGAATCCTATCTCCTGGGAACCTAGGAGACACTGTGGGAAAGAAGAGTCCACAGAGGCAAGAGAAATGGCATCCTAACAATCTAAAATCCCACATATAGTCTTTCCTTGGTGATTCTCAGTTTCTACTATTGAACTTCCCTGAGTTATTTCCAGCTATAGGGTGAGGAGGGGGAATTTAAATTCCTCTTTCTATATTGTTTTCTATTGAATCTCGAAACTGTCAGGAAAAGAAAGATAAATTGGATGCTGTTATGGTTAGTCTCTGCCACTGTTTTTTTTTGTTCATGCATTGGTATTCTGAGATTGGTCAGCAGTGCAGTTCTAGCCCTGTGGGAGAAACTATAAAAGTCTAAAAGGAAAAGAAAAAAACTGCATGCTAAATTGGGATGGGGGAAAAGAAAAAGGGAATCTCTGTAGATCAAGGAGGGGCCAGTAACCTACAGCTAGTCCCCACTATCAAATTTACCTTTTTTTTTTTTTTTTTCAAAAAGCCTAGTATTCTTGGACATCACATTTTAAAAGAAAGCCAAAAATGAAAATCTCCGTTCATTGAAATAATAAATAACCCTTTCTACTGGCAGAAGTGAGTACAACAAATGGGTCCCAGTACAATTCTGCTGATAAGGTTCCTGGGAGCTGCTGAACTGTCAAAACAAGAACACGTAACTACTGAAGCTCAGTGAAAAAAAAAAAAAAAAAGGTCAAGTGGATGCTACAAGAGAGCCTTACTTTTTAAAAAGATTTAAGGCAACAATGACAACAAAAAATTAGCAGGAGAAGCTGGAGTAAAGTTGAACAATTAGTCTCTAATTATTGTTATCATAAATATTTACTATTGTAAATATAGGTACACCTTTCAAGAAAAGCTTTGTGTTGCCTTTGCCTGTGAAAATTGGACTGCATTGAACTAATCAATTTGATAGTACATGTGGCCTTCTATCTTCAACATAGCAGAAATGTCACTCTCAGATAGAAGTGCATGGGTAGCATACAATTTTTGAGCCCTAATATTTTCTGTCCAGGGTTTCCTGCTGCCCTTTTATACTGGCCTCATGGTTAGACCTACGGTGTTTTGCACTGTGATTGCATGGGGGCTGCTTTATACCCTCTGTGTGCTCCTGGTGTTTATAGTGAAGGATCGTCCTAGTGGGAGAGCTTTAAAGAGTTCTTTATGTGTTATTCCCTCAGCCACGAAGGGCTGTAAATCATCTTTTCAGGCGTTGGCTTTCCTTGGCTTTCTGGCCTGCCTGGCTGATGGTATGAGGGGACAAAGTACAGAGAGGATGCAACTGTTTTGTAGCAAGTTTCTGAAACTCAGCACATCCTGGAGGCTTTCTTCCACCTTTACCATCTTAAAAGTAGCATTTTAAGGTGACTAGGATGCCATGAATAGCTCTTGATGTGTATTACTAAATAATGTGAAAAATCAATATCCATTTCAAGGAACTGCTTTATTTCACAAGGCTTTCTTGTGGTGCTCACAGTTCTGGCACAGACTTTATTTTCCATAAGGCTCAGAAAGACCAATAATACTTTGTTGCCATTTTTATTTTTATCAATAAAATTCCTTTGGCTGTCAAATCTTCTCTTAAGCAATGTTTAAGAGTTTGAGCAGCAAAAATGTTTGAGGCTATTCTAGAATTAGAGATTCAATTTTATTCCACCCAATGCAAATACTATTCATTGACATGTACCATGTGTTAAGTACCCACCCACAGAGGTGCACAAGACAGAAACCTAGAGACATAGACACCCGCCTACATCAAATCCACCCCCAGCTCTGTAAGTCAGTTCTTCGTATTATCAGTCTGGATTTTCCAGAGAACATATATATCCTATTGGTTCTCTTTTTTGGAGGGAGAATGAGAGAGAGAGACTGAGATTTATTTTAAGGTATTGACTCACATGATTATGGAGGCTGGTCAGTCTAAAATCCATAGGGTAGATTAGGAGGCTAGAAATTTAGGCAGGATTTATATGTTACAATCTTGAGGCAAAATTCTTTTTTCTCTAGGAAACCTCCGATTTTTGCTCTTAAGACCTTCCACTGACCATGTGAGTCCCATCTACATTATGCAGGGTAATTTGCTTGACTTCAGGCTAACTGATTATAGATGTGTAAATTACACATCCACAAATACCTTCACAGCAATACCTGTGCAAGTATTTGACCAAACAAATGAGCATGATAGCCTAGCCAAGTTGACACATAAAATTAATCATCACAATATGCAAACTATCTCAGGTTTCTCTACTCATCATTATCTTTACTGCTGCTATTCTTGTTTAAACAACCAGTTTCTTTCACCTGGACAAATGCAACAGTATTCTACCTGCTCTGTTATCAGTCAGCATACTTTGGCTTATGCTATGGTAACAAGCAAACCCTACTTCTCAGTGCCTTATTTTGGTAAGCTTTTGTTGTTTGCACACTTTACATGTTGGCTCTGGCTGTATTCTATGTTATATCTTTACTGAAGGACTTGGCTGAAGGAGCAGCTCCTGTTTGAGTTGCACTGCTCTCATGGCCAAGGGAGAAAGAATAATGGCAAGACACCATGATGGCTCTTTGCACTGCCACTCCCGTGTGACATCAGTTATTCTGCTTATATTTTATTGGCCAAGGTAGGTCAGAGGGCCACGATTGATGCTAATAGGTAGGAGGTGTATCTTTTTACAACAAAGGCCAAGAAGTATTTAAAAACAGTAATATACTTACCACAACCTCTCTCTATCACCTATTCTCCACAATGTAATCAGAGATGTTCTTAAAATAAAATTGAATTATGTAATTTTCTCCTTTAAAAAAACCTTCAAATGTTCAATGCTGTATTTGTCAGAGTTCTCCAGAGAAACAGAATCAAGGGATTCTGTTTGTGTATAAAGATAGATAGATAGATAGATAGATAGATAGATAGATAGATGATAGATAGATAGATAGATAGATAGATAGATAGATAGATAGATAGATTTCTTATAAGTAGTCAGCTCCCACAATTATGGAGGCTGTCAAGTCCTAAGATCTGCAGAGTGAATGAGAGGACTGGAGACCCAAGAGAGCCAATAGATTAGTTCTGAAAGTCTGAGAATCAGGACAGCTGGTTGTGTAGTTCTGTTAATAGTTTGAAGCTGAGCAGGCTCCAGACCCATGAAGAGCCAAGGTTTCAGTTCAAGTCTGAAAGCAGGAAAAAGCCAGTGTCCCAACTTAAATGCCATTAGGAAGAAAGAATCCTCTTTTACTTGGGGAAGGGTCAGGCTTTTCGCTCTATTCAGGGCTTCAACTGATTGGATGAGGCCCACCCACATTAGGGAGAGCAATCTGCTTAATTAGTCTACCAATTAAATGTTAATCTCATTCAAAAACACCCTCATAGAAACACTCTGAATAATGTTTACCAGATAGCTGGGCATCCTGTGGCCCAGTCAATTGACACACAAAATTAACCATTATAAATCCATTTTCAAATTCCCAAAACACTTGATTATAAATTCAAACTCTTACCCATGATCCATAAGGTCATGTTCCTCCAAGCCTCACCTCAGGCCATATTCCCACATGCTTGTTCTATCGTAATCACAGCACCGGTCTGACTGCTCCTGAAACTCATCAAAATCTTGGCCGCTGCAGTATTTTTATATTCACTGACCTCCTAGGCTGGAATCACTCTTTCTCTGCCCCCTAATGCTTCGCATGTCATGACAGGATCTTTCCCACTTTTCTAGCCTCAATTTAAATGCCTCCTCCTTGGAGATACCTCCCTTGACAATCCTATCTAAAGTACCAATGCTCCTTTAATTTCTACTTTCTTTCATTAACCCATTATCTCTGGTAAAGTACCTTGGTTATGTTTCAATAGCCATTTTTAATGATCCAAAATTATTTATTGTCTCTCTCCTCTACTCAATGTAAGTGTCAAGACAGTTATACTTATGTCTGTTTTTCTCACCAATGCCTGTCTAGCCCCAGTATAGCTCATGATACATCATAAGCATTACATAAACACATAGTAAATAAATGAAAAATCGAATGGGCTGTGAGAACTCAGAAATGAGTAAGGCAAATCTATTGGGTCTAAGTATGATTGCAGCTCAATCTAAATGAAAAATCTTTCCAAATAGAAAATAATTAACTACCTTTATAGTTCTCCATAAAAACACTTTTAAAAATGTCTAGTTGATGCCAGGAGTTCTTGAGGTTTATGTGACTATTTATTCTTTAGTGATTATGCAAGGCCAGAGAGGTTGAATGACTATTCTGTAATAATCCAAAGGTTTCTTTAATTCTGACTAATAAGTTTGTACAACAAGTAAAAATACTGACTTCACTTTGATAGGGGGCCCTAAATTCTGGATTTCCTATTTGATGGTTTGTTTTGCCTAGTGTTGGATTGGGTTGGAAATATTGCAAGACTCTTGGAGTCCTCTGAGTTTTATTCATCCAAAAAGCCATTGTCACATACAAAGATTGATCTCCAAGCCTCAGCTTCCTCAGATATACAATAACAATGACAATATCTCCTTTCCAATGTGGCTAGCACAGGTCTTAGCCCACAGAAAATCTCAGTGGGCTGAAGCTGTTCTTAGGGCATAGGTGGTACGATGAGAAGCCTTGGTAGGTCAGCCCAGAAATGAAGAATTAGCTGGGACTTGACTGGGAAACCTGGGATGCTCTGGTCATAGGACAGACAGAATTCAAGGGAGGCTGACCACACATTTCCAGGACCAAAGTTTTAAAGCCCATGAGGACTGGAGAGAGCAAGATAGTACAAATATTCAGAAGAAACTATGTTAGTGTTTAAAATATGAGGACATGGACTCAAGAAAGAGAAGAAACATCCAGAACTCAGATAACTAAGGATCCAGGGCACAGGAAAATCTATAAGTCTCATGCAAAGTTCCTGAAACCTTGTTTGATAAGTATCAGCTGGCCCAGACCAAGGGTCCTCAGTGTCTAGTTCTGCAAGTTTTGACAAACACAGTTTTGTAACTACCATATAGTAGTTACCCCCTTAAAAATTACCGCCTTCCTATTTGTAGTCAACCTCTCTCCTCCACCCTTAGACCCTGCCAATCACTGATTTCTTTCTTTCTTTTTTCTTTTATAGAGACGGGGTCTCACTATGTTGCTTAGCCTGGCCTTGAACTCCTGGCCGCAAACAGTCTTCCTGCCTCAGCCTCCGGAGTAGCTGGGACTATAGGTGCACACCACTGTACCTTGACCTCTTTTCTATTCTTCTGGTTTTGCCTTTTCTGAATGTATCGTAAATAAAGTCATGCAGTTTTGTTGTCGTTTTAATAGTAATATTTTAATACAGCATAATTAATGTGTAGATTTTCTGCAATACATTCTGTAATGATTAGATATTCTTGCCTGAAAGAGAAACCTGTCATCCTTAACCAGTAAGAATTTATTTTGAGAGCTACCTGCACTGTAAACAAACATACAGACCTGGGGGAGGTGAACTGCCTGGGAAGGCAGAATTTACCAATTAAAACCAAGTTCAGTGATAGAAATATTCCACACCAGTCACATAATTAAGCCTAAGGAAATAAAACACAAGACAGAGAAAATATTTTTTTAACTAACAAAAAATAAATGCTTACTTTTCTTGCTAGGAAAGCAATATATAGTAAAAAAATGTAGAAGCAAAGGCAAGTAAGTAGAAGGAACTGTCCTCCCACCACCAATTAAAAATTATAGATTTTATCCACAATTTAAAAATATTTCACGCATAGTAATACACACACATTTATGTAAATATATAGAAATATATATATTTTACTTACAAAATGGATGTTTTGCATGCTGTTTCATAAAATATCTTTCTCTCAAAGCTTTTTACTGAATTATGAATTATGAATAGTTTCTGCCAACAGTACATGGTAGTGGTTGAAAGTACAGGAGTTAAGAACATGGACTTTGAATCAGACAGACCTGACTATTATCCCAGCTCCTCTGCTTACCAGATCTGTGACCTTGAGCAAAATACTGAAATTCTGCAAGCTTCATTTGTCTCACTTGCAAAGTAAAGACAATTATACCTAATTTGTAAGTGTGTTGTATTAAGATAAAATAATACACATAAATCATTTAGCACATTGCCTGGAAAATAATAATTATTCTACCAAGTTAGTGAACAGGAAAAGCTCAGGAAACACTTGAAATCAACATTTTTTTTTTTTTTTTTTTTGGAGAAGGAGTTCTCCCATTTTCATTGCATAAAACATATTCATTCCCAGCCCCCAGCTGGAATTTTCACAGACCCCTGACTTTTCTATTCATTGCTAGGTAATTGAGTACTACCTAAATCACTTTAAGTTGTAAACATATTCTCATTCAGAAATTAGGTGGCCTATTACCAGATAATAACCAATATTCTCAATGTGATATAATTTCAAGTCTTCTCAAAGCCTCTGCTTTGGGGTAGAAGACTTCAGTGGAAAATGTAGTTGTGATAACTTTTCTGCTGCATCGTACTCTTCTTCCATTCCCTGGCTGACTACCCAATTTCTAACACTTCACGTGTTGCAGTTGGAGAGGGAGGAGCGATAACTATGCAGGGAAGGTCTTGCTGGAACTAATGTTATACATAGGTCTGTGCTGTTGGGGCCAGTGGACAGGTGACTCTCTTGGGGGCACTTTATTTGGCTCTTTAGAGGACTCTGCTGGGCCCTCTGTCCTGCAGCTCTCTTGACTCAAGTGAAAGCATCTCTATTTCTGAGAGGCCCTTAGGACTCTTTTTGTCCCCTGGGTTCTGGCTGCTTTTGTTTCTCTGCTCATTATGCAGTCATTTGGAATAGGCTCATGATGAATTCCTCTAACATGGAAAAGACTTTCTCTCCCTCTGGTCCATGAGAACCCTGGAGAATCCCTTGCCCCAACACAGTGGAAATGCAGGTCACCTCAACATGGAAACATTCTTCTGACTCCATGACTAAAGCTGTTAGGAATGAAGAAATAAAATGTGTGTTATCCCAGTAGTGGGAAAATTAATCCCAGGTTATTACTTGTTCATGACCCAAACAAGTGAAGAGCCAAATAAAATTTATTGAGTTTTCAACAAAACTGTTCTGATTTCAAAAACCTTTCCATCATATTTTTCCTGTAAATGTATAGTCAGCGCCCAGTAGATAAACTCTGAATCTGCATCTATGACCAGGAATATAGGAGCCCTGAGAAAAATAGGCAGGATCTATAAAATTGAGTAGCAAATGATTTTTCTCAAATATTTGAGAGAACAACTTACTGTTCAGCCAAATTGTAATTGCAATGATGACTTTTGAAAATTAACTTAGATTAGCCATGATAATTTTTTCTCTTCTTTTTTTTTGTATCAAACACCGAGCACTCATTAGCTATTATGGAGTAAATATTCTCACTAAATGAAATACCAGTGTTACATCCCAGCGACCTGACTCCTGATAATAAAGCACCACTCCTATCTTGAGAATAGTCCAGTTAAGTAAAATACAGGCTGCACTGATGCCACAGTGTTGGCTCAGATTTAATTTTGAACCACTCAGTCAATGTACCATGTTAATCACTGCTTATTTGAGTGATAGCATTTTTATTCTATGTCAAGCATTTTATTCTTGACTTGCTATTTGACCAGAACAGTTGGTCAGTGGTGGAATGGTTTAGAGGTCTTACTTTTTTCCGTTTTCTCACTAAAGCACTCCCTCGGAAAGGCATCTGAGAGAAAGATGTGGAGGTGGGCAGGGCCTTTCATTTGTCTTCCAGTTTTATTACTCTGCCCCTCTTAGGCCTGGCTGACATCCAGTGTCTCAGAGCCTCTGTCTGTCAAGAAGCCAACCTCCTGGCTGGAAAGATATCCAGATCAGGAGACATTAGACTCAGGAGCTGGAAATAAAGAGATCAACAATAAACATGGTACATTCAGTATTCTATTTCATGACCCTAAGTAATAAACATGAAAAAAACTGTATGTCCTCAGGGGCACAAGGCTATAAAGGACTCAGCTCATTGATGGCCTGGTAAAATCAGACTATTATTTCTCATCTTTCCCTTTAGAGGGTTAATTGTCAGAGATTCATCTAGCTGGTAAAGTGTTTGACAAATGCTTCAGCAAAACTTTTTAAAAAGTGCTTTCCAAATCTACTTAACAAATATCATAAATATAGAAAACCTTTCTAAATATAATGGCATCTTTCTACAAACTAGCTGGGATTCTTTTGTTGCAAGTAATAGAAACACAATAGGAACCAGCTGAAGCAAAAAGAGAAAGGACATCAGAAAGATATCCCGAAATGTATATAAACACCAAAGCGTGTAATAGAATCCAGAGGGTATAAAGTCCACTGGGCTTCAGAAATGGGCCACAAAAATGGAGCCCTTGTGGACACTTGGGAAAACTTCCTTTTATATCTTTTGTTTGGGCTTTTCCCTGTGAATGTAAATGTACTTTTTTCTTACCTTGTGCTGCCCCCAAGTCCACATAGTGGAGTATAACTTTTAAAAAGAATCTACATATTATATGTCATCATTGAAGAACCCAGGGAGAGTCCCAGTCCTCAAATTCTCAAAGCAAGGATCACATGGCTCAGTGTAAATCATGCACCCATCCCAGGAATAATCTGTGGCCCTAGTGACTGAGTCATGCTACAAAAGTGCTGCTGTAGTTTAAGATCCATGGATTGAGATCATGAGGCAATTCCCAGAAAATTTGAGATATTTTCCTTGAAACACTTTGTGAGGTAGGGGAGTTTGGGGCAAAATGAAATATTGGCATCCCGTGCTTTCAACTTTTCAGATAGTGAATGCTAACATGTTAAAGTTTTAAACAGAGCTATGAAGATAAAAGAGTGTATGAATGGATTCATGAGAAAATTAAATATGTATAGCATTGCACTACATTAAAATGCTGGCTGGACTTATTTGGAAAAGAGGCAACACAACAAAAAAGTTAAATGTTGACTCTGGAAATTTTTTGCCTAAATTTGAAATTGGGCTCCACTCTTTCCACAATTGGAAATTGGGAAATTTGCCTAGGAAGTTTTGCCTAAATTTGAAATTGGGCTCCACAGTTTCAATTGCCCATTGAAATTGGGCAATGCGTCTGCTGGGTGCCCAAATTTCCTCATCCATATAAAGAGAATAATAGAATTGCCCATCTCTATGGGTTATTATGTGATTAAAATGAATTAATATACATGTAAAGTGCTTTGAACAATGCCCGGTGCATAGGAACACTTTAATGTTAATTGCTGTCACTTTTATTTGGATATTCAATATGAGAAATCAGTTCAACTTTTATCTCACCCCACTGAGTTACTGTGAGATAATATAACACCTGATTATTGCTGCATTAGCTTGGACTCAGATTCTCACATGGGCAATACTGCCTTTGGTGGCCTTTAGTGGGGACTTATCAGACCACTCGAAGTCATTAAACTCTTCAATAAGGCAAATAGTGCAGAACTGAGTAATGTCCAACAGTCAAATAAGGTCTTGCATTCACTTTTAACTTCATGATTCTAGATGTATCTGTATGACATTGGGGCCCTTCTCTTTCACCCATCAAATATTGCCTCTCAAAATTATAGTCATTTTATGCACACATAAAATGAAGAGGCCTTTAGGTTAGGAAATAATACTATAGCATTGTTTTGAGCTTCATAAATATGCATATCTGCACATGAGTCTTCAAGTTTCATAGGCTCATGAATAAATGCAGGGACATGGATTTAGCACATATTTCTTATTTAGTGTTTATGTGCTTGTCCATCTGTTGCTTGATCATTGCATTATAGAAGAGCATTTATACAGCTAAAAGAAAGACTTATTTTACTTCCAAATCTGTTTTCACAAAACAATAGATCCATTTTCAAAGGCTCGTATATTATCATGGAAGGTTGTTTTGGGACAGGTAACATACAAGAAGCAAATTCACTTTCTTGTTCTTCCTTCACTTTTTATTTCATTCACATACCCCCTACAGACACACACACACACACACACACACACTTCACACATGGGTAATAAGAAGGTCCATGCTATTCCAGCTATTACTTAAAATTTAAGCAAAAAGCCACCTGCAGGTTGAAATTGTTATTAGGTTTAGCTGTGTCAACAAAACTTACATAGTTATGAGTGTCCTGAATTCATTCCAACAATCTTGGAGCCATATTTTAAAAAAGAACATTAACAAGACAGACTTTGGCCAGAGAGGGACAGCTGTGCTGTTAAAGGCTCTGAAAATTACATATTTGAGAAATAATGAAAAGAACCAGAAACGCCTTAGGCTCTTGTCACTCAATGCTGCTCAATGGTAAAACCTCTTCATGCCTTTAAAAATTACAAGCCACTAGTCGAAGCTTGCACAAATATGCTTCAAAAATCAATTGTATTTAAATGGTATATAATTGTTTACATTCTATAAAAATATATATTCAATTAAATAGACATTTATTGCATTATTTCACAAAGGATTATATTAGGTGCTGGGTGTTGTGAGTGAAGAGGATGGGCTTAGCTTTGGATATGAAGCATTTGAAGGGTTGTCAGGATGGTCATGTATAGCAGGCAATTAGACTGGCAATGATGGACTGGGTAAAGAAAATGTGGCACATATACACCATGGAATACTATGCAGCCATACAAAAGGATGAGTCTATGTCCTTTGCAGGGACATGGATGAAGTTGGAAACCATCTTTCTTGGCAAACTATCACAAGATCAGAAAACCAAACACCGTATGTTCTCACTCATAAGTGAGAGTTGAACAATGAGAACACATGGACACAGGGAGGGGAACATCACACATTGGGGCCTGTCGGGAGTTGAGAGGGCTAGAGGAGGGATAGCATTAGGAGAAATACCTAATGTAGGTGACGGGTTGATGGGTGCAGCAAACCACCATGGCACGTGTATACCTATGTAACAAACCTGCACCTTCTGCACATGTAACCCAGAACTTAAAGTATAATTTTAAAAAATATGAGATACACATTTTGCAACAAGAGCCAAGCTATTTAGGAGTAAAGGAATTGTAATATGAATTAAGTACAATACATGACATTTGATGATTTTTAAAGATTAATGTCTGTTGCAATTTTTAGGCATTCCATTTTAGCCTAGGTCATTACTGTCGTTTTACTTGTCATGGCAGTACCTGAAACCACATCATTGTTTCTATTATTAATCAGATTCCCTAAATTTTCCTTTTTCAAATTTATAATAATTCATATGTGCCCCATCCCTTAATTTGAAATGTTCTTTTTTTTTTTTTTTTTTTTTTTTTTGAGATAGAGTCTCACTCTGTTGTCCACGCTGGAGTTCAGTGGCACCATCTCGGCTCACTGCAACCTCTGCCTGCCAGGTTCAAGTGATTCTCCTGCCTCAGCCTCCAGAGTAGCTGGGATTACGGGTGCCCACCACCATGCCCAGCTAATTTTTGTTTTTTGTTTTTTGTTTTTTTTGAGACGGAGTCTCGCTCTTTTGCCCAGGCCAGAGTGCTGTGGTACGATCTTGGCTCACTGTGAGCTCCGCCTCCCGGGTTCACACCATTCTCCTGCCTCAGCCTCCAGAGTAGCTGGAACTACAGGCGCCCGCCACCATGCCCGGCTAATTTTTTGTATTTTTAGTAGAGACGGGGTTTCACCGTGCTAACCAGGGTGGTCTCGATCTCCTGACCTCGTGATCCGCCCACCTTGGCCTCCCAAAGTGCTGGGATTACAGGCTTGAGCCACCGTGCCAGGTGAATTTTTGTATTTTTAATAGAGACGGGGTTTCACCATCTTGACCTGGCTGGTCTCCAACTCCTGACCTCAGGTGATCCGTCCACATCCACCTCCCAAAGTGCTGGGATTACAGGCGTGAGCCACCGCACCCGGCCATTTGAAATGTTCTTAATCGATCTCTTGGATGTCTGCAAGGAAGCACGTGAAAATGTAGGATAAAATATAATCTTCTCACTGCATGAAGGCAAGAAGCCCATTGATGTTGAAGGCATGCATCTTGCAGACATCACCATGCAGTATACAGTACCCATTTGCATTAAGTCAACAAATCCTTTGGAAGTGTGATGCATGTCTTCTGGACAAAAGAAAGAGGATTCCATTTCAATGAGACCTAAAAATATTATGGAATAATAGTTGAATATATGGAGCTTATAATAATAACTGGCTTTCCCAATAAAATATCATGAATCTACAATGGTCTCACACCCTGGTATTTTAATAATGGCATTTGAGAGAAAGGTTTCTATATGTCACTCTTCGTCAATAAACAAATGGTCTTGAAATGCACTATTCTATGAGTTACAGGAACAAAACCTAAAGGGTCTTGGTGGAATAAACTTGAACAATAAAATGTGAAACTTCTATAAATATAAACACAATCCTTGAAGGCAGGAATATTTTCTCCCTCATTCATTTTTGCTTTTCCAGATAACAATTCAGCTCCGATTTTGTATCACATCATATACTTCATTCCAGCTAACAATTAACTTATTTCTGGGTAACAAATAACTTATTTCTGTGAAATGACAGCATGGAGCTGCTAACAATACCTCAGGAAGACATGGTAATGATTTCTCTCGGTGTTTGTCTAAAGAAAAAAGAATGTGGCAAGGAGGAAGTAAATCTGATGAGCATTAAATGGCAGTGTTGCTTTTTGAAAGAAATCACATGAATAATGAATCAAATACATCCGCGAATATATTTAGCTGTGCGTTGTGCAGGTGAATGCAGGGACACGTGCTCCTCTTGCAACACCGGAGCTCACAGCCACCAGCATCTGATCACTAGCCTTTCCAGGAGCTATTTTAAAACAGGTGTGGCATTTTTTTTTTTCTACCACAGAAACTAAGAAATATTTAAAAAGTTTTGTTGCCTGAATTTTCTGAGGCTCTCTATTCAAGGGCGGGGTGGAGAATATTCTTCAATAAAGGCATATGCCTTTATTTGAAGGCATTTTGCATTCTTAAACACTATTTGTTCTATGATGGATTGAATTGTGTTGTGGAATAACCTCCTCTGTGCTCTGCCGTTCTCCAGTGTCCCCTTTCAATAACTTGTTTCTGGCCTCTCTAGAGGTTCATTTGTTCAAGAAAGGGCAATAATAGTAAGGACTGAAAAGTACACTCCAGAGGCAAGCATGCCATTGCTATAATATCTGGGATACTGTTTTTTCACTCTAAATATGTGCTTCTCAATACCACAGCTGTCCGTTATGGGTTAAAGTGTGTATCCCAAAAAGATATGCTGAAGTCCTAAACCCAGGTACCTGTGAATGTGACCTGCTTTGGAAGTAAACTTTGCAAATGCACTCAAGTTAAGATAAGGTCATTAGGGTGGGACCTAATTCAGTATGACTAATGTCCTTATCAGAAGAGGAGAAAAGGCCTGGGCGTGGTGGCTCATGCCTGTAATCCTAGCACTTTGGGAGGCTGAGGCGGGCGGATCACCTGAGGTCGTGAGTTTGAGGCTAGCCTGGCCAACATGGTGAAACCCCATGTCTACTAAAAATACAAAACTTAGCCAGGCATGGTGGTGGGCGCTTGTAATCCCAGCTACTTGGGAGGCTGAGGCAGAAGAATCAGTTGAACCTGGGAGGCAGAGGTTGCAGTGAGCCACCATTGCACTCCAGCCTGGGTGACAAGAGTGAAACTCAGTCTCAAAAATAAATAAATAAATAAACAAACAAACAAATACATAATAAATAAGAGGAGGAAAGAGGCAGAAAGGGTCACTCAAGGAGAATACCACATGACAATAGAGGCAGAGATTGGCATGATGCTTTCTTAGCCATGAATACCAAGGATTTCTAGCAATACCAGAAGCTAAGAGAAAGGCAAGGAACAAGTTCTCCCCTACAGCCTTCAGGGAGAGAATGGCTCTGCTAATAGCTTGATTTCAGACATCTGGCCTCCAGAACTGGGAAAGAATACATTACTGCTGTTTAAAGCCACCTAATTTGTACAATAGTATTTTGTTACAGCATCTCTAGGAAACTAATACACTATCTAAATTTAAATCTCTGGAGTGAGGGGCAAGAAGCCAGTGAGCGTATGGAGACAAACTAGTAATGCATGATGTGGGTATTTGACCAATGGTGTCGAACATCTCCACACATTGGTTAATGAAAGGATATATTGCAATCATCACTAAATATGTGGGAGGTATAGATTGACAAGGTTTGCCTCAGTTTGTCCAGGGAGTGCTGGTTTCCACTTATTTCTGGGCATAATAACTACTAGGACTCTTTCATTTTCACAGTATCCCAGTTTGGATAATAAGTTATGGCCATTCTCCTTCCTTGTGCACTATTAAGCACTTAGTGAAAGAATACATCTTCATCACTAATCTTCTGTATTTTCGATTTAAAAAATTTCTAGTATCACAGGCAAAATCCCTCTGACACTGCAGTGAATTGAAGATTTAAGATTCCCAGACCCTGGGTCACTTTCAGGCTTAATTCATTCTGGGACCCACAAAATTACACCTCTCGTACTTGGGTCCTCAGGAAATAATGTTTCACTTTGTTTAAACAAGTTGGAATAAACAAAATCAGTCATACCTGAGGTGGGGGAGAATGGGGGCAATAACAACTAAATTCAAGTGCAACACAAGTACTCTGAACTATACAATGCCTTTCAGTTACTCTCCAGTGATCGAGATTAGCAATGTGGATCCTGAAAAAGAGTCAGAGATATGGCCCGTTTCTTGCTTTGTCATAAATTCTTCCTGACCTTGAATAAATGTGTCTTTTCCTTTGGTTTTCCCACTTGAGAAGTGAAAGCTGTAATAATTAGCTTTTTATTTTCTTGATATATGTCGCTTAATTAGAGAATGCTGGTGAAACGCCTTCAACAATTTGAGAAAAACACTTTGTATGTTCCATGCCTTGGTGATGGACCTATACAGAATTTACTCATCAGAGTTAGAAAGACAGATGAGTTCTCATTTCTTGTCAGTTGCATGCTTGTAGTACTACCATGGTGTAGTCCTGGTGAAGTGTATATGAAAAATGACTTTATGCAGTGTCTACCAATCTTTGTTTACTCTTTGTTTTCCTCTCCTATATATTACGTTACATTTAAAATAAAACAATTGACATTGTTTTCTCCTGGTGACTGCTTTTAGCCTCAACTCTGGCTTCTGAAGCTAAAATGAGGCTCCCTGTTTCTTTCTACACTTATGACTGCCAATCTAACACCTTAGGAAGGCAGTAGGGGATGTTGCTGACAGCAAAAAGCTGACTTGGAAGGTGGTATTGGGGCAGTAGGATGTTTCCCAGGTATTTGTAAATGTAGGTGTGGGCAGAGCAGTCTGGTGTAATTGTTAACATCAATACCCTGCACTGCTCCTCCTCAGACAGTGTTCATACAATGCCCTTTGAATAGCGGTACCATTGCAATGACAGTATTATATTATACTTTTCTGTTTGTAGGTTTGTTAGTTCCAAGAGATGGTGCATTGCTAAAGATTCAAGCTATATTTACTCACATTTTAACTTTTATTTCTAGTACTTTCCTAAATGCTAGAAAATAAGTAGAATTGAATGCACATTTAATAAATGAGTAGTAACCTTTTAAAGAACAAAAATTGGCTGGTTATTTAATCAGTGAACTAGTATGGAGACTTTGTAATGTGCCAACTTGGCTACACTGACCTGTGTTTACAACATTCCCTTTTTTTCTGAAATTTTTCTTTTCGTGTGATCCATGAGAAATATTCTGTATAAGCTTCAGAGGGCAGAGAGGAACTAGAAGCCATATTGCTTTTAAGCGCTCAAAAGTTTGAGCCAAGGTCATCAGATGCTTTCGTAGTTCACCAACATTGTTGCTAATCTGCTGTCGCACCTCCTTGACATGAGATGGCAGCCAGGACAGAAACTGCTTCACCTGTCCCCAGATCCGCTTTGAATTTCTCCAGCTTGTATGTCACTCCATCATGAAGGGTGCTGGTGTGCCCTGTGGAATACTCACATGTGCAAGTTGGGAAGCATTGAGAACTGAGGCTGGTTCCAGTGTGTCCTTGTGGGTCCCATCATCTGCTTGTGGGCTCTAGCTTGTCCCAATTTTCCCTCATTCTATAGCTATCTTTCCTCTGACAGTCTGTGCAGTAGACTTCAAGCTCCAGCATCAGATGCAAAGACAATAGCCTTACCAACACTGCTTAACTTTCACAATTGCACAAGGTCAAATTCCTGTAAGAAATCTTTTACATGCACACACACCCCTTATGTATGCATGTGAATATGTATGTATATATACCTCCTACTGGTTCTTCTTCTCCAGTTGAATCCTGATTGTTACAGCTGGTCTAAGAGACCCTGGAGATAAATTGCTGAAGAGTCCTCTCTCTCTCTCTCTCTCTCTCTCTCTCTCTCTCTCTCTCTCTCTCTCTCTCTCTCTCTGTGTGTGTGTGTGTGTGTGTGTGTGACTGAGACAAAGGCACTATAAGAGTAATGCTAGCTGTTGGAACAAACATCATTAAAACAAACCTCAGTAATTTAACAGGTTAAATTTTTCTTGCTCTACAGAAGTCTAATGCATTTCTCTTTGTTGGGGGAGAGGACACATTTTTTTTCTGTACTTAATTTAGAAACCCAGCCTGAGGAGACCTCTCTATCTCCAAGAAGGGGCTACTGAGGTCTCCCTGGGCAACAGCATTCAGCCAGAAGATGGGATAAGACACACAGTAGAATATGCCTACCTATATCCTAGCCACTTCAGGTTAGAAGTGGCACCTGCCATTCTGCTTATATTGCATTGGTGAGAACTAGTTCCATGACATCACTTTAAACAACTGGTGGAGCTACGTAGTCCCTTCTCAGCTACAATGGCATCATGGAAGGGGAACACAAATGTTTGGGGGAACAGCTAGCTATCATTTCCATACAGAAACTTATGTAAAAAATGTTGATAAAAAAAAAACTTGATCATCTTTGTTTATTCTTGAATTTCAGCTTGGTTCCAGACTTGCTTAGGGAAAAGAAAATACAGTGAAATTCAGTCCATAGGGAGAGCCAAAAAACAGATCTGGCCAACTTCAAGATGGCATGTTCCATTGTACCCTGAAGTGAATGGCAGGCAGCACAGCTTGCAGCCTCTTTAGAAGAAGTTCTGGCCCTTGGAGATCAAACTGAAATAGAAATATTCATTTAAAAATTTTGTGCTAACTGCCAAAACCATTAACATCCAAGTTCTATATGAATGTGTCTTGAGGTAGCTGGCCAATTCCTGGAGGCAGCCGTTCCACCTAGCTTTATTCCTTTGTTGCTTGGAGTTGGCTAGCTGCAAGTACGGACATCAATGGCCTAGAGTAAGCAGTTATGTACCCAATTTTGGTACATCTTTTGAATAAGTTGGCTGGCTGAGTTTGTAAGTGTTTCTCCTTCTTTCCCTCTCGATTTTGCAGCTTTTGTGCAAAAGTTGAAGTCAACTTCTACTTAAATCCCATTCTGTTTTCTTTAAATATCCTTTATTAAGTATTTTCAGTTTTCTATTTAAATAAATGATCATAGATGTGCGACTTAGAAAAAAATCAGCATCTAATTAAAGCTCACATATGTTTATGCTTTTTCTCCATTTACTCATTTGTATGCAAAATTGTTTTTCATTTTATTTTTTTTTCTGATTTGATTTTCTATTTTGGCATTTTCCCATGTTTGTTTCATAAGCTGAAATTTTGTGATTTAATAAAAATCAAGCAACTATTAAAGAGGTAAGTTTTACTAAGGATTGTGTTTAATCCAACAAGCTATATATTTGCTGAAAATCTCTCTCTGCTCAAAGAAGTCTGTCTGATAAATTCTTGATTTACTTTATTGATAGTTTTCTTTCTTTTGAAAAGATAAAACAATCTGAGCTATTCTTTTATACTTAATTCTAATCAACAAAGATATTTGGTGCTATCCGGGTAAGGCCAGATTCAGAAAGAAGAACCATTTTCATCTTAGAGTTTTCATATCCAAATAAGGGAATGCTGAGCCTTGACAGACAGGTGAACTAAAGCTTAGATAGGCATATATCTATATTCTCAGGAAAAAATAATCCAATGACCAGGCTTGGAGAGGGAAGTAGCCCAAGTCTGTGAAAATCTTTCAAAAAGAAAACTTTGCAATCTAATAAAAAAAGATTCATGGAGGAAAAAAGGAGGCATCTAATAATTTATAGCCATTATAAAAAAATTGTACTTTTAAAGGACACTTAAATAATAGAAGAGAGTGATGTAACCAGCAATGATTATACAAGAAGGGCATAGAGCATAATAACAGTATTAAGAAAGGCTAAAAACCCAGAATCAACAGAACCTTCAAAAAATTCAGTACATCTACCACATAAAAGGCACTATCCATTAGGTGTAAGGAGAATTGAGACTTGTTAGTCATGCTCTTTCATCTGAATAAATTTTCAGTGAGTTGCTAAGGGAATTAAAATGTGGCTTTAGACTTTTTTAAAAAAACAATAAAAACAAAAATGGAAGATTTATGGTTTTCTCAAGAAATTTAATAAAAATATGAAATAATAGACATAACTTTTTAATTATTATTTTGGTTCATTTTTCTTCACCATAAATAAGAATTATTTAAATTAACAAGATCTAATTTCAATATACAATTCTATGTAAAGAAATATACTACACTAGTAAGAACACTGCTCAGTAGTTGCTCATTTAAAAAAAAATCTAGTTTTACATACTGCTGATTCAATGTAAGAAGGCAGAGTAGAAGCTTTCAAACTAACTAATATACATTTAGATTTTACTAATAGGATAGAATTCCAATCACTGTAAATGAAGCTCACATTTCAGTTTGAACTGGTAACATCTAAAGTCTTAGATTTATAAATGAGTACATTGAGTTGCCTGTTTTAGTTGGCATAGCTTATTACAGACTAATCCTTTCAAAGAGAATAATTTACAAATGAACAGAACCACACCACACACACACACACACACACACACACACACACACACACACCCCTGTTTGAAAACATTGGAACACTCTTTAAGTAGTCATGATTTGAGTTACCACCAAGATTCAAGAAATAAGATAAATGAATTGTTATAGACCGGGAGTTCTGTGAAATCCTTCCCCCTGAGCCATTTTAACAAAAGTCTATAAAGCTGAGAATCTGTGAAGATGGGGGCTGAGATCTTGAGCAAATCTTTCAAAAGTCTCACCTAAGACTCTAAAGCAGGGCTACTAAGGCAATCAAGGATTAAACGAAGATCTTAGAAAAAGGAAAAACATATTGAGGTGAGCCAATAATCTGAACTGCTTTTCCGCTTGAGGCATTTTCCAATTCTTAAACTGCAGAACCAAAGGCTACAGGGCAGAGCAGAAATGTTTGGCTAAGAAGCTGGGAAACAACTGAGTTTCTAACAGTCTCACAAAGGTGATGGTACTAACTTGGAACCAAAGCCTGTCAGGGGAGGAGGGCCACCCTTCCAGTTAGAACTCCTGAATATCTGTACTCTGGGATTAAGTTTTACAAAGAAATTAACTGGTATATACAAAAGATTAAAACCTATCTTTAATCTAGCTATAGCCCAATGTGGATTAAGGTGACATGCCCCTATTGTGAATGTCTGCAAGAAAACAAAATTAAATTCTCTCTGGAAAAACATAAAATTAGATTCTGCCTTCAGTTATCTCCACATCTTTTTACACATAATTATTGGCCTACCATGAAGACTAGAAAACAGAAACAAATGACTGAAAACCAAGGAGAAAAAAGATAATTAAAAATAGAACCACAGACCACTCAGATAGTGTTAATAGAAGTGGACTTTAATATAACCGTGACCAATAAGTTAAAGAAAAGAGATGATTAGATGGAGCACTTTACCAGAGAATTGGAATCTATAGAAACATTAAATAGAAAATGTATCAACAGGCTGGTGGTTCACGCCTGTAATCCCAGCACTTTGGGAGGCCGAGACAGGTGGGTCACTTGAGGTCAGGAGTTTGAGGCCAGCCTGGCCAACATGATGAAACGGTGTCTCTACTAAAAATACAAAAAATTAGCTGGGTGTGGTGGCATATGCCTGTAATCCCAGCTACTCAGGAGGCTGAGGCAGGAGAATTGCTTGATCTTGGGACGCAGAGGTTGCAGTGAGCCGAGATTGCACCATTGTACTTCAGCAATTCAATCTTTAAGATTCCATCTCAAAAACAAAAAAAAAATGTAGCAACAAAAAAAACCTTGAAATTAAGTACACAATAAATTGTTTTAATGAAGATTAGATACACAGAAGAGAAGATTAGTGAAATAGAAAACAACTCAACAGAACATATTAAGACCCAACAAAGAGAAGCAAAAAAGCAAAAATATATAAGGAAATGCAAGAAACATATGTGGCACAAATAAAGTTACAAGTAATTGATTCCAGAATAAAAATAGACAAACTATAGTCTATAAATTGGCTGCCTATTTTTGTAAATACAATTTATTGAAATATGGCCATTTCTACTCATTTACACATTATTTAGGAAGTTTTCTGGATTACAATAGTGGAGTTGGCTAGTTGTACTAGAAACTGAATGAACTGCAAGTGTAAAATGTTAATTATCTTCCTTTTTAAGAAAAAGTGTGTCAAATCCTCCCTTGAAGACACAACTGACCTCCTCCAGTCAATATAGTTTTTGAATAGCCATACTTTCCAATGATGTTTTTTAAATTTACTCCTGTAGAAGAAGTAGAAAACAAAGAGCAAGATGGTAGGCTTAAATTAAAAACTATTAGTAATCCAATTGAATGTAATACTCAGACTGAATAAGAATTAAACATGCTAAGTACGTGGTGTTTACAAGAGACATACCTAAATATAATGACACAGAAATATACCATACAAACCTAAGTAAAACACATACACATACACATGCACATGCCCACACATATGCCAAAATGAATGCTGCACAGTTACTATCAATTAAAGTAGAATTTAAGGCAAGAAATATAATTAGCGACAAGAAGTGATGTTTCATTATAATAAAATGGTCAATCTACCAGGAAGATGTATCAACTCTAAATTGAGTGCAAATAATAATATGGCCTCAAAATATGTAAAACAAAAATGGATGGAACTAGTAAGAAAAAATATTCAAATTTCACAATTATTTTAAGTCACTTTAATGCATTTTTCTGAGTAACTGAAGGAACAGACAAAATCACTAAATATTACAAATATTTGAAAATACAATTAAGAAACTTGACCTAATCAGCATATATAAATAAGGCACACAACTTCAAGAAACACTTCCTTTAAAATTGCTTATTTTACATTTACTAAAGTTGGCTTTTCATGCAGTCAGTTTCAACATATTTTAACTAGAATTATTTAGCGTAGTTCTCTAGCAACAGTGGAATTAAGCAAAACAGATGCACACAAAAAAGGGAGGGATTCCTAAGTGCTTAAGACTACGTTTGTCGAGGGTCTCCAGGGCAATTTCCAGGTTCAGTGATCTGCTGTGAGGATTCACAGGACTCATCACATTGTCATACTCATGGCTATGATTTGTTACAAATCAAAGGCAAAATCAGCAAAGGGAAAAACTGATGGGGTGAAGTCTAGGGGAAAAAACAGGTCCGACCTTCCAGAATCTTCTCCCAGAGAGGTTCACACATTGTATTAGGGTTCTCCAGAGAAACAGAACTGATAGAATACATATAGACATATATAAGAAGAAACTTATCAGAATTGGCTCACATGATTATGGCCCAGAAGTCTCACATTATGCCATCTGAAGGTAGAGAACCAGGAATGCGGATGGTGTAGTCCAGTATCAGTCCAAAGGCCTACAAATTAGGCGAGCCACTGGTGATGTAACTCCCAATTCAAGGCTGAAGAATCGTGAACTGGAGAGCAGGGGGACACTGGAGTAAGTCCAGGAGTTCAAAGGCTCAATAACCAGGAGCTCCGATGTCCAAGTACAGGAGAAGCTGGATGCCCCCGCCAAAGGAAAGAGAGAATTCAGTCTTCCTCCACCTTTTTATTCCATTCTAGCCCTCTACAGTTTGGAAGATGCCTGCCTATATTGGTGAGATGGGATCTTCTTTACTCAGTCTACTGATTCAAATGCTAACCTCTTCTGGAAACTCTCACAAACACACCCAGAAATAGTATTTTACCAGCGATCTGAACATTACTTAGCCCAGTCAAGTTGGCACATAAAATTACCCATCACACACAGGATGCACTTATTTCTTCCAATGAGTTGTGACAACACATGTGAAATGTTGCCAACCAGGAAAACTCATTAAAGACTCAGTGCCCAGGGTTTATATTGGAGGCTGGTCACGTAGGCAGGTTCTGCCTGGCATGTGCCAAAATTTCAGACTCCTAGAAGGAAAGCAAGTATTCAGCATGCATCATATTCTTTGTACAGTTTATGCATAGTGAGCCACTCTTATCAGTTGTGGGAATGGGGGAAACTTTCCCCAAATCCAAGTTCTAGTAAATCTTCCAAGGGCCTACCTTGTATTTAGGACTTTCAAAAGATAGCATTCAAGCTTGCTGTGTTAACTCTTTTCTGCACACACTGGGTCAAAGAAGAAATTACAATGAGAATTAGAAAATATGTTAAATTAAATGATAATGAAAATATGATGTATCAACATCTGTGATGCCACAACAACCATGCTTGGAAATTTCTATCTCTAAATGCATATGTTAGAAAAAAAAAAGACTAAAAATCAAATCTCGAAGCACTCATATAAATAGATCAGAAGAATAATAGCAAACTAAATCCAAAATAATAAAAGCAAAAACCATGCAATAGAGAAAACCTAACTAAGCCAAAAATTGCTTCTTTGAAAAGTTTAATGATAATGAAAAACTCCCGGGAAGACTGATCAAAGAAAAAAAAGGTACATGATATAAATTACAAATACCAGGAATAAAAAAGGAGTCATTATAGATATTTTATATATCAAAAGAATAAAAATATATATTATTACTGACTTTATGCTAGTCAATTAAATATGTAAATGAAATGAAAAATTTCCTTGAAGAAAATACAGCTTATTAACAATGACAAGAAGCATAAAATCTTAATAATAGACATTAATCAAAAGAAATATGTAACTAAAAAACATTCAACAAAGTTCTTAGGTGGCTTTAGCAATGAATTCTACGAACTGTTCAGTAAGAAATAATACCAAATACATATAAACTTTTCTAGAGAATAGAAGAAATTTTTTTAATTCTATTTTTGAGTGCAGCATAACTTGATACTTAGATACTAAACTTTCAGAGACATTACAAGAAAGGAAAATTACAAATGCAAAAATCCTAAACAAAATATTAGCAAATCAAATTCAGGAATATGTAAAAAGGGTAATATATCATAAAAAGTTGGGTTTATTCCCAGATACAAGTTTGGCATAACATTCAAAACTCAGTTGACATAATTTAGCACAGTTATGAAATAAAAGAGGGAAGCATATCATCAGCTCCTTACATGTGAAAAAGTATTCGATAAAATTTAAACACCTTTTCCTTATGCACTATTACATAATCAGTGCAATCATAGTTTGGAAGATATTAAGACTGGCTAAATAGAGTGGTGCTATTGTAGACAGGGGATGTTGTAAGACATATTCTCTTGTGAATTTATCCACAGCAAATATTAACAGCTTTAGTGACATGTCTATTCTATGTCACTGGAACAGACAATTAATTAATCAGGTGGTGCTTCCTCTTTTCAGCTGCTCATCAGACAAGAAGCCTGATGTTTGCCCCCTTAGCAGTGCTCTTTGTGAGGTGTCTTCTTTTTCCCCCAGAAAACTACAAATTTCACTGCATGTGTGCTACTTACTATAGGAATGAAGCAACAGGTTCTTTATTCCATTGGTGCATGTTAGTTTATCTAACTGAATAGATAAGTCTCTAGAAATAGAAAATGGATCTTAAAAGAATGAGCCACAGGACAGGTATACATTTGCTATGAACTGAATGTTCATGTCTTTTCAAAATGTATGCATTTAAGCCTTAATCCCGAATATGATGGTATTGGGAACCTGAGGGAGGTGGAGAGAGGGGGAGCCCTCATGAATGGATTCGTGTCCTTATAAGATGGGAGATGGGAGAGATCATCTCTCTGCCTCATGAGGACGCAATAAGAAGATGGCCATCTGCAAACCAGGAAATGGGCCCTCATCAGAACCGGACCACACTGGTGCTCTGATCCCAGACTACTTAGCTTCTGGAACTGTGAGAAATAAATTTCTGTAGTTTAAACCAACCAGTCGGCCAGGCACGGTGGCTCACGCCTGTAATCCTAGCACTTTGGGAAGCTGAGGTGGGCAGATCACTTGAGGTCAGGAGTTCAAAACCAGCCTGGCCAACATGGTGAAACCCCATCTTTACTAAAAATACAAAAGATTAGCCAGGCGTGGTGGCAGGTGCCTGTAATCCCAGCTACTCGGGAGGCTGAGGCAGGAGAATCCAGGAAGCGGAGGTTGCAGTGAGCTGAGATCGCCCCACTGCATTCCAGCCTAGGCGACAGAGAGAGCCCGTCTCAACAAAAAAAATAAAATAAGGCCGGGCGCAGTGGCTCACGCCTATAATCCCAGCACTTTGGGTGGCTGAGGCGGGAGGATCACCTGAGGTCAGGAGTTCGAGACCAGCCTGGCTAACATGGAGAAACCTCGTCTCTACTAAAAATAGAAAAAATTACCCAGGCTTGGTGGTGGGTGCCTGTAATCCCAGCTACTCAGGAGGCTGAGACAGGAGAATTGCTTGAACTCGGGAGGCAGAGGTTGTAGTGAGCCGAGACTGCGCCATTGCACTCCAGCCTGGGCAACAAGAACAAAACTCCATCTCAAAATAAATAAATAAAATAAAATAAAATAAACCACGGAGTCTATGGTATTCTGTTATAGCAGCCTGAACGAGCTAAGACAACATTGAAGCAGAGCAAGAAGAGGTTCAGGAAGATTCAGAGTCCAGAGACTGGGCCTTTGTTTGGAGACGTCAAACTCGTCAGGGGTACCAGTTGGGGTTCATGGTCAGAAGTAGAGGAAACTTATTTTGCTAGGGAGGGAAGAGGAATGCAAAAATAGTGAAAGCGAATCGAAAAGAGAAACAAAGTTCACTTGGAAGAGACCTTGGAGAACATATTCACCTAACATGGGAAAATCAAACACCTTAGGGTTGAGCTGGCTTCATGAAGGTCACAGTTGCAAAAGGAAAATAAAACTCCAGTGCTTTGATGTCTGGCAGCATGCTCTCCCCACATTAAAACAAAATTATTACAGCTTCCTATATTCATGTTTTTCACACTAATTTGACAACTGTTCCTCCAGCCTGCAGATACAGATAAGAATATAATTTCTAACTTAAAAAGAAAATGAAGCACTCAAAATCGTGTTTATGTGCTTTTGGTTACTTTTGTTAAGAAATGAAAAAAAAACCCAATAGTTTGGGGACAGATACAAGAAATGGTAAATGAGTAGACATTTTGCAACATGTCTTTATCTTCCCTCTTTGACATCTTGCTCCTTGAGGAAAACATTTTGGCTGATTTTTATTTCTATTTCATTGTATTGCAGTGGTGGATGCATACAGTAGTTCTGTAATACACCTTATTAAATGAATAAAGGAAAAATATTTGCTTTAGAAGCCCCTAAAACTCTTTGTATTAGTCAAGGCTTTCCAGAAAAACAAAACCAACAGGAGATGTGTGTGTGTGTATATATATATATATATAGAGAGAGAGAGAGAGAGAGAGAGAGAGAGAAATTTATTTTAAGGAATTGGTTTATGTGATTGTGGAGGCTTAGTAAATCCAAAATTTGCGACATAGACTAGCAAGCTGGAGACCAAGGGAAAAGTTGCAGTTCAAGCCCACAGGCAGTTTGCTGGCTGAGTTCATTTTTGCTTGGGAGAGGTCGGTCTTTGTTCTAGTCAGGCCTTCACTGATTGGATGAATTCTCCACACATTATGGAGGGTAATCTGCTGTCCTCAAAATCCAACAATTTAAATGCTAATCTCATTCAAAAACACCTTCACAGAAACATTTAGTAGAAGGTTTGACCACAAATCTGAGCACTGTGGCCTAGTTAAATTGGCATATAAAATTAACCATTATACCTCTGTTATCACCACTGTCAGAATTCTCTGTTTCTATTTTCACCCAATAATAGAAGAGTGGAAAAATCCAGGCCAAGCAATACATTTGACATCACATAGATATCCTGTCCTCTTCCTCCTCTCACAGAGACTGTTACAGTCACCAAATGCCCATGTGCCCCTGTGTTGTAAATGGGGAAGGAAGTCCTCCTGTTGGGGTCTTTACAGATCACTCCAACATAGTCATAGAAATCACACTGGGAGAGGCATATGATATTTAAAAATATCATGCGTTTGTTATACTCACAGGACCCAGAGACAGGAGGCACGGCAAGGCTTGCCACACATGGAGCCAGCCATATGGGAGGAACTCCTGGTGAGCAAGCTCAACCAAGCAGATGAGGAGGAGAGAGAGAGAGAAAGAGAGAGATTGAGGACCTGCCGGCAAGTGCCTTTACTGGAGATCATGGTGGAGGACACAAGCAAAAGGTTTGAGGGGATTTCACTTGTATGTTTTAATGTCATTAGGTCACAGTCAGGCGAAGGCAAGAACGGGACAGCCTTATCACACTGTGTCAGGGACCAGCCTTATCACACTACTGTACCTGGTCACCTGGTTGAGGTGCTCACTGACTATTGATGGGGAATGTTGGGGAATTGGGAAAATATGGAGTTTAATAATTTATAATACAGCTCCTCTTCTAGATTTCTGAGCCTCTTTATAGTTGGTTGGGCCTCATGATTGGGTTCTGACCAGTGGAAAATGAACAAAGTGATGGCAGTCCTCTAAAACATCTTCTAGTTCCTCCAGTCCAGTTGGTCATATCCTGGTGGCCTTGGAGGTCATGTGTCCTGGGTAGTATAGCCTCATAATGAACTGGGATATGAAGCCTGTATTAGGTTCTGACTGACTGAAAAAAAAGATTCCTTATTGTATTATGGCTTTGTAATTTCAATTTGCCTGTTACATCGGCTAGTTTTAATGACTTATACCTGCCTTTCCCCTCAAATACTACAATGTTCTCTTAAAACTTGTTTGTGTTGAGTGCCTTGAAAATTGTATTCAGTAAGTGGCTTATCCAAACCACATTTTCTTGGAATTTTCTTATAGAAGGGCACTAGAACCAGTGCTGTGTATTAAGAGGGTGCGTACTCATTCTTAACAGTTTTACCTGATGCAATTGAAAATTTCTCTTCCTTACCTGTATATATGCTACAATCTCATTCCTGGGCTTCTATAGCTACTCTAAATAGTGGACGATGACCCTCATTTATTCATTAATGTTCTGAAGTGGCATAGAAATTTTTGTTTATGTTCAATGTTTTGAATATTTACAACAGATACCAAGTGAACTCCTACCATGTATATGAGGAGCTGACTGGGCAGTGACAGAGAGTTAAAGAAAATTCAAGGCCTTGTTCTTGTTCTCAAGAAATCTACCAGTTTGCCAGACCAATGGGAAATGCCATTTTATTTATTTTATTTTATTTTTATGATTATACTTTAAGTTCTAGGGTACATGTGCACAACGTGCAGGTTTGTTACATATGTATACATGTGCCATGTTGGTGTGCTGCACCCATTAACTCATCATTTACATTAGGTATATCTCCTAATGCTATCCCTCCCCGCTTCCCCCACCCCACGACAAGCCCCGGTGTGTGATGTTCCCTTTCCTGTGTCCAAGTGTTCTCATTGTTCAATTCCCACTTATGAGTGAGAACATGTGGTGTTTGGTTTTTTGTCCTTGCAATAGTTTGCTGAGAATGATGGTTTCCAGCTTCATCCATGTCCCTGCAAAGGACATGAACTCATCATTTTTTATGGCTGCATAGTATTCCATGGTGTATATGTGCCACATTTTCTTAATCCAGTCTATCATTGTTGGACATTTGGGTTGGTTCCAAGTCTTTGCTATTGTGAATAGTGCCACAATAAACATATGTGTGCATGTGTCTTTATAGCAGCATGATGTATAGTCCTTTGGGTATATACCCAGTAATGGGATGGCTGGGTCAAATGGTATTTCTAGTTCTAGATCCTTGAGGAATCACCACACTGTCTTCCACAATGGTTGAACTAGTTTACAGTCCCACCAGCAGTGTAAAAGTGTAAAATTTCTCCACATCCTCTTCAGCACCTGTTGTTTCCTGACTTTTTAATGATCACCATTCTAACTGGTGTGAGATGGTATCTCATTGTGGTTTTGATTTGCATTTCTCTGATGGCCAGTGATGATGAGGATTTTTTCATGTGTCTGTTGGCTGCATAAATGTCTTCTTTTGAGAAGTGTCTGTTCATATCCTTTGCCCACTTGTTGATGGGGTTGTTTGCTTTTTTCTTGTCAATTTGTTTGAGCTCTTTGTAGATTCTGGATATTAGCCCTTTGTCAGATGAGTAGATTGCAAAAATTTTCTCCCATTCTGTAGGTTGCCTGTTCACTCTGATGGTAGTTTCTTTTGCTGTGCAGAAGCTCTTTAGTTTAATTAGATCCCATTTGTCTATTTTGGCTTTTGTTGCCATTGCTTTTGGTGTTTGAGACATGAAGTCCTTGCCGACGCCTTTGTCCTGAATGGTATTGCCTAGGTTTTCTTCTAGGGTTTTTATGGTTTTAGGTCTAATGTTTAAGTCTTTAATCCATCTTGAATTAATTTTTGTATAAGGGGTAAGGAAAGGATTCAGTTTCAACTTTCTACATATGGCTAGCCAGTTTTCCCAGCACCATTTATTAAATAGGGAATCCTTTCCCCATTTCTTGTTTTTGTCTGGTTTGTCAAAGATCAGATGGTTGTAGATGTGTGGTATTATTTCTGAGGGCTCTCTTGTTTTCCATTGGTCTATATCTCTGTTTTGGTACCAGTACCTTGCTGTTTTGGTTACTGTAGCCTTGTAGTATAATTTGAAGTCAGGTGGCGTGATGCCTCCACCTTTGTTCTTTTGGCTTAGGATTGACTTGGCAATGCGGGCTCTTTTTTTGTTCCATATGAATTTTAAAGTAGTTTTTTCCAATTCTGTGAAGAAAGTCATTGGTAGCTTGATGTGGATGGCATGTAATCTATAAATTACCTTGGGCAGTGTGGCCATTTTCACGATATGGATTCTTCCTATCCATGAGCATGGAATGTTCTTCCATTTATCTGTGTCCTCTTTTATTTCATTGAGCAGTGGTTTGTAGTTCTCCTTGAAGAGGTTCTTCACATCTCTTGTAAGTTGGATTCCTAGGTATTTTATTCTCTTTGAAGCAATTGTGAATGGGAGTTCACTCATGATTTGGCTCTCTGTTTGTCTGTTATTGGTGTATAAGAATGCTTGTGATTTTTGCACATTGATTTTGTATCCTGAGACTTTGCTGAAGTTGCCTATCAGCTTAAGGAGATTTTGGGCTGAGACAATGGGGTTTTCTAAATATACAATTATGTCATCTGCAAATAGGGACAATTTGACTTCCTCTTTTCCTAATTGAATACCCTTTATTTCTTTCTCCTGCCTGATTGCCCTGGCCAGAACTTCCAACACTATGTTGAATAGGAGTGGTGAGAGAGGGCATCCCTGTCTTGTGCCAGTTTTCAAAGGGAATGCTTCCAGTTTTTGCCCATTCAGTATGATATTGCCTGTGGGTTTGTTATAAATAGCTCTTATTATTTTGAGATATGTCCCATCAATACCTAATTTATTGAGAGTTTTTAGCATGAAGCGGTGTTGAATTTTGTCAAAGGCCTTTTGTGCATCTATTGAGAAAACCATGTGGTTTTTTGTCTTTGGTTCTGTTTATGTGCTGGATTACGTTTATTGATTTGCATATGTTGAACTAGCCTTGCATCCCAGGGATGAAGCCCACCTGATCATGGTGGATAAGCTTTTTGATGTGCTGCTGGATTCGGTTTGCCAGTATTTTATTGAGGATTTTTGCATCAATGTTCATCAGGGATATTGGTCTAAAATTCTCTTTTTTTGTTGTGTCTCTGCCAGGCTTTGGTATCAGGATGATGCTGGTCTCATAAAATGAGTTAGGGAGGATTCCCTCTTTTTCTATTGATTGGAATAGTTTCAGAAGGAATGGTATCAACTCCTCCTTGTACCTCTGGTAGAATTCGGCTGTGAATCCGTCTGGTCCTGGAGTTTTTTTGGTTGGTAGGCCATTAATTATTGCCTCAATTTCAGAGCCTATTATTGGTCTATTCAGGGATTCAACTTCTTCCTGGTTTAGTCTTGGGAGGGTGTATGTGTCCATGAATTTATCCATTTCTTCTATGTTTATTTGCGTAGAGGTGTTTATAGTATTCTCTGATGGTAGTTTGTATTTCTGTGGGATTGGTGGTGATACCCCCTTTATCATTTTTTATTGCGTTTATTTGATTCTTCTCTCTTTTCTTCTTTATTAGTCTTGCTAGCAGTCTATCAATTTTGTTGATGTTTTCAAAAAACCAGCTCCTGGATTCATTGATTTTTTGAAGGGTTTTTTGTGTCTATTTCCTTCAGTTCTGCTCTGATCTTAGTTATTTCTTCCCTTGTGCTAGCCTTTGAATGTGTTTGCTCTTGCTTCTCTGGTTCTTTTAATTGTGATGTTAGGGTGTCAATTTTAGATCTTTCCTGCTTTCTGCTGTGGGCATTTAGTGCTATAAATTTCCCTCTACACACTGCTTTGAATGTGTCCCAGAGATTCTGGTATGTTGTGTCTTTGTTCTCGTTGGTTTCAAAGAACATCTTTATTTCTGCCTTCATTTCGTTGTGTACCCAGTAGTCACTCAGGAGCAGGTTGTTCAGTTGCCATGTAGTTGAGCGGTGTTTAGTGAGTTTCTTAATCCTGAGTTCTAGTTTGATTGCACTGTCGTCTGAGAGACAGTTTGTTAGAATTTCTGTTCTTTTACATTTGCTAAGGAGTGCTTTACTTCCAACTATGTGGTCAATTTTGGAATAAGTGCGATGTGGTGCTGAGAAGAATGTATATTCTGCGCATTTGGGGTGGAGAGTTCTGCAGATGTCTATTAGGTCTGCTTGGTGCAGAGCTGAGTTCAATTCCTGGATATCCTTGTTAACTTTCTGTCTCGTTGATCTGTCTAATGTTGACAGTGGGGTGTTAAAGTCTCCCATTATTATTGTGTGGGAGTCTAAGTCTCTTTGTAGGTCTCTAAGGACTTGCTTTATGAATCTGGGTGCTCCTGTATTGGATGCATATATATTTAGGATAGTTAGTTATTCTTTTTGAATTGATCCCTTTACCATTATGTAATGGCCTTCTTTGTCTCTTTTGATCTTTGTTGGTTTAAAGTCTGTTTTATCAGAGACTAGGATTGCAACCCCTGCCTTTTTTCATTTTCCATTTGCTTGGTAGATCTTCCTCCATCCCTTTATTTTGAGCCTATGTGTGTCTCTGCACGTGAGATGGGTCTTCTGAATACAGCACTCTGATGCGTCTTGACTCTTTATCCAATTTGCCAGTCTGTGTCTTTTAATTGGAGCATTTAGCCCATTTACATTTAAGGTTAATATTGTTATGTGTGAATTTGATCCTGTCTTTATGATGTTAGCTGGTTATTTTGCTCGTTAGTTGATGCTTTTTCTTCCTAGCATCGATGGTCTTTACAATTTGCATGTTTTTGCAGTGGCTGGTACCGGTTGTTCCTTTCCATGTTTAGTGCTTCCTTCAGGAGCTCTTTTAGGGCAGGCCTGGTGGTGACAAAATCTCTCAGCATTTGCTTGTCTGTAAAGTATTTTATTTCTCCTTCACTTATGAAGCTTAGTTTGGCTGGATATGAAATTCTGGTTTGAAAATTCTTTTCTTTAAGAATGTTGAATATTGGCCCCCACTCTCTTCTGGCTTGTAGAGTTTCTGCCAAGAGATCTGCTGTTAGTCTGATGGGCTTCCCTTTGTGGGTAACCCGACCTTTCTCTCTGGCTGCCCTTAACATTTTTTCCTTCATTTCAACTTCGATGAATCTGACAATTATGTGTCTTGGAGTTGCTCTTCTCAAGGAGTATCTTTGTGGCATTCTCTGTATTTCCTGAATTTGAATGTTGGCCTGCCTTGCTAGGTTGGGGAAGTTCTCCTGGTTAATATCCTGCAGTGTTTTCCAACTTGGTTCCATTCTCCCCGTCACTTTCAGGAACACCAATCAGACGTAGATTTGGTCTTTTCACATAGTCCCATATTTCTTGAAGGCTTTGTTCGTTTCTTTTTACTCTTTTTTATCTAAACTTCTCTTCTTGCTTCACTTCATTTATTTGATCTTCCATCACTGATACTCTTTCTTCCAGTTGATCAAATCGGCCATTTTAAAGGAGTTGATTTGCAACACTTGTTCATTTTTTACGAGAAAGCACACATTTTACAAGTATCAAATTGCCTTTTCTGTGTGTTATTCCATCTTAAAGTGTTTAACATTCTAGTTTGCCATCCAGTTAACTGTTGTAGGTTCTCAGCATTGTTTCAGGGGTGATAAAATATTAACATAATGTATACTATGGTGAGATAAGGATGCATGCATTTATCTCTAGGGTAGCCAAAACCAGGAAAATACAAGAATGTATACCAAAAGAATTAAAAAAAATAAAATGGAATAGAAATGATAAAGAATACCAAAAGAAGACAGGAAGAGAGGAGCAAAGGAACATAAAACAGGGAAAACAAGTAGAAAATAAACTAACATAATTGGTCTAAATCCCAAATACATCAGTAATTGTATTACATGTAAATACATTAATAACCCAAGGTAGGGGCAATTCCAGTGGTTGGGGGAGCAATCAGAGGTTTCAGAGAAGCAGCTCTTTACAAGTTAAGAATGTATTAGCCCAGATCTACCAGTTTATGCCGGGTGAATATCAGCCCTGCTTGGATACCATGCAGATAAGAAAATAAAGGTCATTGCTGTTAAGTTTCAAGCTCCCTGTCTATCTTTCTCAAGTCTTATCCCATTCTTTCCTCCCTAATTAGTAATGACTAATCTGAATTTTGTGTTTACCATTTCCTTGCTTTACTTTATAGACTAATCAAATAAGTCTATGTTTAAATAATATATTGTTTAGTTGTTCCTGCTTTCAAACCTTACATAAATCGAATCATACTATATATGTATCATCTTCAGCTTTGCTTTTTTATTCAATATTATGTCGCTAACATTTATCTATGTTTTTACAGGCATCTGAAATGCATTCATTTCCCCGTTATAAAGTAATCCATCATATGATTATTCCACATTTTTCCATTCTACTGTGGATAGATATTGTTATGTGTGTAAGTGTGTCTCTAGGGTGTACATTCAGGACTGAAATGTTTGAGTTGCATTGAGTGCACAAAAATCAACTTTATCTGATAAATTGTTTTCTGAAGTGATTACACAGTACCAGACAGTTTTAAGTGTACTATTTGCTCCATAACCTTGACAACATCTAATTTTTGCACATAAGGTAGGAAGAAAATGGTTTGTAGTTAACTTCCATGCAGTTCTTTGCTTACTAATGAGATTGAACATCTTTTCTCATGTTTATTTCTATACTACAGAGGCTTCTTCAACGCAATGCTTCTATAAGACTTTTGCCAATATTTTCCTGTCACTTTTTAATTAATTTTTAAGAGTTCTTTTCTTGGAGTTATTTTTAAATACTTCATTTTTAAAATATGATATAAATTCTACCCTTTTAATTAAATTGTATTTTTGAACAGTCTTTGCTCATGTGTTGAGTTTGAGTAGATTTTTTAAAGAATTTTTTGCATCCAGTAAACTTGTTAAATTTTAATTACATTTAATATTTTATGTGTACAAGTTTTATTATATCATTTGTTGATAAAAATGTTTTCTGCATTATCCTTGCAACTTTCACTTATTATTATTATTCTTTCACATTTCATTGTGCTTACTAAGGCCTTCAGCATAATGAATAGTAATGAGAGACAACACACTTGTCTTGCTCCAGATCTTAAAGGGTTTTCCACATTTCAAAAAAAAATGTATCATTTTGCTGTAGGACTTTTTTAGACCTTTAACATGTTAAGAAAGTTTCCTTTTGCTCTTAGTTTGTTAAGAATTTTAATTGGAGCTAGAAAGTAAATTTTGTTGGAAAACATTCTCTATCTCTTTAGATGATCATTTTTTCCCCTTTTACACTTTCACTATCATTATTGTAATCAAATTATGCCACCCTTGACATTCTGTGGTTAAACAAACATTTTAAGGATTAATGGCTTGTCTTAGTCTGTTCAATCTACTGTAACCAAATACCGTATACTTGGTAGCTTATAAACAACAGAAATTTATTTCTCATAGTTCTGGAGCCTGGGAAGTCCAGGATCAAGGCACTAGCATATTCATTCTGGTGAGGGCCCACTTTCTGGTTCATAGATAGTGCCTTTTCACTGTGTCCTCATGTGATAGAAGGAACAATGGGTCTCTCAGTCTCTTTTAAGAATACTAATCCCATTCGTCAGGGCTCCACTCTCATGACTCAATCACCTCTCAAAGTCTCCACCTCCTAATATTTTCACCTTGGGATTAAGATTTCAACATATGAGTTTTGGTGGCAACACAAACATTTAGAAAAATTTAGACCACAGCATGGCTTGATTCATCCTGCCATGGATTTATGTTTTCATCTCTAACATCATTTGATGTGCACAATCAAGATTTCAAGGAATAGGAAGTAAAACCCAAAGATATTTGGAATCTTTTATAATCTGTAGAACAATCTGCCAACAATGAAGACTCTTAGTTAACCTCGGTTGCAATTTCAGTATGTCACCTCTACCCATGTTGTCACTGTACTGTCCATTTCTCTTGTTTCTATTAGCTAAGGCCCAGAACTTGACCTGCTTCTTTAACTAAGGCATATATACTTTTCTGCTATATACTTTTATCATACACTATATTTGTCCTTTATCATATTTATTATAAATTTAATTAACTAACTTTACGTAGTTATTTGTAGATCATCTGTCTGCCCTTACAGACTATAAGCTCCATGAAAGCAGAGACTTTTTAATGTCCAGTTTTTGCTACATTTCTAGTCTTTAGCATAGTATCTTGCATATAATATGCTCTCAACAAATCTTTGTTGAATGACCATTGGTAGATAATGGCCAGGATATATCCTTACTACTAACCAGAAAGCATTCATTCAAACAATTCTAATCACATTATCTATGTATCTATCTATTCTCTCCCTACACACACACACACACACACACAGAGAGAGAGAGAGAGAGAGAGAGAGAAAGAAAGGAAAGGAAAGGAAAGGATAACCTTTTTCCATACCTTTAGGAGTACACATTTGCATTAGTTAGAGTTCTCTTAGAGGGACAGAACTAATAGGAGATATATATATATATATATATATATATATATATATATGTCACTGTCATGTTGCAGAACCTTCACTTCTTTGGTCATGAGGGTTGTGGCATCTGATATATATATATATATATATATATATATATGAGTTTATTAAGAAGTATTAATTACACAATCACAAGGTCCCACAATAGGCTGTCTGCAAGCTGAGGAACAAGGAGAGCCAGTCCGAGTCCCAAAACTGAAGAACATGGAGTCCGATATTCTAGGGCAGGAAGCATCCAGCACAGGAGAGAGATGTAGGCTGGAAAGCTAGGCCTATCTCTCCTTTTCATGTTTCTCTGCATGCTTTATAATTGCTGGCAGCTGACTAGATTGTGCCCACCATATTAAGGGTGGATCTGCCTTCCCCAGCCTACTGACTCAAATGTTAATCTCTTTTGGCAACACCCTCTGTTTGGTAATATCTACACAAGCTGAATATACATGTACCTTATGACCTAGCAATTATAAAATAGAAATGAATACAGATATTCACAAAAAGAGAGATACTGAAATGTTAACAGCAGTCCTATTCATACAGCCCCAAAGTAGAAGTCATCTGATGTTCATCAAGAACAGTAGCTAAAAATAAGATACATTTATCCAATGTAATACTATATAATCGTGAGAATGAACAAACTGCAAATATATGGATAAATGTCATAAACATGATATAGGGTGAAAAGAGCCAGATGTAAAAGTATGCATAATGTATGATCCCATTGATATAATATATTAAATTAAGGAACACTAATCTATGCTCTTAGAAGTTAGGATAGTGTATGTACTTTGGGTGGAGATCGTATAGTACTGGAGGATAGACTTAAAGGGCCTTCAGGGGTGCTGGGAGTGTGATGATGTTGAGTCTGGTTGGTGATGACATGGATTTGTTCAATTTGTATAAATTCATCTAGGTATACAGTATGATATTTGCAGTTTCCTCTGTGTATATTATACTTCAACAATGTGTATTTTTCTTTAAATGAGAGAAGCATCATGGACTAGGAAGCAGAAGACATTTATTTTAGCCCAAATCTTTTTCCTTAAAAGTTATATAACCTGTTTAATTAATAAGGCCTTTCTAGGTCTTGTTTATCTATAAAATAAAAGAGTAATTATACCTACTACATGGGTCGACAATAAGTAGTTAAAGCTGGTTTGTCCCCAGAGATTTCCTCTAGAGCGTTAAATTATAAATCAATGTGTAATGGACCAGGGAGAAATATAAAGGCTATCTTTAGAAGCTAGGATGAGTTCAGAGCTGCTAAGATCAACAGGAATTTGACTGGAAAATAATGTGTTCAGGAGAACAAGAGTCTGGTCAGCAAAGCCAGCAGAAGCTGGAGAGTTGCAGGACTAAATGTGGAAATGGCAGGCGGTCATCTCGGACACAGGCAGATCAGATGCCACAACCCTCGTGACCAAAGAAGTGAAGGTTCTGCAACATGACAGTGACATTTCCAAATGTAAAACTATGAAACTGACAAGATGGTTTTAGGTTTCAGAATCTCGTGACATTTTTTAACAAGATGAAGCATCTCCGAAGTGAATGCATGCATTCATTCATTATTTATTAAACACTTATTGACACTGAGGAGGCTCAGAATACACCACCCTAAAGCATGCCACCCTTGCATATTGATTACTTCCAGCTAAAAGACATTGAGAACCAGCCAACACAGGAAAAGCTTTTCACCTCCCACTCAACTGCCTAAAATAAAGTATGAAACCCCTTTTGTACAGAGAAACATATACTTATAAAGGAAATTTTCATTAGTAAAGGTATCTGGACCAGGAAGAGAGCTACTGTGAGAGAACTTTTATCAACTGAAAGGCTTATTTTTGTTTTATTTTATTTTTTTTAAGACAGGGTCTCGCTCTGTCACCCAGGCTAGAGTATAGTGGCACCATCATAGCTCGCTGCAGCTTCAAACTCTTGGGCTCAAGTGAGTCTTCCACCTCAACATTTCCAGTAGTTGGGACTACAGGCGCTTGCCACTGCACTTGGTCTACCTGAGAGACTTTTATCTGCATAATAAGGTAGTCTTAACTTATCATATATTTCCTCTCCTCACACTCTCATAATGTGTCTCTACTACCCACCAGAAGCCCCAAACTCCTATTCCTTTCTGTAGCTCAGAATGGTGTATAGCCTTCAATCATCTGGCCATTTCTTTGAGTCTCATTTTTCTGTGTGTGAGATTCCCATCTGTAAGTATGTAACTAACATAATACTTGTTATGTGTGAGTTAACGTACTACAAGTTACATACTTATATGTACATACTGGTAAATTGTTATTCTCCTGTTAATCTGTTTTATGTCCATTTAATTTGTAGACTAGCCAAAGGATCTAGGAAGGTAAAGGGAAGCAATTTTTCCCTTCTATACATCACCCTACTTACAGGAAGAGATAATGGGACAGCACCAGCCCTGCCTTCCTGATATCAATAATCTGATAAGGAAGACAGTCATGGATATTAACAGTATAGAGTTAAGCGCTTAGGCAGAGGTAAACACAGACTCCTGTGGGACCATTTAGAATGGGTACCTAGTCCATGTTTCCGAATTCAGATAAAGCCCTCTTGAGAAGAGATATTAATATACGAATGACATGTTAGTAACTGAATTTCTGAACCCTCAAGAATAAGGACTAGGCCTTTGACTGTGGCAAAGTTACTATTATAAAAGTCACCTTACGAGACTTCTTGGCTGCCCACCATCAGCCTGTCACAGTTGTGACACAACCTTTGCCTGGTGGCAGTGTGGTATGAAAGGGATGAAGTCAGAGTAAGGGAAAAGAGGCAAAGCAAAAGCTATTAATCTCTCAGGTGAGTTTGAGGATGAGCTTCTGTTATGCCTTCAACTGTGTTCATGGAGTTATGTGTGGATTAAATAAAGTATGTATCAAGATCCTTATAAATCCCCAAGTGGTTCATTTATTATTTGCTATTTTTATTTTCTCAGGGATGTTATGACTTTGTTCATTAAGGCTTATTCATAATATGTTTATTTCAATTGACTAAAAAATTTAATAAGCATTTCCTGAGGTGCCTAACACTGCTAGCCAGTAGGATGCTGCAATGAAAAAGCCTCTGCCCAAAGAGACGCAAATCCAGATACAGATGGAAGACGTAAAGAAACATGTGCAGTTTGTGGTGTGCCAAGGTGAGACGGAAGAGAAACTTCTCCTAGGGGCCTGCGGGCCCCCTCAAGCATGGAAAAAAAGAAAACTTTTTGTTCCTTCAAGGAAGATTCCAGGCACCTAGTTAGCCCTGAGAAATAAATAAATGACTTGATAAGTTAAAACAATAGCCAAGGAAGTTAGAATCACAGGATGTTCCCCTACAGAAACTAAAGATGATATCTTAACATATGTCTTTAAGTTGCTTTTCAGAAACCTGGATGTCCGCCAAATGGATTTGCTGTCACGTAGACCTCCGAAAAGGGGAAACTGAGGATTGAACTCTGACCACTGTTCTTTGTTCTAAATCTCTTCCTGAGGGACCTGGAAAAGGTCACACCCATGAGCCAGAGCTAACGTTCTTTTCTGCTGACCCCAAATTTTTAGACAAAGCTTCCCCTTCTTAACCAATTGCAAATCAGAAAACATTTGAATCTACCTATGACCTGTAAGCCACCCACTTCAAGATATCCTGCCCTTTTAGGTCAAACCAATGTGTAATCCCTATATATTGATTTATGGTTTTGCTTATAACTTCTGCTTTCCTGAAATTTACTCCTGCTTTTAAAAACCCTTACATGCAAGCCGTCAGGGCATTTGGGATTTAAACTAGAGCTGCCCGATTCTCCTTGCTTGGCACCCTGCAAACAAATGCTCTCCTTTCTTCTGCTGCAAACCTCAGTGTGGCTGTTTTGGCCTTACTGTGCCTGGCGAGCATATCCCAGTTCAGTTTGATAACAAAGGGTGGCTTAGAGGGCTTTAATAAGCCCTAGTGCAAAATCTCCAGCAGCATCTCTAAACCACCCAAACGATCACCCAGTTTAGATAAGTTAGGTAAGTCCATGTATTTGCCAAGCAACTACAACCTAAATGTAATTATCCTAGTTTCAAATACCCACTTCAAGCAAACTGTCTGCCAGATGCCTCCTCTCCCTCCGTCACAGGGTGATAGGTGCAATGATAGATTTAAAAGAGGGAAAGGAGTCTGAGAAAGATCCCAGTTGGGAATCATGTCTGAATTGGATTTGAGGATCCAAGGATGGAAGCGAATACTAGGTAGAAAGAACAGTCTATGCCTCAGTATAAAACAGAGATAGCAAGAGCCTTTGGTAGCAATGAGACTAGGAGACAGTTGTCATCCAGAGAGACAGAAAAATAAAAGTAATAAGGGTATCAGGTAGAATGCTAAAAAGCTTGAACTTCATCTGTACAGAGGAGGAAAATATCTAGGCGTTTTCATTGACTCAAATCTAAGAAAGAACATTTTGGTTATTTGGAGACTGTACTGGCCGGGAAGGCATTAAAGGAAGGGGGATTAATCAAGTCAAGCAAGTAAGAGACATGTTTACTTTGCTCATATTGAGTTTCTTAGTTCTCTAATTCACACTACCTTAAAACCTTCAAGGCATATCAAAAGCTAAGGCACATGATACAGACCATTTCACCTTGCCAGGTTCTTCTTCTCATACTAGCTAGCTTAGTACTGTTTGTGTCTCAGCAAAAGTAGTCGTTGGTGGTGTTTCATCTTAAAGCTATTTTGCAGAAATCCTAAAAATTTTTAGTCATCATCAATTTGGCATAAACAAGTTTTGAGGCCATCTTGCTGGATTTGTTTTTAAATCAGTGTGGTTTTCATAACAGGAAGTAATTCTTGTGCTTTTTTTATGATGCATCATAAAAACAACTACTCATTTAATAAGATAATGCAACAAGAGCCTTGGATGCTTCATTGGGTAATGAATATCACAGGATTCTTTCCAAATCAGCAACTCTGAGCAAGAGAAAAACAGCAGTGTTTAAACAGTGAAGAACTTGAATAAGGAATTAATGGGGTGGAGAATTGCTGCTTTTAAGCTGAAGGGATCCCATAACCACTCCTGCAATCAAACAATTTCTATTCAGAATGATTTTTCTGATTGAAGGAAGTGAGACATTCTTGCATGTAACTAGCCTATCCACATTTAACTAAGTGTACCCCCCACCCCCCGTACACACACACATACACACACACACAGGAGTCTCACGGAAGCCAATTTCCAGAGAATGAAGATATAGTGTGCTTTCTGGAATTATTGACCACAGTGAAACACCTCAAGCAATTTCTTGCATTTAATATTCATTTCTCAAGCATTGGCCCTAGACACAAAGCAATATTTCCTCCTTATGCAGTTTATTTCTTTCAAAACCTTGAAGAATGTTGTAAACAAGCCCCCCAGCCCTGTGGTTTTTGCTAAGTCAGAACATTAAACATTTCATCAATGATTGTTCTTAATAAATGTGTGTACATTGGAGACTTTTGTTTCCTAATTGTCCATAATTATAGCTCTTTCACACACTCTGAGAACTCAAAAGACAAAGTGAAAAGACAGCAGTAGTTTAAACCTAGACTGTGTATAAATCAAATACAAGAAAATAAAATAAATGGCAAGGCTTCTTAAAAACAGGTGTATGAAAGCTTTAGTTATTTAAACAACTCATGCTCCCCTCCCCTGCAAGAGTATCTTTTACTTCCAAATCACTTAATGGCACATAGTTCTCAAAACATAAAGTTTCATGTCACCTGACTCAATATTCAATTTGTTCAATTCAGTAATGCTTCTGTTACTCCTAACACTCAGATTCTTTTCTTAACAACATTTGAACCAAATTATTTTAATAATTTAACTACCAGCTATCTGGTAATGGTCATATTTCAGAAAAGTATTTTCATATATCAAAGTTGGGTATTACTTCCCAAATTATCTGCATCTGTCTCTCATCTATACTCTTTGCCTATGAAGACAAGTTCATACATTAGAGAGTTAATATTACCACATGCAAGTGTCCATCAACACTTGCGGTCATGTGGTTCTACACTGTGCAACTCTGGATACTGTTCATATAGAAGACAATGTGGCCAGTGCTCCCTGAAGCTTTCAGTAATACAGAAAAATGAAAGAATGGTCCTCAGCTATGTGAATGCCACTTTGTTGAAACTCAGTATGTGTGTGTGAGGTGTCAATAATGGAAGTCCACTGACGCCATGAGCAGGAGGGAGGCAGAAATGAAGGTTAAGAACTGATGATGCGGAGTGGCCACATTTGAGCCTAATTAATTCCACAAATAATAGTGTATTTGTCTCACGTTTAGCTTGTTCCTATAAACATATTAGAAACCTTTGTTTTTTCCTTTTAACTGTCTTTCATGGTTCAGTTTGGAAAACATTTTGTGAACCCAGCATGCTCTCCAATGGCCAATGATCTGGTTAAATTAAACTGATGCTTATTAATTGCTGAGTGAATACAAATGGGATTTACTTGGCAATAAAGCACTCTGTTTTAAGTTTCAAATATATGGCTCATTATTCATGGTGGTGCAGAGGAGAAAGTACAGGGAAGGTTTACAGAAACTAAGCTAGGGCCCCACAAGGTGAAATCTATCTTGGAGGTGTTTATCACATTCCAGAGCTGGTCCTCAATTTTGCAAGACCAGAAACCTTGATTTTTGTGAGTTCTTCTCTCTCGGGGATGTATTTACATTAGCAAATATATACCAGAATGCTTATTTATAATGACAACTGTGACTGACTGTCAGGTAGACAGGAATACTCACATTGACAGAGCCATACATCCCTGCCCAGTAGGCTGACAACACCGAGCGGCTTTATGCGAAGCCTGCTTGGCCTGCATGGGCTCAGAACAAGGAGGGTTAATATATGAGTTTGATGAAAATAGCACATCTTTGCAATAAATGTACTTTTCAGATGGACTGACACCTGAGCTTCCCTATCTGGGTATGCTTGGGGCATGCTCTTTCCTGGGCAGAATGAATAGGCTACCACTGGTATTAGGGATTTCCTCTTTCACACTCTAGGAATCCCTGTATTCACACAGCACAATACAATTAACCAGGCTTCCACTTTCTCAGTTACAATTCTGCCCTGATTTCCTAATGTACTGGATCAGCCATGGAAGGAGGTCCTCTAGTTATCATTAGAGGGCCTGCTGCACCCTCCTGAGATGCTCCTTACACATAGTGAATCATTTTTATACCACACATTCCTGCTACATTGGCTACAGCTAATTAGAACAAGAATTAATGGGCCTGTAACCCCCAGAGATTTCTGTGCTGGCCAGCAGCCTGTGAGGTAGCTTGATACGCGACTCCTGTCCAAGATGATGCGGGGCACCAGTGACTTTGCCAACCTGTTTAGATCCTGTCACGTGGCACGTTTGAAGGAGACGCACAGAGAAGGAGTCTGGCAATTGGGTCAACGGCAGCAAAAAGGAGGCAGTAGAAGGAATGGTGAGGAGCAGAAGCCGTGAGGCAGCAAAGCCTTAAATAAGAAGAAACTACCAGATAAATGGGAGAGTAAACTGAGTCTGTAGTGTTGCGAGTAAAAGAAGCAGGAATGGAGAATTGTAGATTCATCTCAGTAGCAATGCTTGGAGGATGGAGCCAAGGGTTTCCAATTCTGGAGAAAGAGATTCTGTTGGGTCACATCTCAGACAAAAGCCCCTGTTGAATCCCCAGCAGCTTTCTGGGCTCTCTAATCCCTGGTTATGAGGCTCCTGAGAATGTTTCCTGACTTCCTTCCCTGTGATTTCTTATGATAACTATTCACTATTGGAGATAACCTGAGTAGGTCTTTGCTTCTTACCATCTTCAAAGAGTCTGACTAATAATTCTGAAATTAGCACCAGATCACATTTTATTGAAGTGTCACAGTCACCTATTTTGTAATCTCTTAGTGTTTGCTCTCACACTTAATCAATACCACAAGTGGATTTAGCTTGTCAAATGATTGGAGGCAAATTTATTTCCGTACTCTCAGGTAGGATCTAACTGCTGCTGTGGTGTACTGACTCATGTAGAGACAGAAATCATGCAGATTCTATTTAACTCTTCATTTTGCCTACAAGCTGGGTTGCCAAATCTCAGAGTATTTCTGCCATCACCCTAATGAGTAGGACTGCAATCTTACTCTTTAAAATACAGTGGGAAAGCAGTTTTCTATTACTAGAAGCCATAACTTTAAGAAGTGACCTGCACTTGGAGTAATAAAACTTTGCTGTAATCATTAATCATTTGCAGCCAAATTAAGCAGAGACTGATTATGACTTCAGTCTTCCACCCAAGAGCTAGGAGGTTGTTTAAGTGCAGGGCCTCATTGGCTGATTATTCATGCATACAATTTTATGACAACAAAATAACACATGAGGATTATTCAACTCTTAACCATGTGGTTGGTATGAGAAAGTACCTGCAACCTGTCCTTTTCACACAATGTAATGGTCAAATCCCAGAATGGAAAACAAAATTGGTAATGATGGAGAATACAAGAGAACCATCAAATACTCTGTAATCGGATGGATAAATTAAAAAGAAGAGTCATAATTTTAGTTGGTCTAATATTTCATCATAAACAAAATAGAACCAAGATGGATTATGACCATCCTCTCTTTACAGTAGCTACCATTAGCACACACTCCTTTTCTGAGTCACACTTGCAATCAATCCACATATTGCCTACACCATGGCAACAGTTAGATGCCACCTGATAATATGGAAATAAATTTGCCTCCAATAGTTTGACAAGTAAAACCCACTTGTGGTATTGATGAACTCCCATCAATGTTGGGCCTACCAAAGTTTCAAGTTGAAGCCATGACCTGAGATTCAAGGGCTGCAATGATGCTAGTCAATGGAAATGCTTAAAATTTCAGCAGAAAGGGAGCAATTGTCCCAAGGGAGAAGGACAGAAAGATTTGAAGGTTTTAGGTAGAATTTGGGCAGAAGAGTATTTGACTATAATAGCTTGGAGCTGTAGAATATCTTTCTCAGAACTGCCTTTCTGGCCACAAATCTGGAATGTTCTTCCTGTTGCTCTGGATTACTTGGCATATGGAGGAAGTGTGGTTTCTCTACTGGTGGCAATCTTGAGGATTCCCAGGCTACAGGGCTCTGTCCAGGTAAGGGCTCCTTCTTCTCCCTTGCATCAGAGGAGGTAGCTCGGATGTGTGTCATCGCATGCAAGGCATGGTGTTGTGGCTGCACTGAAGAAAAAGGAAGAGGCGACCATCATTCCTGCCCAGTCATTCACCCTAATTCACTAAAGTTTAGAGAACACAGGCTTATTAGTCTGTTTTCATGCTGCTGATAAAGACATACCCAAGACTGGGAAGAAATAGAGGTTTAATTGGACTTACAGTTCCACATGGCTGGGGAGGTCTCATAATCATGGTGGAGAGTGAAAGGAACTTACATGATGGCAGCAAGACAGAATGAGGAAGAAGCAAACGCGGAAACCCCTGATAAACCCATCAGATCTAGTGACACTTATTCACTATCACAAGAATAGCATGGGAAAGGCTGGCCCCCATGATTTAATTACCTCCCCCTGGGTCCCTCCCACAACCTGTGGGAATTCTAGGAGATACAATTCAAGTTGAGATTTCAGTGGGGACACAGCCAAACCATATCAACAGCGGATAGTTCCCTTGTGATATTTTATTAAACAAAACACAGTTCTGTGTAAGCAGATTAATATATTTATTAATTAATAAGTGATTCAATGAATTAATGATTCCATTAAGAAAGAAATATTTGGTGATTTAGAAATATAGGAAAATGAAATCAGTTTTTGAAAGCATATATATATATGTGTGTGTGTGTGTGTGATAAATTTGATGTTAACCTCCTAATGTAAGCAATATTCCCAAACAAAAATAGAATCTAGCTGGGATGATTTGACTTCCATGAGTGGGAGAATACAGCTGAAAACCTGATATAAGGAGAGCATTGAAAGACATCCAGAGCTTATCCTTTTTTTGCTTCCTTTGTTCTTCTTGCTGTCATATATAATAATAAAATGTCTAAGAAGGATTTTTTATTTATCATGTATTTCAGAACAGCCTCTTTCCTGTAGGGAATTCTGCTTCTGTTTAGGTGTCTGAATGACAGTTAACATTTACTGTTGCAAACAATTTTTTTTCTAGAATTTTAAATCAAGTTTCTAGGCTGCTTTCTCCTCATACTCCAAACCTCTCTGGCGAGGGGATCAGAGTTCTTGCCAGTGATTATTTCCCATCATTGCCATCATTGTAGAAACAAATGATAATGCCAGCAATTCAAGGACTCTGACAAACATCCCAACAAATCTCAGCAGAGGGGGTCTATGTTACTAAATCACACTGAAGCTCAAGTTTCCCTCTGGTGTGTGTGTGTGTGTGTGTGTGTGTTTAAATTATGAGGTTTGTGAGCCACAAACTGTGACAACCAAAAATATGTGAATAGGATTTCATACTGAGAGGGAAGAAAATTCGTAACAAAGACAATCTCACACTTTAATAATTTATGTATGAACTGTGTAGTATTTTATTTTATGTAAAAATAAGCCAGTCCTATCAATGATAATACATCTTTTATGAATAGGTAAACTAAGCAATTTTGAGATAAACAAAAAGAAAGAAAAGAAGTCAGGGGCAGGAGAGATGTGAGTTATAGAGTCAGCAGAATTGGGAAAGGGGTCTGGGTGAACCCTCCCCTCATCCCTGCCAGAGGGAATTGCCTTTGCTTCACTTCCTTCTCCTCTGCAGCGCCCCACAGCATGGAGGTGCTGGATAAACTAGCCCAGTGCCCACAGTTACTGCCCAGTGCATATATCTTATATTTAGCAATGAGCAAAACTGTTTATTAAGAGCTCCCAGAGCACAGGCTGTTGGTACCCCCATTATATTCTTCAGAAAGGCAAAACAAAAAAAAACAAACCAACAGATGCCAGTTTTACGACTCATCAGCAGCTTAGATAGCAGGTGATGCCTCTCTATAGTAAATGAATCAGTAGAAGAAAAGCCTGTCTGCGGGAGGATTTTAATCTCCTTAATTGTTTTATGTGTCTTCTGAATGGTGGTATTGGGAGCCATCTGAAGAAGTGAGGCACCATCATGGCTCAGGTTTCAGCACCAAGTCATAATACTTGTTAAGTCCATTAAAGCTGGGACCCAGATGGTCCTATCTCAGAGCCCAAGAACCATGATATTTATATAAGTTAACAGAACTTCTTCGTGGGAGGTAACTGAATCATGGGGGCAGGTCTCTTCTTTGCTGTTCTTGTGATAATAAATAAGTCTTACAAGATCTGATGGTTTTATAAAGGGAAGTTCCCCTGCACACGCTCTCTTGCCTGCCACCATGTAAGACGTGACTTTGCTTTTCATTTGCCTTTTGCCATGATTGTGAGGCCTCTCCAGCCATGTAGAACTGTGAGTCCATTAAATCTCTTTCCTTTGTAAATTACCCAGTCTCACATATGTCTTTATTAGCAGTGTGAGAACAGACTAATACAGTGTATAAGTACCACATTTTCTTTATCCAGTCTACCATTGATGGGCATTTAGGTTGATTCCATGTCTTTGCTATTGAGACTAGTGCTACAATAAACATATGTGTGCATGTATCTGTATAATAGAATGATTTATATTCCTTTGGGTATATACCCAGTAATGGGATTGCTGGGTCAAATGGTAGTTCTGTTTTTAGTTATTTGATGAATTGCCACACTGCTTTTCACAATGGTTGAACTAATTTACACTCTCACTAACAGAGTATAAGTATTCCTTTTCCTCCACAACCTTGCCAACAACTGTTATTTTTTGACTTTTTAATAATAGCCATTCTGACCAGTGTGAGATGGTATCTTATTGTGGTTTTGATTTGCATTTCTCTAAAGATCAGTGATGTTGAGCTTTTTTTTGTATGCTTGTGGCTGCACATTTCTCTTGTTTTGAAAAGAGTCTGTGCATGTCTTTTGCCCACTTTTTAATGGGATTGTTTGTTTTGGCTTGTAAATTTGTTTAAATTCCTTATAGATTATGGATATTTGACCTTGTTGAATACATAGTTTGCAAAATTTTTCTCTCATTCTGTAGGTTATGTGTTTACTCTGTTGCTATAGTTTCTTTTGCTTTGCAGAAACTCTTAAGTTTAATTAGATCCCATTTGTCAATTTTTGCCTTTGTTGCAATTGCTTTTTGTGTCTTCATTATGAAATCTTTGCCCATTCCTATGTCCAGAATGCTTCCAGGCTTTTTATAGTTTTGGATTTTACATTCAAGTCTTTAGTTCATCTTGAGTTGGTTTTTGTATATGATGTAAGTAAGGGGTCAAATTTTAATTTTCTGCATATGGCTAGCCTGCTATCCCAGCCTTGTTTATTGAATAATGAGTCCTTTCCTTATTGCTTATTTTTTGCCAGTTTTGTCAAAGATCAAATGGCTGTAGGTGTGTGGTCTTATTTCTGGTCTCTCTATTTTGTTCCATTGGTCTATGTGTCTGTTTTTGTACCAGTACCATGCTGTTTCGGTTACTGTAGCTCTGTAGCATAGTTTGAAGTCTCATAGCATGATGCCTCCAGCTTTGTTCTTTTTGCTAAGGATTGCGTTGGTTATTCGGGCTTTTTGTTGGTTCCGTATGAATTTTAAAATAGTTTTTTCTAGTTCTGTGAAGAATGTCGATGGTAGTTTAATAGGAATAGTATTACATCTGTAAATTGCTTTGGGAAGTGTGGCCATTTTAATATTGATTCTTCCTATCCATGAGCATGGAATGTTTTTTTCCATTTGTTTTTCTCCTCTGTGATTTCTCTGAGCAGTGTTTTGTAGTTCTCCTTGTAGAGACCTTTCACCTTCCTAGTTAGCTGTATTCTTAGGTATTATATTTTATTTGTGCTGCAATTGTGAATGAGAGTTCACTCCTAATTTGCTGTTGGCTTGACTGTTGTTGGTGTATAGGAATGTTCGTGATTTCTGCACATGGTTTTTGTATCCTGAGACTTTGCTGAAGTAGTTTGTTAGCTTGAGGAGCTTTTGGATTGAGACTATGGGGTTTTCTAGATACAGGATCATGTTGTCTGCAAACAGGAATAGTTTGACTTTCTCTCTCTCTCTCTTTTTTTTTTTTGGGATGTCTTTTATTTCTTTCTCTTGCTTGATTGCATTAGCCAGGACTTCTAATACTGTGTTGCATAGGAGTGCACCAGTTACATTCAAAAAAACCTGAACTCCTCTCTACAGCTTCTTCCCTGTTTAGCTTGCTACTATCCTCCTCCTTGTCTCCTGATGTTGCGTCAGGAAAGCCTAAATTTAAACCCTGGGGAAAGACACCTTCATGGAGGAGGAGGGCCAAGGAGAAACTGAGTAAGGAAGGTATTTGGTTGTCACAGGTAAGAAAGCCCAAGAGTCATCATATATTATTCGCTTTGCAATTATGTTGTTTTACTAACACCAGCACTAATGAAATATAATCTTCTGGGGGAGCAAGAAAGGGAAAGAATAGGTAATTTTAGAAACACGTACAATGTACTGCAAAGTAATGAACTCATATAATCATACATCCTCATGGATTCACAATTCAAAAGTACAAAAATGAATTCTACAAAAAATCTCCTCCTCTCTCTGTCCCAAGCCACTCTTTTCCCCTGTCTGAAGGCAACCAATATTATCAGCTTCCAGTATCTCCCTGTATAGACATGTTATGCAGATACATGTGAACATATACTCTCTCCTGTCTTTCCACCTAGTGGTAGCATTCTTCACATACTGTTCTGCACCTTGCTGTTTTCTCCCAATGATTAAACTTGGAGGTGATCTCCTATTTGTACCAGGAGAGATATTTCTTATTTTTGTGGGTAAATATGATTCAAATGTGCATATTGGTATAAGAGAGGCAAAGTAAATGGTGCTGATGCTTTTCCCACCTGTGTTTTGCATTAACTGGGAGATTAGATAAGTGCAAAGAAGATGAAAATAAAAATCTTTGTTTTACTGTTAAAGCCTATACTGGAGAATGCAGCCCAAGTGCACAATGCAATGATTTCCTAACACTGAGCCCTCAAATTGGGCATATTTACCAACCCAGACATAGGCAGCTCAAACAGCCACAGGCCTCCCAGCACTATGCCTTCCCTAAAGGGCTCATGACCTGGTGGAGCAGATCTAAATGCGCTGCAGGCAGATCCTAAGCGAAAGCTGGACAAGGGGGCTCAGCTGTACTGGACACAGTTTCTCACTAAACTCACAAATTAGGCAACTCAGGTTAGTAAACAGTGGGCAAGAATATAAGAATGTTTAGGAAAAACCCTTCCTGATGGAAGCAAAAGAGAGTGGCAATAACATCCCCCCATAACCTCAACATTATAAATGTATCATAATTTGATTAGCTCGTCACTTATTGATAGACATTTAAGGTGCTTCCAATCTTTTGCTATTGCAAAAATGTAACAAACATGAATATTCAAAAATGAATAACTGTATACATACAAAATTTCATGAATATGAAATGATAAAATCCTGAATAACTTTGTACATATAAAGTTTCATGGATATGAAATGATAAAATCCTGGGGGTGAAATTGCTGGGCGAAAGAGTATGAGCATTTAAAATCTTGCTAGATGTTGCCAAATTGCCCTATCTATCAATCTCCTAAGAAATTTGTGAAAAGGCCAATTTCTCCACACACTTTCCAACATGAGGTATTAATAAGGTATTAACAAGAGCTTTCATCATCGCCAGTCTAATATACAGAATCTGGTATCATTATGATCCCATAATTTGTTTTCTGTTATTATGAGTAAGGTTAAATACTTATCTTAAATTTAAGATAAGTATTTTCATTTTTTAAAAAATGTGAACTGCCTTTTCATACCCACTGTCCATTTTTCTATTGAATTGCTGTGGGGTATTTTTATATTAATTTCTAGATTTTTTTATATTTTAGAAACATTTTAATTATCATATAAATACCAAATCTTTTTTTCTGAGTGGTTGTATTCTTTTCATATTGCTTATGTTGGTTTTGCCATGTTGAATTTATTTTTAAAGTAACCTCATTTATAATACTTTTCTAATATGTCTTCTGAATTTTGTGTCATTTCTAGAAAGGCCTTCTTTACTCGCAATTATTCAATATTTTTCCCATATTTCTTTAAGTACTTTTATGGTTTCATTTTTTGTTTATATTAAAATCTTTGAACTATTTGATTCCAATAAGTAAGAATTTGACTGACTGTTTTCCCTCCTGAATGACTATCCCATATCATTTATTAACAAATACATAATAATTTTTTCATTATTTTGAAATTCTAACAGTTATTGATCCCAGGTTAATGGAGTCAGGTAAGTGAATGCAGTTGAAACTTGCAGATAAAACCTTTCAAACTGGACATCATCTACCTGAAAATATTGTCCATATAGATTTTTTCTTTACACTTTTAAACGTAAAGAAATTTACCTGGATTCAAATTCTTACTCATCTTCTTATAGGTTATGCAACTCTCGGCAAGTAAATTTTTCTGAGAATATGGCTTTGGGTTTGTTGTGAGGGTTATATGAGACAATATGTAAAGTTTGGGAGAATATAGCAGTCATTTGTATTAATTTATTGTTTAATATTATAAAGATCTATTTTAGCTCATCCTGTTACCCTCCCCCTGCAATGACCTCTGATCATGGTAACAGTGCTATCAATTGTATTGCACTTAGCAAACCTTAAAGAAGGACCAAAATCTTTCAGAAATCTTTTCCATGGGCATACTGAAACAGAGATAGGTCTGCTCCAAATTTTGGGGGGGAATGCTTACATGAGTTACATGGCTGAGCTTAGATATAGCTTAGTAGAAACTGTGTTTAATATTCTTATTTAAGACACAGACTCAGCAGCAGAGACTTAACTTTTGTAGAAGTAAATAGTTAGAAAGGTGTGTTTGGTTACCTATTAAATATACCAAGATAGTTTGAAGGTAGGAAGTAGTGAAGTGATACTGGAAAATACAAAACAGAACTTGTGAAAAATATTGGTGTGCCCCCCAACCCCCTACCTCTCATTTCTCAAATAAAACAAGAAAGAAACATTAGGCACCACAAATATATCTCCCATATTCTGAAATGCATCTAGAACAATAGGTTTGCCAATTTTTCTTAGTATCAGATTCTAGAGAGGAACGATGGTGAAAACTCCTTTGGTAATCACAACCTTGCTTCCTGTTTAGATTTGTTTTCTCTCCTTTGTGTAAATGCAAAATAGCTGATCATAATCTGTGGCTTCATATTCCAGAAAATAATTACTAAGTGTATCTCAGTCTTTCCTCATAAAAATAACAGGTTTTTTTTGATGTTCCCCTCAAATATTTGTTGGAGATTATTCTGCTAGGGAAGAACGAGGGAATTAGAACAAATTATCATAATGAGACACAAGGTGAGTTAATCACAGCAAAACAAAAATGAATCATCATTAGTGTTTGGTGAGTGTACTTTGTAATGAATTCAATATTCAGAATTTTTAATTACTCCTCGACAGTGACTCTTGACAAAATATAGCACTTGTGGATAATACCAGTAGATGTTGCATTAATTATGTGATATAATTTGGTGAACTAAAGATTCAAAAGCTTTGAGATATATATTAATGATGAAAGGCAAAATGAATATTTTGCTATTTTGATGCTTAATATGTTTTCTGTTCAAAGAAATTCAGTGTTAATGGAAAAGTGACTGACGTAGAATTACAAAATCATAGAATTTCAATACTGGAATAGGCTTTATATATCATCCTGTTCTACCTGCCTAGCTTTACCCATTAGGGAGTCAAAACTCAGATTCAAAGAGGAATTTGCTCAGGTCGTCCAGTGTGTTAATGGTCATGATTAAAGTAGTATCTAGTCCTGAGTCTTAGTCTAGTGCTTATTTCATATCATATTGTGTACTTTTTAAAGCAAATGCTTATTTGAATGACAGTGGCGTAGTATATATTTTGCACTAATTTTTTGTCTTAACTCCTTTACTTATGATAACAGGTTTCAATAGCATTTTCTGACACGCAGTGTGGATATGCAAAGACCATATCATGCAGGTTTTTTAATTTGTTTTTTTAATTTTTAATTATTTATTTATTTTTTATTATACTTTAAGTTCTGGGGTACATGTGCACAATGTGTGGGTTTGTCACATACGTATACATGTACCATGTTGGTTTGCTGCACCCATTAACTCATCATTTACATTAAGTATTTCTCCTAATGCTATCCCTCCCACCTCCCTCACCCCACAACAGGCCCGGGTGTGTGATGTTCCCCATCCTGTGTCCAAGTGTTCTCATTGTTCATTTCCCACCTATGAGTGAGAACATGCAGTGTTTGGTTTTCTGTCCTTCAATAGTTTGCTCAGAATGATGGTTTCCAGCTTCACCCATGCCCCTACAAAGGACATGAACTCATCCTTTTTTATGGCTGCATAGTATTCTATGGTGTATATGTGCCACATTTTCTTAATCCAGTCTATCATTGATGGACATTTGGGTTGGTTCCAAGTCTTTGCTATTGTGAATAGTGCCACAATAAACATACGTGTGCATGTGCCTTTATCTTAGAATGATTTATAATCCTTTGGGTGTATACCCAGTAATGGGATCGGTGGGTCAAATGGTATTTCTAGTTCTAGATCCTTGAGGAATCACCACACTGACTTCCACAATGGTTGAACTAGTTTACAGCCCGACTAACAGTGTAAAATTTTTCCTATTTCTCTACATCCTCTCCAGCACCTGTTGTTTCCTGACTTAGGCAATACCATTCAGGACCTAGGCATGGGCAAGGACTTCATGACTAAAACACCAAAAGCAATGGCAACAAAAGCCAAAATAGACAAACGGGATCTAATTAAACTAAAGAGCTACTGCACAGCAAAAGAAACTACCATCAGAGTGAACAGGCAACCTACAGAACGGGAAAAAATGTTTGAACTCTATCCATCTGACAAAGGGCTAATATCCAGAATCTATAAAGAACTTAAACAAATTTACAAGAAAAAATCAAACAACCCCATCAAAAAGTAGGTGAAAGATATGAACAGACATTTCTCAAAAGAAGACATTTATGCAGCCAACAGACACATGAAAAAAGGCTCATCATCACTGGCCATCAGAGAAATGCAAATCAAAACCACAATGAGATACCATCTCACACCAGTTAGAATGGCGATCATGCAGGTTTTTTAAGACAGTTCGATTTTCAAATCCTCTGTTTTACTCAAGAGTCTAAGTAAAGCTTGGATACAAATTCATTTTTGCACTATCTTACATAGAGTAGACAATGCATAAACATCTCTTGACTGATGCAACCAACTTTCCCCACAATATGCCAGTCACAGAAGTAACCCAGACACATATTCAGTCTGGCATTTCTATAAATAACCAGATGCCCCATTTGGGAAATGTGCTCTATAAATAGCAAGCCTTGTTCTAAAAGGGTACTGGGAATCTTGATTCCTGAAACAGGTCTTTTAAACTCATCCCTCATGCCAAGTGGGGATTAACTTCTGACACTGGTTCCAGATTATTGTTCCAGAAAGGAGCTTTTGCTAAGAGCAGGGATGAGGTGATCAGTGGGAAGCAATTTTGCACACTGAAGCAATAGAGACAAACAGGGTGCTTCTCCTCCCAGGATTTCAGCAGAGCCTCATTGTTTACTTGTCTGAAGACTTCATTAGGTCTTTGCAGGCTTGATATGTGAGTTGAAGATGTCAAAGAAAATAATATATATATATTTGGCAAATAGGGTAGGAATCATCTGGTAGATTGGAGTAGCAGGTGTTGGTACTAATTAAAGACCTGTTCAAAGCAGTTCACTTGTACATGCTCCTGTCACTTCTCTGAAAGATACCTAGACTTTCTTTAAAGCAATCTTAGTGGTCTCACCAGAAGGGATCATCAGAGGAGAGTTATTGCTGTCTCCCAGTCCACAAACCACTGTCCTCGATGCCTGATGACTTCAGTAGTTTGGTTATAAAGGGTGTATGCTGTGTGGTGCTCCAAACTGGAAATGACTTATCAGAAATGTGTTCATCTCTATCACCTGCCTCAAAGGCAGGCTTGTGAAAGAGGGACCCGAGAGTCAGGAAGGGGCTGGCTTCCCTTGCAACCCACCACCCTCATTCAAATTATGCTTGGTTTGAGAAACTTGCCTTCTGTTGAGTACCTATGTACTAGAAAAATGTCATAATGCAAGGCCACTGTAACACTGCAGCATAGAAAATAAATAGGTATAATTTATATTCCTTTACAGGGGATTTGATTTGAGTCTGTGATTACAAGGTACCTGGCTCTAGGACCTGTCTGCCCTTGTCATGATGGTCCTGTTACTGTAAAAAGGACACTGGGAGTCATGTTCTTGCATTTCATGGTCAGATTGCTATTGCTAAAGACACAGAAGGTATATTTCTATCCCCAGAATGCAAACAGGAGACTTAGCCTTTCACCCTTATTTTTATTTCCCTTGTATTTTTTTAGCATATACACACACAGATAAGAAAGGCAATATATAATTTTACTGTTCTTGCCTGATACATAAAACAATAGGTATAAGTTTTCTTACTTTAATATAATTAATTTGTATAACATGTTATGCCTATAGATTCAAATTATATTTTTACAAATATTGTACATACATCTTTTCCTGAAAACTTGAGCCTATGAAATGGAATAATCATTTATGAAGGCATATAATCTGGAATTTGTAAGGTATCCAAGTCAGTATCTTCAAGAATCCAGGCAGCTTCTCATATGTAGGAAGAAATTTCATTTCTATCTATGTCCTTCCCTTTATCTACCCTAATGGGAGGAACTCAAGGTGTTCAGGTAGGTAATATTTTTGTGGTTGAATCATAGCATTTTATGTAGCATATGAAAAAAGGATTAACCTCCATTAACTTCACCTGAGTGCCCCTTGAAGACTTGCTTTGAGACTGATCTATTTATAAAATGCAAGGAAAGGGAGAAAATAAAAGAGAATTTTCTTCTGAAAAGAGAGAAAAGACTCAAACTGCAGCTTTGATAATTATTGTCATATAAGTAAAAATATTTTTGTTTAAAAATCCCAACATCCAGGCTGGCATGGGTGTAGTGGCTAGAGGAACATTCCTTTCATCAGTGAGCAGGAAGATCAATCTACCTCCCCCAAGTCTGGGTGGCTTAGGTAGCTGATTAAAAGCTAGCATCAGAAAATGCCCTAAATGATTTTTCAAAGAAATGGGTAAAATCCATCTTTTTGAGTGCAAACATTTCTTATTATAGGATGCCTCTGAATGGCCAGAAATGTGCAAATGACCTTTTAAGAAAGTGGTTGTTGTGTGATAAGTAGAAAGGTGTTGCCAGAAGTTTAATTGAGTAAAGAATGGCTGGAACATCCAGCTTCAGATAGTCTACCTGACTGCAGGATGGAATTACGCACAGCCCAGTAGGAAAGATGACCTTCCTCTTCCACGATGCCATGCACCAGTGTTTAAAACCCAGTGGGCCATTGCAGGTATACATTGTGGAAGGTATTGCTGGTAAATGTGTTCTGGCCAATGTGCACAGCCCTGCAAATGCCTCATGATCATACGCAAACAGACACAGCCCGTGTTGCAGCTGTAGCAGAAATATATTTAGATATATCATCCAAACACTGTGGGTTTGAGTTTTAGAAACTAAATAATCATGCATCTTCCTATGTACCCTTTCTCAATCAAGAAGATGAAACACAAGTGGAAAAGGTCTCTCTCCTGAGGCTACTTTGCAAGTAAGGAGGCTAGACGTGAGGCAAGAAGCAACAGAATTTTCCTTCCTTCCTGAGTGCTAATTATGTATCTCCCAACAACCCTTGTCTTCCATCTTCCTTACTGACTCCTGGGTCACTGATAGATGCAGGTGACATCTAGTTTTAAATTTCTGCTTTCAATTTCATTGTCTTTATTGGCATGACAAGGTGTCCAAGTGTTGCAAAAATTAATACATCATGACTATGTCATAGTACAAGTAGTGTTGGTGTCTGTTTCATATGATTTATTATTTTTGTGACAGTGACAATACTGACTTCTTGTAGGCTGTCCTAGTCTTTATTCTTTTAGCCAAGAATTGTGCAGATCTACAGTTATCACTTACTAACCCAAGTCAATGTACTAGTTTTGATAGTTGGTGGGAAAAGTAATCTCAAACTTTTGTTGGTCAGGGCAGATGAGGAGACCTGATTCCAGAAGCCAACAGTGCTGTGGCCAAGAACAGGGTCCTCCAGTGTTCAAGTCCAGACTCCACCGCTTCCTAGGAGGCAAGTTGCTTAACCTCTTTGAATCTCTGTTTTCCTGTCTGTGTACCTTTCGTACCTTATTTTTATTTTTTTATTCTTTTTTAAGACAGAGTTTCACTCTATCACCCAGGCTGGAGTGCAGTGGCATGATCTTGGCTCACTGCAACCTCCGCTGCCCAGGTTCAAGCAATTATCCTGCCTCAGCCTCCCAAGTAGCTGGTATCACAGGCATGAACTACCACATCCGGTTAATTTATTTTGTATTTTTAGTGGAGATGGGGTTTCACCATGTTGACCAGGCTGGTCTTGAACTGCTGCCCTTGAGTGTTCTGTCCGCCTCAGCCTCCCAAAGTGCTGGGATTACAGGTGTGAGCCACTCCTCCCAGCCTCATACTTTTAAAATTGTGTAATGTGAGCATATTTTACTTATTCAGAAAGAAATAAAAGTATTTAAAAAACAAATAATCCAAGCAGGTGTGATATGCAGGATGCACCAGAAAAGGAAACCTGGAGGAATTGTTTGGATGTTATCATAGTAATCAGGTCTGAGATGAAGAGCTCCTGCCCTTGGAATTGAGAGTAGACGGGATGGATCAGCAAACACAGCCCTGGCTTTGAGGACTGAATGAGGGCAGGAATGCGATTGGGCCATGCTGTGGCAGCAGGCAGGGAACCCTTTCAGGAAGAGGGTCCTTCCATCAGGGCTTTTTCCTCCCAGACTCTTCGGCTGTCATTATTGTTTTCCTACCCCCATTTCCGCCTCCTTTCTTTCTTTCCACCGTCATAGCTGTCCCAATGAATTCCAAATCGGAACTCCTCCTCTATCTTCCTTATTTTTACAGTTTCCACTCATTAGAGACTTTCTAATTTCTGTGTAAGATTTCCAATATATTTTAAGGATTTGTCTACCATAATTCCTCTCTTCTGTTTTAGTGGAGCCCAACCCTCTGTCAGTTTTGGCTTCAGGAACGTGGCAGATTATTTACACAGAGTGTGGTAATAACACCTCTCATCCCTGCATGTATTCTCCTGTGACTTACTGCTTCTCCCATCGAGAGTTGGAACTTATTTCCCCACACTTTGAGTCTGGGCTGGTCTTGTGACTGGCTTTGGCCAACAGAATGTGGCAGAAGTGACAGTGTAAGAATTTGGAAGCTTCTGCTCTCACCCTCTTGGAATGCTGCTCTGAGACAACCATGTCAAGGTACACTGTATGGCAATGTGGTAGAGAAGCCAGCTTCCCTGACTGCATCCTATGCAAATCACCAGAGATGTGAGAGGGGCCATAGTTGAACTTCCAGATGCCTACAATGGCATGAATGACTTGGCAATTGTTAAACCACAGAAGTACAAGAAAATCAATTGCATTATGTTAAGCAACTAAGTTCTGGATGGTGTGTTTTGCAGCAATAGAGAACTGAACCAAGGATTCTGATTAAATGTGGTTTTAGATCATTCCTTCTTGTTTGTCATTAGAAGTAGCTGTGAATTCACAAACTGGCCAGGTGGCAGTCACAGTTAAGGCAGAAAACAGCAGCTGAGCAGGTAGAAACCCTGGACCTGTCGCTCCTAAAGCCGTTCCTTCCCATAAATAGCAGCATAATTGGCACCAGCAGTTTTCCTGTAGAAGACACCATTCTTTTCACTTACTGTGCAAATATATACAGCAGAGGTCACAATTTCATTTCTATCTTTTATTGGTAGTTACTATCAAGACCAGTGTACATGCTCCTTCCAATGCTAGATTATTTTCAGTGAAACTTCAGGAATATAGGCATTGACAAGATTTTCTTGTCTGCAAAGAAATGCCTTCTTGAATTAGAAGTGAAGGTGGTTGAGTTGCTGTTGTAACTTCTAGAAGCAAATGATGTACAGAAGAGAAAGGAGACAGAGCAGGAGTGGATCCACAATGAGCCTGTGTCACATCAAATGACCCCTAAGTCTAGAACCAAATACAGCTCCCAGGAATTTGATTTGGAATATGATAGTGCAGGGCACAGAAACTTAACCATCCACAGGGATAAGAGTAGTCACATTAAAAGAGGCAGTCATTTGGGTGAACAATAAGTGGTGGAGACTGCTGTGCAGAGAGCACATGGAGTGTCCAAAGGGGTCAATTGCTGCTCTGGTCTATTGATTTTTTGGAATAAAAGCCCAATGTAGTCAGGACCTCCAATTTTTCAAGAGAAGCTAAAAATGAGATGAATCCATGGAAGTTTTAAATGCTACCTGATAATTTTGGAAGAATGTAAAACCCTGAGAAGGCCTCACAAATCATGCCTGAAGGATATCTGTTGGTGATGTCTGATAAATATAGTTAGAAACGGTATTCACTATATTTAAGCGCTGGTAGATTCATGATGTTTAGCAGCTGGAATGCCAACTATAGCCATAGTGCTGGGCCCTGCTTGACCAGGGCTTAAACTTTAGTTGCTGGATAATGAGGAGCTATGGAAGATATGGGGACAGGGGCTGGGGAACTGGGGCCATGGAGTGGCACTCAGGTGAGTCTGAGAGACAATGATTATTTCCCAACCAGTGTGGAATCATTCAGTATCTTAACAAGTGGTAGGGTCTACTCGTATGTACCAGATCCTTATGAGCCCTGTAGCAAAGAGAGTGAGTTCACAGTATCCAATGGTTTTTTTTTAGTCTTTTATTTTCATTTCCACTGTTGAAAGCAAAAAGATTAATGTAAAATTCTGCTGTTGACTATTATAGCTGTTCTTGCTGTTGTTCCCAAATGGCTCCTCTATTGCCCAGCAATTGTCTCCACGGCAACTACTTATGTTTTTGTAAATCTCAGATTGCAATGAAATGGGGAGGAAGCAAGAGTAAAGGCAAAATCTTTATAAGCCAAGATTTTCTTTTAAACACGGAAAATGTTTCTAATTAAAGTGCAAATCCTTTGCTTCCCAATTTATAGCCATACCTTGAGTGTCTGAGTACTGATTATAACCTAGACAAACGAAATGTCAGCTCGCTCAATCAAATCTTTATTAAATATCCACTGTGTATCTAGCACTTTGCTTGGTGAATCAGGAATACAAAAGAAAAACCAAGCTCTAAAAGATGTCAAAATTTGTTGGGAAAACAAAACAGATAAGAAAGAAATACCTGAATCAGAGTACAAAAAGAGAGTGGATTGATCTGAGTGGAGGTTCATATTGAAGAATGATGGCAGGCGAGCTGAGGAAAGCAGAAAAAAATTGGATTGTAAGCTGACAAAGCTTACCTTCTGGACCTAAGTACTCTGAGGTTTAACTTAAACCAGTCTCCTCTCTTTCCATAAGACACTGCCACAGCTATTCTCATCATGCCCTATAGTGATTGTTGGAAGCCCAGATTTCCCAGATAATTCTCCATCATCCCAGTACAGGTTGAACATCCCAAATTCAAAAATCTGAAATCTGAAGCACTCACAAATTTGAAACCTTTTGAGCACTGACATGATGCTCAAAGGAAATGCTCATTGGAGCATTCCCAATTTCAGATTTTCAGATTAGAGATGCTGAACTGGTAAGCATAATGCAAATATTCTAAAATCGAAAAAAAAAAATCCCGAGTCCAAGCACTTCTGATCCCAAGCATTTCAGATAAGGGATATTCAACCTGTATATATATTGTTGAGCATATCACCTAATGTGACCTGATCTATCTCCCTCCCATGCCATTTTCCCACATGCTTGGATTGTGCTCTCTGTAGAACATAGTAAGTCAACAATAACTGCCTCTAACAAACCTCAATCTCTCTTCTGAACATTACCTTCACTCATCATCTAGCTATAACTGAATTTGGCTGCTCCCTGGAGACATTGCCTTTCTTGAAATACTGCCAAATAAAGCCTCTTCCACCTGCCTTCACCTCTGAACCCATGTACCAGGATCAGCAGCAGAGTTTATGACCCTTTTGCTCTCTGTTTACTTTTTAAAATCTTTTATCTTCCTTATTTATTAAAACAAAACAAAACAAAAAGAACAAAGAAAGAAACCAGGCCTTTTGAAAATCAGACTGCCATATTGCCCCTCCTCCGTGCTATCAGTGGAGACTTCCAGGATATAGCCATTATATATTAACACTGGACCACTGTTGTCTTCTCCATTGTTATTTTTGCTATAATTCTGGGCAATTTCAAATTCCAGGTAGATAATTTATCTAACACATTGACCCATTAGTTTTGTGGCCTCTTCAACAGCAATGATCTTTTACTCCATATGAAACTATGCACTCCATGGATACATTACTACTTTTGTTACTGCCCTAAGTTTTGCATTTCTGAAACTCAATTTCAGGTATCCAACGTCTAAATTCCATCTCTTGCTGGTACCCCTACTACTCACACGTGCACAAAGCCTGAGAGTGACCGATTCTAACCCCTAGCTTCATTATAATACTAAAAATCACATCCAGGGATGGAGATTTAACATGCCAATGAGGCATGCAACACATGAAGAAGCATGTTATCCAACTGCACAGGCGCTGATAGATCCTGCCTCTGCATGCTAAAACATCTCTCCTTTCCTGCTATAGCCCCTCTTATACTGTCCTTCCAGCTCCCTTTGGGAAGCCAGCCAGATAATTTTTCCTCTTATGCTGACTCCCTTGTGCTCAAGCATAAGCCCCAATAAAGCCTTGTCTGGGAAACTTTTTGGCCTCATGTAAATTCAGAATCTATTGCTTGAGAGCCTAACAGCCCATGGTCGATAACATTTTTAGCTTACTTTTTCTGCTATTGCTAGCCGAAGAAACTTTCAAACATTTTGGGACATACAGCCTCTCAACTCTATCAAATTTACTTCCCTTTACTCCTCTCTTTGTTACCTCTCCTCACTCATAAAAAATGTTTACAGTAACAATATTTCAAACATAAAAGATGAAAAAAGATTAATGTGCTGAAAATCCATTTTTTCATTATCTGAACTAAAATATGAAACTCCTTTTTGATCTAATTTCTACCTCCATTGCCTCCAAAGTAACCACAATACTGAATATCTTTTCATGTTTAAATTATCTTTTTAAAATCATTTTTAAGTATACAGTTCTACTTTTACTACATATGTATGTTTCCCTAAAGATATATAAAATTGTTTAGCACGTTTTTAGATTTTATAAGAATTGTTTTATACTGTATATATTCTACGAAGTGTCTTTGTTGATCTAAGTTAAGTTTATGAAATTTACTTGTGTTGGTATGTGGACCTATTTCCAACCATTTCACCATTCTCATTTGTTGTACGTTATTCCATAGAATAAATATACCACATTTGATTCATTCATTCTTCTATTAACGGACCTTAGGTTGTTGTTATTGTGGAGGTTTTTTTTCTATTACAAACAATTTTGATCTTATGGATTCTCTCCTTTAATTTATTATCATGTCACACTATTTAAACTAATGTTTGCCTATTGAGAAAATAAAAATAGCTCACAGCAGTCTGAGCTATGTGAGGTATGCAAAATGTATCAGGCCCAGAGAAACATCAGTCTGGGACTTCAATCATTCCCTCCCTGACACACCCATGCCTGGGGCGGGTAGTTGAAAGGCATTTTGTTCCTTACTAGCTGCCTCCTGCGTTGGCTTTATGTCCTGGAATTTGTAATACAAAGAACAATGTATAGCCAATCAATAGTTTATGTTATTTTAATGTAAATTCTTGGTAAAAAAAAATTTAGAAACTGCCTCTTCTTTTCCTTTATAAATCCACTTACAACTCATGCTAATCAGAGTGTATATTCAGGGCAATTTGGATCTGTGTTCTGGGTTCGCAATCCTCAAGCTTGGGCCAAATCAACTCTCTATTTATATTAAGTTTGCCTCAGGTGTTTTTTTGTAGATCAATACTACTGGACTCTCAGAATAAACCCAATTAGGCTATACTGAATTTATTTTTAAAAACACTGTGTATTTAGTTTGATAAAATGTTTTCATCTATACTCATAAATGTGATGATATGTGATTTCCTTTCCTGTGCGTGTGCTCTTTAGGGAAGCTTCTATTAGAAAATCAGACTCACCAACTTCATATGAGTTACAGATTGTTCCTTCTGTTTCTATTCCCTGGAAGGGTTTGAATAGATTAAAATTATATATAACTTGAATATTCAGTAGGTATCACCAATAAAAGGCTTAGTATTATGTGTTTTTATGGGTAGATTTAAAATTGCTTATTCAAATCTTTAATGATTGTAAGCCTTTTTCAATTTTTATTTGGAATTAGCTTTAGAAAGTTATAGTTTTCTAGAAAATAATTTACTTCCTCTTAGTTTTCACAGCTATTATCCTGAACTTCTTTCAGCATTCTTTATTATCTTTCCAATTTCTCCTTCATGTGTAGTTACAGACCTCCTCATTTCAGATATGTATTTTCTTGCTTTTCCTTTTTCAGCCATGTCAAAGATTTAGTACTTTTTCAACCTTTTCAAAAAAACTGCTTTTGCTTTTTTTGATCTATTCTATGTATACTTGTTTTCAAATTCATTTATTTTATTTTATTGCTTTATTCATTCTATTTTCTCAGTGTTTAGTCAGCTTTTCTTCCTTGTAATAGCTTATAAATTTTCAAACAGTCCACTAAGTATTGCTGTATCTATTATTCCAAAAATGTTGCTAGATTGCATTTTTGTTTCTGAAGAGTTCTAAGTATTTTTACATTTCTCTTATGATTATTTTTTTGACCTATGACTTATTTAGAAGAACGTATTTAATTTCCAGATAGATAATATGTTTCAGTAATTTTGTAGCAGATGTCTACCTTAGTTGTATTGTGATTAAAGTTAATGGATTCTGTGATATTAATTTTATAAAATTTGTTTTATGCTGTACTCCATAATCATTTTTTTCTAAAACATTTTTTCTACTTTGGAGTCAGAAGCACCACATTTTCTTGTTTTTCTTTCTATCCCACTAGATTTCCCTTTTCAGTCTTTTTTTGCAGGTGCTTCTTTTTCTGTCAAACTTCTAAATTTGGGGCTGCCATAGGGACTGGTTCTTAACCCTCCCTTCCATCCCATCTTAAGTGATTACACTTGTGCCATTTCTTTATCTACTGTCTATATACCACACCTGAATTCATGTATGTAGTTCCTATTCTCTTCTTTCAAGTTCAAATGCGCATATTCAGTTCAATAACTCCCCCTGGATATTGAGGTACAGTGGAAAATGCCTCCTCCTACACTCACCCCCGAGAAAAGGATATCCAAGAATCTGTGGAAAAGGTTTCCAAGAATTTGGAAAAAGAGTCTGCAAATATGACTAAATTAATGATCTTGATAAAAGAAAATTATCCTGGATTATTGATGTGGATCCTAAATACAATCATATATGTCCCTGTAAGAGAGAGGCTGACAAAATTTCACAAGGACAGAAGAAAAGACACAAAGAAGAGGAGAAGGAAATGTGACCATGGAGCCAAAGAGAACTAACAGCCTCTGGAAGACAGAATTGGCAAGAAATGAATTCTGCCAGAGCTTCCAGAGGAAGTCTGTCTCTGCTAACACCTTGCATTTGGCCCAGTGAAATCGATTTTGTATTTCTGGCCTCCAGGACCATGAGAGAATAAAGTTCTGTTGTTTTAAGCCGTCAGGTTTGTGGGAATTTGTTACTGCAGCCCTAGGAAACTAATGTATATGTCCAATGGGCATCTTTAAATACATCTAATGTATATGTCCAATGGGCATCTTAGTTTCCTGCTTTAAAGCAGAGCTCTCGAGTTCCTCCCCAATCCTGTTCTCTTCTTAGTTGCCATTTTCATTTCCAATAAATAAGCTAGAAGTGATCCTTACTATTTCTTTTTTCCTCTCTCTACTCAACCAATTCAATAGCATATCTAGTTGACATTACCTTCAAAATCTAATCTAAACATTTTCCTATCTTCTCTGCTACCTCCAGTCCAAGCCGCTATTATCTCTCACCTGGATTACTATGATAGTCTTCTGTAAGAATGCTGCACTTCTAACTTTGCCACCAAACAGTCCATTCTCCACATATGTACCAAAGTTATCTGTCAAAAATGTAAATCAGAAGAAAGTCTCCCTTACTTCAAACACCCCAGTGAATTTCTTTGGCATTAAACTAAAATCCAAACTACTTATAAGAACTTGTATGACCTGCCCTTGACTGTCTCCTCTAAGTCTTCCCTGTCCTGTACTCTGTTCTGTCCTTCACCTACACTATGCTTGTTCTAGGTCTCAGCCTTTGCACTTGTTCCTGCCTCTCCCTGGAACTGTCTATCACAGTATTTTTCATGAGAAGATACTAATCTCCTCATTATTCAGACCAAATATCACCTCCTCAGAGAATCAGTCACTCTGTATGTCTATTTCTATATCTTTATATTTTTCTAGCTCTATCTTTGTCTCTACTACTATCCTATTTCTCTTTCAACCTATTATCTATCTATCATCTATCTATCTTCTATATCTATCTATCATCTATCTCTATTTAGCTATCTATCATCTATCTATATCTATCTATCTATTATCTATCTATCTATCTATCTATCTATCTATCTATCTATCTATCTATCTGTCTATCTATCTATCCATCCCTCCATCCATCTGCAGGATTGAGGGTGGGAATAAACAGTGTAGGCTTCTATTTGGCCATCTTGTTCCACCTTCCTATTCATCAATCTATCTTTCTATCTATCATATATCTTTCTTTCTATCAGTCATATCTGGATCTATAGCTATGCTAGCCAATAAACTTTCTGGGATAATAAAAGTGTTTTCCTGTGCTATCTAATACGGTGGCAGGAACTATATGTGGTGACTGCCCTTGAAATATTTAGTATGACTAAAAAATTGAATTTTTAAAATTTAACTTTAATCCATTTAAGTTTAAATAGCTACATGTGGCTAGTGGCTACCTTACTGATCACTACAGAGCTAAAGCAAACCCCAATCCAGTCCTTTCCCAAAGCAGTAATTATATATCTTATTGTCTTGTTTCATTTTATCCATAGAATTCCTTAGTATCTGAAATGATCTCATTTTTTCATTTGTTTACATATTTATTTTCAATTGTCTTCTTGCTATGAAGTAAGAGCTATGAGAGCAGGGAGCTCATCTGTTCTAGTCTCCACAGTTTGTCCAGGGCTTAATTTTGTAGTCATAATTATAGCTAAAGCCATGTCAGGAGGTTCCAGCAACTTTGATGTAAATGCCTGACTTTGCCATTATTTAACATGTGATCAGAGATGTTAATACTAGCTAACATTTAATGAATACTTTTACATCAGATTTTGAGTTAAGCAATTAACAATTGCTACCTGACTATACAATAATCCTATTGAGATGTTATTGTAATCTTCACTTTATAGATGAAGAAATTAAAGCTTAAAGAGACTCAGTAATTTAGAATTCAAGCCTAGGTCTATTTGAAACTTAAATTCTTACTTATTGCCACTCGGCAATATTGCTTCTGTTTCTCCAGGAAAAATCTAAAAATTGAGAAAGTTTAGTTTAGATGATGTTTTACTTTTTTTTAGCATTAATATTTCTGTAACTCTATGACTTAGAAAATAATATTTTTTTTACAGGGTCAACAACTATAGCCATAGGCCAAGTCCGGCTTGCTTCTTGTTTTTGTAAATAAAGTTTTATTAGAACACACGTATGCTCATGTGTTTCTATATTGTCTGTGACTGTGTCTATGCTACACAGGCTGAATAGTTGTGATAGAGAATTTATGGGTTGCAAAGCTTGAAATAATTATCATCTGGCCCTTTACAGAAAAAGTTTGCTGACCATTGTTATACGTGTTTAAAATAGTTGTTGCTATACATTTAAAAAATCGTTGATTCTCTATGTCTAAGTCTTGGTTAGTAATCAAACCCAAATTATAAAATTGTACTGTGGCCGGGCGCTGTGGCTCACGCCTGTAATCCCAGCACTTTGGGAGGCTGAGGCAGGCGGATCACCTGAGGTCCGGAGTTTGAGACCAGCCTGACCAACATGGAGAAACCCCATCTCTACTGAAAATACAAAATTAGCTGGGCATGGTGGCACATGTCATCTTATGGCAAGTTTCCATATAGTAATTAATTTTTTGTTGTTATTAATTGTCCTATGTATCTTCTATAATTTTTTAAGTAATATATATTATTTTTCAAATAATTTGCAAAGCAACACATACTTACTTTTGATTTTTAAGCAACATTAGTATTGTTTTAAATTCATTACCACTCTACCATTTAGAGGCAATTATTATTTTGTGTTGATACACTTTCTTTCAGACCTTTTATTTTTACATTTAACATTATACTGCTTCTGTGTGTGTGTGTTTTCATGGAACAATTTCGAGGTCATTCTCTGGATGAAAGTGGTGACTTCTTGTATAGATCATTTAATCCCTATTTTTGAGGGGTTTAACAAACTGTGACACACTTCACCTAAAACACAGGCACTCAGTATGATCTCATCATTGTTTTATCTCCTTCTAGAGATTCACATCAAAAATATATGAGAGAACAATAGGTAATAGTATCTGGAGCACCTGCGAGTTCAAGTGAAAATAGACGCTTTGGTGTTTCTGTATTTTATTTGATCCTGAAATCACAATGACCATACTGTTGTACTTATTATTGATGGAATGAAAAGCATGCAAAATAAAATGCTGCATTTCATATTTGGCAGTAACTTTTGCGAGAGGAAGCTATCTACTAAGAAGTTGTATCATGTATGAGTTTTCTACCAGAGAAATGTTAGTCTGCCATTTATTTCAGAGATATTTGAACCTAGTGTTAAAAGTAAAGGATGTGGGACAGGTTCAAATTCTCCGTCTGCTAGTCACTAGCGGTGTGACCTCAGGCACTTTCTAACCAGTGTGTGCCTCAGTTTCTTCATCTATTAAATGGCATAATTATTAAACTAAGTTCCTAGGGTTATTGTGAAGACTCAGTGATTTAAAATATATAGAAGAGTACCTGAAGCAGCAAATAAGCTTAGCTTAGCTATTCATTACTAAAATGAGATCACAGTTTTGGAGGGAGATTAAAAAAATAATTTTACTTTTCTTCCTGGTTTCCATTGAAACAGAGGCTTTTTATTTTATTTTATTTTATTTTATTTTCTTGACGAAAGGACTCGTCTAATCTACGGTAGCACTGGTTCATATGATACATGTAATGCATCCAATTTGAAGTAAGCTTTCAAATTCCAACACTATGCAATTGGGAGAAGCCTTGGATGATATTCATACTGTTTTCCTAAGGATTTTAATTAAATTGGCTCTTCTTTTTCATCCTTGCAGAATCTTCAGAAAAATATCTCCTTTTAGCAATCTAAGCACCTCTCTCTCCTTTCTCCCTATGGCTAATTTTCATTTTAATTGTGTCCTATAGGACATAACTAGAGAGACAGCATGGCCCAGGGCCACATTTCTGCCTTACTGACAAAGTGAGCAATGAAGCTTGAACCAGCTACTGAATCTTTCTGAGTATCAGTTTGCTCAGCTCTGAAATGAATATGCTAATAATTATTCTTTCTAGCTCACAGAGGTATTGTGATGATCAAATGAAATATGATGAAAGGTATAAATACAGTATTGTACCAATATATATTTATAGCAATATTGTCACAATCCCATTTTTTTCCACCCACATACATTTACAATTCTAGAAGGGCTACTGGTTTGTCAATATAGTCCCATGGGGCTGCAGTGACCAGTGGACAGCAGGTTGTTGAGCATGGTACATTTGCCCATGAACAGCTCTTCCAATTGACCGATGCCAAACTGACATTCACTGAGGCAACATGGCTCAACAGAGCAATAAGAATGCAGCTCCCTAGTGCAAATAATGGAAAAACATATATGGAAAGAATGGGTGTTTTTCTAGGTATATGAGGAACAACATCTGGAAAAATTGAGGCAAATGGGCTTTTCCCACTTGGCTTAAATTAATATTGTGATAACCCAGAACTGAATTTCCTTAATTATTTAAACACCTCTTTGGTGAGAGACAGTGGCAGAAAGGGCACGGAACATAGTACTTTCCAGAAAATTGTCCTCCTTATTGTTATCCTCCATGCAATGGGCTTTGCCAGCAAAGTAAGCTGGCTTGATTCAATCAGTAAGGCTATTAGATGGCACAGGCTTAGGAGACTGAAATTTGGTTTCTCTTGCTCAGGGTATAATTTCTCCCTGTCAAATTATAGTTTCATGTGGGTTTTGCAAACTGCTATTAGAATCTGGGATCCCTCTAAAATAGTTAAATGTTTTATTTATTTTATTCATTTATTGGCTGTGTACATATTGCCCACACACTGGATCAGACCCTGAGACAGGTACTGAAAACACAAAGCAACTTTCATGGGTTTACACTATGGGGTCCATAGTATTTTTATCCTGCTTATTCCCAAAAGGATTTTGAGTAGTATGTATGATTAACGCCAAAGTAAAAAGAAAGAAAGAGAAACAAAGAGAGAAAGAAAAGAATTAAAAATAAAAATGACAAACCATACAATAAAAACACATCTAGAGTTGTTTACCTGCCCCTCCAATGAGCTAATACAATCACTATTCTTTGGAAAGTGATATGACTTGTTTTATCTTGCCTCACTAAATAAAAAGAGGTTTAGTTATGTTTACATAGCAAATATTCCAATAAACTCTTCCTCAACACTGCCTTACAAATGTTTCTGGAAAGGCAAGGGTTTCTCTGAAACTAAACGTAGGGGAGTCATTGTAATCCTTGTTTTATTACAGAAACATTGTTCAAATAGGCAAATGTGGTATTGAACTTTTTAAAAGGCAAGGAGTATATGTGACTCTAACCCAGTCAAGTGGTTTTTGTTTGTTTTTTTGTAGAAGCCTGAAATAATTATGGCTCAGCTGTTTTTAGGGTCACCTTCTTTCATACAAGGATAAACTTAGACAAACTCATAAATAGATGCTGTATCCTTTGGACAGATTATCTTAAGAAATAATATTCACTGAGCAAATATATATAGTATTCTTGTAACTTAATCAAACCCTTTAATGGTCTCAGCATGCAGTATGTTTAAAAATCCTTAATGAGTGCTTTTGGATTCATAGGCTGAGTATGAATTGATGAGTGCTCCAAAAAAGAATCAAATATGGGGAAAAAATTACTAGGCAGATTAGAATTTGAAGGCAATAAAACTCTCTCATTTAAAAGATAGCGTAAAATAAAATTTATACTCTGAGGATGTCACTGCTCTAGACATTAATCAAATAAATAGTTTGACAAGTCCTGGAAGTCACCAATTAGGATGAATACTAAATTATTCAGGTGGCAAGAAGTCTTTTCATGGGTACTTTCATACTTTCATGATGTCAGAAAATTGATCACATATTTTAAAGCAACTACACAAGCTACACTTACTGAATGTCGACTGATGAAATACCCAGAATCCATGATCTATAGACTGTATAATTAATAAGGGTCGATAATATTTAATGTAGATTCACTAAGTGACAGAGATATTGCTAAGTGATCTACACAGATAATCTACTCTCTGTTGTTGTAGAAAATGTTGTCTCTTCCCATTCCAGGATCTTGTGTTCCAGAGATACAATTTTTCACCACTGTGCTTATAGGATGAATAAATAATAAATAATATATGATTAATAATAAAAGAATGTAGTCTTTCATTCCCAAAATATTAATTGGTATTTACTATTATGTCAGGCACTGCACTAGATGCTAAGCATTAAAGAGCCTCTGCTGTCATGCAACATAAACTTAAACACTTTCATCTAGAATATTCAGCACACCCACCCTTAACATCAGCAGGGCCTGGGGCAGGAGTACAAATGGAAGTCTACAAGCTGTTGTCTGAATATTTAAATGTTACATGTCAAGCTCACAATCTGTTGAGTAAAATATGTTCTATTCTCCTAGTTTGACAAATATACTTTCATAATGCCCTAGGACAGAATCTTATTTAGAATTCTTGAAATCCTTTGCTGGAACATAGAGGTGAGGACCTCTAGGTTCTCTATGGTGTCCCAGCACCCAGCCCCTAACTGGGGTAGGCTTTTCTTCTCACCCTTGGCTTTCTGTCACATCAAGAGGTGCCTGACATGCTTGCAAGCCCTGACTCTGCCATCATGCCTGCACACAGCCCCCCTTTGTTTATCTCCTAGGCACAAAGGCGATCCCATGAGTGGGTTTCCCATACTCAGAGGAATAGACCCTGGAAGAGACTCACAGGGCCCTGGAAACAGGCTTAGGACACTGGGTGAGAATGTTCAATTCTTGGGTATCCAAGCACAGTTTTGAATGAGGAGGGTCTGGGCTTTTGGTGACCATGCGGTGTTAGTTCCACAAACTCCTACTCTAGGGGGGCAGGAGAGGGGCTCCCAGTAATGTGGGTGTCAGGTGGAGGCAAGGGTGGGATGTCTATTTCCTAATTCTAAGAATGATAAACGCTGTGTGTAAATAAAAGCTAACCATCTGTATTAGTTTACTTTCATACTGCTATGAAGAAATACCTGAGACTGGATAACTTATAAAAAAAAAAAAGGGGGAGTTTAATGGACTCACAGTTCCACATGGCTGGGGAGGCCTCACAATCATGGTGAAAGGCGAAGGAGGAGCAAAGTCGCGTCTTACATGTTGGCAGGCAAGAGAGCCTTTGCACGGGAACTGCCCTTTACAAAACCATCAGATCTCATGAGACTTATTCACTATCATGAGAATAGAATGGGAAAAACCCACTCCCGTGATTTAACTACCTCCCATGTCCCTCCCGTGACACATGGGGATTATGGGAGCTACAGTTCAAGATGAGATCTGGATGGGGACACAGCCAAACTATATCACCATCCCAGTAATTTCCTTAGCATACTGTGTGGGCTACCTACCTGTAGCTCACCCCTTAGCTTTACCCATAATGACCTCTTGCAAGAACACCAAAAAACACTGGAACTTTCTGGAGTGTGCAAAAGGACTCCATTCACCATCCATCTCTCACTCTATTAACTCCTGCTCAAATGCTAGGCTTCCATTCTGCACAATCCAGCCCCAAAAGCCTAATAAGAAAAGGACCACCATTCAAACACCAGGAGAGTTACACCTTTGTTTCCCTCCGTGCTAACATTTCCTCTCCATGTGCCACTGTCTCCTGCTTTTATTTATAAATGTCCTCAATATTAATTTATAAATATTCACTGATAAATATTCTCAATACTAAAAGTCACGTGTTCTTGGCCGGGCGCAGTGGCTCACACCTGTAATCCCAGCGGCCGAGGTCAGGAGGTCAGGAGATGGAGACCATCCTGGCTAACACGGTGAAACCCTGTCTCTACTAAAAATACAATAAAATTAGCCGGGCGTGGTGGCGGGCACCTGTGGTCCCAGCTACTCAGGAAGCTGAGGCAGGAGAATGGCATGAACCCGGGAGGCTGAGCTTGCAGTGAGCCGAGATCGCGCCGCTGCACTCCAGCCTGGGTGACAGAGCGAGACTCCATCTCAAAAAAATAAATAAATAAGATAAAAGACATGTGTTCTTATATTTTGTAAGATAACTTCCTAATATTCTAAAAGAAGGTATCTCTTAGCTAATGTTCAAGAGGCTGATATTTAAGACATTCTCTGTCAAATTTTAGTCCTTAAAGTATTTTGGAGAATAGAGTCTCCCAAAGCCAAATGTGGTTGTTTTGCCATTCCTATGCACACACTTTCATTTTTTTTGTATCATAACAAATTTTGCAAACTAAGTTGGAATGATAGCATTCCCTGAACATAGTTTGATCATCATTAATAATTTTTATTTGGTGACTTTCTGTGAGAATATAAAATGGAATAATATATATACTATATAATAGAAAAATATATATGGAAATTTGCATTATATCTGTTAAATAATCAGCACTATTAAAGGATTACTATCACTATTTTTAATATTATTTTAATTCTTCTGTAAGAAGTAACAGGAAGCTCTAGTCAGATAAAAAAATTCAGGTCAATAAACCACAGACTTTCCAGCTTTAGTAGTAAATATTCTCTTGAACTCATTTTATAATTGACGTCAATTCAGAAATAATTTTATTCTTATATTATTCTTAGGCTGCTTAATTCTATTCTATTCAGCATCTAACCTTTGTTCTCATGATGCTCCATAAATTAATCCTTTTGGGTCATGAATTAGCAAGCCTCCAAAATAAAGTGACAGGTTAATTAAATTATGCAAGGAAAATGGCTTTCCTTTTTTGTTGTTGTTGTTTTTGTTTGTTGGTTGGTTTTGTTTTGTTTTTGAGACAGAGTTTTGCTCTTGTTGTCCAGGATGCAGTATGATGGCGCGATCTCGGCTCACTGCAACCTCCGCCTCCCGGGTTCAAGCGATTCTCCTGCCTCAGCCTCCTGAGTAGCTGGGATTACAGGAACCCACCACTATGCCCAGCTAATGTTTTGTATTTTCAGTACAGACGGGGTTTCACCAAGTTGGCCAGGCTGGTCTTGAACTCCTAACCTCAGGTGATCCACCCACCTCGGCCTCCCAAATTGCTGGAATTACAGGCGTGAGCCACCGCACCCAGCTCAGAAAACGGTTTTCAATTCTACATCCCAACAGAGAGGAGAGGGACATTGAAAATTTATGATTACATCAAGTCTACTAAGTGTTCTTCTCTGCATTTTCTATCATTGCCTCATAACAGTTCTAGGTCTAACGACAGAGCAATCACTCTAAATTTTAATGATATGAATATCATCAAATTTGGCCTGGTAAAGCCATATAAACTCCATCAATAAGAATTTTACAAGCAAAACCTTCTCAATGAAAATGCTAAGGTCAGGGAATATTTTCATAGGAGTTTATCTCATTAGAGATGTCATTTTCTTAATTTGCACCACACATCTTATGGGCAATCTGGCCAGGTGAATAATTATATATTCACACACACTTGAGACACTTTCTTTGGGAATAAAGTATATTTTTAAATAGTGATTTCTTACCATTTTTCTCTATTGGTTTGATTGTTGTTAAGAATATTATTGCCTCTGTGAGAAGAACTAGAGTAGTTTGGTCATAACAGCAGATATAATGAATAAATCATGCATCCCTCGTAGATTTTAGCATGCATTTTAGATTTCTGAGAGGATTATTTGAAAACCAAAACAAAAATAAGGAAGCAAGAATGCAGTTGTTCAAATACAGTGATCATGAAAATAACCACTGGTTCATGAGTCTCAGCCCCTAAGGAAACCTCTTCATCCTTAATGAGAATCCATGTGCCTCAGGTAGATTTAATGCACTTTGCCTTTTTCTTTCTCTTTTCATTTTTCATCAGCAAAGGATTTATATTTATAGATAATTAGGTGATGTCAGCCATAGGCAACTTTGTGAAGTTTTCTTTTCTGAGATATTTCCAAAATGTTTCCTGTCTATGATACTTTCTCTTCCCTAAGAAATTCTCTCTCTTTGTTTCTCTTTGCCCCAAGCACCCACACGCTAGCCCATTGCTTTTTGTTATTGGGGAAAGCAGTTAATCTTCCAGGCGTATTTGCAGACTCTGAAAAGACCTTGGGCAGGAAATGTCTTACATGACGGAAAGCATTAATAAATGTAGAAAGGCAGCCCTCCTGGATAAGCAAGCAGGAGGACATTTCTGGGGAAATAATGGCTATCAGGATGCTGGCTGAAGAAGTTACAGGGGAGGCAGCAGCCAGGTCTTGATGATGAAATCTGAAGCACCAGCCTGGGTCTGCTTTTACCTTGACGGACTCATTGATTCACACAACTCCTGCATGCTGAAAGCAAGGCTTGTGGTATGGGGAAATTACAAACTGTTCCCTTGTATGCATATTATCATTTAAAACAAAATTATTTTAAAAAACATTTCTTATTACTTGAACACTGTGAAATGCTTAATCATTAGCTGAATTTAGGGATTTGATGATTTTTTCTCCCTCTACCCAGAGGCTGTTGGTCTTGATAGAATAAAAGGAATGATGATTAGAAATTTAATTATGGTTCCAGTTTAAAGTTAATGTTTTAGGAGGTTGTGGTCCTGAAGTGAAGAACACAATCTAAGCTCCTTGGGATGACATAAAACGCCCATTGTGACCTGATCCTTGTTCATTTCTAACCCTATTTCTTGCTGTACTCACGTATAAATCATTTTCCAGCCACACTAAATCCCTTGTAGTTTTATAATACATGATGCTTTCTTTTACCTTTGCACAGAGTTTCCACTGATTCCCATGGTGTTCTTCACTTGAAGAATCTGATCTTTGTAACAAAGCATAAGTATATGGACTTCGGAGTGATTTCCCTGATCTTACTCTTATGAGTGTTAAGTATGTATATGTATGAGTGTATACAGTTCACATATATATGAAAAATCTTTACAGATACTGTTAGTTTGTGTTTCTGTCAAGTCAAGAAGTCAAATAAATTCTGTTTATATGGGAAACTTTTACCTAATAGTTTTGTTTTTTTTTTACCTAAAAAATGTCAGAAATTTTTAAAATTTCTGAAATAAAGTTTTCATAACTATTCAAATAGTTCAAATTAGTCTACTAGGCTGCCAGACACAAGTTGACATTTGCATTCCTATGCACATGAAAAAAAATCAGTTAACAGATTAATTTTGAGTGATTCTAATCATCCTACTTTGGATAAGGTCCAAATAGTCACTCATGACCCATGGAATGCAACATGTACAGAACATTCACTTATTAGTCTAACTAGGGAGAAGAGTCATCTCAATTATGAAAGTCAAACTTATCTAATATTTCAAATAAAGTGTTTTTTTTACCTTAGGGCATATAAATTAATTTAAATTGTGCTCACTGGAAATTGAATGCCCAAGACCCCATTTTTTAAATGTGTGAGAGTAATTAACTGGTGCATCAAATATTTGTATGTATATTGATGGACATGTCTGAATCACTGACAGTATTTATAAAGTTTACTTTCAATCTTGTGACAAACCAGACTACCTTCCATTTTATGCACCTATCTAATGCTTAGCCAGCTACATGCAATGTTGCTCCTATTTTTCCCATCTGGAGTTTATTTTCCCCATCCCGTATAATTCCTTGCCATCCAGCTTGAAGTCTCCATAGCCCTATGTCAATATTTTAGTTGTGTAGCATTCAAACAACTTTTTTATTTGGAAAGAATCCCTCTTGATATAAATCTTGATGAGAAACAATGTCCTGCTTTCTATTAAGACATCAACAAAGTCAGTCAACGGTTTGATTCTGTATCCAGAAACAGCTGGCCCTAGCAAAATGAGAGAAAGAAGGATTGCCACTTTTATTATGATGCCAGCTTGGAGACAATGTCATGAGAGATGGTGGTGCAGAACTGCTGGATGTGTTAGATGCTCTGAACCAGCAAAGTATGGAGTAGTCAGTTTCATGTCAGAATAAATGTGTTCAGAAAACAATGATCCACTCAAAATATTTACTTCCTATTCTTGCAACTTTGGATTTCTGGATTTTTGGAGTGTTAATATTCAAGGAAGAATTGTTTATCCCAGTGGATACAACAATTATTCCTTAGATTTGGAATGAAATGGTTTTGCAGGTGGGTTTCCCCAGGAAGCAGAATACGAGATGGGGCTTAGCATACAGGTTTATCTGGGAGTGTTCTGGAAAGCCACACCTGTGTAAGGGAAGGAACAGGAAGCAGGACCTGGCAGAGGGGAAAGTCACACTGTGTTGTAGCTTCAAAAGAAGCCTCAGCTGGCCCTATAGGTAGCTAAGCTCGGTTGATCCTTTAACATTGCCCTAAATTGGGTAAGAAGAGGGTCAGTCGTTTACACCTGTGAGGCAATCAGTTATTGGATGTGGACCACCCTGAAAGGGGTGTGAAGTCCAGTGAGAAGGCTCTCTTTAGTGGAGGCAATCCCCAAAGCAGCTAGATTTTTGGGTCTTTCATTCCAGAAGAGAGATTGGGACAGTCCATCAAAATGTCCAACACAGATGGCTGACAGTCATTACGAAGCTCATGCTATGGAAAAAAAAAGTGAACGATAAAATTTTAATCTTAAATAAAACAAGAATTAAACTTAACTATTAGGTGGCCAAAGATGACTGTTTCACCAAGGGGAATGGAGGGAGGATTTACGGAACTGAGAAAGCCTCTGGGGTACTAGTCCTACCGTGTTCAGTGGAAAAAGCTAACAGAAGACTACTAGTTACACAAAAATGGAACAACAAAGACGAAGATCCTTCCAGAATAAAACTTGGAATCACCCAGCGGGCTTCTTAAAATTCAGATGGCTAAGCCCTATGTGCAAAGGTTGCAATGCATTAGGGATGGGTTGTGGTTGGAGAATTTCCATTTCTAACCAGTTCCCAGATGATGATGATGCTGTTGGCCTAGGGAGACCTGGTGGCACAGAGTGGCTCTGTATTAGAGACTGTTGAAGTGAAGTTGGGACAGGTCTAGAGATGGAAGGGATTCTAGTCCTGGAGTTGGGTGGCTGTAATTTTTGACAATACAAATAATAGTTACATTAGACAAGAGCTTCTTATTTTAAAGTATTAGTATGGGGATAAAGGTGAAAATGCAGCTAGGAAGCCAACCATAGTAACATATTTTGGAATATTTGACATTTTTCCTACCCAAACTTCAATCCTCTTTCTTGTTTCAAGGGAACTCCCTTGTGCAAGTCTTAGTAGAATAGGGAGTTTCATTTCTCACTGTGGAAACCAAACGAAACCAGCCAGGCTTGCCCTCTCCCTCCCCCTTGAGACCTGGAAAATGAACTGTCTTTTAGCTTGGCTGTTCGGATATACCTGCCTGAGACTTTGAAGCTTGTGGGAGTGATCCAAAGTGCACAGGACTGTCAGAATTGGTCTGATTGATGTGAGACAGTCTATGAGTGACTCTGCCAGGCTGAGGTTCATTCATTCATGGAGGCAGTGTCCCCAGAAGCAATTATGGCTTAGAGAAAAGATGATCTGGTGGCTTCTTGGTCAGATTTTTGCTGCTGCATGGTCTTAGGAACCATCTTGTTTCCTGTCTGTCTTCCCAGACTTGCCATCCATTTTTTCCACCACTTCTGACAGCCCCTTTATGTTCCCTCAATAATTCCCCATTTCAGTTAAGCAAGCTTGAGTTGGACTCTGAAGTTTGCAACCAAGAGACTTGACTGACACACTCTCCTTTGTCCAGAGAGATGTTAACATAGAGCTAGCCAGTCATGCTTCCAATTCTCATAGAGATTAATTCCAGCTGGATTAATGTTGAAGAGTTATTTCTGAATGAGTTTATAGAACTGTATTAAATGCCTTTCATTTTGTTGTATTTTGTTTCTCCTCTTAGTTTGTGAGCTCCTTGCACATTAGAACTGTCATTTCGTCTTTTATTCTCTACAATCAACTAGCAAAACATTTGAATATGCATGAATTTGGAAGAAGGAGGGGTATCTGCTTGCCTCTGCATAAATGTCACCTCCTTAGAGACTCATTTCCTCACCATCTCTAGCCAGCCCAATGCTAGTCAACTGTCTTTCATTATCCAGGTGTTTCTTTCTTTGAAACTTTTATCGCTCTATTAAATTGTATTGTTTATATATTTGTTAATGTATTTATCTCTATCCTGTCTTAAATGTGTGCTCAATGAGAGCAGCATCCTTCACTGTAGATCAATCTGTCTGGACAAAAGATTTAAACAGCTCCCTGGTTTCAATAAAATTCTATCCACACAAAGTATTTTGAGTTTGGCTACAGTGACCAAACAGGGAGAGTCGTAAGAAATAATCACATTTTTTCAAAGCACAGCCATTTACCATGTCAATGGCTAAGTCTCTCCCTCTTTTTTTCTCCCTTTCCTCTTTTTTTCTTCCCAAGGAGGGTAACAAAGTCTTCTCTTTGCCTAATGCACAATATTTAGAAATCATCCTTTAAAGCCTGAGCAGACTGCAGGATCCTATTCTTTACCTTTAATTGTCTATCAAAGTGTTTCTTTCAAAATCGCTTTTCCTAGAAAAAAAGGGAAAACAATTTCTCTGGCTTGATACATTACTGTCTAAATTCTGTCTTTTCCTGTATTACTTTTGTCACAAATTCAAAATTAGTGGAATCAAAGTGTGTATGTTTATACCAAAGCCTGTGAGTGAACACTGAGGGAAAGATATTAGGTTGGTGCAAAACGATTGTGGTTTTACCATTATTTTGAATGGCAAAAACGGCAATTACTTTTGCACCAACTTAAATATTTTTAAGTTCTTGGTGACTCCCCATATAGACATTTCGCTGAGTACTTGAGTCTGATTCTGGCTGCATCACTGACCAGTAAACAAATCACCAGGAGTTTTTGACTTGCATTTTCTTGCTTATGAAACTAAATAGAGTGTATCAATGGCTCTTGCATCAAAATTGGCAAATACATAGATGGAAGTTGACAGATGGCTTTTATCCTTAATAAGAGGTGACTCATAGTTTAAAACTTTATTAGGTTTAGCTGTATGCAAATGAAAGAACTCATCATTGGATGTAAGCTTAGCTACTTGTGTTCAGATATGCCTACTTTTGATGGAAAACTGATTATCATCAACAAACCTGACAGAGATGATAACAGGAGGATTAGCACAGAGCTTGAGAAAAACAGCACAAATCCTAAAAGACTGCATTTCAACTGGGCTGATAAACTGCCATCTCACAGAGCACACAAGTGCTGCCTTCCTTTAGGCAAAGATAATCTGGGCCTGTGAGCTTGTTGTTAATTTAGCAAGCAGAGAGAGAAAAAAAATGAAGAAAGAGCTGTAGTTGAGTGGACTTTTAAAGTCTTTCCAGAGTAGAGCAATGCCAATATCTGCAAAAATAGAGTTTTTAAAAAGAAATTTTAAAAAGACTCTCATGGAAAGCATGACATCTGGCATCACCCTGCCTGGATTGGTCTTCCAAACCCAGCCTGGTGTCCGAGATGTAATCTCCACTCCCTCTTTCACTGTTTGTTTCAGTCAATCATAAACTCTTCCCATTAAACTTTGTTTACTTGTACCATTTCTAATAAATTCTACCCTCTCACCCCTCTGGTCTTTTTTCTTTAATAAATCCCCTCCTCCACCTCCACCTCAACCACCACACCCACACATTCACCTGAAAAAGCACAGACAGAAAAAATAAAACCTGTTTTATAGGCTATTGATTGATGCCTGTCTGAAGAGAAGCAGGATGGCTGTGAAAAACATAGGCAGTTGCACATCTATGTTTCACAGAGCACGGCTGCGCTAAGCCTCATGGTGAGTCTCCCACTTTGCCTTCTTCTGCTGGAAGTTATCTCTTCCTAATTAATTGGATTAGCCACCTTCTCCTGACTTGTTTTAATTTGTCTGTTTTAAAACATCTCTGTGATAAGTGTGGCTGTTCTAATGATGCTACTATTCTAGTGGCTGGTCACTTTCTTACAGAGATGAAATGCTAGGGAGAGGAAGAAGAACGTGCTCATTTGACTGTGAATCCAGCATTGCCCCTGAGGGATGTCAGTGTGCTTCTGCGTGACAGAACAAATGCAAATCCAATCAAAATAGCTATGCTTTTTATGAACAGGAAAAGTTTGAGGCAGAAATAGACACATTCAAGAAAGAGAGAGCAGTTACATAAAACCTAAACCAGCTTCAGAATGTAACTGCTCAAGAGGTGTAGCTATTTTTGGTTCTTTAACAGGTTTAAGCATGCTAACAAGTTCCACCATAAACAGGCACTAAAAAGGAAACCCCCCAGTTATAATGACATAATGTGCAGAAATAATTCACCAAGGCTCAGAAGTAAGCATGACAGAGAAGTGACCTTGCACAGCACCATTCAGAGGTCACAGATAAGGAGCTGGCGCTGTCTGGCTGGAGCTGGAAGAGGGATGAAGATGTGCAGGGACCTGCAAGGTAGGACTATGGGAATCAGGCAGCTAACGTACTGCTACTAACTGGTAAAACCAAAAAATTAAATTAGAAAAAGCTTGAAGTTCCTATTTTGTGACCCAGTCCCTAGATGGTGAGCAGTAATAATTATGTCTCTAATGCACCACAACTATCTTAGGTCACATGCTGCTGTTTTGTGAAAACTTTCCTTCTATTTCCCTCTAGACTCTCTTTGATGTTTACGTTTCCTGTATTTCACCTGCACAGAAATGTGAGCAATGATAAGAAGGGTCTTTGACTCTATTTTCTCGAAGCACCTTTTCACAATCTATTTTGTTTGTTAACTCCAATAAACAAATACATCCCTCCCCCAACCTAGATACACAAGATTTTGGATAAACAAGAAAAAATTCTGCCAACAGGCTATACAAAGAACTGTGAAGAGTCTGAGATTGTACTCAGCTTATAACCTAAGAAATTAGTCTGCTACCGTTTCATGAATGCTGGCAGAAGTGAGACTCCTGGGTCAGAGACAAAGAACATTATTATTCATGTCAAGGGGAGCAGCAGAAGGATCAACATATTTGCGTCAGTTCCCCTTGCCTTCAGACCCCATGGGGGCAATGTGGACAGGCCCAGATGACACCAGCATACTCAATGGGTTGTAATATAGGAGAAGAACCCTGAGCTGAAGGAACTCAAATCTTATGATGTATAGTCTCCAGAGGGAGACATTACCTTTGTTACAGAGGATGGTAAGAATGCCCGCCCTTTGCTCTGCAGAGAGACATCTCTGTCTTCCAAGGCTATTTGCTGTACAGGCTTCCTTGAAAAGATTCTCCAGAGTAAAAGACACTCTGTGCCTCTGCTTGCAAGATGTGCAGGACAACATGTTACCCCACGGAGAATTAACTCCCAACAGATTACCTGGCTCTGTTTCTCATTCCCTTCCCATGCCGTGCCCCTGCTTCTTCACTCTTTCCACTGTAAGATCCCACTGTGCCCTGAGCCCACCCACTGCCACACTATACTGTACTTGCTTACTTATAAGCCTCTCCAATTTGACTATAAGCTTCTTATGAGATGAGACTCTATAATTCTTCTTGGCATCACCAGTTCAGCCCAGTGTTTGACCCTCAGGACTCAATAAATGTTTTCTGAAATAATGAATGAGTCAACATCTAGAGAGTTGCTTGAGGGCAGAGGGTGTATTTTATACAACTTTGTATCACAAACTGTAGCTCCAAAAATGTTAATTTCATATAACAGAATTACTATTGTAATAAAATTAAATGATAAACATTTTCCAAACAGGCTAATGAAGTCCAAACCTCTAGACAAGGTTCTCAAGATGAAAAACAAAATTGCCCTCACACATCATAATTGCGTTTCACAGCAACATCACTTTGAAAAACAAAATATTTTAAATATTGTTCATTTTTTATTGTTTTTAAATAAGCATGTCTTCAACATATTTTTACAGTTTTTACCATAAATTATTTTTCAGGGTATCTTAGGTTTTTTCTTTGATCAAATTCTTTATATAAAACTAGGAATAGTCTTCATCTTTGCAAAAAGATATGTTCACAACAATTTTTCTTGAAACACACAGTCTTTGATTTCCCCACTTTGGATAAAGAAATGATGCTATGAATTATTTTACTGGCCTTTTAACTCTGCTAGAAGAAAAACAATAGTGTGTCAAAGTTACCAGCAATGAGTTTTGGCCTCAGTGCTTGCAATTTCACAAGAAGAGATAGAGACACAGGAAGCTCATACCCCCTGCAAGAGACAGTTGTTTTTCACTCCAGCTTATGGCTGCTAGGCAGACACGGGGGTCCAGGGCTGTTTGATCTCTTGACATTGCAAGAAGTGTTTAAAATTTAGATTTTTATTTGAAAGCTCCTGATTTTTACCTGTTGAGCATTTATTCATGGAAAAAAAATACATTGTACAAATCTCTCAGACCAGTCTCACCCCTGGGCCCCAGTTTTCTGTCTCTGAAAGTTTGTGGAACAGAGAATAAGACAATGTGGCATGTGGGCAACCCCACGGCAGCATCTAGGGTTGAGTGTTAACAGCTCCCGAAGCCCCAGTGGGCATGTGTTATAGTGCAGCATGCTCTTTCAGCTTAGCTGTCCTCAGGCCTCTTGTGTTAATCAGCTCAATTAGACCCTCTGCCTTATTGCAAGGACAGAGGGCTTTCTGTATCCCAGGGTTCTTGCCTTAGTGTACCGGAAAAATCGAATCACTCAGGGGCTTGGAGGATAGGTGCGAGGTTTTTATTGAGTGGTAATAGCTCCCAGGGAGGTGGATGAGGAAGACAGAAGCTGGATGGAGTGGGAAAGTGGTCTTCCCCTGGAGTCAGGCCACCCAGTAGTGGCGCTCTCCTCTGGCTGAACTTCACATGGCACCACTGTATATGACCTGCTGGTGTCTGCTGGTGTGTGCCGGTGTGTTCTGCTAGTGTGTTCTGCCCGTGTGTTCTTCTCGATGTCCAGCTGCTTGTGTCTGTGCCTGCTAGGGTCTCGGGGCTTTTATAGGCACAGGATTGGGGGCGTGGTGGGCCAGAGTGATCTTGGAAAATGCAATATTTGGGCATGAAAACAGGAGTGCCTGTCCTCACCTAGGTCTGTGGGCACAGGCCTGAGGGTGGAACCCTTGCCTGGGACCCCACCTTTCTTTACCGAGCACTTCCTTGCCCCCCTCCTGTATCATTATGATGCATAGAATATATGAGGAACATTCAACAATTAGACCCAGATCTTGCCCCGAAGAATCTTCTAGTCTATTAGCAATGTATCATATAAAAGCCAGGGTTGCATTTATACGCAAGGGTGTTTAATTTATTGAGTTATTTGCAGTCCTGTAATCTTTTTAAGTGCCCTTCCTGGAAGAACCTTCCGCCTGAGACTTTCTAAGTCTTTCAGAGAAAGTTTAATGACAAGGCATTGGCCTAATTTTATCCTATAAAGAACAGTCAAACAGCAGTTAAACAGGTACAAGCACAACAGTAACCCACACACATTCACATGCACAAGAGACAAAATAACCCTGGGAGGAGAAAACATAGGCCCTATGGGGAAAGATTCCCTAGGAACTCAACCAGAGTCAGACGAAAGCCAGCCCTGCCTCAGGACAAGCAGGGCTTTGCGGAGAACTACAGGTGGGACATTGGATGATGTTTCCCAGAATAGCTTTCCAGCTTCATCCATAGACATCAGGCAAAGATGAGAATGTGTATGGCTGATAAGGTTTGGCTGTATCCCCACCAAATCTCATCTTAAATTGTAGCTCCTATAGTTCCCGTGTGTTGTGGAAGAGACCCGGTAGGAGATAATTGAATCATGGAGGTGGTTTCCCCCATACTGTTCTCATGGTAGTCAATAAGTCTCATGAGATCTGATTGTTTTATAAGGGGTTTCTTCTTTTGCTTGGCTCTCATTCTGTCTTGTCTGCTACCATGTAAGACGTGCCTTTCACCTTCCATCATGATTGTGAGGCCTTTTCAGCCACATGGAACTATGAGTCCATTAAACCTCTTTTTCTTTATAAATTACCCAGTCTCTGGTATGTCTTTATCCAGCAGCGTGAGAATAGACTAACACAATGGCCTAGGGGTAAAGAAGTGAGCCTTTGAACTCAAACAAATCTGTTCCAAACTCTGTCTCTTTTACTTACAAGCTGAGTGGCTTAGGCCAAGTGACTTTATTTCCCTGAGCTTCAATTTCCTTGTCTATAAAATGGAAACAACAATAATAATAATAATAATTAATAATAACAAGAAGAACCACATGAAACTTTGTGAGGGTAAAATAAGACAGTACTTAAACTCGTGGAGTAGATTCCAGGGCAGAGACGGAATAGGGGATGTGTGGATAAGTTGTGGTTTGCAGTGAAGCAAGTTCTGCAGTCTGCAGAAGAGGGGCAGAAGAAGGACCAAAGAGCAGTGTGGTGCCTGAGGTGAAGCCCAGCTGAAACAAGCAGACAAAAAGGACTTGGTGGAATGACGGCTCACTGCATTGTTTGCAACCATTGCTTAGACCCTTGTGGTAAAGAAGAAATTTGAGTATATTTTTTCTTTTCACTCACCCATTCTCTTGGTTATGAAACTGGCAAAAAATCCCTTAGAAACATCCAGAAAAAATGCAGCCTGAAATTATCAAAATGAGTTTATAAAACCAGGGCTGTGATAGGAACCTTTAATGTTTTGGATGACAGCCTTTAGAATGTTTAGGCTTCTCTGGGTTGGTTATATTTTAAGAGGTTTTAGAAAACAAACTCTTGGGTAAAATTAAAGACAGCCTTAGGTTCTTAACCTGGCTTAACAACTAATTGCTTTGAATAGGACAATTGATCACTCCCCGCTTCATGTTTGCCTTGTGGAAAATCGTAATCAATAATATTTATATTTGCCATCTTTATGAAAATAATGAGTAGGTAAATATGATACAACAAGAATTTAGCATCTGGAATAAAATGGGTAATAGAAATTCTAGATTGCATATATACATAATTGCATATATAAAAAATCAATACTTGATTGATTTTACAGAAGATAAACCTTTAACTAAAATAGGGTACACATCACTTTCAAAAAGAAAGCAATGATACACTATTTTTTTGATAATGTTTAAGAAGATTGGCAAAAAGAATTGGAGTGAATCTTTTCTAAAACTTCTTACTCCTGTGGATATGGGCCAGTCCAGAAATGAAGCTCTGATTACAGTAATGTTAATGGTGGCAAATGCACCATTTCACTTAGATTTTCTAAAGCTATCAATACACCAAGTTGGTTTTTTCCTTTTGTTTTTCTTTGACTCTCAAGACCATGTTTCACTGCATACCTATGATACATCATCTCTTGGTCCAAAACATTAAAGGAGGAAGCATCAAATTACTCATGAATGATGCTAAATAATTTACTATAAGATATATATATGTATATATATATATTATGAGTAGTGTATATATATACATATACACAATGAATATATATTACTATGAATATATATATTCATAGTATATAAGATATACATGTGTATGTATATATTATGAGTAGTATATATACATATATACTATGAATATATATTACTATCAAATATATATTCATAGTAAATTAGCATCATTATATATAATTATATATATTCATATATACATAATTCAGGAAAAGAGCATGAAATTTAGAATATATAACTCTTGAACAAGGTAAATGCTTCAGAATGTTTCCAGCATTGAGGAACAAAACAGGAAGAATCAGAATCTAACTCCAGGATAGTGATTAAAGGAAGACAACACTTTTAATGTCTACAAATTATGCATTTATTATGAGTGTAGTTACAGACTTTCCATTTTAAAAATATCAAGTGTTTTGATGATGTTTTAAATAATTAAGAACCCTACATTATTTTAACAAATATAGTTATTTCAGACATGGAATTTATGATAGACAGTCTGAGCTAAATATTTTCAATTGACAGCACTCTGAAGGCCTCTCAATAAAATATAACTAACTAGATGCTGGATATAATAAACTTTGTATTATGTTGTGGTTTCTCAAGAAAAAAAGATAAATTTATATTTCCTCCCTCTCCCTGAAAAAAATAGTGGGCTGAATCCAGAGTTTGAAACAGTGAACACACAAAAAAACTGAAAATGTGGTACATATATACCACAGAATACTATGCAGCCATAAAAAGAATGAGATCATGTCCTTTGGAGGGACACAGATGGAGCTGGAAACCATTATTCTTAGCAAACTAACACAGGAACAGAAAACCAAATACCACATGTTCTCACTTATAAGTGGAAGCTAAATGATGAGAATATATGGACACACAGAGGGGAACAACACACACTGCAGCCTATTGGTGATGGTGGAGAGTGGGAGGACAGAGAGGATCAGGAAAAGTAAGTAATGAGTACTAGGCTTAATACCTGCATGATGAAATAATCTGTACAACAAACTCCCATGACACAAGTTTACCTGTGTGACAAACCTGCACATGTACCCCTGAACTTAACATAATTTTTTTTTTAATTGCAAAGACCTAGTTGTTCCGAGGCAAATGTTGAGAGTGTTACTGTGATTGAGAAATTCTAATGTACCCTAAGCAGGATGAAACAAAAGAAATCTGTGCCAAGATACATGATGTTGAAACTGTAGAACAATAAATTTCGATAAAGAGAAGAACTTAAAAGGCAGACAAAGTGGAAAGTGAAATAACCTAAAAAGGATATGACAACAAATTTATTGATGGAAATAAAAGGAGCTTGAAGACAATGGAACGATATTTTCACTTTCTTTGATCAGCTTGCTATCCCACAGGAGAGTTTGCTGGCCCAATACATAGATGATATCACACTGACTAAAACTTACTGACTAGATGTCCTAGTAAGACATTTGCCAAACCTTCAGCAGGCAAATCAGATCATCAAGGGTAGTTTCTGGGCCTTCCTGAGAAACATGTGCTGTGAGAAATCAACTGAGATTACACCTTCTGTGTGTAGGCAACTGAGAAAATTGGTGTTCATTTCTCTTTGGGATTTCTCCTAAGAATCACCCACTTTGGTGTTGCAGACAGCTGGAATCATTGATTGTGATATCGGCGCTTCCAGATTTTCTTAAGATAGCATGCTGACAGTGTCTTTTTCAATGGTTCCAGTGGGTGTGTAAACCTTTAATTCTCTCTAATTAAAATGCATGGAATGATTTTAATTTTTCTGCTCAAATCATGATTGAAACAGTCACTTTAAAAAAAGGAGGGATCCCAAATTGTTTCAAAAAGAAAACTCTGCTGCTTTTTATAGCAGATACTCATAAGATAAAGCTTTAGAAAAAATAAATAAAAATTTAAAGAATGTTAATAGCAGAAAAGGTGGAGTTTAGGCCAAAAAGCATTAAACTGCACAAAAAAGGACACATGACGATGTTAACATTCTGTTCAAAATGAAGACCTAATGCTTTTGAATATGTTTGCACCAAGTAACATAGCATCAAGATTCATAAATCAAAATTTCAGGAAACATAAGGAGGAAGAATTAGAAACAGACTAGTTGCCCCAACTTTAATTTATTTATCTTGGTTAATGATTAAAAAAGTGGAAAAAAATAACAAGCACAAAAGGTTTAATAACATATTTAATCAGTCATATCTGATTGATAAAAACTTAATTTTAAACTCAGAAAATTGAAAATACATACATTTTATTAAGTGACCATAGAACACTCATAAAATATGAACCTGTATCAGGGCACAAAGAAAATCTTGATGAATCTAAAAAGTAGGAATACACAGATGCTATTCTCTGTTTTCCATTAACTAAAATTAGCATTTAATTACAAAACTAAGAAACAAAAATATGAGTCCGGGTGGAACTAGAAAAACAAACAAAACAACAACAACAAAAACCTTTTAAGCAACCCTCATGTCAAAGAGGGAGCACAATTTAAAATGAAAGAATTTTAGGATGTGAATGTAGTTGGAAGCAATTATCTTCAGCAAACTAACACAGGAACAGAAAACCAGACACGGTATGTTCTCACTTATAAGTGGGAGCTGAATGATGAGAACACATGGACACATGAGGTGGGGAACAACACACACTGGGGCCTGTCAGAGGAGGGGTGCACAGGAAGGGGGAGCATCAGGAAGAATAGCTAATGGATGCTGGGCTTATTACCTAGATGATGGGATGATCTGTGCAGCAAACCACCATGGTACATGTTTACCTATGTAACAAATCTGCGCATCCTGCACATGTACCACTAAACTTAAAAATTGAAGGAAAAAAAAAAAGAGTAAAACTCCATAATATAAAAACCAATTGTACAAGAGAGAAAATTACCACAGCCAAAAAGTATTTTCTGAAAAGATGAATATAACCAATAAACTAGCAAAACTGATAAAGAAATAAAGAGAATGTCTCACACGTCCCTGTGAAGAGACCACCAAACAGGCTTTGCGTGAGCAACAAGGCTGTTTATTTCACCTGGGTGCAGGGGGGCTGAGTCTGAAAAGAGAGTCAGCAAAGGGTGGTGGATTATCATTAGTTCTTATAGGTTTTGGGATAGGCGGTGGAGTTAGGAGCAATGTTTTGCGAGCAGGGGGTGGATCTCACAAAGTACATTCTCAAGGGTGGGGAGAATTACAAAGAATCTTCTTAAGGGTGGGGGAGATTACAAAGTACATTGATCAGTTAGGGTGGGGCAGAAACAAATCACAATGGTGGAATGTCAACAGTTAAGGCTATTTTCACTTCTTTTGTGGATCTTCAGTTGCTTCAGGCCATCTGGATATATACGTGCAGGTCATAAGGGATATGATGGCTTAGCTTGGGCTCAGAGGCCTGACAGAGAACAAAATTACCAATCACCAATATGAGGAATGAAAAAGAAGACATCATTACAGATCCAAAAGACATTAAAATGTGGTAAGGATATCAGGAATAATCTTTTTTTCTTTTTTTGAGACTGAGTCTCACTCTGACACCCAGGCTGGAGCACAGTGGCGTGATCTGGGCTCACTGTAGCGTGATCTGGGCTCACTGTAACCTCTGCCTCCTGGGTTCAAGCAATTATCTGGCCTCAGCCTCCTGAGTAGCTGAAATTACAGGTGCATGCCACCACTCCTGGCTAATTTTTGTATTTTTGTAGAGACAGGGTTTCACCATGTTGACCAGGCTTGTCCTGAACTCCTGACCTCAGGTGATCCACCCCCCTCGGCCTCCCAAAGTGCTGAGATGACAAGCATGAGCCACCATGCCCGGCCAGGAATAATCTTTTTAAAAAGCAATTTGGCAATATTTATTAAAACTGTAATTACATATACCATTCAACTCAGAAATCCTACTCCTTGAACTCTGATGCATAGAAATAAAAACACCAACTGATAAACAAATCTCTCATGTATATGGAATATATCCAAAGATGTTTATTGCCGCAATGCTCATACTTGCAAAAAAAAAAAAAAAAAACCCATGAAAATAAAAATGAATGTCAACTAATTGGAGAATGGAATATTAGGCAGATATAGAAAAGAATAAGGCAAGTCTATGATGTATAATGACAAAAGGAAATACATTAGAAAGATTCTGAAATTTGTTTTTTATTTTAATTAATTTATTTTTTAATTTACATGTAAAAATCATGTATTTTTTTAAAAAAGAATTTTGTTGTAAGTTGAACACTAAGATCTGTACCCTGTTTATTGCAGTTAAAGAGATGCTCAAAGACAAATTAATCATTTTAAGTGTCTGCATCAATAAAAAATGAAATAAAATAATTAAATAATTATAAAAGAAAACTGAAATAAAGCAAATTTTAAAAATAAATGCATAAGTTAATTAGGAAAGAAACAAAGAGTAAATAAATTTGTCAACGAAAAGAGTCAAACTGTAAAATATTTGAAGAAATTTATTCTGAGCCAGATATGAGTGACCATGGCCCATGACACAGCCCCCAGGTGGTCCTGAGAACATGTGCCCAAGGTGGTCGGGGTGCAGCTGGGTTTTATACATTTTAGGGAAGCATGAGACACCAGTCAAATACATTGAAGATATACATTGGTTGGAAATGTAGTTCAGAAAGGCAGGACAACTCAAAGCGGTGGGGCAGGGTGCTTCTAGGCTATAGGTAAATTTAAACATTTTCTGGTTGACAATTGGTTGAGTTTGTCTAAATATCTGGGATGGAGAGAAAAGAAATGTTCAGGTTAAGATAAAAGACTGTGGAGACCAAGGTTCTTTTGAATTCTTATAGTGGTTGCTCTTAGAGACAATAGATGATGAGTATTTCCTATTCAGATTTTTAAAAGATGCTAGATTTTTGGTTAATCTCTTTAGAATTGGGAGGGCATGGAATAAAAAGATCTAACTATGTTAATAGAGATTCTTTACAGACGAAAATTTTCCCCCACAAAGAATAGCTTTGCAGGGCCATTTCAAGATATGGCAAAGAAACATGCTTTGGAGTAAAATATGATGATTTTCTTCCTTGTGTCGTAACGTTATGGCAGAGTCAGTTTGGAAAGTAAGTCACGATATATAGGGTTAAATAAAACTCATCTGATGAGAATTTATGGTTTGTAGGGCATGACCCCAGACACCTTAGGAATCTGGGCAAGATAAAAAAAAAAAAAAATCAGAATTTAGTCCTCAAATAGAAAGTCAAGTCTTTGACAAAACTGATAAAATAAATGATCCACAAACTAATCTAATCAATAAAAAAGGAGTGGAAGTGAAGAAAGCGCATATATACAAGATAAGAAAGTACATGAAAATGATACAGGAGTTAAGAAGAAATTACTTAGGCAGATAGGGAGGGTATGGAAGTCCTTGTTAAGGTTTACCTTTTAATGAAAAGCAGCCCAAATCACTTTCCTTTCAAAGTACAAAGAACAGCCCGTAAAATCGAGCTGCAGACATAGATGTTGGCAGTTGTGCCAATCGTTCAAAACGGCGGCTCTATCTTCCCTTCTCTGTCAGCCACCTGTACAGTAAGGAGCAGACAAGATGGCACTGGCCAAGGGGAAAGTTCATTTGCATAGAATTAGGGTGGGGCTGCCAGCCTTATCTGCAAGCTATGTGAACGTCAAACCTGATAGAACCAATCTGTGAGCACTATGTAAATCAGACACTGTCTCCTCAAGCCTGACTGTAAAATTCGAAGCATCTGCCCCTGGCCAGTTTTTGGCTCTCAAAAGTCCCCTTTCACTAGAGAGAGAGCTGTTTTCCTTTTTCTTTCTTTTGCTATTAAACTCCACACCTAAACTCCTCGTGTGTGTCCCTGTCCTAAACTTTCCTGGTGTGAAACGACGAACCCCTGGTATTTACCCCAGACAAGGCAGCTGCTTCAAAAAGAAGAACTATACACCAGCCGTGGTGGCGCATGCCTGTAATCCTAGCACTTTGGGAGGCCGAGGCTGGCATATCATGAGGTCAAGAGATCAAGACCATCCTGACCAACATGGTGAAACCCAGTCTCTACTAAAAATCAAAAATTAGCAGAGCATGGTGGGGTGTGCCTGTAATCCCAGTTACTCAGGAGGCTGAGGCAGGAGAATCGCTTGAACACAGGAGAATCGCTTGAACCCAGGCGGTGGAGGTTGCAGTGAGCCAAGCAGTGGCGGGCTCCAGCCTGGGTGACAGAACGAGATTCCATCTCAAAAAGAAAAAAAAAAAAGAACAACTACAGAATCAACGAATATGAAAACTATTTAAATATTTCTTTTCTCAATTTAATGCAAATCATTTTGAAAACCAGTATGTATAGACTTTTAAAAAATATAATTTAATAATAATAATGGTGAAAAAGGTTTGCAAATTTAAGTGGAATTATTTCCAGAGCATCAATTTAAAAAAAGAGTAAAATAACTATTTCCAGAAAATGAACCTAATGTAAATGATTTTACAGAAACAATTTAATATGGCTGGGTGCAGTGGTTCCTGACTGTAACCCCAGGACTTTGGGAGGCGAAGATGGGTGGATCACCTGAGGTCAGGAGTTTAAGACCAGCCTGGGTAATATGATGACACCCCGTCTTTACTAAAAATACAAAAATTAGTCAGGCATGGTGGTGAGTGTCTGTAATCCCAGCTACTTAAGAGGCTGAGAGAATTGCTTGAACCGGGGAAGTAGAGGTTGCAGTGAGCCAAGATTGTACCATTGCACTCCAGCCTGGGCAACAGCGAGAGACTCTGTCTCAAAATAAATAAATAGATAGATATTTAATATGTCCTATGCTTTTGAATTCTTTCTAAACATGTGGTAGTGGAGAAAATTTTCAAATGCTTTTTATAATGTGATTATAATAGTAATTTAAAACCTGAAAGTTTTTTCAATTAAAAATAGAAGTATATTGATGTAAAAACTATAAATAAAATATTAGCAAATATCCAGCAGAAAATTAAGAGAATATACATTTCATGTTTATTTTATTAAGGGAAGGGTGATTCAATATCAGTAAATCTATTAATATAAATTCATACTATTAATTCATCTAAGAAAAAGAATCTTGTGATTTCTTTCATAGATGCTGAAATGTTGACAAATTTATTCAATTTTTGATAAAGATATTTAATTAAAGAATAGATGGAGATTTTTCTCCACATGATAAAATATATCTATCTGACCCCCAAATCATCATCATGCTTAATTTGGAAATACAAGACCCACTAAAGTTACAAACAAAAAAGTATGCCTATGTTCACTATAATTATTTAGCATTCTATTGGTGGTACTGGCCAATGCAATTAGATGGAAGAATTTAAATGTATAGAAATTGGAAAAGGGGAGGTAAACATTATTTTATAATGTGTAGATGATGTAGTTTTGGCTAAAAATCCCAGGAAAATCCACTAGAGAAACACCTGTAAATAAAAAGAAAATTTAGTGAGTGGCATGGTACAACATAATGTATATAAATTAAGTTTTCCTATCCCCAACCCCCCCAAGAACATTGAAAAATACAATGAGAAAAATAACCCATTTATGATAGCAGTAACAAATTGAAGTTCCCAGGAATAAACTTCACAAGAATTATGTAATGCTCAAGAGTAAACTGAACATTACTGAGAGACACCAATAATGTCTTGAACAAAAGAAAACACTGTGTTCTCAGCTAGCAAGGCTGAACATCATAAATGTGTCAATTCTTCCCAAGTTATGAATGTAATATAATCTTCTCATATACAAAGAGAAGTGTGAGGACAGACTCCGAGAATACATAGGCTGACCCTAAATTTTATGTAGAAAAAAATCATATATACGTAGCCAGTAGATTCTAAAATTATTGAAGGGGCAGCTAGACCTACTATATATTAATACATATTATAATGCCTCAATAATTAAACAATGTGGTAATGAAACAGAGACAGAGCCATGGCATAGAATATAATGGCCAGAAACGGACCTAAATACATAGGATAATTTAGTATATGGTAAAAGTGGCATTTTAAAATAATGTTCAAATTATGGACCTGTTAACAAATATGTTGAAACAGCTATATAGGCTTCTAAAATTAATATAATGACATTTGACCCATATTTCACACTGTTCATCAGAAAAAAATTTAAATAGACCAAAGATTTACATACCAAAAGTGAGATAATAAATGTACTAGAAGTACTATAGAAACTATATGTTTCTTTATAAACTTAGAGTGAACTATAATTCATAATTTATAAATTATAAAAGAAAAGTGATATATTTGACCACATAAAATAAAAGAAAATTATATGGCAAAATAAAACATGTAGGTGAAGGCAAAATAAATAAAAAACTGGGAAAATTGTTTGCAACTCATAGACAAAGAGCTAATCTAACACAAAAAGTGCTTTTAGTGGGTATGAAAAAGACCAACATTGCTATTAAAAAAGCAGGTAAAAGATATGATCAAACAGTTAACAGAAAAGGACCTACAGATGCCCCTAAAACTCACTGAAGTGTTCTTAATGTCTTAATCATATTAAGATAAGTGAGATTTAAAACTACATTTTCACCTTTCAGGTTGATAAATATCTAAAAGTTTGATAATGCCTTCTCAATGACTTTGAACATTCTCATGTATTACTCTTTGGAGTTTAAATGGGTCCAATCTTTTATAGGGCAACTTGGCAAGACATTTAGAAATTCCAATTACATAGACATTTTGTCTCAGAAATTGCACTTCTGGAAACTTATCCTAGGGATGGATATTTTTTCACATGAAATAATATCCAAGGTAGGTCTTGGATAGAAAAATATTGGTAATAAGAATGTACATCAGTAGGACATTGATTCAGTAGGGATATGGTGCAGATAGTAAATAACAGTAAGAAGACACTGCTATAGAAAACTCTCCAGTGTACAGTGTTAAATGAAAAAAAGCAAGAAAAGAACTGTGTGTATGGTTTGAAGGCTGTTTTGTGTGTAAAAATGGAAAAACTTAATAAACTATATTTAAAATTTTACCTAAAATAGTTCTAGTAGGATATATGAAAAACAATAACAATTATGTACCTAGTAGTACATTTCTAAGACACATTTAATAATTAAGAACAAAGAAAGTTTGGACTACAAAATTGCTTGAACCCGGGAGGTGGAGGTTGCAGTGAGTCCAGATTGTGCCACTGCACTCCAGCCTGGCAACAGAGCAAGATTTTGCATTTTTTTAAAAAAAAAGAAATAATACATATCAATCATTTTTTATGCATGTGTGTATGTGTGTGTGTGTGTGTAGACATAAGGTAAATACCAGAGAGAGCATGAATAGCAGACAAAATAGACTTTAAGACAGAAAAATACCATTAGGGGCAGAGAGAATCATTATTGTATAAAGATAAAAATTTCACCTCATCAAAATATAAATATTCTAAACTTGTACACAAATGAATTATCCTCAGCATATATAAAAAGAGATTTGAAAAAATTCAGCAACATGGTGGAAGATTTAAGGATTTAAATTTGGACAAAACCATTAATAAGCCTGATTTAATGTAGATGTATAGGTCAGTATCCAATGAGAATAAATTACTTTCCTAACAAAAAAAAATGGAATGCTTTTAAAATGAGTAGATCAGTTTGTAGCCTTGGATTTACATCACTATTAATGGATCCACTAGTAGTATATCTACTATTCCACTAAATAAGTCTCAATAATTTGAATTTTTGTATAGAATGTATTTACTGTCTATAATGCAACTAAATTAGAAGTCAAAAGCAAAAAGAAATAAACATCTCCACGTGTACACAAATGAAACATAATTTGAAATAACCTGTAGGACATAGAAAAACTCAAAATGGAAAATACATAGAATTGAATGGACTTGTGTTTTGATTTTTACATTTTTTTTTAAATTTTAGATTCAGAGGGTACATGTGCTTGTTTGTTACATGGATATTACATGCATGCTATGGTAAGGATTGGGTTTCTAGTGTACACATCATCCAAATATTGAACATGGTAGCCCATAAGTAACTTTTCAACTGTAACTACCCTCCCACCTTCCCCACTTTTGGAGTTCCTGGTATCTGTGATCTCCATCTTTATGTCCAAATGTACATATTGTTTAGCTTCCACTTATAAGTGAAAACGTGATATTTGATCTTTTAATTTTTTTAATTGTGGCTTTTTGTATGTTTGCTTTGGTATTTTTTTCTCTTAATTTTGAATGCAATCGCAAATTATTTCAAGTAAAAAAGAACAGCAGAATTTCTACTTAGTACCTATAAAATAAAAGTTGTGTTATAATTTTAAATATTATAACGGAAATGATTGAACAATGATCAGTGCAGTTTAGGAAATGAGAAACATCTAAATAACTTGATTTTAGTAACATTTAAATTTATTTTAGAAAGTAGGCAAAAAGTGAAAGTCAAGTACTTCATGGAATACTTTGCAAGGAGATTTTAAAGATGAAATCTAACTCTGTTTTACAGATAAGGAAAATTAAAGCTGAGAGGAGGTGTCTTATACAATCTTCCACAGCTATCTGATGTCAAAGCCAGCATTCTAATCAAGACCTCTTGATATCAGTAGTCATGGGCTCAGACAGACATGGGTTCAAGTATCGTTTCCATAACTTACCTAGCCGAGAGCCCCAGTTTTCATATCTGGAAAAGGGGGTGGGGAGGAAGTTAATCATACTTATCTCCAAGGTTTTACAATTTGTAAAATTTTATGAAATATTACAGATGTGTAAAGAATGCTCATTTCTTTAACCAGATAATAACCTTTCCATGAAACAACACTGCCTTTGAGAAACTTGTTTCCATAATTGAAAAATAAAATGACACCATGCTCATCTATTTTTTAAATGGATTTGCGTACAAGTTATATTTTTATACAAATGCTTCTTCACAGATATGCTATACAATTTGAAATATCTATTTGTGGTTGAAAATAAGACCGTAAACAAATATTCTAGGACAGAGATTTATAAAGCATTAGTCATAATTATCTCTGGTTATCACTTGACATTAGGAAGTTTTTTTCTTGGCTATCTCCATTTCTAGTATTTTGCTTGAATCAACACCTTTATGCATGAGGTCAACCAAGAGCATTGAGCACACATAGCAGGTAATGTTTTTAAGGGGGTTCAGTTTGCCAGCAGCTAGTTCCACAGTTTATTTTCCCAAACTCAAGGGTTTTAGTTAGGGGAGCTCTTCCAGAGACGTGCTTTCCCTGTAAGACTCCCTCAGAGTTGAAGCTGAAGGATAATTTTTCTCTCATTCTGGGAAATATCAATAGAAACCACAAATTGGCAGGCAAGATCTCATTGCATTCTTAGGTCAACCCCATGAAAATGTCTCTGCCACTAACGCTTTTCCTCTGAACTTTCAGTCCCCGTCTAGATCATGTAATTACTGAAAAATGTATAAGCCTTGGGTTTACCCTGACCAACTGACTCCATGTTCCAGGTGGAAGTTTTAGGCCTTCATCTTTTGAAAGCTCAATTTAGACTCTGGTAGGAATCAACAATTAGGAATTAAGCCATAGGTTTTCTTTTTTTCTGAATCACAGCACTGATAATGTCATTTCTCTGCTCAAAATCCTTCAATGGCTCCCTTTTGCCTCAGGAAATAAGTACTAACTGCTGAGGTTGTCATTCGCCTTCCACAGATCATCTGCAATCTCTGTTTCCCTGTTCCATATCCCACAGCCTTGTGACATAAACCCACAGCTACAGACTGAACATGTTCTCATCTTGTCAAATGCCTGTCTGTCGATCAGCGGCGTTGGCATCACCTGGGCGCTTGTTAAAATGGTAGATCATGCTGCCACTGTCACCTTTCCTCAATTCAGAGGTTTAGAAATCTGCCTTTTTAAGAAGCAACTGTGCTGAGCCTCAAGAAGTTCTCTTGTTCCTCTTTATGCTGCTGTTTCCTCATCTGGCATGTCCTGCCCCGCCTGTCAGACTCAGAACAGCCCTGAAGGCTCAGCTCAGAGTCATCTCTTTCCTTCAACTATTTAATGACCCCTCTACTAAATAAGCTTCTTTTACACAAGGCCCCCCATATTCAGCATCTGTTGTCTTATATTGTGTCTTTTGTGTTGTCTCTGCTAATACATCCCTGAAGACAGAATCTGTCTCTGCTGTGCCTCCGTTGTGCCTAATGCAGTGACTTCTTTGAGGTACAGAATGAGTGCCTATCTTTGGGATTGAAATGAACACAAAAATGGGGTGGAACCCAGGTCAGGTAGAGAGCGTGACAGGGCTGAAATAGGGGTGGGGTGGGATGGGGAAGGGGCACCAAAGGTGTCAGACTCTCAGGGGGTGAGGAGGGACTGGGAACTTGGCAGGGCTAGGACTTCTCCCAGAGCTTTAGATTGGTAATCCAGGAAACTGGGATACATACACAGAATATAACTGTAGAGGAAATAACTTTAACTATGTACAGAATCTGCATAAAAGGAGACTAAACCTCCATAATTGTTTACTGTGGGACTATGGGTGCTTTTATCTTTCTAGCTATCACTTCATATATACATATATATGTGTATATATATGCATGTGTGTGTGTGTATATATATATATAATATAAAATTTTCCCCCTAAGTTTTTTCAATAAACAATTTATTTTTTTACCATCATATAAACAGTTGTTTTTTGAAAATTAATTATTGTATATATTTGAATTTTGCCCCAACGTTATTCTTTAATTAGGAAAGGATTCCTATGTCTGCATTATGTTAGTTCATTTTAACATTCAGTCAGCGAACGCTTACTAAACCATTTCAGTTGCCAGGAACTTTGTGAGAGCCCGAGAATAGCAGGATAGAAAACACATGGTCCCTGTTCTCACGGAACTGACAGGCTGGTGGAAGAGCAGACACATGTGCAGAGCAGTTCAACACAGTGTGATAAAGACAGGCACATGGGATGAGGAATCACCTGGCTATGCCACCTACTTCTGACCCCACTGGTGGAGGTCTGTTGGATGCAGAGAGACCTCAGTGGTTGAAAGGGCAATGAGAAGTTAATCAGCTGTAGGGGAAAAAAAAATGTATTTTTCTCTACCCATGCTAGGTTCATGGCTGAGGCCTCTACTGCAAAAATCAAATTAATAAGACAAAAGCATACAAATTTATTTAATATATGTTTCACATGACACTAGAGTCTTCATTAAAAAAAAAAGATTCAAGGAAATGGGTAAACTTGGCTATTTTTGTGCTAGCTTTAACGAAGAGTAGACAGTCCCAGAGAAAGATGACAGGCGAGAAAGTGAGATCCAATGGCGAGAAACTTGGGGGAAACTCAGCAAGGCCCATTCAGAGTCCTCTGTGTTCTTTCTTTGGAGGTAAGGATGTTCCCTTCTTCTGGGAATAGGGAGGGTGTCTCTCACATGAAAGTCTTATGACCTGCTTCAGAGAAAGGTCTGAAAATCCCTCTGGATTCTATGAACTGCATCAGGGAGGAAGGGCAAGGGAAGGCAGAGGGACCTTCCTGCTTCTGCGGTTTTCTCAATTCTTTCAGATTCAAATATTATGTGGTAGCATGTCCTGAACCCCATCACAGCCCTGGAAATAAAGGGATAGGAATTCCTGATAAAGGAAACAGCAGAAGGGAAAAGTCAGAAAGCAGCATTTGAGCTCTGGGAATGCTTCTATTCAACAGGGTCTGGAGCAGCAGCAGTGAGCAATGAGGTGGAAGCAAACAGGTGTCAGCTATGGAGACCCTTGTCAGTCATGGCATGAGGGTTGAACACAATGTTCTCTATTTTTGTTGCAAAATATCATTTTGCTGTTTATGGTGGTCTGATAGTTAAAGCACAGAATATTTATACCACAAAGCTCCTGTATAAAGTTGTGCTTCTGTAGTGAGTAATTGAGAAGGAAACTCTAAGTTGCTTCTGAACCTGGTTCCTCATCAGAATCACCTGTGAGTCCTTGAAAAATTACGCATTCCCTACCCCATCCCAGATAGGGTTTTAAACTGTTACTCAGATAATACAAATAAGTCCTGTTGGAAACTACTATTTTAGAGTCTCTGTTCTTAGCCCTTTCTGCCATTAGAATTGGCGGGAGAACTTCTAAGCCTGCAGATGTCCAGGCAAGCCCCATTCTCAACGGTTCCAGTTCATTCATCTGAGATAGTGCCCAGATATCTGCCTTATAAAAATTTCCAGGTGATATCAGTGTGCAGTCATGCCTAAGGACTACTAATGAGTTCAGACTCTACTGTTGCACCAAATAAGATGCAGTCGAAGCTAATGATCCATTAGAGAAGGAGGAGCCAAATAGGAAGAACGGAGAGGAGGAGAGAAGGGTGTACAGGAAGCCGACAGGTGGGTGTGCAGGATGCATGCTGGTTAAGAACACCAGCTTGGGGATTAGACACAAAGGGTCTGAACTCTGCTGGTTTTGATGCATTGATCAAGCTACTTAACCTTCCCAAGCCTCAATTTCCTCATCTGTAAATGAGATTGATGATATGGCTGTGGCATTAAAATGTAATATTCTTAGCACCATGCAGGTTAAATGTTATTTATTAATATTAAGAAAGTGTTTAAGCAGGAGGGAGTACTAAGTGTTTCCAAAAGGTTAAATGAGATTAGATCTAAGGTTTCCAAATAAATGAACCACATGAAAATCACACTCATCTCAGCAAGAGCAGGAGAGGTACAGTGGTAGGGATGAAATCCAGAATTGATTCTAAGCCTCATTTCTATATAAATTTGGAGATTCAGAAAACTACAGACTTGTACTACATAATTTTACTGTCTGGTAAAAACCCCTCATATAACTTTAATATTAAGTCCTCATTTGTATTAAGAACTAATAAATAAAATGACTCTATGAAGATTATGTTGACATTGTGTCCTTCATTTTCAAAAAGAACTAGTATTTAAAAACAATTATATGTGTAAGACCTGTGCACTTTTTGTGAAGCTGCTATTGAGGGCATCGCTACTAGGTTGTATAATGCCACTTAATTCTATTTTTCCTTAGAGATCAGAGCCTGGTTTTTCTCCCCATGGAAGAGCATACCACACTCAGGGCAGCTGTGCAGGCCAATGGCGGTATTGGCATTCTACCTCAACTCTGTACCCAGACCACTAAGCCTGATTCTGGTCTGGCCTCTTCCTTGTAGCAGATCTTCAGTTTAGGTTCCATTCCCTTTCTGTATTCCTTTCCTCAGATTTGGCATTTGGATTTTCTTCTGGCTTTCCAGGGCACTGAGGTAAAGCACAGGCTTCAATTTCAATTTGCTCCCTGCCCAAGTCTGGGCAGCTGAGACCCCCAACACCCTCTGCTGCCTCCCAGACTGCAATTGCAATCATGCCAAGAAGTGTGCCTAGAGGGTGCCATTTCCCAAGACACAATACATGACAATAGTGCAAATGACTAATAAGGCATGATTTTAAAAAACAAATAAAAACAAAAAGCAAAAACACTAGTTTTGACACACTAAAAAGACATTTAAAATGGCAAATATTTTGACATCTACAAAATACAAATATGAAGCAGTATTACATGAAAAATGTCTCAATTTAACATACAGTGATTATTAATATGTAGAATGGAGTTTACATACATTGACGAAATAGGAAGATAATTTAGAAAGACATAAAAAATTACAGTTAAATATTTGTCAGACTTTCTTGCTCTGCAAAAATGGCTTAATTGAAAAGAGATCAAGCTGGAAACTACTTGACCTGTTTTTGTTAAATCAGCCTTCCTAAGACCACTTTACTAATGGAAGCAATTTGTCCATCAAATCTTTCACCAAAAGACCAATTACTTTGTAGGGTATGCAATGAATTAGCATTGGCTTCATCTCTTAAATCACTTTTGCACTTCTAAATAAATGGCATTTTTGACTTCTGCTATTTGTTAATCAGAACCATAAAAATCAAATCTCAGCAGATCAGAAGTAAATTTTTATTTGGGAACTCAAAGAGAGGTACTCTATCTCAATGAAATGCAGAGTTGGCTGCCTATAAAATTAAGCATTGGACTTGGAAAATAAATTTTAAAGAAATTATAAACCACTCCGCATTTGTGATGTATATTTATACTAAATAAATGGGTAAATGCATGGATCCTAATTGTCATTTTCCATTTAACTAAAAATAAATACACTACTTGCCTTGAAAATTCAATAAAAAATTCAACCCAATTGTATTTTCTATACTTTTATATGATCGAAGCTTAAGATTCGACCATAATACTTCATCTCACTGGTGCGCATGACTATGGGCGTGACTGCTTATACCCTGCAAAAGAGGTCTTACTCCAGGCTTAGCACCCTATTCCCATTCCGGCACATGTTCACTCTGTCTTCTGAGCCTACCATACGCCTTTACCCAGGGACCTAGTTTGTGCTCTCTGACAGTGCCCTTTGAACTGAATGTAGCTTTGGGGCTGCCTCCTCGGCTCCCTACCTCTGATGTCAGCTCCAGCATCAGAAGATGAAGCCCCGCTGCTTGCTGAGTTGGGAAATTTGATATTTACTCCCCAACTGGGTGAGCAAAGGGGCTTTACACTGTTAAACATGCACGCATGCACATATACACACACACGCACACACACACGCACACACACGATAAAGGTATTAGAAAAATTACCCTAGGCATAACAAACTCTTGAAATACAACTTCCTTCCCAATATTTACCTTCCTCCCCTCGTCCTTTACACTTGACTTCTCCCTCTTTTCTCCTTTAAGGTCCTACTCTATCAATTAGCAGTTCTCTCTTCTCTCTTCAGTATTTTCTTCTTTACCACCTTTTAATTTTCTTACCACTACCTTATCACTGTCAATAGCACCACCTACACCACCCAAATTGTAATGTCAGCTTTACTTTCTCCCCTAATGGCTTACTTGCCACGACAATGTTGCTTCAATAACACTATGGAACGAAAACCACCTCTTTCCATTGACAGCCTGGAAGTCCTGAAGGGACTTTAAATTCAATTTTCTCAAAGTAATTAATTTTACCTTCAAATTACAAGTTCTAGACTATCCTTTCAGTTTATAGTTTTGCCTTAATCATCTGTGATTTAAAAACAACTTAGGAATCAGATTTGACTTCTCCATTACACTATTAGATACCAGTTGCTCATAGAGTTGAAATCTAAAATGTCATTTATACTTTTGCTTTCTTTTCCATTCCCACCTTATAGTTGTTAAAAAAAAAAAACCTTTAGACAAATTAAACATAACAGATATTAGTTGAGCAAACAACAATACATGAATCAGGCAGTGCTCTGAATCAGAAGAGGTTGAGATAACTCCCTCCCACAACATGGCCAAGCTGCATTTATAAACAGAAAATGAAAGTGAGGTACAGAAACAGCTTGACTGGTTACAACTTCGCCTTTGCTTTACTTGAATATGGTCTGATCAGCTGGCAGCCTGTGATTGACTGAAGTCTGGCTGCTGTGATTGGCTGAGACTCAGCTATTTATACAAAAGTAGACTCCCGGCTTTCAGTTTAAGCACTATTATAAGTTAGGTTGCAGTTCTTCACATAGGGACTCAAAGTACAGAGGCATCCTCAGGCCAAATTTAGTTTAGCTTAGCACACTTGTCATCACTTCGCTAGCACCACACTTGATAACCCTGGTGAGATCACAGCTGGCCATAGACAGTGACTGCCACAGGGAGCAAACACCACACTTTCCCATTCTGCTTCACTCCCACGTTTAGAGCCAGACCTTTCCTTTGTTCCTTGCTGCACAGCTGGAATAAGGCAGTGGCTTTTAGTGAGGCTTCAATGAGGGATCAGAATAATGGAAACAGTGTCTTTTCATCCACTGGACACTGGGAATAGCACCTAAGCTGCTTTCAGGTCCACCAGACATCTTTGAGATGTGAAAAACACAGTAGTGTCTGGCTCTATGGCTATTGCAAGACAATTTCATGGTATTTCCCAAAGTTTGGACTATTTTGATAAACAACAGAACAACAACCTTATGAACTGAGTGGGGAAAAAAATCCCATAACTTTGCAATACTGTGTAAAACCATATAATTCTAATTTACTTAGGCAGAGAAACTGGCATCCCATCTTCACATTTACAGAGCAATATTCTAAAAGGCAGAATGCTATGTTAACTCTTTGAAAGTTGGAAGCTGACCTACCTTTAAAGAGGTTTTAGATTTCGCTCTTTTGGCACCATTGAAAAGGCTTTAGGCATTTTCAAAGAGGGAGAAAATGCACTGACATCGTTATCATATCAATTAAAAAATACTCTGTCAAAGGAAAGCCTTTAAGCAATTCTCCTCCACTGATGCTCTTAACTGATTAAAAGGTTACCTTAAACTTTACTAATTTTGTGCCCTTAGGCCTACGAGAAGCACCTAAAAATTCAGTTCTGTCAGTATTCCTTCTGAGGCTCTTGTGCCCAGTTTATTGGGGGATAAGAAAGACTCAAGATATTGTTAGCATTGGAACAATCCAGGAACTTGGACTAATCTCTCCTGGAGTTGCCAGAAGCTTCCACACATTACTTAATAAAAACTGCCTTAAAGTGTGACCAACATGAACACCCTGAGGCAGTTTTTTCTTTTTTGACAAGTGCCAGAAGCTTCTATCATAATGGAGATTTAGCACAAACACAAGAGGTCAGGTGTCTACTGTAGGGGTTTCTCAGCAGAGCAGGCCATTTGAGCCATTTCTAAAGAGGAAAATAACAAGATCAGGAAAGGCCTAAGGGCAAATACTACTTGTCAAGCCTTATTATCACCATGGGAAGGAGTTGCATTTTTAGAACTTTCCTCTATAGTTGAAACCGTTGTCTTTCAACTGAAGATGAGACATTTCAAGCTATGATAATTATGCCAGTGAAACAGCCTTTTACCCTAGAATGACTCCCAATTTTTATCAAGTGCATTTACTACATGGTTTGATTTGGATATGGGGGATTGGGAAATTAGTATTTTAATACAGCTACATACATGGCAGCCCACTACCGACATTTTTCTTTTCTCTCTTTAAAAACTTTCATTATTTCATTAGTGTTTTATACATTCATTATAAAACACAAGAGAGTATAGAATTAAGCAAAAAGAAAATATCACTGTGAAAACACTACCTTGCTATCCTGGCCTAATATTTTAGTATATAGTATTTTTCTGTGTAATATTTTAGCACAAAACTTTCTAATTTTTGTCTATGCAAATATGTGCACATAAATTTGAATTAAATATCTTAAAAAGTACCATATTATCTATGTATCTACATATCTATATCTAAATAAGCATTTTTTTCAGTAATATAACCATCTCTTCATGTCAAAAATGTAATCTGACATTAAAATTAATGACTATACACTATTTCAAGTTATGTTGCATCATAAATCACTTAGCCAATTCTCTATTGCTTAATATTTTGTTTAGTTATCAGTTCATATAGGCTAGCTTATACTGTGTTAACAAATAACCACTTAATTGCAGTAGTTTTACACAACAAACTTTATTTCTTGTCCTGCTACATGTCCATTGTGGGTTGGCCAGAGGCTGAGAGTGCTCCATGTCGACTGCACTCCATGATACAGGCTGACACAACAGCTACCAACGGGTTTCTGCTTGTCAAGAGAGAGGCAAAGAGAGCTTTGTAGGGTGCTGCATGGGCAATGGAGGTTCTGCTCCTCACAACTGATTGACCAGGAGTTGTCACATGGCCTTAACCAGGCACAAGAAGGCAAGCAAGTACAATCCTACCATGTTTTCAAAACTGAGATTGAATTTCATTAAATTGTTGAAAAATAAATTACAGATGACTAAGGAACTACAATAAGAGTTGCAGCTTTTACAACAGGTACACTAAAAATGAGAAAACTCAAGTTCAGGAATGCTTTGAGCCTGGTCCAAAGACAATCAGCTCATCAGTGTGCAAAAGAAAATAAAATCTCAGGACCCCCAAACTTGCTATGCCAAGGGGAAAAGTTAAGCCTGGGAACTGAGTCATTCAACCCTTCCATTCTTCTTTCTCTAAACATATAGCTGTAACTTCACAACTCTGTTTCATAGCAGTATACATAAGCCAGTTTCCCACAACATCAAAGGACCTTATACCTATCCATGTGGACACCCTCACAAATTGCTCGCAAGGAAATTCCTTGCTGGCCCCTGGATCCTTTCAGGATACATAGCCTCTTATAAAGCAAACACATGCCAGTTGTAACCTTAAGTCTGCAGCCTGAGTTAAACTTCTCAAACTGAGTTCTGTTAGACTCACACTGACAGTGTCCATTAAGAGCTTATGTTGCCAGGTAGCAAACAAGGACAAGATGAGATCAATCACTCTTCCACCTACCCTGAGACAGCTGTATAATTGACTCTTTCCTCTGCTCTCTCTTTTCAGTGTTTACCTTGTCTTATGTAAAACGTAGATTTGTTGATCAAGAATTAGAGCCTCACAAGATTGTAACCATTTGCCTCACTGCCTACCCCCATCGTCCCTTCCTCCCAGCACTGGCACGCTCTCTCCCCTTAAATACTGAGTTCACAAAACCCTCTTTGGAAAACACAGGTCACAGGTGCTTCTGTGGCTTGTGTTTTTCCTGGGCACAGTCTCACACTTTGACCCAACAAACTTCTACTGATTGAGACACTTGCCTCAGTCATTCATTTTTTGGTTAAACAAGTGGTTGTGTCAAAATTCACATATGTAATGTGTCTGGGGATGAGAGCCGTAAATTCAGTCATATGCTATCTGGAGAAGAAAAATGAGATAAAGCCTCATCTACGTTTCCTTTTAAAATTCTTTTTCTCATACTTAAATTTTCTCATTGCTCCAATTCTTCTAGAAACCATTATCACCAGAGAAAATTACTTAATTTATAAATTTATAAATCATAGCCTGAGCCTTGTTTCATGAGTATTAAATCAGCCTTCAACCTCTGGGTACATAATTTCCAACTTTTTGATTACATCTAATTACAGCAATAAAAATACTCTTTCTTTAGGGTTTTAAATTTAGCATATCTTTCTTCCTCTTAAATTTTTTTTCAGAGGCAGATTAATTTTAAAAATTAATAACATTTATAAAAATGCCCCAAGTTCAGCTGTCCTAGCCTGAAAAAGGTTTATTTAAATAAACTTCTAACTTCAGGTATTGACCTGTATTTATATACATGCATATGTATTACATACATATTATTTATATATTCTGAGCATGTCAAAATTGCATTATATTTGTTGCGTTAAGACTTTTAGTTCTATCCTCTGTCCTCAGTAAATTTATTGGGTTTCTTTTGTTGTTCTATGAAATTTTTTTTATGTTTACTTTTAACTTTTTTACTATAACATTTTTCCATGTGGAGTTTTAGGCTTTTTTTCTCATATTTTGCTTTATTATCAATTCTCTAGTGCAGTGTTGAATATTTTACTAAAGCAAAATTAATGTGATTAAGTTCAAATTTGGACCTTAAACATCGTTCAGATGTTTAAATACATATATACTATGTACACACAAACATAATATATATATTATATATGTGTAATTTCCTTTTATCATTGTAAGAGACAGTTTGAAGCACTAAAACACTGTAAACAAAAAATATTATTCATGATGATATTACCAGAAAAATATTTAACTTCTGGCACACATTCTCCAGTACTTAAAGAAATTTTTAACATACTGGAGGACATATCATAAATTAAAATGTTACATCATTTACATTTTACTTATAGGCATTTTGTTGTATTATACTTTTATAAATATAATTTGAATGGAGGTCAAATATTCCATTATATGACTATGCCAACTTAGTTTCCCTCACATTAAGTATTTAGGATATTTTTAGGTTAAATTATGCAACAATTATGTTTTTTAAAATTAACTCCTCTGTGTACATATCTTTGGATATCTTTCCAACTATTTCCTGATAAAAGAGTCCTAAATGTGTGAAACAAAAGGTATCATATTTTTAAGTCTCCTGGTGCTTATGTTGCAGCTTTTTCACGCCTATTGTTCAGTGAGTTGGTGGGGAGTGTTACAACTCTTTTACCCCCACCACCAGTGAGCTCTGGGTTCTTGTCTCATGACCAGGAAGAATAAGGGACGTGGACACCAGAGAGTGAGTAAGGCAGAGTCAGATTATTAAGCAACAGAAAAGTTCTCAGCAAGCAGAGGAGACCCAAAAGAGGGTTGTTGGCTGCAGGGCTAAGTTCAGGGTTTTTATGGACTTTGAAGTGGGAGGAGTGCGTTGACTCCAAGGGACATCTTGGAGAAAGCACCACTCAGAAAGGGACACAGTACTGAAAAGAACCAATTGGAGGTAGAGGTGAAGTCTTGGCCTGCAACTAATCAGGGGCTGAAGTGACATTACACATTATGCAACTAAAGATTCGGCCAGCACCAATCACAGAAGGATAGGTATATGTAAAATACGTGAAAAGTAAGGAAAAATTGGGAGGAAGCACATGAAACGGACAAAGCCATGCCAAGGAGAGAGAAATGTGTGCAACAAAGGGGTGGAATATGTTCATCTGGGTTCATAGAGTAGGCGTCTCCATTCAAGGAGACAGGCTTTTTCTTACCTGGGGCCTGCAGCTTGATTTTCAGGCTGTTCTTGATCTGAAGGAGTTTCACCCAGGACCAACCCTAACCACCTGCATGATTGTTTTTTTTCCTTCCTACTCTCACACGTATTTATATGTTGTTTTCTAAAGAGATTGTACTAATAGAGATGAGTACCTATTTCACTCTTCCTGGACAACATTGAATAGGGTCTTTTTTTAAAGTATGCAAATAAGATTAATAACTAATAAAATAAATAATTTTAATTTCCAGTTCTTTGATTACTAGTGAAATAAGTCTATTGTCATGTTTTTAAGCTATTCCTATTTAGTCTTTCATGGCTTGCCTATTAGCAATGGAGACTAACATCCTAGTATTTTCCTTTTTGTCTGTGTGAGTGCTTTACATCTGAATAATGCTAACCAGGTGCATAATGGTGGCAAATCCATTTTTCTGGATAGTTGGTTGTTTTTAAGTTTGTTTTAAAACTGCATTCAGGCAACCACTTCCTCACAGAGGGCAGATGGCGGCACCTCTGCCCTCACAGTTGGGCCATGCAGTAGTGTCACATCCGGGCGGCTCACCAGCTTCTTCCAGCATGAAGATGACCATGGCCTGAGCTGAGTCCTGTTGGAGGCCTCAAGGGGTCTCCTGACTCCCCCACTCTTCAGATTGTGAGCAAGAACTGGAGGTGGCAGTCAGCCCCGGGAGGGCTGGCGTCTGGTCAGGCTTTTGTCTGTGGCCTGTTCCCACCCTTCTGATGGCTGTGAGCACTGGGGAGAGAGTGGCCAGTGTGGGGGAGGCTGAGGTCCTGCCTTGACGTTCTGAACAGGTGAAGCTCGATCATCCTGGGGAAAGACATAGACCAGCTGTGTGTGAACTTGGAGCCAGCAGAGGAGCAAGATGGAAGCTGATGGCCCCTCCTCCAAGATGAATGTGGTCAAAAACACTGGGATCAGAGCCAGTGAGATGCAGCAGGAGGCTATCAAGGAGACAAGGTGCATTTCCATGCTGCCGACCCTGAAGGCAACGAATGGAATGAGGATAAAGTGAAGATTTTCTAAAAATTGATGGGGTAACACAGAAAGTTCTCAGGAACCTCGGAGACCACTGGTATCAGGTGGAAACCAGTCCATTCCCACAGCACAACCATCTGTTCCACTTCCAGTGGCTGCTCTGGGTCCCACTGTGCTGTCCACCCCCATGGGCTGCCGGGCACCTCCTAGAACTTTTACCCCCTCCTGCAGCCCCTGATATCACATCCCTCTGCATCAGTACCTGGCTATGGGTAGGTTCCAGATGTATTAAAGATTTGCTCTAATAGGAAAAAAGAAAAATAGAAGAGATGGAGAGAGAGAGAGAAAGGATGGGGGGCAAAAAAGGATTCGATTTAAATATTTCCTATTGACATTTTGAGTTTACTAAAACTGACTTCTGCTGTGATCAGTCTGCTCTTACGCCCATTCAGTGAACTTGTTTTAGACAGTATTTTTTTCATTCTAGAATGTTCATTTAATTCTTTTAATAGTTTCCAATTCTTTGTTGGAATTTTTCATATTTTCATTCATTTTGACCATCACTTTCTCTATATTACTTAGCATATTTATAGCATATTGAAATTCTTATCTCCTATGTAAGATTACTTTGAAGTCCTTGGTTCAATAATTAATTAGTAAAACACAAAGAATCAGGGACATGTTAGAAGCTGTGAACACTGCAATCAACCAACATAACCTAATTTGCATTAACAGAACACTGCTCCTAACAACTAGAGAATTTTTTTTTCAAGGGCACATGAAACATTCATCAAAGTAGACCATACGATGAACTATGAAAATTCTCAATAAATGTAAAAGATTAAAATTAAAATCACATAGAGTATGTACTCCTACCACAATGTTAAATTAGGAACCAAGAAAAATAAAATAATTAGAAGAACAAGTAAAGTAGAAAAAAAGACAAAATACAAAATAGCAACAAAGTTAAAATTGGTTCTTTGAAACATTTAAGGATATTTTGAATAATACCGATAAAATTATTCACAAAAAGAGAAAAAACGTGAATTACTAATGAAAGAGTATTATTGCTATAGATCTTATGTATATTAAAAGGACACAAGGGGATATTACATAACTTATGAAAATACATTCAACAAATTAGATGAATCAGGCAAATTCCTTGAAAAACACAAATTATCAAGACAGATACAACAAGAAAGGGAAAATTCAAATAGGCCCAGATTGCTTTGAATTCAATCAAAGATTTAAGATAGGAATAATACCAATAGTACATAAATTTCAGAAAACAGGAGGAGGCAATGTTTTTCAACTTAATTTATGAGGCCAATATACCAAGACTATGATACCAAAACCTAAGAAATAACAAGAGAAGACAACTCATAAACATGGACTTAACAAACACCAGCTGTTTAAATATAGCAATACTTAAGTAGGCTAGAACACCATGACCAAGTGGGATTTTTCTAGGATTGCAAGGATTGTTTCACATTAGGAAATCAATAAATGCTTATTAGAATAAAGAAGGAAAGAAAACCCCACATGATCATAGATGCAAAAAACATGCTTTGGGCAAAAGCCAACATCCATTTTAATTCCCATTTCACGTAAAAAATTCTCAGATAAAAGGAAGTGAAAGAAGCTTCCCTAATCTGATAAAGGGCATCTATCAAAAAGCTACAGCTAACACCACACTTTAAGTCTTCTCCCCTAAGATTATAAACAAGACAGAAATGTCCACGTTTACACTTTTTTTCAACATTTACCAGAGATCCTATAATTGTAAGGTAGGACCCACCCCCTAAACTAATCCTTTACAAAAAATAAAATAAAAAATTGACTACACCAAATGTTGACAAGGATATTAAACAACTGAGACTCTCACACATTGCTGGTAGTCATGTAAAATAATGCAACTTATTTGGAGAATTGTGTGGCAGTGTCTTTAAAATTCCAACATACAACCACTCCATGATCCAACATTTTCATTCCCAGGTGCTTACCCAAGAGAAGCAAAACATGGGTCCACATAAAGACTCGCATGTAAATGTTCACAGCAGATGTATTTGCAATAGCCAAAAACAATGTAAATGTCCTTCAAGAGAAGATAGGATAAGCAAATTGTGGTATTTTTATGTAACAATACAACTTAACATTAAAAAGGAATGAACTGATGATACACACAGCAACATGGATGATTTTCAAAAACAATTTTCAACAAGAAAGGCAGGCACAAAAGAATACATATTGCATCCTTCCATTTACATAATGTCTAAGAAAAGGCAAAACTTATCTATGGATATGGAGGCCAGAAAGTGGATGGCTCTGTTGAGGCGGAATTGACTGCAAAGTGGATGAGGTAAATTCCTGAAACGATCATATTGTTCTGCATCCTGTTTTCATTTGCTGGTTACACGGGTATGTACAATTACCAAAACTCACTGAAGTGAACACTTGCGTTGTGTATTTTATTACATGTAAATTATAACCCAATAAGAAAATTAAAAGAGATCTCAAATCCATTATTCAAAAAGAAATTTTTCCATAAATACTAAATCCATCTACAAATATCTATATTTATCAGGCTTCCCTCACTACTTTCTGTACTACTATATCATGTTCATTGGAATTGTGCCTAAAGAAATAACACCCATCCATGGATGAAGAGCATGGCAATGATGAGTACATGTAGTTGGATGCCAAAATATTAAAAGACATTTTTCTTCATTTGAAAAATAGTTTCTATATATGCTAGCCAATTATTTACTGGTTTTCATATCATCTGGTGAAATTTCATCTATGTACATTATATCTGTTTTCTTCAGTCATAAAATATTTTCTTCTGGATAAGAACTCTTTTGTCAAATTGGATGAAAATACCGTACAGATATTTGGTCAGAAAAAAAACTCCAATTCCTGTAAAATAGTTCACCAGTATAATCTTTGTCTTAAAATTGTTTTATAATATATAAAATATAGTGTGATGATATTAAACATAATGAAATAGCTGTTATACATTACAAAAGATAGTTAACAAAGTAACTCAGTGATATCTTGCTTTGTGTCTGCCCTGGTGGTTACATATTTTGGAATGAGTTGCTCAAGTTTGAACCCAAGAGAGGGTGGAAACTCCAAGAAATACAATTTTCTTATTAGATTTTTTTGATCCAATTTAGCATAAATATATGACTAGAGCTTAAATTTAGAGACCGTCTGCCAAGAGGATTCATTTTCTTTGGAGAGGAGAGCATGTTCGGACTCCTTTCAGAGCAAAAACCATTGGGAAATAGATGTGCATATGTGAGTTTTATAATCATAGTTAAAAACAAAGCTTTCTCTAGACATTCCCACTTACAAAATATTTGTATAAGCCATTCGTTGATAATAATAGGGGAAAAGTTGAATGGGAGGTTGAAGAAAGAATAGGATGAAAAAAATGCAAGTACTGTTGGAATTGTTATCTTGCAAGTGATAAAGGAAATTGAAGTAAAATGAACCTTGAAACTTCATTTCTGATTCTTTCGTGTGGTTTAAAGCAGGAACAAATGAAGCCAGGTACAGAATGTCTTGCTTTATTCTGATGTACTCTGGCATAAAATCATAAATGAAAATACAGCAATATAACATCGAGTTCTGCTTCAGAAATAGAGTTACATGCATTTATCTTTATAAATGATAAATGAGAAGCTATAACTGAGAAAATCTCTCTTGGCTATCTCAAACAAAGCATGGCAAGTAAATGATATTGAAAATAAGTTATTTCTCTTAAAATGTTTGAATTGCTTTTTAAATGAAAAGTAAGATTTAGTGTAATTAATGCAACAATGCAAACATATATAAGTAATAATTCGTACATTCCTTATCCCTGAAGGTAACCAAGGCTAGCCTGGTGGCTTAGGTTGAATTCTTCCAGAAGCAAACCCTGAAACAATGTTTCAGAAGCAAATGATTTATTAAAGATTTACTCCCAGGAGCAAGCAGAGGGAATGGAGGAGAAAGGACAGAAATGGGGAAGGAGTCAGGCAAGCATGTAATTTCAAGTCCCTCAGAAAGCTCTGTAGTATATGTAATGCTTTGGGAACGTCTCTGCTTAGACGCTAGGGCTTTGTACTCAGTCCACTACAAAAGCCACAGCTCCCAGGTATTTCCAACTATCTTAAGAATGAGTTAGCTCCAGTATCCAAAGTAATCTTCCAGTGTCACAGGTGGATCTCAGCACAAAGCATGCTGGAGCTGGGATGGGTGCACAGAGCTACCAAAGGATCCGGGGCATCTAGGTGAGGAGCAAAATTGTCTGATACACCTGGGATATATCCTTCCATGCATTTCCACCCTTCTCTTTCATGTGTTGTATTTGTTCATTCTTGCCCCCCTATAAAGAAATATCTGAGACTGGGTAATTTATAAAGGAAAAAGTTTTAATTGTTTCACAGTTCCACAGACTACAGGAAGCATGGCCGCAGCTACTCAGCTTCCAGGGGGGCCTCAGGAAACTTTTGATCATGGTGGAAGCAAAGGGGAAGCAGATACATCTTACATGACCAGAGACAGAGGATGGGGAGGTGCCACACACTTTTAAACAACCAGATCTTGTGAGAACTCTATCACGAGAACAGCACCAAAGGGATGGTGCTAAAATATTTATGAAGGATCCACCCCAATGATTCAATCACTTCCCAGCAGGCCCTACCTCCAACGCTGGGGATTCCAATTCAACATGAGATTTGAGCAGAGACACAGATCCAGACAATATCATATGTCTTGTGACTACTTACGTATTGAGTCTATCATTTAAATAAAAACATAAGACACAAGATTTCAACTTTTGTCTAGTCAAAATATCTATTCTAGAACATAGAAACATATGAATACATTTCCTCTACTTACAGATTTCTGAAAATGCTTTTCAGCTACTATTGATAGCATCCACATATCTTTTTCTCCTTTAACATATAGATCTGTTAAATCATGTTGATAGATTCTTAATGTTGTCATTAAATAATGACAAGGTTACATTTTATTAATGCTGTCCATTCCTTGTAGTCATGACAGAAATTGAGGTTGCTGTTCATAATATCCATAGCATTGGTCCTTTCTGTATGTTTGTCTTTGTCCATTTTCTTCCTCCTCTTAGTATCTGGCCTGAAAAAAAAAAGTGAGAGGGGAGAGTCTTGAGATTATTTTACTTTGTATTTGTATGAGATCTTAGGTAAGTAGTCAAAAATGACTCCTAGCTATCAAGTTAATAAGGGAAAATTGCAAGTCCCTAGTTTTTCTTCTTTCAGTTAAACGTAGCTTACAAAAACGTAAACGATAACAACAAGGGACTATTAACAATATCAACAAAGGGACTGACTTTGCTTTAACAAGATGGCTGTTGTAAGTTGGATTTCTGGGAAAGCAGCCTCTGAGACACAGGGTTATTTTTTAGTGATAATCATGGGATCAACACCTGTGGGGGCATGGAAGGAAGAAGGATTGGCAAAGGGAAAATGTGGTCTAAGATTCGGTGTCAATAAAGGCATAAGCTAACTTCACAGTAGGCTCTAAACTGGATCAGCCTGCAGAGTTGTGGTCAGTTGGGGCAAGGAGGTTGGACTTTATAACCCCTCATTGATCTGGCATTGGCTGCAGGCTACCTCAGGGCAGGTGGGGAAAGCAACTCTCTTTAGGGGAGAGTAGTTCCTGGGGAGTGCTGCCAGCTGACACTAGTGGCACTCCCAGCAGCTGGGAGTAAGTCCTTCAGTCCTGAAACATGCATCCTGAAATATGCATCTGGATCCTGAATATGCATGTGGATATGCATCCAAGTACAGATCATCACTAACAGAGGTCAAAAAAGCAGTTCTATTTACCACTTTCTCTGTATTTCATAGAAGAAAGAGCATCATATTGGAAAGTCTAGAGTAAACTTTTTGAGGAAAATGTTTAAGAGATAAGTGAAGAGATAAGACAACGACTAGGCATCTATGAGGTCTCCATAAGAACATAAATCTTATCTGGAGAAATTGAGAATACAAAGAAAAAAATACTAAACTACTGTCAATAATCTTCTAAATATCAAGGAAATGTAAATAGCATCGCATGAATAAAGGTTTTTCAGATGTTTAGAATAAATAAAAGTACATTCAGAATTATACAAAATGATAAGAATTTTTCTCTTAAAGAACTTTAGAATGGACTAAAAATCACTTATACCCATTTAAAAAATAACGTGGAGACCTATGGGAGCTGGTGTACATCTTTGAGAACAAATAATGCCCTTTTTAAGGGAATTACAAAGGATGAAGAGATCCTTGCCTTCAATAGTTTTCTGTCTAATAAGATGATCTGCTTTTTGACTGAATAAACTAAAGCCACATATTTGGTTTGGAATTTTGTAATTTAGTTCTTCCTTAAATATAAAGCTCATCTCAACAATGGCTGGGTTGTTGAAAAAAATAAAAAATAAAAAAAGGTCATTTGTAAATGACCAAAGCTTTAGAGTATTCTGATGATATAAATTAAACTCCCAGTTTTTTACTGAGTTTTTGTTTCATAGATTCAAACAAAGTTACCAAATCTGGTTGTGATTGATTTGTTTTTATGTTACATAGCAAATACTGCCAAAGTCACAGAGGAATGCTTTTTATTTATCTGGGCATTTTTATATTTTTAAACTTTTTTTCCAGGCAAAAATTGGACATAATTTAAAAATACCAAGGTGACGGTGTTTCTGTACACAGACTTTCCAGTCTTAAAAAACCTTCATCGTATTTAAGACAATGAGTAGCTTGAATTTTCCCATTTCACACTCTTTACAAATGACCATTTATTTAATTACCCATTGCTTTCTATCTATAAATCTGTCTCCTTCTTTTTTCTACTTTTTTTTTGTTCCATGTCATGCAATGTTTGTTATCTATCAATTTTTCTTATTCAGTACTTTTTTGTATTCTCCTTCCAGTCCCCTTTTAGCCTGAAATCAAGAATTTAAAATTCCTTGTGTAGTTCAGACTCATGTAAACAAAACTATACTCCAGGGAGATTTCATTCAGATCTCAAATGCATTCCAGTTTCTACTATCTTACCAGGTACTGAAGTAATGAACAAAATTGCTAAAGAGCTGTACTTTAGTACTAAATTCAATAGAATATTCTTTAAAATAATAAAAAAAAGATTTTAGGGAAAGGTGTAATCAATAGTAAACTATATTCAGATACTACTTAGCATAAAATCCAAGGTAGTTGTAATTATTTTAATAGAAGCATAGTGCCTAGCTCAGCGTTTTGCTCAGATTGGACACTGGAAAGATATGTTAAACAAATAAGTCACTTCATTACAGTGGTGCCTGCTATACTACGTATGGACACTATTGATTTTTAGTCTGTGCTATTTTGTGAGAAAAACTATATTTAAAACGAGGGAAAAAAAGCTTTTGTATATCACCCGAGAGTTATCGAAATCATGTGAATTATCAAAGCTTTCCTACATGTAGGAAACTTAGGAATCATTTTAAATAGTTCCAAGAGCTTTGAAATTAAGAGTTTCAATCATATAATAGAGCCGTCACTAGATATTCCATTGGGAGTTTGACCTGTTAAAGCTATCTTTATATAAAAAGAAAAATTCAAAACTTTTTTTTAAAGTTCTTCACACTTAATAACTGTGTTTACAACACTAAATAAGTCTTAAACACAGCCACTTGTTTGTGCTAAATATTTGTCCTGAACAAGGAGGAAAATAAAAGGCCATATTCTGATGTGTGATATCAGTTTTCAGGCAGGTAGTTGCAGTTTAAGTAGGTTTAGAGAGAGATGAAAAAATGAAAATTAGAAACCAGGGATATGAGCCAGACATGGTGCAGATAATCTTAAACCAAATTTTGTCATCTCTCATAATCAGTGGGATTTTTCGTTCCTTTTCTTAGACTCTTTTGGGTGCCAGTAACAGAAATCTACTTAAAGTAGTCTGTTTTGTTTAAAAAGACTTTTTCAGAGTATTGACATACTTTAGGGGATCTAGGGGCAGATAATGTCTTTGAGCCTCACAGAGGACTAGAAGTGGCAATGGAAAAGTCATCAGATACCCACTTGTTTTGGGGCAAAATTTCTTGGCCAAACCCAAGGGAAATATTTCTTCTTAAACTAGATCTCCAATGAAGTAACTGTTTCCTTTTATAAAGTAGAAAATTTGTGATTGGGAACTATGAGAAACAGACAATTGTCCCTAAAGTTTTTCAACAGAGATAGCTTTGTTCTGTTTGCAGGATTATATTATATAGTAAATGATATTCTCAAGAAAACGCCTACACACTGAGACAAAGACCTTCCCTCCAACACCTTCTACATCTCAAACATTAATGATGAGGGTTCTGCATGCTAGGAATCACATCAAGCTTCTTCAGACATCCTCAACAGGGATTAAAGAGGCAGCCCACACATAGGGACCTAAAGCCACTTTTCTTCAGACTGTCCTGCCTCCACCAACATAGATCAAGGGGGAGTTCCAGATGCCATCTCTTCTTGTCTCCTGACACTCACTGTGTGTCTGTCTTCCTTGACAATCCCATGATCTGTTTATTCTAGTTTTGTCAGGCACCAGAGGGAGAACCCGATGTCTTGGTTCTTTGTCCTTGTCTCCTTTCTATCTATTCCCACTGTCTGGGGGCTGTCATCCAGCCAGGGATTACCACACCTGGTTCAAATAGAGGAAGACCTAAGAAAGACATTTGCTTTCATAGTAACAGCAGGGAAAAAAAGAAAAAATCAAAATTACAATTTTTATTAAGCTTTGAAAAAAATATGGACCCAAAATAAGTTTAAGAAAATAAATTCCAGAGGAGGATGAAATCACCGTAGATGAGATAAGAGTCACAAAAGTTGTGTTCCTGGAACCAAGTGCCAAGTTATGGTACAAGCAGGCAGAGGAGCAGGGGAGACTGTGATAGATGCGGGAAGGGTGGTTTTCTGTCAGGTTGAAGAGGTTGGACTGGAAATAAACAGAAGGGAAGCTATCAGGGGTGACAGAAATGTTGTTTGTATTCATTTGGGTGTTAACCACACAGGCATATATGTTTGTCCCACCTTATCCAACCGTGATCATAAGATCTGTGCATTTCACAATTAAACATACATTTTTTAAAAATGAAGTAAATAATATAGAGGGGAATAGCCTGAAACAAAGATGGCAGGAGGTTCATGGTTATTGAAGCTTGGTGGTGAATGCTTACAGATTTGATATACTGTTCTCTTTATTTCTCTTCTCTGTCTAAACCCTTCAAAGATTCTCCACTTCACTACTAGTAAAAGCTAAGTTCTCAAAACAACCTGTGAAGATCCACAGAGTTCTTTTAGAACGGCCCTCTCCTGTGATCTTTCTTGACCTCATCCCTTATTAATCTCTGCCCTCTTCACTCTACTATAACCATATACTACAGCCACTGCTAGCTGTTTCTTGAAGTTACCAGGCATGTGCACTAGTTACATCTTTGCATTGGTTGTTCTATCTCCATGTTGCCCCCTAACCCCAGATAAAACCCAGACCAATTTCTTTTTTTTTATTGTGAGATTGATGCATTTTAAAAAATTATTATTATACTTTAAGTTCTGGGATACATGTGCAGAACGTGCATGTTTGTTACACAGGTATACATGTGCCATGGTGGTTTGCTCCACCCATCAACCCATCATCTACATTAGGTATTTCTCCTAATGCTGTCCCTCCCCTTGCCCCTCAGCCCCTGACAGGCCCCAGTGTATGATGTTCCCTCCCTCTGCCCATATGTTCTCATTGTTCAACTCCCACTTATGAGTGAGAACATGCAGTGTTTGGTTTTCTGTTCCTGCGTTAGTTTGCTGAGAATGATGGTTTCCAGCTTCATCCATGTCCCTGCAAAGGACATGAATTCATCCTTTTTTATGGTCGCATGGTATTCCATGGTGTAGATGTGCCACATTTTCTTTATCCAGTCTGTCATTGATGGGCTTTTGGGTTGGTTCCAAGTCTTTGCTATTGTAAACAGTGCTGCAATAAACATATGTGTGCATGTGTCTTTATAGTAGAATGATTTAAAATCCTTTATATACTCAGTAATGAGATTGCTGGGTCAAATGGTATTTCTAGTTCTAGATCCTTGAGGAATCGCCACACTAATTTCTTACAAAATATTAGTTTCTCAATTGGGCCTACCTTCACATCTACATTTAAAAATGCAACCCCCTCTTCTCCTCCCTTTGACTTTTTTTCAAAGCATTCATCATCTTTTTTTCTTTTTTTTTTTTTAAGATGGATTCTTACTCTGTCACGAGTGCAGTGGCACATCGGCTCACTGCAATCTCCGTCTCCTGGGTTCAAGCAATTCTCCTGCCTCAGCCACCTAAGTAGTTGGGATTACAGGCACCCACCACCATGCTTGGCTAATTTTTTTATATTTTTAGTAGAGACGGGGTTTCACCATGTTGGCCAGGCTGGTCTTGAATTCCTGACATCGGGTGATCTGCCTGCTTTGGCCTCCCAAAGTGCTGGAATTACAAATGTGAGTCACCTCGCCTGGCCCATTCATCACCTTTTAACATACAAACACTTTCCATATTAATGTTAACTCTCTTTTGCCTCGTGAATGTAAGCTCCAAGGGGACAGTCTGGGAGAAATGTTTTATTTATTTTCATACTGCAAGTGCCTAGAAACAATGCCTAGCACATAATTGGTGTTCCATAAATATTTGGTGAATAAAGGAACAAATTATTTCTCAACCTTATTCTGTGAAGTTTCCTTGCTTGATAAGCAGTGAAGGTCTCCTACCTCCATTTTTCAGAGTACACGAAGAGTAATTTCTCCATCCTTGAGGTGTAGTCACAACCTGGACCCTCCTCCCCAAGAAGCCATTATTGTCAATGATGACGGCCAATTTACAATTTTTCTTTATCAACTGGGCACTGAAAGAACTTGTAGGAATATTAGAAAATATCAAACATGCAAATATTCTCATGATGGAACAAAATATAATTAAAAATGGTTAATTCTTGTGTTTTCTTATTTTGTGTATAGTCAGGGATTTCCTGATAGACAGAACCAACAGGAGTGAAACAGAAACAGACAGAGAGAGACACAGAGAGCAAGAAGGAGAGATAGATTTATCTTAAGAAACTGGCTCACGCTATTGTGGAAGCTTGGTAAGTGCAAAATCTGTAGACAGAACAACTGATTGGACACCTAAGGAAGAACTGCAGTTGCAGTTCGCTGGCTGAATTCCTTCTTTCTTTGGGGAGGGCAGTCTTTGTTCTATTAAGACCTTCAACTGACTGGATGAGGCCCAGCCACACAATGGAGACTAATCTGCTTTACTCAAAATTCACCAATTTAAATTTTAATCTCATCTTAAATTTAAATTAAAAAAAAAAAACACCTTCACAGAAACATCCGGAATAATGTTCGAACAAGTATCTGGGCACCTGGCCCAGCCAAGTGATGTAAGGTACCCTTCATGGCATAAACTTTCCAATTCCTAGGCTGTTTATTTTCTGCCAAACTTGTCTGGTGATAGTTCTGCAGGAAAATTTCTTTTCTTGGGTAAACAAAAGGTTCATTCTCTTCCCATCATTATTTATCCATGTTGTGCATGCACATTCTCTCTCTCTCTCTCTCTCTCTTTCTTTCTCTCGCTCCCGCTCATACTTCTGCACAGACTCATTCTCTATTTGTGTTTTGCTCTCTTATTCTCTGGCTTTTACTCTATTGCTCTCTTGGCTTTGCTCATATTTTTACATCATAGTTGATGTAAAAGATGTACATATGCATTTTTACATCATATTTTTTCTCCCTGAGGCCAGTTTCTCTGCTTGCTTGTCAATATACAAGGTTTATTATGACTGACCAGCCTCAAACTTAAATGTTCTCACTAGTCCAACACCTGCAGCAAACTTTTCACCTTCTTTCCATCTCAATATGCAATTCCTAGGAAAGAGATTCGTTCAACCTGGTCAAGTTGCCCAATTGAACTTGGTCAAATTGTTTGTCTTTGCCCAGAGGAGTTGGTGATGTGTGGCTTATACTTGCTGGTTGGGGGTTTGGAAACAGCCTGAGATGGAAATGAGGCAGTTTGAGAAATCAAAGTAAAATCCTAAGTCCCCCAGTGGACTGAACAGATCCTCTTTCAGCAAAGGGGACCCCAGAGAAACCTTAAAAACTGAGTGCCCAGCCACGATGACACAGGAAGTTGGACATACCTGTTATACCACTTTCTTGCTAACCACCATTAAGCTTTCTTTCCTAAGGGTTAAACAGAAATTAGCTTTTTTTGAAAGACATGTTCCATTGCTGATTTCAACCATCAGCCTGACACTGCCCCTCCCTTTTTGCAGTTTCAATACAGCAGCTGACAGACATTCCTTCCTGATAAGAGACCACCGACCATGGAATAATTGGTGCCAGTTTACAGAGGCTGTGCACTGAGTGCCTTTGTGTCCTCTACTTCACCTTTTAATGTATAGGGCCTAATTGCAATACACTTCAATGTTAAATCTTCACCCCAAAGTGAACATGAGACATGTAATGTACATGCTAGCTTAGACACATGTGCCTGCCCCCCCTTTGTAAATAAATATTCATGCTCCTCCTGTAATCTGTTAAATATGGGTACTCAGCCAACCCATTCAGCATAAATTATTGTCTCATCTTTTCCTCCCTCGAAGTGCCTGCTTTTCAGTGTCAGCTGGAAGTTCCCATACCCCCGCTTGAGAAATAAAGTTCTCCTTTCCAAATTTACAGATTTTGTGACAGATCCCTAGATTCCCCGTGATTGAAGATAATGCATGCATGAGCCCATTGACAGCTCAGTTGTCTTGCCAGCTGCACTGGGGAAGAGTAAGTCCCAAGATCTCCCACTTTTAGGCTGAAGATCTTGGAGACTTTATTTCTTCCTACCTCTCCCTTCCATCTGGACCTTGGAAGAGATATTTCTCTTGGCCCTGGGTCTTAGGTGGGGGGCAGGTGGTGGGGGGCATTTCAGCTTAACTCAGTGGGGTCCTCAAAGGGACACCTTTGGTAAATGCTGTTATGGGGAACCTGGGTTCTAAGGGAATAGCCTCTGGTCAGCCACCATCAGAAACCCTGGTGGCTTACATGTTTAAGAACCAGGGAAACATTCTTTTGAATATTTGAGATCCTGACTAAAGCTAACCAGGAGGATTTAAAGCTTTGTTGGTCACAATGGGGGAACTTTTGACATGCTTAAATTAGTTTGTTTATTGGCACAATTAGAACGGAGAGGGTTTGGACCTCTCAATAGCAGTGTGAGACCTTTTGTAATTAATTGGTATTATGAGAACTCTAAACATGTTCTGGAGTCTCCGATGGCCTCCTCAAAGGAGACAAATTCAAGGCTGAAGGAGTCTAATTTGAAACTTGACCAGTATATTTAAAAACTTGAGAGCTACCTTGAGTTAGATTCCAACCTTGAGACAGAGGAAGATGCTGTGTCTCCCCATTCTCCTTCTACTGCTCCTTTAATGCCAGCAACAGTGTATCCTTCTCTGCCATCTTTCACCCTTTCTGAGCTTCCTTTCTTCCCTTCCCCTTCTTCCCTAGAGTCAACCCCTCCTTTCCACACCCCTCCAACCCTTCTCCTTGCCCCCTTACAAGTTGCTCAAATTACAGGGGGCCACCAGGCAGTAGAGTCATTCTCCTCCCTCTGGTCTAAAACTGATCTTGTGACTATTATCAAGGACTTCCCTAACCCTAAAACAGACTCAGTTGAATTTGAACACCATTTTGGCTTCATTATAAATATATATCAACCAGGCCTTCTCAGTGGTTGTCAATTGCTCCAGATGTTAGCGGGACTATTTTAGCCAGGGAATAGATCAACCATGAGGGTTTGGCACATCCTAAAACTGATCTTGTACTTATGTGGGAAGCAGCCTTTAGGAGGGCTCAGGAGGTAATCACAGAATTAATTAAGGCCATCCTAGTAATTTTTCCATGTCAAATAGATTGGAAGGCTATTCAATGATATATCCAAAAAAGGGATGAGCCAGTCTTTGATTTTTTTTCAATCAATTAAAAAAACTTTCAGACAGAATTCAGGCATCAAAGATTTAAATGATGATAATGCCAAGCTTTCCAACTCATTTTTTCTTTCAGGTCTCAATGAGACCTTTAGTACTCTGGTCAAGCAGATTAACCAGTACTCCCGTTAAGCCATGATTCTGGCTGGACTCTAAAAGGCCTCATGAATTGGCTTTCGTGTTCAACTACCTCTCAAAAACAACAGAAAAGGAAAGATACTCGAGTAGCTAAGACACTCATTACCAGGAATAAACTGCAAAACTCATGGCCCTACACATTAAGCAGAATCAGGGGCTTTCCACTAAACAACAAGCCCCATCTAAGGAGCAAAAGACACAGCAGAGCCTGACATAAAAAAATCACAGATTGTTATTTTTACAGGGAAGTCTGTCACTTTAAACAGAATTGTGAGAAATAGAAAATGTGGCTCAAAAAAAAAAATCCTGATCATCATAAAGAAAACTAATTCTTTTCCCAAAGTAGACTGACGCCAGAACAGTTTTTTTCCCCATTATAAGAATAGGGGTACTACGACGAAGGGAAGAGAATTTTTCTTTTCCTTGTGGTAAATTCAGCTGCGAGAATTTGATCTTCAAATTAATAATCAAACGGTCTGAACTCAAATAGATACTGGGGCCACTCTCTTAGTGCTTAACCCCAACTCTTTATATGTCCACCACCCCAAAGCTGCCAGGGTTTTTGGTGGGGGCTGACCAGTGACTGTTCCTTAGAATCTAGGTTCCCCATAAGAGCATTTTATGCTACGGTTGTAACCAAACCATAAAAATGGTCAGGGTCACTAATCAACCTATGACTATTTTTTTTTCTTTTTTTTTTTTGAGACAGAGTCTCATTCTGTTGTCCAGGCTGGAGTGCAGTGGCGTGGTCTTGGCTCACTGCAACCTCTGCCTCCCCAGTTCAAGTGATTCTCCTGCCTCAGCCTCCCAAGCAGCTGGGACTACAGGTGTGTGCCACCATACCTGGCTAATTTTTTGTATCTTTAGTAGAGTCAGGGTTTCATCCTGTTAGCCAGGATGCTCTCGATCTCCTGACCTTGTGAACTGCCTGCCTCACCCTCCCAAAGTGCTGGGATTACAGGCATGAGCCATCATGCCCGGCCCAACTTATGACTATTTTTAAGGCAAAGCCAGGGCATCCTCATTCTTGTTTCCTCTGCTCCTCTCCGTATGATGGAGAGAGAGAGTTCCTTGAAAGGCATCAAGTTCATATTTCTTTTTCTCATGAGGGAGGGACCATTCCAGAGGTCTATCCTTTGGACATCTTGACCACTGACCTTACTCATGTCTTTCCCATGTCAGTCATTAGCTTCTCAGTTGCCACTGAGCACCAGGCTTTTAAAAAACTGCCTGATACACTCTGGGCCAATCTAACACTGATATCTGTCTGATTCACTCAGCACTGCCAATTACCATACAGATAGAGCCCAACAAACCTCTACCCAATATAAGACAATATCCCCTCAATCCTGAAGCTTTGGCCAGAATAGAGTCCAACCTTAATGATTTCCTCTCCAAGGGCCTCATAATCCCCTGCATTATCCCTTGTAACACACCCGTATTACCTGTCTGGAAACCAAACTGAAAGTGATGGAAGTTTGTTCAGGACTTTAAAGATATTACTAATATTGTTATGCCTTGACACCCTGTTGTGCCAGACCCACACACATGACTGTCTGGCATACCTTCTAACACTCAGTGTCTCTCAGCTATGGGTCTCTGTCGTGCCTTTTTCAGCACCCTGTCAATCCAGAAAGTCAATTTTTCTTTGCCTTCATGTGAAAGGGCCAATCGTTCACTAATATAGTCATTCTCTGGGAATATACAGAAAACTCCACTTACTTTTCTCAAATCTTATGAGTCGACTTATAGGATATAAGCTTCCCCAACAATCCTACCCTATTATAATACATTTATGCTCTCCCTCACAAGATGCTTGACTTACTGACACTCTTCACTTGCTCCACCAGCTGGCCCTTGAGGGACACAAGGTCTCTAAAGACAAGCTACAGTTTTGTCAGAATTCTATTAAGTTTCACAGACATCTATTAACCCCTTCAGGGCTAAACAACAACCCTTCTCACCTTTAAGGCATTTTTTCCTCCCCTCTCTCCACTATCAAGCAGCAGCTTGGAGGGCTTCTGGGACTTACTACAGAGCTTGCGTTTCCAACCTGTCTTTAATGGCACAACCTCTATATGCTTTACTTAAAGTTTTCTCCTCTGACCCCCTATTTGAACCTCACAAGGTAGAGAGGTTTCAAGGACCTAAAAGGTCAGTTGGCCTCACCCCCTACTCTGGGACACCCAAATTATGATCTCCCCTTTTCCCTTTTTGTCCCAAAACAAGAAGAAAATGCCTTGGGAATCCTAATTCAGCCCTATGGGGGTAACAATCAGCCCATTAAGATTAGAGTCAACAATTCAATTCTGTAGCTCTACCCTATCTTAGGACAGTCATGGCCATTTTCACCCTCATTAAAGCTTTAAATCTACTGAAAAAACAACGAGAGCCCCTCTCACTATACATGTTCCTTATTCAGTTGAGGCCCTTCTCACCCTGCACCACACTCAGCATCTTTCAACTAGTCCACTGACCTGCTATAAGACACTTTTCTCCTCCTCTCCTAACCTAGCCATAGCTCACTGTAACCTCCTTAACCCCGGCACCTTCTTTCCTTTACCAGAAGAGGTATCCTCCATGACTATACTGCTTTTATAGACATCCTTCTCTCACCACACACAGACTAAAGGAAACTCCCTTACTCAATCTGAATTTTATCTGGTACGCTGATGAGTCTTTTATCAGAGATTCTGCTGTGTCCTACTGGGCAGGCTACATGGTGGTTTCTCTGATACAAACCATTAAATCAAGCCCTCGGCCAGGTGCCTAATCTGCCCAACAGGTAGAACTGCATGCCCTCACTCAAGCCTGTCCACTAGCCACATATAAAGGGGGTAATATTTATACACACAGCAGACATGCCTTCAGAGTTGCCTGTGATTTCAGCAAGATCTAGAGCCAAAAAGGATTTCACACCTTTTCTGAAGAGCCTGTTAAGAACGAAGACTTTGTTCTGGTCCTCTTGGATACCATTCAGGCTCCTCAAGCAATAGTCATTATCAAAGTCCAGAGACATTTCTCTGACAAGACATAGGACAGCAAAGACAATTACCTAAGAAGTGTGGCAGCTCCAGCTCCTGCAGGGTGACTCCTTCCCCAGTTATGGCTGCTCAACCCACTACCCCTCCTTCTTCCCGGGCTCCTTCCTCTCCCTCATTCCCTTTCCCATCTGAAGATCTCTTCTCCAGACTCTCACTATTTCTAAAAACAGTTTCAGAGGCTGAAAGGAGGAATTAGATAAAACAAAATTGTTCTTTAAACCCCCAGACAAAATTATAGGAAAGTCCAAGTAGACATCCAATTGTACCCAGCACTCTTTAGAGACCGACTTTAACCTTCATACAGAATCTGACCTATTGCAATCCAGACAAATGATTCAATGGAGCAGACAATACTGTTGGAGACTTTCTCAGGTACATAAACTTTGCAATGTCTGCCTTCAGGTACATAAACTTTGCAATGTCTGCCCTCAGATACCTGGAGTGCTTCTCAGGTCCATAAACTTTGCAATGTCTGCCCTCAGTAAACCCCTAAACTCTCCTCCAAGTTAACTTTCACTTCCCTTCACTGTAATGGCAAGTTGATTTCATTCTGTTATTGCCACCCCATGGATGTAAATATGTTCTTGTAGTGGTGACGTTTATTCTCATTGAGTTGAGGCTTTCCTTTACAAACAAGTCACAGCTATGGTGGTGGCCAAATACTACTTGAGAAAACCATTTCTACCTGGGATTCCCTTTGAACATCACAGATAGGGGAGCTCATTTTACCAGTCAAGTACTGAAACAGGTGTTTAAAACCTGGCCAATCCCACAGCACTTTCACTGTGCCTATCATTCCAGTCCTCTGGGCTAGTTGAGCAGACTGATGAAATCATTAAAAACCATCTGGCAAAAATCACAAAAACATTTCATGTGTCCTGCCTAAAGCTCTTCTGCTGGTATTACTGATTTTGCAGTTCACTCCCGTGAGAAAACATTGACTTTCTCCTTTTGAAATTGTTACTGGCTCGGTTTGGTAGCTCAGGCCTGTAATCTCAGCACTTTGGGAGGTCAAGACAGGAGGATAGCTTGAGGATAGGCGTTCACTACCAGCCTGGGATAAATAGCGAGAACACGTCTCTACTAAAAGTGAAAAAAATTTAAAAAGTTAGCCAGGCATGGTGGCACATGCCTGTAGTCTCGGTTACTTGGGAGGTAGAGGCAGGAGAACTGCTTGAGCCCAGGAGTTTGAGGCTGCAGTGAGGTATGATGACGCCATTGCACTCCAGCTTGGGCAACAGAGCAAGAGCCTTAAAAAATAAAAAAGGGGCAACAGAAAAGAAAGGAAATTGTTATTGGTTGGTCTACGCCTTTAGAACAAGAAATGTTATCTCCTACCCAATTACAGGGGGAACTCCCAGCTTATTGCCAGAAGCTCTTCAAAGCTGTAGGCATCAACCACCACAAGGTGGGAAAATCTTTTTACAGCTTCCAGTGAGGCCATAATCTCCAGTCTCACCAACTCCAACCTGGTGGTTACATATACTGGAAAATACATCAGTTAAAAGACTCCATTTAGCCCCATTGAAAAGGCTCTTATCAAGTATTATTGACCAACCTGTGTGCTGTTAAGTTACAAAGAATTTACTATTAGGTACACATATCTCATCTGAAAAAGGCAGCAATCACTGCTGAGTCATGGACATTAATGTCTGTATCTGACACCAAACCCAAGTTGATCAAACCCTAGTACTTAGGCCCAAGGAAAGACAACCACAGTGAACTTCATAACACTCTGAACCAGGCCTGTACTGAGATGAATTTTTATACTCTCCTTGTATTGGTTATCACATTTAGTGTTTTAGGAATTTTCACAGTTATCATTTTCTTACATAAAGTATTGAGATACCCACCCCCACCTTGCTAAATGCACATCTATTTTCTAATTGTTTTAATTGTTATATCTGTAGAAATTTTATGTATTTTAGACATTTTGCACCATGTTGAGATAGGCCTGTGCATGCCAACAACTAGACACCTATAGATAATTAAAATACTTATGAGCTCCCTCTTCTGCAACAGTCAGAATCTGACAGGATTTATGGACTTTCTTTTAAGGGCATGGTTATTTGTTTTCTTTATTAGTAAGGTGCTCTGTTATCTCAAAGACAATCCCAAAAGCTTGCCTGATAGCTCTCCAGAGTTTGTATGAAACTTGTGATTTCTTCTTTGGTTTGAATTTTTAAATAGAATGTTTGTCTCTTTTTTTTTCTTTTATGGACTTAACAGCCTTTTCTCATCTCTTTGTAATTGTCCCTTTATGTCAAGGTATAAAATGACATGATAATTATTTAGTTAAATTGTCTCAAAGTGTTGCCGCTGGAGACAATTTAACAAATTATTAGATTTGTCAAGAGCTTCCTAAATCCATTAACAATAAACATTTGCCATTAATAATACCTGTCATCTCCCAAAGTGCTGGGACTACAGGCGTGAGCCACTGAGGCGGGCAGATCACTTGAAGTCAGGAGTTCAAGACCCGCCTCACCAACATGGCGAAACCCCATCTCTACCAAAAACACAAACATTAGCTGGCTGAGGTGGTATGTGCTTGTAGTCCCAGCTACTTGGGAGGCTGAGGCGGGAGAATCACTTTAACCCAGAAGGGAGAGGTTGCAGTGAGCTGAGATTGTGCCACTGCATTCCAGCCTGGGTGACAGAGTGAGACTCTGTCTCAAAAAAAAAAAAAAAACCATCAGAGACTTTCTCCAATGTTCCTGACATCACCACTTATCTGGACTAATTTCTTTTCTTGTCAACTTTCTGAGTCCAATTGCTTGCACACCCAAATATTACCACCCCCTTTTTAATCTATCCCATGTTATTAATGTTAGAAAATCACTGTATACCACAAGACTTCCTTGATCAATGAACTACTGGGTAGACAGATAACACATTCTAGATCAAATAAAGAAAATTTAAAATTTGTCCCTATTATGCCAACAATACTTACGTTTACAATGTCATGTAAATGGATTTTAAAAAGTTTGCGAGAGAGGTGACTCATGGTTTAATTTAGTCTCATTGGCACTTCCCATTATTTAGTTCATCAATAAACATAACTTTGGGACTATCACTTGCTCTCCCCTAGGTTATGTGTTTATATGTGACATAAGAGCTGATCCACTCATACTGGGGTGGGCACACCACTGCCTCAACAGCCTACACAAGAAGATTCTTGTTTGATGGGACATGTTGTAATCAAATAAAGAAAGTTTATTTTTCCATCATCTCCAACTATAAAAGTTTTCCTGCTTTCAACAGACTAAAAAGAGAATTACTGGGAGTTTCTCAAGAGACTTAGTGGCAGAAACTCTGTGTGTAGTAGTTCCTGGTTATGGGATTTATGCGAACAGAAAAAAAATCTATCAGCCACTTCAGGTCAAATTGCTGAAAAGAGTGCAAAAAGTATTGTGGAATAACAAAAGTCTCTAAATTATTTGACAATTTAGAGACTTCTTCTGGCCCAAGTGGTTTTAGACAATTGGGCTACATTAGATTTTCTCTTAGCCAAACAAGAAGGATTCTGTACAATGGCTCATACCTCCCTTTGTATTTATGTCAACCCTTCAGGTGAGGTAGAAACTCATATAGAAAATATTTCCAAATAAACCAAATGGTTACAAAAATTACGAACTACAGACGCCCTCAATAATCTTTTTGGCTATCTCCTGACTAGATTAGGAATCTGGCTTCAATCCATTTTACAAATCCTGCTATTATTATCCTTGCTATTTTGTTCCTTTTTTTCTGATAATCAAAATGTTTATGTTCTGTATAACTATTACAAATTTGTAACTGAAACCAAGATTTTTGTGGTTTTGATTTTTATGCTGCTTAAAAGGTTTTAAGGGTTGATGAGTGCCTGCCCACTCCCATTCCCATCTGGCCTAAAACATTTAATTGGTTGTAATTCTTTTGGCTCTAAGTCCCTTGGCCACAGGGGTCCCACAGATGGATTGGGTAATCCCAGGGAAAGTAGCCAGATCACCCAGACAATGATATGAGATGAAATGAAAGTTTGGGCATTGATGCTGACTGAGAAATCTTGGCCAAAGGCATAAATGAGAAATAAAAACACAATCCTAAGACACCCAACCAACTGAATTAATCCCCTCTTGTCCAAGGGGAACTTAGATAAACCTTAAAAACTGATGACACAGAAGGTCAGACAGAAAGTCACGTCTCATTATACTCCCTCCCTCACTAAAGCCCATTACCTCTTTCTTAAGAGTTAAACAGAAACCAGCCCATTCAAAAGATTTGTTCTACTGATGATTTCCATCAATTGCCTAATATTGACCCCCGCCCTTTTTTGTGGTTTCGGCACAACAGCTGGCCTTCCTTCTTGATAAGAGACCACTGACTATGGAGTGGTTCTGATCAGTTAACAGAGGTTGCTTACTGAGTGCCTTTGTGTCCTCTGCTTCAACCTTTGACATATAGGGACTAACTGTATTAATTTCAATGTTAAGTCTCCACCCCAAAGTGAACATGGAACATAGGCAACATCCATTTTTGCTTACTATGCATGTACATGACTTTCTATGTAAATATTCATAGCTCCTCCTATAACCTGTTAAATATATGTACTTAGCCAAACTGTTCACCATAAATTCTTGTCTCTTCTTTCCCTCCTTCAAAGCGCTTAATTTTTGGTTTCATCCGGGGCTCTGCTTCCCGCCTACAGGTTGTTACACCCCCATCTTTAGAAAGAAAGCCCTCCTTTCTAAACTTACAGATTTTGTGACTTTTTGGTTGACAAGCTTATCCATAAAACAATGTTCCTGCAGAATGAAAAAAATATTAGATTAAGAAATGTTTAATAAAGTACCTTTGACTTTACTAAAGGGTTTAATAATTGAATAAAGTTCTTAATACAATATTGTAATAATACATCAGCAAATTAATAGAACAAATATATTTCCATTATCATTATGTTTTATTTGTCTTTTTCACTACAATCAAGCCTATGAAAACGGGTAGGGGGAAAAAAACACCTAAAGCCCAATATGACAAAAAAAATTAATGTAATCAATTAAGGAGAAAATAAAAATATTTGTCATTTATGCAGCATTTGTCATATGCATATTTGTACCCATCTTTTTATATATCATATACACAAGTACTCTATTTTCACCTTAGCAAGATCTGTGATCTCTCTGTTAAGGTCTGGTGCCTAGAATGGCAAAGAGTGTTCCTTGAGTATGAATGTACATTAAGGATGGATAGTAATTCTTATTTTATTTCCAATTACTCTTCTTGTTGATGCTCAGAATGTATTTGAATTTTGGTTCAACCATGTGTCAGACACAATGTTAATTAAGCATGATCCTATTGCATTCTACCCCAAAGTCCCCCAAAACTGTGAACTAATATGAGGCTTAATGAAATTTAAGATGGGACTGACATTACACAGTGAGGAATGAGGTAAAATTAACCCCAAACCTCTGGATTTCATGGGCTGAATCTCCATCATTAGACTTGATTGCATCCCAAGTATTTCATTAATGGACATTGCTTTATCATGCCTAAGGGCTATCAATTTACATCTGAACATCTTTTTGTGACAGAAGGTAAGGCAGGGCTTAAAGAATGATCATGGCAAGTCAAAAGGATATGGGAGCCGCCTCAAGTGGCTAAATCTGGGATATTTTGAGCTCCAAATTAAATAATAAGCCATTGAGTAAAATAATAATTAGTGAGTCAATGCTAATATAAATAAATGAATAATAAAAGAGAGAGAAGGAAACACTCTTCCTAGATTAGAAAGCCATCTCGTACATAATTAGAAAAGCATGATTTGACAATCATCAGAAAAATAATGGGTTTAAGAAAGAATTATTAAATAGATATTAAAACTAGTGGGTGAGTGTGGGGAATAACGGCATATTTGCAAAATCTGAAATTACCTCTCCCAAAATACTTCTTAATTGCAAAGAGCTAGGTAGTAACTTGTAAATGGAAGAAAGCTGGCCAACATAATCTTATCCAAGTCATCAAAGTGAATGATGCTCTAGTGAGACAAATGGACATCATATGCCTGATAGATGAGCTGAGGACATAGCATGACTTCTGTGGAATTTCTGCCAGAAACATGTAAGTTGAATCTAATTATGAAGACACTTCAGCAGAACTCAAATGAAGGGAATTTCCACAAAATAACTGACTAGTACCCTTCAAAGGTGTGAAATGTCCTGAAAAAGAGAGAAATCTTCCAGATTAAAGGAGATAAAGACGCATGACATTACTGTGCAGTGTCTGAGATGGCACCTACTTATACTACACAGATTAAGATTGGACAATTGACAAAATTTGCATAGGTTAGTAGCTTAGATAGTGATGTAGTACCAATATTAATTTCCTGATTTTGGTAATTATAGTCTGATTAAGTGAGAAGATATTCTTGTTTTTAGGAAACTCCCTAATGTATCTAAAGGGTGAAGGAAAATCATGTTTTCAGTTTATTTTTAATTGGTTCAGAAAAATAATTTGGTGTAGACAGAGAAAGAGCAAAAGAGCACAGGCAAACGGATTAACATTTGGTCTACCTGGGTGAATTCTTTGTATTATTCTTGAAACTCCTCTGTAAGTTTGAACTTAGGTCAAAATATTAAAATGAAATGAAAAAGTTACATTTCTTAAAGAGTTAAATCTACTTTATATCTCTACATATGTCTGAGTTACTTTCTATGTAATAGCCTAGAAGTGAGACGTCTATTCTAAGGATATGTGCATTTGCAATTTTAATGCTAAATTACTCTCTTGAGCTGTCACTTCAAGTTACATTTCCAGTAGTGTAGAGAATTCTCAAACTTCTGTAACTTTCCTCAAACCTGATACTATTACACTTCAATGTTTGCCACCCTGGTAATTAAGAAATTGTATTTTGTTATTTTTAAAATATTTTAAAACTTTGTGGGTACATAGTAGGTATATATATTCACGGGGTACAGGAGATGTTTTGATATAGACGTGTAATGTGAAATGATCAAATAATCACATCATGGAGAATGGGGTATCCATCACCTCAAACATTTATCCTTTGAGTTACAAACAATCCAATTACTCTTTAAGTTATTTTTAAATGTACAATTAACTTAGTATTGACTATAGTCAACCTATTGTGCTATCAAATAGTAGGTCTTATTCATTCTTTCTAACTATTTTTTGTACCCACTATCCATCCTCCCACACCCCCTCCCCCCAACCACCACCCCCTGATGCCCCTGCTCTACACTACCCTTCCAAGCCTCTGGTAACCACCCTCTTACTCTCTATGTCCATGAGTTCAATTGTTTTGATTTTTAGATCCCACAAATAAATGAATCATGTGATGTCTTTCTGTCCTGGCTTATTTCACTTAACATAATGATCTTTAGTTCCGTCCATGTTGTTGTAAATGATTAGATCTCATTCTTTTTATGACTGAATGGTACTTCACTGTGTATGAGTACCACATTTTCTTTATCTGTTCATCTGTTGATGGGCATTTAGTGTGCTTCCAAATCTTAGCTATTATAAACAGTGTTGCAACAAACAGGAGTGCAGCTAGCTCTTTAATATAATGATTTCCTTTCTTTTGTATATATACCCAGCAGTGGGATTGCTGGATCATGTGGTAGCTCAATTTTTAGTTTTTTGAGGAACCTCCAAACTATATTCCCTAGTGGTTGTACTAATTTACATTCTCACCAACAGTGTACGAGGGTTCCCTTTTCTCCACATCCTTGTCAGCATTCATTATTGCCTGTCTTTTGGATATAAAACATCTTAACTGGGGTGAGACGATAGTGCATTCTAGTTTTGATTTGCATTTCTCTGATGACCAGTGATGCTGAGCACCTTTTCATATGCCTGTTTGCCATTTGTATGTCTTCTTGTGAGAAGTGCCTATTCAAATCTTTTGCCCATTTTTTTTATCAGATTATTAAACCTTTTCCTATAGAACTGCTTGAGCTCCTTATATATCCTGGTTATGAATCCCTTGTCAGATGGGTAGTTTGCAAATATTTTCTCCCATTCTGTGGATTGTCTCTTTGTTATTTTCATTTACACTTCTCTGATGACTTTTACATTTGAACATATTTTCATATGTTTTTAAACACCCAAGTTTTTTATCCCATGGATTGTCTGTTCATACCCTTTGTCCATTTTAAATGTTTTTATTTTTATATTTTTCTTATTGATATACAGGTCTTTATATACTCGTATTTATTTTGTATGTAAATTGTTTTTTTAAATGTGTATATGCGTTTGTCTAAAGCTTTTTTTACCTTTTGAGGGTCAGAATAAGGGCATATACCCTGAAAAATTCAAATTGAAGCTCGCCCTTCATTCAATCATGTGCTGAACTGATGCTTGCAGGAATCCTGAAGTATTGTCCTGATTACTTTGCACTTCGTTTCAATGGTAGCCCTCTTCAGTAAATTTCTTTTAAATTAACACCAAAGCTTCCTATTTTCTGATTCTTCATTATATGGTAAAATAGGCTCAACAACATTGTCAATCCTGAAAATCCAAAAGAGTAATTGAAGTCTAATTATATCCTTTGCCTTCTGGAAGACATGCAGTCACAATTTGCTTTGGGATTTTGTTTTAAAGTATAGGTCCTTTCTCCTCACACCTTCTTGAAAGATTGCTGCAGGAAGCTGGTTTAAATATAGTGGCTTGAATATTGCAGATTTAAAGGAATATAAATAACCTGGAAGTGTGATTTTGAAATATAAGCAAATTGATCTTTTTCTTTCCTAAAAGATGTAAATACAATTTATAAAACTTTGTGTCCACAAACTGCATGATGATTTTCACAGGAAAGTAATGAACATCTTGAACACTGTACTTCCAAATTAAATATGACATTAATGGGCACCATTTAATGCAGCTCAGCTCTGCACTGATGGCCATTTTAATTGGATTGCTGCTGTTGTGAATAGAAAAGTTGCTGACAATGTTAGAAAAACTAAGCTTACACAAAAGTACCACCTAAGAAGATGTTGGACTTGAATTTGCACGTTTAATCAATCAAGTTAGCTCATCTTATACCTCTTCCAGAAATGCAATTTTTATATACAAGTTGTTAGACAAACACACAGTGGCTCATTGTGAATTCTACGGCCTATGTTCTGATGACAACTAGTCTTCTTCCTGAACTGAATGTCTGCGTGTCTGCTGTGGCTGCCGGTTACGTCATATAATTACCAGACAGTCCTTTCATCCTAAGGCAAGACTTTCTCTTGGGGACTATAAGTACATGAATGACACCCTAGAGTTAAATATAAAATTTAAAAAGGATGAAATTCATGCCAGAAGCAGAAATGGCAGAGGTAATGTTCCCTGATAAAGCACTGTACCATGTAGACTGTTCTTTCTAAATAAGTTTTAAACTCTCCTTTTCTAAATTTTAAAAAATAAAGCAGCAGAAATATGCAAAATCATTTTTTAATTCCAAAAAGCAAGAATCAGGATTATTACTTTATTTAGGTTGCCTCTGAAATAAGTTGTTGAATTTGATGTCAACTTATAAACTTGGGCTATAACCACATTGGAGAACAACTAGAGTAAAGAAACTTCAGGTAAGAAATAGTCATTCTGGAAACTGTTGAATAGCTGTTTTCCAGGACATCACCATTGTTGGTAAATATCTTATTTTATTATAAGCTGTGCAAGTGTTTATACCCACTTTACAACTTTCTCTCAATCTTATTATTCCATCAAAATTGTTTGAACTTGACCATTCCTGAACATTAATTGCTTATGAAAATCTCTTAGAAGAACTATTTAATCATGGAGATACCTACACACACACACACACACACACACACACACACAACAGACAGACACACACACACACAGTATATTATTTAAACTCTGTCTTTATCTTTTTTACACCATGCAAATATACAAATAATTTGTTTAGGTTATTACCGCAGGCTCTGAAATAATATTCAATACTCAATAGTTAAAGGCTGCTGCCACCAAAGTCTGCTGCTTTTTGTATAACCAAAGTATTTCTTTTTAATCTGATTAGTTTTGAAATGAACTAAAATCACTCATTTTCATCTTCCACAACAGGAAGGTGGCCATGGCAAAGTGATCATGTAAGTTCCTAAAGTATCTAACAATATACAAGAAGCTTCAAATAACATTTTTCTTTTTACATACAAAAAATTAACATAATGCTAGATCTATAGTTCAGATGGCAGTGCTTCAGAATAATGGCACTGTTATTGAAACTGCATCATCCATTGTAATTTAATTTCCACTCTTAAGGCGGTAACAATTACGTGTGAAAGTGGTAGTAAGAATGATGTCTGATAAGGCACTCTGGTGGATGTATATACATACATTATAGTTGCTTTTCATCTGACTACAATTTCTTCCTCTAATGGTAGCTACCAAGTTGTCAGATAAACTGCAATAGCCCAGGCAGGTGGTGTGAACACAGTGTAAACAAAGACACTTGGTCAGAGACTGGATTTTCAGGAAAACCAAATGTCTTAAAAGTATGAATATAGCAATTATTTTTGACTGGTGTTACCTTCAGGCTAGAAAACTTCCCAGAGATAGGCGAAAGCAATGGTTCTCAAAGTATTGACCCCACCAACAACATCAACATCACCTGGGAAGTCATTAGAAATGCAAATCCTTAGGTCACATTTCAGACTTAGTGAATTAGAAACTCTGGGAGTAGACATGTTTTAATAAGCCCTTCAGGCTATTCTGCTGCTGCTCAAATTTGAGAACCACTTATCTAGAAGAAGCAAACATTTGCCAAAGGAAATAGTGGAGATTAGGCTGTAAGTTCTGTGGGGAAGGAGTTAGGGAAGTGGTGGGAAATGCAGGATCGTGCCTCGTGGTAATGCAAAGTGCACAGATGCTGACCGTGCGATCCCCAGCTAACCCAGGGTCTTATTTCACTAATCCCTGTCTTTGGCAGTAAAGTTTTCCAAATTTGAAAAAGAAAAGCCACTGTGATTGGTACAGATGATAAGGAACATTTGAGATCTCTTTCTGATGAAACCATGTCCATATATATGGCCATGATATATGTTGGGACAAAAGACATACACTAAGTATTTAAAACACTGGCTGTAATTTGAGCAATCTTAGGCATTTACACTAAATTTGGCATAGTACCTGTATTTGTCATAATATGAGCTCTGGACCTACAACTAAGAGACTCCTGTCAGGGCCTACTTAATTCTAGAAGAGCCTCTAAAATTAGCCATACAATTTAATAATATTTCAAAGGGTTATCTTGTCTCATTGACATAATGAGAGCAAATCAAAAAAAGGCTACAGCATAAATGTATATTTAGTGCAAGTTCTGCACACCTATGCAAAATGTAAGAAAATTACCAGCTTTCCTATAATTGTGAGGAGTTTTCACAATTTAAAATTCTAGATGTACTTCATGAACTAAACTAAAATGCCATTTAGCAGCTTTTTCAAAGTTATGAGTCTAAAAGTTATTTCCCTTTATAGCTTTAAATAAATTTTATGGTTCAAATAGAAAAGATGTTTTACAGTTTTGTTGGTTACTAGAATATGAACCTTTTATTCATATCAGACATAGGGAAAGGCTACTAAAATTATTCTTAAAAAATTGTCGTCAAGTCAGGAAGTTATAAATAGATACACAAATGATACTGTCAGTTTGACTGAAGCTTGTTTCTAAGATGATTTTTCAATATCCTCTGGGTAAGGTCACATGTTTATATAGCTAAATAGCTAAGTTTTATATAACCAGTTTAAAGGTCATTGACATAAGATAGTTATGCATTTAATATTCCCTTTGGAACTTAAAGCAATTTTTCATAATTAAAAACATGAAACTTACTTCCTCATCTTCATGCCATTTGAGGACATAATTCCTTATTTCTCCTTTTTGCCTTAAATTTGAAACTCTGCCTGTTATGAGCCTCAGTGTCTTGCTGTCCTTTGGAATATATCTCTTATTTCTGTGCCTACTGCACACCATTGGGGTTATTTGCTATTATACAAATAACACTGCATTTTGAGTGAGGCATTTTCTATTGTCCACCCTCAGTTAATTATCTGCTCTTCTTCATCCTGCTCTGTGTCCCAGGAGGATGACCAGTAACAGCTGTACTACCCAGCACCCTTTCTCTTTGGCTTTGATTTGCATTCAGCCATTATGGGCCATGTGTGGGAGAGAAAGATGTACAAGAAGGATGAAGTTCATGAATTGATTTTCTCTGGCCCCTCTACGCTAGGTTGAGACCAGTTGGTTGTGTTTTCCACCAAAAACCACATTGTCAGGGCTTCCACTACAATTACGTTACTCTCTCTGGGTTTCATAAATGGTTCTCTCCTCTTTCTGCACTTACTTTGCTTAGCCATGTTAAATTCTCCTCAATGACCCACTTAAGTGGGCCTTCTCATCCTACCTCATCCCAGTTAAGTCTGAGAACTTGATTTATACAGTTTTAAACAGATACCTGCTGGGCACACAACAGCAAATGGGACAATGTGGTACTGTCTTAGTCAGTTCAGGCTACTATATGAAAATGCCTTGGGTAATTTATAAACAGCAGCAATTTATTTCTCACAATTCTGGAGGCTGGGAAGTCCAAGATCAAGGCACCAGCATATTCAGCATCTGGTGAGGGCTCTCTGCTTCCTAGATGGCACTTTTTAGTTGAGTCCTCTTTTACAGGAGCACTAATGACATTCTTGAGAGCTCCACCCTCATGACCCAATCATCTCCCAAAGGTCTTCCCTTTTAATACCATTTCTTTGGGGTCTAGGTTTCAACAAAATAATCTTGGGGAACACAAGCTTTCAGACCACAGCAAGTACTAATACCAAAAAAATTATTTATTTTGCCCTTTAATGGATTTTCAGGAAATTAGAAGTGTTTATATCACAGTGCCATATCTAATTCTAGTCTTAAAATTTCTAAGCAAAAGAAAGATCAGAGCAGAAGTATTAATTATCCTTTAAAGAACTTGATAGGAAAATAAATTGATGCAAGCTGTAATGTCACATGTCTGTAGAGCAACTTATGGTTTATTAAGTCCTTTCACACACATCATCTCACTTAAAAAAACAAGTCTGGGAAGTGATCACAAAAAAAGAAAAAAATTGACTTCATTACTTTGCAGTTTGGGTACAATATTTTATTCTTTAGAGACTATCTATTTCTCCATATAGGTAGCCATTTTTATGTATATGAGGTTCATGTATATATAAAGCATCTTAGTAGAAGTCAATAAATATTGCTTCCTTTTTCTAATTCCACACTCAGTATCTAATTATGCTATGATGTTTAATAATATATAAATTATTGCCTGGATTTTAAAATTTCAAAGAAGTGTTCTATGCTTGAGGAGCTTGCAATGTAGATGGGGAGCAAATTATACACCACTATTTTTTCTATTAATTATTTAAAGCATCACCCTAAAGCTTAGTGGCTTAAAACAGTAATACTCACTTATTATTATCTTTCCCAGTTTCTGTGAATCAGGAGTGGGGAAGTGGATTGGCTGGGCTTTCATCTACTATATGAGCTAGGGGGACTCTGATGATTATTTACAGGGGATCTCATGTGGTTACTCCTCTTGGCTTGAACAGCACTAGAGAATCCACTTCACTGAGGTTTACTCATGTGGCTGGCAAATTAATGCTGGCTAATTGGTTCCTATCCATATTGACCTCTCCATAGGGCTGCCTGAATGTCCTGATGACATGTCTTCCAAGTGAGTGACCAAGGTGAGCATGTCTTCCAAGTGAGAGACCAAGGTGACAGTTACTATGCCTTTTATGAATGACCTGGTTTGAAACACATCATCATTTCTGCCACACTCTATTGGCCCCAAAGGTCAGCCTTGATTCAATATGGGAGAAGGGTATAGATGTCGGGAGCCTTCTTGGATGCTGGCTACCACATACACCTAGGAAATAAAACAATAACACAATCGGGTATCCAAATGAGGATTAATGAGAGACGGTGTTGCAAGAGCTAAATCAATGTTGCTCGAAATTGTAGAAAAGACCTAGAGGCTGAAGTGGCACTAGATTTGAAGAATGGTAAGATTTGCAAATGTGGGGATAGAAGAAGACATGGGGGAACATGAGTTTTCCTGGAAAATGTAACAAAGAAAGAATGACCAAGTAGAGTGTGTCTGAGAATTACTGAGAAGAATAATCCTAAAGAAGACTAATGAGAGGTTTGAGGGCAAATTGGAGCCCTATTGGGAATTAGAGTTTAATCCTTCGAGGCAATAGAAAAGCCTGTGACTGACATGATGAAATTAATACTGTAAGACAATTAAAATAAGGACATCTTTGGAGTTATTTAAATTTGAAGGGATAAAGACCTAAGTAAAGTTACTGCTGGAAGTTGTCAATGATAAAGAAATAGGTATGTATGTTGGAGACATTTTGAATGAAGAATTAACAAGGGCTAGTTATGGACAATGCCCGAGTAGAGCCAATATTGACTTTGTGTCTTCAAACTCAAGTAACCTGGAGAATGAGGGTGCTAATGGTGAGAAACAGAGAAGCTAGCTTTGGGGGATGAAAGCAGGTGGTAAGACAATATGCTTGCTGAGACAAGTTGAGTCTGAGGTGGGACAGCCAAGTTTATAAAGACATGTTAAAACAGTATCTTCATTTGCAGCCCCTGCTATTACTTAGGACTCTCCCCAGCCACATTTACAATTCTTAGAAAGCTGTGGGCCCATTAAAAATAATTCTTGTTATTGTTATGAATAGTATATTTCACACAGCTTTAGCAGATGACCTGACCAGTTTTCTCTAATAACATCACAGTTTCATCAGGCAACATGGGAACCCAGAAAACAAGAGATATGAGATAAAAGAAGCTAATGAGGGAGGATATGTGAATCTTTCATCTACTATATGAACTAGGGGGAGTCTGATGATTATTTATATTTCCTCTGTGAGAATGCCTGCCACAGAATAATAGAAGCAGATACTATCTATGCATTGTCAATTTTGAAACAGAGGTCAAAAGGACTACTTGACCAGAGTCACTTATGATCAGTAATCAAGTCTCATGATTATAAAAGATACCAGCTCTTTCTATGATGACAATATACATTCCCTAATAAGTTTATTTTTGAACTGATACATAAAAGGTGCAAATATGACATTTTCCTTGATACTGCTCCTGGCATAATGACTTGATTGATTTAAGAATGGAAACAATCATCATCAAGATATATTTGCTACATATCTAATTATACATTGAGCTGAGCCATAATCACTTGAAACAGTTCAAATGCACTCAGACAAAATGTGATCAATTTTACAATATTGGCACAGGTGGTCAGTGTGACAGCTCATGAAATCAATTAAGTTCAGAAGGGAAAAAATGAGGTTTGAGAATGGTAAAAAAAAAAATTAGAATGTAAAATTCTGCACATTCCAAGCATTTTAAAATTATTTTATTAGAACATTAGAAAATTTTCAAACATAAACAAAAGTACAATGATACCCATGGACCATTAACCAGCTACAAAAATCATCAACCCACACATGCCAAGCATTTTATATATGTTACTTTATACTAATACTCAAAGAGCGTAAGAACATCGCCTAAAACTATTCAGTTAGTATGGAGTAAAGTTGAGGTTTGAATTCATGTCTATGTGAAATCAGCCTCTCGGCCCTTTTTACAATAGTAGGTATAGAGCAAGGGGAAGGTGTGTCTTCCAAAAACACCTTTGCAGGTACAGACTTGACTTGATAAAGAATTTCATCTGACTGGGTGTGGTGGCTCAAGCCTGTAATCCCAGCAATTTGGGAGGCCGAGGGAGACGGATCACCAGGTCAGGAGTTCGAGGCCAGCCTGGCAAACATAGTGAAACCGTCTCTACTAAAAGTACAAAAAATTGGCCGGGTGCGGTGGCAGACACCTGTAATCCCAGCTACTCAGGAGGCTGAGGCAGGAGAATCTCTTGAACCTGGGAGGCAGGGGTTGCAGTGAGCCAAGATTGCGCCATTGCACTCTAGCCTGGGCGACACTGAGACTCTGTCTCAAAAAAAAAAAAAAAAAAATTCATCTTCATCTTGACAATGCTGGCATACATACACATTTAGATTACACATAGAATAAACATAATTTTAAATAACTACATAGTTGAATATCAAAGTACACATAATATACACACATTCCTCACAAATATCTTTAAATATCACAAGTATCTTTAATCTTTAATAGATGGGTCTGAAATGTCAATAGGCACCTTACAAAAGCTTACTGAATTAAGTGTAAGTACTCCATGGGGGACAAATAAGAGAGAAAATAAATTACATATCTGGTCATATCAACTGATTTTGTAGAATTAATTTTCCCTTTTACTGAATTCCTTTAGCTCTCAACATTGTTCTGGCCAAAAATCAATTATATACTCATGCTTAGATTATAATCTGCTAAAGTATGGGGATCTTTTCAGATTCACATTTTTCAAAATTTAGAATATATTTACTGAGGGATTGAACAAGTGGATTGAGGCTTTGGATGCTGTTCATTTCTCATCTATTCTATTGCCTAGCAGTAGAGAGAAAAGTATAACTTCTGTCAGAATTGTGCTAAATAAATGAACATCCTGTTGTGCTTGTCATAGTTGTATGGAACCAGAAAATGTGATTTTGCAAGAGGCCCTGAGATGGTAGGCTTTGTCCATGACAGTGGCTAAGGCAACAGAATGAGGGGAAGGCATCTGGGGTTCTCTGCTGGTTGGTTTCCCTGGTGTAATTTTTTGAGCCCTACCTCCAGTCCACCCCTTACTACCAGCTCAGAAGATGTGAAGGAGTCTATGGTAATTTAGATATGGTGACAAAAGGCAGGATTTGCTCTTTATGACATCAATTTTCTCTTTTACTAAGGGGGATGAAATCAATAGTGACTGTGAAAAAAGAATAGTATCAGCATAATGCACAGAATCAGGGAAAAACAATTTTCATTTTGAAGGTGACTACATTGAATCAGTTTAAGTAAAATGATGTTGTTAAATACAGAGAATGTCTACAGGGAGGTCTTGAAAGTCGTGGAGAAACTTCGTAAAAATGTAGTTGCCTGGTTATATTTCAGAGCATGATTCCCAATTAAGAGCAAAGAGCAAGCCAGATTATTTTCAAAAGCATTCACAAGGGCCATTAAAGGTTTATGACAACTTTATATGATGAAGACTTGAAGTTTTGTTGTGTAGTTTGAAATTATCACCATACCCTGTAAAGTGAAATCCAGCACTTGAAAGAAGGCAGGAATAGAGTTTTATGAATTGTGCTAATAGAATCTTAATAGTAGACAAATTAGAAAGACTTCAAAGATGTGGTCCATTTTCCAGCCCGTGGTTGAATCATCTCTACCATATCTCCACCAAGAGCCCCTTCAGCACTCAGGGTGACCGTGCAATCATTCTGGAAATGTTATGTTCTTACTGTGATGCTAAGAAACTCTTCATGAGATAAAATTCAGTGAGTTTTGATGTATATTTTGATATTCCTTTGAGAATGTCTTTTCTTATATTGAGTGAAAATATTAACCCTGTAACTTCTATCTCTTGGCCATAGTTACAAGGCTTTGGGGTCCTGACAAATAGCTTATTTTCACGTAAAAACTCCTCGCAAGTAGACGGAAGCATTTACACACTTTTTTCCTCCGTGGCTTGGAAGCCTACAGTGGATAAAGGGAGAGGAGTGGTAGGTTGCTTAGGCAGTCTCTTCCAATTTTCCCCTCCTTGTACTTGGCCTCTTCCCCCTCTCCTTCTCTAGATTGTCTTTCCCTTCTTTTTAGAGATGGATTGAGTGGGAGAGAGGGATGGTAAAGGCAGGGAAGTTTACTTGACTGGTACTGCCACAATATGGTGTGGGTGCTAGCTAAGCTTGACGCTGCTGGATTCCAGTACCCTGCACCTGAGGTGATCTTCCTCTTGGGCAGGATGGAAGTACTCCAGATCAACTCCTTCCACACTCAGTTCTGCCTTCAGCACAAGTACAGCCATTCCCAGTGCAGCCCTTTCTTTTTTGCTGTCCTGGATAGCTGGCCAGCCACCATCTTTTGCCTTTTGGCTTTGTTAGTGTGGATTTGATACCAGTCTCTCTACTTCATGAACTCTGAATTTCTAAATTAGCCTTCCCAAGTGGCTTTCTTGATGCCGGTTGGTCTCTGCTTGAAGTGGGGAATATGCACAGGCACACATCTCCCCTGCCCTGTGTTGGGGATGGGGTGGCAAAGATTATCATAGCAGTTGATTCGCTTCACTAAAGAAATTATCTTCAAAACTAATCTAGGCTCTTTGCAAATTCAACATCCTAAATATCTCTAGATTTTTCCCCGTCTTTATTTTCCTTTTAATTTCTCATAGAGGATCTATTATACTTTGAAATATTAAGAGGAATGCTTATCACCTCTCTTTTGTCCTCCTCCTTTGAGTCTTCAGGCAAAACTAAGGCAGAGAGTCCTGTGTTAACATCCTATTACTCTAACATCACCATTTACTCTCTGTCTCTTGTCTACCCTCTGACCTGCAAGTCCAATGTGGATAGCAAATTCTCCTGGACAGCACTTTCCTCCTCAACCCTGAATCCATTCTGTAATTTCTCCTCACTGGACTTCCTGCCTTTGATAATATGCTATCCTTCCCTCTGTCTACCCACTAGCTGCTGTCATAGCTCATTTCAGTTTATTATTTAGTGTCTTATTCTAGAAAGTTCTATTGTGGCTTCTACTTTCTAAAAAAGGTTATTTTTAAACCATTTTTCTTCAAAGACCTCTTTGGCTCACTTTTCCCCCCGTATCCTACTTTGTCTCCTGTTTCTTGTTCACTCTACCTGTGCACTCCACCTAGATTGCTTCCTTTGTCAAAACTGGATCATGCTCTGACCACGCTGTCACTTTAGTCATAATCACCAAGTACTCACTGAATAGCTACAGAGTATTGAGCACTATTCTGGGAAGCATGCAAGTTCAGGGAAAGTTAGGGTTTGCCTTCAGAGAATTGTGCTTTCATTGGCTAGAACAGAACACATCAAAAGAAATGGAGAACATTCAATATGTTAAAATGTGTGGCCTGACAATGTACGGTTTTCACCTGAGCCATACTGTTGGCTTTCATAAAATTTAAAGACATTCTGAAATCTCTCCTGATCTGTGAAGTCGTTCCACATTTCTCAGAAAAGGATTACCTGTTTTACTCTGATAATTTTCAACCTGATAGGTCCACAGATACTCTAGCCTTCCACTACTAACATAATTTTTCCCTGAACGTGCACATAGGATAGCCTTTGAATTTAGATTTTGCACATATTAGTTAAGTCGTTTTACTTCCAGTTATTTCTGTGCCTGACATTTTGCTTCTAAATTGTTGAGTGAAGAATCAGGTTCTTATCATTTCTTTTCATTCTTTTCCATCATATAGACTTATGAGGTGTTCAGGGCTATGTGATGATGATAATAATGTTAATAACAATAATGACACCTCCCATTTGTGTTACACTTTACAAAGTACTGTAATGTACATTATCTTATCTTATTCTAAAAATGTGCCTGTGATGATTACTTTGTTCCTCACTCTTCAGAAACTGTAATAGCTCCTCTGCCTCCCACCAGCTTTGTTGCTGACACTCCAGAGAGAACTGCATCCCCCGAGTTCTGTTGCTCAGGTAACTCCCCAGGCTCCTAAGCCCATTTGCTTATGCTTCTCTGACCCCAATTGCAAAGCCATTGATTTGGTTTCCATTCTTGCTCTCCATCCTCTTCTTTAGACTGGACACAGTCATATGCTTCTTGAGCCTGACTTACGCCAGAAGACTGGCTTTGGTTGTACTGTGCTCTGGGCCCTGCAGCTGAATGGCATCACCACCGACTCCCAGCTGCAGATCATGAAACCACTGTCTTGATCCTGCCCACTTAGGGATGGAGGTCATGGGTACACTTGTCAGCAAAAAGAGAAATATAAAACTCCCAGCTTAGAGCTCCTAAATGAGTTGTTACTTTCTTTCTAAATAGAAGCATGAGTTTAGGATACAATATTCCCAGTGAAGGCTATGCATCTTTTTCAAAACAGGCAGGCTTTTTTTTTTTTAATGCAGATTGTCATTAACACAACAATTTTCTAACGTTTGTGATTATCTTAAACACAGAACTATGTTAGTTGATGCCCAATCTCACAACTTGGAATTTTCTCAATGCTTTTCTTATGAAAATTTGACCACTATAATTATGGCTTTTGGTTTGTATAGGATTTTATATGGATATACATAGCTCCAGTTTTCATGAATTCTTCCTATTACCCAGAAGTAGGATATATTGAGCAACAAGGGTGTCAATGACTTGCAAGAATTAAAAACCAAGCAGATAAACAGAGGAATGGCAGAAAGCCTGAGGAATAAGGATAACGTAGGGAGATGGAGCACAGAGAGTTGAGTGTTGCCTCTATAGGAACAGTTTGCACATGGCAGCTTTTAGCCTAGATAAGGGTATTTATATTCCAGAATAAGTTGTCCCATATTTCCTGAGAGAAAACTGTTTTGACTGCTTTTACTTATAAGTTTAGAGCATTACACAATATACTTTTATTTTTATGTTATTAAAATATTGATGATTTGTTACACAATAGACAAACTGACAACATTTTGAGGGTGATTTATGTTTAGGGGGTCGTAGGAAATGTACACTGATTTCTTAATTTTTTTTTTTTACTGTCATTATATTCCCAGAGTAAATATATCTTGTGAAAAGAAAGTTAAAATAATTTTAAAAACTGTAAGAAGGGTTTCTACAGGATGTTTAGGGGAGAGAAAATTTTCCTCTGTTGAGGAATTGAATCTCTTCCCCTAATGGCTGAAATCTCCCTCATAGCTAAGCAGACCCAGCCTTGGCCAAGGTGATATTGAGACCTTGTTGGCGTTCCAGGGAAGCTTAGGAAGCTCGTTATGCTGGGTGTGCAGCTCAGCGATTAGATAAGATTCCTCAGAGGTTTTAGTTGCTCTTCGCTTATTTCAATTTGGTTTTCTCCTTAGCTGGCTCCTACTTAGCTTTCCTAGCCTGTGTGACTCTTTGGGTTTTCAGTAGTACCAAATCCTACAGAAGTCTGTAAAACTGTATTGCTGTTCTTCACGTAGGAAAAACACTTTTGCATTTTGTGCCGCAGAATACAGCTCTCAAAACTGCCCGTCTCATAGATGCCTTGACCCATTAGCATCTCAGGCAGTTGGTTTGTCACTTTTCTTCCATTTTATAGCTTTTAAAAATTAATGGATTGAGTTCGTCAGGCTCAGGGGCTAAAATTCTATTCAGTAAGTGTGTTTTCATGGCATAGTGCATTAATATATGCAGGCAGGAAAAATAACCCTCCCAGAAAAGAACTTTAAGATGAAATTTCTAGCTGAAGCTCCAATATAATTTGACTCTAGGTATAACTCAAGGCAATAACTTACCAATTTCATCACTCCATTTTACATTCATCTTTTTCTGGTATTTTCTTAAAATTGAGGGGGTGACTTTTTTCTGAATATAGACTTTTCTAGTATGCTACCAACTTTCAATCCACCTAACCTCAGCCACACAGTTGAGGCGGCTGCCCCCAGACTCCACAGCTGAATCGTGAATGCAGAAAGTCCTCCCCATGGTCACAACCTTCTAGGCTGTGTATGGCTATATTTCCACACACCTCGAGAGCAGCTCTTTGATATAACAGCTTCCAGCAGCTGAGCCACACTCCTTCAGCTCCTTCAGGTGCTCCCTTCCACCTGGACCCCATCACCAAGATGGAAACTACAATCTCACCACACCGCCCACTCCCTCCCTCACACCCCTGATAATTCACTGCTCCCACTTGATCCTTCACCACCAATTCCAGTCTCTGGTGACTTCATTCAGATTCATGAGAAGAAGAGCAGAGCCAGGGGAAAAGTCTGTAGTCACCTGGGCCAGCCATTGCACATTTCTGTTCTCCATCTGTATGTGATATGCTTCTCAGAGGCCTTTGCATCACCACTAATCTACTGCACACAAGCAACCACTTGTCTATACCTGCTCCTCAGGAAATGCTCTGAGAGATCGGAGACAAATGGATGCAAATTCCCACAAATTCTTCCGCTCAGTGCTAAGTGTGTCCTGCTCAGTTCTTGTTCACTCTTACTTTTTCTTTTCTGCAAAGCTTCTTTCCAGGAATATCTCCTCCATTGTGTGCTTCATCCCAACTGCTGGGTGCAGGTGAGGGGAAAGGATGCCTCAAGTGGGAGAGTGACAGGTGCTGGAAAAGAGAATCTCTGCTGTGACCACTGCCCAGCCATCCAGAAATGATGCCAGGACTGTTTGTCACAGAGGAAGCTTTGAAGACTCTATTGGAATGAGACTTCTCTCAGGAAGGGGGCTTTAGCAGACATGTGTTGCTGGGGCCACCCGCTACCAGTTCTTCCTTCCTTGGGTAACAACACCCTAATCATTCTTTGGGAAACTAATTCTTCCTCAGTCTTGATGGGACTTCTGATCAGGGTACTCCATTCCACTCCGGCCAAAGGATGGGCTCATGACCCCGCTTGACTGAATCTGATTTTTAAGCAGAATGACATATAGACTGTTGCTCTGATTCAGACTGCCAGTGAATGAATGTCTCTTCATTCCTGAAGGTGAGTGCCCAGAGCTGCTCTGAAACCTGGCTCTTCCACTTTTCTCCTCAATTCCATGAAGTATGCTATGTAGTTAAAAAATGTCTTTTTAAATTACGTTTACCAAAGTCTGTTTATATTCCTTGGAAAATCAAAGAAGTCTAACTGTTATGGAACTTGAATATGGTGTTGAGAAAAGGCATTTGACTGGCGAGTCAGAGGCCTTTGGTTCTATTTCCAGTTCCACTAAAGACAGCTACAATTATTTTGTTCCCACGTGACTTTACCTGCAGAATGAGGATTCTCAACAGGAAGAGGCACATCCAAATCTCTTGGGTGGCTTTTTAAAACTATAAACACCCATTGCCCAAGCAAATTCTGTTAAATGTCCCCCCCCCCCGCTCCTTTCCCCAGCAGCGCATGGCCTCACCATTGAACAGTACAGTACAGTGAGCCACAGTTTCTAACAGAAGCGTGTTATAGCCCTCAGATGTGTTGGATGGAAAAATATTCTACTGGGCTACAATATTTCCAAAAGTCCTTCCAGGTCTAATATCCTTTGAGTTGATGAGAACTTTTTCAAAAATACAACTATATCAGACAGGTTATGAAAAAATATTTAAAGCACAGGCAGATGGAAACCTAAGAATAGAAACAGAAATCAAATCTCAAAAATTGGAAGAATGGTTGCAAAAGATTTTGATGTGAATTGCCTTAAATATAATGATCAAACTTGTAGCAAATGTATTGGTTAGAAATCGTGAGACTCCTCATATTTTTATTCTCTAGCACAAGGGCCTTCAATTTTGTGAAAGACTACTACATTTGGAAAAGAAAAAACTTGTCTATCTTTGACACATTATGTGTTTAGAAATTTTCATTGCACTAAAGACTAAAATTATCAATGTGATCATGTAATAACTAACATTCAGTGTCTAACAGAAAAAATTTTGAGGAGTTTGACAGAAAACTACTAATCTAAAAGAACTTGGTAAAAAAACCATTCTGAATAATTTACTAATAATTAATGAAATAACTATTACAAATATGAATGATACAAATAATAGTTTAAATAAATCAAATATACGTTAGTGAGCTAAAATGAAACAAACATTGAATAGTTAATATTTTAAAGAAATATTGAAATCAAAATTTAAAATATATTTTATTAAGGGCTGTCATTTAGTTTTTTGCATTGCTGGCTTCTTTTGCTGGAAAATGTTAAGAATATTTAAATCAAAACCATGGTCTCAGCCAGTCAGCTTTGACAGGATCATCTTCTGAGAGCCAAATTAAATATTTATAATGAATATGCTTGATTTTAATTAAATCATCTCATTTTTTTGTGTTCTCTTTCTCTTATACACATTCATACACATGTAAATCACCACCACCACCACAGTATTCAAGCCAATAATATTTAATATTTACCTATTTTGCCACTTAAAAGAGCATATTCTTTGATATGATACTCTTTGCCCCTAAAGTTTCTTCAGATCATATGGAATATACCCATATGCTTATGATATTCTACAATTTCTGCAAATTGTTCACCATATGGTACTACTAGAACTTTTAAAATTATGTCTTATGCTGGCTGCATCAATAATTTCAGTGGTTTATGCATGCATATAATTATGGATGTAACTTCATCCTCTTCATTGCTTTTTGTATACCTTTTATAAGTTCTTTTTATAACAGATAAAAAACATTTGTTCAAATAAATGAGGTCATTGAAATTTAAAAGCTAATCATGAATCTAACTAGTTCCTTGCCCTGACCGTGAACATCCACTTAGAAAACTTCTAATTATTTCAACAATAATTACACTGGCAGGAGGACAATGGAGTATATAATTTATGGTACTAATTATACTATTTAAGTGTCTACATCTTACTGCCTTAGTTCATTTTGTGCTGCCATAACAGAATACCTGAGACTAGTTACTTTATAAAGCACAGAGATTTATTTCTTACAGTTCTAGAGAGAGCCCTCTTACTGTGTCATCCCATGGCAGAAGGTGAAAGGGTAAGACAGCATGAATGCAAGAGAAGAGAGATAGAAAGAGAGAGAGAGAGAGAGATCCTTTTATTAGAAACGCACTCCCAAGATAACTAACTCATTTCTACAATAATGGCACTAAATGGCATTAATCCATTTATGAGAGCAGAGCCTTTGGGACCTAATTACCTCTTAAAGATCCCACCTCTCAGCACTGTTGCACTGGAAATTAAGTTTCCAACACATGAACTTTTGGGGATACATTCAAGCCATAGAATTGACCTAAGCAAATTCTTTGAGAACCGAAGCTGGGGTAACACTGGATGACTGCACAGTGGTAACACTAACTGTTTTTGCAAGCTCTCTTTTTTTAAATTTTATTTTACTATTTCACCAACAGGTGATAAAATACAGTATATGATATGCTGTAAATAGACAGTGAAGGACTAAACAAGAAGAATGATACTTTGTGAGAAGATTATATTCCATAGTTTCATGTGAGGGGTACTTGAATTTTCAACCTTGCTTTCTGGCTACCTTTGAATAACAGACTTTTTTTCATGGTGTTGCATAGTATTTTGGAAGTAATGAAGGGAGTTTCCTACCATTATGTTTATGCATTTGTGTATCTTTGTAAAGGAACATTATGTTTATGTATTTGTATACCTTTGTAAAGGTGAAAATAGTATTACAGAATAATTTTAATTTCTGTGGATGTTTAATTTCTGTACAAAGATGTTTATAAAAATTTTAAGGACTACCACTAAAGAGAAGTTGTTTAAAAAAAATTTCACAGTTCAATAAGAGGTTAAAAAAAAGCAGGAGAAAAAAAGAGTAAACCGAAAACTTAAATAAGATGGTAGAAATAAGTTCAAATATGCCAGTTATAACAATAAATATAAACAGACTAGCTTTTAAAGAAAGATAATATGTGATTTGGATTTAAAATAAAACATATGTGTTATCTATAAGAGATATATTTTAAGTTAAAAAAACAGGCTTTCAACAAGATGATTGGTCAAACTACAGCTGAAAAATAGTAAACCAAATAACATTAAAATCAGCTAAAATAGAATTTAAGGAAAAAATTATAAAAAGAGACAAGTGAAGATACTAAACTATGATTTTTAAAAAGCCACATAACCATACCTTCAAAGTATATAAAGTGAAAACTGATGGATTTGTAAAGATTTTTTAAATCCACAGAAGTATAGATTTTAAATCACCTGTTAAAAATATTAGGTTAAATAGAATATATATGAGTGTATATATATATATATATATAGAGAGAGAGAGAGAGATAATATATATATACATATATAAATATATAATATAGTTATACACATCTCTATATATTAATATAAAATATATTTATATTATAAAATTTTTACATAAATATATAATTATAGAAGTATATAGATCTCATACAAATCTATATATTTGTATACATGATATATAAATATAACTATATATAATTATAGATTTGTATAATTATATTGTGTATATAAATATATATATTTTTGTGTGTATATACATATATAATTAGATAATTAGATATAATATGAAAGTCCCAGTTTTGTACTTTTCATAATTGGGATACACTATTTTTTCTTTATTTTCTTATTCTTTTCTTTATCAAAGAATTTCTCCTTACAGATATGTCATATACTTCCTGTAATCTTTTGTAAAAAAAAAATCTGAAATATCAGTTATCTTTGTGTCACTGGAAACCAGAAATGTTATTCAAACTGCACTCTAATCCACATAAATTAATCTCAAGTCAGTTCACCTTTCTCAAAAAAACTGACCTCACTGACCATCAGAAAAATTAATGACACTTAGGCAGGGCTCTAAAGGTTTTCAGCTACTACCCCAACTCTATTACCACCATTTTTATATGTGAAATTGATTTTTTTCTCAGTTTTATTGGCAGTACAATAAAACAGAATTTTGTTATTTTTATCCTACTATTCCCCTATTCCTTAGGTTGTTTTCCCTAAATTCCTCCTAAACTGAAATTATGAAGCCACAATTAATCAACAAGGTAGTATCAATCAATAAGGGTCCTGTTGTTTTTAATATTTAATCACTAAAAATTTTTTTTCTAAGCCATGACTCACTCACTTTTACCCTAAAATATTTAGCCTTGCTTATGTTTTATATGAATATATATTTGTCATATATTGTCAATATAATAAATGATCATTAATTTAATTAGGGCTCATTTTACTAAGCTTAAAGATGGATTTAGACAAGTAAAATATATACAAAATATATGGTCTTTTCTCATACTCTCTGCCTGCAGACCCTCAACACCTTTCCTTTTTCTTATTTGTTCTCTTTAAAATTTCTTCTCTACTTCTCCATATTAATAATATTCAATAGAGCATCATTTTTCAACCTTGATATAAACTTCCCCAATTTCTTCCAAAGATTGTATTGCTTCATCCCTCTGAAAGGGAGCATGTTTTACAGAGGAGGCAGTAATTTCTCAGCTTTGATTATCAAATTTTATGTTTTGTTTATATTGTCTTTTCCCCTAACATGGCTGTAGTTGTTTTACGCAGATTTTGACAAGAGGGAAAGGGCTTTCCACCCAGATGTGGTGGCCTTGACTGTCAAGTTTACTAAAATCAACCATGGAAAAACTATGAGATGGTACCTAAGATATGTCCTGTCATATGGAAGGGGGAAGCCTGTTCCCCCTGGCCACAGTGCTTGTGGAAGAGAAAAGAGAGTCAGAAATAGAGGAAGCAAGTATTCACACATTTGGTTGCAAACTTTCCCATATGCACAAAACTTCCAGGGAGTAAAGAAGGATAAGCTGAAGGGTTTTTACCCACTTCCTGTTTTGAACTTCAGGTGGAGATGCCCACTCCCGGTGACCTTGCCAATGTGGGATGGCAATAGACAGCATAGCTAGTGGTCAGATCTGAGTTGGGGGGTAATCTCAACACAGCTTCTACCACTGTTTGGCAAGGAAGAGCTCCGTAGTTCCTACATGTTCCCCCAGTCTCCCAAGTGGAGATTAAGAGGGCAACTGAATAAACAGCTAGGGAAATTTCCAGGAAGATTCAGGCATTAGTATTACTTAGGATAATTCCACAGCTAAGAACTGTAGAATATGTTATTGGGCTGGGGACAAAGTAGGAATCTCTGCCAGAAACCAGAGTGTCTCTGATATGAGATGAAGCCAATGGGGCCCATCAACAAGGTGAAATAGCTATGTTCCCCAGAGTACTGCCTAAACTAAGTGAACATAGCATGGGTTACACCACCCATGCTCTACAGTGGCAGACACCAGCAAGAAGCCCACAGATAGGACCAGCTCGACCAGTCCGACCACACTTGGTGAATACCAACCAGCTATCAGCTGTTCTACAAAAATCCTGGCACCCTTCAACAACCCTGCAGGACAATAAACTTTCTCTTCATTGGAAATACTGTCTCAGGCAGGAGGAGGAAAAATAGAGAAACAGCTGGATGAGGGATGTGACGTTAAGTTGACTAAATGTTTGAGAAAGCTTGTTTTAAACTGAAGGAGATTAAGCTGGAAGAGAAAGTAATAGCATTAATTGGAAATTTTAAAATTTATTTTGCCCTAATATCTAGCAAAATGTGGTATTCATAAAGATAAGTTATAGAGAAATAAGTAACGAAGCTTATAGAGGTGTAGAAGTGTAAATGATGAGTGTATTCTACTGTGTGAAGAAATAATTCACAGTGTATATCTGTGTAAAAGTGTCAATAATTATGTCTGATCTATTAGATATAGATCTAAATATAGATTGCTATGGTCTCAATGTTTATGTCCTCTCAACATTCATATTTGGAAATCTAATCCCCATTGGGATGGTATTAGGAGGTGGGGCCTTTGGGAGATGATTAGATCGTGGCAGAGGGGCCATCACGTGTGGAATTAGTTCACTTTTTTATAAAAGAGACCCCAGAAAGCTGCCTTGCTCCTTCCACCACGTGAGGATGCAGAGAAAAGGCATCATCTGTGCAACAGGAAATGGGCCTTCACCAGACACTGAATCTGCTGAAACCTTGATCATAGATTTCCTAGTAACCCCCTAGAACTATGAGAAATAAATTTCTGTTGCTTAAAAGCTACTCAGTGTGGTATTTTGTTATAGCAGCCCCAATGGACTAAGACTATATTAGATATATAGACATAGATCCATATCTATCTATTTATCTAATCTACGTACTGTATATAAAAGGCCACATATCTATATACAGTACAGTACCATATGCGATTGAGATTGTGTGTGTTTTCTCATACATAAAATTTCAATTAGTAGCTTTGGATGTAAGTCTCCCTTCCTTCCTTCCTTCCTTCCTTCCTTCCTTCCTTCCTTCCTTTCCTTCCGTCTCTCACTCTCTCTTTCTTTCTTTGACGTAGTCTTGCTCTGCCGCCCAGGCTGGAGTGCAGTGGCGTGATCTCGGCTCACTGCAACCTCTGCCTCCCAGGTTCAAGCGATTCTCCCACCTCGGCCTCCTGAGTAGCTGGGATTACAGGCATCCACCACCACAACCAGCTAATTTTTGTATTTTTTAGTAGATACAGGGTTTCGCCATGTTGGCCAGGCTGCTCTTGAACCCCTGACCTCAAGGGACCCACCTGCCTTTGCCTTCCAAAGTGCTGGGATTACAGGCCTGAGTCACCATGCCTGGCTATAAGTCATTTTCTGAATTTCATGTTATTTTCTGGAAATAAAATTACTAGGCCAGTGGAAATGAGTATTTTAAAGACTATTGGAATAGTTTGCCAAAGATAGCTTCTGTACCTAAATCAATCCATTCCTTTAAAATTGTCAGATATTTGAGAATGGCAAAAAAAAAAAAAAAAAGAAAAACTATATAAATCAAATATTGCATTTGTCATTTACACTTTCGTTATTGTGAAGGCCAGATTTCAGGCTGTGGTTTGATTCTTCTGAGGTACTTGCTCTTTATTGAAGACACGTAGCCACTGGCTGTAAGGTAGCACTGTGTGATTGCTTCATGTTGTCTTATTTCTGTCCAGCTGAAAGATATTCCTTTCCACTCACAAAGACTGCAGTGAACTTAGGTATTACTATTAGATACTTTCTCCACCAAGTCTCAATGTGATCAATCGCATGAGTTTCATGAAGATTATTGCTTGCTACTCAATCAAAATCCATTGTTAGATATTTTAAATTATCTATTTAAAAAGCCTCTGTAGGAATTAAAATCTTTATACAATTTTTAAAATTATGAATAAACTTTGTAAAAATATAGCAATATTTAAGTGCTATAAGTTATTTCCAAGCAGTTTCCATTGAACTCTTCTCTGGTTGATATTCTAGGCATCAAGCAGCAATCTTCACTCTCAGAAAAGAACCAATTCACTATTGGCTGATGTTCACAGCAGGCCAGGATAGGGACCCATCACTTTTTCCTCCTTATTACACGCTGTCCTTTCCATTAGAATCATGGCAGTCTTCACACTGCTCCCTTTGCATGTATAACTCATCCTATGAGTCAGGCCTTGAATTTATTTATTCCAGTAGGCTCCTAAAAACTTTCTCCTTTGGCAGTACAATCTCTCAAAACCAGATTCGCATCAAAATAATTTCCACCATCGATATTGTAGCACATATTATTCCACAATGATTTTTTAAATTAACAGTGTAGCATATGTTATTCCAAACATCTGAATGGATTAATTTTACTTCCAGAGATGGGATACTAAAGGGTTGAAAATATAGAAGAAAAATAATGTCAAAACATATAAAACTATGCATCCTTATAATCATGAGGAAGAGAAATATACATACCTGTATACAGAGATTTTTCTTGTTTTCTTTGCAATTACACTGTGTAAAAGTTTGAACATCAAGTTCTTTTACACTGGAGTTTCTTAAGCATAAAACTGTAAAACTCAGAGAGGCAAAGAACTGAAATGAAATTTAATTTTTAAAAATTATTAAAATATTTTACATGTGGCTTTTCCATTTTTAAGGTACACTTGTATTTCTTTGCTTTCATCTACATTCTTAATTGACTTCAAAGAGACTGTATTTTATTCAATATCTGTTTATATCTTCAAAAAATTCCTGAATCATCTTCAAAATGCAACTCAAATGATGACCTTACTGATGAAAGAGAATTATTTCTCTTCTTTTTAGTTTAGGTGCATAGATACATAGTTCATTCTGAATAATAAAAAGCTTTGAAAGGGGAAAGAACATTTTTCTTTATATTTGGTGGCAATTTTGACTTTGTATAGTCATTCATGGAGTTCAAAGAAATTTAAATGGACAGAGCACAGAAGTATTCCTGACACAGCATCATTCAACAAATTCCATCCTGTGCTCATTCTGGCAACCTTAGACAGCCAATATCAAGTCCACACCCCTTGTTTGCTCTCCTATAGCTAACATAATATTGTTTTTACAAAACCAATGACTGAGAGATATGGTAGGTGGAATTGGGCATGTGGAGTCTGTGGGGAGGGAAGATAGCCATTTTAAATAGGGTGGTAAATTCTGAAAGATGTAAAGGAGTAAGTCTTGTGGATTTCGGGGCAGAGTGTAACAGAGTAAAACGGCTGATGCAAGAGACACAGGTGAAAGGGTGAGAGTGGCATGTCTGAGAAACTGCAAGGAGGTCACTGGGCTAGAGCAGAGTGAGCCTGAGGGATGTGGTAAGAGATAAGATTATCAGAGAGGTAATAGGGGTGGAGGTGTCACAGTGCGTCTCCTAGAAACTTGAAAGTTCGCACTGAATGAATCTGAGAGCCAATAGAAGAGTAAATAAAGGAGTAGTGTTTTAAAATCTGATTTTGCTTTTCAAAATAGGATATACAGGGTCAAGAGTGAAAGAAGACAGTCTAGTTAGGAGACTATTCAATTAGCACAAGAAAAAAATGATGATGGCCCTTACTACTGTCTTCTCATCAGACTATACTTTTTCAATATGTAACATGTCTCTTTGTTCTCTTCTATTCAAAGCTTTTCATTTGAATATTGATTTTATTAAATATTCATGCCTACTTTCTTATTGTTAGTATTTGCCTGAAATTTCTTTTTCAATATTTTATTCTCAACTTTAAATCACATTTTACTTTAAGTGTGTCTCCTTAAGCCAGGAAGTACATCAGTATTTAGTTTACCCAATCTGAGTGTCTTCAAACAGGAAAATGTATCCCATTATCATTATTTAATAGTGGATATTTATAATTATTTGTGACATTTTATTTTATATTTTCTGTTTACTGTGTTTTCTTTTTTCCTATCTTTTTGTGTTGATAGTTTTTTTTTTTTTTTTTTGGCTGTTGTTGCTGCTGTTCAATTTTATTTACTTTAGAGTTTCAAAAATTATGCATCCTAATCTTATTATTTGAGTGGACAGCCCTCAAAATCATAAGACACATAATTTTGTATTTTCCTTACTATCTTAAATAAATTATTTGTATTTAATTATTATCTGTATCTTTTATAAGTTCTATATCACTGTTCCTTTAGTTTTCCAGTTATATTTTTGTGATTTTTGAATCTGTCTTTCTCTGCCTTCATATGCTCTGACATTTAACTTTTATTTGCTTCTGTCACTGCACTGAGCACTTTTTATCTACACCCACCTTCTTTGCATAGCTGAACCACTCCTTCCCAACGAGCGGTTAATCTATTGTTTTGAACAGCATTGAACATCCAGATGGAGCTCTCTCTCATTCAATAAGCACTAGCTACTCCTCATTGTAGGAGAATCATCATCATAATTTTTAGAAAAGGATACAATTATCCATATCACATTAAATTACATCATTTTCCTTCATCTAGAAACGGAGTTTATAATGCATACATACTCACACACACAGCTTATGTTTATGTGGGCTTTATTTGAGGAAAAGTGTTTTACTTTCTTTGCTGTGGCAGATGGTTACATGTCGTTTTGTAAACATGGTGAGGTAGAAAAGATACTGCAGAAGACCTTAACATCGACAGGCAACATACACCTTATCTTCTTCATCGCACAGTAAGAGCCTCAAGGACCATTTGGAAGCCTGCAGAGGCAGACACTGTATTTTCTTTGCTTTGGCACTTATCATTAACCCAGAGAGCTACCCAGCTGCTAGTGCTGAAAAGCTATCCTTAGGGAAGAATTTCTTTCAAACAGAGCACCGTTTCTTTAAAACCACGTTGCCATTTGTATTCAGTACAAGAGAGCTCATAACCAAAAGCGCCAACTGAGCTTTCCAAAGGCAAATGAGTCAGTCAATGAAGTATTTTTAGATAATCACTAGATTCTTAAATTATTCTCAAATATTGTAGACATGAATATTAATTTACTCTATTTTGATGATCAAATTTACAAAGAAAAAAAATACTCTCTTTATCCCCAGCTTTCTTATGGCAATACTGACCTCTCTCTGTTTCCATTTCCTAGAATACTGTTCACCTTAACCATCCAATCTAACCAAGTAATGTTTTCATATTATACTTATTTTAATTCTTAAACAAAAATCAACTATATTTTAATATATCTATCAATTAATTCATTTATTTGCTTATCTAATTCCTGTTTTCTTCTTAAAAGCAAGGTTCTTTTCTATATTATTTGCTTCCATATCTCCTGCATCTAGAACAAGACCTGGTGTATATAGCAGGTGATTAATCTATATTTCTCAAGTGATAAAGAATATTACAATGTTCTGAAATAATTAAAAAACTTTAATTTCATCATGATAAACCTTAGAAAAAAATAAAATTGTCAATCATGTCAAAATTCTGAATATTATAACATTTTATTTTAAAAACTTCCAGAACCTAGAGTTATTCATTCTTTGTAATCATCTTTAGGATTGCCAAAATAATGCAAATTTAATTTTTTAAAATGTAACAAGAAATACATGTACATTATTGTGAAAACATAAGGATCTCTTATAGAAATTGTTGATGACTTTTTTTAAAATTAGGAGAATTTTTTAACATTTTCTTACAAAATAGTTAATTGTGAGATTTGTTTTTGTAAGTAGAAAGCATATAGGATTGTGATATTTTAATGGCTCAGATGAAAATCAAATTCCCTTAAAAAGTTATCTTTGTGACTAGTAGAATTCTTCTATGCAGGTTAAAAAGATGTTTGAAGGAGGCCAGGCACAGTGGCACACACCTGTAATCCCAGCACTCTGAGAGGCTGAGGCGGGCAGATCACCTGAAGTCAGGAGTTCGAGACCAGCCTGGGCAACCTGGTGAAACCTCTACTACAGATACAAAAATTAGCCCAGCATGGTGGTGGGCGCCTGTAATCCCAGCTACTCGGAAGGCTGAGGCAGGAGAATCGCTTGAATTCAGGAGGCAGAGGTTGTGATGAGCCGAGATGGCACCATTGCACTCCAGCCTGGGCAACAAGAGTGAAACTCCGTCTCAAATAAATAAATAAAAATAAACGATGTTCAAAGGAAAACAAAAGAAATAAATAATCCCCAAAATGAGAAATGGCATTTGTTATCAACATATTTCATGTGGAAACAGGAGTTAAAAATGGATCATTGGCCCAGAGCGGTGGCTCACGGTTGTAACCCCAGCACTTTGGGAGGCCAAGGCGGCCGGATCACCTGAGGTCAGGAATTCGAGACCAGCCTGGCCAACATGGTGAAACCCCGTCTCTACTAAAAATACAAAAACTTAGCTGGGCGTGGTGGTGGGCGCCTGTATTTCCAGCTACTCGGGAGGCTGAAGCAGGAGAATCGCTTGAACCTGGAGGGCGGAGGTTGCAGTGAGCCGAGATGGCACCACTGCACTCCAGCCTGGGTGACAGAGCAAGACTCCATCTCAAGAAAAAAAAAAAAGAACCATTAATAGCATACGAGGCAAAAACCTAGCAATAAAATACAACAGAAGAGTAGTGGAATAAAATTTCTTGTTTATTTAATTCCATCTGTCTGATATCTGAGATTAGGTTTCTAAAAAGCAGTGAATTTGCTCCTCTTCAACTGAAGATGAATATGAGAAATGGAAAGACCAAAATTACTTTCAGATTAATTGATACTGAAGAACTAAATCTAGGTGCAAAAGAATGCTGAAAAAATATTCATAGTTTCAGCCTCAGAAAGATGTTTTTCAGCAAAATATAAAATTATAATATAAAACATGAATGCTAAACTATTAATTATAAAATCTGAAGATTTTTCCAGATATATCTCTTCTCCAATCTTCTTAACTTCAAACATCAGAGCTTAAAAAAATAGAGCTTCTGGTTTCCCTTGGGCTGATTGTGGCCACTTAATTTCAAATACTCCCCCAGAAAACATGTATGTCAACAAGAAGAACAAATAAAATCACCAATAGCCTATGACAACAGCAGAGAGATAGAAAATAATTGAAATGTTTAATTCACATGTAAGTAAACATTGCTGTTTTACAGACCAGGGTCAAGGGTCAAAGATTTTGCAAAAGAGAACAGAATACACTAGAGTCCTAATAGCAGAGAAATACAGTTATTATAATATTAAGAGTTACCATCAAGAAAGGAGGATTGCATCCTGAATGGATGAATACCAACAAAAGATCCAAAGCCTGGTACATCAGAAAACTGAATATAGGAAATAAAAAGAAAGCAGCTTACACAGTAAAAGAATATCTCAGAGATACTGTGAGTTAGGTTCCAAACTGCCATGGAAAGGCAAATATTGCAATAAAGTGAGCCACATAATTTTTTTGTTTTTCCCAGTATATATAAAAGTTATGTTTACACTATACTGTGGTCTATTAAGTATGCAATAGCATTATGTCTAAATAATGCACATACCTTATTTTAAAAGTACTTTATTGCTAAAGAATACTTATGATCATCTCAGGCTTCAGCGAGTAGTAATCTTTTTGCAGGAGGAAGGTTTTGCCTCAAGGTTGATGGCTGCTGACTGATCGAGTGCTGATTACTGAAGATGAGTGTGACTGCAGTAATTTCTTAAAATAAGACAACAATGAAGTTAGCCACACCGATGGACTCTTCCTTTCATAAATAATTTCTCTGGAGCACGCCCTGTTTTTTGACTTAATAGCATTTTACCCACAATAGAACTTCTTTTGAAACTGAAGTCAATCCTTTCCAACGCTGTCTTTGCCTAATCAACTAAGATTATGTAATATTCTAAATTCTTTGTTGTCATATAAATGATGCTCAGAGCATCTTCACCAGGAAGAGATACCATCTCAGAAAATCACATTTTTTATTCATCCATGAGAAGCAATCCCTTTTCTATTCAAGTTTTATCATGAGATTGCAGCAATTCAGTCACATCTTCAGGAGCCACTACTGACTCTAGTTCACTTGCTATTTCTACCACACCTACAGTTGCTTTCTCTTCTGAAGTCAAGTCTTGAACCTCCCAAAGTCATCCATCAGGGCTGGAATCAACTTCTTCCAAACTCCTGTTAGTGTTGATATTTTGACCTCCAATGAATCAGAAATGTTCTTAATGGCATCTAGAATGAACTCTTTCCAGAAGGTTTACAACTTACTTTGTCCAGATCTACTCACTATCTATGGCAGCTATCACCTTATAAATGTATTTCTTAAAGAATATAACTTGAAAGTCAAAGTTACTCCTTGATCTATGGGCTGCAGAATGGAGGTTGTATTAGCAGGCATGAAAACCACATTAATTTCCTTTTACATTTTCATCAGAGCTCTTGAGTGACCAGCTACATTGTAAATGATCAGTTTTTTGAGTCTTTTTTTTTTTTCTGAACAGTAGTCTCAGCAGTGGGCTTCAAATATTAAATAAACCATGCTGTAAAGAGATGTTCTGTCTTACAAGCTTTCTTGTTCCATTTATAGAGCACAGTTCAAGTAGGTTTAGTGTAACTCTTAAGAGCCCTAAAAGTTTTAGAATGGTAAATGAGTATTGTCTTCAACTTAAAGCCACCAGCCATGTTAGCTCCTCACAAGAGTCAACCTGTCCTTTGAAGCTTTAAAGCCAGGCATTTTTCCTCCAACATAAGGTGATTTCATCTACATTGAAAATATGTTTTCATATTTGTTTAGTATAGCCATGTTCATCAAACATCTTACCTTGATCTTCTGGAAACTTGCTGCAGCTTATAATCAGCAATTGCTTTTTTACCTTGTACTTTCATGTTACAGTGATGGCTTCTTTCTTTAAACCTGGTGAACCAACTTTTTCTAACTTCCAACTTTTCCTCTGCAGCTTCCTCACCTCTCTCAGACTTCATATAATAGAAGAAACTTAGGGCCTTGATCTGGATTAGGTGTCAGCTTAAGGGAATCTTGTGGCTAGTTTGACCTTCTATCCAGACCATTCAAACTTTGTCCATATCAGAAATAAGGTTGTCTCATTTTCTTATCATTTATGTGTTCACAGATGTAGCATTTTAATTTCCTTCAAGAACTTTTCCTTTGTATTTTTGCATTCTTGTCTTACATAACTTGGCTAACAGCTTGGTACAAGAGACCTAGCTTTTGGCCCATCTCAGATTTAGACATGCCTTCCTCACTAAACTTAATAATTTCTAGCTTTTTATTTAAAGTGAGAAAAGCTTTCACCGGGCTTAGTCTATTTATATATAATGTAATTGTGATGTTTGGGGATTTAAATCTGTCATTTAAAAAATTTGTCCCACATTTTATTTTCTTAGCTTTTCTTTTTATTCTGTATACTCCTTTCATACCTTCTTTTGGATTTATTTTTCTAATCATTCCATCTTCTTCCCACCTTCTTATTAGCTTTTTAGTTATAAATGTTTGTTATTTTAATGATTATCCTCATGTCTAGCTATATTTAAATGGACCTTTATACATTCTTTTTATAGTTTAAACCTCATAATACATTACAGTAAGCCTTCACTTAACATTGTCAACACGTTCTTGGAAACTGAGACTTCCAGTGAAACATTGTATAACAGATCCAATTTTTTCCCTCATTAACACTGTAAGAATACATTGAATAAAACAATATTATTTGAAAACCTGCTAAATTCAAAATTTTCAAAAACCTATTAATAACATTAAATGAGGACTTACTGTGGTTTTGTTGCTTTAAACAGTGAATGTATATGTACATTTAACAAAATATGTACCAGTGTTCTTTATTCTTTCTGTTTGTATGTAGTTCCAGCTGGGATCATGTCCCTTCTACTGGAAGGGCAGAAATTTGTTATTATTATTACTATTAGGATGATGATTATTAGTATTTGTTATTGCATCTCTTCTAGCAAAATATTATTTTTCTTTTTTTAAAAAAAATCTTTATTTTACCCTCTTTTTTTGTGACAGATATTTTCCTTGGGTATTGAATTCTAGATTGACAGTTTTTTTCCTTTGGACACTTCAAAGATGTCATTTCACCGGCTTCTGACTTCCATTATTTTTTGTTGAAAACTTGGTGTTAACTGTTGATCTTTTGAATAATGTATCCTTTTTCTCTGAATGATTTTCAATTTCTCTTTGTTTTCTTCTCTTTTTTTTATCTCTCTCTCTCTTTTTTTTTTTTTAGACAGGGTCTCCTTCTGTCACTCTGGGTAGAGTACACTGGCACAATCACAGCTGACTGCTGCAGCTTCAACCTCCTGGGCTCAGGTGATCCCCCTACCTTAGCCTCTACTCTGTCTAATCTGTTGATTAAACCCTATATCAAATTCTTAGACAATGAGTTCTTGTGAGATCTGGTTGTTTAAAAGTGTGTGGCACTTCCTCCTCTCTGCTTTTAAGTAATCATTTTTATTTCTGGGATTTCTATTTGATTTGTTAAAATAGAATCCAATTCTCTAGTCAAATCTCCATCTTTTCACCTATTGGCTTGAAAATATTAAGCATAGTTATTTTTTAGTTGAGATATAATTTACGTAACATAAAATTCACCATTTTAAAGATGACAAATCAGTGGTTGTTAGTATATTCACTATGTTGCCCAAACACCACCACTATCTAATGCCAGGGCGTTTCTATTACTCCCAAAGAAACTCCACAGTTACTAGCAGCCAATTCTCCCCTTTTCCTGTCCCCTGGCAACCACTGATACAGTTTGGGATTTTTCCCCTCTAAATCTCATGTTGAAATGTAATCCCTAATGTTGGAGGTGGGGCCTGGTGGGAGGTGATTAGCTTATGGGGCAGATCCCTCATGGCTTGGTGCTGTCCTCAAGATAATAAGTTCTTATGAGATCTGGTTGTTTAAAAGTGTGTGGCACCTCCTCCTCATTCCTTCTGCTCTTGCCATGTGATGTGCCTACTCTGGTCCCACCTTCCACCATAAGTAAAAGCTCCCTGAGGCCTCCTCAGAAGCCAGGCCGATACTGGCCCCATGCTTGTACAGCCTGCAGAAGCATGAGCCAATTAAACTTCTTTTTATTTACTTATTCATTTTTTAAAAAGATGTAACTAAAAATTTAGACATAGTCAATCATATATGGAAGAAGTGAGGGAAGCAATATGAAGTATAAGGTATAAATGAGTAAAAATCCTAACATACCCTATAGAAAGTAAATTGATTTATCAAGAGGAATATTATTTTCACATGAGAAGATAAATACCAGAACAAACAGTTAAAAACAAAGTGATTCTTCTAGCAAATGGCACAAATCAATGAAATGGGACAAATCAATGAGAGAAAAGAGTGAAGAATTTATATATATATATATATATATATGTTTTATAGAAGTATTTAACAATTATTTTCATGTAATACTTTCACCATAATTTTTTAAATTTTAATAATCAAGAAATAATGAAAAATAAAAATAGGTTATAAATTATAGGCAACTGCAGAGAATGTGGGAATTATTCTGATTTTTTTTAATTTATTTTTTTTAATTATACTTTAAGTTGTAGGGTACCTGTGCTTTTTAAATAAATTACCCAGTCTCAGGTATTTCTGTATAGCAATGCAAAAACAGACTGATACAACTACTAATATACTTCTATTTTAGATACTTAATATATGTGAATCACACAATTTTTTTTTGTATCTGGCTTCTTTCATATAGCATGATTTTTGTTGTTGTTGTTGTTAATTCATAAACTTTATTTTTAGAGCAGTTTTAGGTTCACAAAAAAGTTGTGCTAAAAATATAGAGAGTTTTTTATACCCCTGTGCACACACATACATAGCATCCCCCAAAAAGTGGTGTCTTTTTACGACTGATTACCAACATTGACACATCATTATCACCCAAAGTCCATAGTTTATGTTAGGGTTCCCTCTTGGTGTTGTACATTCAATGGGTTTTTACAAATGTAAAATGACAGGTATCCACCACTGAAATATGGTATAGAATAGTTTCTCAGCCCTAAAAATCCTCTATGTTCTGCCTATTCATCTCTCCTTCCCGCCAACCACTGGCAGCCACTGATCACCTTACCGGCTCATCCATGTTGCAGCATGTATCAGCCCTTCATTTATTTTTAAGGCCAAATATGTTGCATTGTACAGATATATCACATATTGTTTATTCAGTAATCAGTTAATGGATATTTGGGTTGCTACTGCTTCTTCACTATTATAATGTTGCCATAAAAGTTCATAGACAAGATTTTGTGTGAACGTATCTTTTCAATTCCCTTAGATATATATCTAGGAATGGAATTGCTGGGTTTTATCATAGTTTTATGCTAAACTTTTTGAGGAATAGCCAAGTTATTTTCAACAGTGTCTCTACCATTTACATTTCCACCAGCAATGCATTAGGGTTTCAATTTCTCCACCTCCTCACCCACATTTGCTATTGACTATCTTTTTTACTGTTAACATCCTAGGGGGTGTCGAGTGCCATCTCTTTGTAGTTTTTATTTGTTTTTACCTAATTATTAATGATGTTGAGCTTTTTTTTGTGTTTATTGGCTGTTGGTATATTTTCTATGGAGAACTGTCTTTTCAAATGAATTATCCATTTTTAAATTTGGTTATCTTCACTTGTTCAATTTTATTTCTTTTTTTCTATTCCTCAGACTGGGTAACTAATCTAAATTGACCTATTTTCAAGTTCACTGATGCTTTCTTCTGACCAAATCTCTTGTTGAGCCTCTCTAGTGAATTTTTTATTTTATTTGTTTTTTTTCCTACTATAAAGTTTCTATTTGTTTTTTCTTTAGAATTTCCATCTTTTTATTGATATTCTCTATTTGGTAAAACATGTCTCCCACATTTCTTTAATTCTTTAGGATTACTTTAATTATTCAGTTCCTTGGGTGTTTTCAGCTTTTCAGACATATTTAAAATAGCTTTTTTGCTGAAAAGACATTTATTTGATATGTGATATGGTTTGGCTTTATGTCCCCACCCAAATTTCATGTGGAATTGTCATCTCCACGTGTTGAAGGTAGGGCCTGGTGGGAGGTAACTGGATCATGGGGGCATATTTCCCCCATGCTATTCTCATGATAGTGAGTGAGTTCTCATGAGATCTGATGGTTTAAAAGTGTGTGGTACTTCCCCCACCGCCCCCCTCCTGCCTCCATGTGAAGAAGGTGCTTACTTCCCCTTCGCCTTCTCCCATGATTGTAAGTTTCCTAAGGCCTCCCATTCATGCTACCTGTTAAGCCTGCAGAACCATGAGTTGGTTAAACCTCTGTTCTTCATAAATTACCCAGTCTCATGGTCTCAGGTAGTTGTTTATAGCGGTGTAAGAACAGTCGAATACAGCATGTATTTTCCCCAAATAGTAAAATAAACTGACCAGTGGATCAAAATAATTTAACCTAACAAATGAAAAAAAGCTATTTGATTTCTCAATAAGAAAATACGCTGATCAAAATTTTCACCAAGAATCAGTTGAAAATGTTGCCACCTCATTGGCATTATTTTGGCTGCTCACCTAGGTGATTCCACTGACCTAAAAATAAAACATAAAAACAAATAAACAAACAGTCTCTTTCTCCATAAAACATTAAACCACCACCATCAAAAGCTGATTCTATTTATGTCTACATATGAGGGAGCCTAGACTCTTGAAATAGTATAATACCAAGAGAGACCACAGCAATTGCATGGTTGCTGAATCTAATTTGTCAAGTATCAGTTCAGTTCAATTCAGTCCAGATCTTGAAGGTGACATGCTTTGTACATCAGGCTCAGCTCTTACCTGTTTAGGTTACTTAATGGAATTTTAAGTAATTTTAAACCTACACTGAAAATGAAAAAAATTAATATGCTAGAAATCAGAATGCAAATTATACATTCATTTTAGGATAAAACACAAAACTGGTAAGACATTTCATGTTTGTGGCAGGTTTGCTTCATGAGGCAATCCATGGTATCCTGAGAGATACATTGTTAACTCTTACCTCTTTTCAGGTGGTGTATGTGTGTGTGCACACGTGTGTGTGTGGGTGGACAGGCAAGGTGCTCTGGCTTGGGTTTTCTGAAGTCAAATCTAAAGAACAATCAAGACCAAGACAAATGGTGTCATGGGACAAGGTCCCCAGTGGGAAGTGAGGCTTATGGACAAGAGAACGGAAATAGAATAACAAAAGAAGCTGATTTGGAGAAGCAGGGTGCAGGGCTGACAGTACAGGGAGGTATTCTCCCTGTCCTGCTAACTGTAATTGTGTGCTTATCTCTCCCCTGAGTTTTGGCTATTATATTCTGAGTCTGGGTCCATAGGTAAGGCTGCACACAAAGGTAGGTCTTGAGTTTCACACAAAGAGTTTAGGTATTCCCAGTGTAGATTCTCCTGAGAAGGGAATAATTTTTTTTTTTTTTTTTTTTTTTAGATGGAGTCTTGCTCTGTCACCCAGGCTGGAGTGCAGTGTCATCATCTTGGCTCCCTGCAACCTCTGCCTCTGGAGCTCAAGTGATTCTCCTGCCTCAGCCTCCTGAGTAGCCGGGATTACAGGCACACGCCACCACACCCAGCTAATTTTTGTATTTTTAGTAGAGACGGGGTTTCACCATGTTGGTCAGGCTGGTCTCAAACTCCTGACCTCGTGATCCACCCGCCTCAGCCTCCCAAAGTGCTGGGATTACAGGCGTGAGCCATTGCACTCGGCCAAGGATAATCTTTTTAAAACTATTTTAACTTTTATTTTAGGTTCAGGGGCACATTTGCAGATTTGTTATAGAGGTAAACTTGTGACTCAGGGATCGGGTGTACAGATTATTTTATCAAGCAGGTACTCAGCATAGTACCCAATAGTTTTTTTCTTCTTTTCTTCTTTTTCTTCTAAACCTCTCCCTTCTCCCATCCTCTGCTCTCATGTAGGCCCCTGTATCTGTTGTTCCCCTCTTTCTCTCCATGTGTTCTCATCATTTAGCTCCCACTTACAAGTGAGAATATGTAGCATTTGGTTTGCTGTTCCTGCATTAGTTTGCTAAGGATAATGGCTTCCAGTTCCATCCATGTTTCTGCAGAGAACACGATCTCTTTCTTTTTATGGCTGCATAGTATTCCATGGTGTATATATACTAAATTTTCCTTATCCAGTCTACTGTTGATGGGCTTTTAGGTTTATTCCATGTCTTTGATATTTTGAATAATGCTGCAATAACATACGTGTGCATGTGTCTTTATGGAAGAAGAATTTATATCCCTTTGGATATATACCCAGTAGTGAGATTGCTGGGTTGAATGGTAATTCTGCTTTTAGTTCTTTGAGGAATCACCACTCTGCTTTCCATAATGGTTGAACAAATTTACACTCCCACCAGCAATGTGTAAATGTTTCCTTTTCTCTGCAATCTCACCAGCATGTTATTATTATTTTTTTACTTTTTAGTAAAAGCCATTCTGACTGACGTGAGATGGTATCTCATCATGGTTTTGATTTGCATTTCTTTAACGATCAGTGATATTGGGCTTTTTTTCATATGCTTGTTGGCCGCATGTGGGTCTTACTTTGAAAAGTGTCTGTTCATGTCCTTTGCCCTCTTTTTAATGAGGTTGTTTGTTTTTTGCTTGTATGTTTGTTTAAGTTCCTTGAAGATTTTGGATATTAGATATATTGTCAGATGCATAGTTTGCAAATATATTTCCTCATTCTGTAGGTTGCCTGTTTACTCTGTTGATAGTTTCATATGCTGTGCAGAATCTCTTTAACTTATATAGGTCCCATTTGTCAATTTTTGCTTTTGTTGCAATTGCTTCTGGCATTTTTATCATGAAATCTTTGCCAGTTCCAATGTCCAAAATTGTATGTCCTACGTTATCTTTCAGAGTTTTTATAGATTTGTTTTACATTTAGGTCTTTAATCCACATTGAGTTGTTTTTGTATATGGTTTAAAGAATGGGTCCAGTTTCAGTCTTCTGCATATAGTTAGCAAGTTAGCCCAGAACCATTTATTGAATAGGGAGTTATATTAGCCCGTTTTCATGCTGCTAATGAAGACATACCTGAGACTGAAAAGAAAAATAGGTTTAATGTACTCAGCTCCACATGGCTGGGAAGCCTCACAATCATGGCAGAAGGTGTAAGGCACATCTCATATGGTGGCAGACAGGAGAAGAGAGAGAGCCAAGTGAAAGAGGTTTCCCCTTATAAAACCATCAGATCTTGTGAGACTTGTTCACTACCATGAGAACAGTATGGGGGAAACTGCCACCATGATTCAATTATCTTCCACTGAGTCCCTCTCACAACAAAACGGAATTATGGAAGCTGCAATTCAAGTTGAGATTTAGGTGGTGACACTGCCAAACCATATAATTGCACCCTGGCCCCTCCCAAATCTCATGTTCTCACATTTCAAAACCAGTCATGCCTTCCCAATAGTCCCCAAAGTCTTAACTCATTTCAGCATTAACTCAAAAGTCCACAGTCCAAAGTCTCATCTGAGACAAGGCAAGTCCCTTCTGCCTATGAGCCTGTAAAATCAAAAGCCAGTTAGTTACTTCCTAGATACAATGGGGTACAGGCATTGGTTAAATACAACCATTCCAAATGGGAGAAACTGGTCAAAACAAAGGGGCTAAAGACCCCATGCAAGTCCAAAATCCAGTGGGGCAGTCAAATCTTAAAGCTCCAAAATGATCTCCTTTGACTCCATGTCTCATATCCAGGTCATTTGATGTAACAGGTGGGCTCCCACAGAGTTGGGCAGCTCTGCCCTATGGCCTTGCAGGGGACAGCCCTTCTGGTTGCTTTCACGGGCTGGCATTGAATGTATGCAGCTTTTCCAGGTGCATGGTGCAAGCTGTCGGTGGATCTACCATTCTGGGGCCTGGAGGATTGTGCCCCTCTTCTCACAGCTCCACTAGGTGGTGCCCCAGTAGGGACTCTGTATGGTGACTCCAAACCCACATTTTCCCTCTGCACTGCCCTAGCAGAGGTTCTCCATGAGGGCCCAGCCCCTGCAGCAAATCTCTGCCTGGGCATCCAGGCATTTCCATACATCCCCTGAAATCTAGACGGAAGTTCCCAAATCACAATTCTTGACTTTCATGCACCCACAGGCTCAACACCACATGGAAGCTGCCAAGGCTTGGCGCTTGCACCCTCTGAAGCCATGGCCCAACTTGTACTTTGGCCCCTTTTTAGTCATGGCTACAGCAGCTGGGACACAGGGCACCAAGTCCCTAAACTGCACACAGAAGAAGGACCCTGGGCCCTAGCCCACTAAACCATTTTTTCCTCCTAGGCCTCAGGTCTGTGATGGCAGGGACTGCTGAGAAGACCTCTAACATGCTCTGGAGACATTTTCCCCATTGTCTTGGTGATTAACATTTGACTCCTCATTACTTATGCAAATTCCTGCAGCCTGCTTGAATTTCTCCTCAGAAAATGAGTTTTTCTTTCCTATTGCATTGTCAGGCTGCAAATTTTCTGAACTTTTATGCTCTGTTTCCCTTTTAAAACTGAATGCTGCCTGGGTGTGGTGGCTCATGCCTGTAATCCTAGCACCCTGGGAGGCTGAGGCAGGTGGATCACCTGAAGTCAGGAGTTCAAGACCAGCCTGGTCAACAGTAAAACCCTGTCTCTACTAAAAATGCAAAAATTAGCTGGGCATGGTGGTGCATGCCTGTAGTCCCAGCTACTTGGGAGGCTGAGGCAGGAGAATCACTTGAACATGGGAGGCAAAGATTGCAGTGAGCCGAGATTGCACCACTGCATTCCAGCCTGGGAGACAGAATGAGACTCCATCTCAAAAACAACAACAAAACAAAAACAAAAACAAAAACTGAATGCCTTTAACATCACCTAAGTCACCCCTCGAATGCTTTGCTGCTTATAAATTTCTTCTGTCAGATACCCTAAATCATCTTCCTCAAGTTTAAAGTTCCACAAATCTCTAGGGCAGGGGCAAAATGCCACCAGTCTCTGCTAAAACATAACAAGAGTCATCTTTGCTCTCGTTCCCAACAAGTTCCTCATCTCCATCTGAGACCACCTCAGCCTGGATTTCATTGTCCGTATCATTATCAGCATTTTGGTCAAAGCCATCAACAAGTCTCTAGGAAGTTCCAAACTTTCCCACATGTTCCTGTCTTCTTCTGAGCTCTCTAAACTGTTCCAACCTCTGTCTGTTACCCAGTTGCAAAGTTGCTTCTATATCTTCATATATCTTTTCAGCAGAACCCCACTCCCGGTACCAATTTATTGTATTAGTCCATTTTCACACCACTGATAAAGACATACCCAAGATTGGGAAGAAAAATAGGTTTAATGGATTCAGAGTTCCATGTGGCTGAGGAAGCCTCACAATCATGGTGGAAGGTGCAAAGCAGGTCTCACATGGTGCCAGACAAGACAAGAGAGAGAGCCAAGCAAAAGGGGTTTCTGCTTTAAAGAACCACCAGATCTTGTGAGACTTAATCACCACCATGAGAACAGTATGGGGGAAACTGTCCCCATGATTCAATTATCTCCCATTGGGTCCTTCCACAGCTCAAGGGAATTATGGGAGCTACAATTCAAGATGGGATTTGGTTGGGGACACAGACAAACCATATCAGTAGTCCTTTCCCCATTGCTTGTTTCTGTCAGCTTTGTCAAAGATCAGATGGTAGTAGGTGTGTGGCTTTATTTCTGGGCTCTCTATTCTGTTCCATTGGTCTATGTATCTGTTTTTGTATCATGCTGTTTGGGTTACTGTAGCCTTGTAGTACAGTTTGAAGTTTCACAAGGTTATTCTTTGTTCTTTCTTACTATTTTTTTTTTTTTGAGATGGTGTCTCGCTCTGTTGCGCAGGCTGGAGTGCAGTGGCACCATCTCTGCTCACTGCAAGCTGCGCCTCCTGGGTTTATGCCATTCTCCTGCCTCAGCCTTCTGAGTAGCTGGGACTACAGGCACCTGCCACCACGCCCGGCTAATTTTTGTGTGTGTGTGTGTGTTTTTAGTAGAGATGGGGTTTCACCATGTTAGACATGATGGTCTCGATCTCCTGACCTTGTGATCCACCTGCCTCGGCCTCCCAAAGTGCTGTAATTACAGGTGTGAGCCACCACACCCGGCCCCAGCTTTGTTATTTCTGTTTAGGATTTCTTTGGCTATTCAGTCTCTTTTCTGGTTCCATATGAACCTTAGAATACATTTTTCTAGTTCCGTGAAGAATGACATTGGTAGTTTGATAGGAATAGCATTGAATCCAGAAATTGCTTTGGGCAGTATAGCCATTTTAACAATATTGATTCTTCTTATCCAAGAGCAGGGAAGTTTCTTCCATTTGCTTCTGTCATCTCTGATTTCTTTGAGCAGTGTTTTTTAGTTCTCTTTATAGAGATCTTTCATCTCTCTCATTAACTGTATTCCTAGACATTTTATTCTTTTTGTGGCAATTGTGAATAGGATTGTGTTCTTGATTTGGCTCTCAGCTTGGGTGCTGTTACTGTATAGGAATGCTACTGACTTTCATACTTTGATTTTATATCCCAAAACTTTGCTGAAGTTGCTTATCATTTCAAGGACCTTTGGGGCCGAGACTATGGGGTTTTTTTAGATATAGAATCATGTCATCTGCAAACAGGGTGATATGGTTTGGCTCTGTGTCCCTACCCAAATCTCACCTTGTAGCTCCCATAACTCCCATGTGTTGTGGAAGGGACCTAGTGGGAGATGATTGAATCATGGGGGTGGGTATTTCCCATGGTGTCTCGTGATAGCAAATGGGTTTCATGAGATCTGATGGTTTTAAAAACAGGGGTTTCTCTGCACAAGCCTTACCTTTTTGCCTGCCTCCATTCATGTAAGAAGTGACTTTTCCTCCTTGCCTTATGCCATGATTGTGAGGCCTCCCCAGCCATGTGGAACTGTAAGGCCAATTAAACCTCTTTATTTTCTTTTGTAAATTGCCCAGTTTTGGATATGCCTTTATCAGCAGCGTAAAAATGGACTAATGCACAGGAATCGTTTGACTCCCTCTCTTCCTATTTAGATGTCTTTTATTATATTTCTTTAGCTTGCCTGACTGCTCTGGCCAGGACTTCCAATATTATGCATGAGTGGACATCTTTGACTTGTTCTGATTTTCAAGAGGAATGCTTCCAGCTTTTGCCCATTCAGTACGATGTTGGCTGTGGGTTTGGCATAAATGGCTGTCATTATTTTGAGGTATGTTCCTTTAATACCTAGTTTATTGAGGATTTTCAATGTAAAGGAACGTTGAATTTTATTGAAATCCTTTTCTGCATTGAGATAATCAGGTGGTTTTTGTCTTTAGTTCTGTCTATGTGATGAATCACATTTATCTATTTGCATAGGTCGAACCAACCTTGCATACTGGGGATAAAGCCTACTTGACCATGGTTGATGTGCTGCTGTACTCAGTTTGCTAATATTTTGTTGATGTTTGCATCAGTGTTCATCAAGGATATTGTCCTGAAGTTTTCTTGTTTTTGTTGTGTCTCTGTCAGTTTTTGGTATCAGGATGATCCTGGACCCATAGAATGAGTTGGGGATGAGTCCCTCTTCCTCAATTAAATAGCTTATTTATAGATTTTTTTCCAAAAAGTCCAATGTCTGAGCTTCCTCAATAACAGTTTCTGTTTATTGCTTTTGTTTCTTATGCATTAGCACGCTATCTTATTTCTTTGCATGTCTCATAACTTTTTGTTTAGAATTGGACATTTTGAATTATAAATACGGTAACTCTGGAAATAAGATACTCTCTTCTAACCTAGGTTTGTTGCCACTGCTGCTTATTAAAGCAGTTGTTGTTTGTTTGTTAAGTGACTTTTCTGAACTAATTCTCCAAAATATTTTTAGAAAATTTAGATTTTTTTTTTCATTCATGGCTACTAAAGTGTGTGTTCCATTAGTTTAGTGGTCAGGTAATGATTGGACTGAAATTTCCTTAAACACCTGGAACAAAAGAGTTTCCCAGTGTTTACTAAGGTGCTGTGTGTGTATATTAGGTCACACCTCAACACTCACTCAGGCAATTTATAAGTCTGCCTTAGCCTTCATTTTCTGTTTCTGTAGTGTGTCAAGAGTAGCCAGAGGTGAGAGCTTAGAACTTTCTCTAGTTTTTTTTTCTAAGTATGTACACAGCCCTAGGCATGTGTGGCCTTCTAGATTCCCAGAAATGATTAATCTTTATCACCTCAGACAGCAGCAACAAAACATTTGCCTATAAATTTTTCTTTGACAAATGACCCTTAGATAACAGCTTTAGCATTAGCACTGGTCCAGTTCCATCCAGGTGAAATAAAGACAGACATTTGAGCTTGTCTTCCAGGTAGTCATCATATACATCAAAACAAGTAAATATAATTGTTTATGAATAAGGTCTATTCTGTTTTATCCAGTATAGAGAATCTAGGCTATAATTTTCAGAAGAATAGATTACGACTGAGATGGGAAGGGGAAGTGTAGGACTGGGGTATTCTAAAATTCTACAGAGCTTACTGTGCTTACTAAGACTAAGCCATTTTTCTTGAATAAGCACTCCTCAGGGCTGCTAGCCTTTGGTTAATTTACAGAGTTCTAAAAAAGTTGATTATGACAGTTCTGACCTTTTGTTTGTTTGTTTTTTTGGAGAAGTGAGCTTTCAAAATTCCTTACTTCACCATTTTCACTGACATCATTATAATCATAGTTATAAAAAGTCTACTTTTGATATCTCCATGTAGCAGTTAAAAATGGCTATAAATTCTTTGGTGCTCCTCTCATTGAGAGGCGGGGTCTATGTCTTCTTCCCTTCAATCTGGTTTATGCTTAGTATAGCAAAAAAGCACATGTAAATGATGCTGTATACTTTTTTAGGTTATGTTATTGGTGGTCTTACACCTTCTGCCTGACTCTTTGGGGATGACTATAATGGGGCAAACCAGTTACCACATAAGTTTAACTATACTGAGAGAACAATGGTAGAGAGGCCATACAAAGTTGCTCTTGTTAACAGCCCAAGCTGAGCCACAAGCCAACAGTCAGCATCGGTTACCCAGCCATGTAAATAAGCCACCTTGGATGTACAGCCCAGTAAAGTCTGTGGGTGATGCAGCCCTAGCCAACATGTAACTGCAACCATATAAAAGACCCTAAGTGAAACACCAAAGTTGACCTCTTCCCAAATTCCTGACCCTTAAAATCATGAATATGTTCTATGCCACCAAGTTCTGGTATAATATGCTATGTAGCAAAAGTAACTGAAACACTATGATATCAAGTTCTGGTATAATATGCTATGTAGCAAAAGTAACTGAAACACTATGATAACTAGATCATCAGTGGGCCTGTTTCTATCATTTGTTTTTTCTCTTGGTTTTCAGTTTGGTCATGTTTGCAATATGCCATGTAATTTTTGTTGAAGGGCAGATATCATACATGAAAAGTTGTGGGAGCACTGTGTGATGCTATCTTCTTCCAAAAAGTATTTAATGTTGGTGGATTTCCTTGATCCAGCTGATGGCCATCAATTTCTTCTTTGCTCTTATTCATATGACCTAGCCCTGTGTTTTTCACCAGGGTCTCACCTCCTTGGCAGGATTACTTTTTTCTCTCTCTCTCTGGAAACCTTGATCCTGCCAAAAGCTCCTCTTGCCTTTTGAGCCTCTTATCACTTCTTCTGCTTGGTTGCTTGGAAAATCGTCCCACACATGCATAACTTTGGAGTCAACAAAATACTCAAAAGGATGCCTCAAGGTAGAAATTGTACACAGTATGTCAGGTTCACATCTGTATATGCTTTTCCTCTGAAATCTTTGTCCTGAAATTCTGATTATCTTGGATCTTCTTTGATGCTTTCATATAGTTGTCCTTTTTTGTTTTGTTGTATTTTAATCCAGCTTTAACAGGTGTTGTTGGTAGGAGAATTAATTAGATACAAGTTACTGTGTCATATTTTACATTATGCTGCAGTAGTTTTCTCTAGAGTATGTTAAGTACTCTGTATTTACTTTTCATTTATTATATGTCTCTTCAGTATGGTACTGAGAGCAAGAACTTAGTTTTGTTTACTCTCTAGTCCCAAAGCCTAGAAATTGGCTAGTGTAAAAAAGATACTCAATAAATATTTCTGAAGGAAGAAATAAAAGAAGGAAGGAAACCAATAGGCTTATTGCTTTTCTAATAATTCTTTCACCCAGGTACACACTTGGGAAACTTTGTTTAAAGACTTTTATTTATCCTCTTCAATCAATATATTTTAAGTTTATTCTACTTCCCTACTTTGCAATTCTTATGAGCCAATAAGTTCTAGTTATTCCATATTTTAAATATCTTTCCAATATTCCCTTCCCTATTTATCCTTGCTACCCTAGATTTGGAGTTTCATTATCTCTCACTTTTTTACTATATACATCTGCTAATTGGTGCCTTACCTCTAGTTTTCTTTACTTTCTTTCTATCTCTGTCTTATTTACAGTTTTCAGTATTTTTCCCAAACACAGATTTTATTTTTTTCAGGGGTTTAAAAATGCTTAAAAATGTTAATGGCTCAACATTGTCTACAAGAATATACACTGAACAATAGAAACACTGGATTTTGTTTGCATGGAATACAAGAAACTTCAAACATACCTTACTGTGAAAGACAAGAACTCTTTAATAAACTTTAAAATCATCATAAACTTCATTTTAAAGCACCTAAAACTCCAAGAACATAAGTATGCCACTGTGATTTTATGCATAACTCTTGATTGACAAAAAATACTCAGAGGAATAATTATTCAATGAATATAAGAATTCAGCTGAAGAAGAAAGTGGGATATAAACATAACAAATAAATGTATTATTTTGTTGGTTAATAAGTAAGGCTTGAATTCATATATTGTTTTTAAAAATTCTCAAAAGACATCAAACTGGTAGGACTTCTTATACTTGATAAACTATTGGAATCAAAAAGATAAAATTATATTATATTCTTGAATACTTACTATGTTTTCCGTGTCAATTACTGCCTAATTCTTCAGGACATAAGTATGTATAAGATACAATTTCTCTTTTTCTCTCAAAGGGCACAAGAGTAGTGATTTCACATAAGTGATTAATTGAAGTAAATACACTATTGTGATTATTTTCCATTCCATTTTTTAATTTAAAAAGTGCTTATTAAAAATGTGTAAAATGGTTAAGCCATCCAAATGAAGTATTCCTTCATTTGTCATTGGTTTTCATGCTCAATACTCGTGTCTTTAGCATTTTCTATCTCATTACCCAAACTTATAGGAAACCACAATGTAAATCAAATTTTCCATGGAGACTACACTGGGAAAAAGGCAAGAGAATTTAGGGAACCATTGCTTTAAAGGGCAGGGCAAAAGAAAGAGACCAGCAAAAGAGACATCAAAGGAGTCAGATTATTAAAGAAGAGAAAGGAAGGGATTTTTAAGCTTCCTTACCTACAAAATACAAACAATAACATCTAACTTGAGGAACAAAGAGTTAATGCAAGGGGAGAACTTTTAAAATAATGCTTGATGTTTAGTAAACATTTATAAATATTGCTGGCTTTGTTTGATTGAAAATAACAATAATTTGGTGCTCAATCAGCTACATCTACAGCTAGACCATAAGCCAACTTCTCTATCACTAACAGCAAGTACCTTACATACCTGGTCTTTGAACCATTGCTTATCTTATTTACTTAAATAGGAAAATGAAAGCACAGAGATGATACATAGACTAAACATTTGAAACTTAAAAGATAATTTGTACACTTATTTTTAAATAAAAAATAATCTAAACAAAGTCTCTTCCTCTTTTTCAAAACATTCTCTTAGTTGTTTAACTTATGAGTTACACCGATGCTGTCTACAAATAAGCAATATGAGATTGCAGTGTAAAACCATGGGCCTCAGCTAAATAAATAGTACAAAATGTAAGTAGCAAAGCTTTGAGGGCTAGGGATGTGCTTCATATCTATTTTCTTTGTGATATTTTGTTTTATGTGAGAAGCTTTGCGGGCTTCATGTTTCACCTAAGGAGTGATGCAGAATGTCTAATGATACCTGTTAACAATTTTGTCAGGGCTACTGTGATTTATAGACTATTTACGTTAACTGGTATTATGCTGTTGACATATTTAGACACCCATTAACATTTTTTTAAAACATTTAAATCAAGTGATTGGAGAAATGCCAAGTGCAAGGTTTCAGGTGGTGAAGGTATTTCAGGAATGACAGCACCAAAGAAAAAATAATTAGCAAACCCTTCCTCATGAGAGCTAATTTTTACTGGGCCATGTGCAGTCTATTTTTATACAACCAGATGCCCCCTTCAATGTAGTCTTATTTTTATTTACACAGAAAAGTTATTTATAAAGTTGACAGAGATCCGTCAACTTGTTCTAATTTTGTTGAGAAAAAATTTGCCAGAATCATGTGGTAGCATCTTTTACCCCGTTTATCTAAGTGTCTCACTTTGTGAGGTGAGTTGGTCTAACATAAAAGTTGGAAATAGCAAGCCCCCGCACAAGCCCATGGGGAAAGAGCTTTGCTACCCAGTTCCAGATGTTCACATCACCCACTGGCTAATTAGCACTTGAGCAGGTTTTTTCAGTTTGGTACAGAATTTCCAGCTAGTGCAATCAATGAACCTTTTCTATAGCTACTTATTTAATAGTATTTTTCTAAATTTCAGATTTTCAATGGACTCTTCCTAACATAGTCAAACAACTCTGACAAAGAATTTCCTTTAAGCTTTGATGTTTGCATATATTATTTCTAAGAGAGAAAAAGCCCTGTTAATTCACTATAATAGGAAATGGTTTTTATTACAAAGTTATTTTAATGATTAGTTATGCCATAATGGCTATATGAACAAAGACAATGGATATATAAAAAGGAACTCAATTCCATAGTAATAAAGAAAATGCAAATTAAAACCAAATGAAAGAATATTATATAGCTATTATAATAATTAAAATAAAAATAATAGACAACACAAGTCTTAAAGAGGATGTAGAAAAACTGAAACCAGGCCTGGTGTGGTGGCTCACACCTGTAATCCCAGCACTTTGGGAGGCCGAGGTGGGCAGATCATGAGGTCAGGAGATCAAGACCACCCTGGCTAACACAGTGAAACCCCGTCTCTACTAAAAATACAAAAAATTAGCTGGGCGTGGTGGCGGGTGCCTGTAGTTTCAGCTACTCGGGAGGCTGAGGCAGGAGAATGACATGAACCTGGGAGGCTGAGCTTGCAGTGAGCCGAGATCGCGCCACTGCACTCCAGCCTGGGAGACAGTGAGACTCCGTCTCAAAAAAAAAAAAAAAAAAAAAAGAAACTGAAACCATTGGTGGGGGTATAAATTGGCACAACCACTAACATAATGCAGACTCTATTAATCCAGAACTCCCCTCCTAAGCATTTACCCAGCAGAACTGTATATGTATTCTCACCAAAAGGCACATACAAGAATGATCACAGCACTATTACCTTTCATCCTTTTGGGTGATTCTTTCCCTGACTTTGGAAGTTTTCTCACATGCATACTCTGATCAGTAAGCAGTTAAATGTTCTTGGGGAAATTCTCTGCAAATCTCATTTTCCCTTTACAGTCCTCTTCTCTCCTGTGCTCTGTACTGGTAACTGCAGATGCTTTATTCTGCGTGAACTCTCAGCATCATCTCCCTACCCTGGGTAGTCCAGCAGCTCTGTCTTGTTTCCTCCTCTCTATACCATGACTCAGAAATTCTCTAGGGTAGTAAGCTGGAATAACTATAGATGAACATTATTTGTCTTCCATCTCTCAAGGACCATTTTCCAACACCTTGTAAACTGCTGTTTTATATACTTTGTCTTTTTTTTTTCTTTTTTTAGGCAGTTGGGTAAATCCATTCCTTGCAAGCTTAGGAACATCAATTTTACCTGAAAGAAAAACTGAAGGCCAATCTATGGTTCCTCTGGATTAGGTGTTTGCTTGGCAGACATTTTCTCTAAAATCAATAAAGTCAGCCTCTCACTTCAAGAAAAGCAACTGGTAGTACTTGTTGTCAATGATACGGTTTAAGCTTTTAAGTGAAATTTAGAATTTTAGAAAACATTTATGTGCCACCATTAACTTCACAGTTGTCCAATACATAAATACTTACCTGATGAAATCAGTGCTGATCTTACTGCACATGATTTTTGAACATTGCATAATGAAATGTGTCAACATGGGAAGGAAAGGTCTGTATTACTTGCTGCATCACTATTTTTCAAATGACCAAAGCATGATGTTACAAAATCATGCATTTGTTACCAAAAAATGCATTGGTAAAAAAATCCATTGTAGGTACAAGATAAAACAATGGATTTTACTGCAACATCTCACTGAAATTAAGTTTTAAAGAACTAACACTTCTTGAGTTTTGATGTAGCATCAAAGATGGGAATACATAGCTATTTGAAATAGCCATTATAATATTCTTCTCTTTTCCAAATACAGGTATATGTGTAGTCAGATTTTCTTTATATTCTTCAATTAAAACAATATGCTGCAAGAGACCGAATTTAGAAACTGATATGAGAATCTAGGTATAGTCTATAAAGCCGGACATTAAATAGAATTGTAAAATGTAAATCAATATCAATATTGTTGCTAAATATTTTTGGGTTTAGAAAGCATAGCATTTGTTAAGAAAAATAAGTTATTTGTGTTAACTAGTATTGGGTTTATTTTTTAATGAATTAAGAATTCTAAATTATTTTTTAATTTTAATTTGTATTACAGTAAATATGAATGTATATCAGCACATATGAAACATATAAAACACATATCAGCACAGTAAAAGCCTTTTGATCGCCATTGATTTTTAAGGAGTGTAAAAGGTTTCTGAGACCAAAAGCGTTGGGAGCTTCTGCTCTAGAAAACCACGGATAGAATGCTTCCTTTCAACTCCTCTTCATCATTGTTTTTTCTTTTGAAATTTTCTTGCTAGCATTCTCCTTCCCGTGTCAGTACAGCCCTTCGTTCTTCTTTGGTCTACCCCTCTCTTTTACACCCTGGCTCTCTTAACAGTTGCCTGCCAGGCGGTTCCTCAGGATTGAGAATTTACCTCCATATCCCATTCTCCAAATCCAGACATCAGCCTCTGATGCTAAAACTATATTCCTGCAATTGTGGGACTACCCAGATCTCTGTCCTTGCCCTTAACAAATACGTTTCCATCTCCACAAAATCACGCTCTTTTTCTTTACCTGCTGTGTGACCTGTGTTAACCTGAGCATCTCCAAGGGCCTTTTCAGTTCTGTATTTTTACCATCTGCAGCTAATATGTCTGCTTCTGTCTAAATTTCAGATGTTGTTTCTCTATCAGTAGAGAAACTGGGAGGCCGAGGCGGGCAGAGCACGAGGTCAGGAGATGGAGACCATCCTGGCTAACATGGTGAAACCCAGTCTCTACTAAAAATACAAAAAAAAAAAAAAAAAAAAAAAAAAAAAAAAAATAGCCGGGCGTTGTGGCGGGCGCCTGTAGTCCCAGCTACTCTGGAGGCTGAGGCAGGAGAATGGCGTGAACCCAGGAGACGGAGCTTGCAGGGAGGCGGAGCTTGCAGTGAGCCGAGATCACGCCACTGCACTCCCGCCTGGGCAACAGAGCAAGACTCTGTCTCAAAAAAAAAAAAAAAATCCAGATTTTGACAAATTAAAAATAAATGTATATTTTCAAGTAATGTTTGAACTTAAATATTTCTGCAGAAGTATTGCCTATTTTTGGTGAATCTCTAGGAGTAAAATACACTTACCAATAGGGCTGAATGTGTGCACACTGGGTATAGGAAGCTGCTTTGGGATATGGGGAATCTCCTGGTGCTTTGCAAATCAAACTTTGCAAATCAAACTACTTATGTGAAACTCCATTCTTTCTCTCTTAATTGCAATGACATAAGGCTTTTGTTGAACTTGTTGGTTTTAGGTAATGGGTGATCAGGACTTCCAAGCTTTTTGTATATTGTAACATGTAACTAAAGGACTGTAATCCTATATTTATTGTTAAAGTTGTTTTCCAAAGTCTCATACCTTTGAAGTATTGTTTCTAAAACTTCTGATGCTGTTTACTTGTCCAACAGGCCCACAATCTCTTCCTGTAATTTATCCCAGTGCTCACACATTATGCCCAGAACAGCGTAATGTCATCTTTAAGTATGATTATCTCTATGAAATTATTTTTAATCAAATTACTTTATTAAAAAATAGTACATGAGATTAATCCCTGAAGTTGGTTAAGAGAATGGAGGTGGGGGGAAAAAAGATTCTCATCATTTAAAGCTTTCCACTCAGATGATTCCCCATTCCCTGTTGTTTTGAAATTAAATTTTTAAAAAATTCTCAGAGGTTTTTGAGAGAGCCAGTGTCTGTTGTTGTTGTGTTTTTTTCTAATAGATACACTGTCATGTGGGTTTTTTTAAACCAAAAGAAAAAAAAACCAAACAAACAAAAAGATAACAAATAAAACCCTCTTGCTGTAACTTGACCCTGGTGTTCCTTAATTGTATTGCAGCTGTGCAAAGATTAGATTAAGGAGAGTAGAATTTCCTGAGGAAACTATTTCCTTTTTAATTCCCTCACTGTGTCTGCCTCCTCATTTCAGAGTCTGGCAACTTCAGGATAGCAGACCAAAAAGTACTTAATTCATGAGTGCTTTTTATTAGCATATGGCTTCATAATTATTACCTAAAGACCCAGATTAAAATACTGATAAACCAAGTTCACCCTCATGTGTCACTGTTGCTTATGCTCTTTTCCTATAAAAAGCTCTGAGAATTATTGCTTTGAGGGAGTATTGTGTTCTCTTAACTTAAAAGTATTTTAAAGTTATTTCATGGTGTTGTTTTCTTTAACAAATGTATTCTCATTTGAGTGTGTCTAACGCATATATTTAAAATAAGAAGAAAGGAGAAACTAAGCACATCCTATGAGTTTTTCATCTATTATTCCAGTTGAAGAGAATTACTCCCATCTGTTCTTGACACTTTTGTTGATTCCATTAGTATCTAATAATATGTCTGTAGTATTAAATCAAATTGGTCTTCTATGAAAGATTTCAAAATTCAGCATGTCACTTCCTTCTTAAGAAGATATTCAGGTGCTCCTGTTTTCAATAATATGGTAGATTAGTCACACAGAATAATCTTCCCAAGTGCCGGAAGTGGTGGAAGTAACTAAATTGCTGGAAAAAATATTTTAAAATGTGTATAACATCATTCCAAATGCATTCCTGAACTTTCATGAAATCAATAAATTTTAAAAGCCCCGCAATATTCTAATGATACCAGGAAACCAGATCAGCAAGCCCCAAAGCTGGTTTTTATCTTGTGGATGACTACCCATCTCTAGTTATCTCGAGCTTCCATGGTGGTATGAGGGGTATGGGAGAGGGGAGATAAAAGATAGCATATTCTCAAGATAGTGAACATAATAAAAGATGACCCCATAGACACTGGACTCACAGTAAAAGTGAGGATTAGAACTAAACACTCCCAATAAAAGTAAGAATTAGAACTAAACCTTGCTATGCAAAGGGGATACTGAAAAAATTTTCGTATTTCACATCAAGTGCCAAGTGGAGAGAAAAATTCTTCTTTGATTTTCTATAATCCCAAACTAGCCCTTGCAGTGGGCTTGAGATCTGAATTCACACTACCTGGGTGATTCACACAGACATATATGAAACTTTACACCCATCAATGGCAGAATCCTCTGTTTTTTCAGAACACATGGAACATTCATGAAAATTGATCCCATGCCATATCCATAAATTTAACTTCAACACATTGCAACGGATTGGTATATAACTCATCTCCTTTGACCTCGGTGAAATTAAATTGAATATTAATAACAAAGAATTACTAGAAAAACTAAATATGTTTGGAAATTGTACAATTGTGTGCAAAAATTGTATATATGTGTATGTGCATACATATATATGTGTGTGTACACATATATAAACATAGATATATGTGTGTGAATATATACACACATATACACTTATTTATATCAGTGGTTGAAGAGAATGTGGTAATAGAGATATTGACTCTAAATATGTGGGCATATGGAATTACTTAAAATTGTGTTGTGGTAACAAATGGAATTTGGAAAATATAGAGGTATAATTTAAGTGTATTCCCCTCAAAATCAATATATATTAAATTTTGATAGTAAATATATGTATATGAATTTATATATTCATAAGTGAATAAATAGTGCTTTCAAATGTAAAAATGAAAGAAAAAAACAACTACTTATATGATTTAGAATTTTCATTTTACAATATACAACTAAAAAAATTTTTTTCTTTTTTGAGACCGAGTCTCACTCTGTTGCCCAGGCTAGAGTACAGTGGCGGGATCTTGCCTCACTGCAATCTCCGCCTCCTGGGTTCAAGTGATTCTCTTGCCTCAGCCTCCTGAGCAGCTGGAATTACAGGTGCCCACCACCACACCCAGCTAATTTTTGTATGTTTAGTAGAGACAGGGTTTCACCATGTTGGCCAGGCTGGTCTCGAACTCCTGACCTCAGGTGATCCACCCGCCTCGGCATCCAAAGTGCTGGGATTACAGGTGTGAGCCACCGCATCCGGCAATAACTAAAAAATTTTCAGTATATAAAATCACTTTATTTTACAGTACTTGTTTCTCCAAATATTTTAATGTTAGTGAATAATTCGTTGATAACAAGATAGTCATTTGTTTCATATTCTGAAGGTTTACTGGTAAATTATTCATAAGAAATATAGGCTTTTACAAGTTTTCTGAAAAATTTTTACATTGAAACATTCAGACATGAGACTATAAATTTATAAATTCTATGAATGATTCCTTGGGACTGTTTGAATATTCAGTTTTAGAAAGCAAAATTCATGTCTCTACTAATCAGTGTAGAATGAATTTAAAATTTCCCAAGATACCCCTTGGAGAATAAGTCATAATGATTTTGATATTTTTTAGCAAATTACTGCGATTTTTTAATTAAAACCCTCTGTTGTGTTGTTCTTATTGTATGTAAATGTGCACACTGAAGTGAAGAAGAAGGGGGATGCATGGTGAGTTACCAGTTACCTGCATGGCTGTCAGAAAGTGATTTATGAGGTAGAAGACCTTGAGGTGAATTTACTGCTATGATAGTAATGACCTACTTATTGCAAATAAATGTAGAAAATAAAACAAAGTATAATAGAAATTACCAATTGCCAGCCCATGGTAGTTACCCTAACCTTAAAATATTATACTTGGTACCCCAGTACTTAGTAGGTGCCAAATAAAATTTTTTGGATGAATGAAAAGACGTTTGCATGCTTGCAAAAAGACTAATCTACAGTTGAAGCATTTGCACTCCTTAGAATCTTTAAGAAGGAAAGAGATGAACAGAGAGATTGAGAGAAAGAGAGACAGAGAGAAAGAAGGATAAAGAAGAACTTTCCAAATGAATAGAGTTTTCCATCTAATGAAAAATCCAGAGTGTGCTCCTCCTGCCACAAATCCTGGATTATTTCATTTGACCATTTCCATTCCATTTTTTTCTCTTAATGAATATGGACAATTTCTACAAACTTATTGGGGCTTACTATGTACTAAACAGAGGAAAAAATTAAGAGGAATTGGAGGTAGAGAATATGGGTGTAAAAATTGCAGGAATTTGGTTTTATTTACAAAAATGTGATACATACTTACATGAACAACAGAATGAAAAGAAAACAAGAGCAAATAAATATTTTTATTTTTCCACTAATTTTCATTCTACTGTCGGGTAGCATTATATGTTTGTTCATACATCTCTCCCAATATAGATCACCTTGAAATTTTCAATGTATATATTTTAGATATTTCTATCTTGAGCCACCTTACAGATGTTATAAAGGAAAAGTAAGACAACGGTATAAAATGGAAATATTAAAAATTCAAATAGACTATGAGAACACAAAAGTTTCAAAGTTTAAATGCTCATATTTGATTGTTTATTATGTGCTAAGTGAGGTTTATGAGTTTAACATATATTAGCTCGCTTCATGCTCACAACAACCTGATAGGTTAGATATAATAATTTTTCTTACTTTATAGATAAGAGAAGCACAAAATTAATTTGCCCAAAGTTTTTCTGCTAATAAGTCATCAGAGTTGAAACAAGATAATTCTGCCTTTGGCTGGGTGTGGCGGCTCACACCTATAATTTCGACACTTTGGGAGGCTGAGGTGGATGGATCACTTGAGGTTGGGAGCCAGGCCAACATGGTGAAACCCCTTCTGTACTGAAAAAACAAACATTAGCAGGGCATGGTGGTGGGTGCCTGTAGTCCCAGCTACTCGGGAGGCTGAGGCAGGAGAACTGCTTGAACCTGGGAGGCAGAGGTTGCAGTGAGCTGAGATCATGCCACTGCACCTCAGCCTGGGCACTAGAGTGACTCTGTCTCAAAAAAAAAAAAAAAAAGAAAAAGAAAAAAATATATAATTCTGCCTTTAATGTATCTTCTGAAAAACTGCTACCAGTGCATCTCTTTTGCATTCCCAACACCTAATTCACTCACTTAATTTTTATTGAATGTATAGAACAGTGATGATCATTCTAAGACATTCTAAGAGGCCAATCAGAACCCAGAGGCCAGAGAAATGAGATGACATACAGAGGCAGTCAGATGGGTAAATGGCAGGGACTGGAATTCCTTCTCCTGACTGCCAGATATGGGCTCATTTTTCTTCTGAGCAGCCAGTCTGATAAATGTTATGAAAATATGTGATTCACATGATAAAACCTTTGTATTTGTAATATGTGTCAAGATACAGTTGTCTGAATGTAGAGAATTATTAAGATCTATTCAAATACAAATGTAATACTGAGTAACATAAATAAAACAAGAAACTTATTAGACAATACTTATGAAATCTATGTAACTTGTATCAGCAATGCCTTTCATATAAAATGAAATATTCAAAATATTCCAGGCTTCTGAATCCAATTAGTATTATTAATATTAATACCCAAATACAGAGAGTTTCAGTGCTACACTCACCTATGTGGAAAGTCCAGACCTTTTAGGAGTTCTCATTCTTAGAGTATTTCAAGGAATTCCCAATGTTTTACTTAAGTATATGTCCCTGTGTTCGTCTATCATTAGTCACATGTTACTTGTGATCTGCCACCATTCCTCAGTGCCAATCCTTGCCAGTTCTCCCCATGCAATGATAAATGTTCCAGAAAAGTGAGGATAATGGCCATTCCCTCTGTGTTGAGCTCGGTTGGGAAGGCCGAACGCTATTTTGTCTCTCAGTATTTCTGTGCTTGAAGAAAAGCTCTATCTATTCTTATACACGGCCATTCTTCTCCCCAGGGGCTCACAGGCAGAGAACAACCATTTTGGTTCTATTCCTACGCTGGATTTAACAAGCAAGATGGCTTTTCCTCTTGTGATGAATTTATCTCTCGAGGCATTAGGATATCATGTATTAGATTTAGTCTTGCCTCCTATAAATCACGATGGCAGTTACAAAAGTCTCCCTGTAGCTGAACCCCTAGTTTATCAGAGCAGGGGATAGATACATTGTGAGAAAGTGGAGTTTGGGGGAGATAGGAAATGGGAGTCATCTAATTTCACAGGACAAATTTATCCATTGACCTGTCCAACCTAGTCAGAGCACCTGTTTACATGTATATGGAACCAAAAAATCCTGATGAAATAGATATCTCCCCGCCCCCCGCCCAGTTCTGTTGCTGTTGCCAGGCAATTTCTTCACTGATAGTTCTTTAAACACTAGCATAAATTTCCCTGCTTTAAACACATTAGCAAAAATGTGCCAAATATACATTTTTTTGGAGAGAACTCAAGGAACTACTAAGTTTTCTTGCAAAAACCATCAAAGTTCAATTTCTCCAGACAGACATTCTTCATAGTCTTGGAAGCAGTCACCTATGTACATTGTAGGTAAACAGGTAGGCCCTTTGGAAGTGGAAAGGACTTTGTTTTGAGTCTTCCACCTAAATTCATGTCACAGAAAAATTGCTCACCACTTATTAAAATGGTAAAGAAGGCTTTATTCAAGACTATTGCAATAGAGGAGACAGATGGAACACAACTCTGAATACAGTATGGACAAGTGGGGATATGTAGCCAATGGGCAAAGAGAGGGGGTCAGTGGATGGGAAATTACTAAGAGGTGATATCAAGTATAGGGAGATTCTTGTTAAAGGCAAGCCAAGGCTGAGGCCTAGTTGAGAAGAGGGCTCAGAAGAGTCAGACAAAAATCTGGATAAGGTGGGAATCTTTATCAATCCCTGAGAACAATGCTCAGAATGGATGCCACTAACCAGAGTTACATTCAGGCTTTGAGAATCATGCTCGAAAAGTTCAGAAATGTAGAGAGAGGTTGTTTGTTTATTACACTTCCATATTTATTCATCCAAATTGTTCAAGTGGTAACTTTCCAATCAACTCAATATCAAAATGTCTTAATTTATGACTGTTTAAAAAGGTCATAAAAGATTCTGAAATAGGAAATTATTTAAATAATATTCAAATAATTTGATAATAATGTCCCTGGATCCTCCCCAAATATTTATGCTCTTACCTATTTATTTTTTCAGTGATGGCTACCATCTTACTGCTATCTCCTCTTTTACTATACACTTCTTTTAGCATACTATACTATACTATACTATATGATAAGATACAATACGATACCTCTATACCCTATCTGCACATATAACTTTGCCAACTTATCACAGATTTATTAATTTAGAAAAATAATCTGGAAGAAAACCTTTTTCATCCTTTATAATCTACTTTAGGAAGTGGTTTCCATAATTCATAAAATCATGCAACAGCTGAAAAAGGCTTTAATGATCATCTTTTCCAACCCTCTCATTTAGCAATTTAGGAAACAGAGGTCCAGACCAGTTAGTATTTTAATTAAGTTTGGTAGTTAATACTGAGCTAAAAATAAACATAGAATTCCATAACTTAAGTTTAACATTTATTCTAGTAACAAAAATAGACTTAAGAATTTTTTTAAAGGCTTGGACTAAGCATAATAGAAAATACTAGTTCCTCCTGCTCCTCTCAGAGGAGATAGGTAAGGACTCGTTATCACCATCTTTAGCTATAAAGGAGTTGATATGGTGTCTGAATTAAGGAGTTTCTTGCACTTTGTACATCCTGAGATTTACACTGAATATGTTATTTACCAAGAGTTCTATTCAAATATCAATGGAAATTATAAGAAAAGCCTTAAACCAGAAGTAGAGAGATTTGTAGCTTTTCCCTGAGATTGTCACCAACAAACTGTATGATACTCCAAGTTTCTTAACCTTCCTGATCACAGTCTTCCCAACTATAAACTAAGAAGAAGATATAATTATTTAGGTTTCCTACAGTTTGAAAATGCTGGCTTTTAATCTTGCACTAAACTGGATGGAGGTGGGTAAGATAAGTATATATAAAGAAAACACCTCACACTGGGTTAGTGCACAGTATGTCCTCAATACAAAGTTTGGGAATTAAGGGAATTATTACCCTTTGTTTCCTGCCCTCCCTTCCTCCCTTACTTCCTTCCTTCCTGTACGAGAGGGAAGATGCAGAATGGGGAATGATGGGGAGCCTGGGTGGGCAGGTGAGCATCAGTGTTAGTGAGCAGACTGCGTTAGACTCTAGACCACTTACTTGATTAGAATGTTAGGATACACTACTTGGGTTCTAAGGGAAAACAGTATAAAATCAGCTAAAAATTTTAACTAAGAGAAGGAATATTCTCCTTAACAAATCCCCAATGTAATCAGTTTTATAGCTTTAATTTTCAAGATTCAAATCTAGACATATTCTCTTAAAAAAAATCCTAAACTTCATGTAGATCTGATATATCAAATATCTAACAGGAGCATATCGACATGAAGTATTAATGGAGAACTGGTAATTAGTGGTTTTTATTCCTCATTCAGTGGCCTTACTAATTAGCAATCAAATACTTTGACTGAATTATGGCCTGTTTTCTCACCAGTTCCCTCATTCATCAGCCTAAGTATTTAAATCCTTTTTGTATTCTCAACCTTTATCAACTATGATCTTTCTTTTACAGTGGGACCTAAGTATACTTAGAAGACTAAACAATATTTCTAGCCCAAAGCAATGTCCCTGTCTAATTTGAGCAGTTGAGCAAAAATCACAGGCAATAAGTCAGTTCTTGTGTAGAAGCCTTAGTCACTTGAACTTGATTGAAGTGTGTGATGGACTTTTCTTTGCTTGGAGTGCACCATAGTCAATACAGTCAGGATTGGAGAATGTATGTGCATAACAGGCAGTTGGGAGATTTTCACATTTGGGGAGCAGTTTTAAAATGCAATGCCACAGTTTGTGAAAGCCACAGAAAAGTTTTGAGTGAAACACAGATGATGAGATTGAAGGAGAGACACAACCTGTTCTTTTTCCACTCTGGAATGGGCTGCATTCATACATAATATCTCTGTAAGGTTTAATGACTAAGCAACAACCAGAAAACCCAATACCATATGTTGTGTACGGTCTCACAGGAAAAAGAGACTGTTAACTGTCTAAAGAGAAAAGGCCTCTTGAGGCATCTGAAAGTGACTTTCTGGAGGAGAGAAAGGAAAAATAAATAAAGTCTCTGAAAAGACCAACAGAAGAGATGGTGAGTGCAAGCAAAAATGAACTGGTTTCCCTAACTTCCAGCAAAGTATTTGGGTTGAGGCAATAGTGAGCCCCAGCTATGAGAAGGCACAGCAGGTTCTTGAGGTGCTGGGACAATAATTTCAGAGGGACTTTAAAAAGGGGAAAAATCTTCAAGGACAACCAGGAAGTTTAACCATGACAAAAAGAACTTTTGCCACCTTAAAGCCAGGATATGGGCGTGTAAAGGAATTGGGACATGGTACTTCCACATATCACAGTATGCAAAAGCGTAAGCTCAGGAGCCAGGCTGCTGGATTCGAATCCCAGTTCTGCTCCTTACCAGCTGTGGGACCATGGGCAAATTCCTAAACATCTCTTTTCTTCAGTTTCCTCTCAGAATAGTGCTTGGCACTGTGAGTACATATTCACTACCATTAAAATACCAACAAATCTGTATTGTTTTATATAAATTTATGTTTACTAACAAAATATAACTATGCTGCAAAAGTTCCTGTCTTGTACTTCAGATATTTCCAGGAGTGTCAGATAGAAGAAAGGAGACTATATTAAGCAGGGTATGGTACTTAAAAAGATCCAAGGAGATGCGTGTGTTTGCATGTTGCAGGGGAGTGGGGTGGGTAGGATCAACCCCGTGCAACAAATATATCATTCCCTTTTTGCATGAAGTCAAATGGGAAATTTACATAAAATACATTGTATACAAATTTATTACATAAGTATATTTTTCCACAGGGAATATCCTTTCATCAATTCTCAAAAGATTAGGTATTTCTAGCTTACTTATCCGTAAGCATTTTTATAAAGAATATTTTGTCACATACCTACCTTGAGCAACTAATTAAAAGCAATGAATCTTGCTCATAAATTAAAATATAGTTTGGTATTCAACTCAGCTATGACTCCCACAGATGTCAGTTGGAATTCTTATTGAGGTGGGAATGACAGTCAATCCAGCCAGAACCCAGTAAGTCTGTGTGTCCAAAAGGCAGTCTTCCTCTTACTTGCCACAAGCATGTACACTATGTCAACACATCTCTGAATCCCAGTGCAAGAGTTTTCTGGACCCATCAATCTATCACTACCAACAACTTGTTGAAGACTCTTATTTAAAGCCTCAATAAAGATGACTCCTTCCTGCTTTTGCTCCAAATGCAAATCAAGTAGATAAATGTACGTAGTATGGCAAATTGAGTTACACTATAGTTGATTTAATACCAAGATTTCTTTCCGAATATTAAAATGTCATATTCATTTGCTCACGCTTCTAGTTATTCTTTCTTTACATCTGTATTGGTTTAATTTTAGTTATATAAAAAACATTTTATTTAAAAAATTCAAGCACAGAAACATTACATTGTAAGAATAAATAGTCCAATTTCACTTTAGGTGAATCTCACTCCCCTCTTCACAGGTAATGAGGGTTAACAGTAAGTAGGCTGCAATTCATTTCAGGTAACTTTTCTTTTTTCTTTTATTTGCTTTTGTTTTATCTTCTTTTCTTTTTTTTTTGTTTTTACTTTTTAATTTCTTTTTGAGGGAGAGTGCAAACGAAATTCCTCACTACCACAAATTATGCCTTGGGTTTTCCACATTAGGGGAAGTCACAGGGGTCAGAACATCCAGAGTGCAATGGATAAGCCCACTCTGGGTAAACCACCTTTGTAATCACAATATCTCACCTGCCTAGTAAGTATCCCCAGATCACCTCCCATGCAATATGTAAGATATATACACATGCATATATTTATATATGTGTGTGTAAATTTATGCACATACATACATATAATTTTGTTTTTAAACACATTTTTTTACCAAATGTCATAATTCTATACCTAATATCACAATTTACTTTTTCCACTTTTCAATATGTGCTGGAGATCTTTCCATGCTGGCATATACATGACTGGTATATATATAAATCTATGTAATTATTCTACAGTACAAATATACTGCAGTTCAACTAACAATGGATGTGTAGGTTGAGTGTAGTTTTGTTAACTATCAAATCTTTGTATTTGCATCTTTAGGCAAGTGGGGCTTATTTCTCTAGAAAAGACATCTAGAGGTAGAATCACTGGCACTAGAAAGACTGCACGTTAAATTTTTGTTAGATTCTGAAATTTTTCTCTGCAAAAGGCTGAATCAACTTAATATGGTTTGGCTATGTCCCCACCCAAATCTCATCTCGAAGTGTAATACAAATTATAATCCCCACCTGGCAGGGGAAGGACCTGGTGGGAGGTGATTGGATCATGGGGGCTGTTTCCCCCATGCTGTTCTCATGATAGTGAGTTCTCATGAGGTCTGATGGTTTTATAAGTGGCAGTTTACCCTCTTTCTCTTTCTTTCTCTCTCTCACCTGCTGCCATGTAAGACATGCCTGCTTCACCTGTAATCCCAACATATCAAGGGAGGGAGGTAATTGAATTATGGGAGCAGATTCCCCCATGCTGTTCTCGTGATATTGAGTTCTCATGAGATCTGATGGTTTTATAAGGCAGTTTTCCCTGCTCTTGCTCACTGTCTCTCACTTGCCACCATGTAAGACATGCCTGCTTCCCCTTCTGCCATGATTGTAAGTTTTCTGAGGCCTCCCCAGCCATGCAGAGCTGTAAGTCAATTAAACCTCTTTCCTTTATAAATTACCCAGTCTCAGGGAAATTCTTTATAGCAGTGTGTAAATGGACTAATACACAACTTGTACACACACCTACAGAGTTATTCAGCACTTGTTTTACATCATCATTACCCACTGTGGAGATTATTAAGCTTTGTAATTTTTTCCTACCATGATGGGAAAAAAATGTATCATTTTCTTTTCATTTACATTTTCCTGCTTGCTAATGAAGTTAAGCATCTTTTAAAATGTTTTTCAGCTATTTTTAGTTATTTAGTTCATTGTATAATTTTTTATTTCATAATTTATGGTCCCTATGAATTGTGGTAAATAATCTTTTGACAGTTACATGTGTAACATATTTTCTCCCAGTCTGTCACTTTTCCTTTATTTATCATAATTTTATCATTTGAAAGTTTTAAATTGTTATATAGGTAGATATGACAACTCTCTCCTTTAAGAATTCTGAATTTAGGGTTTTCTTAGAAAACCCTTCAAAGCCCTAAATTATAAATAAATCTGCTGTAAGTCTGATGGGCTTCCCTTTGAGGGTAACCCAACCTTTCTCTCTGGCTGCCCTTAACATTTTTTCCTTCATTTCAACTTTGGTGAATCTGACAATTATGTGTCTTGGTGTTGCTCTTCCCGAGGAGTATCTTTGTGGCGTTCTCTGTATTTCCTGAATCTGAATGTTGGCCTGCCTTGCTAGATTGGGGAATTTCTCCTGGATAATATCCTGCAGAGTGTTTTCCAACTTGGTTCCATTCTCCCCGTCACTTTCAGGTACACCAATCAGACGTAGATTTGGTCTTTTCACATAGTCCCATATTTCTTGGAGGCTTTGCTCATTTCTTTTTATTCTTTTTTCTCTAAACTTCCCTTCTCGCTTCATTTCATTCATCTTCCATCGCTGATACCCTTTCTTCCAGTTGATCGCATCGGCTCCTGAGGCTTCTGCATTCTTCACGTAGTTCTCGAGCCTTGGTTTTCAGCTCCATCAGCTCCTTTAAGCACTTCTCTGTATTGGTTATTCTAGTTATACATTCTTCTAAATTTTTTTCAAAGTTTTCAACTTCTTTGCCTTTGGTTTGAATGTCCTCCTGTAGCTCGGTGTAATTTGATTGTCTGAAGCCTTCTTCTCTCAGCTCGTCAAAGTCATTCTCCATCCAGCTTTGTTCCGTTGCTGGTGAGGAACTGCGTTCCTTTGGAGAGGAGAGGCGCTCTGCTTTTTAGAGTTTCCAGTTTTTCTGCTCTGTTTTTTCCCCATCTTTGTGGTTTTATCTACTTTTGGTCTTTGATGATGGTGATGTACAGATGGGTTTTTGGTGTGGATGTCCTTTCTGTTTGTTAGTTTTCCTTCTAACAGACAGGACCCTCAGCTGCAGGTCTGTTGGAGTACCCGGCCGTGTGAGGTGTCAGTCAAGGCTACAGTAACCAAAACAGCATGGTACTGGTACCAAAACAGAGATATAGATCAATGGAACAGAACAGAGGCCTCAGAAATAACGCCGCATATCTACAACTATCTGATCTTTGACAAACCTGAGAAAAACAAGCAATGGGGAAAGGATTCCCTATTTAATAAATGGTGCTAGGAAAACTGGCTAGCCATATGTAGAAAGCTGAAACTGGATCCCTTCCTTACCCCTTATACAAAAATCAATTCAAAATGGATTAAAGACTTAAAGGTTAGACCTAAAACCATAAAAACCCTAGAAGAAAACCTAGGCATTACCATTCAGGACATAGACATGGGCAAGGACTTCATGTCTAAAACACCAAAAGCAATGGCAACAAAAGCCAAAATTGACAAATGGGATCTAATTAAACTCAAGAGCTTCTGCATAGCAAAAAAAAAAAACTACCATCAGAGTGAACAGGCAACCTACAAAATGGGAGAAAATTTTCGCAACCTACTCATCTGACAAAGGGCTAATATCCAGAATCTACAATGAACTCAAACAAATTTACAAGAAAAAAACAAACAACCCCATCAAAAAGTGGGCAAAGGACATGAACAGACACTTCTCAAAGGAAGACATTTATGCAGGCAAAAAACACATGAAAAAATGCTCATCATCACTGGCCATCAGAGAAATGCAAATCAAAACCAAAATGAGATACCATTTCACACCAGTTAGAATGGCAATCATTAAAAAGTCAGGAAACAACAGGTGCTGGAGAGGATGTGGAGAAATAGGAACACTTTTACACTGTTGGTGGGACTGTAAACTAGTTCAACCCTTGTGGAAGTCAGTGTGGCGATTCCTCACGGATCTAGAACTAGAAATACCATTTGACCCAGCCATCCCATTACTGGGTATATACCCAAAGGACTATAAATCATGCTGCTATAAAGACACATGCACAGGTATGTTTATTGCGGCATTATTCACAATAGCAAAGACTTGGAACCAACCCAAATGTCCAACAATGATAAACTGGATTAAGAAAATGTGGCATATATACACCATGGAATACTATGCAGCCATAAAAAATGATGAGTTCATGTCCTTTGTAGGGACATGGATGAAATTGGAAATCATCATTCTCAGTAAACTATCGCAAGAACAAAAAACCAAACACCACACATTCTCACTCATAGGTGGGAACTGAACAATGAGAACACATGGACACAGGAAGGGGAACATCACACTCTGGGGACTCTTGTGGGGCGGTGGGAGTGGAGAGGGATAGCACTGGGAGATATACCTAATGCTAGATGACGAGTTAGTGGGTGCAGCGCACCAGCATGGCACATGTATGCATATGTAACTAACCTGCACATTGTGCACATGTACCCTAAAACTTAAAGTATAATAATAATAAATAAATAAATAAAAATTATAAATAAATATTCTCTTTATTTTCTAAACATAATTTTATATTTCTGTACTTTATGTATAATTGTTTGGTCTATTTCAAAATAATTTTGTGAGGGTGCGAGGTAGGGCAAAACTTAATTTTATTTCCAAACTGTCAAAAAGTTGTCCCACTACTATTTATTAAATAGCCTATTTGTTCCCATTAATTTCACCACAGGGTAACATATCACATTGCCTTTGTCACATATTAAATTTTCCTATGTAGCTGGATCTGATCTTATACTCTTTTTCTGTGCAGTCAAGCTGCCTCTTCCTGAACACCTGTTTAAGTAGGGTAGGTTTAGCTGCTATACAGCTTTACACTATGTATTTTTTAATGAAATTGAGCAAATGCCACTTTTTGATATTTTCAAAATAGTCTTGGCTATTATTACATTTTTCTCTTTAATTGAACTTTAAATTAAACATGTCAAGGTTCACAAAGAGTTCTTTTAAGATTTTATATGGGATTGCATTAAATTTATAGATTAATTTGGGGAGAAATAACATCTTTACAATGTTAAATATTATCTTTCAGGAACATGCTATGCCTCTGCATTTATTTAGGCTGATTTATATATCCTTCAAAGAGTGTTACACTGTTTTTCGTAACAGTCTTTCAGATCTTTTGTTAGGTTTAATTCTCCCTGTTTTTTATTTCTGCTGCTATTCTGATTGGGATATTATTCCATGACATGTTCTAATTGATTATTACCCTATATGGAAATATTATTGTGCATTAAATTTTCCTTAGTTTTAATAGTTTTTTTCAGTTTATTTTCTTGGGTTTTCTAAGTAGGTAATCACATTTTATACAAAATATATGGTAGTTTAATCCATATATTTTGGATATATGCTAGTTTAATCCTTGCGTAACCAATGAATACATGTGTCTGTCCTGTTTATATTTGTCTTTATGAAATTTTGAATAGGAATATTGAGAGTAGATACTATCATATTCTTCCTGACTATATGATAGCCTTTCACAGATAAATAAGACATAATGTCCCAGGGTTTCGAATTTCCTGTTACCTGTTTTATTCAGAGGACAGTCATATTTCTATAGCTGAAAAATACTTACAAAAATATGATACTGTGCATGAATAGCAATACTTCAAATCACTTTAATCGCCGTACATTGTAAGTTCCTCATAAAAGCCACCAAAGCTAAAATACAGTGTGTTCAACAAACTTTTATTAGACTGCCAACTGAAATTATTATAATAATGTAATTCTGGCATAAACTTTGACTATATTTTATTCCATATTATATTTTATCTCATATAAATAGATACAAATGGATATATAACAAATATCTAAAATATAATCCCAATAGCAAAATAACCACCATGTAACCACATTCAAATTCAGAATGTCTGTGTTTTGATCCATATGCAGAAGAATAAAACTAGACCTCTATCTCTCATCATATACAAAAATCAAATCAAAAAGATTGAAGACTTAAATCTAAGGCCTCAAACTATGAAGCCACTAAAATAAAACATTGGGGAACCTCCCCCAGGACTTTGGACTGGGCAAAGATTTCTTGAGTAATACCCCATCACAAGCACAGGAAACTAATGCAAAAACTGGACATATTGGATCACATCAAGTTAAAAAAGCTTCTGCACTGAAAAAGAAACAATCAACAAAGTGAAGGAACAACCCACAGAATGGTAGAAAATATTTGCTAACTATCCATCTGACAAGAGATTAATAACCAGAATACATAAGGAGCTCAAACAACTATATAGAAAAATAAACTAATAATCTGATTTTAAAATGGGCAAAAGATCTTAATAGACATTTGTGTTAGTCCATTTTCATACAGCTATAAAGAACTGCCTGAGACTGAGTAATTTATAAAAGAAAGAGGTTTAATTGACTGACAGTTTCACATGGCTGGAGAAGCCTCAGGAAACTTACAATTATGGCAGAAGGCAAAGGGGAAGAAAGGCACCCTCTTTACAAGGCAGCAGGAAGGAGAAGTGAACACAGGAGGAACTATCAAACACTTATAAAACCATCAGATCTCATGAGAACTCACTCACTATCACAAAAATAGCATGAGGGAAACCACCCTCATGATTCAATTACCACCACCTGGTCTCTCCCTTGACATGTGAGCATTATGGGGATTACAATTTAAGATGAGATTTTGGGTGCAGACACAGCTAAACCATATCAACATTTCTCAAAAGAAGACATACAAATGGAAAACAATCATATAAAAATATGCTCAACATCATTGATAATCAGAAAAATGCAAACAAAATCTACAATGAGATATCATCTCACTCCAGTTAAAATGGCTTATATCCAAAAGACAGGGAATAACAAATGCTGGCAAAGATGTGAAAAAAAGGGAACTCTCACATACTTTTAGTGGGAATGTAATTAGTACAACTACTATAAAGAACAGTTTGGAGGTTCTTCAAAAAATTAAAAGTAGGGTCGTACAATCCAGGAATCCCACTCCTATGTATATACCCAAAAGAAAGCAAATCAGTATATTGAAGAGATGTGTTCATTCCTATGTTTACTGCAGCACTATTCACAATAACCAAGATTTTGAAGCAACCTAAGTGTCCATCAACAGATCAATGGATAAAGAAAATATTGTGTTTATACACAATGCAGTACTATTCAGCCATAAAGAAGAATGAGATTCTGTTATTTACAACATCATGGATGGAACTTGAGATCATTATGTTAAGTGATAAAGCCAGGCACAGAAAGAGAAACTTTGCATGTTCTCATGTATTTGTGGGAACTAAACATTAAAACAATTGAACTCGTGAAGACAGAGATTAGAACTATGATTCCCAGAGGCTGGGAAGGGTAGTGGTAGGGGTAGGGGGAATGGGGATGGTTAATGGGTACAAAAATATAGCTAAATAGAATGAATAAGATCTAATATTTGATAGAACAACAAAGTGACCATGGTCAACAATAATTTATTGTATATTTTAAAATAAAAGAGCATATTGGAATGTTTGTAACATCATAAAATAGTATATGTTTGAGGTGATGGATATCCCATTTTCCCTGATCTGATTATTATACATTGTATTTCTGTATCAAAATATTTTAATGTACCTCATAAATATATACACCAACTATGTACTCAATAAAAATTAAAAATTAAAATTTCTTTAAAAGAATATCTATGTTATGAGATTTATACAAATGAATTCATGCTGTATGTAGTCCAAAATATTTTGCCATTCTAGTATTATGTAGGTAAGAGTCATCTTTGTTGTTGCAAATCATTATAGTTCATTTATATGCACTGCTTTTTAATATTCCATTTAAAATTGACTAGTCAATAATTTATTTTTATATTTGCCATTTTAAAAACACTTTTGACTGTGTCTAGTTTTCTGCAATATTAAGAATAATGCTATTGAAGTAATTATACATGTTTTCTTGCATGTGTGTATGATTTGCTCTAGGACATTCCTTAGAAGTGAAATTTCTAGTGCAAAAAGATTTTGAATACACAAGTTTTATAATGCTTACTATAGATTTATTGGAAGATACACTTTATGCACAAAAGGAAGTTCTCTTTTAGTCCTAATTTACTAATAGTCTAGCATAGGTAGTTGTTGAATTTCATTAAATGCTTTAGCTACAGTGAATATCAGCTATTCATAAAATAATACTATATAATAAACCACCCCAAACTCAATGTCTTAAAGCAATAATTATTTCTACTCATTCATATATCTGTGGGTAGGCTGCAGTTAGCTCTTCTAGGCTGGGACCATATGTATTGACTCCAAGTTTTGGGTAGGATGTGGTCTGCTCCACACCGCTCTCTTCCTCCCTGAAGTAGCAGGCTAGCTGATAAAAGTTCATTTTGTGGCAATGGCAGAAACACAAGAGTCTTGTTTGGTATCAAAGTCATTGACCTCATAGACAGAACACATAATCATAACATTAAGTGGTAAGATAACTCAGCTGCAAAACTGTCAAGGCCTATTGTTTTCTTTGTTGAAAATGTTTGAATCTATTGATTGATCAATATATTTAATGATCGTAGGAGGATTTAGGCACTTTTTCTTGAGTCAGTTCTGGTAAATTATATTATTTATGGAATTTATTCATTTTATACATTTTCAAAATCATTGGCCTCAGTTGAGAGGTGGAGTAAGATGGTGGAATAGAAAGCTCCACCTATCATCCCCATCCCTGCATCCCTCACAAGGACACCAAGTTAACAACTATCTACACAGGAAAAACACAATCATGAGAATGAAAAATCAGGTGAGCATGCATAGAACCTGGCTTTCACTTCATATCTCTGAGAGAGGCACTGACGAGATAAAAAAGACAGTAAGACAGTTCTGAATTGCCAACACCACTCCTTCCCCACTCCCCACTCCAGGCAGCTGCAGCATGGTGTGAAGAGCCTCTATGGGCATTGGCGGAGAACACAGCAATTCTGAGGCACTGAACTGGACAAGAAAACCAGACAAAGTGAGCTGATGACCACCCATACAGGGAGAATTTAAATCAGCCCTAGTCAGCAGAGAATCATTTATTTCAGCATTCCAAACTTGAGTGCCCACAAACCTCACCACCTAGGGCCAAAATGTTCTGTTTCTAAGAAAACTTGAAAGTCAGTCTAAGCCAAAAGGACTGCAACTCATTGGTAAGTCCTAAGGCTGAACTAGGCCCAAAGACAGTAGACTAGGGAGGCATGTTACCTACTGAGACACCAGCTGGGGTGGCTCCAGGAGTGCTGGCAATGCTGGCATCATGCCTCCCCTAACTGCAGGCACAGCTCAGTTGGGTACTTTAAGAGATGCCTTCCTTCTGCTTGAGGAGAGGAGAGGGAAGGAGTGGGGAGGACTTTGTCTTGCATCTTAGATACCAGCTCAACTACAGCAGGGAAGGGCATCAGTCAGAGTCATGAGGCCCCCATTTCAGGTGCTACCTCACAGATGACATTTCTAGACATACCTTGGGCCAGAAGGGAACTTGCTTCCTTGAAGGAAAAGACCCAGTCCTGCCAGCATTCATCACTTACTAACTGAAGGACCCCTGGGCCCTGAGTAACCAGCAGTGATACCTGGGTCCTACATGGAGGGCCCTGGTGAGCCCCTGAGACTTGCTGGCTTCAGGTGAGACTCAGCAAATAATCAGCTGTGGTGGCTATGGGGCAAAACTCCTTCTCTCTGAGACAAGCAGAGGGAAAAGCAAAGCGGACTTTGTTTTGCACCTTAGGTACCATCATAGCCACGGGGGGTAGAGTACCAAGCAGGGTCATGGGGTCCCTAATTCCAGGACTTGACCTGTGGACAGCATTTCTGGAGCTGCCCTAAGCCAGAGGGGAGACCACTGCCCTGAAGAGTGAGTTCTGGGCCAAGCAGTATTCATGACAAGCTAACTTAAGAGACCATGGGCCTCAAGGGAACATCAGAGGAAGTCTGGCAGTACTCCTCATGGCCTAGGGTGGTGACGGCTATGGGGTGAGGCTCCCCTGCCTTTGAAAAGGGGAAGGAAGAATGACAAGAACTGTATCTTGTGTTTTGAATGCTAGCTCAGCCACAATACAATAGAATGCGAGATAGACTTCTATCTAATCTTGTCCAAGACAACAAAGGCGATACCTCTACAAGTCTGCAAGAACCACAGTGTTACTGGGTTTGGGATACTCCTTAAAGCAGAAACTGCTTAGATCACAACACTCAAGTTCTTTCAAATAATTTGTGAAAAGCCTTCCCAAAAGGACAGCTACAAATAAGCCCAGATGGTGAAAACTACAATAAATGCCTAACTCTTCAATTCCCAGACACTGAAGAACATCTAGTAGCATCAACACTATCCAGGAAAACATGACCCTACCAAATGAATGAACCAAATAAGCACAAGGGAACAATCCTGGAGAAACAGAGATATGTCACCTTTTAAACAGAGAATTCAAAGTAACTGTGTCGAGGAAACTCAAAGATGTTCAAGATAATGCAGCGAAGGAATTCAGAATTCTATCAGATAAATTTAACAAAGAGATTGAAGTAATGAAAAAAAATCACGTAGAAATTCTGGACCTGAAAAATGCCATTGGCATACTGAAGAATACATCAGAGTACTTTAGTAGCAGAATCAATCAAGCAGAAGAAAAAAAAAATAGTGAGCTTGAAGACAGACTATTTGAAAATATACAGAGAAGACAAAAGAAAAAAAGAATAAAAACAATGAAGCATGCCTACATGATCTAGAAAATAGCCTCAGAAGGCCAAATCTAAGAGTTATTGACCATATATAGAGGGGACAGAGAAAAAGATAGAGGTAGAAAGTTTACTCAAAGGGATAATAACAGAGAACTTCCCAAACTGAGAGAAAAATATCAATACCCAAGTACAAGAAGGTTATAGAACATGATGCAGATTTAATCCAAAGATGACTACCTCAAGGCATTTAATAGTCAAAACTCCTGAAAGTTAAGGTTAAAGAATTCTAAAAGCAAAAAGAGAAAAGAAACAAATAATATATAATGGAGCTCCAGTACATCAGGCAGTAGACTTTTCAGTGGAAACCTTACAGGCCAGAAGAGAGTAGCATGGCATATTGAAAATGCTGAAGGAAAAGAACTTTTACCCTAGAATAATATAACTGGTGAAAATATTCTTCAAACATGAAGGAGAAATAAAGACTTTCCCAGACAAACAAAAGCTGAAGGATTTTATCAATACCAGAGCTGTCCTCCAAGAAATGTTAAAGGGAGTACTTCAATTAGAAAGAAAAGGACATTAATGGGCAATAAATAATCATCTGAAGGTACAAAACTTAATGGTAGTAGTAAGTACACAGAAAAACAGAGAATATTATAACACTGTACCTGCAATGTGTAAATTACTCTTATCCGAAGTAGAAAGACTAAAGTGTGAATCAATAAAAAATCATAAGTACAACAATTTTTCAAGATATAGTTAGTACAATAAGATATAAATAGAAACAATAAAAAGTTAAAAAGTAGTGGGTATGGGACCAGCGTGGTGGCTCATGCCTGTAATCCCAGCACTTTGGGAAGCCAAGGTGGGTGGATCACCTGAGGTCAGGAGTTTGAGACGAGTCTAACCAAACTGGTGAAACCCCATCTCTACTAAAAATACAAAAATTAGCCAGGCATGGTGGTGGGTGCCTGTAATCCCAGCTACTCAGGAGGCTGAGGCAGGAGAATCACTTGAACCTGGGAGGCAGAAGTGGCAGTGAGCCAAGATTGAGCCATTGCACTCCAACCTGGGTGACAGAGAGAGACTCCATCTCAAAAAAACTAAAACTAAAATAAAAGACTTAAAAATGAGACCTAAAACCATAAAAACCCTAGAAGAAAATCTAGGCAATACCATTCAGGACATAGGCATGGGCAAAGACTTCATGACTAAAACACCAAAAGCAATGGCAACAAAAGCCATTGACAAATGGGATCTAATTAAACTAAAGAGCTTCTGCACAGCAAAAGAAACTATTATCAGATTGAACAGGCAACCTACAGAATGGGAGAAAAATTGTGCAATCTATCCATCTGACAAAGAGCTAATATCCAGAATCTACAAAGAACTTAAATAAATTTACAAAAGAAAAACAAACAACCTCATCAAAAAGTGGGCAAAGGATATGAACAGACACTTCTCAAAAGAAGACATTTATGCAGCCAACAAAATATGAAAAAAAGCTCATAATCCCTGGTCATTAGAGAAATGCAAATCAAAACCACAATGAGATACCATCTCACATCAGTTAGAATGGCAATCATTAAAAAGTCAGGAAACAACAGATGCTGGAGAGGATGTGCAGAAATGGGAATGCTTTTACACAGTTCATGGGAGTGTAAATTAGTTCAATCATTGTGGAAGACAGTGTGGCAATTCCTCAAGGATCTAGAACTAGAAATACAATTTGACCCAGCAATCCCATTACTGGGTATATACCCAAAGGATTATAAATCATTCTACTATAAAGACACATGCACACATATGTTTTTTGCAGCACTGTTCAAAATAGAGACTTGGAACCAATCCAAATGCCCATCAATGATAGACTAGATAAAGAAAATGTGGCACATATACACCATGGAATACTATGCAGTCATAAAAAAGGATGAGTTCATGTCCTTTGCAGGGACATGGGTGAAGCTGGAAACCATCATACTCAGCAAACAACAGGAACAGAAAACCGAACACTGCATGTTCTCACTCATAAGTTGGAGTTGAACAATGAGAACACATGGACACATGGAGGACAACATCACACACTGGGGCCTGTTGATGGGTGGGAGGCTAGGGGAGGGATAGCATTAGGAGAAATATCTAATGTAGATGATGGGTTGATCGGTGCAGCACACCACCATGGCACATGTATACCTATGTAACAAACCTGCACGTTCTGCACAAGTATCCCAGAACTTAAAGTATCATTAAAAAAAAAAATTTAAAAAGAAAGTAGTGGGGATGAAGTTATGGTGACTATTTATTAGTTTTCTTTCTGTTTGTTCATTTGTTTATGCAAATAGTGTTAAGTAGTTATCAGGTTAAAATAATAAGTTATAAGAGAGTATTTGAAAGCCTCATGGTAACCTCAAACCAAAAAACATACAATGGATACACACACACACAAAAAGGAAGAAACTAAATAATATCACCAGAGAAAATCATCTTTACTAGAAGAAGACAGAAATGAAAGAAAGAAGACCAGAAAACAAATAACAAAGTGGCAGCAATAAGTTCTTATTTATCAATAATAATATTAAATGTAAATGGACTAAACCCTTCAATCAAAAGACAGAGACTGGTGAAATGGATGAAAAAACAAGAGCCATTGATACAAGAAACATACTTCACATATAAAGACACACATAGACTGAAAATAAAGGGATGGAAAAACATATCCCATGCCAATTGAAACCAAAACAGAGCAGGATTTGCTATACTCATATAAGACAAAATAGATTTCAAGACAAAAACTACAAAGAAGTTGACTTGTAGACAAAGCAGTTGACTACATAGGATAAAAGGGTCGAGTCAGCAAGAAGATAAAACAATTTTAAATATATATGCACCCAACATGGGAGCACCCAGGTATATAAAGGAAATATCATTAGAGCTAAAGAGAGATATAGGCCCCAATACAATACAATATTAACTGGAGACTTCAATACCCCACTTTCAGCACTAGACAGACCTTCTAGGCAGAAAATCAAGAACAACAACAACAAAAAAAGAAAAACAGTCTTAATCTGTACTATAGACTAAATGGATCTAAATATATTTACAGAACATTTCATCTGAGAGCTTAAGAATACACATTCTTTTTCTTAGCACACATGGATCATTCTCAAGAACAGACCATATGTTAGATCACAAAACAAGTCTTAAAACATTTCAAAAAATTAAAATAGCATAAAGCATCTTCTCTCACCACAATGGAATAAAACTAGAAATTAATAGGAGGAATTTAGGGAACTATACAAATACATAAAAATTAAATATTATGCTCCTGAATGACCAGTGGGTCACTGAAGAAATTAAGAAGGAAACGGAAAAATGTCATGAAACAAATGGTAAGGAAGACACAACATATCAAAACCTGTGGGATACAGCCAAAGCAGTACTAACAGGGAAGTTTACAGCTATAAGTGCCTACATCAAAAAGAAGAAAAACTTCAAATAAACAATCTAATGATGTATATTAAAGAATTAGAAAAGCAAGAGCAAACCAAACCCAACATTAGAAGAAAAGAAATAGCATAGATCAGAGTAAAAATAAATAAAATTGAAATGGAAAAAAATACAAAACATCAATGCAACAAAAAATTGGTTTCTTGAAAACTTAAAGAAAATGGACAAACTTTCAGCCAGACTAAGAAAAAAAGAGACAAGGTCCAAGTAAATACAATCAGAAATGAAAAAGGAGACATTACAACTGATACTGCAGAAACTCAAAGGATCATTAGAGGCTACTATGAGCAACTATATGCTGATAATTGGAAAATGGACAAAGTCTCAGATATATGCAACCTACCAAGATTGAACCCAGAAGAAATCTAAAACCTGAACCCATCAATAACAAGAAACGAGATCAAAGATATAATAAAAAGTCTTCCAGTAAAGAAAAGCCCAGGACCTGATGGCTTCACTGTTGAATTCTACCAAACATTTAAAGAACTAATACCAATCCTACTCAAAATATTCCAAAAAATTGAGGAGTAAGGAATATTTTCAAAGTCATTCTATGAGTCCAGTATTACCCAGATAGCAAAACCAGAAAAAGATACATAAAAAAAGAAAGAAAGAAAACTACAGGCCATTATCTCTGATATTGATGCAAAAGTCCTCAACGAAATACTAGCAATCCAAATTCAGTAATACATTAGAGAAATCATTCATCATGACCAAGAGGGACTTACCTCTGGGATGCAAGCATAGTTTAACATATGCAAATCAATCAATGTGATATATAATATTAATCAAATGAGGGATAAAAACCATATGATCATTTCAATTGATGCTGGAAAAGCATTTGATAAAATTTACTATTGCTTCATGATGAAAACCATCAACAAACTGGGTATAGAAGGAACATACCTCAATATAATAAAATTCATATATGACAGGCCCACAGCTAATATTATACTGAATGGGGAGAAACTAAAAGCCTTTCCTTTAAGATCTGGAACACAACAAGGATGCCCACTGTCACCACTGTTATTTAACATAGTACTCTAAGTCCTATCTAGAGCAATCAAAAAAGAGAAAGATATAAAGGGCATCCAAATTGAAAGGAAGAAGTCAAATTATCCTTGTTTGCTGATGATGTAAACTTACATTTGGAAAAACCTAAAGATTCCACAAGAAAACTACTAGAACAGATAAACAAATAAGTAAAGTTGCAGGATACAAAATCAACATACAAAAATCAGTAGCATTTCTATATGCCAACAATGAAAAATGTGAGAAAGAAATCCAAAACAGTAATCCCATTTACAATAGCCACACATAAAATTAAATACCTTGGAATTAACCAAAGAAGTGAATGATCTCTATAATAAAAACTATAAAACCCTGATGAAGGAAGTTGAAGAGGACACCAAAAAAAATGGAAAAATATTCTATGTTCATAGATGGGAAGAATCAATATTGTTAAAATGTCCATGCTATCCAACACAATCTACAGATTCAATGCAATCTCTATCAAAATACCAATGACATTCTTCAAATAAATAGAAAAGAAAATTATAAAATGTATATGGAACCACGAAAGACCCAGAATAATCAAAGCTATCCTAAGCAAAAAGAACAACATTGGAGGAATCACATTATGTGACTTCAAATTATGTTACAGAACTATAGTAAACAAAACAACATGGTACTGGCATAAAAACAGACACATAGGCCAATGTAACAGAATTCTAACTTCTTAAGATGGATTCTGTTTCTCTTCTAACATAAGCATCTGTAGCTATACATTTCCCTTTAAGAAGCCTTTTCATTTCATCCCATATGTTTTATATGTAATATTTTTAGTTGTTATAGTTGTTATAAGTACTTATGATTTTCATTATGATTTCTATTTTCACCATAAATTATTTGAAACCGTGTATGTTTTCTTAATTTTATTTTTTACTTTTAACTTCATTGCATAAATACCAGATAATGTAGTCTGTATGATAATAATTTTACACAAGTTATTAAGATCTGCTTTTGGCTTGATTTGTGGTCAGTTTCTTTGTATGTTATACTATGTGCTTGTTTCACTATGTACTTTTCGCTTGATTTGTGGTTAGTTTCTATATATGTTCTACTCTGTTCTCTAATTTGTGAGGTGCTGTGTTTTAAAATATTTTTTAAAAGCTTGTTATCTGTGTCACTTAAGTTTTTGTCTTTACTGATTTTTGACCACTGGTTCTACCCATAATGAGAAACTATGTTTATCAATAGTGGAGAGAAGTAGATTGACGTCTTCCAGTAGTAAAGATCTGTCCTCTTCTTTCTGTATTATTATCCATTTTTGCCAAATTTTTTTATTTTAGTAAAATATATATATATAAAATAAAATTAGCCAATTAGCCATTTTAACTATATATATATATATGATTTAACTATATATATATACATATATATGTGTATATATATATATATGATTCAAGGGTATTAATTGCATTCACAATGTTGTGCAACTATCACCACTATCTTTTTACAAAACTTTTTTATCACCCCAAACAGAAACTCTATGACCATTAGCAACAACTATGTATTCCCATAACCTCTTATCTACTTTATGTCTGTACAAATTTGCCTATTCTAGTATTTCATACAAGTGGAATCATACAACATAGGTCCTTTTGTGATAGACTTATTTCACTTAGTACAATGTTTTCAAGTTTCATCCATGTTGTAGCATGTTTCAGAACTTTATTACTTTTTATGGCTCTATATGCCACATTTTGTTTACCTTTTCATAAGTTGATATACACCTGGTTTGTTTTCATCTTTTGGCTATTGTAAATAATGTTGCAATGAATATTGGCATACAAATATCTGTTTGAGTCCCTGTTTTCAATTCTTCTGGGTACCTACCTAGCAGTTGAGTTGATGAGTCATATGACAATCCCATGTTTAGCGTTTTGAAGGACCACCAACTATTTTCCATGGAGGCAGCACCATTTTACATTCTCACCAGCAACATACAAGGATTTCAATTCCTCCACATCCTTGCCAACACTTTTTATTTTCTTTTTTAAAGAAAATTATAGCCATGCCAGTAGTTGCAAAGTGGTATCTCATTGTAGTTTTGATTTTCAATTTCGTAATGATTAGTATTGCTCAGCATCTTTTCATGTGACTATAAGCCATTCATATATCTTCTTTCAAGAAATATACCATTAAATTGTTTGCCAGTTTTTAATTGGGTTGTCTGTCTCTTTGTTTTTCAGTAGTGTATTTGTTCACACTGCTATAAATAACTACCTAAGACTGGGTAATTTATTTAAAAAAAAAAGAGGTTTGACTCACAGTTCTACAAGCTGTACAGGAAACATGGCTGAGGAGGCCTTAGAAAACTTTCAGTCATGGTGGAAGAGGAAGCAGGCACATCTTACATGGCCAGAGCAGGAGGAAGAGAGGGAAGGGGGAAGTGCTACACACTTTTAAACAAGCAGATCTTGTGAGAATTAACTATCACAAGAACGATCCAATCATCTCCCACCAGGGCCCCCTTCCAACATTGAGGATTACAATTAGACATGAGATTTGGGTAGGAACACAAACCCAAATCTTAACAAGCTGTAAGAGATCTTTTTATATCTTGAATATTAATTCCCTATTAGAAATATGATTTGCAAATATTTTCTCCCATTCTGTAGGTTATCTTTTCGATTTCTTCACAATGTCCTGTGATGTACAAAAGTGTTTGACTTGTACAATCAAGTCCAATTTACCTTTTTCCTTACTATATCTTGAGGCTACTTAGAGACATACACATATCAAAATGATAGACCTTTTAATTAAATGAATCTTTTCAATTGTATCTGACAATATTTGATAGCTTATTGTCATTTGCTTATTTTTATGATTTCCTCCTATTTCTTTAAATATCTCTTTTACAACTATGGGTAATTCTAATCTTAAGTCTTTTGGGGTTTAAATGTATTAGCAATTATTTCTGGTAACTCTTCTTCATGGCAGCTTATTTCCTTGTTTATTTGGTGATCTTTAATAATGAGCTCATAATTGGATATTTTTATGTGGAAAACCTATGAGTCTAAACTGGAGTTGCATGGGCCAAAGAAAATTTGCATTTGCATCTTTTGAAAGTTAAGAGCATTTGTGAGCTGGGAACAATCTAGCCCCTTAAAGTTGTGTGGACTAATGAAGAATTTCCACTATCAGCATTTCCACCTTCAACTGTCACAGGATTTAATCTCCCAATGGATGGTAGCACCAGAAAAAAAACAACTGCCCTCAGGGCAACCTTGGGGCTTTCTGTGATTGCTTTTTGTTCACTAATCTTTTATATCCTTTGGATAGTGGAGAAGGATGCCCTCAAAGATTTCCTTTATTTTTTACTTTTAAACCAAAAATAAATTAAAAGGCATATTTGTTCCAAAATAAAAGTTTATTTTTCATTTGTTTGTTTTTTAAACTGGAGAATTTTCAGAAAATTTATTCTGCCATACTGCCAGAAGGGAAGGTCCAAAATGATCGGTTTCTAAATATCACACTATTTCAAGGATAAAATAGATTGTTGCTTCAGGGAAAGCATTACCGGTAGCTGCCCTTGATGAGCTTATTAAATGCTAGGTTTTGCTCATCAGGGATGCTAATTTAGTAGCCTAATTGTTATAGTTAACTATAAGGGGCCACCTTGATAATGGATCATCTGGCCCCAGTCAGGTCTTCAGATAACTGCAGCCCAGGCCAAGACCTGACTACAATCTCAGGAGAGACCCTGACCCAGAACCACTCAGCCAAGCCGCTCTCAAATTCATGACATGCTGAAACTGTAGGATATAAGTACTTGTTGTTATTTTAAGCCACTAAGTTTTGTGATAATTTATTATATAGAAATGATAACTAATACATACTGTCATTATTAAAATATTAAGATCCATTATTTTTCTAACAGAAAATGTGTACATATAGTCTCTAGGTTGAAATCAGTCTGATGCTGTAGTTTCTTTAAGGATAATTTAGTGAAACCATAAACAACATATTTGGATGAATACATAAATAAGGACCAAACCATGGTCATTCACTAAGTCAATCATACAAATGCTTAGAAGCAAATCTTATGCCTGACTCAACAGAAAAATCTACACTACCTGTAAAAAAAGGCATCATAAGAAACTGACAAACATGTTTCTTATTCTCTTTCTCTCAGGGGAACTACAAACATCCAACTAACAGAGTTCTTCTGTGTTTTGTGTGCACATTTACATTTTCTCCTGAAAAATAAAAGCAGTGCAGAATTTGCAAATGATAATTTCAGATTCACTGTGATTTCAGTAGCACTATTAGTTGTGGCAATGATAATAAATTATATCGTTAGTTAACAGAATGCCACTCAGCAATTTTTTCCAGCTTTAACACTAAGGCTTAAAAGAAATTATGCTGGAAAAATGCAATAGTTTGCAATGAAGTAAAAAATGTCTTCTACATAGTGAATATAATGGTCATTGTTAGTGCCTGGAATATATGATGATTTTTTAAATGGAGCTCTTTTTGCTTGATCTACTTTTTATTACAGCATGTAGGTGACAATAAAAGCTGTTAAAAGGTGGTATGTTTGATCACAGTCCATGGATACCAATAAAGAGCCTCTATTTATTTAAATAAAAGTAATTGCTGCTAGTGTAAAATGAAAAAGATACTCTATGTAATCTTTATTTGGACAAAATGAGGACTGGGCCATTAGTAAGCATAATGCATGAAAACCTCACATGCGCTTGGAGAGAAGCCTTTGTTCAGAAAAAAATGGCAACATTCAGCTACTTGAAGCAGAAATTTACTGAAGCCAGATGATAGAAAATACAACGAGAACCCATTTTGCTTTACGAATCTCTGTTTTAGATCAGCATTAACAACTACAGTCAACTTTTGGCTCTCTATTTGTCACTCAGCCATACTCTTTGTTTCATTGCATTGATTATTTATGTCTTAAATTATAGCTATTCTTTTTTTTTTTTCTGTGGCTTAAAGAACAGCTTCAAGGGCAAGCATGAAAGGAAATTCCTGAATTGAGTGAGTACTTGGCTGTGCATGCAGCTCCAAAAGAAATAAAACTGTTTGTTGTCTTGACACACACCTTAGGATCAATTATTCTCTCAGTTAACGTAGGCCTCATCAATTTATTTTCTGTACACTGGCACAGTATTGACACGATGTTAATGAGAAAAGCAAATGGGCGAATGTAAGCTCATCAAAGTTTCTTTCTTTTTTTTTATTTTTTAAAAATCAAAACAGTGTCTTTTAGCATGAAATAGCCCTTATTATTTAAACCTACCTCCTAAAGTTAAAAGTAGCTTTGACAAGCATTCAATTAAATCTTCTGTAGCACATAAGCCAAGTGTCTAGCTAGTCCATGTTTGAATTCCTCCAGCATTACTCAGCTTTCAACAAACACAGGTAGCTCACTTAATGTTTAGTCATCATAAATGGAAGAGTTTCTATACCTCTCTGAAACAAAGACAGCTAGCTTGGTTTTCTCCCTGCTTAAAACAAAGCTGGAAACTTACTCAGTTTTTTAGCCTCTTATATTTGAGGTTAGAATTTAAGGAGGTAAATCATCAATCTGCCATGTCCCTGAAGACTAAAATGTAACTGATGATATTATTTCATTTATTCTCTTACCTAAATGTAATGACTAGAACAACCTCATACTGTTGAGGAAGTGAATCATCCAGAGATAAAATGTGTTGCTATGCTTTAGGGTGACTTTGAATCAGAACTCAAGAGAAGAGAAAGCAATTTCATATTAGTCAAGAACAAGCTGTGGTGTTAAACAAGGATGCCCAAGCACATAATTCCACACAACAGTCTTGAAAACACTAGCTTCTCAATCACTTCTTTGTTTTGTACCCAATTTATCTGTCATGCTGTTTCAGCTAACACCATGATCAAGCCTTTCATCTCTAGTTTGTTGCCAAGGTATCTCACACATTCAGTAATGACTTCTGCTCACTGGAGGCTTGCCTCACGAACCCTAGCCCTACTTGGGTTTCTAAAAGTCTGTCTGAGATGGAGAAGAAGCATTAAGAAGTTAATACATCTAACAAATATATCTTTCTAATGAGCAGGCTATACCTTACAACACCATGCAAAAATTTAAAAAGATATGTCTATCTTGCTACATGACAGAATTCAGCTTTTAGATGAATAGGCTGGTTCTTTCAGAAACCACCAGAGTATCATGTCCCTGATCAGAAACAGCTGAAAATTCTATTTTAGTAATTCTGAATAGTAAGTAGATTTTCTGCTGTTCTTCTGTAATGATTTAGGATGCAGACAACTGTGTTTAGGTAGCAAGTTTTCAGTCCTGTAATACATTTAGTTATGCTTTGGTTTCAGGCCCCCTAAATATACTGACCCCTGTCAAACAAAGCCTTAGAAGGTATACTCATGATTTTCTGTTTTTTTTTCTAAAAGAGCACCCCAAATATTTTATGAGCTTTAGTCCCCATGAAACCTAGATCTGCCTGTGCACTTATTTGATGGACTAGGTATTCTGGAGAATTTTTTGAAGATCCATGTTCACCACCCCCAAAAAGATAACAATCCTGTTGAAGAAATAACATATATACATACCAAAGAATCATCTGTTAGTATGTGAAAGGTATAGTGTTTGGAGTCAAAGACATAATCTCCAAATCCCAGCTCTGCCATCTACATTCTGTATGTAATTATAGGACAAATATATTAACTGCTGGATCCCTTTAAATCATGCAAAAGACAGACATAAATCACTGGATTGTTCAGAGGATTAATAAAAACAAATATGCGAAAACAAAATGTCTTGCATTTACCATGTCCACATAAATGTTATTTGAATCATCGTATCTCAGGTTTTATGAGACTTTAAAGAAGATCTATTCAACATTCAATATTTGGACCCTCTCTATAATATCCCCAAGTCATGGCTGCCTATCTTCTGCTTGGCTATATCCAGTGATAAAGACTAAGGCAGTCCACTTCATATAATTAATTACTTAAATATATGGCATAAGAGTTTCTGGTTTTTATTTTTATTGTTTTTGTTTTATTTTGGTATTCAGGTATAGATGTCTGATTAATGACATTAAAATATATATATATATATTATATATATATACTAACATTGAGGAGTGAGGTATTGGCTAGAAATTCCCTTTCAGCTCTCTCCCACATGCTAAGGTACTATCACAAAACCAATGAAACAGTGGGTTCCCCAGCACACATTATAGCCTGAGAATGGAAAGTTGCCTGAGATCCAATTTTGGGCCAGTATATAAAATTGCAATAGAAAAATGTATAAAGCCTGAGAAGGAATGGTGAGAGTGAAGAGGGGCAACAAGGTGAGAGTAGTGTCATGGAAAATCAAGGAGAAGTTTCAAAAGAGGACATAGTAACATCAAATGCCACTGAGATATTATTCTACAACATGTTCTGATAACTATAAACCAGATTCGGGCTCCATGAGATCACTAGTGAAGTGGTGGGTAATTGAGTGGGAGTGAGTTTTGAAGCCAGAGCATGAAGACAAAAAGCAGAAACTCTTGGCCTTTACTGGCAGGGGGTGGGAGAGGATAGCATTCAGGCAGCACTTCAGAGAGAGAAGTGAATGAACTACAAACCGCAGGGAAGGAAGCAAACAGGGTTGAAAATACCTACAGAAGATTAAATGTCACATGGAGTGAGGTGTTGGTCCTGGGACAGAGGATAAGTGATGAAATTCAGAGCATGGAAGCCTGGGTTAACCTTAAAGCAAAAAAGGGATGTTCTGCCCTTGCAATGAGAGAAATAAAATATGTATTAGTCTGTTTTCATGATGCTGATAAAGACATACCCAAGACTGGGTAATTTATAGAGAAAAAGAGGTTTAATGGATTCACAGTTCCATGTGGCTGGGGAAGCCTCGCAATCATGATGCAAGGCAAAAGGCACGTCTCACGTGGCGGCAGACAAGACAGAATGAGAACCAAGTAAAGGGGGATTCCCCTTATAAAACCATCAGATCTTGTGAGACTTATTCATTACCATGAGAACAGTATGGGGGAAACTGCCCTCATGATTCGGTTATCTCCCACCAGGTCCCTCCCACCACATGTGGGAATTATGGAAGCTACAATTCAAGATGAGATTTGGGTGAGGATACAGCCAAACCAAAGCCAAGAAATTTCATGCTGTGAGCTGTGGGTTGGCTGAGAGTTTCTAGGCATCTACTAGTATGTAGACCAGGGCAGCAACTGCTGCCAATACTTAAGAGTTCCAAATAGAACCTTCCAGAGGGGTTGCCCCAAAAGGTAAAGCTAAAGCTGCCAGCTGTAGCAGGCTGCAGATGAAGGTCACCCCAGAAGGACTCTTCTCAGGTACTTGAGGTGGGAGGTGCTAAGGATACTCACCTCTAAACATTATCTTTTTATTTTTAAGTCAATGTTATTATGCATATTTAAGGGCTACAACATGATGTTATAACATACATTTATATAGTAAAATCATTACTAGAGTAGATCACATTAACATGTTCTTCTTTTCATATAGTTAGCTATTTTTCCTCTGCTATGACAAGAGCAGCTATAATCTACTCATTTGGCAAATATCCCTAATACAATACACTGTTTTTAACTAGAGTCATCATATTTTACATTAATCTCGGGACTTGTTCATCCTACATAGTTTCTACTTTGTATCCTTTGACCTACTTCTCCCTTTTTTCTCCCCCAAACCCGCTAACCACGGTTTTATTGTGGTTCAGTGTGCTATCTTTATATATTTGACCCTATTTTTTAAGATTGTACATATAAGTAAAATCATGCAGTATTTTTCTCTGTGTGTCTGATTTATTCTTCTAGATTCATCCATGTTCTGGCAAATGAAAGAATCCTCTCCTTTTTAAAGCTGAATAATATTCTATTATACTATTACACATTACATATGTATAAGAGTTTATTTTTTAACTTTTATTTTAAATTCAGGGGTACGTGTACAGGATGCGCAGGTTTGTTATATAGGTAAACATGTGTCATGGGATTTGTTTTACAGATTATTTCATCACCCTCTTATTAAGCCTAGTATCCATTAGTTGCTTTTTATCCTCTCCCTCCTCTCACCCTCCACCCTCCAATAGCCCCAGTGTGTGTTGTTCCCCTCTATGTGTCCATGTGTTCTCATCATTTAGCTCCCACTCAAAAGTGAGAACGTTGTACTTGATTTTCTGTTTCTGCATTAGTTTGCTAAGGATAATGGCCTCTAGCTGCATCCATGCCCTTGCAAAGGATATGATCTCATGCTTTTTTATGGCTGCATGGTATTCCATGGGTTATATGTACCACATTTTCTTTATCTAGTCTAACCTTGATGGGCATTTAGGTTGATTCCCTATCTTTGTTGTTGTGAATATTGCTACAATGAACATATGTGTGCATGTGTCTTTACAACATATGGATCATATGTTCCTTTGTATACATACCCAGTAATGGGATTGCTGAGTAGAATGGTATTTCTGTCTTTAGGTCTTTGAGGAATCGCCACACTGTCATCCACAATGGTTGAACTAACTTACACTCTCACCAACAGTGTATAAGCATTCCCTTTTCTCTGCAACATCGCCAGCATCTGTTATTTTTTCACTTTTTAATAATTGTCATTCTGACTGGTGTGAGATGGTATCACATGGTAGTTTTGATTTGCATTTCTCTGATGATCAATGATGTTGAGCTTCTTTTAATATGCTTCTTGGTCGCATGTATGTCTTCTTTTGAAAAGTGTCTGTTCATGTTCTTTTTGTTTCTTGTAAATTTATTTAAGTTCCTTATAGATGCTAGATATTAGACTTTTTTCAGATGCATAGTTTGCAAAAATTTTCTCCCATTCTGTAGGTTGTCTGTTGACTGTGTTGATAGTTTCTTTGGCTGTGCAGAAGCTCTCTAGTTTAGGTAGATTCCATTTGTCAATTTTTGCTTTCATTGCAATTGCTTTTGGTGTCTTCATCATAAAATCTTTGGACATGTGTATGTCCTAAATGGCATTGTCTAGGTTGTCTTCCAGGGTTTTTATAGTTTTGGGTTTTATATGTAAGTCTTTAATCCATCTTGAGTTAATTTTTGTATACAGTTTAAGGAAGGGGTCCAGTTTTACTTTTCTGCTTATGGCTAGCCAGTTATTGCAGCACCATTTATTGAATAGGGAATTCTTTCCCCATTGCTTGTTCTTGAAAGGTCTGTTAAATATCAGATAGTTGTAGGTCTGTGGTCTTATTTCTGGGTTCTCTATTCTGTTCCATTGGTCTAGGTGATCGTTCTTGTACCAGTACCATGCTGTTTGGTTACTGTAGCAGCATGGTATAGTTTGAAGCCTGGTAGTGTGATGCCTCCAGCTTTGTTCTTTTTAGTTAGGATTGCTTTGGATATTCAAGCTCTTTTTAGGTTCCACATGAATTTTAAAATATTTTTTCTACTTCTGTGAAGAATGTCAATGGTAGTTCGATAGGAATAACATTGAAGCTATGAATTGCTTTGGGCTGTATGGCTGTTTTAACAATTAAGATTCTTCCTACCCATGAGTATGGAATGTTTTCCCATTTGTTTGTGTCATCTCTAATTTGTGTGGTTGTGTGTGTGTGTGTGTGTGTGTGTGTGAGAGAGAGAGAGAGAGAGAGAGAGAGATACTTTATTTTCCAAGTAATACTGATTAAAAATATTTAGACATTTATTTTTAACCCCACAGTTTAGCACTCTTATTTATATGGCTTTAAAAGTTATAGCACAAGATCTTTACATTAAGGATTGGGGGAAAAGATTCCATTAAAAAAAAGCCTGATAATTATATACATGTTTTTCCCTGTACTTTATTTTAAATACATTAATTTTTAAATGATGCTCATCTTTTTTTCATCTGGTAGTAAAATACTAGTGCAACTTTCAATCAAAATAAAGTTTACCACAGAGGTAAATAAATTTTCCCAGTTGAAATTGGCACTTCGGCTGCCATTAAATAAAATTTCTTAACCGAACTTAAGCGAAAAATAACTCGTGGTTGTTATTATAGGCAAAAATATAAAGTACTATAGCATTGGCTGCATTGCTCCTTATGACACAGACTTTGAAAGAACCAGATGCTTTACAGAAGTTTAGCTGGTTTTGAAACGGCACATGGGTATGGATTTTCTTTTCTTAACATTCTCGAAATTTTGCCACCACCCCTCTCTCTGTTGCAGAGATGGCATCTGTGACTACTGGGGTAGACAACAACATTTGTTCCAACGAAAGAAAGCCAAAATTTAACTGCACAGTAACAATGCAATGTTCGTCATGCAGCCTTGTGTTTCCTATATAGTCAATTTTCTAACATGTATTAGAATACATAAACTTGTATTCTAATGATTTAAGTTTGATTTTATAATATGAAAGAAATTTGAGGAAGAACATGACCTGGGAAAGAGAAGAGGGAGAATTTTTACCACAATGAAAATAGATACAGTCATATGCAACCTTGTATTAAGAATATAATCCACTTAAGTTTCCAGAAATGTACTTCTCAAAACTCCCCTTAATTTATGGAACAGATCCCTCCTCTGGCATTGAGCTGGGGAAGAGGAATCAATTTGTTTCAACAAAAACAATTCAGCACAACAACAAATAGCTTAACTTTGGTCCACTTGTCTGTTAGCTTAAGGACAGTCATACTGCCCATAATCCGTTCAAAAACCCAACAAGTAAATTTAAAAATATATTCATGTGTAATTTCATTCTAAAACCAGCATAGCTGTTCTGTCCTCATTCTCTGCCTTTTCAGCTTCAGAATCCACTGTTGGCTTGCTCTCTAATCCTCAGCATCTTCGTGATCTTCCCTGGCAGCCTCAGCAGCATCTGCTTGGCTAGGTTCTCTCTTCTCTCGGTTCATAGATTTCTGGGGTCACGTGGTCCAAGTCTGCTTCTAGAAGTTCAGTTTGTACTTCCACTGGCACCTGATTTATCCATTCAAAGTGAAGCTTCTCTACGTGTACTTCAGTACCTTCTTCAGTCTGAATTCGACCCACTTCTAGATAACTTATTTGGACCTGCTCTGGAAGCACACTCGTGTGAACAAAGTACCTGGCTGTCCTGGAGCAGATCTGGATGGACGTGTTCCACAGTCACTTGTGCTGAATCCACAGTCACTTGTGCTGAATCCACCTGGACCTGAAGCAATGGTAGCACACGCACCTTCCCAATTTGTTATATAATAGTCATTGATATGTCACAGGTTCAGTTTGCACACGTTTCTACTGAAAGAACTTCTTCCATTACTAGACGCTCTGAAATAGTGTCACTGAGATGCCTCATTAATTTACTTCCTTGCATAAACCACAAGTCACATAAAGAACAATAGTTGGGTTTACACCCAGTGTGTATTACCAAGTGATCTTTGAACTGGTCCCAGCTGTTAAACACACTGTTGCAGACATGGCATTTATAGAGCTTCTTTCTTCCTTTTTTGCCTCTATTCCAGTTTGGCATGCAGTGAGGTGACATTTGAGGGTGCTATTTCTAGCAAATCTTTCATGACAATTTGGACATTCAAAAGGTTTTTCACCTGTATGTTTTCTAAGATGTTCTTTAAAATGTCCAGAACAGTCAAACTGCTTCTCACAGTACTGACATACATAAACTTTCTTCCCAGTTCTTTGCTTCTTAGTGACTCCACCTTCTTCAAGATGGTAACAATTTAGGTGCTGTTTCCATGTGCTCTCCCAAAGATACCTTTCATTGCATATTTCACACTTGAAACTCTCAGTAGAGTGTGATTTCATGCGTTCCTTCAAATGATAAAACAATTTAAATGAACCATTACATTTCTCACAATGGAACAAGTCCTTCACATGTGAAGGTTGTCACATGTGACAACTGACGTTCCACAGTTTCGATACTTTCTACCTGTATGCTTGTAGGGTCAGATGCATGGCCATCTTCTTCTTTAATCTGCCCTTTTCTGTCACTTTGATGATACTTGCTGGTAATATCTGCCAACAGTGCTAGAGCAGAATCATTAGAGGAACTTGTGTTCTGTGTGTACTTTATGGATGCTTGGCAGAATCCACTTCCTCTAATGTTTTGATGCCTTCATCTTCACTTCAATTGTGCCTTCAGCAATCTCTACCTCAATTTCAACAGGTTCTGATTCTGCAGATGGCAATGATTCTGTGATAACATTTGAAGTTGCTGCAATCTTCCTTTTATTTGGCCACCTTTTTTCTTGTGGTATTTTCCTCTAATGGAGCTGAGTTTTCTTTGTTCCTGACTTCAAGGGCTTTCATAATGAAGCAGGAAATTTTCCCCGACCCCTTCATGGGTAGGAACTGGTGTGCAGGGGCTGGGGCTAGCCGGCCACTTCGGCACCAGCTGAGGCAAACTCTACTCATTGGAACCGGTTGCACTCAACCTGCCACAGGAGGGAGCATGCAGGTGAGCGGGCGCAGGAGTCAGGGCAAGTGCTTTTGGGTGCTGGCAGGAGCAAAACTCTATGCGGGCCCTGTGGACTCCATATCTGGCAGGACCCTCCATCCCCAGCTGGACTCCTTTCTAAAGCAACACCATCAAGCCGTCCCTTTGAAGTCAAGCTACTTCTCTCTGATGTCAAACCAGTCTCTGATGTCCAGCTGCTTCTTTTCTTCTCCGGTCTCTGCCAATGGAGCCTGGGGTTTTTATAGGCACAGGATAGGGGGCAGGGCAGGGCATGCTTGGCTTTGGAAATGACATTCGAGTGGGAAAACAGGAAGGCATGCTCTCACTTTGGGTTGCTGTCCCAGACTTGAGTGTGGGACCCTTGCCGGGGACCTGTCCTCCTTTGCCCAGAATTTCCCTGCCTCCTGTCCCTGTCAGTAACTTCTAGCATTTGTACAACTCTGCTGCTTTCCATACATCATTGGCTTCTTCTTCTCCTGTATCAATTATTTTGCTGTATATGTGAACTGAATTAAATTACAAAAGGTCATTTTACCAACAACTTCTATCTCCACCAAAGGTTCCTGGGTAAATTGAAAGAATTTATAGAAGAACTTACTGCAAGCAGCCAAAAGAGCCTTGTGAGCCTTAAAATGGTGTCTGTTGACAATCAGGATGATGTCAGTAAACCAGTCCCGATCTTGCTGTTTATTCAGTCAGTCGAGGATCATCTGATGATGTTCAGGAAACTTTTGAAAACATTTCATCCTCTCTTCAACCTCCATGGCCATCAGGTTGCCCTAGTTCATGGTCTGTCCTCCTTCTGAAGCAGGAAATTTTCCCTGGCCTTTTTGCAGGCAGGAACTGGAGTGTGGGTCTTGGGGCTAGCTGGCTGCTTTGGCACCAGCTAGGTCAAACTTCACTCACTCGAACCCACTGCGCTCAACCATTCAGAGGAGGAAGCATGCAGGTGAGCAGGTGCAGGAGCTGGGGTGAGTGCTTTTGGGTGCCGGCAGGAGCAAAATTCTGTGCGGCCCCCACAGTACCATCTAGGGTGGCGTACCTGCCACCCCCAAGGCCCCTGAGGGCATGTGTTATAGTGCTCTTTTAGCTTTGCCATCCACAGATAGCTTAACAGCTCAGTGGGGCCTCTGCCTTTTCACATGAGGTGGTTGTTCTCCACCAGCAAGGGCAGAGGGTCATTGTGACCGCCTTCATCCACACCTGTGGCACCCGAGCTCTTGTCTGGCATCCAGGAAAAATCAGGTCAGATGAGCAAATTGAAGGAAGGCGAATGCAGAGGATTTTATTGCTGATGAAAGTGGCTCTCAGAGGGAAGGTGAAGTGAAAAGGGAATGGAGTGAGAAGGTGATTTTCCAGGGAGGACCGGATTTTTCTCTGAAGCAGTCTGATAGCTGTCAAGCCATCCCTCTGAAGTCAAGCCGCTTCTCTCTGATGTCAAACCACAGTCTCTGATATCCAGCTGCTTCTCCTCTTCTCCACTCTCTCTGCTGATGGAGCTGGGGGATTTTATGGGCACAGGATTGGGGGCAGGGCAGGCCATGGGTGGTTTTGGAAAAGGCAACATTTGTTCAGGAAAACAGGAATGCATGTTCTCACTTTGGGCTGCTGTTCCAGGCTTGAGGGTGGGACCCTCGCCAGGGACCCATCCTTTCTACCCAGAATTTCTCTGCCTCCTGTCCCTATCACTTCCTCTCCTCAAAGCCTCTCATTCCATGCTTTCCCTTCTCATGGCATAATGTACCCCATACCCTTCCCTACCCCTCCATTTCCCCACAAGAGCCAGGGTTCTCCCTCTTCTCAGGACTTGCTGGTGCAGGTGTGCTCAGTTGGACACCTGGGTGGCCACAGTACCACTAATTTCTTTGAGCAGTGGTTTGTAGCTCTTCTTGTAGAGATCTTTCACTTCCCTTGTTAGCTGTAATTGTGATGGGATTTGTTTGTGATTTGGCTCTCAGCTTAACTGTTGTTGGTGTATTGAAAGGTAGCAATTTTTACACATTGATTCTGTATCCTGAGACTTTGCTGTAGTTGCTTATCAACTTAAGAAGCTTTTGGGCTGATATGTTGGAATTTTCTAGATATAGGATCATGTCATCCGCAAACAGAGATAGTTTGACTTCCTCTCCTCCTATTTGAATGCCCTTTATTTCTTTCTCTTGATTGATTGCTCTGGCTAGAACTTCCAATACAATGTTGAATAGGAGTGGTGAGAGAGGGCATCCTTGCCTTGTGCCTGTTTTCCAGGTGAGTGCTTATAGCTTTTGCCCATTCAGTGTGACGTTGGCTGTCGGTTTGTCATATATGGCTCTTGTTATTTTGAGGTATGTTCTTTCAATACCTAGTTTATTGAGAGCTTTTAACATGAAGGAATGGTAAAATTTTATCAAAAGCCATCTCTTTATCTATTGAGATAATCACGTGCTTTTTGTCTTTAGTTTTATGTGATGAATCACATTAATTGATTTGTGTATATTGAACCAACCTTGCATCCCAAGGATGAAGCCTAGCTCATCATGGTGGATAAACTTTTGATGGGCTGCTGGATTTGGCTTGCCAGTATTTTGTTGAAAATTTTTGCATCAATGTTCATCAAGAATATTGTCCTGAGGTTTTCTTTTTTGTTGTATTTCTGCCATGTTTTGGTATCAAGATGATGCTGGCCTCATAGAATAAGTTAGGGAGCAGTCCCTCTTTTTCCATTGTTTAAAATAGCATCAGTAGGGATGGTTCCAGCTATTCTGTGTACATCTGGTAGAATTCAGCTGACAATCTGTCTGGTCGTGGGCTTTTTTAGGTTAGAAGGCTATTTATTACTGCCTCAATTTCTGAACTCATTATTGGTCTGTACAGGGATTCAATTTCTTCCTGACTCAATCTTGGGAGAGTGTATGTGTCCAGGAATTTATCCATTTCTTCTACAGTTTCCAGTTTATGTGTATAGAGGTGTTTATAGTAGTCTCTGGTGTTTGTTGGTATTTCTGTGGGTTCAGTGGTAATATCCCCTTTATCATTTCTGATTGTGTTTATTTGGATCTTCTCTCTTTTCTTCTTTATTTGTCTAGGTAGTAGTCTACCTATTTAATTATTTTTTCTCAAAGAATAAGCTCCTGGCCTTGTTGATCTTTTGAATGTTTTCTTGTGTCTCTATCTCCTTCAGTCAAGATCTGATATTGGTTATTTCTTGTATTCTGTTAGCTTTGGAATTTGTTTATTCTTGGTTCTCTATTTCTTTTAGTTGGGACGTTAGGTTGTTAACTTGAGATCTTTCTATCTTTTTGATATGGGCATTTAGTCCTATAAATTTCCCTCCTAACACTGCCTTAGTGTGTCCCAGAGATTCTGGTATGTTGTATCTTTGTTCCCATTAGTTTCAAAGAATTTATTGATTTCTGCCTTAATTTCATTATTTATCCACAGTCATCCAGGGGCAGATTATTCAATTTCCATGTAATATATGGATTTTAGTGAATTGCTTAATCATGGTTTCTAATTGCATTCATTGTGCTCTGCTCAGAGAGACTGTTTGTTTTGATTTCAGTGTTTTTTTCTGCATTTGCTGAGAAGTGTTTTACTTGTGATTATGTGATTGATTTTAGAGTAAGATATTTGGCAATGAGAAGAATGTATATTCTGTTGCTTTTGGATGGAGAGTTCTGTAGATACCTATCGGGTCCCTTTGATCCAGACCTGAGTTCAGGTCCTGAATATCTTTCTTAATATTCTGTCTTGATAATCTAACATTGTTAGTGGGATGGTAAAATTTCCTCCTATCATTGTGTAGGAGTCTAAGTCTCTTTGGAGGCCTCTAAAAACTTGCTTTATAAATCTGGATGCTCCTGTGTTGGGTACATATATGTTTAGGATAGTTAGCTCTTCTTGCTGAATTGAACCCTTTACCATTATGTAATGCCCTTCTTTTTTATAATCTTTGTTGATTTAGAGTCTGTTTTGTCAAAAACTGGAATTGCAACCACTGGGATTTTTTTTTTTTCTGTTTTCCATTTGCTTGGTAAATTTTCCTTCATCCTTTTATTTTAAGCCTGTGGATGTTATTGCATGTGAGATGGGTCTCTTGAAGACAACATACTGATGGGTCTTGGTTCTTTATCCAGCTTGCCACTGTGTTTCTTAATTGGGGTATTTATCCAATTTATATTTAAGGTTAGTATTGTTATGTGTGGATTTGATCCTGTCATCATGATGCTACCTGATTGTTTTGCAGACTTGTTTATGCGGATGCTTTATTTATTTATTTATTGATTTTTAGATGGAATCTTGATCTGTCATCCAGGCTGGAGTGCAATGACACAATCTCAGCTCACTGCAACCTCCACCTCCTGGGTTCAAGCAATTCTCATGCCTCAGCCTCCCAAGTAGCTGGGATACAGGCATGTGCCACCACACCTGGCTAATTTTTGTATTTTTAGTAGAGATGGGGTTTCACCATATTGGCCGGGTTGGACAGGAACTCCTGACCTCGTGATCTGCCCACCTCAGCCTCCCAAAGTGTTGGGATTACAGGCGTGAGCCACTGCGCCTGGCCTATGTGGCTGCTTTATAGTGTCACTGGTCTGTGTACTCCAGTGTGTTCTTGTAATGGCTGGTAAAAGTTTTTCCTTTCCATATTTAGTGCTTCCTTTAGAAGCTCTTCTAAGGCATGTCTGGTGCTTATCAACTCTCTCAGCATTTGCTTGTCTCTAAAGGATCTTATTTCTTCTTTACTTTTGAAGCTTAATTTGGGCAAATATGAAATTCTCAGTTGGTACTTCTTTTCTTTAAGAATGTTGAATATTAGCCTCCAATTACTTCTGGCTTGTAGGGTTTCCACTGAGAGGTCTGCTGTTAGTCTGATGGGCTTCCCTTTGTAGGTAATCTGGCCTTTCTCTTAGTATGCCCTTACTATTGTTTCTTTCATTTTGACCTTGATTAATCTGATAACTATGTGTCATGGGGATGATCTTCTCCTGGAGTATCTTACTGGGAATTTCCTGAATTTCCTGCATTTCCTTACTCTGCATTTTCGGAATTTGAATCTTGGCCTGTCTAGCTAGGTTGGGGGAGTTCTTATGGATGACATCTTGAAGTAAGTTTTCCAAATTGGTTCCATTCGCTCCATCTCTTTCAGGTACACCAATCAGTTGTAGATTAAGTCTCTATATAATCCCACATTTCTCAGAGGTTTTGTTCATTCCTTTTCATTCTTTCTTCTCTGTTCTTGTCTGCCAGCCTGATTTCAGAAAGACAGTCTTCAGGCTTTGAGATTCTTTTCTCTGCTTGGTCTATTCTGCTATTAATACTTGTGATTGCATTATAAAATTCCTGTACTGTGTTTTTCAGCTCTATCAGATGGGTTACGTTCTTCACTATACTAGCTATTTTTACTGTCAGTTCCTGCAATTTTTTTTTTTTTTTTTTTTGAGACGGAGTCTCGCTCTGTCGCCCAGGCCGGACTGTGGACTGCAGTGGCACAATCTCGGCTCACTGCAAGCTCCGCTTCCTGGGTTCACGCCATTCTCCTGCCTCAGCCTCCCGAGTAGCTGGGACTACAGGCGCCCGCCACCGCGCCCGGCTAATTTTTTGTATTTTTAGTAAAGACGGGGTTTCACCTTGTTAGCCCAGTTCCTGCAATGTTTTATCATGATTTTTAGCTTCCCTGCATTGAGTTAGAATGTGCTCCTTTAGCTCAGTGAAGTTCATTCCTATCCATATCCTGATTTCTCCTCCTGTCATTTCAGCCATCTTAGCCTCAGCCTGGTTCTGAACCCTTGCTGAAGAGGTAATGTGGTCATTTGAAGGAAAGAGCACTCTGGCTTTTTGAGTTTTTGCATTCTTGATCTAAAGGAGCACATTCTTTTGCATATTTGTGGGCTTATCTACCATCAATCTTTGGGATTGCTAACATTTGGATGCGGTTTTGGGTTTGTTCTTTGTTTTCTTTTAACTGTCTGGCCACTTTTCCGTAGGGCTGCTGAGGTTTGCTGGGCATCTGCTCCAGTCCCTAGTTGCCTCAGATTTTCTGGTACCTGAAGATATCACCAGTGAAGCCTGCAAAACAGCAAAGTGGCAGCCTGCCCCTTTCTCTGGGAGCTCCATTCCAGTGGGGTACAGACATGTTGCCAGCCCAAATGCACCTGCAGGAGGTCGCTGGAGACCCTGGTTAGGAGGTCTCGCACAGTCAGGAGGAATGGGATCAGGGATCCACTTAAGGAAGTGATCTAGCCATGCTTTCCTAGAGTAGCTGTGCTGTGCTGTTGTATTGCTTCCGTCTGTGGTAAGCCTGGGCTCTCCAAAGCCTGGAGACCGGAACAGCTAAGTTGCTGAAACAGCAAAGATGGCAGTCACTCTTTCTTCTAGGAGTCTGTCCCAGGAAATTTTCAAACCTCAGTTGGCCAGAGAACATCGACCCAACTGGCTGGAGGCCCTAGTTAGGAAGTCCTGCCCAGTGAGGGGGAATAGATCAGAGACCTGCTTAAGGAACCACTCTGTCCACACTTTTGTAGAGCAGCTTTGCCTTACTGGGGTATTGCTTCTGCCCCAGTAGGCTTGGGCTCGCCAAAGCCGGCAGGCTGGAACAGCAAAGATAGTGGCCCTCCTCTCCTCCCAGGTACTTCATCCCAAAGAGAAATCGAAACTCTGTCTACAGGAGAACACAGGCAGAGGTGGCTGTAGGCCCCAGTTTGGAGGTCCTGCCCAGAGATGATGAATGGATTGGGATCCTGTTTAAAGAAATGGTCTGGCCAAATTTTTGTGGAGCAGCTGTGCTGTGCTGGGGGATCCCTTCTCTCCCCAGTCAGTCTGGACTCTCTGAAGCCTGCAGGCTGGAAAAGCTGGGTCATTCAAACAGCAAAGATAGTGGCCCACCCCTCCCGTCAGGAACACCAACCTGTCCTGGGAAGGCACAACACTATTGCCAGGGACTGGCTGGAATTCCAAGCCAGTGAGTCTTATTCTGTGAGGCACCATGGAAGTGGGGCCCTCAGACCAATGCTGCTTGGACCCCTGGATTCCACCCCCTTCCTAGGGGTACCTGTGGACCACCTGCCTTCCCTGAGTTGCAGTCACTTTTACCAGGGATCCTGGAGCCAGAGTATGTAAAGCTCCTGAGACTCTGTGCACACCTGAGTAGCTGCTCTGCTGAGACTTCACACAGCTCTGTGTGTCAGACTGAAGGCCCCAGTGGAGTGGGTTCATGAGGGGATCTCCTGACACGAGAGTTTCAAAGGTCTGTGGGAGAATCATGGTTTCCCAGGATTGCACATTCATTAACCACTTCCCTCGGTAGGGGAGGTTCCCTTGGCTCTGTGTCACGCCTGCATGGGCTGTCACTCTGCCCTGCTTTTCTCCATTCTCCCTGGGTTGAGCTGTTTCCTTGATCAGCCCCAGTGCAAGTACCTGTATGTTTCAGTTGAAGGTGCTGTATTTTCTGCCCCTTTTGTTCCTCTCCGTGAGTGCCATGCACCATAGCTGCTTCCAGTCAGTCAACTTGGCCCCACTCCATCAGAGTTTCTTTATCCACTCATTCACTAATGGATACAAAGGCTGTTTTCATATCTCGGCTATTTTGAAGAGTGTGAACTTTATCTTTTAAATATCTTTTAAAAATCTGTCAATTTCTCTCTATTCCCTCCACCAAGACCTAGTTTCAAACTCCAATCTTTTCTTAGACAGACAACTGGCTGCAGAATGCCTCCCAATGGGTCTCTCTCATCCGTTTTTGGCCCTTCCTGATGATTCTTCACACTATAGCCAGACTAAACTTTTAAAAATACAAATCTGATTATGGGTAATTTCTGAATAAATTATGGGTAATTTCTGAATAAAATGTATAATGCTCTCACTCAAGATGAAGAAAAAAATTAACATGGCATACATGGCTTTTCACAACCTGACATCTTACATCTACCTTATTTCTCATCTGACTCCTTGCCTCCTCTTTCCCTGAGTTCCAATTAAGTTGATATTTTTTAGAATCAAACAGCATAACATGTTTTTTCCTAATTCATTCTGTTCCTTTTACCTATTCTGCCCTACCTGTTATTTAGATTCAGTTCAAAATTCATTTCCTGAAGGAATCCTCCTTGTACTTCTACATACTCTCATACTTCTTATACTTTCAAATCATAAGTTTATCATGGCTTATAATTATCAACTTTTGCAATTAATTAATTAATGTCTACCTCCTCAACTAGACTATATGTTTCTTAAGGGCAGCATTCAAGTCCATTTCTATTCGTTGCTCTGTATGAGCAGAAACACAGTGTCTGGCACATAGTAAATACTCAGAAATATTGTTTCATTCATGCATGAGTGAGTGAATTAATGAATGTTAGCACAGTGGCTTTTAGATAGGAGTCTTGCCTAATGGAAGACCATCACTCATACTCTACCAATTTTATTACTGTTTTATAAAGATCAAATAATACTCCACAGAGAAAACATTTTTATATATTGTCTTTATAATGGTTGTAAGGGAGTCATTGATACAAGTGTATATTTTGGAAAAATGAATTAATTTAACCAAGATAAAGAGTTACATTAGGGATGCCTGTAGTGTGATCTCTCTTCTGCGTCTTTTCTCTGTTCCTGGAGCACGAAGGTGAAGGAGCCTGGTTGATGATTGCTTTTCCACTCATATCCTGACAACATAAAAATGTTTCTTCGTAACATCAAAAGATGTGCTTTTTTTTTTAGCCCAATAGCATTTGAACTCAGAAAAATTATAGTTCCCAAGTGAAATAGACTTTGGTATAACAGACATCTGCTTATATAACAATTTATGTAATTAGAGCTGGGTAAAAAGAATTTGTGAGCCAGTACGACAGAATTTTCTTGAAAGCTATAGAACAATCATTTATATGGATGTTCCAACTATTTAGAGAGAGAGTCGTCAAAACATCCTTCATCAAATCTATTTGAGTGAGGTAAATAAAATAGGAGTGACAGAGTCTTGATTCCAGAACATGTAAATTCTTCTTTGTTTGATTTTCTACAGCTTGCATTTTGATGTTGTAGTCCCAGTAGAGGTGAGAAAACTGCAAAAAGGAAACTACTTGGAAGTAGTACCTTCAGCCTCACAATCTAAGCAGTTAGTGGCTAATTATTTACCTCAGTATCTGATTTTAACTGCACTCAGCCACTCAGATATGTGGAACAGAGCTGTCCACCAGCAAGGACACAGAGGGCTCCTGACAATCCCCCTCCTGATCTATCCCCATCAGTAGACAAAGGGAAAGGAGGAGAATCAGGTCATTTTCTTGAGAGTTCCTGTTTCTGCTACACCAAATTTGCTCATATGAACAAACACATGGCTCCTGAGACCCACAGACCTTATATTAAATATATTTATGAAGCTCCCCCACTGTGTTCCCAGAGACTCAGATTCTTACCTTCTATGAATGAGCAGAGCTAACAAATTTCTCTCTGGCCTGGGAGAAAATGACCTTCAACTATAGCTGAGTCAAGTGTAGATCTGGAAATTGTCTTCAAAAATTACTTGCTCCCACAGTTTGTCTTGACCAGCTCTCTCCCTTCTAGCAAATGTCCTCAGGTTTGGTTTGTGGGAAATGTCAGGTAGGTTTGATGTGTAGATTCTATTTATTGGTAAGAGTATAAAGTGAAGATGCTAGAATAATTTGACAGTCAGATTCATCAAGCATTTAAAGGAGCTTTATTCCATGTGTGTCAGTATTCAATAACACATATAATATTTGTAATAATGCCAACTAACATTTTCTGAACACTCACAATGTACCAGACACTGTGGAGAGGAGAGGAGAGGAGAGGACTTTTACATTTTCACTCTCAACTTTTACAAGCAAACGTTGAAGAGTTTAGTGCTATGAAGATGAAAACCTCTGCTACTACTGAGTCATAACAATAATCACAAAAATCCTAATAGTAAAATGAATTTGGAAGAAACCTGGACAGTAAAAACTTTGGAATTTTTCTTTGTGCCCAAATTGTGGGTCCAGCAATATTCCTGGTGGCATCACAGAATGTTGTATAAAATACAAACTGAGTGGCCTTGAATTTCTTCAAGGTGGAATAGCCTTGAATGGTCATATGTTTTCTTACTCTTGTCCTTTTGGTTGTCCCAATTAATTATTCTATTTTCCGAATGTTTCCTATTTGTAGTATTTTGTGGCCACCTGGTTGGTCTCAGTGCCATTGCTTCTACTGCCCTGGTATATAATTGACATAACTGGTAGACTTGTGTGTCCCAAAGCACAAAGCTGAGCTTCACTCAGAAACTTTGGAGGAGTAATTTCTTATTTGAGTACAATTATTCAGAGCATGCCTATTATTACATATTGGGCAGAAGTGGGGGAAGAAGGAGTTACGAAGATTGTCCCACTAATTAGTAACACAACTATTCAATGCTTATGAAATTTTTCTTTCCTGTGTGAGCTTGCACCAGTCGTCACCCATCTGCCATCTTCTACGAGATATAATAAGGTTAGGGAGATATTTGTGTCTTACTTTTGTTTTAAGTAATCCAGAATCCCAAGGCCAAAATCTAAAAGAAGACAGGGATAGATACAGGTAGAGGTGACAATTGTCATTGTTATTGTTCTCATTTTACAGATGTGAAGGCTTAGACTGGAAGACTTTAAATACTTGTCCAAAGTCTTAGTGCTGGAGTAAAAGGAAGAGTCTCGAATTGAACCCTAAACAGCTAACCTCTAAACTCTTGCCCTTAAACAAAAGAGTGAAAAGGAGCTTTTATTATCTAATTGGACATTGGGAGAAACACTCTTAAGCAAAGAAACAAAGGCATGAGCACAGGTAAAGGTAAGAGTTTGAAATTGGTATAAAGCACATAGCTAAACCTTTGGAAGTCAATTAAAGGAAAGGCAACTGTGAAGGAGATTATTTAGAAAAAAGAAATGGGAATTCTCTGACATCTGGGCATCTTCTTGCTGTCTTGTCCTGGGTTTCCAGCTAAACTGAGCCCAGCCAAGCTTTTTGACTCCCTCCCATGGCTTCCATCTGCCACACAGCTCTGGCCAAGGCCAAACTCAGCCTGCCTTATTTCCAGAATTCCTTGCTTCTGCAAAGTCATCTCGAAGTGAGCCATAGAGCAGTGTCCTCTGAATGACTGCACAGCCCCCAAATATATGACTTTCCTGAAGAAGAGATGACAGCCAGCTGAGGAAGCTGCTCACTGGGAGGAGGTGCATACTCACTCACCTGCAGTCTCTTCCCACATCCCCGAGCAGCACATGTCAGCTGTCCTCTTCTCATCTGGAAAAAGGAGGAGAGGAGTGGCAGCTTATTAAAACCTGGCACAGTGCCAGCCTTGCTCAAGATGTTGTTATTCAGTCTTAGGAAACACCTTGAAAATAAACAGTGACTATTTCCTATCATGTAATATACATAGTATTTAGCAAATTAGAAGTGCTTAATAAAAGTCAATGAATCCCAAATAAATCATGACTATTAATATATTTATTTGTTTGATACAAACTGGATGTACAAATCAATAAGAAAATTAATATTTTGGAATCTTAAGGCTTTCACTGAATAATTATTACATTGAATTGAACAATGATTTTAATGCAGATTCATAATATTCATGATGAATACATATTAAGATTATTTTGAATACATAATTAGTTTGCAGAGCACAGATTCCAAATGAAAGGACAATTAATTTTTAGCTTTAGCTTTGCCATAACCCATTTAAATGTTTTTAGTGATGCTTCCATAACCAGCATAGCACATAATTTATAAATGAAAATGCTAATCTACAGACTATCATCTGTCCTTTCTATTAAAATTATTAAATAAATGCTAGCATTGATATGATACAAGATGTGTATAGAGGAAAGCTTTAATGTAAGAGGGCTCTTTTCAGGTCTATTTATTATTGACTTTAAAAATTTTTTATTGTGTTGGAAGTTCTGGCCAGGGCAATCAGGCAGGAGAAGGAAATAAAGGGTATTCAATTAGGAAAAGAGGAAGTCAAATTGTCCCTGTTTGCAGACGACATGATTGTTTATCTAGAAAACCCCATCGTCTCAGCCCAAAATCTCCTTAAGCTGATAAGCAACTTCAGCAAAGTCTCAGGATACAAAATCAATGTACAAAAATCACAAGCATTCTTATACACCAACAACAGACAAACAGAGAGACAAATCATGAGTGAACTCCCATTCACAATTGCTTCAAAGAGAATAAAATACCTAGGAATCCAACTTACAAGGGATGTGAAGGACCTCTTCAAGGAGAACTACAAACCACTGCTCAAGGAAATAAAAGAGGACACAAACAAATGGAAGAACATTCCATGCTCATGGGTAGGAAGAATCAATATCGTGAAAATGGTCATACTGCCCAAGGTAATTTACAGGTTCAATGCCATCCCCATCAAGCTACCAATGACTTTCTTCACAGAATTGGAAAAAACTACTTTAAAGTTCATATGGAACCAAAAAAGAGCCCGCATCGCCAAGTCAATCCTAAGCCAAAAGAACAAAGCTGGAGGCATCACACTACCTGACTTCAAACTATACTACAAGGCTACAGTAACCAAAACAGCATGGTACTGGTACCAAAACAGAGATATAGATCAATGGAACAGAACAGAGCCCTCAGAAATAACGCCGCATATCTACAACTATCTGATCTTTGACAAACCTGAGAAAAACAAGCAATGGGGAAAGGATTCCCTATTTAATAAATGGTGCTGGGAAAACTGGCTAGCCATATGTAGAAAGCTGAAACTGGATCCCTTCCTTACCCCTTATACAAAAATCAATTCAAGATGGATTAAAGACTTAAACGTTAGACCTAAAACCATAAAAACCCTAGAAGAAAACCTAGGCATTACCATTCAGGACATAGGCGTGGGCAAGGACTTCATGTCCAAAACACCAAAAGCAATGGCAACAAAAGCCAAAATTGACAAATGGGATCTAATTAAACTAAAGAGCTTCTGCATAGCAAAAGAAACTACCATCAGAGTGAACAGGCAACCTACAACATGGGAGAAAATTTTCACAACCTACTCATCTGACAAAGGGCTAATATCCAGAATCTACAATGAACTCAAACAAATTTACAAGAAAAAAACAAGCAACCCCATCAAAAAGTGGGCAAAGGACATGAACAGACACTTCTCAAAAGAAGACATTTATGCAGCCAAAAAACACATGAAAAAATGCTCATCATCACTGGCCATCAGAGAAATGCAAATCAAAACCACTATGAGATATCATCTCACACCAGTTAGAATGGCAATCATTAAAAAGTCAGGAAACAACAGGTGCTGGAGAGGATGTGGAGAAATAGGAACACTTTTACACTGTTGGTGGGACTGTAAACTAGTTCAACCCTTGTGGAAGTCAGTGTGGCGATTCCTCAGGGATCTAGAACTAGAAATACCATTTGACCCAGCCATCCCATTACTGGGTATATACCCAAATGACTATAAATCATGCTGCTATAAAGACACATGCACACGTATGTTTATTGCGGCATTATTCACAATAGCAAAGACTTGGAACCAACCCAAATGTCCAACAATGATAGACTGGATTAAGAAAATGTGGCACATATACACCATGGAATACTATGCAGCCATAAAAAATGATGAGTTCATGTCCTTTGTAGGGACATGGATGAAATTGGAAACCATCATTCTCAGTAAACTATCGCAAGAACAAAAAACCAAACACCGCATATTCTCACTGATAGGTGGGAATTGAACAATGAGATCACATGGACACAGGAAGGGGAATATCACACTCTGGGGACTGTGGTGGGGTGGGGGGAGGGGGGAGGGATAGCACTGGGAGATATACCTAATGCTAGATGACGCGTTAGTGGGTGCAGTGCACCAGCATGGCACATGTATACATATGTAACTAACCTGCACAATGTGCACATGTACCCTAAAACTTAAAGTATAATTAAAAAAAAAAATTTATTTTGAAATAATTTCAGACTTATAGAAAAGGTGCATGAATAGTACATAGAATTTCTGTATATCTATCTAGATCTCCTAACAGTTAACATTTTCATATATGTGCTTTATTTTTCTCTCTTACACACACACACACAAACACACACACAAATATGTATGTATATATACGTACAATTTTTTTCCTGAACTATGTAAAAGTAAGCTGCAGCCATGAATCTAGGATGTTCCATTACCACCTACATAGTCAGTATATTTTAAAATTAAGATGTTAACAATATTATTCAGTAATATTATCAAATCTGCAGACCTAGTCATATTTCACTGGTTGTCCCAGTAACTTCCTGTAAAACAAAACAAAACAAAAAACCCTACACTTATTTTTTTAAGAGCAAAGTCTTAGTTGTATATCTGTATCAAGCTAAAACTAGTGTATGGATTAATATGAAATGAGATTCAGTCAATACCACTGTAGGACCATATATGTCCCTGAAAGATTAAGGAATGTGATTATTTTCTTAATAAAAATTATAATGCATCACCAAGATTAAATGTTTCTGCTATTAATATGTGTAGTAAGAAATAAATGAATGAAAAAGTTAAAATTTAATAGTGCCACTTTGCTTTTAAACATTTTAAACTATTTATCACTAATGACAAATCATTTTCAAAATTCTAGTAGAAGTTCCTAGTTGATTGAACATGAATGAGATGGAATTACTTGGACAGAAAGCCAGCCAAAAAGGGCATCACACTAGGAGCTGTCTAGCTTTGAGCTCTACTCTGAAATGCAGCCCCTCTAGGTGGTTTTATTACTTACAATTGGTAATCTACTGTCAAGAAATGATGGAAAAAAAGAGACAGCCCCTGTGTCAAAGGACTTCACACTACAGTTTCCTTTGGTTTAGGGAGCATAGTTGATTTGTGTTATAGCAGAATATGGTGTATAATGTTTATTTTTGTTTTTAAATGAACTCCACGTAGTATGAAGAAGGAAATCTAATCAGTGATGTTGACATATAAATTATTACATAACCTTTGCAAAGAATTTGCAATAATTATTCAACAACCTTATCTTTTCATCCAGGAATTCCACTCCTGGCATTTTTGCTCAAAGAAATAATCCTAAGGACAACAGACGCCTTAGACATGACAGTGTTCATTATTTCATGATTCATAAAAGTAAAAACAAAAATAAAACACCTAAAAGTCTAAAAGCACAGGAAAGGCAAGGTAAATTATTGTATATACACAAGATAGAATGGTGTACAGTTATATATAAAATCTATTAATTAAAAATTAAATATATATTAATTTTAAAAGTACTTATGTTGAGAAACTTAGTAAAAAAGAGTTTCCAAATTGAATATATAATATGAACTCAAGCATATGGAAAAGAAAATACAAAGAAAATAAGTCACCCTGTAAGCAGAGGTTGTATCTGGGTCATACAAATACTGTGCTGGCAGTGAGCAGGCCTAGAGGGCGTGGCCCAGTCTCCAGCTGCAGTCCTTGGATCTGATTAGGATAGCTGAAGCCAAGGAGGCCACACTGACCAGCCTATTTCTGATCTTGTTTCAGACTGGCCCACTCTTCAGTTCCTGATTTTGTTAAACAAGGTAAGAGAGAATAGATGAGAAACAAGCAAATAGGGTCCAGGATGCTTGCTGTGAACACCATGGAGAGCATCTAGGCCATCCTTAAGCAGTCAACAGGTGCCTGGTATATGAAATTGTTGAGCTTGTTAAATATACAGACATTTTCCACCTCCAAAGTGCTGAGATTATAAGCATGGGCCACCACACCCAGCCAAGACTGTGGTTTTAAAGAAAGAGATGAGATTTTAAATCACAAGTAAAAAAATCAAATACTTCATATCTTCTTTGCTACAAGGTATGCATTTTTATTTCACCTTGGTTATCTCAATTCAATTTTTTTAAAAGAAAGAAAACCTTTTCTTTTCCCAAGATGGTGACAAAAAGACTTTTAGGATGCCTCGGCCACTTGGAAACAGCAAAATAGTGTGTAAAAATCAACTCTGAGTTTTAATTCAAAAGGAAAGGTGACAATTTGCAGGAATAGCAAAGGACACCTCATATTCTGGGAAGGAGAAAGTGGGCAAGCAGCCCTTGCGACAGCATTCAGCTGAAAAGGTGTGTGGGAGGGGCAGTCAGTCTCCCTTGGTGATTCACCTTTCCACTAGGGATATGTGCCAAGGGAGGGCACCCTGTTTCTCTCAAGCCCTAGAGATAACAGTTAGGGAGAGGCTGAGAGATAGAGAGATGGAGACACTGGGAAAAAACTGCATTGTCCCAGACCCAGGACCAAGAGGAGGATGCCATTTTCCATCCAGGCTTATACAAAGGCAGTCATTGTTTTGCAACCTGGAAGCAGTAGCCACAGCAGGCATTTAATTTTGGGCCAGAGACTGGGGTTCTAGCACTGGAGTAGGAGAAGGGTTCCCACTGCCAGAATTGAGTGGTGAGTATGGAGAGTGTCCCAGCAGTAGATGCTAGAATTAGGCTCTCTCTCACCACAAGACCAGTATGGGAGGAGAGTTGTTGAAGCTGAGGATTCTCCTGGAGGGCAAGACTTACAGCCAGGGACAGCTTTGTATTCTGGGACCAGTCTGTGTGTGTCCTTGGTGGGTGCCCCAGCCTGCTCCCTTGGTCAGTGGGGAGACAGTGCCCCACTAGCTCCAAGGAACAGGAGGGAGGTGGACACCACTTCCTTGGAGATCTAACCCCCAGTACTAAGTGGCCCTAAGGGAGAGAGGTGCATAGCCTGCCAAAGCCCCCTTGAGTCAAAGAAAACTTGAGCATGGTGCCAGCCACATAAGGCAGCACCAACAAAGCCTGGAAATGAACTTAAGAGTTCATCTCTCACCCCCAGCTTTCTTCTTCAGTGCACTGCTGTCGACATGACAAAAGGTCTTCCAGGTGGGGCCTGGGGAGTGTGGACTGACAGAGGCCACTTCCTGGGCTTCTCCATTGGCTCTACCCCCACCAAAGGTGAGCATGAGCTGAGGGAGGGTGCTTTTCATGCTTCTCCATTGTTTCTGCCCATGCTAAGGGTAAACACATGCAAAGAGCCTCTTGCTGGCTCTTACTTCTCAGCATCATCTACTGGCTGGAAGCCTGAATTACACCTCCAAATAAAAGTAAATCACTACAACAATAAACTTGAGGAAGACACTGCATATCTGCAACCAAGGAGCCCTTACAGAGCCTTGGTCCTCTGAAAGCACCCAGAAACAAGGCAAATCAATGATACACAATAAACAACACAGTCATACCCTCAAGGGAAAAAAATAACAATAAAAAAATCAACACTCCCCATCAAAACAATAGCAAATTAAAAAGAAATAAGGAGAAATGTCAGCTCCCTCAGATGAGAAGGAACCAGTATAAGAACTCTGGCAATACAAAAATCCAGAGTGTTTTTTCACCTCCAAAGGATTGTACTAGCTTTCTAGCAATGATCCTTACCAGAATGAAATGTCTGAAATGACAGATATAGAATTCAAAATGTGGATGGCAAAGAAACTCAACAAGATACAAGAGATAAGTTAAAATCCAACACAAACAAGCCAGCAAAATGATCAAAGACTTGAAAGACCACATAGTTATATTAAGAAATAACCAAACAGAACTTCTGGAATTGGAAAATTTACTAAAAGAATTTCAAACTACAGTTGGAAGCATTAACAACAGACTTGACAAAGCAGAAGAAAAAAAAATCACAGACTAGTCCTTCAAATCAACCAAGTCAGACAAAAATGAAGAAAAAATTATTTTTAAAAAATTAACAAAGCTTTTGAGAAATATAGGATTATGTAAAGCAATGAAACCTATGACTTGTTGGCATTCCTGAGAGAGAGAAGAAAAGTAAGCAACTTGGAAAACATATTTGAGAATATAATTCAGGAAAATGTCTCTAATCTGGCTAGAGAGGTCAATATGCAGATACAAGAAATCCAGAGAAGTCCTGAGAGTTGCTATATAAGATGAACATCACCAAGGTACATAGTCATCAGACTATCCAAGGTCAATGCAAAAAAAGAAAATCTTAAAGACAGATAAAGAAAATGGCCATATTATCCTTAAAGGGGAACCCAACAGACTAACACAGACTTTCAGCAGAAATCTTACAAGCCAGAAAAGATTGGGGGCCCATTTTTAGCATTTTTAAAGAAAAGAAATCCCAGTCAAGAATTTCATATTCCACCAAACTAAGCTTCATAAACAAAGTACAAATAAAGTCTTTCCCAGACAAGCAATCACTAAGGGAATTTGTTAGCACTAGACTGGCCCTATAAGAGATGCTTAAGGGAGTGCTAAACATGGAAATGAAAGATGTTTGCTACCACGAAAGCACACAGAAGCACATAGCCTATGGACCCATAAAGCAACTACATAATCAAGACTACAAATCAATTAGCTAAAAGCACTACGAAAGGAACAAAACCACTATATCAATATTAACCTTGAATATAAATGGCCTAAATATTCCACATAAAAGACACACACTGGCAAATTGGATTTAAGAAAACAGTATTCATTCTTCTGCTGTTTTTAAGAGATCTATCTCACATGTAATGAAACCCATAGGCTCAAAGTAAAGGGATGGAGAAAGGTCTATCATTCAAATGGAAAACAAAAAGGAGTAAATGTCACTATTCTTGCATCATATAAAATATACTTTAAACCAAAAACAGTGAAAAAGGACAAAAAAGGGCATTACATAACAATAAAGGGTTCCGTTCAACAAGAAGATTTCACTGTCGTAAATATATGTTTACCCAACATTGGAGCACCCAGATTCACAAAACAATTACTTCTGGACCTAAAAAAAAAAAGACTTAACGCAGCCACACAATAATAGTGGTGGAATTCAACACCCCACTTACAGCATTTGACAGCTCATTGAGACAGAAAACTAACAAAGAAATTCTGGAGGTAAATTCAACACTTGACCAACTAGACCTAATAGACTTCTAACAGAATACTGCACCCAACAACCACAGAATATACATTCTTCTCATCTGCATATGGAACATACTGTAAGATTGACCACATGCTTAACCATAAAGCAAGTCCTCATGAATTAAAAAACATCACAATGATACCAGCCATACTCTCCAACCACAATGGAATACAAATAGAAATCAATACCAGTAAGGACTCTCAAAACTACATAAATACATGGAAAATAAACCACTTGCTCCTGAATGACTTTTCAGTAAGCAATAAAATTAAGGCAGAAATGACAAATTATTTGAAACAAATAAAAATGGAGACACAACATACCAAAACCTCTGGGACACGACAAAAACAGTGTTTAAGGGGAATATTTATAGTGCTAAATGCCTACATTAAGAAGATGGAAGGATTTCAAATGAACAAACTAACCTTGCATCTAACAGAATTACAAAAACAAAAACAAACAAAAAAATAAAACCAAAAAGACTAAACACAAAGCTAGCAGAACAGAAACAACTAAAATTAGAGCAGAACTAAATGAAATTCAGACCAAAATGATCAACAAAATGAAAAGTTGTCCTTTGAAAGGATAAACAAGATTGACAGACCACTAGCTAGATTAACAGAAAAAAAGAACATTCAAATAAGCACAACCAGAAACAACAAAGGTGACATTACAACTTCTCCAATAGAAATACAAAATATATTCAGAGACTACTATGAACATGTCTATGTGCACAGACTAGAAAATCTAGAGAAAATGAATAAATTCCTGGAAACACACAACTTCCCATGATTGAACCAGGAAGAAATAGAAATCCAGAACACACCAATAACGAGTAATGAAATTGAATCAGTAATAAAACACCTACCAATCAGAAAAGGCCCTGGACCAAAATCAGAAAAGGCCCTGGACCAAATGGTTTCACAGCTAAATTCCACCAGATGTACAAAGATCTGGTACCAATTTATATTCCAAAAAATTGAGGAAGGGGGATTCCTCCCTGACTCATTCTACAAAACTAGTATCATCCTGACGTCAAAATCTTGCAAAAAGATAGCAAAAACAGAAAACAACAGGCAAATATCCCTAATGAACATAGGCACAAAAATCCTCAGCAATATACTAGCAAACTGAATTGAGCAGCACATCAAAAAATAATTCGCCATCATCAAGTGGGCTTTATTCCTGGGGTGCAAGGATGATTCAACATACACAAATTAATAAACATAATCCATCACATAAACAGGATGAATTACGAAACGATATGATCATCTAAATAGACACAGAACAGCATTTGATAAAATCCAACATCCTTTCATGATAAAAACCCTTAACAAACTAGGCATAGACGGAATGTATCTCAAAATAAAAGCCATGTGTAACAAACCCACAGTTAACATAATACTGAATGGGGAAAAGTTGAAAGCAAGCTCCAGTTCTTGTCCCCTAAGAAGTGAGATGAGACAAAGATGTCCATTCCCACCGCTCCTATTCAATATAGTAGTGGAAGCCCTAGCCAGAGCTATCAGGCAAGAGAAAGAAATAAAAGGCATTCAGATTGGGAAAGAGGAAGTCAAATTATTATTGTTCACTGACAACATGATCACATACCTACAAAATCCTAAAGACTTCTCTGGAAGATTCCCAGATCTGATTAGAAACTTCAGTAAAGTCTCAAGATACAAAATAAATGTGTAAAATCAGTAGCATTTCTATCTGCCACTAACATTCAAGGCAAGAGCCAAATCAAGAACATAATGCCATTTACAACAGCCAGAATAAAGCGTTAAGTACAAAGGAATACATCTAATCAAGGAAGTGAAAGATCTCCACCAAGAGAACTACAAAACGCTGATGAAAGAAATTGTGGATGACACAAATAAATGGGAAAACATCCCAACGCTCATGGATTGTAAGACTCAATATCACTCAAATGACCATATTGCCCAAAGTAATCAGTCCCTGTCAAATTACCAATCTCATTTTCCACAGAATTAGAAAAAAAATCCTAAAGTATATATAAAACCAAAAAATAGCCTGAATTGCCAAAGTACGCCTAAGCATAAAGAACAAATCTGAAGACATCACCTTGACTGACTTCAAATTATACTACAAGGCTACAGCAACTAAAATACCATGGTACTGGTACTAAAATAGACACACAGATCAATGGAACAGAATACAGACCCCAGGCCGGGCGTGGTGGCTCACGTCTGTAATCCCAGCACTTTGGGAGCCAAGGCAGGTGGACCATGAGGTCAGGAGTTCAAGACCAGTCTGGCCAAAATGGTGAAACCCTGTCTCTACTAAAAATACAAAAATTAGCCGGCTGTGGTGGTGGGCGCCTGTAATCCTAGCTACTTAGGAGACTGAGGCAGAGAATTGCTTGAACCCAGGAGGCAGAGGTTGCAGTGAGCCGAGATCGCACCACTGTACTCCAGCCCGGGCAACAGAGCGAGACTCCATCTCAAAAAAAAAAAAAAAAAAAAAAAAAAAAGATAGACCCCAGAAAGAAAGCCACATACTTAAAACCAACTGATCTTCAATAAAACCAACAAAAATAAACAATGGGGAAAGAACTCTCTATTCAATAAATGGTGCTGGGAATACTGGCTAGCCACATGCAGAAGAATAAAACTGGACCACTATCTCTCACCATATACAAAAATTAACTCAAGATGTATTAAAGAACTAAACATAAGACCTGAAACTATAAAAATTCTGGAATCTGGGAAAAACTCTTCTGGACATCGGCCCAAGCAAAGAATTTATGATGAAGACCCCAAAAGCAGACACAACAAAACAAAAATAGACAAATGAGATTTAATCAAACTAAAAAGTGCCTGCACAGCAAAGAAATAACAGCATAAACAGACAACCTTCAGAATTGGAGAAAATATTGACAAATTATGCCTCCAACAAAGGATTAATATCCTGAGTCTATAAGAAACTCAAACAACTCAACAAGAAAAAAACAAACAACTTCATTAAAAACTTGGCAAAGGACATGAACAGACATGTCTCAAAAGAAATATAAGTGGCCAACCACCCATGAAAAAAATGTTCAACATAACTATTCATCAGAGAAATGCAAATTAAAACTACACCAAGATACCATGTTACATCAATCAGAATGGCTATTATTAAAAAGCCAAAAAAAATATTGGCATGAATGCAGAGAAAAGGGAATGCTCATACACTGTTGGTGGGAATGTAAATTAGTTCAACCTCTATGGAAAATATTATGGCGATATCTCAAAGAACTGAAAATAGAACTATTAGATCCAGCAACCTTACTACTAAGTATCTTCCCAGTGGAAAAGAAATTATTATAGAAAAGTGATTTCAGGAGCAAACTCTCAAGTTTCGATGCCTGGGATTATTTATCTAACCTAGTTAAAGTTGATTGCAGTAATGACTTCCTTGATAGCAAAAATATGAATATTGATTATTCATGACATGCAAGTGATGAAGTACTTACTTAAATTATAAACTGTAGTTTTAGAATCAAGTGCCTACTAACTCTCTTTTGACAGAAGAAGCCAGCCATCTCTCTTATCTAATTAAGCCACCATCCCTATAATAGAAAACTCTCTAATGACCTTACTGGATTAATTAGAATAGGATGGTCTGTGCTGCAATAACAAACCTAACAAAAGTTTATTTCTGTCTCCTGCTACTTGTCCAATGCAAATAGGCAAGGAGCTCTGTTTCTATCTATTGACTGAAGCTCAGTCACCTCACAGCTGAACTGGTGGTGCACCTGGTAGCTTTCACAGTGGGAGAGAGAGGGAGAGGTTCCCAAACCAGCTCTTACATGCCTCAGCCAAAAAGTGTCACATATGATTTCTCTTCAAAGCACATCTTCCAGGATTAGTCACATGGTCCACCGTAATTGCAAGGAGTCTAAAAAATGTAGTGGAGTATGCGGATATTTGATGAGAATGGAATATCTCTTCCACTTCACTAGAGGCAGTTATCTTGCAAGGGAGTGTTGGTATTTCTTGAGAACTGCCCCACGACTCCATATTGCCTCTGGGTTCTATAACTGAGTCAGATACCAGCAAACCTCAGGGACGTGAGCTCAGAGTCAAAGCCAAGGAGAGACAGATTATAAGTTAAATAACTGAAGGATTCTCTCAACTGCATTGGGAAAAATATGGGGAGTATGCTGGGAATGAATTCTGAGGGTACTAGATCAGGAAAAAACAAACAAAATGCATCAAGTCAAATTTATTGATATATGTACATTTACTAAAAACTGTGGATTCAGTGTGTTAGCTGAAGCAGATAGATGTGTTTTTAGATAGATAAATACTATAACAGTTATATTTGCCTGGAAACTAGACTCAACCACATTTCCTTCAATAATATAGAGCAGTGTTTCTCAACTGGGGGAAATTTTACCCTCCCTCCCCAAGTGATATTTGCCAATTTCTTGAGACATTTTTCATTCTCATAACTAAGAAGAACTGCTGGGTAAAGACCAGAGATGCTGTTAAACATTCCATACTGCACTCGACAGTCTCTCTCCACAAAGAATAATTTGCTCCAAAATTATCAATAGTGCCAAGGTCCAGAAATCCTAATATAAAGAAATTTGAAGGCTCCACTGACAAAAACATTTGAGTGGATTTATCACAGCAAGCCACTCATCTACTCCTACCTATGTCACCTAGGTTGGCCTAAAGGACATTCCTTCTCCAATCAAGATATTTAGAAGTACATTGCTGGGGAGCACTTGCATATTTGGAAAGCTCTGCACTAGCTGCCTTCTGCAGACAGGTAATTACAGTGGGAAAAACTTCCACTGAAATGAATTGATTCCCTGAAATAATTGTGAATGATGGATCTTGCAGTATAGAGGCCACTCAGTAGCCAAAGACAAGAAGGGTATGGGTATTGTTGGTAGAAGGGCTGGAGCAATAATCAGAGAAAAACAAACATCCTTGGTAATGACTACAACTTATCATGACGTCTCTAGAACTGAAATATGGTTTTCTAGAGAGAAAGCAATGGTGATGCCTAAGATCAATTTTCTAGAACTGAAATAAATGGGTGGCCTACTGAAATCTTACTTGGTCTGTGTAAACCAAAATTTCTAGGTATTGTGAACACAGATCAGATTGGGGCCTCTCTTAGCCTGTTTGGTCTTCTGTAGTAGAATACTACAGACTGAGTGGCTTATAAACAACAGAAATTTATTTCACGTAGTTCCAGAAACTGAGAAGTCCAAGATCAAGATGCTGAAAGACCCTGTGTCTGGTGACAGGCACACTTCCTCATACACAGAGATCTTCTCACTCTAACCTCACATGGTAGAAGGAGTGAAGTGTCTCACTGGGGACTCAGGTTTTATAAGGGCACTAATCTTATTCTTGAGGGCCCTGTCCCCATGATCTAATCACCTCTTGAAGTCCTCACATCCTAATAGTATCACCTTGGGGGTGAGAATTTCAACATATAAATCTGGGGGGACATAAACATTCAAACCACAGTAAGGCACCACAATTTATAGGTCTTAACTAAATTAGACTAGAGCCAGTCCACAGGTTCAAGCCCTTTGTGTGAAGGGAATACAGGTCACCTTGCGAAAGGATCCAAAGACAAACCATGCATTTGTACAGTGTATTCTCTTCTTAGCTTTCTCCAAAGAAACCTGCCTCCATTTACCATGGTGACTATGCACTGGGCAAAGGGGAAATATCAATACATTTTAAGGATTGCTAGACATTGGCTGTGAGCTGATACTCAGACATCAAAGGATCTAATGCTACTAGAAGCCAGTCAGAATGGAGACTTACAGAGGCCAGTTGGTAACTGTCCTTCTCAAACAGGATAATTAACCAAAAGTTACCATATCCTTGGGAGAGCTACAATAATTATTGCCACCATGAAAGACTTGCAAGATGCAGGGGTAGTGGTTATTACCATATTCTCATTAACTCAACATATGGATAGAACTTTGAGAGAGATAGTGAAGATGGACAGTAAAGCATCATAAATCAGGTGATGACTGCAATTGTAGCTACTGTTCTCAAGGCACAGTCCTGGGAAGGTGAAATAATTTCTAGGAAAGAAATTGAATTTGTAACCAAGTGGAACATTTCAGGAGCTCAACTAGAAATCAACCTTGCCTCTCTGAGGACCTAGATGTCAAGATGAACTAGGAGTTCAGTCAATGCCTAGTGATTAAATTAGAGGTGAAAGGCTGGCCAGAAAACAATACTGGTGGCTAAGATCAAGATAGGGATGGGAGAACAGAGAGTATCAAAGAGACTGATAGCATTTAAATTTGGGCCACCACAGCAGAGCCGTGAGACTATGAGATAGTTTTAAGTGCATCTCATGTGTGTCCAGAAATTATCTCACCTGAACATAGAAAAATATGAATGGAGAGCTTCTGTGGGACTCGAATAGAGAAGTATATGGCCAGAGAAATGAAAGCAAGTGATAGACCTTGGATCTCAAGAGGATGAACCTCAAATAGCTTTGATCTGCCAGGAGTGGGTATAAAAGGATTGTCTCAATGGAAAACCATATGGCATTTTCTTAAAAGGTTAAAAATAGAACTACCATATAATCCAGCAATCCCGCTTCTGTATATTTATCCAAAAGAATTGAAATCAGGATCTTGAAGAAATATCTGCACTTTCATGTTCATTACAACATTATTCACAATAGCCAAGATGTGAAAACAACTCAAACGTCCATCAGTAGATGAATGGATAAGGCAGATGTGATATACACATACAATGAAATGTTTGTTATTCAGCCATAAGAAAGAAGGAAATCCTGCCATATGTGACATGAATGCACCTTGAAGATATTATGTTAAGTGAAATAAGCCAGTCACAGAAGTACAACTACTATACAATACCACTCATACAAGGTAGCTAAAATAGTCAAACTCATAGAAACTAAAAGTAGAATGGTGGTTGCCTAGGGGAGGGAGAAATGGGGAGTTGTTTTTCAACATGTATGAAGTTTTATTTTTGCAAGATGATTAAGTTCTAGAGATCTGTTATACAACATTGTGCTTATAATTCACAGTACTGCTCACATAAAAAATGTTAAGAGGGTAGATCTCATTATGTGTTCTTACCAAAATAAAAATAAACAAATAAATAACACAGGAACAAAAATCACAAACAAACAAAAAGGGTCACCTCAGGCAAGTGGCAATGAATACCTAAGGTAGCCCCATGCTTGGGGGCTTCCCAAAGAGCATCACACGTTATTATAAACAGAGTTGCTCAGATGTGACTTTTCCCAAGATGTTATTACTTTCATATGACCCATTATCACAGGCAGAAGAGCTTCGAAAGGCATAATGTAAGAACTATTTAAATAGCAATAGACATACATTACTTCTGTCATTATAAAAGACTACCTAATTTATATGATTGGTAGGCAATATCTTTAATATGCTCAGTTCAGCAGTGTCTGCGAAGGGAACAATGAAGCACTAAGTGCATAGCATATTATCCCCAGGAGCCAGGCAGGCACTTAAAGATGCACATTAACATTTTTCAGGCCCTATTTGAACAGAAATATGGGTCTTCTGGAATTATGGTGAATTATCATGAACTCAATTAAGTGGTAGCTCCAATAATATCACGTGCTACATTACCGTGATTAGACTTCTATTACTGGATCTAAAAAACACAAAAATAAAAATCTGAACACTTTATTTCCAGAAAAAAAAATTTTATCCTTCAGTGAAGAGATTCCTAAGGCCACGCCAATTGATAACCACTTAAAAGTTTTGCCTCCTGTTATCACCATGTAGCCATAAAGCCTATAAACTCTAACACTAATGCAATGTTTCTCCAAAGGGCTGAAGAACTTGTTAAATTGCCTTAAAAGCACAGCTTATTTCTGGAAAGTGGCCTAAGCATGAAGGCGAATGTGTTTACTTGCCTACATATAATGAACCATACATCATTTTCTCAATACCCCAGTTACTTACACTAGAAGTTTTTGGTTAGGATAAAGATTGCTGTTTTATGTTCTCAGCGAGAAAAGTTTGATTTCAGAGAAGTAGAGAAATGCACTTTGCTTTTGGGGTGATTTATTTTGGGCACCTTAATTTGAGTCTTCATTCCAGAATGCACTCATCTCATCCTTTAATAGCATGCCTACTGTTCAAGCCACTCAGCCAATTCTGAGAAAGGATTAATCCATTTCAACATCAGCAGCAAGATGGACACTCCAGTACAGCAGATGTGCACTCTTCTCTGTAATTACTTTCAGCTCTTGCTTTGCCCTTTCCTGTCTCTTTGAAATTTAACATTAATGGAATCAGAATGGCATTTACCCAGGGATCAGTTCCAGATTGTGTGAAATGCACCAAAAAAAAAAAAAAAAAAAAAAAAAAAACAAAGAGGTTTTGACATAGTAAGTCTACTAATCGCTTTTTGTGACTGGAATTAGCCAACAGTTAGCTTTGAGTAGAAAAGATTAAGAATGTCACATATTTAATCTGAGGAAAGAGAAATTAATAATCCCGCTTCTATTCCTGCCCCTTACTATCAAACACCATATTAGCTAAAGCCAGAACCCCAGAGTAATAATCCAGAACTCTGACATAGCCTAGAGGATGGCCATTCTATGGAAACATATATGGTGCAACTGTGAGATGCCAACCAGACATACAGAAGTTGAGACTGAGTTGGGAGCCAGAAAGGTGGAGAAGCAGTGAGAGAGAAAGAGTAAAGTTTGAGTCCAAAACCATAGCAAAAATGGATTTGAGGAATGTTCCAAATCTCCCACACTCTGCTGCCAGAGCCCAGCATTGCATGAGAACTGAATGCTAATTTTCCTTTTAAGGATAATAGCTATATTTCCTTACTCAAGTACTTTATAAATGTCATAAGGTGAAGAAAATTTTATTATTTAAGCAGTTGTCTCCTAAATTCCTCTTAGAAGAATCATCTTCCTTTGGAGAAATATCTTGATAGTTGATTAGGAAAAAAAGCTCTACTAGGACTCTGTATTTTTAGTGTCTTCCAGATTTCAGAGAAGGGAGAAACCTTCTCTATTTGATGCACCATGGATATTTAACTCCAGAAAGTGAATGGTAGAGAAAAGGCATGAGAGAGTGAGGAGTAGCAACATGGAGGGCAACCCAGACCTGGAGATGATTAAATGCCCCTGAGATATGGTTCAAGAATAGAGCCGCTAATGTTTTCCCTTCAGGGTTGGTTTTGCTAATGGAATCCCCCCTCCAACTTCACTCTTCTCCCTACCAATTTTCAGTAAAAATCACTGAATCACGAGCCTTTAAATTGCATTTTTAAATTAGAAATGTTTTGAAGACTGTATAGGAAAAAAGAGAAGTTTTCACTGAGGATGTTAGAATGCAGGGAAGAGGCAGCCAAGGAGCGCACCACAGAGGGGAGCCACAGTGACCCCAGAATGTAAGTTTCCAGGAGGTGGACAGAGGTTTCGAGAAACCCTTCAGACTTTTGAAGATTGTAAAACTCGCAAAGGAATAAGCCAATTTGCCAGTCTCAGATCTTAAAGAGCAGGTAGGTTCCAAGTTGACATCTAGAAAAGAAAGCCATCTCATTCAATCCTCATAGAATCCTATCATTAGCCGCATTCTGAAGATGAAGAAATGTAGGCCCAGGGTCATTCCCAACGTCACTAATTTAGTAAATTGCAGAGGAGGATCACAAAACTATCCCAAAGGACATGACCTCAACCAGTATAATACAAAATTTTTTTGCCTCATATTTTGACACTGAATCCTCCCTTAGTCAAATACTGTCCATCCTTTAAGATTAGTTTTCCTTCCCCAAACTACACTGACTTCTTAGACTCTGAAATTCCACATCCCCCATTGACTCTTTAAAGTTCTTTCCTGAGTATAAATATAATCATGGCTCATCCATCTTTTGTGAAAACAAAAGAACTTCTCCAATTATGTTTTCCTACTTCTTTTTCTCATAATTAAAATCTTAAAATATCACTGTACTTTTTCTCTTTTCCATTCACTTTTCTGCCTGTTGCATCTGCCTGCTGTCCCCACCAAGGTAAGGGGTAGTCTCCTAATTCCAGTACTCAACAGACAATTTCAGCCTTCACCTCATTTGCTTTCTTTGAGCATCTGACACTCTTCACAAAGCCTTATCTCCATCACTGTGGGACCTCTTAGATTCATCTCTCTCCTTCCTGTACTCTTCTTCCAGCTACTGCTAAAATTCCGTCATAGTCACTGGTGCCTGCTACTCTTAATCTCTCCCTGGAATACTTATCACAGATTCTGTAGATAAGGCTTATATGCTTGTAAGGGAGCCTCCTGAAATAGAGACACGTTATTTTGTACACGTGCATTTTTTCCTAGCCAAAGTATTCTCTCACTCAATAGTGTTCATTTTCACAAATATTTATGAAGGAAATAAGTCATTAAAAATAAGCCACAAAGATCTTTGTGAAATAATATTAGGCAATAAGCTATGAACACAATAAATAAGCAAATGATAAAATCTTTAAAGGACTCCAGGAAAAATAGAACAAATTAAAGGGGACCACAAGGGCCATGGGGAGGATTGGGATGGCTAAGGGACGGGTAGTTAGGGAAGACTTCATCAAGAATGTAATGGTTAATCAAAGACTTAAAAGACATGAAGAGTTGCCATGTTTTTAATAAGTCAATTAGAGGGAACAGCAAGTTCCCTAAGAGGGGCAAAAGTGATGGTAAAAGAGAAAGTAATTTTAAATATAGAGAATTATTCCAGCTTGTGTGTTGATGGAAATGATTGATCAGAGAATAAAAAATTGATGAGACAGGCAAAAGGAGAGATTGCAGCAGCAATGTCCTTGAGTAGGCAAGAGGTTGGGAGATCTGGCATATATCTGGAATGCTTTCAACAGGAGTGTGGAGACTTTACTCATAATAATACACAAGAAAGAAAGGTATGTGTGCTGGATTCTGATGGGAGTTAGGTATAATGAAGGGATTCTATAGAAGTTTTCACGTAAATTCTCCAATTTTCTCAGTGAAATAAAAGGCAAGTTCATCTCCTGAGAATGGGGAAGAAATGGAAGGTAGGCATTGAGATTTTGAAAGCATAAAAGAAGACATATTAATAAAATAGCCATCTAGTATAATAAAAGATAAAGAAATCTTGCCTGATTACCAGGCGATACTTGAAAGTCCAAATTGAAATCCAATGTCAAAAATATAAAAATGTGACCAGTTGCCATGGTAGTGTATTCTTTTCTAGCCACAATCATTTGAACAGGTGCAGGCACAGATAATAGGTGAAGGATTGAACTTAACTAGGGCTATTGCTTTATCAAGTAAGTATAATGAAGCAAGAGGCAACAAATGATTAGATTATTTGACCATGGATTTAAGGTGCACAAGCAGAGATTGTGAGCCCTGAAGGGGCAAAGGATAGTAAAAAGACAGTAGATGAAAAAGGTAAAAACTCTAGATTGTTGGTCCCAGTAGGGGTAGAGGAATTGTCAGAGTTAATATACTAGAGGGAATGAGCTGGAAATATAGGAAGTAGTGGTTGGAGATTAGGATGAATAAAAATAAGATCTTGCAGGGATTGGATGTATTGATAATGAAAATGTCTACAGCATGACTGTGTGACTAATGAGGTTTGTCAAAGAACTTAATACCTACAAAATGGTAAAGATCCATGTCTTTATATCCTTTCCACATTAGCTATTTTGGCCCTAAGTATAAGTATTGCATGTTTGTTTTGTTTGAGACGGAGTCTCCCTCTGTCGCCCAGGCTGGAGTGCAGTGGCACGATCTCAGCTCACTGCAAGCTCCACCTCCCGGGTTCACGCCATTCTCCTGCCTCAGTCTCCCAAGTAGCTGGGACTACAGGCACCCATCACCACGCCCAGCCATTTTTTTGTATTTTTAGAAGAGACGGGGTTTCACCATGTTAGCCAGGATGGTCTCGATCTCCTGACTTCGTGATCCGCCTGCCTCAGCCTCCCAAAGTGCTGGGATTACAGGCATGAGCCACCGCGCCTGGCCAAGTATTGCATGTTTTTATAACTTTCTGTCTACACATCCAGCTTAGGTACTCTCTAACTTTTGGCCATCTCTACTTGAATGTGGAATAAGTACTTCAAATATAACATGTCCTGGGGTTAACTCACCATTTTCCCCTAACCATTCCCCCTCCATCAACTGACCCAGATAATGGCATCATTCATCCAATCCACTTAAGGCAGAAACCTGGACTTACTAGACTCTTCTTTCCTTCCCTTACCAACAACATTAAAACAATTAACAGTCTCCATTGATTTAATCTCTTAAATCTATATTTTAAACAGTACTCTTTCTCCAGTTTCACTCCTGCAGGCTAAAATTTATATCCTCACAATCTTGAAATTTGATTATTACGGCAATTTCTCAGTCTCTTTGCTATGGTTTTGTTCATTCTTAAACCTGTTTTCCATATTCCCTTAGAACATTGCTTCAGGATAAAATGCACACTCCTTAGTGAAACAGAATAGCTGCTTATTATCTTGTGCTTGCACTATTCCTCCCTCACCTTTTGCTAATTACCAGCACACCACAATCACCCATGTTGAACTACAATAAACTCCTCAAAGACACTCTCTTTTTTTATAACTCTTTATCTTTGCAAAGGTAGAGTCTCTACTTTTCTTTCTTCCAAGAATGCTCATCCTATCCCACCTCCTTCATCTGGCTAACAATTGCTCATACTTCAAAGACAACTCAAGCACGCTCTGTTCCAAAAAGCCTTCTCAGGGGTTGTTTGTAGGTTTAAGATATGCACCAATATGTCACCAAAGCATCCTATTCTTATCTATATTCAGACATTTTCATACTGTAAATTTTACTTTGAATTTGCGTGTTTTCTCTCTGGACTGTGAGTTCTTGTGGGCAGAACTTTGTTTTTTCAGTTGAACTTTCTATAGTTCTTAATACTCTGGGCACAAAATAGGCAATCAATGTGCATTTTCAAAATAAATGATTGACGCAATTCTACAATTTATAGTGTTTTAGTGATATGGGTTCACATACTGGGATCTCAATTACATGAAAATTCAAGGGGAGGACAATTCTTTCATATTTTGCTTTATTGTGTTTTGCAGATACTGAATTTTTGCAAATTGAAGGTTTGTTTCAACCCTGCATTTAGAAAGTTTATCAGCACCATTTTCCAACAGCATGTGCTCACTCCATGTCTCTGTCATATCTTGACCATTCTCACAATATCCCAAACTTGTTCACTATTATTATATCTGTTATGATGACCTGAGATCAGTGATCTTTGATGTTAATATTTTAATTGTTTTGAGGTACCATGAACCATACCCATATAAATAAGATGGTGAACATAAGACATACATACATGTGTTCTGACTACTTCACAGACTGACTGTTCTCTCAACTCCCTCCCTCTTCTCCTGCCTTCCTATTCCCTGAAACACAATAATATTGAAATTAGGCCAAGTAATATCCTACAATGACCTCTAAGTGTTCAAGTGAAAGAAAGAGTCCCATGTCCCTCACCTTTTTTTTCATAATTTCAACATTCACTTTAGATTCAGTTCAGGTGGCACATGTGCAGGTTTGTCACATGGGTATATTGTGTAGTGGTCAGGTTTGGGATACGAATGATCTTATGACCCAGGTAGTGAGCATAACACCCAATAGGTAGTTTTTCAGCCCTTGTCCCCATCTCTGTCTCCCACCTCTAGTGGAAGGGAGTCCTCAGTATCTACTGTTCCCAACTTTATTCCATGTGAACCCAATGCTTAGCTCCCATTTACAAATGAGAACATGTGCTATTTGGTTTTCTGATCCTGAATTAATTCACTTAGGATAATGGCCTCCAGCTACACCCATGTTGCTGCAAATGATATTATTTTTTCATTTTTGTGGCTGCATAGTATTCCACTGCATGTATGTACTATATTTTCTTTATTCAATCCACCATTGATGGGCATCTAGGTTAATATCTTTGCTATAGTGGATAGTGCTGCAATGAACATATGAGTGTATGTGTCTTTTGGTAGAATGATAACTTTTCCTTTGGGTATATACCCAGTAATGGGATTGCTGGGTCCAATGGTAGTTCTGGTTTAAGTTCTTTGAGAAATCTCCAAACTGCTCTCCACAATGGCTGAACGAATTTACATTCCCACCAAAAGTGCATAAGCATTTCCTTATCTCTGCAGCCCCACCAACATTTTTCACCTTTTTATGACAGCCATTCTGATTGGTTTGAGATGGCATCTCATTATAGTTTTGATTTGCATTTCTCTTATTATTAGTGATGTGGAGCATTTTTTCATATGTTTGTTGGCCACTTGTATGTCTTCTTTTGAGAAGTGTCTGTTCACATCCTTTGCCCATTTTTAAATGAGATTACTTGTTTTTTGCTTGTTAAGTTCCTTATAGATTCTCGAAATGAGATCTTTTTCAGATGCACAGTTTGTGAATATTTTCTTTCATTCTGTAGGTTGTCTGTTTACTCTATTGATAGTTACTTTTGCTGAGCAGAAGTACTTTAGTTTAATTAGGCACTACTTGCTGACTTTAGTTTTTGTTGCAGTTGTTTTTTATAATTTAGTCATAAATTCTTTCTGAAGGCAGGTGTCCAGAATGGTATTTTCTAGCTTTTCTTCTAAGATTCTTACAATTTGAGGTCTTACATTTAAATATTTAATTCATGTTGAGTTAATTTTTGTATATGGTGAAAGTTAAGGGTCTAGTTCCATTCTTCTGCATATGACTAGCCAGTTATCTCAGCACAGTTTATTGAATAGGGAATCTTTTCCCCATTGCTTATTTTTGTTGACTTTGTTGAAGATCAGATGACTGTACGTATGCAGCTTTATTTCTGGGTTCTGTATTCTGTTGCATTGATCTATGTGCCTGTTTTTGTACCAATACCATGCTGTATTGTTTACTGCAGCCTTACAGTACAGTTTGAAGCTGGGTTAATGTGATGCCTTCAATTTTATTTATTTATTTATTTATTTATTTATTTATTTATTTATTTTTTGCTTAGTATTGCTTTGGCGATTCAGGGTCTTTTTCGGTTCCAAATGAGTTTTAGAACAGTATTTTCTAATGTTTTGAAGAATGACACTGGTAGTTTGATAGGAATAGCATTGACTGTGTAGATTGCTTTGGCAGTATGTCCATTTTAATGATATTGGTTCTTCCAATCCATGAGCATGGAATGTTTTTCCATTTGCTTGTGCCATCTTTGATTTCTTTCAGCAGTGTTTTGTAGTTATTCTTGTAAAGATATTTTAACTCTTTCATTAGATGTACTCCTAGATATTTTTGTGGCTGTGGTAAATGGAATTGCATTGTTGATTTGGCTCTCATCTTAAACACTATTGGCGTATAGAAATGCTACTGATTTGTGTACATTGATTTTGTTTCTTAAAACTTTACTATAGCTGTTTATGAGTTCTAGGAGACTTTTGGTGGAATTTTTAGGATTTTCTAGGTATGGAATAATATTTTCCGTGAGGAGAAATAATTTGACTTATTTCCTATTTGGATACCTTTCATTTCTTTCTCTTGCCTGATTGCTCTGGCTATGACTTCTAATACTATGATGAGTAGGAGTAGTAAGAGAGATCATCCTTGTCTTGATCGTGTTCTCAATGGTAATGTATCCACATTTTGCCCATTAAGTATGATATTGGCTGTGAGTTTGTCAGAGATGACTCTTATTACTTTGAGTTATGTTCCTTTGATGTTTAGTTTGTTGAAGGTTCTTTATCATGAAGGGATGTTGCATTTTATTGAAAGTTTTTTCATTGTCTATTGAGATGATCATATGGGTTTTGTTTTCAATTCTGTTTATGTGGTGAATCACACTTATTGATTTGTGTATACTGAACCATCCTTGCATCCCAGGAAGAAAGCCTACTTGATCATATTGAATTAGCTTTTTGATGTGCTGCTGGATTCAGTCTGCTAGTATTTTGTTGAGGATTTTGGCATCTATGTTCACCAGGGATATTGGCTGTTTTCTTTTCCCTGGGTCCTTCCCAGGTTTGAGTATCAGAGTGATTATGGCTCCATACAGTAAGTTGCAGAAAAGTCTTTTCTCCTCAGTTTTTTGGAAGTTTCAGCAGAATTGATACCAGCTCTTCTTTATACGTCTAGTAGAATTCAGTTGTGAATCCATCTAGTCCAGGGCTTTTTTTGGTTGGTAGATTTTTTTTATTATTATTACTGATTCATTTTCAGAGCTTAATATTAATCTGTTCAAGATTTCAATTTCTCCCCCATTCAGTCTGGGGTGGGTGTCTGTTTCTGGGAATTTGCCATTTCTTCTAGATTTTCTAATTTGTCTGCACAGAGGAGTTTGTAATAGGTTCTGAGGAACTTCTGTATTTCTATGGGATCGGTTGTAATGTCATCTGTCATTTCTGATTATGCTTATTTGAAAGTTCTCTCTTTTTTCTTTGTTAATCTAGCTGGCACTCTGTCAACCTTGTATATCCTTTCAAAGAACCAACTTTTGGTTTAATTGTATGCATTTTTGGTTCTCAATTTCATTCAGTTTTGCCTGATTTTAGTTCTTTCTTTTCATCTGCTAGCTTTGGAGTTCGTTCGTTCTTATTTTTCTAGCTCCTCTAGTTGTGATATTAGATTAGTAACTTGAGATATTTCTATTGCTTTTTGATGCAGGTGTTTCGTGCTGTCAACTTTTTTTCTTAATACTGCTTTTGCTGCATCCCAGGGATTTTGATGTGTTGTATCTCTGTTTTCATTTACTTCAAATGATTTTTTGATTTCTGCCTTAAATTCATAGTTTACCCAAAAGTCATTCAAGAGCAAGTTGTTTAATTTCCATGTATTTATGTGGTTTTGAGAGATCTTCCGAATATTGATTTCTATTTTATTCCACTGTGTTCTGAGAATATATTTGGTATCATTTTGATTTTTAAAAAAAAATTATTAAGACTTACTTTATAACCAAGGATGTGGTCAATCTTAGAGTACGTTCCATGTGCAGATGAGAAGAATGTATATTCTGCGGTTGATGGGTGGAGTGTTCTGTAAATGTCTATTAAGTTTAATTGGTCAAATGGTGAATTTAAGTATACAATTTCTTTATTGGTTTTCTGCCTCAATGATCTGTCAAATGCTGTCAGTGGGGTGTTGAAGCCCCCCTCTATTATTGTGTGGCTTTCTACATATTTTCATAAGTATAGAAGTACTTGTTTTATGAATCTGCCCGCTCCAACATTGGGTGCATATACATGTAGAATAATTAAGTCTTGTTGAATTGAATCCTTTATCATTATATAATGCCCTTCCTTTTTCACTGTTGTTGGTTTAAAGTCTTTTGGTTGCTATTTAAGAATAGCATCCTCTGCTCATGTGTGTGTGTGTGATAAATTTTTCTCCATCCCTCTACTTTGAGCCTATGGGTGTCATTACTTATAACATGGGTCTCTTAAAGACAGAAGAAGGATGGGTTTTGTTTTGTTTGTTTTGTTTTATCCAACTTGCCACTCAATGTGTTTAAGTGGGATGTTTAGGCATGTCTCTCAGTTTAAATTAAAAGCCACAAATGATTACGCCTAGTAAGAAAGGCATGTCATAAGCTGAGAAATGCTGAAAGTTAGGCCTCTTGTGCTAGTTAGCCAAGTTGTGAATGCAAAAAAAAAGTTATTAAAGAAAACTAAAAATGCTACTCCAGGGAACACGCAAATAACAAAAAAAAAAGTGAAACAGTCTTTATGGCTTATATGGAAAAAGTTTTACAAGTCTGAATAGAATTTCAAACTAGCCACAACATTCCCTTAAACTAAAGCCTAATCCAGAGCAAGACTGTCTATTTAATTCTATGAAGGCTGCAAGCGGTGAGAAAGCTGCAGGAAAAAATGTTTGAAGCTAGCAGAGGTTGCTTCATGTGGTTTGAGGAAAGAAACCATCCCCATAACACAAAAGTGCAAGGTGAAGCAGCAACTGCTAATGAAGAAGCTAAAGCAAGTTATCCAGAAGAACTAATTAAGATAACTGATGAAGGTGGCTACATTAAACAACAGATTTTCAATGTAGAGGAAGAGCCTCATATTGGGAAAAGAAGCCATGTAGAACTTTCATAGCTGGAGAGGACAGGTCAATGCTTGGCTTCAAAATCTCAAAGAATAGCCTATCTCTCTTGCTACAGGATAATGAAGTTGGTGATTTTGAATTGAAAACAATGCTCATTTATCATTTCAAAAATGTTAGAGCCCTTCAGAATTATGTTAATTCTCTGCCTGTGTTCTATATATGGAACAACAAAGCTTGACTGACAGCACATCTATTTACAGCATGATTTACTGAATATTTTATGCTTGCTGTGGAGACCTACTGCTCAAGAAAAAAATATATATTTCTTTTCAAATATTATTGACAATGTACCTGGTCACCCAAGAGCTCTGGAGCTATACAAGAAGATTATTAATGTGGTTTTCATGTCTGCACACACATCTATTCTGGAGCCCATGGATCAAGGAGTAACTTTAACTTTCAAGTTATATTCTTTAAGAAATACATCTCATAGAGCTATAGTTGCCTTAAATGGTGATTCCTCTGATGGGTCTGGGGAAAGTAAATTGAAAACCTTCTAGAAAGGATTCACCATTCTAGATGCCATGAAGAACATTCATGATACATGGAGAGGAGGTGAAAATATCAACATAACAGGAATTTGGAAGAAGTTAATTCCAACCATCATGGATAACTTTGATGGATTCAAATCGTCAGTGGAGGAAGTCACTGAAGATGTGGTGAAAACAAGAAAATAACTAGAGTCAGTCGTGGAGCCTAAAGATGTGACTGAATTGCTGCAATCTCATGATCAAACTTCAGCAAATGAGGAGTTGCTTTTTATGGATAAGCAAAAAAAGTAGTTTCTTGAGATAGAGACTACTCCTGGTGGAAATGCTATGAACATTGTTGAAATGACAAGAAAAGATATAGAATATTTTATAAATTTAGTTGATAAATCAGTGGCAGGAGTGGAAAAGATTAGCTCCAATTTTGAAAGAAGTTCTGCTTTGGGTAAAATGCTGTCAACCAACATCACATGATACAGATAAATCTTTTATGAAAGGAAGAGTTAACTGATATGTCACACTTCACTATTGTCTTATTTTAAGAAATTTCCATAGCCCCTCCCACCTTCAGCAATCACTACCCTGCTTATTCAGCAACCATCAACACTGAGGCAAGATCCTCCATAGCAAAAAAGGTTATGACTCTCTGAAGGTTCAGGTGATAATTTATATTTTTCAGAAATAAAGAATTTTAATAAAGATATGTACATTTTAGACATAATGCTATTACACATTAATAGAATATAGTATAGTGTAACCCTAACATTTTACACACTGGTAAACCAAAAACTGTGTGTGACTCTCTTGTGATATTTGCTTTTTTGAGATGGCCTGGATCCAAACCCACATTATCTCTGAAGTATGCCTGTGCATGCAAAAGGTTGGCAACACAGAGCAGGCACTTGGTAAACACTGCACAGCATTGATACTGCTCAGGCCATTCAAGCTTAGGCTCCAGGCTCAGTAACTTCCTTTCCCGGTAACCAGAGAAAATTGCTTTTCTACATTAAATTTACATGAAACAAAGCAGCAAGTGTATATGACGCCTGAAATAAGTAAGTACTGAAGCTCCTAAATGCCATCTTCTATTTTTTTTGCAATCAAATTGCATGGGGTTATTATCATTATGTGATAAATTTGGTAAGAGACTCCTGAGAAGGAAACCACCAAAGAAAATGATCATCACTTTGAGGTTCAAAAAATAAACAAAGCGAATTCTCTGACTTCACTTACTTAGCCAAAGGTTCTCAACTTCCATCTGCTCCTTCCTCTGCCCAGTCAGTTCTGAAGCAGAGCTACAGTAGCTGAGGATATCAGCACAACCACCTCCAACAGAGGCCACCCTGTTTATGCCTTTCCCCTAATTAGGAAGTACAGTGGGATGCCTGTGGAGGGACCAGTGTGGCTGGAACAATCTGGGCTATTCCCTCTAGATCAACAAATGGAATTTATAGTCAAAAACAGAGGGATGAGAGGGTAATTGAATTTAAGGGTTTTAAAGTTTATTAACGAATTTACATTCGTTTTACTTCATTCACCATTATTGAATTCCAAATTAGTACACACCTAATACTGAACTGTGCTAACTAGGCACTGGGGGTGCATAGCAGAAGCCATTGATACAGAAATGTAGCAAGGGAAAGCTTGTTGTTAAGAGACAGGCAGACCTGAGCTTGAATTTCTACTCTGCTTTCAACTTACTACCCACATTATTGTGCCAGTTACTCAGTTTCTTTGAGCCTGAATTTCCTCATCTATAAAACAAAGAGGATTATGTCTCCCATAAAGAGCCATTGTGAAGAGTAACTGAGATCACACCTGTAATGTGCCCATAGCTGACAATCAGTAAAGAATACCTGCTCTCCCAAGGAGTTTACAATCCACCTGGGAGGCAGAAATTTACATAATTAACCATAATAAAATGTGATAAATATTATTAAGCAAACCTTATGGAAATAGAGACAAGGGAGTAATTAATTCTTCTAGAAGGGGTTGGCAAGGAAGGCTTTACAAACAAGCCTCTGGATTTTGCTGTCTGATGCTAGTATTGACCCACCACTCACCTCCATAACCATCAACTTACAAGCTTGCTCTTGTAGCTCCTCTGTAAAAAGTATATAACTAAATCTTTCCTTGATCCCACACCTCTCTATAGCTAATTGCTCATTTCTTTCTCTCCTTTGCAGCAAAACATAGAAAGATATGGTGTCTCCACTATGGGAGTTCCGTCAGGATGGTGGGAAAAATTTTAAGATGAAGTTATAGGATATAAACACAAATCTTCTTGGAAGGCTGGAAGGTTTTTGCAGAAGTCTCAGGATAGGATTCTGGCTGAAAGCAGCCTAATTCTTTGATCATTTGTGGGCAGGATGGCTCCCTGCAGGGAAGGTAACCAGGTTGATTACCCTCTAATGGTGTTGACTCAAAGCCTTTGTCATTTAATGTGTGCAGAATAAATGTTGGCATCCAATATAAACCCCAAGGAAAAGCCATAATAGAATGTGCCCATTCCATTCTTAAAAATATGCTCAAAACACAGAAAGGGGGATTATGGGTAAAGACCCTGCAACACTATTGGCACAAGCTTCATTTACCCTTAATTTTTAAAATTCAGATGACAAATTTCAATCAGCTGTAGAAAAGCACTTTGCTAAAACCTCTTAAGACATAAAACCTGCAGTTTTATGGAAAGATGTAAACAATAATGTATGGTGCGGTTCAAATGAATTGTTAACTTGGGCAAGAGGATATGCTTGTGTCCACACGCCCTCAGATCCTCTTTAGAGTCCAGCACAATGCATCACACCATACTATGGCATAGCTAAGACCCAACCCGGTACCATAAATGAAGGAACTGACCCTGCAGGACCTACAGCCCTGGATGATGCAGCTTCCTCAGGTGACACAGGCCCCGGACATTATGCTGAAGAAGACAAGTCAGAAGACTCAGCAAATTCTACTCCAGACACAGACACCATTCACTCCAGATAATTTATCCCTTTTTTATTCTCTCACTGTGCCTGCTACCTATACCTGTTACACTCTATTAAGCTCATCTTCTAAATCTGCCTTTTTTCAGCTCTGTTATCTGGGCAGACACTCCCTTCCCAGCTTCTAACAATGCGACTGCTTGGCTGGAAGGGGTTAACATACCCCCAGTGGGGTTCCTTAGTAACAGCACACATCAAACTGAAGTGCCAAGTAACACTACAGGTCACTCTTTGACTGGAAAAGAATGTTGCTAATTATACTCATGATTGTCTTATGTTATTTGCTAATTCTAGGATGCAAACCCGGAATAAGAACAATGACTGCCTCGCCTAACAGACCTGTTGCTGCCACATCTGTACATGTTAGTCAACAGAACCCACTGCAGAAAAAACAGAAAAGGGGGAGATGTGGGAGTTTAGTCAGGCTGGTGGGAAAAATTTTAAGATGAAGTTATAGGATATAAACACAAATCTTCTTGAAAGGCTGGAAGGTTTTTGCAAAAGTCTCAGGATAGGGTTATGGTTGAAAGCAGCCTAATCCTTACCTTGAGTAAATAACTTAGAGCAGATACATAGGAATGTAAAGGAGTTTATCTAAATAACTTATTTACTCATGTGGTCCTAAAACTAACCTTTGATCATTCACGGGCATGATGGCTCTCTGGGGGTGGGGGGAGGCAACCAGGTTGATTACCTTGTAATGGTGTTGACTCAAAGTCTTTGTCATTTAATGTGTGCTGAATAAATGCTAGCAGGGCCAGTGAGTCAGGGCCGTGGCTGCAACTCTTTACAGCACTCTCCTTGGAGTCTGTAAGTGGCCCGGACCCTCAGCTGGACTGACAAGCATAATATCTGTGTCAGTGTACATGATTCATCTGTTGTTGGGTCAGGGTCTGTGGGACAGACCCCCGTACTCCACCTCCCTGTATTCTTCAACCCATTCCCATCTGTCTGATGTCCCTTCCACTGAAATATTTTGCCCTACCTTGGCCACTCTTTTCAGGTTTCCTGGCTGCACTTCCTCGCGAACACCTAGTCCAGCTCTCTTCCTTTCTCTCTACATTCTCTCCTTTAGACTACCTATCTAGTTAGTCGCTTACTTCAAGTACAATTTGTCCCTTGATGACCCCTAGATGTATATTTTCAGCCTTAATCTCCCTCTTAAGCATCAAACTTATATATTCATTTGCTTATCTGACATGATCATATTGATGTCTAACAGGCTTCCCAAACTTAACAGGTCTAACACAATTAACGATTTTTGCAAACCTCCCCCAACAAAACAAAACACAACAAAAAAATACCTGTTTCTTTCTTACTCTTTCTTGTCTTGGAAAAGACTATCAGGAGTCATTGTTGATTCTCTTGTTTCTTCTCCCTCTATTTCTGATCCATCATCAAATCCTGTTGACTCTATTTCCTTGTTCATTTCCTTCCTCTCCTCTGTAACTACCACAGCCCAAGCTATTGCCATCTTTCACCTAGACTCCTGCAATAGCCTCATAACTCATCTTACAGTGTCCAGTTTTGCCCCACTCTTCTCTAATCTCCACCCAGTAGTCAAAGTAAGTCTCATAAAATGCAGATCATATGCTACTCCCCTTTTTAAAGCCCTCCAATGCCTTTTCATTTCTTTTGGAAAAATACTTCAGCTCTTTGCCAAGAACTAAAAATCCCTATGCTATCTGGCCCCACCTACTTCTCTGCCTCCATCCCCTACCCCATGCTCCAGACACAAAGTGTGTCTTTAATATCTCAAATGCATGAGCTCATTCTTGTTTGGGGAAAATTTGAATTTGTCCCTTGCAGTACTCCACCCTCAACCTCTTGCATGACTGGGTCTACTTCATATATCAGGTGTTAGTTCAAATGTCTCCTCCTCAGAAAAGTAACTCCAATCATCCTTCCCAGTAGATCCCTCCACCTCTCCCCCACCAATCACTTTCTGTCAAGCCCACCATTTGTCTTCTGCACATCACTTATTTCTTTCTGAATTTATGATATTTGCATGCTTGTTTATTGTTTCTCTCTCTATCTCTAAAACATAAGATTCAGGATAGATTGCATCTTGAGCTACCTGGTATATTGGTGTATCTCTAGCAACTAGATCACAGTATGAGATTTGAGAAACACATAATGGTTGCTGAATGAATAAAGATAGTTCTGAAAGCCTTTGTCAAGAGGAGTTGTTGGATTTATTAATTAAAATTAAACTATAAAATTTGTTATGGTTTCACTTACTTATTCTCTTTATTCCAATAATAAATATAATTGAGAATCTGCTGTTCGGTGAAAGGAGTGGTAATGTTGAAGTGAATTTACTCACAGATAATCTTTGTGCTCTTGCAAGAGTAGTCATCTGTTAATGGTAAGCAATAAGGGCACAATTTAGGCTGTCAGGGTACTTCAGCGTACTTCACCTGGCTCTGAATGGGGTCATGCATGAAACAATATATTTGAGGCATTTATTTACCTTGAGTGAAAATGAGAGTATACATTATTTTGAAACTTTCTCCTAGATCAAAAAGAAGTTCAAGACAATTCAGAAAGTTTTATATCTCTGCAAATGCTAAAGAAAACCATACCCATTTTACAGAAGTTAGCCTAGCAACTTAAAGGAGGGGGAGGAATTAAGAGATAATTGAAAGCAGTCATTTTTACAAAAACATATTCAAAGTAAATCAGGAACACAAAGCCTTTTCTAAGTTATGCACCTCTTAGGAGTCCACATGTATCTATGCAATGAAAGGTTCAGTCAATGCAAGCACGGGGGCCAGGTCCTCTGCAGCTGCAGGAAATTGGCTCACTTTTGGTGACGGAGCAGATGCACTAGCTCTCCTCCCTTAACTGCCCAGTGAGTGAAGCTTTTTAAAAGTCTAGTAATGCAGTTCTGATTTGCTCTATTTTGAAATAAATTGTACCTCATTTGTGATCTTGTGAAATCTAGGAAACTACATCCCTCATAAAGCGTCATTTGGTGATATATCTGCATCTGACTCTGAGACTAAAAGGCACAATAAGTTCAGTTTCCATGTCATCAAGTCAGGTTACCTAAAGCTTGTTTAGGTACCACCTCACCTCTAGGTCCAGTGTACTTTAGATGATCACCGGCAATGTTGAAAGAATGCTTCACTAACAGAGCAGGCACATGATATTGTGTCATTATCAGCCACTTCACACAACCAATTTGACATATGATCGCTCTTCATCTTTTTATCTCCTTCCCAGGTAATTTATTACTTTCATATTGAAAATTCAAACAACAGAAAAAGAATAGATGAATCTTTCTTCCATTGCCCCATTACTCCAAGCCAGTCAACAGCCGCACCCTTGGATCATGAGACACGCAGCATTAAACAAGCCAGGCAAGGCTCCAGAGAGTCCATTTGTAACATCTGTGTAACCATCGCTTTAAAATGGACAAACTAAAAGTTGCTTTATTAAATTCTGACAACCCTCAAACAAAGTGAATACAATTCAAGGTGACACTTACTGTCAAGGAAATCTTGCTTCTTCCAGGACAGTGTTTTTCAACACTCTGCACATTGCAATCACCTGGGGAGTTATTTTTTAAAATACATTGAAAGGTTATAATTTAATTGGTTTGAGGTGGGATCTGATTGTAGGTATTTTTTTAAAGCTCTCCCAGAGGTTCTGATGAGCTGCCACGGTTGAGAACCACCACAGTAGGTGGGTGAGCAGGCACCTCCAGCTTCCAGAAGACCCAGCGAGGAGCTTGACTGGGAAGTGCAGACCCCAGCTTTGCAGCACTGACTGTCAGAGCCAATAATAAGCAAATAAGGAACAATAAAGTAAGAAAAATAGCTCAATTAGCACTAAAAATCAGTGAGGTAAAGTAGATCCATTCTACAGTTAGAAGTTCTTAATCACAATTGTGTCATGTCTATAGTAATTTTGGGTAAATTAAATTAAGTAAAAATGCTCTGTTGTTTATAGTTTCAATTGGTGTTTGCTTCTTCTGATAATGCTCTTGGTAAGTTCACTTTCACTTTGTGAATTTACCTTTTCCAAATTGACTTTCACAGGAGTGGAACTCCCTGAGTCATTCCTCTGCCTGAAGCCCTGCTTTGATGTGTTTAAGGTAGGGGAAAAAATCCTTTTAAATGAACTTCAACACTATGTCAAAAGCAGTTTAAAAGTTAGAAAAATATTATCATAAAATTGCTAAAGTCAGTAATGTTTTGATGTTTCACAGCAGCACAATGAACAGTTGAAAGTATCGCTCAGTATGTATTTTGTGGTTCTTTGTAGCCTATTGGCTTTCCAACTTTATTCCTAAGAGTCCTTTTGGAGGGGCTTACTCTGTTTTGTTTTTGCCATTTCTTTACCCAGACTCTCTCAGTTCATTTCTAGGATAAGAAGTTTGATAGTTTGATTGTCTCCCTTCCCCAGGTTGGTTTTTTGTTTTTGTTTTTGTTTTTGTTTTTGTTTTGGTTTTTGGTTTTGTTTGTTTGTTTGTTTTTTGAGATGGAGTCTCACTCTGTCACCCAGGCTGGAGTATAGGTGTGCAATCTTGGCTAACTGCAACCTCCAGCTCCCAGGTTGAAGCAAGTCTCCTGCCTCAGCCTCCTGAGTAGCTGGCATTACAGGCCTGTGCCACCACACCCGGCTAATTTTTGTATTTTTTAGTAGAGACGGGGTCTCACCATGCTGGTCAGGTTGGTCTCGAACTCTTGACCTCAAGTGATCCACCCGCCTCGGCCTCCAAAAGTGCTGGGATTACAGGTGTGAGCCACTGCACCTGGCCCCTTCCCCAGGTTTTTATGTTCACTCACTCATTCACACAAACCTGGGCTGTCCACTTATGAAGCAGACACATTGGCCAACCTTGGTGGTCACTGAGCTCTCCCCTGAGAGTGGGCAAGGATTTGTGCAGTCATCCACACTCAGCCCCTTTGTCCTTCTTGGAACTGTGGAAATAAATGAAAACTAACCAAATGAGAAAAGTAAAGGCTATTTATTCAGAGCTTGCTATAGCAAGGGGCTCAGCCACCATCACTTGAATTTTGGCAGTGACTAAAAGGCAGACAGAGGAGTGGGAAAGCTTTATCGTGGAAAAAAGAGGAGGCTTCAGGTGTGCCCTGATTGTAGGTTGTTGGCATGGGAAAGCTGTAGGTGGGCTCATGAGAAGTGGGGCATCCTATGTGATTGGCTAGGGGTACATTTTTGGCTTTGTCTGGTTGGTCCTAAGTTAGATATGAGAACAAAAATTAGGGAAGCCATCAGCTATTAATCAAATTCTGGCCATTTGGGGCCAACTGTTACAGGAATTATTGTTTGGCATCCTGGATTGTTACTAGAGATAGCAGTTTAACTCTCTACAAGTCTGATTTATAGGAGGCTAGTTTCCTGGGTTGTATATGGTAGATAAGGAGTTGGTTTCCTGGATAGGTTGCTACAAGTTGTGGGTCAAAGTTTCCTTTTTATATATGGTCTCTCCATTGTCAATTTGTATATTCAATCTCTCGAAACCAATAGAACATGGGTTAGGGTGGCTATTTAACCCTGTGCTTTCCAGCCTGTCTCACATCCTGACTACGGTGATTAGACACAAATACTCTGATAATTATACTCATTAGACATAACTTATTTTTATAATGCAGAAACACTAGGAAATGGCCTAGAAGTATTCCTTTAGCTACTTCTTTTATTGTTATATACTTCTTGGTTATCCTAAGCTTTGGGTTAAAATATAAAGATGGACCTGAAGGCAGATGTTGTCCTACAAGAGGTTTTTTTTTTTTTTTTTTTTAACTTTAAGTTCCAGGATACATGTGTAGAATGTGCATGTACGTTACATAGGTATACATGTGTCCTGGTGTTTTGCTGCACCTATCAACCTGTAATCTAGGTTTTAAGCCCAGCATGCATTAGGTATTTGTTCTAATGCTCTCGCTCCCCTCACTCCCCACCCCCCGACAGGCCCCAGTGTGTGTTGTTGCCCTCTTTCTGTCCATATGTTCTCATTGTTCAACTCCCACTTATGAGTGAGAACATGCAGTGTTTGGTTTTCTGTTCCTGTGTTAGTTTGCTGAGACTGATGGCTTCCAGCTTCATCCATGTCCCTGCAAAGGATATGATCTCATTGTTTTTTATGGCTGCATAGTATTCCATGGTATATATGTGCCACATTTTCTTTATCCAGTCTATCATTGATGGGCATTTGGGTTGGTTCCAAGTCTTTGCTATTGTAAATAGTGCTGCAATAAATATATGTCTGCATGTGTCTTTATAGAAGAATGATTTATAATCCTTTGGGTATATTTACCCAGTAATGGGATTGCTGGGTCAAATGGTATTTCTGGTTCTAGATCCTTGAGGAATCACCACACTGTCTTCCACAATGGTTGAACTAATTTATGCTCCCACCAACAGTGTAAAAGCATTACTATTTCTCCACAGAAGAGGCCTTTTTTTTTTTACATGCTTTGAGTTCATGCACTGTGGGAACTTAATACATGTTTAGTAATAACTTGGAAATAAGAAGAACTTGGAAATAAGAGCTATGGAAATCAACATGCCTGAGCAAATAGATTTTGGATTTGTTTGAATGTAAATAAGAGAATACTCAGGCAGCTCTTCATCAAGAGCTCCTTACTGTCACACTCTCCATCCAATCTCTCCCTCTTGCTTCTTAGAGCATCACTTATCAATGACAAAGCTTGAACAGCAATCAGCAATTCTGGTTTCATGAAGTGGAGTAGGCTTGATCGCCTTTCCAGCTGAGCTCAGAGTTAATAGCTGACAAAGGCACAGGCCAACATATACTAAACAAGTAAATTGTATAATTTCTTTTGTTTTCAGAATGTGTAAGTATTGTAACAAGTATTGAACCAGATAATTCATCTGGGATAAATAAAATTGTTTTTATGCTAAGATTTAGTTTACAATTGACCCTAGGTTTAGCCAGTGAATGGTAGCCATATACAGTACTAAACTCTAGCTAAACACTTTTAAATACATTCTTTGGAGTAATTCACACAATCATATGGCACATACATTATTTCCATTTCACAGATGAAGTGTCTGAGACTCATAAAAGCTCAAGGGAACACAGTAAATACATTGCACAGCTTTTGTTCCATGTACCAGAAATCCTTGCTTAAGAGCACATGTAGTATGGAGTTACAGAGACAGCTCAACCCTCAGAGGCCAGGCACAGTTTTGTACATACGAGAGCCCTTTCCATATTAGCTAGCAAACTTTCCTTCATACCATCACCAAATGATAACATACACTGCATTATGATAATACAAGCATATATAATAAATTCCTTCTACACAAACACAGATCACATCATGCCTCAGGGAGCAAAATCATGGCATGTTTATCAATGCTGCTGCCAAAACTGTCACTAAGGATACAACAGTGCCATATTCCCCACTGTCACTTCAACTTTGTGGTTAATTTAAAATCACTTTTTTCTTTTGTTATCTTTAGTTCTCCTCCAGGCATCTTATCAGTACCTGTTTATATGTAATAAGGTAGGGGATTTTTATTTTTTAGAAGTTGACAGTAGCATTCATTGTACAGAGAAGAGATCCACCAATGCTCAAAAAATTACTTGAAACTCCTAGCTGTAGTAGAAGCTATGACCTTGGAGGGCCTAAATGTAAGGATTTGCCCTGCCAGCGATAAGGAGGAGAATTTGTTGGTTGCACTGGAGAGGGAGAACAGAGCTAGAGAAAGACAGAAAAGGAGAGAATGTCCATCATTGTTTATAATTCCTTATGTCTTTCCAAAACACTTCAAGCCTAAACTACCAAAACTCTCACTGTGATTGGAACTTATATGAAAATTGATGAAGGGACTATAGTTTTGGTCCCAGTCCAAAGAAGAAACAAGATAAAAAGTCAAACTTAATTGTATTAACCATGACTTTTTGTTTTCCGTATTTTGATGCTTTGATGTATGGGGTCTTGCTGATCCTGAAGGGCTACCTCTCCCAGGGTTAGCCAATTCCTAGGGATAGTAAACAATTCACCCCTAAGTACACCTTTCAAAGGACCAAACAATCCATGGTCCACACCTCCAAACTACCTTTCTTGTCAGGCTCTGGGCCACTATCCACCCACCTTAAACATCCCAGGGCCAGGGATTAGGCAACTCGAAACAGCTACTATGACTCAGAGCCTGGAATTATTCAAACTAGACAATCCTTCACCATTTTATCCTGCCTTGGCTGTTTCTTCCAGCAGAAACCACAATAAAGGCTCTTGCCTAAAGTGACCCCCGCCGTGTCTGCCTCCAGCCTGACCCTGGTGCTTCTCCTGTGGCCCCCATGGCACCATGCCCCCTCCTCTTGAGAACAGTGAGCAACAAACTATCTTTTCAATGACAATTGTCTCCTGATCTGTTGCCCTTGCTGTATCTCAAACTTTCTATTAATAAACTGAACTTTAAAACACTGGTGGAAAAAAACTGAAAGGAAACTACAAGGAAAGAATACATTGGAAGTTACTGATGCTGTGAAAGAGTTCTGAATTCTCAGATCTCAGCTTGGGTTGAGCCAAAATTACTTTAACCCCTGAGAGGGAAGAAGACCCCATACTTGGTTCTGAAGAAGTTATCTTTGCTTCCCCTCAGCACTACTCACCTCCCTTCCCCTGTTACTTGGTGTGAATCGCTAACCCAATAACAACCTCAACAAATTTTTTTCATGACACCAGGGATTCTCATATGTATGTTAGAATCCTAGAGCAGGAAAGGATCTTACCGTTGCACATTTTCAGCTCTGAACCAAAGCATGAATCTCCAATCCTAGACTTCTGGTCAAGTTTGAACTGAACTCAGTGATAAGTAAAGAATAAAATACTTTGCTTTTTAGGGAAATTTGTCTTTTACTAGTAAAGACGCATTTCAGAAAACAAATTTCAAACATTTTACAAAAATGAAAAAGATCAAAAACTAGGGGCGTGGTAAATTCAGAGTCCTAAAATCACTTCAAAATTTAAATTACTTAGAGGACAGGTGTATATGATAGAAATTACCTTCCATTTCCATTTAAAAGGATGTATTAAAATATTGAGTAACTATAATTATGCTAAATCTGTTCTCATCTCTGATTCATCACAAAATGAATGAGTAATTCAAAGCCAAATATAAATTTTGGCCTATAACTGGCAGAACTGGCAGCCTTTTCAATTGTATGTGAGGATGCAATACTCTTTAACATACACACATGCACACACATACATGCACGCATTCCATTTTCCCCCTAATTTTAAAGATGTGAGCAGATGTCTTGTGACCCAGAAAAAAGCATGTATGAAAACAGTTTAATCAAGAACTAAAAATAACTTTTTAACTATTTGGGAATATATATATCTGTGTGTGTGTGTGTGTGTGTGTGTGTGTGTGTACCAAGTATATGTGTAAATATATAATTATATAACATACATACATATATAATTATATATGTGTGTGTATATATATAAAAAACACCAATTTGTGTGTGTGTGTATATACATATATATGTGTATATATATGTGTGTGTGTATATATATATATATGATCGGTGTTCTATATTGGAATAAATCATTAATGGTAAGCCATTTAAATAAATGAAAATACTTTGGGTTATTTTTACCCAGCAAGCTGAAATTTTCTCAAAGCAAATTTGTATGTAAACAATCTATGTTGTTCAACTTTAAAAAAATTAATGATTTTGTAAGTACATTACCTCATTTTCAACAAATGCTTCCAAAGTTGCCAATTGAAGGTGTCAAAACGAGTCAAGAATTCCTGAATTTTCATCTTTGTATTCTCAGCATTGGCACGGTTATCTGTCATATTGTGGATACTAAAGAGATGTTTTTAATGACTGAATGAAGCAGAATGAAGAATATACTTGCAATGATGGCCATAAAATGATGAGGATCCTCCAGAGGCAGATATGAGACAAATTAACATGAGTATCTTTAATTTTGATATATTATGAAAAATTCTTGTGCACAGGAATCCGCCCAAATGACATAGAACTCTGATTGATTTCTGTACCTTGAAAGGCACAGAAAATTATATAGCAGAACATTATACATTTCCAAGTAATATGTCGATTTTTGGATAATTTTTCTTACCTTTTTTTTAAAACCTCACTTTTACATATGAGGAGATGATGCTTAAAAAAAAAAGAGGCAAGGCTTCTCAAATAAAGCATAGAATTGTTTGAAAGGAATTGGAGACCAATGTGCAATTAGTAGAAAACATTATCAGACTACAATATAAAACATAACTGAAAGGAAAACATTGAGTTAGAAAGTCAAAAGTCTATGTCTTCACGAGCATATAGGCACTAAAGCTTCTGAATATTTCTTCACCATGAAAAGCACTGTTAAAGATCAGAAGGCCATCTTTTTTCTCTGCTTCCCAAATTTCATGTGGGATGCTTGCATCCACCTTTCTAAATTCCCTTTGCCATAACAACTGGACAGATTCATCTCTTCTTCCTCTTCAAAAAGAAAGTTATGGCATGCTGACACAGCTTGCCTTTTCCTGGTGGACAAGTGGATTTCAGCGATGAGTGAACAGTCATGCATCCTGGATTGGGGGCTATACAAAGTCATCTTCAATTCTGACTGAAGTGTCCTTCAAGATGTCCAGGAAAGGGGCAGCTTAAAAAACATATGCAGGTGAAAATAGTATGAGAAGATGTTGGAATATAACAAAGTCAACTGCTGAGGCAAAGACATTTTACTGAAAGCCAAAAATAGTCAGGGAATGAAATACTTTTCATAAAGCCAATTAGAGCATATTCACCTGATGTCATTTGGTAGGTAATTGAAGCCAGGGACCCTTGTTAGTCCCCTCTGGACAGTCAAATGTTGTTTTGGATTCTTTAGTCTATGATACTTGGCTTTATTTTTTGTTAGTTTGTTTGCTTCCTTCTGTTTTTTTCTGTTTTTGGTTTTGTTTTGTTTTGTTTTTGAGAAGGAGTCTCACTCTTGTTGCCCAGGCTGGAGTACAATGGTGCAATCTCGGCTCACCGCAACCTCTGCCTCCTGGGTTCAAGTGATTCTCTTGTCTCAGCCTCCCGCGTAGCTGGGATTACAGGCACTTGCCACTACTCCCAGCTAATTGTTGTATTTTTAGTAGAGACGGGGTTTCTCCATGTTGGTCAGGTGGGTCTCGAAATCTTGACCTCAGGTGATCCACCAACCTCAGCCTCCCAAAGTGCTGGGATTACAGATTACAGGTGTGAGCCACTGCACACAGCCAGCTTCCTTTCGTTTTTGTATTTTGTTTTGTTCATTATGTTTGCATTTCTCACCAATTCTCATTGCTATATTAGATTTATGAGATTAAAAAGATGAGCAATATGGCCTTAAAAAAGATATAAACAGAATAGAAGCAAAGGATGCTCTTTTTTTTTCTTAATCACGAAGAATGAATGGCACTTACAGTAATCAATACAGTCAAAATAAATTACCATCAGTTCAAAGAATGATTAGTGAATCCAGAAAGGTGTCTACACAAGCAAAAATAGCATTATAAAAATAATAAATCTAGGCCAGTGTCAACGCCAAACCATAGAATGGAGAACATAGCCTCTTGTCAAAAAAGGTCTTGATGGAAGTCACCCAAAAAACCTTCTCATTTTCCAGATGAGAATTCTGCAGCTCAGAAACATTAAACGACTTGCCCAAGGCCATACAATTAATTTTGGTAGAACTAGAAAAAAAAATAAAGTTTACTGGTTCCAAATCACCTGCTTTTTCTATCAAAACAGGGTCTTTAATAATTTAAAGAAAAAAAAGTATTTGTTTTATATTTAGTTTTTCATCAAAGAAGGGGTTTCTTCAGGATATGGGAGAAATGTGGATATTAAGAATATATTCCAGGCAACTCCTGAATACTAAGACATTGACTGTATTGATTACATGGATTGTAGATTTTCCAGACCACTCATTACATTGGTCTTTGTCATGTCCTTTCTCTCCACTGGGCCATTTTCCCCCTAGATTTCCAAGAACTGTGAAAGGAAAAAGATGGATGTACACTCCAGTACAGTTTGGGACTTGTTAGTGGCTCACTTGGAAATCTTAAAGGAACATTGAACGTGGGGAGCCAAAATGGGATGTTGTATTTCTCAACTTTACCAACTTCTGAAGACATTTATTTAACAATTAGCTATAATTAATCTTCCTAATTTTGGTGACAAAAATTGATGAGAAAAAGTAAAGCTTCTGGTCAGTCTCATGGTGACTGAGCTCTGCTGAAAGAAAATGGACAAATTATTAAGCTAGAGTTAAGTCTGGCAGAGGAAAATTCAGCAGGCAGAACCCAGAAAATCAAACTGAACAGGCTGAATTGTCTGATGAATGAGTCAGAAGTGGGTCTGATTCCCTAACCTCCATCAGAAAGGCCACAGCAAGCTTGCTGCTCACAGATTGCTAAGCCGCATTGGCTGCTGGCAGAGGACAAAGTCAGTGAAAGAGTGAGTCAGACTCCACCTGGGTTTGTGAATTTTTTGCAGTTTGCAACCCCATTTTCTCAATAACTGGGCTGCTGACATTTATTTGTTCACTCTATTAATAAAAACCATGCTGCTCTCAGCTCAGTAACATTGGACAGAACATAGTTCACTGCTTCCTTGGAAAAAGCAAAATAGCCAGCAATCAGAATTACCCAGAACTAATTGGTAAATTGTGTGGGGAGAGTACAGGTTATCAAGTTCAGGATCCAAGTTCAGTCACAAAGTGTGCGTTAGGCAGAAAGCCTGACAAACATCCTGTACTAAAATATTATAAATTGGTTTTTTTTTCTTCCTAATAAAAGTGATAGGTTTAGTGCTTTTTAACAGCAGAAACTGGTATATCTGTGGCAACCTTGAAGCCATAGCAGGATGTAGGATGATGAATCACTTCAAAAGGAGTGGCTTTTGCTCAGATCAGCCCACCGGCAACAGGTCTTCTGAAGCCTGGACTAGTATTGCTTTTTTTGGAGAGAAATAGTAGATGCTCAGCAGCTTGGCTCTTTTCCTGTGTGGGTTCCCAGGGTAGGACCCCTGACTAACTTTTTTCACCAAAATAACAATCTTCATAATCACAGACAAAATGACATGTATCACTTGAAAGCTTTAAGCATATTCAGTTGTGTTTAGAATCATAAGGTTGAACAACATTGCTAGGATCTTTGGTTAAAATACCATCTTGGCATTGCCTTTTCCCTTACCTCCACATTCAATAAATCTTCTACATTATCACTTGTGAAGCCTAAGTATCTCTGAAGTCTATGCAGTTCTTTCTATCACCTCTACCATTATCATAATCCAGTCCACCATTATCTTCTTCCTAGACCACTAATTTTCCTCCTTACATTCACTCTTATTACTTAGAAAGAGCTGCAGTGAAATCTCAGTGGCTTACAACAACCACCATTTGTTTTTGTCACTTGAGGTCAGTGGGCTGGCTTAGTTCAGGTCTGCTGTATGTTTCATCCTTAGACCAGTGGCTGTGTGGGCATACTCTTCTAATGACTTGTGCAGAGTCAAGAAGCCAAGTCAAATCATACAAGCACAGCTAAAGCCTCCGCTCATGTCACATCCACTAACATTCCGTTGGCCAAGCAAGTCACATGGCCAAACCTACCATCAAGTACATGAGGAAACATATTCCTCGTAAAATAGTGGGAGAGGATGCAAAGTCACAAAAGTAAGGATCTATCATTCTATAACTGTGAAAGAAGTTCAGAATTAGAAGTGATAATACAGTTCACCACACTACTTATTCTTTCTTCCCCAAGTCATACCAGAGAGTTCTTTTAAGTAAATAAATCTAAATAAACATGTCACTCCTCTCCCCATCCACCTTAATGGCTTCACTACCATTACAATAAATGTGCCCTATAGAGCCCTGCAGGACCCGAGCTGAGCTGCTCATTGCATCTACCTCACCTCTTAGGATCTTTCTCCTCTACTTCCCAGCTCCAGCCATACTAACTTCAGTTATAACAAACTCTTTCCCAACTAAGCTATTTGCTTATGACATTCATTCTGTCTGTAACAACTTTCCTTCCCTTTTTCTTCGCGTACACTTAGATCTGAAGGGTGTCACTTTCTCAATTTTCCTTGACCAAGGATGTTGAGTCTGCTTGCTAAATACTCTCTGAATGCCTTCTAATTCTCCCTTATTGCTCTTATCACATGTGCTAGTCAGGGTTCTTTAGAGCAACAGAATCAATAGGATATGTAGATGTATATGAGAGGATATTTATTAGGGGAATTGGCTCATGCAATATGGAGGCTGGAAGTCTCACTATCTGTCATCTGCAAGCTGCAGAACTAGGGATGCCAGTGGCATAGCCCAGTTCAAGTCTGAAGGCCTGAGAAACAGGGATGCCTACACTGTAACTCAATCTGAGACTGAGGCCTAAGCACCTGGGAAGCTGCTGGTGCAAGTTCCAGAGTACAAAGTCTGGAGAATCTGGATCTCTGATATTTGAAGGTGGAAGAAGATAGGTAACCCAGCTTTGGGGGAGAGAGAGAGAAAGAAAAAAAAGTTCTTCCTTTTCTCTGCCTTTGTGTTCTATCTGGGTGCTCAGTTTATTGGATGGTGCCTGCTCACATCAGTGAGGGCAGATCTTCCTTACTCAATCCACTGATTCAAAGTTCAATCTCTTCCAGAAATAGCCTCACAGACATACCCAGAAATAATCCTTTACCAGCTCTCTGGGTATCCCTTCACCAGTCAAGTTGACACCTAAAATTAACCATCACATCACAATTGTAATTAATTTATATTTAGTAGTCTAATCATTGTCATGATTGCTAAAATGTAAGCTCCATGATTGTAGAAACAGTGTTTAGTTGAGGGAGTGTGTTATTTTCTTATCTCCAGTGTTTTGTCATAATAAACACTGAAACATATATTTATGGAATGAATTAAGGCAGTAAAATAATATAGATATAGACATATAGACACAGATTCCTATATTCCCATATATAAGATTGTATACATTTTTCCTTCAATGATCTTCCCTCCTCATTTTACCCCTTCAATACTTCTTTGTATACTAAAACAGAAGAGTTTAGAATTTGGAGCCCTGTGTTTACATCTTAGCTCTGCCATTTAGTAGCTGTGTAGGTCAATAGTTTAATCTTGTTGAGCCTTTCTTACTCTATAAAATAATAATTTCTACTTTGCAAGGCTAAATCAGGTATGCATAAACAAATACTCAACCAGTTGTTCCCTTCTCCATTCTTGCCCTGTAGCCTGGTTACCATGCTGGAATACTGCAGTTTCTGCTGACATTTTCACCTGGACTTGCTGACAGCTATAAATAAACCAAACCTATCAACTTTCTATCAAAATTCACAACCCATCCTAACCTCTATTCTGGTTAACTTTTCAACAGTTTCAAATTCAAAATCTGGAAAGCATTGTCCACTAAGCCTTCCTCTGCCCTCTCCCCTCAGATGTACTGTACCCACTCCATCTCCTTGGTCTTTTCTAGTCCCTCTACACTAAACTAACTCTGGCTCTCCTTCTTCTGAGACTTCTCCTGGGTTTTCCAGTAACTCCAGGCTCTGGTCACTACAGTTCAGTGGCCACATTTATGTTGAGCAGATATTCAATCAAAAATCCCCAATGATAAGCAAAGTGCATCAGCTGACCACACAATATGTGCATCATAATGAAACTTTTATGGGTTTAAGCCTTTGGGTGTACATGGAAGCACATTCTACAAGAAAAACAACAAAATATAGATTCTATCTAAATGAACAGGATCTGAAGCTCTGTGTACTGGATTGAATAATATATACCTTGTAAAATTATGTTACACATTTTTACTGTATAGGCTACCTTGATGAATAGAGACAACTATATCTGTTTGACATCTGCCTAACTGTTACTTTTAGTTCTCTCTTGCTATTGAACAGAAAATAACCTTGAAAGATAACATAAGAATCTTCAGGGCAAATTACACAACAAGAGGACTCAGACCCAAGGAATGATGAAAATGTGTGTGTGGTGATCCACAGACACTACCTTGGGTCATCAAGATATTTACTTTCCTTTTAAATATTTTTCCTACATTATTTGATTGTATATGATAATAATGCATGATTTTTAGAAGTAATGAAAACACTTATTTTATAAATCCTAGTAACGACCCCAAAACTAATATTCTATGACTTTCCTTTTTCTAATAAATGAGACCCAAATACTCAATTGTGTCCCCTCAGGCCTTTCCTGCTTCGGCTCCAGATGATTTTTCCAGCCTTTGCTCTTACCATGTTCCTTGGCACTCCCGCATGCTGCAGTGAAATCATGCTCTTTATTTCTGTCTCCATGTGGAGCTGGAATGGTCATTCATCCCCATGACTTTGGCAAGACTCCTCAATTTCCACAAAGGCGCACTGACCTTCTTCTCTTTCTGACAACATCTATAATATTTTAATGAGCTTCCAATCAAGAATTCAGTTTAACTGCACTTTAGAGACTCATGAGAAAATGTAGCCTCAAACATTTGCTCTCTAACTTCTATTAAGAGCCCAAATAAGAAAAGTATTACTCTTCACTATTCCTGGAGGACATTTACTTATTCCTGCCTAGATGACTTTGCACAAAGAATCTTCTCATTTTAGTCCATCACGGTCCTACCTATGGCAAACTCGGGCATGACAAGGTCCTTGGGAGCAGCCTTTGTAGTTAACTCATAACAACCTTGAAGCGGGACATTGGTAGGTCTAATTCCAGAATACATGAATAATAAATGGATATTCTACCAAAGACATCATGGGAAGATGGGAAACAAGGTACACATGGTAGCAACACCCACTTCAAACCCAAATTGATTGCCATTGATCCCTCTCCTTTTTCTCCTAAAAGCCTCTACCCTGAAGACACCTCATCTATCTTCCCTTCTCTGTTGCCTTCTGCTGCCTTTAAAAGTCCTCTTTGTTTTCCTAAGAGCTAAACTCGGCTCTCACTCACTTTGCTTGCTCTACTCAATAAATCAACAGCCTAATACATACGTCTGCACTTTGGTGGTCTCAGTTCCCACTCCAAAGAGAATTATCAGAGTATACATCAAACAAAACAAGGCTCTTCTTAAAGGAAAATTCTACTGCTAAGGAGGTACTACTTCCCTGATACTTCAGATCTCATCTGAAGCCGTGTGTAGCTAGTTGAATTATGTACCCTGTAAATTTACATTGAGAATTGTTACAAGGAATAGAGATACCTTTATCTGTTTTGGCATCTGCCTAAATGTGACTTTTTGGTCTCTCTTGCTAGTGCACAGGAAAATTCTTCAAAGATAACATAAAAACCCTCAGGGCAAAATTACTCAGCAAGAGGCCAAAGCCCCAAAAAGTGATAAAATATATGTGTTGTGAGCCACAGACACTAACATTCTTGCCCCCTGCTCAATTCTTTAAATGTTAATCTATCTGTTAAAGACAAAAGGCAATTTTACTCCAAATGCCATCCTTATTTTTGGTTTGAAATTTATAAGCCTACTTATCATTGTTAAAAAGTATAAAGCAATATAATTCTGTTTTGAAGAATTAGAAACCAAAAATTGTTTTCATGATTTATACAAGGCATTTTACTTGCAATGATGTAATCCTTTGTCAGAATTTTATTTACATACACTTGCCTCTAGACGCAAGTAATTGGAACAGAGTATTCATGAGGCAGAACTGAGGAGTGAGGAATATTTTACTCTTCAACTTCACTGACAATAAATTGTCACACTTCTTAGTCCCTTGCCAAAAATAAATAAATTCTAACACTATAAACGCTGATATTATAAAACATTCCTAAGGAACATATGATAGAAACCTATCCATTATGGTAGCAGAGCTGAGCATAGGAAAATTGCTAAGGGAAATTGCTTCTAGGTCAGCTGTACCAGAGGGTGCCTTGTGATGAGCCGACTACCTTCCCTAGCACAGACTTATGGTCACAGTGTCCTCTGTCCCAAAACAAGAGAGTGTGTATGTGGCAGTAGTGTGCAGAAGCTTTACAAAAGCCATGTGGCCATGAAAGCCATGTGGCTCTGCTTCTCTGCTGCTTCCTCATGTACCACACACCTCAATATTCTCCATCGCCTGCCCTGACATAATCTATAATACCTGAGCAAGAGCAGATGGGGTAGGAATGACTCAAGGAGTCTTCTAACTTGAATTAATGTGAATCCCCTGTATGTTGCAGAGTCCAGTAGAACCGAAAGTTCATAAAGTGGTGTATACTTGTATAGCTTTTGAAGGAACTCAAGAAACGTCACCCAGAAATATCCCACATTGGTCTGCTGATTACTTCAAACTGAGGGAACTTTGGGAACAGCAAATGCAGGGAGAGACTTTCTCTGAACTTACATCATTTGCCTAAAGATGGATCCTACAAAAGGAATGAAATGGTAATGAATCCCCTTCCCAGGAATTTTATTAACCAGGGTCAGGGGATTAACTTGGACCACAAGAGAGGAGACGAGAGGGCAACACAACATCCCAAAACCATTTACTCTCCTTTAAGTAGCCTATATCCTTCCTCCCCTCTCTCCTATGAAAAGGGGATATAAGCTTTTATACCTCACCGGGTTTGGGGGTATTCACTTTTATTTCATGTGATATCCCTGTGCACATAATGAATTTGTACACCTCTTAGTCTGCCTGCTATCAATTTATTTCATAGACTCAATTATCAAATCCTCAGAAAGAAGAGGGAAAGTCTTTCTTCCCAAACACTTTCAACCTCCAAATCAAGAAACTCCCTAAATCCAGTTGACTATTAAATGACACCAGTTCATACTGTGCATGATTACTTATACGAAGATTTTCTTCTGCTATGCTGCTCCTGAATCACCAAGACCAACTCCTCCTCTTCAGCCTACTCAGTATGAAGACAACAAGGATGAAGACTTTTAATGATGATCTACTTCCACTTTATGAATAGGAAATATATGTCCTTTCATATGGTTTTCTTAATAACATTTTTTATCTATTTTATTGTAAGAATAAACTATATAATACATACAACATACAAAATATGTGTCCTTCCTTCCAGTAAGGAAGCCTTACTGATACTATAAACAGAAATATAAGTCAACAGTAGGGTATTAGTAGTTTCGTTTGGGGAAAATCAAAACTTACATGTGAATTTTTGACTGTGCAGTGCTCCTAACCCCCACATTAATGAAGGTCAACTGTACAGCGAATAAGGTCTCCTGCACAGAATTCCAGAATTCCATGTGTGAGAGACTTCATACCTTCAAGTCAAATGTCTCCCACAGAAGTCTGAGTAAAATATGGTATAATAAAATTTGATTTTGATTTCTGTTTTCAATGATATGACAGGTTATATACCTTGAATGGCTTTTCTGTTTAAGACACAGAAAATGTTTTCCTAGGAATCATTTTAAATGCACTGTTAACACACAAAAAAAGTTAAAAACAACAACAACAAATAAGCAATCCAAACATCTTAAAAATTAGGTGAAACAGTAAGTCTGAGTGGTTGCCAAGGCTGACTTTGCCCTGAGGATTTCTGCTGAAATATGGAGAGGAGAACTCAAGTTTCTGATGTAATAGTGGCTTAGTACACAGGAAGCAGTAGAAAAATTCCAATGAAAGCCTAGTAAAAGGTTCCTTTAAAAAGCAGATACCTAAATGACATTAAAGGGAAAAGTAAATTTTCCTGGCTTGATTTTGACACTGGATGAAAGAAAAAATACATATACTCTGAGGATCTGAGACCTCAACTTGGCCTTCAAATGGGTTTTGCCCCAAATTTGCACTTTCTGGTCCAGAAATCTTGGTTAAGAATTACATTTAAAATGTTTTTGAGTTGGTTGTGTCACTCAGAAGAGACTGGCAGAAATAAATGTAAATCTTCTCTGGTAATGTCAATTTCAATACTGACCAAATATCTCACACAGATGTAATCAAGGAAAATAAATCATTAACAGCACAAAATCCAAAGGATTCACACGAATAAGCCACCATGAGGGATATACCATAGAATCAAAATAAAGGACATGAAACATTACGTTTTATGTACTTAAACTTTTTTTTTTTTGTAAAAGAAACTTGGAAGCATGAACAAAGAGCAAGGCATAGTAAAGAATTTCTAGATTCGATATAGAACCAAATAAAATTATATTTAGGTAAAACCAAATAATGAAAATTTAAAAATTAAACTAAAAACTTGAGACTAAATAACTGAATAGATTCCTATGAATACAGAATCAGATAACTAGAGCACACCTATGAAAAAATTTGATGCAAAATATGAAAAATAGATTGAAAGAGAGAAGATAGCGACAAGGGCTATAATAATGCCTAATTAGATATTCAGAAAAAGATGCTTAAAAATTGGAAATATACAATATTTAAAGATTTTTAAAGGCTGAGAACTTTTAAGAACTATTGCAGGATCTTCAGATCCCAGAAGCCAATACATCTCAAGTAGAATAAATGAAAATAAATTATATTTTAGACACATAATAGTGAGATTGCAAAATGACAAAGAAGAAACACTTTTAAAAGCTTCCAAGAAAATACAGATAACCTACAAGGGAATGACAATCAGAGTGATTTCTGACTTAACATCAGAAAGAATGAAAACCAGAAGATTGCAAAAAAGTAGACTTACAGAAAATCACCGTCAGCCTAGATTTCCTTAAGCAAATCTGTCTTTCAAAAACAAATAGCAAAGACAGATTTAGACAAAAATGAATGTTAATTTGCCACTAAAAGATTACCCACTAAATGTAATAAATATATGTATTTTGAGCAGAAAATGATTCCAGATAGAAGATTTGACATGTAAAAAGGAATCATGTGCAAATATATTGATAAATATGTGAGCAAAAGTAAGAACCACTGACTGTAAAACTATTAAATTAATGGCTAGTTTATGGGGAAATACAGGCTAAAGCTAAAATACTTCCTACTAATAGTATATGTTTCTACCCAGGTGTGGGCTTTGGACGTGGGCTCTGACAACTGATTTTTCTAGTCCAGCAAACATTTCCTCAAAAAGATTTGTTAATTTGATTTTATCTGATTGGTTATTAAAGAAAGACAATCATTGGTGGAATATAGCATGTGCCAATTATATGTTAATTAATTAAGAAATTAACCTTTATCTAACCACTTAAAATACTTTACATCTGATATGGTTTGGCTCTGTGTCCCCACCCAAATCTCACCTTGAATTGTAATCCCCATAATCCCCACGTGTCAAGGATGAGACCAGATGGAGGTAATTGAATCATGAGGGCAGTTTCGCCATGCTGTTATCATGATAATGAGTGAGACTCATGAGATTTGATGGTTTTACAAGTGTCTGGAATTTCCCCTGCTTGCACTCATTCTCTCTCCTGCTGCCCTGTGAAGAGATGCCTTCCACCATGATTGTAAGTTTCCTGAGCTCTCACCAGCCGTGCATAATCATCAGTCAATTAAACCTCTTTTCTTTACAACTTACCCTTCTTGGGTATTTCTTCACAGCAATGTGAGAATGGACTAATACAACATCTGTTTCAAGAAATTCATTCTGGATATCCTTTCAAATTGAACCTTTATTCCCATGCTCCTCCTCAGTAGCGTGGCTAACGAACTCACCAAAAACACTAAGGCAACTAGTCTTGTATTGCTTAATTAGGGCAGGGGATGGAAGGACATTTGTGCTGTCTACCTTCCAATCCTTTGCCCAGGGTAGACACTGCTCATTAATCATGGCACTGTTTGCTGCAGGGCCCAACTGGCATCTCAGAATCTTTCTTAAATGCTCCACACAAGCCACTGCTCATCAATCAGAGCTAGCATTTCACATCAAACCTAGTTACCTTTCCCAGCTTAAAGGCTGCTGACTTTATCCCATATGGAAAATGGTTTGTGATTACTACTTCTTTTTTCAGCTGTTAAGAAGAGAAATACCATTTTATTATTTGTCCTGGAGACAGTCTTTTACCCTTTGTTGCTGACAAATAGTTACATATATATATTATTATATTTAGTATATATATTATATATATAGTAATATATATGTATATAAATACATATATATTACTTGATATATATATATCAAGTAATAATAACATTGGCTTAGAAATTCACATTGGCATGGGCAAAGTAATCTGACTTTTAAGTATATGCACTCTATATTTGCTTATAAACAGTTGTACAAAAATTATGTTTTACTATATAGACCTCATATTTGTATAATGCTTTACAGTTGTCAAAGCACCTTACCATAAATTTTTGTTCCAAATTCTAAAGCAAATATATGTTCAGCAATGCTATGTGACAAGAACTGTGCTGGCTGCTGGGGATACAAAAGTTCTTGCCCTCTTGAGTTTACAGCTGAGTAGGGGAAATAAAAACATCCCCTAACGATGGAAGTACAGAATGACACTTTCTATGGTGAATACTAAGGGGGGTAGTATGATGTAGTAATTTAAAGTATGGACCTCAGACCCAGAAAAACCCGAGTTTTTCTGTACTTGTTCCTCAATGTACCAGATACCTGACCTGAAGCTCTGTATTAGTGAGGATCTTCCTGAAAAACAGAACCAATCAGATGGATGGATAAATAGATAGATAATAGAGAGATAGATAGATGATAGATAGATAGATAGATAGATAGATAGATAGATAGATAGATAGATACATAGACAGAGAGACAGATTGATTTACTTTAAGGAATTGGTGTCCTAGTTCATGTTCTGTTGCTACAACAGAATACCACAGACTGGATAATTAATAAACAGAAATTTATTTAGCTCATGGTTCTGGAGGCTAGGAGGTCCAATACAAAGCAGCCAGTTCTGGCAAGGGCTTCCTTGCTTTCTCCTGATATAGCAGAAGGCATCACAAGGTGAGAGAGGAAGAATGTGCTCCTCATATAGCCACCAGTCTCATCATGCGGGCCTATCTGATCTTATCTAATCCTAATTACCTTCCTAAGGCATCACCTATAATCAGCATATGTATTGGGGAACACATTAAAACCATAGCTCATATGATTATAGGAGCTGGCAAGTCAGTCTGAAATTTAAATTCTGTTGGAAACTGATTGTGCAGTTTGGGTTCCAAAGGCAGTCTCAAGGCAGAATTTCTTCTTCATCTGGGGACTTCAGGCTTTACTCTTAAGGCCTTCAACTGATTTGATGAAGACCACTCACCTATGGAAGGTAATCTGCTTTACTCAAAATCTAATCATTTACATGTAAATTACATCAACTTATCACCATAGCCTAGCTAAGTTGACACATAAAATTAATGATCACAGGCTCAGTTCTTCATCAGTAAATGGGAATAATAATATCTGCTTCACAGGATCCTTGAATGGTTTAAATGGGATCGTTCTATTAGTGTTTGGCACAGTGTCTACAAGAAAGACCATGCTAGCAATCATCATGTTAGCATCATTGGTGTTAGTTCATCCTCTGCTCCTCTCCCTGGTAACCCTGGACCAGCTCCAGGGCAGAGGTCTCAGCCATGCACAGACTTCCCCTCCTCCCAGCCTTTGTGCATATGGCTTCCTGTGCCCAGAACATTTAAGCCAGTCTTTATACATGAACTAGGTAATCTAACTCTAACATGGCCCATAAATTAGGTTGAGCCAGGAAACACTGGCAATCTTTGACCATCTTTGACAAGAAAATCAGCAAGTTTATATGGTTCAGTTTAATAAAATTAAGCTACTTGCAAAGCTATCAGTGTGGATTAAAATGAAACTCTAGGCCAAAATCCAAAAATAATTGAAAGTAAATAGGGAAATTAAATGTTAATCTGCAAACAAAATCTCTAAAATTCCTTTTCTTTCTCTTTGTCTCTCAACATACACACACACGCATATGCACATACTTACAAATAGTTGTGTGTGCTTGCATTTTTCTATTTAGACAATATATATTAATAGATATGTATATGTATTTATGTATCACATGAAACAAGGCCAGTAGCCCAATCTGTTCCTCTAACCTAACTTGGCTTTGCTCTCTCATCTATTCCACACACTCCCCCCACCTTCTGATTTTAGGACTCCTTTGTTTTTCCATAAGTAGTTCCCTGACCTTTCTGATGTAAACAACTCAAACTTATGCCTACCTAACAAAGACACAGCCTAGCAAAGAGGACAGCTCTGTAATGGAGGAAATTAATTAAGACACACATTAACCTTTTCTTTTTGCTGTTATAGCATTTTATGCATACATAATCTATCTCCAGATTCCATTATTTTTTTCTCTGCTTATATTTGTGTTCTACAATTACAGCCACTCTATTAAATGAAAATAAAAAACAACACATTTTTACACATTAGGTTTTTGTCCCATGACTGTATTTTTAAGAAATAATACTTTTGTGAATAGAACACATGATAAAAGCATGCCAAGATTCCCCAGGCCTCAAACTGTGCCTGTGCAGATCCCTTCAGCTGACAAGTTAGAGAACACTCTTCAATTCATCTAGTGGGAAGGAGGGTTAACCACTACTGAAGTATTTTAGTTTTTCTCATTTCCTTGTGCAAAGCCAGCAGGTACAAATTTATTTCTGATGAGCAGAGAACTTGCAAAGGTTACTTGACCTTGATGTGATAGAATTTTCTGAGCTTAGAAGATAAACAGCTTGTCTAAATTCCCCTGCTGGCCTCACCATCACTTTAAGGTTAATAAGGGAGTATTTAGAAGGCAGAAAGTATTTAGAGCTCTGGGAAGTGAAGTAACAAGAGAAGGGAGAGAAACACTTATAAACATAAAGTAATACTGTACAGGGAAAGAGAGCAATTTCATTAATGACTTGAGAGCAGCCTTTGGCATTAAGCTCTATGAAGGATTCCTGGAAAACTTTGAGAAGCAGACCACCTTAAAGTGCTCAGCTCATCTTTTTCTATTCCCAAGGTAGTATTCTCTTTGGAGTGACCATCACCTGTTTGCTGAGAAAAGCTGACCTTCCTCTCATTAAAAATATATGCAACCATATCACATAACAGCTTATGTCTCTGATTTCCATTCTGTCTTTGAACATATTTTAAGTATTTACAATAATAGTGTGTTTGTAGTTTTATTTATTTGTAGCAATTATTTAAGAAAATTTGGTGGTGTATATATGGAAATATCATACACGATCATGTAAAAAAAGCAAGTCAGAAGACTTTCAGCTCATAACAATTCATGTTAGACATGGGTTCCATTCTATCTGCAGTGAAATGATGCATTCATGGCAAAACAGAAAATAAAAGTAGAGCAATTTTAGCAGATTATCTGTGCATATTTCACTATATACACACAAAAGATCTCTAAATATTCAAGCATCATATCTTCGCAAGAGTGTTTTATTCAGTATTTCAATTCATAAATTATATATTTTGAGAGTAACTTCTCAATTCACTTTCTGACAGAAGTTCCACAGAACCATTGGCTGAAATATAAGCTCAACTGCAAGGAAATAGCAAGAAGCAGAGAGTGAGGGATGAGAAATTACCCATTGGGTACGATGTACACTATTTGCATGATAGTTACACTAAAAGACCAGACCACCACTATGCAATATATCCATGTAATAAAACTCTTCTTGTACCCCCTAAATCCATAAAAATAAAAATGGAGAAAAATAAAAAATGGAAAATTTTTTAAGAGGAAGGAATAAAGAAAAGATAATAGGAAACAGATAAAATCTCAAGACTAAAGGGTCATGTTACCTTCTGTTTTACCAAAATTGTGATTCTACATGTTGTTGAAGAGAAATAACTTACTAGCCTACAAAATTAACAAATGTGAATTTTTATTTATCATTTTATTTTTAAATTGACACATAGAAATTGTGTATATTTACTGTGTGCCCACATGTTGTTTTGAAATATGTATACATTGCATCATAGCTAATTCAAGAAAATTAGCATATGTATAACCTCATATACTTATTTTATTGTGAGAACACTTAAAACTACTCTACTGTCTCAACAGTTTTCAAGAACACAATATTTTGTTATTAACTATAATCATCATGTTGTACAATAGATCTCTTGAACTTGTTCCTCCTAACTAAAATTTTGTATCCTTTGACCAACATCTCCCCAAACCGTCCTTGCCTCTCCAGCCCCCGGTAACCAGCAGAGGTTTTATTCCTTTGTTTTTCCATAAGTGGTTCCCTGACCTGCTCTCTATTTTTATGAGTTCAATGTTTTCAGATTCCACATATAAGTGAGATCATGCAGTATTTGTTTTCTGTGCCTGGCTTATTTCAATTAACATAATGTCCTCCAGGTTCATCCGTGTTGTCACAAATGACAGGATTTCCTTCTTTATTAAGGCTGAATAGTATTCTATTATTTATATATACTACATTTTCTTTATTCATTTATGGATAGAAGCTTAGATTGAGTTCATATGTTGGGTATAGATCTCGTGAGACTTATTCAGTACCATGAGAACAGTTTGGGGGCATGATCGTGAGGCCTCTCTAGCTTCATGGAACTGTGAGTCCATTAAACTTCTTTTTCATTATAAATTACCCAATCTCGGGTATGTGTTTATCAGCAGTGTGAAAACTGACTAATACAGGTATTGAGAATAATGCTGCAATGAACATGGGAATGCAGATATCTGTTTGACATACTGATTTCTTTTGGATATATACCCAGAAGTGAAATTGTTAGATTATATGGTAGTTCTATTTTTAATTTTTTGAGGAAGCTCCATACTGTTTTACATAATGTCTGTACTAATTTACACTCCAACCAACAGTGTACAAGGGTTTTCTTTTCCCTGCACCCTCATGAGGTATATAGTAATATCTTATTGTGGTTTTGATTTGCATTTCTCTGATGATTAGTGATTTTGAGCATATTTTCATGTATATGTTGGCCATTTGTACGTGCTTTTCGAGAAATGTTTATTCAGATCCTTTGCCAATTTTTGATCAGAATTTAGACTTTAATAAGAGATAAGATGACTAAAGCCCAAGTTACTAATGTTGTAGATACGGTAACTGCTTAAAATGGATCATTTTCTAATATAATCAGCCTTATGCAGAAGCAAAGCCTGTTGCTACAGTTCCTAGCCCTCCCTGGACCATCCCTTTTCCCCACCTCCACCCCTCTATTATGCTTTTATAAGGCTGGTGGGCTGGTGCATCAAGTTCCATCATTACAACTCTGTGACTGGTAAAATGGATTTACCAGAGAGGAGAGATGGTCATTATTTCTCCAGTTTATATGTCTGTGAGCCAGGAGCTGTCTGAAGGCAGAGATGTTGTCTTCATTTTCACAATTCCAGAGGTAGGCAAAATAGTTTAGTAAAAAGAGATCATCAGTAACTTTGTATAAAATATAGAAGTGAATCAATCCCAGTCATTCCTAGGGTGATTTAGTTTATCTCATCCTTGACAATCAGGAATCTATCTGGAGGGTGGTTATGATGGGAAATAGAGAGAAGGTGAACAGGCAATGCCTAGAGCCTAGGGCATTATCCAAACAGACCAGAACTGAGTGGACTATAGGTCCTGGAAAGCCAATAATCAATAGAGCAGAGGATTTGCAAAAATAAACAAATCCTGGTTCATCCTAGTTTTCACTTCTTGACTATGTGATTTTGGCCAATTTCCTTTCTTAGACTTGGTTTCTATTATCAAAATAGCAGACTGTGTGAAAATTAAAGATAGCATAAGCCTGTATGAAGCTAACAAATAAAGGATAGAGACTAAATTATTTATAATTATTACAGTTATCTTTAATATCATTAATGTCAGTAAACAATTACCCCCAGAAAAGATAAATTTTTTTTAAATGACAGTAAAGTGGAGACAAAGAGAAAATTTCTTCTTCACAATTTTGCCTATGGATGGCTCCTTTCCAATAATACTTTCTCCTTTTTTTTTTTTTTTTTTTTAAAATGGTGCTATTAACACGTAAACACCAAATCACTACGGTAAACTAATTGATACCAACTTTGTAAGATGCTAATTCCTACCCTCCCCACCCTCCTAAATTATCTAAGACTGATTTCCCCAACAATTATAGTAAGCACACTCTGCTTTCTGTGGTCACATAACCCAAACTCTTCAGATGCACAATTCATAAAGCCAGGATTTGTTTTGTAATCTAAGTAGTTATGAAATGATTAAACAAAAAAAGTTTGGCTTGGTTCAATTGTTTCAGTGAGAGGTTCACAGGTACCATAAGCCGTTGAAGTTGAACATGCAATAATAACAGGAAGGCAAGTTCTCAAATGTTAAAGTACATTCAGCCAGGTTCTTCTTCACATCAAGTACTTGGACAAGCAGTGGCAAGGTGCTGTGGGTAGACCTGGGCCTCAGAAATCACCAAGAAGGGCAATAGTGAGGTCAGCAGCAAAATCCACATAGAATGAACAATTTGCCTCAATGATAATTCTCCTCTCAGTAAATCATTTCTGCTTAGGCTATATTCCACCAATTTTGAATCTTTTCGATGCAATCCACACTTTTCTAGGAAATCCAATCATCAGAAATGTCTCATAGCATATGAGTCATAGAGCATTTATCATATAATAAACTGGAACTTATTTTTCCAGTTAATTAGGGAATATTCAAATAAATTTGTAAATCAGGGGTGAACAAATTTCTTCTGTAAAGGGCCAGATAGAAAATATTTTAGGCTCTGCAAGCGAGGTAAACTCAATTCTGTTTTCACAGCACAAAAGCAGTATGTAAATAAATAGGCATGGCTACTTATTTACCAAAATAGGTGAAGGGCAGGATTTGGACCACAAGCCAGAGTTTGCTAACCCTGGCAAAATCCATATCGACATCTAAATCATGCTATACAAATTAATTTCCAGTTAATTAATATCTGGTTGGAAACTTTATGAAACAATTGTGTGATTTTTCACCATCTCCAAGTAACTTTAGTAATTTAGTAATTTGAGTACTATGAGTATATGAGGTGCTTATCTGCTTAATGAATAAAGGGATGTCAGGTATCAAAAAGCAATGCTTCAAACATGCCATATAGCTCCCTATCCTGTAAAGTTTGTAAACTCTGTGAAGCACATCTGCCACTGTATTCTGCTGACACTTTATTATTTAATTATTTTAATAACCAATTATTATTATTTTTATCATTGTGTGTTGATTTTAAAAATGTTTCTATTGTTACCATAAAACTAGTTCATTTAAGAAAATGTACAGGGTGCATCAATCTTAAGGACAGATTTATTCTGTAATTTGGAATTTTTTACATTTTACAAAATTTATATAGTACATATACTGTAGTATATGTTTCCACACCCTAAATTGTGTGGGGCAGTCCTGCAAGCTCCATTTATGGTAAGTGTCCTATACAGCTATAACCATTTTTTATCTTTTATACCTTTTTTTTTTTTTTTACTGTAACTTCTCTATGTTTAGATGCACAAATACCAATTGTGTTTAAATTGCCTGTGGTTACATGTTGCACAGGTTTGTAACCGAGGAGCAATACACTACACCATAGAGCCTAGGTATGTAGTGGGCTATACCATCTGCTATTGTGTAAGTATACTCTATGATGTTTACACAATGACAAAATAGCCTAACAACACATTCTCAGAAGGCATCCCCATTTCTAGGTAGCTCGGGACTGTACAATAATATTCTATATTCAGTTTTGTCTCCTGCCTTATTAATGAAGACTTTTGTATATTTGAATTTGAAATGGCATTTCTCATTTTGCCAACATACAGCACTGGAACAAAACAAGGGAAGACTGCAGCAGAGCCCTACCCTATTAAGGACACACAAATGGTAACTATTCTTATAAATGATAGCCATGAGTCAGGCAACCCCTAACAATAGGCCCACTGTTTTTCTCCCATTCTGTGACACGTATCTTCTCTTGTCTGTGTAACTGTTGCATGATTGAATGCATGAACTACTTCCCAGTAAATAAATCAATTGTGAGGGCAGTGATAATCATGAGATGAATTAAAGTCTTTATATCAGACAGCGTTTCTCGTTTTTCTGCATGCAGAAACCTGGTTGTTGTTTACATGTTGCAAATTCTAAGATCTGAAATTACACAGTTCTAATGAGAACACATGGACACAGGAAGGGCAACAAACACACCAGGGCCAGTCGGTGGGTGGAGGGCAAGAGGAGGGAGAGCATTAGGACAAATACCTAATGCATGTGGGGCTTAAAACCTAGATGACGGGTTGATAGGTGCAAACCACCACAACACATGTATACCTATGTAACAAACCTGCACATTCTGCACATATATCCCAGAACTTAAATTTTTCCAAAAAATATACATTTTTGAAGAAAAAAATGCAAAAAAAACTAGCTTTCTTTTGATTACAAAAAGGAAAAAAAAAAAAAAAGACAAAATATGTATACATTGTTGAATGGCTCAGTTCAAGTAATTAACATATGCATTACCTCATAGCCATTTCAGTTTTTTGTAATGAGAACACTTAAAATCTACTTTTTAACAATTTTGAAGTATGCAATGCATTGTTGTTTCCTTTTTTTGTTTTAAAATGTCCTTCTGGAAACATTTTATTTACCTATAAAAGATGCAGACATGTTACACCAAAAAAGAAAAAAAAAGATTACAGTTCTTCAGGAGCCTTTGGTATAGCTGGGGTGAGACAAAACAAATACCAAAGGATGAATAACAGCATTGAGTATCATGCCAATTTAATAAATTAAATAAATCACTAGAGTAGCAGGTATTAAATAATAGTCCACAAACTCAAGTCTGCAAGAAATAGCACATATATTTCTTTTCTAGAGCAAGTTAATTCTGGACCAGACTGAAAGGAAATTCAACTTGAGTCATGAAGAGGGCCTGAGTTGATGTAGAATTCAGGTCTGGGGAGGCCACCAGTCCCCTGCCCACATTAGTTATTCTGTGACACCATTTTCCTGTCTGCATGATCTCTTTAGACCCAAGGACTCTGCTGCTTCGAAGTCTTTCTTAGAGTTTTACACTCCATGGAAAGGCTGAGTGCTGGCACATTGAAGTGTTAAAAGACTTTTTTGAAGACTATGATGTGGAAAATGGTGATGAGACTGGAAAATGGTGATGAGACAGGAAAATGTGAGCAAAGTTCTAGGCTGATTGGTAGAGAAGGCCTGTCTGAGGGGGTGTGTCTTCTGCTTGCACCATAGAAGGTGAGATCAAACGTCCTACTCAAAACTGGTTTCAATGTGGATGAAGCCACACAGGCATTGAGAGGGTTGAAAAGGTTTATTTACTCACATAAAGAGGCTTTCAGTGGAGAGCAAGGCAGACACTCGAGCTGATCTGAAACGGCTTGAGAAAAGGAAGAAGGATGTGGCTTGATTTTGTGTTGCAGTTAGAGGGTGGGGCCCAGGCAAGGGTCCCCAGGTGTGGTTGGGGCTGTATGGTTCGACATTTCCCCTGTACCTGTGTGGAGTGAATGTGCCGGTTTTCTTATTGGCTTGCCCAGAGGAGTGGGACTTGAAGCTGTCCTTGGTTAAACATAAAAAAAAATGCAGTTCGACTCCTTGTTCCAATGAGGCATGTTAGTTGAGACCGAAGGATGAAAGAACTAGAGGAAGAGCATCCCAGACAAAAGGAATGCACGCAAAAGCCCACGGTGGTGAAAGTCCTTGAATGTTTGAGGAACAGAAAGAGGCCAGAGTGGTGGGAATCTGGCAAGCAGAGGAAGATGCGGTTAGAGAGGCCAGAGCATGCAGGGCTCACTGAGTCATGGCTGTGAGTTTGGATTTCATGGTAAGTGCAATAGAAAGCCATTAAAATCTGGTAGCTTGACATGAAATCAGGATTTTATTGCAAGCTTGATAAAACCTGATATCTACATACAGTCAAATAGGAAGAAGAGACAAATCAATGGAATGAATGTCTCTAACATTATTTTATTTATTTTGAGATTGTGTACCCAGATAAACCTAACTCTCTTGCACCAAAGAGTTTAGCCTAAAGTTTAGGACAGGTTTTGGAATTCTGCAAAACTTTTCCCACCTCACCCCCACCCTCACCATAGTGACCACAACACTCTATGGCTACTGAATAAATAATTAAACATAAATATAGGGAAAACATATATACATTTGAGTAGTAAACTAAGTACACTTTATATATGCAGTTCTCCCTTGGTATCCCTGAGGAATCGGTTCCAGGATGCCCAAGGATACCAAGATCTGTGGATTCTCAAGTCTCTGATACACAATGGTGTAGTATTTGCATATAATCTATGCATATCCTATCATCTACTGTAAATCATCTCTAGATTACTTATAATACCTAATACAATGTAAATGCTAGGTAAATAGTTGTTATGCTCCATTGTCAAGAAAAGAATGACAAGAAAAATGTCTGTACCTGTTTAGTGCAGACGCAATTTAAAAAAAAATATTTTTAATCTGCAGTTGATTGAATCCATGAATGTGTAACCCACAAATACAGAAAGCTAACTGTATATATTCAAATATCATATATAAATACATACATGTGTTCATATATATACACATGCATCTATATGCCTGTGTATATCTACATACGTATGTACATTAAAAGAAAAATTGCAGACAAAATAAAATTAACAGAGTTTATTTGAGCAAAAGGATTTATGAATTAGGCAGCATTCAAAATCAGGAGAGGTCCAGAGAACTCCACCCAACAGCATGAGCAGTGAGGCTTTAGGGGCCAAACACAGAAGCAAAGTTGAGAAATCACCTGACTGGCTATAGCTAGGCATTTGCTTTATTTGGCCACTGTATGATCAGTTAGCTGCCTAAAATTGGCTGAAGCTCAGCAGTTTGTGAAAGGCAGAAAACTGTCTATTTGTTACACAAAATCTGCTCCTAAATTTTGGTTTATGTATAAATTAGGTGGCAGATTTTTATGTAGGAACTCAAAGTATGGAGATGGCCTCAGGCTATTGGCCTTCTGCTTATTTAATTTAACTCACATGCAGATATGTATGAGTACACACATACACAGATCTTGTGGGTATATGGTGGGGGGGGGCAGGGGGTGTGGAGGGAGCTGGGAAGTGTTGTAGTAGACACTGACATAAACTAACATCAGAGCCAGATCTTACATTCAGCTGGAAGGGGATCTAGCTACCCTGCAGCAACTTAAATTTCCCTGATGCTTATTTCTGTTTGTACCACTGCTCCTGTACTATAGGGCTTGGGCAGTTCTCAGCCTCATCCTCTGTCAGTGGGCATCTCTGAAGAGGCCTCCCTGATAAAGACAGCATTAGAGCACCAAACCTGTACAGCTCATGGGTGACTCTGTCCCTCTTCTTCCTTCTCTGTCTCATCTAAATTTTGACTTCTCTGTTTGTCTGCAGCCTTCCATCTGCTTTGTGGAGTGTCTCTTCCCTCTCTCAGCTTGGCATATTCAGACTGACCATCCTTTCTATTAGCATGCCCATTCCATGATCCCACAAGGTAGCACCCTTGGTTTTTGACCTTACCTGCTGTTTGACTCTGCCCAGAAAATGACACAGTCCCCTCACATGGCACTAACAACTGGTGTTCATGGCAACATGACCCCATGTGATGTATCAGGCGCAAATGAGAGGTTACAGCAGGGTACCCGTGCAGCTGTATCTTCACCTATGAACTCAAATAAGGCAGCTCTTTGTGAAGCAGTGGGGAGGGAATCTTTAGGTAGTAAAAAAAAATATGAACTAAACTTTAGATTCAAACTGAAACCCTGGAAACCCTGTGATCTTAAAACATGTACTTGCTTCTCTGCCTCACAGCACCAGACCATCTGCCAACCTCCTTCCTGAGCAGAGCAGTTGCCAGGGCCATGACCAAGAAACTTCACAGTAATTTATTTGCTCTCTGAGCCAGACAGAATCCAGGGACCCAGAAAGGAAAGTCCTGAGTGAGGATGAGAGCACTGCTTTTTTTGGAAAGAGCTTGGCCCTCTAAGATCCACATAATCCTGGAAGAAAGGTGGGTATCAACCTGCCCAAATGGTCCTGGGATGACTATCCAACTTCCTTATCCCTGAGGGGCTCTGGAAGGTCAGAGCAGGTGAGCTGAATCCTCTATGCGATGAGGTAAAGAAACAGAAATCAAGAATGTGGGCACACCGTGGACCACTGCTGCATAAGATATGAGCCCCGTAAAGCACTGGTGTGCTTATTCAGGAAAAAATATGGAAATCTCTCCTCTAAGGCAATGTTTGGATCAGTGAGCACTATTTCCATATAAGAATGGATGTTCCTTGAGGTTAGGAACAAAAATGAATGAATGAATGAATGTAGTAGTAACTCCGTAACCCAAGTCAGCCTCTTCTTAGGTGAATGATTTACCAAAATCATCTGCATGGTACATCTCCAAGGAACACCTGAGTAGTATAACACAAAAGGCAGTGACAGAAAATTGGGAGGCTCAAGTGTTAGTCTCGGATCTGTCATTAATTCTGTGACATTAAGAGAACCCCTTCACATATTTGCTAATTTTCAAACTTCTGAAACTTGAGGGATTTGGACCAAAAGAGCTCTAAGCCTCTTCTATCATTAATATTATATTCCATTCCTTTCTCAAAAATTGTTTTGGTTTATACTGGAAATATTAACTTCCCCTCTGGACAGTTCCTGGTTTGTGGACAGTTTTCTTATTCAGATATGCTATGTTTGCACACCACCTGTATCTTGAATTTTCTCCACCACAGTGTTCGGGTCTGAGTCTGTTCTCTCACCTGTATAATGCCCCTAACACCTTGTTCAAGGTGAGAACAGTAGTCTCAATTGTCTGCTGACTGGTGATCACCTTGACTACCATGTCAATTCCTTTTCTAAGCATTAACCAGTGAAGGTTATTGAAGGTGAGTTGCTTTTATGTGGCATAAGCTTAAGAGAGCAAAAAGACATTACCAACACTCTAAACAGCAAAGAACATTCTGAAAGGATCTAGGGCCACCTTGCAAAATGCCAGTAAATCTTTGGTTCTTAATAGGGGTCAAAAGAAGCTACTAAAGTTTCACTTTTTTAAAAGATGGGATACTCTGTGGTGTTTTAGATTAAGAGTTTTAGGCTGCTGCCTAAAGACAAGAGTAGAATAGGACTTAAAGAAATGTAGTAAATTAGGAAAGAAAATTGCCTGATGCCTGTGTCAAATTCATTCTCGTTTAGTAGTTCTATAAAAGGACAGCAAGTATTTTCTTTCTTAGAAATCACAGAAAGAGTAAGTTGACTTTGGTAAAGGAGAAACATGCTTGGTGCACTTGCCATAAACCCGTCATTTATGAGTTAACACTCTTTTACATTCATGTACTAGGCCCCATCCTATTGAGTCTCCCCAAAATCTAGGGAAATAGGTGCAGCAGGAAGACCCTCAGCAGTTGTTACACAGTATCCCATTCATGCAAACTTTTCTTAAACACTGCAGTGACCCAGAGCTCACTACCCATTGGATGGATCAATACTTTTTTTTGACTAACCTATTGTATTTTTGAAAAGTTCTTTTGGAAAGTTCTTCCTTAAGAACTGTATTTTTCTCTAGGTCACTTTCAAATGCTGCTCCTCAATCTTCCATATTTTTTATACTGTCTTAGCTGGGATAATGAACACTAGCTACTGCCACACACAAGCCTCAAATTCTGAGTGGCCTAAAACAACAAAAGTTTCTTTCTTGCTCAAGTCAAGTGCAATGTAGGTTGGAAAGCCAGATCTATTGTGTAGCTTCATCACCTGGAACATGCTGCCACAGCAGGCTAAAAGCAATTTGGCAGAGGTGGATTGGTTCTTATTGACACAGTCCACAAGTGTACCAACACATGTGCTCCTAGCCGGTTGGCCAGAACTAGCCACAAGGCCCCAGCCTAACTGTAGGGATCCTGGGACATGTAAGAAAACACATGGAATTTAGTGGATGCTAATTGTATCTGTGAAACTCTTTCCCCAACCAAGCACACTGATTGGAAGGATGAGGCAGGTACTAAGATTTGATGCATCAAATTTATATTGAATCCTGGAGCAAGATCATGCCAAAGAAAAGCTAGTGCTTCACATTCTGATCATGCAGAGAGAGCCCAGCCATCACTCTCTCAGAGTCTGACATCCGGCTCTGCTGTCTTTGTGCAGTGCCTAGAATAAGATGGTCAGCAGAGGATTTATGTATTTCCTACTTCCCCTCTTTTCTGTGACTTTCCTCCAGTACAGGCTGAGTGTTTAGAGGGCCTTGTTGCATACTGTCCAGCCATTTACAATTCCTGTTTCCTGGGAGCAGTTCATCCTCATATCTCCAGACATCAAGAATTTGACAGCATGAAGGAAGGATGCCACATAATTAATGTCATTTATGTTAACTAAAATCATGTTATCTAAATGTATTATGATAGGTCTATAATAAGTGTACTGTTTTGCATTTCTGGTATTCCCAAATGACTGGGCATGAGATTATATCTAGGGAATAGATGTAAGACTTCTTCACTAGGCCAATGAAACTCTCTGTTTCAAGTGAGAAACTGAGCCTCAGAGAGATTGAATGATTTATTCATGTCCTGTAAATGGTAAAAGCAGAACAGTAACCCAGGACATCTGACTTTTTTTTTTTTTTTTTGACGGAGTCTTGCACTGTCACCCAGGCTGGAGTGCAGTGGCATGATCTCTGCTCACTGCAGCCTCTGCCTCCTGGGTTCCAGCGATTCTCCTCCCTCAGCCTCCCTGGTAGCTGGGATTACAGGCACGTGCCACCACCACGCCCAGCTAATTTTTGTATTTTAAGTAGAAACGCGGTTTCTCCAGGTTGACCAGGCTGGTCTCGAACTCCCGACCTCAGATGATCCACCTGCCTTAGCCTCCCAAAGTGCTAGGATTACAGGCATGAGCCACTGCGCCCGGCCTGGAATATGTGACTTCTAATCCAGTGCAAAGTGCTTTGTTAAGAGCATGCCAAGAACTGGCTTCCAATCTCCTCTGTGCTATCCCTTTTCAAACATCAGAATGCCAACCTGACTCTTCAGAGAAGAAAAAGAGAGACAGCCAGGCCCACTCATAATAGTACCTGTGGTGTCAGCAGCAAGCCAATAATAGGCAGTGGCAAATGCACATTTACATTATGCAGAAATTAGGAGCACGATGAGGACAATAAGACGCCTTGGATGGAATAATTGCTTCCCTGTAGGGTGTTCAAGCCACTCTAGTTTGCTGGTGCCCAGACTATAAATGAATTTGCACTGGAGGTGTGAATGCAGCCAACACAATGGAATTGAAAGGGGAGGAGGCAGCCATAGGCATGGAGTTTTCAAAACCAAATAATATGTGAATTGTTGAAATGCTGTTCAGGAAAATTCACACCACTTTAAACGCTTCAGAGTCAGAGAAAGGAAAAGCAAAATAGCACTATGGCATGGACTCTGTCCTGATTCCTGCAAATTGTGAGTAGTCAACATCCACTTTTGTAATAATAGCCTGGATTGGTATATCAAAAGCCCTTGTTAAGCAGCCGTGAATTTTGTAAACATGTTTTACTCTTTCACTGGTACTACCATCATTACATGATAGTAACTGGGCAGTCCATTATGTTGTGGGGTACAATTACTCACGAGAGAGTACATTCATAACAGTACATTCAGATGACCTCATATGCCCCCAGCATGCTATCCCATGGCAGAATCAGGCATCGGATTACAAAAAGCTTTGTACAAAACCAGAAAATTCATGAGACCTCAGTGGCAATGGCAAATGCATCATAGGCAAGAAATGAATTGATTTTCACCTATGGCATTTGCATGTTAATCTTGTAATCTCCTCTAGTTCTTGATCATTCTGGAAGGCAAAGCGATCTCATTTGTCCCCATCTAAATGCATTGTTTAAAAGCCCCCTTTGATTTATATAGTCCCTGCCTTTTTATGCATAGCAATAATTGTTTATATTTGAGTTTTTGCATTTATATGGCCAGATTTTAACAATATATTATTTGAGACTTTATGGTGTTTGTAAAGTAGATTAGACAGATATTATTATCCTCATATTTTAAAATAAGGAAATGAAATGTGAGAGTCAGTAAAGTTAGGTACTTTGCCTAGTGTATTAGTCAGGGTTATCTAGAGGGAAAGAACTAATGGAATATACATATATATATATAAAGGGGAATTTATTAAATATCAACTCACATGATCACAAGGTCCCACAATAGGCTGTCTGCAGGCTGAGGAGCAAGGAGAGCCAGTCTGAATTCCAAAACTGAAGAACTTGGAGCCCGATGTTCGAGGGCAGGAAGCATCCAACACCGGAGAAAGATGTAGGCTGGGATGCTAGGCCAGTCTCTGTTTTCATATTTTTCTGCCTGCTTATATTCTAGCTGTGCTGGCAGCTGAATAGATTATGGCCACCAGATTAAGGGTGGGTCTGCCTTTCCCCGCCCCTGACTCAAATGTTAATCTCCTTTAGGGACACCCTCACAGACACACCCAGGATCAATACTTTGTACCCTTCAATCCAATCAAGTCGATACTCAGTATTAACCATCACAAGTCCAACCCTTGTCAACTTGAACCCATATACATCTCCTGAGATCATACATAATCTTCAAATAAAGACAATAATAAGGTTATAATTATGCCTAACATAATACAACTATCCTTCACACAACTGAAACTCACCAATCCCCAACCCAAAGCTATTACATAAAGTTAACAATATTTAAATGCTGATGTGAAGTCAATAAATCTTATGTCACATGATAAAGGAGAAAGGAAATGAAGATATTTTCTTAGTATACGTGTACACATGCACAAACATGTTTTTAACAAAAGAAGCAGGAAATACTCATGACAGTTACAGTCCTCATTTCTGCAGCTGGTCATGTGGTTGTAGCTGGTATTGATGACTGCCTTCTTCTACTACCCATTCTGTGTTCCCTTTGCCTTCAGCAAGCACCTCAGCAGGTCATAGTTTCTTTCCTGGTGGAGTGACCCAAACCTTCATTCTTGAAGCATCTGGGTCATTTGTAGTCCTGCCTGGATTGGGCTCTTGTAGTTTCCCATTGACCTTAATCACAGGGCATGGTAATACTAAGAGATGCCCTAATGGATCTCCTGTATTCCATGCATACTCTTCCTTACCTCCGTTGTGGAGTAGTAGACTGATTTCATCTTGATATTCTGGGTCAATCACCCCAGCCAACACTGTAACTCCCTTCTTACCCTGTTGACTTAAAGGTAGGAGGAGACCAAAGTGTCCAGGTGGCAATCATAACTTCCAGTTTAATAGAATTGTTGTTGTGTCTCCTGGTGGCAGCATTCCTCCCTCTGGAACTAAGACCTCTAGGCCAGCAGAGCATAATGTCACGGGAAAAAGAAGCAAACATTTTGTTAGTATATCACTAGTGGTGATGGTGAGTGGTGCCACTTCCACTTCCACCCCTTGATTCCTGGCCCCGTGAATCCTGGCTATGGGAGAAACTGTTCCATATATTGGATGCTGATTCAGAGCATACACGGCCTCCTGGAGAACTTAGCCCCAGTCCTGCAAAATATAGTCACGTAGTTGATGTTTTAATTATGACTTCAAAAGGCCATTCCACTTTTCTATCAATCCAGCTGCTTCAGTATGATGGGCAACATGGTAAGACCAGTGAATTCCATGAGCATAAGCCCACTGCTGCACTTCTTTAGCCGTAAAGTTAGTGCCTTGGTCAGAGGCAATGCTGTGTGGAATACCATGATGGTGGATAAGGCATTCTGTGAGTCCATGGATGGTAGTCTTGGCAGAAGCAATGTGTGCCAGATAGACAAACCCATATCTAGAGTAAGTGTCCATTTCAGTGAGGACAAACCTCTACCCTTTCCATTATGGAAGAGGTCCAGTATAATCAACCTGCCACGAAGTAGCTGGCTGATTACCTAAGCAATGGTGCCATATCGAGGGCTCAGTGTTGGTCTCTGCTGCTGGCAAATCGGGCACTCAGCAGTGGCCGTAGCCAGGTCAGCCTTGGTGAGTGGAAGTCCACGTTGCTGAGACTATGCATTACCTCCATCCATGCCACCATGGCCACTTTGTTCATGGGCCCACTGGGCAATGACAGGGGTGGCTGGAGAAAGAGGCTGAGCGGTGTCCACAGAATGGGTCATCCTATCCACTTGATTATTAACATCCTCCTCTGCTGAGGTCACCTATTGGTGAGCATTTACATGGGATAAAAATATCTTCACAGTTTTGTACCACTCAGAGATGTCCATCCACCTACCTATTCCCCAAATTTCTTTGTCACCAACTTTTCAATCATGCTTCTTCCAAGTCGCTGACCATCCAGCCAAACCATTGGCTACAGTGCATGAATTAGTATATAATCACACATCTGGGGATTTCTCCTTCCATGCAAATGCACAACCAGGCGCACTGCTCAAAGTTCTGCCCACTGGGAAGATTTCCCTTTATCACTGTCCTTCAGGGATGTTCTAGAAAGGGGCTATAGTGCTGCAGCTGTCTACTTTCAGTTGGTGCCTGCATATTGTGCAGAACCATCTGTGAACCAGACCCTAGTCTTCTCTTCTTCTGTCAAATGATCATAAGGAACTCCCCATAAGGCCATTGGTGCAGGCTGGGAGAGAAGGCAGGATGGCAGGAGTGGAGACCATGGGCATTTGAGCCACTGCCTCATGTAACTTACTTGTGCCTTCAGGACCTGCTCAAGCCTGATCACATATATACCACTTCCATTTGATGATGGATGCTGCTGTGCACGACCCACTTTATGGCTAGATGGGTCAGAAAGCACTCAGTTCATGATAGGCTGGTCAGGTCGCATGGTGACGTGATGACCCATATGCAAATGTTCAGTTTCCACCAAAGCCCAGTAACAGACCAAGAGCTGTCTCTCAAAAGGAGAGTAGTTATCTGCAGAAAACGGCAGGGCTTTGTACCAAAATCCTAGAGGCCCCTGCTGCGATTCACCTATGGGGCCTGCCAAAGGCTCTGAACAGCATCCCTATCTGCCACTGACACCTCAAGCACCATTGGATCTGCTAGGTCATATGACCCAAGTGGCAGAGCAGCTTGCACAGCAGCCTGGACCTGCTGCAGAACTTTCTCCTGTTCTGGAACCCACTCAAAACTGGAAACCTTTCAGGTCACTCAATAAATGGGCTGGAGTAGCACACTCAAATGAGGAAGGTGTTGCCTCCAAAATCCAAGTAGGCACGCTAGGCGTTATGCCTCTTTCTGAGTTGTAGGAGGGGCCAAATACAGCAACTTATCCTTCACCTTAGAAGGAATATCTCAACAGGCCCCACACCACTGGACTTCTAGAAATTTTACTGAGGTAGAAAGTTCCCGAGTTTCAGTTAGATTTCACATCCTCTGGCATGCAAATGTCTCACCAGTAAGTCCAGTGTGTTTGCTACTTCTTGCTCACTGGATCCACTCAGCAGAATGTCATCAATGTTATGGACCAGTGTGATATCTTGCAGAAGTGAGAAGCAATCAAACTCTCTCTGAATAAGATTATAACACAAAGTCAGAGAGTTGATATACCCCTGAGGTAGGACAGTAAAGGTATATTACTGGCCTTACCAGCTGAAGGCAAATTGCTTCTGGTGGGCTTTATGGACAGGAATAGAGAAAAAGGCATTTGCCAAGTCAATGGCTGCATACCAGGTACCAGGAGATGTGTTAATTTGCTCAAGCAATGAAACCACATCTGCTACAGCAGCTGCAATTGGAGTCACCACTTGGTTAAGCATACAATAATCCACTGTCGTTCTTCAAGATCCATCTGTTTTCTGCACAGGCCAAATGGGAGAGTTGAACAGGGATGTGGTGGGAATCACCACCCCTGTGTCTTTCAAGTCCTTGATGATGGCACTAATCTCCGCAATCCCTCCAGGGATGCAATATTGTTTTCGATTTACTATTTTTTCTAGGCAGAGGCAGGTGTAATGGTTTCCATTTGGCCTTTCCCACCGTAATAGCCTTCACCCTACCAGTCAGGGAGCCAATGTGGGGGTTCTGCCAGCTGCTAAGTATGTCTACACAAATTATTCATTCTGCTGGCACTGGAGAAATGACCACAGGATGAGTCCGGAGACCCGCTGGACTTACTGTAAGTCAGACTTGAGCTAAAACTCTACTAATTACCTGAGCTCCATAAGCCCCCTACTTTAACTGGAGGACCATAATGATGTTTTGGATCCCCTGGAATCAATGTCAGCTCAGAGCCAGTGTCCAGTAGTCCCCTAAATGTCTGATCATTTCCTTTTCCCCAATGCACAGTTACCCTGGTAAAAGGCTGGAAGTCTCCTTGGGGAAGTACGGGAGAAAGACTCACTGCATAAATTGTTGGTAATGTAGTGGGATCCTTCCTCAAGGGGATCCAGCCTCCCCTTCATTCAAGGGGTTCTGAGTCTGTAAACTGGCTCAACTCTTGAAATTGATTGAGGGGCCATGATTCTCTGATTTTATAATTCAAATTACTCTCTTGTCCACTCGACCTATAAGTTTTCTGCTTGTATAAATTAAGTAGGAATGCAGTAGGTTTCCCATCAATTTTACTTCTAAGAACACCATGATTAATTAGCCAATGCCAGAGCTCTACATGAGTCAGACTATTCTGATTGCTGCTTTGCCTCTGCTGTCCATTATGGTAGCTACACCCACCTTGCCTTTGACAGTTGAGTGCTGCCACTTGGCCCCTGCCACCTTGCGATCCAATTATTCCCATTGTATTTCAATTTTGTAGTTGAGTGACTGTGGTTCCCACTGTTAGATCTGACATACAGAGAAGAGCAATTACAGGGTTCTTCAAAGATGCAGGTGCTGCCCTCACAAATCTATTTCACAAGGCATTGGTCAAGGGTATATCTTCTGGACCCTCCCAGCTGGGATGAGTAGGTCTAAAGTGGCTAATACACTTCCCCATCCCAAACTCCCTAAGCCTTTGGATCCCTTCCTCTATATTAAACCAAGGAAGATCAGGCATTTCCATCTCACTCACAGTGGGCATCTTTTAGTCCACATTTCCGCTAACCAAGCAAATAAACTATTAGAACCTTTTTTAACTCCTTGAGCTGCAACATTAAATGAAGAGTTCCTATTTAGTGGGCCCAAATCAATAAATTTAGTCTGATCCAACTCTATGTTCCTTCCACCATTATTCCACACCCTTAATATCTATTCCCATGCCGTTCTCCATATTTCTGCTTATATAAATTAGAAAACTCAAACAGTTCTTTTCAAGTGTAGTGCACCTCCTCATGGGTCATGCTCTCAACATCACCTCTAGGGGCCTGCTGGGACTTTAGTCTAGTTATAGGTCTAGAAGCAGACAGAGCTGTTGGGGGTGGCTCCTGAAGAGAATCAACATTATCTTGCCTGTCAACTGCCTCAGGGGAGGCCACCACTGTGTCCTCAGGCAGCACAGGGTTTATTTTCTCAGACAAAGGTGGAAAGGCTGATGGCAGCATGGGTTGGGGAGGGGATGTTGCCACTACTGGGGATGGGGAAGCTGTTTACTCTGGCAAAAAAGGTAAATCAGAGTTTACAAACTCAGTGTTCCCAGTTTCATCAGGGTCTTCCCACACATCCCCATTCCTGGCGGCAGAGTCCCATTCATTTCCAATCAATGCCCTCATTTTAACAGTAGACACCTGGCGAGGCAGTGCACACACCTTTTGTTGCAGGTCAGCCACTTGCATGATAAGAGGTTGTATCTGTTTTTCCGCAATTTCAGCTCTTTCTCTACAGGAGATAAGACTCTCACTCAGGGCAATCTTAGCAGATTTGAGGCTCAGTATCTGCTTCTGAAGCCGGGAGATAGAATCCCCAAGTTCAACATTTTCTTTCATCACTTTTTTCACTGAACTTAGGAGAAACCAACCAGCTTCATGATGTTCCTTGTTTCTCCACAAGTTGTCAAAGGTATTATGTATAGAGTCACTAAACTCCTTGCTTCTCATGAGCAATGAAACAGGAGTGTCAAATGCATTTATTTCACATAACTCTCTAAACAGTCACAATAAAGACTATCAGTGTTCTCCATACTATCAGAAGTAGATCCTTAGCATTTTTGGGTCTAATCATATTAAGCAGCCAACTCTAGAAACCCCAAAACCAATGAAAGAACTCCATTCTTAATATTCTGTTCCTCAAGAACCATTCTTGGTACCAACATCTATAGTAGTCAGTGTCCTCTAGAGGGACAGACCCATTGATTCAAGTGATTATCCTGCCTCAGCCTCCCGAGTAGCTGGGACCACAGGCATGTGCCACCACGCCTGGCTAATTTTTGTACTTTCAGTAAAGATGGAGTTTCACCATGTTGGCCAGGCTGGTCTCAAACTCCTGACCTCAGGTGATCCACCCACCTTGGCTTCCCAAAGTGTTGAGATTACAGGTGTGAGCCACTGCGACCAGCCTCCACCACCTTCTTATCTTTACCACCCCACAATTCCTGCCCAGGAAGATGGTCTCCTCTGGCTGGCTAAAATTACAATTCTAGAATTCTCAGAACCAATGCTACATGGGGAATGGAAAGAATTAACTCCTGGTAATCAAAAATTTCTGAAAAATGCTGCTCTCCGCTGTTGCACACTTTATTTCCTTTTGTTGTCCAATTAATGAAAGATTAGTAGAAAATAGTCTGGAAATGAGGCCTTAGGGGCAAGAAATTTTCTTATCAAGACATCACAGTAACTGTAATCAGTTAACAGTAATTTATGCATATCACAAAGTACAGATTGGGCAGTTTAAAACTAATAAACAGGAGTAAGTAGCAACCTTGCTGGAAACAGAATTCTAGAAACTCTCAACTTAGAATACTGTATCAAGCAAAGTTTTATTTCAAACATGAAGGAGAAATAAAGACTTTCCCAGAAAAACAAAACCTGAGAGAATTTAACATCAGACATGTCTTACAAGAAATGCTAAAAAGAGGCCTTCAATATGAAAGGATACTAGTGTGCAACAATAAATCATCTGAAAGTATAAAACTCACTGGTAAAAGTAAGTACACAAAGATAGAATATGTTAATACTTAAAACTTGTTGTGTAAAACATTCATATATTTAGTGTAAAGAATAAAAGACAAACCTACAACAATTTGTTCAGAGATAGACAATATAAAAAGGTATAGAGACAAAAAAAGTCAAAAAATGTAAAAATTGAGTTAAAGTGTAGAGTTTTTTTAGGTTTCTCTTTGCTTTGTTTTTCTTGTGATTAGAGTTAAGTTGTTATCAGTTTAAATTGGTTTTAAGATGTTTTTTACAAGCTTCATGGTAACCACATTGTCAAAACCTATACTAGATACACACACACAAAAGAAAAAATAAAAAGCAAGAAATTACAACATTCTGCCAGAACAAAATCACTTACGCACAAATAAAGATAGCAAGAAAGGAAGAGAGGACTAACAAAGCACTCAGAAAACAAATAACAAAATGGCAGTACTAAGTTCTTACCTATCAATAATAACATTTCATGTAAATGGACTAAATTCTCCAATTAAAAGACATAGAATGTCTGAGTGGATAAAGAAGTAAGATTCAATTATATGCTGCCTAGAAGAAACTCACTTCACCTATAAAGACTATAAAGACACATAGACTGAAAATGAAGGAATGGAAAAAAAAAACTTTTCCATGAAAATGGAAACAAAAAAAAAAGAGCAGGAGGGGCTAGCATGACATCAGATAAAATAGATTTCAAGACAAAAACTATGAAAAGAGACAAAAAAGTAATTATACAATGATAAATGGGCCAACTCAACAAAAGGATATAACAATAGTAAATATATATGCATTCAATGCTGGATCACCCACATATATAAAGCAAACATTATTAATGCTAAAGAGAAATGTAGACCCCCCCCCAATACAATAATAGTTAAGAACTCTAAAATTTCACTTTTGGCTTTGGACAGATTATATAGACAGAAATTCAACAAAGAAACCTCAGGCTTCATCTGTACTTAGGCCAAGTGGACCTAAAAGACATTTACAGAGCATTTTATCTAACAGCTACAGAATACACATTCTTCTCATTAGCACATGAAACATACTCCAGGATAGACCATCTGTTAAAGCATAAAACAAGTCTCAAAAATTTCAAAAAAAATTGAAATTATATCAACTATCTTTTATGAACACAATGAAATAAAGCTAGAAATCAATAACAAGAGGAACTTTGGAAACTATAAAAATGTGTGAAAATTAAACAACATGCTACTGAGTGACCATTGGGACAATGAAGAAATGAAGAAGAAAATTTAAAAATTTCTTGAATCAAATGACAATGGAAACACAAGATACCAAAATCTATGGGTTATAGCAAAAGAAGTACTAAAAGGGAAGTTTTTAGCAATAAATGTCAACATCAAAAAAGTAGAAAGACAAAAAAACAACCTAATGATGCATCTTAAAGAACTAGAAAATCAAGAACAAGCCAAATCCAATTAGTAGAAGAAGAGAAATAATAAAGGTCAGTGCAGAAATAGAAGAAATTGAGACTAAATAAATATAAAAGTTTAATGGAATTACAAGTTTTTTTGAAAAGATAAACAAAATTAGCAAACCTTATGCCAGACTAACTTGAAATACAAAGAGAAGAGCCAAATAAATAAAACTAGAGATGAAAAAGGAGACATTACAACGGATACCACAGAAGTTAGAAGGAAGATTAGAGACTATTATGAACAACTATATGCCAATACATTGAGAAACCTAGAAGAAATGGATAAACTCTCAGACAATAGAACCTTCCAAGATTGAACCATGAAGAAATAGAAAACCTGAACAGACCAATAACAAGTAATGAGATCGAATTAATAACAAACAGTTTCCCATCAACGAAAAGTCCAAGACCTTATGGGTTCACCTGTTGAATTCAACCATTTAAAGGACTAATACCAATCCTACCCAAACTATTCCAAAAAATTTAGCAGGAGGAGAAGTAAATAGCTATCCTTTTGGAAAAACAAATACTTTATCAAGGTATAATTGACATAATAAACTGTATATATTGAAAGTATGTAATTTGGTAACTTTTAGTTTATGTAAACTCCATGAAGTCATCCCTACAAGATACCTTATTCCCCTTTATATTCTCTCCCTCCAAATCTTTACCCTCATCTTCAGGCAAAAGCAGGAGAAGAAGGGCGTCTCAGCTCCAGAAGAAAAAATAATTTGCTCATATCCTTCGCCCACATGTTCTCACTCATAGGTGGGAATTGAACAATGAGAACATATGGACACAGGAAGGGGAACATCACACACCGGGGCCTGTGGTGGGGTGGGGGGAATGGGGAGGGATAGCATTAGGAGATATACCTAATGTTAAATGACGAGTTAATAGGTGCAGCACACCAACATGGCACATGTATACATATGTAACAAACATGCACGTTGTGCACATGTACCCTAAAACTTAAAAGTATAATAATAATAATAATAAAAGAAAAAATAATTTGCCTTTTCTCTACCTTATTCTCTCTGTACTCTTGGCTGATTAGATAGTGCCCACCCACATGGGTTGAGGACAAATCTTTCTTACTCAGTCCACTGATTTAAATTCCAATCTCTTCTGGAAACGCCCTCACAGACATAGTCAGCTATTTGGGTATCACTTAATCCAGTGAAGCTGACACATAAAATTAACCATCACAAAGTACATACACATTAAAGATTGGCATGTCCTGGAGAATTGCCCCTGATATCATTATGTAATGCATACCTTTATGCCTGAAAACTTTCTATGCTTTGAAGCCTATGGTATCTGAAATTAACATAGCTACTACCACTTACTTTTACAGGTTTCTTTGAACAATGATAGCATGGTGTAAATTTATCCGTATTTTAACTTTTAAACTATTAGTGTCTTTCTCTTAAAAGTGCCTTTTTTATAGGCAACAAAATTGGGTTTGACAATATATGCCTTTAAATGAAATATTAAGCTCACTTACATTTATTGTGATCATTGATATGGTTAAGTATAGCATGTTGCTATTCACTTTTGGGTTTTGTTCGGTTGTATGTCTTAGTGTCTTTTTTCCTCTTATACCTCTTCTTTTCTGTCTTTTGGATTAATTTAATTTTATTTGCATTCTGTCTTCTCTTTGTTGGCTTTTCAGCTAATTCTGTACTGTTATTTTATTGGTTGCTATAGGTTTATATTAGTTATCTCTAACATATAACAGTCTATATTCAAGTGATATTATAATAATTCACACATAATATACTAACATTATAATAGCATACTTTCATTTCTCTTGTGTTTACCTTAAAGCTTTGTACATTAACATAGATTATAAGCTGCAGACTACATTCTTAAAATTTTTTTAAAGATTCAATTAAGTTTCAAAATATTTACATAATAAGAAAAGGTTATTATAGATTTACCCATGGAGTTATCATTTTAAGCATTTCTTGTTTCTCTGATTAGATCCATACTTCCATCTGGTATCATTGACCTTCTGCCTGAAGGACTTCCTCCAAAATTTCATGTACTATAAGGCTGCCAGAGATGAATTCTTTCAGATTTTCTTTTTTCTTTTACACAAAACAAGCATAATTTATCATTTATGATTTATTAAATGATTAGCATTTGAAATACAGCTTAAAATATTTAAAACCATAAAGAAATCTAACTGTAACCTTGAATAACACTATTATTGGAATATCTCAGTCTGATACTCTTGTATTCACATTTAATTGACTGCTACATTTAAGAATGGCATTTTATTTTTACTATATCTGAATTCATATAAAAGCAAGTTATATTGTTTTTTGATTACATTTTATTTATTTACTTTTTTAACTTTTATATTTCAAGGGTACAGGCACAGGTTTGCTATATAGGTAAATTTCAAATCAAGAGGGTTTGGTGTACAGATTATTTCATCATCCAGGTAATAGGCATAATACCTGATAGGTGGTTTTTCAGTCCTCACCCTCCTCCCACCCTCTACTCTAAAGTGGGCCCCAGTTTCTATTTTTCCCTTCTTTGTGTCTATGTATACTCAGTGTTTAGCTGCCACTTATAAATGAGAACATGTCGTATTTGGTTTCTGCTCCTGTGTCAATTCACTTAGGATAATGGCCTCCATCTCTAGTTATGTTGCTGCAAAGGACATGATCTCATTCTTTTCTATGGCTGCATAATAGTCCATCATGTATCTGTACCATATTTTCTTTATCCAGACTACCATTGATGGTACTTAGTTTGATTCCATGTCTTTGCTTTTTTGAATAGTGCTTTGATGAACATAGGCATGCATATGTCTTTATGGCAGAATGATTTATATTCCTTTGGGTATATATCCAATAATTGGAATGCTGGGTAAAATGTTAATTCTATTTAAATTATTTAAGTAACCACCAAGCTGCTGAACTAATTTACATTCCCACTTGCAGTGTATAGGTGTTGCCTTTCATTGCAACCTCACTAACTTCTGTTATTTTTTGACTTTTTAGTAATAGCCATTCCGACTGGTGCAAGATGGTATGTCAGTGTGGTTTTAATTTGCATTTCTCAAATGATTAGTGATGTGGAGGGTTTTTCATGTTTGTTGGCTGCGTGTATGTGTTCTTTGAAAAAGTGCCTTTTATGTCTTTTGTCTGTTTTTAATGGGGTTGTCTTTTGCTTATTACTTTTTTTAAGTTCCTTATAGATTCTGAATATAAGACCTTTGACAGATACATAGCTTGCAAATATTTTCTTCCATTCTGTGGGTTGTGTATTTACTCGGTTGATAGTTTATTTTGCTGTGCAGAAGCTCTTTAGTTTAATTAGGTCTAATTTGTCAATTTTTGTTTATTTTGCAATTGTTTTTGGCATCTTTGTCATGAAGTCTTTGACAGGTCCTATGTCCAAAATGGTATTTCCAGATTTTCTTCTAGTGTTTATTCAGTTTTAGGTTTTACATTTAAATCTTTAATCCATCTTGAGTTGAGTTTTTATGATGTAAGAAAGGGGTCCAGTTTCATTCTGCCTACAACTGGCCAGTTATCCCAACACCATTTATTGAATAGGGAGCCCTTTCCTCATTACTTGTTTTTGTAAACTTTGTCAAAAATCAGATGGTCATAGATGTGCAGGCTTTTTCCTGGGTTCTGTGTTCTATTTCATTGTTCTACAGTGGAATAGATAACCGTAGGTTGTAGCATAGTTTGAAGTCAAGTAATGTGATACCTCCAGCTTTATTCTTTTGGCTTAGGATTGCCTTGGCTATTTGGGCATAGATATGTTCATAATAGTCTCTTAAGATTTTTTTTGTATTTCTCTGGGGTCAGTGGTAAGGTTCCTCTATGTGTGATGTTAGGTTGTGAATTTGAGATCTTTCTAACTTTCTTATGTGGGTGTTTGGTGCTATAAACTTTCCTCTTCACATTGCTTTTGCTGTGTCCCAGAGGTTCTGGTTTGTTGTATCCTTGTTTTCATTAGATTCAAATTTTTTTTTATTTCTGCCTTAATTTCATTGTTTACCCAGAAATCATTCAGGAGCAGTTGTTTAATTTCCATGTTATTGTATGATTTTTTAGCAATCTTGTTAGTATTCATTTCTATTTATATTTTGCCATGGTACAAGAGTGTGGTTGGTCTGATTTTGTTTTTTTAAATTTGCTGAGAATTGTCTAATGGCTAATTATGTGGCCAATTTTAGAGTATGTGCCATGCACAGAGAAGAAGAAGGCACATTCTGTTGTTTTGGCATGAGGAGTTCTGTAGATGTCTGTCAGGTCCATTTGGTCCAGTGTCTAGTTCAGGTCCCAATTATCTTCTGACTTGTAGGATTTCTGCTAAATGGTCCACTTTAGCCTAATGGGGTTCCCTTTGTAAGTCACCTGCCCCTTCTCTCTCAGCTGCCTTTAATATATTTTCTTTCATATTGACCTTAGATAATCTGAAGACTATGTCCCTTGAGGGTGATTGTCTTGTATAGTATCTCTCAGAGGGTCTCTGGGTTTCCCGAATTCAAATGTAGGCTTCTGTAGTGATACTGGGGAAATTTTGTGGATGACATCTTTTAATATATTTTCCAAGTTGCTTGTTTTCTCTCCCTCTTCTTCAGAGACACCAATGATTCATAGATTTGGTCTGTTTACATAATCTCACAGGTCTCAGAAGTTTTGCTACTTCTTTTTTATTATTTTTCTTTATTTGTGTCTGACTGAGTTAACTTGAAGAACCAGTATTCGAGCTCTTAGATTCCTTCCTCAGCTTGGTCTATTCTGTTGTTAATTCTTGCAGTTTCATTACAACATTCTTACAGTGTGTTTTTTCAACTTTATTGGATCAGTTTGATGGTTTCTCCACATAGCCACTTTGTCTTTCATTTCCCGTCTTGTTTTATTGTATTTTTTAGATCTTTGGATTGGATTTCAACTTTCACCTAAATCTCGATGATCTTTGTTCCTATTCATCTTCTGAATTCTATGTCCATCATTTCAGCCATTTGAGCCTGGTTAAGAACCATTGCTGTGGAACTAGTGTGGTCATTTGGAGGTAAGAAGACACTCTGGCTTTTTGAGTTGCCAGATTTCTTGCATTAGTTCTTTCTTATTTGTGTGGGCTGATGTTCCCTCAGTCTTCAAAGTTGATGTCCTTTGGATGGGTTTTTTTCTTTTATCTTCTTTGATGCCCTTGGGGTTTTGATTGTGGTATAAGATGGGTTCAGTCAACTGGCTTCAATTCTGGAAGATTTCAGGAGTTCATGGCTCGGCTCAGCACTCCTGTGCTGTGTTTTCTAACTCTGGAGGGCTGGTAGTAGGTGCCTGGCTTTGTTCTCTGCCCCCTCGAGGTTAGAAACCTGTTGCACTGAAGGAGCTAAATTGTTCCCAGTCCACTAGCCCCAACATTCCAATGGCGGGCGGGGTGGGGTGTGCCAGCCAAAGCACTTTGTAGGAGGAGTGGCATGGGATCCATGCTTGCTCACATGTGACAGCAGCCATGGTGGCAAAGTGGGTTGCATACAAGGCAGCTGGCCCAGTGCACTGTCAGGAATGGGACAGACGCATCCATGCATGCATTCACAGTGGTGATGGAATGGCAGAGTGCCCACATGTCAGCAGAGCTGCAAGAGGGATGCCTGTATCCGTGCACACATTTGCACCAGTGGCAGTGGCAGCACAGCAGGGGTGGGACATTAGTGCAGGCAGGAGCACTGGCATCCATGCACATACTTGCCCTGGTGGTGGCAGTGCTGGTGCAGAGCAGGCAGGGTGGTGGGGGGGTGAGGTTCAGTGTCTGTGCATGCACTTGTGCCAGCAGAGGCAGCAACTGTGTGGTTTGCTAGCAGGAGTGGGTGGGGCAGCATAGTGTGTGTGTGTTCCTTTCAGCAGTGGTACCATGGGCTATCTGCACACATGTCCTATCAGTGAAGAAGTGGGGAGGTTCACCCATGTGCGTGCATCGGCAAAGCAATGGGGGATGGCTGTAGGACAGTGCATTAAGCAAAGTGTCAGGGGGAGGTTGAAGTGGAGTGGGGAAGGCTGCAGGTGAGCTTGTTGTGTCAGTAGGGTCCAGTGTGCTGGTGCTCTCTGATGGTTAGGTGTGGTCTGCCAGCAAAGGAGGTATGATGAAGGCCCCTGCAAAGCACCCTGATTGGGCATCCAAGGCTGTAATGCAACTGGATGTGGCCAGGCTGGGGCCCTGGAAGAGGTTGGCAGACAGAGGTGAGCTCAGATGGAACTGGCCCCATCCCACAGTCAAGATTGCCCTGCTCTGTACAGTCTTCCAAAGGCTAACGCCACATAGGGGAGTTTGGCCAGCCCTGGGGATGGGCATCGCTGGCCATGCTCCACTGTAGCCATTCTTATGCCAAAACCTCTGGGCTCCACACAGGCTGGAATTCTGCTCCTACCACCTTTCTAAGAGGTTGTCTCTGCCAGCTCAAGTGTCCCTGGGGGTCATGGGTTCTCCTGCAGCTAGGATTCCATAGGTCTGTGGCAAGAGTGAACCACTCTTCATCTGATCAACTTAACTCTCCCCCATGACTCACTGAGGGTCAGGAGCAGGTCCTGGTGTTCAGTAGCCCCACACAGGGTTCCCAGCTTCCTTCCCCTTCAGTCCAATGTCTGCATCCTCCCTGCATCCATTCTCAATGCCTTCCCTCTGAAGATCTGCTAGGAGTGTGCCAGTCTTCCCAATGTCCTGGTCCCTCCATGGGAGATGTCCCTCCGGGCTGCATTTAATTGGCCATCTTGGCTCTCTCTCTTTCAGATTTTCTATATCAAAAATATCTTTATTTTGCCTTTAAGGATACTTTACAGGATAAATATTTTCTTGGTTGATTATTTCCTTTCAGTACACTAAATATATTGCTCTACTGTCTTCTTAATTATATAGCTGATGATATATATTCCAACATTCTTTTCATTCTCTAACTATAATGTACTGTTCTTCTCTGAGTGCTTTTAAGATTTTTTTCTTTATCACTGATTTCTTATTATCACTGATTTCTTTAAGACTTTCTCTTCATCATGAGTATGATGTATCTTGGTATTGTTTTGTTTATGTTCATTTTGTTTAGAGTTGATTGAGTTTCTTGGATCTGTAGACTTATAGTTTTCATCACCTTTGGAAAAAGTTTGGTCATTATTTCCTCAAATAATTTTTTTTACTCTCCTAAGGGACAGAAATTACCAGCATATTATGCTTCTTGAAGTTTTCTCACAGCTCAGTAATGTTCATTTCTTTCCAGTTTCTTTTTTCTGTCTGAGTTTCATTTTAGAAAGTTTCTATTGTTGTATGATCAAGTTCACTAGTCTTTTCTTCTGCAATGTCGAATACCATTCATTGTATTTTTCATTTCACTTTATAATTTTCATTTCTAGATGTCTATCTAGGTTCTTATGTCTTCCTTCTCTCAACTTTTCTAATATCCTTGTCTACTGAATCTAACATTATGAAGTCTTATTTATGGGTTATATTTTCCTGTTTCTTTGTATATCTGATAGATTTTAATTATATATCAGATACTGTAAATTTTATCTCTTTGGGTGCCAGATATTTTTGTGCATTTATAAATATTTTTGAGTTTTGTTTTGGTATACAATTAAGTTACTTGGAAACAGTTTGATCTTTTGGGCTATTGTGTTTAAAATATATTAACCAAAATTGCAGCAGTCTTTAGTTTATGGCTAATTTTGCCTTGTTCCCGACGCAAAACCCTTCTACGTATTTATCCAATTTTTCATGAATTATTAGGTTTTCCAGTTTGGCTCCTAGAAACAGGAACTACTCCAGTCTTGTGACTGGGAATTTTCACATCTAGTTTTATCTCTCACTGTAGTCTTACCTTTCTAGTCCACTGTCCCATAAACTCTAGCTCTTTTGGTCAACCTGGGCCCTCAGCTTCAGCTTCATCTCTTCAACTCAAGGAGTCTCCTAGGCTTCACCTGGGTTCTACCTTCCCGGGTTACAGCCTAGAAACTCTCTTAAATTGGTAAACTGCAGTAGTCAATGGGCTCAAGTCATTTGCTTCTCATCCCTTAGGGGATTATTGCTTGATGTTGTATCTTGAAAATCACTTTTCCATATATTTTGTCTAGTGTTTTGCTTGCTTAATGTGAGATGGTATTTTTCCTGTTATACCATCTTCACAGCTCTTCTGTAAAAAAGAATTTAACGTCTTTTTTTTATCATTATGACCTTAGAAATCATATTCTTTCAAATATTTGAGATAAACTTTGGTGCTTAGAATAGGGGCTTGCCATATGGAATAAGTAAGCAACATACAGGTTTAATAGCAGGATACTGTCAATATCAAAATATCTTTTTAGAACTGTTTATCCTTTTAATTTATATTAATTTTCTGTATCATTGAATCTATAGCCAAGGTATCTATTTTTTTGAGCATCATTAAAATGAAAGAAAAGAGCAGTGAATACCACTATATTTGAAGGTAAAGTGATATGGGTAAGTTATACACAAACTCAAAGACGCATGCCTTCATTTAGATCTTTATGGTGTTCCCCAAAACGATCCTTCCTATTTAGTTAATAGTAGTTTCCAAGCATCCTCCACAACCCTAACCTAACTTGCAAACAGATAATTTTAGAAATTAAAAAAGGGATAATTGTAGATATGTCTTCAACCCAAAAAAATGCATTCTGCTTACTCTACTTAAAACGAAACCTCACATGATTTCTGATGGTCCTTACCGGCAATCTCCTTAAAAAAGTAACTGATGATCAATTCTTATTCCTCATATTATAGCTCCCAACCTGATGGCAATGTTACCCAAATCTACTAATTGCCAAATTCAATGACTGTTGTTAGATTTTTTCATTTCCTTTTATATATGACCTCATTGAAATGTTTGAAACCCTTGAAAACTCTTATCCTCTTGAAATATTTTTATTCCATTCATTCCATTCACTGTTCCTCAGAGTTCACTCATTATATGTCACCTAGACTGTTACAATAGCCATGTAATTATAGAAGGCATTCAGTAATTGGTAATAACATAATATAACAGAACATAAAAACAGGCAAATTGGAGATGCCTCATTTGAAAGAAGCATTGTCATCCTAACATGTTGTGTTTTTTTATTAATTAGAAAAGTAAACCAAAAACATGTTTCTATTTTGTACTCATTTTATTCAATAAAGAACTCTGTTGCAAATGGTTCAGAATATATGAATTACTAATATGCCTTGAAGTGTTATTCCTCATGCAGGAAGAGGAAGAGTGATTGCCTGATGTTTACTCTCACAAACACACTTTATAATCCACAACAGAGGACAAAATATTGAGAAACAAGTTGCAGAAGAGTGAAAAATATTCTCTGCCCAGACTGCTGTGTTTATTCTCCTGCTGTGATCCATTAGTAAACAGCTGTTCCTTGACTTCTGGAGATAAGATTTCTGTCAGTACAGCAAATTGAGGACAGAAGGGACTCATTTTCTCAAACAGGTGAAGGAAGGGCCAGAACATGATTTATAATTCCTTGCAATGTATCACACAAATTACATAACCAATTCATATATTCCAATTTTCATTACTGAGCAGAATTTTCACTTAACCTAATTTGTCTATCTTTTCCAAAAGGGAAAATAACAAGAATTTGGGTTAAAGAAACTTTTAGTGCTTTATGAAACATAACAAAATATCTAAAACCTTGAAAGGCATGCCATTTTTCTAAATAAATTTATCTTATTCTCAATAACTCAACTGATGAGATTTGGAAATGAAGATTTTATGTTGGTGAAACCTTATAAACAAAACTTCTGAATTAATATTATGCATGTACGAATCAGACAGTAGAGTGGGAAAGTACTTACAGATTCAATTATCTTTCATTCTTTTGCAAAATTTATAAAGGACACACTTATCAATTGCTGACAATGAACACCAAAAACCTCAGAGTATATGTCTCTGATGAACCAGAATGAATTACACAGATGCCTGGAATGTCCCAATAATGTGCCTTTATTTCCAAATACAGGATTTTGTAAACCTCATTGAATATGGTATTGATATGTTTATCATCTGGGAAAAATATAATATTGTGGTTTAACATTCTTTAATATTGGAAAGAACCTAATGAAAACCATGAATACTGTAGGGAAATAAGTTAGATTTACTTTAGAGGCCTGTTTATTCTTCATTTAACAAGAATGGACAAATCATACAATTCATGGATTAATTCATTAGAGAAGAGAATTGAAATTCTTCATTTGGAACATGTTTAACTTGGGAGAATTAAGTCATTTTTGAGAAATGTCCTTCAGAAAACCTGACTCCAATTTTCATTACTAATTCAAAAATTAATTCAAAGGTAATTGAAATTTGGGAAAAGTGTTAAGAAAAATGTTAAAGTATGAAAGTTTAGAAAAAATCACATTAATCAGCACTCATTGTTCTATGTTGTTTTTTCCTTTGAGCCATACATGCATTGTATAAAAACACTCCCATTTTGTCAATATAAAATCATCAGCATTATTCATTCAAACTATTTTTGAGCACTTACTACATGCCAAGAACAGTGCAAGACGTTGAAGAGTTTAAAATGATTAAAGTATAGTTTGTGACTTATGTTTTATAGTCTATAAACTTAAAATTTCACTATAAAAGGGAAACAGGTGAAGATTCAAGAACAATATGTTGTGCCAAACAAATCAAGCCCATAGGAATGGAGAGAACACATGGTTATTTGAGCAGGGGAACTTTACTATAAGGAGTTTTTAACTAGTAGAAGGTAGAACTACTAAAAGTTATGGAAGAGGATTCTAAGAGGTCCAGGCATGGCACAAGCAAGAGAAGCTACTACCCCCAGGCTGAGGAAAAGTGGAAAATAAAGGAACTGATAACTAGGAAAAGGCCCTGCCCCAACCCTGGCTGTGATCTAGATCTCTTCCAAAATATTCGTCTATGACAGGAACAAAGCTTGCTGGTGACAAATAATCTTGCCAGAAAGAAAGGGACAGTGCTGTTCTCTAGAAGCAGCCCAAGTTGCTGGAATGTCTGAGCCATCTGGAGCTGATTTACAGAAGCAGTTCACCATTGCCAAAGGGTGTGAATGGATTAGAGCTACTTGGAAGAGGCTGTTCATTAGGAAAGTATGGCCTGGTTACTTTACTTATAAAGTATTTTATTTTTAATAAAAATAAAAATGTTTCCATTTTTATTGAAATGGGCTGAGTATCATTGCTGGGGAATGTGCACAAGGTATATTGGGGATGATAAAGAAGTAGATTATCTGAGGTAGCAATCAGACAGAGGGATTTTGTGAAAGACGTGTTTAATGAGAATTTGTCTGAAGACATGGTGTGCAGTGTGTCACTGTCATCTTTCCAATGCCTCTGTAAATCTTAAGTAGAGACTACAAAACTAAGAAAAAGAAAATAATAATAAAATGGTGAGTTGAATTAGATTTCATTTAAAAACTAGTGAAGGGTCTGAGTTTTACCAATTGTTTAATGTTAAGCCAAAAGAGGATCAAGTGTATGAATGAAAAGATTAATAATATCTGGAAGATGGCGAGGACCTCAATCTTGGTGATGCCCTGTATAGCAGCCACTGCATGCAAACCATCCAAAAGACCACCAGCAGCCGGAGAGTGGATAGCAAAGTGGTATCTGAGACCAATGACACCAAAGTTCTGAAGCATTAAGCCAGCAGAAGCAGGGTACCCTTTGGGGAGCAGGAGGCCAATGAAAAGTTCAGAGGTTAAAAAAAAAAAAAGAAAAAAAAGAAAGAATACTCCCATCCTTAAGATAAGAATTTTTAAAACTAAACAATCTGAAAATCAACAATCTCTTCAGAGAATCGAGGTCATAGGGTAAACCACCACACAAATTCTAGAAAGACAACAGAATACAGAGAAATATTGCCAAGCTCTATTTACCCACAGCAGGAGTTTCTGGAGCTACAAATTATAGAAATACTTAAACACTAATTTTGACAACTTGCTGTAGACTAAGTATAGACTACCATGAGAATGAGAAACTCCTACAGGCCACAGTCTTGGGAAAATCTTCACACTTTTGTGGGTTTTACCTCTAGGAATCTCAACAGGTTCTCATGGTCAAGAGCCAAGAGAAACTCCCCTCACAATTCTGTCAGGGGAAGAGGGGAGTAGCCATTTTTAAATATACCAACTATTCTACATAACAAGAAAAAGATTTTACCAGAGCCTAATACACCTGGGGAAAGGGCACTTATTCTCCTCCAGCACCCTCTAGCCTTCGTATCTCACTTAAATGGAGGGCAAAAACTGAAAAATAAAAAAAAAGAAAATTGTGCCATTCACAAGCCAATAATACAGGCCCACAGGCCCAATAAAAGACTGAAATTTAACCATAAGATTATAGATTACTTCCCCTTCCCCATACCTAACTGCCACATCTACAGGGTCCCTATATAATAATAATAGATTGCACATTAAAGAGCTGCAAGCCACTGACTTAAGGTAAACTTCTTAGGGAATTCTGAAGATAACAGGAGAGACCAGAACAAGGACATTAGAGGAATCTGAAGTCTCTGGCACGTACAGCAAACATGAAATACATCCTACCTCCTGGTCAGATTAATATAAAACCTCACACTAAAGGCCCATTTACCACAGTTCCTTTTACCCAATACATCATGCTCAGCTTCAAAAAATCATAATAATAACAGGCATACTAAAAGACAAATAAGAAAAAAACAGTATAAAAAGTTTAACCTAGCATCGAAGCCAGACTAAGATATGGCACAGATTTTGAAATATCAAACAGAAAATTTTAAATATTTATGATTAAAATGTTAAGAAATCTAATGGAAAAAGTTAATAACTTGCTAGAATAGGTGAATAACATAAGCAGAGAGATAAGAACTCTATGAAAAGATCAAAAAGAAATGCTGGAAGTAAAAAACACTAATAGAAATGAAGAATGTTTTTGGTGGGTCCATCAGTAGATTGGGCACAGCCAAGGAAAGAATCAGTGAGCTGAACTGAAATGCAAAGATTAAAAGAATAAAAAAAGAATAAGATGTCAAGAACTATAGCAAATTTCAAAAGGTATAACATAGACATATTTGGAATACAGGAAGGAGAAGAAAGGCAAAATAAATAAAAAAAACTATTGGAAGTTACAATGGTTGAGAAAATTTCTGGAATTAATGACAGACATCAAATCATACATCAAGGACGGTCAGAAATCATAAAACAGGGCTAAATAGCAAAATGCCTACATGTAGACAGATCATCTTCAACTCTAGAAACCCAAAGACAAAGAGAAATTACTAAAATAAGCCAAGGGGAGGAAATAACTTTACCTATAGAAAAACAAAAACAAGAATTACAGGAAACTCTCATCACAAACCAACAAAAAGAGTGCAGTAAAGTATTTAAAGTGTTGAAAGAACAAATCACCAACTTAGAACTCTACATTCAACAAAATTATCTTTAAAAAGTGAAGGAGAAACACTTTATCAGGCAAAAAGCAGGTAATTCAGCAGCAGCAGACCTGCACCGTAAGAAACGTTAAAAGAAGCTCTTCAGAAAGAAAGAAAATGACCTAAGTCAGAAATTCAGATCTATATAAAGAAAGGAAGAGATACATTTGTTAAGGTAAAATAAAATATTTTGTTACAAATTTTTAGTTGTTTTAAAAGATAACTATTTTTATTTTATTAATAATAGTAACAATATACTAGATGAGTAAAGCAAATGAAAAAGGTAAAATTAATATTATAAGGATGGAAAAAAGAAACTGGGAATATTCTGTTATAAAATACCTATACTACACCTGAGACTGTATAATGTTATTTGAAGGTAAGTTTATATTCATTAGAAATGCACATTTTATTGTATTTTTTTAAAATTATACTTTAAGTTGTAGGGTACATGTGCACAAAGTGCAGGTTTGTTACATATGTATACATGTGCCATGTTGGTGTGCTGCACCCGTTAACTCGTCATTTACATTAGGTATATCTCCTAATGCTATCCCTCCCCCCTCCCCCCACCCCATGACAGGCCCAGGTGTGTGATGTTCCCCACCCTGTGTCCAAGTGTTCTCATTGTTCAATTCCCACCTATGAGTGAGAACATGCGGTGTTTGGTTTTCTGTCCTTGCCATAGTCTGCTCAGAATGATGGCTTCCGGCTTCATCCATGTCCCTACAAAGGACATGAACTCATCCTTTTTTATGGCTGCAAAGTATTCCATGGTTTATATGTGCCACATTTTCTTAATCCAGTCTATCACTGTTGGACATTTGGGTTGGTTCCAAGTCTTTGCTATTGTGAATAGTGCCACAATAAACATACTTGTGCATGTGTCTTTATAGCAGCATGATTTATAATCCTTTGGGTATATACCCAGTAATGGGATGGCTGCGTCAAATGGTATTTCTAGTTCTACAATGGTTGAACTAGTTTACAGTCCCACCAACAAGTGTAAAAGTGTTCCTATTTCTCCATATCCTCTCCAGTACCTGTTGTTTCCTGACTTTTTAATGATCACCATTCTAACTGGTGTGGGATGGTATCTCATTGTGGTTTTGATTTGCATTTCTCTGATGGCCAGTGATGATGGGCAAGAAATGCATATTTTAAACCCTAGGACAACCACCAAAAAAGCTTTTTTAAAGAAGCATAATGATACATTAAGAGAGGAGATAACAATGGAATAATAATAATAAAGCCTCAAATAAAAAGAAGGAAAGCACAAAAAGAAGGTAAAAGATATAAATAACAAGCTGTAATAAATAGAAAACAATAACAAATATAGCAGATATTAATTCAACCATATCAATAATCACTTTAAATATAAATAATCTAAACACACCAATTAAAAGACAGAGATTGTCAATATAGATAAAAACAAGACCCAACTATACACTGTATTCAAGAAACTCACTTTAAATATAAAAAGTCAGTTAGGTCAAAGCAAGGGGATGAAAAAGATTTACCATACCAACAATAAATAAAAGAAAGCTAAAGAGTATATATTAATTTCAAACAAAGCAAACTTCAGAACAAGAAAAATTTTCAAGGATAAAGGAGGACATTACATAATGATAAAGGCCTATTCTCCAAGAAGACATGACAATTTAATTTGTATGTACATAACAACACAGCATCAAAATAATGAGACTAAAACTGGTAAACTGCAAGAAGAAATAGGCACATCTACTTCAACACACCTTTTCAGTAATTGATAAATCAAGCAGGCAGAACATCAGTAAGGATTTTTTTGATCTGAACAACACTGTGAATCAACTCGCTCTAGTTGATATTTACAGAATTCTTCATTCAACAGCCACATTATACAAATTCTTCTCATATTACATAAAACATTCACCATGACAGATCATGTTCCAGGCCATAAAACACACCTTAACAAATTTTTTGAACATAAAAATTATATAAAGTATGTTTTCAGAACAAAATGGATGTAACTAGAATTTAGCAACAGAAACAGAGCTTGGAATTCCCAAATATTGAAAGACTAAACAACTCACTGCTAAATAACATATGGGCCAAAGAAAAAATTCTCCAGAGAAATTAAGTTACTTTACTCTAAAACTTATCAAAATCTACAGGAAGTATCAAAAGCAGTGCTTAGATGAAAATTTTTAGCATCATTAAATGCATATTATTAGAAAAAAGAAAGACCTAAAATACGTAATCTAAACTTTCACCTTAGGAAAGCAGAGAAAGAAGAATGATTTAAGCCTAAAGTCATCAGAAGAATGGAAATAATACAAACTAAAGCGAAAATCAAAGAAATTAAAATATAAAACAATAGAAAAAAACAACAAAAGCTGATTCTTTGAAAATATAAATAAAATAATAAAACTCTAGCCAGGATAGCTTAGAGAGAGAGTGAAAAAGAGAACACAAATTACCAATATAAGTTTTTTAAATATGTTGTTATTACTGATCCATGGCTACTAAAAGCATAAGAAAGGAATTCTGAAAAAACAACTCTAGGCCCACAGATTTGATAACTTAGATGAAATGGGCCAGTACCTTAAAAGACATAAAATACCAAAGCTCACACAAGGAGAAATGGATATTCTGAATATCCTTAATATGTAGCTATTAAAAATCTATTTAAAAAATTAAATCAATAATAAACCCTCAAGAAAAAAAATATAAGGTTCATTTCTTATTGAAAGAATTGGTAGAATTTAAACTTGTTCATTGGTAAATTATCCTGAGTATTACAGTAAGAAATGATACTAATTTCCCATAACGTCTTCCAGAAGATACAAGCAGGGAGAATACTTCCTAACTCATTCTAAGATGCCACATTAGCTTAATGCTGGAACTCGATAGATATTACAAGAAAGAAAAATCACAGGCCAATATCTCTCATGCACAGACATTAAAAAAATATATACAGTAAAATATTAGCAAATTTAATGCAATAATATACAAAAAATTCTACACCATAACAAAGTTGAATCAATATCTTTGTATATACATTTTAAAAATACTTTTACTCAATTATTTTTAAAGAAATATTCCTAGAATTAGAATTGCCAGATAAAAAGGTATGTACACTTTGAAGAATTTCAATGAATATTTTAAAAATTATTTACAGAACAGCCAATTTAATTTTTATTTCCATCACAAGAATTTAGGACAGCTATTTAAGCCATTATACATGTTCCCTAGTGAATTACCATGTTTAATTTCCCATTAGGTTTTTTTAATGGTTTACATAGTGAGGATTTATAAAGATTTTATTATTTTATAACTGAACTTTCTTCTGTAACATTTGTCTTTTCACCCTTTTTTGATGTTTTTGTCCCAATTTTTTTTTCTTAACTTTTAGTAGTTAAAAATCTAAATATTTAATTCATGGTATCAGACCTTAGGCCATACTTTTTAAAATGTTTTTCTTCTAGTCCTTTGTAATCTGGAATTCATTCTAAGATTAGCAGAGATCTGTCTCTTTTTTTAATCATTTGTTATCTTGGAACTATAATTTGTCTATCTCCCCACTGGCTTTAGTTTTCAAGTGTATTGTTAATTAAAAATTCTGGGGTCTATTTTGTATTCTCTATTTTATTCTTTTGATATGACCTTCTGCTCTGAAATCAGAACCATCTTGCTTTAAATATAAAAAGCCATGCAAACTTCAGAACAATGAAAATGATCATGGCTAAAGAGGGGCATTACATAATGATAGAGGCCTATTCTCCAAGAAGACATACTATAGGAATAGATATTTCTACTATGTGCTATCTTTTACTTAAAAAAAAAAAACTTATAGCAACTCAGATTGCTTTATCCTTTTAATTTAATCAAATTCTCAGAAAAAATTTATATTGATTTTAAATTTAATTGCAGTTTAGACAGAATTAACATCTTTACACACTCTTTTCATAGACTTTGTCTATTCATTTCAAATAGACAAGGATATATCTATTTTATATTTTTTATTTCATGGTTTCATTGCTCTTTTAAATTATATATATGGGAGGGTTTAGCCAATTATGATTCTCAAAAGAGAGCAAAGCTACTGTTTTTGCATATTGATTTTGAAATGTCACCTTTCAGCTCATTATTTTCCAGAGAATTTTTTTTGAAATAGATAGTGATATTATAGCAAATAATAATAACATGCCTTCTTTTACAAAGGATTTTATACTTTATTTTTTTCTCATTTTCTTATCTTTAATGTCTTGGCTAGCATTTTCAGAACAATGTGCAATAATGACAACAATAGTGTGCATCCTTGTCAGCATTCTGATGTCAATGGAAACACCCCAGTGATGAATAATGTTGGCTGCTGATTTCTGGCCTCCAGAACACAGAGCAATAAAAATAGATGTTAGTAACAAAATGTTAACCCAAAACAGTAAAATCATTGGAAATTTAAAAGTCCTAAACAACTAACAATATTCCTTAAAAGTCAAGGAAGTATGTTTGTATCTTTATGTTCCAAGACTACGTATTATCATATCAGTAATACTTGTGATTAATCAAATGTTTATTAGTGTTTATTGTGATTGACAACTAATTTTTACACTTTGCTAAACTACACTATTAGATTTCCTGATGAAATATGTTTGTATGATAGGTAATTGTGCAATTTGTAATTTTGTACTGCTTTTATATGTTGCTGAATAAAATTTGCTAACTTCCCAGAAGCAACCACCTTCTACTTCTTCCACTATTGTTTTGGAGAGTTCCCTCCAGATCTCTAAACAATATGCATCTAATACATATTGTCAATAATATTACAGTTTCTGCTGATTATTCTGTTAGATGAAAATCTCTTATGGTTCCTTTACCCATTTTCCCAGTATTAGTATAATGTAAGTTTTATAACATATATGTAAACAGAATATTTTTGTCATTATAACTCTGTACTCTTGAGTATATTATAATTTAATTCCCCTTCTTTTGGTTCTTCCTGGAGTCATATATTTCTTTTTTAGTTCATTTACTTTATTTTCCTTAATGGCCTCCTACACCTTTATTTTCTATTAATGGCTTCCTACACCTCCCACATTTTGTAAAAACATCTCTCCATATAATTTTCTACTCTGTCACACTGATAGTTCATTAGTTCTTGATATATCCACACCCTTCGTGGGACTCTCTCACATTCTGCTATCATTTGGACTAGATTCTCTCTAAGCCTTCAACACACTCATCCTAGGCCTTCCTACTCTTTACTTTCTTCTACGTTGTATATGCTCTCTCCGAGATCTTTTTTTTTTTTTTTTTTTTTTTTTTTTGAGACGGAGTCTCGCTCTGTCGCCCAGGCCGGACTGCGGACTGCAGTGGCGCAATCTCGGCTCACTGCAAGCTCCGCTTCCCGGGTTCACGCCATTCTCCTGCCTCAGCCTCCCGAGTAGCTGGGACTACAGGCGCCCGCCACCGCGCCTGGCTAATTTTTTGTATTTTTAGTAGAGACGGGGTTTCACCTTGTTAGCCAGGATGGTCTCGATCTCCTGACCTCATGATCCACCCGCCTCGGCCTCCCAAAGTGCTGGGATTACAGGCGTGAGCCACCGCGCCCGGCCTCTCCGAGATCTTATACCTTCTTCATTCTGGTTTATTCACTTGTTTTGATGGAAGTACATTCTTTATCATGTTCCCAAGAGATGCTGCAAAGGAGATAAATTCTTAGAGACTTTATGATTCTGAAAATATCTTCTTCTACACTTACATTGCTGGTCAATTTGGCTAAGCCTATAATTATTTTCCCAATAGAAGATTGCTTCATTGATTTCTAGTTTCAAATTATGATTTTGAGATGCTATTATTATTTCAGATCCTTTGTATGTGACCTGTTTATTTTTTTTTCTTTTTTTTGGTAAGTTTTACACTATCTGAAATCATGATTAAAGGTTGTGATATGGCTCTTTTCTAATTTTTTTGTGTTGCATAATCAGTGGGCTTCTTGTTTTTTTAACTTTTCTTTTAGGTTTGGGGGTACATGTGAAGGTTTGTTACATAGATAAACACATGTCATGGGGATGTGTTGTACAGATTATTTCATCATTCAGGTACTAAGCCTAGTACCCAACAGTTACTTTTTCCACTCCTCTCTTTCCTTTCACCCTCAAGAAGGCCCCAGTGTCTGTTGTTCCCTTCTTTGTGTTCCTGAGTTCTCATCATTTAGCTCCCACTTATAAATGAGAACATGCAGTATTTAGTTTTCTTTTCCTGCATTAGTTTGTTAAGGATAATTGCCTCCAACTCCAGGCATGTTTCTGCAAACGACATAATCTCATTCTTTTTTATGACTGCATAGTATTCCGTGGTATGTATGTACCACATTTTCTTCATCCAGTCTGTCACTGATGGGCAGTTAGGTTGATTCCATGTCTTTGCTATTGCAAATAGTGCTGCAATGAACATTCACATGCATGTGTCTTTATGGTAGAATGATTTGTATTCCTCTGTGTATATACAAGTAATGGGATTGCTGGGTCTCATGGTAGTTTTGTTTTTAGCTCTTTGAGAAATAATCATACTGCTTTCCATAATGGCTGAACTAATCTATACTCCCACTAACAATGTATAAGTGTTCCCTTTTCTCTACAACCTCACCAGCATCTGTTATTTTTTGACTTTTTTTTAATAGCCATTCTGACTGGTGTGAGATGGTATCTCACTGTGGTTTTGATATACATTTCCCTAATGATCAGTGACGTTGAGCTTTATTTCATATGTTTGTTGGCCCTATGTATGTCTTCTTTTGAAAAGTGTCTGTTCATGTCATTTGCCTACTTTTTAATGGGGTAGGTTGTTTTTCTCTTGTAAATTTGTTTAAGTTCTTCATAGATAATATCTATAAGATAGTAAAAGATAATATCTGATGGATATTAGACCTTTGTTAGATGCATAGTTTGCAAATATTTTCTCTCATTCTCTAGGTTGTCTGTTTACTCTGTTGATAGTTTCTTTTGCTGTACAGAAACTCTTAAGTTTAATTAGATCCCAGTTGTCAATTTTTTGCCTTTCTTGCAATAGCTTTTGGTGGCTTTGTCATAAAATCTTTGCCTGTTCCTATGTCCAGGATGGTATTGCCTAGGTTGTTGTACAGGATTTTATAATTTTGGCTTTTACAATTAAGTCTTTACTCCATCTTGAGTCGATTTTTGAATATGGTGTAGGGAAGGGGTCTAGTTTCAAACTTCTGCATATGGCTAACAAGTTACCCCAGAATAATTTATTGAATAGTAAATCCTTTCCCCATTGCTTGTTTTTATCAGCTTTGCTGAAGATCAGAAAGTTGTAGGTGTGCAGCCTTACTTCTGGGATCTCTATTCTGTTTCACTGGTCTACATTCCTGTTTTAATAGTATTACAATGCTGTTTTGGTTACTGTAGCCCTGTAGTACAGTCTGAAGTCAGGTAACATGATGTCTCTAGCTTTGTTCTTTTTGCTTAGGATTGCCTTGGCTATTCGGGCTATTTTTCCAGTTTTACATGAATTTTAAGATAGTTTTGTTCTAGTTCTGTGAAGTACGTCATTGGTAGTTTGGTAGGAATAGCATTGAATCTATAAATTGCTTTAGGCAGTATAATCATGTTAATGATATTGATTCAGTGGGCTTTTATAATCTGAAAATGTATGTCTCTCAGTTTTGAATAATTTTCTTTTACTATGTCTTTCATAATTTCTTCCTCAATGTTTATTCTGTGCTCCCTTTAGGTAATTTCTACTAATTAGTTACTGTACTTCTTTTATTAATACTCTAAAGTTTTTTTTCTTTTCTTTATTATTGTCCTTCTTTATTCTCTTTGTTCTGCTTAGTGGAAGACTTCTTTAACTTTTATCTTGCAAGCCCATCATTGAATTTTTAATTTCATCTGTCATATCTTTAAAAGATCATTCTATTTTTTCTGATTAATTCTTCTTTATAGCATTCTCTTCTTTTTGGGTGGATACAATAATTTGATCTTTTAAAAATATTGGTTATAATTCTGCTTCTGTATGTTTTGGTCTTTTTCTTATATATTGGAATCTTCTATATATGAACATCCTTAGTTATTTGCATATATTTAAGAATAAAAAACTAAAAATCTCATTAGATTCTGCTTTACATATATAATTAGAGTCCTTTGAGCATGGATTTTATCTAGGACAATTGAGTGGGTAAATTTCTTTTTAATGGATCACTTAAGTATTAAAAATAAACTATCATCTGTAAACATTGTATGTTTCTCCATTTACACAAATTTCCCTCTATATTCTTTAATCAAAAATTGAACACTGTTACATTTTTCTTCATAAATTACAAGTATATTTCTTTGGCAGATTAATTTCTGGGCAAATAATAGTTTATGTTATAAAGTTTTGTCTCCTTTTAAATTGTATTTTCTAACATGTCATTTCTGGATATAAAAATGATATTGAATTTTACCTGTTGATCTAATAATTGGCAACATCATTGAACTCTCAATTTTTCTAGGTTTCTTTATATTCTGTCTTATTTTTCATGTGGACAGCCATATCATCTGAAAATAGTAACAATATTATTTTCTTATTTCTAATTTTTCCACTTGTTATTTCCATTTTTATCTTTTTACATTCACTGTGATATCATCTTCTCTGTATTTATTGTTTCAGGTGGGTTTGGCTAGATCTCAGTCCCCTGCAAGGTTTCTAACAGAGTTCTTGGTACCATCCCTACCTAGTTCTCTCTTATTTCCAACATTAGAAAACTAGGATTCCCTACATACAATGATAGCAGAGTTTTTCACTGGTCATCTCCCAGTCTGTCCTTCCACCCCCTCACACCACTGTTAATCCGCCTAAAGTGCTGTCCTTTCAAAGAACACTAAGCCATTGTTTTCCTATCTTTTCAGTTATTTTCTCCTGAGTTTTGCAATATCTGCCTGATTTGTAGGTTACTGGCAATGGTAGTTGCTTAGGAGTGTGTACCAGTTATCAACTTATTGCTTCTCAGTTCCAATCAACCCTTCGTCTGTTTGTGACACTAGGATATTTTTCCCTCACCAGTTGCCTTGATATTAAGCTTTAACAGTAAAAGGTGCTGGAGAGACACTGAAGGAGGTGCTTTCCTCCTGGAGTTTGGTGATGCCTTCTCAGTTGGCTCCCCAGCAACCTGAAGCACAGGACTTCCTTTAGGCAGTTTATCCTGACAACCTAGAGGGCCATTACCCAGGACAATATCCAAGCAGGTGGCTTCTCAATGATTTCTTCAGCAGAGTGTCTTTCATGGATGGCTTCACCTGTCCCTCAGAGGGCACAGAGTTCTGACAGCACTTTAACAAAGTCTCCACTGTCCAGAGGGTCATGGCTGTACCCTTTCCAATGAGATCTGAATCTCTCCCCAGGTTGGGGGGAGGCAGATGATGGGATCTTCCAGACTTGCTCCTTACTTGGAGGCTCTGCCTTAGCCCTAGAGGCAGGGCTGCTACCATATCTGTTATCCCTTTATTTATTAGAGTTTTGTTGACTTTTTAGTAGCAATTCTCTGTTATTATTAACACTTATTTATATTAGATTTTTCCTGTTGATATGGCTATGTGGGATTTCTGTCTTTTGATTAAACCCTGAATAATATAAGGTATAACCTTTTTATTATCACTTTATCTACAGACCTATGGTGACCATACCTCTCAGAATCCACTTCACCTGTTGTTTTTCCCCTTTTTATTTATTTGTTTGTGTGTGTTGTTTTTGTTTTTGATGTTGTTTTGGCCAGGTATTCATTGGGACTTTTCTACAAATATAAAAATAAGAACGTGACAGTGGTGGTAGTAGTACAGCAGGGTTTTAGAATTTAGGGATTGGAGTGAATTTAATCAGATTTCTATTGGGAATCTACTCTTAGGGAAGAACTTACAGGTCTTAAAGGATTACCAGATATCTAAATAGGAATATTCATTCCTTTGTTCTGTGTGTGTATGTGCATTTCCCAACTAAGTGTTTTGTAATGCTTCTTGCTCCCCAGACCTTATTAACTTACGATGTTCAAAGCATAATATCAGCATGATGGCAAGGCCTATTTAGAGTGTTGTACATCATGGAATATTAAAGGAAACATTTATCCTTCTGTGTGGCTAATATGCACCTCTTCAAAGTAGAAACTGAAACTTTCTTTCCCAGCTTCCGTGCAAGTAGAAACTAGTCATGTGACCTCTTTTTGCCAATCAGGTATACTCTCATGAGGGATGAATCCAGGTATTGTGTGAACTAAAGCTTATACAATTATAGGCGCCTCTTTTAAGAAAAAGAATACATTACAAATACAAAGTAATGCACAAAATATATTTATTTAAAATGAGAAAAGGAATTACAATTAATTATAAATTTGAAAAAGTTGACAAATTACTAACATACATTTTTAATTAAATGACTTCTTGTCATACCTGTATAAATGCTCTCTTTCCCGTGTTACATGAATTCTCTTTGCTTCTTCATGGGAATATATTATTTTCTTATTTTCTATTTAAAAATTAAAATGTATTTTAGTCTTCCCATTGATAAGTTAGATCAATATTTGTTTTTTATTTATTTGGGATGTATACAACATTCACACACAAATGTGCTTACTGTTTGTAGTACTGCCATAGGTCAACTTTATTAATATTTATTAATCTTAATACATTCTAGTTCATGGATTCCCATCAATACAAGAAAAATATATTTGTTGCATTGATAATTATACATGTCACATTATGAAGTGTATATCTAATAAGAGAAAACTTTCCTTTTGACTTGACATTGATGATAACCAGATCATCTGCTTACAATATTATAGATCTAATGACTGGAAGAATTTGCCCCAGACTAGCTTCCTATTCAATCCTTGTTCTCCTCCATTACCCACACACCTATGGTGGTGCCCCTACAAGACATATTCATATTGTATGGCCTCTGGCCCTGCAGCTTTGTGTCATAATGCCAGATGAGTCAGTACTCAGTACCATGGGCAACAGGAATTTTTCTGGAAGCCATTCCTATACCAGGATGGTTGTCAATAGTTTAGTTTAATTCCTCCCAGAGTGCCTCAAAACTACACAAACATATCCCATTAAATGCTAAGTAAGTATCCTAATTTCATTTTCTGTTAGATTCCAAAAATTCTTGGGGCCACTTCAAAACCATCTGACATAGGAAAAAGTGTTACGGAGGGGAAACTGAAATAGAAGAAAACAGCAGTCTTAACTTATTGAGATTGGAATACCTTACTTTTCCACATTTTACAAAAATGTGTGACCCAAAGGAATACATTACTTGAACCACCCCCGAGGTTTTGGAAGGAATCCACGCAAGTCAGCATAAGCCTCAGTAGCTTCATGGAAATCCTGCCTCTGTTCATGAGATCAATTTTGGAAGACAGCTCTGTGAAGAAGTAAGGCTCCTCCTAGAATTCATTTCAATGAAGTGGCCAGAGAGATCCCAAGTCCAGAGACAGAATAACAGGAGTCTTCATGCTGGCATCTCTGCCCCAGTTGGCAGGGCACTCTGAAATGTCTATGCTTGGCAGTGGAAATGACAGCATCTGCTGAGGTCGCCCAGTGGTGCAACTTGGGCATCATTTCTGGCTGTGACATCCCCAAACCTATGAAATTCTTTTTTCTGCACAAACTAAACTACTTAGAAGAGAATCTGTTATCTCTAAATTAAAAAAAAAAAAAACTGTTAAAGTAAATGAGCCTGACCCCTTCAACCTGCAAATTGTCAAAGTAATTGGATGAGAAGTTATTCTTGCCTGAACCCTGAGCCCATCAGGTTCTTTTGTATGTGCTCTGGAACTGCATTCTTTCTTTCAAAGCACTCATTTCAGTTTTATTGCACATTTTTATGTGATTAATTGACATCTGTTTTCCAAAACATTAAGAATCCTGAGATCAGGGACTATGTCTATTTTAGTTACTGGTACTTATCTCCTGGCATGTAGCAGGTGTTCAATAAATGTTAACTGAAAGAAAATGAAAGTGCTTATTAAATGAATCTACTTTCCTCTTTTATATTTGTACCCTGCACTTACCATTATTACCACATTTAACACATTCTATTGAAATTATCTGTTTATGCATCTGCACACTCTATTAGATTATAAGCTCTTAGAAGGCCAATATTATTTCTGAACTATCTAAAAATCTCCTGTTAAGTACTCAACACATGTTTATTGAACTGATCTATGCCATTAACTGGAAATTAGTATCTCTGCCATGAATCCCAAATGGCTTACTTAACTTCTTTGAGAGTCCACGTTTTTTTATTTGTAAAGAAGCTATTCTAGAGATGATCTCTTAGAATACTTACCAGTAACATGTAAAAGTTATACGATTCTAAATACAAAATATATTCTCATATCTCAAAATGCTAACAATATCTTAAACAATTTAAATGAAAACAAAAGGCCTTTGGGGTACATTTGAAGATGTGGGAAGAAATTTCATTAAAATACATAGGATGAAAATGTGTTTATTATTTGATTTTTGCTCAACAGATTTATAGACAATAAAATGTTTGTTCAGTGAAGCCAACTTGAATAGCCATTAAAAAGTTTATGCTCTTTTGGGACCATGTGGAAAAATTCCAAAAATGTAAGTGTATTATTTTAGAAAATAAAGTAGTTTGTCCTTCTTGGGAATTTTAGAAATATTATTATGCCTGCTGGATAATATTACCATATACAAAGATCTGAAGGTTTCTTTCAGGAATTTAATATCATACTCGAAAAATAACATATTAGATGTTTGGATACCTTGACTATTTAGTATGTCTCACTTTTAACAAATTTGATTTCTACTAAAGAATAAAACATATGTATATTTGAATGACTCAGTTGTAGCTTTCACTGGCTCTTATAAATGCACATTTTATATTGAGTCTGCAAAAAACCACCACTGGAAAATCCAACCCAGACACAGAAAAGTATCTTGAAATAGTCTATTAACATGAAATAATGTTTTCCCCATAAATGAAAGCTTTCTCCCATTTAGTTTTATTGCAATCTCCAAATTAAATAATTAATGAGCAATACTTTACTGAAAACTGTACAGTAGTTAGTGGCACTTACTCCAGAGCCTGAGAATAAGTTTCATAAATCAAATAGTTAATCGGAATCTTTCAAAGAAATAGAAGAGAAAACGAAGGCAATCTGAGGGGAGAATGGGTAAATGAGAGTAGCTGCTGTATTTTCTTCTCACACTGACATGCAGAAAATGTCCCTTAGTCAACAATATAAAAATAGAATAAAGCATATTACCTCTAGCTATTTCCAATTTCCCTTTTCAAACAATTGTGAGAGTGAAAAATATAAGGTATGTGGATGGTTTGCTAAAAAGATCTAACATTGAAAAACACTAACAGGGACCATGAAGCTTTAAAGATCACCCTGCCTAGACTGCCAACATATCTAATGGAGAGGGGTAATCATTGTTTAATGGAAAAGCAAGAGAAAAGCAATTTTAAATTAAAATTTTGCTAGGGAAAGGTTGTATATCCTTTGGCCTACTTATTTAAGAAAACTTATACCTAAAAGTCAGAAAGTGCCTTTAAATGCCAACTTGTATTTTATTTTCCTTTGAGAGTCAGCTTAGAGTTTCCAACAGCAACAACAATTATTCAGCAATTCAAATTCCAACAACAATTTCCATAAGAGTTATAACATGCCATACTTGGTAACTAAAGCATCCTTTGGCTTAGCATGTTCTTACCTGAGTATTTAAAGGATTTTTTTCTGTTCCTGTCTTTTATAGAAACAGTAAAAAATATACTCGTGGGCACTGCCCTTTCAATGCCACTCTTGTACCTGATGCTATAACACAACAGTGTACTTCCAAGCTTAGGCTGTTCCATTATCCTTCTCTCTTGTCTGAAACAGAGCTACACTGGAATTCTTGATTCTGACATTCAATCGCAGGAAAATGTAGGAGTATGATTGTGCTGACTGTAAATCTCAAAAAGGAATGCAAATGGCTCAGAGGTAGACCAACCTCACTGTAATTTAGGAAATCTAACAATCAAAAGAGAATATTCTTAAGCAGAGAAAGACACATTTTACAGCACTGCTTTCCAGATACAAAAAAGGAATGGGGTTCCTTGGTATCAAATTTTATATCATATTTTAACATTTATGCCAATTAAACTTTAAAAGATTAAAAATCAAAAATAAAAATAATTCATGGTTAAGATGAAATTAAAAGTCTGCTTTCAGACTCAGTAGAAATAATTCAAAAAATGATACATCAAATCATGGCACATTTAACAAGGTTAGGAAGAAACTGTAGGGGAACAAAAAACTACAGGAAATGTTCATTGCATCTTGGGTTCATTGTTAAAGAAATAATATATAATTCTAGCTATTAAACTCCTAGCCTTTAATCCTATAGCATATTTCTCCAATCAGGTGGCTGGCTATGGAAATTTATTTACACCAATTGGTAATTCCCTTAGCAAAAGTTAAATTATTATGCAATTTCACATTTCACCAAAGAGAAAAACAATGAAAACGAAATTTATAAACAAAACCAGAAAAGTTTTACTCCACATGAAGGAAAAAAAACACAATTGCTATGGTTCTTGTATTCCCTATTCAGCTACTTCAGCGCTGTGCATAAACTTTTGTAGTCAGCACACACATAGAATTTAATATGGCATTTCTTAACTGTTTATTTTTCTAGACATCTTCATTCTTTTTCCCAACTAGTATTTCTTAACATATAGGAAAATTAATACTCAGTCCCCTGGTATAAATAAAAAATTTATGCTTTTAAAAGCATGTATTTACATTTTATATTAAATTTTTATATTTAAACATTAAATATTTGTTTTTGTTTATAATATTTATTTTTACATTTAAATATTAAATACTGTATTAAACTTTTAAATGGGAAATATTTCTAAGTTGCTAACTAGAATCCATTTGAGCTATGCTAAAACATGAATATTTGCTTCATAGTTTTTTATTGAATATTTTAAATGTTCTTTTTCTATTTAAAAAGCTATGCATGTAGTTTGAGTTGTCGTCAATATATATAATTATGGGAGTCACCAGGAATCCTGTACTCTGTAAGGGAAAATGCAGGTCCCCTCTGGTTAGTCTAGAAATGTTTCATGGAAGAGCAGAAATTTGGTGTCAGCTTAACAACAGGAGAGACATACTTTGGCAGATTTGTTTTGTTAAATTAAATTAAAATGGACACTGGGCCTAGAGAATCTCTGAGCAGACAAAGCCACTTAGACCTCATAAGTAACCTTAGTCTTGCTTGATTTGCAAACATAAGTGAAACTTAACTTGAGCTATTTCTTGTAAATGCCTATATTAAAGAAAAATTAAACTTAAGGATAACCAATCAGAAGCTGACAAGTAATTTATATAATTTAGGAGCTTTTCAGCAGAATAGACAAATAAGGCAACTGTATAACTATAACCAATCAAGTATTTTCTTGACTTTACTTCCATGTTCACCCTATAAAAGCCTCTCCTTGTGTTACCTGAGCTGAGCCTCCAAACCACTCCTGGTTTAAAGCTGCCTAATTCATGAATCACTGCTTACTCAAATAACCTCGTTAAAGTTTTATACCTCAGTTTACCTTTTTACAGTTTGAAAGAGAAAAAATATCTAATTAAGGCTTATGAGGCTGTTTTCCTAAAGGTTTGCCATTTGGACTCAAATGACTGTATCATGGGAGCTTGGGACAGATTTGTCTAATATGATCAAAGACTCATGAATCAAAGAATAGAAACCAAGAAAATTTAGTTCCAGGCTTGCTCCATGAGGCTCTGCTGTACAGTATGTGACTCTTTGCATTCTGGAGAACATAATCAGCAACAAGTCACTGCAAAGCTTTGACGGCAGATGGGAAAAAGCATTTTAGGAAGAATTTTTGCCCCTTTTAAGGGGTAAAACGATAGGTGAAGAAAACAATGCCGACCACACAATGACAGTGGAAACTGGAAGGCAGGTGAAGTCAAGGAGTCTGGGAAAAGTGGGAGAGGTATGAGGGGAAAAGATGAAACAAAAATGAAATTTGGTCTTGCAATAAAGTACATGTACAGAATAAAGAATGCAGAAGAGGTAAAAATAACACTAGCCTGTGGCTTGAAACAGGAGACTGATGATGATACCACTGCTCTGATCAACAGTGGGGCAGAGCAGAGGACATGGAAAAGAGATACGTTACTGTTCTTTGCATCTCCCATTGCCATGGAATTGCCATCCCCATCTGTCCTGTATTCAGGGTACTAAAAATCCAGAGAGTGAGCAGGTAAAAGGAAAATTACATTTATACTTCAAAGCTCTTGCTATCATGTGAGGCCAACGCTTACCATGTTACTGCCTTGCTGTTTCTCTCCTGTCCTTAACACTCTGTCACTGACAATTGCCCCTCAGGCTGTTGTTTCTGAGTACAGCAGCAGTTCTTTAGCTGTGATGTCTCCTTCTATTGTTTTAATCATCTATGGTCCCAAAATACTACATACAATTTTCCACACAAAAAGATATTTCGAGAGAGAGAGACCACATTCACATAACTTTTATTACAGTATACTGTTATCATTGTTCGATTTTCTTATTAGCTATTGTTAATTTCTCCTTGTGGTTATCATTGTTAATCTCTTGTTGTGCCTAACTTATAAATTAAACTTTATCATAGGTATGTATAGGATGTATAGGAAAAAAGTATAGTGTTTATAGGGATCATTACAATCTGCAGTTTCAGGCACAAGCATGCATGCACAGACATATACACCTTCCAAAGCCAGAAAACAGTATCAGAATTAAATGTTAAAAACTATTTCATTAATTCCCCCTTAATGTTATTTTGTGGAATGACTTTTGCTTTCTGTACTTCATCATATGAAAAATTTCTTTGTAATCCCTTTCATTTGTTTCACCCATACCACGTCATAAACAGTTCAAGATCCCGGTAAATGAGAAGAAATGTTCCTATTTCATCCTTAGTCAATCTACTCTCTACTGTGGTACTAAAGAAAAAAAAAATCACAGTCAGTTCAACCCATTTTTAAACAACAGACATGCAAAAGAAGAGCTGTTTGGGGGTCCTGGATTAAGTTTGCTGTATTTTCAAAGAGCCATACACTGTGCTGAAGGAACAGCAATGCAAGCATGCCATGGAGAAAAAGGCAAAATAAAAAGAGCTACTCTCAGACTGAGCATCTAAGAGCCAGCTCCCATTATAAGCTAAGTACCTCTACTTTGGGACAGACAACAGATAATCTAAGTAACCCAAATATTGAACTGACTTAACCAAATAGGCAACAAATTATATCAAAGAGAAGAAATGAAATAGCAGGGAAAATAGAAAACTACTCAGGAAATTGTTTATTTGAGAAATGTGATCATAGTCACAAGAATGCTTGTCTTTAATGTATTTGGCTAAGACATCATCTTAGCAAGCAGCTGTTGTCCTTTGAAACAGTAAAAAGAAGGAAGTTCTTCCAGTGGGAGAGGAGGTGATGGTATTTTAGTCAGAAGAGTAAGGAAATAGTAAAATCCTGGCATGTCTAATACACTTGCCTTACATAATGCTCTAAGCCAATTAATTTGATCGGACTCTATGCTGAGCTCAAAGTTAAAATAAATAGGAGAGCAGAACTTGACCAGTGAATATACCTAATCTAACATGGCCAATAGAATTAAGTCAGCCGCCAATAATCTTGGAACTGGGTCCAGGAATGAACAAAACTTAAAAATTTAACAAAATTTAAATTTGTTTTACTACCATCAGATAAGATTTTTGTCAGGTTTGTTTTAAACTTTAACGTGTTCACAAAGAATTGTGAGTAAAAATTTCACATGGAAGGTACATGGGAAGATCATAATTTATACCTAATCAAGACAGTTACATAAACTCTAAATTATTTTAGGAGCTGATTCTTGTGGGAAAGATGGCTTATTCTCTCCTGCAAGCTATGGCTGCCTTTCTCTTTTGAAGTTCTTATTAGAGAAGCTATCCATGGCTCATTCCATTTGACTTCAGACAAGTTATTCCAGTGTTTTCTACACACGTAATGTGAATCCCTGAATAGCTACAGAAGGGTTACAGCTTGTTCAGCTGTACATTTTTTAACTCTGTCTTCTCTTAGGAAAGTGCAAGAGCCAATTGAACATTCAATTTTCTCTTTGAGTGTGGTAGGACTTTTGGACTCTCCTCTTGTTCTTTGGTGTCCTTTAAGGAAAAACAGCAAATTGGGAATTGACATAAATCAACAATTGGAAACAGACAGTTACTTTGGAAGGGACCTTGGAATTTATATGATGAAATCTTTCATCCATTTATCAATCCTTTTAAAAACATTTTTGGGCCAGGCGCAGTGGCTCATGCCTGTAATCCCAGCACTTTGGGAGGCCGAGGCAGTTGGATCACGAGGTCAGGAGTTCAAGACCAGCCTGGCCAAGATGGTGAAACCCTGTCTCTACTAAAAATACAAAAATTAGCGGGGCCTGGTGGCACGCGCCTGTAATCCCAGCTACTTAGGAGGCTGAGGCAGAGAACTGCTTAAACCCGGGAGGAGGAGGTTGCAGTGAGCCAAGATCGTGCCACTGCACTCCAGCCTGGGCGACAGAGCAAGACTCCGTCTCAAAAAAAAAAAAAAAAATTTGGAGAGAGTTTTCAATTTCGGCTTTGAAATCCTTTAGTGGTAGGAAGCTCCTTATCTCACAAGGGAATCTATTTAACAATTTTCCAACTCTGTTTAGAAAGTTGCTTCTTAAAAGAAGTCAAAAGCTACCGCTCTAAAACTCCTAACCATGAATCTTACTTCTGCCCTCTAAAGCAAAAAGCACAAAGTAATTGCCTTATTTATACAGCAATCCTTCAAATATTGAAAGACTCTTATTTCCTTGTATAGTCTTCTCTTCTCCATGCTAGTCATCCTAAGCTACTTTCTATGTATTTCCACAATTACATCCACTTAACAAAGTCGTTGTGAGTACTCAGTGAGTGAAAGTTCTGCACAAAAGCTGGAAGGTAGTAAGCATGTTTACAGTTGTTCAAAATGTGAAATTACTAGTACAAAAAGATTTCTAGGTCTTGTTTTCTCTGTCTACATTTCTGAAGAAATCAGAAATCCTTTTGGGAACACTGTCTAATTTGTAAATATTGATATCCTTCTTCAGACTTGTTGAGTAGAACTTAATGTAATCTTTCAATTGAATAGTGGTCAGAGCAAAAGTCTTGCACTTTACTTTTGATGATCAGGACCTGAGCACTCACTGTATCCTTTTGTGTGTAAGGAATCAACCCATCATTTTGTTAGCCTTTCTGGAAGCAACAGAAAATGGCTAGCTCATTTAAATGCCCTAAATTATTTTCATTTGAACTACTACTAAACCAGTTTGCTTCCTTTTTTAATTTTGCAACATTTGATAACAGTTCTATAATGAGCTACAGGAAAATTAACTCATGACTAAGATTTAGATTTAATTTATTTATCCTCTATTTCTGTCATTAAAAACAATAATTAAAGCATATATGAAAAAATAGACCACGAACAGATAAAATATATTCTGTACTGACAAGTATCTTTATGAAAGTAATTCCTAGAAAAAAAATTGGCAAATGTTTCAAATTAAACTAAGATGTTTGCTTATGGACACCTTAAAATCACCTTGCAAAGAGATTTATTTTGTTTTATATCACTTATTATTTTGCATGAATATTCAGAACTATTTAAATATCTAGATAAGAAAACAAATTTTATTTAGACAACTTCGACTTCTGCTTGCCAGTAATTATATACAAGACTCCTTTGCCTAGTTGGTTTCATATATAATGATCAAATACCTTCCAAAGACAGCCATCTCCACTTTCCACTCATCAGCTTAATAGATTAATAATATTCAAAAATTTCCTGTGTTTATAGGAATAGAAATATTTTAAGTAATGGGCCAACAAATTTTATTACCTTTAGAGAAAGTGATATACTATAAATAGAAAAAAATTAACAGTTGTTAACTTCCAAAGGAAATATTGTCAATGTAATAACAATACATTGTCTGCAATTTTCTCTGGAAGAGAGAAACCCACTATTTAGACAAATGTAACAGGTCACTAAGTTTGCTTAATATTTTAGTTGTAAGTTTTATTTATTACTTTCTGAGAACTGCAGCTGTTTATATGTTCAACAGAATATAGGAAGAAGAACTGGTGGTCACATCTGGTTATTTACTCCATTGATACTAAATTATAAAGACAATATAATTAGCCAAGTTGTTGAATTATCTAGAAGAAGAAAAAAAAACACTTCTCCATCTGTGAAGTTTTAGATGCAGGGAAACCATGTTGATGGCTTGAACTCTATTCTTGCTTAATGATGAAAAGAATCTACCAATCAAGTCAACATATAGGCATGGGGACATTTTACAGATGTGAGACAATCCTCCAATATTTGTGCATATTTGGTGAAGAATAAAAGGCAATTCTATTTTTAGAGTATCTTAATTTCCAAATGATAGAATTTTACCCTGAAACATGTATATTTCATGACATTTCACCATTTTTTGACATTTATATTACTAGTATTCATGAATGTCAGCTTCTATATTATGCAAGTGCTATAACATGACAACAATTTTATTTGCGTATTTATTTATATCTCTGTTTTTAAAGAAATTAGATTTTGCATTTTATAATGGATCAAACAATATTTCAGGATGAAAATTTAAAATAAGACAGATAAATGGGTAAAATGGGTAGAAATACAAAGCAGAGAAAAGAGTAAAGTTTGTTCAAAAAACATGCACTCATAATCTTAGTTGCTGGTGGGAAGAAGAAAATAATTACTTGTAAGCCTCATGGTAACACAAATTATCTTTTTTATTTGCTCAAGAATAACAATTATGCTTTATTCTTTGGCCAGAAAACAATTTCTTTCATGAGGTCATTCACTGGGAGAATACTGTGAAATGTAATACAATCAACAACACAGGCAAACCTCAGAGATACTGCAGATTTGGTGCCAGACCACTGCAATAAAGTCAGTATCACAATAAAGCAAGTCACACAATTTTTTTTCATTTCTCAATGCTTATAAAAGCTATGTTTATATTCATTGTTATCTATTAAGAGTACAATATTATTTATATATATTATATATATTATATTATATATAGGTATATATGTATTTTATATATATATATATACCTTAAGTAAAAATACTTTATTGCTAAAATGCTGATAATCATCTGACCTTCAGCAAGTCATAATCTTTTGCTGGAGGAGGATCTTGCCTCAATGTTGATGGCACTGACTGATCAGGGTGGCAGCTGCTGACTGATCAGGATGGTAGCTGCTGAATGTTGGGCTGGCTGTGGCAATTTCATAAAATAAGACAATAATGAAGTTTGCCATATCCATTGACTCTTCCTTTCATGAAATATTTCTTTGTAGCATGTGATGCTGTTTGATCACATTTTACCCAAAGCAGAACTTAACTCAAAATTGGAGTTAATCCTCTCAAACCCTGCCATTATTTATTAATTAAAGTTATTCAGTATTCTAAATCATTTGTTGTCGTTTCCACAATGTTCACGGCATCTCCACTAGTTGTTAACATCGCAGGAAACCACTTTATTTGTTCATTCATAAAAAGCAACTTCTCATCTGTTCAAGTTTTATCATGATATTTCAGCTATTCAGTCACATCTTCGGACTCCACTACTGTTTCCAGTTCTCTTGCCATTATCTAGCATATCTGCAGTTACTTCCTTTACTGAAGTCTTGAATCCCTCAAAGTCATTCAGGATGGTTGAAATCAACTTCTACCAAACTCCTTTTGCTGACATTTTTACCTCCACCTATGAATCATAAATGTTCTTAATGGCATCTAGGATGATGAATCTTTTCAAGAAGATTTTCAATTTTCTTTGCCTAGATCCATCAAGAGGAATCACTATGGAAGTTACAGCTTTTTGAAATATTCCTTAAATAATAAGACTTAAGGGTCAAAATTACTCATTAATCCATGGATTACAGAATGAATGTCGTGTTGGCAGGCATAAAAACAACATAAATCTCCCTAGACATATTTATCAAAACCTTTGGGTGAGCAGGTATCTTGTCAATAAGCATTTGTATTTGGAAAGAGATTTTTTTTCTGAGCAGTAGGTCTCAACACTGGTGTTAATATACTCAGTAAACCATATTGTAAAGAGATGTACTGTCCTCCAAGATTTGTTGTTTTATTTATAGAGCACAGGCAGATAAGATTTAGCATAATTCTTAAGGACCTTAGGGTCTTCATAATGATTAATGAGCATCTGGCTTCAACTTAAAGTCACCAGCTACAGTAGCACCTGACAAGAGAGGCAAACTGTCCTTTAAAGATTTGAAGCCAGGCATTGACATCTCCTCTTTAGCTATGAAAGTCTTAAATGGCATCTTCTTCTAATAGAAGGCTGTTTTGTTTACATTGAAAATCTGTTGTTTAGTGTACCTGCCTTCACCAATGATCTTAGCTAGGTCTTCCGGATAACTTGCCGCAGCTGCTATATCAGCACTTGCTGTTTCACCTTGTACTTTTATTTTATGGAGACAACTTATTTCTTTAAACCTCATCAACCAACCTCTGCTAGCTTCAAACTTCTTCTCCAACCTCCTCGCCTTTCTCAGCCATCATAAAATTGAAGAGAGTTAGGGCTTTGCTCTGGATTAGGCTTTGACTTAAGAGAAAGTGTTGTGGCTGGTTTGATCCATCTAGACCACTAAAACTTTCTCCATATCAGTAATAAGACTGTTTTGCCTTCTTACTATATCTGTGTATTTGCTGGAGTAACACTTCTAATTTCCTTCAAGAACCTTTTATTTGCACTTAACAACTTGGCTGTTTGGCACAAAAGGCCTAGCTTTCAGCTGACCTCGGCTTTCAAAATGTCTTCCTCACTAAGCTCAATCATTTCTAGCTTTTAATTTAAAGTAAGAGACATGCAACTCTTCATCTCACTTGAGCACTTAGAGGGTATTGCAGAGTTATTAACTGGCTTAATTTCAGGATTGTTGTGTCTTAAGGAATAGGGAGGCCTAAGGAGAGGGAGATGAGGAAATGGCAAGTCAGTGGGGCAGTCACAACTGCACAACATCTATCAATTAAGTTTGCTGTCTTATACAGGCACAGTTCATGGCACCCCAAAGCAATTACAATACCAACATCAAACATCACAGATCACAAATCACCATAGTAGATAGAATAATAATGAAATTTGAAATATTGTGAGAATTGCAAAAGTGTAGACACAAAGTGAGTACATGCTGTTAGAAAAATGTCTCCAGTGGATTTTATTGATGCATGGTTGCCACAAACCTTTAATTTATAGAAAACACAGTATCTGTGAAGCACAATAAAGGGAAGCACAGTCAAACAAGGCATCCCTGTGTACTTAGTACACACAGCAAGCAATGTCTTTCATAGGGTTATTATTTTTTATGGCCATCGGTATTAGCCCATGATGGCAAGCCAAAACAGGGTTGAATACATGCAATTTTCAGCAAGCATGATATGGTTTAGCTGTGTCCCCACCCAAATCTCATCTTGAATTCCCACATGTTGTGGGAGGAACCCAGTGGGAGGTAACTGAATCATGGGGGCAGATCTTTCCTGTGCTGTTCTCATGATAATAGTGAATAAGTCTCACAAGATCTGATGGTTTTACAAAAGGGGATTTTCTCTCCATAAACCCTCTTCTCTTGTCTGCTGTCATGTGAGACATGCCCTTCACCTTCTGCCATGATTGTGAGGCCCTCCCAGCCACATGGAACTGTAAGTCCATTAAAACCCTTTTTCCTGTATAAATTACTCAGTCTCGGGTATGTCTTTATTAACAGCACGAAAACAGACTAATACAGTAAATTGGGGTACCAATTTACAGTATTAGTACGGTAGAGTGGGGTGCTGCTGTAAATACCTGAAAATGAGGAAGCAACTTTGGATCTGGGTAACAGGCAGGGGCTGGAACAGTTTGGAGGGCTCAGAAGAAGACAGGAAAATGTGGGAAGTTTGGAACTTCCTAGAGACTTGTTGAATGGCTTTGACCAAAATGCTGATAGTGATATGGACAATGAAATCCAAGCTGAGGTGGTCTCACATGGAGATGAGGAACTTGTTGGGATCTGGAGTAAAGGTGACTCTTGCTATGTTTTAGCAAAGAGATTGGTGGCATTTTGCCCCTCCCCGAGAGATTTATGGAACTTTGAACTTGACAGAGATGATTTAGGGTATCTGGCAGAAGAAATTTCTAAGAAGCAAAGCATTCAAGATGTGACTCGGGTGCTGTTAAAGGCATTCAGTTTTAAAAGGGAAACAAAGCATAAAAGTTTGGAAAATTTGCAGCCTGACAAAGCAATAGAAAAGAAAATCCCATTTTCTAAGGAGAAATTTAGGCAAGCTGCAGAAATTTGCATAAGTAATGAGGAACCAAATGTGAATACCCAAGACAATGGGGAAAATGTCTTCAGGGCATGTCAGGTCTTCACTGCAGCCCCTCCCATCACAGGCCCAGAGGCCTAGGATGAAAAAGTGGTTTCATGGGCCAGGCCCAGGATCCCCATGCTATGTGCAGCCTAGAAATGTGATGCCCTGCATCCCAGCTGTTCCAGCCATGGCTGAAAGGGGCCAACATAGAGCTCAGGCCATGGCTTCAGAGCGAGCAAGCCTCAAGCCTTGGCAGCTTCCACGTGGTGTTGAGCCTGCCAGTGCACAGAAGTCAAGAATAGGGGTTTGGGAACCTCTGCCTAGATTTAAGAAGATGCATGGAAATGCTTGGATGCCCAGGTAGAGGTGTGCTGCAGGGGCAGGGCTCTCATGGAGAACCTCTGCTAGGGCAGCGAGGAAGGGAAATGTGGGGTCAGAGCACCTACTCAGAGTCCCTACTGGGGCACTGCCTAGTGGAGCTGTGAGAAGAGGGCCACAGTCCTCCAGACCCCAGAATGGTAGATCCACTGACAGCTTGCACTGTGTGCCTGGAAAAGCTACAGATACTCAATGCCAGCCCATGAAAGCAGCCAGCAGGGGGGCTATACCCTGCAAAGCCACAGGGGTGGAGCTGCCCAAGGCCATGGGAACCCACCTCTTGCATCAGCGTGACCTGGACATGAGACATGGAGTCAAAGGAGATCATTTTGGAATTTTAAGATTTGACTGTCCCACTGGGTATCGAACTTGCATGGGGCCTGTAGCCCCTTTGATTTGGCCAATGTCTCCTATTTGGAATGATTGTATTTACCCAATGCCTGCACCCCCATTGTATCTAGGAAGTAACTTGCTTTTGATTTTACAGGCTCATAGGTGGAAGGAACTTGCCTGGTGTCAGATGAGACTTTGGACTGTGGACTTTTGAGTTAATGCTGAAATGAGTTGAGACTTTGGGTGACTGCTGGGAGGGCATCATTGGTTTTGAAATATAAGGATGTGAGATTTGGGAGGGGTCAGGGGTGGAATGATATGGATTGGCTGTGTCCCTACCCAAATTTCATCTTGAATTGCCACATGTTGTGGAAGGAACCCAATAGGAGGTAACTGAATCATGGGGGCAGGTCTTTTCTGTGCTGTCTTCATGATAGTGAATAAGTCTCACAAGATCTGATGATTTTAAAAAGGGGAGTTTCCCTGCACAAGTTTTCTTCTTCTCTTGTCTGCTACCATATGAGATGTGCCGTTCACCTTCCAGCATGATTATGAGGCCTTCCCAGCCACATGGAACTGTAAGTCCATTAAATCCCTTCCTCCTGTGTAAATAACCGAGTCTCAATTATGTCTTTATCAGCAGCATGAACACAGACTAATACAAAGAGGATAGGCTAAAAACACAATATTTTATAGGATGTTACTCTGCTTTAATATAACTAAATACTAGTATTATATAGAAAGAGAAATCGTTATTAAAATGCTTAAAACAAAATAAGGCACAAAATGAAGATACTGATAGTACTTTCATTGAATAAATTACCCCATTCATTGACTTACAGGAAACTAAAGTTCTCATTTAATATTTTCTTCACATTTCTCTTAGATTGAAATATACATTAGATCTGGCCTGGTGCTGTGGCTCATGCCTGTAATGCCAACACTTTGGGAGACCAAGGCAGGAGTGTCACTTAATCCCAGGAGTTTGAGACCAGCCTGGGTGACATAGTGAGACCCCCATCTTTAGAACAAACTTTTAAAAATTAGCCTAGTATGATGGCAAACACCGGTAGTCCCAGATACTCAAGAAGCTGAGGTGGGAGGCTCACTTGAGCCCAGGAAGGTAGAGGCTGCAATGAGCTGTTATCGCACCACTGTACTCCAACCTGGATGACAAAGCAAGATCCTGTCTCAAAAAAAATTTTTTTAATTAAAAAACATAATAAAATACACATTAGATCTGAACACAGAATCCAAAGAGTACCTGGCTTAACTGTCATAGAATGGGCCAAAGCCTGTTTGCCAAGCACTGTTTACAGTTTCTACCTAATGATGTTATAGCTCATGTTATAGTACAGCACATTAAGAGGGGTTCTATGAAAATGCCTGGAAGAAGCACCCTTGAGGACTCATGAAGATGCCTCAGAGAGGGTGTCTTCAAAGACCCAAAGGATGAGTTGATGCTCACCAGATATAGATAGGAGGGAAGAGGATTCCAGGCAGAGGAAAAAATATGTGCAAAACCCCAAGGATACAAAAGATTGTTGAACCTTTAAGCAATTCACTGTGGCTAACAAGCACTTTTGGGAGATGGTTATAAGAATGACAACAGAGATTGGAGAGAAGGACACAGTACAAATCGTAAAGACCCTCATATGTCTGATATGGTTTGGTTGTGTCCCCACCCAAATCTCATCTTGAATTGTAGTTCCCATAATCCCCATGTGTCATGGGAGAAACCCAGTGGGAGGTAATTTAATCATGGCAGTGGTCATCCTCATGTTGTTCTCATGATAGTGAGTTCTCATGAGATCTGATGGTTTGATACAAGGCTTTTCCCCCTTTTGCTCAGCACTTCTCCTTCCTGCTGCTATGTGAAGAAGGTGGTGTTTGCTTCTCCTTCTGCGATGATCATAAGTTTCCTTAGGCCTCCCAGGCCATGCTAAACTGTGAGTCAATTAAACCTCTTTCCTTTATAAATTACCCAGTCTCAGGTATGTCTTTATTAGCAGTGTGAGAACAGACTAATACAATGTCACGTTAAGGATTTTTTACTTTTTTCTGAGAAAAACGAGGAGCCATTGAGGAATATTGAGCAAGAAAGAGACAGTAGTATATTTGAAGTAGAAAGGTCTCTCAGGCAGCAGTGTCAAGAATGATCTTGAAAGGGGTAAGGATTACAAGAGGAAGATAAGCCAGGAAGCTTTAACAATCCAGGTCAGCGTGGACAGAGGGGAGTAGTTATATTTAAGAGATATTTAGGAAGCATAATGAAAGTAATTTGTCAAATGGTTAGGAGGGTGGTAAATGGAGGAGAGATGGCAAAGATGGCATTCAAGTTTCTAACTTGGGAAATTAGGGGAAGATGTTGCCAGTGTCTGCTCAACAGAGAAAGTATGGGAGGTCTGGCAAAAAAAAAAAATTGGGGAATATTGAGTTTGGGAGATATTCTGAAAGATGTTTTGAAACAAATTGATATATAAGCCTTGTACTCAGAAGAAAGCAGTGGAATGGGGATTGAGATTTGGATATCATTACTATAGACGATGATTGAGAAAATTCTGGTTTAAACTGGCAAACACACTACTCCTCCTGACATCTGAATGGAAATTACAATATAAAATCTGAAGACAGAAATTCACCTGCAACAATGAAGAGGCAGTTAAGAAGGATTACTAGCAGATAAGATAGCTCAGGATGATAGAATGATTTTGGAAGTGAGCTGATGGAAAGCAAAGGAAGATGTGACTCAGAATACCTTATGAGGGGATGCAGTACTGCAGGAGAGCTGGGCACTCATAAGCTCACTGGAACCTTGAGAGTAACTGGGCTTAAATTCTCAGTAGTAATGGAATCTAGGATAGTTAAGAAAGCTAGAAATGGGGTGGAGTGGTAATCATAGGTCTGTCCGGCAATGAAGATTATGTCCCCACCAACATTTCTTTTTTGCCTTCCTCACAATTAAAAAAAAAATTTAAGAACACAAAAAGAAAAAGAGGAAGTATATCTAAAACAACTCATAATTATAGTTGTAATCATGTCAACATGAAGGAAGTATAAATACCAGTGAGCATAAGTCAGTGTTAAAGTTCTCCGTTGTAAGGAGGAAGACATAATTATAAAAAATAAAAAGCAAGAAGAGACACATAGAAAAGGTCAAAACATTTTTGAAATAAAAAAATGAACAAATGCAAACAGGTCTAAATATTATCAGAAATCCTAACATATAAACATGGCTTAAGCCCCTGAAACATATGAGGTGCTGAGCAGTAATTAGCATCGTTTAAACACCAGTCTATAAAGAATGAGGGATACTCACTTTGTTTATCCACTATGGGTGTAAAATCTCTGAAATTGTTTAGACCAGTGGTCCCCAACCTTTTTGGAACCAGGGACCAGTTTTGTGAAAGACATTTTTTCCATGGACAGGGAGGCGAGGGGAGTATGGTTTTGGGATGACACTGTTCCACCTCAGATCATCGTGCATTAGATAGATTCTCATAAGGAGCGTGCAACCTAGATCCCTCGCATGTGCAGTTCACAATACAGTTCACAATCCGCTGACAATCTGATGCCGCTGCTGATCTGACAGGAGGCAGAGCTCAGGCAGTAAAGCTCACTGACCTGCCACTCACTTCCTGCTGTGTGGCCCGGTTCCTAACAGGCCATGGACCACTACTGTGGCCTGTTAGGAACTGAGCCACAGGGGTTGGAGACCACTGGTTTAGGCCTTATTTCCATCTTTAGATTAGTCATTTAATATTAAGAAGGCAGCAATAAGGATTTCTATCAAATAAAAATATATAATTCCACTTTTAACCATTTTATATACAGCGAACAGTAAATTCTATTCAGTGAATTCTGAGTTTTCTCTCACTAGAAATTGATAAAGTCTTGATAAGTATGGTAATGACAATGACCTGTTCTGTTCAAGGTCCAGCTCTCCATTCTTTCACTGTCTAGTTTCTGCTAATTTTCTCCTTTATAATCCACACCATTCTGGTGCCATACTAGTTCATTTAATAGTAATTGCATATTGTTCAGTTTTTAAATAACAGCAATTTTTTCAGCCTTATTGAGGTATAACTGTCAAATATTGTATTATTTAGGGTGTACAATTATACATACATTGGGAAATGATTACCACAATCAAGCTAATTAACATATCCATTATCTCATATACCTCCCTTTTTTATGGTGAGGACACTTGTGATCTACTGTGTTCTTAGCAAATTTCAAGTATACAATACATTATTATTGTCATCATCATGTTGTAATTAATTAGGTCTCCAGGACTTATTCATCTTAAAACTAAAGGTTTGTACCATTTGACCAACATCTCCTCTTTCCTCCAACTTCTCAGCCCCTGGTAACTACCATTTTATTCACTGTTACATGAATTTGGCTTTTTAAAGATTCCACATATAAATGAGATTATGAAGTATTTGTCTTTCTGTGCCTGGCTTATTTTACTTAGCACAAGGTCCTCAAGTTTTAACGCTGTTGTTGCAAATGATGAGATTTCCTTCTGTTTAAGGCTGAATAATATTCCACTGTTTATATATCCACCACATTGTCTTTATTCATTCATCTGTCATTGGATACTTAGTTACCATACTTGACTATCACAAATAATGCTGCAATGAACATGGAAGTGCAGAAATTTCTTCAAGATACTGATTTTATTTACTTTGGATATATACCCAGAAGTGAGACTGCTGAATTAAATGGAAGTTATAGGTTTAATTTTTTTAGAAAACTCCATATTGTTTTCCATAACGGCTGTACTGATTTACATTCTCACCAAGACTGTGCAAGGATTCCCTTTTCTCCACACACCCTTGCCAACATTTACTATCTCTTGCTTTTTTTTTTTTTTACATCCTAACAGGTGTGAGGTTGATATCTCATTGTGGTTTTAAACAGTATTTCCCTAATGATTAATGATGCTGAGCACCTTTTCATATACCTCTTAGCCATTTGTATGTCTTCTTTGGAGAAATGTCTTTTCAGGTCCTGTGCCCATTTTTAGATTGAGTTATTTGTTCTTTTGCTTGTGACGTGTTTGGGTTCCTTATGCATTTGGATATTAACTCCTTATCAGACATATTATGGTTTGCAAATATTCCATTGTGTAGGTTGCCTTTTCATTTGTTTTCTTGTTTCTGTTACTGTGCAGAAACCTTTTAGTTTGATGCACTTCCACTTGCTTATTTTTGCTTTTGTTGCCTGTGCTTTCAGTTTCACATCTAAAAAAATCATAGCTGAGACCAATGTCAAGAAGTTCTTCCACTATATTTTCTTCTAGGAGTTCTACTGTTTCAGGACTCATGCTTAAGTCTTAACCTATTTTGGAGTGATTTTTGAGGACAGCAATCATTTTCATTTTTATATTATTAAAATATGTCCTTTAGTAATGTTGGTATAATGCCTGATATAACAACAGTACAGGAATTCATCCTGTCTTTTATTTGAATGGCCCCAGTTTTCTGTCTGTCTCTGACTACTCTTTCAATAGTTCTCTTTTACAAGCTAAACCTGTAAATGGGAAACTCAACCCAATCTGGTCCCTTTTTTCACATTTCCACTCCCCTCCAATCTGCCTGGTTTCTTTCACTCTCTCTAGCCTTCAGGTAGTTGTTTTCTGTAGTGTTGTCCATTGATTTGTGTTTCCCTCAAATTCAAATGTTGAAGTCATAACCTCCATTACTTCAGAATGTGACCTTATTCAGAAATCAGGTGATCACAGATATAATTAGTTAAGAAGAGGCCATATTAGAGTCGAGTGGGCCCAATTCAATGTGGCTGCCATCCTTGTAGAAATGGGAAATTTAGACACAGACTCCCATACTGGGAGAATACCATGTGAAGATGAAGGCAGAGAACAAGGTGATGCTTCTACAAACCAAGAAACGTCAAAGGTTGCTGGCAAACCACCAGAAGCTAGAATAGCGGCATGGAACACATTCTCCCTCGCAGCCCTCAGGAGGAACTGGCGCTGCTCACCCTTTCATCTCCAACTTCTACACTCCAGATCCATGCCAGGAAAAAATTTCTGTTGCTTAAGCCTCCTAGTCTGTGGTACATTATTATGGCTGCCCCAGCAAACAGATGTACTGTGAACAGAGATTATAATGGGTGGTTCATTAAGAGCTTATTCCACCAAATCAGAAGTAAAACTATCTTTACTTGCCTCAGAATAAGTTCACCTTCTCTCTATCCTTTAGTTTCCTTATTTGTAAAACAGGGATAATATCCCCTAGCAATTTTGGAATGATAAGGTAGACTGATACATGTGAAGCACTTAGACAATACCTATAACATTGTATGCTCTCAATGGTTATTAGCTACTCTTGTCCTTCACTCATTTAACTATGTCAGGCTCTGTTATAGGCACTCCAGGTACATCACCGAACAAAACAAAACAGATATAAATTTCTGCCTTTATAATGCAGTGAAGCTTACATTGCAGTGACAGCATATAGAAAATAAAATAAGTAACTTATGTAATATGTAGGCCATTAATAAGTTCTATGAAGAAAAATAAAGCAGAGACTGTGGATTGGGAAGGCTGAGATTGGATCAGGCCATCTTTTATAGGGTAGTCCAGGGAGGCATCACTGAAGGAGGGAGAAGAGTGAGCCATGTGCATACCTGGAGTAGCAGCATTCCAGGTAAAGAGAACAGCAGGAGCAAGTGCCCTGAGGCCAGAGCCTGCCTGGAATAGTCAAAGAACAGCAAGAGGGCCAGTATGGCTAGAGCAGAGTGAGAGAGGTGGAAGGCAGTAAGTAGGAGATGTGGTCAGGAGGTAACAGGTGACCAGATTGTACAGGACCTCAAAGGGCTTTGACTTTTACCTTGAGTGACGTGAGAGTCATTGGAGCTTTTAAACACAGGAGTGACAAGGCCTGAGTTACATTTTTATCAAAGCATCCTGACCACTATGTGAGAGTAGTTTTGATAGAGGAAGGGGCTGGGAGGGAAGGCCAGAAACAGGGAGACCAAGTAGAAGACCATTTCTGAAATGTAGTCTTGGGATCACATTGGCTCTGACCAGGGTTGTTCAGTAAAGGAGGAAAAACACAGATGCTATAGATGCTTTAACAGAATTTCTGGATGATTTGAATGTGACATTTGAAATAAAGAGAGGAGTCAAGGATGACACTGAGGTTTGGGTCCTGAGCAGCTGCAAGTGTATTTCCATTAATGGAATCAGGGAAGACTTTCAGAGCAACGACTTAGAGAAGCAAAGAACAGAGTTGTTGTTATGGTTGTTCTTCCTCTTTCTTATTATTGTCATTATTGCTATAATGAGGGTAGTGTCATCAATCCTTTCCCCTTTATTCTCAGTCTCATCTTCTATCAGTTTTCTTCTTTTTCTAGCAGGTACTCAGTGACGGCACACCTATGCCATGATTTGATCAGCACGTTACATCTAGCTGCTCCCTTTTCCTACTGCGATCTAGTCCCACAGACAAATAAGTGGACACAGCACATCTCTTTCCCAGGCACATAACCTTGAATCTCCCCCTCTGCTTCTACAGTCACACCTTCTCGCTCTCACCACCACAGAAAACACCTGCCTTTTCTTCTTTTGGAAAAGACACTGGTCTTTGCTTTTTCTCATTTTAGCCATTTTTCTTCCTCTTACTACAATTTTTATTAATCCTTGCACCACTTCTTACCCACTAACAATACTGTCTGCTCTCATTCCCATTAATTCTCCTATGACATCTCAATATCACAATAAATCTCCGAACCTTTCTTCCTGACTTATCCTTTACCTTTGGTCCCAGTTACAACTCTTTGCAATAGGAAAAAGTCATTTGATGTCTGTGGGTCTGTTTGCTCCTCTGTAAAATAAAGGCATTAAATGAGATTATTTCTAAAGACACTTTCAGCTTTAACTTCTGATCCAACTGATTCTGCGTTTAGCTCTTCAGTGATTTTTCATGTGTGGCAAGTTCCATTTCATTTCCTATTTCCTAACTCACTTTCAAATCTCTCCTTTCATTACTTTCTTATCATTTCCAAAGTCTTAACCACATTTTTCATCATTATTTCTTACACCAAGCCAAGTGATTTTTACCACACCTTAATGATGGTCAAAAGAGAGTGTTTTGTGTTGTGTTTTACATTTTTCCTAATGCTGGCAAGCAGAATGATAGAAAGATAATGTTTCAAGTCTGAAAGAAAACCACCTCATTCAGACTTTCCTTCACCATGAATGAGATCTTCTCATGATTGCCTTTGAGAAATCCGTGATTGAAAAGTTTTGTTAAACACCAGTGACAAGCAGCTAATGGCATAATATCTGCTTTGATTTTCTCAGACACACTCTAAGTTTTCATCCTCACTTCTCTGTGGTCCTTCACCTTTGACTTCCTTTATCATGTAACTGCCAATTTTGATCGTTTAATTGAAAGAGGAAGAGTGACAAGAAAAATAAACAATTTAGCTCAGTGGATTGCCCCCTTTACAAATAAGGAAACAAAATTTGTCCTTCTAGATTTCAGACTAAGCTGATAACATTTTAAAAATCCTGTACAGAAAGGTCTTTTTAAATGCTTTTATTTGCCAAAAGTTTTGGGTGATTTTGAAATACATTAGACATCCCATTCATTGAGGAAAAAGACAGTTTATTCCAAAACATTCTTTAATAGTCCTAAACTGATTTTGTCTATCAGAGCAAAAGGAACAAAGGTAAAAATCCACCTGAAAAAAGATCTTTGTATCATGGAAATTATGAAGCTGGATTTCTTAGACATTAAAGAAATTCACAGACCCACATAGTTTAAAAATTTAATTTTTAAGATTAAATTTTCACAACACATTATGACTGTAAATGAGTTACCTGAATACCAATTATTACCTCTAGTTATTTTTAGCAAGGGAGCTGGACTTCACTTTACTTAATGCTAGCTTATAAATTTAACTTTGTAAAATTATAGTGGAAATGTGTCCTGGCTAGCTGCCTCTGCCCAAAGCAAATGTCATCTCCCCTAAGTGCCACAGTTCTATCTCCCCGTCCTCTGAGCTCCACTGAAACTTACCTTGTATCCTTCTTGTCCCCCACGCCTTCTAAATAAGAGTCTCTTGCATCTATCAATATGTGTTTGTGGAAGAAAGGAAGGTGCAGAAAAATAAATACGCATCATAGTTTAATTAGGAAAGTAAGGGCTTTGAATCAAACCCAGCTTTGTATCTCACTTCATCTATTTATTCATCATGTGACAATAGACAGTTGAGTTAACCCTTCTGACCTTAGTTTCCCCATCTTTATCATGGAGATAATGAGACCTTCTTCATTGGATATTGTGAAGATTAAACTGGATATGATTATATATCACCTTGCACATAGAGGCTCTCAATTAAAAAAACACTTCTCTTTCTTCTATTCTAGCATATCATTCATGGTCCAATCCTGCATTACAGTTGGTTGAATGCAGGTCTGTTTCTAGGCAGCACATTTTTGAAGGCAAAGTTGTTCATCTCTGTATTTCCTGTAGAACCTAGGGTGATGAGCTGCATAGTCTGGAGGCACAGGAACTGCATATTATACTAAATTGAGAGCTGAGCCAGGATGGCCAAGGCTGTGAAGCAATTATCCATGGATTTGGTCATTTGGGCTCTTTTGGTAGTATAGTTCCTCTCATGAATTTCCACTCTGGTCTTAAAACAGCCCATCATGTTTTTAAATTAGCTTGCACAAAATACAACTAATTTCCTAGATTCTTTGGCAACTGATCAGAATACTATTCTATGTCTCGCTATAGAAACTCCTGCAGGCATATTGACTATACCCTGAGAAAGACAAAACTAAATGCACTACATGATGCTGGGAAAACAAGTTGTGATGAAAACAGTGCTGAGTCAAATAAATATAGATTATTAACTCCAGCTTGCCCTTGACTGGTCATGAGACCTTGGACAAGCTACCTATGCTCATTAAGCCTCAATTTAACTTCTTGACATCTCAACTATAAAAAACAAGGGTATTTTTTGCTTTGTTTGGTAATTTTGAGGAAAAACAACAACAAATGAGAGATAATTCTACTTTAGTTGTTACACAGGGTTGTTGGGTAGAGAAGGAAGGTGATGCCTTGGAACAGACTTTAACAACTGTGAGGCAGGATAAAAAACAAGTCCTGAAAGCCATCACTTTTTGACCATAGTGAGCTCTTCTTTTGTAACGGTTCAGGCTTCTAACCTTATTTCCTCCTTTGGCAACTGACCAGCTCACGCACACATACTAGTGATGAAATCCACATAACTCCATATCTTTTCCTCTACATGGCCAAGAGTTTCAGTGCAACAGGAAAGTGCTGTCACGGATCCATCGTGCAACACATACAGTGCTGTAAAGCAAAGGCCTCGTCTGCCTGCAGGCAGCAGGAACTGCACGCATTACCCTTCTGTCTGATGTACAGCCTAACTGCTTCGTGCTTCTTCTCATGTGTTGAGCCACAGCTTTCTTGTAGAGTATTTCAAAAATACAGCCCCAAAACAAAGCATAATCGAAAGTCATCCCAGGTGAAAGTGGTTGGCTTGGGGGAGGTCACACAGTCCTTTCAGTTCAGGTAGAATCCTTGTTTCTAGGTCATTTGACCAACATCATCCCAGGCTCCTTAGGGAAATCAGGAGGGGGCAGAAGCAGGCTGACCAGCTACAGGCTACACACAGAAGAACGAACCTTCCCAAATTTCTGGAAAAAATCTTCTTGTGCCCGGGCCAAGGCCTCTTCGTCAATGTAGACAGCCGGCCTCTTGGCCATGAGGAAATACTGCACCTTCCTCAGATTCCAGCCCATCACATACTGGAGCCAGCCGCAGACAGCCGCGGTGGAGCGGCCCACCCCAGCGTTGCAGTGCACGTACACGATGTGTCCCTTCTCCAGCAGCGCATGCAGCAGGCACACCGCCTGGGGCAGCATCTGTACTCGGCCTGCGGTGGGGAAAGCACAGCACACATGTGAATAACTAAACCACCAGATACCGCCGCTGAGGTCTCCTCCAGCACAGCCTGAAATCACAGGGCTGCACAGGGCCAGGCAGGGATACGAGAGTTTGCTTTCTTTCTGCATTGTGAAGGAAAAAGTGAGACCATTTTACAATCTGCTAATAGCAAAGTGGAAAGAGCATTCCAGAGGCCAGAGGCTCTCTCTAATCCTTCCCTGGGTATTGCTGCTCCTTTGGGTGACTTCGCCATCCATGCAAATATCCCTCCAAAGAAAAGTGACCTATCGCCTGTCATCAGAATGCACTTTCACATGAAGTTTTTGCAGAGATTGGTCAGAATTTTAGAGGATTCAAAAAAAAAAATAGTTGTCAGGTCTGGCCACCTGAATTTCAGTAAATCCAAAAGTATCTTCCAGCTAAATGTAAAACACAGAAGCGGCCCATAATAGTTAAAGGAATCAATCTGTTCATTCAACATACACTCATTTTCATTTGTTCAATGGAATGGCTAACATCATTCGATACAGATGGATAACCAATTGTTCATTTATTCCCTCGAGTTACAATGAATACTAAAACTGATTTAATTTCTATATTTTCAGGAAATTTTATAATTTGGGGTTTACTTCAAGGTTACCATTTTGATTATTAGATTATTCAAATATCTTCTCAACACGCCAGGAGAGGACACGTTATGCCCTGCTGAGGCCTGGTAGACTCTGCTCCGCTCTCTCATCCCGTGGGACAGAGAAGCGCCCCACAGTCACTTCCTTGAGCTCCTGGATGCCTGAAGTTTCTCCTGCTCACAGGTTCTCAGTACAGAGATATTTTGTAAGTTGGGTTTTTTGTTTGTTTTCAGCGGGTGATCAATGTAAATTATTTCAAAGGGAAAGGAAGAGGGAAATGAGAAAGCCCTCTTTTGAGGGCTCATGACTTGGCATTCTCTAGCTACAGGAACACAGTGGCCCGAAAGGATCCTCCGACGGTCACACACAAGAGTTCTTTGTGGCTTTCACGTTGCCATCCTTATTGGATGACCAAAGAGATGGGAACACCCCTCCCTCGAAAGATTTCACCTGGGGATCTGCCGTGAGGCCCAGAATTCTCCCATGACAGCCACTCCCATGTTTAGACTTCCCTCTTTAGATGTCCTTTGGTGAAATACAAGTGCCCCTGAAGGAGCCAACACAACACACTGAGATGAGGCATCAGCACCTGAGAAGGACAGAGTTTACCAAGGACCACAGTGTGGCTTGAAAGGCCTCTCACTGGCCATTCCACCCAGCCAGGCATCATCCTCAGCTTCAGGCTCATCAAGCTCTGAGAAGGAGCAGAGTCCACATGGAAGCCAGGATAATATTCTAATTTTGTTGCTGGAGCTCTGTTAACCCCCTAGTGAAGAGATCTAAGACTGCATGCTCCACACAGCAGTTTAGAACGTTTGTACCTGGAATGCCTTCCGGCAGGGAGGACACGGTTTCAGTTCCTTGAGCTCCATCCTTCTCTGGCCTGTTGCCATACACTGTTGTTCCCTGCCTGGTCCCCAAGGGCATTTGTATTAGAGTTACCAGCTTCTATGTATATCTGATTCCTCATAGTCCAAACTGAACCATGAACTTTAACCCATCTAAACCACCACACCTGATTCCACGGCACCGTGAGATTACAGCGAGGTGGGTCTGCCACTCAGTTACTCATGGTGCCCTCCTAGAGGCACTAAAATATCACTGGAGATGCAACAGGATGGTGAGAGCATCATGTGTGACAGCAAGATGTCTCAGCATGTCTCAGGGAGAGCACTGCATGGCAGATCCACTATTTGCGCTGGGGGATCAGAGGACCAAAACCTCCAATGTATGATGGATCAGCCCTGCTGAGAATGGAGAGGCCTGCTCCACTGTGGGGCTTCTGTTCTGCTGAGGGTATGAGGGGTTCACTCCAGGGAAAGCTGGGTGGGAGGAGAACTCTGCTGCTCGAGCTGGAAGCGTAGGTTCTTCCTGCTCCTGCCACAGCTAGCATCACATGGCAAGCTCCCTGCTGTGCCTGTCTCTCCAGATACTATGTGCCTTGGCAGGAAACAAAAAAGAATCATTTAACGTAGGTTCAGGCTTGCCTCAGATGCCCAGTATGTGAATAGCCCACAGTGGTCATTTGCAGTAGGAGCTGCTGGACTCAGAATCCCAGCCCCTGGCACTCGGTGCATACAACATCAGTGTAACCAGCCTGCAAACAAGATCTTCCCTGGTCCCAGTCAAGATCCCTTCCCCAGACCTGTTCTCTGGCCAGAGGTTCCCCTAGGATGGGTCTGCACCAAATAGCACAAATGATGCAATACATTCCCCTTTTCATTTTATGTGTAAAACATTCTTCAAGAGGTATGTACACAGTTTAGAAGTTAAAAAGGGGCATGTGTTAGTTTGAGGTTCTGTGATCTCAGGCACACACTCCTGAAAGGTACATGTCAGCTAACATGCAGAAGCTCCCAAGGCTCCCAGCCTCACACAGATTTCAGCATTGGGCACAGCCATCAGTGATCTTCTCCCGGAATCACTCAACCATTGCACTGAAGAATGAGCAAATGTTTAATCAACATAAAGAATAAATACTTAAGAAGGGTATCAGAGGCCAAGCGCGGTGGCTCATGCCTGTAATCCCAGCACTTTGGGAGGCCGAGGCAGGTGGATTGCCTGAGGTCAGGAGTTCGAGACCAGTCTGGCCAACATGGTAAAACCTCATTTCTACTAAAATTAAAAAAAAAAAAGCCAGGCATGGTGGTATACACCTGTAATCCCAGCTACTCAGGAGGCTGAGGCAGGGGAATTGCTTGAACCAGGGAGGTGGAAGTTGCTGTGAGCCGAGATTGTGCCACTGCACACCAGCCTCTGGGAGAGAGCAAGACTCCATCTAAAAAAGAAGGGTACCAGAGAAGTAGCTGGTCCAGGGTGCCCACTCATCTCAGCCTGGCCACAGCTGGAGGCCTGGTTTATTTTGATCTCCTGTGACTACAAATCACCCGCTTTGGTTGATGGTAGATAACATTTATTGAGCCCTTTCTACCTTCCCAGCACTCTCGTAAGCATTTTACATGCACTAGCCCATTTACAACCACCTCTTAACAACTATGAGGTCAGCACTGTTGTGATCTTCAATTTATATATGAACAAATTGAGCACAGACATTTGCCCAAGGTTATTCCTTAAGTGGCCACTCAAACTCAGCCAGTGTGACTCTGAAGCCGCAGGTCTTAACCACTGTACTGTGGTCCTTCCCTAATCCACCTGGTTAATGGTATTTGTTGGCCCCCATCTTGTCAATCTGGATTCTCAGTCAGTCCCTCTGCACTCACTTACCAGCCCATGCTGCTGCTCTTACCCTGGGTGAGAATAATGTCCTCCTTGAGGATTAACACCTCTGCCCCACCCTAGAGGAGCCCTCTCAAGAGGACCATGTCTCTCTGCTTGAAACCCATTCTAGGAAGTCTAACCTAATATGTGACCCACTAAGGAATAAAAAGAGGGTCCCCAGGAAGGTTCATCTTGATGTACCCAGCTCAACAAAGCCAGTGTCAACCAGAGCAGCTATAGATAGGCTCCACATAGAATTTAATTTGATAAGACATTTCCATTCTTAAAAACAATAAAACCTCAAGAAAAGACAGAAATCCAGATCTTTTAACATAAAGTATTCCAAACTTTAAATGCTGACAACTAAGTTGAAAAACTGTAAATCCTTTGCAGGTCAAACAAGACATTCTACCCTCTGAGTTTCTGACTCTGTAATTTAATACAGGCCCTAGTTCTCAGTAGATGCTCCATACACACTCATTAAGTCCATGAATAAACACAAGACTAGAAAAACAGCAATAAAAGCCTATTTGATCTGAGACACTACTAAGCACTTCTAGCCTAACCTGTGGTTCACACCAGCTCCAGGCTAATCTGACTCTGGACCAACCAAAAGCTTCCTGAAAGCACTATTGAGCCAGCCAAGGTTGTGAGGAGAGGGAGAGGTAGAGCATTTGGGCAGGTAAGTCAAGTAGCCTGAGGTATTAGGGCCTGAGATAAAAGAGAGGGGTCAAAAGGCCCTAAAGATATGCTTTATCCAAGGTTGATCCTGAAAGAAATCTGCAGCTTTCAGCCTTTCTCTCTCTCTCTCTCTCTCTCTCACACACACACACACACACACACACACACACTTTCCTTTCTTACTCCAGGAGCAGATATATGATGAATATATTATGTGGGGGGCATATTTTTTTCCATCTTTGAAGTGTAATATAGATAGGATCTACATTATCTATAACATCCTTTGGTAGAAACTTAAAGACTTGGAACTAATCCTACAATTCCAACTTTGTGATTTTCAAAGCCCTTTCATATCAATTATCTTATTCTACTGTTATAGTCCTGTAAGGTGGAAATTACTATCCTCATTTTCTTAATGCAGGAACTAGCCTGCCGATATCCTCCCAGCTACCCAGTGGTGACAAGGCTTTAGCCCAGTTGTCTTGGCTCCAAGGTCAGCATTTCCGTGCAATGGGAGAGCCGAAATCAGTGTGTTGAGCAAGGGAAAGGAAGTCAGACTTTGACAACAGAGGGGTAGCTGAGGACTTCATGAAGCCTGTGAACTCATTTGGGAGGCAAGGGTAGACATTTGTTATAAATAGTGCTGCAGTGACAGAGGTCAAAACACAACCTGAATACCTTCTATGCAAAGAAAATTTTAACGAGCAGATTTGTTTCATTTTGTTTTGTTCAGGTGAGTGTTAGATTTGGCAGATTTTCATTCCCTAGGTGAAAGACACAAACCAAAATGTTTATAAAAGATTTTTTAAAAAAAGAAATCTACACCACCATTCCACATATGACAAAAGCATGCAAGAGTAAGGATCGATCACACGATTGATTATAACAGGTCTGTGACAACTAGCGGTGACAGTCAAGCCTAACAAACTGTCTTCTTTCTCAGACTTCAACTGAGAGCATTATGCTGCAGCTCAAAACACTTCCAACTGGGTTTTTCTCTAGAGTTCTAAAAATATTCAGCTGATTAATCTATGTGTTCATTGGGCTAATACTGTGAGCCACAGACATTGGTCTATTGGTAAAAAGTTCCCCTGCCACTCAGAAGTGGTTATTAACCCTTAGATTACACCCCCAGGTTAGGCCAAGCCAAAGAAATCCATTAGTCGGTCTTACAGCTGGGCCTTTATCACGTGGAAGCTTGCATTTTGCAGCTCAAATGCCACTGCACTGTCTCAGCCTGAAAGAAGCTATGCTACTGCACTAACAGTTACGACTGTGACCTGGTAACCCACTGACCGCAAAAAAGGTTCGTGAACACAACTACAATGGGTCCTTGGGGATACAGTTTTCCCTCAGGCTTCTGCAGAGTCCCAAACTATCAAGCAAATTACTATCTGTCAGCAGAGCCTTCAGGTAATCAGTGTGTGGGTTGGGATGGGATGGCGGGGGATGCGTGGCACAGTTGGCAGCCTAACTTCTCCCAGCCTCGTCTCACATCATTCTCCAACAGGATAACAATGCTGTCAAATCAGATTCAGAGATGCTAACATCAAAATGCTCTCTGGAAGCTACAGTCCTTCAAATCCTAACTATCTTCTCTGTTTTGAAACCAGGAAAACCAGCTGGACAAGGTAAATATCACCTGGATTCAACCAATGTGCATCTTCGCAAATGAAGTTTTTCTTTTTTTCTTCCTTGAAGAAGGGCAGAGCTCTTACAGCTAAATCATGCTTCCTTAGGTCAGGTTACCAAGAGGAATAACCAGACTGTCAGCAGCTCTCTCCACCTTCAGGAACAAACATTATACCCCATCCCCAATGGCAATTCAGCTCAGACACAGATCAACAAAGGGGCCCAGCCTGGCCAGGAGGACCACCTGAGATCCATAAAGGGCTGAGGTGGGCAAGGTCCAGAAACGTAGATTTCCTGTGGTCCTCATGGTTTTTTATCTTGCAGACCATTCACTCTTGGGGAGACAAGCTACTTCCCTTGCAATTTGTAGGCTCTGCCTAACTCCAGATGATCATGAACATAAGGGGTTGAAATTGCATGGGTCTGAAGAACCTGCCTGAAGCGTCTGTGTAAGAATGCAGGGAGAAGCTTCATAGCTGGTAAAGTTGCTGTCTGGAGCAATGTTCTGGGTCCGACTGCCAGCCTTGAAATTCAGAATGGGCCTCTTTTTAGTTCTATGACATGGGCAATAACTTTTTCATGCCTCAGCCTCTTCGTCTGCAAAATAGAGACAGCTACAATATCTGCCTGGAGTCTTATTATGAGAATTAAATAAGCTAATTCTTGTAAATTGCTTAGGAGAGTGTTTTGTACATAATATACATTTGGGGGAAGAGGGCTAAAGATAGAAACGTCTCTGAGCTGGATATCACTGTCCTTTCCCCAGCAGAGGAGGTCATCAAACTCCTTAGCCTCTCCCATTTCTGAAGCTCTCTGCTGCCCCCTGCTGACAGCTGCTTGATACTATCGGTGTAACTTGGTTCTCTCCTCTGCCGACTGTAGTTATCTCTACTCCTCTTCGACAAGTACCCTATTCTACAACCAGGCTAAAATCCCTATCATTCCTCTAAAATTCCATGCTTCTGTGCCATAGCCTGTGCTGCTGCTTCCCCCTAGCATGCCCTTTCTCCCTCCACATCTACCTATCAAAGCCATGCCCACCTCAAGTGCCATGGCATTCACGCAGCCTCCCTTTGTCGCTCCCCAGAATGTGCTCTTCCCATGCATAACCCTCCTCCAGCACGGTCCTCACTCCTCTCTTACCCATTCCCCTCTGTGCTGTAATTAGTGTCGAACTCGTCTTACTGTACAACTGCTTCTTCCTGCTATAGGATAGCGTCTAAAGTCCTTTTTGTCGCTCAAATCCTGCAGGATCATCTTTCCTCGTTCTCTGATCCAAGCCACATTGGTCTTTCAGTTTTTGCAACACTCTGTGCTCTCTCCTGCCACAAGGATTCTTCTAAGCTGCTGCTTCTGCCTGGGTCACTCCCTCCACTCACTCTTCCTCCAGCCCACCCTCAGATCTTAGCCCAAACACTACTTTCCAAGAAAACCCTCTTTGACCCCACTTCTTGGCCTGATTACCTGTACATAATCTCATAGCAATATCTATATATTTTCTAACAAAAAATTCATCATAGTTTTAAACTTCTATTTTTAGTCATTTGATTAACATTTGCCATCCCTATAGGACAATGCGCTCCGTGGGGGCAGAAGTTGTGCCTGTCTTTCTTTACTGCTGTGTTCCTAGCTACTAGCATAATGCCGCATACCCAGTACATACACAATAAATATGTGTTGAATGAATAAACAAAGAAGCCACATTAAACAGAATCTTAGCCACAGTGTCAAAACATATGTATTATATATATTAAATCTAAAATCTTATATTTATTCCATTTCTACCATTCATTTTTAAGATATTAAATTATAGATAGACAGACAGACAGCAAGGGTTTCTCTGAAATACAGCAAGGAGGCAGAACAGTTCTGATCCTTACCTTCGGTGCTCATATCTGGTGTTGGCATCCAGATGTAGGCCAAGCCTTCTTCCCTATATAGTTTAATCATAGTGTCTGGAGTCATGGGCTCTGGGTAGCGGTTACAGCCTGAGGAATTCTGTACAATATCCCATTCAGTCTGGAAATTCATTACAGCTGTAATCCCCAATTCATGCTTCAGTTTGATGGTTACATGTTCCACCTGACGAGGGCAGCTACCCAGCCAGATATTTGGTAGAATTCTAATGAGAACATATGGAGACAACTATCACTAGTGTTGTTCTGATTTGAGGTTTAAGGAGCTGCATAAAACATGTAGTATTAAAATATAACTAACCTTTAAGTCTGGCACAGGAAAAGCTAGATATTTTAGAATATGAACACCAATGTTATTATTGAAAGAAAAAGTACTGGTGTTGCTGCTTTGGGGAAAGCAAGTATTTCAATTAACTAGAACGCCAGGAAATGGACATTTGCAAACCAAATCAAGCAATATATTAAAATAAGTCTACCAAGTTGTACTTATTCCATGAATGCATATATGGTTCCACATGATAAAAATCCATCAATAGACTTCAAATGCTAACAAATTAGAGGTGAAAATTCCTGTAATTATATAAATAAATTCTGAAAAACAAATTTCAGCAGGCATTCCGGTTTAAAAGTCTATGCAAATATTTCAAATAGTATGAGACTTTTAACATATGCTAAAGAACAGAAGCTAAAAAACAACAGACTTCTTTTAATAAGATCAGAATCAACATTAATTCCATTAGTACCTAGCAGTGTTCTATAGGTTTCATCTAATGCTGCAAGGTAAGAAGGAGAAATAGCAATATAGTTTCCTTTTGGAAATTATCATTGAGGTTTATTATAGAAAAAAATAATGAAATGAAAAAGTTAAAAACTCAGAAAAATTTTAATAACCCTTTAGACAAGAACCCAAGGAGAAAAAACATAAAACACGCTTATCTGGCCGGATGCAGTGGTTCACACCTGTAATCCCAGGACTTTGGGAGGCCAAGGCAGGCGGGTCACCTGAAGTCAGGAGTTCTAGACAAGCCTGGCCAATTCTACTAAAAATACAAAAATTAGCCAGGCGTGGTGGTGGACACCTGTAATCCCAGCTACCGGGGAGGCTGAGGCAGAAGAATTGCTTGAACCCGGGAGGCGGAGGTTGCAGTGAGCCGAGACTGCACCACTGCACTTCAGCCTGAGTGACAGAGTGAGACTCCATCTCTTAAAAAAAAAAAAAGTTTATTCTCTCCTGTAGGGTAAGCAGAACTGAAGTTTTAGAAAGACAGTGGTGGATCTTCATTAGGGAACTGGGCAATTGGCTTCTCATGTTAACAATGTTGACAACAACAGCCAAAAGGAAAAATGTAAAAACCAAAAAAGAAGCTGGCGCAGTGGCTCACGCCTGTAGTCTGGCACTTTGGATGGCTGAGGCGGGGATTGCTTGAGGCCAGAAGTTCCAGACCAGCCCAGCCAACATGGCAGAAACCTCGTCTCTAGTAAAATTACAAAAATTAGCTGGGCGTGGTGGCACACACCTGTAATCCCAGCTACCTTGAAAGGCTGAGGCCTAAGAATTGCTTGAACCCAGGAGACAGAGGTTGCAATGAGCCAAGATCACACCACTGCACTCCAGCCTGGGCGATGGGGCAAGAACCTGTCTGAAAAAAAAAAAAAAATTAAAAAAAAAAAAGATTTCGTATAACATTTAGTAACAATTGTATGATGTTAGGCCAAGTTATTTATCAACTCTAACCTGTTGGTGTACTCATCTTTAGAATGGGTCTAAAAATAACTCATAAAAATCTTGTAAGGAATAAATACAATTAATGTACCTGAATTGGACTGAAACCGTGGATGCACAGTAAGTGCAAGCGGATTTCATGTGTAGCTATAGTGATTTACTTATTTTTGTAATTTACTTTGCATTGCATTGTAAAGATTATTCAGTTAATTCTTCATTGTTTCCTATATTCTTCATTTGAATGCTACAGAGTAGAAGATACCCTATTTTTTTGTATGAAAGCTAGCTTTTTTTGTTTTTTGCTTTTTTCCTTTTGGTGGTGGTTGTCATTGTTGATGTTAACAGGAGAAGCCAATTAACTAATCCTCTAATGTGGTCATGACCCATAATCAGTGAAAATTATCTCATAAGATCTGGCACTATCTGTCTAAAGCCTGAGCCCTGCTTCCCCTGCAGGAGAAGAACAACTTTTTTTTTTTTTCTACTTGTGTTCTTGTCTAAAGGGTTATTAGGAATTTCCTTGCAGAAATCCTTATTGAGGATTATTATGGGAAAAAAATGATAAAAGAAAAGTTAGAAATGGCAAAAGACTTAATGGTGATGGAAAGAGAGGCATGAAATCCAAGGCCTTCATCTTATCCCTGGATCCAGATAATTCTTAGATATTCCACTGGACCCAGTGTACTGAGAGAAAGACCTTGAGCAAGGACACTTGCAGGGTGCCCAAGAGCCGAGCTTCATCAGGACCTGGATAGCTGAGTATTCGGGGGAAATGTCACACCCACTTGCTGATTGCCCCTTCCCTCTGGCTGTTGAGTGAGACCTGCCTCTAACTAGATGTCCCATCCCTCTTTCCAGATCTTTCAAAGATCCCTTACCCAGGGACCTGCTGGATGCCTAGTGAGGTGATAGTGCTGGGCTCACGTATGTATACTTTGGGGTTCAACTGAGCACACTAAAGCTCCTAAGCTGGAAAAGAGGGAAGTGGACACTTCCGTTACATAACCAAGAAATAGAAACTATTATAAGACAGTAATTTTTATTTGTTTGTTTGTTTTTTTCAACTGGCAAAATTTTAAAGAGGACTGGTAAAATATTAAAGAGAATTTCATGACAGGCAAGCTAAAATCCAAATACCACTCAGCATTTTCTTGAATATTGCACTCTTTGAGTGGGTACTAGTTAGTATTTCGCTAGTCGGTAAATGCCAAAATAAAATGGCTGGCTGATTTTTCACACAGGATTGCATAAAAGCTCAAGAATAGTTCATAGAGATACACAAAGGGTAAATTAGGACATTTGAGCCTGCAATATAAGAAATCAGAGTCAGCATATCCCAAATCAGAGTCAGTCTATAGAGTCACATGTTGTTGCTAAAAGAGGTGTTATTCTATCATATCCTTCAGCCCTGGCCTTCAAATGTTTTTAAGGTGATAGGGAAACTCAGAACAAGTCAAAGATAAACAGGCCCAAAGCCAGTAGCTTAACACATATATCTCACACATAACATTTCTGATGGAAATAAGCCCTTAAAATATACATCCAGACATGGTGGAAGTCAGAGTCCATATTTAAGAAATGAGTATGAACTAATTTCTGCTACTTTAAAACAAGATGTTCTAAACCTAGAGACAGATAACTAAAGATAAACTCTGAAAACAAACACTATATTGAAAGATAGAAAAGTAAGGTTATAAAGTGATTTGTACTGAATCATTGTATGGGATGCAGAGACAAAGACTGGGCCTGTTGGAAACAAACACATCAATGGATTCTGCTTAATCAGACAGCTAAAGTGCCCTTCATGTGCATCCTATTTCAGTTTGTTTTCCAAAAGTAGGTGATATATTTCTAGTTATAGGATTCACTGGGGGTAACAAGATACATGATATGCTTTCTAAAAAGTAATTAAACTTTTACTCATCCATTCAAAAGAGGATAATTTGATACCATTAAAAATTCATTTTTACTCATCTCATCTCAGTTTTAGTCTTCTTTTGGTATCAATGTTATTTTAAACAATTTTTAACATCAGGATTTTTAGGGTGAAAAGAAGCCTGTTGACATATGAGATTAGAGAATAAAAATTCTCTGTAAGAGTAGTTTTAATGCAAGGCATACCAAAATTCAAAGATATAATGGAATAGAAGTTATAGCTTACAATTATAAGTTATATCATAAAACTTCCAGAGACTTGTTTCATAAATAATCCACTATCAATCATGAACTCAAGAGATTTCTGGCAGCTCCACTATAGACTATTTGGAGGTAAAGAGACGCCAACTAAACCAACAGGGTATTGACACTCAGTCAGCTCAGGACAGAAGTTTTCAAACCTGGCTATGCATTCAAGTCACATGAGGTACTTTTATAAAAACATCTATTACCAGGATCCATCTCAGAGATACTTATAGAGAGGCTTGGGAGTTAGGCCTATAATTCTGTAGGTTCTTTGATTTTTGGTCTGTTTAGAAATTAACTAGATTGTGTAAGCAGCAGATTCCAGAACCACCACCTTGGACCACCAGTCCAAGGTCTCCATATGCATGTAAGAGAAGCTTAATATATAGAGCCCAATATCTTTTTTAAATATCAGTAAAAAATATGGAGATGAGAAAAAATGGGCTTCCTCAGTCTGACATATCTACAAATTAAGGTGAGTTCTTATCTTTGTCCAAAAAATAGTGTCAAGACTACAAATAATTCCTAGAGTGAGAAATTATTTGTTATGAGAGACAATGTATATCCATGTGTTTAATGCACAGTACCTTCTAACTGGTCAAAACTAAATCTACTTCTGAGCCACGACAAATATTTAATATAGTCCTATGCATAAGAATGTACTTTTGTAGAAAAAAAATTATTAACTAGGGTTTTGACTATTTCTGCTGTGCTATAATCAGATTATACATAAATAAAATCTACCCTAGTAGTATTACAACTTAGCTAAAGACCAGGGGAAAGAATAGATGGCTGACATTCTGGAACCTTATTTTCTTAGACTGCAAATCAAAATCAATTTAACTCATTTGAGTGAATCTGGATTTGTGGTTCCAGGTAACCATATCATAATACTACAGTATTTGTTTCACCCATCAGGCTTGGGCCTGTGGTCCAACAGCTACTGAAGCGTATGAATCAGACGCTCAACTGTCAGTCAAAGGAAGCCTCACTGGCACATCAGACAGAATGACCATCCAAGCACTTTGTAAAAATCACCACAGGGTATCGACAGGAGAAGTGGGTGTCTAAAAGACAAAAGGTATTGGGAGACAAGTCCATTCAATGGACTTCACATTACAGCTTCCATCACTAATGGCCATGAGAAATGGCAGAATAACCTTTTCCTAAAGGTGAAAATCAGCATTATTTTGTGTCCATCGAAAGAAAAAAAGATGAGGAAAACCACAGGAATAATGGAACCAGCTTTTGTTTATTTATCACACCTAAAGACTCCAACTGTTGAACTGCAGTGCCCTCTTCCTAGCCATACAAACGGAGCACCATTTCAAAAAATAGAGAAAATCGATTTTGCTGAAGCTCTTAACAAAACCCAGCTAAGAATTTAAAAGGAAAGAAAAAAAAGCACATTTCCTAAGTTGGATAATTGTGTTGCATTTATCTTATTTAATATTTTACGGGCAATTCAATGAGAAATTAAAATATGAACTGGCTCTTAAATAATGAGTAAAGGGAAAAAAAGTCTATCCGTCCTATAATTTAGATCTCATTAGTGGGAAAGCAAGAGAAACATTAAAATCAACCTCTAGTAAGCTCCAGGCTTCAGTAGCACATACAGCTCCTTCTGCTGAAAATTTGTCCTCTAGCATCCAGTGTTAAGTTATTAATGCCAAACTTCTACCCCAAAAGGGTGCTTATAACAGGCTCCAGTTAAGGCTGAATAACTACTCAAAGACAAATTCCAATTTAGAAAGTGATACTAATTAGCTTCTTTATTAAACCATAGTTTTATTATAGTTTTTTATGAGTCATACACTATGTATATAGAGCACAAGTTAATTTCTGTAAGTCCAGTTCATTTCTTACATTTTGGGGATGTACTGTGTAGTTTAGAGCCATATGAAAGCAAATAATTTTTGACAAAATGCTCTTTTATTTTCCATATTATGAAATGCCATATCATTAATTATAAAGGCCTATTATGTTGACTTGTGTCCCCCTCCCCAAACTCCTATGTTAAAGTCCTAACGCTTAGGAACTCAGAATGTGACTGTATTTGGAGACAGGGTCTCTACAGAGGTGATCAAGTTAAACTGAGGTCATCAGAGTAAGCACTGACCCAAAATGACTAGTGTCCTTATAAGAGGGGGGTTTCAACACAGACACAGAGGGAAGACAATGTGAAGATACAGGGAGAAGATGGCTTCAAACAGATGCTGCCACTCAGCCCTCAGAAGGAGTCAACCCTGTGGACACCTTGATCTCAGACTTTCAGCCTCCAGAACTGTGAAATAATAAGCTTCTATTGTTTAAGCCACACTGTCTGTGGCACTTTGTTAAAGCAGCCTTAGCAACCCAATAAAAGTCTAAACATTCAGGCTTAAAATAGAGTCATTCAATCATCCAGACTCTTTTCAAATATCCATACACCAGACGTCCTTAAAGCATTGTAATAGATCTTTTTTCACCATTCATCCTGATGTTTGGAATTCTTGCAAATACAACTAGCATTTGATGGTAGTTCCCAAATGCTCTCTTTACACAATACTACCCTTCTTCCTTCCTTCACTGATGTCCTTCCATCTATCACCTGCGCACCTCTCACATGAGGGAAAAGATCACCAGACTCCGACTAAAATGACTGAAATACGTGGGCCCCTTCTTGATCTAATGATTTGGTACTGAAGTTCTGGGGTGTCTAGGTTTAATAAATGTGGTATAGTCCTGGGTCCTCTTACATGACTCTCAGAGAATGAACCTCAATGAAGAATCCCATGATGTAAGAGCACAGTCTCTCAGACTCACAACTTCTTAAGACTGAGTCCAAGAGAGTTTGGCCTTCTTGTTTTTGAGCATATATAGCCCTGAAATTTGATCTATATGCCGTGTCAATAGATTATAATTGTAAATAAGGCAACTAGCAAACTTTGCTTCCTTAAAGTCAATCATGAGGCAGCACAAAGATTGAGGCAAATAACCAGGCTACGACTTGGTTACCTTGATACAGATTTAAACAAAATGTGCCTTGAAAATAGACTATTGGTTTGTTAATGTTGTTTCCAATGCTGAGCATTCTTTGAAAAGTTAAAATGCCATATTTAATTTTTTTTTTACTTAGTGAACTTGAAAAGACTTGTTTAAAATCAATCCCTTGCATACTGAATTAGGAAGCACAAAAGACCAAGGAATAAAAAATTAAATACGTGACTTTTCTTGTATTTGTTTTAAAGAATCTGTGGATTCAACAAATATGAAATGATGCCTGCTTTTTGCCAGTAATTCAACAACCAATAGTGAGCAACAGTAAGCAAGACAAAGTATGCCTTCATTTGAGCCTGCATTCTTTGATGAAGACAGGCAACAAACAAATACATTTACCAAATGTATACATTAGATAGAATTAATTTGTAATGTGCTTTTAAGGACATAAACATGGAATTAAAATAGAGAACTACAGGGGAACGAGATTTTAGATAAGACAGGAAGGTGCTCTCTGAAAAGGTGACATTAAAACAGATCTGACATCAGAAGAGGCAGATACCCAAAGTCCTTTTTAAAGCGAGAGTCAGGTATACTTTAGGAACTGTGAGAAACCTAGGGACATGGAGTGTGGTGAACAAGGAAGAATATGGAATGAGATAAATATAAAATGACCAGGCAATGCCTTATTGATATGCTAGGGAATTTATATACTAATATAAAAGCAATGAAAAACCAATGAAAGGTTTTTAGGTAGAAGAGTGACATGGACTTAGAGCTTTTAAATGGTGACTCTGGCAGTGATATGCAAATTTGATTGGGTAGCAGGTGTAGCAGAGACTAGAGAGGAAGAGGGAAGACCTTTCGGATGGTGATGGCTCAGAATACAGTTAGTGGTACAGATAGAGAGAAGTGGATAAGTTCAAGATGTACTTTAGCAGTAGAACCAACAGAACTTGCACATTAATTGGATGCAATAGTTGAGGAAAAGAGAAGATTTAAACATGACCCCAAGGTTACTAAAGCAGTATGATAATCTAAATTTTCTTAATCAGGTCTACTCTCAATAAAACTAATATCTACAAGTTTCTTTACTATATATTTTTACAAGACTCAGAGTTCATCAACATTTTATTTATTAGGCATCATGTTAATGGCCTGCATATGGCCCAAAACTTGATAATATCAAGCTATTCAATTCCTTTTGTTTTCCCTCAAATCTTTATTTTTATTATGGAAATGTTAATAAAGTAGGGTTTGACTGAAGTAAAAACTTTATACACTGGATATGTAGCCCATCAAATTTAAGGGTTAAATTTAACTGATAATTTATGAGTTACATTTAATTCATGTTATAATTTATGGTTTAAATTTAACTCATATAGAAATATCCACTGTAGACAAAGTAGTACACAATGAAACAGATTTATTTATGTAATCAAGTCACTAAATAGATTTTTTAAGTTATTCTTTGGACTTGTGGGTCTTTATTTCAGCTCCAAAACAAAAATGAATTTAGAAAACAAGACAGTTGGAAAATGAAAATATCATGATTTTCTTCCTTTTTTAATGTTAATGTCTTCTTCACTGCCAACTATTTAATTTGTTGAAATACAAGGAATTCCTGGGATAAAAAGGGATTCCATTAAATACTTTGAGCAACAACATTATAATTTTCTGAAAAAAAAAAATAGTTTTGGATAGGTGTATGATTATTATTCATCTAGACCACTGCATCTCCCATATTAATGTGGAGATGAGTCATCTGGAGATCATGCTAAGATGTAGATAGTGACGTAGGACATGTGAGCTGGAGCCTGAGAGTCTGCATGTTCACGAGCTCCCATGTAACACCCATGCTGCTGGCCCTTGGACCACAGTTCGAGTATCAACAAATACTCTAATAATTTAATCTAAATACTATTATCATATTATTATACATTGCAATGGTGCAGTACAGTTCATAATGTTCAGCTATACTGGGATGTTAACTAAGTAAGATCCTCCTGCTAAAGCAAACAGAAAGACAAGCATTGTATCTCTGTTGTTAATGCTAATATTAACCAGGCTCATTATTGTAAAAAATTCTACTAACTATAGATGATTTTAAAATCTCTTTTGCCTTTTTTTCGTGAATTCCCAGTGAGCAAGCTGCAGGAAACCAAATGGTTGTGTTTACAGAATCACCTTCCTTGGTTCTAAATCATTCCCCTTTTCTACTATTTACAGTGCTCATTGACCTCCTGATAGAAGCCTAAAATTGTGCTATATTTTGAAAAGCTGCATAAGTTTTTTTTATATATGGATGCTGAAAATTTAGGAAAATACACATAAGACTTAAAATTTATGGGGCATCAAATAATTTAAATGGTTTAAAACTGACACAATTAGCAGTGCTGCAGTCAGGGATATCAAAAATTAGATAAGGTTCTAGAAAGACAAAGAAACACTTCCTCTTCCCTATGAGATGTGAGTAATTAGGATGGCAGGAACAGAGGATAAATATTATATTTTTAATTAAAAATATTATAATATTGATGCTTCCCAAATCCCTGGGAAGTTTTGCTTCTTTCATTCATCCTGAAGTCAGAGTACAAAGAGTATACTTCATGACATGAGAGAGAAGTCATGATAGCTACTACCTACCAAGGATGTGAAAATCAGAAAGGCCTCTGTCCTCCTTAAATTACCCAAGGATCCTGAGGATCCATACATATGGGAAAACAGATACTTGTCAGTAATACTTGATCTATTTACTTTATTACTAAGTAGGAAAGATTGTAAATTAGCAATTAGACATGTAGCATAATACATTTAACAAGGAGAATTAAGTACCAATCCCACCCAAACTGAAACTGTCATATTTAAGTTGGTATATCTCAAACAACTCTAATCGTCATGAGTGCATTTGGTTACACATGTTCCTGTTTGCAGTTAATTCATCCTGGCAAGACCTTCAGAATACAGTTTTATTTAAGATCATCTCTTCTAATGAGCATACCTAGCTTCTATTGAGTGAAGTGCTTAATTGGTAAAAATTGATCTTAAATTTTTATCAACTAAAATTGTCTCTTCCACATTTCATAGCCCAGGACATTCACATTTCCATCTTATGTTATGCAAATGTTTCAATATTTTCAAAAGTGTTGTTGTTGTTGTTATGAGACAGGGGTCCCTTTATTGCTCAGGCTGGAGTACAGTGGCACAATCATGGCTCACTGTAGCCTCGAATTCCTGGGCTCAAGTGATCCTCCCACCTCATCCTCCTGAGTAGGACTACAGGCATGTGTCACAATGCCCAGGTAATTTCTTTTCTACTTTTTTGGAAACGAGGTCTTGCTACGCTGCCCATGCTAATGTCGAACTCCCCACCTCAAGTAACCCTTCTGCTTCAGCCTCGAAGGTCACTGGGATTACAGGGATAAGCCACCATCCTGGCAAACTTTTTTTTTTTTGAGACAAGGTCTGGTTCTATCACCCAGGCTGGAATGCAGTGGTGTGATCTCAGCTCAGTGCAACCTCTGTCTCCCAGGCTCAAGCACTCCTCCTGCCTCAGCCTCCCAAGTAGCTGGGACTACAAGCATGCACCACCACTAATTTTTGTATATTTTGCAGAGACAGGGTTTCGCCATGTTGCCCAGGCTGGTCTTGAACTCATGAGCTCAAGCGATCCACCCGCCTCGGCCTCTCAAAGTGCTAGGATTATAATAGGCGTGAGCCACTGTGCCCGGCCCTGGCAAAACTTTTAAGGACATTTATTCTGCATTCATGACTGTGCTTAATTGTGTGGAAACCTCATCTAAGCTTGGCGTTCTCATCTAACGAGAAGAGTCTGGATCTCAAATTTTCTGATATCTAATTAATTTTTCCCTTAAACAATGTAAATTATCCATAGACTCTTATTAAGAGCATTCACTCCAGCAGCCAGAGACCCAGCACCTAATGAGTCCCACCTGGCACAACTGTTGTTTCACTGACAATTTAACACACAGTTTCTTTTTTCTTTTTTTGAGATGGAGTGTTGCTCTGTCACCCAGGGGTGCAGTGCAGTGGCGCGATCTTGGCTCACTGCAACCTCCACCTCCTGAATTTAAACAATTCTCCTGCCTCAGCCTCCGGAGTAGCTGGGATTACAGGCACGTGCCACCACGCTTGGCTAATTTTTTTTTTTAATTTTTTATTTTTTGTATTTTTAGTAGAGATGGGTTTTCACCATGTTGGCCAGGCTGGTCTCGAATTCCTGACCTTGTGTTCTGCCCACCTCGGCCTCCCAAAGTGCTGGGATTACAGGCGTGAACCACTGCACTTGGCCACATACACTTTCTTTCATTCTCTATTGAAAATTCCATCACTAGGTGATTGCATGTATCCTACTGATCACCCTATTACCCTACACACATTTATTCTTACCATGCTTCCGTCCCCTTCATAAACTGTGTCCCTCACATGCCTTTTAAGTGTGAGTGTTCCTTAGAGTTCCAAACTCTGGTCTCCCTTCAATTTATACACTCCTAGATATCTCACTGACATACATCGCTTTTACTGTCATCTATATGCTGGTAAACTCCAAATCCATTATCTCTAGCTCAGACTTCAACCCTCTATTGGAATTCTCTCCTGCCTATCCCATTAGAGTCAAATGAACTCATCTTCATTCTCTCCTCCTCTTTGCTCCCCACCTACAAACGTGCACGATTCTTCTCTGTGGTTCCCAGTCTCCAGGAATTGTGCCACAGCCACCCAGTCATGTAAGCCAGGAAACATCGCTTGTCTTCTCCCTATCCCTTCCCCCAGAGTCATTAGCCCACCATAAAAGTCAATTCCCTAAAGACTTGTAGAATGTTATTTCTTTCCTTCAGATCCACAACACTTAAGAAGTGAATTATATCAACAGCCTCCAAAATGACCTCCCAGTCTGTCTCCCTTACACACTGTCACTAGAGTGATCGTTTTAAAGCATAAAGCATGTGAAACCCACTCCGTATCCTGAAATACTGAGCTGAATATCCATCGCTTTTATATAAAGTTCAATCTTTTGGCCTGACTCTTTGGAATCTGACCCCTACGTGTGTCACTAATCCCATGTCCCCATATGAACCTCAATTTAGGGCAGATATTTGTAATTTTCCTAAAGAGCCATGCACTCTCCTTTCCCTTCCCCTTATTCTGCTATCATTCCTCTTGGAACACATCTTCCATTGCATTCCCCTGCTCATCTATTCAACCAAGCCTACATGATCTTCCTTGATCTCCAATAGGCTCACTTTGCTCTTTGCTTCTTTGTGTTCCCATGGCATCTTATACATACCTTTGTAAAGATATGTGCAAACAATAACACATCTTTATTTCAGGCTCTGGCCTCTCTTGCTCTGAATTATGAGTTTTCTTAAGCATTTCATCGTCTGTATTGTGACTTCCTAGAGAACAAGGATGCTATCTTATTCCTTACAGTACCCACGGCACTTAACATTGCATCCAGCATATAGTTATAAGCAAATACAAAGGAAGGAAGGCAGGAAGGAAGGAAGGGAAAGGGAAAGGGGAAGGGGAAGGGGAAGGGGAAGTGAAAGGGGAAGAGGAAGGGAAGAAGGAAGGACTTTACTAACTCAAGATATTCTAGAGGGTTCATTCAGCTATCATCAATTGAAAAGCACTTCTTTGACTTTCACAAAACTGTGTTGAAGACATTGTCAACTGTCTTATCCCAAGGATGTATGTGTTAAATTATTTGTTGAATTTAGCTCAAAATAACAATTTTCTCTGCAGACAAATGTGAAAGCTGTTTTTAGTCAGAATATAAAACTATGTAACTCAACATGTTTCCTTTCTTGCTTTAACTGCCAGAAAAAAGACAAATTTAGTGTTCAATAGTAGTAATTAGACCGCCTCAAATCCCTGGTAATTTCTATTCTATGTGTTCTCATAGATGGTCTATTTCTATGCTAAATTCTTTTACTACACATTATTTCTTCTTTAAAGTCTTCTGTTAAAAATGATTATATACTTGTAAATAGGTGGTGGATGGTGGCAAAACCTAATTCTCCAAAACACTTTTTCTTCGACCTTAAGTCTCTTGCATTATGACAGCCACATAAAAGGTAGAGACCAGCCTCTATTTGAACCAGAGAGATTCATAGCAACCTAACAGAATCCCGAGTCCTTGGTCAGTCTAGTTCTGCAGCTGTGTTTGTCAATCCAAAGGTCTCACTTAAAATGTACTGAATATTACAGCCACCCATACAATTCATCTGCAATAAAGTTTCATTCATGCTTGGAGTATACTCACATTTTTATTAATTATAACCCATGGACCATAACCATAAGTTCCATTTCATGCCACGTAGTATTTTAAATGTTAGCTGTTAACGCAGGTGGACAAGTTGAGTAGTAATGACAAATGTGATTCTAGAGCAGTGTTTCACAGCCCTGGCTACATGCTAGAATCTCTTGGAGGTCTCCTTCAAAATATCTCTGCTGAATCCTCAATTAAGTTCAGAATATCTGAGGCAGTGGGGTGGCACCCAGAATCATTTTGTCTAGGCACTCCCAAATGATTCTAATGTACATTAAGGTTTAGGAATCACTGATTCAGAGCCTGGGAGAGAGATCACAGTTGCAGAGAAAGATGTGTCATCTTCCCCTTGTTGGGGGATTGCCTATCAGAATTTTAAAAGTGAAAAAAAATTCTACCTTTAAATATCAAGCTTTGTATTTATTTACCTCATTGAAATGAAACTGGTCATAAAAATCTGAATGAAAAAGGGAAGTTAGAGGTGATTATTCATTTTCAGAGGATTTTCTTTCTTGATAAAGGATTCATTTAAGCATTTCTTCAAGTACCAAGTAGTGATTTAATTGATTTGTAGACTTATCTCAGTTATTAATTATGCTTGTGACCTTTGCAAAGTCATCTGAACCTCTCGTGGCCTCTCTTTTCTAATGTGTACACTGAGAGAACTGGATTCAATAAGCAGTTTCCCAGCTTTCACAGTAATTCTCATAGATTTCGAGATGTGACATGGAGGTAGGAAGGTGGCTCAGAGCTGGAGCCCTGGAGCCAGGCTGCCTACATTTGAATCCTGGCTCCACTAAGTATGTCACCTTGGACAGGTATTTTACCTCTCAGTGTTTCAGCTTCATCAACTATAAAATGGGATTAATGCATATCTCACAGCATTGTGAGAATAAATGAAATCATATAGGTAAAAGCATTTAGAATGGTTCTGAGCGCTTAGCAAGCAGTATTAAAGCATTAGTTACTAACCTATTATGAATATTATACCCTAAAAAAGTCAGGGACTTAAGAATACTAATGTGTTGGTAAGCCTATATGATGGGGGCAAATTGTGTAACACGTCAAAAATATGTTTGACCAGTTAGCTTTTGGTTGTGTGAAGACAGCTCTCTATGGGAACATTCTTTGGGGAAACCTGGACCACATGACTGGTATGCCCCTTTAAACTCTAGCATCATTTAATTCATTTCTGTGTCTTCGAGAGACCAGAAAACTATAGCTCATGGGCCAAATTCAGTCTTCCACCTATTTTTGTAAATAAAGTTTTATTGGCACACAGCCACACTCATTTGTTTACATATTGTCACAGCTACTTTCCCACTGCAAAGAGTTGAGTAGTTGCAACAGAAATCATTTAGCCTAGAAAGCCTAAAATATATACTGCCCAACTCTTTATAGAAAATGTTTGCTGATCCCTGCCTTAGATGTATAATGTGTCGGGAAACCCATAGCTCTACCCCATAGTAAGTTAATCATCATGGCAAATTTTAAGTTATGAATGGGCATTTCTATTCCATCTATCCAGTTGCCTGTAGGGAGAAAAGAAACGTTCATCAAATACAGGGTACAAAGAGCAAGTATCTATGGGGGTGGAGGCTCTCGATGATAAGGATAAACATCTGCTGGAAAGGATAAAAGATGAGGATCACAGATAGAAGAGCTGCTGATGGGAAGGAACGGAAAGCAATTAGGAAAACAGAAGGCAACTTGAAGGCTTTGGCCCTGGTTAAAGATGCTTTTGTATGATGAGCACTTTCTCCTCTCATTTCCCCAATAGTCTATATACCTTCTCAAAAATATTGATGTCCTTGACCGGGTGCGGTGGCTCACACCTATAATCCCAGCACTTTGGGAGGCCGAGGTAGGCAGATCACCTGAGGTCAGGAGTTCAAGACCAGCCTGGCCAACATGGTGAAAGCCCTGTCTGTACTAAAATTACAAAAATTAGCTGGGTGTGGTGGCACATGCGGGTAATCCCAGCTACTCGAGAGGCTGAGGCACAAGGATCACTTGAACCCAGGAGGTAGAGGTTGCAGTGAGCAGAGATCATGCCACTGCACTCCAGCCTGGGTGACAGAGTGAGACTCTGTCTCAAAAAAAAAAAAAATTAGATGTCCTTTATAATTACTACTATTAATCAAGTACAATCCTAGGAAATTGTTTTTGTTATGCTATTTGATTCTTAAAGGATAGGTATTATTATCCTAATTTTATAAATAAGCCAAATTCTGTAGAGCTTAAGCAACTTCTCCATATCTAATCAGTGGTTAACCTTGTAGTCAAACCTACTTTTATCACTCTCAGATTTTCTACTGTGCCTCAACTAAAGTTATTCAGTTCTAAAACATCACTTAAAGGCAGATAAATGTTACCTAAAATTCTGATAACCAGAATTTCTTAGGCACTGTGCTAGATAATTGTTTATCGTTGAGCAAAGCTTTACAATTTCTACTTATGCTAATTATCTCTTGCTCTCCACAAATTTAGCTCTTGGGTAGGGCTGTGGGAAATGGAAAATGGAAAGACAAGGTGCAGTAAAGAATCTGCCGCATCCTGCATGGATAGCAACCCTGATGAAATTTATCTTAACATGAAAGAAAGGGATTTTATTCAATATGAATAGAAACACAGGAAGCAATTGAAGAATAGACAAAAATGAACTGTTTGAAAATGGCAGCTGCAAACCTTATCTCTTATATTCCATTGCTACAAAGACTAGTCAGCTTTTCTTAGCCAAATGTGAATTAGAGGAAATATAATTTAGTGTTTAGAAAATATGCCTAATTTACCACCAAAGCCATACAATTTGTCTTGAAGTAAGGAATTCTACATCAGCTTTTTAAAATGATGGTGATTAAGTAGACTACAATATACTTCAAGTGTTCTTTTCCTTTCATTATTTGTGGCACCCTGATGAAAAGTAATTATGCTTTGGCGAATTTTCCTCTTAGATGTAATTTGGACCACTTATCTGAGATTCTCAGAAGGGAGCTGACTTGACAACTAAAAGAGAACACCTGTTTCTATCAATGTAAAGGAAGCTGGTCCTGAGAGTCTTTTCCTCTACTTAGCAACGCACAGTGTTTCTGCAACCAGAATTATTGAGTGAGGTACTAACGAAATGCCTTCTGTATCCAGCATTTTCATTCAAAGAAATCAGGAATTAAACGGTGTACTTTTTAGATTTACACGAGGAAAGAAAGAAGAATGCTCATGAATATAAAATAACTGAAAGAGAAAAAGGAGTGGAAAGTGTAGCAGTGATTAACAGTACTAAGATATACAGATATCCAGCCCTAGAGACCAACACACCCTCAATAAGGATGCCCCTCAGCTACTCAGGTGGTTAGGAAAAATATTTCATAGTTTGGGATTCTGTTATTTTATTAAACGGGTCAAAGGGAGGTCTGCAGAAGATGTTGTATGTTTTATTTCCAAGAATGTCTGTGTGTGAAAATTCTATCCGCCCTCTTCTCATTGGTATTTAAGGTAGGCAACTGGCATGATATTTGTTGTTCATAAAAGAAGGATGGCTCCATCACATTACTGAAACACTAAATAATTCAATTTTCTGACTAGGAGCTGTGGAGCTTCAAACTTACTTATAAGATATTTTATTTTTTCCTTTTATGACCTATAAAAAAGCCTGTACAGCTATTACCTAGTTTTTCCATCGTGTTTTAACAAATATCGAAAAGCACTTTCACAAATACAAGCATTTGGTTTCACTGCATTCTTAAGTTAAACATTAACAAGTAAAATAAAGATAGTGCCAAAGACCTAACACATTAAATTTAGGTGGATCTACTGAAAATCAATTAATGGACTTCAAAAAATTTTTGCTTTTCTTTGCCTCTGTTTTGCCACCTCTTTTTGTTTGTTGTTAATGGGATTCTAATTTTCTGATGGAAACTGTTGAAAGGAAATGCTGCAACAAGTAATTTGGGTTATCCTTGTGACACATTAGAATTTTTGTATCCTGTCAATTTTCTGAAGGTGTTTACAAGACAGAACATATGAACTTTTAAAGACTTTGTACTAAAATGTAATATACATTAAAAATACATGAGTACCACTCAATTATTTTAGAAACTAATATATCCATATAGCCAGCACCTAGATCCAGAAGCAGAACTTTTGCCAGCCCCTAGAACACTCCCCTCATATTCTTTGTAATTATCACAAGGATAACCACTATTCTGACTTAAAATAGCACAGATGAGTTTGGCCTATTTTCATGGGTACATGAACTTCTATTACCTTACTTAATCTACAAGCAGAAACACAGGCGTGGAGACATGAAGCAATTTCTACAGTGTCTTGCAACTCTTGAAGAGTGAAATCTAGGCTTTTCATGTAGTGTGCTTCTACAGAACTGCCTGCAGCCTCTAAAAGTCCTCCTAATAACCAATGAAGGGAGGAATCTAGATGACCAGCCTACCTCTTTGCATGTTAATTTCTGACTGCTTTAAATATAAGGATTAAAAGATATTCCCTTTCCAAGTCTTTATCTATATCAGAACTTGATACTGTGCCACTGAACTCTAGGAGCTCACCATCTAGGAAAGAAGATTAAACATGGAAAGAGAAAGTAAGACAAGAGATGTACAATAATCATCAAGCCTTTGGCTGATTTTTTTCTGCTCAAGCCACATCACTTGATATGGTTAGGCTTTGTGTCCCCACTCAAATCTCATCTTGAATTATAATCCCCACCTGTTGAAGGAGGGACCTGTAATCCCCACGTATTGATGGAGGAAGGTGATTGGATAATGGGGGCGGGTTTCCCCCATGCTGTTCTTGTGATAGGGGGTGATTTCTCACAATATCTGATGGTTTTATAAGGCAGTTTTCCCTGCTCTTGCTCACTCTCTCTCACCTGCTGCCATGTAAGACATGCCTGCTTTGCCTTCCACCATGATTGTAGGTTTCCTTCCACCATGATTGTAGGTTTCCTCAGCCAGGTGGAACTGTGAGTCAATTAAACCTTTTTTCTTTATAAATTAGCCAGTCTCAGGGAAGTTCTTTATAGCAGTGTGAGAATGGACTAATACAGCACTCAACTGTTATTTTTTTATCTATCAGTGTTCTCTAGAGAAAGAGAACAAATAGGACATGTGCATATGTATATTAGGAAAAGAAATTTATTTTCAGGAATTGACTCCCATGATTACAGAGTCTGACAAGTCCAAAACCTGCAGGGTAGGCTGGCAGCTGGAGATCCAGGGAAGAGCTGCAGTTCAAGTCCAAAGGCAGTCTGCTGGCAGAATTCCCTCTTCTGGGGAAGTCAGTCTTTTCTTAAGAACTTCAACCGATTGAGTGAAGCCCACTCACATTATGGAGTGTACTCTGATTGAATCAAAGTCTACTTATTTATATATTATTCTCATCTAAAAAACACCTTCACTAGAATAATGTTTGACTGGCTATCTGGGTATCATGGCTTAGCCCAGTTGACACATAAAATTAACTCTCACAGATGCATATTACATGCGGCCTCCTAGGTGCTCTTCTGATCTTGTCTAGATTTATTTAATTTATATATTGCTGCTGAAATAGCCAGGCCTTAATGCCTTATCATTTTAAGTAAACAGTAAGCTCCAGTAGGGCAGTGAGCTTTTCTTGAACTTCTTTTATCTTCCACTGTCCTGATCTCAGAACTCACTGTATATCTATTGATCAAGTGATATATATTATTAAGTGTAAATTTTAACATTTTCTACATAGACTATGCAATTTTTTTTTTTTTGAGACAGAGTTTCACTCTTGTTGCCCAGACTAGAGCACAATCTTGGCTCACCGCAACCTCTGCCTTCGGGTTCAAGCAATTCTCCTGCCTCAGCCTCCCAAGTAGCTGGGACTACAGGCATGTGCCACCATGCCTGGCTAATTTTGTATTTTTAGTAGAGACAGGGTTTCTCCATGTTGGTCAGGCTGGTGTAATCATAATACTGTATTAAAGCACAGACAAGCAGAAAATCATTTCAGGACTAGGCAGCAGAAATAAAAACATACTAATTTCACTTTCTGTGTTATGGAAAATTTTCTCAATTGTAGGAAATACAAAAAAGTTTTGATCTGCCATACTCAAAGTCCAACCGAAATTCCCAGTTGCCTACAGAACTTTACAAAGTCTGTCAAGTTCATTATACCTGATCTAGATTCTAACTCCTTTATTTCCGCAGAAACGGTAGGTATAAGTAATCTGTTCATTGATATCACTTCCTCATTATGTAAAAGGAAGTTTAAGAAGAAAATAAAATGGAGAGTTTAGCTTATGGCTTGATAACTGTCTACTGAGTTGCTAATATTAACACAAAATCTATTTCCGTTTAGTTTGAGTCCTGTATTTCAATAAAATTGTTTTTCAAGGCTCCTGAAGTTTTAGTTAATATTTCTGTGTTTCTAGATTCTCTTACTTCACTTGTATAAAGTTGAACTTGTACAAATTTGGACTTTTTTTTTACCGATGATAGTATTTGTTCATAAGTCTATTTCCTGCCCTAGACTGTCAGCTTCTTGAGTGTACATTATTTACGATTGTGAGTGGCTTTTTCACACCCCAAAAATGCACGCATCGTTTTGTTTGATTTGGTTTTGTTGAATTTGTGTGTGTGACCATGTGGAAGCACAAGAAAACACATATCATGCTTTGTTGACACTGTAACAAATCTAGACTTTTCTAAGTTCCAGGATCCTGGTATTTCAAACAGTGTGATTTTGCTGTGAAAAAAAAAAAAAAACAGGATTGGCTTTTCCAGTGGTTTCTGACCACTATATGCTATAATATCTATTTAAGTGCCCAAATGTCTATTGTGGTACATGTTGGATTCTGTCCAAATGACCTAGAGAAGTGCAGGGTAGCTATTAAGTATGTAAAAGTTACTTGCGTGTACCTTCTATGACCAAGAAAAAAATCCAAAGAACTGTTTAGTAATTTTGGAGGATCTACTCTGTACCCAGGCACTGAAATAGGTTGCAAGGATACAAAGGTAAATAAGATATAATTCTTAATGTCAAAAAGTTCACAAAAAAGTGAACTTTAAAATAATATTAAAATAATATTTGAAAGGCAGAAGCTGTAATATGTTTTTATATTTACAAAACAAAATTACTTTTAAAAATAATAATTTAATATGAAAAGGGCCAAAATTCATGAGAAATATGGTACCTGAAGAGGATGTTGCTTGTCAGGTTTTAGACATTCCTAAAGCTTTAAATAAGAGTTTCTTCAGGGATTGCCATAGATAAAAATATTTTGTGTGTTTTTTTCTATTGAAATGGTCCCAAAAAAGCTAAAGGATATACTAGGCGGAAAAAAAAGGGAACATAACAGAGCACTGGCATTTACTAATTCGAACACTGTTTTTAAGGTAAGTTATAAATACATGAATGTGTGACCCTGGAATCAGCTATATCATAAGGCAAGAAATAAGCTTAGTTCTTAGTGTTTGGAAAGTATTTTGAGGCTGTATTACTTCTATTACTGGATATCTTCAGGGGTTTGATCCAAAAATGCAATCCAAAGATTCATCTAAGACCTATTTTTTCTGCAAGATTTGAAACGGAAATGTTCAGAGCAAGTCAAAAAATCCACTAATATGCAAGAGTACAGAAGTTATATCTTTAGTTTTCAAAAATCTATAATGATGATAAAAATGAAGCCACAGGAAGAGAAGCCTCAAGGGGGCTGACTAGAGACATACAGCACTCACTTCCTCCACAAAGAAAAACTAAACTAGCAAGTAGCTAATCACATTTTGAATAAAGCATCTAAGAGAGAACACTTGAGTTCAACAGAGAAGTCACAGGAAATACTGGAGACATGGAAGGAGAGGGATGCCAGGAAGCCAGCTCAGGCCAGATGGGAGCCCAGAGAGCCTCCACAGTGTGGAGAAAGGGTAAGTGAGAGACCTCCAGCAGTCCACATCCCCACCACCAACTCCTGCAAACCTCACCACAGGAGAGCACCTAGACCCTAGTGGGCCCTGAAACTAACATATAGTCTTTCTATGGGAAAATTAACATGCATCATTAAGTAACTTTAATATCGAGTAAGCAAAGTGTGGACACTGAGATTTGGCATATAACAGTGAATGAAACAAACAATATCTCTACCCTCATTACCAGGGAAGGATTCACAGAAGAGGTGGCATTAGAGAGAGGGCTTGATCAATATCAGGTTTTGGCAACATGATGACATGATGTCAACATCATAGAAAACGGTTGACATGATTATAGTGCTATTGCCAAAGGAGTTGTATGAAGCTGAATGGGATCATTTTCTCACCCAGCATATCTATTTATGTTCTTATTCTCAGGATACCAACTACAGTACTGGAAGTGCTGGAAAAATTCTTGATTTACAAGACTCTTTTAAATTCCTTTAATGGTCTGGCAACATGGAATTTGTCCAGTCTTATAAATGAAAATGTACTACTAAAGATAAAATATTCTCTTTGCTTTTATGTTTATTTATTTTTAAAGAAAAGCTAGAAATTTTTTCAGTGTTCACTAACAAAATCAGGCAGAATTCGTGTTAGAGAATTTCAATAACAGATTTAGAATCAACAATGAAATTTGAAGAGCAAGAAATTATAATAAGGAAAAAAATAAGCCCGTCATTTTTCCTTTTTTTTTTTTTTTTTTGAGATGGAGTCCTGCTCTGTCACCCAGGCTGGAGTGCAGTGGCAGGACCTCGGCTCACTGCAACCTCCGCCTCCTGGGTTCAAGTGATTCTTCTGCCTCAGCCTCCCGAGTAGCTGGGACTACAGGCGAGCACCACCACGCCTGGCTAATTTTTGTATTTTTGGTAGAGACGGAGTTTCACCATATTGGCCAGGCCAGTCTGGAACTCCTGACCTTGTGATCCACCCACTTCAGCCTACCAAATGTGCTGGGATTACAGGCACGAGCCACTGCACCCAGCCTTTTCCTATTTTTTATTTGAAAAATTTAATCCTTCTGATTATTTTTCCAGGCATGCATTTAAAAATTTTTTTACAAAGGTTCTTCTTCCTATTTAACTGACAGGATTTATTCTCACTATTAGATTCTATTTAATTTTTCTTTCTGACCTTAGTCTTCTTTCATTTATAATCTTCTCTGTTTCCTTTATTCAGTTTCCTCCTTCTTCTATGCTAGTCACTCTTAATTATTTGTTCTGTAATAATAGATGTGCCTTTCAATACAAGTGGAATTTTTCTAACAACCTCTTTGGTCAGTGGTGGTCAGAGGCTGCCACAGGGCAGATTTTTATTAGAACTTTAGGAACACACAGCAGCCTACTGTTAAGATTTTCAAGTTCATTTTAAGGAACAATTTCAAGTTCTAATCAAAAAATTATCATTTCACTTTTAAGACAGTAGAAGATTTACAATCTCTGTCCCCAGAGTCTGCTGAACTCAGACTTATGGGCACTCAGGTGATGCGTTTCTTTGGACTGCCCTTCAACTTTGTCCTAAAGTGATAGTACCAACCTCCCGTCAGCTTAGTATATCATAAGACTGTTTGCTTGCTCAAGTGTCTGGAATAAAACTTCATTACCTTCTTTTTTCTCAGTACACTAGCTATGTGTACCTTTATGTGCACTCTATATTTACTATTTTAATGTTCCCCCTAAAAAGCTATCTGCATTAGCAAGAAAGCAGCCCAAGACAATATCTTTAAATAAGTTGAAGAAATTAGTCAGGCCAACAAGATAAAATACTTTAAGCCAAGTTAGATAGTAAATACTGCCTGCATCTGTCCACGCATGCAGTCATTCTTTAGCCTCTATTTATTTTGCATTGTATTTATAGATATTTTCCATTCAATGACTGACCTGTTCTACACTCTATAGCATTTGTTAAATTTATGGCCTTCTTATTTTTAATGAGGATCTGTAGCTTGAATTTACCATTTACAGCACAATAGATGTGACTTTTGCTCCTAAACTCATTATTTCTGTCTCTCATTACTATTACTAGAACTCTGAGACATTTTCTATCAGAGATTTAGTTGTTTTTGTTAAAAAGCAGAAATCCCAGTGGATGCTTTTCCTATTCTTTTCATTTAAAATACAACCAAAAGATCTTACTTCAGTCTTATTCTGTAATAGCATAGTTCACTGAATACCAGATGAAAGTTATGTTATTTTCATTAAAATACAAATTAATAAGCAAGACAAAAATATCTACTCTGGAATGACAAATGCCTTTTAAGGCTATTTCACAAATCAAAATAAGTTAAAAAAAATCTATCTTGCTTTTATAAGTTAAAGTAGTGAAAAGACACAGTAGTTTTCTAAATTTAAAATTCAAATCTCAAAAATGGTTTTGATTTTTAAATAAATTAATATTAACTCTTAGTCTTGTCAGTGGATTAGCTGCCTTTCTATACTTTTTTTTCCTATTGTGAAATCTCCATTTTCCTATTGTGTTTGTAAATATTTGTTCCTTAGGCTTAGATACTTTTTCATATACCAATTCCAGAAAGATTTTTCAGGCTATAAAGTTGGATATGCATGAGAATTAAATGATATAAGAGGCGTTAGTTAACTCATTCAAATAGTTTCAAAGGAGATGTGAAGGAATACCAGCCACTTGACTTACAAACTAAAAATGATTAATATAGGTCACTTCCTAGAAGCTATTACTATGTCTTTGGTCAAAAAATTTACCATAAAATTTTCAAGTAAATGTTAATCCAAATATTACAATCCCCACTAACTTTCTGTGTGATATCTAAAATTATTAACCAACCAATTTTCCCACAAGATAGGGTGGGATGGGGTGGGAGGATTCACGTAAACTACTGCATGAATCATACACTCTGGAATTGTGCAAAGCAACAGTCCTATACCCAATACTCTATGAAACTTTATTCTTTAATAATGATAAAAATATAAAGCACAATTTTGAGGCAGCATTGTACTTTACCCAGAAGGCTTTTTCTGTACTTCAACAGTATAATTATTGAAAAGATTTTATTAGGATAAGAAAATCAGAATATGAGGTAAATACAATTTTTGTTCATTTCCTTACTTCATAAAATTTTAAGTACCATCGACTCTCCCTTTATTAAAAAATAATTGTTCCTTAAAATTAAATATTAACTAAATTTGTGAAAGCAAATCACATACTAAATATAGCAAGATTTAAACTAGAGATCAATTAAAGAAAATAAGTTGAAAAATCACAGAGAAGTAAAAAGTCACTTAATTTTGTTAAATTAAGTTTGGCCTAAAGCTGCCTCATTACATATTTTAAGTTTGTCCTAAAGGTTTATCCATGCATAGTGAACTGTAACCTAACTGGATGTGTAAACAGACTGTAACCTACTCTTGTACCAACCACAGAGTTCCAGCCAATCGCAGGCACCCAGCTGTTCAAACTGTGTTCAGATAGGCTAAATGCTAAGCTGTAATCAATCCAGATGTTTCCGTACCTTACTTCCATTTTCTATACTTCATTTTGCTTTTTTTTAAAATCCATAAATATCATCCAACCATGTAGCAGAGTCGCTTTGAACCTACCTATTCTGGTTGCAGGCTAGGGCAGGTGGGAGGTGGGGAGCTGATTTGTGAATCATGCTTTGCTCAATTAAACTCTATTAAATTTAATTTTTCTGAAAAATTATCTTTTAACAACGATATTAAGATCTTCATAGTAATACATATTTTATTTGTCTCTAGCATGAGACTATTAGCTTCTGAAGAAGAGACTAGGCCTTGCTTAACTTTGTACCCCAATATCTAACCCAAAATCATTCCTCAGGTATTATTAATTCAGGCTGAAAAGAGATCCCCATAGCTCTATCCTGAGAATGTGGACTTGTCTAAATGTAAGGGAAAGCAAAGTGAAGAATACCTCTGTGATAAAAGCAAATACCATTTTATTTTATTATTATTTAAGTTGAAAAACTTTAAGAATACCTAATACAATACTGGGAACAATAATACATATTTTATTTGTCTCTACCATGAGACTATTAGCTTCTGAAGGAGACACTAAGCCTTGTTTAACTTTTTACTCCAATATCTAACTCCTAGCAAAATGTAGGCACTCAAAAAACATTTGCTGGCTGAGTGCGGTAGCTCACGCCTGTAGTCCCAGCACTTTGACAGGCAGAGGCAGGCGGATCACCTGAGGTCAGGAATTCGAGACCAGCCTGGCCAACATGATGAAACCCTGTTTCCACTAAAAATATAAAAATTAGCTGGGCATGGTGGCGCATGCCTGTAGTCCCAGCTACTCGAGAGGCTGAAGCAGGAGAATCGCTTGAACCCAGGAGGCGGAGGTTGCTGTGAGCCAAGATCACGCCACTCCACTCCAGCCTGGGAGACAGCAAGACTCTGCCATAAAATAACATAAAATAATAAATTTTTTAAAAAATTGCTGAATGAAAAGAATGAAAGCAGATCAAAGTCACCTAATCAGCATATTTAGAACAGACAGTACAAAACGTTTTAAATATGTGTTTAGACTTGGACTTCAATCTCATATCGTGGCCAGTTAATAAAGTATCAAGAAGACAATAAAGAAAAGGGGAAAGGGCACTAAAATAGGAAGAGAGGACAAGAAAAGACAGAGAAGGTTAGAGAGGGAGACAGGGCACAGCAACAGAGGCCCTGAAAAACAAAGTCGGGTGCGGGTCCGAGAAAGAAGTAGACTGGAAATCAAAACAGTGGTAGAGAAGAAAATAAGAAAGGGGAACAGAAGGGGCAAAACCTGATAGATGAGGCACATTCCTATGTAAAGTTTTATAAACGCCCTTTCACAATCTGCAGTTCACCAGGCCACAAATTTCAGCTTTTAAACTTCTCATTACTCATCTTTGAAGTGTGAATTAACTGGTGCATTACTGTATAGAATCTTGAGTGTATATTTTTTCTACTTTTGAATTTTTCTAGTCATAGTGACCAGAACAAAATCATGCCTCAGCTATTATTAATTCAGGCTGAAGAGGAATCCCAACCCCACTGCTCTATCCTGAGAATGTGAACTTGTTTAAATGCAAGGGAATCCTTTCTGAAAGTGAAGAACACCTTTGTGATTAAAAACAAACACCATCTAATTTCACTTTATTTAAGCTGAAAAGCTTTCACAGTACTTAATACAATACTGGGAAAATGGTATGTAATCAGAATGATACTTCTAAACTCAGCTTTTTACGTGTTCTTTTTTCAGTAGGAAATAGTGTTAAACAATCTCATGAAAAAGATTTTGAAACTAGGCATATGAATGTTCAAATCTATTTTCCAACTTTTACTCTACTTGATTTATCCCTTTTATTCCTTCTTAATTCACAGTATCGGATTTGATTATCCTAAGTTAAAGAATGGCTCTTGAAACCCCCTCAACTGTAAATAACCATTACTCCGGCTGAGCATCTTTGATCAATACGTGTGATCACTGATCTCTATCATAATGGTTCTTTCACATTCACTGCATCTCTGGGCTTTGCTTTCTTTGGAAAGATCTGAAGTAAAAAAAACTCATCATTATGGCTATAAGCAATAAGACACACAAAAAGCCCTATTTCCAAACGTCTGGTAACATCAGAAACAACAGATTATTCAGAGTAAAATTTCAAGGGACAGAGCATGCTTGGAAAGGAAATGGGTTTTTGAAAAAACCATTTCCCCACCTACTGTCACAGAATAGCTGAATGAAAACTGGTCAAGTCCAGATGAGAAGTCTGTGTTCCTCCCTTCTTCCCACTTCCTTCTCTTCTCTCTCTTTCTAATTTGTGTAAGAAATGACTAGGAACAAACTGTAAACATACAAGTAGCTATATAAATGTAAATATACTACACTTGGCACCAAAAAAAATCATTCCTGATCATTTGTATAAACCTATTATTTTTATAACAAATGATCATTTTTCTAATTAATTTATCATTTTTGATATGCTGAATTTTCTTTCCTGATTGATCATTAATTTTAGCTTTAGGTTTCTCATTCTGCCTAAAACTAGACCAAGAAAAATTAGCCTGAAAATTGTTCAAAAAAATCATTTAATGATACTTGTTAAAGCAAGGTAAGGTAAACTTAGGATTGATTATGACTGATCATGATAGGTACAGAGGCTAAAACAATGGGATTTTGTGGTGGAGGAGAGAGACTGGGTCACCTCCGAATACAGCATGAGCAAGTAGGAATTTACAGTCAAGGAGCAAGGTGGGGATCAGTGGATAGAAAATTACTAAGAGGATATATCAGGGGTAAATGGGATTCTGGCTAAACCTATCCACAGGATTCTCACTAAAGTCATGTCAGGGGGATCAGATATCAGTTGAGGATAATGGAAAATGAGGAACCCGATCAGATATCAAGGATGGGGTTCTTGCTAAATTGACTTAGCTGGGTTCTTTGCTAAAAATGGATTTTACAAGGAAAGTGCTTATATAGGCCCTTTTACAGGTGGTCTAGGAGGAGGTTCAGGGACCTGACTAAAGTTTGGCCAAGCAAAAAATTGCTGTCAAAATACAATCTTAAGACCTTGGAGAGGTCAACATTTAAATAAATTTCGTTGGTGACTTCCTATTTAATGCAACTATGGGTCTGAGCTTCGAGATTTTACACATTTAAGTTTCCATAAAACTTAGCATGAGGAGTCATACCTAATATAATTAGGTTGGAATAGCAGTAAAAAAAATGTGACATACTCTGCACTGTAAAATCCTCTCATAAAATGCCTTTCTCTAACATCAAGTGCCTATTCCTAATGGGGTATGCAGTAAACATGTCCAACTGGGGGGTATAGCAATGGAAATGATAGCAAATACATTAAGATTAATAATAATTGGGGGGAACTAAGATGGCCGAATAGGAACAGCTCCAGTCTACAGCTCCCAGCGTGAGCGACGCAGAAGACGGGTGATTTCTGCATTTCCATCTGAGGTACCGGGTTCATCTCACTAGGGAGTGCCAGACAGTGGGCACAGGCCAGTGGGTGCACGCACCGTGCGTGAGCCGAAGCAGGGCGAGGCATTGCCTCACCTGGGAAGCGCAAGGGGTCAGGGAGTTCCCTTTCCGAGTCAAAGAAAGGGGTGAAAAGAAATGGGACTATGTGAAAAGACCAAATCTACGTCTGATTGGTGTACCTGAAAGTGATGCGGAGAATAGAACCAAGTTGGAAAACACTCTGCAGGATATTATCCAGGAGAACTTCCCCAATCTAGCAAGGTAGGCCAACGTTCAGATTCAGGAAATACAGAGAACGCCACAAAGATACTCCTCGAGAAGAGCAACTCCAAGACACATAATTGTCAGATTCACCAAAGTTGAAATGAAGGAAAAAATGTTAAGGGCAGCCAGAGAGAAAGGTCGGGTTACCCTCAAAGGGAAGCCCATCAGACTAACAGCGGATCTCTCGGCAGAAACCCTACAAGCCAGAAGAGAGTGGGGGCCAACATTCAACATTCTTAAAGAAAAGAATTTTCAACCCAGAATTTCATATCCAGCCAAACTAAGCTTCATAAGTGAAGGAGAAATAAAATACTTTACAGACAAGCAAATGCTGACAGATTTTGTCACCACCAAGCCTGCCCTAAAAGAGCTCCTGAAGGAAGCGCTAAACATCGAAAGGAAAAACCGGTACCAGCCGCTGCAAAATCATGCCAAAATGTAAAGACCATCGAGACTAGGAAGAAACTGCATCAACTAACGAGCAAAATCACCAGCTAACATCATAATGACAGGATCAAATTCACACACAACAATATTAACTTTAAATGTAAATGGACTAAATTCTCCAATTAAAAGACACAGACTGGCAAGTTGGATAGAGTCAAGACCCATCAGTGTGCTGTATTCAGGAAACCCATCTCACGTGCAGAGACACACATAGGCTCAAAATAAAAGGATGGAGGAAGATCTACCAAGCAAATGGAAAACTAAAAAAGGCAGGGGTTGCAATCCTAGTCTCTGATAAAACAGACTTTAAACCAACAAAGATCAAAAGAGACAAAGAAGGCCATTACATAATGGTAAAGGGATCAATTCAACAAGAGGAGCTAACTATCCTAAATATATATGCACCCAATACAGGAGCACCCAGATTCATAAAGCAAGTCCTGAGTGACCTACAAAGAGACTTAGACTCCCACACATTAATAATGGGAGACTTTAACACCCCACTGTCAATATTAGACAGATCAACGAGACAGAAAGTCAACAAGGATACCCAGGAATTGAACTCAGCTCTGCACCAAGCGGACCTAATCGACATCTACAGAACTCTCCACCCCAAATCGACAGAATATACATTTTTTTCAGCACCACACCATACCTATTCCAAAATTGACCACATACTTGGAAGTAAAGCTCTCCTCAGCAAATGTAAAAGAACAGAAATTATAACAAACTGTCTCTCAGACCACAGTGCAATCAAACTAGAACTCAGGATTAAGACTCTCACTCAAAGCCACTCAACTACATGGAAACTGAACAACCTGCTCCTGAATGACTACTGGGTACATAACGAAATGAAGGCAGAAATAAAGATGTTCTTTGAAACCAACGAGAACAAAGACACAACATACCAGAATCTCTGGGACGCATTCAAAGCAGTGTGTAGAGGGAAATTTATAGCACTAAATGCCCACAAGAGAAAGCAGGAAAGATCCAAAATTGACACCCTAACATCACAATTAAAAGAACTAGAAAAGCAAGAGCAAACACATTCAAAAGCTAGCAGAAGGCAAGAAATAACTAAAATCAGAGCAGAACTGAAGGAAATAGAGACACAAAAAACCCTTCAAAAAATCAATGAATCCAGGAGCTGGTTTTTTGAAAGGATCAACAAAATTGATAGACCGCTAGCAAGACTAATAAAGAAAAAAAGAGAGAAGAATCAAATAGACACAATAAAAAATGATAAAGGGGATATCACCACTGATCCCACAGAAATACAAACTACCATCAGAGAATACTACAAACACCTCTACGCAAATAAACTAGAAAATCTAGAAGAAATGGATACATTCCTCGACACATACACTCTCCCAAGACTAAACCAGGAAGAAGTCGAATCTCTGAATAGACCAATAACAGGAGCTGAAATTGAGGCAATAATCAATAGTTTACCAACCAAAAAGAGTCCAGGACCAGATGGATTCACAGCCGAATTCTACCAGAGGTACAATGAGGAGCTGGTACCATTCCTTCTGAAACTATTCCAATCAATAGAAAAAGAGGGAATCCTCCCTAACTCATTTTATGAGGCCAGCATCATTCTGATACCAAAGCCAGGCAGAGACACAACCAAAAAAGAGAATTTTAGACCAATATCCTTGATGAACATTGATGCAAAAATCCTCAATAAAATACTGGCAAACCGAATCCAGCAGCACATCAAAAAGCTTATCCACCATGATCAAGTGGGCTTCATCCCTGGGATGCAAGGCTGGTTCAATATACGCAAATCAATAAATGTAATCCAGCATATAAACAAAGCCAAAGACAAAAACCACATTATTATCTCAATAGATGCAGAAAAAGCCTTTGACAAAATTCAACAACCCTTCATGCTAAAAACTCTCAATAAATTAGGTATTGATGGGACGTATTTCAAAATAATAAGAGCTAGCTATGACAAACCCACAGCCAATATCATACTGAATGGGCAAAAACTGGAAGCATTCCCTTTGAAAACTGGCACAAGACAGGGATGCCCTCTCTCACCGCTCCTATTCCATAGTGTTGGAAGTTCTGGCCAGGGCAATCAGGCAGAAGAAGGAAATAAAGGGTATTCAATTAGGAAAAGAGGAAGTCAAATTGTCCCTGTTTGCAGACGACATGATTGTTTATCTAGAAAACCCCATTGTCTCAGCCCAAAATCTCCTTAAGCTGATAAGCAACTTCAGCAAAGTCTCAGGATACAAAATCAATGTACAAAAATCACAAGCATTCTTATACACCAAGAACAGACAAACAGAGAGCCAAATCATGAGTGAACTCCCATTCACAATTGCTTCAAAGAGAATAAAATACCTAGGAATCCAACTTACAAGGGATGTGAAGGACCTCTTCAAGGAGAACTACAAACCACTGCTCAAGGAAATAAAAGAGGACACAAACAAATGGAAGAACATTCCATGCTCATGGGTAGGAAGAATCAATATCGTGAAAATGGCCATACTGCCCAAGGTAATTTACAGATTCAATGCCATCCCCATCAAGCTACCAATGACTTTCTTCACAGAATTGGAAAAAACTACTTTAAAGTTCATATGGAACCAAAAAAGAGCCCGCATCGCCAAGTCAATCCTAAGCCAAAAGAACAAAGTTGGAGGCATCACACTACCTGACTTCAAACTATACTACAAGGCTACAGTAACCAAAACAGCATGGTACTGGTACCAAAACAGAGTTATAGATCAATGGAACAGAAAAGAGCCCTCAGAAATAACACCGCATACCTACAACTATCTGATCTTTGACAAACCTGAGAAAAACAAGCAATGGGGAAAGGATTCCCTATTTAATAAATGGTGCTGGGAAAACTGGCTAGCCATATGTAGAAAGCTGAAACTGGATCCCTTCCTTACACCTTATACAAAAATCAATTCAAGATGGATTAAAGATTTAAATGTTAGACCTAAAACCATAAAAACCCTAGAAGAAAACCTAGGCATTACCATTCAGGACATAGGCATGGGCAAGGACTTCATGTCCAAAACACCAAAAGCAATGGCAACAAAAGCCAAAATTGACAAATGGGATCTAATTAAACTAAAGAGCTTCTGCACAGCAAAAGAAACTACCATCAGAGTGAACAGGCAACCTACAACATGGGAGAAAATTTTCACAACCTACTCATCTGACAAAGGGCTAATATCCAGAATCTACAATGAACTCAAACAAATTTACAAGAAAAAAACAAACAACCCCATCAAAAAGTGGGTGAAGGACATGAACAGACACTTCTCAAAAGAAGATATTTATGCAGCCAAAAAACACATGAAAAAATGCTCATCATCACTGGCCATCAGAGAAATGCAAATCAAAACCACAATGAGATATTATCTCACACCAGTTAGAATGGCAATCATTAAAAAGTCAGGAAACAACAGGTGCTGGAGAGGATGTGGAGAAATAGGAACACTTTACACTGTTGGTGGGACTGTAAACTAGTTCAACCCTTGTGGAAGTCAGTGTGGCGATTCCTCAGGGATCTAGAACTAGAAATACCATTTGACCCAGCCATCCCATTACTGGGTATATAACCAAAGGACTATAAATCATGCTGCTATAAAGACACATGCACACGTATGTTTATTGCAGCATTATTCACAATAGCAAAGACTTGGAACCAACCCAAATGTCCAACAATGATAGACTGGATTAAGAAAATGTGGCACATATACACCATGGAATACTATGCAGCCATAAAAAATGATGAGTTCATGTCCTTTGTAGGGACGTGGATGAAATTGGAAATCATCATTCTCAGTAAACTATCGCAAGAACAAAAAACCAAACACCGTATATTCTCACTCATAGGTGGGAATTAAACAATGAGATCACATGGACACATGAAGGGGAATACCACACTCTGGGGACTGTGGTGGGGTGGGGGGAGGGGGGAGGGATAGCATTGGGAGATATACCTAAGGCTAGATGACGAGTTAGTGGGTGCAGCGCACCAGCATGGCACATGTATACATATGTAACTAACCTGCACAATGTGCACATGTACCCTAAAACTTAAAGTATAATAAAAAAAAAAGGTTAATAATAATTGCCTCAGTAAAGCTAAACAGGCCAAAGAAGTCTTATAGAAGAAAGGGGTGTTGGGACAGGATCTGCAATCTAAGAAAAAAAGGATAATGAGACAAGCAATTAACATAATGGTCAAGATAATAAGATGGAGAAGGACAATGAGGTGAGTTAAACTACAAGGCAAATGACTGAATAAATAGATCTTTTTAAAAAATGGCATGAAGGTCCTTGGAGAGAAAAAAAGGTTTCAGGTCCTTTTTATAATTAATTCAACTTATCTAGACTTATATGGAATATATAAGCTTTAAAATTTGATTAATGAAAATAGGCACGATTTTTTTGGCATTCATTTGTATCCTTTTTTATGTTTTGGTCAGAAATTGATGATAGACTACTCTGGGGCAAGAAAGTAGAGACCCTGTCTTGTGAAGATACAATAATTAAGAGGTGGATGGAGGAGAATCTGGGAATGGCAGTTCTGCTACTTATTGGCTGCTATGATCTCAGAGCAGTACCTCCATGGCTTTCGTTCCCACTTTGTTCATCTATAGCATGAGGGGACACTGTGTGAGATGACTTTTCCCTCATAGTCAGAAGTAGCTAAGGGTTATAAAGCATTATATGGTTTTACTTGCCCAGTATATTATTTGTAAAACATCTAAAATCTACTTCCTATTTTCATCAGTGTGGATCCCAGAGTCCTGCTACAGGACCATCAAACACACCATATGGTCTTTGGATAGAAAATAATTCTTTCATTATACAAGGGAGAGCCTGTACAAGTAGATGTTATCAGTGTATACGTGTGTGTACATGCATGTGTGTATATATGAGTGAGTGTGTGAGTAGGTCTGTGTGTTGATACACTCAGTATTTTTTTCAGTGTAATGTTTATACCTGCTAATGAATCAAGCTGATATTTTCATCACTATTGACTCATTTATCAGGAACAATAAGTCTTCATGACATCCAAAGAGAAAAATTAAAAGGACTTAGAAAAAGGAAGACAGGAAAGGCATTTTACAACTTATCAAAACAAGATAACAAAGAGTTCATGTTTCATAAAAAAGTCTGTGAACAGAAAAGTTATAATAGGGCCTTTATGATATAGAAATAGGTAACAGCAGAATTAATTCTAATACATAGTAAGTAATATATGCATTTTGACTACTGGTTTTTAACTGAACCTTCTTCCAAGGGTTTGATAATCCTTCCCATCTGTTCCACAAAAGAGTGGACTATGATCTAAGAAACAAGTCATTTGAAGCCAATTTAAATAATCATAATCAATGAATGGCAAAGTGACCATAATACACCTTCTGAAAACAAGATATAAATATTCCCTGATGTGTTCACTGACCCTAATATAATCAGCTGGGCTTCCTGAAGCAGACCTTCCATAATGGTTCACATAATAGATTTAATTCTAGCACTGAAAAACATCATATAAAATTTCCAGTCTGCCAAGCTTCCACTTCAGCATGTTACTTAGATTTCTTTCTGATCTGGCTAGCGTCACATAGAAAACCCTGGAAAAAGGCTAGCCAAGCTTGTCAAAAATATTCTGTCTTCTGTATTTGTTATAAGAAAGAATAACTCTTCTTTGGTTGTCATGGCCACTGTCATATTGGAATTGGGAGAGTTTTATTTTAAAATTCATGAGTCAGTACATTTATATTCCATTAGTCACCCAGTCCATGTATCTCATTCAAACCTAAATCTTCTTTCTCTTCTCATTATCGTCTGATGACCTTGCTTCCTATTTCACTGAGAAAAGAGCCATCAAAAACCAAACTTCCACATGCTCTCACTGCTGATTCAACCTACTGGATCCATGTCCAAGTTCTCTGCCTTCCTCCTAGGACCAGAGATGAATCGTTTATTCTCCTGGTTCGGTTCACTCTTGCTTACACACAGATTTTGCTCCTGCAGTTCTCTCCTTTCTCTTCTTAATCATTAATTTTTCTCTACTCTCTGGGATAATGTTTATTAACATGAAAATATTCTGCTATGGCTCCCACCTTATAAATTTCCTTCACCTTTCTAACCTTCCCTCATTGCTCTGATCTCTTTTGTAGTAAAATTCTATATTTTACAGTAAAACCACCATATCTTACCCACATCATTCATGACTTATAATAAATCCAGTTTGCTTAATTTATATGATAAAATCATTATCTTTCTTACCACCATTCCTATGATACAACCTGAGATCTAGCAGTCAAGCTCTCTCCTTTCCAGTCTTCCTTTCATTCACCACTGGTCAAGACATTTCCATCACCATTTAAACAACAATGCTGCTGATAATACACGAGGGAGCACAAAAATACAGCTGCTTCCTTTACAATTGTACTGATTCCAGAACAGCATGGTCTGCCAAAACTGATTTATTTCTTCATACACTTTAGCTGATAGGTTCTAAATGACTCTTAAGAAACAAGAATTAAGGGACTATGCTTGCACTAGGCCCTATTACCTTTAAGATGCTACTAACACTAATATTCTTTGATATGGTGTTGAAAATAAATCATCCTAATATAATGATATATATGAGATAAAATATGTATTTTGCTTAATATATTTAAATATATTTCTCTTATATAAAAATATATTTCGAAAACATAAGAAAAAGAGGATATCTAGCAATTAATTTGACCGTATGAACAGCATTATTCAGATAGAAAAAAGGTACTCTTAGAGAACTCTCACACGCCCAGTTAATACTCAATAAAAATCATTCCCCAGTCAGAAGAATTCAACAAAAAGGAGAAGCATGTTGTTTTCCTTTCCTACTGATATGAACAATTGTAATCTTGGTCTTAAGATTTAAAAGAATCTCAAATCATTGAATCAGATGGAAATGCTAATTGAAATTAGTGTCTATCTTTGCCCAGTAATGTCTTGACTGTGAACTATAGAAGCAGGACTATGTAATTAGGTCCCATTGCCCACCAAATTCTGTGGCTATTCTCTGTTTACTCCAAAAAAGATTCTTGTCGAAGTTTGATTTATAAATGCGAGCAAAGTAAAAAAAAAAAAATCTTATCATTATACAAGAAGTGTATACATACTTATTAAAAATCATTTATATACTGGCCATAAAATATGTGTATTTCCAAATATAGCTGCTGTAGAGCTGGACTCTTGAGTTGAATGTACGTCTTGAGCTACAAAAATGAGGGAAAGCACCATCTTGAGGCACAACTGGAATTCAGGCCTTTGGTCCCTGGATCTGAAAGCAGAGAAGCTGATATGAACTATAGTCATTGTGAGTCAATATTACATGTTGGCAAAATGTGATATAAGCCTTAGCTTTTGAAATTAACATTGACATTAATCAGGTGTTAACCTTGATTATTTCCAGAACTATACTTTTAATAGTCATCTAGTTCAACCAGCTCACTTTGCAAATTAGGAAATTAAAATTTCTAGAACTGTTACAGGATTGTTCCAAGGTTACCCATGAGTAAATGAGAGAGCTGAGGCTAGAACCCTAGCTCCTTAGTCTGTCTCCAAAGTAATTAACTTCATTCATTTAAAAGAATGCCAGATAAAATAGTATTTTTAAATGTGCAAAATTATTGTTCTATAGTGTGTAAAATAATTTTGAGTTTCAAAATTTACTGTATAGAATTTCTTTCTGAGCCAAAGAAGGTAAAAGTATAAACATGCTTTTACAATACATTTTCTAAACTGTAACATTTTTGAAAGAGTGTGAAGTGTGATGTTCATAAAATCTAATTTATGCCTCTTGAAGTGTATTTAATTGGCAATAAGCCTTTTCAAGGAACAGAAATTACAGTCCTTAACCACTAACATCTCATTAAGTTAGTTATATGTGTCCTTTAATGCAAATATCCATTCTTTTGCATGAAAAATAATTCTATTGAAGAGGGTGGTGTAGTTTGGTCCTAACTGTAGCCTGAATATAAAAATGCACATTGATTTTTAAAATCTCATTCTAGCATGAAAGAATCTTACCTGGGCCAAAGAAACATAGTACAAGCTAAATGTGGATTTAATATTTATTGAGCTATTTACCAAGTTTTATATTTTATTTCAGTTTATTTTATTGCACACAAATTGATTCCACACATCTAGAATCTTTCACCAAATTCTTGACTCCTTCCCCAAATCCCTTTAAAACACACGCCCCTAAGGTCACAGAAATGAAAAGACGGTAACAATAAAATTATAGAAGTTGGAAAGCAATTGGTTAATTGTTGAAAAATTTAACAGAGCTACAACAAACAACAAAGTCCTAATGCCAGCAGTAGGGAATGGTGAGAACTAACTACAATGATACTACGGAATCTCCAACAGGCTCAGAAATGGGTACCACCAGATACTTTTAGATACGAGAAAAAGAAATAAGAACTAGTTGAAAGCCTGTTTAAGAAGCAGCCAGATGCCAGATTCACTTTTACACTCTCCTCAGCTGGGAAACTTTCCCTCCCCAGTCCTAGCAAAAGACGAGGTTTATTCTCTTGAAAAGGTTAAAGAAGTCTCTGGACTGGGGGAACCCCGGCACAAGGAAGAAACATCACAATAAAAACAGAGGAATTAAGTGTATTATGTACATTGGAAGCAGAGATCCCCTCAGCCAGCCTCCTACACTCAGGTCCCAGTACAGACCTTCACCCTCCAGGCAGGAGTTTGGCAAAGCCTTGTCTAGGAAAAAAAAGTAGTATAGAAGGAAAGACCTAAAGATCTCACATCAGAGGTTTCCCATCTAAATAGGGCAGTCAGATCATGTAGTCACACACCCATCTATATACTCAGAGCCTCTAATCTGTGCTTTTGTCTCCCACACTTAAAGAGAAGCAAAAAACTAAGAATTTCCAGGTACCAGAGGAAATCCTCTAATGTGAGCTATTGAGACAAACCGAAGAGAAAAAAATACATTAAAACAATTTGGAACACACAAAAACAATGTCAGGGAAAGAAATTTGTTTTTAAAATTAAAAAAAAAAACAATTGTTTGCTGTCTCCCTAGAAATAATCTAACCATGATAAAAACAGAATAATATTTTTAAAAAACTCAAACTTATTTTCCTCAAAAATAAATAATAGCAGAAATACAAAACTAAATAGGAGTGTGGGATGATAAACTTAAGAAAAATATCTTTAGGAATCCATTCCAAGATGGCCGAATAGGAAGCACTCTGATCTGCAGCTCCCAGTGTGATCGACGCAGAAGATAGGTGATTTCTGCATTTCCAACTGAGGTACCTGGTTCATCTCACTGGGACTGGTTGGACAGTGGGTGCAGCCCACGGAGGGTGAGCCAAAGCAGGGCGGCGCATTGCCTCACTCAGGAAGTGCAAGGGGTAGGGGGATTTCCCTTTCCTAGCCAAGGGAAGCTATGACAGACTGTACCTGGAAAAACAGGACACTTTCACTCAAATACTGCACTTTTCCCATGGTCTTAGCAACCAGCAAACCATGAGATTCTCTCCCGTGCCTAGCTCGGCGGGTCCCATGCCCACGGAGCCTTGTTGACTGCTAGTGTAGCAGTCTGAGATCAACCTGAGAGGCTGCAGCCTGGTGGGGGGAGGGGAGGGCGTCTGCTATTGCTGAGGCTTCAGTAGGTAAACAAAGTGGCCAGGAAGCTCAAACTGGACAGAGCCCACTGCAGCTCAGCTTGGCCTACTGCCTCTATAGACTCCACCTCTGTGGGCAGGACATAGCTGAAAAAAAGGCAGCAGAAACTTTGCAGACTTAAACATCCCTGTCTGACAGCTCTGAAGAGAGCAGTGGTTCTCCCAGCAGTGGTTCTCCCAGCATTTGAGCACTGAGAACAAAGAGACTGCCTCCTCAAGTGGGTCCCCAACCCCTGTGTAGTCTAACAGGGAGACACCTACCAGTAGGGGCCAACAGACACCTCATACAGGCGGGTGCCCCTCTGGGATGAAGCTTCCAGAGGAAGGATCAGGCAGCAATATTTGCTATTCTGCAGCCTCCACTGGTGATAACCAGGCAAACAGGGTCTGGAGTGGACCTGAAGCAAACTCCAACAGACCTGAAGCTGAGGGACCTAACTGTTAGAAGAAAAATGAACAAACAGAAAGAAATAGCATCAACATCAACAAAAAGGACATCTACACCAAACCCCACCTGTAGGTCTGTAGGACCAAAGGTAGATAAAACCACAAAGATAGAGAGAAACCAGAGGAGAAGTTAAAAATTCTAAAAACCAGAGCACCTCTGCTCCTCCAAAGGACTGCAGTTCCTTGGGGGCAATGGAACAAAGCTGGACAGAGAATGACTTTGACAAGCTGACAGAGAAGAAGGCTTTAGAAGGTCAGTAATAACAAATTTGTCCGAGCCAAACGAACATGTCCTAACCCATCAGAAGGAAGCTAAAAACCTTGAAAAAAGGTTAGACAAATGGCTAACTAATAAACAGTGTAGAAAAGACCTAAAATGACCTGACGGAGCTGAAAACCATGGCACGAGAACCTTGTGACACATGCACAAGCTTCTGTAGCCAATTTGATCAAGTGGAAGAAAGGATATTAGTGATTGAAGATCAAATTAATGAAATAAAGTAAGAAGACAAGATTAGAGAAAAAAGAGTAAAAACAAAAAAAGCCTCCGAGAAATATGGCACTATGTGAAAAGACCAAATCTACATTTGATTGGTGTACCTGAAAGTGACAGGGAGAATGGAACCAAGTTGGAAAACACTCTTCAGGATATTATCCAGGAGAATTTCTCCAACCTGGTAAGGCAGGCCAACATTCAAATTCAGGAAATACAGAGAACACCACGAAGATACTCCTCAAGAAGAGCAACCACAAGACACATAATTGTCAGATTCACCAAGGTTAAAATGAAGAAAAAAATGTTAAGGGCAGCCAGAGAGAAAGGTCGGGTTACCCACAAAAGGAAACCCATCAGACTAACAGCAGATCTCTCTGCAGAAACCCTACAAGCCAGAAGAGAGTGGGGGCCAATATTCAACATTCTTAAAGAAAATAATTTTCAACCCAGAATTTCATTTCCACCCAAACTAAGCTTCATAAGTGAAGGAGAAATAAAATACTTTACAGACAAGCAAATGCTGACAGATTTTGTCATCACAAGGCCTGCCTTACAAGATCTCCTGAAGGAAGCACTAAACATGGAAAGGAACAACTGTTACCACCCACTGCAAAAACATGCCAAATAGTAAAGACCATCGATGCTATGAAGAAACTGCATCAATTAATGGGCAAAATAACCAGCTAACATCATAATGACAGGATCAAATTCATACATAGCAATATTAACCTTAAATGTAAATGGGCTAAATGCCTCAATTAAAAGACACAGACTGGCAAATTAGATAAAGAGTCAAGACTCATCAGTGTGCTGTATTCAGGAGACCCATCTCACGTGCAGAGATACACATAGGCTCAAAATAAAGGGATGGAGGAAGATCTACCAAGTAAATGGAAAGCAAGAAAAAGCAGGGGTTGCAATCCTAGTCACCAATAAAACAGACTTTAAACTAACAAAGATTAAAAGAGATAAGGCCATTACATAATGGTAAAGGGATCAATTCAACAAGAAGAATTAACTATCTTAAATATATATGCACCCAATACAGGAGCACCCAGATTCATAAAGCAAGTCCTTAGAGACCTATAAAGAGACTTAGACTCCCAAACAATAATAATGGGAGACTTTAACACCCCACTGTCAATATTAGACAGATCAACAAAACAGAAGGTGAACAAGGATATCCAGGACTTGAACTCACCTCTGCACCAAGCAGACCTAATAGACATCTACAGAACTTTTCACCCAAAATCAACAGAATATACATTCTTCTCAGCACCATATCGCACTTAAATTGACCACATAATTGGAAGTAAAGCATTCCTCAGCAAATGTAAAAGAACAGAAATCACAACAAACTGTCTCTCAGACCACAGTGAAATCAAATTAGAACTCAGGATTAAGAAACTCACTCAAAACCACACAACTACATGGAAACTGAACAACCTGCTCCTGAATGACTACTGGATAAATAATGAAATGAAGGCAGAAATAAAGATGTTCTTTGAAACCAATGAAAACAAAGACACAACATACCAGAATCTCTGGGACACATTTAAAGCAGTGTGTAGAGGGAAATTTATAGCACTAAATGCCCACAAGAGAAAGCAGAAAGATATAAAATTGACACCCTAACATCACAATTAAAAGAACTGTAGAAGCAAGAGCAAACAAATTCAAAAGGTAGCAGAAGGCAAGAAGTAACTAAGATCAGAGCAGAACTGAAGGAGATAGAGACACAAAAAAACCCTTCAAAAAAATCAATGAATCCAGGAGCTGGTTTTTTGAAAAGATCAACAAAATTGATAGGCTGCTAGCAAGACAAATAAAGAAGAAAAGAGAGAAGAAACAAATAGACACAACAAAAAAATGATAAAGAAGATATCACCACCGATCCCAAAAAAATACAAACTACCATCAGAGAATACTATAAACACCTCTATCCAAATAAACTAGAAAATCAAGAAGAAATGGATAAATTTCTGGACACATACACCCTCCCAAGATTAAACCAGGAAGAAGTTGAATCTCTGAATAGACCAATAACAGGTTCTGAAATTGAGGCAATAATTGATAGCATACCAACCAAAAAATATCCAGGACCAGATGGATTCACAGCCAAATTCTATGAGAGGTACAAAGAGGAGCTGGTATCATTCCTTCTGAAACTATTCCAATCAATATAAAAAAAGGGACTCCTCCATAACTCATTTTATGAGGCTAGCATCATCCTGATACCAAAGCCTGGCAGAGACACACACACAAACAAAAGAGCATTTTAGACCAATATCCCTGATGAACATCGATGCAAAAATCCTCAGTAAAATACTGGCAAACCAAATCCAGCAGCACATCAAAAAGCTTATCCTCCACAATCAAGCTGGCTTCATCCGTGGGATGCAAGCCTCATTCAACATATGCAAATCAATAAATGTAATCTATCACATAAACAGAACCAATGAAAAAAACCACATGATTATCTCAATAGAAGCAGAAAATGCCTTCAACAAATTCAACAGCCCTTCATGCTAAAAACTCTCAATAAACTAGGTATTGATGGAACATATCTCAAAATAGTAAGAGCTATTTATGACAAACCCACAGCCAATATTATACTGAATGGGCAAAAATTGGAAGCATTCCTTTTGAAAACCGGCACAAGACAAGGATGCCCTCTCTCACCACTCCTATTCAACATAGTGTTGGAAGTTCTGGCCAGGACAATCAGGCAAGAGAAAGAAATAAAGGGTATTCAATTAGGAAAAGAGGAAGTCAAATTGTCCCTGTTTGCAGATGTCATGATTGTATATTTAGAAAACCCCATCATCTCAGCCCAAATCTCCTTAAGCTGATACACAACTTCAGCAAAGTCTCAGAATACAAAATCAAAGTGCAAAAATCACAAGAATTCCTATACACGAATAATAGACAAACAGCCAAATCATGAGTGAACTCCCATTCACAATTGCTTCAAAGAGAATAAAATACCTAGGAATCCAACTTACAAGGGATGTGAAGGACCTCTTTAAGGAGAACTACAAACCACTGCTCAACAAAATAAAAGGGGACACAAACAAATGGAAGACCATTCCATGCTCATGGATAGGAAGAATCAATATCGTGAAAATGGCCATATGGCCTCAGGTAATTTATAGATTAAATGCCATCCCCATCAAGCTACCAATGACTTTCTTCACAGAATTGTAAAAAACTACTTTGAAGTTCATATGGAACCAAAAAAGAGCCTGCATTGCCATGACAATCATAAGCAAAAAGACCAAAGCTGGAGGCATCATGCTACCTGACTTCAAACTATACTACAAGGCTACAGTAACCAAAACAGCATGGTACTGGTACCAAAACAGATTTATAGACTAACGGAACACAACAGAGGCCTCAGAAATAACACCGCACTTCTACAACCATCTGATCATTGACAAACCTGACAAAAGCAAGAAATGGGGGAAGGATTCCCTATTTAATAAATGGTGCTGGGAAAACTGGCTAGCAGTATGTAGAAAGCTGAAACTGGATCCCGTCCTTACACATTGACTTAAATGTTAGACCTAAAACCATAAAAACCCTGGAAGAAAACCTAGGCAATACCATTCAGGACACAGGCATGGGCAAGGACTTAATGATGAAAACACCAAAAGCAATGGCAACAAAAGCCAAAATTGACAAATGGGATCTAATTAAACTAAAGAGCTTCTGCACAGCAAAAGAACCTCCATCAGAGTGAACAGGAAACCTACAGAATGGGAGAAAATTTTTGCAATCTACCCATGTGACAAAGGTGTAATATCCAGAATCTACAAAGAACTTAAACAAATATACAAGAAAAAAACGAACAACCCCATCAAAAAGTGGGCAAAGGATATGAACAGACACTTCTCAAAAGGAGACATTTATGCAGCCAACAGACACATGAAAAAATGTTCATCATCCCTGGTCATCAGAGAAATACAAATCAAAACCACAATGAGATACCATCTCACGCCAGTTAGAATAGTGATCATTAAAAAGTCAGGAAACAACAGATGCTGGAGGGGATGTGGGGAAATAGGAATGCTTTTACACTGTTGGTGGGAGTGTACATTAGTTCAACCATTGTGGAAGACAGTGTGGCAATCCCTCAAGGATCTAGAACTAGAAATACCATTTGACCCAGTGATCCTATTACTGGGTATATACTCAAAGGATTATACGTCATGCTACTATAAAGACACATGCACACGTATATTTATTGCGGCATTATTCACAGTAGCAAAGACTTGGAACCAACCCAAATGTCCATCAATGATAGACTGGATTAAGAAAATGTGGCACATATACATCATGGAATACCATGCAGCCATAAAAAAGGATGAGTTCATGTCCTTTGCAGGGACATGGATGAATCTGGAAACCATCATTCTCAGCAAACTATCACAAGGACAGAAAACCATGTTTTCTGTGAACTGCACGTTCACATTCATAGGTGGGAATTGCACAATGAGAACACTTGGACACAGGGTGGGGAACATCACACACTGGGGCCTGTCAGGGGGTGGGGTACTGGGGGCGGGATATCATTAGAAGAAATACCTAATGTAAATGACGAGTTGATGGGTGCAGCAAACCAACATGGCACATGTATACCTATGTAACAAACCTGCATGTTGTGAACATGTACCCTAGAACTTAAAGTATAATAATAAAAAACAAAAAAGGAGAAGAAAAATATATTTAAAAAGAAAAAAAAGAAATGCAAAATATAAAAGACAAGAAAATTGAAAACTCAGGCCAGAGACCCAATAATTCAGTAATAGGAATTCCAGAAATAAAGGGGAGGAAATTATCAAAGAAATAATTGAAGAAATTTACTTCCAAAGAAGTAAGTTTTACTTCTTTGCAGAATTAAAGTCTTCTGCACTGAGAGCTTAGCAAAATGGATAAAATGGACCCATACCAAGACATTCATCATGGAATTTCACACTATTGGAAATGCAAAGATTCTGCAGGCTTCTTCGTTTACGGAAGTAAAAACAAAAACAAAAACACTTGAACATAAAAGATTGGAAAGCATAATGGCTTTGACTTCTCAATAGCAACCTTGAGAGCTGTAAGTTCTTCAGAGGAGCTTTAAACATCTGCGAACTGTTTGGTTGTTAAATAGCATTTACATAGGCATACGAATATACACGTGGAATACTGATCTCATGAAAAATAACGCATTACTATATTGGGAAGAATGAACAATAGGATGGATGTGGGAGAAGGAGAAGAAAAGAGAGCTAGATATTCATATTTCAAGTTGTAAAGTCAATAGATAATACCTAGATCTAAAACCAAACAGTAGTAATATAATCATATTATTTATCATTTACCTGAAGTTAAGTAGCAAATTATGAACTTAAAGAGATGAAAGTGGCTGCCTGTGGAAAGACAAAATTGGGGGAGGTTGGGTGGGGGAAAGAAGAGGGAGAAAGATTTCTTTTTCTCATAATAAAACTTGTAGATCTGATAAATTCTTTAAACACATGTTTAAAGAATTGGCATGTATGCCTTGGCTAAAAATCAAAAACTAAAATGTAACACATAAACCTCTCTAGATAAATCATAACATGGAATGGGTGCTAATTTCTTTTTTTTTTCTGCGTAAGTTTCATTTATTTATTTATTTATTTATTTTATTTTATTTTATTATCATTATACTTTAAGTTTTAGGGTACATGTGCACAATGTGCAGGTTAGTTACATATGTATACATGTGCCATGCTGGTGTGCTGCACCCATTAACTCGTCATTTAGCATTAGGTGTATCTCCTAAAGCTATCCCTCCCCACTCCCCCCACCCCACAACAGTCCCCAGAGTGTGATGTTCCCCTTCCTGTGTCCATGTGTTCTCATTGTTCAATTCCCACCTATGAGTGAGAACATGTGGTGTTTGGTTTTTTGTCCTTGTGATACTTTGCTGAGAATGATGGTGTCAAGCTTCATCCATGTCCCTACAAAGGACATGAACTCATCATTTTTTATGGCTGCATAGTATTCCATGGTGCATATGTGCCACATTTTCTTAATCCAGTCTATCATTGTTGGACATTTGGGTTGGTTCCAAGTCTTTGCTATTGTGAATAGTGCCGCTATAAACATACGTGTGCATGTGTCTTTATAGCAGCATGATTTATAGTCCTTTGGGTATATACCCAGTAATGGGATGGCTGGGTCAAATGGTATTTCTAGTTCTAGATCCCTGAGGAATCGCCACACTGACTTCCACAAGGGTTGAACTAGTTTACAGTCCCACCAACAGTGTAAAAGTGTTCCTATTTCTCCACATCCTCTCCAGCACCTGTTGTTTCCTGACTCTTGAATGATTGCAATTCTAACTGGTGTGAGATGGTATCTAATTGTGGTTTTGATTTGCATTTCTCTGATGGCCAGTGATGATGAGCATTTTTTCATGTGTTTTTTGGCTGCATAAATGTCTTCTTTTGAGAAGTGTCTGTTCATGTCCTTCACCCACTTTTTGATGGGGTTGTTTGTTTTTTTCTTGTAAATTTGTTTGAGTTCATTGTAGATTCTGGATATTAGCCCTTTGTCAGATGAGTAGGTTGCAAAAATTTTCTCCCATTCTGTAGGTTGCCTGTTCACTCTGATGGTAGTTTCTTTTGCTGTGCAGAAGCTCTTCAGTTTAATTAGATCCCATTTGTCAATTTTGGCTTTTGTTGCCATTGCTTTTGGTGTTTTAGACATGAAGTCCTTGCCCATGCCTATGTCCTGAATGGTAATGCCTAGGTTTTCTTCTAGGGTTTTTATGGTTTTAGGTCTAATGTTTAAGTCTTTAATCCATCTTGAATTGATTTTTGTATAAGGTGTAAGGAAGGGATCCAGTTTCAGCTTTCTACATATGGCTAGCCAGTTTTCCCAGCACCATTTATTAAATAGGGAATCCTTTCCCCATTGCTTGTTTTTCTCAGGTTTGTTAAAGATCAGATAGTTGTAGATATGCGGCGTTATTTCTGAGGGCTCTGTTCTGTTCCATTGATCTATCAAAGGATAACTGTAGTCTCTCTATGGAGACAGGTGCTTGTCAGCTTATATATGCATCTGAATATTGAGAAGTACCAGAATGTTCTCTTTTACATGACATGTTCTCTAGGTTGCCATATGTCCTAGCATTCCCAGTAAAGTCCTATTTTCATACCCCATGTTCAGGCTAATTATGTAAAGTACCTCTTTTTACTCTCAAAGCATCCTGGTTGGAGAAAATTAGGTGGCTACCCTAATATTGCTCTCTCACACCTCTCTATATGTACACTTGCTATTTGCATTAGTCCGTTTTCACTCTGCTAATAAAGACATACCCAAGACTGGGTAACGTTTACAGGAAGGAGGTTTAATGGACTCACAGTTCCACGTGGCTCGGGAGGCCTCACAATCACGGTTGAAGGCAAGGAAGAGCAAGTCACGTCTTACATGGATGGCAGCAGACAAAGAGAGAGCATGTGCAGGGAAACTCCTCCTTATAAAACCATCAGATCTCATGAGACTTATTCACTATCACGAGAACAGTATGGGAAAGACTCGCCCCCATGATTCAATTACCTCCCACTAGTCTCTCCTACAACACATGAGAATTGTGGAAGCTACAATGCAAGACGAGATTTGGGTCGGGACACAGCCAAACCATATCGCTATTCTTCTTACCTTGAATTCCCTTTCCCAAATGTCCTGAGAAAAAGATGGCTTCACATTTCTGTTCAAGTTCTACGTCCTCATAAAGATTTCCTTGAATTAAAGATTTTTCCTGTCCCTTTTTACACTACATATATAACTTCATTACAGCAAATATTTAACTGTATTGCAGCTGTTTACATGTTGTCTTCCACTACAGCATAAGTTCCATGAGAGCAAGGATCATGTCTCTCCATTATTGATGGTCCAGCACTCAAGATGGGCTGCACAGAGTAATCCACACAATTCTTACTGAATAAATGAAGTTACCATTTATCTTATTATATAACATTTAATTTTTAGATATATATGTTCTAAAAAGCCTCATCCTTATAAAGGATATTGGCAATTCCATTCTGATATGATTTATCCCAACCATAAAAAAATTCTAGGCATAATTCCATTCCTATATTCAAACTAAAGAGTGAGAGTCTGTAATTACAAATTCTTAGTTGAGTTTGAATACCTCCATTGTATAAATGCTCAAACATATAATCTACCTGTCTGTATCTATTTCAGCAGCTAAGATAAATTCACAAATAATCTTAGCATTATACATTGTCAGATGAACATAGCAAACAGATAGAATTCGATGTTTTCAATTTAATAATGAAATATAAAATGCCTTTCTGACTCTTTTCTTTTAAACTGAATTCAGATTTTCATCTTACCCAGTTTCATGTGAAGGTGAATTATGCTGGAATTTTTAAGGGGAGTTGGACTGAAACAACTGAAGGTGCATTAAAATATTCCTTTTCTATTCTAAACTACTGTCCTTTCACACATGTAAAAATCACATGGAGATGTTGAAAAATAAAGATTCCCAGGATTTGGTGTGTGTGTGTGTGTGTGTGTGTGTGTGTGTGTGTGTGAGTGTGTATATATTAGATTATATATTATACTCCAGGTATACATACACATATATTATTTATTATTTTAATATATAAAGTATTATATAGTATACATACATTTTAATATATTACTATTTATAAGCATAGATATATTTACACCTTGCAGTGGATAACAGGTTGAATTACCTGAGAATTCAGTAGGATAGAGACTTGGATGTAAAACTATGTTGCTTTAAAGAAAATAAAGAAACGTACGCTTTCTTGCACAGTTGAGTATATGAACTAAGGTTCACTCTCACCTGCACATACAGCTTTGATACTGTAAGTGAAGCTGAAGAAATACTCTATTTAAAAATTAAAACATCAACTCAGAGAGCAAATTTTCTCAGAGTGAGAGGTGTACCCCACAACAGACCCTGCCTGTCTTTTCATTCAGGGTGGGGCGGAGGAAGTATGCAGGTGGGTTGTCTGATCAGAGTCTGCTGAGAAAGATAGGATCTGCCCACCTGAGCACAGCTTGCCCCCAACACCTCTCACAGGTACAGAGGCCAGTAATAGCAGAGGAAAATTATGACAGCCATATACAACAATCAACCTAATCTTTCACATAGTAAATATGAACAACTAATAATCATGTTACCTAAAACAATAATAACACAAAAAAGAAAGATCAAAATGAATGAAAAACAATTGATTCAGGAGGAAAAAGTATAGTTCCAGTAAGAGAAGAGAACTTAAAAATAACTCTCATTAGTATTCTAAGAAAGATTCATGAATATACTCATTCATAAACAAGAACAAACTAATATGCAAAAAGTGAATAACAGAATAAGTAAAAGTCCATGAAAATTAAGAATACAATTACCAAAATTAAGAAAAAAATAATCGATAGTTGAATTGGAAAAAAAGAAGCCTCTCAAAATGTAAAGCAATAAAAAAGATGACAAATATAAAATGTAAATCCAAGAGGTCCAACATCCATCTAAGGAGTGTCTCTAATGACAAAGAGCAAAGGCAATCAAGGAGAAGAAATAATCATTCAGTGGAAAAAAATCTCCAGAGCCCAAGATATGACTCTTCAGAAAAAAGGGTTCATTCAGGAAATGTGGTTCAGGATCATTTAAAAGAACCCATAAACATATCCTCATTAAATGTCAGACCATCTCAAGAAGTGTTGCTTCTCATTCCTTTCTCTGGATCTTCTGCTTCTCCTTGACTTCTAAATTGTGTGAACCAGGGCTCAATATTTTTGCTTCTTCTCTTTGTCTCTTCTATACTTCACTCATTTACTATTGTCTCATCTAGACTCAACATTTTGAATGCTATCTATGTCTTGATAACTGCCAATTTTATATCTTTATTTCCAAGCTCTCCATAAAATTTCTGACATCAAATCAATTTCCTTCCTGTAATCTAACAGACATTTCAAAAAATGACTAAAGTAGAACTTGTACCTCAATCCCTACTTCAAATTGCTCATCTCCTAGTCTTCCCCATCTCAGTAAGTGGCAACACCATTACAGTAGCTCAGGCCATAAAACCACGAGACATGCTTAACTCTTGTCTTCCTCATTCTGTGCATACAACCCATCAGCAAAGCCAACATCTACCAGAAGTTTGAAAGAAAAATGTGTTCAAGAGGACTATTAATTCCCTAAAACTATTGTGAAATTGCATTTTCTCTCTCTTTTACCTCTCACAACTCGGTTTATATTAATTGTATCTCTCATTCAAAATAACACATTCTTTAAGAATATGAGAATGCATCTCCTTGTGTATGGTACAAACACTGTAAGTTCTACAATAAATAACACTTACATAATATTTTAAATGTTGGCAATTGCTTTCAAATTTTAAATAATCGAAGTGTGAAAGACATTTATATTTACTAAGTTTAATGTAAATTCTATAAGCCTTGAAATTATAAAAGTAATTTAAAAGCAGGAGTTAGTAGGTGGAAATAGATGTGGAAAAAAATACAGGAACAAAAAAAATCTCTACTCTTACAATGTAGGAAACTAGGAGACACTGTGAAAAATTGATGGGTCAAGACATAGAATTTGTATGATGGTAAGTAACAATGGAACTTCTCAAAAAATGCCTGGTAGGGACTGGAGTGGGGAGAGAGGACAAGTATGAGAGATGTCAATTTCTTATGTGTAATAGAGGGGAATCAATAGCTATTTTTAAACTGGTACATTAACAAGCAACACATATGCATATTGTTTAAGGTTTAGATTTAATCTCAAGAAAAACTAACCATAAAGTGATTAAAAATAATCACTTCTGATGAGTGGGAAAGGAGAAAAGGATAATAAGCCTTATGTTTTATTTAGCAACCTCCTGGTTTAGGAATTAAATGAACAAATAAATCAAAATATTAACAAATAATAAAGCAGATAATCACATTCAATCTAGTTCTGTGCCTGTATTTTCACACATATTTATTTGGATAAGATTGTATAAGGAAATACCAATTTTTGTTTCACTGGTAGTCAGTAGCATAAAGGACACAAATATTAATTTAGTCTATTTTAGTGTAGTTCTTATTTTTAATCCACTACATAAGTACACAGATTGGTTAGCTACTATCTGGTCAAAACATATTGATGCTAGGGTATGCATTTATTAAAGAATTCTATTTTTAAAATCCTCCACATCTAGACCCAGAAAATCTCACACACTGATTCACTGTAATTTTCTCCTCAAAGTACTACAGGCCTATAGACCCCTCCCAAGTGAGGCACTGCAGTTTCGAACACAGTAAATATTTCCATTGTGCTAATGCTATCTCTTGTCCTACTTCTATGCCTATAAATATAGCACTATTTTTACCTTGAATAATGCATGGCTTGGTGGCCTGCAATATTAAAATAGAAGTCTGTTGTGTGCTTCATTTCATTGGTGTGCCCAGTGGCCTCAATCCAGTGTCCTATTGGGAGACAATACACACCATCCACCAAGTTGTTTTCATTGTAAGTACAGCAACGGTCATGATGAGGTCCATTGCCTAGAACAAGAAAAAATGATAAACAGAGCAATTAAATCAGTGTTTTGTTTAAATATCCTCAAAGCAGCTGATACAAAATTAATAGCAAGAAAAAAATAAACATAAAGCTACTTAATCTACACATTTCAGTATAAACAAAAAAGACTAGAGTGAAAAACAGAACGGTAGGAATTTGTAAAGAGCTACTTAGGAAAATCAGAGTTTTTTACTCCCTTTGAGTACATGGGTTATAAAAAGCATGTTAACTCTTTCAGAGCTTCATGGTACCTCTCAGTGCTCTAAGAGGCCATTATGAATCACTTTGCAGCCTGAGAAGCTCCTAAAAAAAGTTTTTAAAGCTATTAATGCCCCTGTATTATACACTTCTATCTTTCTGGTATGCAAATTTACGAATAAAATCAGGAATAAAGTGTTGTAGTATCAGCTCAACAAAAAAATGCATAATTATAAATAAATGCATTAATAAGTAATAAATGACCACATCAAATCTACTTTACAGGTAAAACAGTTATTATTATTGTTTTCAAATGAGGAAAACAAGTCTCACAGAGATTAACTAGCTTGCCCAAGGTCACAAAACTAGTAGTGCGGAGCTAGTAGCACCTGCCTCTCCTAGTCCCCCACCTTTCTGGCGTCTGATGCCTTTGTGATGCTCCCTGCTGATGTCACATGCACAAAGACACACCATCTTCCTTCCAGGGCCATGGATCAAAGGAAGCAGACACACATCTCTAAAAATATTATTTGCCTATTTCACGATTGCCCAGTATCAACTACACTAGTTGCTATGGTATGAATGTTTTTGTCCCCCCAAAATTTATATGTTGAAATCCTAACACCCAAGGTGTTGGTATTAGAAGCTGGGGCCTTTAGGAGATGATTAGGTCATGAAGAAGAACCCTCACAAATGTGATTAGCTCCCTTATAAAAGAGGGGTGAAAGAAACCCCTTGCTCTGTTCCACCATGTGAGAACACAGCAAGTCGTCGCCATCTATGAACCAGTAAGTGAGCCCTCACCAATCACTGAATCTGGTATGCCTCAATCTTAGACCCCCCAGCCTCCAGAATTGTAAGCAATAAATTTCTATTGTTCATAAGCTAACCAATATATGGTGTTTTGTTTATAGCAGCTCAAATGGTCTTACATACTAGTAAACCTTGATTTCTACAAAAATTATAATTCATACATTATTTTTACTACCTTTTTATCATCCCATTTCAAATCATGCCTCTCTTTATACTACCTAAGTATAATGTACTGTAAGAAAGACATGTAAGCAAACTAAATGCATGAGTGGTTTACAGAAATAAATCACATTTGTTATGAATACAAAAATGTGATTCATTTGTTCTTTTCTCTTTGTTCTGTCTTACAAAATATTTAACCTAAATTTGCTTGGCGTAAGCTCTCAAAAAATCCTTAAATTATTTGATGTTTCTTTGAGATATAACTCCTTCCATCAGACAGAAGGTACAGGATGACTCTCTTAATAAACCATTACTGATCTTCCTAGATCAGTCTCCTCTTTTTTCTCTTAATGGATTTTTTTTCTCGACGACTACAAGGTGCTGCACCACATCTCTATTAACCTTCATTTTTAATAGATAAAAACCAAACTACACTAGCAACCTCACTTCTAGAAACATATCCAACAGAAATATTACTAAGAAAAAAGAATTTCTGATGCACACAGAGATACATGCGTACAGTAATACTATTTTAATAGAAAATACTGTAAACCATATAAGTTTTTTTTCATTCTTCTACAGATATTTATTGAGACAGGTACTGTGCTAGGTCATGTTAAGAACTCAGATATTTATCATAAGAGCAACTAAAAATTTGAAATATTCTAAGCAGGCATGTAACATAACCAGATTTTATTTTAAGGATACCTCTCTGGCTACAGAGTAAAAAAATAATTCAAGAACAATCAGATAGAAGCAGAGAGTCCATTTAAGAAACTACTATATTGGCCTAGGTAGTTTATGATGAAGCTTGGTCACAGACTTTGAAAGGATTATGCAGATTCAAGAGGGAAAGGCCACAGGACTTGGTGATTAATTGGAAAAGGAAGGTGAAGATGAAAGGGGATTAACAATGCCTCTTAAGCTTCTAGTGAAAATAATTCAATATACAGTGGCACTATTCACTGAGATGCAAAATCTGAAAGAGGCTGTAAGGAAAGATCATCTATCTAGTTCTGGCAATGTTGGGTTTGGAGTGCTCTTTAGATATCCAAAAGGAGTCCTCAAAAGAGAGCTGGAGTTACTCATTTGACATTAAGACCAGAAATCTGAACTAAAAAAATAAATATATGAGTAATTTGAGTGTAAATGGTAATTGAAATAGGAACATAGATGAGTCACAAAGAAAAACAATATTAATAAGGAAAAAAGTTCTAGAACAAAGTCTGAAAGTTTTTCAATGTTTAACAGCCAGCGAGAGAAGGATAAACTTACAAAAGATGAATAGAGGAGCTGAAAAGGAAAAGTAGGAGTGACTAAGTGAAGCAGCAGAGCATGACTGAAAGTGTAAACATAGACTACAAACTGGATATGGTTACTTCTAGGAAATGGAATTGGATGGAGGGGAACTGTCATAGTCAACTGTTTTGAATTGATTGGATTAGTTACAAGGAGCGGGTGTTACTTTTTTAGTTAAATAAAACAATATCTGTGGCTCCCATTGGTCAGTATAATTGACTTACAACAATTGAATTATTACCTATTAAAAATATAATTGTTGAAGAGATCAAATATTCATAAATTACAATGGTCAAGAAGAATTATTTATGTGTCATCATCTTCATAAGAATTCTTCATTCCTAGAGTGATTTCTTTAATTACTCATTTTTACACATTTATGTTTTAGGCAACATTTTTAAAAGTCTTTCATGGATAGTAAACTGAGTTATTCAAAATATGTTCTAATAATTAAAATGTCTTTTAGAGGATGGGTTATTGTCTTTTTAATTTCACCTAATGAAATGGCAAAAATGAATAGTAAAATAATTTTGGTTTTGGAGATTTCTGCATGGAGAACTATGGAATAAATGTACTTTTCCCTAGTCCTCCCACTAAGTATAATTTAAAACCCTGAAAATTATAAATAAACAAACATAAGATAACTTTGAAAGACAAAGAGAAGAAGACAGACTATCCAGGGACACTGAGACCTAAGAAAAGACCTAAGTATTGAGTTCCCTGCATTTTCTTTTTGCCTTATATATCCCAGACTTAGATCTGAAGAAGCCAGCAACCTGGTAACACAAGGACAGAAAAAGAAAACATGACAAAAGTCCATTCTCTCTAGCCAAATGAAAAGACAAGCCTAGCCAGACAGAAATCTGTTTGATAATAACTACACTACTCCAGTCAAACCCACTGAAAAAATGTGGCCCCACACCCACTCAGGCCAGCAAAGGCCAAGCATGGGTACACTTCCACTTTTGTTTGCCAAGCTGTATTGCAGTGCCTCAACCCACTCACTATCATGGTGTCAGAGAAGGATGAGTAGGGGTCTGAAACTTTCAGCATCATCGTTGGCAATATAGTGGAGTCCAAGTGGAAAGGTGGACTTCCACCTCCATTTGGCAGTAACGAGGTGCCCCTTCTTTCCACTGAGATCGTGACAAAGGTGACCTAGTGGAAAGTCAAGATTTCCACCTCCTTCCCACCCGACCATCAGTGGATGCCATGTAGGAAGCAGTAACAAGGCATTCCTCCCTGTCTCAGCCAGGGAGCTATCAATGGAGGCCTAATGGAGAGTTAGAACTACCACCCCACTCAGGGAGGAGTCTGTTTGGTTTGGTTATGAATGGAAACAGTGTGAGGAACCTGGGTAATAAGGTGGGACCTCCATTCTTCTGCTGGAGTGGTGTCAGAAGAATTCAGTTAAAATCAAAGGTTTGCATAAGAGCTAACCTCAGGCCGGGCACGGTGGCTCACGCCTGTAATCCCAGCACTTTGGGAGGCCGAGGCGGGTGGATCATGAGGTCAGGAGATCGAGACCATCCTGGCTAACAAGGTGAAACCCCGTCTCTACTAAAAATACAAAAAATTAGCCGGGTGCGGTGGCGGGCGCCTGTAGTCCCAGCTACTCGGGAGGCTGAGGCAGGAGAATGGCGTGAACCCGGGAAGCGGAGCTTGCAGTGAGCCGAGATTGCGCCACTGCAGTCCGCAGTCCGGCCTGGGCGACAGAGCGAGACTCCGTCTCAAAAGAAAAAAAAAAAAAAAAAAAAAAGAGCTAACCTCATTACATAATACCCAAAATGTCTAGGTTTCAATAGAATGTTACCCATTATACCAATAACCACTAAGATCTCAAACTAAATGGAAAAAAAAAAAGATGCCGGATAAAGGCCAACACCAAGAGAACAATGATGTTAGAATTATGTGATAATTATGTGATAAAGATTTTAAGGCCTCAGTAACCCATTAGAACACATTTCAAACAAATGAAGAATCGGAATGTCTCAGCAATGGAATGGAAGATGAAAAGAGGAACTAAATATTAATTTTAGAACTGAAAAACACAATATTTGAAATTTTCAAAACTCAATAGATGGGTTTAAGAGCAATATGGAAGGGACAGAGGAAAGAATTCACAGACTTCAAGATAGAATCATGGAAATTACCCAATCTAAACAGCAAACAACAGAAAAGTAGGCTGAATTAAAAAAAAAAAAAACAGACACTTAGGGACTTGTGGTACTATTAACAGAAGATCTAAATTTATGTCATTGGAGTCTTGGAAGAAGAGGGAAAAGATAGTAGGGCTTAAAAGTACTTAAGAAAATAATGCCGGAAAACTTTTCAAATTTGGCAAGAGGCAAAACCTACAAATTCAAGCAGGTGAGCAAAGTCCAAACAACATAAACCCAAAGAAATCAATACCGAGACATGACATATTTAAACTTCTGAAAACTAACAACAGAGAAAATCATAAAAGTAGCCAGAGAAAAACAGCAATGTAAAGGAAAAAATATTCTAATATGAGCAGATTTCTCATCAGAAGTCACCAAAGGAAGTGTCATTTTTCAAGTGCTGTAAAAAAGAACAACTGTCAACCAAGAATCTTACTTTGTGACTATTTCCTTCAGGAAAAAAAGGGAAAATCAAAACATGCTTATGAAGGAAAACTAAGAAAATTTTGCCGCTGAATTATCTTAAAAATGACTAACAGAAGATGTCTAAACAAAAAGAAACTCTTTGAAAACAGGAAGAATGAGCACAGTAAACAAAATTATAAGTAAATAAGCAAACATTCTAACATTGTCTGATGCTATTCTACATGTATGTAAAGGAAATATTTAAGGCAATTATATTGCAAATGAGGAAGGACAAACGAATGAAAAAGGAGGTAAGTTTTCTAAAATTCACTCAAACTCGTAAAAGGTTGATACCAGTCAACTATGATGTTAGGTATATAATATACATAATGTATATAGAAATTCTATGTGTAAATCAAAACAGAATTCTAAAAAAATGTTCAATTATGAACCAGACATGCCACACAATCAGAGAAAAAGGAGGAAGAGAAAACAACCAGAAACAAAAAATAAAATGGCAAACTTAGGCTCTAACATACCAATAATTATGTTAAATAGTCTAAATACACCAATGAAAATACAAAAGTTGGCAGAATAATTTTTAAGTGAATCAATTATATGCTGTCTAGAAGCAATTCACTTCAAATTATATACACAGGTGGGAAGTAAAAGCATAGAAAAAGATATACTATGCAAACATTAATCAAAAAGCAGGAGTAGTTATATTACTATTATATAAAGTATACTTCAGAGAAAAGAAAATTACTAGAGAGGGGAAATTATACAATGTTTAAAGTATCAATCTAACAAGAAGACACAGCAACTTTAACTGTGTATATATCAAACAGTAAGGTGGTTAAATACGTAAAGCAAAAAACTGAGAGAACTGAAAGAATTTTAAAACTCCAGAATTATAGTTTAAGACCTCAACACCTCACCCAAAACAATTGTTAGAACAATTAGACAGAAAATCAGCAAGGATATTAGAAACCTCAAGAACACCATCAACCAACATTATCTAGTTGACATTTATACAGCACCCAATATAGCAGAATGCACATGTTCAACAGTACATAAACCAAGATAGAACATATCCTGTACCATAAAACAACTTCAAATTTTTAGAAAATTTAAATCATACAAATTGTGTTTTCTGACATTAACAGAATTGAACTAGAAATCAATAATAAATAGTTTTAGGTTTTATATTTAGGTTTTTAATCTGTTTTGTGTTAATTTTTGTATATGGTATATGGAAGGGGTCCAGTTTCAATCTTCTGCATATGGCTAGCCAGTTATCCCAGCACTATTTATTGAATAGGGTCCTTTCCCCATTGCTTATTTTTGTTAACTTTGTCAAATCAGATGGTTTTAGGTGTCTGGCATTATTTCTGGGCTCTCTATTCTGTTCCATTGGTCTATGTGTCCATTTTGGTACAAGTACCATACTGTTTTGGTTACAATAGCCTTGTAGTATAGTTTGAAGTCAAGTAATGTGATGTCTCCAGCTTTGTTCTTTTTGCTTAGGATTGCTTTGGCTATTCGAGCTCTTTTTTGATTCCATATGAATTTTTAAAGTTTTTTCTAATTCTGTGAAGAATTTTATTGGTAGGCTGATAGGAATAGGGTTGAATCTATAAATTTCTTTGGGTAGTATGGCCACTTGAGCAATATTAATTCCTCTTATCAAGGAGCATAGAATATTTTTCTATGTGTTTGTGTCATCCCTGACTCCTTTGATCAGTATTTTACAATTCTTGTTGCAGAATTCTTTCATGTCTCTGGTTAGCTGTATTCCTAGGTATTTTATTCTATTTGTGGCTATTGTAAATGGGATTTCATTCTTGATTTGGCTCTCAGCTTGGATGCTGTTGGTATATAGAAATGCTATGATTTTCATATGTTGATTTTGTATCCTAAAACTTTGCTCAAGTTGTTTATCAGAACAAGGAGCTTTTGGGTAGAGACTGTGAGGTTTTCTAGGTATAAAATCATATCATCTGCAAACAGGGATAGTTTGACTTCGTGTCTTCCTATTTGGATGTGGAGGCAATCATTCTAAGAGAAATAACTTAGAAAGTCTAATACCACATACTCTCACTTATAAATGGAAGCTAAGCATTGGATATACATGAACATACAGAGTGAAATAATAGACATTAGAGACTTCAAAATGTGGGGAGGTAGGAAGAGGTGAGGGATGAAAAATTACCTACTGGGTACAATGTACACTATTCAGGTGACAGACACACTAAAAGCCTAGACTTCACCACTGTGCAATATGTCCATGTAACAAAACTGTGCTTGTACCCCTAAATCTGTAAAAGTTAAAATTAAAAAATAAATTTATCAAAGTTAAAATTTAAAAAGTAAACATATAAATCGCTCACTATGTTGGGATAAACTAATCTGTATTTTTGGTAGAAAAGTAGAAAATTATTGGTTTAATTAACAAAAACATCTATTTCTTCAGAACAGTTTTAGCTACTTTGTTATTTGTTCATCAAGGCAAGTTAGGTGATTTCAAACGAAGTGAGTAAATGTGTAGGAGTAAGGGAACTGCTGTCTGGCACTCCAATTAAAGCCACAGAAATAAGAAACCCTAGAATTTAAAAACTCACAACTAACTCATTATTTTACATAGTTCTATAAGTTTGAGAGTTTCGGTTAAAATATGTGTATTTCTTAATAAATCCAGAAGTTTTGAAATTATATTGGTTAAATATCTATTGGATAGGTGTAGTCTCCTTAAGCAAAATAAATTTTACAATTATTATTCATATTATTTTATTTGAACTATCCTCTTTGGATTTTAATTATTTTAAATGTTTCATTTCTAGCATATGAACATAAGCTTTGATTCTAACACATTAATCTCTAATTTTAACTATTAACTCACCCACATCTGATCTCTCTCATGCCCCATCTGTTACTACCTCGGAAGCTATTATTGCATAAAGTTGTACAAACATGATATAGTCATTACAAACTCTTCGGCACTTTGATGTTCTCTTCTAATGGCAAAAACAAAGAAATAAAACGCACAAAAAATCTTTTTGTTCAACCAACTGCCTCTTTGAGATGATGAATCCTGTTCCAGTTGAGCACTTTGATGAATGGCAAAATGCAAACGTAGAAAATAGCTGAGTTCAGGGGTAGTCTTAGATACAGCTAAACTGTCCTTGCTAATGAAATGGAAACCTGAGATACAATCAGTGAAGGAGAGGATGAAGTAAGAGGTGTTAAGATTGACAAGAAGAAGGAAAGGTGAGATGCAGAAAGAGAAGAAAGAAGATCCAGCTAGAAAAACTATGTAAGAATAAAAGATAGTCAAAATACCCTGATCATGAGACCACCAAAGAGCAGTAAATGGCAAGCATCTTTTAATATTTAATGTGAAGTTTTATGCACTTCTGTAATATTTCTCTCTTCTCCTCCTCCCCAACTGTCAGTACAACCTACCACATTCACAAACAGATTTCTAGAGTGGAAGGAGAGAATACAGTTCCTGAGATAAAGAATAAGGGAATTCATCACCACTAGTCCTGTCTTATGGGAATTATTAAAGTGAGTTCTTTAAGCTGAGAAAACATACCACTAATTAATAACATAAAATACATGAAGGGAAAAAATTCAGTGGTATCAGTCAGATTCAAAATAGTCTTTTGCTTGAAAGGTGATGTGTAAAGCAATTTTATCTCTAACATGAGAGTTAAAAGACAAAACTATTAAAAACAACTGTGGCTTTGATAAATTGTTAAGGGATACAAATTACAAAAAGTTGCCAACTTTGACATCAAAATCATAAAATGTGGTAGGGAGGAGTAAACATGGAGAGCTTTTGTATTTGATTAAAGTTAAGTTGGTAACAGCTTAGAATAGCCTGTTACAGGTAATGTTTTATGTAAACCTCATGGTAATTGCAAAGCAAAACCCTATTATACTTCCACAAAATATAAAAATAAGGGATTCAAGACATATCACTACAGAAGACAATCAAACCACAAAGAAAGACAACAAGAGGAAGAATAAAAGATACACAGAACAACCAGAAAACAAATTATGAAAAGGCAGTAAGATAAGTCCTTACATACTATAATTACCTTGAGTGGAAATGGATTGAATTCTCCAATCAAAAGATATAAAGTGACTGAATAGATTGAAAAAGCAAAACATAACTAGATGCTGCCTACAAAATACTCACTTTACTTGTAAGAACACACGTAGATGGAAAATAAAGGGATGGAAAAATATATTCCATGCAAATGGAAGCCAAAAGAGAGCAGAGGTAGCTATATTTCTATCAGACGAAAAAGACTTTAAGTCAAACATCAGTAAAGAAAGACAAAGAAGGTAATTATATAATGATAAAGGTGTCAATTCTTCAACATTTATAAATATATATACATCTAACATAGTAGCTCCTAAATATTTAAGGCAGTTATTAAGCAATCTGAACGGAGAGATAGACTGAAATACTGTAATAGTAGGGGACTTTAATACTCCACTTTCAGCATTGGACAGAACATCATTTTTTAGACAGAAAATCAATAAGGAAACATTGGACTTTAATTACACTTTAGACCAAATGGACCTAACAGAAATATATGGCAAAGAATACACATTCTTCCCAAATATACACAGAACATCCTCCAGAACAGATCATATGTTAAGCCACAAAACAAGTCTTTAATAATTCCAGAAGACTGAAATCATATCCAGTATTGTTTCCTACCATAATGATATGAAACTAGAACTCAATCATAGGAGAAAACTGGGAAAATTTACAAATACGTGGAAATTAAACATGCTCCTGAACAACTAATAAGTCAAAGAAGGAATCAAAAGGGAAATTAAAGAACATCTTCAGACAAATGATAATGGGTATACAACATATCAAAACCTATGAGACACAGCAAAGGCAATTCTAAGAAGGAAGTTCATAACAATAAATGCCTATATCAAAAAAAGGAGAAATTTCAATTAGACAGAAGGAATAAGTTTTTGAGATCCATTGCACAGTAGGGTGACTAAAGTCAATAATATATTGGAAGTAGCTAAGAGTATAAATTTCAAAGGTTTCTCTCCACATAAAATAAGTGAAGTGATATGTGTTAATTAGCTTGATTTACTTATTCCACATATATACTCATATCAAAACATTACAATGTACCCCATACACATATACAATTATGATTTTTCCCTTAAAAATATCAATAATAGAAATAGGAATTATAAAGACAAATAAGTAACCCATACAGCAATGATTAAAACAGGTACTAGAATTAGAGATAACAGGGTTTTCTAAAATAAATGAAAATATATTTGATAAGGAAGTTAGAATTTGGAGGATCAGGAAAGAAAATATCAAATATGATAGTATGATCCTAGTAATGAATCAAACATCTGGCACAGGTAGGGGTATGTGTGTGTGTGTGTGTGTGTGTGTGTGTGTGTGTGTGTGTGTGTGTGTGTGGTGTGTTTCAAGGTAGAAAACTGATTACTATGATTATTGTTATTTTGATGACAAATAATATTGTGAAATTTTGGATACATGAGCACCAGCCTTTCTGTACATCTGTATATGTAAACTTGGCTAGCTCTTTTAGTCAAAAAATGAGCCACACAGCCTAAGACAATTACTGCACAGAATTATGGTAGAATTACAACTCAGTGGGCTCATAACTTGGTGCATAATAGGTTGGCCTCATTTGTTATTGGGGGAAATTCAGCCAGATATTGGGCAAAATTCACCCCCGATATTTCACGTAGGTTCTTTTCTATTTTCCCTAAGTGTCAGCCGATCTGAGAAATAAGGGACAGAGTACAAAAGAGAGAAATTTTAAAGCTGGGTGTATGGGGGAGACATCACATGTCGGCAGGTTCCGTGATGCCCCCGGAGCCGTAAAACCAGCAAGTTTTTATTAGTGATTTTCAAAAGGGGAGGGAGTGTACCAATAGGGTGTGGGTCACAGAGATCACATGCTTCACATGGTAATAAGATATCACAAGGCAAATGGAGGCAGGGCAAGATCACAGGACCACAGGACCGGGGCAAAATTAAAATTGCTAATGAAGTTTCGGGCACACATTGTCAATGATAACATCTTATTAGGAGACAGGGTTTGAGAGCAGACAACTGGTCTGACCAAAAATTTATTAGGCGGGAATTTCCTCGTCCTAATAAGCCTGGGAGCACTATGGGAGACTGGGGTTTATTTCATCCCTACGGCTCGACCATAAAAGATGGCCGCCCCCCGAAGCGGCCATTTTAGAGGCCTACCCTCAGGGACGCATTCTCTTTCTCAGGGGTGTTCCTTGCTGAGAAAAAGAATTCAGCAATATTTCTCCCATTTGCTTTTGAAAGAAGAGAAATATGGCTCTGTTCCGCCCAGCTCACTGGCGGTCAGAGTTTAAGGTTATCTCTCTTGTTCCCTGAACATTGCTGCTATCCTGTTCTTTTTTCAAGGTGCCCAGATTTTATATTGTTTAAACACACATGCTGTACAAACAATTTGTGCAGTTAACGCAATCATCACAGGGTCCTGAGGCGACATACATCCTCCTCAGCTTACGAAGATGATGGGATTAAGAAAGTAAAGACAGGCATAGGAAATCACAAGGGTATTAATTGGGGAAGTGATAAGTGTCCATGAAATCTTCGCAATTTATGTTCAGAGATTGCAGTAAAGACAGGCATAAGAAATTATAAAAGTATTAATTTGGGGAACTAATAAATGTCCATGAAATCTTCACAATCCACGTTCTTCTGCCATGGCTTCAGCCAGTCCCTCCGTTCAGGGTCCCTGACCTCCCGCAACAATTTGTTCTCAACAATTAGAGTTAAGGTCATTCAAATGCTTATGAGAACATAGACAAAGGTCCTTGAGACATTTGTTATGCTTCAAATTCTATGAGAAAATAGACAAATGTCCTTGAGACAGTTGTTTAGCAGTCCAGTATGACGCGTTAGCCCTCTCAAAGGTAAGCTCAAGGCATGCAGAAAAAGGAAACAGAAGGAGTGATTGACAAAGCTTAGCCTTGGATTCACTATCTGCCAAGCCTCCAGTGGGGATCTTTGAGGGAAAACTCCCAGAAGGACCTTGATCAGTTCCAGCTAAGAATTTTAAGGGAAGACTTAATTAACAACTGTCAAACCATACAGAGCAGAAAATAGTACAACAAAAAACTTCTATGATTATAAAAAGACATGGATGAAATGGAGGCTTATACCAAGTTAATTTGAAGAAACATAATAGAAAAAAAAAAAACAAGGTAAAAGCAAAAGTAAAATTTAATCGTGCATTTTTTAAAATACTAATAATTGAATATCCCATTGTTATGGACTGTATTGTGTCTCCCCCACCCCAAAATTTATATAATGAAGCCCTGACCTCCCAATGTGATTATATTTAAACATAGGACCTTAATTAAGGTAAAACAAGATCACAGAGTGAAGTCCTAATGCCATTACACCCCATAAGAGGAAAAAACACCAGAGATCTCTCTCTCCTCAAGCACACTGAGGAAACACCGTAAGGATACAGGCAGATGGTGGCTATCTGCAAGCCAGGAAGAGAAGCATTACCAGTAACGGAATCTGCCAGCACCCTGATCTATGACTTCTAGTCATCAAAATTGTGAGAAAATAAACTTCTGTTGTTTAAGCCATCCAGTCTGTGGTATTTTGTTATGGCAGTCCTAGCAGACTAATACACTCATATATGCAAAATATTCCAATTTAATCCAGTTAATAATCAAGTATGATTGAGAGCTTGTTATGTATCCAGTCCTATGCTAGGAAGGGGTAATAAATGAAGTTTAAAACATGATTCCCACAATAAATGAACTTCTGTTGATTAGATAAAAGTTATAGGAAGCCATTAGTGAGTGAAACGAAACTAAATTATGAAAATAATTTTAAAACTGTATGTTAACTGAAACATGAACAGAGTACCAAAGGATTGCAAATAGGCCTCATCTCAAATGCCACTTTCCATGTATGATGACTGAAAGGCTATGCTGAGTTGTATTCTAAGGATCAACTGGCTCACTGGGAGAGAAAAATTATGATAGGTTTGTGGTGTGCATATGAATGTAGAAAACTAAAAATGGACTATGTTGGAGAAGGTAATATCAGTATGGGCTAGAATTACTGAGAAAGGATTTATAATAGAGGGAATGGGTGCTATGCTGTGATGAACAACAGGATATGCTTTAGACACATGACAAAGAGTACAAGAATGTATGAATAAGTATGATTCAAGTTAGGAAATGGATAAGAACAAATCTGTTTATTTCAGTGGGTAGAGTGACAACACTGGCCCATAGGATGTCCATATTACTGACTGAATTCCAAAGCCAGCACTGTAAAACAACTGGATTTCATGACTTGGAAAGTGAAGAACAGAATTACACATCTCTAACCATTACTGTATTTAAGAAGGCATTTTTTAATGCAAAGCATTTACATTAGTTAATGATTCATGATGATAAACATATTTCAAAATAGGAAGCATTTCAAAGGTTGTAGATTATGCTGAAAAAATTCCACAATGGCATTACCAGACAATTATGCTTTCATTTAAAATTAAACACAATAACAGAGCTTTCTTGAAATATAATTTTAAAATCAAATCTGAAACTCAGATTACTCTTAATAGGCTTCACTCAAACCATCAAGATTGAATTATTAATAATTCATTCAATGTGATAATAATCTAAAGAGATGCCAAAAGATTTGACCACCTAATTTGATGTGATCAAAACTTTTGGCAGTTTATTATACTATGACTAAAGATCAACCTATTAAAATGTGCCATCTCTGTATTATTGGAAACATTTGCTGGATACTGAAATTTACTTTCTATGTCACATGCAGAGATGTTTATTTTTGTGTTTAATAAATTTTGATTTAATTATTCTAATAATCTTTAATGTTGATTTTCCTACTGTCATTAAAACAATTTTCATGGCAGTGTCTAGACTTTTGTTGTTGTTGTTAAGACTGGTAGTTCATTTTTTTTCCTTCATGGCACTCTCAGAATTAACTAGAAATTTCCCTATTCATAGCCTGAACACAAATCCAAGTCATATGTTAAAAATAGATAAAGCATCTATATCAGTATTAGTCTCATTGTATAAGCAAATTTTTCTAACCACATTTTGCTACTTCATTTCGTATACCTTAAAGCCCACACACACAAAAAAAAACCTATCTTTGTGCACTTAAATATACAAATAATGCTGAGGCAGAAGGAGATAACTTCCCTAGTAGCTATATCTCAACAGTGTCCAACATTTAGTTGCAGAGAACACAGAATATAACTATTCATCCTGGAACTCTTCAGAACATTGAGAAATATTTTACATTTAATTCCATCCTAACCCAGCTAGCTAGGTAAACATGCATTTTGGCAGTTTCATAGTAAGAACATATTTGGCATAAAATATGTCTTCAATTAAGATTTTCCAGAATGTGGACTAAATAATTTAGTAAAACACTCCCTTGAGCTGATCTAGTTCTGCTGCAAAAACCATCCCTGATAGCTTCACACATTGCTTTCTTCCATGGCAAAAATATTTTACGAATATTAAGGGCATACAGTTGACATGAATATCACATATGCATTGGAAAGAAACTAGAAATATACAGCTAGTTGAAATGGAGGATAAAGTGACCAAATACAATCTTTAAAGATGAAATTGAGAAACTAGGTTGTTTTAAATCCTTTTAATAAGACATTATAAACTGAAAATAAAAGAGGGCGTAATCCTGGCAATTAGATTATCCTAAAATTTGCCGTAATCATAAACTACACATGTATAAGAAACAACTGAAGAAGAATTTTCTTTCTTTCAGAACTATGTCTGATTGCAAGCAACAGAAAATCTGGTTAACAGTGACCTAAACAAATATTAATATAAGACTCTGTCTTACATAACTAGAGGTGAGAAGCCAGGTAGCCCAGAGCTGGTCAACACCAAGATCTTCCTAAATGTCTGCTTTGCCGTCCTTCACATGCTGACTTTTGTCAAGCTTCTAACCTGATGTTCATAGGGTCACCTCTAGGCATCATGTCTGGAGTCCTAACCATGAAGAAGGGTGAAGGACCATGCCAGCTAAGCCTTTGTTCCTTTTCATGAGAAAAGCAAAAGCATTCCTGAGAGCCTTGCCTTCCCATATCTCATGAGCCAGAACTAGGTGACATTAACATCCCTAGGCCAATTGCTACCCAAGAGGAATAAGATTACCATAACTGGTTATAGCAATGATTCATTCCATTGCTACCTAAAGAAATCAGGATTCTGTTGGCTGCGGAGAGTGGAGAGAAACAAATAATGGTGATAGTGATGCACTGGAACACATTATCTTTCTCCAGCAAGTAATTTTGGAGGATAAATCATATTTCCTTAGGCATCACATCTCCACCTGATTTAATTCAAAACTATTCCATGTATTACATTTTTAATTGCAACTGATTTTTATTTAAACAAGTCAGCAGTAAAAGTAGAAGCATTTTAATGTACTCTTAAAACTTGCCAATTGCCACACACACACACAAAAAAAGCGAGCAAGAAAGAGAGTACCAGTTATTTGTCTAGTTCTTGATTGTGTCTGGCTTATACCTCTTCGCTATAACACAGAATCTTCTCATTCTATTCCTGGCTTTAAATCTCCCCAAATCCCTCCTCTTCCAGGTTTCCAATCATCTCTGCCCAACAGCATCTCTTATTGCCTTCTCTTGCCTCTAGCTAGCCCTGTGCTCACCCAGCACTCTTACTTCCCTATTCATTCTTCAGCGTCCTGCAATATGGCATCTGCACTCAATGCTCTATGGAAAAAAAACTTTAAACAAAGTCATCTGCTAGTTTCCATAATAATTTTTCACATTTCTTTACCTGTGTGCAATACTTAATGAGAGTGACCACCCTCTGTCGAAACTCTCCTTTGTAGGTTCCGTAAAACTTCTTTCTTGAAAGACAGTATTTTATAGCAGTTAAGTGCATGGGCTCAAGATTCAGACTCAGACTTCATTCCAAGTTGTATGATTTACTCTTTGTAAACAGTAATGAGAAAATCATTTAAGCAAACTGTGTCTGTTTTCTTATTTGCAAAAAGAAGAAAAAAAGAAAAAGAAAAATGCCTATCTGCCTCATAGGGCTGTTGTGAGAGAATTCAATGAGATAATCCATTTAAAAGATTTAACATAGAAACTATCACAGTTGATGTTCAACAACCAGTAACAGCTCTTAACTATTACCTTACACCTCTTCCAGTCCTCCTAGTCTTTGCAAAACTGTACACTAATGCAAAAGAGGTATACTACTAAAACAAACTCAAATTATTTTAACAATAACCTTGTTCAGACCTATATGTATCAAGACAAGACCATAATAACAGTAACTCCACTTGGGCTTATGTGTTTCCAAGGTACAAGATTTTTCAGTAACTCACATAGTTTACAATTTCTGCCCAACCCCTGCCCAACCATGCTAGCTTTACCCTAAAACTGAAACTACAAACTCTTTTCTCTTTGACTTGTGATCAATGCAATTTCTCTTGTTCTCTATTTTTATAAAATAACTTAATGCAAATGTAAGAGTTAACTTTTATTAATCTCTTCTTATTGGTTTATTCCTATCTGTGGGACAAAATATTTTGAATAGTGCTCATCTTAAACAAAATACCAGCTATCTCTCCCAACTTTCTCTTATCAGCAAATTTGATAAACATGTTTCTTTTTTTTTTTTTTTTCGAGACGGAGTCTCGCTCTGTTGCCCATGCTAGAGTGCAGTGGCACCATCTCACTCACTGCAAGCTCTGCCTCCTGGGTTCACACCACTCTCCTGCCTCAGCCTCCCAAGTAGCTGGAACTACAGGCGTCCGCCACCACGCCCAGCTAATTTTCTGTATTTTCAGGAGAGACGGGGTTTTGCCGTGTTAGCCAGGGTGGTCTCGATCTCCTGACCTTGTGATCTGCCCGCCTCGACCTCCCAAAGTGCTGGGATTACAGGTGTGAGCCACCACATGTGACCTTAGATATTCTTTAAAAAAAAACTTCCTTTTTTTCTTCCTGAAAACAGCAAAGATTTGGCACAAAACAATTAAAATGTTACATAGCATTTTAGCCATTTAAAAATATTTATTCTATCTACATCAAGTTTTATAAACAACTTTAAACAGCCTAATTTTTCAAGGCAATTACTCTCTTATACAGAATACAGTGATTATGTCAGTTTAAAAATTGCACTGATAGTCTCTTTACAAGTGAAAACTAGCAATCCATTACGCTGCTGAATGACTCTGATCTTCATGCTGTAGGATACAACTACTCTAACACATTTATGCCATTACTTACCTCAAAACCTTAATATCAACAAAAGTCAGCAAGGAATTATTCACCAAGCTTTACAAGTATACTTTTCTTATTTAACTCATCTTGTGGGACTAATTTTCTAGGAAATTCTGACACAAAGTTAACTGATATGAAACCATGATAAAGTGTTTCTCGAACATGTCATAAACATCAAGGATTTCACATAACAACTGTGTGATGATCTTCTGATGATAGGATAAAATAGGCATCACTGGTATTATCAGTTAAAAAGGACATCCATCAGCTTAATTTTAAAAACATTATTTTAAAATTGTCATAAAGAACCAATAGCAAGATTTTTGTAGGTTATTTTTAACTACTTTTAATTACCTACATCAAAGTAATCTGCTTATATCTGAGCAAAATTAAGCTATCTAATACATATTCCCAAATGAAGCAGAAGTTCTTAATAAATTGCTAAGCTTAAAGAGACTGCAGTCACATTTACTTCATTAAAGATTTTTTAAATGAATGGTAGTGGTTTATCTGAATTCTTTGAGAGAAAGGGAGTGCATGGGATGAGAAAGGAGAAAGATAAGGTTGGGAAACAATGAGGTACTTATTTAAAATAGTTATCAAATTTTTTTCTATAAGATTATATACAAACTATAAAAATTACAGTAGAGTGCAAGTGAAATACTGCCACCCAGTGGAAACAGAATATAAATAAAGTATTCAAATTTGAAAAGATTTTAAGAATTTCCTATCGCTTTTCATTTGGAATAATAGAGTTTAATAATTTTCAAAGTATTCTAAAATGTATTGTTTCTCAAAAAATCCAGTGGGACAGATAGCGGAAGTGTTAGTACATCTTTTCCTGAGTCTAAATTTCAAGATTAAATGACCTGACAGTCCTATACTTATACAGCAAAGCAAGGACTGAAGCCCAAGGCTGCTGGCTCTCAGTTCACTGCTGTTCACACCATATAACCCCTCCTAAAAAGCCTTTGACACCTCCATCTTTGTCCAAATATTGTACTTCATAGAGGATAAAACTGAGACTCAAAGATTATCACGTCCAAGGGTTCTTGGAAAAATAACCTGAGGCAGTACCCAAATGGTATTAATATTCTTAGAAGACTTCTAGTTTTCCTTTAAAATTCCTTTGAGATTTGTGTACTATTCCATAAGATAGATGTGTCTGTTTTAATTTCTAAATAATGCTTTTTTCCTCAAATGTCTTTTAGAAAAACTTATGCTTTAAGACAGCGTTGCATCTTTATCTCATGTTACAAATTTCCAGGCACATAATCACATTGAAGAAGGAAGATGGAGTGTATTCCAGTTTGAAATTTCTGGAAAGTGCCTTGCTCAAGTTCATATATTTATCAAGCATTTAATGAACATCTGCTACATGACAGGCATTGTTTTTGGTCCTAGGGCTTGCTGTAATAACAACCCCAAAGTATCAGTGGTATAAAAGAGCAAAGGTTTGGGCTGGGCACAGTGGCTCACGCCTGTAATCCCAGCACTTTGGGAGGTCAAGGTGGGTGGATGGCTTGAGCCCAGGAGTTCAAGACCAGCCTGGGCAACATGGTGAAACCCTGTCTCTACCAAAAACAAACAAACAAACAACAAAATATAGATATATAGATATAGATACAGATACAGATATATAGATATATATAGAGATAGATAGATATACACATGCACACACATACACACACACAAGTTAGCTGGGCATGGTGGCGCACACACCTGTAGTCTCAGCTACTTGGGAGGCTGAGGTGGGAAGGTCACCTGAGCCAGAGAGGTCTAGGCTGCAGTGAGGCAAGATTACGCCACTGCACTCCAGCCTGGGCGACAGACTGAGACCCTGTCTCAAAACAAACAAACAAAGAAAAAGTGCAGGGGTTTGATTATCTCCCATGTTAGAGTTCATTATAGATTGGCTAGGGGCTCTTGTTCACATTGTCATCATCTTCATGCTGACCATCAAGGCAATCCCTATTTGAAATAGCAACAATTTCTTGGCAAAGAGAAAGGAGAATGAGGCAACGCAACAGGAAATGACACACAGCACTTCCTCTCATATTTTACTGGCCAAAGCAAGCCACATAACAAAGATATACTTCTTCAACAGAGCAAAGAAGAACAATCTTCCCCTGGGGAGAGGACATGGATACTGGTAAACAGTAATCGCCTGCCATGCTCCAACATTTCCAAGATATACCAAGGAAAGATGGTGCTGGGTAACATGGAAGAAAGAGATCAGATCTCTCTGTATATGTGATGGGAATTCAAGCAATTTATTTAAATATGAAAAGAAGGGGTTTGCATAGAAGGCTGGAAGACTTGGAATGTTTAGGTTTCAGATATTCAAGATGCAAATGACTACATATTAGACAAGTAGAGAAAAGGTATTTAGAATGTTTGTGAGTATAAATTAAGACTCAAAGTCCCAGTTCTGGACATAGTACTTTATCAGTGTAAATCCATAAGAGCTGCCTGTATCCCATGAAGGATCCCACATCTTAACAGGAATTACACTGTAGGGTTGCTTATTGGGCATATACACAAAACTATAGCCAGGTAGGTGGTGTGTCAGAGCCTGATGTACAAAAATTATACCTAGAATCAACACATTAGGTTACCTAATTTATATATATGTAAACCTGCAAACAGTTGAGTGAGGACAACAAAGCCAGAAAGTGCACTAACCACATATATAACCGAAATATGTAACTTCACTAAACTGCATGCTATTTTTATAGCTCAATAACATTTGCTCCAGCTGGAAGGGTGCATGTTTTTCTTTCCCTCTGCTAATGCTGGAAGGTTAAGTCTCAGACAAGAAGCTCTAACGAAAGCCTTTATACTAAATCCAATCAACACTGATGGCCTAGGTAGCCACTGGAGAAAAACAGAGCAACTATACCTACAATGCACTAAAAGACCATGGCAGACAACACATAGAGATTAAAATAATATGCCGCTGTACTCCCAATCCAAAGGAATGTGTATACGCATGTGTTAGTGTTGTGTATTAATAAGATGGTTTTGTTCAAATACATTCAATAATTTTATATTGTATAATTGCTTGCTATGTTTAAGAATTATATAATAAATATAAATTATTTGAAGAGGCCACTTGCTATAGTTTAAGTGTTTGTGTTGCTCCAAAATTTATGTTTAAACTTAATCCCCAATCCAATGATATTGAGGTAGGGACTTTTGGAAAATGATTAAGTCATGAGGGCTCCACCCTCATTAGTGGGATTAGTGTCTTTATAAAAGGGCTTGAGGGAATGAGTTCATCCCTTTTCCCCTCTGCCATGTGAGGCTGCAGCAAGAAGGTATTATTTTGGAAACAAAGAGAAAGCCAAATCTATTAATACTGGTGCCTTAATCTTTGACTTCCCAGCCTCCAGAACTGTGAGAAATAAATTTCTTTTGTTTATAAATTACCCAATCTAAGGTATTTTTGTTATAGCAGCCTGAAAAGGCTAAGACACTACTTCTGATTGGTTTCCATATTATTACACCAAAGTCAATGTAGTGAATGTATCATGGTTTATTGTAGAACTAAAACTGCCATGATTTTGTCAGAAATCCAAGAAAATGGTACAGTACTAAGATAGGAAGTGGCAGGGGAAGAGCAGGCAAAAGTAAATAATTGCCAGATTGTGAGAAACCAGAAAGACCATACTAAGAAGTTTAGACTTATTTTATAGGAACTAGGAAATCATCTGATATGGTTTGGCTGTGTCCTCACCCAAACCACATCTTGAATTGTAGCTCCCATAATTTCCATGTGTCATGAGAGGAACCTGGTGGGAGGTAATTGAATCATGGGGGTGGGTTTTTCCCTGTGCTATTTTCGTGATAGTGAATGAGTCTCATGAGATCTGATGGTTTTATAAAAGGGTATACCCTTGTACATGTTCTCTTGTCTGCTGTCATGTAAGACGTGATTTTGCCCTTCTTTTGCCTTCCGCCATGATTGTGAGGCGTCCTCAGCCATGCGGAACTGTGAGTCAGTTAAACTTCCTTCCTTTTGTTATAAATTACTGAGTCTCAGGTATATCTTTATTAGCAGCATGGGAACAGACTAATATAGTAAATTGGTATCAGTAGAGTGGGGTGCTGCTATAAAGATACTTTAAAATGTGAAAGTGACTTTGGAACAGGATAATAGGCAGAGGCTGGAACAGTTTGGAGGGCTCAGAAGACAGGAAGATGTGGGAAAGTTTGGAACTTCCCAGAGACTTGTTGAATGGCTTTGACCAAAATGCTCATAGTGATATGGACAGTGAAGTCCAGACTGAGGTGGTCTCAGATGGAGATGAGGAACTTCTTGTGAACTGGAGTAAAGGTCACTCTTGCTATGCAAAGAGACTCGCACCATTTGGGCCCTGCCCTAGAGATCTGTGGAACTTTGAACTTGAGAGATGATTTAGGGTATCTGGTGGAAGAAATTTCTAACCAGCAAATCATTCAAGAGGAAGAAGAGCATAAAAGGTTGGAAAATTTGCAGCCTGATGATGCAATAGAAAAGAAAAACGCATTTTCTGGGGAAAAAATCCAGCTGGCTACAGAAATTTTCATAAGTAATGATGAGCCAAAGGTTAATCACCAAGACAATGGGGAAAATGTCTCCAGGGAATGTCAGAGACCTTTGCAGCAGCCCCTCCCATCACAGGCCTGGAGAAGCAGGAGGAAAAAATGGCTTCCTGGGCTGGGCCCAGGGCCCACTGCTGTATGCAGCCTAGAAACTTGGTGCCCTGTGTCCCAGTCACTCTAGCCATGGCTAAAAAAGGCCAAGGTACAGCTCAAGCCATGGCTTCAGAGGGTATAAGCCCAAAGCACTGGCAGCTCCGGTATGGTGTTGAGCCTGTGGATGCATGGAAGTCAAGAATTGAGGTTTGGGAACCTCCACCTAGATTTCAGAGGATGTATGAAAAGCCTGGATGCCCAGGAAGAAGTTTGCTGCAGGGGCGGGGTCCTCATGCAGAACCTCTGCTAGGGCAGTGCAGAAGAAAAATGTGGGATTGGAGCACCCACACAGAGTCCCCACTGGGGCACTGCCTAATGGAGCTGTTAGAAGAGGGCCACAAACCTCTAGACCTCAGAATGCTGGATTCACCAACAGCTTGCACTGTGTGCCTAGAAAAGACACAGACACTCAACAGCAGCCCATGAAAGCAGCCAGGAGTGGGGCTGGACACTGCAAAGTCTTGCATTAGTGTGACCTGGATGTGAGATATAAAATCAAAGGAGATCATTTTGGAACTTTAAGGTTTAATGACTGTCCTATTGGTTTTCAGACTTCATGGGGCCTGTAGCCCCTTAATTTTGGCCTATTTCTCCCATTTTGGACTGGTGTATTTACCCACTGTCTGCATCCCCATTGTATCTGAGAAGTAACTAACTTGCTTTTGATTTGATAGGCTCATAGGCAGAAGGGGCTTGCCTTGTCTCAGATGAGACTTTGGACTGTGGACTTTTGAGTTAATATTAAAATGAGTTAAGACTTTGGGGGACTGTTGGGAAGGCATGATTGGTTTTGAAATGTGAGGACATAAGATTTTAGAGGGGCCAGGGCAGAAGGATATGGTTTGGCTGTGTCCCCACCCAAATCTTATCTTGAATTGTAGCTCCCATAATTCCCATATCTCATGGGAGGGACCCAGTGGGAGGTAATTGAATCATGGGGGAGGGCTTCTCTCATCCTGTTCTCGTGCTAGTGAATAAGTCTCACGATATCTGATGGTTTTATAAAGGGGAGTTCTCCTGCACACACTCTCTGGCCCGCCGCCATGTAAGATATGACTTTGCTCCTCTTTTGCCTTCCAACATGATTATGAGGCCTCCCCAGCCATGTGGAACTGTGAGTCAATAAAAGCTCTTTTCTTTATAAATTACCCAGTCTCGAGTATGTCTTTATTAGCAGTGTAAGAACAGACTAATACATCATCTAAATATTTTGAATACACATGTGACATTATCCCATCTGTATTTTAGAAATATAATTCTAGTAGCTTGTAGAGGAAGGATTGAATAGAGAAGAAACACAAAGTAGTTCCTGTAGAAGTTCTTTAGATCATGTAGAAGACATAAGGAAATAATCCAGGGCAGAGGCAGCAAGATAAAACTCAAAAAGATTGTGGGATTGACAAAAACAAGAAATGGGGAAAAGATTCCCTATTTAATAAATGGTGCTGGGAAAAATGGCTAGCCATTTGCAGAAAGCTGAAACTGGATCCCTTCCTTACACCTTATACAAAAATTAATTCAAGATGGATTAAAAACTTAACTGTTAGACCTAAAACCATAAAAACCCTAGAAGAAAACCTAGGCAATACCATTCAGGACATAGGCATGGGCAAGGACTTCATGTCTAAAACACCAAAAGCAATGGCAACAAAAGCCAAAATTGACAAATGGGATCTAATTAAACTAAAGAGCTTCTGCACAGCAAAAGAAACTACCATCAGAGTGAACAGGCAACCTACAGAATGGGAGAAAATTTCTGCAATCTACTCATCTGACAAAGGGCTAATATCCAGAATCTACAAAGAACTCAAATAAATTTACAAGAAAAAAAACAAACAACCCCATCAAAACAAGTAGGCGAAGGATATCGACAGACACTTCTCAAACGAAGACATTTATGCAGCCAAAAAACACATGAAAAAATGCTCACCATCACTGGCCATCAGAGAAATGCAAATCAAAACCACAATTAGATACCATCTCACACCAGTTACAATGGCGATCATTAAAAAGTCAGGAAACAACAGGTGCTGGAGAGGATGTAGAGAAATAGGAACACTTTTACACTGTTGGTGGGACTGTAAACTAGTTCAACCCTTGTGGAAGTCAGTGTGGCGATTCCTCAGGGATCTAGAACTAGAAATACCATTTGACCCAGCCCTCCCATTACTGGGTATATACCCAAAGGATTATAAATCATGCTGCTATAAAGACACATGCACATGTATGTTTATTGCGGCATTATTCACAATAGCAAAGACTTGGAACCAACACAAATGTCCAACAATGGTAGACTGGATTAAGAAAATGTGGCACATATACACCATGGAATACTATGCAGCCACAAAAAATAATGAGTTCATGTCCTTTGTAGTGACATAGATGAAGCTGGAAATCATCATTCTGAGCAAAGTATTGCAAGGACAAAAAACCAAACACCACATGTTCTCACTCATAGGTGGGAATTGAACAATGAGAACACATGGACACAGGAAGAGGAACATCACACACCAGGGCCTGTTGTGGGGTGGGGGGAGGGGGGAGGGATAGCATTAGGAGATATACCTAATGTTAAATGACGAGTTAATGGGTGCAGCACACCAACATGGCACAAGTATACATATGTAACAAACCTGCACGTTGTGCACATGTGCCCTAAAACTTAAAGTATAATAAAAGAAAAAAAGGATTGGGGGATTGAAATATTTCAACTGCAGAGTCTCTAACAGTGGTCTTCCAAACCAGTTGATTATCAAAAGCACCTGGGGAAATTATAAAGTTTGTATTCCCTGGCCAATCCCAGAACTATTAAATTAAAATTTAAAGGATGTGGCTGAAGAAATACTCATTATACCGCAGGAGCTTGTAATACAGACAGCCCAGCCTACAAAAGTTCTACGTTTCCACACACTTGAATGACTGAGCTGCAGTGTCTTTAAATCAGGAACACAGAAAAAGGATCTTACAGAGATTGATAATGAGTTGAGGTTTGAATATATTGAATTTAAACTACTTATAGGACTCCCAGATGTAAAAGTCTTGTAGACAAGAGGATATACAGGTCTGGAGCCCAGAAGAGAGATTAGAGCTAGAGATACAACATCCTAGGATTAGATAAGGTCCTCCAGAGAAAGAATTTAGCTTGAGATAAGAAATGATGTCATGAAAGAGCTCAAAGAGCACCTAAATCTAAGAGTAGTGTGCAGATAAATGATAGTATTAGAGTTGGCAAAGGAAGGATAAATATACCTAACAGATAATTCCATTAAATCAAATGTTTTTTAGAAAAGTTGATATCATTTTTCATTGGACTAATAGAGCCTAATAATTTTCAGGGACTTTAAAATGCATTTTTCCTCAAAAAAAAATTTCCAGTGGGAAACATCAGCGGGTCCTCAAAAAGTTCACAGAAAATGCATACGTGGAAAAACTATGCACAGGTTTCAAAATTTTTTGGAACTAAAATTAACTTATACTAACTTGCTATAACATATCTGAACAAGGTCTAGTTTGAGGCACTAAGAAGAATAAGGCATCAGTTTGAAAAGAGCCCCTTTAGAGCAACATGAATTCTGCTTAAAACTGAAGCAAGAACACACATCAAATTTATGGTGAAGTTCAGGTGGAAGAATGGTGAAATCATTGATGCTTTACAAAAAGCATCAAAAGTTTATGAAGACAAAGCCCCAATGAAATCAGCATTTTATGATAGATAATTCATTTTAAGAAGGGGTGAGATGATGGTGAAGATGAAGCCTGCAGCAACAGACCATCCACATCAATTTACAAATAAAAATTCTTCTTGATAGGAAGAGGACCAATAATTAACAGCAGAAACAATAGCTGGGTCAGCTTACACAATTTCTAGCTGAAAAATTAAAGTTGAACAGACTTTCCATTCAATGGGTGCCAAAACCATTGCACCCAGATCAGCTGCAGACAACAGCAGGGCTTTCAATGAAAATTTTAAACAAATGAGATCAAGCTCCTGACGCACTGCTTTGAAGAATTATAACAGGAGCTGAAACATGACTTTACCAGTATGATCCTGAAGACAAAGCACAAGCAAAGCAATGGCTACTGAGAAGTGAAAGTGGCCCAATCAAACCACAAGTTGATGGTCAAGAGAAGGTATCATGACAACAGTTTTGGAGATTCTCAAGGCATTTTTCCTATTAACTTTCTGGAAAGCAAAAAAAATGATAGCATCTGCTTATTATGAGTGTTTTGAGACACTAGCCAAAGCTTTAGCAGAAAAATGCCTGGAAAAGCTTCACCAGAGAGTTTTTCTCCACCATGACTATGCTCCTACTCATTCATCTCATCAAACAAGGGCAATTTTATGAAAGTTTCTATGGGGAATCATTAGGCATCCACCTTACTGTCCTGATTTGGCTTGGCTCTTTCTGACTTCTTTTTGTTTCCTCATCTTAACAAATCTGTAAAGGGCACCAATTTTTCTTCAGTTAATAATGTAAAAACAAGACTGCATTGACATGGTTTAATTTCTAAAACTGTCAGTTCTTTAGGGATAGACTAATAGCTGCTATCATCGTTTAAAAAGTGTCTTGACTGTGATGGAAGTTACATTGAGAAATAAAGTTTGTGTTTTTTATTTTTATCTTTTAATTCCATTTTCCACAAATTTTTTAAGCTCCCACTTGTAACAGATGTGTTAGTACATCTTTTCCTGAATCTGAGATTTCTTTACCTGTTACAATGAAGTAAAGCACTGTACGAAACTAATGCGTGCATTTCACACTAAAAGCTTCAGTGTCCTGTCCAAGTTAGGTGCATTGACTGCTTATTTTGTGGTTTCCTATAGCCCATCTGAGGATTATCTGGAACAATGTCATCTGAGGTGATTATTTTAAAAACCTGGACCCTTTCAACACAGCAATGAAAAGGCAAATAAGCCCACTGAAAATGGGCAGAGGATTTGAATAGACATTTCTCCAAAGAAGATACATACACATATGTGTGTACAGAAGATACATATGTGTGTATCTTCCATATTGACATAAAGCCAATAAGTACCTGAAAAGATACTCAACATCATTAGTCATTAGGGAAATCAAAACCACAATAAGACCCCATTTCACACCCTCTACAATGGCTAAAATTAAAAATACACAAAATAACAAGAATGTGGAAAAACTGAAACTCATACACTGCTGGTGAGTGGAAAATAGTGCAGTCACCTTGGAAAACAGTCTGGAATTTCCTCAAAAAGTTAAACATAGAGTTACCATATTCCACTTCTGGGTACACACCAGTTCCACTTCTGGGTACATACCCAATACAAGTAAAAACATATGTTCACACAAAAACTTGTATGCAAATGTTCACAGCACCATTATTTTAAAAGTGAAAACAGCTTTTACCTCCATCAACTGGTGAGTGAATAAAGAAAATGTGACACACCCATACAATGGAATATTACTCAGCAATAAGGGTTAATGAAGAACTGAGACATGCTACAACACGTACAAACCCCAAAAACATTAACATTAGTGAAAGCAGCCAGTTACAAAGGGCCACATATTGTATGACTCCATTTCTATGAAATATCCAGAACAGGCAAAGCCCTAGAGACAGAAAGTGCATTCGTGTTTGCCTGAGGATAGGGAAGGGAGGAATAAAGATTGACTGGTAATGAGCACAGAGTTTCATTTTGGAATGGCAAAAATGTCATAAGTGTTGATAGTTACATAACATTTTGTGAATGTAGAGTTGTCTCTCAGTTCCCATGAGTAATTGGTCCCAGAACCACCAGCAGATACCAAAATCTGCAGATGCTCAAGTCCCAGATATAAAATGGCATAGTATTTGCATATAACATACACACATCCTCCTGTATGCAGTAAGCCCTCAATTAACATGGTAGATAGGTTCTTGGAAACTGTGACTTTAAGTGAAATGATGTATAACAAATCAATTTTACTACTATAGCGAAGTGATATAAATAAGGGTGGAGTTTCTATGGCGTATTTCTGGTCATAAAAACATCACCAAACTTCTCAATAAATACCACAAACACTTCTCATATTAAACACTGAAATAAATGTGAGCTATACACATATTTAAGAAAGATGAATAAAGACAAGTGTATTAGTCCATTTTCACAATGCTGATAGAGACATACCTGAGAAAGGCAATTTACAAAAGAAAGAGGTTTAATTGGACTTACAGTTCCATGTGGTTGGGGAAGCCTCACAATCATGGCAGAAGGCAAAGAGAGGCAAGTCACATCTTACATGGATGACAGCAGGCAAAGAGAGAGAGATCTTGTGCAGGGAAACTCCACCTTCTAAAGCCATCAGATCTCATGAGACTTATTCACTATCACGAGAACAACACAAGAAAGACCTGCCCTCATGATTCAATTACCTCTCACTGGGTCCCTCCCATAACATGTGGGAATTCAAGATGAGATTTGGGTGGGGACACAGCCAAACCACATCAACAAGTAAGAAAATTATTTAACCAATTAGTGGTGAGTCAGTGAGTGACTGTGGTAATAGTCGTGGTGATGGGTTATATCAAGGAACAAATGTTTGCAAAGTGAAAAAGGAGCACCTCCTGCCACTGCTCAGTTCTAAAATGATCACAAACAGGGAGGCTCACTGAGCACTTTGGTAGCATATTATTTGTTGTCAAGCATTTGTATGATTATCATATACTTTACAGATTTCTGTTTGACAATAATTTATATTCATTTCTTCATTCATTTACCAACCCAATTATTCCAGTTCAGGATCAAGGGTGGCCAGATTTCATTCCTGCAAGTGCTAGACAGGCACCCACCAGACAGGACACCCTTCTATGGCAAGGCACTCATACACAGGTACACTCACTCTGACTGGGACCATATAGACATGCCAAAGAACCGCACAGGGACAGCTTTGAGATGTGGGAGGAAAACAAAGGACCTGGAGAGAACCCACACAAACACAGGAAGAACATGCAGACTCTGCAGACAGGGGCCCTGGTAGGAAGTGATCTTTTTCTCATTAACATTGTAATGAAACAACATCGAATGAAAGATGTTATTTGAGGATATGTTGTACTTTAAATCAGGGGTCCCAACCTCTGGCCAACTTCCTCCCTTAGGAATCAGGTCACACAGCAGGAGGTAAGCAGGCGAGTGAGTGAGCAAAGCTTCATCTGTATTTACAGCTGCTCCCCATCACTCACATTACGGGGTGAACTCTGCGTCCTGTCAGATCAGCAGCACAGTAGATTCTCATAGGAGTGCAAACCCTATTGTGAACTGCACTTGGGAGACAGGGAGACATCTAGGTTGTGGGCTCCTTATGAGAAGCTAATGCCTGATGATCTGTCACTGTCTTCTCCAACCCACAGATGGGACCATCTAATTGCAGGAAAACAAGCTCAGGACTCCCACTGATTCTACATTATGGTGAGTTGTATAATTATTTCATTACATATTACAATGGAATAATAATAGAAACAAAGTACACAATAAATGTAATGTGCTTGAATCATCCCACAACCATCCCCACCTCCCCAGTCCATGGAAAAATTATCTACCACAAAACTGGTCTCTGGTGCCAGAAAGGTTAGGGACCACTGCTTTAAGTCATCTCTAGGTTACTTATACTATCAAATACCTAATGCAATGCCAGCACATCACTCCACTCATGTGGAATCAACATAATACTTGGCAGACAGCAAATTCAAGTTTTGCTTTTTAGAATTTTGCGGAATTTTTTTCTGAATATTAGATTGGTTGAATCCACAGATGCAGAATCCATAGGGACAGAAGGCTAAGTGTCCTAAAAACCACTGAACTGTGCACTTTAAATGGATGAATTCTATGGTATGTGAATTACATCTCAGCAAGCTGTTATAAAAAATATGAATTCCCAGGATCCACCCATGAAGATTCTGCAGGTCTGTGATTTAAAAAGCTCCCAAGGTGATCCTAATGCATTCCAGGACAGGGCATCACTGGTGTGGCCTAGAAAATTTACTAGAAAGTTGTCTGATGTTTTATGTTTGACAGAAAAGAAAAAATATCAGTAGAGACTGCTCGAGGTAAGCCATGCAGCAAGAGAGGTGATCCCTGCCCACGTCCTCCAGGTCTCAAGAAAGAAGACCCTACCCCTATCCTGGAGTGGCCGCCCCACAGCCTCCTGCAGCTGCCATTCCCACGCTCCTCACAACTGTGGCAGTCTTCTCACTCAGGATTCCTTCACCCCAAAATGCATTCATGCAGCTCTCCCCTCATCACCACCACACACCCAGGGAGCCCCACCACAAAAAGCTTAAACATCTCTGAAACCCTCCAACTTTGGCTCTTTCCTTGCCATTTTAATAAAATCAGCCTTTCTCCTGTCTCCCTCACATGGAGGATAGAGCCTGAGCACCCATTTCTTCTTGGATTCAGATCAGATTTTTAAAAACAGCTTTGTTGTTGTATTTATTCCCATAATTGCAACACAAAAATAAATGAGAAAAGATCCTATTTTTCATTAAATACCAAGTTCAAAATACTAACCCTACTATAAAGTCTTCCCAACCCCTTTCTTCCTCCTGAATTCCCACCCAGAAGAACTTCTTCCACAACATTGCATATGGGTACCATTCCTTCTGAAACTATTCCAATCAATACAAAAAGAGGGAATCCTCCCTAACTCATTTTATGAGGCCAGCATCATCCTGATACCAAAGCCGGGCAGAGACACAACCAAAAAAGAGAATTTTAGACCAATATCCTTGATGAACATTGATGCAAAAATCTTCAATAAAATACTGGCAAACCGAATTCAGCAGCACATCAAAAAGCTTATCCACCATGATCAAGTGGCCTTCATCCCTGGGATGCAAGTCTGGTTCAATATACGCAAATCAGTAAATGTAATCCAGCACATAAACAGAACCAAAGACAAAAACCACATGATTATCTCAATAGATGCAGAAAAGGCCTTTGACAAAATTCAACAACCCTTCATGCTAAAAACTCTCAATAAATTAGGTATTGATGGGACGTATCTCAAAATAATAAGAGCTATCTATGACATACCCACAGCTAATATCATACTGAATGGGCAAAAACTGGAAGCATTCCCTTTGAAAACTGGCACAAGACAGGGATGCCCTCTCTCACCGCTCCTATTCAACATAGTGTTGGAAGTTCTGGCCACGGCAATTAGGCAGGAGAAAGAAATAAAGGGTATTCAATTAGGAAAAGAGGAAGTCAAATTGTCCCTGTTTGCAGACGACATGATTGTATATCTAGAAAACACCATTGTCTCAGCCCAAAATCTCCTTAAGCTGATAAGCAACTTCAGCAAAGTCTCAGGATACAAAATCAATGTACAAAAATCACAAGCATTCTTATACACCAATAACAGACAAACAGAGAGACAAATCATGAGTGAACTCCCATTCACAATTCCTTCAAAGAGAATAAAATACCTAGGAATCCAACTTACAAGGGATGTGAAGGACCTCTTCAAGGAGAACTACAAACCACTGCTCAAGGAAATAAAAGAAGATACAAACAAATGGAAGAACATTCCATGCTCATGGGTAGGAAGAATCAATATCGTGAAAATGGCCATACTGCCCAAGGTAATTTACAGATTCAATGCCATCCCCATCAGGCTACCAATGACTTTCTTCACAGAATTGGAAAAAACTACTTTAAAGTTCATATGGAACCAAAAAAGAGCCTGCATTGCCAAGTCAATCCTAAGCCAAAAGAACAAAGTTGGAGGCATCACACTACCTGACTTCAAACTATACTACAAGGCTACAGTAACCAAAACAGCATGGTACTGGTACCAAAACAGAGATATAGATCAATGGAACAGAACAGAGGCCTCAGAAATAACGCCACATATCTACAACTATCTGATCTTTGACAAACCTGAGAAAAACAAGCAATGGGGAAAGGATTCCCTATTTAATAAATGGTGCTGGGAAAACTGGCTAGCCATATGTAGAAAGCTGAAACTGGATCCCTTCCTTACACTTTATACAAAAATCAATTCAAGACAGATTAAAGACTTAAACATTAGACCTAAAACCATAAAAACCCTAGAAGAAAACCTAGGCATTACCATTCAGGACATAGGCATGGGCAAGGACTTCATCTCTAAAACACCAAAAGCAATGGCAACAAAAGCCAAAATTGACAAATGGGATCTAAATAAACTAAAGAGCTTCTGCACAGCAAAAGAAACTACCATCAGAGTGAAACAGGCAACCTACAAAATGGGAGAAAATTTTCGCAACCTACTCATCTGACAAAGGGCTAATATCCAGAATCTACAATGAACTCAAACAAATTTACACACAAAAAACGAACAACCCCATCAAAACAAGTGGGCGAAGGACATGAACAGACACTTCTCAAAAGAAGACATTTATGCAGCCAAAAAACACATGAAAAAATGCTCATCATCACTGGCCATCAGAGAAATGCAAATCAAAACCACAATGAGATACCATCTCACACCAGCTACAATGGCAATCATTAAAAAGTCAGGAAACAACAGATGCTGGAGAGGATGTGGAGAAATAGGAACACTTTTACACTGTTGGTGGACTGTAAACTAGTTCAACCCTTGTGGAAGTCAGTGTGGCGATTCCTCACGGATCTAGAACTAGAAATACCATTTGACCCAGCCATCCCATTACTGGGTATATACCCAAAGGATTATAAATCATGCTGCTATAAAGACACATGCACACGTATGTTTATTGCGGCATTATTCACAATAGCAAAGACTTGGAACCAACCCAAATGTCCAACAATGATAGACTGGATTAAGAAAATGTGGCACATATACACCATGGAATACTATGCAGCCATAAAAAATGATGAGTTCATGTCCTTTGTAGGGACATGGATGAAATTGGAAATCATCATTCTCAGTAAACTATCGCAAGAACAAAAAACCAAACACCACATATTCTCACTCATAGGTGGAAATTGAACAATGAGAACACATGGACACAGGAAGGGGAACATCACACTCTGGGGACTGTTGTGGGGTTGGGGGAGGGGGGAGGGATAGCATTGGAAGATATACCTAATGCTAGATGACAAGTTAGTGGGTGCAGCACACCAGCATGGCACATGTATACATATGTAACTAACCTGCACATTGTGTACATGTACCCTAAAACTTAAAGTATAATAATAATAAATAAATAAATAAAAACATTGCATATAGGTTTCAGACTTCTGCTTTAGTCCTTACTTGACAATAAACATTTTTTCCCCTCAACTAAAAATATCTCTTAACCTCAAGGGCTGTAAATTTTTCATCTTGGTATCCCAGTACCTATCACAATTCCAGGTGTATAACTGAGCTTCCAAGTTCTTCCATGAGTTGAATAAGTGAATCAAATACTGACTCTGATTTGTTAGGGTTTTAGTTTTCCTAACTGAAGGTGCAAAAGTAATAGAGATCTCTTCTCAGTGGTTAATACCAAAATAACGATTTAAACAATACTAAAATTTGAGGTTAATAAAGTTAACACATTTTTGTATTACCAGAATACCTAGAAGAGTTTTTAGTGTTTTTTTATGTTTCATTTGGATCATATCTCTCAACATTTCTCATCTCTAGTTAGATTGATTCACTAATGGATTCTAAGTACATCCCTCTAAGAGATAATAAAACTTCTTCAACCACAATAAAAAGACAACATTATCAAGCTAAAATTTCAGATTCAAACTTCTAACCACATTAAGTAAAGACTGAAGTCTGTGCAAAAAAGCATACATAGCTCTGGAGTAAAGAACTTTTTAAATAAGTATTTCTTTTATGGGATACTTCTTCATTGTAGAGAAAACATGAGACATTGTCAAAACTAAGAAACACAAACCAATGACAAAATATTGTCAATATTTTTACATAAAATAGTTTTACTTCCATTTACAAGCAATACTCATATATATTAAGTAAATTCTTCCTCATAATTATTCTGAACTAGTAAGTGTTAAAGCAACACTTTAAACTAATGTCTTTTTGTACAACATTCAGAATTATTTTTACCTCAGAAGTCCATGGGTGAAATTAAGGATAGCTCTAAATCGAAGATGATGGAAATAACAGTGTGACCCCCAAATATTGTTTTCCATGTGTGGGGTTCCAGATTGTTCCAGTTCTGGAATTGTACCAAATACTGATTGTCATATTCATCAAACAGATAGACTTTTGCTGACTCCAAACAACAGAGATGGTAATATTTTGGTATTTTATGGCAAAAGGCATGAATGTAAATGTTATGCTAACTTCTTCCTAACATACAGAGTTCATAAAATCTACAAATATAATGTTGAAAAATGTTGGTAATAGATCAAACCATGATGAAATTTCTCTTTGCTCATAGAAACAGTATTGAGCCTTTTGACTAAGGTTTAAAAGACAATAATTTTATAATAACCTGACCGGGTGCAGTGGCTCATACCTGTAATCCCATTACTTTGGGTCACCTAGGCAGGTGGATCACTTGTGCTTCAGGAGTTCGAGACAGGCCTGGGCAACATGGCGAAACCCCATTTCTACTAAAAAATACAAAAATTAGCTGGCCATGGTGAAACATGCCTGTGGTTTCAGCTACTCAGAAGGTTGACATGGGAGGATGGCTTGAGCCTGGGAGGCAGAGGCTGCAGTGAGCCAAGATCATGCCACTGTACTCCAGCCTGGGTGACAGAGCCAGACCCTGTCAAATAAAAAAGAGAAAAAAATCATTCCCTTAATTCTCTGAAGTTTTACTTAGCTAAAATTCAGGATAAAACGCTACATTCATGTGGCATTACAATTTACCATTTAAAACCATAAAGATCACGGAATTGAAACTGTTGGGCTTCTCACTCCTGTATGTACTGGCGGCACTACAGGCCTGAGCTATCTGGACTTTGCCCAGGATGCCAGCATCAGAGCAAAAAACTTAGAAGATATTCCAGATAATGAAACTCAAATTGGTGATGGTGTTGGAAAAATAAAACATTTTAATGAGCTTACTGGAAGAGAAGTCCTGGGACCAACAATGGTACTAAGACTTCTCACACCTGGTGAAGGCCCAGCCAGTCAGTCAATCTTGACCTGTCAGCCTTACCACAGCTCTTTCAGAAAAAGGTACAATCTCCTAAGACAGCTCTTATCTCATTGAACTATCTGTTTACTGGCTTTCTGCAAGCACAATTCATTCTCACATCTCAAACACATGAGCATTCACTCTCATTCATTCACAATTCATTCTCATATCTCAAACACATTCACTCTCACATCTCAAACACATGAGCATTATTTTTACACAAATAAAAAATCTCTATCAGATGCCTATTATTTCTCTAGAAATCATAAAATATGTTATACTAGTTTAAGCTTATACTTTATTCAAACTATTATTTTGTTTCTGGTAGGTCACCAAAGAACACTTCATAACATTGTAGCTGCTTTACTACCTTTTGGGGGGAAAAATTCATAACTTTTGTCTCTTCTCACCTGTGAGCATGCAACACTACTTTCTTTAATTTGCCCTAATATTAGAACCTCCATTCTGCTTCTATGGAACATGAATAAATCATCTAAAAGTAACAAGTAATATCATTTCAGTTATCATTAACCCTGGTAAATGATGGAAGATCAGATACGGGGGGAGATAGAATGAGAAACTGTAGCAATTTATACACCTGGATTATTTTAGTCTGGCATAATTTTATTTTGGATTTGTAGAAGACTTTGGTTTAATCCAAGAGTAAAGGAAAAGCCTTTTCATTTGGATTTGAATGTACTTCTTGATAATGTTCTCAAAAACTCTGAATCATTTTGGCTGAAACAACACATTAAATGAATATTTATTTTGGAAAAGAAGGATGGGGAAATTAAGAGAAAAGTCAAGGAAAAGGACCAGTTGGAATAAACAGAGTCTCTACTCACCTCCCAGTTTTGTTGGCATTTTCTCTCAATTCTCTTCTTACTGATAATACAAAGATACCGCACAGCCAACACAAACACAAAGAACTTCTCCCTAATAAGTTCTAGAGCTCAGAGTTTCTATATGGGATATTAAAATTTACTTGCCAAATTTCCATGTCCTGCCTAGTAGAGGTAATGTGGTATGGAAGGGAATACTAAATCATAACCCGAAATGTTAGAATAATTTGGTGAATGAAGTATTAGAAAAGATTTACTCTGTTATGGGTTGAGCTGTGTCCCCCAAAATTCATATAAAAGTCCTAACTCCTAGATCCTCAGAATGTGATCTTATTTGAAGATAGGATGTTTACAGTGGTAATAAAGTTAAAATGAGGTAATTAGGGGTGGCCCCAATCCAATATGATTAGTGCCTTTATAAGAAGAAATTTGGGCACAGAGACAAAAAGAGAAGATGGTGTTAAGAGGCAGGGAGAAGATAGCCATCTATAAACCAAAGAAAGAGGCCTGGAACAGATAATTACCTCACAGCTTTCATAAGAAACCAACTCTGACGGCACCTTCATTTTGGGCCTTTAGGCTTCAGATCTGTGGAACCATAAATTTCTGTTATTTAAACCACCCAGTGTGCGGTACTTGATTATGGCTGCCTTCGCAAACAAATGTGTTATTTTAAAGACATAAAATTTCATGTTGATTTGTTTAATCTTCTTAAATTATAATAGATTATTTAAGGATTCAAAATTTTTATATCAAATATGCTCTAACATAAATGCTGTAGCACAAAAGGTAATATGAAATGAAGGTAAATTACAGTTTGTGCAGGACAAATGAAAGAGTGGAGTAAAAAAATAGTGATAATTAGAAGGCTGAATTTATGGCCATTAAAATCTAAGAATATAAAACCTCACCCAGAGTATCACTGAGTGGGGACATGTCAATCTAATGGCACATTATAATTAGAGTTAAGGATTTTCAGCATGAAGGAAGAGAGTTCCAAAACAAATAATCTAATTTCACAAGAAAGATATAATTTAGACTATATACATATGCATACACACAGAACACAAAAACACACAAGTATACCAAAAGAATTAGAAATAAGTTAAATAACAAAATCAAGACTTATTATTTTGCAAAAAATTTAAGAATATGCTGGACAAATACCTGCCTGCAAAATTTTTTAAAATCAGTAGAGATTTCTGTTCCTGCCAACAAAAAGAACAACTAGAAAAATGGCAAAATTCATAAAATAATTGTTTTTGAATGTTGAATAAAGGGCAGTACAGGACTATAATCCCTAAGAGAAGAAAACAAACAAGATGAATGATATAAATGCCATGGATTTCTGACTTCAGGGCATTTCCAAACCATGACATAGGGATGTGGGACTTTACTCTCACATTTGGGGAGAACAAAGTGAGAGTTAAATACCAGAGATGAGAAAGCTATGCAGACAAAGAAGTCCATAAATCTGCATAAAAGTTTCCTAGATTCTTTGGCTGCATGTCAATCTGTGGATGCATAACGTAAACTTTGACAGAGTCATACAAAGAACAAACAGAAAGAAAAGAAAAATTTCTGAAAATTGTAAGCCAGACAACTTGCAGAGCTTACACAGAACTGGGAAACATTTTAGTCTCCACCAGACAAAGTGAGGAAATCTTGGGGCACTGAATACATGAGGCATTCAGTAAAGAACCCAGAGTTCATTGCTTAATAGTGGGGCTGCACTAACCTTCCTAGAGACCTGCCTTTGTAAACCTTCAAGAGGAACCTTACATAGAACAAGCTAATCCACAAGTAACTTAACTGTCAGAAACTAATCCAAATTCTATGAAACAATGGAAATTACAATGGCCAGCATGCAAACAAAAATCAATAGATACAAAAGTTAATTTATTTCCTAGATATCAGCAAAGAACAACTGAAATTTAATTGTTTAAGAAAAACTAAATATACTATTTAAAATAGCATACCAAAAACCCTTATGTATAAATCTAACAAAACTGGAGAAATATTCTATGTTCATAAGTTTGAAAACTCAATATTGTTAAGATGTCAGTTCTTCTGAACTCGATCTATAGCTTCAACACAAAATCACAGCAAGCTATTCTGTACAAGTCAACAACTGAATCTAAAAAGTATTTTGAAAAGCATATGACCAACAAGAGCCAACACAATTTTGAAGAACAAGAACAAAGTTGGAAGATTCACACTACACTATTTCAAGATTAGTATAAACCTACAGTAATGAACAGAGTGTGATACTGGTTTCAAAAAAACCAGACATATAGAACTGAATAGAGAGCACAGAAATGGACATATGCAAATAAAGTCAGGTGGTTTCTAATAAAGACAATTTAAAAAATAATGGACAGTATTTTCAAAAAATGGTGCTGGAACAAGTGGATGTCCATATGGGGAGCAAAAAGAACCTAGCCACAGACCTTATATAAAACATAAAAATTAACAGAAAATGGCTTATAAATATATACATATGTAAAAACTTCCAAAAATAACATAGGAGAAAAACTAGACGCCCTTGGATTTGGAGAAGAGTTTTTTTGTTCAATACCAAAAGCATAATCCATGAAAGAAAAAAAAAGTTGTTGGATTTTATTAATAGTTTTGTTTTGCAATGGACACTGCTACAATAAAAAATAAGTCACACACTGAGAGAAAATATTCGCAAATCACCCATCTCTCAAAGACTTGTATCCAAAATATACACAGAACTCTTAAAAATCATGAATTTAAAAATGAAAAGATCTGAACAGACACCCAAAGAATATATACAGATGGCAAATAAGTATATGAAACAATGCTCAATATCATTTATTACAGAATTGCACATCTAAACAATGAGATACCACTATGCACCTATTACAGTAGTTAAAATCCAAAACACTAACAACATCGACACTGATGAAAATGTGCAACAGGAACTCTCATTCTATGCCAGTGGAAATGAAAAATACTAGGCCACTCTAAAAGATGGTTTGGCAGTTTCTTACAATGCTGAGTAGTCTTATCACATGATTCAGCAAACCCACTCCTAGATATCTACCCACTGATATAAAAATTCATACCTACACAAAAATCTGCACACCAATGTTTATTCATAATCACCCAAACCTGGAAGCAATCAAGATGTCTTTCAATAGGCAAATAAACAAAATGTGGAACATACATATAATGGGACATCATCCAGCAATAAAAAGAAATTACAGCTACAGAAAAAAACATAGATAGATATTAAATATATTGTTAAGTGACACAAGCCAGTCTGAAAAGGCTACACACTGTACGATTCTAATTATTTGACATTGTGGAAAGGCAAAACTATGGAGATGGTAAACAGATCAGTGGTTGCCAAGGGTTTGAGGAGTGGGAAGGGTTGAATAGACAAAAGACAGAGGAGTTTCTAGGGAGGTGAAACTAGTCGAAATGAGACTATCATAATGAATACATGACACTGTGCATCATCAAAATCCACAGAACTTTATATTACAAAGAATATATTTCCCATATATATACATAATTAATATAAATGTATATTTCTTTGTTTTGCCAGCTAAGAAGGCCTACAAGCAACAATATCCCAGAAGGAAGAGGCACACTCACTGCCCAGATCTTGATTTCTAATATCATTCTACAATAAAATCAAACAGAGCTCCTTGGAGAAATGTCCAATTTTAGCGTGGAGGAAGGAGACATAAAAGATGATCTCAGAGCACCTTGTAGTGCCAGAAAGTAAGGAAGTGCTCAAAAACAAACTAAAAATCACACACACAAAGATGGGGGGATGTCAAAGAGACACAAAAGAGAAGTCACTGAAAGAGTACTCAATGGCCAAACCTGAAATAAACTGAACAAGAAAATAAAGTAGTAAGATATTTAAACCAAAGTATAAAATAATATCCGTGAATTCCTATATATATAAATAATTGAATAGGTAAATAAATGAGGGAGAAGAGACAAATCCTCCATATAAATACATTCCAGAAAATTAATGTAGATATTCTGCCCTCAAGCAGGCAGAACATAACTTCTCACTTTTTAAACGTGAGCACTGCACAGTGACTTCTTCTGAAAGACTACAGTATGGAAATATGGGGAAAACACAACTTTTACAGCAGAGAAAACTAACAAATATGACTTCAACTACATGATCAAAGTCATCACAAACGGTAGTAAGTCATGTTAATAGTATAGATCCTTGATATGATGTAATAAGGAAGGCACTTTACTTTGATGGTCTTCCCAAAAACCCATAATCCAAGTCTAATGATGAGAAAGAAACACCAGAAAAATCCCAATTGAGCAACTTTCTGCAAAATACCTGATGAATACTATTCAAAACTTTTAAGGTCATTGCAGAAATACATAAAGTCTGAGAAACTATCACAGTCATAATAAATGTAATGTGGTCATATAGATAAGGTATTGGAAGAGAAAAAGTATGTTAAGTAAAAATAATGAAATATGAATGAAATCTGGATCCTAGTTAATAATCATGTATCAATATTGGTTCCTTAATTATCACAAGTGTCATACTAATATAAAATATTAACAACAGAGGAAACTGGGTAAGGAGTATATAAGAACACTCTGTACCGTCTTTGCAACTTTTCTGTAAATCTAAAATTATTCTGAACAGTTTATTCTTAAAAATACATGTAATATAATTTATCATACCTTAAAATAATCCACAAATAAAGCTCAGCTATGGTTACTCAAAAAGGCATGGAAAGAAGTAGTCAAATACTATCAATAACTGTTAGAAAAATTAGTCAATAGAAACCACACCCAAATATGACATATATAAGGAAACGAGAAGATAAGGACACTGGCTATATCTTCAACATGGTCACGAATTTAAAGAAAAACATAAGCTAAATGAGAACAAAAGAAAAAGATGCACAAGAATACTGAATGGAACTTCTACAGATGAGAAATACAGTATCTGAAAATAAAATTTCACTGGATGGGATTCATAGCAGATTAGACCTAGAAGAAAGCCTCAATCTTCTTATTTATATAACAGAGAAATGAATATCTGCCTTGCAGTGTTGTTGTGAGGACAAAGGGTAATTTAATTGAAAGCACCTAAGAAGTAATTAGCCCATGATAAAAAAAAAAAACCTCCGTTTCTGTTCTGTGCTCTATTCATTCAACCAATATTTACTGAGCAGCTACTATGTATCAACTACAATTGCAGGATATAAAAGAATGAATAAAATACACATAGTCCCTACACTCATAGAGTTTACAATCTGGTAGGAGACAAAAACCAATAAATACACAAATAAATGTTGTACATGATATTTTTGTTTTAAACTGTAGCATGCATTGTTAGCTGCCTACCTAAAATCTACTCTACTCATTCTTCTTGGTAATCACTACCCTAATTTTTTTCAGGGAAGGAATGTGCTGGCCTAAATAAAGCACTTTCCCAGTGATATGGTTTGGATTTTTGTCCCCACCCAAATCTCATCTCCGAACAGTAATCCCCAATGTTGAAGGAGGGGCCTGGTGAGAGACGATTGAATCACGGGGGCAGACTTCCTCCTTGCTGTTCTTGTGAAAGTGCATTCTCATGAGATCTGGTTGTTTAAAAGTGTGTAGCACTTCCCCCTTCTCTCTATTCCTCCTGCTCCAGCCATGTAGGACGTGCCTGCTTCCCCTCTGCCTTCTGCCATGTTTGTAAGTTTCCTGGACCTCCCAAGCCATGCTTCCTGTACAGCCTGGAGAATCATAAGTCAATTAAGCTTCTTTTCTATATAAATCACTCAGTCTTAGGTCATTCTTTATAGTAATGCAAGAACTGACTAATACAGAAAACTGGTTCTGGGAAGAGGTGCATTACTATAAAGATACCTGAAAATGTGGAAGCAGCTTTAGAACTGGGTGTTGGGCAGAGGTTGGGACAGTTTGGAGGACTCAGAGGAAGCAGGAGGATGAAGGAAAGTTTGGAACTTCCTGGAGACTCGTTGAATGGTTGTGACCAAGATGCTGATACTGATATGGACAGTGAAGTCCAGGCTGAGGTGGTCTCAGCTAGAGATAAGGAACTTACTGGGAACTACAGTAGTCACTCATGTTGTGCTTTAGCAAAGAGACTGGCAGCATTGTGCTCCTGCTCTAGAGATTTGTGGAAATCTGAACTTGAGAAAGATGATTTAGGGTATCTGGTGGAAGAAATTTCTAAGCAGCAAAGCATTCAAGGTGTGGTCTGGCTGCTTCTAACAGCATATGCTCATATTTATGAGCAAAGAGATTATCTGAAACTGGAACTTATACTTAAAAGGGAAGCAGAGCATAAAAGCTTGGAAAATTTGCAGCCTTGCCATGTGGTAGAAAAGAAAAACCCATTTTTAGGGAGGAATTCAAGCCAGCTGTAGAAACTTGCATAAGTAAAGAGGAGTTGTATATTAATAGCTAACACAATGTAGAAAAGGCCTGGAAGGCATTTCAGAGACCTCCATAGCAGCCCCTCTCACCACAAGCCTGGAGGCCTAGGAGGGAAAAATAGTTTCACAGGCCCAGGGCCTCACTACCCTGTACAACCTCAGGACACTGCTCCCTGAATCCTAGCTTCTCCACCTCCAGCCTTGGTTAAAAGGGTCCCAAATATGTCTCAGTCCACTGCTCCAGAGGGTGCAAGCCATAATCCTTGGAAGTTTCCATGTGATGTTAAGCCAGCTAGTGCACAGAGGGCAAGAGTTTAGGCTTGGGAGCCTCCACCTAGATTTCAGAGGATATTTGGAAACACCTAGATATCCAGGCAGAAGTCTGCTGCAGCAGCAGAGCCCTCAGTGAGAACCTCTACTAAGGCAGTGCACAGGGGAAATGTTGAGTTGGAGCCCCCAAACAGAGTTCCCACTGGGGCACTGCCTACTGGAGCTATGAAAAGAAGGCCACTGTCCTCTAGACACCACAATGGTAGATTCATCAACAGCTTGCACCGTGGGCCTGGAAAAGCCACAGACACTCAATACCAGCTCATGAAAGCAGCCATGGGGGCTGTACCCTGCAAAGCCACAGGGGCAGAGATGCCCATGGCCTTGAAAGCCCACCCCTCACATCAATGTTACCTGGGTGTGAGACATGGAGTCAAAAGAGATTATTTTGCAACTTTAAGATTTTATGGCTGCTCTGCTAGGTTTTGGACTTGTGTGGGGCCTATAACCCCTTTGTTTTGACTAACGTCTCCCTTTTGGAATGGGAGTACTTAGCCAATGTCTGTACCCCCATTGTATCTTGGAAGTAATTAAGTGGTTTTGATTTTACAGGCTCCTAGCCAAAAGGGACTTGCCTTGTCTCAGATGAGACTTTGGACTGTGAACTTCTGAGTTAATGCTGAAATAAGCTGAGACTTTGGGGGACCGTTGAGAAGGAAAGATTGTATTTTACAGTGTGAGAAGGACAGGAGATTTGGGAGGGGCTGGAAGTGGAATGATATGGTTTAGATTTGTGTCCCTGCCCAAATCTCATGTCTGAATTATAATTCCTAATGTTGGAGGAAGGGCCTGGTGGAAGGTGATTAAATCATGGGGGTGGACTTCCCCCTTGCTATTCTCATGATGATAGTGAGTAGGTTCTCATGGGATCTAGTTGTTTAAAAGTGTGTAGCACTTCCCCATCTTTCTCTCTTCCTCCTGCTCCAGCCATGCAGATCGTCCCTGCTTCCCCTTCATCTTCTGCCATATTTGTTCGTTTCCTGAGGTCTCCCCAGCCATGTTTCCTGTACAGCTTGTGAAACCATGAGCCAATTAAACCTCTTCTCATTATAAATTACCCAATCTCAGCTACTTCTTTATAGCAATGCAAGAACTGACTAATACACCCAGTCTCTTCTGCAGCAGAGGTAGTCAAACACAATAGTTCTGGCCAATTCTAAACATAAAACAAAGTGGGAGTGTGGAGGTATTCTGGTGAACATTTGCTTCCTAGATTATGGGGAATACCTAAGGATGATTCTTCCACTCTTCCTTCTTCTCCCTTATTCCACTAAATGCACATGTGATGAACAGAGCTGCAGCAGCCATCTTGTTGCCTTAAGGGAAAAGCCAAGAGAATACAGTGTGACACTGCACGTGACATCCAATTTAGGCATATAGTCCTGAGCTTCTTGTGGGAAAGCCTAGCTTGACAGAGTCAATTATCTTGAGAAAATAAAGCCAAGACCTGAGAAAAGCAAATCTGAGAACAAGAGAGTGAGAGCTAGAAAGCAAGTGAGGAGAGAGAGGCTGTACTCCATGCTTCTTTCAGTTTGGTTACATGAATTGATTTTTTTAAAATTATTTTTAGACTGGTTCACATTCAGTTTCTGTTACTTGCAATTAAAGAGTCCAATCCAGCATAGTTAATGTGATTTTTAGCCTGTAATAAGTGATATAAGAAAAAGGAACAGATGTTACGAGAAAGAATCAGTAGGTAGTTAGGGAGGTCTTCTAGAAAAGCAACATGAAAGAGGAAACCTAACAAATAAACGCATGTCAGCCTGGAGAGGAGTTGAAAGAAAGGTTTCCCACCTGCCTCCTTCAACCCCTTCCCATCACCAACATGGAATAAGCATGCTCTAAACACAGCAGGGAAAGGGTTTCCTGGAAAGGACCCTAGTGTGGGTATAGGAGCTGGAGATTGGGTGAAACAAATCCTGTGATGTCTACAGACCCACACGACAGACCTAGAGGTAAAAAAAAAAAGGAAACTCCATTCAACAATAAAATATACTAAATTATCCCACCTCATGATCAAGTTCTTTTTACTTTGCCAATGATAACGATCTTAAGCCTGCTGGCTCCCCAGCCACACACCCTGAGCGGAATTTTATCCTTAACAAAATCTGCCAAATTACACAGTATTCCATGGAGTGTTCTCCCATTTAGAGGAGGTTTTCAATAAACCTAACAACTTCAACAGAAAACCACCACAGCTACCCCTACTGATCAGCATATCCTTCATTCATAAAAATGAATGGATATCCAAGGACTACCAGATACTGGAGAAAAATCAATAGAATAAAAAAGCCATCCTGAAAAAACAATTGACTACAGAGCACATGTATGTTTATAGCAGCAAAATTGACAATTGCAAAGATATGGAACCAACCTAAGTGCCCAATGACTAATGAGAACACAGGAAAACAAAACCAAACACCACATGTTCTCACTCATAAGTGGGAGTTGAACATAGAGAACACATGGACACAGAGAGGGGAACATCACACACCAAGGCCTGTTGGTGGGTGGGGGTTGAGGGGAGGGAACTTAGAGGATGAGTCAATACGTGCAGCAAACCACCATGGCACATGTATAATACTTATGTAACAAAACTGCACATTCTGCACATATATGTCATTTTTTAGAAGAAATTTTTTTAATGAACAACAAAAAAAAGAGAAAGAAATCATAGAAAATTTCCCTGAGTTGAAGGAAACAATTCCTGGAATTTAAAGAGCCAACCAAGTGCCAAGTGATAAAACAGACTGCTAACAGGAATGGGCTTAGTTTCACATTAGAATTATCAGCCACAGCTGATAATTATCAGCTAGAAATTACTGAGGCAAAGTCTTCAAAGGAAAAATTATTTTAAGACCAGAATACTGTACCAAATGATCAATCAAGTGGGAAAGCCAAATAAAGACATTTTAGGAATTTGAGGGCTCAGATATTTTCTCTCTGATTTTACCATTTCTTGAAAATTTTCCAAAGAAATGATTAAGGTTTTTAAGAAAGAGGAAGATATACCATTTAAAACAGTGCAACTAACATAGGAGTTCGATTGTTTTCTTTAAAGTCTCAGGTTTACAGCTAAGACTTGTGTGTGTGTGTGTGTGTGTGTGTGTGTGTGTGTGCGCGCCAAAGTAAGGAAGGGAGAGGAATGTGTAAGTAAGCTATTTTTCTTATCCTCTCATATAGGGGTAACTTCCTGCATAATAGGATTATGAGAATGAACTTTCTATGTAACAGAAAGTCAACGGTCAATATTTTATATAAAACTGATACATATATCAGAAACACACACACACATATATATATATATATATATATCAGAAAGCCATATATTAGTGAAAAGTGAAAATTAGAACAGGAATCCTAATTCTTCAAGGAAAAAATTCTATTTCCAAGAAATAAGCAATATGCATTCATCAAGTAGTGCAATTAAGCTAGGACATTGTGAGAACTGGTTTAACTCTTCTGTTAAAAAAATTAATAACAAATTTTTAAATAAGTTGTAGAAGAACATTACAGTCCAAATATGAAGTAAAACAAATTCTAGTACCATTTTAAGTAAAATCTGAACATGATTTATAGTGAAGAAAAGAGAATTTTTCCTTGCAGTGGTACAGTTTTCATGTCACAAAATTTTATTTCCTTGTTTACGAGTCTAATTGCACAACGTGGTTTCCCAATAATCATAGTAAAAAATAATAACTAGCCCTTATTTAACATTTACCATATGTCCTCTTGTAAGTTCTTAATATATATCCTATTCTACAAAATACAGTTCATTTATTAGGCAGCTTGGTCCTTTCATTGTGAGCTGAGGTGACACGCCTCAAATCCCACACTGGTTGGTGAGCCCAGGCAATCTGGCTCCAGAATCCTTGCTCTTAAACACTTGGCTACCCTGCTTCTCATAAAGCTCTCTGTTAATTTACGATGTTTAGAATCAGTCTATTTACCTTAAACAAGAAGGCACTGTAACAATTAGAAAATAGAATATAAATTATATAAAACTTGATAATGTAAAAGTCATAATAAACCAAAGTGAGACAGGAAGAAATTGTAATATTTTTCTTATCCTCTCTTATAGGAGTAACTTCCTAGAAAGTCAACAGTCAATTTTTAATACAAAACTGAAAATAATTCCTGCTTGGATAGTAAAGAAAAATATTTATCAAAAAAACTGAAAATAATAGTAAAAAAAAATCAGCAGGGAAGACAGAGAGTGAACTTGAGCTAAATTCCTCATATTTCATAACAAGTGTGATGGTTAATTTTATGAGCATCCAGTAGGTGTCAATATCTATTGCCTAATTTTAACTTTTAAAATTATATATAACTTATATGGTAACTATTAGAAAAATTAAAAACAAAAGTTTGTGGTACCTTAAGAAATAGCAACATAAGCAAACTATTAACGGCATAGGGAGGACTATCAGAAAAGCTAAATAACTAGGGAAAGGGAAGATCTTTGTTTCACACCATTTCCATTTTTATTACAATTATCAGATATTATTTTAAAAAATAATTCTACAATACTATGAAAAATAGTAATACTCTGTAAAGAAAGGATAAACTGAAGAGGGTATCTTTCAATTCTGTCATGGTAAAATAACAGACCAATAAATGCTACCAGACCATAAGCCCAGTGAGGTAGAGAAGGAGAACAAGGATAATATATAAACACATTCCACTCTAATCTTCTTTACTGATTCTTTGTTTCTACATCATTACAGGCTAAATGGCCCATTTTTTTTTTCATATAAACTTCTAAAGAGACATTCATTTCATTGACTTCAACTATTGAGTCACACCCACTCCAGTCTACAACCTTGCACATTTCCTTTAAAGAAAGGAGCTGTCTCAATTCAGACACTGTTGGCGGGAGCCGACATTAGATAATCACCCTTTTAGGGCATAATTTAGCAGTCTTTAATGAAGTGTTAAAAAAAATGACTGCATTTTGACCTAATAATTTCACTTCTTTGAATCCACTCTGCAGAAACACTCCCGAATGTTCAAAGATATCTGTAAAAGGAATTTCAATTAAGCCACTACTGTTTACGACAGAGGAAAACTGAAAAGAACCTAAATGCACATTGGTAGATGCAGAATAATTTGTTGCCATTTAAAATATACATCTACATGTAAAATACATATCTACGTGTAGTGACAGTGAAAGATGTCCCTAACATATTGTTAGGCAAGAAAAGCAAAAATTCAGAATTACTATACAATTTTTGTAAAAAAAAAAAGTATATGCATATATCACATACATAAATGTGTACAAGCAGTGTGCTTAAGATGTGTGGAGGAAACACTGTAAGTTTTCACTATGTACATTTCTTTATTATTATTTTACAACCAGCATGTATTGTTTTAGTATTTTAAGAAATCAGGTCATGTCTCAATTGTCATATATCTGGGATTAAAAAAGAAAAAAAAATCCAAAAAGGGAAATATTCAACGTTTTTCCATTAGTTCATTCTCAATATCTATGAAAAAAATCTAAGTAGCACATTGCTGTCTAGGATTAGCGAAAACGCTAGTTTCGTTGGTTGGATCGTTTTGGGTTTTTTTTAGTGAATTAGAGCAGGAAAATGAGGACACAAAACCCAACCAAGGCGGAGTTGGGCTGTTGAAGCCATCAGCGGCGCGCGGCCGGGCAGCCAAGGGACCCGCGAAGGGGGGGACTCGGAGGTCGAGGGGCACTCGGAGGGCGAAGGGAGCCCCGGGCGGGAGACGAAGGGCACTGGCCCGTGACGCAGGCGCGGTTGGAAAGAAGCTGAGGACTGGATGTGCGGAAACCAGGTCAGAGGGGCAGGCAACAGAGTGGGCGGGAAGGCGGCCGGGAGCGCTATACGGGTCTAGGGAATCAGTAGGAAGCCGGAGGCGCGGCTGGCGGCGACAGCGTGGCCGGCAGAGCAGGGTCAGCCCAGGTCGCCCGGGGAGTGCGCAGGGACGCGGGCAAAAAGCCCGGGACGCGCGCCGCCGGGGCCTGCGGGGCCTGCCCGAGGCCGAGGCCCCGGTTGGGGGTGCGGGCCGGAGCTCCCGCTCTGCGCCGGGGGCAGGCGTCTGCTGGCAATACCTTCCCAGGAGAGCTCTCCTCCCGGCTCCCGCTTCAGGAACTTGTACCAGAACGTGTCCACGCGGCCCGGCTCCGCCCCGTCCTGCGCCGCCTCCTCGGCCGCCAGCTCCACCTCCCCGAGCCACAGGCCCGGCTCCTGCAGGGCCAGGGCCCCGTCGCCCGCCGCGGTGCCGGCCGGCCTCAGGCGGACGGCACCGCGCGGCTCCCAACGCCCCAGCTCGGGCCGCGACCCCACCACCAGCAGCTCCGGCCGGGCGCCGGCCACGGCGGGTGGCACCACCACCCCAAAGCGGAAGCGCATGGCGGGCGGCGGCGGCGCGAATACCCGGGCCCGGAGTCCCCGCGGCCGGCAGGCGCGGCCCGAGCACTAGGCGGCCGCAGCGATTGGGCGGTGGTGTGGGAGCCCCGGGCACCGGGGAGAACACGTGCTGTTCTGCGCCTTCTTTGGGATGCATCACGCGGCTCCCGAGCCCAGACTTCGTCCAGGCCGGCGGGAAGGGGTCAGCGGAGCCGCTAGCTGCCTCTTTGTGCCCCGCAACCCCGCGGGCGGTTGATTTCCACCTGTGGGCGCTGGGGACACGCGACCGGAAGAAATGGAAGAGAAAACGGGGTTCGGGGAGGGAGGAAAACTTCTAAGCCAGGCGATCGTCCAGTTCTCTCTCCAAGAGACTGGAAATTAACTTTATGAGGATCATAAGGAAGGGAATGACCTCTAGACAGCCGCCTTCTAATTGTGAAACGGGGGAAGATCTTGGACCTGGTCTCTGGAGCGCTCCCTATCTTAACCAAGTCACTTACTCTAGCAGGTCTCAGGTTCTTTGTCTGTAAAATGAGGGTGTAAAATAATGATCTTTCTAGACCCTACGAGCTCTGAAGGATCTCTGATTGGTGGAGATCACCCAAGACCCGGAGCTGATGCAAAACATTACCTACCATTCCCTTGTCTGAAAAGCCACATCAACTTTCTTTTTTCAAAAACTATATTTTTAGTATGTGTAAAGTAAGTTTGGAGTAAATACTTTCAAGTCCTTTTCAAGGTCAAAACAAAAACTAATTCTGTGACTACAAATGTATGCTTTTTTTTTTTTTTTTGAGACAGAGTCTCGCTCTGTCCAAATGTATGCATTTTTAATGGAGTAAATTAAAAAAAAAAACCTTTGTTTAAAATTTACTTTCAGCAAAAGTCAGCATTATTTTTTCAACTTAAAACCTTTTTGGGTTTTAAGTTGAAACAGGTTTTTTAGCTGTCTGGCCCAAATCCAAAATACGTATATCTTGGTGGGGAACTTCAATTTGTCTCTGCCATAAGACAAACGAATGTCCTGATACTTTTTGATTCTTTAACAAAATTATCCTTGTATTCTTAGGTTTATATATTCACTAACATTTAACATAACACAAATCTGTTACGTGAATTAAAGACACACAAAGGCATTTTTACCAGTGTTTGGAAGTTTGTGAATAGTAAAGGGGAACAGGCCAAAATTTCATGCGTTGAGGATATAAGTAAAACAGAAAGTGCAAAAATGTAAACTACACAAACTCAATCTCTTGTGGAACAATTAGAAAACTAATAATACATTTTACTCTTGAATGTTGATATTCCACTCGAAGTTTGGTTGGTTGCTAAGCTTAAGGATAAACACTATGAAAAATGTGAAGACAGAAGGGCTGGCCAAACACAGCTGATTCGGCAGCAAATCACACATTAAATCACAGTGGCATGTGAGTCGGTTTATTCAAATTGCTGTTAAAAGATATTCTTAGAGTAAGTTTAGGAAAATAAGAGTCATTTGGCGATGCAGAGAGGATTTTGTCTACAGTGGAATCCAGACTCCGGTGAAAGTTCTCATTCCTTCAGGACCTGGGAGCTAACAGCTCCGGACTTTCTTGTGCTCCACTGTGCTGCCTATGTTGTGTGCTTCCCAAATGGCATTATTCCCACCAGCTCTTCCAGAGTGAGTTCTGCCCATTCTGTAGAAGAAACAGTAGCGGAAAAATTAAACAATATCTTTGCTCAACGGACATTGTTTCCTTTACTCTTCTTTCATCATAAAGAGGTTGAAATAATTTTAACCATTGGAAGAAGTAACCCTCTTAAGCCCCTAAACAAAATTTGTAATAGCTTATTTTATGGCAAGGATTTAAATAAGGTATAAATTGGATAGCTGCACTGTGTAGTAAGTAAAATGCAACTGGAAAGGAGAACAAGACCAAAATAGGGCTTAAGGGACATATATCAAGGCCTTGATCATATTTTGACGGTCAGTCATTTGGATGTATAAGTATTAACCATGATAATATCCATTGAGCCTATATTATGGGCCAGGCACATGGTTTTCGTACTCATATTATCTTATTTAAGTCTCTCACCAATCCTATAAGGTAACTACAATTGTTACCCCCATTTTTAGATGTGAGGATACTTCAGCACAAAAGGGTCCAATGAACAGCCCACAGCAAGGAAGGGGCAGAGCCAGGGGCTAAAAGGGGTGCATTCAGCTTATAGATATAGATACAGATATAAATTCTGATAAGGAAAATCTGTTTCAGAATGCATATAAATTCTAGCATATTTAAATGTTATTCTCTGTCAGCTCTTAATTTAAAAAAAATAAATTCCTATCATTATTTCTTGTAACTAACTTCATCCTTAGGAATTAAAGAACAGATGAATCATGAGTGGCAGTCTAAACGGATCAATGACTCTGTAAAGACACATATATCTTAGCATTTGGAGAGGATTTGGCTGCAGGTTCTTGGAAATTATAATTTGTATGCCTTTTTATACCTATGTGTTGGCAATAGAAACAGATTTAAGAAGCCAAGGTGAAGAATTTTACCAGTTTTTAAATTGTGTTAGTTTTAGATCTTTTTCCTTGTTGGGTCCTCCATATGAGATTTCTTTTTACATTTCGAAGAATCATGGTATTTATTAAAAGGGATTATTTATGAAATCCATTTGAGGTCAGATTCTTGATGCTATGGGGACAAGCTAAATTTAGAGCAAGAATCAGTCCAGTAGAGTAACATAATTATGATAATAATTTTTAAAAGACCAAAACAATTTGTTGTCATTGAATTTCATTTTTATAATGCTATCTTATATATAACTATAAACTTTCCTGAGGAATGGGTGATAAATTCAAACATAGAGTTTCAAGATCCAATTCAAATGTAAATTCTTTTGAAGCCCCCTCAGGGAAAGCTATTAGTTTGATCTTGGGAGATTTATGCTTTCTGAAGCAATCTTTCACTAGTCAGTGAGTTATCATAAATCTTTCCTTGTAGTATTTTATATGTGTATACACATTCACTGATGTAAACCATATTTTATCCACATAGTTCAGGGACTGTTATAAGTATTAGTTTATTACTCAACAAAACATATCTAAAAGTTAAATGTGTCACATATACTATGCAATTTTGTAGCAATAAAAAAAAATCCCTTTCAGACAGAGTTTGAATACAGCTTAAAAACTTTTGCATGTTACAGCTAACTTTTTTCTGGATTGAAAAAGTATGGCTTAGGCTACCTCATAAGTTGGGGTTCCCATGGGTTAGAAACCCCTTTGGAAATCTAGAACAATAGAAGGATATAAACTAAACTAAGGCTTTGCCCCAAAATCCCACTACATTCCTCAACTGTTGTAAAAATTCATGTCTTTTTTTGATACATATAAAAATCTCGTCTCCAGTCGATTCCAATAATTCCAGTTCCCATCCATACCACCGTAGAGAAGTTTTGCATCTTCAGTGCATCACCACCGGCCTGTTTTGTCATTCTTCTTTCTTTACAATTTACATTATTAAAATATTAATTTTTAGGAATGCTCCAAGCATGAAATTACAATGAAACGTATGCCCTTTCAGAAGACATTGACCTGCCCTTTCCGTCACACACCTCCATCATTGTAAAATCTACACCTCCTCCCCTTCACTTCTCCTTTGAAAACCTCTACTCAACAGGGTCATTCAAGCCTGGGTTTTCCTAGGCAATGACCTAAAATGACTTTGCCTGGGGAAAGTAGAGTGCCAAGCCAGGTGGCTGGACCTCAAGATTAGAGACACTGGTTTAGAGCTTCCTTCAGCTGTAAAAAGATCCTCCTAGGTCTGAGTAACTTGAATGGCAGGCTGGTTAATACCCTTCCCAAACAGAGTGGAGAGCATGATAACTCAACCCTTAGGAATAAAAGAATGGTGGCTGGAAGGGAAGATTTGAAACTCCCAAAGGAACTTTCAAAGACTTTGAGAAAAAGGAAAGAGGCTAGCTGAAAGCAGAGCTTACTCATTTACACTTAAATAGAGAATGGAGACTGTTGGCAGGGCAAACCTGATAAGTACTTTTTAAAAAAAATTATTCTACTTTAAGTTCTGGGATACATGTGCAGAACTTGCAGGTTTGTTACATAGGTATACACCTGCCATAGTGGTTTGCTGCACCCATCAACCCATCATCTACATTACATATTTCTCCTAATGCTATCCCTCCTCTAGCCCCCACCCCCCGATAGGCCCTGGTGTGTGATGTTCCTCCTTGTGTCCATGTGTTCTCATTGTTCAGCTCCCACTTATGAGTGAGAACATGTAGTGTTTGGTTTTCTGTTCCTGTGTTAGTTTGCTGAGAATGATGGTTTCCAGCTTCATCCATATCTCTGCAAAGGACATGAGCTCATCCTTTTTTACGGCTGCATAGTATTCCATGGTGTATACGTGTCACATTTTCTTTATCCATTCTATCACTGATGGGCATTTGGGTTGGTTCCAAGTCTTTGCTGCCGTGAATGGTGCTGCAATAAACATACGTGTGTATGTGTCTTTATAGTAGAATGATGTAAAATCCTGTGGGTATATACCCAGTAATGGGATTGCTGGGTCAGAGGGTGTTTCTGGTTCTAGATCCTTAAGGAATCACCACACTGTCTTCCATAATAGTTGAACTAATTTACATTCCCACCAACAGTGTAAAAACATTCCTATTTCTTCACATCATCTCCAGCATCTGTTGTTTCCTGACTTTTTCATGATCGCCATTCTAACTGGCATGAGATGGCATCTCATTGTGGTTTTGATTTGCATTTCTCTAATGACCAGTGATGACAAGCTTTCTTCATATGTTTGTTGGCAGCATAAATGTCTTCTTTTGAGAAGTGTCTGTTCATATCCTTCACCCACTTTTTGATGGGGTTGTTTGGTTTTTTCTTGTAAATTTGTTTAAGTTCCTCATAGATTCTGGATATTAGCCCTTTGTCAGATGGATAGATTGCAAAAACTTTCTCTCATTCTATAGGTTGCCTGTTTACTATGACGATAGTTTCTTTTGCTGTGCAGAAGCTGTTTAGTTTAAATACATCCCATTTCTCAATTTTGGCTTTCATTGCCATTGCTTTTGGTGTTTTAGTCGTGAAGTCTTTGCCCATGCCAATGTCCTGAATAGTATTGCCAAGGTTTTCTTCTAGGGTTTTTATGGTTTTAGGTCTTACATTTAAGTCTTTAATCCATCTTGAGTTAATTTTCATATAAGGTGTAAGGAAGGGGTCCAGTTTCAGTTTTCTGCATATGGCTAGCCAGTTTTCCCAGCACCATTTATTAAATAGGGAATCCTTTCCCCATTTCTTGTTTTTTGGCAGGTTTGTCAAAAATCAGGTGGTTATAGATGTGTGGCATTATTTCTGAGGCCTCTGTTCTGTTCCATTGGTCTATATATCTGTTTTGGTACTAGTACCATGCTGTTTTGGTTACTGTAGACTTGTAGTATAGTTTGAAGTTAGGTAGTGTGATGCCTCCAGCTTTGTTCTTTTTGCTTAGAATTTTCTTGGATATACAGGCTCTTTTTTGGTTCCATGTGTAATTTAAAGTAGTTTTTTCTAATTCTGTGAAGGAAGTCAATGGTAGCTTGATGGGGATAGCATTGAATCTATAAATTACTTTGGACAGTATGGCCATTTTCACAATATTGATTCTTCCTATCCATGAGCATGGAATGTTTCCCCATTTGTTTGTGTCCTCTCTGATTTCCTTGAGCAGTGGTTTGTAGTTCTCCTTGAAAGGTCCTTCACATCCCTTGTAAGTTGTATTCCTGGGTATTTTATTCTCTTTGTAGCAATTGTGAAAAGGAGTTCACTCATGATTTGGCTCTCTGTTTGTCTATTATTGGTGTATAGGAATGCTTGTGATTTTTGCACTTTGATTTTGTATCCTGAGACTTTGCTGAAGTTGCCTATCACCTTAAGGAGATTATGGGCTGAGACAATGGGGTTTCCTAATTATACCATCATATCATCTGCTAGCAGAGACAATTTGATTTCCTCTCTTCCTAATTGAATACCCTTTATTTCTTTCTGTTATCTGATTGGCCTGCCAGAACTTCCAGTACTATGTTGAATAGGAGTGGTGAGAGAGGGCATCCTTGTCTTGTGCTGGTTTTCAAAGGGAATGCTTCCAGCTTTCGCCCATTCAGTATTATATTGGCTGTGTGTGTGTCATAAGTAGCCCTTCTTATTTTGATATACATTCCATCAATAAATGGTTTATTGAGAGTTTTTAGCATGAAGCGGTGTTGAATTTTGTTGAAGGCCTTTTCTGCATCTATTGAGATAATTGTGTGGTTTTAGTCATTGGTTCTGTTTATGTGATGAATTACATTTATTGATTTGCATATGTTGAACCAGCCTTGCATCCCAGGGATGAAGCTGACTTGATCATGATCATGGTAGATAAGCTTTTTAATGTGCTGCTGGATTCTGTTTGCCAGTATTTTACTGAGGATTTTCACATCGATATTCATTCAGGGATATTGGCAGACACCGAGCTAGCTATAGGAATTTTTTTTTTCTTATCCCAGTGGTGCCTGGAATGCCAGCGAGACACAACTGTTCACTCCCCTGGAAAGGGGGTTGAAGCCAGGGAGCCAAGTGTTCTAGCTTAGTGGATGCCACCCCTACGGAGCCCAGCAAGTTAAGATTCACTGGCTTGAAATTCTCGCTGCCAGCACGGCAGCGAAGTCAGCACAGCCTGAAGTCAACCTGGGATGCTTGAACTTGGTGGGGAGAGGGGCGTCTGCCATTACTGAGGCTTCAGTAGGCAGTTTTCCCCTCATAGTGTAAAAAACTGCCACTGGGAGGTTCAAACTGGGCAGAGCCCACCACAGCTCAGCAAAGCCACTGTAGCCAGACTGCCTCTCTAGATCCCTCCTCTCTGGGCAAGGCACCTCTGAAAGAAAAGCAGCAGCCCCAGTCAGAGACTGATAGATAAAACTCCCATCTCACTGAGACAGAGCACCTGGGGGAAGGAGCACCTGTGGGCACAGCTTCAGCAGACTTAAACGTTCCTGCTTGAGGTCTCTGAAGAGAGCAGCGGATCTCCCAGCACAGCACTCAAGCTCTGCTGAGGGACAGACTGCCTCCTCAAGTCGGTCCCTGACCCCCATGCCTCCTGACTGGGAGACACCTCCCAGCAGGGGTCGACAGACACCTCATACAGGAGAGCTCCGGCTGGCATCTGGCGGGTGCCCCTCTGGGACAAAGCTTCCAGAGGAAGGAACAGGGAGCAATCTTTGCTCTTGTGCAGCCTCCATGGTGATACCCAGGCAAACAGGGTCTGGAGTGGACCTTCAGCAAACTCCAGCAGACCTGCAGCAGAGGGGCCTGACTGTTAGAAGGAAGACTAACAGAAGGGAATAGCATCAACATCAACAAAAAGGTTGTTCACACAGAAACCCCATCTGAAGGTCACCAACATGAAAGACCAAAGGTAGATAAATCCACAGAGATGAGGAAAAACCAGTGTAAAAATTCTGAAAATTCCAAAAACCAGAATGCCTCTCTTCCTCCAAAGGATCACAGCTCCTCACCAGCAAGGAAACAAAACTGGATGGAGAATGAGTTTGATGAATTGACAGAAGTAGGCTTCAGAAGGCGGGTAATAACAAACTTTTCTGAGCTAAAGGAGCATGTTCTAACCCAATGCAAGGAAGCTAAGAACCTTGAAAAAAGGTTATGAGAATTGCTAACTAGAATAACCAGTTTAGAGAAGAATATAAATTACCTGATGGTGCTGAAAAAGACTAGTACTTTTTAAGAACTTGAACCCTCTGTAATTCACTCTGTGCTTATTTTTCCTAACCACTGTATGTGTGTTATATTAAAAGTATTTTAAACATAAAACTGGGCTGCAGGCAGAAGGTAAGTTTGAAACATTCTTTTACTTCACCATCAGCTGGAAGAAGAAGAGAGCCCAGAGAGGAAGATAAGAGTTGGTAGTAACTGGAAATGAGAAGTCTTCGGTGAAACCCTATTGACCTTCAGTGTGAGAGAAAGGATACACCAGAAGTTGAGTAATGACCCTGGCCTTCCCCTAAACTCTAGTTCTTACTAGAAATTTGTGGATTCCCTGGAAATGCAAAAATAGTGTAGAGGGAGGTAGCGTACCCATATTTAACTAGTGGACACAGCTATTTACTCAGATATATACACTTGTCCAAGCATGCACTAGAACCTAAGTAAAATATAATTTTCTAAAATGACTCTCATGTATGTAAATTAATGAGAGAACCAGCAGGATGGTAAAGCTGATTCAAAGAGAATTTTAAATACAATGTATGTAGGCACTGAAAGAATGCTAGACAATTACTAGGTTAGATACAAAATTGATTAACTTCCTACTGGGCAATTAAACTGTAACATTTGGATATATCTTTTTTACCAGATAGGAATCCCTTGCACCTTTAACAGATAAACACCTACAAGATTTCATACATAACTTTGGGGGTTGGCCTCAATCAATAGTAAATAATAAAATACACCAAGGCACAAATAATCTTATAAAGAATAACATAACTCTGCGGTGACCCCAATGGAGTACTCCAGCATGCAGGACATGCAGTCAACCTGGCACTTTAAGGCTAAGCTCAGATACTTTTTAAACAATATGTAATAATACTAGTAACTTTCCATTTATTGAGCTTTTATCTATTAAGTGCTAGGCACTGGGCTATCTTACCTACTTTATCTCATTTAATCCTCTCAACATTTCTCTATGTGAGAAGGTTGGGTCTGATCTCACATAACAAAGGGCTTGCAACCAGAATTTGGGACAGGCAAAAAACAAGAAAGGAATGAAGGTAGAAGGAAGCTGTATTCCAAGTCAGGTACCTGCATCAACAAAAGCAGAGGCAGGAAATTTTAAAGTATGTAATTTTAGAGTAAAAACAAAAGAATACAGAACTCTAAAATTGTTACTCCAATTTAATTATATGCAAACATACATTTTGGCTTACCCAAATACATTTTAGACTAATTAGGTACTTTACATGTTTCACATAACACTATTTGTTACAAAGACAATAGGTAAAAAGACAAAGATGTTATAGTAGTTCTATGAAGAAGAACTGGAAAAGAAAAGAAGTAAATAATGTCTTGGATGTTTAATGTCCAAAGAGATAATATCAAACTTATTAAAATCAAGAGATGAACCATTTCATACACCTCACTTTAATATGAAAACATGAGTTCCATTATACTATTTCACAACCACAGAAATCAGCACATTGTAAATTGTTATAATCTGTTTGCTGTTACCTTCAGGAGTGAGTATGTGAGTACATGCACCCACATGCTTGCCAGGCAAACAATTTCAATCATTGCAAGACTAATACGTATTTAGTAATCTCATTCAGTCATCAAATCTTTTCAGTATTAGGTTAGACACATGAGACTGTTTTTTATAAGTAAATATCTTTGGGAAACAGCAACATTCTTTTTAGAAATTGTGATTTATTATTACTCTGAGGAAAGGATTGATTTCGCAGAATCTTTTATTTCTGGCAAGTGTCCAGCTCTAACTGCACTGTAGTGACTACATTGCAGGGGCACTAAATTCACCTGAAAAAAAAGTTCTGTGGTTTAATTAAGTTTGCATGTCCAAGTTGGAGTAGCAATCGATTCTATGATTTAATTTTGAAATTCTTCCATAAAATAAATGGAAGCATAATTGATTTCACCAGATTAATGGTTATTAATATTTAGTCAATATAATTAGGTGTACCTGGGCTAGAAAATTCAAAGAAAAATCTATTGTATTAAGAACTGCAGATTCTAAAGAGCACAAAGAACCTCTGTGCTCGAGCCTCTTTGATGTACAAGAAAACTGAGGCTGTTTTATAAGTTGATCAGTTTGTTTTCATCTATAAATTTGAATTCCTAAAATATGAAGGATTGTTGGAGAGAGATGTTTACCCAGTCTCTTCATCCTTACTCCTTTCTTTGAAAGACTATGAGTTACCCTCAAGTGTCCATGATACATGCACCAGAAATACACAATCCATGACTGAGAAGAATAATTCGATTCAAGAAAAGATGTCAGTGATATTTTGGTTTTGCGAACAATATAATCATAGAGCTTTTTCAGAATATTCTCTACCACTCTAAAAGCAATGGTTGCATGCACAATCAGTATTTTTAAACCCATTCTCCTCCTTGGCGTATTCCAAGGAGTAACATCGTCCTGGGATACTGTTGAAGAGCAGTCTTAAAACTTTTAGAAGCAGGAGAATTTATTATGCTACCTTCTTTCCAAGTCACCCCGTCCGAAAATGGAAGAGCATCTTTGGCATTTTTCACCAAGGTAAAAATCATGGTCCATGTGCTCAGTAGGTAGGTCATCCTCAGTACATGTTTTTTTACCTTCTAGGTGGACAACCGCCACTCTAGGGATCCAGTGGTAGGTAGGGATTGATCTTGAAGCTGCCCTTTACCTATTTGCCCTTTACCTACTCACCCTTTACCTATCATTTATCCTTCACCTGTTTACCAGGGGAGAGCCAGCACATACCCACTCACTTGAAAGGAATCTCTCCTCCCAACTTCCAAAGAGCAAATCATTCCCCACCCCATATTTTCTTTCTCTGTATGCCAAGCAGCTTTTTTGAAAAAGGCTGAAACACTAGGTGTATCAGTCAGGATTAAGTTATATTTTGGCAACAAATGTCCCCAAAAAATCCATGAGTTAACAATCACAAGAGTTTTATGTCTCAATCATATCACATGCCCATCTTGGGCTGGCTGTATCTCTGCCTTATATCATATTCACTCCAGGGCCGTGGTGGATAAAATAGAAGCCTCTAGCTAGAATTTTGTGGGTCATTGAGACAGAGGAAAAAGAAAAAAAAAGATGGCTCTTAAAGATTTTGCTTTGAAGTGATGCAAGGCAATTACACTCATATTTCATCGTTAGAGCAAGTCACATGGCCAAGTTGTTATTCAATTATTCAGGAAAATATAAAGCTATTCCTGAAAAGGGCAGCAAATATTTGTGAATTGTAATACCATCATCTACATCAGGGAGCAAAAACAGTAGGAGGCAGTTTCAGATTCATAAGAAGTATTACAAAAGGGATCTACCTTTCTTAAGGAGAAAGTGGGGGAAGGGGCTGAACATACATGTTGGTGACCAGAAAAATGCTAAATGTAGAGTGGTGAGATGTACCTTTTTAAAAGCATACAATTTACTAACCAGCCTTAGACTTATAGTAGATGAATAAATAGAAAAATAGATGGATAAATAGCTAGGTGGATAAATAGCTAGGTAGATAATGGAGGAATAAATGGATAGATAGATGATAGAGAGTAGAGATAGATGATAGGTAGGTAGGTAGATAGAGATAAACACTCAAACACTCATACAAATTTAAACATAAAATATAAAACTCTACATGTTATTTTAGATTAAAGTTGTTCATTTAATTTTTTAACTAAATTCACAGGCATTATGCTCTTAAGTTCATACTTTTAAAACAGAAGTTTTGATATAAATGTTATTTTATTATCTACTTGAGTTGAACATGTAAATATAGAGTTTTCTATCATTTTGGAATAACGTTTTGCATTTCTCTGGAATCTACTTAGCTGCAAATTTACAATAAGATTTTTATAATGCTACTTTTTTTTACAGTTTGTATTTCCACTTTGAATCATTGTTTTCTTTTCATCTTGAGTGATGCCATTCAGTTACTTGATTCGACGTGGGTATTGACTCTCCTAAATTTCAGAAATGTAAGTTAATTTATCTAAACTTTTGTCCAATTTTATCCTTTGAAAACTCTGGCTAAATTCTCATCTTCTAGAGAACATAGAATTTTAACATTTTTATGTTTGTGAAATATACACAAAAATGAAAGTAGGAATCTTAATAATTCAGTTTCTCTTCTCTGTGGCCACTGGATTACTTGTAAGACCCTGGAGACAATGAGAGGTGAGATAATAGTAATTCATTTAGCTCTAGTATAAAGATAGTGATAGAAGGGAAAAGTTTGTTTCCTCTATTCCTTCGGAAAACGCACAGAACTATTTCATTGTGATTAATTGTGGTGAGGCACAAATGTGAAAGCCAAACAATCTGGTCCTAATTTTTCTTTAAAGCAATACATCTGTCTACACACATAGAAAAACAAATAATAAATGAATTCAGCAAATTTGTAGGATACAAACTAAATCCTATTTCAAACATACTAAAAATAGTCTAACCAAAGTGTAGGACTTGTACACTAAAAACAACAAAACAGTAGTTGAAATATTACTGAAAAAAAATGAAGAAATCTAAATAAATGAAAAGATATCCCATGTTCATGGAACAGAAAATTTAATAAGATTTGAGCAGTACACCTGAAATTATTTGACAGATTTAACACAAAATTCCAACTGCCTATTTTGCAGAAATGAGCAACCAGATCTTAAAATGCATCTGGAAATTCAAGGGTCCCGGAGTAGCCAAAATCATCTTGAAAAAGAAGAACAAAGTTGCAGGGCATATATCTCCCAATTTCAAAACTTAATACAAAGTTACAGCAATCAAGATAGTGTGATACTGGCATAAAGATAGACAAATGGACCAATAGAATAGAATTGAGAGTCCAAAAATCAACCCATACAGTTATGGTTAATTGAGTTTTGACAAAGGTGCAAAGATCATTCTGTGGGGAAATAGTGCTTTAACTGCTTCAACTGGATGAGTCAATGCATGGTGCGGGGACAACTGGATATCCATGTGCAAACTAATAAATTTGGATCCCTACTTCATATCATACACAAAATTTAACTCAAAATAGTTCAGAGACCTAACTGTAAGAATTAAAACTATAAAACTCTTAGTAGGAAAATAGCTATAAATCTGCATGATCTTGGATTAGGCAATGGGTTATTTTAGATATGATACCAAAAGCATAAGCAACAAAATTAAAAACAAATAAGTTGAACTTCATCAACATATAAAAAGGACACCATCAAGAAAGTAAGAAGACAACCCACAGAATGGGAGAAAATGTTTGCCAATCACACGTATTTGATAAGAGTCCACTATCTAGAATATATAAAGGACTCTTGCAACTCAACAATATAAAGAGCACCTGATTAAAATGAAGACAAATGATCTGAATAGATATTTCTCCAAAAAAAAATACAAGTGGCCATTTAACACATGGAAAGATGCTCAACATCATTAATCATTAGGAAAATGCATACCAAAACCACAATGAGATACCATTTAACACCCAGTAGAATGGCTATAATTTTCTTAAAAGAATAATAAGAAGTATTGGTGAGAATGTGGATAAATTGAAACTCCTACGTTGCTGGTAGGAGCATAAATGATGCCACTGCATGGCAAGAGTCTGGAAGTTTCTTACAAAGTTAAACATAAAATTACCACATGACCAAGCAATTCCACTCACTGGTAAATACCCAAGAGAATTGAAAAGAAATGTTTCCACAAAATCTTGTACATGAAAGTTCGTAACAGCATTATTTATAGTAGCCCAAAGTTGAAACAACTCACATGTCTATCAATGATGAATGGATAAACAAAATGTGATATATACATTTAATAAAAGAAACTATTCAGCCATAAAAACAAATGAGGTATGTTACATGGTGCAACATGAATGAAACTTGAAAACATTACGGTAAGTGAAAGAAACCAGACACAAAAAGCCACATAATGTATTATTCCATTTATGTGAAGTTTCCAGAATACGCAAATACATGTAGAAAGTTGATTTGAGGGTTGCCAGAAGATGAGGGAAGAGAGAAATTGTGACTAATTATGCATATATATATATGGAATTTCTTTTTGGAGTAATGGAAATGTTCTGAAATTAAATTGTGGAGATTATTGTACAACACAGTGAATGCACCAAAAATACTGAATTGTACACTTTAAAAATATAAATTTTCTGTTATGTGAATTATACTTCAACAAAAAATAAAGTAATACATCTTTATAAGTGTTTGATTATTTTCCTCTATCATTGACAATGCTATTTGATATTATAAGATCCCACAAGTCATAGCCCTCATCTATTTAAATCATTTTGATTCTCAATGTAGAGGGAAGAGAGACACAATTAGATTATCTCAGCTACTACAGCTTTATGTGAAACAGAGACAAGAAGGCCTCACAAAGACACAGAACCAAAATATTGTTTAAAATACAACAATTGTTGTATTAGATCTGAAAGTGGTTCTGGTGTCTCCACAACTCTAATTATTGTCTTCTGAGAAACTGGCCACCTTTGATCTCTCCTCTGGTGTTCTGCCTTTGAGTATGACTCAGCTATTTTCTCTTTTGCCTTCTATTACTCTTGCTATGCATAACTTTGTCTTGAATGTCTCTCAGTCAGATTCCTGCAGAATAAGCATGCAATTGGCTCATCCGACATATCCAGTGAGATTATCCTTGATTGGCAGAATGCTAGTTCCACACTTCCTACAAGAACACTGGCTACTCTACAGATACTCTCTATATTCTGGGAAAAGATTTCAGGATCATATAATATAAAGTAAGGAGAACTCTATGTATTTCTTCCCAACATGGATATTCTGATGTTTTCATGAGAAAGCATCAGTCAAACCCAAATTGAGAGATATAATGAATAAATCTATGCTTTTTAGAAATGGCAATACCACAAGAGACAAACCAAGGCTGAGGGACTCATCTTGATGAAGACAAAAAAAGACATGACAACTAAATAAGATTTATGATTCCAAATTGGATCCTGAGCCAGAAAAAAAAAATGCCATATTGGGCCTACCAGTAAAAATGTAAAAGAACTACAGGTTAGATAATAGTATTGTATTGATGTTAAGTTTCCTAATTTTGAAGATTGTACAAAAGTCATGTAAGAGTATGCCCTTTTCTATTAGGAAATGCACTGTGATGGTTAATATTGAATGTCAACTTCATTGGATTGAAGGATGCAAAGTATTGTTCCTGGGTGTGTCTGTGAAGGTGTTGCCAAAAGACATTAACATTTGAGTCAGTGGACTGGGAGAGGCAGACCTACCCTCAATCTGGGTGGGCACCATCTAATGAGCTGCCAGGGCGGCTAGGATAAAAGCAGGCAGAGGAACATGGAAGGACTAAACTGGCTGAGTCTTCCGGCCTTCATCTTTCTCCCATTCTGGATGCTTTCTGCCCTCAAACATCGGACTCTAACTTCTTTAGCTTCTGGACTGTTAGACTTACACCAGTCATTTGCCAGGGGCTCGCAGGCCTTTGGCCACAGACTGAAGGCTACACTGTCGACTTCGCTACTTTTGAGGTTCTGGGGCTCAGACTGGCTTCTTTGCTCCTCAGCTTGCTGACAGCCTATTGTGGGACTTTACCTTGTGATTGTGTGAGTCAATACTCCTTAATAAACTCCCTTTCATATATATATATATATCCTATTATTACTGTCCCTCTAGAAAACCCTAATACATATGCATTAAAAATGTTTGGTGAACTATTTTCAAATAGTTTCCTAAAATTCATAAAATTTATGTATATATGATATGCATATATGATATGTATTTGTCATATTAGGATATATTATATATAGCATATATTTATAAGGTATATTCATAATATGTATGTAGTATTATATTATGGGCACATATATATTTAATATAAATTTATCCAATACATACACATAATCACATAAAGAGAAAAATATTAAAAGAGAGAAAATTGTATAGCAAATGCACAAAACATTGCTGGTTAGAGGATCTGGGAAAAGAGCATTCAGAAGTTTTTTGAACTTCCAACTTTTTTCCAAGTTTAAAATTATTTTAAAAGAAAAAGGAAAAATTTACAAATGGATAATGAGCTATGTACAAGGAAGCACTAAAAAAGGGGGTCATGGTCATGGCTAAATTATGATCCAGATTAAGTGTACCAGTATACCTTGGAGATATTGTGGATTTGGTTCCAAAGCAGCACAATAAAGTGACTATCACAACAAAGCAGGTCATGCAAATTTTTTCGTTCCCCGGTGCATATAAAAGTCATATTTATAACACATTTTAGTCTCTTTAGCAGGCAATAGCTTTGTGTCTAAAAAAAGTACATGCCTTCATTTAAAAATGGTTTATTGCTAAAAATTGGTAACAATCATCTGAGCCCTTAGCCAGTTATAGTCTTTTTCCCAGTGGAGTTTCTTGCCTTGATGTTGATCTGCTAACAAATAAGGCTGATAGTTATCAAAGGCTCGGATGGCTGTGGCAATTTCTTAAAACAAGGCGGCAATGAAATTTGCCACATTGCTGGACTTTTCATGAAAGATTTCTCTGTACATGCAATGCTGTTTGATAGCATTTTCCCCACAATACCACTCCCTTCAAACTTGTAGTCAATCTTCTCAAATTCTGCGACTGTTTTATTAAAGATGTTTATATGATATTTTAAATCATTTGTTGTCATTTCAACAATGTTTATAGCATCCTCACCAGGAGTAGACTCCATCTCAAAAAACCACTTTCTTTGCTCATCCAGAGAACCAACTCTACATTTGTTCAAGTTTTATCATGAGATTACAACAGTTCAGTCATGTTTTCAGGCTCCACTTCTGAATCCAGTTCTCTTGTTATTTTCACCACATCTTCAGTAATTTCCTCCACTGAAGTCTTGAGCTCTTTAAATCACCTGTGAGGGTTGTCACCACGTTGTTCCAAAATTCTGTTAATGTTGATATTTTGACCTCCTCCCATGTATCACAAATATTCCTAATGGCATCTAAAACAATGAATATTTTGAAGAAGTTTTTCAATTTACTATGCCCAGGTTTATAAGAGTAATCACTCTCAATGGTAATTATAACCTTATGAAATGTATTTCAAATATCTTAGTCACAAAACAATTCTGCTTCATCTACTTGTGGCAGTCTTTCTCAGGTCCAATAAATCACTTGGATACTGCTTGTAAGAAAATGTGGAACGATAGTCTTTTCACCAATGATAAATATTTGCTCCAATAATATAAATTTTACACTTTGCTGATTCATTGCTTCTAAAAACACAAAAAGTTTTCAGATTGAAGGCTGAATCACATTGTACTCTTTTTAAAGACATTTTGGAGGGCAAAATGTCAACCCATGTATCAACAACCATGCACTTGACTCAAATGAAGTGGGAACAATATGAAGACCTGTGACCAAGTTGCCATAGTTGTTGACCTGAGATAGGGGTCAGCAAACTTTTTCTGTAAAGAGCCAGATAGTAAGTATTTTAGGTGTTGCAGACTATATGACTGCTGTTGCAACTACCCAACTCAGCCTTTTCAGTACGAATGCAACCATATACAAAATGTAAGGGATTGAGCATGGTTGTGTTGCAATAAAGCTTTATTGCAAAAATAGGTGCAAGCTTTAGTTTTTTGACCCCTGATTAATGGAATGGGCACATGACCTAAGCTGGCACGGTAAGATTCCTCCCTCAACTGGAGAAGAAAAGTGTTTAAAATATCAGACTACAACCAAAACTGAGTGCTACTTGCAGCCAACTTTCCAGCCTCATGGGGACAACTTGGCTGAAAAAATGGAGCTAACATATTGAAAGAAGCAAATACAAGAGACAGAATCATCTCAGTATTCAAGGATGTGAATCATTTTTTTTTCCTGAGGTCAACGCTTCCCCTGACCTTTCTGTGCTTTGGTTACATTAATCTATATCGTCCCTTTCTTGGGATAAGCTGATTCAACCTCTTTCTATTGTTTATTATCCCTGGCTAAGTAATCTTGGTAGAGTTACTTTAACTCTCCAGATCTCAGTCTCTTCACTTAAAATATGTGAACAAAAATGAACCTACTTTACCAGATTTATATGGACATTAAATGATATATGGGAAAGTGCATAGAGCAGTGTCTGGCAAATAAAAACACTAGGCAAGTATTGATTATCATCATCATTATCATCAAACATTATTAATAGTTTGGTTGGTTTCAAGAATATAACATGTATCTAGAATATTATATTTGCATTAAGAGAGAGGAGAGTTCATTCACACAGGTAAACCTTGGCAAATACAGCTCATTAATTTTTCTCTTCATAGTAAAGATTATAGTGGCAATGGAGGGAAAGACCTGTCAATAATATGCATTATAAGACTGATATCTTCAGAATTCAGGAATAAATGTGCTAAATTAAACAGAAGCATGGCCATAAAAATAAGCATGAAGCCTACGTTTATAACACAAGGGCTTAAGTCAGATTGATTTATTTCTTAACTAAGTTGTTCTTCAGTAAATTGGAATTTGGCAATATATCTTATTAATCATTAAAATACAACCAGTGCTTCAATAGTTTGAGATGCCAGATAGAAACTACTTGTGAAAATCCAAACCATAATTAGAGCAAGTTAAATAATTCATATCTATTTTAAAACATTTAAAACGTCCATTTTGTGATAATCATTTCTTTATTCTCTTTATAGTTTTATTTCTCACGTATACATTTATAATACGATTTTGTTTGGCTGAGGCTGTCAGCATCCCACCCATAGCCCTTGCTTTTAGCACTTCAATGCACACAGCTCTCAATGCCTAAGGTCTTTGCCCAGGAGCTTTCACTTGCTGTTAAAGCACATTTTGTTGTGCAACTGGACCAGAAGTGCTGAAAAATACCCATAGAGCACCCTTCAACAATGACGGATGGGAATTGGTATAAATGTACTCTGGCTCCATCGTCTCCTCTGCTGGGACAACTGAGGAGTGCTTCACACTGGCTCTCTGAGTTTATCTAGTGGGGTTAAGCTCCAGTTGTCCACAGTGGTAGTTGGTTATCTTCCTCGCCTTCCTACTAGGGTTGCCTTCATCCCACAAATAAACCATATGCATTTAAATCCTGATTTCAAAATCTGCTTCTGGGATAATTCAAACTAAAATAATTGATATCATACATTGCTCTATGGAGCAAATCTTCAGGATGGGATTCAGAAATTGAATAACTCCCTGGGCATAGAGCAACAAGAATCCCATTCCTAGTAGTATAGTATCAAATCTATAGACTCTCATTTGTGGAAGATTGGGTTCCCATACTTACGTAGTAGCTGTAGCATGAAAGAGACCCTACCCTCTTTGCCATAGCCAGAGGGAAGGCTGCTGAAAATCAGATGCAAGGTCTAATTGTGGAATTATTTAAATTTCAAATAATGCTAAATTCACAGCCCCAGCAATTCTCCTATGCCAAATACAGAGTCGTCATAAAGAAGAAATGGGACCCAGAGACCTGAAACAGAAACATCTGGTCTTCTGTGCTTGAAAATCTTGACCCCTCTGTGCTATGTAAGACCTCCACTCCCCCATGCTAGATAGCCTCTCCTTGCTTGGAGATCATGCAGAAGTCTCACTTAAGGAAGATCCAATATATAGATAACAAAGACAGAATAATAACCGAGGAACTCTTTCTCACAGATATCTGTGGTGATATCTAATAGCCATGGTGTTTTTAGAGGCAAGATGGGTAGGCATCCAACAAAGATGTTGCATGACATGTACAACCTATAAGAACAAGAGCAGAGCAGAAGACAGTCATTAGTCACCATAATAGAAAATTGTTTTCTTACTCAATTTCCAAACCAGAATCTATTCTGAAAACTAGAGCCCTTCAATTGAAGAGAATGCTAGATCCCCTTCCCCTTAAGGAAGAATTTTGTAATGCTACAGCCAAGTACTTAAATAGTGATTTCCCCATTCCTTCCCACTTAAGGGATATATGGCCATTTACCCCAGTCATTCTACACAGAAGAAAGGAGCACATCCATGACTTTTAAAATCTGTCCTTACTTCCACTCACGGCTTGTACAGCAGTTACTAGGGTTATGCCTCAACACAGCCTTACTGGCGATGAACTGCTCTTCCATGAGAGGAAACGAACTATGTACCAAACATTCTGCATGGCCTGGCTAATATGCATAAGCAGCAACTGAGAGGATATACCTGAAATTGAGGGAGTAGAATATAAACTGGATAAGGGTGAACTCATTGTGAAGGGCACTCTCCTGTAACTCAAGATATAGCATCTCAGCAAGGACTTATGGAGCCAGTCCTAATGCACTATTGGAATGGATCCTTGGGATTTGGGGAAAAAACACAGCATATAGTGAATGAGGCAAGATGTTGAAATTGCCTAATAGGAGTATTTAGAAAGGGATAAAAAGACAAAGGAATGAACATGCTGTAATGTATTCAGAATATAGGACCAGAGAAGCTACCAGCTGACCCTGTCTCTGGAGAGGGCCCCAAGAATACTCAACTTAGATTGGCTCCTTGACTCATGGAGTAAAATCATCATAACATAAAAGGTAGTAGAAAACAGTAGAAATCCTTGAAACTGCCTTCACTTCAGGCAAGACAGTAAATTAGAAACAACCAATCCTGGATGGAATGGCAGAGATTAATATCTCTCTCAAAAGTGTAAAGGATACAGGAACATCATATCTCCCTCTAATTCACCAATCTGGCCCTTGCAAAAACCATATGGATCATGATGGATGAGAGTAGACTACATCACAGTCTTTCTGGGACTCTGGTAGCTCTCCTGATCTCAAGCACAATATAGTCCAAAGGAACCTCAATCCTCTAGACATTTCTCAGAACATCGCCTCCAGCCGCAGTATTTGATGCAATCATTGGAACTGAGGATCATGAAGTTGCAATACTCCAAATGCCCTTGTAAGGCAAATGCACCTCAGAGGACTGGATATAATCCCTTCAAAGATTCAAGGGCCTGCAACACTAATGGAGGATTCAGAGATTTAGTGGTCTGTGGAATGCAGTAAAGGAAGTAAAGGACAAGTTACTGCATGTTGCAATTCTTACAATTAAGAAAGAGGAATTTCATAGTTATTTAGTAGATCTCTTTGGGTTGTGGAGAACATATACCACATTTGAGAATATTACCTCAGGCATTTATTGCATCATTTGGCAGATTGCCACTTGGGGTTGGGCCCAGAACAAGAAAGGCTCCATAGCAGTTTCAGTCTGTGGTATAAATAACAATGCCTTTGGGAACATACACTCCAGCCAATCCTATTACACCAGAGATGTTCAAGATAGACAGGGATGCTGTGCAGAGTCTGAAAACCCTGAAGCAGGGCTCTAACGAAAATTGACAATAAATAGTGTATAAATATCTCAACTTCATTACCCCTAAAATAAGTTAATCCTGGTGCATGTTTTTCACTGGCTCTCTAGTGTTACCATAATGGGATTAAGTTGCAGACATTCACAGTGGTTAAGTGGTTTGAAAATGCACTGCTTCCCTTCCTTGTCTATTTCCTCGCCCTTAAGCTTTTTTTTTCTTTCTTTTTTTTTTTTTTTTAAAAAAAAAGACAGAGTCTTGCTCTGTCACCAGGCTGGAATACAGTGGTGTGATCTCGGCTCACTGCAACCTCCGCCTCCCAGGTTCAAGCGATTCTCCTGCCTCAGTCTCCCGAGTAACTGGGACTACTGGCATGTGCCACCAAGCCCAGCTAATTTTTGCATTTTTAGTAGAGATGGGGTTTCACCATGTTGGCCAGGATGGTCTCAATCTCTTGACCTCATGATCTGCCCGCCTCAGCCTCCCAAAGTGCTGGGATTACAGGCGTGAGCCACCGTGCCTGGCCACTCTTAAGCTATGTTTTGTCCCTCCCAAATAAGCTACTTAATTAAACCAAATTTGCCCATTTTTGTAAGTTAAAAATGGTTGAAGATCTGAAGTTTCATATGTTTCAACTTAATGCTTGAACTTGAATCCTTTATTTATGGTTTTGTCTGGAGCTACCAATGCTAAATAATTAGTTTCGCCTATTTTTTGAGTTTTGTATAAATGGAAATCATACTTCATGTATTCTTTTGTAACTTATGTCTTTTGCTTAATATGATGTTTTTCAAATATCTACATATTGTAGCATGTAGCTATGCTTCAATTATTTTTGCTTATGTATAGCATATTCCACTATCTGAAGACCTCATACTTTTTAAATTTTATTGTTAGCAGATAGATGAGTTATTTTCAGTATGGGATTATTACAAACAGTGAAGCTAATAAAATCCTGGTTGGTACATCCTTATGTATATTTGCACAAGTTTCTCTAGGGTTTATACCTAGGAGTAGAATTGGTAAGCCATAGAGTATGTCCATATACTATCTGTTTCTTAAAGAATATTCAAAACAGGAAAAAATAACCTTTACTGGGAGTGCAATTTAGTGTGTACAGTGGCTTCCTAACCTCTAATTTCTACACAGCATACCTCCAGTGTGTGAATTGTAATGCTGTTCAGCCCCGGGAAGGAAAGAGGCAGAAGCTTTTGATTCTTCTTAGAGCGTACCCTTCCATATTTGCTTCTTGAAGAGCATAATCTCCCTAAGTTTTCTCTTTTTTTCAACAAATAAAGCCAATTCCTTTTGTCATTTCTTCATAGGGGCTATTCCCAATGCCTCTAACCATATTTCAATTGCTTTCTTTCAGAGTGCCTCCAAATTTTCAAATCTAGGGTCACCATGCAATTTGTTATCCACAACAGGTCAGTTTGGGGAATAGAAAGAAGTGCTAAAATAATGAACAGTTTTAACTGATTTACCACAGAGGTAAACTAGATCATCCCAGGCAAACCAAAATGCACTGTCTCCTTATTCATATAACACTAACTGTGTGTGTTCTCAAATCAAGTAAGGAATGCCTATGGAGGACTGACTTATATTAAATATTAAAGAAGAGTTGTCGGCTGCATTACACATTCCTATTTGTAATCCCAGTCTCAGGGACTTTCTTATGACTATATTATGCGTAAGTAACAGCACATAAACAGGAAGGGCCAAATATTGGTCTCTTCGTGGCAATGAGGTAATTTTACCTAGGTTTCAATTGTGTCCTTTAGGGAAATGGTGACTGCGTATTTAATCCTCAACTTAGTAATAAACACAAATCTCAATAGTATTTAGTATTCAAAGGAGATTTTTCAAAGGTACTAGCTGGTTGCTAAGTAACTATGAGAAAGAAAGTGAAATAGGGAAGATTTTCCCAACTTCTCTTGTATTTACTGATTCAGAAAACAGTTCTCTTTTACATAGGACTTGTCTGACAATTTGTACTTGGAAAATTGAAAGTGTGACATTTCTACAAGCAGAAATATGCAAAAACTATCTTAGGCACAAAGAAATACCACAGGATTAGTATTTGTTTTTACAGAACAGTCTATCAGGCATCTCACTGTTTAAAAAAGTGAAATGTCTGGATTAAAATGCAAAATGTTTGGGGAAAAGTCTAATTGCCTCAGAAATATTTGGATTTTCTCAAGTAGTTTGTTAATAATAATACTATTGCTAAAAGCCACTAATTACTAAAAAGCTACCTTGTGGTTGTCACTGAATTTCAAACTTTGGTTACATTATCTAATAAAATCCCCTTAACAATTTTGTAAATTAGAAATTTGCTATTTAAGATAATGAAGCTCGAATGGTTAAATAAATTACTTCTCAGTTCCAAGTTAATAAATGGCTGAGCTGATACTGGAACTCAAGATCATTTAACTACAAAGGTCTTCTATTTTTTTATAAAATATTCTGAGGCTCCAATTTTGTTTGCTGCATCATAAAAGATGCTACAGTTCAAATAACATTAAATTAATCTAGATAGAAAATATACTGCCAAGTCTGGAGGATACTAGGTTACCAAAACAACAATTCAAAATGATGTCAATAGAGATGTGGGGGCCAGCTTTTTAACAAATAAATTTTATTTTGTATATTTGAGGTTTACAACATTATGTTATGGGAACTAAAGGAATAATAAAATAGTTACTATAGTGAAGTAGATTAACATATCGATCACCTCATGTAGTTATTTTTATATCCTTTTTTGTTAAATTTACTTATTTAACAAAATCTCTAATATAATACAATTTTATTAGCTATAATTCTCATGTTGCGCATCTCTAGATGTCTAGACGTGCTCACTCTACATATCTGCTACTTTGTATCCTTTGACCTATTTCTCCCTATTTCTTCCTTCTCCCGCACCCCACTGTTCTCTATCTCTGTATACAGTCGAGCATCAGTAATGATGTTTTAGTCGACAACGGACTGCTTATACAACAGTGGTCCCATAAGATAATAATGGAGCTGGAAAATTTCCATAGTCTAGTGATGTTGTAGCAGTCACAATACATTACTTAAGTGTTTGTGGTGATGCTGGTGTAAACAAACTTACTGTGCTGCCAGTCATGTGAAAGCATAGTACATTCAATGATGTACCACACATAATACTTAATAATGATAACAAATGAGTGTTACTGGTTATGTGTTTACTGCATTATATATTTTTATTGCTAGTTTAAAATATATTCCTATGTATTCAAAAAAAGTTAACTGTAAAACAGCCTCAGCCAGGTCTTTCAGGAGGTGTTCCAGAAGAAGGCATTGGCATCACAGGAGACGACAGCTCCACAAGTATTATTGTCCCTAAAGGCCTTCCAGTGGGACAAGATGTGGAGGTGGAAGACCGTGATATTCATGATCCTGACCCTGTGTAGGCCTAGGCTAATGGGTGGGTCTGTGTCTTCATTTTTAACAAAAAAGTTTAAATAGAAAAAAAAGCAACATTTAAAAAATAGAAAAGCTTACAGAGTAAGAATACAAGGAAAAATTTGTTTGTGGAGCTGTATAATGTGTTTGTGTTTTAAGATGTCATTACAAAAGAGTCAAAAAGTTTTTTTTAATTAAAAATGTATATAGTTAACAAGATACCGTAAACTTAGCTTATTATTTTAGAAAGAAAAATTAATAAATTTGGTGTAGCCTAGGTGTACAGTTTTTTAAAGTCTACAATAGTGTACAATAATGTGTTAGTCTTTCACATTCACTCACCACTCACTCACAGACTCACCCAGAGCAACCCCGAGTCCTGCAAGCCCCATTCATGGGAAGTGCCCTATAGAGGTATGCCATTTAAAAAAATCTATTATGCCATATTTTTACTGTACCTTTTCTATGTTTAGATACACAAATACTTATCATTATATTACAGCATGCTGTACAGGTTGGTAGCCTAGGAGCAATAGGTTATGCCGTGTAGGTGTGTAGTCTGTAGTAGGCTTTACCATCTCGGTTTATGTAGGTATATTCTGTGCTGTTCACACAACAATGAAATCACCTAACAATGCATTTCTTAGAATATATCCCCATTGTTAAGTGATGCGTGGCTGTATTTGACTGTTTTATTTTGGATTCCACTATAAGTGAGATCATGCACTATTTTATTTCTGTATCTGGCTTGTTTCACTTAGCATAATGTCCGCAAGGTCCATCCACTTTGTAGCAAATGGCAAATTTTTAAGGCTGAATAATATTTAACAGCATATGTATCACATTTTCTTTATACAGTTGCCTGTTGATGGATACTAGGTTGTTTCCATATCTTGGCATTGGGAATAATGCTGCACTGAACTTGGGAGTGCAGATATCTTTATGAAGTGCTAATTTCAGCTCCTTTGGATATATACCTAGAAGAGGGATTGCTGGATTGTATGGGAGTCCCATTTTTCATTTCTTTAGGAATCTCCATACTGTTTTCCATAATGGCTATACCAATCTGCATCCCCACCAACTGTGTACTAGAGTTCCCTTTTCTCCACACCCTTGCCAATGCTTATCATCTTTTGGATAATAGCAGTCCTAAGCATATGACTAAGAAGAGTGGCTATTAGACCCTCTCAGGGGGTGGCGGGGCAGGGAAATGAGAGAAGAAAATTTAATTTTGAAATTAAAAACTAGTGACTTACTGACTTATTTAAGTCTAGATTTTAAAGTATTCACTAAGCACCAAATAGGGGCACAGCCAACATATCAAAGCATTGATATTCACCAAGAATGAAGAAGTTTTAATGATGGCTACCATCTATGATTAGTCCAAACTCTGCCTCTATTTCTTAGATGGTTGCAGAAAAAGCAAAAGAGTCCTCTAGATCAGAGGTTATCAAACTCTGCCCATGGGCCACCTGCCTGTTTTTATAAATAAAGCTTATTGGGATACAGCCAGGACCACTAGTATTTTGTCTATGGCAGCTTTCACACTGCAATAGCAGGGTTAAGTAGATACAATAGAAACCAAATGGCTTCCAATCCTAAAGTGTTTTCTACCTTCCTTTCTAAAAAAATGTTTGCCCACCACTGCTCTAGATCAGAGTTTCTCAGCCTCAACACAACTGACATTTTGGGTCACACAGTTTTCTGTTTTGTGGGGCTTGCCTGTGCAGGTGCTTGGCAGCATTTGTGGCCTCTACCCACTAGATGCCAGTAGTCCTCCAGCAGGTGGGCCAACCAAAATATCTCCAGACATATTAGATGTCCCCTGGGGATAATGTCACCCCTATTGAGAATCACTGCTCTAGATAAGCAGCATTTTTTTTCTAAGCTTACTGCAAATTTCTGACACAAATTGATCTTCCATATCTATCTGCATAGAAACATATGAAGGAGCCAACTTGACAAAATCTTTATTGAAAACACAGAAATAATTTAAAAACAAACAATCTACAAACTCTCACCTCCACCCAGTCTGCCCAACAAAACATACTTGTACTCATACACCCTGTCTTCTCTCTCTTACAGTAACTGTTGGTCCTCCTTTCTAAGGCTAATTCCTCCATCCCAACACAATCTCATTCTCTCTTAGCTAATCAAGGACTTCACTACAGTAACTCTTTCCCCACTGCATCACCAATTTTTCTTTACTAGGTCAGATCCATTAATAACATGTAGCTATTATTTCTCGAATCTTAAACAAAATAAACCTTCCTCTTCCTCACATCCCCTTCTAGTTACTGTTCACATTTCTTGGATACCATTTATAGAAAACCTCGTTGAGAGCAATGAGAACACATGGACACAGGGAGAGGAACGACACACACCGGGACCTGTCACGGGCGAAGGCGGAGGGAGAGCATCAGGATAAATAGCTAATGCATGCAGGGCTTAATACCTAGGTGATGGGTTGATAGTTGCAGTAAACCACCATGGCATGCATTTGCCTGTGTAACAAACTAGCACATCCTGCGCATGTATCCGAGAACTTAAAATAAAATAAAGTTTTTTTAAATGAGAAAACCTTGTTGAGAGATATAACCCTTCAGATTCTAGAATTATGATGAATTCAAATGCAGTGCATAAGAAATCGATACCAAGATCTATCTAATGAAACTGAAGGCCGGATGCTATGGTACAGGCCTGTAATCCTGGCACTTTGGGAGGCCAAGGTGGGCAGATCACTTGAGGTTAGGAGTTCGAGATGAGCCTGGCCACAATGGTGAAACCCAGTCACTACTAAAAACACAAAAATTAGCCAGGCATGGTGGTGAGCACCTGTAAGCCCAGCTACTTGGGAGGCTGAGATAGGAGAATCACTTGAACCCAAGAGGCGAAGGTTGCAGTGAGCCGAGATCATGCCACTGCATTCCAGCCTGGGTGACAGAATGAGACTCTGTCTCAAAAAAAAAGAAAAGAAAAGAAAATGAAGAGCACCAGTGACAAAAAGGTTAACCTAAAAGCAGTCAGAGGGGGGGAAAAAAAGCAGTTAACCTACAAAGGAAACTATTGATTTCTTATAGCAACAGTGAAAGCCAGAGGAAAGCTGAATAATATCTTGGCAGTGCCTGGGCAAGGAAAGGGTGCTGCCTACTCTTGAAGGCTCCACTGAAGGGTGAAGCCTCCACTGAAAGGGTCGCATCCTTCTGCGGTGCTAACTTAGTTGTATCATCTTTAAAAGACAAATAATGACAGTTAACACAGTACTTGCATTGCTTACCTTATAGTGCAATCACTTCATGTTGCAACAACGGAGGTAGTCTGGTCTCAGCATCTAGGCAGGTAACAATTCATCTATATCCTGCTTTTTGTGGTATTAGAAGCAAGGGTACCTGCTTAGAATGAAAGGGTGGAGATGCTTCAGGCAGGGAATAGAGAGTGGCTCAGTAGCTCTGCATCCCCTTTACTGTTTTGTCTAGAAAATACTCTTTTGGCAGCCTGTGTTATCAGCACTTTGACAGTACTCAGTGGAAACAATGAGCTAAAAGTTTCTGCATACTCTTTAATCCCCAGAGTACCTACAGCACACAGTATACTTCCCAAAAGTGGTGTCTGTAACTCCAAGGAAACGCAAATTAAAAAAGTAGCAGAGCTGCATAATGGTAGAGAGTGATGATGTCAATACAATAATGCAATATGAAACACTATTTTTAGGAGGATATTTTAGGAAGTAAATATTTCAGTAACCTGAGGCTGCACTGTCTTCAAGATCTCAGCTCCAGTGTTTCTTATAATTAATTTGCTAATAGTGTCAAAGATTCAAAGTTTGACATCAATCCACTATTTCAAGTTCATCCCTTTACAAACATCATTTCCACTCATTTGGCTTTCCAGAAATGTTTAGTGGAGTGGGAGATAAAGGAATGGATGCTAAAGTCAACAAGAATAGATTAATAAATAACCAGAAGTCTATTTTCTGTGCCACACTCATTAATGGTGGACTATCACTGCTGCTCCTTTTACTGTTGCAGGATTGTGAATGACTGAGAGTGCTTATGAGTTGTAATGTTGTAATCAATTTTGTTTCATTTTTAAATTTTAAAGATGAATAAATGTTTAATTCAGAAGAAAGCAAATATAAATGAATAAATTATCAGTGGTGGATCTTCTCTGAAGTACACAAATGAGATTAATGCTCTAAGCACTTCTGTTCATAACACACAGTATTGATCAAATTAAGAGCAGGCAAAACAAAGCACAGGTGAAAATTCCAAAACCCTGTTTAGGTTAATGACATTAAAATCTGTAAACTTTACATACTGGATATTTTAAATTGTTAAGTTATACTATAACATTCATCTTTTAAAACGTATACAATTCACCAGTTTTTATACACTCACACAGTATTTTACCACCCCAAGAAGAAACCCCATACCCATAAGCAATCACTCCACATACCCTTATACTTCAGCCCTTATCAATTACTAATCAATTTTCTCTACAGATTTGCCTATTCTGGACATTTTACATAAGTGGAATAACACAATATATGGCCTTTTTTGTGTCTGGCTTCTTTCACATAGCCCGATGTTTTTAAGGTTTATCCAAGTTGAGACATGTATCAGTACTTCATTCATTTTTTATTGTCAAGTAGCATTTCATATATGAATTGATATAGTTTGGCTGTGTCCCCACCAAAATCTCATCTTGAACTGTAGCTCCTATAATTCCCACATATTGTGGGAGGGACCCAGTGGGAGGTAATTGAATCACAGGGGCAGAACTTTCCTGTGCTGCTCTCTTGATAGTGAATAAGTCTCACAAGATCTGATGGTTTTATAAAGGGTAGTTCCCCCACATATGCTGTCTTGCCTGCCACCATGTAAGGTGTGCCTTTCTCCTCCTTTGCCTTCCCCCATTATTGTGAGGCCTTCCCAGCCATGTGGAACAGTGATTCCATTAAACCTCTTTTTCTTTATAAATTACCCAGTCTCAGATATGTCTTTATTAACAGCATGAGAACTAATATAGTAAATTGGTACTGGTAGAATGGGGTGCTGCTGTAAAGATACTTAAAAATGTGGAAGTGACTTTGGAACTGGGTAACAGGCGAGGTTGGAACAGTTTGGAGGGCTCAGAAGAAGATAGGAAATGTGGGAAAGTTTGCAACTTCCTAGAGACTTGGAGGGTTCAGAAGACAGGAAGATGTGGGAAAGTTTGGAACTTCCTAGAGATTTGTTGAATGGATTTGACCAAAATTCTGATAGGGATGTGAAAAATGAAATCCAGGCTCAGGTGGTCTCAGATGGAGATGAGGAACTTCTTGGTAACTGGAACAAAGGTCACTCTTGCTGTGCAAAGAGACTGGCAGCATCTTGCCCATGCCCTAGAGATCTGTGGAACTTTGAACTTGAGAGAGATTATTTAGGGTATCTGGCAGAAGAAATTTCTAAGCACCAAAGCCATCAAGAGGAAGCAGAGCAGAAAAGTTTGAAAAATGTGCAGCCTGGTGATGCAGTAAAAAAGAAACAAACATTTCCTGGGGAGAAATTTAAGTCTGCTGAAGTTTGCATAAGTAACAAGGAGTCAAATGTAAATCACCAAGACAATGGGAAAAAATATCTCCAGGCCATGTCAGAGACTTTCATGGCAGCCCCTCCCATAACAGGCCTGGAGACTTAGGAGAAAAAATTGGTTTCATGGGCCTGGCCCAAGGCCCCAGTGCTCTATGAAGCCTTGGAACATGGTGCCCTGTGTCCCAGCTGCTTCAGCTCCCACTGGGATTAAAAGAGGCCAATGTACAACTCAGGCCATTGCTTCAGAGGGTGCAAGCCCCAAGCATTCGCAGCTTACATGTGGTGTTGGGCCTGCAGGTGTACAAAATCAGGAATTGAGGTTGGAGAACCTCCGCCTAGATTTCAGAGGATATATGGAAACACCTGGATGCCCAGGCAGGAGTTTGCTGCAGGAGCAGGTCTCTCATGGAGAACCTCTGCTAGGGCAGTGTAAAAGAGAAATGTGGGGTCAGATTCCCAACAGAGTGCTCACTGGGGCACCACCTAATGGAGCTGTGAGAAGAAGGCCACCATCCTCCAGACCCCAGAATGGTAGATCCACTGATAACTTGCACCATGCACCTGGAAAAGCTGCACACACTCAATGCCAGCCTGTGAAAGCAACCAAGAGAAGGGCTGTACCCTGCAAGGCCACAGGGGCAGAGCTGCCCAAGGCTGTGGGAGCCCACCTCTTGCATCAGCATGACCTAGATATGAGACATGGAGTCAAAGGAGATCATTTTGGAACTTTAATGTTTAATGACTGCCCTATTGGATTTTGGGCTTGTATGGGGCCTATAGCCCTTCATTTTGGCCAGTTTCTCTCATTTGGAATGGGTATATTTACCCAATGCCTGTACCCCCATTGTTTTTGGGAAGTAACTAACTTGCTTGTGATTTTACAGGCTCATAGGGGGAAGGGACTTGCCTTTTCTCAGATGAGACTTTGGACTGTGGACTTTTGACTTCATGCTGAAATGAGTTAAGACTTTGGGGGACTGTTGGGAAGGCATGATTGGTTTTGAAATGTGAGGACATGAGATATGAGAGGGGCTGGGGCTGAATGACATGGTTTGCTGTGTCCCCACCCAAATCTCATCTTGAATTGTACCTCCCATAATTCCCACATGTTGTGGGAGGGACCCAGTGGGAGGTAATTGAATCATGGGGGTGGGTCTTTCCCATGCTGTTCTCAGTATAGTGAATATGTCTCACAAGATCTAATGGTTTTATAAAGGGTAGTTTCCCTGCACATGCTCTCTTGCCTACTGCCACATAAGACGTGACTTTGTCCTCCTTTGCCTTCCACATGATTGTGAGTCTAGGGCTAGGGGAGGGAGTTCCCCAACCCCTTGTGATTCCCGGGTGAGGAGACACCCCACCCTGCTTCGGCCTGCCCTCTATGGGCTACACCCACTATTTAACCAGTCCCAGTGAAATGAGCTGTGTACCTCAGTTGGAAATGCAGAAATCACCCACCTTCTGCACTGATCTCACTGGGAGCTGCAGACTGGAGCTGTTCCTATTTGGCCATCTTGCCAGCCACCTCAAGTTAATTTTTTTATACTGTGAAAGGTAGGGGCCCAGTTTCATTCTTCTGCATAAGGGTAGCCAGCTATCCCAGCACAAATATAAATTTAATAAAGTTAACATCTTTGATAAAATTGATGGATTTATTGAAATACATGAAATACTGGACCTGATTCAAAACATAGAATTCTAAACATCTTTTTATATCTACAAAATAAATTGATTCCCAATTTTACAAACTCTTCACATAAAACTCTAAGCCCAATTAGTCTCTCTGGTAAATTCTATCAAACAGATTAGAAATAAATAATACCAACCTACAAAAACTCTTTTTGAAAATATAGAAGGAAGAAACACTGCTTTTCAATTCTTTTTATGAGGGCAGCATAATCTCAGTACTAAAACCTGAAAAAAATTTAATAAGAAAATTATGGACCAATATATTTCATAAACTTTGAAAAAGTCCTTCATAAATTATTAGCAAATTAAATCATGCAGTACATAACAATGGCAATACAAAATAATGAGGTGGACTTTATCTCAGAAATTCAGGGTTACATTTGGAGATCAATCAATGTAATTGGCTGCAACAAAAGAAAAGTAGAAATATTATGTAATCATAATATTTTTTGATTGCAGAAAAGTCATTTGATAAGATTCAGCATCCGTTTGTGATAAAAACAAAATCTCTCAGCAATTAGGAATAGAAGTTAAATTCCTCAATTTGCTATACAGGGAGTGTGTAAAACCTACTGCTAACATCAAATTTGATGATTAAGTGATAAAGACTTTTACTTTAAGATGAGGAGAAAGGTAAGGATGTTTGTCTTGCCATTTTTATTCCATATTGAACTGGAGGACTTATTAAATAGATAAAGGCAAGAAAAAGACAGAGATAAGGATTGGAAAGAAGGAGATGAACTGTGAAGCTGAGCACTGTGTTTACCCTCTGCCAAAGGCTCCATATAGTATCCCTATCTACTACTAACACTTTAAGCAACTTCAGATCTGCTGGATCATATGGCCCAACTGGCACAGTAGCTTGTACAGCAGCCTGTACTGCTGCAGAGCCTTCTCTTCTTCTGGGCTCCAATCAAAATTGATAGTTTTTGAGATCTTACAATAACTAGGTTGGAATAACATACTCAAAAGAGATATATATTGCCTCCAAAATCCAAAGAGGCCTGTTAGGTGTTGTGAATTTTCCTTAGCGTTAAGAGAGGGTAGATATAGCAACTTCTTTGCCTTGAATGGGGTATCTTGACATGTCCCAGACAACTAGATTCCTAGAAATTTCACTAGGATAACTGCTAATTTTTGTGGACTTTTATTTCTTACTCATGTACAAGCAAGTGTCTTACTAATGTGTCTAGATTAGTTGCTAATTCTTGGTCACGAGTTCCAATTACATATTATGGGTTAATGTGTGTCCCCCCAGAAGTCAAATATTGAAGTTCTAACCCCCAGTACCAGAATGTGACCTTATTTGGAAAGAGATCTAATTTTAAGATCAAGTCATGCTGGAGTAGGTGGACTCCTAATCCAATATAACTGGTATCCCCATAAAAAGGGAAATTTTGGAAATTTGGACACAGAGATGCACATAGGAAGAATACCATGTGAATATGAAAGCAAAGGTAAGGATGATACAGCCACAGCCAAGGAAAACCAAAGACTGGCAGAAAATCACCAGAAGCTGAGAGAGAGGCTTCATAGTCATCCCACATCTACTCACTCCTGGCCCCAGAAAAAAATAGTGATCTTCTATCACCACAAGTTTCTTCTTGTTCTAGAGTTTCATATAAATGAAATAAGGAGTGTGTACTCTTTCCATCTGGATTCTTTTTCTCAGCTTAATATTTGGAGATATTGTTTGTGTATAGTAGTCCATTATATTGTATTGCTGAGTAGTATTTTATTGTATGGTTATAGCATAATTTGTTTATTCATTTACTTACTGGTATACATTTGAGTTGTTTTTGGTTTGGAGCTATCAAGAACAAAGCTGCTATACATTTGTATAGTCTTGCTGTGGACACATTTTTATTTCTGTTGAGGAAATACCAAGGAGAAGAGTTGTTGGGTTATGTAGTAAGTATACAGTTACTTTTAAGGAAAAGATTATTAAGATGTTGGCTGTTCATTGCAGTCTGAAATAATAACATTTATGTGTAAATATCCAATAGGTATTTTGATATATATATACACATAGAACTATAGATTGAGATGTATTCCTATTAAACAGCATCAATACTGGAAAAGAGTACAAAATAATAAGTTTAGACATGGATAGCCATAAGTGGGAAAAGAAGGGTCAGGAAAAGGAAATCAGCAAAAGAACCAGAAATTAAAATAGGAAAATTAGAAAAATATGAAGTCATGAAGTCAAGAAAGTTAAGACAGGAGCATAAATAGGACCAAAATTTCTAGAGGTGGCTGGGCGCAGTGGCTTACGCCTGCTAATCCCAGCACTTTGGGGGATCAAGGCAGGCGGATCACTTGAAGTCAGGAGTTCAGGATCAGCCTGGCCAACGTGGAAAAACCCCGTCTCCACTAAAAATATAAAAATTAGCTGGGCATGGTGGCATGCACCTGTAGTCCCAGCTATTCGGGAGGCCGAGGCAAGGGAATCACTTGAACCCAGAAGGCAGAGATTGTGGTGAGCTGAAATTGCACCACTGCACTCCAGCCTGGGTGACAGAGTGAGACTCTTTCTCAAAAACAAAAACGACAATAAAAAATTTCTAGAGAATGATGGTTTCCAATTTCATCCATGTCCCTACAAAGGACATGAACTCATCATTTTTTATGGCTGCATAGTATTCCATGGTGTATATGTGCCACATTTTCTTAATCCAGTCTATCATTGTTGGACATTTGGGTTGGTTCCAAGTCTTTGCTATTGTGAATAATGCCGCAATAAACATACGTGTGCATGTGTCTTTATAGCAGCATGATTTATAGTCATTTGGGTATATACCCAGTAATGGGATGGCTGGGTCAAATGGTATTTCTAGTTCTAGATCCCTGAGGAATCGCCACACTGACTTCCACAAGGGTTGAACTAGTTTACAGTCCCACCAACAGTGTAAAAGTGTTCCTATTTCTCCACATCCTCTCCAGCACCTGTTGTTTCCTGACTTTTTAATGATTGCCATTCTAACTGGTGTGAGATGATATCTCATAGTGGTTTTGATTTGCATTTCTCTGATGGCCAGTGATGATGAGCATTTTTTCATGTGTTTTTTGGCTGCATAAATGTCTTCTTTTGAGAAGTGTCTGTTCATGTCCTTCGCCCACTTTTTGATGAGGTTGTTTGTTTTTTTCTTGTAAATTTGTTTGAGTTCATTGTAGATTCTGGATATTAGCCCTTTGTCAGATGAGTAGGTTGCGAAAATTTTCTCCCATGTTGTAGGTTGCCTGTTCACTCTGATGGTAGTTTCTTTTGCTGTGCAGAAGCTCTTTAGTTTAATTAGATCCCATTTGTCAATTTTGGCTTTTCCATCATTCTCAGTAAACTATCGCAAGAACAAAAAACCAAACACCGCATATTCTCACTCATAGGTGGGAATTGAACAATGAGATCACATGGACACAGGAAGGGGAATATCACACTCTGGGGACTGTGGTGGGGTCGGGGGATGGGGGAGGGATAGCATTGGGAGATATACCTAATGCTAGATGACACGTTAGTAGGTGCAGCGCACCAGCATGGCACATGTATACATATGTAACTAACCTGCACAATGTGCACATGTACCCTAAAACTTAAAGTATAATAATAATAAAAAAAAGAAAAAAAAAAAGTCATCAAAACTTAAAAAAAAAAAAAAGTTTTACTATTTTCATCACAGATATATCATGAAAAATTAAAACTTTCATTTATTCATCTAAGGAAAGATTTCTCAAAGAAGTAAATCCATAAACAATATTGTACATGTTTTTATGTAAAAGATAATTTATTAATTTGTTTTCAGCTGTCAAGAACCGAATGCATTTGTTACTAAAATTATAAAATGTCCCTTAATTAGGTTATAGTAATGATTGTGTATATTAGCAAACACCTAAATGTTTTGCTGATTGGGTAATGTGGGGTAAATAAAAAAACATTCATTTCAAAAAAAAAAAAAAATTTCTAGAGGACAAGGAAAATGGCACTTCATTGGTACTAATATTTATATTTTCACCATTCTTATAAATTATTTTCTCTCATCCTGATGAAATTGTCATATGGTTTTTGTCTTTTGCCTGTTAATATGGTGAATTACATGCATTGATTTTCAAAAATTAAACTAAGCTTGCATTCCTGGGATAAAGCCCCCAGAGCCATAGTGTAATCTACTTTTAATATATTGTAAGATTTGATTTGCCAAAATTTTGCTGAGAATTTTTGCATCTGTATTCATGAAGGGTACCGATCTGTAGTTTTCTGTTCTTGTGGTGCTCTTTCTTGATTTTAATGTTGCTTCATAAAATGAGTTGGGAATTGTTTTCTACTTTTTCATTTTTCTGGAAGAGTTTGGACAGAACTGGCATCATTTCTTCCTTAAAGGTTTGGTAGAATTCCCCAATGAAGCCACCTGGGCCTGAAATTTTCTATGTGGGGAATTGCTTTTCTTGTTTGTTTGTTTGTTAACTATAAATTTAATTTCTGTAAAATACATAGGGCTATTCAGGATAGCTATTTCTTCTAAGTAAGCTTTGGTAGTTTATGTTTCAAATACTTTTTCCATTTTATCTAAATTGTCAATTTTGTTGGCATGAAGTTGTTCATATCATCCCCTAATTTTCCCTTTAATGTTTAGCATCTGCTGGGAGATTCCCTTCTCTCATTCTTGATATTGGTAATTTGTGTTATCTCTTTTTTCCACATCAGTCTGGCTAGAGGTTTGTCCATTTTATTTATTTTTTTTCCAAAGAGCCAGCTTTTAATTTCATTAATTTTCACTATTTTTCTTTTTTTATTTTATTGTTTTCTAATCTTATCATTATCATTCCATTCTTCTGCTTACTTTGTATTTATTTTTTCTTTCACACATTTCTGAAATTCAAAGCTGAGGTATTTATGGCCAGGTGCAGTGGCTCATGCCAATAATCCCAGCATTTTGGGAGGTCGAGGCAGGCAGATCATTTGAGCCCAGGAGTTTGAGACCAGCCTGGGCAACACAGCAAGACCCTGTCTCTAAAAAAATAAAACGACAAACACTTAGGTCATTAATTTCCGACATTTCTTTTATTTTCTCATATAGGAATTTAGTGCTATAATTTTTTAAAGCACAGCCTTATCTTTACATTTTCACATGTTGTGTTTTCAATTTTATTGATTTTAATGTATTCTCTTTTTTTTTTTTTTTTGAGACGGATTCTCGCTCTGTTGCCCAGGCTGGAGTGCAGTGGTGCGAACTCGGCTCACTGCAAGCTCTGCCTCCCAGGATCACGCCATTCTCCTGCCTCAGCCTCCCGAGTAGCTGGGACTACCAGCACCCGCCACCACGCCCGGCTAATTTTTTGTATTTTAGTAGAGATGGGGTTTCACCGTGTTAGCCAGGATGGTCTCGATCTCCTGACCTTGTGATCCACCCGCCTTGGCCTCCCAAAGTGCTGGGATTACAGGTGTGAGCCACCGCGCCCGACCTTAATATACTTTCTGATTTTTATTTTGATTTCTTCTTTGACAACAGGTTATGTATAAGTATGATATTTAGCTTACCATATTTTTTGTATTTTCCAGACTTCTTTCTGTTATTGATTCCTAATTCTGGCCAGAAAACATACTCTGATTTGAATACTTTTAAGCTCATTAAGACTTGTTTTTAAGGCACAGAATAGTGTCTGTTTTGGTCAATGTTCTGTGTGTACATAAAAAAAAATGTCTATTCTTCTGTTGTGTATAAGTGACATTTGGGTCAAGTTGGTTGAAGGTGTTGCTCAAGTCTTCTACACACTTATTGATTTTCTGTCTCATTGTCCTGTCAATTATTAAGAGTGGTGTTGAAATCTCTCACTGTAATTCCGGATTTTTGCATTTCTCTTTCAAATTCTGTTTTGCTTCATGTGTTTTGAAACTGTCATTAGCTTCACAAATTTTGATGACTTGACCCTGTTATCACTCATTATCACTGGTAATATTTTTTGCTTTGAAATCTATTTTATATTTATATAACTACTTCAGCTTTGTTTTTATTAGTTGTAACATAATATATGTTTTACACACTTTTACTTTTGACCTACTTATATCTTCATATTTAAAGTGGGCTTCTTTCAGGCAGTATGTAGTTTGTTTTCGCTTTTTTATCTAATCTGAATACCTTGCTTTTTTACTGGCATGTTTTGGCCACTGCATTTTACTGTAATTATTAGAATGGTTGAACTTATATCCAAATCTACCATCATGCTATTTATTATTTGCCCTATCTATTCTTTCTTATGTTTATGCCTCCTTTTGAATTTAGTATAATTTATGATTCCATTTTATATGTTGTTGGCTATACCTATTTGTTCTTTTCTTTTTTTGTGGGGGGGGGTTGCTAAAGTTTTAAAATTGCATTCGTTTTCTATTATTGCATAACAAATGACCACAACCTTGGTGACTTAGAACAATCAAGTCTATTATCTCATATTTTTAGGAATATAAAAGTCCAGGCATAATGTGGCTGAATTCTTGGCCCAGGATTTCACCAGGCTGACATGAAGATGCCAGTTGGGGCTCTAGTACTAATCTAGAGCTGTGGGCCCTCTTCTAAGGTCACTGGCAGGATTCACTTTCTTATCGTAGGGTGGAGGTCCCAGTTCTCCTGTTAGCTGTTAGCCAGGGACCTCTCTCAACATTTGGAGGCCATCAGTTCATAACATGGATGTTTGCTTTCTTTCTGGCCTACCACAATACGTCTCCATAATTTCCTCCTTGGTAACCAGCCAGAGAAATCTGTGCATTTAAAAGTCTTGTGTGGTTAGTTCAGGTGCACCTGGATAATCACCCTATCTTAAGGTCAGTTGATTTTGGTTTGGGATCCTAATTACATTTATACTTCACAAGAGTATCTAGATCAGTGTTTATCTGAGTAACTGACAAAAGGTTTGTGTATTCCCCAGGCCAAGAATTTTACCAAGGCCACCTTAGAATTCTGTCTGGCATTGAATTTAACACAATCTACATTCAAGTAATATTATATCACTAACAATACTGTAAGGATCTTATAAAAAGTATGCTTAGATTCTCTATACAAGCTTTGTGTTTTTGTCATACATTTTACTTTTACATATATAAATTTCTTTGTATACATACCTTACAAGACATTATTTTATTTTAAGCAGCATGTTATCTTTAAATACCTTTTTAAAATAAAAAAATTAATATTTACTCACACATTTACCATTTCTGCTGCTCTTCAGCTCTTCATTCTTTAGTGCAGGTCCAAATTTTCGTTTTATATTATTTTCCTTCTGCTTCAAGTATTTTCTTTATCATTTTCAAAATGTAGTGATAAGTTACATTAGTGATAAGTTATTTAGGTTTTCTTTAATTTTTCTGCTATGTTGTATAGTTTTCCACTTGGAAGACTTACACATCTTTCATTAAATGTATTCCTTCACATTTTTTATTTGTGCTATTGTAAATGGAATCTTAACTTCCCAATTTTTATATATAAAAATACAATTGACTGTTGTATATTAATCTGGAGTTCTGTACCTTTCTTTTTTAAAATTTTTTAAATTTTACTTTAAGTTCTAGGATACAAGTGCAGAACCTGTAGGTTTGTTACCTAGGTATACATGTGTCATGGTGGTTTGCTGCAGCTATCAACCCTCCATCTAGGTTTTAAGCACCGCATCCATTAGCTGTTTGTCCTAATGCTCTCCCTCCCCTTGCTCCCTATCCCCCAACCGGCCCCGGTGTGTTGTTCCCCTCCCTGTGTCCATGTGTTCTCATTGTTCAACTCCCACTTATGAGTGGGAACATGCAATGTCTGGTTTTCTATTCCTCTGTTAGTTTGCTGAGGATGATGGCATCCAGCTTCATTCATGTCCCTGCAAAGGACATGATCTCATTCCTTTTTATGGCTGCGTAGTGTTCCATGGTGTATATGTACTACATTTTCTTTATCCAGTCTATCATTGATGGGGATTTGGATTGATTCCATGTCTTTGCTATTGTAAATAGTGCTGCAATAAACATACGTGTGCCTGTGTCTTTATAGTAGAATGATTTATATTCCTTTGGGTATATACCCAGTAATGGGATTGCTGGGTCAAATGGTATTTCTGGTTCTAGATCCTTGAGGAATCACCACACTGTCTTCCACAATGGTTGAACTAGTTTACATTCCCACCAACAGTGTAAAAGCGTTCCTATCTCTCCACAGCCTCACCAGCATCTATTGTTTCTTGACTTTTTAATAATTGCCATTCTGACTGGTGTGAGATGGTATCTTATTGTGGCTTCGATTGCCATTGCTGTAATGATCTGTGATGAGCTTTTTTTTTTCATATGATTGTTGGCCTCATAAATGTTTTTATTTTTGAGACGTATCTGTTGATATCCTTTGCCCACTTTTTGATGGGGTTGTTCATTTTTTTCTTGTAAATTTGTTTAAGTTCCTCGTAGATTCTGGATATTAGACCTTAGTCAGATGGGTAGATTGCAAAAATTTCCTCCCATTCTGTGGGTTGCCTGTTCACTCTGATGTTGTTTCTTTTGCTGTGCAGAAGCTCTTTAGTTTAATTAGATCCAATTTGTCAATTTTGGCTTTTGTTGCAATTTCTTTTGGTGTTTTCATCATGAAGTCTTTGCCCATGCCTATGTCCTGAATGGTATTGCCTAGGTTTTCTCCTAGGGTTTTTATGGTTTGGGGTTTTACATTTAATTATTTAATTCATCTTGGGTTAATTTTTGTATAAGGTATAAGGAAGGGGTCCAGTTTCAGTTTTCTGCATATGGCTAGCCAGTTTTCCCACACCATTTATTAAATAGGGAAGCCTTTCTCCATTGCTTGTTTTTGTCAGATTTGTTGAGGATTAGATGGTTGTACATGTGTGGTATGGTGTTATTTCTGAGGTGTCTATTCTGTTCCGTTGGTCTGTATGTCTGTTTTGGTACCAGTACCATGTTGCTTTCGTTACTATAGCCTTGTAGTATAGTTTGAAGTCCAGTAGCGTGATGCCTCCAGCTTTGTTATTTTTGTTTAGGATTGTCTTGGCTATATGGGCTCTTTTTTGGTTCCACATGAAATTTAAAGTAGCTTTTTCTACTTCTGTGAAGAATGTCAATGTTAGTTTGATGGGAATAGCATTGAATCTATAAATTACTTTGGGCAGTATGTCCATTTTCATGATACTGATTCTTGCTATTCATGAGGCTGGAATGTTTTCCCATTTGTTTGTGTCCTCTCTTATTTTCTTGAGCAGTGGTTTGTAGTTCTCCTTGAAGAGGTCCTTCACATCCCATGTTAACTGTATTCCTAGCTATTTTATTCTCTTTGTAGAAATTATGAATGGGAATTCATTCATGATTTGGCTCTCTGCTTGTGTATTGTTGGTGTATAGGAATGCTTGTGATTTTTGCACCTTGATTTTGTATCCTGACACTGCTGTAGTTGCTTATCAGCTTAAGGAGTTTTGGAGAGATGCTAGGGTTTTCTAAATATATCATCATGTCATCTGCAAACAGAGGCAATTTGACTTTCTGTCTTCCTATTTGAAAATGCTTTATTTCTTTCTATTGCGATTGCCCTGGCCAGTACCTCCGATACTATGTTGAATAGGAGTGGTGAGACAGGGCATCCTTGTCTTGTACCAGTGTTCAAAGGGAATGCTTCCAGCTTTTGCCCATTCCGTCTGATATTGGCTGCGGGTTTGTCATAAATAGGTCTTACTATTTTGAGACATGTTCTATGAATACCTAGCTTATTGAGAGTTTTTAACATGAATGGATGTTGGATTTATCAAAGGCCTTTCCTGCATCTATTGGGATAATCGTGGTTTTTGTCATTGGTTCTGTACTTGTGATGGATTACATTTAATTAATTTGCATATGTTGAACCAGCCTGCATCCCAGGGATGAAGCTGACTTGATCGTGGTGGATAAGCTTTTTGGTGTGCTGCCTGATTCAGTTTGCCGGTATTTTATTGAGGATTTTCACATTGATGTCCATTAGAGATATTGCCCTGAAGTTGTCTTTTTTGTGTGTGTATCTGCCAGGTTTTGGTATATGATGATGCTGGCCTCATAAACTGAGTTAGGGTGGAGTCCCTCCTTTTCAACTGTTTGGAATAGTTTCAGAAGGGATGGTACCAGCTCTTCTTTGTACCTCTAGTAGAATTTGGCTGTGAATCTGTCTGGTCCTGGGTTTTTCATAGTTGGTAAGCTATTAATTACTGCCTTAATTTCAGAATTTGTTATTGATCTATTCAGGGATTTGACTTGTTCCTGGTTTAGTCTTGGGAGGGTGTATATGTCCAGGAATTTATCCATTTCTTCTAGGTTTTCTAGTTTATTTGCATTAAGGTGTTTATAGTATTCTCTGATCGTAGTTTGTATTTCTGAGGGGTCAGTGGTGACATCCCCTTTATCTTTTTTATTGTGTCTATTTGATTATTCTGTCTTTTCTTCTTTATTAGTCTAGCTAGTGGTGTATCTATTTTGTTAATTTTTTCAAAAAACCAGCTCCTGGATTAATTGTTTTTTTAAAGGGATTTTCGGTCTCTATTTCCTTCTGTTCTGCTCTGATCTTAGTTATTTCTTTTCTTCTGCTAGCTTTTGGATTTGTTTGCTCTTGCTTCTCTAGCTCTTTTAATTGTGATGTTAAGGTGTTGATTTGAGATCTTTCTAGCTTTCCGATGTGGGCATTTAGTGATATAAATTTCCCTCTTAACACTCCTTTAGCTGCATCCCAGAGATTCTGGTATGTTGTCTCTTTGTTCTCATTGGTTTCAAAGAACTTCTTGATTTCTGCCTTAATTTTATTACTTACCCACGAGTCATTCAGGAGCAGGTTGTTCAGTTTTCATGTACTTGTGTAGTTTTAAGTAAGTTTCTTAATCCTGAGTTCTAATTTGATTGCACGGTGGATTGAGAGACCGTTTGTTATGATTTCAGTTCTTTTGCATTTCCTGAGGAGTGTTTACTTCCAATCATGTGGTCGATTTTAGAATAAGTGCCATGTGGCACTGAGAAGAATGTATATTCTATTTATTTGGGATAGAGAGTTCCGTAGATGTCTATTAGGTCCACTTGATCCAGGGCTAAGTTCAAGTCCTGAATATCCTTGTTAATTTTCTGTCTCGTTGATCTAATATTGACAGTGGGGTGTTAAAGCCTCCTATATTATTGTGTAGGAGTCTAAGTCTCTTTGTAGGTCTCTACAAATTTGTTCTATATTAACTTCTTTTTCCTAGCTGTTTTGAGGATCCCTTAGAATTTTCAATGTAAATAATTATATCTGCAAGTGAAGGTAATTATATATCTGTGTTGCATTTTTTAAATGGTCGCATTTTCAACTTATCACAATCTTTTTTTTTTTTTTTAATGGAGTCTTGCTCTTGTCACCCAGGCTCAAGTGCAATGGTATGATTTCGACTTACTGCAACCTCCGCCTCCTGGGTGCAAGTCATTCTCCTGCCTCAGACTCCTGAGTAGCTGGGATTACAGGTGCCCACTACCATGCCCAGCTAATTTTTGTATTTTTAGTAGAGATGGGGTTTCACCATGTTGGCAAGGCTGGACTCGAACTCCTGACCTCAGGTTATCCACCCACCTCAGCCTCCCAAAGTGTTGGGATTACAGTCATGAGTTACCGTGCCTGGCCTATCACAATCTTTTATTGTTCTATTTGACAGCATTGGAACATCACTGCTCCAGTTATCAACTTACCCCTATTATTTGTTTAATTGTTGTCATAAATATTACATTTAAATACATTATAAACCCTATGGTACTGCATAAAAGGTTTGCTTTACATATTATGTCATTAAAGTAATTAAGAGAAGAATAAATTATATCGTCACATTTGCCAACATACTTATCATTTTAGGTGATCTTCATTCATTTCTATAGTTCTAAATTAACATTTTGCATCACTTATTTTCATTCTGAGGAACTAACTTCAGCATTTCTTATTGTATATGTATATTAACAATAATTTTAGTCAGTGCTTTCTCCATGTCTTTATTTTACCTTCATTTTGAAGAATAGTTTGCTAGACACAATTATAGATTAACAATAGTTTTTGTTCAAATCTTTAAAAATAACATTTTAGTGTCCTATCAAATGATTTATTTTTATTTAAATTTTCTCATGAAAAATAACCCATCATTAACATCTTTTTGCTTATGTATATAATATGTTGTTTCAGATGCTTTCAAAATTTTGTCTTATCTTTAGATTGAGCAGTTTAACTATGAAGTGCTTAGTTTCAATTTTTATTAAATTGATCCTGCTTGGGACTCATTTAAACACCTTGAATGTTAAAACTGATGTCTTTAAAATTCAGAGGGAAGTTCTCAGGTCCTAATTTTCCATATCCTTTTTTTTCTGCTCCATTCTCTCACTCTTCCCCTTTTGGAATTAACATTGTATGTATATAAGACTCCTTGATATTATTCCATATATCTCTGAAGCTCTGTTTAATTTTCTTCAATCTTTTTTTCTCTCTGTTCTTCATACAGGGATAATATAAATAATCTTTCTTAAAGTTTATCGACTTCTTCTTCTACCATCTTTAGTTGGTTATTATTCCCACTAGTATTTATTATTGTGAAACAAATTACCCTAAAAATTTGCAGCTTAAAGCAATGTACATTTATTATCTCACAGTTTCTGTGGGTCATGAATTCAGACAGAGTTTATCTGGGTCCTCTGCTTGATGTTCTCTCACACGGCTGAAATCAAGAAGTCCACCCAAAGTCTATGATCTCAACTGAAGACTCAGCTGGGAAAGCATTGACTTCTAAGCTCACTTCACAGTTTTTGGCAAGATCCAGTTCCTCACTGGCAAGCAAGAAAGAGATTCTAATAGCAAGATGGAAGCCACGATGTTTTGGAACCCAATCATCAAATGACATACAATCACTAGTCATCTTCCATTGGTGAGAAGCAAGTCACTTGATCCAGTCTACACTCAAGGGAAGGGGATTACATAAAAGCGTGAATACTACGAAAAAGGAATCATTGGAGATCATCTCAAGAGCATTCATACAACATCATACCATAATATTAATACTATTCAGTGATTTTTCATTGTAGTTATGGTACTTTCATATACTCACATACAGATACATACAAATGGAAAATCTATGTGAATGTATGTTTATGTTAAGCTGTTGCAAAGTCCTTGTCTGCTATTTATAACATCTGAATTACCTTGGGGTTATACCTATTAACTACTCTTATTCATGAACATGGGTCACTTTTTCCTGTTTATTCACAAATCTGGTGGATTTTATAGGATACTAGATATTATGAATTATGAACTGTAAAGATGACTCTGGATTCCATTTTGTTCCTTTGAAAAGTGAGTTTTGTTCTAGTGGGCAATTTACTTCACTGAGTCAAACTCCAATGTCCATTTTTTCTTCTGTGGAATGTAGCTAAAATCTCTACTCATTTTTTTCTGCTTCTAGCTGCTGTTTGTTTTTGCTTGGCTCAATGGGCTGTCACCTGCACATGCATAGTTTGGTAGTCAAATATTTAGGCAAATTTTATACATAGATTTTGATGCTTACATTCTTCCTAGTCCCTTCTCTTACAACATTTCCTCCTTAACTTTCTGGCCCCTTCTAGACTCGACTCTATCTTTTTACAACTTAAGCCAGTAAGGCTATGGCTTTCTGTGATTCATGCAAATTTCACTTGCAGTACATTTTTAAAGGGTAGACCTCTCTCCACTTGATGGCTGGTTTAAGACCCTCTGTAGTATCTTCAAACAGTTTTCTTTAAATGTTTGGCACTAATTTTATAGTTGCTATCTGTCAGACAGTTGGTCCCACAAAGCTACTCAGCCATTGCCCTAGTAATTGAATATTTAAACATCTAAGTAACAGATGGCTATTAAGGTTTCAAAATAATTACCTAGATTATAGGGGAGTTATGTCAGCAGGAGGGCAAAATAGAAGATCCCCCAGCGTCACTTCCCCCACCCCAACACACACAAATACAATTAGAAATTATTCAAACACCAGAATACTACCCTGAATTTGCAGAACTTAGGAGAGAAATAGAGAAACTCCCTGGGCCCACAGAATCAAGAAAAAACAAACCAGTAAGAGGAACAATTATTTCAGACTGCTCCACCATCTCCTTTTAAGCTGTCATAATGCCACTCACAGAGAATTTTTACAGATCCACTTTATTGGAAGTTGGAGGAGAGAACTGGAGGTTGGCATTTGATTTCCCCATTAGTCTGAGAATCTCCATGGGAAGCCCACTCTGATCCTGTCCCATGGGAACCACTGGTAGTGCCAATTGGGCTGAACCATCTGGAGTGGATTGAGGACAAAAAGCAAGGGTACTGATTACAGCAACTAGCGTGTGGATCTTGGTGGCTGCTATGTGCTCTGGTCAGTGGCGATGCCACACTGAGGAGACTGATTGGCACCATAGTGTGGCGGGGGTGCAATCCTCAACAAGGCCCAAATCCCTGGATGGATTTCCCACAATGTCCAGGTGTTTGCATGAAACCTTCTGATGAGCTGAAACAACTAAAAGGTCAGTGAATAGGTCTAATGCTTCCTTAAGTCTTCCCCAAACTGGGAAACAATGGTAGGGCAGTGCTTAAATTTCAGTGCAGAGTTTAAGTTCCAGTGCTCACTATATGTCTTCTCCAGGTCAGAAAGCAATAGTAGGCCAGTGATTACATTCTAATATTAAGTAGCAAATGTATAATACCACCAAAGAACACCTACAAAAAGTGGAAGAGTTGGCTACCCCATCAAATGTGCAAGCATCAACATAAAGAAACAAGGATTGTAAAAACTCATGGAAATCTGAAATCACCAAAAGAAACCAGCAATGTTCCAGTAATGAACTCCCAAAAACAAAATATCTAGAAGATGTCTGATAAAAAATTCAGAATAATCTTTTAAATGTTCAGGGAATCACAAAAAGATACAGATAGAAACTGAATGAAATTTGGAAAACAATCCAGAGACAAAATTAGAAATTTGATAAAGAAATAGAAACAATTTTTGAAAACCAAGTAGAAGTAAAGAATACAATAACTGAAATTTAAAAAACTCATTGGAAAGTTTCAACTGCAGAGTTGATAAAACAGGAAAAATTCAGTGAGTTCAAAGACATAACATGAAATTACCCAATCAGATGAGAAAAAAGTAAAAGTAATTTTAAAAGAGTGAAGGAGGCCTATGAGAATTATGGGACAATGTCAAGTGAATTAACCTCTGCATACTGTGAGTTCCTAAAAGGGATGAGAGAGAAAAAGGCCTAGAAAGTATACTTAAGGAAACAATGGCTAAGAACTTTCCAAATCTGAAAAAAGATGGTAGCATCCAGGTACAGGAAACTCAGAGATCACCAATAAAATTTAACCCAAAGAGATATTTCCCAAAGTACATCATAATCAAATTATCAAAAATCAAAGACCAAGAAAGGATACTCAAAGCAGCAAAAGGAAAACAAAAAATCACATTCAATGGAGCCCTAGTGCAGCTTTCAGTGGATTTCTCAGCAGAAACCCTGAAGGCCAGGAGAGAGTAAAATTGACATATTAAAAAAAAAAATCTCTCAGCCAAGAATACTGTACTTAGCAAAGCCAAACTTCAAACATGAAGGAGAGATGAAGACTTTTCCCCAACATCCCACAAGAGCCCTGGGCCTCTCTTTCAAAACCATTATGACCTCAAGACTTTGGCGCTCTGGACCTATGATGGATGTGGCAGCCTAGATCTCTGAAATGGCTTCAGAGTCATTCTACCGTTGTTTTGATGAATACCTCCTGGCTTCCCTCTATCCACATGAATCTTACCAATGGTTTCTTGGACACACCCATTGTTTTCTCTCCTAAACTTGATTTTTGTATTCTTTGCATGGGCAGCCTAAAAGTTTCTAAATCTTTACATTTTGTTTTGTTTTTGGATTATATTTATATATTTCCATCTTCAAATTGTTTCTGTCTCCTTGCACTTTACTAAAGCAGTTAAGAGAAGCCATGCAGTACCCTCAACACTTTTCTGCTTAGCAATTTTTTTCCATCAAATATTCTAGTTTATCACTCTTAAGTTCTAACTTCCACAGAGTCCTAAGATACAGACACAACTCAACCAAGTTCTTTGCCACTTTATTACAAGGATGGCCTTTCCTCCTGTTTCCAATACCTTGTTCTTCATCTGCATCTGAAATGGCAGAGTAGTCTTCACTGTATTTCTACCAACATTCTGTTCACAGCCACTTAAGTAATCTATAAGAAGTATAAGGTCCTCTCTGCAGCTCTCCTTTTCTTTTAACCCTTTACCAGAATCACCCTTTCGCCCCACTCATGGCAATATAGGCTTTTTCTAGCCTGCCCCTACCAACTGTATCAGCCTCTGCCTATTACCTAATTTCAAAGTCACTTCTACATTTTCAGGTATTTGTTATAGGAACACCCCCATTTATCAGTACCAATTTCTGTCTTAGCCCATTTTGTGCTGCTAAAACAAAATACCACAGACTAGGTAATTTTTACAAAAAATAAATTTATTTTCTCACAGTGCTCGAGGCTAGGAAGTCCAAGATCAAGGTTAAATAGGCAGATTTGGTTGTCTGGTGAGGGGTGTATCCTTCAGAAAGGAGAAATGCTGTGTCTTTACATGGTGGAGTTAAGTGAGTCAAATGCTAGACAAAGCTTTTTTTTTTTTTAAAAAAAGGTCTTAATCCCATTTATGAGGAAGCAGCCCTCATGGCTTAAATCACCTCTTAAAGGCCCCGCCTCTTAACCCTTTTCCTGTTTGCTGAGAATACTCACCGGTGGTGCTTGCAGCTGTAGCAATTACCCTGAGATAACTTTGCTATGAAATATTTCACTCTTATTATTATTTTCGCATTGCTCTAGCATATCGACTTTGGAAACAAAAGACATCATTCTATTTATAGCATTCTACATTTAGTAGTGGTATTTTCATTTACAAAATACAGTTATTTGCATTCACTGAAAATGTCAAATCCTAGAAAATGCAGCATTTCTACATGTGATGTTAACATCGTTCTGACAGTTGTTGGCCAAGGATTCATTTGATGAATCTGATTTTTCTGAAATAGACGATTCTGATGATCTAATCAATTCTGATATTAGTTCTGTTTAGAAATAACGCCAGCCAAGAACAGTTTTTATATTTTATTTTCACATTGGAAAATCAAGTCAGATTTGCTGCAGCCTCAAAGAGCATGTTTAAGTAAAATTAAATGAGTGCTGGCCATGAGCTGCATTTTTAAAATTCTAAACAGGAAAAGGGTTAATACTATCTAATTGGCAAGACCTGAATTTTAGAGGGGAGACATTCAAACCACAGGGGTGAAATTCCATTTGGTAAATTCTAGCTCATTTACCAAAAAACTCAAAAAGCTGCTAGTTTTGAGTAGGGTCTAAAGCAGGAGAAGGCTCCACAACAGGTCTAGGCTGCTGTGCAAGCTGCTCTGCCACTTGGGCCATATGACCTAGCAGCTCCAAGCGTACTTGAGGTGTCAGTGGCAGATAGGGATAATGTTTGCAGCCTTTGGCAGGCCTCCATAGGTGAATTGCAACAAAGGCCTTTAGGATTTTGGAGCACTGCCCTGCTGTCATCCACAAATAACTACTCTCTTTTTGAGAGACAGCTCTTGGCCTGCTACTGAGCCTTAGTAGAAACTGAAAGCTTGACCACAGGCCACCAAGTTACCATGTGACCCAAGATCCCTATTATGAACTGGATGTTCTCTGATCCACCAAGCCATAAAGTTAGGCATGCACAGCAGCACTTCATCATCAATGTAAGTGGTATATACATGATCAAACCCAGGCAGGTCCTGAAGGCACAAGTAAGGTCCATGAAGAAGTGGCACAAATGTCCATGGTTTCTGCTTTGCTACAATGGCTCCTCTTCTCAGCCTGTAGCTGTAACCTCATGGGAAGTTCGCTATGATCAGCTGATGGGAAGAGAAGACTCAGGCCTGGTTAATAGATAGTTCTGAACAATATGTGGGTACTACTGACAGTAGACAGCTAGCTGCAGCTCTACAGCCCCTTTCTAAGACATCTCTGAAAGTCCAAAGGTGAAGGAATATCTTTTTAGTGGGGTAAACTTTGGGCAGTGCCCCTGGTCGTGTGCTTTGTGTGGAAGGAGAAAGGGCCAGATGTGTGATTATATACCAATTCATGGGCTGTAGTCAATAGCTTGGCTGGATGGTCAAGGGCTTGGAAGAAACATGGTGAAAAACCGGTGACAAAAGAAATATGATGAAGAGGTATGTGGATACACCTTTTTAAATGGGCAAAGGACATAAAGACATTTGTGTTCCATGTGAATACTCACCAAAGGATGACCTCAGTAGAGGAGAATTGTAAAAAACAAGTAGATAGGATGACCCAGTCTGTAGATACCAGTAAGTCTCTTTCCTCAGCCATTTCTGTAATTGTGCAACAGATTCATGAACAAAGTGGTCATGGTGGCAGGAATGGAAGTTAGCATAGGATCAGCAACACAGACTTCCACTCACAAAGGCCAACCTGGCCATGGCTACTGCTGGTGCCCAATCTGCCAGCCCCAGAGGCCAACACTAAGCCACTGATATGATTAGCCAAGCATATGGTGGCATGGCAGGTTGATTACATTAGACCTAATAGACACTTACTCAAGGTATGTATTTGTCTTCTCTGCATGCAATATTCTGTTAAAAGTATCATCTGTGGACTTACAGAATGCTTATATATATATATATATCCTATTATATTTATTTGTATTACTTTATATATGTATGTATACACACACACACACACACACACACACACACACACACACTAAGGGGAGTTTATTATTAACTTACACGATCACAATGTCCCACAATAGGCTGTCTGCAAGCTTGAGAAGCAAGGAGAGCCAGTCTGAGTCTCACAACTGAAGAACTTGGAGTCCGATGTTTGAGGGCAGGAAGCATCCAGTATGGGAGAAAGATATAGGCTGGGAGGCTAGGCCAGTCTCACTCTTTTCATGTTATTCTGCCTGCTTTATATTTGCTGGCAGCTGATTAGATTGTGCCCACTAGATTAAGAGTAGATTTTCCTTCCCCAGCCCACTGACTCAAATCTCTTTTGGCAACACCCTCACAGACACACCCAGGATTAATACTTCGAATCCTTCAATCCAATCAAGTTGACACTTAGTATTAACCATCACAAGTCCACCCCTTGTCAACTTGAACCCATACACATCTCCTGAGATCATACATAATTTTCAAATAAAGACAATAATAAGGTCATAATTACACCTAACATAATACAACTATCCTTCGTACAACCAGAAATGTACCAATCCCCAACCCAAATAATATCACATAAAGTTAACAGCACTTAAATGCTGATATGAAATCAAGAAATCTTATGTCATATGATAAAGGAAAAGGAAATAAAACAAGATATTTTCTTAGTACAAGTATATACAGGCACAAATATGTTTTTAACAAAAGAAGGAGGAAATCCTCATGGTAGTTACAGTCCTCGTTTCTGAAGTTGGTCATGTGGTCATAGCTGGTACTGATGACTACCTTTCTCTACTACCCATTCTGTATTCCCTTTGCCTTCAGTAAGCACCTCAGCAGATCATGTTTTTTTTTCCTGGTGGGGTGACCCAAAACCTTCATTCCTGAGGGTTCTGGGCCACTTGTAGTCCTGCCTTAATTGGGCTACTGAGTTTCCCATTGACCTTAATCACAGGGCATGGTAATACTAAGAGATGCCCTAATGGATCTCCTGTATTCCATGCATACTCTTCCTTACCTCTGTTGTGGAGTGGTAGACTGATTTCATCTTGATAGTCTGGGTCAATCACCCCAGCCAACACTGTAACTCCCTTCTTAGCCTGTTGACTTAAAGGTAGGAGGAACCCAAAGTGTCCAGGTGGCAATCTTAATTTCCAGTTTAATGGAATAATTGTTGTGTCTCCTGGTGGCAGCGTCTCCCCTTTGAAACTAAGATCTCTAGGCCAGCAGAATGTAATGTCACAGGAACAGGAAGCAAAAATTTTGCTAGTGGATCACTAAGGGTGATGGTTTGTGGTGCCACTTCCACTCTTATCCATGGTCATAGTATCTCATACAGCATTGCTTCTGACCAAGAAACTCATGTCATAGTGAAAGAAGTGCAGCAATGGGCTCATGCTCATCGAATTATCTTATCGTGTTCTCCATCACCTTGAAGCAACTGTCTTGATAAAATGGTGAAATGGCCTTTTACAGTGCCAGCTAGATGATAACACTTTGCAAGACTGGAGCAGTGTTCTCCAGCAGACCACAGTTGCTCCAAATCAACACCCGGAATATGGTACTCTTTCTTCCATAGCCAGGATTCATGGATCCAGGAATCAAGGGGTGAAAATGGGTGTGGCACTACCCGCCATTACCCCTAGTTACACACTAGCAAAATTTTTGCTTCTTATTCCCACAACCTTATGCTCCGCTGGCATGGGTGTTTTAGTTCCAGAGGGATAAATGTTTCTACCAGGAGACATAACAATTCCATTGAGCTAGAAGTTGACTGCTATCTGGCCACTGTGGGCTCTTCATGCCTCTGAGTCAGCAGGCTAAGAGAGGAGTAACAGTGTTGGCTGGGGTGACTGATATGGACTATCAAGGAGAAATCGGACTGCTATTCTACAATAGAGGTAAGGACGAGTATGTCTGGAATACAAGATATCCCTAGGGGGGGCTCTTATTACTACCATACCCTGTGATTAAGGTCAGTGGGAATTTATAATTACCCAATCCAGGCAGGGCTGCAAATTGCTGAGATCCTACAGGAATAGACATTTGGGTTACTCCATCAGGTAAAGAACAATAACCAGCTAAGGTGCTTACTGCAGGCAAAGGGAATACACAACGGGTAATAGAACAAGGTAGTTATAAATACCAGCTACAACCATGTGGCCGGTTACAGAAACAAGGGCTGTACAATCTCTATTTTGTTAAGAATAGGTTTTTGTATATATACACATATATGAAGCAAATATCTTTGTTTTCATTGCTTTCTTATCCTTTGTCATGTAACATAATATGTATTGAGCTTGTATTAGTATAAGTACTGTTAATTTTACATCACAGAATTTTAGTTATCGGATATCAGAAAAGGAGTAAATATCATTCAAGAACTTTACCTCCTCTTCTGGGGAAAGGATTCGTGAGTTTTTGATTTTGCACAAGATAGCTGTATTGTTATTTAGAGATTAAGTATGATAAAGAGATGTGTATGGGTGCTAAGTTGACAAGGGATGAACTTGTGATGGTTGATTTTGGGTGTCAACTTGACTGGATTAAGAGATATCCAGATAGGTGGTATAGCATTACATATCTTCAGTGCTTCAGTAGGCACTAAGCCCATCCCTCTTCTGCTGAAAGGAAAACAAACCCAGGTGTTTTAGCATTCAATTAGAATGACTGGACTGCCCTACGTATGTCCATGAGGGTGTTTCCAGTGGAGATAGGCATTTTAGTCATTGAACTGAGTGGGGATGATCTGCCATCAATGTGGGTATGCACCATCTGATCAGCTGCGGTCTTGGATAAAACAAAAACATGGAGGAAGGGTGAATTCTTGCTGTCTGTCTTCTGGAGCTTGGGCACCCTTTATCTTCTGCCCTTGGATATCAGATCTCCAGGTTCTCTGGCTTTGGGACTCCTGCACTCACACTGGCAGCCCCCTAGGCTCTCAGGCCTTAGACCTCATACTGAGAGTTACACCATCATCTTCCATTCTTTGGTTGTGAAGTCTTCAAATATGATCCAGGCTACTGGATATCCTGGTCCTCCAGGCTGCTGGATCTCCTGGCTCTCCAGCTTGCAGATGGCCCATCATGGGACTTCTCAACTTCCACAATTGAGTGAGTCAATTTCTCTAGTTAGATAGATAGATAGATAGATATCTCCTATCAGTTCTGTCGTTCTGGATAACCCTGACTAAAACAGTAGCTTTACAGTTTGAAAAAAAGAGGCAAAAGATAGTTCTGATTTTGAATTGGCTCTAGTTTTTAATATTCAGGTAGATTAAGTGAAAATTTCCTCAACGTTTATGGTACACTTAAATAGGTGTGATTCTTCTTATTCCTATACACATACTCATTTGCACTGTGACTTTGCTGCTCCTTCCATCAAAGGGTATAGAGCCTATTTCTCCACCCCATGAATCTGGGTTTGGCCATGTGACTGCTTTGGAAAATGGGACATTAATAAATGTGATGAGCAGTGGCTTGGAAAGGGGTTGAACGTAGGGGCTTACACTCTTGCTATTCTTGTTACTGCCCTGTAAATAAGCCTGGGCTAGCCTGATGGATGATGAGAGACACATGGTGTAATCATCCCCATAACCCTGGCCAACAGCCTGCCAACTGCCAGATGTGTAAGGTGATCTTAGATCATCTAACCTCCAGCCGACCCATCAGCTGACCATGGACGTGAGCCAATTAGGAAGACAACAGCCAAGTCAGGCCAACCAGAAATGCTGAGCCAACCAATCATGAGCTAATTATATTGTTGCTTAAACAACAAACTTTTAGGATTTCATGTTATGCAGCAAAAGCTAACTGACACGACACTATTCAATCATTTTTCATTATTAGATTAACAAACCTCTACTGAATGCCTTCTGTATTAGTCTGTTTTCATGCTGCCGATAAAGACATACCCGAGACTGGGAAGAAAAATAGGTTTAATGGAATTACAGTTCCACGTGGCTGGGGAAACCTCACAATCATGACAGAAGGCAAGCAGGACAAGTCATATCTTACATGGATGGCAACAGGAAAAGAGAGAGAACTTGTGAGAGGAAACTCCCATTTTTAAAAGCACCAGATCTCATGAGACATATTCACTATCATGAGAATAGCATGGGAAAGACCCACCCTCATGATTCGTTTACCTCCCACTGGGTCCCTCCCACAACATGTGGGAATTGTGGGAGTTACAATTAAAGATGAGATTTGAGTGAGGACAAAGCCAATCCATATCATTCCACTCCTGGTCCCTCCCAAATCTCATGTCCTCATATTTCAAAACCAATCATGCCTTCCCAACCATCCCACAAAGTCTTAGCTCATTTCAGCCTTAACTCAAAAGGCCAAAGTCCAAAGCCTCATCTGAGATAAGGCAAGTCCCTTCCACCTATGAACCAGTAAAATCAAAAGCAAGTTAATTACTTTCTAGATGAAATGGGGGCACAGACATTGGATAAACACACTCATTGCAAATGGGAGAAACTGACCAAAACAAAGGGCTAAAGGCCCATGCAAGTCCAAAATCATTGGGGCAGTCAAGTCTTAAAGTTCCAAAATGATCTCCTTTGACTCCATGACTCACATCCAGGTCATGCCAATGCAAGAAGTGGGTTCCCATGGTCTTGGGCAGCTCCACCCATGTGGCTTTGCAGGGAATAGCCCCTCTCCTGGCTGCTTTCATGGGCTGGCATTGTCTACGGCTTTTCCAGGTGCACAGTGCAAGCTGTCAGTGGATTCACCATTCTGGGGTCTGGAGGACGGTGACCCTCTTCTCACAGCTCCACTAGGCAGTGCTTCGGTAGGGACTCTGTGTGGGGGCTCTGACCCCACATTTCCCTTCTGCACTGCCCTGGCAGAGGTTCTCCATGAGGCCTTTGTCCCTGCAGCAAACTTCTTCTGCCTGGGCATATCCAGGCATTTCCGTACATCCTCTGAAATCTAGGCAGAGGTTCCAAACCTCAATTCTCAACTTCTGTGCACCTGCAGGCTCAGCACCACATGGAAGCTGCCAAGCCTTGGGGCTTGCACTCTCTGAAGCAATGGCTCAAACTGTACCTTGGCCCCTTTTAGCCATGGCTGGAGTGGCTGGGACGCAAGGCACCAAGTCCTTAGGCTGCACAGAGCAAGGGGGCCTTGGGCCCAGACCATGAAACCATTTTTTCCTTCTAGGCCTCCAGGTCTGTGACAGGAGGAGCTGCTGTGAAGACCTCTGACATGCCCTGCAGACATTTTCCCCATTGTCTTGGGGATTAATATTCAGCTCCTCATTACTTATCCAAATTTTTGCAGCCAGCTTAAATTTCTCCTCAGAAAATAGGATTTTCTTTTCTATCACATTATCAGGCTGCAAATTTTCCAACCTTTTATGCTCTGCTTCCCTTATAAAACTGAATGCCTTTAACAGCACCCAAGTCACCTCTTGAATGCTTTGCTGCTTAGAAACTTCTTCCACCAGATACCCTAAATCATCTCTCTCAAGTTCAAAGTTCCACAAATCTTTAGGGCAGGGGCAAAATGCCACCAGTCTCTTTGCTAAAACATAACGAGTCACTTTAGCTCCAATTCCCAACAAGTTCCTCATCTCCATCTGAGACCAGCTCAGCCTGGATTTCATTGTCCATATCATTATCAGCATTTTGGTCAAAGCCATTCTTCAAGTTTCTAGGAAGTTCCAAACTTTCCCACATTTTCCTGTCTTCTTCTGAGCCCTCCAAACTTTTCCAACTTCTGCCTGCTACCCAGTTCCAAAGTCGCTTACACATTTTTGGGTATCTTTTCAGCAGCATCTCACTCTACTGGTACCAATTTACTGTATTAGTCCATTTTCTTGCTACTGATAAAGATATATGAGACTGGGAAGAAAAATAGGTTTGATGGAGTTACAGTTCCATGTTGCTGGGGAAGCCTCACAATCATGGTGGAAAGCAAGGAGAAGCAAGTCACATCTCACATGGATGGCAGCAGGCAAAGAGAGGATCCCATGCAGGGAAACCCGTTTTTAAAACCATCAGATCTCATGAGACTTATTCACTATCATGAGAATAGCATGGGAAAGACCTGCCCCCATGATTCAATTACTTCCCAGCAGGTCCCTCTCACACGTAGGAACTGTAGAATTAAAATTCAAGATGAGATTTGGTGGGAACACAGCCAAACCATATCACCTTCTGTTTGTAAGGCCCTCAGCTAGGAATAGAGATGCAAAGCCACATAAGATATGGTTTCTACCTAGATGACCTCATAATTATAGTATATAGATACCAGCAAATAGATAATGGCAGTGCAGTGTGATTATACTGTAAAATGATATGACTTTAAAATAAATGAAATCCAAACTGGGAATATAGATAAAAGATGATTATCTGTTGGAGATGGTCTAGGTAAAAAGCAGATGAGATCAGAATTGGATCTTCACCAATGAACAAAGAAGTTAGGGGAGAACATTCTAGGCAAAAGAAATAGCATATGTAAAGGCTCACAGACATTGAAGGATATGAAGTGTTTGGGAAATAGTGAGTAATACAATGCAGCAGAAATGTAGAGTGCAAAGTGATGGAATAAGAGAAGGTGGATGATTAAGGAAATTCAGGTCAAATAACCTATTTGGTGAGAAGTCCTAACTGTTGTAGAAGTATCAAAATATTAAGAAGAAATGAATACGGTAAAAAATCATAACAAATGTGTTAGTGTGTGAATTATCACAACTATTACCTTCTCATTTTCTTTGATTTTGGACTCTTGCAATGTGTCAGTAAAGCTACTGTACTGCTACTTGTCTATGTTTATTACCTTATCAACCTCATTCTGTTAAGTTCATTTAATTATACTTACTGTTGTTCAACTTGAAGCATACAAACCCTTTAATTCACATATATACCCCCAACTATATGAGAGGCACTGTTATCTGCAAAGCAATTTAACTTTTTTTAAAGATTGATTTGAACCAACGGTATGAAGCTGGCTCCTTAGAACAATGGAAAATAATTGGTTTAAGGTGATTCAAAAATACTCCCTTCCCAAAGTCATGGAAGTAGTGACACATTCCTTGAGTAGCAGACTACTTATGATCATGTGTGCTTTACTGTGCTGAAGAACATCTCTTTAAGATGTTTGGAGAAGAATTATGAGAAGAACCACTTAAAAGTGATTCTATGCCTAAAGCCTCCCCTCCTCTGAAACTTATCCATTTGTCCATGTGTCTGGCATAGTTACTAGATGATGAAAGAAAAAAGAAAAAAAAGAAATTACCTGTGAAACTTTCAAGCATGAAATAACCTTCCAGAATCAAGCCTACACATTACCTGGCATGAGTATTCAGTAAATGCTTGTTGAATGAATGACACATTGATAACGTCAGCTTCAATTTCTCCAAATATAAAATGAGAAGCTAAATGATCATTAGAGTTCCTACCGATCTTAAGATTCAGATAGTTTTTTCCCCACAAGACAATACAAAAGCATAAAAATGTACACATCAGTACAATTTATTTAGTCTTACTCTAATACAACAAGTTGCATTTGTTCTTTAAAAGAAACAAAGTATAAAACTATAAAAAAAAACCTTGAAAATTATACAAATTTTTTTCAAAGCATGGTTTTAAAAACACATCTTTAAAAAGCGTGATTGGGATGTGCCACAAGGAATCATAATAAATTTCAAAAGATAAAAAATAAACATTGACACAGAAGTCAATCACTCAGTCACAGAAGTTTTAAATATAAGGAAATTTTGATGAATTACAGCTTTATTTCTGCTGCTGTCAGGAGTACTTCTATGATGGGATTCACAAATTTTACTAGAACTTTAAGCTGAATAGATTTGTCATGTTACTAATGCTATAAATTAATTCTAAACCACGGTTTGGGCATTTCACAAACGTTGAGAACACTAGTTTTTGGCTTTGGTAATGATTGCAAATATCAAATTCTTTTCTTTTTAATTGTAATAAAATACACATCAAATACACCATTTTAAAGTATACAATTCACTGGCATTTTGGCACATTCACAATGTGCAACTATCCCCACTATCTTGTTCTACAATATTTTCATCAATCCAAAAGAAAACCCCATACCCATGAAGCAGTCACTCCCATTCCCCCAGCAACCATGAATCTGATTTATCTCTATGAATTTACCTATTCTGCATATTTCATATAAATGAAATCATATAATATGTAGCCTTTTGTGTCTAGCTTCATTCACTTAGGTTTTTTATCCTCCAAAGAATATCACATCTTTCTGCATTTAAGGTAACAACATTTATGTAAATCATGAGAAAAGGAAGCTAAATGACATCTTAGGTAAGCCAATCGGCGCAATGACCTTTCAGAATGCAGTTAAAGTTTTCAATACTGAGTAGTATTCAAACATTGATCAAATGAACAATACTACTTTAACATTTTAAGTGCAAATAAAAATCTTTAGAATTCATCTCCACTGAATTATTAGCCATTCAGAGTAAGTTATTTCATATGACATGGCTGTCATGACAAAGCTATTGGAATGTTGTAGGGACCAATACTGTTCTCTCCATATTTTATTTAAAATACAGATTTTTTAAAAAGTCATCAATTGATATAAAAGACATCCAGTTGACATAATCATTCATTGGGTAATTTTACTCTTGAGCAGACACAGTGCCCATTATTTCCATGGTTTGATTTATTTCAATCAAATAACACGGTTAAACCTGAATGCTGATACTTGTTAGATTCAGCAATACTTGCTGATTTTTGAAGAAAAAAATGAAAAAAAATTTGTTTCTTCACGGGTGAGCTGAGAGAGACTTTAAAACAAGCATGATAAGTTACTTAAATCTAAAATTACTGACGAAAATGACTAAATTCAGGGTCACCTCACCAGAAAATTAATGTCATGGGATAAAGAAGCAATAATGACAATATGGAAAAGAAGATTTCAACACAAAAAAAAATTCTAGGACAGCAGAATGCAGGACCCCTTTTTTTCAATTTCAATCTTTTGAATATTAACAAATTGTTACTGTTCTTATGTCATCAGACTTTAAAACTACTAAATACTAATATAACAATGTTACTTTTTGACTGGAAGGGGTATTAAAAAGCTGTCTAACTCTAGTCAGTCTCTCTGTCAAAGAATAAACAAATAGATCAACCTATTTGCCTCACATCTGAGAAACAAAATTTCTAAAAATTTATATTAGAAAAGGGTAGAAATTAAATCTGATGAATTTGCCTTTGTTAGGAGCAACTGACCTAATTTATTGGTCTTAAGAGCAATTTGACCTGATTAATTGGTCTTAAGAGTTCAACACAAATGCAGTTTTGTTACTTTCAAATACACGAAGAACTATTAACCACCACAAGAACTAGCTACATATTGAAGAACCATTCCCTAGTATTTGCATGCAAATGGGTTAATAAAATGATTTTGGAGATGCTTAAATTTTTACCCAGTATTTGCCTTATGTTGTCAGTTCACTTCAAAAATGTTTTCTTCATAGTAAAAGACAGATGCTTCCGTCCAGCTTATCAAAAAGATTGAAAATTATTTTTAAAAAAGGACTTTGCATCAATGAATTTTTATTATATTTCTATAGAGCATGTTCATGAATATTCCTTATAACCCATTTCTTTGTAGTTTATTAATGAAAAGTCACTCTCCACATAATACATTGAAATATAAAACAATCTGAATACAAAATGCCAGTTTTGAAATGTGCTAAGGTAACAAAGCACCTCAAGATGTATCGCCATTAATACATCTCAAGGTGTACTGGCCAATTATGAAGATTATATATGTCAAATAAACATGTATAAGCAATTTATTTAAAAAAGTTTAATCATAGATGCAATAACCTACTTGTAAAATTCAGCAAGAGGCCCTCATTTCGCAAAGATTTTCAGAGCAACATATCACACTTGGTTAGTTAGTTTCCTTTTGGTATTGCTCCAAAATGCTTTCCAAAGCAGTAGGAATCAAATATCCTAGGCAACATTTTCCAAATTTCCTTACATCTAAACATCTCTTTTCTTCCTGCATTCGTAAAGTGAAAAAGTGATCTATGTAAGGACATAATTCTCTCTCAAATATCCCAGTACACTAATCACTGCCTAAATTTTGAGTACCTATTTTCTCATCCATAAAATTCAAATTTGAAAGGTTTTATCTCTTGATCTCACTTTAATCTTTTAAATAAAGGGAAATAATTATGTAAAAGATGACTTCAAAAGCAAACCATCTTTCCTTTTCCCTTATTTAGAAAGGACTTCATTAGAGTTGATCTTTTCTGAATTCGAACTTTGCTTTTTTGGAAATCAGACAAATCCTGTCAAACCCCATTATTAAATTATCTTAAACACCATCAAACAAGTCACTGATGAGTTGATAAAGGTATAACTAATATTCTCTGCTTCCTAGACCTTATGAGCATCTTAAGTAAGACTACTTAACAGCAACGTTTAGATAACCAGTCAAACACCTATCAGAGAAATTCTTTCCATCAAAAGTCTGTCCAGAGAATGAGGGCCAATTGCTTTCTCTCTACTGCACTTCTAAACAACCAACTCTGCAAGCTCCAATCACATCACCAATGTGGCATGTCATGCATGAAACAAACACATTTTAAAATATTTGAATAACTTTTCCTTAGGAAATTTTAAAATTAATAAACCCCATGTCTTTTCAGGTTGGGATGCAAAACATGAAGAAATCTGTTTTGCTTCCAAACACCTAAAACTAGTCAAATCTCCACAGGCAAAACTGTTATCGATATAGTAATATAAACTACCATATCTTCAAGGGATATGGAAGTTTTGCTGAAAATCCTATTATCAGCAACATTACTAAGATCCCAACATCCAGTGTTAAAGGACAGATATTAATAGCAACAACATTGATGAGATAGGCAGCACAGAGTCAAAGATCAAAAAAGATTCTATACTACTTGTAAACAAGAGATCCAATCTTTCATAACATCTTATTGATAGGGTTGAAAAGATCCCTAAAAATATTTTTTGTAGGATTTAATCCAATATTTGTCTACTTCTACTCTTTGATTACCCTACAATTTGAATATGTTCACGACTCTACAACCACTAAACAAGAGAATGAGATGACTAGGCTAAATGTTACTGCTAATGAACTAAAATTTGCACTGCAATTTACCTTGAACAGAAGAAACACTAGTAAAATTTTAGTAAAATTTTAAATACTAGTAAATACTAATTTAAAGAATACAAGTCCAACAACTACAGTACCCAGTGTATTTTGTCATATGGCTGTAAAATTGAGACAACATATATAGTTTAACCATTAATAAATTACCATTACTGACTTTTGGATTACACATATATTTATACAAACACACACAGGTACACACATATATCCACTCCAGTAATGCACCAGAGGGTAGCTGGCATGACCCAGTCTTCCCTCTAAGTTCTAATACTTTACTGTGCGTTAGAATCACCTAGAGATCTTGTTAAAACAGATTGTTGGGTCCCACCCCAGAGTTCCTGATTCACTAAGTCTGGAGAGAAGCCTAATAATCTGCATTTCTAACAAATTCCTAGGTGTTGATGTTCCTGCTGGTCCAAGGACCACACTTTAGGAACCACTGCTGTAAGATCTGTGAGTCTCAAAATCTAGAAAAAAGAGTGAGAGAGGGAGAAGGGAAAGGGAGAGGGAGAAAGATTAAGCTAACAGGCAGTATTGAGGAAGGAGGCAGAGGACAAAAGTGAATTCAAATACTTCCCTCCATCCCGATGCTTGCCTTTTACCTTGCTATTTAGCAAAGACTAAGGAATCAATGATGACTTCTCAAAGTACAATCTATTAGGCCAACATAAAAACCTTTTCATACTTAAGAGGAGAGAGAGATGGTTTCCATGACAACTTTTAGAGCTATAACCATGCTAGAAACTCTTCCGCCTTTCAGTGCACCTAGGTGGTATTACTTTCGAGACACTGAAGGATCAGAGAAAGCTAACTAATGCGTGTCTCAAATTTTAAAAAAATTAAGGTTCACTAGTAAAACATGGGTGAGTAATGATGATAATCAACAACTACCATAACATGCAGAAAATCCACATTACAGAAACAATATGATTGTGTTGGAATTTGTCAAACAAGTATTAAAATTTTATTTAAATGAACGTTTTTAAGTTATTGAGCCATGTTAAGGGAAAACATTAATTTTATTAGAACTTGAACAAATGTTTCACAAAGAAAACATTTTAACAAAATGGTATGGTGGCATAACAATAACAAAAAAGAGAACAGCAAAATGTGTAAAAGAAATATAAGGTGGAAAAATTGTTAAGTATCTCATAATCCAGTGTGGAAATAAGAAGTCTAAATTTAAAAACAATGAATTTTAAAAAGCATAACTATAAAACAAAAGTTAATGCTTGTGCTATCCTAACCACAGACACATTCTTCAGCAAAACTTTAAAAGGCAGAGTTACATTTTATGGTATTTAATATCTCTTTTCTGTTGTTTTTTCCACAGAAATAGAGACTGTTTATTCAATCTCACAGTTGAAAAAGAAATTTTAAGCACTGAGAAATAAGTATTCTACTATTTAAAATGACTGGTGAGGCAAAACAATTGATTAGTCTTTAATGCTCTGTTTTTCAACTGTACTAAGGACTTCATCCAACCAAAACAAATCTTAAGCTTCAGAACTCTCTAATGCTTAAGGAACGCCTCTGCCTGATTGCCATATAAGGGAATCAAGAACCTAGTAATCGTGGAGTACTCTCAGGGACAAATGTAGGAAGAGAGGACACAACAGAGTTTTCACAATTTTAACAAGTAATCTGTCACCATTTCAGACTACCAAATGCTAATTTACTTAAGACAAATTATTTAAGTATATATTCCCACCTTTGCAATTTATTTCTAAATACTGATATATTCATTTTTTAAGCAGACCACATCAGGTTAATAATGGTATAAATCAATTTGAAAACTATAATAAACTACTTCAAGAATAGGTATATTTTTCCATTATACCTTGATCATTATGTAAAGATGCAATTCTTACTTTCTTGGTGGTGAAGCCTATGGGAAATTAACTCGGAAATGTTTCAAAGAGATTGTCAACCAAGACAGGTTTCTACATGATTGTCATTTTACAAAGATAACAAATTTCACGTTTTTAAATGTCTTAAAACAACATAGTTGTAATGTTTATAAACATCAAAGGCAAACATTTAATAGTCAAGCCCTTTGCATTCTGAATATTTGAAATTTACACAATACGCCCAATTCAAACCTAAATGAGGTATATTTTCTTTTAAAACATTAGATAACTAGCAAATATATAATACCAGGAGCAGTTTCAAATTAAATTATATTCACAGGCTTGCTTTTTGTTTGTTTTTGCTTTGTCCTGTCATATAACACACTGCGATGAGTCTTCGGATGTGGCATCTAACAAAAAAGAAAGCTGCACATGGTCACTCTGTGTGTTGAGTTGTAAGTATGTGAGATAAAAACATCTTTGTGGATTATTTTTAAAACGATAAACTGCATTACCAAACTTTATGATTTTACGTATGTAAGTATATATTAGAGATCATTTGTGCATTAACAATTGTATAGGGAAGCACTAAAAGACAAAAACATTATAATGATATTATGGCAGTGCTTAACAAATTCAGAATATTTTTATATGAAAAACCTATGCTGTAAAAAATCTCAATCAAAATTTTGCTTTTTGATTGCATGGGTCGCAACCCACAGAAAACAACAAATAAATTGGTCAGGATTTTTTTAGTTTAAGAAGCAAAAATTTAAGAACCAAAATATGCACACCACTGAAAATACTAATTCTTAAAATTATGTAGCTAAAAATTAAATCACCCTGTCCAGCAAGTTCCAAAAATTTCACACATTTCAAACATTAAGGCAACTTTTTCCAACTAAACAGTACTTTATAAAAATAGATGTCACTTCAAAACATTATATACACAGTGACAATAAATTTAGCTAGTTGTAATATTTAATACATTAATAAAGTTTCACATATTACAAAGAAATTATACTAGGTGCTTGCATATATGTGCTAGTAATATTACAACTTTTAAAGTACAGGTTTTAAAACTGAGCGTAGTGAACGTCCTTCTTTAGTGAGTTCTCGTGTCACACACATACATGGCAAAGGGATTGCTTCCTCCCGTTTCTCGACAACATTGTAACTGCATTTCTTCAAGTGGTCTGCCATGCTTAGGATGTCAGCAAATTTCCATTCATTAACAGAACAAAATGCAGTACTAAATCGCCATACCTACAAGAAAATTCTACTTTAGATTTAAACAAGTCAATGTGTAGAGAATCAAAACACACTTTTTGCTCCTACTGCATACATTTCTGCTATTATAGAAGCATCCAATATAAAGTTTCAAATAGCTATAAAATTAAAAATTGGTAAATCCTTTTGGACATAAATGTATGTCAAATATTTACAAGGTAAATCACTTCTATGACATTATGACTTCAATAAATCTAAAAACAATAAAAGACAAAACTCAGTATTAAAAATCACACCCAATCTGGCTTACTAAATGATTTTTAAAAAATCAAAACTGCACAAATTCAGAGCCATTTCCTAAAATATTATATACTACACACTATTCTTTCATACTCTCCAATTGGCTATCTAGAACTAATTACACTCTGGAGATACTGACAATGCAAGTGTTATTTTTTTTCTCCAAGTTTTTCTCTCCCATTCCTATTTATAATATCAGTACTAAAAAATACCCTAGAATATTGTGTGCCAAGGTAAGTTTCTTTTTCCGCTGTTCACAAGTACTAAAGGTACTTAGTGATATTCAAGTACTTCAATTTGTTCAAAATGGCTCTGAAATTTTATATAAAAATAATATTTGTAAAGTGGATCCTATTTTAGTCCATATCATTGTAAAACATGTTTCTAGGCAAAATACTTACCTGCCATCCCTATTCATGTCTGTAGGTAAAAATATTAGCTACTTCCCTTTTTGTCCACCCAACTGCTCTAAGCCCTGAAGCACTGTCAAATTATTAGTCCAGCAAAAGACTGTGCCCCAAGCCCCTCATCTTTACAAATGAAACATAAAGCTACCTGAACATAAGTAACAAGCATGAATGCAGAGCAGGACAGACCTAGATAACAAGCATGAATGGGGTAGGACAGGCCTAGCCATGCCTGCTAAGTTTATCAACAGGCAAATGTCTAATTAGGGAACAATTTACACACGTTGAACTGCAGATGCTTTAGAACAAGCTTGTCTAACCTGGGGCCCGTAGGCAGCATGTGGCCCAGGACGGCTCTGAATGCAGTCCAACACAAATTCGTCAACTTTCTTAAAACGTTATGAGATTTTGTGTGTGTGTGTGTGTATGTGTGCGTGTGTGTGTGTGTTTTTTAGCTCATCAGTTATCGTTAGTGTATTTTATGTGTGGCCCAAGACAATTCTTTTTCTACCAATGTGGCCCAGGGAAGCCAAGAGATTGGACACCCCTGCTTTAGAAAGTGGCAGATTTAAGAAAAACCCTCAGCATTTATTGCTTCTCAGGAAAGCATGGTAATGTCTTCTCAGGGTGGCTAGATGTGGGAAAACAATTATTTGTCAACTAGCAATAGAAAGTCCCCATTGTTCAGCACAACGGTACCCCCTATACTCCTTAGGATTATGATCAATTACCCTTTATGGAGTGATTTTCCAGGAGTCAGTGAAGGCCTAGTGATAGTATAGATGTCACTAGCCTCCCTTACCATTCCCCATGCTCACAAAGCTACAAAAGGAATTAGGAGTTTTCTTTAAGCTTGGGCAGGTGAATTAGCTGAAAGATTCAATGGAGACAGGCAGTCTCTCTACTTCCATACAACTGAGAGTCTGGTGAAACAAACTCAGGAAAAGCAGGCAAAAGAAAATGTATGACTCCCACCTGCTGATGACAAGGTTTCTTAGTAATGGATCCATCTTTCACTCAAGTATGCATCAAATATTTACTCAGTGCCTACTACATAGTAGGTACTATGCAAGGCAGTATTTTGGTTCCCTGAGAGTCCCACTTCTCAAGGAATTTACAGTCTAGTGACTGAAACTGACAATTGATCAATCAATTTCAAAACAGTTCAGTGAGTGCTTTAGTAGAGGTTTATCACCACAGGAACACAAAGCAGTGCAACAACTTGTCAGGTTATGGGTCCCAAGAAGCTATCTTCAGGAGGTAAAACCTGAAGAGTAAGCGGGACATAGCAAGAAAGATGAAGATCACAAGATCGAGAAACCGGCTTCCTAAGTCAATTAGTTGGCCAGCTTAATTAACCTCTGTTTCTTTGTCTGTAAAATGGGTACAGTGGATTATATAAGTTCATACAAGCAAAGTGCTAATGCACACTGAGTAGCATATTGCAGGTGCTCAAGTGTGAGAATTAGGGATGGCATATTTTAAAGACTTAACGCAAGAAAAAACATCAGGGAACTGTAAGTAAATCAATGCGGTTACAGTATAAAATGATAGGAGGAAAGTGAAAAGATAAAGATGAGATTATGAAAAGTCTCAAATGTTTTATTAAGGAGCTGGGCTCTATCCAGGGGTGATGAACAAATATTAAGGAAGTTTTTAAGCACTGTGGTGACAGTGTAAGAATTGTATTTAAGAAAATATGTATCACATTAGCTCTTGTGTAGAGAATATATTGGAGAAGGGCCCAAATGGAAGTAGGAACCCAGTTAGAAGGAAGCTGTTGTTGTAGTCCAGGAGACAACTACAGTTGGGACTGAACTTGGGAAATGGCAGTGGAAACAGAAAAGCAAACCTGAGAGGTTTCAGGACTTCATGATTATCTGAATAAAAATAAAGGGGGGAGAAAAAGCAGCCAACATAACTCCTAAATTCCTGGTTTAGGAAACTTGGTGATGATGGTGCCACTTTCTCAGACTAAGAGGGGGAGGACTGGAGTAGGTTGGATATGTTGAGTTTGAGAAAGCTATAGGATAATCAAGTGGAAATGTCCAGTAGATGCTTGTATATAGTGGTTGGGAGTTCAGTGGAGCAAATGGCTAGGATACAGATGTGTGAGTAATCTATATAAATGATGGCGAGTTAAATTTGAAGAGTAGGTGAGATTTTCTGCAGGAATGATTATAGAATCCCCCCAAAAATTTCACTCCATATGTCAATACTAGTAGGCAAAGATAAAAAGAGGCCATACTAAGACTGTCCCATCCCAAAGGGAAGAAAAGATACAAAATCATATGGAAAACAAAAATACACACAAACACAAGCAGTAGAAACTTTCTGCCATCAGAAATTCCCTTTTGGAAAAAAAAATCGTGAAACAATTTGTGTGATCATTTATCGGTCAAGGCCTCAGGGAAACCAAGTGGATGTAGTATTCTGAAAAATCAGTGCAATGAATGCAAGAAAACCTAAAGGTGCTACGAATAAAGTAACCAGAGTTTGAATGCTGTGCAACTAAATGTAAAGTTTATCACAATTGTTTCCACTTTAGAAAATGTAAAAGTTTCATATTATAAGTGTTCAAAAATAAAAAAACCTTCAATCAAAGATATCTGTAATGCCTTCCAGTTCCTACTGAGTAGTGCCAAATAGAAGCTGAGCAAAAGTAGGGTATCACAGAAGGAAAATGGTGTAGCTTGGATTTGCTTAGGTCTGCCTAAATCTCCAGCTCAAGTTTCCAACACAATATGCATCACTCCTTTGGACTCTACTAAACCCAGAGTCCCCACCCAAAATATCAAATCCTACTGCCCTACTCTGTTCTCACAGCGGCCTAAAGCATCTCCTCATTCATCCATTTATGTTCCTTATTCCCCATATCATATACTCCTCTGGTCACTTTAATATATGACCACAGTAGTAGTTGTAACTTATTCTCATCTCTTGCTATTTAGGTTGTACCTGAAACAACCAAATCGTAGGAACAAAATTGCCATAGAATGGAGAGACAATTACAAGCAGGAAAAAAACCCTCTTCTTGCTTCCTCCATTATCTTATGGTGCACATTTTTCAGATGGAGTCCAAATTAGAAGATGGTAACATGGACCCAAACAAAGAGAGTTGTTATAGAAAAATTGAGAAACGTAAGTGGTCTCTGCCATATTAGATTATAATCTAGTTCTAGGAAATCAGTAGTAAACCTACAATTATGGCAAACAATTCTAACTATCCTAGTTCATTATTAATTACCATTAAGAAAAAGTCTGTCATCACACTGATTTAGTAAGTTTTAGGGAATGGTCAATTTCTCAACAAGATATTAATTGTATTAATTCAGCAGTATTATTAAAGTCCTCTTTATGTCAAATAAGAGGTTGTAAAGATTACACTAACCTTTTCTTTTATCTGCCATGATGAATTTCCTTCTGGATACTTCCTTTTCCCCCACTGCAGTATGACCATGCCACGAGACTGAAGCAGGCTGCCACACACATCCCTCATTAACTTGGATACACATGAGAGCTGACATAAGCTGAAGCCATCGAGAAAGCCTGCAATATGCTGCAGGACCTCAAAAGGAAGACTACTTAGATGGTCATTATGTAATCCCAACACACAGTTTCTAGCAGGCTCCACTAATACTGTAGATACACATGGCTGAACTCCAAATGACCTCAAATGGCGGTCATGTATAATCTTTGCTCCTTGTATTGATGGACAAAATCTACGCTGAGAATAGGTACAACCATAGTAAGCTAAAGGGCACCTCTGTTCCATCCAGCCATTGAGTCCAGCATGAATGTCACCATGCACATTCTTAAAGTGGGAAGAAAATTCTTTCCTTCTAAATAACTGTCCACACACAAAGGTAAACATTGAACGCTGCTTGGGTTGGTACCTAGCGACACATTCCAATACTAAATCCAGCCCAAGTGTCTGAAACGGACTTGGATTTGAAAGCTGTGGATTGGCATGATCACAAGCTGAAGCTGAAGCTATCTCCCCAACCATTGTACTTGTAGCTAATATTGCAGATGGAAGTGAAAAAGTCTGAGTCCCAACGTCAATGTGATAAATATCAGCCATGCGGCTATCAGATATACCCCTCCCTCCTGGAGAATCTCCTAGACAAAAAAGCAATGCTGCTGTGATCAGATCTATTCCTTGGAGGCCCATAGGATCTTCTGCAACTTCCAAATCTGATGTATCTACTGCTTTATCTTCCTTTGGTTTAGACCAACATGAATTAGAAAGAAAATTGAATGAAGGAGCATGACTGAAAGATAAGACATCCACATTCTTCACGTCCCCTAAGTCTACTTTTTTCCAACACAATTCACCTTCACCTTCATCATCTGGCATGAGGATATGCTGAACTGTGCCATTAGGCAAAGCACTGGATGGTATTATTTCCCTAAGTTGTGCTGCCACCGCAAGTGAGCTGGAAGGTTTTGAAGTGCCATCTGATGATGCCACACAGTCTCCATTTGTTAAGTTACTTTGTTTTGAATCACCATGTAAATTCTGATTCTGGTCTATGACCTGGGTACATATATTTTCCAAAGGAAAGCCATTACAAAGAGCAGAAGTGTCATAAGAACTTGTATTCAAGTCACATAATAAATCACTTGAACCATTTTGTTCAGACTGGGCATTCTGATTTGTGTCATTGTAGTCAATTCCACCTACTGCTCCTATTTCCTCCTCATAAAGATGATCTTGGTCTTTCAAGTTTTGATCCTCTAAGCTTTCTCTCGCATTTTGCTGTTCATCCATGTCATTTGGGACACTTGTATTTAACATGCCAATGTCTCTTGTAGCAGTATTCAGGATATCCAAAGCAGCAGCCAAACTTCTGGTTGTTTCTACAGTAGCTTGATAAAGTGCACCATAAGATTCTTCATCAACAGACACTAAACCATTAGCATGTGGTATTTCTGGGACACTTGATTTAACTGAGATTTGTTCTCTAGGTTTGGATACTTTATCAGTTGCTTTTGACATCATGGTGGCTACTTTGAGGGATTCTAAGAGCATCCTTTGGTCTTGAAGAGCCAAGGCCATATCCAATTGTGCCACTTCATCGACATCTCTGCTTAGATTTTCATATGATTTCCGGTCTGCATAACTAACTGGCCATCGATTCCATTCCATAGTACAGCACACCACACTTGCAGGACACATTTCTAGATGTTCAGCAACTTTATTTCGGGCCATGGTAAATGGACATCCAAAGTCACTATTTAAGCAAGGCACTCGTTCAAATGGACATAAAAGTCGATGCTCATCAGCTTTACAAGAATGGAAAACTGCACCACAAACCAATGGACAACCAATCAAATCACAGGAAATCCCTGGCTCTGGCCTGGTCATGCACCGTCTACTGACACAATTCACACAATGGGAATGCTGCAGCTCCTCCTCCATAATGGCCAGTCCAGCTCTGGTTGATGAAATGGAAAAAGATAAGAAATTAGCCAAAAAATGGTTGATTTTTCAAAATTGTTTAATAATTAAATCACTAATTTATCTAATATCTTGGTTTATTTTAGGATGACATATATAAAATAAACATACTTAACCAGTTAATTTTACATATAATCAATGTCTTGAAAGGATGTAAGCACTTACATTCTAGTAACAATTCAATACTGTAGAATGTCATAACGGTTCATTTTTATATACTATATAACAATATGCCTAAAAGGGCAAAAGTTTCAAAATATACTATTTAAATTCTAATACTGTGTATTATTTAATGTTAAAAACAAGTTAATGTGTATTTTAGATTTCAGAGTGTTTTTCACTTTTACCTTTCTAATTTCAACTAAACTGATTTTGATTGTACCCCACATTTCAGAGATCTTGTATTACTAAAAGAACAATATGAATTTCATGAATATATTTAAAACTTTCTTAGAAGTCTTTTTTTATTCCTTCTAAATGAATTCATTTAAGATTTCATCTATTGATCTCTCCTTCTATATATGCCTTAATAAATTCTGCCACAAATTAAGTAAGTCTTAATTAGAACATACAAGGAATTTATCCAGAAAATAAAAGTTCAAGCTCAAGCTCTGTGGCTGTGGGCAAATAACTTACTTTTGAGGGCCACATTCATTCATTAAATGCCTATTTATTGTTTAACTATCATGGACCATGCACTGTGTTTGGTGTGGCAATATAAAGATTAGCAAGTCACAGTGCCTCCTCTCAAAAAGCTACAGCAGGATGTCAAAGACAGTAAAAAGTGTATCTCGTTTTTATGTGGTCAATTTGACAGAAGTAAAATGGTACCAATAGAGAAGATAATAATCAATATGAGTAGGGATTAGAGAATAAATCACAGTAGTCTTGAAAGAGAAGTCTTAAGTATGGGACGGTAAACTGGTAAGAAAGAGAGGCATTCAATGCAGAAGTAATAGCATATGCAAATACAGAAAAGCATGAATTAGCAAAACCTCAAGTTCCCTAGTATTGTTGGATCACAGGGGAAAATGCCAGGTATCTGTAAGAGATGAGGTCAGAAAGGAATAAGGCAAATCATGATGAGTGCTTTATGCTGCTCCAAAGAGTTCACACTTTTACAACTGGAAGTCACTGAGAATTTTAAGCAGAGAAATAGTTCTATAAAATAACATGAATGGATTATAGATGTCTAATGGTCTTCCCTGCTTTAAAATTTCCATCATAACCTTTATAAAGAAAAGTTTTATATGAAAAATAAAAGTCTAACCATAATATATTGACTTAATTATAATTATTGAGCCTATTCAATGTATTTTTAGTATAATCAACTTCTTTACTGGTGTGTTTCCTATTAGCAATAAAAACTTTAAAAGATTATTTAACCTTTAAAAACTAAAATAATAGTCACGGTGGCTCAAACCTGTAATCCCAGCACTTTGGGAGGCCAACATAGGAGGGTCATTTGAGGCCTGGAGTTCAAGACCAGCCTGGACAACATAGCAAGACCCTGTCTCTACAAAATAAAAACAAAAAAATTAGCCAGGCATAGTGACATGCACCTGTAGTCCCAACTACTTGGGAGGCCAAGGCAGGAGGCTCAAATGAGCCCAGGAGATTGAGGCTGCAGTAAGCCATGACTGTGCACCCCTGCATTCCAGCCTGGGTGACAGAGTGAGGCTCTGTCTCAAAAAATAATAATAATAATTGAAATAATAACATAATATCCCCCCTTTACCACCATTTTTTTTTTCTTATCCAGTCAAACTTTCAAAAGAAAAACTGAAAACCACCAAAAAAAAACGTCTAATTTCCTATATATTCTTTAACTCTCTATTCTGGCCCCATTTTTACTACCCCTATTAAAACTGCTCTGCTGAGAACCTCAATACTAAATCTGGAGGCATATTTTTCTAGACCCCATCTTCCTTGGCCATTGTATCCTGATGATGACTAATCCCTTATTTTAGGACTATTACATCCTCTTACTTTTCATGATGTCACTCCAGTCTTTCTCCTACCCTTAGTCTTCTTAACTATTACTCAATAATAATTATTTAAATATTGCATTTCTTCAGGGCTTGTGTCATTTTTTGCTTATTCTGTACATTCTCCCTGGGTGCTCTCATTTTCTCCAAAAGTTTCAATTACCATACATAAGCTGAAAATCCGTCTATACATGCTGCCCAGATTCCTCTTTCAAACTCCTCTTCACTCTCTACAATGGATTACTTATGATATATTTCTACTTGTATATGGCACAGGCAACTCAGTTCAACATTTCCAAAATTAAATTACATTGTAGTAGACAAGAATTTTCTGGATAGGAAGGTGATTCTTATCCTGTTTTCTTCACCTCAGTGCGTAAGAGATTATTAACTCTCTGACATATTTTTCCATAAAATCTATCTTGGCTCCAGGTAACTAATTAATCACTCCTCAATTGCTATTATCTTTTTCTCCAGTTGAGGTATGAGTTTTCTCAAACTAAAATAACAAAAGTGTACCTGAATCATCATCAACAGAGCTTTTCTTGATTCAGTAGAAAAGTTCCGAGTTGATATTATGGTGTTCAATGATGTCAAAGAAAAGACAAGGTATATATTCAACGCCAAACCTATATTTTTTAATTGTGTTAAAAACTACAAATTATGAGTTGAATACTTTTAAATGTTTATCTTCATGAATTTTAGACATAAGTATAGAAATATATAAATAGACATACTAAAATAGTCATATAGAAATAAAAGACTAATAACAAACATTTGTAAATTAACCAGACATTTAAAGAAAAACTTTATTAAGAATTATGACAAATCTTACTGAGTGATTAGACTGTGAAAACAGCTGTAGCTTTCTTATTTTGCAGGAACTAGACTGAGTTGATCTCACATGCTGAAGGTTACAAGCTTGACTGTTACTAAGGGAGAAACCTAAAAATACAAGCAGTTTCACCAGAAGTAACCAGTGCTCTCAGAAGTTTTAGGGACACTTTATGTTACTGTACACACCATCACATGACATCACCAGGCAAAACATATCTTAAAAACATCACTTAATTCAAAAGTGCTTAAAATAGCAACTGCTTGCAACAGGGTCTGAGTTAAAAGCAAAAACAGCAATAATTTTCAAAGGTAGAAGGAAAGTAGTCAAGCTTCAAACAAATAGTCTCTTTTACACTACCCATCCCCCTTTGAATAAGGTTTCAAAAAAGCATCCATAGCAACAAGTTCATAACATTTATTATTTTCTGAAGTAGACTTAGAAGGAAGAGAGAACAGTAATTATGTACCTATTTTATCCTTCTTTACACATCTTTATAACAACCTGGAGGAAACTGAGGTTCAGAAAGAGCAAGTGATCTGCCCAAGGTCATCTACCTAGTAAGTGGCAGAGCTAGGACTGTATGTTCTAGCTCCACGTCTGATCAACATCCATGGACAATAACAGGTATGTTTACTTATAAAAGTTTAAAAAACTTAGGCAGCACTTCTGTAACTGGTGATCCAATGTTAAGATGTTATGTGAAGAATGGAGATTACACAACTTTGCTTGTAGTTTATCCCAACACTTAATCACTCCTGTGGTCAAGAAAGTCTTTTGGTCCCTTCCAATTATAATAGCATTTTACTCTGCTTTGAATATATATGTTTTAAATTATTTGAAGAATAATTTACATAGATAATGCTCAGTATAAGTGTATGGAACATTATATTACTAAATTTAACAATTATTAAAATAGCCATACAAATGAGGAGTGAATTTCAATTCCATTTTCCTATTAACTATATTAAGAAAAAAGTTAAGAAAATATAGTAGTCAATACTCAAGAGTATTCTGGGAATAGAATCCTCAGCTTCAGAATTTAAAACTCTCCTAGATTCATCCTCTTCCTAATCAAGACCACTACTATCAAATTAAACATGCCTTTATAAAGTATTTTGCAATTGCTTGTAAATCCTGTAAAACAGGTTTAAAAACATCAATCTCTTATTTATCAGTTAACAGTGACACAGTAGGCACAGTAGAAAACAACTAACATCTCTAATAATTTATATTTGAATTTAAATTGTTGGAAAAGTTTCGCTGGACCAGAAAATATTAGTAAATCATCAAATGTTTTCAATTCTTTCAATTTTCTCTGAGAGAAGTTCTTTGCCAACTCATACTCTGTGGCTGACAAGCAATTCATTAAAATAGTTCTAAGACATGGCATTTTCCCATATAATGAAATGAGATCTTGTCATTAAAGGCATAAATATATTGCCCTCAAAAAAGCATTTTTAAAAAATTCATTAAAATACATAAGGAGGTAAGTAAATATAAAGAAGTGCAAATTAGCATGATTTTAAAATATAAGAGTCATCTAATGTATTCAAAATAACCTGCTGCCTCCAGGCTGTTCCTAATGTCTGCCTCTACCTCTAACACACAGACACAGACACACATCCCTTTTCCTCCCCACACGCCCCTGCTGCCTCAACCCTAAGTCTTGGCTTACCTGTTACTTTTCCACATACTCCAAAGACAAGGTAATGGATCCCATATTGTGTGTACTCATTACATACTGTCTTTTTCCTTGGTAATACTAGTGACAACTCTAAGTAAGTCATCATTCTGTATAATATCTATTTCCACAGGAAAGCTATAAGCTCCATGAAAGTCAGAATCATCTCAGTCTCATTCATTCTTATGTTCCCTACATTCAAAATTCTGCCTCAATTAGAGACTCATTTGTATTAAATATACGAAGAATTATAATATAAGAAAATAATGAAATGGACAAATGAGATTCTTCATTTCACAGAAAACTACATATTCCACATAAAAATACCTTACAGATCTGGCATCAATCAAACTGAATCAAAATTACTTCATTGTATTGGCCATAAAAAGTCAATGGTGCTCAAACACATGTTAAGCACATAAGTAATATGTTCCAGGCATTATATATGGAGTAGGACGAATCATCTATCAAAAAAAGCAAATCAAAGAAAGTCAGTTTCAACCTTCCACTGTTTTAAAATCTTAAATAGTAATATGAGAAACATAGGAGGAAGCATTTACCTTATATTTTTCCACTATTTTAATTCCCTCATCAACCCTGCAGATCAATTACTGGAAAAATAATGAATATAGAAGCACTGGGTTCAAAAAGAAAGGAAGGGATTAAGGTCTGCATATGCAAAGGTGCCCGATTAGGGTAGAGAGTGAGAAAAGTAAGTTTAAAATAGGAAGTGCTATCAGCCTACAGCTTAGTATTACAATTAACATGGTATTAGATAAAATATACTTAAAACAGTAATATACTGTTCCAATGTAAGGCTGATATAAAACTATAGACAGATTTGTTCAATTAATTAACCATTTCTACAAGTTAAGTCCACAAATGAAATTTCAAATTTGGCAATCAGTTATAAGCTCTTCCAGTGCAAATCTCATCCCTTGTAAAGTCCAGAGGTATTAGTGCATAGTACCTCTGGTGACTGATCTGTTTATCAGGTGCACTCAGCTTTAAAAATCATAATAAATCTATACCCTAGTTAGGCATCTTATCTTACTGTTTAAAAAGAGGTGGGGTTGGGGGGCGGTGGTTAGACAAAATCAAAAAGGCATTATCCTTAAATTCCCAACTCAAAGCACTAGCTTCCAGTCCCAAATGGCTAAATGGATTACAATGTGTACATTCTTTTATTAAACTTTCGTTCTTTTTATTTATAAAATGGATGACCTAATTATATGGACTTTTTTCATGTTTTATTGTTCCAGATAAAATATATCAAAACATATATCTTTCATTTCTAAATAGAGTCATGGTCATGAGTAGCTTATTCCAAAGCGAAATCTAACTACTTGCAACGTTCTCCACTAAATAAGTAAATGAAATCACAGACTTACATGGGAAATTGAAATAGTATTAATAAATATTTAATACTCGGACTAGAACCTATTTGAGTTGATACTCAGATAAAAATAATCCACCCAAACGGTAGAACTCAGTTTATTAAAACAGGTAACATGACATGAGGGAATGGGCTTCCAAAGAGTCTCAGCTTAGTGACCTTGAGGCAATTACTTTACTCTGGAAACAATCTAGAACTTTACAAAGATTGTTTACAATTATGTGTGTGTCCAATAGGATATAAACATGTAGTTCTCAGAAACCAGATGTACTTCGATTTGCACAACAGCCACACTTATATACACAAAAATTTTACGTGTAATTATTTTTATGAGATCATTAATTAAATGCAATCATATGAAGAACTACCTAGTAATAACATTACTCATTCTTTAAAAAAAAGATTTTCACAGACTGGGTTTTAACTGATCCGCTTGTCTGTATCTAACATCTAGCTACCTAAAATATAGAAGCAACTTGTCTAAGGCCAATCTCCTCTATTTCATCACACTGAATTTGAATTTATATTTTATACAGCCTTTGACTCAATTGTTTTATGTCAAAAAATTCTACAAATACAATGACATTCCATAATATGTACTAACTCCTTCTATCAAATAAGCAGTCTTAGGAACTGAATTAAAATATTTATCCAAAATCATACAGAATAGCATAGCGCTTATCCATTAAAATATTCACATCTTAGAAACATGTTATATCAAACAGTAAGCATTAACCAATGCCTATTTTGGTGACCTTAAAGTACCTCTCTATACACGTTAGCATTACTTATATAATATTGCTTTTTAATGATATATTAGGACACTTTTTAGAAGAAGTCTCCCAATGCTAGACCGGGAGAAATACTGGATTGAAATTAAATACCTAGTACACTTGGTATACATTAAAGTTTGCCTATATTCGAAACTTCAGTTCTCTTACAGCATTCACGAAACTCCACCATTTCCAGAATTAAAAAAAAAAAAAAAAGTTACGTCACGGCATTAAAGTGCTAGGTAAAAACAAATTGGCAATTTAAAAAGTCAGCAAAACACCATGTTATCCCCAATTAAACTTTTGTGATGAGAAACAGTGACTAAGCATGAAGAAGAGTGATTCAGCGGAAACCGCATATTGAAATCTAACCCTCTGAAAAATCCTAAAGGTTTATTTTATGCTACTCTTTTCCTTTTGCCATGTCAACAATTGGACTGCTTTGGAAAACCTTAGTATGAGCAAATGCAAAACCTGTTAATATAATTTCCATAGGTCTCTAAAGAACAAACAGTATTGAAATTTAGCAAATGGAAATTAAAATTTAAAAAGTTTGGGATTTTGTATTAAAAGATTTTAAATTAATCTACACCGATATCAGAATGCCCATAAATAACTTCATCTTGGATCAGAGTCAACGAAGTAATCATGGAATAAAAGGTCAATTCGTTCCCAAGCATCTTTTATCTGGGACTTACAACAGGGCTCAATAAGAAAAACAAGAGAAAGGGAGAGGGAAATGGAGTACTAGGACATTGGTAAACACATACTGTTTTGCCTCTTTGCCTCTATACTCCCAAATATACCCGTTAAAAACATACTGGCAGATTACTTTGAATTCAGCACGCGCTCTATAAACCCCTTCCAAGCAAAGGAGTTCCAAGGCGCAGGTCTTGGAACAACACAAATAACCTCAGGTCTGCAAAATAAGGAAGTTCCCCTTTAATAAGGACCGAGGCTAAGGCTAAGATCCTCTCACTTCCATGAATGGCAAAGTTACCAACTTTGCTCATCCCGTGCAGACAGTGGATGATGCCTCCCCAGTCTTACTTTAAGCCATTTGTCCCCAAATAACCCAAGTTTCTAAAAACCAGACGGAACGAGAAGCTTAGGGTTCCCTAAGTTTAACTCCTCCTTCGTCCCTTCCCAATACAAAGACACACAAACTGGGGGGGACACGGAGGTCGGTGCCCTCGAGGCTTAAGTCGCCATTTGCTGACCTCAACGGCTGGCCCGGCATGCGGCCCGGCGAGGACACGAGCGCGGCGGACGCCCTCTCAGGGCGCCCGGACGGCCGACCCGGGACGCGCATGGACCGGGGTCAGCCGCCTTTCCTCTGCTCCAGGCCGGGCCCGTCAACCCCACGGCCGCCAGCGCCAGCGCCTCGGTCCCGGCCGCGGCCTCAAACTGCCCGGCCGCTGCCTTCGTCCCCGCCGCAGCGCGGACGGCGCCGGCCTCCCCTGCGGGCCTCCCGTCACTCACCGGCCGGCGCGGCCGAACCGCGGCCCAGGCCCTAGCTGCCCTGGACGCCGTGCCCAGCTGCTCCGCTCTGTCCCGGCGACGCTCCGTACCCCACACAGCCGTCCGAACCGCCTCCTCCGCCCCTCTTCCCCAGCCGGGCCGCCGCCTTTTCTCTTCTCCCGGCCTGCTCCAGAGGCAGCCACCCTCCTCGCGCGCCCCGCCCCGCTGCGCCCCGCCCACCCGGCCCGGCTTCTGCCGACAGCTGGGCGGGGACGCGCACGCAGTCCCGGCGGGGACGCGCACGCCGCCCTCTGACCCCGCAGCGTCGTGGCTAGAGTAGGGTCTGGAGAGAGCTCCCACTGTGGCGAGTCCTGTCGTTGGATTCCCGCGGCGCCCCGTAAGGCTCCGCCCCGGCGGTGCTACCAAACCCTGTTCGATTTTAGAATCGTACATTCCCAGAGGGAATCCTAGACCCCTCATTTTACAGTTGAGGAAACAGGCCCAAGTAGCATGACTTGTTCGCGCCGCTAGTCGAAGGAGCAGCAGCCCCGATCCCTTGACTCTGGGGCACTGCTTTCCCTTTAGCTCATTTTTGGAGGAAATGGGTGCGCCCTTGCTCGACCTTTGGTGATTGCCGCCACAGGCCTTCCCGCCGGCTAACTCAGCGTGCCCAAGTCCCGTGACTTAGTGCCAGGACGGTGCTGTGACCCGTTATCCCCTGTCGGGTTTTACCTCCCCCCGGGAGAGCTCAGCCCTGGATCCCGGCGGGCGGCGGAGCCTCTCTGGAGCCCGGACGGGACAGCCCACCAGGGTCTGCTTCTGTGAGGGGCCGAGGCGTCATTCCGCGAAGGTAATTAGCTGGGGAGGGGACTTGAAGCCGCTTTTGCAGTGTACCTTACATATGACTGGGGAGTAAAGAAATCCCACAGGGCTGTATCAAAGAATGGATGGATGTCCACGCCCCCGCTACCACCACCAAGCCTTGGTCTACGGCCGAGGGACAGTGATTCCGAGCTCTGGGTGTTGGGAGCCGCTCACCCGCCCCCACCCCTCTGTCGGGGACTCCTGCCCACCCCGTCGCAAGAGAATTACAACAAAGGAAAGATGGTTGTAATCCTGGCAGTGGGGATGGGGGCAGAGCCAGGAAAACACTGTTGTCATCCTTTTTGTGGCTGCATCTTTACCCCTTGCTGTTGTGCTTTGGGAAAGAGAGCTCACACATAATTTGCTATCCTACAGAGAAAGCCTGTGGGTTTTTCAGATCCGTAAATTAAACAAAACAAAACAAAAACTGAGTTAGGAACTTAGATTACAGAGTAAAGGTTGATTCCTTAAATGATTAACTTTTTGAAAAATTATCTGTTCCCCTTATTTTGCCTGATTTGGCTGTAGACAGGCTCTGGTCCTCGGTTCAGACCTTGAGAGCCACTGTCCAGAGAGCTACATGGTCAGGATGGGGAAACAGGCAGGATGGCCCAGTGGGAGAGGATGTAGGTGCTGCTACACTATAGCCCCGCTCAATGCTCACTGTCCTGGATTGAGTCACAGACCTTTGTTTTGCTTTAGCTGTCCTCTTATAAAGGATCTAAAATAGATTATCTCTAGAGCCCTTTCCAGCTTTAAAATTCTGTGAATCTCTAATTATACTTATTGAGATCTGGGGCTTTACCTTTTACTAAGTCACCTAGCTGACACTAGGTCACCCTCACTCGCCTGAAGTTGAGTCATTCAGGTTGGAAACCTCATTGTCTTCTTTGTCCCTTCATCTCAATAATTTTCCATGTCCAGACAATTATTTAAAATCCTTTTTTTCTTTCACCTTCATCCCTAGTTACTGTTAAATCAAGTTTAGCCTAAAGCAGCCTCCTTACATATTTTACGTTCAGCCTAAAGGTTTCTGTGTACACCGTGAACTATAATAAGTGGAGGAGTAAACAGACCATAGCCCACACTTCTGTCAATCATTGAGTTTGGCCAATCAAATGTAGCCAGTTGTTCGAACCTTGTTCAAATAAGGCAAACCCCAACCTGTAACCAATCCAGCTGTTTCTGTACCTCAGTTCCGTTTTCTGTATGTCGCTTTCCTTCTTCTGTCCTAAATCATCTTCCACCATGTGGCTGCGCTGGAGTCTCAAAGCCTACTCTGGCTCAGGAGGCTGCCTGATGCGTGAATTGTTCGTTGCTCAAACTCCTTTAAATTTAATTTGGCTGAAGTTTTTTTTTTTTTTTTTAACATTACTGTCTTAAACAAATTTGGATGTCTGCTGTTGCCTAACCAGTCCTTTCTCCTGCAGTATCTCCTATCTCAAATCCCCTATCAACACAATTCTTCCTAAGACACCCATTTTATCTTGTTATTTTTATATTCACCTGGCTGGGATGATGTTTTAGTATGTGTATTAGGGTTCTCTAGAGGGACAGAACTAATAGGATAGATACACATAAAAGGGAGTTTATTAAGTATTAACTCACACGATCACAAGGTCCCACAATAGGCCATCTGCAAGCTGAGGAACAAGGAGAGCCAGTTTGAGTTCCAAAACTGAAGAACTTGGAGTCTGATGTTCAAGGGCAGAAAGCATCCAGCATAGGAGAAAGATGTAGGCTGGGAGGCTAGGCCAGTCTAGCCTTTTCATGTTTTTCTGCCTGCTTTATATCCTAACTGTACTGGCAGCTGATTAGATGGTGCCCACCTAGATTAAGGGTGGGTCTGCCTTTCCCAGCCCACTGACTCAAATGTTAATCTCCTTTGGCAGCACCCTCACAGACACACCTATGATCAATACTTTACATCCTTCAAGCCAATCAAGTTGACACTCAGTATTAACTGTCACAGTCTGTTTATGCTGCTATAACAAAATATTACAGACTGGGTAATTATAAATTACAAGAAACTATAATTATAAAGAAGAAAAATTTATTTTCTCACAATTCTGGAGGCTGGGAAGTTCAAGATCAAGGCATGGGCAGATTTGGTTGTCTGGTAAACATCCCATCTGTGCTTCTAAGATAGCACCTTGAACACCTCTTCCTCTGGAGAGGAGGAAAGCTCTGTCCTTATAGCAGAAGTTGAAGGGACAAAAGTCAAATTCCCTTTGCCCAGCCCTCTTATAAGGGCATCTAATCCCATTCATTAGGGCAGAGCTCTTAAAACTCAGTCACCTCCCAAAGGCCATACTTTCCAACACTGTTGCATTGGGGTTAAGTTTCAACATGAATTTTTGAGAAGGGGACAAAACCATTCAGACCATAGCAGATGGCTATCTAGAGCCCATGAGATACAGTCTCAACTCCTGTCTGCAGTTGCTCAAAGTAAATCTTTCATTGTAGCCTGATTTGTTTCCTTCTTTTCTCTACCAAACACTATGCACAGTCCAATTCCAAGCCACCTGTGATTATACAGTATAATAATAAATCTGAGATTCCTCCTTCTTAACTATACAGCTCTAATACCATGTCCTCTCTGAGAGGACTCTGTAGCAAATACTATCTGTTTTGAGCACTTTTACATGTACCAAATGGCACTGTTACCTTTTTCACAAATCTATATGTGAAACATATAGATTCACATGTAGATATTGGCTCACAGATTATCTCCCAAATTCATGGGAGCAGATTTTGCATCACTTTAATATGTTCCCCAACTATCTAGTATACTACCATGTACATTGTAGATGCTTAATGAATATTTGTCATTTGAAAAATAAAATGTTTACTTTTCCTGTCATTTCACCCCATCCTCATTTTCTGTGTATCTTCTATTTACCTTCTATTGGTGCCTTTCCAAGAGAATGTATCAAAGTGTAAGGTGAGCAGAAAGAATGCCAGAAATCACAAGTTTCTTTAAATATGCCCTCCTCTCTAATATACATGTATTTTGACATAGACTTTTAGAGGAAAGCTCTCATCTGTGTGACTTAGCCACTCAAGAGAAGTGACGGGGACCCTGGAAATTTAAGGTTTTTTAAAAAAAGGAGGAAAGGGCAATATTAGGTTTGACCTACCTGCTACCTTAGAGGAAAGCCTTGCTTGTTCCTCACATCACACCCCACATGCTGTCACATACAGGCTTGGACAAGACCTAGTGGCTTTTTCTAGAGGCTATACCCAAGTTGAGGAAGGAATAAGAACTACAAAAATGACACCACAAATACAAAGCCTAGACACAAGACTAGACTGTAAGAGAGAGAAGTTGTCAAAGAAAATAAATTCAGTTGCTAAATAAAGTAAATTCAGCCAGACAAATGGCTCTTCCCTTTGTTCAATGTTAGGTCAAACAGACCTATGTTCAAGTAGGTTTTCTTTTCCAACTAAACCAGCCTGTACTCAGGTAGCCCAGGGCCAAGGCAACAGATAAGTTAGGACTAAAGTCTAAGTCATGTTCTAATTAAGGAAAGGATCATTGCCAGAGACAAGTGTGATTGGGTGGGGGCTGATTTGCAGCTGTGAAATCATGGGACAATCAGAATTACCAGCTGGGACTGTGGTGGGAAATACCATTCCTCTTTTATGATATGCTCCTACGGGATTGCAAGAGAGAAAGAGCCGGTTTGAATCACCTAATTCCCAGAGTCTAGAATCTAGTAGCTATAATTATATTTCCTATATAAATTCATTTGAAGTATGAGGAATATGATAATTAACATACAATTATATGATAATTTGGAAGCAGCCTGCCAAGGCTAATATTCATAACCCAAAGTCAACCTTGCAATTTTATATAAATTATCAAGAGAATTTGAACCAAGGCAGCCTGGAATATTAGAAAAGCAGAAGACCAAGGTTTTGTTCCTGTACACCACAGACTTGCTATAAGACATTGTTGAAATTATCATGTGCATTTCAGTGTTTCACAGTTTGAGTTATTACAATTAGATTTCTTAATATAGTGTCTAGCATACAGAATATATGCTCATTAAACAAATAAAGAAACAAATGAAAAATCCCATTCCCTGAAAGGTTGTACCTCAAAGGTGTGGTATTTGCATTTCGGGAAGCTAGCACTTATGGGTACTAGTCTGTGCTTAAGCAGATGTTTAGGTAGCCTTCTCTCATCTCTTAGATGAGAGGACATCTAAGAGAGGACATCTCTTAGATGTCCTTTCAGATCAGTTGTCTACAAATACATATGTGACTTTGCTAAGCAAACAGCACTTTCTGATAGTACATTTTTAGATAATGTTTAATATCTATGTATACATTTCTCATTATTCGAAGAAATTTGGTATAGATTAAATATCTGGGAGAAACCACTTCTAATTTACCCCATAAATGGGCTCACTATTTAGTTCTCAGTTCTACTATATTCTCTATTCAATTGCATTTGTAGCAAAGTCAAATGCCTTCATATAAATGCCATGCTGGTAACAAGAAGAGGGCTCAAAAGAGGTTGTTGGGATCAGGCAAGCACATTGTTACTGAGTTGTTACTTAGCTCTAGTCTAATAGCTGGTGCCACATGTGAATGGAAGAAATGGTGGCAACATATTTTCTGATTATTTTTAAAGCTCCTGGAAATTCATATAACTATGTGAAACCACATAATGCGGTTTTCAAATTTTTTAAAAACCCTGCATGGGGAAAAAAATCTACCACAAAAAAGCCTACAGCTTTATCACCCTTGTTTTAGTGACTCATCCAAAAGGTGATAAAACAGAAATTTGTATTTATTTCTGTGCCTAGCCTGGTTTCCAAACCATTTGAGTCTCATTTTCCTCTGGAGGTAGATTTCCTATGCTTAAATGCTGACTCCTAATTCTTGGTAAATTATTTAACCTTTCTGTCTGGGAGAAAGACTCTCAGATGGCCCCCAAACATCCATGTCTCCTACTGTTCACACATAATCTCTCGAATGAGGACAAGAGCTATAACTTGCTTTTTAACCAATTAAATATGTCAAAGGTGTTAGGATATCACTTTCATGTCTACGAAAGATTCTGACTTTTGTCATGCTAGCAGACTCTCCCTCTTGCTGGCTTTTATGAAACAAGTTGTCATGTTGGGGAGGCCCACATGGCATGGAACTGAGGATATTCACTGTCAACCATCAGTTAGGAATCCAGGCCATCAATTCAATATCCCAAAGGAACTGAATCCTGCCAACAACCACCTACATGAATATGGAAGCAGATCCTTTCTCTATCAAGCCTTCAAATGAGACCCTCGCCCTAGCCAACACCTTGAATTGCAGCTTTGTGAGAAACCTTAAAACAGAGGCCCCCACTAAGCCATGCCCTGATTCACAGAAAATGTGAAGTTGTTTAAGCCATTAAGTGTTTGATGATTTGTTGTATGGTGATAGATAACTAGTACATCAGATCCTTCTTTTCTCATCTCTAAAATAGGAAAGAATAGTGTTCTCCCCTGCCCCAGCGTGTGCTGTTTTGAGAATTGAATGAATTAATATCTTTAAAGTACTTAGAACAGTGCCTGGCACATGTGGGCACTCAATAATGTTAGGTGTCTTTTCCTCAGCCAGATCCTAGAGGTAGTCAAGTATCTTAGCAAAAAAGGGTAGTAGGCAGAAGCAAAAGGGGCTGTCTTTGTGCAGCTTCAAGCTCAAGTGACGAATTGTGACATTATTTTAGGCAGAGGAAAGTTCTTTCCCACTTGTGTTCCACCATGGGGCAACTTTGCTGCAGAGACTGGTAGAGCTGTAGGGGCACTACAGAAGCCAGGGGAGCTGTGCCCTTATCAGGGTAGCTGGTTGGCCTTGCCCTCGATGGACTGGGCAGTGAAAAGGAGACCCAAGCACAAGATCATAAGTGGATCTAGTCTTGAGCACTTCTAACAAAATCTCTGGGAAAACTCAGAAACAACTGAGTCATCCTGTGCAATGGACTTCTGAGAGAGATTGAGTCTACTCACTAAGATTTGTAGCCGAAGCCAGGTGTGGCGGCTCACACCTGAATCCAGCACTTTGGGAGGCCGAGGTGGGTGGACTACTTGAGGTTAGGAGTTCAAGACCAGCCTGGCCAACATGGTGAAAACCTATCTCTACTAAAAATACAAAATTAGCCGGGGTAAGTGGCACACACCTGTAATCCCAGCTACACAGAAGGCTAAGGCAGGAGAATCTCTTGAACCCAGGAGACAGAGGTTTCAGTGAGCCGAGATTGTGCCGCTGCACTCCAGCCTGGGTGACAAAGCAGGACTCCATCTCAAAAAAAAAAAAAAAAAATTGCAGCTGAAACCTCTGTTAAGCCTTGCAGTTAAGCAAGGCTGATAATCCCAGCAGGCAAAGGGACAGGGTCTGTTGTCTACCTAGTTTATTCCTGTATTCTCAGAGCCTAGGGGATATGATATACTCAAATAAATGTTGGTTAAATGACATTTGTGTTACACACAAATAATTGTAAATTGTTGCTTCATATTTTGGGATGGCAGCACACTTTTCATAGACCTTTCTCTGACCTTACATTTTGACAATAAAGGAAAGAAAATGTATTATTACATTGGGATAGAAACTTACCTGCACACAGCTACTTTGGGACATTTCAGGGTACAGAAGCAACGTGGTCTTCAAGGTCAATGGATTATTTTCCACTCCACTGAAATATCTAAGGTGACAAGCAAGCTAAACTAATTTGTCTTTCTAAGACACAATATTTCCTGAATAAATAAAGTAACTAGCATTACTTTTATTTATCCTTAGTTATACAAAGTGATTCAGGATATATTTAGAGTATTAAAGATGGGACTGGGACAAGAGAAAGAAATGTGTATATGCAAATCAATAATTAGGGGTTTATATTAATATCACTCAATGTAGATCAAGTTGTTGCAGTAAGAAAGACTCTATCGCATAAACCTTGAAAGTAAAAAATGTAGATTTGGGGGAGTTTTTCCACCAAAAGAAGAATTGGATGTCTTCCAGAGCATCGATGAAGGAATGGTAAGACATAAAAGGAAACTCACTTTCTAATTTGCTTTTCCAATATGCAAAGGGTTAAAGGTAAGCGTGCTCTCCATTCATATCAGCTTACAAAGCTGAAGCTAGTACCTGGCAAATGGCCCCCTGATTCATCTCTAGACTGACTTCTTTTGAGGGTAAACAAAACTCTAGGAAAGGTATGTTTTCTTTTCCTCTTCCTCAAAGTTGGGAAATCTGAGGTCTCTCCAGTGGTGGGTATTGAAAGACAAGTCATCTGGGTGGAGCACAATGTTATCAATTTGTTCCTCTGGTAATTTATGAGGTCTTGTGGAATCACCTATTAAAAGCAACCCTGGAATGAGCAGTATTTCATTTAGAATAATGGACAGTTGGTAGCAGAAGAGGATCTGAGGCATGGGAATAGGAGATTTCAAGGGCCTCAAGATGGTGAAAGAATTAAAAGGGAAGGTGGAGGCCTCCAAAGTCTAGCCCTGTATGTGTACTTCATATTTGTTGCAAAGTCTTGAGAAGCAAAGTCTTCCACTCAATAGCCCTGTCTGTTTCTCTGTTTTTCTCTGCTTCTGCATCTGTGTCTCTGGTTCTTTTTTTAAATATGAATTACATAGTAATATGTGACATATCAAAACTACACAGGTTGCAACTCTGACATCATCCTCAATTTGCCTTGACACCCTGGAGCAAATTTTTATTCATGTAGAAGTTTCATTGGGTTTCTGGATGCAAAGGAAGAACCAAAGTATTTACCCTTAATATCCTTTTTATAGATGTCCTGGAGCCAGCTTAATTGGCATTTAATGCCCCTTAGGCATTATGACTTTTCATATCACTCATATTTCATAAATAGAAAGGGCAATAAAATCAATTTCTGAGCCAGAACCAGAGTCTAGGACCACTGACTCCTACATAATGTGATTTAATTAACAAGATATTGAGAACAAACACACTCAAACAAAAACTAGATTAACTCTACATTGACTTGCAGTTCACTTATAAGATGCTTAGTTTCATTTCCAACCTGAAATGGAAAGATCTAAAGCAAGCCCACACGAGTCATACATTAAAGCCTATGTCACCACAACCCAAATGGCTTGTCATCTTCTCTGGGTGTTTAATTTGTCCCCAAGTCTCTCTCAGACACTCCAGAGCTGAATTAGCTTGCCACACCCTGATTCTGCTCACCCACTTCTCAGTTTATCTTATGCAGAGAAATATTATAAACAACATATGCTTCTATTTATTTCCCTCCTTAGGTCACACAATAACATTCTTCAGAGAAATAGAACAGTCTAATGCCTCAGTACTAAGATAACTTCAGTTGCTTCCCACATTTGGTTAAATGCTCTTAATGTTTGTAAAAGAACATAAACCTTTGTGAAGTAGGGGGGAAAAGACTTCAGAAAGAAACAGAAGGCAAATTATACTTTACAGAGCTAGATGATGCAAAGTACATCAGAGTAAATGCACATGATCTAATTGTGTTGTCAAAGCTCATGGTTTAGAAGACTCTGACTTGGTATAATAAGAACAGCAACATGAAAGCTTCCTTGAGTTTACCTAAGAAGTCTGAAAATATATGGATCTTCAGATCTGGGACAGAGTGGGGACAGCAGGGAAGTGGATGATAAATAATCTACTGAGAAGAGGGATCTGTCACCCAGGCTGGAGTGCAGTGGCGTGATCTCGGCTCTCTGCAACCTCCTCTGCCTTTCAGGTTCAAGCAATTATCTTGTCTCAGCCTTCTTAATAGCTGAATTACAGGTGTGCGCCATCATACCTGGCTAATTTTTGTATTTTTAATAAAGACGGATTTCGCCATGTTGGCCAGGCTGGTCTCAAACTCCTGACCTCAAGTGATCTGCGCGCCTAGGCCTCCCGAAGTGCTGGGTTACAGGCATGAGCCACTGCGCCCAGCCAAGAAAGTCCTTTTTATTGCTTATAGGGTCCTATGGCATAAGGAAAGCTGTGAATATCTACAATAACTTCCAGCCTCAGCCAGATTTTTTTTCAGTAAGAGCAGGTGCCTGGAAACAGAAGGGCTGAAACTAGATCATGCAACAGGTGATCACACAACAGGTTGGGAAAAATATTTCTACTTTCTACCTTCTGCTCTTGCCTTAGGCCTTGAAGTCCTGGCTTCGATACAATTCTTTTGCTTTGCTATTTTCACTAGCAGAGGCAAGTTCTTCCCCCCAAAAGTTGTGAGTCCATTTTGATAAGTAAAACTGAACTAAGCTAATTTTAGGTGAAGTGCCCCCCCTATATTTGTATAATGCATTTAAAACCATTTTTTATAACCACTTGTTGTAAGTTCACTATCAAACTTGTGAATTACTCAAGTTATCTCGAGAAATAGGGACAACAAGCATTTAAGCAAGATACCCAAAGTGTCACAACACAGAATTGGATGTACAGCTGTGTGTGGTCTCCTGATTGCATATTTGCCCTCTTTCAGGAACATCTGAATTCACAACAACAACAACAACAACAACAAAAAACTAGCAAATAAGTTAGATCTTACAGATTATTAATTCTTTGATTTTATTTGATAAATGCAGACAGCAAATGCCTGTCTGAAGCCAGGGTGTTATTCATTGGCAGTGTCAGAATAGCTGGGACTTAGCAGACTTACTGTTTGGCACCCATACCACTGTGATGTAGCACCTTGCATTAAAAACAGCAAAATGCCCTACAGTCCCGATGCTTCCATTTTCAGAACATTTAGATGGCTATCCTTCTGGAGTTGTGCAGTCCACAACTTGCAAATCCAAATAAAGTGGCCATGTATGGCTTATTTCTGTATTGTTGCTACACATCACATATAGGCTGATTAAAGATCAAATTTCCTTGCTTGTAAGTAAAATTATGGCATCTCAAGGTGGAAAAAAAATTGTTTAAACTAATGAGACTGTGCGTGCATGAAGAGAAGAAGAACGGGGATAGGTAATTAAAGGAGACTTTGGTGGTGACGAGATTAGGAACTAGGTCCTGAACTTACCCTACAGACATCTGGGGTTTGTGAGCCAAGGACAAGAGTTTAGTGAAATGGGAGAGACATCTATGGTAACTATGGGGACAAGTAGAGCCTAGAAGGGGAAACAAAGCAAAATACTTTCTTCACATGTTTATAGTGGTGTTCATATTGAGGTGGATTAGAAAGATAGTTTCTAATCTTAGATTGAAAGGCACCTCAAGAAGCCATCTCTGTTTTGTTTTTTTAATGTATTTTTAATTTAGGGAACAATGGCTTTGTCTCATTTTATACATAAATCCATTTAAGTAATCAACCACGCTATAATAGGGTTCTACTATAAATCATATGAGAACCAAACATTACTTACTATTTTTTAACACAGGAAAAAAGTCTTTAAGATCATGTTTGGAAATATGACATTTAAGGTTTTAAAAAAATTTTATAAAAATTCCAAGAAAAATATTCCATTTACAAGAGCTGCAAGAAAAGTAAGATACTTAGTGACATGGTTTGGATCTGTGTCCCCACCCAAATCTACGTTCAGTTGTAATCCCCAATGTTGGATATGGGGCCTGGATGTTCCCCTGGATGCTGTGTTACAATAGTGAGTGCGTGCTCAAGAGATTTGGTTGTTTAAAAATGTGTAGCACCTCCTCCCTCTCTCTCGGTCCTGCTCCTGCTGTGTAAGAGCCCTGCTCCCTCTTTGTCTTCCACCATTCTTGGAAGCTCTCTGAGGCCTCCACAGAAGCAGAAGCCACTATGCTTCCCGTACAGTCTGCAGAGCCATGAGACAATGAATCTTCTTTTCTTTATAAATTACCCAGTCTCAGGTATTTCTTTATAGCAATGGAAGAACAGACTAATACACTTAGGAATAAACTTAACTAAGAAAGTGAAAGATCTCTACCCCGAAAAACTACAAAACATTGATGAAAGAAATTGAGAAGGACACAAATAAATGGGAAGATAACCTATGTTTGTGGATTGGAAGAATTAATATTCTGAAAATGGCCATAAAACCCAAAGTGATCTACAGGTTTAAGGCAATGCCTGTTAAATATCAATGATATTTTTTACAGAATTAGAAAAACAATCCTGAAATTTATATGAACCACAAAGACCCTAAATAGCTAAAGCAATTCTGATAAAAAAGAAGGAAGGCTTAGACATCACATTATGTGACTTCAAAATATGCTACAAAGCTAATGTAACCAAAACAGCATAAAAACAGAAACATTGACCAATGGAACAGAATAGAAAGCTCAGAAATAAATTAACAAACCTACAGCCAACAGCCAATTGATTTTCAACAAAGGTGCCAAGAATCCACACTGGAGAAAGGACAATCTCTTCAATAAATGGTGTGGAGGAAAATTGAGAAAAAGAAAAGTTAAAAAAAATTAAAAAGTCACATCTCCCGCATGCAGAAAAATGAGACTAAATCCCTACCTCTCACCATATACAAAACTCAGTTAAAATGAATTAAAGACTTAAATTAAAGGCTTGAAACTATGAAACTACTAGAAGAAAACATAGGGGAAACATTTCATGACGTGGGGTTGGGCAATGATTTTTGAAATAAAACTTCAAAAGCACAAGTGACAAAAAAACAAATGAGATTATATAAAACTAAAAAGCTTTTGTACAGCAAAGGGATCTATAAGCAGAGTGAAGGGACAACCTACATAATGGGAGAAAATATCTGCAAACTATCCATCTGGCAAGGGTTAATATTCAGAATATATAAGGAGCTTGAAAAACTCAACAGCAAAGAAACAAATAACATAACTTAAAAATGAGAAAAACACCTGAGCAGACATTTCTCAAAAAAAGACACACAAATGCCCAACAGGTATATGAAAAGATACCCTAATCATCAGAGAAATGCAAATGAAAACCACAGTGAGATACCACCTCACTCCAGTTAGAATAGCTATTATCAAAAAGATGAAAGGAAACAAGTGTAGGCAGGTATGTGGAGAAAAAGAGACATTTACACACTGTTAGTGAGATTGTAAATTAGTACAGCCATTATGGAAAACAAAGGTGCCAAGAGTATACATTGGAGAAAGGACAGTATGAAGATTCCTCCAAAAATTAAAAATAGAATTACCATATGGTCCAACAATCCCACTACTAGGTATATATCCATAGGAAATTAAACCAGTGTGTCAAAGAGATGTCTCCACTCTCATGTTTATTGCAGCACTTTTTACAATAGCCAAGATATGGAATCAATCTAAGTGTTAAACAATGAATGAATAGATAAAGAAAATGTGGGCCAGGCAGGGTGGCTCATGCCTGTAATCCCAGCACTTTAGGAGGCCGAGGCGGGTGGATCACCTGAGGTCGGGAGTTGGAGACCAACCTGACCAACATGAAGAAACACCATCTCTACTAAGAATACAAAATTAGCTGGGGATGGTGGCTCATGCCTGTAATCCTGGCTACTCAGGAGGCTGAGGCAGGAGAATTGCTTGAACCCGGGAGGCGGAGGTCGTGGTTAGCCGAGATTGCGCTATTGCACTCTAGCCTGGGCAACAGAAGTGAAACTCCATCTCAAAAAAAAAAAAAAAAAAAGAAAAAGAAAAGGAAAATGGGGATACCATTCTACGATTAAAAAAAAAGAAATCTTGTCATCTGTGACCATATGGATGAACCTGGAGGACATTATGTTAAGTTAAATAAGCCAGACACAGAAAGACAAATACCACATTGACATGATTTGGCTGTGCCCCCACCCAAATCTCATCTTGAATTGTAATTCCCATAATCCCCAGGTGTCATGGGAGGGACCTGGTGAGAGGTAATTGAATCATAGGGGTGGTTACCCCCATGCTGCTGTTCTCATGACAGTGAGTGAGTTCTCACGAGATTTGATGATTTTATAAGAGGCTTTTCCCTCTTTTGCTCAGCCTTCTCCTTGCTGTTGCCATGTGAAGAAGGATGTGTTTGCTTCCCCTTCTGCCATGATTGTAAGTTTTCTGAAGCCTCTCCAGCCATGCCAAACTGTGAGTTAATTAAACCTCTTTCCTTTATAAATTACCCAATCTCAGGTATGCCTTTATTAGGAGCATGAGAATGGACTAATACACACATGATCTTACTCATATGTGGAATTTTTTTAAAAGTCAGTATCATAGAAGTAGAGAGTAGAACAGTGTTTACCAGAGAACGGGGAAGGAAGAGGGGATGAGGAAGATGGAGAGAGCTTAGTCAAGGACTCAAAGTTGCAATTAGATAGGAGGAATACGTTCTGGTGTTCTCTTGCATAGTAAGGTGACTATGGTTAACAGTAAGGTATTATATAATCACAAAATTGCTAGAAGAGAGGACTTTGAATGTTCTCACCTCAAGGAAATGATAAATGCATGAGGTGATGGATAAACTAACTATCCTGATTTGATTATTAAACAGCATAGATATGTATCAAAACATGAAATTGCATCCATACATATGTACAATTACAACGTGTCAATTAAAAAATTTAAAAAATCGATATCTCTCATGGAAGTCCAAGTCGTTTACTGATACTGGTTCTGAATTTGTCCAGATGCATTAAATACTTGATTGATATTAATATCAATATTAGACTCAGAATGGGCTGCTAACGAGCCAAGAACTAAGGAATTTAGTTCTTGTCATTCAGGTGCACTGGGGGAGAAAAAAAGCAATGCAATTGGAGTCAGTCCCTGAAATACAACCACTTGAAGAATGCACTGTCACAGGGGACAGCAGGGCCAATACTTGTGTCCTGTGAACTTGAGAGGCCATGCTCTGCTTTGACCTCTCCCAACCTGTTTGCCTCTGGCTGCACCACTGTGCTCTCTTCCCAGCTCTCTCTGGCGTTGCCACTGTTGGCTGCCTCCTGCTGTGGCCCGAGCCATGCTGGCCTTGGTCCACTGGTTTAGTTGTGACCCTGTGCCTCATGGCCCTGGCTCACTTGCTCAGCCTCTTATCCTCCTGGACTCTCTTGGGAATAAGAACAGAGGAATACTAAAATACTGAGGACAAGATACATTTGGAGGATTTTTTTTAATTAATGAAAGTTACCATTGCAGTAGCACCATGTAGCATATAATTATTAAATACTCTGTAATAAGATCTTACATATGTGTCTACTATCTTCCCCTCTGAATACATTTATATTTTCAAGAGTTTGAAGCAAGATTACATGAAATAAAATTCATGCAATAGTGATACTAAATAGAAGAGTAAAATCTAAAACCAAAAGGCAATAAACATTTTTAATAATAGGCAGCAACAAATGACAGAAACTTACAGAGGTCTACTGTTTGTACCAAAGTTTGTACCAAACTTAAATATTTCAGGTTAGTTTAAGATTTTGTGACCAATATGTGTTAATAATGGCTCAGGAAATAAGGACTTGATACCTTAATTATCAAGGTAGAAGTAGCTTAGTGGTAGAGCAAGTGTCTGGAAGTATGAACTGATGCCAGACATGATGAATTTTCAATTAAGATATCAGCAGTTATGCTCAAACCCTCCTGGGAACTGAAAAAGCAACTTTTATGCTGTGAGTTTCCATATTTGCCTTGGCTCCTCTAACATAAATTCTTTCTTTCTGTATTTTTTTTTATAGAATCGAGTTCTGTTTTTACAAAATCATTGCACATTAGAAAATGTTACATTAGGTAAAATTTCAAACATTTAAAAGTAGAGAGAGTAGCATGCTAAGCATTCCTGTACCATTACCCAGCTTCAATAATTATAACCTCGTGGATAATCTTGCTTCATCAGCACTCCTTGCTCTGCCCATCTAGATTACATAGAAGCCAATTCCAGGCATCATATCATTTCCTTATGTATCTCTAGAAGGTATAAACTATTTATGTAAATATACCAGTAATACTATCACAACACCTTGAAAATAATAATTCATTATTATAAAACAGGTCAGTGTTCAAAAACTTCCAATTGTCTTGTAAAATTTTTTTAACATTTTAAAATCAGAAACAAAATTAAATCAATGTACAACCAATTGTAATTGGTTGATTTGTCTTCTAAAATTTTTTTGAAATGGAGCTATTATTTATATATGGCACTATTCGCCCTTTTAAGTATACGATTTTACAAGTGTCGACAAACATAGTCTTGTAATCACCATCTCAACCAAGATATACAATATTTCTATCACTCCCAAAACTTTTCTTGTGTCCCTTAGTTGTCAGTTCTCCCTACCCTCAGGCCCTGGCAGGGACTAAGCATTTTTTTTTTTTTTCTGTCTCTATAGGCTTGCCTTTTCCCAAATGTCATACAAATGGAATCACACCATATAGCCTTTTGAGTCTGGCTTCTTTCACTTAGTATATTGTGTTAATGATTAACCTATGTCACTGTATGTATTAGTAATTTCTCCCTTTTTATTGCTGAGCAGTATTCTGTTATGTGGATATAACACAGTTTGCCTCATCATCTACCTGTTGAAAGACTTTTGGGTGGTTTTCAGTTTTTTGCAATTATGACTAAAAGCTCTCTAAACATTAATGTATAGGCTTTTGTATGAATATAATTTTTAATTCATTTAGGGAAATATCTAAGAATATGATTGCTGGGTCCCATGGTAAGTACATTTTTAGCTTTATAGGAAACCGCTAATGTTCCATCTTCATTCTCACCAGCAGTGTGAGAGTTCTATTTGCTCTGCATCCTCACCGGTATTATTAAACTCTAACCATTGTAACAGATATAAAATAGAAACCTGTTGTGGTTGTAATTCACATTTTCTAATAAGTGATGATGTTGAGCATCTTTTTATGTGCTTATTTGCCATTTATATCTGCACTTTGGTCAAGTGTCTGTTTGGTTTACTTGCCCCTCTCCTGCTTTCTTTGTAAAGAGATGGGGTCCTGCCCTGTTGCCCAGCCTGGAGTGCAGTGGCATGATCATAGCTCACTGCAAACTTGAACTCCTGAGCTCAAGTGATTTTCCAACCTCAGCCCCCTGAGTAGCTAGATGTGCTCCACCACTCTTAGCTAATACTTTTAGTTTATGTAGAGATGGGGTCTCACTATGTTGCCCAGGCTGGTCTCAAACTCCTGGCCTCAAAGAATTTTCCTGCTTTGGCCTTTCAAAGTGCTGGAATTACAGGCATGATCCACTATGCCTAGCTTATTGCTCATTTTTTAAATGGAGCAGTTTTTCTTAATATTCTTTTGAAAATTCTTCATATAGCCTAGATAAAAGCCCACTAGTAGGTGTGTTTTATAAATATTTACTTTGTCTGTGGCTTGTATTTTCATTCCCTTAACAATGTCTTTTAAGAGTAAACGTTTTCATTTCGATGAAATCCATGTTAATCTGTAGGTTCTCCCTTTCTCTTTTATAATTCCTAAAAATGTATTTGTTGATGCAACCAAGCCGTGGGCCACACACTGCAATTAGTTGATGTATCTCTTAAGTCTCCTTAACCCTTCTTCTTCCATCTTTCTCACTCTCTCTCTTTTTTAATCCCTTGAAATTTATTCATTGAAGAAACCAGGTCATTTGTCTAATAGAATTTCTCTTAGTCTGAAGTTTACTGATTCCCACCACTCCCGTATTTCCTGCAAACTGATAGTTAGATCCAGAGGCTTGATGAGAATGAAGATCAATTTTGTAGTAAGAATACTGCATAGGTATACTTCAGCCAGGAAGCACATATGTCTGATGACTTTTGGGAACATTAGCAGCCATTAAAGATTATGGCTATTTATATATTTTTGTCAAGCAACAACAGCTGTAATCAAATTCTGTTTCTTCTTGAGAATTTTATTCATCTCTTACTATAATTTGACAAAAAAGTGCTATAACATCTTATAGTGTAAGAAATACTCTTCATATAGTATTTTGATTGGCCCTACCAACAACTTATTTAATAGACTTTACTCTTATCTCAGTTTTTCCCATGAAGTTACTGCAGTTCTGAGACAATAAATAACTTTTCTGAAATCACATGCAGCCAGAAGAAAGGGAATTTTATGAACCTGGATCCCATGTTCTTTACATCAGAAAATATTATCTCCTTATCAATTATATGTCATTGAATCATTTGAAAATTTTCATTGAGCACCTGTTATCTATTAAAACACTAAAAGTCAAAGTGGTTAGTAAAACTGACATTGTCCCTACCTGCATAGTGTTTACAGTGTAGTTAGAGAGATGGGCATTAAATAAATAATAACATACATAAATACCCAATTATCACCTCCTGTGATAAATGCTCTCATATGTTTGTTTTATAGATATTTTAGAACAGCTATTTTATGAGATATTTTTAAATTGTTATTTAGCCTGATTCTTCATCTCCCTATCACCATTTCAGAAGGCTTACACTATTACTGAAATGAATGTTTTCCTGCCCTTTGAACTGGAAGGAAAATACCTTCCCCAACACACATATGACCTCTATTCAACACTGAGAAAGTAGTAGAATCTCATGAAATATATATTTATTGGTTAACCAGTTATTTAACTAGTCTTATATATATGTTAGTACTTCATTTCTACAGAACTTAATTGTCTTTAAAATTTGCCTAATCAGGAAAGCAGCCAATACCCCAGAAGCCAAAAAGGACTAAAATAGATATACAAAGAACAATCAAAATATGTAAAAATACTCTGAAACAAAATGCATACTTTTTTTTCATAGAGGGATTCCATTTAACCATTTAAAACCTAAATTCTCTTAAAAATATGAGAATTTTTTGCACACAGTAGTTTTGAGTGTGGCTTTTTAATATCTTAACCTACCACAGAGTAGAGGCCACAAATTGAAATGTGATAATAGGATTGAAATAAGCACATATATACTAAAAGCAAGAAGAAAGAATTGCCTGAGAGTCTGGGGGAAGAGGAGAAGGTAGAAAAATTTAAACAGAAAATCTTCTAAAAAAGCCACACATCTGTCTTGTGACTACACATTTCTATCAATCCTGAGGGCAGTGCTGTAACTGATGTTTATAATAACATTCTGTAGCACATCAGAAAAAGTTGACATGTCCAATGAATTCTGTTTAAAAAGATAGAAGCATGTGTATTTATTAAAATTACTATTTAAAATGGTTAAAACAGAAAACACAGCCAAACCATTTTAAAGCTAAAAGAGTAACCCTTAGTTACCTACATTCCTTGGCTTTTTAGATTTAATTTTCAGAGGTTTGTGAATAGTCAGGTTTTCATTGGAAACTTAGAATCATTTCTAAATGAAACCAATAATTCTTAGCGCTCTGGTTAATCAACTTGTATTGACACAGATCCTCGAGGACACTCTCAATTCAAAGTCAAAAATCACGTTTTTTGTTTTTGTTTTGTTTTGTTTTGTTTTGTTTTGTTTTGAGATGGAGTCTCCCGCTGTAGCCCAGGCTGGAGTGCAGTGGCATGACCTCAGCTCACTGCAACCTCCACCGCCTGGCTTCAAGTGATTCTCCTGCCTCAGCCTCTAGAGTAGCTGGGACTACAGGCGTGTGCCATCATACCCGGCTAATTTTTGTATTTTTCAGCAGAGACGGGGTTTCTCCATGTTGGCCAGTCTGGTCTCGAACTCCTGGCCTCAAGTGATCTCCCCACCTTGGCCTCCCAAAGTGCTGGGATTACAGGTGTGAGTCACCGCACCTGGCCAAAATCATCTTTATTAACTCACCTCTATTTCTTCAGCATTGGCTCAAAATGGAGTTTATCCATTTACAAGACTAAAATCCTTTGACTTCCTATTTAAGAGTGATCTGCTCAGTGTAGTTCATTCAACACACATTTACTGAGTGATTACTATTTGCCAGGCTATGACTATTCCTTTACGAGGAATAAGAAAGTACGAGGTAAAACTGGTTTACTGTTTCACTGCTATATTCTCTTTCACATAAATGACAAAAAAAGATGTTAGAAACAAGTTCTGAATTTTTGCATCATTTCTGATCTATTGTAATCTATTGATTTAATAAGGATGCATGGGCCAAGTTTATGATTTCAATATAAATAGCAGGCTTTCAATGTGGATTCAGAGACTTTATCACAAAGCTACTTGCAAACATAGAGTGGGTAGGAGCTGATAGATTAATTTCCACTCCTAATTGCAATTAGTAAATTGTCACAATGATTGTATTGATAAAATGCATGTTTTCTTGTCATAGCAAACAGTAAAGGACACATTCTTATGGGAATGACAGGTGGCTAATAGCTTAATCTACTAACTAGTGACAGTAAAATAATAATATATAGTACTATTTAATAGTAATTATAATTATTACTTAATAATATTATATAATGAAATATAATGTATAATAATATTCCCTGATGATTACCAATGATACCCCAACCCAAACTGTCATTTGGTGTCCAGTCGATGCTTTATAACCCCACTGTGATGAGTAAATTATTTAACATTAGCAACGTGGTAAGTTCTCTGGGATAATTCTTTCATGGCTACCTTATCCAGGCAGGCCCATCCAGATACAGGCTGCTCAAAAAAGAACTATTCTACAGGCACCATACATTTCTCATAAGTACTTTTATATGCATGCATGATACAATCACAGTGTAGGACGTTTAACAGAAAATTGGTTACATTATTTCTTGTCTCTCCCCAAATGAAATCTGGGACATTATGACAATTTATTTTTCTAAGGATGATCTTGGTTCTGCCTATTGAAATGTCCTCACTCACCTCCAAGAGGAAGGGGGATGGCTTCAGAAAATGTCTTTAAGTGTTTTTATTTTTCACGAGTTATTTATTGCAACACTAGCTCTTCCCTGCAGGAAGCTATATAATTGTGTGCTTAATTGGTAACATAGAAGAATTCCTAGCTACTTCCTAGAGAATATACTGTTGAATTCCTTGTCACTCAAGTATCTGTTAAAAACTCAACCGTGGGAAACAATGTCTATGGATGCCTTTGGGAAAATACACATTTTACCTATTATTTCATCTTTTTTCTACTTTGTCAAGTAGTAGGTACCCCACAAAAATTGTTGATTGAATACATGAATAAAATCTTTCATTGAATTAAATCTCTTAAAAGCTGAAACATGTAACTCCAGAAGATATTTTTTGGCCCCCTAGTGAATTGTTGTTCCTGAATTCTATTTGGTGTGATGCTCTGGACTTGCACTGATAATTTCTCTTTGCAGCCTCCTATGGAACTCATGTTATTACATATCTCACTCTCTATAAACTACCTCAACATTTCTTTTCTGGTGCTAATGTGAGGAAGATAAGGCAGGCTTATCTTGAGAAATGGATTTGTTTTTATTTTACGGATATTATGAATTGGGTCACCAATCAGATTTCCCTTTTCTGATTCACTGTCACAGAGAAAAATTTATGGCTCAAAACGACAGTATGATTGCATCTTTCATTTAACTCATTTCCACTTCTAGTTTTTGCCCCCATGTTTGTTTTTCCTTATTTATTCTCATAGAATTTGTAGTTTATGATTTATTGGCATATTTTATTTGTAGCTTATTGCTATATTTTATGTTGCCCAAGATCTTAAATCTCTTTTGAAATAAGATAAAGTATTGATAAATAAAGTTTAATCCATCAATTAAACAAAACATATTCTATTGTATAGAAGAATCTGACAGTTGTTAGTCTGCACTTTTAAAAGCCACTGAGACAAGACAATCTTGGGAAGAATATTTATTATTTGTCTACTAACCACCCCTGCCTCCTTCTGAAAAAAAAGCAACTCATTCTTCTGGAAACTACTCCTCCTTCCACTGCAACTCTGCCTCCTAGAAATGTTGAGGACTCTAAGGATGGGTAACCAAACCAAGCCATTCAAATCACGGGCATTCCTTGGGTTGTTTTTGTTGTTTGTTGGGGAGTTGGTGTGGTGTGTGTTAGGCAATCTTGTCCTGTGATGGAATTGAGATGTAAAACTTAGGAACTGTCAGTGATCATATTTCCTGCCATGAAGAGAAAGACTGACTCAGTGTGAGACAAAGTTGGCACAGAGGGGAGGCGGGGAAGAGAGAGAGAAAGAATGTAAGTGAGAGAGAGAAAGTAAATGAAAGAGAAACCTGGCATCATTCAAGTTCCTGACACATTCAGTTCCTGAGACCCAACTCAGTGCTTTCTTTCACATGGTTTGGATATTCACTGCTTCTTTAGATTTTGGGAGATAACAAATTCCTCTTTCTCAATATGGGTTCAAATTGAGTTTCTATCACTTTCAAGCAGGAGTCCTTAATGATAGATGCTGCTTTCAAGCTTTATTGTGAAAAATTTTGGCCCTAATCCTCATCAGCCCCAGTCTACTTTTGTGCAAGGATATAATTTACTCGTCAACTTGGGAAGTCTGTATCTGGCTCTAATTTTCATTTGAAAGAAAACCAGTTTTTCCTCTTAATGATATGGTATATAAAACATCTGAAGTTTGTTTTGGAAAATACTAATATTGCAAGCATTTTTCAGTTAACTCAAACTCAAGTGTTTTGCTCTCTTGATTGTGTCAAAAGTTGGACTTGGACAGTGGTTTCTGGAGATACGGGAACATGATAACTAGCATTTTCCACATTGTTTTACTCTATCTCCATACCAAATCAATAGAAATCTACATGTCTGGATGAGTAGAATGGAAAGAATGTGACTTTAGACCATGAAGATCCAGATTCATGTCTTAGCTTTACATGACCAAGATCCTCAATCTCTCACAGTTCCCCTAGGAAACTTCTAGAAGAACAGTAATATGTACCTCCCAACATTGTTAGGGAAAAAATATGTAAAGCCCTAATACGGCATCAACATATAATAGTGGGAGTTATTGTCACTTTATTGGCTCACTATAGAAAGACCTTTCAAAAACTTTAACAATTTGCCTTCAGCTTTTATTCAGAATTCATACCCTCCCCAACACCCACAAGCTGTATTTATGTATCTTCATCCTTTGTACTATTATTAATTACCTAATCCTCTTTACAGAAATATCCTTACACTATACTCCCTCTTAGAATTTTGTCCTAGAAGAATAAAGACGTTTCTAAATTGCTCGTTTTCTTTTTATGTTGATAAAAGCATGTGAACTCATCCTGTTCTCCCTCATCTTCTTTCTTTTTCCCTTTGACTATCAGTAAAAATAGAGCTAAATTTAATGCTCAGTTGCATAAAACTAGATTAAACTACCTACTTATTACCTCCTTAATTATTTAAAAACATTATTGTATTCTTTCATTGGTTATGTTGTATGTGTGACTTCAAGTAAGCTTACATTATTCTTGGGAGTAGGCATCAGTGTATAAATAATAAATGCAATAAAGGCCTACACTATTTTAGCAACCCTCAGATGAAGAATGACTGAGCCAAGAGTGTGAGGGTGGTAGGTCTTGTATTTGATAGTTGTTGGACAAAGTGCTCCGGCTCCCTACAGATCACCCTTCAGGCACCAGTTCTACATTGGCTGCCTCCTATTCTCCCTTCTGGTCAGGCTTTGTGAGAGGCACCCTGTCTTTCAGACTCCATAGTCCATGTAGCCCATTGCCTGCCAGCTATGAAGGAAAACCACAAGGTAAAAACTTCTTCAACTTGAGTCAAAGTGTTCACAGCTAAGGGCAACATCAGACTCAGGGAAGGCTATATCTACTGCTAGACATGCAGTAGACACTGGGAGAATTTATATCTTTCTTAATGATTTGGACTGTCATTAACCTACTCTCTGAGGAAGACTTGACCCCCCTTTGTGTCTTGGTTTTTATGACACCTACACTTGTTTACCCACCATCTTTGTCCATTTGCGTTCTTGTAGCAAAATACCACAGACTGGGTAATTGGAAAGAACAGATACTTTTTTAAAAAAATAGTTATGGAGGCTAAGAAGTCCAAGATCATGGCTCTGGCAGGATTGCTGTCTAGTGAGGGCTGCTGTTTGCCTCCAAGATGGCACTTCACTGTCATGTACTCCAAAGGGGAGGAGTGCTGTGTTCTCATATCAGGGAAGGGACTAAAGGAGGGAAAAGGGCAAATTTCCTCTGTCAAGCCCTTTTAAAAGAGAACCAAATTCCATGAAGGAGGGCAGAGCCCTCATGACTCAGGGACCTCCTAAAGGTCTCAACTCTTAATACTGTTGCATTGAAGATCAAGTTACAACATGAATTTTGGATGGGGAAAAACACTTAACCCACAACACCACCTGCATCTCCAACTAGAACAAGACCTGCTTAAGGTTAGAAGCTGTGTCTTACTCTTCTCAGAATCTTCAGCGTACCCTACAAACCTAGTACATGGTTTACACAGTATGTTAAAGGAATAAACATATCCTCAGCATAGCAAGTTGAAATGCTTAATCATTTGCCACCAATAATAAAGTGTAAATAGAAATTATTCATTACAATGGTATTTTGTTCTCATTTCCAGAAATCAGATTCATGCCTTTTGTAAAGAATGTGTAGTCTCAGGATAATAGAGTCCTGCACTTAAAGGGAGATAATGCCTAGAAGAATCAAGTTAACTTTGCAGATGTTTTGATATATCTGGAAATATCTCTAATAGGAAAATGAAAGCCAGGAAGCTTTTCTGGAACAGTAGGTTTTATGTTGCTACTTAAAATATTCTGTGCCATTGTTCAACTATATGCCATCCCAGCAATCTTTGAGTTTTAAATATTTGGCCCCTAGAGAACCACTTGGGTCAGTTGCTGTCTGGTCACCATCCCATTCTAAGACTGCCCTTCGGGTTACATACACTGATGCTGCCAAGCACTGATGAACTATTCTTATATAAAAATAGAAAGTACATTCTAGAGGTGAAACATATATACATATCTTTTTAAAGTAATGTTTAAGAAAACTATCTTATATTTCCAAATTCCAGAGGCTGTTTCTTGACAATTTCTGAGATAAATAAACCACACATTCTTTTAAGTCAGAAGCAGCAAGTTTGAATTAGTCAATGGAATCTTCACCTACATTATTTATCTACATCTTATCATTATATATGTCAGTTAAAGGAAGGAATTGGTATGACTATTTTACTAGAAAAGTGATGTCTTCCAAAACTGATGAGGAAACCTGAGTGAAAGCTCAATGGAATTAATTTCTTTATTGGTGTTTTCCTGTTTTAGGAAAGGTTCTTAACATGTTAGTAATTTCAAATAACTCTCCATAGCTGTTTCATTTTTCTAAATTATAAAATACATTCTCTCAGCTCCAAATACTTCCTGGCCTCTGACTATTGATAATTGGAGTTTGAAGGTTCAAACAAGATCAGAATAGCTTACATTGGAGAAAGTGACTATCACAGTTAATTTTATGTGTCAGCTTAGCTAGGCCACACCACCTAGATATTTAGTCAAACATTATTTTAGATGTTTCTGTGAAGGTTTTTTTTAGATGAGATCAACATTTATATCAGCAGATTTTGAGTAAAGCAGATTACTCTCCATAATGTGGGTGGGCCTCATCCAATCAGTTGAAGGCCTTAAGAGAAAAAGATGAACTTGTGGAAGAGGGATTTCTGCCAGCAGACTGTCTTCAGACTTGAACTGCAATACCAGCTCTTCATTGGCTCTTCAGCCCACCAGCCCACCCTGCAGATTTTGAACTTGTCAAGACTCCACAATCATGTAAGCCAATTTATTACAATAAATCTCTCTCTGTCTCTCTGTATCTCTCTCATTTCTTATATATTATATATAATTTATATAATATACAATGTTATATAGTATATATAATAGAATTAATATATAATTAATATATAAGATTAATTATATCTAATTTATACATTTATACATTGTATATGTAATTATATAAAAAGAATTTTATATATATTTTTAAAAATATAAATATTACACCAAATCTTTTTCATTATATACATAATATATGCATTAATTATATAATTATATTACATATATTTATATACATTATATATTAATTGTATATATTAATTATATCTAAATCACGTATTTATATATAAATTTTTTATTCATATATAAATTAATATTTTATTTATATATAAATTAATATTTATTTATATATAAATTAATATTTTATTTATATGTTTATATAAATATAAATATCTATGGATAGTATATTAAATATAACAATATTGTTATAATTATTTAAAATATAATAATTAGACAAATATATAAGTATATAAATATATAATTTTATATATTAATTATCTTCAAAATTATATGATATAGTGTGTATAAAATGAAAGACATTTATTGTAATGTTAATTTATTATTATTTATTTATATATTGAAATATATAATATATTTTGTAAATGTAATATGTAAACCTTCCATATATTTATTTATATGTATTTTAAAATATATATCATATATTACATATTTTATATATGAGACATATTATGTTCATATGTTATATTTTTATATATGACATGTATCATATAAATATATAATATAAAAATATGTAATGTACATACACACATACATATACTATATATAAATATGTAATATACATGTACACACACATACACACACATGTATATATTCTATTGATTCTGTTTATTTGGAGAAACTTGACTAATACAGTGACCTTTTATCCTATTTGGTCAGTGGAATCTGAATGGCCTCAAAAAGTGATGTCAGGTAGACTCTTCATTTTATTAGTCTGCTTTAGTAATCTGTTACAATATATTACAATCTTCCAATTATAATTATATTATGTAACTACAATATATTAAACATTAAGAGAAGAAGCTTGTTAAAACTAGTGTTGGTTTGTTGCTAAAACAAAATACCACAGGCTGGGAAATTTATAAACAACAGACATTTATTTCTCACAGTCTGGAGGCTGAGAAGTCCAAGATCAAGGTGCTGACACATTTGGTGCCTAGTGATAGCTGCTCCCTGCTTTAAGTAGGCACTACTTGCTAAATCCTCACACGGAGGAAGGAGTGAAAAGGGAACAGAGAATGCTGTCTTCACATGACAGAAGAGAGGGAAAGGCAAAAAGGTGCTAGAGCACTCCCAACTTCTTTTATAAGAGCATTAATTCGTTCAAGAGGATAGAGCCCTTGTGGCCTAATCAACACCCAAATTCCCCTTTTCTTAATCACTTTGGGCTTTAAGTTCCAACATAAGAATTTTGGAGGGACACCTACGTTTGAACCACAACACTAGGAATAATTTTTAATTTATATATTTCAAAAATTTGGCATCTTTGTTATGGAGCAGGCAATTGCCTGTATACTGGCCAATATACTTTTTTTTTAGTTTAACAAGTGTGTATTAACTGCATGCTTTTCTGCGCACTGCAATTCAAGCTATGATTTTGGGTTGAAAAGCTCTTGTGGTTTGGGTTGTGACTATTAGCACCTCACTGTAATACAGACACAGAAGTGATCCCCTGATCTAGCCATTGTTCTACCAGGAACTTGTTTCCCAGGATTTTTGCTGACAAACTTGCATTTCAGTTGCCTGTTTACTCCTGGAAGTGCAGATATGGACAACTGGAAGTGCTGGAAATGCTGGTCCTGGACAATTGGCTTGATGTCAGGTAGCTTCAGTTCTAGGCTTGACTGAGACAACACAGGTGCTTTTAACTTCCCCACCCCTCGCTGCAGGATATAGCAAAATCAGCAGAAGCAGAGCCAGGCAAAGACAACTTTTTATTTTTTCTCCCCTCTTTCTTACCCGTCCCCATCATGTTTTAAATGAATTCTCTGTTCCAAAGCACATGAGCTCCTTCCCAGAGGCTGATAGTCTCTCAGTTCCTCTGGTCAGTGCAGGCCTTTCCCATGGGTCTCAGCCAGGTGTTTCTTCCTCATGCACCATGTACCCATTGTCCACTGAAGTGGGTCTAGGGGAATGGACAGGCAGGGTATGTGGAAGGTCTAGACAATGGAACAAACCAATGGAGCTGCATTGCAGCTCTGTGCGTTTGCAGCTCTGTGAATAGGTTATTATGGGTTCTTTTTATATCTAAGCAGCTGACTGCCTGTTGTCAGAATCAAAGATAAATGTAATTATCAAAACCCATATATGCCAAACACCCTCCATAGGAAGCAGTGGTGTGCACTGATCATATTTTTGATCCAGAAACCAGTCTTTAATTAGAGAAGCTCAGGTAGAGGGAAATAACACTTCAATATGATCAGGTCTATCCAGTGAAGAAGGAGTGGGTGAGAAAGCCCACCCTGAAGGAATCAAATCCTCTCTCTGGGCAGCTCTCCAACCTCTAGCTCTACGGACCTCACTTTTTGAGTGGGAAAAGCCCATAGTATGGCCCAATTAAGTCAAAAGATGGTATCAAATTGTGTTAAAAAATAAAACTCCTTTTAATTTCATAAGGAAGTGATTCCAAATCACACTTCTAGAATGAATAGGAATTAGAGGGAATGTTATGGAATCAACTCATATGAGAAAGATTCAGCCTCAAAGATTCTGAGAATATCTGCCTTAACCAGTTGAGAAAGAAGGTAGACTGTTTCCTTTTTTAGTCTTTGCTCTTTCACAACCATGGCAGTAGGGGAATTGTTTAACTTGTGAAATGCCTTTTATACAATCTGCTTGGGAAGGCATTTTGTTTATAATGTGATAACTGTGCCAGCTTTCAGAATTCCTTTCTTTTGTTTTTAAGGTCTAACATGAAACACTGAATGTTCCCTGTCTTCACAGCCTGTTCTCCCTCCTCCCGCTGCCCCTGCCTGCTTTTTCCCTGCCTCCAATCCCATAGTCAGCTATCAGAACAACAGATTACAAGTAAACATCTATTTATTGAGCACTCATGGAATAAAGGGTTTTTTTTCTAAGTTGTGTACAGAGATGAATTTGTCAACATTTTATTAAAAGTATCTGAGGGAAAGAAAGTTTCGAACGATACTAGGGATTTTTAGCAATAAGCTTGAGAGCTTGGGGTCATATAGCACAATGACAGGTTCCAGAAACAGAGACCTGCTTTTTAATTTAGTTAGCTGCCTAAATATCATTCTGTTTCTTAATTTGTTTTCTTTGCCAGCTGTGTCAGCTAATTAACTTCCATTAAGATACATTATGAGCAAAGTTTTGTTTTTGTTTTCACTGCAGAGACTATGTTAACTCACAGTTACTTGAATTTAAAGTAACTAAGTCCATTAAGATGTATGTTAATAGTTTGGTTACTGGGAAAACATTTTGTGATTTTAAGCAATTTGTGTTGGTAGAAGGGCAAGATGATCTTTTCCCTTCTAATAGCATAATAACATATTCTTCAAATATGTAGAAAATATTGTGAAAAAGTGTTTTCTAAAGATGCTTATCTATTTTGGCTACCAAAAGAGAAATGTTTTCTGTATTTGATTTGCCTGTGTAGAAGACATCTGCAAGATATTTATTTATTTATTTTTACTTGCTCTGCACTTTTTTCTTCTGGAGAAGCAACCCATTTCCTACTTCAAGGTCAACTAAATTCAGGGTCAGTCAACAAGGTCAGTCAAGTGCTCATTATTCCTCTCCAAACTGTGATCAAGGATGGGCAGGTAGCTCAAATCAGGTTGTAATTCTAATTGCCAGGATGAGCGGTGTTTGCTTTCACTGTAATCTGCAGCTGTAAGAATAATGGAGCTCAGAGGCACTGTTTTGCCAAGACTTGGAAAATCTATGTATTAGTCCGTTTTCACACTGCCATAGCAAACTGCCCGAGACTGGGTAATTTATAAAGGAAAGAGGTTTAACTGACTCCAGTTCAGCATGGCTTGGGAGGCCTCAGGAAACTTACAATAATGGTGGAAGTCAAAGGGGAAGCAAGGCACCTTCTTCACAAGGCAGCAGGAAGGAGAAATGCTGAGCGAAGGGGGACGAGCACCTTATAAAACCATCAGATGTCATGAGAACTCACTATTACAAGAACAGCATGGGGGAACCTACACCAGTGGTTCAACTACCTCCACCTGGTCTCTCTCTTGACACATGGGGATTATGGGGATTATGGGGATTAAAATTCAAGATGAGATTTGGATGGGGACCCAAAACCTAACAATATCAACTTATGAATGAAGAGCACATCAAGGCAAGCAGATCCAGAGGTGAAGAAGAGAGCCTGATGACATTGCATGGTCTCCTCAATGTATTTGTACCTGACCCATGACAGACTGCCCACTTACTTAAGATGATAAATTTCCTCCTTTCTGTCTGTTTGCTTAGGGTAATTTGAGATATATTTCTAGCCTAACTTTGAGAAACTTCTAATATGCCCATTAATCTTTAATTAAAATGTAGTATCATATAGTCATATTTTGCCTAATACATAATATGATTTCCAAAACCTTGTCTAGATGGGAAGCTTACCAGACTTCCAATAGCAAAACTGTGATATATTTAAACTATGCCGTGGAGTACAGATCACTGTAAGAAATCTCAACAAAACTGAATATCTGTATTTGTGTCCTAGATTTTTTTTAACTCATTATTTTCAATACTGTTTATGCTTCCCAACTCAAGAGTGCCTAGGAAGAATTGAGAAGACATGAAAACATGGATTTTACTTGATCAAAAATTAATAATCCTGTTTTCAACACATACTGACTTTCAGTGTCTTGGGCATTGTTTCATCTGACTGAAAAAATGAATTTTGGACAAATGAGAAATAAATGCTAAGACCCAGTCAGAGTTCAATTATCAATTTTATATTACTTAAAAGCCTCTTCTGTCTAGATTTAGCTTAGTATATGTCACAGCCAGTGACAAGTCACTCATATGGAGAGGACTGCCAAGTCACCACGCTACTCAACTGTTGTACAAGTTTTGCTCCTAACACCTTGCCAAGTTGTTGGTGACTGTGCAATTTATACTCCAGAGAAAATTTCGTTTGTCATTCTTACTTGGTTAACTTGCCCATGAAGTTTGTCATTAATAACTTGAATTCTCTGGATCTAATACCATTAAAAATAGAAGCAAGAATCCCAGGATGCTAATTCTGTCCAATGAGTCACTTTTTATTTCTGCCAACGACCCCCTAGGGAATCAGTCTAAGGCTTAAATCCTATAAAAGCCATGGATGAATTTTCTAATGGGTGATGCAGATGGGTGTGGAAGCGTGTGGCTTAGGAGGAACTTGTGAGTTGCAGAATGAATGGCAAGAGAACACTTGCTATCAACATTCCTCCCAGCCACCTTTTAACATTTTAATATACAGGAGACAGTATTATGAATAGAATATAGAGGACATTTGTTAAAGAAATGTTAGCAAATCACTTTACTTTTACTTTTTACTTTTATTAAAAATTACTTTTACATTTTACTTTTATAAAAATGTCAGTATAACCTGGTCAACATAGCAAGACCCTGTCTCTACAAAAAAATAAATAAATAAATGAAAATAGCTGGGTGTGATGACTCACGCCGGTAGTCCTAGCTACTTGGGAGGCTGAAGTGAGAGGATCTATCACTTGAACCAAGAGGTGTGAAATTACAGTGAGCTACGATCATGTCACTGCACTCCAGCATGGGTGACAGAATGAGGCCCTGTCTTAAAAAAAAAAAAAAAAAGAAAAAGAAAATGACAATCTGCTTCCTAAGCATGTTTGTTGTGGAGATAAAATGAAGATTCAGAATATAGGTGAAAAGTGTTTGGAAATGGAGTTTCAAGGAACATGTCCTTCCATCATGATCTGGTCCCACTTGCCTCTCCAATCTTTCTATTCATCATTATCTGCTCCCATTCTCCCAAACTCTATACTTAGTCCTAAATACTTTCTGATCTCTTGTGCTTTGGGAACCTTTACAAATACTGTTCTGACCCAGTGTTCTCCCCTTTCCCCCAAACCCCGCCAAAATCTAGCTGCTACTCTCATTGTTCAGGTTCCCATTCCTATCTTGCTTTCTTCATCTCCTCAAACTGGATTTTAGGTATTTCTTCTTATGGCACTTCATTTATTATGTTTTGATTGCCAGTCTTCTTATTTCTTCCCTTCAATAGTATGGCTTTGCACATATCATCAGACCTAGATTAATGAGAAGGACACTCCCAGCTGTGTTCAAGTTGGATTATTAAAGGCCCATAATTTGACTGAAATGAATATGACATACAAAGTTTAATCTAGGTTTCTTCAGAGATAATATTCCACATCTTCAGTATTCCCTATCTTCAATTCCTTTCTTGTGTAATGATCGCAACATGGGTTTGACTTTTGAAAATCAGGCGTGTAACTGAGTAGATGCTGTATCAACGATGATAGTGATAGGTCTTCCAGATTAAAAGAGAACACTATTTTATGTGGTCTTAGAAATGCAAAAGTTCTATTCTGTGTGTTTAAAATAGTAGCTCAGAAGATAAACATTCTAGGCCAGGCCCGGTGGCTCATGTCTGTGATCCCAGCACTTTGGGAGGCCTAGGTGGGTGGATCGCCTGAGGTCAGGAGTTCGAGACCAGCCTGACCAATATGGTGAAACCCCGTCTCTACTAAAAATACAAAAATTAGCTGGGCGTGATGTCATGCACCTGTAGTCCCAGCTGCTTGGGAGGCTGACACAAAAGAATCACTTGAACCCGGGAGGCAGAGGTTGCAGTGAGCTGACATCATGCCACTGCATCCCAGCCTGGGCGACAGAGCAAGACTCTGTCTCAAAAAAAAAAAAAAAAAAAAAAGGTACAAGAAATATTCTGTTTAGACAAATGGGCTGAATTTATTTGACCAGCATGTGCAGCAAGCATATTGTAGGGAAAAACTAAGAGCCTTCTTACTAAAAACCTTCTGTTGTAATCCCTAGGTCTTTAATGACCCCTCTGGTGGAGGCCCTGAATCTGGTGTGTAAAGGGCAGATTAAAGATTGAGAAGGGTGCAAAGCATCCCAATTTGTGTTCAACTGCTTGCTTCCATTTAATCACACTTGCAGGTTTTATGACTAGTTAAACATCTTTTCATTTGTACTTGAAGATTAATTTTTTCTAAATCAATCTTCTGTGAGAAGATGGAGGGAAAGACTGCTTAGGTTTTTCTTTATGCTCCAACTGTACACCTTGGAGAAATATTTATGGTTCACCCCTGGTTCTTCTTATCTAAGGGAAGTAGCCTTGCTAACTCAGGAATGAACTTTAGACATCCTCAAAACCTGTCCTCTCACAGTCTGAGTGAGAAAATGGCCCGGAAAGTTCAAGAACTTCTCCAAGATGGCAGAGACAGGTTTAGCACCCAGATGTCCTGGGATCTCTCCCGAGCCCCTCACTTTGGCTTTTGATCTTTCACCACTTGATCTGGTCATGTTGTGGAACTTTATGTCCTCCAGGTCTGTCTTGGAGTTACTGGTGTGTAATTCCTCATTAACAAGTCTTTATAATCTGCCAGTATTTATTTACAGCCTCTCAGGGGTGATAAAGACATATATGATGGATATTTGTTATTTGAGGAGGGATTTTACCTTTAAAAATAAACTAAATAATTTAGAGGTAATTTGTAAGCAATACAGGTAACTCTGTTTTCCATTTTTTCCATTAAATGCTGATAAATAGCTTTAAAACAATAAAGCCAGTGTTGGTGGTGGCTTAAAAACAACCTCTAAAGGTCCTTTCAGAAAAGGAGTTCAAATAAGTTTAAATTGATTTCTTACTTATTTTAATATGTGAAAAAAATCGTATAGTTTTATAAGCTTTGTAATGTCTTCGCAGAATTATGATTTACTACCAAGTATAATCTAAATTTCCACAGGATGGTTAGATTTAATTGAGGTATCATCATTCTACAAAGCCAAACTTCTGAATATCAGGATGTTCTAGTTGTGTCTACAATAAGCCAAAGAATTTAGAGAATTCTGCATTTGAATTTAGGGTTTTTCTTATGATTGGCCTAAGCATAAATATTTCATATGTTTTTCAAAAAAGAGACAATTCCAGAATATTTTTTCTTTTCAAATTTGTGTTTGGTCTAGTGGGAAGCATATATTCTAAGAAACAGAATTATAGATCTTTTCTAGGCAATAGAAAAATTATACACATTTATATGGGTTTATATTGATGTATGTTCCTATTGGAAAAAAATTGTCTTAATTCGTTCTTACTGGCATAGCAAAACTAGATAATCTCACTTTGCCAGTTACAGTGACCTTCTTTTACTTTATGGATCAAATAGGGGAAAAAGTTCTTGGCAGTAGCTGAACCTATTTCTGTTTCTGGAACACAGTTCCACAAAAGACCAACTTTTAAAGAAAAAATGAATAAAAACTAATAAACAATATATGTTCCTCTTCCTGATTCAACCTAGAAGCAGATGGAGAGGCCATGGAGGCAAGTCCTGTGCTTCTATAGGCCTGATTCCTGTTTCTAAAATTGGATCTAATTCTATCAGTTTATGTCTCCTGGGAAACAGACACCAAAATGTAATTAGAAGAGCAAGAAATTAATCAAGAGTAATTCCAGTGAAAGATAAAGGGGAAAAGGGAGTAGGAATAGACAGGGAAAGACTCAGACTGTGATGTAAGTCTGACCCCTGTGGAAAGGAGAATAGGAAGGAAGGAGGATTGGATATGACTAGCCTCAAAGGGCAATAAGTATAGTACTGACAAAACCTCGGCGAAGCAAGAGAGCTCTGGTGCAAACATTGACAGAGGAGGAGCTCTGCATAAGGGACAGATGGCTAGGCCCTGGTACATCATACCCAGGCATTGGCTGGGAGCTATCCAGTCTTCTGAGGGCATTAGAGCAGGAGGCTCTCAACTGACTGCACTACTCCAGGTGAATAGCAAGTTCTTTTTATCTGAGGGGTGCATCTTGACTTCCCATTAGTAGTGAGAGATATTCAAATTTAATATTTACACTTTTCTTGGAAGGCACCTTTAAAGATTTCTTTTGTAGTCTGCCTTATTCTTGCAAACTATGGGGATACCTTGGGCATATTAAATAGCATCAGAGTAAAGTTGGGCTCCTGAAGTCAACTCATTCACAAGAGTCATATCAGTATCCTGCATGCCATTGTTTTCTACTAAAAAGCCCCAAACTGGAAATTCTATGTTTTACGCAAGATAATGAGGTGCATTTGTAACACAAATTCTCATTGCTAAACTGAAGGAAATATAGCAAAACTGTCAAAAGTAATGTGTACTAATCATCTTTTGAATAATTGGAGCAAAGCCAAGATTGTTACAAAACATGATTGGTTGACGTGCTACCAGGGACATTTCATGCCCTGTGCAGTTCTGTGAAATCAGTTTGGATTGTGATCTTCTAGTCCCCATTCTCTTTTTTTTTTTTTACTAATCCAGCAATCCATCCTCAGTTGATAAAAAATTAATTTTAAATCACAGAGGTCATTTATAGCTAGTGTATTAGTCAGAGTTCTCCAGAGAGAGAGAGAGAAATTATGAGGAATTGGATCCCACAATTATGGAGGCTGAAAAGTCTCATAATCTGCAAGCTGGAGACCCAGTAAAGCCAGTGGTATAATTCCAGTCCAATTCTGAAGGCCCGAGAACCAGGGGAGCGGAAGGTGTAAATTTCAGTTCAAGTGCAGGAGAAGACTGATATCTCAGCTCAGGCAATCAGGCAGGAAGCAAAGGGGAAAAATTCCTCCTTCCTCCATTTTTTTTTTTTTTTTTGTTATTGTTCTATTTGGGCCTTCAACAGGTTGGATGGTGCCAACCTATACCAGTGACAACCATCTACTTTATTTATTGAGTCCACTGATTGAAATGCTAATCTCATGTGGAAATACCCCAATGGACGCAGCCAGAAATAATGTTTACTCTGAGCACACCATGGCACAGGTGAGTTGACGCATACAGTTAACCATCACACCTAGGAACACAGGAACAATCAATTCTGTTAAGGGGACTCAGGGGACCAAGAAAGGAACTATGAGATTTTGAGAAGGAAGGAGACATTTGCAAGGCTAGTGGGGAGGGGCATTTCAGGCAGAGAAAACAACAGTAGCAAGTCCTGGTCAACACGGAAGTCCAGGACATACTACTCAGGAAATAACTATTTTTCTGATGTGATAGAGAGACAGACAGAGAGAGAGAGAGAGAGAGAGAGAGAGAGAGAGAGAGACAGAGAGAGACACACAGAGAGAGAGACACAGAGAGAGAGAGAGACAGACAGAGAGTCTGTGTCTATGTGTGTTATGCGTGTGTTTATCTTGTGTGTGTTTTGTCTGGCAGGGAAGAGGGAAGAGGAAGAGTGGGTGGAATGAAATCATAGAGAGTGGCTGGAAGAGCTTTATTTTGGTTCTCATAGGTTTTAATTAGTATCTTACAAAAGCTTTTTTGTGCTGTCTTTTGTGATGACAAGTGGAAACTTCTCCATCACAGATCTACTCTGCTCAATACAGTAACTTTTAGCCACCTGTGACTGTTTTATTTAAATTTAACTAAACTAAATTAAAAATTTCATTTCTCAGTTACACTATTCACATTTCAAGGGTTCAATGCCCATGAATGTCTACTGGCTATTGGATGCTACAGATAGAAACATTTAGATCATCACAGAACATTTTATCAGACAGCACTAGATGGACAATCCACAACTCAGCATTTTGCAATCATTTCTGTCCTAAAACAGACTAAAGAACTTTGGCAAGAGAACTTAATGACAGAATATTGGGCTATACCCAGTATTCTCCCTGCACGCATATATGAGTACTGCTGCAAAAATAGTTCAGAGATTTTCTTTGCATCTTCTGAGAAAAATTGAACTCCTACATGCACAGAGCTGTGATAATCGCTGATTTTCATTTTTAAACAAATTTAAAGGCTAATTGAGAGAGATTATTATAAGAGGAGGACTCTGGAATAATACTGCTGGGCTCATATTTGGTTCTGTCATTTACTAGGTGAGAGACCTTGGAGAAATAACTTAACTTCTTGATGCCTTGGTTACCCCACCTATAAAATGAATATAGAAACACAACATTCCCATAGAGTAATTATAGAGATCATATTAGTAAATATATGTCAAGAATTACAATAATGTCTGGTGGATAATATATGTTTTTAGCATTAACTAATATTATTACTAATCAGCCCTTTTTGTCAAGTAGGCACTAAATAGCCTAGTCTCTGAGCTGGATTTATGAGTCTGATTATATCTCATTATGGCAAGCATTCAATATCCATTTATTATTGTTGTTGTTATTATTATCTTTCAAATGGCAGTGTTGCCAGAAGGCAATTAGTAGTATTCTCACAAGGCCCTCCTCCTGATACCATCACTGTGAGAAAGGATTCTAACATATAGATTTGAGGAGTATACAAACATTCACACTGAAGCAATATGTTGAATAGAAAATATTTCTAAAAATCTAGAAAGGGATAAATAAGATTTCTACAAACAAGGTTTTGTTTTGTTTTGTTTTTTTGGCTGCAAAATTTTGTGACAGTGACTTCTGCTTTCTGGCAAAAGTGGAAAAACAAGAATGGATTTATCATGCTGTTTGAAACAAATTTAAAAATCCAGCAAAATATATGAAACAATGGTTTTCTGGACAGTGGCTATCAGGCAGTGCAGGAGAGTGATACCACAGAGAGAGAAAACAAACAAGATGAACATTATGTTTGCCCCAGATTACTTCCTTAAGAGCATTTTCAGGTCATGACACAGGGGTGGGGATCACTGGTAGATTCCAGCAGATTCCCTAGGTTGAGAACAGGGAACTAAGGGTCCAAGGATGCCCAAGTAGCTGGAGTTCAGAAGACAGAGTGTTTGCAAAAAGAGAGTTGCACCAAAAAGGAATCCAGGAAATAGGCAACGAACAAACCCTGACTTATAGCAGAGTACCAGTCAGTGCTCACATGTGAGAAAACTACCTGAGGCCAGGAAAAACATTACCTGAACGAATCAGAAAGAACAGTGCCTGACATTCACAACGGCTGAGAATTGTTCTTTTTTTCACCAGCCAAAGTGGAAATTTTCATAATTCATGGGGCACTGTGTAGAGTACTCAAGAAGGTCTTGCCTCAGTAAGTGGGAAATAATTAGACCTTTACCTAGCACTGCTTCTGACATGTCTATCAAATCATAAAAGTAAGATTCCCCAAAATCAAACTGTTTTCATGTAATTTAACTGCATCTCAGAACAATGCTCAATTGTATTTATAGGAATATTAGAATGCCCAGCACCCATAAAGGTAAAACAATGTCTTCCTCCAGTGAAAGATATTCCGGCATGCACTCATGATTTGGCTCTCTGTTTGTCTGTTGCTGGTGTATAAGAATGCTTGTGATTTTTGTACATTGATTTTGTATCCTGAGACTTTGCTGAAGTTGCTTATCAGCTTAAGGAGATTTTGGGCTGAGACAATGGGGTTTTCTAGATATACAATCATGTCGTCTGCAAACAGGGACAATTTGACTTCCTCTTTTCCTAATTGAATACCCTTTATTTCCTTCTCCTGCCTAATTGCCCTGGCCAGAACTTCCAACACTCTGTTGAATAGGAGTGGTGAGAGAGGGCATCCCTGTCTTGTGCCAGTTTTCAAAGGGAATGCTTCCAGTTTTTGCCCATTCAGTATGATATTGGCTGTGGGTTTGTCATAGATAGCTCTTATTATTTTGAAATACGTCCCATCAATACCTAATTTATTGAGAGTTTTTAGCATGAAGGGTTGTTGAATTTTGTCAAAGGCTTTTTCTGCATCTATTGAGATAATCATGTGGTTTTTGTCTTTGGCTCTGTTTATATGCTGGATTACATTTATTGATTTGCGTATATTGAACCAGCCTTGCATCCCAGGGGTGAAGCCCACTTGATCATGGTGGATAAGCTTTTTGATGTGCTGCTGGATTCGTTTTGCCAGTATTTTATTGAGGATTTTTGCATCAATGTTCATCAAGGATATTGGTCTAAAATTCTCTTTTTTTGTTGTGTCTCTGCCTGGCTTTGGTATCAGAATGATGCTGGCCTCATAAAATGAGTTAGGGAGGATTCCCTCTTTTTCTATTGATTGGAATAGTTTCAGAAGGAATGGTACCAGCTCCTCCTTGTACCTCTGGTAGAATTCAGCTGTGAATCCATCTGGTCCTGGACTCTTTTTGGTTGGTAAGCTATTGATTATTGCCACAATTTCAGATCCTGTTATTGGTCTATTCAGAGATTCTTCCTGGTTTAGTCTTGGGAGAGTGTATGTGTCTAGGAATTTATCCATTTCTTCTAGATTTTCTAGTTTATTTGCGTAGAGGTGTTTGTAGTATTCTCTGATGGTAGTTTGTATTTCTGTGGGATCGGTGGTGATATCCCCTTTATCACTTTTTATTGTGTCTATTACATTCTTCTCTCTTTTTTTCTTTATTAGTCTTGCTAGCGGTCTATCAATTTTGTTGATCCTTTCAAAAAACCAGCTCCTGGATTCATTAATTTTTTGAAGGGTTTTTTCTGTCTCTATTTCCTTCAGTTCTGCTCTGATTTTAGTTATTTCTTGCCTTCTGCTAGCTTTTGAATGTATTTGCTCTTGCTTTTCTAGTTCTTTTAATTGTGATGTTAGGGTGTCAATTTTGGATCTTTCCTGCTTTCTCTTGTGAGCATTTAGTGCTATAAATTTCCCTCTACACACTGCTTTGAATGTGTCCCAGAGATTCTGGTATGTTGTGTCTTTGTTCTCGTTGGTTTCAAAGAACATCTTTATTTCTGCCTTCATTTCGTTATGTACCCAGTAGTCATTCAGGAGCAGGTTGTTCAGTTTCCATGTAGTTGAGAGGTTTTGAGTGAGATTCTTAATCCTGAGTTCTAGTTTGATTGCACTGTGGTCTGAGAGATAGTTTGTTATAATTTCTGTTCTTTTACATTTGCTGAGGAGAGCTTTACTTCCAAGTATGTGGTCAATTTTGGAATAGGTGTGGTGTGGTGCTGAAAAAAATGTATATTCTGTTGATTTGGGGTGGAGAGTTCTGTAGATGTCTATTAGGTCTGCTTGGTTCAGAGCTGAGTTCAATTCCTGGGTATCCTTGTTGACTTTCTGTCTCATTGATCTGTCTAATGTTGACAGTGGGGTGTTAAAGTCTCCCATTATTAATGTGTGGGAGTCTAAGTCTCTTTGTAGGTCACTTAGGACTTGCTTTATGAATCTTGGCTTCAAAGAGAATAAAATACCTAGGAATCCAACTTACAAGGGATGTGAAGGACCTCTTCAAGGAGAACTACAAACCACTGCTCAAGGAAATAAAAGAGGATACAAACAAATGGAAGAACATTCCATGCTCATGGGTAGGAAGAATCAATATCGTGAAAATGGCCATACTGCCCAAGGTAATTTACAGATTCAATGCCATCCCCATCAAGCTACCAATGCCTTTCTTCACAGAATTGGAAAAAACTACTTTAAAGTTCATATGGAACCAAAAAAGAGCCCGCATCGCCAAGTCAATCCTAAGCCAAAGGAACAAAGCTGGAGGCATCACACTACGTGACCTCAAACTACACTACAAGGCTACAGTAACCAAAACAGCATGGTACTGGTACCAAAACAGAGATATAGATCAATGGAACAGAACAGAGCCCTCAGAAATAATGCCGCATATCTACAACTATCTGATCTTTGACAAACCTGAGAAAAACAAGCAATGGGGAAAGGATTCCCTATTTAATAAATGGTGCTGGGAAAACTGGCTAGCCATATGTAGAAAGCTGAAACTGGATCCCTTCCTTACACCTTATACAAAAATCAATTCAAGATGGATTAAAGACTTAAACGTTAGACCTAAAACCATAAAAACCCTAGAAGAAAACCTAGGCATTACCATTCAGGACATAGGCATGAGCAAGGACTTCATGTCTAAAACACCAAAAGCAATGGCAACAAAAGCCAAAATTGACAAATGGGATCTAATTAAACTAAAGAGCTTCTGCACAGCAAAAGAAACTACCATCAGAGTGAACAGGCAACCTACAAAATGGGAGAAAATTTTCACAACCTACTCATCTGACAAAGGGCTAATATCCAGAATCTACAATGAACTCAAACAAATTGACAAGAAAAAAACAAACAACCCCATCAAAAAGTGGGCAAAGGACATGAACAGACACTTCTCAAAAGAAGACATTTATGCAGCCAAAAAACACATGAAAAAATGCTCACCATCACTGGCCATCAGAGAAATGCAAATCGAAACCACAATGAGATACCATCTCACACCAGTTAGAATGGCAATCATTAAAAAGTCGGGAAACAACAGGTGCTGGAGAGGATGTGGAGAAATAGGAACACTTTTACACTGTTGGTGGGACTGTAAACTAGTTCAACCCTTGTGGAAGTCAGTGTGGCGATTCCTCACGGATCTAGAACTGGAAATACCATTTGACCCAGCCATCCCATTACTGGGTATATACCCAAAGGACTATAAATCATGCTGCTATAAAGACACATGCACACGTATGTTTATTGCGGCATTATTCACAATAGCAAAGACTTGGAACCAACCCAAATGTCCAACAATGATAGACTGGATTAAGAAAATGTGGCACATATACACCATGGAATACTATGCAGCCACAGAAAATGATGAGTTCATGTCCTTTGTAGGGACGTGGATGAAATTGGAAACCATCATTCTCAGTAAACTATCGCAAGAACAAAAAACCAAACACCGCATATTCTCACTCATAGGTGGGAATTGAACAATGAGATCACATGGACACAGGAAGAGGAATATCACACTCTGGGGACTGTTGTGTGGTGAGGGGAGCAGGGAGAGATAGCATTGGGAGATATACCTAATGCTAGATGACGAGTTAGTGGGTGCAGTGCACCAGCATGGCACATGTATACATATGTAATTAACCTGCACAATGTGCACATGTACCCTAAAACTTAAAGTATAATAAAAAAAAAAAGATATTCTGGCATGCAAAGAAGCAAGAAAACATGACCCTTAATAAGTAGAATAATCAATCAATTAAAACTGACACAGAACTCACACGTTAGAAATAACAGACAAAGATATTTAAAAGGTGTTATACTCCATGTCCTTCAAAATTAAGTAGAGACATAGTACTTATCAAAATATTCAAATTAAAATTTTAGGAATAAAAACTACAATTAGTGAAATTAAAAAACACACTAGATAGGATTAATGATATGGTAGACATTGCAGAAGAAAAGATTAGTGAGTTTATTTATTTATTTTGAGACGGAGTCTTGCTCTGTCACCCAGGCTGGAGTGCAGTGGCGTGATCTCGGCTCACTGCAAGCTCTGCCTCCCGGGTTCACGCCATTCTCATGCCTCAGCCTCTGGAGTAGCTGGGACTACAGGCGCACGCCACCGCGCCCAGCTAACTTTTTTTTTTGTATTTTTAGTAGAGATGGGGTTTCATCGTGTTAGCCAGGATGGTCTCGATCTCCTGACCTCGTGATCCACCCGCCTCGGCCTCCCAAAGTGCTGGGATTACAGGCATGAGCCACCGCGCCCGGCCATAGATTAGTGAATTTAAAGACACAGCAATAGAAACTATCAGAAATGAATCATAGAGACTAAAACAAATTTTAAAAATCTTAACAGAGCATCTGAGAGCTGTGAAAGAACTTCAAGTGGCCCAGTATAGATGTAGTTGGAGTCCCTGAGTGCCAAGTGATAGGGGGAATGGATAGAAAAATAATGGCCAAAATATTTCCAAATTTGAGACAACTAAAATCTATGAATACAAAAAAAATGAAGAAACAACACCAAGACACAATAAACAAATTGTTCAAGACCAGTGATAAAGAGAAAATCTTAAGAGCAGCTCAAGGAAAAAGAAACACTATCCATACAGGAATAAAGATATGTATAACAGATTTCTCAATAGGAATAATGTAAGTGAGCAGACAAGAGAGAAACATCCTTAAAGTGCTGAAAGGAAAAACACCTTTAAACTGCTAGACCTAGTAAAATAGCTCATTTTTTAAAAAGTGAAATTGGAAGAACTTAGAGCTAGCAGATCATCACTACAAGAAATGTTAAAATATGTCCTTCAATCAGACAAATGGTATCACATGGTATTATGGATCTACACAAAGGAATGGTAAGCACCACAAACGATAACCCTAAGAGTAAATACCTAACATTTTTTCCTTTATAGTTATATCTTCTAAAAAGATAAATGACTATTAAAACAAATTACAATGCATTCTGAAATTTATAAAAAGTAAATAAAATGTATATCAACAATAACATGAAGACTAGGAGGAGAAAAATGAAATGTACTAGTGTAAGTCTCTTGTACTGTACATGAAGTGGTATAATATTGCTTGAAGATAGACAATGGTAAGCTAGTAATATGCTGTAAACAACCACTAAAACAGGAGCAATAATAACAATGACACAAACCACATCAAAATAACTACATCTAATAAACAAAGAATTTTAAAAATATAATTAATACAAAAGAAGACTGGAAAAGAGAAAAGGGGGAACAAACGACTCATGGGACAGAGCAAAAACAAACAGCAAGGTGATAGACCTAGGCCTTACAATATCAACTATCACATTAAATGTAAATATTGTAACTGCCCCAAATAAAAGGCAGAGATTGTCAGAGTAGAAATAAAAAAATAAGACTATATTTTGCTTGCAAGAAGTGCACTTTTACTCAACCATAAGAAATCAATCAACACAATTAAAACGTGTTTACAATATTTGCACAGACCTTCCACCAAAGATACATGGATGGCAAAGAAGCATATGATATGACATACAATATCATTAGTTATAGGGAAATGCAAATCAAAACCACAATGTGATACCACTATAGCCCTAGTAGAATGTCTAAAATTAAGGAATGACTATACTAAGAGTTGGTGAGGATGTGAAGAAATGGGAACATTCATACTTTTTTGTGTGTGGAAATTTAAAACGGTATGGAGTTTGGAAAACAGTTTAGCAATTTCTTAAAAAGGTCACCACACCTACCATATAATCCAGTCATTCTACTCCTATGAATTTACCTAAGGGGGCAAAAGCTTATGTTTACACAAAGACTTATTCATGTATGCTCATAGCCATTTTATTTGTAATAGTCAGAAACTGAAAAGAACATAAACATCAACAGATGAATGAATAAATATATTGTGGTGTGGCCATAAATGGAAAGTTACTTAGCAATATAATTTTTAAAAAAGATTTATATATGAAACAATTTGGATGAATCTTAAAATAAATATACTTACTGAAAAAAGCCATACCAAAAAAAGTGCATGTTGTTTGATTCCATTTATATAGACTTCTAGAAAATGTAAAATAATCTCCAGTGATAAAAAGCAGATCTGGTTGGGAAGAGGGGAATGAGTAGAGGAAAACAAGGGAGAGAGGGATTACAAAGAAGCATGAGGAAACTTTTTGGGGTAATGAATATGTTCACTATCTTGACTGTGGTGATGGTTTCATGGATGTCAAAACTTATCAAATTTAACATTTTAAATATGTGCTGTTGATGAAATGTGAATCATACCTCAGTAAAACTTAAAACAACGATGGTTTTCTGCTGAGCCTTTCTTCCTCTTCAATATTCAATAAATGTGTCACAGAACTACAGAAACCTTAAAGGCTCAAAATGCTAATGCCGGATGAAAGAATAATCTGGCATACTTTCAACAGGCATAGAGAACTGGAGTGATATGGTACTTTAGATTTCACGGCTCTTCATGACTGGGCGGATAGAAATGGACTTACTTGTGGTTGATCTTGACTTTGCTTTTCTCATTAGTCTGTATTTTTATGTAATTCATACCATATTAAAATGATAGTTTGATATTAACAAATATACTTTTAATTATTATGGACTAAGTATTCTAGATAGTATAAAAAATACAATGCATGCAAAACAACCCAAAACTTTTCCTTGGGAGATCTTTGTATGTACATGTACTTATAGATGATCAGATAAAAACAAAATGTATGTCTAACCAATTTTGAAGAAATGAATCCCAATTTTAAATTGAGTAGAATGCTAACAATGCAATCTCACCCAATTAACCTGTGATATTAATTGTAATTTTCTCTGGAAGTTTAGTTGTTACATGTCTCTAATTGATCTGTATTTATTTTAGAAAGTGTTAAACTGTTCAAATGTTCAAATGATTGATAAATCATTGATTTTTATTTAGTATGGCACTAGGCATCAATTAAAGATTTTATAGTTCAATTGCACATTGAACTATACATCATTATTATGTTCAGAATAACTTATCCATGTAGACAAATCGATGAGTGGAGATATTGACAGCAAATCAGAAATAAAATTGTCTGCTTTACAAAAGGTAATGTTAGAATGCATCAATTTCAAATAATGAAATAAATTTGTAATGCCAAAACAAAGAAATAAAACAGCAACCATTGTAAAAGTCACAGATCAAGCAGCAGCAAGACTTCAGTTAGAATGAGTAAATGATAGTGAAAATTTACTGAATTTGCTTCTAAATTATGTTGTTTCTGATTCCAAACCAATGTAAAAAGTTGTGAAGCTGTTGTAACAATACCCAAGCAGCTTTGTGGGCTGTAGATACCATAATGAAAAAGAGTAGCAGAATGTGTTGGAATGGCAAGAAGAGGAGAAAGTGCTTTGGGACTTAAATTGAATTCTCTCTCTGTTCTTTCTGAGTGGCAAATGTGAGTATGTTTTACAGATACATTAATGGTGTCTAAGGTGGGTTTTTGTTTAACCTATATTAGTCTCTAGACAACAATTAGCTTTTTATAATCTAAATTTGAATTTTATATGAATATAATTGCCTATACTGCTAACATCATTTTGAAACAGGCATTTATAGTTAATGAATTAAAAGTGTATTTCTTACAACTATCATACTCAATGGTGAAAACCTGAAAGTTTTTTCTCTAAGACCTGGAAAAAGGCAAGGATGTCCTCTCTCACCACATCTATTCAATATAGTATTGAAAGTCCTAGCAAAAGCAATCCAGAAAGGAAAAGTAAAACTATCTTATATCATGCACATAACATGACCTTACATGTAGAAAATCCTAAAGGTGCCACAAAAAAACTGTTAGAACTAATAAGTGAACTCAGTAAAGTTACATTACAGAACACAAAATTAATATGCAAAAATTTGTTGTGTTTCTACACACTAAACAACCTATCCATAAAGAAAATTTAAAAAATATTTATAATAGCATCTAAAAGAATAAAGTACTTAGAAATAAACTCAACCAAGTAAGTGAAAGACTTGTACATTGAAAACTACAAAACATTGATGAAATAAAATTTAAAAGATACAAATAAATAGAAGGACATTCTGTGTTCATGGATTTGAAGAACTGATATTGTTAAAATGTCCATACTTCCCCAAACAATCTACAGATTCAATGCAATCTTTATCAAAATCCCACTGGCAGTTTTCCAGAAATAGAAAAAAGAATCCTAAAATTTACTTGAAACTACAAAAGACTCCAAATAGCCAAAGAAATTTTGAGCACTAAGAACAAAACCAGAGGTATCACATTCTATTACATCAAAACATATTATAAAGCTACAGTAATCAAAACAGTATGGTACTGGAATAAAAACAGATATATGGGACAATGAAACAGAATAGAGAGCCCAGAAATAAACCCACACATATATTGCCAACTGATCTTTGACAAGGATGCCAAGAATATACAATGAGGAAAAGATAATCTATTCAGTAAATGGTGTCGGGAAAATTGAATATCCACATGTAAAGCATGAAAGTGGGCCCTATATACAAAAATTAACTCGAAATGGATTAAATACTTACATGTAGAACTGGAAACAATAAAAGTCTTTAAATAGAGGAAAAAGTTTGCAGACATTGGACTGGGCAATGATTTCTGGGATATCACACCAAAAACACAGGTAAAAAACAAAAAATAAACAAGTAGGATTACATAAAATGTAAAGCCTTTGCACAGTAAAGAAAACAATTAACAAAATGAAAAGGCAACCTAGGGAATGGGGGAAAATGTTTGTAGACTTTAATACCTACAACTCAATAGAAAACAACAACAAATAATTTGATTTAAAAATGGGCAAAGGACCTGAACCAACATTTATCTAAAGAAGACATACAAAATGACCAATAGGTATATGAAAATGTGTACAACATTACTAGTCATTAGTGAAATGTAAACGAAAACTACAGTGAGATATCACCTCATACATGCTAGACTGGCTATTATCAAAAAAAAAAAAGGAGAACAAGTGTTGGTGAGAATGTAGAGAAAAGGAATTCTGTACACTGTTGGTGGGAATGTAAATTGGTACAGCCACTATGGAAAACAATATGGAGATTTATCAAAAAATTAAAAATAGAATTGCCATTTGATCCAGCAATCCCACTTCTGGGTATATATCCAAAGTAAATTAAATCAGTATCTTGAAGAGATATCCATCCTCCCATATTCGTTGCAGCATTATTCACAGTAGCCAAGATATGGAAACAACCTGTGTTCATTGACAAATGAATCGACAAAGAAAACATTATATACATGTATGTATACATATACACACCCACATACATGGATATAGATGTAAATGTAGACACACACACATACACACAGTGGGATATTATTCAGCCCATAAAAAGGAGGAAATTCTCCTATCTGTGATAATATGGATGAACCTGGAAGACAGTATATTAAGTGAAATAAGCCAGACGCAGAAAGACAAACACAGCATGATCTCACTGATATGTAAAATCTAAAATAGTCATACAAATAGCAGCAGAGAGTAGAATGGCAGTTGTCAGGGACCAGGGGTGGGAGAATGGGGTGATGTTGGTCAAAGGTTGCAAAGTTTCATTTATGTAGGATGAGTAGATTTTGGAGATCTACTGTACAAAAATGGGGCCTATGAATAACAATACTGTATTGTATATTTTAAAATTTGCTAAGATGGTAGAGCTTGTGTTAAATGCTCTTACCAAAAAGAAGGCCGGGCACGGTGGCTCACGCCTGTAATCTCAGCACTTTGGGAGGCCGAGGCAGGCGGATCACGAGGTCAGGAGATTGAGACCATGGTGAAACCCCGTTTCTACTAAAAATACAAAAAAAAAAATTAGCCGGGCGCGGTGGCGGGTGCCTGTAGTCCCAGCTACTCGGGAGGCTGAGGCAGGAGAATGGCGTGAACCCGGGAGGCGGAGCTTGCAGTGAGCCGAGACTCCGTCTCAACAAAACAAAACAAAACAAAACAAAAAAACAAAAACAACAACAACAAAAAACAAAAAGAAAAAACAAAACAACAAAAATGGAGGAGGAAGAAACTTTTGGAGGTGTTGGTTAAGTTTATAGCATTGATTTTGGTAACAGTTTCATGGGAGTATACTTTTCCCCAAACATAGCAAGTTTACATAATGGCAAATATTGTGTCTTGTTTTTACGTTCACAGCATTTTGCACAGAGCTTGGCAGTTACATAGTAGATGTTGAACAATTTCTTCTGTGTTTCAGCTGTCAAACTGTTCTGAATGTGTGAGGTACTGTATTTATCTTTGAAACAGTATTTTCATGTCTGTGAAGTGCAGTTTCCTGTGTAATACTAATAAAGGGGTATAATCCTTATTTTCCTATTTTTTAAATCAAATTCTCATAAGTGTCTTAGAAAACCCTCTCACATGCAAGGTATAAGGTTACTTCTTTTTTCTGGATTTTAGAACTAGGTAGGCACGATGTATTATTAGTCTTTGTATTCCCAATGTCTGACACATAGTATATGCTCAGTTTATTTTAGTTGAAAGATTAAATGAATGATTAAGAGCAAATTGTGTAGTGTCCAATGTCACTGGACAGGAGTTTGAATCTAAGGATATCATGTATTGAACAACAATTATGTATGAGACCCTGTGCTAGAGCTGAGGATACAAAGGTGAATACAGGAATCTATCCAGCCTGAAAGAGGCAGCTATGCAAAAAGATCAATTATATATCTCATTGGAAGTGCTGTACCCCAAGTATGAATGAAGATCTATGGAATTACTAGTAAAGGAGACTAGATGATACTTGTGGTGAGACTTGAAAATGAGAGACGTGATTGCCAATGATTTGATTTAAGCTAATCAAGGACAAAAAATCTTTAGAATAACATGTTGAACTTAACCAAGCCTGCTTGCAAAAGGGTAGACATAAATAAGATCAGGTTTCCAAAGGAATGGATGGATAAATGCAGATATATTGCAATGTATTTCCTGAGTTTAAGTTGCATAGCTCCTTCAACAAACAACTATTTTAAGTGATCTGGATAAGATTGACAGTGGTAATTTGTCATTTTGCAATAGCCCATGTTATTAAGACAAAGAGGAAGGAGAGCATTCTGAGTAAAAAGAACAGCTTATGCAAAGGTGCACAGAAGTTGAGAGGACAGTGAGCTTAATGTGACCAGAGTTTTTAGGGGAGAGTGTCTGAGATGGACTGGGCTAGTTAATAAAGGACAAATTTTTGCCTCTTTAGGAGTTCAGGACGTGGTCAATGTCAAAGAGGGGCCAGTAAAGGTTTGTAATTAGGGAAGAGACATGATCAAAGTGTTTTCGAGAGGGTAAATTTCACAAGCAGCATCTTCTGGCGGCTGCTTCCTACTGTCCTTAGTAATTCATTAAGGAGCTGGCTGTCAGAAAGCAGGACTGAGACTCGGTAGGATATAAGTCAATGAAGAATTATGATTATTCATAGTGTATTACTAGCAAATTGTTGCTAAATAGATTTTGTTAAAATATCTTGTGATATGTGCATATCTATTATTTATCCACATAAGTAATTTGCATCATGTGAGTGTCTGGCTTGTGCTGTGGTCCCAGGAAACCTGCAAAGCAAACCATCATATATAAACTTACATTTCTTTATGTGAGTGCTTTATTATTTCATCTTGTTGACAAATTAGATCACTTCCCCTCTCCTTGTCGTATGACCATAACTTAAGACAAATCTCTTAGGTCTATCATCTATATTCTCACTTCCTCATTTCTTTATTCTTCATGTTTCACAATTCCTTAATTTAGACCCTAATTTGGGTTTCTTAATGTTTATTCCTTACAGACATGTATTACTGAATAAGCCCCATAATTTTTACTTGTGCAAAACATCTCTAAATTGAAAAAGATGATAAAAAACAAATCAAAAAATTTTTAAAGTAAATAAAAAACAACTCACAAATCACCAAATCTCTCAACTGTAGAATGGCAGTTGTCAGGGACCAGGGGTGGGAGAATGGGGTGATGTCATGAAAACAAAATAACGCCTGTTCCTCAAAAAACCTGTGGAAATAAAAAATTAAAAATTAAAAAATAAAAAATAAAAACAGCAACAACAAAACAATAAAGCCTCTTGGAAAGAGGCTGTATTTAGCAATCTGGTACAAAGAAAGAAATTTTTTTTTTTTTTTTTTTGGGTAAGCCACTTAGCTTATGAACAAAATAATAGCCCATGAATTAAATTTTAAAATGTTTGGAGAATAAAGCTAAGGTTAAAAAAAAAGAGAAACTGCATTCTTTCCAAGTAAAAAGCCCAAAGGGATCAAAGTTTGATGATGCCCTAGATTCTGTGACAGTCTACACTGAAATAATTATTTGTTCCTTTTGAATTGCCACGTTTTAGGTCATTAGTAGTGAGCAAATGTATTAATGCCACTATCATTTTTTGCTAATGTTCTTCTTTCTTCAGCCTAGTAATTTGAAACTATCAAATAAAATTTATAAACACACACACTCACACACACACACACACACACACACACACACACACTTTGAGACCGTGGTGCCTTTCTATTTATTTCTAGTATGGAACATTCAGAAACATAAATTGTAACATTTTTGTAAACTGCTATAATTTCATTATTTGGATTGAACATCTTCTTGCCCATAATTGTGACCATCTCAGGTACCTGGCTTAAGCCTGTTAGTTAGTTCACATATTGGCATTGCTATAGATGGAATTATTTCCCCATGCAAATTCAACTATTGAAGTCCTAACCCCTAATGTTATGACGTTTAGAGATGGGGCCTTTGGGAGATATTAGATTTAGATGAGATTATGAAGGTGGAGCCCTCATGGTGAGATTAGTGCCATTATAAAGAGATACCAGAGAGCTTTCACTTTCTCTTTCCCATGTGAGGACATAGAAGTAGATGAAAAGATGGTTGCTAAAAAGAGTTCTCACCAGAACCCAACCATGTGACATCCTGATCTTGGACTGCCAGCCTCCAGAACTGTGTGAAAATGGATGAATAAATGAATGAACGAATAAAATCTATTGTTTCCACTGAGTCTATGGTATTTTGTTATGGCAGCCTGAGCTGACTAAGACAGGTGGCCTTTGACCCTGTTTAGGAGATTCCTGTCAGGATTTAGAAGCAGACGTTTAATTTCCATCACAGTTCAAGCTACTAGTCCAGCTGCAATAAGAAGCAACATGCATTTGAGTAAGTTCTGAAGCGGGCTTCATTTCAGGAGCTGTGCCTCAGTATGGGCAGAGGCCCGGGCAATCTCTCCAAGAGTTGGGTTCAGCTGCATCTTGGCTTACTGGCTGCCTCAGTGAGAATTTCTAAACAAAGCAGAATAGCAGGAAACCTCTGACCAGTTTACCTTTTATGCTTTCATTTCCTATTTTTTTTCTTTTTTGGTAACTTTCTTTGACTTAAGGTGACAAAAGAGCACCTTTTGCAGAAGCTAGGACAATGTGGTAGAGTGAAACAAACCTGAATTTGGTGTCAGAAAGTCTGAGATTCACATCCAGGCCCTATTTGGAAATCTATGCATTTATGCATCCTTCCTCTGGTGATCTGATTCCATGGAGCTATTTTACAACTCTTTGTTAAACTTACCTGGTAGTCACACAAATTCTGTCCTGTGCACCACAAGCTCTATTGACTTCCCTCTTCCTCACCTTTATCCCCAAGGGGGAAAAACAGTTGCTTTCATTTGCCATTAATTTCAATATTCTTTTATGCCATATAAATTTGTGCTTCTTGACTTCTTTTTTGAAATGGTTGTAACATCTGTCTGCTTCCCTCATTGAATGTGTTAAACAAAATCTTTAACGTCTATTCATTTTTATATCTGTATGAAAGTCACACTTTAACCTTTTTCTGAAAATTATTTTTTAACACCCAGCTTCCTCATTTGGAAAATGGGGATAATAATAACTCTCTTATCCTCCTTTCTACATTTCTGGGATTAAACGAGTTATAATTAACTGGATTGAAATGATCATTAAGGGTTGAAAATGTGTCTTATCTACTTTTGTTTTCCTAACACCTTGGAAAGAGAATCTGCACATCAAAGTGCTCTTTATGATAAAATACAAGACAAACAGGACGTGGTTTTATCATTATCAGACATTATTAGCAGCATGAGTGGCAGCAACCTCTGACCTCCTTTTGCAAGTGGCCAGAGGGTTCATGTCAGGTGGCATTCAAAGAGCCAAAGGTGTAGAAGTCTCACGCTGGGCCAACAGGGACGTAGATACTTGACAGTGGTTTCCAATTCCAGGGAGGAGGCCACTTATGGAAGAGAAGGCTTAAAGGAGACTGGAAGATTTGCTTCTTGAGTTCTGGGTCCTTTGCCACCAGAGATTCAGGGAACAAAAGTGTTTTCTCCACACAAACATTAGCTTGTCTAGTACACAATCACTTGTCACTTCTGGCCTTTGCCTGTGCTGATTGATGGGGGAAGGTAGACAGAGAGGGGACAGGGGCAACATTTCTGGTATGCAAAAATCTTACAGTGAATATAAAGATTTGTCAACACACTTCAAGGTTGCCAACAGATTGGCCAGATCTGTATTCTATTATTTATATTAAAAACACTTCAGTTCCAGCATATAAAATCTAAAACTTTTAAATGGGAAGTTAAAGCTCAAATTTGAGGTCACTATAGGGGAAATATTCTCTGCTATTTTTTAACTGTTTCAGTATTTTTAGTTTCACTTTTCTACTCTTCGTCACTCTCTGATCTCAGAAAGAACAGGTGCACTAAACATCTTGTTCATGAACATTACCAACTCAAGGTTCACAGGAAGGCAACTTGCATTCATTAGATGAGTATCCAAATTCATCCCTCTATCACACTGTAGTAGACTGATTAATGACCCCCAAAATACCAGGTCTTAATCCCTCCCTGTACATGTTATCTTATATGGAAAAATGACTCTTATAAAAGGAATTAAGCAAAGAATTTGAGATGGGGGAGATTATCCTGGATTAACCTGGTGGACCCTCCATGCAGTCACAGGTGTCACTACAAGAGAGAGGCAAAATGAAACAGGAGGATCACTTGAGTCCGGGAGGCTGAAGCTGCAGTGGGCTGTGATTGCACTGCTGAACGTGAACCTGGGCAACAGAGTCACACGCTGTCTTCAAAAAAGAATATATATATATATATATATATATATATATATAGAGAGAGAGAGAGAGAGAGAGAGAGAGAGAGAGAGAGAGAGGTGAAGGAAGATTTGACACAGACAGAAGAGAAAAGGCACTATAACCACAGAGGTAGTTTGGAGTATGTCACCATTAGCACCAGAAGCTGCCCTGGCAACACTTTGATTTTATCCCAGAAAAACTGATTTCAGTTTCTGCTCTCCAGAACTGAGAGAATTAATTCCTGCGGTTCTAAGCCACTCAGTTCATGGAAATTTGTTACAACACTCACAGGAATTAAATACAGATACCTCCACAAAAACTCTCTTCTAGACTAAAAACAAAACAAAACAACTTTGCCAAGTGCATTAGTTTGCTAGGGCTGCCATAACAAAGTACCACAAACTGGGTGGCTTAAACAACAGAAATTGTTTTTCTCACAATTCTAGAGGCTAGAAGTTTGAGGTCAAGTTGATTTATTTTGGGTTGATTTCTTCTGAGGCCTCTTTCCTTAGCTTATAGATGGTGCCTTCTTCCTGTGTTCTGACATAGTTTTCCCTCTGTACCTGTCTGTGTCCAAAGCTCCTCTTCTTGTAAGAGTGGCAGTCCAATTGGATTAGGGTCCACCAATATGACCTCATTATACCTAAATTACCTCTTTAAAGGCATTGTCTCAAAACACAGTCATATTCTAAGGCCCTGGGGGTTAGGACCTCAACGTACAACTTTTTTGAAGTGGAGATACAATTCATCCCATAATGCCAAGTAACATCATCTCTGTTTCTACACATGAGGAATGACCAAAGCCCACAACTCTGCTTAATATCACACAGCTGATAAGTTGTGAAGCTTGGATTTAAACCCAAGTTGCTCTGAGTTCTAAAAAAATGTATTTGGGGGTAGAATTAACTTTTGTTGAATGTTATTTTTTATTAGGAAGTTTTAATAGGTCACTTGTTTTCAGTCCGGCTAAGATGAGGTTATCAGTGTTAAGGTACGACACAGGAAGACAGTCAATGAAAATTAAAGAATCAAGAGAAGATAATCTAGCTTTCTTAGAAGAGTACTGTTTTTTATACTTCATCCCTCTAGTCTTTTGCTTAGTATATTCAATCTGAAGCTGAAGAAGGATGTACAGCCTCAGCCGTCAATTGTTGCAATATAACAAAGAAGTCTACTGTGAAACAATCATTCTGATAGCTGATTTCTTGAAATGTCATTTTTGGGACAAATGTAAACATCTACAATGAACTATTTGTTATTTTTAGGAAAAAGTTAAAAATATTGAATTATAATTGTTTGCTTTATTATTCTTAAATAATAATGCCTCTCATATTTATTTCATGAGATATGAGTATGTTTAGTTTCATAAGAAACTGCTAGACTGTCTTCCAAAGTGGCTGTACCATTTTGCATTCCCACTAACAATGAATGCTTTACATCCTCACCAGCGTTTATTATTGTCAGTGTTTTAGATTTTGGCCATTCCAGTAGGTGTGTATCAATATCTTGTTTCAATCTGCATTTCCCCGATGCATTCACCATCTATTTCCTTTTTTGAGATACCTGTTAAGGTCTTTGGCTCATTTTAAATCAAGTTGTTTATTTTCTTATTGTTGAGCTTTAAGTATTTTTATGTATTTGGATAACAGTTCCTTATCAGATATGCGTTTTGAAAATATTTTCTCCCATTCTGTAGCTTGTCTTTTCATTCACTTGACAGTGGCATTTGCAGAGCAGAAATTAGTTTGAATGAAGTATAGCTTATCAATTCTGTTTTGGATTGTGCCTCGGGTAGTGTAGTCAAAAAGTCATTGCCAAACCCAAGGCGATCTAGATTTTCTTCTATGTTATTTTCAAGGAGTGTTATAATTCTGCATTTTAAATTTAAGCCTGTGATTCATTTTGAGTTAATTTTTGTGAAGGGTATAGATCCAGTGATTTGTGTGTGGATGTCCATTTGTTCCAGAACCATTCTTTGAGAAGACAATCTTTGCTTCATTTTATTGCCTTTGCTGTTTTATCAAAGATTAGTTGGCTATATTTATGTGGGTCTATTTATGGGTTTTCTATTCCTTCCATTGATCTAGTTGTCCTTTCCTTTACAAATACCACACTGTCTTGATTACTATAGCTTTATAGTAAGTCTTGAAGTTAGATACTATCAGTCTTCTGACTTTGTTCTTCTCCTTCAATATTGTTTTGGCTACCTTGGTTTTTCTTTTCTTTTTTTTTTTTTTGCCTCTCCATATAAACTTTAAAATTAGTTTGTTCATAGTCACAAAATAATGTGTTGGGATTTTACTAGGGATTACGCTGAGCCTATAGATCAGGTTGGGAAGAACTAAGGTCTTGAGAATATTGAGCCTTGCTATCCACAAACATGGACTATCTCTTCATTTATTTAGTTATTCTTTGATTTTTTTTCTTCAGTGTTTTGTAGTTTTTCTCATGTAGATATTGTATGTATTTTGCTAGATTTATACCTAAGTATTTCATTTTTGGGGGGTGCTAAAGTAAATGGTATTACATTTTTAATTTTAAATTCTACTTGTTCATTGCTGGTATATAGAAAAGCAATAGAATTGTATATATTAGTCTTCTCTTACAACCTTTCTATAATCTCTTATTAGTTCCAGAAGGGTTTTTTTGTCAATCGTTTCAGATTTTTTTTTTTTTTTTTTTTGAGATGGAGTCTCACTCTGTCGCCCAGGCTGGAGTGCAGTGGTGCAATCTTGGCTCACTGCAAGCTCTGCCTCCCGGGTTCACACCATTCTCCTGCCTCAGCCTCCTGAGTAGCTGGGACTACAGGCACCCACCACCACACCCAGCTAATTTTTTTGTATTTTTAGTAGAGATGAGGTTTCACCATGTTAGCCAGGATAGTCTTGATCTCCTGACCTTGTGATCCACCCGCCTCAGCCTCCCAAAGTGCTGGGATTACAGGCTTGAGCCACTGCGCCTGGCCTCAGATTTTCTACATACATGATCATGTCATCTGTGAACAAAGACAGTTTCATTTCTTTTTTCCCAGTCTGTATACCTTTTATTTCCTTTTGTTGTGTAGCATTAGCTAGGACTTCAAGAACAATGTTGAAAAGGACTGGTAAGAGGGAGTATCCTTGCTTTGTTCCTGATCTGAGAGGGAAACTTTCAAGTTTCTCACCATTAAATATGATGTTAGCTGTAGGGTTTTTGTAGATATCCTTTATCAGGTTGAGGAAGTTCCTCTTTATTTGTAATTTACTAAGAGTGTTTATTAAGAATGGGTGTTGGATTTTGTAAAATGCTTTCTTTTTGCACCTACTGATATGTTCATGTGATTTTTCTTCTTAGGCTCTTCATTCGATGTACAAAAACCACAAGATTATCTAAATAGATGCAGAAAAGGCCTTCGATAAAAATCCTCATTCCTTCATGTTAAAAACTCTCAATAAACTAGGTATTGAAGGAACATACCTCAAAATAATAAGAGCCATTTATGACAAACTCACAGCCAGTGTCCTTACTGAATGGGCAAAAGCTGAAAGCATTCCCCTTGAAAACCAGCACAAGACAAGTTTGCCCTCTCTCCCAACCCCTATTCAATATAGTATTGGAAGTTATGGCCACGGCAATCGGGCAAGAGAAAAAAATGAAGAGTATTTAAATGGGAAAAGAGGAAGTCAAACTATCTTTTTTTGCAGGTGACATAATCCTATATCTAGAAAACCCATTGTCTCAACCCAAAAGCTTCTTAAGCTGATAAGCAACTTCAGCAAAGTCTCAGGATAAAAAATCAAAGTGCAAAAATTGCTATACACCAACAACAGGCAAGCCAAGAGCCAAATCATGAATGAGCTTTGATTCACAATTGCTACAAAAAGAACAAAATACCTAGGAATACAGCTAACAAGGGAAGTGAAGGACCTCTTCAAGGAGAACTACAAAGCACTGCTCAAAGAAATCAGAGATGATGCAAACAAATGGAAAAACGTTCCATGCTCATGGATAGGAAGAATCAATATTATGTAAATGGTCATACTGCCCAAAGCAACTTATAAATTCAATGTTATTCCCATTAAATTACCACTGACATTCTTCACATAATTAGAAAAAACTATTTTGAAATTTATATGGAACCAAAAAAGAGCCTGAATACTGAAAGCAATCCTTAGCAAAAAGAACAAAGGTGGAGGCATCAGGCTAGCTGACTTCAAACTATACGATAGGGCTACAGTAACCAAAATAGCACGGTACTGGTACAAAAACAGAGACATAGACCAATGGAAAAGAATAGAGAATACAGAAATAAGACTGCACACCTACAACTGTCTCATCTTTGACAAACCTGACAAAAACAAGCAATGGAGAAAGGATTCCCTATTTAATAAATGGTGCTGGGAGAACTAGCTAGCCATATGCAGGATATTGAAACTGGCACCTTCCTTACGCCTTACACAAAAATCAACTCAAGATGGATTAAAGACTTACATGTAAAACCCCAAACTATAAAAACACTAGAAGAAAACCTGGGCAATACCATTTAGGATATAGGCATTGGCAAAGATTTCATGATGAAAACACTAAAAGCAATTGCAACAAAAGCAAAAATTAGCAAATGGGTCTAATTAAACTAAAGAGCTTCTGCACAGCAAAAGGAACTATTAACAGAGTAAACAGACAACCTACAGAACGGGCGAAAATTGTTGCAATCTATGTATCTGACAAAGCCCTAATATCCAGAATCTATAAGGAACTTAAACAAATTTACAAAAAAAAGCAACCCCATTAAAAAGTGGGCAAAGGACATGAACAGACACTTCTCAAAAGAAGACATACATGTGGCTAACAAACATGAAAAAAGCCTTCACATCACTAATTATTAGATAAATGCAAATCAAAACCAAATGAGATACCATCTTACATCATTCAGGATGGTGATTATTAAAAAGTCAAAAAATGACAGATGCTGATGAGGATGTGAAGAAAAAGGAACACTTTAATACTGTTGGTGGGAGTGTAAATTAGTTCAACCATTGTGGAAAACAGTCTGGTGATTCTTCAAAGACAAAGAGGCAGAAATACCATTCTACCCAGCAATCTCATTACTGGTTATATACTCAAAGGAATATAAATCATTTTCTTATAAAGACACATGCACATATATGTTTATTGCAGCACTATTCACAATAGCAGACATAGAATCAACCTAAATGCCTATCAGTGATAGATTGGATAAAGAAAATGTACATATACAACATGGAATACTATGCAGGCATAAAAAGGAATCAGGTCATGTGCTTCGCAGGGACATGGATGGAGCTGGAGGCCATCATCCTTAGCAAACTTACACAGGAACAGAAAACCAAATACTGCATGTTCTCACTTACAAGTGGGAGCAAAATGATGAGAATACATGGACACATGGCGGGGAACAACACACACTAGGGTGTGTTGGAGAGTAGGGAGAGGATCAGGAAGAATAACTATTGGATAATGGGCTTAATACCTGGGTGATAGGATGATCTGTGTAGCAAACCACCATGGCACACATTTACCTATGTAACAAACCTGCATATCCTGCACATGTATCCCTGAACTTAAAATAAAAGTTGGAAATAAAAAAAAAAGAGTGATTATGTCAGGGACTAGGTGGTAGCTGTGGAGATGATGAAAAGTGGTCAGAGTCTAGATGCATTTTGAGGGTGGGCTTGATTGGCTGGTGGATTAGATGTGAAGGATGAGAGAAGAAAAAGGTACTAGGATGACTCTAGAGTTTTTGCCTTGAACAAGAAAAAAGGATGAATGCCATTTACCAAGATTATAGAAAATAGCCAGTCTGTTTATTCTTACACTATCAATTGACACAACTTCCAGTTAATAAGTTCACTTTATTTTCTGAAAGTTACAGGAGAAGACTTTACTGGTTATGACCTTATACTGCTTTAATGGTCATCTGTAGCCAAAATCATGGACATAAATTCTGAGGAGGGTTCCTGGTAAGCCTCCCATTCCTGCTATGAGAAGAAACCAGCATGCCCATGCTTCCCAGCAGCATACTGTAATTGCTAAGTGTCAATGATGATGTCAGTTTTAGTGTCTCAGTAACAGTTGCTAGAGGAAGGAAGGAAGGAAGGAAGGGAGGGAGGGAGGGAGGGAGGGAGGGAGAGGATGAAGAAAAAGAACGAAAAGTTAGAAACTATGTAGTCCCAGCCTCTAGAAGCCAGAGGCATGAGGTCTACTTAGGGTCCTCTTGAGACAGGTGAAGACTTTTCAGTGTCACAAAATTAATATCACAAAGTGATATTATGTTAGTATTATGACATCAAAATGTGTGGGCAGGCTGGGCACAGTGGCTCACGCCTGTAATCCCAGCACTTTGGGAGTCTGAGGCAGGTGGATCACCTGAGGTCAGGAGTTCAAGACCAGCCTGGCCAACATGGGGAAACCCCGTCTCTATTAAAAATACAAAATTAGCGGCGCATGGTGGAGCAAGCCTGTAATCCCAGCTACTTGGGAGGCTGAGGCAGGAGAATCACTTGAATTCAGGAAGAGGAGGTTGCAGTGAGCCGAGATCGTGCCATTGCACTCCAGTCTGGGCAACAAGAGTGAAACTCCATCTCAAAAATAATAAAATAATAATAATAATAATAATAATAATAATGTGTGGGCAGATGTCATCTACACCATAGTTTCAGAATGCAATAAATTCACATTTAAAAACCTTGAAGTACACCGTATCAAAACTTTACTTCATCTTTCATTCTTATGTGATTCAGTTGATAGGCTGGAAGAACAATGAAAGTGAGTTCCATCATGCTGCCTGGTGTCCGTGTCCTTAATGATAAAGACTTTGAGTGTATTTGCAAACTCTCTGTTAATGACAGCATTTTTTTTTATTCTGAGCTTTATTAAGGTATAATTGACATACAAAAATTGTACATATTTAAGGTGTATAATGTAATGTTTTGATATACATATACATTCTGAAATGATTACCAAAATCAAGATAATTAACACATCCATCACCTCATAGTTATCCATTTAGCAAATCCTTTACTAGGTGGCAAAATTGATTTTAAAATCACATTTTTATCCCCTTGAAGTTTTTTCATCTGTAAATTTTCAAGGGCAGTCTTTTAATAGAATACAAACAGCTCATTCCTTATGTGGCTCCAAGCTGGCATTTCAGCATTGGGTTTAAACTTTAGAGCAACATATGAAAATCTCCTGAATAAACTTGTCAATGATTATGGTCATCAAAACTTAGTATGATCAAGGAAACTGGTTTTTGCATAATATTCTGAATATTTAAACTCCACAGAGCTTGAATAAATGAAGTACAAATTAAACATATCGATTTTTTTCTTTTGGTACATGGTCTATGTTATTGCAGATTAGCATCCCAAATCCCAAAATCCCAAATTTGAAATGCTTCAAAACTGAAACCTTTTGAGCACTGATATAAGTCTCAAGGGAAATGCATTTTGGATTTCAGATGCTCAACCAGTAAGCACATAATGCAAATATTAAAAAATCTGAAATCCAAAACACTTCTGGTCCCAAGATATGGGATACTCATCCTGTACCATGGTAAATGGTTAGTTCTTCCTTGGCTTATGCCAGTGGTTCTTGATTTAAGCCCCAGGAGATATTGGAAATTTCTGGAAACATTTTTGGTTGTCAAAGCTTGGGGGTGGAGTATGTTTCTGGCATCTAATGGGTAGAGGCCAGGGATGCTGCTCAATCTTATAATGCATAGGACAGGCCCCAGAAGAAAGAATTGCCTGGCCCAAAATGTCAATCACTAGTGCTGAGGTTGAGAATTCTTGACTTAGGCCATAGCCGTTCCACAGCTCAAGTCACAGTTGCATTCCTTTAGTTGAACCTTACAGTTCAGTTGTTCTACTCAATATTTGAATGCTGAAGGAAGACTGGCCCTCTAGGGTTGTATTTCTAGAACAGGGAGAATGTAGTACTTTGAGGTTGCATGCTTTAGAATTAGTCATTATGTGAGTTGGAAGACCATTTGATTCTTTATTAGAAGTTAGCAAGTGTGCCAGATTAGACCTTCACCCAAGAACGTCATGAGGGTTAATGAGAGGTTTTTAAAAGATAATAGTTATCTTTGTTTCATGTTTAACAACTTTATGCATTGGCTGGTCATTCCAGCTCCACAGAAAGCTCTTCAGTTGAGTTTCAATTACAGCCCGCAATTCCAGATGCTACAACATTTTAACTGTGGCTGCCAGATATCAGTGAGATTCACAGGCCTGGAGTACAACATTCTTTACAATGTGTGCTTCATATTTTGAAGGCCATCTGTCTCATTTTCATCTACAATTGGCTCTGCCGAAGTTTTGCATGCCAAATGATATTTTTTAAAATAAGCTTTTGTGCTACTTTAAAAATGTTTCAAAAATATCTTCGAGATACAATTCACACACCATGAAATTCAGCCATTTAAAGTGTACAAGTCAGTGGTTTTTAGTAGATTCACAAAGTTGTGCAACTATCACTACAGTCTAAATTTAGAACACTTTCATTACTCCATAAAGAAACCCCATGCCCATTAGCAGTCACTCCAGTTCCTCTCCTAGTCCTGGGCAACCACTAATGTAATTTCTGTCTCTAAAGATTTGCCTGTTCTTATGAGGAGTGGCGGTGTACACCTGTAGTCCCAGCTACTTGAGGAGGCCAAGGCAGGAGGATCATTTAAGCCCAGGAGTTTCAGGCTGCAGTGAATTATGATACTGCTACTGCACTCCCATCTGGGTGACAGAGTGAGAACCCATCCTCTAAAAAAAATAAAGATTTGCCTATTCTAGACATTTCTTATAAACAGAAATATACAGTATTTTGGGACTGCTTTTTTTCACTTAGCATAATGTTTTTAAGGTTCATCCATGTTGTAGCATGTATAAGTATTTCATTTCTTTTTTGTCCAAATCATATTCCATTAGAAGTATAACCATATTTGATTTATCCATTTATCGTTTGATAGGCATTTGGGTTGTTTCCACATTTGCCTACTATAAATAATGCTGCTATAAATATTCACATACAAGTTTTTCTGTGAACACATGTTTTCATTTCTCTCCATTATTATTATAGGCTGAACTGTGGCTCCACCAAATTCATAATTTGAAGTCCCAACCCCTAGTATCTCAGGATGTAACTGTATTTAAAGATAAGGTGTGTATAGAGGTGGTTATGCTAAAGTAAAGCTGCTAGGATGGGGGCTCTAATCCCGTATGAATAGTGTCCTTATAAAAAGCCATCAGGGGCCTGTCCGCACAGGGAAACACCATGTGAGGATACAGAAAACAACCATCTGCAAGAAAGGAGAGAGATCTTAGAAGAAAACAGACCTGCCAGCACTGTAATCTTCAACTGCCAGGCTCCAAAACTGTAATAAATAAATTTCTGTTGTTTAATTTACTCAGTCTGTGGTATTTTGTTATGGCAGCTCTAGCAGACTATTACAGGTAAATACCTAGGAGTAGAAATGTTGGGTCATGTGGTAACTCCATTTAACACTCCAGGTACCTGCCAGACTGTTCATATGAGTTTTTGTATGAATATATGTTTTATTTTCTCTTAAGTACATAGGAGTGGCATAGCTGCTAGGTGTACATTTAACTATTTAAGACACGGATAAATGGTTTTCCAAAGCAGCTGTACCATTTTACATTCCTACCAGCAATGTTTGAGGGTTCCAATTTTCTGTATCCTTAACAAAACTTGTTATTGTCTATCTTTTGACTATAGTTCAGGGACTAAGCTCTGATTTTTATCTTGCCCAAATTCCTACCTAAGAGGTCTGGGGAGTCATGTCCTACAAACCATGGATCCTCATCAGATGGCTTTTATTTGACCATGTATATTGTGACTTGCTTTTCAATCTGACTCTGGCGTGACATTATGAGACAAGGAAATAATATTTAGCCCCATAATATATTTCCTTGCCATGCCTCGAAATTGCCCTGCAAAGTCTCTTGTGGGAAAAATCCACATTCCATAGAAAATCTCCTTCCCCTTTTATTTTCTTTCCTTTCTTTGCAGATCCAGTGGATAATCAACTAAGAGCTAGGCATCCTTTTAGATTTGATAAGAAACATTTTACAACCTACCCTCTCTCTGAAGTCTGCCATCTGAGAGATTCTTCTGAACAATAAAACTGGTTCTCCACAATCCTTTATCTTAACCTGAACATTCCTTTCTATTGATCCCAAGTCTTTAGACAAATTCAACCAACTGTCCACCCGAAAATGTTTAAATTTACCTATAGCCTGGAAGGCCCCACTTTGAGTTGTCTCACCTTTCTGAACCAAACCAATGTATTTCTTAAATGTATTTGATTGATGTTTTATGCCTCTCTAAAATATATAAAACCAAGCTGCACCCCGACCACCTTGGGCACATGTTCTCAGGACCACCTGAGGGCTGTGTCACGGGCCAAGGTTGTTCATATTTGACTCAGAATAAATCTCTTCAAATATTTTACAGAGTTTGACTCTTTTCATCTACAAGTCATGTGGTGTAAAGTGATAGCTCATTGTTTTCTAATAGACTATTTTCTACGAAAGTTTTAGGTTCACAGCAAAATTGAGCAGAAAGTACACAGAGTTCTCATATACCCCTGCCTCCCCCCAACCCCATGCACAACCTTTCCTACTATCAATATCCCACATCACAGTTGTACATTTGTTTCAAATTATGACACATCATTATCCAAAGTCCACAGTTTATATTAGGGTCCATTTTTGGTGTTGTACATTCTATGGGTCCAGCAAATGTGTAATGACATATATCCACCCGTGTAGTAGCATACAGAAGGCTCACTGTCCTAAAAATCCCGTTTTGTTTATTCATTCCTTCCTCCTCTCCAAACCTTCATATTTCGGTTTTGATATCTACTTTCCCAGCTGCTAAAGCTGTTGATCATCTTTTCATGTGCTTATTGGTCACTTACATATTATCTTCTTTGGAGAAATGTCTATTCAAATCCTTTGCCCAGTTTTAAATTGGGTTATTTGTCTTTCTGTTGTTGACTATCACTTTTTAAGGTTGAGTTTGCTCCCTGCCAAGGAGGAAAACCCATGACTTTTGTCTACTATGAGAAAAACGCTAATACTTTATTATTCTGGAGAATGGCTTCCTCAGGAATTTCACTGTTCCTTTCTACTTGAGATTCACTAAATGTTAATACAGCCACTTTGTGGTTTCGGAGCAGAGCCATCATTTTTCTTGGCAGCCAGATTTATAGGACTCCAAAAGAAACAACCAGCATTAGGCAGTATTAAATAAAATTTGGAGATAAAAGCTAATCAGTGTGTATAACAATTACTGATATCAAAATCAAGGAATAAGAATCAAATAGCACTTCTTACTGTTCATGGACTTCAAAAGATTTATATGAATTTGGTACTATTAAAACTTCCTCTAAATTTAAATATGAAACAGATGGGAATAATACAGTTACATGAGAAATATTAGTCATTTCTCAGTGCTTATGAGCTGGGTCCCTTTGGTGGACAGTATTTGTGCAAATGTTTTAGTAACTACATGACTCTGCTCTGTTGTGAGCCATAGTTATCATATTTTTATTTATTCTAACCAGTTAAATTACTATTTACTGAACACCCACTGCCTCTTGTACTGAAGTCATTAAATTCTTTGATACATTTTAAAAAAGAAATAGTTGCTTTTTCTCTGTTTACTAACTTTAAAAAAAAAGAAAATAACACCCCCCATTCCTCCTTGTATTTCTTAGTTGGCTGAAGATATTCTGGAACTTAACACCATATATTTTGGGAGAAAGAAAAACAAACCTAAAACAGAAAATACCATAGTTATTTAAATATAGGACTTAAACTCTTGAAGTTTATCTGCACTTAAAAAAATTCTTTCCTTTTCTTAAAATTTTTCAGAAAGGATTTCACTATCTCCTTTGATAGTTTATTCTGCATTCTAAAACTCTCTTTTCTCATGGATAATCAAAACCGATCCTATAGGCGCCTCTTCTGTATTCAGTAGAAAAGGTGACTAGCAGCCGGGTGTGGTGGCTCATGCCTGTAATCCCAGCACTTTGGGAGGCCAAGGCAGGTGGATCTCCTGAGGTCAGGAGTTCGAGACCAGCCTGGCCAACATGGTGAAACCCCGTGTTTACTAAAAATACAAACATTATCTGGGCATGGTGGTGGGTGCCTTGTAATGCCAGCTACTCGGGAGGCTGAGGCAGGAGAATTGCTGGAACCCGGGAGTAGGAGGTTGTGGTGAGCCAAGATCGCACCATTGCACTCCAGCCTGGGTAACGAGTGAAACTCAATCTCAAAAAAAAAAAAAAAAAAAAAAGGAAAAAAGAAAAAAAGAAATGGTGACTAGCTTCCCCCCACCATCTTGATATAATGATGAAATTCTTCACGCCTTCTCTACCCAATGAGGGAGAAAACAAACATGAAAATATTGCAAGACACAAGACTAAGTACTAACATTTGTTGACAATATTAATTTTCTCAATGTTTAGGTTTCTGAAAACAGAACATTTACTGTTGACTTTTTCCCTCATGTTACCAGGTGTATCTCCAAACATTCTAGAAACTTCATGAGATAATAAATTATTATTAAGCCTAAATTAGGTGCTTTATCTACTTTTTGACTGAAAAAATTGAAACATGGAATAAATTCATTATTTAATATTAACATAGGTCTACATTTCCTCTGCAAAATTCTTGACCCATAACTGCCAATTTTAAGATTAAAAATACAGGCTGAGTGCAGTGGCTCATGCCTGTAATCTTAGCACTTTGGGAGGCTGAGGCAGGAGGATCACTTGAGCCCAGGAGTTTGAGACCAGCTTGGGCAACATGGAGAAACCCTGTCTCTACAAAAACTACAAAAATCATCCTAGTGTGGTGGCATGTGCCTGCAGTTCCAGATACCTGGGAGATTGAGGTGGGAAGATCACCAGACCCTGGGAGGTTGAGGCTGCAGTGAGTCATGATCATGCCAATGCACTCCAACGTGGGTAACACAGTGAGATCTTGTCTCAAAGAAAAAAAAAAAAAGTTGAAAAGGAAAGAAAAAAACTTTTCAGGAAGGGTACACATGCAAAGCAAGCCTGGCACGTAATGAGTATAAATTAGAAACTATATAAAATATATACATTACAAAATATAATAAGTTAATGTATATAAAATAGAAAATATACTTTTTTGGTTAATAAAACAAAATGATGTGAGGTTATGAAGAAATTGTATAATTTCTTAATTGGCTTTGAAAGCAATTTCAAGCATCCTAAAAGAGTTTCGAGTGATAAAAACTTAACTAGAATAAAAGCTTCTCACATTCGTAAGAGCAACAATTACTTCTCTTCCAGTGATCTCCAAACTTATTTAATTACATATCTCACCAGTAAAAGGTTTGTGCAACTATATATCCAGTGCACATTTATTTAAAATGTAAATAGGTTATTAGCTATTTCTATTTTAAAGCACGCATAAATTATAGTTGGAGTAAAACAATGTAAAAGATTGTGTTTTTACTTACTAATGGGACAGAATCTTTTTGCTGTTATTAAAACATAGATTTTTAGTTTTTAAATAAAAACAGGCTATGGAATATATTTCATTATTTAAATTCTTTGTTGTTGTTTGTATTAGTCCATTTTCATACTCTTATGAAGAAATCCCCAAGACTGGGTAATTTATAATGAAAAAGAGGTTGAATTAACTTACAGTTCCTCATGGCTGGGGAGGCCTCACAATTAGGGTTGAAGGTGAAGGAGGAGCAAAGGCATGTCTTACATGGTGGCAGGCAAGAGACTTGTGTTGAGCATGTTGTTTTTGTTGACACATATGAAGAAAATCCTAGGGCCCTTCAGACTCCTTGGTCTTGGAGATCCCTAAGGACCACACTTGGAAACTGATGGTCTATGGCAATGGGTCCTTTTAGGCCTTGAATCCCTTTAAGAATCTGACAATATGAAACTCTGTCTCTAGGAAGCTGCTGGAAGGTACACATCTTGGGAGTTTGCCCTTTGAAGCTCACCTGTGGACCTTTTTTCCTTTCGTAAGTCCACTGACTCCAGTTAGGAATGCTTGGTCTGATAAGCGTCCTTTTTATGTAATGATGGTGGATAAACTGCTTTTTCCAATACCTACACATACAGTTTCAAAACCAAGGAGGAAATAAGATTGAAAAAAAGGAAGTAAGGAATAATGGAAGAAAGGAAGGGAAAAAAAGAGAGAATTAAAAGGTGGTTTACTGTAATCCCAGCACGTTGGGAGGCCGAGGCAGGTGGATCGCTTGAACCCAGGAGTTCGAGACCAGCCTGGGCAACATAGCGAAACGCTGTCTCTACAAAAAATTAACCAGGTGTGGTGGTGCATGTCTGTAGTACCAGCTACCTGGGAGGTTGAGGTGAGGAGATCACCTCAGCCTGAGAAGTTGAGGCTGCAGTGAGCGGTCATGGCACCACTACACTTCACCCTGGGTAACAGAGACTGTGTCTCAAAAAAAAAAAAAAGGTGGTTTACTCAGTAGAGATCTTTATCTTGCTTGAAAGGCCAAAGCCATTTTAAGAAGGAAACTTGCTAAATCTTCTCCTGTATGCGTAAATAGTAATCCCTTAAAAATAAATCACTGCATAAACGAGATGACTGCTTGAGTCATCATTAACAACTTATGAAAAAGACAGAAGTGCCTCTTACAGAGGTGTAAAGTATTTATTTGCACCCTATCATGCTGGCAGAAAATCTGGGAAGGCAAATCTGAGTGCAGGGTAGAAAATGGTCAGTTGCAGAATATAAACATTAACATGATTATAATTACGGACTTGAGAAGTGAAAAGCACTGGGGAAGTTTTAGGTAAATACAACATTCCACACTGATGCTTTCACAGTTTAATAGCGGATTCACTTATAAACATTCTGATAAAGATCAGAAACTAAAATGCATTCCTGTTTAAAACACAGATTTGCATTTACCAAAGAAGACATAATTCTGTGACAAAGGAAAATACACTCAACATTATCAACAGGCAATGATGCTCTCAGTCAATGGAAATTTTTACAAAGGCTCTGGAAAAATAACTGGAGATAGCAGTTGTTTGATTATGGGAAGCCAAGAGATCAGAAGAGGCATGAGGTGCCTTACGGTTCTGGGTAAAGAATTAGGGACATGATGCAGTAAATGTTAATTAAATAGTCTTGGCAGAAAATGACCACAGGTAATTTCAGTAAGTATATCCTAAATAAATAATAAAATATGCAGAAACGATTTCTAAGGAAATTTGAGCACAAATGTTTGCTCATTAGAACACTGGAAGGGTCAGTAATCAGAACTGTGTGCATATACAAATCACAGGTCTGGGAAGATCCCATAGGTCGAAAATGTGTCCTTGGACAAATGGCTCCTCTAATAGGCTATCTACGGGGGTGTGGAGCATTAAGAGCAGGTTTACTGGAGAGACAAAGATAACAATAGGGTTTGGAAAGGCAGACCATTTAAAAAAGGCTGATTTTTTGATAAGCAGGGAAAAAGTTATTAATTTTAGTAATAGTAGTGACCTATATAAAGATCATTATACAGATAATGGAGGCTGTTTTTTAATTTCTATTTTGCAGGAAAAGAAGCATAAGCTGCAATAAAAATTTGGTTTCAAGATAACAAAGTCAGTCCCCAAAAATCAGTATTGAGAGTCACTGACATTAAATGATGAAGATACGAGGATGGTGTGGGGACCTTTACTCTTCGAAGATGAGCTATACATGCCCCTGAAAAGGCTGTCTGAAGACAGGGGAAGGCTGGAGATGGCAACTTTGGCCTCTGCCAAGTACTCGTGCTATTTTCTGTATGTGATACTATCTGTTTTGTAACTCAGAGGCAACACCACATACCTAGCATAAGGCTTGAACTCCCTTTGGGGTTATCAATTACTTACATAGCCTTCCTCTAAGGGAAGGCTTGCAAGTGGTTCATATTCGACCCTTCCATGTGATAAGCATTCATGTGGGCTTCACAATGTAACAGAGGTACACAGAGATTCTTGTAAACAGAAAATTTTATAAAACTGTTAACTGATCTCACTTTGAAGAAGTCTTACTGACTAGATGTCATTTATCAGAGTAGACAGGCTTAAAATGCATTGCTTGTACTAGACTGTTGTAATGCATTTTTTTGTTTTTGCATTGGTTTTTAATTCATTTAATTGGTTTACACTCATTTTTTTTTTTACATTCCATTTTTGCATTTGTATGCCAGTTAAAAATTATGAAATGGCACATTGTGGGATTTTGTTTAGCTAAATTCTAGAAAAATTGAAAGATACCTTTTATTCGACTTAAGCCTGAGGTTATTCAGCACGGTGATCTCTGCATTTTTGAAAGGTTGTCTCGTCGTTTAATAAACGTAAATAACTTAAGCACATTGGAAGAGCTATTAAATGAGAGCAGGAGATTAAAAAGACATGATTTCTTACTTTATCCACCTGACAGGATAGCTTGCATTGGTGATTAACCTTGCATTGTTAAATTCATTTCCTAAATATTTAGGTAAGTAGTTGGTTTGATCATTATTTGTAAAGTATTAGTAGTTGCATGTTGAATTATCATGTTAAGATTTTTAGTTTGTTGTTCATGTGATATGAAAGATAACAATTCCTAAAACTGAATGCATGCATGGCTTATTCAGCTCAGGTCACATACAAAGAGAAATGTGACGCTGCAATAAACATAGCAGAGCTATCTGGGTTTGAAGCAAAAAGGCTATGACGTTAGGTATATGCACTTTACATTGTATGTATCTTTTTAGTTCTAGTGAACTCATCTGGAATCATGTTACAGAAAATGATTCTCCAGGTCCAAACACATTTAAGTTTAATGACTGGGACTACTCTAACAATTGCGGCTATCTCATTTTGTCTCATTGGTTCATTAGCATAGCACCCATTTAAGAACAACTACTTCTAAACACAGTAATATTTCAGAGGCTATAAAATAATAGAGAAAGAAAACTTAAAAAATCCTTTGTTTGCAGCCAAGAAAATGTGAGGATCAGATTTGTACTTGTTTTGAACAATTGGAAACTGTCACAATTGTTTTTAAGATGTAATAAATGTATATAAAATATGGGATTCTATAGTATTAGCCATTTTGATATCTTTTGTTGAAAGAAAAAACCAAAAAACCCCATATGTTCTAAGTCTCAGAAATCAAAGAATTCCACAATTTTCATTTCCACTAAAATATTTATTTAATGGATATCTTACAGAAATAAATAAAAACAGTTTTTGTCTAATACAGATAGGTTTTTTTATATATATGTAATTTGATTTTACAAAATTGAAGCATATCAAATTGTTTTCTCTAAAACATAGCTCAGAAAGGAATAGTAGAAAACAAACACAAAGAAATACTGAAATAGTCTCATTTTTAAATTATAAGCATGGGCCTTCTGAATCTCAGCATGACATGTTATTAGTAAAAGAATGTAAGATATGGAGTCAGGGGACCTGGGCTCCACTGTTTACTTGCTACATGTCCTAAGAAAGTTTCAATATATCTGAACTTCAGTTCTCTACCTTTAAAACAGTAAAGATATTAATTATATCAACTTCACAAGATTGTTGGGTAAATTAAACACGTAAATGTACATGAAAGCTCTTTTTAATATGTGAAGAGCTATAAAAATAACAGTTTGATTTAATTTCATATAAAAGAATCAATGGATACCTCCTTTTAACTGAAGAATAAGCACCAAAAGCATGTGTGTGTTTTCTTCAGTTGAATTACATCACTCTATAAACCTAGAGTAAGAAAATGCACCTTAACTAAGCACCAAAGCCTCTCGGACAAATGGGATCTAGGGAATGGTTCTATGAGTTTTCCAGGCAGCTAACTGGGAGCTAATAAGTCCTGAGGGTCAAAGAGGGTCCTTTAAAACTCTGAAGGCTCAAAGAAAAGGAAGCCAAATAAGAACATTTGTATTACATCAAATGGCTAGGATGTAACAAGCTACTCCTTATTCAGCAATTTCAAAGTCCATTAATTCCTCACAGAAGAAGAAACACTTCGTTATTATCACTTGCAACGATTTGCTTATGTGAACATGGCATTCTCTTGTTCAAAAGGTCAAAGACTCGTGCTTAAGGGAGGAACAACTGGAGTGAAATAACAACTCTACCATGAATTCAGATATCACTGGCTAAAAAGTCTAGTTACACAAGAACATGGGAAAGAAAAAGAATCCAAGACATCAGTATAATAATGATTAAAAAAAAAACCCTGCCATATTTCCATGTTATAATAAAACAAAATCATAAAAACTGCAATATTTACAGATACATCAATCTTACAACATATAAAAACTTTAACAATAAGAAAAATTAAGAGTAGGGAAAGCAGATAATTTTAAGGTAATCATTAATACATTAAAAAATCTATTTGGAGTTAACTGTTTACACTAACACCACTTTACACATAATAGAAATATGAATATTTTCATTGTTTTTGTTTTCAGTAGCAAGATGCAGAAGAAACAAATAACTGTCTAACATTAACTTATTGTAAGGAGTTGTATTACTGCAAAATTACTAGGTGTAAAGTTATGGTATAAGCCTACTCAAAAAATGGGTTAATATAATTCACCATCTACTTAAAATATTACTAACAAGATATTGGTGAATCATGTGCTAAAGATACTGAAGGCCCTTCCAAAACTGAGATCTATGTTTGTTCAATATACCAGGTCATATAAAACTAGACTAGTTTACTTTCTTATTCCAACTGTTTTATGAGTGATCTTATCATAAGAAAAGTACACATTACCTCTCTTAATTCCCTTGCATCATCAGATATAGATACTATTTGGGACAAAAAATAAATGTTTTATTAGGAGTGTAAAATTAAGAATCTTTATAGATCTTTTGGAAACAGTATATTGAAAAGGACTCAATAAGTACTAAGCCACTGTATAACCAGAACAATAAACAAATTCATTCAACTAGGAACAGTGTTACTGTTATCTACTGGGTTTTTAAAACTTGTAACTTTGCTCTACAGCTATGAAAGTTTATTAATACACTAAAGTCCATGGAATGAATCAAGTGTAGTTCATTCAAGCTCTTCAGTTTCTTTGGTAAATAGGTCTGCCAGGTCAGCCACAGTCAAGACAGAGGCCTCTGAATGCTTTGCTGATGAGTTCGTGTGACTGCAAGGTTTCCCAAATGAGCACAGTCAGAAAGAAACCCCAAGCCATCAGCGATTATATTTGTAGTAATACGAACTAGACACATATTTTTTCTTAAGTTTTTGTAATTGGGATATAAGAAACTCCCAGAGGAAAGCAAGTGATAAAATCTTTGTTATACCTTGTCAAAGTGAAGATTTCTATATATTACTTTTAGTGTTTGTCAAAGTGTTTTTTCTCTGTGCAATTAATAGAACAAAGAATAAAACTCTTGACTACTGCTACTAAGGCTCTCACCTTACAAATTACCTTCTTACCACCTGAAGTTAATTTGTTTCAAGAGAATTTCAAACAACTCATAACTGCTATTTTATTAAAACAACCTAAATAAAAATCACTGAAGTCTGATACACAAGGAAAACAAGAACTTTAAAAAGCCTTCATGTTTTAGGTAAAAAGGCCCTTGTGGAAGCCTCTTTCCTTCCCAGAAACCATCAATGGAAGAAAATTTCTAGTTTCAAATTGCTTCTTTGCTATGTGACAATCCCTTCTAAGGCAATAATCTCTTCCTTGGGTACCATCCAATCCTACCTACCTCCTAAAGATGTAGAAAGATTTATGTTTTCAAAAAGATTTAAATAAATTATACCATAAATATTAGAAAGTTCTATGATTCCAGAGTCAAGCTTTTAAAATTAAGACTGGTTTAGTCTCTCTGCTTTTGTTTTGTCTTTGGATTGACACCACAATTAACCTTAACAAGTTTGTTTTTTTTTTTTTTTTTTTTGAGACACAGACTCGTTCTGTTGCCCAGGCTGGAGTGCAGTGGCACGATCTTGGCTCACTGCAACCTCCACCTCCGGGGTTCAAGCGATTCTCCTGCTTCAGCCTCCCGACTAGCTAAGACTATGGTGCGTGTCACCATGCCTGGCTAATTTTTGTGTTTTTAGTAGAGATGGGGTTTCACCATGTTGGCCAGGCTGGTTTCGAACTCCCAGCCTCAGAAAGTGATCCAATGTGGCAAAGGAATGTAGTATAGTTTATATTTACATGTTACAATTAATAAATTAATTCAAATATACAAAGTCTGGAGCACTGACTGGGAAACAGTGAAAAGGCAAAACGTCAGACTTTGCTTTTAAAAACGTATTTGTGCTATATTTTTCGTTGTCATCTAAGTGAAGAAGTTCTAAAGATACAAACTTTTAACAGGAAAACCTTCCCCCTTCTACTTGTGGTAAATTATTACCTACCTTCTCTCAGCAGTTTTCAGCATTGCCTGCATTCTTTCTTCTATTGTTGCTTTAATTAAGAATCTGTGTACAATAGTAGGTCTAAAAGGTACAGAAGAATTTTAAGCTTAAAAACATAGTAAAACAAATCAGTACAAACCGACTTCACATTTTATATGCTATATTCATCAGTCAGTTGGTGCCCACTTGTGGCAGGTGCTGGGAGGGGTTCAGCAGCGAATAAAATGAACTATTTAATCTCCATGAGCTGACATTCTAATGAGAGACAGACAATAAACACATAAAAGAGTAAGACGGTTTCAGGTAAATATAATGCTGGGAGAACAGGCTGACATGCAAACTGAAAAAAGAGTGATGGGAATGAGGCCAGTAGGCAAAGGAGGAGTAGGAAGAATATCCAAACAGAAGAAACAGCACATACATACACAGTCCCCGGGAAGGGAATATGCCTGGAACAAGCCTAACATGTTCAAGAGGCCAAAAGAAGGCTGGCATGGCAGAAGCATCCTGTAAGCGAGGGAGAGAGGTGAAAATAAGGGTGGAGAGATGTGCAGGGGCCAGGTCACACAGGGCCTTCCAGGATGTGACCAAGCATTTGAATTTTATCGTGGTTATAATGGGAAGCCCTTGGTGGGTTTGTATGCATGATTTGATGTATACCTGACTGTACTTTAGAAATCCCTTTGGCAACCGTGTGGAGGATGTACTTCTTGCTCAGCAAGAAGAGCACCAGAGAAGCCAGTTAAGAAGTCCTGTAGTCATCTGGGTAAGTAAGGGTGGATGCACTATGGTTGTGTCAGTGGAGATAGCAGTCAAGTAGATTTGGAATATCTTTTGGAGGTAGAGCTGACAAAACTTAAAAGATGACTGGCATGTGAGATGTGAAAAGAAAAATATAGAAGAGTCCGAGATTTCTGATCTGGGCAGGAACAGATGACAGTGCCACATTATAAGATGGGGAAAGCTCAGGGTGGGAGTGAGAGTGCAGAAGCAACACAGTTTTGTTTTGTCCATGTGAAACCTATCAGATACCTATTAGACAGGTATCCAAGGTGAGTCCAGAGATATGTGTGCAGAGCTAGAACTGGATATATGCACCTGGGACAGGAGCTATATGGGCATGTCTGGGCTGGGGGATATACACCTGAGAGTCATCAACCTGTAAAAGCTACCTAAAGCCCTAAGACTGGAAAAATTCATCGAAGGGGTGTAGACAAAGAACCCTCAGACCACTGGCAAGAAGTAGGTCACTAGAAATGTTATAAGTCTCACTTCAGTGATATGGTGGGGAGAAAATCAACCAGACAGGTTGACAGAGAATGGGGGATAAAAAAGTAGAGATGGAGGTAGGATGTATCAGAGTGTTTTTTTCTTTCTAAAGATGGATAATATTAAGACATATTTATGGGGTAATATATGACAGGTTGAGTATCCCTAACCAAAAACCCAAAATCCAAAACTTTTTGAGTGCCAACGTGACAAGTGGAGGATTCAACACCTGACTTCACGTGATGAGTCACAGTCAAAACACATTAAAAACGTTGTTTTGTGCACAAAATTATTTAAAATATTATATAAAATCACCTTCAGGCTATGAGTAGAATTTGTATATGAAACATAAATAAATTTCATGTTTAGACTGGGGTTTCATTCCTAAGATATCTCACTATGTATATGCAAATATTCTAAAATCTGAAAAAATCCTACAGGCAAAACACTTGAAGCATTTCAGTTAAGGGATGCTCAACCTGTACAAGGGAAATGTACACCTGTCCTTGAAAAATGAGAAAGAATGGAGTCCAGGACAAATGAATGGATGGCTTTTGAAAGAAAAGGGACACTTCTGCTGTAATAAAAGGGAAGGCATATGAGGTACTTTCCTGCTTATTACTGGATGACATATCCATGCTTCTGCCTACTACCAACCCCTTCCTCCACTTCAGTGTTTGATCCCATATCCTCTTGCCTACTCAAGGACATTGTCAAGCATTCTCCCTGTTCTCCTTCACTAGTTTTTGTTGTCTCTAATGAATCATTTTCTTACTAATTCTCCCATTTGAAAGGAAAACAAAAACCTCTCTTGATCTCATTCTCTTCCTTTTCTCTGCAGCAAAACTCCTCAAAATACTGGCCTTACCAGCCACACAGAAGCAGCAGTGCACTGTGGTTAAAGCTTGTACTGTGAAGGCAGAATGGCTGTGCCTGAAATCTGCCACTGCTTCTACTAGCTGCCTGACTATGGGCAAGTTACCTAACCTCTCTTTGTTATACAAATATTTGTTAAATAAGAAATACACAAAATCCCATTTTCTCCAAAACTAAAGTCAGGCTGTCACCTCTACCACTTAACCTGGTTTTGATCTCCATGTTGCTAAATCTAATGATCAATTCTCAATCCTTATCTTCCTTGACATTTTTCATAGCACTTGAAACAGGTGACCATAACCTCTTCTTTGAGGTACATTTTTCACTTGGTTCCTAGGACACTCCTGTCTTCTGGTTTTCTTCCTAACTCACTGTTTGATCTTTATTTGTTACCTTTGCTGCTTCCTTCTCCTCTCCTAGAACAGCTGAACTTTGGTGCCCTGGAGTTCAGTCCATGGTCCTCTATCTAAACTCTGTCTCTATCTAAACTCACTCCTAGGTAATCTCATTCAGTCTCGTGACTTAATGGACTTGTACATCTAGTTACAGAATAGAAATCTCCATTTGGATGTCTGTTCTTCCCTTACCAAATCTGCTCTACCCTGTAGACTTCTCCAGCTCAGTTGAAGGTTACTTCATCCTTCTAGTTGTCCAAGCCAAAACCCATGGTGTTATCCTTGACCCTCTCATACCCCATGTCTAGTCTGTCCAAAAGTACTATCAGTTCTATCTTCAAAATATATCCAGAACCTGACCACTCCTCATCATGTGCACTGCTACTGCCATGGTCAGGTCACCTTCAGCTCTCACCAGGATGACTGCAATAGCCTCCAAGACTCTCCCTGCTTCTACTCTTCCTTGCTCCCCTTCACTCCCACCCTATCACAGCACTCAGAATGATTCTTTTAAAACTTAAGTGAGATATGCCAAGCCTCTGTTCAAAGCCTTCCAATGGCTCCCGATTTCACACAGGGCAAAAGCACCATCCTCACAGTGGCTTCCTGGGCCCAATGTAATCCCTCTCCCCACTGAGCCCATTCACTTCAACTCCTGCTTCTCTCCCTTTTAGCAACTGTAGCTCCTTGCTATTCTTCTAACATACCACACTCCTGATTTAGGGCCTTTGCACCGAAAGCACTGTTTACTTGAACATTCTTTCACAAGATAGCTGCATGACTAACTTTCCCATTTTCCCATTTCTTTCAAGTCCTTGCTCAGACTTTCTCAATAAGGCCTTGCATGCCTTCCTGCCCAAACATTGCACTTTTACTTCCTCACCCTGCTCTACTTTTCCAGCTCCTAACATAGTCCAGATTGTACTTAGTTTATTGTTTACCACCTTTCTGTCTACCAACCCCATTACAGCTAGAATCGCACTCCATGAGGACATCTCATGTTCCTAAAACAGTGCCTGGCACACAGAAGATACTCAATAAAAATCTACCAAAAAGTATGTGAGTACTGATGCAGGCAGACTGTTCAAGTTGATGATGGAAAGATGAGGTACTTCTAATCTGATTGTATATGTTTCCCCTGTATGAGGCAAGATCGCCATGGGGAGGAAGAAGACACACTTAAGACAGACTCCTCAGAAAGTAGAAAAAAACATATTGACTTGCGAGGCATAGTAAGATTGTTGGGTAATGCTGAATGGCCTTTTGGACTCGTGGTTTTAAATATGAGACTAGTCCAGCCTATGCTTTAAAAGAACATTGGTAGGACAAAAAATCAATATTTAAAAACACAGAAGAAAACCAACAAAAAACAAGTAAGACATGACTGCATTTTAAATGCCACTTGGTGGTATGTTAGAACAAGCCCGCATTTATTACAGTTACTTTGCCCTATTTGTTAAGAGGTTTAATAAACATGTCTCTTTCCTGTTTTCAAGTAAGCCCTTTATTTTCTCTCCCCGCTACTTCTTACGGGGCAGTCTACATTTCTGAGTATGACACAGAAGACTTCATCTCCTGCCGATGATCTCTTTCTCATACTTTATACTGCAACAATTCCAAACTCCTTACAGTCCCTAGAAATGTCATGTCATTTCCCACCATTGTATTTTTGCATATATAACTCTCTTTGGCTGTGTGAATACCCTTTTCCAGCCAACTTTGAAATAATTATTCCTTCAAGACTTAACACCATAAAGTCTTTCCTGACTCTGTAGGGCCCGAGTGATCATTATCTTCTTTTGTTAACACAGTCCTTTTATTATTATACTTTTGCACATTCTACCCCAACACTTTAAGTCATGCTTCCTGTACTACACAGTGACCTCCTTGGGGAAATAAATTATGTATCATTCAATTTGAATCTTCAGTATTTAGAATAATGCCTGACATACAGTAGGTGCTCAATAAATACTGATTTAGTAAGTGCTTATTATGGATGTGTTTTTTTTTCCTTTTTTAAACATCAAAGACTTCTAACATCCAGAAGGTAATACATTTAGCAGGCCTTATCAAAGATAACTGTCTATTCTGATATATGAATAAAGGTAATACATGCCATATAATAATATTCATTATTAGGTTTGCTTTGGGCCTTAAACTGAATCTAATGATCTCTTGGAGCTGACCTAGGGGGTGTCTTTTCCTAATGTTAAGAATTTTAAAAGGAGCCATTTATTTTCAGTCATGTACAAGGTATGTCTTCTTTTAAACACGGGACTACTTTAGACAATCAAAACTCCATTCTCCTCAAAGGCATGATGGATGCCTTCAACTTTGTAGCTGTCTTAAGTATTTCTAACAAGCTTTTTTTTGGATAAAGTGATAAGGTTTTTGTGGGAGGGAAGAAAAAAATTGGGACAATTTGGGGGTTTGCTTCTTGGAGAGAAGGGAGGGTTGGAAATCTCATGCCTTTCAATTAAATAATTAAAAAGTTATAAATAAATAAGTTATAAAATAAATAATTAAAAAATGTAGTATCTAAGGAAGTAATTAAAAACAAGTACGCTATGATGAACATAAATGAAGAGTTTAAATACTGATTTGGTTTCTCAGAAAACTGAAGCAAATGTGACTGATTCTAATTTTAGTCCTTACTTTGTCTGTCCAATTCGGTGCACCCTCCCTATGGCCTGAAGCTCATGGGCAGGGTTCAATATGGGCTCCACCAAGAGAACATGAGTTGCTTCAATGATAGTTAATCCATTAGAACCTGTGTGCAGGGGCAGCAGCAAAATATTGATTTGGGGATCACGTTTAAATGCTGAAAGGTTCTCCTAAAAAAGAAAGGTACATTTTAATTTTAGCTCGATCAGTTAAAATAAGAGCAGTATGTAATAGCTCACTTTAAAGATGTCTAATGCTATCTATTACTATTGTGAAAGGTAACAGCTAAGAAACTTAAATGCAAAATTACCAACTTTAGAAAATGTAAACTTGTCGCTTGATTTTAATTATGAAGAAAAGTATCATATAAGCTCTCTTGTTCTTCGTAATATCTAGAGGAATCACAAGACAGATGCATGTAATGCATGCAAATTAAACTACATGAGGTTAGAGGAAAAAGAGAAAAAGAATGTGCTAGAGTGAATGTGAGATAAGAGACATGAATCTGCTAAATTTTCATTTGGTCTCTGTGTGTGCCTGAGGTCATACGCCTGTCACTGTGCTGAGCATGATGTAAGGATAACTGTGACCACATGCAGTTCTGCCTGACAGTGACTTTAGAAACTAATCCTTGGGGTGTGAGGCCCCTGTCCATTCAAAAGGTATATCATAGGCAATCTTTTCCTGTACTAAAAAAAAAAAAGAACCTCAAGTTGGGAGATCTTTAAAAAACCAATGGTCTTGTTATATACTGAAAATACCTGCAGTCTCTGCTTTTAAATGTTCACTTTATAATTAATCAAGAACTCAGACCCTGTTTATGTGGCTTATATGGCATGAGACAATAAATGTAAGTAAGCTAGTTAACAGCAGTTTAAATTTGCAACTGTATCCACTACAAAAACCGGAGTAAAATCTTAACATACCTGAAATGTCTTAACACGACTGATTTGTGCAAATTCCATGTTGTTGTCAGTAAGAGCTTTTGAAATAATATCTAATACATCTTGCCACTAGAACACATAAAACAATAAGAAAACCAATATTTACACGTAGCCTTTATCTAAGGGTATCTGAAAAGGAAATAAATCAAAATGACTTTTATACTGGAGTTAAGAAAATAAAACCAAAACCAAAACCCTCAAATGTAGTACCATCCATATTATTTAGCTCTATCTGAAATAGTAATTTTGTTTGTTTTTTTTTTTTTGCATCAAATGCTGGTTTTGAAAATGTAATTAAGATAAACAAACAGTAGAAAATACATAATGGAGTGCATACTGGAATATAGTTACTTAGTTTTCGAAAATGAAAACTAAGGGTTTTACTCAACACTTTATAAAGTAGATTGTCTTTTTCAACCCAAATTTTTGTGAAATGAGACTTTCAAAGTCAGAAATTCCAATTTTAAAAATATTAAACTAAGAAAATCCTTAAATGAAACTAATAAAAAGTCATGAAATATAGCTATACAAATTGCCTTGTGAAACATCATCACATTTCTCTAAAAATAATTCTATCTTCTCTAAAAATAATTCTATCTTATGGATTTGGGAAAAAAAATCTAAGAGTAAACATCAAAAATTAGTTCTCAGCTGTAAACTGATTAGAGAGGGAAAATCAGTTCGAATTAATATTGAGGATGAAAATGTTGATTATACCGTTGAGAAAACGAGTGCTTTGGCCCCTGGATCTCTAAGCTGTATTTTCATCAGAGTTCTGACCACAGCTTCCACTTTTGTAGAATGGCTGCCCTTTGAACACACACACAAAATACACATTACTACTAAAAAATCTAGTTAAGAACAGAATAGAAAAGCAATACAAAGTACTTTTTATTATCAAAACTATAAATGCATCAAAACAAATTATCAGGTGCATATGTGTTTACTCTTTTTCATTTTGTGTTTGCTGGAAATTTTCTTTAGCCTCGAAATGTAGAAGTCATTAAATTTACACCCAGACATTTGAATGTAAAAGCATGCCAGAAAGTCATTAAGTGCTATGACCCTGAACATAGGATCTTTTAGTTAAGTAGTCAGGTTTTATAGTTACAAAATTTTGTTACATTAGATTAGCAGAAATGATATTTTAAAACACTCTTCATTTATTCTCCCTTTCTTCAGATATTATGTCATTAGAAATGTTAAGAATACAATGAATCAAAACTCCCAATGTAAGCAAACAGTGAAGGATCCAACCAATGGAGAATGTTTTCTTGCAAGGGTATTACCAAAAACAATGACAGAGGTACAAATGATGCTCACTTAGAATGAGGCAGATTCATACAAAGCTAGACACTTAAAACTGTGTGTTTTTTTTTTTTTGCATCTTCCATAACCATTTCTATCAGATGAGGATGAAAGTGAAAAAATGATTTTTAAAATGGAGAAATAAGAAAATGAGGAAAATAGTGCAAGTATTTCTGTAGCCCTCAATGAGAAAGTTTTCCTTCTGGAGTGCTCTTGGAGATGGTATGACAGAGAAATTAAGGTTATGGGATTTTGAATGAGACAAATTTAAGTTCAACTCATAGTTCTACAACTCACTAGTTATAGTTTCTAATCCTGTGTTTCCTCATCTATCCAATAGGGCTGAATGATAATTATATCTCTTTCCAAAGGTGGCTGTGATGATTGAATGAGAAAATGTATACGAAGCATTTAGCCTAACATCTGGTAAGGAGTAAACACTCAAGAACTTATTATCTTTCTGAGATATTAAATATGAGCACTATAATGACCTAGATTATACCACAAGGGGGAGCAGATTTAACCAAAAAGAAGGAAAAATATTTCCACAGCAGCATAAACCCTCTCCCTCAATCCTCTCAACACACTTTTACATGAAGAAACATTCAAAGGTAAAAATATAAACAAAACAAGAAAGAAAGCTGTACTAATTTTAAGCCAGCAAGATAGAATAATGGAAAAAGTTTTAAAATCCTCATGCTAAAATCATGATTCTACACTTATTTTCTCTGGGTATGTAGACTTTCAAGTGTACTTGCAAGATTAGAAATGTACTACAAAGAACCTATTTCAGTCTAATAATTATCTCAAACAAGAGCGAAGAGAAAATAGGAAATTAGTGTAAAGGTGATCATTTCAGAATTTAGACAAAAACATCCATGTTCCTTGCAAGGTCTTACTTTTAAAACTATTTCAAGTGAAATACCAGGAAAACTATGAATCCTTCCACTGATTAATACGTTTCTTACTAAAAGTTCAAAAAAAATGTAGAATAAATTTTTTATAATCAACATTTCTAGTACCGTAGTGCTAACTCTACGTAGGAAAAGAACAGAGCATTTGCTTTTATCAAAGACTGGCCAGTTCAGTGGTAGTGCTCAATGATCCCTTCCAACCACTACAGTTCTGAACCATTTTGTCCCAATCTAGTTACTTCCTACTTTCCTAGCAGAATATGTTAGGATACAAAACAAGTCCGAAATCAAGACTGAAATTACATCAAGTATCTTCTCTGACAATGGAATGAAACTAGAAACCCATAATAGGAGGAATTTTGGAATTAACAAAAATATAGAAATTAAATAACATGCTCTTGAACATTCATTGGGTCAATGAAGCAATTAAAAGGAAAAATTAAAAATATCTTGAGACAAATGAAAATGGAAATACAACATAACAAAAGGTATGGGAATTCAGCAAAAGCAGTTCTAATAATGAAGCTTATAGAAATAAACAACTACATAAAAAAAGAGAAATGTTCTAAATAAACAACTAATGTTGCACCACAAGGAACTGGAAAAAGAAGAGCAAAGTAAGCCGAAAGTCAGCAGAAGGAAAGATATAATAAAAATCAGAGCAGAAATAAATAAAATAGAGATCAGAAAAAAAATTACAGAAAAGACTAATGAAATTCTTAGTTGGTTATTTGAAAACATAAACACAATGGACAACCCTTTAGGTAGACTAAGAAAAAATAAGAGTAAAATTTAAAAAATTATAAATGAAAGTAGAGACATTAAAACTGATACCACAGAAATACAGAGAATCATGAGACTTATGAACAACTATACGCCAAGAAATCAGAAAATCTAGAAGAAATGGATAAATTCCCAGAAACATACAATCTACCAAGACTGAATCACAAAGAAACAGAAAATCTGAAAAGACCAGTATGTAGTAACAAGATTGAGTCAGTAATAAAAAGTCTCCCCTCAAAGAAAAGCATAGGAACTAGTGGTTTCACTGGTAAAGTTAAACAATCATTTAAAGAAGAACTAATACCAATCTTTCTTGAACTTTTATAAAAAACTGAAGAGAAAATATTCTTAATTCATTTTACAAGACCAGAAGTACTCTGATATCAAAATCAGACAAGAACACTATAAGAAAACAATTACAGGCCAGTGTCTCTGATGAAAACATGCAAAAATCCTCAACAAAATACTAGGAAGCCAAATTCCACAACACATTAAAAGGGATCACTCACCATGATCAACAGGGATTTACCTCTGGCATGCAAGGATGGTTTAACGTATGCAAACCAATAAATGTGATACACCACAGAATAAAGGAAAAAAATGATCATCTCAATATATGCAGAAAAAATATCTGATAAAATTCAACATACTTCAATAAACTCTCAACAACTTAGGTATAGAAGGAATGTACCTCAACACAGTAAAGGCCATAAATGACAAGCCTACCAGATAGCATCATATTCAATGGTGAAAAGCTCAAAGCTTTTCCTTTAAGATCAGCAAAACACAAATGCCCACTCTTGCCACTGTTATTCAACATAGTATTGGAAGTCTTAGCTAGAGCAATTAGGCAAGAAAAAGAAATAAAAGGCATTCAAATTGCAAAGGAGGAAGTTAAACTGTTTGCAGATGACATGATCTTATATATACAAAATCCTAAAGATTCCACCAAAAATCTGTTAAAAGCAATGAATTTAGTGAAGTTTCAGGATACAATAGAAACACAAAAATCAGTAGCATTTCTATACCTAACAATCAATTATCCAAAAAGGACGTCAAGAAAAAATATTTTATAATGTCATAAAAAAATGCTTAGGAGTAAATTTAATCAAGGTGAGAGACCTGTACACTGAAAACTATGAAACATTAATAAAAAAATTAAAGAGAACACAAATGGAAAGACATATGTTCATGAACTGAACTAATATTGTTACATAAATATTATATAACATAATCTATAGACTCAATGCAATCCCTATTAAAATTCTGATGACATTTTTCACAGAAATAGTGCTATGATTTGAGTTTGTCCTCAGCAATACTCATGCTGAAATTTGATACCCAGCGTGGAGGTTTTGGGAAGTGGGGCCTAGTGGCAGGTGTTCTGAGTCATGGGGGTGGATCCTTTATGAATGACTTGGTGCCATTCTCTTGGTAGTGAGTAAATTCTCTCTTGTGCAAGATGAATTGGCTCCTATGAGGGCAGGCTGTTATAAGTTTCCTCCTCCTTTTTGTTGCTCTCTCTTTGTACCTGTCTGCTACCCCTATGACCTCCGCCATGTTATCATGCAACAAGGAAGCCCTCACCAGAAGGGCCATCTCCTTGAACTTCCCTGCCTACAGAAAAAGGAGTTAAATAATCCTCTTTTTTCTTTTTGAGACAGGGTCTTGTGCTGTCGCCCTAGTTGGAGTGCAGTGGTGTAATTACAGCTCACTGCAACCCTGAACTCCTGGGCGCAAGTGATCCTCCCACCTCAGTCTCCCGAGTAGCTGGGACTACAGGTGTGCACCACCACACCTGGCTACTTTTAAATTTTTTTTGGTAAAGACAGAGTCTTATTATGTTGCCCAGGCTGGTCTTGAACTCCTGGCCTCGAGTGATCCTCCTGCCTTGGCCTCCCAAGGCACTGAGATTATAGGCATGAGTCACTGCATCTGGCCGTAACTCCTTTTATTTATAAATTACCCAGCCTCAAATATTCTGTTACGGCAACATAAAACAGACAAAGAAAAATAGGAAAAACAATTCTAAAACTCATATGGAACCACAAAAGACCTTGGATAACCAAAGCAATCTTGAGCAAAAAGCTAGAGATACCACACTCCCTGATTCTAAAACACATTTTAAAACTACAGTAATAAAAATAGTACGCTACTGAAATAAAAACAGACATACAGACCAATGGAACAGGAGAGAGCCCAGAAATAAACCCACACATACACAGTCAACCAATCTTTAACAAAGATAAGAAGATCACACAATGGGGAAAAAACAGTCTCTTCAATAAACTGTGCTGAAAAAACTAGTTATCCACATGCAAAAGAATAAAACTGGACCCTTATCTCACCGCATATACAAAAATCATCTCAAAATGGATTAAAGACTTAAATATAAGACCCAAAACTACAAACTACTTGACAATGATCTTGGTAAAGACTTTTTGGATATGACCCAAAAAACTCAGGCAAGAAAAGCAAAAAGATAAATAGGATCGCATTAAAGTTAACAAGCTTCTGCACAGCAAAGGAAATAATCAACAAAGACAATCTACAGCAAAGGAGAAAATATCTGCAAACCACACATGTGATAAGGAGTTATTATCCAAAATATACCAGAAACTCAAACAACTCAACAGCAAGAAAACAACCTGAGTAAAAAATGGGCAAAGGACCTGAAAAGATATTACTCAAAAGAAGACATACAAATAGGTAACAGGTCTAGGAAAAGGTGCTCAACGACCCTAATCATCAGGGAAATACAAATTAAAACCACACTGAGATACACCACCTCATTCCTGTTAGAATGACTATTATAAAAAAGACAAGAGATAAGTATTGGTGAGAAGGTGGAGAAAAAGGAAACCCTTGTACACCATTGGTGGCAATACAAATTAGTAGAGCCATTTTGGAAAATAGTAAAGAGGTTTCTCAATATATTAAAAATAGAACTACCACACAATCCAGCAGTTCTATTTCTGGGTATATATCCAGGGGAAATTAAATCAGCATGTGGAAGAGATATCTGCAATCTCAAGTTAATTTCAGCATTATTCATGGTAGCCAAGACATGGAATCAATGTAAGTGTCCATCCATTGATGAATAAATTTTAAAACAGGTTATATATACACCACGGAATATGTTTTTACCTGACAGTAAATCAATCCTGTCAGGTGAGATAACATCTATGTACCTGAAAGACACCATGCTAACTGAAATAAACCAGGCACAGAAAAGACAGATACTGCATGATCTCACTTATATGGGATATCTAAAAACATTTAACTCACAGAAGCAGAGAGCAGAATGGCGGTTACCAGAGGCTGGAGTTTGTGGGGGAAGGGAGTGGGTTAAATGGTGCAAAGTTTTAGTTAGACAGAAGGAACAGATCTAAAGATCTATTATACAGCATGGTGACTACAGTACATAATAATGTATTGTATACCATTGTCCCTTGGTATTCATGGGGAGTTCTAGGATCCCCATTGGATATCAAGATCTGCAGATGCTAAGTGCCTTACATAAAATGATAGTATTTACATATAGCCTACACACATCCTTCTGTATACTTTAAAATCATCTCTGTATTACTTACAATACTGAATACAATGTAAATCTTACGTAAATTATTATAGTGTCTTTTAAAAATTTGTGTTTTTTAAATATGCTGTATTGTGATTTTTTATTGTTGCTGGGTTTTTCTTGAGTATTTTTTATCCGTGGTTAACTGAATCTGCTGATGCAGAATCTGCAAATGTGGGGGGCCAACTATACTTGAAAACTGCTAAGAGGGCAGATTTTAAATTTTCTTATCACAAAAATTGGTTAAGTATGTGAAGTGATGGGTATGTTAATTAGCTTGATTCAATCCTTCCATAATATCTACATATATTAAAACATCATGTTGTATACTACCATAAATATATACAATATTTCATTTGACAGTTAACAAAGAACCATATGAGGAACTGGATATACAAAGATGAAAAAATACACTCCCTTGTCTCCAAATACATAACACTCTAACGCGTGTTGCAGAATATGGAGAAAAACATAAAAGGATGGTTTATCTGCTGGTTTGGCAATTGAAATGAATGTTTTATACCGCCTTAATGAGCACTACACACATTCTACTGCTCTTTTTCATGTTTCTTCTATCTTAAATATGTAAATAAACTTGGGTTCAAATCTGCCAGCTTCTGAGAAGACTATTCAATGTAGTTACTGCTATAGAAAGCAAATATTCACATTGTTAAAAAAAGATAAGATTAAAACAGGAAAAAGGGAATGGGTTACATATAGGCAAGGCTGCTTGCAAAAAAGCAAAAAAGTAACAAAAGGAAATGTGGATACCAATCTATTCCTGTGCAAGCTGTTAACACAGTATGAACATTCTCAAGACAGGTAAACTGGTAGCCTCTGGCAAACTCATTATTTAGCTACAGCAGTAAACAGATGCAAAGTTAAGCTGGAATGTTATGCATTAGGGAAGACTGTACATGGGAACAGAAATCCCATACAACTGCTAGATAATCTCTTAATATATTAGGTTGATAAAGTTGTACTTAACTATAAGCACCTCTGTCCTCTTCTGACATTACTGTCCCTTTCCTTACTCCCATCCTTTCTCCTTAGTCTCTTCAGCACACACACACACCCTAATCCTAACTTTGTGCTTATTGCTTGGTTTTCCTTCATGTTTCTGAAACATTAATGACCAAGGTCCAGCTTTGGAATAACGACACAGCTTCTGTCCTTTACCCTCACTGACTGTATCTTTGCCATTCTTCTCTCTAAGGCACTAATTCTCTCTAAGGTCAACTAGAGAACTCGGATGGGAGACATACAAAGTGTTACCAGTCAGCGCAAGGCTGTTATCTCTCCTGGTTTTCTGCTCAAGTCAGCAGCCAGGAGAATTAAAATGTTTAAAAATAAAGAAGTGAAGTAAAGTGAAGTCTTCCACTTTCTGGAAAATAAAGTACAAAGTTAAAAGCTCCAGAATTTGGGGCAGGAAGTCAACACACTGAAAAAAGAGTAGAGACCCACTAGCACCAAAGGCCAATAAAGAATATTTCTAATGAAGTTTGGCCTGGAAGTCACTTAGTAACACAACTCAAGATCAGAAATGTCATGTGGCTTATCTGCTCTAACAGGTGCCACTAACTTATTTTTATCACAGAGTTAAATCTGATTGGAATAAGGTGTTCTATAGTTGCAGCCTCCTGTTGTAAAATGTGGAGAACCTAAACTTTGAATTACAAGTTGTTAAATGTGTTAAAATGACAGAAAATTCAGTTTTGTTTCTTTGCCATAAATTCAGTAGACTGAAAAAAATTCTTCTAATAAACCAACCAAGTAGCATCTGATCTAGATTTTAATCCTCTCCCCTCCAGAATGAGATGACCTATTTTACCGATGTAATTTCAGAGGGAGGAAGTGCTTTTCATGCACTGAAGACTTATTATTGGGGAAAAAAGAGGGCGCAATATTAATGGTAAAAATCTGAGTATTGGTGTAGAAAGATACACTGTAGCTTGGCTTTACTCTAGACTATTCAATTGTTTACACAGACTATTCAATTGTTATCCATCCATGCATTCAAATACTTACTGAGTGCCTATTATATGCCAGGTATTGTTCCAAATGCCTCATACAAAATAGTGAATAAAACAACATCCCTACCTCATGAACAAGTCCTCTACCTTTTAATGGAGTTTACACTCAACAAATGATTTTTTCATAAAGATAAGTTTTAGTTTATATCTTAGAAGTCTCTACTGTGTGTTCAATTTACTGCAAGCTATGGCTAACTTTAACATGAGGCTAACAGTTCAGAATTACAAGTATTAACTTGGCCGGTGAACAGAAATAGAAATGGTATTTTTTTTGCAATTATATTTAGTCATGACATATTTTAACAAAAAATATACAACTGCATTCCAAATTTACCAGTTAATGTTCATGTTATATAAAACTTATATAAGAATATTTAGATAAATATATTTAAATATAATCACTTCTGGATTATATTTACCAAATTATTTTATTCCTATTTTAAACTCAGAATTTCATAATCAGTTTTTTTCACTCAGATGTTTATTTTAATTATATTTTAAAAGTGTGAGACAGATGTCACAAATGATCTTTAAATTAAATGAACAAAAATTCAAATAAAAAAAAAACAGAATAGAATTCCACATGTAGAATTCTACACATAGTATGGCTAGGCTTCTCTGTGAGTTGGAATGTAGAGATACAGAGTTTTTTTCTCTACAAAAAGGCTGTATAAGATATCTCTATTATCAAGAGATATGCTTGCTAAAAATGCAGATTTCTGGACCACATCCCAGGTCTAATGAGTCAAAGTTTATGGAGACAGAGCCTGAACAAAAATATTTATTTTAAAAAGCAGGCCAGTTGATGGTCACATACTTAAAAGTTTGACAAAAAAAGCAATTGTGTAGCATGTGGTGGGTGGGAAGGGTACTGTATTGCTGTCACTATATCTATGTAGTGGCTGTATCTATTTTCTCCCGGACAGAAATTTCTTATTATCTAAGACTCTTGACCAGTATATAGGGTCAGGGTTTCCACTGGCAAAATGCTTTGTATAAAACCTAGCCAAATGTAAGACACAGGGAACAAGACATGTGGGCCATATGTTCTGCCAGGAGGCCTACTTCACCATCCAAAATGCCTGGCAGTTGTCAGAACTTGCAAGGGGAATTTTGTTTACTTTGTGAGATGCCCAGTAGGTTCCAAAGGTCATTTAGGAATACCATCACACTGTTGCTAGGGAAGAAATGGTCTTCAACTTAAGTGCATCCACCGAACAGGACATTTGTGATCCCAGTATTCATTTTATATCTATGGTCAATCAACAGCATTCCTTACATTGTAAAATCTCTTATTTCCAAGAAATACTACTTAAAAATGTCTACTACTAATAAATAATAGTTTTATGCTTTCCAAATATCTTTTATCCACAAAAAAGCTATATGATTAAGCATTCTGTACGATATATGGTTTGCTATGTCTGAGAATCTTGACATAAATACAGTGAAATAATCATTTCAGAAATAAATTTTATATTTCAGATAATATAAACATTTCAATTAAATAAAAAATTACTTGTCAGTATTGCTTGTTAAAGAACAACGATTTGATAATCAACAGTAATATAAAGAAAAAAACTAGGTTTAGAAATAATTGGAACTAGTAGTTTCTAAAATTTGAAAATAATGCCTTAATTATTTACACAAAGCCATCTTTATTTACATACTAATCCAAAATAGGCAATATGATCATTTATGTGGAAGTTTCAAAGAGTCACAAGAGAGGGGTGAAGTCTCAGAATACAATAAGCTGATGTTTCAAGGAGGAAGTGACAGACAGCAGGCCAGAAATGTGACAGAAGTCAGAAGAAGAGACAGGAAGCACAAGGCAAATGTGGCAGACACAAATGGTAACAGAAAAAGCAGTGAAGAGCCAACCTAAACATGGCGTGAAGCAGTGTGACAACGTCGAGGAGGGATAAAATTTGCCCGCACAATGGTACAATAGTCTTATGTTTAAGAAAAGGAAATGTAATTACATGTGCATCTATGATAAAAAGGGAAATTATCTTTAGTAAATTCTATAAACTTAATTTTTTTTAAAAGATGCTTCAGTTAATTCACGTGTTAATCAATACTCATGAAAGACAGCGAGAAGTGAGAGCACAATAAACAGTATTTATATACCGATATCCCTGCTCCAACAGCACAGCACATGTAACTGTGCCAATCTCTATCCTGGGTGTCTAGGAAAGCTGCCATAAAATGAACAGGTGTTTGGATTTGATGGGCTCAATGACTCAGTTTCGTAGAGGCTGTGCTGTTTACCAGTAGCTAGAGCAATCACTTCCTTAACCTCTCTGCGCAAAACCTGACACAGCAGTTCTTTCTTATGCCAGTTCCTTGTACTGTGATGCATGCTGTCACCTAAGGGTGAGCCACCTCTTCTTAGCCACAAAGGCCATCTGTGGCCCTTGAGATGCTGTGGCCAGAGGAAGAGAAAGAAGAGAAAAAAGGAAGGGCTAAGAAAGACTATCTTTATGGAAAGGAAAGGAGAAACTATAGGAGTGGGAAGAAAGGGAGAGAGGGACTGGGAAGCAGCATAGCTCCTAAGTGCAGGCAGGATAAAGAATAACTGTCAAATGCCTCAGGGCTGCACCATAAGTCACCTACTTCTTCCTTCAATAACTCTTTGGTATTTGCTTTAAAAATATAGTCCTCCCTCAGTATCTGTGAGGGACTGACTGCTTCCAAAACCCCTGTGGATACCAAAATCCCAGGATGCTCAAGGCCCTTATATAAAATGATGTCATATTTGCATATAACATACACACATCCTCCTGTATACTTTAAATCATCTCTAGATTACCTCATATAATCCCTACACATCATTGCATTTGCGTGGATTCAATGTAAACTCAGCATGCTGCAAATTCAAGTTCTGCTCTTTAGAACTTCATGGAATTTTTCTTTTTCCAAGTATTTTTGATCTATGGTTGGCTATATCCACAGATACACAGGGCTGACTGTAAAATGTATTCAGGGGATTCACAGAGAGGGAACAGGACTAGATGATCCTTAGGTCATGATGCTCTCATCACGTATCCTTGCCTGTTCTGTTATTCCCATACTGTCCTGCACTTCCTTCCTGCTTGTTTACCCTCTAATTTTTCTCCTTTCACTCCTGGACCTTTCACTGGCGCCCCCTGGAACCCGTATTTTATGAAACAAATTGTTTCATATTTTCTACCTCTTGTAGAAATACTGCTCTTCACTTCCCTGCTTTAATTAGAACCTGGCTATCTTCTAAGCATACTGGTCTCTCAGCAGCCCTTTTGAGTGAAGGATTTGACTGTTGCATTTGAGTGCTGGTCCACAAATGCAGGTTTCAGAGCATTAGTTCTCATTTGTGTAACAACTTCCATTTTTTGAGCCCCCTGAAGCCCAGTTATCCCAACTCTACCCTTTGCTATAATTTATTGAACCCTACCCTACATTCACTAAAGAACTTTGGTGCCTAATTTACTCTATACCTCAACTCTAGATATTACATACTGTCTGCTTGGACAGCTCATCCAAAATTCAGGTCTCACTGTTTCATCTTCTAGCATCTTTTCTTCTCCACCTCACTTGAGTCACCTACTTCTACAGTCACATCTGGCAGGCCTGTCCTCTCTGGAATGACTATGATCTCCCATTCTCAGATAAGAACACCTATGCTTATATCTTTTGTGCTCAATAGCCCAATTTATACCTGTTATTTGACTTCAATGAAACTCTACTTTCTATACATCAACATTCTCCTTCTTTTCAAGAAACTTGTATTACAAATTATCCTTTCTCCTATATCTTCAGTCTATCCTTTTTTCACTGGAGACTAAACATGCTCAAGAATCTTTTGTCTTAAACAGAACAACAACAAAAAAGTGATGTCTTTCTGTTTTCATAGGTTCTGGTTACAATTCTGATTCTATCTCACAGTTAAGTTTATGAAACAGTTGGGCATTTTTTCTACTTGTTGACTTCCTGCTCATCCCGCAATCCCTCCCAATCTGCTTTCTGCCTCTACATTTGTATTAAAAGAGCTCCTTCTAAAGTCATCAGTGACCTCATTAGACAAATTAGTCCACATTGTAGTTGATCCACCTTCAGCACTACTGTCTCCTCACCGAAGCAGAGCTTCCCTGTGGTCTTTGTTGCCAGCGTACCTGCCTGGATTGCCTGTCCCTAGTTGCTCCTTCTCATTTTCCAGCCCTCCCAACTTGATTCAATCTTTTAAAGTTATGGACTTCATAGGACTCAATCTGAAGCAAACTTTTCTATTAGTGACTCCGAATTTTGTATCTCCAGCTCCACATATCAACACTTTTCTGGATAGTTCTACTTGGATGTCTTAGGCACCTTAAATATGATATGTCTAAATGTATTCCTCTTCCAAATATCTTGTATCATTAGCTATACCATTACCCACCTGCTTATTCACATCAGAAACCAGGGGTGATCTATGAAATTTCCTTCACTAATGCTGCCAACATTCTCTAACTTTATTCTAAACATGTCTAGAATATACCCACTTCTCTCCATTTCTACCGCCATCAGCCAAATCAAAGCCACCATTACTCCTGCTGTAGCCTCCTAAGCTGCTCTCTCCAAATTTCTTCTGCTCTATTCTGTTCCTCATCATCTGTTTTCCACACAAGAGAGATCTTTTTGAAATCCAAATTTGATCATGATACATCCCTGCTTATAATATTTAATGGCTTTCTCCTTAAATAAAAATAAAATTCTCAAATGTTCAGGTGGCCCTTCAACATCTGGTCCCCTAGTTAGGTCTCCAGGCTTATTCAACTGCTTTCTCCTTGCTTTCTACACTTCAGCCACTCAGATCCATTTGAGTCCTTGTCTTAGGCTTTTCCATGCACTGGCTCTCTTCTGGTTTTCTTTTTCTCTGTCTGGGAGCCAACCTATTCTCTCCTCAGGCTGACTAATTCATCATTCATCCTTTAGATACCTGCTTAACTGTCATTCCCTCAGAGACTTTTTTTCCTTTTTCTCCTTAAAAAACAAAACAAAACAAAACAAAACAAAAAAACAGGATACATGTACAGAATATGCAGGCTTGTTACACAGGTATCCATGTGCCATGGTAGTTTGCTGCACCTATTTATCTGCCCTCTTAGTTCCCTCTCCTTACTCCCCTGCCCCAACAAGCCCTGGTGTGTGTGTTGTTCCCTTCTTTGTGTCCATGTGTTCTCAGTGTTCAACTCCCACTTACGAGTGAGAACATGTGGTGGTTTTTTGTTCCTGTGTTAGTTTGCTGAGGATGATGGCTTCCAGCTTCATCCATGTCCCTGCAAAGGACATGATCTCATTCCTTTTTATGGATGCATAGTATTACATGGTGCATATGTACTATATTTTCTTTATCTAGTCTATCATTGATGGGCATTTGGATTGGTTCCATATATTTGTTATTGTAAATAGTGCTGCAGTAAACATTTGTGTGTATATGTCTTTATAGCAGAATGATTTATATTCCTTTGGGTATATATGCAGTAATGGGATTGCTGGGTCCTATGGGATTTCTGTTTCTAGATCCTTGAGGAATCGCCATACTGTCTTCCACAATGGTTGCACTAATTTATATTCCTACCAACAGTGTAAAAACGTTCCTATTTCTTCACAGCCTTGCCAGCATCTATTGTTTGTTGACTTTTTAATAATCGCCATTCTGACTGGTGTGAGATGGTATCTCATTGTGGTTCTGATTTGCATTTCTCCGATGATCAGTGATGAACTTTTTTTCATGTTTGTTGGCCACGTAAATATCTTCTTTTGAGAAGTGTCTGTTCATGTCCTTTGTCCAATTTTTGATGGGGTTGTTTTTTTCTTATAAATATGTTCACATTCCTTGTAAATTCTGGATATTAGACCTCTGTCAGATGGGTTGATTGCAAAAATTTTCTCCCGTTCTGTAGGATGCCTGTTTACCGACGATAATTTCTTTTGCTCTGCAGAAGCTCTTTAATTAGATTCCCTTTGTCAATTTTGGCTTTTGTTGCAATTGCTTTTGGCATTTTTGTCATGAAGTCTTTGTCCATGCCTACGTCCTGAATGGTACTGCCTAGGTTTTCTTCTCGGATTTTTAGGGTTTTGGGTTTTACATTTAAGTCTTTAATCTATCTTGAGTTAATTTTTGTGTAAGGTGTAAGGAAGGGGTCCGGTTTCAGTTTTCTGCATATGGCTAGCCAGTTTTTCCAGCCCCATTTACCCAATAGGATCCTTTCCCCATTGTTTGTTTTTGTCGGGTCTGTCAAAGATCAGTTGTAGATGTGTGGTATTATTTCTGAGGTCTCTGTTCTGCTCCATTCGCCTATATGTCTGTTTTGGTACCATTCTGTTTTGGTTACTGTAGCCTTGTAGTATAGTTTGAAATCAGGTAGCATGATGCCTCCAGCTTTGTTCTTTTGTAGTGCTTATCACAATTATAACACATTATTTATTAACATCTGTGCTTCCTGCCCCAACTCAAACTCCTTCACCAATCTCCACAAAAGTAGTAACCATATCTGTTTTATTTATGTGTATGCTGTGTCTATGAGGCCTAGCACACTGCCTGTGTGCTAGTACGTGTCCAATATATATGTGTGGAATGAATGGATGAATGCTTATTCTAACTGTGGAATTCTGTTTATCCCAACAGACTAAAGAGCAATATAACTGATATTTTCAGGTTTTACTCAAATAACAGTGAAAAAAGAGCAATTAAAAGTTCTTTAATGCAGCTACAGTTTTCTTGGGAGAAGGGTACCCTAATAACTGCTTAACTACTGGTAGTGAATTTCAACTTGTAGCTGATTCTACTTAAAAAACACATTACTTAAAAGTGAGGAGTATCAAAAACTCAGAAGGAATTAATAAAGAATACTTCATCTTGCTTAAGAGTCAACCCCATCATTCTCTAATTCTCATTCTCTATTCCTTAAAGCCCACATTTGCTACTAAATTTAGATACCGATGTGTCCTTTGTTCAAGTTTGGTTAGAAAAAAAATATTAAAAAAGCATATTTAAGGAAAAGAAAGAGCAAAATAGTCTTGGCTTTTTATTAAATACCCCTTAAAAGCAGTAAATCCAATTACAGATCCAGTCTGGATATCACATTATAGTAATTTTCTTAAAATTCTGAATGAAGCATGGAAAAAAATTAGGAAAATAAAGCCAAAATTTGGCTTTATCCTGGAATATCAATCTATGCTGTTTAAAAAGCACATTACCCTCTTTCTTGTAGCTGTCTTCATTAGCCAATTTATTTTATCCTTCTGTTTAGTTAGACACATCCTTTTTTCCTTACATTCAGGGATGTGTAAAAGAATGAGGAAAACTCTTTCTTTAAATAAATCTCTAATGTAACCAGACCTCTGTCTACTTGTGGTGGATAGAAATATTATAGAGGATAGGAAACTGTAATTTTAAGATGTTACATTTTAGTCACAGTGTACATGACTATCGCTAACCATGTTTGAATAAGTGTTCTGTGTTCCTCCTACAATTAAAAATTACATGGTTAAGCTGAGGCTTTCAGGCAGTGTATCTACAGACAACAGTGGCGTCTACCTATTCACTGTCAAGCTTGTTCTGATGTTCATGCTTTCTTAATCAGATACTGCTTCCTATATTATATTGCCTTACCTATGCTTCTATGTGTTCCTGACCTACTTTACCTTCACAGGGATGTCCTCCTCCTGGTTTGCTTTCTCTGAGGTAAAGACATACGAGATTTCTTTGTGAGATGTGGTCTGGCGGCAGATTGCACACTTAATGGAGCTTCTGTGAGATCCCACGCTGTATTGTTCAATAATTATAGAAATGCATTCATTACAGAAACAGTGACCACAGGTCAGTACCGCCCACTAAAAAGAAAACAGAACAAGCCTTAGTGCTATCAAAGATGCCTTACAATTTATAAGCATATTAAAAAGAGATTCGCAATTTTTCCTCCTAAAGATTTCATAACATTAATATTCTTTGTCATAAAGCCAAGTTGTGCCTTCAAATTAATTTTTTATTCCAAAGTAAGTTTTCATAATCTTTAGTTCTGTTTATCCTAAAAGTGAGTATGATAGTCAGTCACCACTACTTTGTAGAAAGGTGGTGTTCTCATTTCTGTATTTGGGAAGAATGTAAATTAGTCCTTCAGCACTCTAACAACAGATATAACAGAGGGACTTAGAATATTAATTTGGAGATAATATCATACTCGATATGTTCCATTTAATTTAAAAAACAGATTTATATTTTCACACATTAAAGCACTTATATAGAAAATAATATGGGATAGTATCTCAAATTTATTTTGAAAATGGTTCTGGTTATTTAAAAAATTACAAACAAAAAGAAATTATTATTATTACTATTATTTTTTAGACATTCTTGCTCTGTCGCCCAGACTGGAGTGCAAATGATGCGGTCTTGGCTCACTGCAACCTTGCAACCTCCACCTCCAGGATTCAAGCAATTTTCCTGCCTCAGCCTCTTGAGTAGCTGGGATTACAAGCACCTGCTGCCACGACCAGCTAATTTTTGTATTTTTAGTAGAGAGGGGTTTCACCACACTGACCAGACTGGTCTCGAACTCCTGACCTCATGATCCATCCACTTCGGCCTGGGATTACAGGTGTGAGCCACCGCGCCCAGCCAAAAAGAAATGTTTAAGAAACCCCTTGTCCTATTCGGGAAAAATAAAATAATCCTCTCTGAATCTCTGCAACATACCATGGAGACTTTTGCCCTCTTTGGCAACGAGAGACGTAAGAACAATAGATTTAGTCTAGGTGTAAGTTCTAAAAGCTATGGCATCTTACAAATGTAGTTTTAACCGTTTTCATCTGGTAAAAACAATAAGAAAAACTGAGTGTCTTTTGAGTGACAAAGCTTCTAAATCCTTAAGCTATGTTTTTTTTAAGATTTGGACATGTATGGAAAGAAAGTGCGTACCTGGCCCACTTGAGATTCTTTGCTGGATCATCTAAGATGCTCTTTGGAAAAGAACTCACATTGAAAGAAGAGAAAACTGAGGTATATAAGCTTGGTTTTCAAACCACTATTTTGCCTATTAACAGCTAATACTATTCCTACTGTTCTCTAGCTGCACCTCTGCCAGAGTCCACAGGAGTTGAGACTAATGAAATTGAAGAGCTGTTTTACTAGCATTTTTGTATGACACAGAGCAGCACTATATTGTACTTTATGTACCTCTAGTGCCACTGGGGTACTCTACTGGAAAGGAGTTTTGTGACTCACTAGAGCTCAAAATGGACCAACTAAACATCAAGACAGGTCCACCTACATGTGCAATGGAGAAGAAGCAACGAGATACCTGGCACCTGACCATTAGGAGTGACAGGAAGCTGACTGACCCAAACAGAAGAGACAAATGGCAATGCCTCCAGGTGCATCAGCTGGTACATATGGGTTAACTCTGATAGATTCTAATTTAATAGCCCTAAATTAGAAGGGGGGAGAACTGGGGATCCAAAAAGGAAAAAAAAATACGGCTACTATATATTGTAAGTATGAACAGAGCTTGAAAAGTATTTTTATTACTATTATTGAAATCCAATATGGTCTTCCAAGTGCAGGAAACCTAGGTTATGCTAGAATTAAATGAACTAATGTATATGAAAGAACTTTAAAAACTGAAAATGTTTAAGACAAAATGAAATATCTGAGACAGTCCAGTTGTATAAATCTTATCAAAACTAAAAGCAAAAAATACTACTTTATGTCATGATTTCTTCCATTTTTATCACAACTTTTATCAGTTTCATCACTGACTTTTGTCAGAAGTAACCAGCATTTGTACAGTACTATTTTGCTCAGTTTCCAATGTAGTATCTCTCCCTTTAAGATGTATTAGCAAATAAAGTATTCTTGTGATCTCACCTTCTCCACCAATCTTAGAAACCAAAAGGTACTTTCTTCTTGATTATTACTGGTCAGAATATGGAATGCATATATTTACCTTTCAACTCTCAGTTCCATAGAAAAAAACAGCCAAGACTATTTCTACTTCTTCAACAGTAATAGGCTTATCTTTCAAATTTTCAAGAGCAATGAATAGTCTGATATATATATATATAGATTTATCATAGAAAGCAGAAACTTGTATTTTCATAAATTGCAGTTCTCCTAGAGGAGAATATGGTTCTACCATGTTTATAGACATTATGTATACTAATATCCACAAAGGAATATATTTAATATAGTGGTCTACCAAAATCACATCTAAATTTCCCTAGGAGAGATTAATTTGTACTCTGAAGAACAAGTATTATGAGACATTAATACTGGCAAGTAAGAACTACGATTCTATACTAATGTAATACCTTAAGTAAATCTATGTGTGTTATATTACATTTCTGTATAATTATTGAATAACTATGTTAACCTGACGAAGTCAAATTACTGGACACAACCTTGTGACTGGAAACAATGTTCAAAACTGTGCATCTTTAATGAAAAAGATGGCGTCATTCTAGAAATATTTTTTCACTTCCCATTTAAGAAAAGCATTGCTCAAACATCTAATCCTAAGCACGTCACCTAACCTCTAGTGCTATCTTTAAGATAATGGTAATACTTGCCTTTCATAGAAACTAGTGGTGAGAAAAACGAGAGAAAGATTTTATGTAGAAACCTTTGAAAACTGTAAGGTATTTTATAAATGCATGTGATGTTTATCATAATTTTACCTGTTTTCCTAGCTGTCGAGCACAGATTGGGCAAGGTTCTGGATTAACACCTCCCGATGTTTTATCTTGAGACTATCCAAAAAAGAATTAAAAAATATATTAGTTACGTTTTTACATATAAAACCTGATATATGTTTTGCAACTCATTTATGGAAGTGAATACTGGCAATTACAATTTACATAATCTAACAATTTAGATGACCCATCGATCTCTATATTACCTAACAAGATTATTCCTGAGACTTCCTTACAAATATCATTTATTCAAGGAGTGAACAAAAAAATGAAAACAATTTTAATCACACAGGTTGAATATCCCTAATCCAAAATCTGAAATCTGAAATGCTCCAAAATCCAAACTTTTTGAGTGCTGACATGACAATCAAGGTAAATGTTCACTGGAGCATTTCAGGTAACAGATTTTCAGATTAGGCATTTAAACAAATTGAACCAATGAATTATTCTTTTCCTCTGTTAATTATTGATTTTTATAAGTAAATCAATAATGTATGTATATATTTGCAGTTCTATAATGTCCATTTGATCTTACCATATAGATTCCAATTCATTTTACTATGTTGTCCACTTTTCCTTTTTACATATAATAAATCACCTACAAATTTAGTGGCTTAAAACAAACATATGATTCCCAAGATTCTACAGGTGATTTGGGGATGGGCTGAGTTGGCTGGGGTTGGATGGTCTATGATGGCCTCATGCTCATGTTTGGCAGTTGGTAGGCTATCTGGTCTGCAGGGAGGGCTGGGCTGAGCTGAGGGCTCTGCTGCTCAAGAAAGTAAACTAGGCTTTTTGAGATAGTCTCATGGAGTTCCAAAGAGCAACAAGAATGGGAGGGTCATTGCTGTAGCACTTTGTAAACAATCTATCATAATTCACAACAGCTCTTCTTTTCCAATATGTCAATAAAGAGTTGACATTTATATAAATGGTGAGATTATAAATATTTTAGGCCTTGTGGGCCATATGATCTGTGTTGTAACAACTCAATTCCACTAATGTGGCATGAATGCAGCCACAGACAATACGTAAATGAATGAGTGTGACCATATTCCAATAAAACTTTACTTACGAAAAAAGGCAGCGGGCTGAATTTTTCCCATGCATGGTAATTTGCAGATCCTTAAGTTAAAGAAGTTATAAATTTTCCTCTAAGCACTGTCACATATTTTTACTTTCACTCAGTTCAGAGTATTTTCTAATTTCCATTTTGACTTCTTCTTTGACCCATGGGTTATTCAGAAGTATCCTGTCAATTTCTATTAAACTTTTAGGGATTTATCCAGTTATCTTTCCATTACTGATTTCTGGTTTAAATTCCTCTTCAGTCAGAAAACATACTCTCACATACTTTTAAGAGCGGCTTTTTGAATTAGCATAAGGTCTATTTTGATAAATGTTCCACGTACACCTAAAAAATATGTATTCTGAAGCTGTTGGGTGTAATGGTCTGTGTCAGTTGGGTCATATTTGTTCATTAGTGTTCAAATGTTCAATATCCTTACGGACTTTCTTGTCCATTCCTCTGAAGGAATCTTAAAATAGATTAAATTATCTTAAAATAATTACATTATTTTAATAAATTTTATAAATTTTAATAAACTTATAAATAAATTTATAATAAAATATAATTATAAATATATTTTGGCAGAATTATAAATATATAATTATAAATATAAATATTATAATACAATTATAATAAAATAAATTTTAATAAATTTAAATAAATTAAATTAAATCTTAATAATCCTCTGCTTACCTCTTTCCTTTGTGCTACTGACATATATTTTAGTTCTATATAAGTTGTATAACCCATAAGACAGCATTGTTGCTTTTAAATAGTCAATATCCTTGCATATTTATCTACATATTTAAGCTTTTGTTCTTCATTCCTTACTGTAGTTGCATCCTTCAATCTGAAATAATTTTCCTTCCATCCAAAGAAGTTCCTTTAATATTTATTGTGATGTGTGTTTACTGGAGATGAATTCTTCCAGTTTATGTTTGTCTGAAAATATCCTTATTTCACTTTTTTTAAAAAAAGGAAATTTTCTTTAAGTATAGAACTCTAGGTTGGCTGTTTTTTTCTTTTAGCATTTTGAAGATGTTCCAATGTCAACTGGTTACATAGAGAAACTATGGAAAATACCGAAACATCTTTAAAGGTGAAAAGAAAAACATCTCTATGTAGCCACCAGTTTTATTAGTGTTCCTTTGTAAGTATTAAATGTTTTATCTCTCAACTTTTTTTATTTCTATTTTTCATTATTTTTGGTTTCCAGCAGTTTGACTATGATGTATCTAGGCAGTATTTTGTTTTTTTCTTTACTTATTCTGCTTAGTGTTTCTGAACTTCTTGAATCTTTAAGATATTTGTCATAATTTTATGAGTTTTAGAAAATTCTCAGCTATTATCTCTTCAAGCTTCTGTCCTATTCTCTTTTCTTCTTGAACTTCAATTACAAGTATGCTAGATCTATGAAATTACAAGTATGCTAGATCAAACAACTGTGTCTCAAATCTCTTTTGCCCTATTTTGTTCTTTTTCTATCTATGCCACTTCAAATTGGGTATTTTCATTTGTACTGTACTTGAGTTCATGAATCCCATCTTTTTCTGTGTCTGGTCTCCAATGAGTTTTTGATTTCAGATACTGTATTTCTGCAGTTCTATAATGTTCATTTAATCCTACTGTATAGATTCCAGTTCATCTTATGTTGTCCAGTTTTCCTTTTCCTTTCTTTCACATACAGGTTGAGCATTCCAAATCCAAAAATCTGTAATCTAAAACGCTCTAAAATCATAAACTTTTTGAGTGCTGATGCAATGCTCACAGGAAATGCTCACTGGAGCATTTCCAGTTTTGGATTTGAGATGTTCAACCTACATAAAATTGTTGACAGATATTGTTAAAGTGCTTTTAAGAAAAGCTTATATAAATTTATATTTCCATTGGTAATGCATAAAATGTATCCATTCCCTGTCCTTTTTCACCACTGGGGTGTGTAATCATTTAAAAAATCTGTGCCTAATTGTTGGCAGAAAATAGCACCTGTGTAATTTGATTTTCCATCATTATAGATTAAATGCTTTTTCTTTTATTAACAGCCAAATTGGATTTTCTTAGGTAGAATATTTATATCCTTAAAATTTTAGGTTTTAAAAAATATTTTAACATATAAACAATGACGTACAAGATAACTGTCTTTTTATTTTGACTATCATATTTAAAGTATAGAAATCTTACATTTAAAAAACTTATGTTCAGGAATGTTGAGACATTTTTCCTGTTATCTTTTTTTTTTGAGATGGAATCTCGCTCTGTCGCCTAGGCTGGAGTGCAATGGCGCAATCTCAGCTCACTGCAACCTCTGTCTCCCAGGTTCAAGCGATTCTCCTGCCTCAGCCTCCTGGGAACTGGATTACAGGCGTGTGCTACCATTCCAGCTAATTTTTTGTATCTTTAGTAGAGACAGGGTTTCACCATGTTGGCCAGGCTGGTCTCAAACTCCTCGGCCTCTCAAAGTGCTGGGATTACAGGCGTGAGCCACCATGCCCAGCCTGTGTTATCTTCTTAATGTTAGCAATTTGCATGAAACTTTTTAATTTTTTTCTTCTTTTTATCTTTCAGAATAAGTGTTGGTAATCATAACAGTAATAATGATCTTAATAATATTAATAGCAGCAAAAACCTAGAAAGTGCTTAATAGATCAGAAACTACTCTAGCATTTTACATGTATTAATTCACACAATCCTCAAGACAGCCCTATACTATAAAGTAGTGTTGACATCATTCTCATTTTACTGATGATGCGAGGAAAGGTGAATAACTTAAATAAAGTCACATATCTAGAAAACAGTTGAGTCACGATTCAAAATTGGGCTGTCCAGTTCCAAAGTCTACCTTCTTAGTCGCCATGCTATATCTATAATGAATGTCTAACTTTTCATTTTGTCTGAGATTTACTGATTCACTTAAGTATATGTTATACCAGTTTCCAGAAGAATTCAAATCTATATCTTGTCCTCACTTGCCCTATCCAAATATTTACTACTATATCTTGCCCCTAGAAGGTTCTCTGCCAACTAGCAAAATATGATTCCTGCAATAAAATGAAATTATATTTAATCAATGACCCACCAATTCATCAGTGTCCAGTATAATACTCAGATCATAACTCAGAACATGTGTTTTGAATTACTTAATATTTGAAGTCTACCTTTATTACCATGTACTCTGATTTAGTAGCTTTCGAAACACACTTCAGTTTCAAATAACAAATTACAACATATTTTTGTATTGATGAATGAATGCATGTGTATAAATTGCATTATGCCAGTTTCACCGAGATATGTTTTAATACTTTTACTATTCAAGGCTTTGAACTACAGTCCATTTACATTGTTCTCTACTATCGAGTGCATGCCTTCTATATCATCTGCATAATAAATTTCTATAGATACAATATTCTTTTGTGATCTCTGAAGCTATTGTAGAGACATAGGTAGTGTTCTGACTCATATAACACCAAATACTAATTACAACAATTTGCACCATTAATTATGAAAGGAGTCACTAAAGTGGTTTATGATAATGCAGCATAGGAAAAAGTAGCATGTCTTAGAAACAATACCTTCTCCAAATTAGTTAGGTAAAGAAGCTGCCCAAGTTTTTTCTGAAGCTGTGATGTAGCAACAGCTTTATCATTTAGTAGTTTTATTCGGTTTTGTTCTACCTAAAGAAAATAAAAATAAAAACTTCTTTATTCTTTCAGAAAGACAGTTAAATTATATTAAATATGGACAATTCTCCAGTAATACAAATGTATTGTTTTTAAAAAAAACCTATTTACATTCTAAAACACAAGTTTTCAAAATGGATACTAGATAATATATTTCAAATGATTTTTTTTTTTTTTTGCTTTATGAAAGGCACAATTCAATGCAGAGTTCTTTTAAACAGGAAGTGTCCCTATGTACCTGAAGTCAGATAAAAATAAACTCAAATTCTATTATGTACCATTTTTTTCAGTAATACATACACGGGATAAAGAAAAGTTAAATGATCTGTTGCTCTGGCCTCAGTGATTTCATGAAATCCAGGAAAGAATTTCTCTGCCCTTCTTTCCTCTGTCCCCCTGGTAGAATACAGCAGACAGAGAAGGAACACTCAAACAAGACGAATTTATTTTCTCAGAAAAACTTCTTCAGAATTCACATTTAAGTGAGATAGTATATAATGAATATATCTACATTTTTCCAAGTTACAGTCTCCAAGCTGTACAGAAACAGACTTAAGGCACTAAACAAATAAGGAATAAAAATGAATTATAAAGGAAATAATATCTTTTAATGGAGAATAAAAGAGATTGGTGGAGTAATGCTTTTAAACCTGAGTTACAAAGACAAAGTTATTAGAAGGTAAGTTGTTAATATTAGTTCATCATTAGCAAAAGAAACACTGCAAAAGAAAAGGTTTCAGTTGTTTTTAAGGAAGATTTTTCTAGTTCTGATAAAACTGAGGTGACAAAAATGTCTAAAAAGTGACTGAGAATATCTATTGGTCTTAAGCACATACAAGGTTTTAAACTCAAAAACAGATGAATGCGCAACCTGGAGAGAAACAAGATGCCCCAAAATAGTGAACACTAAGCATGTAATAGATATGAAATTGCTCATCTTTGACCATTTTTGGTCTATAAAGACAATTTTCTATGGGTCAAATTAAAAATGGAGATTAAATACACACTTACAGTAGAGCTCAGTGCCCTGATTCTGCCTTTTCTATGGGTCTTAGATATCTGTGACATCTGCTTGCTGTTCCCTTTTCTGTGATTTACTTGCCAATTACCTCATGTGGTTCAATGATATGAAGAACAGGCGGATTAGGCTTTGGCTCCCTAGGATCACGCACTCTTAGTCGTTCTGTAGCCATTGCAAGTTCATCAACAGCAGACACACGATTCCTCAGAGCCATCCAATATTCATGAAGCAACTGAAGGAATAGAAAAGACAAACACAGTGGTAAAGCATGTAATTAAAACTGGTTAAAACCACCAAGATGTGCCTTAAGCAAAAGTCTTCAATGAGATCTTACACTTTTTCGCTATGTGTCTAACGTACAAGTAGTTCCTGGGGTCATTTTTAGGATGAAATGTGAATGAAAAAAATCTCTATAGGACACTGCCTCTTTAGATTCTCAGTAACAGAATATAAAGATTTCTTGCTAAGACCAAAAATCTTTATAAAGTCCAGTTTTAGGCTGACAGAATCTCTTGTTTTATTTTTTAAAAATAGTTTTATTATAACATATTTCACATATTCAACTATGTATAAATGGCAACAAGAATACTAAAATATACAATCAAGTACTCATCATTTAATTGAAGAAAGAATAATATGAATTCCTTGGAAAGGCTCTGTGTGTTCTTTCTCAACTGTATCACTCTTTCCTCACATATTCCTCCTTCAGTACCCAACCATGGGGCAACCACTATTCTGAATTGTACTTATCCTGCTACACTTTTCATTGAACTTATACTATGTGAAACATATTCTTAATAATTCAGTTATATATGTTTCTGAAATTCACAGAAATGGTATCAATCAGTATACATTTTTTGACAGGCTCTCTTCACTGACTTTACATTTTGAGGTAGATCTGGTAGATATGTACAGCAGGAGCTCATTCAATTGCTCTTCTGTGAAAAGGTCTGCAAAGTTATGCAGAAAATATGTACCAAGACCTGGGAGAACTGCACAGTAAGCTCTCTTCTGGACAAAGGGTATGTGGCCAAACTGAGTCGAAAGGAAGAATACAGGGGCAACTGAACATCATAAGTAACACTTCTTCCAAGGCTTACTGTAATTAACTGTGTTAACGTGCTTTGTATTCACATGAGTAATGTGTGAGAAAAACATTATTATAAACCAATGATTTTGATGTTATAAATGTATTCCCCAATTTATGACATATGAACTGATAGTACAAATAACTATCTCTCTGCATAAAAATTTTTATCCTACTTTAAAAAGCAAGACTTTTTAAAAAAGAAATTGAATAAAAATGTCATTATAAAAAAACACTTCTTTCCTTCCTCTACCTATGTCACCTGTAAAGCAGTACAATGGATAACTAATCCAAATAAAACAATAATTGAAAATTAATGAATTGTGAAATCTCAAGTACAGAGGTATAATATGATGGAATCATTAAAGTACAAATATGAAAGGGCATATCGGGCTTTATTTATTGGAATGGTTTCCAAACTTATAGGATAAGAAGTATTTACTATGTTCCCCAATCTTTAAGGTAGCTGATGCTTGCTTGTTATTCACAGAACAAAAACAAAACTCTAATTTCATATAATAGCAGTGGAAGATCAAGCTAATAATAGAATGAACACACTTTCACGGCTAAACAAAAAGTTTCATATAAGTTCCAGTTTAATAATGATTTTCTTTTAGTAATTTAATAAATAGAATGTCTTTGAGTATTATGGTATTTGCTATCCTTTATTACAACAGTTACATTTCAGGCAAAGAGAAATTATGCCACCTCAATCTCAAAAGAAGATTTTAAAAAACTGGAGAGAGAAAAAAGTAGCAGTTAAAATTGATGTAAAAAAGAAGAATTTTTAATTTTGGAAGGAAGTTTTAAAATACTATACCTTATATTCCTTCTTCCATGCTTCAAAGAGATCCATTGAAGTGCTTCCTTCATCAACAAATTCAACATCAAACCTATGTGATTTTGCAAATGATAGTATTGCTTTCATAGATCGCTCTGTCTCACTTATTGCCCAGAGACCCCGGGTGGTGGTAGGTGCTCGATCATCCACCAGTCCTTCTTCATCTTCTATCATCTCCTCAAATATTGCAGTCTGGCCTTTGACTCTGAAAACATACCAGAACAAAACAACAGTAACTGGTATCAGTGAGTGAAAAGCAACCTTCAATGTGAGTTCTAAAAGAACATGTTTGCAAGTCTTTGGAAAAACCAAAGCAACCTTGAAAAAGCTGAAAACATCATAAATTTGGCCAGTTTTTTTTTTTTTAAATTCTATTATATCCACTGTAATAAACAGAAAGCTACTGATTCATTTGCCATAACAACACAAAAATCTTGTTTTCTTCCTTGACATGCAGAAGTGAACGTTTGGCAAGGAAATATGTGAGGAAAATTTCTATTTTAGAGAAGTTATATCTGTTGGAGATAAATAAACAGAATTTGGACAGAAACATGAAGAAATGTATTATTTACTTCAGTAATAACAGAAAAAGATTTGACCTAAAATAGAATAGTAATACACCTGGATGAAAGTGGACACATTTATTGTTCTAACAAGCTTCCCTCTGAGAATCCAGGTGTTTGTGACAATGTTTACTTATGGTTTCATTAAAGTAATAACATATTTGATTGTGTCATTCTTTATTCTTGAAGAAGTTATGCCGGACATTATGAGTTCTACCTTGAATAGCAGTAAAATGCTAGCAAAATCTGTATAATTCAAATCCACTGGATTCTAGAGTCTGGGATTTTACCACTCCACAAAACTGCATCTCAATTAATTATATATTACTACACTATGAACATTTAGGGGATAACTTCTGGATAGGTAAAACTGGGCATATTAAACAATCAAATACCAAAGGTGTACTAATCAATTTAATTAAAGAAACAATATAATAAAGGTTACTGTGGGGGAAAACATAGTCTTATATCACATAACTGAGTCTTGCAAAATGTTTCATTTTCTTGATGGGTAATAATCAAATAGAGAACTTACGTGTTGGAAAATAGCTTTGATTCATACTCTGTGAACAATTCATCAGCTTTACAAAAGACACAGCTGAAAAAAAAGAGATTAACAGAAATATTCACAAACATAACCAGCAATCTGGTAATTTTAAGGAGAAGCTTAATATTTTGACTTCATTTTTCTTTCCACTAGATATGCCATTTTAGAAAAAACAAATCACATGGTTTTTCATACCTTGTCCTTGAGACTTTATTTTTCTTTAAATTAGATTAATACATCTCTTTCTACTTCTGTCTCAATTAAAATGAAAAAACCTTTACTATATGAGTCAATTGTTTCTTCTCTAAGAAATCTAGCTTAAAGAAATGGTACCATTTCATTGTATGATTTCTTCTATTACCTACCAGTTGAGAGGAAGTCTGGCTGGTCGGAGGTGACAGACTGTTGCAGACTCAATAACATTACGAGATGGAGGTCCCTCCAGGTTTTTTACAGCCTCTCTTACTAGCTTCTGGCATTTATTTAGCTCTTCCATTTGTGTTGTAAGTAAGAACTGAAGACCTCTGCAATCACGGAACCTGATTCCCACACCAGCACCACACACAATACAAAGAAAAGAATAATAGGTCAATTTCCTCAAATTCAGAGAATGGTTGCCAAACAAAGTGTTAAAGAAACTGTTTGCTGTTTTTTTTTTTTTTAACAGCAACATTTGAGTGAGTTTTCCTTCAGAATGTATTCAAAGTATAATATTGGGCTGTCTACCGTAAAAGATACCAAAAAAATTTGATAGTCCTGTGCTCAGGAACTGAAAAAGAGCATGAAAAATGTATGTCTGTCTCAGATATCTTTGAAAGTGTACGACTGCCACATTCTTCCGTTTTAAGCCTGACTACAGATAGCCTTCCTGACATCCTTGCTCTATATGAGGAGGTGCCTGCAGGATGAAACATAAAAGCAGAATATTGGGAAGAAAGAAGAAAAATGGCTAAGAGTTATATTCCTTGGTTGAATATATATATATATGTATATATACTTAATTAAATCTGTAATTATGCACTATATACGAGGCACTTTGCCAAGCACTTTTCCTGTATAATTTCAATAGTTACTAATGTGCTCACATTATGAAGTGTAAAATATTAAAGTAACTAAAGTAACAAAGGTAGGTCGCAGTTAGGAGTTAAACCCAATTATAGTACCTATAACCATTTTGATAAACTGTGAATAAAAAAGGCTGCAAAAAAGAAGTATGAATGTGTCTGTATAGGTTTATGAATGGAGAAAAAAAGCCGGTAATAATGAGAAATTAGAAACTAGAAAATACAAGGATTTCTTTGCTTTTAAAATTATGAGTAGATACTTTTTCTTCCTGTTTTCTTACTTCTCTGACATAGAAAGCTTGCCAGTTTGTTGCTTGTAGTTGCTGGTTATTTCATTTCGCACTCGCTGAACTAGCTCCTCATCAATAGTAAATTCTATTGCTCTGTGGATCACATTTAGCCACCAAGGAGAATTAGAATGAATCTGTAAAAAAGGTAGCAGTTAATCAATTAATACATTTTTTTTAGTACTCACTAAGCTTCCATCACTGGGCAGGGTGATGCCAAAATTCAAAGAAAGTAATAAATGCTATTCTCAAAGGGACTATCACAGAGGGGAGACGAGTATACATATTCCATGTACAATGCTCGCTTCCTCTTTTGAAAATATAATTAAAGAGAAACCCCTATTTCCTAACTACTCTGGATAAATGGGAATTTATTGAATGCATTTATATAACAAAGCTGTAACTAAAAAAACTGTTTACGCCAAATGAAAATTCAATACTCAATCTATATGTGTGAAAAGGTCACAGGTCTCTTTATCAGCATAAGAAAGAAAGCCTTCATTCTAATCTTTAACTAACTGAACCAGATTCTACTTAATGAATAATCCACAATAACTCACAAAATTATATCCCAGAATACTAAATAATGAATGAATTAGAAAGACAAAAATTTGCAACACCTGATTTAAAAACTGAAAATAAAAGTGTATTTGTGTAACCTCTTTAGATTTTGCTGCTGATTTCATAAAACTGAAATTTTAGAAATGACAAGTGGTATATATTCTGCAGGAAAAATACCTGTGGTTCTAATGTATTAACATTTTAAAACATCTCAGAAACAAGATAAAAAGGAGGTTATAGAAGTCTTTACTTTCTTCAAAAGACAACTGTTATATACTCATGGTAAGAGAAAACCCATGAGTTCAAAAGAAAGAGAACTCAAAATAGTTGACTTATTTATGCATCTGTTCACTCAACCAATAAATCATTGCTAACAGTAAAATAAACTTGTATTGTGGGTCAGGCAATGTGCTAGGTGCTAAGGATTTCAAAATGTATAAGAAATTCAAGTTTCTCCCCACCAAAAAACCAAAACTCAAAATGATATCTGGAGGCAAATACAAGTAAGAAACACTGCATTTTGGCATACCTTTCTTTGAAGCTCATGGATGGTCTGCTGCACAGGATATAAAGCTTGCTGGGCTTCAGCAACTTCTGTATTACACTTGCTCATGTAGTGCTCTCGCAGCTGTTTGGCCTGTGTTGAAACAGAGAATATAAACTTTCACTCCCAATCTAGAATATAATTCAGTATGATGTTTCAAGAAGAATGGGTCATTTTATACATTTAAAGCTACTTAACTGCATTTAAACATAAAAGTCCAAGTATACTGTAGAGAACATAAAAGTCACGCTAAAAATTCCTTATATATGGAAGTTAACAAAATTTACTTGTCCAAGTAACAAAATTTCAGAAACACCGAATATTTGTTTGCCAATTTCTTATTTAATTTTTTTTTTTAGTTAGAATAAGCAAAGAGGGGAAAAAAAGAACAGTAATATTTCAAATGATAGGCAAAGCAAAGACACCTTTCTAAAATTTGGCTAATTTAGTTATTAAAATTCCTTAGTTACTGCAGTTTAAAAATAATCCTTGAGAATACACAGTAACACAGGTGTTAGGAACTGAATTTTGTTTCCCCAAAATTCATATGCTGAAGCCCTAAGAAAGTAGATTTTAAATGTTCTCACTACACACACACACACACACACACACACACATGCATGCAATAAAAATAAAGAGGTAATTGATTTAGTTTGATTTAGCTATTCTAGTGTCTACATACATCAAAACATCAGTCTCTACTCATGAATAGATAAAATTTTTGTTAATTAAAATAGTTTACCAGGGCACCTCCGCCCCCAAAACAACCAGTGCAAAAAGGCTGTGCTTATTTATATAATCTCATTTTTTATCCTGTTGACTCAAATAAAGCCTCCACTTACAGGTTCAATACATTTCAAACATACCTACTCTTTTGATTTTAGCTCTTTAATGTTTAACAACAGCAAAAATCCCTGGAAGAATCTGCATAATAAGCTATTAACAATTTATAGTAAAATAATTTATAATATCACTCTTTTCGATGTCATTCTTTTCAAAAAGAGGCGACACTTTTTGTAGAGGAAACTTCTTTGGGAGAACTACCACCAAAAATTTGACTTTATTTACCCCCTTAAAAAATACACAGAAATGTGGAGAAAGTGCAAAAGTTTGTATATTTACTAAGCTACCTCTTTTGTAGATCTGCCATGAGATCAAAGTTTCTTTTTTAAAACTCATTTATTTACATCCCATTCTGTTGGCTACCAACAGCCATATCTACAACAAGCATTTATCACATAACTGCAGGTAGATCAGCAGAGAAGCCAAATAATACGTACTGCTGCCATTCTCTGCTACCCAAAATCACAACAAAATTCGAAACATCAAAGTAACAGGAAAACATGATTACATTTATTTGTATGTTGTATGTCCTAGGATATATCAACTATATGGAGCATAAAGTTTGAAGAAAATATACTTTTATAGACAGAATGAAAAAAATAATTACCTCTTCCTCAAGTCGGCCATCACGCAAGGTAGGTGGTATCCCTGGGTGCCTGGCTATCAACAATTCCATCAAGTTATGGGTAGCATGAAGTCTCTACAAACATATCAAAGGCAGTAATTATGACAGTCAATGCAGAAGACTCTGAAGAGAACCTAATATTAATATGGCACACAGAACACTAACACCACATTAAGATCATATCACCAAATACTTTTCCTATAAAAAAATCTGAGTACTACTACTTTGTTTTCTTTACTCAAGGGCAGGGTGTTAAGGTCTAGGACCTGCCTTTTGTAACCCTTATCCATGCAGAATATCAGATTTATATTTAATTTTTCCTCTCCCTCCACTTTTCCATATGTTCCTCTAAATATCCACTCTGGTACTTGTGAACATGTTAGTCAGTCCCAAGGTCAATATTGTGAATGGTAATGACATCTTACCTGGGACTCAAACCTAAACTTGCCAAAATTAATAAACCCATTTCTACTTCTTATTTAGCTAGAGAGCCTTGTCTATATGAGTCAATGACAGATCCAAGAAGGGAAAGAGAAATAAGTGTTATAATTAAAATATCCAAATCTCCCTAAAGACCTCTAAAAATTATCATTAGATAGATTTTATTGCTTAGTTCCTTTTCTTTTTAATGAAAACCATGTGAATAAATATGTTGATATTCATATGTCAAAGTGATAAAACTGACCTACTCTTGGAAGTACAAGTACTTTGAGCTATTTTTAACTGTAGCTTATATAGACTTACCTTGTCAGGCTTGTGCCCAAAACTTCCCTGAATGGAATAGTAGTGATTCTCAAATGTTAGTGTACATACAAATCATCTAAAATGCTTATTGAGAAGACTGAATCCCAAGTTTCACCCAGTGATTATGACTGTTTGTTACCATTTATCCTCTTAAACATTCAGAAAAATTATTTTGTTAAAAAAACAAACAGAATACCTATGAAACTGTTTAGTCTTTACTTACTTGAAGTGAATCAGTTTTGAGTTTTCCTTTGTGTTCCTCCGAGGAGCGCAACACTTCTCTGTACAATTCTGCTGCCAAGGCATACTCACCTAAAGAATTAAAATGTATTTAAAGCATACGAGAGTCACATATTTAGTTCCCAATGTCATCTAGTTGTCCATTATTTAAGAATACTGTAAAAATAAAATGTAATGATTATAACTTTTTTTAAGTAAAGAAATTTGACTTGGTATTAATATGATTGCCCAAGTTTTAAAAAAGGCTGAGTACAGTTCCTTTTTTAATTCCATGGAATATAATGTTCTTATATTACATTTATAATATTTTAAAATTATACTGAAATATGTTTATAATCAAACGTTTGTAATGTTTTGAGATTATGCTATTGGATAAACTTTTAATTTAGACAAAAAAATTTCCTCTTGCTGAAGTTAAAAGGTGGCAATCAGTAGTCATTATGATGTTTGAAATTAAGGATAAACTTAAGGTAATTATAGATTATTTATTAAAAAAAAAATTTAAGACACTCCAACCAACCCACACATAGCGATCAGAAAAATATAGTATTCTTGGTAGCTATTATTGTTCTTGGTATTAGGCCAAATAATTTGCAATTAAAAACTTCATGTCAGAAACTCAGGGATCTCCCTCTTCTTCTGGTCACACAAATCATGGTCTGAGATGTATGCTGTTTTCTACTGTTCATAATCAGCACCTCATTCAAATAAAGCAATTCAAAAAGTATCGATTAAAGCACAGTCTGGCAAAGTATGGCCCATGGGTCATTTCTACCCTCTGCCTATCTGTTGGGCACATCAGCTTAGAATGAATTTTACATTCTTAAATAGTTGAAAAAAATTCAAAAAAAATATTTCGTGACATGTGAAAATTAAATTTCAGGGTCCATAGTTTTATTAGAACCTAGCTCTGCTCATTTGTTTTTATACTGCCTGTGGCTGCTGTTGTACTACAACAGCCAAGCTGATAGTTGCGCAGAGATCTTATGGCTTGCAATGCCTATGTATTATCTGCTTCTTTACACAGAAAGTTTGATGATATCTCAATAAAGTAAGAGATGAACATTTTTAATGGCTTGAATAATAGAATCTATCTTAACTGCTGCTTGTAAAATTCAAGACAGGTAAATTATAAATACTATTAAAGTAAAAACCTAACACTGGCAAAACCATGCAATCCATACCAAAAAAAGGTACAAGATGTTCTAGCTTTTATTTGCTGAGAAAGTTTTTTTCCTAAGTATCACACATACTTTCTTTTAAAAAAAAACTTCAAGCTGGTTTTATGAATATCATGTAATTAGGACCATGTTCATAGTTACAATGAGATATATATATATATGCAAACCTTTGTAAATTTTGAAGTTGGTTCTGTTTTTAGCTCATATATAAGTTTACATACATATCTTGATTTTGGTAAAATATACATAAAATTTACCATCTCAGCCCTTTTTAAGTGTGTAGTTCAGTGGCATTATGTATATTCAGTGTTGTGCAAAACACCTAATTTAAAATAAATTTTGCAACAATAGCTCTTATACCATTGCTTTATATCTAGTTCTATTAGTTAGCTAATACAAAGCTTTCTAAAACACACATTATCAAAGAACTGTAGTCAGCCAATTTCTATTCCCTTTAAATAAGGGAGAAGATTATTTTCACAATAATAAAGTTACTTTATAACGTAGGCATTAACATTCAATTATCTTCACAGTGAGTTCTCTTTTTTTAGTTAAGAGTCTTGATTAAAGCTTTTCAAAGGACATTATGAATTCTATCAGTATTTATACTACCATTTGTAGAGAATAATTCAATTAACAATTTTCTCTTCATAATTACCATACCTTTTAAAGAAGGTATAGTGATTAAACTATAATGTAAAGCAGCTGAATTTTATCTATTCGTTATAATACCTGGTTTTGCATGTTTATTTTTAAAAAGACATGCTTTCTGAGGAAGATTAAAAAAAAACCCATATTCAATGTTATAAAGGTTTAAGTCAAATTTGGAAATACCCATTCTCAGCCACTTGATGGCGCTAACATTTCTAAGAAAACTGGTGGATTTGATATTGTCAAGCTAATTTTCTCCGAAAATCATCTGCAGAAAACACAATGTTCAAAATTGGAATAATAAAATGTGTTTAATACCAGTCAAGGAGAATCTCAGAATATGTATTAATGTATCATACGTATTTATTTACATATAATATAAGCAAATCTTTTTAGAGTTTGAAATTAATTTTAGATTTCTTTTAAAAGTCAGACCTTCACTGTCTGATCTTCACATTAGAAGAATCTAATTTATGTAAGTTATATATGTAATGTTACTTTAAAAAATGAATATTGTTTAACACATTACTATGAAGTTAATAAAAACTAAAAGCAGCAAATCTATTACAATTAAGTTGAAAATTACAATTCAGAAGGAACATATCCTCTATTAATGGACTTTCTGGTGGCGGATTTCTCTTAATAATCAACAATACACTGCTAGCTAAATTGAGGACTTTCTAGGGAATGCCCTAGAGGGAAGATTTGCACACAAAGTTACGTGTACTATATGTGAACAATTTAACACGAATATATAATAATAGGCCCTTTTCTATTAGATATTGATAACAGAATTTACATTGTGAGCAGGTTGAAAGTGGTAAGAATCTGAGGTAACCTTCATATTACCATAACCAATAACATCATTCTTCATCTCTGTTTTTATAACGTTTTCAATGTGCTTCTACATTTTGTATTAAGAACAATAGTTGAGGTAAGTAAAGCACCTGTAATATTTTATTGACAAAGACACTGAAGTTCGGAAATCTTGAACAATATATACCATTTCACAGGGTTCCAACTGCAGCATGTAAGTAGGCCCACCCTATTCAGTTCTTGTCTAGAGCTATTTCTGCTCAGCTTCTGAGAATCCTTATAACTCTACCCAAGTATCTAGCACAATAAGAGACACTTTCCATTTCTGGTTCTATTATGCTAAAGAGCTAACAACTACAGACGGGCTACTCAAAGAGGCTTAATGTAAGAAGATTTATATTCTACAAAAAGCACACATTTCTTTGGGCAACTGATTTCTTTGTACTTCATTTGCTCTTTTTTTTTAAATTTCTTAAGGTAGCAGCTGAAGTCTCCGATATGAAACTTTTTTCTTTTCTAGTACATGTTTAATGCTATGAATTTCTTTTTAATAACTGATTTGCTGCATCCCACAAATTTTGATATTTCATTTTTATTCACTTCAAAGTATCTCCTACTTTCCCTTTTATTTTTTAACCCAAAGGTTTAGAAGTGTGTTATTTAATTCACAGCATTTGCGGACTTTCCAGTTTTCCTTCTGTTATTGGTATCTACCACTGTGGGCATAGAACACACTCTGTAAGCATGAATCCTTTGAAATTTACTGCCTTGTTTTACAGCCCAGAATATGCCCTATCTTCATATACATTTAATGTGTACTTGAAAACAATGTATATTCCTCTTTGGTTGGGTAGTCAATAAACACTGATTAGGTCAACTGGTTGACAGCGGTGTTTGAACTATGTATGCCCTCACTTATTTTTTACTTATTCTATACATAACTGAGAGAGGGATGTAGAAATCTCTGACAATAATTACGCACTTGTTTATTTCTCGTTATAATTCTATCAGTTTTTAGTATTTATTTTGAAACTCTTGTTTTAGGTACGTTAATATTTAGAATTTTTTTCTCTAGTGATAAAGTAACACCCTTTATCCTTGGTAATATTCTTTGCTCTGAAATCTACTTTATAAGTTCCAGTGGTACAATCAGTTAGCAGGCAGTATTAATAAGAAATCTGTTTTACTTGATAGAAATATAGTGGCTTTATCGTTCTTTTGATTAGTGTTAACATATCTTTTTTCATCCTCTTACATTTGCATCTTTAAATATAAAGTAGGTTTCTTATAGAGAACATATTGATGGTTATTGTTTGTTTTTAATCCAGTCTGACAATCCAGGCCTCTTAATTGGGATATTTAGACCATTTCAGTTTACGTGATCACTGATAAGCTTGTTTTTAAATCTACCATCTTGCTGTTTGTTTTCTAATCATCTCATTTGTTTTTTGCACCCTTTTTTCTTTTTTTTGAAGATTTTTAATTTATTATTTATTTATTTACTTATTATTATTTTTGAGATGGAGTCCTGCTCTGTAGCCCAGTCTGGGGTGCAGTGGTGCAATCTCAGCTCACTGCAACCTCCGCCTCCGGGGTTCAAGTGATTCTCCTGTCTCAGCCTCCCAAGTAGCTGGGACTACAGGCGCATGCCACCACACCCAGCTAGTAGAGACGGGGTTTCACCATGTTGGCCAGGATGGTCTCCATCTCCTAACCTTGTGATCTGCCTGCCTCGGCTTCCCAAAGTACTGGGATTACAGGCACAAGCCACCGTGCCTGGCCTGATTTTTTATTTTTTCTTTTTATCTATTCTTTTGGATTATTACCTCTAACTCCTTGTTGTATGTTGAAGTGGTGGCTGTAGGGTGCACATTCTTTGCCTTGTCACACACAGTCTACCTTCATATAATATTATACCTCTTCATATATAGGATAATAATCTTACAATATTATACATCCACGTCTCCCCACACAGACTTTGTATCATTGCTTTTACACATTGTACATTTACATGATATAAAACCCACAATATATTTCTTTTTTTTTTTTTTCCTTTGGGGACTCCAATACATTTATATTAGGCCATGTGAAGTTGTCCACAACCTCACTGAGGCTCTTTTCAAAATTTTCAGTCTTCTTCGTTTTTCATGTTGGAGAGTTTCTATTGCTATTCTATACTTTGACTTTATTGATTTTTTTCTTAGGCGGTGTCTAATCTTCTATTTATTAAGTGAATTTTCTATATTAGACATTGAAATTTTGATTTCCAGAAGTTTGATTGCATGTTTTCAAGGTTTCTACTTAACATGTTTCATCTTCACTCTTGAATCTATGGAATACAGTTTTAATGTTTCTCATATTTATATGGAAAGGTGTGTCTATATGGTGCTTATTAAAAGTGCCAGTTATATAACTTTGCTTCCAGCCAAGATAGAGTAACAGACAATGGATTTACTCTTCCCTGCAAAAACTACAATAACAGGCAAAATATACAAAATGACAGTTTGTAAGATATTAGACCTAATGCAAAAAAAGTGATCCGTGAGAGATGGAGAAGCCACTAATACTCTTCCATGTAAATATAAGATGCTCTTTCTAACCTGCTTTAATTTTGTGCATAATATATAACACTATAACTTTACACATATACGTTCTGTGTGTGTGTGTGGGAGGGTGTGTGTGTACTTGTCACCCTCTGTAAGAATTTAAGGTCTGCAAGATCAGAGTTACTTTATTTACCATATCATCGTTACCTAGATCAGATGTGGCACACAAATATTTGCTGAAAAAATGATCCCACAAACTATTATTTTTAAACCAATGAACAATAATTCCTTTAATGTGTCAAAATTTAACCATTTTTCTATTTCTAATCATTTTGACTGTTTACAGTTGTTTACTATTAAACTATTAAAGTCTAAGATTAACAACTTCAAGGGAAATCTGTGTATCCTCATTTCCTTAAAAAAGAACTAAAAATGGAAATGTTTGGTTAAATCATATGTAAACTTTGAAGGTTTTCAAAACGTTCTATGAAACTGCTCTATATTAAGTTGAACCTATTTAAACTATATTCAGTAGTGTGTGAGAGTATCTTTTTGGGGGAAAAATCCCCCCCCCAAAAATCAAAATCTATTTTTTCTATAATTAACCTTCCTCAGGAAGTGTTTGAAAGAATCAGAGATAAAGCAATCACCTTCTACCTTTAATAATATGAATGCCTGCTAAGCCATTGAGAGCACAAACTAGCTGTCGATGTGCTTCTTCACATTCAGTTCCACATTTCTTCTGCAAAGATGTCAGCAGCTCTTCCATTGTCATGGTGCTAAAAGAAAAGGTAGACTGTTCAAAACTAGAAAGAAAATCCCAAGTGTGACTTCAGTGGGAGTGTTATATCTCACATGATCAAGAGTGTATGAGACTCGCAGTTTTTGTGGTATCTCTAGCATTTTTTTTCGCCTCAATTTTTACCATTATTTTTTCCCACATAAGTACCTTTATTTGATCACATCCTTCTTTAAGTTTTTCCCATTTCAGTAAAGGGAGAATGAAACTAGAAAAATCTTCCTCAAGTACAAAGTACAGCATGACATATTTGAAACATTACAGGTATTAACATGTAAGACTGACTCTGAATCCCAGCACTGCAACTTAATTAGAAAACCTCTTTGAGCCTGAATATTTTTTTAATCAGTAAAAAATGAAGATCCTCTAAGGTTAAATGCCATTCCTTCAAAAGGCTGTCTAACCTTAACCATTCATATATAAATTGTTTTCGGACTCTAACTGTACACAGCAATTTGTTCATATATCTTTTGAAATTTACTATGTTCACTTCATATTTTAGAAATCTATAATTTTCATCATTTCCCTTATTTGTCTATAACCTGCTTAAAAGCAAAGACAAAACTGAATCCTCTTTCTATCTCTTATAGCCAAAGGCCAGTTCCTGAGTTGCAGTCTGATTCACAAAAACTTTCTGGGACAATAGAGTATTATGAACACAAATTTCTTAATGTTCTCAGAATGAATAATCAGAGAGATAGAAAATATTTAACGGTAATCTAACTCCCTGATGTGGGAACTATGAAATAAAATAAGAGCAAAAGCCTTTCATATCTGGAGTACAGCCAAAACCCTAAATAACAAAATAATTTTAAAAAAAACCTCAACAATAATCCTAATTTTAAAAGAAGTGTTCAAGGCCAGGTGTGGTGGTTCATGCCTGTCATCCCAACAGTTTGAGAGGGTGAGACAGGAGGACTGCTTGGGGCCAGGTGTTCAGGATCAGCTCAGGCAACATAGCGAGGCCCTGTCTCTACAAAAACATAAAACAGGCCGGGCGTGGTGGCTCACGCCTGTAATCCCAGCACGAGGCTGAGAGGGGTGGATTACCTGAGGTCTGGAGTTCAAGACCAGCCTGACCAACATGATGAAACCCCGTCTCTACTAAAAATACAAAATTAGCCAGGCTTGGTGGCACATGTCTGTAATCCCAGGTACTTGGAGGGGTGGGGCAGGAGAATTGCTGGAACCCAGGAGGCAGAGATTGCAGTGAGCTGAGATTGTGCCACTGCACTCCAGCCTGGGCAACAAGAGCGAAACTCCATCTCAAAAAATAAATAAAATAAAATAAAATAAAATAAAATAAAATAAAAAGTAGCTGGCTGTAGCAGTGTGCACTTGTAGTCTTAGCTACTTGAGAGGCTGAGGCAGGAGGATCACTTGAGCCCAGGAATTTGAGGCTGCCACTGTGAGCTATGATCACACCACTGCACTCCAGCCTGGGAAAGAGTGAGACCCCGTCTCAAAACAAAAAAAAACAAACAACAACAAAAAAACACCATACCCACTGCAAAAGAGAAATGCTTAAAACCATGAAAATAATTCTGGTAATTCTCCGTTGCAAATGAGCTTCCATACCAAAGAAAACCCTCTACACCATTAAAGATAACTGACAACTCAGTTACATGTCTCTGAATGAAACCGTGGGCCTGAAATATTGTCTATTATGATATACCAACTGCAATTAAAAAAAAGTTGATAATAAAACCTTTTTTGGAGTGGCAAGAACTCTCCACGAACAGCCTGTGGGTGACAGCAGGCCTGTCTGAGCCTCAGCAATGGATACAGGATAGAGGTGACAGTCCTTCTGTCTAGGCTGCTGAGCTTCAGAGCCCAGTCAGAAATCTTCCTGAGTTTTACCACCACATCCTGGCAGCACACCTCATGCTGACGGTGATAGAAATGCCTTTCCACTGGAGAAAAGTGGAGCCAGTGTATTTCTTCGGTTTGTGGTGGTATTTGGATCTGTGAAAAGGAGCAGAAAAAAAAAAAAAGATATCATCTAAAAATTTATCTTTCCATCCCAATTGTTTCTTTTCTCTTATAGTACCTTTATCAATAAAAACTTATTGTACTGACTTGGTCAATCACATCTTTCTTTGCAGACCTCCACAGTATCTTGGCAATAAAGCTGTAGAGATGCTGAGGATTCTTCTTGCAGTAAGGCCGATAGAGAAGTCGAACCCACCAGTGTTTGACACAGTAAGGTTCAATACCAAGAAAGACCACTAACCCAAAAAGATCTGAAAAGAAAAAATAAAATACATTGAGGATAACTCTATTACTTCATTACTAGTTTGCAGAAGCTTTTCTACAGACATTACACAGCACATAGAACTTTCCATGAATTAAAATACAGGCTGTATAGGCTCTTAAATCTGAAATTCAATTCCAATTCCATTTATACTTATTGAGCATCTATTCTGCCCTAGGTTTTGGGCTAGGTGCTAAAATAATGTTAGATTTATGCAACCATTCATTACATACAGCTTATACTTAATTCAAAAATCTGAAACTGTTATCAGAAGTTAAACCAAAAAACCACTCAACTGAATGTACTTGGTAAGACATATATAAGAAATACCATGCTCTGAAACCAATAGATGCAAGATTTGCTGGATTGGAAAAAAGAATTTCTAAGCACACAGATGACATGAAGAATATTCTCTGATGCAATATTTCTCATACCCTTTATCTAATAATTCTCCTAGAAAAGAAGCCTAAGAGAGTAATAAAAATATAGATAAGATTTACTTACACAGTGATATTCATAGCAACAATATGTAGAAAAATGACTCAAATAAATAAATTATAGTAATCCCACAAAATAGAACTATTTTTCTTTTCTGATTCAGCATGCCTTGTATTTGTTAGCTTTAGAGCATGGGACTTCTTGTTTATCTCTTTACTGGGCACAGTCAATTTTATATTCTATTCCCCTCCACCTGCCCACTTAACATACCCTAAACAGTTTTCCATATATTTATTTGTGAGGACTTAATGAAAAACTGCTTTGGATATGAAGTGGAAAAAAAAAAAGGAATATAAAATTGTGCATGCAGAATAAGCTCAAATATATAAACATCTATATAGAAAAGATCTTCAAATGAAGACTATGAGTGTAATTTTGTAATTTTCTTTTTGTTTTTTTGAGACAAGGTCTTGCTGTTGCCCAGGCTCGAGTGCAGTGGCACCATCTTAGCTCACTGCAGCCTCAACTTCCTGGGCTCAAGTGATCCTACCTCAGCCTCCCAAGTAGCTGAGATCATAGGTGTGTGCCACCATGCCTGGCTAATTTTTTTATTTTCTGTAGAGACAGGGCTTCCCTATGTTGCCCAGGCTGATCTTGAACTCCTGGGCTCAAGTGATCCTCCCACCTCAGCCTCCCAAAGTGCTGGGATTACAGGTGTGAGCCACCATGTCCGGGTTGTAATTTTCTTTATACTTTTATGTACAGTTCAAATTTTTTCACAATGGGCATATATTCTCTTCAGAAGCCATAAAATAATAATAAAAATATCCTTCCCACACCTACAACACTTATTCTGAAGATGATCAACAAATATTTAGATTGAATTAAGTTACCTTGATGGTTGCTGGGAGTTAGCAACATCTGAAAGAACCAATGCATCACTGCTATGCAAAGGTCCACAGATTTATATTTTTAGCTCAAATCAATTCAATTGCTATATGTTACCTCTTTTTTGAGGTCCCAAAGCCGTCTCAAACTCAACTTGCCGAAATCTCAAATTCATAATCTTTTTGCACACATGCTTCATCTTTTTTTTTTTTTTTTTTTTTTTGAGACAGAGTCTTGCTCTGTCGCCCAGGCTGGAGGGCAACGGTGCAATCTCAGCTCACTGCAACTTCTGCCTCCCAGGTTCAAGCGATTCTCCTGCCTCAGCCTCCCGACTAGCTGGGATTACAGGCGTCTGCCACCATGTCCAGCTAATTTTTGTATTTTTAGTAGAGACGAGGCTTCATCATGTTGGCCAGGCTGGTCTCAAACTCCTGACCTCAGATGATCCACCCGCCTCAGCCTCCCAAAGTGCTGGGATTAGAAGTGTGAGCCACTGGCCCATGCTTCTTTTCTGGTAGTATTCACTGGGGAAACCAGTCACCATTCATGGATTTATGCAAGTCAGAAATCTTGGTATCTCCTGATCTGTCACTGAGGCTTGTTAATTTTGCCTTATCCACTTTTTTCTGTTATCTTTAGGACAAACCTAGTCCAAATCAAAAGTGCCAGCACCACTTGCCTAGATTACTTCTTATAGACAATCAATTAATATCCTAACATCCACTCTTACCCTCTTCTAAGCCACTCTCCACACTGCAACTAGAGTGATCTTTTGAAATACAAATCTAACCACAAAATGACCCCCAACCACTGTGTTTAAATCGTTTCAATAGCTCCTACTACTCTTAAGAAAAAAAATAAAATTCTTTAACAAGGCAAATAACATCCTCCATGGTCCCATCTCTACCTACCTAGTCTCTCTATCCACCATCATCTCCCTAGCTCTTTACATTCTAGCCACGCTATTTCTGCCACATGATCTATTTACATTAATATTTTCTGTTTCCTCTACAATAGAGGATTTTTCCTTTTCCTCTTTACCTAGCTCATGTTAATGTTTCAGATCACAGCTCAGTTGTCAGCATCCCAATTGTATGATGTTATAGAACAAACTATTTTTTTAATGAAACCTGTTATAGTTAGAATTTTCCTTTTTTTCATTTGTGAAAGTTATCTCAATTGCAATTTAATATTTATCTAAGTATTTAAGAAACATTTTAAGAAATGTATGTTCTCCTCTAAGCTGTAAGCTCAATAGATAAGGGATCGTATGTACTTTTGCTCATCATCTGCTATGGTTTGAATGTATCCCCCAAAAGTTCACGTGTTAGAAGCTTAAACTCCAGTGAATAATATTAGGAGGTGGGGCCTAATTATATGTGACTCAGTCATGAGGGTGGAACCCTCATGAGTGGATTAATTGTCATTATTGCAGGAGCGGGTTAGTTATCTCAAGGGTTGGTTGTTACAAAGCGAGTCCAGCCCCTGGTGCTTCTCTCTATCTCATGTACTCCCTTCCACCTTCCACCATGAGATGATCCTCGCCAGTTGCCAGTGTCATGCTCTTAGATGCGCCAGCCTCTAGAATTGCGAGTTAAACAGACTTCCCTTCTTTGTAGTTATCCAGTCTGTGGTATCCTAACAGCAAAAATCTGACTGAGATTCTATCCTACCTCACAAAGAAATAAATCAAATACATAAATAATAACAAATGAAATAATAAATGCATCACAAAGTACTTGTTAAAGTCAATACTTTCGAAGACATTAAAATAAATAAATGACTACATAAATGGAAAATAAAAACAACAAAAGGAGAAGTAGAGGCAGCTATCATTCATTGAATATTTAATATTTGTTAGGTACTGTGCTAAATCCTTTGTATACTTCATCATAATTCATCTTTAAAACACCTTATTTTATAGATAAGAAAAATAAGGACTTAAATGTTTAAGGAATTTGTTTATGGACATACAACTAATAAGTCCGGATGTAAACCCCAGTTTTTATATTCCCCAAAGCCAATGCTTTCTATATTATACAAATGAATACATTATGTAGACATAGGGTGTGGCGGGTGGAAGGAGTTAGGAAGCATTCTTCCATATTTGACATCCCAAGTAGATGACATTATTTCAGTCTGGCAATTTCTGAAGACATTTCTGGGTGTCAGAATTGTAGGAGTGCTACCAGCATCTAGTGGGTAGAAGCTAAACATCCTAAAGCATACAGGACAATTCCCAAAGAAGAATTATCTGGCCCCAAATGTCAATATGGCCAATGTTGAGAAACCCTAGTTTAGCACAAAAAGAAAACAAATGAGACTTCCATGTCCAAATACAACAGAGTAAGTCATGAGCAGGCTAACATTCCTAGTGTGACAACTAGAAAAAAAACATTTAATTGCAAGAATCAGAAAGATACCAGAGAGATATGGAAGTGAGGAAGAAAGACAAAATTCTAGAAAGTCTGGAAAAGCTCTTTTGGAGCTGACTTGGAACACGACGAAACTTGCCTTATTGTGCACATATATTCATGGCTACAAATACATGTCAAAACTTTTCAAATGTGGTATTTTAAACATTTAGTTATATGTCATTTATATCTCAATGAAGTCCAAATAGCTCATTAAAGTTGGTTTTTAAAAAATTAGGAATTTGTTGAATGGTGACAGGTGCTCAAAACACTTGCCAACATCTTGTATCTCCAAAAAAACCGACCCAGGAACTAAGAAATTATTGCTCATACTCTCTCAACATTAAAATGAGAAAAAGTAACTCTGATAGTCATGTACTCTTTTCTGTACCCTCTCAGCTAACTTTTGAGCTGGGTAAGATCTCAGACCTTATTAACGCCTAAACATTTACAATTTCGACAGTTTCCAAACATGAAAGGAGACCACTAAATGTGGTCCTTTACTGAACGTAATATTATTCTATAAATATGTATCTAAATGTAACATTTAAGTGATGCAAATATTTAAATATATACTAGAAAATATTACTAGAAAACCTTTTCCTCCTAAAAATAATCATTGGAAAACACTGCTTTTAAAGGTCAAAGTAATGGATACTGAGATTTTTGTTTTAGCAGAGTGAGTTATGCTGCTGAAAACATACGAAAACTTGGATTTTCAGAAAGATAAGTTTTGAAGATGAGTATTTACTACAGAACTCCAAGTATGTTTAAATTTTGTAATTTAACTACACTTTAATAACAACTTTTAGGGAAATACATAAAACAAGATTTAAACTTTTCATTTTAGATATTCACAACTTGAATAAAGGTTTTAGAAATGCAGTGTCCGTTCTACTGTGATATTGAATAAGATTAAGGTAGAAGGATCATTTCAATGCACGTGTGGAGAGGAGGAAAAAACTAGACACAATCTAAATGCTCAAGTAAAGGAATGGTAGAAACAATAACGGTATATACATATAGTGTGACATTATAAGACTACTAATAACTTATATAATTACTAAAATTATGGCCCTAGTATTCCTGGGTTCACACAATAAAAATTATAGTCTCCATTTTCATAGACACAGTTAATTGAAATTAATTCCCTTTCTCTCTTTTTCTGCCTCTCCCCACCCCCCCCACCCTTTGTTTCTTTTTGGGTTAGATTCTTTGTTTTCTACCTATGACTTTGGAACTCTAATTTTAATTCAGACCTATATCTATGCTGTTTAGGCAGGTACAATAATTGTTCAACTTAAGGCAATGAGACCTCTTAATATATATCGGTCCTCATATACATAAACAGAAAAATCACCTGAGTCCCATTTAAAAAGATAAATGCTTGAAACTATTAGGAGTCAACTATAAAGACATGAATCATCACTTCAATAGGGACTGCAGCAAAGGTTAAGCATAACAATACTTTTCTCTCTAAAAAATGAAGCTTTTCAAATGCATGCAATATGTGAGGAAACCATACATTACCCTCTAATCCTCTCTGTACTGGAGTGCCACTGATACACCATCGATTAATCCCACTCAAACGCTGGGCCATTTCTGCAGCCTGATGAGAGGGAAAAATGAAATAAAAATGAAATCCAGAAAACCACAGAAAGAACACAGAAGTCAGGCATACTCATGAAAAACAGCCCATTAAAAGCTACACTTCTGGTGAGATGTACCTACTTTTATTTAACAGTTATCACACTCAATGTTGAATGTCATATTCAATGGACCATCTTCCAGTACAGTGGTTCTCATTAGTGGGAGGCTGCCACGCAGTCCCCTAAAACAGAGGGGTAGTTCAAATACGTACAAAATGAAAAAGCCCCCTGAATAACTGATCCATGCCCTGCATCACTCTATCCTCCAGATATACTAACAGACATGATTCATACATTCAGTTCAGGTTACAGACTGGCCAAAGACAACAGAATAAAGACATATGACATTCAAAGGCTGAATCAAAATTCTGTCCTCTAAAGTAGTATTTTCTGTTACCATTTGGCCTCTGATTTAAAAGACTGTCAAAGTCAACTTTGGTTCAAAGCTATCAGAGGCTACACGATGAGCTCCCAGTTAGCAGAAATGCTTACAGAAGTTCCTAAACACAGTTTACTTTGATCTGCATCATATATAAACAGACATCTTACTGAAAAATATATATTTCATATAGAGCAATGAGTCACAGAGTACAGAACTAATTTCAAAGGGTTATGTAGTTCAAAGCACAAGAGAAAAGCACAAGTAGTGTTTAATAACAAACTTTTGACCAATATCAGTACTACAGGTTAACTATGCTTAAACTATTAAACTACTCAAGGTCCCCTAATTCCTTTTCACCCTTCTTCCCCAGCCCTCAAAAGATTTTGCAGAAACTCTCACTTTTACTGTGGGACACTCAACCATCTGAGCTTCATCAAGGCAGATCCTCCACCACTCCACAGCTACCAGGGGGCTCGGGATAGCCATATAGCGCTTCTGGTTCCGTAGGCGACGCCCATCCTCACTATTGCTATGTGGGATATCGACATAATTTAATTCTGAACGCAGTACATCATAGGTAATGATAACTATATCCTGTTCTGCCAAAAAATGAGGTTGTAAAAAGCCATCTTTCTTCACTCCTTGATATACCTAGGAAATAATCAATACAGGCAGTTATTGCAAAAAGGCTCACTAAAGGCAATGAAATATTCACTCATTTATACCCTTACTAAGTCCTCTCTATTTTCTTAGGAGCATTCATGCTATGAGACAGATCCCATACCTGTTTGGAGAAAGACATGTTTTAGTGTGGAAGATGAATTACATAACTGATGTGCAACAAACTGTAATAAATGTGAACATGACAGCATCACAGTGGAAAGACCAATTCTGTAGCGGAGAAGGTAAAATCACAGAGGAGTTAAAACCTGAGGTATATCTTAAAGGTTCTCATAGGTGGCAAAAAGAGAAAAGGGCTATATGTAGGTAGGAGGATGGAATCAATAGCATATGTGAAAGCACAATGGTATGAAAAAGTAGAACAATAAGAGCTATTATTTATGAAATGCCTTTTATGTTTCAGATACTGTGCTAAGCATTATCTCCAAACTTCAACAATAATTCTGTTGGTGGTTGTTAATATTCCTATCCCACACATAAGAAAAATAAAGTGACTTGCTCAAAACTGATGGAACTAAGACTCAAAGCTTTGCCTACCCACACAGAATAGAGCTTCTTAACAGCAAAAATTGTTTTGCTTATTACAGTATTCTCCATGCCTATGTAAAGTGGATGAAATACAAAAACCTTCAGTAACACTTGCATGGAAAGAAGGAAGAATGAAATTAGTGAAGGGTATTAATATTAGGAAACAATAACATTACTATGTGCCCAGTACTTGACAAAATCATATCTTCACAAATGACTGGATACTATTTTTAAAACTCAGCAGTTCCTGGCACATAATAAGTGGTCAATAAAGATTTGCTGTATAAGTAAATTCTTATTTTACAGCTGAGGTAACTGAAGCTTTAGAGGATGATTTTGGAGCTAAGAGATGGCAGATCAGATAAGTAGCTCCTATTACACAGTGCTGCCTTTGGATTGCATTTCTCTCTGAAGACTATAAATGCTTATACCAAGAATTTCTCATTTACATACTCAAGAATTTTTAAAAAGCTTCCACATCTTTATACTCAAAATGCTTTAATTGGTGAAATTCTGATGTTAGAAAAGAATAACATTGTACTGTTCTAGTTCTTAGTCTCAATTTTTTTCTTTAAGCTTTGATTTAACATTACTATTAAATCATTCAGTTAGTTTTGAGGATAAACCACAAAGAAACAAAGATTAGGAAACTATCATGAAGAAGCAAAACTTTACATTTTCCTCTCCCTCTTTAGTCCAAGTGGCCTTACCAAGACTCGAAGAGATGACGACCTCACATGCCTGTTGATCTCATCCACCCACTGGTGACAGATGGAACTTGGAGAGATGATCAGAGTTGCTCTTGTTGACACTGGTTCCATTGCAACAAGGCAGTGGGGGCAGTAAAAAGGCTTGATCTTCAGATTTTTCTCATCATAATTCACACACTTTGCATGTTGCCACAGGTGACACTTCAGGCATTGAACACGAGGCTTACGATCTATCTGATCAAGTTCACCACATATACACTCAAAGCGGTAATCAGAGGTGTTAAAGGGACTCATGGTATTAGAAGGTGGTACATCACTATCAGCATGATTTAGAGATTCAGCACAGTCCTCTGTTTCATGTTCTTGGTTGAATTCAGAGATACATGTACTTTTAGACATAGCAACATCAGTTATTCCAGAGTCGCTAGTAGCTGGACAGTGACCTTGTGAATCGGGATTGATAAATGGTTGACTTTTTCCTTTTTTTGTGGATGGAACAAGCTTTTTCCTCAATTTACTGCGATTTCTCCTGGACTTATAATAATAATAGTAAGGATCATCATCATCATCAGAGGTGTCTGATGGCAAGTATTCAGAATCTGTGTCCTTGTTCCCTGATTTTCTAGTTTCTTTCTGAATTTTCCTTGGACTCCCTACTGCCTATGAAAAAAATATTTAATTAATTGATTGCAACTAGTTGCATTTCTGAAATTAAACTCCTGACTTTATGTAAGTACTTCATATAATTATGTAGCAGCCAGTCTTTGCTACCCTTTTCCCTGAGGAGAATCACTCCTGATAAGTGGCTTCCAATCTGCCCTCTGTAAGGACCCTCACTTCATCTCAAAACAAAAGGAAGGCTCTACAAGTGTCAGATTTGGAGAGATGAAAAATTAGAAAGATAAAGGAAGCTACTGATATTTTGTTATTTACCTACTATGATTTAGTCTACCTAAATCAATACAAGACTAGTACTTTTCGAGTACATAAATATACAAATCAGGGCAACTACAAAAACACCAAGTACTAAAATATAGCATCCAAAGAAAGTAAAAGATAATCCACTGGTTACTGCAATTAGCAAATTGATTCCTTCTTTCCTTCCCTTTTCTACATATGTCCTCTCTTACAATTACTTATTAAATGCCAATTCTGTGCCAGTAGTTGTGTTAGATGCTAGGGACACAAATATGAACAATATTTGGCCCCCGGTTTCAAAGGGGTCTACTGGAAAAGTGAGAACAGTAAAAAGTAAAATGATGCTATGGGAATACCTAAGAGGGTTGTACAACATAGTGGGAGTATGATAGGCAGGTAGTTAATAGGGACAGCTTCCTCCAAGGCATATCAGGGCTGAGGTCGAACAGGGGAGTTAAGACACAACATGTAATCAATGGCATTAACTGAGGGAAATCTTCTAGTTTTGGTGGTAGCAGGATTACCAAAAGCACAGTTCACTGCTGTCTTCAGTGCTACCCAAGGATAATATAGACTCCCTACTCCAGAAAATAAATTTTTTGTCTTTTTCTTGGTGGCCGAGCTGGTAGCTCCACATTTTGACTTGTTGTCATTAATCTTTATTTATGATTGCAAATATTATAACTATTTTCCTAAAAGCAAATTGAAATTACTGGCCCAACAGAAGCAGTTTTCTAACAAAATGCAGAAATTGTATAAGATAATAATATAAAGAAAATGAGAATTTAGAAGTTCCAGACCTGCCTGGGCAACATAGTGAGAACCCCGTCTCTACAAAAAAACAAGAAAAATTAACCAGGCATGGTGACATGAGCCTGTACTCACAACTACTTGGGAAGCTAAGGCAAGATGACAGCTTGGCACAGGAGTTCAAGGCTGCAGCTAGCTATGACCACTGCATTCTAGCCAGGGCAATAGATGCCCTGTGTCTTAAAAAAATAATAAAAATAAATAATACAGAAGATGCTTTATACTCTATAATACGCTTAGCCAACTAGTTTTTTAATTCACTCAATAAATATCTGAGTATTTGTTACGTGCCAAGCATTATTCTCTAGGTTTAATGATAGCCAAAGTAAAGTTACTCTCACGGAGTTTATATCCACAAAGTAGAAAGTAGAAGTTACAGATATAAGTACTTTTCCTATTTTTTTATCTTCAGATCGTAAGAGTTTCAGTTTCAAGGTGGGATCTGTCAATGTACTCAGTAAGGTATCACATACGTGTACTTAATATAGAGCTGAACTTAAGCTCTGTTACCTGCTTTTTTGTTTTATCACATATATCCTCTTCCTTGTAATTCTTTCCCAATGTAAAAGTCCCAGAAAAACCATGGCCTTTGATCTGTTTCACGAGACCTTCAAAAATTAAACATTTCAGCATCCGTTTCAAAAGACTCCTGTTCCGTTGAACATCGTATCTATATATAGAACTGACATACTTATAGATGGAAAGGATGGACACTCCTTTTTTTCCATTCATTTCTTTCACAGCTGTCAGTATCATCACACGTGTAGCTAAATGTAAAAGGATATGCTAAATCAGTCAAAATAATTAAAATGAAAAGAAAGTAAAACTTGGTTAATCTTAATCTGCATGAGGACTGAGTTAAGAAAGAAATAAATCAAAGATTTATTACAGCAGAGTGCCATTTTGAAAAAATATGTAATAAAAATGTATCTCAGCATATTAAGAAACAAATTACTGTAATAAAAATAATCAAAGGAAGAATTACTCATATTGAATTGTTAATACTATAAAACAATCATTCAAAATTATAAAAGAAAACTCTCACAATTATTTAAGTATACGCTACCATTAGTATGCGAAACATTCATTTCCTAAAAGATAAATAAAGCCTGGTTTAAACTGTAAGCTAAAGAGATTTAAATATAACAGACTGAGCAAGAACTACCTGGGCCAAGTCAAACAAAATAATACATCTTTACTTTTGTTAAGATATTATGACTTGTAATTGAATTCATTTATCAAAAGCATATATAACTGTAAAAACAATTGTTTATAACAATTACAAGATATCTCTAAGGATTGCAAGAACTCTAGCAAAGATCACTATAAGAAGGTATTTCCTTTAAGAGATGTCTTACTTACGAGGGCATTGAACTTTTTCTTTTGGTTCAAATTCGATATTCTGGATTTCTGTCTTTTTCAGTTTTCCTCCAAAATAATGTGACGGAATAAAATAATTCACCACTTTTCCCTGATACAAACAACAGTCAGTAGTTACACAGTGTTTTGCTTTCAGTATTCTGAATTGCTTATTGAAATTAACTTTCCTTCTTTATGGAAATGCAAAACAGTTCTAAAAAAATTGCAAGAGAAAGGGCCAAATAGCTGTAGATACATACACAGTTTTATTTCTGAGTTTACAGCTAGCTATCACTTAAAAAATTGTGCATATTATCTTAAATTACCTAAATGTTATGTGTGGAACCTCTGAAATTAACTTTTAAAGGTATATTTAAATATAAAATTAACCCATTGAATTTATAATAATATGAAAATAACTTGGAATTAAAATAGTAATGAGTAGGAAATCTCAGAAAGAAGTTACTGATAGTTAAGTCAATATATTCCAAGTCATTTGTCTACAAAAAAAACATTTTTTTTTTAAATTTTCTACTCAAATCTGAAAGGCTAATTCTGCAAACTTGACCCTACTGAAAGATAACATAATGCTAAAGCTGTGAGACTGGTGGGTCCTAGAGGTAATTAATTATAATTATACCTTTAACTACTGACTTCATTTCAGCAAGATTTAATGTAAGGGCTGATTTCAGATTTCATTACTAGAAAATATGAGCTATATACTATATTTGCCTTAGTGGACTTTGTTTCTGTAACTCTAAAATTTATATTTTTAAACACAATTATGTATTTTGGGACAAGGACTTGAAGTTTGTTTCATTTAGCAATCTATTTACTAAGCTACTTGTTCTTTAACAAAGTTCTAATTATTTGGTTCTAAGATTTATATATATGAGATTTGTATAACATTTTTAAATAGCTCTTAAAAATATTTAGTAGTAATATGGAGACTTTATTAGTGACAAAACATTTGAGGAGTCAACAGTACTTTTGTAAAGGAGTTTCTCTGCCAACTAGAAGAAAGTTCAGTAAGTGATCACAAATTCTCTTCCTAGTTGGCCAACATTACTTCAAAAATAAACCTTCTGGGTCACAAACACCCCATTCTCTCTGCCCACTTGAAGTTAACTAACCACTAATATAAATCATTACCCACAGAGTGAACAGAAAGTGTTGACTTAAGTGCCAAGCAAATGTTCAACATACGATGCTTTTCGAGAACATATGTCCCCTGCTTTTGCAAGCCCTACTATACCCTCCTACCTCGGGAAGAGTGAGAGCATCTTGCTTGACATCTTGTCGAGTATGTGTCAGAATCAGAGCCAAAACCTCCACTGTCTTTCCAAGACCCATCTCATCTGCTAAAATTCCACCAAGCAACTGCGGCCCAGAATTTGGGTACTCACGAATGATGCTGAGGAAAAAAACAAGATAAATCACATCATAGGAATGTGAATACAAATTACAATGTTCCTAATTACTTTTCCTAAAGAGAACTGGAAGCAATGCATAAAGTCTAAGTTTATTGAAACTATATTTTAGGGCAAAACAATTCAAACCTTAGATTACAAACATTAGAACTGTGATAACCAAAAAAACTGCCTGAGCTGACAAGTAACTCTGCAGAAATGAGTGGTAGTTAAAAGAGAACACGTCTGCCTTCTTTCTATGACCTTTATGAATCTATGAATAAAAAAAAATACAAAGGGCAATAACTACTATTCATTCATGATGTTTAATGATTACTAAGAAAAAATAAAACTGACCCCATAATAAACAAGATAACATTTTTACTTTAAATAATAATCTCTTTTAGTCTTGATAACTAAGCACCTTATGTCTATTATTCCAAATTCATTTACTGAAAAATGACAAGTGCTATTAATTCTAAATCTATCCTATCCATAGATATGTCTAATCAAGACTTCACCTTTGATTCCTTCATGAGGTAGAGTCAAAGTTACAGATATGCTAACAATCTCAGACAGTTTTTCATTATATTTATTTTTTAAATCAAGCATATAAGTAAAATTTTGCCTTACCAGCCTGTATATGGATTATAGTAGAGTTTCAGACCCTCAGATGTAACAATCTCTCGCCATAAGAAGTGCAGGGCACTTTCTAAAGAAAAATATAATCATAATAACAAATTTTTGTTTTCCCTTCAGTCAGATAATCACATTAAAAAAAGAATAGGTTAACAGTGAGGATACTCTGGCATAGTGATACCCATATTCTTGTGAAATCTCATTCTGGAAAAGCCACATACTTAACACATGAGTAAAAAGCTAAAAGTCCCTCTATTTCCTTTCTTCTGATATTACTCTTTAGCTCCCTTTGTTTTGGGCACAAATCCACATCAGCAAATAATAGGACAGATAAGCAAAGTGTGGCAGATTACAGAGAATTAACAGGAAAACTAATACATATAACCAGCTCCTACCTGATGAATGAGTCTATTTTTAATAAATCTTGCAATAAATTATATGAAGTCTTTGAATAACTCAATAGACATATGCTAGGTGGCTAAATACATTTACCCGAATCAGACCTGACCTCTTCTACGGGTCTGAGAGTGGGAAGAAAGGCTTACTTAACTGGGAAAAAAATATCTAAAACCATAACTCAGAAGTGCTGAGTTTGTTTCTACCAGAATCTTCCACTAGCCTTCTCCTTAATATTTTAACTTATTTAAACCAACTGCCAAATAAGTAGCATGTCTCTACCCACCAATGAAACAGCAAGTAATTTTTAATTGGCTTCTTTAGAGATTAATAGATATTTTATATTTTTATATTCTAGAATAAAATGGCCATTAAAAATTCAAAAAACTATGGATGTTGGCACGAAGCCAGTAAAAAGGGAATGCTTTTACACGGCTGATGGGAATGCAAATTAGTACAATCTCTATGGAAAACAGTATGGAGATTTCTCAAAGAACTAAAAGTAGATCTATCATTCACTCCAGAACACTACTGGGTATCTACCCAAAGTGAAACAAGTCATTATATCAAAAAGTCACCCATGCTTACATGTTTATTGAAGTACAAATTCACAATTGCAAAGATATGAAATCAACTTAAGTGCCCATCAACCAATGAGTGGATAAAGAAAATGTGTGTGGAGGGGGGCAGGTGTGTATACACACCATGGAAACCATGGAATACTATACAGCCACAAAAAAGAATGAAATAATGTCTTTTGCAGCAACTTGCATGAAAATGGAGGCCATTATCCCAAGTGAAGTAACTCTGGAACAGAAAAACAAATACCACATGTTCTTACTTACAAGTGTGAGCTAAGCTATAAGTACATGGGGGCATACAGAATAGTATAACGGATACTGGAAACTCAGAAGGGAAGTGAGGGATGAAAAATTACATAGTGGGTACGATATACACTATTCAGGTGATGGGTATACTAAAAGCCCAGACTTCACCACTATGCAATTCATCCATGTAACCAAAAACCACTTTTACCCCCACAAAGTTATTGAAAAAAGACAGCAATAAAGAAGTGGCATAAATGCCTCCCGTAAAACTACTACTTTCATAAAAATACTCAACAGATGACATTTTATTACTGTAAAGAAAAAAATGCAAAGTCTAGGAAAATTCATCACACATAAGTCTCCTACTTTTGTAAATTTGCTTTCTGTCACCAACATTCACCATTACATTGTGAGTTTCTTGCAGATGGTCAGTAAGATTCCCACTGGACCAGATTCTAAAGAGCAATTCTTTGTTTGAAAGGAATGTAAAAAAAATTTCTTGGTTTTTAAAAATTCCAATTGAGGCAGGATTGATTTCCTTTTGGCAAGAAAAACCAGTACAAACTTTTATGAATGAAGAAACTCACAAATTCATTTTTCTAGATTTCAATTTTAAAGAATTTCTTAGAAAATAATTTTATGGCACCCATTCTATCTTATATTTTCAGGATGTTTATTTTAATGATCAATTTCACCCTGCCCTAATTGTCTCTGATGTAATCTCTCTAATCAATTGGACTTTCTTTAAACATCTTATTCTTACCAGTAGCAGGACTGCTTCTGAAACACTCTTGTTGTAGCATCCAATTGACAGCCTCTCTTTGGTAGGGTCTCAACACAGGGATCAATGCAGGATGCTGGACATCCACTTGGATGGACTGCGTTTCTTGCTGATGTGTTTGTTTCACAAAGTGATACAGCTCGTCAATGTCTTGTCCCTCTGGCTCACTCTCCGGATCATCTTCATCCTCTTCCAACACATCTGTACATCACACAGCAAATGTACTCAAAAACTGATAGGTTTTTTCTAACTATAAGCAATTCTTATTCTAAGAGCATACAATGAACTTGCCCAACTCTGGGGCCTTGCTCAGTGTGTTTTGTCACTGAAAGGCCCTATCTTTAATTCTTCATTAATCAAAAATCTACTCATCCATTCTTCAAGAAAGTTTAACTGATACTTTTTCCATGGCATTTTCTTTTGTTTTCCCTGGCTGGAATTATGTTCTCCTCTGTGGATACAGTATTATTACATTGTAATCTATCTGGTACTGCAAACATTTATGTCCACTGGTCCTTTCCCCAGGGTAACAAAGGCAAAGTTTTTCATTTTTGTAGCCCCTCAGAGAAGCTGACACGTAGCTGACACGTGTATTGTCTATTGTGGATGTTTTATAAACATTTGAGGAACTCAATGTGAATACTGTTTGAAGTTTATATAGGAACAACTTACTTTACTTTTGTAATTTTAACATACAAAATCCATATGGAGACATAACTGTTCTATGCCCAATAAGAAATGGGTTCTCATTTTATTTCTTATGCTAGAAAAGGATAGGCATTTGGTAGCAGTAGCAGCCAACTGGAAGACAAGTGATTATGTTATTAATGCAAATTTGTAAAAACACTAAGTTCACTTGGTGGGCACAATTGTTCTGTGGAAGAAGATTTATACTTACTATAACATGAAAAAAGTAATAAAAACCTTGAACATATTTACAAACTCCTTTCAGCTAATGGTTCTTTATTAAAAACATAATTCTTTCAAGGTGAAAAAGTATATCATTTATTTCTGAATTGCTTTGAAAGAGGCCTATATACTTTTATAGGACATACCTCATAACTTCTAAAACTAAAAGATGACACCAAAAAATTCACAACTTATTTTTTTCCAATAAATATGCCATGTAAAATTTCCAAAACTTCACAATTAATGTACAGCTTTATGCTCAGTTGTTTTAGACTTTTACTATAATTATATAATCTAAGATTAATAGCTAAATTTGAAGTTTTCCTTAGATACCAGGCTTTAAAATGAACAAATTGTAATATTTTTAAAAGGCCATAAGTTTAAAAACTCTAGATGTACTTAAATTCATTCCTTCTAATCCCGAAACCAGAGATTTCCTAATTTAAAGTATCTAACTTGCAAAACGATTTACTATTACTGATATTATAAAGCATTGCAAAGAATGTACTAGAGAAATAACAATCGAAGTTAGAAACTGATTTTCAAATACTCCAGTATGACAATGTTCTATAATTTGCACCTGAAATAATGCTGACCCACCATGAGCAGAACTTGGAGAATTTGGGCTGTTTTTCCAGTAGTGTTGATGAGCTGCACCAAGCCATCCACACTCTCCCAAGGTGACCAATGGCAGACAACTCTGAATCTGCAGTCCTGACCAAAGATGCAACGTCTTGCCAAGAAACAGAGCAAAGTTATCTGGTCTTTATGGGAACCAGGCTTTTGAAATTATTTGTCAGACTGCAAAGGAGAGGTGGAATAAACGCCAGCCAAGAATTTCTGGCCCATGACAAAATAAAAGCACAGGAATAATGCAAAAATCCCAACCAGCTCAGATCCCTTTAGACTCTGCCTTTTGACTTGCATATTGACTCCGCAAATATTTCTTTAATATTTAATATAAGGTAAGCACAGAGTTAACCAAAGAAACAAATTATATTAGTGGGTGCATTTCAAATAAGTATAATTTGCCATATAATCATTTAATTTTTATTATGGCTTTATTAGCTGTTTTTCTGATTGTTATGTCCAGGGGTTAGAGGAAAAAACTCACAACTCCTAAGTAATAGCAATTTTTAAGTTTACTGTAAATATTACCTGGAATAATAGAATTGTGTAACTTTTCCATTACTTTCTTCATGAGCTGATTGAACTTTTTCATTCTTGAATTTGCATCACTCAAGAAGTCTAGTTTTGCTAGGCCAGCTTCCAAAAGATAAATTCCAACCTAAAAACAATTAATCAAAATAAAAGTAGTTTCATTTGAAATATACCATTCTTTATGAGGACATAAGCAAGAAAAAATTAGCATCACTACTTTTAAAGGTATTCATAGCATGTGTGACACAAACAATAAATACATGCCTACCAAATTTCCCCCACGTGTTTCATTTTCACTAACAAATTATAAATGTAAGTGCCTACAATGTACAATTCGAGTTGCTGGAAAAAAATATTCCCCTAACTGAAATCGAACCTGGGAGAATGTGATAAGAACACCTAGTTCTATCTACCAATGCAATGATTCCCAAAACTGATGAATTAATCAGTCAAGTTTGTTAAAAATGCCGATTTCCCCAGAAGATTATGACATACATGCTAGGAATCTTCTGCACAGTTAGGTTTGGGCATCCTCATTACTGAATCAAACACTAAAACGTGTAAAAAAACAGACCTTGATTAATGTTAATATTTTGACCCTAGTGAAGCAATGTGGTATGAAGTTTTACAGTTGAAAGACTTGATTTTGAATACTGGCATTGATATTTGGAAGCTAAATGAATTTGAGAAAAATAACCTATTGATTTTGACCTAAGTGTTCTCATTTACAAAATGGAGAGAAGTCCATCTTAAATAATATAACTATAAAAGTTTCTAATGGTAGACACTCAATAAATGTTAATTCCCTTTACTTCATGTTGACTATGTTGTACCTGACTCCCTAATCACTGAGAATCTCATATTCTTTCACTACAGAACAGGAATCCACCAGCCTTACACAGAAATGAATGACAAAGAGTGTATTTCATTACTGCTAGTATTCTGTCTTGGCTCGCTTGGTGATGTCTTACTACAGCAGCAATAAATGTTTAAATATTTGTAAAATTCAGGATCAGGAAAAACAGAATAGATTAACACTTGGTCTGTAGGGAACGTAGATAGAACACAGATATGTGAGTCATAAATTGTTACATACTTGTTATCACTGAGCCACAATTTTGGCAAAATCAGTAAAGAGAGGGAATGTTTGATTACATAGTTTCACTGTACAGGGAAAAATTAATTGGAGTCTAATAATTCTAAATGTTCTCCTTTCCTTCTGACAATTCTAAAACTATAACTAAGGTTATCGATGCAAGAAATATATGAGACAGTTTTCAGTTAAACAACATGAAATTAACATTTTAAATTTTCAGGTTTAGCATAAAAGCATATTAACTTGCTTCACAGTTTACAAAGTATACTTTCTTACATTATCTGGCCTGATTTTCAACACAATTCTATGCTGTAAGAAGAATGGGTATTATTTACATTTCATAAAGAAACTGAAATTAGAGCATTTAAATGATTCACATAAAGTTATTTGGCCAGTGAATGACAGAGACTGAAATAAATTACAAATTTATTCATTCATCTACTGAAAATTTAGGTACCAGGTACTTTACTAGGCTGTAAAGATGAAAGGCTTCATAGTTTAGCAGAGGGGAATGATCTAAAATGTTAAGTATGTGACAAGCCGCCAAGGCCAAAAAAAAAAATCTACCAGAGATTCTGAGGAGAGGGCACATAATACTACCAATAGATTTAAGAAACGATCTCCCTGGGTGAATTAAATGCTATACTAAATATTAAAGAATAACCAGGAATTACCAGGGAAGGGGAAGGGAACAACTCAAGCAGAAGGAACTATAAGAACAAAAGCAAAGACGCAGAAAGTCAGTGTGGTATATGGAGAAAATAAATCAATTTGGAGTTTCTGGGACAAAATAAAAAGCAGAGTAATAAAGGGTAAGGCTCAAGGGCTTGTCAAGGGAGGAACTTGTGTGCCAGATTAGAAAGATTATACTTAATTCTGTAGGCAGTAATGGGTAGAATTTCATTTGCATTCAATCATACAATTCCAGAGACAAAATCGAAGCATTTGAAAAGGCAAAATAGCAAACAGATAAATGGTTAAATGACTGCTGCAGTAAGAGGAACTGATGATGAGGACCAAAACAAGTCACTGAAAGTAGAGATGGAAGATCTTGAAAAAGTGTAGCCTGAAAATGATTAGTTGTAACATACTTTGAATAGTTATTAAAAGCTTAAAGTGTACTTTGAAACTTAACAATGAAAGGCTTATTGCTGGCTTTTCAGACTTCTCTCACAAGTTAATTTAAAATTGGACTGCCAATGTAGAAGAGCCTCAAAAAAGACACCACAAAAAACTGAGTACCTTGATAATGTGATTTCCTTCTGGTTTCTGATAGAGTTTTATTCTTCTCTTCTTTTGTAGCCACCCCAAATCTTCTAACATTTCACCACTGAAGGATGACTCCACCAGAATACCCTTGTCACAAATACTCATCGGTTCTTTTTTTTGTTTCTCTACATCTTCACCTTTTGAATGAACATAAATCAGGAACTGATTGCTTGACTCTGAACTCATCAATGTAATACTCCTTTCGGAAAAATTTTCAATTAAACTCTGTGCAGGAAGAAGCTGAAGAGTTAATTCTCCTAGAAATGCTTTCCAGGAATTATCAAAATGATAGGGAGAAATCACAATATTTAACTTTACAGACAAAGGGGAAAAAATACCAACAGTCTCTTCTTTTTCAATTGGTTTTGAGAAGCTCACCACTTTTGAACACCTCTTCTTATCTCTGTGAGCCACTTCTTCCTTTAGACTATCACTTAGAATGATATAATGAGCAGAAGAGGTATCTGAACCTGGGCAGGGCTGCTCGTCATCATCACTTATGATGATAGGTTCATTCCTTCTGTCCTCATGCATATTCCAATGAAGCTGCTGCCTCTTTTCCTCATCTACCCTCACTGGAGGAGCACGTTTCCGTCGGCTGCTCATTTTCAAGTTTTCTTGGCTGGTAACTGTGAACTCTAGAGGACAAATGAAACAACAGGAGGTATAACAAGAGATGATTTAGTATTTAAGGGTTACCAGATGAGAAATTCAGCATAAATTCATAGCCCATAAACATAATATGAAATCTTCTGTGAGATATAAGGCAATGAGTAATTTTTTTACCAGGTCATTATGACTAAGGAATGAACATATTAACCATAATCTCATTTATCAAATAAATTCTAATGGTTTTGCTAGTCTTTAATAGTAAAGGCAATTTGTTGTATAAAATAAAATAAATTGTAGAAATACATTTAATAAGCAATATAATAGGAAGGTAAATCTCTCAATCCCAAGTAATTTAACTGCCCCTCAGAACAAAGCCCAACAATACTTAAAAGAGCGAAACAAAATCCAACACAAATGTCTGGCATCAAATCTAAAATTATCAGGCACGCAAAAAAAATGAAAATAAAACAGAAAAATAAGACCCATTACAAGAAAAAAATCAAAAAGCCCCAGAAAAGACACAGATGATATAATTAGCAGAAACAAACATTCAAACAGCTACTGTAAATATTCTCAATATGTTAAAGGTAGAGGAAAACATGAATATGACAAAGAAAAATGATAGATATACAAGTGACTCCTATAGAATTTATGCAGATGGAAATGCAACATCTAAAACGAAAAACACATTGTATGAGATTACCAGCAGATTAGAAATGGCAAAGAAAAAAAGAAGCAGAATAAGCTTAAACAATGGAAACAACAGTAACAACAGAAACTGTCAAAAATGAAGTAGAGATAAACAAAGACTGAAAAAACAATAAATAGAACATCAGAAACCTACTAGACAATGTTAAGGAGTCAAACATGCATAAAACTGGAATCTCAGCAGCAAAGAATGGAAAGGATACAAAAAACTTTTTGAAAAAATCATGCATGAAAATTTTCCAACTTCTATAAAAACCATCAACTCAGAAAACCAAGAAGCTCAATGAAACCCAATCAGGGCAAACATAAAGAACAATCACAATAAGGTATGCCATAATTAAATTACTGAAAAGTGAGGACTTCTCTCCAGATTGGCCCTATTTCTCTGGTTTAGACACTGCTCCCACCCCACAGCTCTAAACCCAGCAAAATATCTTTCAAAAATGAAGGTGAAAAAAAGATCAACAAAAGCCAAAAGGACTTATCACCTGTATACCTACAATCTAAGTAATGTAAGAAGCGCTTGGGTAGAAGAAATATGACATCAGATGGAAATCTGGATCCACACACAAGGAAATAAAAAGCAAAAACAAAAAATATGTGTATAAATATAGTAAACTTTTTTCTTGATTTTTAAATTTCTGTAAAAGATAACTTACTATACTTTCATTCTGAAAATTTTCAAGCATACATAAAAATTTAGAAAATAGTATAACAGTATAATCAGAGATCTATACAGTGTACTATGTTCATGGACTAGAAGACTCAAAATGTTCAGATGTCAATTTCTTAGTACTGACCTATAGAAAAGCAATCCCATTCAAAATTCCAACAGGTTTGTTCTGTAGAAACTGACAACCTGATGTTAAAATTTATACTAAAATGCCTACAATACAGGAAAGTCAATATAATTTTAGAAAAGAAAAATAAAGTTGAATGACTTACACTGATTCCAAGACATATGTCAAAAGAAATAAAAATGGTGCAGTAGTGGTGTAAAGACCAACATATAGATCAAGGGAAATGTCCTGTAGTGGACCCACACATGGATGGTCAATTGATTTTTGAAAGAAGTTCAGAGGCAGTCAATGGGAAAGGTATCCTTTTAGTAAATGGATACCAATATGCAATGAAATGAAGCTTTACCTCCTAAAATGTAAGAATTAACTAAAAATAGATAATAAACTATAAAAGCTAAAACTAAAACTTCTCAAAGAAAACAGAGGAGAAAACCTAAATGACATTGGATTAGCCCAAAAAAAAGGCACAAAAATTTTTAAGCAGGAAACAAAAACCATAGACTATGTAAGAATATGATAAACTAAGTTTCATCAAAATTAAATATTTTGGTTCTTCAAAAGATACTGTCATCAAAATATGACAGCAAGTCACAGATGGGAGAAAATATTAGCAAATCAAGTATCTGATGAAGGATATGTTTGCAGAATATATAAAGAACTCTCACAAATTAATAGTAAGACAAACATTTAAAAAAGTCAAAAATTTTGAATAGACATTTCACCAAAGATGACCTATAAGTGTAAAATAAGCATATGAAAATATTTTCACCAGCATCAGTCATTAAAGCAATACAAATTCAACCCACAAATCACAATGAGATGCCACTATTCATATACTAAAATAGTCAAAAATTTAAAACACTGAGAGTATGGCTCAAACAGAACTGAACTCTCCAACATTTGAACACAGCACAGTCACTTTGGAAAAGTATCAGTTTCTAATAAAATTGAATATAACTTACTATGCAGCCTAGTAATCCCTCTCTTAGGTATTTATCCAAGAGAAATCAAAACATAAATCCACAAAAATTTAAACTTGAATGTTAACAGCTTTACTATTAAAAGCCCCAAACTGGAAGAAAACCCAAATGTCCATCAACTGGTGAATGGACAAATTGTGGCATAGTCACACAATGGAATACTATTCTGTGATAAAAAGAGACTTCTGTAAAATAACCTGAATGAACTGTTAAAGCATTATGCTAAACTGAAGAAAGCTAGATGTGAAAGACTATATACTATATGATTCCATTTACATGAAATTCTAGAAATGGCAAAAACCTGATTGCAGAAAGTAGATGAGTGGTTACCAGGGGCAAGGAAGTATAAAGAGGTGACTGACAGTAAAGGAGCAGGAAGGCAGGCTTTGGGGTGACATAAATGTTCAACACATGATTGCAGAGTATACATCTGTCAAAACTCATCAAATTATATACTTTAAATTGAATTTTCTTATACATAAATTATATCATAAAGTTGATTTAAAGAGCAAAAACAAAAAGATGCACGAGATTTAGAAATTTTAATATTAAGTATAACTTTATTCAATAAATCTGAAAAATCTAGATAAAATGATAAATTATAAAGTGATAAAATTTTGCTAACAAAATACAAATGAACAAAACTGGCCCAAGAAGGAAAATATGAATAGACCAATAACCATAAAAGAAACTAAAGTGACATTATTTACCTGCCTAAGGTCTATCCTCCTTCCCTGATGACTGAACCTTTATTTAGGAACAAGGTGGCCCTATGATTCAAAGGAAGTGATTTCCTTGGCACCTCCAAGGAAGTAGTTTCTAGCTACTATTGGCCAAAGCAAATCCAATAAGGTAGTTATTGGCTGCATGTGACTACTTAACTTTCAATACAGTTATGCATTGTATAATGACATTTTGGTCAATGAGGGACCAAATATTACAGTGGTTCCATAAGGGAGCTGAAAAATTCCTATGGACTAGTGACATCATAGCCATTGTAACATCATAATGCATTTATTTATTTATTTATTTATTGAGATAGAGACTCACTCTGTTGCCCAGCTGGAGTGCAGTGGCGTGATCTCTGCTCACTGCAAGCTCCACCTCCTGGGTTCATGCCATTCTCCTGCCTCAGCCTCCTGAGTAGCTGGGACTACAGGCGCCTGCCACTATGCCCAGCTAACTTTTTTTTTGTATTTTTAGTAGAGACGGGGTTTCATGTGTTAGCCAGGATGGTTTTGAACTCCTGAACTCAAGATCTGCATGCCTCAGCCTCCCAAAGTGCTGGGACTACAGGCGTGAGCCACCGCGCCTAGCCGCATTACTTTATTTTTTAATAAACTTTGTGTAGCATAAGTGTACAGTGTTTACAAAGTCTACAGAAGTGTACAGTAATGTCCCAGGCCTTCACATTCACTCCCTGACTAACCCAGAGCAACCTTCAGTGTTATAAGCTGCATTCATGCTAAGTACCCCACAAAGGTGTACTATTTTTTATCTTTTATACCATATCTTTATTGTACATTTTCTATATTTAAATATGTTTAAATATACAAATACTACGGTGTGACAACTGCCTACAGTATCCAGTACCGAATATACTGTACAGGTTTGTAGCCTAGGAGCAGCAGGCTGTACCATAGAGCCTAGGTGTGTAGTAGGCTGGCGGTACCACCTAGGTTTGTGTAAGTATACTCTTAAGATGTTCACACAACAAACTTGCCTATGATGCATTCCTCAAAACACAGCCCCATCATTAAGTGATGCATGACTATAAATAAAATTAAATGTTATAAACTCAGCTCTTCAGTCTCACTAGCCCCATGTGCTCAGTAGCGCTATGTGACTAGTGGCTACTGTACTGGACAGCACAAATATAGAGCATTCACATAATTGCAAAAAGTCTATGTATCAGACAGTGCTTGTTTAAGTCAATCATGAGAATTCTATTCCCTTAGCCCGTGCTTCACTTATGAATGTGCAGGTGATGGATTAAAATCAATCCTTGGCTATGGTCAACTACTTTTAAAGCATCTTATCCTCTCTTATCTTAGTGGAATAATATAGAAAGCTCTTAATTTCCTAAGTGTTTATGTTTGTCCAGTTTTCCTCAAAGCATAAGCTGGAATACTGAAAGTGGGTCACTCTGCAGGAACTTTAAAAAGTTATGCTATAGTAGCTTATCAGTTAACTACTGCCACAAACATGCTGTGTAACACACTACCTCAAAGCTCAATACCTTGATATAGCAATCATTTATTCTCATAGATCTGCACATTAGCTGAAGGAGGCTAATCTAGGCTAGGTTTCTGGAAAAGCAGTTTGGCTCTGCTTAATGTAGTTCCTATCCCCTCTCCTTGGATCAGCAAAGTAACTCAGGAATGTTCTTTATGGCAATGGTTGAGGTGTATTACTGCAAATCCAATCACACAAGTAGTTTTCAAAGTGCTTAAAAACCACTAAGGTGCCACAGACCAAAGCAAGACATATCCATGGACCCAATGTCAAGTGGTGAAGAAATATACTACACCTCTTTACTAGGTGAAACTGCACATGGCAAAGAGCATGGATATGGGGGGTGGAAGGGTAGAGGGAGTGTTGGAAGGGAATTGGGCCAGTTACACAATGTATCACACTAACCATAATAATATTAATAACATGGTTATTGTGGAATCATTAACTCTGAAAACCCAAAAAGCAACTGTCTAGCAGAGTCTCACATTAGCAAAGCGATGTGGCTTAAAGGTGAGAATGCAATGCTTTGAAGTCTTATATTCATTCTAATTCCAGCTTTGGCATTTACTGACTGTGTGGCATTGGAATAGTTATCCAGTCTTCTGTGCCAATTTTCTCATCTCTAAAATGGGGATGATAGCAGGATTGTGGTTAGAAATAATTTAAGTACAACAGCAGTACTAGAAATTTGGCCTGTATTCCATAAATGGTAGTTGCTACTTATCATCATCCTGAGAACACTCTAAACCAGCAGTTCCCAACCTTTTTGGTACCATAAATGGGTTTCATGGAAGACAAGTTTTCCATGGACCGGAGGAGAGGGGTGGAGTGGAGAGGGGGTTGTTTAGGGATGAAACTATTCCACCTTAGATCATCAGGCATTAGGTTTTAATAAGAAGTGCACAACCTAGATCCTGCGCATATGCAGTTCACGATAGCATTCATGCTCTTATGGTAATCTACTGACTGTTGATCTGACAGGAGGCACAGCTCAGGTGGTAATGCTCGCTTGCCCGCAACTCACCTCCTGCAATGCAGCCCGGTTCTAACAGGCCACGGACTGGCACCGGTCCATGGCCTGAGGGGTGGGGACCCCTGCTCTAAACCACATTTCACAATAACCAAACTGTAATGTCGCAGGATGGGGGACCACAGATTAGTGCTTCTCAAACTTGACTGCACATTAGAATCACCAGGGGAACTTAAAAAAATCCTGATGTCGAGCCAACTAAGTCAGAATGTCTTGGAGAAGGGCCCAGGCACTACTCCCTTTATTTTTTAGAATCCCTAAAAAATTCCAGGGTGCAGCCAAGTTCAAAAAACCTTGTTATGGATAACCAGCTGCCAACTAAAATCCACTTATTTCCACTCAAAGTATAGAGTAGTTGAGAAATGACTGCCCAGCTTGGTTTGGTCCTGTGACCAGTCCTAGCCAATGGAATGTGAGAAGTAATATGTGCCATGTTTCCCACAATAATTTTGTAACAGACATATTACCAAACCAGAAAACATTACTTCAACTATTTATTCTGTTCTCTGGTAAAACCTATCCAGTATCTTTTAAATTATGTACACCATTATAATTTGCACATTCCTTCAGATGTATTCTTTCAGCCTGATTCTTCCAATATTAGTGCCTCAAGGTACTTATCAGTGATAATGATAAACTGCAGAAAAGTCAACACCAGAATTTCTAGCAATGCTCTCCCTTTGTCCAGTTCTTAACTGAGTAAACATTCATGATCAAAAATCAACCAACCAAACAAAAAGCTCCTGGTTTTGACTGAGTCTTTACTTAAGGAAATCTCTATTCAGGGTTAACTTCTTGAACCAAAGAAAATAGTATTTGGTCAAATATACTTATGACTAAAATGCAATTTGGCAACTAGTAAGTCAAGTACTGGTGAAATTCTGTATCTAACCACATCCCATATTCTTCTGGTTTTATTCATACCTTATCAGTCACAACTACTTCTTCCTCCTCCTTAATTAGCAGTGTTTGGGTAAAACGTAATTATGTGAAGTTTTCTATATGGACCGCACTTTTACTGTCTTGTATTTAAATATAAAAGCCTTTTGCTTGAATTGCTTTTATGCCTGTCTCCATCCCAATCTTCCCTGGAAAGGCTTCCATGACTAGAGAAGCTGAGTTAAGGGCCTCTCTCTCCTCGATCCCAACTGCTAGAGTGTTCACTTTGAAAGATGGGCAGGAGTAGTATCCTATTCAGTGTTGTACTCCCAATGCCAGGTCAGTGCTAGGAAGTAAAGACATACAAAAAGGGTGAAACAAAGATCTCTAATTCCGTGGATGTATTCCCTCCTTTTGAGGACCTAACGATACTTTACTCTTATTTCTTTTTGGAGAAGTCTCTCTTATCCACATTCTAGAAGACTATAGGTAATATGAAACTAGTATTTCTGAGAAAAATGAAATACTAGAACGAGGCAGGGAAAACTGCCTGAACTGTATCTTTAACAGAAAACAAGGATGGAATGCTAGAAAAATAAACATAAAATGTTACATTACTAAGACAATCCAACAAATGAATAACACAACTTAAATTCACATTTTTTCCCTCCAAAATATTATTTCCTCTTTAAAAGATACACACAAATCTTGAATTACAACAAATCCATGGTAGATCTGGGTTTAGGCTATTAAGGGCAAAAAGGATTACATACTTGCCATATTCCTGTCCAAAATGTTGTGTTATGGAAATGAAGCCCACTCATTACTAAGTACTAGGAAGCTCTTAATGACCCAGGGTTAACATAATCTTTTCCTTTTCTGTAGAAATAATTCCAGCAAGGTGAGAGTATTTTCTTCTACTGAATGCTAAAATATGCTAGTTACATAAACTTTAAAAATGCCCTCATAAGAAGCTTTTTCACCAGCAAATTGTTTCCCCTAAATCTTACTGGCCTAAACTCTTAATAATAAAAGTTTTGTTTTAATAATTCTGTAAGTCCAGCTCCTTTCGGGTGGACAAAGAGGATATACAAGAGCATCTCTCAAAAGTAAACTATTTTATTCTCAATTGCCAGCTTACTGGTTAACTGGTCCTTTAAAGCTCTAGAAAGTGCAGGTTATCGAGCACAGACATAATCATTACAATACTGCTCAGGACTGCTCTGTCTCCAGCATGTTTACTAATCATAAACTAAATAGTCTTTTTTGTGACAGTAGAGATATCATGGATCGTTTCTATTCAAGAGTTTCATCATTCCTACTAATGCCCACTGGAATAATTTAAAGTAACAGTAATAACTTTATCTTATTTTGTTCAGAAAAAGCCCCAAGTTCCTTAAGTTCCTTAAGTACAAGTTGGAAGGCATCAAACATCTCGGATTTCTACCTCGTGCTAATGTCAAACTACTTGGAAAAAGGGCACAAGCTTCCTGGTCATTATTTAACTGATCATTATACAGTGACTATTAATCATCAAATAACACCCTATCTTCGTTCATAAACATAGCAACTACCAGTCAAACTGTACAATGTCAAAGAGTGGTTCTGAATTCGAATGTAATTAATCTGGCTCCAAAGGTAACGGAGAACTTTGAGTGGGACTGAGAAACCTCTGCCTCCCCTTTTACTAATACAATGCCGCGCACAAAGAAGGGAGGCGGCGACCCAGTTCCAGCCTCCGGGGGTAGATCTGCGGCGCACGGTACCCACTCAGTTATCTTCCGAAAGACCCACAAGCGGCTCCCGGAGTCTGAGCGGGGCTGTCAGCGCCGGATCGCTCCCAGCAGGCCGAGCAAACAAGCGACCGCGAGGCCAAGGAGCGTGACGACGGACTCCCGGATCCTAGTGTGTTGGACGCTCGAGACAAACACCGCAGGCCCCAGTGCATGAGGAGAAGCACAGCCTCCTTTCCCACGACCCCACTTTATCCCCGGAGGGACGTGGTGGTCCGAAGTTCGCTAGTCCGGGATCGGGAAGAGGTGGGGAAGACTCGCGCAGCGGCTCCCTCTCAGCCCTTGAGCTTCCCGGGCTCCAGGACAACCAGCGTCCTCCCTCCCTGGTCCCGGAGGCCAAAGACCACCTCCCTCCCTCCCTCCCGACCTCTGACCCCTGACCTTCCATCACCCAAGCGCCTACCCAAGCTGGTTCTCCGAGCCTCTTGAGTCTGTTTGCACCAGGCCTGCGCTCCTCTACAGACCCAGCAGATCACGGGCACGCATTCGCCACCCACCGAACATGGGCTTGAGGTGGGCACGAGCGCTTTTTGCCGGAACGTGTAGGGGTCCCCCGGGAGACCCAGAAACCACAGCGCCTAGCTGCCGGGCGCGCGCTGTAGCGTGGGGTCAAGGCGAACGCGCTCGTCAGAGCACCCCGCCCCCTTTCTCCTGCGCTGGCTTCATGAGTCTCTTCTGCGCAAGTTCACACTGTTAAAAACTTGCTGAGGATACAGTGGAGTCTCGCGATAGCTCTGCCCCACGCCATTAGAGAACACAGGATGGCCGAATGCCCGAAGTAGGGGGCGGGGCTCCCCTTGAAGCGAAGGGCGTGTGTGATTTGTATCTCTAATAAAAAGGCAGGGGCCAGGAGCGGTGGCTCACGCCTGTAATCCCACCACTTTGGGAGGCCGAGGCGGGCGGATTTCCTGAGGTCAGGAGTTGGAGAACAGCCTGGCCAAGATAGCGAAACCCCGTCTCTACTAAAAATACAAAAATTAGCCGGGCGTTGTGGTGCGCGCCTGTAGTACCCGCCTGTAGTCCCAGCTGCTCGGGAGGCTGAAGCAGGAGAATGCTTGAACCTGCGAGGCAGAGATTGAGTAAGCCGACATCTCCCCACTGGGTGATAGAATGAGACTCCGTCTCACAAAAGAAAAGCAGAAAAGAATTCTGCAAAAGCATCTATTTTACTGCTATAAAGCAGCCACTAAGTAGGTACGAATAAAGCTTCTCCCCCTCAAAAACAGACTTTAAAGGGAAATGTGAATAAATATTCAAAGATGAGAGAAACTATTAAATACATGTGTTGCGCTGAAGCTGGCCTTCCACTATTGGTCTTTTTTCCTCTCACCTCTTCCTCATAGAAGTGACCTTAATGTTGGAATAACTCTGAGAGGCTTCAGGGTCAGGAGCCTGTGAAATAACCCTCAGGAAACACTGGGGACTCAGTACTTAGTTAGTGAGTACCTAATAGCAGCTTTTCTGCTGTGGAGGCCTTTTGGGTTGTGTGACCACAGAAGCACTTGAACTAAGTTCTTGTCCAAGTGAATATCGGTTGTAGTTGTGTTAGACAGTCCAGGGTAGTCCATATTTTACTTAGTATATTCCTTTATCACAGATACGAAGCTGTTTCCATAAGCAAATCCCCGCCTCCTTTTATTTTGCTTCCCTTTATTGTACTTTGCAGATAATATGTTTTCCTATAAATTGAAGTTTTTTGGCAACCTTACTCAAGCAAGTCTGTCAGCATCATTTTTCAAGCAGCATGTGTTCACTTGCTGTTCATCTGTTATGGTGATCTATGATTAGTTATCTTTGATGTTACTATTGTAGTTTTTTGGGAGCATTACAAACTCTGCTCATAGAAGATGCTAAACTTAATAAATGTTGTGTGTGTTCTGAAAGCTTCACTATTGGCGCCTGTCTCTCTTCCTCTCTTCAGGCCTCCCTATTCTTTGAGACACAACAATATTGAAATTAGGCCAATTAATAACCCTACAATGGACTATTAAGTGTTCAAGTAAAAGGAAGGGTGGCACATCTCTCACTTTAAATCGAAAACCGAAGGAATTTAGTGAGGAAGCCATGTCAAAAGCTGAGATAAGCCAAAAGCTAGGCCTCTTGTACCAAAGTTAGCTAAGTTGTGAATGCAAAGGAAAAGTTCTAGAAGGGAATTAAAAGTGCTACTCCAATGAAAACACAAATGATAAGAAAACGAAACAGCCTCATGCTGATATGGAAAAAGTTTTAGTGGCCTGAATAAAAGATAAAACCAGCCTCAGCATTCCCTTAAGCCAAAGCCTAATCCAGAGCAAGGCCCTAACTTTTTTCAGTTCTGTGAAGGCTGAGAGAGGTGATGAAGCTGTAGCAGAAAAATGTGAAGCAAGCAGAGGTTGGTTCATGAGATTTAAGAAAAGAAGCCATCTCCATAACATCAAAGTACAAGGTGAAGGAGCAAGTGCTGATGTAGAAGCTGTGGCAAGTTTTTCAGAAGATCTAGCTAAAATAATTGAAGCAGGTGGCCACACAAAACAACAGATTTTCCATGTAGATAAGACAGCTTTCTATAGAAAGAAAAGGCCATCTAGGACTTTCATAGCTTCTAAGCTTCACAGGACAGGTTGACTCTCTTGTTAGGGGCTAATGCAGCTAATGACTTGAATTTGAGGCCAATACTCATTTATCATTCTGAAACTCCTAGGGCCCTAAAGAGTTATGCTAAATCTATTCTGTCTGTACTCTATAAATGGAACAATGAAGTGTGGATGACAGCACATCTACTTAACAGCATAGATGTACAGGATATTTTAAGCCCACTGTTCAGACCTACTGCTCAGAAAAAAAAAAGATTCCTTTCAAAATATTACTGCTCATTTATAATGCACCTGGTCACCCAAGAGCTCTGATGGAGATGTACAAGGAGATTAATGTTGTTTTCATGCCTGTTAACACAAAACCCATTCTGCAGCCCATGGATCAAGAGTAATTTTAACTTTGACATCTTATTATTTAAGAAGTAATAAGGCTATGGATGACATAGATAGGAATTCTTCTGATAGATCTAGACAAAGTAAATTAAAAACTTCTGGAAAACATCCACCATTCTGTATGTCATTAACAACATTTGAGATTGGTGGGAGAGGTCAAAATATCATTAATAGTAGTTTAGAAGAAGTTGATTCCATCTCTCAGGAACTCAAAGTCTCAGCTTTGAAGGGATTGAGACTTCAATGGAGGAAGTAACTGCAGATGTGGTGGAAACAGCAAGAGAGCTAGAATTAGAAGTGGGGTCTGAAGATATGACAGAACTGCTGCAATCTCATAGTAAAACTTTAATGGATGAAGAGTTACTTCTTATAGATAAGCCAAGAAACTGGTTTCCTGAGATGGAATATACTCCTGGGAAGATACTGTGAACGTTGTTGAAATGACAGCAAAGATTTTAAAATATTTCATAAATTTAGTGGACAAAGCAGTCCAGAGTTTAAGGGGATTGACTTGAGTTTTGAAAGAAGTTCTACTGTTGGTAAAATGCTATCAAAGAGCAGTTCATATCATGGAGGAATATTTTGTGAAATAAAGAGTCAATTGCTGCAGCCAACTTTTTTAAGCAATATTTTTTAAGCAAGATTTTTTTTAGCAATACAATATTTTTTAAGTTAAGGTAGATACTTTTTTTAGACATAATGCTATTGCACACTTAACACACTACATTGTAGTGTCAGTGTCACTTTTATATGCACTGGGAAACAAAAAAAATATCCTGTGACTTACTTTATTGCAATATTTGCCTTATTGTGGTAGCCTGGAACAAAACTTGTGATATCTCCAAGGTATGCCTATAGATGGAAATCAGTTACCTTATTCCAGGATTTATGAGGCAAGCTGGAAAAAGTAGTGCTAATGCTGGAACAGTGGGCAAGTAGGATCCTCCTTCCTTGGCAAACCAATCATTTTATCAAATACAAGGTGATGTAACCTTGCTTCTGAAAGTGTAATTTGCAACTTGCTATTTAAACATATGATGTGCTGAGTAAGGTTATCTTTGATAGTTTTATGTCACTTCTCATCATTGGAGCAGATAATTAGGCCCAAAGTTTGGCTGAGTCTATCCAACTAGTGCTAGGCAGAAATATTTAAAAATAAGCACAGCATCATTTCACCTTTGTTCACCTTGATTGGGGTAATTTATATATGTAATCATGGTAATGTCCATGCAAGATATTAAACTTCAGATCCAGTTGTCTGTCGTATGGAGATGCAATTTCAACTGTAGAGATGGAATTCTGTATACTACCATTCAGTGATTAGAATGAAACAAAATTCTTTTAAATTTTCCAGTGTTCAATCCTATATTTACCAAATGCTCTGCCTATTCTTTGAAAAATTTCTCTCTGGAATAATATTTTTCATCAGAGCTAATTTCAGAAAACATGGTTCATGATTGCACCTTGGCTCTCTGGCAGCTCCCAGCTGTGAGACACCTGTTCACCCCTGAGTACACTGAGTTCATCCACCTATTAGATGCTAGTGATCTAATGACATTCCGCAAATCAGAATGAACTGATTGGACATCGTGCATCTTGACAGTGAATAACTCAGTGTTCACGGAGTTCATCTGCTCCTTCTTGAAACTATAACATGAGATCAGTCAGACCACTTTCTTCCTTGTATGGTCTCACTAGCTTTAGCTGTAGGTTCATTTTCTTTTAGGGACAGTGGCTTTATTCTAGCCATACCCCTAACTGGGGCATCTATTTTACAAATGAATATTCTAAGTTGTTCTCAAGGAGGAGGACTAGTTGAGAGGGAGTAGAGGAGTTAAGACAAATTTAACTCCCTTTAGGGACAGAAACAAGATAAATGATGATTTATCAGTGAAGAACTTTATATTTTGCAAAGCCCTTTTATGTTTATTTTTTTATTTGATCCCTAGACTAGTAATAGGCTTTTAAAATTTCCATTTTACAGGAGAGCAATCTGAGACTCAGAAATTTGGTAATTTGCCACAATTTAGCTGTAAGAGAACAAGAGGACCTAAAACTCTTTATTCCTCTGTCTAGGCTATTGTCTCTTATTACTAAATCATGTTGTCTATCAAATAAAAATATACAACTTAGTCCTCAAACTTACTAAGTAATCATGGGCAAACTGAAGGCAAGAGGTGTGTCATTACTTAATGACATAGGGCTTGTATATCAACAATAAGGATCATTCAGTACAAACACTGTGTTCTCCTGAATAGATCATTAACAAAATGACTAGAGAAATTTATTCTGTATTCTACCTACCTTTGCCAGCTCTCTGGAAACAAAGTAGGTGGCCCACCCAGTATGATTGGGGATTCCCAAAGATGACTCCTTGTTGCCAATTCCTACTACCAACCTGTCTTGGGACTGCTTTCCCTTCTGACAAATTGAAAATATTAGGATCAAAGTCTCCGCTATTCTGGAATGAATTACAACGTCCAAAACCACTGGTAGAATGCATGTAGTACCAAAAAAAGAGTGGGAAGAAGAAACATGGTCTTGGAAAATTGGTGCTAGCAGGGGTCATCAGCTATGCTGAAAGGAGTGGTATCAGATCAACCAAACATAAAATGGTACCAAGGGTCGGACATGCTTTGCAGGAGCATGAGCAGGATATATCAGGGACAGGAGGTGTGCGAATTGAACCCAAATCCTCATATTTAGAACTTTACAGCTTTTCCCTAGACTAGACCTGGGTAGATTTAATTGTTAATTTTGTTTCATTTTTCCTTGATGATTTACAAGTTGGATTGGTTTCAAGCCCAAAGTTTGTTCGGTCTCCCCTGCTGCAAGCTCAGCCTGAAAACTAAAACCTCAAGCTGTGTTCCTTCTGCCTCTCATAACTTCTAAAGCAAAACTTGTAGTCTGTACACAAAATGCTGCAATGGACATGAACCTATGACAGTGTTTGTTTTAGGTGTGAATAAAGCAACGATTTAAATTAGGTAAAAGCAAGAAGGTTGAAGGTGAATCTGCTGGTAAGGAAAGATAGGAGATTATATTCAGTGTTTAACAATGAAGATAGTATAATCTGTATCATAGGCTCTCCTTCCCACCATCCCAGAGCCTCCCCACCCTCCATACCCAACTGTTACATTTTCCCCTAAGGCATATTTTTTCAATTAATCTTGTCAGTATGGTGTTAGGCATTAAAGAATAGGAATATTGTCGACGACTCTGTCGATACTTATGACTCTGAGTAATATTTATTATGCAGTTTTGAGATCTACAAGTAAAATATTCTCTGAGTATTTCAAGGGTCACAATCGTGTCATTTTGAAGTACAAAAATAGTGGATAGCACTTTCAGAATGCATCTAAGACCTCAAGAAATCTTTTTTTTTTGATGTATATATATAAATTTATTATACTTTAAGTTTTAGGGTACATGTGCACAACGTGCAGTTTTGTTACATATGTATACATGTGCCATGTTGGTCTCCTGCACCCATTAACTCTTCATTTAACATTAGGTATATCTCCTAATGCTATGCCTCCCCCCTCCCCCCTCCCCCCACCCCACAACAGGCCCCAGTGTGGGATGTTCCCCTTCCTGTGTCCATGTGTTCTCATTGTTCACTTCCCACCTATGAGTGAGAACATGCGGTGTTTGGTTTTTTGTCCTTGTGATAGTTTGCTGAGAATGATGGTTTCCAGCTTCATCCATGTCCCTACAAAGGACATGAGCTCATCATTTTTTATGGCTGCATAGTATTCCATGGTATATATGTGCCACATTTTCTTAATCCAGTCTACCATTGTTGGACATTTAGGTTGGGTCCAAGTCTTTGCTATTGTGAATAGTGCTGCAATAAACATACATGTGCATGTGTCTTTATAGCAGCATGTTTTATAATCCTTTGGGTATACATCCAGTAATGGGATGGCTGGGTCAAATGGTATTTCTAGTTCTAGATCCCTGAGGAATCGCCACACTGACTTCCACAAGGGTTGAACTAGTTTACAGTCCCACCAACAGTGTAAAAGTGTTCCTATTTCTCCACATGCTCTCCAGCACCTGTTATTTCCTGACTTTTTAATGATTGCCATTCTAACTGGTGTGAGATGGCATCTCATTGTGGTTTTCATCTGCATTTCTCTGATGGCCAGTGATGATGAGCATTTTTTCATGTGTCTTTTGGCTGCATAAATGTCTACTTTTGAGAAGTGTCTGTTCATATCCTTTGACCACTTTTTGATGGGGTTGTTTTTTTTTTTCTTGTAAATTTGTTTGAGTTCATTGTACATTCTGGATATTAGCCCTTTGTCAGATGAGTAGGTTGCAAAAATTTTCTCCCATTCTGTAGGTTGCCTGTTCACTCTGATGGTAGTTTCTTTTGCTGTGCAGAAGCTCTTTAGTTTAATTAGATCCCATTTGTCAATTTTGGCTTTTGTTGCCATCGCTTTTGGTGTTTTAGACATGAAGTCCTCGCCCATGCCTATGTCCTGAATAGTATTGCATAGGTTTTCTTCTAGGGTTTTTATGGTTTTAGGTCTAACATTTAAGTCTTTAATCCATCTTGAATTAATTTTTGTGTAAGGTGTAAGGAAGGGATCCAGTTTCAGCTTTCTACATAGGGCTAGCCAGTTTTCCCAGCACCATTTATTAAATAGGGAATCCTTTCCCCATTGCTTGTTTTTGTCAGGTTTGTCAAAGATCAGATAGTTATAGATATGCAGCATTATTTCTGAGGCCTCTGTTCTGTTCCATTGGTCTATATCTCTGTTTTTGTACCAGTACCATGCTGTTTTGGTTGCTGTAGCCTTGTAGTGTAGTTTGAAGTCAGGTAGCGTGATGCCTCCAGCTTTGTTCTTTTGGCTTAGGATTGATTTGGCGATGTGGACTCTTTTTTGGTTCCATATGAACTTTAAAGTAGTTTTTTCCAATTCTGTGAAGAAAGTCATTGGTAGCTTGATGGGGATGGCATTGAATCTATAAATTACCTTGGGCAGTATGGCCATTTTCACGATACTGATTCTTCCTACCTATGAACATGGAATGTTCTTCCATTTGTTTGTATCCTCTTTTATTTCACTGAGCAGTGGTTTGTAGTTCTCCTTGAAGAGGTCCTTCACGTCCCTTGTAAGTTGGATTCCTAGGTATTTTATTCTCTTTGAAGCAATCGTGAATTGGAGTTCACTCATGATTTGGCTCTCTGTTTGTATGTTATTGGTGTATAAGAATGCTTGTGATTTTTGCACATTGATTTTGTATCCTGAGACTTTGCTGAATTTGCCTGTCAGCTTAAGGAGATTTTGGGCTGAGACGATGGGGTTTTCTAGATATAGAATCATGTCGTCAGCAAACAGGGACAATTTGACTTCCTCTTTTCCTAATTGAATACCCTTTATTTCCTTCTCCTGCCTGATTGCCCTGGCCAGAACTTCCAACTCTACGTTGAATAGGAGTGGTGAGAGAGGGCACCCCTGTCTTGTGCCAGTTTTCAAAGGGAATGCTTCCAGTTTTTGCCCATTCAGTATGATACTGGCTGTGGGCTGGTCATAGATAACTCTTATTATTTTGAGATACGTCCCATCAATACCTAATTTATTGAGAGTTTTTAGCATGAAGAGTTGTTGAATTTTGTTAAAGGCCTTTTCTGCATCTATTGAGATAATCATGTGATTTTTGTCGTTGGTTCTGTTTATATGCTCGATTACATTTATTGATTTGCATATGTTGAACCAGCCTTGCATCCCAGGGATGAAGCCCATGTGATCATGGTGGATAAGCTTTTTGATGTGCTGCCCGATTCAGTTTGCCAGTATTTTATTGAGGATATTTGCATCGATGTTCAACAGGGATATTGGTCTAAAATTCTCTTTTTTTGTTGTGTCTCTGCCAGAAATCTTACTCATAATAATCTTAACATAAAATGATGCTTGCCAGAAAATGAAGAACCTTTCCAAAGCTTCCGTCCACTAGCAGGGCAGCGCCATGCTCTGACTTCCACATTTGTGTGTTGTTTAGGTCACCTTGGGACAATGACAAAATTAGATCTGAATTCCATTTCCTTTAAGCCCTGTTAAATTTCTGAACTCCTCATTAGGCCTTTAAATAAATTTAAATTCTTAAATATTTTTAAATACCACACAATAATAGTATATAATTACTAATTATGTTATTTTGTCTGTTTGTTCATTTGTTTTTTAGGATGGGGTCTCACTCTGTCTCCCAGGCTGGAGTGCAGTGGCGCAATCTCAGGTCACAGCAACCTCCGCCCCCTGGTTTCAAGCGATTCTCTTGCCTCAGCCTCCTGAATAGCTGGGCTTGCAGGTGCGTACCACCACACCTGGCTAATTTTTATATCTTTTAGCAGAGACAGGGTTTTGCTATGTTGGCCAGGCTGGTCTCGAACTCCCAACCTCAAGTGATCTGCCTGCCTGGGCCTCCCAAAGTGCTGGGATTATAGGCGTGAGCCACTGCACCCGGCCTAATTATGTTCTTATGCCATAACACCCCCATGTTGACTATGAGCTCCTGGGAGTTCATTTTTAAAAAATTAACCAAACCATCCAACCATCTCAGGTAACTCCAGTGAAACCAATACAGAGACAGATGTTTGGGAACCACTTGAGCAGATAATCTCCAGCTTATGAACTAATTGATTCCTGGTTGGCTAAAAAACTGAGCTTATGTAAATCAAACCCTTATTTCTTGTAGCCACAGTGTTATAAACTGGGACTTCATTCCTGGAAATCTGTTTCATACCTTTAACATACCAAAAGTGTCATGAAAATAAATAGAAAAAAACCTCCACAAATACAGGTGTTAACAACCGTATCTTAAGTACATGAAACAAAACTCCTAATTGGAAAATATATCCTAAATAATGTTTTGAGAAAATTTTCAGCATTGATTAAAATGCCTGAAGTGTCTTAAAACATGATTTCAAAGAAGTTGGGACTGAAGATGCCTTTTTTGAAAAATAAATATTTCAGAAATGAGTATTTTTAGATATTCTTCATGTTCCCAAATACTATTGAATTACCTTAAAATTTGGAGACCTCTGAATTACTCAGCCTTTTGAGTAATTGTTATTTTAATGAAGTCTTCTCTAGCTATATAATATGGTTCTCTATTTTTTGACAGTACTGATTTTTTGAAATGATATTTCTCTTGTCCAGAAGGAGAAGAATGTAGCTAAGAAGACAAATTAAAATGTAATTGTCCAATGGGTTCAAACAGAATGAATTGACAAGGAAAACAATTCACCAGTTGTGTTGTGCTGATGGGAATCACTTTTCTGGATGGGTCAGACAACGTAAAGCTTTCTAATTTTCCCAAATGATAATAAAGAGATTTGGGTGCCTCAATTATTTCCCTCCTTTCCTGTGGGGTACTGTAAATATAATAGTTGTGAGTTCATGAAGTAAAGGTGAGTTGCAGAAGTACAGACCAAAGGAGTTTCCTTTGGATTCACATCATTTAGGGCTCTTTTTTTTCGCTTACAAATAGAAAAAGCATACAGAGGCCGGGTGCAGTGGCTCACGCTTGTAATCCCAGCACTTTGGGAGGCTGAGGAAGGCAGATCATGAGCTCAGGAGTTTGAGACCAGCCTAGCCAATATGGTGAAACCCTGTCTCTACTAAAAATACAAAAAAACCTAGCTGGGCATGGTGGTGCGCACCTGTAGTCCCAGCTACTCGGGAGGCTGAGGCAGGAGAATCACTTGAACCCAGGAGGTGGAGGTTGCAGTGAGCCGAGATTGGGCCACTGCACTCCAGCCTGGACAATAGAGGGAGACTCCGTCTCAAAAAAAAAAAAAAAAAAAAAAAGAAAGAAAGAAAGAAAAAGAAAAAGGATACAGAATCAGACCCTTGTCCAAGACACTGAAATTTAATGGGGAAAATCATAAAGACAAATTTTATCACAGTGGTTATATATTCTGCAATACATGGGGTGAGTATTGAGTATTTCCTAGCCAAGGGCATAGTTCTCAAATTTCTAGTAGAATGAATCAGACTCTGCAGACAGGTTAAAAATCTTTGTCCCAACACTTACTAGCTGCATTTCTTTGGACAACTCATTTCTCTTTTTGAGTCACAATTTAAAAAGTATAATTGGAATAGAAACACCTTCTTTAAGCTTATTGTGTACTGTATGCACATTTGCTCATATACAAGGTGGAAATTTTTTTGCAATTTTCAGAGCTGAAGCTCAGGAAAGCAAGAAAGAAAACGTCTCATGGTCAGGGGTTTTCAACCTCAGTGTTACTGACATTTCGCATGAGATAATTTGTTATGATGGGCTCCCCTGTGCATTGCAGGATGTTTAGGATCATCCCTAGTCTCTACCCACTAAATGCCAGTAGCAACCCCCGACCACAGTCATGACCATCAAAAATGTCCCCAAACACTGCCAAACATCCTCTGGGGGATAAAATCGCCTCTGGTTGAGAATCACTGAGCTAGATACTTGTATCTTTGAATCCTCAGTACCTACCAGATTACCTTGCAGACAGTAGGTGTTTAATAAATGTTTGTGTTAATGTAAGTGTTCACAACTGGGTTTTATTGGTAGGTAAATATCACTGATATAGACTTTGAAACTTTCATCTTTGGATGGAATATTCAGATGCTTTAGCATCATGTCCACTCTTTAAATAAAATTTGTCTAAATTATACTTATCTTTTCTAAACACATCTTGATAAGTGAAATGAGCTTATTTACTCTTTTCGTATGCTTTTCTTGTATATTTCTTAATGTTTCATATTTACTCATTAAGTTATATGATAGATACTGTGATGATTTATTTTCTGTACCTCAGCCAATGCCAATAATAATCCATACAGTGCAACCAACTTTGATGTAATTTCACATGTATGACATGACTTCATTTAAAGATTTTCTTTTCATAAGTTACTATAATTATGTCAATTTAAAGTTTTTATAAAGCTGGCATCTTTTTAAAAAATCTTAGATTATTAAATTGATGGGTGGTTTTGATTAAATGAATTTTCATGTGGACAGAGAAAAAGGTATGATGATTTACTTAGGATTGAAAAATCCTTGGTACAATATAGAGAATTTGCATTTACTGTATTGGGAACCTTAAATATACTGTGTTATCCTGGATTCTGAAGGGACACATTGAAAAATTGTGTTTTAAATTACTAAAGCTAGAATGTGAAAATGTCAATAGACATTTAATATTGGTAACAATTAATATTATCTATTAACAATAGATAATTAACATTAATTAGTATTATCAATAGATAATATTAACCTAACTTCTTCTGTGGCAGTAAATTTTGTGGGATATGGAAAACTGTCTAAAGCTATTCTCTTTACAAGTAACTCTTTTAAGATTTTTATTTTTGCTTGATTCTATCTTGGAAGGTTACTAATAGTTTATTTTGGGGGGTTTATCTAAGGGAGGAGTAGAGTTCTTAGCACATAGGAGGCATGGAGTAAGTTTCATTGTTCTACTCTCTATTCTTTACTCTTCTCAGCCCCAATGTCTGCTTGATGACCAAGTTCTGACCATGAACTTTCATTATCCTAGTTCATATTGCCTTAGTCCATATTCCCACTGGAGTACTGCAACAGATTAAAGGTCACCCTGCCTCAAGTCATGTGCCCCTCTACTCAATTCCTTTTCACATGTCAGTATTTTTTTTAAACATATCTGATTAAATTATTTCTTCTGCTTACTATTCAATAACTCCACATTTCCTTCAAGATAAAGTCTGAATTCGCTTGATCAGTAATGAGTTTTCTGACCTGGCTTCTACCTATCTGCCTTTCTTTATCCTTCATTATGTTCTTGAATTCTGTACTGAAACCATACTGGGTTACTTGAAGCTCCTCTAGCACTATTATCTCCTCTCCAGGTATGTATACATGCTTCTACTTCTGTCTATAATAATCCCATCCATGGCGGGGTGTGGTGGCTCACACCTGTAATGTCAGCACTTTGGGAGGCCGAGGTGGGCGGATCAGGAGGTCAGGAGATGGGGACCATCCTGGCTAACACAGTGAAACCCCGTCTCTACTAAAAATACAAAAAATTAGCTAGGCATAGTGGTGCATGCCTGTAGTCCCAGCTACTCGGGAGGCTGAGGCAGGAGAATTGCTTGAACCCGAGAGATGGAGGTTGCAGTGAGTGGAGATCATGCCACTGCACTCCAGCCTGGGAGACAGAGTGAGACTCTGTCTCAAAATAAAATAATCCCATCCAATTCAGGCCAGCTCACAACTTTTCACTCCTTTCAAACTCACTGGGCCTTGTTTCAGACTACCTTGCCTTGACTTTCCTAGTGTGAGTTACTGTGCTCCTTTTTTTGTTTTCTCAGTATATTATGGAGGTGCCTCTCATGACATTTTTGGCACTGTACCATAATTGGCTATTTACTTGTTCGTCTCGTTTTTAGTAGACTGTAGGCTCCTTGAGGGCAAGGGATATGTCCTATTCATCACTGAATCCTCATTAACAGGGAGCCAACTCAGTCAGTAAATTTAAGTTCTTCTCTTCCTTCTGTTCCAGGTTAGGATCAGAGGACATATTTACTCTGAACATGATATGTTCAGCTTCATTTTCTGGATTCTGGAGGTTGATGTCAAGAATGGTAAAAATGATTCTGATTGCATTGAGTGACCTTATCCTGAGGGTGAGAGAACTGCCTGTTGGAGGGGCTAACCTGTTTGCATCTGTCAAAATTATACTGTCAGCCTAGCTGACTGCCCTGTGGAAAAGTATTTATCTTAATATAAAAAAAGTAGGCATCTCTTAGATAGTACTGTCCAATAGAAATATAATGTGAGCTACATATGTATTTTAAATTTTCTAGTAGCCAGATTTAAAAAGTAAAAAGGAATAGGTGAAATTAATTTTATTAATAATTAATTTAATTAAGAAATTTTATTTAGCCCATTATACTCAAAATATTATCATAATGTAATTGTTATAACTGTATTTTTATTGTAACATATAATCAATATAAAAGTTCTTAATGAGATATTTTATATTCTTGGTTTTTGTACTTGATCTTTGTAATATGGTTTCTATTTTATTCCTATAACACATCTCAGTTTAGACTAGCCACTTTCAAGCACTTAAGAGCCACATATGGCCAGTAGCTACCATATTGGACAGTGTAGCTTTAAAAGCTTAAGTAGAACATGTTAACATAGAATAGGACTGCAAACATTTCCAGGGTTTTCCTTCAGAATCCTTGATGCTGAACTGAGATGTCTGCCCCTTAATGAAGGAGAAAACTAATGAACAACAGGTCACAGGATTGAATAGTAAGAAGAGTGAGGAAATATACATGAATGGCATCACGGATCTGGTAGGTCTCAAGAAGCAAAATCCAATTAAGAGAAAGTCCTCTTAATCATGTTTGACTAAGGGCCAGATGGCCTGATGTAGCACTTTCTAGACTGTGTGAGATGCCAACAAAGATTCCAGGGAAAAGGGTTCAGTGGCCAAATGTGTCTGACTAATAATAGGTTAAGTAGGTGGAGGTGTAGCAGGTTTTTTCCCTGAATGATTTGCAATAGTTTAAAAAATATATGTATAGTTAAAATTATACAAGTAGTCCATGAATGTATTCACTTAAAAAATTAAAATACTATGAAGTCTCTCCTAGATGCTTAATCCTACTTCCTACTCAAAGTGTGTATCATCCCAAATTTTATTGCTGTATTGGAAAAGATCTTTCTAGATCTTTTTCTATATATTTATGAACACACATGTGCACTTAGAAATACTTATAGTGTTTTTTGTTGGATCATACCATAATAGTGCTCCTCTTTATTTTTTTCATTTAACAATATATCTTGGATTTCCATATTAGACACACACACACACACATGCACACACACACATAGCAAGTCAGGGTTTCAGCATAAAATAGAATGCGATTGAAATGGTTCAAGAGACTTTAGTGAGGAGTCTACCATAGAAGAATTGGCAGGATCGAGGGAGCTAACATGAGAGAGTGAGCCACCCAGAGACTAGCAACAAGGGAAGCAGTTATTAGCCCTAACCTGAAGAGGGAAGAAGAAATAATATTACTTACAGAGAGAGCTGGCTGTCCAAAGGGAGCTGGAGTCTTAGAGGGTTGCAGCTGTGATCAGAAATGAAGTACCAAGCAGGGAGAGAACAGGTGAGAAATTGTCTGACCTGTCTTCCTATCTTCTACTGGTATCTCCTGTTGGCTGAATATCATGGAAAGCCAGCTGTGATGCAGCTCAGGTGATGAGTTTATAGAAATCAATCTCTCAGGGAACAGTTTAGAGCAGAGAAAGGCAGAAAATGTCTCTTGGGATCGATTAGAAACAGAGACCAACCAACTGTCACTATTGCCTTTTTTTTTTTTTTTTTAGATGGAGTGTTGTTCTGTCACCAAGGCTGGAGTACAGTGGTGTGATGTCTGCTCACTGCAACCTCTGCCTCCTGGGTTCAAGCGATTCTTCTGCCTCAGCCTCCCGAGTAGCTGGGATTACCGGTGCAAGCCACCATGCCTGGCTAATTTTTGTATTTTAGTAGAGATGGGGTTTCACCATGTTGACTAGGCTGGTCTTGAACTCCTGACCTCAAGTGATCCACCCTCCTCGGCCTCTCAAATTCTGGGATTACAGGCATGAGTCATGGCGTGCAGCCTAGACAACTCTCATTACTGCCTTTCAAAGTTGCTATGCCGATTATTCTCCAGCCACCAGTATGTGAGAATACCTGTGTCCCCATAGAGCTGTGAATACTTGAGATCAAAGATTCCAGAGCTTTTCTTAGCTATTTGACCTTGGAACTCTTTTTTTTGTTCCTAAAATGCTAGTAACATCTTATTGACAAAACATATATTGGGAAACATCCATCTACTAGATAGAATAGTCTTTGGAACCATCCACTTAACAGCTGTGTGACTTTGGTCAAGTTCCTTAGCTGCTCTGAACTTCAGTTTCTTGGAATTAATAATGTCTACTTTGCAGGGTTCTTGACAAGACTAAATGTACTTAGGACAGTATCTGACCCATAGTAGAAAGAGAAAGTGGTAGCTAAAAATAGGGATTGTGGGAACAGAATGTATTTTACCAGGTTTTTAAGGATAAATTTCTTTTTCAATTCTTAAACTTTTCTACCAAATTTCCCTGTGGTCAGAGAAAGGTCTGCTATGTCATAGGAGCCTCAAGATGTGGCCTTTGAAGCCATCTAGCACACTTGTGAAATGGGTTTTATCTTTTAAAAATCACATAAGTAGGCCGGGCACAGTGGCTCATGCCTGTAATCCTAGCACTTTGGGAGGCCAAGGCTGGCAGATTGCTTGATCCCCACAGTTTGAGACCAGCCTGGCAACATGGCGAAATCCCATCTCTATTAAAAAAAAGATAAGTGAAAAGCATATAAGTATTATGTTCAAATCAATAATTCATTTTCTAAACTATAAAATATATTTTAATTGTCCAAATATTAATTATATTTTAATTTGGCCCAAGACTTCATGTAAAAAAATTACCATTTTACATGAAGCCTTTGGGCAAAATTTGTGAACAAGAAGATATGCCTTCTTTATGTCACAGTTTCAAAGTAAGTTGCCAATTATGCTACATTGAGGAACTCAGCTAGAAGCAGTACTGCCTTATTTATTTAAAGATTACTTCTGAGCAGAGGCGGAAGTTTCAGTGAGCCGAGATCGCACCACTGCTCTCCAGCCTAGGCGACAGAGGGAGACACCATCTCAAAAGAAAAAAAAAATACTTCTGAGCATATATTGAATGTGAGTCACCATGCTAGGAACTGGGAATAAAATGGCAAAATAGACAAAATTTTTCCCCTTGAGGAACTTAGAGTTGAATTGGTATAGGCAGATAACAACAAGCAAATCAACACAGAAGGAAGTTGATTATGGAAGTGATATTTACTCTGGAGAATTTTATGAAGAACCCATGCTGAAGTTTTTTTTATTATTATTATACTTGAAGTTTTAGGGTACATGTGCACAACGTGCAGGTTAGTTACGTATGTATACATGTGCCATGTTGGTGTCCTGCACCCATTAACTCGTCATTTACATTAGGTATATCTCCTAATGCTATCCCTCCCCCATCCCCCCACCACACAACAGTCCACGGTGTGTGATGTTCCCCTTCCTGTGTCCATGTGTTCTCATTGTTCAATTCCCACCTATGAGTGAGAACATGCGGTGTTTGGTTTTTTGTCCTTGCAATACTTTGCTGAGAATGATGGTTTCCAGTTTCATCCATGTCCCTACAAAGGACATGAACTCATCATTTTTTATGGCTGCATAGTATTCCATTGTGTATACGTGCCACATTTTCTTAATCCAGTCTATCATTGCTGGACATTTGGGTTGGTTCCAAGTCTTTGCTATTGTGAATAGGGCCGCAATAAACATACATGTGCATGTGTCTTTATAGCAGCGTGATTTATAATCCTTTGGGTATATATCCAGTAATGGGATGGCTGGGTCAAATGGTATTTCTAGTTCTAGATCCCTGAGGAATCGCCACACTGACTTCCACAAGGGTTGAACTAGTTTACAGTCCCACCAACAGTGTAAAAGTGTTGCTATTTCTCCACATCCTCTCCAGCACCTGTTGTTTCCTGACTTTTTAATGATCGCCATTCTAACTGGTGAGAGATGGTATCTAATTGTGGTTTTGATTTGCATTTCTCTGATGGCCAGTGATGATGAACATTTTTTCATGTGTCTTTTGGCTGCATAAATGTCTACTTTTGAGAAGTGTCTGTTCATATCCTTTGCCCACTTTTTGATGGGGTTGTTTGTTTTTTTCTTGTAAATTTGTTTGAGTTCATTGTACATTCTGGATATTAGCCCTTTGTCAGATGAGTAGGTTGCAAAAATTTTCTCCCATTCTGTAGGTTGCCTGTTCACTCTGATGGTAGTTTCTTTTGCTGTGCAGAAGCTCTTTAGTTTAATTAGATCCCATTTGTCAATTTTGGCTTTTGTTGCCATTGCTTTTGGTGTTTTAGACATGAAGTCCTTGCCCATGCCTATGTCCTGAATAGTATTGCATAGGTTTTCTTCTAGGGTTTTTATGGTTTTAGGTCTAACATTTAAGTCTTTAATCCATCTTGAATTAATTTTTGTGTAAGGTGTAAGGAAGGGATCCAGTTTCAGCTTTCTACATATGACTAGCCAGTTTTCCCAGCACCATTTATTAAATAGGGAATCTTTTCCCCATTGCTTGTTTTTGTCAGATTTGTCAAAGATCAGGTAGTTATAGATATGCAGCATTATTTCTGAGGCCTCTGTTCTGTTCCATTGGTCTATATCTCTGTTTTTGTACCAGTACCATGCTGTTTTGGTTGCTGTAGCCTTGTAGTGTAGTTTGAAGTCAGGTAGCGTGATGCCTCCAGCTTTGTTCTTTTGGCTTAGGTTTGACCTGGTGATGCAGGCTCTTTTTTGGTTCCATATGAACTTTAAAGTAGTTTATAAACCATTTCAGAGTGATTAAGGTTTCTCTACCCTAAAGGACCAGTTTTAGTTATTAAATTTCTCATTATCCTCATCCCTTTGATGGTGCACATTTCAAGGACATGTAATAGAATATTTCTAAAGTGACTGCTGGCTATAAAAAGTTATTAGAAAATTTAAGATATTAAAATGAATAATGGGAAAAACCCTATATTTGCAGATGTAAATAAACCTTGCTTTTAGGTTCTTGAACCATATGCTTTATTTTCTAATTAGAGATAAGTATAACTACATAAAATCAACAAAAAAGTTTCATTGCTATTATCTCTATTTTATGAGTTATTTTGCTATTTCAGTTTTCTTTTGTAACCTGGTATATTAAAGTCATTTGTAGCAAGTATCAAAATACCAATCTAGACCAGTTTCCTAACTTAGTCTGAGCTTGTCCTTATAATTTGATATCCTTCAATTTCTTGAGAAATTTGGATGCTTTGCATTTATGGGATCAAGTCTCACAGGAAAGTGTTGATCATCCACGTTTTGAAGAAAAATGCTGTGGCTTGGTAGAGACCCTGCCTGAAAGTTATAGGAGGCTTTGTTAGTTTAAAATAATGCACAGAAGAAGTCAAAATATACATGGCCAAATTCTCTACAGAGTTGAGTTCTCTGCTACTTTATTGCTAATGCAATGCCAAGGAAAATATATGAAGTCTATTTGGCAGAAGCACCGTAAACAGGCGCTGTAAGAATACCAGCAATATGAGAATAATTTAGAGAATACAGGAAATCCACACCCCTTCCTCTATCTCTAAATTATTCCCTTTTAGCCATCTTCTTGGTGTTTGAAACTATATTAGTATACAAATATTTATTTCTTTGAATTAAGATATCATATATGGGCCGGGCGCGGTGGCTCACGCCTGTAATTCCAGCACTTTGGGAGGCCGAGGCGGGCGAATCACGAGGTCAGGAGATCGAGACCATCCCGGCTAAAACGGTGAAACCCCGTCTCTACTAAAAATACAAAAAATTAGCCGGGCGTAGTGGCGGGCGCCTGTAGTCCCAGCTACTTGGGAGGCTGAGGCAGGAGAATGACGTGAACCCGGGAGGCGGAGCTTGCAGTGAGCCGAGATCCCGCCACTGCACTCCAGCCTGGGCGACAGAGCGAGACTCCGTCTCAAAAAAAAAAAAAAAAAAAAAAAAAAAGATATCATATATGCAGAAATCTTTGACACATGATAAATACTGTTCAGTAAATGTTTTACAGAATTGTCTGTCAAACACTACAAATTCTTGGGAACGTAAAGTGGAATGAGGTAGCATTTTTGTCAAATGTTGTCACTGTCTAGTAAGGAAAGGCAAACCTGTTAAAAACTGTGTAATGAACTTTTGTATGTGATATGATAGAAGTGCAGAATATTGTGAGGGCACAAATGAGGGTATGATAAACTCTATTTGTTGGGATGTTTAGAAATTCCTTCATAGAGGAAATGATAATTGTGTGTTGAAGGATTAATAGGTATGTTCCAGGTAAACAGGGATCTAGGGTATCCTAGACAAGAAGAGCCTCTTAAATCTGGAAGGCCTGGAAATGGAAAGCAGACTGCCTTATTTAAAGAGATTGCAAGCTGCTGGACACACGGGGAATGAAGAGTGAAAGTGAAGAGGTGGTGAGGCATGGACAAAAGATGAAGTAAGATACAAGAGTAGCTAAGGGTTTGAGTGTGGAAACGTTTTATACCATGACAAGGCATTTGGAATTTATCCCATTATCCATATGGAGACATGGAATTATTTTAATCAGGGAAATGATATGATCAGTTTTGTGTCTTACATAATTCTAGTCATGTTATGGAAGGTGGAACAGATGGGAAGACTGGAGACAGAGAGACCCTCAGGGCACCATTGCAGCTGGGGAGCTCATGTATGAGAAGGAGTTGAACTAAGGCAGCAATGGAGAGGAGAGGAGCTATCGAGAGTTGGGCAGTGCTTTTCACAGAAATAAGGAGTACATCAGCAGGTCCGATTTGGAGAGAAAGATGATTTCATCTTTGGCTGTGTTGAGGCTCAGGTATTGGTGAACACCCATTCACATAGGGGCACTTGATTTAGATGAGTTGAATGACTAAATGAATGACTACATGAGCATGGGGCTAGCAGAAAACCTGGGCTGGAGATAGAGATGTCATAAGCACATAGTTGGTAGTCGAAGTCAAGGGAAAGGCAAAGTAAATCAGTGACAACTTGTAAATCAGGAAGTGATGAGGACTAAGAATAGAACCCTGGGGAACACCACTAAATAAAGAGCAAATATAGGAGTAAGAGCTTAAATGGAGATTGAGAAGATATGAGCTGAGTGATAGAATGGGAAACCCAGAAAGCATAAAGTCACAGAAACCAAGTGGGGAGAGAGTTTTAATGATGAAGGAACAGTCAGCAGTTAAATGCTGGGGAAAGGTCAAGTATACAGGAACTAAAAAGATCCTATGGATCTTTTAGGAAGCCATCGATGACTTTTTTCTTGGAGAATTTAAGTAGTGGTAAAAGGGGAACTTGCTTGCAGTAGGGCTGAAGATTGTATAAGAGGTGAAGACAAGGGGTTGTCCAGTGTAGAGTCTTCTTTCTTGGAGGTGGTTTTGAGAGATACAGCAAGAGATGAAGAAGAATCTAGGATCAATGGAAGAATTTTTGTTTATGTCTTAAATTGTTTATTTTAATTGGGGAGAGTCTGGAGAATGATTATAGGAAGAGGCTCGAGGGAAAGATGCATCAAAGAGAAAAGTTGAAAATAAAGAGAGACGTCCTAGAGCTGGTACGATGCAAAAGCACAAAAGGGAACAGCCTAAAATAGGATTTCTGTATTATTCTTGCCAGAGTTTGAAGTCCATTTCTGCCTTCAGCACCACGGTCTTCCCAAATAGGGATCCATCCTGTGCTATTCATTCCATTCCCAGGCAAATCTACCTAAAACAAGCACTGAACTAGGAATGAGGAGACCTGGATTCTAGTCTCACATCTTGTCCCAGTGAGTTTTATAATCCTGGGTAAGCCACTTAACTTCCATGGCTCTCAGGTTTCTTATTTTTTGAAACTGTACGAGTTGAGTAGACTTTTTCCAGGTCTCTCTTTCTGTTTCTTTGACTGTTCTTGCATACTAAAATGTAGACATATCTGTTAACTGAAAACAGCTTAAAAGCCATCTGTCTTCAGGGTCATTTGTATTGTAATAGTATTCAAAACCTTTCAGAAAAGTTCTAACAATGTGGATTCCTGATACAAATAAGAAGTGGGAGATTTTGGAGGGCATTATAACTTCCTGGTACCCTGGAAATCATACCATGTAGACACTTTTTCTCATGTACGTAGAATTGGCCCTGCTTGCTTGTGTTTAAGATGAGAAGCAAGCTAAAGAACAGTCATTACAGTTTATCCCAGACCTTGGGAATAAGGTACTTTTCAAGCCTACTGGTAGTAACAGCTAATGATAACTACATCTTTCCAAAAATTCCTTGTCAAGCCAAAAGTGTTGGAGTCATCCCTGATTCTTAATTTCTTAAATTTCATCCCATGTTCAGAAAATGCTTTTGGCTCTACCCATAACATACATCCAGAGACTGCTCATTTCTCACTATCTCTACTGCTACCAGCCTGGTCTAATTAAGGCACCATTATCTTTTGTCTGGATTATTGTAGTAGTCTCCTAACTAGTCTCACTGCTTCCACTCATGCTTTTGATAAGTGTATTCTTATCAAAGCAGCCAGAATTGTCTGATTAAATCATAAGTCGGATCTTTCCTCTGTTCACAATCTTTCAATGGCTCCCCATTTGGAAAAAAAAAAAAAAAACAACAACAACCAAAGAACCAAACAAATCCTAATGGCCTACAAGGCTCTACGTGAACTGGTTTCCCATTTGCTTTCTGACCTCATTCCCTACTGCTCTTTCCCCCACTCTCTGTTCCAGACAAAATGACTTCCTGACATGTCTTCAGTCACATCGGGTACCCTCAAGCCCTAAGGCCTGTCACTGGATGTTTCTTCTGCTTGGAATACTTTCACCGATGTATTCTCAAGGGTAACTCCCTCAACCCCTTAAAATCTTTGTTCAGATGTCACCCTCTCAATGAAACCTGAATACCCTTTAAAGTTACATCCCACTCTATGGTGTCTACCTTACATTTCTGTTCCCTAACCTACAGTTCTTACTTTCTCAAGGGTACTTGTAGCATATTATGTAATTTATTTATTATGTTTAGTGTTTATCTTCTGTTTCTCTTTGGTAGAAAGAAGTCAGAGGTTTTTGTGTGGTTTGTTCATTGATGTATCCCAGTCACTTAGAAAAATACCTGTCATATAATAGGTACTCAATAGATATTGATCATTGGTAAATTCATAATAATAAAAATAACAATGGTCACTTACATTTACATAACAATTCAGAGTTTTTAAAACACATTTACTTTATTTTTAGAATGTTTTAGTAAATATAAAAATATCTTGGGAGAGGGTAACCCAATAAAACCAGGTAGAATGAGATTCACCAGGGAAAGCAGAGCCCCAAGGGACTGGGAGAAAGGGTATATACATTTGACAAGCAATGACCCTGCAAAGTCCAATATACCCAGATACTTGTGTGAAAAGTATCCAGTTGAATTAATGATTTGTTGGTTAGGGCTATAGAAAACAGGAAGATCATTCCAGAGGTGAGGTTAAGAAGGCATGAAAAATTACCATTGCCTAAATCACAATTTCATCTACATCTGCACCATTTTTGGACATTATAATCAGAGAATATTGGTGTTGATTGGTAAAGACAACACTTAAGAAACAGGAAAATTGGTTTACTTTTAAGTCATGCCCAGATTCTTATATATGCCTTATGCATTGAGCATACAAGAGGGAAAATACTATTTTGTAAGCAATTTGAGAATAACAACATAGGGGAATAGATACACTGGAAGACTGGGGCCTTTCTTTTTGAATGAGTACATTTTGTTTCTGATATATAGCCTAATGATTCTTTAGTGGCAACAGAAAAAACATCCCAAACCAATTTTGTTTTTGAAATATTAGCAAATTTAACTTGAGAATAGCAGCATTGGAAATATCTGTCTTATATACCTGTGGGAAGCAAAAATGGCTTCAACCTCCTTCAACAAACAAATATTTTATTTCTCCCTACAAAGATAAAATCTCCAACCAGAGAATAACCATTTTCCTTTAGCTGCAATAACTAGACTAGGCTATGAAGCAACTAGACAACTGGGATAGCTCCCTTGGTTAGAAAGACCTAATGCTGTATTTTATAAATTCTACCTGTGGTTATCTATCACACTTAATCAGTTTAATAAAATGAAAAAAACTGATTTTATAACTAGAACATGTGCTATGAATAAATTAAAAGTAAAAGATAATTCAATGTATGATTATATGCCACTTTTTCTCCAAAGTAAATCTGAATGTGTGTGTAGTTTATAGAAAGATATTATTTAAACTTAGATATTCAGTTAGAATATAGAAAGTAACATCTAAAAATATGTCATAAACATATTGAATTAACCGTTGTTCTTTTCGTATATATGATAGACTAAATTTAATTTTTAAAAAGCTTTTCCTTGAAAAAATGTACATGACATAAAACTGTTCTTGTAAGCTATTCTAAAATATTTTGTTGCCTTTACCTGCAAAGAAAATTTTTTAAAGTAAGAATTAGAACCATGTAGTGATTTCTCCCAAGTTTAGTACTCTATACCTCTGAAAAGTCAGACGTTCAAATTATTGAATTCTTTTTATATGATAACCTTAACTCCAAAGGTTAGTCTAACTCTAACTTTTCCAGTTGTAACACACCCTTTAGAACTTTATTTTATTTTTTCCTTGAATCTGTATTCCCAATTCTAGGAACTAAATGTTAAATAACTTGAAAATAAAATGTTTAGTTGTTTTTTTTTTAAAAAAAGTTGTTTATTCCCAATCCCTTGAAGTCACAACTATTAAAGACAATAAGACCAATCAATAATTATTACAGAAAACAATATTTAGCCTCTCACAATGGTAGAGAGATTATCGTCAATACAGAGTGTATTTGCATGTCCTGATATCTCGAAGGAAGTTATTCAGAGGTAAATATAATTTTTAAATAAAAAATGCATGGCTATTAATACTTTAACTGAATTTTTTAAAGCATGAGTTATCTTGGTTAGGAAGGATTTTACATGCAATTAACAGAATTTCTGATGAATTTTGGCTTAAATAATAAAGGCAAGAAGTCTGGAAGAAAGTGGCTGCAGGTTTGCTGTAGCAGCTGGTTCGTACATTTCACTTTGTTTGCACCTGCACATTTTCGTTGACTTTCCCTTCGTGGCCTCAGGACAGCTACAGCAGCTCTAGGCAGCAAAACTACACACTAGTATCTCAAGTAGAAAGAAAGGGGCAGGGGCACAAAACTTTCTTCTTGCAAGATATTTGTATCTTGAAACAAAATTTTTTCCAAAAGTTTCCAAACAGACTTTCCTTTAGGTCTCATTGAATGTAGCTGTTGTCACATGGCTATCTCTAGCTCCAAGGAATATGGGAAGGAGAGTTTGTAATGAAGGAGAATAGGAACATGGGATTTCTGTGACTGGTTTATATTATTCATGGGTCATTTTCTAGGGCTAGCAAAAAGTTCTACCTTCCCTCTCATCAAGGAATCTTAGCTACCTGAAAACAGCTGAGATTCTTTTAGCTAATACGTGACAAGATATAAAGTAACATTCTTCCCTGTTGCCCCCAGTTAATGGCTATGACCAAAAGTTTAAAATAAAACTAAAATGTATTCCTTCTATTACATTCCAAGACCCACCAGCAGTTGGGGCCAGCCGTCGTTCTTTAGGGCTCACTGAGATGTGCCAGTTCCAAGATGAGGCTCTGACACCACACCCCTGCCCACTTATTCATAGTCATTACAAGGGAGAGGGAGCGGGATTTGGAGAAATGCTGTGATTGTGAACAAAGTGTGTTCTCTCCTCTCTCTCTCCTCAAGCCCACAGCAAGAAGAAGATTGGCATTTCATTTCCTGAATGGTATCCACTCACATCTACCTCTTAGATTTCTTGAATCCTTTGGTAGCATAGACACAAGTGATCAAGTGAGCTCATAGAAACTACTAGTCACATTATCTAATTTTTCTCTTCTCTCTTGGAATATATGCTTATTATTTGGGATTATTTCATTGACTTGTGTGCCCAACAGTTCTGAATAGTTTTGTGGGGCACAGTTGTTAGAGGTTAATGGTGATACATTTGGGTGCTATTTGGAAGTGTTTCAGATTGGGACTTAGGAGTATCCAGATGATCTCTTCTGTCCTTCTCCCCTCCTTAAGGGTTTCTACACAAATCACATATCTAAGAAACAATAGCAGAATGGGGATCCAAGAACCGCATAAACAGTTACTGTGCATACTTCCAATAACCCTTTGGTAAAATAGAATTGGGGTATGCAACTTAGACTCAAGCCCTAAGCAGTGATCATATTATATTTTCTTCCATTCCTCATATGGTTCAGGTATGCTCAATAATGACAGAATCAGCACAGGGAAGAGGCAAAGAGAAGAAAAAGGTGTGTGAAAAATAAATATTTCTGCCAATAGAGCCACAGCCCTAGCTTGGGTTAGGATAAGGTTGTAAGAAGGTCTTTGATTCAAATGCAGAATTAAATTTTAAAATGAACACAACCAAGTTTAAAAAATCGAAATCAGACTGTTTTAATAACTCAAGGCAGCTAAAAAGATATATAATCTAGATAGGATAGTGAGAGGATAGTTCCTCAGAAGGAAAAGGAAGTTCAACAAAAGAGATTTGGTATAGCTTTATTAAAAAAAATTTCATCTTTGTAACTCAATGAATTCTGCAATAACCCAGTCATATAGGTCTGTTTATTGTGTTGTTTTTATGTCAAGTACATGGTTGTCATATCTGTGTTGGAGTGTATGCTTTTATATAAGCATATATTGTAGGTACTTATGAATTAATTTATTATTAGTTAGAAACTCAATATCTAAAATAGAAAACATATTAAAGGGCAGCACATTATTTAAATGGACACGCGGCACAGGAACCCTGGTCCTGGCCCACGAAACCATTTTTTCCTCCTAGGCCTTTGGGTCTGTGATGGGAGGGGCTGTTGTGAAGACCTCTGACATACCCTGGAGATATTTTCCCCACAGTCTTGGGGATTAACATTCAGCTCCTTGTTACTTATGCAAATTTCTGCAGCTGGCTTGAATTTCTCCTCAGAAAATGGGATTTTCTTTTCTATTGCACTTTCAGGCTACAAATTTTCCAAATTTTTATGCTCTGCTTCCCTTTTAAAACTGAATGCCTTTAACAGCACCCAAGTCACCTCTTGAATGCTTCACTGCTTAGAGATTTCTTCCACCAGATACCCTAAATCATCTCTCTCAAGTTCAAAGTTCCACAAATCTCTAGAGCAGGGGCAAAATGCTGCCAGTCTCTTTGCTAAAACATAACAAGAGTCACTTTTGCTCTGGTTCCCAACAAGTTTCTCATCTCCATCTGAGACCACCTCAGCCTGAACCTTATTATACATAACACTATAAGCATTTTTGTCAAAGCCATTCAACAAGTCTCTAGGAAGTTCCAAACTTTCCCACATTTTCGTATCTTCTTCTGAGCCTTCTAAACTGTTCCAACCTCTGCCTGTTATCCAGTTCCAAAGTCGCTTCCACATTTTCAGGTATCTTTTCTGCAATGCCCCACTCTATTGTTACCAATTTTCTGTATTAGTCTGTTTTCATGCTGCTGATAAAGACATACCTAAGACTGGGCAATTTAGAAAGGAAAGAGGTTTAATTGGACTTACAGTTCCACGTGGCTGGGGAAGCCTCACAATCATGGCAGAAGGCAAGAAGGAGCAAGTCACATCTTACATAGATGGCATCAGGCAAAGAGAGAGAGCTTGTGCAGGGGAACGCCTCTTTTCAAAACCTTCAGATCTCATGGGACTTATTCACTACCATGAGAACAGCATGGGAAAGACCTGCCCCCATTATTCAATTACCTCCCACCGGGTCCCTCCCACAACATATGGAAATTCAAGATGACATTTGGGTGGGAACACAGCCAAACCATATTAATAGTCATTGATTATTGCAAAATGTTTGGAATATATATAAAAGTCAGTGTTTAAAAAATATTTCTTTAATGAATGAATGAATGAGGGGCATTTTGCTTTGAGTCATTCAATGGACTGACTCCTGGACTTCCTAGTATTATGTCTTATTATGTCTCAGACAAAATTTGAGCTCTTCCTGTTGAAACAGAGACACTTAGCAAATAAGTTTTCAAAGCTATTTGAATGCTTTAAAAATAACACATTAAAAAAATAACATGTATGCAGGACAGATATATGAGCACACAGCCACCCTTTTATTTTTAAGCTTCAAAGTGAAATATATAATTACAATAAGGACCTGACCCCAAATTAAGAACTGAAAATACTTAGCAACCAGTCAGAAGAACAACATATATCCAGAAGCTATTTTCCTTAGCAGACTGTTTCTATGTTGAAATCTGTAATTGGCAAAAACAAAATAGAACAAAACTACATACAGAGAGGAAAATAGCCAGTTGCAATTCCTCTTTATCTTATAGACTTGTACTCCCTTGTTTTATGCACCCTGGAGCAGACTATCAGAACTTGGTAAAATTTCTGACTTGGAAATCCTAAAAACAAATTAACTACAAGCAAAACAAGATCATGCTAATTTAGATATAAACTTTGTTGGAGACAGTAGATAGTACAGATTACCTTTCCCAGTCACATCAACACTTGACTTTATCCCGAAATATAAGTCCTCCTTTTCTTCCAAGCTAATCTTGTTTCCCATTCCTATAATGACTTTTAGCTCTCAAATATAATATGTCCTATCTGGAAAGCCGTTCTCCCTGAAAAAACGTGTATCTTTTGACTAACTCATGTTTCTTTCTCCCCTTTTAAAACAAACTCAAAAATTGCCTCCTCTCTCAAGTAATCTCTGACTGATGCCCTTTGACCAGGATCCACTGCTAAGTGTCGCTTTAGTTCCTATGTGTCTAAGAAAATATTTGTCATTTATGGTGATGTTGCTTTATGTTGTTCTTACACTTTTCTGGCATTTTTATATTTGGAATTTTCATGTGATTTTTAATAGAATACCTCAAAAGTAATATCTGAGAAGAAAAAGTGATGTAGGTAATTTGGTTTTCTAGGATTATCTTATCACTTGGTTAGCATTAAAATGATTTGATTTTGCCAGGCATGCTTCTTAGAGTATATTAGAGTAGTGGTTCCTGATCAGGGATGCTGGGAGCATTAGAGTCTTCTTAAATATCATTTCATGGTCTATCAGAAAAATTTGTATTTTAAAAGAAGTCTGGCTGGGCGTGGTGGCTCATGCCTGTAATCCCAGCACTTTGGGAGGCCGAGGCGGGTGGATCACCTGAGGTCAGGAATTTGAGACCAGCCTGGCCAACATGGTAGAACCTCGTCTCTACTAAAAATACCAAAGATTAGCTGGACGTGGTGGCAGGTGCCTGTAATCCCAGCTACTCGGAGGCTGAGGCAGGAGGATCGCTTGAACCTGGGAGGTGAAGGTTGCAGTGAGCCGAGATTGCACCATTTCACTCCAGCCTGGGTGACAAGAGTGAAATTCTGTCTCAAAAAAAAAGAAAAGAAATCTAATGGAAGTTTTGTTTCCCGAAGGAAAGGCCACCACTTAGGCTAACTAAACCATTAGGGTTCTTTGCTTTTGTCTAGATGATGTTAATTTAACAGGATATTTTTGCATTGTTTTAAATGAAGTGGTGCAATTCTTTGCATCCATGAAGGTACTATAAAAGACATCTTGGTGGTGAAAGGATTGGTTACCATTCAAATAGATGCTTTTCAGGACTATGTTATTGGTAGCACATATTCTGCAATTTAGATATCTTATATATGATAATTTATATTTAAAAAGATGCTTCAACCCAATTTTTTTCTGTAAATACAACAATGAGAATAACAATGCGACTTTAGACTGCTTTCTCAAATAACAATGGTTACATATGTGGTGTCTTATGTGTGATAGGCAGTCTTTGGCACTGTTCATTCACAATCTCATGAATCTTGAAAAGTATTCCATGAAGGCATTGTTTGTATCTTAATATTAAAGAGATGAAGGTTGAGAAGACATGAGTAACGTTTTCAAGGTTAACAAGTAGGTAAGCAGAAGGGCTAAGATTTGAAAGCAGATCTGTCAGAACCCACAGTGCTTACTCATTCAACTATTATATACGTATATACTTTCTTTCTTGGAAAAGTAAATAGACAAACTTTGATAGGATTTAGAAGAGATATAACATGCAGACAAGAGGGTTGTCCTGTTAGCTCTAAATTTTGTGTGTGTGTGTGTGTTTTTTTTTTTCCATGGGTGGTTGGTTTCTTTTCTACCAAGAAACTTGATTTGAATTCTATTTTTTGCATTCTCTGCTTCTCTAAAAGCATTTCTTTATCTCTGCCTTTCCCTGGCTTTTGAGCTGTTTAGTTTATGAGTGATGATTTTAGCCTCATATTCTTTCTAACTAGTGATTCATTATATCTGAACCCTGTATATAGCATCCTATTTCTCAGTGACATTTACGAACTGTTTTGTTCTCCTCTCAATGAAAACTGAAAGAATAGAAAGTTAAAAAAAAGTATATTTGGTCTCACGCAGTATTGGAGCAAGCTTTTGCTACTGTAATTATGTCCTCTAATAAGGTCAGGGTTATTGGATGACTAACATACCCATGGAAGTATTTATTTACTACCCAAAACATTTGTTATACTATCTTTTCTGATCTTTTCCTCACCAAGTCATTATTTCTAGGAAATGTGGCTCTATTTTAAAAATGAACATTTTCAGCGCATTTGGAGCTCAACTGTTCTTAATGTTGAACAATCTGCTTTCTTCTGCCTTCTTTCAGGTTAATTGAGTATTTTTTATGATTCCATTTTATGCTCACTTTTGGCGTGTTAGTTATTCCACTTTTAAAATTTTTAAATGATTGTTCTAAAGTTTATAATAGACATCTTTAACAGCCTGTCTTCAAATAATATTGTAACACTTCACAGAGTACGAGAACCTTATAAGAATATACGTCAGCGTATTTCCATTTTCTCCCTTCCATCTTTTGTACTGCTGCCGTACATTTTCCTTCTACATTTGTTTTAAACCACCCAATACATCATTCTTATTTTTATTTTAGACAATTATCTTTTAAAGATGTTAAAATAAGGATAAAATTCCTTTTACATTTGTACTTATTTTTGCCATTGCTGGCATCTTTCCTTCCTTCATGTAGATCCAAATTTCTATCTAGTCTCATTTCTTCTACCTGAAGAATTTTCAACATTACTTGTAGTGCAGGTTTGCTGAGGTGAATTCTCTCAGCTTTTGCTTGTGTGAAAAAAGCCTTTATTTTGCTGTTATTTTAAAGGATATTTTCCCTTGGTGTAGAATTTTAAGTTGACAGTGTTTTATTGTTTCATTTTGTGCTTCAAAGGTGATCTTCATTGCGTTTTGGCTCCCTATTTTTATTTTATTTTATTATTATTATAGTGTAAGTTTTAGGGTACATGTGCACAATGTGCAGGTTTGTTACATATGTATACATGTGCCATGTTGGTGTGCTGCACCCATTAACTTGTCACTTAGCATTAGGTATATCGCCTAATGCTATCCCTCCCCCCTCCCCCCACCCCACAACAGGTCCCAGTGTGTGATGTTCCCCTTCCTGTGTCCATGTGTTCTCATTGTTCAATTCCCACCTATGAGTGAGAACATGCGGTATTTGGTTTTTTGTCCTTGTGATACTTTGCTGAGAATGATGGTTTCCAGCTTCATCCATGTCCCTACAAAGGACATGAACTCATCATTTTTTATGGCTGCATAGTATTCCATGATGTATATGTGCCACATTTTCTTAATCCAGTCTATCACTGTTGGACATTTGGGTTGGTTCCAAGTCTTTGCTATTGTGAATAGTCCCTCTATAAACATACATGTGCATGTGTCTTTATAGCAGCATGATTTATAATCCTTTGGGTATATATCCAGTAATGGGATGGCTGGGTCAAATGGTATTTCTAGTTCTAGATCCCTGAGGAATCACCACACTGACTTCCACAAGGGTTGAACTAGTTTACAGTACCACCAACAGTGTAAAAGTGTTCCTATTTCTCCACATCCTCTCCAGCACCTGTTGTTTCCTGACTTCTTAATGATTGCCATTCTAACTGGTGTGAGATGGTATCTCACTGTGGTTTTGATTTGCACTTCTCTGATGGCCAGTGATGACGAGCATTTTTCCATGTGTTTTTTGGCTGCATAAATGTCTTCTTTTGAGAAGTGTCTGTTCATATCCTTTGCCCACTTTTTGATGGGGTTGTTTGTTTTTTTCTTGTAAATTTGTTTGAGTTCATTGTAGATTCTGGATATTAGCCCTTTGTCAGATGAGTAGGTTGCAAAAATTTTCTCCCATTCTGTAGATTGCCTGTTCACTCTGATGGTAGTTTCTTTTGCTGTGCTGAAGCTCTTTAGTTTAATTAGATCCCATTTTTCAATTTTGGCTTTTGTTGCCATTGCTTTTGGTATTTTTAGACATGAAGTCCTTGCCCATGCCTATGTCCTGAATGGTATTGCCTAGGTTTTCTTCTAGGGTTTTTATGGTTTTAGGTCTAACATTTAAGTCTTTAATCCATCTTGAATTAATTTTTGTATAAGATGTAAGGAAGGGATCCAGTTTCAGCTTTCTACATATGGCTAGCCAGTTTTCCCAGCACCATTTATTAAATAGGGAATCTTTTCCCCATTGCTTGTTTTTGTCAGGTTTGTCAAAGATCAGATAGTTTTAGATATGCCGGATTATTTCTGAGAGCTCTGTTCTGTTCCATTGGTTTATATCTCTGTTTTTGTACCAGTACCATGCTGTTTTGTTTACTGTAGCCTTGTAGTGTAGTTTGAAGTCAGGTAGCGTGATGCCTCCAGCTTTGTTCTTTTGGCTTAGGATTGAGTTGGCGATGTGGGCTCTTTTTTGGTTCCATATGAACTTTAAAGTAGTTTTTTCCAATTCTGTGAAGAAAGTTATTGGTAGCTTGATGGGGATGGCGTTGAATCTATAAATTACCTTGGGCAGTATAGCCATTTTCATGATATTGATTCTTCCTACCCACGAGCATGGAATGTTCTTCCATTTGTTTGTATCCTCTTTTATTTCACTGAGCAGTGGTTTGTAGTTCTCCTTGAAGAGGTCCTTCACATCCCTTGTAAGTTGGATTCCTAGGTATTTTATTCTCTTTGAAGCAATTGTGAATGGGAGTTCACTCATGATTTGGCTCTCTGTTTGTTATTGGTGTATAAGAATGCTTGTGATGTTTGTACATTGATTTTGTATCCTGAGATTTTGCTGAAGTTGCTTATCAGCTTGAGGAGATTTTGGGCTGAGACAATGGGGTTTTCTAGGTATACAATCATGTCATCTGCAAACAGGGACAATTTGACTTCCTCTTTTCGTAATTGAATACCCTTTATTTCCTTCTCCTGCCTGATTGCCCTGGCCAGAACTTCCAACACTATGTTGAATAGGAGTGGTGAGAGAGGGCATCCCTATCTTGTGCCAGTTTTCAAAGGGAATGCTTCCAGTTTTTGCCCATTCAGTATGATATTGGCTGTGGGTTTGTCACAGATAGCTCTTATTATTTTGAGATACCTCCCATCGATACCTAATTTATTGAGAGTTTTTAGCATGAAGCGTTGTTGAATTTTGTCAAAGGCCTTTTCTGTATCTATTGAGATAATCATGTGTTTTTTGTCTTTGGTTCTGTTTATATGTTGGATTACATTTATTGATTTGCGTATGTTGAACCAGCCTTGCATCCCAGGGATGAATTCTCCCTTTCAAGTGCCTGTTTATCTCAGTGGTATTTCCGCCTTCCCCAACTCTTCCCAGACATTCTTTTAGGAATTAAGGATGTGATCAAACACAATCATTGACCTCATAGAATTTTCAAACTAGTGCTGGATATTAATTGATCAGATTGAGCAATAGCACCTTATATTTGCCATCCCTGACTTCAGAGTAGTATCTCCTGCTTTTCTTGTACCCAGCTGTTGTGGTGTACTAAGTGTTGCTTTAATTCAGAAATTTTCTTTAGCTCTTCATTAAATAAGAGTGGGTGGAGTTTATTCTGGATTGTGTGTGTGTGTATGTGTGTGTGTCTAACAACAGAGAGAGAAGTAGAGAGGAAGGGAGGGAGGGATGGGGAAGAGAGTGAAAGTGGGAGAGAGAGAGAGAAAGAGAAAGAGACAGAGAAAGAGTAAGAGAGAAAGAGAGCAAGTGATAGAGAGAGAGAATGTGTTATAGATAAGAGGGACTTGAATCTGTTAATATGCTGAAGAGGGACGAGTAGAGAAGGTATAATTCGTGCACTTGGGACTTTTGGGAGAAAAGAGGGAATGGAACCTAAGATATAGAGGAATAATTCACCTTAGGAGAAGAGTGGGGCACTATACCTCCGAGAAAAATTAAAATGGAAAATAAGGATGGATTTGTAGATGGGTGAGAAATATTGAATAGGATCCTCTCCGATAGTCTTTATATGGTGGGCGGAAAAGTCAACTGAGATTGAAATAATGTTATGGAATAAGGATTCCAGAGACACTGATGAATTTTATTTATTAGTATTATAGGAGACTAACTGGGGCCAAACAAAAAGATTGTTGATCAGTGATGAGGGACCACTGAAGTTGGAGACCATGACTTTAGAGAGCACTGATTCATTTCATATATGTTAACCAAATCCCTATGTCCGTATGTCCAGCTATGACCTCACCTCTAAGCTGCAGACCCACATTTGCCACACACATGCACCCATCCCCTAACGCACCCCCTCAAACCCACACACCTGGACTTTTCACAGGCTTAACATTTCCCAAATAATTCATTATTTCACTCTTCAAAAACTTCACGTTACTTTCTAAATTCCTAATGGTGATAAAGGGTAATTAAGACCTATCCAGTCTCCCAATTAAAAAAAATACTAATTCATCTGAACAAATATTTATTGAGCAGTTGATTGCTCCAAGAATAATGAATTTATAGTAAAAAGAGAGGTTTGAATCCTGTCTTCAAAGAGCTTATGAAATTTATAACCACATCATAGACAATTACAATGTCATTCTTGTTTGTTATATTGTAGTGTCCTCTTAAAACAGTAATCAGCAAACTGCAGCTCATGGGCCAAATCCAACCTACTGACGGTTATTGCATGGATTGTGACCTAAAGCTTTTTTCTTCACTTTTTTTATAAGAGTGAAATTCAAATTACATAAAATTAACAGTTTTATACTGTACATTTCAATTTCATTTAATACATTCACAGCTACTACCTATAGCAACTTCTAAAACATTTTTGTCATCTCAAAAGAAAGTACCACATTCATTAAGCATTCATTCCCCATTGTTTCCCGCCACCCCCTCTTCCCTGGTGTATTAGTCTGTTCTCACACTGCAAAAGGACATACCCGAGACTGGGTAATTTATAAAGGAAAGAGGTTTAATTGACTCACAGTTCCGCATGGCTGGGGAGGCCTCAGGAAACTTACAATCATGGCAGAAGGGGAAGCAATCATATCTTTCTTCACATGGCAGCAGGGGAGAGAAATGCAGAGCAAAGGAGGGAAAAGCCCTTTATAGAACCATCAGATCTCATGAAGACTCACTCACTGTCATGAGAACAGCATGAGGGAACCACCCCCATGATTTAATCACCTTCTGCAAGGTCCCTCCCCCCAACATGTGGCAATTACAATTCAGATTACAATTCAAGATGAGACTTGGGTGGGGACGCAGAGCCAGACCATGTTATTCTGCCTCTGGCTTTGGCCAAATCTCATCTTTCTCACATTCTAAAACACGATTATGCCTTCCCAACAGTTGCCCAAAGTCTTAATTCCTTTCAGCATTAACCCAAAAGTAAAACTCCATAGTCTTATCTGAGACAAGGCAAGTCCCTTCTACCTATGAGCCTGTAAAATAAAAAGCAAGGTAGTTATTTCCTAGATAAAATGAATGATATACAGGCATTGGGTAAATACACCTATTCCAAATGGGATAAATTGGCCAAAACAAAGGGACTACAGGCCCCATGCAATTCCAAAATCATACAAGGCAGTAATTAAATCTTAAAGCTCCAAAATAATTTCTTTTGTCTGCATGCCTCACATCCAGGTCACGCTGATGCAAGAGGTGGGCTCCCAGGGACTTGGGCAGCTCTGCCCCTATGACTTTCCAGGGTACAGGCCCCCTCCTGGCTGCTTTCACAGGCTAGTGTTGAGTGTCTGCAGCTTTTCCAGGCACACAGTGCAAGCTGTTGGTGGATCTACCATTCTGGGGTCTAGAGGACAGTGGCCCTCTTCTCACAGCTCCACTAGGTAGTGCCCCAGTGGGGACCCTGTGTGGGGGCTCTAACCCCACATTTTCCTTCTGCACTGCCCTCGCAGAGGTTCTCCAAGATGGCTCCACCCCTGCAGCAAACTTCTGCCTTGACATCCAAGTCTTTCCACATTTTCAGATATGTTTATAGCAGCACCCCACTCTCTGCGGTACCAATTTACTGTATTAGTCCATTCTCATGCAGCTATGAAGAAATACCCAAGACTGGGTAGTTTATAAAGAAAAGAGGTTTAATTGACTCACAGTTCTGTATGGCTGGGGAGGTATCAGGAAACTTACAATCATGGCAGAAAGCACTTCTTCACAGGGCGGCAAGAGAGAGAATGAGTGCCAAGCAAAGGGGGAAAAGCCCCTTATAAAACCAACAGATCTATTGAGAACTCACTCAGTATCATGAGAACAACATAGGGGAACTGCCTCCATGATCTAATCACCTCCCACAAGGTCCCTCCTCCAACACGTGGGGATTACAATTCAGATTACAATTCAAGATGATATTTAAGTGAGGACACAGAGCCAGACCATATCACCTGGCAACCAGCATTATGTTTTCTGTCTGCATAGAATTACCTCTTCTGGATATTTCATATAAATAAATCTTGCAACAGATGACCTTTTGCATCTGACTTTTTTCATATAGCCTAATGTTTTTGAGGTTCCTCCACATTACAGCATGTATCTGTACTTCATTCCTTTTTATGACTAAATATTATTTCATTATATGTCTAAATCACATATTATTTACCAATATATCCATTGATGAACATTTGAGTTGTTTTCAGTGTCTGGATGGAGTGTGTGTGGAGGGGATGGGGCAGGCAGGAAGGAAGAAATTGACTGTTATGAATGGTACTGCTATGAATATGCATCTACCTGTATTTGTTTAAGTCTCTGTTTTTAATAATTTGGGGTATATACCTAGTGGGGGAATTGCTGGGTAATTTGGTAATACTATGTTTCATTTTTTGAGAAACTGCCAGACAGTCTTCTACAGTGGCTGCAACATTTTACTTTCCTGCCACCAGTGCGGGAATGTTTCAATTTCTTCACATTCTCACCAATACTTGTTATTTTCCATTTTTAAAACACCATCCTCCTGGGTGTGAAGTGGTATCTTATGGTTTATATTTTGCATTTCACTAATGGCTAATTGTGTTGAGCATCTTTTCATGTACTTGTTGGCCATTTGTATATCTTCTTTGAAGAAACATATATTTAGGTCCTTTGTTTGCTTTTTAATTGTTTTTTTTTGTTATTGAGTTATGAGTTATTTAGCTATAAGAGTTCTGAATAGTAGATGCTCATCAGGTATGTAATTTGTGAATATTTCCTATTATTCTATAGGTTGTTCACATTCTTGATAATGTATATTGATGCACAAAAGTTTATTTACAATTTTAATAAAGTTCAACTTACCCATTTTTTCTTTTGTTGTTTATGCCACTGGTGTCATATCTAAGAACCCATTGCCAAATTCAAGGTTATGAAGATTTATCCCTATGTTTTCTTCTGTTTCATAGTTTTAGGCATTACACTTACGTCATTGATCCATTTTGAGTGAATTGTTGTATACACTATGAGGTAAAGATCCAACTTCATCTTTTGCGTATGAATATTCAGTTGTCTAAGCACCATTTATAAAAAGACTATTGTTTCTTCATTGAATGGTATTTTAGTCCATTTGCATTGCTATAATGGACTACCTGAGGCTGGGTGATTTATAAAGAATAGAAGTTTATTTGGGTCACAGTTTTGCAGGCTGTACAAGAAGCATGTTACTAGCATTTGCTTCTGGTGAGGGCTTTAGGGAATTTCCACTCATGCTGGGAAGCAACTAAGGGAAGAAGGTAAAAAACAGGAGGGAGAGGTGGAGCAAGATGGCAGAATAGAGGGCTCCACCGATCCCTGCTTCCCTTGCACAAGGAAATTCTGCAGCTGAAAAATGCAACTGGTACACTGAAGAATGTATCATAGCCTTTTAATTGTTGAATTGATCAAGTGGAAGAAAGAATTAGTAAGCTTGAAGACGAGCTATTTGAAAATACACAGTCAGAGGAGACAAAAGAAAAAATAATAAAAAACAATAAAGCATGCTTACAGAATGTAGAAAATAGCTTCAATGGGGAAAATCTAAGATTTATTGGCCTTAAAGAGTATATACAGAAAGAGATATGGGTAGAAAGTTTATTCAAAGGGATAGTATCAGAGAACTTCTCAAACCAAGTGAAAGATATCAACATTCAAGTACAAGAAGGCTATAGAATACCAAGCAGATTTAACCCAAAGAAGACTACCTCAAGACATTTATTAATCACATTCTCAAAGGTCAAGAGTAAGGAAAGGATCCTAAAAGCAGCAAGAGAAAATAAAACAAATAGCATACAATGGAGCCCCAAAACACCTGGCAGCAGACTTTTCAGTGGAAACCTTACAGTAGAGGAGAGATTGACATGACATATATAAAATGTGGAAGGGGAAAAAAAAACTTTTACCCTAGAGTAGTATATTCTATTAAAATACCCTTCAAACATGAAGGAGAAATAAAGACTTTCCCAGACAAACAAAAGCTAAGGGACTTCATCAATACTAGCCCTGTCCTACAAGAGATGTGAAAGGAAGTACATCAATCAGAAATAAAATTATGTTAATGAGTAATAAATAATCACCTGAAGGTACAAAACTTGCTGGTAGTAGTAAATACATAGAAAAACAAGGAATATTATAACATTGTAACTGTGATGTGTAAACTACTCTTATTCTAAGTAGAAAGATTAATGAACCAATCAAAAATGATAACTACAACTATTCAAGACATAGTCAGTACCTTAAGATATAAATAGAAACAACAAAAAGTTTAAAAGCTGTGGGACGAAGTTAAGGCTTAGAGTTTTTATTAGTTTTCTTTTCATTTGTTTGTTTATGTGAAAAATTTTAAGTTGTTACTAGGCTAAATAATTTTTTAATTTTAATTTAATTTTATTTTATTTTGAGACAGAGTCTCACTGTGTCACCCAGGCTGCAGTGGCGCAATCTCGGCTCACTGCAACCTCTGCCTCCTGACTTCAGGGGATTCTCCTGCCTCAACCTCCCTAGTAGCTAGGATTACAGGCATGCACAACCATGCCCAGCTATTTTTTTAAACTTATTTTTAATAGAGATGGGGTTTTGCCATTTTGGCCAGGCTGGTCTCGAACTCCTGACCTCAAGTGATCTACCTGTTTGTAAGCCTCATGGTAACCTCAGATCAAAAAACATACAATAAAGACACAAAAAATAAAAATCAAGAAACTAAATCATATCACCAGAGAAAATCATTTTCACTAAAAGAAGACAGGAAGGAAAGATAAAAGAAGGAGAAGAACACCACACAACCAGAAAACAAATAACAAAATGGCAGGATTAAGTCCTCACTTATCAATAATAATGTTGAATGTAATGGAGAAAACACTCCAACCAAAAGACATTGAGTAGCTGAAAGAACTTAAAAAATAAGACTCTATGATCTATTGCTTCAAGAAATGCACTTCATCTATAAAGACATACGCAAACTAAAAAGAAAGAAATGTAAAAAGATATTCCATGCAAATGGAAAGCAAAAAAGAACAGAAGTAGCTATACTTAAATCAGACAAAATAGATTTCAAGAAAAAAACTATAAGAAAACAAAGAAAACAAAGAAGGTCACTGTATGATGATAAAGGCGTCAATTCAGCAAGACGATTTTAAATATATATGCACCCAACATTGAGGCACCCAGATATATAAAGCAAATATTATTAGAGCTAATGAAAATGATAGGCCCAACACAATAATAGCTGGAGACTTCAACACCCCACTTTCAGCATTGGACAGATCTTCCAGACAGAAAATCAGCAAAGAAACATTGGATTTAATCTGCAATATAGACCAAATGGATCTAATCAATATTTAGAGAACATTTCATCCAATGGCTACAGAATACACATTCTTTTCCTCAGCACATGGATCATTCTCAAGGATAGACCATATATTAGGTCACAAAACAAGTCTTAAAAAATTCAAAAAAATTGAAGTAATATCAAGCATCTTTCCTGACTACAATAGAATAAAACTAGAAATCAATAACAAGAGAAATTTTGGAAACTGTACGAATACATGGAAATTAAACAATATGCTCCTGAAAGACCTGTACCTGGAAGACAATGAAGAAATTAAGAAGGAAATTGAAAAATTTCTTGAAACAAATGATAATGGAAACACAACATACCAAAACCTATGGGAACAACAAAAGCACTGTAAAGAGGAAAGTTTATAGCTATAAGCACCTATATCAAAAAAATAGAAACACTTCAAATAACCTAAAGATGCACCTTAAACAACTAAAACAGCAAGAGCAAACCAAACCAAAAATTAGTAGAAGAAAAGAAATAATAAAGATGAGAGCAGAAATAAATGAATTGGAAATATAGAAAACAATATGAAAGATAAATGAAAGAAAAAGTTGGTTTTTAAAAAGTTAAACAAAATTGACAAACTTTTAGCCAGACTAGGAAAAAAAGAGAGAAGACCCAAATAAATAAAATAAGAGATGAAAAAGGAGATATTACAACTAATACTGCAGAAATTCAAAGGATCATTAGTGGTTACAATGAGCAACTATATGCCAATAAATTGGAAAATCCAAATGAAATGGACAAATTTTAGACACGTGCAACCTACCAAGATTGAATCAGGAAGAAATTCAAAACCCAAACAGACCAGTAACAAATAACAAGATCAAAGCCATAATAACGTCTCCAAATAAAGAAAAGCCTGGGACCTGATGGCTTTACTGCTGAATTCTACCAAACATTTAAAGAAGTTCTAATACCAATCCTACTCAAACTATTTTGAAAAATAGGGAGGAAGGAATGCATTTAAACTCATTCTTTGAGGCCAGTTTTACCCTGATACCAAAAACCAAAGACACATCAAAAAAAGAAATCTACAGGCCAATACCTCTGATAAATATGGATGCAATAATCTCCAACAAAAATTTAAACATTCTCAAAAAAATGCTTGCAAACCCAATGCAACAATACATTAAAAAGATCACTCATCATGACCAAGTGGGATTTATCCCTGGGATTCAGATGGTTTAGCATGTGCAAATCAATCAATGTGATACACTGCTCAACAGAATGAAGGACAAAAACCATATGATCATTTCAATTTATGCTGAAAAAACATTTGATAAAATTCAACATCCCTTCATGATAAAAACCCTCAAGAAACTGGGTATAGAAGGAACATACTTTAACTTAATAAAAGTAATATACTGCAGACTCAGAGCTAGTATCATACTGAATGGGGTAAAACTGAAAATCTTTCTTTTAAGATCTGGAATACAACAAGGATGCCCACTTTCACCACGGTAATTCAACATAGTGCTGAAAATTCTAGTAAAGCAATCAGAAGAGAAACAAGTAAAGGGCATCCAAATTGGAAAGAAAGAAGTCAAATTATCCTTTTTGACAGATGATATGATCTTATATTTGGAAAAACCTAAGGATTCCACAGGAAAACTATTAGAACTGATAAACAAATTTAGTAAAGTTGCAAGATGCAAAATTAACATACAAAAATCAGTAGCATTTCTATACGCCAACAATGAACCATCTGAAAAAGAAATCAATAAAATAATCCCATTTACAATAGCCACAAATAAAATTAAATACTTAGTAATTAACTTAACCAAAGCAGTGAAGGATCTCTATAATAAAAATTATAAAACACTAGTGAAAGAAATTGAAGAGGACATATGTTCATGGATTGGAAAAATCTGTATTGCTAAAATGTCCATACTACCCAAATCAATCTACAGATTCAACACAATCCTTATAAAAATACCTATAGCGTTCTTCATGGAAATAGAAAAGACAAACCTAAAATTTATATGGAACCACAAAAGACCTAGAATAACCAAAACTATTCTAAGCAAAAAGAGCAAAACTAGAGGAATCACATTAACTGACTTCAAATTATACTACAGAGCTATAGTAACCAAATAAGCATGATGCTGGCATAAATACAGACACATAGACCAATGGAACAGAATAAAGAACCCAGAAACAAATCTACACACCTACAGTGAATTCATTTTTGACAAAGGTGCCAAGAACATGCACTGGGGAAAAGACAGTCTTCAATACATGCTGCTGGGAAAACTGGATATTCACATGCAGAAGAATGAAACTAGACCCTATCTCTTGCCATTTACAAAAATTCAATCAAAATAGATTAAAGATTTAAATCTAAGACCTCAGGCTACGAAATGACTACAAGAAAACATTGGAGGAACTCTCTATGCAAGACATTGGCCTGGGCAAAAAATTTATTGAGTAATACCCCACAAGCATAAGCAACTAAAGCAAAAAAGGACAAATGGGCTCGCATCAAGAAAAAGCTTCTGCACAGCAAAGGATACAGTCAACAAAGGAAGGAGACAACCCACATAATCGTAGAAAATATTTGCAAACTACTTATCTGACAAGATATTAATAACTAGAATGTATAAGGAGCTCAAACAACTCTATAGGAAAAATATAATTATCCAGCCAAAAACTGGGCACAAGATCTGAGTAGACATTTCTCAGACAAACAAATGGCAAACAGGCATTTGAAAAGGGGCTCAACATCATTGATCATCAGATAAATGCAAGTCAAAACTACAATGAGATATTATCTTACCCCAGTTAAAATGGCTTATACCCAAAAGACAGACAATAACAAATTCTGAAGAAAAGGGAACCCTGATACACTGTTAGTGGGAATGTGAATTAGTATAACCACTATGGAAAATAGTTTGAAGATTCCTCAAAAACACTAAAAATATCACTACCACATGATCCAGCAATCTTCCTATTGCTGGGTATATACTCTAAAGAAAGGAAATCAGTATATTCAAAGAGATATCTGCACTCCTATGTTTGTTGCTGCACTGTCCACAATATCCAAGATTTGGAAGCAATCCAAGTGTTCATCAACAGATGAATAGATAAATAAAATGTGGTACATATACACAATGGAGTACTATTCAGCCATAAAAAGAATGTGATCCTGTCATTTGCAACAACATAGATGGAACTGGAGGTCATTATGTTAAATGAAATAAGAAAGGCAGGAAGAAACATCACGTATTCTCACTTATTTGTAGGATCTAAAAGTTAAAACAATTGAACTCATGGACACAGACAGTAGAAGAATGATTATCAGAAACTGGGAAGGGTATTGGGGGTGGATAGGAGGTGGAAATTGTTAATGCGTACCAAAAAATAGCTAGTAAGAATGGGTAAGACCTACTATTTGATAGCACAACAGGGTGACTATAGTAAATAATAACTACACTTTAAAATAACTAAATGAGTACGATTGGGTTGTTTATTACAAAAAGGATAAATGGTTGAGGAGATGGATACCCCATTCTCCATGATGTGATTATTATGCATTGCATGCCTGTATTAAAACATTTCATGTACCCCATAAATATATGTACCTACTATATACCTACACTTGAAAATAAAACATTTTTAAAAATGCAACTAATTTTTGTGTGTTGATCTTGTATCCTTCGACTTTGCTAAATTTGTTTATTACCTCTCGTAATTTTTTGTGTGGATTCTTTAGAATTTTTTTATGTATGTATTTTGTAAATATCCATTTTTTCTATGCAAAGGAATAGTTTTACTTCTTTTTTCCCAATTTGAATGATTTTATTTCTTTTTTCTTGTCTAGTAGTCTTTGGCTAAAATGTTCAGTGCATTATTGAATAGCATTGGTAAAAGTGAGCATCCATGTCTTGTTCCTGATTTCAGGGAAAAGGCTTTATGTTTTTCACTATTGAGTATAATATTAGCTTTTTTTTTCTTTTTTAAATAAATGTGCTTTATCAGGTTGAGGAAGTTCTATTTTATCTCTGATTTTTAAATTAAATTATTTTAATTATTAAAGGGTGTTCAATTTTGCCAAATGCTTTTCCTGTATAAATTAAGGTGGTAAATTTTTAAAAATTTCATTAATGTGTTATATTACATTGAGTGATTCTTGTATATTGAATAACTTGCATTTCTGGGATGAATCATGCTTATGGCATATAATCCTTTTACTGGGCTGCTGTATTCAGTTTGCCAATATTTTTGAAAATTTTTGTATCTATATTCACATGGAATATTAATCTCTTAAACTAATAAAAATATATTATGAATTAACACCACCTTATCTTCAATAGTATACAAAAACTTTGCTCCCTAGAGCTCTACCACCCCCTTTGTGTTGTTTTCACAAAATACATTATGCAGTGTGTGTGCATTGACATGGATTTGTAATTATTGTTTTATACCTGTGGCATTAAATTATATAGGAAAAGAAAGAAGAGTTCCAAACCAAAAATACAATAATACTAATCTTTGAGTTTACCTATGTGGTTATCTTGACCAGTAACATTAATTCTTTGTATGGCTTCAAGTTACTGTCTAGAGTCATTTCATTTCCATCTGAAGAATAGAACTCCTTTGTAGCATTTATTATAGGGCAGTGCTACTGGTGACAAACTCCCATAGCTTATGTTCATCAAATAATATCTTAATTTTGTCTTCATTTCTGAAAAACGGTTTTGCTGAATATACAATACTTAAATGACAGTATTTTCTTTCAGCATTTTAACTCTGTCATTCCTGTTTTCTGGCCTTTATTGTTTCTGCTGAGAAACTGACTGCTAATGTTGTTGAGGATTCCTTGTAACTGTAAATTTGCTTTTCTCATGCTGCTTTCAAGATTTTGTCTCTGTCTTTTACTTCTGACAGTTTAATTGCAATGTGTTTTGGTATGGAACTCTTTGTGTTATCCTTGTTTTGAGTTTGTTCAGATTCTTGGATATCTGCATTTGTGTCTTTATCAACATTGGGAAGTTTGTGACCATTATTTCTTTAAATATTCTTTCTGTCTCTTTCTTTTCTCCTTCTGGAACTCCTATTATTTGTATTATTGTACACTTGATGTTGTCCCATAGTTGTTTGAGGCTCTATTTATTTCTTTTTTGTGCACCTTGGACTAAATCATTTCAATCGACCTATCCTCAAGTATGCTGATTCTTTCTTCTGCCTGTTCAAATCTGCTATGCAAACACTTGTGGATTTTTCATTTCAGTTATAATACTTTTGAGCTCCATTTTTTATACTTTTGCTACCTTTCTTTTATAATTTTTATCTCTTTGTTAATATTCTCTACTTGCTGAGACATCGTTATTTTTGTTTCGTTACACTCTTTTTCAATGGTTTTCTTTAGCTCTTTAAATATATTTAAGAGAGCTGATTTAAAGTTTTTTTCTAGTAAGTCCAATGTTTTTGCTTCACAGGGTCAGTTTCTGTTAATTATTTCTGTGATTAGGGCATATTTCTTTTTTTTTCATACTTTGTATTTTTTGTTGCAAACTGGACATTTTAAATATATAATGTGGTACCTCTGGAAATCAGATTCTCCCCTTTGTCAGGGTTTGGTTTTGCAGTTTTTTGTGGGTTTTAGTTGGTTGCTTGTTTAGTCACTTTTCTAAGTTATTTTGCGACTTCTGTATTCTTTGTTGTGTGTAGTCTCCAATCTGTTTCTTTAGCTTCTATTCAGCTGGTGTTTTGACAGAGTTTTCCTTAAATGCCTGGCTCCAAAAACAAAATGGAACAACAATAACAAAAAAGACAACAAAAGAAGGAAAGAAGGAAGAAAATGTAAAAAAGAAAATAAAGAAATCCTCCTATGCTTTGCAGCTTTTGCTCCTTTGGGACGCTCCCAACTCAGCCAGGGTGTTTACAACTCTGCCTTAGCCTTCACTTCCTGCTTATGCTAAATCTAGACCTGAGTCAGTGGTGAAAGCCTAGAGTGTTCTCAGATCTTTTCTAAGTGTGTGTTCTGCCCTGGTCATGTGCATGGTTTTCTAAATTTTCTTGTTTACATGGGTGCTTTTCAATGCCCTTATTTCTGAAGAATACTCTCCTTTTCTTCTCATGCTTTTGGCATGTCTATTGTTTATCTCAATTGGAATCTCTTGCCTCAGGTGGTAGTAGGTTGCTCATTTGTCTTACAATATTTTCAGAGAATTCCCTCAGCATGGCTCCTTTTCCACCTGAGAGCATTCCAAGTTAGCTTAAACAAAGGCAAGCACCTTGTATCAGTCCCTTGATAGCCCCTGGAAAGTCCAAAACTGATAAACACAATTTTTTGAGAACAGGGTCTTCTCTGCTTTCTTACAAACCAGAGGCCAGAGTCCCACACTGGAAATGCGGGCTTCCTACCCTCTTCAATATCATCACCAAGCTTAAGAGGGAGTTGGGCAAGAGCAAGTATAAGTGCCCTACCATTTTCCTACCATTTTAATGATCCTTTTTTTTCTTGATTAAGTATTTGCTTGATTGATATAAATTGTTATCTGTTTTTCAGAGTTCTGACAAAGTTGATTTTGACAGTTTTACTTGATTTTTTGGTTTTTCTATGCTGAAATGGGCCCTTGAAGCTAGCTATTCCACCATTTTGGCTAACATTATCTCTATAAATGGTTTTATGTTTTAAGACTTAAAAAAACCTTTATTTTAGGTTTAGGGGTACATGTGAAGGTTTGTTACATAGGTAAACACATGTCATGGGGGCTTGTTGTACATATTACTTCATCACCCAGGTATTAGGCCCAGTACCCAATAGTTACCTTTTCTGCTCCTCTCCCTTGTGTCTCTCTCCCTGCAGTGTCTGTTGTTTCCTTCTTTGTGTTCATAAATTCTTATCATTTAGCTCCCACTTATAAGTCACAACATGCAGTGTTTGGTTTTCTGTTCCTGTGTTAGTTTGCTGAGGATGATGGCTTCCAGCTTCATCCGTGTTCCTGCAAAAGACATGATCTCATTCTTTTTTATGGCTGCACAATATTCCATGGTGTATATGTCCCACATTTTCTTAATCCAATCTGTCATTGATGGGCATTTATGTTGATTCCATGTTTTTGCTATTGTGAATAATGCTGCAGTGAACATTGGCATGCATGTGTCTTTATGGTAGAATGATTTATATTCCTCTGGGTATAAACCCAGTAATAGGATTGTTGGTTCAAATGTTAGTTCTGCTTTTAGCTCTTTTGAGGAATTGCCGTACTGCTTTCCATAATGGTTGAACTAATTTACACTTCCACCAACAGCGTACAAGTGTTCCTTTTTCTCCACAACGTCACCAGCATCTGTTATTTTTTTACTTTTTTTTTTTTTTTTGAGATGTAGTCTCGCTCTGTCGCTGAGGCTGGAGTGCAGTGGCGTGATCTCGGCTCACTGCAAGCTCTGTCTCCCGGATTCATGCCATACTCCTGCCTCAGCCTCCCCAGCAGCTGGGACTACAGGTGCACGCCGCCACGCCTGTCTAATTTTTTTGTGTGTTTTTAGTAGAGACGGGGTTTCACCATGTTAGCCAAGATGGTCTCCATCTCCTTACCTCATGTTCCGCCTGCCTCGGCCTCCCAAAGTGCTGGGATTACAGGTGTGAGCCACCATGCCTGGCCTTTTTCGACTTTTTTAGTAATAGCCATTCTGACTGGTGTGAGATCGTATCTCATTGTGGTTTTGGCTTGCATTTCTCTGATGATTGGTGTTACTGGGCTTTTTTTTCATATGCTTGCTGGTGGCAAGTATATCTTCTTTTGAGAAGTGTCTGTTCATGTCCTTTGCCCACTTTTTAATGGGGTTGTTTGTTTTTCTCTTGTAAATTTGTTTAAGCTTTATATAGATGCTGGATATTAGACCACTGTCAGATACATAGTTTGCAGATATTTTCTCCCATTCTGTAGCTTGTCTGTTTACTCTGTTGATAGTTTCTTCTGCTGTGCAGAAGCTCTTAAGTTTAATTAGATCCCACTTGTCAATTTTTGCTTTTGATGCAATTGCTTTTGGTGTCTTTGTCATGAAATCTTTGCCTATTCCTACGCCATGATGGTATTGTCTGGGTTGTCTTCAGGAGTTTTTATAGTTTTGGGTTTTACAATTAAGTCTTATCTTGAGTTGATTTTTGCATAAGGTGCAAGAAAGGGGTCCAGCTTCAATCTTCTGTATATGGCTAGCCAGTTAACCCAACACCATTTATTGAATAGGGAGCCTTTACCCCATTGCTTCTTTTGTCAGCTTTGTCAAAGATCAGATGGTTGTAGATATGTGACCTTTTTTTCCAAGTTCTCTATTCTGTTCCATTGGTCTATGTGCCTGTTTTTGTATCAGTACCATAGGTAACCAGGGAGGTGAAAGATTTCTACAGTGAGAATTACAAAACATTGCTCAAAGAAATCAAAGAAGATACAAAGAAATGGAAAAACATTCAATGCTCATAGATAGGAATAATCAATATCATTAAAATGGCTATGCTGCCCAAACGAATTTACAGATTCATTGCTATCCTATCAAACTACCAATGACACATTCTTCACAGAACTAGAAAAAAAACCATTTTAAAATTCATATGGAACCAAAAAAGAGCCCAAATAGGCAAGGCAACACTAAGCAGAAAGAACAAAGCTGGACATATCAAGTTACCTGACTTAAAACTATATTGCAATGCTACAGTAAGACATTTTTAAAAATCAAAAGAATACTATTTTATGGCCTGTGAAAATTATATGAAATTCCAAGTTAGGTGTTCATAAATATTTATCGGGACATGTCTACATTCATTCATTTACATATTATCTATGTCTGCTTCAGTGCTACAATAGCATAGTTGAGTAGTTTTGACAGAAATAATGTGGTCTGCAAGCCTGAAATATTTAGAATCTGACCCCTTACAGAAAAAAATTGCCAGCCTGTTTTCAAACCTCTCAGCTTCCAGTGTCCTCTCTACCTCTTCTAGCCTCCAAATTGTTGTTGTTGACATCTTCATTCAAAATAATTTTAATTTGTCTCAAATCTTTTTAATTTGATCTACAATGTGCTTCTCAATTTGACCCAACCTGCTGCTTAAGCCTTATCTCCCATCCCTTCTCTAGGTTCACTCTAATTACATTACACTTCTTACTCTTTCCCTTAAATGGCATGTTTTTTTTTCATGAATGTTTATGCATTGGCATATGCTTTATATCTTGGGATACCCTTTTAGACTTTTTTAACCTATGAAATCCTGATTGTTTCTCGAGTAGGTTGAATAGTGGCCCCACCACCCATCCCCCAGCCCCAAGAGAGAAGCCCACCTGGAACCAGTGAATGTGATCTTATTTGGAAAAAAGGTCTTAGTAGATGTAATTAAGGTAAAGACCTTGATGTGAGATCATCCTGGCTAGACCCCATATCCAATGACAAGTTTCCTTATGAGAGAAGATAAGAGGAAAGGACATACAGAGGAAGAGGTGATACAAAGACAGAGGCAGAGATTGGAGTGATGTGCCTACAAGCCAACAGCCATCCTGTGTTAGGAATGACACATGAAATGTGTTCTTCCTCAGAACCTTCAGAAGCAACCAAGTAAGCTAACATCTTAATTTCAGATATCTGTCCTCCAGAGCTATGAGAAAATAAATTTCTGTTGTTTTCAGCCACCGTTTGTAGTGATTTGTTATAACAGCCCTGGAAAAATAATACATCCTCTAAAAAACCCAGCTCAAATGTCATTTTATGAAGGATTATCTGATTATGTGCTGATTCCTCTTTTGTATTATAGCATTTACCAAATTTTATTTCAATCTATTTCTTCAACTCTTTATCTTCTCTAAACACTCTGAACTTGTCCAGGCTAAGAATAAGCACTTAGTTTTATTTTATCCTTCACACTTACCATGGTATCTAGCTTACAGTGACTGCCCCATATTTATTGAATGAATGAATGAATAAATAAATTATAATAGAATATCAGATGACATAGTAAGCCTTGCTTAGAGTCAGTTTATCGGTATTCTATATTTGGTTCTGCTACTTAAAAGTTTGACCACATGACACTTTGATCCTCAACTTGCCCATCTGTGTACTATGAGAGTGGAACTAAGACTTTTCTCAGCTGTGAAATTTTAAGATATCTCATTTCTTTTGAGTGATTTCTTTCATGTCAGTTTCTGTTTTTGTGATTGAATGTGAAGAAAAATATCTTTTAGATTCTTCAGGGAAAACTATCACACTTCTAACATGTTTATGAGATACATGCATATCTATAAATATAGTATGTTTAAAAAGATTTTAATGATTCCTCTCCCTTTCTTTTGTTTCTGGAGCAAACCCAGAAATAACATGATAAAAATATATGAAAGAATTTCTGTTGTTACATCCACAGCAAACAAATTTTGTGGCTTTAAATGGTGAACTTGTCTGTTTTGATAGTGAGTCTAGTGTTGAAACTAAAATTTTTTCAGGATACACTTTGTAATAATTATTAATCATTTGAGGTGTACATATTACACAATAACACAAAAATAGATGCATATAAAATACATATAATTTATTAAAAATACAAATTCAACGTAATGTGCCAAACTAATTTATTGTTTGTAATCAGCTCTGAAATTAGTTTTCTTTTTGTATATAACTCAAACTATTTATTTTTTAATGGTCTGTTTTCAATATTTCTGGTGTGGTAAAATGCTAATGCATCAGTCAATTGATGATATAAGCACTTGGGTATCCACATGTGAGGAAAGCAAGTTAAAAGCCAACAAAACATATTGTTTGGACATTATTTGCATCAGTGAAGATGCACCTTTATATAGGCCCTTCTTCAAAGTGCTATTAAAACTATGACTCAGCAAATCACTTGCAAGATAGTTACTCCCACAAAGAGATAAGAAAACAGAAATGTCAGTATAGTCATAGAATGAAGACTAAAAGTAAAATTACTAGATGAATTGGAGTCAGAAGTTGAGAACCCAGCTTTACAGTGTAGCCAAGTCTTGTTCTGAAAGAAATTAGGAATCCTCATAAAAGCTAATTAGTTTGGAGACCACTTAAAAACCACCCTAGAACTTAAAAAAAGCACTACTTGCCTAAAATGGAAGAAAACCTAGAAAGTCCCTTGCATTTCAAGCTTGAATCTTTCCTCGCGTGCTGGTCACAGAATTCTCTTTCACCTTTTTAAATACAACTCATTTTTATTGAGACCCTATTGTGTGCATGGATCTGTACCATTGATTACAAGTATGCAATTTGATCTGATTCTTAAAACCAACAGTTCTGTAGTCTTCTTGATTATGTGAGGCATGTACAATGCAGATATTTTCTTGGTGCTAATTAAAGTGGCACTGTTCAGAAGGGATCGGAAGAAGCAGCAATCAGTAAAAATAGATGTTTTCTGAAGGCCTCCAAGCAGAAGAGGGGGCTAGAGCTGGGCTTTCCAGGAGGGAGAGACCAACCAGCATGGCAGGGAGAAGACAAGCCTGAGATAAAGAGGTAGGAATAAGAGTAACGTTCATGGAGGGAGTGGAGGAATGCGTAGGTAAGTAAAGTGGAGTACAAGTTAGGTTGGAGAGATCCACATTTAAATCATCCTAGAAATATCGTGTTGTGTTCTATAAAGTCTTATGAAAGAATAAACTATTAATTGAAAGGAACTCATGGTTCTTTGAAGTAGAAAATCCCTTTATTAAATCTAACCCCCAATTTATAAAATATTGGGAACAAATTATTTGGTCTATTTGGATTTGTACACGTACTGCATATATCACAAGTCTCCCTATACAGGTATTAATATATCTCAGCAGCATTAGTACTGATAACTTCATTTTCGAAGTTGGAATGTACCTTAGTTCATGTAATTTCACTCTTGTACAATGTTTAAATTACTTAATTAATTTTGGCATTTATTTTTTATTTATCCTGCAGCTATACCAGCATTTATATTTTCTTATCTCTTTATGGGAATATCAATTGATAGGTTAATCTACTGATGGACTGATTGATTTTCTGCAGTCTTTCCCAACACATTCTCCAATGGTAGTTGAAGACATTATTGGGAGTTACAGGACTTGAATTAGGAATCATGACCTATAAAACTTGTGTATTCCATTAATGTCTCCATTACATTTGCTTTTTTTGCTTCCTGCAATAAGAGAACAATTTTCATCTAAAGCTTGAATTGCCTCAGGAATGCGATAAGAGTTAATCTCATTCACACTAATAGGGAAGAATAAGGGGAAACAGTTACAGATTTTTTTTAAGGTCATTTTTAAATATAATATAATCTCAATCAAAATTTAAAATGGGGATGTCCTATGTAACCAATGCTTGCTAGAGTTGAATCAGTAGAAATAAAAATCTCTCAGAGAGCATTGGCCCTATTTCCTTAAGATGGTCACTCCCCCATAAAGATGTTATAGTTGCTCACTTTTACTGTTGCAGATACACGTACTGAATTTGACATCTACTAATCAGAAGACAAAAGAAGTCTGAATTTACCTTGTAATCCCTGGGCCACAGAAGAATACTGTCAGGACTATTTTAAAGTCTTTCTCCAAGCTGTGTTGTGGACTAAATTTACCTTCCCTTCTATCCTTGGGGACATTGGTCGTTCAAATCAGGGCACTTTTGAGAGTGAAAGGGAGTGCTACAAAATAAAGCCATGAATGAATCTATAAGAGGTATACACTGAATCTGTTCTGGGCAAACCAGAACATAATTCTGTCCAAAGTAGAAGCCTCTTCTGTTATTAATTATCTCCCATATTATCTTCTGAGAGCTATGAATATGAGCTACACTGGCTCAAATTCCACCCTGATCCTCTCAAACTCTTCTAAAACACATTTTAGATTATAAATCCATGATCAACAAGCTTTCTTCACTCTGTTGTAGTGGTCTCGTCCACTAAAAAGCTGATCAGACACTTCAATGATCATTTGACATTCATCTGTGATACTTACTGCAGGGTACTTTGGCTTGGCTTTTCCCTTAAGGACCCTCAGTATAAGTATAGTTTATCTTTCCTTTGGACCCATCAGATTATCCAGAGAAGCATCTTCTAACTGCCTTCACAGAAGGTATTAATGTAGTTGCTAATTCTCACTAAGATGAATAGGGGAAGAGGGCAGAGAAGTGGATGTAATCATTAGTATTTGAGCATTCATTTAATCTCCTTGTTTTCAGTATGACACCACCACACTCAGCTGTGCCTGATGTCTCCTGTGCAGGCACTCTTTGTTTTACCCTATCCAGAGAAGAGATTTCTACTCCTGGGAGTAGGAGAGTTACTTGGCTATATGGAGTCAGTGAGGCAATCTGAGGATCTATTTGTTTTTCAAACTTCCAACCAATTCTCTTATTTTTGCCTTCATCCTGACCTCTACTTTTAGAGGTAGCTGATGCTACCAATTTCTTTTATCTTTTTGAGATGAAGTCTCATTCTGTCACCCAGGCTGGAGTGCAGTGGCGCGATCTCGGCTCACTGTAACCTCTACCTCCCGGGTTCTAGTGATTCCCCTGCCTCAGCCTCCAGAGTAGCTGGGACTGCAGGTGCTTGCCACCATGTCCGGCTAATTTTTGTATTTTTAGTAGAGACAGGGTTTCACCACATTGGCCAGACTGGTCTCGAATTCCTCACTTGTGATCCGCCTGCCTCGGCCTCCCAAAGTGCTGGGATTACAGGCGTGAGCCACCGTGTCTGGCGCTACAAATTTCTTAATGTGGTTTCTATGATATAACTGAAATTGCTTATGAATTTTCTCACTGCCAACCTAGAATTCACCTTGCTTGAATCTTCTCAAGCAGTCACCTTTTTATCATATGTGTTTTTGGCTTACTTTTCCCCTGTTTTCTGATTTCCTTTTCTCTTTACCTTATAGATTCAAGCCTTAAAAACCTCTTCATTATCATTTTAATGACAATACAATAAATTTATTAAGGGAACAAAAGTAAATGAATATGTTTGATTTTTCTTCTTTTTCCAGATTCAAACAGCATTTTAAAATTAGATTATGTTTTACTACTTATTAGTATTTAGGAATGCAGTCAGTTTGGTATATTGGATTTATATGTAGAACCTCTGCTGAACTCTCTTGTTAATTCTAAAAATTAGTCTGTAAAGTCTCTTGGGTTATTCTGTATCCAATTCAGTATTCAACCCACCCCAGTCAGTCTTCCACTCCCAACACTTGACCAAAATTGCTCTTGCTAGGGCTACCAATTTTCCCTATTTTGCTAAATCCAGGGCATTCTTTTCTGTTGTAATTTTAATTGGTGCATTTCAGCAACATTCCATACAACTTACTCATTCCTTCTTCTTGAGGTTCCTTTTCTTCTTGACTTCTTTAGCATCTTATTCTTCCAGTTTCTTTTCTGTTTCTTTGGATGCTTGGTCCCCTTTGATGGATTCTCTTCCTTTAGCCACTTGGAGTTCCTTATTTTGTTCCTTGGCTCTGTTCTGCTATCATTGTTGTCATCACTATCACTCACAGCAACTGTCATTGACATCATTACTAATATATAATTAGCTGTCACAACTGCCACTACCCTTTCAGATTTCTAATCCTTTGAGCTTGAAAAACCAACTCTACAAATTTCCCAATTGTTCAAGCAATTGACAAATCTACAGGCATATCATGACTTGTAGGGTAGGAAAAACAAGGTTTAAGCCCAAATATGTTAATTACAATAAATGCAAAACCTCTGATAAATTCTTATATTTTAATCATCAAGAGTTATTCTAGTAATAAGCTTACTTCAAAGTTTCAGTCTGGGTTATAGGTGGCTAACTAAACTAGACAGTATGGTTTGGTTAGGTCAGACAGAATCAAAATGGATAATTCACAACTATATTAATTATACAGCATCATGTATTGATTATTAAATACTTATATGGTGAACTGGGTTGGCTGGTTTGATTATTCTAAGGCAATCTAGTAGAAATCCAACATATCTGGGTGGTTGAAAGGGTCTTATTCAAGTATAAAAAATAGCTTTATTATTAAGCCTGCAAAGCAATTATTTCATTAAAATTTGAACCTTAGTGAACTTTAGACCTTTTTCAACAAGATACTACCTTCTCTATCACCAAAGAGCATCATTGTCCTTATATAATAATAATAATAATTATATCTGCCATTTATATTGAAAATGATCAGTCTACTAAGCACTTCCATTTAATTCTCAAAATAACTCTATCAGGATAAGCATGATTATTTCCATTTTATTGAGGAAAGTGGGATTTAGAGATGCTGTCACTTTCTCATTTGTTTTCAGTATGACACCACCACACTCAGCTAAGCCTGATGTCCCCTAATAAGTTATGTTCATAATAAGTTATGGAGCTGGGATTCAAACATAGGTCTGATCTGACTGCAATCATAGATCTGGTCTGACTGCAAAGTTACTTGAAACTTTGAAGTAAGCTTATCACTGTATACATATATATATATAGTGCATATATGTGTTTGTGTGTATATGTGTGTGTGTATGTGTGTGTGTGAGCGAGAGAGAGAGAATATTTTCCACTTAATCTTTTATAGCTAAATTTTCTATTAGGGTCCCCACTTGCTTGTATTTTCCTTCTGAATTAATATCTATCATTTGATCGTAATTTTGTTTCTTGAAAATAACCTAAATTTCTTGGTAATCTTATGGGCACATGTCATAAATGATACTGACACAATTTTCTTCTTGGAATAAAATTTTTAATTTTGGGCATTTATAGAAGTATGATTCTAAATCTCAAACAATAATTACCATTTGTGTGAAGAATCATGTGCATCCATGCAACTGTGTATGTGTGTACATATGTACGTGGTTGCAGTAATTCTTGTTATAGTACACATAGTGGTAAATAAATATAAAGGCATTCAGATGTTTAAAAAGCATTGTAAGATGCATTTGCTCTGTTTCCTAATTCTCATGCCCTGCAATCTTGTTTCCAATGCTATTCCTCCTTATAAAAGTGATTTGATAATATCAGACAGGCTACATTTTGATAAATTTAATGAACTATTTTTAGTCCTTTGTGTTCCCACCTCTTCCCTCAACTCTTACACCTTAGCCACTCCCTCCTTCTTGAAGTACTCTTTCTCACTGGTTTATTGACCTAACATTTGTTAGTTTTTATCTATTTCTGTTGCTTCTCAATGAACTTTGTGGGCTCCATTTTCTCTGCTTTTACCATATCTAGGGTTTTTTTCTTACCCTGGATATTCCATGGGTCATCTTATCAATTTCTGTGATTTATTTTTTTCCAAGATTCCCCACAGATATTTCATTGATACATATCTCATTTCTGACCCCTAAATGTGTACAAAATTACTTATGGGAGCATTTCCTTTGCCATGTCTCAAAGGCAGTTTACTGAGTCTCAAATGAAATTCATCATTTCCCATTACCTTGCAACTCTTCCTCTCCTATATTTTCTATGTCAGTAAATGGTACCACTATCTGGTAACTTGTGCCAAATTCCAAACTGGGGAGCCATTTCTTATTGCTTTTTCATGCTCAATCTCTATAACATCTCATTTTTTATTGCTATCCTTCTAATTTTTACATGTTTATACATTGTCACTGCCAATGCCTTAGTTCAGTTCATCATGATCTCCCACTTTGATTACTTGTAACTTATTTTAAAATTAATTTTATTGATGTGAAGTATACTTTAAGTAAAACAGATAAATTTTAGTTTATAATTCCCATAGTTTTGACAAATGTATATACCTGTGTAATAACACTCCCATCAAAATCAGGAGCATTTATATCACTCCAGAAGATTTTCTCTAACTCCTTTCCAGTTGATCTTCCTAATCTCATGCAAAGGCAATCACTCTTCTGATTTCTATTTGTGTAGATGACTGTGACTGTCCTTGAACTTTATATAAATTGGATCAAAGAGTATGTTCTCTGGTGTCTTTTGGTCAAAATAATGCTTGTGAGATTAATCTGTTTTGTTGCATGAATCTGTAATTTGTTTTTTTTTATTGTGGAGTAGTGATCCATTGTGTGATGATATGACATTTTGTTTATCTATTCTCTGGTTGATAAAAAGGATAAAGGATGTGTTTCAGGTAGGGCAATATTTTGGTGGTGTGCTGATTGTATAACAACTATGTTGTAGATTTTCTGTTGCAGTGAAGTAGGAATACAATATATTTCTGTTTAAACAGGAATAATAATTTAATTGGTTGTGTAGGTGAAACTGCAGTAGGAAAGTCTTTTTTACTGAAGGCTTTTATGGAATTTGAAAATTTAGATACTTTGCTTGCTTAATTGTTCAAAAGTTGGCTGTGAGACTGTGCAAGTAGGTTACTGCCTTTATTAGAACTGTTATAAAAGACGGCTATTTTAAGCAAATAGAACAATCACCTGTAATGTTTATGCCCTCAACAGATGAAATGCCCAAGGGAAAGGAATTCAAATTCATTTTCTTTATTACTTAAGCATTTTCTGAGAAGAGCATCAGTTCAAAGCTTAAGGAAAAATGAATATAAGTAATACTTAGCTCAGTTTATATGTTTTGTTTTTATTACACTCAATTTATGAATTTGGAATAAAGATAGTGTGATGTGGCACTGCCACTAATTTATTATCTAAGCTCAGGTATGAAAACATTCTTGGTGTCTCAATTTTTTCATCTATAGGATTCCATAACATGCCTATTTTGCTTATCTCATATGACGATTCTGAGAACATTTTCAAATAGTTACTTTCAAATCATATAGCCACAACATTAGGTAAAGGTTAGCTTACATTTAATTATCTTCTTTTTACTTTTATAAAACTTCATTTTCTATACACTAACATATGCAGCACAGTGGTGAAAATAGTTTTATCACATTGGGAACACATTTTAATACTTCAAATATAATGAAGTTTGTAGTGTAAATATGGTTCTAAAAGGTTTAATATTAATTAGGCTAGTTACTTGCACTTGAGAAATAGTTGCAAAATAATTACTCTTTCTACGCTATATTAAAAATAAATGAGAAAAGTCTGTAAACTGCTTGACTTTGATATTCTTAGAGAAAGGCATTGACATGAGATGATAATTTTAATGTTCAGAAAGAATGTATCCATTCATTTATTCAATGAATATTTGAGCACCTATAATGAACCTGACAGTAGGCACTGGGGATACTGCAGGGAATAAAACAGACAATAGCTGCAGCCTTCACAGTACTTCCAGAAAAATGTGTTTGTCTTATTCTCCTTAATTGTAATTTTAGATCAATTTTTAAATTTATTTTTTCTTTCTTTTTTGAAGTAAAAAGTTTTTAAAATTGATACATAATAGATGCACGTATTTTGAGGTACATGTGATATTTTGATACACTCCTATAAATGTAAAAATTAAATCAGTATAATTGGGATAGCCATTACCTTAAGTATTTGTCTTTACTTTATGCTAGGAACATTCAATTTCTTATCTTCTAGGTATTTTGAAAAGTACAACATATTATTGTTAACTATAGGCACACTTCTGGTCTATCAAATGCTGAATTATATTTAATACTATAAACATAGATGTTTGGACAGTTGTGGCAGAACAGTATGTGGCCAAATGTATGTGTCCCAGTCAATCTGCATGAGTCCACAGAGTCATTAATGATTTTTATTCACTTAGGGAAGTTGATGCTTTTGGTCCTATCTCTAAATATAGTCCTATGTATAGTAATAGCCTAATTAATCAGTCCAATACAACAACTGAACACATAGTAAATTTGGCTTTAGTCCTTATCTTTTAAAGCATTTTCTTTACTTTGTTAATCATCCAAGTTTTATAAAAATGTTTCCCGTTTCTTAAAGGAAGAGATTTTATTTTCCAATTGATTTTGGCTCAGAGAACAAAGTCCAATAAAGATATGGCTCTTTCTCCCTGGATTCAAGCAATATAGATAACCAAATTGGATAGATAAACTGAAAATTCTCAGTGGGGCTTGAATTATCTTGCTGACACTATGAATTAAATATAAGAATGTAAGAAATGTTATACTCAATTAAATTAATTGTCCATGGAGCATGATAGTTTATGGAAAAGCATAATATTTACTCTCCACAACATTGATCTATCTTGAACATCCATTATATTCCCTTAGTAATACACTACATATCAATGCTCTACAAATCAATTTTCTGCAAAGACTTTTTGATCTCATTTCTATTTTCAGTCACTACTACCTTTTTAGCAATGAGTTTATTACCACTTGTGTATACTTCATTTGCATATGTAAGTAACTCCATAAATTTTACTTTCCAAAATACCCATTAGAGTATACTATAATTTGAAATACAGGCTTGATATGGTTTGGCTTTTTGTCCCCATCCAAATCTCATCTCAAATTGTAATCCCCAGGTGTTGAGGGAGGGACCTGGTGGGAGGTGATTGGATCATGGCGGCTGTTTCCCCCAAATTGTTTTCATGATAGAGAGTTCTCACAAGATCTTTTGGTATTATAAGTGGTATTTAATACACTAAATTGTGTATTAAATAAGTGGCAGTTTCCCCTGCTCTCTCTATCTCCTGCTGCAAAGAGAAGACATCCCTTGTTTCCCCTTTGCCTTCTGCCATGATTATATTTCTTAATAGCAGTGTGAGAAGGGACTAAAACGGGAAATTGGTATCAAGAGGCAGAGAGGGGGCACTGCTATAAAGATAACCTGAAAATGTGGAAGCAACTTTTGAACTGGGTAAGAAGCAGAGTTTGGAACAGTTTGGAGGGCTTAGAAGAAGACATGGGAGGCAGGAAGATGTGGGAAAGTTTGAAACTTCCTAGAGTCTTGTTGAATGGTTTTGACCCAAATGCTGATAGTGGTATGGACAATGAAGTCCAGGCTGAGGTGGTTTCAGACGGAGATGAGAACTTACTGGGAAATGGAGCAAAGGTCACTCTTGATATGCTTTAGCAAAGAGACTGGCAGCATTTTGCCCCTGCCCTAGAGATCTGTGGAACTTTGAACTTGAGAGGGATGATTTAGGGTCTCTGGCAGAAGAAATTTCTAAGCAACAAAGCATTCAAGAGGTGACCTGCTTTTTTCTGAAAGTGTGGTTATATGTGTTCCCAAATAAATGGTTTGAAACTGGAACTTATGTTTAAAACAGAAGCAGAGCATAAAAGTTTTGAAAATTTGTGCCCTGACCATTTGGTAGAAAAGAAAACCCCATTTTCTGGGGAGAAGTTTAAGCCAGTTGCAGAAATTTGCATAAGTAATGAGGAGCTGAATGTTAATCACCAAGGCAATGGGGAAATGTCTCTAGAGCATGTCAGAGATCTTCAAGGCAGATCCTCCTATCACAGGCCCAGAGACCTAGGAGAGGTAAATGGTTTAATGGGCCAGGTCCAGGGCCCCACTGCTCTGTGAAGCCCTGGGACTTGGTGCTCTGTGTCTCATTTGCTCCAGCTCCAGCTGTGGCTAAAAAGGGCCAAGGTGCAGCTTGGGTCATTGCTTCAGAGGCTGCAAGCCCCAAGCCTTGGAAGCTTCCATGTGGTGTTGAGCCTATAGGTGCACAGAAGTCAAAAATTGAGGCTTGGGAACCTCCACCTAGATTTCAGAGGATGTATGGAAGTGCCTGGATGTCCAGGCAGAAGTTGGTTGCTGGGGCAGGGCCCTCATAGAGAATCTCTGGAAGGGCAATTCAGAAGGGAGATGTGGGGTTGGAGCCCCCACACAGAATCCCCACTGGGGCACTGCCTAGTGGAGCTGTGAGAAAAGGGCCACCATGCTCCTGACTCCATAATGGTAGATCCACCAACAGCTTGTACTGTGTGTCTGGAAAAGCCATGGGCACTCAATGAGAGTCCACAAAGGAGCTGCCCAAGGCTATAGGAGTCCACCCCTTGCATCAGCATTCCCTCAATGTGAGACATGTGAGACATGGAGTTAAATGAGATTATTTTGGAGCTTTAAGATTTAATGACTGCCCTGTTGGCTTTCTGACTTGCATGAGGCCTATGGCCTCTTTGTTCTGGGCAACTTCTTCCATTTGGAATGGGAACATTTACTTCATGCCTGTACCTCCATTTTGTCTTGGATGTAACTAACTTGCTTTTGATTTTACTGGCTCATAGGTGGAACGGATTTGCCTTGTCTCAGATGAGACTTTGGACTTGGACTTTTGGGTTAATGCTGGAATGAGTTAAGACTGTGGGGGATTGTTGAGAAGGCATGATTGGTTTTGAAATGTGAATGGGGCATGAAATTTGGGAGGGGCCGGGGTGAAATGACATGGTTTGGCTTTGTGTCCCCATCCAAATCTCATCTCAAATTTTAATCCCTAGGTGTTGAGGAAGGGACCTGGTGGGAGGTGATTAGATCATGGGAGCAGTTTACCCCATGCTGTTCTCATGATAAGTGAGTGAGTTCTCATGAGATATGATGATTTCATAGTGGCAGTTTCTCCTGCTTTTCTGCCACTGTGGGAAGCTGTCCCTTGTTTCCCCTTCACCTTTTGCCATGATTATATTTTTTTATAGCAGTGTAAGAATGACCTAATACAAGACTTAATTCATCCCTTTGTTTCTTTTGTCTGATTCTTGCTTGCTTCTTATCTCTCCCATTTGAAGAGTTTAAATTTCTAGCTGATTTTATGTGGAAAACTTTATATCCTTTTGCTCTTTTATAGCCTAGACTCATTATTCTATGAAATACTTTATGATGGAAAGCAATGATAATTATGCATACATTCATAAGGAGGGTGACTACAGTTTTGTTGATGGATAATATTTACCTTATTACCATATCAGGATGGTGAACATTCTGTTCTTATTGTTACAGCAGCACATTAAATCATTGTTTTGAGATAATAGTGCAGATATTGTTTTGATTTTGATCTTGATCTCCACTAAATAGTGTATTAAATAGATTTCCCAAACCTAAATACTGATAACACTTTTTTATCCTGCTAAAAATCACATACTAGATTAGACATTCTTTTGATTTTGATCTTGATCTCCACCACATTGTGTATAGATTTCCCAAACCTAAATACCGATAACAGTTTTTTACCCTGCTACAGATCACATACTGATTGTAATGTGATTTCATACTAGTACTGAATATTCATACTAACAATATTTCTGGATTCATGAACCTTTAGCATTCTTTGAACTCTTATAGATTAGTGTATTTACTTGTATTTGCTAGTTTGTATGTAGCTCATTGTTGCAGTAATCCCCTTCAATCCTACTGGAAGAACCATCCCTTAGATGTCTGCACATGTATTATACCCTGCCTCCTATGTGAAGTCTTCATTTATAGAAAGAGAAAGTATATTTGGGTGATCTTGTCTTCTTTTGTCTCAATGCCTTCTTCTTTGATTGTTTTTGTCCTGGTACCTTCTATAGTTAGCTCTTAAATAATTATCAATAAATTTAATTGATCATTTCAAATTAATACATTTGAAATTTTTTTTCTTTAACACTTTTTGTATATGCATGCATCTGGCATGTTATAATCCTCAAATTCATCGTCTTTAAAATGATTAGTTTCAGCCAGCCTGAATGTGTAGTTTTTACTTGGACTGTAAAATGAATTTGAGAACCAATAAATCTGAACATTTAATTATTCCTTCAGTACAGCAATGTGATATATTAAAGATGTTCAGCTTTAGGAGCACATATTGACACTAAATGTGGACTTCAGAGACATTACTTTCTTTAATGCTGAAAATCATAATTAAGGGGTATATATGCACAGAAATCTTTGCACATTCACTATATCTCTGGAATATTCTAGGAAAGTAACATTTAGAGCTTATCACACTCTAATGGGCTTATCTAAAATTGAACTTAAGTGGCTACTAGAGGAAGTCAGATACTATGGGACTCTGTGCATACCTGTGGCTTGCTGTTCTTCGAACAGACATATTCCTAGGGTAGAAGCAGAGAGCCATTTAGTCCCATATGTGATGATCAGAACTTACCTCTTCCCATTTTCCTTATGTAAACATGTGGCTACTTCCCGAATTGAGATCATTTAGTCTAAAAAATGTGAACGTTGTTTAGTGCATTATTTGTGGAAAAAGAAAAAAATATATTCTCTTTGGGCTGTCTAAAAAAAAAAAATCCAGAAAACTCTGACACTTAGGGAAAAAAAGATCAGAACCAGAATGAGAAAGACCTTTTGTTATTGACTAGAGGTATTGTTTTCCTTCCTAAGTTTCATGGAACACACTGAAGAGTATTTGAAACTGCCTCATGTGGTTTGTCCCCTCCAGTCTGACATGGCACCATTCCATAATATAATAATGACCTGAGCAAGGCGATTATAAGCTGACCCATAAGGGACCAACGTAAGCTGATCTCTCTGCTCTGCAGATGACACAAATAGAAAGCTTTGAACAAGAGTAGAAAGACACACTGTCACTTGTCTTTTCCCCTGAAAAAGCCGGGCCACATTCTGCTCAGCCAACATGTTCCCAGAGGAATGTGATTTAACTTCCGCTTTTCACACAGTCAGAAGCAACACCATAGACCTGTAGGGAAGGTGATGGCCGCCTGGGAGGAATTTGGATAAGTATTTGTCACTCCAGTATTTTCATGTGACCTGACTCTCATTCTCAATTTAGTTACATCTTGACCTGAAAATGCAGCCACAATATGTCTCTCTTCATTTGGCATACCTTAATTCATAATGGGCATGCCTGTCCTTTCCCTTCTCCCACCCTATGCAGCCTCTTCCTGATTTCCCTTGCAATCTACTAATAGAGCCTTTCTTTAGATGTCTGTACATGTGTTTACACTCTGTTTCCCTCTGTAGGGACTTTACTCGCAGAAAGAGAAAATATATTTGAGTCCCTGAGATATATATACAAAGATATCTACCCCAAAGCAGCCTAGGCAGTTCTCCACTTCTTTGGCCAGATTGTCTGACTATTCACGTATCTGGCAGCTTCTATACGACCCCTCATATAGTAAAGGAATTAATATTCCCCACTTCCTCCTAGTTTGTCTCCCCTCCTCCCTCTATCAAACGACTGATTTTTATACATGAGATAATAGACAAGCCTTGGGTGACCTGTTTTTTTTTTTCTTCCCTCCCCCTCTTTTTCCCTTGCGGTAAAATAGTGCTGAAGAAAGAGGGCACTAGTGTACAGCCCAGATCGCATCCTTGCACCGTCTGGATTAGAGCTGAGGCGTCTGCAAGCCGAGCGTGGCCACGGTCCTCTGGCCCCGGGACCATAGCGCTGTCTACCCCGACTCAGGTACTCAGGTATGTCTCAAGTCCATGTCCTCCAAACAGACTCAGGTGAGCGGACACTTCCTCCGGTGAAACCCACCCACAACGGCAGACAAAGTCCCAGTCTATCAGATTTTCCTCCGGGTCCCAGGCGCATTCTCGCTTATGTATTTCTTTTCGTCCTGTATCCTCAGGAAGAGTCGGGACCAATGGGTGCCTGGGTTTTCTTTCTCCTTTTTCTGCCTCACCTCCTGTGCTCTCCTCGCCCGCTCCCATAGCCCCCTTTTCGTCGACTCTCACCTTGAGAAAAGGAGCAGGGGAGGAACGGGAGAGGGAGCCAACTTCAGCCCCGCAGGCGGCTGAGATTTGGCGCCTCTGTCCCCAAGCGGGTGGGTTTGGATATATACCTGCACAAGCGGTGCAAGGTGATGAGAATGAGGGCGGAGGGGCGGTGGGGACTCGAGTGGAAGGGAGTGTGTGTGTGTGTGTGTGTGTGTGTGTGTGTGTGTGTGTGTGTGTATGGGTAAAGAACTCAGAGGAGGGAGGTTGAAAGAGCAAAGCGGGTCAGGGAATTGCAACTCACTGGTCAAAGCGTCCCTTGCAGGCCCTGCCAGGGAATGTCTGGCTGGACCGAGCACTGTCCAGGGTCCTGAAGGCGGCAGGGCTCAGGCTGCCGCGGCGAGAGCAACCCGGAAGCTCCCCTCCGTTCCCTTTCTAGCAACTATGCAAACCCCAAAGCAAGCGCAGGACCCCCCCTAACCCGTCCACCCACCGCGGGAAACAAGTTACCTTATCTGCACCCCTTCTTCTTGAACATACACAGCAAGCCTGACTTCTTACGGGGGAAACATACCAAACTCCTCCATACGGAGACTTTACCAGGCGTTGCCTTAGTAACTAATGTGGATTTTCTTCAAGCTGGCAAATTTATATTTACAGCTGATTTTATGTCAGGGCTTCTTCAACCCCTCAAAATTAAAGTAAAAGGTGCATCCTTTGTTTACGTTTATTTTAAAGTCGCGCTTCCACCTTTACAATGAGTTTCCAAATTTTCTTCTGAAAAAAAGTTGATCTTTTCCAATCCGGAAAGTTCTCTTGGGTTGAAGGACCTAGCTCCTCCCCTCCTCTCTGCTCACCTTCCCCACCGCCCTCCAAGTTAGAAAGCATGATAGGTTTTAGGGGACCAGGAAACGACTTAAGGTTGGAGGAGCGGGCGAGTTGGCGGGGCTCTGCGCCGCCTGGACCCGTGAGGACAGAGGGGGCAGGACACCCCGCCTTCCTCAGTGACCACAGCTGCGCTCCAAGCTGTTCCTGCAGCCGATATCAGGATGTGCCGAAATGAAACGGACAAGGCAACTGTTAACATTATAGACCCCAGAGTTTTAACACAGGTCCTCTGATGACAAGGTTGTGATTTTTCTCTGTCTTTTGTCAGCAGCATCTAGCTCACCGCTGCCAACACGACTTCCACTGTACTCTTGATCAATTTACCTTGATGCACTACCGGTGAAGAACGGGGACTCGAATTCCCTTACAAACGCCTCCAGCTTGTAGAGGCGGTCGTGGAGGACCCAGAGGAGGAGACGAAGGGGAAGGAGGCGGTGGTGGAGGAGGCAAAGGCCTTGGACGACCATTGTTGGCGAGGGGCACCACTCCGGGAGAGGCGGCGCTGGGCGTCTTGGGGGTGCGCGCCGGGAGCCTGCAGCGGGACCAGCGTGGGAACGCGGCTGGCAGGCTGTGGACCTCGTCCTCACCACCATGGTCGGGCTCCTTTTGTTTTTTTTCCCAGCGATCTTTTTGGAGGTGTCCCTTCTCCCCAGAAGCCCCGGCAGGAAAGTGTTGCTGGCAGGAGCGTCGTCTCAGCGCTCGGTGGCCAGAATGGACGGAGATGTCATCATTGGAGCCCTCTTCTCAGTCCATCACCAGCCTCCGGCCGAGAAAGTGCCCGAGAGGAAGTGTGGGGAGATCAGGGAGCAGTATGGCATCCAGAGGGTGGAGGCCATGTTCCACACGTTGGATAAGATCAACGCGGACCCGGTCCTCCTGCCCAACATCACCCTGGGCAGTGAGATCCGGGACTCCTGCTGGCACTCTTCCGTGGCTCTGGAACAGAGCATTGAGTTCATTAGGGACTCTCTGATTTCCATTCGAGATGAGAAGGATGGGATCAACCGGTGTCTGCCTGACGGCCAGTCCCTCCCCCCAGGCAGGACTAAGAAGCCCATTGCGGGAGTGATCGGTCCCGGCTCCAGCTCTGTAGCCATTCAAGTGCAGAACCTGCTCCAGCTCTTCGACATCCCCCAGATCGCTTATTCAGCCACAAGCATCGACCTGAGTGACAAAACTTTGTACAAATACTTCCTGAGGGTTGTCCCTTCTGACACTTTGCAGGCAAGGGCCATGCTTGACATAGTCAAACGTTACAATTGGACCTATGTCTCTGCAGTCCACACGGAAGGTAGGCATTATATTTGGGAAAGAAGGGTACTGAGAAAGTCAGGGCAATGCATGATGTGCTCCTGGGATCATAGTATTGTTCCTGTTTATTTCTAGCACTGTGGGGAACGGAGTTTACCCTTCTCAGTACTGCCCACCCAGGCATTGCCTTTTATCCTCATTTCCTTACAATTATAGTGTAGGAAAATTGTACCCCATAGAATATCTGAGGATAATAGGAGCTGAAAGGGTATCAAACTTTCCATGCAAAGTGTCCAGCAGTAGATTTGACTTGAATACTTGTTTGCCCTCATATTTTGAGTTTGCGTTTGGAAGGCTTATTTGTCCAAGGTGTTATATTGCCCTTCAGTGACTGGCTATGACTTTCCAGGTGTAATGAGTTAATTCAGTGTGAGTGATTGGCAAAAAGAAGTTACTATTCCACAAATAGGACTTCAAAGCTTTATCTTTCTTTAACAGTTGAAGATTTTCTTTGTCCTCTTGTACCCCTTCTTACATATCCAAAACTTTCCTGTGAATGTAGGATTAATGCAGTCATCTCCCTCAGTATATCAGAAACTTATATTTTTACTTCTGGAGTACCTTAGTTACAAAGAAAAAGTAAGTAATTTAAATAATGTATTTTCTTCTTACTTTATAGGCTAAAATCATCCAGATTCCCTCACTCCCCCAAGAATTATCTTGTTTTATGAGAAATAACACTGGTGACCACTTGGATTTGAGTTTTGGTTTCTAGTCTTTTTTCTTCTAACACAATGAACTTACATATTAGAATTAAAGTTAGATCAGTTATAAAATACTAATGAATGGATAGCAGATATTAGGTTTATAATGTCTTTCTAAAATGCAATAGATTAACCTAAGGTTAAAAGCTTTGATTTTTCCAGAGACTTATGGATGTGAATTTTCAAAAATTTTTTATATAAAGATTTTCTAGACTCTCTTCACCTTAGGTTATATACATTTTTTAATAAAAGGGGATTTCTGAGCTCAGCTACTCTTAAGTCCCCCAGTAGGTTTATGAAAAAGCTGAAGCCCTGGTTATAAATTAACATCTAGGACAATTCACATGTATAAGCTGGCAGAAGAAGACAATCTTGCTGGTATTTCTGTATTCATATTTCTTCAACTCAAATGACTTTCAAGAAGCCATAGGCATGGCTCCATGTTTTTTTAATATTTCCATAATATTCAGTTACTGGCGTGAGGTCTGATTATAGAAATTGACAGCATCCATAGTGAAGTGATTATATGGTTATCATTATTGAAAACATATACTTTATAAAGGGAACAGAATTTTCAGAACAAACATAAATGATATAGGATTACACATTATAATTTCAGATTTTGCTTTTGGAAAAAACTATCTGCTGTGATATTATAACTTTATAATAACTGACTTATGCTTCTGAAGCTTGATTTTTAATCATGAACTGCGTATCTCTTTTTGAACAAAAATTCATTACTTTTTTAAGACTCAAAGTATTAATTCCTTATATTTTAATATTTAACTTTACTACATGTTAATGTTTAGCATAGTTTCTTTAGTGCTTGCTTAAATGAAACATCCTGAAAGAGCAAGTTAAAATGTGTTAAATATCATCATTGGATAGATCCAAAGATGATGGCAAAGAGAATGGCAAAATCTAGATTGAATGTGATTTATTTAAATATTTAATAATATTTCCCCCATTGAGCTAGATAATTGATTATTAATATTGGAAGTATAAATTCTTTCTTCAGGAAGAAGTAATGCTTCATTATTTTTAAACAGTGGTTTTATTTTCCATATTTCATTATAAGATTGTTTTATTTGGTGAGAGGTGGCTAATAGTGGGTTGCTTTCTGAGGAGTAGAATTATGTTTTTGGAAAATGAATTGAACATGTTTTCACTAATTTTGCTGCGAAAGGACTAATATTATAATTTTGCCCATGTGTTAGTTTGGATTACTATGTTTCCTTTCTGCCTTCTGATTGGTGTTGTATGGCAAAGACAATGTCTCCGTACTATTATAGTAATTGATTCCAGACTACATTGTGTTCACAGAACAGCATCATAGAAATATGTGGGGTTTATTTTATTACCAAGCAGTTACACCATTCACCTTGCCATTCATATATAATACCTTGTTTCTTCTCAAAGGGAATTAGTTACTTCTCTTATTAAACGTAACATCTGTAAAAACTAAATTGCATTTCTTTCCTTCTATCTGGAAAGGAATTTTGTGTAAGGTCCCACTGAAGATTCATTTTTCCTGAGGTTTTGCCCTCCTGCTTTTCAGGGCCCCATAGTGTACTGGCCTACAGGCACTTCCTTGGATCATTTAGTAATTTTACTGCTTTCAGACTGATGGGGTCGCTTATTGGTGACAGTTCCCTGTCAAATAGCAGAGAAGACCACATATCAGGGTTGTCTCTGTCGTCTGAGCACTATTCAGCAAGGAAGCCAGTTTGTCTGGATATTGGCAACTTAGGGCTTAGAAATTCTGGGGCCTCTCGTGACCTTCATCTCTCCTTTCCAAATCAGCCATTCCCTAGTCAATTCATTATCATCGTTTCTTGTATTAGAAGTTAACCAAGAATAGTTAATACCAAAAGCACTAAGTGACTGGACTAGTGTACCTTCATTTCTGTAGTTAATTGTGAGATTATCTTGAAATCATATTGTTTTTGAATGGTACAGTTGTTTTTATATTACTTTTTTTTATATTGAAGCTAAACTTGCAGATATTTTCTGTTTTGTTTTGTGTTTTAACCAGTTACAATTTAGTTTTTATATTCTCTTACATTCTTTTCAATCTTATATCATATTATTTGTACCACACTTGATACATGACAATTATCAATTTACATAAAATGAAAGAAAATCAGTACACATAAAGTTACCTGCAATGCAATAGACTCTCCAGAAATTGTTCATGATTAGCTCTGGAGGCAAATGTTAAGATGAGCCTGTCAAGGGGGAGGCAGGATATTGGAGTAATGGAGCCTTATCCACAAATAAAGTTTGAATGCACTTTGGAGCAAGCTGCCTACCTGGAATGTGAGTCTTTAAATATGCTAAGTATATAGTAGAGAAATAGCCTACCACTGATAAGAATATCTCAGCCAAGGACACTATATTTTGTTCTTCTGATAAAATACAGATTCCCCGTCAAAAAAACAAATTTATTATTTCAAATGATTTTTGAAAACAGTACTTAAAAATAACTGTAGTTAATAAAATTCAAAGCATTGAACAAGTCCAATAAAAATGTTCTTTGAGTATGTAGCTACAAGAATTTTTTTTGAGTGGATAAATTTTCATTCATTACTTTTATGTATTTATTTATTTATCTTAAGCCTTTCTTCTAGTATTTTGTCTCAGTTACTTAGATAAGTATTGATATAATAATGAATTTAGTGATGCTGCTTCCCTTATTAAAATATCCACTTTAAGGTAAACTTTTCTTTCCAGTTAGATTTTGATCTTGGTGTGACATTTTTTTGACATTTGCTTACATTTTATATAAAATTGGCCTTTTTGAGCTTCTTTCCAAAATCTGATTTTTTCCTTTTTAAGTACTTTTTTATTTGATATAAAACAATTAAAAAGTCTAATGACATCAGAAAAAAGTCCTCCTAAGTCATAAATACATACTTTGATTAATGCAATTACCTGTAATAATTTTATATCTACTAAATATCATATTTCCTATCTATGTACCAGTAACTTTCTATATATCTTTCTTGTCTTGATTGCAACCTACTTCAAAGGAAATTATCTTAATACATTGCTCATTTTATCATATAGTAAGAAATAGGAGTGTTTTGAAAGGTTATTCAGGCCAACTAATAAAAGATGCTTAGAACATCACATTACGTGCTTGCCCACGCTCAAAGCTTTCTAATTGTGATTAGGGTTTCTAATTAGAGTAGGAGTATATCGGAGTTAAATTGAGAGCAGAATTTCACCTGACTTTTAGTCAGTTCTTCTATGTAATGACCTAAAACAGATTTCTTGAAGTTTCCACCAATCCTTCATTGAAGACTAGGAGTCATCCAAAACATTCAAGCTTCTTTTCCATGTGACATTTATCATCAATGAATAATCTCTCTTTTGTAGTGTAGCTCTCCAGTTCCTTCACTCATGCATTTCATTTTTTACTTCCCTTACCATCATAGCTGACTAGAGTAGATCTTACATCAATTAACATCCCAAGGTCTTTTCAGAAGTGCTGCTATTAATCCATATCTCCTTCCTTTTATGCTTGAACAGTTATTAATTTTGTTACTGTTACCATTAGATTCAAGAGGAGGACTTGAATTTTTTCCCTTTAAATGTAAAATTATTAGCTTCAATCTGCCTTTCTAACATCAGTAAGTTCTGGGATTTTGATTGTTTAATTTATCTTAGTATTCCAGCTTTGTGTCTCCAGGATTTAACCATATACGTTAAAACCTGAATAAGATAAGGGTCGAAAGTAAAGTCTCAAACCCTTTCACGAGCAAACTACCTGGCTAATTCTGGTGTTCACTCAGCCTATTATGAATTTCTTCTATACAGTGCTTTTCCTCCTCTTACTATACTACCTTGCAAATGTATAAATGGCTATATGTAGTTTAAATGAAAAGTCATCACAACAGATGACTTTAAGTAAAGATTTACTGCATAAAAACTTTAAATAACAATTTTGAAGACTTAATTTCGGTTACTAAGTAGTTTTTACTTTAAGGGGAGTGCAGTTTAAATACATGTAAAGTAAGTAAAAGCAATCACAGTATAGACATTTATAAACATGAGTTTATTCAATTGTAGGGAACTGAAAGAATGTATTAGTGGTGCAATTATCTAGAGAAAACCTGGAGAAAAGGGAATTTTGGTTAGAGTTTTGTTTGGAAACATAGCATTTGTAAAAGAGACAGTATTGAAAGTACTGTAATGGTGTGAAAAAAACAGATTTGCTTATCTGGAGGAAAGAGTCTGGGGTAAGAACTAATAATAAAAACAGAAGTAAGTCCTAATATTCTGTGATTACATCAGTCTTTATAGACATGAAGGACAAGTAATGGAGAATCTTGAAGCATGTGACAAAGAGTTTTGGTTTCAAGAAAGATACATCCAAGCACAGTTAGACATGTGAACTTTGGCCAAGAGAACATATATTATTGGCAAAAGTTGGTGAGTGGACGAAAGAAAAGCCAGATATTGTTACGAGATACTTTATTTGTAATTTTTTAACAAGTGTTCATATCCAAGTAAAACCTTGTTTATCCATAACCTTGATTCTCTAGCTGTCTACTTTATACTTGAGAGTTGGTCTCTTTAAACACCAACATTTACATTTAAAACATTTTATGAGGTGATCTTTGCAAACACTACTGTAAGGTCCCCTAACTTCTTTTAAAGACAGTGCTCAATTTAATGGACATTTTCCTTGAATATACCAAGTTATCGTGAACATAAATTTTTACCTTGCGCTGGAATATGGTGGTAATCTTGGAGCCTGTTAAAAAAATATAAGGCCATTTATTATTACTCAAAATGGCCACAAATTGCCATACTTAAAAATTTTTATCTTTATTTTTTCTTTTATATCTTGGCTGGATTTATTAAACTCATTTTTAAAGTCATTAATCAGTATTTAGCAAACAGCTATTATGTGCATAGAATTAGAGTGAAATCCAAAGACGAAAAAAATGACACTTTCATTATTTTGAGTAAACTTGAACTCTTTGTGATTCCTTTGCCACACAATCACCCTGTGACTACGTTTATCTTGCTGCAAATTTTATAAGAAGCTGTCCTTCATAGGGTAGGTGGTGATGGCAGCTTCCATTTTATGTTTCTACCGTGTGGCTTGGCAGTAGCCATCCTTCTACAAGTATTAAAATTTTTGCCCTTATGATATAGGGAGCTAATATACAATAACTGCTTTGTGGATTTTCAGTAACTGGGCAGTGACTGGAGTGATGGGTTCACAAAGAGACTTATCAAAAGTCGTGTTTTCGGCATACACTTTTTTAAGAACACAGAGGGCTGGGGAACCACATCCAGAAAAGAATAGTTTGGTGAACACCTACAACCACTAAAAAAACTCATGGCACATGCTGTTCTGATATATGTTGGAAACAGCATGTCAGTAGGAGAAAGTTGTCAATTTTCAGAGAAGCTGTAGTTGAAAACCAGAGTCAAGACAAGGCATAAAGCCTTGTCAAAATGTCACTGTCTTATGCAACAGAGAGTTATCATTAGATTCTAAAATTATATAGAAATATTTGCTACTTTTTCCTGTTTAATTGTTCTCTATGAATGTCTACAACATTTAAAATCTTAACTTACATGAGAAATTATAATTTTAATTACCTTCTGTATTCCAGAAAGCTTTACTCTCTTAAACTTAAGGCATTGTAGTACCAAATAGAACATTAATGTTTTTATGAAGAGAATTGCTTCTCAGAAATCTCCAATTATCAATTTTAGGATTATCTATTTTATTTATTTCATAGCCAACAAATTAAATATTCAAGGCAATTATCTAAATATCCAGGTAAAAGCCTTAATTTGTAGTAGAAGCACAGGATTTTGATAGGCAGAAATTCTTTGATTACCTAGTAACTAATTTGCCTTCTAATAAAGACATTTATAAATAAACACGTGACTATTATGCATCACATATTTTTCTTGGTGCTAGTAACACATAAAGTAATAAAAATCAATAATAATAACTATTATTACTACTAATATTTGTTGGAAGAGACATGTAAATATATAGACAGTTATAGGCTCATGGGTTAAAAAGAAAATGTTTAATTACTGTTTTGAAAAATGCACAAAACATATGGGAAATACTGTATGCATGCACATCTCAGTTTCATTTGTAAAATGGGAATTATAATCACTACCATGTTATATTCCTCACAGCAGCTTTTCAAAGAACAAGAAGATGGTACCCATAAATACATTTCAGTTGTTTTTCTTAAACTGCCACCAAAGCGATGACTTCTTCTCAGCTGATGAATATTAAGCAAGTCCAAGAAGCCAGTTAATTGGATACAGATTTTCGACCCTAAACCTAGTAATATAAGATTAAAATGAAATTCATGATTAAGATAAAGGTGTAGCATCTACTATAGACTTTAGGAAACTTTCTTGTTACAAATGAGAAAACAAAAGCCCAGAAAAATAAAACAAAATGACTTGCTCAAGATCATAAAATTCATCAGCAGCAAAGCTAGGACTAATTTAGCTTTGTTTTAGATACTTTCTCAAGCCAAAGTTTTCTTTCTTTCTTTCTTTCCTTTTTAACCCTCATGCACGCCTCTCATGTGAGGTCCATACTATTTAGCTCAACTGTGTCTTTCCAACTTTGCTGCTGTCATTTAGCAGCTTCTAGGAGATTCCTCTTCTGAAAACTCACTCTGCTGTTAGTCTTCCTCTTAATGTCAGCTCTTACCTTAGTTTTGGATGACTCCAACATTCATGTGTTTGTCCCACCAATACCTATCCTCATAGCTCATTGATCTCAGCTCTGTGTTCCTTGCCTTCTCTTTAGCAACCCACTTACCCTGACCACAATCTGGTACCCTGGCCTTGCCAATAACTATTTTATTTATAAATTTTTAAACATGAGAAAGTCACTGAAAAATAGAAGCCTCTCCTTTTCTTCAACTTCTTTTGCTCCCACCTCACCTGCTCTCCACATTTCTCTGGAAGGTCTGAATAAAGCCATTTTCTCAGCTGATCTGGTTTCCCTTCTGCATCTGAGCAACTCTACCTCCATATTTGTGCTTGTTATCATCTTGTAATAAAAGTCCTTTCGCAGAGAAAATAAACTTTCAATGTAGAGTGACTGCTCCACATGAAGCTCTATTTCAGGAGATTATGAATTAACCATTTTTTTTTCTCCAGCTCCTTCAGGGCAGAAATGTAAAATAAGACCAGAATTAAACACCTTGTTAAAATGAAAGAAGAAAGGATGCCTTCTCTATGAGGGTTGTGGTTAACAGTGGGAGATGACACATGGTCAGACATCTCTGTGACACCATCTCTACCACAAGTAACTAGAAGTGGTATGGAGTGGATAAGGATGAGAAAATTAGAGAAGGGTGGCTAGAGTTGAAATCCAGAGATCTGGAATAGGATTGACTCAAGGGATTAATAGAATTAGGCATGCTTAGAGAGCTATCAGGGTGAAGTATACAGAAAACAGTCCCCTAAGTTTATTATACAGATAAGATGCAACAGTGCTCCATATAGGGCTAGGTAGATGTAATAGATGTAAGATGTCATTATTGTTGTCATGCTATTCTAACCTTAATTAGGAAGATGCCCTTAGCTTAGATGAGCCTGTGTGAAGTAAATACAGGGAAGTTCTGTGGTGGAGATGTGAAAATAAAGAGGGAAAATGCTGATTTACTAACACTGAGTGGCGCATATTCAACTTCTCATTCTCTCCCTTTATAAAAATTGCACTCACAGCATGTGGCCCTCAATGCAAATCTTTTGATTGGACAGCATATTCCACAGCTATTGTTAAACAATCAGAGACAGTTTCCTCTGTTCTCTGTGGTGCTATAACACATTTTATAATTTGTTTGTTATAAAAGGTAGAACAAAAAAATCAATAAACAAATTGCTGATAGTATGTTCAAGAGAAAAAAACTTTATGAAAGATTTTAAAAGGTTATATCAGGATATTGAAATAGTGGAAACAGCTTATAATAAAGAAATTCAATATCCTTTTTTTTCGATAAATAAATACATTATTTGTTATTTTCAGGTTTTGGTTAACAGGTACTACTCTACTGGCAGAGAAGAAGTCATGTCCAGATTCCTATCTCAATTTTTATGTTTTGTAGCACATTCTTTGGTTTGACCAATGCTATAGTCATTGAGGAGTAGAGATAGTGGAATTATAGTCTTCCTTTTAAGAAGTTCACCACATGGTGATTACTATTCAGTTTTGCTAAGTGCAACCATAGGAGTAGGCATGAGGTAGAGAGACAACAGAGAGAACTGTGATTAGCTCCCTCTGGTCCAGGGAAGCAGTGAGGGAAAGCTCATAGAAGGTCCCCAGAAAAGGTGACATCTGAAGTTCACTATATCCGAGGAAACAAAGGAGTAAATTCAGTAAAAGCACTGACATAGAAAGCAAAATATGCTCAGGGACCTCTAAGAATATCATTAACTCTAAAGTATATGTCCTGGGAAAATGAGTGGGGAAGACCAAACTGAAAAGAGAGAAAGAGCCTAGGTCATGATGGGACATACTTATCAAGCCAAGAAAATTAGACTCTTGGAAACATGGTGAGCCAGTGAAGAATTTTATGCAGGAAGAAATCAAGATCAGATTATATTTTGGAAAGGGCATCTGGAAAGCTTTGGAGAAGACAGATTAAGAAAAGGAGTCAAATTGGAAATTAGGAGACAAATCTGAAGGCCATTGATGGTTGAGGGAAGTGGAGAAGGAAAGGCCAGTTCAATTAATTAATTTTGTCAAGAGATGATTAGAGTTTTACTAAAGAAAGTGTCAATGGAAAAGGATAGAGGAGAATGAATTTGACTTTCTATGTAGCAGGGAGGTTAGTGTTTAGTGAATGATTGGTTATGAGAATCAAGGAAAAAGAGAAGTCTAGAATAAGCCGCAGGTCTATTTTGTAGGAATAAATAGGGAATAAAGAGAAATCGCAGACTGGGAAAAAATTAGTTTAGGCTGTTTGAGTTTGTGGTATCCATTGGACAATAAAGTCAAGGGATCCCATAGGCCACCGATCTGGAAAGAGAGTTATATTTGAAATTTGTCAGAAAATATCTGGTTAAAACCATGAAAATTGATGGGATTGCCAAGGGGGTAAGATATAAAACACAAAAAGATGGTCAAGGGCAGTACTTTAAGGCATGTGAAATGAGAAAGAGTCTACAGAAAAGGGAAAAAGGACAGTTTAAAAAGTAGAAAAAGAAACAGGAAGAACCTCATGTTATGAAAGCCAATGGAGGAGACAGTTTTGATAATAGAACAGTGACAAAGAAAGCTGATGGGTAAAAGAGGAAGAACTATAGAAACAGTGTTCTGTACTAGTAGCGATACATGAGACTGTGTAATTTATATGCCACAACAACAGTGTTAGAATGTTCTGAATTTTTATACTTTTACCTGTGAATTTTATGCCTTCGGATGATGTTCTTATTGCATGTTAGTGTCCTTTTCTTTCAGATTGAAGAACTCCCTTTAGCATTTCTTCTAAGAAAGGTCTGGGGGTGATGAATTCCCTCAGTTTTTGTTTGCCTGGGAAAGTATTTATCTCTTTTTTATGTTTGAAAGTTAGCTTTGCTGGGTACAGTATTCTCAGTTGACAATTTCTTTTCTTCAGTGCTTTGTCATCCTGCTCCCTCCTGGCCTGTGGTTTCCACTAAGAAGTCTGTTGCCAAACAAATTGGAGCTCATATATGTTGTTTTCCTTTCTCTTGCTCCTTTTGGGATTATCAACTTTTGAAAGTTTCATTATTATATGCCTTGGGGTAGTCTTATTTGGGTGAAATCTGTGTGGTGTTCTCTACCCTTCTTGTACCTAGAGATTTATATTTTCTCTAGGGTTGGGGAGTTTTCTTGTATTATTTCTTTATGTGATCTTTCTACCACTTGCCCTTTCTCAACTCCTTCTTGAAGGCCAATGACTCTTAGATTTGCCTTTTTGAGGCTATTTTCTGGATTTCAGAGGCATTCTTTATTCCTTTTCTTTTTTTTTCTTTTTTCTCCTCTGAATGTATTTTCAAATAACCTGTCTTCAAGCTCATAAATTCTTTCCTCTGCTTCATCAGTTCTGCTGTTTTAACCCTCTGATGCATTTTTTTTGATTCAACTAAAGTATTTCTCACTCCAAAATTTCTGTTTAACTTTGTAAATTAATTATTTCAATCTCTTTGTTAAATTTCTCTGATAACTTTATAAATTGCTTTTATGTGTTATCTTGGAGTTCACTGAGTTTCTTTAGAATTCTTATTTCGGATTATTGACCTGAGAGCTCACATATTGCCATCTCATTGGAGTCAGCCACTGCTCCTTGCTTTACCCATTTGGGAAGGTTATGGCTCCCTGTTTGCTGGTGTTTTTTATGAATGGATATCTGTGTCTTATTGAAAGGTTAGTTATTTATCCCAGTCTTCATTCCCTGTGTTGGTGTGGTCTGTCTAGTGATGTGTATTTACAGGTTCTATGCTGGTTGCCTGTTGAGTCCCCTTAGCCCTAGACAGCTGCCTTTATTTTGGCACTAGATGGTGCCCTAGGCCCAGGTTTCCCACAGCTCTCACACAAGTTGGAAGCACTGCCCATTCTGGATTGGGGAGAGGGGTCTCCAAGAGAATTTCTCTGCTGTTTGGGAGGCTGACTAGGAGTTTATGCCCAGAAGACTCATGAATGTGCCTCCTACAATGTGGTGCTGCTGAACCTCCTCTCTGACTCGGTATCTCCTTTGTCTTCTGCTCACAATTTTTCACTTCTCTGTGGCTTCAAGGATCTTCACAGCCTCAGCTTCGAATTCTGGGTTATTGGTGATGATAATCTTGACACTAGATAGTTGTTTTTGGTTTTCTGTGAGGAAGATGGAAGGCATATTTCTTCTACTCCACCATTTTGGTGATGTCATACCCATAGACGGAGTAGCTTATAAATAATAGAAATTTATTCTCTCACAGTTTTGGAGAAACTGGCATGTCCAAGATCAAGGCACCACAAGTTTGGTGTCTGGTGAGGGCTGCTGTCTGCTTCCAAGATGGTGTCTTGTTACTGCATCCTCCAGAGAAATGAACTCTGTGTCTTCATGGTGGAAGGAACAAAAGGGCAAAGGAGGCTTAAGCTAGTTCTCTCCAGTTGTTTTAGAAGGCACTAATCCATTTTTGAGTGCAGGGCCCTCAATGACTCAATCAAATTCAAAAGTCTCTATCTTTTAATACCACCACAATGGGGATTAAATTTCAACACATGGATTTTGGGGGACGTTCAGACCATAGCAAGTAGCCTCCACTTCCTCCTAGCTCTGTCTTTCCAGTAGTGTGTCAGTTTATAAATCAATTGGAAGGGCAGAAGCCAGGAGGAAGTGGAGGCTGCTAATATGCATCCTTGTTCCTGAGAAAGGGAGATGAGAGATCCAATGATAACTACAGAGAGATGTACTTCTAAGTAAAATAATCCTTTAGGAGGGGAAAAAATTAAGCAGTTTTAAAGGCTGATGAAAAAGAGTGAGTAGAAAAGGAAAATTTGAAGATAATTGATCAAGCAAGGTTGCTGAGGAGCCACGACAAAGCTGTGGCAGGGCTAGCCTTGAACAGAAGCCTTTTCTCTGCGTGGTGATGTAGTGAAGTTCGGGAAAGAGGAGAAAAGAGTATTTGAAAACAACATTTGGTAGCCTTTATTTTCTGAATTATTCAATGAGGGAAATGGAAAGAGAGAAGAAACAGGTCAAATACAAATAGAGCATATTTTTAGAGGAGCCAATTGAGATGAGAAACCACATATTCCTAGTAGTGTTAGTTCATACTATTTTGACATTCTCTTCACTATTGTACAGCCCTCAGTTACAAGCAAGAAGTCTCAGCTTTCATAGCAGTTAATTAACTTGGCCACCTACTGGCCCAATGTCCAAAAACACCAAAATCTTTCTTTAATTTACTACAAAGGCTACTAGGTGCCCATCAGAGATCAGAGCCAAGAATTATCCTTTATCCAGATCCTCTCAAAGGGCCAGATAAGAGAACTGATATTTAACAGTGTCATCTGGGAGATCATTACCAACCTCTCTGTATGAAAATAGGTTTCCAGGGGCCACCCACAGTGGCTCATGCATATAATAGCAGCACTTTGGAAAGCTAAGGTGGGAGGCTTGAGGCTAGGAATTTGAGGCCAGCCTGAGCAATATAGCAAGACCCCATCTCTAAAAAAAAAATTAAAAAATAACCGTGCATGGTGGCGTGCACCTGTAGGAGGCACCTGTAGGTGGAGGCTAAGGAAAGAGGATTACTTGAGCCCAAGAGTTTGAGGTTGCAGTGAGCAATGATGCATTCCATTGTGTTTCAGCCTGGCCAACAGAGTGAGACCTTGTCTAAAAAAAATTAGGTTTCCAGAATATTACATACTTGACTTTGTTTAGTCTTCCTGAAGAATTGCCTTTTCTAAGTAACATGTTAATATTTTACTTTTTCATTTCTTAAAGGTCAGAACAGGGATTAAAAATTTAGACAATGCTTATCATTTTCATCTATTTTTTGTTGAAGATATTGCCTGTGCTGCTTAATGCAACTTGTATAAATTCATCAGAAACATATTATTTTTAGATTTAAATGTTATGATAGTATTTGTTTCTCTTAAAGAGCTAACATGTTTCATCTTAATTGGTAATGAGAACATTGCATTTTCTGTTTATCTCTTGCCTACCAGGAAGCTCAAAACTAAAATTAATGCTCAATCACAGAATATATTCTAGCTTATGTGCATAGATACTAGCTTCTTCCACCTTACTTCAATGGCATTAATTTATACTTTTTTATAATTGTAAAATATCTCAACTCTATTTTTGGAAAGAGTCAGGTGATATATATATATATATATATATATATATAAAGGGAAGTGACCTCCTCGTAGGTGTATATCTCAACCAGAATTTCTGTATGCTATGAAGCAGATGGTAATGACAGGTGGAAAGTTTTTTTTTAAACTGTGGAAACTGGAGGTATCTTACACTCATAGTTTAATACGCTAAAGATGAGAAGATCTAGTGTGTACAGAAGAATCCTTGAGTGTTGATCACATAACAGAAGAGAATCATACTTTTTCAGATTATTTGAAATTCCTTTCTTGGCTCAGATGCTCACCTGTTCCTGCCATTTCCTTCTTAGTGCATTCTGGGACCTGCCATGAGGCTGTGTTTGGACATTTTGTCCCTTTTTGACAGGGCATATGTGTGGCTGAAACATTCTGTCTTTCTTCCATGTTCAACCTCGATATGGGTGCCTCTGTGGATTTATAACAGTCTCCCTTCCTGTTTTCCCCTTTTCTCATGTTTATAATAAAAATAAATAAAATCTGGGAAAGGCGAGTCTGTTTGTAAAGTGACTGCTCAGTGAGAAATGGAGAGGAAGCTTGCTTTTACCCATCTTCTAACTTCTCCTGGTGTTCTCATGCACTTCCCTGGCCATAATTACTTGTAGTCTGGCAGCCAGTTTTGTTGAATGTTCTAGGTAGGCTCAGTACCTATGATGCTGTCTTCTACTTCATTCTTGTTTGCCTTAAGGGCAACATGATGTAACTTGGGAAACCGAGCTTGATATAGGATGAGAAAATGGAAGACACCCTATGTCTCTTAAACCTGTTAATAAGGTGGTGATTCAATCACAGAGAATAGAGGGAGGTACTGTGTGTTGATACATGTGAGGGATAAATTAATCTTTGGCTAGAAGCACCAAATTTGAAACCATGAAAAGGCAAATTCATTTTTTTGGTCTATGTCAGTACATGCTAAAGGAAAGTTTAGTATGAAATATCTTTGATATGCCATTTTAAAAGTAAAATCTTACTTGAAAAGAAACTGCCTCTTAAAAATGAAAAAAAATCGAGTGAGTGATTAATTTTTTGAAGTGCTTATATTCTGCCTTTTACAAGGTTATTTTAGGCTCTCCTTGGTACAGAGGAATGCAGTCAAGGAGTCTTAAACCTTATTGTTCATACAAATCACCTGGGGAGCTTCAATTACAGATTCTGACTTAGTAGATCTGGGGTGGGCCTGAGCGTCTGTCTCTACAGGCTCTCAGGTGGTATTGATGCTGCTGATTTCTGGACCGCAATATGGACAGAACCTCTGGAAGCCCCTTCTCATAATTTACTTCTTATGACAGTGTATTGTAGATGCTTTCCCATACATTTATGAATTATTTCCTGCAAAATCGTTTATATATGTTTAAGAGAAATGTTGTTTGATTCTCACATAGGCAGAAAATGGATTTTAAAATGTGCAAATTTAAAAAATTATAGAAAAGATATTTATCTATTCATTTCTTACATTTAATGATTTTAAAAATATGCATTAGCTAACCTGAATAATTACTGAATGTAGCATTGTAGTTAATCAAATTTCTGGTTACATCAATGCCTTCTCCCGCTAGAATACTTTGCCCCCAAAAAGTATCTGTCCTGGTGGAATATAAACTGCTGGAAAGTAAGATCTTAGTTTTGTTTCATTCACTGATATTTTTTCAGCAATTAAAGTAGGGATTCGGACACTGTAGACACTTGGTACACATTTGTTCAATTGAATTAAGTATGGAAGGCTTTTGTTTCAAATGCCTTTTCTGCCTTAGTAAGGGGTTTGATGATTTAAGAGCTTACAGGGCTTCACATCAATTCTTAGTGCCTAGTACTGTAAATGTAAATGTAAATGAAACAAGATGATCGATTATTTATTCAACTTCCAAGAACCAGCAACATTAGAAGTCTTTGGTTTTTACTAAATTTGTTGTAGATTATTTTTCTTTTGCTTCTTTCTCACCAAAGTGGAATACAGCAAAAAAAAAAAAAAAAAAAAAAAAAAAATCAAATTAATTGCATGTTTTGTGGGTAGACTCTACTTATTATCACTCTTCCCTTTTTCCCTTTTTAATCATTGAAGGAAAAATCATTACATTTACTGGCAATTAAAGCTCACAGATGTTATATTTTTCTCAATCACTCTCTTTATATGAATACTGGTATCTAGTACCCTCTCTTCCTTTTACACTTTAGCGCCCGTGGGCAGCAAGAGGTGTACTGAGTAGGAGGACCTGGATTTGATCTCACGTCCTCTGAGAACAACCTCCATGACTCTGGACAAGCCAGGAAACTGCTTTAAGTCCATCTGTCTTCTCATCTGTAAAGAGTCTGTCTTGCCTTTGCCTTTCTTACACGCTTCCTGTGAGACCCAAATAGTTGATGTGGAAGTACTTTGGAAACTGTATACTTTTATATACATACAATTAGCTGCATTATATTCTACTATAGCTTGTATTGTTATTTTCTCATTTTTATTATTAATAATTCCTCCTAGCCTCTACATTTACCAGAAAGTTATAAACAACCACTATTACTCAGCATTTATTTAAAATGATAGATTATATGCTAAAAGAGAGTATCTAAGTCCTTGATTTGAAAAGAAAGCTTAGATGTGGGGTTACACACAGCTAGTTACTACAAGATGCATGATGCATGACTATCATTGTAGCCCAGCTTTTTCTCTCTACAGCCTCTGAAGGATCTCCTGATCATTGACATTAATTTCTTCATATGCTCTGCCTACTGTCTGATTTTCTTCCACCCTTACTCTTTGTAGGTGGGCTTGAAGGGTAACCCTCATATTTATATCAGTAAGCCAGCAAGTTAGTCAATTTATTTTATAAAAACTGCTCTACTAATTATTAGGCAGTGCACCAGGCATCAGATATTAAAAATGAATCCAGGTGTGCAGAGGCCAATAAAGTTTGGTAACATAAGCAAATATATGTAAAAAATTATCCAGATATTTTATTACAGTACAGTAAAATAATATTTTTTATGTTTCCAAATTTTATGGGTACCCTGCAGTTCTTACCATTGTTTTTAGTCCAGATGGAGGGCTAGAGAAAGGATTATTGCCACATCATTGTGAGAGGGTGTGAGGTCCAAGGGAGGGACAGGTTACTTCCAGTAGGGATATTGGGTAGGTATTTGAAATAAGAGGCATTAAAACTGGGTCTTACATGATAGCTAGTGTTACAAATGCAGAGCTATATGGAAAAATAATCTCACATCAATAAAATCATGTAAATCAGGGATCTGAGTAAGGTGCTAACAGGTATGCAGAGAATGGTGAGTGGTTTAATTCATCTGGAGCAGAAGGTAGTTACAGGAGAGTTGTGGAGCTGGTTGGAAAAGCGGACCCAGATGTCAGAGTGCTGAGAATGTCAGAGTTTGAATTTGTCTTCCATCTGCTATGTTAGTCAAAATAGAGTAGACCCTCTTTTGCAAATTTCTACCAAAGACTGATAAATAGGGATTTATTTTTAACATTTCCTGCCCACTCATTTTTCGGGTTCTTTTTTCCTCCTTGTAGCATTTGTGTTAGAAAGCGACACCTTTGCAAGGAAGCCACCTTCTTTGTTTGTCTAGAAAAACATCATTAATCATACAGTCCATTTACATTTCCAGAGCAACATAAATATTTGATTTTAAGAAGGATACAGGCAAACTTATTGCAATGTTTTGCAGCTAGAGTTGCAGCCTCTGTGGACATGTGGCCCGCCTCTCAGTGAAGCAAAAGGCATATCACAAGCTGGTTTCTCAGCTGTGAAATGCCACTACTTAGGTCACATGCCTCAGGAAAAAAAAAAAAAAAACCTGCCAGGAGCAACGCCTTCTTCTTGGCAGAGAGGCATGCCACCTGTCACCCAAAGCTGCTGTCCCCTCTAGCATCATGCACAGATAACTTTGCTTCACTTCTGCATGTGGGGAAGTTGTGTTCTCTGCCTTTTGCAGTGTATTTCTCCATGGCATTTATCTAGTGGAGAATTTAGTTTGAAACTTATTGAATTGGGGTTTATTGCCCATACTTATTGGACAAATCTTAATCCAGAAGAATGGTTATAACCTAGAATGACACTGGGTGAAAATTTGAATTGTGTTTCACATGAAAGATGGCATATAACAGGCATATTTCCACCTGACACCTAGCTATGATGCCACCCTTGGTGACAGAGCAAGATCACTCCTTATGTCACTCCTTAATAGCATGCATGGGTTCCTGGAAATCAGCCTTAGTGAACACATTCTGGATCCTTAGAACCATGCCTCATCAACTCTTAAGGCATAGAAAACAAGGAACATAATTCACATATTCACAAGCAGGTAAAGCACTCCATACAGCGTGTACCATATTTTAGATTTCCTCCATATCTTTGTAAGGTCTGATATGGGGTTAAGCACAAAGTGCTTAATTAATATTTGTTGAATGAATAAGCAAATATTGTTTTGTTAAGAGGCAATCTAATAGACATTTGGGCTGGCCAGGGTATTGGAATTCCTTGGCTTCATGTTTCTCTAGGAAGGACCTATGTAAAACCTCACTGGGACTTACTTTTAGGAAGAGATGCATGTTCTTACTGCCATAATAATGCCATCTTGGCACAAGTGTAATACTTAAGAGTTAAAGCATTTTCCTTTGCGTTTTTGAGTGATTCCAAAACATATGCCATTAAAACCATTAAAACATATGCTTTTTCAAAACATTTCAAATATAATTCTTATTTTTGCCCTCTGTTTTTGTTATGGGTTAATTGTGTCCCACCACACCCCCCAAAAAAGTTGGAACCCTAATACCTGATATCTCATAATATGAGCTTATTTGAAAATACGAGCTTTACAAAGGTGATTTAAATGGTAAAGTTAAAATGATATCATTAGGGTGGGCCCCAATCCAACATGATTAGTGACCTTATAAAAAGAAGAAATTTGGATACAAAAAAAGACACGCACACAGGAAGAACACAATTTGAAGATGAAGACGGAGATTGGGGTGATGCATCTGCAAGCCAGGGAATGCCAAAGATTGTCAGCAACCACCAAAAGCTAGGAGAAGGCATGGGACAGACTCTCCCTCACATTTGTCAGAAAGAACCAATTCTATCGACACCTTAATTTCAGATTTTTAGCCTCTAGAACTGTGAGAGAATAAATTTTTGTTGTTTAAGCCACCCAGTGTATGCTACTTTGTTACAGCAGCCCTAGAGAACTAATACAGTTCTTTTGAGGCTATTATATTGTAAAACCTGCTCTAGGTTTTGGTACTTTCTGCATGTGCTAAAAAAAAAACTAGTGTTCACGGTGCAACTGATGCTCATCTTTTTATCGACTATTAATTGCTTAACTTTTACCCTCCCCCTACCATGTGAACCACCACCTTCTACTCATAAATGGTAATATAACTCAGAGGTATGTTATTGTGATGGCTAATTTTAGGTGTCAGCTTGACTTGATTAAGGGACACCCGGATAGCTGGTAAAGCATCATTTTTGAGTAGGTCTATGAGGGTATTTCCCAAGAGATTCACATTTGAATCAATGGGTTGAGCAAGGAAGAGCTGCCCTCAATAATGAAATAAGCTAAGGACCTATATAGAACTGGAGATGGGACCCCCCTTTTCTCCTTTTCTTACACGTCAGTACTCCAGGATTTACGACTTTGAACTCCAGGACTTGCATCAGTAGCTGCCTAGATTCTTAGGCCTTTGGCCCTGTACTGAGGGTTATGCTATCATCAGCTTCCCTGGTTCTCAGGCCTTTGGACTTAGACTGAGTCACATCACTGGCTTCCTTGGTTCTCCAGCTTGTAGACAAGTTACTGTGGAACTTCTCAACCTCCATAATTGCATGAGCCAATTCCCATATGAAACCTCCTTTCATATCTATCTATCTATCTATCTATCTATCTATCTATCTATCTATCTATCTATCATCTCATGTTGGTTCTGTCCCTCTAGAGAATCTTGACTAACAAAATTATTATTATTAAAAAATAACAACGATGGCAGTACCATGGAGTGAGTATTTATTGTGTGCCAAACACTGTGCAATTGTTCAATGTTCATTGCTTCATTTGGTCCTCTCGATAACCCTAGAAGGTAGGTACTATTATTATTCTTGGAAGTTTAAAAATGATCATCTAAGTCATACAGGTAAAAAGTGGCAGACGCAGGGTTCAAACCCAGTCAGTCTCATTCCAAAGGCTTAGTGTCTGATTACTACGTATAATCTCCTGTATAAGGAGACACTAAGATTCAAAACAGGCTTATGAGTTTTGAGCTAGATATTGTCAGCATTTTTAATGTCTAAGTGAGTAAGGAAAATGTAAATAACCGGTGCAAAGACTGTATTACCATGAGTGAGGGCAAAGTCTTTTTAAAAAATCAGGTCCTGGAGCTATATTGCATTCGACACACCTGTTCTTGTCAACCAGAAGGACATAGCCCAACTCATTACCAATTCAGAAAAGGATAAAATAAATGCACACTGGGTCTTCCTTTTCTGTTTTCTTCATGTGTGTCTCTCTAGAAAATGTGTGTCTCTCTAGAAAAGGCAGTTCTACTCTAAAGCTTGCTCCTGTTTGGCTGCAAGTAACAGATAGAGGGAGGCATTGTCAGAGGGTAAGAGTAGCTACACACTGATTTGTTTTAAAGCACACTTGATCCTTGAAAAACCTTCAAACACAGTAACTCCTGGAAATGATGATAAAAAGACATGCCTTCTTTTCTTCTGTATTTAGAACAATTCTATAATTAAAAGAAACAAACATATCCATATTTCTAAAAACAAGGGATATTTTTAAGAGGGGGGAGGGGAAGAAAAGCTATATCTTCTCTTTGGAAATTTCCAGGGCATTAGTAATGGGAGTTTACTGCATTTTGAAATTTGACAATACTCTTAGCTGCTCATTCTCCAAAGCAGAATCTACACACTGCCAATTAATTTTCCATTGTAGTGTTAGTTCATGCAGAAGCCAGCCTCTCTTACTTAGTCCCTAGTGTGATTACGGCATATGCCTATGAGATTCCTGTTTGTTTGTTCATTTGCTTTTGTGGAAGGAATTCCGGTATTAGGCTCATTTGATTGGACCAAATAAAGCTGATGACCTGTGAACCTGTGATCCAGTGAGGAGGATACATAGAGTCTATGGTTTCATAACAGAGCGTTGCAATCAACCCTTCCTGGGAAGGTCTACCAGTGACTTTGGCTTACCAAAAGAGCTACTAGCCTTTTAAATTTTGGTTCCTCCATTTGTAGTTATAGTTCAAGCAGACACATAATAAAAAGTCTGGGTATGAAGGAGGGGGATTAGTGGTTAATAAGGAGACTTGGACTCAGACACATCTGCTTTCTTACCCTATCTTAGAGCCGTGTGACTTTAGGTGAGTCACTGAGACTCTCTAAACCTACTCCTCAAATCTGCAAACCAGAGATTATAATTGTACTTACTTCTCATGCAGCTAACAAGATAATGGCTAGCATATAATAAGAACTCAATAAAATACATAAACATACACACATAAGCTAATAAGGTGGTGGTCTGATATTGTGTATCCTACAGTGGTTAGCTTCTATTGGAAGTGACTTCCCCTCCATCTGTAAATATGATACAGTGCTCATCCTAAGTCTTTTTCAGAGACCTACACTGGAGCTAGCACATAATTTACTGATAAAGGGGAAAAGAGGAAGATTCATATAGAGAATAGACTGAGAGCCTCTTAGGCATCTAACTGCTCCCATCCCTTGACTGCTTTGCATCTGGAAAATTTGCAGTGTTTAATATGCTCCTGTTAAAAGGTAATGCCTTTGGAAAATATAGCACTTAAAGCTATGATCAGTTATGACTTCAAGATTTTCAGATAAGTGGTTAGGGGGTCATGACAGAGTAGTGCCTGCAGCGGGGAGCCAGTCCTTCACAGGCCAGTTGGAAGACATCAAAGGTTATTCCTATTTCATAATTGTTAGTGGATTTTAGCTATGAACATATGTATAGCATTTCCTGAAGTTTCCTGAGAATCATCTTTAATCATCATCACTACTGTTTCCCAAGCACCCTTATATAATCTTCTTGGTTTATATAAACTAATGGCTTCTACTCTGTACAAGGTTGCGATTTGAAAAGGCACTGGGAAGAAAATACCAGTTGCAAAGGGTGGTGGAGGCTGAAGTCATGTCAACAAGATCATAAGGCTGAAACCAGATATTTGTAATGCTGCTTGTAACTTTCTCGAGAGTAGGATATATCTTATATCTCTTCTGATTTATATAGCACTTATTACAACTCCTTGTACATAGGCTGAAAATGTTAGTTTAAATAAATTGACATTACAAAGTAGGATTTTTTTAAATTTTAAATCAGAGTTGTGAGGCTGTGAGGAAAACATGTTCTTTATTTGTCTGAGGGAAAGAATTAGAGATTGGGAGCAATTTCTGTAACCAAACTTTCCTCAATATTATATTTACTTTATTACATTCCATTTTCTTAGTCATTTATGGGCCATAAATTCAGCCTCTCTGTTGTTTATAACTTAAGTTTTTATTTTTTAATTTTTGTTTAGGGCACTGGTTGTCACTTCTGGCTGCTCATTACATTTATCTAGGGAGCTTTAAAACCTATAGATGCCCAGCCCCAGCCGTGGAGGCTCTGCTGGAGCCTGGAAATCAGACTCAGGTGTTCACAGCCCTTCCCATGGGGAGAAGGATGGGGAGTTAGGGAGAGAAAGGGGTAAAGAGTGTGTCTAGCATTGCAAATGTATAGGGTGAGTCTGCCTAGTATCATCTGGTATCACCTATCCCATCCCACTCAGCCATGGGTCTCCTTGCCATCCTTGAGCACATGAAGGATGTACCCTCATTAATGCCTTGGTGTTGGCTGTTTCCTCCAGCTGAAATCCACTTTCTTCAGCTATTTTTGTGGCTGGCTGCTTCTTTTCATTTAGATCTTAATTCAAATATCATTTCCTCAGGAATCCCTTCTCTATATAAAGTATAACCCTTCCCCTTTCACTTTCTATCCTGTTGCTTTGTTGTGTTTACTTTGTGCCATTTCCTACTATTGGAAATTATCTCATTTATGCAATTCTTTACATATTTGTTGTTATACTCACCTACTAACAGGACACCGTCATATTTCCAGAACCTAGAACAATGCCTGATGCCCCAAAAGCTTGAAGTATACATTTTTGAAATAAAAAAACCCCGGGGTTTTATGTTTATAACAGGAAAGACAAATATGTGACTAGACATTGCTAATTGACCTACGGTACCCTTTCTCCCAGATTCTGTAACATAGTTCTCAGCACCATTCTCAGTTATCCATCATTAGCCTTCAGATGGAAACTTCTTTTATACCCCTGGTTTAAAAAGTAATTTTTTGTACCTAGCTTATTTCATTTAGGAAATTAAGGCTCAAATAGGTTTAGCAAATTTTATTTTTTTATTCTTTCTTTTAAATCATTCACTTCACAATACTTATTGAGAATTTAGAATACAAGAAGCAATATTTTGTACAAGGTTTTGCCCAACATGTCTCCAGAACTTTGATTTTGTGCTATGCTTGGTCATAATATATTTTTCAATATATATTTGCAGAATTTAATTCAATAGAGAGCTTAAAACTGATTTAAATTACTTTATGTAAGGCATATATGACAAATGTAGGTGGGATGATTATAATGTAGATTATAGGATCGACTTAGAGGCTGAAGGGATTTCAGATTATCTATTCCAGGAACCTCATTTTGCAGATGAGGAAGTTAAAAACCGAGATATAATAGTTTGTTTTTCATGCATGCTTGAAGGATGAATAAAGGACTGATGGACTGAATCCTGCTGAACGTTATGTGAGTTTTTTTGTGGCACAGCAGATCTCTGAACCCAGTTCTTGGTCCAGGGCTCTTTCATCCCCACCTGTGATCCCCAAATGCATGCAATTAGAAACATCTGGGGATATTGCAAAACATGCTGGGAATGGTGTTCTGGGACTCATATTTTTATAATCCCCTTCCTCCTTAGGTAATTCTGCTGCACAGCCAAATTTGGGACCACTATGTACGTGATATTATTAGTATATGAATGTGCCTCAGTTTTAACTGAAGAGATAAGGAGGTTCCATATAATGTATGGAGAATACCATTTGTAGGACTTTCAAAGAAACCCTCTACTTTTTGCTTAGCTACACAGTACCAGTCTGAGCTAAATCTCAATAAACTAAAGACTTGCTTCTGACATTTAATTAAATCCAACAGTTATTGACTATGAGAGATAAAAAATGAATAAGATATACTTCTTAATATAGATTATTTAAATCCTGCTTAAATAGAGGACAATAAATTACAGAACCTTGATATTCCCCTGAATTTTAGATACTCATGATTTGTTGGGCTGTCAGCAATGTGTCTTATACCTTGCAAGGTGCACAGGGATGTTTGATTTGTTCTGATTTACTCTCACATGAAAGTATCAGCTTTTTCACTTAAACTGTCATGGAATTATCTACCAGTACTCAAAGTACTCTTTCATTATTTACATTCTCTGGATGATTGGAAGAAGAAATGGAAAACAAGCATCATATATTTTCTCTCCCATATTTTCAGATTGAGCAGTGATATATTTCATTATATAAAATATAATAATTATAAAACAGATTTAATTTTTCTATGGAGGTAGCAAGCTGTTTCCATAGCAAGCTCTGCTTTTCCTGACCAGCTTTCCCTTTCTGTACCTTATATTTTATCCAAAATTATCTGTCAGCAGTAAAATATTCTATCCATAGACAATTCTCTATATGCTCTTCACAGAATGTTCAGCCTAACATAGTTTATGTCAGGGGGCATAGACATTCATTTCTCACATTTATGGAGAGGAGAAAGGGAAAGAAACATTTTAGACGGTTGTTAGACTCCAACAGCCATTGGGAGATCCAATGTACACTGGGTGCAATATATATTTTTATATTTGTTTTTTAATGCTCTACCAGAAATGTTTTATAGAAAGAATAGGACAAAGATTCAACTGACAGAACAACATATGTGTGTATAATTTTTCCCCAGAGGAAAAAACTAGGGATTTTAAGGAGAGGGAAGTCTGTGTCATTGTTAGTGTCAGCGACAGTTGTCTCTCTTATCTGCTATGGCAGGGAAGATGCAGGGGTGGGTGTGGAGGGCAAGTGATGGGTGCGGGTAATAATTGGGGGTGGAGGGGAGCTGAGTGCTGGATGAGTGAGGAGATAGGAATGGGGCGATTTGCCTTGGGTTCACGCTAAGCTTCCAATAAATGTAGGAATCTGCATTTCTTGTTCATACTGTGTTACGGGCAATTAATACAGCACCTGGCACATATGAGCTATTTTTTTAAAACATGTTGAATAAATGTATACTTGAAAATGTATGTTGAATATCTGCTTACAGAATTATGCCATACTTTTTGGGAAAAATTAAGGTTAATAAATAGGATGAGTGGTATTTAGATGTGTGTATTGCTTCTAGCATAATATTATGGATACAACTGGCACATAAGGAAGTTCTGTGGCCCAACCTCTAGCATGGATGTTGAGTTAAGTCTTACATATTTTAATATTTTAAATACATTTGAAATAACTAACCACACCTTTTTTTAATTTTTAGGAAAGCGTGCTCTTATTTTCATTTTCCATTAAACAATTTTTCCTGAGAATGAGAAATTTCATCCAAAATCAAAGTTATTCCAAAATCATGACTTTCAATTCCTAACATGTCGTGTTAACTTTATTATTCTTTCTTTTATAGATATCAACTCTTGGATTGAAATTTTAAATGCAAATTCAATGAGTCTTTCACTGAGTGGTATGTGTTTGTGTTTGTGGGAACAGAATTGAAGGGCTGGGGAGGTGTGCTTCTTTTCTGACAGCACGTAGGCAGCATGTAGAGCAATAAATAATTTCCCTCGGCAGCTGTAAAGTTGGGTAATATGTGGTTTTACATTTATAAATCAAATGGAATATAAATGATTGCCAACTAAAATGAAAACATAACTGTAATGAAATAACTTGAGGAAATGGAAGCTGGATTGCCAGTAGGGAAAGAAATGTGTATTTACTTTATTTAGTGAATTTTAATGAATTGTATTTATACACATATGCTTATTAAATAAAAAGTCAAAACAATTGAATTTACTCAATTACTAAATTGATTTGAAGGGAAGCAGTTAGAGACTAATCAGTGAGAAGAACCCTCCAACTGATTCATTGGTTAGTTAACATATTTACTGTTTACATGAATTCAGTCTCACTTAAAACCATACAAAGAATGCTTTCAAAAATAGCCAGATTAGAACTCATATTTCTCATCTTGGTGGCATAATGGGAAAGTTGACATGTTTGGAATGCAGTATCTTTCTATATAATTAGCTATTTTAAAAAGTTTATTTTTCTAAAACTATCTCACACAGGACAATCTGGACACAGAGACCACAGGTTCTGACATTTACAGGGACACACAGGTGAGGCTACAAGGGTAACTGTGCAAGAACCTGAGTGAGTGGGAACTGGCACCCTCTCCAGCCAACTGTGGTCATGGGAGAAGGTAGACCTGCTGTTGCCAGGTCTCTTATTTAAAGAAAAAAATAGAAATCAGAAATTGTATGTGAAACGTCCCTGTCTTTACATTGCAGCAACTAATTAATTTTTTGAAACACCATATAGACCCAACAAAGCCTAACTGTGCCCAAGCTGCTAGTTTGAGAGCACTGCCTTAGATAGTCAAGTGTAGTGGCAAGAATACAACCATTAGAACTGGACTTCCTGGGTTCTAACTAAGCAAGAATTTAATGTCGAACCTTCGGCATGTCACGCTTTTACTCAGGGCCTTCTCATTTTTAAAATTAGGGATTTGTGCCAAGTGATATGTAATTGAGTAGCTTTTAAACTTTCGCAACATCTGTGCTTTCACAAGGAACAGTAACTGATCTTCAGTCATTAACATTTTCGTTTTCACTGTGAACTATGCGATTTCTCCAAATATTTGAAATCTGCCTACTATTGGCTTCTCTGAGAGTTGTTTATGAACATTTGTTGAAACTGACCAGAGAAAATACTGTCAACTTGTCTCTGAGTCTAAGCAAATTGTTAGCAGAGTTTCAGTACTTGGCTATCTCCTGCTGTAGTAAACATATTAATAAGCTCTCACCAGAAGAACTGTGAACAGATGCAGTTCTTGAAAACACAGTGTCCTTGTCACATTTACTTGTCTGTCTCTCCTAGTGAGCAAGCCTTGCTTGTGGTATCCTAGTAAATATTCTGTTTTTTATGTCATAGCCAGATCATAGTTCAATTCAGTACAAAAATCACTGTAACCAGTAACTTTGATACACAGAGCCTAAGTCATAAGGGAAGATACACAATGCCATGTAATGAGAAGACTTTTTATCTTTTTCATCCTGTCACACAATTTCTTGTATTCTGTGACACAATTCCTTGGAGCCAGAAATAAGAATAGTACATTGCCTTTGTAGCCACTTTTCAATGTAGAACTTCAGATGCTTCAAATACGATAAATGCCTCTACACAACATCTTGTATCATAAATTGGGAACTATCCCCAGTGTAGCGGAATAACCTAGGCATCACACATAAGCACCTCTGTCTTCACTGATAACTAGCTGAGTAACCTTGAAAACGGCACACCTTTTTGAATTTCCATTTTATCTTTTATAAAGATGCTACATTAAAAAATGTGATAGGGTAGTTGAGAGGATCACAAGAAAGCAATTAGATATGAAAGTGCTTTGCAAAAACATAGAGCACTGTATATCAGCGAGATAACATACCAATCAATCTCTTAACTCATTCAAACATAAGGAATAGAAGTACAACTTGAATAAAGCAGCTTGTTGAATCCTAAAGAATTGCATAATTCTTTGGGATTTGGAATTGACCTCCTTGTTCTCTTCTACCATTCCTTCTTTCCCCATTTTAAACCATGTCTTATTTCTCAACCATTTAATTAATTTGTGACACTGAGTATATGGAATCAAACTCAGAATCTCAGAGAAAAAGATTTGATATGTTCCCTGAAGAACTCTAAAGAAGATTACTTTGGTTTGACTTTTTAATTTTTTTTAAGAAATTTTTTATTTTCATTGGGTTTTGGTGAACAAGGAGTATTTGGTTACATGAGTAAATTATTTAGTGGTGATATGTGAGATTTTGGTGCACCCATCACCCAAGCAGTATACACTGAACCCAATTTGTAGTTTTTTGGATTTACTTTTTTAAAAGAGTTATATATTTAATATTCATTTTTTCCGTCTCTCTGGACTTCTTCCAGTTTTTCCACATTAGTGTTAAAATTGAGGACTTCGGGTGATTGTAACATCACATACAGAATTATGTAGATAACGAGCTGTCATCTTCTTTTTGCGTATTCTTACATGATAAACAGTTTCCTAAGTTTCTACCTAGTCTCAGTATTCATGATTTAGAGTGGTGGCATGATATTCTATAACTGGCTATACAGGTGTACCTCAGAGATGTTTTGGATTCAGTCCTAGACCACTGCAATAAAGCAAATATTGCGATAAGTGAGTCACACCTATTTTTTGGTTTTCAGTGTATATTAAACTTATGTTTACACTATACTATAATTTTTTAAGTGTGAAATAGTATTATGCCTAAAAGTGCATACCTTAATTAAAAACAGTTTACTGCTAAAAAATGCTAATGATCATCTGAGCTTTCAGCAAATTTTAATCTTTTTTGGTGGCTGAGGTCTTGCCTTGATGTTGATGGCTGCTGACTAATCAGGGTGGTTGTTGCTGAATGTTGGGGTGGCTGTGGCAATTTCTTAATATAAGACAACAATAAAGTTTGCCACATCAATTGATTCGTCTTTTCATTAACGACTTCTCTGTAGCATACCATGCTGTTTGATAGCATTTTACCCATATTAGAACTTGTTTCAAAATTGGAGTCAATCCTCTCAACCCTGCTGCTGCCTTGTCAACTAAGTTTATGTAATGGTCTCAATCATTTGTTGTCATTTCACAGCATCTTCACCAGGAGCAGATTTTGTCTTAAGATTCCATTTTCTTAGTTCATCCAGAAGAAGTAACTCTTCATCTGTTCAAGCTTTTTCATGAAATTGTATTAATTCAATCACATCTTCAGCCTCCACTTCTAATTCTAGTTCTTTTATTGTTTCCAACACATCCGCAGTGACTTTCTCCATTGAAGTCTTAAACCTCTCAAAGACCTTCATGAAGGGTGGAATCAACTTCTTACAAACTCTTAATAATGTTGATATTTTGAATTTTGATCTTCTTTAGTGAATCCCAAATATTCTTAATGGCATCTGGAATGGTGAATCACTTTCATACGGTTTTCAATTTACTTTGCCCAGATCCATCAGAGGAATCACCATCTATGGCAGCTATAGCTTCATGAAATGCATTTCTTAAATAAGACTTGAAAGTCAAAATTACTCTTTGATCCATGGGCTGCAGAACAGATGTTGTATTAGCAGCCATGAAAACAACATTAATCTTCCTGTACGTCTCCCTCAGAACTCTTGGGTGACCAGGTGTATTGTCAATGAGCAGTAATATTTTGAAAGGAATCTTCTCTTTTCTGAGCAGTAGATCTCAACAGTGGGCTTTAAATATTCAGTAAACCATGCTATAAACAGAAGTGCCGTCATTCAGGCTATATTGCTCCATTTATAAAGCACAGGCAAAGTAGATTAAGCATAACTTTTAAAGGCCTCAGATTTTCAAAATGATAAATGAACATTGGTTTCAACTTAAAGTCAACAGTTGCATTAGCCCCTAACAAAGAAATCAGCCTGTCCTTTGAAGCTTTGGAGCTAGCATCGACTTCTCCTTTCTAGCTTTAAAAGCCCAAAGCTTTATGTAGTTTGTCTGCATTCAAAATCACTTGTTTAAAGTAGTCACTTTCATCAATTATCTTATGTAGATCTTGATAACTTCCTGCAACTTGTACATCAGCACTTGCTTCTTCATCTTGCACTTTGATGTTATGGATATAGCTTCTTTCCTTAAAAATGGTTTCTTTCCTCAAGAACCAACCCCTTCTAGCTTCAAACTTTTCTGCAGAATCTTTCTTACCTCTCTAAGCCTTCATAGAATTGAAGAGAGTTAGAGCTCTGCTCTGGATTAGGCTTGGCTTAAGGGAATGTTGTGAATGGTTTGATCCTTCCAGATCACTAAAACTGTCTCCTTAACAGCAATAAGGCTGTTTCACTTTCTTATCATTTGTGTATTCACTGTGGAGTAGCACTTTTAATTCCTTTCAGGGACTTTTTATTTGCATTCACAACTTGGCTAACTTTTTGGTGAAAGGGGTCTAGCTTTTCACTTATCTTGGCTTTCATCATGGCTTCTTCACCAAGCTTAATCATTTTTAACTTTTGATTTAAGAGGAAGATGTGCAACTCTTCCTTTCACTTGAACACTTAGAGGCAATTATATAGGTTTCTGTGTTTTTTTTTAATTTTTATTTCAGGCTCAGGTGTACATGTGTAGGTTTATTATATAGGTAAATGGCATGCTGTGGGAATTTGGCGTACAGATTATTTCATTGCCCGGGTAATAAGGATAGTACCCAACAGGTAGTCTTTTGATCCTCACCCTCCTCCCACTCTCCACCCTCAAGTAGGCCCTGGTGTCTGTTGTTCCTTTCTTTGTATCCCTGTGTACTCAATGTCTAGCTGCCATTTATAAATGAGAACATGTGACATTTGGTTTTCTGTTCCTACATTAGCTCACTTAAGATAATGGCCTCTAGCTCCATCTACATTGCTGCAGAGGACATGATCTTGTTTATTTTTATGGCTGTATAGTATTCCATGATGTATATGTAACACATTGTCTTTATCCAGTCTATCACTGATGGACATATAGGTTGGTTCCATGTCTTTACTATTGTGAATAGAACTGTAATAAACATATGCACATGGGTGTCTTTATGGTAGAATGATTTATATTCATCTGGGTGTATACTCAGTAATGGGGCAGCTGGGTTGAATGGTAGCTCTGTTTTAAGTTCTTTAAGAAATCACTGTGCTGCTTTCCACAGTGTCTAAACTAATTTACATTCCCAGCAGTAGTGTATAAGTGCTCCCTTTTCACCACAACCTTGCCAGCATCTGTTATTTTTTGACTTTTTATAGTAGCCATTCTGACTGATGTGAGATGGTATCTCATTGTGGTTTTGATTTGCATTTCTCTAATGATCAGTGATGTTGACCAATTGGCCTAATTGTACTATTATTGTGTCTCAGTGAAAGGAAAGGCCTGTGGAGAGGGAGAGAGATGGGGGAATGCCGAGGCAGTAGAGCCATCAGAAAACATACAACATTTATTGATTAACTTTATTGTCTTATATGGGCATGGTTCATGGTGTCCCAAAACAATTACAATAGTGACATTCAGGATCACTTATCATAGATCATCATAAGAGATATAATAATAATGAAAAAGTCTGAAATACTGCAAGAATAACCCAAATGTGACAGAGACACAAAGTGAGCACATACTGTTGGAAAAATGGCACTCATAGACTTGTTCTATGCAGGACTGCCACATACCTTCAATTTGTAAAAATGCAATATCTGTGTTTGCACATTGATTTATTGTGCATCACAGATATTGCATTTTGAATGCCTGTACTGAAATGCCCTTTATTAAGCCAAAATTGACAAATGGGACCCAATTAAACTAAAGAGCTTCTGCACAGCAAAAGAAACTATCATAAGAGTAAACAGGTGACCTACAGAATGGGAGAAAATTCTTGCAATCTATATATCTGAGAAAGGGCTAATATCCGGAATCTACAAAGAACTTAAACAAATTTACAAGAGAAAACAAACAACCCCATCAAAAACTGGGTGAAGGATATGAACAAACACTTCTCAAAAAAAGACATTTATGCAGCCAACAAACATGTGAAAAAAAGCTCATCATCACTATGATGATGAGTGATGAGAAATCACTATGATGATGAGCTTTTTTTAGAAATCGAAAACAATGAGATACCATCTCATGCCAGTTAGAATGGCGATCATTAAAAAGTCAGGAAACAGCAAATGCTGGAGAGGATGTGGAGAAATAGGAACACTTTTACATTGTTGATGGGAGTGTAAATTAGTTCAATCATTGTGGAAGACAGTGTGGTGATTCCTCGAGGATCTAGAACCAGAAATACTATTTGACCCAGCAATCCCATTACTGGGTATATATCCAAAGGATTATAAGTCATTTTACTATAAAGACACACACGCACGTATGTTTATTGCAGCACTGTTCACAAGAGCAGAGTTGGAACCAACCCAAATGTCCATCAGTGATAGACTGGATAAAGCAAATGTGGCACATATACACCAGGGAATACTATGCAGCCACAAAAAGGGATGAGTTCATGTCCTTTGCGGGGACTTGGATGAAGCTGGAAACCATCATTCTCAGCAAACTATCACAAGAACAGAAAACCAAACAATGCATGTTCTCACTCATAAGTGGGAGATGAACAACGAGAACACATGAACATAAGGAGGGGAACATCACACACTAGGGCCTGTTGGGGGGTAGGGGGCTAGGGGAGGGATAGCATTAGGAGAAATACCTAATGTAGATGATGGGTTGATGGGTGCAGCAAACCACCATGGCACATGTATACCTATGTAACAAACCTGCACAATCTGCACATGTGTCTCAGAACTTAAAGTATAACAATAAAATAAAATAAAATAAAATAAAATAAAATAAAATAAAATGCTGTTTGTTTTAAGAATTCAGGATGTTTATAGTTTTTGGTTTGTTTTTGTTTTTCCTTCAATTTATCCAGTACTGTGCATATATCTTTTAAATTTTGTTTTATTTTCTCATCCTTTCTAATCTATTTTTGTTCTGTATTCAGGTTTCTCCACTTCATCATCAATTTATTTTTCTGTAATGCCTATTTTGCTAGTTTTCTTCCTCCAGTGTGATTTGTTTTTGGTCGATTACTCTGTTTTTCATTTGTCTACAATCTGCTCTTATTCTGGCCTGCCCTCAAATAATACCTGCTTGAAAACCTCATTTTTGAACATTAAGTAGATATTTTCTAAATTTATTTTATATTTCTTCAAAACACTATTTTTGAGGTTCTCCCTCACCCTTGCCATGCCTTTACAGAGTTTTTCCTTTATTTTTGTGCTATAAATGTTCTTTTATGGATCCTTGCAGGCTATTTTTTCTTTTTCCTTCGCATTCATCTTTGAGTGAGGCTAAGTCCAATCGGATGTGATAGTCCAAAGCAACCAACAGTCACCTTTGCTTAGACTTTTCTTAGAGCTACCATTGTCTGCTCCTCTAAGAGCAACCTCCTCTGGCAGATTTGAGGTTGGAGAGCAGGCTGATTTCAGCGCACCCAGCATAGGCTCCAGTGCAAAGTACCACCAGAGCAGTGCCTCAACAAGTTTTAGTTTATCTTCCTGGCTGTGAATGAACTAATTAGAATTCAAGTTAACGGGAAAATTTTTTGAAATGGGTTAACAGAACTGTGATTGCTAGTTATGCTGTTTTTAATCGAGTCTCATCAATTTGGTAGTTTGTAGAAATGTTGATTAGATTCAGCATTGAAGATTATTGAATTGAATATTCAATTCAACATTGATATTGATGTTGAAGATTATTTTATTTGTGTTAATTGCTTTCAAGACTTACTAAGATTTTTTCTCAAATCAGACATTTTCTTGGACATCTTAATAGGCATTTGGGAAGGGAGATTTCTTACTTTTATTTTCTTGTTTCTGTAACTTAGTTTCTACATAATAAAAAAAACCAGAATTTCATTTGTTTGCTTTTCTATGTCACATTGTGATTTTTTTTTCCTTATTTAATTCCGTATGCACAGTGAAAACAGGTCATTTCTTAAGGCTATAGTTTAGGCTTTTGAGCACTGAAGCCATTCATAGACTGCATGATATTAATACTATATATTAATATCAACATTATGAATCCATATGGTAGCTCTTCTGTTGCATACTGAAGTCATGGGCAGTCACACATATCAGAATCATTGCAAATCCTGTATTAATGGAATAGGAGTTCATGATATTTAAATATATTGCATACTCAAGTACAGCCAAATTATTATCTATGCTAATTAAGAGATGCAAAGTCACAGAAATACAATGAAATCTGGAAACTATGCATTATTTTGGATTCATTTGCATTATAACTTTTGACTTTCTTCATATTTAGATAACTAGAATCTCTCCTAAACTTACATGCAAATTAACTTGGATTTTCTGAAAATATACCAATTGCCTAAATTAGCATGTTAGTTTGCAACAAAAAAATAGAAATCCAGGATATATAATTCGAGGTAGATAATTCTTAAAATAGATAATCCACAAATAGTTAAGAATTAGCAAGTCTTCTTTATGAATCTGTAAAAATTCCTGGCGTGATGTGCATGTGTGTGCACATGTATATGTTTATGTGTATCAAAAGTATAATTAATGTAAGGATTGCAGCTGTGTATTTTCCATAGTGTTAAGTTGAACAATAGAACTATTACCTGGTTTTCATCTTAATACTTTAAGTCTACTTTTATAGTTACTTTAACCTAACTTAAAATTATTTCATAAATAAATACATTAACCAATATGAAATTTAATACTAAACCCTGCAATTCTGTACCAATGTTTTAGCCATGCTTTCTCCATTTTCAGAAAATATTAAAACATATGACAACATTTGTGTCCAAATCCATTTGGATTATTCTTTTTGCTAAAATATGATAATGCTTTTCCTGATTATCAGTATATAGTATCTGTTCTACTTCCTTGATCCACTAATTTTTAATTTCTCACAAAGAAATCAAAATAAAAAACAAGGGGTCAGATTTGTTCTTTTTTTTTTTCCCCCAGCTACTGGAGAGGTTGAGGCAGGAGAATCGCTTGAACCCGAGAGGTGGAGCTTGCAGTGAGCCGAGATCGCGCCACTGCACTCCAGCCTGGGTGACAGAGTGAGACTCAGTCTCAAAAAAAAAAAAAAAAATTTTGTTCTTTTTATATCTTCTCTTTTTCTTAATGAATATTTGATGAGCCTAATAGTTACAGAATTTTTTTCGAGATTGAGTCTTATACTTAACAAACCATCAATATCATCAATATCTAAATACTAGATGGCAGTTTGCACACTGTTTTACCTTATTGAAGATAATTGTCAAAGTTGCTAGATAATCTTCAAAGCCTTGAATTTTTATATTGATTTACACTTAAAGTTTTTCCTTATAAAACTTTTAATATTAAAAAAATATAATCACTCCCTAAGCCTGTGTCATCTTTCAGTTATGAACCCTTCCTTGATCTCTAAACAACTACTTTAAATGCAGGAGAAAGCCTTCTTAATGTGTACCCTGTAAAAAACATATTCAAAATTTTCTTTATTATTATGTTCTCTATGAATTCCTGGTGTTGATTTTGGAGGAAAATGTAATGGTCTTGTGCTGGTGTAGGTTCAGGCTATGTGTGAACCACGTTCAGATCTAGCTGTACTCAGTGTCTCAAAACCACATTAATAGGTAGCCCTGCAAAGTGGTAATGAGCAGTTTCTGAACGCAGGTGGCCTTTGGTCCAAATCCTGACCCTGCCACTTACCAGACAAGTTCTTGAACTTCTCTGTGCTTCCGTTTCTGAATCTGTAAAATACAGATAATAATCATACTTATCTTTTAGGGTAATTGACTGACAAGTACATGAGATAATACCTGGCACACAGTATATTGTTACAGAGTTTGCCACCATGATTACTACCCATTCAGTGCAAGTGAGGTACCCTATATAAACTACATAGCAAAACAGGACATGTGATGCTGGGCCTGAGCTGTTCAGCCCCGTAAACAAGGATAGAAGCAGGGTAGACCCCTCCTGATCCACGTGGAATGAGATTTTCAAAGTAAAAGAAGGGAATTGTCCAGATAGGAGAAGGCGGAAGGAATGTTGGGTAAGTACAAGCAACAGATGTCCACTCCCTATGGGGAAATGTTGAAGGAATCATAAAGGGGAAAAAGATTGTATTGTCATTTTCATTAGCAGAAGTACTATTTTGCAAAAGAGATGTTAGTCATGCTCCATGTGGTTGTATAAGTTCAGAATAGGACATGCACATAAGACAGGCAAGAAGTCAGATTCCCATGACTCAAAGGAAAAAAAAAAACCTGATCAGAATTTGAAATTGAATGAACTGTATTGTAAGGCTGTGAGATGCATGTTGCTTGAGACGGCTTTTATTTCTTATTTTTTCTTTTTCCCTTTTCCAACTTTTATTTTGGAACCAGGGGGTACATGTGCAGATTTCTTACAAAGGTACATGTGCATGATGCTCAGCTTTGGAGCACAAATGAATCCGTCACCTAGGTAAGAGAGTATATTACCCAACAGACAGTTTTTTCAACCCTTGTCTTCCTCCCTCCTTCCTCTCTCTTGTATTCCCCAGTGTCTATTATTCCCATTTTTGTGACTATGTATACTCAGATTTTAGCTCCCATTTATAAGTGAGAACACATGGTATTTGGTTTTCTGTTTCTGCGTTAGTTCATGTAGGATAATTCTTTCCAGCTACATCCATGTTGCTACAAAGGACAAGATTTTTTTAATGGTTGTATAGTACTCCATGCACTACATTTTCTTTATCCAATCCACCATTGATGGGTACCTGAGTTGATTCCATGTCTTTGCCATTGTGAATACTGCTGCAATGAACATATGGTTGCATGTGTCTTTTTGGTCGAACAGTTTATTTTCTTTGGGGTAGATACCAGTAGTGGGATTGCTGGGTTGAATGGTAGTTGAACTCTCAGTTCTTTGAGAAATCTCCAAATTGCTCTCTATGGTGAATGAACTAATTTACATTCCACCAACAGTGTAAATGTGCTCCCTTTTGGAGGAAGTTTTTAAGCAGAGGTCTAAATCACTCCTTAGAGAACAGGTTTTACATAATAATAGACAGACAGGCAGAGAGAGAGAGAGAGAGAGAGAGAGAGAACACAGTAAATGCATAGTAAATATGCCTAAATCTATGACTTCTACAAATGTGGGACATTTAGGGAAAGAGCTCAGATCTTTGAGAACTTGCTCTGTTATTAATGGTTGTATGATACTCAATCTTCCAAATTTCTAGTAAAAATGTTAACATATTTATTCAGTTCTTAACTTTTCTAAGCTATAGTCTGGATGTAATTTTATTTTTGTCTTCACATTTAACCACATAAGTATAATCCATGCTTACTAGAGAGTTCAGAAACATAGCTAATTCTCAAAACCCATTTTAGTTAATATTTCCAATTGAACTGGTGAGTTTCTGTATTATACCCCTCACTCTGGCATTAATGAATTTCGCTGAGAGAACAATTTGATTGATTAATTGATCTCACGTTAGCAAAATAACTAAATTTGCTCGTCAGCAATAAGAAAGGCTGTATTCCTTAGAGAGTAGCACATGAATTAGAAACTTGGTTATTTGTCTATTGCTTATTTATGTTTCCAATATGATATATGCCTTAAATCTCCTGTGAAGGTAGGCAGTGTATAAACTAAATTTATGTTTTATTTTAGACACATTCCAACCACTATTATTGTAAAGTCTTAGACATATATTTTACTTCTGGGTAATTATTTGACAGTAATTTAGAGAGTCAATTACTAAACATATAAATATCCTTCTGAAATCTTTAAATTTTTTTGGAATGGAATAGGACAGTTAAAGAAATTAACTATTATGCTTATCTAAGTAGGAAAGAGTTAATAAATAAATAACCAAACATGATCCTTAGTAAAGTAATTTAAAGTAATCTTAAACTATTAAAATGATTTCAAAATACCTATCTATCACAAGTTCATTGTTATACAAATAAAAGCCTAAGATAAGGACTGGGTTTAGATTTTTCTTATTTTTTAAAAAAGCCTTCTTACATTCTTAAAAAAACAAAACAAAACAACAAAATAAGTTTCCAAAGATAAAGACTTTGAAAGAGAATTCCTCAAGTTATTATGCAAATAATTCTCAAAATGTTGTGAAAATAGTTTCCCAAACCTGATAAGTTTATATTGTGACGTGATAAAATGAAATATAACTTTTAGAATTCTCATAATAGAGAAAATAATCTGGCTTTATCTTTCTTTTCACTGATTTTATTTTGATCAGCTCTAATCACGTAATTTCAGGGTTTTAGGGGAAAAGTTGTAATGCGCTTTGCATTTTAAAAGGTCGCTTATAGCTTACCTACAAAACAACTCTGATATTTGGCAATAATTGTTAGAATTCATGGAATGTGTAGATTAAATATCATTGAACCTTCAAATAATTTTTTTTTTTTTTTGAGACGGAGTCTTGCTCTGTCGTCCAGGCTGGAGTGCAGTGGCACGATCTCAGCTCACTCTGCAAGCTCCACCTCCGGGGTTCACACCATTCTCCTGCCTCAGCCTCCTGAGTAGCTGGGACTACAGGCGCCCGCCACCTCGCCTGGCTAATTTTTTGTATTTTTAGTAGAGACGGGTTTTCACCCTGTTAGCCAGGATGGTCTTGATCTCCTGACCTCATGATCCGCCCACCTCGGCCTCCCACAGTGCTGGGATTACAGGCATGAGCCACCGCGCCCGGCCTCAAATAATTTTTTAAAAGACTTTGTCATTGTGTTAAATTATGTCTTTGCATCCACAATTTTAACTTTATTCCCCCATTCTCCTGAGGGTAAAACTAAAATCTGTCCACAAGATAGAGAGAGAAGACCAAGGAATGTGGCAAGTCATGAGGAGGCTCCTTAAATTTCAGGCCAGAGCTAATCTACAGAATGAATAATCAGGTAATTGTTAAATGATTTGTCTTGGAAAATAATAATTGCTACAAACCTATGGTACAGCCCATCCAGTTGAGAGTAATATTAGAAAAGCCTCATTTATTTCATGAATCAGAATAAAGGCAAAAAATTGGCTTGAATGTCTTGAGGACAATTAAAAAGTAGCTAAATGCTACTTTGTGATTTTAATTACTTATCTGAACAAAATAAAATTTTTACGTAATAGCACCTCCTCATTTAAAAAGCTACCTACTTAATCCAACAATCCTTGAACATCAATTGATACATATTTAAAAAATCATACTTTGAAAATGTAAGCCACATTTCCTTTTAAATTTTTAATATGAAATTTATGTTTCAGATTGGCTATGTGAATTTTTCTGCTTCTTGATCTATGTGTTTGTTATGAAGCTTCTAAATTCCTAAATATCTGAACTGTTAAACTTATGATCTTTTGATGTCAGTGGTCCCCAAACATCAAATCACATTTTGACTTTTGAAATATAGAGATTATCAGACTTCTTTGTGGACCTATTGAAGGAGAATATCTAGGAGTTGAGTCCCAGCATTCTATTGCTTTTTATGTTTCCTTGTGACTGTGATCACTTATATTTGGGAGACCTTGATCCTGTACAACACTGAGCATCTCTGAACTTACTGGTTATTTTGAACATTTTATTCAATATCTTTCATCAGTTTGTAAGCTTCTGAATGGCAATGCTCATATTACATTACATTACATTACATTATGACTGAGTTTCAAAAAATCTTCTAAAGTAACTTTTATATGTTAAATATTTTAAAAACTTATGACCATCTCTAGATTGTGTTATGAGTAATAGGAATATGAAATCTTTTAAAAATATACAGATAAGGTTTTGATATGTTTGAAATGTCTTTTATTTTATTTGTAATTGTTAACATATTATTCTGACTCCCTGGAGGCCAGTTTTCAGCTGTAGTTGGTACCCGATCCATAAAATTCTTTTCAAAAAGTCCATGAGTTAAGTACTCTTGGCTGTGTTTAAATAACACTGTCAATTCCAAGTTGAATTTAAAATATGCCACAACATTTTCATATGATGAAAGATTCCTAACATTAGCTTAAGAAAGTTATGAAAACTACTGGAAAGCCAATGAAGCAATCTATGTTGTGCCTTTTTTGTACTACCACCACTATCATCACCACTATTTCTATGACCACTATTTTTTACTATATGCTAAATGCTGTGCAAGTTGTTTTAAATATACAAACTCATTTTATCTTCATAACGACTCCACTCAGGAGGAAGAAATTGAGCATTAGATAGTTTCAGTAGCTTAGCCAAGGTCATTCAGCTATAAGATGGAGGAGATGGGATTTAACTAAATCTCCACACCTTTATCTCCCATAATAAATACCCCAAAAGTCTAATAAAAATGTTTATCTGTTATGTGCCAATTTCTGTGTTTGGCTTTGGAGAAACCAAAATAAATAGAACCTGGTTGCTGCCCTTGGGAAGCATAAATCTCAGAAAAGTTTCTGAAAACACTTCTTTATCTTTCCTCCAGTGCTCTTAAAGTCATTTTTTTTTCTCTAACAAGTTTATTGCTCAGTGGTGGTCACCAACTCCATTTTTTTAATGTTATTTAAAAATATCCAAGAAAGCTGTCATACAGCTGAAAGTATGCAGAATATAAGTGAGAGAATTACATTAGGAAAAAAACTGGGCACATTTTGAGCACTCAATACGCATGATTTTATTGAATACTTAGGACAGTCTTATGGTATGCGCTTTATATAAGATTTATGAAGGGGAAAAATGAGACTCCTAGAGGTTAAGAGATATGACCAGACTTGTAAGCAGAGATGCTGGGATTTCAGTCTTATCTAGTGATATCCAAAGCTTTTGCATTTCCAATTGGATCACGGCATCTCCCACGTAGTTTTGGTACCTGATTTCTAGTCTGGGAGAAGGTTCCCTATGGAACCTGAGGTTTATAGAGCAGCAAATTTTCCTACTATACCAGGTAGATTAGTAGAATCTATGTTAAAATAGGTTCACTGTACAAATATATAAAATTAAGAGGTAGCAAAACCAGACTTAAATACATTTGGTTAGAAATCCTTCCAGTAAGGAGTGTTTCTTAACCTATTTTGTCAATTTTTGGCAGCAGAATCATGACCTTACTAGTCATTCAGGAATCCACTTGAATTATCAGGAAAGACTTCTTAGCTTGGGACTTTACAATAAAAATATTAGTTGAAAATGGCTAAACCCACACCCTGTAATAACCATTAACACTTCACTGAAACACAATAACTTGTAGTAATTAAAGTACTACAAGGCAGTACCTATTAGCAGTATAAACTGCTAATTTTAATTCACTAAGAAACTATCGAAATAATTAGCCTATGGGGCTTGGGAATCACTTGCTTTTTGTGTATCTGGATTTCTCTTCCAAATTTGCGAGTCATTCTGTTTGATCATGCTGTTCTTGTCTCATCTTGGTCTGCTTCTTTGCATCAAGTTTATTATTACATTGACAGGAATTTCTTGGGTTTTGTCCACGTGATTATTATTCAAAGGTCACTTAAGTATAGTCTTTGTCTCTTCTCTTTAAAAGGAAACCTTCTAAGATACTTTCTGTTAGGCAGCTTCCGTCTAGTTCTCTTTGCTATAGTGCACTAGCACTAGCACTGTGCTGGGTTGCTACCCGCGGCCTGCATATTCTTTTCTGTGGTAGAAGGAAGAGATTTTACTCTGCTTATTTTCTGGTAGAAGAAGAAATTCCAGATAGAAATCTAAGCTAGAAATGGATCTCCTGTTATCAAGAACCATGGATGCATTATCAACTTCATGCTTAATATAGTTATATATCTTCACTTACTTAGGCAGTTTTACTCTTTAATCATATTTCTCCTAAAATCATGTAGGCTTGAAAGGCAAGACTTTTTGGAAGAGCATGGTTTCTTTAGAAAGCATGAAGCATTACTAAAATCTGTTACTTTTTAGTTGTCTCATCCTGGGTCTCTGAGATGGAGATTAGCCTGCAGGAAACTTAATAGGAATGTTTTTGAGATCCACACTTATTAGGGATGGGAAGGAAGGGAGACAGGATAAGGTAGGGGACTGTGATACAGTCATGATAAAACCTTGACCAACCCAATAGCAAGCTCTGAAACTGAAATACTGTACCCATCAGAGCTGTATTTGGTTAGGGCAAGGAGCTGGGCCTTTAATCCTGTGTGTTTACCAGTCATTCAATGGAGGCTGCTACTGAAGTTAGTATGACCTTGGCTGAGGCAACTTTTTCAATGGAGGGAATTCTGGAAACAAATTAACAGCTGAGAGCTGTCCCAGTAGCTGGGGAATAAATCCCTCAGTGCTAAAGACAGGATCTTGGCAGCACAATGCAGCATTCGTGACACTAGTGTTTCATGAAGAGGAAATAATGACATAGATTAGGCCAATCTGTCTCAACCATTTCAAATCATTCTTTTTGATAAACATAAAGCATTATTTTGATAGACCTCCCTGAGGAAGCAGTGGTGTTGCTCTGGTTGATAATCTGCATTCTTTGTATCTATCCGCTGGACAAGAATACACCCTGAGCCCTGGTATACATTAAGAGATACTTCTTTTCCTTTGCTTTCCTTCTCTCTTAATTGACCTGCTCAGATACTTCCATTAGGGCATCTGAGCTGTAACATTTCCTAATACTTTTCTGCAAAATGACCAAGATAATATCTGTACAGTGATGTTGTGATACCCCTCCCTCCTTTCATGCATTATTCTATAATATCCTGCACTAAATGCTCACAGAAGATCAAGTGATTGATGTATAAAGAAGAACCAATGGATAAAACTTTTTACTTTCAAAAGTTTTTAGCAAGATTCCACATCAAAAGCAAAGTATATAAATAAACAAAACTTAAATGTTATTGTCCTGAATAGAGTACTAATTCTTTTTTTACTGTATATATTTAAGGTGTATGACATAATTTGACCATATTTGTGAGGTCAAATGGCATATATAGCTATTAGATATAGATTATATAGGAATATACGTTGAAATATGGGGATTATTAATTTATGCCAGATAGAGGAAGGAAGAGATTGTGTGGGTGAAAGAATTAATTATAAAGCAAAAGACAATAAACTGCTAAGGTTTCAAAGGAAAAATTGGTGATAAAAGCAGAAACTGTCTATAAATTTCTGAAGACGCTTGATATATTCTCCAGCAAACATTCATTAAGTTTTCTTGATGCGCTGTGCTATATGCTAGGTGCCTGGGATATGAAGATTAATAAGAAATGGGACTTGCTGCCAACCAAATTACTATTTAGTGGTAATACACAGGGAAGATGTGCACAGGGGTCTCAGTGGCCACCTGAATATGTATACTCAGATGCTTACACTCTTAGGTAACGCTCCTCAAACTTTCCCAGCTTCTACTCTATCTTTTTTTGGGGGGAGATGATGATGATTATAGGTTAGTTAATTATCTATAAAGGAAATTGAATATTATGTAATAATTATAATAACATATCTCAGGGTGTGCTTATTGGGACGGGATATGTATTACTCTGATTGCAGAGACTAGGGAGAAATGATGGATCTGTAGGGAAGAAGATAAACTCATCAGCATGCCAAACCCTACGGTAGTTTGTTGTCTTTGTTGGCTAGAAGGGGGCTGAGGCTTAAGAAGTCAAAACATTTTCAATGTGGGTTAGAACACACATAGTTAAAGCATACTTTCTTGTAAAAGGAGAGGATTGGACTTTAAAGTAAGGCATGGTGTAGTAAAATGTGGATCTGAGATAAGAGTCAAAAGACTCTACCACTTGTTTGCTATGCAAATGGCCAACTTGTTAAACTTTACTTTTCATTTGTATTTTGGTACTAATATTTGGCCTATTTATATAAGAAGACCAAAGGACACAACCATATACAAATATAATTTTAAAACTTTTAAGTATAATGAAAATGCAATAAATTATAAAATTATAGATTATAACCCACCAAGTGTCATCAAAATCCAAGTGGTATTGTAGAGTGTTGTCTGCAAAACTGGTAATGATGGGGGAAATATGACAAAAAACTTTACAAGTATTATAAGTGATAATTAAAATGGCCACAAGAATATTAGGCATTATTTGGAAAGGCACAGGGAAAAATAGCTACAACTGAGCAAAACCTTGTGTATCTGTATCTGGAATGATGAAATTCTGGAATTGCATTGTGAGGAAAAAATAAACGTGTGGATCACAAAAGTAACTGGCCACGAATGTAATCAGGTAAACGTAGAGATGTCCATATGTGGAGAAAAAAGAGATATTGACACTATTTAGAAATATTGATCCTAAATAGTCTCAAAAAATGGTAGTTAACATAATGTATGAATTCAAGTCTATAAAAATCACCAAGATTAAGGATCATGTGAATGTTTTATCAGTACAGGAGTACTGGATTTGTGGAACAGCTATCCCTTGATTTCTGAAAGAGATACCGAGATAAAAAGACCTGCTTAACATAGGAGGTCATTATCCTGGGGGAAACAATGTACCAAATGTTGATGGATGAGAGATATCAAGACCAGATTGCCTCACATTTCTTCTCCTCCTCCCTAGCATGGGGTTGGAGTGGTGTGGGCAAGATTGTGCAGCCTTCATCTCGAAAAGGTTGCAGGGTGTACATTTCTGTGATTTTGCCTGGTTGTTTCCTAGTCACCTGCTTTTCCACAGGAGGAGTTTAAGAAGAGTAATAAGGATGATGATGTGTGACTTCCGTGCTCCCTTGCCTCTCAGTCCTCAGGCATCCCCCATGCCTGAGAACTCACAGGGTTATTGAGATTCCCTCAAATTCAGAGTCACGAATCTGTGCCTACATTAGACCCCACCCAGAGACCTGGAAGTCTTTTCGTCTCAGAATGGATTTGTCAGTCGTGGGATATTTTGTGAGCATTTCTCCTGTGCCCAGGATTGCAGTCACCTTTGGCTTGGGTAGCCACTTCCTGGCAGGTTTCTTTATTAATAAATTGTTGTTTGCTTATAGAAGTTAGTCTCAAATGAATATTGCCCAACAAGCCTTATTCTTAAATTTCTTTGGCCCCTTTTGCTTTTGGCTGGGATTACTTGGACTTTTTGTAACAACAATTTTTATTGAATACTAGAGAGTCATAAATCCGACACAAATATCCCACAGGCAATGCTTATTTACTTTCACATAACAGTTTAATGACTTTAAACCATGGTTCTGTGACAAGTTAGAGAAGTCCAAAATACCTGTGCAAATTACATATAATCAAGGGCTGTGGCAGCTTAGTGAAATACCGTTATGCTGCCAAATAAGAGCATTTAATTCATAGAAATTACAATTTGCTTTTCTATGCCTATTTTACATCTTTTTGCCTTTTATCATTTGAATGAGGATCAATTTTCCAGAGTTCATATGCTATGAAACAATGTAATCATATATCATAAACTGGGTTTCTTTGATCTCAGTGCTCTGTTGCTTCCTGATAGTGTTCCATCAAAAAGAATTAGATATTTGCCCTTTGCAAATAACAAGGAGATATTTGATATACTCCATAAAAGAAGATATATTATTACCTTGATTGACAAAGCAAACTCACAGCACAATTATTGTTAGAAAGCCCAGTGTTACACTCTAAAATAATAAAAAGCACAACTGTTCCTTATTTATTTAACAAATTATTAATTGATCATCTACTATGTGTCAGACACTGTGCTAGCTCTGACAGTTCATCAGTGAACAAAATTGTTTGTCCTCAGAGAGCTGATATTCTCCTGGAAAAAGGCAATAAAGTAATAGATAACTAAATTGTATGATATTTTGTATGCTAAATGCTGTGAGACTACAGAGCAGGGTGAGGATGATGGGGAGAACTGGAGTGGATTACATTTTAAGTAAAATGGTGAAGATAGCTGCAATGAGGAGATAGAATCTGCATAAAGGACTGAAAGTGAGTGTATTAGTTTCCTAGGGTTGCCATAACAAAGTACTACAAACAGAATAATTTAAAATAATAGAAATGGATTGTCTCACAGTTGTGTAGGCTAGAAGTCTGAAATAAAGGTGTCAGCAGGGCCATGACTCCTCTGAAACTTGTAGGAGAGAATCCTTCCTTTTTTCTTCCCAGTTTCTGGTGGCTCCTGGCACTCATTGACATTCCTTGGCTTGTAGCTGCATCACTGCAATCTCTGCTCCATCTCTTCACATGGGCCTCTATTTTGTGTGTGTCTCTGAATGTCCACTCCTCTTTTTATAAGGACAGCAGTCATATTGGTCTACTCTAGTGACCATAATCTTAACTTGATTAAATCTACAGAGACCCTATGTCTAAATAAGGTCACATTCATAAGTACTGGGAATTAGGACTTCAACATATCTTTGTTGAAGATCAAACAATTGTGTCCCTGTGGGGGACAAAGTTCAATCTATAACTATGAGATAATTAGCAATGCAGGTATTTGTGTTTGGGGTCCAGGGACCAGTACAAAGGAGCTGAAGAGGGTGCATGACTGGTGTGTTTGAAAAACTTCAGGGAGCTCATTTATCTTGCATAGGGTTAGTGATGAGTCGAATAGACGGCATGAAGTCTGAGAAGAACCAGGAGACAGCCTGGTGAGGGACTTGTAGGCCACTAGTGATCTTGGCTTTTTAATGCAAAGTGGAATAGGGAGCTTTAGGGATTTGATTTATGTCTTAAATGCTTCACTCTGTCAGCCGTGTTGAGAATAAATTACAGAGGTAAAGGAAGATGCAGCGAATGTGATTAGAAGCAATCTGATCGCAATATTCCAGTGAAGGATGATGTGGGCTTGGGTCAGGGTGGTGGCAGTAGAAGTGGTAAAAAGTTACTGGATGGATTCTGGGTAGATTTTGAAGATATAGCTCGAAGGTTTGCTGATTGTTTGGATGTAGGTGTGAGAAGGGAGTCAAGGGTGAATCCAAGGATTTTGACATGAGTAACCGGAAGGATGGAGTTGCACTGAGTGATATGCAGAAGCCAGTGGAGCAAGTTTGGAGGCAGGATTAGAAGCCCCATTTAGGTCATGTAATGTACAAGATGATTGGAGTGGAGAGGTTGGATGGTCAGTTTTGCATAAACAGTTGAAGTTGAGGTGAGAGATCTGACAGAAGAGCTGCCTCTTGCTAGATAGTATTTGTGCAAATTAGCACCAGGCAGTTCTTCAGGACCAGTGACTCTCTGGGTCAAATACATTAACCCAGCTTCTCCTTTGCCTGAAAGTCTTCAGGCTGTGTTATCCCTGCGTATACCCTCCGTGGGAACTATATCCAACAGGCTGCTTCTTTCTTCCCTTCTTCACAGGAAGCCAGGTCCTGGCTTTTTATCCCTCTAGTCAGAATGACCTTGGACAAATCTAGAGAGGGTAGGTGTGTAAAGGCAGTGGATGACAGAGACTGATAGTAGGATATTTCGTTATTTTGGAATTTGAATGAAAAATAATAATTTACTTTTCTCATTTTCAATTAAATTTGTTATGGATTTTGTGATTGAAGCTACAGTATGGAGTGATGGATACATATTCAAAACAAAAATATTTGGGGCCTGATTTTCCAATCACTAGACTTGAAGACCACTGTGAATTCTGGTTCAAATACAAACATGAGCTATGTGTACCACCATTGCTAACGCACACACAGACAGATACATGCAACACCTCTATTCCTTCCAAATTTTATTTGGATGGGGCACTTCCTGGTGGTACAGGATGGTTAGCTCCACCTTGGTGGTTTCAGTCAGTGGCTGCTTTGTTCCAGAGGCACCCTTCTGCACTCCTCTCCTTACACTGCTTTTTCTGAACTTCCCTTTCCCATCTTCAATTCAGCACTCAGGAGACAGACATTTTCCTCAACACAAAGACAAATTATGAAGCAGAGTGGTGTGGTAGAACAAGCACTAGCTGGACTGAGCATCACAGATGTCAACAGATTTCTGCTGAACTTTGGAAAGGAAAAAAATAATAGCCAATTACCGACTGATTACAAATATTGGAAAATTAATTTTTTATCTGGATAGTGAAGGGGGAAAATCTTACTTAGTGTTTATTACCAGGCAATTCAGAATAAATTTCCTTATCTTTAAAGATTATTTCTAATTTATCTAGCTCATTCATTTCCACAAGTATTTGCTAAATGCCCTCATACACCAGGCCCTGGTATGGGCATAGAGGTAATTCTCTATTTCACTTTGGTGGAAGGACTTGGTCTAAGAGGTCAAGACAGGGCAGAGGCAACTCAATGCTGGCTCTGCTGCTTCAGGTGAGCCAGGAGGGCAGCTAATGAAGATGGCAGAACCAGAGTAGATGTGAAGCTGAGAAAAGGAAGGAAATGTAGACAGCCCGATAAAGGTGCGCCATATTAAAATGAGACTCAGTTTTGTTTCAGCTCCTTTGACAAAGCAGATGTTAGCTTAGTTGACACATTCAACAAAATATAAGCAAAAGAACACTATTGGAAAAAAAAGATTTCCTTTGTCGCTCTGTGTGATGAGAGGAGTAAGCATTGTCAGCAGAATTTTCATACGGGCTGGGAATGTTTCCTAGTGTTTAGTGTAACATCACATTGACAGCATCTTCATTATTATTCAGGCTGAGATCTGCCGGTGTGATGGAAGTTGAAAGACAGGATTTTTGTTGCTAAATTCTTTGCCTGTGCCATGTCTGAACTGCCTTCCTTATGTGTTGTTTTTAATGGCAGTCTGAAAGACCTCAAGATGAATAACTCACTTGAAATAGCAGCTGTGGAAATACATTGTTAAGAAAGAAAGAGAAAAAGAAAAAGATTCTGGCTGTTCAGCACAAGTGCTAGCTAGAACTGGCATTTGGATATGTGGGGTCCACTGGGCATGATTGATAGTTAATATGCTGGGAAAGAAATATTAAAGAAGATGAAGGAGATGTATGTGTTACCATTCCACTGGCATAAAATGTGGATATAGAGGTTAAGAAAGACTGATTATCACTAGATAATTTATAAATATATTTGGATACATATACTTGGGTAAAATTGTTCTATTATTATTTATAGAATGTTATACAGTATTTAAAATGAATAATTTCAGCAGGAACTTAATAAAACAATGCGGTGGGATCACTTTAGTGATTCCAATCATGTAGTTTGTTCTTGTAATTTTACGATACTGTTAGAACATAGACAACGGTGTGTTCTCCTCTCTCTGTAAATAGGCTGTTTCTGGCCTTCCCTTTCCCATCCCCACCATCCCCACTGTTGTAGGAAAAACCAGGTTCTTGTCACACCACCAGGAAAGATGAGGCTCGCAGACACTTTGAAGGGTGGGGGAGAATGGAGTTTATTGGGCAAAAAGGAAAAATCTCCACAAAGTGGGAGGGGTTCCTGTTAACAGGCCCCCATCTCACAGATTGAATCCCAGGTTAGCACACAGGAACCGGAGGGGCCAGGCTCCTCCTCCCTGCTCCCTGCAAATCTCATGAACTTCCTGAGGCATCACCCTGTCTTCCCAGTGCACAGGCCAGTTGGAGATGATCAGGGGAGCCCTTTTTACTTGGCTGTCTCAATACCATAATCATTATCACTGTGGTTGCCCAGAAGCATTTGTTGCAATGCCCGTGGGCTGGACATTAGGTTGAGCAGCATGCGGTTTCAGAAGTGATTTTTAGTTTAAAGGCAACATTCCATTCAGCACCTCGGATGTGTGATATGTGAGATCCAGCTTTGAGGGGATAGGTGGGGATAAGAAGGCCATCTCCATTGAGTGCAAGAGAGGAAAGGGTTAAAGTAAAAAGGGGGTACTCTGCCAAAGAAGGGACCCCAAATTTATCTTCTTTATTGGAGCAGATGGATGGAGAACAGCTTTTGTGTTTGTTTTTAAGTTGTTGAAACTTTATAAGAAACACCTCCATTAGTAAAAATTTATTGTCCTGTCTCAATTATCGAAAAGATGATACTTTTCTTTAACTCTATGAGAGAAAACTTTGGTACAGATGAGAGTGTGTCGAACCTCCCTCCTCCCATTTTGTATGGTACCTGGGCATGGAGAGCAAGTACTCCAAGGTATTGAAATGTCTTTTTCTTCCTAAGCAGTCAATGAAAGAGCCTTGTCTTTTCAATCACGAGAATATAGAACATTAGTGGCTCATGAAATGTCAAAAATGAAAACCAGACTGATGTTTCATAAAGCCAGGCGTTGTAGAGGAACTATCAGTGGAATTTTCATTTTCATTGCCCGTGCAGGCAAATCCACCATATCTCTTTACCACTATGGATGGGTTAAGAGGTTGTTAAAGGTTTAAAAGATGCCTGGATTTCATTTTGTATTTTGCTCTCATCCTCTTCAGTGAAAATGGGGCTTGGAAGGCTTTCAGAATTCTTCACTATAGGTTTGCCCCAGTGACAACCCATAATTTTAAAGTGAGCATGCACTGGCAGATTGTCACCAATAAAGTAGGTAAGTGTGAGATTTTGGTGGCCGAAGGACTCGGAGCATCTTCAAGAAATTATTAGTCAGAGGCAGCTTTATAATTTTCATTGGGGATGGTGATTTGACTCTGTTACTGTGTAGAAGAGGCTGGTGTGGAGGGTGATATAGCAATTAAGTTTACCTACCATGTTAGAATTGTGAATGTAAGAATTTTATGTACACTAGCCTATGGGTTGCATAATAATACTTTCAAATATTACTTTCCTCTTTTTTCCTCTTCTGAATATGCTGTCTTCTGCCTTCACTGCTTCAATGAAGGGATGATACTACAAAACACAAAAACAGAGAAATCAGGTCTTACTTTTTGTGTTTCTAATGCCTAGGTCCTGGGGAGACAGGATGTAAAAATACACGTGACACAGGGAGAGCCAGTTCTTCATTCCTCATACTAGAAAAGGTCCTTAACTGATGAGAGAAGGGAGGAAGTTACAAGGTAAGCAGAAGAGTAAAAGATGTTGAGGGTTCCTAAGCAAGGGGCCCCTACCCTAGTTCCCTGGTCAGAGTCTGTGGTCCTCAGGTAATTCAGGGGAATCTGAGAGCAGAGAGGATCCAAGCCTCGTTGGTGTGGGATGGGGTTGGGTGGGAGGACAAGAGCAGTAAAGGGAGTAGAAAGGGGAGGAAATGCACGTAGCAAGACTAATTTTTTTGTGTGTTCCCAACTGTGGGTCGGAAGCAATAAAGTAGAAGTGGCTGCACGTGGTGTCTGGGCAGACAAGGCTTAGATAATTTCATAATTCTCTGTATCCCCCAAAGGATGGGGACAGCACATGGCTGTGCATGTGCCCAAACATAGCCTTACACATTCCTACTGAATTTCCCACACCCACGGTGGAGTGGGAACAGCTAAATGTTTCCCAAGTGCCCAAGGGGGATGTGGGAATGGCTCAGAGATGGCAGGTCCTGGAGCAGCCTTGTTGCTGGCAGTGAAGCATGATGGAGTAACATCCATGAATAGATGACCCAAGTCCAGGAAGAATAAGGTCCGTCTCAGCAAAGCATCATTTAAAAGCTGTGGAGTCTCCAAAGTACTTGGAAATAAAAGGGCATCTTGACTGCAACTTGCTCTAAGTATGAGAGGGTGTGGGTGGGAGAATGAAAAAGCAACTGTGATAAAATGTTAACATTTGGGAAATATGGGGAAGGGTATACAGAACTTTGTATTTTCTGTAAATCTGAAATTATTTCAAAATAACAAGTTAAGAAGCTACAGAGAGAGGCCAAAAAATAAAATAAAGCAATGTGTTTAGAGCAGACTGGGTCATGTTTGAGATCTGCAGAATATCATTTATTCAAAAAGAGCAGCCCTGCAGTACTGAATTAGTAATAGCTAGGGGCCCACCTCTTCACATCTGAAAAGAGAAAAAGAGGAACGGCTCACAGAAGCTTGGGGACATGTCACGGCAAGAGTGGAAGCAGAGTGTTAATTTGTTTTAAGCTGAAGTTAATATAAAGTGAAGTGAATGGCTTGGAGCAGCCCGTAGTTTGCAGAAAGATGAGTTTTGGAAAATCTTGAGCTTTTGGTAAGTAAGTGGCAAAATGTCTGATTTTACCTGGAAGCACTTTTTCAAATTAAATTTAATGCCTTTCTTTATTATTTAATTCATCGATGAATTGTACATTAAGCAGTGTATAATAGGTGTTGTGCGAGCTAGGTTGTAGCTATGAAGATTTTCCTTCAAGATGTCTTTGAGTCTCTGGAGTGGCAAACATATGAATCCAATCATGAAATAATAGAATTTAATAATAACTATACAAAGTTTATAAGTAAAATACTGTGGCAACAAAATAAAAATTATTTTTATTGGAGGGACAAGAAAGGTTTTGTGGAGAAGTGACATTTTAGCCAGATTTTGAAGGTCAGTGGGATTTTAGCGAGTAGAGACGGGGAAGTTAAAGTTAGTTCTTAGGAAGAACATATGCTGAAATGCAGGCATCAAGAAATGGGTAGATGGGGGCATTCTTCATAATGCTGCTTTGAGACTAGGAAATAGGTAGGTGGAGTGGATCTCAAATCTAGAGACATTAACTCCCTTAAGGAATTCTGTGATTTTTTGTTCGGTTGGTTTCTTTTTTTGAGACAGAGCCTTACACTGTCACCCAGGCTGGAGTGTGGTGGTGCAACCTCGGCTCACTGCAACCTCCGCCTCCCGGGTTCAAGCAATTCTCCCATCTCAGCCTCCCATGTGGCTGGGATTACAGGCACCCACCACCATGCTGAATTAATTTTTGTATTTTTAGTAGAGACAGGGTTTCACCATATTGGTGAGGCTGGTCTCGAACTCCTGACCTCAGTTGATCCACCTGCCTCAGCCTCCCAAAATGTTGGGATTACAGGCATGAGCCACCATGCCTGGCCTGTGGTTTCGTCTTTTTAAACATTTATCTTCTTTCCTATCTGGGATTTATTTTGATATCTGTTTTGAAGTAAGAATCCCATGTCATTATCTTTAACCCCTTCCTTTCTCTACCTCTTCCCATATCCAATCAATCACCAAGTTCTATCAAATCCATCTCTAAATGTTTCTCAAATATTTTTATTTTCCCTATCCTCATCCTCACCTGTTCAAGTTGCAATCATTTTTTACCGAATTGCTCCAACAGCTAGAACTGGCACTCATATTTCATCCTCCTCTGATCCATAATAAAAAGTAGTTTTTTTCTAATTCTGTGAAGAATGTCAATGGTAGTTTGATGGGAATAGCATTGAATCTATACATTACTTCGGGCAGTATGGCCATTTTCATGATACTGATTCTTCCTATCCATGAGGATGAAATGTTTTTCCATTTGTTTGTATCCTGTCTTATTTCATTGAGCAGTGGTTTGTAGTTCTCCTTGAAGAAGCCCTTCACATCCCTTGTTAGCTGTATTCCTAGGTCTTTTATTCTCTTTGTAGCAATTGTGAATGGGAGTCCACTCATGATTTGGCTCTCTGCTTGTGTATTGTTGGTGTATACAAATGCTTGTGGTTTTTGCACATTGATTTTGTATCCTGAGACTTTGCTGAAGTTGCTTATCAGCTTAAAGAGTTTTTGGGCTGAGATGATGGTGTTTTCTAAATATAGAATCATGTTGTCTGCAGAGACAATTTGACTTCCTCTCTTCCTATTTGAATACCCTTTATTTCTTTCTCTTGCCTGATTGCCCTGGCCAGAACTTCCAATACTATGTTGAATAGGAGTGGTGAGAGAGAGCATCCTTGTCTTGTACTGGTTTTCAAAGGGAATGCTTCCAGCTTTTGCCCATTCAGTGTAATAGTGGCTGTGGGTTTGTCATAAATAACTCTTTTTATTTTGTGATATGTTCCATCAATGCCTAGTTTATTGAGAGTTTTTAACATGAAGGGATGTTGAATATTATTGAAGGCCTTGTCTGCGTCTATTGAGATAATCATGTGGTTTTTGTCATTGGTTCTGTTTATGTGATAGATTGTATTTATTGATTTGTGCATGTTGAACCAGCCTTGCATCCTAGGGATGAAGCCGACTTGATCATGGTGGATAAGTTTTTTGATGTGCTGCTGGATTTGGTTTGCCAGTATTTTATTGAGGGTTTTTGCACTGATGCTCTTCAGGGATATTAGTCTGAAGGTTTCCTTTTTTGTTGTGTCTCTGCCAGGTTTTGGTATCAGGATGATGCTGGCCTCATAAAATGAGTTAGGGAGGAGTCCCTCCTTTTCAATTGTTTGGAATAGTTTCAGAGGGAATGGTACTAGCTCCACTTTGTACCTCTGGTGGAATTCAGCTGTGAATCTGTCTGGTCCCAGGCTTTTCTTGGTTAGTAAGTTATTAATTACTGCCTCAATTTCAGAACTTGTTATTGGTCTATTCTGGGATTCAACTTCTTCTTGGTTTAGTCTTGGGAGGGTGTATGTGTCCAGGAATTTATCCATTTCTTCTAGAGTTTCTAGTTTATTTGCATAGAGATGTTTTTAGTATTATCTAATGGTAATTTGTATTTCTGTGGGGTCAGTGGTGATATCCCCTTTTTCATTTTTTATTGTGTCTATTTGATTCTTCTCTCTTTTCTTCTTTATTACTCTAGCTAGCAGTCTATCTATTTTGTCAATTTTTTTTCAAAAAACCAGCTCCTGGATTCATTGATTTTTTTGGAGGGTTTTTCGTGTCTCTATATCCTTCAGTTTTGCTCTGATCTTAGTTATGTCTTGTCTTCTGCTGGCTTTTGGATTTGTTTGCTCTTGCCTCTCTAGCTCTTTTAATTGTGATGTTAGGGTGTCAATTTGAGATCTTTCTAGCTTTCTGATGCGGGCATTGAGTGCCATAAATTTCCCTCTTAACGCTGCTTTAGCTGTGTCCCAGAGATTCTGGTATGTTGTGTCTTCGTTCTCGTTGGTTTCAAAGAACTTCTTGATTTCTGCCTTAATTTAATTATTTACCCAGGAATCATTCAGGAGCAGGTTGTTAAATTTCTATGTAATTGTGTGGTTTTCAGTGAGTTTCTTAATCCTGAGTTCTAATTTGATTGCCCTGTGGTCTGAGGGATTGTTTGTTGTGATTTCAGTTCTTTTGCATTTGCTAAGGAGTGTTTTACTTTCAATTATGTGGTCAATTTTAGAATAAGTGCCATATGGCACTGGGAAGAATGCATATTCTGTTGATTTGGAGTGGAGAGTTATGTAGATGTCTATTAGGTCCATTTGATCCAGAGTTGAATTCAAGACCTGAATGTCCTTGTTAATTTTCTGTCTTGTTGATCTGTCTAATATTGACAGTGCATTGTTAAAGTCTCCCACTATTATTGTGTGGGAGTCTAAGTCTCTCTGTAGGTCTCTAAGAACTTGCTTTATGAATTTTCCTATTTTTTTCTAGATTAGCCCACAAATCCTCAGGATTATACAAAACTGTACTTTGAAGAGAAATGACAAATACTTACTTTTCTCTTACAGAAGCATGTTAAGTGTCTCCATTTAGTCATGCCATTTTTTAAGTCTCAAAGGAATATTTGTAATTTTTGAAACTATAAGAAAGTATAAGTGCATATTTATTTAATCTCTGGGCAGAAAATGATTTTCTAAATATTAAAGCAATGAAAGAACCAGCAACAGAAATGGCTGATTGATATAACTACATAACAATAAAAATATCATAATATTTTTAAATACAATAGTGCATGTTTAAATACATTATAAATAAAATTAAAAGAAAAGGGAGAAACTGGGAGAATAATTTAAGGGTGATGCTAAATGGCTTCTGCTTTGCCACATAAATAAATGACACAAAACAGTAAAAGAAACACTAATGCCTCAAAGAAAAATGGAGAAAGAACTTGACCAGTTTTCGGAGAAGAAATTTAAGATGGTATAGACTATTCTTTCACATAATTCTGATTCAAACATGCCTCTGCATGACCAGCTGTTTTTAGATCACTCGTAAGTCTCTTTTCTTTAGGTGAATAATACCTACTAGGTTTTTAAGCTGACTAGACCCTTTGTTAAATATAAGTGACAAGCTTTAGAAGTTTTATTTCAGTATCTTCTCAGTGCTTTTTAATTTAGATCTCTTGACAAAAAGAAATAGAGGGAAGTGGTATCTTCTATATTTCATAAAAAGAGGAGAAAAACTTTGCTACTTAATCGACTGTAGACATGTATAAACCACTGTTCTTTTCGATTATACATTAATCTCAACACCCTAAGAGTGTACTGGCATTTTTCTTTATTGTCATCAATCAGTGGGTTACACATTTAGTTGCTTTGAGGATTTAGGATTTAGTTGCTTTGAGGAATTAGGACTTGAGTTTTTTTGGATAACTTCCTTTTAAAGTTGAGAATTATACTCTGATATGACTGCTGAAAGTTCATGGAATTTGTGAGTTTATTTAATAGAATTTGAGAAAGTTATTGCTTTGTGCTGGCATACTCTATGTGACGGGGATATAGAAATATAAGTTGTGCCAGCTACAAAGACAATTCGGGGTATATGAGTGGAATAGAGTGCATTCTTATGTAGGTGATTTGATAGTGGAATAGTATGTATTATTATTAGATTTGAAAGGAGCCCACACATAATAACTCTGTACCTCTTTCTAGTTTGGAAATGATTACCAAGGAATGAGGGAGCCAGTAATTAAAGTATCATTTTCGTAAAGGCTAAATTAGTTATTTGACTTGACCTATGGTGATAGCTATACAAACTCTGATTTGCTCCTCTTGCCCAGGTCATTTCACTGAATCGCACATGTCTGTTTAAAACTTCAGCTTTCTCTCTGAGGACAAAACCTGTCCTCATGTTTACAATATAAGCTACAACACAACTTTACAACAGATTAGTGGAAAAGTATGTGTCTCAAGGCCAGACTACTCTGTAAGAGAAAGGGTGCTCATTTGCTCATTGCCAAAGCTGCTAATCAGGTAAGTCACTCCTCTTATTTTGGAGAGGAGTGAAAGAGGGGCTGGGTACTATTTACACCTCTGGACTGGCATTTTCTTTCCTGGATAGGATATAAAAAGTAGGAGATAAATATATTGATTTTAATACCTAAGTTTCAGGTCATCTGGGGGTGTGATGTCTCTCTCTCGGGGGAGAAGATCATTAATGCGTCCTGCTCTTCCCTTCATGAACTCCTTTTCCCAGTACCAACAATTGACCCTTAGTCTGTCTTCTGGGACAACTGGTAGGCAGTGCAGATATGCAGTGGATCAGAACTGCACATTAGTTAAATCAATTCTCAGACCTTGCTGTTAGCCAGGGATAGTAGTCATTCCCTACTCTAATTCTCATCCCAAGTATGTCTAGCCTCGTGATCAATATAGCTCCAGGAATGTTATTCAGGGAGATAAATGGCAGCATAAAGATACTCCAGTAATCTATTATGATGGCAATATATAAATGTCCCTAAGTGCAGATTTCCCCCCTTTAAAAAATTCCCATGTCAAAGAGACATGAAAATTATCTTTCGTCTGAAATTCTAAGATCCAAAACTTTTATGTTAAGTTTAAAGAAATCAACTTTCAAAATTTATGTTATCCAGTTTTTCTTTCTGTCCAATCTCAGATAGCGGCATGTATTCCACAGTCTAGACAGAATTCAGTTTTTTAATCAGCTTCAGTTTGAGCTGCCTTGTATTGGAATGAGTAAGGTTCTTTCATCCCTAAGCCTCTCCTGTGTCTTAATTATTTTATCTTTTTATTTTGACCTAATTGTAGATTCACATGCAATTCCAAGAACTAGTATGAAGAGGTCCTATCTGCCTGCACCTAGTTTTCCCCAGTGATAAATACTATCTTACATAACCACAGTACCATGTCAAAACCAGGAAACTAACATTGGCGTTGGTAAAATCCATAGACATTATTCAGATTTCACTAGCTTTACGTGCACTTGTGTGTGTGTGTCTGTGTTTGCGCGCATGTGTGTAGCTTTGTAAAATTTTGTCACATGTGTAGATTCATGTGGCCCTCACCACAATCAATGCAGACTGCTCCACCATCACAAAGATCCTCTTTGTTTGTCCTTGGTGGTCACACCCACACTCTCCACGCTTACCTCATCTCTAACCCCAGGCAACCACGAATCTGTTTTCCATCTCTATAATTTTGTTATTTAAAGAATGTTATATAAATGAAATCATACAGTATGTGACCTTTTGAAACTGAAGTTTTTGAGTTGGCATCATGCTTCTGAAATCTATTCAATTTGTTGCGTGCCTCAAAAGTTCATTCCTTTTTTTGGTTGAATGGTATTCCATCACATGGATTTACAGTTTGTCTTAACCATTCCCTGTTGGAGGACATTTGAGTTGTTACCAGTTTTTGGATATTACATGTAAAGTTGTTATGGACATTTGTGTGCATGTTTTAGTGTGAACAAACTGTACATTTCTCTAGGATAAATACCCAGAAGTGCTATTGCTCATTTGCATGCTGAGTATATGTTTAGCTTTTTAAAGAAACTGCCAAACTATTTTCCAGAGTAGCTGTATCATTTTACATTCCCACTAGAAATATGAATGATACGTTTTCTCTACATCCTACCAGCATTGGTTCTGTCACTATTTTTTATTTTAACTATTCTGATATGTGTACTAATAATTCACTGAGGTTTTGATTTGTGTTTCCCTAAAAGCTAGTGATAGTGAGCATCTTTCCCTGTGCTTATATTTTATGTGTATATTCTTTCAGTGTAATGTGACAATATATTTTTTTCTGATTTTCTAATTGGATTGTTTGATTTTTGTTTTCTACTATTGAGTTTTGAGAGTTTGTTATATATTCTAAAAATATGTTCTTTGCCAGGTATGTGGTCATGTGCCTCATTTTTAAAGTTCGAAAATAATACTGAAACACCTGATATTTCAAGACCAACTCCATAGCCATGAAATTTTAAGAGCCAAGCAAAAATTTGAGTGATTGGAGCTGTAATCCCAGGCAAAATAATTTTCCAGAACCCAGTGTTTAGTCTAGTGCAGATTCCTGTTATTGTTGCCAAAGATGCTAATGGAAATTCCTTGATATTTGAGGAAAGGAAGGTGGACAGAGACAATCTTGTTTTAAGTCTTACCAGGATGCCAGTAGATGTCATTGGTCCAAACACCATGATCTAAAAATTTAAACTGAACTGTAAGAAATTACTAATCAAGATGCATTTACCATAAATGGGGAGAAAATCCACCTATCTATAAGCAGGTCTCCCATCACAGTAGCTGCCCCCGTGCCTCTGGCTATAAAAGAGGCCTATGGAATCTTCTTGCTAGGGGCAGTTTTCCCTTGTCCCCACATCTGTTAAATCAAGTGCTACATCCCTAATGTATTATTTGTAATACTTTATAGTAATCAATATAAGTATAAACACATACCAATTTACCTAGCCTCCTTGAATCAATGAAATTCAACTTTAGTGGAGGTGCAGACCCATGATGGCCATTCTTGATGTCCCACCTTTGTGTAATTTCTTCTTCTTGAGTGTGGGCAGGGTCTGTGACTGGCTTCTAACCAACAGAATATGGCAAAGGTAAAGGGAGGTCACTTCTGTTATTGTTCATTATGTAAGCCTCTGTCTGGCTGGCAGACTCACTCTGAGACTCTCCTTGCTGGCCTGATGGAATAAGTGGCCACATTGATGAAGCCCATCTGGCAAGGCACTGTGGACCTACTACAGGTAAACTTTGAGAGGTGAGGGCATTCTCTAGCCAAGAACCAGCAAGAAGCCAGAGAGCTCACTCAGTCCTTCAGTATCAAGGCAATGAATTCCGCCAGCAAACTGAGTGAGTCTGGGAGCAGATTCTTTCCCAGTCAAAACATCAGATGAGAATACAGCCTGGATGAGACCTCAACTGCAGCCTTATAAGGCCCTAAGCAGAGGCCTTAACTGTACCTCTCAAATCATGACCCACAGAAGCTAAGGGATAATGTGTGTGTGTTGCTTCAAGTCACCACATTTGTGATAATTTGTTACCCAGCAATAGAAAATCAATACAACTTCACCCCTACCCAGATTTTATTTATTTTTGCCACGGAAACAATACTGAAAAATATTTTTATTCATATATCTTTATATATTGATGCCTTTATTTTATGGATAGATTTTCTAGGAGTGTGGTTACTGCATGTTCTTTTAAATTTTAATAGGTGATGCCAGGTTGCTTTCTAAAGAAGCTCTAATGATTCACATGCTACCAGCAATGTGTAAGCGTATCCTTTTTCTTTTATTCTTACTAGCAATGGGCCCTAATAGAGGTTTATAAATCCTTTCAGTCTCAAAAGAATAAAGAGATATCGCATTGTTACTTTAATTTAAATTTCACTGCCTACCAGTGAGTTTAACCATTTTTTAATGTTTCCGGTTACAGGGGTTATCTCTTCTGCAAATTGCTTTTTAAAACTCTGCCAATGTTTCTCCTCTATTTTTTATGTCTTTTTTTATTGTAATATGTATTATAGATATTAAACTTCAGACCTGTATGTTGCAGATTTTTTATTCAAATCTACTTGTTTTCTGTTGACTTTGTTTATGAAAAGTTTTTTATTGTAAAACTGAAAATTTTTGTTAATAGCATCCATGTACCTTCTGTGTGTGAAGCTATAGTAGACCTTTGAAATCCAAGCCCTGTTTTTTGGTTGTTCCAATAGCAAATTGTAGCCTCCTTGAGGCCATGGGTTTAGAGAGCAACTCTTAAAACCTTGCCAGCAGTCTTCATGATGCCAATAGGTTAATTTATCCTAAATTCTATTTTTAACTCTTGTTGTATTTCAAAACAAAATAGAAGGAAATGCAATTTGGGGCAGCATATTTAGTACTATTTACCTATTCGTGGTATGAGACATACTTTAGTAGGACTCTGTGGACTGTAACATAGCTGCTTCTGCATTTTAAGACCCAGCCTATAGATCTGATTAAGAAATACAATAAAATCAGCTAAGCTTGAGCTTCTCATAAGTGCCTACAAAGTTTTTACACTAAAATGCGGCCTACATTAAGATTAGCCTTTATTGGAGCAAAATAAACTCTCTTAACTATAATGTAATCCCTGCCCCATTGGGTGGCTTTAAGCCATAGCTGTGCCAGCATGAGTCAGGGCAAGTTCAGCCACAGAAAACCACACAGACTATGATTGCTAAGCCCCACACTCCCTCAACAGTTAAAAATCAGCCACACAGTGACGATAAAAGCCACAGAAATCCAATGAAGTCCAAACCCAGGTGGCTTAAGGTTACCGAGGCATTGAGAGCTTCTAGCCTCCTTCCCTTTCTTTCTAAGCATGGCCCACATTCTGGCCCATGGTTTATTACTGAGAATTTCCAATCCCTGAACCTTTAAGTTAGGGCTGAAGAGAATCAATCAATGACATTCCTCTTCACCTCCTGAGTTTGGGAAAAAAAACCAAAAAGAGCATACAGGAGTCCAAACAGATGATGGGGAAAATATCTGATACTTTATTGATGATAAATTAGAAAATGCCACTTGACCTATAGCCACACTCAGTCTTTCTATTCTGCTCCCCCAACCTGTGAATCAAACTTGCCTACTCACAATATCAGGCCTTAAAAAGACAGAACTGCCCTGGTCAGGAATGGGAAGAAAAGATGTGTGTCCTGAAGACTTTGCTGTCTGAAAAAAGAGAAAGAAGCTGAACTGTTTGTCTGAGTTCCTTCTTCCCATTGGCAGGATCAAAGAAGTCTTTCCTCCCTTGGGCTAGTGTAGGCAAGGAGGCAAAGAGTACCTTTTCAGGAAGTAGAGCTCCCTCTCCACTATGGGAAAGTGAGGAGGCCGGGGTGAGTGAGTGCCCCTCCTAATATTTTGATAGTGTATTCATGAAAGCCTCTTCATAGCTGATGGGGTCCTTAGCTCTAATAGGGATTTAGGTGGAAGGTTGGGAACAGATGTGTGACATTGAAGCTGAGCTTTAACAGATGAGTACAAGTGTGCTAGATGTTTGGTAGCTAGAGTGGCATTTTAGACAGAAGAACAACATAAATAAAGGGAGAGCCATAAAATTGCCCAGTGTGTTCAGGGAGCAGCCAGGGAATCCAGTGTGGCAAGGACATGGGGGAAACTGGCTGGAGCTGAAGTTTTGAGTAAGGAAATCATTTTTACAGTATTTATATTTCTGAAGAATAATTAGTAGCTAGAGTGATGAAGGACAGCTTTTAAATGTAGATATGGGACTCAGCAGTTTGTCATGAAGAATTGTGAAAAAGTCTATCTGAAGAATTGTGAAAAAATCTATCTCTGCAATCTTAATAGAATTCAGAAACAAAAATTCAGATTAATTGGGGGGAGTTAAAATAGTTAATACTATCATATGTGATTGGAGTTGCTTTGCAAACTCAGAGAAAAGTCAAGCTCAAGAAACACAAACATGGTGGCATCTTTGGACTGTTGAGATTCCATGCTGTCATCTTTCATTTACCCAGTATCTCATCAGTTAACCAGGCTGTGAATTTTTCTTTGAAATAATTTCAAAGACATGCTTCACTTTCCCATTCCCCGAATGTCTTCATTGTTTTGGCTGCTATTACAAAAATACCGTAGTTTGGGTGGCTTAAACAACAAACATTTATTTGTCATAGTTTTAGAGGCTAGGAATTCCAAGATCAAGGCTCCAGCAGGCCTGGTATCTGGTGAAGCCCTGCTTCCTGGCTTGTAGTAGACAGCTACCTTCCCCTTATACCCTTACATGACCAGAGAGTGAGCTCTAGTATATTTCTCTTATTGTCAGGACACTAATTCCATGAAAGGATTTGCCTACTGACACTCCTACTGGGGACTAGGGTTTCAACATGATTTTTGGGAGAATACAAACATACAGTCCGTAACATCAACTATCTTCACCTTTTGCAGGTATCTATTACCTCAAACCTTGGTCATTTTTGCCTGCATTAGTCATTTTAAAATATTAACATTTTTATGTGGTTTTGGTATTGTATTATCTTTAGAGATTAGACTCATGGTACAGTCTGTCCTTCCCTTCATAGAACTGGTTGAGAATTTACACATACAGAGTCACATAGGCATGGAGTATGGGTATCTGTTTTACTCAATGTGTGCTTGGATCAAGGACACTAGCAGGCTTTCTGACTCTCCCCACACTGAATTTATCCATCTTGTCACAGGTCAGAGGCTGTGATGCACATCTGAGAGGGCTTACTGCATGGAAGCTGGAAGCCTGGCCCCTGCTGCATCTGAAGAAGCAGAACCAAGAGGAAGCAAGGGAAGAGCACAGAGCCTATTTCTAACTTTTGAGGCAATGTGACTCCCACTGGAAACATTGTTCAATGAAAGTTAGGATCTTATTGATTTCGCCAAATTGATTTGTTTTTCTCTGTCCAAGAGGAGGAACAATTTACAGAGTAGAAATAGAGTATGAAACATTGCTGGTAATATCACTGGTTCTTTCTCCTTTAAGAGATCGGAATATAATTTTAAGTTTTGATTGGGGAAAGAACATGGGGTGAGCAGGACTAGAATTTTCCACCACATTATTCGTCTTAGGTATTATTCTCTAAGTTTTAGGTATATGCCTTTTATTTCTAATTTGGAATCTTCCTGAGACTAGAGCCCATGTATATTGCTTCAGGTTATTCCCATACCAATAAATATTCAGAAAAGAAACAGATTTAGCTGGAAATATGCAAAATGCCATGTCAGATGGGAAAGCCTTGCTGTCACTAAATAACTATGTAAGATTGGCTTGAATCCAATGCTTCCACGTCTTTGGAAGATTTCTGTCAGTTTCCCTCTTTCTTGTGATCTCCTCTGACTGCCAGACTCTTGTTTCCACCTTTGCTGTCTTGGCTGTGCATGCAGTTAATTCAGAGATGATTCTCAGAATATTGGTTGGTTGGTTTACACACACTCAGAGCATTTGTGAGTACACTGGATTTTACTGTTGCTAGTTAAAGGGAGGAGTCCCTTGATGCATAGCTCAAAAACAGCCCATATTCTGGATTCCTCCTCTCTAACATCCTTTGTGGCTGGCCCTCACTGAAGTTTCCTGTCTTAGTTCTAGCCCCATACATCACACTGTTTTATATCCTTTTGTGAACCTCTCTTTTTTTCTTTTATTGTCTCACATACCCTCTTTTCATTTTTTCCTAGAAATTCTAAATACTTCAGTCTCAATTTTACTATGAAAGTGAGTTTTCTCCAGCTCCTTTTCTCAAACATGCATATACAAATCCATTAAGGTGCTCAATAAAGGACTGCCAGGAACAAAGAGCCACTCTCCTTAGGTGCTTACATGCCCTATGAATATAATTAGCAGGTTTTTCTATTATAATTAGAATATTATCCTCACATTTCTAGGTCGATTTTCTCCTACTCGAATAACAGGGGAATGAATATTAAAACTGTATTAAGAAGTCTCAGAGTTCATATCATATCAGGCCTCCTAAAATATAGTAAGAAAATGAGTTTGATAATAAGTAAAATTTTGCAGAATTTTGTTTAGAGGCTCAGAATTTAAACATTCTCTTTCGTTGATAGTGCTTATAAAAACAACCCCTAAGTATTTTCTGATAATAATTGGCTACATGACTTTCTTAGATATAAATAAAACTAGGGACAATGAAGTCTTTAACAGAAAAGAAGAATTTGTTAACCGTATTAAATTAGGATTAAACACAATGAACACCAGGTCTCTACAAGCTAGAGAAAGTGCAAAGTATGAGAATGTAGCACAAAATTGTTGAGAAAGTGTGAGTGCTTGGAATGGTAAATCTGTGGTGACTGTCTCTTTTCCTGGCTGGGGAGCCTGTCCCTCTAGGTTATAAGCAACCAGTAGTCCTGGTCAGGGGCATAGCTTTTCCTGGTCATTACTACATTAACATGGAACTGAGGCCTTACAATTCTCTATCATACTTGTAATTATTAGCATTTCTATGCCATATGTTCTGGAATCAATCACAAAATATTATCTTTGCATGACTGCTATAGGGCGTATTACTCGATTTTCTTTACTATTTTAATTATACTATTTGGTAACACTAGCAAGTCTGAATTTTAAACAACTTCCTTAGGTTACCCTGTGTATGTGTAATTAATCATTTCATTGTTAATGGTATGATGACAAATACTGAAAGAAAGTTATTCTAAATGGAGCATAGTTATTCTAAATGGCAAAGACTCAGAGACTCATTTTAGACTATAATTATAATCTTGCAGTGGAATAGGAGAATAATCAATACTCATTAGATATGTCATTGAGAATCTACTATAGATTCATGACTAAACTCTCAAATCCCAGAAAATGTGCTGAGAATCATGCACTAGTTTAAAGAGGGAGACCAGGGCAGTTGTTATATTTTTAAAAAGGCTGAAGTCATATATGAGCTGCCACAAGACAATTCCTCCAAAGATCCAAAGGTAAAGTTTCATAGATAATCAAAATAAAATGCTATTAGTGAATTCAGATGTTCATAGAGTTGTATATTATTCAATAAATGATCAAGCAGATAAAGATGCACATATGATCAGCACTAATATGAATGTATATGTGTCACTGAAATTGAAGTTTTAAGTCACTGTCCATAGAGTGAGTCTTAGATAACCCTATAATGTCTTTATAAAACTCAATCTTGCCATTAAAATTGCATGTGATGCCTTAAGTTTGCTGGCATCACCCAAAGACAACCGACATGTGATTCTGATTCCACACCAGTGTGAACTCCTGTTCAGGCCCCACTTCTTCTGATAGCAGGGTGTACCCCACTGGCTCTTGCCTATTTAGTCCCTTATGGTCAAATGGTGAGCAGATTGATCACTTTAAGGCAGGGGGAACCAACATATCTGTGCTCATTTTCATGGCATTCTTAGCTATTTAGTGAAGCACATGGAAGCTCAGGAATGGCAGGGTTTTAGAAGCCATTTGTTTTCCCTCTGCTCCCTTTGCTTTCCTTAAGGTGCAGATCTTTCCTATCTTCCAAAAACTCTGCATGAGTGTTCCATCCTTGCTCTGTGAAGCTAGAAATAGTATCTCCTTTTCTCAGAAATATCTTCATATTTCTTCTGTGCTTCTTCTTTATCACTTATCACGACCTGCCTGGTAGCTATCATGTTCCTCTCTCATCCCTTAGTATTACAGTGTATTCTCTGAATCATCTTTGTATGCCTGATAGGACTTGCACAGTCTGGCCCAGGGTAGGTTTCAATAAATGTGTTGGATGAATGATGAGCTGCAATTCTGCCATGAGATTCATGAGAGTAACAGACACTGAATTATTGTACAGCAGCTTATGGTGGCGTTTTATACTCTAAGGTTGGAGGGAGCTTGACTTAGAAGCTTCTTAGCATCTCTAAAACATCTCTGCCAAGTGATCTCCCAGCTTTTTCTTGAACATCTCCAGTGATGGTTAACTTGACTCCTCTAGAGGCAGTCTTTTCCATTTCAGACATGTTCTAATGTGGCTCTCTTCTCCTCTTTCCTGACAATATTTTGACCTCAAGACGCAGATTTATTACCAACTCAGCTAAGGGTACTTTAACTTCATAAGGCTGAAAGTAGTCTCTTGTTTTAATCAGTCTCAAGCCTAGAACTATCCAGATTCTTCCTGTCTTTGCTGAAATTTCCTTCAGATACTTTAGTTTTTGTAGTTTTGTTTTTTCAAACAGATTTATGGAGATATATTTGATTTTATAAACAAAAACCTGCACACATTTAATGTATATAATTTGATGAGTTTGGAAGTATGCATATGTCTGTGATGCTATCACCATTCTTCTTAAACTGTTATTTCCCTTCATGGATTCAAAGGGTTGGAAGAGACCTGGAGATTAGCTAGTTCAACTTAATTTTCTGATGATCCAATGGAGCCTAAGTAAGAGGAAGGGACTTGCTAAAGGTCACACACCTTACTTTCAGCCATCAGCTATACAGGAAAGGAGGGTGCATTCCCAGCTGCTGGCCTGCTTAAAGGACCCAGTGGCTACTTATTCCACAAATTTCTTATATGCAGTAATACCGTATGCTCCAACAGAAGCTTTTCACTTTTGAGCTACAATATTAATCTCATGAACTTAATCACAAGCATAACAAATGGTTTTTCCCTCTTAATCCCTTACTTGTTCACTTGCTGGTGTATCACCCATGACCAGGCAGACAACTGTTTTGTCTTCTGTCAACTGATTAAGGAGTGATATTAGATGGGTGCTAATTCTTAGGAAGATGAGAGAATCAGAAATTCATCATAGGAACATGCTTGAGTAATAAGTTTGATGATATCATTTTTAGCTGTGAGATAGTTTTGGTTCTCATAAAAAGGAAAATTTGTTATAATTTTAAGTAGCATTTAATGTTATCTACTGAAATACATTTGGGTTTAGTACAGGAAACAGATGATATTTGGTCTGAAAACACTCTGTGAATTTACTTTTTTTTCACAGATTGTTGCTTACTTTTTTTAAAAATTTTATGTTCTACTATGCCAGGGAATGATAGTTATGTTAGATTATGTAACTGGCAATAGTAAATTGAGGAAATAAAAGATTTGGGTTAAAAAGTGGTTCTGCTTATGAGGAACATACTCCAAAAAGTTGATATTGTACATACCTAAACTTTATTCAGGAACTAAAATACAGACAATCTGTGGGATAATATAATAAATTAAATTTTAGGGAGATTTTGCTTAATGGGGGGTTTCCAAAGTAAATTATGATTTTACTCTTTTCCTTATCTTTCAGACATGCCACTTCAGAAAACTCTTTGTATCTGCATTTTAAAATATTGCTTTATTTTAAATTCATATTCTGGATAAATTAGTTGATTTTTGATGATTCTAAAAATTTTTAGTAGAAACCAGTTTTAATCCTGTGAGTAGAAAAATATGTATGAAGATGTGGGATAGGTGTTTGCTAGCACAGGGTAGGAAGTACCTAAAATAACAAGTAAGTGTCAGTGAGGAAAATTTGTTAAATAGAATTTCATAAATAATTCTGGAATGCATTTGCAAAACTACATGCTGGGTCATATTTTTCTGTCTCACGTTATAGCCAGTTTAACCCTCTTACTCTAGAAAAGCTAGAGCTATTTCTGTGTTCTCAAAGTTGGGTTCCAAATTACCTATCCAGTATCTTCCCCCCCTACATTTTCCACAAAATGAATGCTCCAGCTTCATCAATCTCCTTTAAGATCCTTGAGCATATCTACAACTTCTGTCCTCTGCTATCGCAGTTTCCTCACTGATGTGCCCAAGGAGCTTGTTCAAATTCATGCATCGTTGAGGGCCAAATCTGGATCATCTGTCAGTTTCATTCAATGACAACCTGTCCTGATTTACACAGTCAGAATTAAATATTCCTACAGCATATTACTAACACCTCTATTTATTGCTTATACCAGCTTTGCCTTGTGATTAGTTATTTCATATTGATCTACTGAACTTAAATTCTGTGATCTCCTTATTGACCACAGATTATTCCTCTGTTCAGCACTCCTTATTCTTATCCCTGTTACAATTCTTATTATGGTGCACAAGCTCCATAAATATTTATAAAACTGATATTAATTGAATAAAATATTGTCTAGAGGTCTCAGTCATTCTTCAATGAAACGGAATGATTATTTTAGCTGATTTGACACCATTGTACCAAATTAGTCTTCAAAATTGTATACTAAAGAACCAGGGAGACAATGAAATATCTAAGATAGAATCATTTTTAATATATTGGCATGCTAAACTTTAGAATGTATGATCAAACCACTTATTTCAATAGGATAACATTTAACCAAATGCCTTGGTAAGTTGCTTACCCATCTCAAAAGGATATTGATAATATTGTTCTATAGAGAATTTACATAAAAAGGCTATGATTACTGTTAACCACAAATAGTCCTAAGTAGTAAAAATATTGCCTGAAGTATTTCTGAGTTGAAATAAAACATCCAGATTATAATAACATTTTTCTTTTTTTTTAGGTATGGTCTTTTAAAATAAATACTTTACTATTATAATTGTCACGCCTGTTGTTTTGCGTTAGATGTATAACTAAACGTGTTGTATAGATTATGGTCAATAAGTTATTGGGTAAATGTTATTTTCCTACTATTACCTAAAGTTAATCTTACCACCTGATATGGTTTGGCTGTGTCCCCAACCAAGTCTCATCCTGAATTGTAGTTCTCATAATCTCCACATGTGGGAGGGACTTGGTGGGAGGTAATTTAACCATGGGGGTGGCTACACTCATGCTGTTCTAGTGATAGTAAGTTCTCATGAGATCTGATGGTTTTATAAGAGGCTTTTCCCCCTTTTTCTTGGCACTTCTCCTTCCTGCCATCATGTGAAGAAGGGATTGTTTGTTTCCCCTCCTGCCATGATTGTAAGTTTCCTGAGGTCTTCTCAGCCATGCCAAACTGTGAGTCAATGAAACCTTTTTCCTTTATAAATTAACCAGTTTCAGGCATTTTTTTCATAGCAGTGTGAAAATGGACTAATACACCACCTATACTTTTTTCACACTTTTCATTGAGAAATGTAACTTTCACAAAGAAAAGTACATACAACCCATATTAACAGTTTTACAAATAACTATAAAGCAAATATCTGTGTCGGTTGGGTGTGGAGGCTCATGTCTGTAATCCCAGCACTTTGGGAGGCCAAGGTGGGTGGATCACTTTGAGCTCAGAAGTTTGAAACCAGCCTAGGCAACACAGCAAAACCCTGTCTCTAGAAAAAATACAAAAATTAGCCAGGTGTGGTGGTGTGCACCTGTGGTCCCAGCTACTCAGGAGGCTGAGCCTGGAGAATCACCTGAACCTGGGAGACAGAGGTTGCAGTGAGCCAAGATCACTCCAGTGTGGGAACAGAGCGAGACCCTGTCTAAAAAATAAAAGCAAATAATCTGTGTTAAAACTACCCAGACCAAATAGAACATTTCATTTAAAAGATCTGGAGTATCTACTGAGGGTAGAGGGAGAGGAAGCTAGCCAAGCACAAGCATCTCCCTGATTATCCCTGCCAGTTGCAGACTCATTCCTTTCCTCTACTGCTTATACTATCCTGGCTTTATAGTGTTAATGTCTTCTCTTATCTTTATAATTTCCCTAAGGAAAAAGATAAATTTTTCTGTTTTTGAACTTTATATAAGTGGGACCATTTATATGTATTCTTTTGTGGCTTGTTTTTCTTAACCTTAGGTTGGTAAAATATATTCATGCTGTTGTATGTGACTTTAGTTTGTCCATTCATTTTTAATACTATACAGTGTCCTTTAAATGAATATACCACAGTTTATTTATCCATTCTACTTCTAAGGCAATTTGGACTGTTTGCATTTTGGGGCTATTTTGAACAATATGTCTTGGTGCATGCATTTCTCTAAGGTATATACTTAGCAGTGGAATTGCTGGGTCAAAGGGTATGTGTGCCTCAACTAGGCTAGAAAACACCACACTGTTTCCAGAGTGCATGTATAAATTTATATTTCTACCAGCAGTGTATGACAATTCCTACTGCTCCAAATCCTGACCAACAACTTGTATTTACTTTTGCATTTTTTTTCCCAATCTTAAGAGTGTTTAGTGCTAACTCATTTTGTTTAATTTCCATTTACTCTATTACCAGTTAGGTTGAGTAACTTTTTAAAAAACAGAAGTCCATTGGTAATTTGGATTTTCACTTTTGCGAAGCTTTTGTTCAAGTTCAGTTCTTTGCCTACTCTTCTATTGAAGTATTGTTTTATGTGTATTTCTCATTGAGTTTACTGTGTATTGAGTATTGTTATAAAGCCATATGATAAGCAGATGTTCTTAATTTTAATGTAGTTAAAATTATCTCTTTTTCTTTATAATGACTACTTTTTCTGACTTATTAAAGACCCCCTGTCACAAAATTATGAAGATATTTACTTTTACTCTCTCCTCAAAGTTTAAAAATTTTGCCCTTTCCACTCTGGTTTTTAATTGATTTTATATATGGATACCCATTATTACAGTTCCAAAGATTAAAAAGTGGCCTTCCCCATTGCTCTGGAGTGCTAATTTATTATAAATCAAGTGTCCTTGTGTGTGTGAAGTTGTTTCTGAACTTAAAATATATTTCTTTGGTCTAAATATCTATTCCTGCAATAAACATCCACTGCCTTAATTACCATAGCTTTATATAGGTCTTGATAACTGGGCAAGTCCTTTCTGCCTTATTTTTCTTGGTTAACTTTGGCCTTTTTAACATACATATACATTTGAAAATCTACTTGTGAACTTCCACATGCACACTAAAATAATCTGCTGGTAATATGAAATTCATTGAATCTATACATTCCTTTCAGGAGAGAGTAGTTGCACACATATAATCCCAGCACTTTTGGAAGCCAATGTGGGAAGATTGCTTGAGGCCAGGAGTTCAAGACTAGCCTAGGCAACATAGTGAGATCCTGTTTTTAGGGAAAAAATGTTTTTAAAAAGCTGGGCATGTTGGCAGGCTGCCAAGTACACAGGGGGCTGAGGTGGGAGGATGGCTTCAGTCCAGGAGTTCCAGGCTGTAGAGAGCTATGATTACGCCACTGCCTTCTAGCCTGAATGACAAAGTGAGAACCTATCTCATAAAAAAAAATTCAGGAGAAATATTTACAGTCACAAGTTTTTCAATATGTGAATTTGCTATATATTTCATTTTTCTGAAGTCTTCTTTAATGTAATTTAATCCCATTTTATGATTTTTTCTGTAGTAGCCTTATATATCCTTGTTGGACTTTTACCGAGTCACCTGATACATTTTGATACTGCTATATAAACCCACCTTTGTCATTGATCATAGCTCATCAAAATCTTCCTAGACTTTGCTTATCATTTCTTTTCACTAACTTGTATTCTCACTGTTTTTTCTTCCACTGAGCTACTCTCTTTATTACATGAACATAATTTGAACCCATTATGTACCCATTGTTAAAAGCCCTTCAGTAGCTCCCTATATACTCTATGTCTTTTTCCTTTCATGGCCAATGATTTAGGCATGATGGGCCACGCTTCTGTCTCTTCCTTCTTACCTTTCAGCCAGTCATTTTCCAACCTGCTGCGATTTGATTGCTTCCACCACCACACTGCAACTGCTCTGCCAGAGGATCCTCTCACAATTAAAGCCAAGGACTATTTTTCAAGGTCCTTATGTTGATTTTTCAGCACTGTAGAACATTGCTATAATGCTAAAAGTATTAATAGTAGCCATAGTAATTATAACTGGTATATATCACTGGTAAATATCACTGGTATTATTATGACTATACTTATAGCTATAATTATAATTATAGTAATAATAACACTATAATTATATATTATTACTGTAATATATAATTACTATAATATAATTATAATAATACATAATTATGTTAATAATAATATGAGTGATAAAATTAATACCAACTTACTGAGTATCTTTTGTGGGGCAGCACTTTAGAGCCACTACTTTTACAAACCAGATATTATTATCAAAGATGAGATGGCCTTTCCATTGTCCAAGGTCATGAAGAGTAAGTTCTACAGGGAAGTCAGCCTCATGCAAGAGTCTAAACTCTGCCCAATACTTGTCTCTGCCTTAAATCCACAGATCTCGCTCGCCTCTTGTTCTCCTCTAGTCCATCCTGCCTCTTTTTCTTACTCTTTTTCTCTGGGTTCTCTTCCACTGCCCATATCCTCAATCTGGCTCCTCACCAGGGTCTTGCCATTGGTCCTTTTCTCACTCTTCCTATCCTTGCTTATATGATATCCTCTCCCACAACATAAGCTTTCACTTAACATACCAACTTCATTATATCTAAGACCTAGCATGGTGCCTGTCTTGTAACTATTGAATGGTAAACTATCTTATATCTTCATTGGTTGGAGTCTAGACATCCCAGGTCAATATTTACAAAACTGAGCTCATAAATCTTTTTCTCCTAAACTTCCTTCTCCTCCTGTGTATCTTATCCTGGTTAAAAGCATCACCCTTTATCCATTTGCTCATTCCAGAAAACTGGTAATCATAGAACTGTTTTTATCATGCCAGCCTCAGAAATCTCTTCTACCAATGCAGATTTCTTTGCATTCTGGTCTTTAGTGACCCATCTCCTGGTGCTGTCCCATTTGGAGCACTTATCAGCTTGATATGTTGATGATTTGATGAACTAATAACTGCAGATTTTACCCTTTTTGGGATACAGTAACTATTTTTTCATATATTGAAAAATAATTCTTTCAGTTTAGCAGCTTACATTTTGATATTGCCCAACAGAGTATCATACAAGTACTCACTTACTGATTTTTTTCAACACTTTTAGGTGTCTAAAATTATGGAAGAGAAAACTTGTAAAGAAACTGATATTCAAATACTTTGGAACTTAGTTGAGATTTTTGCAATTTCTTTTTCAATGTTCACAAAAGTGTGGCTGAGAACATCAGACTGTGCGCTTCATTAAAGTTAATGGGTGAACAACCAAATATTTGGGGATACCTCAGTTTTTTCAAATGGAGTCACATTAAATTCTTGCTGCAGGGGTTTCTCTGTGCAGTTTCTGTGATGGTTTTTAGGGGTCTCTTGGATGGCGTGGCTGTCCTTCTGCAGTGCCACAGGGAACAAAACCGAAGTTGTTAAGTTAGAACAGATACTTTTATACCAAACATGGTGAAATTGGCAATTGGCATTTTTGCATAATGATATAAGTATATTTGACGGCATTGGAAATCCTAACCAGCATTATATATAACTTAGGAGATTGGTTAATGAAAAATTTTTAACAGTGTTTTATATAGTGAGGGACACCATGATGTGTAGTTTGCTATTGACAGTGTCACTCTTGGCTGTCAGAGCCCTTCAGGGATTACCCAGGCCAAAGGGGTCATGCTTTGCTTTGAGACAGGTGAAGGGACACGAAGGCCCAGCTCTGTCACACTCTCTTGGCACATTCTGTCCTCAGAATTCCCTATAGTGTCAGCTAAGGTTTCTGTTGAGACTGTCACAGCTTGACATCGTCCTCTGCCCAATCTTCCTTCTTTCTCTTTCTTTCCATTTCCTTCCACAGGCACTGATTCTGTAATAAACATCCTGTATGCTAATCTTCATCTTAGAGTCTGCTTCCAAGAGAACCTAACTTGCAACTCCCACCATGTAAAAGTTTGATGCAGCTTTGCCAGAGAAGCATAACATTAATGGGAATGCTGTGAGGCTTTTCCCTAGAACAGGAAGCTCACAAAGGTTACCAAGTAAACAGATTCATTCATCCTGGCAACATTTACACATCCTTCTCAGGGATGCAGAGATGATTAAGGCAAGATTCCTATTCTCTGGTGAGGGAGGTAGGCACAAACAAGTGTTCACAATACAACATCGTAAGTGCTATTGTGGAGGATTGCACAATGCGCTTAGGGAACACAGATGAGGGGGCAATTAAAATTGCCCAGGTATCCTGGAAGATGAGGAAACATTTGATCTAAACTGAAGAAAAAAACCATCTGATCTGAATTCTCTTTCCTAGGAAAGAGAATGGTTTGGGAGTTGCTTGTTTTGCAGCTGTGTAAGATGTCTGGGGAGAAGCAAAGAGCTAGGCTGGGATGAGGATGAACAATGGCAGGAAGTAATGAAAAATTGAGCTAGGAAATAGTTTGGGGCCAGAGCTAAAGAAGGAGTGGTTGCCAGCTGGGCGCGGTGGCTTACGCCTGTAATCCCAGCACTTTGGGAGGCCGAGGCGGGCGGATCACGAGGTCAGGAGATTGAGACCATCCTGGCTAACACGGTGAAACCCCGTCTCTACTAAAAATACAAAAAATTAGCCAGGCGTGGTGGCGGGCGCCTGTAGTCCCAGCTACTTGGGAGGCTGAGGCAGGAGAATGACGTGAACCTGGGAGGCGGAGCTTGCAGTGAGCCGAGATCGCACCACTGCACTCCAGCCTGGGCGATAGAGTGAGACTCCGTCTCAAAAAAAAGAAAAAAAAAAGAAAGAAGGAATGGTTGCCTAGTGACAATGTGTAAAATGAGGAGATAACGAAAGATACCTAAAGAAGACCAATGTTTCATATGGGGGGGCATTAAGGAAGAGCAGCTAGTGAACCACTGGAGAACCATCAAAGTGGAAGAAGGAAAACTGGAATATTGCTGGAGAGTAGAGAATTTCCGAAAGGCAAAGGTCAACACTGTTACATGCTCTAGAGATGTTCAGCAGGTTGAGAACTTCGAAATAAGAAGCCCTCGAGCTCTAGCGAAATGAACACACAAGTGGGGATACATTCATAAATGCAACACCATACTGTAAAAAATGACTACAGGTTCATCTGAGAAAAAAGGATAAATTTTGCAACGTGATATTGAGTGAGAAAAGTTAGATCTTCTACAAAGATGGGTTTAGTTAAACATGTAGTGCTTGGGGAAACTTGTATAGGTGACACAAACGTAAAAGAAAGCTAGAAAAATGGGTCTTTGTAAGGAGAGAGGGGGTAATGATCTGAAGTAGGCATGAGGGGATCTGCTGTGTTCTGGTAAAGTCCTCTTTCTTGACCTGAGTGATTTTTTATGGATATTTCCCTTGGGATAAACCTTTGGGCTGTATGTTTCTGTTTTGTAAAGTTTTCTGTGATGCAATTCATATTTTCCAATAAGTAGGGTTTTAAAATAAGCAATTGGAAATGATTAATTTCAGAATCATTGTGACTTTTGATGAGAAGTTTGAGTAGAATGTTTGATGGTAGAAGTCTGATTGTCCTGGGTTGAGAAACTGAAGGAACAAAATCCAGAAATGTGAATTATTTCTTTTGTATGTTGATGGGAAATAGAAAAAGATAATGTAGCCCTTTGGAGTAAGTAGCCTTTAAACTAGTAAACTTAGTACTCCCAAGGCAAATACCCTTAGTTAAAATCTATAACTCATACAAGTAGATAGGAGTAAGTTATAAACAACCAAATGAAACATTAGTAGTAAGTGATGAAAATGCATGGTGGCAAGCAAATAACAATTTTTTATAAATCAGGTTTTTGAATAAACTTTGTTCATATTTGTCATTTTGTGAATACATAAATGATTCCTAGAAACTTGGAGTTGTAACATGGGACTGCTTGAAAAAAAAGATAAACTATCTAAAAGGACAGGCAATTCAATATATGTCAATAATCATTTCAAGGCACTAGAATCTTTGCTATATTAGTGTTTTTATAGTTTTAGCATAGTATATGTATTTTGTGATATTTTTGATACAGCAAAATATGACACATTTAACTTCATTAAAAACAGAATTTTGAAGTCCACACTTCAAAATTTCTTTAGAGTCAAGAAATTAAGAATAACAGGAGACCTTTAAGGTAGTTCATTTAACTTGCTTATTTGACAGATTGGGACTCCACAGGCTTGGAGACTCAATGTCAGTACCCAGGTCACACAGTTAGTGGAAAGCCTAACTAAAGCTTGGGTCTCTCACCTCTCAGTCTAGTGATAATTCCACTCAGTACCTTTGAGCAATATCTCATAAAGCAAATCTTGTTACCTAAGATTCTAAACAGGGTCTAGGGCATTGTTATAATAGAATTTGGTCTGTACATATAAAATGTTCTGTATTTGGAAATTGTTTTCTTTCAAGTCATAATTCTAAAAAGGTTTAATGCGTCATTAAGCATAATTTGTATTTTGTCATGGGGTGGTAACATTTATTTAGGGGGAATTATCTCTTTTGTAAAATGTGATTAGAACACCACTTGATTAATGGAAATTCTCTTTAAATGCAACTCATAATACAGGCTTAAATCCTGATATAGAAGGTCAACTGGATCACCTTGTCACTTTCTATTAATATTACAATATGAAAACTATTGTGTTGCTTCATTACAGACCCTTAAGATACCTTTGTGGATGGCAAGTGCTTCTGCTTTCATCATAGATAGTAGGAAATGAATTCTTGGCTATAAAGGTGGTGGGCCCCAGACAGTACTCCCCAAACAAACTGCGGCCTTCAGAGTTTATTTACAGTTGCCCCTATGCTTATAGGAAAGTTATCCTCTTTGAACAGTAGTGTCCCACGTGACACATCATAAAATGCAAGGCAAAACTTACCAATTCAGTTCACATCAGGATTTTTTTGTAACCATTGATTTTGTTATAAGGGGCTACATCTCTTAAAACAAGAAATTTGTATTCAGCAGCCTGAAGGTCTTTATAGCCATTGACCTTCCCAGTGACTGCCAACAAAATCCTTTAGTTTATCACTTCACTGAGCCATGTCATCACTGAGAATGCTCAGCTCATTTAAATTTAGTTGACCTCGTGGTGTCATTCCTTATGTATAAGAACTAACAAACACCTTTGCCACACTGTAGGTGCCTTGAAGGCAGGTGATGAGGCTGGGTAACTCAGCTATTTAGCATGACGATATGCACAGAGTGAGCTCTCAGTAATTATTAGCCAAACAATGATAAGTGCTTTTTACTTGTATCACTTTCTTGATTCTGTACTTCCAAGAGTAGCGAACTTACTCTTCGACCTCTGGGTAGCATTTGACAATAGGATTATAAGTGCTTTCTCCTTTGGCCTCAGTGGCCCTTTACTGTGCCTTTAGTCCAGTAGGTTGAATTTGCAATCTCTCCCTTGACATCATTCCTGCAATGTTTTGTGCCTGTTAGCAGGAAGACGGCCTTCTATGACTCCTTCTGTTCCCTCTCCTCTAAGATTAAAATGCATTTAGCACATTCTTGAATTTTTTCTATGAATATTTATGTCAAATACTACTATTATTGTATATAAGACAAAGTAAAGAAATATAATAAAGGTACAATACATAAAATAAATAGAAACATCCAGGTGTAATGTAGTAGTATGCTCAATTAAATACATATTTTGTTGTTGTCTTTCCAGGTAGTTTTTTTTTTTTTATGGTTTTAACATTCCTTGACTTACTTACAACGCTTTCAGACACTGAAAAACAGCCACAGGGCCTGGCTAGGCTGAGATCCCTCAGAGGCTTCCTGCAGGCAATTGCAGCTTTGCCTATTACTGGCCTGAGGTGGCTGTTCTTACTGGAGACTTCACCCCTTCAAGCCCAAAATGGAACTGCAGTTGTCCCCCAAATTCTGAGCTCTCCTGGGAACTCAAGAAATCCCTCTCAGTAGTTATTGATTTCTATTCCTTTTAATCATCTTTCATTTGCATTTATCTCATAAACCAGTAGATGTTTGCACATTTGACAGGTAAGTTTGGGGAAAATGCATACTTTAATGTATCCATGGAGTCTGCGAGTTACCTTCCTATTCCCCTCATCTGAGGGCCTCATTTTCCTAAAAAGACTTGGGATTATCTGAGAGGCCACTTCCCTAATATAAGGGAATGCTTTTTCCCTCCTTATAGTTCTCTCTTTTTGATTCTCTAATTATTGAGTCTTAATCATAAAAGTTTCTTATTATGAAATTATTTACTTATATCAGCTGGCATTAATTGTTTTCTACTATCTATCTCCAATTCATTTTCTCTACTTTATGCTGAAGATGTCTTTGGCTTTCAGAGAGATTTACATTTTTCAGAGTGCTTTCAAATATAAATGTATATAAATATATGTGAGAATTTCTCATTAACCTTCACATTGACAGTGTGAAATAGGTAAAGCAAGTTTTACAAATGTGAAAATTGAGAGTCAGAGAAGTTATGCAACTGCTAAGTTGCCTAGCTGATAAATAGATATGTTCACGCTGAAATTTGGGTGTAAGGATTCAGAACACAGTGTTCTTCCATTATCTTCTACCAGCATGATCTCACCATTATATGGTCTTGCTGTGTCCCCACCCTAATCTCATCTTGAATTGTAACTCCCACAATTCCCATGTGTCATGGGAGGAACCTGGTGGGAGGTGATTAAATGATGGGGGTGGGTCCTTCCCATGTTGTTCTCATGATAGTGAATAAGTCTTACAAGTTCTAATGGTTTTAAAAATAGGGGTTCCCTCCACAAGCTCTCTTTTCTTGTCTGCTGCCATTTGAAATGTGCCTTTCACCTTCCGCCATGATTGTGAGGCCTCCCCAGCCACAGGGAACTGTAAGTCCAATAAACCTCTTTCTTTCATAAATTGCCCAGTCTCAGGTATGTCTTTATCAGCAGCATGAAAAATGGACTAATACAGTAAATTGGTACCAGTAGACTGGGGTGCTGCTGAAAAGGTACTCAAAAATGTGGAAGCGATTTTGGAACTGGGTAACAGGCAAAGGTTGGGACAGTTTGGAGGTCTCAGAAGAAGACAGGAAAATGTGGGAAAGTTTGGAACTCCCTAGAGACTTGCTGGATGGCTTTGACCAAAATGCTAATAATGATATGGACCATACAATCCAGGTTGAGGAGATGATGAACTTGTTGGGAACTGGAGTAAGGTGACTCTTGCTATGTTTTAGCAAAGAAACTGGTGGTATTTTGCCCCTGCACAGAGATTTGTGGAACTTTGAATGTGAGAGAGATTTAGGGTATCTGGCAGAAGAAATTTTTAAGCAGAAAAGCATTCAAGAGGTGACTTGGGTGCTGTTAAAGGCATTCAGTTTTATAAGGGAAGCAGAGCATACAAGTTTGGAAAATTTGCAGCCTGACAATGCAATAGAAAAGAAAATTCCATTTTCTGAGGAGAAATTCAAGCCAGCTGCAGAAATTTGCATAAGTAATGAGGAGCCAAATGTTAACCCCCAAGACAATGGGGAAAATGTCTCCAGAGCATGTCAGAGGTTTTTATGGCAGCCCCCCCAATCACAGTTCCAGATGCTTAGAAGGAAAAAGTGATTTTGTGGGCAGGGCTCAGGGTCCCCATGCTGAGTGCAGTCTAGGGACTTGATGCCCTGTGTCCCAGCCACTCCAGCCTGGGCTGAAAGGGGCCAAGGCACAGCTTGGGCTGTGGCTTCAGAGGGTGAAGGCCTCAAGTCTTGGCAGCTTCCACCTGGTGTTTTGTTGAGCCTGCGAGTGCACAGAAGTCAAGAACTGAGGTTTGGGAACCTCTGCCTAGATTTCAGAAGATATATGGAAATGCCTGGATGAACAGGCAGAAGTTTGCTGTAGGGACAGGGTCCTCATGGAGAACCTCTGCTAGGGCAGCGCAGAAGGGAAATGTGGGATGGGAGCCCCCATGCAGAGTCACTACTGTGGCACCGCCTAGTGGAGCTGTGAGAAGAGGGCCACTGACCTCCAGACCCCAGAATGATAGATCCACTGACAGCTTGCACCATGCACCTGGAAAATCCATAGATACTCAATTCCGGCCCACGAAAACAGCCAGAAGGGAGGCTGTACCCTGCAAAGCTACAGGGGTGGAGCTGCCCAAGACCATGGGAACCCCTGTCATGCATCAGCGTGATCTGGATGAGAGACATGGAGTCAAAGGAGATCATTTTGGAGCTTTAAGATTTGACTGCCCTGCTGGATTTCTGGCTTGCATGGGGCCTGTAGCCCCTTGGTTTTGGCCAATTTCTCCTATTTGGAATGGCTGTATTTTCCCAGTGCCTGTACCCTCATTGTATCTAGGAAGTAGCTAACTTGCTTTTGATTTTATAGGCTCACAGGCAGAAGGGACTTGCCTTGTCTCAGAGGAGACTTTGGACTGTGGATTTCTGAGTTAATGCTGAAATGAGTTAAGACTTTGGGCGGCTGTTGGGAGGGCACGATTGGTTTTGAAATGTGAGGACATGAGATTTGGGAGGGGCCAGAGGCAGAACGATATGGTTTTGCTGTGTCTCCACCCAAATCTCATCTTGAATTGTAGCTCCTGCTGTTCCCACATGTCGTGGGAGGAACCTGGTGGAAGATAATTGAATCATGGGGGTGGGTCTTTCCCATGCTGTTCTCATGATAGTGAATGAGTCTCATGGGATCTCATAGTTTTAAAAATGGGAGTCTCCCTGCACAAGCTCTCTTCTCTTGTCTGCCGCCATGTGAGATGTGCCTTTCACCTTCCATCATGATTGTGAGGCCTCTCCAGCCACACGGAACTGTTAAGTCCAATAAACCTCCTTCTTTTGTACATTGCCCAGTCTCAGATATATCTTTATCAGCAGCACGAAAATGTACTAATACACCCTACTATCCCACAGATGGCATGTGGCTTCCCATCTGTTTGTGCTCACCTAGCTCCTTCTCTCAATGAATCAGAAGACCCACTTTCCAAGGCTCCATTCAAGTCTCCCTCCTTCCTAAAAGCTGTTCCTGACAAAACCAGTCTAGAGTTATTTTCTGTAAATGCTTGTTATTTAAGGCATTTATTTTGTATTTCCTCATAGGCTGTTTTGTATGGTTATTTAACTATGCCAAACTAGATGTTTAGAGATAAGGAATCAAACTGAAATCAAACCAGGCAAGAAGTACCTAGTTACTGACATTTATTAGGGGTCTTAGGAATTGCAATTTGGGAGACATAAACTCAATATGACATTGAATTGTGTTCCTAAAGGAGGAAGGAGAGAGAAGGGTTTTAAAGAAGAAAGAAGGTGAAAGTTTAAAACATTACAAAAGTTGCTTTTCAAAAATCATGATTGGCTAGGGCATTGTAAAGTACATGAGTCCATACACAGCTGGCTGCAAGAGTGGTTGGCTAAATTAAGCAATGTTCCAGGGTGCTGTGGTCTTTGTGATTTGGACCAGTTCTAAAGTTCACAAGAAGTTCCAGGTACACCTGTCTGTGAATGTGCAGAAGTTTCTCAACAAAATGGCTCCAGGCTCCATTTTAGATGTTCTGAATCATAGCACAGCCATTTTGGAGATAAGATTTTATGGGGAAAAAAAGTGGGATTTGGAGCCATCTGGGTTTGGGTTCAAATCCTGACTGTTACCTACCAGCTTTCACGACCATGGGTCCCTGCTAACTGATTTGTAAAGTGGGGATTTATTCAGAAAAACATTTACTGAATGCATACTATATCCCAGGTGTGCACACCAATGAACAAGACACACAAAGACTGTGAGAGAGATAGGCAAGTAAAACAGATTGTCAAGAGTTGCAAGCAATATTAAATGATTTTAAAAATAAAAACAGTTGATAACATAGTCACAGCAGAAAGAATCCACATTAGAGAAGGTGGTTGTAGAAGGCCTCTCTTTGAGGAAGATGATACTTTACCTGAAACTTGACTGACGTGTAAAGCCAGCCTTGCAAAGATGTGATGAGGAGTTGTTCATGCAGGATAACTTAAGGCTTGAGATAGCCTGGTTTATTAGAGGAATAGAGAGAAGGCCAGTATGGGTAGTTGCTGAAGAAGGAGGCAGCATATCATGTGGGGATTTTAAGCAGTAATTAGGAGTTTGGGTTTTATTCTAGTTGCAATAAGAAGTCAATGAGAAGGGTAACAAGGCTCTCTGGCTGTTGGGGGTGTTGAATGGATTAACACAGAAAAGCTCGTGATACAATGCTTGATAGTTAACACTTTAACTGTTTAACATATTTTTATTCTGCTTTCATATGTGTTTTATTATTAAAACTACATCATTAACTTCTCAAATACAGGGCCTATATATCATGCTATTGCATGCACAATGTGGCACTCTATGACACACATAACTTGATCAGGCTTGTTAGATGTGAGTGTTACCCCAGTGCACCACTAGGCAACAGCTTTTTCCATGCAGATGACTTGCACTGTTCTGAGTAATTCAGCTAAGCTGCCTGATTCTGCCCATTTAACATCATCTCATACACATGAGGCTATCTGATGAGTCTGTAATAACAACTTGCACACAGTGGAGTGTGTAAGCATGCATAATTCTCAGCTTGATCTATATTTAATTACCATTCTGGAATAACATTCACTTTTGTATGATTATCTAAAAAAAAAAAAAGAACAACACAAGTATAAGGAATGAAGAATTTACTTAGCATTTTGGAAAGGGACTATCTTCAGAAAAGTTTTTTTTTTCTTTTTATTTGCCACACCATCTGCTTTTGAGATAAGCAGAACTAGTGAGTTCTCTATTGAGATACATACTGTTACTTAGATTTTGAAGGTTTATTTCTTCTTAGAAATGCCAAGTGTTTAGATTTTTCTGTGCTTTATAGCATGTATTCTTTTTCTCTCTGACAGAATAGAGATCAAGATAGAGACCCCTCTATCTGGGCTCCCTTGGTAAAGGTTTCTTCCTGAATGGAAGTCTCCCAAGAGGTATTTGTCACTGTTTCTATGCATAAGAAGTAGGAAGATTTTTATATTTTTCCTTTGTATGTTCACATTCAGATCACTCACTCAGGGACATGCACTGATTTTTAAATTGTCTGCTGTTTGGAATTAGAGATGCCTCTTGGGTTTTATGCAACTTCAAATCTGAGCCAATTCAGCTCCCCTTTGAATTGGTGGCCCTTTTTGTTGTTTATTCTCATTTTTTTCATAGAAGGTCACCTTCAAATGATTAATAGGTGCACTAGCTTGAGCGTCAACACACATTTAAAAACATTTGTTTGATTTTCAGCCATCTAGCTCACTTTGGAAACAATCAATAGACAGGGTAAAACTTTAATAAGTTAAAGGCAACCCAGTATTTTGTATTATTCTGTTTTCCTCCTCTTAAGTCTTCAAGCTCCATATTTCCTTTCGACAAAAACATCAAATAAAGTCCAATAGTAAGAAAGTAGCAAAGAGACTAAATTAAAAGTATTCTTATTCCTTTGATATACTCAGTCTTTAATTTAAGTGTGATTTAATTTAACTTTTGTCTTCTAATGGCAATGGAAAATTCCTGGGGGAACAGATCATGGCATGTCCTCGTGTTTCCTCTACACTGCCAAGAAACACATCGTAGATTGAATAGACACTCAACAAACACATAGTAAATTCAGTAGAATATTTTGAGACACTAGATTTGCATTGTTATTTGATGACTCCCTGCTGCAACTTAAAGCTTCATGATATTCCACTTGTGACAGTAATTAAACTATATTTAACTTCGGAGCCCTTGAATTTGGCATGCTGCAAGGATAGAGCACTAACAAGGCCTTATCTTATGCTGAGTACACTGCTGCATTTATGCTGTATAATTCAGGCCCTCCAGAAGAAAGTATATGTACTCCTTATTTTAAAGACTGAAGACTTCAAAAGTGAGAATGCAAATGAGGATAGCTTCATTTCGTTCCTCTTAAATCTGTGTAGTGCAGTACAGCGTTTTTTGAAGCCCTTTACTGAAGGTCACTCAGTGTGAGGCTAGTGATGTTTTGATGTCTAGAGCACTGACAGTTTTTCCTCTCCAAATTTTTGAAACAAAGCCTATAAATGACAGTGAAACAAATTATACTTTTCAGAGAAAAGGTTTCATGAAAATAAAAATATGATTCATTTCTCTCAGAGGTATTGTGATAGATTTTGACAAACCATTAGCCTGTATCTTTTTCTCAGAAGAATGGGGGTGAGTTCATGGCTGTTTGGGGAGAGGTTCTTTGGGCCACCGGTCCTCAATCCTTGCTTAATTCTTTGCACACTGAGAAACACTGTGTGGACAAGATTTCTTGCCCTAAACCTTGAACTGAGCCATGTACTCCTCCCAAATCAGCTTCCCTTAATACAGTTTTGGATCTACATGCATGAACTCCTCCTACATAATTACTATATTTGTTGACACGTGTTGAAATTGAAAAGGGAGAGGTAGATGATGTATATTTAACATTTTGACCTGTGGACTCTGATGCGTAATATTTCTACATCGAGAATTTGGAAAAGATGATCTCATTTATTAAAAACAGTTATGCTGTTAGGAGCATTGTTTTTAGATTTCAGAATAGAATACTAATGGTTGTTTAGAATCTATTAAATAGGCAAAAAACTTTAAATAATCAATACTCAAAGTTACAAAGAGTTTGAAGATGGTATTCTTGTATATTGATGATATTATTGCTTTTCTAATAATTGGAAATCAAACTGGGATTTGTTCTAAAATTAAAAATGTGTATAATCTTTTCCCAGGAATTCCATTTTCTGAGGAAATAACTGAAATTATGGAGAAAACTATAAGCATGAACAAACTGTGTGAGGTGTTACGTGCAATTGCAAAACCAAACCAAATCAAAATCCAAATAAATAATAGTTGTAGAATGATTATGAAAATTAAGATGCCTTCACTCAGTTGTATATTATGAGGCCTTCAAAATCATGGTAAATTGGTATCATAAACATGGTAAAACTGTTTATTGTACAATAGTAAGTAAAAGCAGGCTGATTTTCAAATTGTATTATTCTAATACTATAAGCATCAGACTGGATAGAAAGGAATGTATTAAAATTATAATATTAGTTGTGTTTGGGTGATGGGGTTATTCATTTATTCATCCAACAAATAGACTATATAAACTACATATATTTTCATTTAATTCTTGTAAGAGCTCTGCAAATTTGCATTGCTATCCCCATTTTAAGGATCAAAAATACACAAATAATAAGAAATTTAGATTAGATGTTTAGTGTTCAAGTTTGTTGTTCAGTGATCATTCCAATACTGTGGATATAAGGTTTATCAAAGGCTTACCTAAGGACTACAGGACATGAAAATTCTTTCAAACAACCCAGAAAATCTACACTTTCAGATACTAAGATTATAGTTCAGGTCAAAAATCTGATTGAGACAATTGCTATTTGAGAGAGAAAACTGAGTAACCTCCTTCAAACCTACAGATTTGAAAAGTAATTGCTTTTGACTTTAGGTATGTTATTTTGTTTCTCTATAGTTCAATTTCCTCATCTTAAAATGCTCATAAGAATCACAGGGCTGTTTTGAGGATTAAATGCATACACACACACACACACACACACACACATATATATACATATACTATACATGTACTATATAGTACATATGGAATATTTGTAAATATAGACTTCATATATAAAATATTATATATGTATAGTCTCTCACACCAGAGCAGTGCTTGACACATAGCATGTTCTCAACACGTGGCAGCTAGTATTGCAATTCTGTTGCTTTAGTTGTAACTTTACTTTATAGTATGCTATGCACTACCATTCTTTATTCAATATTTCTTGATTAAATTATCTGCTTATTCCTCAAATTAACTTCAGTCCTAACTGCCAAATTTCATTTTAAAAACTGGGAGTTAAGCTATGGAGCTGTTAAAATACTGTTTTAACAACTCTATACCTTAATTACATAAATATATAATTTTTTAATACCGTCTTCCCATTCATATAGGTCTGGCATATTTTTGGTGTTTATTTCTAGGAGTTACAAATTTGCTACTCCAATTGTGAAGTGGAGATTTTTCATAGTATTTTACATTGATTTATTAGAAAAGCTATTGATTTTGATTGGATATTCTTGTATCTGGTCACCATTATGTGCTTTCATTTCAGTTCTAGTTGGTTTTTGAGATTATTTTCTTGTATTAATGAATAGACAAACAAGTGGTCTGCAAAATGACATTGATTTTCCTTTGATATTTAATGATTGATCTCTGTTCTTGTCTTATTGTATTGGCTATGTACAATTCTTTGTAATTACATTCATAGTAGATATATTTGTTTCATTTAAAATATTTTCTGCCCAGGCTGGAGTGCAATGGCGCAATCTTGGCTCAATGCAACCTCTGCCTCCTGGGCTCAAGTGATTCTCTTCCCTCAGCCTCCCAAGTAGCTGGGATTAAAAGCATATGCCGTGATGCTTGGCTAATTTTTGTATTTTTAATAATAGTAGAGACAGTGTTTAGCTATGTTGGCCAGGCTGGTCTTGAACTCCTGGCCTCAAGTGATCTGCCCACCCCGGCCTCCCAAAGTATTGGGATTACAGGCATGAACCATTGCACCTGGCCCCCATTCATCAATTTAAGAGAGATATTTATTTATTTTTTAATTCAGTGTAAAGTTTAAAACTAAGGAATTAGCCTTGAATTTTATCAAAGACTTTTTCCTCACTTCCAAATGATCATGTCAGTAAACAGTTACAACACTGAATCATATTAATACATTTTTAATGCCAAATGATCATTATATTTCTAGAATAAACCCTATTTGGTAATTGAATAATATTCTCTCAATATCCTTCTATATGTGCTTTACTCATATATTGTACTTAGGATTTTTACATGTGTTTTTCATAAGAGATAAAATCCACAGTGAATTGAGTGTGTATGTGTGTATATATTATATTTTTCCAGTTTTGTTATCAGTTTCACATGCTTTTATAGAATCAAAGAATGTATTAACTTTCATTTCTTATCATTGGTTGAAGATTGTAGCTTTGATAAAATTTACCAGTTAAGTCATCTAATTTCAGTAAATTTGGGGAGAGATAAGTCTTTTACATTTTTCAATTTTTTTCTACCCATAGTGATCTGTGGTCACTAATCTATGAAAAATTTCCAACTTTTGTTTTGTCAATGTGAAAATTTACATTATTTTTTGTACCATATAGAATTTCTTATTTTGGCATAAAATTTTATCTAATTTTTAAGCACTTGACTATCTTTACCATAATATTTCTCACCACCCCCACTCCCATTTTTATTTCCAATGTGGTTTACTTGCATTTTCTTTTTATTTCCTTGAGTAAATCTGGAAGAAGTTTGACAATATTTTTAATTTTTTAAAGTCTTCTATTGGTTTTATTTTTGGTGTGTTTATTTTAATATGTTTTTTATTCTATTCTATGAATTTCTGTGTTTTTGTTTATAAGTTTCTCTTTCAATTTTCCTTGGATTTATTTATTTATTTATTTTTTTTTTAGTTTCTTGAGTTTCATGCTTATCTATTAATATTTTGATAATGCTGAATTTGGATCAAAAATTATATTTATTGTATTCTCTGCTATATTACAATAAGGAATATAAAATATTTATCTTTCTATATAATTCTTTTTGCTCTAAACACACTTTGTTATTAATATATGGCTATTACTCCCTTTTTAAAATTGTTGTTGCTGGTATTCATCCAGTGGATACATCTAACTCTTCATTTCTTACCTTTCTGTAACATTTCATTTTTTATTGACCTATTTGTTTATTTATTTTATAACTTGCATATAGCTGGATGTTTGTTAAGCCAATGAATAAGTTTCTGTTTAATAGGAACATCTAATTTATTTTTCTTGTGATCACTTCTATATTTTATTTTCTTTTTGCACTTTCATTTTATGACTTCTTTTTTTTGTTTATTTTTACTTATTTTAAGGTCAAACTGATTATGTTTCACTATCTACTACAAAATAGTTTAGGTATTCTTTTATTACAATTCTGCTAATGTATATATTTGTATAAACATACTGAGTTTTCCTATCAGTTTCAAAGCTCAATATCTATAGCCTTTATAAGACCCCCCCATTTGCACATGTACAATAGAGCTTTAACATATTTATTTTCCTTTCCCTTTGTTCTCTGCAGGATTTTGTTAAAAACCAAGAATTTAAGTTCTTGATTGTCATTCTTTTACATTATAGATATTTTACTTTGACTATTATTTTAACATGTAACTACTTATAAACAATTATTTATTCAGCTTTGTATACATATTACACAACTTGCTTACCACTATTACTTAATACTCTGTCTCCTTTTGTTTTGAATTCATTTTTGATTTTGCTGCAATGTAGTATAAAAAATTTTTTTTCAAAAAAGATGCATGAGTAGCAAACTTTGTATGTCTTTATATATCTGACATACATTTATTTATTTATTTTTTATTCTTTTTTTCTTCTTTTCTTTTTTTTTTTTTTTTTGAGTCGGAGTCTCACTCTGTTGCCCAGGCTGGAGTGCAGTGGTGCGATCTCCGCTCACTGCAAGCTCCACTTCCTGGGTTCACGCCATTCTCCTGCCTCAGCCTCCTGAGTAGCTGGGACTACAGGCGCCCACCACGACGCCCAGCTAATTTTTTGTATTTTTAGTAGAGACAAGGTTTCACCGTGTTAGCCAGGATGGCCTGGATCTCCTGATCTCGTGATCCACCCGCCTCGGCCTCCCAAAGTACTGGGATTACAGGCGTGAACCACTGTGCCCGGCCTATTTATTTTTTATTATACTTTAAGTTCTAGAGTACATGTGCACAACGTGCAGGGTTGTTACATACGTATATATGTGCCATGTTGGTGTACTGCACCCACCCATTAACTCGTCATTTACATTAGGTATATCTCCTAATGCTATCCCTCCCCACTACTCCCACCCTGCAACAGGCCCTGGCATGTGATGTTCCCTTTCCTGTGTCCAGGTGTTCTCATTGTTCAATTCCCACCTATGAGTGAGAACATGCGGTGCATGGTTTTTGTCCCTGTGATAGTTTGCTGAGAATGATGGTTTCCAGCTTCATCCATGTCCCTACAAAGGACATGAACTCATCCTTTTTTATGGCTGCATAGTATTCCATGGTGTATATGTGCCACATTTTCTTAATCCAGTCTATCATTGATGGACATTTGGGTTGGTTCCAAGTCTTTGTTATTGTGAATAGTGCTGCAGTAAACATACATGTGCATGTGACTTTATAGCAGCATGATTTATAATCCTTTGGGTATATACCCAGTAATGGGATTGCTGGATCAAATGGTATTTCTAGTTCTAGATCCTTGAGGAATTGCCACACTGACTTCCACAATGGTTGAATTAGTTTACAGTCCCACCAACAGTGTGAAAGTGTTCCTGTTTCTCCACATCCTCTCCAGCACCTGTTGTTTCCTGACTTTTTAATGATCGCCATTGTAACTGGTGTGAGATGGTATCTCATTGTGGTTTTGATTTGCATTTCTCTGATGGCCAGTGATGACGAGCATTTTTTCATTTGTCTATTGGCTGCATAAATGTCTTCTTTTGAGAAGTGTCTGTTCATATCCTTTGCCCACTTTTTGATGGGGTTGTTTGTTTTTTTCTTGTAAATTTGTTTGAGTTCTTTGTAGATCCTGGATATTAGCCTTTTGTCAGATGAGTAGATTGAAAAAATTTTCTCCCATTCTGTAGGTTGCCTGTTCACTCTGATGGTAGTTTCTTTGGCTGCACAGAAGCTCTTATTTTAATTAGATCCCATTTGTCAATTTTGGCTTTTGTTGCCATTGCTTTTGGTGTTTTAGATATGAAGTCCTTGCCCATGCCTATGTCCTGAATGGTATTGCCTAGGTTTTCTTCTAGAGTTTTTATGGTTTTAGGTCTGACATTTAAATCTTTAATCCATCTTGAATTAATTTTTGTCTAAGGTGTAAGGAAGGGATCCAGTTTCAGCTTTCTACATATGATTAGCCAGTTTTCCCAGCACCATTTATTAAATAGGGAATCCTTTCTCTATTTCTTGTTTTTGTCAGGTTTGTCAAAGACCAGATGGTTGTAGATATGCGGCATTATTTCTGAGGGCTCTGTTCTGTTCCATTGGTCTATGTCTCTGTTTTGGTACCAGTACCATGCTGTTTTGGCTACTGTAGCCTTGTAGTATAGTTTGAAGTCAGGTAGCGTGATGCCTCCAGCTTTGTTCTTTTGGCTTAGGATTGACTTGGCAATGTGGGTTCTTTTTTGGTTCCATATTAACTTTAAAGTAGTTTTTTCCAAATCTGTGAAGAAAGTCACTGGTAGCATCATGGGGATAGCATTGAATCTATAAATTACCTTGAGCAGTATGGCCATTTTCACGATATTGATTATTCCTATCCATGAGCATGGAGTGTTCTTCCATTTGTTTGTGTCCTCTGTTATTTCATGGAGTAGTGCTTTGTAGTTCTACTTGAAGAGGCCTTTCACATCCCTTGTAAGGTGGATTCCTAGGTATTTTATTCTCTTTGAAGCAATTGTGAATGGGAGTTCACTCATGATTTGGCTCTCTGTTTGTTATTGGTGTATAAGAATGCTTGTGATTTTTCCACATTGATTTTGTATCCTGAGACTTTGCTGAAGTTGCCTATCAGCTTAAGGAGATTTTGGGCTGAGACGATGGGGTTTTCTAGATATACAATCATGTCATCTGCAAACAGGGACAATTTGACTTCCTCTTTTCCTAATTGAATACCCTTTATTTCTTTCTCCTGCCTGATTGCCCTGGCCAGAACTTCCAACACTATGTTGAATAGGAGTGGTGAGAGAGGGCATCCCTGTCTTGTGCCAGTTTTCAAAGGGAATGCTTCCAGTTTTTGCCAATTCAGTATGATATTGGCTGTGGGTTTGTCATAAATAGTTCTTATTATTTTGAGATACGTCCCATCAATACCTAATTTATTGAGAGTTTTTAGCGTGAAGAGTTGTTGAATTTTGTCAAAGGCCTTTTCTGCATCTATTGAGATAATCATGTGGTTTTTGTCTTTGGTTCTATTTATATGCTGGATTACATTTATTGATTTGCGTATGTTGAACCAGCCTTGCATCCCAGGGATGAAGCCCACTTGATCATGGTGGATAAGCTTTTTGATGGCTGCTGGATTCAGTTTGCCAGTATTTTATTGAGGATTTTTGCATCGATGTTCATCAGAGATATTGGTCTAAAATTCTCTTTTTTTGTTTTGTCTGTGCCAGGCTTTGGTATCAGTATGATACTGGCCTCATAAAATGAGTTAGGGAGGATTCCCTCTTTTTCTATTGATTGGAATAGTTTCAGAAGGAATGGTATCAACTCCTCCTTGTACCTCTGGTAGAATTCAGCTGTGAATCCGTCTCGTCCTGGGCTTTTTTTGGTTGTTAAGCTATTAAATACTGCTTCAATTTCAGAGCCTCTTATTGGTCTATTCAGAGGTTCAACTTCTTCCTGGGTTAGTCTTGGGAGGGTGTATGTGTCCAGGAATTTATCAGTTTCTTCTATGTTTTCTAGTTTATTTGCGTCGAGGTGTTTATAGTATTCTCTGATGGTAGTTTGTATTTCTGGGGGATCAGTGGTGCTATCCCCTTTATCATTTTTTATTGCGTCTATTTGATTCTTCTCTCTTTTTTTCTTTATTAATCTTGCTAGCAGTCTATCAATTTTGTTGATCCTTTCAAAAAGCAGCTTCTGGATTCATTGATTTTTTGAAGGGTTTTTTGTGTCTCTATCTCCTTCAGTTCTGTTCTGATCTTAGTTATTTTTTCCCTTCCGCTAGGTTTTGAATGTGTTTGCTCTTGCTTCTCTAGTTCTTTAATTGTGATGTTAGGGTGTCAATTTTAGATCTTTCCTGCTTTCTCTTGTGGGCATTTAGTGCTATAAATTTCCCTCTACACACTGCTTTAAATGTGTCCCAGAGATTCTGGTATGTTGTGTCTTTGTTCTCATTGGTTTCAAAGAACATCTTTATTTCTGCCTTCATTTCATTATGTACCCAGTAGTCATTCAGGAGCAGGTTGTTCAGTTTCCATGTAGTTGAGCAGTTTTGAGTTTCTTAATCCTGAGTTCTAGTTTGATTGCACTGTGGTCTGAGAGACAATTTGTTATAATTTCTGTTCTTTTACATTTGCTGAGCAGTGCTTTACTTCCAACTATGTGGTCAATTTTGGAATAAGTGCAATGTGGTGCTGAGAAGAATGTATATTCTGTTGATTTGGGGTGAAGAGTTCTGTAGATGTCTATTAGGTCTACTTGGTGCAGAGCTGAGTTCAATTCCTGGATATCCTTGTTAACTTTCTGTCTCGTTGATCCGTCTAATATTGACAGTGGGGTGTTAAAGTCTCCCATTATTATTGTGTGGGAGTCTAAGTCTCTTTGTAGGTCTCTAAGGACTTGCTTCCAAAGATCAAAAGAGACAAGACCATAATGGTAAAGGGATATATTTATTTTTTAACTTAAATAATTTTTGTCTAGATAAAAATCTTTTTCCACCGGAATTTTGTAGTTGGTCTTTGCCCCCTTCTAGGCTTTTATTTTGGAGATTATACAATAATTATGATGCCAGTTTGATTTCAGTTCTTTTGTAGTATTTTTTTCTTCCTTGGCAAGATAATGTTTGTTTCTCCTTATCTTTGGAGTTTTCAAATTTTATTAGGTGGTATCTAGATTGCATTCCACAAATTTGCCCCACCCCCACTGCAACATTCCTATAAAAATTTTATGAAGTGCTCACTCTCTGAAGATGTTAGTGTTTCATTATTTCCAGTAAATTTTCTTTTATGAATTTCTTCATCATTTTCTGCTTCTTACTTTTCTCTTGATAGGTGTCAGTTCCTTTGGTTCTCTCCTCTGTGACTGCTTTTCTCTTATTATTTAATGTTTTCATTCTGTTGCACTGAACACTGGAGAATATCTCAGCACAAACTTCCATTTCACAAATTAGCTTTAAGCCTATATCATTCTGATATTTGGTATTCATTTTAATTTTACATTTAAATTGTCTTATTTTTAATTGCTTCTTTTTAAGAGTAACCTCAATCATTTTTGTGGGTGTAATTCTTTTCAAATCTCTAAGAATTCTATTTAGTTTAAAGTTTTCTGTGATTTCTTTTTTTCTTTTTCTTTCTTTTCTTTTCTTTCTTTTTTTTTTTTTTTTTTTTTTTTTAACTGAGTCTTGCTCTGTCTCCCAGGCTGGAGTGCAGTGGGGCAATCTCGGCTCACTGCAACCTTTGCCTCCTGGGTTCAAGCTATTCTCCTGCCTCAGGCTCCTGAGTAGCTGGGATTACAGGTGCACACCACCACATCCAGCTGATTTTTGTATTTTTAGTAGAGATGGGGTTTCACCATGCTGGCCAAGCTGGTCTCCAACTCCTGACCTCGTGATCTGGCCACCTCGGCCTCTCAAAGTGCTGGGATTACACGTGTGAGCCACCGTGCCCGGCCTGTGATTTCTTTTATTAACCTTGTTTCCTCAGATATTAGCTCCTTGGTTTGGTCTAACACCAGTTTTCACATTGTTAGATTTTCTGAAACATACTTTTGTATTTCTAATTGAAGGCTGAGATTGGTAAGCAGTGATGGTTAGAGATGATCTTCCCAGCGAAAGTGATTACAATTCTTGCAGAGAGTGAATTTATATTCTAATTTTAGAGCAGCTTTGTAGGCAGAGAGAGTGCATGTTTGGACCAGGCAAACCTTCTTCTAGGTTACCCAGAGAGTTTGCCTGATGGATGCAGGGGCTGCCTCTTCACAAAGGGACCAGAAGTTATCTGGAGCACCACTGGAGTGCTCTCACTCTTTTGCCCCAAAAACATCTGTACGTTTTCTATGGTAGAGTCTCCATTTTATTTACAGAACTCTAGGCTAGAAGCTCATGATACAATCAGCAGTACAGCAATTCTGCAGCTCACCATCCAATACCCAACTGTGCCTCCAGTCCCTGCTGTCTTTGATCTTGGTGTTCTTCATGAATTCTGAGAGGAACACTCACTTTGTTAGTAGCCTTCCCTCATGTCTTTTCAATGCTACAGGTTCAGCTCTATTCGATTTTTACCAGCAATCTGATCCCATCTGCCTCAAACATTCTAGAAATTCTCCCACTGTTCTGGTCTCTGGCTGGCATCCTTCCCAGGTTTCTAGCGCTACCATGGATTCATCCTTATTTTTAAATCTCTGCTGTTATTTGAGTGGCATCATGGAAACAGGCAAGATTGATACATATGCTCAGATATCCATCATGAAGCAGAAAAACTCTGTTTCGAGTTTTAGTAATAAAACTTGATTTCTTCTAAGGAATCAGCATAGTCGAGTTTACAAAACTCATCATTTTTCTTTTGATTTCAGCTTTGAATAACAGTTTCAGAAATATTAAGTGTTTTGTCACATGTTTGTACACGTATTTCTATATCTTCATAACTATGCAAATTCAATATTTTTCCATTTTACAGATGAAAAAATAAATACTTGGAAAGTTTTAATTAGTAAGTGATTTGAACAATGTAATGCTTTCCAAAATCGTACTTTTCCAAAGGATAAATTGATTCAAATATAAAACACTGAAGACTTCATAGCATAACTTAAACTACTAAGTTTTATGGTTTAGTAATTTCAATCAGGACTAGTTCTATATAATAATTCAGTAATAATTTCTTCATTGCTGATTTCGAAGAGGACATTAAATGTTTGCACTGATTTTGGCAGAGATTGTCTCTAAATTCATTAAATATTTAGTTTTTCCACACACATTATTCTATTGACCATTTTTCTTATCCTTTTAGAGACAATGATCACTACAATACATTAATAAATGTGTATATGCTTATAATATTTATATCTGTATCACAGATATAAGGTGATATATTGGCAACAATTATCTTCATGATCTTAGTATCAACTATACCTATTTCTGTGGCATAAGAATTGGTTATACTACAATATGGTACAACCATATACCTATATACTACAAAATTGATATATATTACAATAAACATTTCTGGAAAACTAAACAAAACAGTTAAATGATAATATTCATCAATAGAAATAAAACAGAGCATTTTTATAACTTTAAATGCATGCTTATCTTTTTAACAACTCATCTGTGGTTATCTAAAACTTCAAGAATCCATTGCGATGCACTTCTGCAGGTTGACATTAATAACCACAGAGCTCTGGGAGAGAAACATTGCTTAGGTTTCTTGAAATATGAAAATTTTTAAAATTCCAGTTCCTCATTTAAACTAGAGAAAACTGTTAGTGATGTGACTAAAAACTGTGTTAATTATGAAATGCTAATGACATCATGTAAGTGAGTTAAAAGGATTCTTTTAACATGCTTTACCATTGGTGTTACTTGTTGTCACTCCAAATAGGTTTGAGATCAAGAATGACCCAGGCTAGTTTTTATATTTCTTTGGTAACTGCCACTTGCCAAATCATGGAATCTGGAATTAAGCTTGAAACTATTTGCACGTTCTCTAAGAAAAAAAATGGAGTAGACGAAAATATCTTTATCACTCCCAACACCCAAATAGTTAACTTTTTATTTTCAATTGATATTTCAACTGTAACAATTAAACATACACAGGAAACATATCTTAATTTAGTTATTAAATGTGACTATATGTTTTCTCTGCTTTCTTGTCATGTTCAGCCATTTTCAAAGCCCTTTGTGTGGGTATAGCTGGTATTTAGAACATAGGGATATTTTTTCCTCCTCCCTTCCTCCATTCCTTCCTTCACTCCTCTTTCTTTTCTTTCTTTCTCTGCCCCCCCCTCAACTTTCTCTCACCTTTTCCACCCTTGTGTACTTTCTCTCCCTCTACTTTCCTCCCATTATTTTTTATTTCTGGCTGTCATCATTTGATTCTTAGACTTAAGGTATAAATTATACATTAAGAGTGTAGGTCTATATGCTAAGTATATTTGAGGCTAAGGTAATCATTTTGCGTTTATCACATTTAGTAGCACTTTAAGCATCTAAACTCTTTTATTCTTCCCCCCTCCTTTTCTCCATTCTGAGTTGCTATTTATGTGAGTGCTTATGCTTGCATGTGTTTTTTTTCTAATTCACTTACTCAGAATTCTTAGTAGTGGTCAATTATTTCTTCATTTTATCACCTGGTTCTTGAAGGAAGCAGCCTATTCTGAAAATGTTTAAAAGAAATGAAAATCAAAATAAACTGAAAGTGAATTCATGGTATAATTTGACTGATCAGAGTACTATTTGTCTTATTTTCTTAAAGTTCAGATTGTTTTCTAATTACATTTTTGTTTTTAATCTGTTTTTTAAAATTCTGACGAAGTGATATATTTCTATTCATTTCTAGTTACAGCCAGAAACTAGAGAAAAATGATTTTCAGAACCAAAAATTTCTGCTTTATATTTTTGTGGAGACCTTTAGGGAGGCATCTTATACCAACAAGGATCAAACGTTGACCAAAATTGTGGAACAAATTGAATTAATCTTAATGAAGACTGAACTAAACACAAATATTTGAACCACCACTTGAAAAAATACATTCTTGACAATGAATGTTTATCTTTTATTTGTGATTATGAACATAGTTCATATTGATGACATAATATTTCTAAAGTAGAGAAAAATATAAAGGAAAGAAAGAGCAACCATAACCTCATCACCAAGAGATATTTACTACAACAATTGGATATACTGCTTTTCTATATATTTTTGGTGCACATATATTTGTATACAAGTATACACATATTTTAAAACTTGCTGTGTATATAGCCAAGCCTTTAAAAATTATTAATATAATTGGTTCAACTGGAAGCAAGCTCGTTTTCTAAAATCACTAAACCAGAGAATCAAAATATTCTTTGAACTAAACAATTATTTCATTTTAAATCGATCTATTACAGACACATTTTTCAAATTCTTAAGTATTCTTCTAAATAGTCTCATTAGTTGTATCATATCATTGTAATTTTAATCATTAAGGGACAGGAGAAAGATTCTCCTGTGTGTTTTGTTGTTGGAATCCTAATTTTATTCATTAATTTTAGAAGCTCTTTTTAAAAAATTGTTATGAAATCTACTGTTGAAGAAAGTTTTAAATTTGCTCTGAAGAAACTATTTTAAATTTGCTGCTGCCAAACTGTTCTAAGATCTCAAACTAATGCAATAACCCTTCTTATGGAAATAGAACTTAATAGCTGTAGTGTGTGATCCATTTGAGCTGAGCCTCTCAGGAGTAGGTGTGGATTCAAGGTTGTTAGGTATGATTTGGAGAGCCTTTTAAAATAAAAATATACAAAATTATATTACACTTGGTGAAGGTAATAAAAAAATATTTCCACAAGTACATTGCTAGGGCTCCTCCCAGTGTCTTGAAAAGAGCCCATGTAAGTGAGCAGCCCTGAAGCTTAGAGCTTTCTTCATATTAAATTTGCCTTGACTCAGGAGTTAACATTAGTTTTCATTTCAAAAGCATAGTTACATTTTACAAATTACATTACTGAAAATTGATTTATAGTTTCCGTGGAAAGAAATGGTGAGGGCATGGTGGGGAGAGCCAGGGGCTACACTGAACATCCTGCAGCCAAGAGTAAGAGAGGGGTTATGTACCTGAAGTTTCAGGTGATGGCCTCATCAGTGACATATTAATAGAGAATGATTGGCAAATATTCAGAAATCAGAAAAGGCAGTATAAGCTGGTAGTGAAATAAGGGGGAAGATCTGAAGCAGAAATAGAAGTGCCCATCTCAGGATTTCAGAAAGTAATCAGAAAGGCCTTTCCCAGGGAAATGCAGGTGATATTGTTCATGGCTGGTGCTCACTCCTGAGGTTTGATGGGTGGGAGGTCCACTTGGGCTCAAAGGATCAGACACGGGGTGCAATAGACCTACAATGTAACAATGAACCAGAAATATTCTCAGTTTAGCTGGGCATTCTTGAGTGAGACAACTTTCCATCTTCTAAATTGCTGAAGAAGCAAAATTTGAAATCAGAAAATCTGGGTCTTAGATCTCCTGCTAACTCTTAGGAGCTGTGTAATCTTCAGCAAGATTTCAATCTCCCCAAGGTTCAGTTTCCTTATTTGTAAAATAATGATATTAAGTATTTTTCTGGTTGTCTATTGATATGTAACAAATCACTCCCAAATTTAGTGGTTTAAATGATAACATGCATTTTTGTCATGATTGTGTAATGTGAGCAGGGCTCAGTGGCATAGCTTGTCTCTGTGCTACTGAGAGTTAGCTGGGGTGGCTCAAAGGCTGGGGGATGGAATCATCATCATTTGCTGAGTTTGCTCACAAGCCTCCCTGGCAGTTGACACTGGCCATCTGCTGGAACCTCAGAATGTGGCTGGAAGGTCTACACATGGCCTCTCTACGTGGCTGCTTGGCTTCCTCCTAGCATGGTGGCTACTTTCCAAGGGCAAGTATCCCTAGGTGTACAGGAAAAACCTGTAGCACCTTCATGACTTAGCTTCAGAAGTCATCCAGATCACAGTCACAGACCCACTATCATTTAAAGGGAGGGAGCAGGGTCTATGTCTCAATGGAGGAGTTATAATTCACGTTGTAGGAAGAACATGTGGAAGGGGATATATCCCTGGGGCCATCTTTAGAAAATGCAATCCTGCTGCTAAGATAATAATAGGATATGTTTATCAAGAGCATTTAATATGTATCAAGCGCTAAGAGATTTACATACATACATCACCTCCTTTAATTTATCACCAAACACTCTGAGGTAGGTACTGCAATTATCATCTCTATTTTTGAGATAAGAAAAATGCAGCATAGGGAGTCTTATTTCACCAATAATATATTTAAGGTGTGGAGTTGAGATTTGAACCCATGGCTCTAGAGTTTGTACTTTTAATCCTTCGCAGCAGTTATTTTCAGGATCAAACAAGAACATATACATAAAAATGCTTTGTGAATTCTAAATTTGCTATCCAAATTTAAATCTTTTTAAAGGAAAAACTTTGGGAAACTTTTTCAGAAATATTAATATTTTAGATTTCAGACACACAATGAATGTGTGTCTGGTTGGCTACAAAATTAATATAACAAATAATATTGTAATATTTTTGGTGTTTCCAGAGGTAAACTTCTGAGAATCTTTCGTTTTAAAAGAATTGTCTATGATCATTCCACTCTCTCATCCCAGCATCCTTGGCCATTTCCCTAAAAGTACAGACCATCCCTTGCATTTTCATTATGAAATCAGAGAATGTTAGTTAAAGCTGTAAAAACCCTAAGATTTTACATGACCCAACTCGCTTTTGTATTCCTAGAGTCTTTAGATGTGGTTTCCAGAAGCTTAAATGACTTTTGAGAATAAATAATGATTTCGGTCACTTTTCCTCCCTGATATTTTCCGGTACATGTAAAATTTCTAGCAGTTTAACTTTACAGCCCTAAAGAATGACTGACTTGGGGTGAAAATTTTCTTTTTAATTTCTTTTGGTGGTTAAATATTTGAACATTTTATTGGAATTTTTCTTTTTTCATCTATTAATATTTAACCAAATAGCAATATATGTGTAGTACAGGAAGGAGAATAGAAGATAACATTCCCATGTTCCTACAGCTTGCATTATATAGAAGCAGCCTCCAGAAGCAGTGACTGGTTTCAGAGTAGCAGGCACTTACTATCTAGGATATATGGCCTTCTTCTTGAAGTGCAGTGTTTCATTAAACAAGACAAAGAATTCCCGTGTGTGTGTGAGTATGTTTGCGGCAGGGAAATCAATTCCAATTATACCACACAATACCACATTCTTGTCCTACGTGAAGCCTTCTATAAAGAGTTGTGGGCAGGAAAAAGCCAGAACCTCCATGGCAGGTGTTACTGCAGTTCACTGAGAGGCTGCACAGAGCAACTTGGGAAGATGACAAGGACTTGTGGCCTTTGATTCATCTTGAGCTGAACCTTAGGCTGAGTTCTTAGTGAAGCTAGGCCACTCTAAGGCTGTTTGAGATAGAAGGTTGTGATTTGATGGCAACTGCACATTGTTAAAGGTCCCAAACTCTAGCCTGGGTCTGTTTTGCGTGGTCATTATTAGGATCTCCCTATGGCAGACACTTCTGCAACAGAAAGGGCCCAATTTGATTTCTGAATGTTGTGCCAGTCGGGGCTTCTCTGACTCCCCAGGGAATTCAAGTTATCATCTCAGTATCATGGTGTGTCCTGAGCCTGGACTCCTAAGGCTAGAGTCATAGATGTTCAGATTTTTTATTTTGTTTTTCTATCCAGAGCAAAAATATCACTCAGAGCACCATTTTGCAACTAGACATTCTTGGTGGTCAGACTATAAAATTTCAGATGTATTGGCTTTAGAAAGGCAATTGTAGGAAAAAAATGCCAGTTGTCAATACTCAACCCAATGCTTCATTGTATATTTAAGATGATTAGTGTAATTGGAAGTCATGGGGAATTCTACCACCATATAGTTTTAACTCACACTGCAATGGCTGAAGATCCTGATACTTCACTAAAATTTTACTTTTATTCCCACTGTTGTTTTCTGAGACTCTAGATTTAGTTTTCTCTTTCTTTCCCTCCCTCCCTCCCTCCCTCCCTTCCTTCCTTCCTTCTTTCTTTCTTTCGTAAGAAAAAGACAAATAATTTTGTGAAGAATTTTATCAGTCAGTACACTTATGAGTTTTAACAATTGTGTATTTCCTGAAAGTAAATAATGAAAATAAATTTCTTAAGAAAAATAGGTGGAGGATGTTAGATAGTTAAGAGAAAGTGAATATTGAACAGTTGAGAATTAGCTAACTAGTTTTATTTTATATTTTTAAGTTTTAATGTTTTTATTTAAAGTACCATGGTAGGTAAAGCTCAATACTGTGCTAAGATTTAAAGAAAACTTTATGATATGCTTTTCTTTCACCTCAGTGAACTCACCGTTTACTATATTTTATTAATAATAAATTTATTCAGTATTTCCAGAAGGTAAAACTCCAGAGAATCTTATTATTTTTGTACTAAAATTTCACTAGTTTCACCAAGAAGAGTCTGAGAAAGGAGACACCTAATTTTTGAGAAATGCAATATTAGGAAGCAAAAGGTTTTATCTGAGTTTAGGCTGTGACATTGTAGTGCAATAGTAATGCAACTGTAAGGCTAGCCCCCCTCTCAAGTTCCTTCTAATTTCTAGAAGGAGATAAATATATGCACGAAAATTTATCTACCATCATGAGTCTTCAACCTTCTTTGTTAAGTAATTCTTCTTAGTGTAGAATTAGCACCATCAGCACTACTGATGATCACAGATGGAAGTTCTTGCCACTTTTTGAGTCAACCTAACAATAGTAAACTGGGAGATCCAGGTATGTTCTCTTTCCCCCAAGGCCTACCTCTTCTCCCTGGAGCAAAGTTACTCCATAATAACTATTAAAATATTACATTATGTTTCAGGAGTTAGAATAATTAAACAATGTCTACTTCTCTAGGTGCTGATTTACTCAGTTAAGACCTAGGCACTAAGAAGACAGCACACATTTCATTGATTATGTCATTGAGCAGTGGCTGATGATGAATTTGTCTGTACTGTCCTAGAATGTTGTAATTCTCAAGTAGAATTTTAGACTTTTTTTCATTTGCTTTATTTCCCGTTTTGTATAAAATTCTGAATGACAACCTAGAATTTTTTGTGTGGCAATGTGGTAGAAAAGGTGTTATCCCCAAAATTAGGAGCCCTGGGTTTCAATGTGATCTTGGGCAGATTTATTTTTCTGCACCTCAGCTGTAATGTGAAGATTATGGATAAAATAATCTCTAAGTCTCTTCAAGTTTTAATATTATATATGATATGGTATATATATAATATATATAATTTTAATAAAATGCAGAAAATACACACATACACACTGCCACTTGCAGAGGCTCTAGAAGGGCAGTGATACCTCCACTCGGACAAAGAGTTTGTCCAGCAGACTAATCATATATTTGCTGACTGAATTGGTCAACAATTGCAGGAGAGTGAATTTATTCATTTAACAGAAGTTATTGAATGGAAACTTTGTTTAGGCACTGTTCTGGACAAAGGTGATACAGACATGACCCTTATCTTTAGAAAGTGCACACACCAGTGTGGTATGCAGGCATCAAGCAAACAACCACACATCCATGGTTATATATTTATCTATGTCCAACCATAAGTGCTGTAAAGAGAATAAACGGAGTGTGGTGAAGAAGCCAAGATAGGGGCCACTTTATATAGGATGGCCAAGGAGGACCTCTATGAGGAAGAGACAGAGCTGAAACCTGGATGATGAATAGGAGTAAGCCTAGCAAAGCCAAAGGAAACAAATGAGTGAAGTCTCCCGGCAAGGAAAGAACTTGTCACATTTGATAATGAAAAGAAGTCCAATGTGGCTGTAAAAGTGAACTCACAGAGCGGAAAGAAGTAAGGCTGGCAAAACAGGGATACTGGAAGTCACATGGAACATCTTAAGCTATAAAGGAGTTTTGGACTTTATCCTAAGTGTCAGGGGAAACCACTAAAGAGATCTGAGCCAGTAAATAATTTGATCCAATTATGTTTAAGATAGCTATGATTTCTAGGTTGAGAATGGATCGGAGAGGAAAAACAGTGGATGTGGTGGGGGGGGACCACATTGAAGGATATGGCAATAGTCAAGGAGCGAGCCAATGAAGACTTACATTAAGGTAAGATAATACAGATAGATTCAACATATCATTAAGAAGTTGACAGATTATAGGTGAGCAAGTGTAAGGAAATAAAATGATTTCATTATGAATGGGCATATGGAATATATCTAAGTTAACTTCCATTAAAGACAACTTTTTCATGTATCACATGCACAGGTGTGCATGTGTGTGTGGGTGTGGGTGTATTTGGAATTGTCCCACATTTTATTGTGTATTCCTCTCCTCTTGTTTTGTTAACTGAAAAGATCTGTAATTTACTCCTATTTTAGAATGGGTCCAGGAAACAGACATATGATGAAGGTACAGTTTTGATGACCTTATTTCCTAATCCTTCAGAATCAAGACCTACTTTAAAACCTAGTATAGATTTTTTTCCCTGGGGAAGTCTGTCTTATTCTTAACTGGGTGTAGATATTCTCTCCTCTGGTCTGCACTTCAGCACCCTGTACACAGCTACAATCATTCCTTTGCAGGTCTCACTCTTCCAGAAAGCTATGAATTTATCTAGTGCATGGGATTTCTTCCATTTGTTTGTCTCCAAAGGCCTAGTTCTACCTGGCATGTACATGCTGGAAAACATTGAACAACAAAGAGATCATATTGATTCATAGGATGTAATAGTTGTCTTTCTATGTCCTCTGGTGATAGTGTGAAAACTGAAGACTAAAGAGTGGCTTACCTGAGTTTTTCATTTCTGCTATCATCTCTCTGAAATGAGTCAGAGACATTGGAGGCTATCATATGGCAGGCAGTCATAGAGCTTGGCAAACTGTCCTTGGAAGAGCTAAATCAACAATACCTATGTGGTTCATTAATTTAAAGCTTTTGGAATTGGAAGGAGCCTCAGAGGAGATCTAGTCCTACAACTGACTCACTCTGTACTGCAACATTACAGCCGAATTTGTCTAAAATGCTGGATTCCTAATTTTGGGCTTCTCAGAAATAATGTCTCTTTTCTTAGTTTTTATTGGTGAAAACTAATGATGACTTAATAGCAAAAAGGAAAATTAGACACTAACACATTCTCATTTTTTGGCTACTAATTAATTAAATTGCATTTGTACACAAGGACAGGGGAAAAGATATGGCATATAGATTAGGGGAGATGACAGAGGATGATTTCCATTCTGGTTCTTTGTGAACTATTCCTTTCTATTTTATTTATGTATATCTTTAACCTTCATATTCTTATGAAAACTACCTGTCTTCCTTGCCCATCTTTTTCCCTCTCAGGAGTCCTCTTGTCAAAATGTGCTGTGAAGATTTTAAATAATGGCCATTAGAACTTCCCATCAGAGAGTGTTTGATAATGATCTAAGGATGATCAAAGCACCTGGGACCCAACTGCATGTGGAATTGACAAAATCAACCTTTTGTGCAATCCTGTGCTTTGCAGCCCTCACCTCCTTGGCAACATGACGCCTCAGCTGCCTGCTGCCTTCAGAAGGATCTGTGGAACCAAAGCACGTTAGGATATCAGGGCTTTAATGGGTTACCTCTCCTAGGATCATTTTTCTTTTCAGGAGCAAGAGAAAAGTAATATCTTGATAATGGTAGAATTTCTTAGGTTAGAAGGGCCCCTGCCATCATTTTCGATAACATCATATGTAAGTCTTATCCTCAAAATCCTGGCCTGTGGAGCAGATAAGATGCCCAGTGACATTTACTGGCTTGTATTCTTGGCACTTCATTGACTTGGGCTTGCCCAGTGTTCCACACAGGCACAGTGTGTCACCCCTCCCTGTGGTCTACCCGCTATAGATGCCTACTCATATGTCTCATTCTCCTGCAGCATATTGAATACCACTGTGGGCTCTGGAGTCTCACTGCCTGGGCTGTGTTCTCCTCTCTCCCATTTACTACATGTGGGAACATAAGGAACCTTTCTGAGCCCCAGTTTTATTGTATGCAAAATGGCATGTTGTGGGTTTCTGAAGACAAGGAGATAATGAATGTAAAGGGCTTAATTTGGTACCTAACACATAGAGCTCATTAAATGTTTCCAAAACAAATAATTACAAACTCTCATATGGTACTGTATTAGTCCGTTCTCATGCTGCTAGTAAAGACATACACAAGACTAGGTAATTTATAAAGGAAAGAGTTTTAATTCACTCACAGTTCGGGGTGGCTTGGGAGGCCTCAGGAAACTTACAATCATGGCAGAAGAGGAAGCAAACATGTCCTTCTTCACATGGTGTCAGGAGAGAGTAGTGCAGAGCAAAGGGGAGAAAAGCCCCTTATAAAACCGTCAGATCTCTTGAGAACTCACTCACTATTAAAAGAACAGCATGGACCGGGTGTGGTGGCTCACATCGGTAATCCTAGCACTTTGGGAGGCCATGGCGGGTGGATCATGAGGTCAGAATATTGAGACCATCCTGACTACCACAGTGAAACCCCGTCTCTACTAAAAATACAAAAAATGTAGCTGGGTGTGGTGGCAGGCGCCTGTAGTCCCAGCTACTCGGGAGGCTGAGGCAGGAGAATGGCGGGAACCCGGGAGGCAGAGCTTGCAGTGAGCCAAGATGGCACCACTGGACTCCAGTCTGGATGACAGAGCGTGACTCCGTCTCAAAAACAAAACAAAACAAAACAAAAAGAACAGCATGGGGGGACCACCCCCATAGTCTAATCACCTCCCACGAGGTCCCTCCCTCAACATATGATGATTACAATTCAGATTGCAACTTAAGATAAGATTTGGGTGGGGACACAGAGCCAGACCATATCAGATACTTACTATATGATAATATTTGCATATATATAAATTATTTAATTCTTAATGATAACCCTAAGAGGTGGTTACTATTATGGCCATTTTATAGGTGAGGGAGCCAAAGCACAAGGAGATTAGCTGACTTACCCAAAGTCTCATAGCTAGTAAACAGTAGGGAGTTAGAATTTGAGCCCAGGACTCTCTGCTGCCAGAGCGCCTGCTTATCACCATTCTGCAATGCTATCTCTCCTATAGATGGATGACATCACTCCAAAAGTATTGGCAAAGCCATTGGAAAACTCCTCTGCACAATCTGAATCCAAGTGAAATGCAGGTCTGACTAAGGCTCTGTGATGTGAAGTGGTGTGGAATGAGCCTTTCCTACCATGATGCAGAAAACCTGGGCTAGACTTACAGACACATAGTAAGAGATGTCGGAGGTTACTCAGTGTAACTCCTTCACTTCACATATAAGAACACTGTAACCCAGGGCAGTGCAAGAACTTGCACACAGTCATAGTTACATTGAGGCAGAACCAACCACTGGTTAGGTTTCCAAGGGCTTTTATTTTATTTTTAATTTTAGTGGGTGCATAGTAAGGGTATATATTTATGGAGTACATAAGATATTTTGAAAGAGGCATATAATGCACAGTAACCACATCAGGGTAAATGGGGTATCCATCACCTTAAGCATTTACCCTTCATGTTACAAACAATCCAATTCTACTCTTTATTTTAAAATGTGCAATTAAATTATTATTAACTGTAATCACCTTGTTATCAAATACTGGATCTCATTCATTCTTTCTATTTTTTTATACCCATTAACTATCCCCACTTTCCCCTCACCCCCCAACTACCCTTCCCAGCCTCTGGGAACCATCCTTCTACTCACTATCTCTAAGAGTTCAATTGTTTGAATTTTAGCTTTCACAAATAAGTGACAACATGCAAAACTTGTCTTTCTGTGCTTGGCTTATTTCACTTAAGATAATGACCTCCAGTTCCATTCATGTTGTTGGAAATGAGAATATATCATTCTTGTTATGGCTGAACAGTACTTCATTGTGTATATATACCACATTTTCTCTATCCATTTGTCTGTTGATAGACACTTGGATTGCTTGCAAATCTTAGTCATGGTAAATAGTACTGAAATAAACATGGTAGTGCAGATATGTCTTCAATATACCGTTTTCTTTTCTTTTGGGTCTATACCTAGAAGTGGGATGCTAGAATATATGGTAGCTCAGTTTTTAGTTTTTTGAGGAGCCTCCAAACTGCTCTCCATAGTGATTGTACTAATTTACATCCCTACCAACAGTGTATGAGGGTTCCCTTTCCTTCACATCCTCACCAGCATTTGTTATTGCCTGTCTTTTGGAAAAAGCCATTTTAACTGGGGTGAGATCTCTTTGTAGTTTTGACTTGAATTTATCTGATAACCAGTGATGTTGAACACCTTTTCAGATACCTGTTTACTATTTGTATGTCTTCTTTTGAGAACTGTCTATTCCGATCTTTTGCTAATTTTTTAAAAGGACTATTAGATTTTTTTCCTGTAGAGTTGTATGAGCTCCATATATATTATGGTGATTAATCCCTTGTCAGATGGGTAGTTTGCAAATAGAGCTGATAAAGAAATTCAGTAAAGTTGCAGGATACAAATCAATATTTAAAGCATTAGTACTATTTATATATGCCAACAGCAAATAATCTGTCATGTGGGTTGTTTCTTCACTTTGTTGATTGTTTTCTTTGTTGTACAGAAGCTTTTTTTTTTTTTTTTTTTTTGAGACAGAGCCTTGCTCTGTCACCCAGGCTGAAGTGCAGTTGCACAATCTCAGCTCGCTGCAATTATTGCCTCCTGGGTTCAAGTGATTCTCCTGCCTCAGCCTCCCAAGTAGCTGGTATTACAGGCATGCACCACCACACCCGGCTAATTTTTGTATTTTTAGTAGAGACAGGGTTTCGCCATGTTGTCCAGGCTGATTTTGAACTCCTGACCTCAGGTAATCCACCCGCCTTGGCCTCCCAAAGTGCTGAGATTACAGGCGTGAGCTACCATGCCCGGCCGCAGAAGCTTTTTAAGTTGATGTATCCCATTAGTTCATTTTTGCTTCGGTTGCCTATTCTTGTGGAGTATACTGAAGCAATCTTTGCCCACTCCATATCCTGGAGAGTTTCCTCGATGTTTTATTTTAGTAGCTTTATAATTTGAGGTCTTAGATTTAACTCTTTAGTCTATTTTGGTTTGATTATTGTATATGGCACACTGGGGTCTAGTTTCATTCTTCTGCATATGGATACCCAGTTTTCCTAATGCCATTTATTGAAGAGACTGTCCATTCCCCCATTGTATGGTCTTGGCATCTTTGTTAAAAATAAGTTTATTGTAGATATACAGATTTGTTTCTGGATTCTCTATTCTGTTACATTGGTCTATGTGTCTGTTTTTATAACAGTATCATGCTGTTTTGATTACTATATTTTGTAGTGTATTTTGAAGTCAGGTAATGTGATTCCTCAATTTTTTTTCCCTCAGGATAGCTTTGGCTATTCTGGGTCTTATCTGGTTCCATAAACATTAGGATTGTGTTTTCCATTTTTGTGAAGAACATTGTTGGTATTTTGATAGGGCTCACATTGAATTTATAGATTGCTTTGGGTATATGAACATTTTAACAACATTAATTCTTTCAATTCATAAACATATAATATTTTTCCATTTTTTGTGTCCTGCTCAATTTATTTCATCAGTGTTTTATAATTTTCATTGGACAGATTTTTCACTTCTTCGGTTAAGTTAATGCCTAGGTATTTAATTTCATTTGTGACTACTATAAATGGGATTACTTTTTGATTTCTTTTTCAGATTATTTACTGTTGGCGTATATAAATGGTACTAATTTTTTAAATATTGATTTTGTATCCTGCAACTTTACTGAATTTCTTTATCAGTTCTAATAGTTTTTTTGATGAAGTCTTTAGATTTTTTTCAAATATAGGATTGCATCATCTGCAAACAAGGATAATTTGACTTCTTCCTTTTCAATTTGGATGCCTTTTATATCTTTCTCTTGTCTGATTGCTCTAGTTAGGACTTTCAGTACTATGTTAAATAACAGTGGTGCAAGTGGGCATCCGTGTTGTGTTCTAGATCTTAGGGGAAAAGCTTTCAGTTTTTCCCCATCAGTATGATACTAGATGTGTGTCAGTTGCATATCGTTTTTATTATGTAGATGTATCGTCCTTCTATACTCAGTTTTTGAGATTTTTTTATTATGAAGTGATGTTGAATTTCATCAAATGCTTTTTCAGCATCAAGTGAAGTGTTCCCTCCTCCTCTATTTTTTGTAATAGTTTGAGTAGGATGGGTATTAGTTATTTAAATGTTTGGTAAAATTCAGCAGCAAAGCCATCAGCTCCCAGGCTTTAGTTTTCCGGGAAACATTTTATTACAGTTTTGACCTTCTTACTTGTTATTGGCCTGTTCAGGTTTGGGATTTCTTCCTGGTTCAATCTTGGTGGGTTGTATGTGTCTAGGAATTTATTTATTTCTTCTAGGTTGTCCAATTATTGGCATATAGTTGCTTATAGTACCTTCTAATGATCCTTTCTAATCTCTGATTTTATTTGAGCCTTATCTGCTTTTTTTTAGTATGTCTAAAGGTTTGTCTATCTTTTCAAAGAACTAACTTTTTATTTTATTGATCCTTTGTATTGTTTCCTTTGTTTTAATTTCATTTATTTCTGCTCTGATCTTCATTATTTATTTTCTTCTACTAATTTGCGGTTTGATTTGCTCTTGTTTTCTAGTTCTTTAAGATGCATACTTAGGTTGTTTATTTGAAATGTTCTTTTTTTTTTAATGTAGACACTTACAGCGCTAAAATTTCCTCTTAATACTGCTTTTGTTGTATCCCATAGGTTTTGGTATGTTGTGTTTCCACTATCATTTGTTTCGAGAAATTTTTCAATTTTCTTCTTAATTTCTTTATTGACCCACCGGTCATTCAGGAGCATACTGTTTAGTTTCCATTTTATATAGTTTTCAAAATTCCTCTTGAGTTCTAGTTTTATTTCATTATGGTCAAAGAAGATACTTTTTACAATTACAATTTTTTGAATTATTTAAGATTTGTTTTGTGGTCTAATATATGGCCTATCCTTGAGAATTATCCATATGCTGAGAAGAATATGTATTCTGGAGCCATTGGATAAAATGTTCTGTAAATATCTATTATGTCTATTTGATCTATAGTGCAGATTAAGTTTGATGTTTCTGTGTTGATTTTCTGTATGGATGATCTGTCCAATGCTGAAAGTACAGGGTTGAAGTCTCTAGTTATTATTGTACTGGAATCAATCTCTCTCTTTAGCTCTAATAACATTTGCTTTATATATCTGGGTGCTCCAGTGTTGGGTCCATATATATTTACAATTGTTATATCCTCTTGGTGAATTGACCACTTTATTACTATATAATGATCCTTGTCTCTTTTTATAGTTTTTGTCTTGAAATCTATTTTGTCCAATATATCTATTTCTGTTCTTTTATGTCTTCCATTTGCATGGAATATAGTTTTTCATTCCTTTATTTTTAGTCTGTGTGTGTCTTTATGGGTGAAGTGTATTTCTTATAGGCAATAGATCATTGGGTCTTATTTATTTTAATCCTTTCAATCATTCCATATCTTTTGATTGGAGTGTTTAGTCGACTTAACATTCAGTGTTATTACTGACAACTAAAAACCTACTCCTGCCATTTTGTTATTTGTTTTCTGGTTGCTTTGTTCCCTTCCCTTCCCTTCCCTTCCCTTCCCTTCCCTTCCCTTCCCTCCCCTCCCCTCCCCTCCCTTCCCCTGCCCTCCCCTCCCCTTCCCTTCCCTTCCCTCCGCTTCCCTCCGCTTCCCTCCGCTTCCCTCCCCTCCCCTCACTTCCCCTCCTCTCCCCTTTGCTTCTTTCCTCTCTTCTCCTTTCCTCTCCTCTTCTTTTCTCCTTTCTTTCTTTATTCTTTCTTTCTTTCTTTCTTTCTTTCTTTCTTTCTTTCTTTCTTTCTTTCCTTCCTTCCTTCTTTCTCCTTCCTTCCTTCCTTCCTTCTTTCCTGTCTACATTTTAGTGAAGGTGATTTTTCTCTGGTGGTATATTTTAATTTCTTGCTTTTTATTTTTTGTATCCGTATTATTATTATGATTATTATTATTTTTTGAGACAAAGTCTCACACTGTTGCCCAGGCTGGAGTGCAGTGCACGATCTCAGCTCACTGCAACCTCTGCCACCTGGGCTCAAGTGATTCTTGTGCCTTAACCACCCAAGTAGCTGGAATTACAGGCATGCACCACCATACCAGGCTAATTTTTGTATTTTTACTAGAGATGGGGTTTCCCCATGATTGCCAGGCTGGTCTTGAATTCATGGCTTCACATGATCCACCCACCTCAGCCTCCCAAAATTCTGGGATTATAGGCATGAGCCGCCACACCCAGCCTGTTATATGTTTTTTGGTTTGAGGTTACCATGAGGCTTCCAAATAATATCTTATAACCCATTATTTTAAACGGATGAAAACTTAACACTGATTGCAAAAACAAATTAACTAACAAACAAGCAAAGAGAAAACTAATAAAAACTCTACGCTTCAATTTTGTCTGCTTTTTAACTTTGTTGAAAAAGTTTTTAACTTTTTTTAACAGAAGTTTAAAACCTTTTTGACTTTTTGTTGTTTCTATTTATATCTTACTGTATCATTTATGTTTTGGAAAGTTGTAGTTATTAATTTTGATTAGTTCATCTTTTAGTCTTTCTACCTAAGATGTGAGTCGTTTACACACCACCATTACAGTGCTACAATATTCTATGTTTTTCTGTGTACCTACTAGTACCAGTGAGCTTTGCACCTTCAGATCGTTTTTTATTGCTCATTAATTTTGTTTTCTCTCAGATTGAAGAACTCCCTTTAGCATTTCTTGTAGGACATGTCTGGTGTTGATGAAATCTCTCAACTTATGTTTGTCTGAGAAAGTTTTTATTTTTTCTTCATGGGTGAAGGATATGTTCACTGAATATATTATTATTCCAGAGTAAAAGATTTTTTTTCGTCCTGCATTTTAAATATGTCATGACACTGTTTCCTGGCTTGTAATGTTTCCACTGAAAAGTCTGCTGCCAGACATACTGGAACTCCATTGTCTGTTCTTAGTTTTTTTTTTTTTCTCTTGCTGCTTCTAAGATTTTTTTTTTGTCCTTGACCTTGGGAATTTGATTATTAAATGCCTCGAAGTAGTCTTCTTTGGGTTAAATCTGCTTGGTATTCTATAACTTTCTTGTACTTGAATGTTAATATCTTTCTCTTGGTTTGGGAAGTTCTCTGATATTATCCTGCGAAGAAACTTTCTACACATATCTCTTTCTCCATCTCCTCTTTAAGGCCAAAAACTCTTAGATTTGTCTTTTTGAGACTATATTCTAGATCTTCTAGGCATGCTTCATTGTTTTTTATTTGTTTGTCTCCTCTGACCATGTGTTTTCAAATAATCCGTCTTCAAGCTAATAAATTCTTTCCTCTGCTTGATCAATTCTGCTATTAAGAGACTCTGATGCATTCTTTGGCATGTCAATTGTGTTTTTCAACTCGGATTTCTGCTTGATTCTTTTTAATTATTTCAATCAGTTTGTTAAATTTGTCTGATAGGATTTTGAATTTCTACTCTATGTTACCCTGAATTTCAGTGAGTTTCTTCAAAACGGCTATTTGGAATTCTCTGTCCAAAAGGTCACATATTTCTGTCTCTCCAGGACTGGTTCCTGATGCCTTATTTAGTTCATTTGGTGAGGTTATGTTTTCCTGGATAGTCTTAACGCTTGTGGAATTTTGTTGGTGGCTGGATATTGAAGAGTTAGATATTATAGTCTTCAAGGTCTTGGCTTATTTGTCCCTGTCTTTCTTAGGAAGGCTTTCCAGGTATTCAAAGGGACTTGGGTGTTGTTATCTAAGTTTTTGGTCATTGCAGCCATGTCTGCATTAGAGGGCACCTCATGCCCAGTAACACTGTAGCTCCCGTATAAGTACCACCTCATAGAGGTACCACCTTGGTCGTCTTGGATAAGATTTGGAAGAATTCTCTGATTACCGGTAAGAAACCCTTTTTATCTTCCCTTACTTTCTCCCAAACAAATAGAGTCTTTCTTTCTGTGCTGAGCTTCCTGGAGCTGTGGGAGAGGTGACACAAGCACTCCTGTGGCCACTACCACTGCAACTATGCTGGGTCAGACCTGAAGCTAGCACAGCAGTGTGGAACTCACACAAGACCCACTGTAACTACTACTTGGCTACTGCCTATGTTTGCTGGGCTCACAATTGGTATGTGACAAAACAAGTCAGGCTGTGTCCTTCCCTTCAGGGTGATGAGTTCCCCCAGGCCTGGGTGGATCCAGAGATGCCATCTAGGAGGCAGGACCTGGAGTCAGAAAACTTAGGGATTTACCTTGTTCTGTAGTCTACACCAGCTGCGCTGGCACTCAAGCCACAAGACAAAGTCTTTCCCACCCTACCCTCCCTTTCCACAAGCAGAGGCGTTTCTCCGCATAGACCACCACCACAGGCCTGCAGACAGTACTGCGACGCTACTGCCTATGTTCACTCAAGCCCTACAGCCCTTCAGTCAGCTTGTGGTGAATGCTGTCAGGCCTGAGACTTACCCTTTCAGGGCAGTGGGCTCTCTTCTCACCCAGGGAAGGTTGAGAAATTCTACCCAAGAACCAAGGCCTGGAATCGGTAACCCCACGAGCCTGCTTGGTACTCTAACCCACTGTGGCCAAGCTGGTACTTAGGCTGCAACACAATGTCCTCTTCACTTTTCTCTCTGCTTTTCTCAAAGAAAGTAGTCTCCCATCATAGCTACCACAGCTGGGAATGTGCTGGGTCACACCCGAAGCCAGCACATCTCAGTCTCCCCCAAGGCCCATGATGTGCGCTACCTTGCTAGCACTACTGATTATTCAGGGCCTAAGAGCTCTTTAGTCAGCAGATAATGAATCCTCCAGGACTGGGTCCTTCCCTTCAAGGCAATGGGTTCTCCAAGGGCTTTTAAATTCACTACATTTACTTCAAGAGGTCCTCACGTTCTTTGAATTAAAGGAAACTTTTCTTCCATACCCTAATTTCCTTTTGACCCTGGGTAAAATCTATTTTGACTTAGCTAAATCTTATTTTCTACTGATGATGTAAAAGATATATAAAATGTGGGGTTAAATAGGAGGAGACTGAGAGCTTAGTAATAGGGTTGAATTGATCCCACCAAGCATAAGGTGGCTAAAAGTAGCTGCTTGGAGGGATAGGAGAACAGCTGGATCCTGATGAATGTCAGTCCAATGATGCTGGGCAGTATGTCTTTCTGTTAGTTCAGGTTCACCTGATGAGCTTGTTCTGGAAGTGGTCTGGTTTTGTCATATGTTGGGTGTTTCTGCAGGGCAGTATCTTGTTCCCTGTTTTTCAGTGACTGCATACCTAAAAATGAATATTGGCAAAAATGAATCTGCAGGCAAGATACATTTTAAGTGGCTGCACAACAAATGCTTTCTCCTCCCCTACAGTAATACACTTGTAAAAGAAATCATATTGGGAAAGAAAAAAGCTGTTGAAAAAAATCTGCTAAGCAGGTACTTACTTTGAATACTGAGAATATGAAAAATGTTTTGACATGAGGCTACAGATTATGAAAGAGTGCTGATTCATATTGCTCTAGAATCACCAAATGCTTATGCTATAAGAAACCTTAGAGATTTCCTAGTACAAACCCTGTATTTTGAACATGAATAAAGAAGACAGAATGATACCCAGCTCAAGGTCATAGCTAGTTAGAGGCAATCAAGACTCCTGGCTCTCATTCTGAAAATTTTATTGGGAAATTTCATATTGTATTAGCCTACTTGGGCTACCAAACAAAATTATTACAGACTAGGAGGCTTAAACCATAGAAATTTATTTTCTCACTGTTATGGAGCCTGGGGAGTTGAAGATCAAGTTTCCAGCAAATTTGGTGTCTGGTGAGAGCTCTCTTCCTGGCTTGCAGATGGGTACCACTTGCTGTGCCCTCACAGGTTCTCACATACTTGGTTTCTGCTCATAAAGAGTGTGAGCACTTTGGTGTCTCTTCTTAGAAGGCTTCTAATCTTATTGGATCAGGGCCCCACCCTTATGACATTATTTAACCTTAATTACCTCCTTTTAGGCCCAATCTCTAAATACAGCTACATTGGATTTTAAAACTTCAGCATATATATTTTGTTTGGGTTATGATGGGAGTGGAACTTGTGGCTTTATAGAAAGAAGAGAGACTTGAGCTACCACACTCAACCTCTTCACCATGTGATACCCTGTGCTGCCTCAGGACTCTGCAGTGTCCCCACTAGCAACAAGGCTCTTACCAGACGATGCTTCTCAACCTTGAACTTCTCAGTATCCATCATTATAAGAAATAAATTACATTTCTTTATTAATTACTCAGTTTTAGATATTTTGTTATAAGCAATAAAAAACAGACTACAACAGAAAATTGGCACCAGGAGTGGGGTTGTTGCCAATAATGAATACCTGAAAATGTGGAAGTGGCTTTAGAACTGGGTAAGAGACTGGAAGAGTTTAGAGGAGCAGGCTAGAAAGATCTGTGTCTTTATGAACAGAGCATTAAGAGTGATTCTGATGAGGGCTTAGAAGACAAGAAGATGGGGAAAATCTGATACTCCTTAGAGGTTGGTTTAGTGATTATGACCAGAATGGTAATAGAAACATAGATCGTAAAGGCCATTGTGTTAAAATTTACAGTGAAACTGAAGAAAAAAGTATAGGAAACTGGAGTAAAGGCTATCCTTTTTATAGATTGGCAAGGAATATGGTAGAACTGTGTTCATGCCCAAGGGCTTTGTGGAAAGTCCAACTTAAGAGTAATGATCTAGAATATCTGTCAGAATAAATTTCTAAGCAAAACGGAAGAAGCTGCATGGTTGCTTTTGGCTGCTAATCCCGAAATTCAGGAAAAAAGGAATGATTTAAAAACAAAATACATAATTAAAAGGGAAGCAGAATGAAAATATTTGGAAAACCCTCACTTTGGCACATAAAGAGTGAAAAAGTATGTTCAGATGAAGAAACCAAGATTGTAGCTCAGCAACCATATGGTGAAGATATTAGCACAGATAGAAGGAAGCTGCATGCTACTCCTCAGGACAATGGAAGAAAGACCCCAAAGGTATTTCAGATATCTTTTAGGCTGTCCCCCCATCACAGCCCCAGAAGCCTAGGAGAGCAGAATATTCCCAGGGGACAGGCCCAGGACTATCTCTATGAGCTAGCTGCCCAGGGCCACTTCAGAACTCTACTCTCTGTCCCCAAGCACACTGCGCAGCTGCTCAACTATGGCTCAAGTAGCCCTAGGTACAGCTTGCACTGCAGCTCTGGTAAATATAAGTTGTAAACTTTGGTGGCGTCCACATGGTGCTAATTCTGCAGGCTTGTAGAAAGCAAGAGCTGTGGTGGCTTGACATCCTCCACCTAGATTCTACAGGATGTCATGGAAAGGCAGGAGTTAAGGCAGATACTTGTCACAGGGATAGAGGCACTGCAGAGATATCCCACTAGAATAATAATGAACAGAAATGTTGGGTTGGAGCTTCTGCAGAGTACTCACTAGGGCAATGCCCATTGGAGCCATGAGAGTGGGACTGCCACTGAGATTTCAGAACTATAGAGCTACCAGTGTGCAGTGCCAGTCTGGGACAGCTAGGTGTACTGAGCCCAGTCAAACCATAGGGGCAGGGCTGTCCTAGGTCTTGGGGGCCCAACTCCCCTCACTAGTGTGCAAAGGACACTGGACATATAGTTAAAGGAGATTCTTCTGAAGTCTTAAGATTTAACGTCTGCTCTCTTGGGTTTCAGACTTTCCTAAGGCCTCTTAACACTTTCTTTTGGCTTATTTCTTTTTGGAATGTAAATATTTGCCCTGTGCCTATGTACTACCATTGTATCTTTTTTTTTTTTTTTTTTTTTTTTTTTTTTTTTTTTGAGACGTGGCGCCATCTCGGTTCACTGCAAGCTCTGCCTCCCGGGTTCACGTCATTCTCCTGCCTCAGCCTCCCTAGTAGCTGGGACTACAGGCAACCATCACCACACCTGGCTAATTTTTGTATTTTTAGTAGAGACGGGATTTCACCGTGTTAGCCAAGATGGTGTCCATCTCCTGACCTCGTGATCCACCCACCTCTGCCTCCCAAAGTGCTGGGATTACAGGCGTGAGCCACCGTGCCCGGCCTACTATTGTATCTTGAAATTAGATAACCTGCTTTGATTTCACATGTTCCCAGATGAAATTCTAGACTTTGGACTTTTGTGTTGGTGTTGGAATGAATTAAGACTTTGGGGTGATGGGATTGGAATGAAGGTATTTGTGAAGGACATGAGTTTTGGGGACCGTGGTGGAATGTTATTGTTTGAACATCCCCTCTGAAACTATGTTGAAACTTAATCCCCAATGTGGTAGTATTGAGAAGTAGAGCATTAAGAGGTGATTAGATTAAGAGGGACTGCCCTCATGAGTAGATTAAGCCTGAGCTAGCATGTTAGCACATGAGCACACACAAATTACTCACCATGTGATGCCCTGTGCCAACTCTGGGACACTGAAGTGAGTCTCCACCGGTAAAGAGACTCTCACAAGATGCTCACCATAGACCTTGGACTTCCCAGACTCCATACTTTAAGAAATAAGTTCCTTTTCTTTATAAATTACCCAGTTTCTGGTATTATTTTATAAGCAACAGAAAACAGAGTAATACAGTCTTCATATTTGACCCTCCATTGTTACCACATGGCTGCTACACCTCCAGGCTCAAGTCCATTTACTGGCTAAAAAAAGAAGAGACAAAAGGCTTAAGAAGCAGACCATCTGCCATCTGACTTTTTCAAAAATTTCCCAGAAGCTTCACTTGACAACTTCTGCTTAAATCTCATTGCCTGGAACTGGGTCACTTTGCTTCTCTAGCTACAAGGGCATCTGGGCAGGTAGGTGTTTTTGGCTATGCCCGGTCACTCCAAACAAAAGTGAGTATTTTTTATTAAAGAAGAACAGAGGAATAGATAATGTATAGAAAACTACTGGAGTCTGAAACATAGAACGTGTTGTAGGTAAATAATTAAGAGCCATAGGCTTTAGAGTCAGGCACATCTGAATTCAAATCCCAGCTCCGACAGTATCTGGGCAAGTTACGTAAGTTCTCTAGTCCTCAGTTTCCTCTGTAAATGGAGAGAATTATGACAAATAAGGCGACGAAGTTGTGGTAAAGATGAAAGATGATAATTAAGACATAAGGTCTCCATAAATGCTAGTGTTCACATTATACCACCGTTTTAGGATCACAAGGCATTTGTGTTTCTTATCCTCCCTGGACAAAGTCATACTTTAATTTCTTTTAACTTTAGTGAGACAGAATGTTCAGAATACCAAGACACAGAAGCTGATGAAACAGGTTTTATTCAGCATTATTTCCTATTAAAAATAATTATTCTCTCTGCTTCTAGCCCTTTGCCTAAAGAGAAGTCCTCTATGAGCCAGCCATCCTGTGCTCAAGCTGAAGTGCTTCCTTGTGTTGGAGAAGTGGTGACTAGGCCTGCAGCCTAGCCCTTGTAGGGAATTTACAACAAACAGAGAGGGGGTCCTGAGTCCTGTATATTTTTTCTTAAGGCAGAGGCTCATAGATCAATAAATCTACATCTCCCAAACTCAGTCTCATTGAGTCTTCAACTTAAAAAAAGAAAGAAAGAAAAAGAAAAAAAGAAGACAAATTTCTTCTTTAGTAAATTAGGGCTCTCACATCAGATTTCAGGATTTCTATCAAGAAATCTGTATGTATTACACATGGTCTTTTAATCTAAGTATGTAGATATCACAGAAAGTGGCACATAGCCTATGGCCAACTTTACTTAAAGGCAGTCACTACAACATTAGTATTTCTTATTTCCTTTGGGAAGAAAAATTGTTATGTGGGCATTATGAGCGGTTCAATTCCCTTCTGGAAAAATTTCCCAAATACCCTGTAATAGCTGTGCTTGGCATGGCATTCAGTTTTCATCCCTATGTATTTTTATTTCAAACTTATTTATATTAACAAATTAATAAATGATTATTGTAGATAACTTAGAAACAAAAAATATTAAAAATATAAAAACACAATTACATATAATTCTATCGTCTAAATAAAACTATTGTTAACATTTTTATACTTGTTCTTTAAGCTTTATATATGTAAATGTATTGATATATATTTTTAAAAATTGGATTTATATTTTGCATTCTATTTTAAACCATGCTGACATTTAAAAATATGACATAAATATTTTCCCTGACATTGAGTACAATTTTATATCATCCTTGAAAATGTTTGCATGCATTATTTTTATAAATACATACCAACCTCCTATTGTTGGACACAAATTGTTTTCTGTTTTTATTATTTCTAATATGTGCTGTGATAATTTTTGTGACTGAAACTTCGTGGAAAATGAAATTATTTTCTGAGTCAAAGGATATGAACATAATTTAACATACTTCATAGTATTGATATTAATATTACAAATTTTTTACCAAAAAGATGAGAAAAATGTATTACACCATTAACATGAACTCTTGCCAACAGTGGATATTATCATTAACAAGTATATATAGTTTTGTGTGAGCGTGTGTTTGTGTGTGTGTGTAATTTGGAGGTAATTTTTCTGAACTTGTTGTTGCTATATACAACCTTCCTGTTTTTGATTATATACCAATACCACATAGGTAAGGATAGTGGACAGGTGAGATAGAATTGCTCCTGTGAACCTGTTTCTTGCACGTGGAAACCACAGTGGGAAATGCTGGGTTTTTTTCCAAGAATGATGATCTCCTTTTGTATTTTTATACCACTTAGATTTTGCCTTCTCTTAACTTCTTTCTCCATTTCATAAATAGCTAACTGAAGTTAGAGAATCAATGAAGTGGATCATTGTATGAAGCTCTAAAATGGATACAGTGAGGCATGAGTGTTTGTAACTTAAAGAAGACTCAATGACAGAGGCTGGATATAGATAAATGTAGACTTTCAATACATCTTTAAACCTAAACACTAAAAGCCCCAAAATAAAAAAGAGAAGGACTTTCTTTGTGCAAGTGTGGCAGAAAGTCATGGACACAAGGTGACCATGAGTGGACAGTGAAGCACTGCAGTAAAGAAACAATCATGAGCTTGGGTTTTATAAATAGCAACATGGGCATAAAGCTAAAGCTACTGGGTCAGTGCTAAAGCCTTATGTCCACTTTCAGATTCTACAGCTGTAGAAAGACGTGGAGAATATTCCCTGCACTTTTCTTTGTTCTGGGAAATTTAAAGTTATTATCACATATAATTTAATAATCATGATGAGTTTTTTGGATGTGCATTATGACCTCCATTTTACACAAAAGGGACCAAAACTTAGAAAAGAAAATACTTTAGGGTTATCCAGCTCTTTACTGAGGATGCAGGATTCAAACCAGGTTGATTTGCCTTTAAGTCTCATCCTCTCAATCATTTAGCTGTAAGGCACAATGGGAACACGATGCTGAGAACACAGTGAAGCAAGAGGACAAAGATTACTTGGCCTCTATGCTATTACCTAAAGAAAACACCCAATTTGTAGTAAATCCCCTTCTTCTACTTGGGTGCTATACTTGTGCCTGCCAAAGCTGGAACAGAGGTGAGGCTGGAAAATTGCTTGTAAGATTCTTTTGTTCTCTTTGATTGCCCAGTGTGAGGCAGCTCCTTCACTGACCTTGAATATAAATTTCCTTATATGCCACCACCTGGGAACACCGGGACAGGTGATGATTCACTCACCTCTGACTGACCAGACCCATCATGCTGACTGTGTTAGAGGACTCAGCAGATGTTTGGATGGAGGCAGGAAACCCATAACATTTTCTAGGTATTAAGTGGCAGAGCAGAACCAAACAAATTAAAAGGCTGCCAGGAAAAGTGAAAGTAATAGGGGTTGTTTCTCTGCTGGGGAAGAGAAATCTGAATTATGACTTCCAGAAGGACAACCTCCCCTCTCCCCAAAGAATAATTTAAACCAGCTGATATCTGTCTGCACTGAGAATAAAGAGGAAACAAACAAATTTAGATTTTATCATAAGAAATTTAGGTAAAAAAGAATTTCCTGATAGTTATAGATGTTGAGTATTACAATAGTTTTCCAGAAGGTGCTGTGAAATCAATTTTATTCACAGAAATTCTTATTTTTGTTTTACCCTTTATTACTAATTTAAAAAAATTATTTTTATTTTTGGATACATAATAGTTTCCCATATTTATGGGGTACATGTGATATTTTGACACAGTCATACAATGTGCAATGCTCAAATCTGGGTACTTGGGATATTCGTCACTTCAACCATTGATCATTTCTTTGTTAGGAAGATTCCAATTTTACTCTTCCAGTTATTTTAAAATATACAATAATTTTTGTTAACTATAGTCACCCTGTGGTGCTACTAAATAGTAGATATTCATTTTATCTAGCTGTATTTTTGTATTCATTAACCAACCCCTCTTTATCTTCTCTCCCCACTACCACTCCCAGCCTCTTCTGACCATCCTTCTACTCTATCTCCATGAGATTTAACTTTTAGCTCCCACAAATGAGTGAGAATATGCAATACTTGTTTTTGTATGCCTGGCTTATTTCAGTTAACATAATGTCCTCCATTTCAATCCATGTTGTTGCAAATGACAGGTTTCACTATTTATTGGCTGAATAATATTCCTGTATAAACACACACACGCGTGTGCGCGCACACACACACACACACACACACACACACTACATTTTCTCTATCCATTCATCCCAGTGAAATTATACTTCAAATATGAAGGAGAAATAAAGACTTTCCAAGAAATATTTTTTAAATGCGACATTCTCTTGTTTGTCCAAGATGTCATAGGAGGCAAAGTAGTTGGTTGACAGGGAGTGATCTGTGACCCAAGGGACCAGACCAGGAATGGATTCATCATCACAGGAGAATGAGAGAGACTACATGAAATAACCCAGGAATTAAGAGTGTCTAGAGTATAAGATAGCAGATTCTCCAAAGGAAAACCATTTATTTTTTAGTGAAAGTGTACAAACAAATATCTACATATTTTCTCTATATGAATGTTTCCCCTGATTTACTGATGTGTAAATATGCAGGAATGAGCAATGTTGAATACAGTTGTTTGACCAAGAAAGTGTTTGAAGATGCACTGACAGGATTTGAACTAAGTGCTACATGATGGCTGAAATGTTACTTGAGCCACCAAATGGAGCTCAGATGGTTTTAAATATATCCTCAATATTTTAGGAGTGGAAAAAAAATCAATTTAAAGCCTAGTTTTCAGTGCCTACTTTTTTGCCATGATGGCAGTTCGTACAGGTGATTATGAAATGCAACACAATCTGTTTCATGGGTCAATGAAACTTAGCCACTAAGTCACTATAAATCAATTTTTCTGAATACATTTCCATTTTTCCAGTTGGATAATTATGTCTGACTTTTCAAAATCATACCGAGTTTAGAGAACTCAGAGTTGCAGCCATTATTTTCTCTCCTGAGATCCCATTTTACCCCCATTTTCAGTGCCTATCTTAACTTTACTCTGGTATAAACAATCATGTCCACTTCTATTATTTTAAAGTACTTTTATGATTATTCAAATAATAGGATTTCTTTGTAAGCTCCATGTGTTCTCCTTCATAAATATCCCATCAGTTCTGTCTAGAAGTTAGTTTTAGAGCATATCTTGATGTAACCTACCCTCTGTAAATATTGTCACATAACTAAGATAAAAATTAAGATTTTTCAACATATTAAATTGTGTATGTTATGGACTTTGTCAGACGCTGCTCTTCCCTTTCTCTTGTACTCTCTAGGTTTTAGGCAGGATCTTAACAGTGATAAAGTCTGTTATAAAATCTTCTACAATGCAGCAACATATAGCACATTACCACGTTGCAATCTTGTAGGGGTATGCCAGAGGCCTCACTAAAGATCTTGAAACAGAGTGTCATTCTGTAAATCATGAACCTTCTGCTCCAGTGGTTCTTCTCTACTTACTGCCTCTAAAAATACCTCTTATGGATTCACATTCACTCCCATTCACCCTGAATGCCAATGCCTTGCTTGGCATCAGGCCCACTTTCCTTCTTACTTTTCTGAAGAGGTGTTCTCTGATTATCTCTGCTCTCCCATCCTTAAATCTAGGATGACGGTAGTTTTTATTTTTCATGTAGCATATATGGCTCAGTACTGCTGCTGTATTTTGTGTGCTTGTGTCATGCCTTCACACCTATACTGTAAGTCCATGGAGGAAGCAGTACAAAATGGTGGTTATGAGCAAGAACTTCCAATTAAGATCCTAGATCCACCACTGTGTCCCTTTGGGTGAGTTACTTAACTTCTTTGAGCTTCCACATCCTCACTTGTAAAAGAGGGGTTATAACTTCTATATGGAGTTATTATGATGAATAAATGAAATGCTTAGGTGTTTATCCCAGTGCCAGACACATAGTAAATTTTCATCAAATTGAAGGGAGAGTCAATGTCTAACATTTCTTGGCAACTCTTAAAGGGCAGAGCACAGGGAATTTTTCAGGTTAAGAGTTCAATAAAATATTTGCTAATCCAAAGAAAATATGCAGCTCTCTACCAGCCCTGAGTGTTTACAATTACATAGCCTTTTTATTTCTTAAGTGTTTTATTATAGGTCACTTTTTTATATATTCACAACTTTCTTTCAGAGCTACAGATACTAGACACAGAGAATTATCTAGATAAATTCTTCAAGCCAGCAAAAGCAGGAAGAAGCCTAAGTGGCAGAATGGGATTGGGGAAAGGCAGAGGGTGGGCTCGTGGCTGGGTGTACTATCTTCAGCCTGACATTGCTTGCTCATGACCTGGTAGATAGCCAAAGAGCACATGTCCCCTAGTTTCTTTCTCTTTATGGAGAATCTGCTTATATTTTAAGACTCAGAACAAGCGACACTTTCTTTAGACAGTTTTCCTGATTCTTAACCCATAGCACCTCTATTAGATACTTGCAGTTGTCCTTGTCATGTCATTAGTTCTGTTTTTAGTAAATGAAAGTAATAGAATGTTAAGCTCAATGGGAGGTGGTTTCCTTTTCAGTTTGTATGCTCTTTGCATCTAACACTGTTGTCAATACCATGAGTATAACAGGGTTGTTTTGAGAATCAACTAAGATAATGTGTACAAATACAATTTTTAAAGTAAAGATTGATAAAAGGACAAGTTCTTTCTACATTAGTGCTGCACTCATGGGAATTTATATGTAAGTTTGGAGCCTTTTAGGTATCATGAGAGAAATGGGGAGTTTAAACATAGTCAAATACGTAATACTCAGCTGTCTATCAATATGTGTAGTTAAGAATTGCTGTTCAGATGAGAACACGTGGACATATGCTGGGGAACAGCACACACTAGGGCCTGTCATGGGAAGCGGTGCAGGGAGGGAGAGCATCTGGAAGAATAGATAATGGATGCTGGGCTTACAAGGTGATGGGTTGATCTGTGCAGCAAACCACCAAGGAAGGTGTTTACCTATGTAACAAACCTGCATATCCTGCACATGCACCCCTGAACTTAAAAGTTGAACAGCAACAACAAAAAGAATTGTTCAAACAAGAGCATATAAATAAAGAAATTGGGACAAACATTTCATGAAACCAGTTAACTCATCCAGACATTTTAGATTATGAAACATACATGTTTAATTGCTTTTTGCTACTAACAGAAATAAGAAGTAACCTAAGAATCAGGACAGAGCTGTTCCAGTTCTCACATCAATAAGCTTCGTGCCCATTGGTGAGATATTTCACCTCTCTGTGCCTCAGTTTCCTTGTCTATAAGCTGATCTGTTTTTCTGAGTATGCCTAAGGGTCTTTATTAGGTTTAAAACACAAGGATTTTCTTATTCTAATGCAAAGAGCATTCTTGTTCGTTTAACCTGCATGTGTTTTCAAAAAGGAGCAAAATCTTTTCTTTATTGAAGTCCAAGGGTGGGCACCCTGCAATTTAAAATCATTCTCCTTGTAACACAATCTTCTGACAGGCCGACAGTGACTTCTGCTGAGAGGGTCTGCTAGTGATGTCTATTTACCTTGCAGATTCCTGAACCTGCATGTATTGTGAGAAAGTGGCATCTGACTTCCTTCCTCGCGCCCTCTTCTGCAGATGAATAAGCCATTCGCTGGCCAGCTGTGTGTGGTTTTCTCCCTTGTAATCAGTCAATGCCTGTCTTTTGAGTCGTGACATGTTTCCACAGTCTTTGGAGCTGAGGATTTTGTGATGTGTTAATGCTTCGTTTGGGCTTCACTGGACTGAATTAGGTTACTGAAGGTGTTTGAATTAAGAGAAAAATGCATTAATTTGATCATTTAATGTTATGAAAAAGGAAATAAGAAAGCTTCTTTTAAAAAATACAGGAATGTCTTATTAGATTTAATTACAATGCTCATGAAACTTTTACAGATGTTGACATTGAAGTCCCAAGTCCTTTCTGAATACTGTCATATTTTTACAATTATTTGCTTAAATAATTGCTGCATTTACCTGATATTTATCTTAAAAAATTTTGAAAACTACTGCCAAATTGTGCACCAAAAGTTAGAACTGCTTTCACAAACAGTGTATGTACTTATACCTTGCCAACACTGAATATTATTAATCTTTGAACTTCTAGCATTCTATTAGGTAAAAAAATAATGTTTCATTTTAAAGGTACTCTATTGATAGCAAATACTGTTCAGTGATTTGTTTCATATACCTGTTACCCACTTTTACTTATTTTGTTTAAATTGCTTTTGCTTATAACTTTTGCCCATTTTTCCATTGGGCTGATACAACAAATGCACCTTTGCTGTGCATTTAAGTATCTGGAACTATCATGAGTACATCATTGAAAAAGCCATAAGAATATTTTCTCGTGGAGATTACATTCTAGGGGAAAAAGAAAAATAAAGCAATCAGTAATATGTACAGCAATGCACCAGTAATGACATTTTGGGAAACAGTGGGCCACCCATATATGATTGTGGTCCCACAATCATAATAAGATTATAATATGGTACTTTTACTGTACTTTCTCTATGTTTAGATACACAAATACTTACCACTGTCTTACAGTTGCCTACAGTATTCAGTACAGTATCATGCTGTTCAGGTTTGTAGCCTAGAAGCAATAGGCTATTCGATATACCATAGGTGTATAGTAGGTTATGCCATCTATGTTTGTGGAAACACACTATAATGTTTGTACAATGACAAAATCGCCTAACAACACATTTCTCGGAACATATCCCTGTGGTAAAGTGTCACATGACTATATTGAGATAAAAGCATGGGGAATGACCAGGATTTACTTAGAGGTTGCTTTAAGCTAACTGATCAGGAAAGGCTTTTCAAAGGAGGTGATATTTCTTTCATGATATGACTGATAAGATCACCCAGTAGCAGAGCATCTTTTCAGGTGATGGAAATAGCATGCATGAGTTTGGGGTATTCCCCCAACAGAAAAAGATAAAAGCCTCCTGGGATGAACCTTCCAATTTCTCCAACTTCATCTCTTCTCACTTTCCCTCCCTCACCTTCTCCAGTCTTATGGAGAAGCCCATGCACAGCCTGGTAGTCCAGGGAAAGGAGTTTCCATTTTATTCCAAACATGTTGGAATGCAAGTGTAGCTTTCTGTAAAGGAGTGACAAAATCAGATTTACACTTTAACAGATTACTCTGGTTGCTAGGTGTGAAATCAATCACTGAGAACAAGAATGGATGCCGGGAGGCCAATCAGGAGCCTACGGCACTTGTCTAGGGAAGAGCTGATATTTACTTGGTGTAGAGGATACTATGCTTTGCCCACCCAGATTTCCTTTACCTGCTGTATGTGCCAGTCTCCTAGCTACCATGAAAGTAGGCTTCTATCGGCCAGGCACAGTGACTCATGCCTGTAATCCCAGCACTTTGGGAGGCTGAGGCAGGTTGATCATCTGAGGTCAGGAGTTCAAGACCAGCCTGGCCAATGTGGTGAAACCCTGTCTCTACTAAAAATACAAAAATTAGCCAGGTGTGGTGGCACATACCTGTAGTCCCAGCTGCTCAGGAGGCTGAGACAGGAGAATTACTTGAACCCAAGAGGCGGAGGTTGCAGTGAGCCAAGATCGTGCCACTGCACTCCAGCCTGGGCGACCAAGAGTGAGACTCCGGCTCAAAAGAAAAAAAGAAAGTAGGCTTCTATCAGTCCCAGTTGCCAGCTTCCTGGGAGGCAGTACCTGGTCTTCCTTCTTGTGGACCTTAGCCAATGATTGACTGACAAGGGGATCCCTTGCCTGGAGGTGGGGTTAACTCTCTGGTGTAATGTGCTCTAGCACTTTATTGTGTTGTCAGCCTGAAGCTATTCTTTAGCTTAAATGATGTTTCTGCTTAGCTCTTTCCTACTGTTCTTCCCTGCTTCTCTTTGCCTTCTCTTCCTCAATAAATTACTTGAACAATAATCTTCATATTAGGCTCTGTTTTTAAATAACCTGACCTAAGACACAGTTTAGAGTGGCAGAGGCTGAAACAGAGGAGAGAGAAAGGATTAAGAATGTTCTAGAGATAAGGGCTACAGGAATGGTCCTGGAATGTGAGAAAAAGACAGAAATAAAAGTAGTTCTCAAATTTTGTTATTGCACAACTTGGTGGGTAATGGCATCATGTACTAATAGATGTCTGGAAGAAGTAGATTTGCAAGGTAGAGAAGGAAATAATTTTATTTCAAATATGTTAAAGTGTCTATAAATGGATACCATCAGGTAGGTAAATAAACCAATCTTTTGATCCCAAGGGCAGTTCAGTCTGAAGATCTATATTTGGGATTCAACAGGGATTCAAATATCATTTGAATGCATGTGACAGAGTGGGAGTACCTATGGTGAGAGTATAGATGAAAAAGACAAAATTTCTCAGGATTGAGTCCTGGTATGACAATTGGAGCAGAGAAAGAAAATCCAACAAACATACTGAGGAGTGACCAGTGAAGTGAGGAAAACAGGAGAAGGTTGTATCACAGAAATAAAGAGAATAAAATGTTTCCAGGAGGGTATGGCCAACTGTTGAATGCAACTGGGTGGTTGATGAAGACAACAGATCACAAGATATGGAAACAGGGAGATTATTGCTGATCTTGACAAAAGAAGATTTTGATAAGAGAAGATTATGAGGTAATGGGTATGCCTATGTCCAAACTCATCAAGACGTATACATTAAATGTGTACAGTTTTTGTATATCAATTAGAAGTCAACTAAGACAAAGAGAAAAAAATGCTAAAAAGGAAAGAATAGAAGAAGCAAATACATTGACCTAGGCAACTATTGTTGCTATAAACAGGAGCAATGAATGAGTAACTCAAGAGGGACAATGAGGTCAGGGGTATTTTTCTTTTTGATTGACACTGATAGGAAGGAGAAATTGATTATCCAAGAGAGGGAACAACTGTAGGAGAAACTCCTTGAATAGACAAAAAGTGATGGGATCTAGTGTCCGTGAGCAGGAGTTGGCTCTAACCTAAAGTAGACACACTTCAAATTTACAACAGAAAGATTGATAGATAATATAAATGCCAGTGAAGAAATGTTTATAGATGTTGTAGTGGGAGGCAAAGCTAGTTTTTGGTAGACTGTTTCTATGTTCTTATTGAAATATGAAATGACAACCAAGCCAAAATGGGGAGTGGGAATGGTTTTGGTAGTTTGGAAATTTGAAGAGAGAAGAGTAAGGATGAAATGATTAATGAAATATTTAATATTTAATCATTAATGAAATAATTTATTCCTTCTGTAAGAAAATTTACTTACAGGGGTGATGTAGTATAATTTCCTTGTGCTATTGAATATCATTTTTGGTACATGTGCTGATGAATTTTAAATAAAACCATTCAGCAAGGTTGTGTCTTTTTTAGCCATATTTAGGTGCTCAGGTGTAGACATGGAATAGGTAGATGGTTGGGTTTAACTAGCATTAATGTCAGGAAAACATAAGAGAGTTAAGGAATTTGCAAGAAGCAATTAAGAGGTAGACTATGAAATCTAAGCTGGGCTAAGAAGGAAACAAGAGGGAGGATGGAAGGAAAAAATAGGAAGGTTAATGGATTTGAAATTTTGATGAGGTTGAAAAAGTGCTGCAGTAGAGGTAGTAGAATATATGAGTTTGTATGATAAGATGAGGTAGCAGAGATGGATGTTTGACATCCACATTCAGAGGTATTAGAAACATCTGTGATAACATGGTCAAAAGTGTGACCCTGGACATGTGTGGGTTACAGGAAACATCAGTGGAAGGGGAGAGTTTGAGAAATCGTGAGGGCATGGTATCAGATGTATCATCCACATACAAGTGAAAATCCTCAAACTTCGGGAGAGGAATAGAGACACAGAGGCTCATAAAATGGGGGCTAAAATCATCAGTGGAATAGAGAGACAGGGAACTTGTAAAGTGTAATATTTATCTCATTGATTTCTATGAGTTTTCAGTTTTTTGAAGTGTATTTTATTACAAGAATGCTATAAAACAAAAATCAAAATATAAGACACAAACCTCTCATAATCCCATCACTTTGTCAGAGGATGGTGGATTTTGACAAAGCCCTATAGCTGTTTCTGGTCTGCTGATCTCTGGCCTGGCCAGGTGTTCCATTTATTTTGCTTGCTCATTCTTCGTGGAAACGTTGCAGGACTTTATGTTACCAAGAGTGTCTGTCTCTTAACCTGGCAGCCAGCTGATGCAAGTCCTCAAATAAACAGAGCTTCTCTTCATGCTCCTTTGACCTCCCTAGTCCAATGCACTGATCTCTCCTACGTGGTTAAAATCTGGGACAAGAACTATTAATAATGGTTGTAAAATAGGGCAGCAATCCTTCATTTTATAAAACATGTCTCATTATAGGTTCCCTAGCTCAGATCGTCTCTCGTTATTTCCACAGAGTTGATTGTCTGGTTACATTTGATTACTCTCTTTAATCCATCCAGATCTTCCGTCAGTCTCAGCCATATTTACAAATTATTTGGCAAGTCCGTTCTCTCCATTCCTGTGACTAACAAGTTGTTATTCCATTGTGTAAGTAGTGTTATTGCCACAGTTGTCTTGAACATCTGCTGATTGTTTCTGGACAGGGAATTATGGGGAGAGCGGAATGGACGCTTTCAAAGAGCTGGCTGCCCAGGAAGGCCTCTGTATCGCCCATTCTGACAAAATCTACAGCAACGCTGGGGAGAAGAGCTTTGACCGACTCTTGCGCAAACTCCGAGAGAGGCTTCCCAAGGCTAGAGTGGTGGTCTGCTTCTGTGAAGGCATGACAGTGCGAGGACTCCTGAGCGCCATGCGGCGCCTTGGCGTCGTGGGCGAGTTCTCACTCATTGGAAGGTAAGTTTCTCTCTCTCTCTCTCTCTCTCTCTCTCTCTCTCTCTCACACACACACATGCACACACACACTTTGAAACACATATGCTTGCTTTCACAAAACTAGACTTGCTAACTCCAAAGTGGGAGAGATGTGCAGTGCTGAGCTGAACATTAGTTCTGGATCTCACTGTTAATGTGAATATTGGCATCTTCCTGCTAAACAACAGCAGAACAAGGCTCAGGAGGGAGGATTGGTTAAGCCCAGGAGTTTGAGGTTACAGTGAGCTATGATTGGTGCCACTGCATTCTAGTCTTGGTGACAGAGTGAGACCTTAACTATAAAAAAAAAAAAAAAAAAAGGAAAGAAAGAAAAACAAGAGCAGAGCAGCATATAACAAGATACTGATACTTTTTCAGAAAAAAAAAAAAGATGGAAAGCTGTTTGGCAGAATATGTCTTGATCTGGAGAATTATTCGTTTCACTTGCTTTCTCCACACCCAAGCCGATGCTTATGTCTTCCTACCTCCTAAACATGAACATCTTATTGAGATATCAGTGGATAAAGGACAGCAGTGAAAATGGAAAATATGTATTAAGATTTGAAATTTACAGAGTTGGCTAAAGACAAGTGAAGATATGCAACGGAACTGTGGAATTTTATAATATATCATCTTGTCACATTTATGAGATAGCTAATTTTGATGCTTTCTGCATGTGATTTCTGGAATTGCTGGTGGTGGCTCCCAAAATTTCTGTTCTCTTTCTAAATCACGTGTACTTGTTTGGCAATAGATGGTCATCATCACTGGATTTTTCATAGGGCTTTTGACCTAACAGATATCTTGTTTAATTTGCCAGCTTCTAATATTGCATAAATAACCTGCTCAGTTTTCCCCAGGAACCTACTGAGTTTACCTGATCTTTACTGATCTTCAACCCTATCACACTCATCTTCCGAAGCTCTTTGTCTCTTCCCATCTCTTCTTCTGGGTACACTACAATCATATCACACCCATTAAAGAGCCTCAACCACTGATCTTCTGCTCTGGAAGCTAGGTAGTACTGGTGTGGACATGCTCACTGGACCTTTCCCTTTTGTCCTTGTGTTTATAATAATGACTGCAATTCTAGGAACACTAACTTTGCCATCACCTGAAATTAGAGGTATAAGACACTTGAGGGACTTTTTAAAAGAAAATAGGATAGAAATACAAATAAATGAATAAAGAAACAGAGATACTCTCCAAGCATGAGGAGGTGTGGAGCCAAGGTCAAATTGTAATTCATGATTAAGATAATTATTAAATGTGGGCAAAATTGGCACACTGGCACACAGAGTCAACTTGGCGTCTTCAACATGGTGCAGTTTTTGGAAGCCAATAAAATGTTCATAAGAAAGCAGGTCTTCTAAGGAGTATTTAAATAAGAAATGTTATTTCTTTTAGGAGTGAAAAGAAGGTAAGCAGTATTGTTGAAGTGTTACACAGAGTAATATATGCACCAGGACAGAGGGTGTCCAGACATTCAGGCCTTTCCATTGCTCTGTAACATGACTGCTTTTAGGAAGGTTGCTTGTTTTTAAAAAATTCTCATATTTATAATTTACAAAACAACAGTAGTCTGTTTTGCAGAATTTATTCCTTTTATAATATCCTCAAAAAAGGGTTCTGGAGATATTGAAAAGATGTGGCAAACCTGTGAGCTTCGGGGCATATAGACTACCTAATTATGAAACATAATTACACAAAATTGTGCGGTGTGTAATTGGAGTGTGAAAAATGTATCCTGTCACCATTGTGAGCTGGACAAGAATGATAATGGCAACTTAAGTCTTTCTAGCTCTTTTATTTTACCTCCTAATAATGCAATTGAACTCATACAAGTATTTCTGAGAGTCGCACATGTGTTTGTTTATGTGCTTGTCTATGAACAGGTCAGCTACATGTGATGTCTACCTCTTTTATTCCTCTTACCTGCCCCACCTCTACTGGATTCCACATATCCGAGGGAGCTATTGTCTCAATGAACACCTGAGCTTCTGAGGACACTGCTTTCTGTGCTAATAGTTACGGTCACTGATGCATGGAATCATTGAGATGACAAAGCTATACCATACTCTTTGCCAAGTGAAGGAAAGTGTCTCTCTGTTCTTCTGGGCTACTTTCCACGAGTGTCTATCAAAATGGTGTTGGCGTTTAATCTCGAATCTTAGAGAATTTTAATGAAAGCAGCCTTTAAAATTTTTTGGCTCACAATTTTCTCTCCCTTCCATGACATTCAGATATGAGTTCATAAGGAGCTGAGCTGGGGACAGAGCCAAGTAGTGAGACGATGCCATCCTTAGAAGTAGCCTTCCCTTCAGGTGGCTGATTCCCTCTCTTTATCGGGGATGGATTCTATCCTAAATGCTGCTCTGTCACTCATGTCAATGGACATGTGGGCTTGGTTCCCTCATGTCAGCAGACATGTCCAGAATAGCTACAGTTTAACCTCAAGCTACAACTTCTAGCTACATTAGTAATGCTGTCAAATATATCTCCCTCCCTTTCTAAGGGATTTTATCTACCAAATGTTGAAGTTTTTTGAGATCAGAAGCCATTGTTTGGTTTCTTTCGTAACACACGGTATGATTCTGGCTACTGCCAGAGTCACAAGAAGGGCATTGTGTAGGTGGTCATGAACTTCTTTTCATATAGTAAATCATGGTGTAGATAGCAGCAGGAGAGATTTGGTTAAAAAAAAATTAGGACTTTTTAAATGAAGACCTACATGCCCTCGTCTCCATGTCTGTTACTTTCTCTCACACTTCACATGCAATGTGTCTGGAACTCGTCTTGACACTACCATCAAAACATATTCAGATGTGGACAACTTGTCACCACTTCCTCTGCTATCATCCTGGTCCAAGCCACGATCATTTTCCCTTGGCTTATTGTGATAACCTCAGAATCGGACCTCTTGGCCATCTAGTCTTAACATAGAAGGCAAAGTGATCTTCTAAGAAATTAAGTCAAGTAGTGTCACTCATCACCTCACATGCCTAATGCCTTAAAATGACCCCCTATTTATTTCATAACAAAGTCATTACAAAGGCCTTCAAAGCTCCATATTTGACCACTTGGAATGAGCTGCTGAGAATGGAATAATGAACTATACTGATAGAAAAATGGACTTTTAAAAAAGGAAGTTCTCATAGAGAATAAAAATATTATATATTGAAAAAATGTGGTGGTAATGAAAAAACAAAACAAAACAAAACAAAACGTGGACTAAGAGTTCTAGCTATGCCATGAAGCAATTATATGATCTTATTTACTTAGTAGCTTTTTGTCTTGGAGCCTATTTTTTTCTATTAAAATAAAATATTTGGCTCCACATCATCTTTAAACATTTTTCCAGTCCTAGAATTTATAATATATTAAGACAATATGACTAATCTAAGATCAGTAGGGATGTATTTATAGACTTATCTAATATTATTCATTAATTTGGGCTGATCAATTTCTTCACCAGCCACTTCGTTAAAACCAGAATTCATAGAATAAGCTGGTCAGTATTAGGATAAATCTGTTGTTATGAAATATAGCCAGCAGACCCAGGGGAGAATCAAACCTTTGACTTTGAATAAATTGGCATAGTATTCTTACCAAGCAAATTAACTAATCACAATCAAGTTAATCATTGTGCAAAAGAATCATTTCTTCTTGTCTCTATGAAAGCTTTATTTAAGATGCTTCTCAGAATTATGCTCACTATAATAATAATTGTAATAATGATTGTGATGCTGATGATGTACCTGCGTCTGATAATACCTGTTTAGGACTTACTATATATAAGCACTGTTCTAAGAACTTTGCACATAACTCATTTAATTGTCACAACAATGTGATAAGATAGGTACTAATATTATTCCCCTTTCAATGTACGGAGTACAGTAACTTGTCAAAAAGTGCTGCAGTGCCAGTGCTGGGATTTGAAGTTAGGGACTGCAACATCAGAATCTGTGCTGTTAATTAGTAAGTTTGTGGGGTAATGGAAAAACAAAACAAAACATGAGATAAGAGTTCTAGATTTACCATGATTGTTTTGTTTAAGAGATATTGGCATTAATCTTAGTTTCCTTTTAACTTGCTCTCTCTTTCAGAGATTTATTTCACGGTTTAGAGTCACCTTCTTTGGGAAAATCAGCTAAAGTATCTCCCATGAGAAAATTATTTTACATTTCTAGTTATTCTTTATTTCTTTGCATTCTTTTATTTCATGCTTAGTTTTAAATATTTCCTATGATAATTCATTAACGGATAACTCATTTAACCTCTTTTCCAGCTCATTTCTTTATCTTAACATGGGACTTTACAATGTCATTCTCTTTGCACACCAGGCTTTATCTATAGAACTATATTTATGTAGAAGTCAACTTGGAATGAGTGCTATTTCTCTAAAATTCTAAGTTATAATTATTAAAATTCTAATAGTTAACTGATGGATCTGTTCTAATTCTTAAATTTTTTTTTATCTGAAGAAAGTAAAACTGAGAATAATTTATGTGTATGAGCACAAAAAATAGCTACCATTTATTGAGGGTTTGGTAGGTACTAGGCTATTAATATATGTTGTCTCTAGTTCCAAAAACAGCCCTGAAAGGTTGACTTGAAAAGCAGAGAAGTTCAATAATTACTCCAAATTCCTAAGTTTAATAAGTGGTGGAGTCAATATTCAAACTTACTACTGAACCATATTATCATATACATATATAGGTATTGAATTGTAACCTCCTCAACTGTAGGAACCAAGTTTTATACAGTTGTTTATTTTCCTTCATGCCTAGCACAGTGTTTTGGTATGATAACTTTTTAATAACTACATCAAAAAGCTTGATAGCTAGTAGAGAGAGCATGTAGCCTCATTATGTGACCCCTGATTTCCCTTTGATAGTCTAGAATCAGTAAATTTTACCTAGTTTGGTAAGGGTTGATGCTCTTCAATCAGCCTGTATCTGAACAATTCATCTGTAAAATTGGAACAACAACCCATTTAGGTTGTCTTATTTGTCTAATCACAAAATGCCTGCTTGCCTGGTGAGTCATCACTGGGTCTCACTAGTAGGTCCCTTGGCGGTACCTTAGCTCCACTAAAGACACACTATTCTTTCAGGGTGAGTGAGAGCCTCCTGACTTTAGTCCTTTGCCTAGTGTTGGCATTATCCTGAGCCTCCACCCTGGTTTCCTCATCTTGGAAAGCCTTTACTGTAAGTTCACATTCTGCCTTGTTAGGAGTCTTTGACTAGACATACTAGGTGTACCATATTTATTTATATATTTGCTAGCCCTTTTTACTGGATTCTGACTACATCTTTTTTTTTTTACAGTTCTTGCATTTCAATTGCTTGTCCCTTACTACTGTGTGCTGTTTTATCTATTGCTTCTCGCAACTCTGTGATCTTCTCACTCATTAGGCCAACTTTCTATCACTCCTCACTGCAGAGAAACACCACCCCCAGCCCTTTAGCTAAAACTTGATCCAAGAAAATTTTATTCTCCTGCTTTTTTAGTTGAAACACAACAAACACATCAAACACACGTGTAAAAAATGGTTGAAATGGAGCAATTGCTTTATTTGGAAAGAAGACTACAGTTTCATTTAAAAGCAAATGAAATACTTGGTTTTTACTGTGTACCTTTTGGGGTCTTTTTCTTTCAGAACACACATTTGGGAAAGTGACCTCTATATCCTTGAAACATAAGATTATATACCACGGTGTTATGTTTCATATACTTTTTAAAAATAAAATATGAGTTATTTTAGTTTCATGTTTCCACTATGGAAAAAAAATGGGGAAAACTCTAAAGTTTGCAGCATTCAGGAAAAATTGCAAAGATTTTATTTTAAAGAGAATGTGGACTTTCATTGAAGTGTGACATCTCCAAAAATGGATTATAATCAGAAGGCCAGCAAGGCAGATAAGCATTTTCTGATGCATAATGGTCATGACTTACAGATATATGACTTGGCCTTTTCTCAGCTCCCAAGGGCAGGAAATTATTACAAACCTGCAGACAGGCTATACTTTTCTTAAAACACTACTGCTCTACAGACAGATTAATGAGAGCTTTGTGGAAAATTACACTGCTAGAAAAAGACTGAGAAATGTTGCTTGGGAAGGAGAAGGAATTTTGTTTAGAATACTCTGGAGAATAAATATTATTTGTAAGATATCAACAGGTATCGTGTGTATAGATCTCTGATACAGAATTGGTCAGGATTTCCATAACAACTGAGGAGGTTGATTTACCTTAAAGTTGGTAATTATAAACCCTTCCTATATTCTAACACCTATAGTCTCATGTTTCAGATACCGGACATCTGAAACGTGAAAGATTCCACTTTCATGGTCTTTACCTGCCTTTAGGGTATTAAAACATTGAGGAAAAGGATTTCTGGTGCTGTCTGCGTCTGTATGGCACTACCCAATTTGAATAGACGGAAAAGGATGTCATTATGATTCAGCTCATTTTGTCTTTGATGCTGATCAGAGACAATATGGAATTTATCTTAACATGTTCTTGTAGCACTTGTGGCAGTTCCTACCTGGGTTTAAATCACAATCAGCAGACACACTTAAAAATAGATTCCCTGATCTCACCTTAGACCATCAATACAATTTCTTGGTCAGGACTTTGGATCTTATTTCTTTTTTTATTTTCCCCGTCTGATGAATTAGCTTTCAGAATCACTACCTTATGATGCCTAGATCAGGGATTTGCACTCATGTGGCATTCACTATGAATTAACTGCTTATGGGGCATATTTGAAAGGGAAGACAAAGTGAAAGGTTAACTCTATTGTCCATTATTCTACCATTTCAGCTCTGTTTTTTTCTTTCTTGAAATTTACTTGCCTTCAAGGTTTTTGTCTTAAACTACAGATACATTTGAGATTAGTAAATAGTAGTCGGAGTAGTAAAAAACAATTTGCAGTTCTCTTTATTTCCTGTGTTGGTGTCTTCTCCTGCTGCCCAAATTGGCCTACTGACCTGCCCTCTGAAAACACAGTCATGTTCCAGTTTTCTGACTAATCAAATTGCAAAGTAGGAGCATTTAAACATAACTCAAGGTTATGAGTCTAGAGTTGCCTGGGGCCTACCAATGAAGTTTCTCTTGCTAATTACCAGAATGGGGTCTGATGACTGAATTGTTCCTTAAGTTAGACTCTCTCCATAACCACTTATCTGTCTACATCATAAAACTGGGGAGGTTTTAAAAACTTTAGGTTTTGGGCTCCACCTTCTTCAGATTCCAGTTTAATATGCTGGGGAAGGGACTTAGTAATTTATATGTGCTCTTCAAATTAGCTTTACTAAATTCACCAATTTTATGTGTTTATTTGATGGATTTTGATAACTCTACGCAGTGACATAAGCACCAAAGCAATCATGATGTAGAATGCTTGCACAATGTTTCTTAGTACCGCCTTGCAGTCTCTCCTCTGCAACCCCTGGAAACAGGCAACCACGGCATTACACTTTGGCTTTTTCTAGAATTTCACATAGAAGGAATCATACAGAATGTAGTCTCTTGTGTCTGATTTCTTTCAATTGACAAAATACTTTTGAGATTCCTTCATGCTGTTGGGCATATTACTAATTTCCTCTTTATTGTTGAGTAGGATTCCATGGCATAGATATATCTCAACTTGCTTATCCATTTACCTATTGATAGACATTTGGATTGTTTCTAATTTGTAACTATTTTGAATAGTCCTGCTGTGAACATTCTTGTACAAGTCTTTGTGTGGACATGTATTTTCAATTCTCTTTAGGAACTATCTAGGGGTGAGATTATGGGTCATAAGTGTGTGTTTAACCTTGTCAATTACTGTATAAGAAATTGACTATTTTCCAAAGTGGCCATATAATTTTGCAGTTCCACCAGCAATGTATGAGAGTTCTAATTCCTCCACATCTTCACCAAAATAGTATTGTCAGTCTTTTGACTTTTAGCTATTCCAGTGGGTGTATCGTGGCATCTCTTTGTGGTTTTAATTTGCATTTTCCTAATGACTAATAATGTTGAGCATTTTTATGTACTTATCTGACATTTTAGTATCTTTTTTGGTGAAATATCCTTCACATCTATGTCCATTTGGATTTTCAGGTTGTTTATCTTCTCATTATGGAGTCGTAAAAGTTATTTATAATTTCTGGACACAAGTGATTTATCGTATATGTGTATAATAAATATTTTCTCTCAATATGTGTCTGAAATTTGTATTCTGCTGAGTGTCTTTGGAAGATGAAACATTTTGAATTTTAACAGTGTAGTTATCAATTTCTTCTTTTATGGTTTATATTCTTTGTGTTCTATCAAAAATATTTTACCTCCTCCAAGGTCACAAACATTTTTCTAAAAGTTTTATATTTTTTGCCCTCATATTAGATATATGACTCATTTGGGCCTAATTTTTGTATATGTTGTGACATAAGGGTGAATGTTCTTTTTATGTAAGAATATCCCAGTCGTTTGAGAACATTTTACTAGAAGAAATATTATTTCTTCACTAAATTAACTTGACATTTTGTTAAAAATAATGTAATATATGTGTGTGTGTATTCTTATCTTAGATTAATTGAATTTTTAGCATTCAATTTTATCTCTATTTTTGGCTTACTAGCTATGACAATTATTTTATGAATAGTTGATCTAGGGTTTAAAATATACTTCTTTACGTTGTTATTGCCCATGTCCCAAGAATATTATACTGCATCACATATGATATAAGAAGTTTATGATAGTAAATTTCTATTTCTCCCTGACTTTTGATTCTATTGTTATTATGTATTTTATTTCTATATCTATTCTTAAACTCAAAATACATTGTTATTTTTGCTTAAATAGTGAATTATCTTTCAAGAAATAAAAAATGAGAAAAATTAGCTTCTATATTTACCCGTATAAAAACTATTTATGACCTTCTTCATTCCTTTGTATTAATCCATATTTTCATTTGGATTATTTTTTTTCTGCCTAAAGAATTTCGTTTAACATCACTTGTGGGACTTATCTACTGAGACACATTTTCTTCTACTTTTTGTTTTGCCTGCAAATGTTTTAATTTTGTCTTAATGAAAGAAAAATGCCTAGTATAGAATTCTAGGTTGATAGTTGACTTTTATGGTCAATACTCTAGAGATATTACTTAATTATACTTTGACTTGCATGGTTTCTGATGAGAAATCTGCTGTACTTCTTTTTACCTTTGTTTCTCTAATATGTATTATCACTGAATGCTCTTAAGCATGTTTCCTTATCACTAGTATTGAGTCATTTTATTATGATAAGCCTTGATGTAGTTTTTAAATATTTATGGGACTTGGGGCTTATTGAACGTTTTAGATTAAGTGTGATCAAATTTGGAAAAATGGCCATTATTTCTTCAAATATTATTTCTGCCTTTGTTGTTATATTCTTTCTAGCTGAGATTCCATTTATATGTGTTTGACTTCTTGACATTTTTACATAGAAATTTTATCTATTTATTTATTTTCCACTTTTTTCTTTTACATTTTCAACAGTTTCTATTGCTATAACTTTGAGTACACTGATCTTTTGTTTTGCAACATCTAATCTGCCGTTAATCCCATCATGTAATTTTAAAATTTCAGATATTGTATTTTTCATCTCTAAAAGTTATACCTGAGTATTTTGTTTACTTTCTATTTCTTTTCTTAACATGGTCATTCTTCTGGGATATATAAAAACATATTTAGAGTAGTTGTTTTAATGTCCTTCTCTGTCTTGCCAGGCAGGCTTTCCACTGCAGTTTATGGGGTATGTGCTGTTCTCAGTGTTGTGTAAGTTCCAGGATTTGTTTGTTCTATGTTTTCCAGTGAGTCTTTCTCCCGCCTTAGATATTTTCTTCTCAGATATGTGTACATCAGAACTTAGCTAAAGACTGGAGGGAATCCCTCCAAAGATTTGTTTTTCAACCCACTTTTCTCCTTTTTGGTACTCTGTCCCAGTAAGTCTACCTGCTTCAACCTTCCCAAACTCTGATCCCTGTTTTCTTATTTTTCGCTGAATTTCCCCCGCCCTGTTCTGCAGCCTAGAGACTACCACCAGACAGTAACATGGGCAATTTGGTTCATCTCTTTGATTTTACTTTTCTGGAGAATTATAGTCCTATATTGACATTTATACAATGTCTGATAACAGTTGGTTCATATATTTTATTTCGTGTTCTAGTTGTTGAAGGCAGGAGGCCACCATTTCACATTCCTACTAGCAATGTATGAAGCTTCCACATACTAACCAAGGCTTGTTATCATTATTGTCCTTTTTATATAGCTATCTTAGTGAGCATAAAATGATATCTCACGTGGTTTTGATTTGTCTTTCTCTAATGTTTGTTTATCTGAGAATGTCTTTATTTCACCTTTAATTTTGAAAAATATTTTTGCTGGATATAAGATTCTTGGCTAACAACTTTTTTTTCCCTCCAGCATGGTGAATATGTCATTCAACTGTCTTTTGGCCTCTTTTGTTTTTCATAAGGGATTACTTCTGTATATTACTGTGGTTTTCTTTTTATATGATCAGTGGTTTTTCACTTGCTGTTTTCAAGATTTTTCTGTTTAATCCCATGTAACCATTTTTACTATGCTGAGCCTTAATCTTCTTGTGTTTATCTTACTTAGAGTTCATTCTTGCATATGTAGATAAAAGATTTTTCAGCAAATTTGGAAAGTTTTCAACCATTATTGCTTTAAATATTTTTTCTTCTCCTTTATCTTTCTCCACTTTTTCTGGTACTCTTTTTATATGTATGTTGGTACACTCACTTAAAGGTATCTCACATTTCTCTGAGGCTCCGTTCATTTTTGTTTTTATTGTTGTTCTATTTTCTGTCTGTTCTTTGGGTTTTGTAATCGTTATTGATTCACTCAATATTTCTTCTGCCAGTTCAAACCTACAGTTGAGCCCTTCTAATAAACTGTTCATTTTCTTTATCTTTTCAACTCCAGAATTAATTTTGGTCCTTGTTTTTTAATAACTTCTGCCTTTTAATTGATAGTCTGTATTTAATTAGACACTGTCATTATATCCTTTTTTTTACTTCTTTAAGCATAGTTTCCTTAGTTCTTTGAATATATTTATAATAGATACTTTTAAGACTTTGTTATAGCTGACATCTGGTCCATCTCACAGGCAGTTTTTGGTTGCCTGCTTTTTTTTTGCATGTATGTGAGTCACACTTTTTTTTAAAAAAATCTCATTTTTGGTTAAAAACTGGAAATTTTGTTAATATGTTATAACAATTCCAGATACTAATCCTGTTCCTCTTCTCTGGGGCTTGATTTTGTTATTGTTTATATTTTTTGTCTTGGGTAGATTATTTTATTGAAGTCTATTTTTTTGCAGTGTGAAATCACTTGAATAATCTTTTTTGAATTTGTGCTGTGTACTGGGGGCATTTTATATATGAGAAAACCATGGCTCACTGAGATTTGATGACTTATCCAGAGCCACTTACCTAGTCACTACAGCAAAGATATTCAAATAAAAATTTGTCTAGCTTAAGAGTACTCTCCTGTGTAAGTAGGGTACCATGTTGAAGGTTGCAGAGGAAGTATGTATTTATTTTCTGTTTTCTACTATAATAAATTACCACAACGTTAATGACTTAAAAATACAAAATTTTAATATTGAGTTCTGGGCCCTCACGTGCCAAAAACCACCTGGTGTGGCAACTGCACGCCACTCTGCATCCTACAGCGTGGATCCTCTGCATGTGCTTTTGGGAGATGAGCTCACTGAAATGGCCATGTCCAGTCAAGGACACTTTGAGGGAAATTTTGAGTCTCTGGATCTTGCAGAATTTGCTCAAAATCAGCCATGGGGGAATAAGATGTTTGGACAGGAATCTGGATCTCTGGCTAAAAAGTATCCCGTGACAACCCAGCTGTTAATTGGAAGCTTCACTAGATGATGCATGGAGTTCATATTCCAAAAGGTTGAAAATTGGCTGCAACAGCTGTGGGGGGGTGAATTTTTTCTCCTTCAGCTTGCAAGTCATACTGAGTACATCAAAGATGACTGGCAACAACTAGAGGAGGACATGAAGAAAGCAAAAGAACAGCTGAAGATCCATAAAAGCAATCAGATACCTACTAAGGTCAAGAGCAAAGCTGAGGAGGTGGTGTCATTTGTGAAGAAGAATGTTCTAATGACTGGGGAAATTTTCAGAGGTCTTCTGCTTGGCATGGCATCATAAGGAGGATGACCTCATTTCTATTGTTCTTGTTTTTTTTCCAGCCACCAGCCTCTATACTCCATCATAGGGCATAGAGCCCTGCCTCTTCTTTTCCCATGACTTCCTCCCTGCTGTGGCAAATCCAAATGGCTTTGGGAAGCATCTGTTGGTATAAGTTAATATGGTCCTACCTTGAGCTTGATGGTGGCAGAAGAGACAATAGATATTAGTTCTCCTTCCAGTCACTATTAAAGATATGCTTTACTCAGAAAAAAAAAGACAAAAAAGCTCTGGATGCCAAAAGTTTGAAATGAGTGTCACTGGGCTAAAATTAAGATATTGGCGTGCCTTTTCTACGTTCCTTGGATTGTAGAACTCTGCCTACATTCCTTGGATCACAGCCTTCTTCCTCTATTTTCAAGCCAGTAGCATTGGGCTGAGTCTTCCTCACACTGCCATCTCCCTTGTTCTCTCTTCTGTTTCCCTCTGCTACTGTTAATAAGCATTGTATTTACATTGGGCACACCTGTATAACTCAGGACATTCTCCCTAATTTCAGACCAGGTGAATAGAAACCTTTATTTTATCTACCACCTTAATTTCTCTTTGCCGAATGTATTCACTGGTTCCAGAGATTTGAGCATGGACATCTTTGACTGGCTATTATTTTGAGCAGAAGGTCAAAGAGAGGACAGGTATTAGTAGTCTGTGGAAAAAGCAGTATCTAGGAAATATTTGGTAGAGGAGTGAGGGAGCCTTAAGAGATTGGTAGATTGAGGGAAGAACTTGATAAAAAGTAAGAATCTTAAAGCTATATGAGGTGAGGGATAGCCAAGAAAGGTCTTAGCACAGTGATACTCAATGTGGGGTTGGGATGAGGGCACTATATTTCCACAAGGCAGCATATGAGTCTTAGAGGGTAGGTTAGTGGTCTGAAATTAAAACAGTATTTTTTATAGTCCTAGAATTTGTTTTTGTCATATTTAATGGCATTTGGATTTAAAAAATTGAAAAATGTATAACACTTTATACTTTTCACAGAAAGAGATAGGTTTTGGAAGAGTAGAGAAATACTAACTGATAAGTTGATCAGGGAGATAGGATCAGAAATAAATACGTAAGGCTGGATTTTGAAAAGAGAGGCGACATTTCTTCCTCTGACCCAGGAGAGTGAGCGAATGACTGGCTGGGTAAAAGTCTGGATGGACTTTGGTAATAAACGGATTCAGAAGCAGGTGTGCTGCAGTATGCAAGTTCTTTGACTGGAAAACTCTTGATTTTGGCCTGATGCAGCAACTCACGCCTGTAATTCCAGCACTCTGGGAGCCCAAGTGGGTGGATCACCTGAGGTCAGGAGTTCAGGACCAGCCAGACCAACATGGAGAAACCCCGTCTCTACTAAAAATAAAAAAAAATAGCTGGGCATGGTGGCGCCTGCCTGTAATCCCAGCTACTCAGGAGGCTGAGGCAGGAGAATCACTTGAACCCGGAAGGCAGAGGTTGCAGTGAGCCGAGACTGCACCATTCCACTCAGCCTGGGCAACAAGAGTGAAACTCTGTCTCAAAAAAAAAAGAAAAGAAAAGAAAAAAAAAAAGAAAAAGAAAAAGAAAGAAAGAAAGAAAAGAAAAAAAGAAACTCTTGATTCTTCCAATCCTATCATATCCCATCTCTTTTTGTGAATAAACTGATTTTGATGAATAGTAAAATAATTAAGAGCCACTGCCTTAATCATTCTAGACAGTAAAAATAAATAACTTCTCTCACTGATGGATGATTCCAGAGTTTTATCTAAATTCTGTGGAATGGTTGAAAATTGCAGAATAATTTTTTTCCTGAGGTTCTTTTTTTTTTTTTTTCGAGACAGAGTCTCGCCCTGTTGCCCAGGCTGGAGTGCAATGGCATGATCTTGGCTGACTGCAATCTCCACCTCCTGGGTTGAAGTGATTCTCCTGCCTCAGCCTCCCAAGTAGCTGGGATTACAGGCACCCGCCACCACGCCTGGCTAATTTTTTGTATCTTTAGTAGAGATGGGGTTGGCCAAACTGGTCTCAAACTCCTGACCTTGTGATCCGCCCGCCTTCGCTTCCCAAAGTGCTAGGATTACAGGTGTGAGCCACCGCACCTGGCTCTTCCTTGAGGTTCTTACTCAGAGTTGTAGTTTCAGTTATGTTTATGTCAGGTGTGCTCACATATTTGGAAGAATATGAATCCTTACTTGATATCTGACATCTTATCTCTAAGAGATAAATTTTATCTCTAAGAGATAAAAATTTCTATACATTTTTAAGACAACATTGAAAGTTGAAAAAAATCATGTCCTGAAAATTCAGTTTGAGAAATTTTTACTCTTTTTTCCTAGTGTTAAATTTTCCCTACACAGGTATATTCCCTGGAAATTGCTATAGGCATTTTTTTTTCCAAAAGGTAGACACAGCTTCAGGGATGTGTGGAAACACTACACAATAACTACTGGATATGACTTTATGGGCTTCTGGATTTAGCATTCCTTTCTAATAGAGAAATATGAATATTATTTTTTCTCCTTGCTCATCAAATATAGCACATTATATAGTTCTTAAATTTTACTCTAGTCCATGCCTGTGGGGATTTCAAACCTAGATAAGTGCAAAGGAGCTGGAATTGCAAAAATTGTGTCAGTAAAGAGGTATACTGTGTGTAGTTTGCTGGTATGTTTTGCCAAAGTAGAATATTGAAAATTATTATATCTATGTACTGAGTTTGGTCACTACATACTATTGGAAAATTTTATATTGTTATACAATCACTTAATTAAGCTTATAATTTCCGAAAGATAAACAAGAGCTCATTAACTATGTTTTGGGTTATTAGATTAGGAATGTTTACACTTGTATCCCCAGGGCTTTGTGCCTTGAATTTTCTTTAAAGAGAGGAAAGTCTTGGCTGAGGCTGACTTTCTGTGGAGAAAGACTTGTGAAATGCAAATGGTTTTCATCCATCCAAAATCTCATTATCTCAAGGCTCAATTTGGGAAAAACTTGCTTCCAAACTCATTCACTTTGCCATTGCCATGGCTCAGATTCTTGCTGGCTATTTGTTGGAGCTAACAGTTTCTTGCCATGTGGACCTCTGTGTGGGGCCAGCCCAGGTGAGATCTGGCTTCCCTGAGGTGGGGGGCGGATAGAGAGAGAGAGATCGAGAGAGAGAGGGGAGAACATCACAGTCTTTGGTAACTAATTGTGGAAGTGATATCCTGTTACTTTTGCCATATTCTATTCATTAGAAGTAAGTCACTAGGTCCAGCAATTCAAGGGGAGGGGAATGCACAAGGGAATGAACACAAGGAGGCAGGATCATCTTAGAGGCTGCCTATTATGGTGGTAGAAACAGACCCATAGTATTTGCATTTGGAAATCACTTTTTCTGATTAAATATGCTTGGCTGTTAGTCATTTTATAGTCTTGCTTTTAAAGCTATTATTCTAATGAGGTTAAAGCAGAAATCAGAATGAAAATTTTTCAATGACACCATTGGAGGACATACGTCCCTGTGCTAGTGTTATCACTTGAGTTTTCGAGACTTATAATAGATTCTTGTTACAACCTCTACTTTCCTTAAATGTCATCTATTTTAAAAGCTTCAGGTAAAGCCTCTCACAAGTTGTCTGGACATGTCTATATAGATGGTGTTTCTTTGCTGGGTTTATTGTGTTTTCCATGTGACTTTGAGGAGCAGTCTATGAAAAACAGGAGTATTTTGCTCTACAGAAGTTAGTTTTTCCTTCAAAATTGTAAATAGTAAGAATAATACAATACACATAAATACAAATGCAGGATCCATCTCATAAATCCAAAATATCCTCCTCTGGGTCATTGGAAGTTTTTCTTTTTAAAGTCACAAACTGGAGTTTTCAGGTCTTCATGCACAATTCATATGGTAAGGAAAAAAAAAAGATGTATATGCTATACCTTACTAGCCAGATGAGAAAGGCCCACCATCTTCCCTATAGTTGATAGGGTATGGGTTACATTAGGTTATAAAAATATATAGGTTGTATTTCACAGAGCTTACAATAATACTCGGGTTGTCTAAACCTGTATGTTATAATAGGCCATTGTGGTTTTGGGGAAACCTCTAACCCTCTTTCCTCACTTTAAAAGAGAGACAAAAATTCACTAACTATAGTAACTATCTCCTAAGTTATTCTGAAGATTAAATAATAAAATATAATCATGATAAGGGCACAGTTTTGTTTAGCTAGCTTTTGAAACCCTAGCGCCCTTTCAACAGTGCTTTAGGCTTCATAGGTATTCAGTTAATTCTTAATATCAAATAATGTGTCCAGTTCAGTACCTGATACACAATGAATTCTCAGTAAATGTTGACAATTGTGATTATTCAACAATAAAATAGATTTCTCTAGGTGTCAGCAAGGATCCTTTAACTGGCAATAGTCAAGCAGAGGTTTTGAAACACCTATTAGGAACTGGAAGGGATTAATAAATTAGGAAATTTATTGATGTACTTGACTTTAAGTCATGATGTGTTATAATTGCTGTTTCAGAATTGTTGGGTTAATATCTTACCTGTTTTTGAGGATTACAGTGAATAGCTGTAATTTGAATATCTCCCCATGAGCTTCTCTGGTCAATTGAGGTAAGGAAATCAGTAATAAAGACTCAGAGATCTTAACATACTAAAATTTTGGTTTTAGTGTGTTGACTTGTTCAAGAGTTCACTTGTTCAAGAGTTTAGTATGTTCAAGAGTTCACTTGGCTCTGTCTCCTGTAGAATCAACAGCTCAAAATATTTGAAAGGAAAAAAGAAGTCTGTAAGTTTTCCTTCAAGATATATTAAATATTGTATATTTTCTAAGCAACAATGAAGTTGTACTATTCTATACCAAAATAATTAGTTGATTCAATAAGTTCTTAGAAGAGGATTAAATCTTTTAACGAGGTTACTTCTCTAAATAAGCAATAAATTACATCAGATAATTACTCATAGAATAATTTTTAACTAGCATCCATAATAGAAATACCTGCATTCTAACTCCAGATTCCCCATTCATTACTAAGAGAACTTGAGTAAGTTACTTAACCTTTCTCTAAAGTGATACCAATATTAACATCTCTCATATTAGGGCTATTGCGACCTTTATGAAGAAAATGGAATTTAACTGTTTAACAGAATTCCCCTGCATGCCATTAGACCAATATATATTAGCTACACATTTTAGCCTTGTATTACTAAATGGACTCAGCCTGAGCTTTCTTTTCTTCTTTAAGCCTTAAGTATTTGGCTTCAAGTTTGTATCTCATTTTCCTAACAGAGGACCAGGAAAGAAAGCAGCAAAGTAAAGTAAGTGAGTCCTTTATGTCTGACCTTTAGTCCATTGTTTCAATATATGATTTCCTAATCTCAACCCAGGGGAATAACTAGAACTGACATGTATTCCCAGAGTGACTTCCTCTGACAACTCACAGCAGGCTAGAATAGAATAGAATAGGCTGAGTTAAAAATTTTAGATTATCTTCATTCTCTTTCTGCTAGATGTGTTCTGAAAATAGTTTGTACAAGTTAAGTTTCACTTCTTTCCTCTAGGATATTATTAAAGGTGTCTTTCTTTTAATTTGGCTCTCTTTGATTTTTTATATAGCTTAATATATGTATTTTTTATACTCAATGTTCTTAAATTCCTGGCATTCAGTTTCAGAGCTTTTAATCACACTAAAATCTGATATTCACGTTTGCAACTTTTTGAAGCTGGATAACTTATGAGTACTGTTTTGGAAAAAAATGAATTGCATTCCTTTCTCAGTTATCATTATTTAAATGGCATCTCTGCCTTCACTGAATTTTTTTTCTTTTGCTGTTGCTCTCATTAAATGCATTTTTGCAATTTGAGTTTGACCATTTCTTGTCTCTGCCTTGAAAAATGCATTTTAAAATTGTAGACAAGAAAAATGCCTGTGAAAGATCACAATCTCATAGTCATATAAGCACTTGCTCATCATAGGTCTGCAGAGATTATTTTTATAACAGGCCTACAGAACTCTTTATTCTGTGTATTAATTTGATAAATTTTACTTTTTAGATGAATTTTACTATTCTTGGATTTACAGAAAAACTGCTAAGATAGGTCAAGAAAGTTCCCCTATACTCAGCACTCAATTTCCCTTAGTAAGCTTTATTAACATATTTTATTAGTAGAGTACATTTGTTACAATTAATGAATCAATATTGATACTGCATTATAACAAAAGTCTATGTTTTCCGCAGATCATAGTTTTTACTTACTGTCCATTTTCTGTTTCAGAATACCACATTCTCTTTAGTTGTCATGTCTCCTTAGACTCCTTTTGGGTATGACAGTTTCTCAGACTTTCCTTGCTTTGATGACCTCAATAGTTTTGAGGAGTACTGGTCTGGTAGTTTGTAGAATGTCTCTCATCTAGCACTTGTCTAATGTTTTTTCTCATTAGTAGACTGGTGTTATGGATTTGGGGGATTAAGACCACAGAGGTAAAGTGCCATTTTCATCATATTATATAGGTTGAGTATCCCTTAGCTGAAATGCTTTGGGATTTTGAATGTCTTTTTGATTTGGGAATATTTTTTCTAAACACAATGAAATATCTTGGGGATGGGACCCAAGTCTAAACATGGAAATTAATTTATGTTTCATATACAACTTATACACATAGCATGAAGGTAATTTCATACAATATTTTTAATAATTTTGTGCATGAAACAAAGTTTGTGTACATTGAACTATCAGAAAGCAAAGGTGTCACTATCTCATGTCTTCTGCGCTCAATAAGTTTTAGGTTTTGGGACATTTTGGATTTTGGATTAGGAATGCTCAGCTTCTATCAACATGACTTATCCCTGCTGATATTGATGTTGAGCATCTAATTTTTATGTATTTTTTAAAATTTCTCATTTAGTAGCCATTCTTATTTGGATACCAAATGTCTATGCTTGTATATTCATGTTTGGGACTATCTGCCCTAGACCAACTTGTGTACTGTTCATTATGTACATCACCCACTGGCTGGCACTGCTAAGGTGAAGCTGGGTTAGGAACATCCCTGTGATTTAATTCAAAGATGTTAATCTACCCACAACAAGGCCTCTAATCTGGGCTGGTGGTATAAGAATGGGAATCGATTTTAATGCCTTGGAAGAGAGTCCTGTGAGAAATAGACAGTGGTCAGAACCCAGACATATGGACTTTTTGTCCTGGAAGTAATCCATTTTCAGATAGGAAATACAGAGTACCAGACTATAAACCACTGGCGAATCTCAAATATACAAATTGGGAGAAAAGGGTATATTGAAGAAAATAAATCAACACTCTCACGTGCACATGTGTTCTCAGGACTAACACTGACTAGTGCAATCCAGACCTAAACAGCAAGATTCCTTTCAGATCCCACTACCTAAAATGCCATGCCCCCGCTGGAAAAGATAAAGTTTTACTTCATCTTGACTTTATCTTGATTTTGAGCTTGCAGAGAGATGACCTTATGACCCCAGCCAGCTAAGCCTTTGGAGAAGGAATGGGTGGGTATCAGTGTAGGGTCAATTGATTGAACTTTCTGCTCATTCATTTATATGAGAGAAAATTAAAGGACAGTGTGCCTGTTGTTTAGATTGTAGAGTCAGTAAGTAGCATGCCCAGAATTAGAACTCAGAACTTTTTTTGTTTTGTTTTGTTCTGAGACGGAGTTTCGCTTTGTCGCCCAGGCGGGAGTGCAGTGGTGCGATCTTGGCTCACTGCAAGCTCCGTCTCCCGGGTTCACGCCATTCTCCTGCCTCAGCCTCCCAAGAAGCTGGGACTACAGGTGCCGGCCACCATGCCCAGCTAATTTATTTTTTGTATTTTTAGTAGACGGGGTTTCACTGTGTTAGCCAGGATAGTCTCGATCTCCTGACCTTGTGATCCGCCCACCTCGGCCTCCCAAAGTGCTGGGATTACAGGCGTGAGCCACCCTGCCCAGCCCAGAACTCAGAACCTTTAATTTTTTTTTGTTCTTTATTCCTTCATCTTTTAAGAGTTTGAAAAACTCTTCTTTTCCCAGCACTTTGGGAGGCCGAGGCAGGAGGATTGCTTGAGTCCAGGAGTTCAAGACCAGCCTGGGCAACACAGGGATACTTTGTCTCCACAAAAAAATGTAAGAAAAAAATTAACTGGAGTATGGTGGTGTGCACCTGTGGCCCCAGCTACTAGGGAAGCTGAGGAGATTTGCTTGAACCTGGGAGGTCAAGACTGAAGTGAGCCATGATCACCTAGGTGACAGAGCAAAATCCCAACTCACCAAAAAACAAACCAAAAAAACCAACCAACCAACAAACAAAAAACTCTTCTTAAAAGATTATCTGTATTTTTCTATCATTTCTTAACTTTAAGTTTATTTTATGCAGATATTAACTTCTTTTAATATTATAGACCAAACCATATAAGAGATTTGCTAGATTTTGTTGCTGCTAGTGTTAGGTACCATATTTTCCAATTAAAGATAGTTTATTTTCACTGACAATATGAAGTAAAACTAAGATTTGGTTTATTTCTATTGTTTATGCAAGAGGAAAAGTTATCTTAACTGATTTTTACATAATGAGGTTATACTTAGATGATTATCTCTTTTAAAAGCAGAGGAACTTTTTTTTTCATCTTTACAAGTTAGAGCTCTTGGAGGAATAAATGTGAAATATATATTGTGTGGAGTGATCGTTGATGAAATTCCTTCCTGATTATTCTATTTAAGAAAGAACTAAACCTTTTCTTCTCTTTGTCATATAGGTTTTGCAACCTTGATCATTTTTCTTTTTTCTTTTTTTTTCTAAATCCAAAGGGATTGTAACAACCAAATGTCACGAACTTAAACTTTACTAAAATTGGTTTTCTTCATAGGACTTTCATTAGCTTCTCATGGTTTACTCTTTCCAACCCACAGCCTGGTTTTACTTTTAACACACTGCACTTTAGGTTTAAAATGTTCTAATAAAATAGTGCTTCTCTAATATGTGACTTTAAGCAAAGTCGACTCTTGAATAAGAACTCACTTACAGCAAATATTTTTAAAAGCGGACCTTTCTGGTTAGCTCTAGGTATAATGGCAGGAGATATAATCTTAGTATAACTAGAAATAACCTCAATGTGATAACACACTTAAAACCCATAGGATTATGAAACGTATAATTATAAGAGAAATTCTGCTGAGGAGAATTTGTGCCAAAGAAGAGATGACACTATTTTCACTGCCCATCAACTGAGGATAATTGGCAATAACACACCTCAGGTACATAAATAGATTTGCAGTGCCCATGGATAACATGCATTTCAGCAAGAGACTGCTGTGAATACGAAATGAACTTGGAAAGAGGCTAGGAAACTTGAAATGTTCACACATAACTTGCCACCTTTAAAAAAAAAACAAAAAAAACCACAACAAAAATCCACAAATTCTCCAAAGAGTAATGGTGAGAAATGAAATGTCTGAGGCACTGAATAAGGAAGTCTTTGTGATAACTTCAGTTCACTAAATAAAATATGTCCTATGCCACCATCCTAGGATATGAACATATTCAAGATTAGGAAGAAAACTCAAAATAACTTTCAATCTTCAAGTGAGAAAAGAACATTTCAAAAAGAAGATCAAGGTCCTTAACTCCTTATTGTATTGAATATAAGTTCACTCTGCCATGATTACTGTTGTATTTTGAATATACCTACAGCACTTGATCTATAATTGTCACTTAATATATTTTGTTGAATGACTTCAGAAGGAAAATATTGATAGAGAACTGAATTATGGCATAATGTTAGAAATTCATAGGTTGATCCAAAATATTATTATAGCTCAAGCTGTCAATTTCTCCTTTCTTTCGAATAACTAGCAAGTAGGGTACTTTTGTCTCCTTGTCGTTTGTCAATGTACTAAGGACTAAGTGCCTGAGTCTATTACTAGGTAAGAAAGAGAGGTGAATAAATATGGGATCAGAATGATTAACAATGAAAATCAATTAGTAATCATTTTTCAATAAGATTTATTAATTATAAGCAGGATGAAAGCAATATAGTTAATAAGAGCATACAAAAGATTATTCTTGGAACACACAGCAGTGGAATTTTAGGGATGTAAAATAAGAGATCATTAAAAAGGAAAAGCAATTGAGAAAGGGTAGTTATTTTATTAATAAAAAAGTTGTGAAAGGTTATGTCAAACATTTCCACAGCTTACCTAAGAAGTTCTTGTTTTACTGAAAGTAAAGGAAATGGATTGGACATAACATGAAAATTATTGGCCTATTTTGTTAACCTTTTCATCCACATCTCATGTACACAGAATATAGCTTAAAAATTATTTTGTGGTGCACTGTAAGCTTTTACAACACAGGGTCTGCAAACAGATTTATTTCATTAATAAGAAGGAAAGACAAGAAGCTTGATTAGTAGATTGTTTTTTCCTCTAGCAAATTGTTTCTCTTTGAAATACATTGTCTAGAGTTATTTTTAGTAGAATTCTAAACGACAGGTGGATGAAACTTTTTCTTTTTTGAATTTGTCTTGATTGCAAGAAATTATCTAATTTCATCCCTCAGTTCCCCCCAAGTCAGTTACAGCTGTACATGCAGTGCTATCTGAATTGGAAATATACTTCAAAACTCATTCATTTGCATGTCTATTAGGAGAACAGGCAAAATTCTAATGACAACAATTACTTGCCCTTTCCTGATGCTCTTTAAATAAAGTACTTTGCAAACTGTACATAAATTTGCCTTAAAATGTTATATTACCCATACATAGTACATTCTCACAAAGACTTCTTAGGTTGGATAAATGGAGTGCTACCTCCATCACTGCAGATTTGAATACAAGTTATTGTTGTATTTTTTTTCTGGAGTGGAATGAGATGCAGTAATTTACAACATGAAACAAGACATACATACTGGGGTTAAGTCAATAAAACATTCCACTCATGTTTTCTTTGAATAGAGACACTAGCCAAAGATCAAATATCCTAGATAAACTGAGTATTAATATTTTCTCATAAAATTAGTAACAGAAATACCTGCTTTGTCAGGTATTTGTTGAATTTGTTCAATTTGTCAGGTATTCTATGAATTTGTTCTTAATTCATAGAATTAGGGTATGAATTTAGTTACTACAGTAGAAATGAAACTAAAGTAACAATCTGGAGGCAGGCAGTTAAGGGCTGGTAGGACAGCTCTACCTCATGAGGTCTTCTAAGATTCAGGCTCCTTCACATTTGTCATTCCATCATCCTCTCTGGAGTTGTTCTCATCTGCAGGGTTCAAGATGGCTTACCATATCATCTATCGTCTAGTCACTGGAAAGAGAAAAGGAGACAAGTGGAGACCTCCTTCCTTTAAAAGAAGGACATGAAAGTTCTACATATTCATCACTTCTCTTCACATCCTGTTGACAAGAACTTTGTTATAACATGCCACATTTAGCTCCATGAGAGATTGAAGAGTTTATTCTTTCTTTTGGTTGTCCATGTGCCCAACTAGGAACTCTTATATGTTAAATAATTCTCCTATTATTTAACAATAGGAGAATAAATTTTGGGAGACAACTGTCATTTTCTGTTCCACTTCCCAGCTCTTAGGATTGTGGTGAGGGTCAAATAAAGTGACGGAGGTAGAGGAGATATATTAACTGATAACACAGTAAAGTAAAAATGGTAGTTACTAGTCCTGAAATCAGCTACTAGGACCTGGGTGGGAACACAGCTCTGAATTTTAGTTTCTATCTATAAAAAGACGGCCAGAATAGATGATCTCTATGTTCCTTTTCCATGCCTTGTATTATGATCTTAAAGTTCTTTGTGTCTTTCTTAAGTAACTGTGCGATTCTCCTCTAGAACCTTCGTGTATAGGCTGATTGCTTGGTTTTATGTTGTCTAATTCAGGTACATTTCTCTCCTTCATCAGTTTCTGCTCCTTAGTCTGACTCCTAATGTTGGTGGTTCCAATATCTACCCTGACTTCTATCTCTTGCATATGGCATAAATCCTCATATTTTTCTAAGTTCTTTGTGCAGTTTCTGTAAAGATAGGAACACAGCTGAAAACAGGAAGATGTATCTCAGGAACTACAGCAATAATCAGGCCACTTAGTCTGTAAATCACACTTGGAGTGGGCAATTAACTAGGTCTCCTCCCCACTGAGAACCCTGAAGCATTGTAAAATGTAGGACCTGGAACACTGCTGGATTTAGCCAGGAATTCAATATTTAAATGGGTCACCTCGGACATATAATAGCACTTGCCAGATGATAAAAAAAGGTTTAACAGTATGATCATAAATCTTGGGTCCAGCCTGGGCACTTGGTTTTTCCCTAACTTGTTTTAAATCAGTTTGAAAAAGACAGAGGGGGAGATAATTATGATCACAGAATCTTTGAATCAGAAGAAAATATAAAGGTCATTTCACTTAATTTCCCTCCAGAAGAAGCACTCTCTCTCCAACTTCCCAAACATGTTTATTCTATTTTTGCTTGATTGGAAACTCACTGCCTTCTGAGACAATCCATTGTTCTATTGTTTACAATACTGATAAATTCTCTAATTGTGGCTGATAAGTTTTTTCTGTTTTTTTTTAATTAACTATCTGTGGATTATCTGAATGGGCCTCATGGACTGCTGTGATAATATACTAAATTTTATTCTCCTTGAATCAGAGTTTCGTTACTTAACACTAAAATGCCGGCATGAATTCAGTACCATTAACTAAATTTTTATTGAGTCCTGTGGTAAGCAAAGCACAGATTTCCTATACCTCTCTATCTTGTATTAGTCTGATAGGCTATGCTATGCTGCAATAAAAAACAATCTTAACATTCTAGAAACTTAAATCGATAAACATTTATTTATTTTTCATGTTATATATCATCTCAGGTGTGTGGGGCTCTGCTTCATCTCATCCTCATGCAGGGATGTAGCCTGATGAAGCCTTCATGATCAACAAGATTGCTCTTTAACATAGAGACAGGAAAGGAATGTGTCAGAGTATTTCCCTTAAAAATGTTTACCTTGAAAAGACTACATAGTTTCCACTCACATTTCCCTGGATAAACTTTATTTTATGGAAAGGAAATGAAATAGTACCATGTGTGCTGAAAGGTGGAGAACCAGAAATATTCATTCTCCAGTAAAATGTTAGTAACAAACATGTAATATCTGGTCAACAAAAGGTCAGCTTATTTTTATTTCCATGCGCACAATACATTAACCTCTTTAAAAAGGAGGTAACCCAAAAGTACCACTGAGTGACAGCACAAATCTTCTAAATCATGACATCTGGATGATATGCAGTAGCCTTAATACCAGGTCTGAATATAACCCTTTTTGATCTGAACACATATGAATTAAAAATGTACATTAACTTCCTCTCACAGTCCAATATACGCTGACCAAAGTAGAATAGGATAATTTGAATAAACATTCCACTTTGGAAAAAGAATAATAAAAGAACATGGGGCTAGTCTGGCCTAGAGCAATTGTGCTGTGCCATACAGCCAAGACTGTGAAAGCTGCCTACCTTGAGGTTGAGAAATATTCCTTGCACAGACCCTGATTTGGCTACCTGGGAGTAGCTCCCTTGTCCTCTGCTCTCTGTGACCCTCTGAAAGATTCCTTCCTTTCTGTTACCCTTTGTAGGCATCTCTGAAAAACTGGTATTGGAAAATATGCCTTCTTTCAGGCCTGGGCAGCTTTCCACATCCACTTTCTGCTTACAGATGACTGACAGCTTAAGGATTAATTTAAACCCAGATTAGTGACATTCTCTTTCAGTCCAGATTGGTGATTTGTGGTGATTTGGGAGTAAAATTCTCTGAAAACTTTGTGGGTGTCCTACCTATTTGATTCCAATCAGCGTTTGATGCTAGCAATCCCACCCACAGTTCTTAAAATACATTTCTTAGGACAGCTATATTCTGTAATTTTCTTATCCACATATCTCTAACTATTGTCCATTGCAGATACTTTGAGCCACTTAGGCTTAGAGAGAGTAATACCATTAAGCTCATTTTCTGGGACACATACCTTTAGTTAGATCTCACGATGAGATACCTTATCCACTTAGTGCTATAGACATACTTTTTTTTCTTTTTTTTTAAATTTTGAGACAGAGTCTTGCCCTGTCACCCAGGCTGAAGTGCAGTGGTGTGATCCTGGCTCACTACAACCTACACTTCCTAGGTTCAAGTGATTCTGCTGCATCAGCCTCCCGAGTAGCTGGAATTACAGCTGGTTTTTTTTTTTTTTTGTATTTATTTTCATTTTTATTTATTTATTATTATTATTATGTTTTTTAGTAGTGACGGGGTTTCACCATGTTGGCCAAGCTGGTCTCGAACTCCTGACCTCAAGTGATTCACCCACCTTGGCCTCCCAAAGTGTTGGGATACCAGGCGTGAGCCACCACACCTGGCCTATAGATATACTCTTAATATGACAATTGCCTCTAAGACTGATTTTACTTTGCCTTTGTTGTTCAAAGACTATGAATTTTACATTTTTGCTGTTTGGGCTGGAAATCAGTTGTCTCTGTATTCCTGAATTCAAGGACACAGATTTCTTTTTCATTCTTGATTCCAAACCATTTTGTTTTCTGACCAAATTTCTTATAATCCCTTGCCAAATGCAGCCAATAGCTACCTACACAACACAGATACTGTTTCTTAGCCTCTTTTCTAAGAGTCCTGAGTTTACTGGGTACATGATCTGTTTACCAACTTACTAAAGGTTAACAGTTTTACTAGATGTTTTCCTACTGCTTAACTGATAACAGTTTCTTCCCTACGTACTGCTTAATTGCAAAGCCACAGATCATAGTTTTTTTTGTTGTTGCTACAGCTGTCTCCTTTTCTTGTACAAATGTCTACATCAATCAAAATGTACTAAATTAGTTTCTGGTAACAAACACCCACAACATTTTAGTGATTTAAACCCACAAAGGTTTATTTGCTGTTCGCACTATGTGTCCATTGGGCTATAGGGGTTATATTGTACATTGTCCTAACTCAACTGTCTAAGAAGGGAGTTTTCCTATTTGGAGTGCAACTGGGAATTATGGCAGATGGAAGGGAACTTTAAAGGTCTCTACCTAGAAATAACAAATGTCAGTTATATTTACCTTTTATTGGTCAAAGAAAGTCACATGGCCACATGTGATTTAAAGGGAAGAAGAAATGCAATATTACTATGTATTTAAAAGAAGGAGACCTAGAAATATCGGTTATCAGCATTAAAGACTACCCTGCTTCTTTTAATTTTGATAAAAGATTGGTTGATTGTGTTTAAAGTCTAGAAGGTCTAAAGCTCTGAAATGCTAGTGTTTGCACAGGTAACAACCAAATGTGATTTCATTATTCAAATGTCTGTAGGGCTAGAATATATTAATCAACTATTATAAAATATTTATATAACCATATAATATCTGCTAAATTTCAGAAGAAAAGATGAATCCATTATAAAATAAATGAAGACTGCATCAAGAATATTTACTTGCTAATACAGACAGAAGGTGTTTTGTTTTCCAAATGAGGACATTTATAACTCATACCATATCACGAAGTTTTTGATCAACTAGAATTTGCTTCTCATTTTCTGCTAATCCCCTTACTTGTATGAGAGGTATGCATTAAGGCACATTTATAAAGATGTCATTTAAGTGTCTTAGAACTTTTAGAATTTGTCCATGGCAAAAGATCATATTCTTTTGAATGATCTATGGTACCCATCAATGCACCAAGTAGAGGGGAGGCAAAGACATATTTCACGGACAACAACAAAAATGGATGTTCTCTTATTACTGGGTTAATTTAATTGAAATATAATTTATATTTGCTAACAAACAAGAAGAAAAATATCTACAACAACTAGGCACAAAACATATATATATATATATAAAATTAGCTATTTTGCTTTTTTATAAAACAACACAAAAAACAAAAGAGTAAAACGATACAAAAGATGCCAAATGAATAGATGAGGTTTTGGAAATAATTTTCTATAATCGGTAAGAACAACCAGGCAAATGCAGCATCTCATGAGGTCTAGTAGAATAGTTGTTTATTTATTATTATTTATGTTCTATTTACTGTTAAAAACTGAATATCCAGTTGGTAAAATAGCAAGCCTTTGTCCTGTGCAGAGAGCACTTTCTTTTTAAAACTAAGGTTCATTATGTTTATCTCTGCACATAATTATCACAGTCATTTAAAGTGTTTCAAAAAAGGATTAATTTTTCTCTTACAGCTACCATACATTATAGAATTAATGGGAATCTCAAAAACCCCTGTGGTCACTGTACCACTGAGATGTCTGAAATAGCCTTTTCTCTGATTTTCTTTCTTCCAGGCATCTTTTCTTTCAAATCCATCCTTTATCCTACCGTTAAATCATTCTGTCTACACATCTTTTTTTCTAAAAATCCTTTTTTGTTAATATGAGTTCAAGACAAAAACAATTTTAATGCCCTATTTTTTGTAGCATACAGTCTAGACCTCTTGTAGTAGCACTCAGGATCCTTCACAGATGTTACAATCATTGCTTTTCTCTTCCAAGAGAATGGCAATTCTCTATTGCTACCTCAGTTGCCACAGGCATCCCCATTTCTGGACTGAAATATTGTACCTTCCCTTGCAATTTGTACTAAAACTTAAAATCCAAGAAGACTCCCATGAATATTATCCTACTTTTAAATGTTAATGTCAGAATGTTTAATTCTCCCCATACCCCAATAACTTAAACATGCCCAATTATTAAGTAATGAGATGATTTCATAAGCCAAAGAATACATTTTTAAATTTCTTCACAGGACCAAGCTTACAGTGAATGCTGACGAAACGTTTGCTAGTTTTTTGACCATGTAGCATTGGCTTATTTTCCATCTCCCAGCAAATTCATAAATTAGCCACAAAATTAGACTACCCATTTTAGTTCCTCATTCTCTAGAACCAGAAACTCTTTTAAATCTAGAACTTGCTGCCTCACTTCCAAACAACAGTAGTAGTTACACATTTCTCTTTTCCCTGGCTTTCTGCCCTCACGTTTTTTATCAGTTTTCTTATTTGTTGATTCACAATCCAATTGTTGAAAACATAGTCTATGCTAAGCTACTGTGCTAAAAGCTGGGAATGGAGAAACTATCTCCTCCTTAAAGAGTCCATAACGTGGTTGAGAGAGAGAAGCTAAACCAATATGCACAATAATGTTATGAGTGTTTAGACTAAAATACAGTTGAGTATAATGGGAAACATTTGAAAGCAAAAGAATTCCAAAGCTCCTACTTCTTAATTGTTGATTTTTTCCCTAAGTATCATTTTCTTGTTGTTTCACATCATTAAAGAAACTTTTTCATTCCTCTTAAGCCTTAAGATCCTTGATCTGGTTCCTATGCAATGGACTATTTTTCCTGTTTTCCTCAGTGACCTGGCCTGCTTTTTGCTTTCTGTGGCATTCCCACCAGCTTTTTGAGCCTCGCTCAACTCTGGGTTAAGCCACTATGACATCCTGCTGCTTTTTCCATCTGTCTATAAATTCTGTAGCAATTCCTATTCTGATTCTAAATATGAGCCTAATGCAATGAGTGAGTTGACTTCTTCGACTCTCTTGCCTCTGAACTCTTTTTTCATGTAATGCTTTCTATAAGCATTCTGGTCTGTCGACCTGAAATATTGACACTCCCACTTTCATATCATTATCATTATGCTTCACATGTTAGAGGTCTTTATATATCCCAAAGTCATTTACATTCTCCTCATTAATAAAAACCTTCAGTACAAGTGAAGATAGGCACTTGATTGCAGTGTTGTAATTAGTAGGAGAGTTAGGATTTAAATCCAGGTGTTCTGATTTTAAGCTCCATGAATCTACCACATTCTCTGCAGAAGCAGCGTCATGGCTCTCTCCACTACGATTCTATCTGCTGTGAAAACCTTCTCTAGACATTGACCTTCCACCGAGGTAGCATAAATCTTTCTTCTGCTAATAACACATATAATTCATGGATATATTTTAACTAATCAAAATCTTCACTGTTAAATAAAGGAAGGGAAATCCCATGGTGCCAAAGTCAAAGGGAAATTTAAAACCAGAATTCTATGTTACAGTGTTTTGCTTTGGCAACTCAAAGATGGGAGGGCAGGAATGTTAGATTAAGTTCGGGTATAGGGCCTTGGAGTTGTTGAGTGGAGTTCAGTATCCACTGGGGAACAGAATCTGTGACCTTGGATTCAATTGAAGAAATGGGAATGAATAACCATGCTAAAGCTGGACCTTTACAAGAAATGGAGTAAGAGAGGAAGTGGGGAAAATTTTCACATCTGCCTGAGAAGCACCAAAGAACTTGACTCTACCAAAATCCTAGGTGGGAAATAAAATTTTCCAGTGAAAAGCTGAAATCCTAGGCCAGAGCCACAAATAAGCATGGAGTCTGAAGTTAGTTTATAAATGTTTTGTTAGACTCCTCAAGCCAAGCTACTAATTTTAAAACATTTTGAACTAGTAAACATCCTGGGAGTGTTAAGAAAGCAAAGATGAAACAATTATGTAATAACCAAACTGGGGTCCATGAGATTCTTAAGGGAAAAAAGTTTCACTAAAAATGAGCTCATGAGAAAAAGTAGAAAGTACACGAGGCGATATCACACCTTGAGGGAGTTGGCCAACACGAATTCAGGAGGAGCAGCTCTCTCAAAACGAGATTACGGAACAGCCACAAAGAGGCTGGGTAATATTTACTGCACAGTTGAAGTAACTTAAAAAGTAAAAAGAGGAATAGAATCACAAATAATAAGAAAAGACAATTTTTGGTCACCATGTTTTGTTGTTTTTACCTCTTCAATGGTTTTTTGGCTCTGTCTCCTCATCTCCATCCGTATTGCCACTACTTCAGTTCAGGCCTTCATCATTTCTCATTTGGATTACTGCCACAACCTCCTAATTGACTTTCTTGGCTGAGCATTGCAATTTTCTCTCTCCCCAATCTTGTTTGTATTCCCACTTGTTCTTCACATTGCTATATCAAAACACATCACCCCTCTGATTTACGTATTATAGGCTGATTTTAGTCTTTGGGATGTAGTTCAAGCTCCTTGGAATTGTATTCATAGCTCCTTAAGATTGGACCCTAGACCACCTCTTCAATATCATCACACAGCTGCCTCATCCTCCATGCACTTGCCATTCTCTCTCTCTCACCTCTGTGCCTCTGCATGCTCTATCTCTGCTGTTTGGAAAGGTCTCCAAGTCTCCTTTGCCTAGGTCAGTTCCCCTTTCAGGAAGCTTCATTGATTCATCTTCTCCACAGCCTCTTCCTTAGTCTGGATTAGGCTTCTTGCCATCGTGCCCCCATTCCTTTCAGTGTCTTCTCTGTCATGGCATTACCATGGGTGTCTTGATGGTCTGTGGACCGGGGTGATCCCTACTGGATTGTGGGTTCCTTGAGGGCAAGGACCAGGTCTTGCTTGTATTTGCTTCCTGCACATTTGGCATAGTGTCTGGCACAGGTGATGAAGCCTGTGCTATTAGTGAGTGAGGTGGTTTACTGGATGGTTTCCTCTTCGGTGATTCCTCTCTGTTTAACCCTCTTACTGATTTGATTTCCAACTTAAGCTGAAGCCTTTCTCAGCTATCTTTCTTAAGTATTAAAAGTGGATTTGATTTGCTTCTAAGAATCCTCCATCCCTAGTTTCAGGGTCACATCACTGTCCCTTTATGATCATCTACAAGGGGTCACACTTGACAGTTTTACCTAAATAATTACATAAAGGGAGAAAATATTGAATCCTTTCTGTTTTCTATCTTGTTTCTTTAATTAATCTTTTTGTTTTGTGTGATCTCTTTTGCTTTTCCCAATTTCTCTTCTTTTTTTCAGATATTTTCTTCATTCCCGTATCCATCTTTGGTTGGATCTTTTCTGTTTCCTTTCTTTCATGCTGACACTAAAAGCAATCTATCACCTTTTGTTCTTTCCTGTCAGTCAATCTCTGGTCCGTGACAGATTAACTTTGACAAGTTTTTGTGCTGAATATAAATGGTTTCTCTCTGTGTTTAAAAGGGAACACACAGCACACAAACAAGCTGGGGAAAGGACTATTTATCACATAAGTAGTTGGAAAAATTGGGATAAACATATTGATCTATTGCAATCTTTTGTTTGTGCTAAGACCAAGTAAGTAATTATTCAGACTACTTACTAACCTCCTCACAATTTAAGATTGCTTAACTTTCAGTGTAAACAAATTTTATTGTGGTCTAAGACAATTTCCAAATGCTAGCGTTCACTTATTGAAAAGGGGAAAGTCTGTGGAATAATAATGTTCTGCCATCCTCCTTTTAATGAGAATGGTTATGGTAACATTTTGAAATAAATATGTCATAACAACTATATGACAGTATGTTGAAATAGGATAAATGGGATTATTATCTGGGTTTACAATTAGCATAACCAAACTGTAGAATAATAATGGGACATACATGGAGGAAAATGTTACCCTGGTTAAAGAAGCTGGGCACTAAAATCTACACAGCTGGGTCAGAATTCTGGTTCTATAATTTATTAGGCACTTGGCCTTATACAAAACCTCAGGTTCCTCATATGTCAATTAGGCTAAGGATTAAAAGGAACAATGTATTATTTAGCATGAATTCCTGGCATATAAAATACCCGATATATGTAAGTATGAAATTAAAATAATGATTGTCGTTAGCTTATCTCTCTCATCCTCCTGTTCCCTTCATTATTGCCATCCAACTTAAATGCCTACTTTCAAAATTCTCACTATTCTTACTCTTTCTAAACCAGTAACCAGCACATTTAAACTGTGTTGTGACCAATTAGTGGGTTATGAAGTCAATTTACTGATCTTTATTTTTAAATGTAATACAATAGAAAATATTAGAGTGAATTGTATGTACTAGCAAAAAGTATTTTTGTGAAACTTTTTAGTTATACATATGGTCTGACTGACATTTTAAACAGGCTTTTCTGCCTGCTATATGGACTGTGGGCTCTAGGTGGGCACAGCTGGAAGAAGGAGCTTTTACTATCATCCAAGTGAGTGATTGTGAGGAAGATGACCGGCATAGAAGAAATAGTTGTGGGTGAAAAGTGGCCAGATTAAGGATAGAGTTCATGGTAGAGGCAACAGGTTTTGTTAACTACTGGATGTAAGGTAAAAATTTTTTGTTGTACCAAGCGACTGGAAAAATGGATTTGCCATTTTCTGAGATGAGGATGCCCCTAAGTGGGGTAGGTTTGTGGACTAGAACAGAGAAAGATAAATTTTGAGTATATTAAATTTAAGATGCCTATTATTATGGATGTGAAGATGTTAAATAGACAGTTAGATATACAAGTCTAAATTCAAAGGTGAGCTCTGGGCTGAAGATGCACATTTGGGAGTCATTAGGATATATATACTATTTGAAATCATGTGTCTGGATGAGATCATCAAGGTTGTGAGTGGAATTTAGAGAAGGGATGTTGTCCAAGGACTGAACCCTGGGGTACTGTGACATCTAGACCATGAGAAAATAACTACAAGCAAGTAAAGAGACTGAGACACTGCAGCCAATGAGAGGGAGATTAACACCTAGGAGAGTGTGGTGTCCTAAAGCCGAGTGAAAAAAAGTACAACTGGAGTGAGTGGTCACCTGTGTCAAGGGCTGTCAGTGGATCACAAGGTGGAGATGATGTATTTAGCCACTGATGCTTATTGATGATGCACACAAGCACCATTTTGGTAGGGTGGAAGCAAAAGTGTGAGATACATATTTTGTGTGTCTCAGGTTTTACAACATGTAATTGTTATAATGCAATACATTTTTTGTTCTTACCTTTTTTTTTAACATCATGTTTTTAAAATGCATTCTAGGTCATACGTCTAGGTTGTTGCTTTTTACTTGCGCATTCTACTGTATTTTTAACTCCATTTCTCTGATGATGGAGACCTATGTAGTTTCTAAGTCACTGCCCTAGTGAACTTTCCTGTCCCCTTTTAGTCTTGTGCTAGTATTTCTCTGGGGTACATACCTAGGAATGTAACTACTAGGTCTTAGGACATGGACATTCTTCATTTTTATGAAATACTGCCAGATTTTTTTTTTTAGTATTAGTAGCTGAACTTGTTTACCTTCTCTTCAACAGCATATGGAAGTTCAATATCTTCATAACTTTTTTTTACACTTGGATCTAACCCCTTTTTCTTGATATTTTTGTTATTCTAATGGGAATTCTGTGGCTTCTCAATGTTTTAATTTGCATATCTCTCATTACTAATAGTTTAACAACATTTTCATATTGATATTGGCAATTTGGGCTTCTTCTTTTATGCACTTGCCTACTCATATCTTCTTTGTCCAGTTTCCTGCTATCTCCATTGAACCAGCTTTCTCCTTTTTAGAGTCTTCATTATCCACTAATGACATCTTCTTTGTTGTTTTTTTGCCAGTTCCCATGACACAAGCTACCTCTCTTTATGATTCCAGAGTCTGTGTTACAGTTCTCTTCAGTTACCTTAAGCCTTCAAATCAATGACTTAATATCCAGCTAACACTGTAATGTTATATTTCCTTAACTTTCTCGACTTCATTGGCCAAGTCTCTAAATGAGCCAACATCAGGGGCAACTTTTGCAACGTTCCATTTTTAATCTTTCAAAATAAGAGTTTCTTTTTTTACAACAAACATTTTGCAGTAATGTCTGGAAGCAGCACTCCCACTATTTGACTCCCTGCTGAGCTTCCCAACACATGCACTAACATTCCTTAATCCCCATTTGACACCCAGTTGCAGACACAATTCTTTCCAGAAAGAATGTAAGGAACCAAGCCAAATGTTTTCCTCTCCAAGAAGCCGCACATACCTACACTGAACTCACATGGCACTAAGTAGATATTGTCCCACAGGTCACTCTTTGCTTCGGTTCAACTGTCCTATAAGGTTATCAATTGTTGGAGGGTGGGCATGTTAGCATAAACCAATATAACATGGGTGTAAAGAACTCGGATCTTAGGCCTGGTAGTCTTGGTTCAAATTCTGACTCTGCCACTTAACAACTTAGTTTCGAGATGTTACCTAACCTCTCTGTGACTTGGTTTATTACATCATTGTTGTAAAGAATTAAATGAGTTACTACATGTAAAACACTTAAAAGAATGTCCAGAAGATTGTAATCACTCCATAAATGTTACCCATTACTCTAAATGTTGATATCCACTCTATTTCCATTCCAGTGACATGTTGTACATATTAATAGTACATGTTTTTAAAATGATTTGAATATGAAAGCAATATATTACAGATAGTAGGTGAAATGATAACTAGAAGTAAAAACAGGAACAGGAAGCTAAGAAAGCTTAAGAAATATAAGATTAAAGTGGTAATTTAATTTTAAATTATTGATTTGAAGGCCCAAGAAAAAAAGCACGAAGACGTAATTGCAACCATCTTCTATTATTCATTTTCTATTTTAGCCTTGGCCCATAAAAATGAGAACTTCACAGATAATAGGAGAAAACTTTTCACCTATCTCTTCACCTCCTCAGACCCGCCGTTCAGGAGGAAGGCTCTACTGATGGGTGAGATTGAGAGGATTACTAAGTATGACTGCTTGAGCCCTGTTTTTGCTCTTTCTTTTCACCCAGCCTTCCTGCAGGCAAAGCCTCTTCTCTTCTCCTCCAACAGTAAGTGCACAGGGGCAGGACTTGACCCTGTGTGGGGAGATACCCATACCAGGGGAAGTAGGAAAGCCTATGTTTGCCCCAGATGCAAACTAAATTCTCTAATACAAATTTACTAGCAGTGAGGCTGATGTTTTGATTCTTTTCTGACTTCTGTGTTTTATCACTTAGTTTACCCCTTGAGAAGTCCCAGTAAAAGGGAAGATGCACAGCAAGATAAAGAAAGGCGATAGAGAGGGAATAAACATGGAGAGACAAATAGAAAGGAGCTGGATAGTGGTAAATGAAAGGATGGAGACATCTTCATTTGTTTCATACAGTAGGAACACTCATAGAATTGCAGTGCTGGTGACTGATGAAGAATAGATTCAACAGCAGGAGGTACTGAGAGAGAGATAGCTATGAAAAGGGACCACAAGTCCTAATTTGGCTGGGACAGTCCAGGTGTATGTCTACAGTCTTAGCATTTTGTTCAGTTTAGTATTTTCCTGAACAAAGGTATCCCAGTTTGGATAATTAATTATATAGTCACCACAGGTGTGGTGGAAAGAACAAGGCTGTTGTTGGTGCATGATAATGGAGAAAACCATAGATGAGCAGTTTCATGAGGAACGTGATTTTTAAGTGATGGGTAATTATATGCCTTTAGTTTTAAATGCCATCTGAAAATTGGATGTCATAACCCTTCTTTGAGGAAATGTTGTCATTAACACAAAGATAGTCAAAGAGACTATTTCCATTTATCTAGTGCAGTGGATTTTTTTTTTTTTTTTGACGGAGTCGCTCTCTGTCGCCCAGGCTGGACTGCAGTGGCACTATCTCGGCTCACTGCAAGCCCCACCTCCCAGGTTCACATCATTTTCCTGCCTCAGCCTCCCAAGTAGCTGGGACTACAGGCACCCGCCACCATGCCCGGCTAATTTTTTGTATTTTTTTTTTTTTTTTTTTTTTTAGTAGAGACGGGGTTTCACCATGTTAGCCAGGATGGTCTCGATCTCCTGACCTCATGATCCGCCCACCTTGGCCTCCCAAAGTGCTGGGATTACAGGCATGAGCCACCATGCCCGGCCGTTCAGTTGTTTTTAAAGTGTGATCCCTTTAAGGGGACCCATATTAGTGCCACCTGGGAACTTGTTAGAAATGAGGATTCTCAGGACCCATCCAAACCTACTGAATCAGAATCTTTGAGATTGGGGCTCAGCCATCTATGTTTTAATAAACTCTCCAGGTGAATCAGATGCACAGGAATGTTTAAGAGCCAGTGGTTTCATTTATATATAATAATTGTGAAGGCAGAAATATGATAGTGCTATAATCTGTCAATCAATCATTTGTTAAGAATCGATACAAAGCCCTGTGTTGGGTACTTTATTCTGTGAAAGATACAAGAGAACAAAAAGATAGTAAAATAAGCATTCTCTACCCTTGAGAAGATTGCAGTTGGGTTGGGGAAATTGGACCTACACCCATAAGAAGTTGTCTAATAATAGAAAATGATAAATAAGTAGGCAAGCTAAAATGTCTATTGGAGTTCAGGAGAGAATTCCCAATGGGAGAGCACAGACAGGAGATACTTTGTGGAGGACATAGAACTCAGAAACGAGAACAGGTGGGAAATAGCAGGAACCAGGAGAGTCTAACTGGGGAGATAAGATCAATTTTCAGCAAACAATGAGTAGCAACTGAAGAGAACAGTGTTAATGCCAATAGGGCTCTGTATTGGTCTTATTGAAAAAAGGATCCAAGGTGAAATGTTTTCAAAACTTGAGATTAGACAAAATTAAACAAGTTTCTTTTACTGCATATACTTCTCAGAGTCTTTAAAATGCTAAAGAGCAATGTGGTGCTCCAAGAAGGATTGTGGCATTTACCAGTTGACTTATGGTCCTTGGAGCAGCAGATGCCAAAATGGGATAAGATCCCTGAAAACACCTCTGAAGTGGAAAGCTCCTGAATCATCTCAGCTCTCATGGGGTTTACCAATGCATCCAGCATGCTGGCCACCTCTTGCTTATCCTGTTCAACCCAATTATGTCATTGATCAAATGGATCAAAATGATGTTCTGTGGGATGTCCAGACAACCCAGATCTTTTTAGACTTTATTATAAGAAATTATAGGAGAAAAGTCTAGCCTTGAGGCACAACTGTAAATAAATAGTATTGTTCATCCTCTGTGAATGACAACTGTTTGTGATTTTCTTTTCTATTTGTAATGAAAAACAGCATATTTACCAAAAGAATGTCAACATATGACTTTTAAGGAGGTATCTGTAATAGTCAAGCTCATAGAAGCAGAGAATACAGTAATGGGGCATTGTCACTTAATGAATATAAATTTCTTGTTAGAATAAATGAGTAAGTTCTAGAGATCTGCTGTAAAATATAGTGCCTATAGTTAGCAATACAGTATTGTACACTTCAAAATTGTTAAGATGGTAGATCTCATGTTAAGTGTTCTTACCACAATAAAAACAAAAAATAAAACAAAGGGATACAAGGACACTTGGGGAGGTGTTGCATATTTCTATTACCTTGATTGTAGTGATGGTATCATGGATGTTTGCACATATTCAAACTCATCAAATTGTACACATTAAATACATGCAGCTCTTTGTATATCAATTATACCTCAATAAAGCCATTTAAAAATCAGCAAAGCCTTTCTAATCTGCTTTAGCAATGCCACATCCAGCATAGCAGCTGAGATGAGGCATCTGGCGGAGTCTATGGTAGTCTATAGTCATTGTCCAGGTTCCATCTGGTTTCTGCAAGAGCTAGTTCAGAGAATGAAGTGGAGACATGATACAGCATCGACCCTGCCTCCTTTAGGAATTTAGTGATGGCAATCAAGTTTAACAGTCTCCCACTCCCAGGATAAAAAATATTTTTAATTTACTAAATTTCGGCTAGAGGTGGGGGAAAGTCTCAGTGGTTGCTACTTGGTCTTTTCCAAGACCAGAGATCTAATACAGTGGTGACTTCAGCTGCCAAGTATGTTAGTAACAATTGTACACTCAGGGACTGAAAAAATCACCATTGGGTAGGTCCATACACCTAGTGGGCCCACCTTAAAATGGACCTGAGATGAGACTTATTTATTACTTGGTCATCACAAGCACCTACTTAAACAGAGAGGCTATAATAATGCTTTGGGTTTCTGAGTATCAACTTCAATTCAGACCTTATATTCAATTATCCTTGAGATGTATGGGCATTCCTTGTCCCCAGTGTACCATTATATGAATATATGGCAGAAGGACCAGGGAAACACTAAGTCCTTCCTCCCAGGAACCCAGCCAATTCCTCAGTAAGATGTTTCCAGATCTGAAAATTGGCTTAAGTCTGTGAACTGAGCAAAGGATAGTGACTTTCTATTGAGGTAATTCCCTTCAGCCATCCAATCCTCCATTCTTACTTTCTGCATTTGTTACTGTAATTTCAGCTTCCTGGCTTAAGAGGAAAAGCACTCTTCCATGGCCTCTATTATTCGGGGCCCTATTATCCTCATGGATATTAACAAGCCCATCTCTGTGACTCCTCTCCTAGACCAGGTCAGCAGAGCAGAGTTACCATTGGACAATTTTTGTGATACTAGTGTCCCTCTCACTAGTGTATTCCTGATAGTGGCTGGTGTGTCCACCAGGCTTCCCATTGAGTGCAATTCTCTGAGGGGTTGTCTAACTGCACATAATATATCCAGCATAGCATGCCCACTTTGCTCAGCTCTTTATTCCTTTCTCTGTCATTTGCCAAGGCAACTCAAGCAACTCAAGCACATTCAGCATTGGTCATTGCTTTCTCTAGGCTTCTAAGAGCTACCCTAAAGTCAATATCCCCTGTCCCCCAGTGTTCTTGCTGGGATAGTAAATTCTGTGGACCCAAGTCAATGAATTCTTACTTATTCAGCCTTAAATTATTACCCTCTCAATTAAGTTACCTCAAAATTCAATTACCCAGAGGTAATTCCCAGGGTCCTGCCAGTATAGGCTAGCTAATTCTTTCAGCTTTTTAGTATATCATCTCTTTCCTTGCTTATCAGACTCACTGTATTCCTAGCAGAGTTATACTGGGATGTAGCCTATTATCTGTCTGATGACTGCCAGTAGAGGAGGTATGGGGCAGTCCCTGAAGTGGGTATGACTGCATTGTTGGTGGGGAGGTCTCTGCTGCAATTTTAAGCATAAGAGAAGTGCTAACTCTCACCGGGTATGGTGGCTCATGCCTGTAACCCCAGCAGTTTGGGAGGCCAAGGAAGGCAAATCACCTGAGGTCAGGAGTTTGAGACCATCCTGACCAACATGGAGAAACCCCATCTCTACTAAAAATACAAAATTAGCTGGGCATGGTGGCACACGTCTGTAATCCCAGCTACTCAGGAGGCTGAGGCAGGAGAATCGCTTGAACCTGGGAGGTGAAGATTCGGCGAGCCAAAATCTTTAACTGTTTCTAGGGAAGAGTGTACTACATCAGCAAACTTTGAGGTTTCAGAGGGTCTGCAGAGCTCACGTCCTCAGAGGCATCCATCCAAATGTCTTTATCTATGTTTCAGGGTTCCAGATTTTCCTGGAACTAAACTAAAATTTTCCTGGGACTTGAACTAAACATAGATTTGCCTTGGCTGAGCATTAAAACATTTCTGGAGCTCTGCAACTCTAACAGTTAAGTCTTCAGCCTGCTGCTCATCTGTTTGTGCCGTTCACTGCAGGAGGTACTAGTCTCTTGGCAAGCTACCAGTAAAGCTCCCTTGCTCTCATCTTTTAGTCTTAAACTGCTTGTCATGGTTTTCAGTTTCTCATTATCCTTCTGCAGGGCATCAATCCAACTTAGCAATAACCAGACAATGCCTTATTCTCTAGAGATTGTTCCCATGATCTCTATCAAATGCCTTTGTGCTCACACCAGGCGTATTCCCCCATACATTTTTCCTAGATCACCATTAATAGTCTTTAGTCATTGGGTCACTGCCTCCTTCCAGGAACTCTGCATTGGCCATATATCATGCAGGAGCATGCATATATTCTTTGTCTTCTTGGCAGTAAGTGAGCCAGCATCCAAACTCTATTTTTCCATCTGTGTTCTTGTATTACTTCTGGGACCCCCTGTGATAGTTCAGCTGCTCTAAGAAGTACATGCCAAGATGGGATTAAGTATGCAAAATAATTTTTTGGTGGGGGGGATGGTGAAAGCATATGAAGGATAAGGGGAAGGGAGCATAAGGTGGAGAGAGACTTCAGGCCACAATGCAAATCTGAAATCTGTAAAAGAGAGGGAAAGAGGAGAACTGGGTAGAAAAAGAATCAAATTGCTACGCAGTTCAAATAAAGTTTTGGTCAGGTTCATTTGGAACCATGAGTCAAAATTGTCCATTAGAAGCATCCTGTGTCTTGTATTAGTTCTTTTGCTCTGCTCATTTCTTGGCTGTTAGAAACTCATAGGGAAACATGAGATTCCCCATGTCTCAGGGCAGACATGGTGGTGGTTCTGTGTTCCCACCAGAGATCTGAGTGGTGCATTTCATGGCTGCGAAAGGTCTTGCATTTTCAAACTTCTTTGATCATGGACTTTACCTGTAAAACATCTTTAAGGGATGTTCAGTGAAATATACTTTTTAAAACTCTGGGCTTTATATTTGTGTTAAAATTTGAGTTGCTGATATAAATTAACTTAGGAGTGCACATGATACCTCTTTTAATGTCTGTGGTTTTCACTGCTTTTCTTTGGTCAAGAGAATGCTCTGTATTTTTACCGTATTTTAAAACAAAGGTCTATATAATAGATTACTATTTACCAGAAAATGTTCAAGGATTCTGTTTCAGTCAGCTCAGGCTGCTATAACAACATGATAAATTTGGTGGGTTAAACAACAGGTATTTTATTGCTCACAATGGAGTCTGAGAAGTCCAGGATTAAAGTGCCTGCCAATTTGGTGTCTGCTGAGGACCCTCTTCTGGGATTGCAGAGGGCCATCTTGCTATATCCTCACATAGCAGAGACAGAGATCATCTCTCTCATATCTCTTTTAGGGACACTAATTCCATTCAGAAGAGTTCCACATTTATGACCTAATTACTTACCAAAGGCCACACCTCCAAATTCCATCACATTGGGGATTATGGCTTTAGCATAAGAATTTTGGAGAGACGCAAACATTCAGTCCATATCAATTGTTCTATATGTTAACTTGTAACAGTACATTTGAGACAGGCACTCTTATTATCACCACTTTACAAGTGAAGAGGCTAAGGCTTCAAGAAGTTACATGACTTGCCTAAAAATCACATAGCTAGTAAGTGATTGTGCCACTTGTAAGTTGTGCAACTTGTAAGTTGAACCCACAATGTCTGGCTCCAGAGTCAGTGCTCTCAACCGCTGTGCAATGCTGCCATGTGGGCATTCCTGTGTTGTCTATGGCTCTGCAGAAGAGTTTTGGAAGCTAATGCTGAACATGACTTAGCAGGTTATTGTTAATGAAGGACCCTGAGTGGCTGGTGCAACGTAACTTGGATGACTCAGATAAGTGGGACTCTGATAGCCAGAGAGTGCATCCCCCAATGAACACATGTAGAAATATGCACTCCATAAATATATATTATTTCCACCATGGATAAATACATATATAAACCTGTATGCACATGCTTCATACACATCAATATATCATGTAGCTATCCCATGCCTTATAATATGTTCATTTTAAGTATACACAGTCAGAACATTTTTAGTATTCCCATAAATGTATTAGTAACTGGTTAGTATGGGATCTGTCGGGTTTGAAGCCATACAGACTTTTACTCTAATTAGCAGTGGGATCTTCAGCAGGTATTTTTACATCTTTGAGCTTCAGTTGTCTCATCAATAAAAGCAGCTATCATCATACCTATCTCACAGGGTTGCTCTGAAGATCACATGAGAGAAGAGAAGTAAAACTGCCTAACACAGCTCCAGTACTCAGGAGAGCAGTGAACATTGTGTTAACTTGAATTAAATATCATTTACAATTCTTAACACGATGGAGGTTTCTAATGATTATTAATAAAATGAACGTGGATTATGTTAACCTGAGCTGGTTTCAAAATATGTACCCTGCAGTTTAAGTCCAGCCTTCTCGTTTTTCTCTAGGCTAAAATCTTCAGGGGTCCTGAATTATCTTCTTAGCACTCTCACTGGTCAGCTGTGTGATTCTAGACAAGCAACTTTCCACTATTGTTTCTGAGTTGAGATTCTCGGATTCAGTACCATGGAGAAGTGCTGGGTTGGCTGCAAGAACTTCAGCAGAAAACTTTTTAAAAATTAGTCGAAGGCTCTACCTCAGTGATTCTGTCTGATAGCATTTTATTCCTTAGGATAATGCTAGCTACTGTAAGAAATAAATCCCTGAATTGGCCGGGCGCGGTGGCTCACGTTTGTAATCCCAGCACTTTGGGAGGCCAAGGCGGGCGGATCACGAGGTCAGGAGAGAGAGACAATCCTGGCTAACACGGTGAAACCCCGTCTCACTAAAAATACAAAAAATTAGCCGGGCGTGGTGCCGGGCGCCTGTAGTCCCAGCTACTGGGGAGGCTGAGGCAGGAGAATGGCGTGAACCCGGGAGGCGGAGCTTGCAGTGAGCCAAGATAGCGCCACATCACTCCAGCCTGGGGGACAGAGAGACTCCGTCTCAAAATAAATAAATAAATAAATAAATAAATAAATAAATAAATAAATAAATAAATCCCTGAATGTTAGTGGTTTAATGCAGAGGAGTTTATTTCCTGGTCATGTAACAGTCTGATGAAGGGGTTACTGCCATTTGTGCCGCTATTCCCTCTGTCGGGGGTTCATCTTCTTTCATGTTGTTGCTCTGTCCTCCACCAGGGCATTAGAGTCCTCTGTTTCCAGCTAGCAGACATAGAAAAGTGAATGTAGGAGTGCATGCAAAGTGAGGCACATCTCTTTCTCTTAGATTCATCAACTAGAACTTAGCCTAATTGTGCACCTAGGCTCAAGGGGCTGTGGGAGATGTAGACTCTGACTAGATAGTCCTATTTCAGGGACAGTTTTATGCTCAAAGGAGGAGAACTCATTTCTTTTGTGAACCTCCAGCTTTCTCTACCATGGCCAGACTTGTGACTCAGTGAACTTGATGGCACCCAAGATAATCAGACTATATGCCTAAAGCACAGTATGTATAGAGGAATCTTACTTAACCATTGTTTAACAAGGGTTGTAAAACTTTTGGAAACTCTGAAACTTGAACTCGTATCCTACATTTGAATTCCACGGCAAAGAGAAAACCAGAAAATATTATGAAAAACTTTATCTCTCATGTAAATTCCCACAATGTTGGATGTTGGAGCATTAATTGCTGTCACCCTTTGCTAATTCCCTTATCCTTTGGGTATGTGGATAGCAAAAATCTTTTCAAATAAAAAGAAGTATTTTATTTCAATCACTATACCAACGTTTTATAAGAATAAATTCACTTGTTCTTCAGCACATGTAGATTGTGTTATTTTTGAATATAATGTTCTTATTGAGTGTTAATTATATGCACCTACACTTTCAAAGAAGTGATAACTAGATACTGTCAAACTGATAACAGCCAGTCTTCTCTCTAGCTTTATGCATGTGTTAATTTATAAGGTGGATTAGCAGGAACTTCACAAGCCCTTTATTTTTGGTCTGCTTGGAGATGAGAGCGATGAAAGAAAAAAATGCAGATATATTGCTTCTGTTTAAAAATTCGTAATAAGACAATGGGCAGAAGTGCTCTAGCACAGAAGTTTCTATTGATGAAAGCATTTGCCAATTTACCCTAATTTCCTGAACGTTTACGGTTAGCAAAGAAAGTACACATAAGCACAGAAAAATCTATTTTTATTTTTCTATGATTTTCTTAATTTACACCCTTTAATTTGGAAAAGACCCATTTAACTGTGCTTAAAATTATTTGCAGGGCACGGTCTATTGTTAACATTTTCATGTAACTTCATAGGGTCCAATGAAATGGGTGCAGAAGGTGTAGCCCAGGTATCACATTTATAGATGGGCCTGGTATTAGAATATGCCATGTCCATGTTCAGAACTTCATTTTTAAATAAATTTCTTGAAATTTATGATGATTCAGAAGTAATTCAGATTTAATTTAAATGTTTCTTATAAGGTTTGCTAAATAAAATACTGCCAAAAAGGTTGGAAGAGTATATTGAACTTTAAAGCAATTTAGAAGCCTTAGTTGTGTGCTTTTGGGATGCTCAGGTTCATGGGCAAACACAGCAGGGGCACTTTTGTGCACGCAGAGTTCTGAAACAGCGCTAAGGGAACAGACCCAATGTGTAAGGCAGGGGCCTTATTTTCAGCCACTCTATGGCTGCCCTTGAAATTCATGTAATGCTTTAAGATATATCCTCACATTCTATGAGGACATGGGCTTTGTTTCATAGGGTCCTTGAATTTCAGTAGAGTTGGCCCCTTTACAGTGTTATGTAATATTTTGTTATTGAATGAATATATGAAAATGCATGCATCAAAAATGTCCAATGACTTCATTTATATTCTGCATTTAATCTATTTCTAATTAGTGAACTTTTAAGTAATGTGAAAAGTGGCTTCAGGATAGTTTGGGGTTCAATTGAGGACATGTTTTAGAGTAAAAAATATCTATAATACTCAAAGATTTTGTTAGAAAATGACAAAGGAGGTCATTGAGTTATGGTCCCTTTTTCCACAAAGCTAATTTCTTTCTTTATTGTGAACTACTGTTTAATATTCTTTCATAGCATACAAAATTTATTTTAAAAGATAATGTTCATTTTATGGAAAACTTTATGGTGTTCTGGCTTTTTCTATTTATTTTCCTCATTCCTTTTTGAGGACTGATTTAACTCAGCATGTATGTTTCAGATGAGTGAATATTTAGGAAGCAAATTCTTAATAGCTAGATGATCTGACAGTGGATATTCGAAAGGGTAAAGCAACGGAAATAACATGGTGAACATTTCAGGATCCTGGTGAATTATTATGCGGAAAGTTTTTGAAAATTTATTTTTCGTTAAGTTAGTCTGAACCTGAATTGTTATCATAACAATGCAGCATATTCTTCTGTCTAAGGAGGTAAGTGAAATCAGATTTAAAAACTCAATAACTATACTTAGAAATGGCACATTAAAACTTAATTTTATTTTCTCCCTTTTAAGCAAGACTCAGCCCTTTGTCTACTTTCAATCCTGTTCTGGGGCACACACTTTTTCTGAAGGCAAGCTGAGAGCACTTTGCATTGTAAGCAAACTGAGGTTCAGCCTTACCCTGCCCCTGTCCTGATTAATATTTGGACATTTACCTGGTTCTCCTTTTCCCACATGCTCCAAGCAAAAACTTGCAGGCATGTGCAGAGTCACAGGCAGGCTCTCCCAGGGAGGCGGGAGCAGAGGTCCACTAGCAGGCAGCATCATCATGTTCTCTTGATCTCTATAGGTTCTGGGACCTTTAAACCTAGGTGGAAGGTGATTAAAGAAAGGAAGAGATTGATGTATGTCGTAGCAGAGAAAGAGAAGTGGGGACATCTGCCAAGCATGGTCAGCATGGTTTCCTATATCCTAGGAAAGCTAATCAGGACCGTTTCTGTAGGACCTGTATCATTTGAAATCTTTTCTGCTTTTGAGTTTAAGGCAGAAAGATGTAGTCAGGAGAAACAGATAGAGAAGCAGGAGGTAAGCCCAATGGCTTGTGGGGGAAGAGAATGTTTACAGTGTACACTTGATAGGGAAGGCAATTTTATTCCTGTCTTCCCAGATCATCCCCACTTCTAGTTCCTTACTTTGTTGCTAGATGCTCCCATGAGAGGAAGAAGGAGTTGCTATCCCAGGCCTGGGATCTTGATACTGTCAGTTGCCAGGGTTATCATTCCTTAATATTACAAAGTTATGCCTATTTATTATTATCTTCCTGGTTTTATGCAGCAGAGTGGGCAAGTGGTCTTAGGGTCTCAGGGAGCTTGATTAAGAGGCAGCCTCATTCTTGTATTCTCTGTCTCTCTGTCTCTTTCTCCCCCTAAAATCTACTTGATCTTAGATACAGACTTGGATGTTTGTTAGTTTCTTCAAATAGTGTTTTTTTTTTTCTTTTTAAGTTTTATTTTAGGTTTGATGGTACATATGAAGGTTTGTTACATAAACACATGTCATGGGGGTTTGTTGTACAGATTATCTCATCACCCAGGTATTAACCCCAGTACCCAATCTTTTGGGTACTTTTGGGTACCCAGTTATCTTTTCTGCTCCTCTCTCTTCTCTCACCCTCTCCACTAGAGTAGACCCCAGAGTCTGTTGTTTCTTTCTTTGTGTTCATTAGTTCTTATCATTTAGCTCCCACTTATAAATAAGAACATGTGGTATTTGGTTTTCTGTTCCTGCATTAATTTGCTAAGGAAAATAGCCTCCAGCCCCATCCATGTTCCCACAAAAGACATGATCTCATTCTTTCTAATGACTGCATAGTATTCCATGGAGTATAGGTACCACATTTTCTTTATCTAATCTGTCATTGATGGGCATTTAGGTTGATTCCATGTCTTTGCTATTGTGAATAGTGCTGCAATAAACATTCATGTGCATGTGTCTTTATGGCAGAATGATTTACTATTTATATTCCTGTGGGTATATACCCAGTAATGGGGTTGCTGGGTCAAATGGTAGTATACTTTAAGCTCTTTGAGGAATTCACCATACTGCTTTCTACAATGGTTGAATTAATTTACACTCCCACCAACAGTGTATAAGTGTTTGTAATAACAACTCATTGTGGTTTTGATTTGCACTTCTTTAATGGTCAGTAATATAGAGCTTTTATTTTCTTGCTTGTTGGCCACATGTATGTCTTCTTTTGAGAAGTGTCTGTTCATGTCCTTTGCCCATTTTTTAACGGGGTTGTTTGTTTTTTCTCTTGTAAATTTGTTTAAGTTTCTTATAGATGCTGGATATTGGACCATTGTCAGATGAATAGTTTGGAAATATTTTCTCCATCAGAGCTCTGTATTAGCTACTTGCATAGTTACTAGTTAAGTAGTACTTCAATTCCTATTTTTCTGCAGAGAGGAGTAATGGGCAGGAAAAGCTAGAGACACCCCCAGATATTTGGCCATAATACTATCACACACCACCCAAACCCCATCTTTTAAAATAGGCAACTAAAAGTATAGAAAGACAATTTGTTTTGATGAGAGGGGGAAGAAGATATTTGGGGTCAAACAGACATGTGTTTGAATCCTTGCCTAAACTTAGTGACTAGTTATTTATTACATTTTAAGTTGTTGGTCTGAGCCTATTTTATTATCCCTAAAATGGGGTTTGTAATATTTTCCCTGAAGAGTTGTTGTAAAAGTCGCACCTAGTACATTCCATTCTTTGATATATAATAGACATGAATTTATAGGCATTTTTATCTAATCAGCTTCTGAGATTTTTCCCTCCTTTCCCCTCTTGCAAAAGACCTCTTTCTCTCTTTCATACACAACAACCCTCAGGCTGCCTGTCATCTTTCTCTGACTTCTCTTTTTTTCTTAAAGGTTGCCCTGATTCACTGTCATCAGACTTCATTTGTATATACCTACAGGCAGTTGAGGGCTGAGTAAAATAGAAGGACATAAGTCTTGTGGGCTTACAGCGACTTAGATAATACAGGCATATGACATAGGTCACCTCTCTGTCAGGCGACTTCATGATCCTTGTTGGTAACCCAAGAAGGCTAATGGCATAACATGCTTTCAAACTGATAATTCTTACATATCTTTTCAACTTTTATTTAGAGTGAACAGGTGATGTTTCTATTGAAAAAAATGTATATTTTTTTCTGTGTATAATGTAGTTTGTTGTATGTAATGAAGCAGTAAAAATTGTTTTAGAATTATCTTTCATTTCACAATTTTAAGTCATTCTTAAACAAGTAACATTGGTTATTCATACAGACAAAGTGTTAAATATGTTCCCCTTTCCACCTCTTTATCTGGCTATTAAAAATATCATCTAAATAGATACTTAACCTTATTTCTGGACTCTGCCAATCTTTCTTCATTCTACTCATGTCGGGGTCTTGATCATTTATTGTCATTATGCATTTTGAAGTTGTTAGGAATTTTACCTTTGAATTTCACATATATACGTATTTATACATATATGTATGAAATGCACACACACATAAACAGACACACACAAATAGTTCTCCCTAGAAGAAAGATAAATTACTGGCAGTATTTTGTCAATAATAATAATTCATTTTGTGTTGCAATTTTGAATAATCTCCAGCTCTCAGTTTAATTTTTCCTCTTAAATTTTTATAAATGCCAGTGATTATAAACAGCATAGTTTATTTCTTTAAAAACCCAAGATGACCTGACTAAATAAATGAAATTTTGAAAATCTGTAAAAATGATATAAAAATGTCATCTATGAGTAAAAATATTAATGATACATACTAACCTTAACATATTACTTTATAATTTCTTTATAGTTACAAAACGATATCATATTTATTACTCTATTCCTGACAGCAAACCTATAAATTAGTTATTATTAATATTTTAGACAAGAAATAGAGACCTAAGTCATTTCATTTATCTAAGAGTATGAAGCTAAAGGTTGGCATGACCAGGACTGAAATCTAAATCCTTTAGATCCAAATCCTATGCTCTTTCCTGTGACCATGTTGCAGGTAACAGATATTTTTATTTTTAGAAAATTGAGCAAATGCTCCAAATCTTAGGTTAAGAGTCAGAGAGGCAAGAATAGAAAATCATCCACCTGGGATGATTTGTCCTAGAGAGTGCAATTAACTCGCTCCCAAAGTGTTTTAAAGATCTGGGACATTTTTGATTAAGTAGGTGAAGGTTGGTAAAATTTGCCAACTTTTTCCATTCTGACTTCATTCACTTTTTGTACTTTAAATGTGATTTCATAGAACCAAGAAGTAATGAACCATCACATAAAAGGCTGACAGTCCATGGTGGCTTCAGGCACATGAGATACCTTTTATTCTACTATATAGGGTTTCAGAAAAAAAAATTATGTATAGATTTGAAAGATTCATGGAAAATGGTTTGGAGGCAAGTTACACAAAACAGAATGATGGTTAGGGATGGAAGGGTATATTTCATTCATGGAAGGGAGATGTTTGAGACGTTATCATTGAGATGTGATATCAATTAATTAGGATTTTGTACATTTACATTACAAATCAAATTGGTATCATTATTTTGGATTCAGTGATTCAATGAACCTTAGTGTTACTGATGAGTAGTAGATACTTTACTTTCAAAACACTTTCAGATTGTTAGGCAGCAGTGGGGAAGATTGCAAGGAAAGCAGAGGTTGAAATAAGCCTTCCAGGTTTAAGGGTCTTGGTGCTCTTAAAAAATGTAGTGGTACTACAATAAAATATTTTAACAGAAAGGAATCTCAAAGAGTAAGGCATTTCTACTTTGCACATGGGATTTTATACAAAGAACAACCATGCTATATTTCCTGAAGGTAATGTTATTTTTGAATGCAGGATGGGGTCGAATTATTAGCAATTACATTTTCACATGCAATATCATAGGAGTCTCTTGGCTTTTATACTCTTAGAATTTTTCAGTGACTCAGCAGATTGAGTTGCAATGTCAAAAGGAAGGAGTTGAGAAGCATGGCCTTGAGGGACAAAAGAAAGAAAACCAAGTCACGGAAGCTTTGCAATTTGTCCAAAATTTTCAGCTCCTAAATCTATGTTCTTGAACTGTATATCCTCAGAGTTCTGTGAAATCGGGATAATAATAACCCAAATCCACAATGTTACTGTAGTATTAAACTAGAAAATAAGTGATAAGTGCTTAACACAGTATGAAGCAGACACACTGCAAGATGCCGTAAGGTTACAATGAAACTAATTATGCTTATTAAACATTCTATGCCTTCTTTACCATACCACACAGTAGTAACACAGACAATTTAGTACGGGGAACAGAGTTGGTAGAAAAGCTGCTGCTTCTTTGTTCTTGCAATGTCAGGGAGTGCTGGATTTTGGGTAGGTGTTGCAGGAACAGGGATAGGAGTTTGAGGTAGGTGGAAGAGGGAGGAAATAGAACAAGACCCAGGAGCCTGCCCATGACACTGTTGTGAAAGTTAACATCCTTTTACCAAACACCCTGAGTCCGCCTACTACCCCAATGTTAGCAAAAGTATTTGAAAAAGGGCTCATTCATTTACAAATTCTTTATTCTGAATTGATAGTTCTCCAAAATAAGGGAGACTAATTTCACGGCAGTCCCCCAAATGCAGGGGTTGCTTGCATGGCATTGAGAACCATGCTTCTTGCTCCAGTGGCACATGGGCAGGCTTGTGTATGCTAAAGAATGGAGATTCACAGCAGGAATGGGGAGAGACCTTTAAAGCTCACAGTAAGTTAAGCATATGGGTAAAATAGACTGCCTGTTATGCACACCACCCTCTTATGTGACCCTTTCGGAAAAAAACTTCTCAATATAAGGAAATTATGACCTACTCAAAGGAATTATCTCCCTGCTTTCAGCTCCACTGAGTTATTCAACTTCTGTCAGTGTAACTTTCTATTTGAGTTATATAGGGAAGAAAAAAAAAAAAACATTTGGCTTAACTTGGTATAGTATTTTTCAAAATTCAAGCATCCCTAGAGTTCTTAGAAAGTAATGAGCATTGAGTTTGTCTTTGGCCCAGAGAGTTTTTATCCACTGTCTTGGAAGAAGTTGACAGTTCTGACACTTGATCATTCATACCTGGTGACTTGTGTGTCTCCAGTGAAACTCGAAGACAGAACCCAGTCTCTAATGATAGAAAAAAAAAAAAAGGAAAGCAAAGAAAATGTGTTTTCTTAACCACCATTATAGGAGATGGACAGTTCATATTTTAAGGTAAAAAATGAAATTTTTCTTGGGTCTCTTAAATGGGGGAAGTTTGATATTTAATCAGGTTAAAACTATTATCAAATAAGATCATTTTGATTATCCGGTGACTTTTTGTTATATGACATCCATTAGGGGTTCAGTTTAATTGCTAAGTAATGTGTTGGTGGCTAGAACATATTTTATTGAGATCTTATTTGAAAAAGCATCTGTAAATTTTCATCAAACATCTCAAATTACATCTTTCAAAAATCCATGACTATACTTAAATTTCTATGAGCTAATTGCTCAGACAATAAACAACAATAAGTAATGAACAATGGTATTTGTTCCTAATCTTTTTTCTAAATGTTAATTATACAGTTCTTTTTTTGTTTTCAGTTTCATTTTTAGATTCCACTGACTGGCTTGTGTTTCAGGAACTGGGCTAACCCAGAGAACAACACATGTATCAGTCAGGGCTCAACCAGAGAAAGAGAATCATTAGGAGAGGTACATATTAAGAGATTTATTGCAGTGAATTGATTGACACAGTTGTCAGGGCTGGCTAGGCAAATCCGAAATCGACAGGACAGGGCATCAGGAAGGGCAGGCTGGAACTCTTGGGAACTAGCAGAAGTTGCTGTCCACAGGTGAAATTTATTCTTCATCAGGGAAGCCTCAACTCTACTTTAACATGTATTAACTGAGGGAATCAGGTCCACTCAATTGTCTAGGAGAATTCCCTTACTAGAAGTCAATTGATTATGGATTTTGAAAATATCAACAAAATGCCTTCACAGCAACATGTGGACTGGTGTTTGATTAAATAACTGGGGACTGTAGCCTAGCTAAGTTGACACATCTGAAGACCATCACAACATGTCAGCATATAACTGATCCATGTGAATAGCAAATAATTAATACTAATTGACTATTTTATTCAAACAGGGCTTATCTTTGCATTCCCAAAAAGATTTCATTTTGAAGATGCTTCAGCATTGCCTTCTAATTCTCAGTATAACCTCAAATAAATAAGTCAGTAGGTGACGCGGGTTGGGTTTTCATCTGGAGAAAATCTCTGAGTTATCTAAACCAGATATTAATGCTCCAGGCCTATAAATATCAGCACATAGCTGCTATTTGGAGGACATGGGATTATCTTCTTTTCTTTCTCCAACTTCTTTTTAGTCTTAATAGGGGAAACCATTCTTTCATGGAATTGATTATTTGCTGCTATGGTAAAGAAGTAATAGGATTTTTAAAAATGTATAAAATAATGTTGAATACATGATGGCTAAGTTCCCAGGCTTGCCCCTACAAACTCAGTTCAAAGATCAAAAACTGGACCCTTTAGCTGTATACCCCCATTTGGAGAGTTCTTCCTTAAGGCAACTATACCACAAACTTACAGCTAGTTTATGAAGTATATATACACCCAACTGATATCACTTCCCTGTGTACTCATTTGTTAAATTGTTCTATTTTTAGTATAATAATTATTTCTAATTGTTTCTCATAAGGTAACGTTTATCGAGTTTCTACTACATGCTAGACTTGATGCCAGAAGCTGTGGTATAAAACCACAAAGGCAAAGGAAACAGCCTTACAGAGCTTAATTGTGCATTCAATTTGGGGTAATTGGTATAATAAGGGAAGTAGAAAATTCTGTAAGAGAATATATGGGGGCACCAGCGAATTTCTAATGATTTTTTTTCTAGAGGAATTAATAGCTAAACTGAGATTCACTTGGTTTAGGGCAGGAGGGAATGGAAAGGGCAGGAGGAGAGGAAGCACATGCATGAAAGATAAGAAGTGAGATAGCATGATGGATTATGAGAGAGGTTGTATCAGGTTGAAGCATAGAATTCAAAATGAGAGGGTTGGAGTGTCCAGAGATGAGATTGGGTGGGGGGCGGTAAGTAAAGGCCAGATATTAGAAGAAATTAATTTTAATCTTCACCTGCAGAAAATCAAAAGGCATCAGAGAGCTGGAAGTGAAAAAGCAAGAAGGGGGCAGATTTGCATTTTAGAAAAATCTCTCTGCTTGTAGTATAGATGACAGATTGAAGAAAGGGATCCTGTAAATCAGAAGGTAATGGATGTTTCAATTTTACACATTATTGTACATATATTCCCACTGACTAGTTCAGTGCTTGAAATACAGTAGGCATTGATTTATTAATGTATTCTTTCATTTCATTCCATATGCATTAGTCACTTAACTGCTGTGTTAGTCAGTTTCTCCAAAGAAAGAACCAATAGGAGATAGATAGATAGATGGAAAGATTAGATAGATAGATAGATAGATAGATAGATAGATAGATAGATAGATAGATAGATGGATGAAAGGAGATTTATTGGGGGAATTGGGTCACATGACCAGGGAGGCTGCAAAGTCTCATGAGAAGCTGTCTGCAAGCTAGAGACCCTGGGATGCTGGTAGCATGTCTCAGTACAAGTATGCAGGCCTCAGAACCAGGGAAGCTGATGGTGTAACTCTTAGTGTGAGGCAGAAAGCCTAAGAACCTAGGGGGCCATTGGTGTAAGTCCTGGAGTCCAAAAGCTGGAGGGCCTGGAGTCCCAATGTCTGAGGCGGTAAAAGAAGAATGTCTCCTAGCTCCCAGAGAAAAAGAGAGAGTCCAATTCACCCTTTTTTCTAATTTTTTTGCTCTATCCTGGGTCTCAGCTAATTGAATGGTGCCTGGCCACTTTGAGGGTGGATCTTCCCCCAGGCAGTCCTCTCAGACTCATAAGCTGAGCTCTTCTGGAAATACTCTCATTCTAGATATTCCTTAATCCAGTCAAATTGACACCTAAGATTAACCATCACAACTGCTCTCTATAATACTCCATGCTATATGCAAAGAAGATAGTAAGTACTAAATTAGACTGGCATGGTCTAAGCCATAATGGGTCTCATGGGAGAGGGAGATAAACAATAAATTAATGAATAAGATAATTATATATTGTGCTAAACTCCATGAAAGAAAACAAAGATTGCTCCGATAGAGAACAGCATGTGCTACTTCAGGTAAGGTTGTCAGAGAAAACCTGCTTAAGGAGGTGGTAGCCTTAAGATAGAAATTGGAAAATGAGTATTTTAGAATAAACCGCAAAAAGTAAAATCAGGTGGGAGCTATTACAAAGACCCAAAAAGGATATGATAAGTATCAATACAATAGGTCATAATTGTATTGTAGGTCAGAGAACTCATAATTAAGTAGGGGGTGGAGGCAGACTAGGGGAATATATTTGTAGTACAATGTGAAGAATAATAGAGTTATGTCCAAAATGCTACAAGAGAATATAGGAATAAATACTTCTTTTGGATATATATAGAGGAAGTCTTCACAGAGAGGGTAGAATTAGATCTGCTTTTGAAAAATAGGTAGGACTTCACCAGAGAGGGAAATGCATGAAGTTCAGTGAGGAATGGCCAGTCTGAGGGCTGAGCTTGAGTAAAGGCATGAGAGATGCAACAAAAAAGCATGGTATTCCTGGGAACAGTGACAGGACTAGATGGGCTTTAACGTAGAGTCTGTAGCAGACAGAGGGCTTGTGATCTACCTTGCTCTGAAAGGATATTCTTACTCTGCTAACCCAGAAATACACCTTATAATGGAGCTGGACTAAAATAGACCCGTTTTATGATGGTGCCTCATTTGACTTTTCCATGGTCTGACTGCAATGCTCAAAGTTTGTCACTCCATATTTGTTATTGTTTTGTATAAAGTCCACTCAAACCACCATTTTTGCCTTTAAATAGTTGTCTGGCTTTCCAGAGTAACCAACATAATACATTACTAAACATGTCCATTAATAATTTCAATTTAGTTTTAAGAGTGTAAAGGGATCTCAAAGTCTTCTAATTTGGTCTCTTCCTTAATGATAGTTAGTCTTAGGATAATCAAGCATGTATTTATTTTTCCATCTATGTCAGTATTTCTCTTTTTTTGTCTTTTCTCTCTGGCCTTTGTCTCTTTTTTCTCAACCACTCTCTGTTTTCTTTCTGAATTGCTTTTCTCCATCATACTTCCTAATATTACAAATCTATAGCTGCCTCCCCAAAAAACTTGCCCTTGCAAGAAGCAACAAATAGATGTGAATAACGTTCTAGAGACATCCTGATTTTTGTGCCCTTACTCTTAGGTCTTATTAGAATAGTGTTCCTATAAGCAGTGGCCTTTTAAACATATTTTAATAATATTTCTGATATTTTAAAAATGTGTTTTATCATTAAAAAAATTAACATCACCACCAAAAATCTTCTCCTTTATGATGTGCTTATTTCACAGCACATGCCTGTATCAAAACATCTCATATAGCCCATAAATATATATACCTATTGTGTATCCACAAACTTTTTTTTTTTTTTTTGAGACAGAGTCTCGCTCTGTTGCCCAGGCTGGAGTGCAGTGGCTCGATCTCAGCTCACTGTAAGCTCCGCCTCCTGGGTTCACGCCATCCTCCTGCCTCAGCCTCCTGAGTAGCTGGGACTACAGGTGCCTGCCACCATGCCCGGCTAATTTTTTTGTATTTTTAGTAGGGACGGGGTTTCACCGTGTTAGCCAGGATGGTCTCGATCACCTGAACTTATGGTCTGCCCGCCTCAACCTCCCAAAGTGCTGGGATTACAGGCGTGAGCCACAGCACCTGACCAAACATTTTAAGAAAATACTGTATATTCTAGAAAACTTGTTCTAAAATTGTTCTGTAAATCTGACTCTATGTATGTATTAGATTATATATATGTATGTATATGTATGTATCAGACTCTAGTATGTATTAGATTTGTCCAGTTGAAAAATGTGCTAATACCATTGTGCCTTAATTTTGTTTTCTTTTTAGGTAAATGTTATCAACTGTAGAGACTGAAAATTAGGAATATACCAAACATCATTAAGAATTTTAATGCTTTTTTCTTTCATTTAAACAATATAGTTTAAATAAGCTTATATCCAGTTTATAAATCTGAAATAGATAATTAGTGGTAAAAAAAACATAGTAGACTTCTGCTTTGAGAACAGCATCAAACATTGCTGTTTCAAAATGCCACTTAAAATCATCTGACCTACATTGTCATCTTCTTTTGAATGGTTTTTATTGCCATGTTAACAGCTTGACCTGAAGTTTGTCTTCTTTGGCCTCCAGTGGAAAAATATCATTCGGTTGACTGGTTCTTAGAAAAGTTTATTAAAGTTGGCTACACAATTTAACAGTGTAACAGAAACTGGGGCTAATGCAAACTGTGGCTCGAAGGGGCAGCATTTAGCATGGAAGAGTCCTGTTCCTCTAAACTGTAAAACATTCACAGCAGAGTCACCGTGTACTTTCAGGAGCCACCTCACACGCTGAAGTCAAGTTATCACTCAATAAATTGTTGAGAACATTTCATTGGCAGTGAAATCTTTTAAGAAAGCTTTTCCAGCTAAGCACCACCTGCTGGAGGCCACCTGTTTTCTGAGCAACAAGGTACCCAATCAAGGAGCCCAACTTGGTTTGGGTTTCTAAGGCATCTTTCCAGATTCTATAGCATTGAAAAGCTAGAGACAATTTGGTGCAGGTGAAGTCTAAATATTATGAACAAAGATTATTTATTGAGACTCCATTAGTAACTCCATTAATAGACATATATGTCTATCACTATGTTATAAAAAAGTGGATAAGACTGGAGGAGCCTTGTGGGATCTATACTTAATTTGAGAAGACAAGCATATATAATTACCTAGTTATATTGATTCTTATATTTAAAGAGTGCAAATGAGCCATAGGTCAGTGAGGTAGGAGAGGAGAAAGCAAAGTAATGAAAATTTCTCATCCATTATGACACACAGAATACCTACTAGAATAAGTTAACCTTTGTGTATGTTCTTGTTGGAAATCTCTGTAGTGTTGCTGCTAAATGGTAGTGTGTTCATTGTCAAATTTGTTGCCCAGAGAGCAATACCTTGAGTTGGTGCATTGACTTCACTTGCGTTCTTCTCGACTGATAACATTGTTTTATTTACCGATAAAAATCATGATTCATAAACATAGCACAGGTTCAACAGAGGGCTGAATTAATATTTTAAGGCATTTGTCTGAGCAACTAATAACAACACAGCCTGTCTTGAAAGGTCTCTAATATTATTATGCTCTCATAATATTTAGAATAAGAGGAAGATTATGCCAACAATAGAGTCATTCATTTATTCAAATCAAGAGAGGAATGTAGGTGCCTACTGTGTGCCAGGCACTGGGGTAGGAGCTGAAAGGCAACATTTACTAAGACATGGCCTTTCTTTTGTGTGTTTTCAGCAAGAATATGCATGCAGAGCCCATAGTCTATATGAAGTGATAGATAACATTCTTAATTACAATATAAAATGAAAGCATTAATAGGTACAAGTAAAACATGTCTGGGGAGCATCAAGAATAGAGGAATATTTGCAAGGTGAAGGCTTCCCAGAGAGGTGACTTTAGAGGCTTATCTTGAAGGAAGAATAGATGTTGTAAGGCAGATAGGCTGTATTACAGTAGTAGCAAAATCATTTTATCATGTATATTTTGCCGACTATTTTGTTACACATATCTTTTTTCTTTGCAATACATTTTATTAATTATCCTAATAACTCTGTGATTCAGGTACCATTGTCATCTCCATTTTAGAGAATGAAAAAAGTACCAAGTATAGAGAGGTTAGTAATTTGTCAAGGTCTCCCAGCCTGTGTGTGGAGAGCGATCACTGCTGAGCCTGATCTCTTATCCACCTAAATGAAACCATGTGTCACTGTGCTGGTGAGAGGAATAGACACAAGGGTTGTGAAAAACTTAGCATGATTTTCTGGCCCTGGTTATTAGAATTCAGTTTTGGTGAGACTGTGAGATCGAGAATAAGGTCCAGATCGTATGATTCTTTTACATCCCTTTCAATGCCCTATATAAATTTCCTAGATAATTACAGACATGAACTCTTTTTATGTGTATGTGTGAAAATATTTTTGAAGCAGAAAGTCATTTACAGATACAAAGTACAACTTTTAAAATATTTGGGATAAAGATGTTCTCTGAAGCAAGTTCCTTGCCATTGATTCATGAGTATTGAGTCTTTACTAAGGAAACTTTGCAAAATCATAAATGATACATAAATAAGTGATGTGCTTGCAAGATTCTGACAAAGTCAGTTAGTATCAAAAAAGAGACATAAATAAATTAGTTCCTTGTTGAATAAAATGTATGAAAAAAATCAGAAGAATGAACCTTAAAGGATTCAGATCCTCACTTAATTATATGGGTAGTGAAATCTAACTGCCATAAAACGTCAGCTTCTGTGAATACATCCACAATTCCAGATATAACAGCCTGCCTTTTGCTGTGACATTGTTTATCAATTTCTGGAGGCTCACTAGGTGCATTTAATATTTAAATACAAGGGAAACCGAGAAGAGAAGACATTCTTCCTGCCACACGTATAGATTATAACACATCGTTGTGGAAATAATATGATAAAGACAACATCATGGCTGCACCACCATTAAATCTGTTCTCTTAGTTCTTTAGTGGAAAGATGTGGAGTCACCTACCCACGGTTTGCTTGATTTCTTCATCTTTGAAGAGCTAAATTATGTTATGTTTTAGAAATGATTTTTTGATTTCTCTTTTCTCCAAATCCCTTGATTGCTCAAGCCTGGGTTATTTTTAAAAGCTTTAGATTTTCTTTGCACTCATTTCTCATTTAGAGTTTGAAATGATATGATCAAGTACATCTGCCTTAAGAAATAGCATTTAAATCAAGATCTGGATGAATTTGAAGTAGTTTTTTAAAAGTAGAGAGCATTTTATTAACTAAGTTTCTGCCCATGGGAATATTTTAAATGTGTGAGGATAAAGAGAATATGTTATCTTCCCAGCAGCTGGTGTGAGAAAGCTTGTTGAGAAGAGGCTTTGATAAAGCCACCAGGGGGTGAGAACAATACTTTGGAGTCTTGGGTAGAACTTATGCCTAGGTTTCATGTAAGGAAGAGAGTAGCGCTGAAAAATGAAGAATGAATGAAATAAGAGTTAGAATGGTCAGTGTGTGGGACAGCCCAGAACGGCGGTTTTGAAAGTGTAGGACATATCCCATTAGTAAGTCATGGAATCAGTTAATGGATGTCAACCAGCCACTTAAAAAAAAAGGGGGAGGAAGAGAATAGGAAATATTGGTATGTAAGACATAGTGAAGATTAATAATTTTTAAGGAAATATTTGCATGTCACATATAGTGAAGATTAAGTATTGTTTTGTAAAATGTTTCAATTTTATGTGTGTGCATATGTATTGGGTAAATATATTTCTTATAGAATCTTGGTAAAAATAAATTACAAAAAATGATCTACAGAGAAAGGGAATGTGAATTAATGGTAGGACAGGGGCTTTCTTTGGGGAAGAATAAAGCTAAGAGTTTATAAACCCTTTCCATCTCTCTGGCAAAAACTTCAGTGAATTCTACCTTGTTACAAATACCTCCAATAAAATGAATCTTGTTGTTTTGTGTGTGTGTGTGTGTGTGTGTGTATGCACTTGTGCACACATATGGGAGTGTATAAGCTTAGTATTAGGAACAGGGAAGGTATCAAGGAGGTAGAAAAGAACAGATGACCGTGAGTACGTAGAATTACATATCTGTGTATATGGATATGTAGAATTACATGTGTGCGTGTGTCCATATTTGAGTGTCTTTAATGTATCCACATATCATGGATACTGCATTTAAATTTTTGGATACATTTAAATAATATCATCTGTAGGTGAGAAACTAATAAATTTCAAATAGCTTTATTGAAAATGGAAAGCAGTGTAAATATAGGTAGTTACTTAATTATTCAATTTAATTTTGAATTCTGTCACTTGAAATGAGATGTACGATTAACTAAATGTGTATTATCAGGTCCAATGCCAAAAGTCACTTTATTTTTAAGAAATTTTTTTCACATTGCTGATTTTCAAGGTACTATCAGAAAGATTGTCAGAGTATGCTATTTTAATATTTTTTCACAAAAACATTAGTCTGAAAAGTCCACCTATGTGCAAGAGTGTGAGTTCCTCTGCATATATATCCCAATATTTTGTGTTAGAATTTAATGTCATGTTTTACTCTGTTTTCTACAATTCATTATCTTCATCTGTAGATTAAATAATTTTAGGAGTATTTCAGAAACTGCTGAATATTTTTTAGCATCTTCATTAAGACAAATATTTTTCCTTTTTCCTTCCTCTTACCCATTCTTCCTTTATATTCTTTCCTTCTTTTCATATATAAACTGAGTTTCTCCCATGTGCCATAAGCTGGGAAGACAGACACTGTCCCTGTCCTCATAGAGTTACAGTAAAGGGGAAGGACAAGGAGTGAGAGCGCACATCGTTGGGCATCTAGCATAGAAGTAGGGGTTTGGAGGAAGTCCCTGGGTCAAATGACATCTCAGATGCTACCTCAAGTATCAGAAATGCATGACCAGGCAAGTCAGAGCTGGGATGAGGTGAAAGTGTTATAGGAAGAAGAAATAGCATGTGCATAGGGTGGGTGACAAGATGAACATGGGAGAGAGAGGTGAGAGACGACCACAGAGAGGTGAGAAGGGGCTACATCTCGCTATGAAATCTACTGAAACCAGGTAAGAGTCTGGTTGTGTCGTAAAAGCAATGGGGACTTGCTGATGGCATTTACGCCAGCTCCACTTGAGTAGGAATATATTTCTGAAAACAACCCAAAGCCACTCAACATCCAGTGTAGACTTAGACCAGAGGTCAAGAAATTTTTTTTGTAAAGAATCAGAGATTTTTTTAAAAATTATACTTTAAGTTCTGGGATACATGTGCAGAACGTGCAGGTTTGTAACATAGGTATGCACGTTCCATGGTGGTTTGCTGCACTCACCAACCAATCCGTCACCTACATTAGATATTTCTCCTAATGCTCTCCCTCCCTTAGCCTCCCACCCGCTGACAGGCCCCAGTGTGTGATGTTCCCCTCCCTGTGTCCATGTGTTCTCATTGTTCAAATCCCACTTATGAGTGAGAACATGCAGTCTTTGGTTTTCTGTTCCTGTGTTAGTTTGCTGAGAATGATGGTTTCCAGCTTCATCTGTGTCCCTGCAAAGGGCATGAATTCATCCTTTTTTATGGCTGCATAGTATTCTATGGTGTATATGTACCACATTTTCTTTATTCAGTCTATCATTGATGGGCATTTGGGTTGGTTCTAAGTCTTTGTTAGTGTGAGTAGCGCTGCAATAAACATATGTGTGCATGTGCTTTTATGGTAGAATGATTTATAATCCTTTGGGTATATACCCAGTAATGGGATTGGTGGGTCAAATGGTATTAAATAATTTAGGCTTTGTGGGCCATGTAGTCTCTGTCACAACTACTAAACTCTTGTTGTGCTATGTACACAGCCATAAACCATTTGTATACAAATGAGTGAGATGATGTTCTAATAAGATATTACTTACAGACATTGAAATTTGTATTTCATATAATTTTTATGTTCCACAAAATACTCATCTTTTTATTTTTTCTCAACCATTTAAGAATGGTTCTTAGGTCACAGACCACACAAAAGTAGGCTCTGAGTCAGATTTGGCCCACAGACTCTAGTGTGCTGAACCCTACTCTATAGAGAAACTCAGGTGTGTAACCTAGGTAGCAACATTTGGGTGGTGCCTGAGGACACCTACAGAGTAAAGCACCTGGTTAATCCTTGCTTCTAACTCTAATTCTAATGGCTGAATGCAAAGGTACTTTAAGTATTATGTACAATTGTAAAGACTCTTAAGATGATGCCTTGGAGGGACAATACATATTTTTTATCTGTTCTGATATGTTTAAGGAGAATTAATGTTTTCTAAAACAAATCAAGTCTTCAAGTGTTTTCACATGCTAATGATGGAAACAGGCATTATAAGAAAGACATACATGGTAAATGTATTAGTTTGGGTTCTCTAGAGAAAGTGAACCAATAGAACATGTATATTTCTGTGTGTTTGTGTGTCTGTGTGTGTATGTGTGCATGTGTGCAAAATCCCAAGATCTGCTGCTGGAGACCCAGGAGAGCCAGTGTTATAAATTCCAGTCTGAGTCTGAGTCTCAAGGCAGAAGACTGATGTCCCAACTAAAGACAGGCAGAAAGAGAGAGGAAAGGAGAGACAGAGAGAGAGAGAATTTTTTCCTACTTACCTTTTTTAATCCATTCAAGCTGCTGATGGATTGGTTGAGGCCCACTCACGTTGGAAAGAGCAATCTGTTTTTCTCAGTATACTGATTCAAATGTTAGTTTAATTGAGAAACGCCCCCATAGATGCACCCTAAAATAATGTTTAACCAAATATCCGGGTACCCTGTGGCCCAGTGAAGTTGACACATAAAATTAATCATCACAAAAACAAATGAGTTTCTAAGTCAGAATGAGATAATTGGAAGGTCTGGTTACTCTGAAGAGTAACATTAAATTGGGACCTTCAGATGAGTGAGTTAGGTAGCGGAGTCATTGGGGGTGTTGAAGGCAGGTAAGAGAAGTTTAGATGGGGGAGTTATATATCTTTGAATCTAGTACAATATTAGAGCGTAGGAAAGATCAGAAGAAGTACCTTATTTCTATCTAGTAATGTAGAAAGCCCAGGAACTCTTGGTGTCTCTCTATTATCTGGCCAGAGTAAAGCCAGCTGTAAGCAACATATAGCTGTAAGCAACTTACAGCTGGCTCTACTATGGCCAAACAGTAGAGAGATGCCAATACTCAGGTATTGTAAAGAGTAGATCACCGGCGCTATTCAGTTTTTCAAAAACAAGAACTCTTTTTAAGTAATGAGCTTCCTGCACCTTTGTACACACTTATGCCCCAGTCTTATCTAAATAACATCTAAGAGAAAAGAATAATCCACAAGAAAAACTTTCCATCTAAGCCATATTTATGTCCTGATTTTATCCTTCAGAGCCCTTGCTTCTTGAAAAACACTCCAGGAAGAAGTCATGATGTTTTTTTCACATCATTCTTTCCATTAGATTGAGGTAGGGTAGACCTGTGACCGACCACAGGCAAGTAGTTTAAAGACTTTTCATCTGCAAGCTCTAACTTGGTTTCACTGACCTCAAGACATGTGTTTGAGAGACCATGAACAAAGGATTTCATGCCAAAAGGAGGAAACAATAAAAAGTTATCTCTATAACAGCCTTGAAAAATGCCAATTTTTTTTCAGGAATATCACTAAAATATACTTGCATAAGAACAGTTATTATTGTGGAAAAAGCAAAGCAATTTCATTGCCTTGGCACCACCTCTTTAGCATCAACGGAATACCCTTTCTCCGCCACATATTTCATGTGCTATAGTAAAAGAAATCTACTGAGATTCTGGGTTTACATTTGCAGTCTTCATACACCACATGCACATTCTGATATTCTTTCATAGATGTTGTACCCATTATAACTCGTGTCCCATCACAAGAAAGTGAGTTTTAATTTTAAATATTTTAAATATGAATATCATAATTTACTGTTTTCATGTAGTATTAACATTGTTCCTTAGAGCCCAGGCATATAATGTAGTTTCCTGACATTATAGCAGATCCATTTTTAAGGGTGGAAAAAAACCCAGTATCTTCATTACTTATGAATAATTTGGGCCCTCCAGAAATCCAGCTGTGTTCCCATAGAAACCTCATTGGCCTAGATGTGGTGTCATCGGCCAAGAAAAGCTAAAATTCAACCACTGTATTACAAATTGTTAATTCAAGTAAATATTGAATCATCTAATTACTGATTACAGATAAAACTTTCCCCAATTCTTTAAGAAGTTCAGAAAATATCCATTAAATATGATTGGTCAATAATGAAATACCAGAGTGAGGTGGGAAGTGTTGGCTGAAATGGTGAAATTTACTATTTTTTTAAATGCAGCAAACAATTTCTGAAAATATATCTTAGTGACAAAACTATTTTAATGATGGTTATAAAAGCTAAGTACAACTTGCTAAATTAGTTCTAATCTTATCCTAACAACAGAAGGGGCTTGTAGCTATTATGTTTTCTAGAGAAAACTCAGAGGATGCCATCATAAGGCAACTTTATTTTTCACAATGGCTGTTATCTTTAAACTTGCATTAAAGAGTAATTAATAATTTTCTTCTAACCTTAAGTGACAGAATAAGCTTGACAGCTTAGATAATGAAAAGTCCTACATTCACTTCTTATCACAAGAGTCTGTGTTTCGTAACATGTCCAGTCCGGTGTAATAGTAAGCAACTTTGTATTTTGAGTAAGATGAAAGTTTCTGCCTTCCCTTGGAGAGAGCCTGGTAAAATCGAGAGTCCTCAGTCTGACTTGGGGAGGCCTTTAGGCAGTTTTTTTCCTTAGACAGTAACATCTCTTCAACCAACAACTAACAACTACTGTTTGAAATGGAAGGAAGCAGGGAGAAAAGTCAAGAAAACATAAAAGGTCTTCTTTGACAGACACTGGTCAGTTAGTATCAATCCTCTGTAAAGCTACTAGGACTCAAAGCTGACTTTTCTCTTGGGGCACTTTCATGGATTCTGTGGAGACCTTCTCCCCACCCCAAATACAGGAGATGCATCCCCTTCAAATGGTTGTTTATGTCCTCCATCATCCCTGAGCATCTGGATACTCTTCCAATTTTTCTCTGCTAAATTCTCCTTAGCCCTCTAGGTAGCACTTGTGGGAAGACTTAAGAAAATTTCTCAGCCTTGTTTTTCGTTTTGTATGACCGATATCTGGTCCACGGGAATCACAGTGGCTTTGAGTCATCATGTGTGGGAGTGCGATCCTCTTGTTTCAGCTCCTTCACAGACAGCTCCAGCTTTTTACCTATGAGATGTCTCAGATATGGTAGCTAAAAAGATTAAGGAACGTATCTTGAGTAATCCTGCTGTTCTCTTGAAGATCTCTCACTAGTTTAGGAGAAAGACCAGGAAGATAGGGGAGGTACCACAGTATAATAATCTCCAGGGAAGTCCTCCCTTTGATATTCAGCATTCTGTGGCCAATTCAACTGCAACCGTATCAAACTCCTGATATGAAGGAAAGAAAAGGATAGCAAAACTGGTTTTTAAACAACACTTTTAGAAGTCTTGCACAGGCTATACTTCATTTTCATTTTGAAGTATGTATTTAGAATCTATTTCCTTGGGACTTCAATCAGAAATATAAAATAGTTTCCCATTTTAACACTCAGGTATAGTAGCCATTAATATTCTTATTTGGAAAATAAATTACATTCTAATAATAAATTAACACCAAATTTAATAATGAAAATAAATTTAAGTTCTGCCTAATTATGAAACTATTTTATGTGAGCACTGAGTACACTTAAATAATGGGATTATTAGAGTATTTGTATGTTCATCAAAATAATAGAAATTTTATGTAATTAAGTTAAATTCACTTACCAAAACAAATGAATATAGGATATTTTTAAACCATGCAATATATTAGTATAAATGAGTATGGCAAATCTGAACAACTAGATAAATTTCCTTTCTTTGCCTACAATGACTCAACCAGATGTTTGGCTTCTGCTTTGTTATAACCTGGAATGCACCTTTGTTTGCTTCCAAATCCCTTTGTGATAACTGTGTTGTAAATATCCTTTAGAGATGAGTGTGAAAGAATGACTCTATCCTGAAACTCAAGGGCAAGTTCTGCTTCATTTAAGCCGATCAGTAAAGCCATTTCCTAGCTTCATGATTGGCTAAGGGATAGGGATAGGAGACAAAATTTGGACGAACAGGGCAAAAGGAGAAGGTCATTGGTGATTTCTGGGAAAAGCACTTCCTCCTTCTTTCCAGAGAGCAATTCAGGGAGTTGCTGTCTCTTCCTAATGGACATGAACTGAGGAAAACTGTAGCCCTAGTGTTATTTTGGTAGGCATGTTGCAATTTCAGGAAAAATCAACTTCAAGTGATAACAATACTGTGAGAAACAAAAAAGAGATGAAAAGAAACCAGAATTTTCATGCCTTTTGGAGTGACTGTAATAAAACTAGCCCAAAGTATGCTCTTCCTTTGAACTCTTTAGCTATCTGAGCAAGTAAACTCCCTTTGTTCTTCAGGAAAGATGTAATAGATTTTCTGTTGCTTGCATATGAAACCATCTGGAGTAACACAATGCCTGCTCAGAACATTATCTATGTATCACTAGCAAGCTCACTATTAGGAGTATAATTGGGTGTGCATTATTTCTACCAAAGGCATGTGAGTGGTCTTAATTAAAACCGCTTCTGTATTTGTGTTCTGATCATTTATTTGCTCTACAATTGATCGGTAGGTGGATGGTTTGACCAATTACTGCTCATGCTGTTTCTTCTACAGTCATTGTTAAAAATGCTCTAATGGACAGACTTGCAATATGGGCACCTGTGATTCTATGCTAACTTTGCTGTTGATCTCTGAACACAAGTCCTAGATGATTCTTTTTCACTCACTCCCCATGCTCTGCCACAGTATCTGTTACTGCATTTGCTCTTTTCTTCAAGATTGTACCATCGAGAGACAAAGTTTACCCTCAGTAAATAGGAGAACTGTTCAGAACTGTTCATTTGAAGAAATACACCCTGAGGTTATATACAAATAATCCTCCAGACATTTTAATAGAATAAGATTATCTCAGTGTTTTATTAATTTTATTATATCATTTCACTAAATATCTATCATTTATCTATCTTTAGTGCAATTATATCAATTTTATATAAAACTATTGTATATAACATATAAATATCTAAAATATCTAAATACTCAGAAATATCTAAAACATACAGAAATATATGTAGTATATAACGTGTGTGTGTATCTACACACATACACACACAGACATACACGTATTTATTACACAGAAAGGCTTCTGCTTTCTGGCCCCACTTTCACAGTGGGGTTTGGGGATGAACCTACATTGACACATCATCACCTTAAGTCTGTAATTTACATTAGGGTTCACTCATGGTATACATAATTTACACTAGGGTTTACTCTTGGTATACAATCTATGTGTTTTGACAAATGTATAATGACATGTGTCCAGCATTGTAGTATCACACAGAATAGTTGCATAGCAATATTTTAAAAATAGCATTTATTGGACTAATTAATCTGTCTCCAATTTTTGATTTGACAAATAGGAACTAAGAAATCTTAGAAGAGACCTTAGAGATCCCATCAATGGACTATGGTTCTGATTCATGAATGCTTAATATGCTACTAATCTATCAATGCTTCATATGGACCAATCTCAGTAATAACAGAGATACCAATTAAATAAATTGCAACTATGGCTTCCTATGAAAGGAAGCAGAAACATAGGCAGCCTCCTTTACAGAATGGGGAAATCTTTTTATTTTGAAGGGAAAGCATATAATGCAGAAAGAAGCACAATTAAATATCCATTGCATCCAAACTGAAGTCATTGTGTAAATGAGTTGTGCACCACTATTTATTTATGAAGGTATTGAACATTCATTCTGGCAAAACAATTTATTCAGTTTTAGAGGGCATTATTATGAGTTCATTAGATTTCTATAATCTGCACTTCTTAGAGATTTTTTTCTTTTGTTGTTGTCAAGCGAGACCACGATTGAAACACTTACTCTCAAAGTTTTCTCTGACATTTATCTCTTCTATGGTAAATTGTACAAAATGTTAAGGCCTCATATATACTACAAAGCATTTATCAACTGTTGAGTAGAACCCCAAACTAGTGCTTTGTCCTTCTGGCATCACCTTCAGAGCCCACAGTTGCTGAAGAGGATTGATTTTGATCAGTGTTTTAGTCTGTTTTCTTTCGCTGTAACAAAATACCATAGACTAAGTAATTTCTAAAGAAAAGAAATTTGTTTATTACAGTTCTGGAGGACAGAATGTCCCAGAGCAGGTGCTGGTGTCTGGTGAGGGCCTTTGTACTGCGTTATCCCATGGCAGAAGAGCAGAAGGACAAGCATTTGCCTGCAAAAGAAAGGAGCACCAGGGGTTAGGCTCACTTTTATATTATAACAACCTGTTAATGTGATAATGAACCCATTCCCAAAATAACAAATTAATCCATTCCTGAAGGCTCCACCCTCATGACCTAATCACTCCTAATGCTGTTACAGTGGCAATGAAATTTCAACATGATTTTTTGAGGGGACATTCAAACCATAGCAACCGGGAACCTAGGTTTGTTTCTTAAGCTTAATTAGTGCAATGACAGTTGTAACTCTGAAGGATATAACTCTCCTTCAACTGACAATGTAGATAAATTGCATTATAGTAATAGTATATGTAAGATAACTCAATCATAAGTTTATTGCAGTCCACACCCTGTCAAAGACTCTCTTGAGATGCTTGATATTTGACAGTCTACCTCGCATATGAACTATTGATTCCTGTAGCTTCTCCAATTTTATCTTTTTATCAATTACATCATCTATAAATGCGGCATCTAAACTTTATTATCTTTATGCTAATTCCATACTCCTTGCTTTATTGTGATCTGCTTACTCTCCTCTTCAACTCCAATAAATATCTTTGTTTATAGTTTCTGTCTGCCAACCTAGGAAACATAATCATTATGAAATGGTAAAAGAGATTTTTAGTATGAGGGTGAGGGTGTAGAGAGTACATAAACATCCTTTCTTTTAAGCTTATCCATGTTAGCCTTTAAAGGAGGAAATATGCTTTAGTAGCAGAAAAAAGTCAATTCTAAAATTGTATTTATTTTTAATTTTTGGAAAATTGTGTTCCTATGACACTAATGTATAGAGTTAGGGATGGGGTTTCTCCATGTTGGTCAGGCTGGTATTGAACTCCCGACCTCAGGTGATCCGCCTGCCTCAGCCTCCAAAAGTGCTGGGATTACAGGCGTGACCCAACATGCCCGGCCAAACTTGTGACATTCTGAATAGTGTTGCACAGGTTAACTTCTCTGGGTACCAATGTCTTGGTCTGTAAAATTAAAAGGGTAGCTAGTGGTGATTTTCATACTAGATCAGTGATTTTTGTGCCTCTTGGAGCCATAGGGACCGGAAGGAGCCTCCTATTAGCCATTAAGAGAGAGCAGAATAGAGAGGGCATGAGCTGGAGCTGTTGTGCTGCTTAACTTCCTCACCACCCTTTCACAAAAGTAACCAAAGTCACGTTAAACTTTACCCACTGAGTAAACTTTCTTCAGGATTGTTTTTGAATAAGGGATTCTTCAATGTTTACAAAAATGGAATAAAAGTCTAAGAATTCTTCTAGAGTCCCATAATTCTATGAATTTATGTTTTGTCCTAAAAATCTCTTCTACATTATATTCTTCAAAAATTATGGGAGTAAGCAAAATGTTATAGGGATAACACCCAAACAAAATAGTGTATATTTGTAATAAAAATAACTATCATGTACTGAGTGTTTATGCTAAGACTTATATACACACTTAATGAATAAACCCATTTAGTGCTCACAACAGACCTATAAGATTGGCACTACAGGCATTATTTCTAAGATCACATAAATATAGAAGGTAGGATTTGAACCCAGGCTGACTTGCTCTAGAGCTCTAACATTTAACTACAACTATGTATACTTTCTGTCTAATATAAGACATTAGAAGCACAAGGCAACATGTCAGTTGCTCTCAGGAGTAAATAAAAGGACTTAATTATTTGGGAAAGTTATGAAAAAATGCTTAAAGTGAAGCTCTGTAGATCAAATATTATTGGCATTGCAAGACTGAAAGTGGTTGATACATTGTTTACAACACTTTGCATACATTGTTTTCTACTAAGCTGCTGAAAAGCAATACATAAATAACCAAATAATAAAATTTCAAGAGAATGAGAAAACAAGTTATAGGCTGGGAGAAAATATTAACAAAAGACAAATCTGATAAAGGACTGTTGTCCATATACAAAGAACTCTGAAAACTCACTAATAAGAAAACAAATAACCCAATTAAAATATGGGCCAAAGGCCTTCATAGTCACCTCACCGAAGAAGGTATACAGATGGCAAATAATCATATGAAAAGATGCTTCTCATCACATTTCATCAAAGAAATACAAATTAAAACAAAAAAGAGATATCACCACAAACCTATTAGAATGGCCAAAATCCAGAACACTGACAACACACAATGTTGGCAAGGATGTGGAACAACAGGAACTCCCATGTTTTATTGGTGGGAATGCAAAATGGCACAGCCACTTTTAAAGACAATTTGGCAGTTTTTTACAAAACTAAACACACTCTTACCGTGCAATCTAGCAGTCACACTCTTTGGTATTTACCCAAAAGAGTTGAAAATTTATATCCACAGAAAAACCTGCATATGGAAGTTTATAGCAGCTTTATTTATAATTACCAAATCTTGGAAGCAATCAAGATGTCTTTTGTAGTGAATGAATAAACTGGCACATCCAGACAATGAAATATTATTCAGTACTAAAAAGAAATAAGCTATCAAGCCATCAAGACACATGAAGGAAACGTAAGTGCATATTTCTAAGTGAGAGATGTCAATCTGAAAAAACTACATACTATATAATTCCAATTATTTGACATTCTGGAAAAAGTAAAACTATAGAGACAATAAAAAGATGAGTGGGTACCAAGGGTTGAAGGCAGGGAGGGATGAACAGGAAGAACATGGAGGATTCTTAGGGCAGTGAAACTATTCTGTATGCTACTGTAATGTTGGATACATGTCATTAAACATTTATCCATGCCCATACAATGTGCAACACTGAGAGTGAATTCTAATGTAAACTATAAACTTTTGGTGATTATGATGTGTCAACATATCCTCATCAGCTGTGACACATGTACCACTCTGGTGCGTGATGTTAATAATGGAGGAAGCTAAGCACACGTGGAGGCAAGGCTATACAGGAAATCACCATACCTTCCACTCAATTTTACTGAGGATGTAACATTGCTCTTAAAATAGTCTTTAAAAAGGAGTGGATTTAAGGGCAACACTTTAAATGTCTTTCCACAGCAATGCCAAGTCAAATTCCACTGACCGGAATTTGCAGTACTATGTTGAATATGGTGAGAGTGGGCAACTTCACCTTATTCCTGATCTTAGGGGAACAGATAATTTCAACAAAGAGATGAAAACTATAAAAAATCAAATGGAAATGCAAGAAATCAAAGGCAAGATGACAGATTTAGTTTTTAATGATTAAATATAATGTTAGTTGTGTCATGTCATATACTATATCAGGTTCAGGAAGTTATCTTCTGTTCCTAGTTTCTTGAAAGTTCTTTCCACGGAAATCATCATATCTTTGTTTGTTTTCTTTTGTGTGTTGATATGGTGAATTATATTGACAAATATCTGAATGTTAAATTAGCCTTTTTAATTATTTCATTATACCTTACTTTAACCATGATATATTATTATTTGTATATATTATTGGATTTTTATTTGCTTATAATTTATTGAGGTTTTACATCTATATTCATGAGGGAAATAGGTCTGAAATTTTGTTTTCTTGTAATACCTTTGTCTATTTTTTCTGTAAGCGTACATCTTAGCCTCATAAAGTGAATCAGGGAGTGCTGTCTCCTCCACTACATTCTGGGAAAGTTAGTGTAGAATTGGTATTATTTCTTAATTAAATGTTTGGTAAAAGTCACTGGTAAAGCCACCTGGTCCTAAAGTTTTCTTTCTGGAAGTACATCGCTTACACATTCAATTTTTTAAATAGAGATTAGACAATTTAGGTTATTTATTGGATAAGCTTTGGCAGTTTGTGTCTTTATTAGTTTGTTAGGGCTGGCATAACAAAGTACCACACACTCGTGGATTAAGCAGTGAAAATTTATTTTCTCACAGTTCTAGAGGCCAGAAGTCAGAGTTCAAGGTGTTGACAAGGTTGTTTCTTCTGAGGCCTCTCTTCTTGGCTTGTAGATCTATCTTCTTTGTCTATCCACACATCATCATCCCTTAGTCCAGGTAGTTTATGTCATAATCTCCCCTTGTTTTTAATTTTTTTAAATTTTTAACTTTTGTGGGTACATAGTAGATGCATATATTTATATGGTACATGAGATGTTTTGATACAGACATGCAATGTGAAATAATCACCTCATGGAGAATGAGATATCCATTCCCTCAAGCATTTATCCTTTTTGTTACAAACAATCCAATTATGCTCTTTTAGTTATTTTTAATGTACAATTAAGTTATTGTTGACTGTAGTCACCCTGTTGTGTTATCAAATAATATGTCTTATTAATTCTTCTAGTTTTTTGTACACGTTAACCATCCCCACCTGCCCTCCAGCCCCCCAATACCCTTCCCTTACTAGCACACTAGTTATATTGCATTAAGGCTCACCTATATGAGTTTATTTTACCTTAATTATCTCTGTTAAGGCCCTATCTCTAAATGTAGTCACATTCTGATGTACTGGGGGTTGGGACTCCAACATATGAATTTTGATGTGACACAATTCATTCCATAACAGTGTCATTCAAGGAATTTGTCTACTTCATCTAAGTTGCCAGAATTATGAGTATAGAGCTGTTCATAGCATTCCTTATTAAACTTTCATTCTGTAGAGTTTAGAGTTGTGCCTCTTCTTTTATTCTTGGTGGTGGTATTCTGTGTCTTTCCTTTCTTCTTGATCAATGGGGTCACATATTTACCAATAATACTGTCTTTTCCAAGAAACAGCTCATAGTTTATTTTGTCTATTGTTTTTCTGCTCTCAATGTCATTGACTTCTGATTTTATCTAAATTATCTTCTTCTGTCTAATTGCCCTGGGTTCAGTTTTCTCTTGTTATATTTTCTTAAGCCTGAAACTTAGATCACTGATTTGTAATCTTTTTAAATATGGATACTTAATGCCACAAATAGCCCTCTAAGCATTGCTTTAGCTGCATCCAGTAGTATGCTAGGTTCAACTTATACTGGCTCATGAGAGCTAATTGTGGAGTCTCTGCCCAACTCCATTTTCTGTGATGTCAATCATGATGGAAACATTTACAACATGAAAACTGGCAAATGCTACAAATCTGTATCTTTTTTTTCCCAGAGAGCTGACTGTTGAACATTTACTATGACGGTGTTCTCATATGTCCTATTAATTTTGGTAGATCATGTTTTCATTTTTACTTAAGCCAAAATATTTTCTCATTTCTCTTTTGATTTCCTCTTTGGCTCATGAGTTATTTAAAAGGGTGTTGTTTAATTTGGACATATTTGAACATTTCCCCAGATATCCTTCTGTTACTAATTTCTAGTTTATTTTACTCATAATCCAAATACATACTTTGTGTAATTTCAATTTTTAAAAATGTGTTAGGATTTGTTTGTAATTAAAATATAGTTTACTTATAGTCTAGAGTGTTCCATGTGCATTTGAAATAATAATATATCAAACTATAGTTAGACGGAATAAAAATATCTGTTAGACCAAGCTAGGTCAGAGTGTGGTTTAGCTTTCTATATCTTTTAAGTTTTCTTTTTATTTGTTCTATCAATTACTAAGAAAAGAGGGTTGAAGAATTCAACTATGGGCATAAATTTGTTAATTTCTCCTTTCAATTTTAAAAAGTTTTTGCTTTATACATTATAAGGTTCTATTATTAGATCCATACACATATAGCATTGTTATATCTTCCTTATGGATTAATCCCTTTATCATTATGTAATATTTTATATTTCATTTGTTTAGTAATTGTTTTCAAGGTTCATTTATGTTATAGTTGTACTTGATTTCTTTTTATGGCTGAATATTATTTCACATTTTGTTTATTCAGTAATCCATTGATTGGCATTTTGGTTGATTTAACTTTTTATTTTTTTTACTTTTAACCTGTTTCTTTCATACTTTAAGTGAGTATCTTTCAGGTAGCATATAACAGCATACAAGTGTATCTTCCTTTTACATATTCTGGCACTCTCTTTCCTTTTAATTAGTTTATTTTCATCATATTAATTATGGTATAATTGTATTAACATTTGTTGTCTTCTTAGATGCTTTCCTATTTGTTATATATGTTTCTATTTCTCTTATTTCTTTGGGATTGGGTTTTCAATGATTCATTTGTCTTTATGATTGCCTTATTATTTATATCTGTCTGAATTTTTTTTTAGTGGTTGCCATTGGGTTTATAATGCTCATCTTTAATGAAAATATGCCTTCCAATAATTTTATACTACTTCATATTCAGTGTAAGGACATAATAACAGGAAACTTCCACTTCTTTCCTCTCATATTTTGTGTCATATTTCTCATAAATTTCTTCTGACATATTTTATAAATTCATTGCAACTATGTTTGCTTGTGACAATTATCTTTTAGAAAAACTAAAATAAGAAAAAAATGAATTTTATGTTTATCTTGATTACTAGGTGTTTTTTGAGACAGGGTCTCACTCTGTCACCCAGGCTGGAGTGCAGTGGTACCATCTCAACTCACCACAACTTCTGCCTCCCAGGCTCAAGCAATTCTCATGCCTCAGCCTCCCAAGCAGCTGAGACTACAAGCATGGGCCACCACGCCGGACTAATTTTTTGCATTTTAAGGAGAGACATGGTTTTGCCATATTGGTCAGGCTAGTCTTGAGCTCAGGCAATCTTCCTACCTCAGTCTCCAAAAGTACTAGGATTACAGGAGTGAGCCACTGCCCCTGGCCATTTATCCAAATTTCTTTTTGTCATCATATTCCTCTGCCTAAAGAACTTCCTCTAACATTGTAGTGCAGGTCTGCTGGCAATGAATTCTCTCTCTCTCCCTCTCTTTCTCTCATTCTTTAATTTTCCATTGTATTTTTGAAAAATATTTTCACAGGGCATAAAATTCTCACTTGACCATTTTTTTGTCTTTCGACAGTTTAAAGATGTCACTCTATTGTATTCTGGATTGTAAAATTTATGATAAAAATGTTTTTGTTATTCCTATCTTTGTTCCTCTAGATGTAATATATTTTATTTTCTGGTTGTGTTTGATTTTTCAGAAGTTCAAATATGATATGTCCAAGGATTTGTGTGTGTATTATGTGCTCATTCCTGTTGTTAGTCTCTGAGCTTATTGTATTTGTGACTTCATGGATAAAAAATTCTCTGCCATAATACCCTCAAATTTCATTTGTTACTTTATTTTCTCCCTCCAAGATTTCAATTATGCATGTTAGGTTGTTTGGTGTTTTTTTCACAGATTTTGAATATTCTGTTTTTTTCTTCCTTGTGTTCAGTTTGATTGACTTTTATCCTTTATCTCCAATTTTACAATTTTACCTTCAATTTCACTTCAGTTTTCAGTCTAATGATGAGCCATCAAAGACATTTTCATCTCTGTTACCGTGTGTGTGTGTGTGTGTGTGTGTGTGTGTGTGTGTGTGTGTGTTTCGGTGGTGGTGTTAGCATTTTCACTTGATTTCTTCCTTATAGTTTCATCTCTTTGATGAAATGATCTATCTGATCATGTCTGTTGTCCACCTTTTTCACTAGAGCCCTTTACATATGTATCATCATTAAATTAATCTTCCTGTTGGATAGTGACAACATCTGGGTCATGTCTGTGTCTGGTTGTTATTTTTTCTTGCTTCCTTGTGTGCCTTATACTTTTTGTTGAAAGATATGCCATTTTTGGTAAGAAATGCAGAGAAGTAGCATTTTTGCTTGGAAATGGGTTTGCCTTGTTTTTAGGCAGGCCTTTATTAATATGAGTTATGTCATTCCTGTTTGGAGTTGGACAGAATATAGGCTTCTAATTCTTCCAAAGCAGTCCTCTGTAATAGAAATATAATACATGGTAGATACATGATTTTAAGTTTTTAGTAGTGTTGTTTTCAAAAGTAAAATAAAAATGCAACATATCCAAAATACTGTCATTATGACATGCAGCTCTACTCACATTTCAAGTACTGAATAGCCACATGTGGTTTGTGACTATAATATTGGACCACAAAATTTGAGTATTTTCTGTTTTAGAATGGAGGTTCGTTTGCTAGAGAGTTGTTCTCAATGGTTTTTCCACCATCACCTTTAGGTTTTCTTTTAATACCTGTCCTTGGAGAAGTGTTCGTTCTACATTTTTGACATTCCCCTAGGAGTACACTGCTGTTACTTGTTTCTCTGTGACTGGTGGTAGGCACTAGGGGAACATTCTCTGGTATTCTGGTCTAGCTTCATTCTTAGGCAATCACTTTGTCTGCATCTCAGGGATAGAGCCTTCTCAAGGGTTCTTCTTCTCCCTTCAATAGGCTGGGCCCAGTATATATTTCTTTTCCTCCACAAGGGTGAGGGAATTTTTGTTGTTGTTGTTGTTCCCTTCCCTCAACATCACTGGGTCATTATCTGCACCTTAAGGATGATGATATTTTCTTCATTTTCCAGAGTCTTAAGGTATTTGTCATGGAGAGATAGGAGAGAAGGATCCAGGTAGGCCTTCATGCCTTTCTTGCAGGGCTGCTGTTCTGTTCCTACAGGCCCAATAGAGACATTCTCAAGATTTTCACCCTGCCCCCAGTCAAGTGTGGTGGCATCCAGTGAGGTTTGTGAAGAGTCTGGAAGTGGGTCAAACTCCCCAAGTGTTTTTGGTTCCCAAGGGCTGTATGATGTCACAAGAGTTCACACTTCACCTTTAGCAAGCTGCTCAATTTTAGTAAAATTTGTCTCACTGGCTTGAACCGCACTGGGTGTCTAGCATCTGCCTTGGCTCATCAGAGGCTAGTGTGCTCTTTAGAAACACTTGTTTTTCCTTAGATTTGAGGTTAGTTGGTTGCTTTGTGACTCAGCTATCTAGTAGATTCAAGAACCATTGTGATTTTTGCAGATTTTCCTATATATTTTTTTAAACTTAAAGGGGAAAGTTACACTACTTTCAGCTTTCTGTATAGCAGGAGGAAATGGGAATTCCTTGATGCTTATTTTTGATAAGTATAACTCTCCTATTCCCAAGGAATCTCTCATGCATTTTGCTGAAAATCATGGATATGCAGAAAGTAAAGCCTAGCTTTCAAAGGATTCCTTAAGTCATAGTTTATTATGCTTTGCTGTATTAAGAAACAATGTGCTTTTGTTTGTTTTTCAAATATAAATTATTTGTAAAATATTTTTACAAATAGTTATTTGTAAAATATTTTTACAAATAGTTATTTGTAAAATATTTTTATGAATAATTGTTTATTTATAAAATAATTGTTTAACAAATAAGAATATTTGTTAAATATTCTTTTTTATCTCATACTTTCTCCTTCAGAGAAGCTGATATCCAGATAAAAGGAGGACTGTCCCTTACCCCACTTCCAGATATATTAGAAATCAATGATACAGACATTTCTTTGTGACTGGAGAAATGAGAGTTTGATCAGTGTCATTGGTGAACAAGCACAGTAAGACCAAGCAGTGTCAATCTTTGTATCCTCTTAGACATCTGAAGTCATGCCATCTGATAGGGTGACTTATGATTGGGTATTCAGGGTTGATCCAATTTCATTGTTTTACAAGGGCGTAAGTACAGACTACGTACTCAAGATTTATGTAGCCAGCTATGCTGGGTGCTGAACATAAATGTTTGAAAAGTATTTGGACAAATTGTTTCTAATCTGACACATTTCACCTCCAGGTATTGGTTGTTGCAATGACCCCTGGTTACAAATCACAGCTGCTAACTAATGGGCACTATGAGCCTGTGGCTTCACTGACACCATCATTTTTTGTATGTATTTTATGTTGTTTTTGCTGGAGTGTGCGTGACAAGTTAGATCCAATCTGTCTGCTCAGCAACAAGCAAAACGAAAAACACAACGTAGGAAATATTGTTCACATTTCCAAGATTGTTTTCTATCATTTGGTTTTACTAATATGCTAACATTCAGAACTGATAAATAAATGAAAAATGGATAGGACCTTGAAAATGGATGATTTTTATGATAACTATAAGCTGACAGCATTATTTTTAAGTGGACAGTTGTTTGCATTCACATTGGTTATTCATTTTATATTTAATTCACTCACCTCTCTCCAAAAGGTTCCAATGCTGTGAAATAAATTAGCTGTCACATTTTACACCAGTAGGTAGTAGAGGAGCTGCCTCCCTTTCTGGAGCTGGGTTTTATAGAAAGAGGTGGACATGTGATATGACTGGTATTTTGTTTCATTATCTAAAAAATTTTTTTAGAAATGAAGAAAAAGGGTACGTACCCTTCAGTAGACAGTGTTCTTCCCACTACAGTTGCTGACATTTTGTGGAAGACTTTCTCTGTAAGTTAGAGGTGAATTTCTGTGAATTGTATATCCTTAATTATTCCTGTTGGGAGGTGTAACTTTTTCTTTTTCCCTATGACTGCCAAATCCCTTTTCCACAGTGGTACAGCTGTGCTTGGGAGATGCTCTGTTTGTTTCTTTAAGTTGAAGTGAAGTGGACAGATTTATGATTTTAATGAAATATCTTAAGCACAGGAAATATGCATTTAACACATTTTATGCTCTTTCCCTAATATGCACCCTTGCCTCTCCCACTTTTCACAAAACTCCTTGTAAATAGAAGGTTAAGCCTAAAAAATATGCCCAATAAGTGCACATTGCATTAATAGTTCAGTTCACGTGAGTATAGGAAACTCTGCTAATGATAACATTTGACTATGAGATTCTTCCTTAACCTTCATACCTTTCCAAAAACCTTCTAAGTTTGACTCCAGAGAATGCAAGAACTAAAATATCATGCCATTCTTCTACAAAAGACTTATAAATACTCACCATTGTGGCTGTTATTAATATTCTTTCGTTTTAAAGAGAAAGGTATCAGCTCCTCTCATTTCAGAACAAATAACACAACTGTAAAAGCTGTTGCCAAGCAACCTGAATTCACAGCTCAGATGGGCTGAATTGTTTATATCCGTATGTGGATAAAACTGACCCACTCCTTCTCTAAAAAATGTATCTACGAAGTCTTTGAGATATTTCCACTAATATTTTAGGCTGTAGGTCATGGCATTACTATTCTGTAGGAAGTTCTGAAATTAACACACACACTATCTACACTGTGGCATTGCAATTGCCATATTACATTATAACTATCTGGTTTGGGGTCTGTTTCCCCATTGAACTGTGAGTTCCTTGCGGGCAAGTATTGTGTTCTACTCATCATACAGGCAGGTTCTTTATACATAGCCAGGACTTCATCAGTGTTTGACGGATGCATGAAAAAAAATGATTTTATGCCAGTGTCTGTGCTGTACACTTTCTACAAAAATATTTTCTTACTAGAACCTGAAAGAAAGAAGGAAACTGTTCAATTTAAAAATCTACCAATATGAAATTATAATAAGCACAAACTGAAGCATTCAGGTAAAAATATTAGAATTATAAACACATTTTAGAATTAAAAGAAACTTTGTGGGACATTTAATCTAATGGTTCTCATCAGAATCACACCTGGAACTTATAACTTTTGAGTGACAGTTTGAAATGAGGTATCCTTTTTTTAAAGTTCCCCCCGGAGATTCAGGAACCGAATTATCACTGATGTAGTCCAACAGTCTCCATTTGTGGTGGAGAAAATGGCCGCAGAGGAGTGAGAACCACGAGGTCATGAGAAGAGCACAAGCTCTTGGGTCACCTGCCTATCAAGTGCTGTCTGACTGTAGCCATCTGTTCCTCACTGTCCATAAAATGGAAATAATACTTACTTGTGAGATGTCTGGGGAAACTTAATGATATGACCTGAGTAGTGCCTTAGAACCATGCTGGTGGGAACCTGGCAAGGACCATCTCTTCCCTTCACAATATCCTCTGAGTTGCAAACACGTTGTGAAGAGAACCTTTGTTGGCTGACTTCCAAACACTTCAGGGCCATGTAGAACCGTACAGGATACCTCTGGCTCCGACGTTTTGACTGGAAAGGAGCAAGCATTAATCATATCTGTCAGGATCCCTGCAGAATACTCATGAGGCATCACCCAAAAGGGTAAATTAAGAGTGTTAATAAAAGACTCTTTTCAAAGGTGTGGAGAGGTTAAGGGAACCACCGAGAAACTGTGAGGCAAGGCAGGGTTACCAGACCAAGGGGTCAGAGTGGTTACTGGAAACTGGTACTATCTGTGGCTGCAAGAAATGGATTCCTGGCAGGAGCTGAATCCAAATGAGAGGAACAGAGCTACTGGCCAGACTGCAGCCTGGCAGGAAGGGAGCCAGGAAAAGAATCTCCCTCTCCTCCTACTCTCTGATTTTCTACTGGCAGTCACATTGGCTAAGTTAGAGAAGGAGGATGCCCATCCAAAGCAATTCTAAGGGTCAATCTTTGGTGACACAGAGCAGGATGAAGAAGGATGGAGAAGGCTCTGGAAGGGAAAATAGAAGATATCTAGGCAATTTCCAGTCTTCTACTTTATGCTGGGTACTTTTTAAGCAGGATGTCTTTACAACACGTTTTCCTTTGAGGCTTATTCAGTTGAATATAAATTACCTAAAAATGACTGACATTGTGGTACAGTCTTCCTTGCCAGGAATTTACATGTATACCTACTAACTCTACCATGAATAAATGTTCCTAGGCAATGAAACCAAAACTTGACTACTGAATGTGGGTCCCCTGGAGAAGAGACACAGTTTTCAACTGAACACAAGGCCCCTTTGTTGGAGTAGATTCAGGAGGGAAACCAGCCTGCAGGGTCTACTTGCCAGGGATGCAGAATAACCAAAATCTATGCCTGCCTCAGCAGCTGCCGGATTTTCCTGAGCCTTCTGTTCACCACTTTATTTTCAAATTTATCCATCTAAGAAATGAGAAGAACACCTGTGCCTCATTACACGATTGAGATTTTTGAGGGAAATGAGGATCATTCTTATGGAGGAAAGATACTGTCTACTTAAATGCAAAGTTGAAGAGGGAGGCATTCTGCTGGTGCTAATTTTCTTCAACAAATGAGACATGTATAAGATACCGGATGCTTTGTTACCTTTACTAAACCTTTCTTGGGAACCTGGAGACTGAGAGATGAATAAGGTTGCCTCTACCTTTGAGGAGTTCATGGTCTTGTGGAAGGAATCAGAAATGAAACATTTCTTAAAAGGGAATAATATTGAATTGAAGATCTTGGTATTCTTTTGTAATATTTTCCTGCATTTATTTTATTTAATGATACATGTATTTATTTTTGTAAATGATGGTCTCCATACACTCAGCACTTCACATGCATTGGGGTTGCCAAGCAGTCCCTCTTGGCTCCACTCTTCCCTGGCAATTCCCTCCCTTAGGTTCCCAAGGTTCACTAACTGTTTAATATCCATGCCTTGGTTCATTTCTGACACTACTTGATTCTCCACCAGCTTTCAGCCTTGTTCTGAATAATTTATCCTAACTCAGTTTTTTATTCTTTTATGTTATATTTCTGTAAGAGCCCTACTCAGTATCTTCATCCCCATTTCCACTTGGCAGAAGAGAGATTTTATATAGAGATTTTATATAGTGGTTTTATAAACCTATAAAATACCTACTGGGCACCTGCAGATAGTAAATATTCTGTTACTCTTTTCTTTTTGTCCAGTGGTGAAGGTTTCTGACTGTTCAGTAACCAGGATGTTAGGACCAATAACCAGGGAAGCCTTAGGCTTCTAAAAGTTTAGTTATGAAGTATCTTACAGCAATATCAAAAGGACACAAGGACCTGTTTATTGACTTGAATGTGAGCTGGGGCTGAAAAGGAATAGTATTCCAAGGAGCAGCATGTGTAAAGGCTCAGAGTCAGGAATGGGCAAGCTGTGTTCAGGAGCACAGTGACAGTATCACCCTATATGGGGTTAAGAGCTCCAGGTGAGATGTGATTACACCACCTACAATGTATAGTGTGACTACCATGTGTCTAGAGCTTTGCCAGATTGTTTACATATATGAGCTCTAATCCTCACAGCACAGAAACCTGTGTCACACAGCTAGCAAGCAGTAGAGCCCTCTTCAATACTCAGCTCTGTCTGCTTTCAAAGCCCAAAATTACACCATGGCAGTTTGCTGCCTTATTTCCTAAGTAATATAGGATTGATGAAGGAGGACCAGATGTTGAGGATTTTCGAGAACCAGAAACAGAGTATGGAAAAGACCTGGTAGACTTTAGACACCAATCTTCCTGTGAATAATTTATGGAAGAATATTTTCTAAAATGATCACATGCCACCCACCCAGATTCTCAAATGGTTAAACATTTTCCAGTTTTTTGACTTTGAAAATACTTTTCAATCAGCTTCTATAAAGCCAGTTGCATGAAATTCCTGTGCTCTGTCGACACCCTTCTGAATCTGGTCATTACTTTTCTCTATTCATTACCTGAGAGGTAGTAGGGAAAATACAGAAAATGAACAGTGGGTAGCTTCCACCGTACCTCCATCTATATTGCAAGCTCTTTGTTGTAATGCCGCTCTATCTGAAGGCCTAGAATATTTTCCCTTTTCCATTTCCCCTCCTCTTTAAAAAAGAATTTTACAGCACACCAGACATGAGAGACTTTGTAATGATTCCATCTGAGATATAGAAATTGCTTAACATAGGGAAGTGAATGCTTGTGGATTCATGTTAGCATTCTTTATCTATGGAGAATACGTATGCTACTGTGTGTGTGTTATTTAGGTTAAGCTATAACCCATGTACTTCAAGCATTCTAATCAGTTATGCTTAGTCCCAGAGAGGTCACCTGACCTTTAATTAAGTAAGCCAGAGGCAGCAGCAACAAACCTTTCAGCAATCCAGATCTTAACACAGGAACCTTGGCTAAAAGACATATTGAATGCAAGCCATGAATTTATATTAGTGAAACTGTTGTCTTAATTAGCATGAAGAGTGTCATAAGTGGCCTTTCATCAGTGAAATAAAATGTATTCACAATATACACATCAGCTAAAATATGTTAAAGATGCTCTAAATAGGGTTTAAGTATCTAGTAATGTCTGTAGTCAGGACCTCAAGAAAGTTCCTGTACTCAGTTCCTAAGTGGTACTCTGTCCAGCCATTACTTTAGGAGTGTTTCTGTTTTCTTAATGGAAACCAGAGGAGTAACAGAATCCTATCTCTGGAATGTTCTTGTGTCTGCCTTGAGTAATTCTTTCATGCCAGAATTATAGAATAGTCAGAGCACCTAAAAATGACGAGAATGGGGGCTTCTTTTACAGAATACAATGTAAGAACAGTTCTGCCTTCTTCGTTATTGGGGGTGATTTTCAAAGGGGAGGGAGTGTACGAATAGGGTGTGGGTCACAGAGATCACATGCTTCATAAGGTAATAAAATATCACAAGGCAAATGGAGGCAGGGCGAGATCACAGGACTGGGGTGAAATTAAAAATGCTAATGAAGTTGCATGTTCCACTGGGCACGCATCGTCATTGATAACATCTTATCAGGAGACAGGGTTTGAGAGCAGACAACTGGTCTGACCAAAATTTATTAGGTGGGAATGTCCTCATCCTAATAAGCCTGGGAGCACTACGGGAGACTGGGGCTTATTTCATCCCTTATCTACATCCGTATAAGACAGACATTCCCAGAGCAGCCATTTCAGAGACCTCCTGCTAGGAACACACTCTCTTTCTCCAGGCTGTTCTTTGCTGAGAAAAAGAATTCAGCGATATTTCTCCTATTTGCTTTTGAAAGAAGAGAAATATGGTTCTGTTCTGCCTGGCTCTCAGGCAGCCAGACCTAATGGTTATCTCCCTTGTTCCCTGAACATAGCTGTTATCCTGTTCTTTTTTCAAGGTGCCCAGATTTCATATTGTTTAAACACACATGAGTTATGAACAATTTGTGCAGTTAACACAATCATCACAGGGTCCTATGGTGACATACATCCTCAGCTTATGAAGATGACAGGATTAAGAGATTAAAGTAAAGACAGGCATAGGAAATCACAAGAGTATTGATTAGGGAAGTGATAAATGTCCATGAAATCTTCACAATTTATGTTCAGAGATTGCAGTAAAGATAGATGTAAAAAATTATAAAAGTATTAATTTGGGGAACTAATAAATGTCCATGAAATCTTCACAATTTATGTTCTTCTGCCATGGCTTCAGCCAGTCCCTCCATTTGGGGTCCCTGACTTCCATTAACACTTCGTAGTAAAAGTCTGTTCAGTAAATGTCTAGGTGTTTGGCAGAGGGAGGTAACCCTCAAACACCTCAGATTTTGGGGGTACACTGTTACAAATAAAAAGAACCAAAAAGTTGTTCAATCAGTTGGCAACAGTTACCTTTCCTTCTATTCCAGCTACTTCATTGGCTAGGCAGGGTTTTGGGGTAGCCTACGAATCAGACCAGTACTGATAAATTCTTATAGATATATTTGTTTTAAGTGCTAGTTAACCGTGTGTAATAGAAGTTTTGTGTCAAACTCCTTGCTAGGTTGGAGACAGCCCATAGTAGCAAATTTTTTATTTCCTAGCAACCCCTAATAGTCCTGATTAGCAAGCTCTCATTTATTTACTCAGTTTGGGAAATAGAGCAAACCAGACATGCAGCCGTGAATTCACTAATCGTTCTGTACTGTGGCCATCAGCAAACCTTTGGGTAGTTCTCAGCTACTGCTGATAATTCAGAATAGAGCAGTTAGCTATTGCAAATTTGATGACTGTGCCTGTTTTGCCACTTCTGTTCTCAACTTAATTGATAGTTGCTGCCTTTATTATGAATTATTAACAATAAGAGTGAATTTTGTTGTTTGGTAAAGTGATAAATTGTTCTTTTGTTCTCAAGGTTAATTGCAGTCCCTATGCCCTGTTTACACTTTAACGACTCCCAATGGGAGCAAGCAAACAAACAATTGAAAATATAAATTTAATTGTATAGAAATGTAGCATAAAATAAAGATAAAAAATTCATTTGTGTTCAGGGGCAAGAATGGTGATATAAATGTTCAAGACATAGGTTTAAGCTCATACAAAAAAGTAGGAAGTGTGGCAGCAACAAAAATCATTTCTACTTCTTTTCTTCCTGAACTGTTCAAGTACAAACAGTCTCTGGGCTCAACAATTATACCAGGCAAAACATTAGGCATGAAATTGATGTTTTCTAAAATTTCAAGGTTTCTACGAATAAACACCTTGATAAAGAAATGAATATTCTATGTGCTTAAAAATACTTATCATAATTACTATTTATTGATACTGTTACCAAAAGTGATGCAAAGATTGAAATAGGTGGTTTTAAAAGTCAAGGACAGATGATCAGATTTTATACAGGTTGAGATAATTATAGCAAGATTATAAAGAGTAGTTAAGTATTCAAAACCTCCATTTTCCCACCACAAACATATAGTGAATACATTCATTTTCTCAGAGTGCCTACACTTCATAATTTCAAGATTAATGCTCATATGACAATTATTCATTATAGTTAAAAGTAAAATATTATTGAGAACCCTCTAAGGAACAAAATTCTTTTCTAATAGCTATAAACCAACTGTTTAAATCTTACAAGAAAGAACTTTCATTTTCAACTGTCTATTATTTGTGGTCTTAGTGTCTTTCAAAGGATGTGACTTGTGAATATTTCTCTTAGCAATACAATAAGATAGAATGGCTATTTTATTAAATTGTGTTCTACAAGCCCTGTTTCAATAGCATAACTTGTCTCAATCTTCCACAGTTCCTGCTGTTAAAAATATGTAGCTTCTGATGTACACTCTTATTCTAAATATAGATAAATTAAATGATGCTTATAAATTTTAAATTCTACAAATATTAGAGTCAACAACAACAAATGAACAGGGCTGTCTCTTTGTGCTGTCTCTTTGTGCTTGAAGTCTTGGCCTGTAACATTCCAGGAGGAAATTCTCGATCACTAGCAGTTATACTCCAGAGAGCAGGCATTTGGACAAATTTGCCTTCAACAACTTAGCAACAGATGAGTCTGTACCTACTGCTCAGATGACACTGCCAGGGCTTGACCAGAGTACTTTGCTGTAGATGAGAGCTTTGGTGACAGATTCTTTTGATTGGAAAGTTGGTAAGATTCCTAGATCAGGCTGCTATGGAGGGGCAGGGCTCAATGGGGACCTTGCCAGCCAGGTGAGGTGGCTGATGGCTCTTTGTAATAGCTTTGGAAGGTACAGCTAATGATCTGTAGGAGTCAGTCTATGGATGTACACTCTCAGCAAGAGAAGATCAAAGGCTAGATTATGCTGAGAGCCAAGGGTTAAGTACTATTTATTAATAGCTATACCTTGAACAGAATCCACAGAAAGGTCAGAGACTCTCACTGAGAGTGGGAAGTTCACCATGTTCTATCACAGTCTGTTTCATATCTGCTATTTCTAGAGAAATGTGTCATCTAAAATGCAATGCAATAAAACAATGCAGACTTTGCATTATTTTTTTAAATCCAATACATGAAATAGGTATCTGGATAATAGCAGGTTCTTGATACATATTGTACTTTGATGAAACCAGATATATTAACAGAGACTCTTTTGGTTCCAAGTTATAAAAGTTTTTGAGCTAACAGGTGAAAATGGTGAATTTACAAGGTATCTGGATAATAATAGGTTCTTGATATACATTGTAGTTTGATGAAACCAGTTATATTAAGGGAGTCTCTTTTGGATCCAAGTTATACAAACCTATTTGAGCTAACTGAGGTGAAAATGGTGAATTTATAATATGGGGGAAGGCCACATTCAGGAATCAGGAAAATAACTGGTATGAGGGACATCAGTATCAATAGGATGTTCTCACATTCCTGCTCCCATGCAATATACTTCCCTCTCTCTGTAGGCCAGTTTCTCTTCTTCTTCAGTCCACAAGGTGTAACACACGGCCCTCAGTAGGCAGCCGTGTTTACATGAGACAGGTAGGGTCAATCTGCTGCTGAGAAAAGATTACTTTCTCAGTCCTCATTCTAAATTCTCTGGGGAGGGAGGCTGTGTGTTACATCTTGGGATCAAATACCCATCTGTGGGGCCACTTATCTGGCAAGGGTCATATATCATTAGTGACCTGGCTGCCACTAACCTAGTGATACAGCTGCATGGTACAAGGAGCGGGGAGGCAGCTTTTAGAAAAAGGCAAGTGAAACAACTTGAAAATAAGTAGCCTGCTACTTTAGAGGAATCAATGTTAAAGCAGTTTAAGAGATGTACATATGGCCGGGTGCAGCAGCTCATGCCTGTAATCCCAGCACTTTGGGAGGCTGAGGCGAGTGGATCACTTGAGGTAAGGAGTTCAAGACCAGCCTGGCCAACATGGTGAAACCCTGACTCTAGTAAAGATACAAAAATATTAGTCGAGCATGATGGGGCACGCCTGTAATCCCAGCTACTTGGGAGGCTAAGGCAGGAGAATCATTAGGACCCGGGAGGTGGAGATTGCAGTGAGCCAAGATTGTGCCACTGCTCCCTAGCCTGGGTGACAAAGCAAGACTCCATCTCAAAAAAAAAAAAAAAAGGAAATGTGTGTGGTGTGTGTGTGTGTGTGTGTGTGTGTATATATATATATATAAAATTACATATTATATGTAATATAACCATGTAACAATATATACTAATATATATTATAATATGTTACAGTATGCTATATCACTAATATAGTATATATAATATATACATATATGATAAAATCAGCCTACATTTTAGAGCCTCATCAAGTTGTACTAAGAATGAAAGAACCTCTATTAGATGTTTCCCTAGGAATCTTTTGTTGGATGCTGGGTCTTAAGAATTGGGAAGGATGCTCTGTTCTGGGGGAAATACTAGATCTTTAGACAAAAGCTTTCTGCTTAGTAAGCCTTCCTCCTTTGCTTCCTCCCTTCCTTTCTCCCTCCCTTCCTTTTCTTCTTTCGTTCCTACAGAAGCAACCCATACCAGTGTAGCTGCTTTCATTATAAAAAGCCCTATTGTGATAAGCCCTTAGGCATGGTGAATGAGAAGAGTTACAAAGATACAAGAAAAGCTGTATAAATTACTGTCAAGATAGGTGGATTGGATTGTGATATGGTTTGGCTCTGTGTCCCACCCAAACCTTATCTCAAATTGTAATGTCCATTTATCGAGGGAGGGACCTAGTAGGAGGTGATTGCATCATGGAGGTGGTTTCTCCCATGCTGTTCTCGTGATAGTGAGGGAGTTCTCATGAGATCTGGTTATTTGATAAGTGTCTGGCACTCCTTGCCCCACTGCTGCCATGTAAAGAAGGTCCTTGCTTCCCCTTTGCCTTCTGCCATGATTGTAAATTTCCTGAGGCCTCCCCAGCCATGCAGCACTGTGAGTCAATTAAACCTCTTCTGTTTATAACTTACCCAGTCTCAGGTAGTAGCCTTATAGCAGTGTGAAAATGGACTAATACAAAGAATTGGTACAAGGAGTGAGGTAAAATGTGGAAGCAACTTTGGAACTGGGTAACAGGCAGAGATTGAAACAGTTTGGAGGACTCAGAACACAAGAAGATGTGAGAAAGTTTGAAACTTCCTAGAGACTTGTTGAATGGTTTTGACCAAAATGCTGATAGTGAGATGGACAACAAAGTCCAGGTGGAGATGGTCTCAGATGGAGATGAGGAACTTATTGGGAACTAGAGCAAAAGTCACTCTTGCTATGCTTTAGCAAAGAAATTTTCAGCATTTTTCCCCTGCCCTAGAGATCTGTGGAACTTTGAACTTGAGAGAGATGATTTAGGGTATCTGGCAGAAGAAATTTCTAAGCAACAAAGCATTCAAGATGTGACCTGGCTTATTCTGAAAGCATTCAGTTACATGCATTCACAAGAAAATGGGTTGAAATTAGAACTTATGTTTGAGAAGGAAGCAGAGCATAAAGATTTATAAAATTTGCAGCCTGACCATGTGGTAGAAAATAAAACCCCATTTTCTGGGGAGGAATTTAAGCCTGCTGCAGAAATATTCCTAAGTAATGAGGAGCTGCATGTTAATAGCCAAGACAATGGGGAAAATGTCTCCAGGGCATGTCACAGACCTTCACATCAGCCTCTCCCATTACAAGTCTAGAGGTCTAGGAGGGAAAAATGGCTTCATGGGATGGGCCCATGACCCTGCTACTCTGTGCAGCTTTGGAACTTGGTGTCCCGCATCCCCGCGGTTCCAGCTCAAACAGTGGCTAAAAGGGGCCAAGGTACAGCTCAGCTGTAGCTTCAGAGCATGCAGGCCACAAGCCTTGGTTGTGTCCATGTGGTTTTGGGCCTATGGGTGCACAGAAAACATGAATTGTGGTTTGGGAACTTGCCTAGATTTCAGAGGATATATGGAAATACCTGGATGCCCAGGAAGAAGTCTACCGCAGGGGTGGGGCAGAGACCTCATGGAGAACCTCTACTAGGACAATATAGAGGGAAAATGTGGGGTTGGAGCCCCCATACAGAGTTCCCACTGGGGTACTGCCTAGTGGAGCTGTGAGAAGAGGGCCACCATCCTCCAGACCCCAAAATGGTAGCTCCACTGACAGCTTGCACCATGCACCTGGAAAAGCCGGAAGCACTCAATGCCAGCCCATGAAAGCAGCCAGGGGGTGGGTTGAGAGGGCTATACCCTGCAGAGCCACAGGGGTGGAACATCCCAAGGGCTTGGGAGCCCACCCCTTGCATTAGTGTGTCCTGCTGACATGGAGTCAAAGGAGATTATTTTGGAGCTTTAAGATTTAATGACTGCTCCACCAGGTTTCAGACTTGCTTGGAGCCTGTGCCACCTTTGTTTTGGCCAATTTCTCTCATTTGGAATGGGAACATTTACCCAATGCCTGTACTCCCATTGTATCTTGGAAGTAACTAACTTGTTTTTGATTTTATAGGCGCATAGGTGGAAGGGGCCTTGTCATAGGTGAGACTTTGGACTTGAATTTTTGAGTTCATGCTGGAATGAGTTAAGACTTTAGGGGACTGTTGGGAAGGCATGATTGGCTTTGAAATGTGAAAAGGACATGGGATTTGGGAAGGGCCAGGGGTAGAATAGTATTGTTTGGCTCTGTGCTGCCACCCACATCTCATCTCAAATTGCAATCACCATAATCCTTACATGTCAAGGGAGGAACCTAGTGGGAGGTGACCAGATCATGGGGACAGTTTCTCCCATGCTGTTTTCATGATAGTGAGTGAGTTCTCATAAGATCTGGTTGTTTGATAAATGTCTGGTGCTTCCCCACTAACCATCCTTCCATGATGTGAAGAAGGTCCTTGCTTCCTCTTTGCCTTCCACCATGATTGTAGGTTTCCTGAGGCCACCCCAGCCATGCAGAACTGTGACTCAATTAAACCTCTTTTGTTTATAAATTGGTCCTAATTGTATTAGTGTGTTTTCACACTGCTATAAAGATACTACCTACTCAGGATACTTCTTTTTACAGAGGAGAAAACTGAGTCACAGATAAGTAAAACAGCTTGACCAGCATCATATGGTGAAGCCAGGATTGGACCCAGTGAGTCTGGTCCCAGAGCCCATTCTATTATGAACCCCATACCTTTTCAGTGTAGGTACAGTGGCATGATAATAATGTAGCTGACAGATTTAAGGGTATATTACTGGAAATGTTTAAATAAATCAGAACTATAAAATTACATAAAGGTGAGAAAAATTACACCATAATTTCCTGTACTTCCTTTGGTTCTAAGGTGACAGATGGGACTATTTTAGCAAGACAAATGTCTTAAAGAACTTCGAGGTTTCTGACATTTTAGTTTTCAGTCCAGATGCAATCCTTTGATTAATGAAGTTCTGGTTTTAGTTTCCCTAATTTTCAGGCTTACACATAAGGTCCTTGGAAGAATATACAATAAGCCTAAGTGAAAACGTTAGTGGCCATCTATCTCTTTCTAAATGGGACCATTTAAATGATTGCAGACAGATAATTGCCTACATTAAAACCATAAAATATGTTATGAAACTCCCTTCTTTGGTCCTCTTACAATCAGGCATCTTAAATACTGACTCCATGTCTATTATCCCTTCTTTCTCCCACTCTAATTTAATTGGTGTAAGTTCCTAAAGCTTCATCAGAAAAATACCTTCCAAATTTTCCCAGTCCTCTTTCATAGTGCTTTTCTAACCCCAAGGTCCTTTTATGTTTGTCCTTGCATTCATTCCATTTTCAGACATCAGTGCCACATTCACAAATCAGCAGACCTAGAGAAAGTAGATCATATATTATTCCATTTTGAATTATTTGTGACCTAAAATTTAAATATTAGAAGTGAGGGGCAGCCTTGCTATATATATCTGGCAGGTCCTACTTGAAACTACCTTAGGCCAAAAGCAGCAGATGCTGTGTTTCACAGTTGTTCAGAAGCATGGCATTTAAGTAAAGACACCTTGTCCATCTAATCTCTTCTCAGCATTTGACTTGGGCGCACGGATAAGGGCAGATTTGTGAGTATGATCCTCATAAATCAACTCCAACCATATCCCTTATTTACTTCTGTCCCTTCAATGGCTTCCTATCTCATTCAAAGCTCATGCCCAGATCCTCTGTGACCTCGTCTCCACTGATGGCATCTTTCAACCTTGAATCAATTACTCTTTCTTGATTTTGCCCAGCACATTCTTACCAGGATGCCTTTGACATTGTACTTCTCTCTGCCTGAATTGCTCTTCCTCATATATTTCCAGGGCTCATGCCTTCACCTCCTTCATGGATTTTTCTCAAATACATCTCAGTGAAGCTTTCCCTGACCACCTTCATAGAATTGTAACCCTCTGTCCTGACACTTCCTTACATCCCTCTTTTTCCTTCTAAGAAGTTATCACTATCTAACATTTTATATATTTTACTTATTTTTCCTTATTAGTTTGCTGTCAAGAATTAGATATTTTTGTTCATTTTATTCACTGGTAAAGTGAAAAAAGGCTAGAAAAGTGCCTTGAAAAGAGTAAGCAGCAAAATATTTGTTGACTAAATAAACAAGCAAAGATTATACATGCAAAAAACAGAGGTAATAAATAAGGGTTTGATTCACTTTTTAATAATGTTTGAAAAATATTTGGGGAGACTTCCTGAGGGAGGTGACATCAAAACTAGGGTTTTAAGGATAAATTAGGCTGGGTGTGGTGGCTCACGCCTGTAATCCCAGCACTTTGGGAGGTCAAGGCGGGTGGATCAATTAAGGTCAGGAGTTCAAGACCAGCCTGGCCAACATGGTGAAACTCTATCTCTACTAAAAATAGAAAATTAGCCAGGCATGGTGGTGGGTGCTGAGGCAGGAGAATTGTTTGAACCCGGGAGGCAGAGGTTGCAGTGAGAGCTGAGATCCCGACACTGCACTACAGCCTGGGCGACAGAGCAAACCTCCAACTCAAAAAACTAACAATTTTAAAAAAGGATAAATTAGAGTTTTAGAGTTTTCCAGCAGGACAAGTTAGAAGTGGAAATTTTACGTAGTTGAAAAAACATGTGCAAAAGCACTGATACAAAACTATATGGTGCATTTAGAATACCTTAAGTTTAAAAATATTGATAAATTGGTTGGGCGCAGTGGCTCACATCTGTAATCCCAGCACTTTGGGGGGCCGAGGCAGGCAGATCATGAGGTTAAGAGATCGAGACCATCCTGGCCAACATGATGAAACTCTGTCTCTACTAAAAATACAAAAATTAGCTGGGCGTGGTGGCGTGTGCTTGTAGTCCCAGCTACTCAGGAGGCTGAGGCAACAGAATCACTTGAACCCGGGAGGCAGAGGTTGCAGTGAGCTGAGATTGTGACACTGTGCTCCAGCCTGGTGACAGAGCGAATCTCCATCTCAAAAAAAAAATTGATAAATTGTATGATATTAAAATAAAAATATTAGAATTTATTATTTAAATCGTGGAAAGTGCATTGGGAGTTTTAAGCATGAGTGATAGAGAATTATGCTCTGTTCTGCTTTTATAAAGATCCTTCGGCAGCAATATGAAGCATAAATTTGCAGAAATTGAGGATTTGTTTAGAGATTTAAGTTAAAAGCATTAGCAACAGTCCAGGCTTCAGTAGATGAGGACTGTACTATAGGATGGAGGGACAGGGATGGTAACAAAAGAATTAACATTATAAATGATTGATTGAATGATTTTCTGTGAATATGTGCGTGTTTTGGGGGGAGATTTAGAGGAGTGAAGGAGCTGAATTTTATTGTTGATGAAAAATGGGGTTGTTCAGCTGAATTACTCAGTTTATTTCTTATTCGTTAACATTGATGTATGTCTTGGGGTAACTCCTAAGCCGTTCACATTCATTTTATATATCTTAAGAGTTCCAGAACTCTGGTTTATTGGTTAGGGAATGCAATTAGTAGGATAGACCTTTGTTTCTTAAAATCAATGAAAAGATCAGCAGAACACCCTAAGCTGTATTTTTTTCTCAAGGTGCATAATCTGAAGACCTTGTGTAAAATCTCGACTCCTGAACTTTTTCCTGAAGTGAACAGAAAATTGTTGATTTTAGTTCACTCAAACAAAATAAGAACTATTCACTGACAAATCTTCTGCATAACATTATTCTGTATGTGAAATACATGGCTGTCTGCTATTGGCAGCTCAGTGTGCATTGTTCAGTAGAAAAGACATAAACTTTGAGTCACAGGGATACAGGCTAAATCCCATACCTGTGAGATAATCTTTGGCAAAATTACCAGGCCACCATGAATCTTACTTTTCTCTTCATAAGACAATATTTTACTTTTTTTTTTTGAAAACCCTACATCCCAGGATAGTTATGAGGTTTAAACTAGATAGTGTGTATGTATAAGTTTGAGGGTCCTTTGATTCTGAGTATAAACAACTTTGGCTAATTAGGAAAATAGGATTTATTGGAAGGAAATCAGGACTTAAATTATTGACATGAAGCCAGAGAATGGGCAGAAACGACGGCAGCAAGAATCACAGAAACAGTCTCATAGCTGAAACAAACTGGTCTGGATGCCACTGCAAGAAAGAGTGTGTGCTAGCTGTTCCTGTTTTTCCTCTTTATGTGACCTGCTTGAGACTCAGTCCCAGGAGAGAGTATCAAATTGGCAGATTTGACCCCTTCCAGCTTCCACACTGGAAGGAAGGCCCTGGGGTTTCCATCCCAGCAAGACTCTAGACGTTCAGACAGAAATAATTCTGCAAAAGGAAATTGGGATGCTGAGAAGGAAGAATGGATTCTTGCTAGACAAAAACATGAAAGTGATGCCTTTAAAGTGATTTATTAAATTGATGACTTTTGACGTGTTTTGATCACAATCCACAGCAAGAAATGCATTTTACATCATGACCTAGGAGTCACATATGTATATGCATGTTTGTATTTCTTTATAACCAAGAAAGATGTTTCTTTTCTTACCAAGCTTATTCTTACCATATATGTTGCTCTGTTTTGTTCTATTTTATTCTATTTCACTTTTTAACAGCCCAGTCATGCCCCACTAAATTGATTTCATAACTTATGAATGGTTTACAATCTACAGGCTGAACACATTTTGTTATAATGTATATAATATTAGTACATTGTACCAAATATTAGCAAACTGTAAATATCAGTTCTTATATCATCTTCCCCCTTTATTTTGCCTCCCACTCTCCCATGAAATAAAATCACAGTCAGTGACTGAATGACCAAGATATCTGCAGCCTCTCTCATTTTATTGGCTGATGGCATAGTTTTAGTCATAGTTTCCTGAAGAATAGAGTTGTATCAATTTCATAACTTTTAAGAGATGTGGCATATAAATAAAAACGGTATGAATAAAGAAATAGTAAAATGAAGAATGTGAGATAACTTAAGCCTCAGCAAAACTACAACCGCCTTCTTGAAATATCATAGTTTTCTGCTCTGCACACAAACATCTGCTGTTGCTCCCTGAAATGAGATTCCTGAGGCTAAGCACACCTTTTCTTAATCTTGACTGTATTGAAAAACCTATTTGGATATTTTTGGTACAAACATATATTTTGGCCTAAGATGTTGAGTTAATTGGTTTAGAGGTTTGAGGCTTGAATTAATGAAATAATTGACTCAATTCTTTATTTTTTATTTTAGTTAGTCTTTCACCAAAGCATTATTAGACTCATAATACATTTGACCAAAGATCTTCAATCTAATATAATTGGATAATTTACTGTAATTATTTCATTTTTAATGATCCCCTATCCCATTTCCTAGGAGAACTGTGGCAATCTCTCTCTTCAAACCTTTAGTGCTTGATCTATCCTTATCAAACCAGGGGATGATTTCCCTAACTTGCATTTGAAGCCTTCCTCCCTGAGATTTCTCTTTAGAATCCCTCAAATTTTAAGGTGTATCATTTCTCCTGTGTCTGGATCTCATTCCTTTTGGCATCTCCTGGTAGCCAAGTTCTTGAATTTGTCCTCTTTCATTTTCTTCTTCAAACCAGCCTTCTCTACTGGCGAAATCATCTCTTTTTACAAATGTTCTCTGATGCCCTAACAAACTATCTGAACACGATTGCTCAACTTTCCTGTTCCCACAAGCTACCATTCCATAACTCCATCTTTCTTCACACGCTACATTTTTTTAAAGTACTGTATGTACATTTTGCTTCCATTTCATACTATCCACTCATTCCTGTGTCTCTAATCAAGCATTCACTCTTCAATCTACTAAAACTCTTCCCTGAGTCTCTCATGACAATATCCAAGATGTGTATTTGTTTCAGTTGGTTTCCTTGTTGTGACACTATTCTGGTGCTTTGACTCAAGCTGTATCCTAACCAGTAGGCATTTCCCAAAGCCCTCTGCTGACCAACCTTCTTTTTGGTAGAGGGGCGAGATACACTTACATCTACTGGCTCGGATACAGCTTGAGTCGAAGAGAATAGGCAAATAATTTAACTTTGGTTCAATCTGGGATCTGCCACTGTGAGCTATGCCATCTTGCCTAATTGTCCTACCCTTCTCAGCACTGTATAATGGAAATAATAGAGCCCATATCCTAGGGTCTTCTGAATGTTAAATGAGAAAATATTGGTAAAGTGCTTAGAGAGTCCTTGGCTGGTTTTCAGTGTCAGTTATCATTTTCCCACCAGGGAAACAGAGGCCCTTCTGTTGCAGATGGAAGAACACATTTTTCAAATTCATGAAGAGTGAGTTCCTCCACTATACCACCCTAGGCCTCTATCTGGCCCTTCACTCCTCCCCCAGTGTGTCTGGGGAAAGAGTCCTCCTATGTAGCTTAACTCCTTCCATCTTCCTTTTTCTCCACTCTCCTCCTTTATGCCCGAAATTTTGTAGAGGACACTGTGTATGATAAGTTTATCTAAGGCTAGGGCTCTATATTAGGAAGTTGATTGTGTTGCACTCCTAAGCCATCATCTTCAGCACTTTTGGATTCATCTGCCATCTCCTTTATCTATTTCAGTTGATGAAGAATTTGAGCAGAGAAAAAAGGGTGGTGACCCTGTGGACCTTCTCAAACCCCAACACTTACTGATATTTTTCCCCTACTCCATTGGATTCTCAACTCCAGGCTTTCTCTACTGTGGTCCGTCCTATACAATGCTGCTTGTCATCTTCCTAAAGTCCTCACGAAATTGTTTCCTTTACAACCAGAAAAGCTGCTCCCTGTTATTTACACAATTGCGTGTGGATTTCCCAGGGGTGTTCATGGCCCTCTACTGCAACGTCTAATTTCCCCACTGCTGCTTTTGTGTTACTCCATGCTCCAGATGAGCTAGATGTTTTCCTGAACAGCACATAAGTTTTCTGCCTCTGTGTTTTGTTTTATGCCATTTTTTCCACCTAAAGAATAGTCTCTCATCCTTCTTTATTTTTTGAAATTCTGGAACTTAAGTCCATCTCTTCTGCTATCATCTTTTCAGTAAAGGCCTTCTCTATCCCCATTCTGATATAATTAATTCGTTCATTAGCATGTATTTTTCAATTCTCTTACGGCATGTAGACACATATAAGTGTATATATAGGCATCCTTATTTTAAAATTTATAATGGGACTGGTTTTCACCTTATACAATCAGATCATAACCTGTTTAAGGACAGGAAATACAGCCTCTTGTTTTTAAGCCCCATAGTGGCTGTGTAGCATTGAGTATTTAGCAGGGAGTCCTGTAGTTAATGAGTGCTCATTAAGTCACTAAGTATTTTATGATTTAAATTGAAATGAGTAGTCAGTGTATTATTCAGTATTCTCCAGCAAAACAAAACTAGTAGAACACATACCTACCTATATGTGTGTGCGTATGTGTGTGTCTGTCTGTGTAATATGTGTGTATATATATATATATGTATAATTTATATGTGTGTACATATATATATTACATATAATTTCTTATAAAGAATTGACTTACGTAATTATAAAAGTTAAGAAGTTCCATGTTCCGCTATCTACGAGCTGGATACCCAAGAAAGCTGGCAGTATAGTTCTGAGAACCAGATGAGGGCAGGAGAAGACTCGTGAACCAGCTCAAGCATTCAGGTGAAGACAGCAAATTTCCCCTTTCATCTTTTTTTTTGATTCAGGCTCTCAATGGATTGCAGGATGCCTACCCACATTGGGGAGCAATCTGCCTACTGATTCCCCTGATTCAAATGCAAATTTTATTGGGAAACACTCTTCAGAGAGACATGCAGAAATAATGTTTAATCCGAGCACCTCATGTCCCAGTCAAGTTGACACATAAAATTAACCAACACATCCAGGATACACACGGAACACACTTTCCATCCGTTTGTTCTTCCGTAAAAAAAAAAAAATAGTTTTTTTCTAAGAAAATACTTGTGGTTTTAGTAGCAGAATTAACTAAACTGCCCAGCAGTTACTGTTGTATGAGCAATTTTCTTCAGGTTTTCAGGTTGAAGAAGCTGGTTTAAGATTTTACAACTTCTAATAGAATTGAAGACATTGAAATGCTGGTTTGAGGACTTGCCTGATTTCTATCAGCAGCAATGATATTCATGCAAAATTTTCTTTGAAAATGAGCTCCTAAGCACTTTAAAAATGCTTTGGGGTGCACGTTTTCCTGAATTCATCCTATAAAATATGTATCATGTGCCTATATGCACATGACTGAGCTAAACTTGATTTTAAAAATCCTAAATGCAAAGGTAGGCAGCCTGCTCTACCCAAGAGGGTTTTTTCCTGGCACTTTGCCTTTATCAACCACAAATATGCTCATTCTTTCCTCTTTCTGCCTTATTGCAGTTCACTTTCTGCCTCTTTTTGTTTCTAAGTCTCCTTGATATCTTGCCCTCTTTTGTTCCTATGTATTTTATTTTATTCACCTTTTTTTTGAGATAGGCCCTTGCTCTGTTGCCCAGGCTGTAGTACAGAGGCATGATCATAGCTCACTGCAGCCTTGAAATCCTGGGCTCAAGAGATCCTCCTGCCATGGCCTCTGAAAGTGCTGAGATTATAGATGTGAGTCATGGTGCCGGGCCTTTATTTTATCCCTGACTTACCTGCCAGAGGGTTTGCTCAGGGGCCCCATGTGTTAAAATGTTTCACCAAATTTACCTCAGTTGTGAAGCCTCTGAGAATACCAGAGAGATCACTGGAACCAAATAGCCTAGAAGTTGACCTTAATACATGCAAGACACTAAATCCACGACAGCAGGGGTCATACCTACCCTACTTACTATCCTAGCTGCAGCATCTTGTTCAATGCATTGAAATAATAGATATACATTTGCTGAACAATGACTTGTCAAGAATGCTAATACATGAAAAAGCCCTTTGTATCCCATCTAGAATACTGAAGAGTTCTTGCCTGGCTGTACTCCTGGGGCTGGCAAAGACTTTTCTGTCTAAGCTTCCATGAGCTGTCTGCCCAGTAAATTTGGACTGGTCCCATCACCTGGGCATATTCATGGTTAAAGGTTAATACTCCTAGAGAACGCTTTCCCTTCCACCTCTTTCCTTGACTTACTTTTATTAATCCATCAAGTCCTAGTTTAGACAATCAATTTTGATGAAATTTAAATCTAGGATGGTGGCCTGATCTCAGGTACTACTGTGTTTTTCCTCTCTCAGTGCTTATCACACTGACTTTGGTTTTTAATTGTGTAAGAATACTTAAAATAAGATCTGCCCATTTTACAAAAAATTTAAGTGCATTATATAGTATTGTTAACGTTAGGCCCAATGTTGTACATTGGATGTTTAGAACTTATTCATTTTGCATAACTGAAACTTTATACCCATTTAGCAACAACTCCTGTGCCCCGCTGGCAGTGGCAGCCACCATTGTACTCTCTGCTTTTATGAGTTTGACTACTCCAGATAGCCCATATTAGCAGAATCATGCAATAGTTGTCCTTCTGTGATGGCTTATCTCACTTAGTATAATGCCCTCTATGTTCATTCATGTTGTTTCAGATGGTAGAGTTTCTTCTTTTTAAAAGCCAAGTAATAATCCATTGTATGTATATATCCCATTTTCTTTCCTCGTTCATTCGTTGATGAACATTTGGGTTGTTTCTATATCTTGGCTATTGTGAATAATGCTTCAAGGAACATGGCATACACTATCTCTTTGTGTTCCTGATTCCAGTTTTTCTGGATATATAACCAAAGGTGGAATTGCCAGATCATATGGTAGATCTATTTTCTTTAAGAACTTTCATGCTGTTCTTCACAGGAGCTGTATCATTTTATATTCCCATCAACAATGTAAAAGCATTCCAATTTCTACACATCCTCACCAATACTTATTTATATATATATATATTTATATATATATATATGTTAGTGACACTATTTTATTTTTATTATTTTTTATTATACTTTAAGTTCTAGGATACATGTGCAGAACGTGCAGGTTTGTTACATAGGTATACATGTGCCCTGATGGTTTGCTGCACCCATCAACCCATCATCTGCATTAGATATTACTCCTAATGCTATCCCTCCCCTAGGCCCCCACCCCTCAACAGGTTCCAGTGTGTGATGTTCACCTCCCTGTGTCCTCATTGTTCAATTCCCACTTATGAGTGAGAATATGTGGTGTTTGGTTTCTTGTTCCTGTGTTAGTTTGCTGAGAATGATGGTTTCCAGCTTCATCCATGTCCCTGCAAAGGACATGAACTCATCCTTTTTTATGGCTCCATAATATTCCATGGTGTATATGTGCCACATTTTCTTTATCCAGTCTATCATTGATGGGCATTTGGGTTGGTTCCAAGTCTTTGCTATTGTGAATAGTGGTGCAATAAACATACATGTGCATGTGTTTTATAGTAGAATGATTTATAATCCTTTGGGTATATACCCAGTAATGGGATTGCTGGGTTAAATGGTATTTCTGTTTCTAGATCCTTGAGGAATTGCCACACTGTCTTCCACAGTGGTCGAACTAATTTACACTCCTACCAACAGTGTAAAAGAGATATTTTTAATAGTAGCCATCCTAAAACGTGTGAAGTTGTATCTCATCTCCGTTTTGATTTGCATTTCCCTGATGATTAATGAGCAGCTTTTCATAAATCTGTTGGCCATTTGTATGTCTTCTTTGGAAAAATGTCTTCAGTCCTTTGCCCATTTTTTAATTAGGTTATTTGGGTTTTTTTTTTTTTTTTTTTTTTTTTTTTTTTTTGCAATTGAGGTGTAGGAGTTTCAATTGATTTTTCTATTTCTCCTTTGACTGTTAGCTCTATTTGGGAAGAAAGCTTCTCTTTCTTGCTCACCTCTATATTTTTAGCATCTAGATACTGCTTGGCAAAAGCCGGGGTAGAGACATTGAGTGAAAGCCATTAATTGAAATTTTTAAATGGGGACTTTGGCTTAACCTGGCTAGTCATTCATGCTGTTATATAAACTTACTTGAAAAAACAAGTGGAATCCCAGGGCGTTTGACCAAGCTGGCTGTACTGTGAGTGAGGAGTCAGCAAGGATTAACGAGCAAGCTACAGACCGTGGAATTATGGAAAATCTGAAGGACAGTGTTCAGGGATGAAGCAAAAATAAAATGCCAAGGAGAAAATCCAACTGAAGGATCTGTCTGGAGTTGATGAGCAGAAGTGGGTGTTATGCAATGGGGACTGAAATGAAAGACACAGTGACATTGTAAATGAGTAGGAAAGGAGGGTAGGCTGAAGTACCCAAATGCCTTGGAACCTGGTCGAGGAGTTGTTTTGTGGATCTTCTAATCTGGAGCATAGAGTGAAGGGAAGGAACTGTTTAAATGTGCCAGTTCAAACAGGATAGATGTTGTGGTTCTCAATTTCCCAAAAAATGCTCTTTAACATGGAGAAAAAAAATCAAGATTTTCTAAACTAATTCTGACTGTAAACCATTGTCAATCTTGGATAAATCTTCATTAATTTAACATTAATTTAATTGAGAACTAGTTGGCATCTGACAGGTACTTTCTCACCTGGAATAGACCAAAACCTAGAGATCTGTAGGAAAGTAGCCCTAAGCCTAACTGCCTTATTATTATTATTATTAAGTTTCATATGTGATTTGAATTAAAAACCAGTATTGAGAACTGCTGGCATGGATGATCTAATTTAATCTAATTTTAGCATATGGGCTTGAGATGGTCTCCTAAAATGCAGAGAAAAAAATCAAATAAATAAAGTAAAGCAAAAGCAGACTATAGATATGAAAAAAATAGAAAAGAAATGTAAGCTACAAATTATAGTCATTTTCTCAAGAGAGGACAGGGCATTAGAACAGAAGCAATGATTTGAAGCATAGTTTTAGAAAGTTACAAAGGAAAGCCCCCTTGAAAGGGCACGCCATGTTTCAAGTGAAATGAATTTAAAGAGAGGCACCTGGGCACATTCTTGAAATATCTAGGAATTTCAAAACATAAAAAATTCTAGTAGAAAACAAAACAAAAAAAAAAAAAAGAAGGAAAAGACACAAAGGTATAAACCCGAGCTAGCTTCAGGTTTTTATGATAGAAGAAAATGTAAAAATGGCCAAGAATTTTGTGAAAAACAGTTTGTTGTTATCTGCACCCAGTCAAGATGTTGTCCTCATGTGGAAGAAAGGTTAAAAAAAATATTTAAAATCTTATGTAGAAAAAATTATCTTGACAACCTGCTGAAAAATTGTATAAACATATTCGCCATCTGACTAGATTTTAGGAGTCATTAGATTTTCATCTCACAGCATATACCAAAAGTATCTTAAGTAAATTAAACTATATGTGTGTGTCTCTATTTATAATTTACTTCATGTATATATATGCTAACAGAACAATGAAAATATACATAAATATTTCAAGGTAATGCATGAATCAAAAAGGAAAGTATTCATAACACTGACTCTTTAAACATCTGTTTACAACAGAAATCATCATAAACAAAATGTTTTAAAAACCAACAAAATAAGAATGTATATATTATACACTCAACATGTATATATTATATTTTCTCTGTGTATGTGTATGTATATGCATACCTATATACACATATATAAACACAATACACACACATATATACATCCAAACTATAATGATGTAACAAATATGAAACATATGGAACCTTGATGTGGGCAAATGACATGAAGAGGAATTACAAATCTAAAAGTAAGTATATTGATAAATATTTGTTGAGTAAATGTTTAAACCCCAAATTTAAATGTATACATATATATATATTTACTCATAATGAACAATTTAATAATAAACAAAGGCAAATTAAATAAACGACCTAATGCAATTTGTCACCTATTAAATTATCAAAGATTCAAACAGCCATCCATATGGTATTTCTCATGTTGGTAACTGTGAGTAGATGAACATCTTCACAGTACCACACTTACTGCTGCTGAATGTAAATAACACTATCAAACTGGCAATATGTATTAAGAACCTTTAAAATATTTATTTCTTTTGACTCAGTATTTCCCCTTCTTGACTCTGTTCTTAGAAACGTATCAGGATACTGATCAAAATGCATGAAAAATGGTGTCTACTTCAGTGTCATTTGTAGTACAAAAAAATTTAGAAATGGATAAAATATCTAGCTATTGGTTAGGAGAAAATATTTTTGTTACAGCCATAAAAACATTTAAAAACAATTTTTCATGATGTGAGGAATAGTTTATTATATAATTATAACTAAATCACTGAATGTGAAATTATTAGTATGATTGCAGTTTTGTAAAGGAAAATAGATTATGTTTTTAGGAGATTGGAAAGAATTAACCAAACATAGTGCTATTATTCTCTAAATGGTGAGATATTAGGTAATTTATATGTTATTCTTTATGCCCTTTACATATAAAATTCTAAGTGTATGTTCAAAAAATTATAAAATAGCAGGGAAGTATTATTCAGTAAACAATGCGCTGATAAATAGCAATTTAAAAGCAATTCAGATTAGATCCTTATCTCGTACACAAGCATACATTTGCTTATTGCTTTAGTACAATATTTTCTATGTCTGTCTGAATGCCAGCACTGCAACATTTTGTAGCTTGATTATTTTGCATTTCAATTACTACAATCTCTACAATGTTTTAGGAGAAAAATAACAGAATGGCTAGTTTAATCTATTATACAAATCTAAGTACACATTTATAGAAAAATCAACTATTTCATTTATAGTTGGATCTTTAATTTTCTCATGAAAAAAGGAACTAGGCTAAGGCATAGGTTCTTCACTTTTTGCTGTAATGACATTAAAAGTCAATTTGAGAGAATGCGTGCTAGTCTTTTACTGTTGGCAATATACAGCAATTGCATTACCTTAGAACACTGTTCTTTGCAGAATGCATGCTCATTGGAGAGTTAATGAATGTTAAATTAACATCTTAATGAAAATTGTATATTAATACTGCTCTTGTTCCTAAATAGTCATTTAATTCTGATAAATCAAGGAATTCAATTTTTGCTAAATAAAAATCACCGTCTTGGAAAGCATGATGCTGCAACTGAACATTTGCTGTATTTCTGAAATTCAGAGCTACTATTAAAGAGAAAATACATTCAGTTTGAGGACTGTATGGTTTGGAAATTTTGCTTACTGTCCTATAGAAGAAATCAAACGGTGTTTTCAGTGTTCTAAAATGAGTCATTAGATACTCCAATTTAGTTATAGATATGAAAATGGTATACTGTATTGCTCACATGATAGAACTTTAACAATATTTCTATCATAAATTTAATAAAAGGTTTAGCCCAACAATAAAAACATGACAGTAAGATTCTTAATGCACAGTATAATAGTAAGAAGATAATTTTTAATTAAAATTTTAATCAAAATGAATTTAAATATTTCAGTGCAATTGAAAATTAAGTATGAGTTTTTTGTTGTTTTTGTTTTTGTTTTTTTTTTAGATTCGGGGGTTACATGTGTAGGTTTGTTACATGTGTAGGTTTGTTACATGAACATATTGCATAATGGTGAGATTTGGACTTCCACAGTACCCATCATCCAAATAGTGAACATTGTAACAAAAGGCAATTTTTCAGCCCTCATCCCTCTGCTACCCTACCCTCTTTTGGAGTCTCCAGTGTATATTATTTCCATCTTTATGTCCATGTGTGCCCATTGCTTAGCTCCTACATGTAAGTGAAAACATGGAGTATATGATTTACTGTTTCTTCGTTATTTCACTTAAGATAACAGCCTCCAGCTCCATCCATGTTGCACAAAAGACATGATTTTATTCTTTTTTATGGCTGCATAATATTCCATGGTATATACATCCCTCATTTTCTTTATTCAGGTATCACTTGATGAACACTTAGGTTGACTCCATGACTTTGCTCTTGTGAACAGTGCTCTGATAAACATACAATTGCAGGTATCCTTTTTATATGATTTATTTTCCTTTGGGTAAATACCCAGGAGTGAGATTGCTGGGTCAAATGGTAGTTCTAGTTTTAGTTCTTCGAGCAATCGCTACACTGTTTTTCATAGAGGTTATACTAATTTACATTCCCACCAACAGTGTATAAGCATTCCATTTTGCATGCATCCTCACCAACATCTGTAGATTTTTTACCTTAATAATAGCCATTCTGACTAGTGTAAAATGGTATGTTATTGTGGTTTTAATTTGCATTTCTGTGATGATTAGTAATGTTGAGCATTTTTGTATATTTGTTGGCCACTTGTACATCTTCTTTTGAGGAATGTCTGTTCATGTCCCTTGTTCACTCTTTAGTAGAGTTATTTGATTTTTCTTGATGAGTTGTTTGAGTTCCTTGTAGATTCTGAATATTATTTCTTTGTCAGATGTATAATATGCAAATATTTTCTCCCATTCTGTAGGTTGTCTTCTTATTCTGTTGTTTATTTCTTTGGCTGTCCAGAAACTTTTTAGTTTAGTAGTCTCATTTGTCTATTTTTGTTTTTTGTTGCATTTGCTTTTGAGAGCCTAGTCAAAAATTATTTGCCTAGGCCAATGTCTAGAAGACTTTTTCCTGGGTTTTCTTGTAGCATTTTCATAGCTTCAGGTCCTACATTTAAGTATTTAATCCATCTTGAGTTAGTTTTTGTATATTGTGAGAGATAAGGACCCAAATTCATTCTCCTTATGGCTAGCCAATTTTCCCAGCACCATTTATTGAATAGGGCATCCTTTGCCCATTGTTTATTTTTGTCAACCATCATTGTATGTGGCTTTACTTATGGGTTGTCTATTGTGTTCCATTAACCTCTGTGTCTATTTTTGTTAACTATTTAAAAAAAATACATATTAGAGGCTGGGAGTGGTGGCTCACGCCTGTAATCCCAGCACTTTGGGAGGCCGAGGTGGGCGGATCACAAGGTCAGGAGAGCGAGACCATCTTGGCCAACATGGTGAAACCCTGTCTCTACTAAAATACAAAAAATTAGCCAGGTATGGTGGTGCGTGCCTGTAATCCCAGCTACTTGGGAGGCTGAGGCAAGGGAATTGCTTGAACCCGGGAGATGGAAGTTGCAGTGAGCTGGGATTGCACCACTGCACTCCAACCTGGTGACAGAACAAGACTCTGTCTTAAAAAAAAAATACATATTAGAGAGTTAACTTTTAAAACTACAATATATGTTAGTAAACATAAAATAATCCAGCATGAAATGAGCAAATAATATTTACAATAAAATTTAAATATTTGCATGCAATATTTGATTTTGAATTATAACTTAAATATAATTTAACAGGGTGTTGATAAAGTTTTAGTTTTCTTAATACCTTCAATTCTCATTCTTCTATTCATTTTTTTCCTTCCCTCAATCTCCCAGGAACCCTTTTGTCTTAATTAGTTCCATCATATTTTGACCACTAGAATTAATCATCCAACAAGAATGAATTGTCTGTCGTTCTTCAGTCTTTTCTTTAATATCAGCATTTAATTAATCACCAGGTTCTACAGGAAACTCCTCTTTCCCTGATCTCCCAGCTTCACTTATCTCCAACCACACTCCCGCTGTCCTAGTGAAGAACCCTATAAATTCTTATCCAATTATTTTCTCTTTGTAACTTGTTCAAACTTGGTAACTTTGTAACTAGCCTTACAGCAAGCCCTGCTCCCATCCATTCACCGCGTGCTAACGAAGGGCTCTGGCTAGAAAACAACTCTGCTAGTATCACCACCTTGTGTCCATCTTTTGATGGCTTCCCATTCAAGGTCCCTGTTGAATAGCCTTCCAAGTGGTAGAGATAAAGAGCAAATTCCATAACAGGATTTGTTTTTAATTTCCAACTTTTATGTTAAGCTTAGGGGTACATGTGCAGGATGTGCAGGTTTGTTACATAGGTAAACACGTGCCACAGTAGTTTGCTGCACAGATCATCCCATCACCTAGGTATTAAGCCCAACATCCATTAGCTATTCTTCCTGATGCTCTCCCTCCCCCTACCCTCCAACAGGCCCCAATGTGTGTTATTCCCCCCATGTGTCCATGTGTTTTTATCACTCAGCTCCTACTTATAAGTGAGAACATATGGAATTTGGTTTTCTGTTCCTGCATTAGTTTTCTGGGGATAATGGCTTCCGGCTCCAGCCATGTCCCTGCAAAGGCCATGATCTCATTCCTTCTTGTGGCTGCATAATATTCCATGGTGTATATGTACGGCATTTTTTTATCCAGTCTGTCATTGATGGGCATTTAGGTTTATTCCATGTCTTTGCTATTGTGAATAGTGCTGGAATGAACATATGTGTCCATGTATCTTTATAATAGAAAGAGTTATATTCCTTTGAGTAATATACTCATGTATTAGTCAGGGTTCTCTTAGAGGGTCAGAACCAATAGAATATATATAGGGGAGTTTATTAAGTATTAACATACACGATCACAAGGTCGCAAAATAGGCTGTCTGCAAGCTGCAGAGCAAGGAGAACCAGTCTGAGTCCCAAAACTGAAGAACTTGGAGTCTGATGGATTGAGGGCAAGAAGTATCCAGCATGGGAGAAAGATGTAGGCTGGGAGGCTGGGCTGGGCTGGGCTGCGCTGGGCTGGGCTGGGCTGGGCTGGGCTGGGCTGGGCTGGGCTCGGCTCGGCTCGGCTCGGCTCGTCTCGTCTCGTCTCGTCTCGTCTCGTCTCGTCTCGTCTCGTCTCGTCTCGTCTCTTCATGTTTTTCTGCCTGCTTTATATTCACTGGTGGCTGATTAGATTGTGCCCACCAGATTAAGGGTGGATGTGCCTTCCCCAGCCCACTGACTCAAATGTTAATCTCTTTTGGCAACAGACACACTCAGGATTAATACCTTGTATCCCTCAATCCAATCAAGTTGACACTGAGTATTAACCATCACAAGTCAGTAATTGGATTGCTGGGTTGAATGATATTTCTGCCTCTAGGTCTTTCAGGAATTGGCACACTGTCTTCCTCAATGGTCATAACAAGACTTTTGAAGCCCTGTGAATTCTGATTCATTCTTGAAATTCACCCCTTTTTTGACCACTTCTGCTAACCACTTTGCTTTCCACCTCTACTAAACACATTCCTCAAGACTTGACATGTTTTCACTTATCTCAAGATTTTTGTTTTTACTTAGTAAGGTGTAAGTAATTGACACACATTTTTTAAAATGACTGAACATATAAAAATGTTAAGCCCCCGACCTACAGTAACTTTCCATTGCCACTTCTCAGCACTTTACCTCACTGAGTCCTATTATGTCCACTTATGTTTATGCTTAAGAAGTTCACTCCTTCATGACTTCTTTTCCAAAGGCTTTCTTAATTCCTGGTGCTGTTTCTTCTGGGTAGGAGCAATATTGCTCTATCTATACTGACTACATTTGTATCATTATCCATTTACTTATTTGTCTTTCCTGCATTCCTTCATTACAAGTATTTATTAATACTTGTATCTTCAATGCCAGTCACATGCTTGATAGTATTAGGCACCCAGTAAGTGTCTGTTGAATAATGAGATAAATGAAAATTCTGGTGTAGAGATTTATAAAATACTCTATTAAAATCATCCTTGACCACCATGAGTCAGCTCACATACTACCTCCTACAATAGAACTTTTCTGATTCTTTACCATTGTCAACTGGATATGACCTTTCTGACCTTGCAGCCCCTGCAGTACTTCAGTTATCCTCTCTTAAAACTCATAATGCTCTAAAATTTTTATAGAACCACAAATGACTTCAAATAGCCAAAGCAATTTTGAGCAAAGAGAACAGAGCTGGAGGCATCACACTTCCTTGACTTCAAAATATACTACAAAGTTATTGTAGCCAAAGCATAAAAACAGACATAGACCAATGGAACACAAGACAGCCCAGAAATAAACCCACACACTTACAGCCAACTGATTTTTGACAAAGGCACCAAGAACATTGAATAGAAAAAGAACAGCCTCTTCATCAGAGTTCTAATTTTTTTTCCCTAGACTTACAAAAGGTACTCAAGATCAGTAAGTACAGAAAAACCAACAACATATGTATTCCTTAAGGAAAGAGGCTTGTTTTTATCCGCCCTGACTGCTTCTTCTGAAGCAAACCAGGTGACATGAGTACATGTGATGTTAAGTAAATGATAGCATTATAATTTTATCAATTGACCTATAAAATAAGTATCCCCAATTTGCATTCTTACAGGGAGCATCAAGCCAGATTTCATGTTATACTTGAATGAAAATTCAATAATCAGTGTCTAACTTTGCATGTCTCTAATGTATATTTACACTTCCTTTTATAGTTAATAAGAGGATTCATGCTTCATATGTCATTTAAACCTCCTAAAAATTCTATGAATTAGCACAGCTTTAAAACACTGATAGAAAGAATGGAGTTCACATACACACTTCACAGAGAAGAGAATCTGGATTTTGGCTGGTTGTTTCAGAAGACAATTACCAAGATGTTTTATAGCAGGGGTCCCCAACCTCCAGTCTCAGGTTGGTACCAATCTGTGGGCTGTTAGGAACTGGGCTGCACAGCAGGAGGTGAGTGGCAGTGGTGAGCAAGCATTACCACCTGAGCTGGCCTCCAGCAGATCAGCAGGGTCATTAAATTATCATAGGAATGCAAACCCTGTTGTAAACTTCATATGCAAGGGATCTAGGGTGCATGCTCCTTATGAGAATCTGATGCCTGGTGATCTGAGGTGGAACAGTTTCATCTGAAAACCTCCATGGAAAAATTGTCTTCCATGAAACTGGTCCCTGGTGCCAAAAGTTTGAGGACCATTGTTTTAGAGGACAAAGTGTGAGAGAAAAATGACCAGGATGGTGAGCAAACTCATTAGGAATGGTTGAAGCTTGTGTGCAATAAATACTTGCTAAACAGGATTAAATGGAATAATGTAATGTTTAAATAAAAAAAAAAAACAAGAAATGGGGGGATCAATTTGCATAAAATTCAGACACAAAATGATGCTGAGGATGCCTAAGTTTACATATTTTTTGCATATGGTATATTAAGGTTTTATGTTTTTGTCCATCACAAGGGCCTGCTAGCTGGAAAAATTAGATTTAGGTAGGTTGAACTTTTTCCTTAACAGTGCATATTTCCAAGAACTCCAAAGAGAAAAGAGAGAGAGTGTATAAGCAAACAAGGCACTTGTGATAATTATTTCCTTAAAAAAAGATTCAGGGATCAACACTTTTTTCTTTTATTTTTCAAAAAGAGATGATCAGCATTCAGAATATTTTGAAAATAAAACAATGCAAAACTCAGCAAGTGTGTTTTATCCAGTTCAATGTCTGTAAATCTTTTATTAAAACTTCTTCTGCCTCAGACAGAAGAATCTTCTACATTATGTCAGGATTTCAAGAGCAACATTGGAAAGATATGTTGCTTTCAAGTGATTTTTTTCTCCCTAGTTAATGTTTATAGGGAAGGCTTTCAGAACAAATATAGGAAAAAAATCAATCACCAAAGGATGAGTTGTGCTCTGGCCCCAAGGCAGGAGTTGCTGATAACTCCCCATGACCCCCAACCCAAGGTTTGAATTCCTCCAACTTTCCTTCTCTACTTTCTCTTTTGTGACACCTGAGATAGTTGGTCACAATGTTGGTGACCAAGAAAAAATTAACTGCCCTAAACCACTTGGAAATTGAAACTACAAACTAATTTTCATGAACACCATTTCAGGGAGGAACATACTTATGTAGTCTCCTAATTGCAGAGTTTTTAATATTGTACCCACTAAAGATTTTCTTTTCTGTCTGCCTGCCTGCCTGCCTGCCTTTCTTTCTTTTTCTTTCTTTCTTTCTTTCTTTCTTTCTTTCTTTCTTTCTTTCTTTCTTTCTTTCTTTCTTTCTTCCTTCCTTCCTTCCTTCCTTCCTTCCTTCCTTCCTTCCTTTCTTTCTTTCTTTTTTTTTTCTCTCTCTCTCTTTCTTTCCTTCTTTCTTTCTTTCTTTCTTTCTTTCAAGATGAAGTCTCACTCTGTCACCCAGCCTGGAGTTCAGTGGCATGATCTCAGCTCACTGCAACCTTCACCTCCCAGGTTCAAGCAATTCTCCTGCCTCAACCTGCTGAGTAGCTGTGATTACTGGCACATGCCACCATGCCCAGCTAATTGTTTGTATTTTTAGTAGAGATGAGGTTTCACTATGTTGGCCAGGATGGTCTTGATCTCCTGACCTCATGATCTGCCTGCCTCAGCCTCCCAAAGTGCTGGGATTACAAGTGTGAGCCACTGTGCCCGGCCAGAGTTTCATTTTTTTAAGTAAGCTCTAGTGATATCCAGTTGAGAGGTTGCCAGGGCTCCCTGGCCCAGAGCCTAGAACCAGACTGTAATGAGGTAGGAGGGTTTTACTATGGCTCAGGAAAGAGACTTGTTAGGAAGCTGGTGGAGGTGGACAGAGGAGGAGGCTGTGGAAAAGGAGACAAAGGGGCCTCTGAGGGAATCCTGGAGAGGGAAAGAGGCCTAGGAGTTCAGAAAGGCTTCTGAGAGGTAGGTGGTCTTTTGAACATTTACCTTATTCCAACTCGAGTTCTAAGTCTTTTGAGCTTTGCCTGTCATTAAGTTTTGTAAGCATAGAATTGCATTTTCTTAAATGTAGGCAGTCTGTCACCTTAAAAATTTCTAGCCTTGTTTGTAGAAAAGGGTGAAGAACAGCTGCCCAAGTGAGCCACCTAATTTTCTCTGTGAGGACAGTCCACTAAATGGCCATGTTCAAAGGAATCTCACAATTCACAGCTATTGCTGCATAATGATTTATGAGCCAAATCACTCACCCATTAGAAGAATGAGTCTTCAATGGTCAGATCAAACATAATTTATTATCTCTAACGTCTGGTAGTCTTATGTTTTTCTAACACTTTGCAGCTTTTATCAGGGTATGTATTCCTGCCTGTGGCCACAGCACTGAAGAAAATGGCAGTTCCTTTTCAGTTTTGTCCAATAATCCTCCACGTTCCTGCATTTCATCAGTGTTTTCAGTGTTCCAAGACTGTGTCCAGATACACAGTAGAGTTAGCTTTGCCTTCCCTTATGGATACACATAAATACCTCCCTTATGGATATAGATACATAAAGTAAGCATTTGGCTATTTTCTGTAATTAGAAAAGATTTAAGAAAGCCCATTTTGCCAAAAATATATCATGCAAGGGTGCTTGGGGATTCTTTTGAGCTCATCATTTAAAGAAATACAAATTATGCTTAATGAATGAACATAATAATCTCCTAATACTTTAGCTGAGATTTATTTTATCATATAGGTTTCAAATCAGCAAACATTATCGGTTGCATTTTATATTTGAGATACAAAGTTATTTATGTTGTGGGACCTGAAACTAAGTAAACAGTTATCCTTGAAACTGGGGACCTTTTAGACTACGAGAATGAGTTTCTCAAAGTCTGTCTTTTATAGTGCCTAGAATAGTAGAACTGATAAATAGTGTTTACTGAATAAATACACTACTAAATTATTCCAGTGGATTTCCCATGCACACAAATATCTATGATCAATACAGTACATTAGGAACACCATGAGAATACTACAAATATTTTGGCAATGAGGAGAGACAAAGAGGATTTGTAAAGGCTTCATAAAGGATGTTTCATTTAGCTTGATTGTTGGATAGAATTGAGGAGGCTTGTGTGAAAAGGTTGTGGGAATTTCTACTGGGGTCAAGAGTACCAAAAAAGAATAGATAATTTTTTTAAGGGTAATCCTGTTTGGGAAATCAGCTAGTGCCTGTAGTAAAGCAGGACAGGGAGTGAAAAACAAGGATTGCAACCATGAATGGAATCCTGGGAGTGCCTTGTAAAGGAACATAGACATTATTCCTAAAATAAGCAATCAGGAGCTCCTGAAGGCTTTTCAGCAAGAGTATGACTATCACAGTAACCAAATGAGATCATTGGGTACCAGAGAAGAAAACACAAAATGATTTGGGGGCAAAAGACAGGTCTTTCTTCCAGCATGGTGGACAAAATTGGCCTAGAGCTCTGTGAATCCAAGAAGAATGTTGTGTGACTTGTTCTTTGAATACTAAGTGTCTACATAAGAAGATATTCTTGTGCCAAATATACTTTTTCACCAAAATATAATGCCCTCTCCTTTTTGGTCCTCTGGTATTTGAATTAACTAATACCTTTGGTAAATGTGTTCTGATATATAGTATCCTGGTGAATAGTATGGGGCTTCCTTGGTGTAGGGGCTTCCTTGGTTTAAGGTGAACACCCTTCAGCTGATGGTTTGAAGGAATGTGGAAGATGTGAGGCCTGCTCTGGGAAAGACATGCCCCAGCGGAGAAGGAGAAAAAACCCACAGCTTTTATTATGTGAGAAAAGAAGTCAGTCAAAGGAGGTATTCTTCAAACACAAAGCCAAAGCACTGCAAAAGAATCTATGATTATTTCTTAAATAACTTTTTGTTAATGCTACTCCCTAGGTGTCCTAAAATCTCAGCTAAATGTTTTGAAATCTGGCCATGTTTTCAAAGAGCAGAAACACCCACAGAGTTGATTCTCACTCTTACAAGTTCTAAGTGATGCCTAGGGCTTAAGATGCACCATTCTTACAGAGTTACAATAGTAGTCACATGATCTCTCTTAATTTCCCATGATGAAGACTTAGAAAGTGTTTCTTTTATAAACCAGAGGGTAAATACAAAATGTCCCCTTTAAAGGAGGCTGCTAAGAGGTACAAATGATTGGACTCAGTGTTTTGGAACTTGCTCTATTTTTTTCCAGATGGATAATTGTTAAAGGGTTATTACAAGTAGTTACATGAAAAGGCAATTATGAGGAGGCTATGAACAAATCTGCCTTCATTTTGATTTGAATATTGGAGCAGTCGTAGTATTTGTTGTGTGTTCCTGGTAATGGAATTCAACCTTTTATCTTTTGTTAAAATGTTCTGCAATAATATGTGATTATGCAGATGCATAGGAATAAAACATGTATTACAGAGTCCATCACTCTGCAATCGTTTTTGTATTATAGCAAATTTCAAGTCTTTCTTACTTTATGTAGCTACAATAAGAATGTATCTTTGGATTTGCATAAGATATGTATATGAGTGCTTTTTATTTATTAAAGCCATTCAAAGAGGAACCAAACACAGGAATATCAAGATTTCTTTTGAATAAGTAAAAACTTGGGGAAAAATGGCAAATAATCTGGCACTTTTTTATATTCTACATAATTTTATCTAAATGTTGTCAATTCAATTAACATAATTTTTAAAAACTTGCATAATTGCAATACATATTTTCCAGATTTGTGAACTATTTTCAATAAAATCAATTTATATAGGCTACTTTCTAAGAATACTGCAAAGAATATCACCTCCATACCGTGAAGAAATCAGTAAAATAATTTGTGGAAGTGATGCTTAATTTCATTGTATACATAACATCTAATTTAGTTCCAAAATATTCTCTGAGTAGGACAAACTCTTGTCAATTTTGTTAATTATTTTTGTTCTCACAGTATTTAAAATATGCTTTAAAATTTTTGCAAAAGAGAGATGTTTTCAACTATTTTAAGATTAAATGCAGAAAGCAGAGATTGCAATTATGAAGCTTATTTGCATGCTTCAGAATGTTGAATATATATTAGTTATTAATATTTATCTCATTTCAATGATATAGGCTTGAAATAGTAAAAGAATGCCTGCTTTATGAATGAAGAAAACAGAGGATAACTTAGCTTAGCTCCTGATAAGACCCTTTGCTTTAATAGTCACATGACACAAAAATGCATCAGGACCAAGATGTCAATGTCTATGCTAAGAAGTTAATGTCCAGACAGAAGACACTTAGCTAACTAAAAATTAGCCGGGCTTGATGGTGGGCACCTATAATCCCAGCCACTCAGGAGGCTGAGGCACAAGAATGGTTTGAATCCAGGAGGTGGAGTTTGCAGGGAGCCAAGATCGTGCCACTGCACTCCAGCCTGGGTGACAGAGTGAGACTCTGTATCCAAAAAAAGAAAAAAGAAAAAAATTAAAAAGAAAAAGATGGCACTTGGCCAAAAAATGTCTGTTGAAGGACTGCAGTGAGCATTGTGGAACTGCAATGAGCTAAACTAAGTGGATGCTTATTTCAAAAAGCGAAACTGACAGAGAGAGAAAAACAAAACAAAACAAAACAAAACATGTAAATACCACAGAGCTTCAGAGGTGGGAGATGTCACCACAAATTGCAGTAGGCAGGGCACAATTAAGCTAGACCTTTTAAGGTGGGTGAAATTTGGATTACAGGAGGAAAGAGGTAAGGGCATCTAAGTGAGTGAATGATAGCTGGGGGTTGCTAGGCGTGTACATGGGACAGTTTGTACATGCAGGAACTCCAGAAGAGGGGGAGAGCTGGGTGAGAAGGCGTGGGAATCAAGTTCATTTCATGGACTCCTCAATCTCTTTTGCTCTAGTTTCCCCCCACCCGGTGCCCCTGTTGTTTATTTCTCTCTCTCGCTCTCTGTCTCTCTCTCCCCCTATCTCTTTCTCTCTTCCCTTCCTCTCTCCTTTTTCCTATCTCTATCCCTATCCATAAGTTTATCTTTAGCTCTAGCTCTTACTTAGAATCCAATCAGCCTCCAAAGCCAAGACAATTCCTTTGTTTAAAGTTTCACTCTTTCATAAACAAAATTCATTTTTTCTGCTCTAAACATTTTTTCTCATTATTTTCTCTTCTAGCACACTGTTCTCGCCATCTAATATTGTCAGTGTTTTACTTTAAAGAGTCAGCACCGATGATACTGAAATTCTTACTTATTTAATTTTATCATTCCATATAATTTATTAAAAATTATTCTGCATTGTGGTTTTGCACACATTGCTGGAATTTTCTTCTGATCAACCAATGAGTCTTGGGTCTGTTGAAAATATTATTTGTACATCTTTTTATTTTCCAATAGATGAGGAAGAGAAGAAAGAGGAGGAGGAAGGCAGAGAGAGAGAGAGAGAGAGCACAAAGGGTAAAATCATTAATGTTATATCAAGCAATTTAAAAGTATTTTAGACTCTCTGCCAGAAGATTGTGAAAACATAGTGCAAGGTTTATTATTATTATTTAAGTAACACAGTCATGTTATTGGCCTAGAGCTATCTTAAAATTTATTTTAAGCCCATTATTTGTGGTTATTACCGGGTACCACCAGTACAGTGAAAAGAATATTAGAATAGGCATAAAAATGGATTCTAATTCTTCATTCATCACTATGTGATTTTAGTAATATAAATTTATCTCTCAGAGTCTTGAGTAATACCATCATTAAAAGAGAAAAGAAATTATGGCATTCTTACATTAGATAATCTAAAAATTTCATTCCAGCCTCCAAATTATGTAACAGAATTTTTGTTCCCCTTCCTCTAAAGCAAATGCAATTTGCAAATAATTTATATTAGGAATTCTATCCTTCCAGTTGTTATTATAGAACATAATTATTCCTCATACATTTTATGTTAATGATTTTAGTGCATGAATGGTTTTATTCAAGACTCATTATGCCAATAATTTTAAATTATAATATGTAGAGACAAAGAAAAAAAATTAACAGGCAAAAGATGAAAGCTATCAGTCTGTCAAGTCTAGACACCAGAACAATTGTAAACACTTTGATTTTTTTTTCTTCCAGAGAAAATGAATTGTTAGTTAAAAATCTTGACTAAAGAATAAAATAGTCTAATAATTACTTACTAATTACTTACTTACTTACTAATAATTGATTTGTACATTTTATCTTAATGTTCTTGAGTGTAAAGTTCTCCAGAGGCAGGGCACGGTGGTTTACGTATGTAATCCCAGCACTTTGGGAAGCTGAAGTGAAAGGGTTCCTTGAGCCCATGAGCTCGAGACCAGCCTGGTCAATATAGTGATACCCCCATCTCTACAAATAATAAATTAATAAAAATTAGTTGGGCATGTTGGGGCAAACCTGTAGTCCCAGCTACTCAGGAGGCTGAGGTGGGAGAACAGCCAAGGAGATTGAGGCTGCAGTTAGCCATGATTGCACCCCTGCACTCCAGCCTAGGCAACAGAGTGAGACTCTTGTCTTCAAAAAGATAAATACAATACAATACAATACAATAAAATACAATAAAGTTTCCCAGCAAGTTTGGTGTGTGATTGTTTGCATAGTGAATTCTGTAATATGAGTGTGTGCTCAGGAAAGGGTTAATTTGTTCATCTTGGGTTAACTCTGGGTTGCTCAAACCCTGCAGACTCCTAAGAAAGGCCTGTCTGCCTTTGGAATGCCCCTTGGTAGCTCCTGGGAGATGAGCTAAACCCTTGGAATATTCTGCCTGACAAGAGTGTTTCTATTGGCCTAAGGCCTTGGGCCACCCAGCACCGGTTAGATCAAATAGTTTAGGCTAACAGTATGATCTATGGTGAAAACTGATTTTGCTTTTGAGGGGTTAGAGACTGAGTAGCTGAGGTCACCTGACTGACTCCCAATTAAAAACCCTGGACATCAAGATTTGAGCGAGTTCCCCTGGCTTACAGACTTTGGCAAATGTTTTTACACATTTCAAGAATTAAGACTATCCATGCAACTGCCTTGGGGGAAGACACCTGGAACCTTGCTCCTGGTTTCCCCTGGACTTGACTTCTTACACTTTTTCCCTTTGATGTTTTAATCTGTATCCATTTGTTACAATATATTGTAACTGTGAATGTTAACAGTTGTTCAAGTCTCATGAGTGATTCTAGTGAATAGTTGAGACTGAGGGTGAATTGTGCCTGCCTCACCCCAAAGTATGGTTCAAGACAGTCTTTTAATTAATAATATCACTTAAGAAAGCTTTCCTAAATAATTAAATTAATAATATCACTTCAGAAAGCTTTCCTAAAATGCTTCTAAAGTCAAGCAAGATTTTTTAATTAAAAGCTTAATAGTTAACTTTAAATTACATTAAGAGAAAAAAATTTACTGAAAACATACTATCTTTAGGCTATCTGAGATTTTTAAGTATCTATTACCAAGTTTTCAACTTTCAGTGATTCCAGATCATTTGGATTCAAGATTAAAGTGATTATATTTTTTCTCTTTGATTCATTATTATAATATCCATTTGATAAAGAACCCCAAAAGAAATATCATTATGTACCTTCAAATCATATTTATTTGGAAGACTCATTAAAAACCAGAAGCTATGTTGTACTTTAAATATATTATCTTTAGTTTTTAATTTTCAGCATAATCAGGTGATATAATATTAATGTTGCTTTATATGTGAGAAAAATTGGGCTTAGAAAGTTAAAGAGATTACTCCAGGCATACTACTGGATGTGGCATAGAGAGTATTTGGATTAGGGTCTATTAGGAATTAAGTTCATGCTTGTTCTATTGTGTTACTCCATATATTCACCCTTAATGACATGTTACTTATTCTGCCTCTGGTAGTAGAGAGAGTAAGCTGCTTGTACATCAATTTTGCTTCTTCCAGCTGGGCGTGATAGCTCACTCCTGTAAACCCAGCATTTTGGGAAGCCAAGGCGGGCGGATCACCTGAGGTCAGGATTTCAAGGCCAGCCTGGCCAACATGGTGAAACCCTGTCTCTACTAAAAATACAAAAATACAAAAATTAGCCGGGTGTGGTGGTTGATGCCTGTAGTCCCAGCTACTTGTGAAGCTGAGGCAGGAGAATCACTTGAACCTGGGAGGCTGAGGTTGCAGTAAGCCGAGATCACGCTACTGCACTCCAGCCTGGGTGACAGAGTGAGACTCTGTCTCAAAACAAAACAAAAACTTTGCTTCTTCCTTAAATATTTAATGGAAATCAACAGAGAAGTTATATAGAGCTAGAGGTTACGCCCGGCTAATTTTTTGTATTTTTAGTAGAGTCGGGGTTTCACCGTGTTAGTCAGGATGGTCTCAATCTCTTGACCTCCTAATCCGCCCGCCTCGGCCTCCTAAAGTGTTGGAATTACAGGCGTGAGCGACCGCGTCCAGCTGAGAATGTTTTTTATTGCAAATTCATTTTTATTAACAGATATTGTAATTGTAACCATTAAATTCTTCCTGAGTCCATTTTTCTATTGTGTCTACCAAGGAATTTTAAAATTTCTTTTAAACTGTCAACATTATTGGCATAACATTTTTATAATAATTTCTGTTCCTTTTAATGTGTATGGAATCAATAGTGATTTTTAATTCATTGCTATTATTGATCATTTATATCTGCTCTCTGTCTCTCTCTTTCAGTATATCTAGAGGTTTATAAATGCTGCTAATAATTTCAAATAATGACTTTTGGTTTCTTTGATTTGCTTTAACTTCTATTACATACTCTCTTTTTTTACATACTTTTGATTTAGTTTGATATTAATTTGCTAGGTTACTAAAGTTGAAACACATTAATTTTAAATATTTTTATTTATCTTTCATATGCATTTAGAGATATAAAAATTTTTTAACCACTGTTTTAACTGTATCCCATAAATTTGAATAGACTGTGTTTTAGTTATTATTCAGTTAAAAAATTTTCTATTTACCTTTGACATTTGTTCTCTAACTGTGAATTATTTATAAGTGTGTTGCTTAATTCAAAATATTTGGTGATTTTTCCAGATTGTGTTATTATTGATTTTTATGTTTAATTCTGTTGTGGTGAGAGAACATTATTTGTATCACTTAATCCTTTGAGTTTTAGTGAGCTTGTGGCCCAAGCTTTTACTTATATAAAAACACCATTTTTTTGCCATCATTTAAAAATAATATTATACTGACTATAGAAATGTAGGTTGATGGGTTTTATTTATTGATTTTTTTTTCATCACTTGCCTTCTTGCTTGCATCATTTTTCTATGACAAGGGCGTGATAATTCTTATTTATTATTGTTCACCAGTGTGTAATTTATCTGGCTGCCTTTGAGATTTTCTCTTTTACTTTGGTTTTCAGAAATGTGGTGGGACTAGGTGTGGTTTTCTTTGTATTTATCCTGCTAGGATTTTATTGAACTTCTTGGATGTGTGGGTTGATTTCTTTTGGTCAAAATTGACAAGTTTCATCATTATTCATTCAAATACTTTTTTCATTCTAATTGCTCTCATCTTCTTGGACTTCAATTATGTGCACATTTCTGCCACCCTGAACTATGAATTTTATTTCTTCCACCCACCAAGACCCCAGCTCTCTGGTGTGTCTAGTGCTGTGATTTGGATAATGATCCCTGGTGGAAAGCTGAGGTTAATGCAGAGATCATTTTGTGCAGCTCCCCTATCCCAGTGATCATAGCCCTGAGTTATCCATTGTTCCATCCTTGAAAATAGCTACTGTAGATATTTGTCAAGTTTTAGTGTTATTTAAGGGAGAACTTAACACATGATGACTATGATTCTTTCATAACTATTGCTCTGATTAGTATCATTCTGTTTGGAATCTCAGTGTTTCTAGTTTGCTAATATAACCTAGTTGTAAGGGGCACAACTGGATTAATAGTTGAATCCCTTAATATACACAGAACGCTATGGGCCCAGAATTGTATAATTTTTCTTACCTGAACACATGCACATTTTCTACATAATGGATTGTATCCCCTTTCTCTTATTTTTACTCATTACTTCGTTTACATTTAGTTTGTTTGAAAGCAAGTTCTCATTCTCTCACTCAGGCAGGAGTGCAGTGGCATGATCGTGGCTCACTGCAGCCTCAAACTCGTGAGCTCAAGCAATCCTCCCACCTCAGCCTCCCTAGTAGCTGGGACTAATGACACTAACACCACCTAGCCCAGGTAATTTTTTTTTCTTTCATTTTTTGTAGAGATAGGGTCGGACTATGCTGCTGAGGCGGGTCTTGAACTCCTGGCCTCAAGGGAAGTCTCCAGCCTTGGCCTCCCAGAGTGCTGGGATCATAGACATGAGCCACCACACCCAAGTAGCATTTTTTATGTCTTCATTTTTTAATACCAACCTCACCCATCCTTTCTTTTCTTGCCTTTGGAAGACAACTTTATACTAAGAAAGCTACTTTTTTGTTTATAGGTAACTTACTGTCTAGTTAAGAACTGACTCAAATTTCAAAATAATGCTCAAAAATTTAAAACATACAAGAACAAAAACATTTGGAAGAATTATTTTCTCATTAGCACTGCTTTTCTACCTTCTTCTTGATGGTAATTTGTTTTGAGCCTAACTTTTGTGATTGCTAATTTCATTATAAACCAAATTCTCCAGCTCTTTTATGACTGGTGTAACAGGAAGTAAACTAACCAGAGACTCAGGGACCAGGATTCCAACCACAGCTCTGCTCCTGACTAGTTGTAAGATTTTGGTACATTACTTAGCACATTTGATCACAGCATTCTAACCCTTAGTAAGCAAGATGCTTTCTGATGTCCTTTCAACTCTAAGTTCTATCTTTAAGGATACAATTTGAAATGTTTCTCTTTTCCCACTGAGCGAACTCAGACTCCTAAAGAAATTGTAATTAAAAATGGCCTTTTGCTATGTTTGACAAAGGACAAAATGTGATAATAAGTATTAAAGCAATTTGAAATAGTTTTAGCAATGTAATTTAGATTATAATTATCATTTCTGGAGGCTATATTCATTTTTTATGTTCCTTGTGGTACATTATATGTAATAGATATTGAATACTTTCTTAATTTTATGATTAATATACTTCTGGAAAAGGAGAATGACAGTTGAAATCACTTAATGTGATGAAATAAATATGGCTTTATTCTTTTCAAATTGTGGTGTTTTCTGTGATTCACTACTTCTTTCATCTATTAATCTGTGCTCTAAGTGGCTTGATCCCATCTTGGCACACATCACCATGGATTCTTAAACTATAAGAAGCTGCATTCATGCATGTGTACATTTGGCAACCTTGTGTTGAACAGAGCTCTGCATTTGATGCTGTGGATAAATAAACTGTTATGATACTGTATCTGCACTAAAGGAGCTCAAATTCCAGTGGAGGAGGTTGACAGGGCAGTCAATAATTCTAAATCCAGATGAGCAGTGCACAGGCTGCTTGGGAATCATAAACAAGAAATCAAATTTAGGAAATTTGAATGGGTCTTTCAAGAGTGGAGTGGATAATACTGTCAGCACTGGTGCCTTTGTGTACCTTTAACAGGCCACACTCTTTCCTGTCTGTCTTTGCACACACAGCACCTTCTGACTAGAATGTTCTTTCCCTGTATTTTCACTTCCCATTATCTAATATTTAGCTGAAATATCATTCTATTAAGGCCTTCATTGTCCACCTTCTCCACAATTGTATCACCCTTACAATTTAATTTCCCTAATATTTTACTTTGTAGCCCCACTTACTATTATCCACAACTAACTTATTTATTTGTGTCATTGTTTATTGTATGTCTGACCAGATGGTAGGAACCTGTTTGGGTCACTGCTTCATATCCGTATAATCTGGAATGCCCCTGGCTCATAGCAGCCACTCAAAAAATATTTGTTGAATGAAAGAAAAGATGAAGGAAGGAAGGCATTAGAAAATTACAGAATGAATGTCTCTCCTTCCAGCCCTCCACACCCCACCAAAAAAAAAAAGGGTGGAAAATTAGTACAAAAAATTACTCTCAATTATTAATTCAGAAAATATTTATTGAGTCAAATGCTATTCTAGGCCAGAGTGCCTGATGTGTAAAAAATAACATTCTCCCTTATTAAGAAAAATATTATTTATTTCTTTCTACAGATGGTCAGAAAACTAGAACTAGAAAAAATGTAATAAAAAAAGGATGTAAAATGTTAGGTCTCATTATGAATCATTTCAAACTTAAGTATGTGTACATATAGTAGTGACTTAGAGCATTACCAGCAGCATATTCTGTTCTAATAGACTGGATAACTGAGAAGAAATAACATTTAACACCCTCATTCCAGAAATATTGCATAATCCCTGTCTCTTGATTTGGGGCTCAGCCATATCACTTGCCAAGGCCAGTGAAATAATAGCAAACCCCCTGCAAGAAGAGAGGTACAGTATTTTGTACAGTTGGTCTTGTCTCTTGCGCTTCTGCCATCACCACAAATAGAGCTTCCCTGAAATAGATGCTGCTCTCTCAGCCCCAGGCCATGTCCACAAGGAATTTATAAGGACCAGACTTGAGCCCAATGCATAGCAAGTCCAGCTTGAAGCAGAGCATCCCAGCAGAACCCAGCCTAAATCAGCCGAACCCCTGCCATCTGCAGATGTGTGAATGAGCATAAATGATTGTAGTTTTAAACTGCCAATTTTTGTGGTGGTTTGTTATAATTAAAGAATGAAAAATCAGCCAGATACAAGCCCCCAACCCCTGTTGAAGTCCTGAGTTAAGAATGTCAAATACATATGTGCTTTGTTTTTATGCTGTTGGGTATGTGGAAGTTATTTAGGAAAACATCGGGTAGTCCTGTGAGCTAGCAAGGCACAAGAAGCAGGGTTTTATGGGCATACTTCTGCAAGAAACAAAGCAAGTTTTGCTCTCATTAGTCATATTCACCTTGCAAATTAAAACCAATGTCCCATGTTATAAAAGAACTTTGGATTGGCCTGTGGTGTTTATCTCCTGTGTTAACTCATGTATCCTTAGAAAAAGAGTGGAAGAAAATGATAATACCTCATATTTATTAAACACTTGCTACGACAGGTATAGTTCCAGGAGCTCATCATTGACGTCAGACTCTGTAAAATATGTGATAAATATATTATTCTCATTTTACAGATCAGGAAAGTAAGGAGTAGACCACTTAAGTAATTTGCCCAAGGTCACAGAACTGGACAGTGACATAGCTGAAATTTCACCTTTACAGGCTTCCAGGATCCACATGCTTCACCACAATGCAGAAGTAAAGTATCTCTGGCCTACTACTCATGTATAACTCACGTATGATAGATAATACAGAAACAGTTGGCTTCTCAATACTATTTCCTTTAAAAATTATAAGTACTTCCAAACTGATTTCAAATACTGCAGTTTTGGCAATTCATGGTTTTGTAATTGCAGATGTTCTGTGTCTGTCTATTTGCCTGAGTCTTATGGAAATGGGCTTGGGCCTCTATCTGTGGAATACAGCAGACAGCAGAACATCAAAGATCAGCACACAGGTGATGAAAACCCAGGGGTGCTGGCTCTGAAAAGCATGTGGGAAATATATGAGAAGACTCATAGTCACACATCTGATCCAGGAATGCTGGCTTAACAATGTTATTACTATTAGTAATAATATGAAGACACCAGTTTACTAACAAAGATAGGCAATGGCAACCTTGAAGTTATCTTTTAAAAAAGAAAGGAAAATATCATCCAAAGCCATTATCTTCCTTTATAGCATAGGTATGGTTGTTTTGTAATCTACATACATATATATTAAAGAGAGCAGCTGTGCATAATTGAATGTTCTTTGTGCTGGATTCTAAAATTATAATGAATGCTTCATTACATGAGTAATGCAAAAAGAGGCTTTTAAGATTCACTTCTGTGAATTTTAATCTATGTATATGATATGGCTTGGCTCTGTGTCCCCACCCAAATCTCGCCTGGTATTGTAATCCCCATGTGTTGAGGGAGGGACCTGGTGGGAGGTGATTGAATCATGGAGACGATTTCCCCCATGCTGTTCTTGTGATAGTGACAGAGTTCCCATGACATATGATGGTTTTAAAAGTGGCAGTTTCCCCCATGTGCTCTCTGTCTCTCTCTTGCTGCCATGTAAGACATGCATTGCTTCTTCTTCACCTTCCACCATGATGGTAAGTTTTCTGAGGCCTCTCCAGCCATGTGGAACTGTGAGTCAATTAAACCTCTTTTGTTTATAAATTACCCAGCCTCAGGTAGTGTCTTTATAGGAGTGTAAGAATGAACTAAAACAGAATATATTGGAAATTTTAGCTTCATCCAGTCTGCTTTTTAGCTAGTGATGGATAAGTCCTTGAAATCAAATGAAATATAAAATGCACAAATTCTAGTTCCAAGCACCTCACCCAATGAGAGCAAATTTAATAGTTCATGACATTCCCTTCAGATCACTCTTCTTTCCTCCTTTCATACAATCTTAGAATTTTAAAAATGGAGGAGACTTTAATGTCATCTAGACAAATTTCTATTGGATTCTTGAATTTCCTTTGATGGAGGCATGTACCATTTCTGGAGTATACCCTACCTCACAGCTGATACACTTACTGGCTATATCAAACTGAACACATTTCAGGCCAAACTCTTGACTTCTCCTTTCTTGATTTTCTCCATCTCTGTTAACATCACTGCTATCCACCTGTTGCTTGAGTCAGAAATAATCACTCTCACCCTTTCCCGTTAATTTTTCACATCTACTCCATCACCAAGTTATGCTGAGTGTAACTCCAAACAAAGCTGCACTTCTCCTTGTGTCTACTGTCTCAGAGTGACAAACACCGTAACCTGTAGTCTAGACTGATTTGCTAGCTTCCAACTAATTTATCTGGTTTTGCTTCCACACACTTTTCTTCTGTTTTCCTCACAGAGTATTTTTTATTTATTAACATGAATTAGATCTCTTCCTTTCTTCTCAACCTTTCATTAGATTCATATTGTGCTCAGGAAGAACTATAATCTTTGACCCTGAAAGCTATGCTATTCTTATCTCTTTGCATAGTATTTCTGCATGGTGACCTCCGTTGATTGCACTATATTCTATTTTCATTCATACTTCAGGTTGTTGTAAGAGTTGTGATACAGTACATGTAAATCACTTAGAATAGTGCCTAGCACATAGGTATATAGTTAGACATTTTTATTAGGTTTCTCCTGCTGTTTATTTATTTCATGTTCGCTCCTCTGCTAGAATTTGAGAACAGGAGCTGTGTCTATTTTGCTCAATAGTTCATAGCTTAATAGCTCTTAGTACGCCTGGAAAATTGGATATGCATATTTCATATTTTTAATACGTTGAATGAAATCTATATTTAATGAGTTCTAGCCTATAGGAAGTTATTTTTTTGCATGGAGTTGAAACTTAGCTTCTATCCAAATGTTGAGCTTCCCACACCTTTAGAACATTCAAACTAAGTTATACTGTCATTGTAATTAAAAACAGTGATATCTATATCTGTCCTGCTATCACAACTGAATCAACATTAAATTCATCAACATCTCTTTTAAAAATATTCAATTTAAAGTACTTTAAACACTAAAAATTTATAAATCCTAGTTATTTATAAAAGTCATTACTGACACCTAAATATGTAACTATTTTAAATTTCCTCCAAATTTCCAAAGCTGTCTATTCTAAGAAAACTCGATACATATAAAAATACAAAATGGAAAGGAGCTAAATGAGGAGGTACTTTTAAATTTATGAAATGATATTTTATTTTTAAAGAATTTCACATTTAAATAGCATGTGACTTTAAAAAACCTATCTACTTGCTTATTTTATCAGAAAGTTAATTGATTAGATTAGATTGGATTTAGATAGATTGCTAAAATGTCAGGATTATCTCTATAAACTAAATCAAGTACTTGTGTTTTATTAATACAGTAACTGCAAGTTCTTAAATGAATCACAGGAATCTTTGCAAGAATGAGTTATTTAGATTTTGCCATGTGTCAGTGGAAAAATACACTTTCAGTTAAATTACAAATGTGGCAACTGAAAGGGCTTCATGTTTAGATATAAGGAAATAAGTGAACAATTGGAAAGCGTAGTTGTTAACAAGTTTTTGCTGCAAGGAACTTGAAGATCCACTTTTAAAAACCTGGTTCAACTGACATTGATGACCTCCACAAGTTACAAAAGAACCACGGTGATAAAAAGTTCTGGAAGAATGTGCTGCTTCTGAAAAATGTCTTAAAACTGACAGCCTCTTGTATAGATTTTTATGAAATAGTAAACAACCTCAAGTGAAAATAATGTTAAATGGCAGGCATATTATCCCTCTAGGGGAAAATATAATGAAAATAAAATGTTTTAGAAGTGTATAAACATTAAGCAAGATGGCAAGATGAACAATGATTCTTTATTTTTGATTAGTGTGGACAGGCAATTCAATCATTTGACTCAGGGAGAAAAAAGAATACAGCTTCAAAGTTTTTGTGGCAGATTATTGCTCGAATAATCTGTAGAGTGCTGCTTCAGTTTTGATTATGAAGCTATTGGCCATTGGCCAAGAGGAGTTTCTTTGTAACGGAAAGAGGAGTTTTCTGTAATAAGTAGGGTTTAGAGACTCTTCCCATAATTTTGGCTTGGAGTTGTGATGAAATCAGTCTGGGGCAACCTTCCTGTCTTATTCTACTGATAACTTTTCACCTTATATAAGAGGTCAGGGTCCTAGATAAGTCCTTCTCTGGGACCTTTTACTTTCCTTTTTCGTATTGCATTTAATCATTTAAGCATGAAATTATTTCACCACATTTAGGAGGGTCTTAAGGTACAGATATAAAGTTTCATTTCTTAAACTAATTCAGCTTGTGTACTATTTATGGCTGTTTGTATTGGCTTCAGTTTTCTCACTCCTTCGTTTATCTCCTATACTTCCACCAAAGCTATCTCTAAAAGAGATTTTATGTTGGCCTTTTTCATCAAAATATTCAATCTCCAATGAATTTAGCATTCCCCAACAGGATGTGCCAGTCCCTTGAAAATATTGACCCAACTCATGTTTACAACATAAATTTAGCCTCTCAGCTTTACAATGGGTTGTTATAAGGGAAAGAAAGAGGGAAGGGAGTCAGAGAGGAAAGTGTGGTAATAGAAGAAGAGGTCAGAGTTTTACAGCTTCTGGTTTTGAAAAGGGAAAAGGGCCACAAGCCAAGGAATGCAGACAGCCAGTGGAATTTGGAAATGATGAGGGGGAGATTGCCTTCTAATGTTCTCAAAAGGAAGACAGTCTGTTGATATCTTTGTCTCAACCCAGTGAAATGCATTTTGGATTTCTGACCTCCAGAACTGTAAGATAATCAATCTGTGTTGTTTTAAGACATCAAGATTGCAGTAATTTGTTATAGCAGTAGTAGGAAACTAATATAGATTTGGCTGCCTGGAAGTGGGTTGCTGATGCAACACATACATAGAAATGTGAAATGATCTGGGTACTTGGTCAATGAGCAGAGGCTAGAAGAATTTTAAGGAACATGATAGAAATGGCTTAGATTGTCTTGAGCAGACCGTTAGTGAAAACATGGCTGTTAATGACCCTGTTAAGGAGTACTCTGGAGGGTGTGAGGAGCCTGGTGGAGAATACCCAAGTCATCATGAGCAGATAGTAGGTAGAAACAAGGATGTTATAGGCAATGCTGGAGAGGGTACAAATGGAAATGTGGACCATGCTACTGGAAAGTAGAGGAGAGAGGATCCTTATTTTACAGTGGCAGAGAGCTTAGCTAAACTGTGGAAAGCAAAACTAAGAACTTGGATATTTAGCTAAGGTGACTTCCAAGCAAAGTGTTCAAAATGCAACTTAGTTTCTTTTGGTTACTTATGCAGTCATGAACCATAGAACAATGGCTTTTGATTTTTGTTTTTTTGGTTTTGTTTTGGTTTTGAGATGAAGTTTTGCTCTTGTTGCCCAGACTGGAGCGCAAAGGTGCGATCTCGGCTCACTGCAACCTCCGCCTCCTGGGTTCAAGCGATTCTCCTGCCTCAGCCTCCTGAGTAGCTGGGATTACAGGTGTCAGCCACCATGCCCGGCTAATTTTTGTATTTTTAGTAGAGATGGGGTTTTGCCATATCGGCCAGGGTGGTCTCCAACTCCTGACCTCAAGTGATCTGCCTGCCTCGGCCACCCAAAGTGCTGGGATTACAGGTGTGAGCCATCGCGCGGGGCCAGAACATTTTAGTCAATAATGGACTATGTATACTACAGTGGTCCTGTAAGATTATAATAGAGGTGAAGAATTCCCATCACCTAGTGATGTCATAGTGGCCATAATGTCTTAGTACAATGCACTGCTCACATATTTGTGGTGATCCCAGTATAAACAAACCTACTGCACTGTCAATTGTATAAAAGTGTAACACTTATAATTGTGTACAGTGCCTAATACTTGATATTGATAATAAATGACTGTTTCTTGTTTATATATTTACTATGCTATATGAATGGTTATTTTGGAGTATCCTCCTTCTACATACTAAAAAAAAAGGTTAAGTGTAAAATCGCCTCAGGCAGGTCCTTCAGGAGTTATTCCAGAAGAAGGCTTTGTTATCATAGGAAATGACAGCTCCATGTGTGTTAATGCCTCTGAAGACCTTCCAGAGGGACAAAATTGGAGGTGTAAGATGGTGATATGGAAGATCTTGGTGCTGTGTAAACCTAGGCTCATGGGTTTGTTCGTTTTCATTTTTAACAAAAAAGATTAAAAAGTTTAAAAAGTGACGTAATTAGAAAAACGTCTATGGAATAAAGATATAAAAAATTTTTATATAGCTATACAATGTATTTGTGTTTCAAGCTAAGTGTTATTATGAAAGAGTCAGACAATTTTTAAAATTAAAAAGTAAATAAAGTCAAAAGTTACAGTAAACTAAGGTTAATTTATTATGGAAGAAAAAAGTACGTTTATGTAGCCTAAATGCCCAGTGTTTATAAAGTCTATGGTAGAGTAATGTACTAGGCCTTCACATTCACTCACCACTCACTCATTGTCTCACCCAGAGCAACCTCTAATCCCACAAGCTCCATTCATAGTAAGTGTCCTGTACAGGGGTACCATTTCTTAGCTTTTATACATTATTTGTACTTATATTTTCTATGTTTAGATGTCCTAGCGTTGTGTTACAATTGCCTACAGTATTCAATATAGTCACAGGCTGCACAGATTTATATGCTGGTAACAATAGGCCATGTATATACAGTGTAGGAATGTAGTAAACTGTACCATCTAGGTGAGTGTAAATAATGCATTCTATGATGTTCACACAATGACAAAATCACATAAGGATGTGTTTTTCAGGATGCATCCCCACTGCCAAGTGAAAAATGATTGTACCTGTAGCGAAGTGTGAAAGGAAGGAAATGAAAGAGATGTTAGGCAAAAATAATGGATTTGGGAAATGCTCAGCCTGTCCAGATTACAAATATGCTAAAATTAGGAGAATAACTGTCAGGAAAACATGATCTGTAGGGAAAGCCAAGGGTGTGGCTGGACAACCTTTTGTTACTGCATTAAAAAGATCAAAAGATAAGTGTATTCGGTCATACAAGGGGCTCTTTGAACAGATTAGTGCACTTTATGGGTCTCCTTAGCCATCTCCAGAGAAACCAAAAATAGAGATCAGATTATCTAGGAAAGATCCATGGACGCAACTCTTGTTTAATGGGAAACATTTTCTTGACGTACACAAGGTTCTTCAGAATTTCTTAACAACGTAAAAAACTGACAGCTCTGACTGAAAGGGACAGAGACTATGAAATGAAGCATAACTGTCAGACTCACAAAATTATACAGGCAGGAAATAGACTGATAAACTATTCAGTTGCAAACATGTGCTACCATTCATAAAAAAGGAAGCATGACTCAGAGAGCCAAGTCTCATGACCAGAGGGCAGAGCCTGTAACCATAGGGAATTATTCCCAGGCTTTGAAACCCAATATTGTCTGGCCATTTGGGTTTTGAAATTGCTTGCGATTGGTGACTCATTTTTTCTTTCAATTTTCTCTCTTTTTGAATGGGAATGTCTATATACTGGTACTCCATGCCTGTCCGACTATTGTATTTTGAGGAGCAGATAATTTGTTTTCTAATTTCACAGGCATAGATGGAGAGGAGTTTGGCCCCAGGATACATCATGTTTCACTCATACCTGCTTTACATGATTGAGGTGATGAGACCTGGGAATATTGAGTTGAAGAAATGTAAATGAGATTTTGGACTTTGAGTTGATGCTGTAATGGGTTGAGACTTTTGGGGATGTTGGGATACAGTGACTGTATTTTGAATGTGGGATTGATACAAATCTTTATGCAACAGAGGGCAGACTGTGGTAGGCACAATAATGACCCCCCAAAAATGTCTACATCATAATTTCCCGGACCTGTGACTATGTTATATTATGAAACAAGGGGGAACTAATATTGCAGATGGAGTTAAGGTTGCTAATCAAACGAATTTAAAATTGGCATTTGCCTTAAATTATTCCTTCTCTGATGTTAAAATTATGTTAGTTGGTTTCTTTTTGTTTACATTTCCCTGGTATGCTTTTGCATATCATGTTATTTTCAGCTTTTCAATCTGATAAGTTTTATTTTAGGTGGGTCTGTTGTATGCAACATAGTTTTGGTTCTTTGAAATCCAATTTAATATATTATTTTTATTATAATGTGTGAGTTAAGCCAATATTGCTTTTTTTGATAAATATATCTTTTTGACAGAAATATGTATATATTATTTTGAACAGATATATTATATATATATTTATTTTATACTTTGTAAAGCCTTCCTTGAGGTGTTTTATCTCTTTGCTTCTGTAGTGTGCATGTGTGTATGTAGATACACACATCTAGATCTTCTGATATTTAGGAAAATTTTTGTTATTATTCTAAGAAAGTCCCCCTTGTCTTCTCTTTCATTTGCTACCACAAATACTTCTTAAACGTAACCATGAGGAAGTGAAAGACTTTTTCACAGGAAACTACAAAAGATTGCTAAAAAAATTAAATAAGACACAAATAAATGGAAAGATATGCATGGATTGGAAAACTTAATATTCAATATTTGTGGATTAGAAGATTTAATATTACTAATATGATAAAACTATCTAAACAAATCTGTAAGTTTCAATTCAATCTTTATTAAATTCCAACAACTGTTTTTGGAAAAATGGAAACATGGATCCTCAAATCCATATGTAATTGCAAGAGGTCCCAAATAACCAAAACAATATTGAAACAGAAAAAGAAATTTTAATTACTCACATTTTAATACTTCAAAACTTACTACAAAGCCATAGTAATCAAAACAATGTGGTACCAGCATAAGGACAGATATTAACATATAGTCAGGTGCAATAGAATTGAGAATCCAGAAATAAACCCAAATTATTTTCAGTGAAGAAGCCAAGATCATTCCATGGGAAAAATAGTCTCAACAAATATTTCTGAGAGGACTGGATATCTGTATACAAAATGATAATGCTGGACCCTTCCCTCACACTATATACAAAAATTAATTCAGTATAACAATGACCTAAATATAAGAGGTGAAACCATAAAATTTTAAAAGTAACCATAGGAGTAAATCTTTATGACTTTGGAATTTAATTCTTAGCTATGACATCAAATGCATTACCAATGAAAGAAAAAATAGATTAATTGGACTTCAAAATTTAAAACTTTTATACATGAAAAGACATTATCAAGAAAGTGAAAAGACAACATACAGAGTGGAAGAAATATTTGCAAATTATATATCTGTTGAGGGCCTAGTATCAAGAATATATACATCTTACAACTTAACAAAATGCAATTAAAAATAGATGAAGGCCACAAATAGACATTTCTCAAAGAAAACATACAAGTGACCAACAAGCACAGGAAAGTAGTCACATCATTAGCCATTACAAAAATGGTAATCAAAATCACAATGAGATACTATTTCATATCCAGTAAGATGGCTAGAATTCAAAAAATGTAGATAACAATAATTAATGAATTTGTACAAAAATGAAACCCTTGTACATTGCTGGTGGGAATGTAGAATAGTGCAGCTGCCAAGGAAAACAGTTTGGTAGTTCCAAAAAAGCTAAACATAGAATTACCATATGACCCAGCATTTTCATTCCTGGATACATAACCAAAAGATTTGAAAACAGATAGTCAAAAAAATGCATGTATACATATGTTTATAGAAGCACTATTCATGATAGCCAAAAGATGGAAACAACCCAAAAGCTCATCAGCAGACCAATGGATAAACAAATCGTAGTATACTGATACGATGTAATACTATACATCCGTACAAAGGAATGAAGCACTGATATACACCACAAAATGGATAAATCTCTAAAACATCATGCTAAATAAAAGAAGCTGGATGCAAAAGTTCATGTATTGTGTGATTACATTTGCATATGAAATATCCAGAATAGGTAAATCTATAGAGATAAAAAAGTGACTTGATTGCCAGGGACTGGGGACAGGGAGAAATAGGAAGTAACTGCTTACTGGGTATGGGGTTGTATTTTGGGGTAATGAAAATATTTTAGAAATAGATAGAAGTGATGATTGAAAAACATTTTGTATGTTCTGAATGATACTGAATTTTTCACTTTAAAATGGTTGATGTTATGTAAATTTCACCTTAAGTTTTAAAAATAATTGAATAATTTTTAAAAAAACAATGGAGAGGAGATGCTTGATGCAGGTGAATTGTAAACATCAGCCTGAGCTGATGTCTCTACAGGACTGACTTTTGCTAGTCCTCTAATAAAGCCAACCAGGTATAAATGCAAAAAACAAAAAAATTATTGGATTACTTGATTAATTAAATATGATTGTAATATAGTCTCTTTTTATACCTTCCTTAATTTGACTTTATATATTTTTTACAACAATATCGTGAGTGATATTGGCATATATTTTCAGAAATCTTTCAGTCTTTGACTGGTTTTAGTATTGTTATAATATCCTTAATCGGAAAGTTATAATATCCTCAGTTGGAGAATATTCATTTTTTAAATCTCTGGTTGAGTTTATATAAGATAACAATTATCTGTTCTATGAACACTTGTTAAACCATCTGGTAAATCTAGTATTATTTTAGTGAGTACATTTTAAACTACTGATTTCATTGTTAAATATACTATTGTTCAGATATTATATTTCTTCTTCAGTCTTACTAATTAAGCTTTTCTAAGAAAATGGTTAGGATTAAATTTTATTGGCTTGGAGTTAAAATTTATTGGCATCAACTTTTTCATAGTATTTTAAATAATTTTAAAAAAAATTTATCCTGTATCTGAAGTTACATTATATTTTAATTTTATGCTAAATATTGTTTTTTTGTGCCTTCTCTCTTTTTCATCCATGACAATAATCTCAGAGGATTGAATATTTCATTAATGTTTTCTAAGAACCAAGTTTTAGGTTGGTTGATCATTTTTATTACATCTTTCCCCCAATTTTATTATTTTTTGCTTTATTTTATGTTTATTCTGTGTTCTTTTCTATTTTCTTAAGTTGAAAATAAGCTCATTTATTTTCAGCTTTTCTCTTTTTTAAAAAATATAAGCATTTCTGGGAATAAATTTCCTCCTAAGAACTCTTTAAGCTACTTCCTATGAATTTCAATATCTGGTATTTTTCTTTACATTCAAATAATATGTTTTAAGTTTCATTTATGACTTCTTTAACTTCAATTTCCTTAGAAGTTTAAAGTTTTTAGTTTCCAAGTAGTTGGAGGTAGATGTGTTGGTTTTTTTAAAAAAAGATTCTAATTTAATTTATGATGCTCAGAGATGTGGGCTATATATTAATTTTTAAAATATGTTGAGACTTACATTATTAACTAGATTAATTTTTAAATTTCCATGTATGCCATCGAAACACATTCTCCTCTGTTAAGAAGGAGACCTTATACATGTTCATTAGACCAAGCATCAAGCATGTTAATTGTGTGAAAATATTCTAAATCTCTAACAAATTTTGCCAGCTTCTTCTATTAATAACAGAGTAGTAAGTTAGATTACAAAGAGAGAGATTCACATAGAGGCGAGAGATTTCTTTTTATCAATTTACTTTCTATCTTGCTATGTTACTTACTGTACAAATTTCAAATTATTTTATCTTCAGAGACACTGACTTTCTTTATTCCTAATAAAGATTTATGCCTGAAAATAAGTTGTATCTTACATTACTATAACAACCTCTACTGTGTGTTAGTTAATATTTGTTTGGTTAATCTCCTACTATCTTTTACTTTTAATTATTCAGTACATTCATATTTTAGAAAAACGTGTTACAAAAAAGATATCGATGTTTTTCTTTTTAATTTAATAGAAAGTCTGTTTTTTTTTAACCTGTGAATTTACATATAATCACTGATATATGTGGAATTAGTGTCATCAGCTTATCTTGCGCTTGCTGTTTGTCTTACCTTTCCAGTGCTCTCCCCTACTTTCCTGCCTTCTGTTGGAGAGTTTAGATATTTGATTGATTGTTTAGAATTGGATTAGTTGGATATTTTAATCAGTATTTAATTTTGTTTTGGCCATTTTTCTGAGAATAGTATCATCTATCCATTTATTTATTTATTTTTCTTTGAGATGGAGTCTCACCCTGTCACCCAGGCTGGAATGTGCAATGGTATGATCTTGGCTCACTGCAACCTCTGCCTCCTGGGTTCAAGTGATTTTCCTGCCTCAGCCTCCCAAGCAGCTGGGATCACAGGTGCCCACCCCCATGCCCGGCTAATTTTTTTTTTTTTGTAGTTTTTAGTAGAGACGGGGTTTCATCATGTTGGCCAGGCTGGTCTCGAACTCCTGACCTCAGGTGATCTGCACACCTCAGCCTCCCAAAGTGCTGGGATTAAAGGCATGAGCCACCACACCAGCCTATCCATTTCTTTTAACTATTCCATATCACTATGTTTTTGGAATTTCTCAAAGCGTAATGCTAGGTTTTGTATCTAGTTTTAGAATAATTGTCTTTTAAAAGTAAAGTTTAACTCATTTGTGAATCTGATGTCAGTTTAGTGCTCTAGTCTGTGTATGTATATGTATATTATTGAGAGATTATCTTAGTGGGCATATTTTCTTTTTTAAAAAACTTTAGGTTCGAGGGTCATGGGCAGGTTTGTTACATAGGTAAAATCATGTCAAGGGAGTTTGTTGTACAGATTATTTCCTCACTGAGGTACTAAGCCTAGTACCCAATTGTTATTTTTTTCTGCTCCTCTCCCATCCTTCACCCTCAAGGGGGCCCCAGAGTCTGTTGTTCCCTTCTTTGTGTTCATGTGTTATAATTTAGCTCTCACTTATAAGTGAGAACATCCGGTATTTGGTTTTCTGTTCCTGCATTAGTTTGCTAAGGATAATGGCCTCCAGCTCCATCCATTTTCCCGTAAAAGACATGACTTCATTCTGTTTTATGGCTGCATAGTATTCCGTGGTGTATACACATTTTCTTTATCCAATCTGTTATAGATGGGCACTTAGATTGATTCTGTGTCTTTGCTATTGTGAATAGTGCTGCAGTGAACATTTACTTGCATGTGTCTTTATGGTAGAATGATTTATATTCCTCTAGATATATACCCAGTAATGGGATTGCTGGGTTGAATTGTAGTTCTGTTTTTAGCTCCTTTTACTTTTAATTGACAAATACTAATCCTTTATATTTATGGAGTACAATGTGATGTTGTGATACATGCATACATTCTGGAATGATTAAATCAGACTACTTGACATATCCGTCACTACACATACTTATCACTACTTGGTGGTGAGAACATTTAAAATCTATTCTTTTAGCAATTTAAAAATACACAATACGTTATTATTAACTATAGTCACCACACTATGATACACTGCTAGAACTTATTCTCCCTGTTGAACTGAATTTTGTACCCTTTAACTAACATATCCCCTTTCCCCATCTACCCTGCCTCCCAGAATGGTAATTCAGAATTCCATTGATTTTAAAAGTGTCTTTAAATTTTGACTTCCGATGGCATTTCATTTGGATCCTAGGGATTTTCAATAATGTTAGATGAGTTTTTATAACAATATCTAGACTTATGGTTCTTATATAGGCTGTGTAAATTCAGACATCACTCTTGTGCATGGTGACTTTCCTTTATTACTTTTTCTACCATAGTCCTTGGACTGACTTCAAGCCTCCTCAGGCAACACTTCCAGTTCCATTCTATTGGATTTTGTAAGACTTCAAATATCCCAGTTTTCTGTTTGGGTCTCAGCTTCAGCTGTCTGACTTCTACGATTCATGAAGCCATCTTTCACATCACCAGATGGGTGTTAGAATCGATTTCCAGTCTCCAGGGCCTTACAGGCTATTGTTGATAAGCATTCCCTGATGCATATCATTTGGCTTTGATTTCTGTCACCATTGCTAGCACCTGGGAATTACTTTTTGTTTCTTGATTATATTTCATTTTTTGTATATACTTCTGTATTCAGGAGAATATCTGCATTAACTTAGTTGACTACATTGTGAAACGTGTAAACAATTTTTTTTTTTTTTGAGATGGAGTCTCACTCTTTCGCTCAGGCTGGAGTACAGTGGCGCGATCTCAGCTCACTGCAACCTCTGCCTCCCAGGTTCAAGCAATTCTCCTGCCTCAGCCTCCCCAGTAGATGGGACTACAGGCGCGTGCCACCATGACTGGCTAATTTTTTGTATTTTTAGTAGAGATGGGGTTTCACTGTGTTAGCCAGGATGGTCTCAATCTCCTGACCTCGTGATCCGCCTGCCTCGGTCTCCCAAAGTGCTGGTATTACAGGCATGAGCCACCACGCCCAGCCAAAAAGTCCAAACAATTTTTTTTTAAATATTCTACTTTTAATGCAAAACGTCAGGGGATACTTTGGATACTTAGGATGAATTAGCAATTCATAGAACTATTGACCCCAAACTGATGAGGACATTTTTGTTTTTCTTCAAATGGCAGGATCTAGAAATTAGAGATTAGAATCACTTGCACTGGGTCTGTTAGGGGGGATTTGTTAATGAGTTACTAAACCATTGGATTCACGTTTGAAAAGTCACAAATTGCTGTGCTTTGACCTTTTGTTCAAATAAGAAAAATAAATCAGTTTTTAAAAAGAACTAAAAGAGATTCTGACAACCTGGTTGGCATCTCAGAATACAAGGGAGCAGCCCTGGAAAATTAACCCTCTATATGTGCACTGCTGACTATTCTGCTACCATGGTCTTTAGATGCTCATTTCTTAGTCTCTCTTTCCCTTTCACTCTGTGTTCTTTTCTTCCTTTCTTCTGCAAATTACTGAAAACATACAGTTACCTTCTCTGTGGTGCTGAAGAATTATTCTTGTTGCCTGAGGCCCCTGAGCTGGGAGTTTCATTTTAGTCATTGCAATGACACTGCAACCCAAGAAACTGCCCAGCCAGGCATGATTGCCAAGAATAGCTCAATATCCTCACAATTTAGTCATAACTCATTCATTCTCTACATTCATTTTATAAACCCCTAACTTCTTATTATTCATGATACCTACCCTCCCTGACTCCATATATACTTTTGTGCCCTTTTCACATATGACTTTAAATTGGCTGAGGGTCAGACTATCTATGGTCCTTATTAAGGAACACTTTTTTTCTCTCTTTTTTACAGAAATTGTGCATAGCTCTTGCTTCCAGTCACCTGTCTGAAGCAGAGCCCTACTCAACTCCAGGGCTGCTTTAGAATGAGAGATCACTAAAAAATAGGTGGTAATAGAAATTTTAGTAACGAGGCTGAGCCTATTGGATGAGTTCACTATGGGACCTAGTGAAGCCAAAGTCTAAAACTTCACATTCCACTCAAACCTTGCAGAATTTCAACTTCAAAACTGGGTCCATTCTAACAGAATCCTAGTGAAGTCCTGTAGCCAACAGTTTGCAATAACACAAGATGATTTTGAGGCCATATGGAAAACTCTCAGAACAAAATGTTAAGACTTTTCTGGAGGGGACTTTGCATATCTTTGTGAGGTGTTTGAACAGTGAGGTGTTTCTGAGCTCCTAATGACATAGAAATAGGGTCTACTGAGTAAGGTGTGAGGAAGAGAGCTGTGGCTTGCTCTAAGCCCTGATGGGCTCATTTATTTCTCTAGTTTTGCTCTCAGAAGTGACTCATTAATCTAGGTTATCAAAATGGGACCGTCTTCTCGTAGAAAATGTCATCTTCACTTCCTAGCAAAGACTTTACAAAAGCTATGAAAACACATCAAAAATTTAGGTATCAAATATACAGTAGATAGCTGAAAAACAAAAGTGTCTACTCAAATATCCTTTCTTCTGATTAACGTAAACCTGCTTAGTCTAGAGTTTCATGGCAATGGGTAATGTTCAGTCATAGCTGCTTGTTCCTGTCTTAGGATTTTTGCACAAGCTGCCCAAAGACTTCCTTCCCTCTGATCTTCACCTGGCTTGTGCCTTCATGTAGCTCAGATCTTAGTGTTAAGTGTTTTCTCTTCAAAGTTGCTTCTCAAAGCACTTGATACTTTTCCTGGCCACCCAATCAAAAATATATTCCTCTTCATTCCTATTACGTGACTCTTTAAAAATTCCTCTATCTAACCTACATCACCGTGTGATAATTTATTATAATTGTAACTTTAATATCACTTTCTCCTTCCATCCACATATGGATTTACATGCCTGGTAATTTTTTATTGGATGCTAAACAGTGAGAATTTTACCTTGTTGAGTACCAAGTATTTTGCATTAAAAAAAATGTTCTGGAACTAGTTCTGGGAGGAAGTTAAATATTTGGATCCTCTTATATTTTGCTTTTATGGTTTGTTAGGCAGGCCCAGAGTGGTATTTAGTCAAAAGCCAATTTTTCTTCACTATTGAGGCAAGACCCTTCTTAATACATTATCCAATTCTCCTTGGAATATAAAGTTTTTCACTCTAGCTGTTAGAAACAGTTACTATTCCCAACAATACATGGCCTCCAGGTGCTACTCCTTCAAATCATATTGGTTGATTATTCCTCAGCCTCAGGTAATTTCATTAAATAAATGGCTAATATTCATCTGAATACTTGTGGGAGATGTACTGCAGACCATTCTCTTTTGCCGTAGCATCTCTTCTGCAGCATTTGCCCTGTAAACCCTGGCCTCCCTAGCTTTGCTAGACTTCCAGCTCCTTTTTCTCAACTCTGCAAATCCACTGGGCTGTACCTGAGTTCCCCACAACCTCAACCTTGTGCCATGATTTGAAAACATCCAAGCAGTACGCCAAAAAAAAGTAGTGTTCACCTCATTTCTTGCTCAAGAAATTAATAAATTTATTCATTTGATAAATGTCAAATGAATATGACACGTGCTATATTTCTTCAACCGTTGTGAATATGGTTAACATTGTAAATAAAAGAATGTCATATTTGTTTACATATGTTTTAAAAATATCGTTTGATTATGGTTTTCGTCTTTTCCCTATTATATTGTAATCTCTGGAATATTTTAAAGAATTATAATTTTATTATCAGGTACACACAATTACTTGAACTCATAACACAAATAAAATTGCTTTAGCACCTAGACTGTAATTATTTTAATTGAATGAAAATAGGTTTTTCTAAAATGTTTTTGCACATTTAAAAAATACTATTGTATTTCTGTTTTTTACTGTCAGTTTGCTAATTAAATTAGTTTAACTGATATAATGCAAAAGTAACATTCATACAGCCCCTGTCAAATTGTAATTGGTGGAAGCAGAAATGGTATTTTCCTGTTATTAATATTAGAATGTATAAGATAGAAGAAATCTTCTAACTATTCAGGTTTGAAATGTGAAATTTTATAGGTTGATTGGAAAATAGCCTCATGAAGAATTGCTGTATAAAAATATTGAGGGGGAATAGGAAATAAGAATTCTCGTATGTTAGTGAGAAATACTTAAGACATACAGCTTTCTGTTAAACAGTTCACAATATATAGTTTTATTTCCAGACCCCAGCTAGAAAACGGAACTCATAACTGAGAAGCAGATGGAGCAGCAGAAGCTGCTAGAGGCAGTGAATGTGCTTCACAGAGAGTCCAGTGCTGTCTGAGGCTGGGTCACTACCCAGCACAGCAGGATTCACTCCAGACACTTGGCGAGTGACCAGGTACCTGCAGGTCATCTCAGGTCAAGCACAGTCTAGTTTACACCCTGCCACCACCATCTAAGAAAGATCCTCTACCAGGAATCAGATATGTTGCTGGTTTGCTCTTTTAAAGTGTACTTCAGAGAAAATTCATCAAAACAACATCCTCACACAGAATCCTAATGCAACGAAACAGCAAAAATCCTTTAAAATTTTCTGAAAATGCATTTGACAGGTGATACAAAGATGAAACACTTTGAAAGTATAAAAACAGAGGATTGCTTTAGAGATGTTTTCTAGTGACTTTTTTTCATGATAGCATTCTCTAACACCTTACCTGTGATAGATTTAAGATCTCATACAAACCTTTAGCAATTAACTCTTTAAAACATATCCACCAAGAAATCCTACTTGAATGTTTTCCTTATATCCTGGTTCTCCTTGATTTTATGACCTCTTAGATTTAACAACAACTCTAACTTCTGAAAGAGCAGGCACCTATAGTGAGGGTGAAGGTCTTTAACTAGTGGTTAAGGAGACTTAGAATTCCAGACCACTAAACCATGTGACTTAAAATTTCTACATATTCACAGATAAAGTTTTCGTCCTATAAAGTGCCCTTCAATGCTGGTGGGCTCAAGGGCAGGAAGTCACACTTTTCTCTCCTTCTAGAATTGACACAAAGCATTTGCCTTTACAAACTAAGCTGTCATGTGCTTTTAAATTGCACATGAACATCACAGCAAGTTCATTTCGTACACATTTTTATGATGGTGACTTTCTTGTACAGACTGTAAACAAAACAAATTTCACATCTTATTAAACCTTAGGGAGAAACACACTTCAACCCTAACCTTTATGTCAAAAGCAGTTATTTTTTTCAAGTTATGTCATTTCAATTTTTAAATATTTACCCTTAGACAGAATTTCTTCAAAGCCTAACTGGTCTTATTTTTATCCTCCTTTGTGTCATGAACTATAGCTCAAATCTTCAAATTGCTCTAGATGTAGTTAAGATGTAAATATAAATACATTTAAATGTAAATAAACCGGTTTGAGCCTTTCTGAGCAGACTGGACATATGAAAAAAATGAATGAGTCAGTCTTTTTAAAATCAATTTGACTGGCCATCATATTCAGCGATGGTAAGCAGAGGACTCACTAGAACAATAGGCAGGTCATTTACCATGAGGGAGGAGAGCAGAATGACCTGATTGAGTAATAGGCTTACAACACTTTGAGGACTTCCCATGGTCTTCAGACTAACAGTGTCTAGGCTGGGATTTATGCACCCACCCCCATCGCATGCCATACTTCTTTCTATTCTCTAGCTATACTAACTCTTTCTAAGTTCCTTGAATGTGCCAAACTTTTTCTTGTATGTTAATCTGCCAGGAACCTTCTATACCAAACCCTCCCCTTCTCCTCACCTGACTAAGCCTGACTCCTCTTTTGGGTCTCAGCTCAGCCATCACCTTCTTAAAGAAGCCATCTCTAATTACCTCTGTCCCCCACTACCTCACACACACAGGCGTGCGTGCACACACACAAGCAGGCACACGTGTCATATCTGCACACTAGATTAAGTTAAACCCCCAAGCTATCGCTCCCCATGATACTGGTCACTTTTTTTTTTTGAGACAGGGTCTTGCTCTGTTGCCTAGGCTGGAGTGCAGTGGCAAGATCATGACTCACTGCAGCCTCAGCTTCCTGGGCTCACAGGATCCTCCCACCTCAGCCTCCCAAATAGCTGGGACCACAGGTGTGGACCAACACATCCAGATAATTTTATTTATTTATTTATTTATTTATTTATTTTGTAGAGATGGGGTTTTTCCATGTTGCCTAGGCTGGTCTCAAATTCCTGAGCTCAAGCAATCTACCTCCCTTGGCCTCCCAAAGTCCTAGGATTAAAGGCACTTCTTTTTCTTTAGCCTCATAGAGTTTGTAATTCTTTTTTAGTGTCTGTTTTCCCCACAAGGCTGTAGCACCGTGGGGGCAGAGGATAGTGAGTCTTATTCTCATTTGAATTCATAGCAGAACATCTGGCACACAGTGACTGCTAGGAACACACAGAAGTAGCAAAGAAAAGAAGAAAGAAAAAAGAAAGAAGGAAGAAGGAAAGAAGGAAGGAACGAAGGGAGGAAGGGAGGGAGGGAGGAAGGAAGGAAGGAAGGAAGGAAGGATCTATACAAAAAGAGTCTCTACCCTAGTGGATTTGGAAGCATATAAAAAATACATTCTCTGATGTGGCTGGCTAGACTCTACTGTAGCTCAAAGTCCCTTTAGTTCTGGGTCAGGTTAAGTCAGCTATACCTTCAGCAACCCCTGATCTGTTGAAAATGCAGCTCATGTGTGGTTCAATGGGAAGATTCTAGAGAAGAACTGCACTGCTTAGCTCAGCTAAGAGTACATTTATCTCAATTGATCTCAGGTAACCAAGGGTGAGATATGGTCACTAATGTTTGCCCAGTCCCTTCTCTGTGAGAAGCAAGCAATAAAATGCTTTCTTTGGCAGAGACTGCATCTTTATATTCCACAAACTTCAGGGCACCACTCTGTGCAGAGAAGAATAAATCCATCCCCTGACCAAGACAGCCTTAATATTCTCTTCAGCTTGACTAAACTTTAGACAGGTTTCTTCCTGAGTACAGGCCCCTGACGTCCCTTTTCTAAGAGCATTTACTTTGGAAAACCTAAAACTGTAAATTATTTCTCTGCCTTTTTGAGATGTAGATCGTCTAGTTTCTTGCTAATTTCAGAAACCAAGGAAGTTTTACTGAATGACAAGGACCTGACAGCCATCCCTTTAAATGTAATCATCAAGAATAGTGGTAAACCCCTCCCTTCCAGTTTCTGTGGGATGGCAGGAGTCTAATGTGACAATTAGCAAACACAGATGCCTAATCACATGGGCCGACCTCGTGCCAGTGGCCCTCCAGTACTTTTCCACTAGCTCACCCGGGACTAAAAACCTTCCCATCTTTTATTTTAGCAGAGTTGGGTTCAGTGTCTCTCATATGTTGTAATAGTCTTGAACAGAGTCTTCTTTGCATGTTTAGCTTTGTCTGGTGGAATTTGTCTTTGATACCCTCATAGGCCTGGCTCACATGTGCACCTGAATTAAACTGGGGCTACATTACGTCTGGTAGATAGGAATGTTCTAGAAGGTGATCACATTTCAAAAATTCTATCTAACTGAATAAAATGTCAGTGTGCTCCCATTTAGTGAGAAGGAGAATTCTTTTTATAATTTGAGATGAGATTGTTTTTCTTTAATGCTGCTATTTTGAAGTAACATTAAAAAAATGAAAATATCTGGCTACTTCTATGGGAGGCAGATTTGAATGATGTCCCAGGAGGAAAAACTGTGGTTGGCATGTTTCAGAACTATATCAGTTTTCTTATCTATGTAAGGTAGCTCATGTAATGATCTTCGTTGCAATGCTGAAACCTTGTTGAGCTCTTATTTTGAAGGTCAGCCTCTGAGGTACCTAGATTTTATTTTCTTCTGGTTTGGAGAGTGACTGATAGGCTTTGTGGCTGAATGTCTTCCCTCTCAGTAAAAGTGAATGGCGCAGAATCTGATGACTAGTGAATACTCATCGAACTTTAATTGTAAGTGTTGCTGTCATCATCTCATCATCACTTTCACAATTGTGAAAAACAAAGAAACAAACAGGATATTATGCTTTCAAAACTTTCTACTCTCTACCAAAAAAAAAGTTGATGGGTAGTAATGCTGGCTTAAAATAGTCTGTAGCCTTTTCTGGATTGCTTCATTCATATATAACTCTGAGCTCTATTTGTGAGATGTTTGTCTTTCTCTCTCCCTACCCCAATCCCTGCATTTTTTAGTGATGGATGGGCAGACAGAGATGAAGTCATTGAAGGTTATGAGGTGGAAGCCAACGGGGGAATCACGATAAAGCTGCAGTCTCCAGAGGTCAGGTCATTTGATGATTATTTCCTGAAACTGAGGCTGGACACTAACACGAGGAATCCCTGGTTCCCTGAGTTCTGGCAACATCGGTTCCAGTGCCGCCTTCCAGGACACCTTCTGGAAAATCCCAACTTTAAACGAATCTGCACAGGTAACTCATGTTCACAAAATAACAACTCAGAGGTTTGGTCATCTCTTCTAGATTTATTGCAACTTGTTGAATGAGAATAGAAGGTGCCAGGGCTAGAGATCCAAAGACAAAATTGCCATCTGTGTTTATAAAATGCTAGAATAAGGAGGAATTGTGTATTACCCCAGGGATTCATGGCAATCTGGAAAGACAACTTTGGTCTCTGTTGGAGCAAGTGATACGAGATAACAGAAGTAAAGGAAAAGCAAACTGAGGAGTCAGGTATCTAGTATTTAAGACAGAAGGAAGAGATTTTATTACAAACATGTTTAGGAGACCTTAGCCATAGACATAAGTCAGCAATACTGGTTAGATCCTCTTTTTTCTTTGTGGCTTGTTTAGATACAGAAGTCAGGAGAAGATGAGGTAATGTGACCCTAAGCCACACGACCAACAAAAGTGTTTGTGGGCATAGGGGCCAAGAAACTGCACTCTGATCTTTCAGTCAGAACAATGGTTCACAGCTGGACAGATGAGCCCCATGCACTACTCACTGATGCCATGACAGGAAACAGCAGCACATTGTTCCAAGTTCTTCAGGGGTGTGGTGAAATCCACAGGATGTCCTCCTTGCAACCCCTAGTACTACCATAACCCAGATTCTGAAAACTGTAACTTTTATGAGTATTATTATTACTGCATAGGGACATTGCTGTCCCCTGTCCTTTTCAGTATTTTCTATGCTGCCAAGATAAATCATCTATGTCCTTTCATAATGCCATTCAAAGCCAGTTGTTCTTACTGGGTCGATAGCATAGAATAATGGAGCACTCATGATAATGGGTGATGGAATCTATCCATGACCTAATTTGTATTGTAGAACAGTGGTGCGACATGTATATCCTGTATGTAGGCTACGCAGATATTATTTATAAAGGTATAGAATCATATTACGCCCATGTATAAAACACTGTATATAGCAAACAAAGGGGGATAGAGAAGCGTATAATCCATGACTCTTGACCTAGAGAGGCTTGCCATCTCTTTGGGCAAATCAAAACAGATCACATACATGAAATAGACAAATAACAATAGAGGACAACGAGTTTTTGCAGGGGATGGTAAGAATATGGCTAATTACATAAAATATTTCTATTTTCAATAGTATTCATAGTTTGATGTTAGAAAATGCTTTCAGATACCAATATATGTAAATGCATCAATGTATGTTTGGCTTCATAAGGTTCAGCAGAGTTCAATGGGAAATTGCCTGGTATGGATCTATTTTCAAATAAGGAAGTTTCAATCTTTTAGAACTTCCTCAGTGTGGCTTCTAGGGAGGCGGCGAAAGGCAGGAGAAAGGGGAGACATTGCTAAACAATAACCCACCTCTGCCACGTAGGTGTTTCTACTTTCTCTGAAATAATAGACATCTCCTTTCTCTGAAATAATAGATAAACCAAGAATAAGCATTCTAATGAACCAATAAATCATCCAAGACAGTCTCCTTATTTGCAAAACAGAGGTGATGAGGGTGAACAGGGGAAACAGTTTCCCTAGGCTCATAAGGTTAATGGCAGCAAAGAAACGACAACCCACACCTCCTAGACAACATAGTGCCTATTTTTAGACTTAGTATTTGGTAATATATTATCTCTCATTGCTTTCTAATTGTTTCCTAAGAAATGTTTGCCATCTTCAACTGTAATATCTTTGTAGTCAAAGCATCCTTACTTGCTTCATAGAACCCTATACAACATGGATCTCTGGGAGCTCAGTCAATTCTTGTTAGCTAATTGATCAGTTAATTTACATTTTCATTCAGGGTAGGGAGTTTTGCTGAAGGGCCCAAGGAGAAGAGCAGTGAGGAGCCTACTGAAAAAGCAGGTGAAGGTGGTGAATTGGGCCCGGTAGTGGGAAGCAAAGTGGAGAGAAGTGGTTTGATGGTGAAGACATGTTGAGTGAAGGTTGAGATTTGCTGACAGAATTGTCAAGAATAACTGTAATCTGAGCAACTGGAAAGATGGTGTCACCATTGACTGAGACAGAGGAAGACTTCAGGAAAAAAAGATTAGGGAAAGTCCAAGAGGCTGATTTTGGATAAATTAAGTCTGAGATATCTGATGGTGGTCCAACTACAGATGTCATTTTGTCATTGTGTTTTATTAGTAAAATTCAGGATACTACTTATGCTTAGATCATTTATATAAGGATTTCTAGGAAGATATTTTGTTGAGCTCTCAAAACAAGTTAAAACTCTGCAACAAGGTACACTAATATTTTGGGTTTTTAATTGTGACAGTACATAAATGTCAAGGTTAAAGCTTAAACTGTGTTAGTATTCACAGCAAGAAATAACAATTTACAAATCTTGATTTATTTTTATGCTGTGCTTGAATCTCAAAGCTGTGTTTAAGAGCTTCTTATATGATTACAATCTTTATGAAACATGTTTATATTTGCATTTCATTCTGGAGTCAAGTTCAGCAAATATTTCTCTTTTTTAGGTCTAAGGAAGGCAGGAGGTTTATTTAACTTTTCTATTTGAATTAATTCATAAAACTTATTTATGTTTTATGCAGCAAAATTCTTATACTTTTATCTTTAGCAGTGTTTATCTATATTATCTATGATGTATACATTCATGTATACCTACCTTGGTCTTCGGTTTTAATCTCTATATTTCTGTGAAATTGGCTTCAATGTTATTGAAGAACAATAAACTTTCACTTCATGTATTATTCTTATCCATTTGAGATCCTTGAATATCAAATGAATTCCATAATCTTCTAACAAATATGCAGACACATCTATGAAAATTAGTGTGAGGAAGGAGAATTAACCTTTCCATACTATTGATAGCTACTGTTTCTGTCACTCCTTTTTACCTCTTCTAATTGGGTCACTTCTAGTGGTTTGGAAAGTTTTGATATTGCTATTAGTTTCCATAGAAACCATTATTGAACTTAATCCCAGATGTCACTATTTAAATAAAGAGTTTATGTGCACTAGATTGCCAGTTTGAATATTAAAGGTCCCAAACCCAGGCTGAGTAGTTTAGGAATCACTGTGGCTAATTAAAAAGTATTTCATGTAAAGTACACATCACTGCTTAATTAGTTGAGTATATCAAGGGATTGGAGGTGTGTTAGAAAAGCACTAACTGAAACATCAAAACATAACTTCTAAAAAATTAATCATTGTAGGACAGTGGAAAGAGCTGTAAAGCAAATCAGAGTCACTCTCTTCCAGTAAATGTCTTAGCTGCTTAAAAGATTTGTATCATGTTTGCAATGGCATAGTGCTTTTTCATTCCTGATGAGACTTATTAGAAATTCCATAGAAGCTGATAGGGTGTAGCATTTTGAAGCACTATCACTGGGTCCAATACCAGTTCAGTTATGTATCAGCCGCACGACTTGCATGACCTCACTTAACCTCAGAACCTCAGTTTTGGTAACATGACAACAATATCCACCTCACACAGAACTCTGCATGAATTAAATGAAATAACACAAATGAACTACTTTACAATAAAATAATACAAGTGAAATACTTTGCAAACTGAAAATACTTAACATAAATGTAAAATGTTACTACTAGTGTCATGTCTTATTAGAAAACAGGGCATGACATAGATCATTTCATAAAAATTATATATTTTGTAATTGTAAGTTTAACTTAACTACATCCCAGGATGTGGAAACTAGAAAAAACAAGACAACAATCTTTAATCAATCACCCTTACATAGTTAGTGCCAATATAGATATTTTCTCTTATATTTTCCCATGCAGTCTTTTATAATTTTTTTCTGATGATGAAAGTAATACGTGCTTAATATGCTATTGCATGCACTTGGAAATATACAGAAGCATTAGAAAGCTGAAGAGAATTAAGAATTTGCTCTTATCTAAACATCATTAGTCACTGTTAAAATTTTGGCATGTTTTCATCTTTCTCTATATAGTTTTAAATTATGTATTAATATTATTTTATATATTGCTGTATTAAAAGAAATGTTTTATACATTGATACATTTGTCTTTGTCGTTAAATTCTTTTATTCTTAATGGCTGCTTAACATTTTGCATTCACATAAGCTATAATTTAGGCATTTCATTCTTTCTATTTAGGCTGTTTTTGCTTATTCACAATTTTCAAAAATGTTGCAGTGATATAATAAAAAAATTTTCATTCTAAACTTTCTTTTTTTACATTTGGATAATTTTCTTAAGTTGTATTTCTAGAAGTTAAATTTCTAGAAGTTTAATCAAGAGATATAAACATTTCTGGCTGGGCATGGTGGCTCATGCCTGTAATCTCAGTGCTTTGGGAGGCTAAGGTGGGCAGATGGCTTGAGGTCAGGAGTTCGAGACCAGCCTGGCCAACATGGTGAAGCCCCATCTCTACTAAAAATACAAAAATTAGTTGGGCTTGGTGGCGGGTGCCTATAATCCTAGCTACTCGGGAGGCTGAGGCAGGAGAATCGCTTGAGCCTGGGAGGCAGAGGTTGCAGTGAGCCGAGATCGCGCCACTGCACTCTAGCCTGAGTGACAGAGCGAGACTCTGTCTCAAAAAAAAAAAAACAGAACATTTTTAAGCTTTTGAAAAGGAGTTCCAAAAGGCAGCTCCTACTAACGCTGCTTGAAACTCTATGCATTCTTTTCATTTTATTTTGCATAATTATCATCACAGTGTGCATACAATTCTCTATCTTATTTCACTCAGGATTATATTTTACATAGTTTTGATGTTGCTTCATGGTCTTTATAACCACCATTTTAAAAGCTCCATAATATTCTAACCAGTTAAAATACTATAACTACTGGCCATTCTTATGTTGTCAGTCATTTAGACGACTTTTAATTTTCCTTCTTACATAAAAAAAAAAGCACTGAATATGATACACAGATTTTTCACAGTTGTTGTTACTGTTTTGGGATTGTTCCTTTACAGTAGATTCCTAAATATAATTATTAGTAATAACTTGATAAATTTGGGGTCCCTTAAAAATATAAACTGCATTTTCTTGCAATATGGCAATATTTGCATACTTAATATTTGCTCCGGCTAGCAGTATATTAACTGTATGAGTTCATGGGGTTTATTCTGTCCTTATCAGCCTTTTTCACACCTCAGTGAAGTTATAGCCATTATTTTATTTTCTCTCCATATTCTTTGTACCAATTGAGAACAGATGGACACAATGACTTTTAAAATTAGTCTATATTACATTTGGCTATTTTAGAAGACATAATGAAAGAATCTGGCTGGTATCTAATTCTCACCAACAGCTCAGGACTGGTAAGATGATGATAGCTAGTCTAGTGAAAACATTTTAAGACTTTGAAGCAAGGGGACTCTTACTCCAATAGTTTGGAGGCTGCCATTCACAATTTTAGACTGATACTAATTTTCATAATATATTTGCCTTATTAGGTTTCAAATTTTATGGACTCCACTTGGAATTAACTTATTTTATAAGGCCAGATAAGATCAGTCCATTAGAGTTTGATCCAGATTAAGATGTTCCATAAACTGAGATGGGTTCCAGTTTACTTCAGCCCATTAGGTCCTTTGGTAATAACTTCTCTTTATCTTGGGAAGTTTGACCCAAATGTCAATATGCACTCCTGAAGAATATCATTTGCTTTCAACCCAGAAGTTGGTATTATTAGTTGGGGTTTGTGGAAGACATTACATTTCTTCACCCCTTTTTGTATCCATGCTCTTTGAAATATGGCTTTGTAGCATCTCTCCTCGAGAGGTAGAGTTTTGTTCCCTACCTGTTGAATCTGAATTGACCTTACCATTTATTAACTCTAAGTTTAGGCCTTAAGAGACTTGACCTACTCTCATTTTCTTTCCTGGAACCTTACCTTAGCCATATGAATAAGCTTGAATTTATCTGGTAGAAGATGAGAAATAACATGGATCAGAAACAGGATGACCTCTCAGTTGAGAATGTCCTAGATCAGCCAGTCCCTGGCCAACCCACCACCTGACAGTTGACGCCTGAGTGAGCCAAGCTGAGATGAGTTATGTCCAACTCAGAGCAGCAGAACTTCCTAGTTGACTCCTAGATTCATGAACTAAATAAATTATTATTGTTTTAAACCACTAAGCCCTGGGATGGTTTGTTATGCGGCTTTTTTGGGGCAATTGATAACTGATAAAGGTATTCATAGCTTTGTAATCCATGGAGCAATAGTTGGTTTAATTAAATTATGGGACATAATTCCTCAACCCAATAGTAGAATGCTCAGTCTTTTCCCATCATAAGAAGAATGGTGCAATATTGCACCCAGGATCTCGTCGAGCAAAGCCAAAAAGTTTTATAGATCCTGCAATCAAAAGAATTTTAAAGCCCCCTTGATCCTAGGCAGTTAAACTATTCCACTTAGGAAATCTGCTGTGCATACAGGAAGTGCTGAAAAAATGAGGTACAGTTATAGCTTAGTCAAACAAATACTCTCAAAATAAAACAGTCATATGTTCTCATACAGTGCTGTTATAAGTTGCTTTATGGGAATAGGTTTTACAAGTCTTAGAAGTGTTTATATATCTTAGTTGGAAGAATGAAAGTGAACTGACTGTGTGTCTCATCTGGACCTTATAATTTCTCAGACAAATCTGATTATCACACAGATGAAGCTCTGAGAGTAACTATTCAATAGGCACAATATTGGCCTACCTATCTCTTATTAACACTTTTGATTGGCACTGCCAAATGTGTTAGCCACTAGCCACATGTGTCTATTTGTATTTAAATTTAAATCAGTGAAAATCACGTGAAATGAAACCTTCAGTTCCTCAGTTTCACTAGCCACAGTTCATGTATCAATACAGGTACTAGAATATACATTTTTCTGTTTAAAATAGTTTATTTCTTATAAACATAATAGTAACAGTGATACATGAGTAACAGCATGAACTTACAAATTGTGAAAAAAAATACTTTTGGTTTCGTAGTTTTACATAGCATGATAGGTAACAATACTTTGTTAATGTGCTGTTTTGATTGATCATATGATTTTTCCTGCTCTATTTTCTGGAACCTTATTTATTAGGTGATTGAAATTTATACTTTTAGTAACCTCATTTTCATTACATATGATTGAGAATGTTATCATTTGCTCTTGGAAAATGCAAGATCACACATAATTTTTTATTTTAATTTTGAGAAGGATCTTTCTGCTGATGCAATTGTTACAGTAACTGTTAAGAATATTTAGGCCTGGTGCGGTGGCTCACGCCTGTAATCCCAGCACTTTGGGAGGCCGAGGTGGGCGGATCAAGAGGTCAGGAGATGGAGACCATCTTGGCTAACACACTGAAACCCCATCTCTACTAAAAACACAAAAAATTAGCCGGGCACAGTGGCGGGCACCTGTAATCCCAGCTACTCAGGAGGCTGAGGCAGGAGAATGGCGTGAACCCAGGAGGCGGAGCTTGCAGTGAGCTGACATAGCGCCACTGCAGTCCGGCCTGGGTGAAAGAGCCTGGGTGAAAGAACTCCGTCTCAAAAAAAAAAAAAAAAAAAAAAAAAAAAAAGAATATTTAGTAAGCTTTGACTCCATTGAGACAAATTTTTTGATAAATCATCCCAAAAGACAAATTTTAGCATAGAGTTGATGATTATCTTTGAACAACTTTTCTAAAAAGATTTAACTCTTCATACAGATCTGGTTTTTGCAAATCTGAATTTGAGTGTAAATTTATGAAATAACCATTTTAATGTCATTCTTCTGACATTTTCTGTAATTAGTGACTACCATATTGGACAGCATAGATGCAGAAAACTTCTACTATTGCAGAAAGATCTATTGAACAATGCTGCTCTAGACTGTGTTCTATTTTCCTAACTCCACAAATGCAAGTTTGATTGTTTCTGTAGTATTTGGATATAATTCACAAGTTAGTGATTTGAGACTGATCAACTTGTTGAATATCCTGACGAATTACAACAGCTGAAAGTTGACTCACTCTTTGGTATGAGCCAACGCTGCCAGCTTGCTTGGTAATTCCTACAGATCTGATGCCCAACATAGGGTGGACTGGTTCCCACACAGACCAGGCATGTCTTAAAGAGCCTAGTTAAGTTCTTTAATCCATGTCATTTTTAATATTGGATGGAATCAGAGAAACATGCACATGTTCTGTCATCCAAAAATTATAAAGATTGATGCAGGGGCATGAGTTATTGGTTCTTTTACCTTATATTCATCTTGATTTGTTTCCCAAAAGCTCAAATAATTTTTAGTAGCAGATACAGACTTGAGGTATAAAAATGGAAATTATCTGAGGCATCTAATGGCATCGAGAGAGTAAACAGTTACTATTTTATCTTTTATATGCAAGTGAATTTTATTTTTACTATGCCTGCAAACCAGTTACCTAGAGATTGACCTAAGTTTCATATACTTTAGTTATTACTAGAATTTGGTTATAACTATTAATAAGTTCTTTAATTAGATCAGTTTTCTTCTTATTGAATAAAATATGTATTTCTGAAGTTGAATGGTCTGTCATGTGGTTCAGCTTGCCTTCCAAACAAGTTTGAAGTGAGTGTTTTCAATGATTAAAATCTATGACTGTTCATAAATATTTCACCCTGGATGAGTATCTATTTAGGTTAGTATCTATTTAGATTGTTTCTATGGCATTTTCCCATGTCGTCTAAAAGTGTCGCTTCTCATCAGGAGAATAGTTTTGTATTTCACGCCTTGTATACATTTGCTGCTGGGAAAATTCATATAAAATAAAGTCATATTTTCAGCCATCATAAAAAGTAACAGTTGTTCAGGATGGGTGTGACCCATTATACTTGGGGTCTGGCCCATTTACTCTTTTCTTCCTTTTTATAGTTTTATTAAGGTATAATAGCTACATTACACACATTTAAAGTGCACCAAAAAAATTGATCAATTTTGATGTATGTATATGCCCAAGAAACATTTACTGCAATTAAGATACTGAACATATTGCTTCTCAAATTCCTTTGTGCCTCATTGAAAATCCCTCTCGTCTACCCCTCTTCATCCCATCCCCAGGCAGTCACTTATTGATTTTCTGACACTATATTTTATTTGTAATTTCTATACTTTAATATAAATTGAATTTTTATAAAAGAGTACATTATAAACTCTTTTCTGCCTGCCTTCTTTTACTCAGCACAATTATTTTGAGATTCATGATTGCACTGTATATATCAATAGTTAATTCCTTTTTTTTTTTTTTTTTTTTTTTTTTTTTTTTGGAGACAGAGTCTTGCTCTGTTGCCCAGGCTGGAATGCAATAGCTGGATCTTGGCTCATTGCGACCTCTGCCTCCCAGGTTCAAGCGATTCTCCTGCCTCAATCTCACGAGTAGCTGAGATTACAGGCATGTGCTACCATGCCCGATTAATTTTTTTTTTTTTGGTATTTTTAGTAGAGATGGGGTTTCACTATGTTGGCTAGGCTGATCTCGAACTCCTGACCTCAAGTAATCCACCTGCCTTGGCCTCCCAAAGTGCTGGAACAACACTTAACTCCTATTAATTGAAGAGTAGTGCTCCATTATTTGTGTATCATAATGTGGTTATTTATTCACCTGGTAATGAACATTTGAGTTGTTTCCAGGTTTTGGTTATTTCAAATAAAGCTGCTATGAATATCTTTATACAAATCTTTGCATAAGCATATTCTTTCATTTTTCTTTGGTCAGTTCTTTGGAGTGTAATGGCTGCATCATGTGGTAAGTGTGTGTTTAACTTCTTTTAATTCACCTGTTGGTCTTATTCACTATGGAGATATATGATTGGGAAAATAGCATCACAAAGGGATTGAACACTGAGAAGGCTTGTTAAAGTTCAAATACCAGTGAGACTTCTGAACTGCTTCTTGAAGAGTGTATTCCATCATTCCATTTTTTTTTTATTTGCAGATGGCAGTTAAGGTGAAGGGGTTATTTTATGTTCATATTATGAGCCAAGTCTTGGGTCATAATAGCTATAAAACATGATTTCTAATTAGCTAGATTTCTTATTAGCTACTATGGAATCAAGGTTGTCGTATCTCTGAACAATTTCCTGAGTATGTTCCCTAGTGATTAATTCTCCAGTGACTGCGTTTCCGAAAAACTAGCCTCTTACCCAAAGTTAAAATATTCATTTGTGCCCTAATGACTGGGAGATTGCCTTGTATAATCAACCCACAAGTTATATTTATGGTATAGTTCCCATGTCTCTAGGCCACAGTAATGCACTGGGGAGTTATATTTTATATCCAAGAGCTATTTGTCAAACTTCACACCAATGAGCTGTGTGAGGCCAGGAGTTCAAGACCAGCCTGGGAACTACTGCAAGACCCTGTCTCTCCAAAAAGTTAGCTGGGCACTTTTAGAGGACATGGAAAAATGCCATAGAAACAATCTAAATAGATACTAACATGCACCTGTAGTCCTAGCTGCTTGGGAGGCTGAGGTGGGAGGATCACTTGAGCCCAGGAGATCAAGGCTACAGTGAGCTATGATTGTGGCACTGCACTCCAGCCTGGGCAGCAGAATGAGAATCTGCCTCTTAAAAATAAAAGTAAAAAAGAAATGCCAGTGAATTGAATCCTTAGAGATGTAAATAGATCTGGACTGAATACTCCAGTCAGCTTAATACTATTATGCAATCCATTTGGCTAAATTAATAGCTTAAGCCTTTGAATGATGTAAATAAAAATCTGGTCCTTCAGAGCTGTAGTTCTCAAGCATGGCTTATTAAGACCATCGGGAAAGCTTTTACACAAAACTTTCCTATATTAATCTGGGTCCTACGCCATACAAATAGAATCAGAATCTTTGGAGTGAGGCCAAGCATTTATTTTAAGGACAAGAAGAAATTCATACTTAAAATTTATGAGCCATTTAAATTTTCAAAATTCAGAACCATCTGTCACTGTCCAAGTTGAGAGCCTGCTAAGGTTTTGGCCCTGGCTGTGGCATCTGAGATAGCTAATGAGATTTTAGTAATTCATGATCTGAATCAGTCTCTTTTGTTTATTTATTTATTGGTAGGCTTGTTTTGCATTTGAAGTATTGGCATTCCGAAACCAGTAAGTCATAACCAAATACTGTATGCCTCCCTGTCCAGATTGGGTAATTCTTAGATGTATTAATTTTGTATTGCTGTCATAACAAATTACCACAGACTCAGTGGCTTGAAGCAACACAAATTTATTATGTTACAATTCTGTAGGTTAGAAGCCTATGACGTAACCTCTAAGACCCTGACAAGAGTCTCCCTGGGGTAACATTAGAGGGTCAGCAGGCCTGCATTCCTTATGAAGACCCTAGGAGAGAATGTTCCCTTGCTTTTTCTGGCTTTTAGAGGCCACTCACGTGTCTTGGCTCATGGCCCCCTTCCTTCATATCCAAAGCCAGGAACTTTACATCTATCTGACTTTTCTTCCTCAACCACACCTCTCTCTGGACGTGACCAGGGAAATTTCTCCACTGTTAAGGATTCATGTGATTGAGACCTAGGTAACCCAGGATAATCTCTCCATCTCAAGGGACAATTAGTCACATTCGCAAAGTCTCTTTTACCATGGAAATGAATTTATTCACAAGTTCAGTGATTAGGACGTGGCATCTTTGTGGGACTGTTACGTTGTCTACCACACTAGGTGTCAAGACAGCACGGCATCAGCCTCTCTAAGTCCCTACCGGCTGATTCTTTAGTGCCTTCTACTGCTGCAGGCTGATTCTGTAGGATATAAGTCTTTGGAAACAGATTCGAAAAGTCATTTGTATTGTGTTCCTGTGAAAGGTAAAACATCCAGGCAGTTGACGACATATATTTCTTGCATCCACTCTCAGGGAAGTCTCTTATTTCGCATCATCATCCTCCTTGGCGTCCTCTGACGGAGCATGCTCCTCTGATTGGGGACTGTCTTTTTGAGGGCCGGGGGACTGTCTTTTTGAGGGCCTGGGGACTGTCTTTTTGAGGGCCAGGCGGCTGTCTGCCTCTACTACCTGACCCTAAAATGTTGAAGGCCCAAGGTCCATTTCAGATATTTGATGCTCACAGTCTCTTTTAGTCTAGGCTGCCAGCTTTTTAATTTTTCTAAGAAAAATCTTATTTTAAATGTAGTTTCCTTTTTAACTAGTTTATCAGGCACAACCTGCGTTAATAGCCATGCCTACAATTCTTGTTAGACAAGCCTCGCCTTCCAGACTTACTTTGAGGTACATTGAACCTAACAGACTCCTAGTGAAAAGCCACAGTCTTAGTCTCTTGTTTCTTAGCCATTTCCTTCATCTGAAAGATTTATGTGTGCCAAATTATTATTTTCAGAGATTTTTAACAAAAGAATATGAGTCTTGATATGGTTCTTGCCATTAATCTGAGTTTTCATGGGTCTTTTGTGGTACAAAGACCTTGTCAGCTTGCTCTTTAAGAGTTCGAAATAAAAATCCATTTCACTTTTATCTTTGCACATTTAATTTTTCTACTTCCTTGCCTAAACATGTAAGCTCAGTTGATAAAACTGCTGCCTTCCAAGTTATTGCAGGTGACAATACTAATGAGTGTTTTGCCATTGCATAATAATGGAATAATTATGTCCTTTTAGACCCTGGTCACAGTTTCTTTGCAAATTGCTTCCTGTATCTATATGCCTTGTATTTTATGTTTCATTGTTGGTTTCGTTGTGTTATAGGAACCCCCCTACTTTTTGGTACCAATTTCTGTATTTGTCAGGATAGGCTAGATATACTGTGACAAGAAATTAAAAATAGTTTAATGCCTTATAACAATAAATAATTATTTCTCATTCATGCAACATGTTCATTATATGTTAGTTAAAACTCCCTTATGTTTTCTGGAAGCCAAACTATAGAACAGCTTCTATCTGGAACATTGATAGTTGCAGCATAAAGAACAAAACATAGCCAATGTGAACTTAGTTTAAAACTTCCACTAAAAGTTATATGTGTCACTTCCACTCACATTTCATTGACCAAAGCAAGTTTTGTAGTCAAGCCAGTTATTAATGGAGAGAGGAAATATAACCCATCTCAGGGGAAGGGTATCTAATATATGGGAACAATCTTCAATCTATCAAACTAATAAACCAGGCTTAGTACTATAGCCATTTATTCATAAGAGGGCAAATCTTATGGTTGGAATCTTTAAAATTTTAAACTTTTTAAAAACTTATACTTTAAGTTTTGGGATACATGTGCAGAATGCACAGGTTTGTTACGTAGATATACATGTGCCATGGTGGTTTGCTGGACTCATCAACCTGTCATCTACATTAGGTATTCCTCCTAATGCTATCACTCCCCTAGCCCCCTATCCCCCAACAGGCCCCAGTGTGTGATGTTCCCCTCCCTGTGTCCATGTGTTCTCATTGTTCAACTCCCACTTATGAGTGAGAACATGCAGTGTTTGCTTTTCTATTCCTGTGTTAGTTTGCTGAGAATGATGGTTTCCAGCTTCATCCATGTCCCTGCAAAGGACATGAACTCGTCATCCTTTTTTATGGCTGCATAGTATTCAATTATGTATATGTGCCACATTTTCTTTATCCAGTCTATCATTGATGGGCATTTGGGTTGGTTCCGAGTCTTTGCTATTGTGAAAAGTGCTGCAATAAACATACGTGTGCATGTGTATTTATGGTAAAATCATTTATAATCCTTTGGGTATATACCCAGTAATGGGATTGCTGGGTCAAATGGTATTTCTGGTTCTAGGTCCTTGAGGACTCACCATACTGTCTTCCACTATGGTTGAACTAATTTACACTCCCACCAACAATGTAAAAGTGTTCCTATTTCTCCACATCCTCTCCAGAATCTGTTGTTTCCTGACTTTTTAATGATCACCATTCTAAATGGCAAGAGATGGTATCTCATTGAGGTTTTGATTTGCATTTCTCTAGTGGCCAGTGATGATGAGCTTTTTTTCATGTTTGTTGGCCACATAAATGTCTTCTTTTGAGAAGTGTCTGTTCATATCTTTCACCCACTTTTTGATGGGGTTGTTTTTTTCTTGTAAATTTGTTTAAGTTCCTTGTAGATTCTGGATATTAGCCCTTTGTCAGATGGATAGGTTACAAAAATGTTCTCCCATTTTGTAGGTTGCCTGTTCACTCTGATGAATAGTTTCTTTTGTGTGCAGAAGCTCTTTAATTAGATACCATTTGTCAATTTTGGCTTTTGTTGCCATTGCTTTTGGTATTTTACTCACAACGTCTTTGCCCATACCTGTGTCCTGAATGGTATTGCCTAGGTTTTCTTCTAGGGTTTTTATGACTTCAGGTCTTACATTTAGAGTCTTTAATCCATCTTGAGTTAATTTTTGTATAAGGTGTAAGGAAGGGGTCCAGTTTTCCCAACACAATTTATTAAATGGGGAATCCTTTCCCCATTGCATGTTTTTGTCAGGTTTGTCAAAGATCAGATGGTTGTACATGTGTTGTACATTATTTCTGAGGCCTATGTTCTGTTCCATTGGTTAATATATATGTTTTGGTACCAGTACCTGCTGTTTTGGGTACTGTAGACTTGTAGTATAGCTTGAAGTCAGGTAGTGTGATGCCTCCAGCTTTGTTCTTTTTGGTTAGGATTGTCTTGGCTATATGGGCCCTTTGTTGGTTTCATATGAAATTTAAAGTAGTTTTTTCTAATTCTGTGAAGAAAGTCAATGGTAGCTTGATGGGGAGAGCATTGAATCTATAAATTACCTTGGGCAGTATGGCCATTTTCAAGATATTGATTCTTCCTATCCATGAGCATGGGATGTTTTTCTATTTGTGTCCTCTCTTATTTCCTTGAGCCGTGGTTTGTAGTTCTCCTTGAAGAGGTCCTTCACATCCCTTGTAAGTTGTATTCCTAGGTATTTTATTCTCTTTGTAGCAATTGTGAATAGGAGTTCACTCATGATTTGGCTCTCTGTTTGTCTATTAATGGTGTATAGTAATGCTTGTGATTTTTGCACATTGCTTCTGTATCCTGAGACTTTGCTAAAGTTGCTTATCAGCTTAAGGAGTTTTTGGGCTGAGTCGATGGGGTTTTCTAAATATACAATCATGTCATCTGCAAACAGAGACAATTTGACTTCCTCTTCTCCTATTTGAATATCCTTTATTTCTTTCTCTTGCCTTATTGCCCTGGCCAGAACTTCCAATACTACGTTGAATAAGAGTGGTGAGAGAGGGCATTCTTATCTTGTGCTGGTTTTCAAAGGGAATGCTTCCAGCTATTGCCCATTCAGTATGATATTGGCTGTGGGTTTGTCATAAATAGCTCTTATTATTTTGAGATACGTTCCATCAATACCTAGCTTATTGTGATTTTTTAGCATGAAGGGGTGTTTAATTTTATCAAGGCCTTTTCTACATCTATTGAGATAATCATGTGGTTTTTGCCATTGGTTCTGTTTCTGTGATGGATTACGTTTATTGATTTGTGTATGTTGAACCAGCCTTGCATACCAGGGATGAAGCTGACTTGATCATTCTGGATAAGCTTTTTGATGTGCTGCTGGATTCAGTTTGCCAGTTTTTTTATTGAGGATTTTCCCATCGATGTTCATCAGGGATATTGGCCTGAAATTTTCTTTTTTTGTTGTGTCTCTGCCAGATTTTGGTATCAGGATGATGCTGGCCTCATAAAATGAGTTAGGGAGGAGTCCCTCTTTTTATATTGTTTGGAATATTTTCAGAAGAAATGGTAGCAGCAACTCTTTGTACCTCTGGTAAAATTTGGCTGTGAGTCTGTCTGGTCCTGGGCTTTTTTTTTTGGTTGGTAGGCTATTAATTATTGCCTCAATTTCAGAACTTGTTATTGTTCTATTCAGAAATTCGAGTTCTTCCTGGTTCAGTCTTGGGAGAGTGTATGTGTCCAGGAATTTGTCCATTTCTTCTAGATTTTCTAGTTTATTTGCGTAGAGGTGTTTATTCTATTCTCTGATAGTAGTTTGTATTTCTGTAGGATCAGTGATGATATCCCCTTTCTCATATTTTATTGTGTCTATTTGATTCTTCTCTCTTTTCTTCTTTATTAGTCTGGCTAGCAGTCTATCTATTTGGTTAATCTTTTCAAAAAAGCACCTCCTGAATTCACTGATTTTTTTTTTAAGGATTTTTCATGTCGCTATCTCCTTCAGTTCTGCTCTGATCTTAGTTATTTCTTGTCTTCAGCTAGCCTTTGAATTTTTTTGCTCTTGCTTCTCTAGTTCTTTTAATTGTGATGTTACGGTATTGATTTTATATCTTTCTCACTTTCCCATGTGCATAATTAGTGCTATAAACTTCCCTTTAAACACTGCTTTAGCTGTGTCCCAGAGATTCTGGCACATTTTGCCTTTGTTCTCATTGGTTTCAAAGAACTTATTTATTTCTGCCTTAATTTAGTTATATACCCAGTAGTCATTCAGGAGCAGGTTGTTCAGTTTCCATGTAGTTGTGCGGTTTTGAGTGAGTTTTTTAATCCTGAGTTCTAATTTGACTACGCTGTCGTCTGCGAGACTGTTTTGATTTCTGTACTTTTGCATTTGCTGAGGACTATTTTACTTCCAATTATGTGGTCAATTTTAGAATAAGTGCGATGTGGTGCTGAGAAGAATGTATATTCTGTTGATTTGGGGTGGAGAGTTCTGTGGATGTCTGTTAGGTTCACTTGGTCCAGAGCTGAGTTCAAGTCCTGAATATCCTTGTTAATTTTCTGTCTTGTTGATCTGTCTAATATTGACAGTGGGGTGTTAAATCTCCCACTATTATTATGTGGGAGTCTAAGTCTCTTTGCAGGTCTCTAAAAACTTGCTTTATGAATCTCGGTGCTCCTGTATTGGGTGCATATTTAGGATAGTTAGCTATTCTTGTTGCATTGATCCCTTTACCATTAAGTAATGCCCTTCTTTGTCTTTTTTTATCTGTTTTGGTTTAAAGTCTGTTTTATCAGAGACTAGGATTGCAACTCCTGCTCTTTTATTGCTTTCCATTTGCTTGGTAAATATTCTTCCATCTCTTTATTTTGAACTTATGTGTGTCTTTGCACGTGAGATGGGTCTGCTGAATACATCACACTGATGGGTCTTGACTCTTTATCCAATTTGCCAGTCTGTGTCTTTTAATTGGAACATTTTTGTTCCCTTGCTGGAGAGGAGCTGTGATCGTTTGGAGGAGAAGAGGCCTTTTTGCAATTTTTTCCCTCATCTTCATGGATTTATCTACCTTTGGTCTTTGATGCTGGTGACCTTCGGATGTGGTTTTGGTGTGGATGTTCGTTTTGTTGATGTTGATGCTATTACTTTCTGTTTGTTAGTTTTCCTTCTAACAGTCAGGCCCCTCTGCTGCAGGTCTGCTGGAGTTTGCTGCAAGTCCACTCCAGACCCTGTTTGCCTGGGTATTACCAGCAGAGGCTGCAGAACAGCAAAGATTGCTGTCTATTCCTTCCTCTGGAAGCTTCATCCCAGAGGGTACCCACCAGATGCCCGCTGGAGCTCTCCTCTATGGCTGTCGACCCCTGCTGGGAGGTGTCTCCCAGTCAGGAGGCATGGGGGTCCGGGACCCACTTGAGGAGGCAGTCTGTCCCTTAGCAGAGCTCCAGTGCTGTGCTGGGAGACCCACTGCTCTCTTCAGAGCTGGCAGGCAGGAAAGTTTAAGTCTGCTGAAGCTGGACCCACAAGCTCCCCTTCCCTGAGGTGCTCTGTCCCAGGGAGATGGGAGTTTTATCTATCAGCACCTGACTGGGGCTGCTGCCTTTCTTTTATTTTATTTTATTTTATTTTATTTTATTTTATTATTGTTATACTTTAAGTTTTAGGGTACATGTGCACAACGTGCAGGTTTGTTACATATGTATACATGTGCCATGTTGGTGTGCTGCACCCATTAACTCATCATTTAGCATTAGGTATATCTCCTAATGCTATCCCTCCCGCCCTCCACCCACCCCACAGCAGTCCCCAGTGTGGGATGTTCCCCTTCCTGTGTCCATGTGTTCTCATTGTTCAATTCCCACCTATGAGTGAGAACATGTGGTGTTTGTTTTTTCTACTTGCGATAGTTTGCTGAGAATGATGGTTTCTAGATTCATCCATGTCCCTACAAAGGACATGAACTCATCATTTTTTATGGCTGCATAGTATTCCATGGTGTATATGTGCCACATTTTCTTAATCCAGTCTCTCGTTGTTGGACATTTAGGTTGGTTCCAAGTCTTTGCTATTGTGAATGTCCCGCTATAAACGTACGTGTGCATGTGTCCTTATAGCAGCATGATTTATAGTCCTTTGGGTATATACCCAGTGATGGGATGGCTGGGTCAAATGGCGTTTCCAGTTCTAGATCCCTGAGGAATCGCCACAGTGGTTGAACTAGTTTACAGTCCCACCAACAGTGTAAAAGTGTTCCTATTTCTCCACATCCTCTCCAGCACCTGTTGTTTCCTGACTTTTTAATGATTGCCATTCTAACTGGTGTGAAATGATATCTCATTGTGGTTTTGATTTGCATTTCTTTGATGGCCGGTGATGATGAGCATTTTTTCATGTGTTTTTTGGCTGCATAAATGTCTTCTTTTGAGAAGTGTCTGTTCATATCCTTCGCCCACTTTTTGATGGGGTTGTTTGTTTTTTTACTTGTAAATTTGTTTGAGTTCATTGTAGATTCTGGATATTAGCCCTTTGTCAGATGAGTAGGTTGCAAAAATTTTCTCCCATTCTGTAGGTTGCCTGTTCACTCTGATGGTAGTTTCTTTTGCTGTGCTGAAGCTCTTTAGTTTAATTAGATCCCATTTGTCAATTTTGTCTTTTGTTGCCATTGCTTTTGGTGTTTTAGACATGAAGTCCTTGCCCATGCCCATGTCCTGAATGGTATTGCCTAGGTTTTCTTCTAGGGTTTTTATGGTTTTAGGTCTAATATTTAAGTCTTTAATCCATCTTGAATTAATTTTTGTATAAAGTGTAAGGAAGGGATCCAGTTTCAGCTTTCTACATATGGCTAGCCTGTTTTCCCAGCACCATTTGTTAAATAGGGAATCCTTTCCCCATTGCTTGTTTTTCTCAGGTTTGTCAAAGATCAGATAGTTGTAGATATGTGGCATTATTTCTGAGGGCTCTGTTCTGTTCCATTGGTCTATATCTCTGTTTTGGTACCAGTACCATGCTGTTTTGTTTACTGTAGCCTTGTAGTATAGTTTGAAATCAGGTAGCATGATGCCTCTGGCTTTGTTCTTTTGGCTTAGGATTGACTTGGCGATGTTCTTTCAGAGATTCCCTGCCCAGAGGGAGGAATCTAGAGAGGCAGTCTGGCTACAGCGGCTTTGCGGAGCTGCGGTGGGCTCCACCCAGTTGGAAATTCCCAGCAGCTTTGTTTACACTGGGAGGGGAAAACCACCTACTGAAGCCCCAGTAATGGTGACACCCCTCCACCCACCAAGGTCTAGCATCCCTGGTCAACTTCAGACTGCTGTGCTGGCAGTGAGAATTTCAAGCCAGTGGATCTTAGCTTGCTGAGCTCTGTGCGGGTGGCATCCCCTGAGCTAGACCAATTGGCTCCCTGGCTTCAGCCCCCTTTCCAGGGGAGTGAACAGTTCTCTCTCACTGACATTTCAGGCTCCACTGGGGAAAAAAAATAAAAAATTAAAAAAAATAAATAAAATTTAAAAAACTCCTGCAGCTAGCTCAGTGTCTGCCCAAACAGCCACCCAGTTTTGTGCTTGAATCCCAGGGCCCTGGTGGTATGGGCATCTGAGGGAATCTCCTCATCTGTGGGTTGCAAAGACAGCAGGAAAAGTGTAGTACCTGGGCGGGAGTGCACCATCCCTCAGGGTACCATCCCTCACAGCTTCCCTTGGCTAGGGGAGGGAGTTCCCTGACCCTTTGCGCTTCCCAGGTAAGGCAATGCCCCACCCTGCTTCAACTCACCCCCCGTGGGCTGCACCCCCTGTCTAACCAGCCCCAGTGAGATGAGCCAGGTACCTCAGTTGGAAATGCAGAAACCACCTGCCTTCTGTGTTGATCTTGCTGGGAGCTGCAGACCTGCACTGTTCCCATTCGGCCATCTTGCTAGCCACCTAGAATTTTAAACTTAATTAAAATTTTAACTGTCAAAATTACTGCGTTAAAATGCCTTGAGAAATTTTTACCAAAGATGAAGAGAAATTTCCTCCTTCTCTATCAAGACTCCAGTAAATTAATTATAGGTACTTTATATTAAGGCAGTGAATGAAATATTCCGAGCTCCAAGACAGAGTGACATTTGTTGGAAGAGCTTGTCAACAAAATATCTTTATTTTCTAATCAAAGTAAGATTAAGCAATAATCAGGCATTACTGTCCTGAGTTTCATGTTTCCACTAGTGAAGTCTTCTTCTCTGTTTAAAGGTTTTGAGTAGGACTGGAGCTTATTTTCATCATAAGAGGGACAAAAAGAAAGGAGTTTATACATAGTCCACCCAATATAATGAACTTCTTTCTACAGAGGGATACCAGCTTCCAGATCTATCCTGAGATAAGTGACACGGATGAGCAGTTGTAGAATTTCCTTTCTTGCATGGGTGTGAGAAACCAATATCATCTTTTCTAACAAGAGATTGTTCTTGCAAAAGAACAAGCATGTACAAGTTATTATGATATAGTACAAAGATTGTTGAACACCTCAAGTCCATATTTCATCCATTTGAAATGGATTTATTTACACCTTACCCTAGGAATAAAATGGCCTCAGCCTGGCTGTACCATGCTCTCTTAGTGACAGTTTTCCAAGTCTACATGTGCAGAGGTTAAGGAAACATTGTTATGTAGCAAACGGCTAGGAATCCCACATTCTCTGATCCAACATTCTTCACAAAATTGTCCAGGGGTCCTTGGAACACTATTATTAGGCATTATACTTTTCAAATCCTTAAATTAATCTGTGAAGATTTCTGTCACATTTTAATTTATATCTTTTTATATATCACTGAAGCTGAATATTTTCTCAGCTTTTATAATTTTATCTTCTGTGAGTTTCTTTGCTTATGTCTTTTGTCAGAGTGCCTTTTCTTGAAATTAAAATTGATTTTATTTTAAATTTCTTATTATAAAACATCCACTTCCTTATATTTAAACCCTTAAGTCATATAGAAAATTAGTTTTGGCCTTTGAGTTTTTAAAACCATGTCCTTAGCGCCAGGTTTGGTTTGTAAGTAAGCACACATTTAGTTATTAGAACATAAGTGTTGGACTCTAAAATGAAGTGAATAAGTCAGAGAAGTGGTCATAAGCCTATTGGAATTGACTTAATTGAAAACAAAAATAGAAACAAAAGTTAGATTGTGTTTGAGGACATGCTTATAAATCACAGTTTTTCACAATAGCAACGATGTGGAATCAACCTAAATGCCCATTAAAGATAGATTGCATAAAGAAAATGTGGTACATATACACCATGGAATACTATGCAGCCATAAAAAAGAATGAGGTTATGGCCTTTGCAGGGACACGGATGGAGCTGGAGGCCATTATCCTTGGCGAACTGACACAGGAATAGAAAACCAAATACCACATGTTCTCACTCATAAGTGGGAGCTAAATGATGAGAACACATGGACACATCGAGGGAAACAACACACACTGGGAACTTTTGAGGGGCAGAGGGTGAAAGGAGGGAGAGGATCAGGGAAAATAACTAATGGGCACTAGGCTTAATACCTGGCTGGTGAAATAATCTGTACAATAAACCCCCAGAACACAAGTTTACTTATGTAAGAAACCTGCACTTGTACTCCTGAACTTAAAAGTTAAAAAAAAATAAAAGTGATATGAATAAATAATAGTAAAATTAATAAGTAGAAAGTAAATCAAAATATAAATATACTGTGCAGCAATCTCACTGTTGCATGGCATAGCCCACATTAGCTAACAACATTGTAAAAAACTTTACTGAAGACTATTTATTTAACCAAAAGTTTATATTTATATGCCTGGATGTGTTTTATGCATTAATACATAGCTGTTTTCCAAAATATACTTAAGGCAATATACAAAAATCCTGACAATATGACTAGGGGTTGTTGAGTGAACAGAAAATAAGAATACCAGGAAGTTAGCTGTGGTATAATATAAGGTTCCCAATATGTGCCTTGATTTTCTTTAAATAAACTTTTAATTTTAGAAAAGTTTTAAAGATTTACAGGAAAATTGTGAAAATAGAATAGAGTTTCTATATACTCCACAATCAGTTTCCCTGACTGTAATATGTAACATTAGTATGTTAGATTTATCACAATCAGTGAACCAGTTTTGATACGTTATTAACTAAAGTCCATCTGCTATTCATAGTTTCTTAATTTTTATCTAATGCCTTTTTTTCTGTCCCAGGATGCCATCCAAAGGATACCACTTTGCATTTAGTCATCATATCACCATAGGTCTCTTGGCTGTGATTCTTATGACTTTTTAAAATATGGAAAGTTTGTATAATAAGGGTTACGTAAAATCAGATAAATTCAAGGTTGTGTTTAGAGACAAAATAGGTGTTATGAAATTATGTTCTGTCTCTAGAGGTGGGCAACAAATATGACCCTGAACCCCCAATGTCCAAAAGAAACAAATACACCAGTTGTTTACAGTGCTTCACAGAAATGAAACTCTTCCTGATAGTGAGTCCTGAGATAACCTCCTCATACAGCCTTCAATAAGAGACCACTTTGTAGTGTCCTAAGCATTTTCCGTAACATACTTTTATGTAAAGTAAAAAATGGCTTACAAAGGCTATTTTCTATAGCATCTTTGAGGTTAGCCAAGGTCGTAATGACTAAGTGTATTTCAGGTGTGGGGAGGAAGGATCAAAGTGGAGTCAAGGCCTGAAGCTATGCAAGTTCCTCAGAGGTCTGGGAAACTTCCCTTAAATAATAGGTAGCTGATCCTACAGGGCTCTTCTCCAGGCTTCCGGAAAAGACTGTCCAACTCAGTCATCGCCATGTCTATTTCACAATACACCCACTGAGTCCACCTCACCCCCCACTTTCCCTAGTTTCTTCTTTGATGCAATACAAGCAAATGACTTTTAAACCTAGCTATTTGAAGAGAGATTTCGATGGGCGATTTAGGGTCAGTGGACATAAGGTCAGGTAGTTGTTGAGGCTGGTGGGACTATAAGGGACTGGATTTCCACAGGCAAGGATGTGAGGCGCCCCACAGATTGTAGGATAGCTGCCTGCTCTGTTTTTTCCTACATCACAATTTATTTGGTCAGGGGCAGCTGCTCATAAAAATGAAACATATTTTCTTTAGCCACATCTGTCTATAGTGCACGGTTGCCAAAAGTTTGAAGCTACCTTTTCTATGCATTTCTAATATGCCAGAAACCAGATGGGATTTTCTGTAATTGCAATCATTTATATTGTTCTCTAGATTTAGAATTCCTATGTGAACAGGATTGTCAATTAAACCATCTCTGCAATTAAAATAAAAGTGATACCCACTACGCCTAAGCCCATACACACACACACATATACACACTGACAAAAGACATACACATAAAGACACACTGACACAACAACTGTTGTCACTGACCTAGGTCTGTACCCTAGGATTAGTAGACTCTTATTTGATTTCTGGCTTTACTCCTTGGTATGTGTGGCTTTGGAAAAAGCAAATTAACATCTCTGGGCCTCAGTTGCCTCATATGTAAGCAATGTGCCAATGTTAAATAACAAAGTGAAATAAATTATGTGATCCTCCTAAAAACATTAAATAGTAATATTATCTTAACTATACTCTTTACCTCTTTATATACACATATGTAATGTACATATATTCAACACTATTTTACTTATCTAATCATGACATATGATCTCTATCTTCTATATCACAATTAGAACCATGTGCCCTTTCCTGTGTGATATTTGTCATAAGGTTCCCCTCGTATTTCTTTCTGTTCTTTTGAATTCTTCACCTTTCCAGTTGTCAGATCTATGCATAGGCTCTCAAGATACTCATCTCAGGGGAAATTTTTATTGATTAGGTGCAGTTGGGAATTTGTCTCTATCTTCATTTGATCCTTACCTAAGGAGAAAAGACCCCATGACCCTGCAGAGGACAGACACTACTGTGGGCATGTTATCCTTCATCCTCAATAGGGCAGGCTATGCCAGTGGCGTGGGGCAGCCTGACCTGTCCATCTGTAAGTAAATGCCACTAGTGTGAACCCTTCTAACCCCACCTTACCACACCCTGGGACCATCTGTTACCATCTGTTACCAGCACATCTTTGATCTCCTCCTGAGGAGTCTCTGTTTTTCTTGCTGCCATTGTCAAACTTTTCTCTTAGATCATAGATTCCTTAAAGATTGTGAATGTAGGATACATTTTTCTATTGCCTCCCCAGCAAGCACAATGAAAAGGTGAGTGTGTGATACACAGAGTTGAACGAATGGAAAAGAGATGACATTGAGCATCCCTCAGAAGTTCCCTGGCATAGATCTCTCACTGCCTCAAAGCTCCTATTACCTATTATAATTCAAGTACTATTTCAGATGGGGCACCCTACCAGCTTTAATGCTGCTGCAAATTCCACAGTGGAGGACAGGGATCTGAAGGACAAGCTCATGTGTTTTGTGGAGGATTAAGGTCATGAGCAGTTAGGATCTTGAGACCCCTGGCTTTCTTGACTAAGGCAGGGTGTTGCGAGAGATTGGATATCATGAAAGCAATGACAAGAGTTTGGGTTCCTTAGAGGGAGTGGCCAAAGATGTATAGATAGAAAGGCACCAAAATCAAACCTTGTTACATTTCTAAACATAACTTTGTGTGATTTCCTGCAAATCACAGATGCTCCTTGACTTATGATGGTATTACATCCTGATAAGCCCATTGTAAGTTGAAAGTACTATAAATCAAAAATGTGTTGAATACACCTAACCTGCCAAACATCATAGCTTCATAGCTTAGCCTAGCCTGCCTTAAATATGCTCAGAAATTTTACATTAGCCCACAGCTGGCCAAAATCACCTAACACAAAGCCTATTTGAGAATAAAGTGCTGAATATTTCATGTAATTTATTGAATACTGTACTGAAAGTGAGAAACAGAATGGTTATGTGTACTCGAAGTCCAGTTTCTTCTGAATGTGTATATCTTAAGTCAAACTGTTGTATGTCGGGGACTGCCTGTATTTCTTAAACTTCCCAAGAGTTCTTACTGACAGGCCTAACATGCCAGTGTTGATTAAGTAGGCTTTTTGCTAGTTTCAGAGGAAAATAAATGTGTAAAACTATAAGTAAGAACCCAGTTGACCAAATTGAGCAGTAGCAAGTTTCTTGAATGGCAGAAAAGGTGACTGTGTGATTATGACTGAACAACTCAAAGAACCCTGGACCTCCCTTTAATTCCGCTGGCTGGGAGGGAAACATAGTGAAGATTCATGCTGCATTGGTTTTCTTTTTTCTTGTTAAATGGATTTTTGTTGGTTGTCTTAGATACAATTATTTGATTTAGCTTGGAAAGTTACTCAGGATCTAAAGAGAAAAGTTTCCGGAGAGAATTGGTGTATTTTTAATGAGTTTTTACTAGGGAAACAATGTAAAATTATAATGGAAACCTACTGGGAATTTTCCCACACTCCCATCACTTTATCAAATTTGCCATCACATGTCTTTTTATATTATAGACTTTTATCCTATACATAACAAACTCCTACATGTTATAGAGATATTTTTGATCCAGTCTTGTAATCTAAATTTTCAATTTTATATTGGATTTAAAAAAAATCTTTTTCTCTTCCCATTGTATCTGTAGCCCTTCCCTTATCTTCTCTTAATTCTGGCAAGTCTAAAAAATACATCATCAGCGTGGTGTTATCCCCAATCTATTGGTTACTTTTGTTTATAATGTTGCTTTGTTTTAAATTCTTTAATGTTTTGAGGAAAACTAACAGGGCTTAATACATATATTCTGCAATAAAGGCAGGATCAATCAACTACTTAAGTAAATCTAGCAGTTGTTCATTATATACTATTACATCATAATTAACTTGTGAGTGTGTAAGAACATGCTATGGGCTGAAAAAAATTATTTATATCTGTGCCCACAGAAGTTTATAGTCAAGTTGAGGTGTTGGGGCATACTCACATGATTCTATAACTAACAGGAACTAATCATATATAACAGCAAGCTAAGCTGAAATAATAGCATGCCAAATTGTGAGATGCAGAGACTGATAGGACAAGGAAGCACATACTATACACGATGTGCTAATTGTGAAGTTCAGATCCATGCAGAAAGAGAGAGAGTGCAAGAGTGCCCTGCAGCCTTCTTGTATCATCAGGGAAGGAGTCTCAGAAGAGCGGCTGATAGGGGCTGCTGCCCTGGCAGCATTCAGAGAGGAGCAGGAATGGATTTCCAGTCACTATTGGAAATGATCTATGAGCTATACTGGGCTGTTTGGTGGAATGTGCTTGTCTCATGCCCTCTTAGAGCTATAGCTCACCACGGCCATGGCTCTGAGAGTTTGTGCCAGCCCTGAGAGAACACATTAGGGAAGAAAGAATAAATCTCTGTAGAACAAGACATTCTTGTGTTTTTACATTTTTACTAGCTAGAGAAAAAATGGATAGTAAACAAGAAATAATGGAAAATGATATTGTACAAACCAAAGAAGAGAGACCATTTCACTATATATATATCACAGAGAATGTGAAGGGTGTGTGCATGTATAGATTTAAAATCCTGATAATAAATTTATAAACCTGTCATAAGCAAGGGATATCATTTGTTGCTATCAGGAAGACTAGAGACTCCTGTTAGGAAACAAACAGAGTTAATTTCCATCTCTAGCATGCTGCTTACTAGGTATGGGTCTGGGAGCAAGGTCAATTTCATCCTCTGTGGAATGAGAGCTTTTGTGTCTTCTTCATAAGATTTGAAGGGAGACAGAGTACAAACAGATGCTAGTTTGTCCTGTTTTCCTTTAAAAAAAAATTCTAATCCCAAACATGTTTATTTTTGAAGGTGACTTTGAGCTTGTGTTAAGTAGCACTAAAAAGTCTAGTCTAGCCATCAGTTGCCCTTGAAGAACGGCCTTAAGGTCAACTCATTGGTTGAAAAAAATTGGCCTTCGGAGTGAAACTATCATGTGATAGTTTGGGAATCCGAAAGAATCACAGGACTAGTATGGAGACAGTACACTCTCCAGTTATCATTTGAGGGATATGAGCACTCTTTATTTCTTAAACACTCAGAGGAAGTACTCTTAGACCATTACAGTATTGATCATAATGGTAGATTTCATGAAATGTGAAAACCCATTGTCTTTTTCATGGAGTATCTTTTTATAGTTGGCTGGGAGCTAATGCATTGTGTGTATCTGCCAATGAGAGTTGTTTTAGTTTTCTCTGCAGCCTTAACAAATTATCATGATGTTAGCAGTTTAAAATAACACCCATTTGTTATATAACAGTTATGTAGGTCAGAAGTCTCAGTAGAGCATGGCTCCATTGAGTCTTGTTTAGCATCTCATAAGGCTCTGGGGATGAATCAATCCTAAGCCTGTTTAAGTTGTTGCATGAATTCTCTTCCTGGAGCTGTTGTCCTGAGGTCCCCATTTCTTTGCTGCCTATTAGCCAGCAGTTGTTCCTAGAGGTTGTTCCTGTAGGTTGTCTACATCCCTTTTCGTGCTTTCCACATGACCTCTCTGGCAACAATGGACGCAGTCCCTCCTGTGCTTCCAATCCTTACATTTGTGCCCTGTTTCTCTAATCCCAGGCAGAGAAAGTTCTCACTTTAATGGCCCATATGGTTTGGAATTTGCCCACTTGAATAATCTAGAATAACCCCATTATTTTAAGGCATTTAATCTTAATTACATATGTAAAGTACCTTTGCCATGAAGTGTAACTTTCACAGGTTTCGGAAATTAGGGTGTGGACATCTGTAGGGGGCCATTCTGCCCCCTGTTAAAAGCTATTACTCTGCTATCAGTTTTTTAAGGTATTTTGTCCTCCTCAAAATCACTTTTTAAATTTCAATTCCATGAGCTTGGCGACCCTGCCATCTAATATACCCAAAATATAACTCTCAGAGGGTTAGTTCCTGATATTCCGGTGACACTGCTTTGCCTCAAATATACACTTATTCGTTATCATGGATTGCCTCTTAACATGAGTACTGAGTATTTTCCCCCATCCCTGTTACATTTCTTAGTTGTAGGATCTATTTTCTAGATTATCAAATTAAAAGAAAGTGGTTTTTATTGATAACTATGCTTCATTACACTTGAATACTTGTCTGTGAATATTATATGGGACAATGATCAGGAAAGTAGTTAAAAATATATTTGACCACATTTCCTGGTAGTGATGTGGGAAAATGTAGATGCTGAACCATCTGTTGTCATTTGGTAGGATTCAGCTGGCATGAGGCTCAGGCTGGCTGATAAGAGACCATTACTGACATGGGTACTCTGAGACCCTTCCTCATATGGGTGCAAACAATGGCTCCTGGGATGTGGGTGAACTCCTAAAGGACCAAGAGACAAAAGCCTACATCCTCAGGTGTTGATTCTTTTTTTTTCCCCCTAGTATTTACTTCCTTTAAGTGTAGGAAGATAAATTGAGGAAAATCACACATTATTACTGTAAGATTGTAAAATCCTTGTTCTTCAGGCTGTTTTTCTCTTCTTCATTCCTTTGGCTTACTTGTCCTTCAGCCATTTCACTGCTAATATAATTTCTACCAGCAAGTGAACGGTGGCAGAGAAATGACAGTTATATCTTACTCTAATTATCAGCCTGATATACGGTTTGGAGAATGAGATGGTGAAAACCAGGGGCCAGAAGAGTGGGCTCTTTAGTCATCATTACTTGTCTCCAGGATCCCAGTAACAATCCAAGTAGCCTATAGATGGCCTTTACTATAAAGACCTGGGCATACTTAGAATCCAAGTGGGCACTGTTGGAGCTTACCTAGATAATCCTTTCCTTATTTTACAAGATGAAAAACCTGGACCTAGAAAGGTTTATGAGCTGTCACAGCCCAGAGAAGCCTAAAGAAACAAGGAAAATAAATGAACAGTGATATCCTGGATAGAATTCTGGGACAGAAAAAGGAAAAAAAAATGATGAAATCTGAAAAAAATAAAATGGAGTTTAGTAAATAATAGGGAAAATAAAGGAAGTCCTACCCTGGGACCTGCCCATTGAAAGGATGCCCACTCTGGGTACCCTCAAGTTGCTAGTGTCTGCATGACTCTTCCAGCACTTCCTGTTTCCATTGTCCTAACCTGGGTTCTCCTTTTCTTGCTGAACTTATTTGCCTGTGCCTGTCCCTGTTCCTAGTTTCAGGAAGGGCTTCCACACTGCAGAACTCCAAGGGCACCATTATCATCATGTTCTTTGTCAATGACATCCACTGGAGATGTGCAGTCCAGGCAGTACTCCTTGGGTAAAAGTTTCTGCCTCTGGACTAGATGTCTGTAGCAGAACCTGGCAGCCTACTGCCTAGACCCATCCTCTTCCAGTCTCTCTCATGTCCCAGGTTCTGCCTGGAGAAAAACTATATGACATCAGGAATGCTTTTACTTCTCTGTGCCTATTTCCTTCTAATACTTTTCCTCTGTTAATTAAAAAAATTCAAAAATCATAAGAGGCCATCAAATGCTTCTACACATTTGGCCAACTAATAATGGTCTTCTGCATGGGCACAGAACACAAACACCATGTACATTTCCTCATACGATATTTAGAAAATTGCCCCTGTGATCCTCATTCATATGTATGGTTCTCCATTCTGTCCTCAGAATTTGTTACTGAAAGTTGCATTGGTCAGTATGAATAAACTAAGACCAGAATGCAAATCCACTGTATTTTCTCCGTACGGGCTTCCCACCAGCTTATGTCTGGCCAGGTTTTGAACAGTTGCAGAGAAAGTGTGCTTACTGTAACAGAGTGGCTAGGTGGGGAGGAAAGCACCTGATGGATCATCATTTGCATCTTCATATGCCCTTTGTGCTCCAGGATGCCTTATTTCCCACTAATAAATCACCATAAGCTTGAGGCCTTTGTCTTGACAACATCATTTTCTCTCAGTCCAAGAGCATTTCATGGTCTTGGTGATATATGATGAGACTTCGTACTCATGTGGATTCCTGTGTAAAGAATTTCTCTTTATTGGATTTTTTCCCTTTGAAATTTAGCCAAAATTTAATGAGAAAAAATTATCCATTATGGGGGTTTTGCTTTTAAAGCAAATATGACTGTCCAGTTGCAGGTGTCTTATAGGTGCTATCTGCTTTCAGTTAAGAGCAATTTAGATATCAGATTAGAAACCCTTCCCGTTGACTGACATCTTACAAATGAAATCTGCAGCCTCTTGAACTTAATTATATCTTCATGAATATTGTAAGGCTTCAAAACTTGGCTGTGGTTTTGAAACTCAGCCAGGGAGGTATTAATGGTGTTATAATTTGTATTTATGTAATGTTCTTTCTTCCAGCTGGTTCAAAGTACCTAACGCATTGTTTCAGTCTCTCTACATAGACTGAAAACCTCACTGTACCCATTTATAAATAGGGACCCTAAGGGTCAACGAAGTGACACAAATTAGTAAAGTCCACATAAAACTCTAGGAGGTTTCTTTGTGCTCTGAATGCCTCCCTAGGAAAGTTGTGTTCACTGTTGAGATGTGTTTTATTTATATCACATTGTGCTAAATACACATTCAGTCTCAACTTCTGCTTCAGCCATCAATCCCAGCTCCTGTTCCCCTTTTCTCTTTCTTTGCCCACCCACTTGATTTCCATCAATAACTTCTTCCTACTCCAAGTCCTAGAACATCATTTTTAATCTTTAAAGTTCAAGACACTTTCCCAGGGCCCCCAAAATGGTAATTTTTTTAATGTGTAGGTCTATGATGAGCCCGGAAATCTCCATTTTAACAGATACATTAAAAGAGTACAATGCTTATAATTTTTTAAATACCTCATGACATGGTTTGGCTGTGTCCCCACCCAAATTTCATCCTGAATTGTAGCTCCCATAATCCCCACGTGTCCAGGAAGAGACCTGGTGGGAGGTAATTGAATCATGGGGGCAGATTTTTCCCATATTGTTCTGGTGATAGTGAACAAGCCTCAAGAGATCTGATGGTTTTACAGAGGGCAGTTCCCCTGCACATGATCTCCTGCCTGTGTCCATGTAAGATGTGCCTTTGCTCCTCCTTCACCTTCTGCCTTGATTGTAAGGCCTCCTCAGCCATGTGGAACTGTAAATCCATTAAACCTCTTTTTCTTTATAAATTACCCAGTCTTGGGTATGTCTCTATAGGAGCTTAAGAATGGACTAATACACCTCACAATCAGTTTGGATGTGGAGTGGGAGAGTTGGAAAGAGTGTTAGTATCTTGAGCCTGAGCATTATGGTGTAGTAGAATCTAGGCCATCCATTCTTTCTTAAATTGAGTTCTCAAGAAGCAGAGCCAGAGGCAGAGATTCCTTTGCTAATGATTTGTTGAGGCGTGCTGTCAAGAGGAGAGGAAGTAAGCTAAGACTGGGGAGTAAGTTAAGTAATGTCTCAGCTGGAGAGAAGCTGCAATCTGATTCCAGGAAATCCTCTGAAACACAGATTGACTGAGAGTTAGCAAGGGGTCCAGGCTTTTGAACTCCACTATCCATCATTGGTTGAGTTCTGGCATACAGCAAACGATGGGGGAACAGAGTCTTCCTGATGAGGCATTTCCTGTTCGCCTGAGAGCAATTCCTCACAGAAGATGGCAGCTGTGGGTTGATTTTAGCAACACTCCATCAGCTGTGCTGTGAGTGTTCTAGTTGAAAAGGTGGTCTAGGCTGGTCACCAAAAGTATTGGCTACATCTCTCCACTCAACAAGAGTTACCTTTGCTCCTCGCCTTGACCTCCTGGCTTTTCCCTTTCTCCAGTATTGGCAACTCTTCTGATTTGATGCCAAGACACAGTCCCATCTTGAACCCAGTTCCAGTACCCGACTCTGTATATTTTTGTGCCTGAGTCCCTGTCTTGGTAGCTTCTATGATACCACAACTAATTAAAAACTTGTTCTGAATAATGCTTTTCCTAAAGAGTGATGTCCTGCCCTGGGGCCTGCCATTGAAAGGTTGCCCACTCTGGGTACCCTCAGGTGTTTGTGTCTGCATGACTCTTCCTTTACTTCCTGTTTCCAAGGTCCCAACCTGGTTTTTCGCTTTCTTGCTGAACTTATTTGCCTGTCCCTCTTCCTGGTTTCAGGAAGGGCTTCCACACCACAGAACTCCAAGGGCACCATTATCATCATGTTTTCTGTGGATGGTGATGGTGACCTCTGGAGATGTGGAGATGTGCGGTACAGCAGTCCAGGCAGTACTCCTTGGGCAAGTGTCTGCCTCAGGACTACACTTCTGAAGCAGAACCTGGCAGCCCACTGCCCAGACCCAGCCTCTCCCAGTCTCTCTCATGTCCCAGGTTCTGCCTGGTGATAATCCATATAAATTCAGGAATGCTTTTACTTCTCTGTGCCTGTTTCTTTGTAATACTTTTCCACTTTTAATTTTTTAAAAAATTGGAAAATCACAAGAGGCTATCAAATGCTTTTACATATTTGGCCAACTAATAATGAAATTAAATGTTTCAATCAAATCACTTGGGGGATATATTCCTAAAACGTTCTTTGGACAGAGTAAACAAAGGAACTAAACTATATATGGAAAGTAAGGGATAGGGATATTAAGCCAGCTTCCTAGTCTCTGGGATTGCTGCCTGCACACGACTTGGCCTTCTCATGAAATTCAGGGTCTGTGTGCTGTGGCAGAAATTCAAAAAGCGCTGCTTCCAGCTTCTTCCCTGCCAGGAAATCTCTCTTCTAAAGATACAGCACAATGATGTACTTGGTGAATCAGACTCAAATTTTGTGTTTATTTACAGGAAATTAACAAAAGTGAAAAAATTATAACGACTTGAAAATACTATAATAAATGTTATCATTATAATTTTAAAATAATGAGGCCACAAACAGGAATACACAATTCCCCCAAAAGAAAATGATTTACTTCCCCTAGTAACTAAAGAAAACAAAAAGAATAATTTTGCACTTGTCAAACTGGCATATATTATACAAAATGATAGTATCTACTGCTGGTCAGGATGTGGTAAAATGGGTGCTCAGATATGCAGCTGATGGTAAAATACATGCTATGATTTTTCCTGGGGGGAAATTTTCCAATATGGATCAAGAGTCTAAAGAAACGTCTTAATCGAACAATTTTACTGCAAATGATTCATACCAAGGAAATGATCACGTTATGCAATGCTAGAAATATTTGTGTGCAAACAGGAAAAATAAAAACTTCCTATATTCCTAATCTCCAACAGGTCAAATATTAGATAAATGCTAATATATTTTTACCACGAATTATAATGGCTCCATTTTACTGGGCTATGGCAGGTATGCTATGAATCGGCTTTTTCAATGGTGATATAATCCAGGCTCAAAGGTTCCTAAGACTGGCATGGAAAAGACAGAGCAGGGTTGAAGTTACTTGCATCTAACAAGCTCAGCCCCAACAAGTCCTCTATGTGGTCTATCTTATCCCGTTTGAATTCTGAATTTGGTTTGGGGCCCAAGCCCCAGCTAAAAAGAGAGTGTTAACTTTGCTTTCTTTGCCTCCACAGTTCACACATCCTTCTCAGGGCCTCTTGCATGTCTATGGCTTAGAGTAGGACTCATGAGCTTATGTATGTTTAAAATAGTCACTGTGGACTGAACACCATCTAGCAGATAAGGCCTTCAAAGAAATGATAGTCCACTGAGCCTGTCTATGCTAAACGTCTATAGGAGCTCCCTTTGACTTATTGCTTCAAATCTAAAGCCCTCTGATTTGTTAAAGTTCAATAAATATCTGTTATTATTCCCTGGCTTCCTGCAGTGGAATGTTATGGGGGTACAAGTTATAGAAGCCCAGAGTAGCTCTTTATTAACCAAGTTCATAAAGGCTTGGATCTGCCCTGCCCCCTCCACACTCGGTATCTCCTCTCTGTTTGCACCACTATCAATACCAATGCTACTTAGCAGCCCCTTCCTCCTTCTTCTCTTCTCTACTCTGTGTCTTATTCTTGCTTAATAGCCATCTTATGCCCAGCCTCCTCCATAAATCTTCCCTGGGATGCCACAGTGACTGCAGCATTTCTTAAATCCTTGTCCTTATAGTTGGACCCACAAAGTTTGACTGTATTCTATACAAACAGCACAGAGTTAGACATATGAAACATACTCCATGAACAGCTAAGTAGGCAATTTTCCAAATGGAAATGCAATCACTGTGGTATTAAATTCTTGTTCTCTTGAATAACTTCAAAGAATGAACTGGCATTCTCATTTTAATTTTATTCTAGAAGCAAGTAAAAATTCCTATTATATCAGGTGCTGACATTTTCATCCCATCAAATAACTGAATGGACATGAGCATTCAACAATTCCCTTCCACCCAAACTCAATTCACAACCTTAACATGGAACATAATTTTTGCTCTATGTTTAAGGGACTTGAAGAACATCTCATAGTTTCAGACTAAAATAATAATCTGAACTTTTCCCTTTCATTTTTTCCATTTATACACACTCATTTTATTTCCACAGACATTAAGAGCTCTGAATTTGACTAATATACTAAATAGACACCTCATTTATATTACAGCTTTTATTCAATAATCTTGAGTGATAGCTTATAGTCATCATATCAGGTTTTCTTTTGAATATTCTTAAATGTATTGTAGTCACCATCAATAATAATCATGCTTCAGTTAGATCATCATCCTATTGCTGAGTTATCAGTCATTCACTATAAGAATAATTGAGATAATATGAAAGACAATTGTCTAAATAACTTATTACTGCATGAAAATAAGCAAAGTGCGCTGATATCACAGAGTCTACTCTGACAATACAAAGAAGGTTTTGCAAATTGGTGGCAGGAATAGGGGAAGTGCTGTGCTGGATTTCTGGCAGCACGCTAGCCCTCAGCTATCCTTTCCCTTAACATCATAAGCTACGTTGGGCTTCTGTAACTTGTACCACCATAACATTCCACTGTGGGAAGCCAGGGACCATGGAAACCCATTAAACTGCAACATCCCTTGGCACACAAAATAGGCTTTTCCTCCTTAATGAACACAGTTTGAAAACAATCCACCAAGGAATTTTGTATGCTGTTTCAGTTTACATTAGCAGTTGCAGACGTACCTGGTGACTATGACTCAGCAGTCGTTGAGGCATAAGGAAATCATTTCTGCCTTCACTTTAGATTCTGTGAGCTTTCAGGGGGCACTACTGAAAAATCAATGCCAGGTATGTACTTAGAGAAGCTTCTGTTAATGGTTTTCCTGTTGACCTAGCCCATAGAAGAATCTGTCATATTTAATTAGTGTGGCAGTATCATGCTGATCAATCTTTTCCCTGGTTTTTCTTTCTTAACTATTTCTGAGCATATACAGAATTAATACACCTATCTTGGTACTAGTGCCCATTTTTCAGCAAACTAGTCTCTGCAATGACTTTCTTGTCCCTTGTTGAAGGGTAATCTCTGCTGCTGCATTTTTGTTTTTGTTTCTAGCTGTGTAAGAAATTAGTGCAAGGGCCATACCACCCTGAATGCTCCCGATCTCGTCTGATCTCAGAAGCTAGACAGAGTCAGGCATGGTTAGTACTTGGATGAGAGAAATCAGAGCATGGGACCAAAGCCATATTTCTTTTTTTTGTTTTTTGTTTTTTTTGAGACAAAGTCTCACTCTGTTGCCCAAGCTGGAGTGCAGTGGTATGATATCAGCTCACTGCAACCTCCACCTCCCGGGTTCAAGCGATTCTCCTGCCTCAGCCTCCCAAGCAGCTGGGACTACAGGCATGCACCACTACACCCAGCTAATTTTTGTATATTTATTAGAGACAGGGTTTCAGTATGTTGGCCAGGCTGGTCTTGAACTCCTGACCTCGTGATCTGCCTGCCTCAGCCTCCCAAAGTGCTGGGATTGCAGGCGTGAGCCACCGCGCCCTGCCCCAAAGCCACATTTCTAACCTCACTCGTAGCTTAGCATGTCCTCTTATTGAGAAGGTTGCCTCTTTCTGTGTTCAGTTCAGTTGGAGGATGCTACAAAACAACAGGCCCCAAAATAGTAGGGTCCTCTGAATGCACACATTCTAGTATTTAACCCAAAGCATGTGCAAACCCACATGCATGCACACACATGGTGAGAGAGTTCTGCTGTACTACCACTGCATTTTGTACCCAGAACCAGGACTGCCCTCAACTAACACAGGCTTTGGTGTAAATCTAGTACCTCAGTCTAGATTCTTCCTTTATGTTGAGTTAAAGGTATCCATTGCTCATTCCTTCAATCTAGCCTTGGTTAGGTATGACTAACTATGGTCTATTTTTCCTGTTTTCTTGGTTTTGGTTAGAAAAACCAAGTGGTTAGCAGTATGTTAAGATTTCTGTCTCCCTCCCTCTCTCTAGAATTGGCTCCTTGTTTATGCAGTTTTGAGAATCAAATACATACAGCGAAGCGGTAGAGGGACCACTCCTATTTCATCTAAATTCCAAGCTCTAGTTGAAGATGTTTTTCTTGTAATATTATAAAATAATATACTTTTGGCATAAAAATGAACATGGAATAAGTGTAGACAAATAAGCACCTGACCACGTTTGTGTTTGTCTCATATATTCTCATCTCAAAATAACTAGAAACCATCAGGGAGAATCTTGATATGTTGCCCAATTAGTATTTTGGTAGGACTGAATCCCACGATGAAGACATCATCCGAAAAGGGAATAACACATGACTCTCTAGAAAGCAAAGTTCCCCAAAGCACTAAGAAAGTTCCACAGTCAACAGAAACATTGGCCCAGAGATGCTAAACTCCGTATGTTCCTCAATCACATTTCTGATGAGTGTGTTTTGGTAAGCTTGTGCAAGGTCACTTTGCAAAGACCTAACCCCAACGGTGCAGCCAGTCTTAACGAGAAGCCTTATAGGCATGGGCGCTGCTTCTCTGAGACAATTCCTTGTGGCACCTTAGAGCTTCTTTAAAGTTTGTTATCATTATTTGGGCTCTAAACTAATATTAACAACCATGACTGTATGCCTGCCTCAAGGGCCACTCATTTAATTAGAGTCTTAAGTTAACCTTTTTTGTGTATTTACCCCTAGAAGAGAAGGTGCACTTGAAACTTTTTAAGTGCATGAACAATGACTATGTCAGAAGAAATGACCATGTAACAGTCTGGGAACTCAGACAAAACCTTAGGGAATCAGTTAATAGTTTATTGTGGCGGTGTTGGTCTGAGGGTTTTAGAATCTATAATACTGACTTTTAGTGGTGAGCTTCTTTCCAAATTAGTTTTGCCTGTTGATTTTTAACCTCCTCTATGCAGTGATGAACAAAGCATCTATATAAAGAGCTATGCAAAAATTTGGTCTCTGTATTAACATCATTCATGTGAAATAAATCATGGCAACATTACATGTGATAAAATGTGGAAGGTCTCTTTATAGATTATATATTGTCTGCAATCAGGGACAAATTTTATTTTGTACACACAAACATTTGTTAATATTGTGACAAATATCACATCTTCCCATTAGCTTGCTGAGTGTAATGTTACTCTGGGACAGTAACTAAGCAAGAGACAGAAGTATCTTGTACTTAAGAGTAAGAGTTGCAGAGTCAGGCAGGCTGGGTGTTAATCTAGTGACCTCCACATCCACATCCAGCTGTGTGATCTTGGACAAGTTATTTGACCCACTAGTCTTTAGATTGTTCATCAATAAGTTGAGGTTAGTCCTATCAACCGTTTCATAAGTCCTTGTGAGATGAATAGAACAGCACATGTAAAGCACCTAATGGAGCTCCTATCACAGAGCAAACCTTTAATCACATTATCATTTATTTCCTGACACTAGGTCAGATGTTAGACTAGTTCTTGGACATATTTTAAAACTAAAGTTTGCATTTTAGAATACTGTTAAAGAAAAGTTGCAAAGATAGCACAGAGTTCTTGTATATCCCACATCTAGCTTTCTCTATTATTAATGTCTTATATTGCTACGTAACATTTGTCATAGTTAATGAACCAACATTAATGCATTATTATTAACTAAACTCTATTTTTTTTCAGATTTCATCTTTTTTTTTTCCTTTTTCTGTCCCAGAATTCTATCCAGGATATCACATTTCATTTATTTTCCTTGTTTCCTTAGGCTTCCCTGGGCTGTGACAGTCCTCAGCCTTTCCTTGTTTTTGATATCTTTGACAGTTTGTAGAGGTACTGGTCAGGTATTTTGTAGAATGTCCCTAAGTTTGACTTTGGCTAACTTATTTCTCATAGTTCAGTTGGGATTAGGGAGAGGAAGGCCAAAAGAAAAAGCGACATTCTCAAATATATATGATCAATTTATCAGTGATGATGTTAACATTGATCACTCAGCTAAGGTCGTGTTTACCAGACTTACCATAAACTTACTTTTTATGGCTTTTTAAAAAAATGCTATGCTCTTTGAAAGCTACTCACTCAGTGTACGACCCACTTAAAGAATGGGGAATTATGTTTCACCTTGCTGAGAACAGAGTATCTACATAAATTATTTGAAATTCTCCTGTGTAGATTTGTCTTTTCTCTCTCATTTGTTTTTTACTTAATCATTTATTTATATCAGCATGGGTATTTATTTTATACCCTGGATTATAATCCACTATCATCCTTTTTATTTTGTTACTCAATTTTTTCTGTCTCTGATGGTTGGAAGTCTTTCAGTTGGCTCTTGTGTCCCTTTGACATATCTCCATTTTTTATTGTTGTTGTTGTTGTTTTTATTTATTATTATTATTATTATTATTATTGAGATGGAGTCTTTCTCTGTTGCCCAGGCTGGAATGCAGTGGCACAATCTCTGCTCACTGCATCCTCTGCCTGCCTCCCGGATTCAAGCGATTTCTGGCTAAAAACATTGTTTTGTTTACTTTCTGGCACTACCAAGTGCTCTAGGCTCATCTTGTATATTTCCTTCACCTGCACTACACATGATTTTTTTTCCCCAAAAAGTCCTGATCCCTTTTATTGAAGAATTGTATTAGAAACCAAGATCTGGGCATTGGGTGTGCTTACTGCTATTGGAGTGTTGTTGATTCGGTGAAAAGAGCTAGGTATATACGTATGCCAGACCACATGTAAACATGTATCTGTAATCATTTCTGTATAAGTTTATCAGTTTATATACCAAACTAAATTTAAATTCATGCTGATGTTTCCAACAACCCTTTCCCTGTACCACATGGTTTATTCTAGCTTTCTCCTTTTGCGTATTTGTAACCTCCCAACCCAACAATGATAAAATGCTGACTTCTACCACCTGCTATTCATTTATTTGTTCAGTCTTGGTATACGTGTGTGTAGCTATTTGAAAATTATTAACGCATACCCCATGAGAGACAACTTTACTATCTATAGTGCAGTGCTTATATGTCATTCCTGAGTGTCATTTTAATAGATTTCGCTCAGACTGTGACCTCTCAAGGTGATCCTTCTTATTGTAGAATCTGTATTTGTCGTTCTTGTTTCTGTAAATATGCCCTTTACAACCTGAGCAGAGTGGCTGATGTATCCAGATAGATTTGCATTAAGTCTGGACCCTGCATTTGTTTTATCAACAGATGTTACTAAGACCTCCTTGCCTGTGTGCTCTTGATAACATTAATCTTCCTAAATTCTGGGATAGATATTGACTAAAGTTTCACTAGCCATGAGTTTTTATTAGGCCCTCGGGAATTCTAAATTTGACTTTTTGAAGAGATGCTATTGGGAGACACCATATAAAAGGCAACATTAAAGAAATCCTCACAATTACGACACTGAGACAGAGTGTCATTATTTAACTGGGCTGATAAGTCTACATAAAGTACCAACTAATAGAAGAAATGAACTTTAAACAAAAATCCACAGTATATCTTTTTCGTTTTTCTTTTCTTTTTTTTCTTTCTTTTTTTTGAGACGGAGTTTCACTCTTGTTGCCCAGGCTGGAGTGCAATGGCATGATCTCGGCTCACCACAGCCTCCACGTCCCAGGTTCAAGCGATTCTCCTGCCTCAGCCTCCCTAGTAGCTGGGATTCCAGGCATGCCCCAATATGCCTGACAAATTTTGTATTTTTAGTAGAGACAGAGTTTCTCCTTGTTGGTCAGGCTGGTCTCAAACTCTTGATCTCAGGTGATCCACCCTCCTCAGCCTCCCAAAGTGCTGGGATTACAGGCGTAAGCCACCAAGCCCAGCCAAAATCCACAGTATATCTTATTCCCATGTGTTGCTAATACTGTAGTAAACCTTATGGCCTATATTTAAATCACAAAGTCTGTTCAGAACATGGCAGGCTTCTGTTCCTTGCTTCCATTTCATCTACTTGGCATATTAATTCTAGGAAAACAGCTGAAGGATACTCTTTAATATGTCCTAAAATAGACTTTTTAAGTGCAACATCTTGTCAAGTTATAGATATTTTGTTGCATTCATTTAGAGTCAGTCATAAAAGTGGATTTACAATGTTAATGCCATATAACATTTATGGTTTTGTTTTGTAATAAGCAAGACCTCATATTGGTTACCAGAAGATGTTACATTAGACCCTAATAAAACAGGTCAGAAATAAGTAGAGCTTTTACAATAACTCTTGTATTTCACTCTGTATTTTCCCTTTGTGTTATTAGCTCAGCCTAAATCACTGCAGCATGAAAATAGAGATACTCAGAAAGGACATACCATTGCTTGGGATTCAAAGAGGACCATAATAGCATAAACTTTGAAGCTTTCTTACATATCTAAAGGAAAGCATCCTTCCTATCACCCATAAATAAATAGAGGTGGTGCTATGAGCATAGATCTGCCTTCTGCCTTCTTAGAGTGTGGGAGAGGCCAAGAGGAATAGGCTTGGCAAGGATTCTGACCCAGCAGGTTGTTGAGTAAGGAATTGGTTCTGATGGATTCTTACAACAGTCTAACTTCCCACACTGGCTAAAGCAGTCAGCTCTCTGTAGCATACTCTGTCTCTGTGATTACCTGCCAAATGCCTACTGCAGACCTGCAAAGATTAGTTACTTCGGGGGAGTGGTTTATTACTCCACAACACTGTTTTGAGCCAGGTCAATAATAACAGCAAAGGCACACAGCAAGCAGCCCTTGTTTCCTCTCTTATAGAAACAAAGAGCCCCACAATTCAACTGTTACTGATTGATCCTCGGCATCACTTTAACACCCTTGTGATTGCCCTTATTTGTTTTCCAGATACACCATAATTTTTTGAAATATGAATCAGCTAAATGCAATTGTATTTTCAGAGAATCAAGATCTACCATACCTTATTGTCAATTTGCAAAGAGCCTGCTGTTTATGTGTCATGCACATGAGAAATTTCTGTTTTAACAATAGATTGGAATGATGCATTTAGAAAAGTATCTGTATTGTTTGCACATGTAAAGCCCAGGTGGGGTTAAGCAATAGAAATTCAACTAATAATAACCGTGATAATAACATGTGCTTGATTAAATGATCTTTTCTTTCTTCTCTTCTATCCTACATAGCAGTTAATTTACATTTTAATAAACTGAATAGAAAATAATGGATTTGTTATATTTTTCTATGATGTCAGCAGAGATAACCCTTTAGGGAAAGAGTAAAATATAGTGTCAGAGGAAACAATTCCCAGGTCCTAGACTTGGGCACAGGCAAGGCTAGACAGTTCTGAATCTTATCTCAAATTCTCCCTGGAAGAGCATAAAGAAACTTTAGCAGCCAGGCCTCCAAGCAAAATTGAGGGCACTTTATCCCTTTGAGGTCATTATTTAAAAAATGACCTGATTAATCTTCCTTCAATAAATCTAAGACTCAGGCAATTTAAAGGAATCTGAATTTCATTTTCTTTGCTCGATATGTTAACAATATAAAATAATTACAGCCCTTTCTATTTTGATCTGAATTGAGATTGTATCAAATTAGGTATTGAATATATAATTCTGTCAGGCAAAAATAAGCAGTGGAGAGCTACAAATGTCGAGAAATCAGAAGAATATTTTCTCCAGGGGGAGTCACATTTACCATTGCTTCCCCGAATGCTTCCTTGCTTTATGAGGAGATAGAATAACGCGGTGTTTGTTCTTTTAATTTGAAGTTAATGACAAGAATTTAGATTTGAAAAGGTACCACTGTACCTACGTGCATAGTGATGGGGTTGCATTAATGAACTCAAACAGGCATCAACAAATGTACTTTATTGGAGCTAAACATTCTTTCAATATTTTTCAATTCTGAACATTCAAACTGGCACAATATTACTAACAACTCAGAACAAACAAACATTAAGCTAATAATTTTTGCTAACAAATGTCCTGTTGTCTGTAATGGGACTGCTCCACTAGTTGGGTAGGACTGCTGCTGCGTGCATGCACAGTGCTGCCTAATAGGGAGTGCCTGCATATGAATTCCTCATCTGTCCTTGCTGACTCTGTGACCTTGAACTTAGGACTCCTGATTTTAGTGGGCCAGCCAATGTATTTCATTCTCAAATTTAGATCCGAATAAGAAGTAGACCTAGGAATATACTTGTGAGTGCACATAGAACATTCAAAGGAATTTATAAAAAATTAGAATTAATATGTACATTTAGCAAGCTTGCAGGATACAAAGTTAGTATGCAAATATCACCAGTATTCCTGTATACTAGCAACAAACAATTAAAAAATAAAAATATGCCAATTGTAGTAGTATCAGAAAAATCAAACACATGGATTCTGCACACTGAAAGATAAAAAAAATTGCTGGGATAAATTAAGAAAACTAAATAAATGAACACTTTCTTCTAGAAATGCTCCATACCATGACCTGGGCAGCAGTTACATGAATGTGTACATATGTAAAAAGTTTTTGACCTATAAAGATTTCTGCACTTTACTATATGTGATTTATACTTCAGTGAAAAACAAAACTAACTGATAAACAAAAGACATACTGGATCGGGAACATGGTTTTGATATGTGCCCACAATGGAGAGCCTGCGTGCTGCTGCACTCAGGTAGCCGTTTATAGCCCTTGTTGAGCTTTCACAATAAGAACATGATTACTATTTAGAACCAAGGCAGCTATTTTCATAACCCACTGTGAAGCAGTTAGGCAGGTATTCTTTTGAAAGTAAATAAACACAGTCAACTACAATTATTTGGTTCCATTTAGCATATTACAAAAAGTAATGGTTTAATGATATCCTAGTGGTCCCAAATAAAGTACCACAGAAAATGATCATAAAATTTCCTTCTCACTAATAACTCTGAGACAAGTGTTATGAAAAGGCACTAAACCCCAGGAAGCCAAAGTGTTTTCACCTTCCCACCAGGTGACAATGTTATTAGTTTATAATTCTCTATTTACTAGCCATGAAAATATAGGAGCTTTAGAGGACAGGGCAGCCTATAATAGATTTTGTTTGTTCAATAATAGATCCTTACAACATTATCTAGACAGTTGCTGTAGTAAAGGAAATGGCCCTATAAAAGCCACATGACTTTCCAACTTTATGTCACATGTTCCTGCATGCTAGTTTATTAGACTTGGGGCCAGCAGGGCTGAGACTGAGGTAGTAGCTGAAGAGAGTTCTTCCTGACAGTAGGACCCTCCTGGGTGTACAGAGCCCAGGGGACTGGCAGAGTAAGAGAGCATAGGTACTCACTTCAGATGGACACAAACACACAAACTCTGTGTTTATTTTGGAAAGAGGTGTGAGCTATTACATTGCAAATATTCCCCAGGAGCATGTATCTAGCCTCCCGGCTCTCTATATGACACTGACAGAATGGGCTTCTTTGTCATCATTTGCTGTTGGTAGATTGGGTGCCAGTACTTGTAGTCAGGGAGACAGCTGTGCACATCTGGAATGATCCCAGAGAGAAGTCCTAAACCAGGCTTGACAATGGTGCCAGGGCACTGAAGGATGCCCTGTCCTCTGTCACCAGAAAAGCTTCTCCTCTGTAGATTTCTATACCTGCCCCTGCATTGCCACTAAGTGTGACAGGAAGAACAAGGAGTGAGGAGGCATTTGGATCCAGGTTATACCACATGCTTTCCTCACCTGTAAAATAGTGAGACTAATGTTTAGTTGGCAGGATTATAGTAAGCATTATAGCTCATTTATTAAGTATTGTATATAACAAACAAGAAGTGGTAGCTATTATTATTATTATTATTATTATTATTATTATTATTATTGAGACGGAGTCTCGTTTTGTAGCCCAGGCTGGAATGCAGTGGCGCGATCTCGGCTCACTACAAGCTCCACCTCCCGGGTTCACGCCATTCTCCTGCCTCAGCCTCCAGAGTAGCTGGGACTACAGGCGCCTGCCACCATGCCCGGCTATTTTTTTTTTTTTATTTTTTTTTTATTTTTAGTAGATACGGGGTTTCACTGTGTTTGCCAGGATGGTCTCGATCTCCTGACCTCATGATCCGTCCGCCTCAGCCTCCCAAAGTGCTGGGATTACAGGCGTGAGCCACCACGCCCGGCCGTATTAGTATTATTGTAGATATGAAGCTATTGCCTTTACTTTAAATGCTCTTTCCCAAATATTTGCCTGATTCACTCCCTATTCTTCTTCAATTATTCACTCAATGCTCCTCTTTTTAGTGAGGTCTACTCTAACCAATCGACATGATACTGTCTCAACATACCCACTTTTTCTTTCCTGTTCTCTTGTATTTTTTTCTGTAACACTGATTTGATTGTAATTATTACATAATTTTCTTAGTTGTGTTAATTTTTAGAAATTTTCTATAGCCTTTTACAAGAATTTAAGTCCGGAGACATCAGGTATTCTTGTATGTTTTGTCTACATAATACCCCATTGAAAAAAGCAGTGCCAGATGTATCATAGGTATGAATAAATATTTGTCAAATCCTTAAAAAATTACATAACTGTGAAATTAGTTAAAAAATAATGACATTCTACTGACTATTGTTTGTATATACATATGTATACATCTATGTACATATATTTACGTGTGTCTATACATACATATTTTTATGTTAATCTTACCCTTAATAACCTCAGAAGATAAGACACAGTTAGAAGGCACCTGACTTAAGAGAGATGACACAATTTTCCTGGTTTGCCTTATTTACACCTGTGTTCTCAAAATAATTGTTGCTAACACTAACTTTCTCTCTAAAAAAACGACCCAAGTCATAAGTTCTATGATCACCCTAAATGAGGATCAAAAGGAAAAGACTGATCTCACAGATATCCAAGAACAGTTCCTGTCTCAGTGCTGATGAATGAAGTATCCACTAGACAACCACTGGCACTGGCTTAAGAAATTTGTACTGGGGACACCAACATAATTTTTTATCTATGTAAAATAAATCTTAAATAGTAGTTATAAAAACAAGAAGAGCAAACTCAGTGTCCATAAGGCTTGTGTCTAACAGATAATTTTTCATTTGGTAAAGAACATTGTGTATTTATTCTGATATTTTTCTACAGTTTGACCCTGTTGTTGGTTGTAATGACTGCAACTTTGGGTGATGGTTTTAGTATTGACAGGACACTTTAAGGGGCTGCTGTCTTCAAGGTTATTTTGCCACTCAATTTTTGTGTTTTTTTTTTTCTTTAACTCTTGGTAATTTCTATGATTCTAGTAGCTTTAATATTTAGCATTTGGGGTTCTAGGCGAGCCTATAAGGGCTTGTTTAAGAGTTATCAGGCAGATGGCACAAATTTACCTCTTTTATGGTCCCAGTAAGTTGGAGAGGGAGAGAAAGAAAACCAACAGTAAGGGCCATGGGTTCTGAGTGACAGACATAAGCTACTCTGTTTAAATGAATCTGCAATTTTTGGAAGGAGGATCTTTTCTTTCTTATGTAACTTTCTATACTTATTTTGTGTGGTTTGATTTTAAAATGCCCTTCCTCTATCTTACTCCTCATTTCCTCTTGGAAAATTTCCTTTAAATCAGGAAAATATTGCTTTAGCAAATTACACTTTTAACAATGTCTTATCTTGCAAAGCTGGAAAATGGATTAAAATCTAATCTTCTTCCCCTTTAACCTAGCCTGGGTATTTTATATGTCACTCTCAGGGTAGATATAAGGATATCCTTTTCAAACTTTTGACTACATCTAAATAGGCCTTTAAATAGAACTCTTTAAAAATGTCCATTTTCATCCCAAGTTCGATATCAAAGTCAAAACTCTTTACCGTTTCTTCTAAAGACTCAAACTGTCTAACATCCTAAATATTTCTCTGCTAGTCTTAGCCTGGGAACCTTAGTGTCCAGTGACCTATTTAGGTTGGAACAAAGGGCAGCTGGCAGGGAGTGTGAGGAGCCCCATGTTGTTCTCAACCCCATATGCAGCTAAATTGCTGACTTTCCCACCTTCTAGTACTTCAAACACACATCACATCGACCCCCTACTATCAGTCAAATGAGGGAGGAAATGCTCACTGCAGAGAGAAGCAAATTTCAGGAACCAACTAAAGTCTCTGAATTATGCCAGTGATGTTTTCCAAATATATTTTTTGTTTTCCAAACCTCTTACCTTTATTTCAGCAAACCCAGTTGGTCCCAAAATTTCTCATCCATATCTAAGTCCTGAAGTCTAGGCTTCCAATATGGAGCTTATATCTAACACAATACCATTCTTGCAAACCTGCTTGGCAGTAGGGGAGTTTTTGATCACCTGTGACATAGGTAGAAATGATTGCAGGGTTTTTGAAATTCACAGGTAAAATCTAAAGGCTAAAATTAATGTGTAGTGTGACTCTTCCATCAAGAAACATTTTACCTGAGTTTCCAATAACTAGCAAATCTGATTTAAATATTTCGGCCCCATCAACCGTATATAAGAAGAGATTCATACTGACCAGTTCTAACTCTGGATTTTTGTGGCCCTAGAAATGAAAAAAAAATAGTGGAATCACCAAAAGAAAATACCATGGTTTAGATAATGCATAAATTGAATTCCTGTAAACTGTAGATTGTCATAAAGGAATCAAAAAATGTTTTTCCAGTACCATGATATAGGAAGATATTTAATATAAGTTCCTGTGAACAAAGAGGGAGTAAGAGTTATTTCCATTACTCCTTCAGGATTTCTTTACAATATTCAAAAGTCCTTTATTTTCGCCTCTGTGGAGTTTGTTTTATATCTCATAAAACCATTATCGAATAGAGAGAATAAAACTGAATAAATCATTTGCAGGTGGAATCTGCTAGAGCTAGCCACAAGTACAAAGCTTGCACAGGTGGGCGTGGCTTCTGCCAGTGTCATTGCTCATTCCCTTCCTCTGAGAACCCCCAAAAGCATTTGAGAATTAAACCTGGGAGCCTAGTCTTTATCATTGTGACCTTGGTAGTGATCTATTTTTATTGTTACAGGCAATGAAAGCTTAGAAGAAAACTATGTCCAGGACAGTAAGATGGGGTTTGTCATCAATGCCATCTATGCCATGGCACATGGGCTGCAGAACATGCACCATGCCCTCTGCCCTGGCCACGTGGGCCTCTGCGATGCCATGAAGCCCATCGACGGCAGCAAGCTGCTGGACTTCCTCATCAAGTCCTCATTCATTGGAGTATCTGGAGAGGAGGTGTGGTTTGATGAGAAAGGAGACGCTCCTGGAAGGTAATCTTTTCAGTAATCAATCTAAGTAACCTTGTGAGCCTTCCTGTGCCAGACAGATGGCAACTGTGGCTTCATCTGGTTCCATGGTTTCTGGGTGCCATGAGGATAGATACAACTAGGTAGCAAAAAGTCCAGGGATAATATCAGATGAAATTACCAAAGACCACACCACTTTTTAAGACATTAAAATACTTCTTTTTCAACACCCAATACCCAGTATTCTACCAGTGCCATCCCCTAACTCACCTATCACTTGACCCTTTTTCCAGAATGCTTGGGACCTTCCTGCAAGCCCAGGAACCTAAAGAAATTACACTTGGCCAGCAGAAACCTCTCAGACCTTGCCAGCACCAGGCCAGCATCTTTCTGATTGATTGACTATATACCATTCTGGTTATGAAATATTTTGAATATTACACCTGGTTAAAGAGCTCAGTATGCAAAGAGAACTAAGTCCTGCATATGTGTCCCTTCTCCTCAGGCTAACCTATGTTTGTGCTAACATATGTCTTGGAGCAAGAAAGGAAACAACTTTCTTTTTGGGATTGAGCCCCTATGGCTTATTAATCAAACAAAAAGCAGATGAAAAGTAAACCAAGGTATATACATAAAATCCTCTCCAAGCCGTTTTACATACAGTCTGCTCTGCAATACTTGTTTTGATACTACCAGTTAGCTCAAGCATAATTGGTACATAGGAAATTTTGTTAGTATCAAGAATAGTTGTGTTCATTCATAAACAGTTTCTTAGGAAAGGCATAATCAGAATGGCAGAAGAATTAACACCTTCAGGAAGAAGGAAAAAGGCCCTCAGCTTGGCTACCACTCAGCAAGCCCAGGGTCTTATAGGCCCTGTCACCTGTCAGTCTACGATGTCCCAGACTTAGAGCTTTTTAGAAAAGCATATGCTGTGTTCAAGTGGAACATCAAATCATTTAATCTTCATTGCTGTAGGTGGATCATTGTCTTTCTTTTACAGATAATAAAACTGGGTATCAGAGAAACTAAGGAACTCACCTAATGTCCACAGATTGCAAGCGGTGGAGGCAAGTGCTCTCACTCTGAGGCTTCTAATCTTTTACAACATCACACTGCCTTTTAGCAGATCCTAAAATTAGGCAACGTGGCTGGCAATCTTCTTTTCGGTTTTTGAGAAAGAGTCTCACTCTGTTGCCCAGGCTGGAGTGCAGTAGCACAATCTCGGCTCACTGCAATTTCTGTCCCCCAGATTCAAGTGATTCCCCTGTCTCAGCTTCCCAAGTAGCTGGGACTACAGGTGTGCACCACCACACCTGGTTACTTTTTTTGTATTTTTAGTAGAGATGGGGTTTCACCGTGTTGGCCAGGCTCATCTTGAACTTCTGACCTCAAGTGATCCACCCACCTTGGCCTCCCAAAGTGCTGGGATTACAGGCGTGAGCCACTTTGCCCGGCCTGGCAACCTTCTTAATGTCATTTCAGAAGTACTGTAAGGGACTGTTTGACCCTAAGTAAGTCTCCATGTATCTGTTTGTGTCAGCTTGAAGTCCTGCACTTAGGGAGTACCTTGTGAGAGCTAAGTGGATTCTCCCTGTTAAAATCTGACAGCTCTAGGAAGGATAAACGATATCAGTCATTGTCAGCAATTAAAATGATCAATTTATCAGATTTCTTCCAAGCTGCTAGTTAGATGGGAGCAGGTTTTGACTGGAATGCGAGTGAGGTAGATGGAATGATTCAGGAACTGGGCATGTGAAAAGCTTCGAGGAAATGGTACTAGGAGCAACAAGTGAGTCTGAGGTTCAGAACATTGACTACCTGCCTCTGTAAACCCTCTTTCATCCTGTGTCCCACTGGACCCTAGGCTCAATAAGGGTCAGAATTAGAATGTAAACCTTCCTTCATGATTCCCAAAGATAACATACAATGTGCCTAGCACAAGGCCAGATGCATTTTTGACACTTCATGTATTCAAGTTTACTCCTCTTCTCTCTCTACAAGTTATCTAAAATGTCGGTGCATAATTTTAGCTTGTTTCTTCTCCATCTTTAATTAAATATTCAAATGTTACTTAAGCTTTCCCCTGGGTCTTTTCTTAGGGATCATATCCTTCTGCTTGCAATTGGTTGGCATAATCCGTTTTCAATTTCTGTTTCAAAAATCTCCCTGTACTTCCTCCTCCTGTCATACCATCGTTCATGCTTTTGGTCCCTCTTGTAATTATTTCAGTTAATCATCACACAATGTAAACTGAATGCATTGAGAGGATGTTGTAAATATGTAATTTATAGCATAAAAATTCCAAAATAAAAACCAACATGCCTGGAAGGAACCCTGGGGTCAAAGGAAAAGGGCAGTGTTCAGTAATACACACAGTATGAGGAAGGCTTCTTAAAATGAAGTCAGTATTTTTCCCTGGATATTTTTCCATAGTTTTTTTCCCAGCTTTTGGGACTTTTTAAAAAAATGTGTTTTATACCAAAATATTGTGAATTTTTTTTGTTTCTAAATGCTAATGAAGTGTGAACTGATTTCTCTTATGAAAAAGCAAATGAGGAAGCTAAAATAAAAGTCTTTGGAAACTGATTTAAAGGAAAAAGACATTCTAGAGCCAGCATTGCAGCAAAGCCTTCTTTGTATGTGAGAAGCTGTATTAATGTAATCTGAAATAAAACACAAAAATTCCTGGAAATGAAAATGGAAATTACTCACATCAAGCACTCACAACAGCACAACAGGTTCTATAGCTCTAATGAATCTAAAATGGAAAGATATCAGAGGTGTAGATTAGTGTCATTGATCAACAGGATGAGTGTGAGCCAGCAGCCCACAGTTAATTCTCACTTGGATATCACTCAGAAAGATACTCTGAATAACTTTCTGGTATGTCTAGCAACTGGGGGCTAATAACTCTTTATCAGTCAAAAGTCAACACAGCAAAGAGATGAATAATGTGCTCTGGGTGTACCATTCTCTCTTCTCATTCTAAGTGCATTTTGTTTACCTGGCAAAGGAGAGCTTTCTTTACTTTCCCAGAATACCTTTTCTTTTAGGGGACAACTATTTGTAGAAATTGCAAGAATCTGGATGTGGAGAAGCCATTAGCTACCCTGTGGGTGACAGAATGCATTTGCACATTAAGAACAAGCAGAAAACCCAATCAACTGACATTCCTTGTCTAGATTGAAAAACAAACAAACAAACAAAAAAACTAGGCCAGATACAGCCAATAGATTTCAGATGCCAACTTAGTTTGATTGGCTGTAGCCTCCTGGAGTGTTAGGCTGAGAGGGATTGTGAACATGAGTCAGTTTAGAGAGAAAGAATTGCAGGAAGGATTAAGCAGGGGCGTGTGAGAGGGGCGAGGGATGAAGAGAGCTGATGAAGAAGAGTATGTGTTGATTAATTGCCATTTCCTTCAGTCAAGCACAAAGAGCAAGAGGCCGTGACTCATCTTCTAGTCCAGGAGGACGAGCACTTTGCATAGGTACTGCAGAATAGAATCCCACTTTGCAGAACTAGTAAGGAGCAACCAAGCATGCAGCTTTGGGAAACTGCAGCATTAATTATAGAGTGAATAGCAACATGGAAAGGAGATGTAAGAATGCCAGAGTTCCCATGACTGAGATATAAATGGTTATGCCAGTACAAAGTTGTTCTCCAGTATTCGTATAGTAATGAAAATAACCAGAGTATTTTAGGGCATTAATAGTAATAGAAATATGAATGAAATCATGCTATTGACTTATAGATTGTCTTCCTTCATTTGGGATGCTGTAGCAAAATATCATAAACTGTATGGTTCATAAATAACAGAAATGTCTTGCGCACAGTCCTGGAGGCTGGAAAGTCCAAGAACAAGGCACCAACAGATTTGGTGTCTAGGGAGGACCTGCTTTCTGGTTCACAAATGGCACCTTTTAATTTTGTCCTTGTGTGGTGGAAGGGGGCTAGAAAGCTTTTTAAGGCTGCTTTTACTAATCTCATTCATGAGAACTTTGTCCTCATGGCCTAATCACCTCCTGAAGGCCCTTCCTCCTAATACCATCACCTTGGGGGTTAGGATTTTCAGCATATGAATGGAAGGGGGTGAACATAAGCATTTCGACCATAGGACATATGCATTTGTCCTGAATATAAAGCAGTTTTTTACATGTCTATCTTAATAAATCCCCACAAGAACCACGTGAGGCTTAAAGAGTTTAGTGGCATTCCTAAGTAGTATAATCTACTGTTAAAATGTTAGAAAAGAGACCAGCTTGTACATTCTGATGTTAGATCTTGCGTTCTTTAGATTGCATTGTAGAATGTCCTATACCATATACATATATGGTGTGTGGTGTATAACATGATGTTTTGATATACTGTATGTATATAGTAATGATTACTATAGTGAAGAGTTCTAAGTGCAGGTTTTGCCATTGTGTAGTGTTCCGGCATTTCAAATTACTGAAATAACTGATACCAGCTATTTGGTTTCAAAAATATTTATCCTAATCAGGGAAGAGATTAGTTTAAATGTCAGTGCACAAGACATTAAATCCTCAACATCCTTAGTAATTAAAGATGCCTTTCTCAGATTTCTTGCTCTATTAGCACCTTAAAAACGTTCCAGACTTGGTAAAACTCATCCCTTTTAATACAGTGTAATGAAAATGACAACTTAATGTGAAAAAGAAATTTGGATTAATCAAATAAAAAATTAATGTTCTTATTGATACTTATTCAAAGAATAACTTAATAAACCATAATTGGAAGGACATGATCAACTTAGCAAACATAGCATTATTTTTTGGAGGATAAGCAGAGAGAAAAGTACAAGAGTAATTTAATTTTTAGTGAATATGGATGATACACAGAGATTGAAGAATGGAATATACACATTTGGGATAATCAGAGGAAACATAAGAAATAAGCTAAAATATTGGCAGTAGCTGATTTAAGATGATTCTAGCTTTCTCTTGTTTCTATTATTATCTACTTACCAACTTTCTTTGTTTTCTACATTATGTCTATATTCTATAAGACATGCACATTGTGCTCTTTGTAGGTATGATATCATGAATCTGCAGTACACTGAAGCTAATCGCTATGACTATGTGCACGTTGGAACCTGGCATGAAGGAGTGCTGAACATTGATGATTACAAAATCCAGATGAACAAGAGTGGAGTGGTGCGGTCTGTGTGCAGTGAGCCTTGCTTAAAGGGCCAGATTAAGGTAAGCCACAAATGCATTCTTGCATGGTATCTGTGAGGAGGTTGGCTGCCTGGACATTAGTAAAGAACAACACAGACAATTTTAAAAACATAACTGTCTAGAAAGGGTGTGCCAGGCTTACAGTTTTGGCTCTTGAGTTTAGGTAAAACTGAAAAGACAAAGATTAGGAAACAGAGTGAGTAAACTCTTAGAATATTTGCATAGTCTTTACTTGAATCACAATGATGGACTGGAATCTTTAACACAATCTTGGCAGGAAACGGATGAGTAATCAAATTTTAAAAATCAAAAACAGAAGTAAATGTGAAAACCAAAGTCAATAATAGTGCTTAGTCATAGTTCTAGCTATTGTTAAAGAAAGCAGAAGCTGAACAATGCTAAATAAGCAAACAACCAAAATACCAGAAGTTGAAATAGGGTAACACAGACTGCTTATCATTTTCCGTTTCTCTACCTAGTCCTTTGATTCTTTTGAAACTGGCATTTTTTTCTACAAAAGACAGCGTCCCCACTTTCTAACTATTTTCAGGAGCTATTTGGAGGGTGGGTGGGGCAAGTGAGTAACTATGACATCAGTATATATAGAAAATGACAACAAACAAGCATCAAATCCTCGGCGGGGTGTGCTAAAGAGGCTTCTTGATGAAGAAAGCATGGAGGCAACACTCTCTGTATCCCAGGCTATTTAAAACCAAACTGGGGGATGCGCTAGGAAATGGAGCATAGGGGAGGGATTGTGAATGGCAGGGTATGGATTAGATGACCTAATAGATCTTTCCCATCCCTAATTTTCTGTGATTCATCTTGAGGCACAGACAGGCTGTCACGTAAATGTCTCACAGCACAGCTGGAGCTGGGGTAGATCAGGCGTGAGGCTCTGGCTCCTGCCATGCTGACATGCCGCTGTACCATTCTTTGCTTGGGAGCTGCAAAAACACCCATGGAGGAGAGATGCTCTGATAAGTTCACTGAAGGGTCCCCAGGGCAAGAATCCAGTCATATAATGCTAAGTTTAGACAGAGGCTGGACATGCTTTATCTCAACTGACTAAAGAAAATGCAGGATCTGCAACCTGTACCAGCTTTTGGCAGCTGAGAAGAGCTATCCTGGTGGACTCAAATTCTCAGTCACTCCAGCCACTTGGACAAAGAAAGAAACTTCTGAGATGAGTCATCCTAGTTTTAGGTATCTTGTGCCTTCTCTGCAGAAGTTATATTAAAAATATTTGATAGTTGTTATGACAACCAGTCCATCAGCATAGACTCCATTCTCATGCTGTGACACAGTACTGGAGGCCTCATGCCATGGCTATGGTAAATCTTTGAGTTGGTGGATCATGGGAAGGTTTGGCCAATGTGTTCTACATGGCTGGGGTCATGTGGGGGATTCAGGAGACATGGAGACACTGCTAGCTTCCAAGCAGTGCAGAAGTATTTCAGTAGTCTAAGAATGTGTAAAAGTAGTATGTATGGGCTGATTCCTGACTAGGTGGAATACTTCCACATGAGGCTGCTGATGATATAAGGTATGTTCTCTGAAATCCACAGGCCCCACATTTCTCCTTGCCTGTTATCATGAGATGCCAGACCAAGGCATTCTGGTTGCATCATCTTTTCTGAATAGTGGGAAAAAACAGGATTATCTGTGGACTGAAGTCATAAGGTGGGGAGAGGACAGAAGCCCTGAGCACATGCACTTCTGCCACCCAAAGGATGTCACATGTTGGCTCAGGCTGCCTCTCCAGTGTGGGTGTAGCATTGAGTCTATTGTGCAGACAATTACTGGGAAACAGTTTTTGGAACTGCAAAGTTCAGTTTTGCAGGTTATATATGGAAAAAATAAAACCTGGCAGGAGAAAACAAATTGTTGCAAGGATTTGCTGTCCTCAAGCTCCCTTTCACAATTCCTTACTGTTACTCTGACTGCCAGGTGACCATGAATGGCTGCTCACATACCACGTGTGCTCCCCTTTACACCTTCCAGAGGAGAGGCCTTTGTTCTCCCCAGTTCAGGGGCAAGGCTGTCCGCATTTGTCCCTGCACCTAGACACTGAAGTGTTTCTGCCATCATGTTTGTGCTATGCCCATGCGTGTTATCGAAGGAGATCCCAGAAGTTGTTGCTGAGCCATTACAGAGCATTCACTATAAATGCAAAGCTCCTGGGGGCCAATTTTAGAAAATTGTATACCCTGCAGAAGGAAAATATGCATGCTCTCAATACCAACCTGGAATGGAGGTGAGGGGGGATGTTTGTTTTGTTTCTCATAAGCACCTTGGGAGGTATGGAAACAAATGAAATTTGAGTCGTATTTACCAAATAATATTATGCACATTCTAACATCACTAATTTGCCACCTACCAGGCCCAGGATGCATACAGCCAGATCAGTAGCCACTGTCAAGATATAAGAGAAACAGGCAGCTTGCAAGGTGATTGTAGGACATACACTTGTATTAACTGGGAAATACAGCCTTTAGGAAAGGGTTATTTTAAATATCAAATCCATTTAAACTGCTAAAATAATAATTTGATGTCTTTTCTGATAACCCACAGAACTTTCTTAAGATCATTTCCTTTGAAGTAGTCAAAAATCCAGTTTTCTTATGTTATTGATTTTTAGAATTATAAATATATCTTATAAATATAATATCTCATGGAAGAAGAGAAAAATTTTTGTCATACCACAAACACAGGTGAATAAAATAATACTTTTTATTGTTGTGTGTAACCTTAGGGTCCACTCAGGAAAAAAAGAGCCCATGTCAGATGGTTTACTAGGGGAAATTTAATAGAAGAAAATGGTCACAAAAGTAAAATGGGGTACTGAGGCAACTCAAAGGTGACCAACAGCAGCATCTACTCCCACTCCAGAGCTACAGGGACCAAAGGAAACCTCACAGCTACTACCTCTGAGCTATCCCTGAAGTGGGAGAGTGAGGGCACCCTGGTTTTTCTCTTCTGCCTCCCATTAGTTGCTCCTATTTTACCAAACCCATCCAGAAGACAGCTGGCAAGAGATCCTGGAAAATGTAGTTCACAAGTATCTTAGCTCAGGTTCCCTTGAACTTTACCAACTATGCAAGGATTAATTGCTAATACATTAATGGAAGATTCAATCCTAGAGAAACAAGAATAAGGGGGAAAGGGAAGTGAGGTATGGAAGGATGGGGAAAAGCAAAACAAACAAAACAAGGTGACATGTTATTGAGCAGGAGATTGCTTCACTGAGCATAACTAATCACGTGGCCTCAAGAGGTCACTGGATAGGCTACTTGGACTATTGGAGGAAGGATGGGAGAGGAATGAAAGTGTTCACTTCATCCTATGTTCTGCTTCGTGTGGCCAAAGTTTATGCTCACAGGAAGTTACAGGCAGCTACTGAGGAAGCCAGAGCCCAGGACTTGTAACACAACACTTCTTCAGATTCTGAAAGCAATGTGAGGAGTGAGAGCCTAGGTGGGTCTCCTATGGTCTGACCTGGGTCCTGCTATGGTGAGTCCAACAGGGGCAGTTCTGGAGCCCAGAGCCTACTCAAAGGGAGAGAGAGACAGCAAGAGATGACAGAAGATGAACGAGCAGTGACTGAGACTGCAGTAGCAGTCATAACAGCAATGTCTAGAACTCTCCGAGTGCTGATAGCCAAGGGCCCAAGACACAAGTACAGCCAAAGAGAGTCTGGGGCAACAGATAAAATCTGAACAGTGTTATGCAAGCAAACATCAGGGGCCTTGTGTGTGTGCTGGTCTCACATACAGAACCCACTGCTGTTTTCCTTGCTGTAGTGAAGGACAGGAAAGGGGTAGAAAGGGGAGGAAAGGTAAAGGAAAAGAAAATGCTGGAAAGGAGAAGGGAAGTAATGGAGATCAGGGACTAACATTGGTCAAGTATGTTCATAAGCAAGTACAATAGATGATTTACAGACATCATTTCAATTACTCCTTAAAAGGACCCTTTTAAAGCAGGTATTATCATCCCCCCATTTTATAGACGAGGGAATCTGAGACCCAGAGGGATTGAGTCACTTGCCCCTAAGCTCTCTCAGCTAGAAAGTGCCAAAGCTGGGCTTGGAGCCAGCTCAAAGCTGTTATCATCCCACGGACACATGTTGTTCAACTATCTTTCATTATATGAACTGGCACATTTCCTTCAAATGCATATTTCAATTTCTAAGCCTTTATTTTTTCAATAGCTCACAATAAAATCATAAGTAATAATCCACTTTTAAAATGCCGAGGGAACAGAATCCAGAATTCAGCAAGCAATATTTGTGAAGGAGGCTGGAAGAGTTTAATAGAGACTGAGACATTGACAGAGAAGTGAGGGAAAGGATACTGAAGATTGATTTCACTGGCCTCCTGTTCTTTCTTCCCCTCTCTCCTCTCTCTGCTCTCTTCTCCTGCTTTCTTTTTCGTCTTAAGTTTGTATTTGAATTCTTTTCTCCAAGACGTTGGTTTTGGGTTGGGAGGTTGCAGTAAGAGAATAGAGGTAACCTTACCTCTTCTTATCATCACCCAGCCAATCATGACAGAATTCTGGAGATATTAGGTGAATGTGGCACACATCATAAATGTTTCTCCTCATTTACACATGCCCTATTGCTGTAAAGTGGCACCTTATTTATATAGAACAAAGTCCACTTACACATATCTTACACACTGTAGACTTTAGAATTAACTGTTTTCATTTATGAAATAAGACATTCCGGCCGGGTGCGGTGGCTCACGCCTGTAATCCCAGCACTTGGGGAGGCTGAGACAGGCAGATCACGAGGTCAGGAGATCGAGACAATCCTGGCTAACATGGTGAAACCCCATCTCTACTAAAAATACAAAAAGTTAGCCAGGTGTGGTGGCAGGCGCCTGTAATCACAGCTACTCAGGAGGCTGAGGCAGGAGAATGGCATGAACCTGGGAGGCAGAGCTTGCAGTGAGCCGAGATAGCGCCTAGGTGACAGAGCGAGACTCCATCTCAAAAAAAAAAAAAAAAAAAAAAGACATTTCATCTGATTTTTTGGAATTATCTACTAGAGACATAAAATTTTCATCTTAAAAGGCATTAGAAATGTGGCCCTAAGAAAAGAAGACTGCTTAATTTAAACCTCTAGCGTGCTCCTTGCTCAATTTTAGCTTCTTATATGACTGATTTTTTCATGGGTGAGCAAAGAGGCCAAAGAGCAGATTCATTGAGAATCAAAGCAAAGGGAACATGATCATTCTCATTACGACCTAAGATACGCTTAAAAATGGATGGAACTAAGAGAGTCCACTAAGAAACCATTTATATTTGGCTGGAATTGGAACGTTAAATGTGCCCAGGTTTGTGCTGCAAGCATTATTAAATAATGCTGCTACAGGAGTTCGTATCTGGCTTTTCCTGTTAGTAGATATAGCTACTTGAGACAAATTGCCAGTGGAGAAAACTTATAATTTCTAATAATATCCTTCTTTAAAAAAATTAAATTGCTCATATTAATTTTCAGATCGACACCTTTCACCATAGGCCATTGATTAAAATGTAGCCAAGTTATGTTCGGTCATGTCTCTTCAAGCCTCTGCAGAGATTGGAGTTAGGGTCTCAGATTCCAGAGCATTTGTCATCAGCAACCTAAGATCCTTCCTTAGCTCCCTTATTTTAATATCATTTCCCTCTTCCTCTGTACATTTTCCTGCTATTCAAAGAGCTCTCTATATTTACAGTTGCTTAGTTAACCTAGCTTCTGCATTACTGGGTAAAAGATGCTGTTTATCTGGAAGCTTGGATACCCATTCTTGACCACAATAGTCAAGCAATTAGTACAACCCTACCTTTCCTGATAATAAGAAAAGGAATGTGATAAGGTGAAAGTTGATCTCTAGAACGTAATATAAAATCTATGTGTATGTGTCTATGTATGTGTATGTATGTATACATATGTGTGGGTATATTATTAATATATTTCTACTATGTGTAATCAGTCCTTCCTGTTGCTTTATACAGAAACAGCTACATAAAATAGGTGTGTTCTCAGCTATTTAAATGGATGATGTCCTCAAGGAGAAAAACAACTTTAATAATGTGATAGATGAAACTTGTATTCTATGGAAATCAGCTAGATGAACTTTGAAAAGCCTTATCATTTCCACTTTGCAGTGATCGAAACATTGCAACATGTTTGTCCAAATATAGGATAACAAAAATATGCTATAACACCATTTCCTGATAAGAGCTACCACTCAAAAGATATTGCCCCTCTGTTCTCACTGGCAGTGGTTGGAAGGTTGAGGAAATGGCAGCCTAAAAAGGCAGGGGAAAATGAGGTTGGGAAGAGGATAGACGACGCATCCGCTTCTACCTTTCCTATTCTCACACTGAATCCAAGTAGCTCATCTGCTGATTTGCTTCTAGGTCACATTGTAAATCATGCTGGGTTGACGATTTTATACTCAATTTTTCCATCTGCAATTGCTCCCAGTTCAGAGTTTAAAGTGTGTCACATTGTGACTGTATTTCCTTTTACCTCTAGCTATTTATTTTTGTTTTTAGGGGCTACACCATAGAATATAGAAATAGTTTCTTTCTCCTCCAGTGCATGTGCTTCAAAATTGCTTGTATGCATTTGCTTTCCTCCACGACAGTGTGAGGAGGAATTTTGTCTTGAATATGATAGCAAGAGAATTGTTTAGACCGAAATCTACCTCAAGTAAATTATCCTATTCTGCAAACAATCATCACTATCTGATTACTACCTGATTGGCACTGGCATATCATGATCCTGTCCCCATGACCCACTCCAGCCAGCCCAGCTGGCTATAGCTTAATGAGATTATTCCTTTTTCTTTAACTATTTCATGCCTACTAACGTGGATTATCTTTGAACACTTTTTACATCTGTAATGAGTATTTTTATTCTTGTCCAGCTGTGTCTTAAAATTTTGACCAAATTAATGAATACCTCTCTTTTGTTCTCATTTTGAAACATAAAAGAAAATATTAAAAAATAGTACAATAGTTACTCGCATATCCACCAATCTCATTCCAGAATTATAAATCTTTTACCACATCACGCCTCTCTCTCTCTGTCTGTCTTTCTCCCTCTTCTTCTATTTTTTTTTTTTTTGGAACAATTTAAAGGGTAGAAATATCATCAAATTTTATACCTTAATACCTCAGCTTACATCTTCTAATAAGGACAATTCTCGTATAATTATCAAACCAGCTAAGAAAGTTAACAATAACATCTTCAGCCGTAACTGTCACATCCACCTCAGCTTTTTTCCCTCTTTGTGAATCAAAACAAACTAACCATCTAAATCATATAGTTAATGTAACCATTTTGGCATCCAGTAAAACAATGATTCAGTTCCTCCACTGTGTAATATCTTCTCAATTCTACTGCAAAATGGCAAGTTCTGAGTACAAATTGCCCACAGGCATATCAAAGAATCTTGTACTTGAGAAGTCTATAATTATGTAATGATGAGATCTGCCTGTGCTACTAAAATTTTGAAAAGGAATTGAAGTCCAAACATTGTCTTTAGTGTCTTGTTGTGAATGTAAAAAAAAAAAATGAAATTACTGTAGTATCTTTGAATGAGGGGGAAACTTTGCAAACACAGTCATAGTGAAAAATTCCATGGAAATATCATTAATTTATCCACAACCACTATGAGTAATGCCCACACCTTCACCACTCCCACTCAGACCTATATCTGTGCTGTTCTCTTGGTCACTGAACTTTTTTGTTATTACCTCAGATCCAGCCCCTTCGTCACTTTCAGGGACAGATCCCCATGGAGAAATGCTGTGAATCATGGGCTATTGGGCAGAACAGGGGACACAGCAAGGCTGACATGTCTTTGGTGGCAGTGATGTAAGTGAGCCACATTTGATTTTTTAAGTAGACATTTATTAAAGTATAATATACACACAGAAAAGTAGCGGAGGGCAGCACAAGTATGAAAATGCAGGGTACTCATCCTACCTAGCCTTGCTCTAGCTGTCCCCTCTGCCTAGAACACTCTTTCACCAGATAGCTACGCCCTTTCCCTCCCTCAAGATTTTACTTAAGTGGCAACATCTTAGCGGGACCTTACCTGACCACCATATGCAAAATGGTAACCCCGTATTTCAGGTGTCTTCCTATCAGGACGAGGACCAGAGTGAGGCAGGCACCTATGGTACAGACTTCAAGGAGGCGGTCACTCTCAAGGTCCTGAAAGCTGGGTGAGGACTTGCACGTCCCTGAGGGAGAAAGTCTCTTTAAATTTGGTCCCTGGACATTTCCCTTGCCTCATCTTGGTTTCTCCCCTGTGACCTATTCCTCTTTCTTGCTTTAGTTTTTCCAAAGCCTTTTTTTGTAGAATGACAGCTCCTCAAAGGTGGGGATAGTATGTTTTGTTCACTGATTATTTTGAGCTTTGATACAGTGCCTGACACATTGCATGTAGGCTAGGCAATCAAATGCATATTTCAAATGAATGAATGAATGAATGAGTCAATGAATGACTGAATAAATATGCTCTCCATAGGCATTTTTATTGACACATAATAATCGTACATATTTATGGGATACACATGATATTTTAAAACATGCACACAATGTGTAATGATCAAATCTGGGTCAGTGGGATATCCATCTCCTCAAATATTTATCATTTCTTTGTGTTTGGGAATATTCCAATTGTTCTCTTCTAGCCATTTTAAAATATACAATAAATTATTGTTAACTATAGTCCCCCTATTGTGCTATCAAACACTAGCATTTATTTTTTCTATCTAACTGTATTTTTATACGCATTAACCAGTCTCTCTTCATTCACCCCTCTCCTTTCCCCTTCCCAGCCTCAGGTAATCAGCATTCTATTTTCTACCTCCATGAGACCAACTTTTAAAACTCCCACATATGAGTAAGAACATGCAACATATTTCTTTCTGTGCTTTGCTTATTTAACATGATTTCCTCCAGGCTCATTCATGTTTCTGCAAATAACAGGATTTCATATACCTATTGGCCATTTGTATATCTTCTTTTGAGATATGTCTAGGTTTTTTTCCCCATTTTTAAAATCAGGTTATTTGTTTTCTTGCCCTTGAGTTGTTTGAGTTATTTACATATTCTGGTTATTAATCTGTTGTTGAATGGATAGTTTGCAAATATTTTTGCCCATCCTGTAGGTTGTCTCTTCACTGTGTTAATTGTTTCCTTTGCTGTGAAGGAGCTTTTTAGCTTGATATAATCTCATTTGTCTATTTTTGCTTTTGTTGCCTGTGCTTTTGAGGTTTTATCCAGAAAATCTTTGCCGAGACCAATGTCTTGAAATATTTCCCCAATATTTTCCTCTAGCAGTTTCATAGTTTCAGCTCTGACATTTAAGTCTCTAATCCATTTTGAATTTACTTTTGTATATAGTGAGAAATAGGGGTTTAGTTTTTTTTTCTTCTGCATATGAATATCCATATTTTCCTAGCACCATTTATTAGAGACTGTCCTTCCCCCAGTGTATTTTCTTGGAGTCTTTGTAGAAAATAAGATGGTTGTAAATATGTGAACTCATTTCTGGACTCTCTCGTCTGTTCCACTGGCCTATGTGTCTGTTTTTATGCCAGAATCATGCTGCTTTAATTAACTACCTGTGTAGTGTATGTTGAAGTCAGATAGTGTGATGTCTCCAGCTTTGTTCTTTTGCTCAAGATTGTTTGGTTATTTGGATTATTTTGTGGTTCCATGAGAATTTTAGGATTTTTTTTTCTATTTTTATTTTTTACTTTTATTTTAGCTTCCCAGAGGGTACAGTTTTTTACATGGATAAATTGCATGCCACTGAGGTTTGGTGTAGGGATGATCCAGTGGCCCAGTTGGAGAGCTAGTACCAGACAGGAAGTTTTTCAACCCATGGCCCCCATAGTAGTAGTCCCCAGTGCCTGTTGTTGCCATCTTCATGTCCATGTTTACCGAGTGTGTAGCTCCTGCTTATAAATGAGAACCTGCAGTGTTTGCAAGTTTTCTATTCCTGAATTAGTTTGCTTAGGATGATGGCCTCCAGCTGCATCTGTGTTGCTGCAAAGGACATGATTTTTCTTTTTTATGGCTGTGTAGTATTTTACAGTGTGTATGTACCTCATTTTTCTTTATTCAGTCCACCATTGATGGGCATCTAGCTTGATTCTGTGTTTTTGCTGTTGTGAATAGTGCCATGATGAACACATGAATACATGTGTCTTCTGTGAAGATTGCTATTGGTATTTTGATAAGGATTGCATTAAATCTGTAGATCACTTTGGGTAGTATAGACATTTAAACTATCTTATTTCTTCCAAGCGTGAACATGGAATATCTTTTTATTGTTTTGTGTCCTCTTCAATTTCTTTCATCAGTGTGTTATAGTTTTGATTGTAAAAATATTTTATCTCTTGGGTTAAATTTATTTACAGGTATTTTTTGGTAGCTACTTTAAATGAAAAATGCTTTTTTATTTCTTCTTCAGATTGTTCACTATTGGCATATAGACATGCCACTAATATTTGTATGTTGATGTTGCATCCTGCAAATTTCCTGAATTCATTTATCATTTTCTACAGTTTTTTTTTGGGGGGGGGGGTAGAATCTTTAGATTTTTCTAAATAGATTATTATGTCATCTGCAAACAAGTTCAATTTGACTTCTTCCTTTCCAATTTGGATGCCCTTTATTACTTTCTCTTGCCTAATTTCTCTGGCTAGAACTTCCAGTACCATGTTGAATAAAAATGGTGAAAGTGGGCAACATTACCTTATTCCATATCTTAGAAGAAAAAGATTTCAATTTTTCCCTATTCAGTAAAATGTCAGCTGTGGATTTGTTCATATATGGCCTTATTATGTTGACAGACATTTCTTATATAACTAATTTGTCGAGAATTTTTATTATTAAGTGATGTTGAATTTTATCAAATACTTTTTCTGCATCTATTGAAATGATCATATCGTTTTTGTTCTTCATTATGTTGATGTGGTATTAAACCATCCTTGAATCCCTGAGATAAATCCCAATGGATTGTAGTTAAAAATCTTTTTGATGTACTGTGGAATTTGGTTTGCCAGTATTTTGTTGAGGATTTTTGCATTTATGTTTATCAGGGATATTGGCTTGTAGCTTTCTTTTTTGTTGTGTCCTTGTGTGGTTTTTGTATCAGGATAATGATGGCTTTGTAGAATGAATTTGGAAGAATTCACTTCTCTTCAATTTTTTGGAATAGTTTGAGAATAATTAATACTGGTCTTCTTTAAAAGTCCAGTAGAATTCAGCAGTGAATTCATCTGATCCAGGACTTTTCTTTGTTGAGAGATTTTTATTACTGATTCAATCATTTTACCCATTATTGGTGTGTTCAGGCTTTCCATTTCTTTATGGTTCAATCTCAGTAGGTTATATGTATTCAGGAAATTATCCATTTATTCTAGATTTCCCAATCTGTTGGCATATAGTTATTCACAATGGTCCTCTGTATTTCTGTGGTATCAATTGTGGTGCCTTTTTTTCATCTCTGATTTTATTTATTTGGGTCTTCTCTCTTTTTTTCTTAGCTTGTCTAGTTAAAGCTGTGTCCACTTTGTTTATCTTTTCATAAAACTAATTTTTTAATCTGTTTTAGTTTTTATTAGTTTCATATTTCTACTTTGATATTTATTATTTATTTTCTTCTACTAATTGGGGGTTTGGTTTGCTCTTGCTTTTCTAGTTCTTTTAGGTGCATTATGAGGTTGTTTATTTGAAGTTTTTCTACCTTTTTGATGTAGGTATTTATTGCTGTAAACTTCCCTTTCAGTGCTGCTTTTGCTATATACTGTAGGTTTTGGTATCTTGTGTTTCCACCTTTATTTGTTTCTCAATTTTTAAATTTTCTTCTTAATTTATTCATGGACCTATTGGTCATTCAGTAGCGTGTCATTTATTTTCCCTGTAGTTTTACAGTTTCCAAAATTACTCTTGTTATTGATTTCTGGTTTTATTCTATTGTGATCTGAAAAGATGTATGATATAATTTTGATTTTTTTTCTGATTTTGGGGTCTTATTTTGTCACCCAATGTATGGTCTATCCCAGAGAATGTTAGATGTACTGCTCGTAAGAAGAATATGCACTCTGTAGCAGTTAGATAGAGTGTTCTGTAAATGTCAGTTAGGTCCATTTGGTCTAAAATGTAATTTAACTCCAATGTTTCTTTATTGATTTTCTGTCTGAATGATTGGTCCATTGCTAAAAGTGGAGTGTTGAAGTCTCCAACTATTACCGTATAGCAGTCTATCTGTCTCTTTATGTCTATGAATGTTTGCTTTGTATATTTGGGTGCTCTGATGTTGGATGCATAGATATTTACAACTGTCATATCCTCTTGTTGAATTGACCCCTTTATCATTATAAAATAGCCTGCTTTGTCTCTCTTTACAGTTTTGACTTGAAGTCTGTTTCATCTGATATGAGTATAGCTATTCTTGCTCTTTTAAAGACTCAGCCTTTCTTGATGTTGTGCAAGTTTAAGTGAAGACTTGCATATAACTGAAGGAAAGGTATCTAACTTTGTTCCCTAGGCCCTTTTCTTTCTTCACCTCTGTTTCTGCTCTGTACCCTATTTCTTTTTCTTGATTTAGTTTTCTCCATAGCCTTTTTCCAGAATGACAGCTCCTCATGGGTAGTGACATTATCTGCTTTGTTCACTGATTATTTCTAACCTTGACATAGTGCCTGGTGCATTGTAGGCACTCAAATAGAATTTTGGATGAGTGAATGAATGAATGGTGAATGAAGGAATTAATGAATAACTGAATAAATATCTCTTCATTGGCATTTTATTTCCCCTTCTAGAGATATACTTAATCCATTGTATAAGATTTTTGAGCTCTTTAACTTCAATAATCGGGTCTTTCCATTTATTTATTCCCATGCATAACATCATGTGGGCCACAGCGGGTCACTAAACAGAAGTTGATTAATTGAATATATATATGCCAACCCCTGAGATACAATTTTGGCTCTCAGAATAATCTGTCATCATGCTGGCAGCCATTGTGATACTGGGAAGAGCCTAATTCTTGGAAATAACTTGACTGAGGCTTGTGCAAGGTATTGGGTCCATCTACACGTCCCCTCATTTGCAAAATGTACACAATTAACTGCACCCTGTGGAGTAATCAAGATTCGTGTAATTCTATATAGAGTGCCTAGCACATAGTTTGACTTAATATATGTCAACTTTTTGATCATTTTATGTTCTTACCATTTTATTATACTTTGTCGGTGATAAATTACAATGTAGTCCTACATTGTATGATATGTTTATGTAGTTCTATGTCTCTTTTATTCCAATTGAATTCTTCATTTCCATTTTTTCTTTCTCTCATAGTCTATATTATTGCCTTCCATTCTTTCACGTACATTGTTGAGTAACTGATATGTGCCAAAAACTGTGCTAGCACTGTGAATGCAAAGGAAATAAACATGGCCTCTTCTTTTGAGGAACTCATAGTGTAACTGGGGAAAAACGGATCAGTAATTAGATTCTATTGTTGCCCAAGCTCTCAAAGAGGATATGAAGTGCTATAGGGACACAGGCTAGTGGAGCTAGCTCCTTTCTCTTACAGCTGACTCTCCCACAGTTCTTTTTACTTTTTATTTTAATTTTTAATTTTTATGGGTACATAGTAGGTATATATATTTATGGGGTACATGAGATGTTTTGACACAGGCATACAATGTACAATGAGTGCATCATGGAGAATGCGGTATTCCTTCCCTCAAGCATTTATCCTTTGAGTTACAAACAATCCAATTACAATCTTTACGATATTTTAAAATGTAAAATCCAGTTATTATTGACTATAGTCACCCTACGGTGCTATCAAATAGTAGGTTTTATCCATTCTATTTCTTTTGTACTCATTAACCATCCCCATCTCCTCCCCATGCCCCAACTACTCTTCCCAGCCTCTGGTAGCCATTCTTCTACTATGTCCGTGAGTTCAATTGATTTGATTTTTAGATCCCGCAGATAAGTGGGAATATGTGATGCTTGTGTTTCTGTGCCTGGCTTATTTTACTTAACATAATAATCTCAAGTTCCATCCATGTTGTTGCAAATGACTGGATCTCATTCTTTTTTATGGCTGTATAATACTCCATTGTGTATATGCATTACCTTTTCTTTAAATTCACCTGTTGATGAACATTTAGGTTGCTTCCAAATCTTAGCTATTAGAAAAAGTGCTACAACAAACATAGGAGTGCAGATATCTCTTCAATATACTGATTTCCTTTATTTTGTGTACTTAGCAGTGTCATTGCTGGATCAGATGGTAACTCGATGTTTAGTTTTTTTAAGGAAACTCCAAACTATTCTCCATAGTGATTGTACTAATTTACATTCCCATGAACAGTGTACAAGGATTCCGTTTTCTTCTCATCTTCGCCAGCATTTGTCATTGCCTGTCATTTGGATATAAACCATTTTAACTGGGGTGAGATGATATCTCATTGTAGTTTTGATTTGCATTTCTCTGATGATCAATGATGTTGAGCACTTTTTCTTATGCCTGTTTGCCATTTGTATGTCTTCTTTTAAGAAACATCTATTCAAATCTTTTGTCCGTAGTTTGATTGGATTATCAGATTTTTTTCCTATAGAGTTATTTGAGCTCCTTATACATTCTGGTTATTAATTCCTTCCTAGATGGGTAGTTTGCAAATATTTTCTTCCATTCTGTGGGTTGTCTTTTCATCTTATTGATTGTATCTTTTGCTGTGAAGAAGATTTCTTACTTGATGTGATCCCATTTGTCCATTTTTGCTTTGGATGCCTATGCTTGTGGGGTATTGCTCAAGAAATTTTTGCCCAGATCAATGTCCTGGAAATGTTCCCCAATGTTTTCTTGCATTTTCATAGTTTAGGTCTTAGATTTAAGTCTTTAATTGATATTTATTTGATTTTTGTGTATGGGGAGAGGTAGGGGTCTAGTTTCATTCTTCTGCATAGGAAAATCCAGTTTCCCCAGCACCATTTATTAAAGATGATGTCTTTTTCCTAGTGTGTGTTATTGGTACCTTTGTCAAAAATGAGTTTACTGCAGGTGTGTGGATTTGTTCCTGGATTCTCTATTCTGATGAATTGGTCTATGTGCCTGTTTTTATGCCAGTACTCTGCTGTTTTGGTTATTATAGCTCTGTAGTATAATTTGAAGTCAGGTAATGAAATGTGGTTTCTCCAGTTTTGTCCTTTTTGCTTTAGATAGCTTTGGTTATTCTGGGTTTTTGTGGTTCTATACAAACTTTAGGATAGTTTTTTCTATTTCTATGAAAAATGAAATTGGTCTTTTGAAAGGGATTGCATTGACTCTGTCAATTGCTTTAGCTAGCATGGGCATTTTAACGATATTGGTTTATTCTAATCAATTAACATAAAAATTTTTCAATTTTTGGGTGTCCTCTTCAATTTCTTTCATCAGCGTTTTATAGTTTTCATTATAGAGATCTTCCACCTCTTTTGTTAATTCCTAGGTATTTAATTTTATGTGTGTGTATTAGTCTGTTCTCCCACTGCTATAAAGAACTACCTGCCACTGGGTAATTTATAAGGAAAAGAGGTTTAAATATGCTCATGGTTTTGTGGGTTGTACAGGCTTCTGATTCTCAGAAAACTTACAATCATGGCAGAAGGTGAAGTGGAAGCAGGCGCACCTGAACATGGCTGGCAGAAAAGAGAGAAAGTGAAGGGGGAAGTGCTACACACTTTTGAACAACCAGATCTCATGAGAACTCTATCGTGAGACAGCACTAGGAGGGATGATGATAAACCATTAGAAACCACCCCCATGAGTCAATCGCCTCCCATCAGACCCCTTCTGCCACACTGGGGATTACAATTTGATATGAGATTTGGGGATGGGGGCGGACACAGAGCCAAACCATATCAGTGTGGCTATTGTAAATGAGATTACTTTTTTATTTCCTTTTCACATTGTTCATTGTTGTTGACATATAGAAATGCTACTGATTTTTGTATGTTGATTTTGTATCCTGCAACATTATTGAATTGGTATATAAGTTCTAATAGTTTTATTGTGCAGTCCTTAGGTTTTCCCAAATATAAGATCATATCATCTACAAACAAGGACAATTTGACTTCTCCCTTTCCAATTTGGATGCCCTTTATATCTTTCTCTTGCCAGACTGCTGTAGTGAATACTTCCAGTACTATGTTGAAAAGCAGTGCTGATAGTGAGTATCCTTGTTGTGCTCCACATCTTAGAGGAAAGGCTTTCAGTTTTCCCCCATTCAGTATGATACTATCTGTGGGTCTGTAATACATGGCTTTTATGATGTTGAGATATGTTCCTTTTATCCCCAGTTTTGAGGAGTTTTATTAAGAAGAGAAGTTGAATTTTACCAAATGCTGTTTATGCATCAATTTAAATAATCATATGGTTTTTATCCTTTATTCTGTTGATATGATGTATCGGTATCGCATTGATTAATTTGCATATATTGAACCATCCCTGCATCCCAGGGATAAATCCCTCTTGTTCATCATGAATGATCTTTTTAATGTATTGTTGAATTCTGTTTGCTACTATTTTGTCGAGGATTTTTGCATCAATATTCATCAGAAATAATGGCCTGTAGTTATACTTTTTTGATGTATCTTTATCTGGTTGTGATATCAGGGTAATATTGGCCTTATAGAATGAGTTTGGAAGTATTTTCTCCTCCTCTATTTTTTGTTATAGTTTGAGTAGAATTGGTATTAGGTTTTCTTTAAATGCTTGATAGAAATCAGCAGAGAAGCAAACAGGTCCCTGGCTTTTATTTACTGGGAGACGTTTTATTACGGCTTCAATCTTGTTACTTGTTATTGTTCTGTTAAGGCTTTGGATTTCTTCCTGGTTCAATCTTGGTAGGTTGTGTGTATCCACGGATTTGTCTATTTCTTCTAGATTTTTAAAATTTATTGGCATACAGTTGTTCATAGTAGCCAGTAATGATCCTTTGAATTTCTGCAATATTAGTTGTAATGTCTCTTTTTTCATTTCTGATTTTTATTTATTTGGATCTTCTCTCTTTTTTTGTTAGTTTGACTAAAGTTTTTCAACTCTGTTAACTTTTCAAAAAACCAACTTTTTGTTTCATTGATGTTTCATATTGTTGTTTTTCATTTCAATTTGATTTATTTCTATTCTGATCTTCATTATGTTTTTCTTCTACTAATATTGGCTTTGGTTTTCTCTTGCTTTTTTAGTTCCTTAAGATGCACTGTTAGATTGTTCATTTAAAGTTTTTTTCTCTTTTTTGATGTAGGCACTTACAGCTATAAACTTCCCTCTTAATACTGTTTTTGCTATCCACACTATCCATAGGTTTGGTATATTGTGTTTTTATTATAATTCATTTCAATAAATTTTTCAATTTCCTTGTTAATTTCTTTATTGACCCACTAGTCATTCAGTAGCATATTGTTTAATTTCCACGTAGTTTGTGTAGTGTCCAGAATTCCTCTTGTTATTCATTTCTACTTTTATTCTGTTGTGATCAGAGAAGATCCTTGATATTATTTAAATTTTTTGAATGTATTAATACTTGTTTTGTGACATAATGTATGATCTATCCTTGATAATGACTCATTATCAAGAAAGAGGAAGAGAGGAAGTGCTGAGAAAGAGTGTGTATTCTGCAGCTCTTAGATGAAATCTTCTGTAATTATCTATTAGATCCATTTGTTTTATAGTGCAGATTAAGTCTGATGTTTCTTTGTTGATTTTCTGACTGAAAGATCTGTCTAATGCTGACAGTGGGTTGTTGAAATCTCCAGTCATTATTGTATTGGGGCCTGTCTCTCTCTATAGCTCTAATAATATTTCCTTTACCTATCTAGGTGCTCCAGTATTTGGTTCATATATGTATAAAATTGTTATATTCTCCAGTTGAATTGACCCTTTTATCATTATATAGTGACCTTCTTTGTCTCTTCTTATAGTTTTTGTGTTAAAATTATATTGTGTTATATGAGACCGATGCTCTTTTTTGGTCTCCATTAGCACGGATTATCTTTTGCCATCCTTTTATTTTCAGTCTAACCATGTCTTTATAGGTGAAGTGTGTTTTTTGTAGGCAGCAGCTTTTAGTCAGTCTATGTCTTTTGATTGGAGAATCTAGTCCATTTACATTCCATGTTATTATTGATAAATAAGGACTTATTCCTACCATTTTGTTATTTGTTTTCTGGTAGTTTTATGGTCTTCCCTCCCTTCTCTCTTTCCTTCCTTCCTGTTTTCCTCTAGTGAAGGTAATTTTCTCTGGTGGCATGAATTAATTTCTTGCTTTTCTTTTTTGTGTGTGTTTCCATTGTATGTTTTTTGTTTTAAGGTTACAATGAGGCTTGCAAATACTATCTTATAACCTATTGTTTTAACCTCATAACAACTTAACACTGTTTCAATAAACAAACAAAAAAGAAAACTAATAAAAACGATATGCCTTAACTTTGTATCCCTGCTTTTAAACTTTTTGTTGTTTCTATATTTATCTTATTATATTGACTATGTCTTGAAAAGTTGTGGTATTTATTACTTTTGATTGGTTCATTATTTAGTTTTTCTACTTAAGAGTAGTTTACATACCACAGTTATAGTGTTATAATATTCTTTTTATTCCATGTACTATTACCAGCGAATTTTGTACCTTGAGGTGATTATTTATTGTTCATTAATGTTCTTTTCTTTCTGATGGAAGTACTCCCTTAAGTATTTCTTGTAGGATGGGTCTGGTATTGATTAAATCCCTCAGCTTTTGTCTGGGAGTCTTTATTTCTCCTTTATGTGTCCTTCATGTGTGAAGGATATTTTCATCAAATATACTATTCTATGGTAGAATTTTTTTTTCCTTCAGCACTTTAAATATGTCATCCCAGTGTCTCCTGGCCTGTAAAGTTTCCACTGAGGAGTCTGCTGCCTGACATATTGGAGCTGTGTTTTATGTTGTTTCTTTGCTCTTGCTACTTTTAGAATCCTTTCTTCATCCTTTACCTAATACTATGATTATTAAGTGCCTTGAGGTAGTCTTCTTTGGGTTCAAACTGCTCAGAGTTCTATAACTGATATGGTTTGGCTGTGTCCACACCCAAATGTCAAATCGTAACTCTCATAATTCCCACATGTCATGGGAGGGACCAAGTGGGAGGTAATTGAATTATGAGGGCAGGTCTTTCTGGTGCTGTTCTCATGATGGTGAATAGGTCTCACAAGATATGATGGTTTTATAAAGGGGAGTTCCCCTGCACATGCTCTCTCTCTTGCCTGTCACCATGCAAGACGTGACTTTACCCCTCCTTTGCCTTCTACTTGGTTGTGAGGCCTTGGAGGTTGTGAGGCCTCCCCAGCCATGTTGCAGTGGGAGTCCTTTAAACCTTTTTCCTTTATAAATTACCCAGTCTTGGGTACGTCTTTATTAGCAGCATGAGAGCAGACGAATACAGTAAATTGGTACTGGGAGTGGGGGACTGCTGTAAAGATACTGAAAATGTGGAAGCAACTTTAGAACTGGGTAACAGGCAGAGATTGGAACAGTTTGGAGGGCTCAGAAGAAGACAGGAAAGTGTAGGAAAGTTTGGAACTTCCTAGAGACTTATTAAATGGCTTTGACCAAAATGCTGAAGTGATATGGACAATAAGGTCCAGGTTGAGGTGGTCTCAGATGGAGATGAGAAACTTGTTAGAAATTGGAGTAAAGGTCACTTTTGCTATACAAAGAGACTGGTGGCGTTATGTCCTTGCCCCAGAGACCTGTGGAACATTGAATTTGAGAGAGACAACTTAGGGTATCTGATGGAAGAAAGTTCTAAGCAGCAAAGCCTTCAAGAGGTGAAAGAGGATAAAAGTTTGGAAGATTTGCAGCCTGATGATGCATTAGAAAAGAAAAACCCATTTTCTAGGGAGAAATTCAAGCTGACTGCAGAAGTTTGCATAAGCAATGAGTAGCCCAATGCTAATCACCAAGACTATGGGGAAAATGTCAACAGGCCATGTGAGATACCTTTAGGGCAGCCCCTCCCATCACAGGTCCAGAGGCCTAGGAGGAAAAAAAGGCTTCCTGGATTAGTTCAGTGCTGTGCATCCCAGCCATGGCTAAAATGGGCCAAGGTAGAGCTCAAGCCATTGCTTCAGAGGGTGCAAGCCCCAAGCCTTGGTGCCTTAAACCTGGTGTTGGGTTTGTGGTTGCACGGAAGTTGGAAGTGTGTGTGCACCCTAGGGATTTGGTGCCCTGCATCCCAGCTGTGGCTAAAATGGGCCAATATAGTGCTCAAGCTGTTGCTTCAGAGGATGCAAGACCCAAGCCTTGGTGGCTTACACATGGTATTGGGCTTGTGGGTGCATGGAAGAGTTGAGGAGTGGGAACCTCCGCCTAGATTTCAGAGGATACATGGAAATACCTGAATGTCCAGGCAGAGGTGTGCTGCAGGGGTGGAACCCTCATGGAGAACCTCTGCTAGGGAAGTGCAGAAGGAAAATGTGGGGGGTGAGCCCCCATACAGAGTTCCCACTGGGGCACTGCCTAGTGGAGCTGTAAGAAGAGGGCCACCATCCTCCAGACCCCAGAATGATAGATCTATTCCACTGACACTTGCACTGTGTGCCTGGAAAAGCTGCAGACACTCAACAGCAGCCCGTGAAAGCAGCCAGGAGTGGGGCTGTATCTGATAAAGCCACAGGGGTGGAGCTGCCCAAGACCATGGGAACCCACCTCTTGCATCAGCAAGACCTGGATTCAGACATGGAGTCAAAAGAGATAATTTTGGAACTTTAAGGTTTAATGACTGCCATATTGGGTTTCGGACTTGGATGGGGCCTGTAGCCCTTTTGTTTTGGCCAATTTCTCCCATTTGGAATAGAGGTTATTTACCCAATTCCTGTACCCTCATTGTATCTAGCATTGTGTCTAGGAAGTAACTAATTTGCTTTTGATTTTACAGGCTTATAGATGCAAGAGACTTGCCTTGTCTCAGATGAGACTTTGGAGTGTGGACTTTTGAGTTAATTCTGAAATGAGTTAAGACTTTGTGGGACTGTTGAGAAGGCATAATAGGTCTTGAAATGTGAAGACATGAGATTTGGGAGGGGCCAGGGAGGTAATTGAATCATGAGGTCCAGTCTTTCCTGTGCTGTTCTTGTGATAGTGAAGAAGTGAATGATTTTATAAAGGTGAGTTTCCCTGCACATTCTCTCTCTTGCTTGCCTGCCACCATAAAAGATGTGATTTTGTTACTCCTTTGTGTTCCACCATGATTGTGAGGCTTCCCCAACCATGTGAAACTGTGAGTCAAACCTTTTTCCTTTATAAATTACCTAGTCTCAGGTATGTCTTTATTGGCAGCATGAGAACAGACTCATACAATACCCTTCTTGTACTTGGATATTGATATCTTACTCTATATTTGGGAAGTTCTCTGATACTACCTTTTAAAATATACTTTCAAACCCTATCTCTTTCTCTACCCATCTTTAAGGCCTATAATCCTTAGATTTGCCCATTTGAGGCTATTTACTAGTTTCTGTAGGTGCGCTTTATTGTTTCTTTTCTTTATTCTTTTGTCTCCTCTGATAGGTATTTTCAAATATCCTGTCTTTAAACTCACTAATTCTTTTCTCTGCTTGATCCATTCTGCATTAAGACTCTGAAGCATTCTTCAGTATGCTAATTGCATTTTTCAGATCCAGAATTTCTGCTTGTTTCTTTTTAATTATTTCAATCTCTGTTAAATTTATCTGATAGAATTCTGAATTCCTTCTCTGTGTTATCTTGAATTTCTTTGAGTTTCCTCAACACAGCTATTTTGAAGTCTGTCTGAAAGGTCTCATATCTCTGTTTCTCCAAGATTGGTTTCCGGTGTCTTATTTAGTTAATTTAGTGAGGTCATGTTTTCCTGGATGGTGTTGATGCTAGTACATGCTCTTTGGTGCATGGACATTGAAGATATAGGTATTTAATGTAGCCTTTACTGTCTGGGCTTATTTGTAACCATCCTTCTTGAGAAGGCTTTCCAGATATTTGAAAGAACTTGAGTGTTGTGATCCAAGCTGTATCTGCTTTAAGGGGCTCCCCAACCCTAGTAACACTGTGGTTGTTGCAGACTCATAGAGGTACCACCTTGATTGTCTTGGACAAGATCCAGGACAAGTCTCTGGGTTACCAGAGACTCTTGTTCTCTTCCCTTACTTTCTCTCAAACATACAGAGTCTGTCTCTCTCTCTCTCTCTCTCTCTCTCTCTTTCTCACTCTCTCTGTTCTGAGCCACCTAAAGCTGTGAGTGGAGTGACACAAGTGCCCTTGTAGCCACCACAACTATGACTTTGCCATAGTTGTGCTGACCTCAAGTCAGCACAGTATTGGTTCTTTCTCAAGGCCTGCTGAAACCACTCCATGCTACCTGTCTGCTCAAGGCCCTGGGCTCTACAGTCAGCAAGTGGCAAAGCCAGCCAGGTCTGTGTTCTTGCCTTCAGGACAGCAAGGTCTCCCAGAGCCCTGTGTGGATTTGGAAGTTCCATCTGGGAGTCAAAGACTAGAGTCAAAAAACTTAGAAGTCTGCCTGGTGTTTTATCATACTGCAGCTGAGCTGGCACTCAAACCACAAGATGCAGTCCTTCACACACTTTCCCCCTTTCCAAAGGGCACCCATCAGAGAGCCCTTTGGCATCTTTCCAAAGGTAGAGGAGACTCACCCCATAGTCACTGCCACCCCAGGCCATAAGGAGTACTGGCAGACTACCCCTGATGTTCCCTTAAGGCCCAAGGTCTCTGAAGTCAGCTTGTGGTAAATGCTGCCTGGCCTGGGACATACCCTTCAGGGCAGTGGGCTCCTGTCTGGCCCAAGGCAGATCCAGAAATGTAGTTCAAGAGTCAAGCTATGGAATCAAGGACCCAGGAGCCCATTTGATGTGGCCATGCTGGTACTTAAGACAAAGCCCCTTTTTCTTTCCCCTCTGCTTCTCCCAAGCAGAAGGAGTTTTGCCCCATATCCACCACAGCTGGTAATCTGTTGAGTCTTACCTGAAGTCAGTCTCAGAGGCTCGCTCAAGGCCCTCAATGTAGTACCTGTGTATCACTGTTGGTTATACAGGGCCCAAGGGCATTTCAGTTAGCAGGTGATAAATGCTGCCAGGACTGTGTCCTTTCCTTCGAGGCAACAGGTTCGCTTCTGGCCCAGGATGTGTATAGAAGTGTCCTCTGGGAGCTAGGGCCTGAAACAGGGGCTTCACAACTCTGATGGGTGCCCTATCCTGCTGTGGCTTAGCTGGTATCCTAGATGCAAGACAATGTCCTCCCAACTCTTTCCTCTCCTTTGCTCAAGTGGAAAGAAGAGGTCTCTTTTGGAGCTACCAGCTGTACAGGCTGGGGTTAGGGGAGGTGTGATGCCAGCGTTCCCTTAGCTGCCCCAGCTGTTGTCCCAGTATGTTATCTGCCCCCACCAGTCCACTGTCTCTGGGCCTAGTTCAGCCCTAGGACTCACCTAAAAGTTCCAATCCTTATGATCTAGACTGCCTTTCAAGTTTACTTGGAGAAACAGTATCCTGTTGCCCTTGGTGGCAAGGTTTGTAGGCACTTAAGTTCAAACCCATGGAATCAGCGAGTATCTTCTAGATAGGGCTGGTTTAAATGCTCCCTCTGTGGGTGGGCATCAGCTGAGTTTGATCTGGTTTTCCCTTCTATTCTAACAGGACAGCACTGAGTTCAGTGCCTCACAATTACTGTGTTTTCCCTCCCTCAGCACCTAGAGATGCTCTCTGCATCATGCTGCAGCATCTAGAGGGTGGAGAAAGGGTGGCATCGGTGATTCAGGACTGTTTTTTCTGACTCTACAGTGCCTCTTTCATCAATATGAAGTTAAAACCAGATACTGAGTGTTTACTTGATTTTTGATTCTCTGTAGATATTTGTTGGTGTCCTTGGTGGGGGAGGCAGACAATCGGTAGAATTCTCTATTCCGCCATCTTGCTCCACCTAGGGGCCAGAAACAGTTTACTCTTTCCTACAATTCTAATTAAAGTAGACCCAGTTCCTTTATTCTTTTTAGTCTTTCAGATGTTTCTCTTACAAAGAAAATTTTCTCTTTTACCTTTTTTTAGTTACTTTTCCACCATTATGTTCTCTTGATGCTGTTTGCTTTCTTTCATCCATTCTCTAAATAAAATTTTAATTTAAACAAATCCATTTCCGGTTGCTTCAGAAATGTAGTCCCAAAGTGGACATTTAATTTCCTATGGTATAAATGTTTTAAGACACTCACAGTGTACATAAAGTGAATCATAACATTGTGTGTAGCAGCAGATCACCTAGTCTCACTAACAAGCATAGAACCATGTACACAGGATGTAAAAAGAATCAAAACAGGTAGGTCTTAGAAAGCCTTAGTCCTTCCAGGGAAGTTTCAGTGAAATGTCAAAACTTTTACTATGACTCAGAGTTGACATAAAAAGCATTTTATTGTGACAAAAATTAAACACTTATTCACTTATTGAACGTATACATCATACAAAAGAAATATCAGTTACTATGACAAATATAAAAATAATTTTAAATTTGTCACTTTGGGGGAAACTAGAACATATATAAGAGATATAAGAACCTAAGATTTAAAAAAAAAAAAAAAACAACTTGTCTGAATGTAACATATCTCCCCCATATTTGTAAAACAATTAGAGGACAAAAGCTAACCTGTGGTAATAAAATATCAACTATATTTTTGTTGATTAAGAGTTCCACATAAAATAATGCTTTGAAAGACTCACTGCTCTAAAATACTCACTAAAGCATGTGACTTTTGTGTCTTATCTTGGAAGTAGTGACATGGAGGGTTTTATGTAGGAAAGATGACATTCTAAATAGAAGGTAATATGCATTTAAGCATAGAGACTACCCTTCCTTTTTTCACAGACATATGTAAGAAATTAATAACAGACAAAGTCAGGTACAGAAACAAAAACTAGGGGCCAAGTGAATACATGACTGAAGAAGTTATATTTCAAAGGTATTAAAAGAGGAGGCACTAAAGTTCTTTGAGTGACCTAATTATATTTTTGAAAAATATTCCATTCAACACTCATTTATTGGCTGTGTGTTATTGGTATATTTCTGTGCCTTGATGACTATGCTGTGAAAACATTGAAAAGATGGCATAGTCCTTTCCTTTGAGGAGCTACAGACTATTTGGATGATCTTGGCAGCTGTGTGCATCTTACTCTGGAGTGAGAAGAAATTAGAGGCATGGTATATAAGTCCCTAGATATATACAATGGATGATACTATGGGGAGGGAGCATAATTTCAGTGTAAATTAATAAAGTCTGAGTCTAGAGGGTTGACTATGAAGATAGAAAGGATAAATTTCATCTTACAGATATTATATGGCAAAAGTACACATGCTTGATGCACTTCGTGCATAAAGAAAGAGGATTAAAAAACTAACTCCATGTAAGCATCCCTATTTTTAATTCTGTATTAAAGATATAAGCTAATAACTTATTCATTAATGTATTCAGTCATTCAAAAGCTAATGTCAAACACCTTCCATGTACTAGTTATTTGCAGAATCTACTTTCACCAGTCATCCTGCATAAGTAAATTGGTTTAGCATTATTGTCTTTTGAATTTGTCTAATTAGCAGTACTAATTTTACACAGGGAGAAAGATACAGCTGGTTGAAGTGACATACAATAATTCATGATGGCTCTTACTGTACTGCTTATCCCAATTAAAATAAGACAGTAGCATTTACTTATTAATTCAATTTTTTCTCATATCATTTAGAAAAGATATCTTTTATAATTTAAATTTCTTATGCCTATTTTGAAGATAGGTGTGAATTTTTTCAGAAAAGACTTAATTGACTCTACTTTCAAAAGTTATCTGAAAGTAAAAGTAGGAACAGAAAACCTTATACACTTGCTGAAAATATTCTGTCATTTAATCTTTTTATGTAATTCTAAAACAGTGGTATAAATGTCAACCTGATGTGCAGGAAGATAATTTTATTTTTATGAAGGCTAGAGTTTCTATCATTTTAAAGTATGGCAATAATTAGAATTTAGTTTCTGATTTTACATATAGGAATATTTGATCATTTTTATTGTGTTAGAGAGGAACTTCTGCTCCTAGAGATGAGGGATTAACAGAGTCCAGACTTAGCCTTCTGCCATAAGCAACTAGAAATCTTGACAAAATATACAAAACAACTGTGTTCAGACATTGGAAAACAGTACATGACCTTGAGTTCATGGAAGTGAAGGGAAACAAACAAGGTGAACCCTAAAATCACTCAGGCTTTCTGCCTGGAGACAGAAAGACAGAAATAATTTCCTGATGGTTGTTCATTTGAGAGAGAAAACAAATGGAGCTTGGCCATCTTGCTAATTTAAGAAGACAGAATCAGAGTTTGGGAGGACCAAAACAGCTAGAATTTGTAGTGCAAAGTATGGAAGAAGATGGATCTATGCAAAAAAGGAGCCACAGAAATTAGCATAGGCATTCCCTTGAGTATTTGATTGAATACTAGTCTACATGTCAGCCGGCTGGAATTTTGAGTCCGAGTAAGGAACACTTAGTAGGGAGTTGGATTCCCAGAGCTGACATAGAGCCAGAAATTTTCCAACTTCCAGCAGCCAGAGTAGAGATATCTTGTTGAATACATAAGGAATTAAGTAAAAGCTCTTGGAAGGTCATGTCTTAATAATGAGGCTAAACTATTCCTCAAACAGTGACTATTCTAGACTTGCTCTAATAATTTAAAATCAAAGCTCAAAGGGAACAAACTAAGCTGTAAGTTGCTTAACTGCATGCTCAAACAAAGTCCAACACTCATTTTAAAAAGGAAGAAAAATAAATCCGCACTCTACACCTTAATGCACACAATGTCTTGCATCTAGCCAAAAAATTGCAGATTTGACCAAGTGGCAAAATGTGTCACATTACCAGGAAGAAAACCAAGCAATAGAAACAGTTCCAGAAATTACATTGATGTTAAAATTAGCAGTCAAGGGCGTTAAAACACAAGGATAAATACGTGCTAAAAGATTTAAAAGAAGACATAAATATAAAAAGAAGAAAAATGACAATATAAAAAATAACATATTAGAAGTTATACAGCTGAAAAATAACATATCTAAGAAAAAAACATTTTAATGGATTGGATTAACAGCACATTAATTGTTGTAGAACTAAAGGTCAGTGAACTGAAAAACATAGCAATAGGAAACAGGCAAATGAGGCACAAAGAGAAAAAATTAAAAGCTAAAAGAAATGAGCAAACTCTCAGTTACTTGCAGAGTAATACCCAGTGGTAGACTATAAGTGCAACTGAAGCTTCAAAAGGCTGGGAGAGTGAAGCAGGTCAGAAGAAAACCTGAAGAAATGGTGGCTGTAAAATTTTAAATGTAATGAAAATGTAAGCCCAAATCCATAAAGTTCAACAAATCCTAAGCAGGATAAACACAAAGAAGTCATTACAATTAAGTTGCTAAAAACCAGTGATAAAAAATTAATATCCAAAATAAGAAAGGGGTGATACATTCAGAAGAACGAAATAACAATTATGGCAGGCTTCTTATCAGAAACTATAGGTGAGACAAGAAAGAAGTAACATCTTCAAAGCACTGAAAGCAAAAATAATAATAATAATCTTTAACCTAGAATTCCATTCCCTAGGACAATGGAATGACATAACATGCTGAAATAGAATATATATATACGGTCAACTTAAACTTCCATACCAAGTGAAAATGTTATTTTTGAAATACTAAGGCAAAATTAATACTTTTTCAAACAAATAGAAGCTGAGAGAGGTCATATTCTCAGGCTGGCATGGCTGTAAATGTTAAAGAAAGGTCTTCAGGAAGAAGAAAATTATACCAGGCCAAAATGTGGACCTAAACAAAGTAATTAAAAGAACCAGAAATGTAAATATATGGCTAAATATAAAATATAATATCTTTGTTATTTTAAAAAACATATTTCAGGGATAATTGACTGTTTAAAGCAAAAATAATAATTCATTTGGGAAGGGTCTATAAAATAAATATGTGGAAGTAAAATGTATAAAACTATAACCCAAAGGACGGGAGGGGAAAATGGAAGAATATTACTGTAGGGTTCTTACATTATACATAAAGTAGTATAATCTTATCTGAATGTACATTGTGATAAATTAGTGGTGCATATTGTCAATTTTAGAGCAACCACTGGAACATAGCAAAGAGGCCTAACTAGTAAGCCACTATGCAGATAAAATAGAATGCTAAAAAGAAGGCAAAAAACAAAGAACATATAGGACAGAAAAAAGAAAAATAAGAGATGATTGATTTGTATTTAACCATACTGATTATTATGATAAATGTAAATGTACTAAACAATAAAAGGCAGAAATTGTCAGACTAGAGATAAATGCAAGACCAAATTGTGTGCTGTCTACAAGACGTGCACTTCAAATGGAATGTGTTTTTATGTTTATTTTTGTACTATGGAGTGTGAAAGTGTTTACCAAGCAAACTGAAAATGGGGGAAAGTTTAAACTGCTCAGATATTAAGCAGCTCTCCAGTAATTTTGAACTAGTAATTTTGCTACCAGTACTTGTTATGATCTTTTGAATTCACTAGAGAAAGTCAGGCAGGGCAATACTTGATTCTTCTTTCTTAGCTATCATTCTGTTTTTATGTATATATAGTTGCTCTTGAGTGAAATTGTCTAATAATTCAGTTTTTCATAATTACAACAAAAATTGTATAATTACTTAGCTTTGATGAATTAAAAGGTTTTATTACAGACTTTTTTAGTAAAACATTACTTGCTTTCTCAGAGAAGAAAAATATATACTTTTTCTTTTTTGAGAGTAATAAATATTAATATAAACAAGGATTAAATTAAACTGTTTCATTTTTAACTCTGCAAAAAAATGTAGTCAAATAACTCTATAAAATGAATTATTATTGAAAAGCCTCCAAACCCAGCATGGAATGAATTGACAATTCCATCCAAACTCTAAGGTAATCAAATATATACAAATTCACATTCTTAAGATTCCTCAGCATATAAGATTATTTTCATAGTTAGTCTTTTTTTCTTTATTCATAATCTGAAAACAAATCCTCATCTGAAATAGAAGCTTTTCTGGGAAAACTATCTTTAAAATTCATGAAATATCTATGTTATAGGTTATACGGAAAGGAGAAGTGAGCTGCTGCTGGATTTGCACGGCCTGCAAAGAGAATGAATATGTGCAAGATGAGTTCACCTGCAAAGCTTGTGACTTGGGATGGTGGCCCAATGCAGATCTAACAGGTAGGAACTGCCTCACTTGGAAACCTTGTGCCTCACTATTTGCCTTTCCAATGTGTCCATCCCTCAAATGAGAATGATTAGCTCATGTCTTCTCAATGTTAATTTACAATGCACACTTTTTAGTCCTCATGTCAAGGAGTATACATAAACCTCATAAGTTTTCTATAATCTATATTGAAAAGAAAGTTCATGTAAATCTAAATAACAATGAATTGATGTGTGGTAGGCTATGCTATTATAGAGTTGTTTTCTGTTTTTCTTTAAATTGTATTTGAAGGTATTTCTGGCCACCTGAATTTATATTTGCAATCATTTCTTGAACATCTACTATGGATGAGGCACTACTATAGGCCCTAAAAATAGAAAAGTAAATGTCCCAGCTTTTATTTTGTATAAAATCTATCAGGGAAGAAACATGGAAAAATATAATATAACATAACATAATTATTAAAATAATCATCCCGGCTTTTATTTTGCTTAAAACCTATCAGGAACGAAACATGAAAAATATAATAAAACATAATATAATTATTGAAATAATAGAGATATCTATAAAGTGCATAAAGTTTGTTAAGCAGGCAAGAAGATGAAAGGAATTTCAGGCCTAAAGTAGAACACGGGAAACATGAAAGTTTATGACACATTTGCAGAAAACCATAGAACAAGTATGTGGGGTTGGTAGGTAGGGACAATGGTCCAGTAGGGTAGTGGTCAGAAATGAGAATAGACAAGGACACTGATGGGATGGCAGAGTGCTTCTGTGTGACATTCCTCTACATGTTTGGACTTTGGCTTTGAGCACAGGAGAACCACTAAAGAATTTTAAAGTGGTGAATGACATTATGATACCCGCATTTCTGGTATGCTTCTTGTAGTGGTATAGGAAGTTGTTGTATTGATGCAAGTGAGTTACTTGAAAAGGTGTGGATTAGGACAGCTACAGTAGGAATGGAAAGGAATAAATGAAACAGATGATTCACTAGTAAAACCAATGGAACTCAGAGGGATTGATTATATGAGTTTGTAAGTTTCCTAAGAGTGATGTTCATATAAATGAATTTTGTTTTTCACACATCTTGTTATGAGCTTACAGAGGAGAAATGATTCATAAAACTTTGCATAAATTTTAGGAGCCATAGAGGCTTTTTTATGTGAGTACATAGACACTTTGTCATCTGAATAATCTAGCCCCTCGTCTTATCATCTTAGAAAGAGGGAGCTGAGGCCTAGAGACGTGAAGTTGTATGGCCAAAGTCAGGAAAATAGTGAGAAGCAGAACCTAGTCCACTAACCCCTGACTCCATGTCTTTTTGGGTGCTGTTGAAAATCATCCGTAAATGTAATATTCTTGATGGTTGGACATTTTTTTACTTGTTTCCAAGTAAAAATATGCAACTAAGAAATCATGCAGTTTATTCAGAGTACATAAAAAATGACTAGGTAAGTAGAACTAGGTCACGTAACTAAAATTATACTAAGTGACAATACCTTGTAAAATGTTAATTTTGTTAGAAAAAAGTTAAACTGAGCAGCAGAAAGCTTTTGTAAGTCACCTAGTACAAAGGTCCTTTTTAAAGAGAAGAAAAGTAGATCAGAACGTTTTTGAAGGTATGAACTGCATCTCACTCATCTTTTTATTTGCCAGCTAAATTTCATGCCTAAAAATTACCCAGGAATTACCCACCTCCAGAGATTCCGCTTTGCTCCCGCTGGAGTGGAACTCAGCAGATCCTGATGCAATTACTCTCTGTCCCACCCATTGAGAAACACCACTCTCTGGCGCATAGCCTGATGCCTTGAACATAATAGCTACTTAATACATGTTTGTTAAATTGAGGGAATTAGGAAGAAGGGACTCACCCAGGGTCATCGAGGTCAATGCAGTTGGTTAATAGAAAAACCACAGTGAGCATTCAAGATTGTTTGTCACTGGATCTAATGAATGCTCTCACTCTGCCATGGTTGCATGCAATGGCCTGGCTTGGAAAAGCTTTTCCAACCTCATTTTGGACTCATGCCTTCCCTCCACTTACATTATTTCTCTTCAAATTTGTATCCTACTTCATGGTGTGTGCCTCCTGCCAGGCCTCTTTTTCTTGTATAAGTAGGTCCGCTTAGATGGCCATTGTGTTTGAGAGCTGGGGTTTACTGACAGTCATTCCACTCATCTGTTTGACTGAGATCACAGCTGACTAGGAAAAAGCTCAAAGACAAAAGTGACCTCTTTATGAGGTTAATCTTAGAAGTCAGAAGTCTTGGCTTTGAGGTACAAAGATTTTTCTCTTGTCTACATTTTTTGGGCTTTCTCCAACTTCTCCTACTGCTCTATTTCATTTTCATTAGGGCTTATCTCACACATTAAAAAAATTTCTATCCTATTTTAAAACACTAAGATAAAAAAGCTTTTTAAAAAACATGATATGATGTAATAGTGGAACTCAAGGTCATACCTTTTATTCCTTGGAGATGCTCTATTGTGGGATTATTGCATATTTTCTGTCCACTGCCAAATGCTCATTTCCGTTGATTAGGGATCTTTAACTTGGTAAAATATTTTTAAAATTCTCCTTGGTTAAAAATGGATTAATATTAATACAATTACATTTCTAACGATTTAATATGCCATGAGCTATCATATGCATAAAAGTCACTTTAACATTCAAATGAGTTGAGCCAGCAACTCCTCAGACCATGCCCTTAGCTAATAACAACAGGCATGCAGCTGCGACTGGGTCATATATTCAGATGATTTTGCAAATCTTATCTTTAGGGTCTTTCACAATATAGATTCCTCATTCTAATTTATACTAATGTCTTAATGATCCATATTGATTCTGCCTTTCTTTTGGTCTCTTACAGGAAATCCCATTTACCACTTGCTTGATGCCATGTCAAGCACAGAGCAAGGGCATAGTCCGTGCCAATGTGTTGTGGGTGTTACCATGGTAGCGGTAGTTATGAAATGAGAAAACCTATGAGAACAGAATACTAAAAATCAGTAGAATTACTCAGAAAAGTAAACGCATTGCCTTTAAGTAGGTGTTTGATTTATGGGTAATTTTTTTTCACTAAATATTAGTTAAAATGAGAAATCATTCTTCTTTGAAAAATAGTGTATTCTACTGAAGTAAAATATACTTTTTATTTTTAATAGTTGGTTAAAATATACTTAAAATCACTTTAAAAGTTAGCTACTTTTAATATATACTCCATACATTATAATATTAATGAATAAAAACAGGTTTACTGTGGTTTTTATTTCCATTAAAATGTGGTTTTTTTTGGCTATGAAGAAATTAGTATATTTCTTAGAGAAAGTGCTTTTTGAAGCTGTTAAAAAGTTTCTCATATTTTCTTCTTGTGAAATTGCACATTTTAATTCAGCACTTAAATTTCACACTTTATTTCTTGTGATACAAAAACAGGGATCTTTTCTACCATGATATACAGCTTGACAGTAGTTTAACAATTTGTGGACCAATTATATGTAATCCAATGCTACTAATTTATTTGTAGAAGTAAAATAAGAATATTCCTCAAAAAGACAGACTACGCTACATTTTCTCATTAAAAAAAAAAACGGAAAATGCTTTATAAACATTAACTAATTTTAACAACTTTTTTTCCATTCCGACAGTTGTTGTAACCTCTTACACTAGTATCTACTAATTTATTTCATTCTGTAATAAACACTACCACCTGTTTTGTGCCAGGTACTTTTTAAAAACTGGGAATATACAGGTGAATTAAGCAATGTCTATATCCTAAGGGAGGAGCTTCATATGAAACTAGCCATGTAAACAGCCAACTATAAGTCCTACAATAGAGTTATGGGTAAAATGTCAGATAAATATGGAGCGGCTGTTTTTCCCTGGGAAGAAAAAAGCCTTTGCAGAAGAAGGGACATTTGATCTGAGCACTGAATTACAAACAGAATTTCACCTGGTAGAATTTCATTGAATTGTAATAGAATTACTATTTATATTGATTTTAAAACAATCAGGGAAGCATTTTGATGAAGGTTTATATGATCATGATGTAGTATTGCAAATGTTATGAATTACCTCAAGACGCTTTGCATAGAGTTTTATTTCTTAATTTATGTTAAATTTGACTTGACCTAATTGGAAAAAAGTCTGATAGTAAATTTCATCCTCCTCCAATACATCTGGATCATATAAGATGTACTGGATCTTATAAGGATCTTATAAGTACCCTAACATTTGATTCAAAAATTAGAAGTAGCTACCAGTCCTCAGATCAGAGTTATTGCCACCTTGCTTTGATTTTGCTCAGTAATTTGTAGTTGGCTTGAAGGAAACTGACTTGTCTGATAGCTCTGAGTTCTCTGTAATAACCCTAACCATAAACATTTGCCAGGACCTCAAGTTCCCAAGGTTCAGATATGCAAAGCACAACTCTCACAAAGTCCCCCTTTTGAGTTCTGAGGTTAGGTGGACGCTACTCACCACTGGTTGAAGGTAGTCTCCCCTCTTTCTAGTTTTGGGATAAACAAACACACCTGGAGGTTGGATAACTCTTTTTTAAAAACTTCAAAACAGGATCTCAAAGAAAGCCACATAACATGACATTACATAATTGGACAAATGACATTACAGCTAATTCCCTCAAGATGGCAAAGCTAATGTTTCTCAAATTTAGGATAAATTTAAATTTATCCTAAATAAAAAATAAAGAAAGAAAAGAAAAAAAGGAAAAAGAATCTAAAACTTTTAAGAAACTTACTCAAAATATAGATTCTGTTTTGGATGGTTCCAGATTGGCATTGAAAAGCCTGGTTTCCATATATGAAAAAGAATCTAGCATCTTCCCAAGAGATAAAGCAATCATAGTAGAATTGCAAGTATGTTTCTGGGTGTCATGACAAACTGCTACTGTTACAACACGAGAGTACTTACATCCCCTCTAGCATAACAACATTGTTCTTCATCTGTATTTGATGCACTGTATAGGACAGAGTTATTTTATAGCTAGATTTGGACAACTTTATGATTATCCTTGGAGAGGCCTTAGTATCTGTCCTTGACTATTGTCCTCATTAGGGGAACTTGGATTTACGATATGCAGTTTAAAGTTTAAAATGTGTTTGGTGGCAACCAAATCCTGTTTGCTCACTGATGGATTTTGCCTGAAATCACCAATTAGCTTGATTTGGCTACATGACTTGGGGGTGATAAAAAGATTCCACTGAAACTTCTGCCCTAGCTAACCCAAAGCCAATATTCATGGTAGAGATCCTGGTAGTCCAATCCACAGTTAAAGTCTATCCATGTGTGAATAAGAACCTAGAGAGCTTGCACCTGGTTATCTCTTGGTCCCTTGGTGTTGACATGCACTGTCTTTCTCGCACCGTATTAGACCTTTTGACTTTAAATAAAATTGTTACATGAGTGTCTTCTACAAGTCTTCTGAATCTTTTCAAATATCTAAACTCATGCAATCTTTGCATATGCAGAGTATTGTTATTGGAAAAGTTAGCATAACATACCTTTATATTATTTCTTTTTTAAAATTATACTTCAAGTTCTGGGATACATGTGCAGAATGTGCAGATTTGTTACATAGGTATACATGTGCCATGGTGGTTTGCTGCACCCATCAACCCGTCATCTACATTAGGTATTTCTCCTAAAGCTATCCCTCCCTTTGCCCCACACTCCCTGACAGTCTCTGGCGTATGATGTTCCCCTCGCTATGCCCATATGTTCTCATTGTTCAGCTCTCACTTATGAGTGAGAACATGCAATGTTTGGTTTTCTGTTCCTGTGTTAGTTTGCTGAGAATGATGGTTTCCAGCTTAATCCATGTCCCTGCAAAGGACATTAACTCATTCTTTTTATATGACTGCATAGTATTCCATGGTGTATATGTGCCACATTTTCTTTATCTAGTCTATCATTGTGGGCATTTGGGTTGGTTCCAAGTTTTTGCTATTGTGAATAGTGCTGTGATACATACCTGTGCATGTGTCTTTATAGTAGAATGATTGGTAATCCTTTGAGGATATACCCAGTAATGGGATCGCTGGGTCAAATGGTATTTCTGGTTCTAGATCCTTGAGGAATCACCACGCTGTCTTCCACAATGGTTGAACTAATTTACACTCCTACCAACAGTGCAAAAGCGTTCCTATTTCTCCATATCCTCTCCAGCATCTGTTGTTTCCTGACTTTTTAATGATCACCATTCTAACTGGCATGAGATGGTGTCTCGTTGTGCTTTTGATTTGCATTTCTCTAATGACCAGTGATGATGAGCTTTTTTTCATGTTTATTGGCCACATAAGTGTCTTCTTTTGAGAAGTTTCTGTTCGTATCCTTTGACCAATTTTTGATGCAGTTGTTTTATTTTTTCTTGTAAATTAAAGTTCCTTGTAGATTCAGGATATTAGCCCTTTGTCAGATGGATAGATTGCAAAAATGTTCTCCCATCCTATAGGTTGCCTGTTCACTCTGATGATAGTTTCTTTTGTTGTGCAGAAGCTCTTCAGTTTAATTAGATCCCACTTGTCAATTTTGGCTTTTGTTGCAATTGCTTTTGGTGTTTTAGACATGAAACCACTACTCAAGGAAGTAAGAGGACACAAACAAATGGAAAAACATTCCATGCTCATGGATAGGAAGCATCAGTATCGTGAAAATGGCCATACTGCCCAAAGTAATTTATAGATTCAATGCTATTCCCATCAAGCTACCATTGACTTTCTTCACAGAATTAGAAAAAACTACTTTAAATTTCATATGGAACCAAAAAAGAGCCTGTATAGCCAAGACAATCCCAAGCAAAAGGAACAAAGCTGGAGGCATCACGATACCTGACTTCAAACTATACTACAAGGCTGCAGTAACCAAAACAACTTGGTACTGGTACCAAGCAGATATATAGACCAATGGAACACAACAGAGGCCTCAGAAGTAACACACACATCTACAGCCATCTGATCTTTGACAAACCTGACAAAAACAAGCAATGGGGAAAGGATTCTCTATTTAATAAATGGTGCTGGGAAAACTGGCTAGCCATATGCAGAAAACTGAAACTGAACCTCTTCCTTACACCTTATACAAAAATTAACTCAAGATGGATTAAAGATTTAAATGTAAGACCTAAATCCGTAAAAACTCTAGAAGAAAACCTAGGCAATACCATTCAGGACATAGGCATGGGCAAAGACCTTTATATTATTTCTCGAATGATGTCCACCAACAGTAGCTTAATATAACTAAATTATTGAGTTAGTGTGATGATTGTCTCTAGTATATCTAGGCTCAGATAAATTCCTCTTAGTAGTAAGAGAAATAATAAAGATGAACTCAGATTTTTATAGCTTTAAATCAGTAAGGAAAGAAGTATGAATAAGCAAGAATATACAAAGGAGAGTATGATATATACAAGAATTTTATAATGGTGATCTTGCACAGAAGATCATTATATGGTTATTAGCATGCTCCAAGGTCTTTGGGTCAGCAGTTAACTTCCATGCCCTTTCTGCTTCTGGAGGCTTTTGCAGAGCTTCAGTTTAAAATTACTAATGGGTGTAATCATCAGTGTATCAAGGTTCCCTTTCATTTTTCTAGAGGGTTGGGAATGATGAGGTCATGAATAAATATTCCGGTGAAAATGTCCTCATATCACTGGATTTATAAATTAGAATGTTTCAGCTAAGAAATACAAATGTAATTGTATTTTAGCCATTGTGAGGATTGTGGCTTTTCAACAGGGGAACGCTTAAACAGAGTCATAAAATAAGCACGCTATTTGAACTAGTACCTAGTAATAAATCATAGAGAGGCACAACCATATACAATCCATCTGGAGATGCTCAAAGGTTTCTTTTGCAATTTTATCAATGTCCCATACATTTTTTTCCAAATTAATTTAATTACAAATGAAGCATGAGCTGGACACATCTTCTGCTATCCTGAAAATGTCTTTCCATTGCTGTTTAATTGGCCAACTTGTCCTTCCAGAATAAGTTGCCTCATTTTTCATGAGATGTACTGAGTGTTCACAAATATTCTTCAAATGAAACTTCTGCTTGAGATATCTACAGATTTTCTTCCATAGGCTCCCAAACCATAGAGAGCAGAGACCTTTTAGTTGGTTTACTGAAAGATCCATAATTATGTTGATTTGGGTTATTTACTTTTTAACTCTATCTGGAAATGTCAAGCCACATATTAGACATTTTCTAAATTGGTAATTTTAAATTATAACTGTTTTTTCCTCATTTGATTCAACTAATTCAGGAGGTCTAAGCCTACCTACAGAGGGAGAGAATATGGTCCTTTTTAAGTTAGTTGTTGAGTCTATTTCAGAACTATTTGAAAGTTTCCTAAAGTTTTTTCTTCATCTTTATTTAGTTTACAACTTTGAATATTTATTGAAAGAAAAGCTTCTGAAAGTGCTTTATGCAATGCCTTTTCTATTTTTCTTTTTTAAATGTTACACCACTGGGTTACTTTAATCTTCTCTTTTCTGCTCTTGCATTTAAACATTTTTCTCCATCAAAGGCTAATAATTAATTGAATTAATTGGTACATACTTGTAGTATGGACAATAAGTATCTAATAAAATTTCCAAATTCTATAGCAAACATTATGTTCTGTATTCATGAAGTTTAGGAAAATTATTAACTATAGGTCTTAATTTGGCTTTATACCAGTTTCTTTAATTCAACTTCTATAGATCTGACTTGTGTTCTAGAAAGTTTAAAATGTTATACTATTTTCTGGTAAAATCTCTGATGACAGAGTATTTCATTTAGAGAGTCAGGTAAAGTTGCATAGAAAAAGAATGAAATGAAAAGAAGGTAGCATTCAGAAGGTTACCAAAGCCTTGACAAAAATCATCTTTGAATTGGAAAATTTGTTTGCAGGATGACAGCTAAAGAAACTGACAATTCACTGTGGTATTTTATCTCCTAATTTGTCTAGAGCTCCTTGTAAATATTTTAATTTATTGATTTCATCATAAATTAGTTCCCATATGGCCAATGTTATTTTAAATATCTATTTTCCTACCTATCCATCATCTATCTATCTATCTATCTATCTATCTATCTATCGTCTATATATATATATTTATCATCTATGTATCATCTGTCTTGCCTGCATTGGGAAAACAAAAATAAAATTAGGATTAGTATGTGACTTTATATAGGAAGAATAAGTTCTTCCAGAAAAAGGTTTGTATTTAGACAGAGACAAATCTCTGATACACAAGGAAGAGAGGCCACTAAGTTCTGTCAAAAGTGTGTGCTTGCCAATGGTGTCTTAGATTCCCAAAGCAAACGGAGTGTAGGAAGGCAACACACAATCACTAAAATAAAGTGATCTTTCATAAGTTGACAACACGGGAAGTATTCTTGTAAAGGTTTTCTAAGAAACCTAAGGCTGAGTGACCTACCACTTTTGGCAAATTGGTTATCAATTTAAAGGAGCTCCAAACATTAGCACTCAGGGCCAGCTTGGATTGGACACTTCTTAGGCTTACATGTTCCTCTAATGTTTATGAACTATCCCTTATATTGTCAACAGAAAAAGGTGATTCAAAACAAAACAAACACACAAACAAAACAGAAAAATATGGTTCAAAACGAAACAAACACACAAACAAAAAAGACCCATAAAATAAGACTTTGTGTATGTATGTAAATAACAGCAAAAGCAAAGAAACAGCAAGGGAATAAACAGATATGGAAAAAAATATTTATCAAATTGTGTATCTCTAAAGTGAACTATTTATTGACATAATAAAAAGCTTATGTCTAATTACCAAATGGTGCATTTCAAAACCAAAGGTTATATGACTTAATATATAAAGATACAGGTGAAATAACCTTACACAAAGACCTAAGTTTAAGTGCCTTCTATATAAAGACCTACATGATTACAAATCCTAGGACAACTACATAAATTCAGCAACAAGAGCTCAGTAAAATTAGCCAGAGTGAGAAAATTATTGAGAATGACTCTCATGCTAGTACATGGGAAGGACAGAATGCGGGCACGAGGGGGTCCAGTGAGTGACCCTGTTGATCAGAGCATCTCCTGGAATGTTATCAAATAAGGAGTCTTCAAAATTATCTTGGTGAAGCCTCTAGAAATATGAAACATGGTGAGACTAAATACATAAAATTTTTTTTAAAAAGCACAAAAGCTGGCTGGGTGTGGTGGCTCATGCCTGTAGTCCCAGCACTTTGGGAGGCCGAGGCAGGCTGATCAGGAGATCGAGAACATCCTGGCTAACACAGTGAAACCCCGTCTCTAGTAAAAATACAAAAAATTAGCCGGGCATGGTGGCGGGTGCCTGTAGCCCCAGCTACTCGGGAGACTGAGGCAGGAGAATGGCGTGAATCCAGGAGGCGGAGCTTGCAGTGAGCTGAGATTGCGCCACTGCACTCCAGCCTGGGCAACAGAGTGAGACCCCGTCTCAAAAAAAAAAGAAAAAAAAAAAAAAAAAAAAAGCACAAAAGCTAAACAAATTGCTTACTATAGTAAGGGATAGTTATGCTAGGCAGATACATTTTCTCTGAGCAGAAGACTATTCATTTTATATGGAGTTTTTAGAAAGTGTGGAGTTTAGGGATTGAAAACCTTGCAGCTTCTGAGAGCTGGTTGACATCACCTGTAGCAATACGATTACTCACATGAGACTGTTGATTAGTTGGCACTCATTTATTGAAGTGATTCTGATCCTGCCTGAGTGATTATCAGAAGTAAGGGCTGACAGTGCTTGCTTGGCATCCAAACACATGTTCACTGAGGCAAGTTGTTGATTGACTGACAGGTTTAGCACTGGTTCTGGTGGTTCCTTGTTGCCATGGCTACAGAACAATGAGTCTTTTCCTAAATTTATGGAAATGACTTTATTCTCACAATTTGGGAAATATTGGCCCAGACCAAATATTTTGTGATTACAAAATTCTGTGAAGGGGTTGTCCCAGAGCCTGACAAATTTTTCTCTCACTCTGAAATACAAAATACATTTTATTCTCCATCTAGAAGGAAAAGATAAGCCAGGAATTTAGGAACAAATTCTAGTCTTTCCTTTCAAGAGATGGGTTAGGGGAGATTTCATTCTTCCTGGATATGTCCACTAGAGGTTACTAACTCAAAGGCCCTCAGGTTTCAGATACAGATCATTCATGATTCATGAGAAGAGTGAGATTTAAGGTATAATATAGAGTTATGCAGGAAACAGGAGAATGCAGATTCTTCTAAAGAAGTCCATGAAATTTACATTGAAAACACTCTGCTGGCCAAAAACGACTTGTCTATGAGCTGGACTTGCCTACAGACAATGGCTGCATCAAAAGAAAAGTTTTGTTAGTTTATTTCTTAATAATTTATTCTATCCCATTATCACCATTTAACCCTCACTGGAAATAAAGTTTTATTTGGGTGTTTTCTTTTTCTGAACATGTAGAACCGAGTCCCATTCACAGAATGACATCTATTTATAATGCTGATGTTGGAAGAAAAGATCATTTTTATAGGTTCAAGTATGTCACATTAGGCTTGTAATAAGATTAAGTTTGGGGACATAATTGTCCAGGTAAGACAATGATGTATCTTTATTTGTGTAATAGTGTGCATTTTTAAAAAAGCATTAAATGCTGTAAATCATGAAGGATGCAAAGATGACTGTGTCTCTGGTAATTAATAGGCAAGTTGTTATTCCTAGCAGAAACCTTGGATTCATGCTCAAATGATTTTTCTCATCACAGGCTGTGAGCCCATTCCTGTGCGCTATCTTGAGTGGAGCAACATCGAATCCATTATAGCCATCGCCTTTTCATGCCTGGGAATCCTTGTTACCTTGTTTGTCACCCTAATCTTTGTACTGTACCGGGACACACCAGTGGTCAAATCCTCCAGTCGGGAGCTCTGCTACATCATCCTAGCTGGCATCTTCCTTGGTTATGTGTGCCCATTCACTCTCATTGCCAAACCTACTACCACCTCCTGCTACCTCCAGCGCCTCTTGGTTGGCCTCTCCTCTGCGATGTGCTACTCTGCTTTAGTGACTAAAACCAATCGTATTGCACGCATCCTGGCTGGCAGCAAGAAGAAGATCTGCACCCGGAAGCCCAGGTTCATGAGTGCCTGGGCTCAGGTGATCATTGCCTCAATTCTGATTAGTGTGCAACTAACCCTGGTGGTAACCCTGATCATCATGGAACCCCCTATGCCCATTCTGTCCTACCCAAGTATCAAGGAAGTCTACCTTATCTGCAATACCAGCAACCTGGGTGTGGTGGCCCCTTTGGGCTACAATGGACTCCTCATCATGAGCTGTACCTACTATGCCTTCAAGACCCGCAACGTGCCCGCCAACTTCAACGAGGCCAAATATATCGCGTTCACCATGTACACCACCTGTATCATCTGGCTAGCTTTTGTGCCCATTTACTTTGGGAGCAACTACAAGATCATCACAACTTGCTTTGCAGTGAGTCTCAGTGTAACAGTGGCTCTGGGGTGCATGTTCACTCCCAAGATGTACATCATTATTGCCAAGCCTGAGAGGAATGTCCGCAGTGCCTTCACCACCTCTGATGTTGTCCGCATGCATGTTGGCGATGGCAAGCTGCCCTGCCGCTCCAACACTTTCCTCAACATCTTCCGAAGAAAGAAGGCAGGGGCAGGGAATGCCAAGTGAGTTATCTGACCTGTTTGTCTCTCTTTTCTCTTCCTTTCTCTGTCTCTTTCTCTCTCTCTCTCTCTCTCTCTTTCTCTGTCTCTCATATCTTCCTCTAGTTTTCTGAGTTGTCTCTTCCATTTCCCCCATGTCTTTCTCTTCCTTTCTTAATCTTTTCTCCCTTTCTTAAATCTCACATTCTGTTGCAGTAAGAATGCAGAACTGAGGCTCCTCCCTGTTTTCATTTCTTTGAAAGAAAAGGAGCAGGAAACAATCTTTATTCTTGCCTAGAAGCGGAAGCTTCGGTTCTGCCAGTAACTTACCCTTTCGCATGGGACCTCCTTCTATGGAGCATCATTTTGCCCCTGGGGGCTGGGTCAGAGAGGCAAGCACTAATTATAATGTCTAGTTCTGACCATGGTGAAAGTAGCTTCTGGTTTATTTTTATCATTCCGGAATCACACCACTTCTAAACCGGGGTGAAAGGGAGGAAAACTTAGCACCTGGAGAAATTGCCATTTCAAAATTTGATCACTACTGAGCACCAAGTATGTCCTAAAATAAGATCCTGCAAGCAACTGACTTATCATATCTCTCTTATTTATTGAACTGGAATGTACATTGTAATAAACATGTTCCACGATGTTATACATGAATTGGGTCATCTCTGCTACTGCAAAGTCATGATCAGAATAGTTTCTTAGTCATAAAGCACCAAAAAATAAAAAAAAATAAAAAAAGGGAACCAGGTGATAAGCCCCAATCTTGAGACTTTGTGTGAACATTAAAGTCCAGATGAATTCCAGATGAATTCTATTCAAAGTCCAGATGAATTATATTTCTATAATTCTTCTGAGTTGTTTTTATAATAAGCACTTTCCTATCCTTTTTCTATTTTGAGAAGAAGCATATGTTAAATTTGCATATGTCACCTCTTTCTGTGACCCATGAAAACAAATTTCATGTAACGTTTTTTATTTCAAAAATAGCACGGATGCTTGAAGTTCTAAAGGTAACCGAAGTATCCAAAGATTAAGTCATTTTCTCCACCAGCAGCATTAATTTCACTCTTTCAAACAATCCTTTAAAAATAAAAAGTTTTAATAATAATCATGATAAGGTACACATTGTTAATAATCATTCCATCCATCTGAACCTGTCAGCAGGAACATTATTTCCCCCTATTTTGTAGGTGAGAAAAGTACTCTGCTGTAAATTTTTATAACTTGTATTTATTTATTATTATTATTTTCTTAATCCCAAATGTGATAGTAGAATTTTTGTAACTTTTCAATGTAATTCCCCTTAGTTATTCTTTATTTAGATCTTAAATGATATGATACTTCTCACTTTAACACATGCCAAAAATTCTACATCCTTTAAATTTCTTGGTTTTTGTATCTTTACTTTCCAAGAAGCAACGTGGGCATCTTTTGCAGAATTTATATACTTTGAGGATCTAACAAGGGAGTCTTTGGGAAAACATATCTTTGAAATCCATTTTATGGATTTCAAGTAAAGACATCCCTAATTTTCTCAAAACTAGGATGAAGCCAATAATGTACGCTTACTTCTTGGTATATCAATTTTTAAGTTTGTTATAGGATGTTGATCATAAAAGTGGTTAGCCTTTTTTTTCCTCTTACCATGTTTTTTTTATTCTAGCCAAACTCCCCTCAGGAGCAAACTCCTGGCAGGGAGTTATCAGGGAGCATGAAAGCAAACCAACAGTGCCACGAAATGGGAAAAAATAATTAGACAATTAGTCCAGATGTAAAATGGCATCACTAACAATTTCCATTAAGAGGGAAGAAATAAGAGGAAAGAAAATGAAAAGAAAGAAGGCATTTCTTAAACTGGAGTGTTCACAAGGATTAAAAGATTCACTTTATTGCAACACCTATGGTTTTCTGAGGGCTCCATTACAACATCCACCATTATTCCACTCCATGTTTCTAATTACCTTGCCTTTATTATGGTTCTTCAGAAGCTTCCTTGTAATTTTTAGGTATGGGTCATTTTTGAAAGTTTTTCTTCTAACCATTTATGGTAAAGAGAAAACCTATATAATTAAGTTATCTTGTGTTGGTGCCCAGGAATATGCATTTTTGAAAGCTCTCCCAGTGATTCTATGTACAGACAGATATGGGCACCTGTTTAAGAGAACAGTGACTAATGAAGAGTATGTAGTGCCTGCTGCAGAGATGAGTTGGAGCTATCTGATGTCACATTAACAATGCTGAGTATTTCTCTCATGTCCAGGCATTGCTGCAAGAGATTACCTTCCCACACCTGGAACCACTTTCCTTATAAACTGAGAGCATTCCCTTCACTATTAGAAATTTAGAAATTAATTTCATGTGGGATCTTGCTTTTGAGAGAAAAATCAGCATGGTCTAAATTAACTGGATTGGTTGTCTAGGAAGTGCTGGTTTCATCAGTAAACTGTTGAACTATTAGCTGCAATTTATCAAGCATTATTACATTCATTTAATAAGAAATATATTTCTAATTAAAAGTTATAACCCGCAGCTTTCTGAGTACAACTTATACCTACTCCAATATGCACCAAGCAAATGAGCTGACCCAGAGAGGGTATTTGAGGCTAACCTTCTACGGAAAACAATCATCTGTTTACTCATTTTTCTCATTTGTTCTGCTGTTGCTCCTGTTGTAACTATGTGAGACTGTAATTTTAGTATATAAAAAAGAATCTCAATGCTATGTTTTTACCTTTTTATTGCCATTTTATATTTTCTTAGTTTGTCTCCAAAGTTACAAAAAGCACAAACAGTCTAATATTTTTACAGCAGCAAAAATCTGGTAGAGTTTTGCCAACTGAAGCAAAGGGGCTAAAAACTCTAGAGAACACATCACCCAATGAGTTTATTGCTATTCTAGATGTGTAATTCCTACATTTATGGTACACTGAGGGTGTTCAGCAGTCTGCATGTGTAGCTATAAACACAGAACAGATGCTGTAATGAAGAGCTTCCAACTGATCTATCTGTTTGAACATTGTTTTGAGGAGTTGCAAGTCCAACGGCATTCTCATGACAGGCTGTTTCTGAGATACGTGGTTGGAATGATGTTGCGTTGTCTGTTTTTAGCAAAGTTTACTTCAATTTTTTATTTTATTCACAGCTGAATATCTGACACAACCAAAGGTTTGGACACTTGCTTTACATTTTCTGGAATATAATATAGGAGGAGTTTAATCAATATACTGGGTGTTTGGGTTGCTTGAGTTATTTATAATCAGAAGTCCCTTCAGGCATACTTGTATCCTGGGAGATCAGCTGAAGTTACCTTTGACACCTCTCATTTCTTTAGCTTTTTAAAAAAATGAACATGAATGGAAAAATATGCAGGACTCAGTAGACTTTAAAATATTGAAAAAATCGATTTATTGGCAATAGAAGAAAATGAAAATCCCTGGACATTTATGAGGAAGTAAATTAATTAGATCCAAGTAATTTAACACTTCCTTTTAAAGAAAAATGAGTTAACATTATTCAACTGAAAAATTCAAATATCATATAAATGACATGCTTCTTTAAAAAGTAATTACATCAGTGATTACATGTCAATCTAACATCTCTAGTTAATTCCTAGATAAATAAAATCACTGAGTGCCAAACAATTTGATGGCACATGGAGCTAAAATGTGACAATACATTCCTATGATATTTTGCATGCAAAATTGTGTACAAAACTAAAAACAATTACAACCTTTCCTCCCTAAAGGCATCAGACTGACACAAGGAAGTAATTTTAAAATATAGGTTACTAAGTAAATGGATATTATTATATGCTACCTTGATTATTTCTTGAGTATTTGAGTTTTTTTTTAACTGAGTCAAGAACCAAGTGAAATTCTAAATGGAATGATGCTCAGAGGAAATTTTCCACTTTGTTCTCTGCTAGAAATATATTTTGTCCACCAGTAGAAGCAAATAAGCCTGCAGCATTAGTCATTATGTCCTGGGTAAGCATTTTGGTTTTCTTTCCTCTGATTATGAAAAGAAATGTATTAGTGAGTTTACAGATATCATGGCCAAATGGAAGTGGCGTGTTCTCCTCTTTTTTATTTTTGATACAGTTCTCATTTATGTCTATAGCTCTGCTAAATTTTTATTATTTTTAATTGACACATAATAACTATACCTATTTATAGGGTACACTGTAATATTTCAATACCTGAATGCCATGTGTAATGATCAAATCAGGGTAATTAGCACATCTATCATTTCAAACATTTATTATTTCTTAGTGTTGGGAATATTCAAAATTCTCTCTTCTAACTACTTGAACTATTGTTAACTATAGTCACTATACCCTAGTAGAACTTATTTGAAAGAACTCATTTACTATTCTGGCTCACAAACAGGATAATCTTGTCATTTTGTAATTATTTTTCTCTTAATCACACAATATATAGCTTTAAAAGCTACTGTAATTCTTCATGATATTTATAGTAAACATCAGAAGATTTATTGAAACATTTGTGATAGAATTTTACTACTGGATAGTAATATTTATTGAGGATCAATTTCTCATTCATTCATTTATGTAATCAATCATTGTTTCAACAGTAAGCTTAAAAGCACTTAGGTACTTGATATGGTGCTAGGTAGTCAAGATAAAATATATATATATAAGAGGCAGGCCCTGACTGCACCAATCTTGCAATATGGGAAGGGAGACACTAAAAAATATAACTAAATGTACTGTGCTATGTGCCATAGTAGAAAACCAATATAACATTCTCAGTGCCCAGGGAAGAAAGAGATTAAGTCCAGTTAATGGAGTAGTATCTGTAGAAGGATTGGAAAGATCTTCGAGTAAAAGTAGCATTTGAACTTGACCATAAAGCATGTTTTTCAACTGGAGAAATTGTGCTATGCTAGACTATTTTATATAGAGAAAATAACATAAGTGAAGATTCAGAAATGTTAATGCACTTTCATGCCACGATGTAGAGTTTGTTATGCATGAAGCACGTAGAGAGATGTAGTGTTGGGCAACTTTGCAAATGCAAGAAGAGTATAGAATATAGATAATGGTTAATGTACCAAGAGGAAGTTTCAGTACTTTTTCTATAAATCACAAGGTGCAATAAAGGTTTTTGTGAAGTTTCATCATCATGTATAAGCTTTAGGGGAAGAAACTGACTTATAGAAAGACCAGTTAATAGAGTGCCACAGTAATCCAATAACAGGTAAAAATAAAAGCCTTAAACTAGAGCAGTAAAGTTGAATCCAAGACATGCATATGAAAAAGTTTTCTGAGCTTAATTCACTAGACTTGAAATACCAGTTATGCGAGCTGAAAGAAATAATAAGAAAATAGGACTCTTATGATTTGAGCCCAAGTGAAATACTGCTACTATTAAAACAGATAAGGAATACAGGAACAGGACAGAGGAGATATTGACAAGATGGGTTTCAGATTAATTAATTGAAAGTGCTATAAAGTCATCCAAAGGGAGGTATCCATAAGATTCTTAGAAATTTAAGTCTGGAGCTTAAGAGAAAGGTCTAGGCCAGACCTCTAGATTTGAAGATCAATTGTCAAAATATTTAAAGTGCCCAAGAGGGTGGTTATGACATGAGAAAAGAAGAAATACCGGGAAGAACAAACATTAGGGAACTCTTACACTTAAGAGATAACATAAGGAAAATCTGAAGGCAGTAGACAAAGGTTATCAAAAAGAATGTGGGAAATAAAAGGATGCAATATTATGGAAACCAAGGAGACCTTGTATTAATGCGCTCAGGTTGTCAAAACAAAATACCACCAACTGAGCTGCTGAAATAAAAGATGTGTATTTTCTCACAGTTCCGGAGGCTGAAAATCAAGATCAGGATGCCAACATGGTTTGTTTCTGGTGAAGGCTTTCCCATTGAGTCACAGACAGCCACCATCTTGCTGTGTGCTCACATGACTTCTTCTTTGGGAGATAGAGGATATAGATAGCAATGATAGAGACAGCGAGACAGCTCTGTTGTGTTTTTTTGTTTGTTTGTTTGTTTGTTTTTTACATGGGCACTAATCCCATCCTAGGAGCCCCATCCTTATGACTTCATCTAAACCTAATTACCCAAAGTCTCCATCTCCAAAACATTCTCTATTAGGGCTTCAATAGATGAATTTTGGGGAGAATGACTCATATATTCAGTCAATAACAGAATGTTTCAATAAGATAGAACTTGAGGTCTTATCCTTGGAATCACCAAGGATGGGGACTGTATGGTTAACCTTGAGAGGTTTCAGTGCTATAATCTGGGTAGAAGTTATACTGCAATAAGTTGAGGAGTTTGGCATTAAAAGAAGTAGGAAATTCCGACAGTATTTAAGGAGGTTGAAGAAGAGGGAGGAAGGGTATCATAGAGGAGAACTTTAAGCTTCTTTGTAATATCTGAGAAAAGAGGTGACAAAGAAGGAAAAGTTGGAAACATAAGAGAGAGATCATCTGGTGTGTGCCGGGAGGCCTGGCCGAGAGCTAGGCTGTTAGCAGAGCCATCTGACATTAATGGAGAACTATGACAATGAAGCACCAACTCTGAGGATGTTTGTGGGTGACACTGGTTCTCACTCACCTGTGTTGATGTGTAATGGTTGGTATTAACATAGTATGAAAAATCAGGCTGGGAACTTATCATCATTTTTATTAAAATTTGAAAATAAACCCCATCCTACTGATTTTATTGGGCCTCTGGACTTATAAACATTGACAGTAAGATTTGAGAAGGGACAAATGAGGGAAAGCCTGGAAAGGAAGGTGTGTTCTTCTGGAATTACTGATGGGCTGGAGCACTCTCAGCCTGTAAGTAGGTGCCCTTTGTAGAAGAAAGAAGGGTAGGCTGGGCATGGTAGCTCACGCCTATAGTCCTAGCATTTTGGGAGGCTGAGGTGGGTGAATCACCTGAGGTCAGGAGTTCAAGACCAGCCTGGACAACATGGCAAATCTCTGTCTCTACTAAACATGCAAAAATAAAATTAGCCAGGCGTGGTGGCATGCACCTGTAATCCCAGCTACTTGGGAGGCTGAGGCAGGAGAATAGCTTGAACCTAGGAGGCGAAGGTTGCAGTGAGCCAAGATCACACCACTGCACTCCAGCCTGGGCAACAAGAGCAAAACTCCATCTCCAAAACAACAACAAACAACAACAACAAAAAGAATAAAGGAGAAGGAGAAGAAGAAGAAAGAAGGGTATTGTGTATCCAGAGTTAGACTCAGTTGGGGATACAGCATGCACATCTGTTCTGTGTGATTGGAAAGAGTTAGAAATCCTTAGACCCATCCCTGACGGGTCATAGTGCCTAGGTGGCCAGCGCAAGGATATTTCGTTTGAGGTAAAGTCCTGTGCTCCTCAAAAAATCAGGCCAGAATGTTCTCACTTCCTGAAAGATGCCACACTTTTTCTTCACATGAAGGCCCTTAGAATACTTTAGAACGAACGTAGCTTAGTAAGTAAATGGTGTGTGGAGGACAATGCTGCTGCAGGAGACCACCTGGAAAGCCACATGCTCAAGTGCAAGGAAGGGGCGAATGGCCCCAGGATAATGGAGATGCACATTCCCTGTCCCCAGCCTGGTGCAGCAAATTTGCAGTCACCACCATTTCCTTGATTTTTCTCTTGCAAATAACACACTTGCTCCACAAATAACACAGAAATAGCTACTTTTAATACTTTTAATACTTATGGCTCATATTTTCAAGTTCTCACCTGAGACAGACCATGGGCACCTATTATGCTATATCTTCAAAGAGAACATAATTCCTTTTAAATATAGGTCATCTTTTATATTTCAGATTCAGATAAACTTGTATAGTCAATGCATATTCAAGTTCTGAAACTTAATATTTTATTCTCATATGTTAATGTGTAGTTTCTAAACTGAATCCATAAATATTCCCAGATAATTATGTGTAATGGCCCAAGGTGGGTACATTCATAACACCATCATGCAAATAAAGAATCTGAGGCTTGGAAAGCTCAATGCCATTTTTATAAGAGGAGTAAATGGGGCCAAAAATCATTGTTTTCTGGATAAAAATCACTTATTTTTATCATTCAGTGGCTCTCTAAGTTTGTTACCTCAATAATGTATTTATTATTCACGCATTAAATTCAATTAATAAGAGATAGAGCCCATTCCCAAAAAATTCATGGTATAACACGTGGTTACAATCTCATTGTGTGCATGAAATGATAAGAAACAGTATAATGTGGTGACTCATGTGAATGGGAAATTTCAGAGTCAGATGTTGTTTTTAGTCAGTTTGAACTGCTATAACTAAAATATCATAGACTGGGTGACTTAAGAGCAGAAATATATTGCTCACAGTTCTGGAGGCTGAGAAGTCCTAGATTAGGGTGCTAGCAGGTGAGGTCCTAGTGAGGGTCCTCTTCTGGTTTGAAGATGGCCATCTTCTCATTGTATCCTCACATGATAGAGAGCAGAGGAGGGAGGAAGCAAGCTCTCTCCTGTATCTTCATTAGGGCACTGATTCCTTCATGAGGGCACCACCCTCCTGATCTAATTATCTTCCAAAGGCCCTACCTCTTCATACTCTCACATTGGGAGATTTTAACATATGAGTTTTGGAAAACACAAACATTCAGCTCATAGCAGATGTCTATCGAGTCATCTGTTTTCTTTCAAATTACTAGTCCTTGGGCAAATTGCTTAACTTCTATGTGTTTCAGTTATAAAAATGGATAATAATAGTGCTTATCTCATAGGGTTCTGAGGAGGATAAAATGAGAAAATTTGTATAAAGAGCACAGCACAATACCTAAATAATTGAGAAAAATCTCAATAATTGTTAGCCCGTGACATTAAAATTATAAAAACATGGGAAGGTATATGAAAGTTCTTATACTATACTAACATAAAATTCGTAATTACCCCTTCAAGTAAAGAGAGTTCTAGAAACTGGGGATATGCCTTAGCCTTATGCATTCATTATATTCGTGCTATAAAAAATAGAGGAGCTGTAAGTCTGCTGGAAGTGGAGGCATGCTACTGTTACTCCGTGTGAGATGTGTGAAGAAGGACACCCTGTATGACACGGTTTGGCAACCTGTCCCTGCTTGGCCTCAGCTAAAGAAAGATGAGGTCATTTGCATCCCATCTGCTAGCCTTAGTGTCCAGTGTAAAGTGTTATCAACTTAAAAGTGAAGCAGACTGTGTGAACGTGTTGTAAAGCTAGTCCAGGAGCAAAAGTATTGAGAGTTTGGAGAATGAAGAAAATAAGAGAAAAGTCTCAGTGGGTTTGGAAGCTTCAGATCACAAGAATAGAGCCTAAAGGGTCATTAATTAGAATACTTTGGCTGCAAGTTATAGACGACAACTTAAGCTAGCCTAAGCAAATGGGGTGGGGTATTTAATGTAAAAATATAAGAAATAATATCAGGTATCTCATATGACATAGAAGACTGGGTCCAGAGTGGAAAGGCTCCAGGTTTCTGTCTTCTTGCCTCCTGTCTCGCCCTATGCCTTCTTCATCTTCTCCTCAGATATCTTTATTTCGTGAGCACGCATGGTGAGTCTAAGGATAACCATGCCAATGCTCATGAGTTCACATGTTATTATAGGTCCAGATACCCAAAGAGAATGACTGAATTCCCTCAACCCACAGGGTTCTGCATAGCACAGAGAGAAATACTGTCCATGGAGGGGGAAGAAAACTCCATGGCTCTGTTAGAGGATCCATTTGTTATGAAAGTTTGAGGTGTAGAGTCAACTAAGTTTAAAAGCCAGACCTTATCTTCACTTCTATTATATAGATTTCTGGCTATAAAATGCCTCTCCATTGCCTCGGGATGAAGACTAAGAAAAGACGAACATTAAGTTTTGTTTTTGTTTTGTTTTGTTTTGTTTTGCTTTGCTTTGTCTTATAAAGAAAATAGATCATTAGGACATTGTCTTCTGAGTTAATAAAAATACATTTTAAGTTACAGGACAACAATAAAATATTATTAACATTAGTTAATAGAATAAAAAAAGAAAATCAGTGAGTATTTAATCAAGTTAACAAAAAATGTACCTATAATAACATTTTATTTCAACAGAGTAAGGGAAGCCTTCTATAACTGAAGGCAACTTAATACTAGCCTCTATGCAAATTATCTGTAAGATATATGAGGAATTGGCTGCTAACAAAATTAGGCTGAGCCCCTAGGTGATGCTGCTCCAGGTAATGAAAAACAACTCTTTGAAAGAAATCAATAACAGTAGGAAATACTTTCCTTCCCCAAATTTTCCAGTTATAAAAATATATTCTCAAGTTACCATGCTCCTAGCAAATACCCTCAAATACTGTGGGAATTAATATCTTTTTCCACTTGATCAAACTTCATATTTCTCATATTATTTGGCTTAGATGGGTATGAAAAAATATAGACTTATGTAATAAAAGTACATTAAAAGAAATTATGATAGTGGAGTTGGAGTAGGGATGAGGGAGAACAGGGATGCTGTCAGCCAGTTCTGTGACTGTAGCTGTTGATTCCATTAGTGTCTTACTGCAAACTTGAAGTAAGGTTTTTATAATTCAGTCCTTAATTTAAAAAAAATACAGAGTCGACTATTTTGCAAACTGTGGACAATTTATTGGTAAAGAAAATAGCACAGTCTGTGATCTTTGCTTTGTCTTATAAAGAAAATAGATCATTAGGACATTGTCTTCTGAGTTAATAAAAATACATTATAAGTTACAGGACAACAATAAAATATGATTGTTAACATTAGTTAATAGAATAAAAAAAGAAAATCAGTGAGTATTTAATCAAGTTTGAGTGTAGGGGAGTAGAGGAATACCAGCAAGAAACCTGGCCACAACAATGTGACAAAGTGAAGTTCTACAACAGAGGAGGTAGGGAATGTTTGGGAGGCACCTAGAGGGCCTCTAGTAAAGGCCTTGGAGGTAGGGAAGGTCTACGAAGCTCTATGGACAATAGTTCCCATTAGCTAGACCAAGAAGGAGATTAAGAAAGAGGGGGTTAAGGTGGAGGAAGTGCAGAGAGCGTATTCTAGGCAGAGGGACCACGATGTAAAGAGATTTGGAGGCAAACAAGACCTCAGCTTATTAGGAAAATGAAGAAAAAAATAAAAGGTTTCAGTAGGGTTGGTATTCCTTATAAGGAATGTTTGTTTAGCTTCAAGTATGTGAAGCCAAAAGTTATTTCAGGGCTAATCCTAGTATAAAATCACTTTTGCTAGGATGGTTAGAATTATAGGCTTGGTTTCAAGGGCTGAAACATACCTCTTAAGATCCAGAAGATAAATACTGTTGACTCATTCATTCAATAAACAACTTTCAAGCACCTAATTGTGTCAGGCACTGGGACAACTGCAGTGGTGAACAAATAGATCTGGCTCCTGACTTTGTGGAAACTGAAATCTAGCTAGTAGACTGGGCATTGAACAAGACAATACAAGCATAGTGAGTGTTTCTATGAGAAGTACGGGTGTTATGGGAGTGTTATTAGAAGTCTCCAACCAGTCCAAGAATGCTGGAAATATTTCCAGGAAGCATTACCCTAGCTAAGATTTCTGAAGAAGGAGAAGCAGTTGGTTAGGAAAGGAAGAAGGCTGATGGATTAGAGCAGTCAGGGAATCTGGATGTAAAGACGGGAAAAAAAGCACTCACAGATGATGGAAATGAAGCAATTCCAGGATGCCTGGAGCAGAGGAAGTAAGAAGGAAAACAGTGAGACAAGACTGGACAGGCCTCTAGGGCCAGATTACTTAGAACTAGTTAGAGGAAGCCTTATGAGCTTGGACCTTATCTTCTGGACAATGAGAATCCACTCAGGTCACAGAGCAGTGTGCACTGTGATTGGTGAGATGTGTGTTTCAGAACTATCACTGTACCCCCAGTATGCAGGATGTTTAGGAGACGAGCAAGATATGAGCCTGAGCTCCAGGAGGAGACTGGTACAGGGTCCAGGGAAGAGATTACAGTGGCCTGACCTGTGGCTTTGACAGGTGGGACGAAGACAGTGAACAAAGAGAAATACTTAAGTAAGAACAAAAGTAAAAGTAAAGTTGCTCAAAAAATTCAATGTTAAGATATACACAGAGCCAACAGAGACATGCCTTTGCCTCAGGATTGTTGGGCTACAAGACCTATAAAAGTTGAACTATCACCAGAATAAATGTATAAACATACTAAAACATGACTGATCTGGAAAAGGAGGAGAGCAGAGAAAAGCAGTCACCCAAGAAAACATTGGAAATGGCCACAGATCTCTGTAAGGTGGAGGTGGGTGAAGGGCTTGGTGACCAATGGGTTCATTACAAATTTAAGATGAACCTAACTGTCTTCATTTGATGCCATCAAATGTTTAACTATTGAACCTTGTAACCCTCCATCCCCTCCTTCTGCCTCCCTGTGAACAAGCAATGGTCAAGTCTTGTCTCCCCTTACAAGTCTATTGATATATGTTGCAGCATTGTCAACGCTGTATGTTATTTCCATTGCAAATGAAAGTGGAATGAATTCTGGCATGTGACAATCTTACTTCATGAACTGTTTAATATAAGCCTTATCCTAGCTGACATATCGTTCTTTCAGGGGCAGACAAAAATAAGCCCTGCATTTAGGATTGACCTGAGAGGTGAGTAGTGGGAAAGACAACAGCAAGACCGAGAGCCAGATCCTGGCTGGCCCTTGGAAAACCCTTCATTAGGAATGTGCAGTCTTTGGGGTTCATAGCAGCTCACCATGTTTTTCACATTTTTTTTTGTAGAGTTCAGTTCATTTACAGTAGAGATGACAATACCCACATTCTGCTTATCACACTACCCATGAACATACTACATTCATATGGCATCATACTGTTCTAAGATATTGAATTATGTAGTAAGTAGATTTTAAGAATCAGCTCAAAGTTTGTTTCCCAAAGCCTACCTTATTATACCTGTGCTCAGCTTTTCTGACAGAAATTCATAGATGGCTCATGTGTTAACATGTACTACATCTATATTTCATTTCTCCCACAGGAAGAATCCTAACTCCCAAGAAAACAGATGAGAGAGTCAGAATATCTCATAAGTATATATTTTTATTATTCCATGATAGTCATACAAATGTCCTAGAATAACTACTAATACTACCACTACCAACTCATTACTGAGAAGAGTTAAAACAAATTTCATACTACCTTCCCATCTCCTCCTTTTAAAATAGTTTTACTATATCTACATTATCTGAGTACAATACCATCTTTCTTTTAACTTTTATTTCATCTTAGTTCTATAATTAAGGATATGTTTAACACTTACCTCCTGTTCCTATGATGATGGCTCCCTAGTTATTTCACTAGTCTGAAGCTTATAATCTTGTTCTAGAGTAGATTTCTCAGGAAAAGTTCATGGGACTAAAACTTAGATTTTGCTTATTGAAAACATTTTGTCTACAATCTTTATCTCAAAAGCCAATTTTGCTGGATATAATTCAGGGTGCACATTTTATTTTTCTGAAGTGTTTTCAATATGTTGTTCCAGTTACCTTTAGTATAAAAGCTTTGCTGCCCCCAAATCTGATAATAATCTTTTTTCCCTTATAAAACCCTTACTGATTTTTCCTGGACATCCAAAATATATTTTTCTTTTTCTATAAAGTCTAGTGATTTTACTAGAACAATTATTGGTATTGATTGTATTAGGTCAATATTCTTAGAAATGTAATGCTCTCTTTTAACATGGATTTACATTTTTTTAATTTTAGGAAAGTTTTCTTGAATTACAGTCTTCAGCATTTCTTTCCTTGCTTTAGTTTTCTTTGTCAAGAATTCCTAGTATCTATATATTAAATCATCTTTTACACATTTTCTGTAATCCTTTTTATTCTCTCATTTCATGTACATGCTATTGAAGTATAATTATATACAATAATATGCATTGATATTAATGACAGTTTGATATATTCTACAAATGTGTAATACACTCATGAAACCAACATACAACCAAAACCTAGGACATTGCCCTCACTCTAGAAAGTTTCCTAGTGTCCCTTTTTAAACTATCCTGCTCTCCAATTAGAGACAACCATTATTCTGATTTCTTGCCCCATATATTAATCTTGCCTGTTCTTGAACTTAATAAAAATGAAATCATAAGGTAGATATTATTATGTCTCTATTCTTTCACACAACATGAGATTCATCCATGTTCTTGCATGTAACAAGAGCTTATTCCCTTTAATTGCTGAGTAATGTTCCATTGCATGAATACACAATGTTTATTCTTCTGGTGATGAACATATGGGTTGTTTCTAACTCTCACTATGACAAATAAAGGTACAATCAACATACATACACAAGATTTTATTAACATATATTTTCACTTAGTGTGGTTATATGCTTAGGAATGAAATTGCTGCATGATAAGGCAGGTGCATGTTTAACTTATAAGAAATTGCCAAACAAATTTACACAATACTTTTGTCATTCTGCCTCCTACCAAGAATGTATGAGACGCATTTGGTGTTGATAGTCTTTTAAATTTTAGCCACTCTAATGCGTATGTAGAGGTATTTAATTATAGTTTCCATTTGCATTTTCCTGATGACTAATGATCTTGAGAGTCTTTTTATGTGTTTATTGGCCATCTATATACCATCTTTTTGTGAAATATCTATCCAAATTCTTTCTTCTTTTATTGGGCCGTTTGCCTTTTATTATTATTATTATTATTATTATTATTTTTGTTGTTGTTGTTGAGATGGAGTCTCACACTGTCGTCCACGCTGGAGTGGAGTGGCACGATCTCGGCGCACTGCAAGCTCCGCCTCCGGGTTCACGCCATTCTCCTGCCTCAGCCTCCCAAGTAGCTGGGACTACAGGCGCCCGCCACCACGCCTGGCTAATTTTTTGTATTTTTAGTAGAGACGGGGTTTCACCCTGTTAGCCAGAATGGTCTTGATCTCCTGACCTTGTGATCCGCCCGCCTCGGCCTCCCGAAGTGCTGGCATTACAGGTGTGAGCCACCACACCTGGCCTGCCTTTTATTATTAATCGTATAATCTGGATTTGAATTCTTTGTCAGATTTATTTATTGCAAATATTTTTTCTCAGTCTTTGACTTTTCATTTCTTATTGGTATTTTCTGATGAATGAAAGTTTTTAATTTTGATGAAGTCCAATTGATAAATTTTCCTTTTACAGTTAGTGCATAGTTCAGTGCAGAAACCTTGCCTATTCCCAGATCATAGAGATATTCTCCTGTGTTTTTTCTAGGAGGTTTATTGTTTTGACTTTTACATTTATTACTGTAATGCATTATTACTGTATTGCATTATTACTGTACTACATCTTGTAATACATAAGCAACATGTCTTAGTTTGTGTGGCTATAACAAAGCCATCCATAGACTGGGTGGCTTATATACCATAGAAGTTTATTTTTTACAGTTCTGGAACATGAAGTCTGAGAATAGGGTAGCAGCATGGGCAGGTTCTGGTGAGGGCCCTCTTCCACCATGCAGACTGTTGTATTCTTTTTGTATCTTCACCTGGCAGAGACATTGGAAAACTCCCTGGGGTCTCTTTCATAAAGGTAGTAATCTCACTTCTGAAGCCTCTACCCTCATGACCTAATTGCCTCCCAAGTGCCCCACTTCCTAATATCATCACACTGGGAGTTAGGATTTCAATGCATAAATTTGGAGGAGGCACATTCAGTTCATAATAGAATGGATCGAGGTTTTTGTTTTTGTTTTTTTCTAAATATACATTCAGTTCACCCAGATAAATTTTTGAAAATATTGCCTTCCCTCATTAAATGACTGGTACTTTTGTCAACATCAACTGAACATACGTTTAGTCCTGATTATGAACCCTCTCTATTCTGTTCTATCCATGTATTCATCTATCTTTTTGCAAATACCACACTGACCTGATTACTGAAACTTTAGTCTGAAAATCAGGTAGTGTAAGTCCTTCAACTTCGTTCTTATTTTCCATGATTGTTTTGGCCATTCCAGGTTTAGAATATCATTTTCATTATTCAAAAGTTCATCGTTATGTTTGATGCTATCTCTAGGTTTTGCAGAGATGCCCATTAATAGGGTTGAAGATATTCCCTTATACTCTTAAGTTTGCTGAGAAATTGATCACAAATAAGCATTGAATTTTGTCAGATTCTTCTGTATCAGTTGAAATGATTATATTTTTCTATGTTACTGGGAAAATATATTGAATTATCAAATATTAATCAAACCCTGAATTTCTAATATAAGCTCTCCTTTGTCCTCTATATAGACTACTAGAAACAGGGTCTACTTTGTCTGACATTAGTATAACTACTAGCTTTTATTTTTGTTTGGTACTTGCATGATATACCATTTTCCATCCTTTGATTTTCAGCTTTCTAACCTTTGACTTTCACCTTTTGTGTTTATATGTTTAAGGATTGTGTCTTATATGTGCAGCATGTAAGTTTGATTTTGCTTTTCAGTCAGTCTGATAATGTTTACCTTTAAATTAGAATATCTAGTTTATTTATATGTAATATAAATGCTGACATAATTATATCAACCACTTAATTATTTTCTATTTGTCTCACTGGATTTATGTTCCATTTTATTTTTTTTCCTTCTTTTGATTAGTCTAATATTTATCAAAATAATAATCACTAGTATTTTAATATTCAACTTTCTCCTGTATTAGTTTGTTAGCTCTACATTCTTTTATTATTTTTTATGGTTATCATAGAAATTACAAAAAAAATTAATCTTTTATAGTCTCAAATAAATTAGTAGTTTTATCACTTTCCAAGCAAGGCAAGGATCATGAAACACTTAAATTTATCTTGCATCACTGTTGTGCTTTTTTCACATGCATTTCATTTCTATACATATTTTACATCCTATCTTATATTATTATTAATGTGATTGATTTGCATAATCAATATCTATGTATCCCCATATGTTTCTCCTTTACGTTATAATCCAGTTACGGACTGAGCTGATTTGATGTGGACTGTGGTTTTATAAAACTTGTTCTGCTTCACCTGGTGCATCCTGTTCTGAGGGTAGAGCTATCCGGGGGTCCTGGCTGAGATTCTGGGTTCCGATGGTGTACTTGAACCTCTAATCCTTTGAAAGTCTTGACTCCAATTTTGATTCCTCAGCACCGTGAGACTTCCAGAAACTTTACTCTGATTTTCAGCAGCTTACTGCTTAGTTTTGTACCCTGTGCCTTGTGTAGCCTAAAATGTGATAAATATGAAAATTTTTCTAGAGGGAAACCACCAAGTGTCAGTCTCACTTTTCTTTACTTCCCTCTCTCCAGGATCTCGGTTCCTCAAGTTCTAGCTGCCTTGGAGCACTTGAATTCAAAATTTTATGTCTACAGTCCTGTGAATGTATCAAAAATTTTCCTTGCTTCTTTGCCTCTTAGTTAAGACTCTCTGCCTGGATTCTTAGTCTGTTGTCCTGTATCAAGAATCATCAAAAATTCCAAGGGGAAAAACAGCTTGAAGATGATCCGCTTACCTCTCTGAAGTCCTGTTCCTTCTAATTTGTTGATCCGTTGCATTCTGGTGCTGTGACAGCTTCTCAATATCTTCCAGTGGTTTAAAAAAATTTATCTGGTTTTTCTTGTTGTTTTCAGTGGGAGAGTTAGTTTGCCCTGGGGTACTACATATTAGCTGAAAGCAGAAGTCTTCTTATGCCAATCTTGATCCCTCCCTTTTATATTATATCTACCACTTAACACTATTGGAGGATGTTAGAAAACCAATACCTTTCTCAATAGGCTGTGATGTGGCTATGATGTTCTTTAGGACTATGGTGATTACACTTGTAATACTATGAGAGAAATTGTATGATAATTGCTTATTCAGTTCTGTTTCAGGTTCCATGTGTGATGACATGAAGCTATTAACGCCTCTGCTTCAAGAGAAATACTAGTGTAAAATAAACGTTAGTGGAAGTAGGCATCTAATATTGAGGTTAGTGCTATAGCCAAGAATTTCAGAATTCTCACAAAATTTAGGTTTTTGTGTTATAAGTCCTTTATAATTATCATTACATCTTCAGTTCTAAGCCTCTTACTAAATAATTATTTCTTCTTTTCAAAACATCCTGAGGTGAAAATTTTAACTTTTGGCAAGTTGTTTTCATCATCCTTTTCTCTTCCCCTCTGTAATAAATCAAAGTAAGGTAATAAAAAGTCTGACTTTGGAAGTTTGTCATCTAAAGTCTCTCTGGAAGCACAGCAGGCTATTTTCCCTTTTGTGTAACTTGATCTACCTTTTTTTTCCTCCTAATTTTGAGCGGCTGCTTTCTCATTAGAAAAGATGCCTATATGTGAGAACAAACACTTAAAATGTATGTACAGTTAAATAATGTATTTACAACATGAAAAGTACTAACTGTACTCTACTGTGGAGTTCTGAAGTAAGAAAAGCTTCAGTAGTAATTAACTTAAAAATATTAGTACTGTGCCAAATTCTGTCATTTACATTTGGCGTGTCTCCTTAGTAGCTGTTCATATCTTTTAATATACAGTTTTAGAATGTTTACATTATATCTTTTTTTAAGTGAAAGAAAATATGTATGCAGCCCCATATAGTATCTTAGTTCCTGGGGTAAAGCTAAGAGGAAAAAGAATCATGGTCTGAATTATTAGGTCATGATAAATTTATTTTTATAATAGAAGTTATTGCTTATTTTTATATTAAAAATAATAAATATTTACAGTGTGCAATTTGGAATATATTGGGAAGCACAAGGAAGCTAATATTAATTACTTCCAATTATACCTAGAAAGAAAAATCACCACTGATATTTTTATGTATATCCTCATTTTAACACACACGTATACATACATGCATATACATACACACTATTTTTACTATTTTTTTAATTTAAATTTTCCTGGGGATATTATGACATTCAATATTAAATTTTATAATTAATTTAAGAATTTATAATAAAAATAATTGCTTTTGCTATCCCTTCAATTAGCAAAGTAATAGAGAAGCTCAAAATTATTTCTTGCTAATATTCATACTTGGAATATTTCCATATTCTGTTTTGATTTATTCAGTCATTCATTTAACACTCATAATAAGTAGAGTGGCCATATGTCTTTGTACCTACCCAGGCAGTCCCAATTTATCCCTTTTTTATGGCTTAATTATAAAGAAAACTTCTTTCACGCTTAAAAGTAATGTTCGCATGAGAAATTCTATGGTTTTCTTAATTATTTGAAAAAATTGGGGCATATGAAAGCAGAATAATGTGGCACATAAGGTAATTCTGACATGAATTATGTCAGTCTTTAGAGACTATGGCCTATGGGAGATTAGAATTAACATTAATAACATATAAGGAGTAAAAAGGATCACAGGAGAGGTACTGAGATTTCGCCTACATTGCAATGTGAATTGTACAGGAACTTGACAAACATGTTGGAATTGTGAAGGAAACATATGCAAGATTCCACGAAGGCTAAGGATCCTTTAGGGAACCTAAACATTATCAAAGAAACAGACGGAAGAAAAATATTAAGATATCATTTTACAATCCTTGGTTTGGCAAAAATTAAGAAATAAAGAATTCTGATGAGACTTTTGTTTTGGATAGCATGAAAGAGACTGTGGCGGAATAGCTCCCAAGAAGAATAATTGGAAAAACAATAGGAAGGACAAAGATAATTTATTTACAGCATCAGGGAGCTACTGAAATGATGAAGATTAATGAGACTCAAATTTCAGAGAGAAGAGAAATGAAAACTGAGACAATTATCTGCAACAGTGTTTCCACGGGACAAGCACTAATAGTGCAAATTTGCCAGTTCAGGGCACTATATGGAGGCTGAGTGTATTTGTTCATTCTCACACTGCTATATGGAACTACCTGAGACTAGGTAATTTATGAAGAAAAGAGGTCTAATTGACCCACAGTTCCACAGGCTTAACAGGAATCACGACTGGGAGGCCTCAGGAAACTTACAAACATGGCAGAAGGCGAAGGGAAAGCAAACACGTCTTACCATGGCAGAGCAGGAAAGCAAGTGAGTGAAGGGGGAAGTGCCACACACCTTCAAACAACCAGATCTCCTGAGAGCACACTCACTATCACAAGAACAGCAAGGGGGAAGGGGGAAGCCTGCTTCCGTGATGCAATCACCTCCCACGAGACCCCTTCTCTGACATGCTGGGATTACAATTTGAGATGGGATTTGGGTGGGACAGAGAGCCAAACCATATTCCTGAGTTTCCAGGCTTGGGCTTGGCAGAGAATCAATGGAAGGACCAGAGGAAACAGGAAATCTTTTGGTCACAAAGGACTGGGGTGAGGAAATGAAAGGCCAGAGAGGCTTCACCACAGGTCCAGCTTCTCCCTCAACACATTTGCTGATGTCTGCCATTGGGTGGGTCAGAAAGATTAAAAGATAAGCTGAATACATCTGACATACAAAATAGGTTTCCATGGAGTTCTCCAGTGCTGAGAGACAGACTCATCGAGGAGAGGGCTCAAAAACACTTTTGTAATCATGTGAAGCTAAAATGACAAAATTGAAGACTCAAAGTCATTCAAACACATGATCAAGGCTCCCTGACAAGATATTTTCCTAATTTTGAAGCTATCTGCAGCAGAAGACCAAAAATCTAAATAGAAAAATCTTTAAAAAGCAGGGAACGTAAAGAAAGACCCACCAGATGAAGTGCACTAGTGCACAGCCAGGCTTTCTGTTGAAAGTCCCGAAGGGATATGCCCTGTGGTAGACTGATTTTTATCAAAATGACTGTGACTCAGCTCAGTCAGTGGTTGGATTACGTTAAGCAGTGCCCCTCTACTTAGGAGAGGAAATGGTAAGGCAAGATAGCACTTTCTAGGGCCTCTACATAATCTTATTTTATATGTTCACAGTGTCTCATCTGATATAAAATACTATTAGGCATACCAAGAGATAGGACCATATTACTGGAAAACCTAGGGAAACAGACAATAGAAGCAGACCCCCATGTGATACACTATTGGAGAATGTTAGAAAACCAAGTCAGTATTCTTAACATTGGTAAATAAAGGAAAAGAATCATCTATTTGCCTTGCATTTTCTGTTTGAACTCTATCTCAGAGAAACTAAATAGATGATGAGGGAAAGTTCTTTGTTAGAAGGGAAATACAGTTGACAGATACAAAAAGGATGATAGAATTGCATTACCACTTTGTAGTCTCATAATAAAATAATTTATCTATACTCTGATAATTAATGGCTGCTAAGACCACCAGAGGAAAGACTGATGGGATGTTTTACAAAGTATTCATCAGGATAACAACATCTGATATCTTTGAAAATTGCCATAATAAAAAGTTAATTTTAAAAATGTCTAAAAACCAAGCAGAATGTCTAAAAACCTCATACACTAGTGTAAATTGTGCAAGAACTTTGCAAAGCAATTTGGTAATATATAAGAAAGATGAATGTGCATGCTCAACAATGTACCAATTCTAGTTCTAAGTAAATATCATGGGAAAAAAATCTCCCATTAACAATGTTTATTGCAGTATTGATAAAATAGCAAAATGTAGGAAAAAAACTAAATGGTCATCAGTAGAAGAATGGATTATTTTTTAAAGTGTGGTATTTGTTCAATTTAGTTTAAGTGAATGAACTAGAGTTATACTCTAGCTATACATAATACTAGTTATACATAATACCGTGCAAAAAGGGAAATTGTTGAATGGAAATGTAATGTCAAGTATATAAAATATAATATGCTAAACACTATCATGTATTATTTACTAACACATATGAATATACATATTCAACATAAAATATGCCAAGTGACAATACATACCAATTTGTCTCTTTAAAAGGAGCAGATTCATATTTAGAATAATATACAGAGGGCTTCAAACATATCCTTAATATTTTCAAAAGAAAGAAGATTTTAATAGGGCAAAATGTTAATATTTGTCAAATCTATGGTGGTAACTAAACTGAATGTGATTAAACCATTCTCTGTAGTCTCTTACTAGCTTATGAATCTTAATAATTAACAATTTTGAAATGAAGCAATATTTTACACCTATATGGAAAGACTGCATTGTGCATATATATAAAGAGTTTTAATATACATGCATGCGTTAAAAGGAAGGGTGGAAAAAATTTCCATTTACAGAGAGCCTACACACATACCCAGAGCTCCATTCTCCATTCCTATAAACAAATGCTGAAAAACAAACATTAAAATTCAAAAAACAGGCAAAAATGCATTTGGCTTTGGAAAGCAATCAGAGGCACAAATTATGTATTTATCTATAAAAACAACATAAAATAGACTGTACCCTGCTAAAATGGTCTTGAGTGGTGGCTGTCATTCTTTATGATTACTTTGGACAGCTGCTGCATTATTATTTCCATGGTGAGCTTTCTATATTTTTAAGACTGACCATCTGGAATTGTATAGAACATTTTATCTCTGCTAAAAAGTAGATTAACCTCCAAACCTCCGAAAACATGCAACTTCATAGACAGCTAACCTGACTGTGTGCCTCACCTGTTCCTGACAAATCCATTCAAAGTCACTGTTACCCAAATAAAAAAGTCTGGAAGAGAGAGAAAATAAAGTTTAATTTATTTTCTACTGGAAGTTATTGACATTCTTGAGTAAGGAAAGTGGCTGAAGTCAACAAGTAAAGTGAAGGGAAGTTTGAGATCCTATGAAATAAGTCTAAGCTAAATACACACTGATATTTTAAATGTCTGAGTCTTTTGTCTGTGTCTTTATTTTTCCATCCTTCAAAATAAGGGTATTAATAGCAATGGCTTATGGATTAGGCTGGAATAGCATTTTGCTATTTGAAAGCATTTTCACACATACTTTTTCAACAATCCTTCTTTATGGATGAAAAAATTGAGTCTGAAAGAAGTGATCATACAATTGGAAAGTGCCAGGCCTCCTGATTCAATGTCCAGAGATCTCATTGCTAACATCATACTGAGTAAAATTTATTTGTAACAAATTCTAACTTCATTTAAAAAATAAATCTTTACATAGAAAGTGAAGAATGGGTGACCTGATGTAAATAAAATATTAAAGCAAAGTCATACTGAGTTAAGTATCTCTCAAAGAGAGATAGGCTGTTATATCAAGGAAGACTATTTGGACAATGGAAATATATGGGTAAAGTTACGCAGAATCCATCAGTGTATGACAAGCAGTGACTTTACAAAAGGAAGAAAGGAAAGGAAAAAGGAATGGGAAGAGGAGGAGAGGAGAGGGAAATGGAGGAGAGGGAAAGGGAGAGGAGGGAGGGAGGGAAAGAAAGGAAGGAAGGAGGGAAAGAAGAAGGAAGGAGAGAAGGGAAAAGAAGAGAGAGAGACCTTTGCACTTTAAGAAGAAATTGAAGAGGACCCTTTCTAACTAAACTACTTCTGGGGTTTCTTTAAATCCACAACTTCTGCCAAAAGATTCAAGCACAGATTTGGGACTTATATTTGACAAGCCCCCATATGCTACATTTTCCCTCCAAGCTTTTACTCTGGCTTGCTGAATCTGTGGTTGGTTGAATATGTGGTTTTACAATTGCTAAAAATACCCTGAAGTCAACCTCTTTCTCTCAGTTTTTATGCAGTTGATAAAATGGCCACTCTGGCCTCAGATTTTACATGGCTTGTCCTGTAACCTTTAATAAAACACTCCTTTCATAAAAGCAAGGTCTGTATGCAGGGTCATTTATGTTTCACTTCAATGCAAAGTGAAAGTCGGAGACCAAACAAAAGGGATCATAAAGGAGATGCTCTATTTTTTTTTTTTTTCAAATCTCTCCATCAGTAGTTAATTAGGGTGTCTTTGGGATTACTGAGTTACTGTGTGAAGCTTGGCTGTCAATATGCCGGAAGGCCTCAAAGGAACCGCAGAACTGTCCCCTAACTGCAGGAGTAGGTTTTAAGAGGGAATGCAAGTCACAGAGGCCACAGAGCTTCCTGTCCAATTTCCGGGAGACACAGAAGTACAGATGCTGCCTGGGTGCACCACACTGTGGGACTCTGCTAAGGTCAGTACACCGAGTTGCTAAGTTGTCAAGGCATCCCCCCGCCCCTTGTTTTTATCATTAGACATCCCCAGCAGGCAGGACCAGCTGCATTGTTTGCAGGGCCCAGTGCAAAATGAAAACACGGAGCTCCTGATTCAAAAAGCAGAGGTAAAGTGTTAAAGGTACTACATTATAAAGCCACAGCTTCTCTTGATCTGTCATGGTGTTTTGTATTTTTCATTTAGTGCTGTGTTCCCTTGTGTGGGGCAAATGAAGTCCCACCAGACACGGCCATCCCCATTTTGTGACTGCACGTGCTCAGCCCACAGGCTGCCAGGTTCCTCTCCAGCCAGTCACTGGGCAGAGGTCATAGGGAAGTTGAACCGGTTACCTCTCTTTCTCATGTCCTCTTTGCCTCAGCCCATATTAGACAGGTGACTCCCAAGGGTATTGCAATAACAGTGCAGAGACACCTAAGGTATCTGGATAAAGGATGTGCAAGAGGCTTGCCACTGCGTGTTGCCTACCAAAAGTGCAGTGGCACTTCCGGTCCAGGGAGGAGACAGCCACTGCCATTCATTGCCTTGAGATAGTACAGGGCACATATATCAGACCCTGATCTTGTCGGGACTTATGCCCAACCCCTTGTCAATGGTGGAAAGTGGTAGTGATTTCTAGACAGGGGCAGGTAGTGGGAGGCTGGACAGGGCTGGGACCCAGGGGACAAGAGTCCGAAAATCCCAAAGCCTGTCCAGAAAGGCAGGGAGGCTGCAAGATGTGGGCCATGTGTAAACTGAGGCTCCAATCTCCCAGCGCATGCTCTATTTCCCCATTGACCATCACTTGCAAAACACAAATTAAAAGATAACATTTTTATGAATTTCAAGAGGATGATTACAGAGCACTAAACATCAAGTGCAGGGCTCTTCGGAGGTAGAGATTGTGTTTGTCTGTCTGTCTGTTCTGGTTCCAGGCCCGTGAAGCTGGTCCTGCCAGGGCCCCAGTTCCCAGTGCCAATTGAACAGGCCACATACAGACATTCCTCAAAAGTAGAGTTAATTAGAGGCTCAAGAACATGCAAACAAGGCAAAGCCTAATGCTTTGAGTGTATTTTCTATCTTCTTTCATGAGAAATAAAGTTGCTTGAATATCATTTTACATATTACTTCCCACTACATTTACATATTCAGACATACCTTTATTCCTGATCATCTCCTTGCTAACATTTACATTGTTTTAATGATCTTTTGATTTCGAGTAGGCATCTTGAATGTCAGGGGCATATTACCTTGATAAGTTTGATAGCAAACAGTGTCTGTTTTTCTAATTTTATTAAATGAATGGATTATTGCAGTAATAATGAAGTTACACCAAGGTGTCTCAAATTCTTATCTTTTGATGAGGATTTCAAATTACTCTCGGTAAATCATGCACCTTTAAATGATTTCATGAATGGTCCAAACTTGATGGAATTGTACATATGGATTAACTTTGTTTTTTCTCTGTTACATTCAATGTGCTATGGAAAATCTTTTCCTGCCTTATACATTCAGTTCAAATCCCTTGCTTTCAGGTAGTGAACATCTGTTCCAGAGTATTCTTGTTTAAAATTTAAAACTCACAGCTCTTCTTCCCAGCACCTGTCAGGCCTCAGCCTGAGAGACTTGGAATGGGAAGGGGCATGGTCTCCTCCTGCAATACCTCTTCCTCCTCTTTCTTCTGAGTTTTCACTCGTCTGTCTACTTTGATGGGAAAAAGAGATAGAAGAGAAGGAAAAGGTCTTTGATTTGCCAGGAGCCATTTTGGTCCTCTTCCAGGTTACCCTGGACAGTTGTCACCAGGATCTTCTGGGTAGAGGGTCAGATGTTGACTCATAGAGAACATTGATGAGTTTGAGGAGCCCTGTAGAGAACTGCATCATGGCCAGAGTCCCCTGACATGAGAGATTTCTCCCCAGTTGAACCAGCTTCACCCATACCACCTGTAGCATGTGCTGATAGTTCACCCTAAGCATCTTGTACCTGAAATTCTTTTCTATGACAGGCAGCCCGCTTATGTGGCATGACAGCCAGACAGCTTTATCCCATCACCTTCTGCAGTGCTAGCTGACTCATGGGAAATGCACTTATCCTTATTCCAACAAATGATGGAAAGGCCGACTACCCCTGGCTGCCCATCAGCCTTGTCATGTCTAGCTAGTTCTCTTCTCCATCTGCCAAAGGGGCACAGAAGCCAGACTATCCTAGGTGCTGTATAAGGAGACATCCAGCTAGGGAATGAGATGATATTCTTCCTGTGTGCAGATTCTTCCAATCTCAACAGGTGGGTCTGTTGCTGCTCCCTCTCTCTCTACCACTGGACACTTTCTGTCTTGTGAATGCCAAGAGATAAATATATGAAGTGACAGCAATGCATTCATTATGCCATAATATGCAGGAAAATTAACAGTGCAATTAAAAGTCACAGTGTCAGACATAAACTCATGCACTTCCTTTAGGAGTAGAGGGTGGGAAGAATCAGCCTACATCAGTGTAAGTAGAGATGAAGTCCACTGCCACAAGGGATAAAGAAGTGTGTCAACAGTGGAGGGAAAGAGCAAACCTGGGGTAGACACACACACACACACACAGCAAAAAAAGCATCTGCCACTTGGAAAGAGATGCACCCCACTGACAGGGTTTTAAGAAATAGCCTGGCAATGAGAAACAGCCAGGCAGAGCAAGGACCATAGAGCAAACGGAGGTGGAGGCAATACAGAGCAAGGCTCAGGGCCAGGCACTGCCTGAGTGGTGGACTTGCCATATCTGTACACATGTATAACCCCCTCGCTCACTGGGTGTCTTTTTCTTTTCAATCTTCAGGAAGAGGCAGCCAGAATTCTCGCCCACCAGCCAATGTCCGTCGGCACATGTGCAGCTTTGAAAACCCCCACACTGCAGTGAATGTGTAAGAGAAGCTGCATGGAAAATCTAGTGTTTTGCCCCTTGCTTTCTCTCTCCTGGGTTTTTCCACTTTCTAACATGGAAACAGATGTGGTGCATGCCATCAGAATGAAGAATTCATTTACGTGCCATGGTTTGCACGACTGCCTTAAATTGATTGTCCATCGTTCTTAAAAGGACACTGTCAAGTTGTTCATTTAGGCTTTTTGCTTTTTTATGTTTTGATGCACTATTTTTTTTTTCTGATTCTGGAGACTCACTTTTGTTTGTGACTCCCACTCACAAGCCCGAAAGTGAATTTTCCCCCTTCAGAAATTTGTCAGCTTCTCCTTGGCAAACAGAGCTCTTTCTTTTCTTTTCTTTTTTTGCCTTTTTGCGGTTGCACAAATGTTTGAAATGATGCTGTCTGCACTAAAGTAAAAGCCATAGCTTGAATTTATGGAAGAGTTCTATCATGTCAGTTTGCGGGGGTGGGTGCCAACATGAGCCTCTGCTGGGTGCCTCCCACACCCTGGGGAGCACAAAACAAAAGTTTTGTGAGTCCCACAAAAAGTACACTTTACAAAAAGGAAAAGTAGTCATTTTCCTAACATTATGAGTGATTTTTATCAGATTTCCTCGTCTGATAAAAATGATGCATGTTTGGTCCCATTTTTGACCTTTAGCTCTTGACAGTGTCTTTTTAAGTTAACAAAAGAACATAGACCATGTTCAGTTCGTTGTGCACGGAGTCTGTGGTCATTTTCAGCTGTTCCTTTACAGCCCTTCAAACTCCTTGGAGAGTCAAAGGTACACATTCCTGCAGCAGGAGGGAGCCCACTGATGAGGTGTCTGTGGCTTGAATAGCTCTTCAGATGAGAAGAGCCCAATTTGTTCAAATGTCTGCTACTGAACCTGGCCATGGAGGCTGATGAATAGGGCCATAACATCTCTTCCCTTCACTCAGTGGAGTGCAATGGGAAGTCTGTTGTCTGCCTTTCTGCTATTCCTCATACAAACCCAAATAGAAAGAGTGTGGTCTCCACCAAATCATATTGATTCTTAGAAGAACAAATATGGTAGTCCTGCTGGTGTTCCAGGTAGTAACTGAGAGGTGTCTGCGCATCTAGGTCAGAGCCACTCTACTGTGGCTGGATGAATTCTCTGTAATTCTCCCAAGCTCAGAAGGCACTGAGTGTTTCTTGTATCATGGGGTGAGTCTAACCAAGGACACAGCAAGGAGATTCTAATTGTGAGAGCTGCTGGCTGCCTGTCAAAAAGGATTGATGGGAATGGGTAGATGTGCTTGTCTTGTCCTGACAGCAGGGCCAGAGAGAGAGGAGAGTTGACTGACATTTTGTAACTAAAAGGTGAGTGCCTAAAAGCAAAAGTAAAAGCTGAATGTGGTACATCCCTGGTGGGTGACAAAAAATAAAGTAACAGTCAGCAAAGCTAACAGATTGGCCGTTAAGAACTTTCAGAATAGGATCTATTCAAACTTTCCTTCTTCAGACCATAAAGGATTAGGAAGAGATAAGTAGGTTTAAATCTGTGCACCATACACTAAACTAAGACTGGATATTTTTAGCCATGGTTGTTCCTGTTAAATTTTTTTTTAAAGATATGTTCTTCTGTGACCTTCAGTTCCCACTGTTTTTGTGAATAGGCAAGGCAAAGAGATTAGTGATGACGGAAATAAAGCTGCCTACTGGACCATTATGGTCTGTCTAGATCTATCCTACTCCTGAGAAATAATCCCAACAGAGCAATGCAACTGTAATTTTTATTGCAATTAGAAAATTGGTGAATTTTCCAGTTGCAGGAAATATGGCAGTTGCATTTCTTTGTTGGGAAATTGGCAAATTAGAAAATTTACCAGTTTTCCCATTTCTCAGGGTGAATTATGAGAACTCCAGGTAGAGCTGAGGAGCATAAAAATCTCTTACTATTAAGAGATTGTTTCTGGTAGCACAAAGTATAGAAGAAATAATAATGTTTGACCTGAAGTTCCTTTAAAGGGAGCGTAATTTAAGTTCATCTATACTTCCTGAAGAAATATAATCATATTTGTTATACCTCTGCTAAAGCAACGCCATGGTACCAACATGTTGTCTTAAATAGACTTTGGTAGGAGAATTTCTTAGATCAGCCAGTAATCATGATTAGGTTGAACTAAAGACCATTCAAACTGTACTTGGAAAAATTTTAGTATCCATCAGAATTCTATTCTTTAATATGAAATAAATTGGGTAATGTTCTCAGGAGAGTGGAGCCTCTACCCAGACAAACTTTATGGTGCCTTCTATACTTTACTGAATTTGATTAGGTAATTTTATTTCTGAATGTCTTTTTCTTTATTGATCAGATGAAGAAAGCACAGGTCTTAATAAGGGCAAACTGATTTTCTTTGTATTGTCTTTTATCTAGTGTCATATAACTTGAGGATGTAGGATGTAATTGATCTAAAGATCCTAAAAGAAGAACTGCATACTTAGACTTTGTGATATTCTCTAATTTTAGCAAGCCAATGACTCTCTGACTAGCTTATGATGAAGGTAGAATTAAAGGGGAAAAGGCTAAGATTCACAATGCCATTTAAGATGTCATATCAACAGAAACTACCAAGTTCTCATATAATTAGAAAGCATTTGTCTTAAAAAACACCTCAGAAATTCTTTACCTTACAGCTAGTGGTGAGTCAAAAAGGCGAGAAATTGTAATTATGTTCAGATAGGCCCCCAAGTTTGAGAATACATTCTAAATATGCAGATTTTTCTGGAAGGCTTTCAAGAAGTGGAGCTGGAGTCAGTGGGAGTCCTTTGTATTGATGACAAACTCGAGGTTGCCTGGGAAAACAGAAGTCTGATACAACTGGTGTCAAATAGTTCCTAGGCCTGAGATTCTACAAGACCTACTTCTCAAGCTGCACTAGGGTACCAGAGGGCTGACGAATGTGAAGTTGAAATATCTGGACAGCTGTATTTCCAGCATTCCTTTGGGAAAGTCTTGGTGGGGTCAGAACCTCCCCTTCCTTGACAGGCCTCATGTTCTAGCTGTAGCTGCGGGAGCCAGAGCAGAACTGTCCCGAAGTCTGTGCCTTTTTATCTTTTTTCTTGGTGAGCCAATTCCCTCCTTGCTGGGACTCAATGGTGTTTTCCGTTTCCATTTTCACTTTCAGAGAAAACAAATGCTACCCTCCTCAGGTTCCCAGGAGTGAGCCTCTCTTTCTTACGCGAAGGTCTTGCATTATCTGTGGGCTTTCTGGATACTGTCCTTGTATCTGTTGTGAAGCTATTAAGCCTAGAGGCAAAGACTTGATTTGGACATAAGAGAGACAGGTGTTGTGTAAGCTTCCCCTTCAGGCAGTTTGTGCAGGAGGCTTCCCTCCTGATGATCTCAAACACCCACCCACTGTTATTCCCATTTTAAACCTCTCTGGATCAGAGAACAGTGTACTCTGCAGATGTAACTAGTACTTACTGAAACAAATAAAACAGACAGGATCACTGAATGCCAAAGATACACTAATCTATTTACACCACCCACTCTCAACTATTCTCTAAAGTGCCGTAAATATTGGGTTTTCTGTTTGGGGGATTGCGATAGCTAACTAATGAAAGAAAAACCAAAGCAAGATCCCGAACCTGTTGTTGCTGGAACTGCAACCTCAGGCCTGCCTAGCTGTCCACACAGTAACTATACATTATCCTATACATCCTGTAGGCCTAACAGTGTTTTCCTCCAATTGAGCCACCTGAGATATTTACTCTAAATGCCTCTGCATTTGATCTTCAAATATAAGATTGATTTAGGCCTCAGGTCTGTCTTTTGAAGTCGGAGCAAAAGGTTCAGGTGCTTTGTAACAATTATGTGGTGTTTTCTAAACCAGATTGCTTTTCCTAAGATTAGGAAGCCAAATAAAATTAAACAATAGAAGGAAGAAGCTGGTGGCAGAAGCAGAAACGATTAAAGTTATCTGGGATTAAATAAATGTCATATTGCAGGATAATATTGCATTTTTATAATGTATTTATTCTTTCTTGATATAAATGGATTTGATTTTACATATTTTTCTCTTCTTAATATCACAGTAGTGGGTTCCCTGCCTTCTCAAATAAGATACTCTCTTTTCTCACCAAAACAGTTCTTAAGCCTTCACCTGAATCTATTATTACTAAATATACCTCTCTTCACGGCCATTTGAATACAGAACAAAACAAAAGCTTCCCAGAATTTAGTTACACATGTATTGAATAACACTCTTTATCATAACAGCATCTACATACATTTAAAAACAGCAGTGCATTGTCTACAAATACATAATATTTATTCAGTTTAAAAACAATGCTTAATGCAGGTATAGATGCATGGACCTTTCAGATTATCTATGGACCACAGGTAAGAAATGACTCATCTTGAAGAACTAAAGTTTGTACTCAGTGCTGCAATGTCTGTGAGATGATACATTCCTTCTACTATGTTTGATTTTTAAAAAGCAGTTTATTTTATCCTTGAAAAAAGATTACACTAATTTTCTTAATCTGATAAATGCCCTGAGGTGTGAGATCTGTTTCCTAATTAAAAGTACTTTACAGCAAATCTAGAGCAAGACTGAGGGGAACGAAAGTTACCAGTTTTGAAGGCCATAGTGAAAATGTCCCATCTCAACAATAAAAATTGGATTTAATTAAAACAGAACTAAATTCTGATTATATCTGTCTGCAACATGATTAATAATACTGTTAACTTATGGGTGCTTTTGATTTAAAAAGAGGCCCACATAGAACCTGTGGACAATGAGGAAAACAGCCCATGTGAATGAGTGGGTGAAGTGGATCACATTAGGGCTTTCAGGAAACAAGGTACCTTTTTGCTATTATGTGTAGAAACTAAGGCAATGTGTCATTGGAACAGCTAAGCCTGCTGGTTGAATTAGAGGCAGATTATTTCTCAAGGGACCTGTTTGTTGTTGTTGTTGTTGTTGTTTTAACACACACACACACACAACTAAATAGATACAGGATAACATTTTGTTTAAGCATTTTCCTGGTGAACATTAAAAAGGCATTTCCTAATGCCTATGAAGAAGTGGGAAGATGGGGAAGGAAACATTTTTTTCATTGCAATTTAAAATGATGCAAATTATTGAGTTGGATGCTATATATAGTAAGGCATACTTAAGGAGGGTAAGAGGCAAATAAGTTTTATATTTGCCTTTCTAGAAGAGGCATATTGAATGCATAAAAAAAACAAAGTGTGTATAGTGGTAGATGATGGGGCAGTTGAAAAAGATTAAGTGGAAGATGAGTTTACCTACAGTTTTAAGCTCAGAAGAGCAACTGTGGATTCTGGTGGTGATTCTGGCTAGCTGGTTGACTACCTGTTCTTGCCAGGGACACCACTGACCTGTTCTTTAGTTTGTTTACCTCAGAAAAGAGTCAGCTATTCCAACAAGATAGTGTGGAAGTCAATAAGACAATTTTTAAAAACTTTACAAGCACTTCCACAGTCTCAGATAATGTGTAAGGCATATATTTGAAAGAAATATTAACTTTGACATAACAGAGATGAGCTTTGTCTTAGACAATTAAAAATGCAGTGTAGGGTATCAGATATATGGAGGAACTACCTATTTCTCAAATAATCAGGTCAAAACTTTAACTGTTTTATCTATTTTAGAGCCTTTATATCCAGAATTTTCTATAATCAATATCAGACATTTACACTCATCTGTACTTATCTGGCTCACTTTACTTTTCAAGATTATAAAATATGAAATGTCAAAATATTACCTTCATCATAAATGATGCTCACATATAATTTTTGAAGTATTCGTTCTTGTATTCTCAAGATGATGAAATAAACCATTATTTAAACTACTGATCATTTCCTACATTTTTTCCAAACAAAAACTAGAATATGGATTAGTCTATTTCACACCTCCACTTAAAGAAAAAAATGTCCATTTTTATATTCCTTTTAATGTCATAAATGTGTTACTATTATGCTACTTTCTCTGTCATTTTACTGAGTACAGAGAAAAAGCAAACTTCTAAAAAAAGAAAAGAAACAATTATTTCCTGATTTAAGGATTCCACCGTTGTTATTAGTAGAAGGCTATGGTAAGGTACCAACATCTGCTTAAAGTTATACAGAAAAGAAGCTGAGTCCAGAAGTGAGATCAGAGTTATTACAATAGACAGAACAGAATTTGGGGTGTAGGCCACAGTACATCTTCTTATTTTCTTATTCAGGGAGAAATTCCATATGGCTGCTTTTCTGTGGGTGCCATGAAGATGGGAGTTGATAAGGCTGGGATGCTCCTGGCACCCTAAGACTCTTCTTCACCAAGGCTCAATGAGTAGAGGTTTTCGTCTCAGTAACTGCTGCTTTGTCTCAATCATAATTTTCTCTTATTTGCATCAAACTATCCTAAAGCAGGATGTGGGCATTTGTATTTTTCCTGGCTTCCTCATTCTATTGCTTTTCAAATACAGCTATTTCAATGTTCCTAGAGTGAAAATCCCAAACCAGCTTCTGTGAGTCAGGGCCTTTGTGTGAATTGTGATCCACTGTATGTGTGAGAAATAATGCATTGAAATGTTTTAAAAAAATCAAAAGCTATGAAGCTCATAAATTGACCATGAGTCTGAGTTTTTCTGTCATCTGCTTTTTTATGTTCCTTATAGGTACCCTGTGTGATCACGCCACCCTGGTCATGGGAAATACTTGCATATGAGAATGGGCAACTGAGAGGATCTATTTTATAATCCCACAACACAACGAGAGTAGCTTTGTATGTGGGTCCTAATTTGTCCCAAGGACAATAGCCATTATTTTGGTTGTCCATGTGTAACTAAGATTTTTTTTTTAAAGTTTTCCTCCATCAGTTGGGAGTTTTTCAAAAGTGTGTGTGTGTGTGTGTGTGTGTGTGTGTGTGTCAGAGAGAGACAGAGGGAGAGGGAGAGAGTGCAACGGAGAAAAAAGAGAGGTTTGTGAAATCTTAGACCTAAATGAAAATAGCTATTTCTACAACAGACTGGCTTTTCTCCTCAACAACTTTTCTCAGGGTCAATATTTCCTTCAGCTTTTGGTGTTCTTTTTGTAAGAGGAGGTATGGGGTGCTGGAGCAAAGGCCTACAGCAGAGACAGCAGTTAAATCACACTGAGCTAGGTTTGCATATGTTTTCTATGTATTTTATCCTGTGTGCATGATCTATCTGCAAATAAATCCATCTCTATTTTATTCATAGTTCTAATGGCAAGTCTGTGTCATGGTCTGAACCAGGTGGAGGACAGGTGCCCAAGGGACAGCATATGTGGCACCGCCTCTCTGTGCACGTGAAGACCAATGAGACGGCCTGCAACCAAACAGCCGTCATCAAGCCCCTCACTAAAAGTTACCAAGGCTCTGGCAAGAGCCTGACCTTTTCAGATACCAGCACCAAGACCCTTTACAACGTAGAGGAGGAGGAGGATGCCCAGCCGATTCGCTTTAGCCCGCCTGGTAGCCCTTCCATGGTGGTGCACAGGCGCGTGCCAAGCGCGGCGACCACTCCGCCTCTGCCGTCCCACCTGACCGCAGAGGAGACCCCCCTCTTCCTGGCCGAACCAGCCCTCCCCAAGGGCTTGCCCCCTCCTCTCCAGCAGCAGCAGCAACCCCCTCCACAGCAGAAATCGCTGATGGACCAGCTCCAGGGAGTGGTCAGCAACTTCAGTACCGCGATCCCGGATTTTCACGCGGTGCTGGCAGGCCCCGGTGGTCCCGGGAACGGGCTGCGGTCCCTGTACCCGCCCCCGCCACCTCCGCAGCACCTGCAGATGCTGCCGCTGCAGCTGAGCACCTTTGGGGAGGAGCTGGTCTCCCCGCCCGCGGACGACGACGACGACAGCGAGAGGTTTAAGCTCCTCCAGGAGTACGTGTATGAGCACGAGCGGGAAGGGAACACGGAAGAAGACGAACTGGAAGAGGAGGAGGAGGACCTGCAGGCGGCCAGCAAACTGACCCCGGATGATTCGCCTGCGCTGACGCCTCCGTCGCCTTTCCGCGACTCGGTGGCCTCGGGCAGCTCGGTGCCCAGCTCCCCCGTGTCCGAGTCGGTGCTCTGCACCCCTCCCAACGTATCCTACGCCTCTGTCATTCTGCGGGACTACAAGCAAAGCTCTTCCACCCTGTAAGGGGGAAGGGTCCACATAGAAAAGCAAGACAAGCCAGAGATCTCCCACACCTCCAGAGATGTGCAAACAGCTGGGAGGAAAAGCCTGGGAGTGGGGGGCCTCGTCGGGAGGACAGGAGACCGCTGCTGCTGCTGCCGCTACTGCTGCTGCTGCCTTAAGTAGGAAGAGAGGGAAGGACACCAAGCAAAAAATGTTCCAGGCCAGGATTCGGATTCTTGAATTACTCGAAGCCTTCTCTGGGAAGAAAGGGAATTCTGACAAAGCACAATTCCATATGGTATGTAACTTTTATCACAAATCAAATAGTGACATCACAAACATAATGTCCTCTTTTGCACAATTGTGCATAGATATATATATGCCCACACACACTGGGCCATGCTTGCCAAGGAACAGCCCACGTGGACATGCCAGTCGGATCATGAGTTCACCTGATGGCATTCGGAGTGAGCTGGTGGAGCCAGACAGAGCAGGTGCGGGGAAGGGAAGGGCCCAGGCCAGACCCATCCCAAACGGATGATGGGATGATGGGACAGCAGCTCCTTGCTCAGAAGCCCTTCTCCCCGCTGGGCTGACAGACTCCTCATCTTCAGGAGACTCAGGAATGGAGCGGCACAGGGGTCTCTCTTCATCCACTGCAACCCATCCAGTGCCAGCTTTGAGATTGCACTTGAAGAAAGGTGCATGGACCCCCTGCTGCTCTGCAGATTCCCTTTATTTAGGAAAACAGGAATAAGAGCAAAATTATCACCAAAAAGTGCTTCATCAGGCGTGCTACAGGAGGAAGGAGCTAGAAATAGAACAATCCATCAGCATGAGACTTTGAAAAAAAAACACATGATCAGCTTCTCATGTTCCATATTCACTTATTGGCGATTTGGGGAAAAGGCCGGAACAAGAGATTGTTACGAGAGTGGCAGAAACCCTTTTGTAGATTGACTTGTGTTTGTGCCAAGCGGGCTTTCCATTGACCTTCAGTTAAAGAACAAACCATGTGACAAAATTGTTACCTTCCACTTACTGTAGCAAATAATACCTACAAGTTGAACTTCTAAGATGCGTATATGTACAATTTGGTGCCATTATTTCTCCTACGTATTAGAGAAACAAATCCATCTTTGAATCTAATGGTGTACTCATAGCAACTATTACTGGTTTAAATGACAAATAATTCTATCCTATTGTCACTGAAGTCCTTGTAACTAGCGAGTGAATGTGTTCCTGTGTCCTTGTATATGTGCGATCGTAAAATTTGTGCAATGTAATGTCAAATTGACTGGTCAATGTCAACCTAGTAGTCAATCTAACTGCAATTAGAAATTGTCTTTTGAATATACTATATATATTTTTTATGTTCCAATAATGTTTTGTACATCATTGTCATCAATATCTACAGAAGCTCTTTGACGGTTTGAATACTATGGCTCAAGGTTTTCATATGCAGCTCGGATGGACATTTTTCTTCTAAGATGGAACTTATTTTTCAGATATTTTCTGATGTGGAGATATGTTATTAATGAAGTGGTTTGAAAATTTGTTATATTAAAAGTGCACAAAAACTGAGAGTGAAAATAAAAGGTACATTTTATAAGCTTGCACACATTATTAACACATAAGATTGAACAAAGCATTTAGATTATTCCAGGTTATATCATTTTTTTAAAGATTTTCCACAGCTACTTGAGTGTCTAACATACAGTAACATCTAACTCAGCTAATAATTTGTAAAATCTTTATCAATCACATTTTGCCTTCTTTTAATTTTTATGTTCATGGACTTTTATTCCTGTGTCTTGGCTGTCATAACTTTTTATTTCTGCTATTTGCTGTTGTGTAATATCCATGGACATGTAATCCACTTACTCCATCTTTACAATCCCTTTTTACCACCAATAAAAGGATTTTTCTTGCTGTTTTGATTTCTTCTATTATTTGTGGAATGAATTATACCCCCCTTAAATATCTTTGTTTATGCCTTATGTTCAGTCATATTTTAATATGCTTCCTTCATATTGAAGCTGCTGATTTCTCAGCCAAAAATCATCTTAGAATCTTTAAATATCCATTGCATCATTTGTTCAGAATTTAACATCCATTCCAATGTTGGAGGCTTGTATTACTTATATTTCATCATATTCTATTGCCAAGTTTAGTCAGTTCCACACCAAGAATGAACTGCATTTCCTTTAAAAATTATTTTAAAACACCTTTATTGAAAAGATCTCATGACTGAGATGTGGACTTTGGTTCCATGTTTTCATTGTAAGAAAGCAGAGAGCGGAAAATCAATGGCTCCAGTGATTAATAGATGGGTTTTTAGTAATTGACAAATTCATGAGGGAAAGCATATGATCTCTTTATTAGTGAATCATGCTTATTTTTTACTCTTAATGCCACTAATATACATCCCTAATATCACAGGGCTTGTGCATTCAGATTTTTAAAAAATTAGGATAGATAAGGAAACAACTTATATTCAAGTGTAAGATGATATCAGGTTGGTCTAAGACTTTTGGTGAACACGTTCATTCAACTGTGATCACTTTATTACTCTGAATGCCTACTATTATCCTGATTATGGGGTCTCCTGAATAAATAGAGTATTAGTCCTTATGTCATCATTGTTCAAAATTGGAGATGTACACATACATACCCTATACCAAGAGGGCCGAAACTCTTCACCTTGATGTATGTTCTGATACAAGTTGTTCAGCTTCTTGTAAATGTGTTTTCCTTCGGCTTGTTACTGCCTTTTGTCAAATAATCTTGACAATGCTGTATAATAAATATTTTCTATTTATTAAATGTGTATGTTCTTTCTCTATAGTCTGTGAGAGTTATAATAATAGAAATAGACCAGTGGAAGAAATAATTCCAAGGTTTTGATTTGACTCAGAACATGTCTTCTGGGTGAAAGCTGGAGAATGCCACACAAGATCTACAGATCAAGTAGGTGAGAAGTACAATTTGACCATGAAGAAGTGGTACCTCATGTTGTAACAGTTTTAAATGAACTCCAAAATTAAAATTTGCAGTGCCCTTGGCAGATATTGTCATTCGTCTTTTTGATGAGGGTGTGAGGCTGAACAAACTCCTGGCGTTCTAGTGGAGCTCTGGGGGCAAAGGCATCCAATGTTCCCAGCTTTGTTTCATTCATGCCCTACAAGGCTTTTCTTTCCATGGTTCACACTTTAGGGGGGCCTCGTTTCCAACCTTACTGCTACTCTTCTGCTCACCCTAAGTTCTATTCCTCTACATTTCAACTGACACCTCATTGGTTCCCCAAACAAAGGAGTCTCTGTTATTCACATTTTCTGCTATGAGATTCCTGCAAAGTAGGGCATTTCCCAAGTATCACTTGAAAAGAGAATATGATGGTACAAGGACCACACGATGAGATTGTCATGCATTTTGATGGCAGGAGCAAGCTCCATACAGGAAGACTAATGTTAAAGAACCACACACAGGGGCTGGGACACCAGAGGTTTCTTCAGTGTGCCTAAAAGATGCAATAATAAATCATGAAATGAGAGCTTTGTGTCTCAAGAGGAAAAGTTATAGGAGAGAGAATGAGAAACAAAAACAGGAAAGAAAAAAATGAAGAAAAGTGATAGAGAAGAAAAAGAAAAATGTTTAAGATACGTAGTCCACAGACATATCCAAATGTCATGATAGGTCACAAAGGACTCCATCTGGAGAGAGTCCAGAAACTTTACTTGGACCATAAGGAAGGCATTTGGAGAGGTAAGGATTAGGGTCCAGATGCTGTAAATGATGTATGAGTAACTGCCCAGTGATTTCTACAGAGAATGCCCTGTGAGGGAATCAAAGAGAAGGGAAACAACACTTTTATAACCTGCTGTGTGCCAGCCACTGTGTGCTAGGTTATTTGAATTCATTCTTATTTAATCTTTCCATTACTGCTGTCATATAGAAACTTTAGATAACTGAACTAACCCACCTCAAATTTCTCAGCTAGTAAGTAGCCCAGCAGGGCTTCAATCGTCATTTTCATCCAATATAGAGCCTGTGAATTCATGTTCCTCTCCAGAGCCCAGGGAAGAATGATGGACGTAGTTCCTTTTCGCTTGGGATCAATTTTTCTTTCTGATTTCTGAGTTCAGGGCAAAGCACATATTCAATAGAGATTTGTTGAGAAAGTATTATAGAAAATGAATGTTATAATACCATATAGTTTCCCCAGCTCAATTCCCTGAAGATTTATTCCAAGATCCTTATGGGGTCCAGAGCTCTATATTTCCACCTACTAATTCTAACTCTGCCAGCTGGAACAACACATGCTTTCATCATGAAAAGCAAGCTCTCCTTTTGGCATCAGAAAGAGCTGGCCCATGGGCAGCAGGTCCCCCTTTCCTGCAGAGTCCATTGAGCCCAGCCAGAGATCAGTGCTGGGTATGGAAGACAGCGTCCTCTGAAGAAGAACTGCAGGTAAGACATAAACTACTGAAGTGGGACATTTTAAGTGAGGGCAACATAAATCACCCATGGGAAAAGCAGGGGCAGGTTTCCTTACTTAAAGAAATATGTCTCTTCAGACACAGGCAAACAAAACCAGTTACCAAGAGTTGGAGAAATATGAGGGAGAGGAAGAGCTTAGGTAGGGACTTGAACTAATAACACCAGAAACCTTGATTTTGTGCTTGATTTTCCCAGGGCAGCTTGGGAAGAAAGACTTATTAGTTAATAAACAAGAGAAACAAAGCTTAAGAATGAAGATCACAAAAATCAAAAAGGAAAATAGTGACAGAGGCTTAGAGTTGGAAGTAAACTTAGAAGTCACTTAAAATAAACTTTCACCCTGTTTAGGATTCCATTCTCCTGTGTTCTGTTCCTCTTCCTAGACAGCGAGAAGCCACCACTGATGGGTTGGGCTGGGTACAGGGCCAACTACCTGCAGTTGCTGTGCCAAAGGAGAAGGCAGAGAGCCTTAGACACTGGGAGAAGAAGTCCAAAACCACATTGCTAAACCAGAATGCTGGTCAGAGAACAGAACTCAGGCCCAAATCCAGAATGGAGGCATGACAGGAACCAGGGAATCTACAAGGAAAAATCATCAAGGCAGGCAACAGGGTGGTAGGCTATGAAATTCTGCAGATAAAATGCTGGTGACAAAAATGAGCTTTTCAGAGGATTACATATGTAACCAGAGTTTATTTTAAGGGTCAGGATAGATTTAGGTGACTTTTTTTCACCTCTGCCTAAGTATTTCTGGAGACTAGAATCTTATATTTGATAAGGGAAAGCTTTACTTGTTAGAAAATTCTTTCCTTTCCTGAGTTGAATATTGCTTTTCTCTAATTTTTCCTGAGTTCTGCCTTTTAGAAAAACACTGAACAAATTTAGTCCACTGTGCACGTGACTTCCCTTCAGCTACTTGAATACAGTGATTATGTCATTCTTTAGCAGTTTATGCTCCAAGACAAATCGCTTCTTTCCATTATTACCTTTGTTATTGTCTTCCTAACCCCCTAATCAGGCCATGATCATATCCCAATTTTTGAATATGCTTTAAGAACATATTGTATCCAGAACTGGACACAATACCACACATATACTTTGACTCTCTTTAATCATTATTCTCCTATTTCTGCCTAAATTTACGTTACTTTGTTTGCAGTCTTGCCACATTTTGAGCTCACACTTAGCTCAGAGCCAGCTATAACCCTGAAGCCATTTTTATATGAATTGCAATAATTGGATATGAATATGAACCTTTTCTTAAGTTGAATTTCTCCAGAAAGAGACCCTGAGAGGAGCACTTGCCCACAAGTTGTGTACTGGGGAAGCGATCCCTGGAAGCTCTGGTAGAAGAGCGGGCAAGAGGCAGCAAACAATATGCAGGCAATAAAGGGACATTATCATGCAGGGTTGCCGCTGTGGGAAACAGGAGTTCAGTCCTGCTGGGAACTCTGGGAGACAGTGGAGAACATGCCTCACAAGTGTCCTCACTCCCCGTGGGGCAAGAGAATTGAGGGTAGCAATTGGAGCAATTCCTGTCAATCATGGCTGAACGTTGCTGGGGAGGGAGGTACATGTCAATTTCTAGTTACTCCCTGTGTGTCCCAAGTACAGGCTCCTGTCTCCAGAGAAAGCCCTCAGGCAAAGAGTTGCAGATGCTGGAGGTTGGACATTTTAATGTTGGTTTGTGTGAGGAAGGTAGGCACCAAGGGGACGTGGTCAGAGCAATAGCATACTAGATACAGATGTGATTATGGAGAGAAAGAAAGGTGGAGGCGGGGGAGTGCAGAGAGACAGAGAGAAAGAGAGAAAGTGGGGGGATATTTCCACAGACATAGATAACACTATAGATAAAGACGTGAAAACAAAGACCTGAAGAAGTCAAAGCAAAGGTATATCTAATCATTTGTAGTGGGAACAGGCACTTCTAGAATCACCCATAGAGACTACTATTTCTTCATAGCAAGGAAAATCACAAAAGAAAATTAAAGTGAAAGCTTGCTTTAAATAAGTGTGTTGTTAGATTCTGGATTACTTCCATGCAATGATTCCTTAAATTTAGTCATTATTCTATTACAAAAGTAATAAAATGCATTGTAGACAACTGGGAATTAAAGAAAAAACCTATAGTCACATGATCCAAACATTGACATTGTAGATTTTATTTTTCCTTCCAGTGACTTTCATATAAGTCTCATTTTAACAGAGTTAGAATCAGCTTTCATTTATATTAGATTGATGCAAAGGTAATTGCAGTTTGCAGTTTTTGCTATTACTTTTAATGGTAAAACCCAATTACCTTGGCACCAACCCGATAATTGGGTTTTCTGCTCTTTTTTTTTCATTTAGCATTGTGACCTACAGCAGGAGTCTCCACTTGATCAGATCTGAGGAATCACCCACTTATGGAGTTAGACAAATCTCCCTCTCTCACAGAATCCAGGAAAGCTTTGGGAAATAATTCATACCTGGTTCCTAACTGAGGTTCAAATGTATAGCACCATAGCCAATAGGCAGTAGTGTCCTGGGGAAATCAGATTATGGAGAGGGGCAACAGATGGTGTGAAAGAAGGAGAAAAAAAGAATCATGAGAAATAAGTGAGAGATCCCATTTCTAAAAAAAAAAAAAAAAATTAGCTAGGCACGGTAGCACACCTGTAGTCCCAGCTACTCTGGAGGCTGACATGGGAGGATCCATTGAGTCCCAGGAGTATGAGGCTGCAGTGAGCCATGATCACACCACTACACTGCAGCCTAAGTGAAGTTACAGGATAAGACCGGAAAGAGGAAAGGGGAAAGGGGAAAGGGAAAGGGAAAGGGAAAGGAAGGGAAGGGAAGGGAAGGGAAGGGAAGGGAAGGGAAAGAAAGAGAAGAAGCAGAAGGAGAGGGAGAGGGAGAAGAAGAAAGCATGACATCTGGGCAAAAATCAGCAACAAGGCTTGGGTGATGGGTGGACAGAAGCAATAATTAAACCCATTAGATCCTGGAGCAGGGATTAAACCCATCAGAATCTACCACACTCAGCAACAAAGAAGGCTGTGTGGCTCAACATTAAGAATGTATCATGGGGTGTCAATAACAGAAATCGGAAGCAGAGGGTACCTGAGTACCTGAGCTCTTAATGACAGCAAGGAAGAGAACCTCATAGGACATAAGATGTCAATGCTGTGTAAGCACTACCTCATGGGCAGCTCAAGCCAGGAATAGCTAGCTAGGTGGCTGTGGATAGATGCATGGAACAACCATAGGAGCAATAAAGTATCCACAGGCAAGAGCCAAAACAGAGCATAAAATTAGCAGCTGAAACAAAGAAGGCAGAGATGCAGGCGGTATGCAAATTATATGAAGGGCAACACTCTCCCTTATCCAAAGACCCAGCGCAATTGGGACATGCCATGGGCTTTGCCATGTGGCACATAGGGGGTTTGGGTAAATCATTAAAGTGACTTGCTTAGTATTCATCAGCTAAAAGGTAAAGCATTGAAGGTATTTCTTACTGACATTAACAAAAATACTCCATAAACTTCATTATGTGAATATATCTTAATGTATTTAATCATTTCCCTATTTCTAGACATTTTGATTATTATAGTTTTCTGAATTCTGTAATTAGTATGAGAAATTATTTCATGCCAAAAGATTTTTCTATGTATAATATCATTTTTAGGCTAGTTTCTGAGATTATTATTTTATCAATTATTTAGTAATAATTATTATTTTTACTGTCAAACAATATATTTTTAGATGACAATTGACTTGGTAAAATCCTTTGAGATAGGACTTATTTTATAAATATGAAAACTGAGGCTCAAAAATATAAACTTGCCTAAGATCACAAGGCTAGTGAAGTACATCCATTGGATTGCAAAGCCCACACTCTTAACCACCATACTATGCTGAAAAGCTATGCTAAAAATGCTATTCTGAAAGCTCTTGATACAAATAAACACACTCAGTTTGAATAGCAAAATAATGGAAATGTTATACTGCTGACTGTAGAATCACCAGTTGGAAAGTGAGTATGAATTATCTCCGTAGGGGCTTCAAGATTCTATGGAATTGGGGAAGTTCGTCTAACTACACAAGTAGAATTACCACCACACATTGACTTGCCGTGGAAGGCTACCACAAGAAAGCCCAATTCTACCTTTGAATCACAGTTTAATTGTGGTAATTTATAGATATATTAGAAAAATACTTGAAATAAAAAGATTTATAGTAATTATCTTATGGTTCTGCAATTTAATAACATACACCATTCTGAAAGTAACATTTAAAAAAATAGGTCATTATTACTTCCAAAATATTTACTAAAGAATTTCAAAATAAAAAAAAAAGTTAGAGAAGAAATTACTCTATCCTCAAAAATGTGAAGCTATTCATAAGTTAATGTAAAAATAGTCAGCTAAATTCCTACTGAGAATCACCCAACAATTATAAAATTGAGACCAACATTGTGTGGGTATCAGTAAACCCTCAATGTACTGGCTATATTTTAAAAATAAACTCAGTTCTTATTTTTTATAGACTAACCTCACTCAGAATTAGCATGTTTAAACATTTCATTCACTACGGTGGTACATCTGATTTAGGGGGAAAATCTGTAATAAAAGAAACCTAGGTTAGAAATACTTAGCTGTAGTAAAAGTTAGCTGTTTGGTGGTGGGTAATCACTTGACTCCTTTAATCCTCAGCATTTTTATCTCTAAAATAATGAATCGATTATGTAAAATAATAATAAATGCATTCAGGACTTATTACATGTCCCTATGTCTCTAGCATTATGTCTTTGATGTTGTTTAATCCACAGAGCTGAGTGAAGTAGGTATGAAGTGCTGTATTAACAGAATAGACTAAGCTAGGAGAGAGGGAAGACAAAAGGGAAGGGAAGGGAAGGGGATGGGAGGGGAGGGGAGGGGAGGGGATCTCAGTGCCTTCATAAAATAACGTTTATTTCATGCTTACATAAAGTTACATGCAGGTTGAGCTACCTTGTTTCATGCCAGTAGCAACCCCAGCTGGACTCTGCAGTTCCTAAGTCACTACACAGGGCAATTGCATGAGCTGGAGGCTTGTGCAGGATGCTTGTAAAGACCAGAACCGGCAGTGGATGGCTTCTCTTCACTTCCGCCCACACTCCCTGGGTGGAGCTCAGTCATGTATCTCCTGAAACTTAACGATAAGGGAGGCTAAGAAATATAGTCGCCCTAATGTCTAACACCATAAATAGTGAACACAGTTCACTGCCTCTGTCATAGTTATTTGACCCAATCTATATATAAAAAGACTGGGGCTTAGATATACTAAGTAGTTTGCCTAGGGTCACACAGTTAACAAGTGATGACTATGAGAGACACAGGATCAAAAGAATCCAGGGTTTACCTTAACTAACCTCTAAATTATGCAAACCTCTAAGTCTCCTTCCATTTGCAGTATTGTCACCACGATGACTGCACCCAGAAAACAGAGTAACTGATAGCACAAATTCTTTTGATTTGTTTTTCTTTTTTCAGTTCTTTGTTACAATGTATAATCTGTTTCCATGTAGCCACACAGATGAGCACATGGCAGAGATTTTTATCACAGACTTTTGTAACCAGTTCTTTCTATTTATCAAAACCCAGTCTGATTGTGAAGACTTACATCAAGTCCACCCCAAGTAACTAGTAAACAGATGTATCTTAAAATAACCTTAATCCCCTCATATTGGAATACCGTATTTAATTTACCATAAGTAGTGGTCATGGAGAGAAGTGTTTTTTTCAATAATTGAAGGCATCAGTTGAGTTTTTAATTTTTAAAATAATTTTTAATCAATACAAATTAATTTTTGCCCAAAGTTTAAAATAACTAGTTAAAAAATATAAAAATATAGGGTAGGGAGCACATTATTTTTACACCTGCAAGGTTATAGTAGAACCTTAGTGATAAAATGAAAATACTTTTCTAGGAGAGAGGGCTTATAATTAATGAGTGGTTTCTGCTCATTCAGGGTGATATTTTTCTTGCTGAAATGCAATCTATTTCTCCTGTAGAAATATGTATAATTTACAACTTGATGAGATACCTTCTATTTCTCCTGTACAAAGCATACGCTTTGTGAAAGAATGACTGTAATGCCTGGCAGCGGAGAGCCTCAGAGGTGCAGGGTCTGAGATCCAAAGAGATGTGAGTAATGAAGAAGCTCTGACCAATGACCCACATTAGCAATACCAAGTGACCTGAAGACATGGTCATTCCCAAGATATGAGGAGGATATAATTTACGGCATTATTTACACTTAACGCCTCCCATCAGCTTGCTGTAATGGTGTCAAGATATTTCCTACCCATTATAAGAGGTTATAATGTTGCAGAGCTTCAGCCTGTTTTACCTTCAGAAAGACTGTTGATCCTCATTTCTTCTTTTTGTAATCCCTATGTTTAAATCTGTAGATCTGAGGCCTGAAATCCTAGAGACTGTAAATATTATCTACCTTCCCTTTTCCTATTAAGCCATTCTAAATTTGTCTGAAATATAAAGGCTAAGCTAGAAGGAAAAATGTACTCATGAAATATTTAGTTTTCCCTGATTATCATCTTTTTGTTTACCATTTCTGTTGGCATATGCAGGTAAAATTGAATGACAAACGTCATTTTACTCTTCCTCTTGTTTATGTTAAAGTAATGACATTGCAGAGCATTATGCATAATATATAAAGCAGTTTCACTTAAAAACAAATGTTATCTATATTCTACTTCCTTAAAACCAACACAAATATGTGATGGGTTTTAATTTTATCTCAAAATGTTTATGCAAAGTTTAAGAAACACTATCTCTGTATATTTAAATTTTTTAAAATATTATTTTCAAACTGGTTCTTCTTAAACTGTAGTCTAGAAAGAGTCCTGAACCACACCTGAATCTTAAGAAAACTTTGCACCCATTGCTAACGTTAAAGGAAGGAGAGGGAACTATTTCACATTTTGGAAACCACAAATCACAGCATCAGTCAGCATATTGGGAAAAAAGCCTGAATATTGGAGATTTATTTCCTAGCAAATATCATTGTCCCTTATATTCAAAATTGAAGTTAGAAAATGATATTTTGTCTATACCACTGCACAATTTGACCATGTAACCGCTCAGGGAGTTATTAAAATTTCTTCCAAAGGTTTTAAATAAAAAGGTCAATAGGTATTTATTGTGTCACCAATTATGTGTCACCTGGCCAAAGGCACTAGAATTGTTTTCTTTCCTGACATTTAAGGTACAAAAATCCACAGTATTTGACACAATTCATAATTTGTTGGTGAGAGTCACCAGTTAGGATAGGACCCTCATGATCTAATGGTTTGTGACTATGCTTCTTCTACTAGAAGAAATTCTCATTGTTGGAAACAGCTAGCCAACCAGTATCATAGGAGTCTTTTCAGCCCCCAACATTTTGATAAATCCTCTAACAATAATAACCAATGAATTAGTTAATAACTGTGGAAATTTGAAGGAGTCCTTCTAAGGCCATGGTTCTTAATCTGGACTGTATGTTAGAGCACCAAAGTAGCAAAAAAACAAAACTGATACCTGAGTCCAACCTCTCAGACAATTTGCAGCCTTTAGAAATATAGCCTATGTATCCATATCTTTCAGAAAGTGTTCCAGGTTTTTCTACTGTGCAGCCAGGATGGAGAATTATTGTCTCAAAAGTGTGAGTAGAGACATTGAATTAAAAAAAATCCCTAAGAGTTGTACAAAAGTCTCCTTTAGAAAATTTTTACATTCCTACCTGTAATCCTGGCTCACATTTTGTATAACAAGCTGAGAGCTCGCCCATGGCCCCAGAGGCTCCCAATAGAATCGGCCAAAGGGAGGAAGAAATGCTACATTAAGCATTAAAAAACAACTCCTAAGGGGATGAAGAGCTTTCTTTCCTCCTCCTCATTCTCTTCATCTCCCAACCAGACCAGTATCCTCCAATAAGAGTTGGTTTTGTACTCAATACCAAAGGGGGCAGGGTGGGAATGTGAGACGCAATGTCTGATATGAACTCTTTATGCCCCCGACAAACACAACCACAAAACCATCAGTTTTATTTGTTACATTTCCCTCTTCATGTAGACATGGACATACCTTTCTATTAAATTAATCTCTATTCCATCAGAATCCCCTTGGTTCTTGAAGAATCCTGTATTAGTCTATTTTTGTACTGCTGATAAAGACATACCCAAGACTGCGCAATTTACAAAAGAAAGAGATTTATTGGACTTACAGTTCCACATGGCTGGGGAAGCCTCACAATCATGGTGGAAGGCAAGTAGGAGCAAGTCACATCTTACATGGATGGTAGTGGACAAAGAGAGAGCTTGTGCAGAGAAACTCCCATTTTTAAGACCATCAGATCTCATGGGACCCATTCACTATCATGAGAACAGCACAGGAAAGACCTGGCCCCATGATTCAATCAACGCCAACCGGGTCCCTCCCACAGCACATGGGAATTATGAGAGCTACAAGATGAGATTTGGGTGGGTACACAGAGCCAAACCATATCATTCCACCCCTGGACTCTCCCAAATCTCATACTTCACATTTCAAAACAAATCATGCCTTCCCAACAGTCCCCCAAAGTCTCAACTCATATCAGCATTAACTCAAAAGTCCACAGTGCAAAGTCTTATCTGAGACAAGGCAAGTCTCTTCTGCCTATGAGCCTGTAAAATCAACAGCAACTTAGTTACTTCCTAGATACAATGGGGATACAAGCATTGGGTAAATACAGCCATTCCAAATGGGAGAAATTGGCAAAAAAATACAGCCATTCCAAATGGGAGAAATTGGCTATAGGCACCACGCAAGTCCAAAATCCAGTGGGGCAGTCAAATCTTAGAGCTCCAAAATGATCTCCTTTGACTCCATGTCTCCTACCCAGGTCACACTGATGCAAGAGGTAGATTCCAATGGTTTTGGGCAGCTCTACCCCTGTGGCTTTGGAGGGCACAGCTTCTCTCCCTGCTGCTTTCATGGGCTGGCAATGAGTGTCTGCTGCTTTTTAAGGAGAATGGTGCAAAGTGTTGGTGGATCTACCATTCTGGGGTCTGGAGGATGGCCTTCTTCTCATAGCTCTACTAGGTGTGCCCCAGTAGGGACTCTGTGTGGGGGCTCCAGCCCCACATTTCCCTTCTGCACTGCCCTAGCAGAGGTTCCCCATGAGCACCCTGCCCCTGCAGCAAACTTCTGCTCTTTTGAAATCTAGGCACAGGTTCCCAAACCCCAATTCTTGACTTCTGTGCACTTGCAGGCTCAACACCACATGGAAGCTGCCAAGGCTTGGGGCTTGCACCCTCTGAAGCCACTGCCTGAGCTTTATGTTGGCCCCTTTCAGCTGTGGCTGGGGCAGCTGGAACACAGGGCACCAAGTCCCTAGGCTGCACACAGCACGGAGACCCTGGTCCCAGACCATGAAACCATTTTCCCCTATGCCTCCAGGCCTGTGATGGCAGGGGCTGCGTGATGACCTCTGACGTGTCCTGGAGACATTTTCCTCATTGTCTGGGGGATTAACATTTGACTCATTACTTATGCAAATTTCTGCAACCAGCTTGAATTTCTCCTTACAAAATGGGTTTTTCTTCTCTATCACATTGTCAGGCTGCACATTTTCCAAACTTTTATCCTCTTCTTCCCTTATAAAACTGAATACCCTTAACAGCACCCAAGTCACCTCTTGAATGCTTTGGTGCTTAGAAATTTCTTCCATCAGATACCCTGAATCATCTCTCTCAAGTTCAAAGTTCCACAAATTTCTAGAGCAGGAGCAAAATGCTGACAGTCTCTTCGCTAAAATATAACAAGAGTCACCTTTGCTCCACTTCCCAACAAGTTCCTCATCTCCATCTGAGACCACCTCAACCTGGACCTTACTGTCCATATCGCTATCAGGCTTTTGGTCAAACCCATTCAACAAGTCTCTAGGAAGTTCTAAACTTTCCCACATTTTCCTATCTTCTTCTGAGCCCTCCAAACTGTTCCAACCTCTGCCTGTTACCCAGTTCCAAAGTTGCTTCCATATTTGGGGGTATCTTTTCAGCAATGCCCCACTCCTTGTACCAATTTACTATATTAATCTGTTTTCACAATGCTGATGAAAACATACATGAGACTGGGCAATTTAAAAAAGAAAGAAGTTTATTGGACTTATAGTTCCACATGGCTGAGGAGGCCTCACAATCATGGCAGAAGGCAAGGAGGAGCAAGTCACATCTTATGTGGAAGGCAGCAGGCAAAGAGAGAGCTTGTGCAGAGAAACTCCCATTTTTAAAACCATCAGATTTCATGAGACCCATTCATTATCATGAGAACAGCACAGGAAAGACCTGCCCTCATGATTCAATCACCTCCCACTGGGTTCCTCCCACAACATGTGGGAATTATGGGAGCTACAAGATGAGATTTGGGTGGGGACACAAAGCCAAATGACATTAAATCCCATATTTAATTCATTAAGTAGCCAATTATAAAAGATCTGCTGAGGGTCAGGCATTGTGCTCTTCTCTGAGTCCACAGCTGATTAAAAAAATAGACACATTTACAAAATGCCCAGGAACACAAAGGTGAGAGTGGCCAGCTCTGGTGCTATTCAGAGCCTTCCCTCTGCTCAACCAGCAGGACAACTCCTGCCAGCATCTGCTGCATCATCAGCCTTTCTGACAGCCCAGAAGTAAGAGAGTTGTGCAGCAAGAGGTACCACAGTGAGTCCATAAGTAGACCACATCTTATCAATTTTTGTATCTCCCAGAGTACCTTGCACATATTAATTACTGAGCAAATATCCAATCAATAAATGAATAACAAATCTGAATTTCAATCCTGACACCCACTTATGAATTATGGATTTTCTTACTGTTTTGAAAGAAAAAAAATATTGCCAGGATCATGGTTGTGCATGTGTGTTTAACATAAGGTCTGTAATAGGTACTTTTGAGGCCACGAAGATAAAAAAGAAAGAAACCCACCAACATTGGGAACTGTATGTATGGAATATTATATAAATGACATCATTTAATTTAAATCACTAATTATATTTATTATTTTAATCTCATTTAATTTAATCCTTCACAACAACTCTTTGAATTTTGGTACTATTATTGTTTTTTAATTGATACTAGTAATCATACAAATTTCTCACGTACATATGTTATTTTGTGACATGCATATTTTCATGTGCGTCCGTGTGAAGAGACCACCAAACAGGCTTTGTGTGAGCAGCATGGCTGTTTATTTCACCTGGGTGCAGGTGGGCTGAGTGCGAAAAGAGAATCAGCGAAGGGAGATAGGGGTGGGCCGTTTTATAGGATTTGGGAAGGTAATGGAAAATTACAGTCAAAGGGGGTTGTTCTCTGGTGGGCAGGGGCGGAGGTCACAAGGTGCTCAGTGGGGAAGCTTCTGAGCCAGGAGAAGGAAATTCACAGGGTTAATCACTCAGTTAAGGTGGGTCAGGAACAAATCACAATGGTGGAATGTCATCAGTTAAGGCAGGGCAGGGCCTTTTCACTTCTTTTGTGATTCTTCAGTTACTTCAGGCCATCTGGGCATATATGTGCAAGTCACAGGGGATGCGATGGCTTGGCTTGGGCTCAGAGGCCTGACATTCCTGCCTTCTTATATTAATAAGAAAAATAAAACAAAATAGTGTTGAAGTGTTGGGGCGGCGAAAAGTTTTGGGGGGTGGTATGGAGAGAGAAAGGATGATGTTTCTCAGGGCTGCTTCAAGCGGGATCAGGGGTGGTGTGGGAACCTAGAGTGGGAGAGATTAAGCTGAAGGGAGGTCTTGTGGTAAGGGGTGATATTGTGGGGGATATAAGAAGAAACATTTGTCGTATAGAATGATTGGTGATGGCCTGGATATGGTTTTGGATGAATTGACAAACTAAATGGAATAAGAGAAGGAGAAAAACAGGTATAAAAGGACTAAGAATTGGGAGGACCTAGGACATCTGATTAGAGAGTGCCTAAGGAGATTCAGCATAGTCCTGCCAGCAAAGATTATTTATTTACTTCAAGAGTTTAGAGTAGCAGTTTGGGGATAGCACGAGGAGATATCAGCTGTGATGTCTTGGAGAAACAGTGTAAACCGGCAGTGTAAACAAGAGCAGGGCATGTATGAGTAGTTGAGAACGGTGAATAGGAGTATGACTAGACAAAAGATAGTAGGGATGACAAGTTTTTTTGGGGCACAGTCTAAGTTGGTCTGGTGTCGAATGAGACTGGGGCCTAATAAAAAGGAGCGTCTATACAGGAGCTTAAGTGGGCTGTACCTTGTAGCATTCTGAGGACAGGTCTGACTTCTGAGGAGGGAAAGTGGTAAAAGTATTGTCCAGTCCTTTTTAAGTTGGTGGCTGAGCTTGGTGAAGTGTGTTTTTAATAGACCATTAGTCTGTCACTGAATACTAAGAGCCTGAAAAAATGCTTGGCTGATTTGACTAATAAAGGCTGGTCTGTTATCAGACTGTATAGATTTGGGAAGGCTAAACTGAGGAATTATGTCTGACAGAAGGGAAGAAATGACTGCGGTGGCCTTCTCAGACCCTGTAGGAAAGGCCTCTACCTATCTAGTGAAAGTGTCTACTTAGACTAAGAGGTATTTTAGCTTTTGTGACTCAGGGCATGTTGAGTAAAGCTAATTTGCCAGTCCTGGGTGGGGGCAAATCCTCGAGCTTGATGTGTAGGGAAGGGAGGGGGCCTGAATAATCCTTGAGGAGTAGTAGAATAGCAGATGGAACACTGAGAAGTTATTTCCTTGAGGATAGATTTCCACAATGGAAAGGAAATGAGAGGTTCTAAGAGGCAGGCTAGTGGCTTGTACTATAGCATAGCCTGCCTTTGCTGGTGTGTGGCGATTAGGCCTGGTGGAACTGCCATCAATAAATCAAGCGTGATCAGGGTGAGAAACAAGGAAGAAGGAAATGTGGGGAAATGGGATGAACATAAGGTGGATCAGAGAGAGGCAGTCATGAGGGTCAGGTGTGGTATCTGGAATAATGTGGGAGGCTGGATTGAAGTCCCAGCCAGGAACAATGGTAAATGTGGGACTTAACGAAGAGTGAGTACAGCTGAAGGAGCCAGGGAACAGAAAGTGTACGCGTCAGGTATGAGGATGAAAATAGATTTTGGAAGTTATGAGAAATGTAGAGAGTGAGTTGAGCATAGTTTGTCGTTTTGAGGTCCTCTAAAAGTATTAAAGCAGTGGCAGCCGCTGTACGCAGACATGAGGGCTAGGCTAAAACAGTAAGGTCAAGTTGTTTGGACAGAAAGGCTACATGGTGTGGTCCTGGCTCTCGTGTAAGAATTCTGACTGCACTAACCATGCCTAGGAAGGAAAGGAGTTGTTGTTCTGTAAGGGATTGAGGTTTGGAAGCTTAATCGGACATGATCATCAGGGAGAGCACGTGTGTTTTTACGAGAATTATGCCGAGATAGGTAACAGATGAGGATGAAATTTGGGCTTGACTGAAGTAATGGGGTCTGTCTGTGAAGTCTTGCAGCAGTACAGCCCAGGTAATTTGCTGAGCCTAATGGGCGTCAGGGTCAGTCCAAGTGAAAGCGAAGAGAGGCTGGGATGAAGGGTGCAAAGGAATAGTAAAGAAAGCATGTTTGAGATCCAGAACAGAATAATGGATTGTGGAGGGAGGTATTGAGGATAGGAGAGTATATGGGTTTGGCACCATGGGGTGGATAGGCAAAACAATTTGGTTGATAAGGCATAGATCCTGAACTAACTTGTAAGGCCTACCTGGTTTTTAGGACAGGTAAAATGGGGGAATTGCATGGAGAGTTTATAGGCTTTAAAAGGCCATGCTGTAGCAGGCGAGTGATAACAGGCTTTAATCCTTTCAAAGCATACTGTGGGATGGGATATTGGCGTTGAGCGGGGTAAGGGTGATTAGGTTTTAATGGGATGGTAATGGGCATGTGATCGGTTGCCAGGGAAGGAGTAGAGATGTCCTATACTTGTGGGTTAAGGTGGGGGGATATGAGAGGAAGACACGAAGGAGGCTTTGGGTTGGGGAGAAGAGCAGCAATGAGATGTGGCTGTAGTCCAGGAATAGTCAGGGAAGCAGATAATTTGGTTAAAATATCTCGGCCTAATAAGGGAACTGGGCAGGTGGGGATAACTAAAAAAGAGTGCATAAAAGAGTGTTGTCCAAGTTGGCACCAGAGTTGGGGAGTTTTAAGAGGTTTAGAAGCCTGGCCGTCAATACCCACAACAGTTATGGAGGCAAGGGAAACAGGCCCTTGAAAAGAAGGTTATGTGGAGTGGGTAGCCTCCGTATTGATTAAGAAGGGGACGGACTTACCCTCCACTGTGAGAGTTACCTAAAGCTCGGCGTCCGTGATGGTCTACGGGGCTTCTGAGGCGATCAGGCAGCGTCATTCTTCAGCCAGTAAGCCAAGAAGGAGTCAATCAGAGAGCCTTGGGCCAGAGTTCCAGGGGCTCTGGGAGTGGCTGCCAGGTGAGTTGAACAGTCCGATTTCCAGTGGGGTCCCGCACAGATGGGACATGGCTTAGGAGGAATCCTGGGCTGCAGGCATTCCTTGGCCTGGTGGTCAGATTTCTGGCACTTGTAGCAAGCTCCTGGGGGATGAGGTGCTGGGGGAACATCTGGCCACTGCGGTTCAGGCGTTTGGAAGTTCTTGTGTGCTGGAGGTGTGGCTGGGGTTTGTCTCACAGTGGAGGCAAGGAATTGCAACTTTTTTCTATTATTGTACACCTTGAAGGTGAGGTTAATTAAGTCCTGTTGTGGGGTTTGAGGGCCAGATTCCAATTTTTGGAGTTTTATTTAATGTCAGGAGCAGATTGGGTAATAAAATGTATATTGAGAATAAGATGGCCTTTTGACCTTTTAGGGTCTAGGGCTGTAAAGCGTCTCAGGGTTGCTGCCAAATGAGCCATGAACTGGGCTGGATTTTTATATTTGATGAAAAAGAGCCTAAACGCTATCTGATTTGGGATAAAGAAAAAGGAGCATTAACCTTGCCTGTGCCTTTAGCTCTAGCCACCTTTTTAAGAGTAAATTGCTGGGCAGGTGGGGAAAGGCTAGTCATGGAATGAAACTGTAAGCCAGAACGGGTGTGAGGAGGGGAGGTGATAAAAGGATTATAGGGTGGAGGAGTGGAAGCTGGAAAAGAATTGGGACCTATCTTGGCCTGGTGAGGAGGGGAGAGGTCAGATAGGTCTGTAGAAAAGGAAGATTAGAAAGACTCAGGGACACTTGGGGTTGGGACTGAGGGGACAGGCGGGAGGGAAAGAAGGAAGATTTGGAATGAGTTGCACTGGGCACAGAGACTAGGAAGGGACTGATGTGTAAAAGAATGCCTGGACGTCAGGCACCTCAGACCATTTGCCCATTTTACAACAAGAATTATTTAGATCTTGTAGGATGGAAAAATGGAAAGTGCCATTTTCCGGCTATTTGGAACTACTGTCGAGTTTGTATTGGGGTCAAGCGGCATTGCAGAAGAAAATGAGACACTTAGATTTTAGGTCAGGTGAGAGTTGAAGAGGTTTTAAGTTCTTAAGAATACAGGCTAAGGGAGAAGAAGGAGGAATGGAAAGTGGAAGCTTGCCCATAGTGAAGGATGCAAGCCTAGAGAAAAGAGTAGAGACACGGAGAAGGGGTGGGGTATTCTTGCCCTCCAGAAAAGCAAAGAAAGGGTTGGGGCATCAAAATAAGGGATTGGGGCACAGAGATAAGAGGTCAGGGTGCAGAAATAAGGGATTGGGGCACAGAGATAAGAGGTCGGGGTGCGGAAATAAGGGATTGGGGCACAGAGATAAGAGGTTGGGGCTCGGAAATAAGGGATTGGGGGTTCTTGCCCGTTAGAAAAGTGGGACTTGCTGCTAAGGGTGAAGGAGAAGGGGTTGAGGGGTACTTGCCCCTCCCCCAGAAAAGCAGAGAAGGGGTAGAGACAAGGAGAGAAGGGGTTGGGGTACCTGCCCCTTCCCCAGAAAAGCAGAGAAGGGGTAGAGACATGGAGAGAAGGGGTTGGGGTACTTGTCCTTTCCCCGGAAAAGCAGAGAAGGGGTAGAGACAAGGAGAGAAGGGGTTGGGGTACTTGCCCTTTCCCCGGAACAGCAGAGAAGGGGTAGAGACCAGGAGAGAAGGGGTTGGGGTACTTGCCCTTTCCCCAGAAAAGCAGGACTTGTCGCTAAGGGTGAAGGAGAAGGGGTTGAGGGGTACTTGCCTCTCCCCCAGAAAAGCAGAGAAAGGGTAGAGATGAGGAGAGAAGGGATTGGGGTACTTGCCCCTTCCCCAGAAAAGCAGGACTTGCCGCTAAGGGTGAAGGTCCAAGGCAGGCATCCCTGCATGGTCTGACACTCTTGAAACGTGGGTGAATAATCAGAGAGGCCTCCCTGCAATGATTAAACACCAAGGGAAGCCTGCCTTCCCAGTCCGTGACCGGTGCCGGAGTTTTGGGTCCATGGATAAAACATGTCTCCTTTGTCTCTACCAGAAAATGAAAGGAATTGAAATTAAGAGAAGGGAGAGATTGAAGTGTAGTGCCAAGATTGAAAGGAGAAAGAGGTTGAGGGATAGTGAGGGAAGTTGGAGAAGAGAGTAAGAAGAGGCCGCTTACCGGATTTGAAATTGCTGAGATGTTTCTTGGGCTGGTCGGTCTGAGGACCTGAGGTCATAGATGGATCTTTCTCACAGAGCAAAGAGCAGGAGGACGGGGGATTGATCTCCCAAGGGAGGTCCCCTGATCCGAGTCATGGCACCAAATTTCATGTGCGTCTGTGTGAAGAGACCACCAAACAGGCTTTGTGTGAGCAGCATGGCTGTTTATTTCACCTGGGTGCAGGTGGGCTGAGTCCGAAAAGAGGGTCAGCAAAGGGAGATAGGGGTGGGGCCATTTTATAGGATTTGGGAAGGTAATGGAAAATTACAGTCAAAGGGGGTTGTTCTCTGGTGGGCAGGGGCGGGGGTCACAAGGTGCTCAGTGGGGAAGCTTCTGAGCCAGGAGAAGGAAATTCACAGGGTTAATCACTCAGTTAAGGTGGGTCAGGAACAAATCACAATGGTGGAATGTCATCAGTTAAGGCAGGGCAGGGCCTTTTCACTTCTTTTGTGATTCTTCAGTTACTTCAGGCCATCTGGGCGTATACGTGCAAGTCACAGGGGATGCGATGGCTTGGCTTGGGCTCAGAGGCCTGACACATATAACATGTAATAATCAATTCAGGGTATTTGAGATATTCATCATTTTGAGCATTTATCATTTCTTTGTGTTAGAAACATTCTAAATCTCCTGTTCTAGCTATTTTGAAATATACAATAAATTATTGTTAATTATAGTCACCTACTACGCTATGGAAAAAAAGAACTTATTCTTTCAAACTGTATTTCTATATCCAAAGCCAATTTTTCTTTATCTCCCCATCCTCCTACCCTTCTCAGCCTCTGATAGTCATCATTCTACTTTATACCTTAATAAGATCAAGTTTTTTAGCTCCCACATATGAGTAAAGATATGTAATATTTGTCTTTCTGTACCTGACTTATTTTGCATAACATGATAACCTCCAGTTTCATCTATGTTGCTGCAAATGACAGTATTTCATTCTTTTTATAGCTGAGCAATATTTAATTGTAAATATGTATCATATTTTCATTTCTATTGATGGACATTTAGTTTGATTCCATATCTTGGCTATTGTGAATAGTACTATAATAAACATGGGAGTGCACATATCTCTTCAATATATTGATTTCCTTTCTTTTGAATACACACCCAAAAGTGGGATTGCTGAATCACACAGTGGTTCTATTTTTAGTTTTGTGAGGAAGTTCCATGCCGTTTTCCATAATGGCTGTACTAATTTACATTCCCATCCACAGTGTATAAGATTTCTCCCTTCTCCAAATGGCTGCAAACACTTATCTTTTGTCCTTTTAATAATAGCAACTCTAATTGGGGTGAGATTATGTCACATTGTGGTTTTGACTTGCATTTCCCTAATGATTAGTGATATTATGTATTTTTTCATATAACTATTGGCCATTTGTGTGTCTTCATTTGAGAATGTCTGTTCATGTTCTTTGCCTATTTTTTAATTGATTTTTTTTTTCTGTTGAGTTGTTTGAGTCCCTTATACACTGGATACTGGATAGTTTCCAGTATTTTCTCTCATTCTGGAAGTTATCTCTTCACTTTGTTAATTGTTTGCTGAACAAGTTTTATGGTTTGATGCGATTTTATTTGCCTCTTTTTGATTTGTTACCTGCTTTAGAGGACCTACCCCAGAAATCATTGCCTAGACCAATATCCTTAGCATTTCAACAAGGTTTTCTTCTAGTAGTTTCAGGTTTTAAACTTAAGTCTTTAATTCATTTTGATTTGATTTTTGTATATAGTAAGACAGAGGGGTCTAGTTTCATCCCTCTGCATATGGTAATCCAGTTTTTTCTGCACCATTTATTGAAGATACTTTCCTTTCCCCAATGTACGTTCTTGGCACTATTGTAAAAAATGAGTTGGCTTAAATGAAGGAATTCATTTATGGGTTCTTTATTCTGTTCCATTGATCTATGTGTCTACTTTTATGCCAATATAATCTTGTTTTGGTTATTATGGATTTGTAGGACATTTTGAAGTCAGGCAGTATGATGCCTCCAGCTTTGTTCTTTTTGCTCAGGAGTGATTTGGCTCTTCAGAATTTTTTGTCATTCCATACAAATTTTAGGACTGTTTTTTCAATTTCTGTGAAGAACATCATTGGTACTTTGATAGAGATTGCAATGAATTTGTAGGTCACTTTGGTCAATATGGACATTTTAACAATATTAATTCTTCCAATCTATAAGCATAGAATGTCTTTTCATTTTTTGTGTCTGTATGTGTTCTCTTTAATTTCTTTTATCAGTGTTTTATAGTTTTTATTGTAGAGATATTTTACTTCTTTGTTTAAATTTATTCCTGGGTATCATTTTGGAAACTAATGTAATGGAATTTATTTCTTCATTTTTTTCCAATTATTCATTATTAGTTTATATAAATGTTACTGACTTTTGTATGTTTATTTGTATGTTGATCCTGCAACTTTACTGAATTTTTGTTAGTGCTAACAGTGTTTTGGTGCAGTCTCTAGGTTTTTCTAAATATAAGGTCATGTCTTCTGCAAACAAGGATAATTTGATTTCTTCCTTTACAATTTGTAGGCCCTTTCTTTCTTTCTCTTGTTTAATTGCTCTGGCTGGGACTTCAAGTAGTATGTTGAATAAAAGTGGTAAAAGTGGGTATTCTTGTCCTCTGCCATAGTTTAAAGAAAAGGCTTTCAGTTTTCCCCATTCAGTTTTATGTTAGTTGTGGCCTTTATTGTTTTAAGTATGTTCCTTTTATACTCAGTTTACAGAGAGGTTTTCTCATGAAGGGATGTTAAATTTTATCAAATGTTTTATGAGCATCCATTGAAATGATTATATAACTTTTGCCCTTGGTTCTGTTAATGTGATGTATCAGGTTTTTTGATTTGCATGTATTAAACCATCCTTGCATCCCTGGGATGAACCTCACTTGATCATGGTGAATGATCTTTTTAATCTGTTGTAGAATTCTATTTGCTAGTATTTTATTGAGAATTTTTGCAGTGATATTGACCAATACTTTTCTTTTTTTCATTGTGTCCTTGACTGGTTTTGGTATAAGGATAATATTGACCTCATAGAATGAGTTTGGAAGTATTCCTTCCTCTTCAATTTTTGTGAAGAGTTTGAGTAGAATGTGTATCAGTTGATTTTAAGTCTTTGGTAAAGTTTAGCAGTGAAGTTGTCAGATCCAGGGCTTTTCTTTGGTGGGAGACTTTTAAATTACCATTTCAATCTCTTTACTCATTATTGTTCTGTTCAGATTATCAGTTTCTTCATGGTTCAATTTTAGTAGGTTGTATGTGTTTTTTCCTCCAGAAATGTATCCACTTATTCCAGGTTTTCCAATATGTTGGTGTGTAGTTGTTGTTCATAAATGTCTCTAATGATTTTTGTTTTTATTTAGTAACAACTTTAATGTTTCTTTTTTCATCTTGGAGTTTATCTATTTAGGTCTGCTCTCCTTCTTGTTAGTCAAACTAAAACTTTGTCAATTTGGTTTGTCTTTTCAAAAAACTCACTTTTCATTTTGTTGATTTTTTTTGTCTCCATTTCATTTATTTCTACTCTGGTCTTTATAATTTCTTTCCTTCTACTAATTTTGGATTTTGCTTGCTCTTACTTTTCTTGTTCCCTGAGGCGAATTGTTAGGTTGCTTTCTTGAAGCCTTTCTACTTTTCCAATGTAGGTGTTTATTACTATAAACTTACTTCTTAGTACTATTTTTGCTGTATCCCATAGGTTTTAGTATTTTGGGTTTCCATTTTTATTTTTTTCAATAAATTTTTGAATGTCCTTCTTAATTTCTTGATTGATCCATTGGTCATATAGGATGATCTGCATGTTGTTCCATTTCCACGTATTTTTACAATTTCCAAAATTTCTCCTGTTATTGATTTCTATGTTTATTTTATTGTGGGTCAAAAAGAATACTTGATATAACTTTGATTTTTTTAACTTGTTGAGACTTGTTTTGTGGCATAATATATTTTCTATCTTGAAAAATGCTCCATGTGCTGATAAGAAGAACATGTATTCTGCAGCTGTTGAACAAAACATTCTGTAAATGTCAGTTAGGTCCATTTAGTCTAGAGTTTAGTTTAACTCCAATGTTTCTTTTTTTATTTTCTCCCTCGATAATCTGTCCATTACTGAAAGTGGGGTGTTGAAGTCCCCTACTATTATAGCATCGCAGTCTGTTTTTTCCCTTTAGATCTATTAATATTTGCTTTCTATATTGTGGTGCTCTAGTGTTTGGTGCATATATATTTACAATTCTTATATCCTCTTGCCAAACTGACCCCTTAATCATTATATAATGACCTCCTTTGTATCTTTTACAGTTTTTAACTTGAAGTCTACTTTGTTTCATATAAGTATAGATACTCCTCTTTTTTGGTGTTCATTTGGTAGATTTTTTTTTAATCTCTTCACTTTTGGTTTGTGTGTCTTTTTAGTATAGGTGAAGTAGGTTGCTTGTAGGCAACATATATTTAAGTCCTTTTTTTTTTCAATCCACCTCAGCCACTCTGTCTTTTATTTGGATAATTTACTCCATTTTTGTTCAAATGTTATTATTGATAGGTAGGAAGTTACTACTGCCAATTTGGTTTTTTGTTGTTTTCTGACTGTTTTGCAACTCTTTTCACCTATTTTTTTCTTACTATCTTCCTTTTTCTCTGATGATGTTTCTTAATTCCTTGTTTTATATTTCTAATGTATCCATTATAGGTTTTCTGTAATTATTATGAGCTTACAAAAAACATATTATAGTTATAACAATTTATTTTGAACAGATAACAACATTGACACAAAGAAACAAAAAACTAAAAAATTTGTCATTTATCCTCCCACATTTTAACTTTTTGATGTTTTGATTTACATCATTTTGTATGTCCAGTTAACAAATTGTTGTAATTATTATTATTGAAATATTTCTTTTCATTGTCACACTAGAGATATGAGTAGTTTACACAATACAATTATAATATTAGAATATTTGAATTTTTCTGTGTACTTTTACTAGTGAGTACCTTCAGATGATTTTCTTACTTCATGTTATCACCTGTTTCTTATAGATGGAAGAATTCCCTTTAGTATTTCTTATAAGACACGTCTGGTGGTCATACATTTCCTCTGCTTTTGTTTGTTTAAAAAAGTCTTATGTATGTCTCCTTCATGTTTTCAGGATAGCTTTGCTGGATACAATATTTTCAGTTGGCAGGGTTTTTTTTGTTATTTGTTTTTTATTTGTTTTCATTTAGCACTTTGAATATGTCCTCCCATTCCCTCCTGGCCTGTATGGTTTCTGCTGTGAAGTCCATGGCCAGAAGAATTAGAGCTCCTTTATATATAATTTGCTTTTATTCTCTTGCTGTTTTTAGGATCCTCTCTTTGTCCTTGACCTCTGGGAAGTATTATGTGCTTTGGGGTAGTCTTATTTGGATTGAATCTATTTGGTGCTCTTCAACCTTCCTGTGCCTGGATATTTATATCTTTCTCTAGGTCTGAAAAGTTTTCAGTAAGTACTTCTTTTAATAAGCTTTCTACTCCTTGCTCTTTCTCCTCTCAAAGGTCAATTACTCTTGAATTTGTTCTTCTGAGGTTATTTTCTAGATTTTCTAGGTGTTCTTCATTCCCTTTTATTCTTTCCTTTTTTCTTTTCTGAATATGTATTTTTGAAAAGCCTGTCTTTGAGCCCATCAATTTTTTCTTCTGCTTGATCAATTCTGCTGTTGAGACTCTTCAATGCATTTTTCAGTTCCGCTAACATGTTTCTCAGTTTCAGGATTCCTATTTGGTTTTTTCAATTATTTCGACTTCTTTGTTAAGTTTCTATGATAATATCTTATTTGATTTTTAGTGTTATTTTGGAGTTCACTGTTTCTCGAAGACTGCTATTTTGTATTCTTGAGGTGAGAGCTCACACATTGACATCTTTTTGGGTTCTCTTACTGGCTTCTTGATTTGTGGATTTGAGGAGGTTATGGTTCCCTGTTTGCTTTTGTTACATGTGGATGCACATGTATGTCTTCACATGGAAGGATTAGTTGTTTATTCCAGTCTTCACTGTCTGGGTTGGTTTGGTCTCTCTAGTATATATGCGTTTAGATGTTGTCTGATAATCACCTATTAATATCCTTAGTCCTAGATTGCTGCCTCCTTTTCAGCACTAGATGGTGGCCTAAACCCAGGTTTACCATGGCTCTTTCAAAACTTCAAGGCCTTGCTCATCCAGAATGGGGACTGGGGGTGTCCTGAAGGGGATTTCCCAGCTGTGTGGGTAAGCTGAGTAGGAGTTTTTGCCCAAAGGGCCCATGAAGCATACCTCCAACAGTGCAGTGCTACTGAATTACTTCTCTGATTTGGCACCTCTTGTTTGAGATGGAGAGCAGCCCCTGAGTTTCATGTGCTGGGGCTGCTAGCTCCATCTCCACTGTCCCCAGCTGCCCTCAGGGATCCCTCTCCCTACAGGCACTTATGATGAATTTTTGTTAAAGTATTTTTGGAAACCCTCAGTGAGACAAAATTAAAGATGTTTCATTATTACAAAATACTTCAGAGCTTTCAAATGCCATGTTTGTTGGAATTCTCAAAGGGAGCAATATTTACACAACATTACCTCAACTGATTTGACAATGGAAACCTTTGGTGCTATGAGCTTTTCTTAGAACCCAGCCTAGTAAAAAACCTTTTGTGTAGTACTGCTTTATACTATACTGCCCTGTAGTCTCCAAAGCTATGGGCTACAAAGGGAGCTGGATAAGACAAAAATACCCATTTTAAAGATGGAATGTGGTCAGTGTTTTCAGAGAGGTAGAGATAGAAAGAAGGGCAGCTCAGATGAAGAAGAAAATGCCTCCAGATGCCAGAATAAGCTGCTCGGAAAATGTGACATTTGACATCTTCTCATCAGTGGCATCAATTTCCTTCCAGGATTTCACATTTCAAACCCAGTTACTGGCAATCTTACCTGCAATTTGGAATCCCTGGGAAGCTTTAAAAATGCTAATACCTGTATCCTATTCCCAGAAAGTCTGATTTATTTGGTTTGAGGTGTGACCTAAACACCAAGATTTAAAAAATTTACCCAGACAAGATTGAAACCATAGCTGTGAACCCTGGCAAAATTTGTGACTTGCCTTATCCAGAATAAAGAACTTATGCTTTTTCTGCAACAATTCTCATGCCACTCTTTTCAGCTCTTCCCATGGCCAAAATCTGTAACGCAGGTATAGATTTTAAACTTATTTACATCTGTGCCAATACTGGAGATCCTTCCAGACTTACTTCCTTCTTTCAGATTTTCTCTCCTAGGTATGCCTAATATTTAAAATTAAGGCTCAGAATTATTTAAAAACCAGGATAATAGAAATGTTAATAGCACAAGCTCAGTATCAGGCCGTAAGAAGTCAAATACATATACAGATTTCTAAACTTCAGTAAGATGCCCAGCTTTTCAAGCCTCAGTTTCCTTATTTGTAAAGCAAGTTAATAATAATATAATAATAATAATATAAACCTTTAAATGGTTGTTCTGAGGACTTTAACAAGTTAACTGGAAGTCCTCAGCACAGTGTCTGGCACATATTTGGGACTCATTAAATAATAGCGATCATTGGCATTAGCATCATCGTTATTTCACCACTTTTTCAGTTACCTTACATCCCTTTCCAGAAGTCACAGGTAAGCTTGTCAGGAGCCTGTTAGGAGCTGGGAGTTACTTAGGGATGCAGAATATCAGCCTCCAGCCCAGGCAGGCAGTTTTTCAAGGCAATTTGTATGTATATTAAGGATAGAGAGACATCAACCTATGGATTAGAAATTACTTGGGGGAGATTTTTAAAAGTCTACCCCCAACCAGTTAAATCAGAATTTCTGGGACTGGGATCCATGCATCAGTATGTTTACAGTTTCATGGGTGATTCCAAAGTGCAGCTAAGGTTGAGAAACTATGGTTTCAATCTAGGGGCTACCAATGGCTTCCAAAGTCATTGGAAGTCCTAGGCTAGCCTCTTTCTTTGTTCTCCCTACCTCCCTTCCTCTTCTCCTTTCCTTCCTTTTCTCTCTGCCTCTCCCATTTCTCCTCCCATTCAAACTCTCCTCCTCTGCTTTTCTCTCTCCTCTTTTACTGCAGCCAAATTCTATTTTCCTTTTCATCAAATGTATATATATGCTTTTTCTTTTCTCAAACTTTCTTACAGATTCTAAACTCTAACTTGATCATTTATAACTCTCTTATTTGCTAGAGGTTAAGCCAAGCCAAATTTTCAAACTCATTAACCCTTTGCCACTTCCTAGATGAGTCCCCACACCTGTGATTACTTTAATTCAGCATACAGCCTCATCACCACCACCTACACTTATGTCTTTTACATTAAAATCAGCTAAAGAGAAGAGTCTATATCCATTTTAATTCCTGGTAAGTGAATGTTTCTTGATACAAAAACAAATAATAAAATCTCTATTTGAAAAAAAAAAGTTTTTCAAAACATATTACCAAGAAGTTGGATTGTGATTCTTTTTTTGCATAGCCTTCAGAGTTGTTACTTTCATGATCACATGTGATTCTCACAAAAGCCCTTAAAGTATTTTAAACCCCATTTTGCATCCAAATTAAAGTAAAGTTAAGAAAAGTTAAAGAAACAACTCACCGATGATTGCATAGCTAGTAAGTGGTTGATCCAAGTCTAAAACACTTTTCTTCTGATATATTAAAGGCTATTTCTATCACACCATGCTCCAAGTCAGAAGGTACAAAGTGTGATTGCTTTAACCTAGTGTCAGGTAGTGCCAGCTAATGAGAATAAAGTGGGGAGCTGCATTTGTCGCTACCTTTGCCTAATTATGTCAGGGTGGCAAAGAAAGGCCTGCTTCTGAAGCCCAGAGTTCCATGTTAACAAAAAATAGAAATCTAGGACTCGAATCTTTCTATTTTTCCTCTTTCTGCACTTTCATTATTCATGAATGAGTTGTCCCTGGTCAGGCTTCTGTGAAAAACCACAACAATGATTGCTTGGATAATGAGTTTCTGGTGATGTCTTTGACTTGACATGTACCCATTTCCCGTAGGACCACTCAATCTGCTACCTCTCACTGAACATAGTTCAGGGATAAGATGGGGATGGGAAGAAGATCTTCATATAATAAAAATGCAAAACAAACAAATAATAGGAATGTACATCACTCAGTTCTCAAGTGCCTTTTTGCTAGTAAATGATAAAAACATCACTAAAAAAGCAACAAACCATTCATAATAAAAAAAATGCTCATGAATTCATGATATATTCCATTCGAATACAAACCAATTGTGACTTTTTAAGACATATGAATAAAACACATATCAATCCAGTTGTTTCTAGTATTATTTTGCCATTAAATGAGGACTTTAATGAAATAAAAGCTTCAGAGCCTTTAGTTAGAAACAATCTTGATCATTCTTTGTATCAATAGACTTTCATCTGCCTTTCAAGTGTAGCAGTTTGTTACAGAAGGATGTGGGTACATTTGTCCCAAACACCAGACTAAGATATCAAGAGGGCAGGTGATCTGTCTGATGTATCTTTCTATCATAGTAAAGCCTTGTTCATGCTTTGTATATTGTATACACATATACTAAATGAGGAATACTTTTAACTCAATTGGAAAGCATTAAAATGATTGTAGAGTTTTTACATCTTTGTTCCAATTTCTAGAATAGTGCCAGCCACCAAGTGGGGATTCACTGATTATTAATAAATGAATATCTGATTAAATGAATGAAAAATGATTTTTTTAAGTTAGTGGGCTTTCCAAAGAACCTAATTTATTAAGCAAACCTGAGGGCATGTAAAGCATTCAGACTTGCAAAGTAAAAAATCAGCCAGGCTACAAATAAGTGAAAAAGTGTTAAGCCTTGTTATTTCTGATATTTTCTAGAAGTTTAATATCTCTACATATTTAAGTTTCATATCTAATATTTTCTAGGAATTTAATAGCTACCCAAGGCATCTATTAGACATAGGGCTTTCAGACCTTCAAAGTCCCCCTATATGTCAAAGACCAGGTCTTTTTGTTGCTGTTAAAGACCAGCTGGTAGTACCAAACTTTTCCAAATACTTATATTCATTAACAAGCAATTTCCTGCAAGAAAAAGGAAATGTTGGGGAGCATTTTGCGAATGCTGGGCATTTGAATATGCATCTAACAGAACCAGGATCAGAGCTGGACCTTTAATAAATCCATAAAGACTCTTGTTGAAATAATGTTGTTAAAATCCCATTTAGTTTTTTTTTTTTTTTTTTTGAGACCGAGTCTCCCTCTGTAGCCCAGGCTGGAGTGCAGTGGCGCGATCTCGGCTCACTGCAAGCTCCGCCTCCCGTGTTCACGCCACTCTCCTGCCTCAGCCTTCGGAGTAGCTGGAACTACAGGGGCCTGCGACCACGCCTGGCTAATTTTTTTTTTTTTTTTTTTTTTAATAGAGACGGGGTTTCACCGTGTTACCCAGGATGGTCAAGATCTCCTGACTTAGTGATCCGCCCACCTCGATCTCCCAAAGTGCTGGGATTACAGGTGTGAGCCACCGCGCCCGGCCAAAATCCCATTTAGTTTTAATGTTAGGAATGAACATATTTCAATCTAATCAAGATTTTGCCTTTTATTTTTCTGGAATAATGGGGAGGGGATAGAGGAACAAATTAAAAGAAATCATGAAGTAACAAACAAAAATCTAGGTTTTACGATATTCTTCAGGAAATTGACTTAGTTTTTTCAACAAGTTAATGGCATGACAAATAAAAAGAAGATACTACTCTAAATTAAAATGTCTTAATGATAAAAATAACTTAATGTTATGGTCATTACAATTAAAAAAATATGCGAACCTTTTCAAAGACTTTTTTTGATAGTTGAAGACATTGTAAAATGGACTGGATATATCACAAAATCAAAAGTTATTGTTAATTGTTGTCTTAGTTCAAACTGCCATAACAATGTACCATTGAATAGGTGGCTTAAACAACAAACATTTATTTCTCACAATATTGGGAGGCTGAGTAGCTCAAGATCAAGGTGCCAGTATCCAGTGTTTGGTGGTGAAGGTCAAGTCCCTGATTTGCAGATATCCTGGTATCCTCACTTGTTGCAAAAAGAGCTAGGTAGCTTTCTGGCTTGTTCTTATAAAGGTACTAATTTTATTCATGAGAACTCTACCTTTATGACCTAATTACCACTCAAAGGCACTACCTCCAGATACCATCACATTGGGATTAAGACTTCTATATATGAATTTGGTGGCAGTGGGTGAAACAAAAACACTTAGTTCATTGCAATTGTGTTGGGGGTGATAATGGTATTGTGCTTATACAAGTAAACACCTGTATATTTTTAGAGATGTACACTGGAAAAAATGATGTAATGTTTAGGACATGCATTTAAAATGCTTCAAAAATAAAATTTAAATAAGAAACAAGAAGCAAGTGTGGAAAATTCTGAACACTGTTGAATATGGATGATGACTCTGTGGAGGATTATTATACTATCTCTCTACTTTCATGTGGAGACATTTTAACAAGAATAAAGGTACACAATAAAACTCAAGTTCAGAGTTACAGTTTTCCCTGAATGTAGTCAATTTTATTGGGGTCTTGTTATGTTTTAAGAGTTATTCTATGTTTAAATAATTTATAAATTCTATTTGTGTTACCACATTTTTTTTCCTTTTCGGACTTCGCTTTTTTACTTATCTTGGAGACTTAGGTAATATTATATGTAGAGGTACTTCATACTTCTTAATGTTTACATGTGATTCCATCTCTTAAATAGTTTTAATGAGCATTGTTTTATCTGTTCATATTAATGATAAAGAAAATGGTTTCTGGGTTTAAAAAAATGATTGGAAACATTTTTTTCTCTCTTCTCCAATGATGCACGCATGATCAAGGCAAAGAGAAAGAAGCCTTGTTAAAGCTATAAGCCCAATCACTAATGAGAAAACTGTACATTTTTATCCCTTCCAGGTCTTTCCTGTCCTATACAGAACACTGAATACATGGGTATGTCTGGGTATCTGATAAAATATTTCTTTCTTTTCAAAATGAGTGAAATAATGTTACTACCCAGTGACAAGAAGAGAAATGTTTTCAGAGAAGAAAATATATTTTTCTCAAGTTGAAAAGGATACAATCCTAAATTTAAAGATCAATTTAAAAGGAAGGGTTTGTATTATCCAGAAAATTGTAACTACAAAATGACTTTCAGCATGAAATTTTAGAGGTATGAAGCCAAAATAATGAAGATAAAGCTAATATTCTCATTTAACTTTTTCTTTTCTTCTGTGTTCTTCTAAGGTAACAAGGACCATTGAATATTAAATATGTAATTATTAAGTTTATTTCCAAGAAAAAGGGCTAAATGTTTAACTGTAAAGGCAATTTGTACTGTCTAATTTGGATATATTTACATTCAATCAGGAAAATGATTGAGTGACACTTAGTCATTAAACCAGAAATAATACATATGGAGAAGTCCGTTTTACTATTGCCTAGCACATAGCTATGTGAAATGATAAAATAGAGCTTCATTATAAAGCAATAAAAAATTTATGTTTTCTACCAAGGGCCACAGATGATTCTTTTTGTCATCTCATAGCCACCCACACAAAAATCAGAAAAAAATTACATACATCTTGTATTTTCCTATTATTTTCTTAGCAATTTAACAGGTATTGTGAGTAGAAAAGAAATACAAATACTCAATGCTTCTCTACTTCCCTAATTATTTCCCCTTCCCAATATCCCCCACCCAAAATAATCTTTACAGCGAAATCATCACAATGACATTTACAATAGAGTTTCAGATTAGAATTGCCTTGTTATAACATTAAGCACGACTTGACTTGCTCCTGGAAGCTTTTGCCATTCTAGGCACATGTCCTTAGTATATGGGTTCTGTCTTAGTTTATTCCCTCACATCTGAGTTCATCACTGAAAAACTTAGAATAATAAAATGCTTCAGACAGAAGGGACCTTGAGATGACCAAGCGTAATTCTATCACTAGTGTATTAATAACTATCATTTATTGAGCAACTATTATGCATCAGGCACTGTGCTGATAACTCTTTCTACATCATGTCATTTTAATCATCATAACAACCCTATACAATAAGGACTATATTTCCAATTAGCAGTAAGGATAGAGTGATTTATAAACGTTAATTATCTCATTCAAGCTCCATGTATGCACTAGTTAATTTTGTCTGCTCAATATCCATTTATCTTTCTTCTGTTACCTCAGTTTTGCCTTAAGAAACCTATCACTTCTTCCCCACCCTCAGTTATTATAGTTAAGTTGGGGCTGCTTCTACCCTGGCTCCAGGGAAGGAAATCTGTCCCACCTGGCCAACTAGAAACACTCATTGGTTCAAGGGAAGGCACATTTCCTAAACTGGACCAATCAGAATAAATCTCAGGACTGATTTGGGAGACTAGGTGCCCTCATTCTGTGGAGGTTGCTGAACTACTAAGGTGAAAACTGGAGCTCATGGTGCCCATCTTGGTGCAACGCTAGAAGTCAAAAGTGATGAAACAAATTTCTTCTAACATCAGTCACGCTGAAAGTCAGAGCTACTCCTGGATTTGAGGTTAGATAAATGAACAAACTCCTTTGTATTTTTTTTAAGTCTGACTGATTTGATTTTCAGTGTTTTGCACTGGAATGAGTGATGAAGGATCCAATCACTAAGCTGATACATGGCAGAGCCAGTAATTAAACCCAGGTTTTCTGTTCTTTTCCATCACAGTATTTAGATTTGATTTAATCCTTGGTTTTCTCGAAAGAATTCAAGCAAATTAGAATAAGATTTAGCCACAGAAAGTGCCTTAGTTTCGGTTACCCAGAATTAGTCCCTGAGTCAAAGATTTCTGTGCAAGTAATTTACTAAGAATATGCCACAAAGGGAAACTGACATGGACCAGGGAAGCAGAGCAGGAAAGGAGAAGAAACCAAGCAAGGGTGAAATTTCCAGCTAAGTCCCAGCCTCAATCTGATTCCCAGGGGAATTTCCAAGGGAAGTTACACTGAGGAGCTTGTCCTCCTGATTACGCTCTAGTCAGCCATTGCCAGGTGAGCAACCCTGGGTGGAGGGAACATATACTCCCAGGTACTCTTACTATCTGTGAGACCTAGAAATGAGTCCAGTAGCCCAAGGCCAGTCCTCTGAAGAAGACCCATTAAATGCAAAGCACTGACAAAGTTAAGTCTGAATTAGAGGAGCCTTTTCTGGATACATTCTGGCATACTCAGCTTTTCTGGAGTGAGATCCTGGAAAACTCAAAAGTATAGGAAAGGTCTCACTACACTGATGTGAAATTGAAGTCCAACCTGTTTCCTTACCTTCTTGAAATGTTACGCAATTCATGGACAGAAGCTTCCTCGGGTTTATGATTTTCTCACATTTCTTTTGATGCCAGGGGCCATTTTCCCATTCATAAGACCTCAACTCCACCAACTTACCAACATCAACCATCTTAACTTCACTTAGTATGAATTTTCTGACATGCACAGTGGGGAAAATAATAGAGCCTATTTTGATAGCTTGCTTTAAAAATTAAATGACAAAATGCCTTATCACAATACCTAGTACTGAGCTATTTGCATGCTGTTTATGGGCTGAATTGCGTCACCCTCAATACTCATAGATTTAAGTCCTTCTACCTCAGAATGTGACTGCATATAGGTGTGACTCAGTTACAATGAGGTCATTAGGGCAGGCCCTAATCCATTCTAGCTGATGTTTTTATGAGGAGATTTGAACACACAGAGATATCAGAGATGAGTGTTCACAGAGGTGAAACCATGTGAGGACATGGCCAGAAGGCAGCCACCTGCAAGCTGCAAAAAGAACCAAATCTGCTGACATTTTGATCTTGGAATTCTAGTCTCTAGAACCGTGAGAAAATAAATTTATTTGTTTAAGCCACCAAGTTTGTGTTATTTTGTTACAGCATCCCTAGCAAGCTAATACACGTGCATATCAAAACTGTCCCTTCCTTAATTTCTCATTCTAATATCCTATCATTCCTGGGTACATATAAATGGATGGCTATTGTCAGGAAAGAATATTCATCCTCTACACGGTGTTTCCAGCCAACTGAGTTGGACATTTCAGAAACAAATCTTAGAAGAGCATAGAATAGTTTTTCCAGAAGGAAATATTCAACAGATCCATATTCCACCTTCTCTGACACTGTGTTCTCAGCAGGTGGGAAATTATTCTCAAGCCTATATCCCAGAGACTGCAATCATGTTAGCATGAGGACCAGATGGAATAAAACCAGGATCCAACTACATTTATTTTCAGAGCTTTAGAAAAGAACGGAATGGAGTGAAGGTTAGATCTCCCTTTGGTCTCTTGGGTCTAAGTTTGGCTAATCAGCTCCATAAAAGCTACCTTAGGAACACTAGGTACTTAGTGGAAGCTAAACAATCTCTCCATGTAGTGTCTATGATTCTGAAAAATGAATCTAGAAAATCAAAGTCATAAATCTCTTTTTAAGTGCCATCCAAAGAAAACTATTTCCTAAATGAATTTTATTGAAATAATAAGTGCAACAAATAAATCCAGGGTGGCACTAAAGCTTTTCAAAATGGAAAAAGAAAAATGAGTTAAAATATTAGAGCTGAGAAAACAGAACTGCTAGGTGCTCATATCTTTGAAATCACAGTTGATGTTCCTAAAGCAAAAAGAATGCCTCACAGTGTGGACAAAACATCTTCCTATACATTATCCCACTTGAACCTCACAAGAACTCAGAAAATAAACAGGAAAGTGGCTCAAGGTCAGAGAACTCACCAAGTGTTTTGCCTGAGATAAAAACAATTTAAGTGAATAGAATAGGAAAAAAATAAATTTTACAGCAGTTCTAACATGTAGGCATCTGAAGGAAATATTCAAATAGACAAAGGTATGTTAGATTCAGGTTTATTAATGTCGTATCAATCAAGAAGACTTTATTTAATGCACTGTTCTAGTAAAAATATATTCTTTTTGTTCAATAAAATTTTAAGATGCATTCTTCATAATTTATGGGTAAAATCAAATATAAGAATCCAAGGGCAGGAATAGAAGCAAGTTTCCTAAATATACATCACTCTTAAAAATGTTTAAAGACAAAGAGCTGGAGCCTGCACTTTAGATTTACAAGTGATCTCGTTTTGTAATGTCTTAGAGAAATTAGAAAGAGAGCTCCTCCCACTGATTCTTCTTTCCTGTCATTTGTTCAGCTAGAAAATCCAACACTCTAACTATAGATGATGGTTTGTACAAGTCGGACCCCAGGAAAGAGACAGAAACCACACCAACTGTGAAGGTATTTGACTGTCAACTTGGCTAGGCTGTGGTTCCCATTTATTCAACCAAACACTAATCTAAGTGTTGCTGTGAAGGTATGTTGTAGATATGACTAAGGTCCATTATCAGTTGACTTTACATATGGAAAATTATCCTAGATAATCTGGGTGGGCCTGATTCAATAAACAGAAAGACCTAAAAGCAGAGCTGAGACTTCCCTGATAAAGACGAAATTCCAACTGTGGACAGCAGGTTTAGCCCATGCCCAAGAGTTCCAGCACTGCATTCCTGATGGCCTGCCCTGTGGATTTCAGACATGCCTAGCCTGCCCCCACAATCATATATATATACACACATACATACATACACACACACACACATATATATGGTATATATGTAGATACATATGTGTAGGTATACATATATACATATGCATGCATAGAGTACACAGATAGATATTCTACTGATTCTACTGATTCTGCTTCTTTGGTTGAATTATGACCCATATATGAGCTATTTGAATAATGAGAATTTAATATAAATAATTGTTAAGTAGGTAAAAAGTTATTAACTAACTGAAAGAGTAAATTAGAACTCTGAGGTATATTACAGAGTTAGCAACTGAAGGAATCAGACACCACCCCTAATGTTTAGGGTGCAAGGACAGAAAGTGGAATTACTAAAACTTAGAAATTTAGAGGACAGAGCCTGTGGGCCTAGGACAGTTCTCTGAGCAGATAGGGATAACCAGCTGATGCTGGTGTTTCTGAGTAGTCACTGTAACACCGGCTCAGAGAAAACGCAGAAAGCTGCAAATTGCCTCCTGCCACTGCTCCAGGAAGGTACTGCTCTGCCAGAGTGAAGAAGCAAAGAAAGGCGATGCTCACAGGAACTACAAGCTGCCAGGTAGGAAGCCAACAGGAAGGAGAGTGTCCTTTCTTTCTCCTGCAGCCTTGCATTTTTCATCTAGTGCTCCCTATTGTTGGAAGCTAACAAGGATCTAGCTGGGAAGGCAAAAATAAGGCTTGCAGAGCCACAGTCTCAGCAAAACAAGACTGAGTGTAGAGTACAGAGGGGAGAGGACTTTGCTGAGAGACAATAGCTTGATCACTGGATTGGGGTTTTGGTATTGCTCAGAATATATAATAGTAAATATTTGGGGCAATATTTCCCCAAAGAGGAACCAAAAGAGCATACAATTAGATATATCTGTATCACACCAATTCTTAAGTATCCTGCAGCTAAATCAACATCTTCTGCTACTAAAAGTAATTCTTTTCTTAAAAGCAGCCACTTAACCCTTCTTCTGCTTGTAAACTCACTCCACATTCAGGGCCTTATAGACGGATTTTCACTTTGATCAATCCACATAAAAGTCAGTAATAACGTATTGCCAAGGCACTAACTTCTTAAAATATCCAAGCAAACGAATTACATTCTCTAAACATGGCTCACGGGTGGGAACAGAATAGGAGCAAGTACTGTCTACTTAGCAGTTAGACAATATTCCAACAGTGAGTAAAACGTGCTAGTGGGAATAGACAGTGACTTGGTAAAGTGGTAGATATTCAAAACTAAAAAATACTAGGACTTGGAGACCAACTGAGCATAAAGTGAAAATAAGATAAAAATTTGTCTTACTTCAAGATTTTTTGTTTGTTTTGTTTTAAGCAAAACTAGGCAAAGGCCATAACAATAACAGCAACAGGTAGCTCAGTTTTGTTCAAAGATTTTATTGCACACACGCTCCTATGTGTCCTCTACTCTTACCTTAGAAGTTCTTACATCTTAAAGTTTCTTAAGAAGGCCATGTTTATTTCATTTGCCTATAACCTTTCACAAAGTGTGCCTTCTGCCTGGAATACCCTTCTTCCCTTGTCTTTCAATGAATATGACTAATTTATACTTCTAGCATCAATTCAAACTTCTACTTCTCAGTAACTCCTGCCGTCACCCAGAGCTGCAGCATTGCATGGCTCCAGGGGACATAATTCACACTGTGTTTTATGTGGATAAGATATCTTGGAGTTATGCAGCATGACAGCCTTTCTCTGACCTCCCTGCAAGGCAAAGTCTGAGTAGGACATGTCTGTCTGTCTGTCTGTCTATCTATCTATCTATCTATCTATCTATCTATCTATCTATCTATCATCTATCTATCTACCTATCTATCTATATCTATCTGCCTGCCTACCTACTTTAGTCTGCAAAAGGCTAAATACCTGAGACTGGGTGGTTTAAATGTTAAACTTTTTTTTTTTCACAGTTCTTGAGGCTTGACATCCAAGATCAAGGTGCCATTAGGGATGGTTTCTGGTGAAGCCTCTCTTCCTAGCTTGTAGATGGCTACCTTCATACTGAGTCCTCACATGGCCCTGCTGTGTGTGCATGGAGAATGAGAGACAGAGAGAGAGAGAGAGATCCTGTGTCTTTTCCTTTTCTTAGGAAGCACACAACTTCTATTGGATTGGGACCTCACCTTTTTTACCTCGTTTAACATTAACTACTTTCCTAAAGGTCTCAACACAAAATACAGTCATAGTGGGGGTTAGCGATTTAAATATAACATTTTAGAACCACAGTGTACTCCATAACTCTGTCTCTCACTCTCTCTCTCTCTCTCTCTCTATCTATATATATATATATATCGTCCCAGTCTCTCCTGGACTACAGTTTCTGCTGAGACACCTGTGATGGTTTTATAGAAGTTCCCTTGTATGTTACAAGTTGCTTTTCTCTTGCTGCTTTCCAAATACTCTGTCTTGACTTTTGAGAATTTGATTATGTGTCTCAGTGAAGATCTCTTTGTGTTTAATCTATTTGAGGTTCTTTGGGCTTCAAACATCTGGATGTTTATTTCCCTCCATAAATTTGGAAAGTTTTCTGTCATTATTTCTTTAAATAAGCTTTCTGTCAATTTCTGTTTCTCTGCTTCTTCTGAGTCTCCCAGAGTGCATATGTTCATTTGCTTCATGATGTCCTATAAGTCCCATAAGCTTTCTTCACTCTTTTTAAATTTTTTTCTTTTCTTTTCTCTGACTAGGTAATTTCAGATGACCTGTCTTCAAGCTCACTGATTTTTTCCTTCAACTGGAGTCTTCTGTTTAAGCTTTTTATAAAATTTTTTAGTTCATTTTTTCTAACTTTAGAGTTTTTGTTTGGTTCTTTGTTAAAGTTGCTATTTTTTGTTGAACTTTTAATTTTGTTCATGCATTTTCTGGTTTTGTTTAATTGTCTCTCTGCTTTGTCTTCACTGAACTTCTTTAAGCTTCCTTAGTTGAGAAGCTTTAGAATTATTTTGCAAGCAGTTCATAGATCTCCATTTCTCTAGGATCCCTTACTAGTGCTTTATTTTATTCCTTTGGGGGTTTCATGTTTTCCTGACTGTTTGTGATCCTTGTGGGCTTGTGTTAGTGTCTGCACATTTGAAGAAGTAGACACCTCTTCCAGTCTTTTCAGTCTAACCTTAGCAGGAAAAGCTCTTCATCAGTCAGTCCATCCAGAGATTCTGGGCAGGCCAGCTGTTGGGGTCCTTAGGAAGGCTGGCTGCTGGAGTCCTCAGGCTGGTTGTCTTAGGTTTGGGGTCAATGGGTAGATGGATCTGGTAGTGAGGTCCACTGGGGTAGGCATGGTGACTATATCCATGGGATAAGCATGGAGCCTGGATCTGCAGAGGTAGGCCTGGAGTCTGGGTCCCTGAGGGGCAGCCTGGAACCTGGATTTATCTGGTACTGGGCTGGGTCTTGAGCCTGAGTATGCCAGGGCAGGCCAGAATCCTGGGTCTGTGAGAACTGTCCTGGAGTCTTGGAGCATGGGCAGCAGCGTGATGTTGATGTGAAAATGTAATGTATAAAGAAATTATGGATAAGCAAGGTCTTGTTGAAGATCAAATGGATGTTAAAAACATACTTGATGTACAGTTTTGCAAGCTCTGAACTTCTGAACTGATAGGAAATAAGACACACATACCATTACAACATGGATTAAGAGATGTGAAATAATAATTGAACCCACACATTGTATAGTGCACTAAAAAGGAAAAACAGGGTTGTTTGTGAAAAACAGAAAACTGGACTCAAACTAGCTCAAATAATATGGAAAATTTTTTGATTAATATAAATGTAAAATCCAGAAAATGTAGGCTTCTTGTCAGTCATGCTCTAGTAGCTCAACAATGTCACTCAAGACCTAGTTTCTTTTCATTTCCTTTGTTTTCTTCATAAGCCTAAATTTGCTTTACTTGAAGTTACAAGACGGCATTGGCAGCGGCAGAAAGATTATATACTTGCTTTCTGAAATCTAAAAGAAAAACAGTATATCCACTGAAGAGTAATGAAACTACTTTTCAAGGAGCAACCAAAACTCTGCTAGCATCTCAGTCACGTGCCTATATATCAACCAATCTCTATGTCCAACAGCTTGTATCTGCTTGTTGGTTTAAATTAATCAGGAATTGCTCCTGGAAGGCAAATGTGGACCACATAAGAAAGGGGTAAGTTTTTCAATGAAAATAAATATAATATTATCAGCATGAAGAGGATAAATTCTGGATAGTCAAAATCCCCCCAAAATGTAGAGATGTGAGCATTTGAGATAGGCTTTGAAGAATGTGTGTGTATAGCAGAGGGGGTTTGCTGATGAAGGGATCAACAAAATCAGAGCTCAGTGTGAAGAAAATGCAATAAATATGCAGAAAATATTAAATGGCCTAGTTTTACATGAAGAACAAAGGGATGCCTAACCTGGAAAATATAATGTTTTGCATCAACTAATACAACTCATAGAGGTTTATTTGTGAGTTGTTAAATATTCTTGAACCCCCTAAAGTAGCATAAAGAATGTTGGGTTTATAGATACATGGGTATTTTCCTGGAGAAAAAAGTCTACAGATTCTTAAAGGTAATTGTAACAAAAACAAAACAAAATAAACAAAAATTAACGGAAAATAGAACATAGTAACAGTAGAAAATTGCACTAAGGAAATAGAAATAGGTTGGGTTATAGTGTTGAAGTTCTTAAATGACAGGTTACAATGTTTGGCTGACACAGAACTTTTAGAAAGCACATTAGGAAAACAAGCTGATCTAGATGGAAGGTTAAAAAAACTCAACATTAACACTTTGGGAGGCCGAGGAAGGCGGATCACTTAAGGTCAGGAGTTTGAGACCAGCCTGGCCAACATGGTGAAACCCAGTGTCTACTAAAATTACAAGAATTAGCCAGGCATGGTGATGTGCACCTGTAATCTCAGCTACTCGGGAGGCTGAGGCATGAGAATCACTTGAACCTGGGAGGCGGAGGTTGCAGTGAGCCAAAATCGTGCCATGGCACTCCAGCCTGGGTGACAGAGTGAGACTCCATCTCAAAAAACAGAAAAAAATTCAACATTATGTATATTGATTTTAAGATGATGGTAGGACAATGAAATTAGAATAAGGAATTGAAGCCCAGAAACACAACTGGGATTGAAGAAACACTTATGGCAGCTTAGAAGCAAAAGTCAACATAGCTATTGGCATGTACATACTATCAAAACAACAGACTTTAACACATTTTACAAATTGTAGCTCATGATATTGTTTCAGCATTCAGTTCTTGAGTTCTCAACTAAAATACAGTTCTTTCGTTTATGAGGGCAGTATGCAAAGAAATGAAATTGGCTTAGTGGAATTGGTTTTGCATTAGCAGTGTTTTTTTCATAAAAATTCAAGTTTAATTCCATATTGCTTTTTGAAATAATACTGTGGCAATGAGTCAACAGGCCTTTCCCCTGGCATTCTTAGCTCTCTAATGGGGCAAACTGTCTTATGATAATGCCTATTAATTTTATGTGATAGTATGGTTTATTACTTAATTTTAAAAATTAGAATTTAAGATGATTTTATTGCATTGTTTTAAAGTTCATTTTATTGTGAAAATACTTCAAATTTGACATTCCATATTTTCTTTTTGGTTAGTGGCTAATTAAGTTTTAAGTTTTTTTCTTACTTTTATTTAGATTCAGGGGTACATGTACAGGTTTGTTATATAGGTAAACTGTGGGTTATGGGGTTAGATATACATATTATTTTGTCACCCAGGTAATAAGCATAGTACCCGATAGGTATTTTTTCTGATCCTTTCCCTCCTCCCACCCTCTGCTCAAGTAGACCTCAGTGTCTGTTGTTCCCCTCTTTGTGTCCATGTGTTCTCATTGTTTAGCTCCCACTTATAAGTGATAACATGTGGTATTTGGTTTTCTATACCTGCATTAGTTTGCCTAGCAATAATGGCCTCCAGCTCCATCCATGTTGCAGCAAAGGACATGATCTTGTTCTTTCTTATGGCTGCGTAGCATTTCATGGTGTATATGTACCACTTTTTCTTTATCCAGTTACTGTTGATGGGCATTTAGGTTGATTTCATGTCTTTGCAGTTATAAATAGTACAGCAATAAACATATGCGTGCATGTACCTTTATGGTAGAATGATTTACATTCCTTCTGATATATATCCACTAATGGGATTGCTGGGTCAAATGGTATTTCCGTTTTAAGTTCTTTGAGGAGTTGCCTCTCTTCTTTCCACAATGGCTGAACTAATTTACACTCCTATCACCAGTGTATAAGCATTCCCTTTCCCCATAAACTCACCAGCACCTGTTATTTTTTGACCTTTTAATGATAGCCATTCTGACTGGTGTGAAATAGTATCTCATTGTGGTTTTGATTTGCGTTTCTCTAATGATTAGTGATATTGAGCAGTTTTTTCATATGCTTGTTGGCTGTATGCATGTCTTCTTGTGAAAAGTGCCTGTTCATGTCCTTTGCCCACTTTTTAATAAGATTGTTTGTGTTTTGCTTGTAAATTTAAGTACCTTATAGATTCTGAATATTAGACTTTTGCCAGATGCATAGTTTGCAAATAATTTCTCCCATTCAATAGGTGCTCTGTTTACTCTGTTGATAAGTTCTTTTGCTGTGCAAAGGCTATTTAATAAAATTAGGTCCCATTTGTAAATTTTGGTTTTTGTTGCATTTGTTTCTGTCATCTTTGTCATGGAATCTTTGCCAGGTCATACACCCAGAATGGTATTTCCTAGGTTATCTTCCAGAGTTTTTATAGATTTAGGTTTTTATATTTAAGTCTTTAATCCTACTTGAGTACGTTTTTGTATATGGTGTAATAACAGGGATCAAGTTTCAATCTTCTGCATATGGCTTGTCTGCTATCCCAGCACCATTTATTGAATAGGGTGTTGATATGGTTTGGCTGTGTCCCCACCCAAACCTCATTTTGAATTGTAACTCTCACAATTCCCACATTTCATGGGAGGAACTTGGTGGGAAGTGATTGAATTATGAGGGTGGGTCTTTCCTTCACTGTTCTCCTGATAGTGAATGAGTCTCATGAGATCTGATAGTTTCAAAAATGGGAGTTTTGCTGCACAAGCTCTCTCTTTTTGCTTGCCACCTTCCATGTAAGACGTGACTTGCTTCTCCTTGCCTTTCACCTTCTGCCATGATTGTGAGGCCTCCCCAGCCATGTGGAACTGTAAGTCCAATAAGCCTCTTTATTTTGTAAATTGCCCAGTCTCAGCTATATCTTTATCAGCAGCATGAAAACAGACTAATACAGGAGTCCTTTCCCCATTGCTTGTTTATGTTAGCTTTATCGAAGATCAGATGGTTGTAGGTGTGTGGCAGTATTTCTAGGCTCTCTATTCTGTTCCATTTGTCCATGTGTTTGTTTGTGTACCGGTACCATGCTGTTTTGGTTACTGTAGCCTTGTAGTATAGTTTGATGTCAGGCTATGTGATGCCTGTAGCTTTGTTCTTTTTGCTTGCTTTCTTCTTTTTGCTATTTGGGCTCTTTTTGGTTTCATATGGATTTTAAAGTAGTTTTTTTTTTCTGATTCTGTGGAGAATAGCGTTGGTAGTTTGATAGGAATAGCATTGAATCTGTAAATTGCTTTTGGCAATATGGCCATTTTAATGATATTGATTCTTCCTATGCAGGAGCATGGAATGTTTTCCTATTTGTTTTTGTCATCTCTGATATCTTTGAGCAGCGTTTTGTAATTCTTTTTTGTAGATGTCTTTCACCTCCCTGATTAGTTGTATTCCTAGGTAATTTATTATTTTAGTGGCAATTGTGAATGGTATTGTATTCTTGATTTGGTTCTTGGTTTGGATATTGGTGTATAGGAATGCTACTGATTCTTGTACATTGCTTTTGTATCCTGAAACTTTGCTAAAGTTGTGTATCAGATCCAAATAGAAAGAGATAAAGTCAAACTATCCCTGCTTGTAGATGACATGATTCTATATCTAGAAAACCCCATAGTCTCTGCTTAAAAGTTTTTAATTTTATTTAATAATTCCTAAGTATTTTGTACAATAATAAACTCTTCAACTGAATAGAATACAATGCAGATAAACCACTGACACGAGTTGAAGTAGGAGAAAAAATGAAAAGTATTACATGCTATTCAGTGACATTAAATTACAATCATTCATGTGAAACTGGACATGATTGACAGGTAATAAATAGATTTGTTCTCTATTGCAGCATTTAGGACTTGTCTTTTAAAAGTAATCAGCAGCCAGGCATTGTGTGTTATGCTTATAATCCTAGCACTTTGGGAGGAGGCAGGAGGATCACTTGAACTTAGGAGACTGATACCAGCCTGGGCAACATAGTGAAACTCTATCTCTACAAAAATTAAAATGTTAACTGCACATGGTGGAGTACTCCTAAAATTCTGGCTACTCGGGAGGCTGAGGTTGAAAAATTGCTTGGGCCCAGGAGGTCGAGGCTGCAGTGAGCTGTGATTGCACCACTGCACTCCAGCCTGGGTGACAGAGTGAAACACTGTCTCTTAAAAAAAAAAAAAAAAAAAAGAAAAGAAAGAAAAAAACGGAAAGTAATTAGCGTAAGAGTAATGACCATAAGTAATTAGCATAAGTAGACATAATTTCAGAATGTTTACAAGGAAATTGTCATATATTATTGAGTATTTACAAAATGATGTATGGTTTGAAGGAAAAGAGAAAAACAGCAGGGTATTAAATAACTAAATTTAAAAAGTTATTTTCATTAAGCACCATTCAACTTTGATCCTAATACCTGAGTTTCATCAGTCCCATATTTAATTTTTATTTTATATATATAATTATGATATTACACCTTATCCTTACAAGCACAATCAGTGGACTATTCCCTGAAACTTCTGGTCTCAAGCAATCCTCCTGCCTCAGACGCCAGACTCCCGAGTAGTTGGAAGTATAGGTACACAGTACCATGCCTGGCTGTTTTTTTTTTTTTAATTGTTTTAACTGCCTAAAAATAGGCAATTTATTCTCTTCTATATTTATTCTCTTGTATTTTCTTTGAAATTTTACTTGTCTACAGAATCTTCAAGTTTGGAAGCCACTTAGCTCTGAAATTCCTAACAAGCCTTTTGAGATCAGCTGATCCCTTTGCTCTCCACGCTGGGACAGCCCCATTTCAGCACACATACACACTCACATGCCCCGTGATCTTACACAGGCTTGCAAACAATGGGCTGGAACAAGCTGCCTCTCTCCAGGCATTACATTTGCAGTTCTAACATTGACTATCAGAAGGGTGGCTTGTCATCTAGGGTAGCAGGCCAAAGTGGGAGATGATGACCTGGGCCAGAGAGAGAGAATCTGTGTCTGTCATTATGAAAGGACAAAATTATCTTAATGCATCCCGTAATAGAAATCAAAAAAACTTTTATGTAGTTCATCTACAATCGCCCAGCTAGGGGTGGACCCAGAATTCATAAATAAAAAGTTTTTAACTCTTCTGAGTTTCAAGTGACCTCAACTTTTTTTTTGAGATTAACAGCAGAGATTTAATAGGCAAAAGAAAGAGAAAGGAGAACAGCTCTCTCTCCTGTGAGACACTCTCCTGAGTGGGACTTCCCGACAGCATAAATATTATTTGTGAGACATAATCCTGATATAATATTCCATAAAATGAACCTTGGTTCACCATGCGGTGAAATGTTTTGTGTTCTTTTGCAACTTGTTATTCTGCTGGAGATAAACACATTCTAGTCTCTCTGCTTAGTTTCACATGGTTAAATAAATCTTTCAGTTAATAGCTATATTTTAATTAAAGTGAACGCACGATCTCCTCTTGCTATGATTCTCAAGACTGAGGAAAGTCATCTAAACAAATCAGGGAAAAATTACCCCTCAAAACTAAGAGCTTTGTTATGACGTTTTTTTCTAATCATATTACGTTTGTCAGTTCTGTGGAGAATGGACCTGGGCTGGCTTTTCCAATAAAGAGGATGCAGGTAGTTTGTAAGGATTCTTTCTGAGCAGAAAAAAAATTGAGGAACATAGGCAAATAATATCTTAAAGTCCTCCGTTCATCCTGTCTGATAATATTGGTACCATGCAAGAATATTATCTGAGTAATACCTGTCAAGAGAATTAAAACTGAAGGCTGATTTAGAAGAAAATTCTGTTTTATTTATTTTATTTTGCATTGCTTTATCTTTTTTTATTATTTTTGAAAAGGGGTCTTGCCAGGCTGTCCAGGTTGACCTGAAACTCCTGGGTTCAGGTGGTACTCCTGCCTCAGCCTCCTGAATAACTGGGATGATAAACTTTTTAGAGAAGAAGTCTCACTATGTTGTCCAGCCTGGAGTGCAGTGGCTATTCACAAGCACAGTCAGTGAACTATAGCCTCAAACTTCAGGTCTCAAGTGATCCACCTGCCTCAGGCTCCTGAGTAGTTGGAAGTATAGGTACACAGAACCATGCTTGGAGGTTTGTGTTTTTTATTGTGCTTTAACTGCCTAAAAATAGGCAATTTATTCTCCTCGACATTTATTCTCCTCTATTTTTTTTTTTTTTTGAAATTTTACTGCACCCAGCCTGCATGGCTTTCTTTCATACCCTTAGTTTTCTTTTCTCTTGAAACGTATTCCAGGAATTATTAACTTGTGTTTTTACGTTTAAGTTGTCACACAATTGACCATTACACTTCAAATCTAAATAGGTCTTTATAGACATCATTTCAATTCTCTGCAAAACTTATCTGTCCAGATTTTATCTTGCATCTTACTTCATTTTCTGGTGCTATAACTGAATACCACAGATTGAGCAATTTATTTTAAAAAAAGTTTATTTAGCTCATGGTTCTGTAGGCTGGGGAGTCTCTGAGCATGATTCTGGCATCTGGTGAGGGCTGTTTGTGCTGCATCATAACATGGAAGAGGGCATCACATGGTGGGAGGGCAAAAATAGGCCAGCTCAGTCTCTTCTTCATCTTATAAAGCCACAACTCCCATTGTGGGGATTCCACTCTGAGGACCTTATCTACTCCTAATTACCTCCCAAATGTGCCCTCTCCAAATATCATCAACATATGAATTTGGGGATTAAGTTTCCAACATGTGAAATTTGGGGGAAATTTCAAACCATAGAATCTTGGTTACAAATATTTGAAAAATGAGCCTTAACAACAAGGCTTTTCATCTAGATTTGTACTTTTGAGAGGTGAGGCCAGTGGGACTTCCTGGGTTGAGTGGGGACTTGGGGAACTTTCCTGTCTTACAAGAGGATTGTAAAATGCACCAATCAGTGCTCTGTAAAACACACCAATCAGCACTCTGTAAAACGCACCAATCAGCAGGATTCTAAAAATAGCCAATCGCAGGGAGGATTGAAAAAAGGGCATTCTAATAGGACGGAAACCGAACATGGGAGGGGAAAATAAGGGAATAATAGCTGACCACCCCAGCCAGCAGTGGCAACCCGCTTGGGTCACCTTCCGTGCTGTGGAAGCTTTGTCCTTTCTCTCTTCACAGTAAACCTTGCTACCACTCACTCTTTGGGTCTGCGCCATCTTTAAGAGCTGTAACACTCACTGCAGAGGTCTGCGGCTTCATTCTTGAAGTCAGCCAGACCACAAACCCACCTGGACACACTTTTTCCTACTGACATGATGTCTGCTGCACATCTCTTTTGGTTAACCTGCACTAGCGGAATTTTCATGAGCAACAAGTACAGGATCCATGCTACTGAGCTCCAGTGACTTTGCCCTTCAGAAACATTTTAGGTTTATCATTTCTTTTTATTTTGACTTTGGATCTGAAAGCTGGAAACAGGGGAATCATTTAGATGTTGTGGAAAAAGTATGTGGGAAGGAAGTGGCTGCCATAGAGGCTAATGCTGGCCTCAGGATTATTAGTCAGTTTGTCTCAATGGGAAAGCCCATCAAACAGAGTGAATCTGCTTGTGAATTGTGAGAAATGAGAATGTTAAATAGGGAGCCCTAAATGCTGCGTTATCTATGAAAACTATTATTTCTGGGACAATAGCAAAATTAGACATTCAGGAGAAAGTTGATGACTGTGCTGTAAAACAAAATAAGCAAAATTTGCTTACAAATAAGCAAAATGTTCTAGGATTTCATTGCTGTATCCGTTAGGGTCCCAAGAGCAAGAACGCCAAGAGGAAATAGTTCTGTGTACTTGAGACAAATTAGGGGTCCCAGCTGCCCTCACTGGGGGAGTGAATTTTGTAATAAGATAACTGTAAGTCATTTTGTGACTCAGGCTCAGCTACACTAGTCTGTGCCTTACACAGCAGCTTGGAGCAAGCAAGCATGCAGATACAGCCTCAAGGCCTCCCAATCCCTGAGCCAATCTTAGAAGAGGGAAGGCATTCAGCAGGCACTTCCACAGTCCCTGTCCACTGGGATGTGTGATTGAGTCATCCATGTTGAGTTCTATAGGTCCCAGCACAACTATTGGGTTCCTACATCCTAAGTTTACATGGCTGTCCCCAGTCAGGATAAATATCTGGGTTTCATTTGGTATGGAGTCTTGGTCTCAGCTATGGCCTTGGGGTCCATTCTATACTCTGCCCTGCCCTTCCTGCCTAGTGCTCTGGCCCCTTGGGAAAATGAGAGTTCCTCTTCCTCCTACCTTTTTGAAATGTGCCTTTGTGCCCTTGCCTACTTTGGCTTGGCCAAAGGAAGGGGCTAAGAGTAGAGTTTTGCCCTACAAGTGGCCTACTTGTAGAAGGTCATATCCAAAGCGAACAACAGATCTCTCACAATGGCTTCTATCCCTGACACCAGCCTTGCCTTTCAAGAGTTTGACCTTACCTATGAGAAATGGCATACTTACCTATGAGAAGTGGCTAACAGTGTAGGCTATAGCATCAGACTGGCTGGGTTCAAATCTCTGCTCCATAATTTGCTAAAACCATCACTTAAACTTAGCAGAATGTTAGTTTTCTCATCTGGAAAATGAGAATAATAATATTAACTCTTGGAGCTGGTACACAAATTAAATGAGAGCACAGTAAATGCTTGAGAAGAATAAGCTATTATTATTCTTGTTGTATTATAAGTGTTGATCCATCCACACTTAGTATGTCTTATCGAATATCCCATTTCCAATTTCTGTGACTACTTGAAGTGGCATACAACTAAGCAAGTACAGCAAGAATCATGTTACAATAGGGCCCAGCTGCCTCTTCAGGTACACAAGGAGATAACCAGAGATAATGGCAATTTGGATAAGAAATGGTTTTTTTTTTCACTTTTTAAATGGATTTTCTTGGACGTGTGAGATAGTAGACATATTAAAAAAAACAAGATTAATATACAGGAATACCAATATACCTTTTGCCCAGACATCCCTTTAGAGTTTTGCCAGTTGTTCTAATCATATCCTTTATAATAAAAGCACCCACATCAGTATTTCGCATGGTACCCACTTGTTATGTCTCTCTAGTTTTCTTCAATCTGGAGCAACTTCTCAGTCTCTCCTTGACCTTCATGATTTTGACGTTTCTGGAGTTGCAGGACATTCATTCCTTCTGTAGTCTTTCTCCATGTAGGTCTGTCTGATATTTCCTCCCAAAGACACCCACATTACACAGTTGGTCCTATCAGGTGGTACATAATGCCAATTTGATCTATTATTAATGGTGTTTATTTGATCACTGATAAAAATGATATTTACCAGGATTCTCTTCTGTAACATTACTTTGGAATTAATAAGTAGATTTTGTGGAGAAATTTCAGGCCCATCAACTGTCCCATTCCTTATCCCATTTTCATCTACTAGATTTAGCATTTACTGAATTAATTATTAGCATAATGAGTAGTAAGTGGTGATTTTAAGTTATGTCAGAATTTCTATATTTATTATTATATATCCAAGCATAAAAGTAGTTTCTCTTATATACATTTATTTATATTTAATGTATTTAAATATATTTAATATAAATCATTTAATGGTTTATATTCAACATAGATACAGTAATATAAATATTTGTATGCTATAATTTCCCCAGGTTTGGACAGTGGTAACTCTTTGGACTAGATAAGATATCTTTGAAATATTTCCTTCATTCTTCCAGCACTGTCTTCCTTTGTGGCACAACCAGATGTTTCAAGAATATTTTCTACTTTACTTATCAGCCCTGCATAAAGCATCTCTCTATGAAGGTTTGGTTTTTTAAATGAAGAGTACTATCTAAAAATCAAAGTCTGGGTGCTAGGTATGTTAATTGATACGCGAGTCTCGCTGCTTGACTTGTACCTTTTATTTAGATTTTCTATTAAATCTTTTCTAGCAGTCTACACTACAGAGTTTAAGTTCACTCAGATCTTCCTTTATTCCATACTTATATTCGCTCCTTCATTGGTGATAAGCCTAGCCCCAACATCTTCAACCTCTTTGCTTATTTGCCCAATCTCCTATGTTGCCCATGTCTCAGCTTATCAGACTTCCCTCATCTCCCATCTCTGACCCCCATCCTGGCACCACCCACCATTACTTGTTCTGCTTGTGTCAAGAAAGGAAGCAAGGGCGTGAGAGAGAGGAGAAAGAAGGGGAAAGAAGGAAGAAAGGAACAATGAATATTAACGGAATGGTCTTGATTTGGCCATGGTTTCCATTGCTGCTTATCTTGCATTGTTACTATATTCCAAAAATTACTGTTAGGTCTTGCTTTTGTTGAAAATTCTGCTTCTATGAAACTGTCGTGGTTTCATCTTTGACTATTATGTGGTTTCTCTCACATTTTTTGTTATAACTGAGTTCTGGTCCACTGAAACTCGGAGGGATAGGTAACAAAAATGGTCATGGGCTCAGAACTTGGACCCTTGGCTGGGTCAGGATGATAGTGTACTGTGAGTGATGGTGGCCTGTGTGTATGTATCTGTGTTTGGGGGAGGGAAGCAGGGAGCAATTTCAGTAAGGAATGATGACATCTATTTTGAAATGAAAAAGAAAAGAAATGTGTCTCCTCTTCTCAATGCCCACATCTCTCCTGATTAATTCTGATGATCTCCTGACTGGCCTTTCTGCCTTTGATTTTCTCTCAATTTAACTTTTTCTTTTACTGGAGATTATGCATCTTCCTCCATCAAGCTGACATCTCTTCTTTATCCACCACTACTCTGGGTCCAGCTTAGCCTGGGGGATATTTCTGTTTTACTACTTATGGCACTAATTTGACCTGTCTCCTTATCAAGAAACTCTGAGGTTCTATAGAGCAGGAACCATTTAAATCCCAGGATTAAAAATACCTGGAATTTACTATATACTCAATAAACATTCGCTGAATGAATAAGTTAATGAGACCAGTCTCATTAAGGAATATTCAAGGAATATTGTGTCTAAGGAAGCTTGTGTTAGATATTGTCATCTCTTCCTTTATAAGTTAGTTTCTGCCATTGAATTATTTTGGGGTGGGGAGGGACGGAGGGCAAGACTCAGGAGTCTGCATTTTTAACACGACCCCTAAGGAATTCTATCCAGGTCATACTTTAATAAAAACTATGATTTGTTTCTAGTTTCTTAATTTTAAGTCCAAAGAGAGAATTTCATTCTCCAGAGCAACCAGTAGAGCATTGAGAATTAGAGGCACTAAATGAATTATGTGTTTTTATAAGGAGCTGAGATGCAGCCTTAATTACCTATTGATCTTTCTGGGATGAAAATTGACACAGCAATATTTTTCTTCTACCCTACCATTCATGCCACTTAAATACTTATTTATATTCTTCCAAAGTACTGTTTATTGTCTATGTACTTTATGGCTGAGTCTAAAAACAAAACTTCCTGTCTCTAAGAAATATGGATATTCTATTTATCTTGATTTACAAGAAACAATAGACAAGCTTCTAGGATTGCAAGATTGTTCAAGCATGACCCAATGGGCTCTAACAAATTCAGACTCAGAGATTATTGACAGATAATCCAGTCTCCTATACTATGTTCAAGACTAGGTAAATGGCAAACACGTTTTTGGTATCATGGCATGTATTTTTCTCACTCAGGGTGATATTAACAGATTATGCCCTTTTCTGCACAGCTGGATTGCTTTATATCTTTTCTACTGATAAACTCATAAGGGAAATAATAGATTCTTCCTGTTTCAGACCATTTATTGGATAAAAAGCTGACAGAGTTGTAGTTGTCTTTGGAAAAAATAATTTAAAAAAATAGTTTGTGTTTGGCAGTGAAACAGAGCACTAAGGTGTGGGTACTTCCACTGTCAGAGAAAAATCTGCACTCGGTAGGACCACTCACTCTAGGAAGGGAGTGACGGGGGTCTCACCAGAGGCCAGATCAGCCAAGCATGTGGCTGGATGGAGTAGGTGAGGTCAACGGCTGTGTCCACTATTTTAAAATCCCGTTTCTCTCCTTGAGATATAACTGGAATCTTGGCCTCCTGTTGAGTCATTCACAGCTTATTTCCCCATGGATGCCAGCAGTTGTCTGCTCCACTTCACCTGTTGGCTTTTATATTTTGTCAGTGTATTTTATATCCTCTAGTCTGTTCTTGAACCTCTTCTTTCCCTATGTCATGGCCTTTGCATATTCAAGTTTATATCAGAGCACGAGGGTCCTGAAAATTCCAAAATGCTCTCAAACTACGATACCCATTTAGCAAGAGGGACTTGAACGACACTTATTCTCCTATACTCAGTTACAGAAATTAAAGAAAGGAATAATAGATGGAATCTGTGAATCCATCTCTCTCTCTAGCTCTCTCTGTCTTTTCAGCTTTCTCTCTTTCCTTCCTTCTTTGACAGGAAAAAGCGGGGGGAAGTTTAGACCTATATAATGAAGGACTTTTTTCTAAAGTGTATCACAATAGAAAAGTAGAAATGAGCCATATATAAACCAGTAACAGTTACTCTAAATGTGTTTTATACAATGTAGCCAAATCATTTCCCAAACAATAACAAAAAATATTGACTACATCCACAGTATTGATGTATTATTTAATGTTAAGTAACACTCATGCAAAGTAAAATGGAGAGAGGAGACAGGAGCAGTTATTAATCAACAAAGATAACTCTGGATGACCCACTCTCTCAAAGCTTTCTCTGCATTAGTAGCTATGGTTTCAGAGTGTAATTATTCCTGAAATTCTCTGCCTGTGTAAATGTATGTTTATGCCCAGTCATCAATTTATTCAGTAAAGTGTTGTATATACATGGTTACTAAGTATTTAATCACTGCTCACAAGAATAGCAAAATTTGGCTCCAAGTAGCAGTAATTTTCTCAAGAGAGATATGTGCTATTAAAATAGTTCATTAAGACTCACATCAGTCAAATACTCTTCTATGCTTGTGTATACCTATTCAACCATAACAAGCCAGCTAAGCTGGTAATCAATGAAGAAAAAAGTAAAAGCTTAGGCTTCTGTAGTTTTAACTGTAAACGTTTTTCACAGACCAGGGCGTGCCACTGACATTCCCTAGGGGAATTAGCAATGCTATCGACACTTTATTTCAGTGCTCTGTCATAGATATGATTTTTTTTACTTCAGAGAGTTATCCTGGCAAATGTGCCTCAGGAATCTTATTTCTCTCTACATATCTAGGAAATTTCACTCTACTATCCTGAAATAATTATTTCCTAGGAGAGATATTTTAAGGCTGTTTGATATCAGAAAAATCAGAATCAGCCAGGCTACCCTTAATTTGTAGTCTCTAGAAATGGGAAGATTCACACAATAATAGGGCTCAGAGGAATTTCGAGGAAGCTGCTCACTGTGAAGGAGAGGGAGAGAAAAAGCTCAATGCTAATGTTCAGTGAACAGGGAAAGAACAGGCATGCTTTCTTGGGATGAAGGAGGAGAGGAGTGAGTTCCTTGCCTCCTCCCACCCTCACGACAGGTCATATACTTACCCAGAATGCATCGGAATCAATTCAAAGACGATCTCTCATATTAGATTTGGGCAAGGTTTCCTTAATGAGAGATGTATAGTTAAAACCAGCTTTACAACATACTTGCTCTGTAACCTTGAGGAAAGTTCTTAACATCTTTGCATCTCAGTTTCCTCATCTATAAAATGAGAATAATACTAGCATACGCTTACAACAGAAAAGTTTGTTGTAAGGATTAAAGAAAGTAATATGTGTAAAACACTGAAACTCTTACTTTTTGTGGCCGACAGGGTTTTTTTTAGTAGAAAGAAACATAAATTAACTTGTTTAAACGACCTCTTTTAATGCATAGGTTTAGTGTTATGACCACCAGTTATATTAGTAAACTATCATTGTTATTCTTATACTCATCTCCAATAGTAATTTCTGCTAAACAGTTTGATTTTTCTATTAATTTTCTCTATATTAATTTTTAAAAGAAATCAGAAATGTGAGAAATCGAGAATCAATAGATTTAATTTTAATTTGAAATTTTATTTTACAAAGCAAAACCATGCTTTTAATACATGTGGGGAAGGACAGATAGAGACATTAACAGTTTTTAAATTCTTCAACATCTACGAAATTTCTACATGGTAGATGTTAAAATCTCCATTTGCAGTTGAAAAAACTTAGGCCCTGGGAGAAAAAACAATATTTTTCAATATATCAGTGATCTCCAAAACTTTTCCCTTATAAGAACCCTATCAAGGACATAAAAATACCACATCACTCTATAATAACGGTTGTAAGTATTACATTGGTTGACTGAGAAAATACATAGTGATGATAATGGAGTATAGATTTATTGTATATAAATCACAATGGGACCAAAACAAACATGGAGGAAGTGGGTTGATTATTTATATTCAGCTAATAAATTATGATGTAGATATTGGTCCACATATCTAGACTTCTTGCAATTATTCTATGGATCCCAAGGCTCAATCAACAGCCTTTAATGTGAGGAATCCCACATTAAAAATCCTTTCTCATCAGTTACATGCCAGGCTTTTTGGCATTTTTGAAGCAGTTTTAGGTATTTATTTTAGGTATTTGGTTTCACTTAGTTTAAGCTTATTAAAATGTGGTATATATAAAATGTGAGTATATAAATGATATTCAATAAATACAAACTTTGACATTTTCACTGCTATTAAAGTAAGCACTTGTCTACTTACCTAGAATATGCATGTTTTGGGGGAAACTTTTCCTGGGGCCTCACATTAATAAGATCTTATTTTTAGAAGGTAGTGAGTGACTTCAGAACCAACATTATTCACAAAGGCTTTTAAAAATTAAACAAAACTACTTTAAATTCTAATCATGGTAATATTAGAAAATAAGTACTTATCACCAACATTGAAAAAATGCAGCAAAAATTTTCAGACTGGATAAAAGATACAATATAAATATAAGAACATATAAAGCTTAAAAAACACATTAAAATATGTAACATGCAAACACTAAACAAATTAAAGCTGGTTAACACTAAAAAAGTATTATTAAGGTAACCTGTAAAACTAAAAAAGCACTTGTGTCCAGCATATATAAACAACTGTAGAAATCAGGCAATTCAATAGAAAAAAAACAGCAAAACATTGAACAGGCATTTCACAGGAGGCTATATTTGGCCCTAAACATGGAAAAAAGTGCTCAACTTTATTAGTCATCATGGAAATGCAAATTCACACCACAGAGAACTATCACCAAACACCTACCAGAATGAAGATCAATCACTGCACAACTACTAAAATGAAATGATATTAAAGAATTGGAATTCTCATAGACATGAAAATGATGAAAGAAAAAAAACTGAAAAGGAGCTGGAAGGCATATTTACTTTAACCATACCTGGCCAGCCAGGTTTCAGAGGTTCCAAATTAATACCAGCTATATAATAATGGGCTTCTTTATATGGATTTTACATTCTTTAAAAAAAACACACAAACATACAATACACACATATATATATATACAAATACATATATAAATTTATATATATTCAAATATGTATCCAAATATATATTCAGATGTGTATCTATTCCAATGTATATGTGTGTACATATTTTGAAATAAATATTTAGTGACATTTATTTTGTTCTTGTCATACCATGGATATGTTTATTCTCAAATGATTTTCTTGTTATCATAAATCCCAGAGTAGATAATCCTCTCAATATTGCTGAATTTATTTATTAGAGGTTAAAATGTCCCAAATACATAGACTAGAAAGGCCTCATTGTACATCATATGCCTGAATAAGACCTGCTCCTTTCTAGAAGTGCTGTAGTTTATATGTTATTCTCAAACACATGGAAACACCACCCTCTTATTTCTTAGGTGGAGAAAAAAATGCAGTTTGCAAAGCATGATATATTGACATAACTGAAAATGGGATTTAATATATTATATTCTAATGTCAATGCTAAACTCGTTTAAATGTTGAATTATTAAAATCTCCTCAAATCCCTCAACACTTCAGGGTTATCTTTTCCTTTCACTCAATCAAATTGTTTGTTACTTCAGCTCAACTTCTGTGAAAACTTTTTCACCATCATTAAAGTCTCCAAAAACTTCCAGGAAGTCTTTAGATTCTCTTGGACACAACACTCTTTTATTATTGCCCTTGATGAATTTTTAATAAGATTCTTCAGCATTCACCTCATCTCTCCTGCTGTCCTGTCTGCAGCGTTTTACCCAAATTAATCATCTAGCCTTTTCCTCTTTTCTCAAGGCACCATGTCTTAGTCCAGTCTGATAAAACAACTACCATAGGTAGGGTGGCTTATGAGTAACAGACATTGATTTCTTACAGCTCTGGAGGCACAGAGTCTGAGATCAGGATGCAGCATGGCTGGGTTCTGGTGAAGACTCTCCCCCGGCTTGCACATGACTGACTTCTTGTGTCCTCATATGGTAGAAAGAAAGCTAGCTAGCTCTCTGGCCTCTTCTCACAAGGGTGCTAATCCTATTTACAAAGGTTCTATCATCATCACTGAATTCTCGCTCAAAGGCCTTGCCTCCAAATACCATTACACTGGGCATTCGATTTCAACATGTGAATTTAGAGGGGTCACATTCAGTTCATAACATACCACCCACAGAAGTTTTACTGAAGATTTGGTAATTGCATTGCACAGAACAATATTTTAAAACAAGTATTAGATGTTACCATTCACAAAAGTTGCATGGCTTTCTGGTTGTTCTCCTCAGGCCTGATTTCCTCCTGTACTGCTTCCTTTCTCCCAATGCCACTCTATCATCTTCCAAACCCTTTCTCTCTGACAGCCAGTAAAGAATCCCCAAATACTTATTTCTCTACCACACAGAGAAATGACTTTTGTTTTCTTATTTCTACTCACATAGACTGGTCCTAGCCAACAAGCATCTTCAAACACATAAACCTCTGCAACACACACACACACACACACACACATATGCTTGCCAAATCTAGCATAGCAATGTATTCTCAGGGTTTCTACTTTCCAAGATCTCACATGCCTGGGAGAGACATGTAAAAAAGTAATAACATATCTTTACAGGAGGAGAGATTATGGAGGTAAAGATTCCCCAGAGCTGGATCTTAAAGGAGGCTTAAAAGTAGATCATTAATATGTAAGTGGGGATTCTAGCTTGAGAATTCAGAAAGAGAGAGAAATGAGAGAGAGATTAAGAGAGAGAGACAGAGAGAGAGAGAGAGAGAATGATGTATGAAAACCACCCTGTCTTCATAGACCATGGCATGTTCTGGAAATAACTAGTCATTTGAAGTTACTGGAGAACAGAAAGTGTGTGTGTGTGTGTGTGTGTGTGTGTGTGTGTGTGTGTGTGACATTTACAATGAGACAACTCAGAAGAAGGATGCAGACTGGTGGTCATCCTCTGAAGAAGAGTTTTCTAAATGCAGAATCAGGTTGGTCTCAGAGTACTATAGGACTGTACCACTTAAATGTCTAATCTATATAATTTTTTAGGTAATCAGAAGACAAATAGCCTGAACTTAAAAATATAAATTTGCTAGGAGCACCATTCATCTGGCCAGGCTGATTCTGAATGAAGGTAAAAATCAAACAAACAAACAAACAACAAAAAGAAATAAGAAATGCAGAAAAGGACAAAAGCCAAACCAAGGAAAGTGGGGTGATGTCTTACTCACCATCTGATATTCTGGGAGTACAGAGTGGTTACATGGGGTGGCCACAACAGACTAGAATGATACTATAGTGTGTTTAGGGGGAACTCATTGAAAAATGAGCCATACAATCTTTAGTCGGTGATATTGTTTGGCTCTGTGTTGCCACCAAAATCTCATCTCAAATTGTAATTCCCATGTGTTGGGGGAGGGGACTGGTGGGAGGTGACTGAATCACAGGGGTAGACGTCCCCCTTGCTGTTCTCCTGATAGTGAGTTCTCAGGAGATATGGTTGTTTGAAAGCCTGTGGCACTTCCTCCTTCGTTTTCTTTCTCTCCTGCCACCATGTAAGACGCGTCTTGATTTCCCTTCGCCTCCTGCCATGATTGTAAGTTTCCTGAAGCCTCCCTAGCCATGCAGAGCTGTGAGTCAATTAAATCTCTTTTCTTTATAAATTACCCAGTCCTAGGTAGTTCTTTATAGCAGTTTGAAAACAGATTAATATTGTCGGAGACCTTTAGCTCTAGGAACAATATGGAATGAGACAAGGATAGAAGAGTGAGTCACGATGGCTTAACTGGATGTTCAAGGCCGCAACAGAAAACAGCATTATACAGATCAACTACTCCTCTAACAACATGAAATAGTATAACCTGTTTTTCCTTAACCCCTGGGGATTTTTGGAGAAAAAAAGGGGAGAAGGTGAGGGTAGGAAATTAGAAATTTTTATTAAAATATCTAATTTATTTTTAAAATAAACTTTATTTTTAGAATTTAGATTAGAGAAACATTGGGAACATAGTACAGAGAATCCCATATATGTCACAGCCAGTTTCCCTTGTTGTTAACATCTTGCATTAGTGTGGCACATTCATTACAATTAACAAACCAACACTGATACATTATTATTAACTAAAGATCCATACTCTTTTCAGATATCCTTAGTTTTACCTAATGTCTTTTTCTGTCTTGGTACAATACATTGCATTTAGTCATCATGTTTCTACTTAACTTTTTGAACACAAAGAATGCATTTATAGGCATTTGTTTTAACATATTTGCCAATTCTATCTTATGTGTCAGTTCTTGGTAGATTTTATTAATTTATCTAATCCTTACAATAATGTATGATGTAGGCTGCTAATATCATTCTCATTTCACAGATAGAGAAACTGAGTATATAAAGATCAAGCAACCTACCCAAAGTCATACAACAATAAGTGATGGAGTCAGGGCATGAACCCAGGCAGCCTTGCTCCATCAAAGCGAATGTAGAGGAAATAATTTTTAGTCCAATTATTTCAAATTTCTCAGTGAGCCTCTGAAATTTCAGGTTCTTATAGTTCAGGGTTTCAGAATTCCCTGGACCCTATAGAAAAATGGAAAATGAGACTCTTGACCATTGAATCTGACATATGAAGCAATCTGGGCTTTATCTTGAGCCTGGCATTCTGCTGTGTGCTCACTGTCTCCACCCTTATCTGTAACATGAAGGAAATTACCTAGTGTGTCAAAAAAAGTCACAGCCAGCTACTGCTTGTATAAATCATTATTCCATGAAAGGCCCTATATGCAAAGCAGTCCCAAAATGCCAAAGGAGTCAAGAAACCGAAGAATGAGGCAGACAAGCCCAGTTTGTCAGTGGGAGGTGATCTACTGGGGGGACCTAACAGACAGAAGCATAGTCTCAGGTGGCTACAAGACAGGTAGATCTTCATGCTGCAACCCCACGACCCAGGGCTTATATTTTGGAAAAAAGTATGCATGCTTTGAAAAGAATGTGTAGGTGGTTGAGAGAAATCATCACAACCTATGATTTCTGCAACAACATAAAGGGTTGTTTTGGATGAAAGACAAAACTTATAGTGAATAGGTGTTTCTACATAAAGACTAATAAATCAACCAGACATCCTGGAGGTATTCCTGGACTTAGGGTTAGTCAAGGGTCACATGATGGATTAGCATTTATAAATGAAATCTCTCTTTAAAATAAAGTCAATCTTATGAATGATAAGATGCAATGTAATTCTGTTGTTTTGGGCACTCTCAGGCCTGACTGGCTCAGGCTATGGCAGCTCACTTGTGTTGATCCCTTTGTCTCTAAGGAATCTTGAGAAAATTACCTAAATTCTCTGAACTTAATGTCTTCCTTTATAAAATGAGGTGACCATAGGGACTATTGATGTGGTTGCTGTAAGAACTAAAGGAAGTATATAAAGCATCTAGCATATTAGTTTCCTTCTGTTCATCATCATTATGAATGGAGTAATGAGAAGACAGGAGTAATTTCTACTACCTCTTCAGCCTGTGACTTCATCAAAAGAGAATTAAAAAATTATAGGGAATCCTCTTTTAACTTTGTCATAAAATGCAGTGCTGCATTCTCCAGAAAATGTATGTCTGCAAGTGGTTTATTAATTTATATGTCAAGAACCTGAGTATTTAGGGTGAAAAGAAAGTATCATAGGAGCAACCTTAACTCAGAAACACCACCCTCCTCGGGCTTTATTCTGTTTATTGGAAACCCTTTTCATGGTCATGCCAGGGCATGGATGGTCAGTGGATTTACAGTGAAAGTTCAATTCCTTCCAAGGACATTCTTGAAAATAGCTTTTGATTATAGAAGCTCCTCTTCAATGATGCAAAGAATCCTATGCTGGGTTAAATCTTTTGCTTAGTGACATATTTGAACAACTGTGTTAATATTATAATAATTTCCACCCCAGGGAAGAGGTTTTGACAGATGCAGGAAGTTGGAGAGAAAGAGAAATAAGTGAAATCAAGGATAGTAGGGGGTCAGGCTTCCCCATCTCCAGTGACCCCTGACTTCACATCCCAAGTGTTGTTCTTTCATCCTTACTCTAGGTGTTGCAGGATCCACAGGGTCTGGAAACTTCTAGAAACTCATTGCCAATGAATTCTAAAAGGCACTAGCTTTGGCAAATCTGCTTCATATAGAAAACATGGATTCTAACATAACTCAAGTGTTCTGATATTCAGTGTTTGAAATAAAACAACTTTTTTTTGTTTCAGTATCTGGATGATAGATACATAATTTTTTTTTTTTTTTGAGACAGGGTTTCTTTCTGTCACCCAGGCTGGAGTGCAGTGGCTTGATCTTGGCTCACTGCAACCTCCACCTCCCGGGTTCAAGTGATTCATTCCTCAGCCTCCCGAGTAGCTGGGACTACAGGCACATGCCACCATGCCCAGCTAAGTTTTGTATTTTTAGCAGAGATGGGTTTTTACCATGTTGGCTAGGCTGGTTTTGAACTCCTGAGCTCAACTGATCCACCTGCCTCGGCCTCCCAAAGTGCTGGGATTACAGGCATGAACCACCATGCTCAGCTAGATATGTAATTTTTTTTTCAAAGGTTGAGAACAAAAGAATAGACCTTTCTGAGTATGCCCTAATACTGAGATGGCAGCCCTACCCAATCATCTTTGGACTTCAATTTCAGCACATATGAATGATCTCAGTGAGCCTTATAGGAAGTTACACAGTTCTTGATATAGTTCTTTCCCTCTGGGATGTCAGAAAGGAGAGAAGGAACTTCAGAAAGGAAAGAAGGAACTTCCAAAAGTGACTCAGTTGTAAACAGAATTATTCAAAGAACTTGAGAGAAGAAAAATGTTGCTTTCTACTATCAAATAAATGTTGATGTTATGTTGAGAGTGAATGTTATCTTTCTATACAAAAGTTAGTGATTGAAATTTTGTACCATGATTCATTTATTTCTGATTAATAATCGGGAATAGAAGAAGAGAGGAAGAAAAATGTGAGGGACAAGGGGAAAATAGACAATGAAGCCGAGATTTGCTTTTATTCAGGAGAGATTTTCTAACATTTGAAAAACATCTACTGGTTTAAATGACAAGTGATATGTAGAAGTGAAAGGACCAATCTACTGCCAGAATTTTGCACCTACGTCATCAGTAGTCATCTTTTCCTAAGTCAAGGTAATGAGAATCGTAGCACAGGAAATGGGTTGTATGACATTATCATCTTAAACTCTTTTCACAGTTAGGATATGCATAGAAAAAGAAAAACCTCCAGGAAGAGCAGATGGCTTGATGCACACTACCAATGATTTGTGTACACACAGTTTAAAATGACAGTCTTTATTGTTCCCTGAACATGGCTTCTGATGACAGAAGCAAAGTCAACAGGCTTAAAAATATGCAGACAAGTTAATATAATTTTATAAATGGAGACTGCACTTCTATTAAAAAACCTCAAGGTCATTCCTTACCATATGCCATAAAGTTACTGATTTTACTGATAAATGAAAAATACAATCTGGAAAGAGCTATGAGACAGCAGTCACTAATTTCCAAAATAGAGTCCTAAAAGAAGAGGATATGGAGGGACATTTATCTTTTAAAAATACTCCGATCACTATTAGAATAAATCAGCCCCCAAGACAGAGGTACCTACTTCTGTCTTAAATCTAAGAACCCCTATGGCTTTGCCATAGCCCACATACCTGGAATAGATTTAAACATAGACACCCAAACCCCAAGAGAATAACGAGGCATACACAATCTATATGTCCCCTTCCTTCAGATAATGCTGCAGAGATGGAGTCTCTTTGGAAGGTCCACAAGCTCCATGAGTGGTATGCAATTAAAAAAAAATAAGTTGCATCCTTTTATTTAATACAATTGCAATATAATGTACTCATAATAAGTTTATTCATTCTTAAATTTACGATGTGTCTGTTATATACAGAGCACTCTGTCAGGCACTGGGATTGTTTTGCGTAGTTCATATCCATTTTTCTGGAAAGGGAGCACTTGCATAAGGTTTTCAAAAGAACTCAACCAAAATAAAAAATGTTAAAAACCACTGCTGTATAAAATAAACCAAATTTTATATATACAGCAGGTGTGAATGGCTATGCACAGACTATAAAGCTAAATACATTGAGTATCTACTGTATGTCAGGCACTGTGTAATCGCATGGAATCTTCACAACAATCCTATATTGTATCACTCAATTTATAAATGATAAAACTGAGGCCTGAGGTTGATGGATATGTGTCAAATGTCACCAAACTGACTAGCTCTCCAGACTCTCACTTTTCATTTCCATTGTAATTGTTGATGTCCCCCAGGGCTTTATCCTAAGGCCTGCCTCATTTTGCCAACTACTTTGGGCATTCCCTTCCTTTGCCTTGGTTTCAATTTCCATCTACATCTGCCTTGCTTTCAATCTCCATGTTGATAGGTACTAAGTGCCTAGCGCTAGGCCAGTAAATACAGATGCATATGAGACTTCTTCCCTTGTCATAAGACTTCCAAGTCTAGTTGCTTCTTATGCAAAATGAGATTATTTTCCTCCAGTGTTCACTTTCGAGGCATCTGGCGATGTCATTATCAGTGTTCTGTTTGCACAAGCCAGAAACCTGGGGACTAATTTTTGATTCCTATTGTCTTTTACCACACATCAAAACAATCACTTATCCTGTCCATCCAAATTTCTAAATATTTCTAAAATTTATCTACTTCTGTGCTTCCCCACTACGTATATCTCTTATGTCAATTTGATCACATGACCTTTTCTACACCTGGTACCTGCTGAGCCTTCTGGAGATACCCATTTCTTTTAGGGTAGCATCCAAATGTCCTGCTTCCAAAACCCTTCAATGTTGGGAGCTGAAAGCCTGAGGGTCGTGACCAACTCAGCATTCCACTGGAGGCTATATGATTAAACAGCAAGCTGTTTTTCATGAATGCAGAATGTGGGCAAACTCGCATCTGTACCTGCCACCAGAAGGTATGCTGAGGGCAGTCACTCCCTGGCACCGTGCTCCTTGAGGTTATCTACTGGGACATCTGGAGCCTACTGTTCAAAGAATGCAGTCATGCAGGTCTGTACTAAGTCAAGCAGCTGACCGACAGCCACCCCTTCTCCCTATCTCCTTTACTCAATAAATACAAAGGGCTCTAGAAGCTCAGCGCCCTTGTTCACTAGAAGCAAGGAGCCCCCTGACTCCTGCTTCCAAATATACTCTTTTGTCGTTGTCTTTATTCCCACATTTGTCCTCCTTTGTTCAGCCTACCAGGATCTGTGGCACTTCAAAATCAAGTCCTTGCTCCAAAGTTATCTTTTGTAAATCCCAAATTGCAATTTAAACTGAAGTCTGTGAAATATTTTCATCTTTTGAGGGGTCTGTACTCAATCTCATCCATCTGCTATTTTTTCTGCTAGTAATGCTCACCCTATTCCTACCTCTGACTAACTCCTATATATGCATCAGGTCTTAATAATTGGAGCTGGCATTCAATGGGTATAAAATTTCAATTATGCTAGGTAAGTATTTTCTAGAGATCTGGTGTACAACACAGTGCATATAGTTAACAATAAGATATTGTAAATTTTTTATTATTATTTTTAATTATTATTATACTTTAAGTTTTAGGGTACATGTGCACAATGTGCAGGTTAGTGACATATGTTTACATGTGCCATGCTGGTGTGCTGCACCCATTAACTCGTCATTTAGCATTAGGTATATCTCCTAATGCTATCTCTCTCCACTCCCCTCACCCCACAACAGTCCCCAGAGTGTGATGTTCCCCTTCCTGTGTCCATGTGTTCTCATTGTTCAATTCCCATCTATGAGTGAGAACATGACCTCTTCAAGGAGAACTACAAACCACTGCTCAATGAAATAAAAGAGGATACAAACAAATGGAAGAACATTCCATGCCCATGGGTAGGAAGAATCAATATCGTGAAAATGGCCATACTGCCCAAGGTAATTTATAGATTCAATGCCATCCCCATCAAGCTACCAATGACTTTCTTCACAGAATTGGAAAAAACTACTTTAAAGTTCATATGGAACCAAAAAAGAGCCCGCATCGCCAAGTCAATCCTAAGCCAAAAGAACAAAGCCAGAGGCATCACGCTACCTGACTTCAAACTATACTACAAGGCTACAGTAACCAAAACAGCACGGTACTGGTACCAAAACAGAGATATACATCAATGGAACAGAACAGAGCCCTCAGAAATAACACCGCATATCTACAACTATCTGATCTTTGACAAACCTGACAAAAACAAGAAATGGGGAAAGGATTCCCTATTTAATAAATGGTGCTGGGAAAACTGGCTAGCCATATGTAGAAAGCTGAAACTGGATCCCTTCCTTACACCTTATACAAAAATTAATTCAAGATGGATTAAATACTTAAACGTTAGACCTAAAACCATAAAAACCCTAGAAGAAAACCTAGGCATTACCATTCAGGACATAGGCATGAGCAAGGACTTCATGTCTAAAACACCAAAAGCAATGGCAACAAAAGCCAAAATTGACAAATGGGATCTAATTAAACTAAAGAGCTTCTGCACAGCAAAAGAAACTACCATCAGAGTGAACAGGCAACCTACAAAATGGGAGAAAATTTTCGCAACCTACTCATCTGACAAAGGGCTAATATCCAGAATCTACAATGAACTCAAACAAATTTACAAGAAAAAAACAAACAACCCCATCAAAAAGTGGGCAAAGGATATGAACAGACACTTCTCAAAAGAAGATATTTATGCAGCCAAAAGACAAAATGAAAAAATGCTCATCATCACTGGCCATCAGAGAAATGCAAAAGATATTGTAAATTTTAAAATCTGTTAAGAGAATAGATCATGTAAAGTGTCATTACTACAAGAAGGAAAAAACAAACCGAAGGGAAACAAGGAAAGTTTGGGAAGTGCTGGCATGTCTATTACCTTGATTGTGGTGATAGTATCACAAGTGTTTGCATGTGTCCAAATTCATCAAATTGTACAGATTAAATATGTACATTTTTTATAGTATTTAACTCAATAAAGCTGTTTACGAAAGAGAGCTACAGTCATATCTTAAGAGATTAAGAGATTTCCTGATCCCTCTGAAACGTGTTGGAAACCGTACTATGTGGTTGCATAACACTCCATGCTTCCTGCATCATAGCACCTACAGAATGATATTTTCTTTCCACCAGAAGTAACATCATGGAGTAGAAAGGTCATGGCTTCCTTGTTCACTCTTGTATTCCCAATGTTGAGCACAGCATCTAGCTTATATCAAGTACCCGTAAATACTGATGAATGATTTTAACTTGATCCTATGAATGGATCCCCTTTAAACATCCTGGCTGATGCTACTTTGGTTAAAGTGGCCAGATAAAATACAATTTTCCCAGTTAACTTTGAATTTCAGATAAGCAATGAAAGATGATAGTATATACATGCTCCATGCAATACATAGGACATACTTATACCAAAAAAGTATTTATTTATCTGAAATTAAAATTTAATAGACTGTTTTGTATTTTCATCTGCTGAATATGGCTATGCTATTAACTTTGACATTTGCTTCGCCCTTGTCAGGGACCTTGCAGGTTCCTTTAGTCATACTAAACAGGCATCTCCCACAGGCATGAAAGGTAGCCATGTTTGCCAACAAACTTTACCATGCACTTCCTGATTCACACCTAGCTTCATTGCTCTAATTTAGCTTCTAGGTTTCCCCTTACTTTATTCCCAGCAACCACTTGCCATCCCATTACTGACCATGGCCTGATATCTACATTCTGATGATGCCTTTGGCAGCCACTCCAGTCTAGCATTAAACCACTACTAACTTCATTGCCTTGGGCTCTGCCTCTCCTCTGTCATATCCTGGAGTATCACATGCAAACTTAGCGCTCACAAGACAGCCTATTACATTCTTGGGGAGTTCTAATTGTTAGAGAGTCTGTCTTTGTGTTGATCTGAAATTATCTTCCCTGAGGCTTTGACCTATTTGGGTTTCAATAGATAGTTTGCTTCTTGAGAGCAGAGAAATGTCTTATGCACTGTGGTATGTCTAGGATTCATGGCAGTGACTGGCACATGGAAGATTCTTGATAAATGTCTGCTGAATAAAAATGGGCATTATTGCCTCTGGAGCTGCACTGTGTAAAATGAATTTCTTATCTACAGTCAGTTCTTCAAATGTGTGAACAATGTTCTATAGTTCTGCATCAATCTGGTCTTTTATAGGCTAGGCATTCCCAGTTCCTTAAATCATTTTTCATTTGAGAAGTGAAGTACCTGGCACTGAAGAGGCACTTGGTAAATGTTTTTCCATTAAGAATTTCCTCATGTTTGGTTAAAATGGCAAATATTCATAAGAAAACAATGCTAGATATAACTTTAAAGGACATAGACATTACTAGTGGGCATAGGTAAAAATAAAATGAATGGTGAAAAGGATAATTGTATCCCATAAAAATGTATACGAACTTAAAAATATAGACTGCCTAGATCTTTTGAAAATGCATTCATGTGCATAAATACCCAAACATTCCTAAAATTTGAAATACTTTAATTTTGAAATATAATATGATAATATTTGTAGTATATTTTGAAAGAAACCTCCAACAATTCTCCAATCTTATTATTTGCCTATTCCCATGCATACAGTAGCCTGTCTAGATATTTTGGGCCTCAACATTGAAAGAGTGGCAAGAGAGAATTATAAATATCCTTTTTAAATTAAATATATTTTTCCATTTTCTGTTGAAATAATTAGCAAGACAAATGATTGTATCATCTCATTGTTACTGTGCAAAGAGATCTAGAAAGAAAGAAAGAAAGGAAAGAAAGAAAAGGAAAGAAAGAAAGAAAGAAAGAAAGAAGAAAGAAAGGAAAGAAAGAGGAGAAACCAATGATTCAATCTATTAATTAGAGGGAAAATCATGCTAAAAATGGTAAGGTGTGCATCAAGATGCTAGAAACATCTTAATTAGGTAATTTTAAAAGAGGGATAATTGTCAATGTATCTTCAAAACTGCATACTTTCCTTCAGCTCACCTACTAAACTGAATAGCTATATTTGATCAATTTTAACAATTATATGAAAACTAAGATTTTGTTAAACTTGTTTTTATAGTTTTATAGCCAGAAACATTTGATGTGTAATGAGCAACTCAACAATTTACTGCCTTTTATTTATAACCCTCGCTAGATTCTATGATGTTATAGTGATTGTACACTCTGTATTCAAATCTGACCTGGGGTTGGATTATAGTCTGTCATTTCTGTTGTCCAATTAATATGAACAGGGTGGGAGAAGGATAAATCTTATTCTGTATTAAAATTTGTACATGGCCACACAGCAAAATCATCACTAGAGTGGTTCCTGCAAAAATGTCAGGCACAATTACATGGATGAAACATAAAGGGCATTCCTCTCAGCAAGATTCACAATAGGAGGTGTGTCATAAACAGGGAAAAGAAAACTGTTCAACAAAGCTGGTTATATCTTGCCTTTAAGCAAGGAGTTCACCATTAAAGACATTTTCTGGATGGAAAGTCCTGTGGGGTGTGTGCGTATGTGTATGTGTTTTATACAGGGAGAGAGAATTTACACACTGTCATACTGGTACCAAGCCATATAATAGCTCCAGGAATAATACTGAGATTTCATAATCCATGAACTTTCTTATTTTCAGCAAACTCCCTCATAGCCACTCAGTGTCAGAATGCGGATTGTGTGTTTATCTTTCCTAAAGAAGTAAGAGGTAGTCGCCTTGCTCTTCCCCTCCATCCCCCGACATCACCTCTGCTCCACTTGCTATCCATTTTCTTAAATAGAAGATTCAGGGGGAATCCCTGGAGTAGGTTATAATAGGTTGTCAGAAGAAATGCTTCTATTTTAAAAGAAAAAGCAGTGAGAAAAAGAAATTTTCGTTAGCTCTATCATATTCCTTCTGAGAAGCTGCTGCTTTGAAGGCAAATCTACTCCTCCTACTGCCTTCACATGTTTCTAGGAGATAGTTGTGTGAGAAAACCCTCTGTACTAAGAATTTTTCTATTCTGGAGATATTTTTCATGAGGAGTGGTCAACCCAACCCCCTGTAGAGTAAATGAGACAAGGGGCCTGTACCAGAACACTCTTATGAGACGTGGCATTTAAGATCCAGTAAAATAGGAGATAATATAGGAGATACAGAAGCCCTCCTGGTCATACACCATAAATGATGATGAGATTTTGAATTGTCTGTGTTCTCACCTGCCTTGCAGCTGCAGTATTAGAAGCCCAGGATCCTGAGAGACTTGGGGTTTTCTCTATTTGAATTATAGCATATGTTCAAGCTATATCCCTAAACTCCTGACTGAGCTACTAAAAATAATGACTCCTGAGACAAACAATGAGTAATATACTCTGAACAGTGCTATAGCAGAGGGAGTGGAATGTTTGCAGCTGAGATTTGAAACATAAGAATCAGCGAGGGAGAGAGATAAAAAATGACTGCAAGAGTTGATATAAAAAACCTGCTTCAGTCCAATTGTCTCCCATTTTGTCTGTCAAAATGAATGAGCATCAGAAACAAAGATATTGAAGAGATTCTCAGAGAATGGCCCTTGGAAAGTTTAAAATTAAGAAAGCACAATCTAAAATGATTCTTAAAATTAAAAAATAGCATCCAGGGGAATTGCATAAGATTATATCCTGATTAAACCACAATTTATTCTTGTAAATAGGAAAAACAGAGCAACTGGGAAAGGTGTAGTTCCATTATGAACAGTCTGCGAATGTCAGTATCATAAGAAGCAAACAAAAAGTTTGTCCTGTGACTTAGCTTCACACCTTCTGAGAAGCAGGAACAGCCTAAATATACCCCAGCCAGGGTTATCAGCAAAGAACCATGAAACAAAGCCCTCAGCTTTTCATCACATTAAGGCAGTTGAGAAACTGCAATATTCCCCTTATGTTCCTTGTGGGTAATTCTAAATTAAGCTTTAAATAAAGAGCACCAACCATTGTTCATCAGGCCTGAACCAAATCAATAAAATAGATGAGATTATTTTGGCAAGTGGCATGAGATGTTGGAGCCTAGAGCTGGAAGTGCCTAGGTGTCAATTTCTGAATTCTTTCAAGGGAACTAATTCAGATGATATTTATCAAGACAATTTTTAGAGTTAATGCAATTCACATAATTTTCCAAGTTAAAATAATCTTCACAAAATTAAATCTCACAGTTCAGAAACATGCAGAAAAGAGTAGCCTTTTACATCCAAGTGAACAACATTTGACTTTAAGGAGCAATTGTCTTAGGATTTTAAAAATGAGAAACATAAGCTCCCCCAAATGTATACATCAATTGCAATCTGTGGTTTGAAACTTTCTAACCAAAAATACACTCTGAATATTGTGGCAGCTGTTCCAAAACATCTTTCAAGTAGTTATTATTCATTTTATATTGTCTTAAGATATAAATTTGATATAGATGAACTCTCCTTAGTATTATTATTATTTTGTATAGGAAAGAAGAGACACATACTTCCCCAAACACTGAAGACGGATTTTTAAATCATTGATCTGATAGCAAAAAATGAGTAAGGTACTCTTCTCGCAAAGCATTAAATCAGAATTTCCAAGCTCATCAGAGAGCAGTAAGTCAATGTCAGAATCTGATAAACTCACTCACTAGTCATCACAATAGTCGCATTTCAACAGTACAATTATAAGTACAAACAGGTTCGGGAAGCACTATGTGAAGAGTTAAGCTTTGGGGACATGGCCATTTTCCATGCAACCCAAGATGACCTCCTCATGGATTCTGGTGAGTAGAGAGGGGCTAACTCATACAGTCTTGAGCACTTGTCCCAAGAAATGACATCAAATTCTGTTCAATGGTGAATCCAGTGAAAATTTTGACCATTTAAAAATTAACCCAACTTTCCTAGAAGTATGGCCCATGAGATAAGAGTTATTTTCTGTCACCTAATCTCCAGACCACACTAAGGTTTGGAGTCTGGCTACAAGCACAGCTGTATCTGCTGTAGGACACTAGGGCAAAATCAAAAGGTCATAAGTTGATCAAAATGTATCCATATTTTGGCAAGAGAATGTGGATCTCCAGGGGAGGAATAGAAGCCTTGGCACACGTCCTTAGCTTGTTGGGGAGCTGAATCTGTGGGGAAAAGAATGGGTTAAATTTTGCCTAGGCTATAAAGTAAATCGCAGTAAAGTCGGTATCTAATGCATTATGCATGGAAAAAAAGATGCATAAAATGTACATTCCAGTAATTAATTTCAGAAGCTCTTCAGAGGATGTTAACTCAATTCTATTTGACAAATATCCTTAAGAACTTGAGCTATGTAGTGTGGCAAGCTGAGAAAAAGAAACAACAAGGGCATGCAAAGATTAATACTTCAATCAATATTCATCAAGTGCCATATTAGGGAAATGCTGTGGGAAATCCTGTACATGGGACCTTAGGCCTCTCTCATGGGCCATGTAATAATGTCTCTTCTTATAGGAGCAGGAGGTTAACAGGCATTGCTCATGTGCCCCATCCTACAGCTGAATTGCCTACCTGCAGTAAGGGAAGGAAAAGGAATGTTGGCAAAGCTTTTTAAAGACCTTTGCTGAGAAATCATGCTTGCCAGTCAGTATTCCATGCTTCTAGGAATATTGGGAAAAGGCTGTCCCTTTGCATCCCAAATAAGGCAATACGAAATTGTAACTGGATGCTACCATGGACACCCAGATTCTATCCAGGAGAACATAAATAGAAGTGATGAGAACACCCTCTCCCTGCTGGAAATACATGTGGGGTCCCCCTGTGGGGTTTGACTGTAGGTTCAGGGCAAAATGACTCTGTCTTTTCTAAGGCGGCTCCACCAACCCTGAGGTGCAGAAGCTTATGAGTATTGAAGAATCTTACCTGCAATAAAGGACTGCAAACACTACAAAGGTGGAATACTCAACATTGTGGTTAAACGGGAATAAAGTGAGAGTAAAAGTCTTTGGTTTCTCTTTTAATGCCCTGCAATGTCTATCTCATCAAGAACCGAAAGAATCTAAGGATGGTCTTGCACACAGGAATTGCAAGGGTTAAGCACTTTCTAAGATCAGGGATTTACCAAATAAATGACTCTTCCAGGGGCAGAGTCAGCAAACATCTAACAATAAGGCCAGTTAGATACTAAGAATTGATAATCTAGTAAAAATAATAACACAAAACATAATTTGATTGTTATTTAAGATTAAGGAGAAGAAACAAGCCATGCAATTGGGAAAAAACAAGAGAAAGATTTCTTCTAAGATATTTGAGGAACAATTCGTGAAAAATCACCAAGTTTGGAATTAAATTTTTTTCAATACCTACATATTGCCAAGAGTGGTACAAAAACTGGGAATGTAGGTCTAAAAGGGAAATAGAAGCAAAATTGAATAGATCTGTTATTTTCCAGTTATATCATAGTGGATAAGTGAGTAAGCCAGCCCACATTCTGTGCTTTAGTCCTCTCATCTATAAATTCAACATAAGATGGAATGAGGAATCTTATGAGGATGACTAAACTGATGCCAATATGGTGTTTTGATATCTTTAGCACAAAGAGGGATGAAACACATTATTATTGATCCTTTCATTAAACAACTAGTTTAAAGGAGCACTAACATTAAAAAAAAATTATGTTATACTAGTCTTGTATCTGAGATAGGAAAATAGGTTGCTCTGATGTATTCTGTTTTATTTTATATTTTTAATTTTTATTTTAGGTTCAGGGGTACACATGCACATTTGTTATATCAGTAAATTGTGTGTCATGGGAGTTTGGTGTACAGATTATTTTGTTACTTAGGTAATAAGCATAAGGTCCTAATAGGAACTCTTTCCATCACCACTCTCCTTCCACCCTATACTGTTATATATGAACAAGTTTGCATTATATGAGGTCCTAGGATCTTTGGAAGTATAAAATACACTTTATAGAGGGTATAATACTTAAGGCTGTTTTGTTAATTTCAATAGATTATAAATTTTCAATATAAGTAAAATTATGAGAAGACACTTAAGAAGACATTGGGTTAGGTGCTGGAAGTATGACAGTAATTAAGAGATCTCTTATTCTTTTTTTATTATTATACTTTATGTTCTAGGGTACATGTGCACAACATGCAGGTTTGTTACATAGGTATACATGTGCCATGTTGGCTGGTTGCACCCATCAACTCGTCATTTACATTAGGTATTTCTCCTAATGCTATCCCTCTGCCAGCCCCCACTCCCCAACAGGCCCCAGCGTGTGATGTTCCCTGCCCTGTGTCCATGTGTTCTCGTTGTTCAATTCCCACCTATGAGTGAGAACATGCGATGTTTGGTTCTCTGTCCTTGTGATAGTTTGCTAAGAATAATGGTTTCCAGCTTCATCAATATCCCTGCAAAGGACATGAACTCATCATTTTTTATGGCTGCATAGTAATCCATGGTGTATATGTGCCACATTTTCTTAATTCAGTCTATCATCGGTGGACATTTGGGTTGGTTCCAAGTCTTTGCTATTGTGAATAGTGCCACAATAAACATATGTGTGCATGTGTCTTTATAGTAGCATGATTTATAATCCTTTGGGTAGATACCCAGTAATGGGATCGCTAGGTCAAATGGTATTTCTAGTTCTAGATCCTTGAGGAATCGCCACACTGTCTTCCACAATGGTTGAACTAATTTACACTCCCACCAACAGTGTAAAAGCCTTCCTATTTCTCCACATCTTCTCCAGCGTTTGTTTCCTGACTTTTTTAATGATCGCCATTCTAACTGGCCTAAGATGGTGTCTCATTGTGGTTTTGATTTGCATTTCTCTGATGATCAGTGATGATGAGTATTTTTTCACGTGTCTGTTGGCTGCATAAATGTCTTCTTTTGAGAAGTGTCTGTTCATATCCTCTGCCCACTTTTTGGTGGTTTTTTTTTTCTTGTACATTTGTTTGAGTTCTTTGTAGATTCTGGATATTAGCTCTTTGTCACATGGGTAGATTGCAAAAATTTTCTCCCATTCTCTAGGTCGCCTATTCACTCTGATGATAGTTTTTTTGCTGTGCAGAAGCTTTTTAGTTTAATTAGATCCTATTTGTCTATTTTGGCTTTTGTTGCCATTGCTTTTGGTGTTTTAGTCATTGAATCTTTGTCCATGCCTATGTCCTGAACGGTATTGCCTAGGTTTTCTTCTAGGGTTTGTATGGTTTTAGGTCTTACATTTAAGTCTTTAATCCATCTTGAGTTAATTTTGTATAAGGTGTAAGGAAGGGATCCAGTTTCAGCTTTCTACATATGGCTAGCCAGTATTCGCAGCACCATTTATTAAATAGAGAATCCTTTCCCCATTGCTGGTGTTTGTCAGGTTTGTCAAAGATCAGATGGTTTTAGAAGTGTGGTGTTATTTCTGAGGGCTCTGTTCTGTTCCATTGGTCTATATATCTGTTTTGGTACCAGTACCATGCTGTTTTGGTTACTGTAGCCTTGTAGTATAGTTTGAAGTCAGGTAGCATGATGCCTCCAGCTTTGTTCTTTTTGCTTTGGATTGTCTTGGCTACGTGGGCTCTTTTTTGGTTCCATATGAACTTTAGAGTAGTTTTTTCCAATTCTGTGAAGAAAGTCATTGGTAGCTTAATGGGGATGGCACTGAATCTATAAATTACCTTGAGCAGTATGGCCATTTTTACGATATTGATTCTTCCTAACCATGAGCATGGAATGTTCTTCCATTTGTTTGTGTCCTCTTTTATTTTGTTGAGCAGTGGTTTGTAGTTTTCCTTGAAGAGGTTCTTCACATCCCTTGTAAGGTCCAGTCTTATAAGGTCCAAAAAAGTCACATCCCTTGTTGAATCAGCCTTGCATCCCAAGGATGAAGCCGACTTGATCGTGGTGGATAAGCTTTTTGATGTGCTGCTGGATTCGGTTTGCCAGTATTTTATTGAGGATTTTCACATCCATGTTCATCAGCGATACTGGTCTAATATCCTTGTAAGATGGATTCCCAGGTATTTTATTCTCTTTGTAACAATTGTGAATGGGAGTTTACTCATGATTTGGCTCTCTGTTTGTCGGTTATTGGTGTATAAGAATGCTTATGATTTTTGCACATTGATTTTGTATCCTGAGACTTTGCTGAAGTTGCTTATCAGCTTAAGGAGATTTTGGGCTGAGACGATGGGGTTTTCCAAATACACAATCATGTCATCTGCAAACAGGGACAATTTGACCTCCTGTTTTCCTAGTTGAATACCCTTTATTTCTTTTTCTTGCCTGATTGCCCTGGCCAGAACTTCCAACACTATGCTGAATAGGAGTGGTGAGAGAGGGCAACCTAGTCTTGTGCTGGTTTTCAAAGGGAATGCTTCCAGTTTTTGCCCATTCAGTATGATATTGGCTGTGGGTTTGTCATAAATAGCTCTTATTATTTTGAGATATATTCCATTGATACCTAGTTTATTGAGAGTTTTTAGCATGAAGGGCTGTTGAATTTTGTCAAAGGCCTTTTCTGCATCTATTGAGATAATCATATGGTTTTTGTCATTCGTTCTGTTTATGTGAGGGATTCCATGCATTGATTTGTGTATGTTGAACTAGCCTTGCATCCCAGGGATAAAGCTGACTTGATCATGGTGGATAAGCTTTTTAATGTGCTGCTGGATTCGGTTTGCCAGTATTTTATTGAGGATTTTCACAACCATGTTCATCAGGGATATTGGTCTAAAATTCTCTTTTTTTGTTGTGTCTCTGCCAGGCTTTGGTATCAGGATGATGCTGGCCTCATAAAATGAGTTAGGAAGGATTCCTTCTTTTTCTATTGATTGGAATACTTTCAGAAGGAATGGTACCAGCTCCTCTTTGTACCTCTGGTTAGAATTCAGCTGTGAATCAGTCTGGTCCTGGACTTTTTCTGGTTGGTAGGCTATTAATTATTGCCTCAATTTCAGAACCTGTTATTGGTCTATTGAGAGATTCAATTTCTTCCTGGTTTAGTCTTGGGAGGGTGTATGTGTCCAGGAATTTATCTATTTCTTCTAGATTTTCTACTTTATTTGCACAGAGGTGTTTATAGTATTCTCTGATGGTAGTTTGTATTTCTGTGGGATCAGTGGAGATATCCCCTTTATCATTTTTTATTGTGTCTATTTGATTCTTCTCTCTTTTCTTCTGTATTAGTTTTGCTAGCAGTCTATTTTGTTGATCTTTTCAAAAAACCAGCTCCTGGATTCACTGATTTTTTGAAGGGTTTTTTGTGTTTCTATCTCCTTCAGTTCTGCTCTGATCTTAGTTATTTCTTGCTTTCCGCTAGCTATTGAATTTGTTGGCTCTTGCTTCTCTAATTCTTTTAATTGTGATGTTAGGGTGTCGATTTTAGATCTTTCTTGCTTTCTCTTGTGGGCATTTAGTGCTATAAATTTCCCGCTACACACTGCTTTAAATGTGTCCCAGAGATTCTGTTACGTTGTGTCTTTGTTCTCATTGGTTTCAAAGAACATCTTTATTTCTGCCTTCATTTTGTTATTTACCCAGTAGTCATTCAGGAGCAGATTGTTCAGTTTCCATGTAGTTGTGCAGTTTTGAGTGAGTTTCTTAAACTTGAGTTCTAATTTGATTGCACTGTGGTCTGAGAGACAGTTTGTTGTGATTTCCGTTCTTTTACATTTGCTGAGGAGTGTTTTACTTCCAATTATATGGTCAATTTTAGAATAAGTACGATGTGGTGCTGAGAAGAATGTATATTCTGTTGATTTAGGGGGGAGAGTTCTGTAGATGTCTATTAGGTCTGCTTGGTGCAGAGCTGAGTTCAAATCCTGGATATACTTGTAAATCTTTTGTCTTCTTGATCTGTGTAATATTGACAGTGGGGTGTTAAAGTCTCCCATTATTATTGTGTGGGAGTCTAAGTCTCTTTGTAGGTCTCTAAGGACTTGCTTTATGAAGCTGGGTGCTCCTGTATTGGGTGCATATATATTTAGGATAGTTAGCTCTTCTTGTTGAATTGATCCCTTCACCATTATGTAATGGCCTTCTTGTCTCTTTTGATCTTTGTTGGTTTAAAGTCTGTTTTATCAGAGACTAGGATTGCAACCCCTGCTTTTTTTTGCTTTCCATTTGCTTGGTAGATCTTCCTCCATCACTTTATTTTGAGCCTATGTGAGATGGGTCTGCACGTGAGATGGGTCTCCTGAATATAGCACATTGATGGGTCTTGATTCTTTATCCAATTTGCCAGTCTGTGTCTGTTAATTGGGGCATTTAGCCCATTTACATTTAACATTAATATTGTTATGTGTGAATTTTATCCTGTCATTATGACGTTAGCTGGTTATTTTGCCCATTAGTTGATGCAGTTTCCTCATAGCATCGATGGTCTTTACAATTTGGCATGTTTTGGCAGTGGCTGGTACTGGTTGTTCCTTTCCATGTTTAGTGCTTCCTACAGGAGCTCTTGTAAGGCAGCCCTGGTGGTGACAAAATCTCTCAGCATTTGCTTGTCTGTAAAGGATTTCATTTCTCCTTCATTTATGAAACTTAGTTTGGGTGGATATGAAATTCTGGGTTGAAAATTATTTTCTTTAAGATGTTGAATATTGGCCCCCATTCTCTTCTGGCTTGTAGGGTTTCTGCCAAGAGATCAGCTGTTAGTCTGATGGACTTCCCTTTGTGGGTAACCCGAACTTTCTCTCTGGCTGCCCTTAACATTTTTTCCTTCATTTCAACCTTGGTGAATCTGACAATTATGTGTCTTGGGGTTGCTCTTCTCGAGGAGCATCTTTGTGGTGTTCTCTGTATTTCCTGAATTTGAATGTTGGCCTGCCTTGCTAGGTTGGGGAAGTTCTCCTGGATAATACCATGAAGAGTGTTTTCTAACTTGGTTCCATTCTCCCTGTCACTTTCAGGTACACCAATCAAACGTAGATTTGGTCTTTTCACATCGTCCCATATTTCTTGGAGGCTTTGTTCTTTTCTTTTCACTCTTTTTTCTCTAATCTGGTCTTCTTGCTTTATTTCATTAATTTGATCTTTAATTGCTGATATCCTTTCTTCCACTTGATTGAATCAGCTATTGAAGCTTGTGCATGTGTCACGAAGTTCTCGTGCTGTGGTTTTCGGCTCCATTCATTCATTTAAGGTCTTCTCTACACTGTTTATTCTAATTAGCCGTTAATCTAACCTTTTTTCAAGGTTTTTAGCTTCCTTCCACTGGGTTAGAACATGCTCCTTTAGCTCAGAGAAGTTTGTTATTACCGACCTTCTGAAGCCTACTTCCGTCAACTGATCAAAGTCATTCTCCGTCCAGTTTTGTTCCATTGCTGGCAAGGAGCTGCAATCCTTTGGAGGAGAAGAGGTGCTGTGGCTTTTGGAATTTTCAGCTTTTCTGCTCTGGTTTCTCCCCATCTTTGTGGTTTTATCTACCTTTGGTCTTTGATGTTGGTGATCTATAGATGGGGTTTTGGTGTAGATATCCTTTTGGTTGATGTTGATGCTATTCCTTTCTGTTTGTTAGTTTTTCTTATAACAGTCATGCCCCTCAGCTGCAGGTCTGTTGGAGTTTGCTGGAGGTCCACTCCAGACACTGTTTGCCTGGATATCACCAGCGGAGGCTGCAGAACAGCAAATATTGCAGAACAGGAAACACTGCTGCCTGATCCTTCCTCTGGAAGCTTCATCCCAGAGGGACACCCACCTGTATGAAGTGTCTGTCAGCCCCTACTGGGAGGTGTCTCCCAGTCAGGCTACACGGGGCGGGGTCAGGGACCCACTTGAGGAGGCCGTCTGTCCATTCTTAGAGCTTGAATGCCATGCTGGGAGAACCACTGCTCTCTTCAGAGCTGTCAGACAGGGATGTTTGAGTCTGCAGAATTTGTCTGCTGCCTTTTGTTCCACTATGCCCTGTCCACAGAGGTGGAGTCTATAGAGGCAGTAGGCCTTGCTGAGCTGCAGTGAGATCCACCAAGATCGAGCTTCCCAGAGCTTTGTTTACCTACTCAAGCCTCAGCAATGGCGGACACCCCTCCTGCCGCCAGGCTGCAGCCTCACAGGTCAATCTCAGACTGCTGCGCTAGCAGTGAGCAAGGATCCATGGGCGTGGGACCTGCTGAGCCAGGCACAGGAGGGAATATCCTGGTCTGCTGGTTGCTAAGACTGTTGAAAATTGCAGTATTTGGGCGCAAGTGTACTGTTTTTCCAGGTACATTCTGTCACGGCTTCCCTTGGCTAGGAAAGGGAAATCTGCCAACCTCTTGTGCTTCCGGGGTGAGGTGATGCCCCGCCCTGCTTTGGCTTGCCCCCCTTGGGCTGCACCCACTGTCTAACCAGTCCCAATGAGATGAACCAGGTACCTCAGTTGGAAATGCAGAAATCACCCGTCTTCTGCGTTGATCTCGCTGGGAGCTGCAGATCAGAGCTGTTCCTATTCAGCCATCTTAGAAGCAACCCAAGATCTCTTATTCTTAAGGAACCAACAGAGATTAGGAAGAAAGTCACAAGCAAATTCATACAGTGAGACTCTATAGTATACACATGTACAAATGAATATGGCAACAGAGGAGGAAAAGCAACAAAATCTATCAAAGAATTCAGGAAAGAGTTTACCAAGAAGGTGATATTTGAACTGAACCTTATTGATGGAATTTGCTATCTATAGGCTATGGGATAAGGACAGACCAAGCAGATGAAAGTACATGAAAAGTTCAGAGATATCAAAGAATGAATGACAAAATGTTCCACATGGCTGGAGCTCAGGTTGCAGGTGTTAGGAAATGGTAGCTAAATAAGAGACCAGTGCTCTTCCTGCATGGATATTGTCTTTTATTTAAATTATTACTTTATGACATCCAAGCGATTTTTTTTCTGAGAATATTTGTATATGGACTCTTTTTTGCCACAATTTATCAACTATTATAGTTCTATATGATAGTTTGAAATAGTTTCCTACATAGTTCACTATCTAAGGATTAAAGTGCATGTAATGATTTCTCTTCTACATAGCTCACCTGACTTTATAGTTGATCTAAAATCCCTAATTATGAGATGGTTAATTTGACATTGCTGTAAGCCACTAAATGCTAATTACTTACACCACCTCCAAGGGGCTTTGTAACCGCATATTTGTAGCAGGGTTTCTGTGTAATAGTTTAGCAGATATTGCAAACTAGTCACAACAAAGAGATGGGATACTTAATTTTTAGATTTGAAAGTTCACACACCTTATTTGGCTAGAATAGAAAGTTGATAAGGTCACAGGGAAGTGGAGTTTCCTTGCTTCGAAGCCATCAATGCGACACTTATCTAGAATTAGCTGACTCACAAATGCAGACCCTTAATCAAAAAGGACTTCATGTAAACACGTTTATAAATAACAAAATCATAAATCCCAGGATTGAAGACAGTTCAATTAATCTTAACTGAGTGCATATTTGTCAGGCAGTGCTCTAAGAGATGGAGATATAGCAGTGAGCAAAATGAAATCCTAGCTCTCAAAGGTGTAGGTTCTAGATGCAGGAGGCCTCCAGGATGTGCACACACACATACATACATGCATATGTACATACATACATACATTACATGTGTGTATACATGAAATGGGGTAAAGACAATAGAGTGATGAAGGTATGGAGACTGTTTTATGTTCACAATTAGGGAAGGCCTCCTCAGTAAGGTGACATTTTAGGGAAGACCTGAAGTGTAGGAATATATCAAACAGCAAGAGCTAAGGTCATGTGTTGTCAACTGTTGCTGGGGAAGAGCCAGGAAGCTGGTGTGATTGGAGCAGAGTCAGGGAAGGGAAGGTGATAGAGGGAATATCAGAGCAACATCAGGGCCTAGGTCATATAGAGCCCTGTGGTTCTGGTAAGGATTTTGGATTTGCTCTGAGTAAGATGAGAAGCCTTTGGAGGGTTAGGAGCAAGAAATGGCATGATCTGATTTATATTTTAAAATGATCACACTGGCTAGTATGGAGAGAAAAGACTATAGGTGATAAGGGTGGAAGCAGAGGTGCTACTGCAATAATTTAGGGCTGTAGTAGTGTGGGTGGGGAGGTGATGAAAGATTGCTTGATTGTGGATCTATTTTAAAGTCACAAGAACCTAAGAGTAGGGATTTGATCTGCTTTATTCTCTTCTGTATCTGAAGCTTCCAGAACAGTACCAGGAACACAGTGGGGGCTAATAATTATTTTTAAAATACTAAGTGAAGACAATGGCTGGCAGATTAGATATAGGGAGTAACAGAAAAAATGGAGTCAAGGAGAGTTTCAATTGGCCTGCACGACACAAAAGTGGAGATAACACTTGTTGAGATAATGAAAATTGAGGAGGAACAGGTTTTGGGGTAGGAACGGAGTTTGGTTTTGGCCATGGTAAGCAGGGAGGTAGGTCTCAAATTCAGGGGTCAGGTCAGATTAGAGATGAACATTTGGAGGTCTTCAAAATGCAAATATATTCATATAAAACTGTAAGACTGGATGATTTCACCCAGGGACAAATGTAAATAAAGGAGAGAACCAGGATCCCTGAGGAACACCAATGTATCATGGTAGCATAGATGATGGAGCCCCACAAAAGAAGTCTGAAACAAAAAGCAATCAGAGAGGGAGGAGGAGAACCAGAGAAGGATGCCCCATTAGCAAGAGAAGGGGATGCATCTGTCAGGAGGCTCCCTAGGGGTGCCAGTGCAGTGAGAGGCAAGATCTCAGACTTCACCAAGAAAAGATTATTGTTATCTTTACAACAGACAACGGGAGAAGAAAAAATAGGAGAATTAAGCAGAGAACATATTTTGAAGATTTGTTTTTTGCCAATGGAGAAAAAAAAAAGAGAGAGAGGGTAACTGAATAGGAGGATGGGTCAAGAGAATTGCCCAATCATGAGGGAAAACCTGACAATCTGAGAGATTCAGATAAAAAGACAGCGACAGCTGACAACACAGTAGTTCATGCATAATACAAAGTAAATATTGAAATGATAATCCTTCAAATCTCATTATTCTGTTTTACTTACTTATCACTGAAATAAAATTGACTTCAAATACATTTGAGGATTGGCTCCCTCCAGCAATACCCCTAATTCTAAAGTATGTTCTTGCCTGTGCAAACTTAAAACTAACTGCATTATCTTGTCTTTCTCTTTCCTCTTCCTCCCTTATTAATACATAGGTCAGAAATGAACGATCCATCTGAGTTCATTTGGTAAGGATGCTGGCTGCCAGTCTTTCCCTCAGTTACTCTTTTAGCACTTGTGTATCTCTGGAACAGCTGCCTCCTTTGCTGGGGCAATGCCCTCTTCTCCAGACCTCCATCTCCAGGTCCTTACACTCAAAGAGGCAGAGGAATATTTCTTTATTACTACTCCTTGACGGAGAGAAACCTCATAATTATCAGCCAGAATCAAAATCTTGGGAGGTGGTTAAATTCTTGCATGGTTTTGCTGAATCTAGTATGAAGGATGAATTACTTAAAGGCAAGTAAATTGCTACAATAACTTAAAAGTTCACACTATCATTTCTGAAACTAGCAGAAGGACCCCTAAGCATGTTAATTGGGATGGCTCCATCAAATAAACTCATCATGCAAAGAAAGCAATAAACCTTAAGATATTTGGGAAATTTGTATCTAATGAGAAACATTTCAGTTTAATTTGTTTCACTCAAGCTTACCTTGTTCAAGGCACTATGAGGAGTTGTGTGAAATGTACAATTGAATGAGAAATAATTCCTGTCATTTTAGAAGGAAAATCCCAAAGCAATAAGTATACAATTATTTATAGCAATCCCAATACCCAACACACCACACACAAACACTCTCTCTCTCCCCGCCCCCAACACACACACAAACAGACACACACACACACGATTAATTATTCTCCAAATGCATTAAGCGTTTTTATGTCTAGCGTTTCTGCATAGCCATTCTAACTTTCAAAGCACCCTTCCTCCAGTTCTCTGCTGTTGAAATGCTACTTATCCTTCAAGATTCAGTTTCCAGAGAACTTGTGGGTTTCTCCAATGAGCATTAATCCCTCCTTCCCTATTTTTGCAACTGAACTATTTTACTATTGATATGTACATATCTGCTCACCCCGTCAGATTGTGAACACATTGAAGATAGCTATTATATCTTACAATGCTTTAAATCCCCTCAGTGTCTAGCCAGGTGCCATATCCATAAGAGTGTAATATAGTTTTGTAGAACTAAATTGTTTCATTGATCATCAGCCTGAGGAAGCTCAATCAAGGACAAAAAGCCTACATAATTGTTGGGGTCCCAGTAATGTTGTTTAGAATTTATTAATCTATGCCAGGAACTATGCTAAGAGCTACTTATAAAGTACATCTAATTATTACTTTAAACCCTATAACATCCCCTTTGAGATATATTTTACTAAGCATCTTTTTTTTTCTTTTTTTATTATACTTTAACTTCTAGGGTACATGTGCACAATGTGCAGGTTTGTTACATATGTATACATGTGCCATGTTGGTGTGCTGCACCCATTAACTCGTCCTTTACATTAGGTGTATCTCCTAATGCTATCCCTCCCCCCTCCCCCCACCCCACAACAGGCCCCAGTGTGTGATGTCCCCCTTCCTGTGTCCAAGTGTTCTCATTGTTCAGTTCCCACCTATGAGTGAGAACATGCGATGTTTGGTTTTTGGTCCTTGCGATAGTTTGCTGAGAATGATGGTTTCCAGCTTCATCCATGTCCCTACAAAGGACATGAACTCATCATTTTTTTATGGCTGCATAGTATTCCATGGTGTATATGTGCCACATTTTCTTAATCAAGTCTATCATCGGTGGACATTTGGGTTGGTTCCAGGTCTTTGCTATTGTGAATAGTGCCACAATAAACATACGTGTGCATGTGTCTTCATAGCAGCATGATTTATAATCCTTTGGGTATATGGCCAGTAATGGGATGGGTGGGTCAAATGGTATTTCTAGTTCTAGATCCCTGAGGAATTGCCACATTGTCTTCCACAATGGTTGAACCAGTTTACAGTCCCACCAACAGTGTAGAAGTGTTCCTATTTCTCCACATCCTCTCCAGCACCTGTTGTTTCTTGACTTTTTAATGATCGCCATTCTAACTGGTGTGAGATGGCATATCATTGTGGTTTTGATTTGCATTTCTCTGATGGCCAGTGATGATGAGCATTTTTTCATGTGTCATTTGGCTGCATAAATGTCTTCTTTTGAGAAGTGTCTGTTGATATCCTTTGCCCACTTTTTGATGGGGTTGTTTGTTTTTTTCTTGTAAATTTGTTTGAGTTCATTGTAGATTCTGGATATTAGCCCTTTGTCAGATGAGTAGATTGCAAAAATTTTCTCCCATTCTGTAGGTTGCCTGTTCACTCTGATGGTAGTTTCTTTTGCTGTGCAGAAGCTCTTTAGTTTAATTAGATCCCATTTGTCAAGTTTGGCTTTTGTTGCCATTGCTTTTGGTGTTTTAGATATGAAGTCCTTGCTCATGCCTATGTCCTGAATGGTATTGCCTAGGTTTTCTCCTAGGGTTTTTATGGTTTTAGGTCTAACATTTAAATCTTTAATCCATCTTGAATTAATTTTTGTATAAGGTGTAAGGAAGGGATCCAGTTTCAGCTTTCTACATATGGCTAGCCAGTTTTCCCAGCACCATTTGTTAAATAGGGAATCCTTTCCCCATTTCTTGTTTTTGCCAGGTTTGTCAAAGATCAGATAGTTGTAGAAGTGTGGTGTTATTTCTGAGGGCTCTGTTCTGTTCCATTTGTCTATATCTCTGTTTTGGTACCAGTACCATGCTGTTTTGGTTACTGTAGCCTTTTAGTATAGTTTGAAGTCAGGTAGTGTGATACCTCCAGCCTTGTTCTTTTGGCTTAGGATTGACTTGGCAATGTGGGCTCTTTTTTGGTTCCATATGAACTTTAAAGTAGTTTTTTCCAATTCTGTGAAGAAAGTCATTGGTAGTTTGATGGGGAAGGCATTGAATCTATCAATTACCTTGGGCAGTATGTCCATTTTCATGATATTGATTCTTCTTATCCATGAGCATGGAATGTTCTTCCATTTGTTTGTATCCTCTTTTATTTCATTGAGCAGTGGTTTGTGGTTCTCCTTGAAGAGGTTCTTCACATCCCTTGTAAGTTGGATTCCTAGGTATTTTATTCTCTTTGAAGCAATTGGGAATGGGAGTTCACTCATGATTTGGCTCCCTGTTTGTCTGTTATTGGTGTATAAGAATGCTTGTGATTTTTGCACATTGATTTTGTATCCTGAGACTTTGCTGAAGTTGCTTATCAGCTTAAGGAGATTTTGGGCTGAGACGATGGGGTTTTCCAAATACACAATCATGTCATCTGCAAACAGGGACAATTTGACTTCCTCTTTTCCTAATTGAATACCCTTTATTTCTTTCTTCTGCCTGATTGCCCTGGCGAGAACTTCCAACACTATGTTGAATAGGAATGGTGAGAGAGGGCATCCCTGTCTTGTGCCAGTTTTCAAAGGGAATGCTTCCAGTTTTTGCCCATTCAGTATGATATTGGCTGTGGGTTTGTCATAGATAGCTCTTATTATTTTGAGATACGTCCCATCAATACCTAATTTATTGAGAGTTTTTAGCATGAAGGGTTGTTGAATTTTGTCAAAGGCTTTGACAAACCTGAGAAAAACAAGCAATGGGGAAAGGATTCCCTATTTAATAAATGGTGCTGGGAAAACTGGCTAGCCATATGTAGAAAGCTGAAACTGGATCCCTTCCTTACACCTTATACAAAAATCAATTCAAGATGGATTAAAGATTTAAACGTTAGACCTAAAACCATAAAAACCCTAGAAGAAAACCTAGGCATTACCATTCAGGACATAGGCGTGGGCAAGGACTTCATGTCCAAAACACCAAAAGCAATGGCAACAAAAGCCAAACTTGACAAATGGGATCTAATTAAACTAAAGAGCTTCTGCACAGCAAAAGAAACTACCCTCAGAGTGAACAGGCAACCTACAACATGGGAGAAAATTTTCACAACCTACTCATCTGACAAAGGGCTAATATCCAGAATCTACAATGAACTCAAACAAATTTACAAGAAAAAAACAAACAACCCCATCAAAAAGTGGGCCAAGGACATGAACAGACACTTCTCAAAAGAAGACATTCATGCAGCCAAAAAACACATGAAAAAATGCTCATCATCACTGGCCATCAGAGAAATGCAAATCAAAACCACTATGAGATATCATCTCACACCAGTTAGAATGGCAATCATTAAAAAGTCAGGAAACAACAGGTGCTGGAGAGGATGTGGAGAAATAGGAACACTTTTACACTGTTGGTGGGACTGTAAACTAGTTCAACCATTGTGGAAGTCAGTGTGGCGATTCCTCAGGGATCTAGAACTAGAAATACCATTTGACCCAGCCATTCCATTACTGGATATATACCCAAAGGATTATAAATCATGCTGTTATAAAGACACATGCACACGTATGTTTATTGCGGCATTATTCACAATAGCAAAGACTTGGAACCAACCCAAATGTCCAACAATGATAGACTGGATTAAGAAAATGTGGCACATATACACCATGGAATACTATGCAGCCATAAAAAATGATAAGTTCATGTCCTTTGTAGGGACATGGATGAAATTGGAAACCATCATTCTCAGTAAACTATCGCAAGAACAAAAAACCAAACACCGCATATTCTCACTCATAGGTGGGAATTGAACAATGAGATCACATGGACACAGGAAGGGGAATATCACAGTCTGGGGACTGTGGTGGGGTCGGGGGAGGGGGGAGGGATAGCAAAAAAAAAAAAGTGTATTTTTATGGAATACATAAAAGGTAACTCTTGTGAGTTATGACTTTGAGAAAAAAATAAATAAATAAATAAATAAATAAATAAATATTAAGACAGAGTCCAATCAAAAGCAAAAGGCAAAACAAGTTAGTTCCAAGTGACCTCATTTCAAAACTTGAACAAATGAGCAGCACATTGAGTTTCCAGGCAGACTACATGTTAAGAAATTGTATTGCATGGCTGGGTGCGGTGGCTCACGCCTGTAATCTCAGCACTTTGGGAGGCTAAGGCGGGCAGATCACGAGGTCAAGAGATTGAGACCATCCTGGCTAACACGGTCAAACCCCGTCTCTACTAAAAATACAAAAATTAACTGGGCATGGTGGTGTGTGCCTGTAGTCCCAGCTACTAGGGAGGCTGAGGGAGGATAATCACTTGAACCCAGAAAGCGGAGGTTGCAGTGAGCTGAGATCGCACCACTGTACTCCAGCCTGGCAACAGAGCAATACTCCATCTCAAAAAAAAAAAAAAAAAAAAAGAAAAGAAAGAAATTATATTGCTTATCATTTATATGAAATATTACCTTCTTTACTCCTATTCTTAATCATTTGCTTTTTCTCCTGCTTTAGAGACACATGGTTTGAGCTTTCAAAAAAATTAATGATTTTCTGTAGTATGATTTCTCCTTTCAGTTAGATGAGCTTCTTTGAAATCAACATTATAGGACACCTAGTAAGTAAGGGGTGTTTCGGTCACTGGCAACTCTTCAGACAGCACTTGCCTGTATGTTTAAGGCTTAGCAGTGTTTTTCACAATTCTTGCTTCTCACAGCTCAAAATATAATTCTCCTCTTTCCTCTTGATCCTGTAGTTCCCTATATTTCAGTTCATTTTTTCCAGTGACGACTCAGAAATAAAATTCAGCTGTCTTTGTGCTGCTGCTCTTTCTTCCTTTGTGTTGTGCTTCTATTGTGTTGCTCAAAGTTCCATGGTGAAGTCCCTCTCTCTGAAGCACTGTAGGTTTTTCTATAACAGCACTTAGTTTAATTATCTGCTATGTAATTTTATGTTAATTTGTGTCTTTTATCCACTAGACCAGGAGTCCCTTAAGAGCAGAAACTGGATCTTTTATCCTTGTATCCTCTATAACTAGAACAGTGCCTGTCTCACAGGAGGTACTCAATAAACACTTACAGAGTAAATGTAAGAATCTGGAGCAAGAGGACTCAGATTGAGTTGACGCCCTGCAATTTCCTCATATGTTGAATATAATAATAACTTTCTCTTCCAATAATTTTATTAATTGAGATGAAGCTGTGTAAAATGCTTTATATATTAAAAGGTATACATGCATGCCTATGTTACTGTGTTAACTCAAAGATTTGCTGTAGAAAATGTTATGGGGGATGGTTCTCAATCTAGAGCAATTTTACCCCCCAGGAGATATTTGGCAATGTCAGGAGACATGTTTGGTTGTCACATTTGTTGGAGGAGGGGTTGGATACTGGCATCTAGTGGATAGGGACCAGCCATGCCATATGTGTACTATACATCATGCAATGCACAGCAAAGCACCATACAACAAGGAATTATCTGGCTCAAATTGTCAGTGGTTCCAATGTTGAGAAACCCTGGCTCAAACTTAAAAATATATGATAGGTAAAACATTTTCATTAGTATATTTGCCACTAGACGATTAACTGAGTTTTAGCTTTTTTGTATGTAAACAGGGGTCATCATATTAATTTACTTGTAACCATTAGAGTAACGCCTTATCTTTCACAATATAAATATACTTTCTTACTCTCTGTTTAGCCAACAGTAATCTATATATGGAGACACCTGGTTTCCTCTCCTTCCAGGCCCACAGTAAGCTTATACATCCCTATATCCCATATATGTAGACAGATCTTCATGACTAGTTTTAACCAATGTCTTGCATATTTAAGTGATGTGCATTACTTCTGGGCCAAAGCACTTAATGGCTGGTGCAACCTGTCCAGTCCTCTCTTGCCCTGGCTTAGTGATTATGGACACTGCAGTTGAGACGGTGACATCACAGGATGGAAGTAGCCTGGATTCCAACTAACACATGGTACACAGCTGCCTAGAGATGGGCCCAAACCTATACTAGATTTCACAAGACTGAAAATAAACCTTTTCCAGGTTAAGCAACTGTAATTTCAGGATTGTTTGTTAATGAAGTTTAATGTAGATTTATCTGATTACTATATCACCTTAAAGGGACAACAATTTTGGTTGTATTCAGCACTTTATACTCTAGTTGAACAATTCCTGGGATAGAACAGGTGTTCAGAAATATTTTAGTACCAAATTGGTAAAAGGTAAAGGGAATTATTAACTCAGTTTTATTTTTCTTTTCAGAATATATCTGTCCAATTATGACTAGTATGCTGGGTCTGGCCTCATGGTTTTAAAACTGGCCCAAGTGTCCCATGGAACTGATGTTTATGGTCTATTTTGAATAAGCATAAAAATTGATCCTCCCACTCTTGAAACTTGAGAAAGTTACATTTGTCTTATCTGAGTTCCTTTCTCAGGAACCAACCATCAGGCCTCCCATATTGTATCAAGGAACTGAAACTTACCAGATCACTGCATCTGGACAATGAAAGCACAGGTGCCTTACCTGTCATGATTGCCTGACTAATTGATTCCTGTTAACCAACTCCTCTTCCTTACCCCTTCCTAATTCCTGTTTTCCCACACATGCTTACAATTCTTCCCTACAATATAAACCCCTAATTTTAGTCAGTCGGGGAGATGGATTTGAGACTGATCTCCCGTCTCCTTAACTACAGCACCTGATTAAAGCCTTCTTTCCTGGCAATACTTGTCTCAGTGACTGGCTTTCTGTGCAGCAAGCAACAGTACCTAGACTGCAGCAAGCAACAGGACCTCGACCTAGACCGACTTGGTAACAGTTTTGTTTTCAAAAGGTCAGAGCCTGGAAATTTTGACTGTGACATTTTGTGATGTATAATCCTTCAACACACATTTAAATAATGTGTATCAAATCTTGAAACCCCCTTGATCTTCCCACTGACCCAAAATGCCATAACCACATACACTGGACAATACACTGTGGACACTTCATGTTCTTTTGCTACAAGGAAATTCCTAGGTAAATTAGTTATGAGTTCCAGGACATTTGCTGTCACTACTCAGCAGGCTTGCATTTGCAAAGCTTGCCCTCTTGAGGCCAAACAGTTCCAATTTATAAATTGTTATGCCTGGATAATAGAGATTAGTCTACATATCTCTTTAAAGCTACTGACTGATGAGGGCCAGAATCTGTGGCATTGCAGACTGGTGAAGAGCAAGGACTCTAAAATAGGATGTCTGGGTTTGTGTCTGGGAGTTACTACCTCTTGTCAGTATCATCATGAACTTCCTTTCCTTTATCCATAAAATATGGATTATAAAAGTACCCATGTTACAGTGATGTTCAATTAAGTGTATTAATACATGTACAGGGTTTAAAATAATATTTACCACACAACAAGTGTTTAAATAAAATGAACTAATATTATGTACAGTGACACTAAACTAGTATCTAGACATGATTTACTCATAGGGCTATATTAACTAGACAAGCAGCTGCTATTTTTTTTTTTTTTTTTGAGACGTAGTCTTACTCTGTCGCCAGGCTGGAGTGCAGTGGCGCAAACTCAGCTCACCGCAACCTCCACCTCCCAGGTTCAAGCATTCTCCTCCCTCAATCTCCCGAGTAGCTGGGACTACAAGTGTGCACCACTACACCCAGCAGCTGCTATTCTTAAAGGGGCTATATGTTTATCAACTAACATTTCAAAATGTATTTGAAACAGATAAAAATAAAAGTCTCAACACATGATTATAATCTGTGTTGAAATGTGCCTCCCAAGTCATATAATTCTATACATGACTCCATAAAGCCATGAAGACATTCATACATGACAGACTAAGATGTGTAAATATTCACATGCCAAATTATATTCTTGAATGATTTAGAGAGAAAAGAGGCATTTATTAAATATTCTTTCTCCCATTTTTTCTATTTCCTTTCAAAATTTCCAGGCAATCGAATAAACATTGCAATGACTTTTTTAGACATGAAAATCATATTGCAGATAAATAAAATAAATTTATTCAAAAATGGCCTTTAGCAGATCCAAAAAGTATATTCAAATCAATATAAGAATAAGTTGTAAAATTGACCTTTGTGCATTCTCTGGAAGATTTGGTCAACTAGCTCTGTGAATAAATAATTTAAAAAAATGCATCCTGCCTGCACACCACCGTGGGGCCTCCCCAAAGAGCATGCAATATAAAATATAATATCCTAAACTGAAAAGAGATTATAATCATATTTGGCTCTCTGATATCATGAATATAAGATTCTCCTGCACAATGTAGAAACAGAAGGCAATAAACAGAATTGTCCATACTGGCTAGAATTCCATTTATATTTTGCCAAGCTTTTCTACATTAATTGTGGCAAATTATGTGAAATAAACATAGAATTACAATGGAAATAGTTAGGTAAGAATACGTAACCTGTAAAAAATTATTGTAAAATGTAATTGCCTGATATATTTAAGGTATTTATAATTACTTAAAATCATGTTACTAATAGGGGCACTTTTCTGCTTTTGTTCTTAATCACATTACTATAGAAACCTAAGAAAAATGAGAAGTTGATCATTCAAACAGAAGATATTGAGAAAACACACACATACACAGCAATGAACTCTGCAGGGCACACAGTAAGTATTCAATAGCTTCTTAAAGTAAGATTAATTTTTGCATATTTTACACATCTGCATGTTTACAAATATTATCTATATATCACTTTGTGCAGAAATCAGGGCATATATTCTAACTGCAGTTAAAGCATAGACATTAAAAAAAAGATAAAGAAGAAAATCCTACCATTTACAACAACATGGATGAACTTAGAGGACACCACGGTGGGTGACATAACACAGTCACAGAAGGACAAGTACTGCATGATTCTGCTTATATGAGGTATATGAAATAATCAAATTAATAGATTCAGAGAGTAGAATGGTGGTTGCTATGAGCTGGGGTATGGAAAAATGGGGAGTTGTTCAGTGAGTATAAAGTCTCAGTTGTACAAGATAAATATGTCTAGAGATCTTCTGTCACTGAGAAGATTTAAACAGGGTTGAGGCATGATTTGATTTTAATTTTATAAATATTATTCTGATTTCTGTTAAATATGGTAAGTTGAACACATGCGTTTATCATCATTTGCTTTGAAAATTCCAGTAACATGACAAGAGATTAATTTAAAAAGTTGCAAACTCAAAAGATCAAATTAGGCCAGGAGATGGAACAATAGGAAATGAGAAATAGCTACACGTACTTTGAAGGTGGAAAGCATACAGACAGTGGTAACTGACACACAGATGAGACTGCAGAAGTCTAGGCATTCATGAGACACTTATAAGAAACAAGGGAATTGGATTTTTCTGTTATCACACTACTAATAAAGACATACCTGAGAATGGATAATTTATAAAGGAAAGAGGTTTAATTGACTCACAGTTCCACATGCCTGGGGAGGCCTCACAGTCATGGCAGAAGGCGAATGAGGAGCTAAGTCACATCTTACATGGAAGCAGGCAAGAGAGCTTGTGCACGGGATCTCCCATTTATAAAACCATAAGATCTCGTGAGACTTATTCACTATGATGAGGACAGCATGGGAAAAACCTGCCCCTATGATTCAATTATCTCCATCTGGCCCCACCCTTGACATGTGTGGATTATTACAATTCAAGGTGAGATTTGGGTGGGGACACAGCCAAACCATAGCAGGAATTTATAGTGCAAACCTAGAAAAGCTCAGGAACTGAACAAACAGATTCTAATGAAGGCAAATGGAGACTGTAAGGTGGACTCTCCACAGTTTAGAGTTAGTTTAAAGTCACTATTAAGTTCAATTACTTGCTGAGACCTTTTCTGCATTCTGGTACAACAGACTACTACCCATTCATACTCCTAAAAAATACATAAGGTTGTTATCAGGGAGAATTGCACTGGAGAGGACATCAAGTAGGGTGCAATGAAGGGCAAAGTACCATACTGATAGAGGGTTAGTGGGTGAAAGGCTGTGTACTGAACATTGAGAATTCCATGCCCTCTAGCTAGACACCAGGCTTATTTCTCTCATAAAGGAGACTCAGATTCTTTCCTGGAGAAAATGAGCAGCCAAAGAGGAAAGATCTAAAAGATCTATAGATACTGACATGGAGTGGGGCAACAAAGTAGGCGGGTCTCCCTTCCAGCTATCCTGCAGTAAAACTTACCAGGCAATAATCCCTTGCCATGCTCACAGAACTTTCAGTTAATGATAGTGCTTCACTCTTGAATCAATGTAGTATTTGGCATTTAAGGATAGCCTCCCATATATAAGACAGAGACATAATAAAGAGTAAAAAACTCCAAGAAACAGAGAAGCATAGAAAGCAGAACAAAAAACTTTAAAAAGAGAGAAAGAGAAAGCAATCAATGGTTCGGTGAAATATGAGAAAATATTTTTTTGTTTAAAATAAAACACACTATTTGAAAAAAGAACTATCAAAGAACAAAGAAGAGTTCTTAGAAATAAAAAATATGATTGCAAAAATGAAAAGTCAACAGAAAATCATCTAGATAGAACCCAAAAATGGGGGAAAAAAGGAAAAAAAATGTAACATAGCTGAAATAAATTCCATAATTTTTAAGAAAATATTTATTCCTCTTCCCTGAAAGGTGGAGGATATTTTCTTACTACATGGAGGATGGGCTAGGGCCACCAAGCCCTGCTTGTGTGTAGAAAGGACAGCGTGCTGGTTATAAACCAAATTCATAAGAGGCATGTGAGTTTCTTTTGGCTTAATTAAACATCTGTCATTCAAGCCAGTGGCCCAAGAAAGAAGACAAAGACAAAGAGGAAATGTCTCTGATCAGCCAAGTTCAGCTGACTCTAGCCAATCTTTGCAGAGCTGCAACCAAGTGCAGACTGATGAGTAAGAAAATAAATGCATGTTATTGCATGACACTGAGCTCGAGAGAGGTTTCTTATACAGCATTATTTTAACAATAACTAATTTAAGACAAAAAATAAGAATCCTAAACAAATAAAAAGAATCAACCCAGAAGTTGAAACAACCGGCTAATATAAGTTTCAGAAAGAAAGCATCAAGAAAATTAAGGGGAAGAATTTATAAAATAAATAATGTAAGAAAAACTTTCAGAATTGGGTGACATAAATTTCTATATTCAAGGAGTCCAGTGATTACAAAAAGATACACACCAAGGTATATCTTATGGAATTTCAGAATATCAAGGGTAAAGAAGGATAAAACCTTCTTCTAGACAAAATATGATCAGAATGGCATTGGACTTATGAGAACAATGCTGAAAGCAAAAAATTAATAAATAAATGTCTTTGAAATTAAAATTGAGAGCATAAAAAATTCTGATATAAAATTATATAGCTATTCAAAAGTTAAGTCAAATGTGAAGGTGGAGTAATGGTATTTTCAAGCATATAAGGACTCAAAAATATTTACTTTCAAAGCATATTTTCTCAGGAAGTTATTAAAGAATATGCTCTAGTAAGATGAGGTAGACTGGAGATCCAAGAAGTCAGAAATCCAGAAGAGAAGTGAAGAAAAATCTGGAGTGATGGGTAAGAAAATATCCAGAACAATAGCTGTGTAAGCCAGCCTAAGAGCTTTCAATCCCAATTACAGTAGGACACTGAAAGGCTGTAGGAGGAATATCTCCACAAAAACATGGTATTTCATTAATTTTACCTTCTGCATATTATCTCACTATATAAATAAATCAGTTTCTTCATTCCTCTTGAGTGAGGAATGATCAGGTTTCTGCTTTTTCCCTATTACAATCAATAAAGCAATTAATACATGACTTCTTGTGAACAATTTTAAGAGGTTGGTTTTTGTTTTTAGTGTAGATAATGAATTATTGAGTGCAATGATAATTTTGTGTTTTATCTTGGTTAGTCCAAGGTACTCGGATATTTAGTCAAACACTTTGGTGTTGCTTTCAAGGTATTTTTAAGATGAGATTAAGGTTTGTCTTAGTCCATTTTGTGCTGCCATAATATAATACCTGAAACTGGGTAATTTATAATGAACAGAAATATCTTGACTCATAGTTCTGCTGGCTGAGAAGTCCAGTATCAAAGCATCTGATAAGGGCCTTCTTGCTGCGTTATCCCACGGCAGAAGGTGAGACAGCAAGAGAGCAAGAGGGGACGATACTTATCCTTCTGTAATCACATTAATCCCACTAATGAGGCCAGAGCCTTCATGCCTTAATCACCTCTTAAAGTTCCCACTCCTTAATACTGTCAATGGCAATTAAATTTCAACATGAGATTTTGAGGGGACATTCAAACTATAGTAATATTTAAATCAGAAGACTTTGAGTAAATTACCCTTCATAATGTGGGTGGGCATCTTTTAATCAGCTGAAAGCCATAAGGAAAAGATTGACTTCCCATGAAGAAGACAGATTTCTGCCAGCCAACTGCCTTCAGCCTTGAGCTATAACATCCATTTTTTTTCCTGGGTTCCAGCCTGCCAATCTACCTTGCAGATTCTGGACCTGCAGATTTTGGAGTTGCTAGCCTGTACAATTACATGAGCCAATTCCTTAAAATCTCTCTCTCTACCTTCCAATAGGATGTATATAAAACCAATAGGACACACACACACACACACACACACACACACACACACACCCTGTCGCTTCTTTCTCTGGAGATGCTGACTAATACATCAGATATGTGCGCATACAATTTCACTAAATATTGGCAAGATGTATAAAACATTGTAGGATTTTTATATTCCCATCAACAGTGATGAAAATGTACATTTCTCCATATCGTCACCAGCACGTAATTTTGTAACGTATAATATTTTGGACCAATGTGATAGCTGTGAAATATTTTCTCATTTTAATTGGTATTTTTTCATTATGATTACTAGTTGGTTTAAAAATTTTTCATATATTCATTTGACCATTCATATACATACTTCTAGGAAATGCCCATTTTATTATTTTTCTAACAAAACGTTTTCATTAGTGTATAATTTACATAGAGAAAAGCGTACAAGTCATGAGTGTACAACTTGATAAAGTATTACAAAATAAACACCTCCAATATAACCATCATCTAGCACCTAGATCTTACATCCAAAAATCTAACATTGCTGGGACCCTACAATGTCCAAGCAGGTCCCCTTCCAAAACACTACATCCTCTTTTTTCCACAAAGAGAAACACTATCCTGAATGATAACACCATAGATTATTCTTGCCACTTCAAGTAAGTGGAATCAAACTATACAGAACATATCGTGTCTAGTTTCTTTTCCTCAATATGTTTATGAGAGTAGTCCATGTTGTAGCATATAGCTGTAGTATTTTTCACTGCTGCATAATAGTTCATTGCATGACTATGCAATAATTTATCTACTTTGTGTTCATTAAAATATGATGCAGTTATAAACCTTTTAATGCATGTTTTTCAGTGTGCATAAGTATATGCCTAGGAATGTAAATGTATGTCTTCAACTTTGGAGGATAATGGCAGTTCTCCGGTTGGATACACGGATTTATACCACTACGTGTAGTGCATGTCAGCTCTAATGGCTCCACATCTTTGTCAACAATTGGTATTGTCAGCACTTTTTAATTTTAGCCAATCTAGAAAGTATGAAGAAAACACTGATTTGTGGCTTAAATTACCATTTCTTTGATGACTAATGAGGTTGATCATATTTACATGTTTGTGGGCAATGGGGATAGCCTCTTTTGTAAAGTATCTTTTCACAACTTGTTCTCTCATTCTATTTTGTTGTATGTATTTTCTTACTGAGTTTTACAAGTTATTTATATATTCCAAATCTGAGCTTTTTGTTTTTGTATGTGTTGCAGATAGATTTCCCTAGTCTGTTAACTTGGCTTCTATTTTCTTGTCAGCTTTTTTTGAGGGAGAAATGTCTAAGTTGTATTGTCTAATTTTGCATATTTCCTTTATAGTTTATGGTTTTTGTGACTGTTTTAAATGTTCTAACTTATCTTAAAATCATAAATATATCCTCCTATGTCATGTTCTATAACAGCACTCTGTTACTAATTTCTGCAATAATAGACATATTTTATATCTGTGCTAACCTACATCGTAGCCACTAGATACATGTTGCTACTGAGCACTTAAAGTATGGCTAGTGTGACTGAGGAAATACTTTAACATTTTTATTTGATTTTAATTAATTTAAATTTACATTGCTATATGTGGCAATTGCTAGTGGCAATTTAAATTAATTTAAATCACTAGAGGCCAACATATTGGATAAAAATCATTCAATTATGTTCTCAGACCACAATATAATTAAACTAGAAATCAGTAACAGAAAGATAGCTGGGAAATTCCAAAATATTTGGAAAGTAGCACACTTCCAAATTATCCAGGGTCAAAAAAGTATCAAGATAAATTTAAAATTTTTTGAACCAAATAGAAGAAAAAATAAAATGTATCAAAATTTGTGTGATACAGTGATAGCAGTGCTTAGATTAACATGTTTAGCATTAAATTCATGTGTTCAAAAAGAAGAAAAATCTAAAACTTCACCCTCCGCCTTAAGAAACTAGAGTAAGAAAAGCCAATTAGGCCTGGCTGAAATAGGTCAGATCCTTAAAAGAGACTGCTGAAACTCCCACAAGGAGAACTAGATAAACTGAATATCCATTTATTTATTATAGAAATTTGATCACTATTTAATAAACTTACAAAAAAATAAAGCACCAGACTCAAATGATTTCACTGGTAAATTCACTAAACATTTAAAGAAAAAATAATACCAAGTTTCCACAATTTCTTCAAGAAAATGGAAGCCGTGAAAACACTGTCTATATTATTCTATAAGGCCAGCATTACCCTAATATCAGTTCCAGAGAAAGACCTTGCAAGAAACAAAAACTACATTCCAATACCTCTCATGAACATAGACACAAGAATCCTTACCAAAATATTAACAAATTGAACCCAACAAGTATAACAGGAATTATACACCATGGCTGAGTGGGATTTATTTCAGGTACTCAAGGCTCATTCAAAATTTAAAAATCAATCAGTGTAATTCATCACATCAAAACACTAAATAAGAAAAATCATATGATATATCAATTGATACAGAAAAAGTGTTTAACAAAATTTAGAATCCATGCATGATAAAAGCTCTCAGAGAATTAGGAATAAAAGGAAACTCTCAACCTGATAAAGAACATCTGTAAATCTACAGCCAGCATCTTAATTGTAAGAAACTGGACATAAGGCAAGATTGTCCTCTTGTATTAAAAAGTTTATTCAAAGTCCTAGATAGTGCAATAAAACATAAAAAAGAAAAATTATGGAGATTATTAAAAAAGAAAAGGATCATATTCACAGATGACATAATTTTCTATGTAGAATGCTCCAAAATACCTATTTAAAAACTCCTAGAACTAATACATACACACACACAGTAATACACTTAGTATATACTAATATATACTATAACCTGCTCTCAATACACAAGGTCAACATGAAAAAATCAATTGCTTTTCTATATCTCAGCAATAAACAATGGGAATTTAAATTCTAAAAAGCAATATCATTTACAATAACACTAACAAATTTTAAAGGTGGGGTGTAAATCTAACAAAATATATACAGAATCTTTATGTAGAATATTACAAAACACTGATGAGGAAATAAAGGAAGATCTAAACAAAGGGAATGATATTCTTGGTTTATCGATTGGAAGACTCGATATTGTTAAACTGTCTGTTCTAATATATAGACTCAATGCAATCCCAATGAAAATTCCAGCAATATATGTTTTTAGATATTGATGAACAGGTCCTACAATTTATATGGAAAAACAAAAGACTCAAAATAGCCAACACAATATGAAAGAAAGAAAGTCAGAGGGCTGACACTACATAACTTCAATATTTATTGTAAAGCTACAGTAATCAAGATAGCATGGTATTAGCAAAAGAACAAGTATATGGATGAGAAAAGAGAATAGAGAGTCCATTAATAGACCCACACAAACATAAAAAAGAATCTTTGATAAAAGAGTAAAGGCTATTAAACTGAGCAAAAATAGTCTTTTACACAAATGGTACTAGAACAATTGGACATCCATGCAAAACGTGAACTTACACACAGACATTATGCCTTTCACAAGAATCTCAAAATAAATCATCGACATAAATAAAAATACAGAAATTATAAAACTTATTGAAGAAAACATAGGGTAAGATCTAGATGATTTTGGATTTAAGAATGAATATTTAAATACAACAAGAGTAGCAAAATCATGAAAAATGAATAGGTTGAACTTTATATATTAAAATCTGTTCTACAAAAGACATTGTTAAAAGAATGAAAAGATAAGACACAGATTGGAAAAAATACTTGCAACACAGCTATATAATAAAGGAATTATATCCGAAATATGCAATATACAAAAAAACCTTAAAAGCCAACAAGAAAACAAAAAACAAAATAAAAATGAGTAGAAGATCTGAACAGACACCTCGCCAAAGAATATATGTCATACAAGTGACATACATTGACATACAAGTGAATATATGTCATACAAGTGACCAAATAAGCCTATGAAAAGCTGCTCATTTCCATTTTTTGTTAGGGAAATATAAATTAAAACAACATTCCATTAAAAAGTCAAAATGATAAAGTAAACAGATCAATGGCGGCTAGGGATTCTGAGGTGTAGTAGTAAATAGATGAAGCACACAGGATTTTTTAGAGTGGTGAAACTGTTGGGTATGATACATACTGGCAGATACATGATTCTCTACATTTCTGAAAACCATAGAACTTTACAGCATGAAGAGTGGAGCTTAATGTTTGCAAATTAAACAAACATTTAGGAGATAAGAGGATCCTAGGATGAGATGCAGGCTATGATTTTTTTAAAAAACAACTGTATTACAAATGTATGAAATAATCTTGCTAAAGAGGATGGAGAAAAGATAATTGGTTAGTATATTTAGAAATAAGTAGAGTCTATAATACTGAAGATAAAAGGAACCTTACATAAGCTCTGTATTCTAGTTGATAAACTTGTTTCCCACAGGGATATGGGTCAATAATTCTGAAATTACTATACCTGTACATTGGAATTGCACAATTAAGTAAACAGCTGGCTGATGACAGAAGCCAGGTTTCTCACTGTTGGAGTGACAGGTTACACATAAACAGGTGGGGAATGCCAGAAGGATCCATGTGATCATTGATCAGAATGGGAGACAAGAGTATGAACTCATGTTTAGCTTAAAATAAATACTCTTAGATACATACAGAAAAATTTATAAATATGCACGTATACATGAGTTAGTACACACACATACTTCCTTGTTCTTTCAGCTGAGATGGTCTTGAGCAACGGGACAGTACCAGTGAACACACCTAGCTCAAAGATATCAGTTTTTTATTCCATTCTCCAATGAAAGGATGCCAGACTTGTTGCACAAATGACCAATTTGGGTCTGTGGCATGAAATAATGATCTTGCAGCATCTTGTAGTGCCAGAAAGTGAGAAAAAACTCAAATATAAAACCCACAAAACCCACAGTGACAGGAAAATATCAAAGAGACATTGGAGCCAACTGAAAGAGCTTCCAATGGCGAAAGCTGGAACAATATGAGCAACAAAATAAAGTTATATTGGGGTGTAAGCTGAAGCAGAAAAGAAGTATCAATGAGTTCATACTAGCATCAGTAAATGTTTGGATATATAAATGAATAGGGGAGGAGATCTAAATCTACTATGCAGAATTCAAAACATCTTGTGAGAGATTATCTTTCATAGAGAGAGAGTATTAACCCAGCTACTTAAATATTGGCTGCGGACAGTATTCTAAAGAAAACAATATGGAAAAGGGGAAAACAAGTGACTTTACAGTGCAGAAATCTGACAAACATTACCTTAGTCAAGCAATCAAGATTAACATCAATAATGACAAGTCATATTGATGGCATGTACCTTTCATGTAATTCATGGAGAATGGCACTTTACCTGTGTGGTCTTTCTCCCCAAACCTCGAAGTTCTAGTATAATTTGGAGGAAAGCATCGGATCATCCCCACTGAGGCACATTCTACAGAATACCTAGCCTGTACTCTGAGAACTGCTGCAACCAAAAAGAACCTAAGGAGACATGTTGGCTAAGAGTAATGATTATCCTGAATGGGACACTGGAACAGTAAAAGGTCAGTAGATCAAAACTAAGGAAATCTGAATAAAGCATAGACTTTCGTTAATGGTATAAATATCAGTTCATTAATTATAACAAATTTTCCATACTAATTTAAGATGTCAACAACAGGGGAAACTAGATGTTAAGTACATAGGAACTCTCTGTACTATCCTTGCAACTTTTCTGTAAACCTAACACAATTTTAAAATGATAATTTGATTAAAATAAATTAATGGTGATATGTTGAAATTTTTACCTCTAAAACTAGCATCTCCAGTGTCTCCATTTTTATTCAAAATTATATTAGTAGCCCTAGCCAGTGAAATAAGTTATGAGAAAGGAATAAAATAAGGATAGAAAAGTTTTTTTTAAAATAATGTATACATAGAAAATGTAATTCTATAAATAAACCTTTAGAATTATCAGCGTCATTGAATCAATTCATTATACACAAATTAATTTAATTTTAATTTTACATACCAGCTACAGAAATTTTAAGACGTCTCAAAATTATTGAAATATAATAAGACCTACATAAATGATAGATATACCATGTCAATATTTTTGAAGACTTGATGTTGTATAATTTCCAATTCTTCTCAAAGTGATCTATAGATTCAATGTAATGACAACAAAAGTCCCAGCAGGTGTGTTTCTGAAAATTGAGATGCTGAGACTAAAATTGTATCGAAATATAAAGGAACCAGAATGGTTAAGGGAAACTTGAAGAATTACAGAATGAGAGAATTTGATTTACCAGAAAAGACTTATACCATAGTTACAATCACTAAATAAGAATTGGTACAAGTAAAGACCACAGACTAATGAAGGCAAGAGACAGCAGAAACAGATCCATTCTTACAGGACTACTTGAATTACGACAAAGGTGGCACGTTGGAGGAATAGAAAAAAGATGGGCTTTTCAGTGAATCGTCCTGAGTCAATAGTCCTGAGTCAATCAGTTGTCCCTCTGGGAACCAAATGAAACCTGACGTTTGCTTTTCGTATTTCCTTTGGGGTAGGCCTGCTGGTTAGTGTGGTTTATATTTATCATTCAACGATTATCGTTAAATACCATTTTCCTATTTTATTTTTCATGAACCGTATAACTATCTCAAATTATCTCATTTATTTGATTGCTTTTAAATTATTTTTCCTGTTCCCACTACAATATAAAGTCCCTGAGAACAAGAATTTATCTATGCTGCTAAACATTGTAGCTAAAATATCTAAAATATTTCAAGGTATAATTATAAGCTTTTGAATAAATAAATGAATATACAAATCTGCCAGGAAAATGAGGAGTGAAAATAACATAATCCTTTGATCTAGCGCAGGAAGGATGAGGACAGTTTATTTGAGAGCCTGGGATGGGGTAATGGTTTGGAACATTCTAGATAAAAGGCATAGCAAATGCTGAAACATAATAAATGTGTAGGGGAACATCACAGGGTGACTTTCTGAGTGGGCTATTTTTTTATGTAGTAAATGGAAATGTCTGTTTAAAATAAAGGCAGTCGTATTTATTCAGTGACAAGTCTCAGATTACCTGTATTATGTTCTCTTTATTTCATGTGTGGAAAGAAAACTTGTTTTCCTCTAAAATGTCAGTTCAGGATTCTAACACTTATCCATTCTCCCCCAACCTTCTCCAGTTCAGGGCTGTACACGCAGATATTGTCCAACACTTACTTACAGTACTTGGTATTATGTATGTCTGGTTTCTTTAGTGTGTGCATCATGCTTATCTAGGTTTGTTTGTGTTTTAATACAGATTCCTGGGATCCCCTTCTAAAACATTAAAACAGAAGGTCGGGGCTAATTAACTAGCTAGCTCCCTAGGTAAGTCAGATACACAGCAAATGTGGGAACTACTGAATTCTAATCTGAACCCGTGTGTATTAGTCAGGGTTCTCTAGAGGGACAGGACTAATAGGATAGATGTATATATAAAGGGGAGTTTATTAAGGAGTATTCATTCACAAGATCACAAGGTGAAGTCCCACAGTAGGCCATCTGCAAGATGAAGAACAAGGAAGCCAGTCTGAGTCCTTGAACCTCAAAAGTAGGGAAGCCAACAGTGCAGCTGCCAATCTGTGGCTGAAGGCCTAAGAGCCCCTGGCAAACCACTGGTGTAAGTCCAAGAGTCCAAAAGCTGAAGAACTTGGAGTCTGATGTTCAAGGGCAGGAAGTATCCAGCACAGGAGAAAGATGAACACTGGAAGACTAGTCCGTCCACATTCCTCTGCCTGCTTTAATTCTAGCCACACTGGCAGCTGAATAGATGGTGCCCACCAAGGTTGAGGGTGGGTCTTCCTCTCCCAGTCCACTGACACAAGTGTTAATCTCCTTTGGCAACACCCTCACAGACACACCCATGAACAATACTTTGCATCCTTCAATCCAATCAAGTTGACATTAAATATTAACCATCACACCTTGCTAACAAAAGTGTGGTCTACCAACAGCATTGACATCACCTAGAAACTTGTTAGAAATTTTGAATTTCAGGTTCCATCCCAGATATGCTGAATCAGAATTTAAACTTTTCTAAGATCCTACATAATTTATGTGAACTTTAATAATTGTATTGTAGTAAGAACACAACATAAAATTTACTTTCTTAAATGTTTAAGTGTGCAAGACTATTGTTAACTGTAGGCACAATGTGGTGCAGCAGATCTCTAGAACTTATTCATCTTGCATAATTGAAATTAGCAATTTCCCTTTTCTCCCTGACTCCAGACCCTGAAAACCACCATTCTCCTTCCTGATTTTCTGAGTTTGGCTATTTTAGATACCTTATATAAGTGGATTCATGCAGAATTCTTCCTATTGTGACTGGCTTATTTCACTCGGCATAACGTCTTTGAGGTTCATCCATGTTGTTGCATATTGTGGAAATTCCTTATTTTTAAGGTGGAATAATATTCCATTATATAAGGATGGCTATTATATTTTTTAAAAGACAACAAGTGTTGGTAGAGATGCAGAGAAAATTGAACGCTTGTATACTGGTGATGAGAATGCAAAATGGTGCAGCCACTATAGAAAATAATATGGAGATTTCTCAAAAAATTAAAAATGGAACCACCATATGATCCAGCAATCCCACTTCCAGGTATTTCTCCAAAAGAATGAAAATCAGAATCTTGAAGAGATATTAGCACCCAAATGTTCAATACAGCACAATTGACAATAGTCAAAGTGTGGAAGCAATCTCAATATCTACGGAAGGATAAATGGATTTAAAAAAAAGTGGTATGTATTACTAGATACATAAGAACTTTTAAGTTCGAGAAGCAAATTCTGATCCAAACCACTGTGCTCCTAGACACTTAGCAGCAACATCTCCTGGGAACTTGTTAGAAATGCAAATTATTTGCCTCACCCTAGATCTGAATCAGAACCCCTCTGTTTTAACAAACCCAGAACTCTCAAGTTTGAAAACCACTCATCTAAACTCTTATCCTGTCTTTGAATCGTTGATCCACAACTTTATCCTGCCTTTAGCAGTGACCTTTTCTAATTTTAAGCACCACCACAATTCTACCTCTAAAGTCAGTGGAAATTCAGCAGGGCTAGAGAAGGACGAATAAAAAAAAACATCTATGGTATTACATACGTACGGAACAAAATGCTGCACTTTGTCCAAAAATTGGAGGATTTCCTTTTTTTCCCAAACTGTACATGGGTTTGGAAGGGCTCTCTAATTGGGTGAACATAAAAGCCATGTACTGGTTGGCTGTACTTCCACATCTGTGGTTTTTCAATAGCTATTCTAGAAAAAGGTTTTACTCCCACCTTGACTTCTAAATTTTAAAACGCCTCCATCTCTGAAAAACACTTTTCAATAATTGTCAATTAGAGTGAGGATAGTAGGGTAAGCAGCTGCTTTAGTTTATTTAAGGAAGCTGCCAGATGATGTCAGCTCCAGGTGTTTCTAAATATTAAGGTGATGGGGTGCATCCCTCAACTTTATAGATAGAGAAAGCAAGGGGCTGTCCCCCATGTTTCTTCTTTAAAATAAAAACCCACAAGTCTACTACTTTCCAATCAATTTCCTATGATTTATCTTAGAGCATTTACATCTAATCCAAACACTACCAGATGAAGGTTGAAAAAGGATTGTTAGGGAAGTAAAGTAAGATGGCTTCAGAGTCCCTGTGTCTTCTTTCTCAAACTCCTTCCATAATTTAAATGCTAAAGCATGATAAGGTTTTTAATAGACTATTTTGTTGTGTGTGTGTGTATATATATATATATCTATATCTAAGGTATACGGCATGATGCTTTGATATACATAGTGAAATAGTTACTAGAGTTAAGCAAATTAACAAATTAACATGTCCATCATCTCACATAGTTACACAATTTTTTCTTTTCATTTTTTCTTTTCTTTTTTTTTTTTTTTTTTTTTGAGATGGTCTCACTCTGTCGCCCAGGTGGAATACAGTGGTGCGATTAAGCTCACTGAAGCCTGGACCTCCCAGGCTCAGGTAGTCGTCCCACCTCAGTCTTCTGGGTAGCTGGGACTACAGGTGGGTGCCACCACACCTGGCTGCAATTTTTTTTTAATGGTAACAGCACTTACAGTCTACTCTCTTAGCAAATTTCCAGTTTAAAATACAATATTATTAACTATAACGCTCATGCTACATTAGATCATTAGGACTCATTCATCCTATATAACTGCAACTTTGTACACTTTGACCTGCATCATTCCGTTTCTTCCCTGCCCCTGGTAACCACCACTGTTTCCACGTATTCCGTGTGTGTGTGTGTGTGTGTGTGTGTGTTTAAGATTCCACATATAAGTGATATTGCACAGTATCTTTCTTTTTGTGTCTGGCTTATTTCGCTTAGCATAATGTCCTCCAGGTTTATCCATGTTGTTGCAAATGTCAGGATCGCCTTCTAAAGGCTGAATGATATTCCATTGTGTGTGTGTGTGCGTCTGTGTATATGCGCGCGTGCATGCCTATGTATGTATTACAATTTCTTTATCCATTCATCGTTAACAGACACTTTGGTTGTTTCCAAATCTTCGCAACTGTGAATAATGCTGCATGAACTTGAGAGCGATTTCTGAGATCCTGATTTCATTTCCTTTGAGTATACACCCAGAAGAGGGATAGCTGGGTCACTGGCTTTAGCAACGATTTTTGCAATATCACACCAAAAGCCCAGGCAACCAAAGCAAACCTAGATAAATGGGACTTCATCCAACTAAAATGCTTCTGCACCGCATAGGAAATAATCAACAAAATGAAAAAACAGCCTATAGATTGGGAGAAAATATTTGTGAGCCATATATCTGATAAGGGGTTAATATCCAAAATACATTACGTTCACAGAACTCAGCCAAAATAAATAAATAAAACACCCAGTTAACTAACGGGCAAAGGATGTGAATGGACTTTTTTTTTTTTTCCAGAGGAAGTACAAATTGCCAACAGGTATAAGAAAAGGCGCTCAAAATCACTAATGAACAGGGAAAAGCCACTAGGTATCTCCTCACACCTGCTAGGATGACTGTTATAAAAAAGATAAGCGATAATAAGTGTCGGTGATGTGCGGAGCAAAGGGAACCTTGTACACTGGTGGTGGGAATGCGGACTGGAACAGCCATTATGGAAAACCCTACGGAGGTTCACTCAAAAAGTTAAAAACAGAACTACCAGCCCAGTGTTATCCGTCCTTCGTTAAGTTCAAAGTCACGGTGCCACTTCCTTTCCCATCTAAAGGGGACTGCTCGCGACCCAAGCCAAGGCCCGCAAGTGTGGCTCTCCCTGCGGGGAGAGTAGGGCAGGAGGTGGATTTCCAGGCCAGAGGCTTCCAGGCTGGGCCCGGACCCCACGCCGACCCCGGCCCCGGGGGGGGCTCAGCGACCTCGGCGCCTCCTCAGGCCCCCAGTGAACCTCCGGGGCCCATAAAGGCTCCAGGCCGGCTCCCCGGAGGCCCACCAGCGGGCGTCTGGGCCTCCCTCCGCGCCGCGACCGCCAGGAGGCGCCGCCCGGGAGAGGAAGTCCAGCTGGGCCCGGCCGGGCTTCGGAGGCGCCGCCCGGGAGAGGAAGTCCAGTTGGGCCCGGCCGGGCTTCAGAGGCGCAGGGCGGGAGCCGCCTCGCGCAGGGTCCTCCCCAAGCCGGCGCCAGGCCCTGCCCTCGTCCGGCCCTGCCCTCGTCTGGCCCCGCCCGGGCCGCGAGCACTGGCGGGTTCTGGGTCCTGTGACCGGTCAGGCGGCGTCAGCGGGCGCGGCGGAGGGCTGGCCGGCCTCGGGGGAGTTTCCGCGGCCGCCGGGGGCGCGGCGGCAGAGCGCGAGGCCGGGCAGGGGGCCAGACTCGGAGTCGAGGCGCGCCCGACAGCCGCAGCGCTCATGGCGGGCGGAGGAGCCGGGGACCCCGGCCTGGGGGCGGCCGCCGCCCCAGCGCCCGAGACCCGCGAGCACCTCTTCAAGGTGCTGGTGATCGGCGAGCTTGGCGTGGGCAAGACCAGCATCATCAAGCGCTACGTCCACCAGCTCTTCTCCCAGCACTACCGGGCCACCATCGGGGTGGACTTCGCCCTCAAGGTCCTCAACTGGGACAGCAGGACTCTGGTGCGCCTGCAGCTGTGGGACATCGCGGGTAAGCGCGGCCGCGAGTTTCCCACTCCAGAGCCCCGCCGGGCCGCCTGGCTCCTCTCTGCTTCTTTTCTTTTTCTTTTCTGCCTGAACTCGTCTGCCTGGGTACCTTTAGGAGAAGAGAGAGGCCCAATCCAAGGGCGAGATGCGATGGACGCGGTCGGCTGGACTCGGTGGGGCCCAGAGGATGGGATGGGCAGTAGGAGTTGGAGCAGGTCCTGCACGCCAGAGCTCGCTCTCCTGAAGGGAGGCGAGGAGGCCAGGGGGCCTTTTCCAGAAGTTTGAACTCTGAATAATGCAAGTATATCATACATACACCAGGACTAGTTGAGAAGGCTGCTTTGGAGCGGGCCGGCGCCTCTCAGCCTCAACTCAAGTTCAGAGGGATTGGGTGACTTAACCCGAAGCTGCACTCCTAGTTAGTGACACCACCAAGACCAAAAGCCAGGTTCCTTTCCAGATCATTTTCCACCACCCGCCTTGGCTCTGAGACTGGCCTTTGTGAGGGAAACTCCATTCCTCAAATACTTTGCTCTCATCGGAAGCCGAGGACAGACACTCCGTGAAGATTTGGGAAAGCTTTTCTGAAACCTTACACTCACCCCTTCCTCTCTTGCTAAACCAACACCTAGTCCCATCCCTGGTGCCCTCGCCCCCCCCCGCCCCCCCCCCACTCCTCAATACAGTGTTTCTCTGCCATTTGCTTTCATTTGTTCTGTTTGAGGGGGTACATTTCCCTCTGCTCTGATTTATGAACACTTGAACTTTGCCTGGTGTGGTGGTTGGGAGTGGGCGTTTTAAAGATGATGTTAACTATTGGAAAGTTCATAGAAATGGTACCAAGCCAAGTGCCAGTGGCTCACGCCTGTAATCCCAGCACTTTGGAAGGCCTAGACTGGAGGATCGCATGAGCACAGGAGTTCGAGACCAGCCTGGGCTGTTAGTGAGACCCTGTCTCTACAAAATACATACATACATATATACATACATACATACAAAAAATTAGACAAGTGTGGTCGTGCGTGCCTGTAGTCCCAGCTACTCAGGAGCCTGAGGCAGGAGGATCACTTGACCCTAGGAGAGGTCAAGGCTTCAGTGAGCTGTGTTCTCACTGCTGTACTCCAGCCTGGTCAACAGAGTGAGACCCTATCTCAGAAAAAAAAAAAAAAAGTACGAAAATTACTCTGTTCAATCATTACAGGTGTTAAGAAGCACAGTCTGCAGTACAGCATTAGAATGGGAGCTGGTTTAGGGTTAGAGGACACCTGAGGCCACCCTTCATTCTACAGTCCCTACACTGAAGCCCATGGAGGGTATAGCTACCTGGCTGGTAGCAGAGTGGTTGGGGGGATCACAGGTCTACTGTCTGTCTGCCAGGTAGTGCTCTTGTCATTTATAGCTTGTTACATAAGAAAGAGTAGTAAATAATTGTAACCTATAACTCATTCATTTAAGAGCACATTTCTGTCCCTCAGACAGGAGAATAACTGTATGCAACTCAGTTGCTCAGAAAAAAGGAGTAATCAGCCAGGGACTCAGCTTTTTGTTGTTGTTTTTTGTTACCAAAAACCAAAAGTTCGTTTGAAAAGTCATCTTTGAAGCCAGAAGTTTTTTCGAAACACTTCCTGCCGTTGCACAGAACCCTAATGAGCAGTATTTCTGCTTCTTGACAAAGTCATGGATTCTAAAGGTTGCCTTACCATGTGACGGTCATTCTCCAGGAATCTGCAGCATAGCTGAGGTTTTTCACAAAGATGGTTTTAAAACCTTGCTTACAAGGGTGATTGACCTTGCCTTACTCTTTATGTAAATTATGGCATTTTGTTATTAAACTACGATTGGGTCCCACTGCTGGTAAATCAGTATGAGTAACTAGATTTTTAAGTGTTTATAGTTAGAAACTTGAGAAAGTAAAAGCAGGAGTAAGATACAAATTTTCTTTCTGGTATCACCTCTTCTTTTTTTATTAATCACAGACCTCGAATGACAGGAAGGGGTCATATCTAGTTTTTTATCAGACTCTGATAAACATCTGCCTAGATGGGATATCCTTGTACTTTTCACTAAATCCAAAGCTTGAGTTTTGCCAGGAAGGAAAACAAAAGTTTAAGATCTCCAAAAGGGATTTCTGGATGTTAGATATTGTTTCAACAGGTATTGTTGTCCCATACAGCAAGTACAGACCAGCAATTTACAAAATTAGAGGTAAATTTATAGAAATTATTAGGCTCACATTATAAGTAAGATTTTCAGAGATAGAATTTTAATATCTCTGAATATGAGGGAGAAAAATAGCTTAGTGAGAGACCAAAAACAAAAAAAAAACAAAAAAAACTGTTTTAGAGACCAAAAAAAGCAAAACAAAACAAAAAATCCTTAGCCTAAAGTTTGGAGAGCTACATTACTAACTGTTTGATTTGAATATTTGAGCTACTAGTGAATCTCAGCTCATACCATTTGAATTAAGTAATGATGATGTAATGAAGGCAAACTGATGGCTGCTCCACAAACTTCCCCCAGGGCTAAGCATACTTGCCTTATGTAGTAACAAAGTTGGATCATATTTAATTCTCAAATAATAGAAATATTCTTTGATTGCACAATAGTAGATAGAGCCAGCTACTTGCCATAACTAAGTTAAGGTGTGGTGTTTTTACTAGTTAGGTTTTTTTTTTTTTTTTTTTTTTGGTTGCTTCAGTGAGAGGGCGAGGTAGTGAAGAAATTATGACGAATCTCTATGCTTGAAAGCTGTGGCAAGTATGATAGGCTAGAATTATCAAATGTTTTCTACACATGTAGCTAAGCAGATTCAGCTGAACTCTTCAGGTTAAGAACCACTGTGATCCTCAGATACACAAATCTGTTCTTACGGCATTGAAGGAATCTGGCTTTAAAATACAGATGCAGTTTAGTGCAGTTTTTGTGTTAGACAATTGCCATCTCTTAACTCACACGTACTTTAGGACTGCTGCTCAAAACATAACTGAAATATACTAAAATCTTGAAGTCTTTGATAACACTTTACAGAGATCTTAATAAATGCATACTCAAGATATAGCAAGAGATGTCTCTGATCTTCCTTTTAATGCTCAGTGTAGGTAAAGTAGTATTTGGTTTACTATTATATGCTTATTGCTTATTAGTCACTATAGCATTTTTCAGGCAAATTGAAAGACTGGTCTAGGTTAAATCTTAAAAAAACAAGTTTGTCCATTTAGGTCTAGTATACTTTAGCCTTCATGTATTGACTGAGTGATTTGCTTTTTAGGATCAACATTTTTTAATAAAAATCTGAATGAGTAACTCTCCTTTGGGCCAAAGGACAAATTGGGAACAGTCTGCTCTGAAGTTCATATAAATAATATTTACCCAAGCATAAAATGTGTGCTTGGAAGATATAAACTATATAATTTATGCCTAAACTTATTTTACATTGTTTTGATTCCCATCCAAAATAGAATGTGGATCCTGATTGCCTTGCTGCATCTTATACTTTGTCGATTAGTATACCTAGTAATATCCCTTTGTCTTTTTTTTCACAACTCTCCTATCATCTTTCATGAGCACGAGTAAAAGGAAATACTTGAAATTTACAGATGATTCACAAAAAAAAAAAAAAAAAAGCAACAGTCACTAAAGTTTAACAACTCTTTGTTAACTTCTAGGTTTCTAACTGTTCTTTTACTCATTTGTCACCCCACTCTCTTTTCTAAATTAAAGATATAGTCCAAAGGAATAGTTTATTACCATGTAATTATCTTGAAATCTTACTTTTTCAATTTCCTAATTTAAGACTGTCATATCTTGTTGCTTAGTCTTTTCATATTCAATAATTAAAATATATAAAAATGGAAGTGGTTGGTAATGTGTGCACTGCATTTGAAATTGGAGTCTGAATCATTTCAATGCATATAGTCTTTCTGCAGAATAGCGATTTTGAACAGTTGGCATATCATGTAAGTTTTTATAAATGTCAGCATTATGAGCCAATGAACTATATAATGGTCAGATTTACATCACAATAAAATATGAGCATAATAGTAGGGTTTCATATGTGACCATTTGTTACAGTAAAATTTAGACCTTTGGACTATTACAGTACAGCTTCAGTTAAACCATATGAGGAGTCATCACAAAACAAACCTTAAATTTATGCATTCACGTTTGACCATTGTTTTATTCTTCTTCCATTATTCCCTAAAACAATATATAAAATTATATTGCATTGTAGAGTTTGGAGAAGGAAGAATTTTATATTTTGGGGTATCTTTGCATCTGTGCAGAGAAAATGTGTCAATAAAATGTAGATAAAGCCTGTTGCTCATGTGTTTCAAGAAGAAAGTGTCTTTATCATAGAACAGAGTGATACATCTTAGATGTGCATTGATTGCCAATCATTTTTCCTTCACACTGTAGTCAGTAACTAAGTCAAGGCAACTGCAAGATAGTTCAGAAAGGCTAGCATCCCACTTCTATAGGTGTGTGGGAGTCAGAAGACCTGGATTCTAGTCCTGTCTTCTTTAGTCAGTGCCACTATAATCCTGGCCAAGCATCCATTTTCCTGTTGTTACATCTGTCAGATGAAAAGAAGGGTCTTTCCTATGCCAAAGATTAGTACAATAGCAGATAGTAAGAGAACGCTTTGCAAAGTCCTATATAATGTACAAAGCAGATTTTTCCCAAAGTGTTTGACATAAATTATTTTAAAAGTACAATGACATTTGAAGAACCCTGGAATTGATTCTTCTTGTAACAACACAACCAGTTGTGCCTTTTGTTCTGAAACAGATTTTCATGTATCTACTACTTACAGGGGTGAAATCTTGCATATTGAGTCAGAAGTGGGTATGGGCTAGAGATATGAAGGAGAGATGAGTTGAGAACATGAACTACTTTATCTCATGTCCAGCCCTAATCTATTTGACTAGCATGTTACCCACTGCACTTATCTCCTTCCTGCAGGCTTCATTTCTTCTATTCTTGTCTCTTCTTCCTCTACTTCCAGCTTTATGTTTTCCTTTAGTGCCTCTCTTCTCTTAGACTAAGGGGAGACGAGTCGGAATAAATGACAGACTTTGTAGCTTTAAATATTGTCATATTGGTTTTTATGGAGAATATGTTGTACAGAACATAAAACTAATTCATTATGTACTTAAACCAAATTATCAGACACATCTGCTCTATGGGTCATGGTCTGTATGGATAGCCTTAATCACACCAGGTTATATTGCTGTGGAATGGAAGACATTTGTTCATAGTGTTGCTCTTGGGGTAAAAGGGGTTATACCTAAATGTAGACTCTGTCTGAATTACAAGTTTTTAATTTTTTCTTATATTTATGTCTAGGGCAGGAGCGATTTGGCAACATGACCCGAGTATACTACAAGGAAGCTGTTGGTGCTTTTGTAGTCTTTGATATATCAAGAAGTTCCACATTTGAGGCAGTCTTAAAATGGAAAAGTGATCTGGATAGTAAAGTTCATCTTCCAAATGGCAGCCCTATCCCTGCTGTCCTCTTGGCTAACAAATGTGACCAGAACAAGGACAGTAGCCAGAGTCCTTCCCAGGTGGACCAATTCTGCAAAGAACATGGCTTTGCCGGATGGTTTGAAACCTCTGCAAAGGTGAGATCTGCTTTGCTTATGCATCTTTTGCTTTCTAGCTCATAATTCTGAGCTGTAAATGTAAAGTATTTAGATATATTTATGTGAGTGGTGTTTGAAAGTCTGGAAAATGAGAAGTGTAGCATGGATGTGTTATAGCTTCTTTCAGTCCACAACAGGACTGCTTTCCAAATTGGCTAATGGCTAATAGAAGGGCAGATTTTCCATCAAAACAAAAAGAATTATTTAGGGCAAAAAGCAAATGACATTTTCTGTGAGTTTGAGTTTTTAACTGAGGTACTTCTCATGCAACTAGAGTGGTTGGGGGTATTGTCAAGCACGAGAATTTTTGGTTTTTACAAAAGGCTAAGTGAATAGGAAGATGCCTCTGGTGAAGATGTGTGTCACATGCAGGACCATGTGAAAAGATCAGAGAGGAGATTTATTCAGATGATGTTTGAAGAGTTTTAGGTTAACTGTGTACGAAAGATTTGAAACAGCCAGAAAGTATCAACATTTGTGGTATGCTTCATAAACAGTAGAGTGAGAATTTTTTCTTTTGTCTATTATGGAAAGCTGAATAAAATATTTTCTGAAGGAAAAAATAAAACACTCAGTTGACTTTCAAAAATCTTAACAGTCTAGTGACCAGGCACGGTGGCTCATGCCTGTAATCCTAGCAGTCTGGGAGGCCGAGGCAGATGGATCGGGCAGATCGCTTGAACTGGGAGTTCGAGACCAGCCTGGGCAACGTGGCGAAACCCTGTCTCTGCCAAAAATACACAAAGTAGCTGAGCATGGTGGTGCATGCCTGTGGTCCTAGCTTCTCGGGAGGCTAAGGCAGGAGGATCACTTGAGTCTGGGAGGCAGAGGTTGCAGTGAGCCGAGATCATGCCACTGCACTCCAGCCTGGGTGACAAAGTGAGACCCCATCTCAAAAAAAAAAAAATCTTAATAGTCTAGATATAGAAAAAAGGTGAAAATTATACATATATAAAATGTTTGGGGGGGGGGTTACGTGCATTGGAACTTTCACATAAGGGGGTTAGTGACAATCAGATTTATGTAAGAATGATGAAATGTTTGAAAAATTCTGTGATGACAGATAAACATTATACCATAAATTTGTTGAAATCATAACACAGTTCTAGCTTTTAGTTTATGTTCTGTGGATTTCTTGTGTGTGTTTACGGGTGTTTTTATATATGTATGTATGTATGATTGTTCCTCCAAATCACCCACCTCATTCTGGATATTTACTAATCAGATTAGGTTTAGCTCTACTAGAAACTTACCCTTAGAGTGAAAAACTACTTGATGCCAATGATGATCTGCGGGATAAAAGCGAAGCAATGAGAGACTGCACAAAAGGAGACCGCTCCAAAAATATTGCGCAATGATGGAGTCACTGGGAAAAAAAAGACTGTCTACTGCAGGCAGAAATGTACACTCCTAAGCTAGAGGCTAATTGTTTGAATAAATATAGCATCTTAAAATTTCCTTTCATAAATAAAACATAGTGATAGAAGAAAGATGAAGCCCAGGAGTGCTATGTGAGCACTTAATCTGACACGAAGGAGAAAATCACAGAAAGAAAGCCTTCTTATAGAGAAGTCACCTCATTCTCCCAAGAAGCTAGGACCACAGGCATGTGCCACCATGCCCAGCTACTTTTTGCATTTTTAGTAGAGACAGAATTTTGCCGTGTTGCCCAGGCTGGACTCAAACTCCTGAGCTGGAGTGATCTGCCTGCCTCAGCCTCCCAAAGCACTAGGATTACAGGCGTGTTCTTCTGGACACTCATGCCCTCTGTCTGCTCTGTATGCCTATTGGGTGATTTGCTCTACTTGCCAGCTTTGCTGTAAAAAGACGAAAAAAAAAAAAGGGGCAGTAAGTATAACTGCTTATGCGAGTGTGCATTTTGGTGGAGGAGTTTTATAAATGATAGACAAAATTCCCCTTTAGGCTCTATTTAATCTTTCAGATAGTAAATCCAGATTTGCCCCCAGATGTAAGACGTCATGTGACTAGTAGCTTGTGACTGTGTAAGTCATCGGTTTCACTTTATGTATGGATAGGATTACACGCAGAGGTGAAAGGTGAAACGCTGGTTAAGAGTACAAGTTTCAAGTTTGCTCTGTGCTTCCATACAAATATAATAGAAGCAGCTTCTGTAGAATTTCCTTAGCAGTAAACCAGACGTGTTCCAAGAGAATAACAGTAATAAAAAAATTTAGGTTAAAAATCTTAGAGTTAAGGCTTAAAGTACTGCCTAAATGTCACTAAGGTACACTTCTGAGCTGGCCTGCAGCTAACTTCAGATCTGACTTTTGCTTGAATTGCAGTCATCCGAATTTCACTAGGAACATAGGCAAAAGATAACTTTTGCAAATAAATTTCATCATTTCACCTTTATGGCAAATAATGGATTTCTAATATGAAACTTTAATAATATTAACATATGGGAATTACATTAACATGTGACTAGTTACACTATCATTGGAATTTTAACCAACTGCTTCCAAATACAGTTAGAGAATTTTATAATTATTTGATATAATGGGGATAGCTGGGACTGAATGTCACTTGGACATTCAAAAGATCAATACTTGAATTAAAGTTAACACTTATCTTGGGAGTGGAGGTAAAAAATAAATAAAAAGCTTGTTTCAGTGCTATGAAAGATGCCTGTAAATAGCACAGCTGTTTTAGGTTTCTTGTTGTCTGAGAAAGGGTTTACAAATAAGGAAAAAGGCTACAATGAACCTCATAGCATTGGATTGGATTAGACATTAATATGAGCTTCAGGTTTCATATGTGTGTGTGTGTAAGAGTATATGCATATATATATGTGAGTGTGTATAGATATATGTATGTACACACACATATGTGTAAACAGATAAAGAAGTTGATACAGATGCATGTGTGTATACATACGTTTATTTACTAGCCATACCTGCTGAGAGGGCTTAAAAGGAATGACACCACAGAACCAATTAACTTACCTCGTGCTCAAAATTCGGTTTTTAAATATCATTCTCCAGTAAAAAGAATGGGAATCTCTAGAGAAATGCCTGATTTTAGGACGGGTGGAACAAGTCAAGTAAAGATGTGCCTGAGATATTTTGTTGTGCAAGAAACTAAGGAAATGCTTACAAAATGATGGGGACATGTGACAAAGATACAGGATACTGCCATACAAGCTCCAAACATGTAAGACAATTTGAGCAACAAACTAAATAATTACTGTAATGGGTTCAACTTATAGAGTAAACTAATAATCCATGATAAAAATGAACAAATGAATAAAGAAATGGGGGAGAAGGGAACCTCTTTCTTTTTTTATTTTTATTTTTTTATTATACTTTTAAGTTTTAGGGTACATGTGCACAACGTGCAGGTTAGTCACGTATGTATACATGTGTGGAACCTCTTTCTAACAGTAGAATTCCAGCTAATAAATGTAGAAGGAATGGCAGAAATAAAAAAGTCACCATTAAACACCACAGTGATGATTGTTGTAGGGAGGAATTAATTGATGATAACATTAGTGGGGAAAAGTGCGGTGAGAAACAGGATATTTACATATTTGCACTAAGTACAAAGGGAAAAATAATAACTTTTCTGTGGAGAAACATGGCAAAAACAACTTGAAGCAGTGTGCTTCCTGATAAACTGTGCAGGGTACATCACTTGTGTTTTATTTCTGCCAAAAATACATACGTTGAATTTAATGATAAGGAAACATCGAACATCACAGATGGAGGTATATTCACCGGCCAGTGCTCTCTGAGAGTGTCAAGGTCATGAAAAGCAAGGAGAGTGAGGAACTGTTCGAGAGTAAAAGAGACCAGGGCGACAACAGTGAAATATAGCTTATGATCCTGGATCTGAAATAGGGCATTGAGATAATTGATGCAATTTGAGTAAGCTTTTTAGGCTAGCACTGATACAACACTATTATGTAATTTCCTGATTTTGATAGTTGTATTCTGGTTATCTAAGATGTTAACATTTGAGAAATATGTGTGAATGGTAGGAATGTTTACTTTTTTTGCAATGTTTTTGTAAATCCAAAATTATTTAAAAATGAACAGTTAAATATATTTAAAAATAAGCACAGTTTTTGCAATGTGTTACCTACTGTATATTTAATGATAACTTATAATTCAGTCGCACAAATGCTGTGACGGCTAATAATTCCTTAGGGTGTCCTTAATGGACATTGCACTGACAACATTGTTTCAGGCTAATTTATACATGACAACTAAAAGGAATAATTGGTACTTAGAGATGGAAAAATGACATGATACATTTATCACATTTTAATGTTGTTTGAGCCCTTTCAGTTTTTTTCACAGTGTATCCTGACTGCTTGAATTAGATATTCAAGGGCAGGAATTTTTTTATTTGGAATGTCTTCATTATATGAATTGCAGCCCAGAGCAAAGATTCATTTTCAACCGTCGAGATAGCTCATGGAACCTCAGTGGCAAAGGTTTAAGATAGGAACATCAGAAAAGGTGTCCTTCATAAAAATAAGGGAATTCTTTCCATCACCACATTATTCTTTAACATTCAACTCTAAGTGGGCACACACTTTAGTATTAGAGGAAAGTGGCTGTGCACTTGCTGCCACCTCTAACAAATTTTCCTGGTCCCATTCATACTCTTAATGCCTTATTCTAAGAATTAATCCTAAAAATTAATCCCGTTCTTCATTTCTGCATTACAGGATAACATAAACATAGAGGAAGCTGCCCGGTTCCTAGTGGAGAAGATTCTTGTAAACCACCAAAGCTTTCCTAATGAAGAAAACGATGTGGACAAAATTAAGCTAGATCAAGAGACCTTGAGAGCAGAGAACAAATCCCAGTGTTGCTGATATATGGCTTCTGCTTCTCTTGTGTGTGCCTCAGCTCTGAAGAAGTTCCTGAGAATGGGTTACAGATGTCATGTTAGCTGGGAGTCTTCCCACATGTGGCACTTCAAAAGGCAGCACCACTGGGCGCCTGCACTTATTTGAAAATGGAACTTTGGGAGAAGTATCCCTGCTAGTGGCTCTGTAACTTAACAGATGACAATTAGGCTTTTGTCATTGTTGCCATCATATGGAAGATAATGTTTACATCCTTTTAAACATTTTTATATGACAATTCCTCAGGATTTGGTAAGGCTTCCAAGTTGTAGCTTTTAGTGTAAGTGCTGGGGTGGTAATAAAATGTTACCTCCAGTCTTATGGTCATTTTGAGTCTTATTTTTGCCACCTTATTGCATCCTCGCTTTTTAGGGGGGTTTTTAGATTCTATTAGCCACGAAGGCTTGAGGTTTCTCTTTAGCGATTTTCTATTCAAAACTTTGGAAAGGCCAGGTATGGTGGCTCATGCCTATAATTCCAGCACTTTAAGAAGGTGAGGCAGGAAGATCACTTGAGCCCAGAAGTTTGAGGTCACAGTGAGCTATGATTGCACCATGGCACTCCAGCCTGAGCAACAGAGTGAGAACCTCTTTCTTAAAACAAAACAAAGCAAAACAAACAAACGAACCTTTTGAAACTTCGTGTAAAGTTACTTTCCTTACTTATAACTAACTTAACCATTCATAGCTGGTGTGGCATGTGGTCGCTCTTCTTAAATACATTAAAATGACCTTCTTAATGACTGAAAAAGTACTCATAGCACATCTGTATTATGGATGTTTCCTTCTGGATATGGTTACTACCCCTTGGAAACTATATAAATGAGCATTTCTTCTTCTCTCTCCCTAGTCCTTTCTCTCTTCTTCCTGTGTGTTTATGTTCATAACTGAGGGCCTAAGTGATATGATGGTTGCAATTCTTTCTCAAGTCTGTGATAGCAATGGTCAAGGAGAGAAAGTATTTCAAAGCATATACAATTAAATCTGAGCTTCTATAGTATGAATTGTGAAAGACACTAGGTCATGTGTGGTTTTATCTAAGGGTCGGGACATTTAAAGTATAATATCTAAGAAACTTAAGGCAGATTCACAATATCTGCATTACCATTTAAGCCAATTAATGAAAATAATAAATATTTTGACCGAAGTCTTACTTTTGAATTAGTATAATTCTACAATAGAAAGGTAATATGGGATGTACTTTTCTGCCTTAGAAAAATTTGTTAACTTTTGCCTTTTATTTTTAAGGGACTTACTTATATCATGTCCAACTTACTGATTTAAGAAAGGTCCAAACTTACTTCTTTCTTTTATTATTATTATATTATTATTATTATTATTATTATTATTATTATACTTTAAGTTTTAGGGTACATGTGCACAGTGTGCAGGTTAGTTACATATGTATACATGTGCCATGCTGGTGTGCTGCACCCATTAACTCGTCACTTAGCATTAGGTATATCGCCTAATGCTATCCCTCCCCCCTCCCCCAACCCCACAACAGTCCCCAGAGTGTGATGTTCCCCTTCCTGTGTCCATGTGTTCTCATTGCTCAATTCCCATCTATGAGTGAGAACACGCGGTGTTTGGTTTTTTGTCCTTGTGATAGTTTACTGAGAATGATGATTTCCAATTTCATCCACGTCCCTACAAAGGACATGGTGTATTCCATGGTGTATATGTGCCACATTTTCTTAATCCAGTCTATCATTGTTGGACATTTAGGTTGGTTCCAAGTCTTTGGGATTGTGAATAGTGCCGCAATAAACATACGTGTGCATGTGTCTTTATAGCAGCATGATTTATAGTCCTTTGGGTATATACCCAGTAATGGGATGGCTGGGTCAAATTGTATTTCTAGTTCTAGATCCCTGAGGAATCGCCACACTGACTTCCACAATGGTTGAACTAGTTTACAGTCCCACCAACAGTGTAAAAGTGTTCCTATTTCTCCACATCCTCTCCAGCACCTGTTGTTTCCTGACTTTTTAATGATTGTCATTCTAACTGGTGTGAGATAGTATCTCATTGTGGTTTTGATTTGCCTTTCTCTGATGGCCAGTGATGATGAGCATTTTTTCATGTGTCGTTTGGCTGCATAAATGTCTTCTTTTGAGAAGTGTCTGTTCATATCCTTTGCCCACTTGTTGATGGGGTTGTTTGTTTTTTTCTTGTCAATTTGTTTGAGTTCATTGTAGATTCTGGATATTAGCCCTTTGTCAGATGAGTAGGTTGTGAAAATTTTCTCCCATATTGTAGGTTGCCTGTTCACTCTGATGGTAGTTTCTTTTTGCTGTGCAGAAGCTCTTTAGTTTAATTAGATCCCATTTGTCAATTCTGGCTTTTGTTGCCATTGCTTTTGGTGTTTTAGACATGAAGTCCTTGCCCATGCCTATGTCCTGAATGGTAATGCCTAGGTTTTCTTCTAGGGTTTTTATGGTTTTAGGTCTAACGTTTAAGTCTTTAATCCATCTTGAATTAATTTTTGTATAAGGTGTAAGGAAGGGATCCAGTTTCAGCTTTCTACATATGGCTAGCCAGTTTTCCCAGCACCATTTATTAAATAGGGAATCCTTTCCCCATTTCTTGTTTTTGTCAGGTTTGTCAAAGATCAGATAGTTGTAGAAGTGTGGTATTATTTCTGAGGGCTCTGTTCTGTTCCATTGATCTATATCTCTGTTTTCGTACCAGTACCGTGCTGTTTTGGTTACTGTAGCCTTGTAGTATAGTTTGAAGTCAGGTAGCGTGATGCCTCCAGCTTTGTTCTTTTGGCTTAGGATTGACTTGGCAATGTGGGCTCTTTTTTGGTTCCATATGAACTTTAAAGTAGTTTTTTCCAATTCTGTGAAGAAAGTCATTGGTAGCTTGATGGGGATGGCATTGAATCTATAAATTACCTTGGGCAATATGGCCATTTTCACAATATTGATTCTTCCTGCCCATGAGCATGGAATGTTCTTCTATTTGTTTGTATCCTCTTTTATTTCGTTGAGCAGTGGTTTGTAGTTCTCCTTGAAGAGGTCCTTCACGTCCCTTGTAAGTTGGATTCCTAAGTATTTTATTCTCTTTGAAGCAATTGTGAATGGGAGTTCACTCATGATTTGGCTCTCTGTTTGTCTGTTATTGGTGTATAAGAACGCTTGTGATTTTTGTACATTGATTTTGTATCCTGAGACTTTGCTGAAGTTGCTTATCAGCTTAAGGAGATTTTGGGCTGAGACTATGGGGTTTTCTAGATATACAATCATGTCGTCTGCAAACAGGGACAATTTGACTTCCTCTTTTCCTAATTGAATACCCTTTATTTCCTTCTCCTGCTTAATTGCCCTGGCCAGAACTTCCAACTTTCAAATAAAATTGTAAGGGTTTTGTAACACAATCCAAAGCTAATGCAAAATGAGACCTTGACCAAATTTGTTTTATACATTAAGTGAACTTGGATGGGCAAGATTCATTAATTTATTGAGAACAAAAACAAAACCAAAGCCTAGGCTTGGCAAGATCTAATCCCAACACTTTGGTAGGTCAAAGCGGGAGAATCTCTTGAGCCCAGGAGTTCAAGACCAGCCTTAGCAACATAGAGAGACCTTGTCTTTACAAAAATCAAAAACAAAAACAAAACACTGAAAAACACAGCAAGAAGTGCATTTGCTTTGACAGCTATGTTCTGGGAATAAATAATAGTTGTCAGGGACGATAAAATGTAGCTCTCTTTTCATTAAACCTAAGTTTTGCCTAGAAATCACATATATGTTTATATATTATATATTTAAGTAAGAAAAAAACCCTTTTGACCTCTTTGGATATGTATTCTACATATCTACATAGCACCAGATTTTCTGAAGTGAAAAAGTAAAAGACCCTGATTTAAGTAATATATATCATTTAATGACTATAATATCTGTTTATTTTTTTAAATATTGAATTAACTCTTTCTTTCTAAAATATGTTTCATACTCCTTAGTTTTTTTCTACTCTAGGTACAACTTTTCAACCTTTTTTATATTTCAAAGTCCAGTGGTATTAAGTATGAAATGGTGCTTAACCTCAAATGTTAGAAATATAAAGCTTATCCTAAGTAGTTTCTGAAAAGATTGCAATCTGCTTGGAATTTTCTTTTTTATATATTAATTTTCATTTTTACAAGAAATCCATTGTGTTTAAATTCCCTTAACAGTACATTCAAAATCAGGAATATTACACTTTCATTGCCCATCTTTACAATTGTTATTAACTTCTCAGGGTAATTTTAAGCATTGGTAATACCTTAAATAAATTGCTTTTTGTAAACACTTAGATTATTTTTTGTGTGAGATAGTTTATTATATTTACCATTTCCTACAGCTTAGAAATAAAACTGAGTCACTATTTCACATTACTTTTAAAGTCTTGCCACAATTTGTTTTTATAACTTAAACATAAAATTTGAATTTAGGGTGAGCTGCATAAATAGCCAAAAGAAAAGAAAGAAGAGAATACTCTGACTTATTTACTTTGAAAAATCAATTGCATATACATGTGTGTATATGTATATATACACACACAGATACACATAAAAACACACTGGATGAGATGCTGGCAAGAAGTACAGAATACCTCATTAATTAAAAGGATTTTTTTTGCATGTGTCTCAGGCATCATAAATTTACCAATGTTCTAATTATATCTATATGATTTGTATATGTACATATAAATTGGGTTACATATATATTTTATATGCATATATACATATGTATACATATATGTATACTTATACATATGTACATATATGTATACATAAATAGAAGTATGTATATATAAATGTATATATACATACATTTATATGTATAAATGTGTACATATATGTGTAATATGTATATATAGATGTGTAATATGTATATGCACATATATGTGATACATATGTGTGTATACATGTATGTGCAATTTTATGTGTGTATGCATACATACTATATATACATACATAAAACATATGTATGTATAATATGTATATTTATAAAGTACATATATATGCATATGTATGTAACTCAATAATGTTTCTAAAAGTGACTGTTACCATAAGCTGTGACTTTTCAAAATGTTGTTTGGTTTCCTGAAATATGTACATAAAAGCACCCAATTTGCTTAATGAAAAATCCTGAGCCTTACTTCAGACTTACTGAGTTAGTTTTGTAGGGATGAGACTCACTCGGAAATCTGCTTTTACAAAATACCTGATGTTCATTTTGGAAAACCTCCTAGAGTAAATACCGTAGTTACAGTGTTATTCAGTTTGAAATCTATCATATTATTCAAAACATGAACACTCTTAAATTATAGCACTTTCATTCCCATTTGTAAATCATTGTTATTAAAAAGCCTGAATATCTGGAGCCTGCAGTGAGCCGAGATCGTGCCACTGCACTCCAGCCTGGGCGACAGTGCAAGACTCCATCTTAAAAAAAAAAAAGCCTGAATATCTTAAACCATGGACAAACAGTATAAATTTGCTTCCATCCACTGAAGAAAACAGAAGCTAAAGGGTTCTGATAGGCTGGACTAATCTACAAATATTGTTGCTAAAGCTGGCTAGCTATTTGGAATAAAAAGTCACCTTTCTATCTCACTGCTTCCCAAATTGATACAATATAGAAAATAGCCTAAATGTAAAAACAAGAAATAAAGCTACAAAAAAATTAGCATACATGGGAAAAAAATTGATATTGGGCTAAGAAAATCCTGAATTCTCAAATGCTGAAAGCAAGGAGGAAAAGATGATAGATACATTTGATTACATCAAAATATCTGGTATAGCAAGATGATATAAACAAAAGTGTAACAAGCAACAGACAAAATATTTGTAACCTGTTTAATTTTGTAAGGGCTAATAAGGGGTATTAAGAAAACTAAGAAAAGAAACAAAAGATGTAAAACAAGTATTTTATGGAAGAGGCAAGTCTTAGGAAATGTTTTATAAACTCAATAAAGTAAGGTGTTATTAGATTCACAAAGAATGTGTAAGGTTGATTATATCTCTGATATTTGTGAACATACATAGAAAAATAGGTATTCACAATCTACCATTAGACTAAATTTATTTTAATAATTACTACCAAGATTCCCTGCAAAATTGCTATTCAGTTTACACTCTTAGTACGTGTCTTGCCAAGAAGAGGAACTGTTACTGTGGGGAAATAGAATTAAAAACAAAATCCCTTTCCAATACATAAAACTTCTTCACAAAGACAGAATAGAAAGGAAGTGGTTTTATTATTGAATAAGTACTAAAGCAGAATGTGATATGCACTACAGGGAATACTGTAAGACACTGCAAAGATGGAAATCTTATTCTTTTTATGACCCACAGATTCAATACATTACATACATGTTGTCAAGCTAATCTAGTGCTTAATCAAATAACAGTCATTTTCTATGCAGAGTTCATTTTAAATTCACTTGGTAATTGAGATGATGATCTGTGTTAACCAGCTGGCTTTATCTAAAGGAAAACTCAACTTCTTATATCTTTATGCCAGATGGTAGATTTGCAACTTGGTGCCAGGTGCCCAGCAAGGTTAGGCTCCTACCCTCCTACAGAAACTGGGAGATAGGGCCACTGTCTTCCTACATTTCAAAGAGATGGTACTCCCCGGCCCCAGAGAAAGCTAGAAAGAGGGTAATTTAGTTTTTTGTTTGTTTGTTTGTTAATTTTATTTTATTATTATTATACTTTAAGTTTTAGGGTACATGTGCACAACGTGCAGATTTGTTACATATGTATACATGTGCCATGTTGGTGTGTGCACCCATTAACCCATCATTTAGCGTTAGGGATTTAAAAAAAAAAACAACTTATTCTCGATTCAATCAACTGGAATAAAGGGTATCAGTGATGGAAGATCAAATGAATGAAATGAAGCGAGAAGTTTAGAGAAAAAAGAATAAAAAGAAACGAACCAAGCCTCCAAGAAATATGGGACTATGTGAAAAGACCAAATCTACGTCTGATTGGTGTTCCTGAAAGTGACAGGGAGATTGGAACCAAGCTGGAAAACACTCTGCAGGATATTATCCAGGAGAACTTCCTGAATCTAGCAAGGCAGGCCAACATTCAAATTCAGGAAATACAGAGAATGCCACAAAGATACTCCTCGAGAAGAGCAACTCCAAGACACATAATTGTCAGATTTACCAAAGTTGAAATGAAGGAAAAAATGTTAAGGGCAGCCAGAGAGAAAGGTCTGGTTACCCAGAAAGGGAAGCCCATCAGACTAACAGCTGATCTCTCGGCAGAAACTCTACAAGCCAGAAGAGAGTGGGGGCCAATATTCAACATCTTAAAGAAAATAATTTTCAACCCAGAATTTCATATCCAGCCAAACTAAGCTTCATAAGTGAAGGAGAAATAAAATACTTTACAAACAAGCAAATGTTGAGAGATTTTGTCACCACCAGGCCTGCCCTAAAAGAGCTCCTGAAGGAAGCACTAAACATGGAAAGGAACAACCGGTACCAGCCACTGCAAAAACATGCCAAATTGTAAAGACCATCAAGGCTAGGAAGAAACTGCATCAACTAACGAGCAAAATAACCAGCTAACATCATAATGACAGGATCAAATTCACACATGACAATATTAACCTTAAATGTAAATGAGCTAAATGCTCCAATTAAAAGACACAGACTGGCAAATTGGATAAAGAGTCAAGACCCACCAGTGTGCTGTATTCAGGAAACCCATCCCACGTGCAGAGACACACATAGGCTCAGAATAAAGGGTAATTCAGTTTTTAAAAAGATGTGCATGCATTTCAAAGAGACAAAGAACTTGAAAGGTTTCTAATGTAGATATTCTCAGAAAAGGGTGAGTGAGGTTTGGGATGGGCAGCTGGGAGAATCTCTTTTCTTATTTTCACCAGAGAGAATTAAGCCTCTTATTTTTTATTTGTATTTGCCCTTACTGTCAACACTACATATATATCTGTGTGTACGAGGAGGATAGAGAAGTCTGTTCACTGCAGCATTGCTCGTATATACGTCATGCAAAATTAAAACTTGGAAAGAACTAAATGCTCATGTATAGGGGAGAAATAAAGTGGACAATTACATATCCATACTAGGAGATACTGTGCAGCAGTATAATAACATTTATATAAAAACATGTATAAGAATTTTAAGGCTTTGTAACCATTTGGAAAGATACATACCAAATTCCTGATGGCAATTGTAGAGGACTGGAATTGGGAATGTTGGTCAAGGCCGACTTTAGCTTTTTAGATAAAGTTTACATATTATGGCAATGTATTATAGTTGACAATTCATTTTACACTGGTCACTGTGTTTGCTACACTATACTGAAAAGGAGAATTCCCATTTGGAACTTGATGCTTTATAAAAATAACTGGTTTGAATTATCTTACATTTTATTAGATTTAATGACATCAATGATTTTGTGCTTTTTAGATTTCGCATATATCAGTTAACTTCTTTAAGATAAATAGCTGGAATTATCAGCTCAGTAAAAATGTCCATTTGCATGGTTGAATTTGTTGTTGCTCACTGTAGTCATTGTTTAAGAATAGATAACTGAGCAATTTAAAGAACAGGCTTTATATAGATATAAAATCATATCAACTACCCATTTCTTCTACATAGATTTCTGTTTTGAAAGATGAGCATATAACAGCATGATTCTTCTTATTTCTAATTCATCAACTAATGTGTATATGTGGAAGGAGGAGAAGGAAGTAGGAGTATGGATGATAGAGTTTGGAGTTACATATAAAGTATTGCTGATACTTTTTATATATTAGTTATTCAATCTGCTGCCTCTGAAAAGTCACTTGAACACCACCTAGTATTGTTCCACAAGTCCATCAGCATTTTCCAAATCAAATCCATTATCTTAAGATCTTTCCACTGCTAAATATTCCCTAGAGGATAGTTTATATATTATAATTTAAATAAATTATGATTCTATTCACTCCAAGATAACATATAATGGTATATTTTCATGGTATAATTATTTTGCTGAATTTTTTGAACCACATTAAATTTATAGCTGCCATTTCCCTCCCTTTATATAAACTTTGATTTTGAGTCTTTAGTGTATCGTTAGTCCTGCTGTTAAATTGTGACTTGGGAGCCTACAAAACTTTAAAGGAATAAAGCAAGTGTTTTAGATAAAGTCTTATAATAATGTTGGTGGACTCTTGCTTCAATTTTAATTCAACATACTGTTTTATTTGTCATCTGGGGTTAAAGAACAATACCTGTGGAATTCTTTATTTTATTGATTATAAGCTTTTAGATAATCTCCAAAAACTTTTCTCTTATAGAAATTTTGTGCTGTAAAGTACCATAGTACTCCTGTGCTGGTGATTCAGAATAATTTTAATAGCTTGGAGTAGAATCTAATTTTTCATAGCATAACACCTTTAAAAATTGAATATATACTCTAGGCTGTTTGTGGTACCACCTGAGAATATTTCTATCCAATCCTGTTTAACAGGATGATGATTTAGTGATAAATTCAATACACATTGCTAACAATGTAGAATATGTGCAGTAATTGACCTTATCCAGAAAGCAGTTACGGTTAAAATAGAAATTTTATGACAGGATTCATATGTAAGCCAGTCCTCAGGTACACACAATGCTAAGCATATGACATTCTCAAGTAATGGTCACTGCTACCCCAAAATGAGCTTATGTTCAAACATTTAAAGAAACATTTCAGTATAAGATTAAGGTTGATTAGGCTAGGCGTGGTGGCTCCCGCCTGTAATCCCAGCACTTTGGGAAGCCAAGGCGGGTGGATCATGAGGTCGGGAGATCGAGACCATCCTGGCCAACATGGTAAAACCCTGTCTCTACTAAAAACACAGAAATTAGCCAGGCATGGTGGTGTTCACCTGTAGTCCCAGCTACTCAGGAGGCTGAGGCAGGAGAATCGCTTGAACCCAGAATCTGGGAGGCAGATGTTGCAGTGAGCGCAGAGATGGCGCCACTGCACTCCAGCCTGGGTGACAGAGCAAGACTCCGTCCCCCCAACAACAACAAAAAAAAAATTAAGGCTGATTACTGAATCAATGCTAAATTTAATATGTTCCAATATTTTTCATGCATTTATATATTAAAATATTCATTTTTTCCCACTCTACATTTTTAACTACAAAGGGAGCATGAAATAAATACTTCACTCTGTAGCAGACTTTTCAGGTATTTCACAACTGAATGAAAGTCTTCAAAGATGAATTTACTCCATGTATATTTTAAGATAGCCCTAGACGGAGTGAGTTAAGCTGAATCCTGAGTACATGGAATCCATTGCTATACCCAGCTCCTTTAATTCATTGTTATTTATTGCTGTCCTGACTTGTGAGTGCAGACAGAGTCTGATGTGATAACTTCTTTTCAAAGCTGTGGACGTTCATGGACACGAACTACCACTGAAATATCAGCACCCAAATGCTGTACTTGTAATTCAGAGAAGACAACTAAAGGTTTATTTTCTCCTTTAATTCACCATGCAATAAATGAAATCAATAGAGAAAGAAGAGAAGTTAATACCTTCTTTTCTCATTAATGAGCTGGACAAGCTTCCAAATGACTACCTCTAGTAGTGATATTTTTGGAACTGCATACAATGAGAGTCTGTCTTTTAACCTTTACTAAATGACATATTTGTAAGTGCATGTTTGAAGCCCTCTTGTTCTTTTAAAATCAAGGTTAATCATGAACTTGAAGGTAAAAAGAAACATCATCTGTCAAATGAAGTTGTCTATAAGTGTCACCCACTCACGTTGCTTATGTTAGAGAAAAAATTTTAGTAAGATCCCACTAAGTACTTAGATGCAATTTTTCATTCTCTTCCCAGCCTGCATGTTGTAAGTGAAATATCCAATATGTCATGGCTGGTTAATTCTTCTCTAACCTTTGTCTTAGGTGTCACTTTAAAATGTGGGAACTCAATATTTCTAAAACAGAATTGGTATCTTAGTCCATTTTCTTCTAGCTTATAACAAAATACCCCAAACTGGGTAATTTATAAGAAAAAAAATATTACTTACAATTCTGGAGTCTGGGAAGTCCAGGGTCAAGGGGCTGCATCTGGTTTGGGTCTTCTTGCTAGCGAGGACTCTCTGTGGGGTCCTGTGGTAGTGAAGGACATCACATAGCAAGGGAGCTGAGCATGCTATTCCAGGCCTCTCTTCCTCTTCTTATAAAGCCACCAGTCCCACTCCTGTGATAACTCGTTAATACATTAATCCATGGATCACCTCTTAAAGGCCCATCTCTCAATACTAACACCTTGGGGATTAAGTTTCAACATGAATTTTGGAGATGACAAACATTCAAACTATAGCAATTATTATATACCTTCAATATTGGTCTGTTCAGGATACCAAAAAACCCACAAAAACCAATACACAGGATCAAAACAAAAATTTAGTTTTTTGAAATAAAAAAATTGATAGATCACTAGCTAGACTGAACAAAAAAAAGAATTAAATAAGCACAATTAGAAATGATAAAGGTGACATTGCAACTGATACTGCAGAAATAGAAAAGATCATTAGAGACTACTGTGAGTATATCTACATACAAACTAGAAAACCTAGAGGAAATTGATAAATTCCTGGACACATAAAACCTCTCAAGATTGAATTTTTTTAATGAAACAATTATTTAAAAATGAGACTTGCGAGAATCAGGAGCATACAGCAGATCCACCCTGTTATGGGTTGAATTGTGTTCCCCTAAAAGACATGTTGAAGTCTGATGTGCTTTGGCTGTGCCCCCACCCAAATCTCATCTTGAATTGTAGTTCCCATAATCCCTATGTGTTGCAGGAGGTAGCCTGTGGGAGATAATTGAATCATGGGAGTGGTTTCCCCCATACTGTTTTCATGGTAGTGAATAAGTCTCACAAGATCTGAGGATTTTATAAGAGGAAACCCTTTTTGCTTGATTTTAATTCTGTCCTACCTGCTGCCATGTAACACGTGCGTTTTGCCTTTCACCATGATTGTGAGGCCTCCCCAGCCACGTGGAACTGAGTCTATTATTTCTTTACAAATCACCCAGTCTTGGACTTGTCTTTCTCAGCAGCATGAAAACAGACTAATACACAGTCCCAACCTCCAGTACCTCAGAATGTGATCTTATTTGAAAATAGCGTGGTTTTTTAATGATCACCATTCTAACTGGTGTGAGATGGTATGTCATTGTGGTTTTGATTTGCATTTCACTGATGGCCAGTGATGTCATGAAACAACAGGTGCTGGAGAGGATGTGGAGAAATAGGAACACTTTTACACTGTTGGTGGGACTGTAAACTAGTTCAACCATTGTGGAAGACAGTGTGGTGATTCCTCAAGGATCTAGAACTAGAAATACCATTTGACCCAGCCATCCCATTACTGGGTATCTACCCAAAAGATTATAAATCATGCTGCTATAAAGACACATGCACATGTACATTTATTGCGGCACTATTCACAATAGCAAAGACTTGGAACCAACCCAAAAGTCCATCAATGATAGACCGGATTAAGAAAATGTGACACATATACACCATGGAATACTATGCAGCCATAAAAATGATGCGTTCATGTCCTTTGTAGGGACATGGATGAAGTTGGAAACCATCATTCTGAGCAAACTATCGCAAGGACAGAAAACCAAACACCACATGTTCTCACTCACAGGTGGGAATTGAACAATGAGAACACCTGGACACAGGATGGGGAACATCACACACTGGGGCCTGTTGTGGGGTGTGGGGAGGGGGGAGGGATAGCATTAGGAGATATACCTAATGAAAATGATGAGTTAATGGGTGCAGCACACCAACATGGCACATGTATACATATGTAACAAACCTGCACATTGTGCACATGTACCCTAGAACTTTAAGTATAATAAAAATAAATAAATTAAAAAATTACAGTGTTAGTAGACCCCTCCTAAAAAAAAAGAAAATAGGGTGGTTGCAGATGTAATTAGATAAGATGGGGTCATACTCATGTAGCTTGGCCTCCTAATATAATATGACTGATGTCCTTACTAAAAGGTGGCTATTTGAAGACATAGATAGGGAGAACATGTGAAGACAGAGGATTAGAGTGATTCAGCAACAAATCACTTGTCAGATTGCTGACAAACCACCATAACCTAAGAAAAGGCAAGTATAAAATTTTCTGCAGATTTTTGGGGAAGCGTGGTCTTGCTGACATCCTTTGTCTTGGACTTCTAGCCTCCAGCACTTTGAGACAATACATTTCTGTTGTGATACTTTGTTGCAGTAGCCCTAGAGAATGAATACATCCCCAACACCAGCTCTGCTTCTTTTATAGTTCAGGAAAAATGCTGAAGTGGAAAAATATATCACAAAAACTAAGGTTAAATTAGAAGCAGTACGAAAGAGAATAGACTATTGAAAACACAGTAAGTGATAGAATGGTGCTATAGTTTGAATGTCTCCTCCAACATTCACATTGAAATTTAATTTCCAATATAACTGTATTTGGAGGTGAGGCCTTTAAGAGGTGATTAGGTCATGATGGCTTGTCATCATTACAGGATGGGTTAGTTATTGCAACACTAAGATTGTTATAAAAGAGAGTTTGTCCTGATTTCTCCTCTCTCTCTCTCACACACACACACACACACACACACACACACACACACACACACACGGACTCACTTCTCCTTTCCACCCTTTGGCCATGTGATGATGCTTCTCTCTCTTCTCTCTCTTTCTCTCTCTCTCTCTCTCTCTCACACACACACACACACACACACACACACACACACACACATGGACTCACTTCTCCTTTCCACCCTTTGGTCATGTGATGATGCTTCTCTCTCTTCTTTCTCTCTCACACACACACACACTTGCTTCTGTCTTCCACCCTTTGGCCATGGGATAATGCTTGTCATGCTCATAGGCTTCCCACCCTTTAAAACTCTGAGCCAAATAAACTTCTATTGTTTATAAATTACCCAGTCTGTGGTATTCTATTGCAGCAGCAGAAAACAAACTGAAACAGATGAAAAAGACACAGTAGCGCAATGCAAACAAACCAAAAAACAAGCACAAATATCAAACAAGGAAGATAGCAAAGACTTGGAACCAACCCAAATGCCCATCAATGACAGACTGGATAACGAAAATGTGGCACATGTGCATCATGGAATACTATGCAGCCATAAAAAAGAATGAGTTCATGTCCTTTGCAGGGACATGGATTAAGCTGGAAATGATCATTCTCAGCAAACTAACACAGGAACAGAAAACCAAACACTGCATGTTCTCATCGTAACTGGGAGTTGAACAATGAGAACACATGTGCACAGGGAGGGGAACATCACATACTGGGGCTGTCAGGGGGTGGGGGTAAGGGGAGGGATAGCATTAGGAGAAATACCTAATGTAGACGACGGGTGGATGGGTGCAGTAAACTACCATGGCACATGTATATGTATGTAACAAACCTGCACGTTCTGCACATGTATCCCAGAACTTTAAGTATAATAAAAAATTTAAAAAAAATTAAAAACACTGATGAAAGAAATTTAAGCAGGCATCAATAAATTGAAAGATATCTCATGTTCATGGCATGAAACAATATTGCTAAAAAAAATGTTCATACTAGACAAAGCAATTGACAGATTCAATGCAATCTCTATCAAAATTACAATGGCTTTTTTTTTAGAGAAGTAGAAATAACAATCCTAAAATTCACTGGAACTCCGAAACATCCCAAATAGCCAAATAAATCTTGAGAAATAAGAACAAAGCTGGAGACAGCATCTTTTCTTATTTCAAAATTAAAACAGCATGGTACTGGGATAAAGACAGACACATAGACCAATGGAACAGAATCAACAGCCTCAATGAAGTCAGCAAGATGCAACCTAGAGTTAGCCAGTACTCACCCTCCTCACAAAAAGAAACTGAAGTAACAAACAAACAACTATATTTTGACTAGACTGGCTGAAGAAGTATGCTGGAGAGCACCAGGGGAGTGTCAAATTCTCTGTGGAGCCCAGAAGCCCAGGATAGCACCAGAGAGAGGACAGTGAGGCCTTCCGCCCCTGCCTCACTCTCTCTCCCACCAGAATCAACTTAGCGTCAGGAGGGAGTTCTTACTGGGAAAAGTTGAGCTGTGGATGTCTGGCAGCCCCCGTTGCCACCAAATGCCAGCTATCCTTGTTAGAGTAAAGTCCCCCAATCTTCACAGGCACCAAATTCAGTTTGCAGATTAACCAGGAGCTCAGGCAGGTACATTGTCTCAGAGTAGAAGCCTACATTGGGCACTCATCACCCTTGTGACCTAAGCTTCTATAGGTTGGTGCTATCCTAAAACTGCACCCATTACTAAAAGGGCACCCTTTTCTAGGGGCTGGTGGCAACTGATTTTTTTTTCTATCCCTGAGGCCCCACCATCATTCCACCATGTTTACACAGGTGCCCGCAGCACCATGACTCCAGCTGTCCAGAGCCCAGGCCAGAAGGAATAATCAAGACTTTGGTATCCAAACCCATGTGATATACCCTGTCTCCAAGGAACAGGCAAATCTGCACAGTATGGGAGCTAACAAACAGCAGATCAGCTACTTTGTCCATACACACCCATGACCCACAGCCAGATGGCCTGCCAAGAATGTGTGCACCTGTACCTGGCCCAACAGCTGGTCCTATGGAAGACCTGCCCCCCAACAGATTGCCACAGAGCCTCCCAGGACTGCCATGCCTATGCATACCTAGCCTGACATCTAGTCTAGCTGTAGCCTTGCCTCTTTGGAGAAAGAACCACACAGCATCCCAGTTGGCCACATCCTTGTGCCCCCAAGCCTAGCCTGACAGGCATCTGGCAGCAGCCACCAACTCTACAGACAGCCCAGTGGAAGGCCAGTCAGTCTTCTGTGCCCACATGCAACCAGCCTGACAATGGGCCCAGAGCCTCTACCCCAGCAAGACCCCTCTACTGTCATCAAAAATTCCTACAGCCTAGACCACTGAGGCAATTGCAGACACTGCTGACAGGGATTACAGTGGAAGAAAAATGCATGGAAAACACACTATACACCCAAAAACAAAGCCATTACACTATATTAAACGAACACTCAAGGTCCCATCTACAAAAAAAAAAGTCTCTCCCCATGAAAACTACACTATAAAATTAATAAGGGTGACTATTCCACTAGATATGCAGATATCTACATAGGAACACAAGAAACATAAAAAAGCAGGAAACATGACACCCCCAAAGAAACACATAAGTCTCAAGTAACAGACCCCAAAGAAAAGAACATTTACCAAATGCCTGAAAAACAATTCTAAATAATAATTTTAAGTAAGCTAAGAGAGCTACAAGAGAACACAAACAATTCAATAAAATAAGGAAAACATGATCTGAGTGAGACATTTGACAGAGACAGATATTTTTAAAAAAGAGCCAAACAGAAATTTTGGGGCCAAAGAATTTAATGAATTAATTAAAAAAATACAACTGAGAGCTTCAACAGACTACATCAAGCAAAATAAATAATTTTTGAACATGAAGACCATAATTTAAAGAAACAAAAAGAAGTAGAAATAAAAATAATAAAGAAAACCTGTGGGACTTATGAGACATCATTATGCAAATAAATTTTGCAGTATAGCATTTCCAGACAGAGAAGAGATGGGGAAAGTCACAGAAGACCTTTTTAATGAAATAATAGCTGAAAACTTTCCAAGTATTGAGAGAGATATGAACATTAATATTCAGAAATCTCAAGGGTCCCCAATTAAATTCAATTTCAAAAAACCCTTCTAAGGCCCATTATAATAAAACCATCAAAAGTCAAAGATAGAATTTTAAAAGCTGAAAGAGAAAAGTGTCAAGTCACCTTTAAGGGAATTTTCATTAGACTATTAGCAGATTTCTCAGCAGAATAGAGAATAGGATGGTATATTCAAAGTGCTGAAAATAAAAAAAACTGTCAGCTAAGATATTATATTCAACAAAGCTATTCTTCAGAAATGGAGGAAAAATAGACATTCCCAGACAAGCAAGTCTGAGGGAATTCATCACCAATAGACTGGCCTCTCAGTAAATACTTAAGGAAGTGTTACAAATGGAAAGAAAAGAATGATAATTACTATCATTAAAGCATGTGAAAAGTATGTTACAGGTTATGGAATAAAAAAAAACATGTAAAAGTATAAAATTCACCATAAGACGTAAATTAATAAATCAAACTGATAATACACCAGTGATATAATGGTGCTATGTAAATCTCTCAATCCTCTAGTATGAAGGTTTAAAGTCAAAATGGTCAAAAATAACACTAGCTACAATTAGTGGCTAAGGAATGCATAATAAACAAATTAAGATAACAAAAATATATATTGTGGGGGTAGTAAAAACTCTAGAGTATTTTTATGATACAAAAATTAAGCGGCCATCAGCTTAAATAGTCTAGTATAACTACAGGAGTCTTTATGCTAACCTCATGGCAATCATAAAGAAAGAAATTACAGCAACAAACCAGAAAGAGGAAAGAAAGCATAGCAGCACAGAAAACCACCAAACCTCAGAGCTTAATAAGAAAAGAAGGAACAATTGATCTATAAGACAGTCAGGAAACAATTTTTAAAATGTCAGGAGTAAATGCTTACCGATCAAAAATTACCTCGGGTAAATGAATTAAATTGTACAATTAAAAGATATAGAGTGACTGAATGGATTAAAAACAAATAAACAGGACCCAAGTACATGCTAGCTTCAGGAGACTACTTCACCATTAAAGACAAACATTAAAGACTTAAAGTGAAGGGATGGAAAAGGATATTCCATGCAAATGTAAACAAAAAGTAAGCAAGGGTGGCCATACTTTCATGAGATAAAACAGACTTGAAGTCAAAACTGTAAAAAGAGACAAGGTCATTATATAAGGATAATGACCTTATATAAAGGGATCAATTCAACAAGAGGATATAACAATTGTAAAAATATATATGCACTCAATACTGGAGGATCCAGATATATAAAGCAAATATTATTAGATCTAAAAGGAGAGATAGACTGCAATACAATAATAGCAGGGGACTTTGAGACCCTACTTTAACAATGGACAGACAGATCACCTAGACAAAAAATCAACTACGAAACATCAGAGTTATACTGCACTCTAGATTAAATGGACCCAACAGATATTTACGTAACATTTCCTCCAACCGCTGCAGAATACACATTTTTCTCAACTGCACATCAACATTCTCCACGTTAGATCACATGTTAGGCCACAAAGCGAATCTTTACAAGTTTAAGAAAATAGAGATTGTGTCAAATATCTTTTATGACCACAATGACATAAAACTAGAAATCAGCAACAATAACAATTTTGGAAATTTTACAAATACATGGAAATTAAACAACATGGCTGCTAAAAAACCAATGGGTCAATGAAAAAAAAAGATAAATTAAAAATTTCCTTGAGACAGAAAACTCTGGAAACAAATTATACCAAAACCTATGAGACAACAAAAGCAGTTTTAAGAGAGAAGTTTGCAGCAATAAATACCTACATCTATCTATCTATCTATCTATCTATCTATCTATCTATCTATCTATCTATCATCTATCTATCATCTATCTATCTATCATCTATCTATATTTTAATAAGCAACCTAACAGTGCACCTCAAGAAACTAGAAAAACAACCACAAACTAAATCCAACGTTGGTAGAATTAAAAAAAAAACAAAGCTCAGAGAAGAAATTAACAAAATCGAGACAAAAAATTCAAAAATCAATGAAATGAAGAGAAAGGTTTTTTTGAAAAGACAAAGCGAATTGACAAACGTTTACCTAGACTAAGAAAAAAAAAGAGAAACTCAAATAGATAAAATCAGAGATAAAAAGGAGACATTACAACTGATAGCACAGAAATACAGAGGATCATAAGAGACTTATATATGACTATACACCAACAAATTTGATAACTTAGAAGAAATGAATAAATTCCTGGATACATACAGACTACCAAGATTAAATTATGAAGAAATAGAAAAACTGAACGAAGTAGTAACGAGTGACGAAACTGAATCATTAATAAAAAGTCTTCCATCAAAGAAAAGCCCAGGACCTAATAGCTTCACAGCTTAGTTCTACCAAACATTTAAAAAAGAACTAATATCCATTCTTCTCAAACTATTCCAGATTATTTAAGAGGAGAGAATATTTCCAAACTTATTTTATGAGGCCAGTATTAACTTTATTTCAAAACTGGTTGAGGACACAATGAAAAAGAAAAACTACAGGCCAATATCCCTGATGAACATAGATGCAAAAATTCTGGATAAGACCTAGCAAATTGAATATAACAGTACATTAAAAAGATCATTTACTATGATCAAATGGGAATCATTCCAGAGATGCAAGGATGTTTGAATACATACAAATCAATAAATGTGACAAAACCACATTAACAGAAAGAAAGACCAAAACCATATGATCAATTCAGTATATGAAACAAAAGCATTTGACGAAATTCAACATCTCTTCATGATAAAAACTCTTAACAAATTAGGTATAGACGGTATGTAACTCAACACAATAAATGCCATATATGACAAACCCACAACTAACATTACACTGAACAGGAAAAGCTGAAAGATTTTTTTCTAGGATGAGGAATAAAAGAATGCCCACTTTTACCACTTTTATTCAACATATTAATGGAAGTTCTAGCCAGAGCAGTTAGGCAAGAGAAAGAAATAAAGTCATCCAAATTGAAAATGAGGAAGTCAAATTGTCCCTGTTTGCAGATTACATTATCTTAAATATAGGAAACCCTAAAGAATCCACCAAAAACTGTTAAAACTAATAAATGAATTTAGTAAAGTTGCAGTATACAAAATCAACATTCAAAAATTATTAGCCAGGTGCAGTGGCTTATTCCTGTAATCCTGGCACTTTGTGAGGCCAAGGCAGGAGGATCTCTTGAGGCCAGGAATTTGAGACCAGCCTGGGCAACATAGCAATACCCCATCTCTACAGAAATTTTTTAAAAATATTAAAATAATTTTAAAAACATTAATAGTGTTTCTATATGCCAATAGTGAACCATTTGAAAAAGAAATAAAAAAGATAATTACATTTATAATACCTATAAAAAAGATAGCTAGGAATAAACTCAACAAAGGAGGTGAAAACTATAAAACTTCGATGAAAGAAACTGAAGAGGACACAAATAAATGAGAAGATATCCCAAACTGATGGATTGAAAGAATTAATATTGTTAATATGGCCATACTAGCCAAATAAATCTACAGATTTAATGTAATCTCTATCAAAGTACCAATGACATTCTTCACAGAAATAGAAAAAAAGCAATCCTAAAATTCATATGGAACCATTAAACTCCAAATATCCAAGAAATGCTGAGCAAAAAGAATAAAGCTGGAGGCATCACACTACCTGACTTCAAAATATATGTCGAAGCTATAGTAACCAAAACAGTAGGGTACTGGAATAAAAACAGAAAAATAGGCCAATGCAACAGAATGGAGACCCCAGAAACAAATGTATGCACCTATAGCCAACTCATTTTTCACAAAGGTGCCAAGAGCACACATTGGGGAAAAGGCAGTCTCTTCAATAAATGGTGCTGGTAAAATTGGATATCCACATGCAGATGAATGAGACTAGACCTCTATCTCTCACCATATATAAAAATCAACCCAAAATGAATGAAATACTTAAATGAGAAACTTGAAAATATGAAACTACCACAAGAAAACTAGGTGAAACCCTTCATGATATTGGGTTGGTCACCAATTTTTATTTATTTATTTTTGAGATAGGATCTCACTCCTGTTGCCTAAGTGGGAGTGTAGTGAAACAATCATGGCTTGCTGCAGCCTCGACTTCTCAGGCTCAGATGATCCTCCTGCCTCAGCCTCCCAAGTATCTGGGACTACAGTTACATGCCACCACCCCTGGTTAATTTTTTGTATTTTTATTAGAGACAGGGTTTCATCATGTTTCTCAGGCTGGTCTCTAACTCCTGTGTTGAAGCAATCCACCTGCCTTGGCCTCCCAAAAGTTCTGGGATTACAGGTGTGAACCACCATGCCTAGCCAAGAATGTGTAAATAATACATATTCCTGGGCTCTGTATTCTGTTCCATTGGTCTATGTGTCTGTTTTTTATGCCAGTTCCATACCGTTTTGATTACAAGAGCTTTGTACCGTATTTTGAAATCAGGTAGTGTGATGCCTCCAGCTTTGTTCTTTTTGCTCAGTATTGCTTTTGTATTTGAAGTTTTTAGGGGCTCTATATGAATTTAAATTGTTTTTATTTCAATTTCTGTGAAGAATGTCATTGGTATTTTGATACAGATTGCATTAAATCTGTAGATCTCTTTGTCTACTATGGCTGTTTTAATAATATTAGTTCTTCGAATCCATGAATATGAAGTATCTTTCCACTTATTTGTGTCCTCTTCAATTTCTTGCATCAAAGTTTCATAATTTTCAGTGTACATATCATTCACCTCCTTAGTTAGGGTTATTTCTGGCTATCTTAATTTTTGTGCTTACAGGCAACAAAAGCAAAAATAGACAAATTGAATTACATCAAACTAAAAAGATTTTTCCTAGAAAATGAATCCATTAATCAAGTGAAGAGACAACTTACAGAATGGGAGAAAATATTTGCAAACTATACGTCTGACAAGGGGTTAATATCCAGAATATATAAAGAACTTAACAACAATGACAACAAAATAACCTGATTTTAGAAATGTATGGAAGACATTATTAGACATTTTGGAGATGACATATAAATGGCCAACAGGTATATGAAAAAATGTTCAACATCACTAATTATCAGAAAAATGTAAATCAAAACCATGAGGAGATACAACCTCACCCCAATTAGAATGGCTATTTTCAAAAAGACAAAAGGAAACAATGTTGGTGAAGATGCGGAGAAAAAGGAACCCTTACACACTGCTAGTGGGATTGTAAACTAGTAAAACCATATGGAAAACAGTATTGAGTTTCTTTTAGAAATTGAATAACTACCATATTAGCCATCCCACTAATTGGTATGTATTTAAAAGAAATGAAATCAGTATATAAAAGAGATAACTGCTCTCCCATGTTTATTGCAGCAGTATTTACAATAAGAAAGACATAGAATCAACCTGCGTCCAACAACAGATGAATGGTTACAGAAAATGTGGTATATATACACAATGAAATACTGTTCAGCTGTAAAATAATAAAAGCTCATCATATGCAATAACACGGATGAATTTGTAGTACATATCACATGATATCACTCACATGTGGAATCTAAAAAGTAATATGTCGATATGCTAGAAGCAGAGAGTAGAACAGTGGTTACCAGAGACTGAAGAGAGGAGGGAGGGGGGAGAATTGGGAGTGCTGTCAGTTATAATTAGACAGAAATAAATTCTAGCATGCTAGTGCTCAGTAGGGTGACTATGGTTAACAGTAAAATAGTGTGTATTACAAAATAGTTAGAGGAGAGGCTTTTGAATGTTCTCACCCCAGAGCAATGATAAATGCAGGAGGTGATGGATATACCAACTACCCTGATGGATTATTATACAACATTAATATGTATAAAAACATCACATACCCCATAAATATGTGCAGTTACAATATGTCAATTAAAACAATAAATAAATCAATTTACTTAATGGCCCAGAAATAAACCTATGCCTATACCATCAACTGATCTTTGACAAGGGTGTCAAGAACACACAATGGAGAAAAGATAGTGTCTTCAATGCATGGTGTTGGTAAAATTGTATATCCACATGCAAAAGAATAAAATTGGACCCTTCTCTTATACCATTTTAAAAAATCAACTCAAAATCAATTAGAGACTTAAATAGAAGACCTGACACTCTAAAACTACTCAAAAAAATAGGGGAAAAGGGCGTTGACATTAGTGTTGGCAACAATTTCTTGAATTTGACACAAAAGTGCAGGCAACAAATCCAAAATAGACAAGTAGGACTTGTCAAGCTAAACTATATTTTCGCAAACAACCATAGATTATTAACAAAAGCTAGGTTATATACCAGTTAAGAATATTTATGGTTTTTATTCAGCTCCTTTTTTAGTATAAACTTGCTTCTATTTTATCTTCTTAAAAAATCTCATAACTAATTATTGTGAAAACAATTTTATGTACAAAAACAGTTGTTAGTAAATACCCTTCAGTTAAATATAGAAATAGATTGACCGTTAATACAAATATTAGAAGGCTAGATAGAAGTAGTCCTTTTTAAAATAACAAGTATTTATAAAAATGGCAGAATAATTATTCTGCTTGTAAGGCAGAATAATTATCAATATAAAGTTTATCAAAATTAAATATAAGACCGACTAGATTGTTGGAAGCAAAGGTACAACTTCTTTGGTAGCCTTTTTTTCCAGCCTTAGTGACACTTCATTTCACCCTTGGTCAAATACTCCTTAAAACACTAACACAGGAAATTATTTAGGAGTGTGCCTATACCAGATCCAAGATGAGTCAGAACCAGGCTGAGGACTAATGCACTAAACCAAGCAACTGTACATCATTGTCCATATTCTTCAGGAAGTAAGGAACCACAAGCATTGATGTAGCAGCCTCATTCAAGCTTGGGCTAGAGCCTATGTAAAGTACATAAGAGGGGCCACATGACTTGGTGTGAATCAAAACTGAAGGAGCTGTCTCAGGCAAGATGGTGCTTACTCACTCAGCCACCTCTCTTTTTTATTTTATTTTATTATTATTATACTTTAAGTTTTAGGGTACATGTGCACAACGTGCAGGTTTGTTACATATGTATACATGTGCCATGTTGGTGTGCTGCACCCATTAACTCATCATTTAGCATTAGGTATATCTCCTAATGCTATTCCTCCCCCCTCCCCACAACCCCACAACTGTCCTCGGTGTGTGATGTTCCCCTTCCTGTGTCCATGTGTTCTCATTGTTCAATTCCCACCTATGAGTGAGAACATGCTGTGTTTGGTTTTTTGGAACCAACCCAAATGTCCAACAATGATAGACTGGATTAAGAAAATGTGGCACATATACACCATGGAATACTATGCAGCCATAAAAAAATGATGAGTTAATGTCCTTTGTAGGGACATAGATGAAGCTGGAAACCAGCATTCTCAGCAAACTATCGCAAGGACAAAAATCAGCCAGCTCTCTTAGGACCTTGTGAGTACTGAGTGACTAGGGTGTTGAAAACTGTAACTGGTAATTACAAGACCATTGCAATGCTTTTGTAAGCATTCTGTGTTGTTACTTGTCATAAAGTTAGACAAGCTTGATGCCAAATAAAACCTATTTTCTTTCATGATTTGTCTGAACCCAAGAACATAGTTAATAGTAGAGGTGATTTCACAAATTCAAATTCCTAATGATTGCAGAATTATTTAATGAACTAGTTAGTGTTCATAACATTAACCAATTATTCTTTAAAAGCTGAATTTCAATTTTAGTTGTTTGATTCAATTTAGTAAAAGGGTGTTTCAAAAAAAGTCTCATTTGGGAAATTTTCAAATCTTAAGTAAATTAAAACGAGAATGTTAATTTTGCCTCTTAAGGGAGCAACATGACAGACTCTAAAATCCTATAAAACAACATCTGTGATAGATAATCTTCAAGCCAGACATAATAATCTAAATAATAAAAATAATGTTTCAGAGAAAAATTAAGTATTCGTAACACTTTTTAAAATTAAACTTCTCAAACAAAGTCTTGGCTAGAATGCCATGTTACATTTCTAACAAGACAATCGGTCTAGTTTCGAGTCTATAGAAACAGAATTTAAAGGATAATCTGAAGATTGCTATGAGATTCCACCATTTTCAGTAATTCAAGAAGATAAATTTTTAAAGTTTTCGAGCTATGCATTGTAGCAAAAAAATCCTTTTATTTATTTATTTATTGTTATACATTAAGTTCTGGGATACATGTGCAGAAAGTACAGGTTTGTTACATAAGTGTACACCTGCCATGGTGGTTTGCTGCACCTGTCAACCCATCATCTACATTAGGTATTTCTCCCAATGCTATCCCTCCCCAACCCCCCACCCCCAAACAGGCCCAGTGTGTGGTGTTCCCCTCCCTGTGTCCATGTGTTCTCATTGTTCAGCTCCCACTTATGAGTGAGAACATGTGGTGTTTTGTTCTCTGTTCCTGTGTTAGTTTGCTGAGAATGATGGTTTCCAGCTTCATCTATGTCCCTACAAAGGACATGAACTCATTCTTTTTATGGCTGCATAGTATTCCATGGTGTATATGTGCAACATTTTCTTTATCCAGTCTGTCATTGATGGGCATCTGGGTTGGTTCCAAGTCTTTGATATTGTGAATAGTGCTGCAATAAACATACGTGTGCATGTGTCCTTTGGGTATATATCCAGTAATGGGATGGCTGGGTCAAATGGTATTTCTGGTTCTAGATCCTTGAGGAATTGCCACACTGTCTTCCACAGTGGTTGAACTAATTTACACTCCCACCAACAGTGTAAAAGTGTTCCTATTTCTTCACATCCTCTCCAGCATCTGTTGTTTCCTGACTTTTTAATGATCGCCATTCTAACTGGCATGAGATGGTATCTCATTGTGGTTTTGATTTGCATTTCTCTAATGACCAGTGATGATGAGTTTTTTTTCATATTTTTTTGGCCACATAAATGTCTTCTTTTGAGAAGTGTCTGTTTGTATCCTTCACCCACTTTTTGATGGGGTTGTTTGTTTTTTTCTTATAAATTTGTTGGAGTTTTTTGTAGATTCAGGATATTAGCCATTTGTCAGATGGATAGATTGCAAAAATTTTCTCCCATTCTGTAGGTTGTCTGTTCACTCTGAATGCCTACAGGAGAAAGTGGGAAAGATCTAAAATTGACACTCTAACATCACAATGAAAAGAATTAGAGAAGCAAGAGCAAATAAATTCTAAAGCTAGCAGAAGAAAAAAAATAGCTAAGATCAGAGCAGAACTGAAGGAGATAGATACATGAAAAACCCTTCAAAAAATCAATGAATCCAGGAGCTGGTTTTTTGGAAAGATTGACAAAATAGATAGACTGCTAGCTAGAGAATCATAAAGAAGAAAAGAGAGAAGAATCAAATAGACATAATAAAAAATGACAAAGGAGATATCACCACTGATCCCACCAAAATACAAACTACCATCAGAGAATACTATAAAAATTCCTTTTCGAAGACACTACTGAAAAAAATAATTTTTCCTTGACTTATATTCTGCTTTGCAAAACCTTAAAAAATATATTTGTGATATTAAGTGTACTACTCTGAGTCTCGTATTTCAGGCATTTGGACATGCAGGAACAATGTTTGACAGCATGGCATGTTAATAATAAATTCAGTAATCCTTCTGTTTCACTTACTAGCACAGAGATTTCTGGGTCTCACCAAGAAATCAACATGATGAAAGGACAGAAGACATATTTAGAGAACAGAAAACTGTAAAGAAAAGTGACATGAAATTATCATTGACAATAAAACAAGTATGTTGGGGGCTATGAAAAGTTCAGCATTTTGTTAACACTTTTTACATGCAGAAAGTAATTATAGCCCTGAGTAAAATAATATTTACTTGCTAGAGGCAGAAAAACTGTGAGGAAAGAGAAGTGATAAAGTGATAAAATCACTTCTCTTTAGTGGAAAACAAACCATATGACTTAAAAGAGATATAGGACTGCCGGTTCTGTTCATATAAGAGATGTTCAAGCAAAATAGGAAAGAAGATACTGTGTGTGAAAAGGGAATGTGAATGAAGAAAAAAATCTTAATTATTAAGTAACATGAGATATGTTAATAATCAATAATAATTGCTTGCAGATGATGCAATTAGTTGGCTGAAAACTACTGATGAGGTAACTGAGCTAATATGCCTGATAGTGCCTATATTTTTTGCATGATATTTATTATAACATTATTTGATCAAATCCAGGGAAAATGCTCATTTTGTTGAAAAACCAATGTTAACTGAAATGCAGATAAAAATTAATTGAAAATTTTATTATCTTAAAACATATTACTCATTGGTCCATTTCCAGGTTCATAGTTTAAGGATAAATTTTTTTTCAAATAATAATGTGAAGTGGGAATGCAAGAAAATATTAGCAATAAACATTTACTTAATGGCACCAATCTACATCTACTAAAATTTTACTGAAAATATTCTGAAATCATCTTATTTGAGCAGGATGCGAAATGAACTTTCATAATATGTGAAAAATAAAGTTGGCTCATCTGGAAGTATACCTACTCTGAGACTTGAACCTCTCATCTTTATGGAAAAAAGGTTATTTTTTTTGGCAATTTGCAGAGCTCAGTATTAAACTGCAAATATTACATGTAGCTTCTTTCTGTTGCTATGGGTAAGTTACTTGAATGACTTCAACAGATTCTTGAACTAAGCAGAAATTGCTTCCCACTCAGTTATAATTTTACCATGCAGAGGCTAGAAATTGGGAATAAATAATGAAAGAGGTCATTCTGGTTCACATTTAATGCTCTGTGTGGGATGTAGCTGATGACTGGAGAGAAAAACATGACCTGGTGGTAGAGAGTTGTTGCTTTATGATTCGAAAGAAATTCTGTCAGCTCTGACTTTAATTTCACATAAGTAAATGGGAAAAAAAAAACCTGTCATGAAGGAACAAATATGGTTAGTAAAGTTTTACTTTTAAAGTTGTACCCTACAGAAAGAAGTAAATAATTACCATTAAAGAAAAGCATAGAATGTGGATTTCTTACAATCCAATCATACCTGTGGAATCATTTGTCATTTGTTATTGAGATAAACATTGAAGAAATTAAAGACATAAACTATATTTTTGCCAAAAGCAATTTGTATGAAATCCATAGCTTTGTTAATTGATAAAAAATTTGGAGGGTGTATTAGTCAGTTCAAGATAACAAAATACCGTAGACTGGGTGGCCTAGACATTTATTTCTCACATTTATGGAAGGTGGAAAGTAAAATATCAGGGTGCCAGCATTATAGGATTCTGGTGAGACCCCTCTTCTTGGCTTGCAGATGATCATCTTCTTGCTGTGTCCTCACTCTGTCCTCACATGCAGGGGAGAGAGAGAGTGCCCATTCTGGTGTTTCTTCTTATAAAGGCACTAATCACACCATAAGGGCCCCACCCTATGGCCTCTTCTAAACCTAATAGCCTCCCAAAGGCGCCATCTCCAAATGCCATAACATTAGGAGTTAGGATTTCATATGAATTTTGTGAGGACACAATTAAGTCCATAGCAGATGGCCACAATTTCTTGTAACTCTCCTTTTTGGGAAGTGATATTTATTTTCCCTTAGCTAGAATCTAATCTGGCCCTGTGGCTGCTTAAGCAATAGATTGCAGCAAAAGTGGCACTGTGCCAGTTCTAGGCTTAGCCGTTTAGAAGACCGACTGGCAGCCTTTGCTTCTGCCCTCTGGATACCCTGCCATCAAGCTGTGAGAGCATGTGTAGGTGCTGTGGACACAAGCCCCACCGAGAGCCGCCAGCCTTCATCCAGCATCAACAGACAGCCCTGTGAGTGAGCCATGTGGGATATTCAGCCAAATAGAGCCTCCAGATGCTCCCAGATGCTTACTGTGGTTCCAGGTGGTATCACAGGACTAAAACTTCCCAGGTGATTCCAGTCAACACACAGAACTGTGGAGAATAATAAAATGATTGCTTTAAGCTATTAACTTTTGGCTGCTTTGTGATAGAGCAATAGCTAATCAAAATGTGCATTTTGCATGAAGATTATATCAAGTTTTGTTAAAAGCTAAGTATTATAGATGACAGAATGAATAGAAAATTAGTAAATTTGATCTATAGTAACAGTTGTGCCTGCAATCTAATGGTCATTAGATTGTATTAGTCTCTATGGGCATTGATTGCTCGGTAACAGCCCTGTGGAGCCCACCTATATGAAAAGTCATCCCTTCCCATATGCAGGTTTCACATCTCACAAATACCATATTTTTGATAAGCAGTTGGTTGAAAACAGTCCACGTCTAAGTTGACCTGTGCAATTCAATTCTGTTTTGTTGAAGGATCAACTGTATTCAGAACCTTACCTTAGTAAAGATTGCCTGTTTTTAATGAGAGCAGAAGAATGCCAAGAATTTAAATATTTTGACATTAAACTTTTATGTTCTCATCGATATGTTTTTAAAATAGATTAAAGCAAAAAAAAAGCAAAAAGAAAAACTCCAAAAGACAACAAGCCTAGTCACCCTAAAAAGGTTTCTTAGCTTCAATAAACTATAAATAGAAACCTCTATATGTTGAGTTAGTTGTGGTATTAGGTGCCTGAATATTTCTATCCATATTTGGTCGTAATGAATCAGTGATATGAAATTGCATTGGTTTGTCACTGTTAGTTTGTTGGATTTTATCTCAGATCTTAGGGTTGAGTTACATGTAAACATGTGCTTCTGTGGGTTGATTAAACAAGTTTTTCAATCAACTTCACTGAGAAACAGAGTTAGGAAACCTGTCTTCTAGGGGAAGCTTTGAGAAAAAACTACTAGCTATGTTATTTTGAGCAAGTTGTCAACACACTTGCCTCAATATATGACTCAAGAAAAAAAAATAACTATTCTTGTCCTGTTTACATGGAAGGATTTTTCTTCAAAATAAATGATCATATATACAAGGGATATTTATGGAGAAGGCTTTTTAAGCTAAAATAATTGTATTGTCATTCTTAATAATTTTGCTGTTAGTAATTTTGTGTTTTTTCTGTCAATTTTGAAAATTATTTTATTACACTTTTCTGAGGCCCAAAGTTGATCATTTGGTCAATTGTGGTGTCTGCTTGCTTTATTCATAAGGCCTCCGAAGTTAACTGATATTTAGTTGGAACATAAACCATGAACTATTGGGGAGAGATGATAAAAGATAATTATACAAATGTTGAAACAGAGATCATAAGACTGACAGAACAGACTCTTTGTGGCAATAAGATATCAAACTATAAACAAGACCTAAGGCCATACCAGGCAAGGGTTAGGTCACACACCCCTACTCTTAAAGAATAAAGTATGTTCTGGCCGGGCGTGGCAGCTCATGCCTGTAATCCCAGACTTTGGGAAGCCGAGTTGTGTGGATCATGAGGCCCAGAGTTTGAGACTGGCCTGGCCAACATGGTGAAACCCCGTCTCTACTAAAAAGTACAAAAATAATCCAGGCACGGTGGCTCACGCCTGTAATCCCAGCCACTTGGGAGGCCGAGGCAGGAGAATTGCTTGAATCCAGGAGGTGGAGGTTGCAGTGAGCCGAGATCACGCCACTGTACTCCAGCCTGGGTGGCAGAGCAAGACTCTGTCTCAAAAAAAAAAAAAAAAGGAATAAAGTATGCGCAAGGTTTTTGTTTGTTTGTTTTTCTCTTTTTCTCCAGCAACTAAACAAGCACTGAAGCACTGGCCTCAAGATAAGCAACATTCAAACAATTGCAGCTCACTGACCACCATATGCTAACTGAGCCACGTGATCCACAAGCCGTAACTACAGCTTTGATTGAACAAGAGATTGATTTCAATAACTTTCTCCTGATAAGAGACACTGACCATGGACTGGTGCTGACCACTTTACAGTGGTTGAACGCGGTGCCTTTGTGTCTTTGGCTCCACCTTTGCACACATAGGACCTAACTGTAATGAATTTAAATGCTAGGTCTCCACCCTAAGCATTGAACATGGGACACATGTAACATGCATGTTTGCTTACTGCATTTTCATGCATCTCTCCCCTTCATGAATATTCATTTTCACCTATAACTTGTTAAATATGTATACCTCACCAATTCATAGGGCATAAATCTCAGCCTTTCACTTTTTTTTCTCTGAAGTGCCTGCTTTCTGTCTCTGCTTCAGGCTGTGCTTCCAAGCCTGTCAGCATGGCCACCCTGAAGGCTGTAACTCTTCATAAGAAATAAAGCTCTCCTCTCCAAGTTTATAGATCTTGTGATTCTTCAGTTGATACAAAAAATTAGGTGACAATTTCAGGCATCGAAGCCTCTTCTTGTCCTAGCTCTATTTTAATCCATCCAGAACCTATAATATATAGATCCTACCTCCAATTTACCGTTCATCAGTCTCTCAGGTCCTCAGTTTTTCTCCACAACCAACTTAGATTCCATAGCTTATCCTTTTAACCATACCCTTGCTTATACCATTTCTCCCTTGCTTCTCTTTCCTTATATATTTCCCCTGGGAAATGATGTGACTACATAATGCTATGGTTAATTTCATATGTCAACTCGACTGGGCTAAGGGATGTCCAGATAGCTGGTAAAACAATATTTCTGGATGTGTCTGTGAGGGAATTTCTGGAAGAGATTAGCATTTGAATTCTTGAACTGACTAAGGCAGATGGCCATCCCCAATGTAGGTGGGCATTGTCCACTCCATTAAGGGCTTGATTATATAGAACAAAAAGTCAGAGGACATCCATCTTCTTTAGCTGGGACACCCATCTACTCCTAGCCTCAGATATTTGAGTTCCTATTTCTCAAGACTTCAGACTCTAGGGCTTACACAGCATACCCCTGCCAACACTCCAGTTCTCAGGCCTTCAGACTGACTGAATCACACCACTAGCTTTCCTGGTTCCACAGCTTACAAATGACATATCATGGGACTTTCACGCCTCCCTAACCACGTGAGAAAATTTTCATAGTATATCCTCTCTTATATACCTATATGTATCCTATTGATTCTGTTTCTTTGGAGAACATTGACCAACACACAGAATAAGTATTCTTGTCTTGCTTCATTCACTCCAGCTAATGTTTTTATAATTTATCCATGTATGTATCTGTAGTTATTTTGTTCCCAAATGGTACTGCTGAATATATCACAATTTGTTTATTCTTCTGTTTGTTGATTGGCACTTGGGTTATTTCCAATTTTTGCTATAAATAAAGCTGCTGTGTGTGTACAAATCTTTGTATAAGCATATGTTACCAGTTTTCTTAGGTAAATACCTAAGACTAGAATTGCTGGATCTTAGGGTAGGTGTGTGCTTAACTTTACAAGTAACTACTAAACAGTTTTCCATCACCAGTAGGATAAGAGTTGCAGTTGCTTGGCATCCTCTCCGACACTGATATTTATATTGGTTAGTTCATGTTTCATAATAACTCTCTTCCGTAAAATAACACTGATCTATCCAGTTCATTGGAGCTGAATGGCCAAGGCTAGCCTCACTTGTATATTTGATGGTTTAACTTATTATTAAGTGAAATGATGGTCATGACTTGGCCTTGTGTATTTCAGAAGCTAGCAGGGCTCATCCACATGCTAGCTAGCTTACAAAATCAGCAAGAAAAGGCAAGCTCCTGTACATTTTCATTTTGTATATCTCTACTTGGGTTATGTTTGCTAGTGTCTCAGTAGCCAAAGAAAGTCATGTGTCTAGGAACATATTTAGAAGGTGTAGAAATAGACTCCATCTTTATAGGAGGAACTGAAAAGTCCCATTGGGCAGGAACATTGCTATAGAGATAGGAAGTATGTGAGGCCTTTTTGCAGTCTTCTCTTTGACCGCAAATTGCTTTTGTTATTCTCACATGAAAAATATAATCATCCTCATTCCAGTTTCATATCAATAATGGCATCAGACTCAAAGTCTAGGATCTAGTTCTCTAAATCAGATTCAAGTGCAGATGAGGTGCCAGTAAATATAGTAATCAAGGCTTGGTCAGGGAAGCAGAGCTTCAGTGAGTGTTATTAGAATAAGGGATTTATTAAATGCATTAGATTTTATACTCAAGTGAGAGTAGATGGAGTAAATCGGAGAGTTGTTGGATCAGAGTCACTAATGAGTTTACCTGAAAGGTTGGTGCAGGTGGACAAGTAAGATCCTTCAAGAGAATCTGAGAAACCAAGCACATCCAGTGACTGTAGTAGGACCAAGAAGAGGAAGTTCATGGAGAGGTCTATGGGAAGCTGTTGCCTAGGGTAGCTACCATGGCCAACCATCTGATGATAGAACTGGGACTGCTGTTGGTCATGTTGATGAGTGGGACATGTAGCAAACAAGAACTTGCTGTAACTGAATGGACACATTTTCACCTGTCTGACACCCTACCTGACACTGACAAACATTCAAGAGTAATGGCCACTGCTTCATTAGGTGTTTAACTTGTCACTGTTACCTCCTTCACCTGTAAAGGTCTACCCCAAATATATACATGTCCCCTTTTATCACTGTCTTCAGGTCTCTCCACAAATGTCACTATAGCCTTTTACTTCTGACCACTTTATATGAAATAAACCTAAGTCATCTCCTCTGTACCTCCTTCCATCATCCAGTTTATCTGGGTGACCTTACATTTAAGTTTGTACAGGATGTCCCAGCTTATGCCTGCTGACCTGGCATCCTGTCTAGTTTTCAGTTCCTTTTGTTCTAAAAACATGTCCCTATTTAGACAATAAATTACCTATCACCCTACTTTTATCCTGATTCATTTTTCTTCATGACACTTATCAACTAACTGTCATATTATACATTTGCATGGTTTTTTATTTCTAGTTTCCCCTCTTTTAAAGGGATTGTAAATTCCACGGGGCAGTCTTTATGGTTAACTGCTTTAGAACGTGACCCTGCACATAGTACTCAGTAAATAACTCTTGCATTAAATAATTAATAAGTCCACTAGTTGTATGACTTTGGGCATGTCACTTCACCTTTTGAACTTCTGTTTTCTTTTCCCCTTGTTTGTAATGAGGTCCTAGATGAAATGAGATCGTAAGTCTAAAATCCAATAATTGCTTATGAAACCTTCTTCCTTTCGAGGACAAATTTCATTTAACAGTTGCTCTGTGTAGAGGGAGAATATTAGAGCTATGTTTTTAATAAGCTAGAGTAGTCATCTAAAGCAATAAAAGACATTTTTAAAGTATAATTTCATCTAAGCAGCAAGGATTGATTTAAAAATAATAATCACAGTGTCTTTACTTGCATGAAGAAATTAAGCCTAAATCCCTATTAATCATTTTCTGACTTGAATTTTCCCCCAGGTTCTTATAAAAATAAAAATATATTTTATAGCATTGGTAAAGTTATTTAGGGAATTTAATTTATGATGATAATCCCCAAATTTCCATCTCTAGCTCAGATCTATGCCCTGAACTCCAGGCTCATATATCCAACTACCTTCATGAGATTTCTGCTTGGGTTACTAATAGGCATCTCAAAACTAAAATGTTAAAATCTAAACTCCTCATTTTCTGCCATAGCCTATGCTCTCAAAGTCTCTCATTTAAGCAGATGGCAATTGCATTCTTTCAGTTACTCAGGCCAAAATCCTTGCTGTCACCTTGACTCTTCCTTTATCTCATTTTATCTCATACCTCACATCCAATCTATCAGCAAATCCTATTAACTATACCTTCAAAATACACCAAGAATCAGGCCAGTCCTCACCCTCCTATACTTTTCCCCAGCGTAGCCAACATTGCATTTCTCTGAATTACTGCAATAGCATTTTAACTTACTTTCTGTAGCTTCTGCCCTTCTCATCCTGAGCAGCCACCTATGTCTATTTTCAACAAATCATCCAGAAAGATCATTTTAAAGCCTAAGTTAGATCATGTCACTTCTTTGCCCCAAATTTTCTAATTGCTATCATCTGATTCAGGATAAAGGCCATGTTCCTGATAGGGGTGTATAGGATCTGCCATCCTGCTGCCTCTCTAAATTCATCTTTTACTACTTTTCCCCATGCTCTGTTTGTTCTTTTCATGAAGGCATAGTATACATCATGTACCCTCCTATCTCAAAATTTCACTTGCTACTGGCCTTGCCCAGAATGGTCTTACCTTCAGAGGTATGGGTGGCTTGGTCTCTTTCCCACTTCAAATCTTACTTCAAATCTTTCTTCAAATGTCCCATTATTAGAGTGGCCATTCCTATGCCCTTGATGCAATTAATAGCAATTTCCTCCTCAATTTTTCCATTTCCTATTTTCTCTACCCTATTTCCCTTTCCTATTTAGTATTTACCCACTTTTGACATAGTATAACAACATGCATATTATGTGTTTATTATCTTTCTCCCTGTACTAGAATGTAAGTTCACAAGAACTAGGATTTTGTCTGTTTTGAACCCTTCCAGACCCTAGAATTGGACTTTGAACATAGCAGATGTTCAATAAGTTTGTGTTAAATCAAAGAATGGATAAGTCTGTTTATTAGATGAAGCTTTCATTATCCAATGCTCTTCTTCCTCTTATAGCCTTTAACTTTAGCTCCATCTTTTCGACTCCTTGATAAAGCAAACTTATCTTAAATTAGTTGCCTTTAAATTAATGCATATTATAAAACTGTGTTTTAAACTTGGTTATGAAGCTGACAATATGCTCAAATGCAAACAGTGTAAAATGCCTAATCACATTTGAAAGCATCATTCTCTGAGAGAGCAACACATGCCTCGTGTCAAGAGGGATGACAAGGTTGGATGTCAATCCTTTTTAGCATTCCCCTTTTTAGAGGGGAAAGGATTGGCAGAATCAGAGATACTTTGATGCCTTTCTACTTTGTTTCCCAGGCTTCTGCCACTGCTCACTTCTTGCTGTTTTAATTCGGCGAAAAGCCCACCATACATATGTCCTTACACTACCCTCAAATTGTTCAGTTTCCCATAGTGATGCCCTACTCAAGACATTCCTCACCAAAGTATTCTTTAATTCTGGAAGTGCTGGTGTCTATACTAGCACTAATGAGGATCTGGAACATCATCTAGTTCATCTGACCATTCTTTTTTTTTTTCTTTTTTGAGACAAGGCCTGGCTCTGTTGCCAGGCTGGAGTGCCATGTTGCAACCATAGCTCACTGGAGCCTCCGCCTCTTGGGCTCAAGTGATCCTCCTGCTTCAGCTCCCAAAGTGCTGGAATTACAGGCATGAGCCACCATACCCAGCTTACCTGACAATTTTCTAAGTAAGGAAACTAGAACTTGGAAAGATGAAATGACTCATGCAAAGCCAGTCCAGGCCTCCACTTCCCCATTCCTGTTCATCTGTCCTGTACTGTATTTCCAATCACATTAGTTAAATACAGGAATAACCTAAAAGTCCAGTAAGAGGGCAATGGCTAAGTACATCCATGTGAGGCTTACTACACAGCTATTAAAATTTTTATCATGTAGAAAACAATTAAGTGACCTTAGTAAATGTTAACAACAATAGTTAAGTGAAAAAAGTCAAATACTCAATTTATAAAATAATTGCGTACATAATGGGAAGCCTCTGTAACATCAAAATATTGTCAGTGGTTATTTCTGGAAGTTAGGATTAGAGATTTTTTTTACTTGTGCTTATACTTGCATATTTCCAAAATCAACACTTTTATAATAAAAAAATCTAACTTTTCTTCTGCTCCATGCTCCTAATTAAATTTGTCTGCATTTTTAAACACTAGAATATATTTTTAAATGTTACTTTTTTGTATAAATAGCATGTGTGAGATATGATATTTAAATATGTGGAAAATTGAATAAGCTTCATAAATGTAAAGAATTACTAGCAATTAAGTCAAAAGACAGAATGGCATCTAACAACCTTCACAAGGTATATAAGATGAAGATTCTTTGGGGAGACTAGTATACCTTATGATAATCATGAAGCTCTATTTTTTCTTTATAATTCTCATGTTTTAAAATTATACTTCAAATTAATTTTCTATCCTTTTAAAAGTTTTTGGAATTATTTGAAATCTTTATAGATCATCTCAATACAAAATTCTGTTAGTCTCTTCTTTGCAACTTCGGTTTATGCCAAGCTATTTTTGAACCTTCATATAGACTACGTAATGGTTTCTCATATAAGAATGATTGCGTTGTCTTATGTTGTTTCATTTTTGTTTAAAATATGCATCTCAATTGTCACAATAATCAGATGAGGAATGAAGTTTATAACCATTTTTTAGATGAGTAAAATCAAGGTCAGAGAGTCTAAATAGCTTGCCTGTTATCATACATCTTACAAATAATAGAGCTAAGTTGAAACCCAAGTCTAAATGCCAGTAAACTCAATGCTACAATTAGAATCTACCTGTACACTGCCTAAATAGAATCTTCTAAATTAACTTGGTGACATATTGCATAAGTGCAAAAATGGAGAAGTTTGTCTAGTGTTCTTTCATCTGCTCTTGTACTTGTGCTGAAACCTTCAAAACATCACCTTTCACTATCTAGAACTTCTTGCTGCAGCAAGTCACCCAGGACTGCTTCATGATCCAGATCTGAAATGTCACTCCCACCCTCTCACCATGCATCTGTCTTGTGCTTATGCCCATGTGTCTAATCTCAGCTAGAGATTTCTTTCCAGTCACAATGTGCTGTATGACCCCTTCGATGTCCTTCATCAGGATTAACAGCTATTCTATGGAATTCATTGTGTCATTTTGTAAATATCAGTCCTAGTTCCTTGTAGGTTCATAACCCACAAGATTATGAGTTCTTTGGGGATAAAAACCAAATCTTAGTCATCTTTTTAGAAATACACAAGGCATAAAATTAACCTCCAGATAAACTAAACATCCAGATAAACACAATTACATTAAAGAAAAATTAATAGCTGTAACAGATGGTACAAGCATCCAAGAAGGTAGAATTCAACATGTCCTGTAGCTAATAAAAAATAGAGCAAATGAGGAAAACATGTCCTATTAGGAGGAAAGATAATTCAACTGAACCTGACCCAGAAATGACATAGATGTTAGTTAATAGACAAGAACAAGAAATCGGTTATTATAACTATATCTCTTATTTTTAGAGTGGCAACAGCCATCCAGTTTCTTAATCCTTATAATTACTATTTCTCAAAACCTCTCAAAGGCCTGAGATATTGTATCTGTTGGTGCATTCTCTTCTACTATTATCTTGTTGTAATTTACCACAGGTCAAAGTTTAACAGTTGCACTGCAATCCTGCACTAATGAGGAACTCATTACCTGTTGGTCAGCTCCAAAGCTGACCCATTTTACAATGTTTGCTTTAACTGTGGCTTTAATCCATTTGGTTGTGATGCCCCTGGTGTAGTTTTATCATGTTTATTCTGCTTGAAGTTCATTAAGTTTTTTTGATCTATGGATTTATAGTTTTTATGCAATTTGGAAAATTTCCATCATTTTTTCATGTAATTTTTTTCTGTATTCACTGTGCCATCTCTGACCCCAGCCCTCACCGTTCAGGGACTCCAGCTAATCTTTATTAGACAATTTGAAGTTGTTCCACAGTATCCAAATGCTCTATTCATTTGTTCAACAGTTTTTTTCTCTATATTTCACTTGGGACAATCGCTATTGATGTGTCTTCAAATTGGCTAATCTGTTTTTCTGCAATGTGTAATCTGTTGTTAGTTTCATACTGTGTATTTTTCTTTTCTTTTCTTTTCTTTTTTTTCTTTTTGGAGACAAAGTCTCGCTCTTGTCCCCCAGGCTGGAGTGGAGTGCGATGGCACGATCTCAGCTCACTGCAACCTCCGCCTCTCAGGTTCACTTGATTCTCGTGCCTCAGCCTCCTGCGTAGCTGAGATTACAGGCACCTGCCACCATGCCCAGCTATTTTTTTTTTTTTTTTAGTAGAGACGGGGTTTCACCATGTTGACTAGGCTGGTCTCGAACTCCTGACCTCAGATGATCCAACCACCTTGGCTTCCCAAAGTGCTGGGATTACAGGTGTGAGCCACCGCGCCCGGCCACAGTGTATTTTCAATGTAGACATTGTACTTTGCATTTTTAGAAGTTCCTAAAATGAACTTATCATATTCTTTCTTTTAGTTCTTGAACATATGGAGTTCAGTTTTAATAACTGTTTTAATGTCCTCTCTAATAATTCTCTTATTTTTTTCTGAGTTACCTTCAATTAGTTGATATTTTTCTTTTAATGAGACATATTTTTCTTATTCTTTCAGACCTGTTAATTTTTATTGGATATTAGTTATTGAGAATTTTACTTTGTTGGTAAGTAAACAAGGTAAAATTCTTGTTTACTCGGATATTTTTGTATTCCTAAAAAATATTCTTAAGATTTTTTTCTGTGATGCTGTTATTTGGAAATAGTTTGATATTTTCAGATCCTGCTTTTCAGATGTGTTGGTTGAGACTAGTGGAGCATTTCGTCTAGAATGAATTGTTCACTCTCAAGGGCAAAACTCTCTTTGTATTCCAGTCCATACCCTGTGAATTATGAGTTTTTTTCCAATCAGGCAGATGGTAATAGGCACCATTCCCAGCCTACCGTAAGCTCAAAGAAGGTCGCTCCTTCTAAACTTGTTAGGTGGTTTTTTCCCCTGGCCTCAGGGAATTTCCTCACATGAAGGAACAGATAAGCGGTCATGAATACTGAGTCCTCCTCTCTGAAGATCTCTCCTCTGTGCAGTTCTGTCCTCTCCATACTCTGTCTGTGCAACTTCTACTTTCTGGCACTCCATTCTGTGAACGCTGGCTGCCCAGTCTCCCTGGACCTCAGCTCTGTCTCTCCCAATCAGGGCCACCATCAGGCTCTGCCTAGGTTCCCCTTTTCTGTGCCACAACCTAGCAGTAAGATGGGACAATTAAAAGGCTCAGTTTTTTTGGTTTCCATCTCCCAGGTATCACTCTCTTTTATTGTCTGACAGTCAATATCCTCATATATTTTCTTTAGTTTATTAATTATTTCATGAGAGAAGGTAAATTCTCTGTTACTTCATCTTGCTTGGAAGTGGAAGTCTTCCCAAATCCCATTTTAGAGTCTGCTTCCTAGGATCATCCCTATTACTAACACTGTTCCAAGCTAGTTCCCAGGAACCAGGCTCTGGTGCTCTGAGATTTGCATGCATGAGGTTTATTAGTGAGTATTCTCAATAACATCTGTAGGGGAAGCAGGATTGGGGAGAAGGAGAAGTTAAACTGCAACGCAGTTGTAACAGAAGCCTTCATGGGTCATAAGGGAAGTTCTGGAGAGAGAAGCACCTTTCAGAGTTGCCCCATTTATATCCCCTTCTTACATAAACTAGTGGGACACATGTAGCTCTCAGTGCAAGTATACAACAAAGGGTGAGTGTCTCTGTCCAGAAGGGGAAACAGAACCACCCATCTGCTGCACAGATAATTGCAGCATTGTACAAAATAGGTTTGTTTGCATCCTGATGAAGCATTTAGTTACAGTTAGTCATTGCTTCTTCTTGAAGCAGCTTATCAAAATGGAAATTGTTTTTCAACTAATAACTTATTTCCATATCCCCCATTTTTTAAAGAACCTCTATTCAGAATTTCCTTTCACAGGTCATTAAAACTATAAATTCAATTTTTCCCAGAATAACGGGGCTTTCTGTGGCAGGGCCAGCAGGTTTCATATCTGCAGGATCCAACTTCTCCTTAACAGGTGTAGAGACTGAATATTACTGGACACAACTGAATGTCAGTTGTGATTTTTAATACCATTTCCAATGATCTGAAGTAAATATGTTTTGAACTCTGAAGTAGGCAGTGTGTATGTAGCAGAGAGTTTAGGAGCCTGCACTCTGAAACCAAAGTGTTCACCTATGCATTTTGACTCCATTCCCCCTGTGCTTTGGACTTTGGGCAAGTTGCTTTGCCTTTCTAAAGCTCATTTTCTTCGCTATAAAATGGGCAGAGTTTCATACTTCATAGGGTTGTGATCACTGAAGGTGTCAGAGGCAGAATAATGTGGTTATAAAGAGCATGGGTCTAGAGCCATGAGTTTGAATCATGCCTGATCACTTACTAACTTAATTTAGCCACTCTTTGCCTATGTTCCTATTTATAAAAGAGAGATTATAATAGCAAATCCCTAGGGTGTTTGTAAGGATTAAGTGAATTAATACAGAAAAATAGCTTAGAAGAGGGTCAAGCACATAGCAAGTGCTCAACAAATGTAAGCTCTTATTATTAAGGGTTTAGGAGCTTCAAAAGTGTGAATGAATTTGGTAGAAGAGGAGTTTTTGCTTTGAGTGACCCTACAGTCTAGTAAAGGAGAAAAAACAAGGCATAAGTATTAATAAAAACAAGACAGAATATTATAGGAATTTTAAAAGATGAACAAATAAAGTTCTGTGGGAAATAAAGGAGAAGGGTGTAAATTTCCATGGAAATGTGAAAAGAACAGAACTTGAAGTGACAGTTAAATTCAACCTTACACAGAACATGTAGAATGCATACTTTCTCATTTGGCTGGTTAAATTCCAAGTAATTTTATAATTGACCTAATTGCAAAGAGGTAGCTGAGCAGCAAAATATATACAATTCCCTATGGCTGTGGAATCAAGTGTCTGAAGATGGAGTTATGGATTTAAGAAACAGAAATGCTGCCACTCTGCCCACCCCTGCCATCTCCCACCCAGTTCCCTCCATCTAGGATTCCCATTGGTGGAGGGAGAAGTGGTTGCCAATTCTCACTTCCCTATTTAGGCAGATCCTCAAGCAGAGAGACTCCTGCCTGTTTTGTTTCTGCTGATATGGGGAAGTGGGTACCTCTAACCACTTCCCTAGGGAGCAGGCGCTACTGCTGCCTGAAGCCAAATATCTCTTCCCCGAAAAGGAAGTATAGATTAGAGAGAGGCCCTATTCTGGGTAGCTTGAATAAAATATAAGCCCTGTTTCTCAGTCTTTGACAGTTGTTAAATAGCAAGAGTTTGGAAATCCCTAAGCTCAGTCCCAGGGCAATCATCTGTATGGACAGTTAGTCCAGAGAATTGGAGAGAGCACAGGTTATGGAGTGGCCAATCTTCCTCTGCCACCTACCACCTGCTCCATGTCAGGCAAGTCCCATTTCCTGTCTGCATTTCAGTTCTTTACCTGTGGAATAATAACATTAGCTATAATTCTCTGAATGCTTGGGATGAGTCAAGCATATTTGAGGTATTATTCTTCCCTTTCCACAAATAAAGAAAATGGAAGTTAAATAACTCACCCATAATTACCCAACAAGAGTCAGGATTTAAATTCAAGTTTATCTCTAAAGGAGTTAGCACCCTTCCCTAAACCTTGCATGTAGTAGGTACTCAATAAATCACAGCTATTATTATTATTATTCCAAAGTGACATTGACAACAGTTATAAGAAAAATAAAAACAGCAGTAGGACCTATTGTCTTTTTTGCACTGCCACAATAAATATCATGTTAAGCTTTGTAGCTAGAACTATCTTAGAGAGGAACAGATTTGCTCTTATAATTACAGCCTGACCAGAACCTTAGCTCCAGAAAGAAGAGAAATTCCATTTATGCATGTTGCACTCTTAATATAATAAAGGAGAAAGAACACTGGCGTAGGAATTAATAGGCAACTTATACTCGTCACATCTTTTATGATTATCTTATTCCATTCTGGTGACAACCCCCTTACTTTATCCTAATTTAATAGATGTTTAAAAAGCAAGCTCTGAGTGGAGTAGTGATATGTTTGGCTTAAACTGGCAATGCTGACTTTAATGTGTTTAGTCCAAATTCCATCAATAAATAACCCAGCAACTTTTGGCAAGACATTTTGCTTGTCTTCGCCTGGAGTTATTTGTCCATAAAATACCGGTGGGATGTAGATCTTTTGATTTCTAAGGCTTATCTTCCCTAATTCTTTTGGCATCTTGCAGCCATTAACAATGGCTGCAGGATAGCCCTTGTTCAAGAAGAAACTCACCTCTCTGTGGGGTTGGCTGCTTAAAGTTGTGCTGTTTTCAGCCAAGAGTCTTTGTATATACTTATAGCTATAAATTTGATTACTCTGACAAAATTTGGTAGTAAATAATTTTTCTCACCATTTAGTCCTCTACTTTCATTCAAGAGAGTTCTCTGGAAATTTGAATTATGGTATAAACAAAGCAGAATCTTCATGATGTGTTCATTGTCTTTACATATATAGGAGATGTTTGCAGGGCAGTCTTGTAGTCATAATATTAACACTGCTGACTTGGAATTTATTTATTTTGCATATAGAAATACAACGAAGGGGCTGTCTGTCATCTAGGTAACCCCCAGTAGTAATCCAATAGTAATAAGATTGGGATAGTCTGACAAACCATAGGCTATGCTGAGTGGAGAGCCCTGAGCATTCATTTGTCAGAGAAGTTGAAAGATTTTCTCTGCAGGAAGCTGCCTCTTGCCTGCACAGGTGGAACTGTGAGCATGTGCCCAGTCCCATGAGTGGAGGGGATTTCTTTTATTTAAAGATACTTAACTATTTCTAGGCTCATGAAAGACACCAACCAGTAGTAGTGGTCCTAGGCCTAAGGGCTGTGTGTCAGATATCTCTGAAGTGAGGTTATATTGAACCAACACAATATTTTGTTTTGTTTTGATAAATTTGCAAGCTCTTGCAGTCTAAGCATGTCTCAGTTAAGCATAGTATCCACTACTCTGTATTTACCTGGCCAACTTCATTCATTCACGCTGTCTGCTGCTCCTCGAAACCAGGTGGTCTGTCATCTCTGAAAGAGTGGCTCCTATTTGCTGCGCTTTGCATCTTATCCTCAAAACAGAACTGTGAGTTAGGTATAACTCCTATTTATAAGTGAGTAATAGGCATCTCCTATTTATAAGTGAGTAAACTGAGACTCAAAGGGAAAAACTAGCCCAAGGCAAGATAACTAACAAATCACCACTGATGACTGAGCCTTAAGCCTGCGCCCTAATAAGTTTCATTTTACTTGGTTCTGTCTGTGTCATCTGGCCCCTGGACCTTTTCTGGAAAGTCTGCAAAGGACCACCTGAGCCCATGACTTGGACTCACTCTTTCATTCGAACAACAAGACACCTTATTGGTTTTATTACAGATATCATCACCTAGCCCTCAGCGACTCAAGGTGTCATTATTTTGCCTTCCTTACACCCACTGTGTTAATTTCTGGACCCCAGGTTTTCAAGCCATTGACAATTTCAGCGTGTCTGTAATGTCTCCTTAGTAATTATTGAAGGTACTTGTTATATTTAGCCAAGAGAATAACTGGGGTGGTACTAGGATAACATCTACGTTCAAATAGTTGGATATTCAAGAGTCGATATATGTCTATGGTTCCGAAGGGCAAAGCCAGGCAGTGTAGGTCCTGCAGAACTCCAATTAATCAGGGCTGCCCAGTAATCCTAATGCCAAACCCGTGCCCCAGAACCTCGATTTCTCCCCAGACACCAACTCCAAGTTCCTCCACGGGGATGTGGGATTTCAGTTTATGCTCTTGCGTCCCTCTGCAGCCACAGGCCGCAGAGCCCGCCCCCAGGGCCCCGCCCCCGCTCTCCGGGCGCTGGACGCGGGACGCCGTCTCCTGGCAACGCAGACGCGGAGCCGAGCGCGCCCGCAGGCTCTTTGCTCAGAGCTCAGCCCTACATAGATCGGCTTCTGCCATGGCCTCCAAACAAACCAAAAAGAAAGAGGTGCATCGTATCAACTCGGCGCACGGATCGGATAAATCGAAAGAGTAAGGGACCTCTGCCTGTCCGTCCCTCCCCTGGCCTAGCCCCTCGACCTCACCACTAGTTCTGGGGCTGCCTCCCTGCAGCAAACTGTGCCAGGGCAGAAGTTTAGTGGCCTCCTCGCAGCTTGTCTTCTCTGGTAAACCAGATCCTGGAGGTGCTCGCTCTCATCCTTCTCTCTTGCTTGTCTTGACTCACTTCCTTTCCCAGAGCCCCTGATTTTCTTGCTTTGGGTGTTCAGCTCCCATGGGTGAATCTGCCACCCCTCCTCTTCTTCATAGCCCTCTCAGGCAGTTAGAAAGGCCATAGCTTTCCTAAGAAAGAGGCATATCTCAAATACTTCTGGTTAAAGCCACATCTTCATGGCCCCGGAAATGATACAGACAGCGAGTGACAGACAGACATGGACACATTTCACCTTAATGGTGATTTTCTAGTTTGCATCTGCCCAGTCCAACGACTACGATCTTTAATCAGATATAGTCAGACGTAAAGTGGCTTCTAAACCTTAAAACATTATAAATGTATAGTTCATGTTACTAACATTTACTCTGAGAAAGTAAACAGACCCTCGCTCATGGAATTTTTATGGTGCCTTTGTCCTGGGCTGGTGTTAGGTGTTGTGTCTTAGGATGTACTTCCCCATGATTATTATTTTCTGTGGTCTGTTTCCCTAGGGATATCCAGTTATCCACAGCATAGGATTGGGGCTGTTTGAACTTACACCATTTCTAATGTTCATTCCCACTGTGAGAGAATCCCAGCTGCCCGCCCTGCTTCAGTGGGATCATTCATGTTCTTCATGCTCTGCCTGATGGGGAGGGCGATGCAATCAATCATTTCAAATTGAATTCTTACATCCTTGATGCCTGTTTCTCCATTTCCTTCCCTGGCTGAAGAATTCCACATTGGACTGATCCCTATGATTCACTGATCCCTAGGATTTAAACTCTTTTTCTTTGTGAATTCTTCTCCCAGACTCATTCCCATGTCTGTGAATCTCTAGTCCCTTAGTTCTAACCTCTCTCATAAGCAGGTTTCCAGTTACCCGGCAGATAATCCATTCCTTTTACTAGCTTAAATTTTAGATATTACATATATAAGTAATATTACATATATAATTTTATATAAATATTACATATGTAATTTTAATAGGATTGCTTTACTTCTGTGTACCAAAGTCAGGTCTTTTCAGCGTTGTCTAATGGCTTCCATTCCTCTAGGTCCAAGGCCGAGGACGCCCTTCAGAATCAGGCCTGTATTACTTCTCTAAAGTTACCTTCCACTAGCCTTCTCTCCACTCCCTGAGTCATCTCAGGATTGTTCCCACCGCAGGGCCTTTGCACTTGCTGTTTCCCCTATTGGAAAGCTTTTCTGCTCAAATATCCATATGGTTTTCCCTCTCCCTTCCTTCAGGAGTTTACCTAAATGTCATTTTCTCCTGTTAGCTTCTTTGGCCACCTGATTTAAAGTTACAACCTCTACTTCTCTGCCAAAATAAAACAAAACAAAACAAAGCTCCCTGTCTTCCTTCACTGTTTTATTTTTTTATTGACTTTTATTTTTTTGCTCATTTAACATGCTATATATTTCACTTTTTAAAAACTACATTTTTTTTTTTCATTTGTCTTCCCAATAGGGAAGGCAGGGATTTTCCTTTTCTATTTTACATACTGTTGAATTCTTAGTACTTAGATAGTTCCAAGATCATACATAGTAGGCACTCAAAAGTGTTTAGTGAATGAATGAATGACTCTCTTAACTAGGAGATATTAAAGGATTGCAAAAGAATTTTGAGTACACCCCTCCCCCATGCGCACACACACACACACACACACACACACACACACACACACAAATAACTAAGTCACTGATGGTTACAAGTAATGCACATTGAAGGCTCACAACTCTTTAGGAGCTTCGGGAAAATCTTGGACTTTAATGAGTTTATATCCTGAAAGAGATGTGACTGTTAACTCCCATAAAGAAACTTATCAAACCAGACACCATAAAACACATTACTTGCCCTGATCCTTTGATGGTTGTATTACACAATGGAAACTAGATCCCCACTGGTAAGATGCAAACTCTCTTCTTACTAAGACTGTCTATTTCTTTTTGAGATGGTAATAAATGTCTAACATGTTTTTTTTCTAGAAAATATCTGAATTATATCAATAAAAATGTATGCATACATTTATGAAAATAGAAGAGGAAGGGCAAAGAGTTATTTTTAAAAAGCTAAGATTTGTTAGAGACTATTGAGCATCAAACACCAAATCATTAGATTTTTCTGCAACATTAAATAATTGGATGTTAAGTTCATTATAAATCAAGTCTATCCTCTAAGTTTAACTGAAGAACTAATCACAGAACCTAAGCTAACCCATAGATGTAGGACAAAGTGTTACTCAGTATGAGGCGTAGGGATCAAAGTCTAGCAAGGCTCTAGTATGATTGTTATTTAAAATACACCGGGAGATTTAGAGTAAGTTTTTATGTCATTTTACCACACCTTGTGTTTACATATCCAATAAATGCGACCAACTCTAACATGTTCCTGGATATGGAAATAAAAGAAAAAGTCTTCAGAGCCTTGAAAACGGCTATGCAATAGAATCTTACACTCCTAGAGATGCCATCTCTGACATCTCTCTTTTGCCCTAAAATTATGTGTCAGACTGGGAATAAGTGTCATGTTTGGCTTTTGCCTCATATGTCAACTAGCACATAAAAAAAGTCACCATGTGCTTACTAAATGAGCTCATAGTTTTGTTATCCACCTTGGTTTTCATTCCTTCTGAATTTGATCGAAGCCCAATTCTCCTTCTCTTTCCTATTTGATCTGCTATTGGCAAAGTTCAAAAACTGAGATGTTACAACTGATTACGGTAGAATCATCTATGTTCATATTCATAAGTAAATATAACTTTGAATCACCAAGAAAAACTATTCCAGGTAACTAAGCTGTAAGTTTTTACATTAGATTAAACAATTTCTATTTTATCTATTTCCTAGTTCTCTGTATCTGCCAGTATGAAATCACTATTCTAGGGTTCACTCTGGCATCAATTTTTTGACAACGGACAAGTCATTTTCTATTCTGACATTTAGTTTTCACTTCTTTAAAGGGAGGGTCCTTTAATTGAAATTGCTCTTACCCCAGCATGTCCTGTTCTCCCTTCCCTGCTTTATATTTTCCTCCAGTTCTAAACTTCCATGATTCTATCAGATATATTTTTTAACTTCACTGGGTCCATAATAAGTGAGGGGATTTTGTTACAGTAAAATGTTTAAAACCATGGTTTAACTGATTGTTCTGTTATCATCTTTTAACATAACAATTTTTAACGTAAGATAACTTTAACATAACATCACAACTGTCACAGATTATAACTCATTGCCAGTATCTTAGTTTGAGCTGCTGTAACAGAATACCATAGATTGGATAGGTTAAACAACAAACATTTGTTTCTCACAGTTCTGGAGGCTAGAAGTCAACAAGCAGGGTGCCAGCATGGTCAGGTTCGGGGAAGGCTGTCTACGTCAAGGGTCCCCACCCGCTGGGGCTGCGGACCAGTACCAGTCCATGGCCTGTAAGGACCTGGGCTGTGCAGCAGGAGGTGAGAGGCAGGGGAGTCAACATTTCCCCCTGAGCTCCTCATCCTGTCAGATTAGCAGAGGCGTTAAATTCTCATAGGAGCGCAAATCCTATTGTAAACTGTGCATACAAGGGATCTAGGTTGTGTGATCTTTACAAGAATCTAATGCATCCCCCTCTCCATCCATGGAAAAATTGTCTTCCACAAAACTGGTCCCTGGTGCCAAAAAGGTTGGGGATGGCTGCTCTACTTAATTCACAGACATCTGTCTTTTTGTATCCTCACATGCTAGAGAGAGAAGGCTAGTTAGTTCTGTTACTTTTCTTATGAGGACAATAATCCCATCATGAGGTCCCACCCTCATAACCTAATTACCTCCCAAGGGCCCCATGTCCTAATACCATTCCATTGAGAATTAAAATTTTAAGATGTGTATTTTGGGAGAGGAGACACAGATATGCAATCTGTAATATAAACTAATAACAATTAGCAATTATAAACAAATTAAATTAATTGATCAATCTAATTGATTTGAAAACTAATAAGTGCTACAAAGATTCATTCACCAATTAGATGCCGCTGGAGGGATTTGTAGTGATATCAAGACAAAAATTTGATCTTCTTGGAAGTACTAAATATAATTCTTTGTGTATATCATAGACAAGATAACAGAGACAAAAGAAGTCGTGCAGTTTAAGTATTGACAGTATTAATGCATACACTTTATACACTAAAATACTTGGAACCTTAATGGGAAGCTTGAGATAGGGACACAATTTGATGTTTATACTTATAAAATTTTTTTCACTTCCAAAAGGACATTCAAACCAAGATTGAAAAACAGGTAATCTGTTAAACTAACAGGAACCATATAGCCTTGTAGATTTGTAATTATAAAATAATATTAAGCCTTTCAAAAACAGAATGAAATATATTTCATAATTTTCAAGTTAATCTAACTTTTGACTAAAATGAACATCTAAATTTTATAGAATTTTCAAAAATGATCAACATGTCTCTCTATATGAAATTTGAAAATGATACTATTACAAAAGCTGAATTCAAGATTTAATACAATGAAAACAACATAAAATAGAGGAACAAATATCTTGCTGTGTATTAGATTAAGTGAATTCTTTCTTGGTTGTCTGAGGCCCAAGAGAGAGATGATCCAATGAAACTATGCAATAGAGGTTGGTAAGTAATATGTTTCTCTACCTGCAGCGTTCAGAAAAGAAACCTCCCCAGAGTCTGCAGTACACATTAGGGAGGTGCTCTCTGTAACCCCAGGTCCAGTTCACATAGCTCACACCAGAAGGCAGAGCTAAGAAGGTGAAACTGTCAACAACCCAAGGATCAGCTGAGTCTTGTGATTTCCCCAGGTGACCTGTGTGGAGCTCAACAACTATAGTCAATTAACAAATTTAAAAGGTCGGTTGGAGCAAGCATCCCCCAAAGTTCTACAATGTGGCCGAGGACTTTGATTGTACATTGTTCTTTTTTTAATAGTCATTCCAAATATCATGAGATGCATTGTTACAGGAAGTCCCTTGCCCTCCTAAAAGCCACCCCACTTGTCTCTAAGGAGAATGGCCCAGTCCTCTCCCAAGTCCACGCAGGGGAAGTGATAGCATTGCTTTCGTGTAAATTATGTAATGCAAAATTTTTTAAATCTTCGCCGTAATACTTTTGTATTTTGTTTTATTTTGAATGATCAGCCTTTGTGGCCCCCCTTTGTTTCCCCCAACTTGAGATGTATGAAGGCTTTTGGTCTCCCTGGGAGTGGGTGGAGGCAGCCAGGGCTTACCTGTACACTGACTTTAGGCCAGATGAATAAAAGTGCACCTTAAAAATGACAAAAAAAAAAAGATCAACTTCAGTGAAAGAAACTTTCCCAGAGGATAGCTTATTCTTTATGCTTATTTCCCAATTATTTATTGAGAATTGCCCATGCTGAAGTCACTGGTAGGCCCCAGATAATAAGGAATTCTGAAACATGATGCTTTCTGTCAAGGGATTTACACTCTGGGGCCAGGGAAGGGAGGATTCATATAGAAGTAACTAGGAAATATAGAGTAATGCCACACTTGACAGGAGAAACTTGTTGGAAGTCATAGAAGGAATCATGCGTTGGTGTGGGGGTAGAGTAGAGGAATCATGAGACTCCTAAAATGAGGGCTGTAGGAGTTAGAGGAGAGGAAGAACACTTCCAACTGGGGCTGGTTTTTCATTGCTTCTGTCTAATAGCCACTCTTCAATTTCAAAAGGCACAGGTTAGTGGGGCGGTTAGTGCAGGCAACAGGAATGTGGGGACAGGTCATCCAAGTTGAATCATAAAGCATCTAAGATGAGTATCCAGCAGAATGACAGGGATAGATTAAGGAATTCAAACTATATGTAGTGGGGAAATACAAATGGTTTCAAATATCAAAATGGTGATTTATGATGTATAATTTGACAATTGCATGGAATTTATGCTGGATTAGGAATCAAGGTAGCAAGAAATAGTGATGGTCTGAGATAATGGGAGAATGCGTGATTCTTGGTCCTCCTGATGATAGTGAGGAACATATTAAAAGCGATGTGAGTGTGCACTGTGCACAGCAGATCTGTAAGGTGATTGTGGTTAAAGACTATACAAGCCACATTTCCAGCCTCCAGTTGCAGTTTTAATATATGATGATGATGTCCAGACCAGGATGCCATCCTGTCTGAAAAAGAAAATAAAGAATGTGTAAATAAGATTCAGTGACAGATTTCTGAATGCCTCGCCTTATTTATTTTGCATTCTCTCCAGGGCCTGAATATATATTTTATATTATATATTTCATAAATGCATGTGTAATTTAATTGAGTTGAACAGCAAACTCAGTGCAGGAGCTAAACCATAAACTCCCTGACTCAGAACCAGACAGAAACTAGGACAGCCCAGAGGGAAAAGGCCCTGTCATAGTCATCTGCAGCACCCGGGACAACACTTGGCACAGATTTGGACATTTTATGAATGTCAGTTGTATGTTTTTAAGTGTAAAAAACGTAGCAAAATTCCATGTTTAATGAGGATACCCCTTTATTTTTCATAGAGCCTTTAGTTCTCCCTTTGAAATAGTCTCAATCTGAGCACTTGGTTGATTCTATGCCTTTGCTATTGTGAATAGTGCTACAATGAATATACACATGCATGTGTCTTTATGGTAGAATGACTTATATTCCTTTGGGTATATACCCAGGAAAGGGATTTCTGGGTCAAATGGTGGTCCTGTTTTAAGTTCTTTGAGAAATCTCCAAATTGCTTTCTTGGAAATGGCTGAACCAATTTACATACCCACCACCAATGTATAAGCATCCTCTTTTCTCTAAACCTCACCTGCATCTGTTATTTTTTGACTTTTTATAATATCCATTCTTAATGGTGTGAGATGGTATTTCACTGTGGTTTTGATTGGTATTTCTCTAATGATTAGTGATGTTAAATATTTTTTCATATGCTTGTTGGCTGTCTGTTTATGTCCTTTGCCCATTTTAAGTGGGGTTGCATGTTTTTTGCTTGTTGATTTAAGTTCCTTATAGATTCTAGATATTAAACTATTGTCAGATGCATAGTTTGCAAATATTTTCTTCAATTCTGTAGGGTGTTCATTTACTTTGTTGATAGTTTCTTTTACTGTGGAGAAGCTCTTTAGTTTAATTAATTCCCACTAGTCAATTTTTGATTTTGTTGCAATTGCTTTTGGAGCCTTCATCATAAAATATTTTCCAGGGCCTATGTCCAGAATGGTATCTCCTAGGTTTTCTTCTAGGGTGTTTTTTCAAATAGTTTTACATTTTCCACTTAAGTCTTTAATCCACTTCAGTTGCTTTACGTATATAGTGAAAGGAAGGGGTCCAGTTTCAATCTCCTATAGATGGCTGGCCAGTTATCCCAGTACCATTTATTGAACAGAAAGTCCTTTCCACATTGCTTGTTATTGTTGACTTTGTCGAAGATCAGATGGTTGTAGGTAGGTAGCTTTATTTCCATGTTCTGTAACCTGTTCCATTGGCCTGTGTGTCTGTTTTTGTATCAGTATCATGCTGCTTCGGTCACTGTAGCCTTGTAGTATAGTCTGAAGTTGGCAAACATGATGCCTCCAGCTTTGTTCTTTTTGCATAGGATCGTCTTGGCTATTTGGGCTCTTTTTCCGTTCCATATGAATTTTATGACTTTTTTTCCAATTCTGTGTAAAACGACATTGGTATTGATAGGAATAGCATTACATCTCTAAATTGCTTTGGGCAGCATGGTCATTTTAACAATGTTGATTTTTCCTATTCATGAGCATGGAGTGTTTTTCCATTTATTTGTGTCATCTCTGATTTCTTTAAGCAATGTTTTGTAATCCTTGATGTAAAGTTCTGTCATCTCCTTGGTTAGCTATATACTTAGGTATTCTATTCTTTTGTGGCTACTGTGAATGGGATTGCATTTTTAATTTGGATCTCAGCTTAGACGTTTTTGGCATGTGGAAATGCTACTGATTTTTGTACATTGGCTTTGTATCCTGAAAGTTTGATGAAGTTATCAGGTTTAAGAGCCATTGGGCTGAGGCTTTAGAGTTTACTATGTATAGACTCATATAGTCTACAAAGAGAGATAGTTTGACTTCCTCTATTCCTATTTGTATGCCTTTTATTTATTTTTCTTGCCTGATTGCTCTGGCTAGGACTTCCAGAGTGATTTGGAATAGGAGTGGTGAGAGTAGGCATCCTTTTCATGTTCTGGTTCTCAAGGGGAATGCTTCCAACTTTTGCCCATTCAGTATAACGCTGGCTGTAGTTTTTCATAAATGGCTCTTATTATTTTGATGTATGTTCCTTAAATGCCTAGTTTGTTCAGTTTTTAATGTGAAGGTGTAACAGATTTTATCAAAAGCCTTTGTTTAGTATATTGAGATGATCATGTGGTTTTTGTTTTCAGTTCTGCTTATGTGATGAATAATGTTTATTGATTTGCTTTTGTTGAACCAACCTTGCATCCCATGAATAATGCCTACTTTATTGTGGTAAATTAGCTTTTTGATGTGCTGCTGGATTTGGTTTGTTAGTATTTTGTTGAGGATTTTAGCCTCTGTGTCCATCAAGTGCATTGTCCTGAAGGTTTTGTTTTGGGATTTTTTACATTGTGTCTCTACCAGGATTTGGTATCAGAATGATGCTGGCCTCATAGAATGAGATAGGGAGGAGTCCCTCCCCTCGATGTGTTGGAATCGTTTCAGTAGGATTGGTACCAGCTCTTTGTATGTCTGGTAGAATTCTGCAGTGAATCCATCTGGTCCAGAGTTTTTTCTGGTTGGTAGGTTTTTTTATTACTGATTCAATTTTGGAACATGTCATCGGTCTTTTCAGGATTTCAGTTTCTTCCTGGTTCAAACTTGGTAGGTTGTATGTTTCCAGGAATTTATCCATTTCTTCTAGGATTTTTAGTTTGTTTGCATAGAGCTGTTTGTAATAGTCTCTGAGGTTTTGTGGTTTTTTTTTGTATTTCTGCAGAGCCAGCGGTAGTGTGTTTTATTATTATTATTATTAATGTAGCTAACAGTCTAACAGTCTTATTTATTTTTTCTGAAAAAAGAACTTTTGGTTTTGTTGATCTCTTGTATGGTTTTTTGTGTTTCCATTTGTTTCAGCACATCTCTAACTTTGGTTATTTCTTCCCCCTTCTAGCTTTGTGGTTGGTTTGCTATTGTTTTTCTGGTTCCTCTTGTTGTGATGTTAGATTGCTAATGTGAGAAGCGTCTAACTTTTTGATGTGGGCATTTAGCAATATAAAATTCCCTTTTAACACTGCTTTAGCAGTGTCCCAGAGAGTCTTATATGTTGTACCTTTGTTTTCATTAGTTTCAAAGAATTTCTTGGTTTCTGCCTTAATTTCATTGCTTACACAAAAGTCATTTCAGGAGCATGTTGTTTAATTTCCACTTCATTATATGACTTTTAGAGATCTTGGTTTTGAATACTCCTTATAACACTGTGGTCCAAGAGTGATTGGTATGATTTCAAAATTTTTTCAATTTGTTGAGAATTGCTTTGTTGTCAAAGACATGGTTGATTTTACCGTATGTGCCATGTGAAAATGGGGAGAATGTATTTTCTGTTTTTATTGGGAGAAGTGTTCTGTAGATGTCTGTCAGGTCCATTCGGTCATGTGTTGAGTTTAGATGCTGAATATCTTTTTAAATTTTCTGCTTTGATGATCTGTCTAATATTGTCATCGGGGTGTTAAGGTCTCCCAGTATTATTGTGTGGTTATCTAAGTCTCTTCATAGTTCTCTAGGAACTTGTTCAATGAATCTGGGTTCCCCAGTTTTGGATGCATATATATATTTAGGATAGTTAAGTCTTCTTTTTGAACTGAACCCTTTATCGTTATTTAATGTTTTTTGTCCCTTTCGATCGTTGTTGGCTTAAAGTCTGTTTTGTCTGAAATAAGAATAGCAACTTTTGCTCTTTTCAGTTTTCTATTTGCTTGATAGATCTTTCTCCATCCCTTTACTTTGAGCATATGGTTGTCATTGCATGTGATATGGGTCTCCTGAAGATAGCATGAGACTATCTTGAGTCTTGCTTCTTTGTCCAACTTACCACTCTGTGCCTTTTAAGTGGGGTGTTTAGCCCATATACATTCAGGGTTAACAATGTGTGGATTTGATTCTGTCATCAGGTTGTTAGTTGGTTGTTACGTAGACTTGTCTGTGTAGTTAATTTATAGTATCAATGGTAGACCTTATTGTGTAGTTTCTTTATAGTGTCAATTCCATAGTTGATTTATAGTGTCAATGTAGGTGATTTATAGTGTCAATATACTTCAGTGTCTTTTTGTGGTGGCCAGCAACAGTCTTTCATTTCCATATTTAGCACTCCCTTAAGGACCTCTTTTAAAGGAGGTCTGGTGGTAATGAATTCCCTTAGCATATGCTTGTTTGCAAAGGATTTTATTTCTACTTCAGTTATGAAGCTTAGTTTGGCTGGATATGAAATTCTTCGTTGGAATTCCTTTACTTTAAGGATCTTGAATATAGGCCTCCAATTTCTTCTGGTTATAGGGTTTCTCCTGAAAGATCTGCTGTTAGACTGATGGGATTCCCTTTTGGCAGTGAATCTATCTGGGCCAGAGCCTTTTCTGGTTGGTAGATTTTTTATTATTTAGGGGTAGGTGACCTGCCCCTTCTCTCTAGCTGCCTTTAATATTTCTTTCATTTGCATTAACCTTGGAGAATTTGGTGACTATATAACTTGGGGATGGTCATCTTGTGTAGTATCTCTCAGGGGTTCTCTGAATTTCCTGAATTTGAATGTCAACCTCTCTATTGAGATCGGGGAAATTTTCATGGACAATGTCCTCAAACTCTGAGATCATTTCTTTATCCTTGTCTATTCTGCTGTTAATATTACTAATTGTGTTATAAAATTCTTGTAGTGAATTTTTCAGCTCTATCAGATGAGTTTGGTTTTTCCTTAAAATGGCTATTTCATTTTTCAGCTCTCGAATCATTTTACTGGATTCCTTAAATTTGTTGGATTGGTTTTCAACTTTGTCCTGAATCTCCGCAATCTATGTTACCATCCAGATGCTGAATTCTATGTCTGTCATTTCAGTCATTTGAGTCTGGTTGGGAACCATTGCTGGGGAGCTAGTATGGTCATTTGGAGGTAAGAAGACACTTTGGCTTTTATAATTGCTACAGTTCCTGTGCTGGTTCTTTCTCATCTGTGTGGGCTACTATTCCTTTAATCATTGAAGTTGTTGTCATTGGGATGGGGCATTTTTCTTTTATATTCTTTGAAGCCCTTGAGGGTTTGAGCATAGTATAAGTTGAATTTAGTCAACTGGCTTCATTTCTGGATGATTTCAGGGGGACATGGCTAAGCTCAGCACTCCTGAGCTGTATGCTCTAACCCTGGGTGGCTGGGACCAGGCCTGTGATTTTGTTCTCTGGTTCCTTGAGGTTAAGCACCTTCTGCATTGGAGGGGCCAAGATATTCCCAGTCAGCTGGCAACAACACTCCAATGGGGGGTGGTTCACAGTAAAAGCATTTCATTGTGGTGGTGTCACAGTGAGGTCTGCTCATAAATGTGCACTGGTGGTAAGTTGTCAGGGTCCACATGCACGTGCCCATGCTGCTGGTTGCAGGGTGGCAGGATCCATTCACACATGCACGCTGGCATGGACAGGCCAGTGGTGGGGTGATGGGGTCTGCATGTGTGCTCATGCAGTGCTGGCAGTAGGGTGGCAGTGTGGAAAGGTCCACTACACCCACATATACAAGCACATTGGTATGGCAGTCAAGGGAGGCTGCAGGTGAGTGCATGCAGGCCGAGTTGTGTTGCGGGGTTGTGGGCAGGCACATGCTGGTGGGGGCCCATCTGTAGAAGCTCTCTGATGGTTAGACAGGGTCTTTTGGTGAATGAGCTATGGAAGTGGTCACTAGGAAGCACCCCAGTTGAGCATCTGAGGCTGTGCTGCAAGCAGGTGAGGCCGGGCAGGGACTTTTGGAAAGACTGGTAGACAGGGAGGTGCTCAGATTAGATTGTTCCCATTCCATGGGTAACATAACCTTGTTCTGTTCAGGTTCAGCTGTCAACAAAGGCCAAAACCACCTAGAGGAGCATGGGAAGCCTTGAGGGCTGGGCTCCACTGCAGCCATTCCTGTGCCAAATTTTCTGCGCTCCTGACAGGCTGAAGTCCTGTCCTTGCTGCCTCTCTAAGAAGCTCTCCATGCCAGCTCAAATGTCTTTGGGCATCGTGAGGTCTCCTGCAGCTGGGATTCTGAAAGTTCATGGCAAGAGTGGACCACTCCATGCCTATTTATCTCACTGCTTCCCCCAGTAGCTGCTCAGGGCCAGAAACGAGTCCTGGTGTTCGGCAACCCTATGTAGGGTCCCCGGCTTCCACCTCCTTCAGTCCAGAATCTGTGTCCTCCCCCCATCTCCTCTCAGCGCCCTCCTTCTGAAGATCAAATAATATGCCTGTCTTCTTGATGGCCTGGTCTCTTGGGCAAACCTTTTCCTGATGCATCTAGTCAGCCATCTTGGGAATTGTTTTTAAAAGGGATTAGTTTGAGCCTGTACATGTACTAGCCTTTGGGTTCTGCAGATCTATTTTTTTTTATGGATTTTGGTTAAAGTCTTTATGGATACCATTTCATGTATTTGCATACTTCTTATAAATATTAGCTTTGCTGCTGAAAGGTGGCATATCCTGGGAAATGGCAAAAGCTTAAGATCTTAGTGGCCAGCATTACTTTGTTTGAGACCAGAGTAGCAGAAGCAGTCTGTGTCCCAGACTGCTCTCCTGGGTCGTTGTCTCTCATAAGGATTCAGGTGCCTTCAGGGAAACATAAGGCACTGCAGCCCAATCTGGCCTCTTTTACCTTTTCCTGGAGTTTTCCTCTCTTTCCCATCTGCCTCCTGCTTTGTTTTCTGTCCTTTACCTATGAAATCAAGCCATTCTCTGATGGTCTTAGTTTCTCTTCTTTCCCTTTTGATTGAAACAATTATTCTTTATTTAAGATTACTAAATTAACATCTCTGAACCTTATCATGTGATTAAGCTCATGTTCAAGTGGACAAATATATCTGGATGTGCTCCTCTACTCCAAATTAGATCAGTCTAAATGGGAGTCATCCTTTTCTCTCCCAGCTGTATACACACTTCCCATGTTGCTCATTTTAGGGAATGTTACTTCTATCTTCCCTGTAATCTTAACTCCAGAGATCAGTCATCTATGACCTCTCCCTCTCTTTTGTGCATCACATTCACGTGGTTTCTTTGTTCTTTCAGTTGTTCACCTTGGCTCCACATTCATTTTCTTCCCTGCCGTCCTCTAGTTGAGGCCCTTTTAAACTCTAGGTAGAACCACTTGAGAAAACATTCTCATTCCCTTTTCTTTAGTCAAGGTTTTTCTTATCCAAATTACTTTATACGTAGTGCTGTCAGTAAGCTTTGTCATCTACCATTTTGCTGGTAGAATGGTCCTGCTCTTTTTAAAAAAAGAAGAATGAAAGAAGGGAGACAGGGAGAGAGGGAGAGAGAGAAAAAGAGAGAGAATGCTCTCAGCAATCAGCTCTGCAACCAGCTTCAGCCCCTACCTACTCTCTACATCAACTAAATGCTACCATACTATTTACCATTATTCCACTTTTCTACTTCTAACCCTCTTCCCATTTCCTTTTCTATGTTTATAGTAACTTTTTACACTTACTTCCATCCATATCTATGAAGCCATAAAACCAACATTTACTTTCCAAGTTGAAAACAATTTTTCTCTCTCTTCCGTGCTAATAAAGTACTTTGTTTTAAACTTTGTTATAAGCCCCTTCATTTGTGCCTTTGCATTTTAGTTATTGCATTATTTATTCTCATTCATTTTAAGTTATTTGAGAATAGAAACTGAATCTTTGCATTTACTCAAGCACGATGTATTGAAAAAGAAATAAATGATGAACTTTTAAAGTTAAAAGGCCATTTAAATAATTTTTGTAAAACCAAGTGAATCAAACGTAACACAGCATGACTTTAACTATTTTAATTTAAAAAATATTTTAAGATTTTCAATTTGTTTTCCTACATGTTTGATTTTCTGAAGAGTAAAACTCAGAATGCCCTGACCCAAAATAATTCAATTGTGTAATTCTATTCATATTCTGATTCCGTGAGGGTATTAGCTGACACTACTTAAGAAAGCATGCTGGCTGCACATTGCATGAGTAAATTTCCTCCCTCTGTGAATAAAATCATGTCCTTACACTGAACAGCATGCCTTAAGAAAATAATGGCAAAATTTCAGACTCTAATGTTATTGTAATTTTAACATCCCTGTAGTAAACTTACTTCCATGAAATAATCTAATTAAAGCAAATATATGAGTGCATCAGTATGTTTATATGTGCATATAAGCAAGATTCAGCGGTGTTTCTATTGCTTCAAAGTCTGTAGTGGCTTTATACCTTTGCACCAGCTAATGTTTTCCTTAAAGATTTTTACCTCTTGTGCATTCTTTATTGTATTAAATAAACTTTTCAATTGACTTCAGAGTTTCTAAGAAAATCATTTTGTCTTCTTTGCAAAGTATGAAATTAAGTGCTTTTAAGTTTTAAATAATTAATTTATTCATATTTTATTAATAGCAGGTTTATAAATAATATTTTAATAAAATTATAGACTAATTTTATTATGTATAAAGACAATTTTCACCTTTCGCAACTCCAGATTATGTAGGATATTTGATATGCCAAGAATAGATATATATATAAAAATATGTAGACAAAACAAACTTTATTGCATATGACTAGGTAATCAACAGTATAATAGAGTGTCGATTTAAATTTAACTGTGTATGAAAAGTTTAGTAACAGATATTACCGCTATCATGAAGTGATGTTTGTAATTTCCTGAAGTTCCCTTTTATCCCCAAACTTGTTTTCTCTCCCTCCCTCCCTCCCTCCCTCCCTTCCTCCCTTCCTTCCTCCCTTCCTTCCTTCCTTCCTTCCTTCCTTCAACAGTTTTTTTGATATAACATTGATATACAATGCATTGCACATATTTAAAGGATGCACTTTGATAAGTTCTGATGTGCATCTGTACACATGAAACCTTCACCACTATCAAAAAATAAACAGATCTATCATTTTAAAAAGTTTACTTCTGCCCTTAGTAATCCTTTCATCCTGTCCTTTCCTGTTATCAGTCCCCAGCAACCACCCTTCTGTTTTCTGTCACTTTATTAGTTTGTATTTTCCAGAATTTTATATAAACGGAATCAAACCCATGTACACATTTTGTGTGGCTTCTTGTAATCATAATTATTTATTTCATTTTATTTTTATTAATACATAACTGTACATATTTATAGGGTAATGTGATATTTTGATAAATGCATACAATGTGTAATAATCAAGTCAAGGTAATTAGGATATCCATCTGAATTAGGCCATTGTTGCATTGCTGTAAAAGAATACTCGAGGCTGGGTAATTTATAAGGAAATGAGGTTGAATTGGCTCACAGTTCTGCAGAATGTACAGGAAGCATGGTACCAACATCTGCTCAACTTCTGATGGGGCCTTTGGGAAGCTTATAATCATGGCAGAATGTGACAGAGAGCCAGCATGTCACATGGCAAGAACAGGAGCAAGAGAGTAAATGGGGAGATCTCAGATTCTTTTTTTTGAGACAGAGTCTCGCTCTGTCGCCCAGGCTGGAGTGCAGTGGCACGATCTCGGCTCCCTGCAGGCTTCGCCTCCCGGGTTCACGCCATTGTCTTGCCTCAGCCTCCCGAGTAGCTGGGACTACAGGCGCCCACCACCACGCCCGGCTAATTTTTTTTTTTTTGTATTTTTAGTAGAGACGGGGTTTCACGTGTTAGCCAGGATGGTCTCGATCTCCTGACCTCGTGATCCCCCTGCCTTGGCCTCCCAAATTGCTGGGATTACAGGCGTGAGCCACCACACCAGCCAATCTCAGACTCTTTTAAACAACCAGAACTCACGTGACCTGAGTAAGAATTCACTCATCACCAAGAGGATTGTGCTAAGCCATTCATGAGGGATCCACCCCCACAGTCAAATCACTTCCCACCAGGCCCCATCCTTATCACTGGGAATCACATTTCAACATGAGATTTGGAGGGGACAGACATCCAAACCATATCACCAACACCTCAAACATTTATTGTATCTTTGTGTTGAGAACACTCCAAATTTTCTCTTTCTGCTATTTTGATATATACAATAAATTATTGTTAAATATAGTCACTCTACTGTGCTATCAAACACTAAAACTTACTCCTTCTATCTAACTGTGTTTTTGTACCCATTAACTAATATCTCTTTGCTCTCCTTAATTCTTAACCTTCCCAGCCTTTGGTAACCATCATTCTACTCTCTACCTTCATCAGATCAACTTTTTTAGCTCCCACCTATAAGTGAGAACATGGAATATTTATCTTTCTGTGCGTGACTTGTTTCACTTTATATAATGTCCTCCAGTTTCATCCTTGTTGCTGCAGATTACAGGATTTCATTTTTATGGCTAAATAGGACATTTTCTTTATCCATTCATCTGTTGATGGACATGTAAGTTGATTCCATATCTTGGCTACTGTGAATAGTGCTGTAATAAATATGGAAGTGCATATATCTTTTTGATATACTGACTTCATTTCCTTTGGATATATATCCATTAGTGAGATTGCTATATCATATGGTAGCTCTATTTTTGTTTATTTGAGGAAACTCCTTACTGTTTTTCATAGTAGCTGTACTAGTTTACATTCCCACCAGCAGTGTACTAGCATTCCTCTTTCTCAGCATTATTGCCAGCATTTGTTATTTTTTGTCTTTTTGATAACAGTCATTTTTAACTGAGGGTGTAATGGTGTCTTCTTGTGGTTTTGATTTGCATATCCCTGATGATTAATGATGTTGAATATTTTGTATATGCCTGTTGGCCATTTGTATGTCTTCTTTTGAAAAATGTCTATTGAGATAATTTGCCTATTTTTTAATTGTATTATTTGGGTTTTTTTTTTTTTGCTATTGAGTTGTTTAAGTTTTCTATATATTCTAGTTATTAATGGATACTAAAGTAGATGGTTTGTGAATATTTTTGCCCCTTCTGTAGGTTGTCTGTTTACTCTGTTAATGTTTTCTTGTACTGTGCAGCAGCTTTTTATCTTGATATAATCCCATTTGTCTATTTTTGTTTGTGCTGCCTGTGCTTTGGAAGTCTTATTTTAAAAATATATATATTTGCTCAAACCAATGACCTTAAGCATTTTCCCAGTGTTTTTTCTAGTAGTTTTGTAGTTTCAATTCTTACATTTAAATGTTTAATCCGTTTTGACTTGATCTTTGCATATGGTGAAAGGTGGGGGTCTAGTTTCATTTTTATGCATGTGAATATCCAATTTCCCCAGTACCATTTATTAAAAAGACTGTTCTTTCCCTCAATGTATGTTTTTGGTGCCTTTGTCAAAAATGAGTTGGCTGTAAATGTGTGGAATTATTTCTGGGTCCTCTATTCTGCTTCATTGGTTTATGTGTCTGGTTTTGTTGTTGTTGTTGTTTTGCCAGTACCATGCTTCTTTGGTTATTATACTTTTGTAATCTATTTTGAAGTCAAGTAGTGTGATGCCTCGAGCTTTGTCCTTTTCATTGAGGATTGCTTTGGTTATTCTGTGTTGTTTGGGGCTCCATACAAATTTTAGAATAGTTTTTTCCATTTCTCTGAAGAATGGCATTGGTATTTTGGAAGGGATTGCATTGAGTCTGTAGATCACTGCGCCTAGTATAGATATTTTAACAATAATAATTCTTCCAATTTATGAGAATGAGATTTTTTTTCATCTTTTTGTGTCCTTTTCAATGTTATTTATCAGTGTTTTTTAGTTTTCTTTGTAGAGATCATTCACTTCTTTTGTTGCATTTATTTATAGGTATTTTATTGTCTTTTAGCTATTATAAATGAGATTGCTTTCTTGATTTCTTTTTCAATTGTTCACAGTTGGTGTATGAAAATGCTACCTATTTTTGTATGTTGATTTGTGTGCTGCAACTTTCCTGAATTCATTTTTCAGTTCTGTAATTTGGTGGAGTCTTTAGGTTTCTCTAAACATAAGATCATGTCACCTGGGAGCAAGTATAATTGGCTTCTTTCTTTCCAATTTGGATGCCCTTTCTTTCTTTCTCTTGCCTAATTGGTTTGGCTAGGACTTCCCATACAATGTTGAATGAAAGCGGTAAAAGTGGGCATCATTGTCTTGTTCCAGATATTAGAGGAAAGGCTTTCAATTTTTTTTTCCTATTTAGTATGATGCTAGCTGTGGGTTTGTTATATGTGACCTTCATTGTTTTCAGGTATATTCCTTCTATGCGCAATTTATGTAGAGTTTTTATCATGACGGGTTATTAAATTTTATCAAATGCATTTTCAATTATCTATTGAAATAATCATATGGTTTTTCTTCTTGATTCCATTGATGCTATGCGTCTCTTATTGATTTGCATATGTTGAACCATCCAAGCATCCCTGGGCTGAATCCCACTTTATCACAGTATATGATTTTTTAAATGTGCTGTTGAATTCGGTTTGCCAGGACAGTTGTTCTTTGAACAACATGGGGCTTAGAGCACCAACCCCTGCACAGTAGAAATTTGTGTATAACTTTTGAATCCCCAAAACCTTAAATACTAGTAGCTTACTGCTGAGTGAAAGCCTTACCAATAACATAAAAGCTTGATTAACACATATTTTGTGTGTCATATGTATATGTTATATATACTGCATTCTTATAATAAAGTAACCTAGAGATAGGAAAATGTTATTTAGAAAATCATAAAGAAGAGAAAAATATATTTACTGTTTATTAAATGAAATTGGATTATCATAAAGGTCTCCATCATAACACCAATTTGTTGGTTTACAGTTGTTCATAACAGTCTCTAATTATCCTTTGTATTTTTGTAGTTATAATGTTTCCTTTGTTGTCTCAGATTTTATTTATTTGAGTCTTACGGTTTTTTTTTTCTTAGTCAAGCTAAAAGTTTCTCTATTTGTTTTATCTTTTCAAAAAATGAACTTTTTATTTTGTGGATTTTTTGTATATTTTTATTCGTCAGAAATAGCTCTGATATTTATTATTTCTTTTCTTCCACTAATGTTGTGTTTGGTTTGTTCTTGCCTTTCTAGTTCCTTGAAGTGCATTATTAAGTTATTTGGTCTTTCTACTTTTTTGATGAAAGTGTTTATTCATGTAAACTTTCACCTTAGAACTGCTTTTGTCATATCCTGCAGTTCTTGTGTTTCCATGTTTATTTGTCTCAATAAATTTTTAAATTTCCTTTTTAATTTCTTCAGTTACACATTTGTTGATCAGGTGCATGTTGTTTAATCACCATGAATTTTTACAGTTTCCAGCATTCCTTTTGCTTTCATTTTGTTTTATTCCATTATAGTCAGAAAAGATACTTGATATGATTTTGATTTTTTAAAATTTGATAAAACTTCTTTTGTGACCTAACATATGGTCTGTCCTGGAGAATGTTTCATGTGCTGTTGAGAAAATGTGTTTTCTGCAGCAGAGGGATGAAATGTTATGTAAATGTCTGTTAGGGCTCTTTCATCTGGAGTGCAGTGTAACTCCAATGTTTCTTTGTTGATTTTCTGTCTAGATCATCTGTCCAATGCTGAAATCCTCTATTGGATTGAAATCCTCTATTACTCTTGTATTGCTGTCCATTTCTCCCTCTATGTCTATTAATATTTGCTTTACATATCTGAGTTCTCCAGTATTAGGTGCATATATTTTTACAATTGCTACATCCTCTTGCTGTATTTACCCCTTTATCATTATGTAATAACCATATATATATAGATAGATAGATATAGATATATTACAATTCTTGACTTAAAGTTTGTTTTTTCTGAATAAGTATAGCTATTTCTGCTCTTTTTTGGTTTTTATTTGTGGGAATATGTTTTTCCATCTCTACACTTTCAGTATGTATGTGTCCTTATGGGCAAAGTGAGTTTGTCATAGACAGAATATTTGGATCATTTTTTAAAAATACATTCAGCCACTCTATTTTTTAATAGGATAATTTAATCAATTTACATTCAAGGTTATTATTGATAGATAACGGTTTATTACTGCCATTTTGATACTTGTTTTTGGGATTTTAAAATAGATCCTTTCTTCCTTTTCCCACCCTCTTACTGTATTTCTTTATAGCTAAATAAGTTTCACTAGCAGTATGTTTTGATTCTCTGCTATTTATTTTTAGTGTATCTATTATAGGTTTTTGCTTTATGGTTACCATGAGGCATACAGAAAATATCTTACAGTTATAACACGTTATTTTAAATTGCTAATGACTTAATCTTGATCACAGTGAAAGCAACAACAAAAATTCTCAACTTCAACATCATCCCCATCCCAACATTGTGACTTTTTGGTATTTCAATTTATGTCTTTTTCTATTTACTATTTACTAATTAACTGTTGTAATTATTTTTAATACTTTTGTCTTTTAGACTTCCTATTAAAAGTATAAATGGTTTACTTAGCCCAGTTACAGTTTTAGAATATTCTGGATTTCTTTTTTCTTATTTTACCAGTCAGTTTAATAACTGCAGATGTTTTTGTTATATGTTAGCATCCAGTTTCTTCTGTATTGAAAAACTCTCTTTTGGTATTTCGTGTAAGACAAGTCTGGTGTTGGTGAATTCCCTCAGCCTTTGTTTGTCTGGGAAAGTCTTTATCTCTCCTTTGAGTTTGAAAGATTGCTTTGCTGGGTATAATCTTACTGTTTGGCAGTATTTTTTCTTCAGCACTTTGAATATCACATTCCAGTCTCTCCTGACTTGCGGGATTTATGCTGAGAAGCCCCCTGAAAGTTATATTGGGACTCCATTGAATGTGATATTTTTATTTTCTCTTGCTGCTTTGATGATTCTTTGTCTTTAATTTTTGGTAACTTAATTATGATGTGCCTTGGGGAATCCCTCTTCGGGTTGAATTTGATTGGTTATGTCTGAGCGTCCTCTCTTTACCTGAAGGTTGTAATCTTTCTCCAGGTTTGGGAAATTTTCAGCCATTATTTCTTTAGATATGCTTTCTAGGCATTTTTCTTTCTTGTTTCCTTCAGAAATTCCTATTGCACAGATATTAATTCACTTGATTCTCTTGTCCCATAATTCTTGTAGGTTTTCTTCACTCACTTTTATTCTTTTTTTTTCTTTTTGCTCCACTGGTTGGATAATTTTATATGTTCCATCTTCAAGCTTGCTAATTCTTTCTTCTGTTTGAGAATATCTGTTGTTGAAGCTTTCTAATGATTTTTTTCAGGTCAGTTATTTTATTCTGTATTGCTAAGACTTCTATTTGGTTTTTGAAAAATTGTTTCTATTTCTTTGTCGTATTTCTCATTTTGTTTTTAGATTGTTTTCCAAATTTTATTTAGTTTTCTGTCAGGTATTTCTGTGATTCTCTAAACCTCTTTAAGAGAATTATTCTAAATACTCTGCCAGATCTCATAGATCTTCAAATCTTCTGGGTCAATTACTGGAGATTTGTTGGTTTCTTTTGGTGATGTCATATTTCCTGAGTTTTCGCAACTCTTATGTTGATTCCTGAGCATTTGATGAGACAGCCACTTCCAGTTTTTGCTGACATTCTTTGGTGGTTTTAGACTTTTACTACTTAGTATTGACTCTTAAACACTGCTCTACTGTTGCTTTCCATCCTGGGAAGAACTTATGTTGAGCACCAGGACTAAAACACTGCACTATAACTAACATGTTGCCCTGTTACTGTTTCCTCGTGTAGAAAAAACTTACAGTGAGCACCAAAACTTAAACTTAGACCCATAACTATATTGCATCCCTGCCATTGTTTTCTGGTCTTGGGAAGACTTAAGTTGGCACTAGGTATTAATTCTGATCTTTTAGTTTTTTTCCAGGCCAGGAAAATCCAGCTAGGGATTTAGGCATTCCCATGGATTGTGCCATCTGTGGCACATAAAAGAGACTGGCCAGTCTCTTTAATGTGGCACCCCCACTGACTGGAGCACAAAGTAGCTGCCAAAATCCATGCATCAGTTACTGTGATTAGTGCCCAGTTCATCACAGGTAGTTCAGCTTTCCTGGTACACCCAATTGCTCCCCTGGAAAGGAGTCAGGGTGGGCTTCCCATGAAGATTCCAAAAGGTGAGGAGATTGACCGTCCACCTCTCATTTCCTCCAATCACCATGGAAACCACAGGTCTAGAGAAATCCTCTTGAGTGGTTATGCCAGCTTGGGAGAGGGGCTGGCACAGTCTAAAATGACTATTCTAGTCACAACTTCTCTGATGCCCTAATGGGTTTCTCTACTTTCCCTCTGTGCTCTGGTGAATTTAGGGAGATATTCTTGTCTTTTAATAGTTTCAAGTTGAATTTCTGTGGGGGAAGTGATGATGCTTAGGATCTTCTATTCTGTCATCTTGCTGTCACTCATAATTATTTTAATATTCACTGTCCATTGAATGGATATTCCATGATTTTTTTTCATTTACCTACTGTTGTGCATTTTGGGCTATTTCTAGTTTTTAGCTATTACAAACAAAGCTGCTATTCATATTCATGTATGTACATGCACTTTCAGTTTTCTTGAATTATCTAGGAGTAGAATGGCTATATCATATGGTATTATATGTTTAAGCTTTTAAGAAACTATTGGACCATTTTGCAAAATTCTATATTTTACATGGCCACCAGCACTATATGAAAGTTCCAGTTGCTCCACATCCTTTTCAACACTTGACATGGTTTATCTTTTTAATTTTAGCCTTGGTAATAGGTATACAACAGTAGCTAATTTTGGTTTATTTTGAATTTCCCTAATGACTACTGATGTTGATCACCTATTCATGTGTTTATTTGCCATTAGTATTAGTTTTCTATGGCTGTAAAACATTACCAGGAACTTAGTTACATGAAACACGAGCCATTATTTTCTCACAATTCTGTAGCAAAGACGTTCTGGTGGGCTCAGCTAGTTTCTCTTTTTAGGGCTTTACAAAGCTGTATATCAGTGTATCAGCTGGGCTGGGTTCTTACCTGGAGATTCTGGAAAGAATCCACTTTCAAGCTCATTTACGTTTTTATGACAAGATCAGATCCACACAGACAATCTTTGTTATTTTAAGGTCAACTATCCCATATATCATCACATAGCCAACAATGTAATGCCATATTCATAGCTTTGATGATTAGACCAGATCGTATTTGAGGGGCCATTTTAGATACTCTACATGCCACACAACTCACATGTACTCTTATGTTAGAGTATTTGATCAAATAGCTTGCCAATTTTTAATTGGGCTGTAAGGGGTACAAACCTTTTACCAGGTATATACTTTTCGAATATTTTCTCTCAGTTTGTGGCAGTCTTTTTATTCTATTAATAGTGTCCTTTGAAGAGCAGAAATTTTAAATTTTGATGAAATCTTAATAAATTTTTTACTTAATGGAATTTGTCTTTAATGTTATATTCAAGATATCTTTGGCATATCTTAGGTCACAAAGATTCTCTCCTGTTTTAGAAGTTTTATAGTGTAAGTTTTACATTTCAGTATATTTGAATTTATCTTTGTAAATAATGCAAAGCGTAAATTGATGTTTATTTTGCATATGGATATTCAATGTTTTAGCACCATTTGTTGAAAATATTAATATTTCTTTATTCAATTGTTTTGTTACTTTGTTGAAAATCAGCTGTCCATATGAATATGGGCCTATTTTGTTACTATTTTCTGTTCCTTTGATCTGTTTATGTATCTTGATGCCATTACCTTGTGGTGTTAATATGAGACTTGAACTGTTAGTCTTTGAATATGTTTCTCCTGTTACAAAGTTGTTTTGCCTATTCTATTTTCCGTTTGGGTCCATATGAGATTTAGAATCAACTTGTCAAATTCTTTATATTAAAAAAGCCTGCTGGGATTTTGATTGAGATTATCTCAAACCTGTTGGTCAATTTGGGGTGAATTGATGTCTTAACTATATTGAATCTTTCAACATATGTATATGGTCTATCTATTCATTTATTAAGTATTTATTGAATTTAAGTAATTTATTTAATTTCTCTCACCAGAGTTGTATAGTTTCAGTCTACTGGTCTTGAGCAACAAATATGACATCTATTCCCAAGGATCTCTTATCTTTATATTATTGGAAATATTATTATTGATTTTTAATTTTGAATTCTTCTTGTCAGTGCACAAAAGTTCAATTTATTTTTCTATATTACCTTGTATCCTGAAACATGGCTAAACTCACTTATCATTTATGAAAGTTTTAATACATGCCAATAGATTTTCTACATAGTTACAATCATGTCATCTGCAAATGAGAATGTATATTCTTGTCCTATTTCTAATTAGGTGGGCAAAGCATTCAGTCTTACATCACTAAGTATGATGTCAGTTCCAGGTTTCTGTAGATGTCATTTATCAGGTTAAAGGAGTTGCCTTCTATTCCTTGTTTTTTGAGATCAGGATTGACTGCTGGAATTTTTTCAAATGTTTCTTCTCCACATATTTAGATGATCATAATTTTTTTTAGTTTGTTAATAGGATGAATTACATTGATTGATTATCATATATTGAACTAACTATTCCTGGGATAAACTCTAATTGATCATGATGTATTTTAATACACATATTGTAGTATTTGATCTGCTTTATTTGATCTGTCTAGATATTTTTTGCATCTATGTTCATGAGAGATATTGGGTTCCAGTTTTCTTTTATTTTGATGTCTTGTCTGGTTTTGTTTTTTGGGTAATGCTGGCCCATGGAATGAATAAGGAAGTATTCCCTCTTCTTCAATTTTCTGGATATGTTAGTGGAGAATTGGTGCTGTTTCTTCCTTAAATATTTAGTATACTTAACCAGTGAAGCCATCTGGGTCTGGAGTTTTCTTTGTGGAAAGATTTTTAAGAAACAAATTTATTTTATTTAATGGATACAGAGATATTCATATCTCCAATCCAATTTATTTCTTCTTTAGTGAATATTGTTAGTTTGCATATTTCATGGAATTGATAACTTTATAAGTTATCAAATATTTGGATAAAGAATGACTTGTAATTTTTTTATCCCTTTGATATCTGTGGGATCTGTAGTGATGTCTTCTCTTTGATTTCTGATATTGATAGTTGTGTTTTCTCTCCTATATTCTTGATCAATCTGATGAAAGGTTGTTATAAATTGTGGTCTTTGATCTGCTCTATTATTTATATACTCAAATAACTGGATTTTTGGTTACATTTATTTTTAGAGAAAAAATGTTTCTATGTTTTCTAGTCTATTGATTTCTGCTTTAATTCTTATTATTTACTTACTTTTATTTACTTTGGACTTGCTCTTTTTTTCTTACTTAAGGTGGAAACTGCTGTATTATTTTGATACTTGACTAGGTATTTCGTCCTATAAATTTCACCCTATGTTACTGTAGTGGCATTCCACAAATTTTAATTTGCTGTGTTTTCATTTTTATTTTATTCAAAATGTTTTCTAACTTTTTATATCTTTCTTAATACATAGGTTAATTACAGTGTGTTATTTATATTTCAAATATCTTAGAATTTTCCAGATCATTTTGTTTGTGATTTCTAGTATAAATCTCTTTGGTCAGAGAATGTACTTTGTGTGACTTGAATATTTAAAAGTTTATTGAGACATTCTATGTATTAAATTATGGTTTATCTTGATAAATATGCTATGTGCACTTGAAAAGAATGTGTATTCTGTTGTGATAGAGTGTCTTATAAATGTTAATTAGGTCAATTTTGATGATACTGTTCTATATTCTTTATCTTCTATAGCCTTATTGATTTTTGATTGGCTTATTCTATCAACTATTAAGAAAATCATATTGTGATTCTCTACTGTGTTTATAAATATGCCTGTTGATTGTTGTACTTCTGTTGTTGCTTCATGTGTTAAGAAGCTCTGTTATTAAATTCAAGAAGGTTTAGGATTGTTATATGCACCCAGTGAATTTTCCTTTTTGTTATTATGAAATCACATTCTTTTATTACTGGTAATATTCTTTTTTTCTGAAATCTACTTTTTATAATGTTAGTTTTGTTCAGTGTTAACATGGCATATATTTTTTCATTCTTTTATTATTGACATCTTTATAAAGTAGATTTCCTAGAGATAACACATAGTTGGTGGTATGGTTTGGACATTTGTCCTTTCCAAATATCCTGTTGAAATGTGAGGTGTTTGGGTCATGGGAGTGGGTCTTTTGTGAGTTTCATGGTGCCTTCCTTGTGTTAATAAGTGAGTTCTTGCTCTGAGTTCACATGCAATATGGTTGTTTTTAAAAGTGTGGTTCCCCCTCTTTCTCACTCCCTCTCTTGCCATCTGACATGCCTGATACTGCTTTGCCTTCTGCCATGAGTTAAAGCTTCCAGAAGCCAAACAGATGCCAGCACCATGCTTCCTATACAGCCTACAGAACCATTAACCAGTTAAACCTCTTTTCTTTATAAATTACCCAGTCTTCAGTGTGTGTTGCTAGCAATGCAAGAATGGACTAATACAGTTAGATCTTGTTTTTTTTAATCAATTTGACATTCTGTTCCATACAGTGGGTTAAATTACATTTAATGTGATTATTAATATTGCTAAAACTGTTTAAATTTATCATTTTGCTATTCATTTTCTTTTTGTCTCTCTTTCTTGTGTTCTTATCGTTTTATTCCTCTGCTATATTTTGGATAGATTATATTTTAAAAATTCTACTTATCTCCTATATTGGCTTTTTGCTATATCTATTTGTTTTGTTATTTGGGGTATTTCTGTACAGTTTATAATACATCACTTATCACACTCTACCCTCTTGTGATGTTATATCAACTCACATAGAATATAAAAAACATTATAATAGTATACTTATCAACTCCAAGCACTATGCTATTATCATCATATATTTGATGTTATATATATTATAAACCTCGTATTACATCATCCGTTTATGTAAGCAGTTAATTATATTACAAAGATACTTTTAAATAAAATAACTTGTGTATTTTGCCATGTATTTACTACGTAAAATTATCTTTATTTGTTTGGCAGATCCATATTTCCATCTGCTATCATTTTTCTTCTGCTTGAGGCCTCCTTTTATGTTTTTATTGTGTTGACTATTTTCTGCTGATGAATGCTTTTAGCTTTTTTATGTCAGACAAAAAGCACTTATGTCCCTTTTACTTTTAATAGACATTTTCAATAGGTGTAGACTTTCAGTATGACATATTTCTTCTTTTCTTTCAGTTCTTTAAAGATGTTGCCCATTATCTTTTCATTTACATTGTGTTTTAATGAGAACTTTGCTGTTCTTTTCTTTTTTCCTCTGCATATAATGTTTATTTTTTCCTTTAACTGCTTTTAAAATTTTTTTACCACTGTTTTTAAGTTACTTCCTTGTATTGTAACTTGGCATGGTTTTTTTCAGTCTTTCTCGAGTTTGAGTTTTATTGAAATTCTTAACTCTGTAGGTTTATAGTTTTCATAAATTTTTAATGACCATTATTTCTTCAAGTAGTATTTTCTGTCTTTAATCCCTTCTTGGTGACAACAATTACATTTATATTTGACTACTTTAAGTTATGTCAGAATGTACTGATGCTCTGCTTATTTCCAATTTTTTTATTTTGAATTATTTTTTATCTTCTAAAATTCATTAATCACCTACAATGTCTAATCCACCATTAATACTCTTGTTGTGTGTTTTCTTTCCTCTCATTTTAGTTTTTATTTAAGGTATTTGAATCTTTTTTTATCTTCCTTGTCTCTACTTAACATTTTGAAAATATGGAATTCAGATATTAGTTTGGTGCAAAAGTAATTGCTGTTTTTGCCACAACAAATACTTTTTGCACCAACCGAATATAATAACTATATTAGTATGATTGTTAGTTAATTCTAACACCTGTGTCAGTTATGTGTTTAAGTCAATCAATTGTTTCTGTTGTTGTTGTTTCTCTCCATTAGTCATATGTTCTTATTTTTTTATGCCTGGTAATTTTTTATTTTATGACAGACATTATGATTTTACCTTACTGGATGCTGGATATTTTTGTAGCCCTATAAATATTCTTGAGTTTTGTGCTAGGGTACGTTTAGTTGCTTAGAAACAGTCTGATTCTTTCATATCTTGGTTTTAAGATTTGTTACGTGGAACCAGAGCCATGTTTAATGTAGGGCCAATCATTCTCTGAGTGAGGCAAGATACTTCTGCCTCTCTAGGTGAAGCAAGATACTTTTCCCAGTATCCTATGGGGCTGGGCACAGTAATACTAGTTCTGGTTCAGCGTGAGTCCTCAGATTCTCTCAGGTACTTTTTTTCCCCGGCTTTGGGTAGCTTCCTCATGCACATGTGCTAACAAATACTTTGCTAAATATTCGTAGGTGACTCTATTAAGATCTCAGGAGTTTTATCTGTGAAACTCTCTCTTTTTTAGGATCCTGTCCTTGAAAGTATACCTTGCTGTCCCCCAAACACTCATCTCCTTCTGTATGCAAGAAATATGCTGGGATTTGCCTGTGTTACCTTGCAATCTGAAAACTCTCTCAGGGCCATATGTTGTGGTCGTTAAAGGGCTCACATCATTTGTTTCTCATCTTTCAGGGACCAATGACCCGCATCATTTCATGACCATGTCTTTAAAATCAATTTCATGTATTTTGTCCAGATTTTGTGTTGTCTTAGGTGACAAAAATCCAGTCCTTGTGACTCTAAGATGGAAGTGATATTCCTCAGGCTTATTGTTTAAATTTTATATTTGTTTTTAAATATTAAGATGATAGATTTTAAAGTCGTTTTTACAAGCATGTATTCACAAATAATATATCACAGGTTTGGATAGAATTTTTTTATTAAATATGGAATCTCAAATTGAATATAATTGACATTGTATATTATATTTTTAAAAATTATTTTTTTCTTTATTAGAAACATCTCCATATAAGAATTTTCCTCAGAAGAGTGCAACTTTCAGATCTGATGAAAATTACCTTCAATTTTTAAAATTATTATCATTATTATGCTCATTTTTAAGTTGTATTTCAACTTCAGTGTTCCTCAAGCTTTACATTTGGAAACACCAGTAAATATTAAATAATATATATCTAAGAATAAAATGTTTATCTCTATATAATGAGCAAAGTCAACACTGACTAGAAAACAAAGTTCAAACTCCTCAGCAAGGCCCTCAGTCAGGAACTTCCTGCCTACCTTTTGTTTTTTTTTAACCTTATTTCCTCTTCCCTGCATTATACTATAAGCTTGCATAGTACTGAACAGCTTATAGATCTCTGCACCTATTCTGCTGTTTCTTGCCTCTGAACTGTCTCGTATGCTGTTCTTTTCTCCTAGTGATGCCCTTTCTTCCTTTTTTAACTTGGAAAATTTGTAGTTATCCTTCGAGGCATGTCAGATGCTATTTTCCGTAAGAAGTTTCTCTGAATTGCCTCACACTGGGCACAATGTCCCCCTCTTTATCACCTGGGAAAGCATCCATCTCTGCACACATCATTTCATATTGAAATTATCTGTCTACCTGTTTGCCTTCCTAAAAAATTCAGAAAGATTTAGGAACTGGCAATACGGGGAAATAAATGTTACCAAATTTAAGAAAATTCAAACCTGAAATAACAGGAAAATCAGAGTTACTCACAAAGTTAATTTGTTTACATAGCAATATGCCCAGATACTAGTAAATTATTTAATTCATTAAAATTGCAAATTGTATTAAAACATTCAAAAGTAATATATTATAAAAGTATAGGGTTAAAGGCCCTTCCACATACAGTGAGTTTAAATATTGAAATATTTAAATATTGAAAAATCATCTTATTCTCAGAATTAATGAGACCGGAATAATGCACTTTGAATACTTAAAAGATCCCAACTATACTAGAGCAGTGGGTATATTCTGCCAGTGGACTTCAAAGGCAACGGTGCTGAGAGTTTCAAAAGCAGGAGTTTACGTGGTCATTTGAAGTCCACAGTATACTTCACCTAGAGCTGCATTTCAGCTTTGTTTATATTGTGTGTATAACACTGTAGGTGATCTATTGGGCTAGTAGGAGACACCTCTAATGAGAGTCTTTTTAAGTAATCTTCAATATAGATGGACACATATTTGATGCGTTACAAGGAAAGTAGGCCAATTAGAGATAAAGCTTAATAGCTTCAAGGAGGGAGCTGGAAGATTTACTTACACTTGACAGTGAAGAAGCAAAACATAATCTTAGTAAAGCCCTTATATTTAAGAAATGATATCTTCCTTTAAATAAATAGATTTTCAGATTTTTAGCTTCCTGAATGAAGTAATTTTATGCTGGTTTTGATGGACAAAATCACCAATTTATTTTTATCTGTAGGCTTGTGTCAATACTCTATACAACAGAGATATTGTAATATGCTAATTTATGCCTTGATTTTTCAATTAATACTATGAAAAAAGCTTCATTTTTCCCTGAAAACTATTCTAGTCATCCTTACTCCTTTATAATACATTCTTACATGCTACTTAGGAATCCTCTTTAACAATGTATAAATTTTCAGACTTTCTTTTCTAGGATGATAGTAGATTAATATTTTAAAAGAATAACAATACCTATAAATGTGTGTATAAAGAAAAAAGCTGGCTAGGCACTGTGGCTCGTGCCTATAATCCCAGCACTTTGGGAGGCTGAGGCAGGTGGATTATCTGAGGTCAGGAATTTGAGGCCAGCCTGGCCAACATGATGAAACTCCACCTGTACTAAAAATACAAAAATTAGCTGGGCATGGTGGCAGGTGCCTGTAGTCCCAGATGCTCAGGAGGCTGAAGGAGGAGAATCGCTTGAACCCGGGAGGCGGAGGTTGCAGTGAGCTGAGATCGCACCATTGCACTCCAGCCTGGGTGACAAGAGTGAAACTCCGTCAAAAAATAAAAATAAAAATAAAAATAAAAGAAAGAAAGCAAGCTGGGCAGGATCACACATGCTTGTAGTCCTAAATACTTGGAAGGCCAAGGTGGAAGGATCATTTGTGCCCAGGAGTTAGAGGCCAGCCTGACAAAATAGTAAGGCCATAAAAAAAGAAGAGAATACAAATACTTATAAATATGTATATAAAGAATAAAAGCCAGACATGTTGGCACTCCCTGCTACTTGGGAGGTTGAGGTAGGAGCATCATTTGTGCTCAGGACTTAGAGGCCAGCCTGGGCAACATAGTGAGACCCTGCTTCTTAAAAAACAAACAAACAAACAAACAAAAAAAGAATAAGGATCTTCAGGATCCAGAAGTGAAGAGAAAAATTGATGATCAGAGTGCTATGGCTCTGAGGGAAGTCCTATCAGTCTTAAAAAATTGGAATCTTTTGTTTCAATATATACAGTACATGGTCTTGTGCCCAAATGAGGAAAGGAAGTATTCCAATCTTAGGTGAAAATACGGCTTTCCAAGAGTTTAATTGTCTTTAAAGAGATGAATGAGAAAATCCACCTAAGCACAGAAAGATTATAAGAAAGCTAACTTTTCACTGAGACTTGAGTAGGTTTGTGACTTGCTTTTACATTATCTATGGGTTCCTGGATGGCTTATTCATTTGGGGTTTCTGACAGAAGAAAACTCAATGTTATATTGAAAGAACATCTTCTCAACACAGGATTACCCTGGAGGAAAAGGATAGGAGGAGAAGAAAACCCTGATAAGGATAAGCTCATAATTAAAGAATATACAAAATATTGGCAAAAGTCACAACAAGCAAGAGAATCGAAAGTTGAAAATTTAAGATAATAGAAGAATAATCTGTAATATAGCATACAAGTGCTTATAATGATTAAAGATACGAAAGAGGAAATCCAAATCCTAACAGTATAATTGCACTCTTTATTTGAGACAATGCTACAGTATCGAAAAACCAAATCTCAGTGACTTAACACTACAAAGAATATTTCTTTCATACCAGAGTGTGACCAGGTGTGTAGTGCTGGCTTTGCATGTGCTGAATAAGAGTTCCTGACTCCTTTCATTTTGTGGTATAACCATTTTGTAAGGTGTCCTTATAGGACTCAGACAGACATTGAGCAGGAAGAGAGAGAGAAGTATCTCACAGAATGTTTATGAACCCGAAGCTGGAATACAACATAACATAGTGCTAGCCAAACTGCAAAAGAAATGGAAACAGGATCGGTAGGCTTCTGCTCAATCTCTACCTACATATAAAAATTTGACAGAGTTTCAATTAGGTATATCAGAAATGTAAATTACAGGCATTCATTGTTTCATTTCATATAAATAGATGATAGAGATAGATTTATTACTTTGTCCAGGTACCATCCCAGTTACTGGAGATGGAGGAAATGAACAAAAAATCCAATGTTCCTACCACAGTGGAGTTTACAAAATCCTACCTGTGGAGGCACACAGTCAGCACATAAATAAAGGATTAGTGAGAGTACTGAGTAGTATAAAAATGAAGCAATATGAAATGATGCAGAGAAGCACCTTGCTATAATAGGGTGTTCATGAAAGTCCTCCAGCCCTCACCTCCAGGAGGTGATATTTGAGAGATGTTTCCTTGTTTCTAAATTCAACATTTAGTTGTTTTCACTTTATCATTCTTGATCTGCTAGCTGCATTTAGGTCTCCTGCTCATCTCCTCATTAAAAAAAAAAAAAAACAAAAAAAACCTTCACTTGGTTTCCAAGGTATCGCCTTCCAGTGTGTTTTTCCTACCTCAGTGTATTAGTTTCTTATGGCTGCTAGAATAAAATATCACAAACTTAATGGCTTCAAATCACATACATTCATTGACAAATTCATTTGGAATTCTCGAGGTCACAAGTCCAAAATGGGTCTCACTGAGCTACCAACAAGGTTTCAGCAGGGCTGCCTTCCTTTCTGTAGGCTCTAGGAGAAAATCCACTTCCTTGCCTTTCCAGCTTCTGGAACTTGACCACATTCCTCGGCTTGTGGCCACTTTTGTCTATCTTCCAAACCCAGCAATTTTCCCTTTTTGCTTTCTTCAGCAGCCACTTTTCCCTCTAACCTCCTCCGACTCCTTCTTCCACTTTTGAGCACTCTTGGAGTTACTCTGAGATCCCCAGATAATCCAGGATAATCTCCCCATCTCAAGATACTTAATCACATCTACAAGCTCCCTTTTTCAATGGAGGGTAACAGATCCACAGTTTCCAGGGACTAAGATGTGTATGTATTTGAAGTAGGGGTTGGTGGTTATTCTGTCTACCACATTCAGTGACTGCTTTCTTTTCTCAGTGTTCACAGTTATTTCCTCCTTATCTCTCTGACCCTTACATATAGAGTACCAGGGCAGAAATACAGCTCTGTTGATTACTAGAGATTGAAATATTTTTATATTTCTCAGTAGGTAGTCTTAACAATTACCAATAACTCTTGAGTTCCAGACATTTCTGCCTTTTGCCCTAGGTCCCTGACTTTCCCTGAGGACTTTAAATATTTGTTCCTGCTACATAAAATACGGAATAAATGTCTGGCTTAGTTGGAGGCTTTGAAGACACTGACCCAGCATTGTGGTCAGGGTCCATTTAGAATTGTTCTTGCTCAATCTATACCAGCTGTTAGCATCCCTGGGTGTGCCCCTTCCTTAAGTAGTTATTTTCTTGATGATTTCATCCAGTCTTAAGACTTTAAATACCACCTAGATGCTGATGACTCTCAAAGTTTCACTTGTTGTCCAATTTTTTCTCCCAAACTTCAGAATCTGATGTCTAATTACCTACTCAGTATCCTCAAGGCTGTATTTTTGGCATCTAAAGCACAATCTTATTTATCAGCGCACTGCTGCTTTATGCCCCCTGCCTCAATTTTTCTCCGTACCACGGTCTTCTGTCGATAAGGAAATATCAACTCTATCTGCTTTCTCTATCTTAAAGTATATGCAGAATCTATTTCTTGCCTTCTCTTCAGTCACCAAGCCAGTCCAAACCCCCATTAGTTCTCTCCTCTTAATTCAAAGCATTTTACATTGTCTCCCTTCTTCCTTTGGTCTTTTTCAACATAGCAGCAAGAATTATCATCAAATTCTAATAATATCATTTTGGACCCCTGCTCAGAACCCTCCTTTGGCTTCTTATCTCACTCAGAGTAAAGACCCTCCCCCTGCCTTAGATCACCTTGACAATCTTTGCATCTAGTACCTCTCTGCAATCAACTTCCATTGCTTTTCCTCCCACTCACACAGCTTAAGGCACACTGACCTCTGTATTATTCTTAAACTAAGTCAGGATGTCCTCTGCATCTGGAATACTCTTCCTTCCTGTATCTGGAGCATTCTTTGATGGATAGTCACATAGCTTGATCCCTCACTTTCTTTTATTATTTAAATATTGCCTTACTATAGATATTTTCCTTAACCATTGTTTTAAAAATTGAGTACCTTAACTCATCAGTTCCCCTGTACTGTGTTATATTTCCCTTTAGGAGTTTCATGTTTGAATACAATCACACACCTCATAACAACACTTTGGCCACTGATGAGCCTCATATATGAGAGTGGTCATCTAGTAAACTAAGGCTAATTTATTATTGAAGAAAGAAATTGTTTTTTACAAATTTAATGTAGCCTAAGTGTACAATATTTATAAGGTCTTCAGTAGTGTACAGTAATCTCCCAGGCCTTCACAGTCACTCTCAAATCACTGACTCATTAAAAGCAACTTCCTGCAAGCTCCACTCATGGTAAGTGTGCTATACAGGTGTACCATTCTGTTTTAACTTTTATACCGTGTTTTTACTGTATTTTTCTATGTTTAGATGTGTTTGGATACACAGGTGCTTACCATTGTGTTACAGTTGCCTGCAATATTCAGGACAGTAACAGCTGTACAGGTTTATAGCCTAGGAGCAATAGACTGTACCATCTAGCCTAGCTGTGTTGCAGGCTATACCATTTGTGTAGTGTGCTTACTAGGTTTGTGTAAGCACACTCTGTTGTTTGAGGGACAACAAACTTGCCTAGCAACGGATATCTTAGAATGTATCCTTGTTGATAAGCAGTGTGTTACTGTATACTGTATATTTTACTTAATTTATGATATTTAATTTGTATCCAGAACCCACTAGGATATGAGCTGTATAGAGATTTTAGTCTGTTTTTTTTAACTGCTTGTCCCACCCACTGTCTATAGGCAGGGTTTTAGCCTCACAAGGCGTTAAAAACTTGAACATTAAATAATATACCTATTTTACACTTTAAAAATCATGAAAATGAACAAAAAGTAGCATTCAAGGTTTAGCAATATGGGAATTGTAATACACATATATTTAAAGTAGGAAACAAGCCCAACTTTTCAGTAGAAAAATAGTCAAAATCTATCACAAACCTTAAATATGCATACACTTTGGTATAGGAAGGCTCCTCATTAAAATCTATCGTAACAAAATAATGTGAATGTACACAAAGATTTTGCAATAAGAACAACCACCATAGTCTTGTTTATGAAAGTGAAAAATTAAAAAATTTTAAAAATCGACCACCCCCCCAAATTTCCAAATATAGAAGCTTAGTTAAATGAAATAAGGTATATTTATACAAGACGATCTTATACAATCCTTAAATTAGTATTTAGATAAATATTTAGAGCATGAGAAATATTAACAATATGCTGATGAAGTGGTAAAAAGCAATTTATACAAAGTATATGCAAAATGACTTAATTTTCAAAAAAATATATGTAGACTGATAGATATATAGATGGGATTCTATATATCAGTCTGAGAATACAGCTATTTATCAACTATATGTTGCTTGTGTTCATGATATTTGATAATACGGTATATCTTTTTTTAAAATTCTTGCATCAGTAAGTAGGGACTAAGGCTCCACTTTAGCTTATGAAATAAACTCTTTGGGGTTATTTTAGTCTTTAGAAACTTAACATGTAGAAGTTGCCTAGCCACAAGTATGATTGTATTAAAAATGTAGTTAGTATGACTCAGCTGAGAAGACAAATTTATGTTATGCAGTTAATCCAATATTTGATCTCAGAGATTTTAATTAAACCTAACCCACCCACTCTCTGTCTCTGTCTAGTTTCTATCCTTTTGGCAGTAATGTACAATCTGGTTCTACTGAACAAAAGAAGGGGAAATTCCCACTCTGGCCAGAGTGGAGTGAAGCTGACATAAATTCAGAAAAGTGGGATGCAGGCAAAGGTGCAAAAGAAAAGGACAAAACAGGAAAAAGCCCTGTATTTGTAAGTAGATGTAAATGTGACTAGGTTTCATTTTGGTTTTTAATTTTATAATGGAATGAGATTTGTAAACATAAAAAGGTATTCATTCTTCTCCATAATGTGCATTCAAAAGGGAAATTTTTTATTTTTCTATCAGCCCCACCTCCCAACACTCCCACTTTGTCTTTCCAAGCCTTAGTCCTGAGCTTTGGTGAATCATATTTGGGTAAATTGGAAGAAAGAGATATGACCAAAGAATCATAATGATATAAAGGAAAAATTAAGAGATAGGGCAGGTTAGCCAGTCGACATTGGACAGAGTTTGGAAACAGGCATTTATAAAGAGTGGTTAAGAAAATGAAAATCCACAGTGGACTTGGAAGCTGTGACCGGGAGATAATAGGAAAGATAATTTTTTAAAAGAAATGTTAACTGTGAGATGAAAACTGGATTCCTCCTACTATCTCCTCAAGATATGTGAATAAAGATCCTCACTGCTCTTCGTTTACTTTTTGTCACATAAACATGGCATGTCCCTGAGATTGGTGCCAAAATGTAGAATTTCTGCATTTTCCAATTATATTACTTTATGTTATTTTGCCTATTTAAAAATGTTTATTTCTAAAGACTTCAAAGTTGAGGCTATGGGTCTGACTTTCATTTAAAATATGACCTATTTATTGGGTGCAACAATTCATTTAAAAATATTTATAGAAAACAATATAATTTTCAAGACATAAACATAAGTGCCAGAAGGGTTTAGTTGAACTTTACATAAAGCATTCTGAAATAGTAAATCTTAGCATGTACGTTTTGTTCACAAAAGATTGTATCACAAATTGCATGATTCATATTGGTCAATTTGTTAACAAAAGGTACGCAATAAAGGTATTGCTGACTCTGTTAGCACCTAAACAAGTTCCAAATTAGCAACATGTAAGGGAACAAATTCTTTGTACCACATCTAAAATGATTATGGAACTTCTAGATGCAGAGGGCTTTGAATTCTCTGGGTTCAAATGAAAATTGGCATATTCTATGTATTTTTTTCAGTGATTCAAAACTTATGGAGAGAGAGAAAGAGAGAGAGTGTGAGTGTGTGGGTGTGGGTGGGTGTGGGTGTGTGTGGGTGTGGTAAAATCTAGGATAGAACCTTACTTTCCACTTCCAGTCTGTCACAATCTCATCCATAACTCTTGAAGTAGCAGCTCCTTCACTGGAGTGAGTGGTGGACAGTGTCCAAGCCTTGTGATCGCATCTGCATGAAATGGTTGCATGGTAGCTCTTAGCGCTGATTTGCAGCATCCATCTTTTATTAAGATTAATTTCCTTAAGCATCCAAATATAACAAGTATCCTGGGAGTTTTGCAGAAGGCCGCTTCCCTAGACATGAGGCTAGTCATCAGGAAATCAGCCTCAGATGAATTCACCCTTTCCTCTAAGTCCAGAGAAAGGTCTCACTTCTTTAGCTAAGTGATGAGAACTAAAGGATGTGACGGGTGAATCAAATTGTGAATATATTATGCAGTACTGTAAGGTTATTATAAGGGACACTGATAAGAAAAATAATGTGGAAAGATTACCCTTAACTTCTTAATGAGGGAGGCCCAAATCCTGGGGAAAAGGGAACCACAACAAGGTCAGTTCCACATTCACCTTGTTCTTTGTTTATTTATTTTTTCCTCTCTCAAGTACATTTATTAATTCAAGGCATGAAGATTAGGGATCAAGCACAAAGTAGTGTCCTGGGACCTGTGTCAGTTTCTTGAGCTGGAGAGACAGAGGATATTGCCTAGGGCTGCTAAAGCAGTCAAAACTTGAACCAAAACCCCAGGGCTAATGGCAGAGAAGCAATCTGAAAATTTTGCATATAATTTTATTTTAAGATATTTACTCAACTCCTAAACTATGTATGAAGGATAAGCTACGGAGCAAATGAATAAACAGCAGCAGCTTGAAGGCAAAATAAAAAACGATTTAATGGTACTTTGGAGAGAAATTTAGGAACATCAAGGTAAAGGGACCCCAATAAACACTCCAGCTTTTTTAGACAGTGCACCAGACCAGCTATAGCATTCTGTATAAAGTAAGGGCAAACCAAAGTTACACCAGCCCTACCAAATCCTGAAACCCAGTGTTGACTGAGTCAGGTACATCTTGTACTCTGCCTGCCAAAAGGAAATAAATTCTCCTTTCTGGAATAAGACATCATTATCTAGAGCCCATATAATTTTTATACTCAGTGTATATCATTCATTAAAAATTATTAAGCATGTGAATCCTACCAGATGTACAAAGACAAGCTGCTACCATTCTTACTGAAACTATTCCAAAAAATTGAGAAGGAGACACTCCTCCCCAACTCATTCCATGAGAACATCATCATCCTGATAGCAAAGCATGACAGAGTCACAACAACAAAAAAATCTTCAGGCCACTATCATCGATGAACATCAATGCAAAAATCCTCAACAAAATACTTGCCAACCAAATCCAGCAGCACATCAAAAAGCTAATCCACCATGATCAAGTAGGCTTCACTCGCAGGATGCAAGTTTGGTTCAACAGACACAAATCAATAAATGTGATTCATCACATAAACACAACTAAAGACAAAAACCACATGATTATCTCAATAGATGCAGAAAGGACTTTTGATAAAATTCAATACCCCTTGATGTTAACCCTTTTCCCATTACAAAAAAGTGCAGCTCGCTTCCAGCATTCATTTAATTTTACATAAACATACTCTTTGAAGCTGATGCAAATCTGACTGATTTTCAATGTGAAAATAAAACATAAAAAGCTGTTCTTATAGCAAAGACTTGGAACCAACCCAAATGTCCAACAATGATAGACTGGATTAAGAAAATGTGGCACATATACCCCATGGAATACTATGCAGCCATAAAAAATGATGAGTTCATGTCCTTTGTAGGGACATGGATGAAGCTGGAAACCATCATTCTCAGCAAACTATCGCAAGGACAAAAAACCAAACACCACATGTTCTCACTCATAGGTGGGAAATGAACAATGAGAACACATGGACACAGGAAAGGGAACATCACACACTGGGGCCTGTTGTGGGGTGGGGGGGGGGGGGAGGGATAGCATTTGGAGATATACCTAATGTTAAATGATGAGTTACTGGGTGCAGCACACCAACAAGGCACATGTATACATATGTAACTAACCTGCACATTGTGCACATGTACCCTAAAACTTAAAGTATAATAAAAAAAAAACTGTTCTTAGAGTTATTTCTAAACAGAACTTGTCTATAATCTTAATGTAACAGAAATGTATGTGATGATCAGTGTTTAATAATTTTCATCATGTGATAAGTTTCAAAGCACAGCACAACACAAAGTGGAGCATCACCTTCTGCAAAAAAAAAAAAAAAAATGCATTTCTCTCCAGATCGTCTTGCCATCCTTGCTGTTGTGCAAGCCTCAAACTTTGCAGTGACTACTTGGATTTCATTTCATTTCCCTGATATTGGTAATAGGCTTTTGGGCAAAATGTCTTCCAGACAGATGAAGAGGTGTGGCATCACCAGAACATGGGTGACCTTGAAGATGTTGCTGCCCTGGCTTGTGATGCTTTTCCAGCATTTTTTTAATCAACGGGAATCTGAGGTTTACATGGCTAATCATGTGCTCAGGATTGTCCTTCTTGAACAGGATGTAGGAATTCAGTGCTTTGATATTTAGAGGTGGCGAAAGAATTTCTTATACCAAGCATGTTTTATCTTGGGATAAACACTGCAACTGCAAGCACTGCTGGTGAGTATTCTTGGGTGCAAATGGGAAATGGTTAAAAACTCTCCACAAACTAGGTATGAAGGAACATACCTCAAAATAAAAAGAGCCATCTATGAAAAACCCACAGCGAACATTATACTGAATGGCAAGACCTGGAAGCATTCCTCTTGAAAACTGGCACATTACAAAGATGCTTTCTCTCACCACTCCTATTCAACACAGTATTGGAAGTCAGCCAGAGAAATCAGGTAAGAAAAAGGAATAAAGGGCACCCAAATAGGAAGAAAGGAAGTCAAACTATCCCTGTTTGCAGATGACATGATTCTATATCTAGAAAACCCCATAGTCTCAGACCAAAAGCTTTTTCAGATGGTAAACAACTGCAGCAAAGTTTCAGGATGCAAAATCAGTATACAGTGCTCACTTCAGCAGTGCATATACTAAAATTGGAATGATACAGAAAAGATTAGCATGGCCCCTGCACAAGCATGCCTCCTGCACAAGCATGGCACACAAATTCGTGAAGAGGTCCGTAATTTTAATTAAAAATCTAACTTCGCAATTGAAATAATTAGAGAAGCTAGAACAAATTAATCCCAATGCTAGCAGAAGACGAGAAATAATGAAAATTAGAGCTGAACTGAAGGAAATTGACACATGAAAAACAATTTCAAAGATCAACAAATCCAGGAGTTGTTTTTTGAAAAAATTAATAAAATAGGCCACTAGCTAGGCTAATAACAAAGAAAAGAAAGAATATCCAAATAAACACTATTAGAAATGATGAAGGGAATGTTACTATTGACCCCACAGAAATAAAAGCAGCTATCAGAAACTACTACAAACTCCTCTATGCACACAAACTACAAAACCTAGAAGAGATGGATAAATTCCTGGACACATACACCCTCCTAAGACTGAGCCAGGAAGAAACTGTTTTCCTGAACAGACCAATAACAAGCTCTGAAATGGAATCAGTAATAAAGGGCCTACCAACCAAACAAAAGCTCGGGACCTGATGGATTAACAGCTGAATTCTACCAGATGTAGAAAGACGAGCTGGTACCATTTCTACTGAAACTCTTCTAAAAAGTTGAGAAGGAGGGACTCCTCCCCAAGTGATTCTATGAAGCCACCAACATCTTGATAACAAAACCTGGCAGAGACACAGCAAAAAATGAAAACTTCATCCCAATATTCTTGATGAACATCGATGCAAAATTCCTCAACAAGATACTTGCAAATTGAATCCAGCAGCACATCAAAAAGCTAATCCAACATGATCAAGTTGGCTTCATCCCCAGGATGCAAGGTTGGCTCAACATATGCAAATCAATAAATGTGATTCATCACATAAACAAAACTAAAGACAAAAACCACATGAATATCTATATAAATGCAGAAGAGGCTTTTGATAAAATTTGACACCCCTTCATGTAAAAACCTCTTAATAAACTAGGTATTGAAGGATCATACCTCAAAATAATAAGAACCATCTATGATAAACTCATAGCCAACGTTATACTGAATGGGCAAAAGCCAGAAGCATTCCCCTTTGAAAACCACCATAAGACAAGGATGCCCTCTCTCACCACTTCTATTTAACATAGTATTGGAAGTCCTAGCCAGAGCAATCAGGCTAGACAAAGAAATAAAGCACATCCAAATAGGAAGAGAAGAAATCAAACATCTCTGTTTGAAGACGACATAATTCTATATCTAGAAAACCCCACAGTCTTGTCCCAAAAGCTCCTGCAGCTGATAAACAACTTCAGCAAACTTGCAGGATACAAATTCAATGTATAAAAACCACTAGTATTCCTATACGCCAACAATAGCCAAAATGAGAGCCAAATCAGAAAGGCAATCCATTCACAATTGCCACAAAAGGAAGAAAATACCTAGGAATTCAGCCAACCAGGGAAGTGAAACATCATCTATACAAGCAGAACTACAAAACTGCTCAAACAGAAACAAATGGGAAAACATTCCATGCTCATAGATAGGAAGAATCACTATCATTGAAAAGGCTATACTGCCCAAAGCAATGTACAGATTCAATGCTATTCTTATCAAACTACCAATGACATTCTTCACAGAACTAGAAAAAACTATTTTAAACTTCATGTGGAACCAAAAAAGAACCTGAATAGCCAAGGCAATCCCACGGGAAAAAAAAAAAAGCTGGAGGAATCACGCGACCTGACTTCAAACTGTACTATTGTACAAGGCTATAGTAACCAAAGCAGCATGGTACTGATATGAAAACAGGCACATAGACGAATGAGGCAGAGTAGAGAGCCCATAAGTAAGACCACACATCTACGGCCATCTGATCTTTGACAAAGCTGACAAAAACAAGCAATGGGGAAAAGACTCCCCATTCAATAAATGGTGCTGAGATAGCTGACTAGCCATATGCAGAAGATTGAAGCTAGACCCTGTTCTTACACCATACACAAAAATCAACTCAAGATGGAATAAAGACTTAAATGTAACACCCAAAACTATAAAAACCCTGAAAAACAACCTAGGCAATACCATCCTGGACATAGAAATGGGCAAAGATTTCATGACGAAGCCACCAAAAGCAATTGCAACAAAAGCAAAAATTGACAAGTGGATCTAATTAAACTTAAGAGCTTCTGCACAGCAAAAGAAACTATCAACAGAGTAAACAGACAAACTACAGAATGGGAGAAAATATTTGCAAACTGTACATCTGACCAAGGTCTAATATCCAGTATTTATAAGGAACTTAAACACATTTACAAGAGAAAAACAAACAACCACATTTAAAAGTGGGCAAATGACATAAACAGACATGAACTTCTCAAAAGAAGTCATATATGCAGCCAACAAGCATATGAAAAAAAGCTCAATATTACTTATTATTAGAAATACCATTTCACACCTATCAGAATGGGTATTATTAAAAAGCCAAAAAAGAACAGATGCTGGTGAGGTTGCAGAGAAAAAGGAATGCTTATACACTGTTGGTGGGAGTGTAAATTAGTTCAACCATTGTGGAAAGCACTATGTCAATTCCTCAAAGAGGTATAACTAGAACCACCATTTGACCCAGCAATCCTATTACTGGCTATATACCCAGAGCAACATAAGTCATTCTACCATAGAGACACATGCATGCGAGTGTTCATTACAGCACTATTCACAATAGCAAAAACATGGAAGCAACCTGAATACCCATCAATGACAGAATGAATAAAGAAAATGTGGTACATATACACTATGGATACATATACACCATGTGGTACGTATATACTATGAAACCATAAAAAAGAACAAGATCGTGTCTTTTGCGGGAACATGGATGGAGCTGGAGGCTATTATCTTTAGCAAACTAATGCAGGAACAAAAAACCAAATACCACACATTCTCACTTCTAAGTGGGAGCTAAATCATAAGAACTTATGAACACAAAGAAGGAGACAACAGACACTGGGATCTACTTGATTAGGGAGGCTGGGAAGAAAGAGAGGAGCAGAAAAGATAACTATTGGGTTCTGGGCTTAATACCTGGGTGATGAAATAATCTGTACTACAAACCCCTGTGACATGAGTTTACCTGTGTAACAAATCTTCTTATGTACCCCCAATTATAAAATAAAAGGGTTCTTTTAAAAAAATTAACAGACATGAAAAGAAACAGAATCAAGCGACTGAAAACGAAGAGGAGAAATCAAATAATAGAAACTGATCCATGAACATCTTAGATTTTGGCATTGTTAGATAAAGGACTTTACAACAACTAAATATTTGCAATAAAGGAGGGGAAAATGATGTGGGGAAACCCCAGAAGTGTAGCAACAGCTCCTGGAAATTCAGTCAATTTTTCGATGACTCGCTTTTTGAGACTCTTGCCTGGATATTGACGTACATTTTGTCTTCATTCAAATTATTCCAGTATCTTAAAGGTGACAATAAACTACATCTTCCAGATAAACATATATACTTATAATGTTCAAACTGTACACAATGCCCTCAAATATAACCTGTTTCTCAGGCCACACCGGCCTTAGGGTAAAAACGTGATTACTGTGAAAATCACAAAACAGTATTTATTTCTTCCTGTCCTTATTAACTCAGGTGAAACTTAGTCGCTCTTTTTCCTGTATAGATAGTTTATATTCCTCAGGCATTTCGTTTATAACCTGTCAATTTTAATATTATTTTTTGTAAGGACCTTTATTTCCCAGTATCCTATAAATTCTTAGAACTCTTACATAGTACTTGCCCAAAGCATTTTTAACTTACTAGATTGCTAGCATCTGAGAGTACGCATTTGGATATTATTCTTTCTCCAGAGCTCACTAACTGACCCATAATAAGAATTCAAAAATTAGTGAATTAATTGCATTCTTGGGCATTTATCCCAGATAAATGGAAACTTATGTTATGCAGATGTTCACAGCAGCTTTATTGGTAATAGCCCAATCCTGGAAACAGCCCACATGTTCTTCAATAAACAGTTGGTGAACAAACGTCTTTACATGAAATACTACACAGCAATAAACAAGAACAAACTATTGATACCTGAAACAACTTGGATGAATCTCCAGAGAATTATACTGACAGAAGAAAAGCCAATCCAAAAGATTTCATACTTCCTTACAATTATACCACAAATGGTGGGATTTCATCTATGTAACATTACTGAATGTTATATAGACATTCAGTATAAAATGACAAAATTATAGAAATAGAGATCAGAGAAGTTGTTGCCAAGTATTAGGGATGGAGTATGGGATGGGGAGTGGGAGCATAGGTATGGCTATGAAAAAGCATAGGAATGGTACTTGTGGTAATAAAACTGTTCTATATCTTGACTGTCAATGCCAATATCCTGGTTGTCATACTGTATTACAGTTTCACAAGATGTTACAATTGGAGAAATTCGGTAAATGGCATATAAGAACCCATTGTATTATTTCATACAGTTGTATATGAATCTATAATTATCTTAAAGGAAAGAAATTAATTTTAAAATAAATAAATGAAAATCAGGTCAAACATCCAAGTTTTATTTATATATAATCTTGTTTATGATTCTTACAGTTGAAAATTAAATAAATATTTTTAAATCTTCTCCATTCAGGTAAAAAAAATTTTTTCAATGGAGAATGTGGCCATATCTGGCCCATCGTAAATTGCTTTCCTGCCGTATCTAATATAGTTTCCACAGCATCTCATGCTTGTTTAGGCTACCTCCTATACAATCAAAATGCTACTCAACAATCAATGAGCATATTACATGTAATCCATGAGTATATGTTAATTATATACAGTATTGTTAAATTCAGTATTCTTTAAATACTCCATGAATTAGCTCTTACAACAAGAACACAAACTGCTTTGTAAAGGCTTATTGATTGACCAAATCTATGCACTTATTTCTTTTTTATTAAAATTGTTTTTTTATTTTAATAAAAGAATATGCAGAAAAAACTCAATTTATTTTTATATAGCATTTTTTTGAGGACCCTGAAGGAAAGATTGAGTTACCACCATCCTTGAAAATTTATTCCTGGAAACGTCCACAAGATATTTTATTTAGTCAGGTAAGAAAGTTTTTTCTATTAAATAAAATACTTACTATGTGGATGTATTATCCTACTGATAAAAATTTGCATTTTTTGTAATGATTTAGGGTAATTTTCTCTTGTGGTATTCAGTAAAAAAGTAATTGCTTTTTGGCAACTAATCAAAACTAAATGTTTATTAATATAGTTTAATGTTTCTTGTACTGGCTTCTAAGAGATTATTGAATTTTTGTTTAGAACCTTGATTTTTCTTCTTCCCTCCAAAATGCTAACTTATAACTTAAAATGTTGTATGAAGTTGTTCCTTAATTTCTGATTGACACACTTCTTTCTGCTTCTTTGCATGAACATTCATAGCATGGAGGTCTGTTTTCTCTGGTGCTTATTAGCATTAATATTCCAGCCCAAGAGTTTTGCACATAGATACCTCTATTTCAGGGATTCTTGAAGCATTTTCCAGAGAACACTTTTATTTCTGGATCTCATGCCCAACTACGTGAATCATATTGACTGGAATGTCACTCAATAAACTTTCATTTTTAAATAGCACTTATAGAGATTAAGAGATTAAATCTTCAGACACCCTAGTCTATCCTCATAACAGCTATATGTTAGTTTGAATATATTTAGCTTTTCCAAGGGTTTAATTATGACTAATGCCTTTTTTCTTCCTTGAATCTGCTATTACTTTCACCTAATGCATAGGAAACCAGTGGGCTAAATTATTTAGAAGTAGTCAAATTGTTGTAATAAAGCTGATTGTTCTGTACATTTGTGGAATCCATTAAAGCTATGTATCTATATGAAATTTACTTTATTCCTAAAAGTTTTACCCATTAGAACTGCTACTAATTCAAGAAAATATGATATGTCCACCATATTTTTCAAGTACTCTTACTAGTTGAGTAAATCAGATGAATCTAAATTCAAAGATTAAATAAGATGCAAAAATAATATCCTATCAGCCAGAGCATTTTTTGAATGCCTACTTATAAGATATTTGAAATAAAATAAATAGAATATATATGAGCCATGCTTTTAAGTTACTTATAGTAACTTAAAGTTTTAGATAACTTTAAGTTTTAGATAACATTGACATGAAGAATATGAATTCAGTGATATTAATATAATGTATTTAATATTAATGTGTTACTAACAATATTCAGTCTCTGCTCAATATAAGTACATAGCTTACATTTCATACAAATAAAGGGTGTGAATTCCACAAGATGATGATGTTGTAAATTTGGATAAGTAAAAAAGTTTTTTCCCTGAGGTTCCCTTGGTCAAGGAGGTGGGTCTGCCCAGTAATTTGGGGTGGCCTTAGGATGTTACTTTTTAGTATGTATTCCCCCTTTCCTTTTTGGGCAAGATATGCCAGAGGCAGTATCAATGGTCAAGGTTTTATTTTGGCTCATATTAATGTCAGGCTGGTGTGGCTACCTGTGCCAGGCCATCATGTTCTTTGGTGGCACCCCTATAGCCAAGGGACTTAGAGTCAAAAGACTTACAGCCAATTAACCGTTTTAAGCAAGATAGGAATAGAGGTAGACAGGTGTTTATTAAATATTAAAGCCCTCTCAAGTAATATAAGAGCCCCAAACTAAAGTCAAAAAGCAAGGTTACAAAACTGACCTGTCTTTAAGTTTTATTGTGTTGAGCTATCAGCTGTTTAGGCATCTGTGTGCCCAGGAGTCAAGACTCTGTAACTTAACAGCAGAAGGATTAGTTAATAGCACCTGAAAAGAAACCTTTCAGTGGGGTGAAGGTAGTGATACTAGAGTCCATGACCTGACTGGAAGTTGTAAAAAATATTTTACAACCCTGTAGTGATTAATTTTTATAATTTTGATAAGTTTCAGCAACAAATCAGAGGCTGAATTTAGAAGAATTTAACTTCTGATGACATTTGTCAAAGATGTTAAAGGGCTCAAAATATTTGATCAAAACAGAATCACAGGCTGGCTATGGTGGCTCATGCCTGTAATCCCAGCACTTTGAGAGGCTGTGGCAGGTGGATCATTTAAGGCCAGGAGTTTGAGACCAGCCTGGCCAACATGGCAAAATTCCATCTCCACTAAAAATACAAAAATTATTCAGGCATGGTAATGCATGACTGTAATCCCAGCTACCCAGGAGGCTGAGGCATGTGAATCACTCGAACCTGGGAGGTAGAATTTTCAGTGAGCCAAGATTGCGCCACTGCACTCCAGCCTGGGTGACAGAGTGAGAGCCTGTCTCAAAAAAAAACAAAAAACAAAAAACAAAAAACAAACAAACAAACAAAAACACAAAAAACAAACAAACAAAAAAAACCAGATTCCTGGGTCTGATAGTTAAAAGACTTTAAAGGCAATATATAAGGTTACATGGATGTAAAAACCTTAACTCTTTTTAGTCTCAGGGTTTTAAGCAATCAAAAATCTAATAATAATAATAATATAGGAATTATCTTGATAAAATATAAAATCTTGTTTATTTTAAAGCCGGTTGCCCAAAAAGCAAAGAGAAATCTTTTTTAGTGTGACTGATTTTCCTTACAGAAAGCCCATTTAGATAACCTAGAAGTCAAACATGATGAAAAAAAGTACTTGAAGTGAATCAGACACAGGAAGAGTGTGTTCAAGGTTATGAGTATAGTAGGGGAATACATAATTTTTAGTAACTACATGAGAGGTTTTCTGATTTCATTGAAAAATTTAGACATATTAAAAAAGCGAAGAGCACAGAATCAAGTTATAGTTTGGGAAAACATTGTGTTTATTCTGTATTTATTACTTTTATTTTATTTTTAAGATAAAACATTTTAGCATCAGGCCACAACAACAACTAGAACCAGATGAAAAAAGTTACAGGATCTAATGAAAAAGCTGAAGGAGAAAGTTATCATCTTAGTCCTTCTGAAGGGGAGAAAGAGTTGAAAGCAGCAAAACACAACAAAGTTGAATTTTTGAATATGACTCTGATAAGTTTTTAAAAGAAACAAATAATAGAATTTAAATAAAAACTTATAGTAATTTTATTGAAAGAAAATAAATACCTTAAGAAAACCTTTCTTTAACATAAGGTCCAATTTTAGAAAGACTCTAGAAAATAATTTAAAAATATATATAGTCAACTTTATCACATACAAAGGTTTTAAAAATAAATTTCCCTTTATGAACATTGTCACAACTTACACAGACCATATATGACACATTTGGACTTTCTTGTTTTATGTGGTCTTTTTAAAATAATAAGTCATTTTATTTTAGGCCAAACATTTACCATCTGAGTTTTTTACACAAAATTATTATTTTTATAACCTTTTTTAACCAAAAATATACTTTCATATTTATATAAATCTATCTCTCTTTTATTTACCTTTTTTTACTTTATTTTATTTTTAGAGATAGGATCTCACTATGTTGCCCAGGCTGGTCTTGAACTCCTGCACTCAAGTGATCCTCCTGCCTTGGTCTCCCAAAGTGCTAGGATTACAAACATTAGCCACTGTGTTCAGCCACTGTATTAGTCCATTCTCACACTACTATAAAGACATACCTGAGACTGGGTAATTTATGGAGAAAAGAGGCTTAATTGACTCACAGTTCCACAAGCTGTACAGGAGGCATGGCTGGGGAGGCCTCAGGAAATTTACAATCATGGCAGAAGGTAAAGGGGAAGCAAGCACTTCTTCACATGGTGACAGGAGAGAGGGAGAGTAAAGGGGGAAGTGCATATACTTTTATACCATCAAATCTCATGAGAACTCACTCACGATGATGAGAACAGCAAGGAAGAAATCTGCCCCCATGATCCAATCACCTTCCAATGGACTGCTCCCCCGACGTTTGGAATTACAATTCAACATTAGATTTGGGTGGGGACACAGACCCAAACCATATAAGCCACCTTTTTAAATAAAAAACTTTTAAATAACCCCTAAATTATATAAAATTATTTTTAAATAAGAAGAAAATTTATAGAATTATATATTAACTAAAATTTATATTTTTAGTAATGTTAAATTTTCATGAAAACCTAAGCAGCAAGAAATCCTTAACTGTTTATCAGATGTTAGCATTTTATAAATGAAACCATTTTACAAATTTTAGAAACACATATATTATATTAAACCCATTTTAGTTGGAAATGACCCAGATATCCAACAAGCATCCAAAATCATTTTAAGATTTTAAATTACACAAAAAGTCTTCCTACAAGCATTTATCTCATTTTTATGTACTCAATTTTTTATTTTTAACAGTGTATAATAGATTACTTTTGAAAACTGAGATATTAAACAAAGGTAGTCATTATTTAAAGTTTTGTTTTTTTTTTTTTTGCTAAACATTTATGAAGTCTGTAAACATCGGGTATTCACCTAAATAAGAATCTCAAAGTGAAATACGTGGGCATTTTGCTGATAACTCAGAAGATTTATCCATTTTTATTGAAACAACAATATTAAGTTAGTCTTATTTGTTTTAAAAAAAAGTCACACAAAGATTATTTTGTTTTTGGCTGGGTTGATAGTCTCACAATATTTGTGCCAAACTCTGACACCTTAAAATAACTAGCAAAGGCAAACAAACATAAAACTTACCTAGACAAAAATGTATACTGATGATTCTGAAGACATTTTTATTTTTATTTTTATTTTACTAATTTTTTTTTTTTTGAGACAGGGTTTCACTCTTGCCCAGGCTGGAGTTCAGTGGCATGATCACATCTCATGGCAGCCTCAACCTCCTGGGCTCAGGTGGTCCTTCCACCTTAGCCTCCCAAGTTGCTGGGACCATAGACAGACACCACCATGCCCAGATAATTTTTCTATTTTTTGTAGAGACAGAATTTTGCCATGTTTTCCAGGCTGGTCTCTTAGTTCCTAGGTTCAAGCAATCTGTCTACCTTCACCTCCCATAGTGTTGGAATTACAGGTGTGAGCCACCATGACTGGCTTTATTGTACTAATAATTTTAAAACAAGTTTTATTTACCAAAGATTTATATGAACTTGAAAAGCATCTGGACTTATTTTATGAATACTCACTTACTCATAAGCCAGTTTGGTAGTATGTTAGACACAACGAATAGCACAATACACATACATATACCTAAACATATCTAAACGTGTATATGTATTATATATGTACACACACACAAAGATCCAATAGTTTTTATCTAAGAACTCTAGCCATGAGACAGCATCAAAAACTCACTGCCCTATGAAAGATAGCTGGATCCATGTTATTTTTTAGAAAATTGGGACCTGTCCACATGGCTAAACTTTCTTTGCCCTGATAGGTAATCCTATAATAGCTGTGGACCAAAATTTTGGGTAAAGCTGTTGTCATTTTTAAAAACATGTTTTATCCTTTTGTCTTCTGTTTTAAATGAGTTTCCAATGTTTACATTTTAGCCAAAACTGGATGAACTGTATAAGAAAAATAAAATGTCCGAATAACCTTGAAATCATAAGTTTTATTTCAACACCAGTAGCTTAATAACAGCAGATTCAAAACAGGCAGAAAAGAAAAGAGAAATAGAGAGCTTTAGAAGACTCTCCTTAACTCTATAGTTGCAGGTTAAGTATTTGAGCTCTGACTTTTTTTATTGGAATTTGCCCATCAGTTTGTTTCACACAAACAAGCCACAATATGTAACCAGCTGGAGTCCCAGGTAAACTAGAAAATAATTCACATGTTTTTTTTTTTCCTGCACAAAGCTTGACACAGATACAATAAATACTCCTGAGTCCCTCCCACCAAAAAAAAAAAAAAAAAAAAAAAAAAAAAAAAAAAAATCAGGGGCCAGGATTTTGGAAATAGTTTCTCCCCTAGTGAGGAGAGGAGAAGCCTGTTTTGCTGAATTCTGACAATCCGATGGACCTGGTCTTGGCTGGTGCAATTGAGACCATTTCAAAGCACCCTCAGAGGTAGGGGCAAGACTAAACAGACACAAACGCCAACGGATCTGACGCAGACAGAGTGCTCCAAACTAATCCCTGAAAGGGGTTACTGGAGAAATGTCCTCAGACCTTGTCTCAAATGCTGACAGCACCACAGTTTAATTGTCCTGCATTAAGTCCAGATGTCACAGAAGCCAACACAGCAGCACAGATGACATACACTAAGTCTAGACAGCTAGAGAAACCAGATGGCAGCGACAGAGGATTTTTAGGTGCATTCCAGTTGACTTACCCAGTTCTTGAAGCCTGTTGACTTCCCAGATGTTGCTTTCCTCACACAGACAGAGAATGATAGCAAGAGATGATGCCATGAACGTGAGGGAAGGGAAATTCCCTGAGACAAAGGCAGTCTTGGTAGCTGCTGGTCCCAGGTATGGGGACAACCAGCCATGAGCTGCTGGCATTTGCAAGTGGCCCCTGCCCTGCCTGGTAGCATTAACAAATAATCCCTGGCACACTGCTGCAGGCAATTGCTCCACTCATTGGAAACTAGGCGTACAGGCTGAGTCACTTGAAACACACAGTGTCTCACAAAGGGCACCAAATTAGTAACCGACTCAAATTTGGCCGCTCACTGCCCAGAGGCCAGAACACGAGAAACAAGATGTGGTGAAAGGAAAGTAACTTTATTCAAATGCTAGAAGTTGGGGAATGGCCAGGCTTATGCCCTTAAAAGACAATTTTTGCTCTGGGGGCTAATTGAGGGAGTTTAAGAAGGAAAACTTGGTAGGCGAAACATGTACCCGCGGTCCAGGAGGATGCAGGTCTGCAAGTCTCTTCCAATGGCTATCTTGAATATTTGCCCATCTGCAGCTCTTGTTGATATCATTGATATCATCTTGACTTTGGCCTGATAATGGTAGACTAATCGTTCATAACTCCACTTAAGCAGGAGAATTCTGCAGCTGGGTCTCTATGCCTGGTTTATTTCAAAAGTAGCCCCTGGGATTTTTAAGCAAACATGTAATTAGATAAGTGAGCACTGTGCATGGAGATGCCTGGTGGGAAAGGAGGGAAACTAAGTTTTACAGTATATTTTATGGCTAACAGCAAGAAAGGAAAAAAAGTTTCAAAATGCATTTTGAAGCTAAGCTACTCGATTACACTGTTATAAAATACCTTAAAATCCTGACTTTAGGATAGCAGAATAAACATGAGCCCTTCCAACCAAAAAGGTTAACAAGTTCTGATCACAGAGTAACTTACCAGACCTGTTTATTTCTGACAACTAGAAATGAGTGGCCCAGACCCTTGAGCATTGAATGTGTTGAATAGATTAGGATGTCTGAAGATTTATCCTGTCCCGGGTACAGGTATAGGCAGTAAAAGTGTGAAAGTGTGCCATTGTAGAGACCTCTGCCTTAATATTTGTTGTCTCTTACAAACTTAATTTCTACTTTTCACTTGTCAGCAGGAGGCTATCAAGACTAATACTTCAAACTTGAGGTATCTAATACTTATTAATGTATAGCTTATCAACTTTGGTAATCACTGAAGTATAGGGGCATTTGAGAAGCGTTCCATCACAGTCAGTCAAGCCAGAAGAAACTATGTTTATAATTTATGATCTGCAGAGTCAATTCAAGCCTTTAAGGTAGTTTTAGGTAAATTTTTCTCTAACTTTTTTTATTGACTTTTCAAGATGCTGCTTGTATAGATGAGTGAAAGTAATTGACAGTGTTACTTTTCCTAAAAACCTGATTCTCTAATCAAAACTGTTTTCATGTTAATTTGGTATGTTAAATATATATACTTGATATGAATTATAGCTCATTTTAAAAAAGTTACAATTTGTATTTCCCTATTAGTTTTATATTATTATTATTTATTGGTACCTGATTTAGAAGTGTACTAATTAAATAATGACCATTAAAATAATTTTTTAATCTAACAGGATATTAACTTGAACAAGATTTTAAAAAGCTATCACAATCTCAAAAAAAATTTTAACACTAACAAAATAGACAATAATCATTAAATGGGAGAAAAGCTATCATGGCTAATATTAGTCATCCAAGATGAAGATATTTTCCCTCCTATCAGACGTTAACTAAGTTTTCAGGTTTAGCTTCAGTGGTTGATTTAGATTTTAAAGCAGTGGTCCCCAACCCTGGTCCATGGACCAGTACCAATCTGTGGCCTGTTAGGAACCGGGCCACACAGCAGGAGGTGAGCAGCGGGCGAACAAGCAAGGCTTCATCTGTACTCACAGACGCTCCACATCACTTGCATTACCACCTGAGCTCTGCCTCCTGTCAGAGCAGCAGCATTAGATTCTCACTGCAGTGTGAAACTTACTGTGAACTGCGTGTGCATGTGAGGAATCTAGGTTGCATGCTCCTTATGAGAATCTAATGCCTGATGATCTGTCACTGTCTCCAGTCACCCCCAGATGGGACCATCTAGTTGCAGGAAAACAAGCTCAGGGTTCCCGCTGATGCTACATTATGGTGAGCTGTATAATTATTTCATTACATATTACAATGGAATAACAGTGGAAATAAAGTGCACAATAAATGTAATGTGCTTGAATCATCCCCAAACCACCCCCAACTCCTTGGTTCGTGGAAAAATTGTCTTCCATTAGACTGGTCCCTGGTGCCAAAAAGGTTGGGGACCACTGTTTTAAAGTACTTTTTAATCTCTCAGTTTGTGTATCTGTTCATGCTAAGTTTATCTGCATAAGGAACAGAAAATGAAATATCACATGTTCTCACTTATAAGTGGGAGCTAAATGATGAGAATACATCGACACATAGAAGGGAACAACACACACTGGAGCCTACTGGAGTGTGGAGGGTGGGAGGAGGGAGAGGATCAGGAAAAATAACTAATGGGTACTAGGCTTAATACCTGGGTGATGAAATAATCTGTACAACAAACCCCCATGACGTAAGTTTACCTATGTAACAAACCCACACATGTACCCCAAACTTAAAAGTTAAAAAATAAAAATAAAAATTTACCTGCATATATATGTATTTTACTCCTATAGTAAAATACTGTATCTTATTGGCATTAAATTACATTTTTATCACCTATAGCTCTAAGAATTATCTTAAGGAATGTGTTTATTTCTTATTTCTCTGGTTGTGAGAACTGAAATCAGGGTGGCCTATTTCCAGCACCAACCAATTTATGCCTAGTGTTCCATTATTGGAACGCTAAGCATGTGGGAGTTATTTATATCCTACTGCTCAAGGTCATTGCCAAGGTCTGATTGCAAAAATTCAAAAAATTGCAACTTCAGGCATAAATGGATTAAAACTATTTCATTAAATTACTTTTTTATTATTTTTCTTATGGAGTAATATATACATATATATTTTTTTCAGACTCCAGTAGTTGTGAAAAATGAAATCACGTTTGACTTATTTTCAGCAAATGAACATTTACTCTGCAGCGAGGTATGTACAGAAATATGAACTAAAGTCTCACCATGAAATGACTTCCAGTCCTGCTTAAACCATTCCCAGACAGTCGATTTCAACTCTCCCTTGCTCACCTTTAAGTTTTGGTATTATATATATATATATATAATACCAAAAAATATATATGGGGGTGGGTGTTTGAGACAGAGTCTTGCTCTGTTGCTCGGGCTAGAGTGCAGTGGTGTGAACACAGCTCGGTGCAGTCTCAACCTCCCGGGCTAAAAATGATCCTCCCACCTCAGATTCCTGGTAGCTGGGACTACAGGGATGTGCCATCTCCCCCAGCTAATTTTAAATTTTTTGGTAGAGACGAGATCGCACCACATTGCCCAGGCTGGTCTTGAACTCCTGGGCTCAAGCAGTCCTCCCACACGGCCTCCCAAAGTGCTGGGATTACAAGCATCAGCCCCTGTTCCTGGCCAAAAATTGTGTATATTTAAGGTATACAATTTGATGGTTTGATATACATTGTTAAATATTCATCACAATTAAGCTAATCAACATAACCATCAACTCAGTTATTATTGTGTCTGCCAGTTAATATTGTGTATTATTGTGTGTGTTATTGTGTGTGTGTATATGTGTGTTAAGAACACTGAAGATCTATTCTCTGAGCACATTTCAGGTATACAATACAATATTGTTAACTACAGCTGCATTGTTGCAAGTAAATCTCCATAACTTATCTTTCAGAAGTAAAACTTTGTACCCCTTACCAACATCGCCCCATATCCCCCTCCTTCCAGACCCTGGTAACCACCGTTTCTCTATCTGTTTCTCAGACTTTTGTATTTTTAGATTCCACATATATGTGAAATCATGCAGTTATTTGTCTTTGTTTGGCTTATTTCACTTAAGGTAATGGTATTTTACACACCAACATTCAAAAGGGAAATGAAGTCTCTTTAACTGAGTTTAGTGAGCCTCTGTTCTCCTGCCCCTGGTCTCAAAGTAGCTGTATTCTCTCCCTCTGGGCTTTTCTCCTTGAGATCCACATGACCAGCAATGGACATGAAGTGGCTGCCCATCCTGCCCTATGCCATGTCAAGAGGAGGGTACAGTGATGTTGTATGATGTGATAGTGCAAGGGAAATTGGGGTGTACTTGGATTACAATACCTCTTCCAAACCAGCAAGGTTTTCAGCACAGCTGTCCTACTTCCTGTGGGAACTCATCTCCCCACCTCCTACTCCCCACCTCCCTGCCCCATGTTGGGTTGGGATTTATCCATCACAAGCAGGCCTGTTCCACTCCTCTATGTTAATTAAATCAGAAACAAGAACTTTTAAAAATTATTTTCTGCTAAGACTCAGAGGAGTGGGGCATAGTCAATATTGATTAAAATACTTTTTCTTATCTTCAATATCTTGACCCATATTAAAATCAAAATATTATATTTCTTCAACCAGTTATACATATTAGTATAAAATTATCTCCAAATAATTTTATGTTTTAGTATAAAATACACCTATTTAATGAATCCTAATCCCACTTAGACTTTCGCTTTTCATTTTTCAAGGGAAGGAAAGTATAAAATATTCTACAATAAATTTTCCAGATATACAGGATGATATCTGTTTTGTCTTTTTCTACTTTATCAAACATTAAGAATTTCCTAGATAACTCAAATTAAGAGAAACATAAATCTTGCAAGGTCAATATTAAATATTTAATTTCCTTATAAACCAGGCAGTTAAACATGAGATGAATAATTCAGAAAATCAGATACTACTGAGGTAACAATGGCTTCATTGAACACCCACTGTGACCTAGAGATTTCTTACATACTGTTTCTAGTCCTCACAAAAAAAAATGTGAAAAATAGCTACTATTATCTACATTCTACAATGAAGAACTGCAACTTAGAGAGGTGGAAGCAACTTTCCCAGCAGCAGAAGGCTGTGAAGATCTGAAAGAGGATTCAAATCCTGATCTCTGTTTCCACTCTGAAGTCCATCCACCCACTGGGCCTTGCTGCCTGTTAAAAACACTGCAAGGGGACGTTTTACTTAGAGCATTTCAACAGCTACAGATCAACCCATGAAATGTGGGATTTACAGTATATTTATGTGTCTACCCCATTTTAATTCTTTCACATCTCATTCCTTCTCTAATTTGTCCTATTGACATACAAGAGATAATATCCTTATCAAATATCTAACATTTACAAAAGAGTAGCTTGCTCATTTGTCACAATTTTCAGAAGCTTTCTCTCTCTCACACACAAACACACCACTCATATAAATATCAGTGTCAAATAGAAGTCGTGCCAAATCACCCACAGTTTACTTCAGCAGACAGCTTTCTTAGCTGAGTATGTTTAGTATGAGACATTTTAGTTTGTATTGTGACTGTATTTCCCAAAAACAAAAGCAAGACCTATAACTTTATTCTGTAGATCAGAAATGAAAGTATGGAATACATTACATGTATAATTTAATATTATTCTTGGAAGTGGATTTTTTTACTGTTTTTATCCCTAAATTACAGTACCTACAACTGAAAAATAACCAATTAACCCTAATGTTTTTTATCTCTAGCTGATGAGATGGATTATCAGTGAAATCTATGCAGTGTGGAAGATCTTCAATGGAGGAATTTTGAGCAATTATTTTAAGGGGACTTCAGGGGAACCTCCTCTTCTCCCCTGGAAGCCCTGGGAACACATATACTCTCTGTGCAAGGCTGTGAAGGGTCATATGCCTTTGTTCAATAGCTATGGAAAGTATGTTGTGAAACTTTACTGGATGGTAAGTCCATTTTCGTGTGCATAAAAACTCATGAGTCTTTCATATTGAAATATACTTGTCCTGGCATGGTGGCTCATGCCTGTAATCGCAGCACTTTGGGAGGCAAAGGCCAAGGCAGTGGATCACCTGAGATCAGGAGTTCGCAACCAGCCTGGGCAACATGGTGAAATGCTGTTGCTACTAAAAAGACAAAAAATTAGCTGGGTACGGTGGTGGGTGCCTGTAATCCCACCTACTCCGGAGGCTGATGTGGGAGAATTGCTTGAACCCGGGAGGCAGAGGTTGAGTGAGTTAAGGTCTCACCATTGCACTCCAGCCTGGGCAACAAGAGCAAAACTCCAAAAAAAAAAAAAGAAAGAAAGAAAGAGAGAGAAGGAAGGAAGGAAGAAAGGAAGGTTGCCTTGCACACCATTACTTAGGCTAGTACAAGATAATGCAGTTTTTATAGGATATCAATTGTGTAGCTACAGAGAGAAACTGTCCTGCATATGTAATTTGTGATTAATGAGAAACACAGTAGCTTCTCCTGTGATGTCAGTCCCATGGGCACTTTAAACAGGTTCTGCCTAGACCACTGAGGTATGGCCACTCATTGTAGATGCTGGTCCTGCCACTGCCTCTGCACTCTCATGCTGAGGCGAGCGGGGCAGGCAGGTGGATGCACCGGGCTTCCACCTTCCTCTTTCTTCTCTGATGTGGTATCAGGGTCATGGGCAGGAGGCAGTGCTAGCCCATGGTCCAGTCCTCTTCTGGCTTTTGCTGTAGCTGAGGGGCCTGATCCCATCAGTTCTTGGTCCTGAACTTGAGATTTGTTTTCATGTAAGCAAATCTTACCCTGAGACAGGAAGATGTTACCTCTGCCTAAAAGGAAAGCAAATAGAATAGTAGGAAGTACAAACAGAGGATCCAAAACCCCTTATAAATATGGCAAAGCAGACACACACTAAATTAGCAATGCTAGATCATATCAAACTCTTTGGGTTTTTCTTGGCCCTTGTCACTGGAAAAGAATGTCCTCCTTGAACATTTAAAGGAATGGGAAAGTATTAAAAGTTAATAATTCCATTATATATTTATGAAAATGTAACTTTTTCTTTCATAGGCCTGAGCCATCTAGCTTCCTGGGATGGGGAATGTTGAAGGGCCAATAATGAGAAATTGTTAGGATAATTACAATGGGAAGGGCAAAGGGAAAAAGGTAATATAGCTTCTAATATCCAAAATTGGATTTTTGTTTTTTAAACATCCACAGCAAGACAATTGGCCTTGAAATTTTGTTAGAAGAGAAAATAACTTTCTAAGTTACTTTATCTTATTTATTTACCAATCAAGAGGACTATTATCTAGACTAGACTTTAAGTTTTAAATCTGTGCAGAGGAGCAAGCAGAAGGGTGATATTAAAAAGGTGAAAAACCTAGTGGATAGTGTTGAGGGAGTATAGAAAGAAGGTACGCAGAGGAAAAGCGAGGAGATAAAATGCCCTGGTTCCTGTCCCACATTTGTCTAAACTTGAGGTGGGAGGAAGGTCAAAACTATGAAGTGTTTTGAAACATTGAACCAACCCTGTTGATTTATTTCTCATTCTCTCTTTCTGCTTCCTGACATCCCTCCTTGGTTTTCAAATTTCCTCCTGCATAGGAGTTAACATTCATTAACATCACTTTCCATTTTGCAAAGAAAATGTGACTTATTTCTCCTTAATCATACTGATTATTCACAAGCTCAACTCCACTTGATTCAGAAATTTGTTTAAAAATGTATTGAGCCCACTTTGGAAATCTCAGTCTGGTCCAGTCATTTAGCCCACCTCTAGATAATTTAGCCCTTTAGGGAACGATGTGGTAGAGACTGGACCTCAGCTCCACTGGCTCCCTCTGTTTCCTCAGTGGTCTCATCAGAGGAATGCCTACAGAGGATGCTGTGAGCACTGACATACCAGTTCCCTATGAATTATTTTGGTAGGCATGTGATAGAGAGGCAGCTGCCTGGTTTTCTGATTAGTAGAATCTGTTCTCTCTAGGCTTAGGGCAGAAATTTTTATTTCTTTCTACCTGATCCCCAGGTGATAGGGCTGAGTCAATATCTGTGTACATATTAACATTAGTAAGAAGTTAGAGTCAATTCTGTCTTACATGCAAATCCTATGTGGTTGGTTTTTTATCCGTTTCTTTCCTTTCCAGACACACTCAATTTGATTTTGATTTTTTTCTCTTCCAATTCTAGTTGAGCACTTGTACATGTCTGTCATTTGCTTCTCTCTGCAAGTATTTGGGAAACATGTTTATAAAATATGCATTATTACTTCTACTTCTTGATTCAGTACAATACACTACAGATTCATCTTATACCCTACATTTATTTTCTTTCCCGTTTCCCATCTTATGAGACATGATGAGTCTTCTTCTCACTGTTTTTCTTCTTTAGTTTCTTAAAGCTTTCTTACCTTTTTCTTATTGGAAATTGATTTTTCTTCTCTGCCTTATCACAAATATTCTTCTCCCTCATTCACTTTGTCCTGTAAAACATTTACCTTTATCACTTCTTTGAGGCAAACCAACCTCTCAGAGCCTCTTGGCATGACATTTAAAAATTCTGATTTTCACACCAGGTTATCATTTTTTCTATGAAAGTATTTTTATTATTTCCAGTTTGGATTCTAAGTAAATTGTATCAAGTTCTTTGACCTCAGCCAGATAGAAATTTATTGAGTAGCATTAAGAACAGGGTTGTGACACAGAGCAGCTCTCTCCCGTCTTTCACCTGGGAATGATGATACTAATGCTGGGACACATATCATCTCGTCAAGTGCCTTCCAATGGCAGCATTCCTTTGGGCCCCCGAAAGAAGCAGGTTAGCCATTGCTCTCCGCTTGAAATATGTATTGCTGATGGCAGCTTTTCTCTGAGTGTCTCTGTGCTTTCATTTGTTTCTGATAAACAGAGAAAACACACACATTAGGACCAATAATTTTTCCCAGTTGCCATCAATATGTTTATATAAAAATGCATTTGCTTTATTTCTGATTGAGCCTTATACTGCTTAACCACAATGTTATTCTAGAATTCAGAGTTTCCTAATTTTGTGGTACAGAAACCCCCCAACATCAAACTGGCTGTTGTACTTCTTAAACATCCACTTCCCATGCCCCACTCCAGACCTCATGAGTTTGAATTTCCAGGGTAGAGCCTGCAATCCTGCATTATAAGAAAACTCTCTCATCCAGTGACATTTTTGTTCATTAAATTTGAGGAACAATGTTTGCAAGATATAAACTATGACAAAATTATTTTTCTATCATTCAATTACTTTGTTCCAAAATGGAAATGCTTTATTTCATTATATGTAATATTATACATGCTTTTAAAACAGGAAATTCAACTACTGTTAAAATGTTCAAAGTATGCAGTGAAAGTTCCCCGTAATTTTACCATATTTAATCACAGCAAATGATTTATTTATATCCTCCTAAGCTTTCTTCTATTCTTATAAACATACATAAAGCTATTGTACATAATTTATAACAATAGGGTCATAGAAATGTATTATTCTGTACACTATTCTTTTCCCTACACACAGTCATTTTCTATGCTAATATATATTGATCTACTTTGTATTCCATTGTGTGAGATATGTAAATATAATATATATTGCTAATTTGATATTGGTAAACATTTAGGTTAGGACCAGTGTTTTACCAAAACAAACAATGCTGTAAAATTTCATCTTTATGTATATAGTCTTTGCCCATTTGTACGGACTTCTTTTTCTAGGATTTCTACCATATGGAGTTATTCCATCAAAATATTTGCAAATTCTTAATTTTTGATAAGTATATTCAAGTTACTCTTGTATTTTAATTTGTCTGTATAGAACATTTATATTTGATGTAATTGGAATTGAAGTCTGTGATTTTATTCTTTGTTTGTTCTTTGTTACCTTTCTTATTTTGTGTGTGTTACTTTGTATTTATTGCATTCTTAATCCCCTTTCCTTTACTCCTGTATGTTTCTTGGGCATTCCTTAGGATTCCATTTTGATTGACCTATAGTGCTTTCAAGCAAATCTCTTCACTTTATGAATTAAAATATACATGCATAGCTTATCACAGTCAACTAGTATCATGATTTTACCACTTGAATTGGAATATAAATACTTTACCACCATTTAGTCTTCTTTATATTCCTCCTTTTCTAATATAGCTTTCTTTTCCTTTTTCCTTTACTTTTTTTTCTTTTTTTCTTTTTTTTTTTTTTTTTGGAGATAGGGTCTGACTCTGTCGCTCAGGCTGGAGTGTAGTGGCACAATTATAGCTCACTGCAGCCTCCACTCCTGGGATCCAGTGATCCTCCTGCCTCAGCCTCCCAAGTAGCTAGCACTACAGGTATGCCATCATCACGCCTGACTAATTTTATTTTTTGTAGAGACAGGGTCTCACTATGTTGTGCAGGCTGGTCTTGAATTCCTGACCTCAAGTGATCCTCCTGTCTCGGCCTCCCAAAGTGTTGGGATTACAGGTGTGAGCCACCACACCCAACCACTGATATAGTTTTTTTAAACATTTCCTGTGTATATATTGAAAACTTCATCATAAATTTTGCTTTTAAATTCAAACACAATATAAAAAATTTGAAGACAAGAGTACCACATTTAGTCATATGTTCATTTTTTATTTTTTAAGTAAATATTTTAACTGGCATGTAAAATTTTTCCTTTATGCTTTCTCATTCTTGATGTTCCATTTTTCCTTTTATTCTCCTTTCTTTTTATTTCTGAAAAATTTTCTTTCGCAATTCCTTTTGAGACACTCTAATGATGACAAATTATCTTATCTTTCCTTTATCTGAGAATGTGTTTATTTTACTCTTATTCCTAAAGAATATTTTCCCTAGTGATATGATTCTGGGTTAGCAGTAATTTTCTTTCAGCATTTGGTATTTAGTGTGCCATTAATTTTCCAGCCTTCCAGAATTTTCCTCCAGGCCAGCCAGAATTATTCTTCTGGCCTCCCTGGCTCCTGGTGAGCAATCTGTCCTTCCCCTCTAACAGGTCTTTTCTTGCTGCTGGCTTTCAAGCTTTTTTCTTTTGTCTTAACTTTTAAGAAGTTGGAATTCGATCTGTCTGGCTGTAGAATTCTTTAAGTTTATCCTATTTGGTTTAGTCTGAGTTCCTTGAGTTTGTAGGTTTATGTCTTATGACAATTTGGGAGAGTTTTCAGCCATTATTCCTTCAACTATATTTTTTGCCCCACTCTCTCTTTCTCTTCTTTTTTTCAGTGGCAACAATGACATGAATATTATATCTTTTTGCATTATCCGCACAGGTCCCTGAGCCTTATATGATTGTTGATACTATATTTTCCTGTTATTCGTAATTTCTATTGATCTAATGTCCAGTTCACTAATTTCTATGCTATCTGCATTCTGCTATTGATCTCATCAATTGAGAGTTGCTTTTTAGTTTAATTTTAAGCTTAAAATTTCTATTTTTATGCCTTTATATCTTCCATTTCTTTGCTGAGAGTTTCTATTTTTGAATTTGTTTCAAGAGTGTTCATAATTGCTTGTTGGAACATTTTTGTGAGAATTGCTGTAAATTTCTTATTTAATAATTCTAATTTCTCTGTCATTTTGGTTTTGTGGCCTGTCGACTGTATTTTCCCATTGAAATTGAGACTTTTCTGGGTTTTGGTATGATAGGTAATTTTATACAGTTTCCTGAATATTTGTAGTGTTATGTTTTACAACTCTGATTGCTAATTAGTTTTATATTTTAGCAAGTAGTCAACGTGTTTAGATTCAGAAGGCACATCCTGGCTCACATTTATCGGCTGTGTCTCAAATGCCAGTTTAGTTTATAAAGCCTCTGATGTACTATTCTGGTCTGCCACTTTTGTTTGCTACCCAGATAATAAGACTTCATTCCACAATCTTCTTATATATAATATATATATAACTTAATAATGTTATATATTACACATATAAATATATATGTTATAATGTATATAATATATATCTTAATCTTAATAATATATATCTTCATAATTTTATATAATCTTAATAATATAGATCAAAATAATCTTATTATTAAGGTCATATATTTATATAATTATATAAATATGTAATTATAGTATAAATATAATAAATATATAATTATATATATAATTATAAATATATAATATATATTTATTATATATTATATATTATATATAATAATATTAAGGTTTTTTATATATATATAAGTATATATAACCTTAATAATATTAGTCTTGTAACAACTAAGGCTACTATACCAGAATACTATAGACTGGTGACTTATAAACAGCAAGAATTTATTTTTTATATTTCTGGAGGCTGGGAAGTGTGAGATCAAGGCACTGGTAGATTTGGTGTCTGGCAAAGCCCTGCTCCCTGGTTCATAAATGGCTGGCCATTTTCTTGCCATAAAATTCCATGGTGGAAGAGAAAAACTTTGGTTTCTTCAACTTCTTAAAAGGGCACAAATCCCATTCATGAGGGCTTTACCCTCCTTTTTACCTAATTCTATCACTTTGGGCATTAGGATTTCAACACATGAATTTTGGGGAGAAACATTCTGTATGTATACACACATAGACACATGCACGCAAACGTATTTTTTATATGTTCAGGATAGATATGTTCAATATAGATATACATGTTCAGTAATCATACAGTATTTATCCTTTTGCATCTGGCTTATTTCTCTGTGGTTTCTTGTTGATCAAGAAATTAATTAGGAGCAGGAATAATATGAGAATTGGAAGTGTAAGATCAGTGAGGATACATCAAGATAAGCAATAATTACTAAAGTTATATTTGGAGAATTTGTATTTTGACTATGTTAAGTTATTTGATTATGTCCAAGCTTATCCATGGTTGTATAATGTTTTGGTTCTGGTCCTTGAAACACCTCAATTTCCTGCATTATGCAGTAAGGGACTCCCAAGACTTTGTTCACAAGACCTCATAAGTAAAGACAATATTGATATAGACATGGGTGAGCTGTGATTATGCTAAATAAAGCAATAAGCTAACATATTCAACCAGAGTAGTATTGAAATCCAGTATCTCCGTCTTTCAGTGTAAGATGCTAAAATAAAATTGGAAAACGGTAAATAGTAATGTCAGCCACGTGCAATCATTTACGAGAGAAAAGACTGTAAGCCATTGATGGTATTACATTTCTTTCATCTTATTTTTAGGGTTGCTGGAGAAAGATAACAATTGATGACTTTTTGCCTTTTGATGAAGATAACAATCTATTGCTTCCAGCTACAACTTATGAATTTGAACTGTGGCCAATGCTTTTGTCTAAAGCTATTATCAAGCTGGCAAATATTGAGTATGTAATGACACTATCACTCACATGAATAAAAAAAGCAAACAAAAACATTAACTATACATTTGTATTGCATAATTTATTTTTTTAAAATTAGCTAAAAGACAGCTTTTTCCCCTAAACAATGTAATGCTCTAGTATAAAATCAAATACGCCAAAACCACTGATTTTTTCTATTAGGTTAACAATAATGCAAAATTCCTCCAAGAAAAATATACCCAAGAATTATTCTATGTTCAGTGCTGTCTTACTATGAATGGAAATTTGATCATGGAAAATGATGTTTTGTTTAATAGGAGAAAAAATTGTTTTGTGGGAGAAAAATATTGGTTCATCTAAATACTGAATAATATATCCTGAAATCTAGTTAAAGATTTAGGTTCTGTATATGCAGCAATAATTTACTAATCTTGAAAAACCTGAACTTTTCTGAAAGATGTCAATGTACGCTTCATGATTTTGGTAACATTGCTCACTTTTGATACATTCATGATGAAAACTACTCATATTTTCTTCAGTATTCTTACAAAATTGGTTTCTGTCTTATATTCCTGCCTGACTTGTGCACCAACATATATGAGACACATCTGCTATGTGCTATTCCCTCAGCTTACACTTCCAGAGAAAAGGAGTCATACCATCCTGGCCCTAACAATGCAAAAAATCTTTGATGATCGTGTTGGAAATGCATGGCAATTTTGCCTCATTGCTCACTGGAAGATGCTCACATACATTGCACAGGCTGGGATTTTATACACGTCCACCTCCTGCAGTTTGTCAAAGATTCTCGATATTTAACAGGACACACCCACATGCTTTAACAGTACATGTTAGAGATTTGCTCACAGCTCAGCCCCCTCCCCTTCTATAAACATTGCAATGTTAGTCAGAAGTCAGGCCTGCTTTGTGTGGATTTTCTTTAGGCACAGCTTCATTTTTCTCTCCCAAGGCTACAAAACAAAAACAACCACTCCTACTGCCATCCTCTTCATATCTGTTTTTTCCTTACCAGCCCTCAGTTTTCCTTTGGGAATTAGTTTCACCCAGCTTTTAGCACTTAATTGCAATGATTTTCATAAAAACTCAGCCCAGATCTTTGTAGGTAGCTGAATAGCACTAAGTATTCATACCGGTGGCATGTTCATTTATTTGGGAAAAAAAAATGTTCTGAATGTTTCTAGTTCTCAGACATAACTTGAAGTTCTGAGAATCAGAGCTGCTAGAGCAGTGAGGCATTGAATACATGACCTGGATAATTGGAGTGGTATTTTATCTTTCTTAAAGCTGTAGTTCAGTAGAAATTTATAGCAACATAAGTATTAGGGTTATTATTATTGTTTAAAAAATCCAATTAGTAAATAAAGCAACAAGCTAAGTGTAATACATTTCTTGGGAATTCTGGTGGAAAGTTTCCCTACATGGTACAATTTATATTTTTCCATAATTTTTTTCAGATTTTTACAGTACATAGTGATTGCTTTTATATGAGGATTAGCTTACTACATTTTCCAAATTAACACATAGTAATTTCAATGTCAATGTGAGATATGCACAGAAAAGAGCATTATTTCTATTTGATTTGCAAAGTCACTTCATAAATTTGTCCAATGAGGAGTTTAGACTAGTCTGGGATCTATCCCAATAGACACTTATTATCTTTGAAATACGTAGACATATAGAAATTTGTAATCCATAAACAACAAAACAGTGCACATTTTAAAATAATGGCATATGTGACTAAGATAGTAAGATTTCTTTCTGAAGAAAGGCACACATGTGTTGGTAATGCCATTAACACTACCACTGACGGATAGTCAGCTGAAGCCGTGACTCCCGGGCAGAAGGGAGATATGGCATTTTTGCATGTAAATGTAAATAGACTAATAACTTCAGGGAAAAAAATAAGAGGTCTAAATGAGAATAGTGATACTTGGTTAATCATATCCTCGTTTTACTTTATGCTAAGCTGACAGATCCACTCTTCTGTACAGGACAGAACAGATGTTTCTGGTTTCTCCACAGTTATCTAAGGATTTCTGATGCCCATCTTGACTTGCCATAGATGAGACTGATCTAACACACAGCTTCAAAGACATCTTAAAATAATTACTGAAATCAGAATGATAAAAGAGACTGTTCTGTTTTTAAAAGAAGTATACAAAAATGGATTATATTCTAATTATATATTTCATAATATATAATGTGAATATATTTCATGTATATAGCATTAATATTACTTTTAGATCTTAAAAAATAAAGCATATAAACATGCCTTGCAAATACAAATGAAATTAATTATATTATAAATCCTACTTCAGTGTTTTAACAAATAATTTGGCTTCTGGGATAGTATTTTTTAATACAGTCTATAATGAATAATCAGAATATATTGCTGTTTATTAATGATTCCTAGTTCTTATATATCTTTATGTGTTTTCAAATTTTGCTACCTGTAACATTATGCATGTTCTTTTTTAGCATCCATGTAGCAGACAGGAGAGAGCTGGGGGAGTTCACGGTTATTCATGCGCTCACAGGATGGTTACCAGAAGTCATTTCTCTTCAGTATGTTTGACTATTAAATTGCTCATATCTATTTTTTTTATCTTCCCAAGATTTCTTTAAAATATTCCTAGCCTTTAAGAAAATTTCAAGAAAGGTCATGTTTTGCAAAATTTGGGGGAAAATATCGTTTTGTAGTATTATATAAAGTTCCTTGGGAATTTCAGGGTAAATTCTATTTCCTTATGTAGGAGAACAATGACCCCCATAGGTTCTTTGTTGGAACCGACTCCTGTAACAGAAGACACATTAACAAGAGAAAAACACACAGAAGTTTATTACCATGTGGATTTCCATGGGAAATCTACAACAAAGAACAGTCAATTTTTACAGAAGTGACAAGACAAAAGAAAATGACTTTGAGCCTCTACAGGTGGCAACTTGTGGGAAGGCAAATAAATGATAGATAAAGGCTAGTTATGAAAGGCTGTTCATGTAGATTCCTCTGGTACAATTCCTCAGGCCAGTAAGGGTCCAAAGCTGTCTTCAGTGGTTAACACCTGTTCTCTCTGGCACAAGGGAGTGAGGGGCAGGATACCTCTTGGTTTTTGTAAATCTATATCTTGCTTTTAGGCAAATAGAGGGAAAACAGAGTTTCTGTGTATCTGCTTCTTCATAGGGATTGCCTGTAGCTCAGCAGTCCTTCATATTTTGGGGTGGCATGTGCAGGTCTCCCACACTTATATATATACTATGAATTTAATCTTTAAATATCCGATGTACAAATATTTAAACAATGGTAATTATTTATTATGGTAAAACATTTGCAAACTTCCCTTTACACTTATAAACCTGTCACACTTACTTCAATATAGAAACATAACAGCAACTTTTAATTGGCCACATCTATATGGAAATAATCATAAGAAGACAACTATTATGCATCAAGTATTTTAGTATATTACTTCTCGTTTAAAAATCACAGTCCTGAAAGGATAGTCTTATTTAATCATCCATATGACCCCATCAACTAGGTGTACATCATTTCAAATGAGGAAACTAAAGCTCTCAGAGGTTGAATTCCCCCAAACTAGGAACATGTAAGTCTTGCTGGTCCAAAGCCCACAGTCTTTCTTTCATGTGATTCTAGATATAGAGAAATTGCTTCTTTATGTCCAAAAATAGCTATTAGGTAAAGAATAGAATAGAGACATTGCTCAACTTAGTGCTGACTTATAATTTCACGATCGTTTTATTTAATACATAAGGAATATAGATGCACCGTTTTATCATTTTACCATTGACATTTGGAAACAAATCAAGATAAGGTGCATAGAAAAGAATTATAACAATAGATTTGAATATACCCTTAACTCAGATACTGACTTTTACAAGATGATTAAATCTACAGTACAGTTATCAACCTGGACCATCTCTGATCTTTGACTGGTAATAGGAAGCTGCAATTCCCCAGGGGCAATAGAGATTAGAGGAGGTTGAAGACAGGCCCTAGTAACTTGGATTCTGCCATCTTCACCATATTTTCAGCAGGATAAACTTGGGTGTTGCTTTGTTCACATAAAAGTATTTTCAGGGAGAAAAAACTGGAGGGTAGGAGCTGATCTTGTTTTTATCTTAGGAAAGGCCAAGATAGCACTCTTTTATATCTTCTTTTGGAAACTTTTCCTATTATCTAAATGACTTCCTGACATAATGTGTACAATGTTAGTGAGAGAAGTAGAGAGAAAATGAGATTTTAAAAGTATGGAGCTCTATAAATTTTTATACTTAGTGTTGATGGAATGCTTACAGTTTTTCCTGTGCAATTTTCTCTGTGCAATAGTCAGTAGAGATACCAGAGACAGGAAATCATCAGAATTCTACCAGAGGATGGTAAAGAAACAAGAGACGAGAATAATTCACAACTAGAAAATTCATAAAATTTTGCCTCGGAAAATCAAAACAGAGTATCTTCTAATTTTCCATGTAATAATAGAAGCAGAGTCAGTGACATGTCTGAGTGGGAATTAGAAATCCAACCACTTCAAAGGACTCTTGTTGGCACGTGTCTCTGATGCATGGTCTCTCTGTGAACATAGCACTCTGCCACCCTGTCTTTAAGCCTAATCATCCAAGAAGTTATATGGTCTCATTCCGTGGTGTTTGAATAGGTCTTTTTCATAGTGCAGCATATTTTATGTGGTAGATGGGAAATACAACCTAGATTTTGGATTCAGAAAGGTCTGTTCCTATCCTGACTCAATTATTTGCTGGTTGTGTGATGCCATACAACTTAACAACCTCTTAAACATCAGTTAATACTGTATAATGTTCCAGAGCTGTCATGGGATCAAATGAAAAAACAATAAAATGTGCTAAAGGCCACTCTGCTGGGTAGTGGAGATCCAGGGATGAATAGGAGGCAGTTCAGGGAGTCGAGCAGATCAGAGATGCACAGGGAAACCAATTATTATTTTCCAGTCACCAGTTCATTTCCCTTGTTTTCCTCAGGAAAAAAAATCTTAATAAATGAGTGGTTTGTACACACTGTCTTCATCTCCTCAACTCCCCGTTTCTTCTCATCTGACTGTTTGACCTTCCCCGTCCACCACACCAGTGAAATGGCTCTTCTTAAAGTCAACAAAGACCTTAATATTGTCAAATCCAGTGATCACCTCTCCTGCCTCATTTACTTGCATCCCAGTATGTGACCCTCTTAAACAAGTTATTTCCTTTTGCAACACTTGCTTCCCTTGGTTTCCTCAGCAACACACTCTCTGGGTTTTTCTCCTTCTTATTTTCTGCTCTTTCTCAGGCTTCTTGGATAGTTCCTCAACCACAGTACAGCTACTAAGTGATGGTGTGTAGCAGGGCTCCTGTCCTGTAACTTTAAATAACAAACTGTTTGACAATGATTTTCAAGTTTATGCCTGGTCACCATTGCCCGAACTCTAGACTGTATTTATCTACAACTGCCTAAGTTACGTAGCTATGTGAATGTCAAAAGTGTATCTTAAACTCAGAATATCCAGAAAGGAACTCTTGATTCTCAACCTCCTAAACTGCACCATCCCTAGAATGCATCATCTCAGTGAATTTCACTACCAACCACCTATTTATTCAAGCTAAAGAAAAAAACTAGAAGTCATCCTTCATTGCTCATTTTCCTTGCCTCTCACATAAAATCTCTCACTGGCATCTGTCAACAGTACATTCTCTACTTACTCTGAACCTATTTGTTTCTCTACATCTGCATTATTACCATCCTAGTTCAACCACTGATCACATGTAATAGACTTATAACTGGTCTCCTAGAGTCTATTTTACCCTCCTTTAGTTAAGTTGGTAATCAGAAGAATTTTCTAAAGTATAAATCAGATCATATCGTTTTCCTCGCTTAAAACCTTTCAGTGTTTAACTATTACACTTGAATGAAGTTTTACAGTCTTGACCATGATCCTCAGAGATCTACACTGTCTGATTCACACAGTCTCTGACCTCATCACTGACCACATCAATGTCTTGGCAACCATTTACTGGTCACCCAAGTCTTCTTTCTGTTTCTGAAATATAATGAAACTCACTCTACCTTACGGTCCTTACATGGGCTACTCTTATTTTTTTCTGCCTGGAATGACCTTTCATCAGATTATTCACCTAGCTGGGTATGTCACAACGCCTGGGTTTCACCAAGCTTAACCATCAACTCCTTAGACAGGCCTAGTTGAGCATCCAATCTAAGTTATTCCTTCCCCAAGTTATGCCACATTTCAGCTTCCCTTATTTCATTTTCATCATGGAAGTTATCACTGTTGTTATTCTCTGTCTCTGTTTTATCCAACCATTGGATGTAAAGTTGTCCACAAGAACAGGGACCCTCTTTTGTTTTGCTCAATGTAGTGCCTTCTGTGTTTAGAACAGTGACACGGAATGACTGGGATACAGTATGTGCTCAATGAATTGTGTAAAATGAGAATTAAAAAAAAAATTTTTAAAGGCTATACTAGAATACTAGGAGAGCGTAAAAGATTCTTTGGGAACTCAGAACAGAAACCTATAGTTTAATTCCTGCAGAGGATAATACTTGAATTTATCTCAAAGGATTAGTTGAAATGAATGAAGCTGATTGAGGTGGGGAATCCAACTCACAGAAGAAAATATATCAAGGAAATAGAAGAAAGCAGGGTGCATCCCAGAAAAACATGTGGTTCTGCATTATGTGCTATGGAATCCTAGAGGAGGAATAGGATGTGGGAATGGAAAGGTAAATAGGATCTAGATAGATAGGCCTTTTATGCCATGCTGACACTTTTACAACCTCCTTAAAATGATCAGATGTCACTAAGGGATTGTAGACAGGAGGATGACTGTATCAGACTCATGGTTTTGAAAGATTGCTCAGAGCCTTAGAACAGCAAATGGCAGGAGTGGAACAGCGAGACTGGCTTGTGCAGTATTCTTGAGGGGGGTCTTCTGAGGGCTTCTGCCAAGGAAGTGGTGATGAGAATGGAGAAAAGGGGATCCACTGCACTGAGAAAAGGTAGTATCCAACGGACACTGTGTTTTATTTGAAGGGGATTTTAAAGAGAGAGTCTTGGTCATTCTGAATTTTCTGCTTTGAGTACTAAGTAGAAGGTGATGCAGGACATTTTTGTTTACTTATCTTTTTTTATTTGCTTGGGACAAATACCTGTTAGGTGGTTGTATGTGTGAGTCTGGATATCAGGAGAGAGGTTTGAGCTGGAACTAATGATTTAGAGGTGACACACATTTATGGATAAACTCAAAATATGAGGAAATACTATGTAAAATGGCAAGAACACCAAGAGGAGAGCTGTGGGAAAAGAATTAAATTGTCAACAGTGAGCAGAAGAAAGGGAGTGTTCAAAGGAGTCTGCAAGTAATTTCTATGACAACAGAAAGAAAACCAGGAAAGAGGGATGTTATGGAAGCCTCAGGGAAGAATTAAAAGCAAGAAACAACACTGTCACATTCCACAGAGAAGCCTAATAAGATAAGGACCTTCTACATAAGTGATCATGCATGCAAAAGTGTCTGCCACTTAATAGATGCTCAAGGACATGTTCTTTCCCTGTCCTGGCTGTTAACGTGATTAGCTTCCCTACCAGGGCGAGTGATCTCTGAGATAACACCATGGTTTTGGTCGCTTTGTATCAGCAAAGCCCAGCACACAGTAGGCACGCAATGAAAGCTTGTTGAATGTCTAATACATAATGCTGTTCTTTTAACTAAAAATTTGAGTAACAATTGAAATTATTCATTAAATAGCAAGTTGATTTTTCTGTCAGTAATTTCTTGCGAAGTTCAAGGAAAAAAAAAAACATCGTTTGGAAATTAATGTTTTTGTCTTTTCTCTTAGCCCGGGATATATGGACAAAGTTTGGGAGCTCCTGAAAGAAATATTGCCTGAGTTTAAGCTGTCAGATGAGGCCAGCTCTGAAAGCAAAATAGCAGTGTTAGATTCTAAATTAAAAGAACCAGGGAAAGAAGGGAAGGAGGGAAAAGAAATAAAGGATGGAAAGGAAGTAAAAGACGTGAAGGAATTCAAACCTGAAAGTTCTTTGACAACACTAAAGGCTCCTGAGAAAAGCGACAAAGTTCCAAAGGGTAAGATATTTTACATCAAAATGTGATTCAGTATGGACATTGCATATAAATGCCTTACAATTTTATTTGATGTGTTGCTGGAAAGAGTGGTTTTGATCCAGACCCCAAGAGAGGGTTCTTGGATCTCACACAGTAGGGAATTCAAGGCAGGTCACAGAATGAAGTAAGAAGAGATAGTTTATTGAAAGCTCCTCAGTTACAGAGTAGGGCATCTTCAGCAAGCAAAGAAAGGTGCTGTCTTTGTTTTCAGTTTTTCTTTCTTTTTTTTTTTTTTCTTTTTGGGATGTAGTTGCGCTCTTGTTGCCCAGGCTGGAGTCCAGTGGCACAATCTCAGCTCACTGCAACCTTCATCTCCCAGGATCAAGTGATTCGCCTGCCTCAGCCTCCCAAGTAGCTGGGGTTACAGGCGTGCACCACCACGCCCAGCTAATTTTTGTGTTTTTAGTAGAGACAGGGTTTCACCATGTTGGCCAGGCTGGTCTTGAACTCCTGACCTCAGGTGATCCACCCGCCTCAGCATCCCAAAGTGTTGGGATTACAGGTGTGAGCCACTGCATCCAGCCCAGTTTTTCTTATATAGGAGTCTTATCTATGTAAAACCCAAGCTAAGCTAAGCTGTCCTGACAGCGTGACAAAATGTAGTATTCTGTTGATTTAAAGAAAGTTATACTTGGCATTCTAGTGCATTAAGTACATCAAAGCATAACAATAATTATCTTGAAAGCATACTTTTTAGGGGCATTGGGACATATGGACATATTGCTATCAGTATTGGGACATCTGGACATTCTTCTGTTGTAAGAGTGTGTCCCTTGCAGGTATCGTTAGGCTGTATCTTCAGCTATAAACATGTAATGACTGTGAGTCATGACTGGCAAGAAATGTGCCTTGTTATTCTTAAGATGGAGCTGAACTTAAAATGGGGTTTCTCAGGGCCTCTGAGGCTCCTGCTTCCCTAAGAAATGCATCTTTGTTGTCGTTATCCTTTCTTAAGTTTTTGTGACAACAGCCATGTAATTAAGATCTTTCTTTTCTAGGACTTTAGGACTTATAATGGTGTTTACTATATGCTAATTATTATTCCACATTTTGCTTTCTTTAAAAATAAAAAGCAATTCTCTACTTTGATGCTACTAAATTAATCTAGTATTAGCTCTCAATTTCCATTAAACACATATTTTTCCTATTTAAAAAGTAAAAAGTGGCAGAACTTGACAATGATGACTGGTAGAATTCCAAGCTGCAGAGCAAGATAGATGGTGGTACCATTTAGGAGAGATCACAAAATGATTTTGAATATATTGAAATTGAGGTGCCTTTAAGACAACCAAGTGGGTTTTTCATGTCAAGACTCCTAGGCTGGTGATATACACTTGGGAGTCGTTGACAAATTCCTGCAAAATTAAACCAGGAATGATATTTACCAAGGAGACAGTATAGAGTGAGCAGATGAAGGAGGCTGAGACTGAGTCCTGAAGAAGTGGAACATCTAAGAGGTTGGTACAAAATGACGAGCTGCTGAATGAAGAGTAAGGACTGGCCAGAGGAGCAGGGACAACATCAGCAGAGCATTTTGTCATCGGGGCCAAAGGAAAAAGTGTTGCAGGAACCAGAGATTGTATTAAATATTGTGGGAAGATGAACTATGATGAAAATTTAAATTTCTCAATTACAATTTGTGATATGGAGGTCATTGTGCACTTGTGAGTGATAGGAGTAGAAGATACATTGGAGGGGAGTAAGAAGGAAGTGGGAAGTAAAATAATGTATAAACAACCCTGTGAGAAGCTTGTCCTTGAAGAACAGGAAATTGCAAAGTGGAAGCTGATAGAGAAGAATGTGGGAGGCAGACAGAATATATATTTGTGAATCTAGTGAAGGAAAATTGGTTTTTTTTTTTAAGTGATGACTGGGAAGATCCTGCTGAGATGACTGCAGTAGTATATGTTTTCTGAGAAGAAGGAGCAAGTTCCACACCCCAGCTATAAGGGGATTGGGCCAGCCCAGGGAGAGCAATGGCTCCTCCATTCTCATAGGTGGGCACAGGTTATGGGAGAGTGGATACAGGTGTAGGTGGGTAAACGGGTTTGGTAGGAGAAGATGAGGACTTCAGACCAAAGACTTCTACTTTTTGTTTATACACAGCCTAGCTATGAGCTGAAAGTGAGGTGGAGGTGGAAGATGTAGATTCTCACGGAGATTTAAAATAGATGTGGCAAGGTTTGCAGAACTATGGGAGGATTATCTCCAGTGGGACTCAGCTGCCAAGTTTATTCAGAGTGGGGTTTTGCCAGATGGGTGGGATGAAATGACAGAGGAGCAATCCTTATTTAGGGTATTGGCAAAAACACATTTTGGTGAGCACTGTTGTATTCTATCCAAATTTCTATGTGAAACAGTTTGATTTTTTTCTATTTATAATTTTTATTATGTATTATTTTTAAGTCACAAATTCTGAATAGAAGTTTGAAAGCTCTTAAAGTCCTATTTGAAAATTATACATGCACTCAAATATTGCTTCCTAAAATTAGTTTTATTGAATTAAGGTAATATATATAGAAAATTCACAAATAAAATTTTGATAATAAACTTTTTAAAAACAGAAACTTCTTGGTTAAATGTTTTATCCTATGATTGAAGTTATAGTTATCTTTACTTTTATATCTAATTTAAGTGTTAAATCTGCTGAAAAAGCTAAGATATGGGCCGGGCATAGTTGCTCACACCTGTATTCCCAGCACTTTAAGAGGCTGATGCAGGCAGACCACTTGAGCTCAGGAGTTCAAGACCAGCCTGGACAACCTGGTGAAATCCTGTCTCTATAAAAAAGAAAAATAAAAAGAAAAGAAAAAGAAAAATTAGCAAGTTGTGGTGGTGCACACCTGTAGTCCCAGCTATTCAGGAGGCTGAAGTGGGAGAATTGCCTGAGCCTGGGAGGTCAATGCTGCAGTGAGCTGAGACCTCGCCACTGCACTCCAGCCTGGGTGGCAGAGTGAAAGCCTGTCAAAAAGAAAAAAAAAAGCTAAGGTATGAAACATGTCTATTTTGGATGTTCAGAAACATTATAAGTAGATAATGTCACAGTTTTTATTTACGAAAATTTTAAAGATGAGCAACCTGACCAATGATGATTACAAACTTAGCAGATGATGCAGAGAATGAAATGACAGAAATCTATAATTTCTGTCTCAGAATTGAGACAGATTTGTTAGGGAATTAAAAAAATCTTTGAGAAAAGTATTTTAGGTTGAAGAAGAATATGTTTTGTGGATTGAGTATATGAATGAGCATTCAAATGGTGGGAATCGTTCTGGATACAAGAGTTTTATTACCTAAGCCATGTAGGCAATAAGATGCTGGTTTGGGACTTTGGTTGGAATCTGGGCTCCACAAGAAAATATTTTGGAGTCAGAAAACTGTGTTTCCTGTAAGTGGAGGACCCAAATAAGGAAAATCTGAGAGGGCTCTACATTTAGGACTTAACTTTCAGCACAGGCTTTGCTGTGTTTTGTTTTTATTTTTAAAATGAGAAAATTACCTTGATACTATAATCTTATATAAATAAAATATATTCAAATAATTATCTCCATGAAACAAAATTATATACAGTAGATAAAAAGCAATGCTGTATTTATTTCATAATATATCTCAATTTTCAAAGTTCTCCCTGGCTTTATCATGGTGTTTCTAATTAGAGGGGATCATGTTTTGGAGAAATTATGGCATAATTTTACATTAAATAATACTATTATTTTGGCCTTTTTTCTTTAAGACAATGACTGAATAAGAAATATAGTTTGAGATTGTCTAGTTAAAATATTTATTGTGATTTTTTCATATGTTAGAGAAAGCAGATGCAAGAGACATTGGAAAGAAGAGAAGCAAAGATGGAGAAAAAGAAAAATTCAAATTCTCACTTCATGGTTCAAGACCCTCATCAGAAGTGCAGTACTCTGTGCAGTCCCTATCAGATTGTAAGCTCCTAATTTCTTAGAATAATAACTATTTTAGTTGTTTCTTAAAATGCTGGAAAACCTTGGAACATAGAAATACATTTTTTCTTTTGAAATAACTAAATAAACTTAGTCAAGGTTGCCATAAATGTTGGGTTCTCAGATGGGTGGGCGTGTTGGGCCAAGTCCTACCAATGACAGAAGCCTGTTGTCCAAATTACAGTGCAATTGTCACAGAAGAAGTATCCACATGTGGGAGAGGCTTCTGCTGGTCGCTTTCAGGTATTTCTCTAAAAAATACTCAGGTTGAATTTATCATCCAAATTAAGTAAATTCAAAGTTACTTGTTTGTGTGGTTAGATGCCAGCCACCAAATAAAACAAAAAGCCTACATCTGGCTCCTTGCTCACAGTGGGCCTCCAGCTCTTTTACTGTGTTTTAGAAAGTAACTGTGAGGCCGGAGACTCTGGAAGTCATTGTTTATATCACAATACTGACAACCACACTTTTTTGTGTATCGCATTGTGACTGGGTGGATGTACAAGAACTATTTATAATAGCCTCATTGTATAAAGGTCAACTATTTTTGTGAAAATGCTAGGGTTTCTCTATCACTTAAAATCACATTGGAGCTCTTTCATTTTAATTAATCTTTCCAATTTGGACTTACAAATTATTTCTAAAGACCCCTTGGCTACCGCATTTTTGTCCTGTGTACCAGCTAAAACAGTCTAGGTATAAGTAGCCTTTAAACAAATTGTATCAGGTTGAAAGAAAACAAGCTGTAAAAAAATGATACCGCAACCTATTCAGGAGGTTATCAGGAGGAAGACTAGAGTGTCTCTTTTGAGTCTCAGCTTTGGCTCATCTATCTTGGTGCTTCCAGAGTGCAGGTTATCATTTTCACCTCATCCTTTATTAGCTAGTCAAAAATATGTGTTTTTACATCTAGTAGTGTGCCTTATTAATAAATTTTTATCTTTTTTCTTATTATGATGATTTATATGAGGACATTTTAATAATTATGGCTTTTTATTTTTACTGAAACATGTCTAGTGATGTGGATAGAAAAAAGTCACTATTGTATTTTTAATTCTACATTAAAAATCATTTTCTTATATTGATGCCTTAAGCAATATTTTTTGATAGTGAGAAACATTACATTAGCAGATTTACTGATGGTTCTTCATCTTTGTGAAAATGGCTAAAACTTTCTGAGAGTTCTTTCTTTGTGAAAATAAAAGTAATGATGCCTTCCTTCTCCTGCTGAACTTACAGTTAAGGTCATTCCAACACATAGAATGTGGTTCAGTTTGGACTGTGGAGTCAAGCTGGTTGAGTTCAATATCTGCTCCAACACTGAGTGTATAAGTATCAGGCAAGTGATAGAGCCTCTTTAAACTCAGGATCTCTATAAATCAGCATTATTGTTTTGGTGAGGGTCCTTGTGAGAATCAAGTGTTGAATCCAGGTAAAGTGCTTAGCACTTGTTGGTAGAGCTACATTTTAGCATATTTATTGCAAAAGCCTTTGTTAATTCTTACATGTGCTAAAGATACAGTGTTAGAATGAACTCTATTGGAGTCCTTTATCTGGCATAAATATGAGGGTGGCCATGTGAACTTCCTTCTCCCACAGAGTTAAATCTAAGTGCATTTCTGATGGTGTTATAATTCATTTCCTTCAATCAGCTGCTTTGGTTTCACTTGTAAAGGAGATAATGGATAGACAGTAAGTGTTCAAGAGGTAATTGAGTGACAATTCAAACTCATATGGAAAATATAACATGACATTTATATTGTTTGTTTGTTTATTTGTTTATTTGACACAGAGTCTTGCTGTGTCGCCCAGGCTGGAGTGCAGTGGTGCAATCTCAGCTCACTGCAATCTCCACCTCCCAGGTTCAAGCGATTCTTGTGCCTCAACCTCCCAAGTAGCTGGGACTGCAGGCGCATGCCATTACACTTGGCTAATTCTTGTATTTTTAGTAGAGACAGAGCTTCATCATGTTGGCCAGACTGGTCTCAAACTCCTGACCTCAAGTGATCCACCCACCTTGGCCTCCCAAAGTGCTGGGACTATAGGCATGTGTCACCACGCTCTGTCTATATTGTTTATTGATGATTTGATATTAGAGGTGTTGTAGTTAATTCTGATAAGTCACTGAAAATCTAATATAAAGAACCCCTGTTTTATTAATTTTTTCAAAGTAGCATATTTATGACAACGGTCATTACAATAAAATGACGCTCACAGTTTTAAACGCCAAGGAGATTTAGTTTTATAATGGCAGAAGACATGTAGAGATTTATATATATTTACATGTCATCTAATATTATCCAATGCATATCCTAATAATGACTTGACATTTAAGATTTCATTTTGTTATTTTCAAAATAAGTGTATTCATTTAGGTACACTAGCTGGTATGACTAACAAATGATTCTAATGTCATATATATTTCTTTCTCAATTAAAATAAAAAGACTAGTGTTAATCACTGGCAGGAAGTTATTTTCTAAATGGCATTGAAGAGACCCATTCTCCTTCCATTTTATGCCTCTTCTACCTCTAGCATTCTAAAGTTCTATACCAGTGGGAAGAAAAGAGCTTGGAGGATTGCAGGAGCAAGATGTCTGAAATCAAAACAAGCTGTATTGTATATCACTTCTGGTCTCATTCTATTGAAGACAATTCAGTCCAATGGCCACACCTGACTTTAAGAGGAGTTGGAAATATGGAATGTGACGTGCTAAAGATCGCTCATTTCAGGAGAAAGAGGAAACCATTTGGTGAACAATGATCAATCTTTACCACATTCCACTTTCCTGATCACCAGATACCCCTTTCACTCTTCTTCTCACATATATGTTCAATACGTACCAAGAGTCCCAGTCTAAATTATTATCTAGTAATTTCATCTAGTTAAAATATCCAGGATCTCCAAGTCATGTACATGCACACACATGCTTACAGATACACCCATAAGTATCCATTCACATCTCTCATCTACTCTTGAAGAGGAACACAGTAACTGCGATATAAACTCCACTCATAAAACAAAATAGCAGGGGACACACTGTAGTCACTCATCATTCGCAATTCTAAAATTTGGCTGAGAAAGTCCTGTTAAGACCTTTTTCCTGGCATAAAGGGGAAGTTCTTTGGCACTGATTCTGCTCTCTTGGAGGAACTCCAAATTATAAAGTGTAAAGTGGGTTCATAAACCCACAGTCTTACTCCAGAGTTCACACAACTACTATGTTTTCTCTCCTCTCGATATCTATGAATACTAATATTTTAAACTGTAAAACTTATTGAAAACTTTTTTCTCTAAATAACTACATTGAAAATGTAGCTTAAAAAGAAACCTTGATGCAAATAATGACATTAATTACAAATACCGAAGTTCTATAAGAATGAATAAATCATACCCTTCCAATATTTGAGAAAAAATGATTATGAGAAATATTAGAGATTTGAGTTTTGCCAGTAACTTATTAACTATAGGGTAAGTTAGAATTTGTGTAGTACTCTAGTATAGAGTTCAGTATCATAGTAACTTTAAAAAATTGTTTCAAAAAAGCAAAAATCAATAACATTAGAATATGACTCAGTGGAATAGTAAGTTGGATATTTTCTGACTGTGAGAAAAACTGCTAGCTTTTCACAATTTCCTCCTCTTTCTAGGAACACAGTTTTGCTATATTTTCCCAGCCTCTTTTAAGTGAGATGTGGCCTTCTGTATAATTTCTAGCCCACAGGATGTGAAGCAAAGCGATACATACCAGCTGTAGACTGACCTATACCGTGCTCTCAATTACAATTCCCTTTTTGCTAGCTCAATGCTGTTGAGAGCACAGTGTTAAAGATGGCAAAGCCACAAGGATGGACAGAGCAGGAGTATGTGAATCACTACCTGGAGATCTGCCTGCTGGTCAAGAAGGTTCATTTTGTACTTTATATGAACAAAAAGAAACTATATCATGTTTAAGTCATTTTTTAGTGTGTTCCTTATAGCAGCTACAATTACCTCATGATAAATTAACTCCTGCCAGAAGTTGAGTACTAATAACAAGGTGAAAATATGTGGTGTCTGCTTAACAGTAGAGTAGAAGGCAGTGAATAAATGGTATCTCAAGCTTGAGGAAACCTGGAGATCTCCCTCATACAGCAAAATATTTGGTAAAACTGGAACCTGCGACAATTTAGAAGTTAGCCATGTACTCAGTGAACCTGAGTCTCTAAAATAAGTGGTTGAAAATCTGCTATTCTAGGCAGTGTTAAGTTTGTAATATCTACTGTTAGCAAGATATTTCAAATAAGAAATGAGTTCAGGGAAGAATTGTCTGTTTTTCCAAAATAAATGGGAAAAATAGAGAAATTTCTGAGATCACAGAACATACAAAATTGAAAAAGAAGGCTATTTCTTTACCACAATTAATTGGAGATAAGGCTGGTGTTGAAGAGAGCCATGCTCCTCCCTTTTTATGCCTCCTATACTCTAGCATGTGAATTCTAAAGTTCTATACCAGTGGGAAGTAAAAGAGCTTGGAGGATTGCAGGTGCAAGGTGTTTGAAGTAAAAACAAGCTGTACTGTTTATCACTTCTGGTCTCATTCTATTGAAGACAATTCAATTTCATGGCCATACCTAAGTATTTAACAACAAAAGTCCAGGATATATTTTGGATATTTGTCCTCGCCCAAACTTCATGTTGAATTGTAATCCCCAGTGCTGGAGGTGGAGCCTGGTGGGAGTGGACCTGAAGGCAGATCCCTCATGGCTTGGTGCTGTCTTCATGACAGTAAGTTCTTGCAAGATCTGGTCGTTTAAAACTGTGTAACATCTCTCCCTACTCTCTTGCTTGCTCCCATTCTCACCATGTGAGACATCTGCTCCCTCTTTTGCCTTCTGCCATGAGTAAAAGCCCCCTGAGGCCTCCCCAGAAACAGATACCAGATCTAGGCTTCCTGTACACCCTGCAGAACCATGAGCCAATTAAACCTCTTTTCTTTATAAATTATCCAGTCTCAGGTATCTCTTTATAGCCATGCAAGTATGGCCTAATACAGTCCAGTAAAACTTAAACAACACACCTGGTTGTGTCAAAGATTAAGACTGCAACCTCTTTGTTGCAGCTATCTTCAAAGTGGCCTCTATGAAGCAAAGAAGCAAAGAAGTAAATTAGCCTTGGGAATTACACTCAAGAAAGAATATGGACATGTGGAACTGATGAAAGAAATAGATTAGAAGCCCACTAATATATATTATTTTAAAACTTGTATTAAGAAATTATGGACTTGGTATAAAAAGTCTTTTACTTTTCAGCTTTGCATCAAATATTGGACCTGCAAACATTGTCTGGTAGGAAGTGGGCCGGAACACATTCGAGTCATTATCCTCTTTAGATATTGCCACATAGAATCATAGACAATAAAAAATTGCCAGAAAGACCAGGGACTACTTTACACTTCACACTTCTTAATTGTGTAGTGGACATGTTACTTAACCTATCCGTAACTCAGTTTACTTGCCTGAAAAATACTGTTAAAAATAGAATTTATTTCATAGGGTTTATGTGAACTGACTCATATGAAATACCTAGGCCTTAGCACAGAGTAGGCATTCACTGAAAGTTAGCTATTCTAAATTAACTAAATATCACATCTGAAAAAAATCATATATAATCTTTAACAAATACTTCTTATGGATTTATAGTAATTTGGGGTTCATCTCACTGGGACTCAAAATTTCAGGCTGAAATTTTTATAGGTTCAGACAGTAAATGTCTAACATAAAATGAAATCAATGATAAAAGTGGTATTTAAGTAATCTTACGTATTTTATAGCAGTCTTCTGAAATATGCTTATAGAAAGCAAAAAAAGCTGTATCACATGTAAAATAAAACATTTAAATCATACAAATGTAGCAAAAGCTTCTTTTGAGCAATAAAATACATATAATTAGTATGGCAGTTGTAGGCCATATAAGACTCATAATTACTGTACAAAATATTTTAAGGCAGTTTTAGAGACTAGGATGTTAAATTTCATTTCATCATTCAAGAGTATATTTTTTCTTAAATTTCTTTCTCAATTATTAAGCATTATTATATGCAGCTGTGCTAATTCAATACAAAGTTACTCCAACAACTGGAAAGATAAGGAAATTTCATGGTCTGTACCATTCATAGTTCACTGAAAGAAATTATAGAGCCCCTAGATTTAAACATTTGCCTTTAAGATATTCTAAAAGCAGTTTTATTGATATATAATAAAATCAAAATGCATTATGGGTGTTCCAATATTGCAGAATCACACAACATATTTACAGAGAGATAATAGAACAAATAGGAATTATCTAAGGCCCTTTAGACCCTTTACAAATAATTCTTATATTTTCTTGGCTAATAAACTTTTTTGAAAATCTTATGAAAATTTTGAACCTTCTCTCTTTTTTTTCCAAATCCTTTGTAGTCTTGGTTGAATGTGTCTTCTGGAGTCCATGTGCTAGAATTTTGATCCCCAATGCAACCATATTGGGAGGTGGGGCCTAATGAGAGGTAATTAGGCCATGAGGACAGAGGGAATGGATTAATGCCATTATCATGGGAGTGGTTAGGTATCCCAGGTGTGGGTTTGTTATAAAAGGGTGAGTTTGGCTATGGGATGACATGCTTATTTGGCCAGGGGATGACACAGCAAAAAGTTCCTCACCAGGCGCCAGCACCTTGATCTTGGACTTCCCAGCTTCCAGAACTGTGGGGAAATAAACTTCTGTTCTTTAAAAGTTACCCAGTCTCAGGTATTTCATTTTAGCAGTACAAAACAGACTAAAGCAGTTAGTGTGCACACAGATCTGCAGTGTTACATAATAGTTCACTGAGTTCTGGGCCCCTGAATCTCATTTATAAGATGTATAAAACTTAGTTTGAAAATCCCTATTTAATAGCACATTCCTATCCAGCTTTTACAGATTGATATTTAGTTAATAGCACCAGTATAGTGATACCAATATTTATAATCAGCTTCTAGTTTAATTAATCTGTGCCCATGCTATACCACTTATTAAATATTTAAAACTTCACCCTTAACTAAACACTTGTGTTATTTTTTAATATTTCAACATTACATATTACAATCCCATGTAAAATGTGTGATTATCCTAAAATTTGGAGCAAATTTTTTTGTCATCAACATCATTTCTATAATATGTCAAGACCACATTCTTTACTCCAAGTTTCTAAAGTTATTGTTTTCTAAGACCTCACCTGGAATTCCCAGGTTTCCATATATTTTATTACATAATGTTATAAAGTAAGTGAGAACTTTTTTCAAAATACTTGTATCACAAACTTTATTTTTAATATCATAAGGAAAATAAAAGTTCAAAAGACTTATTAAAGATCAAGGACAAAGTACTTAATGTGATAATATTAAATATTAAGCTTTAGAAAATTTTAGGGAAGACATCAAAATTTCTAATGCATAATGTACAAATGTGGGATATAATGTGGACCAAAATACTTTTACACGTTATGATTTTTAAAACAAGATTTAGAAAAGAGCTAATGAAATAGATCAACCTGAACGAGCCATGGGGTGCCCAGACATTTGGTCAAACATTATGTAAGGTGTGTGTTTAACATCTGGAAACTCAGCTGACTTTTTGTAAAGAAGCCCAATCTTGCTCAGTAGCCAGGCTCAGAGAGGAACCCTCACTCTTCTTCCCTCCACCTCTCATGCTTCATACTTTCCTAAGGTGTAGACAGCCAACTGCTTAATCTTGAACCTGGAAAGTACATTTAATCTTATCTTCTTCCTTGAGCAGAAAGTTCTGAAGATAGATTAAAAAAACTGATTTTTAAAATTTTATCCATTTTAATATTTAGCAGTCATCACTGTCAGGAACTTCCTCTCCATAACTGGCCTTCAACTCTCAGCTGACACCTAAAGGCATTTCACAATCTTTCTTTTGATTAGAGGACTTATTGGAGGGCTTCAATTAGATTGATCAGTGAGAAAAGTAACTGGACTGTAAATTACTGGTCACTGCTGAGGGCCATTCTGGTCAATGTGGGTATCTCAAATGGTCTTATCTGATGATAGGAGTGCATGAAAAGTATTTTCATAAACATTCATTCTTTTTAAAAGGAATAATTATTTTGCTGCATCCTTAAACTTAAGATGATTAGTTATGTTTAAAAACATATTATTTCATACAAGTTATCACACAATACACAGTACCTTGTATTCCACAAGGAGTAGGTCAAATTATTAACCAAGCCTCTGCAGAGTTAGTTAATCCAACTAACTTTGGATTAAAAGTTAGTTGGGGAGACAGCGTCTGTGGACATTAGATGATAACTAACATCATCAAACAAATGTAGCATAGATAAATGAGTAATGTAGGGAAAAGGCAATCAATATGTGTTGGCAAGGTGTATGAGAAATGTACAAATTTCAATTTTGAAATGTAAAAGTATGTTTCTCTAAGTTTGGCAGATTTTCATATCTCCATTCTAGACATATACTGGGCTGACAACTAATTTATGTTCTGTGGTCTTAAAGATATTATTCTTTTGTAAACATAGTATCAAATATAGTTAAATGTCAGTATGTACGTTTGTAAAAAAATTTAATTAAATATAAAAAGAGGCTAAAATAAATTGACTTCTATTTATTTGTCCAAAATATTTGCAGGACCAAAAAATACTGAATAAAATAATCAAATAGAATAATTTCAAGGATAAGAAAAACATTACAAACAAATAAGCAACGCTTAAAAGCAAATTCTACCAGCATTAAACATTTCAAACTAAATTATTTATGCCTTACTTCTTCATGGAAAAATTCATTTTACTTATGTTTTCTTTCTTTTTGAAATGACAAAATGACATAGAAGCTCCTGGACTTTCTGTAAGTTCAACATAGAATAAAGATCCTATCTATGAAAGAAAAGAAATGCTTCAATTTAAAAATAATTCCTTTTGAACATTCTCATTTGTGGACCATTCTATGTTGCACTGACGAATAACTAGAGTATATTTATATAATAACTCTTGTTCATGAGGTATAATAAGGTCTTAAATTATTAAATAGTAACAACGTGAACTTAAAATGAATGAGACAGGCTACAAAATAGATACATCTTTGAGATTTAACATCTGTTAAATTCATTTTGCATCCTTTATGTATTTTTCACCAGCCCGAAGATAAATTCATTAAGGCAATTGAACAATCTGGAGTGAGCAACTGACAGACCGATTTTGACTAGAATTTTCACAACATAATGTATGTTTGTTTTACAGGTTCTTCTGCAATACAGACCTCTCATATGGTCGTATATGCGACATTTACACCTCTTTATTTGTTTGAAAACAAGATCTTTTCATTAGAGAAGATGGTAAGCATTCAAGCTTAGGAAACAGTATTATTTATTTTGTGTGTGTGGGTGCACGTGTGTGTGTGATTACTTGCTGTGGTAGAAGGCACATGAAAATTTAATTAAAATTCTATCTGTGGATGTCAGTTTCCTTATCTTTAAAATTAGATACTCGACCTAAGGCATCTGACACATCCAAAATTATCTTAGATGATTGCAATAGCTCTGGCTAATTATAAAAAAGGAAAAGAAAAAATACATAGTCACTTTTAATTTTTATAGATCCTTCTGTTATAATCAAAAAGAAAGATACAGGATTTATGTATTTCAGTGAAAATCATAGAAATTATTCCCAGGTAATAATTAATGACCTTCCCATAAATAGGCCACATGCGTTTTCTTAAAATAAGATGATATTAGTGAATTCACCCTCAGGCTGGAGAGATACTGCTATGACCTTTCTTGTATCACAAAATAATACAAAATAAATGCTAATTGTTTTCTTATACATTTAACAAATTGTAGAAAATTTAGAAAATGTAGTGAAAGGAAATACAATTAAAATATTTATAGTATAAATGGTAAGGCATAGGCCCTATTAACATTTTGGCATATATACTCTGATTTTTCTTCTATATTCTGTGTTTGTATGTGTATACCTTTTTTACTGGAATCACACTTTATGTTACATTTGAAAACCATCTTTTCACTTCACAAGATATTGTTAACATTTTTTTCATGATGTTAAATTTTAATCAATATGTTTAGTGCTTGCGTAGTATTTATGCATTTTCATAATTTTTAAGCTATCTATTGTTCTTGGACAGAAAAACAACTTTTCTCCTTCCCTTGTGATGGTGAAGTCCATCAAGTTATTAACAATTTATTTAAACAAATGCCCTACTGCTTTTGGGGTTTTTGAATCCCAATTCTGTTTGGGAACTGTAGACATCTAACACTTTGTTACTAGGATTTCATAGTCTGAAGTCACTACATTAAAGTATACAACTGCATGATGCAGCAATATGATTACATATGAATGTTCATTTAGTTAGCTAGAAAGAGCTATGTTTTAAAACTTGAATGGAAATTAGCTTGAAACATAAATATTCCAATTGAATGATTATTATACTTTACTATGTGCATTACATTTGTCTTTTAGATTATGCCTGGGGGGCACGTTGCTAACATTTTTCCCTTTCTCTTTCTTCCCATTCTTTCTTCTCCACTTTTTTAGATAAAAATAATTCCTTCCACAAAAATTTTACTATATAACAGTGTTCATAAGAGGATTATGTGCCATCCTGAATATGGCAGTTTCACTATTTTTAATCCAAAGTTAGAAAACATTAGCCATGGTTAAATAGCAGAAACAGCAATTTGGACTGAATATAAAAACCAGCAACATTCAACAATCTAAATGTACTTCTAAAGCCTCTCCCAAGTCAAGCCTCTTGCTAAGATTAGGGCTGGCCTTCTCACGCCTGCCTTTCTTTTAACCTCTTTGCATGCTACTGGCCTACGTGCTGTCTCAGATATGCTAGCGAGTAAATGCTCTAACTCATTGGACTGCTGAAGAATACCAGCAATGCCCCATCAATGATAGACTGAATAAAGAAAATATGGTACATATGCACCACGGAATACTACGCAGCCATAAAAAGGAATGAGATCATGTCCTTTTCAGGGACATGAATGAAGCCGCAAGCCATTATCCTCAGCAAACTAACACAAGAACAGAAAATCAAACACCACGTGTTCTCACTGATAAGTGGGACTTGAACACTGAGAACACATGGACACAGAGAGGGGAACAACACACAACAGGGCCTGTTGTGGGATGGGGTTGAGGGGAGGGAACTTAGAGAATGGGTCAATAGGTGCAGCAAACCACCATGGCACACATAGACCTATGTAACAAGCCTGCACATTCTGTACCTGTATCCTGTTTGTTTCTTTTTAGAAGAAATAAAGAAAATAAAAAAGAACACCAGCAATGCTTTATGGAGTGCCATAGTCTCATGTCTGAGAAGTATTCAAACCCCCTTTAAAACCACAAAGTGTAAGCACAGGATAAAAGCATTACAAAAAGAATGGGGTACAAAATAATCCTTTTGAACTTTTGGTGTGCTACTGAGAAACTAAAATTTAAATACTGTTCATTTTTAAGTTAAAAAACTAAGACTAAAGACTAAAAACTCACATCTGTTTATTCATTGGTTAATTCAACAGATTTTATGAATTATCTATGATATACTATTATACGCTAAACAATATGCTATCTTCTGAAGATACAATGATAAGCAAGATTGACAAAGTTCTCTCCACAAAGCTTAGAGTCTAATGAGGAAGGCAGACAACTGAGTGAACTGCAATAATACAATTAGAACAGAAGGCATACAAGGTGCCTGCCACGTAGTAGGTGTAGGTGAATTAATATTTGTTGGAGGAGTAACCAAGTGAACATATGGTTAAATGAATGAAAAAAAAAATGAATGAAAGACATAACAGAAACATGTCATCCTTTCTAATGGGTAGCCAGGGAAGTCCTCCCTAAGGGAGAACTGTTTAAGCTGAGATCTTAAAGAAGTTAGGCAAGTAAATGGGATAAAGTGTGTTCAAAGCAGAGGAAATCTTACGTTGGAAAGTTTGGAGATGAAGAAGATTCCACTGGGTTCAAGGAACTACTAGATATTGACATCATAAGGGGAGAAGACTTAAAGGCAGCTTGAGGCATGCGTGAGAGCCAAGGCATAAAGATTATTATAAATCCTCCCTTTGGGGAAGTTTAAGGCTTAAGGTGCCCAGAGGTTCTGGAATTAGCCCAGTGTCTGGAACAGTAAGTGACTTCCAAAGCTGTAATGAACTGACTAGTGTGTCACCATCTTCCTGTCTTGCCTGCTGATTCTTTTAGGTTAGCATCCTGTGAGGGTGATCTGGTTTCCCTGGTAAATATCAGAATATAATGGAGATACAATGTCTTAAGAATATACCTATAGGAAACAATTTCTGTCTTAATGAAATTTTGTTAAATGGAGTACATTGCTAAAAGTTACAGCCTCAAAGACAGTAAGATCAGCAGGTAAAATAAAGCCAAGAACTTACATTTATTTAAAGAAGTGGTAAAAAAGAAAAATACACGAAAATCAAGAACAAAACTCGGGAAGGAGCAAGATGTTACAAATTACATTATCCAACTTCTTTCTCCTCTTGGGTATTCTAATGGTTTTAGTTTTATGTAGATCTGAGAGTTTTAATAAAGCCTCTTTCACCTGCCCAAATCCAACTCTTGCATCTGTTAGAATGTTTGAAATGAGCTGAAGTAAAAAGAGTGAAAGGGTCTTAGGAAAGGAAACTTCTAATTTAAGTCTTACACATGAATTATGCAGCATATGTATATTGAGTGCCTAGGAAAAACTCAGTGTTTCAGGCACTATTGTAAATCTCCCTCATCCCCTAATTGTAATCCAAGGAACTTTGAAATCCTTGAACAAACTTTCTCAGCATCAAACTATAACTATTATTAATAGCATTACTTTACATGAATCAGAAGTATTGCTTAGTACATTGAAAATAAAATGAAGTATGTAGAATTGCTGTATTTAAATTTCTTGTGCCAAAATCATGTTAGTACTTTGGCAGATTATTCAAATTATAAATAGGTGCTAATACTGGAATTTGTTGTTTGGACCAGTCCTTTACATTTCCAAATGCTTTAAATCATTTTATTTTCTAATGCTCTACGGTCTAAAAAAAAAGTGTTTTTAGACTAAAATTTGTTGCAATGGCAGGAAGAAATTAACATATGTAGACCAAAAATTATGACTAGTAAAGTATCTGGAACTTATTCAACTTTTAAATACCACTTTGAGTTTGACTTCTATTTTGGATATTATTCAAATGTAACTTTTACAGTAATTCACCTTTTATAACTACTATACCAAGGCATTTTCTTTCCATTGAAAGAATTAGTTTCAGGTGGTGGCTTGACTCATGGAAACTTAAAACTCGACAGGGTTCAAGTTATAGAAAAAGGTTTAGATCTTAGAACATCTATGAAAAAGTTTTTTAAGGCACTCTAAGACATAATTCCAGAGTTTTCTGAAATTTTTTAGTTAAGTTGCTAAAATATACCAAAGGGATAAAAAGAAAATGACAGTTTCCTCCATTTCTTAATTCGGTGACTTAACAACTATTGCATCACTGTTGTCTGTATTTTGAATATTTACAATATTTTAAGCCACTGCTGGACTCACTAGTGCACTGATTAACTCCTTCTTAAAATTATTATCCTGATCTTGGGAAGGACTCTACTATCTCACGGGTCTCCTACCTCGGGGCAGATTGAGCTCTACAGCAGAGTTGTGAGAGCAAGGCAGTTTCCAGTTGAAGTAATAATTTGGAATAGGCTGATAAGTGGGTTTCTGGTTCTAATTTAAGTGTCTGTTTTGTAAATTTGCAATCTGGATTGTGGCTATTGCATAGAAATCATTGAGACAACATAATTAGGAAGAAAAACAGTTATTGACAAAATCGGTCAAAATTGATTTTAATGTTGTTAATATTTCAATTTATTTTACTTTAAATGTTAAAGTAAGCTGTGAACATCAGAATTTGGCTATAGTGTATATCACTTTAACATTCATATACCTTTTTATTTCCTTTGGCATTGTTCAGCCGTAAATCAGTAACGTAAGTTCTACTTAGCTGTTATTCTGAATTATTCCAAAGCAGACTGGCTTCAGGAGATCTAACACTAGAATATGAGAAGTATCTGCCTGGGCAACTCCTTGATTGTAATCATGTGTAATCATGGGGATCTTATGTGGAGGAACACATTGTTAGGGGAAGAGGGGTGAAGTGTAGACAAGACAGCCACTTACCACTGAACACACTCAAGAAAGTAGTATTTAAAAAAATTAGGTAGCAATGGCTAGTTTTTTTTAATTTACATATTAAGCACTAGTGTTAAAGCATTAACCTGTAAAAATAATGGCTGATTAATTTTGGACTAACTGGTGTGCTAAGATTTTGTGCAATCTCATTCATCCTTAAGCTTTTAGAACTGAAAAGTGTATTCTAGTTCCAATCTCTCATTTTGTAAATAAAGAAACAGGGCTCCAGAAAATTTAAAAGATGGAAAGAAATACAAATGATAATAATGCTTATATTAAGAGAGGTAGAGATATTGGGTGATTTTTTTTCTTACTACCACCATATTGCTCTGTTCGTGATAGTATTTTTACATTGGAAAAAGCATTGTTTTGAATGAAGGAGAATGCTTTTCAATTTACTTTCCATCTTCTAGGCAGATTCTGCTGAGAAACTTAGAGAATATGGGCTTTCCCACATCTGTAGCCATCCTGTGCTGGTGACTAGAAGTAGGTCTTGTCCTCTGGTAGCACCACCAAAACCACCTCCTCTACCTCCCTGGAAACTCATTCGTCAAAAAAAGGAAACTGTTATAACAGATGAAGCTCAAGGTATGTATCACATCATCTTCAAATCCTTCTAATTAATGTATGAAAGTCTAACAGTTTCATCTGCGGTGAAAGATGTATGTCAAGGTAAATCACCCAACATTGCTTCTAAAGCCTATGTTTAATATATATATATATATATATATATATATATAAAAATATATATATATAAAAATATATATATATATAAATATATATATATATATATATATATTTTTTTTTTTTTTTTTTTTTTTTTGAGACGGAGTCTCGCTCTGTGGCCTAGGCTGGAGTGCAGTGGCATGATCTTGGCTCACTGCAAGCTCCGCCTCCCGGGTTCACACCATTCTCCTGCCTCAGCCTCCTGAGTAGCTGGAAGCCTATGTTTAATTTTATGCCAAAATTTTATGTCTTTAAAGGATTAATTCTTCACATCTCAGAAGCTAAGGAGTTTGGTTAATGTCTGACTTGACCACATATATGAAGCTCATTCTTTTGAGTTATGGCGATGTTATTATTAGTGTGATAGAAAAGTAGTTTGTAGCAAAGTGCATCTGCTTTTAGGGTTACAAAAACTTCCCAGTTTTTTGTGTTTGTTTGTTTGTTTTTTCCTTCCTTCCTTCTTCCTCCTTCCATCCCTCTCTCCGTCCCTCCTTCCTTCCTTGTCTCCTTCCCTCCCTTCCTTCTATCTTCTCCTTTATTGTTTCTTGAATGGAAGACCAGCATCTGTTTGACACTTGAAAGGAAAACAAAATCCTTTATTTTAAAATGTTATATTTTGGTTAAATTTGCAGAGCTTCTTAAAACAGTTATTCATTCAGGGCATTGAGGAATAGTTGAATGAAAGGAAGAATAGTGAACATGTAGGTAATTTCTGATTTTGCTACTGATTGCTGTGTACAGTCAAAGAAAATTTAGGTATTCCATGTCCTAGTCTCTTTTTTTTCCTAATAATCACCCCTAATGTTTAATTTCATTGTTCACCATGGTAATGCAAGTGCTGTGTCCTTTATTCATTGAGAATTTCTTTCTTCTGGATCAGCCTCAGACTCCTTTAGGAATATCCACAACACCTCTCCTGACCTGCTGCTTTCTTTTTACCTCATGATCATTACTTTGCTACAGTTTTTGTTCTTCCACTGCCGTATTCATATGTTAGTTCACATTTCCTCCTTATATCCTAAGCAATTGTGTTACAGAGGTTAACTAAGGGAACTTTTTTTTTAGTAAAAGACTTTTATAGAAACTCATTCCTGTACTTGAAATAGCAGCAAATACCAAGTAATAATTCTATAAGACATTGCTAACTTTCTCCCTTGAGACTTGTTTCACATAATCTGGAAAGAAAAGAGTAGACAAAAGAAATTGAATACCGTAAAGATCTATAAACTCTTTCAATAAAAGCTTTATGTATGGTTTTACATTCCTATTTCACACTATTGAAATTTGCTGAGTAAATAGTTAATCTATCCAGCACTGTATTAAATGTTAAATTCTGTATGCAATCCTGAAAGATTTTTTTAAATGTACATCATACTTTCTAACTGCTACTTTTTAGAGTTAATAGTAAAGAAGCCTGAACGGTTCCTTGAGATTTCAAGTCCATTTTTGAATTATAGAATGACTCCATTTACAATTCCAACAGAAATGTAAGTATTAACATTCTTCCTCACAAATGTGTCTTGTTAGTAAATACTTTGTGATGTGTCTGGCTAAAGATAACACCAAATGGGAGCATTTTGAAGAATAGTAATTTTAAAATAAGCCCAAATACATGTAAAAACTTTAAAAGGACATTTTCTTGACCTTTTATAGCTTGTAGTTACATTAATCCACTTAATTAACAAATAGTTTTTACTAATTTCTTGTGTGTGTTATGAGCTGAATGTTTGTATGCCCACCAAATTCATAGGTTAAAGTTCTGACCTGCCAGTGTGGCTGCATTTGGAGGTAAAGCCTCTAAGCAAGCAATTAAGGTGAAATGAGTGATAAGGCAGGGGTACTGATCTGAGAGGATTAGTGACCTTCTGAGGAGAGACACCAGAGAGTTCTCTCTCTCTCTGTCTCTTTCTGTCTGTCCAGGCACACACACAGTGGAAAGGCTACGTGAGCACACAGAGAAGGCAGCTGTTGGCAGGCAGGAAGGAGAGTCTTCATAAGAAACAAACCCTGCTGGCACCCATCCTGACTGGTCTCAGACTTCCAGTCTCCAGAAATGTGAGAAAATAGATTTCTCCTATGGTAGCCACCTAACCTGTGGTATTTTGTTACGGCAGCCCGAGCAAACAAATACGGACTTTGGTACAGAGAAGTAGGGTGCAGCTGTAACAAATATCTGAAAGTGTGGAAGTGGTTTCCACATCTTCCTTGTTCTCTTTCAAATAGGCTTTCTCATTTTTCCCAATATGGATAGGCTGAGAATTGTCCAAATCTATTTCTTTTTTCTAGCATTTTACTATAAGGAGTCAAGAGAAGCCACGCCGCACTTTCAACACTTTGCTTAGAAATTTCCTCAATCCAATATTTAATTTCACTGCTCACAAGTTCTACCTTCCGCAAAACACTGGAACACAGAAAATCAGCCAAAGTCTTTGCCTAACAAGGGTGGCTTTTCCTCCATGGCCCAATAACATGTTCCTAATTTCCATTTGAGACCTCATCAAAATGGCCTTTACTATCCATATTTCTACCAGAATTTAGTTCACAGACACGTATATATTTTCTAAGAAGATTGAGGCTTTCTCTATAGCTCTCTTCTTTCCTTTTTGGGCCCTTTCCAGAATCATCTTTAAAGGTCCGTTCATGGCAATGTAGGCTTTCTTTAGCATGTACCTCCAAACTCTTCCAGCCTTTATTACCCAGTTCCAAAGCTGCTTCCACATTTTAGGTAGTTACCATAGCAGCAATCCCACTTGCTAGCATTCATGTTCTGTCTTAGCCTGTTTGGGCTGCTATAACAAAATACCATAGACTTGTGGCTTGTAAATAACAAAAAATTTATCTCTCATACTTCTAGAGGCTGGGAAGTCCAAGAACTGCACGCCAGCAGAGTCAATTTCTGGCAAGGGTCTGCTTCCTCATGCATGGCATCTTACCACTGTGTACTCACCTAGTGGAAGGGGTGAATGAGCTCTCTGGGGTACCTTTTACAAGGACACTAATGCCATGCATGCAGGTTGAGTCACCTCCCAAAGGCCTCACCTCTTAATACCATTATTTCAGGGTTTAGGATCTCAACATATAAATTTGATGGCAGAAGTATATACACACCTTCAGACCATAGCACCTTCCTTCCCCTTCATCTAGCAAGTAGTGTGTTCTGTTGATGTGTTTTGTAAATTCATCCAGTTCTTCCCCTAAAATGAATAATATATAAAACTCCTAAAATAATACATTGCAGCTTTTTTAGCTCCCTATCTACATGAAAAATCTTCAAATATTTGACAACAATTATATATGCACCACTCCATTCTCTTATTATTAGGTTTCTAGATGTGTAAAAAAATACTGTGTAAGTTATTTTCCAGTCCCACTGGACATTTCAGTTACAAAAGCCAGTGGAATTTCTATTCTTATTAAAGCTACTATGAATTAGCCTTCTGTCACTTGGACACAAGCAGTCCTAACTGATACTGCAATATAATAGAAATGCAATGCAATGTTATCAACAGTGTCATTAATTTAGTCAAAATTTGGGCTAAATTAACCACTTGTAATATACACATTATTAATATATTAAATAATGTCTTTCCTTCTTAAGTAGAGCATACTCAAAGCCTTCCTTGCTTCCTGGATGAATCATACTTAGCATTATTACTATACTGTCTTCTAACAGAGGGACCTCAAGGACTTTGAGGAACAATGACCCTAACATTCAATGACCTGAGACTACTGGCTTTTCCGGGGCTTTGTTTCAGTGATTGGCTTAGTTGTAGTTTTAATTTTGCTTTCATAGTACTAATGATGTCTTTATCAGTTCTTAATATTGTCTGCTTCCAATAGCCTTCCCTTCTCCAAATTTGTTTGTAATTTTCTGGGTGTAATGAGTAACATCACCAAATTTTTAGAATTAGTTAACGTTGCTTTGTATATACTTATAATAAAGACATTAACAGTTAGCATATGGGCTTTGTATCTACACTGTAACAATTGGATATTTAACATAGTAACTTGGAAATCATAGGCATTAAGTAAATCATAGGTATTAAGTAAATATTAATTGAATTGATTAAAATATTAAAATATTTTGAAGCACCTAAGTTATTCAGTATTTAAAATTATGTTCTTTCCTGTATGGTAGGCACTAGGCACATGGGGCTATGTAAAATTTTTTAAGTTAATTAATATTATATAAAATTAAAAATTAATTTCCTTAGTTGCATTAGCAACATTTTAAGTTCTCAGTAGTCAAATGTTCTAAGTGAACATTTTCATCATTGCATAAGTTTCTTCTAAATATTAAAAGGAATGAACAAGTGACCTGTCCATAATTGTAGCATTTTACTATAACAGTATTATATTATTTTTAGTTTTTATTATTTTAACCCATATTACTATTCATAGATTAAAATGAAAAGCTCATTCATTCATATAATGCAACATAACTAAGTGGCATTTTCTTTGCCCTATTGAGAAGACCAGTTGAATGTAATTGTCCTAATAGTTAAAGCATTTCAACTTCAACCTTTTAAATCAATTTTATTTAATAAATAAAAATGTATGCTTTCATGACAAATATACTAAAATTTGTGTCATTGCAGTGATTATACAAAAGCAATATTTCTTAAGTTCCCTTTTATAGTAAGAAATACTTTTTTTTTTTTTTCCCGAGATGGAGTCTGCTCTGCTGCCCAGGCTAGAGTGCAGTGGAGCAATCTTGGCTCACTGCAACCTCTGCCTTCCAGGTTCAAGTGATTCTCCTGCATCAGCCTCCCAAGTAGCTGGGATTGCAGGTGTGTGCCACCACACCCGGCTAATTTTTGTATTTTTTGTAGAGATGGGGTTTCACCATGTTGGCCAGGCTGGTCTCTATCTCCTGACCTCAGGTGATCCACCCACCTTGGCCTCCCAAAGTGCTGGGATTACAGGTGTGAGCCACAGTGCCCAGCCAGAAATACTTATTTTAAGATAAATTTTGAATTGGTTGAAATAAGGCCTACTTCAAATGTTCTTTAGCATCATAAAACTTAAAAAAATAAATTAAATGAGCCCCCTTATTCCAAGGATATTTAAATAAAGTATTGAGGGGACACAGAGGATTAACTAGAAAGGGCACTGTTTTTGTGAGGAAAAATGTATTAATTAATCAATGAAAACTCTGACTGTAAAAATAAAGTGATATGAAAATATTATATGTAAAACAAAGATACTATTGAAAAATGCCCTCACTTTTCTCTTTCACATTGTTTGTTTTACTGCTTTGGTGAGATGTCAAAGCTGCTCAAATTATGTTCCTAAAAGGAGTAGACAATGTAAGAGTGCAAGCTGGTGAGAGATTAAAGGTGGTGATAAGAAACTGGGATATTGCCTGGAGACAGAAGAGAGCCAGAGAGGCTTGGTGTATTTCATATTTAGAAGTACTCTAATTTTTTTTCTTGTTTCTAGTAATTATGCTGATGGGAAAATCTGTCTGTCTTTACAGATTTGGCTACTGTTTTAGAACAACAAAAAAGCATCTTACCTACTTTAATCATTAGCACTGATGAATATTTTCGGTTATTACCAGCTAATTAAATTACAAGATTAAATGATTGTCATAGAAATGTGGAAAACTGGGTGTGTCACTCATAGGGAAAAAAAAGACTAACTAAATACAACAGCAAAGACAATGAAGAACAATGAAGAGAAAGGGGGAAGGAGGAGGAAGAGGAACCCACACTCACTAATATTTGAACATCACAATAGGGATAGAAAGAAAGACTGTAAAGCTGGGTCTGAAGTTTTTATTGAATCAGAAGTGACCATGAACTTCACAAATAGCAATAACTGGTGTATTGGGTGATATGAGTGCAGGGTATGATGGTTGCCGTTAAAATTGTGGTAATTTTTAATGCAGCAATAGGTGGCTAATACATGGTTATACACATATATCAAAGACTAGCAAATTTACACTTTGAATTTGTGCAGTTAACTGTACTTCAATTATCCTTCAATAGAGTGGTGAAAATTTAAAAAAGAAAGTATGTAAAGTGGTTTAAAAAATAAAATAGAAATTCTAGAAGCAAGGAGTATAATGACTAAGACCCAGAACTCAATAGATGTGCTTAAGAACACATTAGATACAGACTAAAGGAGAATAAGCAAAGTTGAAAATAGATTAGAAGATAATATCCAGACTAAAGCATGGAGACAAAAAAAATGGGAAAAAAAAGTACAGTTAAGACCTATGAGACACGTTGAACATGACCAACGTACTTGCCAGTGGTTCTCAGAAGTAGGAGATAAAGAGATTTGGAAATAATTAAAAACTCAAATCTTAACGGCCAAAAGAATCCCTAAAGGGAAAAGTTTAAGTCAAGACTCAGGAAGTCCTAAAAAGACTAAGTAATATAAATACAAAGAAAACTGCAGCTAGACACATCATAGTAAAGCCAAAGACAAATATAATGCAATAATATAATGCAATAAAAGTGAAATAAAGACTGCTATACAAAGCAATATGGACAAATCTCACATACACTCACAAAATTTAGACCAAAGAAGTCTGGTACACAAATTACGTGGTTAGTTTTCAGCTATCCTATTAATATACAGTAAGAAAAGAACAATTTTAAAAAGCAATATATGGTGTTGGAAGTAACCAATGTGGTTATCTGTGGTGAGGAGAGTTGGCCATGATTGTGACATGCTTCTGGCAGGGTTTGTGGATTGCTAGTAATATGAAAAATGCTTGATCTGAATAATGGTGATATGACTGTGTTTACTTTGTGATATTTCAGCAAGTGTACATTCATTGTTTAAGAACATTTAAACATGTATTTTAAGCTTCAATAAAACTTTATTAAAATCATTGAATGGTCTGTACCATCGGTCACACATATAATGGCCATTAAATATGGCTTTAGCCTTCTCTTGGATAGACTATAATCTATGATAGGAATATAAGCTGATAAGAGAAAAGCAGTCAAAATTTAGATCTGTACCGTGTTCATTGTGCTTTCCTACTTTTAGATACTCTTTACATCACAGGCAGTTAATTTACACTTTTATTTATTCTATTTAAGTTTATAATACTAAAGATATTCTTCAAATATTTTACCTTTAAGGTTTTGTCAGTTCTATGTATCGACAACTGAACATTGAAAAGTGGGTAGGGAGGGAGCACTGCACAGCACTGCTAGACAAATATTGGCAGTTGGCAATGTCAAGCCATGCGGGACAGCTTTATAACCAGAAAAAAACATTTCCTGCTACTTTCGTTTTAAAATTTTGCTATTGTTGCAAATTAATAAATCTAGTTTTTTTCTCAAACTTTTGGGGTTTTGTTTTGTTTTGTTTTTTGAGATGGGGTCTTGCTCTGTTACCCGGCTGGTCTCAAACTTCTGAGTTTGAGGCAAGTGGTGCCTCTTGCCTCAGTCTCTTGAGTAGCTGGGACTACAGGCATGTTCCACCATGCCCAGCATAAAATTTGTGTTATAATTTCTAATAAATCAATGTAATAAACCTGATCACATTGGTGATCAGGTTTCAACGTCCGAATTTTGGAGGAACACAAACATTTAGTCACACACAGAGTTTTTCTAAACTTAACATAAAAATGTTAATGCTTCATGATTTCTGATTAATATCATGCTTAAGCTACCCATTGTTTTAGTCAGGGTTCTCCAGAGAGACTGAATTAATGCGGAATATAGACATCGACATAGATATAGATAAAGATACAAATATAGATATATGACAGGAGGTTCATTAAAGGAATTGGCTCATTGGTTATGGAAGCTGAGAAGACTCAAGATAGGCTGTCTGCAAGCTGGGGAACCAGGGAGGTCAGTAGCACGTGGTTCAGTCCAAATCTAAAGGCCTCAGAACCCAGGAAGCTGATGGTGTAACTCTCAGTCTGAAGACAAAGGTAACGAGAATCCAGGGAGTTGTTGGTGCAAGTCCCAGAGTCCGAAGGGCAGAAGCCCTGGACTTTTGATGTCTAAGGGCAGGAGAAGAAGGGCATCCCAGCTCCAGGAGAGAAAGTGAATTCACCTTTCCTCTGTCACTTTCTTCTGCCCAGGCAGAAGATGGGTGTAATTTGATGACACCCATCTACATTGAGGGTGGATCTTCTCTCAATCCACCGACTCGCACGCCAATCACCTCTGGAAGCACTCTCACAGACACACCCAGAAATAATGTTTTACTGGTCATCTAGGCAGCCCTCAAGCCAGCCAAGATGGCACCTAAAATTCACCACCACACTCTCTAAGATGATGATTTTGCTATTCAAAATAATTTTTGTTTATCTCTCAGCTAGTTGAGTTTGCATATCAGAGATTTGTGGGTTGTAAGAAATAGAACTGCAGACCTCAAGGACAAATTTTCTTACAATTTGAATAGTCATAGCCAGCCTTTTAGAATCTCTATGCCAATAGGGACCCCAAATGGATTAGTTTCATAACCTAAATTCCCTGAGTTACTTACTTTTTATCTTCTTTCAGCTGTATTACTTGATTAAAGTACATGAAATTCTAATACCCAGATACAGGTGGCTTCATCACCTGATTGGATTCGACTAATCTATTCACTGCTTGAATCTGTTATTAGTTCATTTACATATTCATCTCTGACAGAGCCAAATCAGAGATATGTGGATGGCATTTCATCCTACGTGATAGACATGCCCCTTGTCCTGCTTTGCTGTCGCAGATCAACATAAGAGCAAGCCTGTTTTTTAGTGAGCCTTTGAAAGTGACTGCTATCACAACTTTCTGTCTTAGGAACACTGTCTTTGTAGCAACACTCCAGGTTTACCCATTCTTGGCTCCTGGCCATGTCTGGTAGAATTGGAGACTCAACCAAGTTTGTGCTACCCTCTAGTGGCAGTTTTGTGTAAATCAGAGACGTTTAGTTACAAGTGAATTTTTACAGATCACTAACTGGAAAAAATATCCAAGTTGATGAAGTCTATGTACATGGAATTTATCTTTAAAACACACTTACTTAAAAAATACATATACTACAAAAATGTCTTTACGTACCTATAAAATTCTAGCGATGGCAAGGGCAATTTGGAGTCATATCAGCCAATTACTTGAAAGGAAGACTGTATGCTCGGGTAGCTGGTATGAATGTCACAGTTATAAACTTAAGTGCTCAAGACTCATAATTAAATTTCTGACTCCTAGTTCTGTTTCACTGATACATCACTCTGATAATTAAATCAATTCCACATATCAAATTTCTGTTTTGATCATCAAAATTCAAAGATGACCACCAAAGCTTTGAAACAAATAGTGTTCTAGAATTTTTACATCAATTTGTTGACTAATATACAGTATTTTTAGTAGCATAGAAAGATATCCAATGTTTTAACATGAGGTAAAAAACATTACTGGTAGTAAAAGAATGAGAATGACAAATAGAACACAATCAGAACTTTCTATTGTTGACAAAAATGCAGTTATTTATTAATAACTTTAAACAGAAGATCAAAATAACAGAAGTTTGGGGTTTTGTTTTCCTTTTAGGCATTTTGTGCGCTCCTTAATTAAGAAAGGAATACCTCCAGGATCTGATTTACCTTCCGTCAGTGAAACTGATGAAACTGCAACACATAGCCAGACAGACTTGAGTCAAATAACAAAAGCTACATCTCAGGTGACTATGTTACTCTTACTGTTGGCCCAACTCTTAATGAGACAAGATTTTTTTCCTTACATTGTGAAACATACTATACATACAAAAGAATGTATAACATGGATCTGAACAGTATAAAGAATAGTGTTAAAATAAATCTCTTATGTATCTATCACCTAGGTTAGAAAATAGTCATCTGCTATAGAAGTCCCCTGTGTGTTTCTTCTTGGTTGTATTTTCTGTCGGCCACTCAGATTTTGGTATTAAACAACTTCATATTTTTCTCATTTTGCCAATTATAATGTAACATCTTGTTTGTGAGATTCCTCCCTTTTGTTTCATGTCCTGTTCATTTCACTAACCAATGGTATTTATTGTATAAAATTATGCTACAAATGGTTTTTAGTCTATCACAGTGTTAGTGGCTGTATTAGTTGCTTCTTGTTTCTATTGTAAGAAATATTCTTTCTCACTATTCTTGCTTTTTGTTTCTTACTATTGTAAGCAACGGTACCATGATTTTTCTCAAATGTCCCTTGAAACAGGTACAAGAGTTTCTTTAGTTTCAGGGTTCATAACCCTTTACGTGCTATGGCTCCCCTTAACAATTTTTTAAAACTCTAACAGGTTGAAAACAACTCATCTTTTTCTCCATATTAATTAACTGAGAATTATTGATAAGGAACATAATTAGCACTGTGAGAGAACATACAACTTCACTATTTGGTGGTTGAATGACTACTAAGCATAGTTGCTATAGTTACCTAGCTATATAGGTCACAGGAGTATCTGTAGATGGGGAGATACGACCACATGAAATACAGCAACAGGTCTAATACCTGCTGTAATTTCAAAGTAGTAATCAGCTTACATATTCTTGTAAGATATTTGCAACAACTATAATATAATATAAAATATTGTGACATTTTGTGGATAGGGTCAGTTATTGCTCTCAACATTGTGACTACTTGCCTGTATTGACAAATTTGTAATTGAAAAAAAAATGCTGAGTGTCAAACATGTAATGTCTTTCTAACCATCCACATTAATGGATTTGTGAAATTTAACTATGAGCTTCATTGGATATCATATTAGGAAACCCTGTTCTAGGATATGAATCTAGGAGTCTAGTTAATAGGGCATTCATTCACCTCCTTGACCTTACAATAAAATGCCAAACCATTTTCTGAATGGGTGTAGTAATACCCACACCTGTCAACACCAAGAGTTTTCTTTATGACAGCATTTGATACTGTATGATGTTTGCTAATGTGGTGGGTATAAAATGGTATTTTATTTTTTATTATAAATGCATAATGTATTGACATATTAACCCATATATGCCTGAGGTTGCTATTTTTGGAATTTGAAAAATCAGACCTTGGCAATGACCTTGAACAGTAGGATGCTGAGCTTTCCAATGTAAAACAAATGTAAAGAAATCTTGCCTCCATTTATGTACCTCTCTATCCCATTTTCACCATTCTGCCCTCCGTAGGAAACTTTCAGGATTTTTTAATGTAAATGCAAAGAAACACACACACAATATTTCACAACTTCCTTTTTTTCTACTCAAAATTAAATAATCTTAAAAATACTTAATATATGCTGGAGATAATTCCAATCTACACCTAAAGAGTATCTTCATTCTTAAAGCTTCATAATTTTTTATTATGTAAATGAACTGTAGTTTATTTCTATCAATCTCTATAGATGAAATCTTGGGTTGATTTTAATCTTTTGCTATTATAAATACTACTGCTATGAATGAATTTGTACATGTAGTTGGATTGTTTGGCCAACAAATACAATTCTATTGGAATTTTAAAATAATTATTGCTAAATATACACGATAAGATTACACCCAGGTTGTATGAATATTTCCTTATAGCCACATGGAGTGTGTAGGGATTTTTTAAAAATTTTGCCAATCAGATTGGTAAGAAAAAGTAGTTCATTTTGCTTTTCCATTGAACTGGTTGTTATTGTGACTGAACAGCTTTGTATACATTTACTGCCATTTCTGTTTGTGCTGCTGTGCAATGCCTGCTTATGTCTTTTGCCTAATTTCCATTTGGGTTGTATGTTCCTATTTTACCAATTCATAGATGTTCTTTGTGAAATATGGAGACTTATTCTTTATTAGATATGTATTTCATATGTTCTAAGTTTATCTTTTCAATCTTGTCTTTTTAAAATTTATTTTTAATCGATAAAAAATATATGCATTTATAGTGTAAAACATGATGTTTTGAAATATATATATAGCTGAATAACTAAATTGAGCTGATTAATATATGTATTACTTCACGTTCCTTTCATTTTTTGTTGTGAGAACACTAAAATCTTCTGTCTTATCAATTTTCAAGAATACATTAACTATAGACCCCGTGTTGCAAATCAGATCTCTTGAATTTATCTCTACTAACTGAAACTTTGTATCCTTTGACCAGTATTTTCCCAATCACCCACATCTAGCCCCTGGTAACTACCATTCTACTTAGTATCTATTTTTCTGTGTGTGGCTTATTTAACTTCACATAAGGTCCTCCAGGTTTATCCTAGTTATTGCAAATGATAAAGTTTCCTTCTTTTTAAAGGCTGAATAGTATTCTATTTTGTATATATACCATATTTTCCTTATCCATTCATCTGTGGATGGACAATTAGTTTGATTTCATATTTTGGCTTTGTGAATAATGCTATAATGAAGATGGGAAGGCAGGTATCTCTTTCTTCTTTGACACACTGATTTCATTTCCTTTGGATACACACTCAGAAGGAGGATTGCTGGATCACATGATTGCCCTATTTTTAGTTTTTTTTTTTCAACCTCCATACTGTTTTCTACAGTGGCTGCACCATTCTACCTTCTCACCAGCAATATACAAGGTTTCCCTTATTTCCACATTCTTACTAACACTTATTTTTGTATTCTCGATAACAGCCATTTTAACAGGTGTGAAGTGATATCTCACTGTGGTCTTAATTTATGTTCCTCTGATGATTAGTGATGTTGAGCATTTTTTAAAACACATACGTTGGCCATTTGTATGTCTTCTCCTGAGAAATGCCTATTCAGATTCTTCGCTCATTTTTCAATTGGGTTGTTTCCTTGATGATGAGTTGTTTGAGTTCCTTATATGTTTTGAATATTAACCTCTTATCAGATGTATGATTTACAAATATTTTCTCCCATTCTATAGATTGTCTCCTTATAATTGCTTCCTTTTCTGTGCAAAAAAAAAAAAATTTAGTTTGATGTAATTCCTTCTGTCTGTTTGCAATTGTTGCCTGTGCTTTAGGGATTATTTCTTAAAACTTGTTGCCCAGGCCAAGTTCTTGGAGCTTATCCCTTATGTTTTCTTCTAATAGTTTCATACATTCAGCATACATTCAGGTCTTAAAGTTAAGTTCTTAATGCATTTTGAGTTAATTTTTGTATATGGTATGAGGTGACATTCCTCTTTTGTAAATGGATATCCCAAAATCATTTACTGAAGAGACTCTCCTTTCTTCCATTGTGTGTTCTTGTCAATCTTTTTCGACCATAATAGTTTGAATTTATTTTTGACTCTCTACTCTGTTCCATTGGTCTATTTTTATGGTGATATATGCTGTTTGGGTTACTATAGCTTTGTAGTGTATTTTGAAGTCAGGTAGTGTGATGCCTCCTGCTTTGTTCTTTTGCTTTAGCTATTTAGGGTCTTTTGTGGTTTCACATGGATTTTAGGATGTTTTTAATATATCTGTCTAAAATCTCATCAGAATGTTGGTAGATTACATTGAATCTGTACATTGCTTTGGCTAGTATGTGAAAAATCTCATCAGAATGTTGATAGATTACATTGAATCTGTACATTGCTTTGGCTAGTACAGCCATTTTAACAATATGAATTCTTTCAGTTCATGAACATGGGACATCTTTCCATTTATTTGAGTCTTATTTTATTTCATCAATGTTTTATTTTATAGTATTCAGAATATAGGTACCTCCTTAGTTCAATTTATTCCTAAATATGTTTTGGTAGCTATTGTAAATGGAATTATTTTACTGATTTCTATTTTTGTTTTTTGTATGTTGATTTTGTATCCTGAAACTTTATTGAGTTTATATATTAGATCTAACAGGATTTTTAATGGGGTTTTAAGGGGTTCTATATATGATTGTATTATCTGAAAAGAGGAAAAATTTAGCTTCTTTCTTTCCAATTTGAGTGCCTTTTCTTTATTTTGCCTAATTGCTCTAGCTAGGACTTTAGGTGATATGTTGAATAGAAGTGGTTATTTTCCTTGTCTTACTCCTGATCTTAGAAGTAAAGCTTTCAACTTTTCACTGTTGAGTATGTTAGCTATGAGTTTGTCATATATGGCCTTTGTTGTGTTGAAGTACATTCTTTATATTAGTTGTAAGTTGAGAGGTTTTTTAATCATAAAAGGATGTTGAATTTTGTGAAATGCTGTTTTTCCATCTATTCACATGATTGCATGGTTTTTATCTTTTATTCTTTTAATGTGGTATATCATACTTGTAGATTTGCATATGTCAAACCATCCTTGCATCTCTGGGAAAACTCCCACTTAATCATGGTAAATGATCTTTTTAATGTGCTGTTGAATTATGTTTACTAGTATTTTGTTAAGGATTTTTGCATGTATGTTCATCAGCGATATTGACCTAAGGTTTATTTTCTTATAGTGTCCTTGTCTGGCTTTGGTATTAAGATAATGCTTGCCCTGTATAATTAGTTTGAAATTATTCTCTCTTTGTCAGATTTTTTTGGAAGACTTTGAGAAGGATGGTATTAATTATTCTTTAAATATTTGGTAGAATTCAGCAGTGAAGCCATAAGGTCCTGGACTTTTCTTTGATAGGAGACTTTTTATTTTAAGATATAGGGTCTTTCCCTGTTGCCAAGGCTGGAGTGCAGTGGCATGATCATAACTTAACTGCAGCCTTGAACTCCTGGGCTCAAGCAGTCTTCCTGCCTTACCCTCCCAAGCAGCTGTTACTACAGGCATGCACCACCACACTTGGTTAATTTAAAAAAAAAAAATTACAAATGGGGTCTTGCTATGTTGCCTAGGCTAGTCTCAAACTCTTGGCTTCAATCCTCCTGCCTTGGCCTCCCAAAGTTCTGTAATTACAGGCATAAGCATTGCACCTGGCCAACATGGGACAGTTTTTTGTTTTTTTTTTCTTTTCTTTTTCTTTTTTTTTTCTTTTTTGAGATGGAGTCTTGCTCTGTGGCCAGGCTGGAGTGCAGTGGCACAATCTCGGGTCACTGCAACCTCTGCCTCCCAGGTTCAAGTGATTCTCCTGTCTCAGCCTCTCGAGTAGTTGGGGCTACAAGTGCATGCCACCACACCCAGCTAATTTTTGTATTTTTAGTAGAGACGAGATTTCACCATGTTGGCCAGGATGGTTTTGATCTCCTGACCTCGTCATCCACCTGCCTCAGCCTCCCAAAGTGCTGGGATTACAGACATAAGCCACAGTTTTTATTACTAATGTAATCCCCTTGCTCATGGTGTTCTGTTCAGATTTTATATTTTTTATGATTCAGTCTTGGTAACTTGTATAATATGTCTAGAAATTTGTTTCTTCTAGGTTATCCAATTGGTTGTCATATAATTATACATAGTAGATTCTTAGGATTCTTTGTATTTCTGCAGTATCATTTGTAATGCTTCCTTTTTTATTTCTGATTTTGTTTGAGTCTTTTCTCCTTTTTCTTAATTAGTCTAGCAAAAGGTTTGTCAGTTTTGTTTATCTTTTCAAAGATCAGCTTAGTGTTTTTTTTTTTTTTTTTACTTTTCTTGTTTATTTCTGTTCTGAGATTTATTATTTCCTTTCTTCTACTAATTTTGGGTTTAGTTTGCTTTCTTTTTTTCTAGTTCCCTGAGGTGTAACATTATGTTTTAAATTTGAAATTCTTCTTTAAATTTCCCTCTTAGAGCTTCATTTACTGCATCCTATAAATTTTGATATGTTACTATGTCAATTTTCATTTGTCTCAAGATATTCTAAAAATTTCCTTCTTAATATCTCATTCAGAAGCACATTGTTTAGTTTCCATGTATTTGTGAATTTTCTGAAATGCCTCCTGTTGTTGATTTTTAGACTCATTCCATTGTGGTTATAAAAGGTAGTTATATGATTTCAATCTTCTTTAATTTGTTAAGACTTGCTTTGTGGCCTAACATATGAATATCCTGGAGAATGTTCCTTGTGAGCTTGAGAAGAATGTGTATTCCACTGCTGCTAGATGCAATGTTCTGTATATATCTGTTAGGTCCATTTGATCTAAAGTGTAGTTTAAGTCTGATGTTTTCTTTTGATTTTTTGTCTGGATGAGCTATCCTTTGCTGAAAGAGGAGTACTGAAGACTCCAAATATTATTGTATTGCAGTCTCTCTCCCCCTTTAGATCTATTAATATTGCTTTATACATTTAGGTGCTCTGATGTTGGATGCATACATATTTATAATTATTGTATCCTGTTAAGAAATTGACACCTTTATCATTATGAAATAACCTTATTTGTCTCTTTTTTACCGTTTTTGACTTAAAGTCTATTTTATTTGATATAAATATAGCTATCCCTGCTCTCTTTTGCCTTACATTTGCACGGAATATCCTTTCCCATCTTTTTATTTTCAGTCTATATGTGTCTTTAAGGTGAAGTAAGTCTCCTGTAGGCAGTATATAGTTGAGTCTTTGTTTTTTAAATACATTTTGCCACTCTATGCCTTTTGATTGGAGAATCTAATCCATTTACATTCAAGATGATTATTGGTAGGTAAGCAGTTACTACTGTTATTTCATTAATTTTTTTCTGGTTGTTTTGTAGGTCCTTTGTTTCTTTCTTCTCTTCTGTTTTCCTTTGTAATTAGGTTATGTTTTTAGTGGTTTGCTTTGATTTTATGTATCTACTATAGGTTGTAACTTTATGAATACCATGAGGCTTACATCTTATGGCTGTAACGGCATATTCTAAGCTGATAGCAACTTAACTTTGATCGCATACAAAAACTCTACACTTTTACTCTGTCTCTCTTATGGTTTATGTTTTTGATGTAACAATTTACAATCTCTTATATTGTATATCCCTTGACAAATTATTGCAATTATTATTATTTTAGTAATTTTAACCTTCATACTAAATTTTAACCTTCATACTAAAGATGTAAGTGATTTAAACATCACCATTACAGTATTAGAGTATTCTGAATTTGACTATGTACTTACTTTTACCAGTGAGTTTTATACTCTCATTTTTTAATGTTACTGATTACCATTCTTTTCTTTCAGCTTGAAGAATTCCCTGTAGTATTTCTCATAAAACAGATCTTGTGGTGATGAATTCCCTCAGCTTTTTTTGTTTGGGAAAGTTTTTATCTCCACTTCAGTTTTGAAGGACATCTTTTTTAAGTACAGTATACTTTCTTAGTATTATTTTTATTCAGTACCTTGACTATATTATCCCATTCTCTCCAGGCCTGTGAGGTTCCTACTAAGAAATTTGCTGAGAAATTATAACTCCTTATTTGCTTCATTTCTCTTGCTGCTTTCAGAATCCTCTCTTTGTCTTTGATTTTTGACAGTTTGATTACAGTATGTCTTGGTGCACAGTATTATTTGGATTAAATCTGATTTTGAAGACCTTCTACCTTCCTCTACCTGGATATATATAACTTTCCCCAGATTTGAGAAGTTTTCTGCTATTATTTCTTTAAGTAAGTTTCTACTCCTTTGTCTCTCTTTTGTCTTTTGTGAACTCCTATCACTCAAATATTTGCTCTTTTGATATTGCCCCATAAACTGTGTAGTCCTTTTTCATTCCTTTTCTTTTTTCCACTTTGAGTGCATATTTTCCAATAGCCTGTCTTCAATTTCACAGTTTCTTTCTTTTGCTTGTCTGCTTGATTGATTCTGCTGTTGACCTTCTCTTGCATTTTTAATTTCATTTCATTCATTGTAATGTTCACCTCTAGAATTTCTGTTTAATTTATTAAAATAATTCCAATCTCTTTGTTAAATTTCTTATCTTAGTTGTTCATTGTTTTCCAGATAGCACTTAATTGTGTTTTGCTATTTTTGAAGTTCACTGAGTTTCCTTAAAACAATCATTTCACATTCTTTGTCAGGCAGATTATAAATCTCTATTTCATTAGAGCTGGCTTTTGGTGCTTTATTTTGTTCTTTTGGTGGGGTCATGTTTCCATTATTGTTCTTGGTCCTTGTAACCACGAGTTGGTGTCTGTAAATTTAAGAGTAGTAAATTATTCTAATACTTGCAGACTGGCCTTGTCTGGGAAAGCCCTTCACCAGTCAGATCATCTAGAGATTCCTGGCAGGTTGCCCACAGGCAGGTTTGTTACTGTACTCCTTGAACAGGCTGGTCTAGTGCCTAGATCAGCAGGTGGGCAACCCTGGCACTTGCGTCTGCAGGATTGGGTCTAGAATGTATGTCCTTGGAAACCAGCCTGAAATCTGGTTCCACAGAGGCTAGACTGATACTGGCATAGACCTAGAGTACCAGCTTCTGCAAGGGTGGGCCTGGGGCCTCAGTTTATGGGGGCCAGCCCGCCACCAGGGTCTATTGGGTGGCCTGGACCCTAGGCCTGGTAGGGATCTACTTTACTGCTTTACTGGTCCAGCCTGTGTTTAGGACCAAGGCAAACTCCAGTTCTTACTTCCTTTTCCTTCTCCCAAGTAGAGGGTATCTCTCTTTTCCTGGGATTGGGAGTGATGTGTGTGATGCAAAACTGTCCTTACTACCTTCTTCAATGTGTCTTATTTCTGTGCTACATTCAGTTGCTATAACCTTTCACCAAGTTTCTTTAGCTCTTATGAAGATATTTTCTTATGTGGATTATTTTTCAAATTGATGTTTTTGCAGGGGGCAAATACAGGAAAGTCTTGTTCTTCCATATGACTGCTAAGAGCTCCTGAATATTGTGTCTTTGTATAAACAATTTTTTTATTTTTAATGTGGTTGAATTTATTTATATATTCATATATAAATCTGGTTCCTTAAGCCAGATATAGAAATCTCAATCATATATAATCATATTACATATATATATAAAATCATATTATGATTATATATGATTGAGATTTCTATATCTGGTTTAAGAAATTTGCCCTATTCTTAGGTCATAAAACTATTTTTCTAATCATCTTCTAAAATGTTATAGTTTTACTTTTATAAAATCCAATTAATTGGGAACTGATTTTTGTGTATGATATAAAATGATGAGACCAATTTTATTTTTTCCCATATAGATACACAATTGTTTTTAGAGGAATTCTTATGCAACTTTCAAACGTTATAATAAAATTTTGAGCCATTGCAATATGATAATGCTTGTAAATGTAGTTCTAAATTATAACAATAGATTCTTAGAGACAGAAGGTATCCATAAACTGATGTTCCAAATCATAATGAAACTTTGAAAAACTCCTCTTTAATTGGTTTGGCTCTTATTTGTTGAATGTGATAGCTTATGTGATGGTATAAGATACTCTGGAGGGCACATCATCACATACAGATGAACAAATCTATTAGTGTTAATTAGAAAGCAGAGATTAATAGGTGATTGAGGAGAATGAATATCTGTCAACATTTTTTGAAATTTTAAAAAAAAAATTTAAATTATTGATTGTATTCGTTTTAAAGAGACAAAGATTATCCAGAAGATAATCATAAAAAATAGCCAGCATGCCCTACACCTCCTCATTTTTCAGTCTTCTCCAGAGTCACCTACTTTTATTTTATTTAACTGCTTCTTCTGATACATATCTCCATAATTCTAAATAGTAGGCTTCATGAGGGCAGAGATATTTATTTTATTATATTTTGTTTCTCCCTCGGCACCTGTGAAAATGCCTAGCATATAGCAAACACCATGACATATTTGTTGAATGACTACATGCTATTTTATCTTGATCTGTTAATTTAGACGTTATCTCTTGACTTCCTGTTATGGGAGATAAAGATTTAGCTCACCTGAACTCACTTACTATCCCATATCTACACTTTCCCCTGTCTTCAAGATTTTGTCATTTCATAATTTTTGGTTGAAACAACATTCCTGTTTTGTAAGGATTATTACTGCTGAAGCAAATATGATAACATTTCTTACACAAGGTTTTATACAAGCAAATTACTGCACTTTTTCCTTTGCTCACTTTACTATAGGAAGCATTAGTAGGTCTTTCCAAACACTACAAAAATTATAACCTCTCTATCCATCATTTTCTACATAGTCAAATACATCAAATATTTTATAAATGCCTGTTGTTTTTTTTTTTTAAACCACCCCATGCACTCCTTTGCTGTCTTGCTTCAGTGCAAACTGAGAGAACTTTGCTCCTGGTACCTTTAGACTTCCTTTTGTCTCTCTCCTCTGATGGACTTCCTATTTTTGGTCTCTCTTCTTTCATGGTTTAAACCCTAATTTTAGTGTAGCACATCTTCCAGTACTTCCTAAGAAAAGATGTACAGGAAGTAAAATTTATGAGCACTTGCATGCTTGAAGATGCTTACATTCCATTCTCCCACCTAATTTATATTTTGGCAGGATATAAAATTTCAATTTGGAAGTCATTTCCTCAAAATTGTAAAGGTCTTATTTAATCCTTTGTCTTTTAATTTTAAGCATTGCTCTTGATTTAAAGATGACATTCTGGGCTGGGCATGGTGGCTTACACTTGTAATCCCAGCATGTTGGTAGGCTGAGGCAGGTGGATTGCTTTAGCTCAGGAGTTTGAGGCAGCCTGCGCAAGACAGTGAAACCCCATCTCTACAAAAACAAACAAAAAAAAACAACAACAAAAACCCCAAAAACATTAGTCAGGCATGGCGGTGCATGTCTGTTGTCCCAGCTCTGTGGGAGGCTGAGGCAGCAGGATGGCTTGAGCCCAGGAGTTTGAGGCTGGAGGGAAATAAGATCACACTACTGAACTCCAGCTTGGGCAACAGAGCCAGATCCTGTCAAAAAAAAAAAAAATGACATTCTGATATTCTGATTCTTGATCTTTTATATGTGACTCTTTTAGGACCTTCTTTCCATTCTTAGCATTATGAAATTTCATTATCATTGGCCTTGGTATGGGTTTTGTTTTGTTTTTTTTTGTTTTGTTTGAGACAGAGTCTCACTCTGTTGCCCAGGCTGGAGTGCAGTGGAGTGATCTTGGCTCACTGAAACCTCCACCTCCCAGGTTCAAGTGATTCTCCTGCCTCAGCCTCCCAAGTAGCTGGGGCTACAGGCACTTGTCACCACACCAGGCTAATTTTTTTGTATTTTTAGTAGAGATGGGGTTTTGCCATGTTGGCCAGGCCGGTCTTAAACTCCTAACCTCAGGTGATCCACCCACCTCGGCCTCCCAAAGTGCTGAGATTACAGGTGTGAGCCACCATGCCAGGCCCTGGGTTGTTTTTTTTGTTCTGTTTTGTTTTGTTTTTACATGAATTGTGCTGCATACTGCATGAACCACTTCAATCTGAAGTCAAATTATTTAGTTCTGGAGAATTTTCTTATACCACTTCCTCAATAATTTTCTCTTCTCATTTTCTCTGCTTTGTGGATCTTCTATTACACTACCTTTCTCCCAATTTATTCTCTAATGTACTTGATTTTTTTCTCATTTATTTTAATATATTTATCCTTATTTTAAATATTTTAAAACTGTTTAGTTGTAGTGAAATACACACAACATTTACCATCTTAACCATTTTTAAGCGTGCAGTTCAGTAGTATTGAATACATTTTCACTATTGTATGACCAATCTCCAGAATTCTTTTCATCTTGCAAAAGTAAAACTCTATATGCATTTAAAAGCTTCTGATTCTCCCCTCCCCCCAGCCCATGAAAACCACCATTCCACTTTCTGTGCCTATAACTTTGACTATTCTGGGTACTTCACATAAGTGGAATAATAAAGTATTTCTGTTTTTGTGATTGACTTATTTCATTTGGCATAATGTTAATGTTCTCAGGTTTCACCCGTGTTTGTACGTGTGTCAAGATTTCTTCCCTGTTGAAGACTGAATGATATTCCATTGTATATGTATGTCACATTCTGTTTATCCAATCATTTGTCAATAGATATTGGGTTGCATCAACCTTTTAGATATCATGAATAACGCTGCTATGAATTTGGGTGTACACCTATCTCCTTGAGACTCTGCTTTCAATGCTTTTGGGAATATACCTAAGAGTGGAATTGCTGGATATGGTAATCATTTGAGGAACCACCACACTGTTTTCCACAGTGACCACACCATTTTACATTCTCAACAGTGCCTCTCAAATTTCTCTACATCCTTACCAACATTTATTATTTTCTATGTGTATTGTTTATGGTAGCCACCCTAATGGGCATGAAATGGTGTCTCATTGTAATTTTGGTTTGTATTCCTCTAGTGATTCATGATATTGAGAATCTTGTCATGTGCTGTTGGCCATTTGTATGTCTCCTTAGAAGGGTCTATTCAAATTATTTGCCCATTTTTTAATTGCATTGTTTGGGTTATTTTGTTGTTTTTGTTCTTTTTAGAAATTCTATATATATTCTTGTATTTTCCCTTTATCAGATATGTAATTTGCAAATATTTTCTCCCAGTTTGTAGGTTGCATTCTCACTCTGTTGATTGTATCCTTTGATGTACAGAAGTTTTCTTTTTTTTTATTTTGATGCTCAACTTACCTATTTTTTACTTTTGTTGCCTGTGCTTTTGGAGTCATATCTAAGAAATAATTGCCAAATCCAGTGTCATGAAGCTTCTCTCTATGTTTTCTTCTAGGAGTTTTGTAGTTTGTCTCTGTCTGTATCCGCTTCAGTGCCTAAAGCTTGTATTGTTTATGCCACTTATTCTATTTTTTATTTTCTAAGAGCTCTTTCTTGTTCTTTATTATTTTTGTAGAAGTTTCTTATTTGATAGATGAGTATCCTCTTATTTTTCCAATATTACCAATCTTTTAAAAATTACTCCTCATAATATTGTTTCTGTTTTCTATGAATCTTGCCACCCACAATTGTTAGCTTCTTTCTTTCATATAAGAATCTCTCCTCAATTGTTTGCCAGTACTTTGTTGTACATATATATTTAAGAAATTTAAGGCACCAAAGAGTTGCTGATTAGAAGCAGCTCAATGGCATGGCCAGAGCTTATCAACTGTTGGCTCTAACTTAGGATAATTGAGGATGAGTGAGTTTTATTTGGAGGTGGGGCTGGCTCCCAATGTGCATCTTGTTTTTTTTTTTTTCCCCTGACTCTGGTGAGTTTCTCAGTTAATGGTCCTCTAAAGTTCATCACAGGGAATGGTATATACTTGTCCATCCATGAAGGTCGAGCAGCACAGAGAAGCTGAAAGTCTCAGCACTTAGCTTGTGGACTTTCACTTAATTCCTCTGTTGTCTGTACAGTAGACTCTTCTACTTCCAGAGTATCTGTGAGTTCAGATTAAGAAACTTCTCATTTAATTTCTCCACTTGAAGCAATTTCAAGTGTGCTGTTTAGGCAAAAGAAGACTGGATGCTGAACCAGAAAGATTAGGGAGAAGAAGTGCAAATCCTTCTACAGACATTCAACCCATGTCGGTGTTTTAAGCCCATGTCTCATTCTCTCCTGCTCAGATACCTGCTAATTGCTTCTGAGGTCCTAAGGCATGGATAGGCTTTGCTTTGCACTTAGTATTTAACTATCTCTACTCTGCTATCTCTTCCATCCACTTTACATAATTTTTAAAATATTGTTGACATTACCTGTAATTAGCCTGTATGAGTTTATACCATTTTACTTTTTATATTTATTTTTGTGTTCCAGAACACAATTATTTGATATTAAATAATTAAAACAAAAGTTATACACATGAATTCAACTTAAATTCCTTGTTAAAATTTTCAGGAGCCATTTTTATAATTGAAATCAGCCTTTTTAGGTTCTGTACATTACTTTCAGTCATAATCTTATTAAGTTATCTATATTAATAGCAGATACCTTGTGCCAAGTAATATGTCTACTTAGGGATATTACTGTTTTAATTTAACTCTTGTTACAAGATTCAATCATTTAGTAAATTAACATATTCTGTGTCTTAATGTGACAAGCTTAAATACTCAGTCAATTGTTTAATTCCATTCATGTCCTTTGACATTTAAAGTTAAAAACAAATTTTTTTGGTAGGTTTTAGTAAATTTTCCCAAAAATCTATTTCTTCAAAGTTTAAAAAAACTATATTAGCTCTTTTAGTAACTTTGGTGCTTTGGATAGCTGTAATGTTTTGTTGGATTCAAAGTGTGTTTCTTTTAATTCATAGGGAAATACTGCTTCACAAGTTATACTTGGAAAAGGTAAATTAATAATTTTCCTGTGACTTTTTTCAATGTACATCAAGATACAGAGGGGCATCTCTGCTTCTTGACAGCTTCCCTTCTGGCTCTCAGCAGCCTTTCTTCAGTGTCTCCTTTGATTTGCTGAGTCTAGTCTGCTCTGGGCTTTAAAAAAAGAGATAATTTCAATTGTTAAATTGAAGCTAAAAATAAAAATGAAAGAGAATCTGATTACCCACAAATAAAGTTCATGTGTTTTAATGCTGCACCCTGTGATCGAAACACTAAAACCACTGCAAATTCCTTAGTTCCTAAATAAAAGACTTGGCCAAGAATTGAATTCAAAATTATATATATATTTTTGGATCCAGAAGTCTTTAAGAATGCTATGCCGGCCAGGTGCAGTGGCTCACGCATGTAATCTCAGCACTTTGGGAGGCTGAGGCGGGCAGATCACGAAGTCAGTAGATCGAGACCATCCTGGCCAACATGGTGAAACCCTGTCTCTACTAAAAATATAAAAATTAGCAGGGCATGGTGGTGTGTGCCTGTAATCCCAGCTACTTGGGAGGCTGAGGCAGGAGAATCTCTTGAACCAGGGAGTCAGAGGTTGCAGTGAGCCAAGATCGTGCCACTGCACTCCAGCCTGGACTCCGTCTCAAAAAAAAAAAAAAAAAAATGGTATGCCACATTACTTGGTAAATATAAAATAAGGCTCTAGAACCACTGACTGTGGGGAGTGATTAAATGTGTTACTGAAACACATTTGTTGCACCAGATCTTTCAAGTTTTCATTTCCCTTTCTGTTGTCTGAGCCACCCCCTCCTATAAGAATATGTCCATCTAGAGCAGATTTTCAGTAAAGAATCTAGCTAATTTGTGTTGTAACTTCACAATCTCTAAAGAATCTGTGAGGGCCGGGCGCGGTGGCTCACGCCTGTAATCCCAGCACTTTGGGAGGCCGAGGCGGGTGGATCATGAGGTCAGGAGATCGAGACCATCCTGGCTAACAAGGTGAAACCCCGTCTCTACTAAAAATACAAAAAAAATTAGCCGGGCGCGGTGGCGGGCGCCTGTAGTCCCAGCTACTCGGGAGGCTGAGGCAGGAGAATGGCGTGAACCCGGGAAGCGGAGCTTGCAGTGAGCCGAGATTGCGCCACTGCAGTCCGCAGTCCCACCTGGGCGACAGAGCGAGACTCCGTCTCAAAAAAAAAAAAAAAAAAAAAAAAAAGAATCTGTGAACAAATTCGTCAAAGTAATTCTGAAATTTTTGAACACCCTGATATGCATAGAAATTGTGATTAAATTCTCCTTTGTGTATGAAATGTGTCCCTGTGTGGACCTCCATAAATGTATGAAGCCTGGATTATCTCATAAATATTTTCCCAAAAATAGACTTTGATATTTAAGTTTCCCTTTATCATTTTACATATTTCAATAACTTGTTATTTAACAATATAAGATGTGTTTGACATGTGTGTCTTCTAGGCACAGATGAACAAACAGACTTTGGATTGGGTGATGCTCATCAGAGTGATGGATTAAACTTGGAAAGAGAGATAGTCAGCCAGACCACAGCAACACAGGAAAAGTCACAGGAAGAACTTCCAACAACAAATAATAGTGTTTCTAAAGAAATATGGTTAGATTTTGAAGATTTCTGTGTATGCTTTCAGTAAGTATACCAATGGGATCAATCTGACTATGTCGTAGTGGTTAAACCCTGAGCTGCATTAGTATACAAAGTCACATTAAGATTTATTTTTGCATATTTAATATAGTGGTTATATAACCTATTAATTCTTAGCATCATCCAAAATAAGCCAATAACAGCCTAGTGTTGGTATAATATCAAATAAAATTTATAAAATGGAAAATAAATATATTGATTATCCATATAACACATTAATAGCCAAACCAATCTTAGGCCAGTTGCAGCTTTTCCTCAAAGGCTTGTTTCTTAATTAAAATGAAGAAATCTTATTCACTAGAATCATTCTTGTCCCTTTAGGGCAACTGACCCAATACTGTTGTTATTTTTTAACTTTCTTCCTACAATAATTTGATTATAAGAAACTTAACATGTAGTACTAGTCTTTGCCTATAATGACAATAACCTGTTAAAAATGTCTTTCTTTCAGAAATATATATATTTTCCACAAGCCAAGTTCATATTGCCTTAACTTTCAAAAATCAGAATTTAAGGTAAGTATGTTAGAATCTTTTCTATTCTCTTTAAATTTTTGGTAGAATTGCACCCGTAGAAAACATCTTCAAATTTCTCAAAACATTTCTAAACTTGTAACATAGTTATATTTTTAAAAATTAATTTTTAGAGTCTCTCACTAATCCTTATCCAAGCAATAAGCAAAATTCCACTAGCTCATAACCACAAATGTGATCCATCTGACTATGTTGAATCCTGGCCTGAATTATTATACAAATTCACATTAAGAAAAATTTGAATTATGAAAAAATGAAGGACATGCACAAATAAATTCACTAGATTTGGTTTCAATTAGTATTTATTGAATAGTGTATGTTTCCTAAAACATAAGGACACTCCACCATTATGCCTGCATTTTTTCCCCCGTATCATCCCTCTGCCAGGAGTTTCTGTCCTTTCATCCCTGTTATCCTCATTGCTGTTGTTCAGCTAATGCCTAGAAATCCTTCAGAATAGCACAGATGCCCTTGACACTGTGAGGCTTCCCTTCCCTGGCCATGGAATCTGGGTTAAGAGTCTCAGCTTCACCAGCCTGACCAACATGGTGAAACCCCATCTCTGCTAAAAATACAAAAATTAGCCAGGTGTGGTGGCATGCGCCTGTAATCTCAGCTACTCAGGAGGCTGAGGCAGGAGAATCGCTTGAACCTGGGAGGCAGAGGTTGCAGTGAGCCGAGATTGCGCCACTGCACTCCAGCCTGGGCAACAGAGTGAGATTCCATCTCAAAAAAAAAAAAAAAAAAAAAGGCTCAGCTTCATGTCCTCTGTATGCTCTATGTTTGCCTGGCATTTGCCTCCCACCCTCCCAACTTTCTGATTGCTTCCCTGTGCCCATTCTTCCCCCTACTTACTGTTAGCATCTTTAGAAGAGCTGTATCTTTTTGTTTACCACTTATAAGAACATTCCTGCCATGAGGTAGGAACTCAATTTAAAAATTGTGGATTAAAGTAATTAACAAACCACATATTGAGCAGAATTTTAAGAAAAACTATGACACATATTCCGGGAAACTAAACTGTACCAACATTTACATGTTGTCCTGTCATAGGACAAGGCCACCCAAGCCCCTAATGATAATCCCACACCTCCATGAGCAGTACGCAGAGTTGGAGGAAGTAAAGAGTCCTTGAAACTTTTCCATTGCCCTTGTAACAGATGAAAACGGGCAGAGAAAACCTTTTGAGCAGACCTCAAGAGCTGCTTTGTTGCTGGCTGCCTCCTCTGAAAATAAGAATAGTGACTGGGGGAAAGAAATCCTTCACCTAGTCCTGGAGTATGTGAAAACACCTAGAGGAATACTTTGACTTTATAGAGATAACACAACAATTAATTGGGAATAGTTTAACCCAGAGTATGATATCAGCATAATGTACAGTTTACAGTTTATTTAAGCATATTTCCATATTTAAACTATTGCTAGTGGTAAAATGACAATGGTTTATAGATGTTGCAGGCCCTTAGGTTCTGTATTGCATTCACTCCTCATAGCAAACCCTGTGAAAGAGATACTATTACCATCATTTTACATCTAAGGAAAATGAAGCAGATCAAATGTGAAATAACATATGTAAAACACTTAGAAGAATGCCTATTAGTAAGTAATAATAAATGTTGGCTGCCATTTACTAAAGACAGTTGCATAGAAGCTTTTGGTACACATAACCACCCTAATTTAAAAGTGTATGTGGTAAACTGGTCAACTGTTCTTTATTCTGATCTTATTCTTATGAAGTCATGATAAGCACAGAATTTTTTTTCTTTTAAAAGTCTCAGCTTGGTGAAATAAAATTATGACATTCCTTTTATTTCCCTGAATTTTTTTTAATTAATGGTATGAGAAAATAACTTTCTTGGAAGTCATTGGAATATAATCTTAATGGCATTTAGCATGGCCTGAAAGGAAGGATCAGCTGTGGTCTGAGGCCAGACACTCCAGACCTTAGTGGCCTGCCGAGCTGGGGACACAGAGCCCGAGGCCTGTCCTCAGCACAATCCACAGATGTTCCCTTGGTGCTCAGTGTGAGGTTAGAGCAGGGTCATTTCAATGGTGCCATGTGCTGGCACCAGGGCAGAGGCCCTTTGTGGCCTTCAGGAACACCCCACCCCTCAATTCGCAGGCCCTTGAAAATGACAGAAAATGAGCTCCGGGCAGAAACTCCTCCTCAGGCATGCATGCCAGGCTCACAAGTCCAAGGGTCCTTCATATTTTCAGATAGTGAATGTTTGAAACAACTCTCTATATCAACAACATGTCACAGCTGACAGGATGCAAATAAAGTGTCAAATGAAAACAAATGGAACATAGGGGGAGGAGTAAACATTTAAGTCATGATTGCATTGTATCAAGCATTTCTAGCAATCTTTGTTATAGTTGATTAAATAACAAGGCTTCCCTTTTCATAGCATTGCTACATATTTGTTTTTCATATATTAACTTTTTTTTAATATTGTGGTAGAATAATGTGAAAAACTTTTAAAGTATAGTATAATTCAATTAAGTTAATTGAACACATTTACTGTGTGCCATCCCTCACAATTATGTTGAAGCACTGAGAACTTGAAAGGCAATAATAATGCATTAGTCAAGAGTACCAGCCTTAGAGTCAGGCAGATGGCTCTACCTACTTTTTTCTCTCATCTTTGCTACTACAAACTCTGTGACCTTTGGTAAATAGCTTACCCTTTCTGTGTAATTAGATATACATTAATGTATCTAATTATATTAAGTATTATTAATAAGTACTGTTAATGTATAATTAGATACATTAATAGTACCCATATAGGATGAACCGAAATTATATACATGTAACGTTTATGTAACTATCCTTTAAGGAGAGTTTTGATTTTACGAAGCACTTTATTCCATCTCCAAAACAAAAACCCACAGCCTGCTGTATCAGCAAGCAATGGGTATTGAGTTAGGCCATTCTCACACTGTTATAAAGAACTACCTGAGACTGGGTAATTTATGTAGAAAAGAGGTTTAATTGACTCACAGTTCCACAGGCTGTACAGAAAGCATGGCTGGGAGGGCTCAGGAAATTTACAGTCATGGTGGAAGGCTATGGGGAAGCAAACACGTCTTACCATGGCAGAACAGGAGAGAGAGAGAGACAGGAAAGGGGAAAGTGCCACGCACTTTCAAACAACCAGATCTCCTGAGAACTCCATCGCTAGAAAAGCAAGGGACAAGTCTGCTCCCGTGATTCAATCACCTCCCACCAGGCCCCTCCTTCAACGTGTGGGGATTACAATCTGACATGAGATTTGGGTGGAAACACAGAGCCAAACCACGACAGGTATATATCTGAAGCTCCTGTGGAAAGAAGGAAGAGAGAGCTTATTTCACATACCACCCTGTAAAATAAGACATCCAATTGGCCATTCCCATTCTCTGCCAAAGTTTCTTACTCTATGGCCTTCCTGCCCATCAAAGACCCATGCTTGAGTACTACTCTGCCCTGGGCTCGGCCTCTTCTCTTTCTCATTTCTGGAACAAGCATATCCCTCTTCTGTCCTCATAGAGGAGAGCTCTGCCTCTCTCTGATATGGTGGCTAGTCTAACACAGCTGCTGCAGACCCAGTTTCCACAGACGGTTGCCAACATTCACCCAGTATAGTTTTCTTCATATAATTAGATTCATAAAGTATTTATTGTGGTGCCTACAACACAGTAAGTTTCCTGTAACTCTTAGATGTTATACTATGTTTTCATTAGAAGTGAAATAATAGCATTGATGAACTGATATTAAGTATGACAACTGGTCTAATTTCTTGCAGTTCTCAGAAGAACGAGTGTCCTACTATCTATTTGTAGATAGTCTAAAACCTATTGAACTACTGGTTTGCTTTTCTGCATTGGTACGCTGGGGGGAGTATGGAGGTAAGAGGGCTCTGAGAAAATGATAGCCTTAAAGCCTAGATCATGTTCAGGCTAGGGCGTGGTGGCTCACGCCTGTAATCCCAGCACTTTGAGAGGCTGAGGCGGGTGGATCACCTGAAGTCAGGAGTCCTAGGCCAGCCTGACCAACATGGTGAAACCTTGTCTCTACTAAAAATACCAAAATTAGCCAGGCGTGATGGCACGTACCTGTATTCCCAGCTACTCAGGAGGCTGAAGCAGGACAATCCCTTGAACCCAGGAGGCGGAGGTTGCAGTGAGCCGAGATCGCGCCATTGCACTCCAACCTGGGCAACAAGAGTGAAACTCTCTCTCAAAAAAAATAAAAAAATTTTAAAAATATTTTTAGAAGACCGTGGATGGAGGAACTTCCTCCCTTTCCAGAGTTTCTCCAGAGTCCCACAGGACCACCTACACCACCTCCTCTGATGCTTTTACCCCACAGACACCAGGGATTATGCCCACTGCTGCCACCTGCACCTCTTCTGGTTGTACTATCTGTTCACCTTTTTGGTGTACTCACTCAATCTGTTAGTGTTGTAGTTGTTGACCTATAAATGTCATCATTCTTAATTATTTCAAAATCTATTGAAAAACGAACTATTTTTCTTTGATTTGACATTCCAACAATCTTTTCCTCTATCCCACCTTGGTCCCCTACTTTCATGGTTACCTTGTAGACTTTAAGTTTACCAATTTGGGCATCATCTCAGTCATCTCAATTTCAAGCACCCCACTCCCCGCTCACTGCTTGACTCTCTAGTTCACTCTACAGAACTCCCACTCCTACAATTTTGGAAGCCACTGGGACTTTCATTACTATCTACCCTGCCACTTTTTCTCTGTCCATCACAGAGATAGCCTCCACACATTTGCTCTTTTTACCCCCTCATCTTACTTTCCTGGAAAAACTTCACTATTGGTTAAACTTGATGCATATCCAACCCACAGTTTCAAGAGAGCAGCTGAATGTGATTGGAGGGGAGAAAAACAAACACACTGGCTAGCCCTGCTTACATTTGAGGAGCACAAATCTCAACAAGGCCTTAGGCACTGCCAGTATTTCTGTCATTCTTTTATTCTCCCACTCTTATTTATTCCTGTAGATGACCTATTGCAAACCCTCAAACATTCTCTCTCTCTTCAAATCTTCAACACCTACTCTTACTCTCACTCATGTTCAGATGATGACCTTGCTGCTGATCTCACTGAATAGACAGAAGAAATCAGAAAGGATTTCTGCTTTCAGAATTTGTACCTCCCTTTCCCACAATGAACTTTCTCAAAATCTAGGCCACCTTCCTTCTGTTCTAATGGATAGACAATCTCTGCTCCTCTACAAGGCCAAACCCTTGCATACACACGCACACACAGGCACACACTCACAAAACTTCATTCTTTTATTCTTTGGCCTGTTTTGTTAAAGAATTTTTCTTCAGCTCAAATTAACAGTACATGGCACTGTAAATGTACAATAAGTATTTCCCAAATGCTTAATACTGAATGTTTTGTCAACATGCAGGGCAGGGATTTTTTTTAAACTGAAATATCGTCAATGTTTTGAATGGTGTCTAACATAGAGCAGGTGGCTAGAAAATACTTGTTGTATAATAAACTTTCCAAAATTTAGTGATCTAAATTTAGTGCATCTACCAAACCAAAAGCCCTGAAGCCACACCATGTCCCAGAACATTTAAATTCTATAGGCATGAAGGCATTTCAGGTAATGTTGTGACCTTATGTCCTCAACTCCAGTGTTTTCTGGAAATAGGGGGGAAATTATTTTGCCCTCAGTCATTGATGAACAATTAGCCTATATTATTTATCCATTTTTAATAAAAAACTTGATATTAAATTTAAACTTTGTTAATTGCTTGCTATTTCTACATAATGTCAAAGACTGAATCAAAGATAAAAATTTTGATAAACAGGTTGGGCATGGTGGCTCACTCCTGTAATCCCAGCACTTTGGGAGGTTGAGGCGGGCAGATCACCTGAGGTCAGGAGTTCGAGACCAGCCTGGGCCAACATGGTGAAACCCTGTCTCTACTAAAAATACAAAAATTAGCCAGGGGTGGTGGCAGATGCCTGTAATCCCCGGTACTCCAGAGACTGAGGCAGGAGAATTGCTTGAACCCAGGAGGTGGAGGTTGCAGTAAACCGAGATCGCACCACTGCACTTCAGCTTGGGTAACAGAGTGAGAACCCGTCTTTAAAAAATAAATAATTTTTTTGATAAACAGTGGGATATTTGGATTTATTTTTTACACTATTTTAGAGAAATCTCTTATTTTTCAAGATGTAATATGTTTTCTTCCTTTAAAATTGTATCTAGAAGGATATTGTAGTTATTACCATAGAGATAATAAAAGCGATGCTATACTACAATGAAAAATGTCCTCCTGATTCTAATTTTCCTATTCCTGGTTTCTTCACTTGAGAGGATTGTTACAAGGAAGAATATTGAACAGGGAGGAAGACCTAAGTGTTATTTCTAGTAATTTACCTGGAGTAATTTCTAATGTTTTATGAACATTTTAGTAATATTTCTAATGCTTGATTATTGTTATTTATGTTGTTACTTAATAAAAAAAGACAGTACTAGTGAATGCCAACTACACTTTCATGATCAAACTTTAATACCTTTTTACTTATCTTAAAGCCTTAACAAAAGACAGTCCTCCCATAGAGCCTGGACTTCTCACAGCTGAAACGTTTTCTTGGAAATCCCTGAAACCAGGCAGTCTTGTTCTGAAGATTCACACATATGCTACCAAGGCTACAGTGGTTCGTCTGCCTGTTGGGTATGAAGTGGCTTCATTTTTCCCATAATAAAAATTGTTTGAAGGCTTGCAAATTGTTGGTTACTAAAGAAGTAAACAATATGGACTCTAAGACATTGTTTCTCAAAGCAATTTCTCAAGGCATAGGTCCATGATTATTATTCTTGAGAAAAATATTTCCAAAAAACTACATTGAGAAATACTGTACAATGAATATCCCTTTGGGAGATTCATAATTGTCAAAGATTCTGGGAATATATTTAGTCAACAATACTGCTTGAGCTTGTTTAACCCAGCATTTTCTAAAATTAATTTATAAATATTATACACATAACATTTATAATACTTTAGTATGAATTTTCTCATAAATATTTCTTATAAGTTTTCTCACCAATATAATACTTAGCAAAAACCTTGATTTTATTTAAATGCAAATTGAGAAATATGCATTTTCCCCTACCAATCTAGATTTTCTTGTGGCTTATTTTTGTTAGATATTATTTTTAATTCAGATAAAGCTGGTTAAACACATTAGTTTCAATTTTAAAGAAAATACATATAATGGAAAAGATTTTATTTTGATGAATAAAATTCAAAATATTACCTCAAATTTCAGAAGAAATATTTTCACTAGGCTTTGAAATAAACATTTTCACTAGCTTTTACTTTTTTCCCAAGATCAATCATGCTAATTCTATGTGATCAATGAAAAGCTATGTCTCTTATGCAAAAAGCAAAGCCTCAGCAACAAATGCTAAAATAATTGTGTCAAGCATCTAGTACTTCTACAAAATACTACATTTTGAAACTCTGACATTTCTCACATCTCCCCTTTATACTCCAGCAAATCAAATTACTCTGTCTGAGTGCTTATTCATTTGAGACAACCAAGGACAAGGAATTTAATAAAGATTCTTCTTATATCCGCTTTTCCCCCCACAGAACCTAAACCATCAACATGTATGTTTTGAACATGCTCTAAATCTGCAGTCCCCAACTCCAGAGCCATGGACTGGTCCTGGTCCGAGGCCTGTTAGGAACTGGGCCATGCAGCAGGAGGTTAGCGGTGCCTGAGCTCTGCCTCCTGTCAGATCAGCAGCAGCATTAGAGTCTCATAGGAGCGGGAATCCTATTGTGAACTGCATATGCAAGGGATCCAGGTTGGACACTCCTTATAAGAATCTAATGCCTGATGATCTGAGGTGGAACAGTTTCATCCTGAAACCATCCCCAAACCAAGTCCATGGAAATATTGTCTTTTGTGAAACCAGTCCTTGGTGCCAAAAAGAATGGGGATGGCTGCTCTAAATGCTCAATAACTGGAGGACCATGAATATCCCTGCTCTCACGATACGACAACCTGGTAGAGGAGACACGATTAACATACATGAAATGATGCATTTGTGAGAAAAAGACTAGGAAGTCTACACAGCCCTATACCTGCTTGAGTTTTTCTTGTTGTTAGGGAGAAATCAAGACTAGTCTTCACACCATGACTGCAGTGTGTGGGAGGTCACTCCAGCATGTACTGCAGAGAAGTTTGGTATTTAGCCTAACTATTTTTGTCCTACATAATAAGTAAAGCGTAGATTTCATGATCCCGTAGGGTTCTTATAGAGTGCAAATTCAAAGATCCTTATCTCATCTGTGTTAAAAATTGAACTCTTCCCTAACCTTTTACTTCATTTGAGTTCCAAAGTGTGAATAAGCAACTCACAGGTCAAATGCCACCACCCAGGAAGCACTCGGTTATCATCCGGCATCCCTTCTCTTTAGGAGACACATGCTACTCTTCAACGCATACTCCCCAGTAGGACACTCCATACACATCTGCAGCATGGTGTCATTTGTCATTGGGGATGAACACGTTGTACTGCCCAACTTTGAACCAGTAAGTATTTTTGCAACAGCAAGTTATTTATTTATTTATTTAGAGATGGAGTCTCGCACTGTTGCCAGGGCTGGAGTGCAGTGGCATGATCTTGGCTCACTGCAACCTCTGCCTTCCAGGTTCAAGCAATTCTCCTTGCCTCAGCCCCCCAAGTAGCTGGGATTACAGGTGCGTGCCACCACACCCTGCAGATTTTTTTGTATTTTTATTAGAGACGGGGTTTCACTATGTTGGCCAGGCTAGTCTCAAACTCCTGACCTTGTGATCTGCCCACCTCAGCCTCCCAAAGTGCTGGGATCACAGGCATGAGCCACCGCACCCAGCCACAACTGCAATTTTTATGTGCTTTATTTTCAAAGATTTTGAACTAAACACATTTTTATTTTATACTCAACTTACTTTTTTTACCTTTTAAAACTATTAAGTATACTCTGCAAGAAATCCCCACATGCAACCATGAAGTCTATAATGAAGTCTGAACCCTGTAGGTATACAAGTGAAATATGTATACTTTTCTCTAACAACTGCTCTCACCTCTACTCTGTTGAATCTCTTTTCATATCTGTTAATATCTTAGTTAGATCCCATGGCATCATTGGTTCTTTGGGGTATAAATATCAGTGCAGTCCTTTTTAATAGAGTTTAAAATTTTGGTCTCTTTCTCTCCTTTCATTTCTTCCTTTGCCTAAGGAATCTGGAGCATGTGCCTGGGATTTAGCAGGGAAGGAGTAGCTCAGAAGGTTCTGTCTCTTCACCTTCATCTCTTCTCATTCTTCTTGGTCTCTTCTCCTTGGTTTCTCTTGCTCTTCTGTTCTGACGGGGTCTGAAAGAAGAGATGAGGTCAATGGGACCAGTATGTCCCCTAAAATCTTCCCTTGGTTTTAGATGTCCTTTGTACACATGCATTTGGGACAATATTTGCAGACAGCCTTCCCACTGCATAATTCCTGATGCTTTCTCAGCTCTAACCCTTTCCTACCAAAAAAAAAAAAAAATTCCAAATAGCACAACCTTGTATTGATGGGATTCTCTAAGCCAGCCAGCAAATTTCGTGGCAAGCAGATTGCCCCCACACATGTCACACTCATGCATTCTTCCTTGTCTGAGCAGTGGCTGTGCAAGAGTTCCCAGGGCTGCCTCCTCTGTTTGCTGTGCCATCTCTCACTAGCTCTCTTTCTCTCTTGCTCAACAGCCACAGCAAGATCACACAGATCAGCAAGTTCATTTTAGACACAGATGTCACTTATTTCCCTAACTATGTTTATCTTGCTTATTTCAAGTTGTCTTTTTAAGAAAATAATTCTGCTTTATATGGTATACATTGTCAGTTTGTTGTCTTCCTTTAGATAATTTATCTCCCCAGGTGTTTATTTATTTTGGTCTGTGAGCTCACATTTCCCTGGAGATATTACTTCCTGATGTTGAAAAGATTGTTGGAGCTCAAGTCCAAGAAGCAAAAGAGAATAGACTGACCCAAGGGCAGAGAGACTAATGCTACTTAGAACCATAATTGATCCTATCTAATATTTGACCAGAGAACTTTTCTGGGCATGGTTTCACCTTAGGGAGAAACACCACTGAGATGAAACTTTCTGTAGGCTTTGTGAGGATTCTAAGTCAGTGTGTTCCAGTAACGAGTCAGTTGCATCTGCTTCCATCAGTTTCTCACCCTAGCAAGGCATCTGTGCTTCAGGTGCACTTGCTGGGCCATTCCTCAAAATTTCAGGAGAGAATCGGGAATCATGATTGCACCATGGTGCCCTCTAAGGGGAAAAAAGTTGTTTTGTTTTGTTTTGTTTTTTCCAATTTTACTTTTTTCATGCTGCTTCCAGGCAACTCCAGGACCACCCACCGTACACCAACCACAACAGCTCCAAACACCTCACAGTTTTCTCCAGTTTTTAAAAATTAGTTACTTCCTGAAATTCCTGTCTCCTTCTTGCTTTATGATTTTTTTTAAGAGTTGATAGCAGGAGAGAGCCACCAGCCCATGCTAGGTCACCCTCTTGTCTTTATCTTTCTGGCTTTCTCCCTGAAATCTCTGTTCGTCAGTCCTCAAACTCCACACAGTTTTTTGTCAGACTAATCCTAAATGTCCTCAGAACTAGGTCTGGTTATTAATACGGTGGGGGAAATTTTACGTGATCCCCAATATGAGATGAATATTCCTCCTACAGGTTCCCACTCAGGTAAGAATTGCGTTCCTTGTTTTTTCTGAGACTACAGAATTTAGTAAAGCTACCTTGATATCAAATCCTCTATAAAGAATTATTGAATCATATAGCAGAGATTTCATATTTTAACAGATATTAATTTGTATAAACTAGATGACACTTAAGGATGAGTGAGGATGGCTGCCATGCTTTGTCTTCACAGGAGAGCTGCCGATTTACGGAACAGTCTCTGTTGATTATGAAAGCTATTGGAAATGTGATTGCTAATTTCAAAGATAAGGGTAAACTCTCTGCAGCTTTGAAGGATCTGCAAACAGCTCACTACCCTGTCCCCTTCCATGATAAAGAACTAACTGCACAGCACTTCAGGGTAAGCTTGTTTGGGATACAATGTTCAGAAGAGGAAACTTTCTTTTCAAAATGGTATATCTTCCATTAGGTGACCTCCCAAATCAGAGCCAGAGAAAATATTTTGGATGGAGATAATATATTTGGGAAGTGATTTCAGAAAGCAGAAATGAGGGAGTAAAAAGAATGAAATGAGAAAGAGAAAGAAATTGATTAAAGGACATGACAACTACTGCTGTGGCTTACTGGAAATCAGCTATGCAGGGTGTCCTGAGGAACTATGTGGGACATCCCTTTAAAAGTTCCCACTCAAGGAGGGCAAGATGGTGGTGCTTCTCCACCAACTCTTTTCCCCACTGTTAGGTGGTTGCTCTCAAGGGCTTTGACTTCCTCACACTTACAACGTGTGCCTCTGCCAGGCTGAGCAGCATTCTAGCTTCACAGGCAGCCTTGAGGGGGTGAAGCAAAGAGACTTCCTGGTAACCCCTTCACAAGGCACATATGGACCTGTCCACTGCAGCTGCACTAAAACCAGGTGGGCTTAGGTCTGGCTTTTTAACACTCACACTATTGACATTTTGGGTCAAATAATTATTATTCTCTCTTCTTCAATTTTATTTGGAAGAGATTTAGAAAGATTTGTATTAGTTCTTCTTTAAATGTTTTGTAAAATTCAGCAGAAAAGCCGTCAGGTCATGTACTTTTATTTGATGGGAGACTTTCTCTTTTTTCAAGAGATGGGGTCTTGCTCTGTCACCCAGGCTGGCTTGCAGCAGCATGATCATAGGTCATTGCAGCCTGAACTCCTGGGCTCAAGTGATCCTCCTGTCTTACCCTCCCAAGAGGCTAGGACTACAGGCATGCACCACCACACCTGGCTAATTAAAAATAAACAAACAAAAATTGAAGAGATGGGGTCTCACTATATTGCCTATGGTGGTCTTCAGCTCCTGGCTTCAAGCAATCCTCCTGGCTTAGCCTCCCAAAGTTCTGGGGTTAGAGGCATCAGCATTGCGCCTGGCCAACATGGGATACTTGTTATTACTAATTTAATATTACCTGTATATGTCTAGGAATTTGTCCTTTTCTTCTGGGTTATCCAACTTGTTGGCATATCATTTTACATAGTAGATTCTTATGATTCTTTGTATTTCTGCAGTTCGTTTGTAATGCCCTGTAGGATGTTTAATAGCATCTCTGGTCTCCACCCTTTAAACACCTGTAGATTCCAGTTGTGACAACTGAAAAAGACTTCAGACATTGCTAGATGCCCCTGCAGGGAGGGGTAGCATTGCCAGATTTAGCAAATACAAATACAGGACACCCAGTTAAATTCTATTTTGCGTGTAAACAAACCATATGTGCAATATTTAGGACAGAAGTATACTACTGTCCTAGTATACTTCTAAAATTACTTACATAATTACTTATAAAATTACTTATATAAAAATTTATTTTATCCATTATTCAAACTTGACTGGGTGCTTGGGGTTCTTGAGGAAATATAACTAGAAATAAAATCTCCCAACCTAGATGACCTGTTCACAAGGCAGAAGAAAAGGAAAACAATTTACTGTTGAATGAAGTTTAAGCCAGAAGATGGTGCACATCACAGACAATCTGCTAAGAGATTGCAAAGACAAAAACAAACAAAAAATCTTACCCCAAGCAGATACAGCCCATTTCACACATACCATCAAGATAAGCAATATGTAGTCTTCAAGGAAAAGACTCCATATCACCTCTTGCCACACAACATATTTCATCCCAAATTCACTTGGTATAGGGGTGACCATCTGTGTTAGGTAATTAGCTTTGTCTAAAAGAAAAATACAATTGTAACACCTTCATATCAGCAAGGTACCTACCAATGGTAGTCTCCTACTCTCCCAAAGAAACTTGGAAATACTGGTGCTATCTTCCATGATGATTAACATTTCAAATAAATGGTACTCAGGTCCTGGACAAAAACATTCCTGGGCTATTAAATGGGCAAGAGGCTTATTTAGCTTTTTAGAAAGATGTACTGGCCAACGTGGTGAAACTCCATCTCTACTAAAGATAGAAAAATTAGCCAGGTGTGGTGGTGGGCACCTGTAATCCCAGCTACTTGGGAGGCTGAGGCAGGAGAATTGCTTGAACCCGGGAGGCAGAGGTTGCAGTAAGCTGAGATCACGCCATTGCACTCCAGCCTGGGCAACAGGAGCAAAACTCCATCTCAAAAATAAATAAATAAGATTTACATACATTTCTGAGAGAGAGAGAGAGGAACAGAGAGAGATAACTTATCATTACAAGTGTCCTAAATGTAAATGCTCTAAGGCAAAGGATGTGGGGGAGCAACCTCTTTCCTTATTTTTCGTAGGGAGTGATTAAGCCCCTTACTTTTTAATTTGTACTTCCCCTTACAGTGTAATGTATTTAACTGGCAATGCTGCCTGAGGCGCAGATCAACCCCAGTTGAGAACTACTCACCTACAGCATGAGAGTAATATACAAGAAATATTTGCCATAATTCACCTGTAGAACAAGTCTGATAGTGCCCCCACCCTTAAGTAAACTCTTATCCATTCTTCAAGTTGGTAGCTGGTCACAAGGTCTAAAATTAAACAAATAAATAATTAAATCACCATATGACAAAAAAAAAAAAAGCTATAGTCTCTACAGCTACCACTGGCCTTGAGGCCGCAATCCGTATTCAACACCTGTCTCCTCTACCACCCATTCTAGATGGCCTTGTTTTGCAGCCAGTTCTAGTTGTTTACCTGGTGAGTGATCCAGACTCTCCATCCTGATGGGTGCAGGATCTTGGCTACCTTACTGTAGCCAAGCCATGGTTGCTGCAATTACTCATTTACCATGGAAGCATTAAAAAGTGTCCCAGCAAGTTTCAGACTAAATTCTCCCTGCTCCCTCAATGTAGCAGAAACCCTAATACCTCATGATAATCAATGTGAATTCTCCTCCTACCGTGTTATATTAACTCCTTTTTTTCTGCTTATCCACCAAGATGAGAGGCCCAAAGCAACCACACATATGTCATAGTTTAGTTTTATTGTAAATAATACCATATTCCCTGGTGGAATTATCCCTTGTTTTCTTCCCTCAAGAAATGTGTTCTGAAATCTAGCAAACCCGTTATTGTGGGGGAATCGGGCACGGAGTCTGCAAATGGGTCATGTCAGATGATGGGGAGAGAGGCCAATCTTACTTGCAACTTTTGAATCTCAGGCCTGTGTGTTTTAACTATGCAGATACAGCACCAGATATTGGTCTTTGGTTCCATATGTACGTACTTCAAGTGACATCTCCAGGCTGGCTTTTTAACCGAGCCTCCTATGTGTCATTGCAATCTACCAGGAATTTTATCAATTCTATGTATGGTATATATTAGGACCAACATGTTCCAGACTATTCTCAGTGATTAAATCTTTATAATGCAACTCTTGATCCACGGGTATGTTAGCTGAATCCCATGTTTATAAACCAGATTTTCTATAACCTCTTGGATGCTGGCCGAGGTACCAAGGACACAGAAAGCAAACTCATAGCTGAAGCAGGAGTCAATTCTTGTAAGGAATCGGTGACCCACCTAATGGAAGTCTAGTCCACTGAAAGCAATTTGCCACCAAGTAACTGACTGGACTTCTCAGGGGACTATACCATATCAAAGACCAGAGTCAGTTTCTGCTGCGGGTAGGTTAGATGACTGAGCCTGGATGAAAGAGAGCCCAGGTGGTTGGTTCACCATTTCATGCTACCAAGATTACTCCTCACGGGCTCAATGTAGCTGGCCCTGATTTAATATGTAAGGGGTCTTGGTGAATGAATCACTTATGCAAAAGGAAGCTATTTTGGTAAAAAAAAAAAATCTCCATTTTATACTTAGATAATTACACAACTATGTGACATATGATGAAAAAGCTTTGTTTAAATAAGTCTAAAAGTTTTTTCAATATGAGGTTAGTACTACTATTAAGTGATTAAAAAAACTCTAAGAAACATATTTTCATTTTATGTAGCATATGAAATAATAGTGTGTCTTACAATGGATGGCATCTTAGAATCAATAAAATAAGCTATTTAACTTGCTTAAGCAGAAGGATAATGCTATTTTTTTTACCTTATTCTTTACCTCCTCTACCAGTTTAATGCTGTATTTTCATTGAGTCTATATTATAAACGTTGTAGTGATTACATTTTGTTAAATTAGAAATAATCAAATGATAATTTTGGTCTCTTACTGGGCAGGTGAGACTTCAAAGAATCTTCTGTTAGGTTGCGTGTACATCTGAGAAATGGTTTTTATTTTTTATTTTTAGAGTATCTAAAAATTTTTTAGAGCTTCTCTGGCCAGATGATGGTATTTTCTTGCTATAAAAAAAATTTATGTGTTTCAGGTTTTTCATCTTTCCTTATGGCGTTTAATGAAAAAAGTTCAAATAACAAAACCTCCTCCAAACTTCAAATTTGCATTCCGGGCTATGGTTTTGGACTTGGAGTTACTCAATTCCTCCTTGGAAGAGGTTTCTTTAGGTACCCATGAATTGTATATATTTAATCAAGGAATTCCTAGTTTTAAGTAAGGTAAATAATTTAAGAAATGTGTTTGTGGAGTAAGTGGAATAAGTCTGTGTGGACTGTCATGGAGTTCAAGCAGTGCTCTAAGAGCTCAAGGGGCTCCAAGGACCTGCTGGGGATCCCCTACCCCTAATCCCCACCACATATACTTCTAGGGGAGTGTCTTACAGGGGAGAATTTCCCTGTTTTATTTACTCCTAACCTTAAAAATATGGAAGTCACTAATCTATATGGTTTGATTTGAAGAATTCTGGCAAGATCCTCTGACTCAAGTAACCCTACTTTTCTCTCTTCTTCCCATGCTCTGCTCTCATCATTTTAACATGTCTTTTATTTTTGAGAAAAATCTCTGGCTATATTCACACAGGAATCAATAGTAGTTCACCAATATGTCCCTATTTTGTGTGTTTTCCCTCCTGCAGAATATTTACATTCTAACAAGAACCACCTAGAGCCGGCAATATTAAATATGATGCTAACTCTTGCAATGTAGAATTTTATATGTTGGAGGGCTTTGGCAGCTGAAGGCGTTGAAACTTAGGGAAGGGATTAAATATAACTTTCAGTCCAAAGTTTGTTTTTCCCTTTCCAGTGGAATGGCTGGACGTTAAATATTGTATGCCCACAAGTGATAAAGAGTATTCTGCTGAGGAAGTAGCAGCAGCAATTAAAATTCAAGCCATGTGGAGAGGAACTTACGTTAGATTGCTTATGAAAGCCAGAATACCAGGTATGATTGTCCAAACATTTATAAAATGAACTTGTTTGTATAAGAATAAATATTTATGTGTGTTAATGAAAGTATTTTGGAGTCCCCCACTTTATGGCTAATTAATTTCAGTCCTCTAAATAATGAAATTATTTGAAATCAGGAAGCATGTCCAATGCACCAAGTGTCTTGTTCCCAGGATTGGCACAGTGCCTGGTGCATCATAAGCACACAATAAATACTTGCTGAAAGAATGAGTGAAAAAATGAATGCATTATCAGCTTTGTTTTCCCAATCTATTGCAAGTTCTTTTAAAACAGGGAACTGGTCTTTTTCTGTATATATCCCAAGTAGCTAGCACCTGTGCTACCTCAGTCAGCCTCAGCTAAGTCATAGATATTTTCACATTTCCAGATGATTTTTCAAACAAATGAGTGAATAATTAAGTGAATGAATAAACTAATGCATAATAAAGAAGCCACTATGTATGTCCATAGTGACACACATCTAGAAGGCATAAAATGCATGTTAAGTGTGTTCTTAAATTTATTAAATCAGATACATCTATGTATATGAAATAAAATCTTTTTGCCAATAGGCCAGTTTTATCAGCTTAAAATAAAACATGGCAGATGCAAAACTTATATTCAAGCACTTTGGGAGGCTGAGGGGGGCAGATTGCTTGAGCTCTGGAGTTCAACACCAGCCTGGGCAACATGGGGAAACCATGTCTCTACAAAAAATATAAAAATTAGCCAGGCATGGTGGCATGTGCCTGTAGTCCCAGCTACTTGGAAGGCAGAGGTGGGAGGATTACTTGAACCCAGGAGGTGGTGGTTGCAGCGAGCCTGAGCCAAGATCACACCACTGCACTCTAGCCTGGGCGACAGGGTGAGATCTTGTCTCAAAAAAACAAAAAACAAAAAATATATATTCAATTATTTTCATTCTGTGGTTTTTGCTGACATTTTGATAGGAGAAGCCTTACCTCCAATAGAATTCTTTACATATATTGAAAAACTTTCTTGTAAAAAAAAAAGAATCTATTTAAAACATTTAATGATAATATTTAAAATGTTTAAGCAGTAAAAACGTCAGATACACAATGGTTTAAAAACCCTAAATTACATAGTTTAATGATAGTTGTCTAATTCAATGGGTTTTTTCCTCATTACAAAACATATGCATTCGTCAAACTCAATATAGGATGTCTTGCTTCATTTTGTGCTGCTATAATGGAATACCAAAGACTGGGTTATTTATAAAGAACAGAGATGTATTTCTTACAGTTCTGAAGGCTGGAAAATCCAAAATCAAGGGGTTTGCATCTGGACAGAGCCTTTATCCCATGAGGAAGGTGGCAGGGCGAGAGAGCACATTCATGAAAGAGAGAGAGAGAGATAAAGGAGGGATAGAGAGAGCCAGAACTCATCTTTTTATCAGGAAGCCACTTCTGAGATAACTAACACACTCTTTCGATAATCACATTAATTCATTCATAAGGGCATAGCCCTCATGAGCTAATCACCTCTTAAAGGTTCCACTTCTCAATGCTGTTACTTTGGGAATTAAGTTTCTAACACATAAAGTTAGGGAAATATATTCAAACCATGCATATGGTAAAATATGCTTTTATTGTCCATATATGTTGTAAAAATTTACATATAATGATTTTACTTCCCTTTTTAGAGACTGAAAATATGGGCAATTTAGTAATGTACTTCATAGAGTTTGTGTTCAACTATTCAAAATGTTTTTTAAATGGTGTTTGCATTTTTTTCACTCAACATATATTTATTGAATAACTCTTGATTGCATGGCAATGTTACATATTTTGGCCTTATAGCAGTCAATGAAACAGACAAGGTTTCTACTCTGATGAATCTTGTATTCTAGTGAGAGTAAGCATATAATAGACAAGTAAATATATGAAGATATCAATTTCAGATGCTGGTAAATACTATGAAGAAATTAAGATAGGATAATTAGAAAAAGAATGTTAGTTTCTGATACAGTAAATTTGAGGCTGTTAATAAGGATTCACATTTTCTTGGCAAATTATCTACTTTTAAACCATTTGCAGATAATGCAGTAGATTGAGATCTAATAAAATCCTATTAGCCATTTTTCTTTACAAAAATTGGATGGATTACTTTTTCTGAGATAAGATCTGTCACAAAAAAAGTTTTAGTGTGACAGAGGTCTCCTTATGTAAACACTTTGATGACTATCTTAAATTAGGTCAAGCAATATTCTAAAACTTTAAATTAAAGATGAAGGGAAACAGCATAACACGGTGAGCAGAGCTCTTGACTAGAAGTTTGTAGCTCATATTTTAAACCTGAGTTTTCTGCTAATGAAGCCTATGACTTTGAATACCATCTTACTTGTGAGTTTCAACTTCATTTGTGAAAATGAAGGCTTTGGACAAGATGATCTTTCAGGCATCTTAAAGCTTAACGTTTTTATTATTTATTATTATTTTTAGACACAAAAGAAAATATCAGTGTTGCAGATACTCTTCAAAAAGTTTGGGCTGTATTGGAAATGAATTTAGAACAGTATGCAGTTTCTCTCTTAAGGTAAAGCAGTCAAATGATATTTTTATTGCAGTATATTGTCCTTTTGTCAAAGTCCAGTTTGAATACTACCATATTTGTTGAGAGCGCCCCAGTCACTGCAGCTAGAACCACACCATTACTTCGGACCTTCCACAATATTTTATCTGAAACATTTCTATGGTACTTGCTACTTTTTGTTTATGTTTTAATTGCACATAACTAAAATTCTAAGCAGAAAACCTCTAGGAGCAGAACAAAGTTTCCTTAAATCTTACGGTACTGAGAAGACAAAAATTAAAGTTTAGGACCTGGTAGCGGATGAGATCCCAGTCAACAAATAGTCAGATGAAATCCTTGGAGGACAACACTTTCTAAACAGGGACAAGGCAGAGGTAGATCGAACCTTAAAAAAACTGCATTCTAGCCATAACTCATGTCCAACAGTCAAGCTAACCTGAAAAAAACAGAAAAAAATTACACACCCACTCACCTCCCCGCCAATATATATACACACCATACATTATGGAAAATATGTGGAACCATACCCTCTGGTGATGTAGATTTCAGAGGTGGCAGAAAAAAAAAACCTCTAAACATGACTGTTATGAAAATGAGCAAGAAAATAAATAATAAAAAAGAGAAAATAGATGAAAAGTTTGAGAATTTAATAAAACACAGACAAATGGAAAGTACGTCAATGAACATTTTAATAACCAAAATTAGGAACTCATTGATGAATTTAACCACAGATTAGGCATAGTAGAAGAAGAGTTTAGTGAACTGGGTAATATGTCAATAAAAAGTATCCCAAGTGAAGCTAAGAGAAAATGAATGGAAAATAGCGTAAGGGACTTGTGGGGTATTCTCAGAAATCTTAGTGTGTAAGTAATTGGAGTGACAGAAGGTACAAAGATAACAGGTGAGAACTTTCCAAAACTGATAAAAGACATCAATTTACATTTTCAAGAGACTCTACAGACCCCATGCAGATTACTTGATTAACCTTTACTCCAGAACCCATTTCCTAAAAGGGCTACACTTTTGCCTAAAGTTTTAATTGTATGAATGCACATAAGGAGCACAAACCCTCTTTTCCAACCTGCTTTTGTATTTTGGGGCTACCAGGAGGAGATCTCTAGGTCAGATCCTACACCTAATTTTCATGAAAATGATGTGCTAAAAAGTGAGTGTCCCTATTAGGGAATAGGATCAGTACACCAGGGAGGTGTAACACTAGCATAATACCTTCAGGGGATTGTTGTTCTTCTCCATGTGATCTTTCCACTACAGCCAAGACCATTTCATGGAATCTCAGCTCATATCTGATACAGAGGCCATGCTCTTTCAATGCTTTGAGTTCTACATACACATTTCTTGGACAGATAAAACCAAAAAGTCTGTTATTTAAACTCAAATGCCAGTGGCATCCAAAGCTACCTTATCCTAGCAGGCATTAATTTTATGGTTAAGAACACGTAATTTGACACAAGACCTGAAGCTAACCCCAGCTCTACTAATTATTGTTATCTAAGATAAGATTCTTATCCTCTCTAAACTTAATTTTTATATGTAGCATAGGGATATCTACTGTATAGTACTATTCCCTCATAAATCTGTAAAGATAAATTAAGGTAGACAGGAAAAGTACTTAGCACAATGCCACATATTGAATTATTACAGAAAAGTAGCCACTGTAAACATTGGTATTGTCATTACTACTACATGTGGAACTTTGAGGTTCTGAAGCCTAGCCTTTCATTCTCAACTCTGAAGGGGAAGAACTTCCCCCAAGTCAATTTGGGGAAGACTGAGTTTACCAATTTATGATTTAGTCTTAAGATTGAATCCCATTCGAATCCCATTTCATCTTTTTTTTTTTTTTTTTTTTTTTTTTTTTTAGATGGAGTCTCGCTGTGTCACCCAGGCTGGAGTGCAGTGGCACGATCTGGGCTCACTGCGAGCTCCACCTCCTGGGTTCACGCCATTCTCCTGCCTCAGCCTCCCTAGTAGCTGGGACTACAGGTGCTACCACCATGCCCAGCTAATTTTTTGTATTTTTAGTAAAGACGGGGTTTCACCGTGTTAGCCAGGATGGTCTCGATCTCCTGACCTCGTGATCCACCTGCCTCCGCCTCCCAAAGTGCTGGGATTACCTGGGATTACAGGCGTGAGCCACTGCGCCCGGCCGAATCCCATTTCATCTTAACAATTCAATCCAATTGTGTGGACGCACACAGAGAGAACAGACCCTCTTATACAAGTTGCTTCTGCATTGTGGGGCCTATCATAGGAAAATCTGTGGGTGAGATCTTGCACCCAATTTTCTTGCAAATGATGTCTAAAAAACAAACTCCCCTATGAGGGCATCGTATCAGATAAAAATCTGACTAAATTGAAACTAATTCTTAATTAAGACTAAATCTTCCAACTCAGTCAGGTATATCACCCTGGGTCATTCAAAATATTCTATATAGCTCATCAGGATTTTGATGGCCCTACATTCATTAAACGGGTAGAATGTTTAAGGGGAACAGTGACAGTCTGGGAAGACTGGAAATCACACTCTTATTTTAGAATGGTGGCAGGTCCTGTTACAGTCAATTCCCACTGTGACCAGCTTAATTCCCATGTTGGTTGAGCCAACATCCTTGTATAGATTAGGCCAGCCCTGTGTGATTTACAGGGGTGTCATGCATTGACAGACCTGCACTTTATAGCTCCTACTTAGAATTATCATACCATTGATCATCCAAACTAGGACATTGACAAGAAAAGATGGAGAACTGTTAATAATTAGGCCTGTAATAATTAGGACTGTAATAAATAGTTAATAATTAGGACTGTAAGTATAAACCACAGCTATCCCAGGCAAACCAGGATAGATGGTTACCCTATTATTTGTCTTTGTCACCATTTTAAAAGGCCTTTCAAACCCCTTCCAAGTATAATCCTGTTAGTTTCCTCCTACCAAAAGCCTATGATCAACAAAAACCAATGATAAAATGGAGTATGTGACTTTTGTCTTCCATGAGGACCACCATGGCTTTGCTTTCCACTGACAATCGATGAAAACATCTGCCTTCTGGAAGACAAGAACACCTCTGGCTCTGTCTAGACCTCTAAAAGAGAACCATTTGCTATGGCCATAATGCTTCCATCCCAGCTAATACCTGAGACATCATATAAAGGGCCTTATATTCCCAGTGCTATAAAGGGCACATCCAGTTTCTGGCAGAATAGGAGGGATAAGACCTGGAAAATCCATCACATCATCACTCCCATTATGTTCTGGAATATGTCACAGCCTTCCAGGGGGAAAACGTGGAGAAACCTCAGCTCCATAATTAGTTTAGCAGTGTATGCTCTACTCCCTTATACACTCAGAAATCATGCAGGAGGAAAGCCAGCACTCTCCACTTGCGCATAGCCTTAAATTTTTAAAATCTATTTTTCCAAACGTATTTCTCACTTTAAACTCCATTTCAGTCTCCATTCTCTCTACTTCAATTCCAGGCCCTTCAGTGACTCTCACCCAGTTTTGTTGCTGGTTTGCTTGCTTCTAGTTTTTCTATCCTTATAGCTTCAACTTTGGTTCTGGTTTTCCCCCTGTAAACTTTACTCCCTCAATCATGAATCATGTTTCCTTTGAGAGCCTCAGATAACCTTGGGCACCTTTGACAGACATCTTTTGTGATTAACCTAGAATGGGTCCCCTTCTCTTGGCACCATGTATCAGGGACTACACAGACCCCCTTTGATCAAGATCTCAATCTAGCCAACAATGACTTGCAATATCTTATACTATTTTTTGTCATTTCTTTTTGTAAATAGAGTTTATCTTTAAAGTGGCTTTTGCCATTGATACATAATTTATTTTTATATTTCTAGACTAATGTTTAAAAGCAAGTGCAAGTCTTTGGAATCTTATCCATGCTATCAAGATGAAGAAACTAAGATTGCTTTTGCAGATTATACTGTGACTTATCAAGAACAGCCACCAAATTCTTGGTTTATAGTATTCAGGTGAGGTTGTTATATAGTGACAAATATGTCTCTAAATGGCTTGCAATATCTGTATTTATGAATATTTCTGATAGTAGTAAAGGTATTAGCTTCTGGGTTGCTTTCATAAGTTAGTTAAAATTCTTCCACACTTGGCATTTTAAATGAGATATTATAGAAATTTTTATCTATTCTTTTCATCAAAATATGAAGAATGTTTAGTAATTATTAGAAGCTTTTATGTTCATGATAAAAATACTATAACAAATTAATATGCTTTTAGTATAGAAAAAGATCCTTTAATTTCTAAGCAATAGCATATTTGGTAAAAGTCACAAATTACTTATAAAATTGATTTTTTAATAGAGTTTGCGTTTACTTGACAAAATAACATATTAATAGTAATTTTTAAAAGAAAATAATATGTGTGCCTTTTAGTTATTTGGAACTTTGGATTTTTAAAAAAATTTCTTGGCATTAATGCAAATTTCAAACTTCCTTTAAGAATTCACATCAAGGGAAAGTTCATGCTTTTGTAATTACAGAGAAACATTTTTGGTTCATCAAGACATGATTTTGGTTCCCAAAGTATATACTACACTTCCAATCTGTATCCTACACATTGTTAATAATGACACAATGGAGCAAGTGCCAAAGGTGTTCCAAAAAGTGGTGCCTTATCTTTATACCAAGAATAAGGTAGGTATAAAATTTATTCTCCACATATGATAGAATGGCAGTGAAAAGCTACCAGCTTGTAGAGGGTCCTGAAGGGAGGGTAGAGTTGTTTTTAATCTACTTAACAGACAAATAAGGCCCTGATCTTTCACTATAGAAGTCCCATATATTTAACAGTAGGAGATATTAAATGTAAGTGCTAAAGCATTCTTTACCTCTCAACGCTCTTTCTTCTTCTTCCGAAAGAAAATATGACAAAAAGAAAGCATTAGAAATTCTAATTATTGAAATTTAAGAAACATATAAATGCTTAAAATAGAAATGAATCTAAAGAGCTCCTTTAGCCTTATCCCAAAACCAAATCATATGATTATCTTTGTTTCCCACTGGGTTTTTATTCTACTCCTGTATATTTCAGAAAATTGTAGTTACATAGCCACCAACCATCACCACCTCATTTTGAGAGCTAAATAAATTGCTTTACCAGCCAGAGGTACTTGGGGACCTTACTGTGGCTAAATGATAGACCCTGATCTCTGACCTTCACTCAAACCACATTGCTTCTCTGTTTATTCAAACCTCATATTTGTCTTTTCAGTCATTTCCTCTAAGAGAGAATCACAACAAATGATAATGTATACCTAGCTGGATATGAAGAGGGCTGTTTTAGCTCTGGTCTTCCTTTCTGCAGCTTTATGTCTTTAAACCTCTTCATTTTTCTTTTTGAGTTATGTCTGTACTTGACTTCTGAGATTCATTTCAGCCTATGATTCTATACATTATTTTGTGTAAATTAGAACATACTTATCTCATGAATACTGCTTTTGTATAAATGAAGGATACATTTAAAAATGTATTAACTCCATAAAAATCCTAATAGCTCTTTCATGCTGTCTTAGAGATTTTAGGAAACATTTTAAAAATAAGGGCAATTAAATTTTCGATGAAATTACTTAACCCCATTGATACATATGTGTGTATATGTGTATATTATATACATATATAATCTGTTTTCTTGAAAGATTTTTTACCATTTTATTATAATTAGAAGTTGTATATGTTTCATTAAACCCTTAGCATATTTTTCTATCATTTTTAATAAGACAGATTTTTTATATTACAATCAGATTTTATTAAATTTGATATTATCAAATTGTAACTTAAGCTTAAATTATTTTTATTTTGCATTAAATTTGGCAAATTTAACATTTACATTTTATAAGCAAATCTGATAAACATCAGTATTTTTGTGCAGTTATCTATATTTGGAATTATACACCTAAGCATAATTTTTAAAAACTCACTTGATTAAAGTCAATGCATCAATATATTATTTTTACTTATTGTTTTTGTTAATTACCTTGAAAGGGCATTTACATATCACTTAAAAACAGAATACTTTGCTAATAAAAATTCAATTCCTGTACATCAGACATGTATTTACAAACTTTATTTGACCCACACAATTTCCTTTTATACTATATTTATTCTTCCCCATGTTCTAATAAATGATATCTCTAAACCAAGCTTGTCCAACCTGCGGCCCATAGGCTGCGTGCTGCCCAGGGTGACTTTAAATATATCCCAACACAAATTCGTAAACTTTCTTAAAACACTATGAGATATTTTTGTGATTCTTTTTTTTTTAAGCTTCTGAGTTTAGTTAGTGTTAGTGCATTTTATGCATGGCCCAAGACAATTCTTCCACTGTGGCCCAGGGAAGCCAAATATTGGAAACCCCTCCTCTAAACCTGACCTTTCTGCAGCAGAATGCCTTGGGTTAAACCAAACTACAGAGCTAGTTCTTCACGAACAAATTTGTCCACACACCAGTAGATGATTTTTTGAATGTTTGTTTTTAAAGTTTGAGTTAGACTTCCTTTTGAATAGAAACAGTTTATTTAATTTGTGATTAGAATTCAAAAGTCACAAAGATTAAGAGGAAGAAGATGATTTAATTTAAAGGGAGACTATCAAGGTTATAGATGTCATCAAATTCTAGCAATGAATTTTGTATTACTAGATAAATATACTAATGCTAGTCTTGAATACTTCATTTTGGAAGAGACCTTTAAAGAATATTTGGTTGAACCAAGTACGAATCTGATTATTATTTACATCTAGCATACCTCCTTGGGTTGGGATGGGTTTGGTTTTTGTTTTAGAAACTCCATTGTAGACATCCCTCTCTAGATTAAACTTGAATTTTTCGGATAGTTCTAAGTGATACATTTTGAGTCAACGTTCAGAAGAACATTCCAGCTCCACTTAACTATTATTTTTAAGTTGTAAATTGAGATTGCAGCAAACATACTTCCTGTCTCATATTTTATCTCTTCTGCCCTCTCACTCTAGCCAGCTCTGTTTAGAAAAAAAGTTAAGGCCGGGCGCAGTGGCTCATGCCCATAATCCCAGCACTTTGGTAGGCCAAGGTGGGTGGGTCATCTGAGGTCAGGAGATCGAGACCAGCCTGGCCAACACGGCAAAAGCCTGTCTCTACTAATAATACAAAAATTAGCCAGGCGTGGTGGCGTGCGCCTGTAGTCCCAGCTACTAGGGAGGCTGAGGCAGGAGAATCACTTGAACCCAGAAGACAGAGGTTGCAGTGAGCCGTGATCACGCCACTGCTTTCCAGCCTGGGTGACAAGAGCGAAACTCCATCTCCAAAAAGAAAAAAGTTAAAAGTGGAGAAATGCGGAGGAGTATGTCAAGCTGTGTGAATAGAAAAAGAGCTTAATTGGACCCTTTTGTGCTGCAGTTTTCCTCTCTTCATAATTCTTGATCTTTGAACATTTATCCAAACAACCTTTGTCCCTGCTAAAATGTGGTTCCCAGAACTGAATGCTGCCTCTGAAAGTAATTCTGACCCACAAAACATAAAGAGGTTCATTGCTCCATTGTTTTGTACCCTGTGATTGCATCAGTCTTTGGGTACCTACAAGGCATGTTGATATGGTGGACTCAAGAGACACCTCAAGAGAGAACATCTTTGGCCGACTAGATAATGTCTAAAACTGTATTGAGCAGTTGTATAACTTAGCAATCTTAGGTGGGAATTTTGTGGCTAATTCTGCCCAGCAGGCTCATCCAGAGGCATCCTGACCCATACGAAATTCACCAGAGGCCTTGACATATGCCTGCCCGAAATTCATAAACACCATGTATGCAACTTTTACCTGATGTTGTGTCTTCTAATCTTATGAAAAAAGTAAATAAGTTTTGTTTCCAATAAACTCATGCTGGCTTTAAGAATAGGTTTTATCTTTGAGGTTCACATGAGACATGCTTTTTATGAGCTGCGGCAGAACTTTGATAAGCACTATTATTAAACTTACTAATCTGTGGTTTGCAGAGTATATATTCTTCTTAAGTTTGAAAAATCAGAATTGTTTGCTCTATTTTTTTTCATAAATACTCAAGACCATACACTGTAATTCAGAATACTAGTCTGTGGGATTCCTCGATACTCAGTACTCGATTATATAAATGTTTTACTACTGAATCCATTTAGAATAGCCAAGTTCTGTCCTATAATCCTATCACTGATTTAGCTTTGGATTTTCACTTACCAATATCTAATCCCACCATTTAATAACTTTTTCCTTTATAATCATTCTGAGTCTGAGCAAAAACAAAATAATTTTGCTTTGCCTCTTTAATTCAGTAGTACAATGAACTCAAATAATAATAAAAATATCAATACATATGTGCATTACCCTTTGCCAGTAAAAATGCTTTATTATACATTTTTTTTACTTGCCCCAAACATGATGTCATAAAGTCCTTACTGGTGTTGCAATTCTCATCTCATTATGGGGACTGGAATTCCAGCTAATATTTCTAGATGTGTATGAAACTTTTAAAAAATTCATTCTGGCTTATATATATCTAATTTTTACTTCTGGAAATCTAAACATACCAGAGAGCTATTTGTGGGCAGAGTACAGCTGGAAGACAAATCTATCTTTTTATTCTTTATTAGGGGCATCTGGAATTATAATCTCAGAATTACTTTGAACATTTGCATCTATTATGATATCATGCTTTTGATTCACTGACTTTTTAGTCAGCTATCCAATTATGTTAAACCAAGCTCTTCCCCATCATAAAGTAAGCCATTCCCAGGCTCTTGAGCTGCTCCTTTTCTGCAATCTAAAGAGCTCATCCTCAATCACACATCTGGGTTCTGTGGAATCAAATCAGCTATTAATTTTACAGTTTTACCTGTCATGTCAACAGAATACATTTCTTTGAACTCTTCTGCTTTTCTTACTTCAGTATTCCAGAAAGATAGATCTGGGTTACAGGAAAATCAAGTAAGAAGCTTTTGGGCTACTCTGGGATGGTGCAATGATAAAAATCTGCCATGGGAGGCATTAGAAGAATTAGAAGAGGACATAGTAATCATCTATTGTAGTTAAGCACTTTATTTTATAGTTAAGGAACCACACAAAGGAAAATATCAGAGTTTATTATTTTCCTGAAAACTTTGTAGGATAGTGCTTTCTAAGAGAAATTCCAAACATAATCCTAGTGATTCTATGTTTATTAAGAGATCTTGGGACCTGTAGGTATATCATAATAATAAGACATTTAGCACTATTAGATATTGTACATTCGATAGAATAATAACGACATAATTCATTTCTGTGTAATTTGTCTTTCTTATAGAAGGGATACACTTTTGTGGCGGAAGCATTTACAGGCGACACATATGTAGCAGCCTCACGATGGAAACTGCGTCTCATCGGTTCTTCTGCTCCACTGCCATGCCTCTCTCGAGACTCTCCATGCAATTCCTTTGCCATAAAGGAAATCCGAGATTACTACATACCCAATGATAAGAAAATTTTATTCAGGTACAAGTAAATGACAGAAGGGGAAAGGCATTTTTTAAAAAATATTAATATTTTAGGATAAAAATAAATTCTGCAGTAAAATCCTGAGTCGGTTTTGAATTTCAAATTCCATATTCTTTTTGGAAACAATTAATTGAGTGTGATGTGATTATGTGGGTGTTACGTAAGATTAAGCCTGTATGGCTACATATAATGGTAGTGAGATTTCCCTAAGTCTTCATCCTACTTGACTTTGATTAAAGATTCTTCATGACATGGCTTCCTCTTACTATTTTCTTCTTCTTCTGCTCCATCTCTGGCTAGTATTTTGTGGGGGTTTAATCAACCAACTCAGCCTTCTTTTTATGTTCATCTATGTGCAGTGTTCTCCTTAAATAGCCTAATCATAGATTCCACTCTCTTTCATTAATCAGTCTTCAATGTCCCTGCACTATTTCCAGCCCTCATTATCTTCAGTCTATACAATTGTTTTGTTTCTGGAATCCATGACTCTACTATATTCCCTTTTCTGCACTTAATCAGTTTTTTCTCATTCTCCCTATCCATTTACATACTCATCCTTTACTTCCACAGTAATTGCCTTTCAACCACACATATTTAAATATGTGATTCTCCTGCTTTTAAACCTTTGATAACGTTCCATTGACTACAGATAAACTCCGAAGCACATAGCATGTTATTTAGCATTCTTGAACAGATGCCTAACACAGTGTGCTCTCCTGATGGAACTAACAACCACCTCCTGATATATATGCCCAGAAATTTTATTTTGCTCGAGCATTTCCTCTTGTCCCATGTGTCCTGTCCCCACCTCTCCACTTAAAAAAAAATCATCACCTTTAATGATAATTTTCAATAGTAAACTTTGTGCTTAAACCTTCAAATATAATTAGTTGGCTCTGGTCATGTTCCTATAGTCCTTTGTTCTCTCTGAGACTGTGACATATCAAATTTTATCTAGTTAATTTCACATTGGCCACTGTGAGAATCAACATTGATTGAAGGCAAGAATCATTTATTTTCAATATAGGACCTAACACAGTGCCTGATACATAATTGGCCTCCATTAACAATGTGTTGTTATTCAACGAGTTGTTGGAATACTTATCTTCTCTTTTTAATATACACTTCTCTGCACAGAAAATTTGGAAAATATGTGTATTCCCCAGAAGGAAAGAAACACACCAATAACTAAAAATAGCAATTGTGATAAAATATTTTAACTACTATGATAGAAAACTATCGTATCACATGGCAGGGCCACTAATAGTCTAAAAAGTGAAATTTAACCTACTACCTAAATTACTCCCAGAAGCTGGTATTAAAGTCATCAAGCTGAGTGGTGAGGAAGGTGAAGAGGGAGCTGCTTAGGTAGCATAAGTGAAAGTTCATAAATTAAAGGATATACAACCTTTTCTGGAAACTCAAGACATTGTTTTGTTTGCAAAGTTGGGTTTTGGCATGCTATAGTAAGTAGTAAGACCAGAAAGTCAGCAAAAGCTTTCTGAGAAGAGCCTCACTGGACAAGAAGTATGGATTTTTACATTAGGAGCAAGGGGACTCTTTAAAGGATTTTAAGAAACATTATCAGACTTGTGTTAAAAATTATGTCGCATAGCATGAATTTTTAAAAATATATATATGCATGTGTATATACATATATATATATATGTATTTTTTTTTTTTTGAGACAGAGTCTCACTCTGTCACCCAGGCTGTATGTAGTACAGCGGCACGATCTTGGCTCATTGCAACCTCTGCCTCCCGGGTTCAAGTGATTCTCAAGCCTCAGCCTCCCAAGTAGCTGGGATTACAGGTGCATGCCACCAAGCCTAGTTAATTTTTGTATTTTTTGTAGAGATCAGGTCTCACCATGTTGTCCAGGCTAGTCTCAAACTCCTGGCCTCAAGTGAGGCCACCTGTCTCAGCCTCCCAAAGTCCTGGGATTACAGATGTGAGCAACTGCGCCCAGCCCATTAATTATATTTTATAACAGAAAATATGTTAGAACTATATTATTTTAAAATTATATTTAATCATAAAAGACGTGGAATATGGAAAAAAAAACTTCACTCAAGGCAGCAGTGTGTTGAATGAATGGAAGGGGAGCATAACCAGAGGGAGGGAAACCAGGTAAAAGCTTTGAAATAAACCAGAAGTGAGATTATGGCAGTCTGAATTAGGGCAGCATATTGACCTGTGAGGACTGCCATAACAAAAGTCCACACACTGGGTGGGTGACTTATGCAATAGACATTTATTGTTGCAGAGCTGTGGAAACTATTAACAGAAGTGTGAGATCAAAGTGTCAGTAGGGTTGGTTCCAACTGAGGCTGTGGGAGAGAACCTGTTTCGTGACTTTCTCCTGGCTTCTTGTGGTTTGCTGGTAATCTTTGGTTATCCTTAGCTTTTAGAAGCATCACGTCTATCTCTGCCAACATCTTCACGTGGTATCTTCCCCTGTGTGCCTCTGTTTCCAAATTTCCCTTTTTCTTTAGAGACAATCTCACTTTGTCGCCCAGCTGGAGTTCAGTGGTGCAATCATGGCTCACTAAAAACTAACTCCTGCCTCAAGCAATCCTCTCACCTCACCATAGCTGATACTACGGGCACATGCCACCATGCCCAGCTAATTATTTTTTAAATTTTTTGTAGAGACAGACTCTTGCTATGTTGACCAGGCTGGTCTCAAACTCTTGGCCTCAAGCAATCCACCTGCCTTGGCCTCCCAAAGTGCTGGGTTTATAGGCATGAGCCACAGTGCTCAGTCCTAAATTTCCCTTTTTTTATGAGGACACCAATCATACTGGAGTAGAGCCCACTCTAATGACTTAATTTTAACTTGATTCTCTGCAAAAGACCCTATCTCCAAATAGGTGACATTGTGAAGCACTGGGGGTTAGAACTCCAACAGATCTTTGGTGGTAGGCGGGGACACAATTCAACCCACAACAGGCAGTGACAGTGAATCTGGAGAGAAGAAAAAGGATTTTAAGATATTGAGGTAAAATTGACAGCCTTGCTGGAGTTCTAGAGTTTGGCTTGGAAAATGTTTGGATGATGTCATTTACTTAGATAGAGGGGAGAAGCTCATTTGCAAGGTGGGCCATAGGAAGACAACTGATTCCTTTTTAGTTTTTAAATGTGGTGGTCTAGTGAAATAGCCAAGTGATACTGCATAGGTAGTTCCACTGCAGACATTGATTTGGGAGTCATTATTCTGTTACTGCTCATGGAAGTGCCCAGGAAAGTTTGCAAAATGAGAATCAGACCTAGGACAGAATATGAAGACTCTCTGATGTTTGTGGGAATGTCTGTCAATGGAAGCAAAGCAGCCCCCAAACAGGAGGGAAAGTACAAAAGTTGCTGTGCTCATAGTGGAAGAGTTTTTAAAGGAGGAGGAAATCAGGGTCCAGTCAACACTGTCAAGTTCTCCTGAGAGGTAAAAGAAGATGAGAACTGAAGTTTCTATAGGATGGTGACAAACTCCTTGAAACCTTGGCAAGAGTAGCTTTAGCACCTGGTGTGTTAGTCCGTTCTCACACTGCTATAAAGACATACCTGAGACTCAGTAATTTATGGAGAAAAGAGGTTTAAGTGACTCACAGTTCTACAGTATGTACAGGAGGCATGGCTGGAGAAGCCTCAGGAATCTTACAATCATGGCAGAAGACGAAAAGGAAGCAGGAAGAGTCTTCACATGGCAGAGCAGGAGAGAGAGAGAGAGAGAGAAGGGGGAAGTGCTATACACTTTCAAACAACCAGATCTCATGAGAACTCACTCACTATCATGAGGACAGCAAGGGGAATTCCATCCCCATGATCCAATCACCTCCTACCAGGCTGCTCCTCCAACCCTGATTATCATAATTCAACATGAGATTTGGGTGGGGACACAGAGCCAAACCATATCACCGGTGTTGCTGATGGAGTAGGCACGTGGAAGGTGGTAAGATAAGGAGAGTTGTCTGCTTCCACTCTTCTCAGGTGCTGAGCTGGGAAGTTGGAAATGCAGTAGAGGCTGGACTGCAAAGTGGGCTGAAAGTTTTGTTGGTTTGTTTTTTGCTTTGTTTTAATCTATTTTAAAGATAGGAGAGAACTGTACTTATGCACAAACTAATTTCAAGGAGGAATAAAGAGTGGGGTTTATTTAAGATACAGGAGAGGGGCCAGGTAAGTGGCTCATACCTGTAATCCCAGTACTTTACAAGGCTGAGGCAGGAGGATTGCTTGAGCCCAGGAGTTTAAGAACAGCCTGGGTTAACATAGTGAGATCCTGTCTCTACAAAAAATAAAAATTTAGTTGAGCATGGTGGTGCATACCTGTAGTCCCAGCTATATTGGAGTCTGACGCGGAAATATCACTTGAGCCCAGGAGTTTGAGGTGCAGTGAGTCATGATTGCACCACTGCACTCCAGCCTGTGTGAACTTTTCCATATATATAGAGAGAAAAAAGTGTTGTCTTTTAGTGTCGTCATATATATGAGAGACATGATACTCAGAAAAGCAAATTTCTAGAGAAATTAAAAGTTGATAGAGTCCTAAGCATTTGTGAGGAATCACCTAAAATAAGAACAAAAAGCCAACTCTTTAATTGCATTAAAAGGGGAGCGGGAAAGAATGGATTAGACTGCATGTTTCCAGTCTTTTTGCAAGAGGTTTCCAAACTATTGGTGAGGGGTGAAGGTGGAAGCTAATTTCTCTGTATTTTTGTGATTCACAGAAAATGCTATTATCAGTGAAGCTCCAAAGGCTTCTGCCAGGAGTGCTTTTTGTGTAATAGAGAGGGTTGACGTGGCAGTAGTTTGCAGATCTATTAAGAGGTTTGGTGGCTTTTAGGGCTATCAAGTTTTATATTTGTTTATTTATTTTTATTAAGTTCTGGTGTACCTGTGCAAGATGTGCAGGTTTGTTACATAGGTAAACATGTGCCATGGTGGTTTGCTGCACCTATCAAACCCATTACCTAGGTATTAAGCTCAGCATGCATTAGCTCTTTTACCTGTTGCTCTCCCACCCCCCACCCTCCCGCAACATGCCCTAGAGTAAGTGTTGTTCCCCTCCCTGTGTCCATGTGTTCTCATTGTTCAGCTCCCACTTATAAGTGAGAATATGCAGTGTTTGGTTTTCTGCTCCTGCATTAGTTTGCTGAGGATAATGGCTTCCAGCTTCGTCTATGTGCCTGCAAAGGACATGATCTCATTCCTTTTTATGGCTGCATAGTATTCCATGGTGCATATGTACCATATTTTCTTTATCCAGTCTATCATTGATGTGTGTTTGGGTTAATTCCATGTCTTTGCTGTTGTGAATAGTGCTGCGGTGAACATATGCATGCATGTATCTTTATAATAGAATGATTTATGTTTCTCTGGGTATATACCCAGTAATGGGATTGCTGGGTCAAATGGTATTTCTGGTTCTAAATCTTTGAGGATCACCACACTGTCTTCCACAATGATTGAACTAATTTACATTCTCACCAACGGTGTAAAAGAGTTTCCATTTCTCTGCAACCTCACCAGCATCTATCGTTTCCTGACCTTAATAATCATCATTCTGACTGGCATGAGATGGTATCTCATTGTGGTTTTGATTCACATTTCTCTAATGATCAGTGATGTTGAGCTATCTTTTATGTGTTTGTTGGCCACATGTATGTCATTTTTTGAGAAGCGTCTGTTTATATCCTTTGTAGGGCTATCAAGTTTTATAAGTGACTGCTTATTACATCTAAACAAAAAGTTATATTTTTTATATCTAGGATTTGATGATAATAAAAGTTCTATTTCCTTTTGTTTTACAGTACTATATTGGGATCCTTTGCCAAAGTCTCTAATAACTCCAGTATTTTCAGGATGTTAGTGAACTTTAAAAAGTAGTTTTACTTTTAGGTTATCATATCAGAAAATTAGACAGTTTTCCTTACTGTCTTAGTCTGTTCTTGCATTGCTATAAAGAAATACCTGAGACTGGGTAATTTCTGAAGAAAAGAGGTTTAATTGGCTCATGGTTCTGCAGGCTGTACAGGAAGCATAATGCTGGCATCTGCTCAGTGTCTAGGGAGGCCTCAGGAAGCTTCCAATCATGGCAGAAGAGGAATGGGGAGCAGGTACATCACATGGCCAGAGCAGGAGTAAGAGAGAGAGAAAGGGGGAGGGGGACACATGTTTAAACAACCAGATCTCATGACAACTCACTCACTGTCATGTGAATGGCACCAAGTAGATGGTGCTAAACTATTCGTGAGAAACCTGTCCCCAAGATCCAATTACCTCTCACCAGGCCCCACCTCAAACAGTGAGGGTCACAGTTTGACAGCAGATTTGGGCAGGGACATATATCCAAACTATCTCACTTACTGACTTGAGAGAAAGACCAACATACTTGCTTATAATGTTAACTTTTTTTCTTTACAGGTATTCGGTTAAAGTTCTAACACCACAACCTGCTACAATACAGGTACGCACATCCAAACCAGATGCATTCATCAAGCTGCAGGTCCTAGAAAATGAAGAAACTATGGTGAGCTCCACTGGAAAAGGCCAAGCTATAATCCCAGCATTTCACTTCTTGAAGAGTGAGAAAGGTTTGAGCTCCCAGTGTAAGTGTACCTTTATGAACAGGATAGTTAGATTCATAAATGGATATTTATGTTTTCATGACACTTTAAAAATGAAAATAAAGTAGCAAGTAACCACTTAAATTATGAAACTTCATAGTACAGTAAAATATTACAAGTATAGCATTTGCATGTCAAATTAGGCTCCGAAAATCATTATAGGTTTATTTTAAAGCCTTTTCATCTTGGAGAAAAATTTACTTTCCTATTATATGAGCCTTCTTAATAAGAAGTCAAATTTTTATTATTTTGAAAGAATATTTTTACTTTTTTAAATTCGTAATTCATTATTTTCAGAAAATATTGTACTTACTAAAATTAACAAAAACTAAAGTTACTACTTGCAATATATTATTCTCAATGAGTTATTAAATAAATAAAATAATTTTGGAAATAATGGTTAGCAGTGCTACTCTGAGGTGTATTACGTAGTTATGTTAGTAACTTGATTCTGACTGTAAAAATCACACATTACCAATGTAGCATATTTGGAAAAATAGAAAATTACAAACAAGGGAACAAGAAATGCCTTATAATCGTGCTACTCAGAAAAAAAGTTAATATTTTAGCTTTTTTGCCAAAACACACTAAATATTTTGGCTTTTATGCCTTCATTCTCCGTTTTTGCACTTAGATTTTAAGCAAAACTGAGTTCTTACCTATTTTGCCCATTGATATTTCTTCTTTCTTAAAATAATAACTTTATTTATTTTTTGTGGCCTTGGCTGGGACCTCCAAACCAAGGTTAAATAACTGATGATGACGTATTTCCTTTTCTTAAGGAGGAAAACTTGGGACATTTATCATTAATTATCTTTTTTGGTGGCTTCTAATAATTAGACTTTATGAAACTTGAGAAAGTTCCTTCTATTGATAGCTGTGAATTCTAATATTGAATGGGTTTGGAACATTATTAGTTATTTGTTGTTGTTGTTTATAGAAATCATCAAATTTTACTCCTTTGAGTTTAATAAGTTTAGTTTTAATTTTGAATCACTCTTGCATTCTTAGAATGAAACCTATTTGGCCATGATGTTTTAACATACTCCTATGTTTAGAATATATAATTTTACTCAGTTTGTTGGATCATAATCATAACTTTGTATCTCTATGAGTTTTTTTCTCTATGTGCACCCGTACAATTATTCTTTTCTAGTTCTTAAGCTAAAATTATAATGAATACTTGAAATTAATTTGAGAACTTTGTAGTTTTTCTATTTTTGAGACTTTTAAATTCTCCAGGATTCATTTCTTTTTAAAAAATTTATTATATTTGTCCTCAAAACTTTCTAAATCTGATGTTTTTAGGGGAGAGACATTCATTTGTTTTTTCACTATATAAGAAAATAATTTCCAAGGTTATTTTTTAACTGCCTTTCATTTTTATAGAATATATTTTTAGTGAAAAGTACAGATTCATTTAGTATTTCCAATGTATCTGCATAAATTTGCATAAAGGATTTTTTAAATTTTTAAATATCTTCTCAATGGGTTTGTATAAATATAATGTATTCTTTTTTATTTATTTTTAATTTATTCCTAATCAGACTTTTTTGAATTTACTCTGTATTATTGGTCTTTTCTTAGAAAGAATTGGATTTATTATTCAAACCCGAATGGCTCTTTTAGATTTATAATCTACTTTGTCAATATTTATATTTATCTTTTAAAACCATTTCTCTACTTTTAAAATTTAGTCAAATGCTTTTTCTTCTAGCTTTGCCAGTTGCAATTTTATTTCATGTTTTAAATCTTGTTTTTAAATGGATATACTTAATGCTATACATTTTTCTAACTGGCTACATATGTTTTATTATATTTTATAACTTAGAATGCTATAAAATTTTTATGTAGTGTTATGTTAGCCATGGGCTATGATTTATTTTTTACTTTTTCTTTAACCTTAGCATTTATAACATTTTTAGAATTTCTAAATAATAAAATTGCTTTATTTAGCCTATTTCTGTTAATTTCTAATTGAATTCTGTGGAGTTAGAAAGTGTAGATATATTTTCTACTTTGAGGATTTGACTGGTGTTTTTCCAGTTTCCTGATTCAAATCAAGTTTGATTACTGTCCCACTGAGGTTTAAAAAGAATTCTATTTTGGAGGTAGTTTGATGTCTAAATGCACACATACACTTTCATAAAAGTCAAACTTGCTAATTATGATATTTAAAATGTCAAGGTTGTCATTTATACTTTAACTGGTGTGAAAATTTCTTAGTGATGTGTATTAAGATCACCTATTTTTATTTTTAAATGTGTGATAACATCTCTAACTCTAATATGTTTAGTTTTACATATGTATATGCTATGTTGCTAGTTATGTAAGTTTCATATTTGCTTTATATTTTTCATGTATTATATTTTTAAAATAAACATAAAACAACCTTCTCTTAACTTTAACAGGATTTCTTATCACTGATTCTTCCTTTTGTTATTCTTCCTTTTGCTATTATTTGCCTGTTGATACTGTTCATCTGTTTAGTTTTCCATCCTCTACATGTTTTTGCTGTGAGTCTTTCTCCTGTAAATGGATATTTTTTCTACACAATGATATATGGACTGGCTTTGTGCCCCACCCAAATCTCATCTTGATTTATAATCCAAATTGTAATCTCCACATGTTGGGAGAGGGACCTCGTGGGAGGTGATTAGACCATGGGATGCTATTCCCCCATGCTATTTTCGGGATAGTAAGTGAGTTCTCGCAAAATCTGATGGTTTTATAAGGGGTTTTCTCCCCCTTCACTCTGCACTTCTCTCTCCTGTCACCATATGAAAAAGGATGTGTTTGCTTCCCCTTCCTCATCTACCATGATTGTAAGATCCCTCAGGTCTCTTCAGCCATGCGGAACTGTGTGTTAATTAAACCTCTTTCCTTTATAAATTATCTAGTCGGGCAGTTATTTTTAGCAGTGTGAGGACAGACTAATATAAAATGCAAGATTCTTGTCTCTAAAATGGGGGAATGCAGTCCATTTGCATTAATTTTGATGTGTATGTTTTTGAATTATTCCATCACATTATATTTCTTAATTGATTACATCTTCTAGTTGACCTTTGCAAAGCTATTTCATAATCAGCACCCTTCCTGAACCTTTTCCCCAATAGTGTTTATTTTGATTAAACCTACAAGCAAATTACTAGAAATAACTGTTATTTTTCTATATGTAAAAATCTTTATATCCCTTTTCTACCTAATATCTGTATTTTTTTGTTTGTTTTGTTTTGTTTTAGTTATATAGGTGGGCATTCCAGAGCAATACAGATTCCAGTGGTGACACTGACTTTTGACTCCCTGTCCCTCTCTCTTTAACAACTACAGGCAAATTAGGGAGTATAAGCTGAGCAACAGATCACTGCAAATTGTTTGATATCCCATCATCTTACACAGGCTTCAGTAGTTTGAGTCTCTGTCTTTTCCCAGTCCAGTGTTCTATCCAGGAACTGCTCCTAGCTAGTGGGATGAAGGGTACCACTGAAGGATTTATTATTTACACTAACTTGACTGGAGGCACTCAGTCTATAATACAAATCCTTCCTACCATTCTCCCCAGAGCTTTCTGCAAGATAGACCTTGCCACGTGTGGCTCTACTTCTGAGTATTGTTTCCTAAATCAGTTTTTGGTTTTGATCACTAACGTCGGGTAAGAATCCCATTTCCAGGGAGACAAGGAGTACAGTTCAGGCTGTGACCTTAATCAAGATTTTAACACTGCTTATTTGAAATCTCTCTGTGTTTTTCATTTATCTCATTATTATGATTTATAGAATGTAAAATATTACATATACATACCTCTGATTAGTTTCTCCCTATTTCATTCTTTCCATATTTCTAGTCTGACTTTCAAGTTTCTTCTGATTTTATTGCATAACTCAGTGTAATTGTGCTCGCTAAACATAATTTCCATCCTCCCACTGTACCAATATATTTCCCTTCTAAATGCCCCAATAAATAGTACTACCCACTCGACATCAACATGTTCATCATCATTTTGTTCCTAAATTTTTTTTTTTTGAGATGGAGTCTCACTCTGTCACCCAGGCTGTAGTGATCTCAGATCACTGCAACCTCCACCTCCTGGATTCAAGTGATTCTCGTGCCTTAGCCTCCCAAGTAGCTGGGATTACAGGTGCGTGACACCACACCCGGCTAATTTTTGTATTTTAGTAGAGACAGGATTTCATTATGTTGGCCATGCTGGTCTCAAACTCCTGACCTCAAGTGATCCACCTGCATCAGCTTCCCCAAGGGCTGGGATTACAGGTGTGAGCCACTGTTCCTAGATTTATTTTGAATGCCTGTAATGATTTACCCATAATTCATCAACAAATATGATTGAGGGAATTTGTTAAAGAAAACTCTTTGTATTATATGTTGCATCATTTACAAAATTTAATTTATAAAACATATTTACTTTTACCAAGTGTTTTTTACGATTTATATTTCCCCATTTGATTTATAGTTATCATAAATTATATAAATATTTTCAATATTCAATGATATTTGCTATTTTAGAATAAACCCTAGTTGATTGTGGTGGTTTTTGTTAATAGTAGTAGATTTGGTTTACAATTATTTTATTGGGAATTTTTTACACATTCTAATTAATATGTATAGTGAACAAATATGTTAATAATATATTTATTAAATGCTTATATAGATTGAATTTATCTCTGTTCCTTGACTGTTTAATTCTGCATGGATCTTTGAACATACTCTATCTCTCTTTTAAAAATTGTATATTATATGATATCCATTTGTAGAAAAGTCTTTTGTTCCTGTCATTCTTTTAATTACTAGTTACTGTACAATACCCCAATGGTCTTAGCAGGGAGTTTAACTCCAGCCTTCCATGAATAGTAAATTGAAGCTTACTTGGACAGTAAGATGCACAAAGAAGTAAGGATCCTTCTGTTCTGATCCTTAGAATAATTTTAAATTATTTAAATTTAAAACTTTTAAAATTTAAATTTTTTACTTTAAATTTAAATTTTAATGTTTTAAATAATTTTAAATAAATAAGAATCCTTAGAGTGCTTTTTATTTGGAAAGAAAAATAGAAGCCCTTACAGGAAGGCTGTCTTCATCCTGTCCTATTAACCTTGGAAATAACGTGTGAATTGTTATCATAACCCAGGGATATGCCTTTCCAGTGTGAATAAGACTTTGAGGAGAATTGAAGAAATACCACACTGGGATGATATAATTAGGGCACAAGTGCAGTGTTTAAGTCACAGGGAAGTGGGATATGCATGTACTATATTAGTAGGGTTGAGCTTGGGCAAAGCTGTAGTACTTTCAGTTCTTTTGAGCATGTCTTCTTTCTTCCATCACTTGTCCTTCACCCCTGAATATCTCCTGGGTTGTTTTCAGCACTTAGGCTGCATTACTCCTTTGTGGTTTCTCATTCAAACTTGCCCAACTCCATTTCTAGTTTTTTCTTTAGATATGTTAAGACCATTTATCAGACATGTTTTGTCAGTCAGAATGCTGTTTTTAACTCTTTAAAATGGCTGTTTTCTTTATTTTGATACATTTTACACCGGTATTATAGTTTAGTTCACAGAGGGAACTCAATTCCAAAATCTTAGTGGGCACTTTTGTGCAGCTCTCCTGTGCTATTTATGACCTCATGCTTTTCTTTAATTAGCTAATTACCACCACCAATTTTCTCTGCAATTTTTAGTTTCAAATTCTTGCAGGTAACACTGTTTATAGTTTGTCATCTAGTTTAATCATTATTTCATTGAAAATGTACCATTTATAAGAGAAGTATACATAAGTATTTAAAACCAATTTTTATAGGTTTACTTCTGGCCAAGAAAGATACAGAAAAATTGAGTGGAAGAGTAACTGGGTCAGAGATCAGAAATTGATCCAAAAGTAGAGCCAACATCTATAATGGCTCTTATTTTACATGATATTTCTATTTTACCATTAGTATTTCCAGATGAACTTTAATACAGTTTTTCAAGTTTTCTCAAAACACACAGAAATCACTGTTTTTCTTCTGACTGCCTTGAATATATAGATACTATAATTTAAGGAAACTGACATTGTTACAATATCGAATTTGCATGCAAGGAAAGGCTATTTCCATTTATTCATGACCTCTTTTATTTTTCACAGAAAAGATTAAAAGATTTCTCCATATGATAGAACTATTATTGTACATTAGATAATTTCTTCATTTAGACTTCAAACAGGGTGTTGTTTTTAAATTGATGCTATTAATTTGTGTCTATGTGTGATATAAAAGACACTGAATTTAAAAATAAACACTTTTCCGTGGCTTCTCTTGGAAACAAATCTATTTACATATCCTTTACGGTATGTATTTCTGGAGTACCCCCACATAAATACTAATAGTTGCAAAAAATCTGTGTGTGTGTCTTTACAGGATATCAAGGTACACACTACCTTGATAGGTATTCTGTACACAAACACTCTTACCACATGCTAAAGGAAAGATAAAACTTCATTGCAAGGATGCAGAAGTTCAAAATGAGCCAGTCACAGATCTTATATACAGACTTCTTTATATCTGTTCTGTATCATATCATAGGAATTTACAGAATATCTGTATATCTTATAATTTTTAAAGAATAAAATCTTATACTAATACTTATGGTATAAGGTCAATTTAAAACTTGTAATATTGAATATTTTGTAAAATTTCTAATTTTAAAATTTGTAATTTGGGAAATTTATAATTTTCCATAAAATTTACATTCTAGATAACTGAGTATGAGGAAGCCCTATAGGCTAGGAATAATACAATATTTTATTTCATATGGTTATATTAGGCTCCTACAGAGAGTGATCTGTGATATGCGCAATCTTTAAAATTCAAGGATGAATTTTAACAAATAACCTGTGTATCTAATTTTCTGAATGTGTACATGCATATATATGAAATAAATGTTTAGAAGTAGAACTACTAGGTCAATGAATGGGTGCATGCATTGTTATTTTCTTATACATTGTCCAGTTGCCCTCTACTGGAGTTTGAGTAAATTTATCCTCCTTTATCCATGCTCCCCTGATTGACAGAGTTATATTTCTTGACTTTTGTTATCTGAATGCTACAAATATTAATTTATGTTTCATTTGTCTTTAGTGAGGTTTGAACAAATTTTTATGTGTTATATTTCCTCTTTTTGTATTACCTTCTTTGCAAAATTTTAAGTGCTTTCCCATTTTTTAATTAAAGTTAGCTATTCTTTTCTAGCTGATTTGTAGAGTCTCATACATTAGGGAAATTTGCCCTTTTACCTATGTGTTTCTAATGTTTTTGTAAAAATAATGAGTTATGAATTAATGACTAATGGATGGAAGGAAGTAAAGGACAGGGCCTTTGTGTTATACATTTTTAATTTTTTATTAAAGTATAATTTATATACAGCAAAAAGTATAAATCAATGTTTTGATAAGTACATACTTTAGTATGACCCACACCCCTAACAAGGTATCAAATATTTCTGTTACCCAGAAGATACTTCAGGCCATTTTCATTCAATTTCCTCACCCTCAAAGAGGCAATCACTGTTCACATTTCCATCACAATAGACTAGCTTTGCCTGTTCTAGAACTTCATAAAATTGGAACCATATAGTATTTATCTTTTGACACCGGCTTCTTTTGCTCAGCATAATGTTTTTAAGTTATATCCATGTTATTGCATATAACACTATTCTATTTCTATCTATGTTTCTGAGTATTAATTCCATTGTATGGAGATACCACACTTTGTCTACCCATTCTCCTATTGGACATATGGGTTTATTGGAGTTTTTTGATATGGTGACTCAAGCTGATAAGGACATGCTTGTACAAATCCTTTTTTGGACTTATGTTTTCATTTCACTTGGATCAATATTCAGGAGTTGAATTAGTATGTCAGTGTTTGACATATGTATACATTTATTTTAAGATGGTAAACAGTTTATCAAATGGATTGTATCATTTTACATTCCCGACAAGGTATAAATGTTCTGGTTTCTCACATTTTTTCTTACATTTATTGCTGTCAATGTTTTTAATCCATCATTCTAGCTTATATATTGTACTACTTCTTTGTAGTTTAATTTGCATTTCCCTTATGACTAATGATGTTGAGCATCTTATGTGTGCTTACTGAACATGTGTATAACTTATTGATTGAAGGATTTATTCACACATTACACCCACATTTTTAATGAGTTGTCTTTATTATTATTAACCTGTTCTTCATATATTCTGTATCTTCTGGATACAAGTTCTTCATCAAATGTATGCTTTGCCAATATGATCTTTTAGTCTAAGTTTGTCTTTTCACTTCCTTAACAGCAACTTTAGAAGAGCAAAAGCTTTTAATTTTTATAAAATTGGAGTTGTTAAAAAAATTAGTGCTATTTGTATTTTATCTAAGAAATATTTACCTAATCTAGGATCATGAATATTTTCTTTCATGTTTTATTCTAAAAGTTTTATAATCTTAGCATGCATGTTTATTTCAATGATGCATCTTGAAATAATATTTATGTATGGTTTAAGGTAGGCAGTCAAAATTATCTTTATTCCCATGTAGATATACAGTTTTTCTGGCACTGCGTATTGGAAAGATGATATTTTCTCCATTGAATTACCTTGACATTTTAGTCAAAAGTCACTTAACCATGTGTGTATAGGTCTACTTTTGGACTCTGGATCAGTTGATCTAAATAACTACTCTTCCTCCAACACTGCCTTTTCTTCAAAATTGTAGATTTTAATTGGATTTGGATTGCACTGAACTTGGGGAGCACTAACTTCTTAACAAAACTGAGCTTTCTGGTCCATGAACACAGTACATCCCTCAATTTTATCTTCAATTTCTGTCAGCAACATTTATATTGTGAGTCAGCAGATGGTGCATATACTTTACTATTTTCATATTTAAGTATTTTATTTTTAGTGGTGCTCTACCTAGGACTAAAAATACATACTCTATGCAATTTGATATCTTTATTCATTCTCCAGGACTGCTACGGCAAACTACATAAAGTGGATGGCTTAATAAAATGAACATTCATTCCCTTACAGTTCTGGAAGGCAGAAGTCTGAAATCAACATATTGTCTAGGTCATACTGCCACTGAAAGCTCTAGGAGAGAATCCTTCCTCCTTTCTTCTAGTTTTTGGTGGATCCTGGTATTCCTTGTCTTGAGACAACTTAACTCTGCCTATCTCTGCCAACATCTTCACATGACCCTCTTATTTGTATGTCTCCATGTTTTACCATTTTTCTGTCACCTTTAAGGACACCCATCATTGGATTTAGGGCTCATCCTAATCCAGGTTGATGTCTTCTTAGGATCTTTTTCTTAATTAGAACTGCAAACACCCTTATGTCAAATAAGGTCACATTCTAAGTTATTGGGTGGACATATTTTTTTGGGGGGGTCACTATTTCACTTCCCACAATATCGTACCATGAATCACTTATCCTCTTTTGAAGTTTTTTCACTCTGTGGTTCTATTTCAATCATTTCTATTGCTTGTATTCAAGTTTACTAATCTTTTCTTCTGAATTTGACAAAATGTTGTTCAAGTCTATCCAGATATTTTTTATTTCAGATATAGTCAGATCTGGAATTTCATTTTGATTCTTCATATATTTCATTTTTCTGTGATACTCACCATTTGTTCACTCAGTATGTTCATCTTTTTCCATAAATCCTTAAGCACATTTTAAATAGCTATTTTAAAGTCCTTGTTTGATGAGTCCAACATTTTTATCAGCTTCATATCTATTTCTATTGACTATTTTCTCAAGTTATGGTCACATTTTCTGCTTCTTCATCTATCAAATTGATTGTGTGCTGTATATTGTGCGTGCTACACTGCTAAGAGTCTAGATTATGCTCTTTTAATTGAAAGAGTGTTGAATCTTGTTCTGGCGGGCAGTTAATTTATTGGCAGCTTGATCCTGGTCCTGAGCTTAGTAAGTCAGTTCTAGAGTTGCCATGACTCTAGTGTTAGGGTAGCTCTACTCTTAAAGCTTGGCCTTTCTTGGGTCTCAACTGAATGCTCTGCATATTCACTGAATTCCCTTCATTTTGACAAGTCAGAATTTCAATGTCTCTCAACACTGTGGAACTACCAGAATCTTCATTAAGCTCACAGCCCCCCAGTAGTTATTGTCTGCCTGGTATTGTTGAGTGTTTGCACAAATGAAGTTTAGAATTCAGCTAAAGACTCAAGTGGACACCATGTCTATTTCTGAGCTCCTTAACTGCTCATATACTCCCTTCTGGTATCCTACCTCAAATTTTACTTGTTGCAGGAGCCCCACTCACCCATCTTTGTTTCCTAAACCTAGCAGCACTGCTGTTCACTACTTTGGGCTGTACTTCCCTGTATACAGTTGGGAAGGTGCTTGCAGGCAGAAATCTCTGGAAATCAAGAGGTCACTTTGTATGTTTCCCTTGTCTCAAGGATCACAATCCTGGGCTGTATATTTTCCGGTGGCTAAAAATAGTTGCTTTATACGTTTTGTCCATTTTTATCATTTTTTGTGGTACGAGAATAAGCCCAATGTCATGGCTGGAATTAGAATATCCCTGTGTCAGTCACTTATGTTTTTTCAATACATGTTTGATGAATTAATTAATAACATTCAACATATTTCCATTTTTAAACCTATCAGCAGTACTTATATGATCTGTTAATTAGAAAATAATTGAAAATAAAAATTCTTCACCACATTTCCATTTTTAAACCTATCAGCAGTACTTATATGATCTGTTAATTAGAAAATAATTAAAAATTGAAAATTAAAGAGAAAGTCTTTTATAAGTGTGATAACATACATATGTGGCATTAAACACAGAAAATCAGTGTCTGGCGTTAGCTTAGGGTCATTCAAGTGGCACAAAATAAATGAGAAATTGTTGAACTGTTGTATATACTTTTAGAAATAAGTGGTTACTCAGAATATACATTGCTCTGTGCATGTCACATACTATTATAATAGATTTCCTTAAGAACAATAAACCAAAAACACTGTTTTTTATCTCACTAAAACAAAAGAATTGACCTATTCCTTTGAGTGTTTTATAAAGGAATGTAACTGATTTAGTCAGTAATAACTATGTATATCACATATTTTAACTTTAACTTAGTATTTCTCCTATTCAGCTAGCAAGCACATTCTTTCATTTCACTCTGCATCCAAGAAAGAGCAAGAAGTGTATGTTAAGAAGAAAGCTGCTCAGGGAATTCAGAAATCCCCCAAGGGTAGAGCTGTAAGTGCAATACAAGACATTGGTCTACCCCTTGTGGAGGAGGAAACTACCAGTACACCCACTAGAGAAGACAGTTCCAGCACACCACTGCAGGTATATTAAAAACAATTGTTCAATTGGACTGTTCCTAAAACCCTAACATAAAACAAAACAATCATTTCCCTAAAAATAGTCAATATACAGTGTGCAGTGCTGCCAATGTATAGCCAGAATTGGAGAATAAGAGAGTCTTGAACAGTTTCTCTGTGCCAAGATCTTTAAATACATCTTGGCACAGAGATGTATTTAATATGTACATGAATACATCTTGGCAAATTTAATATGTACATGAACTCTATAATGTACCTGTAATTATCTAATTTTATAGTTGGGTTATAAGAAGCTATATAACTTTGTGGGTCACATATTAATAAATGTCACATATTAAAGGTCATATATTAATAAAACTTAATTTGTATGTGCTTACAATTAAAGGGAAAAAAGATAATGTACATATTTATAAAACAGCAGACAAAGGTATGACCTAGCCATTGGAAACCAAAAAGTAAAATAAGTTTAAATTAAATTAAAGGAATAGAAAAGAAAATGCCAGAAATAAATGTTAATATCACAGAAATTACAATAAATCCAAATAGATCAAATTAATCAACTAAAATGCTAAAATTTTAAAGTTATATAAAAATAAGATCTAACTATTTTAAACAAACTGCTGTAGAAAGTTTCATGATAGAATGTTAGAAAAACATACCTGGCAAATATGAACCAAGAGAGAGCTGTGATGATAGTGTTTTGTTTGTTTGTTTGTTTTTTGAGATGGAGTTTTGCACTGTTGCCCAGGCTGGAGTGCAATGGCGTGATCTCGGCTCACTGCAACCTCTGCCTCCTGGGTTCAAGCGATTCTCCTGCCTCAGCCTCCTGAGTAACTGGGATTTCAGGTGCCTGCCACCACACCTGACTAATTTTCTGTATTTTTAGTAGAGACAGGGTTTCACCATGTTGGCCAGGCTGGTCTTGAATGCCTGACCTCATGATCCACCTGCCGTGGCCTCCCAAAGAGCTGGGATTACAGGTGCGAGCCACCGTGCCTGGCCTGATGATAGTTTTAATACATATAGAAACATTATATAAAAATAAAAGGTAGAATAAATCAAGTAGACATGGCCATAACTAACATATAGGCACCTAATTATCTAGACACAATAAATAAAAAGCAATAACTATTAGAACTACAGAGATAAAAAGATAAGTAAATCATGAATAATTGAAGATTTTTAACCCATGCCTCGTGGAAACTGACAGTTCAAGCTGAAAAACTAAGTAAATAGAATTGTGAGAATTTGAAAAAAAAATCTAAATATAAGCTTAATCATTTAGATATCTATATGGAACACTTTACCCAATAAACAGAGAATATACTTTTTTGGCACACATGAGATTTTTTTAAAATATCATGTAATAGACAATAAATGGAAGCCTCAATAAAATCCAAACTATCCCTATCATATAGTATGTTATCTGAACTTAATGCAATAAAATAGAAACTAATAATTAACAAGGAGTTTTAAATCCTATAAATAATAAAACTAAATAAAATATATTAAATATACTAAATAATTCTTTAGTTTAAAAGAATATTAGAAAATAAATTATGAAATACATAAGATTCAATAACAATCCAAATTTGTAAACAACATCTAAAATAGCATTTGTTTACTACTACTATTTTTAGTAGTAAAAATACAATGCAGCTTCTAGATTAATTCATTAGGAAGCAGGGATGATTAAAAACAAATGAGCTAAGCTATTGAAATAAAAATTCAAAAAAAGAACAGAAAAGTAACTCAAAGATAAAAGAAAGGATTTTAATAATGATGAGAGCAGAAATCAATGAAATGTGGAATAAAAAATAAAGATTAATAAAACCCAGGGTACTTTTAAAGATTAATAAAATACACGTACTTCTAGTAAGACCAACTAAGAAAAAGAGAAAAAGAAGATATAAATTAACCAAATACAGAACAAAAAATTAGGGTGGAGGTGTAACAACAGACAATGGGTTAAAAAAATAAGAGTATTAGAAACAGCTCTGTGCCAGCAAATTTAAAACCTACAGGGTGGTAGGGGTGAGGGGGGCGGTGAGCGCAGTGGCTCACCCCTATAATTCCAGCACTTTGGGAGGCTGAGGCTGGTAGATCACTTGAGACTAGGAGTTCGAGACCAGCCTGGCCAACATGGTAGAGAAACCCTTTCTTTATTAAAAATACAAAAAATTAGCCAGGCATGGTGGCAGGTGTCTGTAATCCCAGCTACTTCAGAGGCTGAGGCATGAGAACCGCTTGAACCTGGGAGGCGGAGGTTACAGCGAGCCGAGATTGTACCACTGCATTCCAGGCTGGGCGACAGAGCGAGGCTCTGTCTCAGTAAAATTAAATTAAATTAAATTAAATTAAATTAAATTAAATTAAACTAAATTAAACCTGGGGGTGAGGGGGAAACACATAACTTCCTGAGGGTGGGGGAGAGGAGAAATCGCAGAGTTGATTCACAAGAAAATAGAAAATCTGAATAAAACAGTAAAGAATAATAAAATTGAAACGATAATTCAAAGTCCTCTAAGTCTTCCCTTTCCAAAAAACCATAGGCCCCCTTTTGGCTTTATAGGATAGGTCCAATAGACTTTTAAAAAGTAATTTCTTACGGAAAACAAACAATATAACTTTTCAATCCTTTTTAAGAAATTAATGTAATCCTGATTTCAAAACCAGATAAAGGTAACACAAAAAGGAATAAAATGTATTTATAAACATAGGTGATAAATTGCAAATAACATAATAGATATCCAATTCTAGCAGTGTATTAAGCAATCAGACAGAATTCTTCTCAGAAATTCAGAAATCTTTTACCATTGGAAAATCTATCAGTATTAGTCACTACAGTAATACACTAGATGAGAACAATCATATAATCCTGAAACATTTGACAAAGTTTAACACCTATTTATGGATTTCTAAAATGTGCTCTTAGCAAACTAGGCATAGGAGAGAACTTCTTCATCATAAATGTTACATGCCAAAAATTTTACACTTAATGGCCAAATCTCATATACAAAACCATTATACTAATGTGGGAAGTGTAAGTGTGTTCCTATTAAAATTGGAATAAGAAAAGAATGCTTGCTATAATTGTTAGTATTTAATGATACTGAACTATTATGATAATGGAAAGCCACAATGATACAAAGAACAAAATAATTAAAAGATTATTCTAAATAATCATTGAATTACTCACAGATAATATAATCATATGCCCAAGAAAAAACAACAGAATAAACAAACTTTAGAACTAAGAGATTTTGGCAAGATTGCCAAAGACATTAATAGTAATAACTAATATATTGACTTACTTATTACTTACTATGCACCTGATACTATGTGCTTCACACATAGATCTTGAATTCTCCCCATCAACTTTTTTCTTTTTCTTTTTTGAGACAGAGTCTCACTCCATTGTCCAGGCAATGGCGTGATCTCAGCTCACTGCAATCTCCACCTACGGGGTTCAAGTGATTCTCTCGTCTCAGCCTCTGGAGTAGCTGGGATTATAGGCACATGCCCCCACACCCGGCTAATATTTTTTGTATTTTTAGTAGACAAAGGGGTTCTCTACCATGTTGGCCAGGCTGGTCTCAAACCCCTGACCTCAGGTGACCCACCCACCTCAGCCTCTTGAAGTAAGTATTCTTATTATCTGTATTTCACAGTCAAGGAACCTGGAGGACAGGAAGCTTAAGTGACTTCCTCAAGGCCAAACAGCTGGTTTGTGCTAAAGCAGGACTTCAACCCAGACAGCTCTAGCTCATGAGGTCATGCCCTTAATCACAATGCTGTTCTGCTACTACAACTTAAACAAAAATCAGTAGTGTTCCTCTACACCGGCACTATGCATTAGACATCAGAATATGATGCCTTTAATAATAGCAGCAACAAAATCAGAAAACACCCAGGAATTAACCAAAAATATATCAGTTTTCCACATAGAAAAGCTTAACACTTGAATAAAGGCTACAGAAAGTAACCCAATCCACTGATGGACACAGATGACTTGAATAAATAGAGAAGCATTTCATGCTTTTCAGCAAGATGGCATAACAGTATAAAGATATGTTATCCTCAATCTGCCTTTAAATTCAATGCAATCCCAATCAAAATTCCCACTGTATTTTTCTGAAATTTTCTAAAGATACTTTAAAATTCATAGGAATGAATAGCAATTCACAAATAGCTAACGGAACTTGGGGAAAAAAGAGCAAAGTGTGTCTTAGTATTTCCAAAGACAAAAAGATATAGCAGTAAAAATAGTATTAATTAATGCATACATAGGTAAATGGAACAATAAGAGAAAGTAAGATAGAAACAGATCCATATTTTTATGAAAATTTCATATAGAATAGAGGCAACACCATAAACCAATGAAGAAAAGATGGACTATTGAGTAGGTTGTACTAGGAAAATTACATCTCCATGGAGAGAAATAAAACTAGATCACTAGCTAACATCATACATAAAGGTGAATTCCAGATATAGTGAACATTTAATTGTAAAATTTTAATCCCTAAATATAATAATAGATAATGTAGGAGACTATTTTTTTCTGTGTCATGATCACAAAGAAGAGAAAACCCTAAAGGCCAACAGCTTTGAAAAAATACTCAAACTTTATAGTAATCTTAAAAATGCAAAATACAATAGCAGTGAGATTTCACTTTATACCCACTGCACTCACAAAAATTATAAAGTTGGGTAGTGGCAGGTGTTGGTGGGGATGTGGGGCTATTAAACTTTTATAAAGTGTAGCGTTACAGAGTTTTGGAGAACATCCAGCATGATTTAACTAAATTATGACTGTCTGATCTGGAAAATTCTGCATTTATCATGTACCTAGCATAATAAATGACATTAGGCACATACCATGTATGTTCTTATCATTTTTAAACACTGCATTTTATTTCACAGAATTACAAGTATATTATACAGTGTTCGGTGTTGTATAACAGTTGGCCTCTCACTGAAAGCCAGCTGACATTTGTTCAAGCACTGAAAGACTTAAAGAAAAGTAATACCAAAGGTATGTCACCCTAAATGTTTAAACATGCACTTTACATTTGAATAAGTTGATATTTAAATATTTAATAATAAATTGATTTAGTCATGAAAATATCATTGTATGATGTTTTATTACACATTATAATTTGTACTCTATATCCTGTTACATTTCCTGTTGTGTTAATTGATTATATGTTTCAATATTTTTACTGCCTGTTTTATAAGGAAAAAATATGATTAGTTAGATGTAATGTAAGCACATTTTGTCTAGTTAATAAAAATTACTAATTGATTATACTTTTGAACATTTCAAAAATGTATGACATTTTTCTATTTATAAAATTATATTTGCCCATATTTTTTGAGAATATATAGCATTAAATACAAGCTTTTAAAATATTTCACAAATTCTTCAATTCCAGAAGAATAATTTTCTAGTGAAAGAGTACTCTGGTTTATTTTTTCAAAATATAAACTACTCTAGTATTCCTGGCCAGGAAGCTTGTTGCTTTCAAAAAAGAGAATCAAAGGGAAATCTCCAACAGCTTTATATCCCATTGGGCAATCTAATAATTGAATCTGAAAGAATGTGTATTTTCTATTTATGTTCTCTTTCAAATTTAAGCTAGATTGCCTAATCATAAAATAATATATGCATGTTATTTTTAAAATAAAATAAACCCATGCAATACAAAAGGGTATAACATAAAATGTAAAAGCCTCCATTTCTTCCTGGGTCCCATTAACCTGAGTTCAAACACTTGATGGTAGCCACCACCGAAGTGGGCTTTGTCATCATTCAGAATTTTTAGTATACATACAACACGCTTATGATAAGACGTAAACTCTTAGTCCTTTTCGTCCTCTAAGAAACAGTAAATTTTATCTATTATTTATATTCCTCTATTAGAATGCAAGCCCCTGAAGAATGAGGAGTTTTGTCCATTTTCACCTGTTTCGTCCCTTGCATTATCCCTAGTTAGATCCCATATGAACAGTAAGCACCCCACAATATTAGCTGAATGAGTAAATGGAAGGATACATGTAAGCTATTCCTATTATTATTACCCTTATTTATTAATTGCCAACAACTCTGTTCAGGCGTTTGCTTGCTTCTATTATCTGCCTGGACCTGATCAAGAAAGAGCTTAAAAAGGTTTGTGTGTACAGAAGTTAAGAGAAAACTGTTATTGCCAGGCTTACTTTATTAGAAGGTATAGATTCTAGTATGTGTCTTAAAATTCAAAGAAAAGCTATAAAAATGTATGACACCAAGAGTTCCCATTTCCACTCAAATGTATTGAGTGTGCTTCCATAGCAACGCATCACACTGCCGAAATTCCAACGGCATCGCACTGTGCGGCCTCTTCTGAGGTTCCTCTCTCATTGGGCAGGGATGTGTTCTTCCTCGGTCTCATCATTGCATCTCTAGCACTAGTGGGAGATGTCAATAAGTGTTTAATGAATGAATGCATGAACATGCCACACCAGTGACCTCAGGTATGTGTAAATCCTAATGGCATCCTGGCCTGCTGTGTGGGCAAGATTCTGAGGCTGTGTTCAGGCTCAACGAGAAAGTTTTGTGATGTTTTATCAATATTCCACGTAGACACAGGAAGAGAAAGTGGTAGCACTGGGGCCACAGAGTCGCCGCCTCTTTGCTGTTCGTGTGTGGTATGTGGATAACTCCAGAGCAGACAATGGGGTGTTCAAACCTTGTTTTTTGAACGAGTGGCTGTGCTACTGCTCCATAGTGTTATACATAAAAACACTTTCGCACATTCCCTGGATAGTCATGGAATATGAATTTTGCCAAAACATCTGCCCATTCTACTTCAACCTCCCCTCCTAAAGCCAACACCCCTAACAGCCCAGCACACTGAGAATGTCTGAAACAGCAGACAAGGCTTCGATCTCATATTCTTGCCTACTAGAAGAGAACACAATTATTCTGTGAGTAAATGTCATATGAAAGCCGCAAATACCTTGCAGGCCACGTCTCAAGCCGAATACGCCCGAATACGCCTGTTGATTCCCTTGTTGTGGTTGCACAGGCGGTTGGCTTTGGCAATCACTTCCTTGCAGCTTGTTCCCGGATGCTGTGTTTCCGGCCCAGTTCCCTTCTCTGGGTCTTCAGCTGTGAAGGTTTCCTGGACCCACCTAATGTTGCCTAACCCTGTGTTATGGATTATCTACTGCTGTGAATTTGAGCCCTTTGATTATTTTGCAGTTGACCACCCACACCCACCAAGTTCTAATGGAAAATAAATGAAAAAAAAAAATCAGTTGTTTATGTTTATTTCTCTTTGCATGTTACCATATTCTCTTTCTCTATATGTTTTTCCCGTCAGGTTGCCACTTTTGTTCTCGCTTAAAGTAACCATTACCCTATTCCTACTTCCCCTGTGGTTCAAAGCAAAATCTCTTAGCTCATACCGTGCCCCCGCCCCTGGCCCCTGGCCCCCACCATTCTCTGTCTTCTTTTTCTCTATCAATTAACAGAAACCTGTTTGAAATAATGGATGGTACAAATCATGTGGTAATTTTGTGTTCCCCTACTGCAAAGAAGTAGATAGAGTATATGCCTAATACCAGTGGAATTAAATATTTTATGCTAAAGATTTAAGTGCAAATAAAATATTCACAATTATAGAAATCAAAGAATAAAGAAACAGCACAGTTTTGTATGAGCTTGTGTGTTCACCAAAGCTATTCTCATTTCCACTTTGTTCTTCAAGTTATAGGACTGGTAGATTTTACATTACATTTCTGAGGATTAAGAATTTCAATGGATCAGAGAATGACAGCCAGTTCTGATTTGTTTTGTTTTGCTTTTTGTTTTGGACAGTGTGGGCTTTTTCATGAGTTGCCTGTAACTCTTTATAATTCTGATTTCTGTATTATAATAGCGTGTTATACCTGTCTCAATAAGCTCAAAATAGTCATGCTACTGTTGTTTATAGCAATTATAAATTATAAACCCAGATCCATATGACAGAAAACAAATAATCTCATCATAAATCATAAAAGGAAAACTACAGAGCAACCTTGCTGAATTCAATTGAAGATCTTGCTCACAAGGAAAACCTGTTTCTGAATAATGTTTAAATGAGATTCATAAAAATGTGCAATCATGAAGAGGTATTTGTGAAAAAATTTTAAGCTTTTCAGGGAAAAATAGCATCACATAGTACAATGCTATTGACTAGAATTGCTTTCTCCCAATTCTCTAAAGTAAACTAATGTCTAATATGGTGCAAAAGAAAAATATCTCAATACTATTAAATTTAGTTAAATATATATATTATATTTATTATATATATATATCACACAGCTGGTTGCTGGCACAGCTGGGAATTCTAATGGAAATTAAATTCCATCAAGGGCATTTGAATGGGGAAAATAATAATATACAGTAGTACTGGTTTCACGTCTTTATTTGTGTCTCTGATAGAGGGCTGTATTATGGTTTTTTCCTATATTAATATGTAATTATATAATATATATTATATATTATATTTATATCATATGAAATATATTTGCCTAAATTTATTTATTATATATAAAACAATATATACATAATTTAAATACCTGTGTATATTTTCTGTGATAACTAGAAATTTGGTTTCAGTACTTATATGTTGAGTGTGTTATGTAAAATTTTGTAAATTTGGGATATTTAGAAAAAAAAATGACACCTTGAAATGTGTGGAGGAAGTGAGGGTAAAATAGTTTGTATTATACAAGAAAGTCTTGAAGGATACCAAGCATGAGAAATAAAGCTTTGCTTTGGAAGTAGAAGTAGCGGGAAGGAGAATGTGTCTCAGGCTATACGCAGGAGCCAGTGCTGGACTCACATCACTCACAGGAGCACTTACTGGGCATCACGTGTGCCTAAAGAGGGACTGATTCCTGCCAGAGAGCACAACATGAGGGACAGAGCAACAAGGAGAGTATCTGCACATAGCTCACTATTCAAGGCCATTCCCATTTCCTTCCACATCAGAAATGGTGGGGAGGAAAGATTCAGAAATGTTTCCTCTCACTTTAGGTCACAGAAATTCATAATTATTAATATTAAGACTTCATAACGTTAGACATTAGTGACCCTAAATTACCACCTCTCTTCAAAAATACATAAATGCGTAGAAGAAGAAAAGGCATACATAGAGAAAAAAAAAAGATCGTACATACCAATTAAAGTAATTAGTTCTGGATGTTGAAATTATTAGTAATTTTACTTTATCACTTGTATTTTATATCTAGAAACAAGTTTTAATGAAAAATATATAAATGGGAAGTTTTAAATGAGCACATACAATTTTAATCAGGAAAAAATATGGTACTTTTTAATTTTTAAACAAGAAAAACTCTGGAGAGACCTAGAAGTTTAATCACTCTAATTATAATTGAGTGCTATTATGTCCATCTTACTCAACTTAGTAGTTTTCATGCATTCTTCTTAATTCTCACAAAAACTTTGGGAAGTAGTTATTACCATCCCAGTTTTACAGATGAAGAAATGAGCCTTAGATGCTATGAATAATTTGCCTAAGTTTGCATAGGTTCGAAGGAGCAGAGTGAAGGTTCTAACATAAGTCTGATTTATTCCAAAGCCCAGAATCTTCCACCATATCATGTAAGCTCTTTAGATACTCTAACAAGTTGTATTGTCATAATAGTACTGGTGGTAGTGGTGATATTGATGGTACTGGTAGTAACTGCTAACATTTATGTCCAAGAAGGGCTTTACATATATTGACCCAATTAATCTTCCCAATAAACTTATGAGGTAGGTGTTATTACTACAGCATTGTCATTTTACAGATGAGGGAACTGGGATACAGACAGTTTAAGAAACTTGCTCTCAGTCACACAGCTAGTGACTGGCACAGCTGAGAATCTAATGGAAATTAAACTCCATCTAGGGCTTTGAATGGAGAAAAGTAATAATATACAGTAGTACTGGCTTCATATCTTTACAGTGTCTCTGAGAGATGTCTTTATCTATATTACTTTAGTGAACACAAAAGTAATATAAAGACGTCTGTCAGATATATATGACCCATATTGTTTTTCCCTGTTAATGGGTAACTATTAAGATTCTAGTGGAAAACTAGATAAAAACATTAATATCTGAAATGAACACAGTAGTTTAATTCATGAAATACAATAATGTAAATATGTAGAATTGGGTAATGGTACAAAATTAATAATATGAGTGAACACTCAACAAAATGGTATTATCATGTATTCCAAAGAAAAAATAAGTCTTCAGAAAATAATTACGTTTTCTTTCCTGATATCACATTTGAAAATTTTATGTGTGAATGACCAGCTGCTAAAATTAAATTACACTTTGGATTACATAGTATGTTTGTTGCTGAAAAGCAGCAAAGAAATTCAGAATTAAATTGTATTTAAAATGAAGTAGGAAAATTTTCTGTTTGAAAGAATATTTTGTTGGGCAATCTTCTTGAAAGTCAAGCAGCTTTCAAATTCAGAATAATTAAGTCTTTAATGTCATGTTTATAAATATTTAGTCAATTTGATTAAAGCATGTCTATATGTCAGCTGCTATGTATCAATTATATATACAACTTAAAATCTACCTGCTCTGATTTGAAGTGCATGATGTATTTCACACATCAGTTACTCCATACATAGAAAAATTACATATATAGAAAAATTCAGTTACTAATGTCTTTAATTTATCCACTTAGCTTACTTTGGTTTTTTTGCAACCTCCTCCTCCTGGGCTGAAGGGATTCTCGTGCCTCACCCTCCCAAGTAGCTGGGATTACAGACGTGCGCCACCATGCCTGGCTAATTTTTGTATTTTCAGTAGAGATGGGGTTTAACCATTTTGGTGAGGCTGATCTCAAATTCCTAGCCTCAAGCAATCCACTCATCTCGGCCTTCCCAAGTTGCTGGGATTACAGGCATGAGCCACCATGCTCAGCCAGCTTACTTTTAAAATATAAAATTTTATATCAAGAAGAAATTGGTTAAGGGTTTTCTGTTGTTGTTTTTTATTAGTACACTGGTGACCTAAGTTAAATTTGATATTCATCCTGAAGTCAATGTTGCCCCACTTATTTATACTCAACATTTAATTTATATGAAAAATACAATATGTAATTTGTGGGGTTTTTTTCAAAAATTCATGTCTTTATAACCCATGATAAGAAAGAATAAGGCTTGAAATAATGGCTATGTACAACTTAGGATATTTCTATTATAAATGTTTAGAAACCTTGGCCTCTGGTTAACATGAGGCAACAGTGCCACCTTTAGTATATTTTAAAACCTAAGTTTTGGTAAAAACTGCTTACTGAGATGGTTCATGGTCACTTAAGAAAATAGAAGGCTAGAGAACCTTGAGCAGATAGTACTTAGTGATGTCACCTGCCTTCATGTATAATTACTGGTGTTGTGATTTTAAATTCCTTTTGCCAATATGTTACAGTTTTGTGTTGCTGGCCTGGATCTTTGAAGTTGTAATCTATTTGTAAAAACAAATATAAATTTGTCATTCTCAAAAATATTTGGTTTCAAGTCTCATTGAATTTTATTAGCAGTATTATAACACTATTCCTTTAACTCTAATTAATATTATACTGTTGTTCTTTATTTGGCACAATGCATGGTGTAGCCAATTCAAGGTCTTTGAGGAAACCAAACATTATTAAATACATGTTATATGTATATTATTTATATATATAAAAAGACTTTTCTGTTTATATTTATCAAGTATAACTGTACTTGATAAATATATACTTTGTTCTAAACAAGTATTCTAGCTTAGAAATATGTAAATTTTCAAATTCCAACCTGATTTTATTTCTGATATATAAACCTAAGCACTGAATTTTAATCATAAAAACAAAACTGAATTTTTACAATTTTTATATGTTTCGTTATCCACTGAAGATTTCTGTCTACTGTGTTCTGGATATATGGAGGATATTGTAAGAGGAGACCTAAAGGCATAATGCTAATGGCCTTTTGAGCTCATTTCATCAACAAAATACTCCCTAAGCACTTCCTCTCTTCCAGGGGTATATTAATTTATTCCAATGGTCATTTCCTCTAGAGGTCTTCTGATTACATAAATATGCAATGTGAAGTAACATGTTTCATAATTCTTGGACTAGTAGAATGTTTTTTTCTTGCATCTTACAACTATATGTACTCCCAACACATATGTATTTCCTGTAAAGCTTTACATATTAAAGTTAAACAATCTGATAATCAGTATATATTATTAGTTCAACATTATACTAAATGAAATTAGGAATTTAAAATGAGGCATATAATGATGTTCTGGCCTTCAAAGAACTTAAAATTTATGTGAGAAAAGGTTACCCTAAATTACGCCATTAAAAATTTTGGAAATTATTTTATTCTGTATATTAAGAATGTAAAGAAGAAGGATGGCACATACCTGCCGTGTGCCTGACATTTTAGTAGGTACTTTGTGTATGTAAACTTGAATATTATATGTGCTAACTTCAGTGGAATCAAATACACCTAAATGTATTACTCAAACACTAAAAACTATGTGTAGTAAGACAAGAAAGCCCCAGAAATGCTTCATGGGGCAGCTTGAGATTCAATTTCAGCTGACATTTGTTAAGCATTTAAAAAACCCAGTGGGTGTATGATACCAGATATGATCCTATTTTAAATGCTCTATATTGATTATTTTAAGCTCTCTGGGCATGGTGCTAGTATCTCCATTACACAGAGAAGGAAACTTAGACTCAAAGGATGTAATAAACCTACAAAAGTTAACCTATTTAGCAGCTGAGCCAGAATTCACCTCTAGGTCATTTGACTATTGGACCAAAGGATTTTCCCCACAGCAAGACTTCTGAGCAGCTGAGATTGTTGGCAGAAGGGACAGTTTCCACTCCTATAGAGCGCTCACAGTCCCTTTGCAGTCTGGTAGGGTGGTTTGTCCCCCAATTTGAAAGTAGCTAATAAATGGGCACCAAGTAATTTATAAATATGGGTTATTTACAATTACTATTTTACATTGCTAATGGGGTGATTTACATGAGACTCCAGTTTTGAAAGGGACTAACAGGTTCTTTGAACTTGTATTTGAGAATACAGATTCAACTCTTATCAGTTGGGAGACTTGAGTAAATTATATAACTTCTCTGAATATACCCTGCTGGGATGCTTGAGACTTAAAAGAGAAGGAAACACAGTAAAGATTCAATAAATATTATTTTAAATAATAAATAAATTATTTAAATATTTTCCCCTCACCACTTCCATATTTAATTGTTAGAAGAGGTTAAAAAAGCATAAAGCTCATGTCCTTCATGTTGGGGAAAGGTAATTATACTCTTCTAAAAGTAAACCAGTGGTTCTCAAAGTGTGATCCTTGGATCAGCTGCCTTAGCACCATCTGGAAACTTGTGAAAAATGTACATTTTGAGGCCCTATCACAGACCTAGCAAATCAGAAACTTTAGGGTTGGTGCCCAGAAATCTGTTCTATGGTAAGCCCTTCAGGTGATTCTGACACAGGCTAAAGTTTGAGAACCACTCTTGTGAGGGTACCTTCAGCTTCTTTGAATCCTAAGTCATTGGCATTCTTCCCTTCAGCCCATCCCTTTGCAGCACTTCTCTGACAAAAGGGAAAACTGTAGCAACTTCTTAAAGCAGTGTTTCTCAAAGTACAACCTACAGGCCACTTGTGTCAGAATCACGTGAGGTACATTTTAAACTGCAGATTTCTGTGCCCCTCACCAGACTACAGAGTTGGAATCTCTGAGAGGTGGGCCTCAAGATGTGCATTTTACAGGTTATCTGTATGATTTCTACACTCACCAAAACTGTGAGTTGTTGTGTTACAATAAGCACACCATTAGCAGCCATATTTTGTGACAACAAACACAGCATTATTAGTAACAGACTTGTCTGGCAGCACGAGGTGAAAATAACGAGTTATTCTAGCTCAGTTTTTATGAGATTGGCTTATCTAAAGTGGGCCACAAAGGGAGCTCTAAAATTCTGTTAATCCCACACTCTATTGGCATTGAGAGCTCTAGGACCTGGATTTTCTTGGGACCAGAAGCTGAAGTTGTAGCTATGGCCAGTGAGGGTGGTTGAAGCCTGGTTACCTCATATTTGGGTTAGGATGAAGGGCTGGTACTGCAACACCTGGAGGCAGGGGAGGCCTGAGGAGACTGAAAAGAAGCAGCACTGAGTTTGCTTTTCTGTGAAGGCAGTGTTTCTGCCACCCCAAAGTTTATGGCTGACAAAAGATGTGAAAGAATGTAGGAGAAAAGGTGTCCTCTGTGGCCTTTCCTACTTTCTATCTTGGGTTTCTGAGAAAAGTTTATTTTAATATGTGGTTTTCTATAAAAATCTTTGTTTTTATTTCTTTTTTTCTTCTTATCCTGATGTTTCTAAATCTCTAATTTTAAGCCTTATCCTTCCTCTCATTTAAACAACCTTATTCTCTTTCTGTGAACTTTTTACTCACTTTTAAATCAGTCAATATTCATTTTTCCTTCCCATCACTAGCAAGAGCTGAACTGCTTAGAGTGTAATCTCACCTTCCTCCACAGAGTGCTCTGTAATTTCATACACTTGTGACAAGGTCTCCAGGCTAGATGAATTTTTCCACTATCCCAGGACCCTATCTCAGAAAAACAGCATGCACAGATCCTCAGAAGGTTTGGATAGAAAATAAATCCTGGAGAATGGCAGTGAAAATGGCAGGGTAAGAACTCTAAAAATTAGTAACTCCATGAAAGCAATGAAAAACCTGGCAAAAAATTATGACAGTCAACTTTTTCAGAACTCTGGAAACTTATAAAAGTCTGCAGCAAAAAAAGTTTGTTCAAGGAAAAAACAGCTGGATTTCTGTAAGAATAGGAAACTTTATGGCATTTTAACTTGTCCCATTCCTCAGCTCAGCAGTAGCTTTGGAAAAAAAAAAAAAAAACAGCCAATATTCCTGGCACATACTGGCGGATGCCAGAAGAAGTAAAATGGAGTTGGATTTATTTCAAGGTCTTATTCCCAAAGACTTATCATTATTTGACTTGTTTGATGATTTCCTGGAAGACTCCACTTAAAAGCTGAATCAAAACTACTGATTGTGCAGAGCTTTCTCCACAAAATGGTAGTCTGAGATTATGCAGTCTGAGGATATAGAATGAAGAAAAAGGAAGAGATCTTCAGAGACTTGTGGGACACCATCACACATACCAGCATGTACATAATGGGAACTCCAGAGGGAGAAGAAAAAGAGAAAGTGGCAGAAAGGCTATTTGAACTAATAATGGCTGAAAATGTCCAGATTTGATGAGAAACATTAACTGGCACATTCAAGAAGTTAAACTCCACATGGGAAAAATTCAAAGAGACCCAGAGCTAGACACCTCATAATTAAACTCTCTAAAGCAAGGAATCTTAAAAGCAGAAAGGGAGAAGTGGCTCATCACATACAAGTGATTCTCGGTAATATTAATAGCAAATTTTTACATCAACATCTAGGGAGACCAGAAGCCAGTGGGAAGACATATTCAAATAACTGCAAAGAAAATTATCAACCAAGAATTTTCTACCCAGAAAAGCTGTCATTCAAAAATAAAGGAGAAATTAAGATATCCCAGAAAAAAAAACAACTGAAAATATTTTTCAATTTATTTTGAAAACAAACCGAAGCAGTTTGTTTTGAAAACAAACTTGCCCTACAAAAGTACTACAGGAAGGTCTTCCAGCTATAAAAAAAAAAAGACACTAGGCAGTAACTTGAAGCTACATAAAGAAATAAAGTGTACCAGTAAAACTACATAGATAAATATGAAAGTCAATATAAATGTATTTTTTTTTGCTTATCACTCTGTATTCTCCTGATTTAAAAGACAACAGCTTAAAGCAATGATCATAAGTCTGTGTTGATGGGCTTTATACATATACATATGTATAAAGATGAAATTTGTGATAATAACAACATAAAGGGGGACAGAAATACGTGAACAAAGTTTTTGTATACTATTGAAATTAAACTGGTATTAATTCAAACTAGATGGTTATAAATTAACATTTTAATTATAATCCCCAAGCAACCACTAAGAAACTAACTCAAAAATCTATACAAACAAATAAAAAACAAGGGAATTAAAAAGTAAACAGTAGTGGAGGAATTGAGAAATAAAAAACAAGGTGTAGTGCATAAGAAATAATAAAAAGGCAGACATAAATCCTATCTTAATAATTATTTTAAATGTAAGTTAAGTAAACTCTCAAGTTAAAAGGCAGCAAATGGCTGAATGGCCAACAAACACATGACCTAATTATATGCTCTCTGTAAACAACATAGTTTCAAAAATACAAATAGTTTGAGAGCAAAAATATGGAAAAAACAATACCATAAAAAGAATAACCAAAAGAGACCTGGAGTGGCTATAGTAATACCAGACAAAATAGGGTCTAAGATGAAAAATGTTAATAGAGACAAAAAAAAGATACTTTAAAATGGTAAAAGGGTACTTCATCAAGCAATAGAGCAATTATAAACATACATAAACCTAACAACAGAATTCAAAATACATGAAGCAAAAACTGACAGAATTGAAAGAAGAAATAGACAATTCAACAATAATCGTTGGAAACTTTAATACCCCAATTTTAATAATGAGTAGACAAACTAAACAGAAAATTAGCAAGGAAATAGAAGGCTTGAACAACTCTGTAAACCAACTTGACCTAACATACCTATAGAATACTCCACTCAACAACAGCAGAATACACATTCTTCTCAAGGGCATATGGAACATTCTGCAATATAGACCATGTATAAATCAACAAAACAAGTCTAAATAAAAGTAAAACTATGGAATATTATACAAATATGTTTTCAGGTCACAATTGAAAGGAAGTAGAAGCAATAAGAAATAAATTGGAGGCCGGGCGCGGTAGCTCACGCCTGTAATCCCAGCACTTTGGGAGGCCGAGGCAGGCGGATCACGAGCTCACGAGATCAAGACCATCCTGGCTAACACGGTGAAACCCCGTCTCTACTAAAAATACAAAAAAAAAAAAAAAAAAAAAATTAGCCGGGCGTGGTGGCGGGCACCTGTAGTCCCAGCTACTCGGGAGGCTGAGGCAGGACAATGGCGTGAACCCGGGAGGTGGAGCTTGCAGTGAGCCAAGATTGTGCCACTGCACTCCAGCCTGGGCGACAGAGTGAGACTCCATCTCAAAAGAAAAAGAAAAAAAAAAAAGAAATTGGAGAATTTCACAATACCCGAAAATTAGACAACATACTCTCTTAACCAATGGAACAGAGAAGAAATCACAAGAGAAATTAAGAAATTCTTAGAAATGAATTAAAAAAAAAAACCGAGGATGCAGTAAAAGTAGTGTTGAGAGAAATATATAGCTACAAATGCTTGTATTACAAAGACGTAAGATCACAAATCAATAACTTATCTTCCATCTTAAAAAACTAGAAAACTAGAAAAAGAAGAGATAACTGTGTCTAAACCAATCAGAAGTAAGGGAATAATAAAGATTACAGCAGAGGTAAATGAGTTCAATATTGTATTACAAGTACTAGCCAACACAATTATGCAATAAATGAAACAAATGGCATCCATATTGGAAATAAATTGTATAGTGGTGATGGTTACACAGTCTTATAAATGTACCAAAGCCTGCGGGTTCATCCACTCACTCAATGGTGAGTGTTTGGTATATGAATTATATGTAGATTTTATGAAAACGAGTCCAACAGGCCTTTATAAAAATCTGTGTGATTGAAAAAATACAAATCTATTAGCTTAACCATATGTCCCTGAGTTGATTCCCTTGTCCCCTGTGAAACCATTTTATTGTTATATTATGACTCACCATTTTTTATTTTTATGTCTCTCTAGCTTATGGTGAAAGACACGAGGAGTTAATTAACTTAGGAAGCCCAGACTCCCACACTATTAGTGAGGGACAAAAATCTTCAGTAACTTCCAAAACAACAAGGAAAGGCAAAGAAAAGTCTTCTGAGAAAGAAAAGACAGCCAAAGAAAAACAAGCACCTCGCTTTGAGCCTCAGGTGGGTGTGGAATTTTTTTTATTTGAGTGACTTAATGATTTTAGGTTCAGTGGATTCCTATTTGCCTATCTCGTCTGAGGACAAAACCGTGAAACATTCTTTCTCCCTGATTCCAGAAACCATCTAGATACTTTGAGGACATTCCTTGGACACCTTCCTCAAGCTCCCTTTTCTAGTTCAGTATCAAAAACTATCAATTAAACCTTTAGTATGTAGAACACTATTCATGGCACTTGGGTTTCTAAGATAAATATGACTCAGTACTAACCCTAAAAGAATTCACAGTCTAATAATGGAGGAGACTGAAGGTAAACTGAGAATTATAATGTTGAATGCTATATGTGCAGTGGTAGAAAGGATAGGTTCTAATACAGCCCCTTCCAGGAGGAACTGAGTTCTGAACCGAGTTAATAAGCAAAGACGTGATGAGGCGAAAACTCAACCTGGTTTTTTGAAGCATTAAAGTATGAGAGATGAGGCTGGAGGGGTCAGTAAGGGTCAGCTGGAAAAGGGCCTTAAAGCGTCATTGGAAGGCTGGGACTCTATATACAGTCCAGAGGTTATGAGTCTAAACTCCTTCAGGGCCAGTTAGAAAATTGCCATGATTAGGGGTAAGGAAAAGGATGTGGATGGCAAACTTGAGGAGTACAAGCACAGGCCTAAAGATTTTCAAGTAACCAAAAAACAGCGCACTCTAAACAAGATACCTATGAGTACAAAATCTTCCCACCATTTATGCCTAGGTTAAGCAGGACTGGAACTAGGGGTATTTAAGAAGCACATTAACATGATCAGATTTACATTTCAGATACCCTAGTGGCTTTTAAGGGTGTGGACTTAAAGGAGAAAAGACAGGAGAGGAAGATAATTCAAGAAAATACTTCAGTAATCTAAGCAAAAGAGTGCAAAGTGTGTCAGGAACAGGAAAAAAGGAAGGATGGGACAGATCAAGAAGTATCTGGAAAACAAAAGGTGGGGTGCAGTTATTAATCCAAAGTGGGTGTTAAGGAACAAGAAGGAACAAAGTATATCTCTCAGGTTTCCAGCAGGAATAGCTGAGTAGGATGTCAGTACCATTAAGAAAATAGACAATAAAGGAAAATTAACAAATAAGAAGAGATGATGACTTGTTGTTTCAGACTCCAGGAATGGTTCCTATAGATTTCAAAGATTTCATTTCTTAGCTGAAGTCTACCCTTAGAAGTAAATAAGATTAACCCAATCCATAGATTCCTACAAGAAGACCTCCCTTAGTACCTTCACAGTGCTCCCTTTCCTGATCAAAATTTGATCCCAGAAAAGTCTCTGATAAATTCATGTATTAAGCAATTTAAAAAATAATAAAAGCTAATATACCCTGTGTTAAAAGGAGGAAATAAAATAATTTCCAATTGTGAAAGTCAATTCTCACCAGAATATTAGGGAAATATTGTAGAAAGCAAGGTCATTTGGTAACACTAAAACCAAACTGCAGGTGGAAACTGTATTCAGTGATTATATCAATCCACTCTTCCCAGCTGCATTATTTATCAGTGATAATTGACATAGCCTCGACCTTATGTAAAGTGCTATGTAACCACAATAGTTTCAATCCTCTCTTCCTACCCAATTGCCACCTATGAGCCTCACCTACGTAAAACTTGTCTCCCAGCCTATGATACATGCAGGTGATCCCATGAGACATTAAAATGTTGTTAATTTTCATGATGAATATGTAGCAAGTATATACAGACCTGGAAATGATCAACTATCCTACTCTCATTTTTATGAAGAGATGCTATGAGTGAACATAATTACAATTTATAATTTAATGTGTACAGTTTTAAGTAAAATTTGCATACATGAAATGCACAAATCACAGTTATAACATTCAGTGAGTTTTGATCAATGTATTCACCATGTAATCCATGACCCTATCAAGATATAAATTATAGATAATTCCCGAGTTTATGGAAATAATCTCAAACTTCTTTGCATTCAATTTTCTAATTCTCACACCTCATCTCCTGGTAACAACTGATCTTTCAGTCACCATAGATTAGTTTTGCCTAAATTGCTCTGGAATTTCATACTAATGACATACAAGACGATGTACCCTTTTGTGTTCGACTTCTTTATCAAAGTATAATATCTGTCTGTGGTGTATATCAATAGTTTATTACTTTTTAATATTAAGCAGAGCCCAATTATATGACTATATTACAATTTGTTTATCCATTCCTCGATTGATAGACATATATGTTGGTTTTTTGTGTGTATTATGAATAAGACTGCAATGAACATTTTCGTACAAGTCTTTTGTGAATATATGTTTTCATTTATCTCTAGTAAATACCTAATAGTGAAATTATGTATCATATGGTAAAATCTAGACCCTTTTGAAAGAAGGAAAGCATGCAAAACCCAAAGGTTTTTATTTTATCAGATATCCACTGTTCACCCTCAACAAGAAGACCCAAATAAACCCTACTGGATTTTGAGGTTGGTCACTGAACACAATGAATCAGAATTATTTGAAGTGAAAAAGGATACAGAAAGGGCAGATGAAATCCGAGCCATGAAACAAGCCTGGGAGACAACTGAGCCAGGAAGAGCAATCAAGGTCACCTGATTTCGAAAAGCTGTCATCTTTTACTTTTCCTCCTTAGGCATGCTCTGAAAAAAATAGTCATGCTGGTAAAAACCATATAGCCTGTCCTTTAGTAATGGTATCTGAAATTTTATCAGACAGGCATTGAATAACTACGTTAGGACCACCTTTGGACACATTGTAAAATGTTACCCTCCTGATTACCCAAAGGACTTGCAAAAACAAAGCACATGGTGGTACCAATTATAGGCCCACACTATGGGTTACCTCATTCTTTCACATAGCCCTGGCTTTCTGCACGTCTGCTCTTAACACCCCCAAGTAAGAAAGCATTCAAATGTTTAATATGTGCTTTACTACACTTTGCGCAGCCTTAGATGGATTAAAAACCATGTGCTGCCCCCTTGTGGAATATACACACCTAGTCTCTAGAGTCTAGAGACCCTAGAGAGTCTCTGACCTATTTCCTGTAAGAGCGATTGCCATAGTGACACTATTACCATGTAAGTGCTTCATGTCACAACTCAGGGTTATTGGGCAGATGAAAAAGATTCAGGAACCACTGCATCTAAGATAGTATGCCCAGAAATGTATTCTTTTTAGGGCTGCTTCTTCATCTATTCTCAAAAATAACTGTCAAAATCATGGATGATTCAGAATTTGAGTTTATCTGATAATGAAGAAGAGCTGGTCTGCTTCATTTAGACTGCCCTATTTAATTCACATTTTCCTGTTTCGTTTTCGATTGAATACCATTAACATGTATTACCTGTACTGGTTGTTGCTTTTGAAGAGCTTTTAAAAAGCTGCTCATGTTTGTTTTTTAGGCTTCTCAGGCTCGTTTGCATTACCTTAGCGGGTTCATTAAGAAAACATCTGATGCTGAGAGTCCGCCTATATCTGAAAGCCAAACTAAACCAAAAGAAGAAGGTGAGTGGATCCTACCACCCCAGCTGCCTCAGAGCACAGAGCTGTGATTTGCACTTCTTAAAAAAATAATCAGTGGGTTGTGCTTGGTGAAAAGGAGACATTTCAGAATCTCGTTTCTTGAGGATTATAAAAAGTCGCACAATTTCAGATAACTATATGAATAGTGCTTCAATTTTCAAATCACTTTCACACATTTTCCCATTTAAGTCCTACATCTCCCCCTTCACACACACTGTGCAAGGAGATGTGATTTTCTCCATTTAACAAATGATAAAACCAGAAAGAATGATGCAACCTAGTTAGAAAGTAGCAGTATAAAACTTGAAGGTAGGTCTACTACTATATTATTATTAGAAAGGTACCAGACTTAAACAATAACAAAAAGAAGTCATTTTTAAGTATATAATATATATTTTAAGTATATATTATATTATTTATATATATTTAAGTTAGTATATATATATATTTAAGTATATATTATATTATATATATTTAAGTATATATTATAATATTATTCCAGTTTATCAATAAGGACACAGGCACCAGAGACCCTCAGTAATAGTCTAAGTTCAGGGCCAGAGACAGAATTGGCCTGCAGACAGGCCCTTCATAATGCCAGTGTCTTCTCACAGCTACTTGACTGATTACATCGATTGCCACACTGAGGTGTCCGTGGAGGCAGAAGGCGTTCACATCCCAAATCATGCTTTTCCATTTTTGTATATTCAGGAATGTAATTCAATAATTGTTATAAAAATAATATCTCTTAACTTTTCATATGAACAGTGTGAATAGCAAGTACCATCCTAATTCTGTTATCCTGGGATAGGCAAAGCATTTTACATTTATTACCTCACTTTAACCTATAGCAACTATGAGGTATGTATTACTTAGTCTACTCATCTTAGAGATAAAGAGACCAAAGCTCAGAGAGCCACCTTATTCTTCCTAAGTCATCCATCTCAAAAGTGATGAAGTTGGGATCTGAAATATTTCTAACTCAAGTACTCACTCCTCTAATAGAGTCTAATGTAATGCTAGGAAAACAAAGGTGAATAGGATTCAGTTCTTGTCTTTTAGGCTATAGATTTATTATTTTTTTTATATTTTGTTTTAATGTATGTGTATAAAATATTACACTGAATACATTAAACATGACCAAAAATAGGGGAAGTCTCCCCTACTTCCAGGCTACTGAAGTAGGAGAGAAAGATTGAATTCAACCGTAGATACAACAGGAACAAGTGGGGAATTAAAACCAACAGTCCAGGTGAGGGAGTAGATGGTAAATTACTAAGAGGAACTTGGTTAGGTGTCAAGGGTCAGGAAAGAGGAACTTGATTTGATATCAAGTGGGGAAGGATTCTGGATAAACTGACTTAGCAGGATTTTTTGCTAAAACTGGGGTCAGCAGGCCAAGGACAAGGCCTAGTTGAGAACAGGGCTCAGAGACCCTGACCCTGTCATAGAACACACATACAATAAAAGCCACAAATTGTAACTGTACAGCTCGATTAATTTTTGCATGTGAATACTCAGTGGCCACTGCTTAGATCAAGATTGGAAACACCACATACTAAAGTCCTCCTCGTTTGTTTCCAAGTCATTTCCTCCCTCAAGGTAACAACTAGTTGACCCCCATCACCATCAAATAATTTTGCCTATTCTTGAACTTCAATTTAGACTCATATGTACCCCGTATGTCTCACTATTTAGTTATTTTATTTCTTACTGTGCCTGGAATAGTAAGCTTCATTTTATAAGAAATTTGTCTATTTTATGTAGGTTCAACTTACTGGAATAAGTTTCCTTTTTACCTTTTTTTCCTCAATCAGTCTTGCTCTAGGGATATATCAACTTTAATAATATTTTTAGGGAATCGACTTTTGACTACTGACTATCTGCCTCTTATTTCAACATTTCTTCATGCTCTTAAGTACTTTCCTATTGCCACCTTTCTTATTTCAACATTTCTTCATGCTCTTAAGTACTTTCCTATTGCCACCTTTCTTATTTCAACATTTCTTCATGCTCTTAAGTACTTTCCTATTGCCACCTTTCATTCAATGCAGAACATAACATGAATTTGGTCACCTGCAATTGATAAATAGGAAAATAATGTCTCTATATAATGAGGAAATTATGGTAGGTTTTACATAGTTTTTCCTAGGCTAGGGATCTGGAACACTGAATAGACTCAGAGTATCAAGAAAAAACTTCCCAGCTTTATGATGTCACAAGAAAGAGCTCTGTTCAGCTCTATTTTAAGACAATTTTAAATAAATGTCTGCATACAGGGATCCCCCTGCAGAGAGGAACACCCTATCTATTATGAAGCATTGTCAGCATAGGGCTAGTTGTACTTCCTCCAGGGCCGACCTTCACAGCATCCCCAATAATTCAAATATCCTATTTCCATGTATGCTGTCCCAACTTCTAAAAGCCTCTATTTTTATGTGACATTTTAATATATGGAGGCAGCTTTCAGACACACTTCCTGCCTGGGTCAGCCTTCTAGGGTGACAGTCATTACTTTTGCTAGTGCTCTGGTTAGAAGTTATAGAGCTTTTGAGTCATCTGCTCTAAATCTGTGCTCCCATCATCAAGCCCTGTTACTGTTTGCATGTGATTTCATGGAACGCCAGCTTTTTCAGTAATGCACATGTCATGTTGTAGTAGAAACAGCTGCACGTGGCGTAAAAGAACCAAACTCAAAGAATTCTGCAGGTTCAGAGAGCAAAGAGATGACACAAACAGGATCAGGGAGTGCGGTGTGGAAGAAGTGGCAATTGACCAAAGGCTTGAGGGATGTGGCAAAATCCACGAGTAGCGAAAGTGGAGGAGTGTCTTCACCAGGGAAAGAAGAGCGCGAGCAGAGCACACGGAAGGAAAACATTCGTAAGTATTGCTGTCATTGGTAACATAAACATGTATTTTCAAATAAAAATTATGGAAAAGATTTTAACTTAAACATCAGTGACGGCTAGGGCTATAGAAGTAGAAAAGATGTCTTTCCGATATATAGATTTTCATTTTACTTAATGGAGTTGGGAATTTGCTCAAGGACCTGACTACTAAATATTAACCAAAAGACAAAAGTGGGCAAAAGCCCCCCTACAGATTTGCAGGTGTATTTTTTCTGTGTATAGGTTTTCTGTGTCTACAAATGCTAGAAATAAAATGTCAGCATTCACACATACACTTCTCGTTAAACACAGATTTTTTTGTGTTATCTGTAGTATGCTACAAGATAGATTTCCTTTTTACCTTTCATAGCAAATTTTAAGAATGTCATTTTTTAAATGTTGAAAAAGAGCAATTTTCAGTGGTGCACAAGTCACCCTGACCTGATTCATTTCTATATGGATTCATATCTGTTCACTAAACTGAACTAAAACCCTGATCAAAGGAAAATGCCTTTCCACACTCCTGGTTTCCATGAATTCCTAAGCAACTCCTCAACTCCTTCTGTCTTAAAGGGAACTAAATGTCCTATTAATGCATTTGGAGAGAATGAATGAGGCTGCCCATGGAAGCACTGCTTCTCTCTCAGGTGTGAGCACTACCTAGACTGTGCTGGAACAGTCAGTCAGCTTCAGGTGATCATGGCCCATTTGTCTCTCACATCAAGCTACATCCTCCGATTAAACCTGGATCAATAGTATAATCTTACTCTATTTTTCTACTTGTTTTGAACCCAGACAGCAAAGAAAGAAATCTTAGAAAGAAGCATTCTCAGAAAAGCCAACAATGGTTCTTTTCTCAAAATTGCTAAACAATTCTGAGAATTTTTAAATTAAGAAGTGTTTAAAGCTAAAGTATGTCCTTAAGTGATTTCCATACTGAGAGGAAAATTCTAAAATTAAAAGGAATCTTTTACTATACTAACAAGAGATTCTGATATTTTTTAACCAATATTTTGAAAGTACATGCCCATTCAATAGGTAATAGCTCACATGATGGTAGCAGTAAAACTCATTAGAACACATTTCATTTACCATTAATATTTAATTTGTAGAGTAATTTTTCCACTCTTATCTCACTTGAGATTCCAGGAATTAGAGAAAGCATATATTGCTATCTCCACTTCTAAAATGACAGAATTGGCAAATAACTCACCCAAGGGCAGGAAACTGATGCAGTTTGGCTAGAACCTGGACTTACACCCAGCTCTTTGGTCTCCATATATTGTGATCTTGAACTGAACACAAACTTTTCCTCATCCTTAGTTAATTTAAAGATCTATAAAATAGAAAAATGTAGCCAAAACAATGCAACTTAAATTCTGATATCAAATTATTTACTTATGTGCTAACAAAGTAATCCTTTTTGAAATTTCATTTTTAATTAACAAATAATTATATATATTTATGGGGTACAATGGGATGTTTTGATACATGTATAGGTTATGGAATGATCAAATTAGGCTAATAAATATATTCATTACCTCAAATACTTATTATTTCCTTGGAGTGAGATCATTTAATATCCACTCTTTGAGCTATTTTGAAACATCCAATAAATTGTTAGCTGTGTTCACCAAGCTATGCAATAGAACACCAGAACCTATTCCTGCTAGCTAACTGAAACTAACTATACCCTTTGACCAACATTTTCCCTTTCCTTGTCCACTACACTATGACCCCCCAGCCTCTGGTAACCACCATCCTAATATCTATATCTACAAGTTCAACATTTTTAGATTCCACATATAAATGAGATCATGCCGCATTTGTCTCTCTGTGGCTGGCTTTTTTACTTAGCATCTTGTCCTCCAGGTTTGTCCATAATGTGGCAAATGACAGAATTTTCTGTTTGTTAAAGGCTGAAGAGCATTCCATTGTGTCTACATACCACATTTTAAAAAATCCATTCCTCTACTGATGCGTACTTTGGTCCTTTCAACATATTGGCTGTTGTGAATAACGTAATGCACATACAAGTACAGACACCTCTTTTACGTACTTATTTTAATTCCTTTGGATATATACCCACAGGCAGGATTGCTGGATCATGTGGTAATTCTACTTTTAGTTTCTTGAATAACCTCCATACTGGTGTTTCAAATGGCTTGTAATAATTCCCAGTACCACCAAAGTGTACCTGAGTTCCCTTTTATTCACACTCTCACCAATGCTTGTTATCTCTCATCTTTTTTTATAATAGCCAATGTAACAGGTATGAGGTAGTATCTCATTGTGGTTTTAACGTGCATTTTTCTGATGACTGGAGATGTTAATCATCTTTTTATATATGTGTGGGTCATTTGTGTCTCTTCTTTTGAGTAATATCTATTCAGGTTCTTTACCCATTTTTTAATGTAGTTATTTGCTTTCTTATTATTGAGTAGCTTAAGTTCCTTGTATGTATTGAATATTAGCCTCTTATCCAATGTATGGTTTGCAAATATTTTATCTCAACCCATGGTTGACTCATCACTTTTCATTGTTTCATTTGCACAGCAAAGGTTTTTAGTTTGGTACAGTCCCACTTGTCTATTTTTACTTTTGTTTCTGTGCTCTTAGGATCATATTCAAAGAAAATATTGCCCACACTGATATCATGGGCTGTTTCTCCTGTTTTTCTTCTAGTAGTTTTATACTTTCTGGACTTATGTTTAAGTTTTTAATCTATTTTTAGTTGATCATTTTTGGTTTTTGTTTTATTTTTAGAAAGGTTGGAGTATAGTGGCTCAATCATGGCTCGCTGCAGCCTCAACCTCCCAGACTCAAGTGATCTGCCCACCTCAGTCTCCTGAGTAGCTGAGACTATAAGCGCATGCCACCATTTCTGGTGAATATTTTATTTTTTATAGAGATGAGGTCTCACTATGTTGCCCAGGCTAGTCTCAAATTTATGGGCTCAAGGAATCCTCCAGCCTCAGCCTCCTAAAGTTCTGGGTTTACAGGCATGAGCCACCCTGGCCTAAGCTGATTCTTATATAAGGGTCCATTTTATTTCTTTTGTATGTGAATATCAGGTTTTCCAAACACCGTTTATTGAAGAGATTTCCCTTTCCCATTGTGTGTTCTGTTCCATTTGTTTTCAGTTTAGTTTTTATTTTGAGACAGGGCCTTGCTCAGTCACCCGAACTGGAGTTCAGTGGCACAATAACAGCTCATTGCAGCCTCAACCTCCTGGGCTCAAGCAGTTCTCCACCTCAGCTTCCTAAGTAGCTGAGACTACAGGCATGTGCCACTGCACCTTGCTTTTTTTTTTTTTTTTTTTTTTAATTTTTGTAGAGATGCAGTCTTACCATATTGCCCTGGCTGTTCTTGAATTCCTGGGCTCAAGCTATGCTCCCACCTTGGCCTCCCAAAGTGCTAGGATGACAGGCGTGAGCCACCACACTCAGCCTCTATTCCATTTGTTGATGTGTCTGTTTTTATGCCAGTACCATGTTGTTTTGATTAGTGTAGCTTTGTAATATGTTTTGAAGTCTGGTGATGCCTCCCTCGTTATTTTTGGTCCAGATGGCTTTGCATATATGGTGTCTTTTGGGGTTCCATACAAATTTTAGGAATCTTTTTGTCTACTTCTCTGAAGAACGACATTAGAATTTTGGTAGGGATTGTATTGAATTCGTGGATTGCTTTGAGTGGTATGGACATTTTAACATTAATTCTTCCAGTCTATGAACACAGGATGTTTTTCTATTTATTTATGTCACCTTCAATTTCTTTCATCAATATTTTCTCCAAGGCTGCACCAACCTACACCCATGCAGTCTGCACTGTGCTCTGAAACTAATAAGGTAATCTTTAAATTGAGAAAATTGACTATAATCATGATTCATCATTTTATACCAGCCCAGGGGCAGTCACAGCACAGACTTTTTTTTTTTTTACCCAGAGTCCCAGACCAGTGTTGTAAGGCATGGAAGCTCAAGCCCCAGTTTCAGCTCATCTGCTCCTAATTTCTTCACACTTTTGGCCATCAGAGTCTTTGGACATTTGCAATAAAGTCTACGTAGTTGTGAACGGGTATACTTTTGCATAGAGAGGAGAAATAAGAACAGGGAGGAAAGATAAAAGTCAGCAGGAAAGGAGGACCTAGACCAAGCAGCCTATCTCCAAGCACAAAATGTCTTCAAGACATTTCTCAAACACTTGAAAACATTTATTATCATTTTAATGTTTGCACCCCGTTGTGTCTGGAGTTGGTTCCTTCCAGTGGGTTCCTGGTCTCGCTGACTTCAAGAATGAAGCCACGGACCTTCGCAGTGAGTGTTACAGCTCTTAAAGATGGCATGGACCCAAGGAGTGAGTGGTAGCAAGGTTTATTGTGAAGAGCAAAAGAACAAAGCTTCCACAACATGGAAGGGGACCCAAGCAGGTTGCTGCTTCTGGCTGTGGTGGCCAGCTTTTATTCCATTATTTGTCCCATCCCATGTTCTGTTTCTGTCCTATCAGATTGCCCTTTTTTCAATCCTCCCCACGATTGGCTACTTTTAGACTCCTGATGAGTGGCGCATTTTACAGAGCGCTGATTGGTGCATTTTACAGAGCACTGATTGGTGCGTTTTACAGAGCACTGATTGTTGTGTTTTACAGAGTGCTGATTGGTGCATTTTACAATCCTCTTGTAAGACAGAAAAGTTCTCCAAGTCCCCACTTGACCCAGGAAGTCAATCTGGCTTCACCTTTCAATCCCCCCACTAAACAGGACACCCCAGCTGCTGCTGGGAATGGGGTGATGACCACTGTAGCTACTTCCTGCTGGATGGGGGCAAAGAAGGGGCCCTGCAGTTGTAGTGTCCTCCAGAGAGGAGCTCTCTAGGCCAGTCAAACAGCCAGTGGGTCGGTCCAGGGGTCCTCAGTAGAAGTTATGAGTTGAGCTCATTTGGGGTTCCATTTGTAAGACCATCTGTAGCTTGATGGCCTTGATCCTGGAGGAAATAAATTTGACAAGGAGGTTAAAAATACAGGGCCCGAAGGCGAGTAATAGCAAGATGGCTGTTATGGTAACTAGAAAGGGGAGAAGCCATGTCACCCAACTCCAGAAGTTGGTATAAGAGTTTGAAAGGTGTTGTCTGATTTCAGAAGCCTTTTCCTGTAAATGCCAGGCAGTGTCTTGTACTATCCCTGACTGGTTAGTGTAAAAGCAACACTCTTCCCCTAAGAAGGTACAAAGTCCTTCTTTCTCAGCAGTGAGGAGGTCTAGGCCTCAGTGGTTTTGGAGAGTCACTGCTGCCAAAGAGTCTATTTGGGATTGTAGAGTAAGGATAGATTTTGTTATTTCTTGCAAACTGTCTGAGAAATCCTTTGAGAGTGTGTGGTAGTAGGATAATGAAGTAGATAAACTGGCTATTCCGGTTCCTGTAGCAGTGGCCATTCCTAACCCTATATGTAGGGGTATTAGTTGTATGGCCCTGTGCTGACAGATTTGAGCTTTGAGGGGCACTGGTAGGGTCTGATTTCCTGGGGTAATGTTAATGTTGGCGATTAGGAAGACTAAGGTACAGGTGCATGTCCAGTTTGTAAGGAGGCAGATATAGGTTGAAGTTCCACATAAGAAGAATATGCCTTGGCTGGGTAGACAGAACTGGTTGTGTATGTTAAAAAGGTTGTGAGTTTATTGTTTTCATTTTCCCATACTCCTAGAGTACTTGCCAAGGTAGCTCCGGTGAGTGGCTGGAAAGGGGTGTTGGGAGCAAACTGAGTGGCTCCCCGTGTTCTATTGTCCCATTGGAGAAAAAACCTTACTGTTTCCTCACAAGTTTATCATGATTTTGTATATTTTTGAAAAAATTAAAAAATAATTTGGATATTATTGTTTTTTATATTTTTTAAAAGTTTGTAGTAAATTACATTTCTGAATGAGTTATAACTTCTAACAAATTATAAATTAAGCAATTTTCAATATTAAATATTACTGTGGCCTATTACAACCACATTTACATGCAAAATTAAATAGTTAAGGAAAGGGGGGTGGGACCTGGGGAATAGGAGAGTGAGAACTTGACACATCCTCTCCCAAAAAAAGCAAGAAGCAACAATAAACTAGAAAAAAATTATTAAAATGTTTCAGAAACCTAAAAATCAACTGAAGGCATAAAACTAAATAAAAAGTAATTACTAAAACTGAGAACCACAACAAAAAAGGAGAGACTACAGAGGGTCCATCTTATCGACTTGTCCTTGTTTGAGTATGAGACTTTAAACCAGTGAAAGTGGGGACAGCTTTGTACACTGCCAGAACTTTGAATGTGTACCCTAAACTACATAAAGGTCTCCTTGTCAAGAGTGGAAGCTTTACTGAATCAAGGAGTTTAAGAGAAATCTTGGAGAAAACATTGTATGACCCCTATTCTGACCCATTGGTGACCCCAAGGAAGCCAGGATTAAAAATAAATAAAAATTAAAGAAAATCATTACAAACATCATTAGCTGAAAATTGCAGGGGAAATAAGACTCTAGAAGCAAATTGCTAAGTAAACAAACAACTAAACAAAGAAAACCCACAATAATCCCTTGGGGAATCAGAATGCAGAGTAACTGCAATGTAGTATATCAATTGCACATGGGAACAGGCAAAAATTTCATGACAAAGACACCTAAAAGCAATTGCAACAAAAGCAAAAATTAACAAGTAGAATCTTATTAAACTTAAGAGCTTCTGCACAGTAAAGGAACTATCAACAGAGTAAACAAACAACCTACAGAAAGGGAGAAAATTTTTGCAAACTATCCATCTGACAAAGTTGTAATGTTCAGCATCTATAAGGAACTTAAACAAATTTATAAGAGAAAAACAACCCCATTAAAAAGTTGGAAAAGGACATGAACAGACATATTTCTAAAGAAGACATACATGCAGCCAATAAGCACATGAAAAAAAGCTCAATGTCACTGATCATTAGAAAAATATAAATCAAAACCACAATGAGATACCATCTCACACCAGCCAGAATGGCTATTATTAATAGCCTGACAGATGCTGGTCAGGTTGTGGAGAAAAAGGAACACTTATACATTGTTGGTGGGAGTGTAAATTAGCTCAACCATTTGATGTAGCAATCCCATTACTGGATGTATACCCAGAGGAATACAAATCATTCTACCATAAAGACACATGCATGTGAATGTTCATTGCAGCACTACTCAGAATAGCAAAGACATGGAAGCAACCTAAATGCCCATCAGTGACAGATGGGATAAAGAAAATGTGGTACATATGCACCATGGAAGTCAAACTCGCTGTTTGCTGATGACATGATTGTATACTGAGAAAACCCTAAAGACTCATCCAAAAAGCTCCTAGATCTGATAAATGAATTCAGTAAAGTTTCAGGATGAAACATCAATGTACACAAATAAGTAGCACTGTTATACACCAGTAGCAACCAAACTGAGAAAAAAATCAAGAACTCAATCTCTTTCATAATAGCTGCAAAGAAAAAAAACTTAGGAATTTACCTAACCAAGGAGGTGAAAGAGCTCTAAAAGGAAAACTATAAAACACTGCTGGAAGAAATCATAGATGACACAAACAAATGAAAACACATCCCATGCTCATGGATGGGTAGAATCAATATTGTCAAAATGACCATACTGCCAAAAGCAATCTACAAATTCAATGCAATTCCCATCAAAATGCCATCATCATTCTTCACAGAACTAGAAAAAACAATCCAAAAATTCATTTGGAACCAAAAAAGAGCCTACATAGTGAAAGCACGACCAATCTGCATAGCCAAAGCAAGACTAAGCAAAAAGAAATCTGGAGGCATCACATTGCCCAACTTCAAACTATACTACAAGGCTATAGTTACCAAAACAGCATGGTACTTTCATGGAAACAGACACGTAGACAATGGAACAGAATAGAGAACCCAGAAATAAAGTCAATTACTTACAGCCATCTGTTCTTTAAAAAGCAAACAAAACAGAAAGTGGGGAAAGGACACACTTTTCAACAAATGGTGCTGGGATAATTGGCAAGCCACACGTAGAAGAATGAAACTGTATCCTCATCTCTCATCTTATACAAAAATCAACTCAAGATGGATCAAAGACTTAAATCTAAGACCAGAAACCATAAAGATTCCAGGAGATAACATCAGAAAAACCCCTTAGGCAAAGATTTCATGACCAAGAACCCAAAAGCAAATGCAACAAAAACAGATAAATAAATGAGAATTAAACTAAAAAGCTTCAGCACAGCAAAAGAAATAATCAGCAGAGTAAACAGACAACTCACAGAGTGGGAGAAATTCTTCCCAAACTATGCATTCGACAAAGGACAAATATCCAGAGTCTACAAGGAACTCAAACAAATCAGCAAGAAAAAATAACAAATAACCCCATCAAAAAGTGGGCTAAGGACATGAATAGACAATCTCAAAATAAGATACACAAATGGCCAACAAACATATGAAAAAATGCTCAACATCACTAATTATCAGAGAAACGCAAATCAAAACCACAATGTGATACTACCTTATTCCTGCAAGAATGGCCACAATCAAAAAAACAAAAAGTAATAGATCTGGGTGTGGGCATGATGAAAAGGGAAGACTTTTATACTGCTGGTAGGAATGTAAACTAGTACAACCACCATGGAAAACAGTGTGGAGATTCCTTAAAGAACTAAAAGTAGAACTACCATTTGATCCAGCAATCCCACTACTGGGTACCTACCCAAAGGAAAAGAAGTCACTATATGAAAAAGACACTTACACACACATGTTTATAGCAGCACAATTTGCAATTGCAAAATACAGAACCAGTCCATCAACCAACCCATCAACCAACCAGCCCATCAACCAAAAAGTAGATAAAGAAAATGTGGTATATATATATACATATATACACACACACACGTATACATATATACATATATACACACACACTGTGGAATACTACTCAGCCATAAAAGGAAATGAAATAATGGCATTCACAGCAACCTGGATGCAGTTGGAGACCACATTCAAAGTGAACTAACCCAGGAATGAAAAATGAAACATTGTATGTTCTCACTTATAAGTGGGAGCTAAGCTATGAGAACACAAAGGCATAAGAATGATACAGTGGACTTGGGGACTAGGGGAAGGATAAGAGGAAGGTGAGGGCTAAAAGACTACACATCGGGTACAATGTACACAGCTGAAGTAATGGGTGCACCAAAATCTCAGAAATCACCACTAAAGAATTTATCCATGTAAACAAGCATTATATCCTGTTCCCAAAAAACCTATTGATAATACATAAATAAATAAATAAACAAATAAGTAAATAGTTGGAGATTCAGCAGTGAAAAAAAAAAAGTTGGATAGAAAGTAATAAAGTAGGCCTAAAGAAAGAAGGAATAAAAAAATTTTAATGAGACAGAAAACAAAGGAAATAAAGAAAATTCATAGAAATTAAGGCAAATTTAAACACATTCACAATAAACAAGCACTTGTTTGTGCTTACTTGATAATTTGTTTCCAGATGATCTGCCTTAAAACAAATACAAAAGGAAGTCCTTCAGGCTGAAAGAAGGTGACATCCAAAGGGAATTCACATTCACAAAGAAAGGTAATTATGTAGGTAAATTTTAGAAGACAACGTAAATAGATTTTTCCATTTGTTTACTTATTTAACAATTATTATAAAACTATATTGTTGGGCTTATAATGTACAAACATATATAAAAATAATGCACGAACAGTGGGAGAAAGAACAAAGAAAGAAACTCACAACAAACTGGTAATACAAGCGGATTTCCTCAGACCGATAAAGGCTAGTTATGAAAAACCTACGGTAAACATCATACTTAAAGGTGAACAACTGAATAATTTTAGCCTAAGGTCAAGAACAAGGCAGGATGTCTACTGTAACCACTTACATTCCACATTTTAATGGAGGTTCTTGCTAGTTCAATCAAGAAAGAGAAATAAAACACATCAATCTTAGAAACGAAGAAGTAAAACTGTATTCTCCGACAACACTCTCCTATATGCTAAACTTCTAAAAAACAGAAAAAAAAAAAACTGTGAATAAGTGAGTTTGGCAGGGTCACATGATGTAAGATTAGTAAACAAATCATTTTTATTTCTACATATTGATGAACAATCAAAATTGAAATTAAGACAGTTTTATTCACAACAGCATCAATAATAAATACACGGAAATAAATTTAACCAAGTGTAGAATTTATGTATTGAAAACTACAAAACATCACCAAAGGAAATTTTAAATTATCTAAATATAGAGATCATTTATGTTTTGGACTATAAGACCTATTGTTCAGATAGTAATACCCCTCAAATTGATCTATAAATTCAGTATAATCTCTATCAAAATCACAGTAGACATTTTACAGAATTTGACATGCTAATCCCAAAACTTATATGGAAATGCAAAAAAAAAAAAAAAAAAAAACAGAAAAGCCAAAATAATTTTGAAAAAGAAGATCCAAGTGGGAGGGGAACTTACTCATCCTGATAAAGACTCTACAAAAAAACCTATGGCCTACATTTTATTAATGGCGAGGAATTAGCAGCTTTCCCACTAAAATCAGGAGCAAGCCAAAGATGTCCTCTCTTACCACTCTTTTTCAACATGTACAAGACTCCTAGAAAATACAGTCAGACAAGGAAATGAACTAAAAAGATACACTAACTGGGAAGAAAGAAAGAAAACTCCTGACCAACGTGATGAAACTGTCTCTACTAAAAATACAAAAATTAGCTTGGCGTGGTGGCACGTGCCTGTAATCCCAGCTACTTGGGAGGCTGAAGCAGGAGAATCGCTTGAACCAGGGAGGCGGAAGTTGCAGTGAGCCAAGATCGCGCCACTGCACTCCAGTCTAGCAACAGAGCAAGACTCTGGGGGGAGAAAAAAAAAAAAAAAAAAGGAAGGAAGGAAGGAATGCAGGCAGGCAGGGAGGGAGAGAGGGAGAGAGGGAGGAAGGGAAGAAAGGGAGGGAGGGAGGGAGACTGTATTTGTTTGCAGATAGTGTGATTTTGAATATATGTACCACTCTGGTAGGGGATGTTAATAATGGGGGAGGCTACAATGTGTGTGTAGGAGGAAGGGGGATATGGGATATCTCTGTATGTACTTCCTCTCAATTTTACTGTGAAACGTAAAACTGTTTCTTTTGTTGTTGTTGTTGTTGTTGTTTTCTGAGACAGAGTCTCACTCTGTCGCCCAGGCTGGAGTGCAATGGTGCGATCTTGGCTCACTGCAACTTCTGCCGCCCGGGTTCAAGCGATTCTCCTGCCTCAGCCTCCCGAGTAGCTGGGATTACAGGCAGCTGCCACTGTGCCCAGCTAATTTTTGTATTTTTTGTAGAGATGGGGTTTCACCATCTTGGTCGGGCTGGTCTTGAACTCCTGACCTCGTGATCCACCCGCCTTGGCCTCCCAAAGTGTTGGGATTACAGGCGTGAGCCACCGCGCCCGGCCCTAAAACTGCTCTTAAAAATAAACTTTTTTCTTTTTTTTTAAATGAACCAAGCAGGGAGATTTTTACTATGTAATTTCAAAATTGGTCATAAAGTTAAAAATAATGATCAAAACACCGTGGTTTGACACTTTCTTTGAAAGTTGAAGAATTTTACCATATGACCCAGTAATCCACTCCTACTTACATAAAATGTCCAGGAAAGACAAATCTGTAGAGACATAAGTAGATTAATGATTGCCCGGAGTTTGTGGTGAGAACACAAAGTGACTATTATAGGACACAAGAGAGATCTTATTTGGATGATGAAAATGTTTTAAAACTGGATTTTGTTGATGGTCACACAACTTGGTAAATTTACTAAGAAGTATTGAATTAGAACCTTAAAATGGTTGAATTTTATATGTGTAAATTATACTTCAGTAGCTTTTTTTTAAAAAAAAAGCAGTGGTCTGGAAATGCTGAAAAGTTAATATCCTAGACTCAAGTCTTTTAAATCTGTTCTTGTGGGCTCGATACTGTTCTATGGATTAAAAAGCTGCTGCTAATTTGATTTTCAGTGTTTATCTTTTATATATTGCCTACTCCACTGGACTACAAGTTTATTGAAGGTAAAATACTGTTTTCAGTATTTCAGTATAAATATGTAAAAAAAATCTATTTATATCCCAAGCCCGGTAGTACTTAGTGTAGCATTTGGGCAAAGCCCAATCTCATTAAATACTGGGCCATTTAACTTGTTTGTAATGAAATTTTGTAACTTAACATAAGACTTGTTCTTATTAATGGAGACTAATTCTCCTCCATTTAACTGTGATTAGAATAGCATTTTTTAAATTTTTCATTTTTGTCATCTCCCTCATTTAACTAAAAGCATAGTAACACCAGCTAGAGGATAAACAAAATATAAGCATATAATTATATATATTATTAACATTATGTTAAATAAGACAAGTCCGGTGAATGAAAATATTTTCTGTTGAAAAACAACCAATTAAAATGAGATATAGTCATTTGGTTAGTCATTATTATTTTTTAAAGCCTAGGTTTTTTGTTGTGTGTGTGTTTTTTTTAAAGAAACAGGACCTCGTACACGATCTCCAACAATTTTGGAAACATCTCCACGACTTATTCGAAAAGCACTAGAATTTATGGATTTAAGTCAATATGTTCGGTAAGTTTTCATAAACATGATTGATGCAGACAACTGTGTGTTTTGTTAAATCGATTATTAAAATACTTAAATGTTTTCTGTAAAGATTTAATTTGAGGCCTGATTAAGGTGAGATGAGCTACAAAAAATTTCTATCACACCTGCTACCATTATTTAATTAGATTCAATTTTTAATAACTAGATGATAGAAATATATTAAGCATATTTATAAGTTTGAAAACATCATCAAAATTATTAGCTGCATAAATTCAAAGGAAAACCTACAAGATATTCTCATAGTTTTGAACACAAGTTTCACAATCACCTCATCAAGTGGTGAATCCAAATTCACTGATATTCTCCAAAATGTTTTCCTAAAATATCAGTGACTCAATAAATGGAGCATAGCATATCTAGAAAACAACCATTTATTTTTTCTATCCCTAATGTTTTATTTGACTCAGACCACCACACTGTTGATATGATTTAAAATTATTTGATGTCTAAAGTGAAGCTTATTCCAGAGTTCCCAAATGAAATCTGTATCTTTTGATGACTTTTGTATCAAGGAAAACAGATACAGATCCTCTGCTGCAAACAGATGAATTGAATCAGCAGCAGGCAATGCAAAAGGCGGAAGAAATTCATCAGTTTCGACAGCATAGGACCAGAGTCCTTAGCATTCGAAACATTGACCAAGAAGAGCGGTTGAAGTTAAAGGATGAAGTCCTGGATATGTATAAGGAAATGCAGGTGAGTCTAAAAGCACATACATAGATTATAGTTGGCAAATTCTTTCGTAACATTAAAAAGAAATTATATAATTAAATAATATTTTGTATAGAAATAAGTCTTGAAAACATAGGTTTCTATTATTCACAACTTCTAGGAAAACATCACAAATTTGATTCTACACATCTCATCTCACTCCCTCCCTAAAATCCCCCTAAAATGCAGTATTGGGAATCTATCCTCAAAGATGGGAAGAATAGGAGAGAAAACAACAACAAAATTATTTGTTCAAGTTGGAAAATAACTGGATGAAGATCATATTAATCAGCTTGAGACATACAAATCCTAAACTGTCAGTGGGAAAAGTCTTTTTTTTTAAGTGTTTTTTAAATAAAACACAATCTTAAAGTTAATGATGATTGGTCTTGGTGGTTCCTAGTGGTAAGTCCTGTCTTATTTTTTCACATAGTATAAATTATATTTTTATGCAGGATTGCATTAAAATCCAGTAGTTCTTAATGTTACCAAATAACCATATAATTCCCAAATGCAGCAAAGGTGAACAATCTACATAGTGCACTTTCACCTCAATGAAATTGAAGCTGCTCCTTTCGGATATTTTTCCACTTCAATGTGAAGCAGATTGTTGGGATTTCATTAGTGGTTTCATTATGTGGCTTTTTAAAAGAAAAAATAGTTTTGATTTCTTCCACAGTTCACAGTTCTCAGACGAGACTTTTTTTGTAAATTACACAGTTCAGGGATGTTTTGAAAAACCAAATCCTCTTTAGTAGATGAAATCTCTCAATGTAACTGTAATAAATAAGCATCTACATCCTTAGCTATATTACCAGTATATCCTGGAACCAAAGTAAGATGGTTTTCCTGTTCCCATAATCCACTTAATTGTTGTTTTAAAATTTGAATATTTCCATCATTTAAAATTTGTTTTGGATGATAGTTCTGACCACCACCTTTTAATGACTGCTTGAAGCCAGTTTAAACCAACTATAACATATTCTTCAAATTTGCTTTTAAGTAGTGACTTTACTAGAAGCAACAAGTCTACACAGCAGCCAAGTGAGATATATTGTTTTTCTTCCTGTAAACAATTGGTGAGCACAGGAAGGCAATCTACCACAACGCCAAGATCTTCTATCCTCAACAAATAAGCTACAAGTTCACTTATACTTCTCCTTCTCCAGAAACTTAAAGCTACATTCAATCTCATATTCCTGCTGAACAAAACTTGGACCATTGTTTCATGGTCCTGAGAAACCTCAGAAAAAAACCCACTATATTTTGATGATGGGCTTTCTGTCTGTGAAGAACCAGAATCACTGGAGTTAACCAAATATGTTCGACTGTCATGGTGTAATTTTTCAGTCTGGTGGCCTGCACAAGCCAGTTCATTTTCTTTATTTGCCATGTCACAGCCCCCACCTTCCAGGGGGCTGTTTTTTTCTGTAACAAAGATTTGGAAAGGGATGATGAACTTTCTTTCTGCGATAGATCACTTTACGAAGTTTATCTGGGCTTTTCACAGTTTGTCCAACTGTTCTATTTATGTAAGCAGCCAACTGTTTTGGAGACTTCTTAACCTCCTTCATGTTCTTATCAGTGAAATTAGAGATCTTTTTTTCTAGGAAGATCAATGAAATGATCCTCAATCTTATTACAAAAGTTCCGTTTTTTAACATTGTGAGTTTCCGATGCCATAATCTCTTAAGTACCGGCGCCTCATGGTACCGCGGCGCCTCAGCCCAGCCTCCGCGCTGACAATCAGCGCCCGGCAGCCTAGAGCGTCCCTCGGCTTCTGGGCCGAGTCCCACTCAGGGCCATTCAAACGCGGCCGCGCGCGCGGCCTGCCGGGATAGCTGGGAAAAGTCTTAACAAGCCAATTAGCTCCTCAGAATGCCTACAGAATCCCCAAAAAGGCTTAGCAATTGGTGGCAGCAGATATGTTAGGAAGTAAAAGTGAAGTAGGAGGAAGATGAAAATAGTTGGGTTTGTTCAGCTTAAGGCTATTTAGGAATTGCAGATCACCACTTCAACTTTTTGCATCCAGATTATTGTCATCCGTTCACCCCAGTAGAAGAATAGGTGTCCTTTAATTAGAGATGACAACAAATGAAAAAAGGATTTCTAAATTGTGGAAGACTATACTTTATTGAAAATGGGAGTATCATACTAGAAAAGGGGAAATTCAATAAATATATATGGATAACTTCCCACTACGGATAATGAGAATCTTTTTTTCTCCCTGCAACACACACGCACACACTCCTACACATCCCCAAAGACACTAAAGCCTATAGGAAATTCTAAATATTTTGGCTACAGTGAGACTGTCATTTCCAGTAATGGCTCATGTGATGAATGTGCCTATTTGACATCTCTTCTTGTTTGTCCAATAGGCACCTCAAACAGAACCTCTCTAAATCCAAATTCAAGAATGCTTGCCCTCCTTCCCATCTCAGCGCAAATATGTCACCCCACCAAGATTCTCCATCTCGGTCAATACCAATTGCATTCTTTCAGTTGCCCAAGCAGAGACTATGGAGATATCTTTGACTTCTGTCACTCCCCACGTGCGATCAATTGTCAGAACCTCTCGACTCTACCTTGAAAATATATCCAACATATATATCACCACCCTAGCCTAACCTGTCATTCTTTCTTATTCAGAGGATTGCTATAGCCCAGTTACTGATCTAACTGCTTCCATCTTTGCCCCTCCACAATGTGGTCTCTGCTTTGCCACAAAACAATTGTACCAATCACGACAAACTAGGCTTATCCTGTGGTAACAAAACCCCCAATATCACAGTGGCCTAACATAGTGTTTGGCAGACTTATTTTCTGTAAAGGCCCAAATAGGAAATATTTATGTTGCATCTACTCAACATTACCATTTTTTACACAAGATCACAGATAATACCTAAATAAATAGGATAATGGCAAAATGAATAAAACTTTACTTAGAAAAATAAGCAATAAGCCAGATTAACTTTACAGGCCTTAGTTCACCAACTCTGGCTAAAAACAGTAAAACGGTATTTCTCATTCTAGCTATGTGTCCAGTGCGGTTCAATAGAGCAACCTTCTTATCAAGATCCCCTGGCTGAAGGAGCTTCCATAGAGACACCTCTACCATGATTATTACAACAGGGGAAGAGAACATGGGGAATTGCACATTGGCTGTGACTATTTCTACCCAGAAATGGCACATTCATTTGCACTCACATTTCACTGACCAGAGCAAGTCACATGGTCACATACAACTTCAAAGAAGGAACCCACCTTGGTGACACCTTGATGCCAAACTTGTAGCATCAAGCACTGTGAGGCAATGCATTTCTGTTGTCTAAACCCAATTTGTGGTTCTTACAGCAGCCCCAGCAAGCTAATAAAGAGGGAGGGCAATGCTACGAGGTACCTGGAAGATAACCAGCAATATTTTGTGAATTACACTAATGGTTATCATAATGCATATTTAAAATGAAGGTAGAATTATTTCACTTCCCTAATGGCTTTACATTTCATTAAGAAATAAACCAAAATCTTGATTATGACCTCCAGAGCTTTCCTCTCTGATCTTTTTATCCACCTTTTGCCTAGGTGACTTTGCCTTTCCACTAACAGCAAGGCATGTTCCCACCTCTGGGCCTTTGACCTCACTCCTCTCTCTTCCTGGAATATTCTTTCCCCAAAGTGTAGAATGTGAAACTTTCCTTTTATGAGATCTCTTATCTAGGGTCACTTATTAGAGAGATCTTCACCAGCTGCTCTTTCACAATTACTACCCTCAAAATTTGTGTAACCGTGCCTAGTCTTATTTTTCTTGAAGGCACTTACCCTGCATGTGCATTTATTTATTGGCATATGAAAATGTAGATATATTATAAATACTATGCTTTCATTTTTGATTGTTCTCTGCTACAATAAAGACTATATGTGGACAGATATTCTGTTTAGATTCACTGTTGTGTCCCCAGACCTTCAGAGGAATGTCTGTTTTGCAAAAGTTTGTTTGATTAATGAATCAGTAAATCAATGAATGGATATTAAAATTGTGTAAGTTCAATTTACCATGTGGGAAATAATTTAGATTAGATTAGAAAACAAAAGGGAATTTCAGGATTGCTGTTTGTGGTTTTTGTGTGTAATAACCAAATAAATGCAGCAGATAGGAAACGGGGAAAAAATACTAAGACAGCTTTGAGTTCACTCCCATTCATTTATGTGAGAGGCACAGAGAGAGCCCTAGTTTTGATTGAAGCCATTTTAAGAGAAACATGATCAATAACATATTTCTTATCAGATAGGAGAATGAATATGTTTTATACTCATTCCTCAAGGGATTACTGATGTATATTAAACTTATTTACACACTTTCTTAAAATGTCTCTCCTGCTCATTCTCTTGCTGTCTCTTTCTCTCTTTAATATGTCACTACTATCTTCTACTTGTGCAATTGGTTTAGTCAATCCAGTTTTATTATGGTAGCTACAGTATTATCTTTTGTAAAAACTTCGGGAATTCTGATTCTGACATCCAGCTTTTCCAACATCTCAATAAAATTAAGCTGGTTGCAAAAAACATGGAAAATGTCTTGATAAATTCAAGGACGAAGACAAAGCAGCCATTTCTAGAAGAGTCTTTTCAGGCTAGCATCTCTGCTTTAATCCTTATTCTTTGATTATATTACTTTTGAAACAGTAAGCAATTCATTTGGCCACTTCCCTTTCAAGAGATGAAGGAGAAAAGGAGAAATCAGTGAAGGTGACTGAATAGGAGCAGCTGGTGAGACAGAAGACAATCTAAGAGCTAAGTGAAATCAGTTGATCCAGGAGGAGAGCGTGCGGTTAAGCAAGAATAAGAACAGTAAATGATCTTGGATTTAACTACATATAAGGCCTTGGTATCCTTGATGAAGAATGAAAGTCAAGCTGACAAGAGCAAAGTAACCAACGGATTTGGCCATACTATTTGGAGCTTCATCATCAAGTATAGCTCATATATTTTGTCAAGGATAGCATACATGTGGGGAACTAGTAATTTCTTGAGCACAGTTACTTTGCAAGAGACATTGGGCTTATTAATATCTCATATAGATTATATTTGAAATAATTTAAACAGAATACCTTTGGTAAAAAAAAGTATGTTTTGACTATTTTTTCTACAACTGTTTTTATTTTGCCGTACTGTGTTAAAATCTCATGAACCCTTTGTTGCTATGTTTTGTGTATTGATAAGCTTTTGAGACCATACACTAATTTTCATCTTCAATCATTTTGCCTATGAATGTGTGGGCATAAGGACAGGCTAAAGGAATTTCATTTTTTTCTTTCTGGGAACGTAAGCCTTTACCAGTGGAATTATTTGTTTGGGGTTTTGCTTTGGAACAGGACTCCTTAGATGAAGCCCGACAGAAAATTTTCGACATCCGGGAAGAGTACAGAAACAAATTGCTGGAAGCTGAGCACCTAAAGCTGGAAGCTCTCTCTGCTCAGGAAGCCGCCATGAAGCTGGAGACAGAAAAGATGACCCCAGCTCCTGACACACAGAAAAAAAAGAAAGGAAAGAAAAAGTAACCAGGGGATGTCCAATACCACCCTGCTTCTGGAGAGAAAAAATTTATTTGTAATGATCTTTAACTGCCTGCTGATAAGATATTGGGCCAACTGAAAATAGAAATTGTTCTTTCTTAGAAATATTTTAATGCTAACTTGTTAGTTTTCCTCAGAAAGCTAGTATTTGAAGCCATTCGAGTTTAAGATGCTCTAATTTCAATAAAATAGCTTCCAAATATTTAAAATGTAATAAAATATATGTTTGACACTCTAAACTGCCTGCATTTTTAATTAGAAGTGAAACAAGTTCATAAAGCAACAGGATTATCTTTGAAAATTTCAGCGATGAGAAAAGTGGCTTTTGTTCTTAGAAGAAATTTAGTCTTAAACTTTAAAAGTTTAAAAATACTAATAACTATGCTTCAGTTTTTTTTTTTTTTTTTTTTTTCTGGAGACTGAGTCTCACTCTGTTGCCCAGGCTGGAGTGCACTGGTGTAATCTCGGCTCTCTGCAACCTCTGCCTCCCAGGTTCAAGTGATTCTCCTGCCTCAGCTTGCTGAGTAGCTCTGATTACAGGCACCTGCCACCACACCCTGCTAACTTTTGTATTTTTAGTAGAGACGGGGTTTCACCATGTTGGCCAGGCTGGTCGCGAACTCCTAACCTCAAGTGATCTGCGCGCATCGGCCTCCCAAAGTGCTGGGAATACAGGCGTGAGCCACCACTTTGGGCCAAATTATGCCATTTTTAAAAACTGAACTTCAAGAAACCTCCTTCATAGACCAAGAACTACCCTGGCTTAGCCCACCCAAAGTGTTAGGACTCTAGATCCTAGCAACCCATCATGGTCACCTGGGTGTAGAGAGCGTGTGATCTCAAACATCCATTTTCATGCTCACCAGTGTTGTGTTTTCTCTAAGACACAGATGAAGTTGTTATACCCTAGTCTTAGAACAATGCAATGAGTGGATTTAACTGAGGCACATAGCAGGAAATTGACTTTCTCCAAAAGCACACTTCTAATTCATGACTATCTCAAAACTCTCATAGTATTTTTTAACCAGTGAAAGCGGTTTCACTTTGGCAGGTGATTTTACTTATCCTTTCTACTGTTAATCTTTGTTATTTAAAATATTTATTTATTGAGACATGGTCTGGCTCTCCTGTCCAGGCTGGGATGCAGTGGCACAATCTCAGCTCACTGCAACCTCTACCTCCTGGACTCAAGCCATCCTCCTAATTTTTTTTTTGAGATGGAGTTTCACTCTTGTTGGGGTGATCATACCCAACACCAGGTCGTGGGGGTGACAAAGTCCAGCGGAGTCAAAGGATTGAGAAAAAGACAGTTTGAGAGAGAAAGCTGGGACCAAGTGGCCATTGCGATCGTGGAGGCCGCGAAGGCCTCGAGCTGTGGGAGCCCACGCTATTTATTGGTAATCAACAAAGAAACAGGTGGTGAGAATGTGGAGGTCAAAAGGGCAGGCGCATATCTACAGCTGTGACGGTTTAGCATTTATGTGGAACATGTTCTGCTACTTGAGATAATGGGAATAGGAGCCTAGGAGGGCTAGAAGCAAGAGGCCAGCAAGTCTAGACACATTCCAGAGGACATTATGTCAGACATGCAAGCCCTGCCTCAGTTTTTGTCCCAACACTCAGCTTTTTCCTAACACTTGTTGCCTAGGCTAGAGTGCAATGGCGCAATCTCGGCTCAATGCAAACCTCCGCCTCCTGAGTTCAAGTGATTCTCTTGCCTCAGACTCCTGAATAGCTGGGATTAGTGGTGCAGCCACCACGCCCGGCTAATTTTGTATTTTTAGTAGAGACGGGGGTTTCACCAGGTCGACCAGGCTGGTCTTGAACTCTTGACCTCAGGTGATCCACCCCCCTCGGCCTCCTAAAATGCTGGGATTACAGGCTGGAGCCATGGCACCCGGCCAATTTCTGTATTTTTTTGTAGAGACGGGGTTTCACCATGTTTCCCAGGCTGTTCTCAAACTCCTGAGTTCAAGAGATCCACCCATGTCAGCTTGCTTCCCAAAGTGCTGGAATTACAGGCATAAACCACCACATCCAGCTTAAAAATATTTAATACTCCCATAAATGATCAACTAATTTTTGACAAGGATGCCAAAAATACACATGATGAAAGAAAATCGTTTCAAAAATGATGTTGGGAAAACTAAATATCCACATGCAAAAGAATAAAATAGGAACATTGCCCTATGCTATACAAAAAAATTAAATAGATTAAAGATTTAAATGTAACATTGGAACTCATAAAATGCTTAGAAGATTGCATACAGAAAAAATCTCCTTGACATTGGTCTTGGCAATTTCTTTTGGAGATGACACCAGAAGCACAGGCAACAAAAGCAAACATAAACAAGTAGGACTACATAAAAATAAAAAGCTGCTGCACAGCAAAGAAAACAACAAAATGAAAAGACAATCTATAGAATGGGAGAAAATACTTGTAAACTGTATATCTGGCAAGGGGCTAATATTTAAAATATATTTAAAAACTCATATAACTCAATAGCAAAAAAAGCAAATAACCTGGTTTTAAAAATGGGCAAAGGACTTGAATAAACACCTATCCAAAGACGACACAGGAATGACCAACAGGTATATGCAAAGGTACTCAGCATCATTAATCATTAGAGAAATGCAAATCAAAACAATGACATCTCACCTCACACCTGTTAAGATGGCTTTTATCATAAAGACAAGAGATAAGTGTTGGGGAGGGTGTGGAGAAAGGGAACCCTGTACACACTGTGGTGAGAATGTAAATTGCAATAGCCGTTACAGAAAACAGTATGAAAGTTTCTCAAAAAATTAAAACTAGAGCTACCATATGATCCAGCAATCCCATTCCTGGGTATATATTAAAGGAAATGAAATCAGTATGTCTATGAGAGGTCTGCAACCCTCTGTTCATGGCAGCATTATTTACAATAGTGATATGGAAACAGCCTAAGTGTCCATCAATGGATGAATGAATAAAGAAAATGTGGTATATATATATATAATGGAATATAATTGAACCATAAAATAGAAGGAAATCCTGCCATTTGCAACAACACAGATGAACATGTAGGGCATTATGCTAAGTGAAATATGCCAGAAACTGAAAGAAAAATAATGCATAATCTCACTCACATGTGGAATTGTGAAAGTTGAACTCATAGAAGCAAAGTGTAGGACAGTGGTTACCAGAGACTTAGGGGTGAGAGAAATGGGGAGATGTTGGTCAGAGTACAAACATGTAGTTATAAGCTGACAAATTCTGTGTATTTCAGGTACAGAATGGATGGTGCCATCAGAATCAATAGTAGTAATTAAATTGATTATATTAATCATTCAGTGTACACATATATCAAACCATCCTGTGGTATACTTCGAACATATACAGTTTATTTTCCAAAAAATTTTTTAAAGTTTACATGAAAAATTAATTTAATATTTTATACATCTGCCCACTTGTATATGTAATGTTACTTAATTTAATAAATGCAAATGTGCATTTTCACATTATCCTTTGCCTACTCTTAGCTTCACAACCTTATGACCCCAGCTCCCAAAATACACACATAGAAACAACCTATTTTGAATGTTTCCATATTTTTCATTCATCTCATATGCTCACACCAATATTTTATATACTGGTTTGTTTTACAAAATGGCATTTTTTAAAGCATAATACAATGTGTCTTGCTTTTTCTCACCAAACAACACAGAATCTCTTCAAGTCACTGGTAATTTATTCTTTTTAATTGCTGTGTAACATTCCATGGTACAAATATACCATAATTTATTCATATATAAATTTATGAATTTTATATATACATGTATGTGTGTCTTTGTGTGTTTATATATATATATATTCAGGATATTCAGGTAGTGTGTGTAAATATATTCAGGATATTCAAGTAGTAACATTATTATATATTCTCAAGTTAGATAAAAATCATTGCAAACAATTTGTCATTACAATTTAAGTGATGTATTTTTGATCAATTACTTTCAGATATTTTTTGCTATTAATTGTTTGATAGTTTTCACTTGCTTTCTTCTTCTTTACTTTTCTTGCTGTGTTTTTTTGTTTTGTTTTGTTTTTGAGATGGACTCTCCCTCTGTCTCCCAGGCTGGAGTGCAATGGTGTGACCTCAGCTCACTGCAACCTCCACCTCCCAGGTTCAAGTGATTTTCCTGCCTCAGCCTCCTGAGTAGCTGGGATTACAGGTGTGTGCCACCACGCCTGGCTAATTTTTTTTTCTATTTTTAGTAGAGACGGGGCTTCACCATGTTGGTCAGGCTGATCTCGAACTCCTGACCTCATGATCCGCCTGCCTTGGCCTCCCAAAGTGCTGGGATTACAGGTGTGAGCCACCGTGCCCAGCCTGCTGTGTTTTTTAAACTATTACTCTTTAAGCTTTTTCTATTTCTGATTTTTGCTATTTTTCCAAAGCTCTGATAGTTTCTTTGTAGCTTATTTTGAATCATTATGTTACATTTTTCTTCTGATCAAAGCATACTTCTCTGGGATGTTTTCATTTTCTGTCTAAGTATTATTTGTTTCATTTTATCTCATTATCTTTAATAACAGATTTTTCCCCATTATTTAAGAGATTGAGTTTTATAAACTATTAGAAGCAGGTTCATATAAATGACAAAGAATCTAAAGGAACTCTCCCAGCTTTATGGATGGAGGACGACCCACAATGAGAGACTGAGGCAAGAGTTTCATCAATGTCTCGAGATTTGTTAAGCTTGAGGGGGTGCCCAAAAAAAAATACATAAAACACGAGTCACAGAAACATCTGTGCTTGTGTTCTCTGAAGGGGTTTTCAGGAAGTTCAATGTTTATACATTTCTTTAAAGGGGGGAAGGCATGTAGGAAAAGGCAGGTAGGTGGTGAGGCAAATGGTTACACATTTCTGTGAGATTTTAATCAGTGCCCATGAAATGCACATTTTATATCAGATAAGGTGAACATTCCAAGAACAAGGGAGTAAAGGAAGAATCAACCATGCAGACATCTCAGGTTAGGTGGAGGAATGATTGATCCCTTCTTGTATGTTCTGCACCTGGGAAGACAAACTTGTTATCGACATTGTCAGCGTGAAATCTAACAGACTTTAGTTTTAGGTGCTAGATTTGGATTGCAGATCTAAAGTTTTCAATGACATGCCCTTGTTTTATGGGAACATACACATTTTTGAAAGGTTTCCAGGCCAGCAAAGAACTTAACTGGGAACAACTTGGACAGTGAAGCTTTTTGCCTTTCTATGGGGTCGGACAAATGTGCAATGCTTTGACACAAGGTTGTGAAGAACAGCTATTCATTTGGGAAAAGAATGGCCGTGTTGCATGACTCAGCCTCCAGGCTCTCCAGGCTTATCTTTCCCTTTGGCGTAATGAGTTTGGGGGATCTGAGATTTTTATTTTCCTTTAGAGTTGTAATCATCAAAATATGGCCTGATTTCCCAATGACCTGTCTCGCAGAAAATCCTGCTTTATGACAGATTGAGTTTTTTGCCTCTAAGCCCCTGTTTACTAGATTTCTGTGGACCTTGCTTTTCAAGACAGTTCTATCTTTAGATATTTTTTCTCTTGCGGTAATCTGAATCCGTGACCCTTTGGTCTCAACATTCTTTCTCCCCTTTCTCCAGCATTTCTCAGTTTGCTTACTTCTTCAGAGTGTTCTCTTACTTTAAGGCATGTTCTTCTGGATATGTCTTAGAGTTTCAAGTGGAATTTCATGGATATTAGGGTCCGTTGGTGGTTTATTGTGTTCTCACCTGTGCCAACCATACAGATCTAAATGCTGAGATAATCCTGCTGGTTGTCTGTATTTGGGCCACAACTACAGATGCAGAAATTTTTTTTCTCGGTCACTTTGTATGTGTATTTATTGGTGTATGAAAATGTGGATATATTATAAATACTATGCTTTCATTTTTGATTGTTCTCTGCTAGAATATAGACTATATGTGGACAGATATTCTGTTTAGATTCACTGTTGTGTCCCCAGACCTTCAGAGGAATGTCTGTTTCGCAAAAGTTTGTTTAATTAATGAATCAGTAAATCAATGAATGGATATTAAAATTGTGTAAATTCAATTTACCATGTGGGAAATCGATTAGATTAGATTACAAAACAAAAGGGAATTTCAGGATTGCTGTTTGTGGTTTTTGTGTGTAATAACCAAGTAAATGCAGCAGATAGTATTTTATCCCCATTTCCTCCCTAACTCAGACAGCTTTGAGTTCACTCCCATTTATGTGTGAGGCACAGAGAGAGCCTGAGTTTTGATTGAAGCCATTTTAAAAGAAACGTGAACATTTTTATCAGATAGGAGAATGAATGTTTTATACTCATTCCTCAAGGGATTACTGATGTATATTAAACATATTTACAAACTCTCCTTAAAATCTCTCTCTCCTGCTCATTCTCTTGCTCTCTTTCTAATATGTCACTACTATCATCTTCTACTTGTGCAATTGGTTTAGTCAATCCAGTTTTATTATGGTAGCTACAGTACTATCTTTTGTAAAAACTTCAGGAAGTCCGATTCTGACATCCAGCTTTTCCAACATCTCAATAAAATTAAGCTGGTTGCAAAAAACATGGAACATTTCTTGATAAATTCAAGGATGAAGACAAAGCAGTCATCTCTAGAAGAGTCTTTTCAGACTAGCATCTGTGCTTTAATCCTTAGTCTTTGATCATATTATCTTTGAAACAGTAAGCAATTAATTTGGCCACTTCCCTTTTAAGAGACGAAGGAGAAAAGGAGAAATCAGCAAAGGTGACTGAATAGGAGCAGCTGGTGAGACAGAAGACAATCTAAGAGCTAAGTGAAATCAGTTGATCCAGGAGGAGAGAGTGCAGTTAAGCAAGAATAAGAACAACAAATGATCCAGGATTTATAGCTACATATAAGGCCTTGGTATCCTGGATGAGTAGTTTTGCTAAAGTGGTGAGAATGAAAGTCAAGCTGACAAGAGCAAAGTAACCAACAGATTTGGCCATACTATTTGGAGCTTCATCATCAAGTACAGCTCAGATATATTTTGTCAAGGATAGCATACATGTGGGGAACTAGTAATTTCTTGAGCACAGTTACTTTGCAAGAGACATTGGGCTTATTAATAACTCATAAATTGTATTTGAAATCATTTAAACAGAATACCTTTGGGGAAAAAAAAGTATGTTTTGACTATTTTTTCTACAAATGTTTTTATTTTGCCATACTGTGTTAAAATCTCATGATTTTGTCGCTATGTTTTGTGTACTGATAAGCTGTTGAGACCATACACTAATTTTCATCTTCAATCATTTTGCCTATGAATGTGTGGGCGTAAGGACAGGGTAAAGGAATTTCATTTTTTTCTTTCTGGGAACATAAGCCTTTACCAGTGGAACTTATTTGTTTGGGGTTTTGCTTTGGAACAGGACTCCTTAGATGAAGCCCGACAGAAAATTTTCGACATCCGGGAAGAGTACAGAAACAAATTGCTGGAAGCTGAGCACCTAAAGCTGGAAACTCTGGCTGCTCAGGAAGCAGCCATGAAGCTGGAGACAGAAAAGATGACCCCAGCTCCTGACACACAGAAAAAAAAGAAAGGAAAGAAAAAGTAACCAGGGGATGTCCAATACTACCCTGCTTCTGGAGAGAAAAAATCTATTTGTAATGATCTTTAACTGCCTGCTGTTAAGATATTAGGCCAAATGAAAATAGAAATTTCTCTTTCTTAGAAATATTTTAATGCTAACTTGTTAGTTTTCCTCAGAAAGCTAGTATTTGAAGCCATTTGAGTTTAAGATGCTCTAATTTCAATAAAATAGCTTCCAAATATTTAATAAAATATGTTTGACACTCTAAACTGCCTGCATTTTTAATTAGAAGTGAAACAAGTTCATAAATTAAGCAACATGATTATCTTTGAAAATTTCAGCAATGAGAAAAGTGGCTTTTGTTCTTAGAAGAAATTTAGTCTTAAACTTTAAAGGTTTAAAAATACTAATAACTATGCTTCAGAATTATGCCTTTTTTTTTTTTTTTTTTTTTTTTAAGACTGAGTCTCACTCTGTTGCCCAACTGCAGTGCAGTGGTATAATCTCAGCTCACTGCAACCTCCACCTCCTGGACTCAAGCCATCCTCCTAATTTTTTTCTTTGGAGATGGAGTTTCACTTTTGTTATTGGGGTGATCATACCCAACACCAGGTCGTGGGGGTGACAAAGTCCAGCGGAGTCAAAGGATTGAGAAAAAGACAGTTTGAGAGAGAAAGCTGGGACCAAGTGGCCATTGCGATCGTGGAGGCCGCGAAGGCCTCGAGCTGTGGGAGCCCACGCTATTTATTGGTAATCAACAAAGAAACAGGTGGTGAGAATGTGGAGGTCAAAAGGGCAGGCGCATCATCTACAGCTGTGACGGTTTAGCATTTATGTGGAACATGTTCTGCTACTTGAGATAATGGGAATAGGAGCCTAGGAGGGCTAGAAGCAAGGAGCCAGCAAGTCTAGACACATTCCAGAGGACATTATGTCAGACATGCAAGCCCTGCCTCAGTTTTTGTCCCAACACTCAGCTTTTTCCTAACACTTGTTGCCTAGGCGGGAGTGCAATGGCGCAATCTCAGCTCACTGCAACCTCCACCTCCTGAGTTCAAGTGATTCTCTTGCCTCAGACTCCTGAGTAGCTGGGATTAGGGGTGTGGCTACCACGCCTGGCTAATTTTGTATTTTTAGTAGAGACGGGGGTTTCACTAGGTCGACCAGGCTGGTATTGAACGCCTGACCTCAGGTGATCCACCCACCTCGGCCTCCTAAAATGCTGGGATTACAGGCTGGAGCCATGGCACCCGGCCAATTTCTGTAGAGACAGGGTTTCGCCATGTTTCCCAGGTTGTTCTCAAACTCCTGAGTTCAAGAGATCCATCCATGTCAGCTTGCTTCCCAAAATGCTGGAATTACAGGCATAAACCACCATGCCTAGCTTAAAAATATTTAATACTCCCATATATGGTCGACTAATTTTGGACAAGGATGCCAAAAATACACATGATGAAAGAAAATCGTTTCAAAAATGATGTTGGAAAAACTAAATATCCACATGCAAAAGAATAAAATAGGAACATTGCCCTATGCTGTATAAAAAAATTAAATAGATTAAAGATTTAAATGTAACATTGGAACTCATAAAACTCTTAGAAGATTGCCTACAAAAAAATCTCCTTGACATTGGTCTTGGCAATTTCTTTTGGAGATGACACCAAAAGCACAGGGAACAAAAGCAAACATAAACAAGTAGGACTACATAAAAATAAAAAGCTACTGCGCGACAAAGGAAACAACAAAATGAAAAGACAATCTATAGAATGGGAGAAAATACTTGTAAACTGTATATCTGATAAGGGGCTAATATTTAAAATATATTAAACTCATGTAACTCAATAGCAAAAAAAGCAAATAACCTGGTTTTAAAATGGGCAAAGGACTTGAATAAACACCAATCCAAAGAAGACACAGGAATGACCAACAGGTATATGCAAAGGTACTCAGCATCATTAACCATTAGAGAAATGCAAATCAAAACAACAATGAGGTATCACCTCACACCTGTTAAGATGGCTTTTATAAAGACAAGAGATAAGTGTTGGGGAGGGTGTGGAGAAAGGGAACCCTGTACACACTGTGGTGAGAATGTAAATTGCAATAGCCATTACAGAAAACAGTATGGAAGTTTCTCAAAAAATTAAAACTAGAGCTACCATATGATCTAGCAATCCCACTCCTGGGTATATATTAAAGGAAACGAAATCAGTATGTCTATGAGAGGTCTGCAACCCTCTGTTCATGGCAGCATTATTTACAATAGTGATATGGAAACAGCCTAAGTGTCCATCAATTGATGAATGAATAATGAAAATGTGGTATATATATATATAATGGAATATAATTGAACCATAAAATAGAAGGAAATCCTGCCATTTGCAACAACATAGATGAACCTGTAGGGCATTATGCTAAGTGAAATATGCCAGAAACTGAAAGAAAAATAATGCATAATCTCACTCACATGTGGAATTGTGAAAGTTGAACTCATAGAAGCAAAGTGTAGGACAGTGGTTACCAGAGACTTAGGGGTGAGAGAAATGGGGAGATGTTGGTCAAAGAGTACAAACATTTAGTTATAAGCTGACAAATTGTGTATCTCAGGCACAGAACGGATGGTGCCATCAGAATCAATAGTAGTAATTAAATTGAATATATTAATCATTATTCAGTGTATACATATATCAAACCATCATGTGGTATACTTTGAAAATATACAATGTTTATTTTTCAAAAAATTTTTTAAGTTTACATGAAAAAGTTAATATTTTATACACCTCCCCAGTTGTATATGTAATGTTACTTAATAAATGCAAATGTGCATTTTTACATTATTCTTTGCCTACTCTTAGCTTCACAACCTTATGACCCCAGCTCCCAAAGTACATACATAGAAACAACCTATTTTGAATGTTTCCATATTTTTCATTCATCTCATATGCTCACACCTCAATATTTTATATTATATCCTGGTTTGTTTTACAAAATGGCATTCTTTAAAGCATAATACAATGTGTCTTGCTTTTTCTCACCAAACAACACAGAATCTCTTGAAGTCACTGTTAATTCTTTTTAATTGTTATGAAATATTCCATGGTACAAATATACCATAATTTATTCATAAATTTATGAATTTTATATATACATATATGTGTCTGTGTGTATATATATATTCAGGTAGTGTGTGTATATATATATTCAGGATATTCAAGTACTAACATTAATATTATATATTCTTTAAGTTAGATAAAAATTCATCTGCAAACAATTTGTCATTATAATTTAAATGATGTATTTTTGATCAATTACTTTCTTTCAGATATTTTTTGCTATTATTTGTTTGATAGTTTTCACTTGCTTTCTTTTACTTTTCTTGCTGTGCCTTTTTTTTTTTTTTTTTTTTTTTTTGAGATGGGGTCTCCCTCTGTCTCCCAGGCTGGAGTGCAATGGTGTGATCTCAGCTCACTGCAACCTCCACCTCCCAGGTTCAAGTGATTTTCCTGCCTCAGCCTCCTGAGTAGCTGGGATTACAGGTGTGTGCCACCACGCCTGGCTAATTTTTTTTTTTTTTTTTTTTTTTAGAGACAGGGTTTCACCATGTTGGTCAGGCTGATCTCGAACTCCTGACCTCATGATCCGCCTGCCTTGGCCTCCCAAAGTGCTGGGATTACAGATGTGAGCCACCGTGCCCAGCCTGCTGTGTTTTTTAAACTATTACTCTTTAAGCTTTTTCTATTTCTGATTTTTGCTATTTTTCCAAAGCTCTGATAGTTTTTTTGTAGCTTATTTTGAATCATTATGTTACATTTTTCTTCTGATCAAAGCATACTTCTCTGGGATGTTTTCATTTTCTATTATTTGTTTCATTTTATCTCATCTTTAATAACAGATTTTCCCCCATTATTTAAGAGATTGAGTTTTATAAACTATTAGAAGCAGGTTCATATAAATGACAAAGAATCTAAAGGAACTCTCCCAGCTTTATGGATGGAGGATGCCCCACAATGAGAGACTGAGGCAAGAGTTTCATCAATGTCTCGAGATTTGTTAAGCTTGAGGGGGTGCCCAAAAAAAAAAAAAAACAAAAAAACACGAGTCACAGAAACATCTGTGCTTGTGTTCTCTGAAGGGGTTTTCAGGAAGTTCAATGTTTATACATTTCTTTAAAGGGGGGAAGGCATGTAGGAAGAGGCAGGTACGTGGTGAGGCAAATGGTTACATTTTTGTGAGATTTTAATCAGTGCCCATGAAATGCACATTTTATATCAGATAAGGTGAACATTCCAAGAACAAGGGAGTAAAGGAAGAATCAACCATGCAGACATCTCAGGTTAGGTGGAGGAATGATTGATCCCTTCTTGTATGTTCTGCACCTGGGAAGACAAACTTGTTATCGACATTGTCAGTGTGAATTCTAACAGACTTTAGTTTTCGGTACTAGACTTGGATTGCAGATCTAAAGTTGTAATTGACATGCCCTTGTTTTATGGGAACGTACACATTTTTGAAAGGTTTCCAGGCCAGCAAAGAACTCACCTAGGAACAGCTTGGACAGTGAAGCTTTTTGCCTTTCTGTGGGGTCTGACAAATGTACAATGCTTTGACACAAGGTTGTGAAGAACAAGCTATTCATTTGGGAAAAGAATGGCAGTGTTGCATGACTCAGCCTCCAGGCTCTCCAGGCTTATCTTTCCCTTTGGCGTAATGAGTTTGGGGGATCTGAGATTTTTATTTTCCTTTAGAGTTGTAATCATCAAAATATGGCCTGATTTCCCATTTCTCTGTCTGTCAGAGAAAATTCTGCTTTATGACAGATTTTGAGTTTTTTGCCTCTAAGCCTCTGTTTCCTAGATTTCTGTGGACCTTGGTTTTCAAGACAGTTCTATCTTTAGATATTTTTTCTCTTGCGGTAATCTGAATCCGTGACCCTTTGGTCTCAGCATTCTTTCTCCCCTTTCGCCAGCATTTTTCTCAGTTTGCTTACTTCTTCAAACGGTGTTCTCCTACTTTAAGGCAAGTTCTTCTGGATATTTCTTAGAGTTTCAAGTGGAATTTCATGGATATTAGGGTCCGTTGGTGGTTTTTGTGTTTTCACCTGTGCCAACCATACAGGTCTAAATGCTCAGATAATCCTGCTGATTGTCTTTATTTGGGCCACAACTACAGAGGCAGGATTTTCTTTTTCTCGGTCGCTTTGCAAGCCAGGGACCCCCAGCCAGTGATGCCCTACCTGGGCCGCTCTCGGGGATGATACTGTGCCCCAGCTCACCTGTGTTATAGCTTGTACTTGTGTTCTGTGGTTCCCAAGATCTTCTACTGCGCCCAAGAAGAATGAAGATGCACTGTACATTGAAGTGTGAGGAGGGTGGAAAAGAATTTTATTGAACGATGAAACAGGTTTTAGCGGAGAGGGGATATAGGGGTGGTTCCCCTATCTGAGGGCAGGAAAATCCCTCCCCTGTTGCTGGCTCTGGGGCCTCTTATGGACTCAGAATGGAGAGTGTGTGCTGATTGGTTTGTGAGTATGCAAAAAAGATTAAAGCGAAGACATCACTCAAATGTGGGCATGACAGTGTAGAAAACCAATTAGGAAAGGGTAGGTATATGTAAAATAGGTGAAGGGTGGGGATCAATCAGAGGAAAGCATGGAGGATTTAACCTGTAGCTTGGCTTTCAGGCTTTAAACTGTCTTTGGCTTCGAGGTGGGGTTTCACCAGGGGCCCGCCCCTATCTGCCTAGGCATTTGGCTGCCTCCTGCCACTCTCAATACCACTCTTGTTTATGGGAATTTCTTGTCATCTAATTTTGCTAGCAATTTATCTGAGTTTTGTTTTTTGTGGGGGGTGTGTGTGTACTTGCTTTGCCATCACAATTGTATTTATAGTTTTCAGGAGTAGTTTTGGGGAAAAGCAAAAATATGACACATCATTATCCTGCCACTAGAAGTGTGTTACTTATTTATAATTTTATTTGCTTATAATCAGACTACACGGTCCCTAGAATTTTTACTTCTAAAAAATTTATTAAGACTTTCTATGTAACTAAGTAGAGGTTTAAATGACATAAATGTGTAGGATGATCGTAAACTTTGCATATATATATGCAATAAGAATTGCTTGAAAAGAATGCAAATTTTAATTTTAGAAAAGCCTCATTTCCAAAATTTAACCGTGTATGTAGTTTTATGGAAAATTATATACAATGTTTTTCAAGTTTATTTTAGTCAAATATATTCATTATTTACTCTCTTTTTTTTAGTTTTAATCCACTTCATTTGTCTAGTTCTGAGAGGTATGTTGCAGAATTCAACAATACTTTTTCTTATTTTTTTGTTTTTGAATAATCTTTATCCTTTCAACTGTGCTATCATTTAAAAATATATTAAGCTAAAAGTAATAAAAAGGTCAGTTACAGCCAGGTGTCTCATGCCTGTAATCCCAGCACTTTGGGAGGCCAAGGTGGGTGGTTGGGAGTTGGAGACCAGCCTGACCAACATGAAGAAACCCCGTCTCTACTAAAAATACAAAATTAGCTGGGCGTGTGTGGCGCATGCCTGTAATCCCAGCTACTCAGGAGGCTGAGGCAGGAGAATTGCTTGAACCCGGGAAGCAGAGGTTGTGGTGAGCTGAGATCATGCCATTGCACTCCAGCCTGGGCAAAAAAAAAGTCACTTACTTTTGCTCAATTAAATAGAAGGATATTTATCTAACTTAATAAAAAGTTAGCATCTCAAAATCTAGAGCAAATATCTCTGTGGTAATATTGCCTTTCCTTCATCATCACAAAATGACTTGCAGCTCCAGCAGAGACATGTACAAGAATATTCATGGCAGCACAATTTATAATAGTCCAAAATTGGGGAAAACTCAAATTTCCATTCATTGTACAATGAGCACATCAACAAATCATGGTGTTTTTATATGACTAAATACTATGCAATAATCAGAATAAAGGAATCTCTGCTATTCTCCATACCATGGATGATTTTAATAAATATTTTATGCATTTAGATTTCAACACCTAGGAAAGCTGATCTGTGGTGTTAAAAGTCATAATAATGGTTAAATTTAAGGAGTAAATGGTATCAGGAATTGTCATTACAGGCCATTCTAGATGCTGATAATAATCTCAATACTGATATGAATGACTGTAACACAGGTAGTTTACTTTGTAAAAAAAAAAAAAAATTTTTTTTTTTTAATTTTTTGAGATGAAGTTTCACTCTGTCTCATGGGCTGGAGTGCAATGGCATGATCTCGGGTCACTGCAACCTCCATCTCCCAGGTTCAAGTGATTCTCATGCCTCAGACTCCCGAGTAGCTGAAATCACAGGTGCGCACCACCACACCCAGCTAATTTTTGTATTTTTAGTAGAGACAAGGTTTCGCCATGTTGGCCAGGCTGGTCTTGAACTCCTGACCTCAAGTGATCTGCCCACCTCGGCCTCCCAAAGTGCTGGGATTACAGGTGTGAGCGCCTGGCCTTCTTTGTAAATATTTATGGATCAGTAAACTTAAAATTTATTTACATATCTGTGTTTATGTATCTTTCAATAAAAAGTTTACATGATAAAATGATCAATGGAAAAGTTAAAACAAAGTATTACTGGATTTAATAACTCAATAATTAAGTTTAATAGCAGATTGTAGTAGTTGAGGAGACAATTATGAAGCTGTAAAGTCATCAAAAAGTAGTTAACTGACAAAACACATCAATCTATATGTTAAACATAAGATTAAATTTAAATGTTAATGGAATAATATTCTAATTAAAAACTTAATATTTAATTAACTAACATTTAATTAGAGACACAGGATTGAGAGATGAGTGCAGGTTGGGGAGTACTTCGTAGTGGGAGAATGAAGCTCAGAGAGATCTTGTGGCTTCTTCAGTTCAGTATGTTAAGGTGCCATATTATGGGGTATCATTTTCTGACCCCCAACAATGCAATGATTTTATTTCTGAAATATTCAATGAACATTAAAATTGTACAAAAAAAATACTTTGACTTTATATGTCTCACAGAATTAGATTCTTTGATTACTAACTTGCTTTTCAACTATACGAATGGTGGGCCATTCAAATCAAATAGAAGGTAAAACAATTCTCTGTTCCATGTGACTCAAAATGCATTTTGAAGACAGTTTTAACACCCCTGTGATTTCATCCCTGACCAAATCAATCAGCAGTTCCCATTCCTTAGCCCCCCAAACACCAAATCATCCTTAAAAACCCTAACCTCCAAATTCATGGGGAGGCAGATTTGAGAGATATTGCCCATCCTCCCCACTCAGCGGCCCTGCAATTATTAAAATTCAAAATGACAGGATGTCTAATAGTCTTGGTCTTCAACTACTAAATAGCAGTTCTCTCTTATTATTGGGACAACCACAAATGTCCCCATGTATTTCCTAAATATTCCCTAGAAGAGGCACTGTCTCCATGGAGAACATTATTCCCATGTAGAAGAATAGTAGAGTGCTGAGAAGCTGAGATAGTAATGTCTATGGATCACAGTTAATAAATGACTATTGGAATACATTGCCAATATACACATGTGCAATCATATTGAGTAAACCAGGGTATGTCTATAAAGCATGTACAGTTCCTACAATCCATAGGCCATTGTCTTTGGCAAAATATCTGGCCCCCCATTCAGTTTCTTTCTCTTTAGCCTCCTACAACCTACCTCTTTTCAGCCCTTCAAGTACTTCAAGATCAAGCTGTCCCTTCTCTGGGCTGGTATAAGGGCAGAGAAAACAGTGTTCTTGTTCTGAAGACATAGGCTTGCCTTTGAGATGATAGAAATAATCCCTGAGGCACAATTCTGGTGATAATGAAGCACCATTATATGGAGTAATTTAACTCCTCATCGCATCCAACAACTCCACTAAAAAATAGATTGTAGCTTCCCCTTTTCCACAATCAAAGTGCCCACTAAAGTGTTTTTGGAAATGTAACTGTCTTCATTTAAATGAATCTAAAAACGGCTGATAGCTTTAATAAACTTTTAACTGGCTTCTAGACATCAAGTTTTCAAACAAAACATTGAATTCTAGTCCTAGAGCCTCTCATTATATTTAGTTTGTTTGCACACAAAAAAATATGTGTGTAAACTCTGATCTGTTAACTGACATTTATCTTGTATTTCTGTCTTATTCAAAACAAACTCTTGCATTCATTTCCCCTTGAAAAACAGGGAAATAAAGAGAGAATTGGCAAAGAGAAACAAAATCCATGTTATGGCCCAGTGAGGTTCTTCTTGCCCACTGCATGGAAAACACCAATACACTGAGACAGTAGATGTTGCAGCAAAGAAATAATTTTAATAATTGCAGGGCCGCTGAGTGGGGAGGATGGGCAATATCTCTCAAATCTGCCTCCCCATGAATTTGGAGGTGAGGGTTTTTTAGGATGATTTGGTGTGTGTGGGGTGCTAAGGAATGGGAACTGCGATTTGGTCAGGGATGAAATCACAGGAGTGTCAAAACTGTCTTCATGTCCTGAGTGACTTCATGGGTGGGAGTCACAGAACCAGTTGAATCAGTTCTTTGGCATGGGTCATGGGTCTGGGTGGCATCAGTTGGTCTACCAGAATGCAAAGTCTGAAAAATATTTGAAAGACCAGTCTCAAGTTTCACAAGTTACCTGTAAGAGCAATTGGTGAAGTTATAAAATTTGTGAGCATTGGGTACAAGAATCCTGAGCAGTAAGCAATTATAAAAAAGCAAGCTAGGAAACAATGACCAGCTATTGTTTAACTATGCCTATATCTTAGCACAGTTCAAGCCCCCAACATAATTGTAACCTGTGGTCTTTCATTAGTCTGATATAGTCACTTTCAGTCCCCAAACAAGGAGGCGGGTAGTTTTGGGACAGGAATTATGCTGAATTCCTCCCATAGTTGGCTTGGCCTACATACAGGAATGAGAAAAGGCAGGTAGCTTGAGGTTAGAAGCAAGGTGGAGTCAGTTGTGTTAGACTTCTCTTACTGTTATAATTTTGCAAAGACAGTTTCACACGCGTCTTGCCACCTCCATCCCCTGGCTTGGGCCCTGCCCTGGGTGGGTTTATTTATACCAGATTAATAAAAGCTTTCAGTAACCTTTATAGAATATCTCTGAAAGTAACATTATGAAGAAACTTTGTTTCAAATTGTCATAAAGTATTTTGTCTAATCAATTATAAAACAGATTTTAGTCATTTTAATTTACATAAAACAGTTTCCAACCACAGATGTGTTTTTATGGAATAGCTTCATTACCTATTGAATGTGCTTAGAACTTTAAGCTAAACATCCTTGTTTTTTACTTTTTTGGTCAGGCACAGATGGCAGCATTACCACATGTATGATTTATTTTTGAAGTGAACTTATATAACAAACAACCCTACTATGCATATGTATATTTTCATAACTTTAAACAATTCTAAATTCAAATAAACCAAGCATTTTTAATTTATTTTGCTAATTATGAAAATTCACTTATCTAATCTGTAAATACCTTTTCCATCTGGTATATAACATAATGATACTCTTTACTGTCACTGTTAATCAAGCTGTTGATTTCAGAATCATCAATTCAGATAGCATCTGGGCATCTTTCATTCCATTGTAGGTGATTGATATATTCAGACAGATACAAAGAAACCTCATAAAAAGCTGTTTGACTTCATGGAAACACTCTAAATAAATATGTCACATAACAAAGACTAATCAGTTAATATTTAAATGACTAAATAATTTAAGTCATGACTATGGCTCATTGGTGACAACGGGCTAACTTTGTTAACATCACTATAACATTTTAAAGAGCTTGGAAAAACATGCTATTTTCACCAGAAAGTTTAAACTTGTGCAAATGTCCAAAACCATATTAGATAAAACCTGATCAATAACCATTACCTTAATAATACAAAATGGTTGCTATGAATTTATTCTAAAGGAACTCTGAAATATTTGTATATTTCTCTATGAATTTAGCTAATTTTTAGCTCAGTTACTCCTGGCGTAGCCTGTGCCCAAAGTCTGCATGTTTTATAATATGATGTGTGCAAAACAACCTTTGGAAAATAATATTAAAGCTTTTCTAAGAACCATCATTTCTTTAGCATATCATCTAAAGTCATTAAATTATTAATATTAGATACCATGAAAATAGTTCTTAGAATAGTCAACTAGAATGTAAAGACTAATTTCCAATTTATGAATCATACAGATTCTTTATGTTTACTTTTCCTTTTTCATTTATCAACATTTAAGTCACCTCATTAGTTATTTCTGGTTCCATAAAGACAAAGATGAAGAAAACATGGGAAAATTCAAAGGGCTGAATTTGTAATTTGCAGATATGATACACACTTTCTTGAAAGAAGTTCACATTCCTAATGAGCTGCTCATAAGTCATTTGCAGATTTCAGTAGCCTTTAGTCTTCAGTACTCTTGGTGCCACAATATTGACTGATAAGTTTTATTTTTTCAATTGTGTCATTATTGTTTAACTAGATTGTCACACTAAAGACCATTTTTATAATACTTTGTAAAAGATTTCATTTTAATGAGCTATAATCTCGAGTGTAAGAAACAACTATATCATAATTGTTAGGTTTCTTTTTTTTGTTTTTGAGACGGAGTCTTGCTCTGTTGCCCAGGCTGGAGTGCAGTGGTGTGATCTCAGCTCACTGCAAGCTCCACCTGCTGGGTTCATGCCATTCTCCTGCCTCAACCTCCCAAGTAGCTGGGACTACAGGAGCTTGCCACCAGGCCCGGCTAATTTTTTTGTATTTTTTTAGCAGAGACGGGATTTCATCTGTTAGCCAGGATGGTCTCGATCTCCTGACCTCATGATCCGCCTGCCTCGGCCTCCCAAAGTGCTGGGATTACAGGTGTGAGCCACTGCTCCCAGCCATTGTTAGGTTATTTTTAATCACGCATAGAACCTAGCCCAAAACCTCACAGAATAGGCTTTTGATAGAATATGGTTGAATATATTAAGTATTTGCATTGTTTTAACTATTAGGCTGCTGTCTAAAAGGGGCTATATCAAAACTTATGATCATTATCAAAAATCCATCATATTGGTCTTCAAGTGAAGATATTGAAAAACACAGTTTACAGGACTTTACAAAAAGATTCACATTCTTAAGAGACTGTGATAATGCCAGATGGCAGATTGTCAACAATGATATTTTACAATGTTTACAGAAGTCATGGATCATATTCTAGTAGAAACAGCTTTATTTTCCAAATAGGATTCTAATTTATACACCACTAAGGCAAACAGGGAGTCACTGATCTGGAAGCTCATAGTCATGCCGTTAAAGTGAGATGGTTCCAAATTTATGACACTTTATATTTTTTACCTGTTCCTTTGGCCACAATGGTGTCCCTTGTTTTTTACCTGCTTCCCCCACACGTATCTAATATAGAATGTTGGACCTGGGAATAAACAACACTTTCATTCAGAAAGGGGAGGAATGGGAGACGGCACTTAGCAGTTCTGAAATCCCTCAGGGTAGACATTGTGAAGGCCTCATCAGGAGGTGGTGACAGGCCTTGATCAGGTCTGATTCCGTATTGTAACAGCTCCTCTCCATTCAGTTGGTCTCCATGCCCCCAGGTCCACCTTCTGAGAATGTCTTCTTGCTGTTATACTCACTGGTTACATTGGAAGTGGCTGTTTGAAAATATGTCCTTGGAGGCTGACCAGTGTTTGCAGCCTGGTTTCTCATAATTCATATAGGTCTGTTGTATGTAGATATAAAGTAATAAGAGGTAGGAGAATAATTGTGGCCACAATAAAAATATCAAAGACAGTTAAAATAACAGAAAGCAGTGGTTTCCATTGTCACCTTCTCAGAAGCCTGTGACTATTTTAACAGACTTTTTTTTGGTTGCCTTCTACTTCACATCCCTTCCACTGTTTTTTTAGTAGCAGAAATGAGATGGAGTAGAGAGTCCCATTTTAGGGCCCTACAGGCCACCCCAGCATAGAAAAGACGGAAAATCTTGAATTCCTTCAAGGGAAATTCCAGGCACCTAGTTAGCCCTGAGAAGTAAATAAGTAACCTGATTAGCAAAACAGCAATAATAGCCTCAAACAATAGCCAAGGAAGTTTGGGTCCAGATGTGTTTGGTTTCCTATAGAAACTAAATATAGCATTTTAACATATGTCCCATAGTTGTCTTTCAGAAAACCAGCCTCCCACCGAGATCCCCATAAACGGATTCACTGGCACATAAACCCTAGATAAGGAGGAATTGAACACTAAGCTCTGACCACTGTAATTTGTTCTAAATTTCTTCCTGAGGAGTTTGGAGGGAGTCACACACCCAGGCTAGTTAACACTTTTTTTTTTCTGCTGACCCCAAATTTTTAAACAAAGCTTCTCTCTTCCTTCACAATTAGAAGTCAGAAAGTTTTTGAATGTACCTACCACCTATAAGCCCCCCTTCAACATATCCCACCCTTTTAGGCCAAAACCAATGTGTAACCTCCATATATTGATTTATGGTTTGGCCTATAGTTTCTGCTTTCCTGAAATTTTCCCCTGCCTTTAAAAACTGTTACTGCCAAGCCATCAAGGAAGTCAAAATTTGAGCATTAGCTGCCTGGTCTTACTTGCTTTGTACCTGTAAATAATAATGCCTTCGTTTCTGTCTCTGCAAAAACCTCTATGTGGATATCTGGTTTTACTGCACCTGGCAAGTGGACCCCAGTTTTGTTCGATAACAGCAACAAAAGAGCCGAAGCTGAGTCATAAGCAGCATCTCAAGGAGGCTGTCCATTAAATTAGTATCACTTCTATCCTTTCTGGTTTGGGTGTTTTTTGTTTTTTGTTGTGTTTTTTTTTTTCCCAAACCTATGATTTACTCAAATATATTTCCAATGGCTTTTTTTTCTTAAGTTTAACCAGAGTTTGTTTCTGTTATATAAAACCAAAGAATCAAAATTGACACACTCAAATCCAACTTTGGTTTCCACTTCCTGAAAATGGTCCACATTAGAGATTTTGAAACTTAAAAGAGACACCTCAAGAGTTCTGAGAAAAAACATCCATACTCCAGAGCAAAGGTTCTTAACCTGGGATCTTTGGATGAGATTCAGGTAGCACCTAAACCTCCCACAATTGTACTTATTTTCTTTTATAGAAATTCATAGCTTTCATCAGGTTCTTTTTTAAGAGGGGTTGGGGGACAGGGTCTCACTCTGTCACCCAGGCTGGAGTGCAGTGGTATGATCTCGGCTCACTGCAGCCTCAACCTCCCAGGCTCAAGTGATCCTCTCACGTTGGCCTACTAAGTATCTGGGGCCACAGGTGTGCTCCACCACCACTCCTGGCTAATGTTTGTATTTTGTGTAGAGACAGGATTTCACTATGTTGCCCAGGCTGGTCTCAAGTTGGGGTCAAGTGGTCTGCACACCTTGATCTCTCAAAGTGCTGGGATTACAGGTATGAGCCACAGTGCCCAACCCTCATCAGGTTCTTAAAGAATATGTAACCATAAAATACTGCTGTTCTGGAAATTTAGTTTTCAAATAGCATAAGGAAGTACAACAATAAAAGATTTTCATCTAGTGAAATTTTTTTTTTGAAGAATGGCTTAATTACTTGGAGAAATTCACTTGGAAATAATTAAAGCTATTTGATATTAGAATGTATCTATAAACCAAAAATAAAATTCTAAGCTCCCCAATCAATTAAATGGAACCCTCCTCTCAGCCAGGGTCATTCTTAACTTAACCTGAAAAGCTAGTTCAGGTCATGAGGGGATATGGGGATCAGACATACCTCATTATATTCTCCTCCCATTGGAATTCAGGCACAGCTGACTAGCATTAACATTAAAACAGAGATGTTAAGACTTACAAAGTCAACTCTTTGTAGCAATAAGATGCCAACATGACAGATAGCAGGCCCTAAAAGAAATCAAAGTATTTTACCCCAAAATATATTTCTTTGGTATATTTTGAAATGGCCCTGCAAAGCTGCCTCTTGTGGGGAAAATCTAAATTCTGTAGTGAATCTTCTTCCCTTTCCAGGTCTTTTTCCAGAAGAGAATTAACTAAGAGTCTGGCACCTTTTTAAGTCTGATAAGAAACATTTGCAATCAATTCTCCCTGAAGCCCGCTACCTGGAGACTTCATCTACATAATAAAAGCCTCCATCTCCACAATTTCTTATCTTAACCCAGACACTCCCTTCTACTGATTCCAGGTCTTTAGAGAAACCCTTTCAACCAATGGCCAATCAGGAAATCTTCAAATTCACCCATGACCTGGAAGCCCATCAACCAGTCCCTCTTTGAGTCCTTCCACCTTCTCAGACTAAACCAACATACATCTTATATGTATTGATTGATGTCTTGTGTCTTTCTAAAACATATAAAACCAAGCTGTAGCCCAACCTTGGGCACGTGTTCTCAGGATCTCTTGAGTCTGTGTCATGGGTACATCCTTAACTTTGGCAAAATAAACTTCTAAATTAATTGAGATCTGTCTCAGATACTTTTTGGTTTACATATCTACAAAAGATATTATGAAATTTATTTCTCTGAAGGTCCTGAAATATAATGTAAATTCTTTGGTTTAAATTTGTCCTCCTTGAAAAGACTGAGTTGGTTATCTTGGGAATTTTGAATACTTTCCAGTCCTATGCTTCAAGATTTCATATTGTGAACAAAAATAGGATGATATGTAAATACAAAATAATTTATCATGTCAGAGCTGTAGGCCAGCAGGTTTTAAGAAGGGAATAAGAGCAAAGAGATGTTCTACAGGGAGCAGGTCTATGCAAACCTACCTCCAAGTCCAAGGAAGCTAAGAAGCTGAAGAAAGAGACTGACATATCCAGTTTCTCAGAAGAGAACATTTAATAAGGATTTACAAACAGAAACCATGTCTGTGTCTCAGATGGCAGCAAGACAAGATAGTGGATTCCTGCACCATTACCCACCCGACTCAGAGTTTATTTGCCATAGAGAAAGAATATGTGATTCAGAAGGGATATGTAGGAGAATTGAAGTACAACAACATCAAGGTTGTTTTGATGTAAGGGCAGTACATTTAGGTAAGTACATGCCCTTACACAAGGAATAATAGATAAACTGGAAATCTTAAAGGCCTTCCCAGAAATGTCATTAAACAGAAGGCAACATGACAGATTAGCATCCAAAATAGAGTTGCTTTGGCCTCCACAGGTATTTAGCTGGAAAGTTTCAATTGAGAAGTAAAGGTGGGGACTCTCTCTTTCTGGAGTAGAACTGTCATGTGGGAGGTTAGAGAACTGAGGTGAGTAAAGATTCATTGGCTCGAATTAGTACACCACCCAAATGTTGCATTTGTGAATGTCAACATGAATTTTTGTTTGTTGTTTAGCAAACAAACCTCTTTATGTTTACAAAAGTGTTAAATAGATCCAAACACTACGGCAAGAAAATAAGCGTGTTTCAATCAGGGAGAAAAATAGAGTGCTTACTCAAATATACAACTTTGCAGGCTTTGGTGTTCTTGTAAATCTGGTGGAATAATTAATTGAAAGGTGTTTTCTGTCCAGGCAGCTTTTGGTAGAACTCACCATCTATCTCAATGTACGCAAATGTTCTGTTCCACAAGTTAAAGACAGAACATGAAGAAAACTGCATGTGATTTACACTGCCAAGAGAATTTGGAAGTTCAGTATACTTATTTAAAATTGGAATTTAGCCCAGACTCTATTCTTGATAAAGGGAAAAAAGAAAAAAAAAAACACTTTAATAAAGTACAAGAACATTGGTTAATTGAGGATATAACACACATTTTCCAAGTAAAATTTCTGTTCAATCCTGCATAAAGGGTCAAGTGTGGCTCTTGATATACCAGTTCACCTTTTACATTTAAATAACAAGTTTCTTACCTTGGTGAAAAAAGCCAAAGCCTAAAATATTTGAAAAGGTTTATTCTGAGTCAAATAAGAGTGACCATGGCCCATAGCCCAGCTTCAAGAGGTCTGGAGAACATGTGCCTCAACTGGTTGAGTTACAGAGGTGGTGGGTTTACAGTGGTAACAGAAGTTACATGTAAAGACATAAGTCAATTCATGAAAGGTATATATTGGTTCAGCCTGGAAAGTGGGTCACTGGGACATCTAAAGGGTGAAGGAGCTTACAAGTCATAGGTGGATTCAAAGATTTTCTGATTGGCAATTGGTTGAAAGAGTGAAGTTTTGCCTAAGAAGTTGAAGTCAGAGCAGAAAGAAATGCCTGAATTAAGATAAGGGAGTTGTGGAAGCCAGGGTTTTGTTATGTAGATGAAGCCTCAGGTAGTAGGCTTCAGAGAAAATCAATGGTAAATGTCTTTTCTTGGACCATAAAAGGTGTTAGATTCTCAGTTAAGTCTGTCCTGGATTAGGAAAAGACCTAGAAAGGGAAGAAGATACTCTACAGTTTTCCTTACAAGAGATGACTTTGCAGAGCCATATCAAAATATGTAAAAGAAAATATATTTGGGGATAAAATACTTTGAATTGCTTCAGGATCTCCTATGTGTCCTGTGATGCTATACCAGTCAGGTCGGACTTCGGTATCTTATTGCTACAAACAGTCTACTTTATCAGTCTTATGATCTCTATTTTATTGTTAATGCTGGCCTGTTGTGCCTAAACTCCAAATGGAGAGGTTATAACAGGCGTGTCCAACTGCCCCCCTTTCCTGTCATAGCCTGAATTAGTTTTTTCAGGTTTCTTTGGCATTCCTTTGGCCAAGGGGAGTCCATTCAATTAGTTGGGGGGCTTAGAATTTTATTTTTGGTTTACATTTATCTATTTGCTTTTCCAAAAATCTATTTGATAGACTCTGACTTCCAATCTGATTTTTTAGCCTCCCCACAAATCACAGTTGTAAATTCTGGAAATGATGCAGCAGAAAACCAAAGTAGAACTCTGAAAAGTGGTAAGAAGGTGAGCTGATTTTAGACCTCATGGCTGGGGGAAAAGCACAGCAGCACGGAGGCTTGCCTTCCCCCTGCCACCCACCCAACACACAAATGCTACCCAGACCTATTGTTTTCTGACCAGCAAAATAGCAAAGGAAGGAAGCCAAGGTAGGTTTTGTTTTCTCCTGCTTAGAATGTGAGTCCTTCTGACAACATCAGGTGAACAGACACCACTGGTAATGGTGATTGATTGACAGCCTTGCCATAAACAGGCAGCCAATGGAAACATTAACGTTCCCTGCCTGTCCTGAGACTCCCTTTTTCCACTGAGAGGTACTGAGCAGGTCAACGGAGCTGGCAGAGGGTACCAAGCTATGGCTGGTGCCTGGTCAAGGAAGCCTATTTGTCCCCATGAACTCAAGATTCTTCTCCCACCTAGAGATACAGATACCAGGCAGGGAAACAAAGAACTCAGTTTATAGCAAGTAGCCCTATATAGGAAGTCTTTTTGTGCCTGCAGCAGGAAAGTCTTCTCCCCTGGCCAGAGATAATAGAGAAGGCAGAAGGCACTGGTAGGGGAATCCCACCATGCCCCATTCCCATTAAGAGACATCCAGCAGCTGGCCTAAAGAAACCCTATTTTGTCCCTTAGGCAGCACCAGTAGAAACCAATGTGAACTCCCAAAGCACCAGATAAACCAGGTGGATGAAAATAATACCACAAAGGCTCTGACAATCAAAATGCCATTATACCTACAACCTACAAAAATAAGCAAAGACCTGTATGCTAAAACTAAGCAGTGAGACAATCCTCTAAAATAAAAGATTAAAATAAGACTCAGTGTTTCCTGACAAAATAGGGGGGAAAGTCTAGAATGAAATTTAAAATAACCTTTCATAACAAGAACCAGAAAATCACAACTTGAATGAGAAAAGGAGTTGATATCAACACTGAGATAAATCAGATGTTGGAATTATCTCACAAAGATTTTATAGTAGTTATCATAAAAATGCTTCAGATATCAATTATAAATTCTCTTGAAACAAATTATAAGTAGAACATATCAGAAAAAAATAGGAGTTATTAAAAAGAGAAATGGAAATCGTAGAACTGAAAATACAATAAAAGAAATAATCTGGCCGGGCGCGGTGGCTCACGCCTGTAATCCCAGCACTTTGGGAGGCCAAGGCGGGCGGATCACGAGGTCAGGAGATCAAGACCATCCTGGCTAACATGGTGAAACCCCGTCTCTACTAAAAATGCAAAAAATTAGCCGGACGCGGTGGTGGGCGCCTGTAGTTCCAGCTACTCGGGAGGCTGAGGCAGGAGAATGGCGTGAACCCGGGAGGCGGAGCTTGCAGTGAGCCGAGATAGCGCCACTGCACTCCAGCCTGGGTGACAGAGCGAGACTCCGTCTCAAAAAAAAAAAAAAAAAAAAAAAAAAAAAAAGAAATAATCTGATGGAAGAGCTCATTGGTAGAGTGGAGATGACAAAGTATAGAATCAATGAATTTGAAGCAGAATAATCAAATTCACTCTTATAACAAGAACCATTGTGAACAATAGGAAGAAAACAGATTCCTTAAAACGTCAAAGCCTCAGGGACCTGTAAGATGATAACAAAAAAATCCATCATTCATGTCAGCAGAGTCCCAGAAGAAAAGGAGAAAAAGTGGGGCTGAAAGAGTGTTTGAAGAAATAATGGCTGACACAAGACACAAACCTACGGATCCAAGAAGCTGAGTGAATCCCAAACAGCATAAACTCAAAGAAACCTATGGCAAAATACCTAATTAAAGTTTTGAATAGCAAAAATAAGGAAAATGTCTCGAAACCAGCCAGAGAGAAATGATACATTATCTATATGGGAACACTCACTTAAAGGATGATAGATTTCTCATCTGAAACCACAGAAGCCAGGAAGAAAGTGGCATAATATTTTCAAATGCTGAAAGAAAAATAAATAAATAAATAAAACAACTGTCAACACAGAATTGTGGTGAAACTATCCTTCATAAATGGAAGGAAAATAAAAACATTCTCACGAGGAGGAAAACTAAAAGCATTATCAGAGATATGGTGGTTAAAGGAAATTCTCAAAAAGAAAGAAAAGGATAAAAGAAGTAATCTTGCAGCATCAGGAAGGAAGAAGGAATAACAGAGCATTTTTCTAATGAGCTTTATAAACTTATTAAAATTACAAATTATCACAGCATCTTGCATCCAAGATGATAATATTTAAAGTTTGGAAATGTAAAGGAACTCAAATGGAAGTGAGGCTTCTATACTTCACTCGAAGTGGTAAAATGTTGATACCAGTAGACTGTTTTATATATATATATATATATATATATATATATATATATATATATATGGGTGTGTATATATATATATGTGTATTATACTATATATGTATATATACACTATATATATGTATACATATAAATATATGTTATATATGTGTATATATACTATATATATATCTAGAGCAACCACAACAAATTATACAAAGATACACATTCAAAAACTCTAAAAATAAATCAAGATAACATCTTAAAAATAGCTCTTCAAGTATCTCACAGGAAAGTAAGACAAAAGAAACAGAGAAACAAAACCAGAACAAACCAGTAGTAAGTAAATAATAAAATGGCAGACTTAAGTGCTTACATATCAATAATTACTAAATGTAAATTATCTAATAGACCAATCAAAAAAGATACATTGGCAAAGTGGATAGAAAAGCACAGTTCAACTGTAGTGATTACAAGAAACTTATTTTAAATTTAGCAACATGGGTAGAAAGGTAAAAGTGGGCAAAATCATGCAAATATTAATATTTAAATAGCATGAAAGGCTATATTAATATAGCAAAGAAACTAGAGACAAAGAGCGATATTACATAATAATAAAGGGATTAACCCACTAGGAAGACATAGCAAGCCTAAATGCATATGTACCAACTAACAGAGTTTCAACACATATGAAACAAAAATTGATAGAACTGAAAGGAGAAATAAGCACAAACATACTAGATTTCCATAGCCTCCCCCAGAAATTGATAGAACAACTAAGAAGAAAATTAGCAAGGACATAGGATATCCTAAAAACACTGTCTATCAATAGGATCTAAGTGACACATACAGGTTGAGTACCCTTTATCCAAAATGCTTGGGACAAGATCTGTTTCAGATTTTGATATTTCTGGATTTTTAAAATACCTGCATTATACTTACTGATTGAGCAACCCCAATTAAAAAAACAAAAACTGAAATTTAAAATGTTTCAATGAGTATTTCTTTTGAGCATTATGTTGGTGCTCAAAAAGTTTTGGATTGCAGAGCATTTTGGATTTGGGATTTTAGATTAGAAATATAAAACCTATATAGAACACTGCACTGATCAACAGCAGAATACAAATTTTTTTTTGAGTGCCCATGAAACTTCACCAAGGTAAATTATATTCTGGGTTATAAAATAAGCCTTGACAAATTTTAAAAACTTGAAATTATAAGAGTGTTCTCTAACAATAATGGAGTCAAAGTACAAATCAGTAACAGAAAGAAAATCAGAAAGTAAATACATGAAAATTAAACACAGTTTAAAATAATTAAATAATATATAGGTCAAAGAGGACATCTCCATTGAAATAAAATAATATAGAGAGCTTATAAGAAGAAAAAACCCAGAACAAACAAAAATAATAAATATAAGAGAAAAACATCAATAAAGTTAAAAATAGAAAAATAATAAAATCAATTAAATAGCAAGGTTGGTCTTCAGAAAATAAATTGATAAATCTCTAGCAAGACTGACAAAAATAAGAGACACAATCACCAACAGGAATAAAGTAGATCCTGGACTCATCAAAGAAAAAAGAAGAAAAAGATAATATTATGAATACTTTTATGCTCACATATTTTACAACTTAGAATAAATGAACTAATTCCTCGATGACAGCAACTACCAAACTCAACCAAGATTAAACTGGCCATCTAAATAGCCCTATGATGATAAATGAAATATAACTCATAATTTAAAAGCTCCTAAGAAAGAGATCTCAGGCCCAGATGGTTTCACTGATGAAATCTTCCAAACATTTAATAAAGTATAAACAACGATTTTACATGATCTCTTCCAGATAATAGAGATAAGGGAATGCTTCTCAAATCATTTGATCTGAAACCATTGATGATATCAAAACCAGACATAGCCAGTATAACCAAGGAAAACTAAAGACCAATATCTCTCGTGAACTTAGACACAAAAAATCCTCTACAAAATAGTAGCAAACAAAACACAACAATGTATATTAAAAAATTAAGCCCCATTATGAAATGGGAATTATTCCAGGTATGCAAGGCTGATTCATCATTCTTAAATCAATGTAATCCACCACATCAACAGAATACAAGAAGAAAATTTACATGATCATATAAATCAATGTAGAAAAAACAATGAGCAATATTCAACACATATTTATGTTAAAAACTCTCAGAATCATAAAAATAGAGGAAAATGTTCAACTTGACTAAACATATCTCCAAAAAGCCTATAGCTAATGTCATACTCAATAGTGAAAGACAATGCTTTCTATCCAAGATCAGGAACAAATACTGATGTTGGCTTTCACTACTTTTATTCTACATACTGTAAGTTCTAGCTACTGCAATAAAAAATAAAAAAACACATGAAAGAAAGAAAGAGATAGAGAGAAAGGAAGGAAGGAAGAAAGGAAGGAAGGAAGGAAGGGAGGGCGGGAGGGAGGAAGGAAGGAAAGAAGGAAGGGAAATCTTTATTTGAAGATGACATGATTACTAATGTAGGAAATCTCAAGAAATCTACCAACCAAACCTTGTAGAACTAATGCATGAGTTGAGAAAAGTCACAAGATACAAGATTAACATGCAAAAATTAACTACATTTCCATACACTAACAGTGAACATATAGAAACCTAAATTAACAACACAATACAATTTATAATCCATTCCACAGAAAATAAAATACTTAGAAGTATCTTTAGCAAATTATGTACAGGACCTGTATGCTGAAATTTATAAATTGATGATAAAAGAAATTAAAGAAGATCCAACAAAATGAAAAGACACACTGTTTATAAATTGGAGGACTCAGAAAAGATGTCAGTTCTCCCCAGTCTAATCTAGAGTTTGAAGATAATTTGAAGATAAACACTTAAAATTTCTCCTAAGTTTTTCTATAGATACACACCAGCTTATTTTAAAATTTATGTGGGAAGGCACAAACCCTAGAATATCTAAAGCCATACTGATAAAGGACAATAAAGTAGGGGGGAGTACTCTACCCAACATTAAGACTTATCATCTAGCTATTACAATCAAAACAGTGGACTATTGGCAGAATGATAGACAATGGATCAATGGAACAGAATAGTAAATCCAGAAATATACCCACACAAATATGCCCAATTAATTTTTGACAAAGATACAAAGCCATTTCAATGGAGGAAAAATAGCCTTTCAGTAAATGGTTCCAGAAAAAGTGAACATCCATGGGAAAAAATAAAAAGAGAAAATAACCTCAACCTAAACCTCACAATTTAGACAATATTTAACTCAAAATGGATCATAGACTGAACTTGTAAAACTACAAAACTTTTAGAAAAAACATAGAATATAGTATTTGGATTAGACATGATTCTTAGATTTGATACCAAAAATCACAATTCATAAAAGGAAAAATATCAATGAATTGGGCATCATCATAATTAAAAATTTGCTCTGTGAAACATGTGGAGAGGATGAAAAGTCAAGCCGCACTAGGAGAAAATATTTGCAAACTACATATCTGACAAAGGACTAGTATCTAGAATACACAAAGAATTCTCAAAACTCAACAACAATCAATACAATTAGAAAATTGGCAAATGACATGAACAGATGTTACTGAAGAAGATATGGGATGGTAAGCCCAAAAAAGATGGTCATCATCATTAGCAATTAGGGAAATGCACATTTAAATCACAATGTGATATCATTACATACCTGTCAGAAGGTCTAAAATAAAATATAGCGACAATACCAAATGCTGTGAGGACACAAAGAAGCTAAATCATTCATATATTGATGGTAGTAATATGAAATGGTAAAACCAGTCTGAAAAACAATTTGGTAGTTCTTTAAAAAAAAATAAGCCTACAACTACCAGATGACCCAGTAATTGAACATTTGGGTACTTATCCCAGAGAAATAAAAACTTATGTTCTCACAAACACTTTTACAAGAATGTTCATAGTTGCTTTATTTGTAATTGCCCAAAATAAGAATCACCTCCAATGTATTTCAATAGTTAAATGACTAAACAAACTGTAGTGTACATATGTATGTGGATGGATGGATGGATGGATGGATGGATGGATGGATGGATGGATAGATGGATGGAGATAGATACATAGACACATACACACACAACTTGGAATAGTACTCAGCAATGAAATGGGATGAACTATTGATACATGCCACAAGTTGGATAAATCTTCTAGGAATTATTTTGAGTGAAAAAAGCCAATCACAAAGGGTTATAGAATGTATCACCCAATTTATATAACATTGTTGAAATGACAAAATTTTAGAAATGGAGGGCAGATTAGTGGTTACCAGGGTTTGGAAGAAGGTGTGTAGTTTAGTCATAAAGGTCCACACAAGGTACCCTCGTCGTGTTGGAAGTGCACAGTATATTGACTGTGGTGGTGGATACACAAACCTACCTAGATGATAAAATTGTATTGAGCTAAATAAACTCACACAAATGAGTTCAACTAAAACTATGGAAATCTGAGTATTATGGAAGGATTGTATCAATGTCAGTATCCTGGCTGTGACATTATACTACAGCAGAATACTGACTGGCTCTCTCCCTGAGGGGCTTGGGCTCTATTGAGATTTGCCCTGACCAGCTATGTTTTGCTTGCTTTATCCCTTGGTATGAATTGAATTATAGCAAGCACAAGGTTGTCAGCAGTCTCCGCTGCTCTCACAATGAGAAGTTCAAGGCACAAACAAGAGCTTAGCAGGGTGATGATAAACCATGAGGATGATAAAGAAACACTTTGAATGGCGAGATTTTCCTTAAAGGCTCAAAAGAAGCACTGATTGCTCCTTGAATTCTCAACCCACATACCAAGCATTTGAAACACATCCTCAATTATTTGAAATCAGTATATTAATCCTGGCTTCCAAAGAGAAATGAAAACTACTTAATTAGCATTCCTTTCCAAGTGACTTTTCCCATCTGTTACACTTTAATTTGGCTGGAATTTTGTGTGTTAAGACACAGAGTGAAGACAAGTTAATTATGAAATCGCTTGATGCTACATTTAAAGATCTGTTGAGGTGTGAAATGATTCCCAGGCCTCAGATGCAATGCTGAGTAATGGAGTACCCAGAATAATCATAATCTGTAAAGACTTAAAACCAAAGAAACCCAAGGAAGAAAAAAGTTTGATGTGGCAAATTAATTTACTTCAATTCCCAGCAAAATTAAATTTCATTATGTAAATTTTTTCATTAGCAAGACAGAAAATAGAGCTGTTTGTATAAATCTGCAGTGACTCAATATCCTCCCCTTAGTTCTCCCATATTCTTCCTTTTACTTTTCACTTCTATCCATCTCCTCCTCACAATTGCTAGAAGACATACACATGCTTATATCTCAAGGAAGGAAGGTCTGTTCACTCTGTGCTCTTTGAATACTTAATTAGACTGCACTCTATCAAAGACTTAATTAGACTGCACTCTACCAAAGAGTGCTGCCACTGGGTAATTCATGAGTCTATCTTGGTGTTATTTTGCTTCCCTTTAACATCCATTAATTTGCCGATGAGCGCCTCCCTGTCTTCGGTCTGGCAGTGGACAGAGGCTTGCTGTCACATTTTCAGGAACTTCCCACTTCACTACTCGGCCTCATTTACCTGTGTCCCCAGAAGGCAGATGTGTGGAACGAATTCAGGGTTTCCACATTAAAGCATTCCCGTGACCCAGTCTCTTCTTCCCTTAAAAATGACAACAAAGAGCAACATAAGAAGGAAACAAGAATTAATAAATGGTAGCTATATATGCGTTAGATGGAGAAAAAAATAGATTCCATTTGTCATTTTAAATTATGATGCACAAAATGAAAAGGCTTACTTTACCTTGGAGTCCAAAACAAGAGAGGCATCTCTATCAGGCAGCAGCAGGAGTGTAGAAACAGAGCTAGTGCTAGACCCCCAAATCTATGGTCCCGTCAAATGAACATTTATTCAGATTTAGTCAAATTTACACATTTATTCAAATTCTCCCACTGGCAGTCATATATAGTACAGGAAAATCTATTCCAAAAGCTCAGCACATCTTATAGCCTTAATTTTTTACAAAGTTAATACATGTTCATTTTAAAAAACTGGAACAAGATAGATGATAAGTTAAAGATAGATGATATATATTAATAGATGGATGATAGATAGAAATAGTAGCTGCAAAGTGTAGGCTATCTACTGTATCTGGCACTATTGTCATTGATTACTACATTTAATTATCACAACGACCCTGTGAAGTAGAATATTCCTGATGTTCAGATTTTTTTTAAGCAATTTTAAGGAGTAAGGTGTTATGTTACTCAAAATCTTATAGTTAACAAGTTACAGAGCTGCGATGTGATCCTTTGCATTGTGTCTCAAGATCCTGTAATGAATGACAAGTATGCAATACAGACCTGGACATAATTGTTATTAATAGGGTCATTTCAGATCAGTCCAGGCCTTTTTTTTTTTTTTTTTTTACAAAAGTGAGATCATACTTATATAATACTCAGCAACTTGCTCTTTCTCACTCAGCAATCATAGATAACCTTGCATGTCATTCTGCATACATCTCCTTAATACATTCATGCTTTGGTTAACAACTTTCCTGCTTAGCAACATACCTGAAACTGTGCCACTGTGTAAAATCATTCAATTGAAAACGATATTTACATCAATTTTAGTGAGAAAAAATATAATTCCTTTCCACCCAACCTAACCTTTCGACCCTATTTTTCTCTATTTTCATGGAGAAAAATAGAATGACAATAAAACCAAGCTCATATAAACAATAAAAAACAATTTGAAGGAAAATAAAGTCAGTTTTTCCTAAATGAAATAAATGTAATAATGCAGTGAAGCCTTAGTGGACTCACTAGGAAGGAAGAGAGTGTGAGTTGTGTGGTGAAGGAAAGGCACAGGGAGTCATTTATAGAAAGTGGAGGGAGTACAGCAGTTAACTTTCAGCCAAGGGAGCAGTATCTCATACCAAGTGGAGTGGGCTGCCATGAAGGATGGCAGAACCTTTCATTCCTTTTCCTTCTTCAGTCCTCTTTTATCACAACCCATCTTTTATTTCATGCTTAAAGTTTTTCCCGCTTTTCTTTCTATAACATTTACTTTTTCACTTTTTGAGACAATTGGGGGCTTGGGATTATCTTTAATTCAATTCATAAAGTTGCAACACAGAATGTTTAAGGCACAGAACACAAGAACACTTGGAAACAGTGCATGCACGTAAAATGCCAGTCATAGAAATTGCTGTCTTTATCCCTCTTGGTCTTGGAAAATGTCTTGGGTTCATACAAATATGACAGCAGTTCAAATCTGTCCCACATCTCTTCTCTGCATAGAAACTGTGTTGAGAAAATTTCTGAGTGTGTTCTTGTCTAAAATAAAAAATATTATTTTTAGATTATATTTAGTTTGTATGTTTTCAGGTGAAAGCATAAACAAGAAGAGTCATCGAAAAAGTGGTATAAATTACCCCAAAAAAGTTATGGTGAAAAGTTACTAATTGAAAAATCATTTTACAGTAAGTCTATGATTTTGGTAACTTATAAAATTACATATAGTGAATAAACTATAAACTGTTTAACCAGTCCTTATTAATGGATTTTTAAATTAGCATGATTTTATACCATTGCAGATGATATTGAAATATGTGCTTTCTTTCTTTTTTTTTTTTTTTTTGAGATGGAATTTCGCTCTTGTCACCCAGGCTGGAGTGCAGTGGTGTGATCTCAGCTCACTGCAACCTCCACCTCCCAGGTTCAAGCGATTCTCCTGCCTCAGCCTCCTGAGTAGCTGCAGGCACCCACTGCCACACCAGCTAATTTTTTGTATTTTTAGTAGAGACAGGGTTTCACCATGTTGGCCAGGCTGGTCTCAAACTCCTGACCTCAGGTGATCCACCAACCTCGGCCTCCCAATGTGCTGGGATTACAGGGGTGAGACACCACAACCCGCTGAAATGTGTGCTTTCTTAAACTTAGCTCCTTCTGCATGTGTATAAGTATTTCTTTGTATGGATTCCCCAACATGGAATTGCTGAATTATAGGACATACATGGATAAAATTTTAATATATTACATCAGATTACTTTCCACAAGGTAACTATATTTTACATTTCCTCCAATGGTATGTGCAACTGGTACCTACTTTTCTATAACTTTGCTGATTCTGAAAATTATCCATTTGAAAAATTTCTATAGTCCTGGTGGGTGAAACTTTTTACTGTTTACTGCTGATGATAAACATCATTGTCAATTTCATTACCACCTGTATAAATATTCTGCAAATATATTTTCTCCATTTTTCTACAGACTTATTGGTTTTTTGTTATCCATTTATTGGAACTCATTTGTCCATTAGGGATATTAATATTTTGTAACATATTTTGTAGTTAAATATGTCATTGTTTTCTTTATGGCAGATCAGTTTCTTTTCTTGCTTAAATAGGGTGCATTTACCATCATTAGTTTATCACAAAAAGGAGCCAATATTTTTTTCTACTGTGGTTACAGTATTCTAATGTATATTTAGATTTATCTGAAACTTATTTTTATTAAGCTATGTATCATAGAACACACTAGTGCCCACCAATATCTGATTCACCTCTCCTGCCTAGGCATCCAGAGATAATACTTCCTGATCTCTAGGCAGATTTTAAAAAGGACTTTTTGTCTAGTTGTGGCAAATGGATATGAATAGATGTGATGCATGTGAGACTTCCATGGTGGAGCAGAAAACAGCTCCTTTGTGATTTCAAATCCTTTGTGTATTAGTCCTGTCTCACACTGCTAATAAAAACATATCCAAGACTAGGTAATTTATAAAGGAAAGAGGTTCAATTGACTCACAGTTCAGCATGGCTGGGGAGGCCTCAGGAAACTTACAATCATGGCACAAGAAGCAAGCATATCCTTCTTCACATGGTGGCAGGAAGGAGAAAAATGAGTGCCCAGCGAAGAGGGAAGGCGTTTATACAACCATCAGATCTCGTGAGAATTCACAATCACAATAACAGCATGGGGGAAAGTGTTCCCATGATTCAATTATCTCCACCGGCTCCACCCCACGACACGTGGGGATTATGGGAACTACAATTCAAGAAGAGATTTAGGTGGGGACGCTGCCATTAGCCTCTTCAAAATCTCATGTCCTCACAATTCAAAACACAATCACACCCTTCCAACAGTTCCCCAAAGTCTTAACTCATTCCAGCATTGACTCAAAAGTCCAAGTCGAAAGTCTCATCAGCGACAAGGCAAGTCCCTTCCATCTATGAGCCTGTAAAATCAAAAGCAAGATAGTTACTTCCTAGATACAGTGAAGGTACAGGCATTGGGTAAATACCAAAATTCCAAATGGGAGAAATTGGCCAAAACAAAGGGGCTACATGCCCCATGCAAGTCTGAAATCCAATAGGGCAGTCATTAAACCTTGAGGTTCCAAAATGATTTCCTTTGACTGCAGGTCATACATCCAGGGTATGCTGATGCAAGAGATGGGCTCCCACAGCCTTGGGCAGCTCCACCCCTGTGGCTTTACAGGGTATAGCTCCCCATCCTGGCTTCTGTCTCAGAATGGCATTGAGTGTCTATGGCTTTTCTAGGTGCACAGTGCAGGCTGTCAATGGATCTACCATTCTGGGATCTGGAAGACAGTGACCCTCTTCTCACAGCTCTACTAGGCCGTACCCCAGTGGTGACTCTGTGTGGGGGCTCCAATCCCACATCTCCCTTCCATACTGCCCTCGCAGAGGTCCTCCTTGAGGGCTCTGCCCCGGCAGCACACATCTGCCTAGACATGCAGGTGTTTCCATACATCCTCAGAAATCTAGGTGGACGTTTCCAAAGCTTAATTCTTGACTTCTGTGCAGCCACAGGCCCAACACCATGTGTAAGCTGCCAAGGCTTGGGGTCCACACCCTCTGAAGCCACAGCACAAGCTGTAACTTGGCCGCTTTTAGCCACAGCTGGAGTGTCTGGGATGCAGGGCACCAAGTCCCCAGGCTGCACATAGCAGGGGGCCCCGGACCTGGCCCAGGAAACCATTTTTCCCTCCTAGGCCTTTTGGCCTGTGATGGAAGGGGCTGCCATGAAGGTCTCTGGCATGCCCTGGAGACATTTTCCCCATTGTCCTGGCAATTAGTGTTTAGCTTCATGTTACTTACGCAAATTTCTGCTGCTGGCTTGAATTTCTCCCCAGAAAATGGGTTTTTCTTTACTACTGCATTGTCTACCAGCAAATTTTTCAAACTTTTATGCTCTGCTTCCTCTTGAATGCTTTGCTGCTTAAAAATTTCTTCTGCCAGATACCCTAAATCATCTCTCTCAAGTTCAAAGTTCCATAGATCTCTAGGGCAGGGGCAAAATGCCATGAGTCTCTTTGCTAAAGCATAACAAGAGTCACCTTTACTTCAGTTTTCAACAAGTTCCTCATCTCTATCCGAGACCACTTCAGCCTGGACTTTATTGTCCATATGACTATCAGCATTTTGGTCAAAGCCATTCAACAAGTCTCTAAGAAGTTCCAAACTTTCCCACATTTTCCTGTCTTCTTCTGAGCCCTCCCAACTGTTCCAACCTCTGCCTGTTACCCAGTTCCCAAATCACTTCCACATTTTAGGGTATCTTTACAGCAGCACCCCACTCTACTGGTGCCAATTTACTGTATTAGTCCATTCTCATGCTGCTAATACAGACATACGCAAGACTGGGTAATTTATAAAGGAAAGAGATTTAGACCTCTCACAGTTCAGCATGGCTAGGAGGGCTCAGGAAACTTACAGTCATAGTGGAAGGGAAAGCAAACATGTCCTTCTTCACATGGCAGCAGAAAGGAGAATAAGTGCCCAGTGAACAGGGAAGCTTCTTATGAAACCATCAGATCTCATGAGAACTAACTCACCATCATGAGAACAACATGGGGGAAACCACCCCCATGATTCAATTATCTCCACTGGGTCCCTCCCACAACATGTGGGGATTATGAGAACTACAATTAAAGATGAGATTTGAGTGGCGACACAGCCAAACCATATCACTTTGCTTCTCCATTGGCAGCAAATGTGGAGACCACATATTGAAATGTCAGAACTATGAGATCCGAGCAGTGTGGATCTCCAAATCACATTTGGAGGCCAATAACTGTGAAGATTCACCTGACCTACAAGGATTTTGTATAAATGAAAAATAAACAATTTGTGTTTATTCACTGAGCTCTTCCAGGTGTGTTATTAACCTTTTGTTATTAAGATAGGCTTCATGTATCCTGGCTAATTTAATAAAATATGACTTCAAAATAAACAGTTGATAGGCAGACAGACAGACAGACAGATAGACAGATAGTGAGATAGCATTTTCTTCCAAAGATAGTTGAACCCAAACCAAAAACTTTAATATCATGAATTTAATGCTGAACAAAATGAAGACACCACAGAATGCATATTGGATGATTTCATTAGTATAAAATTTGAAAACAAAACCATAGTGTTAGAAATTAGAATAGTGGTTACATTTAGGAATTAGAGAGTTTCTCGGGGAATAAAAGTAGAAATATGAGATGATGGTATTAATCTATTTTTAAGTGATGATTATATGAGTTTTACCCATGTTTACCATGGTTTTAAAACTAAATATATACGGTGTCATTATATATCCTACAAAATCATTTTTTTCACTTAGATATATGTTATAGGTATGCTGATATGCAGAGATTTCATTAGATTTAGTTCATCCAAAATTTTAGCTTGCCAAAATTTTAAACTTTATTATGACTTCTTTTTGACTTAGGTATTATACAACAAGGCAAGTAAAATTTACTTTCCAAGATTTTTTCTTCACTAAGCTCTTTCATATTCTAGGACAAATTGGCACTACTTTAGTACAAAACTATTCTTTTTCCTTAAAAACAGTAGCATAACCACACTTGTATTTCTCTGTCACTATTGTTCCTAATACAGTCTTTATTGTAAATTTTAACCAAAATAACTGACTTTCATCTCTCAGAAAAACCTGCAGGGATGTATAATTGAAGACTGTTATATATCAGCATTTTAACAGACTAGCAAGGCTCATGAATACAGACAGCTCAGCTTTTCCTGATATGTTGAAACAATTTCCCTGCTCACTGCATTGTCTGGAATTCTACTCATTTCCTCTGGGCTTTTTTTCTTGTATTAGTATTTAATAAGTACACCCTTCACTAATGATTTCAGTGAGAGTCCACAGTTGCAAGCTTCCTCAGACCTTTTATCACCCTTGAAGGAGAGTTTGACCACGAAGGGAACTCTGGGGAGATGGTTGAATTCCTATGGCCTTTTAAGGATATTACTTCATTGACTTTTGCCATCCATTTTTGCTGATAAGATGCCTGATGTCAGTCTAATCTTGATTGTTTTGTATATAACATGATTTTTTTCTCTCTCTGGCTGCTTTTAAGATATTACCTTCGACCTTGTTCTGCAGTTTCATTCCAATATGTATAGGTGTGAGAGCATTTCTGTTTATCCTGATCAGCACTCAGTATGTGCTTTTAATCTAAGAAATTAGATCTCTGTTTGCTTCTGGAAATTTCTCAGCTGATACCTCTTCAAATAGTGATTTCTTAGGCATTCTCTCAAGTGTCTAGTGTCTGAATTTCTGAGATACATGTTGGAGCCCCTCTTTCTATTCACCGTGACTGTTAACATCTGCTTCATATATATTTGATTTAGCTTGCCATGCCAAGTTCTAAGTAAATTACTCGTTACTACTTCGCTAAATTGTCCTTCAGTTATGTCTAGTTGAAGTTTATCCTCTCTTGAGGATATTTTCTTGACCATCATTTCAAAATATTTACATGATTTACAATTAGTTCTTTTCTATATGCACCTATTATTATTCTTTCTATTAATTTCACAATTTCATATTTTAATTTCATACTTTCTTGTTCTTGTTTATAACTTCTTGATCTTGTTGCATATGTTATTTCTGCACTCACAGTGACAAGTTGTGAGCCCTAGAATTAGTTCCCTAACTTCTCTGTCCTGTATCCCCATTTGTGAGATGAAGGTAATAGTAGCTACTTTATAGTTCTATTGCTTTTATCAAATGATATGATACATGTAAAGTTCTTAAAACAATGTCTATATATTAAACACAATTATGATTATTATTTGAGACAGAGTCTCGCTCTGTTGCCCAGACTGGAGTGCAGTGGTGCAATCTTGGCTCACTGCAACCTCTGCCCCCTGGTTTCAGGTGATTCTCCTGTCTCAACCTCCCGAGTAGCTAGGATTACAGGCGTGTGCCACCACGCCCAGCTAATTTTTGTATTTTAGTAGAAACGGGGCTTCACAATATTGGCCAGGGTGATCTGGAACTCCTGACCTCAGATGATCCGCCTGCTTCAGCCTCCCAAAGTGTTGGGATTACAGGCGTGGGCCACCGCACCTGGCCCACAATTACGTTTTTGTATTATTCAGAGTGTTCTATTACTTGCATCTCATTGACAATAAATTGTCGGGTTTCCATGTTGATTTTGTTGGATGTCTTTCTTAACAATATTTTTCCTTGATAGCCATAGAACTTCAGTTTGCAGGCTTAACTTGAATGTAAACACTTTCGCCCTCTCTCTGCCTTCACTATTCCCCGTGTGGCACTGCTGTTTTAGTTTCCTTCTAAGTGGTCCCAGGTCTTATCCTGTCAGCTTAGTGTTCCTATCCAGAAATTATACCAGAGAGATCAGAGGTCTGTGCTTGGAGGGGGCAAGTGGCTTGTCCCAGTTACTGGTTGTACCACATTCTTCCTCCATACCTTAGAGCTTCCATAAGTCATAGCCCTCGACAGTGAGCAGGCTCCTGTCTAAGCCTAATAAGATGTCGCATGAAGGCGTCTTTTATAGGAGGAAGAATTCCACCCCAGCCTGTAACTTGGGACAATGACTTTGGCTTATATTCCCTACCTCTGCAGGGTGTGTTTGGTCTCTATCATGCCACAGAACTCAAATGCTTGTTTCTGTTCCTCTAAGAAAATATGTCCACAGATTCCGCTCTAGTTTCTACTGTGCGTTTCTGTTCCATTTCTTTCAAAGAAAATCTAAATTTTGAGTGGGAAACATTCTTTTTATTTTAATAAACTTCTTATCCATTTATCTATCATTTCTAATTATTTGGTGATTGGGAGGAAATGGTAGTGGGGACGTGTGGGAGTGCAGTAGAATTTAGCTTAATGCAGCTAAAAAGTAAATGCTAAACACCATCTTGACTAAAAAATACTCAGAAGCTTGTGACTAAGGACTTTTCTTTGTGCGGAAAAAAAAGAAAATTCACACCAAGAAAAGAAATGTTTCATTTCATGAAGCTAAAAATCCTGACATCATCCCAGAACTATATGAACCAGGGTTCTGCTAACAGCATTAGATGCAAATGTGCATGACTTACACACTTGTTTCTTGCCATGTTAATGATTTTCCCCTTTCAGTTTTTTATAGGACTTGGTTACCTGAGACAGTTAACATGATCCTTTACTGAAGATTATTGAGTTTTCCTTTTATAAACAAAAAACTGCTAATTGGCATAATGTTCTACAATGAATTTGGTAGGTCATTTGAAATTGCTTATACATTAGACTTTTCGTTCCTCCTATGTTTTACATGTAAATGAAGTTTTAGGTCACAAAATGAAAAAAAAAACTCTGTTCTTTACTGAGCACTAAAACAACTTAATAGATAATAATTAGACAAATGGGGCTTATGACAGCAGTTTATTAGAGAGAGGACTGAATTGAAAAGCATGAATTGATCTATATCCACAATCAGGTTACATAAAACATCCAACTCCCACTGAGCCTGCCAGCAGCAAATCTCGGGCCTTCCCCTTGCAAGGGCAGAGTGTACCTTAGTAATCATGCTAAGATGAGCAGAGCATGGGGCTTCCCAGAGACAGGATACACATCGAATCTGAATGCACTTCATTCTGAAGAAACAGAGCCCAGCCTCAGCTGAGTCACGCACTCCGATGCAAACTCCTTCTCCCGAATTTGCCAGTCAACTCAATCCATCCTCCCCCAGTGAAGAGAATGTGAGGAGGGGAGAAGAGGGACGATGACTCAGGTTGGGTTTCCTCAGAAACAGACTCAGACAGAATTTAGGAACAAATGATTGATGAGGGAGATGATTCCAGGAAGCACTGGCAGGGGAATGGAAAGAAAGGCACAGCAGGGAAGAAAGTCAATGCAGGCATCTACTGGCAAGTTACTACTGTGGACAAGTGGGGCTCCACCTTGCTGGGACCCCTGCATTACTGTGTGGAGCATGTCTTAACATTGCCCCACACACTAGCAGAGGCAGCTGAAGTACTGTTCAGCCAACCCTTTCCTTTGCTGGAAGAGAGCTGCTCCTGGAAGCTATAACTCACCAGTACTGCTAGGGTGTCCCAATCAGGTGAGCAGGCTCCTGTGGCCAGAGGAAGCTCCCAGGTAGAGAATCACAGTTGTTTGTAGAAAGAAGCAGGAGTACTAAGCAGAACAGGAAGTACTGTGGGGTATCAGTGGGGCATGGGCAGCTTCTGCCAGGCACAGGCAGCTCTCCCTGGTGCTTCCCAAAAGATGAAGTTCCTATATTATGGGTCAAGATAGAACATCAAGATCTTAACTGTGACCTCTCCTGTATGTCAATTTCTGTGAATCAGGAATTTTGGCATAACTTAACTGAGTGGTTGTAGCTTGGGATCTCATGAGGTTGTGGTGAAGACATTGGCAGGAGCTACAGTCATCTGAAAGCTTGACTGGGGCTGGACAATCCATTTTCAAGGTGGCTCACTCAGAGGCTATTGCCAGGAGCCCTTGTTCCTTACCACAGGAACCTCCCCAGAGGGTTTACTGTCCTCAAGACATGGCAACCAGCTTCTTCTGGAGCAAATGATCTAAAATAGAAAAAGAGAGCAAGCAAGAAGTCAAAAGTTCTTTTACCAGCTAATTTTAGAAGTCTCATACATCATTTCCTTTGTATTCTGTTTGCTAAAAGCAATTTACCAAGACCAGTCTATACTCAAAGTTAAGGGAATTAGACTCGACTTCTTAAAGGGAAGAGTATAAAAAAGTTATAGAAATATTTTTAAATTACAGCAGGTGCCAAGCACCCTTGATATTCTAAAGTGAGGTGCTAGGCATCACTTGCAACTTGTATGAGACATTAGGTGGAAAGGTCCAGAGAACTTATCTGAAGTTAGTTTTTGTGTTGTCTGAATCCTTGCAACATAGGGAAAGGGATGAGTGTGTTTGCCCCCACCCCGCTGCTTAAGCCCAAGTGAGAGGGGTTTGAAGGAAACTCTTGAGAGAGTTTGGCCTGTATGTTCTGGAATATGGAGACCATGTGGACTAAATTCTGAGAGATATCTGAAAAGTCAAAAGGTGAGAGGTCATGTGCACAAGCCCCACATAGCAGAATGAGAGGCATTAAAGAGCAAGTTTCCTCTCACCTCAGCAGGGAAAAGGACAGAGATTTTCAGAAGTGTGAACACTGTGAGGTGCTGACTTGACATCATCTGGAAAAAAGACTCACTCATAGGAAATGCCTGGAGCCACAATATGACCCCATCTTAGTCAGCTTGGGCGGCTGTAACAAAATACCACAAAGACTGTGTGGCTTGAACCACAGAAATTTATTTCTCCCAGTTCTAGATGCTGAGAAACCAAGATGATGGAGGTGTCAGAAGATCAGATGTGGTGAGGACCTGCTTTCTGGTTTTCAGATGGCCATCTTGTCATTGCATCCTCACATGGTGGAGAGCAGAGAGGGAGAGCAAGGAGGCAAGCTCTCTTGTGTCTACTTCTTTTACCTCTCTATTCATTTGACTTCATTCGCATTTTATTTTTTCCAGCTTTACTGAGTTATCATTGGCAAACAAACATTGTATACATTTAAGGTGTACAACGTGATGTTTTGACATACATGTACGTTGCCTAGTGTATTAGTCCGTTCTCTCATTGCTGTAAAAAAATAACTGAGACTGGGTAATTTATAGAAAAAAAGAAGTTTAATTGACTCATGGTTCTGTGGGCTGTACAGGAAGCATGGCAGCTTCTGCTGCTGGGGAAGCCTCAGGAAACTTCCAGTCATGGTGGAAGGCAAAGGGGGAGCAAGGCACCCACATGGCAGGAGCAGGAGCAAGAGAGAGACAGAGGTGGGAAGTGCTGCACACTTTTAAACAGCCAGATCTCGTGAGAACTCACTCACCATCTGATATGGTTTTGCTGTGTCCCCACCCAAATCTCACCTTGAATTATAATAATCCTTACATATGAAGGGTGGGGCCAGGTGGTGATAATTGATCATGGGGATGATAACTGATCATCAGTTTCCCCCATACTGTTCTCAGGGTAGTGAATAAGTATCATATGATCAGATGGTTTTATAAATGAAAGTTCCCCTGCACAACTGTCTGTCCTGCTACCATGTAAGACATGACTTTGCTCTTCCCTCATCTTCTGCCATCATTGTGAGACCTCCCCAGCCATGTGGAACTGTGGGTCGATTAAACCTCTTTCCTTTATAAATTACCCAGTCTCTGGCATGTCTTTATTAGCAGCATGAGAACAGACTAATACACCACCACAAGAACAGCACCAAGGGGATGGTGCCAAACCATCCATGAGAATCTGCCCCCATGATCCAATTACTCCCACCAGGTTCCACCTCTAACACTGGGAACCACAATTCAACCTGAGATTTCGTGGGGATACAGATCCAAACCACATCACCAAGTGATTGTCACAATGAACTGAATTAACATATCCATCACCTCTCTTGGTTACCTTTTTATAATTTGTGATGAGAATACTTAAGATCTACTTTCTTAGAAAATTTCAATTATATATTAACTATAGTCACCATGGTACACATTAGACCTCTAGAACTTATTCATCTTATAACTGAAAAAAATGTGTACCCTTTAACAGACATCTCCTCATTTCCTCCAGACCCCCAGCATTCCTGGCAACCACCCTTCTGCTTTCTGTTTCTGTAAGTTTGACTTTTTTAGATTCAATGTATGAATGATACCATACAGTTTTTGTCTTTCTGTTTCTTTTACTTAGCATATTTTCCAGGTTCATCCATGTCATCAAATGTCAGGGTTTTCTTCTTTTTTAAGGCCGAATAATAGTCTGTTACATATATACAATGCATTATATACATATATATGGAGAGAGAGAGCGTGCTTGCACATTTTCTTCATTCATTCATTCATCTCTTTTATGAGGGCACTAATCCCATTCATGAGGACTGTACCTTCATGACCTAATTTATTCCCCAAAGCCCCACCTGCAGATACCATCATACTGGGGAGATTTAGGCTTCCATATATGATTCTTGGGGAAAATAGACATGTAGTCCATAGCAACTGTTAAGAGATGGGTGGAGTACTGTGAGTCCAATGGCTGAGCTGGCCATCACACCCTACTGCCAGATGACAGGCAACACACCTTTCCCACTTCCAGGGAGCTGCAGGTCAAGGACCACCAAAGATTCACAACCAACATCCGACAGGAGAGCTTTGACCATCTAGTTGGCCAGAGGGCACCAGCACTGGATGACATGTGTACCAGCCTCTAACCCTGCACGCTTTCTCCAGATTCATCTGTCACTCTGGACCTAATTCCAGAGGAATTTTTATAAAGTAACCATCAAGTTAGGAAAGATGTGTAGCCAGGAAGTAGGGAGAAAGCCAACTGTGCCTCCAACCTCCCCGCCAGTCTCTTGGGCCTGGTTAGGCCAATGCTAGGGGAAGGAAGAAGCTTGGCATCATATGAGCATCCAGAATTTGTATTATAACAGTGGAAGAATTATGTAATAATTAGACTGAACCAGGCTAATAATTTATGGCAAATGAAAGGATATGTGTGAGTATCTAAGACCTCATCAAAAGTCCCTAGCATCCCCCAGGGTAGAAAAATAACTGTCTTCCAGAACTTTAGCCTTTATCTGACAAATCCAAAGCAGTAAGTAAACCAGCTGTATTTGAAACGTTAGCTAGGGAGAGATTTGGATCTTTAGAATTAGAAAGCAAACCTTTGTGTAGTGGGCAATAAGATATATTGCTTTGTGCCAGCTTTGGGGGGAAGCTCTGTTATTAATTCTATTTTGAATATGGAGACTCTAATAATGAGGAAAGAAACCATGCTAGTTGTCTGTGAAAATTGATGAGCTGAAATCCTGGAGATAGAATTCCTTGAGAGCCAACCTAGTCCTACCCTGTGACTGATTTTCCTTCTGGGCATGACTTAATCACTTGGCTTCTTTATAGCCATATCCTGGCCCAGATGGTTACCACGTTTCACTGTATGAATCTTATACCAATTTGCAAACTCATTGAATTTGCATTCTATCTGTGTTGGTTAATATTTGAGTGTCAACTTGATTGGATTGAAGGATGCAAAGTATTGTTCCTGGGTGTGTCTGTGAGGGTGTTGCCAAAGGAAATTAACATTTGAGTCAGTGGACTGGGAGAGGCCGACTCACCCTCAATCTGGGTGGACACCATCTAATCAGCTGCCAGCACGGCTAGGATAAAAGCAGACAGAGGAACGCGGAAGGACTTGACTTGCTGAGTCTTCTGGCCTTCATCTTTCTCCCATGCTGGATGCTTCCTACCCTCAAACACTGGACTCCAAGTTCTTCAGCTTTTGGACTCTTAGACTTACACCAGTGGTTTGCCAGGGGCTCTAAGGCCTTTGGCCACATACTGAAGGCTGCACTGCAGGCTTCCCTGCTTTTGAGGTTTTGGGACTCGGACTGGCTTCCTTGCTCCTCAGCTTGCAGATGGCCTACTGTGGGACTTCACCTTGTGATCATGTGAGTCAATACTCCTTAATAAACTCCCATTCATATATACATCTATCTTATTAGTCCTGTCCCTCTGGAGAATCCTGATTAATACACTGTCCTTCATTTTTCTGTTGGTTCCCTTCTTGCTTACACTTATTTTAGAAGCCAGTCTCTTCCCATATACTTGGAGAAATAGAAACTTTTCAGAAAAGGTCTGAGAAAGATATTATTTCTGGTCTCAAAGAGTTCACCTTCTAGTTAGAGTGAGAGACTGGACTTGCCTAGACTTCTCACATATGTATTCTTGTTCCTGAGCCTCTTAGGTGGGTTTGTGTCCTGCTTTCTGCAAGTACATCGCAACTTGGTCTCTGCCTCAGTCACCCCAGGGAACTCTGAGTTCCATATGCTCTGTGTGCACAGCAAGGACCTCTGTGTGCACAGCAAGGGCCTCTGTGGGCCTGACTCCCTGAAACAGGGGCAACACTGCCATCCTCTTCTTAGTCAGCTACATGAGTTCAACTACTTCCCCACTCTCTGCCTCCTCCCTGTCCTTCTGTCTTCCAAAGGGAGAATTTTACCAGACCAGTTCCAACAGTAAACACAGGTCCCTTTGAAGCATTTTCCCATCAATGTTGGATACCTTGGCTCATCCCCTTCAGCCTATCCACTGAGTGGTCCACCTCTAGTTTGGTGACTGCTTTTATTGTATGGCTAACTTTTAGTTAGTAATTAATTCATTAATCACAATTGTTTTCTATATTTGTCATAAAGGATTATTCATCTGTGTTTTTCCCTTCTCAGTCTTCATTCATCCATTCATACAGTCACTCACTCATTCATTCATCAGAATTCATTACTGAGTTCCTCCTTTTGTAAGGTCACACCCTACAAGCTGGGGGAGACAGAGATGAAGTCAGTGGTTCTGTCTCGGCTTATGATTATAGTCACCTGAGAATCTTCAAAAAAGAAAAAAAAAAAGATGCATTGCCCTGGCCCCATCTCCAGAGATTCCAAATGAATGAGTCTGGGGCAGCTCCTGAGCATCAGTGATTTTTAAAAGATTCCTGGGTGATCTGAAAGTGCAGCTAAGACTGAGGACCATGAGGAGATGAGGGCACGAATAACATGGATTAAAATGAAAAGGCAAGGCTATCCTGAACACTTCAGAGGGACTGCTCTCAGGAAAGCCTCCCAGCAGGCCTGCACCCTTGGCCTGCACAGGACTGACAGCCCTTCTATCTCTGCTCAGCCCCATTGACCACAAATTTAGCCACTGCTCAGGCGAGAGATGTGGCACATCTGACTCAAACTGAGCAAAGAGAAGACGGTAGCATGACTAACTTTCTCTCAGCTGAACAATAATGGTACCACCTTTCTCGAGGGAGTGTGCATTTTGAGAAACTGTGCGGCTGCCGCCCACCCAAGCTCAGGAGTCCCAACGCTTGGGCAGAGAAGATTTTGAGGCAGGTCTAAATGTCTCTAAAATTTGTATGGCTATAAAAAAGGAGGAGTTCATGTCCTTTGCAGGGACACGGATGAAGCTGGAAACCATCATTCTCAGCAAAATATCACAAGAACAGAAAACCGAACACCGCATGTTCTCACTCGTAAGTGGGAGTTGAACAATGAGAACACATGGACACAGGGAAGGGAACATCGCACACCGGGGCCTGTTGGGGAGTGGGGGACTGGGGGAGGGATAGCGTTAGGAGAAACACCTAATGTAAATGATGAGTTGATGGGTGCAGCAAACCAACATGGCACATGCATATCTATGTAACAAACCTTCACGTTCTGCACATGTACCCTAACACTTAAAGTACAATAAAAAATAAATAAAATAAAATAAAATCTGTATGGCTAGGTGAGGGTAATAGCTTACACTTCAAGGGAGGCCGATGTAATTCTGGAGATGTGACAGGCGGTTGCTGAGATGTTTAAAGGAGTAAGCAGAAAAGAAGGAAATTGAGGACATCCCGGCCTTCTCCGGGTCTTTCTGCTTCTGTGACAGGATGTAGAGTTAAAATCATGAGAGGACTGCAAGCCCTGCCCCTTCACATTCCTCCAAGCACTGAGAAATCCTATCTGGTCCCCTTCTCTGCTTTGTCAGGCTGAGGCCTGGCCTCTCTGTCCTGCAGGTGCACGGGTGTAAGAAAAGGACTGGAGCCCGTGTGAATAAACTGCTGAGAATCAGCCCTTCCTCCCATGGAAATCATATATTGGCTGGGGCTCCAGGGTATGCTTTGTGCTCCAGCGGTAAGATTTATTTCTTTTCCTTCTCTGTAGAAAATTCCCCTCTCATGGTGGCACAGGGAGAAAATAATGTCCTAAAAGTGGAGACAGACTGGGGCAAGCAGATGGCTGCGAAGGCGCCATTTCTCTGTGTGTCCAGCAGGGGGCGCCGATGACAAGCGCGCGGGCTGCGAGGCCGCACAGACTCTTACGCAACGATGAGGGCGCAGGCTCGCGGGCCAAGGATGCTGACGCAGGCCTGAGTCCGGAAAAGACCCGCACATCTGGGGCCCAAGTGGCCCATTTCCCCAGAGGCGAGCAAGGACTCTCAGGAATCGTCATCCTTCCCATGAAATCCTGGAAACTGCTTAGTTGAGTTTCTGGTTGACTTGCGCTGCGTGCAGCTGGCAGCTGCCGGTGAACCCAGTGACACTGGTTCAGTGCTCATGTTTGTTTTCCAAAAGGGGCTGCCCTGATTTTTGTTTTTTTAAGACTAAATAATAATAGTCATCATAGGCACCCTTTTCTGAACAGCCCCTCTATGCCTTCCCGGTGCTAGGGGTTTGATGCTGATTGTGTATGTTCCCCTGCTGTGTGTGTTTCATCCTCTCATCCTGCAGCAAGGAGCCCCACCAGTGCCTCCCATCAGACCTCCCTGCTGTGTTCAATGCAACTTGCTTTTAAAAGGGAGCCAGGGAGAAAGGGACGGAAGGAGGGAAGAGGAGAGGACACCAATCCCTTCCCAGATTCATTCTACCTGTCAAAGCGAGAGAAAGCTTGTGTTTGGAGAATGAACAGGAAACGATGTTATTTGATTGTCTTAAATCAGTTTCATCTTGCTGTTATTTTACTGTTTAAGGCTTCTGTTTGTTCTGTTTCGTTTTGTTTTCAATTTCCCTCAAATGCGTCAGTGATCTCTAGAATATTTCTGTATTCTAGAGAAGATTTGTGCTTAACAGGGAGAGAAAAGGTACAATGGGATTATTTCTGGTAAATAAGGCTGCTTTTTTAATCCCTTTGCTTTCTTAATTTTGTTAAAAGAAAAATTATGAAGTTATTTTTAAAAGAATTATAAGAATTCAAAACCAGGCTTCCTTCACTGAAGACATGTTAACTTAAAAATCTGGAAAATATAGATCTAGAAGAAAAAGCATAAACTGCACTTACAATCTCTTAGCCAAGCAATAATTGTTATTTAATTTAGTATATCAAGTAAGGATCTTTTTCTAATATTCTATATGCTATACTAGAAAGTGTTATAGTATTATACATAGATTAACAATCTATTGTTTTCTTTACTTAAAATATTTTGATAATTTTAAATATTTGCGCAGTGTTTATCATGTGTCATATAAATGTAACAAAATACATTCAGTTAATTTAATAAGGATGGATATTAAAGCTATTTTCACTATTTTTTTCTGTTTTTCTATTGTAAACATCACTAGGTCAATAACTTTTACATACATTTCTATTTCCTTGGGAAAAATCTCTAAAAGAAAAATTGAAGATCAGTGGATATTTAAAGCTACTCAGCATGTATTTGCAAATGGTCTTCTAGAAGCACCGAGCCAATTTGCGTTTTCACCAATGGTTAGGAGCCAATACCAGTAGAGTTCCTTTTCATGTGCTTTGACAATTTTATAGGTTGCAAATAGTATTTTATTGTTGTTCTAATTTGCATTCTTGTGTGTTTTTCTCTTGAATTTTTCAGACTCCTTTAAGGATCTTTCCAAAGGTCTTCAATTTTGATATAAGCAACAAAGAATAAGAGTGAGTAACAGCTAAAGAAACCAGGGAACTGTAGCGGTAGAGTGTAGCAGTGAAAATATTTAAGACTTGATGAAACAATGTCCCTTGCATAGACCGATGCTTTTATAGGCACTCCGGACCTGCAGTGGACTGTTTCTGTTCTCCCAAAATCCATACGTTGAAATCTAATCTTCAATGTGATGGTATCAGGAGGTAAGGCTGGGAGGTAATCAGGTCACAAGAGTGGAGCCCCCATGAATGGGATTAGTGCCCTTCTAAAAGAGGCCCCCAAGTGCTCCCTTGCCAGCTACTGGCTGAGGACACAGTGAGAAGACAGCTGTCTATGAGCCATGAAGTGAGCCCTCACCTGACATCAATTCTGCCAGCACCTTCATTTTAAACTTTCCAGCCTCCAGATCCGTGAGAAATAACTTTCTGTGTTTATAAGCCACCCAATGTATGTTTTGTTTTGTTTTTACAGCGGCCTGAATAGATTTACAGCCAAGAAAATTAGAGAGGGGATCCAGGTTGGAATTAGTCTTCAATCTGATTACTCAATTATGATGACTAAAAGCCCTACTGAGCACCAGAATTCTGGTGATTTTTTTTTCCCAAGGTAGCCTAACATAAGGCAAAATTGTAGCATGAAGGAAGGGGATGACTTCTGAGAAGGCTTTCTTCACCTTGTACAGAAACCCAGGAAGTGGGTTGTGGACACAGGTTTGCACATGTCACCTTGTGGTGTGCATATGTGCGTGCTCTTGGGAATGTCATCCCTCCTTATTTTACCTGCATGTGAAAGCAGCAGGAACCTGTGCTAGAAAACAGAGACAATTAGAAGATAGCTGTGCTTTGGGGAAGCAAGTCAATTGACTGAAAAACAATTTGCCAAATGTCCAATTTGTGAGATTGTAAGGATGTTTAGAAGATTTTCTTTTCCTCTTCACCCTATACTTTCCCTGTCCCTGTCTGTGAAGTTGGCCCAGACTATTTTGTTACAGAGGCAGGGTCATGTTCAGAAGCAGGCGCAGGAATTAAACTAAAACATAAGCAAAAACCCTCAATGAGTCAGTAAATTGGTCATTCATCAAGTTAATTTTAACAAATTGGCTTTCAACAAATTGGCCTGGAGCCCTACTTTGGCACCTTCTTCTGGAAATGTCTTCTTTTCCTCTTTTAGTCCTTTTCCGTTCAATGTTGTACTTCACCTAGACCTTGAGATTATGCCATTCACAATTATAATCTCAACATTCATCACTTGCCTTGGGAGGTACAGACTTAACTGTTGGCTGGCTAAACGTTTATGTGGAATCTTAGAGGACTTGTAACACTATTTAATGAAACACTCAAAACATTCAAAGTCTAAAGGGGGATGGTGATTTGGAAATAACTTCTCTTACCTATTCCTACCTGCCCTCTGGCTTCATTCATGGTCATAGGGCCTCAGTTTTTGGACAGAGAGCACCACCATTTTTGGCCATGCATTCTCTTTTTCCACAGCCCGTTTATATCCATCTGGTCACCACCTGCCAATGAAAAGTAAATAACAATGACTGCTCCCTCCACTGGCTTCTGTCCCTGGGGTGAATGGCCAGGAGTTTGAGCCACTGCTGGACAAGAGCCGTTGATTGCTTGAAGGCTGGCAAGGACAGCAGAGCCCTCATAGTGAACTGGCCTCTGCAGGAGAGAAAAAGGGATAAGCAGACATGCTGCACTGAGATTAGCTTCCTGCCAATTTCTCCTGAATTTTCCTAAAATAAAAGTGCATTTTCTTCCCAGCCTGATTACATTTCAAAAGCCCTCTTCTACTAGCACAGCCTTGGTAGATGCTGGACTCTAGAGAGGATTAAAGGTGGTGGGAATGGTAAGGATGGTGAATCCGGGATTAAAATTGCCCTGCCACACATTGGGTCAGAGCAAATATTTGTGAAGCTTGAGTTATTTGCAGTGCATCATTATGGTTTCTGTATGGGAAATGCCAAGTTATACTTCGATGTGCAGGGAGATAAAAATATATTTACCAACACAGGGTGTTATGTGTTAAATGGTAAGGTGCCAGAATGCTCATAAACTTGACCAGTACAAGGATGTTGTCAGAGGTGGTGTGGGAAGCAAAATTGTGGATCAGGTGCTGAAATGATTAAAGAAGATGGAAGACTGAGCTGACGACAGTATGCATTAATTAATGGAAAGGTATGGCCTGAAATGTAAAAGAGGAGATGTAGTTGAGTAAGAAGTGCAGCATCCTTTCATCTATCACACTGGAAATCCAGCAAAATCTGAGACCAAGTGACTATTTAAAGTCAACTATATAGAACTCCAGAGCTGGGGATGATTTATCTGCAGGAAGAAACCAGCTTTGCTCTGGGCTAAGAGTGAAAGCATATTAAATATGTAGCCTTTTAAAGAATCATATTTCTGTATCATCTATACATATATATATATACACACACACACACACTATTTCATATATATAATGGATTAAAGCAGATCATAACATAATAAATATCAAATTATTCATGTTCCTCTTTTGAGCCTCATTCTGCAGAAGGAACACTTTCACGCTTTAAAAAAGACAGGATCACCTCTGATCTATGAACCATTTTATTTCAAATACATCTTACTGTTACAATTTGGCCTACTGCTTGGTGGGGAAAGGCCTTTCCACGTTTCACTCACTGCAGAGCAATCCAGCTTTCCTGTGATATTCATCTGATGTTTATATCCATCTTTTGAAATATAGGGGCTATTAGATCAGAAATATTCCATGAAGAAGGGAGCAAAGATTCATGTCACTGACAACTGGAGAAGAAACAGAGAAAGGGTAATAATATCGTGGGACAGAATGGAGTCCCTTCCAGATCTTTGGAGGGCTAGCACCATATCCTTCCCAATCATTTATTGCAAGGCTAACTAAGGTCCTGAAGAGTGGGCCCCTTCAGTCTGAGGCCAAGAGGCCGCTGACCTACCCTGATATAGACCAAACTGTGCTTAGTTTCCCTCTGGAAGCACCAGAATAGCTGCACTGGTTGTACTGTGTCATTTCAGAATGCTGACCTCAACCCTTAGCCCATTTGTTTGCTGACACAATAGTTCTTTTTTTTTTTTTTTTTTTTTTTTTTGAGAAAAATAAATCTTTGTACTGCAGTTAGAAATAAAGCTTAAAGAAAAATCACTGGGATTGGTGACATGTTGCTTTAAGTTAAAAAATGGCTCTGCAAGGTGGGTATCCAAACCTTTGCAGCTGTTCTCCATGCAAGAAGAACAACTCAAGAGCAGCATGTCATGGGCAGCTCCCAGGAAAGGAGGAGAGAGGCTGGAGGCACCAAACCCATCCAAGCACTCAGTACTTGCAAAGGCGCTGGTCTCCTTTACTATCCAAACACCTTACACTTTCTAGGAATTCAATACACACGGATTAAAGCCCAACTTACTAAAACTAGTTATTTAGCATTAATAATTTGAATCTTTAAGTTTTAGCTGGTGAAGGACTATATAAGTTTTTATTTGAAAATCAAGCGTGTTTTTCTTTCTTTCTTTCAAATCAGGTACTCATGATGTGTGACAAATGGCATGCCTCCTGCAAGAGTTATGAGTTATGTGCCTAAACAGGAAGGATCATCTCATTGCAGAATTAGGGCATCATCCAGTGGGAAGGGAGTTTCAAGGTCATTTAGTCCAGCCTCCGAGTGATACAGAAATTCTCTTTGCAGCATCCCTATCACGTGGCCATCAAACTTCTACTAGTGTATTCATCCACACCTGGTCTGTCTAAAACCTTGAGAACAGCCCCTTGTATAGTTCAATAGCCCCAGCTGAAGGAAAAGTTTTTGTTATTTTCAGTAAACATATTCTGTTGTGTAACTTTGGTTGATCGGTTCCCCTTTAGCGACCCAGAAAACACTGAGCTCCCTCTGACACCCATGCCCTTTGACTGAAAGTCAGCCATAAAATAGAGCACCAGAGTAACTTTCCAGAGTCCCAGATTTGCCCCTTCGCTCCACTGCAAATCAAATGTGTGACCTGTGTTTCAATTCAATTAGCCTTTTCCTAAGGGTTTCACTGTTTCTGTTCCTGTGAGTTTCTTTTTTAAAGATCTGTATTTGTATATTTCAAGTGGAATTTTTTTTTTTTTTAGCAAACCACAACATTTTATTTTAAATTGAGAGATATGGTTTGATTTTTATTTTTATTGTGGAAAATTTCAAACATACAAGAGTAGATATAATATAGTAATGAATGCCTTAGTATTTGTCACCCAGGTGTAAATATATCAAATTGTGGTCAGTCTTTTTTTTTTTGAGACGGAGTCTCGCTCTGTTGCCCAGGCTGGAGTGCTGGAGTGCAGTGGCGCCATCTCGGCTCACTGCAAGCTCCGCCACCTGGGTTCACGCCATTCTCCTGCCTCAGCCTCCCGAGTAGCTGGGACTACAGGCGCCCGCCACTACGCCTGGCTAATTTTTTCTATTTTTCAGTAGAGACGGGGTTTCACGGTGTTAGCCAGGATGGTCTCGATCTCCGGACCTCGTGATCCGGCCGCCTTGGCCTCCCAGAGTGCTGGGATTACAGGCGTGAGCCACTGCAGCCGGCCAGTCAATCTTATTTCGTCATTACCCTCACCCCTGCTTTCTCCTCCCTGGATTGTTTTGAAGCAAATCCCACATACCATACAATGTCAGCCGTACCTTCTCATATGAACCTGGGAGCAAATTCTCCAAATGACAAAATCAATGGAAGACATTTGGGGGGCCTTGCCCTTATAGTGGGTGCTGGAGTTACAAAGGTGAATACAATTGTGCCACGTTTCGGTCTTTTTGGAAAACACTACCCCTCATGTGTCTGTAAAAATTGACTCTTCTTTTTGTGCTAACACTTCCTTTTTTGGCCAAAATCTTTCTAAAAATAGACAGCAAGCCCCCTCCTGCTGCCTGTTTCTTAAACTTTCCTCTCATGAAGGTGAGCTAGGATTGTACAATTACAATGCTTTGAGAATTTTGTTCCTTTTGAGCTGTCTTTACTTTTCAAAGCCTCTAGTCATGCTATTGGACCTATCTTTTCCTCTAATAATTAAAAAAGTCTCTATATTGTGTTATTCTCTGTCTTTTCATCCCAGTTTACTATGATTAACGTGGTTACCATCTCCCCAGGTTCTTCCCGTTCATTTACCTTCACCATTTCATTTCACCTTGCATTTCTTCCCAGTTGCTCAGACTTCACTTCACAGTAGTAATTTTCTTTTTCTTTTTTTGTACCTTCTGAAAGGGCAGTCTAATGACAAAGTCAGTCGATAATTGCTCAGAAGATCTGTATTCACCAGAAAGAGTCTTTCTGCTGATATTCAGAAGATCAAATTTTAAGCTCAGCATGAACCAAGATCCAGTTACACTGCACACACACAAACGGAAAAACCACCATAGTATGTATGAGGGAAAGATCAGACCATACAATCATTATGTGATAATGTATTAATAATAGATGGTATAATGAACCAAAAATTAGCTTGGCAACACTCCCAGGTACTTTTCATAAAATAATTTCCATAACCTGCTTTGCCTATGAAGAAGGGAACACATTATCCCACAATTACTTGGGGGTGGAATGATTAGCGTGGGTCCAGGACGCGGCCCGGGGACTCTGTGGTTGGCCTTACACCTTTCCAGACAACGTCCTTGGCCTCTCCCCTACTACAGCATGTGTAGCTGTGTGTGGGATGGAGGCTAAAAGCCTGGTTATGCTCCACAGAATGAATTCTTATGTCCCTGAGCTCTTCTCAGAAAACATGCAGGGAGTCTCTGCCAGCTGCAGAAGTTCAGCTCCTAGGAAGAGGGGATGAATTTCTGTGTTTTATTTCAATGGTGTAGCATGAGTGTGCAGAGCCAACAGTATGATAACTGGTGGTCCTCACGTATGTCTTGGCTACATCATCCTGTGACATGGTCCTGAGGCTGACCAGGGGATGGAGCTGACCGTCAGAGCCCCAAATTTAGCATGAGGCATAGCCAATATATGGGACAAAGGTCAAAATTTATGTCACAAAAGGTAACCTGGGACTTGCCTGTCACTGCAGATCCTGCACTCTACAACATAGCAGTGTTTAGTGCCTGTTTAGGTTGTAAGGGTCATCAGGTCTTCTAAGGAGTCACAGCATATATAGCTATATTTTCTGAATATAAATCTATGTGTTAAACGAAATGACACAGGACAGGTCATGGAGAGCATAGAAGAACTGTGTTTGGAGACTCATAAGTGCTCTGGTCTGGGCATCAGAAACTTGATACAGTTTGCATCACATCCAGGAGGAAGGATCATTCAGGCATTTGGATTTCGTTGCATTGCTGACATCTGTCAGAAACCCAGCTAACAGCCATTGGCATGAACAGCACAGTTAAAATGAAATGGATCTATTCCATGAGAAGCTCAAAACTGTAGCTGGTTTACAAAGTGTTTTTGTCTAGCCACATGCATCATCAATTTAATATTTCAATGTTTCAAGTTTATTTCCATGAATGAGATTTCATTTACCCCCACACACTCACTTAACCTATTGAGTGGTTCTAAGTTATTAACAAATACAGTCGCCAAAAAGGTGATTATTTTAGAAAGAACAGAGAAAACCTATCAGTTACATCTTTATTTATCTTAGACTTTTAGGCAGCGCCTCTAGAAAGTGCTGAGCAGAAGCTTAATATGGGAGTGAAGAAAACCAACTTGTTTATCTACCTCTAAGTCACAAAGGCTGTTCTGCACACAGCTATGAACTTCTGGGAATAGAAAAGCCACTTAGCAAGTTAGCAGGTGAGGTCAGAGTAGACGCATATTCTCTGGGCTCATAAATTAGCCAAGGAAGAGACGACACCCTAAATCATCTTTATGGGGCCTAAACTGTAGAGTATCAAAAGCAAATGCATATTTAGATGTAACATATTTGCCAAAATAATTGGACTTTTATTACATTTCCCCTGTGACCTTAATGACCTTGCATATATTTATCTTCCAACTAGACAACATATTTGTGGATACGTGTTACTCACACATAGGTTTCTGTTAACACTCAAACTGAACCACTCAAAAGGGGTGTCATTTGTGAAGTCCAGGGAAAATCATCATAAAGGCAGCTCTTAACACCTAGGTCACAGGGAGGCTTATTTGCCTAAAAGAAATGCTCATGTTACAAAGGGGTCCTTTCTGCCATTTTTGTTTGAAAACAGACTCCTCTAAAATATGCCGATATCTGTAGAAAAGGAGCAAGAAGAGTTCCCCTCCAGAGGCTGCTCCCTGGAGAGTCACAGAGATCCTCGCATTTCTCCCATAGTATTCTTCCCAGGCTGCCCATTTCAGCGCAGCATTGACCAACACGTTTCAAGTCCATAAGCACTTCCAAATGTTGAATTAGAGAATCTCATAATATATCCACAGATTAATCGAACTAATGATATTCATAGGTAGCCAGGATGGGTCACGTTTTTCAGCTTGTAGTTAAATAAAATCACATCTCTTTCTCTTGTATGCCTCCCCTCTCAATTAATTTTTCAGTTCCCACAGTTTGGTTTTTAGAAAAATATCCAGTATAACCTATTCAGGTTCCCTCCTACTGCCTTGTCCAAGAACACTATGGACTTATTCATTCCAAAGGGTTCATTCTGTACAAGAACACTAGGCAGCCGGTTGAAGAGAGAAAAAACTGGAAAGTCTGGTCAGTGTACTAGTTACTGATGCTGACACCAGGCTCTACTGCTAGAAACTGGATCTGCAGAATCTGAACCAGCCCTCCCTGGCTAACACTCAAAGGCTTTTGGTTGCACCAAAGTCACCCGGGCAATTGACCACATTCCTTCTTGTAGGTTTCTCTTTGGAAGACTTGGTTTCCATTCTTGCCAACGGATCTTTAAGTCATCCAGATACAAACTATCCTAACTTCAAACACAAAGTTCAGTCCTCGGTTCCTTGCTTCCCTGAAGCCCCAAGGATTCCACACCATTTATTTATTTAATTAATTAATTAATTTATTTATTTATTTATTTATTTTTTAGGGCACAGAGAGGGAAGCCTTCAAGTAGCAGAAGGCCCTGGTCTATTCTTTTCCCAGAACAGTTGAGTGTCTCTTCAACCTACCTAGGTATCACCAAGCTTTGGGTCACCCTATGCAGAATCAAGAATCCCCACTCCAAGAAACCTCATCATAGAAGACAGCACACTTGGAAAGGATCCTACTCCACTCAATGCCCAGTGACACCTGCCATTCTTTTGCTTTGCACAGATTTCTTAAAGTGAAGGGTGGAAATATCTCTGGATCATGTCTTTGCTCTAGTCTCTGTTATTGTGTTGTAATCTGAGAAAAATCATTTATTTTCTCCATTAAGAGTAGACTAGGAATTTTCTAACTTACCAGTTTAGTAGATCAGAAGTTTTTAAAGCTTTTCTTTAGCCTCAGAATCCTTTTTATTCCCTACATTTTACAAGTATGAACTTTTACTATCATATTCTCAGGTGTTCCTGAGCCATAATCTTACTTTCTGAAAGCAAATTTTATTTATTTTTTAAATGTTATGTTAGGTTCAGGGGTGCATGTGCAGGTTTGTTATATAGGTAAACTTGTGTCACAGGCGTTTGTTGCACAGATTATTTTTTCACCCAGATACTAAACCCAGTACCCAACAGTTATTTTTTTCTGCTCCTCTCCCTCCGCCCATCCCTCACCCTCAAGTAGGTCCCAGTGTCTGTTGTTCCCTTCTTTGTGTCCCTGTGAGTTCTCACCATTTAGCTCCCACTTATAAATGAGAACATGCAATATTTGGTTTTCTGTTCCTGCATTAGTTTGCTAAGGATGATGGCCTTCAGCTCCATCCATGCTCCTGTAAAGGACGTGATCTCATTCTTCCTGAAGCCAAATTTTAACATATGACACAGAACCCCCAATTTTTCTTAGGTAGAGAACTTAATCTAGTCAATCCCATTTAAACCTAATAAATTTTGTTGATGTCTCTATCATGCTGGGTTGAAAAATCAAGCACACTGAAGGCTATTTGCCATTTTCTACTTCCTCACTGAGAGAGGAATTTTATAAAATTAGAGGCAGTATCTCAGAGGAGAGGTAGGACGCTTTATGATTTTATATTTGTATCCCTATTCTAGCAAATGTTCTGGAGTTCGTTTATAGAACCAGCTTCCCCTCTGCACACAGAGGGTCGTGCTCAACCCACCCTTCCAGTTCCCATCTCATCTGTTGCGACTTTGAATGCTTCTTCTAGAAGACCAATTGCCGAGGCCTGTAGGCTCCACTGGCCCAAGGGTAAAGAGACATGGGCCTGCCCCATTCACTCTCTGTATTGCTTTGGCCATTCATCTAATCTCTTTGAGTTTTGGTTTCCTCGCTAGTAAAATAAAGAAATAAGATGGTCTCAAATCTTCTCCCACTTTTAGAATTATACATCTGATGAATTATGAACACTCAGATTCTTGGATTCTTCCAAGTCCTTTAAAGCAAACCCTATTACTCCTTGCAAGTAAATATTAGACAACCTCAACCCCTATCAATTCTGCAATTTACATGCAGTTCAAGTAGCTGAAGCATACTGGGCTTGCTGCCACTTACTCTAACCTGTTACAGTGATCTTTGGACATAAAAGTTTTGTCTGTTTCATTCTAAAATCAACAACATGAGGTATTGCAGAGCCACAGGGTAAGAACCTGGATATGAGAATGGAACAGCACTGGAAGTCAGCCAAGCACGATTTGTATACTAATTCCAGCTCTGAAATGGACTAAACACCCCGGTTTCATCACTCACAACTCCTGTGCCTCATTCTGATCACCTGCAAAGTGGACATAACAATGCGCTCACTACCTCCCTCAGAGGATGGTTGTGAACTACTTAATCCCAGACCAGCCACCAGGTGCCACAGCCAGAAGGTCACCCCCGTTCCAGAAAACTCTTTATTCCTGGTAGGGAGTTCTGACATCACAGAAGACTTTGAAATCCTTTTTTTTTTTTACCACAGCTTACTTTGTGGCTTAATCCCTTGCCTACCTTACAACACATTCTCTAGCATCCATTTGATATAAATATTTATATTTGCATATATATATATAATATGCATATATTTTACCTAGCACTTATCTATGCTTTGTCCATTTGATCTGATGCATATATATTTTACCCAGCACATAGTAAAAATGTAAGTTGGTTATTTTTATTATTACTGAAATTATTTTTAGCATGTTTACACGTTTGTTTATGCCATCGGCTTCTCCTTGAGGTCCTTTTTCTTCAATGCATAATTATCCAGCAAAAATCCATACATCTTTTGTGGGAAAAAGTGAAAGCGTTTGAGCTTCTGTGTTCACAAAACTCTTGTAACAGTTTTCACGTTTACTTTTATTGTGGTTATTTTTGCATGTATTATTTTTCTTACTATACGTATGCCCCTGGGGATCACCACACTGTGTATGTTTATACAGTCCCAAAGCAGCTAGCATGTAACATTTCCCGTATGGAACTCAATAAATACTCAATACATTATTGACAAAGACTTAATGAAAACAGACCCAAGAGCCCAGAAATCATTTCTTGGCTGTGTAGCTTGCTTGATTTGGACTTGCCATGTGGTTTAGACAGGGCAGAGGGTATTTTCCGATCAGCCCAAAGTGGGCTTCATTATGTACCTGATGTCATTAAATCCATAGCCCTATCTGCCCGAGAGTCCATTCCATTTCTGAGTGTGTCTGTTAGGCTGAAAGCAAAAGTCTTTATAATAGGATTAGACATTTTAATAGCCCCTAGAGAAATAAAAGCACTTCATGAAGGTTATTTTTTTCTGAATAAAAGCAGCCTATCCATATAACAGAAAATGTGTAGTAATTAGAAAATATCCTGTTTCCCTGAAATCATAGTACCAATAAATGACATTTATTGGGTTTCTATCTTATGCCACATATCAGATGTGTTATCTTGTTTAAGCTTCACTACTGTGTGGTAGGAATCATTATTATTCCCATTTTACAGATGAGAAACTGTAATTGAAAGTTGCCAAGTAAGTTGCTTAATGTTCACAATTAGCAAGTGATAAAATAATTTGGCCATCACCAGAGCTCTCTATCTAGACATAAATGTTTGGAAAATTTCTGATCAAGATGGCGTCCCTATTCCAGGACTCTCTGCCTTTGCTCTCTAGGATTTCTGAATATGAATATAGAAATAGACAGGAGTTTTCATGGTCACTGTGCAACCTCTGTTCAGTTTTGTTTTGTTTTGTTTGTGAGATGGGCTCTGACTCTGTTGCCCAGGCTGGAGTGCACTGGCATGATCATGGCTCACTGCACTCAACCTCCTAGGCTTAAGTGATCCTTCCATCTCAACCTCCCAAGTAGCTGGGACCACAGGTGTGTGCCAACATGCCCAGCTAATTTTTTTTTGTAGAAATGTGGTCTCACTATGTTGCCCAGGCTGGTCTCAAATTCCTGGGCTCAAGTAACAGTCCTGCTTTGGCCTCCCAAAGTGCTGGGATTATAGGTGTGAGCCATCACACTCTCTTCTCAGTTCTTAAATCTTGATATCTTTTCTCTCTCTTCTCTCCTCTTTTCTTTTCTCTCTCTCTTCCTCTCTCTCGCTTTGAAAAAAAAATAATAAACTTGGCTTCCTCCAACTGTCATCAGTGGTCACTAGAGGGGCTTTCCCAATACTCAGAAAAACACATCCCTGTTGCTTTTTGTCAGAGACTTTCTATGCATGACTTAGGCCTCATCAGCAGTAAAAGCTCAAGCAGTAAGGGTGTCTGCTGCCAGGCTGCACTGACTTGGAGGAGCAGGGGCCGGGCTTGCTGTACTGCCCTACTCAGTGCTGGAGGTTTCACTGTCATTCGTGACAACAAAATTATGTCACTTTCACCTACCAGGACAGGCACCAAAAAACCCATTGGTACAGCCCCTTCCCAACAAGAGAAGCCAAGGGGCAGCAGCTAGTCAAGTCAGGTGCAGGAGAGCAGAGAATGAGAGGGGGATGCATTGAAGGAGGCGGCACCTGGGTAGGTGTTTCAGGGAACAGGCCCCTTCTTCCAATCATGGGGAATTTCCCTTTTTGTGAAAGGGAAATTCAGAATAGGAATTCCTATCAATGACAAGGCCATGTAAGTGGCACAGAAAACATAAGTAGTTGTTGAGCCACTTACGTGGCCCAACATGTGATTGAGTGACTCTTTTTTTGAGACGGAGTCTCTGTCATCGAGGCTGGAGCACAGTGGCACAATCTCGGCTCACTGCAACCACCGCCTCCCAGGTTCAAGTGATTCTCCTGCCTCAGCCTCCTGAGTAGCTGGGATTACAGGCACGTGCCACCACGCCCAGCTAATTTTTATATTTTTAGTAGAGACGGGGTTTCACCATGTTGCTGGTCTCAAACTCCTGACCTCAAGTTATCCACCCACCTTGGCTTCCCAAAGTGCCAGGATTACAGGCGTGAGTCACTGTGCCCTGTCGACTGAGTGACTCTTAAACTATTGCGGCATGAAAAGCTGTCCCTTCTCCTTCTATCACCTACCCTTTCCCTGAGCAGCTGAGGGTTGAATGCAGTGTGTCTACTCTCCAAGTCGCTCCAACGTAGATCACTTGTATTACAATTGATTTTTTTTTTACTATTACCTAACAGCTCCATCTGTTACTAATCCATAACAGATGCAAATTTTTGTACACTTTATGCATTTTATGGACTTTGGCAGCAATGGGCATTTTCTTGTTTATGCCACTCTCAATCAGTTAATGTTTTCTAGGTTTTCTCCCCCTTACTCCAGTTCCTAAACAGATACTCCTTTCTTCTGAGAACACAGGCAAAGCACACAATATTGATCTGATTGCAGAGTAGAACCCTCCCGAAATCCCGAAAGCCAATTACCTCATACTGCACAGTACAGTAAATTCTAGGATAACCTTAGAAAGGGAGTCAGTCAAGTGGTTTATAAGAAAAGAAACTATAAAAAGAGTGCTCTTCAGATTCTTCCCCTGCTATAATCCAGTCAGGTCATATTTTATTGGTGCTCATTATTCAGGCAGACAGTGATAACTGTGGAAACCATGGAAACATATTATGGCCAAATTGATGCTGCTTCGAAACGCCAGTGACTCACGCTGTGGAACACTAACCATGATCCATTAAGGCGCTTCTTGGACTTTTGTCAAGAGGGCCCTCCACGTGTGCATTCTAGGTGCAAGTGCAGCCACAACTCACTTGGAGAGTGAGGGGGCTCTCCAATATAAAAGGCAACTCATCAGACTTTTCCCAGAATGAATAAAAAGATATCACAAGTTGCACATCATCCTGGATCAGTTTTATTCCAATGAATCCCTTAAGTTACAAGGCATATTTGAATACTCCTAAGTATTTAAGACACAGTGTGCACTCCCTAGCACACACTCTCTCTCCTCTTCTTTAAACCTAATTATTTGCCTCTACATTTTAAAACTTCAAATAAGAATATGCATTGTCCTTGTAATTATGCTCATGAAAATGTCAGATTTCCATATTCTACATCTGATAAAAATAAATACATCTCAGCGGATCATTACATTTTGTTAAATTCCCAAAGCTATGAACACTTAAGGCCACATCCCACTTCAGAGAATGCCACAGAGACAGCTTAGATTAAGGATGCCTCTTTTATTTATAATCTTGAACACAAATCCTTTACTAATATATGAGATTAAAGTATAGCATTAAAGAGAAATTTTCATAATGTAAACATTAATGATAGTTTCAAATTTTTTATTTCTTTTTTTAGAATAAATTATGCAATGTGTTCAGTAATGTAAGTAGAGTAGAAATTTTTTAAATTATCAAAATTTATCAAAAACTATCAAGTATTTATCAGCCGTGTACAAGGTATTTCTTATTCATGTGATGCCATCTCAGTCGATGGCAAGGCTAGAATTGTGAAGTCTTGGCTAGTGCACCATCCCTCTGAATATTTTGATCCTATTTTGTCTTGTCATCTTCTAAAATGTACCAATCATTTATGATTGCAGCAAATCAATAATCAGAAGACTGAATTTTCTGACAATGTTAGCCCCGATATGAGGCTGAAGTTTCAATCATGCTTGTATAAGCATAGTTGAAACTGAATAAATTATAACTTTTTTATTTTTGTATTTTAATAACATCTTTTTAAAATAGTTACAAAAGGAATGTATGTTCAGTGCAGATAATTTTAAAAACGGAAAAACTACGGAAGAAGCAAGGATTACCTATGATTCAGCCCTGATACATAATCATCATTTATATTTTGCTATGTGCCCTTCTACTATTTTTGTTTGTTGGTTTGTTTGTATATTATTTTAAAGAAATAGTATTGTACTCTCACAACTTGCATTTTATTATTTGGCTCTATATTGTGAATGTTGTCTCATCAGTATATAAGTATTTTCTGTAACACTTTCAGTGACTAGATCTGATGCTGTAGTAGATACGTAAGAACTTTTATAATCACATTTAGATTCCTTTGAATTGCCTGTTTTATAGATTATGCTGAAAGGAGCATCCTTTTATGTTGAACTTTGGCCCCATCTTTAATTATTTACTTAGGATACATCCCTACAACTACTTCATATAGGAATCATAAGGCCTAGGAAATCTGTTTTCAATTTCCCTTTAGAAGTTTAATTTATTCAGCACTGTATGAAAGTTCTCAATGGCCAAGTGCGGTGGCTCACGCCTGTAATCCCAGCATGAGGTCAGGAGTTCGAGACCAGTCTGGCCAACATGATGAAACCCCATCTCTACTAAAAATACAAAAGTTAGCCGGGCATGGTGGCATGTGCCTGTAGTCTTAGATACTTGGGAGGCTGATACAGGAGAATCACTTGAATCTGGGAGGTGGAGGTTGCAGTGAGCAGAGATTGTGCCACTGCACTCCAGCCTGGGCAGTGGAGTAAGACTCCATCTCACAAAAAAAAAAAAAAAAAGAAAAAAAAAGAAAATTCTCAGTATCTCACACTCCAGCCAACCTGGGGAATTATGAATCATTTTAGCTCTACCAATTTGATACATGATAAGAGAATCTCACTCTTTAAATTTGCATGTATTTGTTATTAATGATCTTTAACATTTTTCATAAGATAGTTTAAAAAATCATCTGTATTAATTGCTTGTTTATTGCCTTTTCCTTTTCAAAATATGTAGGTATCTATCTTTTCTCTGTAGATCTGTAGAATCCTTCCACTCATTTGACACTTTGCCTGACACATTTTTCCCCAGTTTGTGACTTGTCCTTTAGTTCTGAGAATCTTGTTATTGAGGTTCAGAAATACTCATTTTAGCTCACCAAATCTCTTTTGTTTACCTTTATAATTTCTATTTTTCATTTTATTTTTCCAAAGCCTTCCTGGACCCAAGATATTTGTTCATATTTTCTCAAAGTTTTCTTATTGTTTCATTTGCATTTAATTTTTAAAACAATTTCTAATTAATTTTAGTGTATAGTAAAAGACTACTCTCTAGCATATTTTGCATCACAGCGCACATAGAAACATACACGTTTTCATGGCACTCTGGGGTAAACAAATGAGGCTGTTCACAGCTAGGGTTTATCAGCCACCTGGGCAACTGAGATGATCACATCCTAGCTCATCTGTAACCAAGTCCCAGCAAGCCATTGTGCTGTGGCATTTCTGGTATGAGGCAACTGAAGACATGACCTTTTAAAATATAAGTAACCAACCATCTAAGTTATTGAACAATTTGATTCTTTCCCCCACTTATTTGAAGGGTCATTTTATTCACGTAATTAAAACTTCTATACGTGGTATTTTCCTAGTATTTCCACCCTGTTTCATTGATCTGAATGTCCATCCTGACACTAATACCACACTGTTTCATGCTTTATAGATTTTTAATATGTTCTAATCTTTGATAATGCAAGTTCCATCTTATTTTTTTTCAAACATTTTAATTCCTACCAGTTTATTCCTTTAGATAAATTTTAGAAAATTTCTCAAAAATTCAAATGTTTGAAGACTTGAGATTGCATTAAATGTAAACATCATTTAACATCAACAGAATATTGACATCAACAGAATATTTTTGTTTTCCCACTTGGAATGCACTTATTCAAATCATCCATGTGCCTTTCAATGAAGTTTAGTAGTTTTCTCCATATAGCTAAATACTTCTTTTCAGGTAATTCCTAGATATTTGTCATATTTGTTGCTATTTTTAATTCTATATTTTTCCTATTATATTTTCTATATGATTATTATTTACAATTTTCTATATGATTATTATTGGCTTAAAAACTATAAATATTTTATTTCCAGACAGCTATCAGACCATAACATTTGTTTGTCATATTCTGTCTGTAAAGACACTAACTATGGAGGAAAATATTGCTCTGTTACTGTCTTGGAATATGCAGTATAAACAGAAAGAATAATTCCTAATTATTTGAGTGGCTCCTTATTTTTAAAAAATATATTTGTATAAGGGAATACTTTTGGAAGAATCACAGAATATTCTCTGAATTTTCTCAATTTGATTTTAGCTGTCACGTCTAAAAAGTTTACTAAGATGCATTCTTTGAAAACAAAGGTATACAGGCTGAAATATTCAGAGTACTTTCTAATTTACAGGCATTTTGGTTTTTAATAAATCTCTCTGTCAAATTTCCCCTAGTTATTTCCACATTCAATCGTAATTTTACCAATGATGTTTGCGATGGCAATAAAGAGATACGATTAGAGTCAAATGAATGGCTCTCGTAAGCAAATCTTTTCCTACAGTAGTACCAAAGTTTAAGAAAATGAAAGACTTTAATGAAACATTTTAAAGCATAAAACCAAATTCTCAAATTAGAACACAAATGAGAAGAAATATTTTTTCTCCCAAAAGTATGCCTAAAGAGAGAGGCGGGGATGAGAAGGTTGTGAAATGCTTTCACCATCTTGCAGAGCACTGAATACTTTCCACGGCTGCAGGTAAGTATGTTTTGGAGAAGGGGGGATAAATCAGCAGATCTCTGATTTTTTCAGGGACTAAACAGATGTTTAAACCCATAACACTCAGCTATTTCAGATGCATGAAAACTGCTCTTCGGCTTTATTGAATTGCTGGTTAATACACAGGAACTAAATTAGGTCTATAATTTCAGATGCCCTTTTTTAATGACTCATTTTTCTGTCAATAAAATTGACAACAGAGACCAGCACAGTTGCTTTGTCCAACTCTGATCTGCCCTGCTGAGTCATGTGACACAGTCTAGTGTTGCCAGATAGAGGCTGTCACTCTCCCCTGGAGTTTTCATGGAAATAAGATTTGAGAAATGTGGCCTGTGCAAGCCCAGGGAGGTTTTCAACAGACATGAGGGATGGCATCAATCATTCCACAAGGTCTCCCATAGGGCATTTCCATTGATAGTGCAGCCTTTATTTGTGTGTTCAAAGATAAAGTAAGTCCCTTTTTCCGGTGAAAGTCGTCTCCTTTGGCATGAGGCTTCCTCTGCTGACCTCAGAGCCTCCTAAATGATTTAGATAGCTTATCTCACCTCCCCCCATCCTGTGAATAGAGAAGAATTTCTAAGATGAAATAGGGAAGTTAGGTTTGACCGCAAATTTAAGTAACGGAAAGAATTTGTAAATTGCAGAATGTGTTCATCACAAGGGAAAATTTTAAATAATCCTTTTATGATTGTTTTCAAGGGAAAAAAGTGAATAAGCCTCACCTTTATTCTTTATTCATTTTCCCTCATTGATGTCAATCTAGTCATTTATTGGCATATGTGCCCAACCTCTACTCATGAATATTGGACATTTAATGACATTAACAAGGACAGATACATAAGCTTGCCAAAGGAATCATGTAAGTGATATGCTGAATAAAAGCCACGTTGGTGATAATCCACTCCACACACACACTCGCACGTACACACACACACACACACGCACTCCTCCACTTTTAGATGAGAAAAATGAGAAGGCTCGAAGGAAACTATAGGAGGTCAAGTGTTAATGTGTCAACTGTCACTAAGGTAGAAATTATCAATATATTTTAAAGCACTGTTAATAATTTTTAATTAATTTAATTACTCATTAAATTTAAAATAAAATGAGATACTTTTGAAAACTGATTCTGGCTATTCAATGAAACAAATATCAGTGACCCTTAAACATGACAAAATGCTCATTCTCATTCAAAGTAAAAGAGAAAAAGTAAAACACTGAGATAACATTACACATGGATAAAACTGGCAATGACTGTTTTTAAAAGTTAACATGTTTATTGATCAGGGTTTGGAAAAACTGTCACTCCTATCCACTGTTGCTGGAATATAGCTGGCAGAAGGTCTACAGAGAGCAATTGGCCATATCCATCAAAATTACAGATGCGCCCTACCATTAACCCACCAAGTTTCATTTTTAGGAATTGATTCTTTTGATGTACTCATACTCATGCAAAATGTATTTGAGCAAAGATATTAATTGAAGCACTTCTGGTAATACAAAAAAGCCCTAATGTGTACCAGCAGAAGGCTCTTAAATCTATATCTTTAACTTATAAATATGTACAATAAAATACTTAGCATTTAAGAATGGTAAGGCAGATAAATATGTGAAAGTTCATATGGTATAAGTTTAATTATAAAACCATGTTCAGAATAATGTGCAAAATATAATTCTATTTGCTCATGTATGTTTATCAGTGCATAGAATAACCCTAAAGGGATACATAAGAAACCAACAAAAGTGGCTAATATAGGGATAAAAATAGGAAAACTTGTTAATTTATAACATGTGCAGATGTTATCCAGACCAAAGAAAGATAATTAAATAATTCAAGAAAGAAAAAAATCTAGAAAAAGAATGAAAAAACATAAAACAATTTCCTGTGTACAGTCAATTCAACACCACGAGTAAAGCACTTACCATATAAAAGGCCGTAGTAGGCCTTTATTAGTAATTATTTTCCCCATCTTTATAAGATTTTAGAGTTTGAAAGCATTTTCCCCAAATCGATGCCAAAACTTGGACCCATGCTGGCTCCTTGTTAGCTATGGGAAAGTCATTGTATCTTTTTAAACTTTTATATCTTTCTCTTTGTACAGTGACTTAAGACTTCTATCTTCTTTGCAAATCAAATGTAATGCTGAAAGATAAACCACAGAATTGCACTTCTTTTTTTTTTTTTTAGCAAACATGTTTCATAATCTTAAAAATTGTTTCTTTATTTGGGAACCTTAGAAACAGAGTAGAATATCTTAATGTCAATCATCTTAATTCAAAGAACTAATTTTGTAAATCATTTCTTTCTCTTGTATTTTCTCTGATTTAAGTCAATATACAATATTTTAGCTACTTCTCTTCTTATTTGAGTTTTTGTTGACAAGCTGCACAAACAGCATTTATTTAGCTGTTAATGCAGTGAGTTATTTAACTTTGACCTTTACTGATCAAATCCATGTAACTAATGGGTGTGCAGCAGCCACTCCCTGGGTTACCCTGGGCACACTGTCCTCTTATGCTACCAATGTATTTTGCTTTCAGATTCCCACAAAACCAGTTTCTTACTCACACTGTATTAGTTTTGCTGAGGCTAGGAGCTGCTGTCAGCTCTGATTAGATTCTATTTCTCACTACAAGCATATTGTGGAATGTGCTTCCATAATAAAATTTAGTCTGAAATAGACTGTGTGCTAAAGGTCAAACTATCACAGCCTTTGGCTTCCCTCTAGATTCTAAATTAATGTTCCAGTTCATGAATCTTCTCTTCTATATTTGTTGGCAGGGTGGCATAACCTTAGTGGAAAAAAGTTCTCATAATCCACCAATCTGGCTCCATTGTCTTTTGGTGGTGTTACTTGGAATAGGTTAGATTCTGGGAATCTGAAATGCTTGCTACTCTAAAATTAAGTAATCAAGGTCTCTGTATCTCCTTGTCAGCGCTTCCTCTGAGACTTGTCTCTTTATTGGATATGCTATTTCCCTTCCCCTTCGTACACTTCCATAACACTAGTACCACAAGAGAATGGGGAAGCTCTTTACAGCATTGATTTACAAGAGATAATCAAGACCCCATTGAGTTTCCCAAGATTTTAGAATTGACTCTCAATTAATAGGCCTTTATAAAGTACCTATTCTTTAGCTTCAAAGAGTATGTAATGTAGTTGAGGAGATGAGAAATACACATGTGCATAGATAATAGAAAGCAGTAAAGAGTGATGCTAAATAAATGATACATGAATTAAAATGCCATGCGAGAGCATAATCAGATAGCATTCACCTCCCCCTGAGATAAGGATGAAAGGCTTCTTGGACAGTTTCAATTGTGTTTTAAGGGTAGATAGGATTGGGGCAATTAAAGTGAGGGAAGAAACCCTACCAATGGTGGAAAAGGCATACACCGGAGAATAAAAGCAGTAGCAAGATACAAAGATGGGTTTGGGGTGCAGTGAGTACCTGCACTGGCTGGAATGGAGGTGTTTGGGATATGTAGGTCATAGGGCTGCCATACTTAGAGACCTCTCCGTGCTGAGACTATCTAGCCCACAGCCTCTGCTAAAGAATCCCCAGCCCAGCGTTTTTTTGGTGGGGGCAGGGAGTGGGGTGTGGACAGGGAGATAAAGGATCCAAAAGGAACCCAAACTAATTATGACTAAGGTTATGCTGTCCAGGCATGACAGTCTCCACTCAGAAGAGGTGAGAGCACTTAGACAAATTATTTATACCAACTACCTTTGGAATTTGAGGACTGGTCATGTGGCAGGCCAGGTCTCACTAATACAGGCCTCCATAACAACTCTCTCAGCACTGACTGAGGGGGTAAGTCAAATATTAAAAGTGGAAAGAGCCAGCACCCTTCTACAAAGGCTGGAATGTAACAGAAGTCCACCAAGAGTTTTGCCTAGGCCTTTCCTGGGCATGACAAGATAACGAAGCAATTCTTAAGAGGACCGATTTAGGACAAACAAGTTTATTGGGGCTCTGAAGAAACTCCCCAAACCTCCATGATTTAGCCCAAGACAAGATGAGGGTAACCATCTCAGCACTCAGACCCATTTAGATTAAGTAATCTGACTGAGACTCCAGAGGAAGGTCTTCAGGACTCAGATTTTAGTTACAGGTTAGAAGAAGTTAGTCACTTATGTCTATAGATGAATGCACACTTACACGTAGACATAAAGCTTAGAAGGTAAGCTTTAGATATTGGAAAACTCTGTAATTTTGTGTTGGACTGGTGATATTTTCCAGGCCTTCTCCCTGTACCCGGTTGTAGAAATAAACTCCCTTCTTCCCCAGTTCATCTGCATCTTGTTATTGGGCTATGAGAATAAGCAGCCTGGCCCTTGGTTTAGTCTGGGAACAGCCATGTGACAGCAAAGGGAAGCAGAGACATGACAGAAGGCCAAACAGGACATGATCCCTTATCCAGCCCCATTACACCTTGAGTCTTTCTTACTTGCATCCACAAGAAGCCAGGGGTCCCAGGGGTTCACGTATGAGATGGGGAGGTTAAAGCTTTGGGGACACAGCCCTTGACATCCTTTCTTTCCAAAGATTCCATATAAGCACAGTGAGTTCTGTACAATACACAGATTGTTCTTCCAGCCCTTGTCCTTACAAATTTATGTAACAGTCATTTTCATGATTAATATATGATCTGATGGCAAAAGAGTTCTGTTCAAGTATCCTGCTCATTTGAGTATTAAAAAAAAAAAGAGGACTAGAATTGTTTTTTTCTAAGACACTGAGCAGCAGAGAGGGTAAACTATGGTTAGGTAAACTTTGTGTGGAAAGTGGGAGCCCCATGGAAAGACAGCAGTTCCAGGCAGGTACAGCAACCCTGTTCTCCTTCTTCATATAAAATGCATTTGACTGTGCCACACAGCACATTTGGGTTGAGGGAGAATGTTGCAGGGAATGCAATTTTTTCTTTGTAAGAAAAGGTCAAGAGCTAGCAATGCAGAGATTACATCAACGATAAATTTTTGGATTCACTTGTTATTTGAAATTCTCTAAAATAAAACAACAACAAAGAAACAACAGCAATACCTAAAATACATGCCTCAGCAAGCTGACAAGCACCGCCACCACTGTGGCACCAACTCCCTTCCAACCCACAATGACAGGCCACAAACAGGCACCCAGAGTCCCGGCAGCTCAGAGATGGAGAGATAATGTTTCCACAACAAGTCTGGAAAGAAGGAGAAAAACTGGAGGGTAGACATCAGTGATCAGCTGTTTTCCAAAGGTGACTGAGAGTGACAAGCGCTTAAAAGAACACCAGTTTTTAATGCTAATCTGATTTCCAGTCTCACCTAACACCTCAGGCTATAGTAGAACTATCTTTCTTTCCAAGTAGCGTTTCCTCTCTCACATTCTTTCCCCAGCGGGAATCTTCTCTGATTTTAGATCATTTTAGCCTTCTTTGGTTCCCACATGTTGAACACCTAGCAAAGCCTTCCTTCTCAGGCACACGACCCAGCGGGGTGCTCCCCAAACAGCCATTGTCTTTGTCTTAATATCACAACCAAAGCAAGGTCTTTATTTCCCTGAATCTGATCTATCTTAAAAGCCTCCTTCCGCTTCTGGTTTCAATTGCTCACAATCTATTCAAAACACTTGAAAGCATCACTTTGTCATGATATTTCCTTTCTTAGGATCCTACAGTTACTCTTTATTGCTTCCTAAATCCAACTAAAATCTAAGACCATGGACTTTATTGCTTTCCAGCTACTGCATTTCCTATCCTCCCACGTTTGTTTGGACCCAACTGCCATATCTCCTATTAATTTACCATTCTGATGCAATCAGGAAGTTTTGTTATCCTTTCTCTCTTATCACACATACTACATTTTCCATCTGAACACATGTGCCCTGATCCTTGCCTGTATCAATTAAAATCTTCAGCATGATGGTTTTCACTCAAGATTTACCTACACTGAGTTTTTCCAAACAGTAAATCATTTTTCTTCCTTCTCAAACCCTTAGAACTCCATAGTTATAAACATAGAGGATGAGAAGGAGGAAGATGATAACTTGGATGAATACAATAATACGAACAGCTTACATTTGGGCAGAAATTTACAATTTGTATGGCAATTTTATATGCACATGCACACACACACACTACCTTATATTATTTTTATCATTGACGTAGAAGAAACTATGCCCTAAACTCTTTTCTTCCCCACATCTTTCTATATGCCACATAATGCTTTGTACACGTGGAATGAAAGATTGATTGATAAACTCAGTTTTTGATACATGATTTTAGAAAATAATTTCCCAATGAATGCTTCTATTTTCTTGCCTTACAAGTTGTGAAGATAACTAATTTACTACTCACTGACCTCTACCGGGAGAGCTTTGAGGATTAATGATAAAATTATAAAAAGCCTCATTTTACAAGGTCACAAAGAGAAGAAGTGGAATTTAGGAGAATCATGGCCCCCAGAGACAGCCAAAGGAAGCACGTTCCTTCATCTCTTCTCTATTTCCATTTCACCTTTAAAGATGTGAAGTAGGCACAGCAAGAGAAAAAATATCCCAGAACCCTGAAGTGTTTATCCTAAAAATCAAGATAGGCACTGGCCACCAGTGAAACTGACCAGCTGCTTTGGCAGAAATATCTTTCCATGGTATATTATCAGCTGTGCCCAAAATTCAGACCCCTGGGTCAACTTCCAAATAAATGCTCATCATTTCCACAGGCATTAAAACCTATTACCTTGGGGGCAAATGTTCTAAGAAAAGAAAATCATGGTTTTTCATTACTAAATCAGCACTCTGAAATAAATGTCTGTTCTATAACCATATTTATTAAGAAATTAATATTCTGGGCATTGTTTTCTCCAAGCTACTAATTTCTTCCTCTTAATTCTACAAAATATCTAATATGTCACACTATGGGATGCCCCTTGGAGAACAGGACAACCTCGCAGAGCTGCCAGTTATTGCCTTTCCTGGCATTTCTACAACACTCTGCCCTTTTGGTGCTTTCTGTTTTTTCAGAGTCTACTTTTTTTGAGGGCAATATAACTATACCCAAGATATATTTAAATAACCATTAATGAGTGCTTATCATGATAGAGGAAAAGTGAAAAAGTCTAGCACAGGAAAAAGGAAGGAAGAGTAAGAGGTAATCAACATGCAACTAGCACAGACTAGCATAACCTGATATGATGCTAGGTATTTTACTTATAATTTGAAATAATAATGCAATAAAAATTTACATACTCTTCACCTATATTCACTGATTATTACTATGCTGCTTCTTGGCTTTCTCTCTATATAGAAATAGACAATACATTTTAAAGTTGTAAACATCATGATATATCACCTATAAATACTTAAGTATCTATCTCTTAGAAACAAGGATGCTCTTCCACAAAAATCTATGTACCATCATCAGTCTCATTATTGATGTTAAGTTTGATTACTCAGATAAGGTAGTATCTGCCTACTCTCTCAATTGGAAGAGTGTATTTTCTCTTATAATTTGAAAGTAATATGGGGAGTTTTACTTTGAGATTATTCCTTTCTTCAACAATATTTTACCTAACTATTTTTACACCCATTGGTGACCCTGAATCAATTGTTACATTGGCAGTTACTGATAAGGAAACTTAGGCTCCAATTTGTACCTTCCCCATATTAATTAGCTAGAGCATGGCTGAGTCTGGCTTCAAACCTGGTCAGAGTCTCAGACTGATCATCAGCTGCCATTTGGGGTCATACTGAGACAGTCAGGTGGGAAGGGCTCCCTGGCAGAGCCTCCAACTGACCTGTGCACTGGGAGGGTTGCACACTGGGGTGGAGCCACAGAAGTTCCTGCCTATTGCAGTGGGGAGGAGCCTGGGCCCTCCTCTTCCTGGGTGGAACTTGGAATTCAAGCTGCAAGGCAGGAAGTCTATACTAGCAGGATTCTCACTCTGTGGAGAGTCCTTATTTCCCTCTTTTTCTCCTTTTCGCCAATAAATTCCATTATTCTCACCCTTCAAATTGTCTGTGAGCCTAATTTTTTGTGGCCGTGAGCAAGGACCTCGTCTTTAGCTGAACTAAGGAGAGATGAGGGGCAATACTGCCCTGTTAAGCTCATGGTAAGATGGGCCCTCATTCCTATAACAAACCCAGAGAGCACCCATTGCCTTTCTTAAGATTTCTATAACGTCTCCAGGATTACATTCTCATAGATCCTCATGGCTCCTCATGGCTCCACCTTCCTGGCCCTGATGAATGAGTGTTTCCTGTTCTGCACTAACCCAGATGCTTAGCTCAGGGTTTTTCTTTGATTTCTCTATACATAAAAGAGCCTCTATGTGGGCAGTGGACTTCACTGAAGGCTTGTAGAGATGTTAAAGGAAAGAAAAGCCTTACGGCTCCTCTTCACCAAAAATTTAGAATTGAGTATTCGCCATTTTTGTTATTAAAAGTCATTTGTCTTGCCCTATGTTTCCAGCGTCACTCATCCCAGCTCCTCTGTATTCATGCTCTTATGAATAAAAAGATTAACTTCCTCGCATATTTTTATAGAAATAAATTCAACACTCCCCAGCCCTTACACGTAACTCAGCTGTGCCTTCCTATGTGTCTTCCATACTCAGCCAAAGTTCTAAAATTATACATGGTAAAGGTTTGGTTAGGCCTTTAGTTTCCAATTCCTTCCAAGCCTTCTGAGGAGGACTAGGGAGGAAATTATTATATAACATCTTAGAGCAGGCCCAGAAAAATCAATGAGTTAGCCTAAGGCCCTACAATAAGTTCAGAGCTAGGCTTCTCTGCCTTTGAGTTTTCATGGAGGTAAAACATTAACTGGAATTGCTCATCAGGGGTGGTGAGAGGCTGACAGTCTCAGTAAGGTTGATGAAAGTGTTGGGTTTCAGTTTTACAGTCATTAGTTTAGGACTGTTTATGGAGTTATTCCTTTTTATCGAAAAAGTGACCTTTGCATGTCTAAAGAGAATAAGAGAAAGGGCAACTTTTCATAGAGATATTTAAGAGTAAATATAGGTATTTGGGAAGCAGTATCAAACTAAATGAATTATTTTCTACCGTTGAAAGAATCAATACAGGTTCTTGTAAGAAGAGAGGGATAACAAACACTCCCAAATCAGACCAAAACCTGATTTAACATAAGAGAAAATAGTCATTTAAAAAAATAGAAGAATTTGTAATAGCTGCCTTGATATTATAAATATTTTTAGAATGGTTTATAAGATTAGTTATTTTTTGAGCAGATTTTTTTCTTTATCACAAAGACTATAATTCAGAAAAAAATAGCAGAACTTTGGGCAACATCTATGCATGTTTTAAAATTTGTATGTTCATCTAAGGAAATGTTTGTGGGTGTTAAATATTAGATATATTTTATGCAAGTGATATTGCCAAAATGTTCCCCAAACAGGAGCTGTTCTCCCAACAACCAACTTTCCCAAAGCAGCCACTTACTTCAGCTTTCTCTTTTATACTGCCCAGTCCTTGGACATCAGACTATGGGACATCCAGTTCATTTCACACACAATCTTTTACTGCTTTGAAATTGAGAACAACAATGCCAATCTCTGTATTCTGTTTCAAAATGTAAGAAAGCGTGGAAGATTTTCCAATAGGCTACTGTTGTAGGACTTTCTCCTTTGTTCAGCTAAAAATGGGGTCCTTGTCACACTACTCTATCCCCTTGTCATGGAAGAGCAAACTCCAGAAAAGGAACAAGGTCCCTGGTTTTGTCTGCACAAACCTGAAAGATGCTACACCAAGATGTTCTCATCATTGCTACCTGCAGCCTGTTCATACCTCCTGCCCACCTCTCCTCCCTGCTAATTCTCGTATGTCTATTTTCTCCAACACTGACTGCTTTCTGGCTGTGAAAGAGCTCCCTGCCCTGTGAACGGGCTGGTGCCAGGGTTAATAAAAGTTTCTCTACTGCTGAGCCTCTCTGTTGACACTGTCTCAAGAGAAACAACTCCAGTAATGACTGTTCCTCAGAGGAAAAGAAGAGCCAAGGAGAAACAAATGAAATGTAAGGTGTTGTTCTTGTGAGGATCTTCTGTTTTCTGCCAGTATCAAAATGAACGCTCTCTCCCCTCCATGCCCCTCTTCTTCTCTTCATTGTGAGAATCTCTTGTGGACAGACATATTCCATTTTTGCCTCTCTATTTTTCAGAAATTATGTGGACAATAAGGAAATGGCAGAAAAAAGAGTGGTGACAAAGTCCCAGTTGAGCCAGAGGGATGATTGAAAAATTGGAGGAAAGACATAGAGAAATGTGGGTGGTTTTTCAAAGAGGAATTTCAGAAAAAGAATAGGCAGATGTAGCACAAAGCTGGAGAGATACTGGTTTGCTGTTAGTAACAAAATTCAAATGATTCTAGGAAACCTTTGCCAAGCTATTTTTGTTCTTATAAAGGTTATATTTTCTTTACTTTCTTTGTAAAAGGAGAAACTAAAAGAAATTTTGAATATTTTTCCAAAAAATCTCAAAGGAATGCATTAGCCTGATGAAAAGATTCACCTTCTTTTATTACATTTAATTATCAAACTGTGATTCCTATGAAATAATGAATAATTGCTTACAACTTTGTAATGCTTGTTATGAATGAGGCATTACTTAAGCATTTCACTTGGATCACCCCCGTTTTATAGATGAGGAAACTAAAACTTAAAGAGACAAAACAATTTGCCCAAATTTCCAAATTTATATAATAATTAGTGGAACCATGCAAATCTGCACAGCCTACAGGAAAATGCCAAAAGAAATATTTAGGTCCAAAAGGGATCAAGAGTTACACAATCTTAACGTTCTATCTAGGTCTCAATCAGATCCTCCAAAATTAATTTCTAGTTAATTTCATCAGTACTACTTTTAGGGGGACTGTTACCAGAAAGGAATCTTGATCCGGACCCCAAGAGAGGTTTCTTGAGTCTCATGTAAGAAAGAATTCGGGGTGAGTTCATAAAGTGAAAGCAAGTTTATTAAGAAAGTAAAGGAATAAAAGAATGGCTACACCATAGGCTGAGCAGCCCCAAGGGCTGCTGGTTACCTATTTTTATGGTTATTTCTTGATTATATGCTAAACATGGGGCAGATTATTCATAAGTTTTCCAGGAAAGGGGTGGACAATCCCCAGAATTGAGGGTTCCTCCTCTTTTTAGACCATATAGGGTAACTTCCTGATGTTGCCATGGCATTTGTAAACTGTCAAGGCGCTGGTGGGAGTGTCTTTTAGCATGCAAATGCATCATAATTAGCATATAATGAGCAGTGCGGACGACCAGAGGTCAGTTTCACTTTTGTTGTGATTTTGGTTTTAGTGGGTTTTGGCCAGTTTCTTTACCACCACTGTTTTATGAGGAAGGTCTTTGTGACCTGTATTTTGTGCTGACCTCATATTTCATTCTGTGACTTAGAATGCCTAACTTCCTAGAAATGCAGCCCCGCAGGTCTCAGCCTTATTTTACCCAGCCCCTATTCAAAATGGAGTTGCTCTGGTTCGAACACCTCTGACAGAACCAAGCAATAATGTCAAAATGATTGACAAAAAAATGGGTAGTGGAGTTTTCCCGGACCTAGGACATTAAGAAGCTAGCCAGCAATTCTCCCCAGCAATGAATACATTTGACCAAAAGAAATTCACAAAGGTCAGGGAAAGAATGACTAAAAGTTGTTTGCCTGGGATAGAGAGCATTGCAAACCTGCCTGATTGCGCAAATGCTCACTTTGAGAAGGTCCCATTATAACTGCTGCAGAAAGAGAACACAGAACTCTAAGAAAAGCAAAGCTGCCTCCTTCTCCCTAGAGAGAAGGACCTGAGGCACTCCTCGGTGCTACTGCAGGTAGCAAAGAGTCTGGCATTGTAATTGCAGTATTAAAGTGGGAATGCACATGGGTTCTTAATTGCTTGTAAATCTCTGCTTCATTTAAGCCTTGCAGAGTAAGTGACTTGCAGGGTAAGTGACGACACTTTCCAATCAAACTGGCAAATATTTTATCTTTCTGTGGCTTACAGTCAACAGAAAGTTGTCATTGTGTCTTCGATATTTCAGCTGCATCAGTGTTCAGAAATGGGACCTAGGAGAATCAAGGCCCTTCACTTGTGCATTAATTCCTCTGCCTGCCCAATAGCAGAAATAACACTGCACTCTCTAGTGCCTACTGCATAAATTAGCTAATGTCTATAAAGAATAATGAAGATTAAAATGGTGCATGTAGAATTGTCATGAAGAATGAACACACTAGCCATGCAGTACTTCCTTACTCCAAGCATATGTATTAAAGCTTATGACTATGAAACCTGTGACATTTTACTTCATGAAAGGTAGTAAAATGGTAGCCCGTTTGGAAAATGGTCTACTAGCCTTAAATAGGATTTTAAGATAATTTTAATATTTTAAACTCTGAACTATTTATTTAGGCTTCCTTTTTACATAGTCACTCATGGCCTGCCAGGATCATTCTGAGTGTTCTACAAAAGGGTTTCAAACAAAATCAGATTTTTTTTTCAATCCAGCTAGTAATGGCCCTTTCTTCTTGAATCAGATTTCAAAAAAATGGGAATATTAAAAAATAAACTTTAAAATCTGATTTATGGAGCTCTAACCACTCATCAGACCTCTTAAGTCCTCCCGCAGCTGTCATTTACCCCAGCCACCAGTGTGGCCCACCTGGTGTGCTTCTCTCAGCTCAGCCTCCCAGTCAGCTGGCCCCCACTTCACCACCCTAACGCACCCCAATGCAAATATCTGTATCCATGATGAATCATTGAAATTTTGCTTTCTGAATTATGTGACCCATCAACTAATCTATGTGACTGGATTCTAGAATTCCTACACCTAGGTCACACCATCACATTTTTACCATGGACCTCCTAACAGCATTATGTCTGTGGACATAACAGATTTTAGGCACTGTAACTGTCTCCTGGTCTCTCCCGACTGTGGCCCCCTCGGACATAACAGATTTTAGACACTGTAACTGTCTTCCTAGTCTCTCCAGACTGTGGCTCCCTCAGCTCTCGTCACCCCAGAGCCTACTTTATGTTCATCTCCAAACCCTCCCTCTGGGCTTCTTCAGTCCCTTATTTATTGTGGAAACTGTAACTCTGCCGTGATGGTCCCTTGGCACTGTCACTGGATGAGCTTCTTCACGTTGAGGCTGCTAGTTGGGAATTTTATCATTCTGAGAGACAGTCACAAAGGAGAAAGCGAGTGAGAAAGAGAAGCTCCAGTGACTCACTTCTGAACAAAATCCTGAAATAAGCAAGCTTTCCAAATGTGCATAAAATTTCTGCTGCATCTGTATGACCAGCACGCAGCAGTGAGTTGTATGTTCTGCTTATCTCCGGTACAATGCAGCATATTAAAATTGCCTCTAGAGATTCCTTCCCCCATCCAATAATATTCACAATGCCAGTGCAGTGTGGCAGGGCAGGAGTCCTTGTGGAGGTGGACATAGAAGGTCTATGGAGAACAAACTGGAGGATCTACCCCTTGGACACCACTGCTGGGCATTTGCAAATGCAGGGCTAAATTGGGGGCAATGGAGGGGAGGGCGAGGAAAACAAAGCTTGACTGTTACTTACATTTCATTCATGGAGGAGCAAAAAACTTTCCCAAAGAAAATCTCTAGATGGAAAGGATAATCTGGGAAAGATGCTCCTTCCTCCTTAATGGTAAATGACTCTTCTTAAAGAAGAAATTCTTAACCTCAACTCCATGGGGCCTCTGAGGGTTCATGGACAGAGTCCAAGGGGGATAATTCTGCAATTGGAAGCAGAATCACATCGAGTGTGTATGTGTGGGTGTATATGTGCATGTGCACACACATATGTGTATTAGATGAAGAGAATATTTCAGAAATAAGATTCTTAAATGTTATCAGAGTCTCAAAGTATAGTTTATAACCTCAATACATCTATAAACTTGAATAAAAATTATAATCTTAAAGAGGCCCAAGGGAGACATTCTGAATTACTATATGGAGGTAGTTTACTTGGGTATTGTCTTACAGAGCTATGGTAAATGACGGCCAGGGTAAATGAAATAGACCGTTTATTTTTTCTTTCTTGCTATTATTTATGCCCCCCTTTCTTATCCACAAACCCAGTGAAAGTGGGGTACCACGTGGAAAGCAAGGAGCTGGGATCCCAGGAAGTCATGTCAACCTTTGAGCCTCTTTCTTCAACTCTACAAAAGGATTAGGCCTGATGATACTTCAGGTGACCTTTCAACTCTAAATGTCTGTGGCAGGGTCTTTTTCCATACTATGACATAAATGTTTGTCCTCAAATACACATTCAATACAAAGAAAAATTTTAAATAACAAAAAACAAAAGAAAAAAACAACAACCAATTTTTTGCATTCTTCTGAAACCTCTTCAAAAATTAAGACCTTTGATGTCCAAAAACACTTCAGCATAACTACAGAATTTTGGCACTAATTGCTTATGATTTAGTAACAGTCCTTGAAGAGAGACTTGAAGTTTTTAGAATTGCCTATTTCTTGATAACTAAATACTAGCAGTAATTCTTAAACTTTAGTCTGCACCAGAGTCGCCAGGAGGGCTTGTTAAAATACAGGTTATTGGGCCCCACCCGCCAGAATTTCTGGCTCGGTGGGCTGGTGTAGAGCCTAACTTGCAACTCTACCAAGTTCCCCAGCGATGCTGATGTTCCTAGGTCACACTGTACACTGCACTGAGTCTACACTAGAAGGTCGTCTGGGCTCGGGAATAACCTACTTGACTCTCACAGAAAAGGCTTAGATCTATTTGTTTGTTTATCTCTGAAAGTAGATAAATGGCATTTAGAGATTCATGAAAACCTCGCTTCCTACCTGTAGGTATAGGCTCATTCCCTGCTAACTCATCCATTCCATTGACTTATTCCACCCTCTGGGTGGCAGCAGCTCTAATCTCTCCCATTTCCCCAAAGAGCAGAAAAGGGCCATGTAAATGTTTAAAAAAAACAAAAACAAAAACTGTTCCCACAGAGCTCTAGGTCTTGACCAGACAAAAACAGAAGGCCAGGCTTCCATGTCATGGCTTAGGAGGCATGAAATGAATGCTGCCTAGGGAATACCAAGTGATAGAACAGCACATGCTTGGTGTCATAAATTTGCCACCTACTCATTACAACTCATTCAAAATAAATTGGGATTTTTGGGGGTTGTTGCCCTGGGCGTGAACCTAATATTTTCACAGTCTGTGTTATTTAGTTCCACATGAGATGCTACCGCTTCTGAGGAGTCATGAGTGCTAGCAGATGGCGCACTGAGTGTGGGGGACTGCAGACCCAGATGGAGCTCAGGTCCTTGCTATGTGGCTTTTCTGAGTTTGCATTTCCTTGTTGATTAAGTAAGAACTACTTTGACTGACATGAGTCCTTGAGGAAAATTTTCAATTTCCTTTCCTTCCAATTCCCTATAGCTTGATCTTCATTCACCATGGGCCCTATGACCCCTTTCAAGGGTCCCATACAGATCAGAACAGCTTGGACAATACTTAAGCATAAATTTGTCAACTTTCAGAGATTATATAAACTCTACTTTCTTTCCTATTCTAAAATGAAAATCATCATGTTTATATTCTTCAACACACTGCTGAAAGTCTTCATAAAACACCTTCTAAATTTTCAGTCAAAATGTCTGGCTGTTTGACCTATCCAATTATCCAAGTATTTGTTGGGCCTGCTATTTTTAAGGCATTATGCTAGACTATATAGGGCAGGGGTTCTCTGACCGGTAGCATCAGCAATACCTGGAAACTGCTGGAAATGTACATTCTTGGGACTCGGCCCAGAACTACCAAATGAGAAACTCTGGAGTTGCCTTAAGTTGCAGCTGTAAGTTGCAGCTGTATGAGTATGACAGAGCCTGGGAGTTCCCTGGAGGGACAGGGTATGTGGGGTTGCACTATTAGAAGAGGATTCATGGAGGGAATGTGTTAGATCAAGGATGAAAAGATCTTACCATACAGAGAGATGAGGAAAGGTAAACAAATTTCAGGAACAGCCTGAGACAAGCTTCGGCAGGGAAGGTAAGTGTTAATTCAGAGAAGCTCTGGGTGATGAACCAGGAGAGTCAGAAAGGTGCTCCATCATGGAGAATTTAGAACACTGCTAGAAATCTACTCCCAAGAAGTGTGAAGCCATTGTAAGTTTTTGAGGAGGAAAGTTACTCAAGCTGATCTGTGTTTTAAAAAATAACTCTAGCAGCAAGATGAAGGATTTGATGTACAAGGTTTTAGAGGCAGATGATGATGTTACAGCCCCTTCTATGAGTGACTGTGAGTTCTAATTTAAGATCCCCAATATTGTTTTAAAACTGTGTCATTAATATAAGGATTGCATGTTATGATTAAATGAGAAATGTTGGCACTCTGATTGCATTCTGACATACCTCTAAACCACTGGATTAAATTAACACGTTTATTGGAATTTGGGTTTTTTTTCTTATGTTACAAAACAAAATAAATTTTGATTGAATGGTATTTCTCTTCCTAAACTTTAAGCAAAAGTATGCTTTCAAGTTAGTGGTCTTATGCTTATGAGTCAGCCTAACATCCTCTTTTCTGGTAGAATGACCCAGCCTTCCTGTTTATCATCCCATCTGGCTTGTTGGTCAGCTCCTTCCACTCTTCATGAGGTAGGTCTGGTTTGGAGCTTCCCTAGTGTTTGCAGCCCACATGCATCTCCAGGCAGCCCATTCCACACACCACAGGCAGATCGCCCAAGTCCCTGCCTCTGCTTTGCTAAATACCAACCCATCCCAACCCCCAAAAGTCATTCTTCAGGTGAGAAAGAGCTATGTGGCCTGAAGGATTTGTCATTTCAGTGGGACTTGAAGGATGAGTAGGACTCAGGAGGCAGAGGGGGTGGAACACAGGTATCTGAAAAATGTTGGCAATTACATTTGGAAGTTTTTAACTTACTTCCTGTGAGTGGAAATGCTCAGTGTTCAGCCTGTTTTTAAATCTCAGCCCAAGTACTTATTGTGTGATCTTTGGTTTCTCATGTTCCCTCAGTTCACTCATCGAAATGGGGATAATGATGTCTACTCCTTGGGGAGAGATAAGACTAAGATGGTTAGCCCAGGAACTACTATTATCATTTCTGAATTGCTACAAGCAAACTGAAGCCCATTAGCTTAAAAAGAAGTATCAATCTTACCATTAAGTTAATTAATAATGGTGAAGATACTCATGAGTTTCTTTTATAATTCAGTGATACATATTTTATTCCACGTATTTAAAAGTAAGGGGTGTAGTTTGTTTAGTAGATGATAAAAACTTCAACTCTAGCTATGGAGTTGGAGTGCAAGAATTCTTCTTAAATAGCACTATCAACTCATTTTAATTTCTGTGTTTCAAATGAAAGGAATATATCAAGTTACACAGAAAGTAGATTTTATGATTTATTCTTATAAAATGAATGAGAGTCATAATTTTGTTCCAACAATACAATGTTTAAATTCCTTTCAAGTTAAATTTTCCTCTAGAGTCAGAAGACTTTAACCAACACTTCTGACGCAGTAATAACTATTCCACTTCACACTGAAGAAGCTACAGTATCTAACTTTGAGATATACTCAGAAAGAGAAGGAAGTCACTTAAGTTCACATATCCCATGAGTGGGATCTCAAGCAAGCATTAAAACTGAGTCTGTGTTTCCTTAGGATAAAGTTGAGGCTGACTGGACCAAACAGACCCACAAGGATCAAACAGGGGCTTCAAGGAAACTCAAAGTAGACAAGGAAAAAGAGCAGAAAATTTGGTAGGAAGTCAAAGCCTATTGAAGTGACCAACATGGGATTGTAGAACTATTTGTTGATATGTAAGAATATGAATATTAACACTAATTAATAAATTCCATCATAGCATATGCACAATGGCTCACATAATTTCTGACACATGATAAAATAGGCAGATGAGAACTACAGAGAAGAGGTCATTGTGAAATTGAAAATGAGAAACATGTAATTACAAATCAATCTAATGTATAAAACCACAAATCAATCCATAATAAATTATAGCAGATGTATCAAAGTCAGCTTAAAGATCTAGAGTGATTCCCAGGCCCTCGACACTAGACAACAACCTGATCTGAACTCATACTAGACCTTCAAAATGCTCTGTGAGAAGCAGGGGTGACCTTTCATGGAATCAGAGAAAAAGGAATTCACATTTAGGACAACACTGAAAAGACAAGACTGGTGTTGGAGACAATAGAATCTGAATGGCATGAATACACTGGGTTGTTTGCTATTCACCAGAATCATCAGTTGTGAGAGGTAGGAACAGAGAAGCTCTACAGCTACATTGATTGGGGTTTAGCTGGGCAAGTAAAATGAGAAGACAGGCAGGCAAGAACATTGAAAGAGAATGACTGAAGTGCTTGAGGTACCCCTACCATGGGTATCATGGGATCTAACCCCATTAGAAAGAAGAAGGAGTTTGATGAACAGAAAGACAGAGGACTAGTGGAGGGACTGAACTTCTTGACAGGGTGGATGAATGCAATCTGTGGACCTCATAGACTGAGAAAGCTAAGAATGCAGGACACTGATCAGAGAATGGCCTTGGTGAGGGCAGGGCCATAAGAATGAAGAGCTGAAGCAGGGAAGGGTAAAGGTTACTGGAGCCGAGAAGATCATAAATTCAAGCAGCCAGGGTGTTGCATGGGTGATCCATGTGAACAGAAAAGTAGACCAGGATGGTGATGAGGTGTGGGGAGGAGAATAAGGCTACAGGCTTGTTGCTTCCAAAGCATGAGGAGGAGATCTAGGAATCTGGTAAGGGAGTGAGACATGGAGAGATGGTGGTTTAGTGAGCTATCCCAAGCCTCAAAAGAGCAAGGATTTTTGCTTCCGTGAGGAGGACTTGTGGCCTGGAAGTACCTTGGAAGACGAAAAGTGTGCTGAGCTAAGTTACTGGAGCTGAGGAATTGGGCCACCTCCACACGGGGGAAACAATGTCCTCAGAGTGAGAGAACCATCAGCTAAAGCAAGAATGTGGAAGGAATGTTCAGTGAGGCAGCTGAGAGCATAGGAGACTTATAGATACAGGATAAGAAAGGGTATAGAAGAAAACTGTTCTGAGTGAGGGAGTGAAAAGTTGGGCAACAGGAGAAAAAGCAAAGAAGTGTTTGCAAAGAAAGGATGGAAGAGGACAGAGAAAGAGGAGCGGTTGTTTTGGACTGTCACCAGAGTGGGAGGGACAGGAGGCATTGGTTTCTTGGGGAAGTGAATGAAATTGAATGGAGAATGAATGCTGTCCGGGAGCAATGGATAAAGCTCCTATGAAAGGGGCCGGGTATGGTGGCTCACACCTGTGATCCCAGCACTTTGGGAGGCAGAGGCAGGTGGATCACCTGAAGTCGGGAGTTCGAGACCAGCCTGACCAACATGGAGAAACTCTGTTTCTGCTAAAAATACACAATTAGTTGGGCATGGTGGCACATGCCTATGATCCCAGCTACTTGGAAGGCTGAGGCAGGAGAAAGAATTGCTTGAACCCGGGAGGCAGAGGTTGCTGTGAGCCGAGATCGTGCCATTGCATTCCAGCCTGGGCAACACTAGTGAAACTCTGTCTCAAAAAAATAAAAAATAAAAAAAGGCTCCTATGAAAGGAATTATTTATGACCTGTATTGATGGTACTGTGTAGGGAATTGGGGAGGTGGTGTTAGATTTATCTGAGGAGAAGAGACATAAAGGGGAGAAAAGAAAGTTGGATTGGGGCAAGATACGTACCTTATATATGGTCAGACCTCAAATAACCTTTAGCCCAAAGGCGTGTTGAGTTCCATTGTAAGAGAAAGTTTAGCTCCCCTCTTCCCTCCTGAGGTTCACTCAGCTCAGAACATTTCCTCACGTGAGTATTATAAGCAACTTGCATGCGAAAGAAAATACATCAAAGAGCCATGCAAGAAGCAAAGAAAAGTAGGAAGCTCAGAAGGTGTCCATAATGCTGTAAATATTTTAAAGGTCAGCTGCCAGGGTATTCGTGTTTTGAATCTAGGGGAAAAACACAGTGTGTTGTCACAGTGCCCCATGAAAGTGCAAAGCAGCACGTCTTCCTAGATTCTGTTTTAGCGTGCCTTCAAAAAGGTAGTAGTTCTTGCATCTGCTGCGGTTCCTGTCGCCTCTCTGCTTAAAACAATATCTTGCAAACAGCAGAGTTTCTGAGAAAAGATAAGAGGATTTGGGATTCTCCAAATGCAGCCTGTACAGACTCGGGTCTTATCTGTTCAGATTCTCCTTGGCTTCATTAACTATTACATGCTAACCTTTCCTATTTAACAAGAGGAGACTCTAATTTCCACAGCTTGATGAGAAAGATGTGGAGGTCTATCAAGGCCATGCCTTTCACATTTCTGTCTTCTTCAAGGTACCAAAAAAAAAAAAAAAGCTCATTAAACATTTCTAAGCACTGTTCTGACTATATTTGCCCTTCTCTTAACCTGAAGCTGGTTGGCTGAATTTGATGTTCTTCGTATCTGCAGTGCCTGTGTCTGCAGTGCTTATGTGAAATGTTGGAAATAGCCCTTGTAGCAGCTCTGGCCACACAGGGCTGGTAAAGTCTTCCAAGGGACAGTTTGTCTTTGGGGGTGTCAGGGAGTTCCTGAGCTGTGGCTCAGTCAATTGTCCTTCACTTATTTTAGTCATGCATATTTTCCTTTGAATAGTGAATTGTTAAGACAGTCCTAGCCTGGTCATGGAACAGTGTAATTCTTGAGACCAAATGGGGCAAAATCATCTTAGAGTTAGATCTTTTGAGTGGAAGTATTTCTTTACTTTCCAATATTCTGGTTATAATTTTAATTCTTGCAAATTAAGTCTTAAAACCTAGGGCTCACCTAAACAAGAGAGCATGTTAATAATTTGTTGCCTCTTCAAACTAATGTTTTAAAAGTATTTTCCCAGTGTGCATTAAGGAGAGAGGTTATGTGCTGTAGGGTGTGGCAGAAAAGAAGAGCTGCTCTTGGCTGTGCTGAACTGTTCTGAGCAATTTAGTCGGGATCTCAAATGTGCCTAACACTCTGCAAAATATGCCTGCCCTTTCCTGACCAACCATCCTCAGAATCAGGTAGGACATTCCTCACAGTCACCTGAGCCCGAGTCTGGAAAGTCTCTTCTCTTGTTTGTAGGGTCTTATCAAACTAATTCTTCCAACCACTTTTCCCTAGAGGAATTCTGGTAAATATGATTTCTTATACTTGTTATATTCCCATTGATGTCTTTGTAATCAGTGACGTTTAGTTCCCCTCACAGATTGATGCCAAAGGCTGTCTAACCTTTGATTCAGCTCTGTCAATCACTAAGGTCCCAAAATATATATAAATGGCCAATTTTGATACCGTGTCAGGGATTAAAAACACAAGGCAATATTTTTACATGTAACACAGGTACAGCCAAGATTGGAAACAAAACTAATAGAGATCCTGATAAATTCAGAATGTTCTTATTCATTTAATTTGTTAATGCTTAATTCTAACTTGAGGGATTCTGATAAATTTACCACTTAACTGAGAGGAATGTTTTTGAAATCAAGTATTTTGATCTAAGGAAAACACTGGGTAAATTTTCTGTCAAATTGTGAGCTGAGATGGCTAAGACTAAGTATATGCAAGAAGATAATGCTTGGGTATTTTTTTTAACTTTTTATTTTGGAAAATTTCAAGCCCATACAAAAATAGACAGGACAGTAGAAAGGACCCCTATGGACCTGTCATTTAATTTCAACCATTCTCTTCACATGACTTGTTTTGTTTCAGCAGCGCTGTCACCTCCCTCCACTCCTATGAAGATTCAGAAACATCTAGAAAGGCCAGGAAGATATATTGATACTAACAAGATGATATGCTATCAGCATAAATAGAAAAGTCTCCTTTTCAACATTTTTAAATGTATGTCTTTTACGTTAAATTCAGTTGATTTTAAGGACAGAGAACTGGCTTTAAAAGAATTTGTGAGGGAAAGACCTTGAGCGAATGAGCTCAATATAAACCAGTTCTGGAAGAGAACTGATAAACAAGTGGACCATATCTAAGACAGCATGAAAAGTGGGTTTCAGATAAAGGGAGGCACCATGAACTCCTGCCTCATGAACCCCTATCTGAGATAAAATCTTTAACCCTGGACACCACACGATAAGAAAAATGATGTCTAAGCAGACTACTCTGTGAGAGAGAGAGAGAGACAGAAAAGGCGAGGATCCTAAAAATCACCTCACTCACCCAAGGAGCAGATGAAGAAGTTCAGCATGTCTCACTAGGATTAAAAATAATTAAAAACTTGCAGGACAAGAAAATTGCCTTCAATAACCTGAATGTGTGTTCATGGAAAAGAGACTCAGTTTGCCAAATTAAAAATATGATTTTTTTTTGGAGACTCTTTGCAGGCTTCTACTGGTGTAATTTGGTGATAAACCTTAGACTCTCTCCAGTGTCCTTTATTTTAGTAAATGCTACATATGAGGCATACTACAAGCCATCTCCCAAATGCTTCCTGTTTTCAACGGATAAACAGATGAAATCTAGATTCAAAAATTACAGCCGATGGTGTAGATATGAAAAAATTTAAACACTCCTAGTAACTGATGTCATATGATTTTGCTAATGTAGGAAGAGAATTATCCTTAATGAAAAAGAAAAGAACTAGATCCTGGGCACATTGTTCCACAACTTGAACTTTCCAGAAGAGAGGGGTAGGTTGTCAAGAGAAGGAGAAGACAAGCATCGCTTATAACAACGGTATTATTTCCAGAGCCAGGCATCAAGTATGGTGGATGTATGTGCTTCATAAATGCCAGCTGAACTGACAAGACACTACCTCAGGGACTTGTCTCAGGAACAAACACTGGGAAGATTCCTAAAACCCAATACTGTTTTACTCCCACCTTCTCCAGTGTCTGGAAGTTTGACCTTGGAACCCATTCCATTACCTTTTGAATGTTGCTCATGATTAAAATGCAAACAATTCTAGGACAGTTCATCCCCAGGCACGAAGTGGTCACATGGTATATACAAAAGATGGGTTCAGTGTCTATCAGATTTGGGTTTAATTTCCAGCTCTGCTATTTTGTAGTTGTGTATGTAACTTGGACAAATGTCTTCATCTCTCTGCATCTCTTTCATGTGTGTTGAATGTAGGATTTTTATAAGCTCGAACAATAGGAAGTATTGAAGTATCACACATACAGAAGTAATGGTAGCTATCACTGGTGTTATTTCTTATCTGAACATTTTGAGAAAGGTGGAAAGGAAAGAATCTGAGGAAAGCAGATCCCAGGGAGCGGGCCAGGAAGGCGTGCCATCTAGGAGGGGAGGGAGAAGAAGCTACTTCAACTTGGTGCTTGGACCAACAATAGTCTTTTTGGAGCTCCTAGCTCTGTGACAGCTCATCTTCCCCATCCCTTGCCCCTTCCTTGTCACCCGTCATTTTCCCTGTATCATCATAGGCCCCTCCCCCACCCCATCCCACCCCTGTCAAACATCTTCCCTTTGATCACCACCTCTCCATAGAAACCATTTAGCTATAACTATGCTCATGGCAGATCTTTCATGCTGAAATTCTGAATAGCCCTCTAAATGAGTAGTGATTCTTTAACTAATGATGGTTTCATTTATAAGAGATAGAAGGGGCCGGGTGCGGAGGCTCATGCCTGTAATCCCAGCACTTTGGGAGACCTAGGCGGGTGGATAACCTGAGGTCAGGAGTTCGAGACCAGTCTGGCCAGCATGGCGAAACCCCATCTCTACTAAAAATACAAAAATTAACCGGGTGTGGTGGTGGGCACCTGTAATCCCAGCTACTCAGGAGGCTGAGGCAGGAGAATCGCTTGAACCTGGCAGGCAGAGGTTGCAGTGAGCCCAGATCATGCCACTGCACTGCAGCCTGAGTGACAAGAGCGAAACTCCATCTCAAAAAAAAAAAAAAAAAAAAAGAGAGAGATAGAAGGGAGCCAATGAGATAAGAAAACTGGAAAAAAAAAAAGAAGTCAAGAAAAAACAGAACACATTTAACCATTTAACATCATTTTCTTTCTTTTCTTTTTTTTTTTTTTTTGCGACGGAGTCTCGCTCTGCCCAGGCTGGAGTGCAGTGGTGCAATCTTGGCTCACTGCAACCTCTGCCTCCCAGGTTCAAGCGATTCTCCTGCCTCAGCCTCCTGAGTAGCTGGGATTAGAGGTGCCATACCCCCGACCCCCCGATCATATCCAGCTAATTTTTTGTGTTTTTAGTAGAGATGGGGTTTCACCATGTTGGTCAGGCTGGTCTTGAACTCCTGACCTCAGGTGATCCGCCCGCCTCGGTCTCCCAAAGTGCTGGGATTACAAGCATAAGCCACCTTGCCCGGCCAACATCTATCAGTTTTTAAAACAGAGAGCACAAAAGGTGATTTCTAGACCTTAAGAGGAGGTGCACCAACCTAATATTTGGTGAAAGAATAGATGTGTAATAGCGATATGAAATCAGATTCTTTAGCACAACGTAATGATTTTCAAGTAGTTGATGCATTAACTTCAGAAACTATAACTATTCCTTAGCTTTTGAAAATAAGAGAAAAATTATAAAGCCTAATTTATTAAAATATGAAAATCAAAAGAGATTCCACACTGAAATTCTATATATGGACTTATGAAAAGAACATAGTCTGGCCAACTGTTCTTTACAAAAAAAAATGCTAAAAATTCTACGTACGTCCAGATCTGCCCTAACAACATCCTTTCCTCCTGCGCCCACTCTACCTCCTCATTCTCCAACCTTTGAGAGATCCATTTGCTCAGCCCTGCAGCTACTAGGCTTAGGGTACAAAAATATCAAGGCCAGGGCAAGGTCAGGGGTCAAGCTAACTTCACCACTGACCAGGTTGGGCACACTGTTCAGTCCCCTGGTGTGCTTGTTATATGCGCTTGTGAACATTTGGTTAAAGTGATTTTCTTCTTTATAAAATGGGATTTTAATCAGATTCTCTCTCACTGTGGTGAAGAGGTTATAATGAGATTAAATGTGGAGAAGAACCTGCCCCGGCGCCTGGTGCACGGATTGCTGCTTCTTGACATGCCAGGCATAGGCCTGCCACGGGCTCTTTGCTTCACTGATCCTTCTGCCTGAAGTGCTTCTGCCCAAGATATTTCCAAAGCTTGCTCTGTTACCTCCTCCAAATCTTGACTTCAGTTTCCCTTTCTCTGTGAGGCCTTCGCTTGCCACCTTATCTAAAATTACAACATTCTCTCTATCCAAGAGCCTTTCCCCGCTACCTATTTATTTTTCTCCTTAATTCTTGTCATCCTACAACAAATGGTATATTAATTTATTGTATTTCCCTACTAGAACATAAGTCCTTCAAGAGCACGGAGTTTTGTCCATTCTTGCCCGTTTGATCTCTTCCATTATGCCTAGTGTGGGTACCATATAAGCACTCAATAATATTAAGTTGATGCAAAAGTAATCATGGTTTTTGCCATTAAAAGTAACCATGATTACTTTTGCACCAACCTAATATTTGGTGAAAGAATACATGCAAGGATACATGTAAGCTACTTGTACTAGCAATGCCCTTTCTTACTCAATTTCAGAAGCTCAGACATTGTTACCCTTTTCCAATCCTATTTGTCTAATAGTTATTAACACACTTCCTACCCCTATGCTGAGTAATGAGCTTCTATTAGTGAATTGTGTTCATGTAATATTTAGCAGGACTCAGTTTTCCCATGGACTCTCACCACCCCCTGGGATATGAACCTCTATCCTTGATGATGTTTGCACTAGGAAGAAGTAAATTCTCCTTCTTGTCCATATGTACACATAACAGAGTATGAGCAGGCATAATTGTCCATGTGTGCACCTCAGGCAACTGAGCCAAAGGTGCATTACTATAGCTTCTAGGACTATATGTGTAGATAGGGCAGTAGATTGGGATGCCAATTTATTGAGTTGAAGTAAAAACACATGCCTTGGATTCAACTGAGCTTTTGTGCATGGACAGTCGGAGTGTGAACAATGTGATGGGATGACATTGTCGGGAGTGGCAGCTGTAACAGCATCAACTGGTCACAGCCCTAAAACACAGTGAGTCGTTGAGTCTGTTGTCATATTTCTTATAAATTGTAACAACTTTTGAGACTTTTGCCAGAGCTGGGGTCAGTAATGAATGCATTTTCTGATACACCAAAACACCCACTCCCATGAACGCAGTTCATTCCTTAAAGCATATCCTGGCACAAAGGAACAAGACAGTGTTCATGTAGTGGACACTTATTGTTATTTAGGTGAAAAACCTGGAAAGGCAGGAAGAAAATATTTACTCCGAGGAATATTGGTTAGTCATTAAAAAAATGTCTGAAGTACAGACAATTTGGAAAATTTACTGGTAGCTCTCCTCTCCACGAGATGGCACTCATTGTCTTCCTTCCCTTTTATTTAAAGTTTCAATGCATTCATATTTAAGAGTTTGAATATACCTATATGCACATACATATGCACATGTATGCATAGTATAGCTATGTAAATGTGTATACACACATACACATGCATATACATGTGTGTGTATATCTTAGGCTTTATAATTTACCTAGATCATTCATATTCTTTTAACCATTCAGTTGCATTTTTGACAAAACTGTCATTTACTTGGAGCCCTTGGGGACATTCAGACAGACAGTATGTAGGTTGCTGTGTTGGTAGGTGTAGGGGGAGAGTCGCCATCTTCATCTTCTTCACTCCCACCCCTTGTTCTGCTTTGCCAAAAGACAAAAATACAAAGTTGCCTTGGAGCCTGGGCATCTACCCACAATAGGCAAGAATAAAGCCAGTAACCACATAAACAGAGAATAAACAAGAATGTAATGGGATGAGCTATTTATAGAAAGGCTACCCATCTAGGTTGTTAAGGGACTGAGCAGCCTACTTATTTGAAAAGCTGGTAACATTTTTAAAAAAACATTGAGGTTCACTCCCCTCAGGAGGAATCTTGCTCCTGTTAGCATCCAAGGCCTGAGAACAACTGTTTTCTTTTGTTAGTAAGGGCTAATTTTAATTAAAACAAGATCTCCTTTTCTTGAGGTTCTCCCACCATGCATTCCAGTCTTGTGTTCTGGTTAGAATGCTTCATCAATAGCCGACTTCAGTGTGGATTTGGAGGTCTGAGACACAATTACAGTAACTGGAGAATCAATTAGGGCTTTGGATCATTATGCAGCAATTCTATTTTTATTACGTTAGCACTAAAGTGGGGGAAAGATCAGGAACTCAGACTCTATAGAAAGGCAGATCAACTAATCTATAGGGGAAATGCAAGTTTCTCAGCAACAACAACATCAACACACATTAGCAGGCTGGAAATTCAACTCAAATTGACCGTGTGGGCATTCAAACCAAGCGGGCACTTGGAAGACGGAGATGATAAAGGTCCTTAGAGGACTTACTCATTCAACATGCGTTAGACAATAGCAGCCAGTCCCTCCCGCCTTTGCAGGGGTGCCTTCCTCTTGAGGCCTCTTCCTCTCCAGAAGGAAGCGTTGCACTCCCTACTTGCATGTATTAGTTTCCCTCTATGTAAATCCCCGTAGCTCATATTTATAAAGCACTTTGTTGGTTTCACACAGGTGACATCTAAGAATCATCTTTGTTCTTCTCAGCCACAATGGGGAGGAGGTTGACATGTTCATCCTAATTTTACAGATAAGTTCTGAATAGGGGTTCATGATTTGTCCAAGGTCACAAACTATGTAGAATCAATGCCTAAAATAGAGAACTGGTCCCCAGACCTGTAGCCCACACTCCCTTTTACCTGATCACATAAAAAGCCTAAGATTGATATATCATAGGAAATAAACCTTTGTTTTCTTCTCTAGCATATGCAGGAGTATCGTAAGCCAAAGTTCCCAGTGGATATTTTACATGTGACACTTTCTACCCCTAAACATTGTTTGCTATAGCCTTCTTGAGGATGGAGTCATGACCTCAGAGAAAGGGCACAGTATATTTCATTTCTCCTAGTCCCCAGACTGGATTTTCATCACGGCTGGTGCCAGGTTCTTTTTTAGTACTGCACCGGGCGTATGAGAAAGAGCTTATTTTCATGACTAGCAAGGGCATCATTCAAAAGACAATTTGAACGTGGCCTTTTATGTATTTTTTTGCAAAGCTGTTATTTGGATAACCTTCAGGGAAATCCTTAAAACACTGAAAATGAAAACCATTAACAATGTGTTAGACACACATATACAGAAGAGCTGATAATGTTGAGTGCATGTGTATATTCTGTATCCGTGTGTGTGTGTGTGTGTGTGTGTGTGTGTGTGTGTGTTGAGGGAAATAAGAGATTTGTTCTCTGGGAAATAGCTGATCCAGAAACTGTCATTAATTCATAGGCCAAAAAGCCAAACTCCTATTTTGCAGCCCTTTCCCCATGGACTTAAGGAGTCTGAGGATTAAAAAAAAAAAAAAAAGTCTGAGGTATAAATACGATCATAAAGAGACATTCAAATTTGCTTTCTTCAAAGATTTTGCTCTGAGCTACCCACGACTGCCTGAGACATGTCAGATCTTCAAGAAGTGGCTAGCTCTACTCTGAGAAGCTTTCTGTTTCTGCTTGCTACCCAGGCAACCAAAATGTCAGTGTGCACATGTGCATGCGTGCATATAAATATATACACATCTCTCACCATCTTATTCTTCACGTGCTACCTGTCTGCGTATATGTGTTTATATACATGTATGCGTATGTCTGTGTCACATGTACATTTAGAGGTGTTTTTGCTATTTGAATTTTTGCTTCTTTTTATTTTTGAAGACCAATGGAAAAGTGTTTGAAGACAGCAGATTACATTAAAAAATCAGTTTCACCGACTGGCTCTCAGATACTGGGTACATGTATGCACACACACACCTCTTCTACCCCCTCTGATTAATAGATGCTTCCTCTTAAGTCCTTTAAAAGAGGCATTCTTAGGCACATTTCTCTGCCAAAATGTAGTGGATTCCTCTTTGAAGCTGTGACCCTGTTGATTTTGTTCACTGCCAAATTTCACATCATGAAAAAAATAGCTTAATATTGGAGTGATTAACTTTCATGGAGAGCTGACAGAATTGAGTTCTTCAAAACCTAAACTCTGCCAATTTTGATGTCCCTAATTTATTCCAACAACCATTTAAGTCTAAATGCTTCCATTTTAATCACATTAACAGTATATTACAAAGAGACTGAACACCCAGAGGACTCCAGTTGCAAAATGAATTTGGCTCTTCCTTGTCCTCTTTATCTTTAGAATGATCAAATAGCTGCTGGCAAAAATGTTCAGCTAGAGTCAGCCCTCTGGCAATTTCCCATTGAGTCCCTCTGCTTCCTTAGCCAGAGGCCTGAACCTTGGCACTTGCCCAGACATCACAGAGGAAATAAACATACCTATTATCCAAGCAACCACAAAGATGCCTATCTGACCATTGCTGGCATTAGGTTTACCTGGACAGCTGCATTTGACTGGGGCTAAAGAGAGGCAGCTTTGTGAAACTAATCCACATCAATTCCTATCAACCTGGAGGCCTGATTGGCACCACGATCTAACCAGGGAGGCTGCAGCAGTGGCCCTGGGGAAACTGTGTGTTCCTGGTACCCCTTCTGGGTCTCACCAGTTGATAAAGTATCAGGCCTTCAGTGGGGCCAGTGCAGAGATTTGTTTATACCAAGGCTGAGCCATTGCCAGTTTGCCCATTCCTCTGGTACTGTACTCACATAAAGGTGCAGGAAAGCTGAATATTTAATGCAGGTATTTTATTTGAAACCAAGTGCTCCTGTTCTCCAGGGTCTACTTTCTGCCACCAGCCTACATCCTAGGAAATAGAATAAACATTTTTCTGTACTGCATAAGCCAAGCTATTTTCATATTTAGTTTCCCAACAGCCATCAACTGCATATGTGTGCAGACCCTGAAAACTCAAATACCTCCTTACTGTTTTGGCAGTGTTACATGGTGGTTATAAGCTAGGGTGTTCCTGTCAGAGAGACTGTGCTAACCTCTCAGCTCTGTCACTCATGGTATAACTTGCAGCAAGTCATTTCTGCTCTCTGAGATTGTTTTCTCAACTACTAACATGGGTAAAAGAATTGTATCTACTTCACACAGTGCTGCTTTGAGAAACAAGTGAGGTAATGCACAAAATTAAGAATCTGGTCTATAGTAAGTGCTAAATTATGCACTTCATGTAAGTGTATTTTATATATATATATATATATATATATATATATATAAAGTGTTTAACCAGTGTTATTGATATAGGAATATTACAAATATTTTCCACTTTTTAATTGCTTGAATTCAAGATTGCTACTCAGTAACAATACAGAAAAAGAGATGAGGAGGTTACAAGTTATTTCAAGCTTGAGATACGACTTCTTTAGAGGTTTTTGTTATTACTATTGAGCTTTATTGGATTAGAAGATGCTAGCTTCCAGAATTTCTATTACGCTATGGGCTCAGGGACTGCAATATGTTGGAAGAAAAGCTGGGGATTGTCTTAAAGTTGCATTTACATACTAAGCCCACTCATTTTCCTTAGGTTATGTGATCGTTTAAGGTAGCTCTGTGATGACAGGCACTGATGGAGATACAAGGATGCCATCTCTTGGTATCTTCACATTTACATCCCTCCTAGTCTACCCCTGGGTGTTCCATGTCATCCTTATTCTGGCAATTTCATCTCCTCTGGCCATGAACAATTAAGGATATTTTTAAAAACTTATTTTACAAAGTCCCATATTTCCACTTAAAAATCTTTGAAATAAATACATTATGAAAACAGAATTAAACACTTAAACACAGGTTATTTTTGTCCTCTTTGTTAACCCAAGGCAGTATCTTCTAAAGCCAGGGCTCTGTTGATAACTTTGGTTGGTTTCATGACAACTTCTATAGTTAGAATCCCATGTTGAAAGATGAACTGAATGAGACAAATATGAGGTAATTTTCCTCAATCAGACAATAAAAGTGATGGGAAAACAATATATTTTTTAAAGTTTAACTTTTATTTATCAACAAATACTCTTTTTTTCTTTTGAAACAGAATCTTGCTCTGTCACCCAGGCTGGAGTGCAGTGGCACAATCTTGGCTCACTGCAACTTCCACCTCCCAGGTTCAAGTGATTCTCCTGCCTCAGCCTCCTGAGTAGCTGGGACTACAGGCGTGTGCTACCACGCCCAGCTAATTTTTTGTATTTTTAGTAGAGATGAGGTTTCATCATGTTAGCCAGGATGGTCTCGAGCTCCTGACTTCGTGATCCGCCCGCCTCAACCTCCCAAAGTCCTGGGATTACAGGCGTAAGCCACCATGCCTGGCCAATCAACACATACTTTTGAGTGATACAGAGGTGCCTTTGGCATTGTGAAAGGTGAAATAGAATATTTTTTGTACTTTAAAGTAGAGGAAGTGTTCACATTTCTATTCTAGCAGAAAATCTATTTTCCCTGTAGAAACCAGTAATATTCCCTAATATAGTTATTTGTATAAGGACTAATGTTCTAGTTCAATGATTGGAGCTAGAATGGGTTATTTTTGCCCCTAGACAATTGGACCTCCACACAGAGACTCAGACTCAAAGAGAAAGGATGAAACACAAGCAAATATTATAGCCAATCCTCAGCCTCCTGAAAGGGAAGAATCCTTAACCAAAGAAGAGAGTGAAGTGTTCGAGTCTCTCACCTCTCCAAGGAAGATTCTGATGTTTATATTTGAGAAGGGAGAGTAGAATTTTTGGGACACTCATGAGTCTTTGAGAAAACAAAGTCCATTTTTATATGGCTGGAGAAGGGACAACACTTTTGTCGGAACTCAGTAGTGCTAAGAGCTGTAGCCAGTCGTTGGATGTGAACCCTGTTGCCTTCGGCTGCAATGGAATTACAGACACTGGACTTCCTTTCTTTTGGGGCCAAAGAGGTATATCCTGAGTATATTAGGTGTAACCAGGCAGTCAGAGAACAATCGCGCAGTCATTTGAAGGGTAACCAGATATCTGGGTCAGGTTGCGAAAAACATCAATAGTGTTGGGGTATTTCACTGCTGGGGCTCCCTGGGGAAAATATTACTCAATGGTCATCTTTGAAATATAGCTAAAAGCCAGTCATATTTACATCACAGAGCATTGTCTGTATATTATTTTTAAAAGCAACTTCAGTCAGCTATATATCTAAGGCCTATGGGAAATAGTCTGGTAACAGAAAGAAAAAATTCAGGTAGTATTTTCTTGGAGGGTCTTAGGTCCCAGAGATGGAAGCCTAATACATAAGGGAAAATAAAATGTGTCATATGAATAGTATACAACTACAAACCTCTTTATAAAATTTGAGATTCTGAGCAGTAACTTTATGACTTTTTTAAAGCAATCTCTTTTAGGAAGCTGAGGATATTTGGAGGATTCCATTTCCTGCAGAGTAGTTCAATTAAGCACAAGTAATTTCAGTCTATGCACAAAAGGACGTGAGTAGTAACTGGTTACCATTTGATGTTAGGATACATAGTTCAGCTCCCTTGGGACAATCTATAATAAAAATGCAGTAACACCATGAACAAATAGAAGGGGCTTTTCTCATTTACCCTTTATGACACCATTTCTGTCAAGATGGTTTCTTCGTGGAAGTGTGCATGCTGAATTTTTAGTGTTTATTTCCTTACCAATGTTCTTCTACATCCAGACCTGGCTATAGATTGCTCCTCTCAATTTTTACTTCCATCCTCTTGGCACCAACTCTCTGAGATACTGACTGATCGCTCTGGCTTATGAAGCGATATGAAGAGATATGATTCTCTCTGGCTTATGAAGCCTTAGTCATTTATGTGCATTTAGAGATATCTTTGGATGCAGACTTGCTAAATCACAAGGCAGTCTGATGATGAAGTACCTTACCCATTTACACTTGTATAGAGGAATATCATCCAATTATCTACAGTGTATTTCTGAAGTACAGGAAGTTGGAGACTGGTTCCTATGTCGGCCTTTGTGTGCAATTCTCTTTTTTACTCTTGATCATTCTGGCAGCAAGTGCATTTGACATTAAGTGCACTGCACGCTGTATCTTTGTGCATGGTGTCTCCAAGTATTTGGAAGAATCTCAGAGTCAATGCTAGAAAAATAAATGTTTTAACCAAGTTTGAACAGAACAAATTGAAAAGTCAGCTACTTAGAGGAAAGGATGCCCACTTATAATCTGCACATTATGTACTGTTGTGTTTTAGAAATACTTATTTGTAGCAGACAGCACTGCGAGGAAGAAAGATCACAGTCCTCAGAGTCAGTAGACATCAGTTTTAATTCTGCCTATGCATAGTTAATGTTTGACCTTGAACAAGCAGCAACCACTCTAACCATAGTTCTTCCAACCGTAAAATCAAAGGCAGGCCTTGATGATTTCTTTAGTGTCTCATATAGTCATTGGATTGTCCTGAGGGAGCTAAACTATGCATCCTACCATCAAACAGTAACCAGTTACTACTCATGACCTCCTGTGCATAGGCTGAAATTACTTGTGCTTAATTAAGCTACTCCTCAGGAAACAGAGCTCTAAAGCTCTACATTCTGAAGATATTGTTAAACATTTTCCTTTCATGGAATAACCAGAGATAGAAATTCAAAAGATGGGATTTCCAAGTCATGGTGACATTTTGTGTCATATCACGGGGTGATCTTGTGAAAGAAGTGGTTGGCTGTCAGTTCACCTCTCTGGACATGCTTGGGCAACAACACACAACTATTGGAGGCACGAGTGAATAGATTCTGAAGCCATCCAATAGAAGCAAGTTGTTAAGTGGTTATTTCTCAGGCTGGTTTAAATCTACTAAATTCCCATTAAACCACTATAATAAAGGTTTCTAGTATGAACTTGGAGATAAAGGTGTGCCAGGGCCATGGTCCAAGTAAAGCATTTAAATGGCCAAGTGTGATGGCCAACACAAAATCCAGAATATCAAGTCAGCAATGCCTGTCTGCTGGGAGAGAAACTAAATAGTTATAGTGGTCTGAGGAGCAAACATAAATAAATGTACCGACTCTGAAGACCTTGGCACAGACAGTACAATAATGAGTTGTTTTGACAAGTCTAAAAAATGTTTGTCTCTACTCTTTCCTATGACTTGGCAACTATTTTACCTTGTATCGATTTGTTCCTCATTTCCCTTGCAACAAAATTTACCCTCTTGCTTTAAATATGATATTCTTTCCACAAAGACTATTTCTAGCACCTATACCTTCTTCCTAAATGAGTTACTGCATTTTCTTTCTTGCCCTCTGCTAATCCTCCCTCCACTGAAAAGCCAAAACAAAAGGGAAAAATTTCACCAGCTCCAAATAAAATACTGTATATTTTCCCATTATGCAAGGAGTGAAGGCAAAATGGGTGTGGAGTTCTCTGTGGACAGCTGCTTCCCTGTACAAGATGAATACTACCAGTGCTCCTTTAGACTTTAAGTCTTTGTCTCAAAGGCTTTGTCTTCAAGCCTGTCTTGTGACTGGAGTGTTTGTTAATAACTGCTCCTCCTGCACCTCCATGTCTCTGTGTGTCCACACATCCCTGCCTACTGCTTCCCATCCCTGATTCTAGACACCGGTTTAGCTACAGGAGACAAGAATCACTTCCAAAGGAAGATGTTGAATTCAGGCAACAGAATGGTAAGAAAAAAGGCCCATGTCATTGTTGTTGTTTCATTCTTAGCACACACTTTCATTTCTAATGTTTAAATTCTATGCAGTGTTTCCTGATTAGGAGTTCTGTTCCTTTTCAAGGATTCTCAGGGATCCTTTTTTTAAGTTGATTCTCAGGGATAGAGCACGTTACCTTCACCACAGTAAGTTCCTCACAGGTGTAGAGTCCCGTTTGAATAAAAACATGTGTCTTCTCAGACAAAATGTGTGTCCTCCCTGTGGCTTGCACAGCAGGGTGCCATGTCCCTCTCTGCTTTTCCCTCTCCCCTGGAGGGTCATCTTTCTTATGTGGAAATCATGATTTTTGAGAAGCTGAAGCTGAGTTGAACTATTTTCCCCTGATTCTTATCAAGGCTTAAACTATATTAAAGGAGCTACCATTTTAAAAGATCTACTCATTATACTTCTTTTAGTATCATAGTTTTAATACTTGTCATATGTCCTAATCCAAATCCTATGCTTTACAAATAATAAAAATAAGGCCTAAAGGTATAGTGACTTACCCAAGTTTACAGAGCTAATTTGTGGAGGACAGTGGAGAGTAGCCCAGGTTCTGATTTTCTGGTTTTGCATTCTGATTTTACATTCACCGCTATACAAATTTTACATTCACCACCACACAAATGGAAGAATTTTGTTATACTTCCAATAGATACATATGTGAAGATCACACATACCCATTGAATATGTTTCAATCAATCTTGATGTTGGGAATTCTTTCATGTTTGGACCAGGATGGTACTTCCATCAGAGCAGAGTATTCCGCCAAGCTAGGAGGATCTCTTCATCCTCTAGACAGAAAAGACAGCTGACCTCAGCCCAACATTCTACTTCATAAAAGATGTTCATAGTCATGATGTCATTCTATCCTCACTAATCATAAGAGGTTGATAATATTGATAGTTTTACCTTATAGACAAGGACCCCAAGCTTCCTCAGTAGAAATCTAGCCATTAGTTCATGTCACATGACTTCACCTCCAGATAGACCTTGTTCTAGCTTGGAATCCATCTGAAGTGCATTCTAAACTAGGGGAAGCGTCCATACTTTCTTAGCTGGAGTATCCTGAGGGAGAAGAGCTCTAAAGAATAAGAAGAGCAAGGACACAACCTGACATCATGTTGCTGCCCCACCCGGCACACCCAGCCACACATATGTGCCCACAAGTTTTGATAAGAGGGTGCCTTCACGGTCCCCAAATCCTTAACATTTATGATGATGAATTCTGCATTGGGGTAGCCCATTTCTGAAATTTCAATTTGGACTTGAGTGAAAACAGATTTCCTATTAAATTCTTTTTGACAGAAACATCTCATAAACAAACAAGCATATAAACAAATATTTCTAATTTCCTCTTGGTGAATTATTTAAAGAATGCACATAAATCATGGCAATGTTTTTCCTTTGGATGACTTTTATTTATAGTTTTCTGTCTTTAAGAAAAATTTCAATAATTCATAATCACATTTTATAAAGTTGCCTTGCTGCTAAGAGCCAAGATAAAGATACATATGATTTAGCTTCCTAATATTTTATTTCTCTCTTCACCCATAAGAGGTCTGGTTTCCCAAGAGAGCTGAGCTCTGTATCAGAGGGTATTCTAATAATTTCATTGATGTATACAAAATGTATTTCCTTTTCCTAAAATGAAAAAGGAAAGTAGCAAAGGCAGTTTTCATTATACAGATTCATAGTGGTGCACCACAGTGGTCTGTGCTCATCCTGAGAGGAGGCCTGACGTATGGCTGCCAGATTTGAATATAAATGTAAACTCCTATTGCTCCACAGAATCCCATGCAGAAATAAGCTTACACCCAATGCATGGAGAAAATCAATAGTATATTATTAAAAGAGCATTCTGACTTTGTGTAGAGCCATTAAAATTAATCCCATCAGCATTAAGTCATGGGCCCTAGAGAATCACCCAGGAGAGCCATGGAATGATGGCAACCCACACAGATTAGGAAGAGAAGATGACACAGGCAGAACAGAGAAGGAAGTGTGGTCTGGCCCAAGCATTGCCCATGTCCCTTCCTGGCTGCCCTTCTTGTGAACACCTGGGGGTTCTGCATCTACACGTTCCTGGTGCCCAATCCTGAACACCACCCTGTCTCTGCTCCAGCCCTCCCTGTCTCCTGGAAGTGCTGCTTCTGAAGGCAACTGCTCTAAACCTTCTGCTTCTTTAGACAGCTGTCTGATAAAACAAAGCTTTCTGCAGGGTTCATGACTGACAATAGGGTCAAATGATCAATTGCCCCTGATCACAGACTTCCTGTGAGATGCAACACCGTAGCCCAAAGTCTTCACCCAAAGTCACGATAACTAGGAGAGAGTTTTTGACTGATACAGCCTTGTTCATTGTGGGAGAGCATGAAAGCCCTGAAAAGCCAGGAGATCTGGGTTAAAGTCCTGCCTCTACCGTCAAGTAACTCCCCTCACTCTGGGTAAGTCACTTGACCTGCCTGTGCCTTAGTTTTCTCATCTGATAAGTGAAGATTTAAAGGGTGTTTTGTGAGAGCTTAGTAAGATAATGAAAAGGTACATGCAAAGCAACACGGTGCTTTAAAAATGCAGCTATGACTTCATTTAGACATTTTGTGGAACAAACACACAGAGAGATGTTGTAACACAAGGATGTAGGAAAGACAAAAGACAGACTTAATTTATTAATCATTTCCTGAGTGTTTATTGCAAGGTGGGCATTGTTTTATGCACACGAGGTGTAGGAGCGAAAAGACAGATTGTCAATTATCTACATTACTGCTAGCATTACAGGAGTTTAAAATTATCTTTCATCTCTTGTATATTTATTGTGCATGGCATAAATCAGCCACACTAGTATCTGCATACTAGTATTGCTTTCAAACACCAATGATAGAAAATGTCCAAAGCAAATCAGAGTAAATTAATTTTTTTGCATTAATTTCTGTTTCTTTCAAATACAAAGATTCATATATAACTACTATCAAAGGCGTTTTTTGCCTTTACAGATGGTCAACATTTGTTAAAGAAGTCAGGAAAACGCAGACATGCAGGGATTAGGACATCCTTGCGTCATGGGTCTCTCAGCCTTTTCCTTAACCAGGGGTGGCTGCGCTGCACTTGAGGAGGAGGCAAGGGGCAGTCAGGCAGCCTGGAGTTCTCCTGCCCACTCTGCTGGCTCTGCTGGCTCCCCAGCCTACTTCAGCCCCAGCCTCGCAAATTCCAAACTGCTGATTCATGCTCATGATGTGAGCCTAATGACCGCGAACACGCTCTTGTTTTTCTTCTTCAGGCACATTTTCTTGGTAACCAGGCGGATGATATGCTAATGCAAGCTGGCAGACTTGATCTCAAACTACAAAAATACGCTCTGCCACGTGGAGGGGACAAAGGAGGAAAGAGACTTCAAGGCTATCCTTTTGACTCGGGTTTCCATTTTTGTCGAGAAGCACACAGCAAGTGCTCAACAAGGAGATTTGGTATTCAGAGGAGACCCACAGTGACCATTAGGATTTTAAACCACCATGAGCAGTAATTCTTCTCATTTAAAATAAATGTCCTCTAAGCTTTTTTAGTAACACACTTTATGAGACTCCGCTAGTTTCTCGTGCTGTTTCAGACAGCTCTGGGTAAGCAGGAGATGCTGAATCCAGTGAGGCAGAAAAGTCAGAATTTGCCTTTTCTCAAAATCCATCTTGGCCCCAACTTGGCTGCATCTTGCTTCTGAGTCATATAGCAAGGGTTCGTTGAAGGTCACCGCAATGCCCTGGACTACTTTGGAGTTTCAATGTATTGCTGTTGAAATAATTTTTAATCTCTTCCTGTCAGCTGGCCAGATGATACAATAATATTACCCTGTGTTGCCTCACAAGTGATTAAAGAACAAGAGCACAGCAAGTCCTGCTTCCCAGCCCTCTCACAGGAGAGCATAGAGGCTTCTGCAGGGAGAACGAGCCTTCTGCAACATACAGATATTCCCAGAAAGACAATTCACAAAGCAGTTTATTAGTGCCTGTGTTTTCAAGGCACTGCTGAGCGGAATGCCAGGGCCATTGGCTCCTGTTTTATTAAGGTTCTTGTCTATCTGACTCAGACTCACAAATTTTCTGGCCACAGACTTGGAATTTACTGTAAAGTGAGTCATCCGGTATGAACCAATGAAAATTCTCCAGGCAAATTCAGTTCAGACTCTGAGTTGTTATTTTTATTCTAAAATGGTCTTTTTCTTTATTATCTGGAAACTCATCAGTTAGGTGAGTCTGAGTGAGTCTGTGTTAAGAGGCTAAAATTAATAAATCCATCTGGGTAATTTCATGCCAAAAGCCACAACCTTCGGTTGATAAAAAGGAAGATGTTTCATTTCAATTGGAAGGTCACAGTCGGTCTGCTAAGCTGATTTTGAAAACGATATGCTGATAAGCATAGGAAAGGGTAAAGAAATTCCTTACAAAGCAAAATGAAAATAAGAATTTCTTTTTTCATCACACCAGAGGAAGATTCAAATTAATGTCCTCAGAGAGAGGTCACTTTGAGATACAGAGAATCAAAGGTTGGCTACCATAGGTTTAGTTTTTTATAATCTGCTTATAACTAGTTACTTCCTTGATCACTTCAGCACCTACAACTATCTTGAGACAGTTTTTACCACTTTACAATAAAAATACTAGAAATAAACATTTTCTTTTATTTTCAGTACTCTGGAAAGTCAAATTTTATTTGAGCCCAAACAACTAAATTCTGACTCTATCTTTTAAAGTGCTCCAGAGCCAAGACTCTAAGCCATAGAGCCTTATTGCTACAATCATGGTCATCAGATTACCTGTGGAGCTCTTGCTGAATGGTGGAGCCAGGAAGGAGCAGCCACTGCAATCTCTTTATGTCTGTAGAGCTGTTGCTAAGCAGTACTACAGGCAGTGTCTAAAGGCCCATCTCCAAGCCTGGAGTGTTCCAAACAACATCTATAAGAAGTCTCCAGAGCTGTGGCATCCCAGTGAGAATGGCTCTTGCATTCAGGCTCCAACAAAAGTGTCCAGGCAGGAAGTTGAAATGGAGGAAGTTATGTTAGAATGACTATCCTCATTACACAGATGAGAAAAGTGAGTCATGGAGTAAGTCAAACTCCTCCACCTCCCAACAACCAAGGAATAAACTAGAACCCATTTTTCTCTGCCTTTGTGTGTTAAGTTAGACATCCACTGGATTATGCCACTTCTTTTGGGGAAGGGAAGAATAGAAAATTGGATGACCCAGCACAACAGATGAATTCTGAGGGTGAAGAATGCAACAGGAACAAATTTCCATTTTCCTGTTATTTGAAGATGGAAGAGTAGATGTGGGTTCCAGTGAAGAACCAAGAAGCAGTTCCACTGAAAAAGTAGTATTTGACTCAAAGTAACCATTTTGAACAAAATTCTGAAAAGTCGACCTTAAATAGTAAATGACTGAGATAGCAAAGGAATGAAATTATCTGTTCTTCCTCAACAATAAACAGAAAGGGCTAATTCAGTCCATGGTAACTATTTAACCATATCTCAAGTGGGTGAGCAGCAATCAATGATTAGCACAAAAATGGTCAGAATAGCAGCATGTTTCTCATATGCAAAAAAAAAAAAAGCCAAGAAAATTATCATGGATTGAGAGCATTTTTGTTAGAATATGTGAAAATAAAAAAAATGATAAAGGTGAAGATTAGAAAAACGTGGAAGAGATGGCAGTAAGAGAGCACAGGATAGGCCCCTAGCTTTGTCCTGGAAGCATTGACCTCTCTGACCTTGCCGCCCACAATGTTCACCTGTGACCATCTGTGTCCACCTTCAGTGAATGTATTGTTCCCAAAAGGCTCTTGTTCCTATCAGAGTACCACACTAGAGCTGTGGTCCAGCTCTGTTCAGGAATCCACAGCCCCAGTCCAGATTTTAAAAGGAAAACCAACTGCAGAAATGTAACAAATAAAACAGCTTGCTCAATAAGAGTTACTCAAGTTTAACTATGGATGACTGACCGAGATGAGGCAAAGAGCAAGTACTATCTGCCAGATATAATAGCAGGAACTCTTTATCTGTTTTCTCACTGAATGTCCTTAAGAATTATATGAGATGTGGCACTATCCCCATTGCTCTAGACACTGAGAACCAAGGAAGTTCTGTTACTTCCTCAAGGTTGGGATTCAGTTCCAGGTAGGCTTTAATCCTGTATGTTATTTACATCATTTCCAACTAATAAAGATGAGAGTGTAATTTATGCACATATCACACTCAAGTATTTCAGGCGGATGTCAATTAACTAACATCTTTGTTATAAAATTATAACAGGTTATCACAGGCAAAATTTTCCATTAGTGCATCTATACTTTTGAGTACAGTGAAATATAGACAAGTAATTCTCAATGGGAGGAGTCAGGGAAGAGAAGCACATCAGGATTACCTGAGCAACCTGTTCAAGCAGATCTCCCATTACCCTCCCCTCCCCAACCCCCTTCACGCGTGTTAGTCAATGTTATCAGCAGAATGTGTCTGACTCATAAACGTACTGGGCTGGGGAAAAACAACAACAACAACGTTGCAACCTCGTTTTGTGTATTTTCACATCAATGAATGTTTTTCTTTTTTTGTTTTTTTGTTTTGTTTTTTTTTTTTTTTTGAGATGGAGTCTCTCTCTGCTGCCCAGGCTGGAGTACAGTGGTGCAATCTTGGCTCACTGCAACCTCCATCTCCCAGGTTCAAGTGATTCTCCTGCCTCAGCCTTCCGAGTAGCTGGGATTACAGGCACGCACCACCACGCCCAGCCTTTTTTTTTTTTTTTTGGCTTCTTTATTATCCTATTTTAAGTAAAGGAATTTCTAGATAATTTTTCTCACATTATTTAGGTTTTCGTATGTTTTGATAGTTCATTTTCAACTTCTGCCTCCCACAATTTTACATGTAACCAATATTCTCACAAAAATATGAATGACTGACATCTTCCATTTACTTAACTGACTTACTCTGTACATATGCATACACACAGCTTCATTAATGTACTGACTTCTGATCAGATTTAAACTGTAGCAAATTTCTTCATCAGAAAATAAAAACCTCTAAGAACGTTACAGGAAGTGATTTCAATGGATCAGGATGCTTTATCATCTATTCATTAATGCTGTCAACATCCAGGTACTGCTGAGTGCCTACAATATTCCAAGCAGTTGCATTTTACCAGCTAAAGTAGAATATACCCTCTTGTTGAGTTAGCCATTTACTTATGTCGGAGAAACATCCTTCAGAATAAGGATGCCCTGAACTCTTCTGAGGGCATTCAAAAATACCAGAGTCATTGTTAGTTTGCCCTTGAATGACTCTATGTTTGTTGGAGATAAAGCACTCATGCCTTTCAGGTGACACTTTCTAGATGTCAGCAATTAGTTATAATTATTAATAATTTTGGTTACTATAACTTATTAGTAGGCTGAAATTTAGGCTTTGAAGAAAAATGGATTGGTTAAGCCTTAGAAAACATAAACACACTGAATGGGCCCTGTACACTCTAAATACCTTCATACTATTTGAAGGAATTCATAGTAAAACTTAAATCTTCAGGTGAATCTGTACTAGTAGCCACTACTAGATTACTGTACCATCCAGGACACCAGAAAAACTGGAAGGCATGTGAGACTGAGAACCTAAGGCCTGCATCCAAATCTCAGTTTGCAAGTTTTGGAACCACAGATAAATCACCTGATGTCTCTGAGTTCCAGTTACTTCATCTGTAGAGCAGAGAAAATAATGGCTCTGCCCATCATCTCACTAGAATATTATCAAATGATCTAAGGTTTGTAAAAATGTTCCAGTAATTATGAAATATTTTAATATAAATCAGTTTTTAAAAACTGTTTCAGAAACTGTAAAATACTATATTAATAAAGCATTAGTTTTGCTAGACCTCAGAATTTTATCTTTGATTTTATAATCATGCTGAAGTATAATTAATATAATTGTTTATTGTAAATACTTGCTTACATAATTTGACCAATATCTCTCGGCTCGGTTGCTTCTCTGAACCTGTTACTTCATGCGTAAAGCCTATATAACAATATCTACCTTTAGTAAAGGCAATAATATATGCAAAGTACTTAATCCAGTTGCTTATTATGTAGATTCAATTAATACAAATTATTTCTGTTACAAAGTTATCATAGATTTTGTTCTCCCCACTAACCATAGTTACAAATGTTTATATGACTCCAGGACTGTACTAAATTCTGGTAGTTTTGTAGTCTCCTGCTCATTTTTCTTCTTTTCTCATTTCCTCCCAAAAGCAAAGGATTTACAATGACCATAATTATCATGATAAATCATTGGATGTATGATTAATGAGGTAGTGTGACAGTTATTCTTTATGTTAGAGGCTGTGTCCCACTGAGACATCTGAACAGCGAATCTGCTTTAAAAGATGAAGCCAGGGAGGGTCTTGCATGGTCAGACACAGGTTGCTGTCAAGGTGATTCTTGTCAAAGTTATAGCCTCACTTTCATATTTTTTTATTTTGTATTTTTTCTTAAAGCGAGTGTTTTGAAAATATTATCCCACCTGCAGGAACATGGTGATTGGTAACATGAAGGCCTGTTTGAGAAACAAAACACTGCTGCAAAAAATCTGATTTAGCACCATGAATTTTATTCAGTTTTAGCATAGAATTTCATTGCTCATCCAGGGGTAACCTAATCTGTCATACAAAGTTGCCTTCTTTTTCATTTCAGAAAGTGCCCGGCTCTTATTGCCTGTGTGCCTTTGAAAAAAAATCAACAGTTTAGAAGGAAGGGGCCCGATACTCTGCTCTCTTTCCCTGCCTTCTGTCCAAGTTCACGAGATTGGCCCTAAAAATTCCTCTCAGAATTTTACCAATTTCATCCTGCAGACTGTATTAATGAGTGTCATATCTCAGCAACAATCATTTCATATTAAATTTAGAATTAAGCTAATGTGGTAGAATGATCCGCATGCCAAAACCTCTTCATTCCTTTTCCAGTCCTTCACACAACGGCAGACTAGAACCAAATGCTCAAATATCCTTCTTATATAACTAAATGGAGGTGAGCGTTTCCCTGTCTCTTTATCTTCCACCCTTGTTCTCCAACTCCCTTTTTATTTATATAACCAGCTGGAATTATAATTTACCGGTGTGCTAAGGGGACATCAGTGATTCTCCAGATGGCTCAAACCAACCCATGAGAGTACATTTCTTTTCACATTTGATCTTAGAATAGCCAATATGTTCCTAGCAAGAACTAAGCAGTTGACCCATGTATTGCAATAAGTTTCCTTTTACCTGTTTTCTGATGATGAATGCCCATATTCCTTGATATTATCTATCCCCTATGCATCTCTGTATATTTTCCTCTTTAAGATTTTTCTTTATGTTTAATCTGAGGATAAGTAGGAGGGAAGCTTTTAATTTAAAAAAATTATTTGATATTTAAGCCAGCTTCTTCTCCTAGCATATGTTTCAGCTTCTGAAATGCAGGTCTTAAACTTCATGTTGAGAAATGCAGATATTTATTCTAAAAGCATTTCTGAGAAAGTAAAAATATGCCTATAAATAAATGAAGACAAAAGGAAGATGGGGAAGAGAAAGTTATGTATAAAATTTTCTTCTAAAACCTCTGATCAAATTCTCTGCCAAATTGTATAGAATGAAGTTATATAATATCCGTTTGCTTACTGCAATCAAGTGTTCACACCATCAGTGCAGATTTTGCATTTTATTCAGTTTTAATCATCAGAGAAATGCAGATTAAAGCCATAATGCGATAACAACTTGCCTGAGCCAGTATGGCCATTATTAAAAAGTCAAAAAACAATAGATGTTGGCGCAGATTTACTGAAAAGGAAATGCTTATATGCTGCTGGTAGGAATGTGAATTAGTACAATTCCTATGGAAAACAGTTTAGAGGTTTCTCAGGGAACTAAAAGTAGATCTACCATTTGATCCAGCAATCCCACTACTGGGTATCTACTCAAAAGAAAAGAAGTCATTATATCAAAAGGACACCTGCACGTTTATGTTTATCACAGCACAATTCACAATTGAAAATCAACCTAAGTGTCCATCAAAGTATGGGTGAATAAAGAATATCTGGTGTATATATACCATGGAATACTACTCAGCCATAAAAATAATGAAATTATGTATTTTTCAGCAAGTTGGATGGAACTGGAGACCATTAACATAAGTAAAGTAACTCAAGAATGGAAAAACAAATACTGCCATGTTCTCACTTAGAAGTGGAAGCTAAGCTGTGGATATGCAAAGGCATACAGCATGGTATAATGGACACTGGAAACTCAGAAGGGAGCGGGGTGGGAGGGAAGTTAGGGATGAAAAATCACCTGTTGGGTACCATGTGCCCAACTTTTTGGGTAATGGGTACACCCAAAGCCCAAGCTTTACCATTTTATAATTCATCCATGTAACCAAAAGCTACTTGTAACCCTAAAGCTATTAAAAATAATTTTAAGACATAGACACATAGACACTTGAAGACACTAAGCCTAATAAATTCAGGCATTACTATGAAATTCACAATATGATTCACTGAGTAAATTCAAATTTACTTGTTACTCTGTTAAAAAAAATAAAACGTCAAAAAATCAATAAATAATGAAAAGCAAGGATTCTAAAATGATCCTAAGAACTGTAAATAAACTAGCAATGAAAAATATTCATTAGAAATGATAATGTATATATATTATATATAATATATATATATAAAATAAAGAGCCAAAGGAGCAATATATGATAAATGATTCTTATTCTAGTCTAAAACCAACCAGATGCAGCAAAATAACATTTATAGTAAATGAAAATATTCTAAGTTCGTTTCAATTGTCAAAATGACTTTATTGGGCCAGATTGAGAGTAAAGATGTACAACTATTATTAAAATAAAAGCAAAATTTAAGAATATTAGGATGTTTATATTCATATAAAATAAACCATAAAAGCTTTTCACTGCCTATTCTGAATTTTCACAGTAATTCTACTACAGTGTTTATTCACTCATTTGTTCACCCAACATACCCACTGTGTGCCTGTACTATGCATATTTGTTGAGAGTGAGAGTACAGTAAGAAGCAAAAAAATTAAAGAAATGTTAAGGAAATGTCAGCACCCTGCCATTCATGGTGACTGCCTCAGTTTCCCTGCAGCCCAGGAAGAGGGTCGCAGCTAATATAGATGGAGGCAGGATTCAGATGGCTTTCTTTGCTACACTCTGGAACATGGGGTTTGTAAGATGGATTTTGTCCTTTATCCATAGGTAAATGGGAAAACTGATCATTTTGAACAGATGAGGGTCACTTATTATCAAACTTCCTCAGAAACTCACAACGGCAGCAATGTGAAGGGTGTCGTGGGAGGGTGTGAAACTGTAGACCCACATGCGTTAGAAGACCATCAGCAGAATGAGATGAGAGATGAGGAGGGCCTGACTAGAAAGGTGGAGTTTAAGAACTTAGTGATGTAATTTTCAGGACTTAGTGATGATTAGACAACAGGATTGAAAAAAAAAAAAAAAGACACAAGTCTAGTGTGGCTCCTGGCTTTGTGTCATGAATAGCTTGGTGAATTTCTAAAATGAGGACTGCAGAAGGAAAAGTAGGTTTGTGGAAGATGGTGTCGGCTTAGGACATGTGAAGCATCTGAGATGCATCTCAGTGGTAGACAGTTGAGACAGGTAAGTCTTGAGTTCAGGAGAGGCCTGAGCTGGGTAAAAATGTTTGTCAGATTTACAAGTCATCAGCATAGGTGACTGTTGAAACTCAGAGAGTAATAAGCTTGCCTGGAGACAGCTTGTAAGGAAAACAAAAAAAGTCTCAATAGCAGACTCCTGGAGAATGTAAACACCTAAGTTATCATTAGAACAAGAGAAATTAGCAAAGGAGAATTTTAAATAGGAAGGAGGACTACCAGGAGAGAGTCACGATTCAGAAGGGATGGGAAAAAAAACAATTTCAAAATTAAATAAGATAAGGACTGAATGATAACGTCGTCTTTGGCCATAATTATGTCATTGGTAAACTGCCAGAGCAAATTAGTATGGTAAATTGCAGAGGCTATGACCAGTAAAATTTAATAGGCACCAATCTTATCAATGATCATGTCGTCAATTCTAAAAATTACACAGAAATAACTTATTCATTGGAATAAGTTTGTTTTAGAATGAGAAAGTATTTGCATATGCTACATAGAAAATTGATTTAGAAATTATATTTTCTAGAAGAAAATTCCTTCCAGTTAAAAAAAAATTCTGATTAAAGTAATTGTATTTTGGGAATATGAGCCCCCACTTTTGGCCTTCGTGGAGCAATTGATACTGGACTAACCCTCCTGTTGTATACAGCTAGAAAGCTAGACAAAATATGTAAAATAATGTTTTCAGACACTGGAAAATAGGTAGCACAAGGCAGTGATATCTGAAGAAGAGAAATAAAGAAAGATGAGCCCTGTGATCACCCAAGCTTTCTGAGAGAGGCAGAAAGAGGAACCTAGGCAAAGCATAAATATCTCACTCATTAGAGCTTGCAGAGTGTGAGGTATTTGGAAGAGCAGAACAGAAATGGAGAGAAGGGAGTACACAGACAAGCGCTCCAGAAACCTTCACAGGGCTAACCTTGAGTGGTGGAATAAAGCTGTCCATGACGAGGGACACTTAAGACTGAAGTAACTGCCAAGGAACTATAAATTTAACAACCAATGGAGCTTGCACAGAGCTGGACTGCATTCATGCTCCAGCCAACCAGAGTGAAGAGAACTTGATGTACACTCTGATATTCAGTAGAGATTAGAGAATAGCCATGACTTAGGAAAAGGCCCAACCTAACAAAACAATAAAGGATGCCCTGTATCAGCCCTAACTAAAGTTAAAAACAAACACTGAAAAGATCAAGCTGATTCCCAAGTAAGTTGCTTTCTGACCAAAATAAACTTAACACTCTTTAAAAGAAGACAATAAAACCCAGATAGTCAGCAATGAAACATCAAACATGTCCAGCACCCAATAAAAATTTATTTCACGTACAAATAAGTAGGAAATCATAACCTATAATTACAAGAAAAATCAGCCAATAGAAATAAACCCAGATAGGTCAGGCACAGTGGCTCATGCCTATAATCCCAGCACTTTGGGAGGCCGAGGCAGGCAGACCACTTGAGGTCAGGAGTTTGAGACCAGCCTGGCCAACATGGTGAAACTCTGTCTCTACTAAAAATACAAAAATTAGCTGGGTGTGGTGGCAGGCACCTGTAATCCCAGCTACTAGGGTGGCTAAGGCAGGAGAATTGCTTGAACCTGGGGGGCAGAGGTCGTAGTGAGCCGAGATTGTGCCACTGCACTCCAACCTGGGCGACAGAGTGAGACTCCATCTCAAAAAAAAAGAAAAGAAAAAAATAGACCCAGATATTATGAGAGGATGAATCAACAAGCTAGGTTTTTAACTATTAAAATAGGTATTTAAGCTATTATAAATATGTTCAAGGATTTAAAGGAAATCATGAACAAAATAAGAAAATCAAACCTTAAAAAAGAACCAAATTGTATGTCTAGAGCTGAAAAATGCAATATTTGAAATTAAAAATTCACTGGATCAGCTTAAAAGCAGATTAGATGCCTCAGAAAAAGAGATCAGTGAACTTAAAGGCAGAAAATAGACTTTAAAGAGAAACACACTAACAGATTTAGACCAAAAAATCCATTACTTTAGATGAAGTGAGAAAATTCCTTCAAAAACACAAATTGCCAAAGCTGAAAAAAGAAAACAGAAAATCCAAATAGCCCTGTATTTATTAAAGAAAATTTAAAATCTTCCCCCTACACACACACACAAAAATAGGTCTGGATAACTTCACAATATTGTATCAAATGTTTAAAGATGAAATAATTCCATTGTACATAATTTTTTAATAAAATAGAGACATGGGGAACACTGCTCAATAATTACAAAATAATAAAAATCATTCCAACAAAGACTCACAAGAATTGTAAGAGGAAAGATATTTTTCTGAATATTATGGTTGAGAATAGAGCTATGAAGAATCTGAGAGTTAACTTACAGGTAAAGGGTTTCACTAGGCAGATACACAGTCATTCTAATTTGGAGGAATGACATGGAATAATATGAAGTAAAATAGTGTATATGCTTGGGAAGTGGGTACAATTGGACCATCTCATTGGATTCATTTCAGGGACTTTTAGGGCTAGGTTTAGGCTTCAAAAATAGATAATGTCATAACCATACAACAGCTTGCATTCCAAGGAAAGGGGTTTGGATTTTTATTCCGGAAGCAGTTGGAGAGTCAAGGAAAGTTTCTGAGCATGGGAGTGGCACAGTCAAACAGAAATTTTGGAATCTTGATCCGATAAAAGCTATTTGGCTTTTTATCAGAAAGTTTAGGACAAACAAGACAGGACAATCCTGCGGTGGCCTGCTGTTCCTTGGGAATGGAAAGGAGAATGCAGTACTGAGAGACAGCCTCAGGGTAGATTCAAAGGACATCAGCCCCAAAATAATCACATTCACATTCTCTAAGTATCAAGATTTAAAATGAATAGGCTACTGCAGGCTGTCATTTCTAAGCCCCAAATGAACCTCATATGGGGTGAAATTTTATCAGTAGTACCTTACCTGTGTGAGAAAATAAATATTACTTCAATTTGTGCTGTATTCTTGATCTGTTAAAACAAACTAAATATGGCCTGAGAAGGACCCTGTATTTCTAAAAATACAGAGTATGTATGCTAAAAACTAGAATTAGCTAAACATAAAATTACCTGTGCAGCTGCTGAGACTTGTGGCCTTTGGAGAAATACATCAAATGTAGATTATAAAAATTCAGTTGTAGGGGATTAATGAAAAGACATTTAGTCAAGTGAGTAAACTCCTCATCTAGCTCATTCTTTTATCTACTTAATTTTAGGTGGTTTGGATTATGGGGACCCTGGGTATGGAGCATATTCCAAACTCTTGGTTTTATCCTCCCAATAGTCATAATAATAGCCTCCCTGATGCACTGTATTTTCTCAAAGTTTTTAAATGTTTGCATGCAGCCATCTCTAGAACCTCAAATAGTCTCTCTTCAACAGGAATGACAAAAGCTGAAAGAAATGTGTGACCATGAGGACACTGTAAACCATGAATGACATGCTGAAACCGGAAACCCAGGATGATCATAACTGAGAGTGGCGCTAACATCATAAGTTTTAGTCATACTCTCACCTAAGTAAGAACCTGGCCAGAAAACGGGAATATTTTTTAAACAAAATTATGGGAGGCCATTATTTTGGACTGAGCTCATGCACTAGGCCCCAACAAACCAAACTAAAATAGAGTCACTCATGCTAAATATGACATAGTCAAGCTAAGCCTTTAAGAAAACACATAGATGCTAACATGAACAGACCAGGTTTTGTTTTTCTACTGTTAACAGAATGTTCCAGCATAAGGAGGTACCCTCTACTCGGTCCTTATTACCTCTTTGTAAAACTCATTGTTCTACTGTTTCCCAGTGAGTTTCAAAACCATATAAGTACATTTACGATCGTGATAGTAACATCAATGACTAAGGTTTTGGTCAATCTCTCAATGTTGAGAAAATGACCAAAAGGGGAGAATTGTCAGAGCAAACTAAATGTGGTCTGAGAAGGACTCTATACTTCTATAGTTGCGTCCTTGTGGAGGAACTGTAACCTAGCTTAATAGACAAAATTAAAAACCTAACTTATTAGTACATACCTGTAAAAATAGCTGAATGTTGGCCAATCCCGGTGGCTATATTTCAACCACTCATAGACTGTGTAATGTTCAAACTGCACTCAAATAAGGCAATTCCTGAGCTATAATCAGTCTCACTCTTTCTGTACCTCACTTCTGGTTCCTGTATGTCACTTTTTTTGGTCTATAAATTTGTTCTGACCATAAGGCACCCCTGGAGTGTCTGTGAATCCGCTGTGATTCTGGGGGCTACCTGATTCGTGAATCGTTCATTAATCAATTAAACTCTTTTAAATTTAATTTGGCCAAAGTTTTTATTTTATCAGATCTAAAATGACACTTAAATTTAGTCCCAAATATCTGTGCATGAAATCTATTTTAGGTAAGACCCACGAAGCTCTCTGCCACAATTTTTAACACAACACTAAGTTCAAGTAAATTTATAATGGGAAGCAATTATCTATATACATTGTACATATATTAGATTTTCTATTGACTTTAGGAAGATGAACTGATCTTCTGAATTTGAAAATGATCAATGCTGATTAAATCAGATATATTTTATGTCATCTATAGTTTTATTCTTTTGCTTTCAAAATGAAACTGGACTAATGCATGTTTTTCTCTCCTCAATTAACTAAGGTCTATGTCCACATATCTCTGAGGTAGCATCTAATCCTCTACATTTCTCTAGTGAACATTGTCAGGGGACTAAGGCAGACAAGAATATGATATGCTGTGATTTCACAGCAGTAAATAAACCACAGCAATGAAATTAACATTGTGAATTTGTTAACAGGGCAATTGATATATGATGATTTTCATGACAATCATTGTAAAGAAAGACGCTGTTTCCATGCCACTCTACTCCAAGCAAAAAATCAAAACAAACAAAAAGCCCTTAAAATATGAATAGTTCGTGTCGAAGGAAAATTATGAATACTTTAAGTGCTGTTCTTTTGAGTGAATATAGAAAATATTCACTCACCCCTTCATTCATTTGTTCAACCAGCATGTGCTGAGTTTTGCTCTCCCTTGGGCACTGCAGTGGTTTGAAGTGAGTGAGATCCAGAGCCCTCCGTAAGGGGAACAGGGACCAGCACTCACGTAACTCCAGAAAATTACTAAGGTAATATTGTAAGCAAAAGCTCCCCTTAAAACACTTCGCAGGCTTGAAAACAATTTTCAAAAATCATGAAAATGAAAGAATGCATAAAATCCCTCACATTTCTCAAGTCTTACAGCTCCATAAGATTATGAAATTATAAAATATTGTTTTATTTTATAATAGTTTTTAAAGTTTTAAAATATCATCCTAGCAATGTTTAATGCAAAAATACTCTCCTTAAGAAGTCATTTGCACACAATAAGCACTTACTGTCTGACAGACACTGTAACAAGAGCTGTTCCTTTGCTGAAAAAGCTCACAGTCCAATGGTAGGACTCCTATTTGCATGCACCTTACAATTTACCAAGGGATTGTTTTTTAACCCATTTGATTCTAACAACATCCTGTGAATTAGGGAGGCAGGTAATGTGCTATTTTTCTAGAGATCAGCTAGAACACCAAGACCTCACGTTTGTACAGCTGGTAAGTGGTGAAATAAACATGAAACATCTAACTCCTAATCCAGTGCTCTTTCAAATGCAACACACACAAACACATATTCCCTTTCAAGTTTTCTGCTGCACATGGTCGTGAAATTGCGGGTTTACACCAAATGTGAAAATGTTGGTTTACATTTTCTTAAGTGAAATCTCTCACTGTATCAGATTATGACTCCATCATCAGGTGGCTGATGTACAAGGAAAAGAGTAGGCTTTATAATTATACAGGGCCAATTACATGGCGGGTCCTGTCTTACCACAATACATGTATTAAATTAACTAATCCTCAGGATAATCCTAGAAAGTAACCTTCTGTTATCATCCACTGTGTTATCATCCTCATAATAATGGATCTCCTCATATCCATTATTATAATCCATAATAATGGATCCTCATATCCATTATTATGAGGAAATTTGCTTTATATAAGAAACACGAAAGTTAAATAACTTGCCCAAGTTGATATAATTAGAAAGTGACAGGGATTTATTAGGTTGGTGCAAAAGTAATTGCGGGTTTTACCATTACTTTCAATGGCAAGAACCACAATTACTTTTGCACCAATGTAATAACATGACACAATTTGGCTCTAGAGCTAGCCCTATAATATCTCATGATATTTAAGAGAGAAAGGCTATTTTTCTGCTCCAAAAGATACTCATTAGCCAGGTGCAATGTCTGATATATATTTCAACAGTTACATTTTAAGGCAAATATCAGCATGTATCAGTATTCCATACAACTTACATTTCGAACCACTGCCTGATAACATTTTAGCATGAATAATAGCAAGCTAGTTACATAGCTTGGCTATTAGGATTGGGTCACAGGATAGAAATATTTTGAAGGGAATGAATGTAGATTGATCAAAAGCATAGAAAACCTTCTAGAAGGTTAGGGCTGCGTGTGGGCTGGTATAAAGGTGCCCTTGGGAAAAAAGGGGATGCTATGAGAACACTGAATGCTTAAACTGGGGAGGAAGAGGGAATAATGAGCCCAAGAGAAAAAGTCAGTTGTCAACAGACATCCCACAGAGTTCTCACTCTGAGGGTGTAAGTAGACACGTCACCTCATTATACTATAATGAAGCATGTGTTCTCATAAAGATGTGTGCACAGTTCAGAGAAGGTCTGAAAAAACCCTGATTGACTTCACAAGGGTAGGGAGAAAGGTCAGAGAAGAGACATATCTGAGGAGGTAGCTCCTAAGGAATGGACAAAAGATCGCCAGGCAGAAAAGGGGTTACAGTAGGCGGCTATTGTGATGTTTTGATTTCTGGAGCATTCAAACAACAAAATGATTGAAGTATTTTAAATAAGTAGCAAAACATTTTACTTTACTACTAAAGATAACATATTTCAAAATGAGGTAGTATAATGGAATCATCAAAATAACTGATAATAGATTCTTTTCTGTGACAAGTTTGAGTAGATAACAAACCAACCAGAAGGCACTAAATGTCATGAAAAATGGGGGAGAAGGGCCTCGCTACAGGAAGTGGCAGGAGACATAGCATTTAATGAGTTCCTCCTATGTGGTAGTTTTTTGCTTATATCTTTTAATTGTATTTTCAAAACAAATCTACCTGATGTTATGCCCACTTACAATTGAGAAAACAGAAGTCTAGAGAAGTATCTGCCACCAGTAAGTGGGAGACCTAGAATCTGAATCCAGGCAGGTATGATTCTCAAGTTCATGCTCTTTCTAGAGTATCATTTGCTCCATTCTCCCTGCCTTTTTCACTCTAACCTCCTTAGGAAATACAGATGGGAGAGTTCCATCGAGGATCTAAAAAAGCCTCCTTCAGCAATGCCCCAGCAAACCCTTGTTTAGGCCTAGCTAGTGGAAACTTAGAGGAGGAAGAATCGGGAGAATTAGCAAAGCTTTCTTCCTTCTCCTGAATGCTCTTTGCCTTGGAGCAAGGTGTTCCTTTTGTTGCCATGTGTCTTCAGCTCTGGAGATCTGATTGGGGTCAGGAAGACCAGAGAGGACAAAGCAAAGAGGGATACTTAAGACTTGACTATACATAATAAGGCTTTAAAGGAAAGGAGAAAGGATCTTGAGGTTCCTACATTGCCCAGTAGAGTACTGCAGGACAGAAGAGCAGAAAAGGTTTAAAGCAAAAGCCCCAGGTAGGAAAAAGAGTCCAGATGGATTCATATTAGAACCTAAGCACAAATGTAGGTGGCTGGATAAGACACAAGTCTTAGAGAGGTGAAGTTTCCCTAATGTACATGACCAAAGGAGAGAGAGCTGCAGCAACAAAGTTACAGGCAGCCAGTCTTCCCAATTCTTTCTAGCATCATTAAAGGAAATAGAATGGTGGAATGTTCCTGGAAAGGACCTACCCAGCTGTAACATCAGAGGGTAGGAGACAGGGTATGCATAGGAAACATATTGAGTAGAGATCCAAGGAGCTAGTGAATGCCAAGGAAGTTCTCAAGAAGGATGACAATCCCCAGGTAAAGGGTGAATTGTGGTTAACTGTTATCTAGGATCTTCTCACTCTCCTTTATCCAGCACTCCCTTCCCTCTCCTCATATCAGGATTATGACACTGCTCTGAAATCATAAGCAGCTTCCTTTTATTTAGGGAATGATCCACACTTCTCTGGCAGGCATTCAGTATGCTTTCTAATGTGGCCCAACTTCCCTTTCCAACCTGGTCTTCTATTCCTACTATAGGAACCCTCCACCATGTTAAACTGATATATGCCCCATTTCTAAATAAATGTTGTTCTTTCCTACCTTCATGCCTTTTTTCTCTGTATTACCTCTGCCCCAGTGCCCCTCCTTTATTTCCTACTCTCTTGCCCACTCTGAAGCTTATACACAGTATGGAGTGCACAAAAGTTGTCCCATAGAGCCTACATCCAGGTTATATTTCTCTGTCTTATCTCCTTGATACTTTGTAAACTCTTGAAGGCCAATGAAATACCTATTTAAACTATTAATCCAAGGCATAATTCCTTATACACTACGGACAGTCAACATATAACAAATAGATGAAGAAACTAAAAGGAATAATGACTATGTTGACTAAGGAGACCTGGAAGGATTATTTGCCAATATTTAGTCTAATGTCTTCATTTTAGAGATGAGGAAATTTAATTCCAAGGAAGTTGACAATCTTGATCTGTATAATAACCAGTAGAGCCAGAGCCAGGACTAAGAGGAACAGCTAACATAATTTGACTATCTACCAGGCACCAGGGGCAGTATAAGACTACTAATTTCAACTTAATTTATCCTTTCAACAATTCTATGAGGTAGTTCACTAGAAAGAAAGTCACACAGAAAGACTTGTAATTCACACCATATCATATTGCTTTGTAAATGGCAGAATCAAAATTTGAAATATACTCAAACTGGTGGCAAAGTACGCATGTTTAACCATGACTCCATTCAATTAGGGCTTCTGGTAATCTAGCCATCATTTTACTATGCCGTTATATCTCCAGTCTGTTAGCTCAGTAGTTTATTTCATGTGCACAAAGAAGGGGACATAAAAATATGGGCTAACCACAGGTTCTTGCTATAAAAGGAAAAGCTTAGAAAAAAATCACACACGTAGGCATTCACTGATAGCACTAATAAAGCTAATAAATAAAATGAAATTAGTTCAAGCCAATAAGTGATCCCAGTTAAGAAATGAAGTATAGACCCTACTTAAATTTGCTACTTAGTCGTCCTCACAGCAGTAATAAACAGACACATCCTTTGCCGAAACACAAACTTAGTTATTCTGAATCCACAATATCTTCCATTTCTATTGTCATATATTTGAAAGAAAAAAATTACACCATATTGGTAGCATTCATGGAGGTTTTGGAGTTTGTGTTGTTATTGATGATTATGGTATAACGGTAACAATATCTCAATTCCAAGTTTTCTTCATGTACAAGTAAGTTTATTTTCTAGAGCTTCAGAAACTAAAGCCTGTCTCACAGAAATGAATTTTGAATTGTTTTATGCTTAGCTTTCCCTGCTAATTAAATTCCAGTTTATAATTTATAATGGTGTTCCCTTTTATTATTCATTTTATTTCTGTGTGAGCTATCTCTAGATTAGAATTTTGAAATTTTCTCAAGAAAATGTAAATCTTGACTTTCTGTTAATTATAAGAGGAACTGAAAAAGCAAGTGAGCAGTATTTTGATTTTCTCCGAAGTTGTATATTTGTAGTTAAAATCCACAGTTTTGAAGGTTACCCCAACCAGACCCCCACCGATTGGGAGCATCCTCTTTACAACATCTTGGATGGTAGACTCTGCTTTCCCAGCTCAGCCCAATAGATCCTCCCGAAATTCAATTGTGTCCCTGCTGCTGTGCTACTCACAGCCCTTCTGGTTTTTTGTTGTCCACCCTCCTTAACATGGCTTACCCATTCATGCCTTGGGTCCTTCCCACCTTCCAGCCTCCTCTCTCACCCCTCCGGTTCCAGCAGTCTATTTACCACCATGTTGCATTTTTTTGTCACTGAACATCTAGAGAACAAACCTAACACTTCTTCCTCATGACCATCTCTCAAATATTTAAGTACAGCTATTGTGTACAACCTAAGTTTTCTATTATTCAGTGTAATCAATTGCTCCAATTCTGGTCATTCATCAATAATTATGTCCCACTCTGTCCATGTCTTTGATAAAACCTGATAAAGCTGAATACAAGATTTCAATATGGTCTGTTCTGTTCAGAGAATAATGGGCTTTTACATTCTTTGGTCTGGGCACTAAACTTCCATTTATGCAAAAGATATTGGAAGCCTTTTCATCATTCACATCCACTATGTTGTACTGGCCAACTAAAACCTTATACTAATTTCCATTAAGTTAAAGTTTCCAAAATCCGTATTTTGCATTTAATGTTTTAAACATAGGTATGGTTATTTATACTCATTTCTGTTGAATTTCATTAATATTTTATTCACCATTTCACCCTGTTGACAATTTTCATCTTTCAGAAGCCTATGTCTGTTATCATTCAGAAATTGGACAAACTGGCCACCTTTGTCTTCATTCAAGTTATTGATAAAGTTGAAAAGGAAAGGGCCACATACTTTGACGGCTGCTGCCATATTACTATCCTCAAAGTCATATTTCTCCATTTCACTCATGATGAAATTTAGAGACTCAAGAGTATCTAAATAATATTACACGTTCTTGATAAATTCATGTTAGCTATCTGTCATTTAAAAATCCTCATATTCCTTTTTGGAAACACATTAAGCATTGAAATCACATTTATAATCCCAGAATGACCTTTTCTGCTTAGAAAACATAGAAAAAATGACTTATAAACCTCCTCTACTTTCCATATTTTTAAGATAATTTATAATGGTTCTACAATTGTATTAGCAACTTCTTCATTATAAAAGAAATATGCTATAATCATCTCCTTACCTAGGCTGGGATTTGACTTTTTTCTTAACCACAGTGACCCTACTTTTCCTAATGTGAAAATCATTTCTTTTGATAGAAAAGACAGAAGTAAAAAATGAGTTAGAATTCTAAAATATGAGTTGGTTTCCATGTAATTTAATCCATACTTTTTGAGATCACACTAAATAAGAGCTGAAGAATGCTCAAAGTTGTTAAGAAAAAAACCAGCCAGGGACGGTGGCTTACGCCTGTAATCCCACCACTTTGGGAGGCCAAGGCAGGTGGATCACCTGAGATCAGGAGTTCGAGACCAGCCTGGCCAACATGGCAAAACCCTGCCTCAACTAAAAATACAAAAATCAGCCAGGTGTGGTGGTGGATGCCTGTAATCCTAGCTATTCAGGAGGCTGAGGCAGGAAAATCGCTTGAACCTGGGAGGTGGAAGTTGCAGTGAGCCAAGATCACACCATTGCACTCCAGCCTGAGCGACAAGAGCAAGACTCTGTCTCAAAAAAAAAAAAAAAAAAAGAAAGAAAGAAAAGAAAAAAGTATTTTTCTGACTCAGTCACTTTCAGTAGAATTTCAGAGAGCCATAACCTGTCTTCCATCCACTCCAACTTTCCCCAAACTCATTAAGGAAGCCTTGATGGGCCTTATACTTGTGCTTCTGAATGTATGGGTGAATGAGTTCCTTCATTTCCTGGTGGGCAATAGTGCTCCTTTGTCGTGGCCAAGAGCACTATTGTCAAAGCTTTAGCATCCTGCTTTCCATTCCGCTGCTCCCATCTATGGTGTCACAGTCCCAGACTGCCAACCCCAAACCTCCACTCCACTGTTGTGGGCACACTACCCAGGGTTCCATGTCTCTCTGACTCCTGCCCACTCTGATGTCACCTGCTGCTTGCCTGCTGTGTCTCCTTGATACAGAACAGTCACTTTGCTGAAGCAGAGGAAAGCCTTTCACCCATGACCAGCTGTGTGGGGGGTGTTACTTTCTCCTCTTTTCCAAGTTCTAACACAAATTTCTGTAGTTGAGGGTTTTGATAATCTGAGTAATACACCCAGGCATATCCCAGACTCCCCATGCCTTCTGAGAGACCCATTGTTTTCAGCATACTCTTGGACCTAGTCTTTTTGTTACATTAGGATAAGTTATTTCCTACAGGAAACTCCTGTTCCTCATAAAAGAAGCATTTTCCCTATAGCCAAATAGCACCTGTCTTCCTTTTCTTGGGTATATTTGACCCTAGAATTCTACAACACAATTAGAAGATTGTATAATATTTCAGATTTGTGGTAACTTAACACTTTCACAAGAATACACACACACACACACACACACACACAGATACAGTTGAGTCTTATTTACAGTAGTTAAGTTCTAGAAAGTTACATCGATCCCTGAATTAGCAAATACTGAATTATTGCTCCTAGGGGAAATACAGAATTAGTTTCATGTGAGCCTCTAGTGACATTTTTATCAAGTGATCAATATATAACCTTGTTTTATGTGCATTTCTGTAAAAACACCTTATTTAATATATATTACTGATTCATTAACATTGATCTAACAGTCAATAGCACAATAACTCAAGCCTACACTCATGTATTTCTTCTGGGAAACACACCACAGCTTTGTTGCACTGAGGAATGCTAGACAGCACTTCACCACTATGCTTGGGGGCCATTTGAACAGCAAAATCACGAACAAAAAATACAAACATGCAAAAAGGTGCCAGTGAACATACCGTGAAGAGAAAGAACCCTTATTTACACTGTGAGAAATGAAACGAGAAAGCAGAGGGCAGAGAGTCACCTTGTTCCACGTAAGCTGGGAACATGCGCACATTGTGTGACAAATTTTTCATCACCCTGCATATGCCCAAAAATGACCATAAAAGTAGCAGAGTATTGACTTGGGGGTTACAAAATTCAGTGCATATGCAATTTTGTGAATCTGAAATAATGAGGCTCCACTGCATGTGTACTGGCTATATGTATAACCTCATTTTTTGAGGGTTTCAGTGAGTGTAGTGCCAGGGAGAAACCACTCTCCTGCTGGGCGCTTCATCCCCTCCCTTCCTCCCACCTTGCCTTTGAAACTCTAACTCACTTTCCACTTGGTAAACAGCAACCCTCATAACCACTGGGGAGGGGCCCTCTTCTCTGTACTGTTTCCTTCATCTTTCAACCAGTAACTTTATCTCCAGTCCTGGAATTATTCTTTTATTCCCAGTCTAAGTTTTGTTCTTTAAGAATATTTTTATCTTCCTTGTTGGTATTATAACGAATGTTACATAGGCAATATATAAATAAAAGAATGTTCAGTGAATTTTACATTTCCCCCCTCACCGCTGCTCCTAGTCACCTAGTTCCTTTTCTTCTCGGCAGGGGCAACCACTCCCACATTATTTATGTATCTTTCCAGAGATATTCTATTCATATCCAAGTGCAACAGTTTCATGTAAATAGTATCCCTCTGTATAAATATATATATGCATCTTGCTTTTTTCACTTATTGATGAATCTTGGGGGTAGTTCACACCAGTATACGTAATCTGGCAAACATTATATAACCATTATCCTCGTATTACATTGTGCGGGTAATCGATATGTTACACACAATTCATGGGATGTCTTTGATCCTTTGATACTTATGCCATCAGAATAATCATCTTCTGCTTCCATGTAAGACTTGAACAGAGCACATGACTTGATTTATATGCCTTTGATAACTTGAGTCTCAATACAGAAATTAGAATGCCCAGTCCAAGGTATTATTCAAATGCTTGGATCTGCATTCAAAGGTTAGGCTCTCATGCCAAGGCATGATTTTGGTGGCTGCTTGGCTGCATTGAAGCAGAGGTTATGGTGGGTGTTTCTAGCTGCTCCTTTCCCACTGGGGCAGGGATACTCTTCCTCACTATCTGATACTTACAGAAGGATTAAAGCAGACTCTTTCTTTTGATGAATGCTTCCCTGAGTTCCCCAGAGAACCATTGGTGGAAAACTATCTCTTGCATTTCCTTTGACTGAGGCAGATCTGAGTCCTGGGTATAGCTACTGGCAACAGCTTCTGACTCCTTCCTTGTCCACCTTCCTTGCTATCATGTTTCCTAGTCCAGGGGCTATGCAGAACTCCTGTAGTAATTTCCTTGCTGCTCTAACAATGTACCACAAACTCAGTGGCTTGAAACAACACAAATGGAGTATCTTACAGTTCTAGAAGTCAGAAGTCTGACATGGGTATCAGGAGGCTAACATCAAGGTAGCTGCAGGGCTGTGTTGCTTCTGGGGGCTCTAGAAGAGAATCTATGACCTTGACTTTTCTAGATTCCAGAGGCTCTCTGCATTCCTTGGCTCATGTTTCCTTCCATCTTTAAAACCAACAATGGCCAACTGAGTCTTTTTCATGCTGCATCGTTCTGACACTAACTCTCTTGCCACCTTTCACTTACAAGGACCCTTGTGATTACATGGGGCCAAGGATAATCTCTCCACCTCAAAGTTGGCTGGTTACCACTTTAATTCTGCCTGCAACTTTAATTCCCTTTGCCATGTAACTTACATTCACAGGTTGCAGGAATCAGGATATGGATATCTTTGGGAGGTTGTGATCTTGCCTACTACATCCACTATTCAGTCAGTTATATCTGTGTACAGGAAGCCTATGTCTCTCTGTACATAGGTTACAGTTACATTGGCTATCTGTGCAAAAGTTACTCATAACCTATGCACAAATAGCCAATAACCATGCCTTACTTGCTCTGACAAATGTAGTGCCACTGATGTCAATGCAGATACCTTATGGACTGTCACGGGCACTTGAGATTTCTTGAGCATGGCCCAGCACCAAGTTCTTGGAAACACTCAACTTCAAGGAACACATTTCTGAGTGATCCTCTCCAGCAACAGCAAACCTCAAGTGCTATTATCTCTCTGCTTCTCCCTCTCAGCAATAACCATAACCCTTACAGATCCTCTCTCCAATCTCTAACCCTTCCTTATCATTCTTTATCTGGGCTGATGGGTCCAAGAGTCATAAAACCATTTCTATAACATTTCCCTGGTAATCCCTGAACATGGAGATCTGTGTTGTGGTTATTTAGTATCTAAAATTCCCTTGACTGACATCTTAGAAATTTTATTTTTAACAACCAATTCCTGGTATTTTGTTGTTTATTATTACAAATGATTCCGCAGCGAATGTTCTTATACATACATTATTTCATACATGTTCAAGTTGTTAGATAAGATCAAGTAGAATTATTTAATGGTAGAAAGTCCCCATTTTTATTTTTGATGGATATTGCCAAATTGATGTTTATACTAGTTTACATGCCTCTATACAGACATATATACCAAATTACACTGGAGCAAACAACTGAAGGTCACTGTTTTCCCCCGCAACCATTAACAGGACATAATGTCAACCTATTGACTTTGCCTATTAAAGTGATGATATATACTTCATTGCATTTCTCTTCCTCCGAGTAGAAATGAACATTTTATAAACATGAACAATTTGCAATTACAGCTGTTTCCTGTGTGTTTTTATATGTTTTCTAGTAATGTTTAACTGACTTAAAAGCAGCACAAAGCCAAAGTAGGGCTGAAACTAATTTTGAGAATCTTCCCAAGGGAAAGAAATCAGGAAAACTGAATGTTGGGCAACAAGAGCCAATAACCAGAGCTGTGAAGCCCCAGACCCTATTAAATGTTCTAATTCTTCCAAATTTTGTTTTGACCATATGCAGATTGAAGAATAATCATAAAGACCTTCTTATGATTCTCGTACTACCTCTTTCTCTCCCTCTTAAGGGAGGATACAGAAGCAGTGGCTCCATTCCAAGGGATGTAGCAGAAGTCATTCTTTGATTAGAGATTTCTGGAATGAGTGCTCTTTCCTCTTAATCTTTTATACTTAGATAAGTCACCAAAACCCAAGTAGTTATTCACTGAGCTTATGTCAACAAGGCTACAGTGGATAAATCAAGTAATTTTTAAAAAATTATTAAAGCAGGACCTTGGCTTTCTAACTCTTAAACTTCTAGTGAGAGGTTTCATTTATGAAAGACAGTTTTATCTTTGCATAATATTCTCTTAAGATAACTTTTATCTAGGACTTTACAGATAATTTTCAAAAGATTAAAACTCAGTCTTTGCTCAGTTTTATCACAGCAGAGTTAATATCATCTTTTCCCAAATGACCAATCATTCCAATGTGAGGAAACTTCTGTTTACATGTTTTCAATTAGAATTTATTTAAATATTAGAAATGGATGAGAAACAGATGACAAAACTATTTAGGTCTACCTTCAATGTAAAAACATTGAGAATATAAACATCAAAATAATATTGATACTTACTTTGACACCCCTAAATTCTGTGTTCCTTTTTTTAAATTATACTTTAAGTTCTGGGATACATGTGTAGAACATGCAGATTTGCTACATAGGTATACACGTGCCTTGGTGGTTTGCTGCACTCATCAACCCGTCATCTGCATTAGGTATTTCTCCTAATGCTATGCCTCCCCAATCCCCCCACCCCATGACAGGCCCCGGTGTGTGATGTTCCCCTCCCTGTGCCCATGTATTCTCATTGATCAGCTCCCATTTATGAGTGAGAACATGTGGTGTTTGGTTTTCTGTTCTTGTGTTAGTTTGTTGAGAATGATGGCTTTCAGCTTCATCCATGCCTCTGCAAAGGACATGAACTTCATTCTTTTTTATAGTACTCTATGGTATATATGTGCCACATTTTCTTTATCCAGTCTAACATTGATGGGCATTTGGGTTGGTTCCAAGTCTTTGCTATTGTGAATAGTGCTGCAATAAACATATGTGTGCATGCGTCTTTACAGTAGAATGATTTATAATCCTTTTAGCGTATACCCAGTAATGGGATTGCTGGGTCAAATGGTATTTCTGGTTCTAGATCCTTGAGGAATCGCCACACTGTCTTCTACAATGATTGAACTAATTTACCCTCCCACCAACAGTGTAAAAGCGTTCCTATTTCTCCACATCCTCTCCAGCATCTGTTGTTTCCTGACTTCTTGATAATCGCCACTCTAACTGGCGTGACGTGGTATCTCATTGTGGTTTTCATTTGCATTTCTCTAATGACCAGTGATAAGCTTTTTTTCATATGTTTCTTGGCCACATAAATGTCTTCTTTTGACAAATGTCTGTTTATATCATTTGCCCACTTTCTGATGGGATTTTTTTTTCTTATAAATTTGTTTAAGTTCCTTGTAGATTGCAAAAATGTTCTCCCATTCTGTAGGCTGCCTTTTCACTCTGATGATAGTTTCTTTTGCTGTGCAGAAGATCTTTATTTTAATTAGATCCCATTTGTCAATTTTGGCCTTTGTAGCAACTGCTACTGGTGTTTTCGTCATGAAGTCTTTGCCCATGCCTATGTCCTGAATGGTATTGCTTAAGTTTTCTTCTAGGGTTTTTATGGTTTTAGGTCTTACATTTAAGTCTTTAATCCATCTTGAGTTGATTTTTGTATAAGGCGTAGGAAGGGGCCCAGTTTCAGTTTTCTGTATATGGCTAGCCAGTTTTCCCAACACCATTTATTAAATAGGGAATCCTTTCCCCATTGCTTGTTTTTGTCAGGTTTGTCAAAGATCAGATGGTTTTAGATGTGTGTATTATTTCTGAGGCCTCTGTTCTGTTCCATTGGTCTATATATCTGTTTTGGTACCAGTACCATGCTGTTTTGGTTACTGTAGCCTTGTAGTATCATTTGAAGTCAGGTAGCGTAATGCCTCCAGCTTTGTTCTTTTGGCTTAGGATTGTCTTGGCTATACGGGCTCTTTTTTGGTTCCATATGAAATTAAAAGTAGCTTTTTCTAATCCTGTGAAGAAAGTCATTGGTAGCTTGATGGGAATACCATTGAATCTATAAATTACTTTGGGCAGTATGGCCATTTTCACATGAGCGTGAAATGTTTTTCCTATCCATGAGTGTGGAATGTTTTTCCATTTGTTTGTGTCCTCTCTCATTTCCTTGAGCAGTGGTTTGTAGTTCTCCTTGAAGAGGTCCTTCACATCCCTTATAAGTTGTATTCCTAGGTATTTTATTCTCTTTGTAGCAATCGTGAATGGGAGTTTGCTCATGATTTGGCTCTCTGTTTGTCCATTATTGGTGTATAGGAATGCTTGTGATTTTTGCACATTGATTTTGTATCCTGACACATTGCTGAAATTGCTTATCAGCTTAAAGAGTTTTGGGGCTGAGATGATGGGGTTTTCTAAATACGCAATCATGTCATCTGCAAACAGAGATAATTTGACTTACTCTCTTCTTATTTGAATACCCTTTATTTCTTCTCTTGCCTGATTGCCCTGGTCAGAATGTCCAATACTCTGTTGAATAGGAGTGGTGAGAGAGGGAATCCTTGTCCTGTGCTGATTTTCAAAGGGAATGCTTCCAGCTTTTGCTCATTCAGTATGATATTGGCTGTGGGCTCGTCATAAGTAGCTCTTATTATTTTGAGAGAAGTTCCATCAAAACCTAGTTTATTGAGTGTTTCTAGCATGAAGGGTGTTGAATTTTATCAAAGGCCTTTTCTGCATCTATTGAGATAATCATGCGGTTTTTGCCACTGGTTCTGTTTATGTGATGGATTATATTTATTCATTTGCATATGTTGAACCAGCCTTGCATCCCAGGGATGAAGCTGACTTGATCGTGGCAGATAAGTTTTTGTTGTGCTGCTGGATTTGGTTTGCCAGTATTTTACTGAGGATTTTCACATTGATGTTCATCAGGGATATTGTCCTGAGATTTTCTTTTTTTGTTGTGTCTCTGCCAGATTTTGGTATCAGGATGATGCTGGCCTCATAAAATGAGTTAGGGAGGAGTCCCTCTTTTTCTATTGGTTGGAATAGTTTCAGAAGGAATGGTACCAGCTCCTTGTTGTACCTCTGGTAGAAATGCAGCTGTGAATCTCTCTGGTCCTGGGCTTTTTTTGGTTGGTAGGCTATTAATTACTGCCTCAATTTCAGAACTTGTTATTGGTCTACTCAGGGATTTGACTTCTTCCTGGTTTAGTCTTGGGAAGGTGTATATGTTCAGGAATTTACCCATTTCTTCTAGATTTTCTAGTTTATTTGCATAGAGGTGTTTATAATATTCTCTGATAGTTTGTATTTCTGTGGGATCAGTGGTGATATCCCCTTTATCATTTTTTTATTGTGTCTATTTGATTCTTCTCTCTTTTCTTCTTTATTAGTCTGGCTAGAGGTCCATTTTGCTAATCTTTTTTAAAAAAATCAGCTCCTGGATTCACTGATTTTTTGAAGGTGTTTTTGCGTCTCTATCTCCATCAGTCCTGCTCTAATCTTAGTTATTTCTTGTCTTCTGCTAGCTTTTGAATTTGTTTGCTCTTGCTTCTCTAGCTCTTTTAACTGTGATGTTAGGGCATCAATTTTACATCTTTCTCGCTTTCTCATGTGTGCATTTAGTGTTATAAATTTCCCTCTAAACACTGCTTTAGCCATGTCCCAGACATTCTACTATGTTGTGTCTTTTTTCTCAATGGTTTCCAAGAACTTATTTATTTCTGCCTTAATTTCTTTATTTACCCAGTAGTTATTCAGGAGCAGGTTGTTCAGTTTCCATGTAGTTGTGCAGTTTTGAGTGAGTTTCTTAATCCTGAGTTCTAATTTGATTGCACTGTGGCCCGAGAGACTGTTTGTTATGATTTCCATTCTTTTGCACTTGCTGAGGAGTGTTTTACTTCCAATTATGTGGGTGATTTTAGATATTTCTGATATCCTTTCTTCTGCTTGATCAATTCGGCTATTGATACTTGTGTATGTTTCACGAAGTTCTCGTGATGTGTTTTTCAGCTCCATCAGGTTATTTATGTTCTTCTCTAAACTGGTTATTCTAGTTAGCAATTCTGCTAACTTTTTATCAAGGTTCTTAGCTTGCTTCCATTGGGTTAGAACATGCTACTTTAGCTCAGAGGAGTTTGTTATTATCCACCTTCTGAAGCCTACATCTGTCAATTTGTCAGACTCATTCTCCATCCAATTTTGTTCTCTTGCTGGCAAGGAGTTGTGATCCTTTGGAGAAGAGACATTTTGGTTTTTGAATTTTCAGCTTTTGTGCTGGTTTTTCCTCATCGTTGTGGATTTATCTACCTTTGGTCTGTGTTGTTGTTGACCTTCAGATGGAGTTTTTGCATGGTAGTCCTTTTTGTTGATGTTGATGCTATTACTTTCTGTTTGTTAATTTTCCTTCTAACAGGCCCCTCTTCTGCAGGTCTGCTGGAGTTTGCTGCGGGTCCACTCCAGACCCTGTTTGCCTGGGTATCACTAGCAGAGGCTGCGGAACAGCAAAGACTGCTGCCTGCTCCTTCCCCTGGAAGCTTCATCCCAGAGGGGCACCCGCCAGATGCCAGCCAGAGCTCTCATGTATGAGGTGTCTGTCAACCCATGCTGGGTGGTGTCTCCCAGTCAGGATACATGGGGGTCAGGGATCCACTTGAGGAGGTAGTCTGTCCCTTAGCAGAGCTTGAGCACTGTGCTGGGAGATCTGCTGCTCTCTTCAGAGCCGGCAGGCAGAAATGTTTAAGTCTGCTGAAGCTGCGCCCACCGCTGCCCTTTTCCCCAGGTACTCTGTCCCAGGGAGATGGGAGTTTCATCTATTAGCCCCCTACTGGGGCTGCTGCCTTTCTAGATGTCCTGCCTAGAAAAGAGGGATCTAGAGAGCCAGTCTGGCTACAGCTGCTTTGTGGCCCTGTGGTGGGCTACACCCAGTCTGAACTTCCTGGTGGCTTTTTTTACACTGTGAGAGGAAAACCACCTACTCAAGCCTCAGTAACAGCGGGTGCCGCCCCCACTCCCCGCCCCTACCTTGAGCTTCCCAGGTTGACTTCAGACTTCCATGCTGGCAGCGAGAATTTCAAGCCAGTAGATCTTAGCTTGCTGGTCTCTGTGGGGGTGGGATCTGCTGAGCAAGACCACTTGGCTCCCTGGCTTCAGCCCCCTTTCCAGGGGGGTGAATGGTTCTATCTCACTGGTGTTGCTGGTACCACTGGGGTATGAAAAAAAAAAAACTCCTGCAGCTAGCTGGCTGTCTGCCCAAATGGCCACCCCGTTGTGTGCTTGAAACTCCTAGTCTGTGAGTTGTGAAGACTGTGGGAAAAGCATAGTATCTGAGCTGGATAGCACCATCCCTCACAGCACAGTCCCTCACAGCTTCCCTTGGCTAGGGGAGGGAGTTCCCCGACCCTTTGCACTTCCTGGGTGAGGCAATGCCCCAACCTGCTTTGGCTCACCCTCTGTGGGCTGCACCCACTGTCTAACCAGTCCCAGTGAGATGAACTGGGTACCTCAGTTGGTAATGCAGAACTCATCTGCCTTCTGCGTTGCTCTCATTGGGAACCTCAGACTGGAGCTGTTCCTATTCGGCCATCTTGCCCAGGAATCTGTTTGTGTGTTCCTTCTAAAGTTGGATAAAATGATGGCAATATTCTCTGTGTTCATTCAGAGGAATATTGGCATTCAGTGCCCTTTATCATGGGATTTTACACATTCATATACTATATTGAGCATATAATTTATGTCTAATAATATGCTCTCTGAAACTGCTGAAGGAAAAAGAAAGACACTTTCTACTTCTTCCCATGAAAAATATAGGATCAGGAAATGAGAATGCTGACTGCAGGTAAATTGATCTATGTGGAGAATCTCTGATTTTGGGCAATCAAAATGAATGATGTTTTCTGACACCACTTAGTGATTAAAAGTGGCATAAAAAACATTTCAAGGACAGGAAAATTTACCATTTGTTCAAGTGAAACCTTTATTGTTTTCAAGGCAGCACAGCCTTGAACCAGCCAGCCACTACCCCAACCAGCACAGCTATTTTCCTCAGATGATCTTTCCACTCCTCCCATTGGCTTAGCATTGCCTGTAAAATAGTACAAGTAGTCCTAACTTTTCATGGTTGTGCAGGCCCATTATAATGATCCTGCAAGCTGAAACCATACAAATGGATCTTAATAATCTATAAAAAAAAAAGCTACAACTGTTCCATGACCTTTAAATTTTTTTCTCAAACATTAAAAAACTCTTACCATAGTTTATAAATGTATAGAAAATGCAACAAATAGTAAAACTAATATTTATTTGGTACAACAGAAATATATTGATATTACATTTTGATATTACTTTGATAGATCATTTGATATTATTGACATATATTGATTTGGAAATATTTTTATATTAATATATTAAAGCCACAGTGAGTTGAAATTATTTCTTCATATTTTCATCAAAAGTAATTTGAACAGTGTTTGCCTTCTCTCTCTCATCAATGTGTAACTTAAGATACAGAGGGAGCATTGTTTCTGCTTTGGGGAATTACTCTGCTTTCTAAGTTTTGATCAGCTTCAAACGTGTCATCCTTTGTGCTCTCAATGTCATGAAATACCTCTGAGAGTTCTTTTAATGTAAAAATGTCATGTCATCTAGAACAGCTTTATTCTTTTTACCATGACCTCTTTCTTCATTTATGGAGATAAATCCACCTTCATTAAGGCCCTCTGGCGGCAGATCAAAAATGTCTCAAATGGGGGCCAGTAACAACTATTTCTTTTTAGCTCCATTTATGTTCATTCGGTTCACATTCAAATTTTGTTTCTTTGTTACACTTTCGCTTTTGTTGGTCAATTTACTCTGTTGATTATCCATTTGTGTAAAAAGCAACACAACTACACACTTTGCTGTCTGTATGTGATCTGAAAACAGATTCTCAGTAATCAATCGCTGACAAGTTTTGAAAGAAGTGACACGATTGGTCAGTGATCATGATGCACATCTGTCATTTGTACAATGGGTGAGGACAGAAGTGCTAACAGGAAGTTTGTACTTTATGTAATTATCCAGTTAATATACCATGGTAACTGTCATTGGAGCCAAGTTGTTGGAGGACCATCTTAACAAACTGTGGCAACTTAAATTCATGCATTCGGGAACCGTGCAAAGCAAGGACTGGTTTTCTATAAATAGGAATGATGTGTGTATTTATTTGTTCATAAAGACTGCCTTTTGGAAGCATTTAATTCGCTCCTTTTTCTAGGTGTAGTTTAAGAAAATAGGAGAGAAAAGTGGAAGAAAATACTACGATCTGTTGAGAGATTACTCACATGTATGTCTCTGTATGTTATTTGATTTATCAAATCATTTATTTAGTATTTATCATTTCATTTTTCTAAGAGCTTTACAGATACCATCTCATTTAATCATCTTAATAACAATAAGGTAGCTATTGTTACTTTCCCTCTTAAAGATGAAGACATAGGCACAGAGAAGATAAGTGACTTACCTAAGGTTGCAGAGCTTGTAAATGGAAGAGCAAGATTCCAAATCCAAACAGTTGGCTTTGAAGGCTGCACTTCCAACCACTGCACAGTGCTGCCATGTGTAACGGGTCCGTGTTGCTAATTCTGTGAAGTTACACAGTGTCCAGTTTTTGCTCCTCTTGGTAGAGTTAGGCCTACCTCATTTATTATTGGCATTACGACTATAAACACATCAGTACACAAAGCTGGCATCATCTATCACAGAGATTACTAAGTCTCCACAGAGCTTAGGAGAGAGGCCACGCCTTTCTTTCAGAACAGCCATGAATGAAAAGAGAATGTTTTGGAGGAAAGGAAACGCAATTGGTGACATCTCTCAGGGTCTGAATCAATTATTTCAGAGGTCAAAGGTATGAAGCTCTTTATGGAGGTGGACAAAAACACCAATGATAGTGGAATGAGTCAACTGTTTATTCAATTTTACCTATATTTCAAAGGTCTCTTTAGGAAAATATTCAAGCCAACTCTATTGAAATTTAAATGACATAAATTTGACTTTGTCTTGCAAACAACTGTCTACTCCTCTAACCACTAAACCTAAAAATTATAAATTTCAGTGACTCTGACAAATATATTAGGAACAAAAATAACTGTACTGATAAATACAACAGACAGAGTACTGATAGTTCAAAAATAGCATCCCATTTCTCTTGTTAAAAGTCTGTTTGGGAAATACTAGTAATCAGATAACTTAATTTGAATCACTGGAGTTGCAGTTAAAGATTAAAATGCTTGTTTATTTTTTAAATCTTCTTGGGTTTCATTTCCACTTCCCGAATGTCAGCTTAGTGCCTAGCAACAGCCAACCCTCCAATTTTCAGTGCTATCCTTTTCTCTCTTTGTCAAATAAAAAGAAAAAAAAATCAAAAGGTTATGCAGGTTGTTACTAGAAATAACTTATTTCATAAAACAATATGAATGAACTACAGTAAGTCATTCATGAGTATAAGTTCACAAAGAGGACAGTAGAGATTCTATTTCTCATGGACTCTTTCTTTCTAATTCGAGTCCAGTTCCAGTAGTTGTGAACTTCTTTAGTCCCTATAAAGCAGATCTTGGTTCCCAACTGATTTTATTTAAAAAGGGGGGAAAAAAGAGAGAATAATCAATACTAAAGAAAAACTAGTGAAACCGAGCACACATGTTGGGCAGGCAGCACAATAAAAACAGTAGCAACTAGAGACACACACAAAGAGATCTGTGTCCTACACAAGTGAATCAACCAGTGTGGGCACCAGTTTCCATTAAGAAAAAAATAATGTAGCTAATGATAACTAAATTCACTTTAGGTTCAAAATTCAAATAATACCATAAAAGCACTTTAAATTATTTCAAGGCCATCCAATACAGTGTAACATCCATTGCATCATGCCACTCTGCTTAAATGCCTTCATTGCCTACCCATTTCTCTTAGAACCATTTTTATTCTTTGTAGGCCAGATTCCTTAACATGGCCCCGAGTGATCTTTTACCAGTCTCTCCACGATGCACACTACTCCCCTTTCACACTGACCTTCAGTTCTTCTTGTTCCCTAAGCTCATGCTCATCTCTAGGCTTTTGCCTTTCCTTTCTTTCCCTTAAGCCTGGGACATTCCACATCTGAGCTTATTAGGGCTGCCTCCTTCTTGCCCTTCACTTCTTCTTCTCATAGAGGCTTTCCCTATGCCACTGACCTAAGGGAGATTTCCTTCATTTAACCTCTATCACCTAGCCTTATGTAATTTTCTCTATAGCACTAAACACAACTTGTAATTACCTTATTTATTCACTTGCTTATTATTTGTTTTCTCCTATACAAGAGCATAAGCTAAGTAAGGGCAGGAATCTCATCTTTCTTATCTTATCTTACCCACGTTTCTCCTGGAACAGTACCTTGCAAATGGTAGAAACTCAATACTATTTTGAGAATAAAGGAATGTTCATATGTCATTTGCTGATATATCACCAATGCAAAAGCACAATGCTTGGTATGTAGTAATCACTTAGTTAAAAAATCCCTTAATGTAACTGAATAACTCAACCAGATCATCTTCTTCATAGTGGTTGCTATAGTTTAGATTTTTGTCTCCCAAACCTCATGCTGAAATTGATCCTCAGTGTTGGAAGTGGGAGTCAAGGGGAGGTAATTGGGTCATGGGAGCAGGTCCCTCATGAATAGATTGATGCCTTCCCCTTGGGGGTGAGTTCTTACTTTATTAGTTCCTGAAAGAGCTGATTGTTAAAGAGTCTGGTACCTCCCATTCAGAAGTGGAGGTGCTTCGTCTCTCGTCATGTGATCTGTGCATACACTGGCCCCCCTTCATCTTCTGCCATATATGAAAGCAGCCTGAGGCCCTCTCTAGAAGCAGATGCCTCTTGTAAAATTCCAAGCTTCTCATACAGCCTGCAGAGCCATGAACCAAATAAACCTCTTTTCCTTATAGATTATCTAGCCTCAGGTATTTCTTTATGGCAACACTAAACAGACTAAGACAGAGGTGATGGTATGAGTTACTTATTATTTTCTGTATTAGTTCCAATCCTGCTGTAAAAAAATACAAATGTGATGGCTTAAAACAACACACATTTATTATCTGACAGTTCTGATGGTCAGAAGTCTGACATGAGTCTCACTCAGCTAAAATCAAAGTGTCAGCCAAGATACATTGCCTTTCTTAGCTTCTATATGCTGCCTACATTCCTTGTGTTGTAGCCTCGTGCCTACCTTCAAACTCGGCCATGGCCAGTTGAGTCTCATGGTGCATCAGTCTAACACTAACTGGCCTGCCTCCCTCTTCTATTTATAAAGACCATCATAATTATACTGGGCTCATCCAGATAATCCAGGATAACCTCTCCATCTCAAGATACTGAATTTAATAACAGCCGCAAAATGTCATTTGTGATGTAACGTAACATATTCACAGGCTCCAGGGATTAGGATGTGAACATCTGTAGGGGGCCATTATTCTGCCTACCACCTTGTCATTTGGTATGATTCTGAGAACAATTCACCTTTGTCTTATGCAACCCCATGAAAACTCTCTCTCTTATCTTTTAAATACGTGCTACATGATCACATTCTAGAGAGAAATTCCCTATAAGTAAACTTATCTCCCATTTTCCCATCTCAGGAATATGGCCTGAATGTGTGGGTGATGCAATTTTGCATAAATTGAGAAATAGATTTAGACTACTACCTCCTATGCAGACAAACAGCCTGAAAATAAGCAGATGTTGACATCTTTGGACAAGCTCAAAATCCATTTTGGTTGCTTGTAGAAGATAATTACAAGAAGAAAAAACACATTCCATTCTCATCACCAAAATGAGAACAACAGCACTGGGTCTTGTAAGAATATAGAATTCAGGGGGAGCCAAGCAAATTGCATCATTATTAGAAGGATCTATCTTAAACCTGGGGGTAGGGAAGAGAGACAGGATTATGGATTCCCAAATCTGCGTTTAGCTAAGGCAATTTTCTTCATTTGCCTATGGTAAAACAGCCTATATAATTAAGCAAACCCAGGGGCCTAACACATTAACTTGCCATCGATATATTCTATCTGCCTTGGCACCACTAGTGTTTCTGGCATTATTTATGAAGGCACTCTTGCTATATTTGCACAGCATGCAGCATTGTTCATAGCAGGCTGTGGATTATTGTCAATGAATAATGCCCTAGAAGCTCCTAACCCTTTGTTCTTATGTCTAATAACTAAATCAGCAATAGCTGCTTCTCTGTGTTCTGCTTCAGATGATAGCACAGCCATAAATAAGCTACCAGCCACAGGATTCATTTGGCATCAGTGAATACCCTACAAAGCTACAGGTTCACACTGTTCCCTGATACACTATAAACAGTGTTCATCACTAAGAATTTTTTAAAGGTGATGAACCTTAAATATGGACATCAGAATTTTCTGAAATCTCATTTTGCTTGAATTGTTTATCATCCAACATATACCTCAGGTCTTCTTTGGGAATTTACCTGTGAGAGATGGCAAGAACAGTGCCAGAGAAAGAAGAATTCCTCCACAGCCTCTCTTCTGTCTAAATTACTAAGAATTGCGTGGAAAGTCATCTTCTAACATAGGAGGAGGGAGGGTTTTTCCCTCCTGGAAACCTCCATGCCTTGTCGGAGAGCTTCACAAGAGGCCAGTGAATCTCAGACTTGGATTTCACAGCCCAGTTTAGCCAAAAAAACAAAAAACAAAAAACAAAAAACAAAAAAAACAGAGATTTCTCCTTTGCCTTTTCCAACAGGCCACATAAAAGCACTTTACCAAAATTCACAGAACTCGTTCTCCTTTTGCTAAAACGCCATGAGGTCACTGTCTGTGACTAGTACCTACTTCAATGTCTCTAGTGAATATCTCTCAAATTCATTCAAGAAGCAAGCACTCAGAAATATGCACTAACCTCCTTTTCTTAAATGGAGGCACCACTCAATTTAAGACTCATGACTTACAAGGAAGATATCAATCACCTGCTACCGACACCAGACAGGAAGTCAGAGCAAGTTTCCTGGATAGAGCTGTCCTGTTTCACAACCATAGTGATGAGGAACTTTGCCACTAAAAAGCACTGGAAAGCCCCTTTGTTTCCTGGACTTTACCCAGCCTTATCATCTCACCAGGCTGTATTAGTTTCCTGCGTGTGTCTAAACAAATTATCACAACTTGGACGACTTTAACAAAACAGAAAGTTATTCTCTCACAATTTTAGAGGCCAAAAGTCTGAAATCAAGGTGTTGGCAGGGCCACGCCTCCTCTGAAAGCTCTAGCGGGGAATCCTGCCTTGCCTCTTCCGGCTTCAAGTGGCTCCCGGTGTCCCTTAGCTTGAGGCAGCATCATCACTCCAACCTCTGCCACCATCTTCACCTGGCCTTCTATGCTGTGTGCCTCTGTGTCCCAACCTTCCTCACTTTCCTCTTATAAAGACACCAGTCTGATCATTTTAACCCTGACATCCTCAAATCATTACATCTGCAAAAATCCCTATTTCCCAATAAGTTCTCATTCTGAGGTTCCAAGTGGACGTCAGTTTTTAGGGGGTATGGGGGAAGGACACTATTCAACTCACTTCACAGGGAGGGTTTCTCTGCCTGGGCTCGGCTGCTGTGAGAATTTGTAATCCCATGGCCCCCCGCATCCCCCTTCTCCTGCAGCTGCCTGCTCCCCTGGTCCTTACAGGAGATGTAGGGAGCCTGGAGCCTGAATTAATGCAGAACAGAGCACCATACCCACAGGGTATCATTTCCAGCCTGCCACGCATGTGCCACAGCAACCAGGCTTTCTCCCAGCAGAACGACTCCAGGCAGTCAGGCTCCACTCTGTCTCCATCTCCTCTGGGGAGACAGGTCTCTGTCTCTGAGGCTCCTTTCTTCTTTCTGGAAGATTCTTCAACCTTTCACTGAGCATTTAAACAACCTAGAGGAACTCAATTTTTTATTTAAAATATGCTTTTTTCTGAATATAAAGGTAATTCAACTTATAAGATGATTTTTTAAAAAATACATCAGAATATTAAATAGATAAAATCCGCATTGGCCCCACTTCATACAGGAAACCACTCTTCTGTGTATACATATGCCTAAACAATCTTTCCCTATGAAACATAATTTTTAAAAACGGATAGGGCAAGGTTGTACATATTGCCTCCCTTGGATCTCAGGGAATTCACGGAACTGAATCCACTCATTATTATAATTTTATGATATAGTCAACACAATGAAAACAACATTCGAGAATTAAAATTTATTTTTAACTTGCTATTTTTGCATTATCTGCCCTAATCATTTCCTCATAACACTAAATAATCTCTAAAACTCAATTTTAATAGCTGCTTATTATTTCATTATTCATGCATTGCAATTATTTTAAATAACCCTACAGTATGGACATACAGATCAAGTCCAATCTTCAAAAAATAAAGCAATGCATAACTTTACTCCCAAACCTTCTTGAATAGCTCTAATAATTACATTAAAATATATTTCTTAATCAAAAGATAAAGATACTTTACAGTTTTTGATATATATAATTAAACCTCTAAAAAGCTGATAATAATTTATAATTTTGCCATCTCTTTTATCATTCTCTTCAAACACTGAGCATTAAACTGTATGAACATTTACTAATTTGAAGGGCAGGCAATGCTATCTTATTGCATTTTAATTTGCACTTCTTTGGTTACTAGTGAGGTTAGAGATTCTTATGTTTATAAATTATTATATTTCTTTTGTAACTGCTCTTCAAACTATCTTTTTTCTAGTGGGATATTTATCTTTTTCAATAATTCATTTGTTCATTCAACACATTTATATTGAGTGTTTATAATGTGCCAGACAGTGGGCTAGATTGAGGAAAAAGAACATGTGGAGGTGGGGGGAGGCCTGAGAGACAGATAGCTTATTGGTTTCTGCCTTTATGGAAAATTATATTCATTTTCTCATTAATTTACAAAATCTATGTGTTAAAGAGATCTTTTTATTTTATGTACGGCAGCTATTGTTTTATGAAACTTCAGGGAGAAATCATCTATGATTTTTGGAAGGGGTGGATATATACTTTATCCCAAAAATATCCAGCTATTTTTTCATTTGTTTATATTTTTACTCTTTTTGAGTCAATTTTTCATTTGTATTGTATTTTGATAAAGGACATGAGGTTTTAGAATTAATTATTCTCTGAATGGTAATTAATTCTTGCCGTACCATGTATTAATGATGTGTCATTTTGTCATTGTTTAGCAACTCATATTTATCATATAGTAACATTTCATAAACATCAGGCTCTAGGCTTTCTATTCTGTTCCATTGTTCTGTCTTTTCTTAGGTCAATGTCACAGTCTTCATTAAAATTTTATTATATGTTTTAATATATGACAATGGAAATCCTGATTTAAAAAAAATATTGGCTGTTTTCACTATTTTTTCTTTTTTTTTTAAATCCAGGATCACTTTAAGACCAAACAAACCAAAAATTTCCCTTTAGCATTTTGATTGAAATTGCTCTGAGTTCCCTCATCTGTCAGATGAGGTTTCACTCACCTCTATTCCCAGTTGCTAAGCAATTCCTCCTAATTATCTTTTACTCCACAGTCCCTTAACATAAAGTCCTCACCTTACAGGACCACATTAAGCAGATCTGCCAGCTCAGGTCATCTGTCTGAAACTCTGCCTCATAAACCAGGAGAGATGTAGACCAAAGAGGAAGTTACATAGAGGTCAAAAAAGAAAAAATGAAGACTGAGTTTCAAGTCAAAATTTGAGGTCCAAATTAGCAGTGTGAGTAGGTTTAAATATCAGGGTACATAAAAATCTATTTAAATTCTTTCCTTTTTATTGGTTAAAATAATACAAAGCATTTGTATATGTTTTATTGCAAATAAAAAGTGCTTCAGGTATTTTATAATTATTAACAGATTTGTTGGCTAGCTTCGTCCAATATAGCATTGTTCCAGAGAACAGAAATGTGTTTTCTAACATTCTTATTTGAAATTAATTATAAGAGATGCATTGGGTTCAGGTGGCCATCTCCTGTGGCTTTTCACTATGGACATCCATGTAAGCTTTAGTTCTTCCTGGATTCTCTGCTAGTCCACACTGCTCTTGTTCTAGCTTTCTCACCTGCTGTATTTGCCACTTACTTTAGTCATCTTTGCATACCTGCTTACCAAAGACTAGGCTTAAGTACAGGATCACAAGCAAGTATATGTATAGCTGCCTTGGAAAAATTAATAATAAAGTGGTTTGAGTTTTCCAGAGAGTATCAGCAGATAGGAAACCATCTTCACTTCCTATGAACCTGGATAAAACAGGATATTAGATTGCTACATTTATCCAGTTATAAGCCATAACAGCTTGCTTAAAACTTTTTTCAATTTATTCCAAACAACACAACTCACAAAAAGCCATGGAATCCATTAAGTATTCATCTTTTTCCCTCTTGGCACTTAAAAATAGGCCAAATTTCTTACTCAAAGTTCCAAAGAAGCTTTACATACACGTTTGTTTTGTTTTCAAGAACTGGGTTGAAGCATATCAGGTACCACTTAGGTAAAGAATTCAAATTAATTCCAATGGAAAACAAAGGCCTGCACAATCCCTCTGTGGAGTACAGGACAAAGGCCCTGAGACCTGAGTGAGAGCAAGAATTCTGCCCAGCCATGTGAACAGGCAAATGCTCAATGAGTCCTTCTATGTGATGCTATGTACCGTACGTTATATGTATTGATCTCAATTGTATCCCTCTTTTTTTTTTTTTTGAGACAGAGTCTCGCTCTGTCACCCAGGCTGGAGTGCAGTGGCGCGATCTCCACTCGCTGCAAGCTCCGTCTCCCAGATTCAGCCATTCTGCTCAGCCTCCTAAGTAGCTGGGACTACAGGCACCCACCACCACGCCCGGCTAATTTTTTGTATTTTTTAGTAGAGACGAGGTTTCACCATGTTAGCCAGGATGGTCTCGATCTCCTCACCTCATCCTAGCAACTCTGCCCCTTTGCTCATCAGCAATGAGGCTAGCATTTGAAGGCTCCTCTGCAAGAGTTGAAGGACTACCCCAGGGTCTCTGTATATTTCCCTGGAAGCTCTTACAGTAGCACCAGGAAACCTAGCCCCATCCCAGAAGAATCATTACACTAGGGATCCTTCCCTGGGTGTCAGGGCTTGAATATGCCCCTTTCATGGCTCTGAGAGGCCCTTTGCAAATGCCATTGCTGAAAAGATGTGTGTAAGAACTGAAGTTTCTCTGGGAATAGTGCACCCACAGACTCACAAGGGGCCAAGTCCAGAAAAACAGCATGAACCCTGGAGGCATTGGACACCAGGCCTATAGACGCAGCTGGCGTTGGTCAATGGGTTTTCAATTCCGAGTAGGTCTTTTTCAAAATTCCCTTTTCCAGACCTTTTGAAATACATTATTGTTTTCTCCAATTTCAAGTAGAAATTACTCTGTAACTGGATATAATTTCATTTATATGTAAATGGTATTATATTTTCATTTATGTTTCAATTGAAGCTGAAAAAATTTACTATGTCTGGCTGATTAAAAACTAAGAGATTGGGTGGAATGAGTCTTCTTTCATAGACCAAAGATGGAATTCTAAATTATATTTATACTTTGCCATTTAATGGCATGATAGAGTTTTCTTGCTCAGCAAATTTTTAGTCTCTTTTCCTCATTAAAAGCTCTTGAACTCATTATCTCATATTTTCTATTTTCTCATCTCATATTGATAGAATCATCACACATTTTCTCCATGAATTCAGGAGACTGCTCTTTTCAGAACAGACATATTTAATGTAAACTGTACCTGGACTTCATGGAGACATTTACTTTTGATATTGCTTTACTTACGTTAAAAATAATTTTAAAAGTTTTTAATTTTCCCTGGATCTTTTTCATGGAACATTCTCATTCCCCTGGTGTGATATTACAGTAGAAATTGACAAACCTGAATAACATGGAGACTCCAGTGGTTCTGTGTACAGAGTCATGCAATTAAAATAGTTATAGCATGGTTTGATTAAGCAGATACTCAGGAACATATGATTAAGTTAAACCCTTTTATGCAATGAATTAATTTAAAATTGGTGACTTGAGTTTAATGTTAATATAAGCAGTCTAATTAACTTTTACAATAAGTAAAAATATATCCAGAAGTTTATCTGGATCTCACAAGCAAAAATAATATTTACATAGTTTTTGTGATATTGCCAAGCACCTTATGTGTACTTCTCCATTAATCCTTACAACTTTAGATTAGATACCATTATCCCCATTTCACAGATGAAGCAGCTGAGGTACAGGAAGGTTAAGTAATTGGCCCTAAGTTACATAACTAGCAGTGCAAAGTCAGGTTTCAAACTCATGTCACTTGACTCCAAACTCACATTATTAACCAGTGTGCAGTAATGCCCCTAAAGCTTTTTCCAGGTAGTGTCCCATCCAAGTGTTGACCAAGAGTTGCCCTTGCTAAACTTGTACTGCCAGATGAGTTAGGACTAATTTACAGAGCTATGCAAGATGGAATCCACAGAAAGTCTCACAGTAACACCCTAAGCTGCTTCTTGCTTATAATGTAACTGACAGAGAGAAAGTTCTGATTTAAGATTGCCAGATTTAGCAAATAAAAAATGCAAGATACCCAGGTAAATCTGAATTACAAGTAAACCTAAATTTTAACATAATTTTTAAAAATACATAGTCCAATGCAATATTTTAGACATACTTAGACTAAGAAATTATTTGTGGTTTACCTGAAATTCAAATTTCACTGAGTGTCTTATATTTTATCTGGCAACACTATCCTGGGTTGAGTTCATTCTCAAATGTTGTCCACTGAACTAGAAGAGAACACCCATGTGAAAATTTGGCTTTCCCATCTTGTGCCAAATGCCAGGGTGGCCCCAAGAATTATTCAGATTCCAGAGTCACCTGTGGCTTGTGATGTGGTCACGGCCCTACATCACCACTCCTCCCAAGCCAACCACCTCCTCAGGCCCAGTGCACTGAGCAGTGTGAATTAATGAGTTGAGTTACCAGAAACCCCTCTTTCCAAAAGGTTTAATTAATCTCTTTATATGTCCATTGAAGCCTGAGTCACAGAGGGTAGAGTATTCGGATGACAAAGTGTCAGCAAGCATTGTCACAAACTCCCAGTGGTCATTCTTACTCCCACTGTATCCTGGTCTCTAATCCAAAATTTATGAAAACATTCAAAACTTCATGTTGAAAAAAGAAATGTCCTTCTTATTCTACTGCTTTCTGGGTGTTCATTCTCAGTCATAATATGTAAAGACCAGATGAACAAGGTCTTTGAACACCTGAGGACAGAATTTGGTCTTGAATGCTTTGTATCTGACAGTCTTTAAGCTTACACTGGGGATGAGGCCAAAATGCATGATTCCATGTGAAATTAGTGGGTAAGCTTCCCATTACAGAGTTCACAGTGGTCTTGAAAAATATTGTCCTTTGAGGTATGCCAAGTCAAAATCATGCAAAGTGTTATTTAATTGATGCATTGAGTTTAAAAGCAGCCAACTCTATTTGCTTTCTGGGTGTTCATTCTCAGTCATAATATGTAAAGACCAGATGAGCAAGGTCTTTGAACACCTGAGGACAGAATTTGGTCTTGAATGTTTTGTATCTGACGGCCTTTAAGCTTACACTGGGGATGAGGCCAAAATGCATGATTCCATGTGAAATTAGTGGGTGAGCTTCCCATTACAGAGTTCACAGTGGCCTTGGAAAATATTGTCCTTTGAGGTATGCCAAGTCAAAATCATGCAGTGTTATTTAATTGATGCATTGAGTTTAAAAGCAGCCAACTCTATCATATTAGCCCTGTGTTGCTCACATCAGCAAGTGCTCAATAAATAACTTGTTGACTGATTGACTGAGGGGATATTGGAAAAACGTACTGAATAATTCTCTTTGCTACATGACCAGATGTCCTCTGTAAGGGTGAACACAGCAGGGCACAGCAAAAAAAAAAAAAAAAAAAAAAAAAAGCAATCAGAGGAGCTGCTGAAAATTATTCAGTGAGAGCAAAAAACAAGAGAAACACATTATCTGCATTTCATGCTGGATGCATAAGCATTTGAAATGGAGTTGTCACAGCAGTAAGAATAGAGAAAACTGCCCAGGACTGGGAGTTTAGAGACTTGAATTTTGGCCCTCTGCCAATAACCACACGTGAGGCCTTAGGATAGTTAATTTATATTCTTTCTGGAAGTTTGTCTAAATGTTTTCTAAGGTCACTTCCATTCTGTAATTTTCTAATTTTTCTTCTGACTTAGGTTTTCATGCATTTAAGCATCAGAAAATATTAGCCTTCGGACTCTTCTCAAGTATTGATTTGTTGCTTTTATTCCTCAGCTTTTCTAAGCAGATTACGTGGTTGAAAAATGTGCTATCAATTCCTTATGAATATCCTAGCCCTAAGGGAGTTCAGCTAATTAGGTTAATCAGCATAGCCCTAGTGCTGTTATACAATCAACCTTTCTTATATTCATTCATTCTTTTATTCAGTGAATATAAAAATTTTAGCCAGTACACAGTTAATATTTATTTAGAACCCACTACATGCTACTGAACCAGGCGTTGGTGAGAAGTTCCCTACTCTCAAAGGGCTTATAGTCTAGTTAGAGAAACAGGAACGTAAACAGAGAATTTCAACCAATTGCGTTAAGTGCCATAACAGAGGAGTTGGCAAAGAGTTGTGGCAGTCTAGAGGGAAGGTGGCCATGTCCTAACTAAACCAATCGGGAGAGTCCTGGTATATCAGGTTGCAAGAAGAAGTATTCCAAGCAAAAACGATGAGGTTATTCTCCAATAATACATACAACTAATATAGGCTTTATTGGAAAGGGAAGCTAAAGAGGCCAGGTTTGATAGTTTAAAAATCCCAGAAGGAAAAGAGAAATGAGGAATGGAAATAGAAAACAATCATCAAAATGTATAAAATAAGTATGTGTGTTTGTGGGGCAAATGTTTGTTGAATGGAGGTTAAGAACGGAGTACTTCCCTGTGGAAAATCATAGTAAACAGCACACACAGCACCCTGATCTTCCACAGGCAGATCTCTGTAGCAACACATTCTGTCACAGCATCAACCAAAGACAATGTATTGAGTTTCTCATTTTCCCTGCTACTAGTTCATCACAGGCTTACTTTTCATTGACCTCAAACTAAAGTGGCCCTCGCTTCCCCAGTAAGTACTCTCCACTGTGTAATCCTGTTGATTACAACTTGAAAGCACCTTGTCTATCCATCTATTTACTGGCTTTGGACTTGGAAAAAAATACGGTTCCTTCCTGAGGTGAAACCATTTGACTTCATGTTTCCAACCTTGAATAAAGGGTTAATTTCTTGTGGGTCCCAAACCTGTCAGTGCCTAGGGACAGTGTTTGGCATATCAAAGTCTGAAATCTCACATCAGTGTCTTGGATCAAGAACCATATTTTCTCCATATATGGCACTAACCTTCACAACCTCATATTTCCAGTGGCCTTGTGACCCTTCAGTCAAAAATGGTAGAATTTATTTCATATTTGTATTACATTTTTTACATTAAAAAGCACTAAAATTGGCTCCTAAATCCTAAAGAAACTTATCTCTTTCTCTACTAGAATGAGTTAAGGTGCTGGAATAGAAACAGATGGAAAAAAGAGATATAATTAGGAATGAGAAGAAATTGCGGCTCTCTTATTTGTATGGCATGGTTCCTTTCACTGAGTATAATATATGAGCTTCAGTGTAATGTGGTCATCAATTTTAATTTTGCCAGCCTTTCATTTGATGGTTGCTGCCATTCCCATCTTAATCTTCAAAGGGCATGGCCAGGATAATTATCACAGCTACCAGATCTTTCCCCTGTAATGTCACTGAATCTTATCAACCTATTTTCCTTGAAACTTGGGATCACAGGTAGAGAGTTACTGTACTCACTCTGACAATCACATTTCTCCAAAAGCACAGATTTTAGAAGGATCAAAATTGCAATCACATATTCTGTTATATAACTCATTTCAGACAAATATTCTTTTCTAGTCCACATTTAAATGGTTATAGCCCGTAGGATTGCATGACTTTGCCTTTGCTTAGTCAAAGCGAGCTTTATATTTTCAATTGAGACATAAGAAAACATTCTCAAACTTAGCCATTTTATTAAAAAAATCTCACCGATGCTTACATGTTTCTCCTTTAAACAACTGTCTCATATGCATATAAAAGTCAGAAATTTCCTTTTTTCCTTTAAGGTTGAACTTTTCACAGTGCACACAAGACAAGTTAATGCAGGAATTAGTAGTTAGTGATAACATTCATGAATAAATGTGATTCTAGTCAGTTTTTTAGTTTAAGAAAGGTGTTTTTAACACGAATCTATCTGGGTGGTTTTGCTAAATTACCAAGTTCAGCCAGTGGATATTTACAGTTTCAGAGTCCACTTGACATTCCCCAAGAAATACAAAGTCAAGGCATTTTATTTTAAATTGGGCTGGTGGTAATTTCCTTTTCTCTAAAATTTGAAGAAATTTACATAGTGTCTAAATATAACTTTATCATCTGCAAAATGACTTCCCCTTGGGATGGCAAAAGACACAAGTGACTCCAACCGTTATTCCAATGAAGTTATGAGGGAAAACTGTGCAAACTGAGTTCTTGGTTTCTAACAGTAAAGTTGAAGCTAAACAGACAAAATTTCTATATTAGCACTCTTGCTGGCTAATTTTCACTTCACTCATTATTTACAAGCCACTGTTTTTCTCAACTAATTAAGTTACTCATGTAACTCTTAATGGTTCTCATATATATATAAACATATGCATTGCATCATTTGTACTTCTGAGATGAATTCATTAGCAATTAATAACTGTACAAAATCCTCACCTAAATTCATACTCCTGTGAATGTACTTGACGACACATGCCACACAGTTCAGTTCTTTTTAAACATGCTCAGATACATGCACACATACACTAGGAGTTTATAAATAACAATAATTATTATAAATAATGGCATTCGGCATGATAACCAATTATCTTCTGAATAATCAGTGTCCATTAATATTCTCACAGATTATTGTGTTTACAAATCACTGAAGACTAACATAATTGCAATATTCAGAACAGTAAGTTCATAGCATGAGTCCCCAACTAAAATGTTAAGCCTCACAAGTAAGGAATGGTTATTTCTGCTCACCACTGCATCCCCAACACATAGAACAGCGCCTGGATTATAGAAGAGGTCTTTACAAAATATGCATTCATTGTTAAAAAATGAATGAATAAATTATCTAGAAATAAGTGTGAGATTATTTTCCTCCTTCTTAAGTTAATAGCAAAGCAATATAAAGATGGATATATTTTGGATCAAGAGAAAACGTCAATTAGGCCTACACAGTAGCTAGATGGGCAGGATTTAAAGAAAATACTTCTGAACTCTTTTACACCATTGGTGATAATGTAAATTAGTACAGCCTCTATGGAAAAAGGTATGGAGATTTCTCAAATAAAAATAGAACTACCATTTGATCTAGCAATTCCACTACTCGGTATCTAACCAAGGGAAAAGAAATCAATATATCAAAAAGACACCTGCAATTGCATGTGTATTGCAGTGCTATTCACAATAGCAAAGATACAGAATCAACCTAAGTGTTCATCAGTGGATGAATAGATAAACAGAATGTGGTGTATATACACAATGGAATAGTATTCAGCCATAACTGGATGAAATCATGTTGTTTGCAGCAACATGGATGGAACTGGAGGTCATTATCTTAAATGAAACAAGCCAGGCACAGCAAGACAAACATTGCGTGTCCTCACTCATAAGTAGGAGCTAAAAAAATTTGTTCACGTGGATGTAGAGAGTGGAGTGATAGACACTGGAGACTCAGAAGGGTAAGGGGTTGGTGGGAGGATGAAGATAAGTTGTTAATGGGTACAATGTGTTTTACTCAGATGATGGATACCCTACATACTCTGACTTTAACCACTATAAAATCTATGCATGTAATAAAATTGCACATGTACCTCTTAAAGTTGAATACAAAAAAAAATTAAGTGAACACATCCCCTTTATAGAAGAATCTGTAATTACCTAAATGTTGAAAAATCCCAATGATGTGCAGTCACTGAAAAACCTTACATACAGCAAGTTGCATTAACCAAGGAGACCATTTTGTGTGAATTTACACAAGGGCAGAAATGAGTCCAGGAAGGACATGAAACCCTGCATCTGAGGACAATATGTTTATCTACTTAGATCTAATGATCACAGACATCCCCTTGATTAGAAATGGGGAAAAGCATGCAGTATGCCTGGTCCATGGGAAAATATATTCCCCAGGCAGGGTTAACACTTGGCCAGCTATGCATCGGATCCATTACAATGGTGACACCACATTTTCTCTATTATGCTGAAAACTTGTGAGTGCTATTGTCTTTTTTGTTGGGTGTAATCAATATTAAGACAAGATGATGGAAACATGGGGCATGTTCTAACAAGACAACTTCCTATCCAAGTAGTTTATGATACAAAACAAAGAACTAGATGTTCCTGTTTATCCTGCTTACCTGTAGCCTGGCCTAAGTCAGAAGTGTAGGTGAGGCTGACTCTGGAGGTCTGAGCTAACTCTCTAATACATGGCCCTTCTCATTTTATAGGCCCTGCTCTAAGACTCTTGCTCAGAGTTTTGATTTGCTAATAAGAAGTTGTTCTAAATGGGTAAGGTCCACCTTTCCAATTTTTTTATTAAATCAGATAATGTCTGCTTGTGGACTCAAAAATTATGATCCATCACTACTAAAGATTCCTACTACATCTTAGAACATAAAGGCAAATGGGTAGGAAAGAAAAGAAAAATAATGATAAGCAAAGCTAAATAAAATGGAAAAAAAGCCAGAGATTTCACACCTTTGGGGTTTTTCCATCCTCCAAGCTATTTTTTCTTGCTAACTCTGCCATCTATTCATGGATGTTGTGTTGTTGTCTGTCTGGGTGATTTACACAGTGCTGGTCATGCTGCCAGCTCTAGCGTCATCTTCCCTTTGAAGCACAGCCAGAAGGATGTCACTGGAAATGCTGAATTACTGTACATGAAAGACACAAAGGGAAGTATGAACTGGGACATCCAGTCTAGAAGAGGGAAGGCTAAAGAGAAGGTATGTAATGGTATTCAGACAGGTGCAAATGCCTGCCAGGCCTGCTGAACTCTGTGTTGAGTCAAGACTGAACTACGCAGAAACCTGACAATTTTATTGATGAACATGACTTTAGAATTTAATCTGACCTAACATCCTCACTTTACAGCTAAGACATTGATGTTTGAGATACATCCCTAGTGGGGCTAACCTACAAAGGAAATCAATGCACTGAACTAATCTGATAATCCACAGCTAACCTGCAAAGGAGATCAATGCACTGAGGTCATGGCTGAACTGACACTTTCTAGGTCTATTTTCCATTATGCAAGATGACTTTAGGTGGTACAAAAGCAGAGTATATTTTTAAAGTTATGTAATTCTTTTTATATATATTCTTAAAAATAACATGACCACATAAATTTAGTGATATAAAATTTCCTGTAAGTAAAAATAAGCAAATCCAAGTGCCAAAAACAAATGGCTCTCTTAGAAATGTGGTCTAATGGCTTTGATCTTTATTGCACCATCTCAACCACCTCATCAGAAGTACAGTGAGGGTGAGGTGGATGCAACTGGAGCTTTTATGAGAGATCAACAATGGGGGAGCTTTTCCTATCATCAGAGATTTTATTTTCAAGAGAAATCAGGTTAGTCACTAAGGTTATGGGAATTTCTCTGGGTATGTCCCTGGAAAAGATTAAATCCAGTCTTCCTTGAAACTATGAGAAATGAGATGAACTCTTCACATGGTATCCACATCCATAAGCATCTGTGACTATTTAGAAAGTGTAAAAACTGACAATGCCCCCAAAACAATAGCAATATATTTAATACCTAAAATTTATTATGTGGCAAACAAGTCAGGCATAAGTTAAGACCTCAGATTATCTCAAATATTTATCACTGCTTTGGAGTTGGGTACCAGTGAAACAGGAAAGGAATAAATTTTGAAATAATCCAGGTTGGCTTTAATTTGGGGAGTGATTTTTATCATTAGTATTTCTATAAACTATGTGGACCAACATTCCCTCTAAGTCAATGGAAGTTTTAAACTACTATATTTCAACATTGAGTCCCAGCTGTTTTGTGGTTAGAATGCATAGAAGAACAGGTTCATCAGAATTAGGTCTTGTTTCTTTCACCAAAGCTAAGCTCAATCTAGATACAGGTAGTTGTGGCATATTTGGAGACATGGCTCTACAAGAAAACCAACTAAATGGACTGCTTCCTACCACTGAGGGTGGAAAGAAACCTGGTAAATTTGGACCATTCCATTTTATGGCAGCTGTAGTGTCTGTACTACATTCTTAAACCAATCTTTTTCTTCAGATGAAGAGATGCAATGGTGACATTCTGCTTAAGATTCCTCCCTGAGAACTCTTTAAGCTTGGTCAAATTAAATGACTACTTCTTATAAAACAGTATTTGATGGCTGATTTTCATGAGTGAATACAGAACTTTGATTTTTTGCAGTCCTGAGATTGATAATGGGTCTCAGGAGATTTTCAGGTACTCTCAGAATAAGACTATTGGTATGGATTGGACCTGAGTCCCCACCCAAAACTCGTGTCAAATTGTAATCCCCAACATTGGAGATGGGGCCTAGTGGGAGTTGATTGTATCATGGGGATGGATTTTTCCCCTTGGTACTATCCTCACAATAGTGAGTGAGTTCTCCAGGGATCTGGTCATTTAAAAGTGTATAGCACCTCCCCTTTCTCTCTCCCTTGCTCCTGCTCCAGCCAGGTAAGACATGCCTGTTCCCCTTCACCTTCTGCCATGATTATGTTTCCTGAGCTTCCCTTCACTTTCTACAATGATTATAAGTTTTCTGAGGCCTCTTCAGAAGCAAAACCCACTCTACTTCCTGTACAGCCTGCAGAACTGTGAGCCAATTAAACCTCTTTTGTTTATACATTGCCAAGTCTCAGGTATCTCTTTATAGCAGTATGAATACAGACTAATACAGAAAATCAGTACCAAGGAGTGGGACATTGCTATAAAGATACTTGAAAATGTGAAAGCAGCTTTGGAATTGGGTAACTGAATGATGTTGGAAGAATTTGGAGGGCTCAGAAGAAGAGAGGAAGCTGAGGGAAAGTCTGGAACTTCCTAGAGAGTTGTTGAATGGTGGTGACCAAAATAGTAACAGTGATATGGAAAATGAAGCCCAGGCTGAGGAGGTCTCAGATGGAAATGGGGAACTTATTGGGAACTGGAGTAAAGGTACTCTTGTTATGCTTTAGCAAAGCACCTGGCTGCATTGTGCCCCTGCTCTGGGGATCTGTGGAACTTTGAACTTAAGAGTGATGATTTGGGGTATCTTGTTGAAAAAATTTCTAAGAAGCAAAGCATTCAAGTATAGCCTGGCTGCATCTAACAGCATACATTCATATGTGTGAGCAAAAAAAAAAAAACAAAACAAAACAAAACAAAAAACCTAAAACTGAAACATATTTAAAAGGGAAGCAGAGCATAAATGTGTTCGGAAAATTTGCAGCCTGGCCATGTGGTAGGAAAAAAAAAAAGTCCATTTTCAGGGTGGAATTTAATCAGGCTGCAGAAAGTTGCATAAGAAAAAAGGAGCCAAGTGTTAATATTCAAGGAAATGGGGAAAAGGTCTCAAAGGCATTTCAGAGTCCTTTGCAGAAGCCCTTCCCATCACAGGCTGGGAGGCCTAGGAGGACAGAATGGTTTTGTGGGCCAGACCCAGGCCTCCACTGTCCTGCATACCCTTGGAACACTGCTGCCTGCATCCTGGCTGCTCCAGCTACAACCATGGCTCCAAAGGGCCCACATACTCAGGCTGCTGCTTCAAAGGGTGCAAGCCATAAGCCTTGGCAGCTTCCATGTGGTGTTAAGCCTGTGGGTGCATAGAATCCAAAAATTGAGACTTGGGAGCTTCTGCCTAGATTTCAGAAGATGTATGGAAAAGCTTGGATGTCCAGCCTGCTGCAGGAGCAGAGGCTTTAGAAAGAGCCTCTACCGGGGTAATGCAGAGGAGAAATGTGGGGTTGGAGGTCCCACACAGAATCCCCACTGGGGCACTGCCTAGTGGAGCTGAGTACAAAGGGTCACCATCCTCCAGACCTCAGAATGGTAGATTCACTGACAGCTTTCACTGTGCCTGAAAAAGCCACAGGCACTGAATAGCACTTAAGAGCAGCTTCAGGGCTGAACCCTGCAAAGCCACAGAGACAGAGCTGCCCAAGGCTCTGGGAGCCCACCCCTTTCACCAGTGTGCCCTGGATGTGAGACATGGAATCAAAGGAGACTATTTTGGAGCTTTAAAATTTAATGACTGCCCTCCTGGGGTTTCAGATTGCATAAGGCCTGTAACCCCTTTATTTTGGCTGATTTCTCCCTTTTGGAATGGGGGTATTTACCAAATGCCTGTACCCTCATTGTATCTTGGAAGTAACTAACTTGTTTTTGATTTTACAGGCTCATAGGCAGAAGGGACTTGCCTTGTCTCAGAAGAGAGTTTTGACTTTGGAGTTAATGATGAAATGAGCTAAGATTTCGGGAAACTGAGAAGGTAAGATTGTATTTTGAAATATGAGAAAGACATGAGATTTGGGAGGGGCCAGAGGTTGGATGATATGGTTTGGATCTGTGTCTCTGTCCAAATCTCATGTCGAATTGCAATCCTCAATGTTGGAGGTGGGACCTGGTGGAAGGAGATTGGATCGTGGGGGCAGATTTCCCCTACCATATTGTCCTCACAACAGTAAGTTCTTCTGAAATCTGGTCATTTAAAAGTGTGTAGCACTCTCTCTCACTCTCTCTCTGTCTCTCTCTCTCTCACCATGTAAGATGTGCCTGCTTCCCCTTTGCCTTCCACTATGAGTGTTTGTTTCCTGAGGCCTCCCCAGAGCAGAAGGTGCTATGCTTCCTGCACAGCCCATAGAACCATGAACCAATTAAAACTCTTTTCTTTATACATTACCCAGTCTCAGGTATTTCTTTATAGCAGTGTGCAGAATAAACTAATACAACTATCAAAATCCAAAAGTTCCTATATGGTCAATTCTCAAGAAAAACAGTTGCTTTTTAAGATTTATTCCAAGTCTCCTGACATAAGATATGCTGTCATACTATTTTTTTTAATCCTCCCACCTCAGCCCCTCAAGTAGCTAGGATTAGAGGTGTACACCATACCACCATGCCTGGCTAATTTCTTAAGTTTTGGTAGAGATGAGGTTGCACTATGTTGCCCAGGCTGGTCTCAAACTCCTGGGCTCAAGGAATTCTCCTCACTCAGCCTCTCAAAGTGCTGGCATTACAGGAATGAGCCACTGTGCTGACCTTGTCTTTTATTTCTTTGACTTGACACTAGTTGACATAGTTATGCACATAGACTCCAATTCTGCCTATGAATTTTATCTGTTGGGATCTTATATCCACAGTTTCTGAATACTGGAATGCTGTAATTTTTAATTCTTTGGTGATCTCTTTCAGTCCTGTGGCTTTAACTACCAACTACATATTGTCAGCTGGCAGTTATTTGCCCAGCCAGACCTCTTTCTTGAAACACAGACCTATATGCAATTGTTCATGTCACATTTATACATGTATATCAGACATCTCAAATTAACATGGCCAATAAAATGGCCAATATCCATCATCAAACCTGCTCTCCCTGAAGTCATCTCCATCTCAGTTAGTAGCAACTCCATTCTTCCAAATTATAAAACCCAAATCTGTGGTTTTATCTTTGAATCATTTCTCTTACATCCTGAATTCAATTTTTCAGCAAATCCTACCGGCTTTGTCTTCAAAATATATCCAGAATCTGAAAACTTTTCACATTTATTGCTGGCAGGCTAGTCTGTGTCTCTGTTATCCCTTGCCTGGATTATTCCTATAACCTCCCATTTAGATCCCTTGCTTTGCTCCTTATACCTTATGATATTTTCTTACTCTACAGAACTCAGAATAATCCTTTCAGATATACGATTCTCTTTGCCTCAATCTCTTTAATGATTTTCCATGTCATTCAAAGTAATATTCAAAAATCCTGCCATGGTCTAGAAGGTTCTACATTATCTATCTACAAACTCTGCCCCCAACAGTTCTTCTCTGTCCTGTGACTCTAATCATTGCTGGGTTCCAGACATGACAGAGTATAAGGAAGGAGAGGAGAAATAAATAGATCAGAATCACAGTTAAAGTGTTTAGATTCTGTGAGGTTTTCCCCTCAAGAAAAGGATTTGCCTGGCTCATTTGTTTTGACGGGGTAAGCTTGGTTGTGAAGAAAGCAACACAGCTTCCAGCCACAGCAACCATTCACACTTTGCCTCCTACCAGGACAAAGACTGGTTGCTTTCATCTTTTGCATTGCAGAATGCTAATGCCATAACTAACACATAGTAAGAAAATTTAAAAATGTTCATTAAGTGTTACATTGCTAGAGAACACATAGTTCTTTTAATATTATCGGCAAATAGTTTGAAAAATATCACAAAAGGCATCTTTATCAATTAATGATATACCATACTTAATATTGGCTTTCATTACACTCATGCTATATACGAATGCTTTCACTAACAACTCAACATTCCCAGTGCTGTTAGTAGTTTAAGGTTTCTCCGCAATGCCAGGACATTCGATGCCAACATATGTGAGTAGTTTAGTGACTTCATTTCTAGGCTTCATGCCAAGAATTTCTGGATAGGAAACATTCTCAATATGTCCCTTATTTGTGCAGCACCTATACTTTATGTCTTTGAATTTATAAGTAGCTTATTGGTAAAAATTTCTAAGCCTGGGCATCTATACCTTAACAGATTTCCAAGAATTTATTATTTCCCATACTCTATTGACTCAAAAGAGAATTCTTTCCTGCATGTTAAAAATATTATTTGTGTAAATAGCTACTCCTTTAATTTCTGTGACATGAAGTTATGCAAGCTTTTGACTAGAAACTTCCCCTAAGGCAATTCAAATGTCAGATTGAGGAGCATATTAGGGAGTTTCAGCATGAAATATCATATCCAATGTGATCCAGCATCAAGTCATCTAAGAAGCAATAGTAATGGAATGGTATTTGAAAAGGTGGTGCAGTTGTGGAATAGCATAAACATCTATCATTTTATCAGAATATAAAAGTCTCTTTATAAATTTTAACCTCCAATCATCACTGAATGGTAATGGTCAATGGGGTACCTGCAATATCTTAACAGTTTCATAAAAATAGCCACAGTTTGAGAATGGTCTGTATGTAAAGATTTTATGATATATATTTAGGTCCTCAAGACTAACAAGAACATATGCTTTGTTTGTCTTTCTTATTTCTCTCTTTTTTTTTTTTTTTGAGACGCAGTCTCGCTCTGTCGCCCAGGCTGGAGGGCAGTGGCGCGATCTCGGCTCACTGCAAACTCCGCCTCTCGGGTTTACGCCATTCTCCTGCCTCAGCCTCCCGCGTAGCTGTGACTACAGGCGCCTGCCACCACGCCCGGCTATTTTTTTTTGTATTTTTAGTACAGACGGAGTTTCACCGTGTTATCCAGCATGGTCTCAATCTCCTGACCTCGTGATCCGCCCGCCTCGGCCTGTTTTTCTTATTTTTCATGTGCTACTAATTTATTTTCTTCCAGGTAAAATAAAATGAATGCAAGGAAGCTAAATGGATAATCTGACACTTTTCAAAAAGCCCTCAAAATGGCCATTTTTATCACAGCTTCCATCCGTACCATTCCTTGCATATATTATTTTCTCTGTTTCTAATACTTTTGCATCTTGTCCAGAGAATTTCTATGTGTTCAAGGATTAGCTCAGGTGACAATCATTCTCCTGCCTTCTCTGAGGAATCGCCCATTGCAGCCAGCACTAGAGAATCAATCTGCCTTTTCCTTTAAGTTTTCCAAACTTAAAGAATCTCTCATATTTTTGGGTAATATCCATCCATACCTTTCCTATTTGACTGTGACCCTCTGGATGCCAGAGACTATATCTTATTTACTTCCAAATTCTCAATGCAAAGCAAATCAAATATTAAGCAATATTTGGGATTTGAAGGAGTGAAAGCAGCTAACATTGTAATGTCTTTAGATCAGTTACTTAAACAAAGCTTTTCTTTCTCCCACAGAATCTATCCTCTGCATTCCTGAATCTCAAGTAAAATATCATTGCGTCCTTAGCTGAAGTCAGAATGCCTCAGCCGATGAGCATGTCATGCTCACTGTGCATTTTCTGGCATCTGGACTGATACTGTTGTCCAGAATTCTCTACATGTGGATTGTGAAGAGCATTTATAGCAGAAGCTGTCTTACCAACGTTAGTAACAAAGTACCTTTCCTCAAAGTGGAATCATCCTACCTGTTCTTACCTAGAGTTCCTCAAGCAAAATCTCATCCTCATTGAGACATGCAGAAAACATAAAGGAATCATAAGCAGCCCCTTTCCCACCTATTATTTTAAATGACAAAACTACCTTGAACCAACACTATTCAAATCACTGCTGTCCTCAAGTTAAGGCAACTCTTCAGGTGACCAAAGAAGCTTGACCAACCACCATGCTCCCAGAACATACAGCCTCTAAAGCATTTCTTTTATAAGCATTTATCACAAAGGGCTAAAACACTGAAAGAATGGCACTGACTTGAAAAGGAGTGAAAATGAGTCTAACAGGTACAGATGCTAATTTCACTAACCTCAAGAGCATTACATAATTTCAACAAATAAACATGCATAGTAACATGATTCCTTGATTTGGTATCCCTGCTCCATTGGAATTATTTGTAGAGGCCACTAAAACAAGTATTTTGGCAATAGAAAGGAACAGTGGCAATGGCTTCAAAACGCCTACAGCAGGAAGCAGAGAGGGGATCTCTGAGTCACGCTTCAAACTGTAGATTCGTTTTGTTGATGTGGCTCTTGCGTTATGTTATAATTCTATTAGATTTGCTGGGAAGGAGAATACTGAATTTGGGGATGGGTCTTCATATGCTGATACTTATCACCACTGACACTTGAGTGATTTAACACGTTGGAAATTAAGTCTGTGTTTCAAACCCTCTACACTGTGGAACTAAGTGTTCTCAGCTTGTTCTGTTTTTGCCTTTGGACCATTTCATTTTGAAGACACACTTGAAGATGATAGCATTAATTTAGCTAACAATATTCATTTTGTTTTCATTAGTTGTTTTTGTAGTTTCATATTTTGATGCATGATCTGATAAATGCATAATACCCAGAGGGTGCCTCTGTTTGTATTAATAACAGGAACTCATCCACACCTCATCAATGATAGAACAGTTTAGCTTCCCTGTTAAAGGAGCATGAATCAGAGATGTTCATGAGAAAAGGAATATTTGTAATGCAGAAGGAAACTACTGGGAGAGTGGGGATGAAGTGAGCAGGGGGGACAAGTAAACTCTGAAGTGCAAGGCATTGCTTGGGGTTAATAGCTGTGTATTCTCTAAACACCTCAGTGACTTGGGCAAGTTACTAAAGCCCTCTAAATCTCAGTATTACTATCTTGAAAGTGAGTGAGAGTCAGTTTTATCATTAAAAAATTATTCTATAATTGTATACTTATATACATTGAAATTATAATTTTATAAGCTAATTTGTTGAGCAATGATGATCCTTGTGATTCCTTAACAGAAAATTGTATAAGCAAGGATTATGTAACACAGGCAATTTTTGGAGTCATTAAGTAATAATAATAACTACCATTTATTGGATGATTATGGTGGGAATTATGTTTTCCAAATGCATGTTATATGATTAAATTATCACCACCATGGTCTTAGATGGGTATTTCATCCCTGCTTTAAAAATTAATATTTTTATTTTCAAATGGTTTCACGTAACCTTTCACACAACTATTAAATGGCAGAACCAAAAATCAAATCCAGGACTCTCAGACTTTCCAACACATGCATTTATCTACGTGACCTCTAAGTTAAATTCCAAAGCAGTTGTATTTATAAAGTTTCATCTTTCAAGTGCACACTGCAATCACGTTTACCTCTATGCAACAAAAGTGACACACCGTTTTGTTGTCAGCATGAATGTTTATGATATAAAGATTCCCTGCTATCCTACTCTATACAACTGATAAAGCAAGTCAAAAAACATGTAGCTTTACAAATAAAGGCTTTGGGCAATATTCTAAGAATGAAAGAATAAGTATTTGAATTCATTTTGCCAGTAATTTATGAGTGGGCTTAGAATGCCTGTATGCAGAAAAAATTATTTATACTTCTGTTATTATCTTTAGCATATTAAATGAAATCATCTTTACCTGTTTGCTTTCCTTATTAGATTTGATATTTCTGAAAATAAGGAAGCCTTACTTATCTTTAAATTCCCAGTATATAACACAATGTTATATAAAGAATATACAATAAACATTGACTATATATAACTTAATTAATAAGCATTTTCCCAAATCTAATTTATTCTGAAAATTTACCTCAGTATCTCTTCTTTTGTGGGTCTCTGAAAGACAAAAGTTAAAAAGTAGATATTTAATTTTGTTCAAGTGGGAAGGGAAAAGCCGAGACAGAAAAACAAACTGAATATTGAAAGTGTGGTTAAGCATCCACACTAAGGAGGAAAGAGTGCTATCAGCATATACTAGATTCAACCAATAAGACAGGTAGCCTGGAAAATACTTCTAAAAATGCGTATATTCTTTATCTGATATAATTTGTAGGAGAAAAATTCTAATAGTATTTTCTAACAGTGACTTATATTGGCTTCAAGTACTTTACCCAACTATACCAAAGGGGAACGTGAAAAGTTAATATTTTAGACATTCTTAAGATCCAGATGACCCATGGAGAACTGAGCCAAGCAGCAGCTAAAGGAATTTGGTGCTAGAAGACAGAATCAAGTAATTTGGTCTTAAATTTTGGCATGAAATCATAAAGATGTGAAAAGACACTAGCATTAAGAGCTCTGTGGCCTAAGTAGCATCTTTTCCCTTGGTGGTCCTCAGGGGCAGGTAGAGCATCTTGCTCGCATTCTCCTTATCCTCCTTACTTATCAGAAGCCTAAATAATATCCCAATGTAGTCATTCGTATGGAAAAGAAATCTGTAATTACCCCAGGATAGACGTCTCATATATTTAGAGAATATATCCACGTCAGTGGCCATGAGTCATACCAAATCAATGGTCATCACTTTTTAACCATGCTCTTAAAATGATGTACAAAAATAGCCACTTTACTTAAATCCCCATTGAGTCCTTTTGTTGTCTTTGAATGCTGATTCAGACGGATTATTTAGGGTTTAAAATCTTCAATGCCTTATCTCCTAGTCTTTCTCTTATTGTTTTGAATGGAATAAAAAGGAAATCTGCGTCATATTGCCAGGGACTCATATTAACATGAACCATCTTCTTTTCTATATAAATGTTTCTTTTATTAAAAAGGAGAATAAAATCACACTCTTTTCTGCACAATGGGAATTTTGGGTTGGTGCAAAATTGATTGCAGTTTTGCCATTTAATGGCAATCAATCTTGCACCAACATAATAATACTCAATAGTGATTTTTGCATGCAATAATTTCATTTTAAGTGGTAGTGAAATCATTAGCTAAAGTGACTGTCCTTGTATTCCTTCTGTTTTCACTGTGTCATGAAATAGGCTGTGTACTTGATGGTGTCTGAGCTTGTGAAAATCAATGAACAAAACTTTTGTGGTTTCCCTTCAGTTTCTCCCTGCCCCAGATCCTTTCTCCACCCTCTGATGCCTTTCTCTGTGCTCCACATTGACCCGTGTTCACGGCACCGGCCAGGCCCACTTCTGGCTATTTCCTATGGGTCCAGCCCATGGGAGGCTCTGGCATGAGATTGGATAAAGCAGGGGAGCAATAGGCTGGGGAATTATTCCCCTCTCCGTCCCTGCTGTGGGGCAGTGCTGCTCCACAACCAGAGCTTCTGCTTCACAGCTCCTTTGCACCAATCAGTTCTCAGATTCTAGGACCACCATTTTCCCCTGCTCCCCTTTGGGCTAGTGGGTAGTATCAGCAATGTACTATTGCTCCTTTCTGAGTATCCTAATATCCTTTCTGTTTCCTCAGCCCATAAGTAATTCCTTCATTAAACTCTCTTCATTGGTATGGATTCTGTTTCTCACTAGGCCTCACGGATACAATTGTGAACTTGATAGTAGAGCAACTTAAACCTTTCCATTCCAATCCCTTAACTCTGTTGAAGTGTCTACAAAAACATAACCTTTCTTCTCTTGGTATAATTGAGGCTGGAATGAAACAGTTCAACAATAATGTTGGGTTTCTGTAGCCAGAAGGGATGTTTAACCCTGGTAATCAGGAAGCATGGTAGTGTTCACAAATTCTGTACACTGAAGAACCACTTCCCTTGGGACCCACTCTGGAGCCACCCTTCTTGCCAAAAGGAATGCGGTATCATACCTTTTCTTATTTCAGGGAAAGCAGAGACTAGATACAGCAGTACTCACACAGCTCTTAGCCATATGGGCATTTGAGGCAAAATTAAAAGACAGTAACGCTGATCCCATCTTGATTTAAATTTTTTATATTTTTTAAACTGAGGATTTTTTGCATTAATTTTAATTGTAAGTATATTATGTTAAAATTGATTTGTCTTGATTACCGAGATTTGGATGTCCCCTTCCTTTTGTACCCAAGGTGTCTCACTATCCTCCCCCTAGTCAAGTTCCTCTTAGAGGGAGACAGAACATTTAAACCTCTCTCAAATTGAAAGGGAGCCACAGCTAGGTTATGGTGAGTGATTAAAGATGTGAGCTTGGAATTTAGACAGGCCTAACTCTGAATATTAATCCCACCACTTACTGGCTGTTGCCTTGGGCAAGGTTCTTAAGGTCTGTCTCTAAGCCTCCGCTTCCTCCATTGCAAGATGAAGATAATAATGTAGGTAAACAAATGTAATCTGCATTGCAATGTCCAAAATGTTCTTAGAGCCAAAAGACTTTTGGCACAAAAGCATTTGGCACGTTTGGCATACGTTTGACACAAAAGCATCTGGTAGCAGATCCTGACTGAACTAAGATAAGTCAATTCATAGCCTTTATTTATTCCTCTTATAAAGTGATTATTTATGGGGTGCTGCCTCAGACCCCCCTGGAGGTGGTACAAATTAAATATATGGTACATGCACTACACAGCTTGACTGAAATCTGAAAGCTCTGAATTGAAAAATTCATATGACCCTGAGGGTTTGGGATAATTATTGTGAACCATTAATAGCTCTTCCCAGGGATTCAATGAGATGATGCGTGAGAGCCAGGGCACTTGGTGAATGGAAAATTGAGTCTTTCCCAGGACCCTGAAAATCTGAAAGCAGAGATTTGATTCTGGGACATCCAGGCCCTGACACTGCTTACTCCCCTGCTGAAGATGAGATGTTGCAGACCCTGAACTGGGTTCAAGAGGCAAATAGGTTGTTAGACAATTCCATCTAGAAAATGATGGACACCCTGAATATCAAAGGGCAGTGCCATGTCAAGAAAGACCCTTTTGTGCACCTTGAATGGACAGAGCCTCTGGAAGCTGTGGGCTCCTGTTAGATTTTGGGGGCAGCCCAGGAAGCTATGCTGAGATTCGCAGCATCTGGTCTTCTCCTGTGTAGCTACCTCCCTTCTGATTAGGTTTGCATCCTTGGCTAATTAGATCAGGACCCTAATCTAACCTTGCAGTACGTGTGTGTGTGTGCTGGGTGAGGGGGGTCTCTTCCTGTCAATCTGTGACCCGGCTGAAGCACTGCAGTGCTCAATAAACATTGTCCATTAATGTCATTTTAATCATTATGAGTTGCTAACTGGCAACAGGCATTTTTCAGAATTGAAGCTTTCTTAGAAATCAGTTGACTTACAGTATCATCTTTGAGCAATTGCAGATGCAGAGACTAAAAATTTCACAGTAATCATGAATAAAGCTTGATTGAAGAAAGTGAAAATGTCATCCCAGTCTGGGGCGGGATATGAACTGTATCAGCAGAACATGAATGATGAAGAGATATCTAGACTGGACCATAACAGAGACAATTCCCTTAATGATACATGACTAAAGACTTTACCAATTTCCAGTAAGAGTTGGAAGTCCATCTCAAAGTCTACTTTATGTTCTTCAGAGTTCCTTGTTTTTAATTTTGCCTGAATAACTTGAGAGAATAGTATAGAGTTTTTATTCCACAGCATGGGTTTAGACATCTCATTTTTTAATTGTCTGTTCACTGTCTTCGGAAATAGTTTTAGATAATTAATCTGATCACAGCCTCCCTCTGTAATTTCAATCAGAACCTGGTGCCTAGAATGGGAAAGCAGACTGGAGCCACTCTTGACTGTAGCCTTGAATCTGGGGAAGCTACCATGGTAGGAGAGCCAATGGCTGAATATACCGGCATTGGGCTTGCTGATATTAATGAAGAGTGTGTATACCCCCATAGTTCCCTGACAAGATGGGCAAAGAAGAAAATCACTTGACTTCCTGTGTCTCAGTTTCCTCATTTATAAAGTCAGTAAGTTGCACTAGAATATATTTTTTTCAAACTTTCCTTTTGCAAAAGTCTTCCCTCATATTACTTTTTAAACTAGAAATTCCAAAATATGACACAAAAATAGAGGCTTTCCGTGTGAAGTAAGAGTTGAGGTGCAGAGGTCCTGTTTTATTCCTATGTTGTCTGTCTTTAGAGAGCGCTTAAGACTCTGAAGGGTCTTATGAGAATCAATGAGCCAGATGGTTTCCAATAATCCTTTCTGCCCTAGCATTCCCTAATTCCAAAAATCTATGATTCTAATGGCTGCATTTTACTAGGTGTCTAATTTGTGCAAGGCTTAAATTAAGCATTTTGCACACAATATCTTATTTAAGCTTTAGAAAAACTTTACAAGATGGGGACTTTTTATCCTCTTATACAGATTAAGGAACTGAGACTCTAGAATTTAAATAATTTTCCTAAGGTCACACAGCCAGTAAATGTGACTCTAGGATTCAAGCTCAGTTCCGCTGACCCCAAAGTCCATATGCTCACCAGTGTGTCTGTCAAAGGATCCAGAGAGAAACACTAGCCTGCTGAAATAAATAGTCTGGCCTGAAACTAAGATTGAAAAGACTTGGGCTTCATACTGGTGTCTTTTCCACTCTATAGAAGAGCTTTCTCCTCTTCTCTCTTCTCCCCCCATCCTTCTTCTTCTCTTTTCTCCTTTCTTCTCCTCCCTCCAAACCACCTCTCTAGCACTCCAGAAATTTATACAGGAAACAAGGCCACTGACAGCTGCCAAGTTTCACAACTTATACCCCCAGAATCCAGACAGAAAATTCCCAGAGCATTTCCTAGGGGCAGGTGCCCATTACTGGACCATTCCGCCATGGCCTCATTCCAAGAGGCAGAGTAAGGGTATAATACAGCTTTTCCTGCTACAACTGGATAGAGAGAGGTGGAGAGGCACAACTACCCTGAAGAAAATGTTAGAAGCTGGGTTTATTTCACAGAAAGATGCAACTGACTCATTAGAAAAAGATGCCTCTTATTTTTATTTTCTCATTAAAAACTAATTATTGAGTACTTGTGTTTATCATGCTGCATGAAGACATAAAAATCTGGAAGTCTAAGAATGTGTTTTTTTCTAGGGATTTCCACTCACTACTTGGACAATGTTGAGAAAATTACTTCTCTCAGTAGTTCAGTTTGCTTGTAGGTTGGTAATGCTGCTTATTTGTTGGATTTGGGGGTTTTGATTTTTAGGTACAAAATAAAAGGATCATTTCAAAATAGTTCTCAATTGCTAACATTTTCTACCTTGGCAGATCTGTCCAGAAAATATTTCTAATGCCAAATATAAAATCAAGCATTGGGGGAATCAAAACAGAAATGCTAACAACACTAATAACTTTCACGTGTAGTTGCTTGAGGATTTACATTGGCCCTCTTTCTATGACTCTGCAGGACAGTTTGTGGTCCAGATGTCATTATGTCATTATTCTTTTATACAAGGAGGAAACACATCAAGAGGTTAAATAACTTATTCATAATCACACAAACGACACCATGGGGCCTTGAACTGGGGTCTCCTGATTTAGAATCAATACACCCTGGACATTTGTAACAATTTCCCTGGTCATCAGAGACTCTTGATTTTAGTCATTGTCATTTCGCTGTTGTTGGTTCCTAGCTCTAACTAAATGAATACACACTTGACGCTATGGAGGTCTGACAGCCATGTTCTTTAAAGCAATTCACTCAGCATTTTCAGGTGGTGTGATCAGTGGTAGCATCTACAGAAATGCAGCCTCCCTTGTGTTAGAGCAACAGCGTATAGCTACAGAACTTCTAGGGCTGGTCTGCCTGAAAGTCTATAAAGGGAAACTATGAACACCTTATTATATTATGCTCATTGTGGCTTATTGAGTTTTATAGACTTCGGAGCAGGGAAAAAATTAAAAGACCCAAGGTAGGCATTGCATCTTATTTGTAATTTGCTGTTTTCTCTTCTCCTAGTCACCTCTTTTAAACTAAACCAAAAACGTATATATCCTTCTAAACAAGGTTACTTGGGCAGCATACCCAGTGAGATTGTACCTTGTATAATAAATTCTCTGCTCAAGATGGTCCTAATAGTGCAGTCGTTTCAGCTTCCAGGAGAGAAAAATCAGCTTTTGGCATTTTTAAAATTTATTTTAAATCATTTCAGTGTTAATAACTACATACATACGTAAGTCAATTTTTGATCAGCATTTAGGTTGGATTACTAGGAAAGAATATCAGAACAATTAAATAATAGAATAAATATAACAATAGCTCACATGGATGTGGCCCTTTTACTTCTCCCTTTTTAAAGCTTTTGTCCCTACCACTGAAAACTAAAATAACATTATGAAAAGAAATTATTGCCCCCTTAATCATTCAAACTAATGGCCCCTTGATCAGTTTTTGTCATTCTTGAACTCTACATAGCATCTGACTCTAGTGATGATCCCTTCTTAAAAAGCTTTCTGCCCTTGATTTTGGAGGGGTAAGGCTATTGCATTGTAGTTCTTTCACCTTTCCAAAACTGCTGGTATCTTATTCACCTGCTGCTAGGGTTAATTTCCTTTTATCTCTATTCACCTCCTGCCTCAGACAGCAAATCCAGTTCACAGTTTCAAATATAATCAATAGGGAAGACCTTAAATGCAAATAATTGCCAGTTTCTTAGCAGAAACAAATGAAATGGGGAAGAAGAGGGACAGGTGCTGACTAAGCCAACACTGATTGTTACCCACTGGAAAGAGAATTCGTGTTTCCTGGGAAAGGGTCAGACTGACTTAGAGTTTATGAACTGTTCAAATTTCTATTCTTGTTTGTAAAGCTAATAAAAATCGCTTTGTGCTGTTGGATTTTGGAGAAGTTTCTTTAATCCTCTTTACATAAACCTTGCCTCTTTATTTCTCCTTTCCAAAAACAAGAATCTGTATCATCTGGATTTGATATCCATATTTATCAACACAGAAGTTATTGGATTTTGAATAATTTCTCTTCCTTTCAAGCCATGCTACATAGAAACAGACTGTGTACAAAGCAAAATCTAAGCAAAAAAGCTTGCAACAACTACCTTTTGTGAGAAATAATAAAGTGAACCAGTTCATGGTGGTTTCATTGATATCTTCCTCAAACCCTGAAAACTTGTATTGGCATAAAGATTCTCCATTTTATATAAACTGAAATTTCTATGGTTACTTTGAATGAGAGAGTCCTGAGTCAAGTCTCAGGCTCAGACAGAGGTTCCACGACTTACTAGTTCAACCTCAATTTCTTTCTTTGTGAAACAGAATTAGTATAGATGCCTGCTAGGGTTCTTGGGAGGATTAAAGGTAATGATGTAAAATGCCTAGAAACATAGCACTCTTTCAATAAATACTACTGGCTCTTAGAGTAGAGTTGAGGAGAAGAACCCAGAGGCTAAAAAAAATCCAAATGGCACGAAGGAAATGAGTCCGTGATTCTACAAAAACCAGGGAGCTGAGCCTAGTTCAAGACAGACCAAAATACCCTGCATCACACTTCTACTGAGAAGTAGAATAACCTACATAATTACAACTATTATTTAAGTTTTCTCATTTGTTTGTTAAGGGAAAGAGCTAAACAATATGGCAAACTCTAGAAGGATGGTTGAGAGCTCTGCTGAATGTGAGAGGAAAACTTCAGAACTGTAAGGACTACCTAGATGGTTTGTCGCTCCATGCAAGGCTGTCAGATAGGTGCTCGTTTATTTACTTGCTTTTATATTAACTTGGATTATTTGTTCTTAGCCTTATGGAGTATATTAGCTTCTGGGATATTGGAAAGAATTTAAAGGTGGATATGGGCAGAGCATAGTTTAGAGAACCTGACCAATGAGCTTTGCCAGCCTGGATGTGGGAAGTAGGGTTACTTGCTCTGGACTTGCTATTCCTGGTAGTATATGGTATTAATATTAGGCTGCATTTGCTGTACTGCCTCGGTAAGCTTTTAAAATTTCCCAAGTCTCTCTAAAACAAACTTTGAGATGAATACTTTGTGCTCCAGCAGTTCCCTGCAGAAGCCTTGGTAGACCCAGGTCTTCATGCAGTGAAAGGATGCTTCCCCAGCTACAAAAATCAATCACCAAACATAGCAGAGGAAACTTAGGCTTCCTCATATTGGTGTCAAGCTAAAGACAAGAGAAAAGAAATCATCTTACTGTGTGGGGATGAACAATAAAATCCTGGCAACTGACCTCTGACTGAGTTGTTATCGAAAAATGCTCTTTGTTTCCCTCAGCCAATTGAATCATGATACTTCCTGTACCCCGAAAAATATCAACTGCAGTTAGAATGAAAAAAAAAAAAAAGGAAGAACTGAACAGAATGTTTGATTAATTAATGAATTCCTCTTAATCATCTCTTTAGCAGACACCTGAAAGAGTAGGCCTATCACAAAAGTTACAAAACAACTACCGTGTTTTGGATTATTATTAGAAAGCCTTGGACAAATCTCCTAGAAAAAATAATCATAATATGATTTAATCAGTTTTCAATTATCCAGAGGTTGATTATTGCATTTGCAGATGGTTTGTACCTCTATTCTCCTTCTGCTCTCTCAGGCTGAATGCCTTTTAGCTATTATAGTGTCTGTGTGCATTTCCAGGAGAGAATTGGCAGAAAGGGACATCAGCAAGCATATAAATTGAAAGACTCATAAATTGAAGAGACAGTGGGTACTTTGCTTAAACAAGTCTTATGTATTATCTGTAGATCTAAAAATCTCAAGCTCTCCCATGAAATCATATTATGATGCCCTACCAGCTAAGGGCCTTGTATCATCGGCCTTCAGTAAATATTGGTAGAAAGAAGGGATAGCATAGTGGTAAAGAGCCAGGCTGTTAGGTCACCTGTGTTCACATTCCATCTCTAAACTTGGGGCTGATTGATTTACTTAACATCTCCATGACTTAGTTGCCTTATCTGCAAAGAGCATTGTGGTACATTGTATTGCTATCAAAATATGTACTAAAGGGGCAAAGTCTGAAGATGAAGATAAGGCATGAGAGAAAGACTGAATTTCTGACATTTTCACAGCTCCCAATCAATAGCACCAAGGGCAGCGATCCATGGTGGAGAAAACATATTCACCTTCTGAGACAGAAAGTCCGTGAACCATGAAATATTTCCCCCAAGCACTGTCAAACTAGTGTGACAAGTTGTCCCTGAAGAAGGTGACTCCACAACGGATGTGTACATCTCTGGGCAGGAAAGGATTACCTCTATCTTCTCAAACTGGACTCTATTACCATTTTTCAAACATCAAGAAATGTCTCACAGAATTTTACCTAATTACCCAGTTGTGACTGACAAGGTACTCAACTTTCTATCATGCTCAGGCTGCTGAATAACTGAAATATGGAATTAGCTAAATTGTCCAACATGGACTTTAAAGGAAGGAACTTAATAATTCCCTGGAAAATAGGTAGTGATCCCAAGAATACAACCACACTATCACTGGGGAGAAGGGAGATCAAACCTACATGAGCCTGTGTTATTGAAATAAAATAGAAAAGAAGAGAAGATGGAGAAACTATGCAAGAAGAATATTTCAAAATGAGAATATAAATGTAGCACACTGAAACCAGATTAAGAAGTTTGACTCTGGAATATTTTTTTAGGCAGAAAATGCTTTGCACTTGAGAAAATTAAGGGAAACATAGACTTTGCAAAGCGATAGATAAGAGATAAGATTACAGATTGAGATGAATAAAAGAAATAGCAGAACTAAAGAAAAAAGACATTAAAAAAAACTTCTCTTGAAAATGATCTCTCTTTAAAACCACCAGAGCAGCAAAATAATATGAGAGAGCAAATTCCATGCTCAATGAAACTAGGAAATGGATACACTCCAAACAATAAGTTTTTAACAAAATTGAGATAGAGCACAGAGTGCCAATATATCATAATACTTCTAACCCTAAGAAATGATCTGGAGATCAAAAAGGGGAAGGAGATAAAGAAGTAGTTAGTTGTATTGCTGCTAAACAGAGTCAGCTGAGCTGAATAAATAAACACAGATTGTCAAACAAAAGATCTGAATGTACAGGGCTTCCCTCAGCCACTCCTATCTCCCACGCAGCAAAGAGCATGCTCACTGTAGTAGGGCTTTTCTTTGGATTTTAGACTCACCCAATCGGAGTCTTTAGGAATGGCACCCGGGAATCTGCTTTAACAGCATCACAGGGGCTTTAGGAAAAGGGAATTGAAAGATTATGCTGAGTAACATAATAATATAAAATACTAATACATTTTGTATCTATTTGATGGCAAAATACAACATATATATGTTATTAGATACTTTATATATTGCCATAAAAATGGGGAATTCACCATAAAGCACCTGTAGATCATTAGATCATTTAGAAAATGTGATTGTATATTAACGCTCAAGGAAAACATGAATAGATACCAAAAAGTACAAATAATTTATATTTTCATCTAGAATTCCGTAAACTAGCAAGTACTAGCAGAATTGAAATGTAGTAAAAACAACCCAATCTCTTAAAAACGTAAACTCCTTCTCAGAAAGTGTATTATTGAAATAAGTCAAAAGAATAATTACAAAATAATAAAAATGAAAATTCTTAATTTTCAAGTATTGAAATTTGAAAACTAAGACATACGGTCAAAGCTGTACAGAGAGGAAAATTGGTAGTCGAAACACTTACAGCACTGAACAATAAGGTATTGAATAAAGTATTCATTTCAAGAACAACAGCAACAAGAAAATCCCTAAGAAAGGCAAAATGAAAGAATGAATAAAGAAGAACCAGAAATTAATGAATTAGAAAATAGAAATTGGAATGGGTAAATATATGTGAAAGTAAATTGCCTGCAAATGGGTAGAAAAATATTTTAACAAAACAAAGTGGTAGCTAACCACTGATAGTTTTCTAGGAAAATATAAATTATCAAAAGAAATTCCAGAAAATATAGAAAACCTAAACAGACCAAAAATAACAAATGAAATAAAGTTACTCCCCAAAATTGCCAGTTTTTATAAGAAATCTTTGCAAGCCTTTCAAAAATATTCATATGTTATTTAAACATTTCCAGATCATGTAAAGATAAAAATCTTCCTATTATCTTTTTCAAAGCCAAAATAAGACTCATAACATAAACTGACAAAGATGTGTATACACACACAAACACACACACAACAAAGATCACTTTTACTAATTGTCATTTATTTGAAAGAAAATTGTTATATTTCTTCCCACACTATACACATACAAAAATTTCAAATGGATTGAAGACTTAGATATATTTTAAAACCACAAAAGTAATGGAAAGAAAACTTAGAATTTTTTTGTAGTTTTAAGAAAGGGATTTATAAGCATAGACAAGACCCAGAAACATTATTTTTTAAAAGCTAGTAGGTTTTTCTGAACAAAAATAAGGTTCTTCATGGAAAATATACATTAACAAAGAAAAAGACAATAAACTAGGAGAACATGTGTACAACACATAAAGCAAATACAATCAATCATATTACAGTATGTAGAAAGCAAATACAATGTAGCAAGAAAAAGACAGGCAAACAAGTAGAAAAATGAGAAAAAGGTATAAGCAGAAAGTTCATTTAAAAATGTAAATAACAAATATGTGGAAAGGGGCCAATCTTACTAAAAATCAAAGCGTTATCAACTAAAACAAATATGGGATATGTATTTTTCAAATAGATTGGTAAAATCTTTAAAGATTTTCAAAACCCAAATTTGGAGCAGTTTTGGGACAATAAATATAATCATAAATTACTGATAGGAGAGTCAATTTTACCAATTTTTTGCAGAATTTTCTTGCCATATGTTTAACAACATAAATATGTTCATTTTCAAAATTTCTCTAACAGAAGTATACCCTATAAAGACACTTGGAGAAGTGTGCAAAGATACATGTGTAAAGGTGATCACTGAAGCATGATTTGTAATACTGAAAATCTAGAAGCTACTTAAATATCTTGAAGAGGAGGCTCATTAAATAAGTTTTGGTAGAGTCATATATTACAAGCCATTTCTGAAAACAGATTTGTATGTACTAATTTAGATTTATATGTACAAATAAGAAATGCTATCAATGTATTATTAACTGAAAAACATACTTGGCAATATTTAGCAGAAACCTTATGCTAGGAGGTGATTCAGGAAGGGTTTATTTTTCTCCTACAACAGACTCGTTCTACAATTGCTCAAGAGGCTAAAACAGAATGTCAGGAATGCAAGATCTATCTTTGTGCTCCACTATAATTAACAAATAGATCGGCCTTTGTTCTTGTATATGTCACTTCAAAGGCATAAGATGGTGACCACACCTCCAGACTTCACATCTCTCTTTCGGGCAGAAGAAATACCTTCTCTTTTTATTTGGGAAGGGATGCCCTGTTCATGCACTTTTACGTTTGTCTATCTGGTAAATCGATTGCATGTAGGGATCCAGTTTCTCATGCCTCTTATATTTATGCCCTTTGGTTGTGACTGCGAGCTTGGACACGTGCCTTGATTTGACCACCAGGACAGTAGCAAACAACAGAGCAAAGACTTGAAAATGAACTTGCACATTTCTGCTTTCTCTCTTGGACTCCTGGCACTGCCATGGAGTCCCTCTCGCTGCCAGGAACCAGCTATATTCATACAAAAGACACATGAGGAAGAGCTGAATGGTCCCCACCTGCAGCCCCCCAGTGCAACCAACCTCTACCCAGCTCACCAGATGCCCACAGACACACGAATAAGCCCGGCCATGATCAGCTGAGACACGTCCAGATCAGAAGGGTCCAGACACTTTAAATATTTATTTAAGTTACTAAGTTTGTATGCCCTATAGAAATCAGAAACTGAAGGACGCTCATTGTTCAGAATTATATCCCAACATCATTATTTATTGAAGAAAAGTAGAGAAAATTAAATATTTTTACCTAGGCACATTCCCTCAAACAACCAAGTTTCTCTAAATAAGAATTAAGGGGGAAAAATGGCATTAGGAAGACCACTGACAATATTTCCCCCAGACAGGTAAAAAGATAAACGCCAGTGTTTTGATATAAAAAATAAATGAGCTGAGATAAAAAGAGAGACCAAAATGTTGATAGTTTTCTCTAATTCAGGAATCAGGAAAAAAAAAAATCTGTAAAGGGCTAGATAGTAAACATTTGGGGCTTTGCAGGCCTTTTGATCTCTGTCACAACTGCTCTGCTCTACCATGGGTAACACAAAAGCAGCCATAGACACTGTGTAAACAAATGGGCGTGGCTAGTTTGCAATAAAACTTTTTTAACAAAAACACAGTGAGCTGGACTTGGCCTGTGAAATATAGTTTGCAGATCCCTGCTCTATTGCTAAGATCACGAGTGACACTTTCTTGTTCATGCTTTTCTGAATTGAGTGGATTTTTATAATTAGTAAAAAAAGATATATAAAATCATGTGTAACTTAAAAATAGCTAAGACAAAATATTTATTCAAATTCAAAATCTTATGTTTTCAATATTTAAAAAAACACAAATGAACATCCAACCCAAGTAGTTAGAAAACACACACACAGCATAAAGAAATTAATGGAAATAAAGAATAAAATATTGCATTAAAAATAGATAAACCATTGACTTAACAAGTAAACATAAGTCAATGGTTTTCCTAAGAATGTAGGAATAAGTTTCATAACATGAAATATATCCCAAGGTTCTCTTGAAAAGACACTGAAGTATTATCCTCCCTTTTCCCTTTTTTTTATTTCCAACTTTTAAGTTCAGGGGTACATGTGCAGGATGTGCAGGCTTGTTACATAGGTAAACATGTGCCATGGTGGTTTGCTGCACAGAACATCCCATCACCCAGGTATTTATCCCAGCACCCACTAGCTATTCTTCCTGATGCTCTACCTCTTCCTACCCACTACCCTTTGACAGGCCCCAGTATGTGTTGTTCCCCACCATGTGTCCATGTTTTCTCATCATTCAGCTCCCACTTGTAAGTGAGAACATGAGGTATTTGGTTTTCTGTTCCTGCGTTAGTTTGCTAAGGATAATGCCCTCCAGCTCCATCCATGTCCCTGCAAAACACATAATCTCATCCCTTTTGTTGGCTGCATAGTATTCCATAGTGTATATGTGCCACATTTTCTCTATCCAGTCTGTCATGGTTGGGCATATAAGTTGATTTCATGTCTTTGCTATCATAAGTAGTGCTGCAATAAACATACACGTGCATGTATCTCTGATCATATATCTAGAAAACTTCATTGTCTCAGCCCAAAAGCTGCTTTTTTTTTTTCTTTTTTTTCCTTTTTTGAAATGGAGTCTTGCTCTGTCGCCCAGGCTAGAGTGCAGCGGCACGATCTCGACTCACGGCAACTTCCACTTCCTGGGTTCAAGAAATTCTCCTGCCTCAGCCTCCCAAGTAGCTGGGATTATAGGCACCCACCATTACACCCAGCTAATTTTTGTATTTTTAGTAGAGAGAAGGTTTCACTATCTTGGCCAGGCTGGTCTTGAACTCCTGACCTCGTGATCCTCCTGCCTCAGCCTCCCAAAGTACGGGGATTACAGGTGTGAGCCACTGCTCCTGGCCAAGCTTCTTAAGCTGATAAGCAACTTCAGCAAAATCTCAGAATACAAAATAAATATACAAAAATCACTAGCATTCCTACACACCAATAGGCAAGCTGAGAGCCAAATCATGAACGAACTCCCTTTCACAATTGCCACAAAAAGAATAAAATATCTTAAAAATGCAGCTTATAAGGGAAGTGAAGGACCACTTTAAGGAGAACTACTTACCACTGCTCAAAAAAATCAGAGATGACACAAATGGAAAAACATTCCAAGCTCATACATAGGAAGAATCAATATTTTGAAAATGGCCATACTGCCCAAAGCAATTTATAGATTTAAGGTTATTCCCATTAAACTACCATTGACATTCTTCACAAAATTAGAAAAAAACTATTTTAAAATTTATATGGAACCAAAAAAGAGCTCAAATAGCCAAGGCACTTGTAAGCAAAAAGAACAAAGCTGGAGGCCTCACATTACCTGACTTCAAACTATACTACAGGGCTACAGTAACTAAAACAGCATGGTACTGGTAGAAGAACAGACATATAGACTAATGGAGCAAAATAGAAAACCCAGAAATAAGATGACACACCTGCAACCATCTGATCTTCAACAAACCTGACAAAAACAAGCAATAGGGAAATGATTCCCTATTTAATAAATGATGCTGGGAGAACTGGCTAGTCATATGCAGAAAATTGAAACTGGACCTCTTACTTACACCATATACAAAACTAAACTCCAGATGGGTTAAAAACTTAAATGTAAAACCCAAAACTAGAAAAATCCTAGAAGAAAACCTAGGCAATACCATTTAGGACATAGGCACAGGCAAATATTTCACGACAAAGATGTCAAAAGCAATTGGAACAAAAGCAAAAATTGACAAATGGGATCTAATTAAACTAAAGAGCTTCTGTGCAGCAAAAGAAACAATAGAGTAAATAGACAACCTACAGAATGGGAGAAAATTTTTGCAATCTATCCACCTGACAAAGGTCTAATATCCAGTATCCATAAGGAACTTAAACAAATTTACAAGAAAAAAAAACATTAAAAAGTAGGCAAAGGACATGAACAGTCACTTCTCAAAAGAAGACACACATGTGGCCAAAAATCATATGGAAAAAAGCTCAACATCACTGATCATTAGAGAAATGCAAATCAATATCACAGTGAGATACCATCTCACACCAGTCTGAATGGCTATTAAAAAGGCAACAAAAGCCAAAATAGACAAATGGGATCTAATTAAACTAAAGAGCTTCTGCACAGCAAAAGAAACTACCATCAAGTGAACAGGCAACCTACAGAATGGGAGAAAATTTTTGCAATCTACTCATCTGACAAAGGGCTTATATCCAGAATCTACAAAGAACTTAGACAAATTTACAAGAAAAAAACAAACAACCCCATCAAAAAGTGGGCAAAAGATATGAACAGACACTTCTCGGAAGACATTTATGCAGCCAACAGACACATGAAAAAATGCTCATCATCACTGGCCATCAGAGAAATGCAAATCAAAACCACAATGAGATACCATCTCATCCAGTTAGAATGGTGATCATTAAAAAGTCAGGAAACAACAGATGCTGGAGAGGATGTGGACAAATCAGAACACTTTTACACTGTTGGTGGGAGTGTAAACTAGTTCAACCATTGTGGAACGCAGTGTGGTGATTCCTCAAGGATCTAGAACTAGAAATACCATTTGACCCAGCGATCCTATTACTGGGTATATACCCAAAGGATTATAAATCATGCTACTATAAAGACACTTGCACACATATGTTTACTGCAGCACTATTCACAACAGCAAAGACTTGGAACCAACCCAAATGTCCATCAATGATAGACTGGATTAAGAAAATGTGGCACATATACACCATGGAATACTGTGCAGCCGTAAAAAAGGATGAGTTCATGTCCTTTGCAGGGACATGGATGAAGCTGGAAACCATCATTCTGAGCAAACTATCACAAGGACAGAAAACCAAACACTAATAAACTAATAAAAAAAAATTTTTTTGAGTCAAAAAACTACAGAGGCTGGTGAGGTTGTGGGGAAAAAGGAACACTTTTACACTATTGGTGGGAATGTAAATTAGTTCAACCATTGTGGAAGCCAGTGGCAATTTCTCAAAGACCTAGAGGCAGAAATATCATTCAACCCAGCAATCCCATTACTAGGTATATACCCAAATGAATATAAATCATTCTGTTATAAAGATGTATTCTCCCTTTTCAATCTCCAAGTTCTCTTCTTCCTTCCATTATCATAAAATAACAGATTTTGTTTAGAAATAATATAGCATGCTTCTAGAATATATTCTTATCTTAAAATGGATAAAGCTTCATGTCTTAGAATTCAGCTCAGCCAAATTAATATGTCAGCAGACCCACACTAGATAAGGAGGGCTGGCATTCAAAAAGGAGCTGATCTCTTGTTTTCCTGCAGCTCAGTCTAGTAGAAAAGACAAACCTGTACAGACATAAATGCATTTTTAGTGTAGTAAACATGCAGTGATGGAGGTAAAGGGAAAAAACTAATAATAACTAATTGCTTGGCTCCCTACTGAGCTTTCCTCCTCAAGATACTTTATTGTATGACAAGCTACGATAGGGAAATACAAAATGTAAAATAATGTGATTTGAGTTACAGTTATCTATTAATATTGTAAAGCCTTAGAAAAATCTCTTAATCTCTTGGGGCCTCACTTTCCTCATCTTTGAAACTAGGGTAATGACTGTATGTACAGTACTGAGGTCATAGGGGTGCAAGGCTCAAATGACATAATGTTCCTGAAAACCTTTTAAATGTGCTATAATGCAAAAGTTATTTTCATTAACACCATTAGCATCAAAGTGTAAATTATTGTGAATTTCACAAGTCTATTTGAATTTTACACTTATTCCATTTGCACCAGAAACCATCTTCAGTTCACCATTTTAAAAAGTCAACCTAGTCTTAAATGAGTACTATACAAAGGATCTTGATTCACAAACATAACGGCTGCTGTTCTTCATCTGAAAGTCATAGTCATACCCTAAAGTTAAGATCAGTATGTGATCCACAGTGTCAAGTCCTCTGTAGCCTAAATATTGGAGGCTTTTCAGAATATGTTGTATTTACTCTTTCAGACCACATTATTTTTATATTATTTGTTAATAAGGTAATTATAATTACAAAACAGTAGAAGTTCTCCCAACTGACCTCTAGTAAACAGACTCCTCTTGCCTATAGCTATCTGTTAAAGGATGAAAGCTCACAGCTAATATTCTGGGATGTTGACATTCTGTTTCTACCAATGAGTTATATGCTTACTAAGAGTCACTCACGCTTGTTCCTACCTCTTGCATCCAGAAGCGACATAAAATTATTCTTCGTTTTGGCTCAGCATATATGGCCACTGCACTCAGGGTACCTAACTCAGTATTGAATATACAGTAAGTCTGAGTCACTGCATTTTTTTTAATAAACTACTTTCAGGTAACTTTTGAAAATGTAAGATAAAGACTTAAAATCGACATTAATTCCTTTGTCATTTTCAGGCACTTTGCTAGAGCTGGCTACATTTGCAATTTATCTTTTTTTTTCTTTGTTTTGGACTCATCAGCCAATTTTCAAAGCAATTTGAATTCACTTTTTGTATAAGAGTCTTCAGGAAAACATTCTGTCAAGGGCCTTGGGACAATCCAGATAAATGATACCCCTGCATTCCTCTCATACTAATCAACCATTTGTGAATCTGTCTCAAAGAACGCATTCCTGTGCCAAGCTACCCTTAGCACAGCCCTGAAGCTGCTGCTATCCTTTCTGTCCCTGCTTCGTGAGTTATCATTTTATTCTGTCTTGTTCTCCTGCCAAACTGACATTCCTTCTGAGATTCTGTTCTCAGAGCAATTCTGCTCAAAATTTGGGATATCAAGAAGAATGAAATTACTAATCTTTTTTGTCATCCTCCTTACTGTTATCCCCAGATATTTGTATGTTTCTATTTTCCCACTTACAATTTAGATCACTTGTAAACATACATACAATGGAGTTTTGGCAAATTTTGAGCTTACCGTGTGGATTACCTTCTGGTTGCTGTCAGTGTTTTCCAAAACTCACACATAATGTGAAAGAAAAGAACAAAATTGGGTAGCAATCATTGTATGGTCCAGCCATGAAATAATGGGTTTTATAACTTCCTCTAAACTAAACTAGAATAAGAAAAAATCATAAATAAGATTACAATTTGGGGCAACCCACTCGGGTCCCCTTCCACACTGTGGAAGCTTTGTTCTTTCACTCTTCGCAATAAATTTGCAGCAAAAAAAAAAAAAAAAAAAAAAAGATTACAATTTGATTGATAGCTCAGTATCAGTGATATGATAGAAAAGAAACACCAAACAGGAAGACAGAAGCTTTGGTTTTCCAGTAGCTTTTTATATTTGCTGGAACATGAAATAATGAGGGGTTTGTTACAAAATACATACAAGGAAAAAAAACAAAGAGAATCTTTGCTAATCTTGTAACAGGTATAGTCTGGATGTCAAAGGAGAGGAAAGATGATTTAGGGTCCAAGGTCATTTTACTAACAACATTAACTTGTCACTCTCTAGTTAGACAGTCTCTTGCCAATATGATGACTCAGTTCCTCTCTGAGTCTCTACTGCTGGATATTGTTTAGTTTCTGCTTAGTCGTGACGTCTGTACTTTGAACTTGAATGTACTGACAGCCTCTACATATTTATAGCCTTTCATGACGAATGTCATCTTAAAGTCTTTGATATCTGTCTTCTGCGTCGGTTTCAACATCAGCCTTCACCCTTCACTATTAACTGGAACAATTTTATATATATATGTATTTTGCATTGAAATTCTCCAAGGAAGAGAATTTGATGTGTTAGTCACTATCATTTAGCTTTGGCCAAGCTCTTATGCCAAACCATCTTGGGCTCCTGCTAGCCGGGAGGTAGAGCATCATCAATTTCCCAACCTTAATTTGACCTAATCAGCTGCTGCTGCTGGGGCAAAATCATGTGGTAATTGCTAGTGACCATGAGTTCATTGATTCGTCCCTTTTTTTTAAGTTCCTACTCTGTCGGGTATTATTCTAGACGTTGAGGAAACAGCAGTGAATAAAACAGAAAAAAGAAGATAACAAGATTCTGGCAGGAATAAAAATTTACCCCAGATGCTATAAATTAAATGGTTTCGATGAAAGAGCTACTTATATATGGTGGAAAATGTTTAGGAAATAAACAGGGGAAATTGAGAGACCCCAAGACCAGCAACAGTGAGAAGCTACTACCACACCCATTGTTGAAGTGGCAAGCGGTACATGGTACAGAACCCAATGAGATTTTCAGACGTGGAGTGAGAGCTGCCTGGAAGTCACGAGGAATAGAGATACTGTTCAAAGACAAGAACACTGAGGGAAGATACATCCCAATATCTCTCTCCTCTCTCATTCCATTCTCCAACCAGACCTTTCCATTGGCCAACCCAGAGAGAAATATGAGAGCAAGGAGACCAAGGTGATATAGCCTCTGGCCTCTGAGCATATACTGCAGAGCTAAGAAGTGCAGAAAATGGATAGGATGGCATTAACTGAGAAATCATTTCACAGGGACCTTACCATCAAGTGGAGTAAACAGTTAAAAACAATTAAACTGAAGTAACAATATCAAACAATACAATTTGGATGAATATAAGCACAATAATGAAAAAGGTGGGGGAAAGGGGATAGAAAGTGATTTTCAAGAAAAATTATCTTAGAATATTGGAAAAACACCAGGCACAGTGGCTTGTGGCTTATGCCTGTAATCACAACATTTTGGGAGGCTGAGGTGAGAGGATTGCTTGAACCCAGGAGTTCAAGACCAGCCTGGGCAACATAGACAAACCTTGTCTCTACGAAAAAAAGTTTTTTAGTCACCTGGATGTGATGGCATGTGCCTGTATTCCTAGCTACTCAGGAGGCTGAAATGGGAGGATCACTCGAGCCTGGGAGGTCAAGGCTGCAGTGAGCTATGACCATGCCACTGTACTCCAGCCTACGTGACAGCAAGAGACTCTATCTTTAAAAACAGAAATAAAGGAAAAAATAGCACATGTGGACAAATTTTTGTCAATTTAATGGAGATAAAAGATTCGTGTTTCAGAATTTTACATTTGGAGTAGTTGATATGCAAAAAGAATGTATAAAATATGTGCAAGTGATGAACATAAAAATAAAGCAAAAAACTAAATATCAATGCTATTCATCATCCTTTCCTCCTTCCTCACTCTTCATCAGCAGGACCTACCAGCCCGAGTTTTCATTTTTAATCACATCTTTACGTTTCTTTTAAATATATTTTCAGTTTTGCTTATTTTTGAAATTTATAAAATGTATATCTTATATTATTGTGTTTTGTTTTCACTCAATATACTTTTTAATATTCACCCATGTTGATTCACATTGCTGTAGTTCATCTTCACTGCTGAATAGATGTTCCATCATATGAATATTCTATAATATATTCATTAATTTTTCTAAGAACATTGTGTTATTACCAGTTTGTTGCTAATATGATGCTGATACAAATATTCCTGTACCTATCTTTAGATACAAGAGCAAGTATTTCTTTATAATATATAGCACATGCAGGAATAGAATTGCTCAGTTATGGGGTTCATGAATTTTTTTTTTTTTTGAGCCAGAGTTTTGCTCTTGTTGCCCAGGCTGGAGTGCAATGGCACGATCTCAGCTCACCACAACCTCTGCCTCCCGGGTTCCCAAGCGATTCTCCTGCCTCAGCCTCCCGAATAGCTGGGATTACAGGCATGCACCACCACACCTGGCTAATTTTGTATTTTTAGTAGAGACGGGGTTTCTCCATGTTGGTCAGGCTGGTCTTGAACTCCTGACCTCAGATGATCCGCCCACCTCAGCCTCCCAAAGTGCTAGGATTACAGGCATGAGCCACCATGCCTGGCCATGCATTTTCAACCTTACAAAATAGTGCCAACTTGTTTTTAAAAGTATGATTATACCTTGTGTAGACTCTCTCTGGCAACATTTAAGAGTTCCCTTGATTCCCATACTTGCCATCACTACATATGGTAAGATTTTGTATATGAGTAGAGCAAATGTGTAATAATAACTAATTGCACTTTTAAATTGCACTACCATAATGAGGTTTATTGTTGTTTTATGTAATTAATGACCACTGTGCGTCCCCTTCTGTGAAATACCTGTTCATATACTTAGCTCAATTTTCTATTGGATTGTTATTTGAATTTTCTTTTTACTTCATAGGACTTCTTTATATATTATAAATACTAATTCTTAATTTATTTCTGTGTTGCAAATATCTTAGATTGGGGCTTTGTAGTTTTCTTGATGAAATCTTTTGATAAATAGAGATTCTTCTTTTTAATGTTGAATTTATCAATGTTTTATTTTTCAGCTGTGAGCTGTTTTCTTGCTTTCGCTATGCTGAGATTACAGACATTCTCTTGTATTGCCCTCTAAAACAGCAATAAGCAAACTGCAGCTCACATTTGTAAATACAGCGTATGGAAACACATCCACGTCCATTCTTTTGTATAATATCTATGCCACCTTGCACTGGAAGAACAGAGTTGATAGCTGTGACCATATGGTCCACAAAGCCAAAAACTTTTACATCTGATCAGTTAGGAATAAGTGTGCTGATCTGGTTCTAAAAGATTATTAGATAGTCGATCTTTTTCTCCGAGATCTAGTGTGGCAATTGTTATGTATCAAGTTTTCATACATGTGTAGGTCTCTCTATGGGCTCTCTTCTCTTCTATTGGTCTGTGTGTCCATCTCTGTGTCATTTCAACACTGAGTTAACACAGCTTTATAGGAAATCTTGGCATCAGGTAAACCAAATTCTCACACTGTAATCTTCTTCAAGAGTATTTTCCCTTTACTTGGATATTCACTCTTTTATAAAAGTTTAGCTTTAGTTCAGACAGTTTCATGGGAAATACAACAAGTTGTTTTGATTAATATATAGATTAGGTTAATCTGCAGATCAGTGTTGTCATTTTTACTACTTTGATTACTAACCATGAAAATGCTATATGTTTATGTGTTCATTTTTACACACACACGCACATGCACACACATACACGGTTTAATGTCTTTTAATAAGGTTTAAATTTTTCAGTAGGGTTTGCACATCTTTGATTTATTCGTATATATGTTAATTGTGTAATGCTGAATGTTATCTCTTTAATTGACTTTTAAACACCATTGCTACTTTTAGTTATTCATCTTACATCCAAGAACCTTATTAAACTTGCACTATTTCTAATAATTTGCCTGTATATCCTTTTGGCTTTACTGTGTACAAAAGTAATGATAGTTTTGCTTTTTCCTTTTCAATAATTTTAGATTAGATTTCCTTCTCAAATGCACAACTTACAGTGTTACAGACAATAATAGATAGAAGCAGTGATGGTGCTTAATTGCCTCATTCCTCATTTTAGTATTTCATTATTGAATATAAATGCTCACTGTAGATTTTTGATAGATCCGTTTGTCAGGTTAGAAAGGATGCCTTCTATTTCAAAACCTCAGGATTTTTTATTATGAATGAATTTTGTAAAATGTTTTGCTGTACATATTAATCATTTTCCCCTTAATCTGTTAATGTAGTACTTATATTACCTAATGTTAAAGTACATTTGCATGACTGGGATGCATATACAAATTAAAAGTGATATCTTTCTAAACGCACTGTTGGATTTTATGTGGTAATGCTGCATTTATGATTCTGTGCATGTTATGGAGCTTGCCTATAATCATTCTTCTTGCGTTGTCTTTATTTGGACTTGTTGTTACCATTTGTCTAGCTTTAGAAAATGTGGTGAAAGTGTGCCTTTCTTTTTGCTAGGCTCTGGAATAACATATATTATTGCTGGTATGCTTTCTTATTTGTTTTGCAGATGTCACTCAGAAATCATCTTGGCCTTGTATTTTCTTTTTGGAAAGATTTTTAATTATTAATTCAATTTCTTTTATGGTTATAAATCTATTCAAGATTTCTATTTCTTCTTGAATCAGTTTTACATTTTCCTCCTGGATTTGTCTACTCCACCTACAGTTTTAATTTTGAGTTTAAAGTTTTTCAGCATTTTCACTTATCTTTTAACTCTGTTTTGTCTCTAATGAGATACCTTTTTTTATAGTTCATATTGTTTATCTAACTCTTTTTTTTCTTTTTGCACATCAATTATGTCAACATTTGGATAATTTCATTTTTTTTCTTTCCAAAGAAGCAGTTTTTGCTTTTATTAATTCTAAGAGATGTTTCCTTTTTCATTGACTTATACTTCTGTATATATTATATGCTATCCTCTATTGTGAATTTGTTCAATTGTTCTCTTTCAAACATTTAACATGGATTATTCAAAGATTGTTTTTAATTTCTAACAGTGTGGGATTTTTGAAAATTATTCTGTAAATATTGATTTCTTGATTAACTGTATTGTGGTCAAAAATATAGTTTGTATAATTCTGATTTATTAAAATTTGTTGAGACTTACTTGCTCTATGGTGAAAAAACTCTATCATACCGGTCCCCTGATATTTACTGATGCTTGATTTATGGTTTTAAATATGATTTATTTCCAAAAATGTTCTTCGTGGTCTTGAAAAACATGTCTATTTTCCAATAGAAAAATATTTCGCATGTCTGCTAGATTATGCTTCTTTATTGTATTATTCAAATCTTTCATATACTTGCATTGTTCAATTATCAATGACAGGGAGTGGTGGTAAAATGTCCCACTATGATCCTGGATATTTCTATTTTTCCCTGTAATTTTGTCAATTTTTTGCTTCATATGCTTTTAATCTCTGCTATTATATTCTTTGTTGTTGTTGTTGTTGTTGTTGTTGTTGAGACGGAGTCTGGCTCTGTCGCCCAGGCTGGAGTGCAGTGGCGCGATCTCGGCTCATCGCAAGCTCCGCCTTCCAGGTTCACGCCATTCTCCTGCCTCAGCCTCCCGAGTAGCTGGGACTATAGGCGCCTGCCGCCACGCCCGGCTAATTTTTTGTATTTTTAGTAGAGACGGGGTTTCACTGTGTTAGCCAGGAATCTCTGCTATTATATTCTTAAGAAGTATTATATTCTCCTAGTGGATTCAAACTTGCATTAATATATAATGATACTCTTGATCTCAAATGTTTCTGTCTTAAGGTCTTAAGGTCTATGTTCTTATACTATTACATTAGAACAATATGAAATTGTTTTTTTAGGTTAATAAGTGGCAAATTTATAGAGTTCAATCCAATAGCCTTGTCAGTTTTCTCTTTTTTCTCTGTGTGCTTTCGTATTAGGTATGTCTCTAATAAACAGCATGTAGCTTGATCTTTTAAAAGCATCCATACAACAACCTATGCCAGTTCATAGTGTTTCCTGATGTATTTGGATTTCTTATTGCTTTATTTTGTATTTTCTCTTTGTCTCAATTTTTGTGATTTTTTTCTTGTTAAATTAAAAAAAAAAACTTTAGAGAAAATACATTTAACACAGTTTGAGTAGAAGATGATTCATGCATGACGCAGCACTCAGAACCAGAAGGGGTTCAGAGAGCTCAGCTGCAGTAGCATGGGCAGAAGGCTTTGACAGGCTGACATGGAAGGAAGGCAAAGAAAATCTATTTGATGGCTTAGAGTGGAAAATCCCTAGGAAGAGGTTAGTTGGTGGCTTCTGACTGGTAAAGTCTCTAGTTTGGTTGTACTGCTTATATTGTGCATTGGTTTGCTTATGTAAAAATCTAAAATGCTGAGGCTGTATCAGTTTACTGACCCTCCAGTTACAATTGTTTTGGCCGGGCACGGTGGCTCACGCTTGTAATCCCAGCACTTTGGAAAGCCAAGGTGGGTGGATCACAATGTCAGGAGATCAAGACCAACCTGGCCAACATGATGAAACCTGATCTCTACTAAAAATATAAAAATTAGCTGGGTATGGCGGCGTGTTCCTGTAATCCTAGCTACTCAGGAGGCGGAGGCAGTAGAATCGCTTGAACCCGGGAGGCAGAGGGTGCAGTGAGCTGAGATCGCACCACTGCACTCCAGCCTGGCAACAGAGCGAGACTCCATCTCAAAAAAAAAAAAAAAAAAAAAAAAAAAAGAATTTTTCTACAATTGCCGTGTTCTAGATTGATTGGGGTTTTTTCCCCGGTTTTCTTTTTTTTCTAATTTTGGTATATAAACATTCAGTTTTTCTTTCTTAGTGATTACCCTTGAAATTTTAATATGCATACTTAGCAAAGTCTAACTGTGATCAGTATACTTACCTTCAGCCCAAGAACAAAAGAACCTTCTAAGGTAATCCCAATCATTCCCTCACTGTTTGCTGCTGTTGTTTCCCAAACATTTAGCTCTTTGTTGTGTTGTGTCTACTCTACAAGTTGGGCATTATTATTATTATTGATTCATGATTACTTTATAAATTTCTCCTTCTAGAATACTGATTAGATACCTATTTGCCATTATTTCAATTTCTATGTTTATCAACCCCTCTTATTTTCCAACTATTGGCCTCTGCCTTCTGCATTCCATAAAAATTTTCCAGATCCCAGCACTTTGGGAGGCCGAGGCGGGTGGATCATGAGGTCAGGAGATCGAGACCATCCTGGCTAACAAGGTGAAACCCCGTCTCTACTAAAAATACAAAAAATTAGCCGGGCGCGGTGGCGGGCGCCTGTAGTCCCAGCTACTGGGGAGGCTGAGGCAGGAGAATGGCGTGAACCCGGAAGCGGAGCTTGCAGTGAGCCGAGATTGCGCCACTGCAGTCCGCAGTCCGGCCTGGGCGACAGAGCGAGACTCCGTCTCAAAAATAAATAAATAAATAAATAAATTTTCCAGATCTATATTACAATTCATGAATTCTCCATTTAGATGCTTCTATTACACTATGCAACACTTAAGTTTTACATTCGTTATGGTTTTCAATTTTAAAATTTCTAGAGGTGAATGCTTTCTTAATCATGCAGCTTAACCCTTGTAGCCCCAAAACTGGAGTTTCTTCTCCCAGTCTAATAGTGATTTCTACTCAATGTTTATGCTGTGGCCCAGAATGCAATAGGCTCAACACTTTCTACTGCTTTCATTTCCATTTATTTACCCCGCCAAAATACTGGTGTGTAGTCTAACAGATAGTCTGTATTTATTTGTTTAAAAGCAACCCTGAATTATAATTCTAGATAATATTAACATAAGCAAAGGAGATAAAAACTTGGCCTAACGGCTACTAAGAATAACTACGAGTTTATTATGCTAAAAAATGGTATGATATTGATGCAAAAAGCAACAAAGCTGACCTACAGACCAGGATTTCTGTGAGATACATTTATATCTCAGAATTTAATACATAATAAAGATGGCATGCAAATCAGATGGTTCCATAAATTATGATAGGAAAATTGCTCATTATGGAGAAAAATTCACACCTATTACCACATAAAAGGATGGAATTCAGATATATTAAAGAAATAAATCAAGGAAAACTATAAAAATAGAAGGTAATGTGCCCTAGGGTAAGGGAAGAACTTCTTAAAACTCCAAAGACATCAATTAATTGATTTAATCACATCGAAATAAAGAATTTAAGTGAATAAAGTTAAGAGAATGATTTCACAGAGATTTTCTGTATCTAACACCACAAGAAAAATATTATGCAGAATATACATATGAGAGGAAACTCATTTTTTTAAAAAAGCATAGGAATCTCAAATTTTAAAAATAGGGTAAGGATGTTATAAAGTTGATTTCAATCAAAACTTTTTTCTCTTATTTTCTTGTATCCTTTTCTCCACCCACTGCTCGGCAGAATTCATTGCCTCAGGGAAGGAAGAACACAGCAGAAAAGCAGAGAAAAATACTAGGTTGGTGTCAAAAGCACAACTATGAAATACATAACTTTTAGGGCATAAAACATTATATTTGGAAAACCAGATGAAACTCCAGGCTCCCTTGTCCTCAAACTATACAAAGATGGCAGGCATGCAAGGAACAAGGAAAGTCATGGCAGAAACAGAGCTTATGTGATGTCAGGCTCCAGAGCTGGGTGTTCTGTCGGAAAGTCCCACAGAGAATTAGGAATTCAAGACCAGACCAAACTGGGCCCCTATCCCCAGGGGACAATCTGGAGCCAGCAAGATCCCAGTGTTCCTGTTCCTCAGCCTGGCTCCCTAGAACAGCACTACAGACAGGCCTAAGTCTACCTCCCAGTGCACCTTGTAGCCCTACAAGGAATGGGAGGTTCCCTTATGCCTGAGAGCAGAGCAGAGACAGCTGCTCCGAGAGCCCTTAGTCGGATCAAGGTAAAGGCACCAGGGCCTCACGGTCACAGTGGGAATGGGATGCTGTAGATGCGTCTGTGTGGATGCAGAATGATTTCAAGGACCAGCCTCCCTCTTTCCCTAAGTCCTTGCCTTCAATTATGGACAAACCCAGAGAAAGGGAGGGGAACCCCACTAGACTAGCCGTTCTCAACAGGGAATCATTTTGCCTCTCAGCAGATATTTGGCAATGTCTGAAGATGTGTCTGGTTGTTAGAACTGGGAGGTGCTGCTGGTATCTGGCAGACATGGGTCAGGGGTGCTCCTAAATATTCTGTAATACACAGCTTCCCAAATAATTACCCAGCCCCGAATCTCAATAGTGTCAAGGCTGAGAAACTCTGCCTAAACTGAGATTAGGTTTTAATCCTATGGCAAAATAAAGATTTATAATAAAAATTACGTTCATTTATTTAAAAGTAAAGAAAATTGCATGGAATTTTCACTAGTTCATGGAATAAAATGTGCATCCACTTTTTTATGCAAAGGAATCTATTATTTCTCTAATATAAAATAATCAACACTCATCATTTCTGGATTTAATGAAGAGGTTTTTGGGGCAAGAAAAGCTTAAGTAACTTTAAAGGAAGACAAAGTACTACACCTGGCACGAGGAGGAAAGAGAAATGGAAGCAGGAAGGCAGATGCCAGAAGCTTACAACAATATTCTAAGCCGAGGAGAGGAGGAAAGCAGGGGAGAGGGAAGTTTTGTGCAGCTGAGTCATCCGTGGAACATCGTTCAGAGAAGCTGTTTCTAATCAACAACAAGGGGGCCATGAGCATTTTCAGAGAGGTGAGATGGGCTCCCTTCCAAACTCTACACTTAAAGTTTACTAAGAATATAGTGTGAGAACCCCAACCAATGAACTGGCTAGGTTGAATATCAGCAAAGGAAAAAATGGGAAATGTTTTCAAAAATAGCATGAATGAAAGCAAAGGTCAAAATCAACGAAGAGAACACAGAAAGGAGGAAGGAAAGGAGAAAAAGATCTAGAAACAATTACTATGGATAATAAGCAAATCAGTCTTATGTTAATGACATGCCCAAGTGTTCCATTTTTATGCGAAAGGAAATAACTGTGAAGTATCACCAACATAAACACTAATTAAAAGAGATTAAATGTCTTGGGATGAAATGTCATAACATAACACACTGTCAGTTTGTGGTGTTCTCAAAATGTTAATGACCTCTAACTTCAGCTGTTTCCAATACCCACGATCTCAAGGGAAAGAAACCTCAGCTGCAGGACTCCTGGGGGGAGCTCAGAGCTTTGTCCCATTTCCTCACTGTTAGTAGATAAAGTTTCATTGAAAACGAGTCGATGACATTTGCCCATAATTCAGAAGGGACCATGTTTTCTAAAAAGGATTTTTCTCTTCCCAGAAAGTACTAGAGTTTATCTTACCATTTCAATAATGTTCCAGACCTGATTCAGTCAGTCTCAAATACCCTTTGGAATAATAGTCTTCTGTTCTCTAGCAGTGACATTTCTCCAGCAACAGTGGCATCTGCAGAAAATTTAGGAAGTGAGAGTTCATCATTTTATAAATTCATTCTGGAAAAAAAGTGTGAGTCAGGATGAATTTATAACCATTTTACCAGGACAGATCCCAGAATTCTTCCTGAACTGTTAATTTAGAGTATATTCTGAGTGGCCACACCTCCTCATTTACTTTAATAAAAATCATTTGTACTTCTGATTGCCACAATTATTTTTACCTCCCAGCCAAAGAAATTAGGCAAGCACCCTATGGTCATTTCACAGATTAGTCATCCTCTCCTGTCTATTCTACTGACCCAGTTTCTCTCACACAGCCACGACATGTTCTGTCCCATCTAACCAGCAACACTTTTGAACATATGAACCTCTATGTGTATGCATCTGTTGACAATTTTGCCTGCATTTATTTGACAAATGCTTATTGAAATTTTATTAAACACAAGCCCTCAAATAAGTTCCTGGTTTCAGGAAATTTCTAATATTTGGGGATGCAAGATTGGAGACAAGAGCCATAATAGGAAAAGCAATATGGGGCAGTATAGGTAAGTGTCACATCTATGGTCCAATTAAAGTCCTCAGTAATTAACAAGAAGAGGAGTCCTTTAGCCGGAAACATCCGGGAAATCTTCAGGGCAGTGGGTTACACACCATGAACCTTGAAAATGTTTACAGAATGTTGATTGAGATGCACAGAATAAGACATTCTGCCTGTTATGTTAAAGTAACCATTAACCACATGTGACTATTTAACTTGAGCTGAAATAAAAGTAAAAATTCAGTCATACTATTGAGCACATTTCAAGTGCTCAGTAGCCACATGTAGCTAATGGCTACCAAATTGCACAGTATAGAATATTTCCATCATTGCAAAAAAAATCTGTTGGTATGCTCTGTTCTAACTTGAAAAAAATGTGATAATTATCCATAGGAAACTACAGGTGTTTTACAGATACTTGGGCACCAGTAAGCATGCCACATTTGCTGGAGCACAAGGTATAAATAGAATAGTAGTGGAATAAGATTGGAAAGGGAAGTTGAAATCAAATTTCAGTGGTCCTGAATGCATTCATTCAAAGTCAGAGGTTTGTTTAGACCAGAGGACTGAGATTTAGAAGGATTAATCTTTGGTTATGTGTAAAATAATGACCTGAAAAGCAACCAGACAATGGGCGCTCAGCGATGGCTGCACATTAGAATCATCTGGGGAACTTTTAAAGACTTGATTGCCCAGGCCATACCCCAGATGAATTAAATCAAAATCAATGGGGGTCAACTTGTATATCAGTATTTTTTTAAATCTCCCCAGGTAATTCCAATATGCAAAAGTATTTAGAGATATTTGCTGTTTTTATGTGCACAGCATCCCTTCTCCCACTTCTGTCAAGAATAGCCTCTTTCTCCTGATGAATTTCCCCTTTTTCTACCCAATCTTGGTGGACTTTCCAATCATAATAAGCTGATGCCCTGGTCAAAAGACATAGCCTTGGAACCAAATCCTGGCAAATCATAATACCCCAGTTATGCTGGCTATGAGACCACATACCAGGTTTAGACTATAATCCAAATTAGGCAAATAAGAGCCTGTTCTGAGATTTTGCATGCATTTTTCTGGTTGAAAAGTCTATTTCATCTAGGAGGTCACTAAACTAAGATGATGTTAGCCTTAATATTTCTGTGATACATTCTTCTCTCTACCTTATGGCCACCATCATGCCATTGAATGGTATAAAGTCATCAACACAAGAAAATTACAAAATTCACAGATGCAAGCACAGCTAAAACATTTTGCAGTAGGAATGTCAGTGAAGACACAGAAAGAAGACCTCATGACATTCCTTGGGCTCTTGGCAAAGTCCCTGAGGACAGCTCTATCTCTGGATTTCCCAGTTGCCTGAGCCAAGAAATTACCTAACTACTCTTTCTGCTATTGCTTAAATTTGTTTGAGATATGTTTTGGTCCTTTTAGTAGTAAAATATGTATATACAGAGATGTAGAATGTAGCTTTGCCAAACATGTTTGACCATAGACCCCTCTTAGAATACCTATTAACGATTTATAAAACACTCATCTTTTTTCAAAAGTGCTACAAAGAATTGCTGAAACATGAGCACCCTAAGTATGACAACCATAGTGAGACTCACTTGTAAACCTAGAGTGAAAGATAATTGACTTAAGCTAATAGAAGCAAAGAACAACAAAGAGAATGTGTGGGAGCACAGGGGTACCTGAAAGGTAGATCAGAAAGAGAAATGAGCCTAAAGGCAGGAAACAAGGAAGGGTAGTACAAGGAGTTCCACCATCTCCATCATTACCATATCTCCACCATCTCCACATTATCTTAGTGCCTTGTATACAAACATGACCTTAATCTATGTTGACTACACAGTTCAACCTTCAGGGTTATGCAAACAGCCTCATTCTTGTGCCAGAAGAAGGAGGTCTGTCTTAAGTCAAGACCAATAGTAACCTAGACCTCTTTACTGTAGGGTAGAGGTTTAAAGTGAAGAAAGAAGATAGTCAAAGCTCATGTATCCATGTAGTTCATTCTCTTGACTTTTCAGACTTTGGATTGCTGTTTCCTTGGTAATCCCATGGAGCATATTTATTAAGATGAACCCAGGGCCATGTCTAATTCAAAGCGGCATCTTCCCACGTGACAGGACTCACATAGCCTTGGCTAAGTCATTTGGGCCTGCTGACTAAACCAAAACATGTATCTAAGAATAAGGAACCCTAAAGACCAACTCTTACTAAAAAACTTAGCAAGACAGACAAAAAAATAAAAATTCCAAAAGCAAATGCACACTCCAGTCCAGTTCACTACCCCAACTTCTCTTTTTTATATAACTCCCTTTTGAATCTGTTTGAAGAGTTGATCAGGCTTGGGGATTACATCTAGTTCTTGATCTCTTCTTGCCTTAAAGCACAAACAACAACCTACTCAGCTCTTTTGCCCAGCCATCCCCAGATATGAATTAATGGGGCTTACCGTGTTTGGTGTTAATGATCCTGCATAATGACTAGAGGCCAGTGAAGCAGAGAAAATATTAGAAGAAGTAATCATAATTGGCTGGTTGAAAAAACTGGGTGGGGATCAGATCTACTCACAGGAGGGGAAATAAGGCTTTTAACAGGAAGAAAATAGCTGGTAACATAGGCATTCTTTGCACCCCGCAATCCTTCCACTGCTGATATTTCCTGTCACTTTTACTTGAGGATTCAACCTTTACCTTACACTACCTCAGGCATTTTATGTAACTTAACTCAAGCAATTTTCAGATGCCAGTCTCTATAGGATGTGTTCTGTGTTTTAAAGAAATTTTACAATATATTCCCATTTATAGATTTTAAAATGTAGGATTCTATGACAAATGATGAAGAAAAATCTCTTCCCTGGTAGGAGGTTGCTTGAGATGGCCTTTGTAAGACCTCTTCCAGTTCTGATAGTGAATGACAATATTTAAATGTTCAAAGATATGCACATTGTGTGAATGCCAAGAAAAAAAAAATAGAGGATGGAGGATGGAGAGAATGTAAGGGATTTTGCTATTTTGTTTCTATAATCAAAAAATAGTTTTATGCAGCCTCCCTTTGAGTTTGTTGTATAAACACATTTGTGAATAGAAAATTTAAGAGACCTTTAACATTTGAGAAATTCAGCTGTTTCAACAGTCACCATGTCAAGCACACAATGACACTTTGTTTTCACTGAGCCTCATAGAATTGGATTACCCAGCAATGATGCGATGAAGGTGTATGTTGTAAACAGTAATGGGCTACTCGATAATGAGAATCTTACATGTTATCCCAAGTCAGGTGGGTACAGTCAAAGTCAAAGGGATTTGGATGCTCTACTGGTAAAAAAATCTTTCCCATGTAGTCTGTCAATCCATTCATTCAAAAAACAAACAAAAACAAAAAAAAAAACAGGGTTTGAAAAAGTATCCTATCATAACCCTGCGGATTTCAAACTGTCTTTTTCAAGTAGAAGATGTCCAAAATATGGAAATTGGATTTTAAAAAACCTACAGGTGGTAGAAGAAAATAAGAGTTCTTTCAGTTCTCTCTCTAGCCCCTCCATAATCTCAGAGGTTCCAGTAAGCAAGGTGTGAAAACCATGATAGGAAATTCTTTCCTCATTCATTGTCAAGTATGGCACCCCCTGAAGTTTTGCAACATATCAGCCCTGACTGAATGGCCTGAGAAAGCAATTGATTAATTAGAACTAGGAATCTTTTGTATCTTCTAGAGTCTCCTTTAAAAATGTAAATGTTCCTGGGAGGAGAAACATCTTAAGCAATTATGAGAGATTATTTTGTGAATTCAACTTTGCAGCATGGAAGCTTGGCTGATAACAAAGCTTTATAGAATGGGGTACAGATAATGGAAGTTAAACAAACTAAACTAGATGTAACCAAGGAAAAACTTATTTACTTCCTGAGGTTACACAGGGTCCACCTAACAAGATATCAATAGCTTTTTTCATATGACCATAAAGATAATTGTTATTTTCTTTCCAAATTTTATTTTAGGTTCAAGGGTACATGTGCAGGCTTATTACATGGGTAAATTGCATGTTGTGGGGGTTTAGTGTACAGATTATTTTGTCACCCAGGTGACATAGTACCCAATAAGTAGTACCCAACAAGTACTTTTTCTATATTCACCCTCCTCTTACTGTCTACCTTCAAGTAGGCCCACGTGTACTCAATGTTTAGCTCCCACCGACGAGCGAGAACATATGTATGCGTGCCTTTATGGCAGAACAATTTATATTCCTTTGGGTATATACTCAGCAATGGGGTTGCTGAGTCAACTGGTAGCTCTGTTTTAAGTTATTTGAGAAATCTCCAAACTGCTTTCCACCGTGGCTGAACTTATTTACCTTCCCACCAGCAGTGTATATTATTTTTCTCCACAACCTTGCCAGCATGTTATTTTGTTTACTTTTTAATAACACCTAGAGGAATGAGAAAAGAGCAAACCAATCTCAAAGTTAGTGGAAGAAAATAAATAACCAAAATCAAAGCTGAATTGAATGAAATTGAGATGCAAAAAACTATACAAAAGATCAATGAAACTAAAAGTTGGTTCTTGGGGAGAATAAGATTGATAGACTGCCAGCTACATTAGTAAAGAAAATGAGAGAGAAGATCTGAAGAAACACAATTAGAAATGACAAAGGGGACATTACCACTGACCCCACAGAAATACAAAAAACCCTCAGAGACAATTACAAGAACCTCTATGCACACATACTAGAAACCTAGAAGAAACTGATAAATTCCTGGAAATATACAACCTCCCAAGATTGAACCAGGAAGAACCTGAAACCCTGAACAGACCAATAATGAGTTCCATAATTTAATCAGCAACAAAAAGCCTGCCAAGCAGCAAAAGCCCTGGACCAAATGGACTCATGGCCAAATTTGACCAGACATATGAAGAAGAGCTGGTACCAATCCTATTGAAACTATTCCCCCACAAAAAAAAAAAAAATCGAGGAAGAGAGACTCATCTCTAAACTATTCTATGAGGCCAGCATCATTCTGATACTAAAACTTGGCAGAGACACAACAAAAAGATATCAATAGTTTTTAAATAATTATTAAATTGTGAACATTTGAAATATCCTGTGCACCAGATACTCTTCCAAGTCTCACTTTATGTACTAATTTATTTTTTTGTGTTTCTTTATTCCTTTTATGTATTAACTTATTAATGCAGTCTTTATAACAACTATGTGATGAAAGTTCTATTTTATACTCATATTACAAATGAGGAAACTGAGGCATAGGGGAGTGAAGATCACATAGTTAAAAAGAGACAGAGCCAAGATTCAAATCTAGCTCTAGTTCTAAGGCCTGTGATAACCTCATAGAATGTTTCATCTTCCAGGGGAGTAGATAATTATTTCATATCTCCCCCCAGCCCTCCCAAAGAATAGCCCCTTCTGAACTTTAACTCTCTCACTGGTCCTCTCCAGGGTTGTTGATTGCTCCAAAGAAATTAAAATGTTGCATTTTAGAGAGCTATGTGCATATTGAGATGAGAGTTTTCCTCCAGTTTTACAGCCTAAGCTCTAACCAGCTAAATACTTATTTTGCTTAATTGAAGCAGCATGGTGTTTTCAGGTCTGTCATGTACTACAACCAGGGTGTGTCACAAAACTCCAGGCAAATGACACACACAGAAATGCTGATGTGACTATCATCTTCTGGGGCTGAAGTATGAAAAGTGGTGACCCTGGGAGTTTGGCCTTTACCTACATCATTAAAGCAAAATGCTTTATTCTGTGTCCTGCTCTGTATCTTTCATAGAGGTCCCAACATCAGCCACTATGTAACCTGTCCCATCTGACTCTCAGGAGTGTCTTCTAGAGCCCGGTAACCTTTGCATCCTACAAACGGGGGCTCTGCCTGGGAAAAGCTATAGAACCCCGTGGAAGTGATCTAGAAAGGGTCACACTCAAATCCTTCTTTACATAAAGAGAACACTAAGGTCTAGAGAGGTAGATTCATTTACTCAAGATCACAGAGGTATTAGTGGAAAATCCAGAATTTGAATCTAAACACAATGACACTGGGGTTTAGGTTTATTTATTTATTTATGGCTATAAGTTAATATACTTAGAAAGTGAATATAAAAACTATATGATAGGAACCGCCACATCTGGCCATGTTGAAGTAATAGGGACTAGGTTTATCCATCTTCATTAAATAACCAGGAAGTTGGAATAAGACAATGTTTTTTTTTTTTTGTTTGTTTGTTTTTGAGACAGAGTCTCGCTCCGTGGCCCAGGTTGGAGTGCAGTGGCGCGATCTCGGCTCACTGCAAGCTCCGCCTCCCAGGTTCACGCCATTCTCCTGCCTCAGCCTCCCCACTAGCTGGGACTACAGGTGCCCTCCATGGCGCCCGGCTAATTTTTTTTTTTTTTTTGTATTTTTAGTAGAGACGGGGTTTCACTGTGTTAGCTAGGATGGTCTCGATCTCCTGACCTTGTGATCCACCCGCCTCGGCCTCCCAAAGTGCTGGGATTACAGGCGTGAGCCACCGCGCCCGGCCGGAGTAAGACAATGTTTTTTAGACATTAGAAAAGTCAACAGAGGACTATGAAGTAAATACTACCGTAGCCTCACTTATAATCTCAGAAAATTTTCCAAGCTGTGGAGGGAAACCCAAAAAGAACCTGGCAGTCTTGTAGAATTGAGAGGGTAGAATATGGAGTTAAGGGAGGTCAGAGAAGTTAGCTTTTGTAGGGCAAATACTGAAAAAAAAAAGGAAACTGTAAAGAAAGCACTAGAGATATACAGAGGGGGCCTGTCACATCTTTAGCTAAGTACTGATCAGCACACATATTTGAGAAAAGGAACCAGAAAAAGAATCACTAGAACGGAGTAGAGAAAACAATCCCTGAAACTCACACAGGCCTAGGAACCCTGTGAGTTTCCACTAGCCAGAATGGAAAGATTTCCTAGTACAGGGGACGTTAGATGCATTCTTCAGATGGATATTGCCTCAGTAGTGGGGTCAAATTAATCCAAGAAGAAAACCTGCTCTGAATCCACCACAACAAACCTTAAAGGCAAGCTTGAAATGATCTGATTGCAAGTAAACATAACTGAATCCCAAAACAAAGGCCAACATTATTTAAAGAGATACAGTGAAACTCAGCACCTAATAATGTAAAACACACAAGGTCTAGCATCTAACAAAAAATTGTCAGTCATTCAAACTAGCAGAAAGATACCACCAATAATAGGAGAAAATCAATCAATAAAAAGAGACCCAGAAAGAAGACATATGATAGAATTAACAGATAAGAATATTAGAGCGACTATTAAAAATATAATCCATATATTCAAGAATGTACAAGAAACCATACATACGAGGGAAGAAATGGAAGAGTTATTCTGAAAAGACTCAAACCAAATTTCTAAAGATATTTTAAAAACACCTAAACTAAAAAAATACACTGAATGAATGTGGCAACATATTAGAGACTGCTATAGAAAAGATAAGGGAATTTGAAGATTTAGTAAGAGGAACTAAATAAAATGTAACATAGATTTCTTTCAATGGAAAAATAAATAGAGCTTCAGTGAATGAGGGAAAATATCTAACAGTCTGACATATGTGAACTTAGATTTATTTCCAAAAAGAAAGTGGATATGGTAAGGGAGAAAAATAATTGAGGAAACAATGATCCATCTTTTCCAAACTTGATGAAAAGTAAAACCTACAGATCCAAAAATTTAATGAGCCTCCAGCAAAAAAGCATAAAAGGAACAGGAAGAAAACCATATAGTGGCACATTATAACCAATTTTTTAAAATACTGAAAGTTTTAAAAGTAGCCAGGGGACAAAAAGACATATTATACAGAAAAACATACACAGGGAACTACTTATCAAAAACTATACATGCCAGAAGAAAACAGAGGACATAGTTACTGTAATGAAAGAAAAAATGCCCACATTGAATTTTACACTCAGCAAAAAATGTTTCAAAAGTGAAATTGAAATAAGGACCTTTTCAGACAAACAAAAGCAGAGAGAATTCATCTCTAACAGAATGACACTTTAAGAAATGTTAAAGGAAATTCTTCAAACAACAGGAAATGATAGCACATGAAAATTTAAATGTACCCAAAGGAATAAATAACAGTGAAAATGGTAAATGTATAGGTGAATGTAAAAAATCACTTTTTTCTCAATTTTATTAATCTCTCTAAAGAATAATTGATGATTGAAAGCAAACATAATTATTTTTGTGGGCTTTATTACCTAAGTCAAATGTATGGTAATAGCAGCACAAAGTACTACAAAAAATAAAATGAAAGCCTAATGTTTTATATTTCTTACACAAGAAATGTGATATTATTATTTGAAAGTAGACAATGCTGAGTTACATAGTAAATTCTAGAGCAACAACTACTTAAAAAATGCATAACTAATGAGAAAACAATGGGGAAAAAATGAATCATTAGAAATACTCAATAAGTCCATAAGGAGGCAGAAAAATGGGAAGGGGAGGAACATGTGTACCAAATAGAAAATAAATACCAATATGATATATTTAATCAACATTTTATCAATAATCACATTAACTCTAAATAGCCTAAACATTCCAACTGAAAGGCATAAACTTTTAGATTTAATAAAAAATTTTTTAATTTAAGCAAAATTTAACTACCTGCCCTCTAAAAAAAAACTTGCTTTAAATGTAAATACACAAAGTAAAAGAATGGAAAAAGATATGTCATGCAAATATTAATAAAACATAAAGACAATAAATAACATCAGAGATGCAAACTGCAGAGGAAAGAATATTACCGAGGTAAAGAGGGATACTCTATTATGAAACAAAATTCAATTAATCAAGATGGCATAAGATTTCTAAATGTATGTGACCTAGTAACAGAGCTTCAAAGTAAAGAAAAAAACAGGAGAAGTTTCAAATCTACAATTATAGTTGAACATTTCAAAATCTCTACCTCAATAATAGAACAAAATACATTAACTTGTTAATTTTAAGGACATGAACAACAACAGCAAACCACATAACCAAAGTGACATTAATAGAGCACTTCAGGAAACAACAGCAGAATACATATTCATTTCAAATGCACATGGGATATTTACCAAAATATGCCATGTTATATGCCATAATACAATTCTAAATACATTTTAAAAGATTGAAACTACATAAAGTATGGTTTCTAATCACAATGGAATTAAATTAAAAAACAACAGAAAGATGTCTTTTAACATCCCCTAAATATTTGGAAGTTAAACAACATATTTATAAATATCTGTAGTCAAAGAAATAAAAAACATCTTGAAATGAATAAAAACTAAAATACACAATATCAAAATCTGTGTCATGCAGCTACAGCAATGCTTAGAATATTATAGCATTAAACACTAATATTTAAAAAGGTATCAAATTAATAATCAGTCTTTTACATGAAGATAAAAAGCAAACAAAAACCAAAATAAGCCAAAAAAGAAAAAAAAAAAAAAAGAAAGAGCTGAACACCAATAGGCCCTCGTGGACATAGACATAGAAACCCTTGATGAATTATAAGCCAATTGAATTCAACAATATATTCAAAGGATACTTACTATATCATGGCCAAATAGAATTTATTCCAGAAATACAAGATGTATTCAACGTTCACATATCACTCAATGTAATTTACTATGCCAAAAGTATAAAAAAGAAACATGCACATCTTAATGAATGCTGAAGAAGAATTTGGAAAAAATTAAAATGTATCATCATAAAAACTCTTATCAAACTAGGAATTAGAGAGAACTTCTTCAACCTGAAAAAGGGCATCTGTAGACACTTAACATTATACTAAATAGTGAAAATCTGTGACTATATAATGGTTTCCTTTAACATTAAGAACAAGACAAGGATGTTCACTCACACCACACTCATGAAACATCATACTGGAAGTCCTAGATATTGCAATAAGGCAAGGAAAAGATACAAAAGGAACACAAATTGGAAAGGAAGAAATAAAAATATCTGTATTTCAGACAACATGATTGTCTATGTGTATAATCCCAAGTAGCCTAGAAAAATGCTACTATATTTAATAAGTAAGTTCTACAATGTCTCAAGATTCAATATGAAGACACAAATAGCAATTGCATGCCTATAAACTAAGAAAAAATGGAAACTAAATGTTGTAAATGTATTATTTACTAGCACACTTCATATCCAGATCTTATTTCTAATACTATTCTTCAATAAAAGGAATTAGGGCCTGGGATAAACAGCTTATTGCAAGGCAGGTAAAAGAAATATACAAGATGAGTTTGAGTATCTTATAGTGCCATAAAGTAAGGAAATGCTCAAAACAGAACGAAGAAAAAACCAAAACCACACAATGACAGGGTTATGCAAAGGAAGATGGAACTCAAATGAAAGAGCTCCCAAATAAGAACAACTGGACAACAAAATAAAGTAGTATTGGATTATAACCCAAAGAATAAAACAAGTACCCCTGCGTCCATACTGATATAAACAAATGACTTAATAAATAATTAAACCAGAAAAAAGAGACAATTCTGTGCAGAAGAATTCCAAATAATTTATGTATGTTCTCTGCCCTCAAAAATGTGGAATATAACTCCCTACTTTTTCAATATGGTACATAGTGACTTTCTTCCAAAAGGTACATTATACAATAAAGGGGGAAAAAGGGAATAACTTTCTACTGGAAAATCTAACGCTACCCTAGTCAGGTGATCAAGATAAACATCAACAATGTTAGGTCAAATTGATAGAATGTACGTTTGAAATGTTGTGATGAAAATGAACTTTAGTTCTGTGATCTTCCTCCCCAAAACCCATAACCCCAATTTAATTATGGGAAAACCATCAGACAAATCTCAAGTGAGGAATATTCTACTAAATACCTGACCAATACTCCTCAAAACTATCAAGGTCACCAAAAACAAGAAAAGTCTGAGAAACTATCAGAGACAAACAGAGCCTAAGAAGACCTGATGACTAAAGAGAATATGATATCCTGGATGGGATTCTGGAACAGAAAAAGAACATTTGGTAAAAACAGGAAATCTGAATCAAGTGTGGGCTTTGGTTAACAATAATGTACCAATATTGGTTTCTTAACTGTAATAAATACACCATGTTAATGTAAACTGTGAATAAAAGGGGGAAATTAGATGCAGATATATGAAACCTGTACTATCTTCATAATTTTTTGGTAGATCTAAAACTGTTTCAAAAATATTGTATTTTAAAATAACATTACAATAGCATCAATAATATGAAATTTGTCAAAATATGCATAAGAGCTATACACTAAAATGAGGAGGTATAGCATGTTCATGCATCAGAAGATTCAATATTTTAAAGTAATTTCCCTCAACTAATGTAAATTCAATACAATCCAAACTCTCACTGGAAATTGACACTCTGATCACAAAATTTGTATAGACTAGCCAAAAAAATTTGGGAAAATAAGGAAGTTAGAGGGCATACTAAATTTAATTCAAGATTTACTGATAAAGTAAGCTCAGCAATAAAAATAGCAATAATATGGTGTAAAAACAGCCATGCAATGGAAACAAGTAGAGTTTAGAAACAGACATACACTATGTGACTAACTGATTTTCAACAATGGTGCCAAGGTAATTCAGTTGGGAAACAATAATCTTTTCAACAAACATTAAACAATTGGACATCCAATGTCAAAAAAATTAACCTTGACCTTTACCTCACAATGCATTATAGACCTACAAATTTGGTACTAATAACTATAAAACTTCTAGAAGGAAATACAGAAGAAAATCTTTGTCAATCTTTTTTTAGGCCAAGTTTCCTCAACAAGACACAAAAAGCACCACGAAATGACAAACTGAACTTGGTGAAAGTGAAAACTTTTGCTTTACAGAAATATTTTTTAAAAAAATCAAAGACAATTCACAGACTAGGAGAAAATATTTATAAAACCTAGGTCTATGAAATGACTGGTATCAAGAACATATAAGGAATTCTTACAATTTATTAAGTAAACAATCCCCTTTTTAAAATAAATAAAATATTTTAATTGAGAGTGCAACAGTGAAGATATAGAGATGGAAAATAAGCACATGAAAAGATATTCAACATAATTAACCATTAGGGAAATGCAAATTAAAGCCACAGTGAGATACTACACACCCACTAGAATGGATAAAACTTAAAAGGCTGAAATTGTCAGGTATTTGCAAGAATATGAGGCAACCAGAAACCTCATATATTGAGCATGGGACTGCATTACTATAAGGCACTTTGGAAAGCAGTTTGGACCCTTCTTATAAGATAAATATACACTTACTCTATGACCCAGCAATTTCTAAGTGGATTTACCCAAGAGAAAATAAAGCATATGTCTGCACAAACATGTGTGTGCAAATGTTCATAGTAGCTTCCTTCATAATAGTCAAAAATGAAAAGAATCTAAACACCCCTAACTTGATGCATGGATAAACAAAATGTGCATTTTCTCCTACAGTAGAATACTACTCAGCAATAAAAGGAACAAAGTACAGATACTTACAACAATATGGATAGCTCTCTAAGTCAAAAAGCCAAACACAAAGACTGTGTACTCTATGAATTCATTTTTAATTAAATTATAGAAAAAGCAAAATTGTAATGATACTAAGCAAATCAGTTGTTGCCTGGGAACAGGAGGTTAAAGAAGATAATTTACTGTAAACAAACAGTCGGCAATTTTGGTGACACAGAAATGTTCTATATGATGTTGGTTGGTTGTGCTACTGTATAAAATTGTTAAAATTGTTAAAATTTATTAATTGGATACAAAATTGGTGAATTTTATTGTATGTAAAGCAATAAGCCTGAAAGAAACAAAACAAAGATGAAAAAAGATGAATTATTTTTCTGTAATTCTTTATAAAAGAATTATATCCTTTCCAGAAATAGAAAATTAAAAAGCAGACGAAAATTAAGTAATGTAGGGCCAGGTGCAGTGGCTCATGGCTGTAATCCCAGCACTCTGGGAGGCCGAAGTGGGTGAATCACTTGAGGTCAGGAGTTAGAGACCAGTCTGGCCAACGTGATGAAACCCTGTCTCTACTAAAAATAAAAAAAATTAGCTGGGCATGGTGGCATGTGCCTATAATCCCTACTTGGGAGGCTGAGGCAGGAGAATCACCTGAACCTGGGAGGTGGAGGTTGCAGTGAGCCAAGATTGCGCCACTGCACTCCAGCCTGGTTGACAGAACAAGACTCTGTCTCAAAAAAAAAAAAAAAAAAGTAATAAAAAAAGAGGAAAAACTTTCCAAATAATAAACTATAGGTCATCCAAACTAATTAAATTGGCATTTCTCCTCATCAGTTAACAAACAGAAATACAAAACCTATGCCATAACTCTATCATTTTCTAATTTTCAATTTACAGAGACAGAAATTTCCCCTTCAGTGTAAATAAAAAGGTTATTCATTTCTATGTAATTTTAAATTAATTTTGGAGTTACCTAGACAGATTCACTTATTTAGGTACCATTAGCAAGGTGCCCTCATGGAGAAATATGAAAGATACTTTTAAGGTATTATTTTCCCTCCAACTAGCTGCCTGGCTAGTCTTGGAGAGGGCAAGCTCATCACCTTGGGTTCCATCTGTAAAATTCATACAATATCCACTTGACAGAAGTTGGGGGCGGGGGACAGATGCATTAATATGCGTCTAAGCAATTGCAGATCTGGCATTAAAGCATTGCTACCCATGTCCTTGTGCTGCTACACGCAAGGGCTCCTCAGCCAGGCCTTCTCATGGCTGCAGCCTCAGTGTCCTTTATCCCCAGCTCAACCCCAGCCTGAGTGCTGATGGCCGGCCAGTGCTGTCTCTGCACTCTGCTCCAACAAGGACTCCCAGCCAAGCCAGAGACCAAAGGAGCTGTGCTACCTTCCACACCTTCAGCGCTCCCTTTTCAAGGTGGAGGATGCCTAAGAAACCTCAGAGAGCAACAACAAAATTGTTCACATGCAGTCAAAGGTTTCTGTTTCTTGATGCACACATAATAGCAATATTTTTTTAAGTAGCTACACAAAAACCTGTTCTAATATAGAACATTGACAGTCACCTGGAAATGTGCATGGAGCTAAATTTTACCAACAATATTCATAATAACGAGCACGGTGAGTGTTCAAGGCCAACAACGAACACTATGTTATATAATCCTTCCGCCAGCCAACTCACCTACGTAGGGGTTATTATTCCTACTTTACAGATAAGAAACTGACTGGACTCAAAAAAGTTCATGAATGTGTTTACAGCTAATAGAGTCAGGATTTGAGCCCGTGACAGAAAGAAGGACTTTGTAAATTTATTCATCAGTTAGCACCACCCTGTGCACAGCACAAAGGGCTAATATGAATGTCTCAAAAAGGATATTGGGAACAAGTTGTACCTAGAAGAGGACATGAGAAGTAGGGAAGCTTGGCCAACTTTTTCATCTTGAGGCAATGAGCCCACATCATGGCACTAGATAACAACAAAATGAAAGCAGAGAGGGCTGTGCTCTGAGACAAAAAGGGCACTTTCTTCTTCCTTCTCAACACCCCACGCTCCTGGAAGACCTGTTGACACACAGCTTTCATTTCCTGCCATACGTTTCCACCATCTAGAATTCTTAATCTTCTTATGAACGGGTACATCCTCTGCACACAACCTTCTTTGGGAAATTGATTGAGGATAGGTAGGTGGGCTAGGTAGCAAGGAGAAATCACTAAGAAGAAAAGGTGGTAAGTGGGTGGATGGGGGTCACTGGAAAGAAAAGAAATCAGAGATACATTTGTACTTGCTTGGAATAAATGACAAAGTAAAATAAGTGTGATCATTTGAGACAGTCAGTCATTCTGACCTTCATAAAAAGAGCAGGATGATTCCACTTTTCTCCCACTCCAAGCCATTTTAAAGCAATTGAAAAGGGTTCACTTCTACCAGAGAATAGTGCGGTGATACAGAGTTGTTATCTACAAAAAGGGCTTCAGAAGTGTCAGTGCATCCTTTTTTTTTTTTTTTAAAGTATGGGGTGGTGGACTCCAATGAAAATTCATGCCCTTATTCTTGTTTAACTCATCATATAGTAGAAGCAGATATGCAGAGGGAAGAGACCTTAAAGTGAAATTTGAAAGGAATGAAATAGCAAGCTGCTTCCACTTTTTTTTTTTTTTAACCATTTAAGCATTTTATTTCCTGATAACCTCTTGGGGTGGAAGGCAGAGTGATATACTGAGACAGGCAGTAGCCTAATGTATCTCCTCAGCAGTGACCCCTTCTGAGTGAAGAAAGCAGGTGTGACTGTCTCACTTTCTCACGGAAATAGAAGATTCTCATGTAGCATATGCAAAGACGATCAGGTATGAGGGAAATAAAGAACAAAAGTGAAGGCTGATACTTATTCACCTTAAAAGGTGGCTCACGCCTGTACTCCCAGCACTTTGGGAGGCCAAGGCGGGCAGATCATGAGGTCAGGAGATCGAGACCACCCTGGCTAACATGGTGAAACCCCGTCCCTACAAAAAATACAAAAAATTAGCCAGGCATGCTGGTACGCATCTGTAGTCCCAGCTACTCAGCAGGCTAAGGCAGGAGAATCGCTTGAACCCGGGAGGCAGAGGTTGCGGTGAGCCAAGATCACACCACTGCACTCCAGCCTGGGCACAGAGTGACACTCTCAAATAAATAAATAAATAAACAAACAAATAAAGATTTTCATCTCTGAGGTCAGGATTTTGTGATTTTCACCATGTGCAAAGGCTTAAGAGACTCCACAACTCATTTCTGAGAAAAACAAAGGCTCCCCCTGAAGAATCATGTATCTGTCTCCTAAGGCTACTATAATAAAATACCACAAACTGCGTGGCTTAAAGCAACAGAAAGGTATTGTCTCACAGTACTGGAGGCCACAAGTTCAAAATCAAGGTGGCAGTAGGGCCATGCTCCCTCTGAAACCTGGAGGGGAGAATCCTTCCTTGCCTCTTCCAAGATTCCAGAAAAAGCCATTGGTCCTTGGAGTTCCTTGGCTCACAGCTGTATCTCTCCTGTCTCTGCCTCTGTCTTCACATGTTGTTTTCTCCTTGTCACAAGGACACCAGTCATGTTGGATTAGGTCCTACCCTAATGACCTGATCTTACCTTGATTACATCTATGAAGACCCTATTTCCAAATAAGGTCACATTTACAGATACTAGGGGGTTAGAACTTTAACCTGTCTTTTGTGGGGAACATAATTCAATGCCAAAGAGAACCCCAGCCACTCACGCACACATCTTACATTCATTCATTCACCCTCCAAGGGGAAAGCACCTGAGCTGTGTCTGCTGCTTCCTACAGAAAGAGGACCATGTAGTGGGGAGCAAGGAGATGGGAGGCAGGTACAGTTGTTTTCAGGACAGAAAGGCTGGACAAAGAAGGGACAGCAAAAGCCAGATAGGTGAGAAACAAAGAATGAGATCAAGAAATATCAGTTGAGTGTTACTAGAGAACAAAAGAGGAAAGGGAGTAAGTAGCAGTGTCAAATTCCCAGTAAGGTCCAATGTGGCAAGATTTGAAAAGCAGCAGCAGGGTGATAACTTTACCTTCTCCCCCTTTCAGTTCCAAAGTATCTACAGTTTTAATGCAAGTTTTACAGCACATCCTATCAAGGTTCAAATGTTTCCATCAAAATGAAGCTCTGTATATATTACTCTATAGACCTACTCTGAAAAATGTTAAGGTATGTTATATTTTAGAGCAATTGGGCCAGGAAAGATAAATCACCTAAACAAAAGCATTAAACTGTAAAATATTTGAAAGATCTATTTTTTTGAAGATATATATTAATTAAAGTTAGCCTGATATATACTGTCTCTTCTGGGAATATGACTGGTTGAGTTGTTGCAGACTCTACTTTCACTTCAAATATATAGAAACCCCTGATAAATATAACATTTTTAAAATACAAAACTAATCCTAAAGGAAATAACAGAATTATAAATAAAGAAGAAAATGTCAGGTTTGATGCCTTTATCTTTGAGAGGGAAAGAACCCATCAGGTTCCAATATAGATCTTGTTAGTAGAAGGTTAGGCTTTCAATAGCTATCCAGGAACAGAAGACATTGAAATAAAGCCAGGACCCTAATAACAACCATATTTTCCATGAAAATTGGACTAGAAGTGGCAAGGAAGCCTGTAGCTGATTTAAAACACTGGGTAGGGAAAAATTAAATTTCCAAAGAAAAACTAAAACAGTATATCTAACTAGGTGTGAGATCTAAATGTGCAGTATCCAACTGGTGCATGAGACTCAAATCTGCAAAATGAGACTTGAAAAGAAAATTGATCCTAGATCAATGGAAACTAATATTTGTGGCAGAAGTAAACAAGCAATAAAATACACAACTAATTTATAAGAAACCAGATCACATAAGACTCTCACAGATAAATGCTTGTGAAGGTGAGCTAGCTCTGTGAAATTATAAATCATATAAGGAAATGAATCACTGTGAGAATGGGTCAGTAGATACAACAGGGTAATTAGCATGTTAATTCAAACTTTAAAATAGTATATATTAAAAATATTCCAAATTGGGTATATTTCAGTCATTAAAATTATTAAAATGTGAAATAAAGCACTCACAAAATTAATGATACAATTTTAAAAAGCAGATTATGAAAAAGATTAAACATAATTCTAGAATTTTTTTAAAAATTATCACTAAAATCTAAAATGCACAGAATCGATAAAACAGTGCATAAACTCAGCCAAAAAGCAGACAAGTGTACTGGAAAATAGTTTGGAAAAAATTATCAAGAGTACCACTCAGAGCCATCAAAATAGGAAACATGAGTACAAGGTAAAGACAAAAAAAATAGAGAAAATCCAACATATTTTCAAATAGGAGTTTCCAAAAGAATAACAGAGAAAATGCTGGCAATGTATAAATGGAAAGATAATAGCTGATAAGTTTTCAGAACAGTAGATCATTCCACAATTTAAACAAGTATAGCAGATGCTGAGCAGAATTAAAGCATAAATTAGTACCAAGGTACATCTAAATGAAACTTCAGACAACAAATCAAAAAGAAAATGTTAAACACATCTAGGAGAAATGGACATTACCCATAAAGAAATGACAATTAGAGGGATAGCAGATTTCACGTCAGTAAAAATAGAGGCCAGAAGACAATGGAAAAATATACATCAGTCTATCATTTTATACAAGCTAAATAATTATTCAAAAGATTTCAAACAAAAACAAAAGTCCATGGTAAACAAAATAGGTAAACTAAGAGGGTAAAAATTATCCCAAATCTGTAATTAAAAGAAATATAAATGGGTGGCCGGGTGCAGTAGCTCATGCCTATAATCCCAGCACTTTGGGAGGCCGAGGCAGGCAGATTATCTGAGGCCAGAAGTTCGAGACCAGCCTGGCCAACATGTCAAAACCCTGTCTCTACTAAAAATACAAAAAGTAACTGGGCATGGTGGCATGCACCTGTAATCCCAGCTACTCAGGAGGCTTAGGCAGGAGAATCACTTGAACCCGGGAAGTGGAGGTTGCAGTGAGCTGAGATTGCGCCATTGCACTCCAGCCTGTGCAACAAGAGTGAAACTCTGTCTCAGGAAAAAAAAAAGACAAAAGAAATATAAAAGGGTTAAACTTAAGAGCACAGAGATTCTAAAATGGGAATGTTTTTAAAATCACAGCTCTTAGCTGTTTTATAAAACAAAATACTCAAATTACAGAAGTATGACATTTAATAAATAGGAAAGAATAAAACAAGATAATACTAAAGAAACAAAAGGTATTTGTAAAAGCTGTTCGCAACATTAATACCAGCCAATTGAGATTTTAAACAAAAGCCATGTTAGAAATAAAGAAAACTATTACTTTCAATAACATAAAGGACAATTCCTGAGGAGGAAGACCCTGAATGTGCCACATAGCATCACCCTCAAAATAAATAGAACAAAAATAGACAGAAATGCAAAAAGAAATATCCCAGATAAAAGTGAATAAAATATTCTCTTAAAAGCAATTTATATATGAGTTAAACTTTTACAGACATGAAACCTAGTTATGGTTTTAAGACAAATTATATCCACTGTCATCTTATTTACACCATACATTAGCTTCTGACACCAGAGTGTAAAAAATCATTCCCCATCATAAATTATAAATTTTTATTTTATTTTACTTATTTTTTTGAGGTTGAGTCTGGCTCTGCTGCCCAGGCTGGAGTGCAGTGGCGTGATCTCCCACTTACTGCAACCTCTGCCTCCCAGGTTCAAGCGATTCTACTGCCTCAGCCTCCCTAGTAGCTGGGACCAGAGGCATGCGCCACCATGCCTGGCTAATTTTTGTATTTTTTTAGTAGAGACAGGGTTTCAGCATGTTGGCCAGGCTGGTCTCCAACTCCTGACCTCAGGTGATCTGCCCACCTCGGCCTCCCAAAGTGCTGGGATTACAGGCATGAGCCACCATGCCTGGCCTAAATTTTTAAATAAGGAAGCTTAAGTATAAATAGTAAAGCTTCTAACTTTAAACAACCTTTAAAAAAAGCAATAATTCTCTTTTGTATAGTGACTTTCTATGTATAAAGAATTTTCATAAACATTGATGGAATCACACAGAATATTTAATAACTAAGCCTAAGCTTATGCCTTCTAACTATAAAAATCAGAGGGTTTTGGTTGGTTGGTTGTTTTGAGACAAGGTCTCACTCTGTCACCCAGGCTGGCGTGCAGTAGAATGATCATAGCTGAGTGTACCCTCAAACTTTTGGGCTCAAGGTATCCTCCTGCCTCAGCCTCCTGAGTTGCTAGGACTACAGGCACATCACTATGCCAGGTAAATTTTTTAATTTTTTTTTAGATATAGGGTCTAACTGTGTTGCTCAGGCTGGTCTCAAACTCCTGGCCTCAAGAGATCCTCCTGCTTCAGCCTCCCAAGTGGAAAATCAGTGTTCTTTATGTTACCAGGCTGCCTTTCAAGCATCTTAGAGTTTGTTAGAAAATATAATCATTAATGTATCTGTTTCACCCAGTATTTATTATGTGTGTATACCATCTACAAGGTGTATGTGGTGATGAGTCAGACACAGAGGCTGTGTACACTCAAAAGTGATTCCTTGTCTCTCCATTTGTGGTTTTCTTCTTGTTTCTTGCTGCTACTTCCCGGTCTCCATTGTGGGCTACTCTTTCCCTGCCCAAACCTTACATCATCTCCAAGATTCCATTCTGCTCTGTTGCATTCTTGGTCGACACTCCATGCCTGGGCCATCTCATTCATTACATTTATTTCAGTTCTCAAGTACTGGTCAAACTGATGACTATCAAAATCATACTTCCAAGCCCAGATCTATGTTTGGAACCCAAGAACAGAAATCCATTGCACATCATAAACTTACTGGGATATTCTCTCTACTTCCTCAACTTCTGATTATTACTAAAGTAGATTGTGTGGCTCTGCTTCTTGGATCTTTACAAATTTATTCTCCCCTGTATTTTTTTCCTATTCCTTCCCTATTATCACCTAGTCATTAACACCACTAAAGGCATTGACCTTAAAAAGAGAATTTTCACTGTCAGAGCAGGGGAATGACCTCAGTTACTACTTCACAGAGAACACAGAAGTGACCACATAGAAACTTCCTTGGCTTCCCTCTTGTTCTCTCCCAAATTCCTCACTATTCACCCATTTCCTTTCCTTTTTTCCTGACTCCTATTTTAGAAGTTGAGTCTCTTTTTCTTACAGAGATATTCTAGTAAAGCAGATAGGGGTGTAAGCGAGGTATTCCTTATAACTTCAAGTTTGCATGCTAAGAATGAAATTGAGAGAAATGTAATTAATGAGATCAATCATCTGTACAAGAAATGTCCCTCAGTAATGAAAGGCCAAAGTGTTTCAGAATCATCAGCCTCGGTGCCCTCAGTGTCCTCTTGGAGAATCATTAGCCTATTTAGGACTACAGGTAATCAACTGAATCATAAAGACATAAAATTTGGAGGCAGACATTAGTTTAAGTAATCCTAGTGAAACTACTTTTTGTATAATTTTGTTTAATTTATCTAACTTTTCCATGCCTCAGCTTTCTCATTTGTAAAATAAGTTTGGTGGTATACACTTCACATAATTGTGAAGTTTAAATTAGAGAATTTACACATAACCTATACACAGTAAGTCTCAACAAACAATGATGGCTGAATCTGTAGTTGTAGAAATAGTACTGATTGGGGTCATTGTTGGTTTCACTATGTAAATAAGAACAATTATGAAGCATAGAAAAATGATTCAAAGGGGCAGATTTGACTGTGTACTATACAGCTGTCTACTGACCAATGGATCTAAATTAGCCAGTCTCTTGATAGTTAGATTCCTGTGGACTACCATAGCTCAATACATTAAAATGATTCTATCAACTCTCATTATTCTGATTCTTTCCTCATCAACCAATCTGCTTTTGGTAATTTGACTTCTTAGGTAACTTGCCTCTAGAAAGAGTCATAAACATTCTAGTCCTCTTGCCAAGTATACTTCTCATTTTAAAAATAGATATTCTGGTTTACAACTCTCTTGTGAGTTTAATTGGTAGAGTTCATCCCTGAGAAACAGGATCTGCAGCCATATTGGCATAAAGTTCTTCCTCCAAAGAGCTGATAATCCAGCCACAGCTTAGCCTGACCTCACTGAAGTGATATCTGAGCATCCAGCCAGCTTCACGGGATGCCAGATCTGTGACATCGTCTTCTAAGTGCAACAAAAGTCCCCTTAGACCTGTGATGCCATCCCCATTAGCCCTTCAGTGATTCTCTCTCTCCCTTTTCTTTTGTCAAATTGCCCTTTTCTGGTTCCTCCGCCACTCCTTCCCACAAATAAATTTGTCTCTCTTTTTCTATAAATTATTTTATTTACTAGTTTTCTCCTCAAACTACTTTTCTTTTATCATACATGCTTCTTCATTGCAAACCTTCTTTGAGGAGTAATTTCAGTGACATATGGCTGATTATACACACATGGAAACAAGATACTCTCCTCAAAATATTTAAACATAGAGAAATTTTTTAAAATAAATGCACCTAATTGAGTTCCAAAACCAAAAAGAGAAGCCTCCAGGTGCCATAAACAAAGGTAGATTCCACAGAGGTAAGCAAAAGATAAAACAAAAAGTCTCATGAAAGCTGAGACCACACATGGGCTGTAATTTGGGGGCACTGACAAAAGCAAAAGGCCCGGGAGCTAAGTCTTGCACCTCACAAATAGGGGGAGGCTGAAACCTGCATGCATAGTTAAGTGCCAGAAGACAAAACTGGGCAAGATTTAGAAAATATAAAAGGTTGCCCATTACTATAAATGACAATAAGTCAATAAGTAAAAAACTCTGAATCTGAAGAAATATAATTAGAGAATAATATAAAAAGAACTTTGACAGTAAAATGTTTAAAATTTTCAAAGAGGTCAAAGAGAGACATAAAATAAAATCAGATAATCATGGAACAAAGGCACATTGTTGTAAAATATGAAAATTATGGAAATAAAATAGTGTCCTTTAAAATGAAAATCTCAACAAATGGGCTAAATGATGGACTTAATACAGGTGAAAATAAAGTTAAAAGAGAAAATTGAGAATGTCTCCTGTAGCATTGCAAAGATAAAGAAATGAAAAATGTAGAAAGATGTAACCAATGAGGAGGATAAACTATCACTCATATTTTTCTGATAGGTCTTTGTAAAGTAAAGAGCAGAAGAAATAAAGAACAGATGATACTAAAATAGACTGGCTGAGAATGTTACAGAGCTGAAAAAAAGATGATTTCTCAGATTTAAAAATCCACTGAATGCCAAGGTTCAATGAAGTTTGTTTTAAAATATAGACATCAGAACAAGCTGTAGTAAAATTACAGATTATCAAAGAGGAAGAAAAATTCCCACAAGCTACTGAAGAGAAAGCAAACCTATAAAAGAAATAATAATAACACTGAGAGAACACTCCTATAAGCAACAGTGGATACCAGAAGAGACCATGTCATATACTCAAGGCGCTAAGTGAAAATAAATATCAGTCTAGAATTTTATACCCATTTTTACTGACAAATCAAGAATCCTCTTTTAAAAAAGAAGCATCTAGAAAGTTTATTATCTACAGGTTCCCATAGATAATACCACTAAGGAGATCCTTTACCAAGAACAATCAACCCAATGGGAAAGAACAAGATGTTAGAAGCAGATGTGACCAAATTAATTGATAATTAATGTGTGATAAACCTACTATGTTGACAATCAACTATGAAATTAGCATTTGCAGATGTATTTTGAAACAACAACTATTATAGAAAAAAATGGTGTTGTGAGATAATTCTCTGTCTCTTTTTGTTTCTGCAGGTCTCGTAAGCAGAGACACTGACTACCTTGTACGTGGAGTACCTCTATTTAGAGTAAAGGATAGTTTTCCTTACAGCCTTGGAAGACTGAGAGAGCATCTCCTCCCTAGAAAAGGACATCCATGCTTACTGCCCTTTATAAAAGATTCAAGCTTTCTAAGTTCAGGGTGTTGCTCCCTGTAATGAAACCCACTGTGTTTCCAAGTATCACCTGGCCCTCCCTCTTGATATCCCTCTTTGGGAACTGGGGCTCTAGGAACTGGGAAAGGCAATGCCAATACTCTGGCTATTGCTATTACTCTGAGTAATAAAAGTTCCTCATCTCTGCCCCAGGTTGTGTATTCTAGCATCCATGGAACTGTAGCAAGCTAACTTGTTAGTTTGCAAGTAGAGCGAAATCCAAGGCCCTTCACACATCTTGATACATGGGGTTGGAAAGGGAATTTAGATAAAACTAAGAAGATTATTTTGGGGGAAGAGGAAGAAAATATTAACTTTACAATATCTTGGGAAAATATAGGCATTCTTGTTAATGTATTTAAGTCACATTTCTAACTTTGAGAGTGGTATAGGAAATTAAGGGCAATTTAGTTTTCTAAATTTTTAATAATTTAGTATTTCAAAGGCAAGAAATGCAGGATAAAAACAAAGAGAAGGTAGAATAGAAACATGTGTAAAATAGATTGGCAAAATATACATTCAAACATATAAACAAATAAATAAATGAGTACACCTAAAATAATTGAAGGAATGGGCTTCACTTGGTCCATTAGGAATTTTATTACAGTTAAATATTGCTAACAAGTAGATGATGTCACTATATACATCTAGCTAGCAAAAGCCACTAAAGGAGGTAAAGTGAGGAAAAATCACACTCCAGAAGCTCTCAAATATCTTGGATGAGATGTTTGAAGAAAAAAGAAACTTAAAAGTCACGGATAAAAAGAAACATATTCTTAGATTGTGTTTTACATATCTGGTTACATGTTATTTGCAAGAGCTGGGACTGAAACAAAGTGACACAGAATGTTTAAAATTAAAGAGTCAGAAAGAATATGTACCAGGAAATTAGTAACCAAAAAAAGGTTGGGATAATGGTATTTATGTCAACAAATTACCAAGACTGACTCAAAAATATAGAGAAAACCTAACTATACCAATAACCAGATATATAAATTAAGGCAGTGACCAAAATTTTCCCTTTCTTCCAGCACCCTACAACCCATATTCCCTCGTCAAGGAATCTGTCTCAAAAAACTTCATGGACAAACTTTCAAAGAACGGAGAGTCCCTTCAAGGAACAGAGAGTATTATACTAGCAGTTCCAGAGAAATAAAAATAGTAATAGCCACTCACCTTACTTTATTAAGCCAATAAAACTCTGATATTGAAACTATCTGGCTACAAGAAAATAAATGCAACAGTCAATTTTACTTGTGAAAAAAAAATTCTATCAATGAAATTCATAGTATTAATAGATTAAGGGAGAAAAGTCATATTACCACCTACTTTCTTTTTCACAAGAGGTCATTAAGCAATACCTAAATACATTTTTTAAGTGCAAACATTTAATAAGATTCAATAATCATTCATGTTTTTTTACAACTGTTAACTTACAACTGGAAGGAAACTGTCTTACCCTAAGTAAATATATTTACAAATATCTTTATATTTGTTTAAGGTTCATTATTAAGGATGGAACTTTAGAAGCATTCTCTTTAAAGAGAGCTATAAAAGAATTATTTTAACTGCATTCTATTACTTCTGTCATGCATGTATTTTATTGGATAGACAAGTCAATACAATGATACAATAAAAGTAACAGGATGATCATAATTGTTCTTCTGCTGCTGTTGTTTGCAGGTTGTATGATCACCTTCCCAGAAACCTGTGTGTATATGTGATTAGATGTTATAGAACTTAGAACATTCAACTAGGTTGCTGGATATATAAAAGATACATATATACCTAGACACTGCTTATGGACTGCCCATGGATAAGGCCACTGTGGGAGATAAAAGATCATCCACCAATGTACAACTTACTCATCTACTTCCTATTTCCCCATAGGCTGAGATGGGTCATCTAGCTCATCTGCCTCCCTCACCTGTGTGCCTAACTATTTCAGCATCATTTCAGCCCACTTTACAAAACAGCTGGCCTGAGTGTAGTAACATTCCCAAATTTGGATTTGTGCTTAGAAAACAGGACAGATTATCATTGCCTTTGCTATAAGCTGCACATTTCAAACAAGCCTCATCAGAAGTCAACACAAAGCACATTGGCAGTAACCCAGCTAATAAACAATATCTGGCTTTTTATTTGTCCCTTTTGGAATTTCAAGAGAGAAAGTTAATTAATTGAGACAAATTTTGGCATTTCTTATTATTTCTCACTATAGCTTAGTAGTAACAAAATAACACCTAATGCTCATACATATTAACTTCCTCATGCGCACTCTCATTTTGTTCATGCTATTACCTCGATCAAAACTAAGTTCTTCCTTTCTCAGTCAAGTTTGTTCCTTATAGAGATTCTGTTCAAAAGTATTCTCCTCTGTGTAACTTCCAGATATTACCTAGTTTGAGTCAGCTCTGTGTTCTTATGTATTCATGTTTATGTCTACATCATGTCTACACATCTAGTTCCCCTATCGGATTGGACTGTATGTTTCATGCGGGCAAGAACATGATTTGTTTGTGCATCACTGTGGGGCATCAAGCATTGTATATATAGGAAATATTCTAACTATATCTGTGTGATATTTTGAAGTTGATCCCAGTGCTGTCTAGCAGTATTATTTTCAATTAATGGAAATGTTATACATTCAGTGTTCTCCAAAACTATAGCCACTATCCACATTTGACTAATAAGCACTTGGAATGTGGCTGGTTTGACTGAGGAATTTTAAATTTTATTTTCTTCTAACTAATTTAAATGAAGATAATGGAGTTTGAAAGCTTTCTTATGACAGAAAATGAAGATTATGTTAACTAATACGACATGCTATTTGCCTGAGCTGACAAATAACTGAAATCAAATTCAAATTTATGTCTAATTTTCGTTATCATCTTGGGTGCCCAGTAGCATCCACTTGCTGCTCTTTTTTGATTGTCTGTGTGGTTGGAGTGAACCTTATTAGAAAGGGTAAACTAATGAAGGTTTTGAAGGACTCGTAACCCTTGAATAGTGAGTATTGAAAACGTTCCAGGCATGCTTTATATTTTAAAAAATCAATTTATCTGAGGGAAAATTGTAGAAGATATAGGCAAAGACCTATACTTTATCTTGAACTTTATATCCAATCTATCCCATCTCCAATAATGTATTCAAGGATGTTGCCTAGTATTTTATTTCTTTCTCTGCAGCATTATCAATCATTTCCTCTCTTTATTGATTCCCAGTACAATATAATTAAGCTCTTATTTCTCTGATCATAAAAGGAAAAAAATCTTCTTGTGACTCCTTTTCCACCTGCAGCATGCATCTCGTTTCTCTCATTTTTCAGTGATTGAGCATTTGCTTGATGTTTCTTCAATTAGTGGGTGGCATTGAACACAATTTGTATAGACCAGACATTAGCATGTTGGAAAATTCAGGGTTCAATATTCAAGAACTCTCAGGGAGTTCCCAGTCCCTAAGAAAGCCTTTTGGGACACCATGCCAAGCTCACTTCCCTCCTACCCATCTGGCAGCTCCTTCTTAGTCCCATTCATTAAATATGTCAGACAATTCACCCAAAGAGGTTAACAGCTTGTCAAAAGACCATGATTAAGAATTGGAAGATTTGGAAACCAAGCTCCATTCTCCCTGACTTCCAAGCCAGTGCATATATTAATAATATTAAATACTTTAATAGAACATTGGATAGGGAAGGGCCCAGAAACAGCTATTTTCTATTTGACTGTGCCCCGAGGAAGGGAAAGGACAAGATTAGAGAAAGATTGCTTCTTAGACGCAGTTGCCTCATCTAAAACATTCACTTGACATGCACATTGTGTGAGATTCCCTAGTTCTCCAAATTAATAGCATGTGGTCCATCCTAGGATACAAAAACTTTATTATTGGGGTCATTTGCAATTGACATGGTCCACAGCATCAGAAAACTAGGGGCAGAGGAGAGTCAACTTAATTGAAATGATACTTTCAGGCAAGTGCACAGTGGGACTATGGGACGATTAAGTTCTCATGACCAGTAAATGGTTGTTTCCTCCCAGACATAAACAGAGTTGCAATTACCATATGAGCCACCTACACAAGGATGTAAGCCTAATACCTGACATTTGTTTAGTACTGTTTGCTTTGAAAAATCTTGCAAAATCTTTATTCTTTCATTTAATGTAAATGGCAGTGGAATAAATTGACATGGTAAATATTTACAGCTTGCTCAAAAATCACTTTGAAAATTTCCCACTAGTGTATCAGCTTCACACCTGGCTCCCGTAGCCTGTAAAATGATTTTCCTCCAAGTGAGCATCAAGGTGTTTGTCCTTAATCTGTGTGGTTCTACTAGGCCTGGAGTCTGCTGACTTTACTGTTGTTTTTCTTCCTTTCCACTGATAGAAATTTCTAGAATTAGAGGTAGTGAGTTATGAAACACAGAGTTTGTTCTATAAGGGTAATGGAGCTATGAAATATTTTCTCTTCTGGTCCAAAGCACACAAATGAGCTAGAAGTCTAGGGCATTAGGCAAAGTCCATCTGTTGAGTCAGGCATTTGGCCAAAAAAAGACAAAGATTTCCTTTTTCCTGCATGGACATTTTCTTAAATTTAAGTACTCCTAGTAGAAGAGTCTAAAGCTGAGCGGTGATGATGATATTGAATGTGCTGAAGAATAATGTCTTTTTTTCAGTACTTTATTCCTGCATATTCTCATACTCAACCTCAACCACCACCAAGTCTTCTATGACCTTCCAAAGAGCCAGGCCCATTTTACATGTTTCACAGGGCTAATACAACTGGCTGGCAAGCTATACTACACATTAACAAGGCTGGACCAGGCTGTGCCAGCCATGTGCGCACATAGATGCCTAAGCTCACTCCTTTGCTAGCCATAAATAAGGTGCATATCACAGGCCTCTTAAGAATTATGTTTTAGTTTTCAAGTATATTTTGGAGTTCACCAAAAAAGCATGGAATTGTTAGAGGAACTGGGGTAGGCAGTGAAGATGGAAGTGGGGGTGGGGAACAAGCCTTTACAAACACTGTTTTTCCATAGTTCATTCTATGGTTTAGTTCGTTTATTTTCCTTTTTTCATGTTTTTATGTTTTGCTGTTTTCAATGTTGTGGGACTCCCTATTCAATAAATGGTGCTGGGATAACTGGCTAGCCATATGCAGATAATTGAAACTGAGGTCCTTCCTCCCTTACACCATATGCAAAAATCAACTCAAGATAGATTAAAGACTGAAATGTAATACCCAAAACTACAAAAACCCTGGAAGACAACCTAGGCCATACTATTCCAGACATAGGAATGGGCAAAAATTGCATGACAAAGATATCAAAAGCAATTGCAACAAAAGTAAAAATTGACAAATGGGATCTAATTAAATTAAATAGTTTCTGCAAAGCAAAAGAAACTATCAATAGAGTAAACAGACAACCTACAGAATGGGAGAAAAGGTTTGCAAACTATGCATCTGACAAAGGTCTAATATCCAGCATCTATAAGGAACTTAAAGAAATTTATAAGGGAAAAACAAACAACCTCATTAAAAAGTAAGCAAAGGACATAAACAGACACTTTTTCAAAAAAAGACATACATCTGGCCAACAATTATATTAAAAAAAGCTCAACATCAGTGATCATTAGAAAAATATAAATCACAGGGAGGGGAACATCACACACTGGGGCCTGTCAGGGGGTAGGGGCCTAGGGGAGGGATAGCACTGGGAGAGATACCTAATGTAGATGACGGGTTGATGGGTGCAACAAACCGCCATGGCACATGTATACCTATGTAACAAACTGCACGTTCTGCACAGGTACCCCAGAACTTAAAAAAAAAAAGAAAAGAAAAATACAAATCAAAACTACGATGAGATACCATCTCACACCAGTCAGAAAGGCTACTACTAAAAAGTCAAAAAAATAACAGATGCTGGCAAGGTTGTAGAGAAAAAGGAGTGCTTTTACACTGTTTGTGTGAGTGTAAATTAGTTCAACCATTGTAGAAAGCAGTGTGGTGATATCTCAAAGATCTAAAAACAGAACTACCATTCAACCTGGCAATCCCTTTATTGGGTACATACCCAAAGGAATATAAAATAGTTCTGTCATAAAGACACATGCATATGTATGTTCTTTGTAGCACTATTCACAATAGCAAAGACATGGAACCGACCTAAATGCTTACCAATGGTAGACTGGATTAAAAAGATATGGTTTATATACACCATGGAATACTATGCAACCACAAAAAAGAACAAGATTTATGTCTTTCAGGAACATGGATGGAGCTGGAGGCCATTATTCTTAGCAAACCTATGCAACAACAGAAAACACTTGTAAGTGGGAGCTAAATGATGAGAACACATGGATACCTAGAGGGGAGCAACAAATACTGAGGCCTACTGGATGATGAAGGGTGGGAGAAGGGAGAGGATTAGGAAGGAAAACTAATGGGTACTAGGCTCAATAACTGTTAACAAAATAATCCATACAACAATTCTCCATGACACCAGTTTAGTTATATAACAAACCTGCACATGTACCCCTGAACTTAAAATAAATGTTAAAAAAATATAAAAAAGAAGGGTAGATTAATTACTACAAAAAACTTAGGTACTTTTAGGAGAAGATTTTATTTTGAATAAAAATAACATATTTCAAGGTTTTCTTTATTAAAATATTCTTCATGTAACTGAATATTTATATTTGCCACTGGATTAATTTGTTGCATTGTTTATCTCAATATGTCACAGCAACGGGAATGGTTCCCTTATATCCTCCAACTCTGTGCTCCCAAGGCATCCTGTACTTGTGGTTACCTGCTCAATGAATGTCTTTCCTACCGTACCTACTGTACTGTAAGCTCCAGGAGTACCAGAGCTGATCTGCTCCCCACTGTACACCTGCATCTGGAATAGTACCTGACACATGGTTGACATTTAATACATGAACAGTTTCTTTTTGTGCATGAAGTTTGCTCCTTACTCAATATTGAATGTTCAGTTAATTCTGTCAAAAAAATTCTAAAATTGTATATAAATATTCACAAATGCCACAAGTCCGACTCTTCAAATTTCCAATGCTGATTTTATGACAGAAATGAAGATTAGGTGTAATGCAGCATGTCACAATACCAAACATCATGAGAAAAACCTGAATGCATAATGTGCTGTGTGATTCTGACCATGATGGAACATGAAGATAGATTCACCTCAACTAGAAAGTAGTATTTACCTACAATAACTAGCAGGGCGTAGGCAGTATTTCTGGGAGAAGTAGAGTTGTTACAGATTTGAAACATTAACGATATCAGTTATCACTAGAGGTTATCCAAAAGTGAAGGGGCACAACAGCAATGCTGTGTTTGCAACTGAGGCAGGTGAATTTTGACTGAAAGCTCACCCCACTCACAAACAGGAAAATTGAGCTGATAGAGAGGGAGACAGGGAGGAAAAGAGAGAGGGCGGAAGGAAGAGACAGAGGGAGGAAAGCAGAAGAGGAAAGAGGAATAAAGAACACACGACACAGGAGAAAGGAGAAAGTTATTTCCAAGGCCACTTAATACAAATCTACATTAGCTTCTTGTTACATTAACTAGAACATAATGGCTACTGTATTTCACAAAAGAAGGCACTTTGAGCTAACATATACAGGGCTCAGGAATACTAGTCAACAATAACCTGTAGAATTAGCTCAGACCTAACTTGGGAATGCATTAAGATTTAGTTGTGGAACTCTCAGGACAAATCTGGATTGTGGAACTCTCCTCCAGAGGTTAATTTGCATGACAAACCCAAATCTCTCTTGGGTAGGAATCTGCCCTCAGGCTGAAGCAGAGGAAGCAATTTCAAGTATTGCATCCTCTAGTGAGCACAGCCCCACAAGAAAAACACATCCCCATGAGGATAAGCAACAGTCCTGTTGGTTAAATGCTGCTTGAGCTCTATAAAATAATTTACTTAAAGGAAGCAGGCTCTACCTTTCCTCAGATACACAGATACGTCTTCAGCCTCAGAGCCCGTGAACTTGGCTCAAAACTAGGATAATAATCTTTTAACAGTGTTTTGCAAACAAACAAAAAGAGAAAAATCCCAGCCAGGGGAACTCGCCACCTGCCCACGCTAGTTCCATCCACGCTCAAGACCCGCCCTTAGACCAGGCAGGCAAAGGCCCCCATCACACTCGGCCACTAGTGGGGTCCTGAGGCCAAGAAAGAAACCAGACCCTGTATGACAAGTGGGGTCTTTCAGAACACGACAGAAACAGGGGGGCCCTTGTAATGCCACTCATACTCAGAGCATTATTCTTATTTGGACAGCCAAGGGCAGATCACAGGTTATTGTAGGAATAAAGACTAGTTTACAAAGGAAAAAAAAAAAAAAAAACTAGGATAAATGACTGTGATAAAAGAGAAGTGTCTGACAGCCATCAGGAGCACAAATGGTTCTGAATTGAATCTGGGAAGTATGTGTCCCCAGAGAAAGGAGGAAGCTTTTCCATTTAGTAGGACACCTGGCCCAACACTGGGCAGCAGATTATCTGTCTTCAAAGACAAGAACAGCTTTGGACTTCCCTGCAGCTGTGGCTTTGGCATCCACAAATATTGCAAAGTAGAGTTTTGGCAATGTCAAGGGACACATTTGTAGAAGTTTTCCAGAATCATTCTCACCATCATAACTCAACTGTTCCTCAGCATCCTGAGACACCACTAGAGATTCCTTCAAAGGAGGACTGAGAGCTGTGTAATCCTAGGGAGATGTTGTTAACCAAAAAAAGCCAAATCTTGTAAAAAAAAATTTGAAGAGATTTATTCTGAGTGAAATGTGAAGACCATTGTCAGAGGTGTTTGAGCCAGAACAACTCCATCTTGAATAGGGGCTAGGTAAAATAAGGCTGAGACCTACTGGGCTGCATTCCCAAATGGTTAAGGCATTTTTAGGCACAGGATGAGATAGGAGGTCGGCACAAGACACAGGTCATAAAGACACTGCTAATAAAACCAGTTGCAGTAAAAAAGCCGGCTAAAACCTACCAAAACCAAGATGGTGACGATAGGGACCTCTGCTCATCCTCACTACTGTACTCCCACCAGCGCCATGACAGTTTACAAATGCCATGGCAACATCAGGAAGTTACCCTATACAGTCTAAAAAAGAGAGGCATGAATGATCCACCTCTTGTTTAGCATATAACCAAGAAATAACCATAAAAATGGGCAACCAGCAGCCCTGGACGCTGCTCTGTCTAAGGAGTCGCCATTCTTTCATTCCTTTAGTTTCCTAATAAACTTGCTTTTACTTTACAGACTCTCCCTGAATTCTTTCTTGCATGAGATCCAAGAACCTTCTCTTGGAGTCTGGATCGGGACCCCTTTCTGATAACACCATAACCCATGACACAGCCTCAGGAGGTCCTGAGAACATGTGCCCAAGGTAGTTGGGTTACAGCTTGGTTTTATACGTTTTAGGGAGACATAAGACATCAATCAATACATGTGAAGTAAACATGGGTTTGTCCTAGAAAGGCAGGATATCTCTAAGTAGGGTGTGGGTAGGGGATGTCTTTCAGATCATAGGTGGATTTCAAGTTTTTCTGGTTGGCAATCTGTTGAAAGAGTTAACTTATTATCTAAAGACTTGGAATCAGTAAACATGAGTGTATGAGTTAAAATAAGGTGTTGTGGAGACCAAGGATCTTATTATATAGATTAAGTCTCATGTGTGGCTGCCTTTAGAGACAATAGATGGCAAATATTTTCTATTTAGACTTTTAAGAGGTGCCAGACACTCCAGAAAAGACCCAGTAAGGGAAAGAGGTGCTCCAGAGAATGCAGATTTCTACCGCAAGAGACAGCTTTGCAGGGCCATTTCAAAATATGTCAGGGAAACATATTTGGGGGTAAAATATTTTTATTTCTTTCTTTACCTGTCATGTGATGTTATACTAGAGTCAAGTTGGAATTTGTTATCTTATTGCTAGAGGACTCTGTTCTGTCAGTCTTAGGATCTCTATTTTAATGTTAATACTGGTCAGTCCTGTCTAAACTCCAAGAGAGAGAGGGCATAATGAGGCCTGTCTGACGTACCTACCCCCTTCCTATCACGGCCTGGACTCATTTTTCTGGTTTCTTTGGAAGCCTGTTGGCCTAGAGAGGGGTCTATTCAGTCAGTTGGGGGCTTAGAATTTTATTTTTGGCTTACAATGTGAAGTCAGAGAACACTATTTCTACACTCCTATTAACTCTTAACCAGTGTTACCTGATGAAAAAAAATAAACTGCATATACTACTGAAATAGCTAAATATCTTAACACTTCCAAAAGACCAGTGTAAAACACTTCTTTATTTATATGTTAAATGTTTCTGGTTTTCATTTTCTGAGTCAGTGCCAAGAACAAATCATGCACACATCACATAGGACTATGAAATGAACCACAAATAAGACTTGCCAGACAGCAACTGGTTCAACTACAGACCAGCTTCACACATTACATCTTCAACATACACAGCAGCTGCACCATGAAGAACATGTGCCGACAGAAATCCTAAATAAATGAAGAATGATAACTTTCCTACTAGGATTAACTCGGGGAGATAGCTTGAGTTCCACAGTCTCAGTCTTTAATGGACTCAAAAAAAACTAGTAAATTATTTATATCATGAATGCCCAGGAATTTCATATAATTTTTTTTTAATAAACTTGTTATTTAAAATTGGAAAAGTCAAAATTAAGGTGAATTCTGCAATATCACATTTCCCGCTTACGTGAATAGAAATATCTGAAGAACTCAAGCTTGAATGTCTGATGAAAGGTTAGTGGGGTTTAAGAGTTGATTATCCTATACAGGATCTCTGAATTGCTCAAATGCAGTCTCCAAGATTGTGTAGACCACACATTAGCACCTTTAAAAACTCAGGATACAACTAATAGTGTATAATCACAGCATACAAGAAGGCACCTACAAAATGTAAGTAAAAGCCTATAGTTTATTTTTTAAAGTCTATAATAAATTTTTCCCACTGATTTCGCTAAGTAATATTACTCTAAACTCTGGCTTTGAAATTAGACAGATTTGAGCCTGGGTCCGGGTCTACAGATATCTGTAGTCTCCAGGCAATTTATTATCTTCTTTGAGTAAGTTTCCTGCGTTATAATGGTGAACAAAAACACTTCATAGGGTTCTAAAAGGGTAAATGAAATCATCTACGTATCATAGCTAGCACACTGCTTGGATCACAGTCATAAATGGCAGATATTACTGCTATTTTTACTTATACTGTTAACATCTACTACTTTTACTATTACTATTATTTACCATTAACTGCTACTACTAAGTGATCAAAGACGAGCATTGAAATCACTGGATATGAGAGTAGTAAGTAGAGTTCACTCATTTTCAACTACAGAAATAAAAGAATAAAAGTGACGACTATAAAAACACTGGATGTTGAATCATTCCTACTAAAATTTTCTCTATAAAGTACGTTATGGAGTTAACATTAGCTCTGCATGCTTGCAGCATTCTTTATTAAAATACAGAGGGAACCTCTTCTTTCTTTAGCCATTATCCTTTGGGAAGCCTGACCAAAAGATTCTAGAACATAAGGACCACAAAACAGCTGCAAACAACATTGACTATCTTTTTGAGATTTAAAATAGCTGGTGTTTGGCAATTAGAAACAAGAGACTAAATTGTACTAACAGCATATTTTTAAGCAAAAGTTATATTTATTAAGCTCACAGAATGTTGTGCATACTTAGACTTGTACCAAAGTGACCACCAGTGACATGTGAGGCAAGGTCTCTAACATCAATGAACTTATAACATATCTGACAACATAATATTATTATAGATGAAATAAAAGGAAACCATACAAAATAACACAGCTTCTACAAGCTGAAGATTAGCCAAGGATGAGTTCAGTGAAGACTGAAAGAGTTACCAAAAAAGTTCACTAAAGGAAACCGGGGTGGTGATGCATGCCTGGAGTCCCAGCTACTCAGGAGTTTGAGGCAAGAGGAGGCTTAAGCCTCCTTTTAAGAGTTTGGAGCTGCATTGCACAATGATGGTCCCAGTGAATAGCCTCTGCACTCTAGCCTGGGTACCATAGTGAGACCTCCTTACACCCCAAAAAAAGAAAAAGTTAACTAAGTGGTAAGAGATGTTATAACTAACCCCTGACAGGTAGCAGAGAAAAAGGCAAGACTTTCGAGGCAAGAGCTCCATCATAAACCAAGTCATGAGAAAAGGATCGAGCTTTACACATTTTCAGGAACAATGGATCACTGGTTTGCAAAGCACTTTGCAAAATAGCACAACCTAAAATTGCATACAAGTCAGCAAGCTGGTAACTTGAGAAAATCTCTGTAGGGAAAATTTGTCTACATCAAAATGCCAGGTGATTTGTGGATGGCAAAGACTGCAGACAGGAGAAGTTTGTGGGAGGCTGTGATAATCTACATATGAGGCAAAGAGGGTTTGGGCGGGGGTGATTGCAGAGGAGTAAAAAGGAAGAAGTAATCATAAGAAAGAGTCTGAAGGAAGATGGGCAGGTCATATTAACTCACTGGATATGGGGAAATGTAAGCCTCTGCTGAGTTAAAAAATAAAAATAAAGATTCCAAGGTTTTTAAGCCTGGATCCTTGAAAAGAATCATGAAGCCAAATAGAAACAGGGTCCAGGGATGTAGAGAATGGGACAAGAAGAGGAGAGTCGAATGAAAATTACACCAGACTGGTTGAGATATGGCATGTGTCTGTGGGGAACATTTAGGGATGGAGCTGTTGACTGGATACGACCAGCCTTGATGTGTGTGGGAGCCATCAGAACAGAAGATATCTAGACAAAGGAAAATAAGTTGGTTGTGGAAATAAATGCTTATAACCAGGAGACATTAAAGTCACACAGGTCAGTGGTGAGGCAGAGAAGATGTCTTTGGCACAGTGGCTCATGCCTGTAATCCCAGCACTTTGGGAGGCTGAGGTGGGTTGATCACGAGGTCAGGAGTTTAAGAGCAGCCTGGCTAACATGGTGAAACCCCGTCTCTACTACAAATACAAAAAATTAGCTGGGCGTGGTGGTGCATGCCTGTAATCCCAGCTACTCAGGAGGCTGAGGCGGGAGAATCGCTTGAACCTGGGAGGCAGAGGTTGTAGTGAGCCAAGATCGCGCCACTGCACTCCAGCATGGGTGACAGAGCAAGACTCTGTCTCAAAAAATTAAAAAAAAGAATGTCTCAGAAAGTATCTCTTTGAAACAACAAGCTCCATCTGTTTTCTAAACTACATATATGACGAAAAGGGTAAGATATGATTTATGTAATAAATGTCTATAACATGCCTCTGTGTACCAAACGTGGTCCAGGGAATGGGGACAGAGAGAAGGCCAAGGAATTGGAAATGAGGATATTGGTCTCTGCTTCCTACCTACTCCAGAGTCACTGATGCTTGACCATGACAGCTCTCAGCCCCACTCAGTTCCAAAAAGAATCTAGACCAATGCAATTAGTATCAGAATGACAGAATACAAAATCTGTCTTGCTATGGAAAAGCTAATAACTGATGCTTTGAAGTTGATGCCCAGTTATATCCACAGTCAAAACTTTCCCCCTATCTTCCAAGTTTATCCCCACTCTTTATTTTGATCATACAAAAATATTACCCCTGAAGACACAGCAATTTCGACTACGGCTGAACTTCTCTGAATTCAACCTTCCTCTAACTGAGTTAGCGCCACTTAATCAGGCCCACGTTTCTCTAGGCTCCTTAATGTCCCTACATAATACCATTCAGAGGCATTTTTTTCTTTTTTTTTTTTTTTGAGACGGAGTCTCGCTCTGTCTCCCAGGCTGAAGTGCAGTGGTGTGATCTCTGCTCACTGCAAGCTCCGCCCCCCAGGTTCACCCCATTCTCCTGCCTCAGCCTCCAGCGTAGCTGGGACTACAGGCGCCCGCCACCACGCCTGGCTAATTTTTGTATTTGTAGTAGACACGGGGTTTCACTGTGTTAGCCAGGATGGTCTCGATCTCCTGACCTAGTGATCCGCCCTCTTTGGTCTCCCAAAGTGCTGGGATTACAGGCATGAGCAACTGCTCCCGGCCTCAGTCATCTTTAATGACACTATTTTAAAGGAGACCTGAGGTTAGTAAAGTTATACAAATATTTCTCCTATTTCACATATATCTTAAAAAACATATTCGCTAACAATCTCAGAAATAATCTTCACTCTTTCAATGGAAAGCGCATCCTCAGCTTTAACTTTCTTATTGACAGCTGACCAGGGTAGCAGGTCTTCCCACCTTGAGGGAGGTCCACAGACACTGGAATCAGTGAATTGCAATCCAGATAGCCCTCACAGAATTACATCTTTCTTCCAGCATGGTTTGATTTCTGTGTATATCAGGGCTTACAGTCTTCTGCTCTTAGTAGCAACTGCTCTTTTTAAAATTCCATTCACTCTTTTTCAAAAATAAAATTGCAGCAGAAGTGCATGAAAAGAGATTCAAAAGAGCAAAAAACTTAAATAGTCCCAGAGTATCAAAAACCACATAAGAAAGAAAAATTCCTTCCCCATATTTAGTCAGGATTTAGCCTTGCATTAAGTTTCATAATATTCCCTCAAGCTGCAAATCAGATTGCAAAATTCAAATTCCATTTATTTCATCAGCTGCTTATAGTATTATAATAGCAATGAATTTAGTTTCAGAAGACCAAAAAGTAATATATAAGAGCAATTATTTATAGTTGTGGTTTTGTCAGAAAAACATTAACTTATTCAGCAAATAGTTTTGTTTGATTTTCAGACCTAGTCTGGTTCAAAAGAAATCCAGTTCAATAAATACTTGGGCATTACTAGATACGTCAAGATGAATAAGGTTCCATGGCCCTAATTTCTAGGAGTTCTAACTAGTAGGTCTGTACAGAATCTTAACAAATCAGACACAAGGTTTGGCAGGAATTGAGAATAGAGGCAGAGAGGAATGATGGTGCAAGGAGAATGAATTTTATCCTGTCTGGTTGAAGGAAGGGGTAGGCATTGAACTATTTTAAGCTGGAGCCTGATGCGATCCAATTTGCATTTTAGACAGATCACTATGGTGATGATGGGTTGGAAGGAGTCTGTTTGGGAAGCAGGGAAAATAAGGAGCTGCTGCATCAGTGGCAAAGCAAAGGAGAGGCTGCTTGGAGAGATACATGGTGAGTAGAACCTGGCTGGACATGGGTCAAAAGAAGAGAGACAGAATCTATCTCCTCTGCAAGTTCTTTTATGCTGCCCATAATATTCCCAACACTGAAGGTCCTGCACACACGAGAGAGGAAAGCTTCTCTCTGTACAAGGTACCTCCTGTTTGCCCTTGATGTTCGAAGTCCTAATGGCAGCAGGTATTCATCAACATGAACTGGGATGACCCAACCTTATATTCATGTGCATTCTTGTCGAATTTATATTCACTTTTCTTCACTAAGCCTTATGTAATGGAAAAGATAAAAAACTAGAGAAGTCAGGCCATCCTGGGGTTTTAGTGCTGGCTTTTTTCATAATGAGAGGTGTGACCTTGGGCAAATCATTTACCTTCTCTGAATCTGACTTGGTTGGTAAAATGTAGGGATTATGCCAGCTATAAATAAAATTTCTTCCAGATATGTGTTATTATCTAGTCCAAACAATTCTGCTCATCTATAAACCAGTTATTGGTATATATAGAAAATACTGATTAATCCCCAAAGCAGTTCAGGTTCATCATATACCAGACGGCTTCTTGAAGAGGAAATTCCCTGGACCACATGACAGGTAATGAATAAAAGAAAAAAACAACAAAAAAAATTCTTTAAATTAAAACAGAGACATAAAGAAAGCAAAACAATTCAATAAGATATGATTGCTGGAAAAGTGCTGATCTTGAATTAGATAGCTAAGTATATTGAGAAAATTATCCAGCGAGTTTAACTGTTGAGACTGAAAACTAAGGAGAGGCATGTACCTCTCCCGAACCAGTAAATCTATTCCCTAGTTGCTGAGTTGAACGCCAATTCCTTCCAGCCATCTTGCAAATGGGTTCTTTTAGTAAACACTTGCCATTTTAAAAATTGTTTTGTTTTTGTTGAGTAGGGTTCTCTTCTGAGAACAGCATCCCCCACTCTCTTGGGGAGCTACCCCTTTACTCATCTAAAGTCATGATCTGAGGGCTGCTATCTTACGATGTACCCTTCATTTTCTTGTTGCAATGATTTGATGGCTGTTGGGCTTCTGTCCTAACATCACCAATCAGTGTTCTTTTTTAGGATTTTTCCATTTGGAGCTGAGACATAGACTCCTTTCCTTTCTGATACTAAAGCTGGAAAGATACAGCCTCAAAGCTGTCAGTGGAAGAAGGTGTTCTGCTCAGAGAGAGAGAAAAAAAAAAGATGAGAGATAGAGATGGAAAGAAAAGGAACCTAGGCAGTGTTCAAACATCAGTGCCTGTTCGCTCCCGAGACTCCCAAAACTGCTCTGTTCCTTGCCTTGTAAAAATGTCTTTAACTCTTCCTTTGATCTTTATGCCTAGATTTTCTGCCAAAACTAGCTCAAGTTGGGTTTCTATAATTTGCAACAAAAAGTGTCCTGAACGATATAGTGATTTTTACCATAAGGAAGAAAAGTGGAAAGAGGTAGTTCAAAGCTCACTTCATCATCACTACTGGAAAGATAATTTATGTGCCCAAATACTAGTGGCATGTCAATGATATCATCTTTAGGTATAGCAAAAAACTTATCCTCTGAGTTATAGTACTTGCAGAACCACACAAACATGAGAGTGGACCTTGCCAGTAAAAAAGTACAGTTTATAAGCTTTTGTTTTTGTTGTTGCCATCAAAATGCAATAAGGTTTGAGTTATTTGCAGGAACTTTATGAACTCCCTTATTAAATGTTGATATTCAGTAAAACATGTGGAAAAAAAAGTCCATGTGGTATGCAAAGATGGATGTCTACATAGACTGTATCCTCACAGGACACTTTGAGAGACAGGTAGGAGAGAGGCATATATCTACCCATCACTGAAGGCCATCTGGACTATGTCAATGGAATGCAATCAGGCTAAACCGAGATGGCTATTCTATCTGCTTTTAACTTGACTTTGAGAATGAAAGAAATTAAAATTATTTTGACCTACAGTAAAAATTAGGCTTTAGCAGCTGGAAGGAAAGGGTAGGAGAAATAAAAATGAACATAACTACCAATCACTTTTCATGAGAGTCATTTACTGAACTTGAACAGCTGGGCTTTGAAAGCTCTGGGACATATTCAACAAGCTAGTGCTAAATTCATTGTGTTCTCACTTCGGCTGTATGGTAAACCAGCTTGACCTAAATCATCTTCACAGATTGTTTTATGTATCATCAGATCAAGTGTGTACATTGGGAGAAAGTGAGTTATCAAGAAGACAGGAAGGATAAAAGAAAAACTCTAAAGAAATGTGGAAGAGTGGATTCATGGACAAAGGATTTTAAAGCAGGGCTCTTAACATTTTTGTTCCGTAGACCCCTTTGGCAGCTTTATGAATCCTATGGGGCCCTTCCCTATCTCTATAAAGGGCATCATGATTTTTCCAGTTCTTCATGTCAAACATTCAGAATTCCTTATTTCCCTAAACCACAAGCTCAAGTGTAAGCTGTTAAGTTCTGTTGGCCCTCCCCAGTGCTTTCACCCTAGTCAAACCCCCCTGACCTAGTTTACTGTAAAATCCTACTAACTATCCTGCATCTACTCTTTACCCACTTCCCTATACTCTAATCTATACATAGCAGGAAAAAGAAAACTATTCTGTAAAATTCTAAATCATATTAGATCACTGCCTGCATAAAACACTTCAATGGCTTTATGGTTTAATTTAAATAAAATTGACACCATTGTCCTATGGCCTCCAAGATCCTATGTGATCTGAACCCTGAACCAGTGATACAATAATGATAGCTAACATTTATTGAGCACCTACAATATTCTATGCCCTGTTCTAATTGTTTATTTTCTTATCTTTCAACCATTTCATGAGTTTATAATTATTTATACGTGTTTTAATGATGCGGAAACTGAGACACAGCTAACTTAGATAATTTGTGCAATGACAAATAAATAATAAACACAGGTCTGCAGGTCTGTTATTTGAACCCAGAAACTATAGCTCCTAAGCCCACATTCAAACACTACACCGTTTCACTTCTCACCTCTTCCCGTTTCCTGCTTCCTGTGATCCCAGGTGACTATGTGACAAACACTCCTCTTTCTGTTCCTTGAATGTATTAAGCTAATTCCTGCTCTCAAGGACTTGTACCTGTTGTTTACTTCTCTGAAAATTCTTCCCCCAGATCCTCATATGGTGGATACCTTCTCATTTCTCAGGATGAGGCTTATTACAGGCACTAGCAATTGCCTATCCCAATTATTGGGGACAGGTTCTCAGAAAAATCAACACTGAAACAAAGGATCTCTCAGCAAGGCTAGTTTACTTTCTGCAGAAAGGGTGTCACTCACTAGCAATCTTGTCACAAGAGCACACACGAACAAAGGAGACAGGGTCATTTATAACGTGACGCATCCACCCTACTGCTGTGTCCGGTTTCCATTGGCTGGAACAAGACCTCACATTCTGTACTTGTCCTGATTGACTAGCAATGTAAAACTTCCTAAAAGAGGCAAAGGCAGAGGAGAACAAAGGAAAAGAGGAAGTAACTTGTGGAATGGTGAGAGAGTCAAAAACACTTCCAAATAAGGAAAGAGGAATAAGCTATGACCTAATGCTTGCTTGGACATGTTCAGGCATGCTGGGACAAATATCTAGGCTAAAATGTGGGAGCTAAGAGCACGGAGTGTATTGATTTCTTAATTATGGCTAGCAGATATTTAAGAATATTAGCACAGATCTTTGAGTAAATTTTGCTTCTAAGAGAGGTTACTATCTATTCTCAATAAGTTCCTTAGAAGAGGAATGAACCTCTACTTCATTTTGTACACCAATCTATCCCCTTTTGTGTACCTAATTTTTTAATTGTTTACCCTTCTCTGTTTGTTCTTGTACTTAGGAAAAGTGATGCAAACCCAAGCTCCAGTGACTGACTCTCAATCAGGCTAACTAAAACTTAGACTCTGCACCAGTCATGGTAACATCATTCCCCATGCAAGTAATAGAATTTTGGCCAATATGGTATAATATGAAGTCTGCTGGGAACAAAGATTTCTGATATGGTTTGTCTGTGTCCCTACCCGAATTTCATCTTGAATTGTAGCTCCCATAATTCCACATGTTGTGGGAGGGACTCCGTGGGAGACAATTGAATCATGGGGATGGTTTCCTCCATACTGTTCTCATGGTAGAGAGTAAATCTCAAGATAGCTGATTGTTTTATAAGGGGAAACCCCTTTTGCTTGGCTCTTATTCTCTCTTTGCTTGATGCCATGGAAGACATGCTTTTCACCTTCCACCATGATTGTGAGGCCTCCCCAGCCACATGGAGCTCTGAATCCATTAAACCTCTTTTTCTTTATAAATTACCCAGTCTCAGGTATGTCTTTATCAGCAGCATGAAAAACAGACTAATACAATTTTTTTTGCTGGTAAAAAAAGAGACCTGTGGAAGAAACTGTTTCTTTTTGCCAATGAACTTTGCCTAATGTGGATGAGGACAGAATGTCTAGAAGTGTCATTCCATCTTTTGAGCAAGGTTGCAGCCAGTCCACATGCTGAGATAGGCATGTAAGAACAAATATTTCCTTACACCTTTACCCTCTGAACTATTCCCAGAGCCCTTCTACCTTAAGACATCTTTTGTTTTCTTAAGAAATGGGGTCTGTCTTTGTTGCCCAGACTGGCCTCAAACTCCTAGGCTCAAGCCATCGTCCCACCTCAGCCTCTAAAGTAGACGGGACTACAGGCACGCACCACCATGCCTGGCTTAAGGCATTTTTTATGTAAGATAACAATTCCCCTATTATTTAAACTATTGTGTGTTCAGTTTTCTGTTACATGCCACCGAAAACATTCTGGTGGAACCATAGCTAAACTGTTGCTTCTGCAGAGAGGCCTTCCCTGGCCATCTGATAAAAGGTATTTTCTTCTGCACTTTCTCTCTAGCAAATCCTCATGGTTTTCTTTTCATAGCACATATTCTGTCAAAGTATCATTTTAAAATTCATTTACCATTTACTTTCCTCACTGAAATGTAAACTCCCTTAGAAGAGGAATCTTGCCCATGTTGTCCATTGCTCGATCACCAGTGCCGAGAATACTGCCGCATTCCTCCACTTAAAATGTTAACCTTGGAAAATTCTCTCAATATCTCTGCATCCCAGTTGGACTGTAAAGATCAAGTTAGTTACTTTATGTAAAATGCCCTAGAAAGTGCCTGACACACAGTTGATGTTCAATCACAACAGCTTTTAATGTAACTGTTATTCTAATGTAGGCACTCAATAAATATTTGTTAAATCAATAAAAATATGAAACAATGAATCTCTGAAATGTGATGTGATTGCCCTCTACATTAGAACACGGTAAGGGAAGGATTTGTCTTATTCAAAAGAAACAGATTTTTTAAGTGGAGAAGCAGACTAGTGTTAAAGGTTAAAAAGATTAATGCTGCATAGACATCTCCATTTCCCAAAGGCAGAGCACACTAGAAAGCAGTAAGTAATAACATCACTGGCCATATGGCCCCACCACGATGCAGGAATTAGTGGTGAACAAGACAGGCAAGGTTCCTGTTCTCATCAGCAGTGAGCCAAGATATCAACCAGCCATGAATAGACAAAAAGACTTATCTAGCTAAAAGCCAACTATGTAAAAGGTTCTTGAATATCATTAATGACAATTTAATCTCTAAAACGACAAGGAAATAGCCAGAGGAAACAACCACTTTGGACCTAGCTCTGACAACAAGGGGAACTTATTGATGAAGTGAAAGTAATGTGAAATCTAAAAGAAAGTGACCATGCTATCTTGAATTTTGACTTTTCCAAGGAAAAGAAAACTGGACATCACGAGTTGTACACCCTAGACTAGATGAATGTCTGCAAAATGTTTAGAGAAAAGATATGCATTATTCATGGCATGAGACTCCTAAGGAGATTATGACTCAAAAGTGTTATGATGTTCTCAAAAATACAATTTTGAGAGCAATTGCTAAATGATAAAATGAGGAGGAAAGGGGAAAGAAAACTAAACAAAAATGTAGCTTCAGATATTTTTTAAAGAAAAATACAATTGAAAAGTATTCATGTATTTTGTATTCATCATCTTGGTAATACAGTGCTAGGAACATAGCAAATAGAAAGTATTGTTAAGTGAGTGAAGGAAAAAATGAATGATGAGGATGAAAATGGTAGGGCAAGTTAGATTCACGTCAGAGTCACTAGAGTCCCAAATGAGATGAGATTAGGAGGAGGGAGGATTAAAAATACCAAAATAACTTATGGAGCAAAAGAAGGCCTGTGACTTTGAATTAATGACATAATGGTGATATAAAGATAATGGTGTTCAACCTCCAAAACCCCAGCTGAACATTATTAGGAAGAAATTGAACCCCAATGAGGGTAAAGACTATTGGACAGCACCTATAAGTTCTAAATGAACTCATATCTCCTTATAATGATGAATTATAAACACAGTATAAAATAGTTTGCCATTGAGATCTCTGGGAACTAAGAGCAGCATTAGGAGACCAAAAATGGATGAAACTGAATTCAAAAAGCTTCAGGGAGGTATATTTGTGATGGATTCCCAACAGCATTCCAAGTAGCTAATCACAAAGCAAACATAACCAAGTTTCTTCCTTTGATACTATTATTAATCTGGTAAATCATCTAGATTTATGCAAGAGAATTAACATTGTTTTTTATGACTGATCTGGTGTGGGTATTTGTCCCCTCAAAATCTCATGTTAAACTGTAATTCCCAGTGTTGGAGGTGAGGCCTAGTGGGAGGTGTTTGCATCATGGGGGCGGACCCCTCTTGAATGGCTCAGCACCATCCCCTTGGTGATGAGTGAGTTCATGTGAGATCTGGTTGTTTAAAAATGTGTGGCACCTCCCTCCCCCTTGCTCCAGCTCTCGCTATGTGACATGCCGGCTCCCTGTCACCTTCTGTCATGAGTAAGAGCTCCCCAAGTGCTCCCCAGAAGCCAAGCCATGGCTAGCACCATGCTTCCCATACAGTTTGCAGAACCATGGGCCAATTAGAACTCTTTTCTTTATAGGTTACCCAACCTCAAGTATTTCTTTATAGCTACACAAGAACAGACTAATACAATAACCTTCTTTGAGACACTCTGGAATAATAAGGTTTGGATGCCAGTTTAATGTAGCAAATTAGTGATTGGCTACATTCAAAGGGTAGCTACTGGATTATGTCAACCTGGAGGAAATAGTTGAGTGGGGTGCCGCAGTGCTTTCTTCTTAGCTTTGTCATATTCAACGTTTTAAAATCAATCATTAAAAATGTTGAGGTTGTCATCATTACATTTTCCAATGATAAATGGCTTGGTAGTATTGCAAAAATACTCTTTCACAGAATCGGATCCAAGGGGATGTTAGGAGCTTCGGTTAATGGGCTACATTTGACAAGAGTGAGTTGAATAAGGATAAATGGGTGATCCCTGAACTCAAGTCCAGAATATTAATGACACAAAAGCACGATATAATAATGTATCTAACACCATTTTTTGATATTTGACTACTGCCATACTTTAATCCTCACTCCTCATTCTTTCCCTTTTGCCCCACCTCTGGGAAAGCTTTTACAACAGCCTGGGTGTTTCCTTCTTTGGCTCCTGCAGGAGATACAAACCACACAAGCCCTTCCCCACACGTGGGTACCTTGACCCAGCTCCAACCTCCTTCCACAATATAAATATGGAGCCAGTATCCTTTCCTTGAGAAGCCCATCCTGATTTCTGAGACTTCTATTTTGTAAGTAATAAACCTTTTCATACCCTTGGTGTTGGAGTATAGCATTATCAGTCTTGACATCCAAACTGAATTTTAGTGGGGGTCCATCAGCCTCTGCACAGTGGATATAACCCGGAGGTGGAGGGATGGAGGAGGATGCAGGTTAGGAGTAGCACGCAGGAAAAAGACTCAGAGGGTAGGCTGGGAAAGTCAGAAACAGAAAGCTCAGTACAAGTCCACACTATGGTAGAGCTGCCAGAAGACTAAAGTGATCTTAAGGGGCTTTAGTCCAAGTGGACACGTAGGAGGAGAGGAAGCAGTCTGCCCAGTTCTGTGTGGGTCAACTACCTAGGAGCCCTCACGACTATCTTCTCTTCTCTTACATAACTCTCTCCCTTTTGGTGATAACCTTCAAGCACCTCTATTTAAATCCCATCTCTGTGCGGATAATTCTCACAAGTTTATCTCCAACCCAGACCTCCACTCATGTGGCGATGGGCAGCTCGAACTTGATAGATCCAAAGCTGAACTCCTTATCATCCCCCATCAACCTGCTCCTCACTCCCTATACCCACTCTTCTCAGCTCAGTAAATGGTGACTCAGGCTGAAAGTCTTGCAGTTATCCTTGACACCACTTTTTTCCTTCACAACCCACTTCTGATTCACTAGCAAATCTTATCAGCTCTAGCTTCAAATTATATCCAGAATTCAACTGTTTCTCACAGATTCCACTGCTATGCCAGTCCACATGCCACCATCATGTCTTGCCTACATTGTTGTGGTAGTCTCCTAACTGGTCCTCCTGCTTCACTTTCTATCTAATCAACACCAGCACTAGCAACCGGAGTGTTTCTGCTAAAAGCAATATCAAGTCACTCCTCTGCTCCAAATGTTCCAACAGTTCCTCATTGCTCTCAGGTTCATAGCCAAAGTTCTTAATGATCTAACCCCACTGTGACTTCATCTCCTAATTCTGCTCTAGCTTTTCCTTTTCCACCACACTAGCCTCCTTACTATTTTGTTTTCATTTTCTTAACATACCAGCCTTGCCCCACCTCAAGGCCTTTGAACTTGCTCTTTCGTCTGCCTGGAACTCTCTTTCTCCAAATATCCACAAACTCATTCCTTCATGTTCCTAAGTCTTTACTTAAGACTTATCTCCTCAGTGAGGCATTCCTAGGTCACCTTAGGATTTGTTTAAAGGGACAAAAAAGATCATTTAAGTGATCACCAACAAGAATATGGGCATATTGGATATTTTTTAGTCAATGACAGAACTTCAAGTCATACCGGACAAAGGAAGGAAGAATGAAATGCAGATGCTCAGCCTGGAGAAGAGGAAACATGCAGAAGAGGCAAATGGAGATTGGTTTGACGTGATAGAAAGCTTCAAACTTTTCATAGCTGTATTACGAACGGGCTTATCCTATTTTGTTTGTATTTCTAAGTTACCAATTGGCATAAATAAATGGAAACTACAGGAAGACAAATTTCAACTCAATTCAGGATCTTTTACATAGTCCAAGCTTTCCAATGATATCCTGGGATCCACTGAAGGAGAAGTTTCTCCTTCTTGAAGGCTTAGAATGAGTGAAAAAGTCATAGAGATGATGGTCACACTAGATACACAATTTTATGCCGGTCTATGATACTTTTATTCTGTGAATGAAATTATACGGCTGACTTATACTGAATGTATCATTTGGACAAATGGAAATGGAGAAAATAATTTTTTTTTTTGAGACAGAGTCTCACTCTTTTTGCCCAGGCTGGAGTGCAATGGTGCAATCTCAGTTCACTGTAACCTCCGCCTCCAGGGTTCAAATGATTCTCCTGCCTCAGCCTCCCGAGTAGCTGGGATTACAGGTGCATGCCACCACACCTGGCTAATTTTTGTATTTTTAGTAGAGATGGGGTTTCGCCATGTTGGCCAGGCTGGTCTCAAACTCCTGACCTCAGGTGATCTGCCTGCCTCAGCCTCTCAAAGTGCTGGGATTACAGGTGTGAGCCACCGCCCCCAGCCAAGAAAATGTTTTAAAATTAAGTATGGGACACAACTCAATAGCTTGCAAACCTAAATTTGATTTAGTAATGTTTCCAGTTTTCTAAATCAGTTTAAAATGTTTAAGACCTATAAATATTTCATTCTATTTGAAAATTCCAATTGTCATCTCTCAATTTTCTATACTAATTTTTATGCCCCTCCTTCCTCTCCTTCTTTCTCCCCAATACACACACACACACACACACACACACACACACACACACACTCAAGTTCTAATCACTATAAGCACTACTAGCTCTGATTTTTCTAGAATGTCCTCAACATTTGCTGAGATTCAAGTTAGAAACAGAGGACAAAGGATGCTGCTGGAATATCTCTTGTTTAAAAAAAAAAAAAGCATTGCAGACTTGGAAAGAGTAGTATAGTCATCTAACTTCCTTTCAAAACATAAAATTCCAAGTTAATACCTTCTCTGTCAATAGAAAAGGATCACCACGTGTGAAGTAAACCCTAGATTGCAAAGGCAGAGACATGATTCTTTTGTATATTCCCACAAGACAAAGTGTAATGCCTTAATTGTAACTGGTACTCAATAAATGTCGACTGCCAAATATATACTTCCCTGAAAACCTGGCAGAATATGCATTAGAAAACCTTGAGCTTATCCTAGCTTCTTTACTTTTTAAAGTTCCAAAGGCTTTGTTTAAAGGGACATAAAAGATCATTTAAATAAACCAACTTATTAATAATCATGCTATGAATGGATCTCATAGGATTAGAACTGTTTTACTTCATTTAGATTGCTTTTCATAGATATGGCTTTGCTGTCTACTTTTCTTGATTACAGTTCCATATCTAACACATTCATCAGCTGAGTGCTTCATCCTTTTCCTTAGGTCTTGGTAAAATTGAACTAATTCCCATTCCATATCCTATTGAGAGTCTAATGCAAACTTTAAGAGGGGCAGGGGTGAGGTAGGGATGTGTATTTGGTTTGGGAAGGGTAGGTTCTCATGCTCCATCTGGCTCCAAAACCTAGCTAAATTAACTCAGTATCTCCACAAACTGTTCCTGTTCTGCACAATATCAATCTACCATATGAGTAATATAGCCCCTTTCCTTGATTTCCACCAAAAACAAAAATAAAAGAAACAAAAAGGAGCATTCCAAAATCCTTTGTATGTAAAGCAGACTTTACAAAAGTTTTGGAAAGACAGAAGCAACATACACACACACAACACACACACACTCCTCTAAATAAGAATATAAAATATTCCCATTCTTCTATGTCTCTTTCCACTGTAAGTTCCAGCTCCCAGAAAGTTCTATCTATCTTCCTGCTTTTTCTTCACCCAAAAATCCTTTCTTATGTCTTACACACAGCAGTATGGCAATATTAACATTTCTTAGAAATCCAGTGAAAAAATCTTGAGTCATCTTTGACATTTCCTTTTCTTGCATCCCCTATAACTTAACTGTCCCTAAATCTACTTTTGTCCTTTAGTTGTCACTTGGAATGATCTCCCTAGATTCCCACCATCTCATCCCTAGACCAGCCCTATATCTTTCCAAGTTAATTTCATAACACAGACCTCCACAACTCACAGAAAGCCCAGCTACTATCTGTACTAGACACAACTTCTGTCTCACCTTTTCTCTTGTTATGTTCACATTCTGTAGCACTCTCCTGTAAATCCCTTGTTTATTCAAATCCTACCCATGGTTGAAGACCACCCGCTAATCCCATACCCATGTTGAAGACTTCAAGCCCAAATTTCTCTCTTCCTTTGCCAAATTATTGTTTAGACAGCAGTTAAAAACCTAATCACTTTCAAGTATGCTTTTTGTATGTTTGTTTCTTTTCTGTTTCCCAAATCTGACTTGGATACACAAGAATGCAGAAAATTGTCTTATGTTTAATCGCGTCCTCTTACAGCCAAGCTCAGGTCTGGACAAACAAGGGCTACTTTAGTTTATTGAACAAGATCACGTAATGGTTATGAATGCAGTCTGAGGAAGACTATCACTTACTTGCCATAGGATCTCAGGGCAAATTTCTTAACTTCTCTAGGCTTTGGTTTCCTTGTCTGCAAAATGAGGATAATGTGAGTGACAAGTGTCATGAGGAAATCAAATTTGATAATGCACATAAAGCATAATGTCTGTGACATTTCAGTCTGGCCACTTTTAAGGATCAACTGGAAAGAGCATTTGAGCTCATCTACTCTAACACCTTCATTTTGCAAATAGGAATATTAAGTCCCAGGGAGATTAATTAAACTGGAAGACTAGAGTCTGCTTCTAAGGGAATCTGTTGGTGACTTTCTCAAGGTCCTTCCTGGCTTGGGGCAGATGGAGGACTAGAGTCCCTCCAATTCCTCCCATCTCCCTCAGCCCGATGTCCTTTCTACAGCATTCTGATGCCACCAGAATTAATTTTGGAGGTTAGAAAACCTTCAAGTGATTGAGAAAACTCTAAGTCAGTGGTTGTACTTGAGGTATTATTAGATTCTAGAGGACAGCTTTTAAGACACCTTTAGATTGTTATGATAACAAATTAATTTTAAAATCAATAAAGAATTAAAAGATGTTATCTGTGATTCTAAACAGCAAGAGGATGCTGCTGAATCATTTCTTTCCCTTAGCAGAAAACAAAGTTGATTGTAATATTTATACCCTCAATGCTCTTATACCTAAAAAACCTCTATCGTAAGCTTTTAAAAGTATGTGTGTGTATGTGTACATATTCGAATAAGTCCACACAAGTGTGTGCACATGAGCATATGCATCTGTTGATTGAGGCGGGAAAAGAAATCTACATGACCTTAGAATTGGAGAGGCTCCCTAAGATAGACTGGGAAAATCCAGGCAGAATCTCCAACAGAAGAACCTCCTGTGGCTCACCTTTCACCTGAAAGAATTTCAGAGACAATGGGTGACTTCAAGAGACCATCAGGGAACAAATTCTCCTATAGCACAATCTGTAATGACTAAGCCCCATCAGTCAGCGCACAATGGGGCTTTTTAGTATCTGCTTACATCCAGCTCTATTGTCCCTGCCATCTGTGACCAGCCTTCCTTCTCCCCACCTGAACACATGCCTTCTCATATACACAAGTACAGGCATACACCTCAGGGATAACCACTCTCCTTGTAGAAACTGTACAATGTTTGCTAAAGCATAGTCCCACTGGGAGTTGACTCAATTCCTGGGAAATCCAAGGGATTGTAAACAAAATAGAACCTATTTCTACTAGGACTGAACTAACTGAAAAATTTTGGAAACTAGAATTTGCTGAATACTTCCCATGCTCCATCTACTCTTCTAAGGATTTCCATGAACAGTATTGTTACTTTTGTCATATTTACAACTCTATACCAACTCCTCAAATAACACCCAGTAGATACTAAAACAATATTTAGTGAATGAATTCACCCAAGATCACACAGTAAGTGGTAAAACAAGAAATCAAACTAGGATGTAACTGACTCCAAAGACCATACTCTTTAGCCACTAAACTGCGCCATCTTCAACCCTACGCTACTTCCCCTGAGAAGTGTACTTCTTGTTATGAACTGAATGTTTGCATCCCACCAAAATTTATATATTCAAGCTTTAACCCCCAGCATGACTGTATTTGAAGATGGGGCCTCAAAGGAAGTCATCGAGGTTAAATGAAGCCATAAGGGTAGGGCCCTGATGTAATAGGATTAGCATCATTATAAGAAGAGACACCAGAGTGTGCACTCTCTCCCAACAAGCATACACTGAGAAAAGGCCATATGAGGACATAGGAAGGCGGTAGTTGTATGTAAGCCAGGAAGAGAGCCCTCACCAGAAACGGAATTGGCTAGAACCCTGATCTTGGACTTTGAGCCTCCAGAACTGTGAGAAAACAAATTTCTGATATTTAAGCCACCTAGTCTATGGCATTTTGTTGTGGCAGTCTGAGCAGACTAATATACTTTTAATACTAAAATTTCCCCAGCTCTGGGTTATATATAATTCTTGTGATCTGAGTTGTTCTTGTGCACGCCAGGGTATGTGCCACAAGGAAAAATAAATATGTTTCAAATGAAAAGTATAGGAAACAAAAGACCACCACCCATTTTAATACATAATTGTATGCAGAACCCCAGCATACTTAAAAAGAAAAAAAAACCCTGTTTTTCTGTCAAGTTCTACCCATACCCCCCAAGCAGAAACTTTAATAGGAAACAAAGGTGGGGATATCACATAATATGTAGTTATTACATATTCAAAATAGTTATTAGAACATATTGATGTAGGAATGACTCATAATTCAGATGTGTGAAAGCTCAATATCGAAACAGCAGTATTCTTTTTTACCTCAAGCATTCTTCTTTATTTCTACATAGTATATAACAGAATCTACAAAGAAACATTTATAGCCACACAGCAGAGCATGGAGTTGAGTGAGAGCCCGGAGTCCTATAAAAATGCTGGAGACTTTTCCCTGGAATCTTGGAATCCTGGACAGCTCCAGAAACTGTCCAGAGCTCCTGAGTAGTGATCTCACAGCTCTCTGATGGCCACAGTAGGAAACAGGGTGAAGTCAGACCCCTCTAAAAGCCTTTCAGAATGGTCTCCACCTCAGCAAAAATATTTGAAAGGCAGGTAGCCATAATCTGGCACTCTAGTGGAAAGACTGCCTGTAGTCTGCTGGTGTGAGCCACCGCACAGCCTGCTGTATGGCTATTAGGCTCGAAATTGTTTACCACTATGTCCCTGAAACCAAAATTACAGTAAAAACCCAGTAAATCATCCTTTCCTGCATCAGCAACACCAGACTAATTATCTACATCACAAGAAACCTGCACCTGCGTAGAAAACCCTTCTCCACATTGAAGAACACGACAGTCTGAAATTAGGACCTCACTGAAATGTTTCATCAGGCAGACCTAGTTTTGCTATAAAGAAGCTACCACCCACAGTTATCTGAAACTTATTTATTCCTCCCCCAAATTGCCGGCTGGCCATAATACAGTCATCACTTTCATGTAAAAGGTTTTCAGCACAATAGAGCTCACTCCTATGCATCATCTGAAGCAATATAAGCTAAATAGCCACAAGCCTGTAGAATGTTAAGAGGTGAGAGGCAATAGATATCATCCAGTTCAACTCCTTCATTTTAGAGATGAGACAACTGAAGTCCAGAGAGTCAAAATAACTTAATAAAGTTCACACAAGTGAGTGAATGCATTCTATTTCTCTAGTAATTTTCTTTTTTGTACAAACTCCATCTCTGCCTACCTCCTTTCTCTTCTCTGTTCCTAGCCATTGTCTCACTGTAACCCCAGTAAACTACAAAGGCGGTGACATAACCTAGGCAGCTAACTTTCTGCAAGCAGATTCTCACCGGAAAACTGGCACTTGGTGCTTTGGCAGAGAATGTGATAAAGCAGGAGCAGAAAAGAGTGCACCATCTGGACAGAAGGACGCTTAGTGCCAAGTGGGCCCCAGCCACGGGGAAGAAGAAGGAAAAAGGAAGGGTGTCACCCAACTGCACACATTCATTTTCCCTTTGAGGGGATTTGTTAGTAACCATGCTATTCTGAGTGGAAGCCGTTGTAGGTGGTTCTGATGGCTGACGAATGTGTAGGCAAGGATGAAACAAGGTGAGTGGTAGCCAGGCAATTTGCAAATGATTGTGAGCCAGAAATAGTCGGTGGTGTCTGATTACTATGTATGAATGAAGGGATACGTCTTTGAAGGGTAAAAGTATGTGTGTGTTTTCCCCCACTTACTCTCCTCTTTCTTTTTAGGAAAGTAGCAAGCACAAGATTTTCCCTGACAGTACCTAGAAAAAAATCTTATATTTAACACCACCCACTGACATTTCTCTGCTCTTGCTACATTTTAATCATACTAATATTTTCCTATGCTGTGGCCACGTGTTCCACCTATGAAAACCATACTTGTGTACACAATGGTTTTCAAGTCAATTGGAAGCATCATAGTTGCTTCAGAGGTTCTCCTCTTAGTGATTCTAGCTTTCTATGCACAAATTGCTATCGGCAATAATATGCGTCTTAATTATGATTTTCTGTTTTTGTTATGAAGATGGCTCTAGTGAACTATACCACATTGGAGGCATAAGTATTTTAAGTTACCTTCCCCAGTTTAAGACCAGCCTGTCCAACATGGTGAAACCCCGTCTCTACTAAAAAAAAAAAAAAAAAAAAAATAGCTGGGTGTGGTGGCACGTGTCTGTAGTCCCAGATAGTCAGGAGGCTGAGGCAGGAGAATCACTTGAACCCGGGAGGCAGAGGTTGCGGTGAGCCGAGATTGCACCACTGCACTCCAGCCTGGGTGACAGAGCAAGACTCTGTCTCAAAAAAAAAAAAAAAAAAAAAAAAAAAAAAAAAAGAGTCATGCATGCTAAATTTTCAATAATACATCCACAATACATCATCTCCATTGTTTGGCATTTTAGAGTTTACAAAGCACAACACATATATCGTGATATACTATTTTAACAAGAGTAATCTGATGTTGGTACTTATTCCTACTTTATAGAAATGCTCATAGGCTTGCTAAACAGAACTCAGCCCCTGAGACGCACTGTGGCAGGTGGAACAAGCCCTGACTCTAGAAGCTGATTAAGGTGGATTTGGATCCTGATACCTACTGTGGCCCAGAGCAATTCAGTGGAGACCTCTTAGCCTCAATGGTAGCAACCCCTGCCTATAAGACTCACATGCTTTTAAATAAGATAAATGATGGGAAGATGCTTGGCATAGTGTGGGGGCACCTGTCCATTTCTCTTTCCTTTCTCAACTAACTCCAAGTCTCATGCTTTTCTATTACACAATAATGCCTTCTTGTTCCTCCTTTTTTATCCTCCTATGACCAGTGAGACACACTCTAAGACAGCTGTATGAGATGAGAATAAAACCTATGGTGAGAACACAAGCATGTGAATAGTAAATATAAGGGGGAAAACTATTCTTCAGAATTGAGCTAACTGGCCTGATCAACACTGTCATGAATGTGAAAAACGGAGGGTACATATCAATCTTTAATGTATTGCAGCTGTTATCTCCTAAACTAAATATGTTCACTTTCCTTTAGAAAAAAAAAGAGGGAGAGTAGAGGGCTTTTAGCCCTGTACAGTAAGTCACCAGAATATTTCTTCTTTTTTACAATGATTTAAATTCATATTTAGTAAAAAGTAGGCTACTCATAACAAAAATGTCAGCCTAATAAGCTTCTTCTGAAATGATTTTTATTTTATTTTTCTCTGCAGTAGTATAAAATCTAATGACCAAGCGAAAAACAAATGCATCTGGTACAGCTGATGCATTCAAAGTCTGTGCAAGCTGGAATGACGGCCTCCAGGCAAAACTGTCAGTACTTGGAGTATCCTCCCTGTTCATCAGGATTCAACCTCTGTGACATAAAATTTGATGCCTTCCATAGGTAATTCTTCTGTCAAGGAGAAGTCACTGCATCCCTGATGTTAGGAATCCATTTGTTAGATTGTGTCTTTCTTTGAATACCACCAAGGCTGAATGACCTCATAATTTCATTACTCTTCAGCACAGCCCAAGTGCAATTCATAAACTGCAGGCAGAAAGATTTCCTCCTCTTGGGAGAGGTTGCTTCTGCCCACCCTTAGTATTTCTTTCCATATGGACGGTGCTGCCCTCATGGGGCACTCCTGGCCTCTCTTCTCCTCTTCACTCCCTCAAGGGAGAAAAATATCAATCCCATTGTTTTTTAGGAGAAATTTTGAAAGCATAGTCCAGCCCCACTCCTCCCATTTTCTCTTCAAGAACTGGCCATCTCACTCCATAGCCTAGACTTTGGCAGCCCTAGACTACAGGGGCACAAGAACTGGCATTTAACCATGTAATTCCAATATTTTATCCAAAGGTTACCATGAGCTTTATAGCTGTAGTATTAGCAGTATCTAATTTTTGAAGGGGAGAAAAGTACTCAATATTTAATATATCTTCTTACATATTTATTTCATTGAATAACACCTACTATTTCAACTCCAAAATAGAAAGTCCTGATAGGGAAAAGGCCACCAATTAGAATATTTTTAATTTTTAAAACACATTCACAATATAGCTGCCCTTGGTAAATATATTTATATTTCACTCATCATTATATAGAGATAGATGGGAATTTTGTCTATGGGATTTGAATTTCTACAAATCAAGAAGTCAGATTTTTTGTTTCAATTCTAACTGCCCAGCTGATGTTAATTAAATACAGAGTGAGAGCATTTAAATATCAACCATAAGAAATACAGTTCATTGGTAATCATTTACAAATTTTTGAATGAATATTAAGGTTAAACTTCCAAAGAAATATTTACAAAGCAAAAGAAGTGAGTCACTTTAGAAACCTTTTCATCCCCCTCATGCCTAATACCCAAAATATCCCAGGTGCATGGGTATTATGAAATACATTACTGTAAGCCCAGCACATCAGGCAATGAAAAAAACTAGGCCAGAAATGTTCCCATATGTTTAGGCACCAGCTGTTTTTCATGGGTGGCTGGTGGACATTTCCCTTCCTAGCCCTGGAAAATCACCCTAAATCCAGATCATCTAATCAGCTTCTGCCAAGCTGTCTGCAGGACCTCGGAGGCCACTGGGCTCTGTCCACACTGCTCTTCCTGAATCATTGAACTTTTCTGTGCTCATTGAACTTTTCCCTACAAGGTCATTCTCCCTAATCTTTAACCATCTTTTAGGCATTGTAAGAAACCTTTCCCACATCTCTGTGAATTCCACTTTAGAGTCTCATCTAATTTCCTCCATTTAGGCAGAAAATGTGGAACTTTATTATAGCTTAAAAAAGAAGGGGAAAAACAATGTCTCCCTCATTCTTTTGGAGTATGTAGTTATGAGGTGTTGCACAGATGTAAAGAACATAGCTGGTTGACTAGCATATATCTCAACACTTTGCAAAGAAATTGATTAAGGAAAATGCCGTTAATTCAGACCTTACTTTGTCAGAAATGTTAAAGGGTTTATAGCCTAAGTTTACCTTTATGCTATCTATTTACACACATGCTTTCCACATGTTGATAGGCAGAACACAGTGGCTCAAGCCTGTAATCCCAACACTTTGAGAGGCTGAAGCAAGAGGATCATTTGAAACCAGGAGTTCAAAACTGGCCTGGGCAACATAGCAAGACCCTGTCTCCATAACAATATGAGCATATGCAGGTGTTTTTTAAAATATTTTTTTTTTTTTTTTTTTTTTTTGAGATGGAGTTTTGCTCTGTCACCCAGGCTGGAGTGCAGTGGCGCGGTCTCGGCTCACTGCAAGCTCCGCCTCCCAGGTTCACGCCATTCTACTGCCTCAGCCTCCCAAGTAGCTGGGACTACAGGCGCCCGCCACCACGTCCAGCTAATTTTTTTGTACTTTTAATACAGATGGGGTTTCACCATGTGAGCCAGGATGGTCTCGATCTCCTGACCTAGTGATCCACCCGCCTCGGCCTCCCAAAGTGCTGGGATTACAGGCGTGAGCCATCGCGCCCGGCCAGAATTAATGTCCTTATAAGCAGAGACACTAGAGAGCTCTCTCCCTCTTTCTCTGTCTCTCTGGAAGCACACAAAAAACGGTTTCTCAGAAAATGTAGAGAAAAGGCAGCCAACTACAAGCCAAAAGAAGAAACCTTAGAATGAAACCCACCTTGCCAGCACCTTGATCTTGGAATTCTTAGCCTGCAGAATGGGGATAAATAAATTTCTGTTGTTTAAGCCACTCGGTTTATGATATTTTGTTATGGCAGTTCAAGAAGATTAATATGCTACCCTACCTTCATAATTGCAATAAAGAAAAATATACCTGAAAATATATTAATAAAATATACCTTAATTGCTCTTGTCATGACCTAATGCAGACTGCCTCTGACTTACTACGGCTTGACTTCAGATTTTTCGACTTTACAATGGAGTTGAAAGCCTTACACATTCAGTAGAAATTGTACATCAGGTACTCATGCAGCCATACTGTTTTTCACTTTCAGTAGAGTATTCAATAAATCACATGAGATATTCAATATTTTATAATAAAATAGGTTTTGTGTTAGATGATTTTGCCCAAGCATTAAATGCATTTTTACTTACATTTCAACTTACAATGGGTTATTGGGACATTGCCCCATCATAAGTTGAGGGGAATCTGTTACATTTCTGCTCTTGGTGTGTTTCCCATTTAGAGAGGAGGGAAAGTGAGAGCAAGGACTTTGTCTTATGCATCACTGAATCCACAGCACACACAGCAGTGCCTGACACAATGTAAATACTAAGCTGACATTTGCTAAACAAATAAATGTTAGGTAAATGAATTTTAAAGTAATATTAAGCCTGATGTTTTCTGTTATGTGGGTATCTCATCTGAAATGGCAAGATTTCTCTGAAGCAAGATCAGAGAAAATGTATTTTATGTGTTTCCTAGTTTGTAGTCATGAGACACAGAAAAAATACGAAACCTACTTCTCTAGTGTCCAAAATAGAGCATACCACCACCACCTGTGATATTGAAGTAAAGAATAAACAAAGAAAAAAGAGCAAAAGGGAAGCATGAAGGCTTCATAAGCAAACAGGGAAGCCATTCTAATTTAAAATTATTTTGATAATGTATATAATACACTAGATGGCATGAGAAATGAGAACACAAAAATGCACCATTGCTTGTTATTTTGGAGGGGAGGACAGTTGCATTTGCTCTTGTAATTGTCAAATGTGTTCCTCTTGTGCTGCAAGGATCCATCATAGCCAGCTAGAGACTGGGGGCTGGCAGTTCTATTGATAGACTTGAGCACACACTGCAGTCTGTCAAGTCTCACATTTACATCTTAGGATCTAATCTGTTTTTCCTTCCTTCATGAAATCAATTCTGTAGCAATTAAATAACCAGCCCACAAGGCATTTTAATATCCCAAGCATTTATCTATATATAGCCCAGAAAGGAAAAGGTAATTAGAAGTGACTTACTATCACCGGTGCTGGGGGACACATTAGAAAAATCAGTGCTTCATCATTACTTTAAAGAGGTACCTCTAAATCTACTTCATTTGTGATTCAGTCCTCCTCTGTGACATGCTGCTGAGTCCTTTGATTCCTAGAGGACAGAGACTTTTAAATGGTTGTCATTATATGGGATTTTATTTCATTTTCTGTCAATTTCAGGCAGCACTGAAATAGACTGTTTTTAGCTGTGGGATGGTATCATCACATGCACACAGCATTGGTTCAAGTAAGTTTTGAAAGATGTGAAAAGGCTCAAAGAAAATGACTTTCCATGTCCTCATCCATTTGAGTGTTTTAAGCTGAGTCTTATAGGTTAGAATTTCTTGAGGAGTGATTTACGGGAAAAAGAAAGCAAGGAATTTCCAAAAGATCCAAGCAAATTTTATTGGTCTTCTCTTTGAAAACTGAATTTACCTTTCAGATCAATAGCCTGAACATATGAGGAAGTTATGGCAGAGACTAATGAGCATAGAATTTACCTTGGAAAGACCAACCGTAATTCCTGGTACTGCCTCTTCCAGCTACTAGTAAACCCCTGCAACTAGATTTCCTCATTTACATAATGGTAATAAAATACCCTTGGTGGTTATTAGATGCACATCTCTTTCCATATTAGCAACTGAAATTGAGGTGCATATCACCATGCATGGTTGCTTTCAATACTCCACATCAGTGTTTGGGACCAAGTTGCTGCTTAGGGCTGCCCTGGTATTCCAGAAGTATAAAGCTAAGGAATTGCTAAGGTGAGAACTTGGTAATGTCTCTGTCACCACCTCCAGAGTTCTTCCTAGCTATATGCATAGTCTCTGTTTCAAGCCATCTCTCTGCTGAACCTGGGTATGGAAGCCTCCAGACTGAGAACTCAGGAATTTAATGTGGGATGTAGCAACAAGGTAAATTTCCTTGATCTATTACCTAGTTCTTTTACCTATTTGCTATAATAATGCACCTATTTGAGGCACTTCAAGTCATAAGTCACATGGAATAATTAGGGAATTCATCTATGGCTGAAGGGAAGATTCAAAGCACATTTATAAGAGGCATAAAATAAATTTTATAAGTGACTCAAAGTATTTTGTCATGGTTAAGTAGAATTATTTTTTGCTTTCATAGTGGTACATTTTTAAAGGTGCATTTATAAGCTATGGCATGTAAGATTCATGAAACAGTACCTGCGGCAAGGTCAGATGAGACCATGTGGGTAAAATGGTTTATAAATGACAAAAGTCAGTACAAATGAAAAATATGATAATAATACTCTGCCAGGAATCAGTTGAAGGAAAACCACTCCATAAACGTATTTTGTGGTTTATAAATTATGACTCAATAAAAAATAATAAGCCAGGCATGGTAGCATGTGCTAATAGTCTCAACTACTCAGGAGGCTGAGGCAGGAGGATCACTTGAGGCCAAGAGTTTAAGACCAGCCTGGGCAACACAGCAAAACTCTACCTCTAAAAAATTTAAATAAATAAAACATAATAGAGATAATCCAGCATATTCAGAACACCCCAAAACAGAATTTTATTTTGCATCCCCTAAGGAAATACACATAAAATTTAGAGAAATTCTCAGTATAGAATTTAAAGTTCATCTTTTTATGATAGTATATAAATAAGAGCAATAGAGCATGAATTTCTATATATAACATATGTATATTAGAAACGTTCATTAAGGTAACCACCAAAAGTGGTAGAAGGCTACACTGAATATGAGTTTTGTAAATATGGTTCCCTAGTGGCATCACAAGACGTTTCAAACTCACTAGAATCAACTTAGAGAAGAATAAATCCATATAGCCCAGCGACAAACTGCCAAGGCATTCTGAACACCAAGATCTACCATGAGCATCCACTCCAGAATGTATGTGTTATTCACTCAACATACATCTACCGAGACCCCATTCAATGAAAGCAGAGTGTGAGAACCTCTGCTTTCATTCATTGTTACAGCTCAAGGTATTCATTGTTATAGCTCAAGGACATTACTTTGCCTTTTACAATACTAACATTGAGAGTTCCACACTCTAGGAAAAAGCAAGTGCATTCCAATGAAGTGTGTAATAGCATGCTCACCCAAAGATAGTGAGGACAGATTCCTCATTGATCTCTCTCAGTGCCAACAGGAAAATATCCCAGTATGGTGCATTCTACTAAGTATCTCCTTAGGTGTTTCAAGTGGCTAAAAATAAATCAGTCCAAAGTGACAAGTCATGGTCATTAGTGCCTGTGAACCTTTGCAACTACCATCACTTCTGCCTTTTGTATAACTTCTTAACTCTTGTTCTCATAAGTTTCTACTAAATGACTCATTGCCACTGGGAAGCATTCCCTGAACTTCCCAGCATCAACAACTTCTTCATCTATACTAAGACAGTGTCCAGTTCCCTTCCCTTGTGGGTTGGGTTGGCTGGAGAAAGTGCTGGGAGCTGAAGATGCCAGAGGGGTCACCACCCCATGGCTTCCACTATCACCACTTTAGAGGAAAAGTAAAGTGTTCCAAATAGAGCAGGGCCTTGTGTCACTCTGTCTCACCTGAAAGTTCAGTTCCCTTCTGATTGGTGCACTCCCTGCCGAAAACCATTCATTGCCTGCTAACCACCACAGATGATATCCAATCTCTAGAGCAGGAGTTAGTAAACTAAGGCCTACTGGCCAAATCTAGCCCATGACCTGTTTGTGCAAGGTGTGCAGCTAAGAATGCTCCTCACATCTTAAAGGATGGAGAAAATAAGATAAGATGGGACAGAAATTGTACATGGCCCACAAAGCCCCACTTAAAAGGAAACATTTGCTGGCCGGGCGTGGTGGCTCATGCCTGTAATCCCAACACTTTGGGAGCCCTAGGCAGGCGGATCACGAGGTTAAGAGATTGAGACCATCCTGGCCAACATGGTGAAACTCCATCTCTACTAAAAATACAAAAATTACCTGGGCACGGTGGCGAGTGCCTGTAGTCCCAGCTACTCGGGAGGCTGAGGCAGGAGAATCACTTGAACCTGGGAGGCGGAGGTTGCAGTGAGCTGAGATCGCACCACTGCATTCCAGCCTGGTGACAGCACGAGACTCTGTCTCAGAAAAAAAAAAAAAAAAAGGAAACATTTGCTGACCCCCTATTTAGAGAGTGGTGTCGGAGACGTCTTGATCCATTCCCCCAGTGCCTTTCTGGCCTCATCTGCAGAACCCAATATCCAGCCATAGACAACTCCCTGAGGTTACCCCAAAATGTGTCTTGATTATAATACACCCACAGCTTTAAACATGCTATTTATTTTCCCTACCATAATATGATCAAATTCTTATTTTTGAAGATTAATTCTGTAACTGATTCAAAGGTGAGTTTTTGATGGGTGGTAGGGATAAGGGGTACAGGATTCTGGAGGAAGACCACAACAATGGATCAGGAGAAAGATGACAAAAGTCTGAAAAAGTACAGAGGAGGGTGTAAAATTCGTAGATATGAAACATATAGTAAGGAAATGGATACAGAAAAAAAATAGCAAAGATATGGAACATATTTGTTAGTTGCGGAGACCAAGAAGGAGTCTAGGAAGCCAACAGAGCTCGAAATGTAGTAAGAGGAGGATGCTATTTCCATTCACCAAAAAAAAGAAAAAGGCAGTTCTGGGAAGAAGATAATGGGTTCAACCTCCTAGCTGTTGCATTTTCAGTTTCAGTTTCTGTGTGAAATGTCCACGTGTAAGAATCTTTTTTCTTTTCTTTTCTTTTCTTTTCTTTTCTTTTTCTTTTTCTTTTTTTTTTTTTTTTTTGAGATGGAGTCTCCCTCCATCGCCCGGCTGGAGTGCAGTGGTACAATCTCTATCTCGGCTCACTGCAACCTCCACCTCCCAGGTTCAAGCGATTCTCCTGCCTCAGCCTCCCAAGTAGCTGGGACTACAGGCACGTGCCACCACGGCCAGCTAGTTTTTGTATTTTTAATAGAGACAGGTTTCACCATGTTGGCCAGGATTGCCTCAATCTCTTGACCTCGTGATATGCCCGCCTCAGCCTCCCAAAGTGCTGGGATTAGAGGCGTGAGCCACTGTGCCCAGCCAAGAATCTTGTAGGCAGCTAGAAAGAATATGCTGAAATTCAGGTGAAAGGTCTAAGTTGGTGCCACAGTTCTGGATGCTGGAGTTGGCACTGTGAGAGCAGATGAAATCCTTGTCAAAGCTGGAACCCAAGGAACGCTACCATGCATGGGACAGGAGAAGTAAAACTTGCCAGCAAAGAAGACAGAAGAACTGGTTAAAATAAGAAATAACCAGAACACAATGGTGTTGTGGAAACCACGAGAAAACAGTGCTTCAGGATGCCACGTGCTGCAGAATAATTAAGACCAATAAAGACTGGAGAGTGGCCATGGGATTGGCGACTAGATGATGTCACTCTCCTCTCAGGTTCTGGAAAATACGGAAGTGCAAAGAACAAACATAGGCTTGTCGGGAAACTATACTGCTATTGTTTGAAAGGCTTTAGATTCAGACAAATCTGGCTCTAAATCCTAGTTCAGACACCTGTTTTCTGTGAAGCCTAATTAACCTTTCCAGGTGGCAGTTTCTCCATGGGTAAAATAGAAACTACACTAATTACAAATGACTATTATGACAAATGTCTATAAAATAAAATGATAGAGGTTAAAGTGCTTGATACATAGCCAATATTTAATAATCATTATGAATTATTATTGTTACCAAAACTGTGGCTTTACAAGAAGATAGATAAGATTATGGCTATGGGGGCACAAGCTCAAAAGAATAAGATTGTTTTTCATTTTGAAAAATGAGCCTGTTTACAGACTATAAACAGTGTTTGTATAAAGAGAGGTTATAATTGATCACTCACAGTTCTGGAGGATATAGAAAAGGATGAAATTAAGAGCATAGGTGACAAATTAGAATCGACTTTTTGTGTATGAGAGAGAAGAAGAGAGATGAGTTGGAAATTGAGTTGAAAACAAAAAAAAGAGACAATGGAAGATGAGGGAGTTCCCTCCTGGTTAGTAAAATTATAAAGAAAGCCAGCTTAAAGCTTCTCAGGGGACCAATCTCTACGAGGTATTAGCATGTCACTAGAGAAAATTAGTTTTACTAGAACTTCTCACAGGGAAACTGCAGTATTCTACATGGTAGGAAGGCAAATTCAATTCCTTCTTGAGGTGGAGAAAAGTGAAACACTCTTCCCTCTGCCAAGAAGGCCCATAGTTCCCCCAGTGCCTTTCTGGTCTCATCTGCAAACCCAATATCCAGCCATGAACAACTACTTGAGGTTACCCAAAAATGTGTTTTTATTTTAATATACCCCCAGCTTTAAACATGCTATTTCATTTGCCTACCATAACACGATCAAATTCTTATTTTAGAAAATTAACTCTGGTAACTGTTTCAAAGATGAGTTTTTGATGAGTGGTAGGGATAAGAGGCATTAGTACAGTAATAACAAAAAACGGTTACTACACCTCTTTGTACAAGGGGAGGGGAGGCTCTGCTGATCTGCAGAGCTGTTGCTTTGCAGAATGCAGTGTGCATGTCTGGGGCCATAGCTGAATTGCTTAAAATAATGGAAGAAAGGTTGATCCGTCCCTCCTTTCCCTTTAATAATTATCCAAGCCAGTAGTCCCCAACCTTTTTGGCACCAGGGACCTGTTTCATGGAAGACAATTTTCCCACGGACTGGGTAGGGGGATGGTTTTGGGATGAAACTGTTCCACCTTAGGTCATCAAGCATTAGATTCTCATAAGGATTGTGCAACCTAGATCCCTCCATGTGCATTTCACAATAGAGTTTGTGCTGCTATGAGAATCTAATGCCGCAGCTGATCTGATAGGAGGCGGAGCGCAAGCGGTAATGTTTGCTCAACCTCCACTCACCTCCTGCTGTGTGGTCTGGTTCCTAACAGGCCACAGACCAGTACCAGTCCATGGCCCAGGGCTTGGGGACCCTCAATCTAAACAACATTGGTTTGAAATGTTCCAAACCAGCAGCCTGCCTGGGGTGCTCAAACCTTGGCTCCATTGGAAATGGAAATGAAGTTCCTGGTGATGGGGAGTGGGTCAGGGTATTTGAAGAGAGTGGAAGGGATGATGACAGATTCTGTGAAAAACCTGAAACCAACAGGTATTGAAGATAGAAACTGTGTAAGGGGCTTACAAATGAGAAAGGAGAAAAAATATCAAGTGACTAGAACAGTCTGTGAGGTCACCTATACTTCTCCTTCTTTTCCCTTAACTTCTTCCCTTTTGCCAATTCCTTCTGCTGACTTACTTTGAAACTCTGACATTTTCAATTCCCTCTTTATTTCCCCTCTCCCCTGCCCCACCTCACCCTTGGTCCTTATTCTCCTGATTGTATACTTTTTGGGTAGCACTGCTTTGCCACTCCACAGGTAAATCAGACTTATTTGATCTTATTTCTAGGGTATTATGTTTCCCAAAGTGGTGGGGAAAAAAAGAGAGGATACATAAATTCCAGTTTATATAAAAATAAAATGGAATCTGAAGTACTCATCTACGTTTCCCTTTTTACGCATACATAATTTTTTCATATTTTGCTTTACAAAACTACAATCAGTGCCTCTAATAGACTTTCCCTTATTATAGCCTCTTCAGTCCATGCAGTATAAGAAGAATCAAACTGTTTTAAATATGCATATTCAAGCCAGAGAATTAACTTCAAAATAAGATATTTTCCAGGAATAATTACTGCTGTAGTTAATGACCTGTAGCATGCTTTGGTCCATTAACTCCTCCCAGCTGGTTAATACTCCCTTAGGAAATGCCCAGTGTCTCAATCATTATTGACTAATTAATTGGGCTTTCCTGGACACAGATGTGTTTTTGTAACATCATATCTCAAGCAGGTGTATTTAGTTGTCCACTGACCAAATGCTGTTGTCCAGTTTCAGATTCTTCTAGACCGATATTCATTGATGGTCTAGTTTACATTCATGAAAGTATCAAAATAAAAATGAAATCAGAAAATATACTAATGTGAAACTTCCCAAACAAAATAGGCTTTTTTCTTCCCTAAGAGAACTATGTGCTAGCTCTGTGATACTAAGCAAGTTACTTAACCTCTCTTAAGCTTCATCTTCTCATCTCTAAAATGGGGATAATAATAGCAGCTGCTATCATAGGAGTCTTGCAAGAACGAAGAGATAATGCAGAGCAAATATATAGGATAATGCATGATATCAGTATTCAGGAAGTCATCATTTTTATTTACTATCTTCTTTACTACAAAAGCAGAGGGCAGATTGCATGGGCATAGAATATTTTGCGCCAATTACAAGCTCACCTCAATCCCAATATTTTTGGCCTTTTTCCTAAAACAAATCCTAAAGAGAATTATACAGTACTCACAGATTCTCTGAACTGAGTGAGAATATAAGAAAGGAAGAAAAGAAAATCAGGATAGACTTCTCAGTCACTCTTTGAATGTGAAAATGCTTAGCCACCAAACTCTTGATCATTTTTTAATCAATAGTTTTTTTTTTCGTCAATACCTCCACCAAACTCTTGATCTTTTTTTCATCAATAGCCATCCATCAAGTATAGATAGCAGCAGGAGGCAGACAAATGCCTAGGCAGATAGGGGCAGGTCCCTAGTGAAATTCCACCTCCAAGCTGAAGACAGTGTAAAGCCTGAAAGGCAAGCTACAAGTCAAATCCACGGACCAGATTAAAAAATTGTCTTCCCGTTTGGCACACTTTCCTCTGATTGAACCCCACTCTTCAGCTATTTTACATATACCTACCCTTTTCTAATTGGTTTTCTACACTGCCATGCCCATCTTTGAGTGGTGCCTTTGCTTTAGCCTTTCTTTGCATACTCACAAGCCAATCAGCACATACTCTCCATTCTGAATCCATAAAAAGCCCTGGACCCAGCCACACAGAGAGAAAAACCACCCTGCATCCCCTCTCTGCTGAGAGCTATTCTGTTGCTCAATAAAATTCTTCTCCACTCATTCTCATCCTTCTAATTGTCTGCATAACCTCAGTCTTCTTGGATGTGGGACAAGAGCTCAGGAACCACCAAACACGGGTACAATCTGTAACATAGGTGGGCCAAGTGGGTGGGGTGCCTCCAGTGGCAGGCCCAGGGCCAAGTGAGGCCCAGGCAGGCATGCATCACTGGCCATGAAGGTCCCCAGTTGGCACAGTAGCCGAGAAATATCCTGCATCGTTTCAGCCACTGAAAATCATGAGTGACCCGAATGAGAGTGCAAGAGGTCAAGGTTCTGATATGCTTTCAAACACTGATTTGTGCACTTGAACCAAAGCATGAAAATTGCCTGGTGAGTTTAGGCTGCACGGCTAAAAAGAGGAGGTATAGCAGCTGTTGACTGAGAGCCTCCATGCCAGCTGAGGCCAGGTTTTCACCCATGGATGCCACAAAAGCAGCCATAGTCTCATAGGGACTGAAGCCTTGGGATTGGTGGTGCCCTTGGGAATGACAGTGCCCTTTAGAGGAGAGGAGTTGTCATCTCTGCAGAAGCTCCCTGTGTCCCTTTCCTGCCTGTCTTCTCACTCGCTTTGCCTCCTGAAATCTGGAAGAACAAATAATAACCTAGAAACTGAAAAGTAAGATTCAAGCATCTTTCATCTAATGTGATCTGTTTTGCGAACCATTATAAGTCAATGGCTTGAGCTTTTTTTTTTTAATTTTCAAAATCTCATTACATCCCTAATAGGGTTCTTTTGTGGATAAAAATGATTCAGTGCTTTTAAGTACAAGAGCTTTGCTGCTTATAAATGCTCGCTGGAGTCACGTAAGTGTAGTAAATTATAAATTTGGAAATGTAAAAGTAACAGGCTTCTGATTGAACCACAGGGCTGTATATATTTTTTTAAACCACAAAAAGAAAAATATATAGCTTCTAGTTATTATAAATAAAATCACAATAATTTACCTGTATTAGTCCATTTTCACATTGCTAATAAAGACATACCTGAGATGGGGTAATTTACAAAGAAAAGAGGTTCAATTGATTTACAGTTCTGCAGGGCTGGGGAGGCCTCAGGAAACTTACAATCATGGCAGAAGGAGAAGCAAATACGTCCTTCTTCACATGGAAGGAGAAGTGCCGAGCAAAGGGGGAAAAGTCCCTTATAAAACCATCAGATTGGCCAGGCGCGATGGCTAAGCCTGTAATCCCAGCACTTTGGGAGGCCAAGGTAGGTGCATCACAAGGTCAGGAAATCGAGACCATCCTGGCTAACACGGTGAAACCCCATTTCTACTAAAAAAACAAAAAACAAACAAAAAACACACACAAAAAAAAATTATCAGGGTGTGGTGGCGGGCGCCTGTAGTCCCAGCTACTCGGGAGTTGAGGCGGGAGAATGGCGTGAACCTGGGAGGCGGAGCACTCCAGCCTGGGCGACAGAGTGAGACTGTGTTTGAAATAAAATAAAATAAAATAAATAAAAATCAGATCTCCTGAGAACTCACTCACTATCACGAGAACAGCATGGGGGAAACTGCCCCCATGATTCAACTACCTCCCACAGGGTCCCTCCCATGACACGTGGGGATTATAGGAACTACAATTCAAGATGAGATTTGAGTGGAGTCACAGCCAAAACATAGCATTACCTTTAGTTTGTAATTTCAGTATTTTAAGCCAATGCATTAAAGGAAGAATTTAATGGGTCTCAGAATAATTAATCTAATAGCAAGAGCCTTGATTCTCATTTCAATTTCTATATGGAACTCCTGATGACTTGAAAGAAAGTGAGATCCAAAATAAGGATTGGTCCTTCTAATGGTAACAGTTATGCAGCGTAAAATTTCAAAAAGGGAAATGCATATAATTTACTATTATAAATATTTGGAAAATCAGCATCTAACTTACATGCTTTAGAAAGAAAGAAGACTTGGGGAAGTTGTGCTTTTATGAAGCTTTCTGCATTGCTTATCAAAACGAAGGCCATGCTAAACATGGCCTTCACTGAGAAATACCAGCCCAGGAACAAACTCATTTCTGATAAAGTTGATGCAGCTGTTTGATGCACAGAATAACTCACAAGGATTCCAGAAGCAGGAGTACTGTTTATTCAGTATGCTGGCAGAAAGGAACTTTTCATTTAGAAGCTCGGAGCACATAATGAGATTTATCTAAAAGCAATGGTGGCCACAGAAACTGTTGAGATAAACACAAGGGAATAAACACAAGGGGATTTCATTTTGTATTTAGCCAGGCCTACAACCCATGTAGGAGGCCCATAAAACCAGACTGCTTGTACATTGGAGTGTAAGCATTTCTATGATGAATCCATTGAACTCAGCCTTCCCCATCTAATAATGGACCAACGGTTTCTTCATGTGAGCAAGTCATTTGCTTCTCTATCATTAAGAAAACCGTAGTCACTATTCTAACAGTGGCTTTACTCAACTGGCAAAAGTCTTCTTCCTCTTTTTTGCTTCTTTTCTTAAACAAACATGTGCAGTTGAATGGTATTAGAGGTATATGTGGTCTGATCCATGTAACAAGAGTCCTGGAAATATGTCATGATTGTTCCTGATTTTGATCAAACTGACCATCCTGCTTGGATGACCATGCTGTCTCTTCAGGGTCTGAAATTTGGTATCTTTAACCAAATTTCAAACAAATCATAGGGCTCTAGTTCCCTAGATAGTGGCATGTTTTGTGGAAAATTTATATTCAAGGCTTAGATGAAGAAACAGGCATCTCTCTAAAAGAGTGAATCTTTTCTCTTTATATCAGTATGGCACAATTAAAAGGAAGTCACAAGAGCTTTATTTCTTGGCCTGTACACAGAACTGTAAGGAAAACGATGCCAACGTGTAGGCCAAACTTTGTGGACCAGCACTACTTACTCCTAACCTGTGCCAGGAAGCCCCTGACACAAAGAGCTGGAAGCTTTCTCTAAGGAAGACTTCTGATTGACAGAAAGCATGATAGCAGAGTTGAAGGGCAGAAGCTGCATCTCAACTGCCCTCAAAAGAAGTGACTTATTTATGCGAGACACTCACTAACTCTCTCTCCAGCAAAGTAAGAAGTGAACCAGAACTGCAAAAATGTAAAAAGAGACACAAAGCACATTGTTTGGAAGACATTTGAAGACATTAACCTTTACAAAAAGAAAAATAAAAAGAAAAGAAGGGAGAAAGAAAAAGCTTCCTTTACTCTGCAGGCCTAGAAAATTGTTACAGAAGTGTACCTTGGACAATCAGTCACTTTGAAAAGAAAGTCTCCTTTCTCAAATGAGCTTAAAAATCACCTCTCTGGGGCCAATTTATACTTCATTTTTACCATGACAGAGACCAGAACTTTGATTCTGGCTATGAAAATTTTTCTTAAATCTAATGCAGAGGATGGAAATTGGCACAACAGTATAGAATTTTATACTAATTAAGGCCTCGGACAAAAACTCTGGGCCCATGCAAGGGAAGAAAGTTCTAATTGGCCAATTCTTTGGAGGACTCTTCTAAAGTAAAAAGAGGGAAAGAGGGAAAAAAGAGATGGAGACGGGGGGTGCAATCAACTCAAAAACAATATTCCGAAATCCTCAGAATAAACATTAATAAGAAAAAATATAAAAATAAAAACAAAAGTAAAAGTAATTTTAATTCAAAAACTTTATACCAAAGAGTCACATTTAACAATCACCTTCATTCATCTTAGGCCCTTGCTCACCTGGAGTTCCTCAGAGAATTAAGTCCTCATACTACTCTAGGGCATCCATTGCATATTAATTAAGTTCTCTCCTTGGCATCTAGGATATTCAGGTATGCACCATCCTTGGAAGAACTAAGAAAGAGTGACTTAAACAATTTTCAGTTTTTGTAAAATGAGGAACTCAATCTAAATCTTCAATATAAATAATTTCTTGTAACAACTCCCTCAAAATACATTCTCTTTCTCTCTCTCCTCCACCACCCCCCTGTGTGTGGGGGGTGTCTGTCTCTCTCTCTCTCAAACACACACACACACACCTACACACACACACACACACACACACACACAGACTAAATAAGGCACACTCCCCTTCAGTTCAGGAACTTGGAATTCTGTCTCTTTCTATTCTCACTCTTCTTTAAGGTTTCATCTGCCCAGAAACCTCTCCTGACCTCTCTGAGCTGTTTTACACGCTCTCTGTGCTCCCTGTCCCCCATGGCACCTTTTGCTCACTTCTATTTTTTGCACTCATTGTTGCATTATAATCAACTGTGGATTGTTCCTTTTTCCCCTTCATTGATTTCAAGAAAAGCACCTTAGTATTTTTAAACGCCAAATGCCTAATTTAGTTTCTAAACTAAGAGGTCCTCTATAAAACAGATTGATTTAAACCAATTTTATCTATGACACCAGCCTAAAATTATTTAATGAAAGCAGAAGCCATCATTTTGTTTGATATTCTAAATGCTAAATATCTTTATTATCTATCAAAATGGCTATCAAACTCTATTCCACAGAATGTCAAGATTCCTTGAAAGAATCTATGGCCATCTTCTACACATATTTGTTCAATAAATATTGAATGAACGAACAGATGAATGAGTAAAAAATATAGAAGGAGATATGAAAAATAGCATAATTGATCCAAAGTGTTTGAAATCCTTTTCTGAAAGAATTTGAGAGTATAAATGAGTATAAACAAGGAAAACTTCTTTACTTCATTTTTGTAGTTTAATTGCTTTGTTGTTTTTCATTACAAACTTGTAATTTATAATTTCCCATAATATTTTTGTCTAATAAGACTTTAAGCTCATTCAGAGCTTGGACCATGTTATAGATTATTTAATATCCTGAGAGCTCTAAACCTAACACTTAGTGCAGAGCAGGTGCTTAAGAAATTCACTAAGGCAGAATTACATTGAAATAAATATTAATTCATTTTTAAAAATGACATTGAATAGCTTCACATATAAAGAGTATTTTGCATAAATTATATCTTCAAATCATACTTGCTATTTTGATCATTACAAATAATGCCACATTTAGAAAGTATAAGTACCAGTATTATGAAATTTTTAATTGTTTCCAATACATTGTATTATTTAACATTCTTCCATTAACTTTTTTAAATAAAGGAGACAAAATTGACTGGAAAAGTAATACAATTTTAAGAAAGGCAAAATGGCTTTTAATGAGTAACACTTCAACTGTCAGGTTAGGAAATTTTGTCTTAACTGGAAGCAGGGGAGCAATTTTTAAGAGGCTTTTAAATAATGTTTTGCACAAAATATGTACTTACATTCAGAAGAACCAGAAAAGTTCATTTGGCACCAACATTTCACCTAAAATCCATAAAAACATCAGTTAGCTCTATAGAAATCATAGCACACTTTACTTTCTGAGAACACAGATCTAGAACCACCAAATCCATTTACTACCTAGCTAACCTTGGGAAGGCACTTAATCTCTTGGTGTCTCTATAGTTTCCCCACCTCTAAAATGGGGATAATAAAACCTGCCTCCTAGAATTATTGTGAAAATTAACTGGGATAATATGTTTTAACACATTTAGAAGTGACTAGCCCATAATATGCACACGTAGATGTTAGTAATCAATATCATAGAAGGGACATGCCATCTGAAAACTATTTTTGTATCTAATAGAAGATTAAATTCAGAGGAAAAGAGGATTTTATCATAGGAGGTTCACTGTTATTTTTCCCCAAATGCTTATTTCTCACTTCCTGTACTCTGCAAGGCTGTCTTATCTATGAACCAGGAAAACTTGAGAATAAAAATTGGAATGGAAGATTTTATTTCATGAAATCCCGACAAAAAATTATTCCTAAACATTTATAAAGAAGAAAACGATGGGAAAGCAAAACACAACCAAAATCAAAAAGAAGATCTGCTTAGGACAGAGCATAGAAGAAAAAAATCCATCAAGGTCCACCTCTCCTCCCCAGAGCCCTCCCTGCTGCACTCTCAGGTCAGCATCCAGGCACAGAGCATCCATCTGGAAGCCCACACTTCACAATCCAGCACTGAAACCAGATGGCATGACACGAAGACTCCATTTCTGAGTGCAAAGAATTTTGTAAGTTGAACAGTGAAACCTTCTGAGGAAGCACAACTCCCTACAGAATTTCACACACCCAAGTTTCTGACCCACAGGTCAAAGAAAGTCTCTAAAAATCTGCCATCTTGGTGCACATACTGCACATTTGGTCTCATTCCCAGAACACCCTGGAGAAGCACTGGGCATGACAGTTGCCACAGTAAAAGAAGTTAGCCAGGAAATGGGGAGTAAATATGGAAAGGTTACAGCACAGTATCTCACTGTACACTGGAAAGCTCTAGACAAAGGGATTCTTTCATTAATAAACTTTTTACTGAGAGTTCATCTTTGATGCATAGCATATCCTAGGTAGCATGCAGAGGTGAACAGGCAACCTCTGCCATCACGGCCCTTAGATTCCAGATGAGGGAAGAAACTAGGCTACTAAGTAAATGTATAATATAGCATCACAGCACATGGTGGTTGGTTGTGTCATTCTGAAGATTAAGGGAAGACATAATGTGAAAATAGTGTAGCTTCAGTAGTCAGGGTTTAGAGCTGAGACCACCTAGTAAGTTCATACAAATACAGCAAAGAAAGGGTGGCACTGAAGGAGGGAAATCAGCAGAGAATGTGTCTCAAATGTGAGCAAGCAGCTTTTTGAATAGGGATAGTCCTATTGATATGGTTTAGCTGCATCCCCACAAAATCTCATCTTGAACTATAGTCCCCACATGTCAAGGGTGGGACCAGGTGGAGGTAATCTGATCGTCAGGGTGGTTTCCCCCGATGCTGTTCTTGTGATACTGTGTCTCACAAGATCTGATGGTTTTATAAGCATCGGGCATTTCCCCTGCTTGTACTCATTCTCTCTCCTGCCACCCTGTGAAGAGGTGCCTTCTGTTATTATTGTAAGTTTCCTGAGGCTACCCCAGCCATGTGGAACCCTGAGTCAATTAAACCTCTTTTCTTTATAAATTACCCAGTCTTGGGTATTTCTTCATAGCAGCATGAGAACGGACTAATACACCTATAATCTTTATGTCTGAGCCAAAGTGCCTGGTCAGGCACGAAGCAGCCCTCAATCCATGCTTATTGGATGAATCCATTTCATAAACCCAATCTAAATCATAAGCTTCTTCAAGATCTTCCTGCCCACCAAACACTGAAAAGCATTGAATACATTTTTAATGAATGGCAGCTGGAACACCATTTGGGCATCCCAAATTACGGCCCCCCGCCCAAAAAAAAATGTGCAAAAGTTTTGACTACTAAAAGTTGAGATACCTAAGCTTTCTCTTTCTCATGAGAGAGAAAAAGCTGTCTACCTCACTGGTATATTCACTGTATTCTGTGTCTTGGGTTTTCTTAGTAAGAAATGGAACTGAGATTTCAATCCAGGGAGTCAGATTCCAAAAGCATGACTGAAAAACAACATTAGTAGTAACAAGGTATCTGAGGGAATCTTGTGCCTAAAAAAATAAATATTTAGCCCCAATAAATCAATCAACTCCTTGAAATGCTATGCCCTTGGACATAATGATTTTGCAGCAGTAAGTAAAATATAGGTATATTTAATAAGTAGCTATAAATACTCTCTACACCCTAAACTAAATGATACTGTGTAGCCATAAGAAGCTTGCTTAGCTGAGAAGAAAAAATAACTTTAAAATTTAACAGGGCCTGCAGCAGAATCAAAGACAGCATTAATACTTGAGAAGCCGCTGGCATGACGGGTAAACACTGGCATCAAAGCCAATTCAAAGTAGGTCAAGTGCTGGTGGGGCTGGCCTTGTGCCCCATTGTTGGAGCCATCAACATGCCCGGCACACACCTTGTAAAGGAACACTGTGTCACTAACAGGCAGGTACAAATCCAAGAAGAGAGAAACAGGGCAACCACGCTGCACAGACTCCAGTTGCCTCCAAACTTCAGAGGAGAATGCCCATAAACGGGAACTGAACAAGTGTATCCAGGAAACCAGATTGATGGGAGATTATCAGTAAGGTCTCCTGCAGTCTCTTGACCATCTGTGGTAGGAGAAATTGGTATAGGCAATGCTTTCTTAACAACACAACCAGCCTGCCCCAGGGAGACATCTCAGGGAAATGTTCCATTTGAACTAGTATGTTCTGTCCTAATTAAAAGATGTTTCCAGCAAATCCCTTTGTGGTTCTTCTCATGTAAAGGAAAATAAAACCCAGGGGAGCTGCCTGGCTTCCTCTTCCAAGCAATGGCTACTTGTAACAGTGAGCCTGCCTCCTTTGGACTATGAAGTAAGTTTCATTCGGCATGTTATAGTATATACAGCACTTTCACCTACATTAGGATGTTTCATCTTTCTGATAACCCCATGAAGTTATTTCTAGCTCCACTTTATAAAGAAACTGAGGCCCCAAAATGAGCTAACATGGACCAGAACTCAGATCGGGATCAACCCTTCCTCTTACCAAAGATAATCCTCATGGCCATGTTGATTAAAAATTGTAATAATTTAAGAATTCAAACCAGTTTTATTGTCACTATAGGAAAATCAGCTGACTACTTTTCCTATCCACAAGTTAGGCTAGACTGTGCAGGAACCTCAGAGGAGCAATCATGAAGGAGAGAAGAGAAAGATTTGAGGTAAAGCTTGACAACCCCTAAGAACCACAGCAGAAAACAGAGACAAATTGTGAACCACGAGAAACTGGAACAAACCTCCTCAACATGAATTTGATTTGGCACGGGGCCTCTGACCCTTTCAGATTCAATCTCTGAAGGTCTGAAGGTTCTCTTTGTATTTTTCCATTTTACTTCCTGCTCACTACTTCTCCATCCAAATGAGTCCCTGGTGTTTGATTGTAGTGATTTACCTAAAACTGGCAATAAAAGGTGTTTATGTGCCATATCATTTAGTATATAAAGAACAGTCAGTTATTAGAATTACTAAGAGAGTGCTGATTTCTAGAGCAGTAAGGTGTGAATTCCCTGTAGGGAGCTGCCATTTGCAACCATCCAGGCCAATGAAGCAAAATTTGGGGAGGGGAGTGAGTATTACCTCAATAAAGCAACTCAAAATTGGAATAAACCTACACAAAGTCAAAGCTAAATCCATGAAACTGAATCAGAGCATACTGCATTTGCTTGCCCAGAGAGCGCTAATGAATACACAACCGGACTTTCATGGTGTAAAATTTCACCAGTGCTTTTAAAACAGTAGCAAAACATCTAGTGAATCTCAGAGGAACATCTGGCACAGGATGGGGTGAAAGGGCCACCACAGCTCATTCTGGAATTCTACCTGAGGTCATGCTGAGTTGTAAACAATGAAGTCATGTTCACAGAAAAACTTGGTAAAAGTTAGCAGTGGACAGATGAAATTGGGGGCTTTTTGAAAAGTTGGATAGGCATCTCAATATTGCCATCAATTAGAGGGTCAATGCTAATATCAGTAAGATTTAAAAATCACAATGCAATACTTAAGTCAGTTCTGAAATTCAGCAAGGACTTAAGATTTCTACTGTTTCAAAGAGAAGTTATCTAATGTGAAAACAAGCCATGGCAACAAAAATAACAGAAATGTTGATAGAAACAAAATATAGTTCTCTTCTCAAAAGGCAAGGTTCCCAATACTTTTCAATTTTTTTTTTTTTTTTTTTTGAGATGGAGTCTAGCTCTGTCGCCCAGGCTGGAGTGCAATGGCGTGATCTCGGCTCACTGCAACCTCTGCCTCCTGGGTTCAAGCAATTCTCCTGCCTCAGCCTCCTGAGTAGCTGGGACTAAGGTGCACACCACCACACCCGGCTAATTTTTGTATTTTTGGTGGCCAGGCTGGTCTCGATCTCCTGACCTTATGAGCCACCCGCCTTGGCCTCCCAGTGTGCTGGGATTACAGGTGTGAACCACTGTGCCCGGCCCTACTTTTGAAAATTTTTCATCGGAAAATAACTACTATAAAAATGAAACAGTCAATACTACCTTGTTCAATCCTCTACATGCCCAGCTCCTTAAATTTAGCTCAAACCTTACCTATGCTGCTGCTCCTTCTTCCCTGAATTACCTCCTATAACCCTTATCTCCTCACTCAACTGATTGTTTGAGTCACTCTTTAAAAAATAATAATGCCTTGCTTAGGACGCTCCCAGTCTCTAATGGGCCGAAGCCATATTTTCTAAGGGCCTGGTAAAATAACTTACATGTGGTTTAGTGTTTGAAACGTGTGGACTGTAGATCAAACTGCTTTTATTTTTAACCACAAGGAAATGAAATAAAGATTACAGAGGAACCAGAAGCTTTTGGATTTAGGTTGAAACATTGCTAAGTCAAAATGATGCTTTTTATCCAAAGTCTGCATGTCAGAATGACATTCTCATCTATGATCTACAATTACAGATGTTTGGAGAAACCAAACTACGTTATGATTCCTTTGCCATTCTTGTTCATTTTATTCCCTAAAATATACTAAACTCACTTTCAAATTTAGCATGTTGATCATTGAGATCATGATTTTTTATGGTTTCAAAAACTTCAGGTGTGTTAGAGTCACAGTCCATTCACTTTTGTTGTGTGTGACAAGGTCTCACTCTGTCACCCAGGCTGGAGTGCAGTGACAGGATCATAGCTAACTCCAGCTGTGAACTTCTGAGTTCAAGGGATCCTCCCATCTTAGCCTCCTGAATAGCAGTCCCCGGCTAATTTTCTTATTGTTATTTTTGTAGAGACAGGATCTCACTTTTTGCCCAGCTGGTTTCAAACCCCTAGGCTCAAGCAATCCTTCGACCTCGGCCTCCCAAAGTGCTAGGATTACAGGCAGGAGCCATCACACCTGGCTCATTGACATCTCAAGCATTTATTGAGCCTTCATTCTCTGTGCAGGAGGCTGGATAGAATGACTACTATTTGCACAGCACTTTAGCGCACTTCCCCAGACACCCTCTCCTTTGACCCTCATGGCCACTTTGAAAGGTAGGTAGAGCAGTTATCATCAGTGACATTTTACAGAGTAGGAAAATAAAAAAGAGATTCAATAACTTGGCCAATGTCACAGGATCTACTAACAATAGAAAGAGAATCTAGGCCAGGTGCAGTGGCTCACGCTTGGAATCCCAGCACTCTGGGAGGCCGAGGTGTGCAGATCACTTAAGGTCAGAAGTTCGAGACCAGCCTGGCCAACATGGTGAAACCCCCATCTCTACTAAAAATACAAAAATTGGCTGGGCACTTTGGCGCACACCTGTGATTGCAGCTACTCAGGAGGCTGAGGCAGGAGAATCGCTTGAACCTGGAAAGCGGAGGTTGCAGTGAGCCGAGATCGCACCATTGCACTCCAGCCTGGGCGACAAGAGCGAAACTCCATCTCAAAAAAAGAAAGAAAAGAAAGAGAATCCGAATCTCACTTTCCATTTTGTCTCTGAAGTGTTAAAATCCTTAAGATTTTAAGTGATTGAGTTCTAAGAATTCTAGGAATTCACGACTTTATTGTTTTCACATTGAAGATGTTTTGATTTGATAATTTATAGTGACGTTACCACTTATTGACGACTCACTTAGTGCTTCTTAGGCCTTTTGTGCTGCTGTTTGACAACATTGCTTTATCACTTTCCCTGAGCTGTCAAACATCCTGCAAACCTATTTCTTGCCATGCACATGCATGAATGCTTGACTAGATTCTGTGTGCAAAAGAAGCTAAATAATGAAACATGGCATACAAAGAAGGTCAAATGTAGCCAAACCAAATTATGCCGCATTATTTGCACACTGTCGACTCTGTTCATTTTAATTATTTTCCAACATAAATGTACAGCATAAAGGTCATTGTGGATAGGAGTCATACTCAGCAATCTCTAAAAACTGGTTTGCCTGCATTCCTCAAAAATGACAGCTACATGAAAGTTGTCAGTCTATGGGTGGAGATTGCTTCCAAAAGAAGGACAAGGAGAAAAAGAATAACATGAAGGAACAGATGAGGTTGGAGTGGATATTAACTCCTCACATCCTGGTCTTCTCTTAGTGTCCTATAACTTAAGGAGGATGGCTGTTAGTTCATCCCAGATACACAGTAGGTAATTTTTTTCCTTGTATGATCCTCTCAAAAGCTCAAGAATTCTAGAATTCCTTCAGTAGGCTTTGGCTGAATTCAATAATAAATTGTTATAGGTTTAAAGAACTATTTTTAAGTTATGAGTTACAAGATTTCTATTGAAAACAGTAATTATCAAATTCTCCTAGAGATCACTGTTTGATATTAATTAGTAATTTATACATACTAAAGGAAACATTTTTATTTGGAGAAAGCTACAAAATAATTGATTTTCCTCTGATTTGCCTTCTTCCAATTGGTAGAGTTTGAATCTATAAGATATATAACATATTCAGAAACATTAAAAACTGTGTATTTAACTATAAATAGCAGGCACTTACCACAGTACCACAATATTTTTCTTTGTTTTCTACCCTTTGACTTATGCTTAGAGAGGATAATTTATTGTCAATGCAGCCCATAAACTCCTGGCTCTACTGAAAATAAAATGAACATGACACTTTACTAAGACAACGAATCATGAAAATGTTCTGCATTGTGCTGGGCGAGGTGGCTCACACCTGTAATTGTAGCACTTTGGGAGGCTGAGGCAAGCAGATCACCTGAGGTCAGGTGTTTGAAACCAGCCTGGCCAACATGGTGAAACCCCATCTCTACTAAAAATATAAAAATTAGCTGGGCATGGTGGCGGAGGCTTATAACCCCAGCTACTTGGGAGGCTGAGCAGGAGAATCACTTGAACCTGAGGGGTGGAGGTTGCAGTGAGCCAAGATCGCACCACTTCTCTCCAGCCTGGGTGAAAGAGCGAAAATCCATCTAGAAAAAAAAATGTTCTGCCATAAAGAAAAATTCAACGGTGCTCATATTAAATAAAGAGCCAAATCATATAAGATACTTATAAATACCTAAAAATATGAGTTCAGTTTCTCTTACAAGGCCAGGAAGGTGAGTATGCATACTCTGGCTACTCATGCAGCTAAGCAAAGAACACCAATCAGGAGTTGCCCCATAATCACACATGCACAGACTTAAAAAGCCAGCCAGCAAACCAGAAGGACTGGCTGGCACCTATATGTACTAAGGTCATCCTCCCTCTGAACTCTGGAAACAATTCACCTCTCCTATGGCACTTTGGCTTTCCACCTCCTATTGGAGTGATTGGCAAACACATCTTAGGTCTTGTACTGGATTTTAAGAGCCTTGGAGGCAGGACCCATGTTTAATTCATGTCCATGTCCCCAGCACCAAGCCCAATATCTTGCCCCCAATTTGTGATGAGTGAATATTTGTTGACCATCTGAAGCCTCATATAAAGGGCTTGGGGCTCCTCTTCCAAAGCCTCTCCCAGGTTCTCACTTTTGCCAGTTGGAAGTGAGAAGAATAGAGAATCCCTGTAGTTCTACACAAATTGCAAGCATCTTTCTAAATGAAGCACGCAGTTAGATAAACGTTAAACTGTGTCTCCATTTGTTCACTCTCCACTTCTCCCTTTTCCTTATGAAGACAGAATGGAGGGCAAAAGTCCTCTTCTTCTCAAGATCTGGGTTCCTGTGGACATCAAGGAAGCCAGAAGCACTGAGTGAACAAAGAAGGATGTTTCTATGGTTCCCAGGTCTCTAAATGATTAGCAGAGTGACTCAGGCAATATTAAGTGTAGGGCTCATTTCATTTCTATTACAAATCCTCCTGTATACAAGTTTTAGAGTTTCATAGTTTATCCATGTCGTTTTCTCAAAATTGTAGACACACATGGCCAAATTCTGGTCTTTAATGCATACTCGCAGTTGCTATTACATTAATCAAGCGCTGTGTTCATGCATTTAACTACTGAATTTACTGCCATGGAATATTTCTTAACTTGACGCTACAGTGGCACCTGTCTTAAATACCGCTGAAGCAGGACAAATGGTTCCAGTACAGAAAATATCAAGAAAGAAAAAAACTAGAAACCTAAATCCATGCTCAATTATTTTAAAAACAAATTTACAATTCATCCACAGATGAAGCTGAAATTTCCCTTTTGTATTGCACTTTCCTTAGATCCTGGGAATTAAGAACAAAGACAATTGCTGAGTGTTCTGGAAAAACTCACTTTAAGTTAAGGATAGCAAAAAATTCACTTTAAGTTAAGGATAGTAAACACAGATATTGCTTATCAACCTTTTCTGCTGAATCTCAAAATTGTTCTCAACATAGTGCTCCAAGAATCCACTATTTAAAAATTTACCTTGATGATTAAGATAAAACCTCTCTGCTGCCTTTGCTCTAGATTTGATCTTAGCTTTTTTTTTTTTTGAATCAGGAACACCTGTGCAGTCTATGAACCTTGTATCCAGAAAAATTCACATATGTGAAAAACTATTCTCATACTAAAAATTTTTATACTATTTTAGGTAGTTTTTTGGCAATTCTGAAGCTTGTTGATTAATCTTTAAATCGGTCAACTCATGAGAAAAACCTCTGCGCTAGACCATGTGTTTCTAAGAAAAACCACAAAATTCGGGAAAGTCTAAATCAAGACAACTACTTGATTTCTTACTTTCTTTCTCAAATTTCCCCTCTCATTCCCTTCCCCCTGAAAATATACCTGTATACATATCCACAGAGATATCAGCGTAAACGTCTAAGATATATAGCAATTTCTTTCTAAGTGGTGACCAGTCAAAGAACAAGTCAAACTCTCCAAAAGTGGGTGAGAGTTGCTTACCAATGATATTCTCCGAGGCATCTCTCACAGTCTCATCAGAGGTGGAGGAAACCATGTGGGTGGACAACACAACATGTTTGTGATGTTACAATGGCAATTGTGAATGACCTGGTAAATATCATTCATGGATAACAAAGATCTTTTTTGTTGTTGTTTAAATGCTATCTTAAAATATTTTTAAAATGCAAAGTAAGTGTTACCCTGGATCCAGATTTATCTTTTTTTTTTTTCTTTTTGAGACGGAGTTTCGCTCTTGGTGCCCAGACTGGAGTGCAATGGCGTGATCTCGGCTCACTGCAAACTCTGCCTCCTGGGTTCAAGCAATTCTCCTGCCTCAGCCTCCCAAGTAACTGGGATTACAGGCATGCGCCACCACACCTGGCTAACTTTGTATTTTTAATAGAGACGGGGTTTCTCCATGTTGGTCAGGCTGGTCTTGAACTCCTGATCTCAGGTGATCCACCCACTTCGGTCTCCCAAAGTGTTGGGATTACAGGCATGAGCCACTGCGCCCAGCCAATTTATCGTTTAAAAGTATCATGGCCTGGCGCAGTGGCTCACACCTGTAATCCCAGCACTCTGGGAGGTCGAGGCAGACGGATCACGAGGTCAAGAGATTGAGATCATCCTGGTCAACATGGTGAAACCCCGTCTCTACTAAAAATACAAAAAATTAGTGGGGTGTGGTGGCAGGCGCGTGTAATCTCAGCTACTTGGGAGGCTGAGGCAGGAGAATTGCTTGAACCCGGGAGGCAGAGGTTGCAGCGAGCTGAGATTGCGCCATTGCACTAAAGCCTGGGCAAAAAGAGTGAAACTCCATCTCAAAAAAAAAAAAAAAAAAAAGGTATCACAAGTGCACCAAGAAAATTCAACTGTTTTCATCTTGAGACTTTCATATGACCTTGGACCATTTTCTTGACTCGTAGGTGCTAATTAATCCACTGATAATTTATAGGCTAGCAAGCAAGCTGAGGCTCTATAGACAAGCAGATGTCATACTGTCGTATTGTTAGAATGTAAACTCTGCCAAAAAGGAAAAAGCAAATATGGGTGCTCTTCCTTATTACTAGTATTTTTTTTTTTGTCATAGTGATCTATTAAGTTTCATCCCTATTAAATTTCACATAGGATGCAATACTAAGGTATAGGTTCATGTTAAAAATCTTGACACTGTTATTCATGGGATGTCCTAGATAATATTCTATCTTCCTTATTTTTCTTTCCCTTCTACTGGTGTTCCTTCTCCCTCCTCGTTCCCATTCTTTTTTGTAAATTATTCTTCGGAGCAGATGATCTTTTTGTTCATATTACATTTCAGCAAGGCAATACAAATAATAGTGTGGTAGTACAAGATTCACTATAACTACCAGATTTTCCCTGACTGCCAATCAGTTACTTACGGCCTCTTCTTCCCCTTGAAACTGTCTCCATTGCCTGCCATTACCTCAAAGGATAGATAAAAGACAACCCAGGAATTTTTAATTCAGAGGTGTTTTAAAAATTAAATGAGATTCTAGATAGATTTTGAAACAATCCCAGTAGAGAGTATAGTTTAAGGGGTTGCCATTTAAAAGAGCCAGATATTTTTGAGAAAAAGAGAGGAAAGTTTATTGAATTTATATTTATTTATATGTTTGGCTTTGACAATTCAAGAACGAAATCTAAATTAGCAGGCAAAGGTTTATACATAAGCAATAGAGTTGAAAACAAAGCAGAAAGATTAAAGGGCAGTTTGCCTGTCCAAAATGAGATAATATTGGGAGGATATGGCTTAAGAATAGACATATAGATCAGTGGAACAGAATGGAGTGTACAGAAATAAACATGTACTCATGTCCAATTGATGTTTGATAAGAGTGTCAGGTCTATTCAATGGGAAAAAGTAATCTCTTCAACAAATGATGCTGGGGCAACTGACTTTCTACATGCAAAAGGATGAAGTTGTACCTCATACAATACTCAAAAATTACACAAAACTCAAAATGGATCAACTAAATATAAGAGCTAAAATCATAAAAATTTTAGAAGAAAACATAAGGATAAATGTTCATGACCTGAATTTGGCAAAATATTCTTTGATATGACATCAAAAGCATAAGCAAAAACAACAGAAATAGGTAAATTGGACTTCCTCAAAATTAAAATACTTTTGTGCAACAAAGAAAATTATCAAGAAAATGTACACAACCCACAGAATGGGGGAAATATTTTCAAATCTTAGGTCCAATGAGTTAATATCCAGAATATTTATTAAACTCCTAAAACACAACCAAAAAAAAAAAAAAAAAAGGAAAGAAAGAGAAAGAAAAACAACCCAATTTTAAAATGGGAAAAGGACTTGAATAGATATTTCTCCAAAGAAGATATACAAAAGGCCAATAAATATATGAAAAGATGTTCAACATCCTCTGTCATTAGGGAAAGGAAAATTGAAATCACAATAAGATACTATTTCACATTTACTAGCATGGCAATAGTTTAAAAAACAGAAAACAAGTGTTAGTGAGGATATAGAGGGATTAAAAACTCTCATACATTGCTGGTGGGAATGTAAAATAGTGCAGCTGCTATGGAAAGTAGTTTGGCAGTTCCTCAAAAAGTTAAACATAGAGTTACCCTAAGACTCAGCAATTCAGTTTTAGGTACAATACCCCTGAAAACTGCAAACAGAAACTCAAACAGATACTTGTACGTTGATATTCATTGCAGCATTATTTACAATAGCCCAAAGGTAGAAACAACCCAATGGCTATCAACAGATGAATGTGTGTGTGTGTGTATGGGTTATATATCTGAGTGTGTGTATGTGTGTGTGTATATATATGGGATATATATATGAAATATTTTTCAGGTATAAAAAGGAATGAAGTTCTGATACATGCTACAACATGGATAAACCTTGAGAACATTAAGCTAGGTGAAAGAAGCCAGATAAAAAAGGACAAATATTATGATTCCATTCATATGAAATATCTAAAATAGGCAAATGTATAGATACAGAAAGGATATCAGATGCTGTTGGGTCCTAGGGTAGGAAGTAATGGGGAGTTATTGCTTGATGCCAGCAGAGTTTCTTTTCGGAGTGATGACAAGGTTTAAGAAGCCGATTGTGGTGATGCTTCCACAATAGTGTGAATATAATTAATGCCACTGAATTGAACACTAGAAAATTGTTAAAATGGCAAATATCATGTTATATAATAGTGTTGATAGCAGTGTGGTTGTGACATAGAAGACATACAGTCTGACTACTTATCCATCATCTCTCAGATGCCAGCCTGGATGGATATGAATGACCAAAGGCCAATGGAGACTGCAACTCTCCCTGGAAGCCAAAGTACATGAATGCCTACACAGTGGACCAGACTCCTCTCCCTGATGCCAAGTCCCTCTCCCCTGATGTTCTGACAATACATAATCCTTTCTCTTCTACTTTAGGAGAGGATAGAAAGGAGTGGGTGAGGCAAAACCTAAATTTAACTGAGCATCAAAAATACTCAGAAATGTTAAAAATGCAAAAAGAAAAAAAATCTAATTCTCCTCCCTGGAAAGTACTGAACCATTCCAGCATGTCTAGTTTATGCAATAAGCATTGAGCAAAGCCTAGTCTGGCAGAAGAATGTTGTAAAAGAGCTGCTAAGATTTTTTAAAAGGCAAGATCCTCACTTTTTGCTTTGTGTATAGGAATATTGTGAATAATAATACACATCTTAGTAGGCTTGTGAGGTTTTAAGAAATCAGAAAAGGACAGGGAGGGGGTCAAATTGTTCCTTCAAGAGCCAAGACTTGACTATGTCTCATTGCCAACTTGACCTTGACAATCTGGGGCTCAAAGGTGGGGCCATGACCCTGCAGAAAGGAAGGCTTTGTGGGGAGGACCAAGAGAGTCATTTGCTACCTTTCTGTAAAAGCTGCTGTTCCTCTTTTCTTTTTCCCTGTTAAGAAAGCTGTTCTTACCTTCATGTCTGAGTCACCTAGGAAACCTTGAATCAAAGGAGACCCTTCAGAACAACAGTGCTGCTAGCTAAGAAAAGAGAGAACTTTACCCAAAAACCAAGTTTCCTACCTAACACTTTAATGCCAGGAGCAGAAGATGACATGATCCCACATTCATGTACTGCTGAAACCGCCTTTGCAAAAATTATGGCAGTGAGAAAATTATGATGGTGAAAGAGATCTGATCCAACCCACCTCCAACTTGCCTTTAACTTCCAAACTGCAGTCAGTCATTCCTGAGCATGGGCCAAGTTAACTTTGGGAGAAATTGTTTATAGTTTAAATAACAGCCCTTCTCAAAAACTAAACCACCTTTGTAAAACTAAAGAAAGACCACCAGGTTAGGAGGATGAGGGGAGCTTGTATCCTGCTAAGGTGTCACCTTAAATGATTACCAGTCATTATTCCAAAAGTCGCAAGATTTACAACTTCCCCAATTACTCCTGCAGATAACATCACATATGAAGAACCTAAGATTGGCCTTTTGAGATGTCTTTTCAGATTTTTGCATTTCTCACTACCAATGGCTCCACCTGAACCTGCCAGTTGGTTCTGTGGCCCCACCCAGAAGTGAACTCAGCCCAGACAAGGACCATTTTCCATATCCTTATGATTGCACCACCAACCAATCAGCAGCACTCACTCCCTAGCAACATCCCCTCCTCGTAAGCTATCCTTGAAAAACTGTAGCCTTGGGAATTTTCAGGGAGGTTGATTTGAGGAACAATAAAACTCCAATCTCTGGTTCAGTGGGCTCTGAGTGAATTAAATTCTTTCTCTATTGCAATTCTCCTGTCTCATAAATCAGCTTTTTCTGGGCAGTGGACAAAACAAACCCACTGGGCAGTTACCCTCCCTCATACATGGGAGGACACATCTGGAGAAAAGAGATGCTGGACAGATACTTCAATTCCATTTTCTTGAGTGAATAATGCCTGAATTGGGTGGAAGGGAGTACTCACCCATGTTTTTCACAGGGAGAAAGACATTTAGCATGGAGTTAAGTGTGCAGAAATAAAATTCTGTGAAAACCAGCCATTTTCTTTTCAGCATTTTGCTCATTGTCCTACAACCTTTTACATACTGAATCACTTGGCATTTGTCTCCTTAGTGGAAAGATAGATGTATCTGAGAATATGAGCCAATTTAGTCTATAAATAGATCTTGAAACTTAGAACAAAAACAATAGTTTTGAAAGCTAAGGTGGTTTTGATTTGCAAGAATCAAGCTTTTAAAAAATAGAATAAAGTTTTTTAAGTGCCAGAAGTTTGGCTTTAAACATGAAGAGCCAAAACCCTGACAGACTTGTAAGTGGAGTTGGAAAGATGGTTGTCTCTTCAGTGCTTCCAACCTGTCAGAGAGAAAAGATTTCTGGGCTGCTGAAGAAAAATCTTTGGACATGGAAAAAAGAAATTAATTTAGTTAGCTCCATGGTTCTCCAAGAAAGAGGGTCCTGCTCTGGCCCCCTAAAAAGAGCTGAGCCTAGAGTATGGAAACATAGAAAAGCCAGGTAAGTTTGTGTGTATCTCAGAACAGAGAAGATGTGTGCCTCCCTTCCCAAAATATAGCCTGGAGAGGCTTCAGAATTCATGAAGGAGGCCCTCCATCCAGCATGGTGAGGACTAAACTCTGACCTTTTTCTTTTCTCTTACCCAAATTCCTATCTAAGGGGTCTGGGGAGTCATGTCCTACAAATCAAAAAATCTCATTAGATGGATTTTTGTGAGCCATATATAATGTGGCTTACTTTCCACCCTGACTCTAGTATAGCATCACATCACAGATAGCAGACCCTGAAGGAAATGAAAATATTTTACCCCAAAATGTATTTCTTGACATATTTTGAAATGGCTGTTGCAAGGCCAGCAGATTAAGGTAGGGGAAATTTGCATCTGTAAAGAATCTCCATTCATACAGCCATGCTTCTCTGTTCTATGACTTTCCCAGGTCTAGGAGAGACTGAGCATCTGATGCCTTCAAAAGTTTGAAAAGAAACATTTACCATCTATTCTCTGAGGGTTGCCTCTTATGAAGCTTTATCTACACAATAAGAACCCTGGTCTCCAGAACCCCATTATCTTAAATCAGGCATTCTTTTCTACTGATTTCGAATCTTTAGACAATAGCTTAACTCTGTCAACCATCAACTGACTAATCCCTAAAACCAACCTATGACTTACAAGCACACCTCCCCCCACTTTGAGATGTCCTGCGTTTTGGGGCTGAACCAATGCATATCTTCCATGTATTTATTTATGATATTACCTGCAATTCCTGTCTCCCTGAAACGTATTAAACCAAACCGTAATCTGATCACCACAAGCACACTTTCTCAGGATCTCTTGAGATTGTGTATCCCTGGCCCACGGTCACTCACAGTGTCTCAGAATAAACCTCTTTAAATATATCTTGGCAGAATTTGGTTTTTCCATCATCAGTGGCACAGGAACATTAAAATGTCCATTGTTGACTCAGCAAACTAGACGATGAGCCTGCAAGCTACAAGCTGACTAGCAAAGTCATGGGCACCACTAGAGCATTTTAAGGAAAACAGTTCGCTAGTCCTCTAAGAGGAAGTCCGTCAGGTTGAGAGTGGGTCTTGCATTTCAAGGGAGGAAACTTCAGAGCACTTGGACCTAGCAACCAGGAACATGGGAAATCAGAAACAGATCAACCAACCACAAGAACCAGAGGACATACAAAGCGGACAGAGAACGCTCACAGAGCAGATCTTCCCACTTCATTAATGCAGTGGTCCTCATATAAACCTCCTGGAACTCAAACACAACACAACTCAATAAAGACGCAATAAGGGGAAGCAAAACAAACCTTGAGTTGACAGAGTATATTGACAGATACTCGGTCATGGCTTTGACCAAGTTCACCTGGATGAGAGCAAATTTAGTTTTCTGCTATCTGATGAAAATGGTAACTCATGAAAAAAACCCTCAGATTTCATAGAAAAATTAAAATTAAGTATGGGCTTTATAAATTCAAGTTTTTACCTTTGAAATTTCCACCAATTACATGTACATTTTTTTACTTGTATTTATTTATTTATTTATTTATTTATTTAAGAGACACGGTCTCCCTGTGTTGCCCAGGCTGTTCTCAAACTCCTGGGCTCAAGCAATCCTCCCACCTCAGCCTCCCAAGTGCTGGGATTGCAGGTGTGAGCCACCATGCCCAGCCTATATGTACTTTCTAATCCTAATTATTATCTCAGCCCTGGGATTACATCTCAGATTATTTTGGTCTGCCTTTTGCAATTGTACTTGCAATCTCTTGGTTTACTTCCCCTAACAGTTAATCATATCTATTATACATTGATTTCACTAATTCAGTTTTATAAAGTGTTGCCCAAACTATAAGAGTTATCCATTGTTTGCAATTTTTGTTTAGGATTTTTTGAGTGAAGATGCTGGAAAATAGCTGAACAAAGACACCTTGTGGATAAGCAAAACCCAGGGGACAGAGAGCTCCTCCCTGGTCTACTCTTCTGCCTGCATGACTAGCCTTAAGTTTAAGGAGAGAAGCTACCATATTTGTTTTTTCTTTTTGTTTTTAAGCCTTGCAGTAGGGCCTATAACAATAAATTACATATTATAGATGCTCAATTAATAGTTAAATGTAGGCTGGGCGTGGTGGCTCACGCCTGTAATCCCAACACTTTGGGAGGCCAAGGAGGGTGGATCATTTGAGGTCAGGAGTTCAAGACCAGCCTGGTCAACATGGCAGAACCCCGTCTCTACCAAAAATACAAAAAATGGCAGGGTGTGCTGGTGAGTTCCTGTAGTCGCAGCTACTGGGGAGGCTGAGACAGGAGAATCACTGGAACCCAGGAAGTGGAGGTTGCAATGAGCCAAGATCATGCCACTGCGCTCCAGCCTGGGCGACAGAGCAAGACTCCCTCTCAAAAAAACAAAACAAAAAAAATTAAATGTAGAATTTGTGTGAAAGTAATTGAATTATTCAAATAAATTGGGACAAGTATGACTTGGTTTCACTGCTTTTTGTACTTTGTCACTCAAATAGTATGTGTGAATGATTTACCTTCTCCAAGCTCACCAAATGGGTAAATGGCTAGGTCCAGGTATGTCGGGCATCAAGCTTAAATATTGAATATAAATACAGTGTTTTCAGTGACTTTGCTAGACTCTTAATCTGCAAGTGGCTTCTATATTCTAACCATAGAATTGGTTCCTTGAAGTTCTTTTAGTCCTTGATCTCTTAAATCTTGCTGAGTCTCCTGTGATGTTGTGGATTTTGTAGTAGGTAAAAAGAGTGCACACAGCCTTTAGGGCACCTGTGTTCAAGGTCTGCTTTCCTAAGAATCTGACCTTGAGAAAGTTACTCAATCTCTTTGAGCTTTAAGTTTTTTATCTTTAAAATAAAAATAATATTACTACTTCATTAGGTTGCTGTCCACACTCGATTAAATTCAAAATTTTTTCAAGTGCTTAGCATTTTAATCTGTAAAGTACATGGCAGGACAAGCATTCAAGAGCTGGTAGCTATTGACGGTATTATGATGCAAAAATAAAATGATCAGTTGCTATTCTTTAAATGTCTCAGAGATGAAGATTTTACTTGTCCACCTTTCCTGGGTAGATGTGAAACAAAGGCATTTTTTCCTTCAGTTGTCATATATTTTGTCATATGATATACATCTACACATATCCTATATCTAAAATTGATGGGTTTTATATTCCAAATAATTATCTAAGTGTCCCTAAAGCTATTCGCTTATCATTATGCACCGTATTGTCATCGAGGAGAGTCATTAATTCAGCACACTTTTGTCTATCTCTCTGTGGACAGCACACCTTTGTCCATCTCTCTGCTATGCGTCATGGGTAAGCAGAGAGAAGCCCTGCTGTCTAGTGGCTTCAAACAAATGATCATACTAGTGAACACAGAAATATTTCAACAGGCCGAGCACGGTGGCTCACGCCTGTAATCCCAGCACTTTGGGAGGCCAAGGCGGGTGGATCACGAGGTCAGGAGATCGAGACCATCCTGGCTAACACGGTGAAACCCCGTCTCTACCAAAAGTACAAAAAATTAGCCAGGCATGGTGGCGGGCGTCTGTAGTCCCAGCTACTCGGGAGGCTGAGGCAGGAGAATGGCGTGAACTCGGGAGGCGGAGCGTGCAGTGAGCCGAGATCGCACCACTGCACTCCAGCCTGGGTGACAGAGCGAGACTCTGTCTCAAAAAAAGAAAAAAAAAAGCAATATTTCAACAAACACTAAGTGAATAAGCAAATTTAAAAACTAAACAAGTAGAAAGCATATTAGCATGTATAAGCATAGGACTCAGCAAAGGGAGGTTATCTTCTAAATAGGTCAGCCTGTAGGAAATAAAAACATCTTAACATTCTCCCAGCTGGTTTAGAAAATATGCAAGGAGCAAAACACGTGTGATTTGACTCTACTGAACTCCCTTTAATCCCTCTATTTCAGTTCCAAATACACTGTGGACATTCAAGAAACATGAAGAATAATTAAATAGACATGCTGCTATCACACTAATCATCTTGGAATAAGTGTGCATATTGGCTTTTGTATTTTTTTTTTCTGGGAAAGTGTTGAAACTATGTAAAGCATTATACCAATATGAAGCATTATTATTTTTCTTATTTCATGAAATTCAGCAATCTATATGCACATGCCAGGGGCTAAGAAAGTTTTTACATTCCAGAAACAGACACAGATGCTATTATTGCCTGCTTCTTTGCATACATATCTCTGAGGTTGGCCTCATTTCTTAAATATGGCAGCTACATAATGGCAGAGAAACTATATTAAAAGTGAAATTCATTCGATCTTCCAGATGTTCTCATTAGGTGACACCAAACCATGGAGTGATTGATTGATTAACTGAATCTTTCCTTTCTACTTGAATTTTTGGCATCATGTACCACATACTTAAATTTAATTCAACAGTTTGTAACATCAGCCTTGTATTCTTTCCACAAATTTGAGGTTATCCATACATACTAAAATAGTAGTATCAATGCCACCATTTGGTTAGATACTTGTTGAGGGCATAAAGACCATGACATATTGAAAGGCTGTATTTTTCATCTTTCTTAGTAAAGTGGTGTGTCTCTTTGGGTTAATATCTTCCTGATATTCTGGCAACCCAAACAAGAAAACTGATTCATCTTTGTCACCTCTTCCCCCCATACTCCCTGCAGTGGTTTTGGGCCCCATCCCCATTTTACCATTCTTGTATATAATTTTCTAGTTTAAAATCTCATAATCTCCATCTTGAACTTTTGCCTTGGTTTCATAATTTTAAGAAGCAGTTCACTGTAGCATTTAAGAGTACATATTCTGCGATCAGACAGGATGAAATCCAACCTGAGTCCACCACTTATTTGCTACAGAACCAGTATAGCAGTTCTCTCATCTATAAAATGAGATTAATAACAATATGTACCTTGGATAAAGAAAAGGTGGTACATTTACACCATAGAATACTATGCAGCCATACAAACAGAATGAGATCATGTCCTTTGCAGGAACATGGATGGAGCAGGAGGCCATTATCCTTAGCAAACTAATGCAGGAAAAGAAAACCTAATAGTGCGTGTTCTCACTGATAAGTAGAAGCTAAATGATGACAACTCATGGACACAAAGTGGGGAACAACAGACACTGGGGCCTACTTGAAGGTGGAGGGTGAGAGGAAGGAAAGGAGCAGAAAAAATAACTACTGGGTACTAGGCTTAGTACCTGGATGCCAAAATAATCTGTACAACAAACATCCATGACAGGAGTTTACCTATATAACGAACCTGCACACGTACCCCTGAACTTAAAATAAAAGTTAAAAAAAATAGGATCTACCTCTTAGCATTGCTGTGAGTAGTTAATATGTGTCAAATATTTAGAATGTACTTAGCAAGTAAATATAGGCAAATGGTAGCCATTAAATTATCTTCTTTTGTTGCCATTGTCCCCATTCAATCATTTCTCCAAAATGAATTCAACTATGCTTTCCAACTAAGAAACCTGTGATGACCCCTTGCTACCTATAAATAATGCCAAACTTTTCAGCTCCTTGTCTTCTCCTAACACTCTCCCTGTTCTTCAGCCACATTGGACTTTGCCATATTTTACCAACCCGCATGCTTCAAGTCTCCTAGATTTGCTCACGTGATTCCTTTTGATTAAAATACCCTTTCTTATTCTCTAATGAGTCATAGTCCATGCATCACACAAGACCCAGTTCATAGATCAAGTTCCTGGTGAAATCCTCCCTAAAATAACCCAAGCAGAAAGCATTATCCCCATATGTGTTCTTTCATAGGATTTTGCTCATATATCGGTATGGGACTCATTCTATTGTAAGATAGTATCATTACTTGCTTATGAAATCACTTTTGCCCTTAGGTTTTGTGTTCCTTGGGGACAAAGATTACGTCTTAATGATCTCTATATCTGGACAGTCTAGCATACTGACTGACATAGTCTAGAAGCCAAATAAATATTTATGAGAAAATAAAAGAGGGTTAGCATAATAAATATTACGAATAAGAATCCCTTATCAGAAATCTTTTCTTTCACAAGATTCACATTGAGTCCTGACTCCTTCAAGCAACCTTTCCATCTGTCTCAGCTCAAATGGCTTCCCTGACTTTGAACTTCTCTACTATTTATCTATCTGCCATTTATCTGCCACTTATAATATATTGCATTGTAATTTCAATTTCTTCTTTTCGTATATTGTAACTCAGATGTCAGCTAGATCCTATCTACCCATTAAGATCTATCCGAGTGTGTCTCAAACCCCACTCTTGCCAGTCCTTGACATACCACAAGATTCCAATCAATTCCTGGGGGAATTTTGTGCTCACAGACATCTCTGGCTCTGAAACCCTTCTTCTGTGGACTTAATTCAGATGTGGGTCATCTTCCTCTCCTATGCATGCTGTTTCTATTATGCTGCTATTCTAATTCTGCCTCTGGTCAATCCAGAAGTGGAACTCAGCCCCTTTCCTGATGTCTACAAAACAAAACCAACCAAATAAGCAAATAAACCCCACTCACATAAGCTTTTGTGTAAATGACAAACTTTACCAAAAGTTTCAAAAACAGAAGAGATTTGTATCACAGTTATAAAAATGCCTAGTCAGTTGCTATTTTGTACCATATTGATTCAGAAATATGTACATATATTGTATATCAAATGAGCGTGTATACCTTGTAGTCACAGATCTGGATTGAACAGTCATTACTAAATGAGAAGACACAGCAAGGGTCTACTTCATAGCAATTCAAAAAGAGTAACATAATATTAAAATCTAGGGATTTATATCGGGGGTGTCACAGGCCATTTCACACTTTGCAGCTCCCATCTTTACTTCATTGGTTTCTCTCTTTCTGCTCTCACCCATCCCCATCTGTCATCCTCAATTCCTCCCCCTTCCCTTCTGGAACACCTACTAGAAACTCCCATTTTTTAAAAATTCTATTTGGTGGAGCAATTCAATTCCTTCCAGGTTTTAATCTCAAAATCAGCATCAGCCTCATATTTGCATATGCAAATACATCAAGGTGCTCAGCAAATTAAAATGGTGTCTCATGTAGTAGGATTTATTCTCCTTAGAAAACTGATGTGTTTTAACCCAAGATTTGTTTTTCCTCTGTACATAAGTATGCTTAATTCTGCTAATTAATTTTAAATCCCTTAAGGCTCAAGCTAATCTTTGATTTCTCAAAATGCAGTGTTTTTTTGTTTTGTTTTGTTTTGTTTTGTTTTTTTGAGATGGAGTTTCACTCTGTCACCCAGGCTGGAGTGCAGTGGCATGACCTCTGCTCACTGCAACCTCCTCCTCCTGGATTCAAGTGATTCTCCTGCCTCAGCCTCCCGAGTAGCTGGGACTACAGGCGTGTGCCACCACGTCCAGCTAATTTTTGTATTTTTGGTAGAAATGGCGTTTCACTCTGTTGGCCAGGCTGGTCTCGAACTCCTGACCTCAGGTGATCCGCCTGCCTCAGCCTCCCAAAGTGCTCAGATTACAGGCATGAGCCACCACGCCCAGCCAAAATGTAATACCTTCAAAATTATTCATTCATCTACTTGATAAATATTTGTTAAGCAGTTGCTATGTAAATGGTATTACAAAGTGAGCAATTGCCACTCTGTCTTCAAGATGCTCCTAGTAGGTAGGGTCTATACATGTGGAACAAAGAATTACACTGTCTTGTGGTATGTGCCTTAAGATTGAAGTTCAGACCAGATTCTGTAAAACTACAGAGAAGGAAGCCTCACTATAGTTTTCAACCTTGTGTTCATGCCAACATTTCTGTGATCCGTCACATTCTCCAAACAAGAACAGTAATTCCTTAGAGTGGAGATTCTTATCCTCAGTGGAAACCAGGGGTTTGGAAGGAGAAGACACATTCTTCCTCAAAGGATATAATAGAATAGGGCTGGAGTGTAACCTAGAATTTCCACAAATACCAATGATTCTGAGAAACTTGGTCGAGGAGTGTGCCCTGTGAGAATCAATGGTGTAAAACCTTTAAGATACAATCAAATTAGAACACAATTTTTCAAAAATATATGTATTCCATAAAGTGAGGTGCATGGGATGTATTTGTACATGTGAATATATGTACCAGCAACTAGTGAATATATCTGCATGGCCATCTCTGTGCTGCTTGTTTAACTCACTTGCAAACAGCTTGGAGCAGGTCTGTTTTGGATGTCAATATAATGAGATCTCCAGGGTCTGGAGCTGGAAATGACTAGAGATTTCGCTTCAGAATATACTGAGTTATTGTGAATTGGTTTTGCTTTATGTAATGCTCAGCATGAGATTCGAAAAAAAATAATATTATAGTGATTTTTTCCCAAATGGGAGTACAGTCTCTCAGCTATTTTTAGGTCATTATTTTAAATTCTAAGTACTGTATTATTGATGTCTTTTTCAAGAAGAACCAGACATAGGTTGAAAGTTATTTATTAAATCCTTTCTCAAAAAAAGCAACATGCATATATTCTCCAGAGAATAATTTACTTTCAGATTGATATCAGCTGGTAAAACCATCCAAACCACTGGAGCAAAAGTTTATATTTCTTTTTAGATTATCTTCCTCTGCTTTCTAAAGTAGATCATTGCAAAGACTAGAGAAGAAATCACAATTCAAATCTGGACCACCATTTGGCCATTAAAAGAGGGACCAAGATACAAACAGAAAAGAGCAACACACTTTTGCTTGAAAGAATCTGGCAGATCTTCTGCAAGCTCACAAAGCATGTCTCTGCAGAGGACCACTCTGCTCCTCTGCCTGGGCTTCAAACCAACCACCTGCAGGTGGTAACTCAAAAATAAGTAGCAAGTTAAAGCTATCAGAACATGTATTGACAGTTACTGATTTATGCATACTCATTCTTGTATAGCCAAAAGATATACTAAAATTTTTATTATAAATAATTGCTCTAAAGTATGCAGCCCCTTCAGGCTATGTAATACATGGATAGTAAAGTGAAGAATTGAAACAATTTTCTGAACAGCTCAGATCATTAAAGGGATTTTTTTTTCTGCTATATCCAGAAGAAAGGAGGAGAAACAAAATGTTACCTTGTTATTCTCTCTGCCTGGAATGTTCTTCTCCCCAGAAATGTGCATGATTTGCTTCCTTCTACTTCTTAAATCTTCTCAACTAACAGCTTCTCAGTGAGGACTTTCCCAAGTAGGGCAAATTGCAACCTCCCCCTGTCCATGAGGAAGCTTCTCAGCCTTCCCTGATTTATTTCTCTCCATAGCTCTTACATTTTCTAATAAGCTACATGATGTACATATTTGTTTATTGCCTGTTTATTTTTTCCAATAGAAATAAAATTAGGAATTTATGTTTCTTTCATCCTTCTGCTCTATCTGCAGATCCCCAGCTCATAGTAGGTGCTCAAGAAAAATGAGTAGTATAAATGGGAATGATCGGTGCAACTTAGTTGGGTAAAGTTGCTGTGCCACTTAGCAGGGCTCAAATCTGTGGACTTCTTCCATCTTCCTTCTGCACACACACACACACACACACACACACACACACACACACAAATTTAATCACCCTGTGTCTAATTACAGTTATCCATGAATTCCTATGAACTGCCCTCTAGGGCAACATGCCTTCTTACTGTAACAGATAATGCAGTAGATGAGATTTTCAGAGTAAGTTGGCAGAGTGAAACCATCACAGATTCTCTCCCAGCATAACTAAAGAAACTTATAAATTTTAGGTAAAACAAGACATAAAAAATAAATCAGGGCCAGGCGTGGTGGCTTACGCCTGTAATCCTCGCATTTTGGGAGGCCGAGGCAGGCAGATCACAAGGTCAGGAGTTTGAGACCAGCCTGACCAACATGGTGAAACCCCATATCTACTAAAAATACAAAAATTAGCTGGACGTGGTGGCGCACGCCTGTAATCCCAGCTACTCAGGAGGCTAAGGCAAGAGAATCGTTTGAACCCGGGAGGTGGAGGTTTCAGTGAGCCGAGATTGTGCCACTGCACTCCAGCCTGAGTGACAGAGCAAGACTCCACCTCAAAAAAAAAAAAAAAAATAATCAGTATTCATCAAACAAACGAAGAGATACAGCTTCTGCTCACATTATGAGAAGCATGATCTTTATCCAGAATGTGACTCTTGTAAAGATAGCTTCCCCCTCCATAATGGTAAGAAGCCAACATGTTAAATTTATCAGTGTGTCTCGCTCATTCCCCTAAAGAATGGAGCCATACTAGGAGCTTAGTATTGGCCTGTGCTGTAGATAGGTTTGACACTCAGCAATAGTGGCAGCCAGATTAGCCTTGGGAAGGGGAAGTCCATGCTGCTGGGCCTATGCATAACATAGATATGTGTAATACTTCCAAAGCAGGAATAAGACTAAAGGCATCCAAAGCCAAAGAAAACAAACATAAAAACCCACCAGTGTCTCTCCAGAATCAGTAAAAAAAAATATCCAGAGCTCACTATTTGTGTCTTTTGTTGTTGTTTTTCCTAGCTGAGAACGAAGCTGCAGACAAAACGCAGTCTATTCACAATCACCTAGAGCTAATTATAGCCAACAAAATATATGTATCTTGCAAAACAGAAGATTAAAAACAAAAAAATATGAACAGAAGAGAAATAGAATAAGCACCACTGATGGTGTGAGAGGTCCAGGGTGAGAAGCAACACAAACGACCCCAGTTGCAGTGCTACTCTCTCCCAGCAAATGATAATGTTGTGGGTTCGGCCCTCAAGTTTCACCTATTTTTTGGAAGTAGGAACAGCAGTTGAGGAGACACACGTGAAGAGGCAGAAGTGCATCTTGTCTCTGTGCAAACCAGATTCCAGGCTCCACCCCAAGCTGGGTATCTCCCTCAGCCTTGGACAAGACCTCAAGATAGTTGTAGTAAACTCTGGCCAGGGCTTTAATCCAACTTGGAATAGTGAAAGCAAAGATCAGATTCACAAACCAAGTCCTGATCAATTCTCCTTTTCTTCCCTGCCCCTCTAGCAACAGAAAACAGGCACAACCCACTTTACCCAGCCTTCATGCCAAGTTCTCAATGATATAAGCAGTCTCAAATAAGATGGTAAAGGAGTTAAACAGTTCTCACTCCCACAATATCAGCGGGGGAAAGGTTTTATAATACTTAAAAAGTATTCACTTAAAAAGTGAACATTTATTATTTACTGTGTGCCTGTCACTAGAGCCTTACATGTATTAATTCATTGAGTCCACACAACCACCCAATAAGTTAGGTACTATTATTGGTAAACAATTCCATATTCAAAAACCTTGGAGCCAAATGTTTCTCAAAATTCATTTTTTTCCAGCTTTTAGAAAGGGAATGAGATAGATGTGCTATATAAGACATAAAATTCACAAGTCCTGAAGAAGCCCCCTATATTCAAATATGTTAATTTTTGCAGTGAAGTCTATGAATATTCACACTATGTTGGAAAAATTAATTCTATACATAACTCATATCAATTGAGATCAGGTCAGTTTTTGCCACCAAATGTGTTTGTGCCGAATTTACAAAAATGATAAGGTTTTTGGAGCCTTCCGAATTTGAGACTTATGGATATGAAACTTGGACCTATAGTCACCCAGGCACAAGTGGGGAGGCTAGAGCAGAGAAAGATTCAGGATACGATTCTCCCAGGTCAAATAGGTAGAAAGAAATGGGACCTGGTGAACTCAGACTCGAGTATCTCTCAGTTAATAGTCATCAGTGGGCATTTACCTGCTCAGCAAATAGTAAGCAACTACTGTACACAATTGTGTCTGCACAAATGTCTCTATCTTAAGTCTCAGAATCTCATTTGTTCTCATCCTGGGTTCTAACTTTAACACAAGAGATTTCTGAAAGTTGTGCATTTAACTGGAGTTGGAATTCTGCAACCACATAATTCGATTTTAGGTCTAATCCTTATTCATGTCTGTGCTGCAGCTATAGGCAATAAGGGATTCTCTTAAGGCCTCCATAGAAGCTTTCTGGTTCTCTACTTTTGTCTTGAATTGAAGATAAAGCAATATACTAATATTTGTCTTTACACAAGCTCTCTGGCACAGTCAAGTAACTTATACCACCTGAAACATGTGTCGTCATCATTGTGACAATATCAGGGGTACAACAGTCTGGTGACTTTCCAAAGCCTTGTCCTCTGCTGGCTCTCCATCTCACACCACTAGGATGACCATTCAAGAGACAATGATGCCACATCACATACCTACTGCTAAGTGTTGTGTGTTCTCAAGAATAGAGGTCATCCATGAATTTGCCTAGGGTATTAAGCAACCTTGAGAAATCAGGGTTTATCAGAATTCTATTTTTAAGGTCATTCCTGACCCTGAGTACTGTGTCAATAAGGATTCTGACAGGTAACACAGTTCGACCCAAATACTTCAAATGAAGAAACTTTAATAAAGGCAATGCTTAGAAAGTTAGTCAGGGTTCAAGGAAGAAGGCCTGGTGGGGTATCCAGGGAAGAGGAGCAGTGGAATACCATTAACGTGTTATCAGCATTCAAGGAGCACTGGATCCTTGAAGGAGTGGTCACCTCCAAGAACCATCCTCACAAGGGGTACAGTTACTCCCCAAGACAGGCACCTGAAGTGGGGAGAAATCAGGGAAATAATGCCCACTTCTCTCCTCCCACCCTCTGATTCGCTGCAGGTGCTTCCCATTGGGCAAACCCAGTTGGAAGCCAGTGGGTCAACCAGTCCAGATGATGCCAAGAGCAGAGGTCAGCCTTCCCTCTGGGGTATAGAATGGGGTAGGGCAGGGCTGAGAGTGAATCTGGGGCTGAAATAGACTGGGCCAACAAACAAGAGCACATATAGACTTCCCTGTTTTAAGAATAAAGAAATTCAAGCAAAGTTACTTGCTCAAGGTCACATAGTGAGTGGCAAAGCTAGATTCAAACCTAAGCAGCTCTCTACCAACACTACACTCTCAACAACTACAGTATCCTTAGATGGAGACTGTCAAACTGTTGAGAACTTAGAGGAGAGAGGACCTACAAGTGCTTCTTGCAAAAAAGGATGCTGCTTGATAACCAGGTAAGAGATGACTGGAGAGTCCATGCCAAGGGATTAGCGATGAGCAGTAAATAGATGTGTGCAAAATAGGATTATAAAGGAAATGCCAAATTTAAATAATTTAGCAATATTTAACTTATTCAACAATAGCAATACAAACAACTAAAAATGTGGAGTTAGTGGGAGAAAGCAGTTGAAGTCCATCAATATCTTCATCTTTCTTATGGGCAATCAACAATGATGAAGTTGAGAAGTAACAAAAGTATATTTTTGAATATCACTATAATGCTTTTTTTCCAATGGTATGCATCTTTATTTATTTTTATCTCCCTAATTTGTCATGGGTCAAAAAAGGTGAGTTCGTATTGCATCATCATCCTGCTTTTGTCCATTTCTCCTTACATTTTCTACTTTTCATGCTTTATATACTTTGATGTTACAATAAAAAAAAATTGGGCTGAGTGTGGTGGCGCATGCCTGTAATCCCAGCACTTTGGGAGGCCTAGGTGGGAGGATTGCTTGAGGCCAAAAGTTCAAGACCAACCTGGGCAATGTAGTAGGACCCCATCTCTACAAAAAATAATTTTTAAAAAATTAGTTGGGCACGGTGGCATGTACTTGTGGTCTCCAACTACTAGGGAGGCTGAGGAGGAAGGATTGCTTGAGCCCAAGAGGTCAGGGCTGCAGAGAACCATGATCCTGCAACTATACTCCAGCCTGGACAATAGAGCAAAATCATATTTCTTAGAAAAAAGTTAAAATTCAAAGAAAAATTTGATCATTAAGAACAATATTTTTATTTGTAATGTTTTCAGGGGAGCTCAGCCTTCAGAAAAACTGAGTTTCCTGAATAGAGGAAGGAGCCAATATTCAAAGCAATACAAAATGCTCAGGAAGTTACAGTGTGTTCATTTTTCTCCTTGGTGGTGAAAGGATGTTCTCCCTCACATGATTATCATATCTGCAGGAATTACTGTATATCTTTAGATGTCAGAGATAAAGTTGGTCTCCCATGGGGTCAGAAACTTACAGGAAAGGGCCTCATGGCTTTATTTCTTGAGGAAACTCATTGTTCTTATATTTTGTGGTTTATCTAAGATGAAGCTTTGTGGTTTGGTTTTGTTTTCTCTGATCATGGTATAGGGTATACACACCTCACAAAGATGGTAGAGCCTGATGCCAGCTTTGGCTTCTCATTTTGGTATTTATTGCATACATTTTAAAACAGTTACATCCATTTGTGGATTTTCCCCTTTATTATTCTTAAAATACACTTCAGCGTCTCATTAATACTTTTGCCTTGAGGGTCTGATATTAATATCATAACTCCATCTTTTATTGCTTAGCATTTACTTTCTATTTTCTTGTCTGCCTTTTTAACCTCTTTGAATTACTTTTTTTGAATATGTCTTTTGTATTAAGTATTTAGTTCGGTTTTTTGATCTAATCTGAAAATTAAGTTTATCAGATGAATTTATAGTATTTATATATATGGATATAACAGATAATTTAGTCTTAATTGGTCAAAATTATATTGTCTGATTTTTAATGCTGCCTTTTTTTGTTTGTTTGTTATTGATTAACTGGGAAGGGGAGTGTTTAGTGGTGAAAGGGTAGAAGCATTCTCACTAAAATAAGGAGCAAAAGAAAGATCCTGCCAGCACCACTACTATTTGACTTCTTTAACCATTGTTTCCTGGAGGCAATGAGTTAATGCAGTGAGGGAAGAGCAAGAAATAAGAGTTAAGACAGGAACATCTAAGAGAACCAACTGCAAGAGACTATAAACAATTAGAGAATTCAATAATGTGCCTAGTTAAAAACAACAGACATTAGTTCCTGTTTGTCTAAATGCAAAAAAAAAAAAAAAAGAAGAAGAAAAATGCAATAAAAGGGAAGAGGCCAGTAATAACAGCAACCAAAAAATTAAAATATCTAAAAATAAGTTAACAAGAAATACACAAGACCTATATAAGAAAACCATTTACATGCCACTAAGGAACAAAAATGACTTAAACGCATTGAAAGACAAGTCTTGTTCTTGAATAGGAAGGTTAGGTTCAGCATTGTAAAAATAGCAATTATTCCTAAACTGATAGAAAAATCTCACGCAGTCAACTTTAAAATTCAATTAATTTTTTTCTGAAACTTTACAAGATAATATTTAAAGTAATCAGGAAAAATACACATTCCAGAAAATTCTTACAAAGAATAATATGGTGAAATTAGCCCATTAAAACATATCACAGAGCTTCAAGGCTAATTTGGTACTGTTTTACTGATAGGGTCTAACACAGAGTTCAATACAATACCCAAATACACGTGGAAATAGTTCACATAAAAAGGTAACATTTTTAATCCATAAATGGTATTGGTACACATTGGGAAAGAATTAAAAGCTGGACCTCAATTTTAATGCTTTTACTTCCAAATATATCAAAGCACTTTTTAAAAAAATAGATTTTAAAAACTGTCTTGTTTTTAATGTAACTGCGTTGTTTAGAGATTCTAGCCTCTTTGAATTCAATTTTTTAAAATTGTAGATATTCCCTTGTGCTATGACTTTTTCATGGTCAGTTTTTATAAACATTCAATGTAAACTTAAAAAGAACGCATATTCTTTAATATTGCATAGGAGATTTTATGTACATATGTGTATAATAATCTATACAGATCAACCTTGTCAATTGTGTTCAGATTTGCTAATCCTCATTAACCTTTGGCACATTTAGTTCTGTTTCTGATTGATAGACAGAAGACAGATAGATGGATGTAGATATAGATACAGATATATATAATCCAGTGTGATTGCAGATTTGTCCATTTCTCGTCTAAATCAATTTGTACTTGGTTGCTCAAGACTATGTTATTAGAAGTGTATAAGTTCATGATTCTACCTTTTTTTTAAATTTTTTGTAGAGATGAGAGTCTCACTATCTTGACCAGGCTGGTCTCAAACTCTTGACCTCAAGCTATCGTCCCCCCTCAGCCTCCCAAAGTGCTGGGAGTCCTTACAAACATGAGCCACGTGCCCGGCCTATTATTCTACCTTCTTGATGGAATGTTCATTTTATCATCATTTAAAATCATTCTGTTTCACTATTTATGTCCTTGCCTTAAATTTCTGTTTTTGACTGATACTAATATTGCTGTATCGACTTTTTTAGGTTAGTATATTCATGATGCGTCTCTTTTGATCCTTGTATTTTCACCTTTTTAATATAGTTTGTATTAAGTTTATCTCATAAATTATAGCTGAATTTTTTAAAACCCACTTTGATAAACTCTATATTTTAATAGAAGACTCTGATCTATTTGCATCTATTATAAAAACTAATGTATTTGAACTTATGTGTACTATTTTATTTTGTTTTCTGTTCACCATTTTTTCTTGATTTTTCCATCTTCTTTTTCATCTTCCACTGCATATATAATTTATTTTCTTCATTTTTCTTCCATTAGTTTTGAAGTTATAGATTTTGTCTTTTTAGTTGCTTAGTTTTACTTATCTATATATTTTGAACAAAATCAACAATTATTCTGTTTCCATTCTCATGACTACCTTAGTTACCTGAAGAAAACCAAAGCAGTCCTGGACATCTTGTCTTTGAGCATTTTGGTTTTAGCATTTTTTAAAATAGTTACTTTTATATTAAATAATTAAGACAATTAATATATTTTTATCCATTTCTGTGCTCGTTTTCTCCATCCAATGCCTGGGTTGGCTTATCCATAACATACCATTTAACATACCATTTTTGCTAGTTCTTTGTTGAGTCATTGGCAGAATAAACTCTCTTAATTTACAGAAGTTTAAACTAGTGAGCTATTAATTTAGATGAGGATTAGAGAAGGGACATTTGATTTGTGTCCTGAGAACAGATGAATAGAAGTTTGCAACACTACAAAATGAGGTGAGGTTCCAGGCACAAAAGCAGGGGGTCACAAACTGGCCCACAGAGTGGTTTTAAAATACATGCCAACATTTTAAAACAAAGAGATACCAGTAAGAAATCAGAATTTCTAGCTTCTGATGGAAAAAAAAAAAGTTTAGACAAAACTGGACTTGCACTGCCACAGGGCTGGAGTGGAGTAGTTCTGTCCCTTTCAATAGAGTACCGGCTCTTCTCTCCCTAGGGTCACCTGCATGTCCTCTGTGGGCCTTCGTGTGACCCCTTGCAGAAATTCCTGCAGATTTCAAAGATGCACAGAATGTATTTAGGAAAGGTTGTATCGCGGAAGAATGATAGAGTATGATCTTTGTTTGCACGAAGCAACTCCAGTGGGGCAGTGGGTGGGTGCAGGGAAAGGGAACAGTTTGAAAGCAGAGGAATCAGCTGGGAGGCTGTTGCAATAGTCCGGGAGAAAAATAATCAAGTGCAAAGTGAGTCACTAACAGAACTGAAAGAGAGGATATAGAATCAGATAATTTTTAGAAGCAAAATCAGAAAGAATTGGAAATGGGTTGAATGCTGTTTGTGAGGCAAAGTGTGTCAAAGATGATTCAAACGTTTCTAGCTTTGGGGATTGTGTGCTGCCATCAATTAAGACAGGAAGCTCAAAAGAAAGCGAAAGTTTTGGTGAAAAACCAATTGTGTTTTATTTGTGACCTCTCCAGATCAGAGGCTATATCTTAGTTATCTCTATGTCTTCAGCTCCTAACACATCTCCTGAAAGGGGTTCAATAAATAAAAGCAGAATTGAACTCAATTAAGTGTATCGATTTGTCATTGTTTGTGGGAAGGTCATCCAGGTGGAAATGTCCAAAAGTCAATTTGTCATTTTAGAGCACAAGAGAAAGGTTAAAGCTGGAATATATGTAGGTGTTATCAGCATATTTACTTTCTTGCCTGATTGACACAATTTATATTTTATTAAGGCATACTTATTGATAGTATATCTTAATAAGTTTATGATTTTGTTTTTATGATTGCCACATGTATTTAATAAATTGCAATAAGTAGATACTGATATTTTCATCATCTTTTCTCCTGTGCCTACAGCAGTATATATAACCCGTAATAAAATCTTTTTCACCAGAAGATATTTCTGACAGACTCTACGATAATAAATTTAATTTCTTATAGAGTCATCAAACAACATAGAAATAACTTAAGTAATTTAAAAACTAATATTCAACTTTAATTTGACTTAAGTTTCAAGCAGCAATTAATTTCAGGAAAAGGAGGAATATTCACAATGATATAGGTAACGTTATAAGCAAACATTGTTCACTCGAAGATAGTATTTACACAATGAGTTTTTTAAAAAAGATCAAGTAGCTATTGTTTAAACTGTTGACTTATTTTTTAGCCTAAATTCTTCATGCCCAGGAAAAAGAGAAACATGGTGTCCGTTTTCACATGTACCATATACTTTCTTTCCTGGGATTTCTCTATTCCATTTCCTTTAAGAAGCATGTAAGTGAAAAAACAAAAAAAGAACAAACAAAAAAATAAAAATAAAAAAATCAAAGGTAGACAGCTTTATTCACAGTTTCCTGTGGTCTTCATCATCTTTCACAGTTTCCTATGGTACTTGATAATTCAATACTTAAAAGACCTCAAGGGAGCCCGACCTCATAACTCTGCCGTGTTCCCTGCCTGGAGATGCAACAGAATAGTGTGTTACCTTGGTGACCACTCTAGAGGAAGTCAGCATTATCCAGAGGCAAGCACCATCAACACCTATGATGACATGGAGGAGAAGCAGGAATTCACCAGGGAGGGCTCTTTTCTATTTTCTAATTGATGTTTTTTCTCTTCTTTTACTTCTCATTGACAAAGGAGAGAATACCAAAAAAAAAAAAAAAAAGTAAATTATGCTGTCTCCATGCACCTGTCACCCAGCTACAAAACCCAGCTCTTGGCTCCTGCTTATTTCATCTTTTCTCCCATCTGCTTCTTCCTTTTTCCACAAGTGGAATATTTTGAGGCAAATCTCCACTGTTATACTATTTCATTCATAAATATTTCAGTATGCACCTCAAAAAGATAAGAAATCTGTTTTTAAACACAGTCAAAATATCAGGCCAGGCACAGTGGCTCACCCTTGTAATCCCAACAGTGTGGGAAGATTGCTTGAGCCCAGGAGTTTGAGACCAGCCTGGGCAACACAGTGAGACCCTGTCTCTACAAAGAATAAAAAATTAAAAAATAAAAAAAAGCTGGGCATAGTGGTGTATGTCTGTGGTCACTGCTACTTGGAAGTCTGAAGTGAGAGACTGCTTGAGCCTGGGAGGTCGAGGCTGCAGTGAACTGTGATCACACCACTGAACTCCAGCCTGGGAAACAGAGCAACATCCTGTCTCAAAATTAAAAAAATAAAATAAAATGAAATAAACATAGTTAAAATATCATCATCCTTGCTCCTCCAAGAGAAAGTAATATTTTCTAACATCATCAACTATTCATTCTGTGTTCAAATTTCTCTTACTGTCTAATACATGTTTGTTTGTTTGAGCTGGTTTGAAATTGAATCCAAACCAACCACATATTGCATTTGTTTGACAGTTTTTTATCCCTTTCCATTAAAAGGCCCTCATTCCCTTTTTTCCTGGCATTTTACTTGTTAAGGAAACCAGATCATTGATTTCTGCAGGGTTCATTATATTCTAAGATTTTGTTACTGCCTCTCTATCATGTCATTTAATGCGTTCCTGTAAATTGGTAGTTAGACCTAAGAAGCATGACTTAATTCAAGTTCAAATTTGGGACAGAATATTTTGTAGAGGCACATCATATCCAGTTGTCTCTCTTTCGATGATATTGCTAGCCATCAGTGATCAGTGCCTAGATCTATTATCTCTTGAGAGGTTTAAAATATGGTACTACTTTGTCATCCCTTCATCATATGTTAGCTCACATACACCTGTGGATAGAAATCTATCTTCACCAGCTCTGGTTATTCTGAAGATGTTACTTAGGAAAAGCAAGTTAAATGCTTGATTCTTTCACAAAGTATAAGTTTTTAGAATAATAAGTGGGTTCCCTAGCATCCTCCAAAGTTTAAATATCATTTTGTACTCATGAATTTTAACACGTGATGTGTTTTGATGTGGTTTTAATGGTTTCCTGTTGATGCTCAAATTGTCCCATCTTTGGCCGGTAGGAAGCTTCTTCAAGTTGGCTCCTAAGACTTTTTGATACAAATCCAGTCGTCTTTGTTGATTTCCTTACTCCTTTCTGTAACAAGATAGATATCTAGTCTATTTCCTACTCCAAACTCGGAATCAGACCTTTCACCAAAATCCCCTGGCTTCTTTTAGTGGTATATGGTATTTGGAGATGAGAGTTTGGGTGTAATCTGATTATTAATGCTATAAACTGTGAGAAATACCAATCGTTTAATAAACTCAATATTCTTGATATCACAATTATTTGATGTATACTTAATTTCTATGCTAGACTGTAATATCCACGAGGACGAGAACCACATTGATTTTTGCTCACCATTGTGATCTGAGTGCCACACAAGTGCCTAAACACACACCAACATTTTATAGATGGTTGATTAGTGTACCCCAAAACTCATGTCTGGAACCCCAGAATGTACTTAGTTAAAACGAGGTCACACTGGATTAAGATGGGTACAAAATCCAATGATGATATTCTCATAAGAAAAGGAGAGGACACACAGAGACAAGGGGAATAAGGCCGTGTGGAAATGGAGGCAGAGATTGGAGTTGTGCAGCTCTAACCAAGGAATGCCAGGGATTGCCGGGAACCATAAGAAGCTGCAAAGGCAAGGAAGGGTTTGTTCCTAGAGCCTTCAGAAAGGACAAGGCCTTGCTAATACGTTGATCTCAAACTTCTAGTTTTCCAGAGCTGTGAGACAATGAATTTGTGTTGTTTTAAGTCATCCAATTTCTGGTACTTTGTTATGGGAGCCCTAGGAATGTAATACAGTGACGATTAGATAACATTTTAAACTGCATTGGAAAGTGTGATTTTTTTTTTTTTTTTTTTTTTTTTTTTTTAGATGGAGTCTCGCTCTGTCGCCCAGGCTGGAGTGCAGTGGCACAATCTCGGCTCACTGCAAGCTCTGCCTCCCGGGTTCACGCCATTCTCCTGCCTCAGCCTCCCGAGTAGCTGGGACTACAGGCGCCCGCCACCACGCCCGGCTAATCTTTTGTATTTTTAGTAGAGACGGGATTTCACCGTGTTAGCCAGGGTGGTCTCGATCTCCTGACCTCGTGATCCACCCGCCTCGGCCTCCCAAAGTGCTGGGATTACAGGCGTGAGCCATCACACCCAGCCTGGAAAGTGTGACTGTTTAAAAATCACTGTGTGCCAGGCTTGGTGGCTCACACCTGTAATCCTAGCACTTTGGGAGGCTGAAGCAGGCGGATCACTGCCTCTTCAGTAATGCCTGTTCTTCTACCTCTGGCTTGCTCTTGAATTCTGTCCTGGGCAAAGCCAAGAACTCAGCAGGCTAAGCTGCACTTTGGGGCTTGCCTGCCCTGCATCAATTGTATCATTACACAAAAACATTCCTGCTCCTCATTCATTATTGGAAATACAGTACCCTAAACAGTTAAAGTTTAACATTGAGTAAATCAGTTTCCAGCAGCTAAAAACAAAATATCCTCACCTAAATTGTTTCAAATATAGAATGGATAATATTTAATTTAGAAATTATGCATGGCAACTATAAAGTTTAGTTATGACTTTACGTTAATGCCTTGCTCAGTAAGTGCACAATTGAGAACTGCATACTTCTCTTTGTTGTAAAGGTAGGCCGAAAGTTTTTGGAGTGGATTGTCACTGAAGATCCCACCTCTAACTTTCTCCATGTTTTATATCAGACTTGGCTTGATTGAGAGATTAGCTTCCTGTGCTAGAAACACTACTCAACTTTAAATCATAAGACGTGGATCTGAGCCCTGGCTCTGCTACTCCTAAGCTGTGTAAAACTGGACAGCCCACTTAAGCATGATTAAAAGAGAAAGAAAATGTATATAAGTATCTGAGGTCAGTGCCTGGTACACAGGTGGCATTTAATAAGGATGGGCAAGACATGTAGTTAGATCTACAGTGTAACAATTAGGAGTGAAGGGCTGTGGAGGGAAACAGAACAAGGTTCAAATTCTGATTCTGCCACTTTCTGGTTTAACAGTTGAACGAATTGCTTGGACTCTCTAAGCTTCAGGTTTCTCCTCTGTGGAAAGGAGGAAATAATTCCCACAACCTACAGTTCTCTGCAAATATTAAAAACCATAATCCATAAGAATAATTTAGCATAGTGCTGGCACACTGTACATTCTTAATATTTTTCTGGTTATTATTAATGTTATTTAATGTTTCAGAATAGATGCTTTAACCATTCCAAGTTTTTGGATGTTTTAAATACAAAGATATTGAAATAAAATATTTTTTGGGCTACTTTTTTTAAAATTAAATTCAGAGTAATTCTAAATTATTGTAAGCTAAAACCTGAACTTTAAAACGATAATAATGGTATTAGCAAAAATAAAATGTAAGAAAAGACAATTTTATCACCAGGATTTAATACATAGAAGATGCATTCAACTCATATGCTTTCTCTCAAAGTGTGTTTTATTGGAATACCAAGATAGGTAAAGCACACTCTAATTTATATATATATAAATTATTTTATATTAATATATATATATTCATTTTATCACTTCTGAGGCATTGGGAAATGACCTTCTCCCAGATTATCCCCTGTTCCCTTGTACTCAATAGTCAACCATTAGAGATTTAATCCTTTTACTTAAAAATATATTCCCTGGAAAGAAAACAACAGGCTATCAGATGTGAACATCTAAGTGGAAATGAGGTTATCAGAAGCATTCCAAAAGAGAGCATGGATGCATAAATATTCCAGAAACAGAAATAGCAACTTACGAAAGGGAAAAGAAAGGTGAACAGATGCTGTGAAGATAAACTTCACTTTTTTCCCAGCTAAAACTGTCTCCAAACATTGGCAGAGAAGACCAGGAACTTTTTATAGATAACAACTGCTTTTTCTTTTTTAAATCATATGTGTTCTTGCATTTCTGTAATCACGAGAAACAAATTTAATTTAAAGATGCCAAAGGCTTTAGCCTCCTTTTTTCTTTTATATTGTGTCGGTAATCCAGATATTTCTGATATTTACATTAAAAGAACATGATACTGCTAATAGAAAACTGCCCTATCAAAATGTTTTTATAGTATCTGCTCTGGAGCTATAATTTTACTAAGGGTGACACAATAAAATGACAAACTTTTTAAAAATCACCTATTTTTAGTCTTTTCTTACATATAAAAATACACGTTAGATTGGCAGTTCTGACTTTTGGCAACCAAAAGCACAGCTTCAGAAAAGTATAATTATAAAATCACTCTAAAACTATTTTGTCATGTAGTATGTCAGGTAAATAATGGTTGCTTTAGTGAGAAAGAGAAAAAGAATGAGAGACTATTCGTAATTAAATGAGTCTAAGAGAGAAATGACAACTAAAGGCAATAAGTGATCTTGGACTGAAACTAGAGGTATAAAGGACACTTTAAAAATGGTTGCTTTAATGTGAAAATTATTTTAGTAACTGGTTATGCAAATTTAGGCATTTGTTCAAGTGAAGGTTAAGACTGTGAGAGGGAACGGCTAACACCCCCTGAGAATATTGTTTTTTATTCTCAACAAAGAACAAAGGAGGCATATGTTTCTTTTCTTTTGAGTAATCTAAAACAATTTACTTGTTTTTGGTTTTTTTTTTTTTTTTTTTTTTTGAGATGGAGTCTCACTCTGTTGTCCAGGCTGGATTATGCAGTGGTGCAATCTCAGCTCACTTCAACCTCCACCTCCTGGGTTCAAGTGATTCTCCTGCCTCAGCCTCCAGAGTAGCTGGGACTACAGGCATCTGCCACCACCCCTGGCTAATGTTTCCATTTTCAGTAGAGACAGGGTTTTTTCATGTTAGCCAGGCTGGTCTCAAACTCCCAACCTCAAGTCATTCACCCGCCTTGGCCTCCCAAAGTGCTGGGATTATAGGTGAGAGCCACCTTACCTGGCAACCTCTTTATTTTAAAAGTACTTTTAAAATTTCAAAAGTAAAATGTATTTGTTTTTTAAAAATTCCAGTACACAAAAGTATAAAATAAGAGTGTCCTCACCTTAGCTCCTCTCTCTCAATTGTTTGTCTAGTATTCTTTGCACCTGTGCAGACATTTTATATATAAGGAGGCAACGCAGAGAGAAAGAAATGTTCTTCAAACTTTATGGTCAAGGTTATCAAATACTGACACTGGGGTTTTATAACAGCTAAAGATGGGTCTTTGCAGATGAGACAGTCTTCATAATTGGGGTCTTTTCACCATTTCACATAGAGTTTAACTGAACTGTTTGTATTACGATGAAATCTTTAGCTATTCAAATATGAATCATGGATATTTATAACCCAGTGTTGTCCAATTTAACATTTCATGGTTCTAGCTGCTGAAGCCAGAAAAGAGCATCAGAAGGCAAACCTTTAAATGTCTTCGAAGTTCATTTTAAGTACTGCCCTCAAATTCTGCGTAGGTTTCTAAAGCTTGCTCATTTTCTAAGAGTCTACTACATCTAATGGATGGCAAGAAGTCCAATGAGCCTCTGGATCTGGGTGAGATGAAGAGCCACCTCCTCTCTGTCTGCGGAGAGGGAAGCACTCTGAGAATAGACACTCCTGCAATTTGGCACATTGTTTTCAGCCCTAACTGAAACTAGGAAATGCAGGGAAGTGTGATCATGAAAATAACAGGATCAGAGGAGTGTAGAAATTAGCTGGCTTTTTTCCCCTACAAAATTCATAAAAACAGACTATCTTAAGTGTGGGGTATGATTTCTGGGTTTTATGTAAGAAGAGATGTCTTACAGCTGAAACCATGAAACCAACAAGAGAATATCTTTCACCTCCCTGTGACTCAAGGCACATTGCAAGAATGCTGCGTAGAAGTACATCCAACAAAACTGACCCAAAAGCACAAATGCAGGAGTGGGGCTGGAGATGGTGATTCTTTCTAATTAAAGTCCTGGCTCATGTAGTTGTGGGTATTCTGTGAGACTACATACGAGTATTTAGTGCAATGCCTGCTTTGTGGAAGTGCTCAATACACAGTCATTGGCAGAGTGGTTGTTAAGACTTCATTCTAACTTTCAGAGCATCCTCATGACACTTCATTCATGGAGAGCAGTGTTTCTTTGTTAACAAAAATCCACATAAATCATGGGCAGTTGGGGAAATTTTTCCTTACCATCAGAAACTTTGAAAATGACCTCTCAAGGTAGGAAGGAGACAGATTATATACATGTGTGTTCAACTGTAAATCCCTTGAATGAGTTTTATCTCCCCCCTCACAATGCCCAGCATAATGCGTGACATGACATATAATATGACCTAATAAATGTTGCCATCTAGGGTAGGGGGTAAGAGCATAAACTCTGGAGCCAAGCTGTTTTATTCTTGGCTCTCCTGCGTAGCTATGTCATCATGGACAAGTGACCTAACCTCTTCGTGGTTCAGTATCCTCAACTGTGAGGTAAGGACATGAATAGTTTCTACCTCCTTGGTTTGCCATGAGGAGTAAATGAATTAGGACATGTAGATTGTTCATAATACTGCCTACTACCTTGGTATGCTATCTGTTTGCTATTATTGTTATGATGACGAAGAAGATGATGCCCACTCCCCACCCAAAGCACTAACTTTAGAAATACCTTACAGCTTAAGGACACACCCTCTGCCTCCTTTTCTGGTACTTAGTGACCGTCTAAGAAATAAATATGGTTGTTCTTTTTATATCTGTTAATAGCACGTGATAATAGCTACTAAGTGAAACCCTTTCTACCTGGTTGTAATTTTTTTTTCAAGAAAAAAATTTTTTACAACAATTTTTTTTCAAGATGCCAAGGAAGTTGTCAAGCACCTCTGCTATAATTCTCAACAGGCAAAATTGAGTTTTTTTCTTATTACTTTGTAAGCATCATTTGAAAAATGATTAGAACTCTGATATTTATGCTATATTTAGGAAAATACAACATTTTCTAAATTATTGGGATAACTATATATACTAGTAGTATTGTCTAACCCTACTGGGGCTTTGGAGGGTATCAAATTAGCTTATTCAAGAATAAATAGAGCACAATAAACCTATTCTCTCTAAAAGTCAATATATAATGCTGTTAATTTGCCTTGAGTACTGGATTTGGCAGAATAATTGTGCCAAGAAACTGACACTACAAAAAATCATTATTCTGATAAAAACAGGTAAGAATAAGCCAACGACTGAGCTGCAGAAAGAAAAAATGTGTCAGGAAGTAGTTTCTGCCATGAAATGAGAATCCAAGGCCTGTCATTGGCCTCAGCATGAGCAAGAGCATTCTCTCTTGCAAATTGCCCTCATTGCAGCTGAATGATCATATCTCCACCTGTGCAGCAATTCTTTCACCCAGTCGTTTCCATAAGCAGTGTGAAAACTGCATCTCACATCTCCTTAGTCAACTGTGCTAGTGGATGAAACAACAATGACATCAAACGGAGTGTGTACTAGATTCATTTATCATGTGGACAGGACCATCAACTAATGTCTGGATTATATCCGACCTTATGTTCTAAAATGCTGAAGGAACAGCAGCTCTCTCCTCCGAAAGGCAGTAATTGTTTCCAATTTAAGTTAACAAGTCCCATATAAAGCATCCCTGTTTCTCCTTTGTTTTCTGGAATCTATAACAACAGTTTGAAAGGAATAAGAGTCAAAGGCCAGAGAGAGAAGACTAGGAAGAGATAGAGGCAAAGAAGGGAAGGAGGAGGTGCTGTGGAACCCGGGAGACCTGCTCAGACTACAAGCTTTGCACGTCACAGATGGAACTACAGTGAGCAAATTCCCCTCCCCTCCCCAGCCTCAATTTCCTTAGGAAAAGGGAATGATAAAATCTTTCTACAGTTGTTCTCAGAATTTAATGAAATATTAACCACCTAGCACAATGAATAATAGTATTATTAAAATTATCTTTCAAAATGAATCTTCTTCTTGGCCTTTGCTATGGAACAGAGACCTCATTGTTCCCTTGTGTAAGATAATTGAAGTCAAGCTAGAGTAGACCTTGGAAGGTGAAATGAAGTCATTTGGAGTCCATAGATGACCAGGACACCGCAACCCTGAGTTTACAGGGAGTAAACTCTGGGTTTACTGGACCACTGAGTCTCTATATTGGCAGGGAGATCATCATATGAAATTCAGTCAGGTCAGCCTAGAAGACCCTCCTTATGCTCTCCTATCTTCATCTCCTCTGCTGCTTAATCAAGCAGCATCACAATCTTCACCCCTCTTACCCAAGCCATTGCAAGAAGAGGAAACTATTACATCTAATATTGTGGCTATGGAGGCTTAGCAGGAGACTTACAAAAGAGCTCTTCGTATTGCAAACTTCCTGACAGCTTGGAAGCCATCACCATTACATTTGCAAACCCCTTTTATGGTTACCTTAAATGTAGAGAATGTTAAGAGCCTAGAGAAAGCATGTGCCTACAATGTGAGTACTTGAGGCGTATCCCTATACTTGCATGGGAAGGATGATGTTTTTTATTATTTACTTTGCCAATTGTTATTGTTACAGCATCTGTGCCTAACCTCTGAGTCTGAGGCATGAAATTAATAATCCACAAACCACATAGGGAGAAAAAGGGAAAAAAAGTTTAATTTCCATGTATCCCAAGTTCACATATAAAAAAAAAAAAGAGCAAGAGGGCTAAGTTATAAAGCAGAGGGAAAAAACACACAAAAGTCGGGGTATGTAGTTAGAAGAAAAGAACTCTGAAGTCACACAACACCTTCTTCAGGCGAAGGAGCACAATATGGGATCAGTTCTCTGTCTATCGCCTCTGCCCCAATAATACCCAGGGGACAGAGTTTAGTGCTGTTCTAGGCAGAGAAGAAAAGGCAAGAGAAAGGATTGCTTTTTTCTCTTTCACTTTCTGTCTTGGTTAAGCTCCAAGGAAAAGTGAGCTTCCAGTGGCAGGGAGTGAATGAGACTGCAGAGAGGTTTTGTTTTACTGCTTTAAATTCAGTTTAATAAAATCTCTACCAGAAAACATCCTGACGATGTATCTTCAGCTAAGAGATGGGCAACTCTACCTATTCACCACCAGGCAACCCACCCCTTCTCCAACCCTTCTGTCCTCTATTAAATGCCCAAGAAATACATAAGAAAGGACAGGGAGATGCCATACTGTTCAATCAACGTTTTTTTTTTTTTCAGTTCTTGTGGAAAAATAAACTCACACCAAGAAACATGCCCTAAACACATCTATAATGTACTAGGCTTCATTGCTTTCTTCATTGCATTCCTCGACAACACAGACCCTCATTCTCATTTCATCATCAGGAGATATGGTTGGTACCAAATAATTTCGCACATTACAGTCTTGATTGTATGCTTCATTAAGAGCATAGGGTTTGAACACAGGCAAGAAAATTAAAAAAAATAGATAAATTGAACTTTATAAAATTAAAAATTTTGTGCATCAAAGAACACTATCAACAGAGTGAAGACACAACCCATGGGATGGGAGAAGATATTTATAAATCATGTATCTGATAAGGGATTAATAACCACAATATATAAATAATTTTTACAACTCAGCAACAATAAAACGACTCTCCCATTAAAAAAAAAAAAAGCAAATGACTTAAACAGAACTTTCTCTAAAGAAGATTTACAAATAGTCAATAATCCTTAATGAAATACAAATCAAAACCACAATGAGATACAAATTAGGGTGAAAACTATAAATAAAAACAAAAAAGTCTTGGCCAGAATGTGGAGAAATTACTTGGAATCCTTGTGCATTACTAGTGAGAATATAAAATGCTCCAGCCACCATAAAAAACAGTAGGGCAGTTCCTCAAAAAATTAAACAGAATAACCATAGGGTATAGCAATTCCACTTCGGGGTATATATCCTGCTGTGTTTTGGATGTGGTTCATTTCTGCCAGAACTCATGTTGCAATTTAATTGCCAGTGTAACAGTGATGGGGGATGGAGCCTTTAAGAGGTGATCAGGTCTTTAAGGTAGATTGTCTTTCTTGAAAGACTTGTTTAGTTTTTGAGGAAATGGATTAATTGTCACAGAGTGGATTGTTACAAAAGCAAGCTCGGCTTCCTCAGCTTTCTCGGCTTTTGCCTTTCTTGCATCCTCTCTAGTCCTTTTGCCTCTACCATGTTATGACTGAGTAAAAAGGCCCTCACCAGAAGCCAAGCAGATGCTTGTGCCATGCCCTTGGACTTCCCAGCCTCCATAACTGTAATAAATAAGTTTCTTTTCTTTATAAATTACCCAGTCTATAGTATTCTTTTACAGCAACAGAAAACAGACACATCTAAGAGAATTGAAAGTAGGGACTCAAACAGACATTGAAACACTCATGTTCATAGAGGCATATTATTCATAACAGCCAAAAGGTGGAAGCCACCTATCTATGCCTTAAAAAGGAATGAAGTTCTGATAAATGCTATAACATGGATGAACTCCAGAGACGTGCTAAGTGAAATCAGACAGATGCAAAAGGACAAATAGTATATGATTCCACTTACATGAGGTACTTCGAGTAGTCAAATTCATAGAGACGGAAAGTAGAATGGTGTTTGCCAGGGGCTGGAGGGAAGAGGGAAATTAGGAGTTATTGCATAATAGACACAGTATTTCAATTTGGAAAGATGAGCAAAGTTCTGGAGATAATGGTGATGATGCTTGCAAAACAGTGTGAATGTACTTAATACCATTGAAATCCACACTAAAAATAGTTAAAACGGTATGATATGCATATTTTATTATAAAAAAGTAAGAATTGAATTTTAAAAAGAACATAAGGTATGGAGTCAAAGTTTCAAGGTTGGTAGCCCAGCTACCCTACACACTAATTGTGAAGCAAGTAATTTAACCTCTTTGTGCCTCTGTTTTCTTCTGTAAAATGGGATAATCAGTGTGCCTGTATCATAAGGTTGCTTTGAAGTTTATATGAAATAATGAAAGAAAAATCCTTGTTCATAATGAATGTACAATATGTGTGAATTATTATTGTTGTTATTTTTTTGTATGGATGCTAAACACTCCTTGATGCCATGAAAACAATATCTGTTCCTTTTCTGCTTCTCCCACAGAGAATTTTCTATATATTGCTAAATATTTATTGACGGATTTATGTATTCATACACAAAGGTGAACCTATTGACTCAATATCAGTGGTTGTTTTTCCAACACATAATATAAATTAATATTGATCAATTCATATTCTTGAATAAGTCCCCTTAAACCAAAGATATGCATTTATAGACAGCTGGCTAAAGATGAGCTATTATCTTGAAAAGGACGTAATTCACAGTACTATGTTCCCATGCCAAGGGAATCATAAGATCTTACCCTTATTATTATTGTAACTGACCTATAGAACCAGCCATAGAGTATAAAACCACATAATTGAGACACCACCATCTAAAGAAAGATGCAAGGTAAGTTGAATAGATAAAACCCTTGAGCCCATTAAACAGATAACCTCTTGGATTTTTAAACATCACCAACAATGATTAAGGTGTGAAGGACATAGAAAGCAACACTAATAAACTCTGGCCCTGATGAGGTGTGGAACCCTCATTACATTTAAGGGTAAATGTATTGAGGATGCTGCTAGTTTCAAGTTTTGACAGCATGAAATATTGGGCATTAGCTAATTCTCTTCATTTTAAACCAAACTATTTTTAAATCAATGCCTCTACCCAAAAATTGCTATAATAAATTATTAACATCCATTCTCAAATAAAACCAATTATTTCTTAAATGAACAGCATTTTCACAAGCTTTTCTTAAGACAAATTTTTTTTTTTAAGCCTTGGGTTGATGCTGGCTTCTAAAATCTTCTATTGGAATGAGAGAAAATTCACTTAAGGGATTATTTCTCCAACAGTTTGAGTGACTATTTCCCCCAGATATATTTTTCAGAGCCCATGCCCCAAAGTGTCATAATTCCATTAAATCAGTGCACAGCTGGGCAATTCTTTCTTTGCTCACATTATAGTGATCCCCAGGGAATTTATGTAAATCTATGGAAATTCATTTTAAAGGCAGTGCTTTGAAAGGATGCATCCTCATTAAGTAAACAATTATATCTACAAACAGGCTACAAGCAACATACTGGAGAGCTAAATTAAATTTTCCATCAGGAAAACTAAACCATCCACTTTCACATTTAGGCTTTACCTAAATGCCACCAAAATTGTAAGACAAAGGATTATGAAGTCAAAACAGGTATCAAGGGAAGTGTAACTGAGCCACTGTTGCAGGGCATGGCCTCTAGCCTCCTTTCTGGTCCCACTACCTCATTCCACTTTTGGCAATGCTGTAAAGAAAAGATGGCAGTGTTATAATTTAAGGACTCCTAGGAAAATTTTATCATGTAAGGGTGGAAAGAAATGACCACTTCTACTTCCTACAAAGGGCATTCCAAGTCAACCCCAAGAAACTCTGATAAGACCAGAGAGTCTGAAACATAAAGGATAGGGTCTTGTGTGCCAGAAAGAGGACAAGCTTTATTGTTAGACTTGCCTACATTTCAACTCTAACTCCTTCACTTATTAGCTGAGTGGCCTCAGTTTCATTTGTAAATTGGGGATAATACTACTTCTTGACAGTGTTATAGATTTTTAATAAGGAAAACTACATAAAGTATTTAGTCAGGGGCCTGGAACATGGTTGGCATTCAAATGCCTTTACCTGGACCACAAGGTGAAGAAGGCTGAACAAGATGTGGGCTACAGAAATGAGGAGCTAAGTGGGAGGGAAAGAAACTTCTCTACTTAAAAATGTGGGGTCCTCAAGCAACTTTGTGTCTTCCATCTTAGTAGCTCTATTTATCTTCCCTAATGTTAGAAAAGCAGGACTAAGGCAATCCATGATAACATTGGCTTCAATACCACATCTCTTTCTTCTTAAGCCATTCTAACATTTATTCTTTTTGGCAGAGATCTCCTCACATCCCAAAATTCCGTACTCTATAGAGGTAACATCTTGGTTCTAAAGTCATAATTAAAAGTGAAATTCCCATAACAAATTTACCCTTAAAAACCCCTTTGAAAGGTATAACACTGGAACAGTCTCTCAGTAACGCCACCATAGGCCATTTCCCATCCATTATTGGAACAGATTGCTGATTCTTTGGTTGAGTCCTGGGTGAACCAGCTGGCTTGAGTTTAAGATCTGTATTGTCTCAAAAAATCATATTATATTATATATAAAATCTCTATGTATATAATCTATTATGTATAATAGATTCACATTCCATTTAGCTAGATGCTCATAATCCATGAGTTAAGTGGAACTGAGCCCAACTAAAGAAGCAGACTCCCATCTCCTTGTACACATTGAGTAAAATAATTAGCTTAGATGCTGAAATGTATGTCTGCCTTTGTGTTAGATGTCCATCCCTATTCAATCCCCTTCTGAAAAATGTGAAGGAAATAGCCATGTCTCCTCAGTACAGGCTGAGATATGGGCAGGTGTTTTAGCCTCAGCACCTCAGTAAGCACAGCATAAAGATTTATGTGCTACTATTTTTTATTAAAGAGTGAGTGTAAAAGAAAACAAGGTAGGGAAGAAAGAGAAGCTGATTGGAGAGTGTGTTGCTAAACTAGTTAGCACTAATTTAGCCTTCTTCATGTCATAGAACTTTCCTATGGAAAGCCACATCAACTGTACCTCAAGGCCATAGATAGCTGAGAAGAAAGGGAAAGTATTTATCATTTATCTTATTAGCCATTAGTCCAAAGTTTGTTCCCTGGGACTTAATTCCCTTGAAATTCCAGACCGTGTATTTGTGGGTACTAAGTAAGATTACTCAAACTTCATTTTCAACAGGGGAGTCCTGGATTGAGAGGTAAGAAGCACATGGCATGGCCTTAAAGTAAGGCACTGTCAAGTTCCAAGTGAAATCATTCTAAACCCACACACAGCTGGTTACTGCAGCAGCAGTTGAAACAAAAGAGACATGAAGCTGAAAGACTGTGAATTGGGATATAAGAGGTGTTGGATACAGAATGCAATGATAGACATAGCTCGTTTAGGCTGTAAAGCTTAGCAACTTCATATTTATTCTCAGGGCATAAAAAGAATATTAAATAAAATATTCCAGTAGTAGTAATGACATCATCAGCATTATTATTACTGGCATGTTGATTCCTTCTCTCACCTTTAACTCCTTAAATGCTACCAACACTTAAGTCCCTTAGAGAGTAGCTTTCCTTTCCAGATCAATTCAGCCCTTTTGTCATACCTAGTTAATTGAGAGCTTCTAACCTGGTTTCTCTAATCTTAGTCTCTTCCTAACTGCATTCATATTATTCATAATTGCCATTCTTCTCTAATAGTTTTCATCAAATCATTTACTTTTCTATGAAAAAAGTGATAATTTTAACTTTTTGGATAAATGTAACATTAAATGTTTTCCCTCCCCATCAAGCTAATAATATTAAATACATTTAATACTTTTTAAATAGAAATTCACCCTGAATTCTTCCTTTTCAGAACACAATTTATGGACTTCCAATCTAAAAAGCAGTATTTGATTCCATGTCTTCAACAAATCTGTATTCCTAAAAAATATTAAAATGACCTAAAAAAGGTTAAAGGACCTAATGAAAAATATAATGAAAATAAATGTAATAAAATGTTCTAGATGAAGTAACTAGCAGTTTAGGTATAACTCAAGAGAGAATTAGGAATTTGGCAGATTTCTCTGAAGAAATTACAGAAAGAATAGACAGAAAAAAGAAAATGAAACATGTGGAAGAAAGACAAGTGTACATGAATACTTGAATGAGAAGAGCTCAGACAGGAATACTATAAAGGATGAGTGAGAAGAATATTCAAAGACATTATACTGGAAATTTTTCCAGAATTGATGAAAGTTTCTGGAGAGATACATGAAGGATATCTATGCCTACGCATATTGTAGAAAAATGCAGAATCCCACAACTTAAAGGAAAGTCTTAAACCTAATGAGACAGAAGAGACCATCTATAAAGGAATGACAATTAAAATAAAAGCAGACTTCTCAGTAGAAATCATGGAAGCTAGAAGTGGAATAATTTCTTCAGGAAATTATTTTTTAAATGATTCTTAATCTACTATTTTATATCTAAAAATTTCTTCAAGATTCAGAGTAAATTAAAGATATTTCTAGTATTTTCACATAAAATCTGAGGGACTTACGGAAAGGAAAAGGGTAAGTGAAACAGAAAAATTAACAAGCAGAGGACAAACAGAAAGATTGCAGAAATAAAGAAAAACATGTCACTAATCACAATATTTATATGTATAGACCAAGCTTGTCACTTAAAAAACAAAAAAAAAATTAAAGCAAACCAAACAAATTCAACTATATGCTCTATTTAAGGGACATACATAAAATAAGACAGAAAATGATTTAAATATATGTCCATTCTCACCACAGTTATTCAACACAGTACTGGAAATCTAGAGAGTCTAAGACAAGAGAAAGAAATAAAGGACATCCAAATTGGAAAGGAAGAAGTCAAATTATCCTTGTCTGCAGAAGATATAATCTTATATTAGGAAAAACCTAAAGACTCCACCAAAAACCTGTGAGAACTGATATACAAGTTCAGTAAAGTTGAAGGATACAAAATCAACATACAAAAGTTAGTAGCATTTCTATGTCACAATAGTGAACAATAGAAAAAGAAATCAAAAAAAGTAATCCCAGTTACAACAGTCACACATAAAATTACATACCTAGGAATTAAAGAATTGAAATTGAAAGATCTCTGCAATAATAACAATAATAAAAACTACAAAACACTGATGAAAGAAATTGAAGTGGACCTCAAAAAATGGAAAGATATTGTTAAATGTTCATACTACCCAAAGCAATCTACAGATTCAATGCAATCCCTATCAAAACACCGATGACATTCTTCACAGAAATAGAACAAAAAAATCCTAAAATGTATATGGAACCGCAAAAGAACCTTAATTATACTACAGAGCTATACTAACCAAAACTTCATAGTACTGACATAAAAACAGACACATAGAACAACAGAACAGAATAGAGCTATCTCTGTAGTATAATTTAAAGTTGGGTAACATAATTCTTCCAGTTTTGTTCTTTTTGCTCAGATTAACTTTGGCTATTCTGGGTCTTTTGTGGTTCCATATACATTTTAAAATTGCTTTTTTTAAAAAAATTTCTGTGAAGAATGTCATTGGTATTTTTCATTCAATCTGTAGATTGCTTTTGGTAGTATGGACATTTTGATGAAACAATATTGATTTTTCCAATCCAAGAATATGGAATATTTTTCCATTTTTTGGTATATTCTTTAATTCCTTTTATCAGTGTTTTATAGTTTTTATTATGGAGAGCTTTCCATTTTTTTAATTCCTAGGTATTTAATTTTATGTGTGGCTATTGTGAATGGGATTACTTGTATGATTTTTTTCAGATTGTTCAGCACTAGCATATAGAAATACTACTGGTTTTTGTATGTTTCACAGAGTGACTATAGTCATCAATTATTTAATTGTACACTTTAAGAAAATTAAAAGGGTATAATTGGATTGTTTGTAACACAAAGAATAAATGCTTGAGGGGATGAATACTCCATTCTCCAAAATGTGATTATTACACTTTCATGTCATATCAAAACATCTTGTGTACCCCCTAAATATATATACCTACTATGTACCCATGAAAACTAAAAATAAATAAAAAAAAATTTTTTTTAATTAAAAATAAAGATAGAGCAGGTAAATAATAACTCAACAAAAGCTGGGAAAACTATATCAATATTCTAAAGATAGTCTCTAATATAAAATAGATTATTAGCAAGAAGTGATACTATTTAAAGCTTTAAATATCAGTGAAATATAACAACTAGACATGTAATATGAAGCTAAAGATAACCTCAAATTACACACAATGCAAAACATTTCTAGAACTATAGAAATTAACACATCATTATAAAAATATGAAGATTAAACACACCTTTCTCAATTAACAGTTTAAGCACAAAAAGTATATAAAAATGAAAATTTAGGACAAAACTTTATTTAATGTATATATAAATAGATTAGAGAGATTCCATAGTTTCTCCAACATATATAGTACATTTATCAAAATTGAATAATTGAATATATTAAGGTCTAAAGGAGCAAGTCTCATTTAATTTATATGTATAAGTACATGTGTGTGTATATTTGTGGGAGTGAGGAAGTGTGCATTCTACTTTTTCTGACAACAATGAAATTAAATTAGAAATCATTATCAATAAGATAAATGTTTAACTTTTTTATGAAAATTTCTAACAACTACAGGAGTAGATGAAATAGTATATGGAATGCAAATGTACATTTCAGCTAGCTTCAACAATTATTCAATTCATAGCCAATCTACATATTCATTCCCATTGATATTTCTCTGAAACAAATTCATCCATAAATGTTTGTAACTTTATAGAAGGTCTTTTTGTTTTTAACATAACCAAAATATCATCATATACCTTTATTTAAAAAGTCTCAAACATCTAGTCAGTGTTCAATTTCCCTGATTATCTCATATTTTTGTTTGTTCAAGTCAGGATCCAAATTAGAATCATATATTGCAATTGATGGATATGTCTTCTAGGTCCCAAGGAGACACACTGTTAAGGATACAAATGATCAGAATTTTCTAACCATGTTTCTAAATAACTCATAGAACAAAGGATCAATGGGATGGAATGAAGATGGCCCCGATTCTTTGTTACTAATCTCAGTGGGGAGAGGCGTGATTTCCCTTCCCTGGAATCTTCATTCTATGACTACTTTGGAAAAAAAAATATGGCAGAAGTGATGCTTTGCCAGTTCTATGTCTAGCCTTTAAGAAAACTTGCAACTTATACTTTCTGTTTCTCAGAACATTCTTGGAGCACTGGCTGCAACGTAAGAAGTCTGACTACTCTCTTGGAGAGGACTTGTGGAGTGGCCCTGTGCTGCATGCGTAGAAGGAAAAACCGAGGAGAGTTCAGCCCTCCAGCTGTTCTTACCAAGGCACCAGGCATGTGAGTAGAGCTATTTTAGGCTCTCCAGATCAGACTAGCCACCAGCAAATACCACGAGATAAACCCAGTTAATATCACATGGAGCAAAAGAATGACCTAGGCAAACGCTATCTGAATTTCTGATCCACAAATTCATGAACTAATAAGATCATGATTATTTTAAGCCACTCAGCTTTCACCTACCTTATTAGACAGCAAATGATAAGAGGTGTAAGGAAAGTTAAAATTTTATTTTTTGAAAAGGCTGAAGAATTTTTTCTCTAGTGATATTGACAAAAAAAGAGAAGACACAAATAAAACATTAAAAAGAACTATATTTCAGACATTCAAAAGATAAAACTAATACTTGAAAATAAATAAAACAAATTTCTAGAAAAAATATAATTTACTAAACAAAACTAAGCAGAAATTTTCCAAACAAAATCATATATACATAGATTTATATAACCACTAAGGAACTGAAACCAGTAAATTACATATTCTTCCATCCCTCCCCCAAACAAACAAGAATAAGAACAACAAAAGTTCACATAGCTTTACAGGCAATTCCACCGTAATTCAAGGAGTCACACTTCTCCAAAACAAACAATAAAAACAACAAGAACAACTGCAAAATCCAACAGTTTTACGAAAAATTCTACCATAAATAGAGGAACAGACAAAATTTCCTTTCCAGGAAAAAAGAAAAAGAAGGAATGCTCCAATCCCATCCTTTAAGGCAAGTATGATCCTCATATCAAAACTAGGGATAGTATGAGAAAGGAAAATCTCCTTGGAGACCATATATGTGAAAATCCTAAATAAAAATATCACTAAGTTGAACCCCCATAGTCTATAAAATGATACTATCATGACTATGTTGAGTTGATGCCAAAACTGCAAGTCGTTTATCATTAGAAAAATCTACCAGTGTGATTCACTTCACTAACAGCTTAAGAATAAAAACCATAAAATCATCTTACTAGATTCTTGTAAAGCACTGAATACAAATAAACTAATCAAACGCCTCCTGAAAAGATAAGGTAACATATTATTATATAGTCAATAAAAATATAATATAGCAGTTAAAATTAATTAATTTCAACTAGATACAACAAACATAAAATTGTGAGTCTTGGATTAAAAGAGCAAATGAAAGGAAACAGTCTAGTGCAATATCCCCTTTTGGTATATCCATTGGAGAAAGCACAGGTTTTATAATTCTTTTCACAACATTATTATAAGTATGATACCAAAAGATTTAAACAATAAAACAATTGTTTTATTTAAGCAAATAAGCAATTATTTAATTATTAAACAATAATTAATTAAATAAAACTGTGATACTGACATTAGATCACGCAACAGAATTTTTTAAATTACATATAAACTTTGGATTTCAGAAGCGTGGGGAAAAACACTTGGAAAAATATTCAAATAAATATTTGAATATATCTCACTTCTTAAGTCAAAATAAATTGTAGAAGAAATAAATGAAAAGAAAATCAATGCTGTGAAAAAAAATAGGCAAATATTTATATGATCTTTTGGAGGCTGATGCCAAAAGAAGAAACCATAAAAGAGAACACTAATACACTGTATATGTAAAAAATATGAAATAACATGAAACAAATAAATGAAAGCCATAGTTAAAAGACAAATGGCCAACTAGAACACTAATTAGCATGGTATGTGGCAATCAATTATACCTTACTATAAAAGTAACCCATCTAAATTAATTTAAAAAACAGACCAGCACCCAATAGGTAACTAACTAGAGGATATACATAGTCAATTAAAAGAAGAAATTTGAATTCTAATTGAATAAAATTCAAATATGAAAAGCTGTTCAACATCAGAAGATCTCACAAAAACAACACAAATTTTATTAAAGTACTATTTTTTTCTCTAGCAGTTTGTTATGATTAAAAATTATGCTAATATCCAGTAGTAGCATAGGAGCAGGGAAATACATCTCATTCTTACGACATTATCAATTGATGTATTTCTAGGAATCAGTTTTTCAAAATGTATCAAAATGCTTAAAATAATTTATACCCTTTGACTCAGCTATTCCCCTTCTAGGGTTTTACAATCAGAAAACATCTGATTGTATGTCAATTATATCTCAAAAACTTTGAACAAAATTATTTTCAATTAAATAAAAAACTGAATAAGTGTTCAAGGTTGTATAAACGTGGGGTTTTTTGTTTGTTTGTTTTTCTTGAGATGGAGTCTTGCTCTGTCACCCAGGCTGGAGTGCAGTGGTATGATCTCGGCTCACTGCAACCTCTGCCTCCCAAGTTCAAACGATTCTCCTGCCTCAGCCTCGGGAGTAGCTGAGACTACAGGTGCATATCACCCCACCCAGCTAATTTTTTGTTTTTTTTAGTAGAGACTGGTTGGCCAGGCTGGTCTCGAACTCCTGGCCTCAAGTGATCCGCCTCGGCCTCCCAAAGTGCTGGGATTACAGCCACTGTGCCTGGCCACATATAGGTTTTAATTTATATATAAATTATGTCAGCAAGAAACTGGGAATTGACTACAGTCTAAAAATAGCAAAATGATTAAATGAATTATGGTACAGCCGTATATAGACTTTTATGTAACTGAAATTCAGATAAATCTCTAATTATAATCACAGAAAGATTGTTACACGATATTGTTATGTAAGAAGAAAAAGTTACAAAGTAATATGCAGAATATGCTCCCATTTAAAAAAAAATGTTTGAGCCTACAGGTGAGATTAAAATGTTTTGAGAAAAGACATGCAGAAGATGCTGTAGATAATCTTTTGATCATAGAATTATCCTTTTATTTTTGCTCAACTCTCCTACCTAATGTTTTAACAATAAACATGGATTACTTCTATGATGAAAAAAAAAAACAGTGAGGGTGAGGGGGGAGCAATAGAGAGACAGGACAGAAGAAGGTTTAAAAGGTAAGAAATACTACACCACTAAGAAACATTCTTTGGCTAAGTCCATGGTTTCATTGCCTCTGATTATTCCCTTTCCCGGAATTTCCTTAACTCTTATGCATATGATTTTGACAGCATTACTGTGCATCTGATTTTGTTTTCTGGTTGATTTACTCTTCAAAGTAATATCACCCCACCAGAGTTTTATAAATACTCTTATGCTGTTTTTATATACTATAAAACTCTGCACACATAGACATTTCAAAATGTTGAATAAATTTAACTGAATAACTATCAATAGCCAAATTTAGTTTATAGTCACAAACTTAGCTAAAAGAACAGATCTCAAGAAATGGACAGTACAGAATTTTCAAGATTAGTCAAGGAGGTGATTCTGGATAGAAGCTGTCCAGCAGGATCCATACAGTCTAATGCGATAGAACAAGTATTTGGCTGAGGTATGGATTCTTCTACCAATTAACTTTGGGAAAGTTACTTAAATCTATCAGATCTCAGTTTGGTCAATAAAGTAAAGCTCCTTCTATACATATGATTCCTTGATATTCATGATTTTGCAGTGGGTGCTGAGTCTCTGCTATTCATAGAAGTTGTATTTAGGAAATGGTAGAATTTAGCAGATGGACTACACAGAGTCCAGAAAGTTACCAATATTGCTCTCTTGCTTAAGATAAAAAAAAAATGGGGGCCAACCTGTTCTTTTACAAAACGTTACTATATACATTTAGGACCTTTTCATGTCAATAAAGTGAATAAAAATCTGTTGAATTAAATTCACACAAACACACATGTTTTTGCTAGGAAAAACAAAGGTTACATTAGCTAATTTGATAGGCATGATGTCTATGATGAAAGAATCAATTTGCATTCTTAGATATTCTATAAAACACTGTACACTAAATTCTGGCTCTGAAAAGATGGTTTTGCACCTCATACAAATGCTTGTGCTGCATTATAATGTGGAGCTTAATTGCATTTAAGTGCTTATTCAAAAATATGCCCTCCAACTTCTACCTCACTCTACATTTTTCAAGAGTAACTTAAAAATTTTCTAAGACATAACAAACTGTGTCTTCACTGGGTCTATTCAACATTGAATTGAGCTAATGAGGTTTACAGCTTGTGATATTTTGGCTGATAACTTGGAATGATTGAAGCTTATGAATAGAAAGGTTATAAAGGGTCATAGTTCTCCTTATCAAAATGTCTAGCCTTATTACCTTAGAGAAAATAAAAATAAAAAGACATATCGTGTTTTCACCGTAGTTTCTGGTGTGGAAATTGATTTGTTTAAGTGCCTTTTCAAATCCCAAAATATTCATATCTCATTTCTAAAATCTAGTCTTTAACAAGAAGCCAGAGCAATGGAAATAATGAACAGGCTCCAATGAAAAGGTTAGATCTTTTTAAGAACTGTATCATCAGGATTTGTTTAAAATGTCATCTTAAATTAGCAAGCCCATTTCACTTATTCAGTTGTTTTCTAATGAGAATCAACATTTATATGACACAATTAGAACACATTTATTTTTTAATGTATACAGTATAAACATAAGAAGCATCATACCCATTAAATAGACCATTATGTTAATATAGTTATGTAGATATAGTGACATATTTATGTACAAGTTCTCCATATTCTTACTAAAATTAAGATTAGGACATTAATCTTGTCCTTTACCCATTACTATTTCAAAAAGTAAAAATAAAAAACCCAGCCAGATGCTTTTTAATTTCAAAGTGTCCTTAATATCTTTGTGAGCTAGCTAGATACCTACTACAAAGCATTAGTAATTCCTTTCCTGCCAAGTTATTTTTAGGGTGTTCTAGCTTTACTGAGCTCTCTACCAAATGCAAAACATTAGATATCCTGAATTTTTCTCTGCTCTGTTCATCCTAGAGATAGAAGCTTTCTTGCTTCAAACCTCAGTGCACACATGTAAACACAATTACTCAAAACAAGGCAACAAGTGAGAGGGAGGGTTAAAATAAGAACTCAGGTAATCTGACTCACAATCCAGGATTCAACCCCCTAAAACTTGCTGTTTTCTTTGTCCTCTTTGCTGTGAACCAAGACACTTGTTCTGTAGCAGAGTGTTTCTGCTGCAAATCCAGTGGCTACTGCATTATGCAATGAAGTCAGAAGCCTGAGCTTGTGACATCAATATAGGTTGCTATGGTAACTCTTTCCATAAGTATTACAGGTTCAGTGTAGGCTCAAAAAAGGGGACTTCAGCAAAGTAGCAAAATAACTGGCATTATTTCAGCCTAAATTACAATCATAGTTGGTGCAAAAATGTTTTATAATTCCTGTAATAAAAAAAGTTCTATATTTTATGTCATTATTGAAAGTCATTTTTATAATATATTTAAAAATGAAAGTTCTCCAGTAGAAATAGTAATGCTACTGACCTTCTAAAGCATTCATGTAATCCACAAAGAAGAGAATCTCACTATAACATAGCTAATTATTCCACATATTTAGTCATTCCTTAAGTCAGGTAATGTTATATATTATATATTATGATAAATTCCTAATAACATATCATTCTAGCTTTTCCATTACAAGAATTATAAAAAGATCTCACAAAGTTGCATATATAAAAACAGTTTTAGATGAGAAGACTATTTTTAACAAAGCAATAGTAAAGATCACCTTTTGATCGCACTAGTTCATTATTATTTTCCTAGAACATGTTTGCCAGTGACTCCATTTAAATAGTTAAATCTACCTTCCTTTGTAAGATATGTTTAAAAAGATTCTTTGGCCTTCAAATTTTTTTAACCTGAATTAGAAGCACATGGCTGAATAATTACAAAGGCTGAACTTCTTTATTACACAGCCCCTTTGTTCTTCTCATTTAGCATTCTCAAGAGGATCTTAGCTCAATTCTGTAAACATGCTTGAGCTAGGTGTTGGGGTTACAACAACATGTTGGACATTAGGTACAAGATGCCTAAGACATAATCCCTTCTATGAAAAACTCACAGGTCGAGTTAATAATTACAGCAATAAAAGTGCAAACAACAATTTAAAAATATTTACTGAGTATCCGCCATGAGCCAGACACCATGCTAAAGACTTCACGTAAATTATCTAGATGATGTAATCCTCACAACAATACAAGCAGGAAAGTGGGTACTATTATTCCCATTTTGCAGGTAAGAAAACTGAAGCTCAGAGGGATAAAGTGACTTGCCTGAAGTCACACGGCTAGTTCAGAACACAGCTGGCATTTTAAGTCAGGGCTAACTCCAAATGTTTATGATGTTTAAACAGAAATTAAAGATAATTCCCTGTTGCTCATTGTGACCAAAATTGAAAATTGCATCATCATTCTACTGAGCAAGAATTCCTTTATGTAGAATTCATTGAAGCAGAAAGCAGATAATCCTGTGGCTGACTCCATGAACACTTTTGATGACTGACTTTGCTGTTAGTGTAACATTTAGCAATTCAGAAAATATTTACCTGAAAACATTTCCTTCTTTATTGGTTACAAATGACAATGTACAATAGGAAGATGATAGACTCTTCAATAAATGATGTTTACCTCACTGGATATCCACAAACAAAATAACGAAATTAGACCCATTATTCTTACACCATACACAAAAATCAACACCAAATGATTTAAAGACCTAAACATAAGATGTGAAACTGTAAAATTCCTAGAAGACAAACATAGGGGAAATTTTCCTTGACATTGGTCTCAGCAATGATTATTTGGATTTGACACCAAAAGCACAGGCTATAAAAGCAAAAATAAACAAGTTTCTGCATAGCAAACAATCAACAGAATAAAATGGTAACCTACAGAATAGGAGAAAATAATCTGCAAACCGTACAGTTCGTACAAGACTCATATCCAAACATGTAAGAAACTCATATAATTTAATAGCCAAAAGTCAAATAACCCAATTAAAAAATGGGCAAAGTAACTGAATTGACATTTCTCCAAAGACATACAAATGACCGACATGTATATGGAAAGAAGATTGACATCACTCATCATCGGGGAAATGCAAATCAAAACCACAATGAGATATTATCTCACACTTGTTAGGGTGGCTGTTATCAAAAAGTCAAAAGAAAAAGTGTGTTGTCAAGGATGTAGAGAAATGGGAACACTTGTGTGATGTCTGTGGAGATGGTAAATTGGTATGAATGTTATGGAAAACCACCATTATGGAAAACAGTATGGGAGTTTCCCTTAAAAATTAAAAACAGAACTACCCTATGATCCAGCAATCCTACTTCTGAGTATATATCCAAAGGAAATGAAATCAGGATCTTAGAGATATCTGCACCCCCCCATATCCATTGCAGCATTATTTGCAACAGTGAATAATGAAAACAACCTTAGTGTCTGTCAACATTTGAATAAAGAAAATGTGGTACATATATACAATGGAAGATTATTTAGCCTAAAAAAGTGTAATTTTATAGAATGTCATTTGCAACAATGGGGATGAACCTTGAGGGTGTTATGCTAGGTGAGATAAGCTAGACACAGAAAGACAAATACTGCATGTTCTCATTTACATGTGGAATCTGAAAAGTCAAACTCACAGTAACAAAATGTAGAATGATGGTTACCAGAGAGTTTGGGGGTGGGGAAAAGAGGAGATATTGGTCAAAGGATGCCAACTTTTAACTATAAGATGAATAAGTACCAGGGATCTACTGTACAACACAATTAGTATAGTTAATAACGTAGTGTAAACTTGAAATTTGCTAAGAGAGTAGACTCAAAAGTTCTTGCCACAGAAAGAAAACGTTAACAATGTGCAGTGATGGATATGTTACATGGGTTGATTGTGGTAATCATTTTTTAGTGTATGCATATACCAAAACATCACAATATATACCCTAATAAATGCAATTTTTGTCAATCATACCTCAATAAAACTGGGGAAAATATTGGTTCTACAACTTTTCTTACAGAGTTGCTTTAACATTCTAAAATGATTCAAACATTATATCAATTTCAGCTCAAATAAATATATTAATAATTTAATGTGTATACTGAATGGCAGTTTACATACCATACTAAATATTCATTCATTCAGCAAATATTTATTGAGCAACTATTAGGTTTCAGGTACCATGCTAAATGTTGGATGTGAAACTATAGCAAATAGTGAAATGGTCCACAAATTAAAGGAGCGTATAGTCTATAATGAGAGAAGAACATTATTCAAATGATAACATAAATAAATATAAAATAAATATAAGTATATTTATTTTATATTTATATAAATATATAAGTAAATAAATATAAAGTTCAAACAGTAAAATTCCTAAATTTCCTCATTCTGCCCCACAAAATTCAACCTTTCATCCCAGCTCAAAATCCATTGCCTCATCTTCCTCCTCCAGTCTAGACTTGGCTTCTGTCCATTCTTCCAGATGTGCTTCCTCTCTCATGTGTCTTCACCCTGCCCTCCTCTTTGGCCCTAACCACATTTGAGCTCTCATCGCGTCATGCCTTAGGTGTCTCAATAGCTCCTGGCATGACTCCCTGCTTTAGCTTCTGCCTTAAGAGTTCCTAGGGCAGATCACTATAGCCCTATATCCTGAAACACCTAAGACAAGAGAGCTTGATCACATTGCAGCTCACTCCACCCAAATACCTGTAGCCACTCTCCTTCCTTTAAACCTGAAATCTAACTCCTTAGACTGGCATTCCAAGCTTTTAAAAATCCAACCACAGTCTAACTGTTCAGTCTTGGGATCCATCACTCCTCTGCAGGTATCCCTTCCCAAGCCAAATGGATGAATCACTGGCCTGTAAGTAAGCATTTCACTTTTCCATCTCTGCTTTTATTTACTCCATGTCACCACTGAAATTCCTCATCCCTTTTCCACACCTCTCCTTCCCTTCCCTTTTAGAATTCTAAACACGCTTCTAAGTCCAACATGAATTATTGATTGGATAGTTGTACTGTTCTATTTTTTTTTGTTTGTGTGCATATGCTTTATCTCCTCTGCTAGATTGTGAGCTCCTTAAGGGAAGAGACTGTCTTCTGAATCTGCTGCAGTACAATATACATACGTGGTATTTAGTAATACCTATTGATGTCCTATCCCAGGACAATGAAAGCTTAATCAGGTAGCTTATAAGACAAATATTTGCATCGCTGATTGTGTAATTATGGCTTCCTTTGAAATTACAGATTCAGATCCTTCTGTTTCACTAAAAATCCATGGAGCAAGAAAACATAGAATAAGATTTTGCTACCTGTCTACATAGAGAAAATAATTAACTCTATGTTTGTCTGACTTTCAATGAGAACTTTCAAGCAAAGACAGTAAGAAATGAAACTAATTATTTGTATTAGTTGAGACTCTTTCTGTTGCAAACGAGAGCAATCTAACTTACAATTAGCTTAGGCAAAAATGAAAGGCAATTCATTGGCTCATGTAATTGGGAAGTCCGTGGGTAGATCTGGTTTCAATCACAGCTGGATTCAATGGAAGTCTCACTCTCCCTTTTTTTTTTTTTTGAGAGTTTACCTTATTCTTTATAGCTACAGACAAGCCATTTGTGTATGATAAAGACAAAGCTGGTGATAATTTCAACTTCATATTATACCAGATTGGCAACACCAATTAAATAAAAATCTCTCTTTCATTGTCTCTCTCCCTTCCTATCCATGGAAAAATCTCAAGGAAGACGATTGAATCCTAAACAGATCATACACCTATCTGAGAAAAAGTCACTGTGCCAGAAATAAGGGCATCTGTGAATAACTCAGCCTGGGCATGGACCCATGCCTATGGCCAGAGTGATAACCAGACACCTTAATTGACTGTGCCTCTAGATCCACATGAAATTGAGAAAAGGACCAGTTGTTTTTTCAAAACAAAATAGAAGAAATGAGAAAAAAATAATCATTTCTCCCTTTAAGTCTGGAAAACTCTTAGGGTCCTGAATCATCTAGATTCACTTTAAATTCTGAAATATTAGCTCATACATTTATCCCCAAATATTTGTTTGGCACCTACTAAGTGTCAGGCACTCTGTTAGGCACTGTGAGTGATACAAAGATTATTTCATTTGACTCCTAATAATTAGAAATACATAAAGATAGAGAATTCCAATCCAAAATAGGATATGAAATATGTCACAAAAGTGCTTGGAATCAAAGATAAGGATTTAGGAATAACATATCAAGAGGTGAAAATGTAAGTGGTAGAAATAGATGAAACTGAAATTTTCAAGGTAGAGAAAATAAAGAGAAGAGAGAAATAAAGACTGAGAATAGGAAAGAGAACTTAGACTCTTACATCCATATTCAAGTTGTAGTTCATAAAATACAAACTCCTTAAGAGCAGAACTCATGTCTACTTTTGGGCAACAAAAATAATAAGACTAGAAAAATAAAATAACAGTAATAACACTGAATAACATTTATTGAGTGCTAATTATGTGATAGACATTGTACTAAGCTCTTTCAACAGATTATCCCATTTAATCCTCAAAACAATCTTATGAAATGGATATTAATATTAATATTTCCATTTTAAAATTAGGGCACTGAGACGCAGAAATGTTAAATAATCTGCCAAAGGAAATGGTGGATTTGGGTTATTACCAAGCTGGCCCAAATTCGGAGTGTGACCTCTTTATCAATATGCTCTAGTGAAAACTTTCAGAGGTTCCGTCTTTTCATGAGAGTCAAAGAACAGCTTCGGTATAAGTTGCCCAGAATCACGTGTTTTTTGAGTTTTTAGTTCACTCACACCATCTCAGCCTCTTGCCTAATGTAAATCCCATCCTCATTCTCCCCCAATTCATTCTGCAGGCCAAATTCATCCAGGAAATTTGCTGTTTGAACAGAGAGTAAATGGAAAGAATGAGGAAAAGGACCTTAAGTAGGGCATGGTACAGGCTATTGGCTCTGTGTTAGCAGAATAAACCTCAGTGGTAGAGTTATGGGTTAATTTGTGTCCCCCAAATAAGACATATTGAAGTCCTAGGCTCTAATACCCCAGAATATGACCTTACTTAGAAAGAGGGCCATTATAGAGATAATCAAGTTAAAACAAGGTCACAAGGATGGATCCTAATCCAGTATGACTGATGTCCTTATAAAAAGGGAAAATTTTAATGTAGACACAAACATGCACAGAGGGAAAATCATGAAGGAGACACAAAGAGAAGGCCATGTAAATATGAAGGCAGAAATCAGGGTGATGTATCTTCAAGGCAAAAACACCAAAGACTGCCATCAAAGCACCAGAAGCTAGGTGAGGCGCCTGGAACAGATTCTCCCTCCCAGCCCTCAGAAGGAAGCAACCATACCCACATCTTAATCTCAACCTTCTACCCTCTGGAACTGTGAGATAACAAATTCCTGTTGTTTATGCCACCCAGTTTATGGTACTTCGTTGCAGCGGCCCCAGCCAACCAATGCAAGTACCTTTGAGAAACGTTATGACCAATCTAAGCCTCTTGCTAATGAACAAGGTAATTCCCTCTTTCAGGATGCCATGTGTGTAAAGCCATGGTCATGCCAGTTCACAACAGAATATCTAGATGATTGAAATTCCAGATGTGATTTTATGGCCTCACAGGGAACACTTGCAAATGATTTTACGTAAATATTACCTTTTGTGTTTCCTAATATGTTGCCATCATTTGCTAAAAGAAGGCTAATTTTTTTTTTCTGGAGAGAATGCTTTTCTATCAGAAATCTGATACCAGATTCATAAGTGATCATTTAAATTTTTTATTCTGGGCTTCCAAAACACATCTATATACTCAGAACGAATTGTTTACCCATTGGTTCATAGGTTAAATTCACATTAAAACATTCTCAAATATCAAGAAAGTGTTTTATTTTAACAACAATCAATAATTCATCTACTGGCTAACTTTTAAGGGTTTGATGGGAAGCATGGTGGAAAAGCCTTCTTTGAGGTTTTGTGAAAAGATTAAAAACATGGCATGAATCATAGTTGCAATCTGTATTAATAGCCACATTACCAAAGAAGATAAAGAACTAGAACTTTCAAATTTTACTATGCTCTCGAGTCAATTGGCAATGTGAATAAAATATAATATGCTGAACATCACAGCCTCTTTAGGGCAAAAGTTATGAAATGTGCCCCTCTGGACTTACCTTTTCCAGGGCTGGTAGAACTCAAGGGCTGCTCTGATTCAGCAGAATGTTCGCTGCAGTGCACCCTCTCAAGATAATGCATGACCTTAAGCAGAACCTAACAGAGCGACAGAACCTGTTCCTGCACCTGACATGCTTTCTCCTTCCTTACTCCTTCCTTCCTTCCTTTTTAGTATTAACATATTTTCCTATGAAAGTAATACATCTTTGGAGTTGTAAAAAGTCCCCTAGTTTTATGTACAGAACTATCAAAATATAACACAGTGAAGGAGCATTCTGAAGCAGGCACTATTTCTCTATTCTGAATATGAATTTTGCAGTATAATATACTAGGTTGGACACAAATTTCAAAGCCAAATGGCCCTTGTTTTAAACTGACAAGTCCTTTTCTAAGCTGTATGCAACTTTAGGAGTGACACATAGCCATTCTATGTTTCCTCTTCTGTAAATTAAGGATGATAATTGTACCTCCTGTAAACAGTTGGTCTGAGAATTAAAATAAGATAGTACCTGAAGAACACGTAGCATAGAAAAAGCCACATGGTGAATACTTAATAAATGTAGGCTAGTAACTATGCTGATAAAGAAAAAGACGCCAATTATCTGACATTTTAGAAAAGTCAAAGCTATAGCAATGGGCAAATCATCAGTGGTTTCTAGGTGTTTGGGAGGTATTAGGTGACGGTTGAATTCATGAAGCACAGGGATTTATTCGAGTGGTGAAACCATCCTGTATGATATTGCAATGATAAATACATGACACTATGCTTTTGTCAAAACTCATAGAACTTTTCAGCATAAAGAGTGAACCTTACTGTATGCAAATTTTAAAAATCAAAACCATTTTGGAGATTCGAATACCTCAGGATGGAACACAGAATGTGACCAGGCTGACTGTATTACCAATGTATAAAATAAATCTAATGGTATTAAAAATGTATGAAACACGGCCAGGTGTGGTAGCTCGCACCTGTAGTCCCAGCACTTTGGGAGGCCAAGGTAGGTGGATTGCCTGAGGTCAGGAGTTCAAGACCAGCCTGGCCAACATGATGAAACCCCGTCTCTACCAAAAATACAAAAACTAACCAGGAGTAGTGGTGCACGCCTGTAATCCCAGCTGCTTGGGAGGCTGAGGCACGAGAATCGCTTGAACCTGGGAGATGGAGGCTGTAGTGAGCTGAGATCGTACCACTGCACTCCAGACTAGGGAACAGAATGAGACTCCATCTAAAAAAAAACCAAACAAACAAAAATGTATGAAACAAACTCACTGAATGGGGTGGGAAGGAAAGGTGATCTAAGTAACTTTGGAAATGAGAGAAATGTGTAAGGCTAAAGGAAAAATAAATTGTACATGAGCAGTGTAATCTAGTGAATAATATTGTTCCTCATAGGAATATAGGCAATTCTGATACTGATATATACACACACACACACACACACACATATATACACACACACTGGATATATATACACACTGTATATATACACACACTATATATATATACACACTATATATATACACACACACTATATATATATACACACTATATATATACACACACACACACTATATATATATATACACACTATATATATATATACACACACACTAAAATTGAACAATTAAGTAAATAAGAACTGGATGATACAGTCAGGTTTCTCACTGCTGGCGTGAGATCTTCAGATAAGAAAGGGAAAGAACCAAATGATCCATGTGGTCATGGATTAGAGTTGAAGACATCAATATGAACTCATATTTAGCTTAATGCAGATACAGATGGTTATACATGGGAGCAATTATAGATATGTATATATACATGGGTTAGTATCCACAAATGTATTTCCTTCCTCTGTCAGTGGAGTGGTCCTAGAAGCAACAACATCCCATTACCAACAGCAGACACCTGACACCCAGATCTTGTTTTCTAATACCATTTTCCAATCAAAAGAATCAGTGCTCTTTGGAGAATAGGCTGATCCTAGGATTGGTGCAGAAAATATTTAATATGGGCCTACAGCATCTTATAGTGCTAGAAAGTAAGGAAGTGCTCAAAAAAAGGAAAGAAAGGAACAACAACTCTGGGTTATGGAAGGAACAGAGTAGCCAACTAAAAGACCTACCAATGGTCAAAGCTGGAAAATTTGAACAACAAAATAAAGTAGTATTGGCTTATAATCCAAGGTAAAAAATAAATCTCTGAGTCCATAATGATATTCAACATGAATAAAGTTAGACCCTCCTAGAACTTGATCTTCACTGCCCACTTCATTTTGTCTACAAAGAAATCTTGTGGATGTCAGTGCTTTTATACTCAAAGAGCAGTTCCTAACACCCTAAATACTCCACTACTTTCCCTTTTAACCCATGAAAAGCTACCAAAAGTAAGAGGTCAGTCACAAATTACACTGACTTCCTAATAACAGAAATCCATATATGATTTTTCAATGAAAATAAGATATTACATTACCTAATGCCTCCTGTCGTTAGTTCTTTCCCTTCTGAAGTTAAAATTTACATATTTTATTTTTTTTCAAGTAAATCTGCTAGTAAAGTTCATCATACATAGATTTTATATGTTACTATTTTCTTTTAAAAGTGTGAAGGTATAAATCTAAGCTAGAACAGGGAAAACTGAAAGACATACGTAAATAAATGCAGGTTTTAAGAGTTATATAATAGTTTTTTATATGCTTCCACAAAGTTACCCTTCACTAAACCCTGTAAGATAAATGCACCTTGCTGAGTTGAAGGCTTTTGTGAAGGCTATGCTTTAGGGGCAAGAAGGTGAAGATGAAGCAAGGAGATGAGAAGAAACAATAGAGCCAGGTGGCTGATCTCCCTCTGTAACATTGTACTTGAGGGAGCTGTTTGCACATGAGTGTCTCATCCATCTTTCCTCTGCATGCTCTGAGTCACACACCATAAATCTCCCTCTCAGTCTTCTCAGGCCTTGCATATCTAGAATCTGATATGCATATAATATAACTTAGAAATTTTATGCTTCTTCACAGTGCCCTAAAACACATAGTGACATAATCCTTGACTTAAATGGGGCAGATGGAAATACAGATGAAAGGAGAGAGACAGCAATGTTACCACTTCTCAAGAGCTCAAAGCCATTAAGTTGCAGAACTAAGGTTCAAAGCCAACTCATCTATCCCAAAGCCCAGTGGGCCTTCCCCCAATACCAAATGCCTCTGCATACATACCATCCTGAGCCAGCTTTAACCTACATTTGGAGGTTATCTGCTATTATTGTATTCAGTGTGAGTATCCCCTTTTCCCTTCTTAGTAAAGTATATAGTGTCGTAACTTAGTGATTGGCTCGGTGCTCCTGCTCGGTTCACTGGTAGGAAAAGACTTCCTTTGGTGACTGGTAAAAAGCACTAGCCTTGTGTCCAGACTGAAACTCTGATTTGAAAATTCCTTCCAACCAAAATTCCACCCTGCCAAAATTCCTAGAATGTGTATTCTGAGAGCAATGGAAGAAGCAAGTGGACCCAATTTATGTCCCTTATAGTTATTTAATCTATTTGATAGTTCACACATCTTACAAAACCTTTATGTACCTGAAAGTTTGAGATCTATGGTTGGTTTGTTTTGGATTGGGTTGAGTTGCCTCCTTATAGGTTCTAAAAGTTACTTGCAGAAGGAGGATAAATATTTTTGTGGCACTCAAACTCTTTGAACCATAGCATTTGTGTCAATTGCTATTGCAGGTTTTACCAAATGACATATGGACTTGATAAACTGAGGTTATATACTGTTAAGCTGCTGGGTCTTTTTGAGTCCATAAATGTAATAAATAATAAATGTAAAAACAATATTATATATATTTGAGATGCTAGGTCACCACGGAATGAGGTGACAACATGGTATAGAAGACAACATAGTTTATAGTTTCGTAATACTTGTTTATACATTGCCTCACCTCCAGTTCTGGCAGCTGGCTTGATTCTATAGCCAATCCAGAGACTCTAGATTGGGTCTGGCCTTAGGCATTTTGTTCTATCCCTTAGAAGCCCTCTAAATCTGACTTGACCTTGGTTACCTTCATTCTGAGTGCCCAAGGGATAGGCCAGATTGTTTTACATTCTAACCTCAGGAATGTGTCTGCCCTGGAATAAACCAAGCAATCCATTTAATGCCTTAATTTTCACAACCGTACCAGACCTATCCTAACAGGAACCCTTACATACAAAGTGATCAAATTCTGCTGTCTGAATACAGATCCTTTAAAAGACTTTTACTAGGGAAGTTTGTAGAAAATTCAAGGACTGGACTACTCTGGAATCCTTCTTTCCTCTACCTTCCCAATACTTGGTCCATATTCAACTCCATGATGGTTCTTGACGGGCCTACTGAGTGCAAGATTCAAAATAGAGGCTCAGCAACATTTTCCAAAAATTTTTTTGCAACTTTAGATTAAAATAACGCTATTGGCCAGGCATGGAAGCTCATGCCTGTAATCCCAGCATTTTGGAAGGCTGAGGCAGGCAGATCACTTAGGTCAGGAGTTCAAGACCAGCCTGGCCAATATGGTGAAACCCCATCTCTACTAAAAATACAAAACTTAGCCAGGCATGGTGATGGGCACCTGTAATCCCAGCTACTCAGGAGGCTGAGGCAGGAGAATCAATTGAACCCGGGAGGCGGAGGTTGCAGTGAGCTGAGATCACGCCACTGCACTCCAGCCTGAGTGACGGAGTAAGACTCTATCTCAAAATAAAAAATAAAAATAAACACTATTACTTGTGGTAATTTGTTTGGTTCTCTATGTAACTGAATTCAGTTCACCAAAGTATCCCTTCATAGTTCTAATTGAACTCCTTTATTTTCATTTTTAAATACTACAACCAAAAAACTCTATATAGCCTCTAGGTTTTGCTCTTCAGATGGCTGTATTTTTGGTAGGTGAAGCAATCCTCTACTTATTTCCTCTCCATGTCACAGATTTGATTCTAACACAGTTACTAATACAAGTAAGCTACTTGACTCTTGAGGATTCACAAAATTACCCGTGTCTTTCTGTTTAAACCCTTTAAACATTTAAAATTTTTATCTTCCTGACACATTGTTTTTTATGTCATGTTATTGTTCAGCAAAGTGGTGTTAGGAATGAAAAAGTGATGATAGAAAGGAGCAAGCCTCTCCAAAAAGGGGAAAAGTAAAGGTGATATTGAGGAGTAGGAGATTTTCTTTAAGCCCCAATCTCATGCAGATGTATACAGAAAAATACTCATTCCACTGTGGAGGAATGCTAAGCAAACTGAAGTTTCTGTTTTTTAAAAATTATCTAACACGTAATAAGTTTAGAGAAAAACAGCTGTTGTTTTTATACAGCCTGAGAGTCCCTGTTTTGTTATGAGAAGAAATCTGTAGACTGTCAAGTCCAGGATTGCTGTGAGTTTATTCATTGGCTGGAAGGTAGCATGATGGACGATAGGCAAGGGGTGTCTGGCTTGGGGAAACAGTAGGAATAAGGAACCCCTTTTAAGATTTAGTAGTGACTTTGGGAGGCTGAGGAAGGAGGCCAGGATTTCAAAGCCAGCCTGGGCAACATGGTGAGAGCTCATTTCTACAAAACATAAAATATTAGCCAGGTGTAGCGGTGCCCAGCTACTTGGGAGGCTGAGGTGGAAGGAACATTGGAGCCCTGTAATTTGAGGTTACAGTGAGCTATGATTGTGCCACTGCACTCCAGCCTAGGTAACAGAGCCAAGACCCTATCTCTAAAAAAAGAAAAGAATTCATAGTGAATAATGCTCTATTAATTCTTTCCCTAAAATGACACCTTGCAACTTTTCCTACTCACTCCATATTCCCCTAAATAAATCCTAGTTACTGTATTTTTACTTATTATAAATATCCTGGCTCTTTAGGGAATTAATCATCTTCCCAATCCTTTGTGTTTTTATAAAATTTTAGACTAGTGAAACTTCTCTAGAATAGTAAAAGGTAGAATCATTTTTCCAGATATTGTACATATAATTGTTTTTAAGGTATATGGTCTTGAGCTCATGAAAAAAAGTAAATATATATATATATATATATATATATATATATTTCTCCTACTCAACAGTCATCAAATGTTTATTGAGCACCTACTATATGGCAGGAACTTTTCTCAGCATAGCATAGGTGCTCAACAAACATTTGATTTTCTAGGCATTGGAAATGTACTGGAAAACAAGGAATGGCCCTGACCTCAATATAAGCCCTTATGTTATGGAGAAGAGATATGGGATAAACATGTGGATGGGTAAATGAGATCACTTCAGGAAATAATGAGTGCCATGAAGAAGATAAGTAAGTGTGACTGGCAGGGTAGGTTTAATTGGGTGGTATGGAAAGGTCTCTGAGGAGATGATATTTGACTTGAGACATTAAAATTGAGAAAGAAACTTTTTATCTGAGGAATATGAGCCCATTTCAACTGTCAGGTCCAGAGAGGCATTAAAATGTGATAGCAGTTAACATCTCTCCACCCTTAAGCAAAATAATTTCCTCTTCATTTGCTATGTGAGCTCTAGACTGATGCCAATTAGCCATAAAATGCCCTACACTGGACACCATAATGCATACCTTATGGTTCAACAATGTAGACAATCACTAATCAATGTTACTTCTGTAAAGCAATGAGAATTTCTAACACCTTTATATCGTACACTTCTTGTCTCCTTTCGCCTTTAAAAACCTTTTTGTGACAAAGGCCGAATAGCGCACTTGCTGGTGTTTCCCAGGCTGCGGTCCCCAACCTTGGCCCAAATAAATCCTCTCTATTAATTCGCCTCAGTTTCTTTCGTTAGGTTGTATTTGACCACTCATAAAATCGTATACATATTTGACCATTCACGAAAAGTAATTTGAGATCAGCTTTCCCACAGGGCAAAGTTGCCATGTTCATTTCTGGATCTGGGCCTTACTGCCATACATCTATCCAAATATCATTTCTCTTTTTTCTCCTCTGTCTTTCCATCTAATCTTCTTCCCTTTCCACCTGTCTGTTTATGGGTCTCTCTTCTTGTTCCTTTTTTGTTTCATATTTTCCATTTTCCTCACTTTCTACCTCTTCCTCTCAGGCCTAGTGCTTCCTCTCTGCAATGTTTTCTCTGACTTCTTAGAAAAAGTGCTGCCCTGGCACCTATACCACCTGAGTCTCTGTCACTTTCCCTCTTTCTTGACCTACCTTAAAGCAAACTGAAGCAAAACTTTTTTATCACTTGTGGAATTTAACAAACATAGTTGTATATTTGATATTATAAAGTAGTTATATCTCTCTTCACTTACTCTGGCCTTTGAGTTCTCTTACCAGGGAAAAAGAAATTCAGGTATGCAGTGTTATACCAAGTAAATAATATGTAAATATTTAAAATGTTTTAATCATTTTAATTCTCCTGAATTCATGTGAACTTCATAACACAATGCTATGTTTTATATTTGGAAGAAGCATGAGCTCTATTTATAGGTGAATCTTGACTTTGATCTTTTCAGAAGCAGTGTTTCAGAAGTTATGTGAAACAGAAATGAACTTTCTCCATTTTATGCTTTTAACTGCAATCTAATTGATGTATTTCAATTATTTTCTCTACAATAATAGTATGCAATTATCTACTTTTTTTATTAAAGTCTTAATAGAACTTTTATTAAAACTGGGATCATTTTAGGACAGACTAAAGTACTAAGCAAAAAATGTTATTTCACCATGTCTTGAAGAAAAACGCTATTAAGTCCTTTCCACTTCACACTTCTGGCATAACTTCTCTTTGCCTCCATTTCCTCTGCTCAAAGATGAAAATAAGACCAATCTAATAAAGTTGTGTGTAGACTGAACTGATCAATTAAAACACCTAGAATAGTACCTGAAACACAGCAATAATTCAATTGGTGATAGCTGCTGTTGCTGCTGCTGCTACTGCTAATATTGTTATTGTTGTTATGGTACAGCTTGCGTAGTTTAGTTGTGGTACCTAATGTAGCTCAGAACCTAAATCTGAAACCTATAAGCAACCTAGATGCTAGAAACATCCAGGTTTGTCATCTTAGTAACTCAGATCATTGTCAGACACATTTCATAATTAAACACATCTTCATCCATTTCTAATTCCCCAGAGAAAAAGGTTTATAAGTCTGGTATCTAACATGTTTGGAGCACCCATGCTTTAAAATGATTTAAGGAATATAGAAGATCGACTCAAGTTTTGCTCCTAGTTTTCAGGGAAACACCCAACGTGAGAGACTACTACCATCCATGGACGGTTGCTCAGAAACTATGGGATTTACCACGTAGAATACATAAGGAGAAGTTTGCCCAGTTTGGTAAATTTTTGCAAAATGAATGCCTTAATATTCCTCTCTGCACTCAAGAGTCCCTACCTGTGATGACTCCGGTCCTACTGTGTACCTTGCTTTGGCCAGTGGGATAAGAGAAAATGTGATGCAAGCAGAGGAGGGAAAGGGCCTTGTGTTAGTCAGGGTTCTCCAGAGAAAAAGAATCTATACCTTCTATTCATCTCTGAGACAGGCAGAGGGAGAGAGAAAGAGATACTGATTTATTAAAGGAAGAGCTTCATGTGATTATAGAGGCTGAGAAGTCCCATGATCTGCTGTCTTTCAAGCTGGAGACCCAGGACAGCCAGTGGTATTGCTCCAATCCTAGTACAAGGGTGTGAGAACCAAAAGAGCAAATGGTATACGTTCCTGTCCAGATGCAGGAGAAGACCAAAGTCCCAGCCAAAAACAGGTAGAGACATTAAATTCTCCCATACCCCATCTTTTGTTCTATTCAGGGTTCCAACTGATTGGGTGAGGCCCATCCACAACAGGGATGTCAATCTGCTTTACTCAGTCTACCTATTCAAATGTTAATCTCATCTGGAACCACCCTCCCAGACACATCTAGAATAATGTTTAACCAAATATCTGGGCAGCCTGACATCCAGTCAAGTTGATACATAAAGTTAACCATTACAGTGCATTCTTGTCTTGTTCTTGGTCTTAGAGGGAATTCGTTTAGTCTTTTACCTTGACTATGATATTAGATGTAGGTTTTTGGTAGATGCCCTTAATTGAGAAAGTTCCCTTCAATTCCTAGATTGTTGAGTATTTTATCCTGAAATGGATGCTGTCAAATGTTTATTTTGCTTTGGTTTGGTTTTTGTCTATTGAGATAATCATGTTTTTTTTTTTCTATCTTAATATAGTGTATTACATTGATTTTCATATGTTGAAACTCCCTTGCATTTTTATTTCTGGAATAAAAATCTCACTTGGTTGAGGTGTATATTTCTTTTTATATGTCTTAGATTCAGTTTTCTAGTATATTGTTAAGGATATTAGCATCAACATTATAAAAGATATTGGTCTATAGTTTGCTTTTCTGTCTGGTTTTGGTGTCCGAGTAAGAACAGTCTCATAATGAGTTCAGAAGTGTTTTCTCCTCTTTTCTCGAGGAGTGGAGATGTTTATGAAGGATATGTGTTACCAATTCTTTAAATATTTGGTAGAATTCACCAGTTATTACTGTTGTTTGTTTAGTGATATTTCTGGACTAATTCAGTAGTCTTTATTCTTTGTCACATGTAGCCACTGCAATCTCTACTCAGTTAGCTTAGTGATCAGCTAATGAGTAAACAGTAATTTCTTAAGTACCTGGAACCAGTAAATCCCCCAGTCTTTATAGAGAGGAGCTTTGTATGCATTTTGGGGCATGTCTCCTACATTTAGTTTACAAGTCTGCCTTAACTTCCACTTCCTGCTTGTGCAGAGCTTCAAGGTGAGCCAGAGTTAATTGCTGAGGGCCTTCTCAGATCCTTCCTGGGTATGCACTCAGCCTTAAACATGTGTATGACTTTTTAGATTCCCAAGAATACATCAGAGATTTTCAAAGCCCCTATGGATACCCCATGCCTCGATTTTGTCTTTCAACCCTTTTGAGTAGTCTATTGTTTGCCCCAAGTATCAGCCATCACCTCTGGCATCATGATGTCAAAACACTTGCCTATAAATGTTTTCATCAAATGGTCTCTCTGGGGAGAAGATTTTAGCACTAAGCAAGCTCGAATCGGGTCAATTAAGGACATGCCTTTCCAGTTGGGTCTTCTAGGGAATGAGCAGACAGATCGAAAGATCAAATAACGTTAATTCTTTGGAAATGAAGTTTTGAAAGAGCTCCAGCTCTAGTCTGCTCCTTTTGGTACTGAGAATACGGGTTTTTTTTTTTTTTAAGCTGTTTCTAAGTTAATAAGTGGTAAATGAGACTAAGGTAAGTTTAAACACCACAAACCTTGCTGTTCTTACCAACATTCATCAGCTTTTCTTAAATAAATGCTTCCTGGTTTGCTAAAAGCCTTTGGCTAATTTCCAAAGATCTGAAAAAGTTTATTCTATTTGCCAGGTTTTGTTGTTGTTGTTTATGGAGGGATATATTTTTGGATGCTATTTTTAATACACATCGCTACTAGTAGCAAATTAATCTTACCAAAATTGAACTCATAAAGTACAGTCAGTTCACCAATATTGACACTAATTTTATGAAAACTCAATTTTGCGTGCTAACTGAGGAAAAAACTACTAAAGGAAATTGGGCGTTTCAGCATTTCAACTATGAAACATGACTGCAGGTAATGTTACAGGAAAATCTTCTGCAAATATGAAGAACAATTGAATATGAGCATACATGTACTTGGGTGACTACTCGAGAGAAACACTATTAAATGGTAGCTCCAAGATCTAAATAAAAAAAATCAAAATTTTTAAAATTAGGACAACAAATTGTAAGATACAGCTAATAAATTAATATTAAATTTTACTTGTAAAATTGATATATCGAAATGCAAGCCAAGGGTCTTTATTAAAAACAGGCTGCATAAGAGTATTCACTTTGTACTGAAATACAAAGAGCGTACTTTGTAAATTTTAAGTACAAAAATGTACTTTGTACTTAAATACAAAGAGTATTCACTTTGGACTTAAATTCTCATCCAGGATGATTGATGATAGAAGAAACATTTTGTGACTGTACTTTTACTTGCTGACACTACAAAAAAATAATTCTCTACTCTACAGAGAATGAATTCATAATGGAAAAACACAGAAGCATCTAAATTTGAGAGTATACTACACCGAGAGAAAAACAAACTCAGAAAATGCTAGGGTGAAAAGCAAGTTCATTTGCTAATTATTGTATTGTGATCTTTGCATTTTTTCATCTATCAAGTAGTTTTGTTTTTAATTTCAGTCTTCTGTGGCTGAAATGAGGTTTAAAAAACTCTTATTTTTCATATTTGTCTTCACAGCAATTGATGAGTTAGATTACTTAAATAGAACTATTCTGGGAAAAAAACATAATTCTACATTAAATGATACAGTATGTCATAAAATGACATGGACTAAGTGTTCCTTCAGTTGGATCATTCAGTACTTAAAGGCTACTTTCATTTGGTAACGGAGGCACAGACAACAAGGACATCTAGTTAATGATTGTGCATCATTATAGAGGGCAATTTAGAAGTATATGCAGAGCCAAGCCCTTCCTACAAAGTTGTCATAGTAAAATCTAGTCATCCCTAGATTATACTGAGAGGACTACTATTGTCCTCTAAACCATACCACATGGTTTTCAAAAGTTGTCTATTAAGACAGTGGATTAATCATTAATCTCACCAACTTCCAATTGCAATTACAATAATTTCTACACAAATAAACATCTTATTGTCTTCTATTAGTATTGCATGTTTTAATAATATGCTCCTAGAGTTCTTAAATTTCAGTATCACCCTCTCCTCTTCTCTTCACTCATTTCCGTTTATTCATGGAGTATGCTTGGCCTCATTCCATTTCATTCTAGCTCTCTCCCAGGGAACAAATGCCTCAACTCTTCTCCCTATTCATCTAAATGATGTTGCAACCATAAAACCTTCCTAACTGAAAGTTTTTTAACTTTACACTGGTTTTGAACTGTCTAAATATAATTTTGAGACTTCTTCCTATCTCATTTCTCATCCGTAAAAACTCATTGTCCATTGGGTTGTATGTCAGTAAAGGACTGTCTGTCTTGGTGTCTCCATTTGTCATTATCTAGTCACCGAAATATGAATTCTATCCACCTATTCCACTGAATCAATTCAAACTTTTCAGTCCTTATCTTACTGGAAATTTTTGTAGCATTTGAAATAGTTGGCCGCTCTTGCCTTATAAAATACTCTTTCTTTGGTTTCCTTAATACTGTTCACTCAGTTTTTTTCCCTGCTTCTCTGGACCATGTTTTGAGCCCCCTCATCAAACTCACCTCATATTCCTCCCCTCAAATGCTGATTTTCCTCACTAGATGTCCTGGTGACTCTCCACTTTTTACTGTATATACACTTTCCATAGGTAAATTCATTTGCTCCCTTGGCTGCAAATCCTATCTCTAAATTTATGATTCTCAAATAGTTTTCAGCAAAGAATTTCCTCCAGAGCTTCACATCTCTATAATCAACTGCTTTCTGAACATCTTCACTTGTATGTCTGATAGAGTCCAAAATGCAATACATCTAAAATTGAAGTCATTATTCCCATAACTTCTGCTTCTATATCCCAGTAACTGGTGCCACAGCAGTAGCAAATGTAGTTGGATACCTATCCAAAACCCATCCTTGACCTTTTTTCCCTCTCCCACCACACCCAGAAGAAAACCCAGTTTGGTATAGATTTCTACCCTCCTGTATAAGATCTACAAACTTTTGCCCTGATGTGTCCTGCTTGGTTGAAAGTACTTTAAACCAATAATGTCAGAGTCATTTCCCTTGCCAGTAAGTGGGTTTTCATGTGCATGTGATACAATTCTGGTGAATGAGACACGTGCAGAAGTCTGATGGAGGGCTCTGGTGAAAGGTCTTGCTCTAAATAAAAGATACAGGAAGAATTTGCTCCTTGGTTCTCCTTCAATGTTGTTGGGCTTGGATTGATAACTGAAACTGCTGCAGGCTTCTTGTGTTTTCAGCAGGAGTTTGCCTAATAAAAAAACACATGATATGACGTAAACTGGAATCCAAACAATGGTGGAGAAGCAGAACTCAAGTCCTGTTCCTCAGGCCACTCTTCTTTCGAATGATGTCCCAAATCAGTGGCTCTCAAACTTAGCATGCATCAGACTCACTCACTTTAAAAGGCCTCTTAGAACTTTCTCAGTTCTACCCCTAGAGGTTTTCATTCAGTAGCTCTAGATTACAGCTTACTCTAAAAAAACTTACTCCCAGGTGATGCTGTGCTGCTTAACTATGGGACACACTTTGAGAACCACTGGTGTAAATAATTGACCTACAATGTCCTTACTACTTGCAGCCAAAAGCATTTTAGTGGACCCCATTGTCAAAACCAGAATTTCATCTTAACCTTGTTTCACCCTAAGCTCTCTCTTCTTTGCCCCATACAAGTCTATTGTGAAGTGTCATTCATTCTACCTTCTAAATATATTCCTTATTTGTCTGCCTTTTCTATAGTGAATATCAGTTTCTAGTTCAAGCCACTATCATCCCTCCCTTGGATTACTGCAACAATCCAAATTGATTTCTACTCTCAGGTTCATTTCCTCTGGATGTTCTCCACATTGCCATCAAAGGAAGCTTTCAAAAATCTAAATTTGGTCATTTATTATTTGCTTAAAACTTCACAAGGGCTCCCCAAGCCTGCAAGAATATGGTACCAAGTCTGTACTTTGCTACACATGCTTCAGGCTCATTCCTTGTCACTCCCCATCTTGCACTTGCCTACTCCAGCCTTCTAGCTGTCCTCTAGTTTGTTGACACCTGAGATCACTTTGTTCTCCACTCCTCTGTGTCTTCTCATATGCTCTTTTGTTCTTCCCTAACCTGCCCTCTTCTCCTTTGTTTGGATTACACTTACTTATCTGGAATTGAAATTTTTGTTTGGATATCTCTTCCTCAGGGAAGTTTTCCCTGATCTCCCAAGTGTTGACCTGAGACCCCTCCTATGAGCTCCAAGAACATTCTTTATTTCCCCTACAATAGCATTGATCTTATTGCACTGTAATTACCTTTCTGCTTGTCTATACATCTTGGGAGAGCAGAGACCACATCCACCTCATCCACCATGAGAATCCCACATTTTTGTTATTATCATCTTTTTCATCATCATCCGTCCCATCCTTCTCCTCATTTAGCAAACAACCACTAAGGAGCTTACATGAATATTTTATTTGACATTCTAACTACCACATTTTACATATAAGTAAATTGAGGTTCAGAGGGATCAAGTAATTTGTCCAAGAAGGTCAGCCCAAGGAGAAAGTGGGATTTGAACCAAGGGTATCTAACTCTGGAGTTCACTTTCCATTTCCTCCTTCTCCCAAAAACAGTGTAAAAGCACCTGATTTTCCTCTATAAAACTACTACCCCCTCCACCCGTTCTCACCTTCCCTTTCCTGTTTTCACACCTCATATCACCCCAGCTCCAATAACTTCATGTCCACGCATTCAGAGGCCTGTGGGCAAAGGCTTAATTGCAGCTTGCCAGAGAGGTACAAAGCCTGTTGTTGATCCGATTCCCAGACCAGCCAGGCATCCCCCTCACCATGCTCTGGCTAATGCCTGTGCTGTGATCCTGCTTTCTCACTATACAGGTAAGAACACACACACATTACAAAGAGAAGGGTCCCTTCCAAGTATTTATAGGTATGCCACCAACCAAATTTAGAAAACACTAGGTTCTAAGAGTAGAAATAAAGGTAAAAGTCCTCCTTAAGATCAATAAGCTAAACAAGCAAGCAGAAAAAAGAAAAATTATTCTGAAATGTAAAACTAAAATTGCCACTGTTGGTAAATTATAAATCCCACCTCAAGGCCACCCTGGACACATGTACATTCCTCTACTGCTGCATGAATTACTTCCTTCTCTCCATGACACATGACAAGTTCTTTGAACTCCTGAGCACAAGGACTGTTTTCACCCTTGGGTGCCTAGCATGGAACATGGTCCTGACATAACCGAGGTGCTTAAAAAAAAAGAAAAAGAAATGAGGGCAGTTTACATATTACCCAATGAAGAAAAAACATACATTTCCTTCAAAAGTTTTTCTTTTTTAGCAAGATAGTTTAAAAAGATATCTGGCTGAATAATTTAAAAATTGGACTTGAATCAGTCTGACTAGATGCTATTAGCATTTCAGAACTACAATGGAAAGGTAAGTTGTACTCTATTCTGTCATCTCCAGTGTTCTAAAACAGAGAGTGTTACATAAACTGTCACCCTGCCCCATATTCCATCCAGATTTCACCCTGCTACCGTTCCTGGCCCTTCTTAGCCCATAGTGGCACTCCATAATGGTTCTGTCAATTTCGTCACTCTGGGGCAGCCAGTGTTCAACCTCTCATTTTATACACAAGCAGGCATCTTAACACAATTCAGTGTTTTGTAGGGACAAGGACACAATCCCCCTTATACCATGTAGCAGAGGGAAGGGGCAAGGTGAAAAACAGACCCCAGGGCTGCCTGCCCTCACTCACTCTTATTTTCTCTCCAGGCAGTGGCTGCCCTGGACAATCAGTGTGCAGTTGTCTGACAGCCAGCTGGAGCCATCTATTCTTCAGCCTGATGAATTTTCTCCAGTCAGCACAGTGATACTGTCATGAGTAGACACGTAGCCTCAAAATTGAAGCTTCCTGGGAAGAGAACATCCTGAAGATTGTTTGAACTGTATTACTAAATTTTTTTAATGCATGATGACTCAACCCTGTGTGTTCATTGCAAACACAAACAGGGTTGAATTTTAAGGGTGTGCCTGGTTAAACATCTTGTATATGGCCTCTGTATTAAGACTAACACCTGGCTAGAAGCTGCAATTTATTTTGTGTGGAGTGTTTAGTTTTCACATAGAATAGAAATTGAGAAAGAAGCTGTTAAATCAGGTAAACAGGTGTCACATCAGGCATGTCCTTAAGTGTCATGCATTTTTAATATAAAGGACATTATTGAGAAATTAGCAAAATTTAAATGAGGGTTGAAGATTAGAGGGCAATAATGTGTCATCGTTAACATCCTTATTTTGATGGTTGTATTGTAGTTACATAGGGCACGTGCCATATAAAAAGACTGTGGGGTACAGAAAAACAGCGCAAGAATTACCCCAGGTTGCTTACTGTGTAACAGGAAAGCTATCAGGTGCATGTAAAATATGATGAAAAATACAATGCACAATGTTGTAAGGACCAAATACAAGACAAGAAACTGTAGTTCTCAGTATTTTCTCCATCAATGGTACTGACCTTAACACTTACTCTTAAATAGTTGGACTCAAGGGTTAGACTCAAGTCACTGTGAGCCAGGTGTAATTTCATTCCTTTCTCCTCTACTGAATGGACACTTAATGGAGCAGGAGTAACATTTTTCTAATATTAGTTTTGAATTCATTACAATTTTATGTTAAAAGATAAATGCCTCGCCACCTTAGGACATCATCTCTACTTAATTCATCTCTGAGACAGTTCATTATGTCTCAGTATAACCCAAATTAATAAATTTCAAGTAGGGCTAATTTTTAAATGAGGTAACAAGTACTGTCACTGCTGTCCTCCTAACCCCTCCATTAAGAAGTATTTCCTGCTCATTGTATTCCAAAAATCAGCAACTACAAACTGCCTGGTGCAGCAATTTGGGAATCCTAATGCCTGCTACTTTCTTTGTGGCTCATTCCATATGTACTGATAGCACTGGGATAATAAATTTATGGACAGTTCTCAAGTTCAATATTCATTCTTCTATCACTACAGAGGGTGTAATGCTAGAGGGTAAAAGGAATACAGTTCCTCAAGATGCTGATAGGCTAATGGAGGGAGATAATAAACACAGGTAAACTCCCAAATACATACATACAAAACATGCAAAAAACAATTTGTCTATGGCTAATGATAAGAATAAACTTTCCTCTCTCTCCCAGTACAATATTTGGAATTTCCCGTCTCTCTCCTTCCTTCTCCACTGGCTTGGACCGGAATCTCTTCTCATTCTCCCCCAGCAACCTCAATCCACAAGCACAGCAAAATCAATGTACTGGAGATCCGGTATCTCTACTTTGTGGTGATTGCAGGTTTCCTTGCGTCCCTGAATCTATTTCCATACATATAAGTCTGGAACAAACAAACCTACCACCAAGGTTGGAGTTGGACTTAATGTAATAATGCATTTGAGGCACCCACACTCAGAGACTGCTCCCAGCTCTCTTCTCTGCTTCTCTCAGCACAGGTCAGGTCTAGGAATGCATTGGGAAGGTAGAAGGGAATAAATGGCACAGGAAAGGGAAGAGGAGGGGAATGATAAAGGCCTTTCTCTTTCACCATGGCTTTGCCACTCCTAACCCCAGCTGATGTCTTCATCTTTTGCTCTCAGAGAGCAGACAAAAGCCTCTCTGCTTCCTGTTCTCTGTCTGCCCTCATGGTGTCAGGAGTAGAGAGGCATCAGGCAAACCATTAAGGCCCTTTTCAGCTCCTGCAGTGCCAGAAAGAGCAGGCTAACTCAACTTGGGCTGATACTGATCTTCTGCCTGAGAATATACAGACTGCATTAGAATCTTCTTAATATCCTCTGCATTTAATTCCTTACCCCAGCACTCTCCAGTGCTAGCTTCCAAGCTGTGGTCCAGTGCAAAGAGGAGATTACTTGGCATTTCCTGTCCAGCCAACTGCAGAGCCTAGAACCCCTGACACCCAGCCACCTGCCCACCTGCCCCATCCTCAGCTGCAGCTCAGCCCAGGTGTATAGGCTCTCTACTGGGACTAAGGAGGAGTAAGATGGGATGACCAAGCATCCTTTCAAACTCATCTGCAATCTCCTTTTCTCCATCCATCCACGTTCACCAAACCCAAGAACTATTCCTAAGGCTTTCCAAAACTACTGAACCCTCTGAGTCCTTCTCACTCTTCTCCTCTCCCATCACAAAAGGTAAAAGAACACTCTCTAGATAAACGCAAGGAGAGAGACAGAGACAGAGAGTAGGTCAGGAAGAGGGCAAAAACTGGGAACACTCATGTGATATCAAACTGTGATGAGTCACAAGTGTAACTCTCTCTCTTGGGTTCCACTAGCATCATCCTCAGATCTCCACATGAGCATATACCAGTGCAAGAACGTCCTGTTCCCAGAAGGGCACCAGTAAGGAAGAGTGCATAAATATTCTGGAGTCATTTCCAAAGAAACAGGCTAAGAAGGGACTGATCGAGTAATTATTTTTGCATTCTTCAGAACTTTCTGGATGTCACTTCAGGTATTCCTGGGTGAGGCTTATACATAGTTTTTAGAGGCAGGAGATTCCTGTAATCCAGTGGAACCTCTCTTCAGCTATTTTAAGACCTTGACTCAGATGTCTTGAGCTATTTTAAGGCACTTAAAGAGTTTGGCTTGTAAGAAAAGAAAATCTTCTGTAGGTCTGTGTTTTGGTGGTACATCTCACAAAGCTTATCAATTCTTTATTTCTTGTGTCCCACTAGAAGAAATTTCCAGCATTAAAACAACGTAGAGGATCAATCTGTATAACACTATTTAAGGAACCCTAAACTTAAAGCCCAGGTCCGTGAGCTCTACTACTTACTCTACTACTTGCCAGGCAAATTTGGGGGAACATTGGCTTGTCTCCCTGATAGGGTTCTCATGAGGAGCATAATAGATGATATGTAAAAGTTTGAAAAAATGTGATATGCAATATAAAGATAGGATGTTATATTTCAAGTACTAAAATAAAAACACAAAGCCTGTGAAAAAGAACACAAGACTGCTTTGTGCTTAGAGTTACCTATTTTCTCTAAATACTACAAAAGACCTTTGCAATGGGAAAGTCTCTGAATCTTACATTTTTCTTTTTAAAAGCAGGAAAGTTTCTTCTCCTATCTGACATCTGGATTATAACTATAAATCAACCTAACCCAATAGGTGCTAGATTGTATGTTTGATTAATTGGCATAAATGTTCAAACTACAAATCGAAATTTAAACTATTCTTTGAATAAGTTTATCATTTTTTAAAAAACTATTTAGGTATAAGATCTAATGTAACCAAAAGACTAACTGATTGGCTGACTGAAGGACTAACATCATGAATGTTGAGAGCCTAACTATAAAATTTCAGCTAAAGGCAAATAGGAGGAAGTGAACTCTATTTTCTATTTTTTGTGCATAGAGCTTAGTTCATACAGCTCAGTCTTTCAAGCCAATCAACTAATTCACAAGAGAATAAAGTTCTTACCCAAGAATACAGAACTTTGTTCCTGTAGCACACCATAACCACCTAAGCCTTACATTTAATGTAACGTTTTCTTTTATAAAGTAATCCTAAAATCCATTATTAGAAAATAACCATATATTTTCTTTTGTTCTACATAATCATTATTTGTTATGTGGTGCTTATTTTCTTAGTACTACCTACTGTAACTAATTTTCACAGAAAGAAAAAGTAAAAAGTCTTACACTGTTTATTTTTTTCATTTTGTTATTTTTGTTTGTTTGGTTTTTGTCTAAGCATGGAAGACCAGTTTATCCTAGTAGTACAAGGTAAATGAGTTTCCTAAAATGGAATTTTTCTTTTTTATTATCTTTGCAGACTGGCTAAGAAAATTTACAAATAATCTGCCAAGTCACAAGTTATTTTATTAGTGAAAGCCAGCATGTAGAGCAATGAAAATGCAGTATAAAAAAAAATTAAAGTCTTAGCTGATAGCACCAAGATACTAAGCAAATATACATAAATACAAATCCCATGATCTTGCCCTAAGGAATCTATTTGTCTTATTTTCTTTCAGCTTCTAGCACAGTGTCTGAAAATGGTAGCCACTCAATAAATATTTGTTTAACATATTCTGGTAAAGTGAATAGAAACATTCAGAGAAAATAGCTAGGCTTGAGCGTGGTTAAGGCAAATTTTCTTCATTATTTTCTTTTCTTTTCTAGAAGGCAGAAATGGTTTCCGTTCAGCAAATCCACACCAGCAATCCTCTTACAGCAAATTTCCAAGTAAGTATAAGTTTTCTTAAGATGTTGTGTGGAGAAATCTACTGTTCACAGTCGTTAGAAAGCATTTTGATGAGGCAGACCACAGCTTCTTGAAAGGGATATGAAGTAACCTGAGTTCTGCACAACAAGCTCTTAACTGTACCTAACTGCTTCTTGCAACAGGGTTTTTGGTGAAGAACAATTCTCCAAGGAAGAATAAACATGCAACCATTTTTGCATGATAAGTTCTTCTTCTGATAGTATTTGTAGCATAGACACTTTATAAAACTCTTTAACTCTTCACCATAAACACTTAAAAAATGAACTCTTAAATGCTTCGTTTTCTAGACAAAATATAAAATTGAGACCGGGAATTCAAACTAAACTGTAGGACTAATTCATCTAGTGACACTTTGTAAATTCTTTTTCTTCCCTTCTCCCCCCAAAAATGTGATAAACCGTAATTTTCAACTTGAACAAAGTAAGTTAAGGGGGTGTGGTAGAGACAAATGATAAATTTGAATTAAGACTAAAATACAAACACAAGGTCTGAAAAGCATTGCTGTTTTCTCTCCATTTGTTTAAGTGGATGAGTTGTATGTTGTGAACCCAGGAAGGAACACAGTAAGCAATGTGATCATGATCCAGTTACAATCAGAACCCGGAAAAGCCAGGAGCCTTTGCCAGATAGGTAGAGACAGGAACCACCAACAGGAAGGCTTTTCCAAGCAGAGAAAATGCTGGTGCAAGAAGAAAAGGACTCAAAAATTACTGAGATAGAAAGATCAAAGGTGATAGATCTCAGAGATGGGAATGTGAGGAGTGTGAAAGAGAAAGAGATAGCTTACTGTAGGAAAATAGAGGAAAATTAAACATAAATCTGTCCATTTCAAAGAGAAATCCATGGGACTCAAGACAAGGAATGTAACTACAACATGGCTGGTAGTGGCCCAAAGCCCTCCCATCATATTTTGTAGTTCCTGAGGGCTTATCCTTTCAAAACCTTTTATCCGTTGTCCAGGCATCTACTTTACAGTGTTTATTTCACTCCATGTCAACCTAAACAGGAACACTTGGCATCAAGCATTATCACCAGTTTTCATAAAAATCACACTCACTAAAACATTTCTGAGTTTAGTAGAAATCTAGTAATCATCAGAGCTGACAGAAGAAGAGATGAAAAGATAGAAATCCACACCACACTGCATTTTGCCATTTGACTGGCTTCCTCTTACCTTCCTATCTTCTCCTCCCTTTCAGGAGCAAAACAACAAAACACACTTTCTTATCTTACTCAGAACAACTTATCAACACCATTGAAACCTTTATACCATTAACATTTAAGCCTCTGAATTTTGAAGCTTAAGTATGAATAGAAAGGTTAAGTGAAGTATTGACAAGTTGAAGGAAGGAGAGGATAGTTTTAGAAGCAGCTTTTTACCAGTAATTGTCAATGCTTTCTTCCAAAGTATAATATGTGAATATCATGTTTTTACTTCATTACATGTATCAAATTTCATAGGTATCTTATGCATTCAATAAATTCTTAGTTTCAAAGAATATTTTGAAAATTCTTATATGACAAGATATAAGCTGATGTAATATGCCAAATTTTATAAAATTAATAATTTATATTCTTTAAAATGATTTTGGGAAAATATACTAAAATATTAAAATATCTCTGAATGATGAGATTGTGGGTAATTATTATTTCTTTCTTTAGAATCTTCTGCAAATGTTTTACCATGCAGAAGAGTTGTTTTTTACATCAGAAAGAAAAATACAAGTGCTATTTTTAAAGATGTCTTAGGTCACACTCAGCAAAATTGTTTTGATAATAAAGTGATATCTGGTTAGTTTGACAGAAAGCAAATGAGGGCATTGCAAGTCTTCCTTTAAATGTGAAATACATACTTCACTTGTTCTTTAAACCCAAGCAATTTTTTTTCTTTTAGACACGAAGTTTAATAGGAATTTGATTTCTCCTTGAGGAACTCAATCCTTTCAGAATTTAAGCACACACCTTACAAAATACATTAGGTTAAAGGAAAAAGAGAATGAGAAAGAAATAAGTAATATATGAACTAGAGACACAGCAGCATATTTCTTAAAGTCTTTTAATATAAAATTTTATTATGACAGATTTAATCTAGTTATCTAGTTACGAGGCTTGGCTAAAATCTTTTAGAATTAGGTAAAATGATGAAATTCTACCTAAGAGCCATCTTTTTAAAAGATTGCTTTCTAAAAGCAGGCTGTATTATGATGGTCTCACTTTTATACTTGTTGGTTTGTCTCAGTGAATTTCACAAATATTGATGATGAAAGTATCAACCATAACTTCTCTTCCTATCTCTGAAATTGACATCCTCCATACTCTGCCTAAATCCCTTGCTAATATGGAAATAACTAGCTGGGTATCCTTAATCTTTAAAATAAGCATATTTAGGGTATCATAGTGCCATTGATTCACTTATTCACATGCTCAACAAATATGTATGTTTAATATATGCCAGACAATGTGCCGGGCTCTGACAGTAATGAGATGAATAAGAAGAGTCCCTGCCCTTAAGTACTCCATATTCCACGGAAGACACTCAGCACATTCGTAGGAAACCAAAGCTACACAGTTTCTTGTTTACCTTCAGCCCTTAATTCTACAATTAATGTATACTTTTCACTTAAAAAAAATATTGCTACTGTCTTGAAAGAATCAAGCCTAATTTCTTCCCTCCTCCTTTTCTTTCTTCCTTCCTCCCTTTCTTTCTTGTATAAACTCTATACCTGCACTGTGGGGTATGTTAGCCACTAGCAATTTGTGGCTATTGAGCACATGCAATGTGGGTAACCCAAACTGAGATATACGGTAAGCATAAAAAACATACCTGATTTCTATTAAAAAATATAAAATATCAATAATTTTTTATATTCATTACATGTTGAAATTATATAACACATAGTGGGCTGAATAAAATTGTTAAAATTAACTTCACCTGTTTTTTACATATTTTAGTGCAGCTACTAAACAATTCAGATTTATTTATGTGGCCCACATTTTAATTCACTAGTGCATTGCTCTAAATGCACTCAGTTTGTTACTCGGGGTGGGGTGGGGGGTGGAATAGAGAAGGCTATCTCCTCAAAGCATATTTGTTTAAAGCATGATGACATATGTTTTACTGTTAGTTGTCAGTTATGAGGGTCAGTTCATGTGAACAAGCACACACAGTGCTGCCGGAAAAGAATTGCGTGTGAGTCACTGATAGTTTTCATGTATATTATGATGATTATAAAATACAGCAGAAAGTAATGACTCACCTCCATCTTTTTTATCTTTAGGAATAGGGTGGGAAAAAATTTCTTTTCTGCCTTAGTAACGCATTTCACATTATAGAAAATAAATATTTATAAAACTCATCAACAGATCTACTCTTGTACTTTTTATAATTTGCACTTAATTGGGTTACTTGGTATTTTAAGTACAAATTCTATATATGTCCATATATATCCTTATACCAGAGTATAACTGCTTATTATACATACAATGACCATGAAAACAATAAGAATGAAACATTACTTCTATCTTCTTATAAGTAGAATAAATCAAATTCTCTTCCTATTTGCTGTGATTCAGGGTTAGTATTTGCAGTTTTTCTAGGTTAAATGGATAGAGTTTAATGAAATGTCAAAATCTTTAAAGACTCACAGCACATAAAAAAGGACATTTTCAGCAAGATAATTGAGTAATACATTTTCATTAAATGTATTCAATTTTTATTTAAAAACAGTAAAATTTCTAAACATTTTTTAAAAATGTATAGTGCTTATATTTTTCTCATATATAGTTTATAGCGTTTATAATTTCTGCCACATTATAAAATATCCTGTATGACTTGTACAATGATCATTTCTACAATGGCATGTCTCTAAGATAACAAAGGTGCTTCTCAAATAATTTTGCACGTAACAAAAAAGACCAAAACACTCCTCAGTATCATCTTACCAGAATCTATGCTCATTATAAGTCTCACCTTAAATTACTTTGAAATAAACCATAAGAGCAGGCAATATAAAATATAATCACCTTCAATGTATAAAAGGCACATTTAAAAGGAAATATGTGTGCATACTCTGTTGTCTGATAGAATAATTGTCTTTAATATTAGATCATAATAAGTAAATCTGGTTTTTGTTTTTTTTTTTGAGATAGAGTCTTGCTCTGTTGCCCAGGCTGGAGTGCAATGGCGCAATCTTGGCTCACTGCAAGCTCCGCCTCCCGGGTTCACGCCATTCTGATTCAGCCTCCCAAGTAGCTGGGACTATAGGCGCCCACCATGGCGCCCGGCTAATTTTTTTTTTTTTTTTTTTTTTTGTATTTTTAGTAGAGACGGGATTTCACCATGTTAGCCAGGATGGTCTCGATCTCCTTACCTCGTGATCCGCCCACCTCGGCCTCCCAAAGTGCTGGGATTACAGGCGTGAGCCACCACTCCCAGACAAATCTGTGTTTGTTTTTTTTTTTTGACAAAATCTCTAATTATCTTTCTCTCGAGAAGTCCAAAATGTGATTCAGTCATTGTAATCCTGATCAAAATATTACTTTAATTTGCGTAACATTGAACAGAAAATGACAGTTTATTCATTTTATGTATTCATTCATTTCGAAAATTTTTACTGAGCATCTAAATGCTAGACAGTATGTTAGACCCTCCAGATATAAGGAGCAAAATATTATGATCCTTGTTCTCAAAGAACTTAGAGAAGGGGAATTAGATATTTCACAAATAATCTCACAAATAAGAACATAGCTCCACAACATGAAGAGTGCAATGTGCAGCTTTTATAAGAACGTGGAAGGGAGGGAAAGGGGGTTACTTTAGGATTAGGGAGTTAAGGCAGGCCTCTCTGAGGGCATGACTAGTTTGACTGGAAGAAGAGCAGGATTTAGTGGGTGAAGTGTCAGCATCTAGACAGAGAAAACAGCATATGCAAAGGCCTCCAATGCAAAAGAACCACATGCATTTCAGGTATTGAAAAGACTGTGGGTAGCAGATGCCACCTGAGCCAGGGGGATGATGGAGATAAGGCTGGTGAGATGGACAGAGGCCAGATCATTCATGGTCTTATGTGTAATTTACTGAGACAATTGGCACAACCTGAGTGGGGTCTGAAGATTAGAAGGTAGTAATGTTAATTTAGTGGTGTCTTAATCCATTTTGTGTTGCTATAACAGAATACCTGAGACTTGGTAATTTATAAAGAGAAGAGGCTTATTTAGCTCATGGTTCTGCAGATTGGGATGTATAAGAGACATGGAGCCACATATCTGCCTTGCTTCTGGTGAGGGCATGTGCTAGGTCAAAACATGGCGGGAAGGTCAAAAAGGAAGTGGACATATGTGAGAAGGGAGAAAACATGTTATTATGAAGGAAACTTACATTATAACAACCCACTCTAGTGGGAACTGATCCAGTCTTGCAAGAGTAAAAACACATATGGCCGCAAGAATGGCACCAATTCATTCATAAGGGATCTTCCCCTATGACCAAAACACCTCCCACTAGGCCCGGCCCTGTCACATTGTGGATAAAATTTCAGATGAGCTTTGTGGGGGGCAAACAAACCACATCCAAACCATAGCAACTGTTTTTGATGGTTGTATGTTGTATTTTGTACATGTAGAAGGATATCCTTGTTTGTAGGATATGGGATATATACATTGAAATATTTAGAGTTGATGAGACTTTGTATGGGTAACTTACTTTCAAATCGTTCAGTGAAGAAAAAAAATTTGTATGTTACTTTCAACTTTTCAGTAAGCATATTTCCAATTTTAAAAAGAAACAAAATTGGATAATGAAAGTCCCTTTCTCCTAGTCATCTAATAGTTTTCCATTCCATTTAGAATTAAAACAAAAAAAATCTGAACAGAATCATGTTAAAGTATTTAAGGAAATTTGATCTGTGGGACAATTTATCATCCTTATTAGACACAGATGGGTATGTTTCTCTTATAGCCAGAAATAAGGTATTTGGGAAGAGTTGTTTTTAATCCAGCCTTCTAACTGGGTCTTCCATAGACAGACTTCACTGTGTGATGTCTTGAGACAGGGAAAAGGAAAAACAGGTTCTGATTGGGTGAACAGCTAGAACAGTAGAGGTTGTCTCAGGCTTACCCATAATACTTGTAGAACAATGGAGGCCACTTGCCAAATGTTGGAATAGTTTAAAATTATAAAGTGAGCTAATAAGCTGATAAAATACGTCATATCCTCCTATCCTGACAATATACCATCATAGCCATCGAGAGGGTAAATTTAGAATTTAGAAATAAAAATTCAGAATTCCAACTCCTTAGAATTCCTCTCTGGAATATGGATGTCAAGGGAATGTGGCTCATTCGCCTTGAATTGCCACCTTAGGTTCCTGCCCATGTGTAAAGTCTATCTCTCACCATAGTGAATTATTGTAATTCTATGTTGCCTCTGCATCCATTTTGAATATAAGCTGGACTTTCTCACACAATGTCCAGATCTACACCTCCTCCCAGTTTCTCAATGTGGTTGATCCAGATATCCGCCATATAAAACTGTCTCCTGGTGATCACATACCTATGGGACAGCTACATATAGCCTCCTTGACAGGCCCTGCTGATGCTCACACCCCACATGGACTGGGCAGATATGCCACAGTGACCACTTCTCACAGAGTGACCTCCTGGAACTTGACCCTGATTGCCTTAAACCTACCAATTAAACTCTCCACAGGAAACATGGTTGGATAACAGTGCTGGACCTAAAAAAGGTGTTGGCCCACGAGTGCCTCTCTCTCCCTGCCTGAGCTCCCTGACCAGCATGCGTGTGGCCTCCAGGTGTGTTGTCTACCCCCCAGGACCTGTAAGTGGGAAACATTTTTATTTCCTTCTTGTATCATTCTTAATCATCGAAGAGGTGGCTCTTCATCTTAAAAATCCTAAATTAACACACACACACACACACACACACACACACACACACACGTGGACACCACCACAAAAAAAATAAAAACCTGCTTTCTTTGCATTGCATTTGGGTGTAGGAATAAACTGTATTATTCATTCATTATCCTAGTGATTCTCTTGGGCTTTTCATCATGTTATTTTTTTTGCATAACATTTCAGACCTTCTGATAAATATATGCATTCACATCTAATGGTGTTAAACATAATAAACATTAGATGTTGGCTAAACATCTATAGTACTGTTTAGATAGGTTTTTAATTTTTTATTTTCTTTTTACATAATAATAAATGTGTCTCTTTTCAACTTTTGTTGTTCTTAAGTCTTTAAGTTCTAGCCAACTTTATAAATTTCCTTTAGAAATCATATATATTATGTATGAAAGACTCAGTATACAAATACACAATGGCCAGGCCATATATAAAAACAGAACTCTGGCTCAGCAACCAGCTCAGGAAACCATACTCTTATCTACAGTAACCATCCTGGGAAGCCATTCTATTATCTGTAAGTCTGACTTGTAGGAAGTCAGATGACCATATCTAGCAACCAGCCCCGGAGGCCAAACAATAAGCCCTTTAACAATCAGCCCAAAGCAATTAGGGGTTGATTAATAACTGACAGCTTCCCTAATTTTTGTCCTGGCTTCCAACTTAGGACCAATCAGAGAAAGCCAAATATGCTCCCTTCGCCAATCACAGGGCTGCCCTGCTTCTAGTTAGCCCTCTGACAGCTTCCTCATGCCAGCAACCTCCAATCAGAGCCTAAGTGAAGACCTCTTTCTTCCACCACAATGCTTTCTCACTCCTCTGCCTCCCTTTGAGTCTCTGCCAAAACACAAGTGATGGTTGCTGATTTTTTTGCTATAACAAGCCCTGAATAAATAGTCCCTGCTTATTCTCATTTGGTTGGACTTCATTTATTTCCACATGTAGTAAGCAGGCAATGATAGTTTTCATGCTTAATATCATTTACTGCAATGAAGCAGTTGGCAAATTTAACAGTAACATATGTTTGGTTAATATATATGTATTTATAATTCACTGAAATAAATTAATATTTATCATTTTATCATACAAATTTCAGTTGGACTTGTTTCCTTTATAGAACTCGCTATGACTAGAGTAAAAATGGAATTTAGACTGCTAAAGGAAAATATTCACAAGGCTTCATTCATTTCCAGAGTTAGCAATGAAAGCAAACTTTTCAATAGTAATTCATGCAATTTTAGATTCTTTGGTTTTGCACATAAAGATGAGTCATCACCAAAGAGATTTTTATGTAGTAAAAAAATACATAAAGGCTTTTTATATAATTTTCTTAACAAAAGGGCATTAAATCTGAAATTATAATTTATTACAGAAAAAGCATTTGGTAAGTGGAAGAAAACAGCATGATACTTAGAATCATGGGATTCTAACAGTCAAAATTGAAAAGTGACATGAGTTCCCAGATATCCTCTCAGTCCTTATGGTGAGCTGTTTATGATCTCTGTGACATGAGGACATTTTAAAATTCAAGCCATGAATTAGAAGTCATTCTGAAGAAAAAGTAACTGCTGAATGCTAATTCCAGTGTTTTCTATTTTCTGCAGATAGCAAAGCCATTTCCAAATTGCAGCAGTCTAGCCCTCTCTCCTTAAGTACACGTCTTCTCCCAGCCTTCCAAATCTCTCCGAAGCAAATTTTTTCAACCCCTTCCTACTTCCACTGTGCCAATATTCCTCAAATAATTGATTTTGGCTGTGTACATCAGAATCATCAAAAGGTGCCTGTGAAAATGCAGTCATGGGCTCCATTTCAGTCCTTCTGAATCAGAATCTCGGGGGGTGGAGCTCAAGGAACTGCTATTTTTACAAGCACTCCAGATGATTCTATGCATATCCGAAGTTGAGAATTACCATTTAATGTAATGATCTACCTCAGAAATCTCATAAAATATCTTGGATTTGCAGATAGTCTGATATACTAATGAAAGCAAAATATTTTTTCTTTGGTTTCTTTTTTGAAATTCAATTGGTTTCTCTAACTTCTGATAAGAAATATTAGATAGCTCACCATCAATCCATAGCTCAGGAAGAATAAAACCAAAGTTTTCATATTTGCCACAGATAAGGCTCCTCCCCTTACCTGTCAATCAGTGGCACTCTCTCCTAGTTATCAGCTACTCAAAATAATTTAAATGAATAATCTTTGACTTGGGCTTTCATGTTTTAAATCCAATTAGTCACTAATCACATAAATTCTCCCTTCATTAAGAGGCTGACTGTTGTCAAATCCATCTTTAAGTTGAAAACCATTACCTGAGCACCTACTGTGTGCTAGGAAATGGTGATATAAAGATTAATCAGACATGATCCCTGCTTTGAGATCCTCACAGTCTAACCAAAATGAGATATCATAAATAATCCTCCATGCTAAGTGCTGTGGTACCCACATGTCAAAAATGCTGAGAGTTCACATAGAATGAACCAATTAATGATTCCTATGGGGTCTGTGAAAGGAGCAAAGTGGAGGCAATATTTGAGCTGATATTTTTTAAAAACTAAGTAGTTCACCAAAAAGACAGTGAGAAAAGAACACTCAAGAGAGAAACTAACAGGAATGAGAACACAGGGATTAAAAAAAAAAAAGAGGATTGGACAGAAGGGTCCTGCCTGTGTGCTGGGGAATGACTGCAGTGAAGCCAAGAAGGTGTTCTGTTGCAGACGGTTTTGTGTGGCATGCCAAATTGTTTGAACTTATTCTGTAGGCAAAGGGAGCCACCAGAGGGTTTCATTTTCTTATTTCTAATTAAATTTTTATGTTTATAAAAAATACATACATATGATTTTAAAATTCAAATACTATTGCTGTCCTTAAAATAAAATCAGTATTTCTCTGTTTCACCTCTTTCCATCCCCAAGTCTTTCCTCCCTCAGGCATCCACGGTGTACACTTAAAGCTGTTTTAGTATTTACCTTCACATTTCAAAATAAAATGGAGCACTGAAGAATTTTCATTGTAGAATCAACAAGTGCTTGTATCAAGTCTTTTCTTTTGGCCCATTTCTTCTGCAAAGAGGAATTATCTGGTCTCCCATCGAAGGGCATAAGCCTAGTTGCCAAGAGGAAGGAGACTCAGCTATCCTACTGGGTATATAGACTCTGCCTCTATCAACATACATTCTAGCTACTTGACTTCTCCCTGGACAGCAGTCCCTGATGCTTAACCTATCCAGGAGACTTCTTTTGATCTGAAGTTATAATAAATCATATACTATCAAATAAGCCAAGACATTAATTTTGGCTTTATTCTTTGACGATCCCAAGTTACCTAAATTTTATACAGCACCTAGACTGGTTTCTATCAGTTAGATGAGGAAATTGAATAGGACCAGAGTGACGGTAAGGGTTGGTAAATGCTGAAGTCTTTCAATGCCAGGGTCATTAATCTATAGCCTGTGAGCCAAATCCTATCTACTACCTATTTTTGTACAGCTCATGAGCTAAGAGTGGTTTTTATATTTTTAAGTGACTGGAAAAAAAATCAAATAAATATTTCATGATGCATTAAAATTATATAAAATCCTTATTTCAGTGTCCATAAAGTTTCACTGGTGTATGATCCTCTTTAGTTTTTACATATTGTCTACGTCTGATTTTATGCTACACTTGTGTAATTGAGCAGCTATGACAAAAGAAAGCCACATATCTTGCAAAGTCTAAAATATTTACTATCTGGCTCTCTACAGAAGTTTACCAACCCTTATTCTAGAGCACTTAGTTGGAAACAATGTCAAGAGTCACAGGTGAGCAGCTTTAGGCTAGGTAGTTTGGCCAAAGGTAAGAGTCAGATCCCTAGCAGAGAAATTGAAGGGAAAGAAATCAAATGTGTTTTCTTTCCACTGGATTCTCTTTCATTCTTTTTGAATAGTCATTTTTTATGGTTGATATTAAGCCTTAGAGCATCAAACCTCAGCAAATGTCAAATGCTAATAATTCTCCATGGAACTTTTCATTTCAGTTTCTGATCTCACCGTGGTCTACATCGTTATTGTCTACAGCACTTACCATATATATTTTTAATTATCTGTATATGTATACAATCTGTTTCCTCACATAAATTGTAAGCTCCTGGGTGGCTGAAAAGCAAAACATAAACAAATGATGCCTTACACTGTCATGTATTCATGTATCTCCAAGGCCTAGAACAATATATTTATGCCAATATGCTCACAAATGTTGAAGATGATGATAGTATGTTGTGAATTACCTGTACTTTTCTTTCTCAGGGAAAAGAAAATAAATCCCTACAAAAAATGTTTCCACCTTGTAAGAATTCCAACTATATAGATTTTTGACAGGGCTGAACCTATTAGATACTAGTCTGGGAGTTTGTTAAATACGCAATAAAACATGTGTTTCACTGGTTGAACTGGCTGAAAAAAGACACATTTGGAGCTATTTTGATTTCCTTCTCTTTGGAATTCCAGTCCCACCTCCTCCAACCCCCACATGCATACATGGGCATCTTACTCACTCCATCCAAGTACATTTGAATCACAGAAGAAACTTTTTGATTGTGAAATAAAAGCAGAGAATAGTTTTCAAATGAATATGTGCTGAGCCATAAAGTGAAAAGAAAAAATGCAAAAATACTTCTAGTCAACATAGCTTATATTTCTAATTTTCACCCAGGACACTAGAGGAAAGAGTGAACTGTAGTTTTCATTTAACTCACTAAGACACCAATATGGCAGTGTTAACCTTTTCCCTCTTGTGTCTTCAGTATTATTTAGTTGATACAAATTGTTCTCATTAGGCCGGGCACCATGGCTCACACCTGTAATCCCAGCACTTTGGGAGGCCGAGGTGGGCAGAGGTCAGGAGCTCCAGACCAGCCTGGCCAACATGGCAAAACACCGTCTCTACTAAAAATACAAACATTAGCTGGGCGTCGTGGTAGGCACCTGTAATCCCAGCTACTTGGAAGGCTGAGGCAGGAGAACCACTTGAACCTGGGAGGCGGAGGTTGCAGTGAGCAGAGATTGTGCGATTGCACTCCAGCCTGGGCTACAAGAGTGAAATTCGGTCCCCCCACCCCAAAAAAAGAAGAAAAAAAACCAAATAATTTGTTCTCATTAGGCCGTTAATGGACTTCTGGCTGGTAATCTCAATTGGAACTGGTTGTAGCCATTCACTGTGCAAGTGACCAAGGTGCTGTTTACTGTGGTTTAACATTTGGAAGGAAAGGAAGCAGGCTTATAAATAATTGCTTAATGGTTCTGTCTCAATTGTAATTCTGAAAATTTAAGAGATCCAAATAGTATCACAGATTTCCCTTTTTGGTATTAGATGAAATAATTGAAGATATTATAAAACCTTAACCACTGATATCATCTGTATATTGTGTGAAGGAAGCTTTGGTATACTCGACTTAAAAACACTTCTCTAAATTGACATACTAAAAGTCAAGTTGCAAGGAAGAGAAAGCCGCTAGGCCAAGGGGACACACACCAATTGGACAAACAGCAACAGAGCTTCAAAGGGTCTGAGACAGACTTTGAGGAATAATAGAAGGGGGAAAAGCAAATTGGCAATTTTTCATGAAGATAATCATTTCATTAAAATCTTGCCATCACTTCCCCTTTGGTGCCAGCAGACTGATACTAAACTGCTATGGAGACACTTTCCTAGCATGGGTCACAAACAACATTGAAGGCAACATAAATTTAGGATGCTTGCTACTTTGCTAATCATTTTGGAACTCAAATGTGAGGAAACATTTCTTCATTAATATCAAGAACCCAATTCAAACTTCTAAATATAACAATGAGCACAGAGAGGGTTCTCCATAGTAACGTTGAAAATCCTTCATTGCTTTAATCATATCCCCAGTCAGGTTATAAGTTGCAATAATGAGCTGAGAACCTGGCATGTGGTACACGCTGGTAAATACCTTGATAGTGAATATATGAATGAACCAACGACTAAATACCCGGAGGTTTGGGTATATGACTCCACAGATCCTATCAGTGCAAATGTTTTAAAAGCATAAAGTACTTTGTATATATCATGGACAAAGGTAAACATTTTAAAGTTACAGTCCAAAGCATATTTGGTTATGGAATTCTGTATGGGATAGCTCTTGTTGAACAAGTTTCTGCTTTGAGACAGGATCTCAATCTGTTGTCCAGGCTGGAGTGCATTGGCACTATCTTGGCTCAATGCAATGTCAGCCTCCTGGTGCTCAAGTGATCCTCCCACTTCGGCCTCCCAAGTATCTGGGACTACAGGATAGCGTCACCACACCCAGTTAATTTTTGCATTTTTTTGTAGAGATGGGTTTTCACATTTTGGCCAGGCTTGTCTTGAACTTGTGAGCTCAAGCAATCCACCCACCTTAGCCTCCCAAAGTTCTGGGATGACAAGCATGAGCCACTGTGCCCAGCCACTGAGCACATTTCTAATCATGGTAAAAATAGCAGCAGCACATTAGAGAAACAAGTTTGTCCATTTCTTGTTCGGCAGACATTATGAAATTAGTGTCTATTCTCATGATTACTCTGATGGATACTATTTTTTTTTTTTTTTTTGGAGAATCAGTAATTTTGCATCCTTGGGAGAAAGAGGGATTTGTGATATTGCTACAGAATCTTTTTTCTCTTCATTCTGCTAACATTTTGATCTTCCCTGGAACAGTACACAGATGAAAATATTTCTTTTTATTATTGTGTAGTGTGAATAATAGAACCCAGAACTTAGAAATTACACTGTTCTCCATGAAAGCTGAGAAACTTGCTTGAGGGCACACAGAAAATTAGAAAAGGGCCAGAATTAACTTTTATGTTCCCCATAAAGTCTTAATGTTTTACGTTTTATGTTTTAATCTGTCTCTTATTTCTTTTTTGCTCATGATAATGCTTGGCATTCATCCCTTAATTCCTCTTGGATATGCAGCAGGAATAAATGCCTTTCTAATCTAAAAGCCCCCCTTCCGAAATTCTCTTTTACAAGTTGCAATAATTGCTTTGTTTCCATTTACTCCTTGAACAATGTTTTTGTCCAAGTACCACGAAATCAAATGTTGAAGTGACCAGGCAGGTAAAATACACAAATGAAGTGGAACCCATGTAGATGGGATCGGAGTGACCCTCAACCCATTTCTGGGAGACCAGATGGTGGGGACTGTGGGAAGCTGGTGACACAAGCCCAATGTAAAGGCTCTAATTTTCGGAGAGAACAGAAATTCAGGTTCGTATATAAGGCTTTTAAATTTTATTGTGTTTATTTTGGTAACTAATTAAAATGTAAGATACTATAAAGGCCAAAACTAAAGACCAAACCAGGCTTGTCTGTGGGCTGTCTCTACGACAGCTCACTTCCTTTTTATAGTGCCAGATTCAGCTGCTGGGGGGCATTTCACTCTGTATTTGAACTGGCTTCTAATGTATCAGCAATAAATCACATTAAAGTAAATCTAAGAATGTTCTCAGTAATGCCAACATAGATGGATTAACTGTACAGCCTCCCCGGATGTCCGTTTATCAGGACAACTAATTTTACATTGAAAGGTAGTGTTATATACTAGTTAAGAACATAGCCTACGGAGTCACATTGCATGGGTTTGAATCCAGGCTCTGTTACTTACCAGCTATGTAACCTTGGGCAAGTGATTTAATTTCTTTGAGTCCAAAGTTTTGCATCTGTAAGATGAAGATAATGACAGTTATCATGGCAATTATATGAATATATATACACACATGGATCTATAGTACTTAATATCTAAATTAGCAATATTTAATTATTTGCTATTATTCACAAGTCATAGTGTTGGTGAAAAATAACAAAATTTTACATGTTTATGTCTCACCATATAAGGCCTCAGATAACTTTCTCCTTCAGACAGAACATGTGGGAGAATAAGATCCCTGTGGCAAAATCCCATTCTTTGTCCTTAGCGCCAGATGCCATCACTTCTTGGAAATGTCATCATTGCATATTTCTCTGAGAAGAGATATAGAGTGAATTTTTAAAATACTAAAAATACTAGGAGTTAATAGCATGTCAAGTTATCTTTTTGCTTTTCTCTTTTTGGAGATCATCCATTTTAAAGTCAGGGACATTCTGTTTCAGAGTTGCAAGGCAGAAAAATCAAAGGACTTTTATTTTCCTCTTTTATGGGTTACTGAAGCATGAAACTTATTGACAGATGCTAGCGCTAGATATAAGCTGCCATGCTGTTTTCCCCAAGTTCATTTTCACATTAAGTTATTCTGGCAGTTTTAATTTTTTTAAGGTACCAAGAACCTTTTTAAATGCCTAGAAACGGAGAAAACAGAAGGTCATATCACATCTAAATCTATTTTACTTAATCATATAAGTTTGTAAATAGTAAACGACACAAAATTCATTTTTTGTAGCATAAATATCTTTGCCCACTGATGAAACTCAAGATGTGCTCTGCCCTTCAATGATTATGTAACTTCATTTCCTGTACTCCTACAAATACATAAAATTATAGGACCTGCGCTTTCATTCTACCAAATTCTCTCTTTCCAAAGCAGAAGACCATCATAGGCTCTCAAAAATAATTCTGGTTGATTTTATGAAGATTGAGAAGAACACTTACTTCCATTCTGCTCTCACAAAGTGCTGTTAGGAAGTGGTCTTATGCCCATGCAAAATCCAACCCAGAAGCCAAGAAAAGCAGACATGCAGAAGCACAGAATCTCCCAAGATGGGAAGGCACATTAAAAATAACAATCTATACGCATGCTTGCACACATGCATGCACACACACACACATTTAACAGAATCAAAGGTCAAAGAAATGCTACACAAAATCTGTAACTGGGTGCACAATGGCTCAAACCTAATGTTAACTGATTAAAACAATTTTTCTATCCAGTACTATGTGTTTAGGAGCTGCTAGGCATATATCAAAATTGGATAACTTAGAACATAAACTGTTTTCCTCTCATATCTATTTCAGAATTCTCAGAGTTTCTCAAATATGATGGGTAAACCGCCTGCAGAAAAATCACCCGGGGCCTTGTTAAAACTGGAGATCCCTGAGCCCAGCCCTGCAAGATGGAGAGGAGATTTAGAATTCGGGAACATGTTGTTTTAATTCAGAACTCAGGGAATGGTTATAAATATTAAAGTTTGAGAACCACTGACGATCAGGATCTGTTGTGTACATTAACACAAGTGGAATTACTGTAATAGGGAAAAACACTTCTACTTAATATACCCAAAAATGATATACTTTAAAAATCTCAAACCTGACTTCTTAAGCTGCTTTAAAGAATGGTTTCTCTGTACATTCCAAATGGACTTTCACATATTTGCCCTCAGTGATTTCTCATGTAGCTTTGAATCCTGGAGAACTACCCAATAATTAGTCTTAGAAACCAGTGAAGGTGGCCGGGCTTAGTGGCTCACACCTGTAATCCCAGCACTTTGAGAGGCCGAGGCGGGCAGATCACCTGAGGTCAGGAGTCTGAGACCAGCCTGGCCAACATGGGGAAACCCCGTCTCTACTAAAAATATGAAAGTTAGCCAGGGGTGGTGGCGGATGCCTGTAATCCCAGCTACTTGGGAGGCTGAGGCAGGACAATTGCTTGAACCCGGGAGGCAGAGGTTGCAGTGAACTGAGATCGTACCATTGCACTCCAGCGTGGGCGAAGAGCATTTTTTTTTTTATTTGAGACTGTCTCACAAAAAAAAAAAAAAGAAACAAAACTAATGAAAGCATTTAGCTTATTTTAGGTGTAAGGAGTTGTCTTTTAGTGTGCTGAAAACAGAAGTACAGCAAGCATTTAATCTTGCAGTGTTTCTTAAAAGAGACTTTAAATGCTAGAGCATTTCAAACCAAAAGAACAGCAGAAATTGTCATCTAAAGGTAATGTTTTTGTATCCCACCATTTTTATTACTCTAAAAGAAAAACCATAATTAAAATTAAGCACTAATATAGGTTAGAGTTTAAATTGTATATAATATTTAGAAACATGACAGCTTCTAAAATGCATTGAACCAGGACATGGTGTTTCAAATATAGAAGGTCCACAGATAATCAAGAATTCTAGCTTAAGTTTGGTACTCTTCTTTGTCCTGGGGCCACTATTTCCCATCAGTGACTTTTGGTACAAACCTGGTACTCTATGCACTCTAGAGGTGAATTGGGGGTTTTTTTGAGGTTTGATTTTAAGACAAAAAAAAAAAAAAAACCCTGTATGTTTTAATTTAAAACAATGACTGGTAAATTCTCAAGGATGCATGCCCAGTGTTTCATTACAAGGGTGCTATTTCTTGTTTTCTGAAAATGCATATTACATTGTTCTTGTATTACTGCTATAGGGTACTATCTCTGCATATTATATTTCTAGTATTCATAGTTCATAGTTCGTGATTCTTAATTTTGCCACATTGGAGTTGTTTTCTCAATGACAGCCTTTTAGTCAACTAGATGCCCTGCCTTCTACCATACTCATGATGTCTTACAGGCAATTGTGAATGTATTTGGAACAGCCAAAATTAACTTAATAGTCTAAATAGCAGAAGAAGTTAAATTTATTCTTCTAAATTAATGTCACTAGTCCATTTAAGATACTGTGTATCTGTAGTGTTCATCATACATGTTATCACTTTCCCAAGTATTTCTTGTACACTGTCATGTAATAAATCTATATCTAAAGTCATCTTACATTTTGTTTGCCATTATATTAGGACAGAAGTGGTATTTCAATAATAGCTTTCTGTAAATATTTGTGGAAAGAACTTAAACTAGATAGGGCTGGTTAAATGTATCCTAAATCTGTACTTGATTTGTTCCACAGGTTTCATCAAACCTTTGGTTAAAAAGTCCTGTATCTAAAATTTTGTTGGGAAATGAAGGCTGGGAAAATGCTATCTGATTCACTGACATTTAGCAGGAATTAATGACCAGTAACAATCAATCTCCCAGGAGACAAATGCAAGGAACCAGGTTCTTTCATACCTGGGTCGTTATGCAAAGAGATAACTTGCTGTGAAACTCTACACCTGGGACCACATTTTTACACCTGGTCAGCTTCACACTTCTTACCAGCAGTTCCCTTCTCCAAAGCCCATTCTGGGTCAAAGAACAGAGCTAACATTTACTTCTATATCTAATTTTCTTTGAGCCCTTATTTTGTGCCAGGAGTTGTGCTAAGCTCTTTACAGTACCATTTGCTTGTATAATTATTAAATCCAATTTTACAGTTCAGAAAACTAAGATCCTATGCTTTTAAGGACTGTGGCATATAACTGGAAGCATCCTTTGTTGTATAGACAAAACCAACCACCAGCAGTATAATATCTTTGGAACGACAACTCACTGCAGTCAACCCTTGCCAATAATTCTACTGTCAGATATTGATAAGGTTTTCTTAAATATAAATCCTCAGCATTTTCAAAGTGTACATTTGATTGTTACAACTCCAAGATAAGCATGAAAGAGATTATGATCCTTACTTTAGGAATGAGATAACTGAAGGGAGAATGCCAGTCAATTGACTCACACAAGATTATGTAACTAAATAGCAGAACTGAGTCTAGAACCTTGGCCTTCTGATGACTAGAAATATACAACTATATGGAATACAAAACTGAGCTGAAAGGAAAAGGTAGAGAAACAAAGCAAAAATATGAGCTTTGAACCACATCGTAAACATAAAAGAAAACATTTTCTGAAATACTACGCTTGAGTCCTCAAAAAATTGTAAGGCTGACCTTCAGAAGGCTAGTTGCTAAGTTCCTTGATTTTTTATTTTTATTTTTTTTAAGATGGAGTCTCGCTCTGTCACCCAGCCTGGAGTGCAGTGGTGTAATCTCAGCTCACTGCAACCTCCATCTCCCAGACTCAAGCGATTCTTGTGCCTCAGCATCTGAAGTAGCTGGGATTACAGGCATGCCACTATGCCTGGCTGGTTTTTGTATTTTTAGGAAAGACAGTGTTTCACCATGTTGGCCAGGCTAGTCTTGAACTTCTGACCTCAGGTGACCCGCCCACCTCAGCCTCCCAAAGTGCTGAAATTACAAGCATGAGCCACCATGCCTGGCCCCTAGTTCCTTGATTTAATAATTTATTCAATAACATTATTTGAGACACAGAACACTTTTTCAGCTTATTTTTGCCATTCTATGCTGACTGCAGAAAGAATTGATTTGCATATGATCCTTAGTTATCAGTCACTGTATTCTGGACTGTATATTATATGAAAGTCTTCATCTGAGTCAAAAAGGAAAATCAATGTTATTTTTAATTTTTGAAGTTAAAAATGTACAGAAGACCAGCACCACAATTCCAATGGTTACTTTATTAATCAGTATCATTGGGTTATTTATTATAAAAATTATAGTGAAAAAGAAAGTTAAAGTATGATGTAAACTTTCTTTTCTCTGACATCTACAAAGACTTCTCTACTGAAGTGAATCAATCCAAGCTCAAATTCATGAGACAGCTGCTTCTTGCTCAGTTAGGTTGAATGGTTTGTTCCATTTCTCTCCAAGCATCAGTTCTATTCTTCTCTTTGAAGATTCACTTTTATTGTTCCTGTTTTTTCTATATTCTGTCTGATTTTGCATGTGTAAGCTTTTTTTTTTTGTCTTTTTTCCTTCCTAAGGCATGGACTCTGGACCCAAATTTCCATGCTTTACAAGTCTAGCACCCATATTTACCAGCCATAATTTTGTCTCTTCATTGAAATTTTCAAGACATACCAACTAGTCTCAGCCTAGTCTTTGAGCATGTTCTAATCAGATGTGATAATCATGGTGAAAGATTTACATAAATAATGCCATTAAAGCCCATCAAGTCAGGATAATACCCAAAGAAAAGAATATGAGCCAGGCAAACACCAAAAACATGTCTACTGTTAACATTTATCAAACATTATCCTAGTTACCACAACAAAGAAAAACACAGGATTTTCTGGAAATATACAGAACATACATTTAAACCACAACAGAAACCATCATATAAAGTTTCTAAAGGAGGTAACATAGGAGCTGAGATTTGAAAGATGGATAAAAAGTTAGGAAAAGACAATGAAACAAGGAGTTTCACACAAAGGAATTAACATGCATAAAGATGTATGACACAGTTTGGCATCTTGAAAAAACTACAGGTATTTCAATATACCTATCCATGACTCTCTTCTGTCTCTGCTTGGAGAAAAGCATAGAAGTTTGAGGCCAAATGTTTCCTCTTAAGTGAGGGACAAGTTGCACATAGTCCTAATCATATCATATATGTGAGAACCACCAGGTGTCTATGTCTACTGCAATGGGATCAAGAAATGTAATCCCTAGCTTGCTTGACACAAATCAGCTAAAATTCTATTATGGAAAAAGGAATTTCTAGCAATCCTTGCTATAGAACAGTAGCTGGAGAGGTTAAAGCCAGTGAAGTGTGGATTAGATAACCTAGGAAGAATGAGTAAACTGAGAAGAAAAGGACAAGGACAGAACTCATGTATCTTATTAGTCCTTTTCAGGCTGCATGAGAGACATCAGTTGGATTCCAGATTCCCTCATCTCTTTAAAACATCAGGAGACATATTTCTTACCTTGCTTTTTTCTTGAGCTTTTGGTGACGTGACTCCCAATTGTCTATTTCATAATATATAACACTGTGGTAAGAAATGACCCCAATTCCAGTTATATTTCCAGAATTGTCACCCCCACCACTAACAGCATGCTGCAGCTTTGCCTTCCTGACCTTCTGCTTTATCTGCTGAGGAGATCAGCTGAAGCACATAGAAAGCATATTATAAAACATTTGCATAACAGATGATTTGTAGAGACAACTAGTAGATTGGCTAAACCAGGATTATAGGGGTCTGAAAAGAATGATGGTTTAATATTAACAAGATAAAATTTCCTAGGCATACGTGCTGTATAGTTTTAAAAATCTGAATTCGTAAGAGGTAGAAGATCTTGCTCAACAGTTAATACGAAAAGACCTTGAGTTTTATTTAACCACAAGATCAATATTCCAGAACACTATGATATAATTGCTAAGAAAGTAAAGCAGTCTTAGGCTTTATTAGTTTGTTAGCACATACCACAAAAAACAATGGTACACAAAACATTGTATACTCAGCTCTTAGGCATGCCATTCTCATATTTACAACTTACAATCACATTTGACTTCTTCCCCCTTCCCACCACATCCAATTAATGTCAAGTCCCATTTATTCTAACTTTTTAAAATGTTGTGATCCTTATGGTATTGAACTGGAATTTGAGGCATCAGTATGAATTCATTATGTATAATTACATATTACATACTACAAATATGTATTTGATAGAGTTATAAACGTGTGTGTGTGTACATTTCTTAGCAAAAACAACACAATAGCAATGAGCACATCAAACACTCAGATCTATTTCTAAATATCATTTTTCACTAGACGGGATCAGGGATCCATAAAGAAGTGGCCACATTTAGGGCTGGGGCTTGGAAACTGTAAAAAGAGCCTGGAACATTTTATTGTACAGAAAGTATTAAAACAATAATGGGGACACGTTAAAAAATATATACAGAATCCAGTTTAATGGATATTAAAACTGGTGGATGAAATCATGTTTGATGAGCAAGGAGATATTTAGGAGATATTTACATAGTTTCAGAGTAATCTCTTATAAATTATTAATTACAAAGAGAAAAATAGTAACTTTACAGTAGATTTAGCAACCAAATTTATTTAAGTAATCAAAGTTAATGTCGCTAATAATGAAACAAATTGACATTTTAGGCCAAGCACGGTGGCTCATGCCTGTAATCCCAGCACTTTGGGAGGCCGAGGAGGGAAGATCACGAGCTCAAGATATCAAGACCATCCTGGCCAACATGGTGAAACCCTGTCTCTACTAAAAATACAAAAATTAGCTGGGCGTGGTGGTGCATGCCTGTAGTCCCAGCTACTCGGGAGGCTGAGGCAGCAGAATCGCTTGAACCTGGGAGGTGCAGGTTGCAACACACTACTAACTCCAGCCTGGGCGACAGAGCAAGACTGTCTAAAAAAAATAAAAAAAGAAAAACACATGAGACAAAGTAGCAAATGTAAAAAGTCACGTTTGTTCATTTTTGCTTGCCAAGATAATTTCACAAAGCCGCTGACTCTGGGACGTGCAGATCTCTGAAAAGACGCTTTGAAGACAAAAAAGGATAGATCACAAGACCCCCCCATGTCTCTTGCCTGAATCACTGTATTCTTTAAAAGATAAATGACGCTATTCCTTGCCTCTTCCTACACGAGATAATGTCTGATAGGGTTAGTGATTGTACCTCTGTATTCTATAACCTTTATACCCAGACCTTCATGTGATTCTGCATTAATGTAACTTCTGAGCAAGTTTGATGTGATTTTGCATGTACTGAGACCCCAGCACCTGTGTCTAAGTAGCGGGCTGAAACCCTGTGCTGGAGAAGTCTGATAAAACCTCTCTAAAATGCTGTTCCCAAGGTATAGGCATCGGTAAGATATTTGAATGAAACTAACTTTAATTCTTTAAAAGCTCGTTGTTTTTCCTTAGTCAACCAATACAAACCTGAAGATAATTGCAAGGAAACAAAAATCCAAACTGAAGGACATCCTACAAAGTTACTGGCTTTACTCTTCAAAAGCACAATCATGAAAGAAAAAGAAAGGCTGAGGAACTGTTTCAAGTTCAAGGAAACTAAAAAGACATGACGACTAACACAGTCTGTTATTCTAATTGTATCCAGAATCAAAAAAAGGATATTATAAGAATTTGTGAAATTTGGGTAAAAACTATGAATCATGGCTGGGCACGGTGGCTCACGCCTGTAATCCCAGCACTTTGGGAGGCTGAGGCAGGTGGATCACAAGGTCAAGAGATTGAGATCATTCTGGATAACATGGTGAAACCCCATCTCTACTAAAAATACAAAAATTATCTGGGTGTGGTGGTGCATGCCTGTAGTCCCAGCTACTCAGGAGGCTGAGGCAGGAGAATTGAACTCGGGAGGTAGAGGTTGCAGTGAGCCAAGATCGTGCCACTGCACTCCAGCCTGGTGACAGAGCAAGACTCCATCTCAAGGGAAAAAAAAAAACAAAAAACAAACAAACAAACAAAAAAACTATGAATCTATGAATCACATAACAATATTGTTGCTAGCTGTCCTGGTTTCGAAGGAGGTACTTTGGTTATGTAAGACAGTATTTAGGAAATACATACAGAAGTATTTGTGCAAAAGAGAAGACACCAAGAGAAAGAAACAAATGCTAAATGGGGCAACATATTAAGAATTGCTGAGTCTGGGAAGAGGATATAGAGGTCTTTATAATATTTTTTGCAACCTTTCTGTAAGTAAAACATTATGTTAAAATTAGAAACTAAAAAAGTTTTGAATCTGACCCCAGTAGTTAGCAATAGCTTGTTTCCCGAGTCTGGTAAATACTTCCAATGAAAAATAATAAATCCATAATCCATTAATCTAGCAACTTCCATCTGCTATGTACAAATTTAAAGAACGGAAAAGATTTTCAACTCTTGTTTACTTTAACATGGTTGTTGTTTGATATAATTTTTTATGTTTTAACTTATACCAACCAAGGTGATCGGACCATCATCTAGCAATCACCTATGTAGTCAGCTTTCAATAATGGAATTTCAAAGAGAAAGAAAAGTAGAAGTCTAGATCTAAAAGTTATGTTTTAGGATATTAAATGTGATCCCATATAAGCTAAAAATATGCTATAGGCATGACAATATCTTGGGGCAGTTTCATCCTCAGGACACAACTGCCATAGCTAACATGGAATGCAAAATAATTCTTAATGGAGTACTCTGGCCTTAGCGTTATAATTCAACTACACCAGTCACTAAATGAATTATTTATTTATTTATTATGATTATACTTTAAGTTTTAGGGTACATGTGCACAAAGTGCAGGTTAGTTACATATGTATACATGTGCCATGCTGGTGTGCTGCACCCACTAACTCGTCATCTAGCATTAGGTATATCTCCCAATGCTATACCTCCCCCCTCCCCCCACCCCACAACAGTCCCCAGAGTGTGATGTTCCCCTTCCTGTGTCCGTGTGTTCTCATTGTTCAATTCCCATCTATGAGTGAGAATATGCGGTGTTTGGTTTTTTGTTCTTGCGATAGTTTACTGAGAATGATGATTTCCAATTTCATCCATGTCCCTACAAAGGACATGAACTCATCATTTTTTATGGCTGCATAGTATTCCATGGTGTATATGTGCCACATTTTCTTAATCCAGTCTATCATTGTTGGACATTTGGGTTGGTTCCAAGTCTTTGCTATTGTGAATAACGCCGCAATAAACATACATGTGTATGTACTAAATGAATTTTAAAACATATCACATATATTTAGTATATTTATATTCCTAGCAAGAACTCTACAAAGAAATGATTTTTACCCCAGTTTTACATATAAGGAAACTGAAGCAGAAAGATATTGAATAACTTGTCCACACACCCTGTAAGGATTTGAACTGGGACTTGAACCCAGTGGCTCCTGTTCACAAAAATAGTGCCTACTTGTCTTTGTCCTTCCTACTTACATGTGAATGACAAAGACCTTCAAGACTGCAAACACTCCATAAAAGAGTAGAGGTAATACTAGTTAATGTGGCTAGCCTCTTACCCAAGAGTGCTCTTCTAGAAATCTATTCCTAAGAAATAGTTATCATTGCATATCAAAGTTTATACACAAAAATGTTATTCATATTGGCAAAAATATACTTCAAAGAACCTAAATATCAAATAATAGAGATTGAATAAACCATGGTGCATACAATAGAATATTTTCAGATAATTTTGATAAGAAAATGCTTATTATACAATGTTGAGTTAAAAACAGGAGAATGCAAGGTTAGATAGCATGACTCAAATATACATATCTACAGACATGTACATCTGTGCAAGTATATATAGGAAAAATAGAAGGAAATGAATCAAAATGTTAAATATGTTTATTGTTGGGCCTACATTTGTCTATCTTGTCTTTATTTTCCAAACTTTCCCATGTTAGTTGCAGTTACTTTTGTGATTTTTAAAAAGCCAATAAAAACCATTAAAAAGAAAATTACATGTAGCTTTTGAAAAGGTAAGAAGAAAAATAGATAAGCCAACATAAGAAAGGTACTTGGGAGACTAGTGTCTCGTTGCCTGCAGTCACCAAATAAGGCAGGCAGTGGAGAGAGTTCCACTCTCTCTCTACAAGAAAGTTTCCACTTTGTGGGTTCTATAAAAAAGGGATTTGCGGGTTTGGGAAATTGTTCATTTCACAGCTACATTCACACAGGTTTTCAAGGACACCACTGGTGCCATCTTCTAAGAAATAGAAAAAAAAAAACCACTTTAGGGAAAGTAGAATATATCCACCATTTATAAAAAGATCCAGGAAAAAGAAAATCAAAAGTAATGTACTTGAATGCAGAAATTTAAAATAAATAAAACAGGGCAGTGAAGTGATTCAATATAATACTACAATGGTAGATACATGTCATTATACATTTGTCAAAATCTATAAACCAAACATTAAGAGTGAACCCTCATGTAAACCATGGACTCTAGGGGATAATAATGTGTCAATGTAGTCTCAGTGATGGTAACAAATGGACCACTCTAGTGCCAGACGCTGATAGCAGGGAAGGTCTTTGCATGGTGGTGGGGAGAAGAGGATATATCAGAGCTCTGTACTTTCTGCTCAATTTTTCTGTGAACCTAAAATTCTCAAAAATATAGTTCATTAATTTAAAACATTTTTTAAAAAGTGAAAATGGAATTTTCCTGTAAACTCTAACACAATTCTCTAATCATTTGAAATTTAAGCTATGAAATCATTGAAGAGATTTAATTGGATTAACTTAATTTGGATTAGATTTGATGCAATTGGATTGAAGTGAATTAGAATTTTAATATATGCCTCTATATTGTATGCTTACATTCCTTAGGAGGAGGGAAAATTATTTTTAGGGAATGTTTGTGTGCATGTGCATATGCATGGATAGATGATTGACAGATGGATACAAGATACATAGATACGTGTGTGTGTGTGTGTATATATATGTATATATATATATATATACACACACACACACACATATATATATTCACTATGCATTTAACAGAACACCTGGTCGGACACTGGTGCTAGCTACTAACGATAAAAACAACTAAAGGTAAATTATTGTACTTTAAGAGATTGCAGCCTATCAGAGACACAGGCATGCAAACAGTCAGGAGTACCCTCTACTCACATAGATGCTGTGTGCTGTATTAACTCTGGGGGTCGGGGGTGGGAAGGCAAGGCATCTACTTTGTAGATTAGGGAATGAATGCTATTACTTGGAGTTGCTCAGAAGTCCTATAAGAAGTTACAAAACAAAAAGAAGAGTGGGCTGTGGGGACATTGATGAGTAGGCACCCAGTCTTTAAGGAAATGACAGAGGCATCACGTATCAGATGACACAGGACTTGAGATTAATAGAATGTTAAGAAAGAAGTCATGTTCCAGCACCAGCAAAATCAGGGCTGGGGAAAAGACAGATTTCCATATTTCTAGAAAGTAATATGCAAGGTGAGTAGTAACCCGAGATAAACTAGAGGAGCATGCAGGGACCAGGTGGTGAGAATATAGAGAGTAAAAGTTGTATCCCAGAGGGAGTGAAGAGATGTGAAGAGTTTTGAATAAAGACATGACCTGATTAGATTTTTTTTTTTTTTTTTTTTTTTTTTTTGTGGAGACAGTCTTTCTCTGTTGCCCAGGCTGGAGTGCAGTGGTGCCATCTTGGCTCACTGCAAGCTCTGCCTCCTGGGTTTAAGCTATTCTGCTGCCTCAGCCTCCTGAATAGCTGGGATTACAGGTACCCACCACCATGCCTTGATAATTTATGTAGTTTTAGTAGAGATGGTGTTTCCCTATATTGGCCAGGCTGGTCTTGAACTTCTGACCTCAGGTGATCTGCCTGACTCGGCCTCCCAAAGTCCTGGGATTACAGGCATGAGCCACCGCGCCCAGCCCTGATTAGATTTTTACATTGGATAAATAATCCTTGGGTAGCAAGGAGAGATTCCATACTAGAGACAGGAAGATAAGGAAGTCAATATTGCAGTAATCTAAGTGAAAATAATGAAGGCTCAAACTAGGACAAGTGGTGCAGTGGGGAGAAGAGGAGGAAACAGGCCCTGAGCTGTTGAGGAGTAAGAGTCCTGGGGCTTAGTGACTAACGAATGTGATGGTGAGAGACAAATAGTGGTAGTCTTCTCCGAAGGAGAGAACATAAGGAACATGTTCAAGGGAAGAGATGAGCAGCCTAGTTTTAGACATGTTGACTTAGTGCCTAGATGGCATTCATGTGAAAATGTCCACATGACAATGGGCTATTTAAATCTCACTTCCCTTTCACTGACACTGAAGAACTGGTGACTTCAGGATCTATATAGCCCCCCTATATTTGTATGTGACACATGTCAGGGAACCATGCAACTTGCAGAGGGAAGTGGCCTGGCAGTTCAGGGCCAACTTTCACCAAGGGAGCAGGGAAGACTGACGCTAGCCCTGACCAAGGTGAGCACTGAGCTTACTTACTCTCTTCTAAGGCATCCATCCTTTGCTGTCAGGCTGATTTTCTGGAAAATGCTGGCAGGATAGAGCATGTATCTTCTGATCAGGAGGATGTTTAGCTTGTGTCCTCATATTTGCAAAGAATATGGATGAAGCCAGGTAGGTTTACAGTTAGCATTTGAAAACATCTAATTAGGAAAAAGAAATAAGTACCACCTACCTTCCTATACCAGTATCAAAAGCACATTTATTAAGAATATATTTAGATGAAACTCCCTGGTGGTCATTCCATAAAAATCATTAAACTCTATCCATCATCCATCAGAATTTAGAGAACAGTACTTCAACTGTAAAATAAGCCAACATGAACAACCACCCTCAGGCTAAAGTGATTGAACATGACAAACACAAATATCAAAGTATGTAGTGTGAGAAATGGCCAGCTCAGAGTAAAACATGGAGGCAAACAAATACATATACATGAAGAAATAGTCATTTCCCTATCAAGCTATTAAGAAAAGTATCATTGAAGACAATACTTTTGCTATTTGTAGAATGATGAGCCTGGGTTTCTGGGAATAGAACTTTCCACAATAAAAAAAGTAGCCTGGTAATGGCTTGTAAGAAGGTATAAGATAACCTGATAAAAGGGGAATTGTGTTAATTTGCTTAGGGAGAGGGAACATGTTACATCTTCGAGGTAGAGAATGGGGATCATAGTTGCAACTCTCAATAGGAAGGCATTTTGATAACAGCTACTACAGATCTATTGTCTGCGCTCAATATTAGAAATTGCAATCCAAATATGTAAGTTAGGAGCACATGTGAAACCACCCCATATTATGCCTTGTTAAACAGAAGTAAATTTTGAATTACATGAGTTTTATTATGCAATCTCCTCAGGCTTCATTGTAGTGTTGTGACTTCTATTGTAAGTTTCCAATTTTCAAGAATAATGACAACGTACTTAAGCTTGCCTATTTTATGAAATAATACATTTCTATTTCAGGTGAGAAATAAGCTGCATGATGAACTCCTGAAGAAGGAAATTACATTCATTTCCTTCATTACAATATTTCTGCTACAAAATGTTAGTACAATGAGCATGTTTGTAACTGCAACCAGACAACTTTCACCACTAGTAATTATAGGGGTAGAACAGGTTTCACAAAATGGAGTGAAACAGGACAAAAGAACAGAGCCAATGAGGTTAGGGTCTGACAGCTGGTAGGATATCAGCCTAATGTAAAGTTTTGGTTTGCTGTGCTGGCGCTCAGCGTAGATTTATTAAGAGGGTTCTTTGGGGATGTCAGCCTCAGCCACTGTGACAGCAACATTACTATTACCAGATGATGCTGAGTCTTAGGATTGTTAGAGTCAGTTAAGTTTTCTGACTGTCTGGATTATAAGCAGTGGGAATCTATATAACATTTTCAAAGTTATTGATTTAGAAAAGTCACTGATCAAAAAGCAGGCGAAAATTCAGTGCTAACACCAAAAAAAAAAAAAAAAAATCACAAAGATAGAGATAATGTTAGGAGGAATTATATTTATTCCAGTACTTGGGTAGAAAATCAACTAAAATCTTGGACAAGTGAAATAAAATGAAATACAATGAAAACTGGAAGGGAATAAAACAAATCTCTGCTGAGTGCTTAATTAAACCTAGGAGGAAAGACAAAGTCAAACTGAATTAATAGAATATTTGCTATTGATGCTATTTATAACCTTGATTCAGAATCTTGAAATTTTCATTAATAAGGTATATCCCTAAATTCTAACCATTTCCACAAAGCTACAAACTAACAAAAATTTTACAAAATGCTTTAGAACAATATTTTAAATAATTTTTAAAAAATGGAATGGAAGATTGAAATTGAAATGTGGAGAAAAATAAATAATGCTTACCTGCCATAAATTCTGAGATTTATCCCTACTTACCCCTTTTCCTAGGCAAAATGAGAGGGGAATAATAAGGCCCTGGAGAGGTGAGTGACTTCAGTTCTTTGGAAGGTCATTGCTGTGTGGAGGAGCTGGGTGCTCATACAAAAATGACTGCACTGTCAATTCAAGGGGTATGTGTTTGGTCATTTATGTCAGAGGGGCTCGGTCTGATAATGTTAAGAAGTGAGATGTTAGGCTGGGCGCGGTGGCTCATGCCTGTAATCCCAGCACTTTGGGAGGCCAAGACGGGCAGATCACCTGAGGTCAGGAGTTCAAGACCAGCCTGACCAACATAGTGAAACCCAGTCTCTACTAAAACTACAAAAATTAGCCGGGCGTGGTGATGGGCACCTGTAGTCTCAGCTACTCGGGAGGCTGAGGCAGGAGACTCATTTGATCCTGGGAGGGCAGAGGTTGTGGTGAGCCGAGATTGTGCCACTATACTCCAAGCTGGGAAACAGAGCAAGACTCCGTCTCAAAAGAAAAAGTGAGATGTTACGCTGCTGACAGCATCGCTTGCCTTATGTGAATTCATGACTTCAGACTACCTGCACGACATGTTTTTCCCCTTTAAAAAGAGAAAAAGTGTGGTACTTTTAGAAGTATGAAGGAAAAACCCAAGCTGAATGTGGATAACTAACTCTTAGGATCTTTATAATATTTTAATCTAAAATCAATGAGTTCCTCCTTTTTAAGAGTTTTATAAATTTATGTCACAGTAAAATAAGAATGAGAATGTTACAAGAATGTTGAATATAATGTAATTATGGTAGGATAAGGAAATAGGTAGTAAGGAGCATGATTTTTCTCTCACTCATTGTCCATCCCTCCAACGACCCTACTTGCTTTCGGGCTCAGAGAAGTAGGTCCCTTTTTGGCCCACTTGGAGATCACGAAAACTTTGCTGGCAAACAAAAGGGGCAACGTCTTAATTTTCAATCCTTAATTTAAAATGGAAAGAGTTACGAAGCAGACAAATGTGACTGAGGGGAAAAAAATTGTCTGTTCTTTCTGCCTTCTCTAGGCAAATATGAGCAAGGAAGAAAGGAAGAGAAAAGTTGAAATGTTAGGTGCAAGTGTGGGGAGCTCTATACCTCAAGCCTCCTTCCACAGGTGGATGGAGAGTTGAGGAAGGGCACCTCACAAACATATCTGTCTTAGCTCTGGCTACTATAACAAAGTACCATAGACAGAGTAGCTTATAGACAACAGACATTTATTCCTCACAGTTCTGGAAGCTGGAAGTCAAGATCAGGATGCCAGCATGGTCGAGTTCTGGCAAAGGCCCTCTTCCAGACTGCAGACTGGTAGAAAGAGACAGACATCTCTGGGGTCCTTTTTATAAGGACACTAATCCTATTCATGAGAGCTTCACCCTCAGGACCTCATTTCCTTCCAAGCTTCCACCATCACATTAGGGGTTAGGATTTCAACATATGAATTTATGAACATAAACATTCAGTCCATAACAATATCTATCTCTTCAAGTATCTTCTTTCTCTTTGCCCCCTTTCATTTTGGTGATCTAAGAGTAACCTGTGTCTTCTGTTCTAGGATGTTACCAGCTTCCCAGAGAAATCACCCACCCCACTCAGTTGGCATGGCCAATAAAGTCAGAACATAGCACTACAGTAGGGAGGAGAGGATTGGAGAAAGGCTTCTTGGCCCTAGTGTGGGTCTTACAATTAGATAAAGTATCGTATTAGATGGCTATGTGACGGGCGTTCCCCACTGGAAATCTGAATCCGTGGCTTCATCTCAGCCAAATCTCAGCTGCAGAGTTGAGTAAGCTTCCCAAGACCATCCCTGCCCTTGAAAGGTGGAGGTTCATAACCTGTGCTGAGAACCTGGCAGGATGAACCAAGGCTAAGAAGTCAACACATTTCCATTCACCACCATGGCAGCATTGTGAGAAAGGCAAGAAGCGAACATCTTGAAATGACTGAGTTTAAAACTGGGAATGGCTAAAAAATCCCTTAGCTTACCTGATATGATGAGACTAATTTTCTACATCAAGTTAAAAAAAATGAGTAGGCTTCAAGTTAGAAATTAATGTTAGCATTTGAAAGTGAAAGAAGTTTCACCTGCATGCTGCGAGCTTTGTGCCTGCTGCTATAATAATGTTTCAAACAGGCTGTATGGGGGATCTCTGTCCTTCTCCCTCATTTGCTCCTGGATAATCATTTGGCTGCCACTGAAGCAGCGATCTGAGTTGTGCGGCAGCCAAGAAAATCTCAGATCCTGTGTTTGCTAATTGGACGTAGCAATTCATGCTCAGGGGCAACCAGTAAAATGGGCTTCACTCTGCCAGAATTGTTTTGGCTTGCATTTTTGGGTTAGTCACACTCCCAGTTCTCTGACCCCTGAAGTATCTTCCTGGCCAATAGCATCCCGATTCTCCACCCAGACATAGGGAATGCTCATTGCACTATATCTGGAGATGCCAAGGCCTTCTGTGGAAGATGAGGGTTTGCAGTTGGACAGAGCTTTTGTATTTTTCTGAAACTTGTTCACTTTAGAATAGAGTTAATATGATAATCAATTCACAAGAAACTAGAAGTCATAAACATTAGACAATAATATTCTGGCATATATTTCCACTTTAGAGATAATATAAATCATAGCTTGCAAGTCAAATTAGTGAAACAGGTGGCTCAACGATAAGACTTTAGGTTTAATTAAAATTAAATAACCTTTAGTTATGAAATTATAAAATGGAGGTCCAGATGATCACCTGTGCCTGACCTGTGCAGTGGATGCTTAGATTATTAAAGGATGTTTGGGAAAATGAGAAAACAATTACATTGGATCTTCAAATTACTCCTGAAGATTTACAATTTTTCTCTCTATATAAAGTTTGAAGTAGAGAACATTACCATAAAGAGAAAATTACTCTAGTTATTTAGAACTTTAAATAAGTCAGTTCTTCAAATCAAACATTTATTCAAAGCTCTTTGATTTGAAGGGTATTTATAGTTTTCCTAATTAGGGTATAACAACTAACAAAGTTTACATTTTGATTACTTTTCAATAGGACTTTTTTGGCATTTACTGTTTGATTTCTACAGCATGTCTTACTTTCCTCCATTTTACAAAGAGATATGTGTAAATGGAGGGGTTAAATTACGTGGTAGGTGCTATGTTGGCTACACTGGAGCTAAAAGGAACTCCTGCCTTCTGGTCCAGAGTCTACTGATTCATTTTTCCTCGATCAACTGTCCTCTGCCTCAGGGATGCCACAGAGAAGAAAACCAAGTCCTTTACACATAAACGTATGGTGCCTTAGGTAGTGGTTAGAGCTAAGGGGAAAAATAAGTACAGGCAGGGGGACTGGGGTGAACATGGGAAGTGCCTATGTGTGTGTGTTGGGGGAAGGGAAATTGTATTAGTCTGTTCTTATGCTGCTAATAAAGACAAACCCAAGACAGGGTAATTTATAAAGAAAAGAGGTTTAATGGACTCACCATTCCACATGGCTGGGGAGGCCTCACAATTATGGCAGAAGGCAAAGGAGAAGCAAAGCCACGTCTTTTATGGTGGAAGGCAAGCGAGCTTGTGTAGGGTAACTCCCATTTATAAAACCATCAGATCTCGTGGGATTTATTCACTACAACAAGAACAGTATGGAGAAAACCCACCCCCATGATTTAATTATCTCCACCTGGCTCCACCCTTGACACGTGGGGATTATTACAATTCAAAGTGAGATTTGGGTGGGGGCACAGCCAAACCATATCAGAAATTACTCCTAGTTTATGAGAAAAAGTCAAGGAGTGCTATATTGATGAGGTGACATCAATGTCAGTTTCTCACATCACCAATTTGTCACAAATGGTCAAGGACGAGAAGAAAATGTGGAAATGGATCCTGCAAATATCTAGGGGAAGAGAAGTATAGGCCAGGGATTATCCAGCCCACTACCTGTTTTTGTAAATAAAGTTTCACTGGAACACAGCCAAGCACAGTTGTTTACATATTATCTACGGCTGTATTTGCACAGTTTGTGCAACACTGGCACTGTTGCAATGTGGTTGCAACTTGGGCTGTATGTGGCCCCCAAAACTGAAAATATTTACTATCTAGCTCATTAAAGAAAAGGTTTGCTTACTACTGGTTTACACAGAGGCAATAACAAATGCAAAGCCCCGAGGCTGCTTGATATCATCAAGGAACAGCAAGAAAGCAAGTGTGGCTATGTTGGGATGGGCAAGGGGAGAGGGAGAGTAGGTAAGGACAGAGTAGAGAGTGGGGACTGGATCCTATAGCACCTTTATAGGCCATTGTAAAGAACTTTGACTTTTACTTAGAGGGAGATAAGGATGCTGAGTACAGAACTGACATGACATATTTTAACTTCAGCACTCTCTTTAGAGTAGATGACATGGTTCTAGGGATGGTGGCTCAGGCCTGTAATCTCAGCCCTTTGGGAGACTTGAGGCCATGAGCTTGCACAACATAGAGAGACCTCATCTCTAGAGAAAATATAAAAATTAGCTGTGGTGGTGCATGTCTGTAGTCCCAGCTACTCAGGAGACTGAGGCAGGAGGATTGCTTAAACCCAGGTGTTCAAAGTTGCAATGAGATATAATCACACCACTGCACTCTAGAGTGAGACCCTGTCTCAAATTTAAAAAACAACAACAACAAAAACTTGACTAGGTGAAAGGGGGTTTGTTTAACATATACTGCAATCACCCATATGAAAAATGATTCTGGCCTGAACCAAAGTATGAGGGTGGAGACTGTGAGAACTTGTTGAATTCTGAAAATATTGTAAGGATAGAGCTAACAGGATTTGCCAATGGACTTAAAATAGAGGTATGTGTGTGATGGCCAGGGGTGAGAGGTGAGGAGAGCAGGTGATCAGAGGTTACTGATGTGAGCCTGAACATCTGAGAGGGTAGAATCACCATTAACAGACATAGGAAGATTTTGGGAGGTGTAAGGTATAGATTGAAGTTGGAAGTGAAGAATTTAGTTTGGACATTAAATTTTACATGGCTTTTGGATATAAGCTTCTTATATAAATGAAAAGCATACACAAATAAAATCTGGAGTTCAGGGAAGAAGTTTGAAGTAAACATACAAATTTGGGAGTCATCAATGTTTAGATAATATTTAAGTCATCTTAATATCTTAAGTCACCTAGAGAATGGTTATAGACGTTAAAGAGAATGATTTTATTAGTTATCACTTAATACATGTGACAATTTTGAGCTAGGAACTAAAGTTTGCTATGTAATCTTACAACACTTTACTTAGGTATTTGTATGCTCATTTTACACACGAGGAAATGAAAAGTGTGAAGTGACTTGTCTGACTCTACTTAGCTAGCGAAATGTTAGAGGAGGCAGTAGGCAGACATGAGCAGAGCGGGAGAGGTCCCCCCGACCCAACCTTCCTTCCAGGAATGTCAGGTAATGGGCAGGCAAATTGTTAAACTGTCTCGCTAAAATAATAATTGATTGCAGCTAGTGCTAAGGAAAGGCCATGTCCCAACAGATAGAAAACACCTGAAGATGGTGATCAGCAGCTTCCCAGTAAGATCTCAGGAGTTGGTTGAGTGGGCTCAAACATGCACACTAAGAGGCAAAATAGCAGTGTTTAAGTGGTCTATGGTATATGACGTTCCTTTAGGAACACTGAATGGTAAGGGAAAAACATCTCAGATGAGCCTGTGCACAACTTCAGTAAACACACTGAGCACGCTCACCTCCCAAGTGCTGGCAGGCCACTGTGCACGCGGACAGCCTGCCTCAGGGAAAAATCAAGAGAGGGGAGATGCAAAAGCCCAGAACCATATCAACATGTAAAAGCTCAAGTCAAAGGTCAAACCGGGCACCTGGATCTCTCAAGTTGCCTGTATGGCCCTCTTCAGATTGTTCTTTACTTCCTTTTATTCCTACTCTAAAACTTCTTTTTTTTTTTTTTTGAGACGGAGTCTCACTCTGTTGCCCAGGCTGGAGTGCAGTGGTGCAATCTCGGCTCACTGCAACCTCCGCCTCCCAGGTTGAAGCGATTCTACTGTCTCAGCCTCCTGAGTAGCTGGAATTACAGGCACGCCCCATCATGCCTGGCTAATTTTTGTATTTTTAGTAGAGACGAGGTTTCACCATGTTGGCCAGGCTGGTCTCGAACTCCTGACCTCAGGTGATCCGCCCACCTCGGCCTCCCAAAGTGCTGAGATAGCCACCATACTTGGCCCAAAACTTCTTGATGAACTCCTGCTCAAAAGCTTCCCTCGGTCTATCTGTTTTATGCCCCTCAGTTGAATTCTTTCCTCTGAAGAGGCAAGAACCGAGCTGCTGCAGACACATACAGGCTCACCACTGCTAACAACAGGATCTAGGTATGTCTGCCTTAGCGGTCTGAGACCTCACTGTTATGTCATGACATAAGAAATAGAAATACAAAAGACTGAGCATCAGTAGCAAATATTTGAATAGTTGAACAAAAAAACAAATACTGAAGTAGGTAGCACATTGACACCAATATTGTCACCGGGTGGGTACCTCTCCTCTATGTCTCAATTGCAGTGAGACACCTCTTTAAGGAAACCACTAGACTGGTAAACTATGATAATGTTCTCATGGAACTTCCTCCTCAATTTCCTGAATTTAACAAACCCTCTCATCATGAATAAGCAGAACATTTCTAGCTTAAGAGGCAGCCACTGCCTAGGAATTTATGTATCAATGATATGCACATTTTAGGCAAACTACAGATTACTAAATTTGGATGCTCTTGTAGGTCACTGGACACATCCTATATTAAGTTAGAAAAAACAAACTTCATGACTGAAAAGTAAATATGAATCATTTGAAATAATACAGGGCAGAGAATGTGACTCATTGATAGATGTAACCCACAGTGTCACTAAAATCTTCACGGTGTTTCCTTTACCCTCACAAATCTATTGGCCCTAATCAAAAATGTTTTTGGTTGACTGATAGTCTCAAACTACTTTGTTTTCACTTTCTTCTCAAAAGTGCAGTCATATCCAGCTGCTAAAAAATGATGTGAAGCAAAGAAACAGCCTGGTATCCCTTTTCTTTTTCTTCCTATAGTCTTGGAATGAAAGGATCATTTCTTATTTCATCACAACAAAAATGGAAAGAGGCATGGCACTCCATGCTGAAGGGTGAATAGTGACTATCTTGTATGCAAATGTGAAAACCCCCATTTACTTTAATTATGAAGCCACACCTTGAGGTTATACTGTCATTACGGTTATGAGGAAACCAAGGAAGGGAAGTTGTACTGGGGGCCTGTTGAACAAGGAGATTAAGTCTTGGTACAAATATTTGGGTCATGCTGACCTGGATGAAATTTAGTGGGAGTAGTTAGAGGTTCTGAATGAGTGACAAGGGATTGAATGATTTCAGGGAACTGCCTCCTCCACCCGCCACGTTTTCCAACCCTAAGAGTTCTATCCTTGGAGGCCCATGCTCTGGGACCAAGTACCGTGGTGATGAGTATATGCCCAGTGGGAGAGTGTTTCTACAGAGTGTGAAATGAGACAGAGTAATTATCCTCAGGAGAATAAAAACATGCCTTTGACATTGGGTTTGTCTTACCTTTCGGGGATTCTGCTTCCCTACCACTAAATTGCCATCCCATTGGTTACCAAAACCAAGTTGAATCATGTTTGTATTCCCCACAACATCCAGCAAGATACCTGTCACATAGTAGGCCCACAGTTAATGTTTGTGGGATGAAATACTAATGCTCACCCTGCTGGCAGGTAAACAAACACTAAGATTCAGACTTTTGATCCTCTATCTTGGAAAATGCACTAACACTATTACCTTCCATCCCTCCCTTGCTTTATAGACTTTAATCATTTTGTGTCCCCAACATCACGATTATTTTTTTCTCTCGATTTATTTATGGGCCAGGAATAGATTGGAACTAAAATACCAAAGTGTAAGTAGTTACATTGCTTGTCCTTCCTTTGTAAAGAATATTCGTTCTTTGTGCTTCTGACCTATTCACCATTTTTTCCCTTCCTGATTAGCTAAGGCTATCAGCTGAGTGTCAGGGAGAAGGGAGTATATAGTGCTACATAAGAAAATATATAGAACAGAACAGTCTAGGAGGTGAGATGAGGGGGTATTTGGAGAGAGCAAGTAAGCCATCCAGCAAAGGCTGGGCTTTCTGAGGAGAGAGGGACATGGGGGTGGCGGGGGAGTATTTGAAAAACTGCCCTGAGCTGGGGTAGAAGGTGGTGGGGAAGCTGATAAAAGGGTGAAGAGAACTCAGAGGATGTTTTTCTATGCTAAGTGTTTTATCTTCCTTCAAAAGTGGCCTTAACAGATTAAAACAATATCTAAATTGTTTTCCAAGTCTTTGGAGCTAGGGGTGTGTGTGTGTGTGTGTGTGTGTGTGTGTGTGTGTTTGCATGAAAGAGAGAAAGAGAGAGAGTATGCTGAGAATTAAAAGGCCCAGTTTTATTTGGGGTAGAGTCCATATTTTTTATATTCATTTTACTAACATTTTGGTTTACTAACATTTTGGTTAACTAACATGTTACCAGGTAATTTAATGGAGATTTTGCATTTAAAAAATTGCATTCCTAAAGGAACTTAGTTTGTGCCATTGGTCATAGAATCAGGAACAGTGTGATGGCTACTAAAGGTGGAATTGGGACTAGGGAAGTGTGAAAATAGAATAATAGAATGCCATAAAAAAAGAGCAGCTGATGCGGAAGCCTAAAGGTAGTTAGGAGGCCAGAAATTTACCCCAAAGTGGAAGCTGTTTGACCCGGGCTGGGGGAAGCAGGTACTCCAGTTTTAGGTCTGCAGGTACATTATCTTTGGACCAAGTGTGTAGTGTTTCCTACAAACACATTTTAAAAAATCCATTCTGAGTTTAAAGCTAGATACCTAGTCCTGCTTGGAGGAACTCCATCCCATGGATACAGACTGTGCTTTCCTACCTTCTGCAAAAAACTTCTAAGAGTTAATTAGCATCCTTTGCATGTTTTCATTGTTAGTATTAATATGATTCTCTTGGCTCTGATGGGTCTTTAGAGAAAGTGTTCCCACCCTCCTTATGTTAAGGTTTTTGTTTTGGTCCTTTTTGATTTCTTATGTGGTAATCTTTAGGGTTGACCAGAAAGAAAAGAGTTTGCATCTAAATGTTCCACAGTTCAGTGACTAAGAGGGGTGACACAGCCCCAGAGCCTACGATGGCAGGCACTGTTACATCGGTCTCAATTAACACTGTCTCACTGGGCTGCCCTGTCAGGCAACTCTCTCTGAGGGGAAAAAGCAGACAGTTTTCTATTAGTATGTTGGTGTTTAGTTACTGACCTATTTTTCAGATGAAGAGTACTACTTTGCGTGCTGCATAGTTTTTAATTAAAAAAAAAAAGATGGCCAGGCGCTGTGGCTCATGCCTGTAATCCTAACACCTTGGGAGACCAAGCTGGGAGGATCGCTTGAGGTCAGGAGTTCAAGAGCAGCCTGGCCAATATGGTGAAACCCCATCTCTACTAAAAATACAAAAATTAGCCGGGCATGGTGGCGGGTGCCTGTAATCCCAGCTTCTCAGGAGGCTGAGACAGGAGAATCGCTTGAACCAGGGAGGCGGAGGTTGCAATGAGCTGAGATCGGGACACTGCACTCCAGCCTGGGCGACAGCCCTCAGAATCACACTTGGTGTGCTTGGCCTGCCCTTTGAGAATACTTTTTAGAAGTAATATGATATACGATTAGTCGCTGTCTATATATAAATATATATATAGGTGCGAATCCAGGGGTGGAATGCGGGATGCAGTGGAAGGAGGCAGTGAAGGTGAGGAAGGAACAAAATATTAACTTACACTGCTGTTTCAAGCTTATTTCATTACCACAGTATATTAGCTGTGAGTAATTCCATAAGGAACAAGCTTTATTGCTTGCTCTTTAGTCCACAAATCAAATTTTAATGAGTTATTTGAAAAGAAAAGCAAACCCTTTGGGAAAAGTTTAGCAAAATGTTCAATGTATTTACAATAATATTCAAATCCTAAAATATTAAAATTAAGACTAGTGGGAGCATTATTTCTTACCTCAGATACTCTTCCCATTTTAGAAATACCATTCCCATTGTAGAAACAGCACTTGAAATATATGAAGATGTATCAAGCAATTTCTGATTGCCTGATCAGGGTCTAGGTTTTTAGAATTTGACGTTATTTTTCACTCATATTATATATTAATGCCTACTAATTTACATTTAACTGTACATTTGGTTCTATTAGTTTTGTTTTGCACTTCTGGAATTTTCTCTTCACTCGGACTTTCTGACCCTTGTCTAGACATTTTCGTCTATAGTTTAATTACACCCTTACAAATAATATTAAATATTAAATTACAGAGGTAATCTCTGCAATAGTCAAGGCTCACTAACATCTGCCTGATCTGTTTTTGTAGAAAGGCCAGAGCTTATAAAATATCACAATGGGCCGGGCGTGGTGGCTCACACCTGTAATCCCAGCACTTTGGGAGGCCAAGGTGGGCAGATCACTTGAGGTCAGGAGTTCAAGACCAGCCTGGCCAACACGGTGAAACCCCGTCTCTACTAAAAATACAAAGATTAGCCAGGTGTGGTGGCGCATGCCTGTAGTCCCAGCTACTTGGGAGGCTGAGTCATGAGAATCACTTGCACTTGGGAGGCGGAGGTTGCAGTGAGCCAAGATCACGCCACTGCACTCCATCCTGGGTGACAGAGTGAGACTTGGCATCAAAAAAATAAAAAAAGTTCAAGACCAGCCTGACCAACATGGAGAAACCCCCTCTTTACCATAAATCCAAAAAAATTAGCCAGGCATGGTGGTGCATGCCTGGAATCCCAGCTACTTGGGAGGCTGAGTCAGGAGAATTGCTTGAACCCAGGAGGCGGAGGTTGGGGTGAGCTGAGATCATGCCATTGCACTCCAGCCTGGGCAACAAGAGTGAAACTCCATCTTAAAAAAATAAAAATCATAATATAGTGGATTGCTAGTTCCCAGATGAGTCTTGTGCATTTAGCTAATGATATTTGTTGAGTCCACTGAGGAACAAATGGTAACCAGAAATTAGTCAGGAGTCACAATTGTGGAAATGAAATTGTAGTACCACACTTTGAAGTGCTCAGGCCAAAACTCGAGGCATCATATTTACCTCTCCTGTCTCTGATACCCCCATACCATCAGCAAATCCGTTTGGCTCTACCATTAAAATATAACCCCGAATCTAACCCCCTGTGCACTACAATCACTTTTAACCATTCTGGTCCAAGCCACCAACCCCTTGCTGGATTATTGCAGCCATCTCTTCACTGTAGGAAGAACTGACAGTAGAAGGTAAAAATGGTGAGTGACAGATGGCTGCAATGATCTCTACTTTCTTTTACAATTAGATGCAAGTTGTATCTAAACTGCTATCAGAATATTTGATTGCAAAAACCAGAAATATAACCAAACTACTTAACGCAAAGAAGGAAAGAATGTCTCAAGTTTCCATAAAGCATAAGATTCGGGAACCAGAAAGTCAGAAATCAAGATTCTACTCTCGACCTCCTTGGGTCACTGGTGGTCATTCTCTGTCATCTCTGTGTCTGCTCCATCCTCCCGAGTTCTGTCTAAGAATGGGTACACTCAGCTGTGGTGTGTAGGAAATAAAACACACTACCTAGCCCTAGGACAACATGGCTTCCTCCTCATTCAGATTAATTTGTAATTTTGTAATCCAGTTCCAAATTCCCAGAAGATTATCTCTTGGCTTGCCTTATTTCTGGTTTCAGTCTCAGATCCTAGTGGTTTGGACCAGGAAACAAGGGGACCTGATTAAAATAGAGTTGCCCAGGCCCGTCATTTAGCAGGGGCTAGGGAACTCATTCAGAAAAGGTGGCTTGAACTAGACAAACCAACTAATTAACATCTGTGCTGCAATTTCCAAATAATTTAAATTCAATAGTCTATTAAACTATGTAGTGAATTAATTATTGTCATGCACACAGCCTTCAGGACTCAATAAACTGAAACTAAGTCAATAAAAATGAATGCTAGCAAGTGAGGTAGATTTGTTCTACTTTCCAGAAAGCTTTTGCCATTAAATAATTTCTCATTAAAATGTTTATTTTCAGTTTCTGCCTTCTCCATCTCAATCAGCATCCAGCTTACCTTTGCGATCTGTACCAGGTCCTGCATTAGTCTGGTAACCTTTAAACTGGATAATGAGGACTGATAGATTCAGAAATGTTATGAATTCTTGGTCTTTAGTCTTCTGCACCTGTCAATTTCATATGCTAACATTCTTTTAGTGTATGTGTAGTTTCGTTTTCTTAAAAAGTTGTCTTATTATTTTCATTGTGTTGGCAGAATATTTTTTAGTGCCACCTTGACTCAGCTAAATGTAAGATATATATTTATAATTTGTCAGTAGTATACTATTACATCATCACCTTATGGTCCATTCTTCAAACAGGTAAGAAATAATTTCATTCAGGAGAATGTCACCTAAAGGCAGAAGCTATTGAATTGCTTGAAATCAACATACTTACTCATTCATTCAAATAAAACAAATAAACACAACTTTTCTGAGAAATTATGATGGGTAAAATTCTCTGTTTTGTGCTCAATTTAAAAATGAATAATATAGATTATTTAGTTTAATGTATTTAATTCTAAACTTAAAATGTTTAATTCCAAATAAAATTCTCAAAATTTCAGTTCTAATTTGAAAAAACAAATTGATTAATTCTAACTGACTTATAAGAATTACTGTGAGTTTGAGGATCGATTATTTTACCTTTGCTATAATAAAGGTCGTTATTTTGGGCCATTGTTGGTTTTGGCCATTTGGATTTTCGGATAAGTCCCCGTGTCTCTGAGCACAGAGGATGGACTGCAAGTTCACAAAGGTAGGCTATATCCATCTTAAATTCCAGGTATTCACTAAGAACTGAAATTTTGAGAATGTCAGAATGAGTTCATAACCTGATGGAAAAGATAGAGTATAGAAATAAAAACAAACATTCTAGAGTCAGAAGTAGGAAACTGGCTTAAATTGGTGACTCTTTGAAGTCCCCTTTACCTCAAGGACCCTGATAGAATAGGAAACTGACATTTTTGAGTGTCTACAGAGTACTAAGCAATGCAGTACAAACTTTTCATATTCTTTCTTTTCCCCCTCCAGTTCATGCTCATAAATTTCTAAGAAGGTGGTATTAATCTCATTTTAAACCTGAGGAATCTGATCCCTAGAAAAATTTAAAATTTGCCCAAGATTACACATATTACCATGGCCTGGACTGAAGTTCATGGCTGGCTGACAACAAAGCCTATATTTTCCCACTACACCACAAAGCCTCTCAACAAGAAGTTGTCTTTTTTTTCTAGAAAGTTTTATAATCCAATGATGAAAAATTATCCAATAGATTTATTTTAGACCTAGGTAAGTAAAAAGGCAGATCATACAATTCTATGGGGTTGTGATCTGTCTGTTTTGCAATTTCCCCCTGTGGAATCACATGTACTTTTAAAAAGCTCTCAAGGTAATTCTGAGGCTCTCTTCCCCATTGTCTTCCAATGGTCTTTGCCTCCTGTTCGCTAGGTCTGCTCCTCCTTATCCGGCATGATCTATGGTGGGCGTCACCATGTCCAAGCCTTCCTGGCCAGTTAAGTGGCCCTCTGCCGTCCTCCTTCATTATTCCATCATTGGACTCATCACATCGTTTTACAATTACTATTTATGTTAAAAGTCGTCTCCGTTAGACCGTAGTGAGCTTGCTGAAAGCAAGGATTGCATTTTCGTGTCTTTAGTACCTAGCACACCGCCTGACAACAAAATGTTAGAGAACTAAATTAATAAAAAATTCAGAGCCACTTGGAAATAGTTTAGGAATGTCCTCACATTTGTTTTCTTGGTCGTTGCACCCAGCGAATCAACTAATTCAATAAATATTAAACGACAAATCAAAATTTTGTAGGTTCCAAATGCAAGACATCGTCCTGGGATGCGGAAGCTGCAGAGTGGACTACATTTCCCGAAATCCCTGGGCCCAGTCGTAGTTGGTTCGCTGACTGCTTTTGAATGCTGGTTAACTCAACCAATAGGGTGACGAGAATTTCCCTAAAGGAGAGGGAGCCGACCTCACAAAGAAGAGGGCGGGTGCTTCTGACAGGTTTGGAACTTAAAAAAACCCTTTGTGGCGGTTCCGTGGCTTTTCCGCAGACCAGAGCGCGCGAGGAGTCATTCGCTAGGAACCTGTCCCCCTCTCCCCGAATTAGGATTAGTCTTCCTGCACTTCCTTCCTTCCTTACGTCTTTCCTATTTCCACATCCTTCCTAATCAAGTACCTGTGCTTCCGTCCACCTGTCCTGTTGAACGCACTCTCCGGGGGGTTTCCCCGGCACAATCTCTTGTCTGTCTTTTCCAACTTGAGCCAGGCATTTGTCTCCAAGCATTCACGCGAGATGGGCAGTGCGGCCTCGGAAAGATCTGAGCAAAAACTTCATCCTATCCCCCTTTCCCCGTTCTAGAGTGAAGCTCCCAGGGCATTACTGAGTGGCTCATCAGCGTCAGGGCAGATTGAAGGTTCTGAAAAATAGTGGCAGCGCGGCGTTTCCTGCCACCCGCGCTCCTCCCCGGCGAGGGGCTGGGTGCGGGGTAGTGTCATCGGCCCGGGCTGACACCGGCCCTGGAACCGTTCCCCGCTGGCAGCCTCTTCCATCCCAGCAGCTAACTGCTAAGACCAGACACGTTCCACCAACAGTAACAGCTGTAGGAAAGAACCCGTTTTTTCCCGTCTAGGTTTCTCTCCTTTTCCTAGTACCTAAGTCCATCATCCTCCTGCCACTGACATATCGTTGTCTAGACGCTCTTTTTCAAAACTCAAATCCAATCAAACAAAAACAACGCCCGTCAATAAAGCAAGAAAAATAATACTGCAGCCAGCGGCCAGGAGCGTGCACCCCATTAACGGCGAGAAAGCATCAACCCCTGCTGTAATGACTGAATTGGAAAGAAAGGTTTCCTGCTGCTTGTTAGTCGTCAACATTTTTACTATGCCAGCTGCAAGAGAAGCAGCTGCATACTCTGGCAACTCGACTGGGGTGGGAGAAATTTAGCCAGCGTCTGGGATTTTCGCAGAAGATAATTTAAGCCCCAGCTTCGCTCGGGCTGGGGGGCTGGGGGCCTGCTGGGCCAGGGTGGGGGAACCGGGCTGCGGCGCGCATGCGCAGGTACCGCAGCCCGGCTCCTGGGAGGCCCTGCTGCCGCCACCGCCGCGGCCCGCGCTGTAACCGCGGCTGCCGCTGCTGCTCCGGGCGGGCGTTGGTGCCGTGTGCCGAGGCGCCCTGTCAGGCGATGGGGAGCGGCTGGGCGGGGAGAGCCGACGGCCGCGGCGGCGCCTGAGGAACGCAGCCGGGCTCGGGAGCGGCGAGGGCGGGCCGGTCCAGCGGCGGAGGAGCGAGGCGGGGCGAGGCAGGCGGCGCGGGGACCCACACCAGGCGCCTTGTGTGCGAGGCCGAGCGGCGGCCGCGGACAGAGAGCCGGCGACCCCCGGCAGGAGGAGAAGGAGCCGGAGGACGCGCCGAGGGACTGCGGGGCCGGGGCGGGCGAGCAGCGGCGCGGCCGCGGGCCATGGACGCAGCGGCGACGGTGGCGGCGCCGGGGGCGAGCCGGGGCGGCGGCGCGGCGCAGAGTCCGCCCGCGGCCAGGTGAGGCTGGGCTGAGCGGGCTCGGGCGCCGCCGCCACTGCTGCTGCTGCTGCTGCCGGGCCGCGGAGCGAGGCGGCGGCGGCGGCGGCTGAATCGGCACCACAGCAGCCGCGCCAAGCAGCGGCGGCCTCGGAGGAAGAGGGGTCGCCGCCCAGGTTTCTTGCGGCCGCCGCTCTTGTCGTCGCAGTATTTCCTGTTCGGATTATCTTTTGCTTCCCCCCAGCTGCCTCCTTACCCTCACACTCCCACTCCTCCGTTTCCGCGGTCGAAGCTGCCTTCGGCCCCGGGTGGTCTCCCCCGCCCGGGGACCCCCTGTGCCTCCCCTCCCGGGCTGCGGGGGAGCCCCTCCGAGACCATGAGGAAATTCAACATCAGGAAGGTGCTGGACGGCCTGACCGCCGGCTCGTCCTCGGCGTCGCAGCAGCAACAGCAGCAGCATCCGCCTGGGAACCGGGAGCCGGAGATCCAGGAAACGCTCCAGTCCGAGCACTTTCAGCTCTGCAAGGTGAACGGAGCGCGCAGCCCCGCGACACCGTCATTGAAAAATTGGGGTTGTTTTAAGGGGGCTACTCGGGCTTTACATGGGAATGCAAGGGAAGAGAACGCCAATAATAATAATAATAACTCTAATAAAAGGCTCGCTCCTCCCTTGGCAAACGTTTCTTCGGTGGGTTGTTTTGGAGATTGATACCTTACTCCTTTTCATTGATTTTTCTCTCTCCCCTTTGCACATGCAGCAATCAGTTCAAGGTTGCTTCAAACTATTATCCGACCTTTAATCGTATTCTGACACTGCCAGTAATAACCTGGAAGCTTTTATATTCAAGCGTTTTAATATGATTCACCAACTTCGAAGTTTCCTTTGGAAACGGTGTCTAATGAATGTTGTTTATCAAAAAGCCAAACCTGTTCTACCACACCTTTGCTCATCACTTTTCCCTTAAAATGTGGTGTAAGTGGCTTACGATATGAAATCACAGGGTTCTTTTTATCATTATGTTTGTTAAAAAGTACTGAGATTTTTGCCTGTTAATGGCACGATAATTGCCATAGCGTTCTGTAATTCAGAAAGAATGATGCAGCGAATTAAGTCACCAGCTGCTTAATGAGAAACACAAACTTGCCTCGGTTTTAATACCTGCCTTTCTCATAAATAGCCATGTATTTGTATGTCAGAGTTAATTAAAAGTGTGCATATATATATATATATATATATATATAGGTCTAATGCCCTAAAATGATTATGGCCTTAATAGTAAATTGCAAAAATGTATGTTGTACTCATCTTCATTCTGTTACAAGTGTAAAATGTTGGGATAGAGGTTTGATTATTGCTCTACTGAATGCTTGACTAAAGTAATTATATGACAGCTTTTCCTTAGAAGTACTTGCGTTAGCATCCAAATAAAGTAATGATGAAATGAATACTGCCAAAATAAAGTATGAATTGCATTTAATGGGTTTACAGAATTTTGGACCATTGCAAACTTTAGTCATCTGGTGTCGGATGTAGTAGTATAGAATATTAATAAAAGATTTTCTTCTATGGAATACCAGTATTATGGAAAAGCGAAATTAAAGTATATCACTGGACTAGATTTTTGTTTGTTTCAGGTTCTATGTGAATAACTTTGTTAATGTAGGTTTCACTTATTTTTTCAAAAGCAGTAAGTGCATGTGTATGTGTTTTGCATCAGTGGTAGTGGTTCTAAATTCTAACGCCTCTATTGACTTTCTATTTTAAAATTTCGCTTGCTGCCTTGGTTGCTGTGATGTCACTTGCCCATCCCTAGACTGTTCGCCATGGATTTCCCTATCAACCCTCAGCCCTGGCCTTTGATCCTGTACAGAAGATCCTGGCAGTGGGAACTCAGACTGGTGCTTTAAGGCTGTATCCTTTCTTTAATTTTATTTTTTAACTTCTACTTTGTTCTCCCCAGTCCTTCTGTGTTGCTGATTAGTTCCAAAGAAAGTTTTTATTTTCCTGTTGGTGTGATTAGATATATACTATGAGAAATCATGTGTTGGCTTTTCCCTTGATTATAATTCAGCTTATATACTGCTGTGATGTTTCTCAGCTCCTAGTTTATAGTAGCTAAACATATATCCAAATAGAGGTCTAAAGTTTTTTTATGATAACTATTTTATTTGTAAGGAGATAGAAGTTTCTAAGGAAAAATATATCTGCTTCTATACTATTGGTGTGATGAATGAGGTATGTTAAGGATGAGGTTTAAAGACAATTACTTTTAAAAATATTATGCATGGTAGATATTGAACTTATGACCTATTCTAATAAATTAGAGATTGGATTTCAATCTGAATTTGGTTGTTTTTGGCATGTCCGTGTAGAAAAACAATTAGCAGAAGTGTAGCAAATTAATTTTCTATGAATAGTTATAAATGGTTAATATTTCTACCAGTTTTTAGAGCGTTTTCTTGAAAAATGCATGGGGATAAATTTTTTCTCTTGATATACTTTTTCTCTCATAGTCTACATTTGTTATGTATTTGTAAAAACTGTTAGGTTACTATACATTAAACTAGTAGTATAGAATTACTTTTCCTGGTTGTGTATGAACTATATTAGTTTTATCAAGCATTTTTTTAAATACTTCAAAAGATTTTTTTCAAGATAATTTTTTAGTGAGAACAGTACAGACGACTCACTTTCTATTTTTATGTTGAAATGTGTTTTCTTTTACTGTGACTTTGAAACATACTTAACCTAAATATATTCTTAAACTTAAGATTTGGATTCATCTATCTGTGGGATATCTACCTCCTGCATATTAATGAGTAATGTGTTGGTGATAAATAGAAAAAAAAAATCACTAGATGATTTCAGTAGACATTACTATTGTCAAAAAAAAGAAAAGAAATATACGATAGGGGAGGAGCTTTACCCCTTTATATTTTAGATTTTTCTGGTTCCTGAGAAGGAGTGAGGGAACCTGCATTTGAGTTAAACATGTGCCAGGCATTTTACTTACATTTTAAAGTCATTATTTCAAAGAAGTACTATGTGATACATACAAATATATATATATGTATAGATAGATAGATAGATAATGCCTCAAGTTTTATTTGTCACTTAATGTGCTATCTTCAAAATGCTAATAGAAGTTTTAGGATGGACTATTGAACTGTGTTACTAAGTGAAGTCTACTATACATAGTAAATACTACGCAGTCATACCTTTATAAACGACAAAATCTGACCAGGCTAGATCTGAATCTGTTAATTTCTGAGACGGTGTGTCTGAAGTGCTCTTGCCCAAATATCTAGATAGTTATGACCAGAATGTTTTTTGGCTTCAATTGTTAGATATTTTTATTCCTGAACTCAGTGATCAAGACCATCTAGTTTAGGGTTGTGTGAAGACGGGAATGAAGTTATTTTGTCAGTGTGGGCCCTGAGTGTTCAGCAAAACTCTGTAGTGACGAGACTAGTACAGCGTTGGATCTAGATGCATTCTTTGGAACTGAAAGCAGTTTCTTTTTTTTCCCAACAAGATAATTTCATAACTGGACTAGAAGAAGGAAAGTAAAGTTGAATTAAATCAGCTATTTTTCCCTTATTTTGCTTTTCTGTAAAATGAGTTTAGGTTTTATTGTTTTCCCAGTGTGGTCTCGACATTCTTTTGGTAAATAACCTCTTTTCCTTGTAACATCCAATCTGGCCCTTTTATAATTTAGTATAATTATAAGTGAGTACCACCAGCAAGGCTGATTTTATAAAACCAGATTCTTAGACAACACTTTTACCCTAATGCATTTGTGTAATTAGCAAGTTGGCACAAAAGGTGTAAAGCGTTAGGCCTAGTGTGAATTGCCAATTAAAATCAAGGATCAGGTGGCCAAAATTGTCACTTGTATATAACTTTTGGTGTACTTTCTATAGTTAAATATTATGTGAATAAAAGTGAACCTGTAATTATAGTTTGCAATTATACTCTAAAGTTTTTTTTTAGAACCTCCTTACTAAGAATGAAGTATGGAAAACTGTTTACTAAATTACCTTCTACTTTGCCTTTTTATGAGATTTCTATGGACATTCCAGAGTGCTAAATTGGCTTGCTTGCCAGTAATACCACCTAGTCATTCCTTCTGTTGGGTTTAAGTAGCAGATGAGCTTATGAGCTTTATTTATTATGGTTCTGATTTATAGAAAATGACTAAGCCCTTTTTATTTTATCTCATTTTCCATATATGTGCTTTCAGGTATATGTTAGTGTCTCTTTCTTTGTTATTTTTGAAACTGGACACCTAAATTCCGAATCTCCACATTTGGTTAACGTGCAGATTTACTACAAGTGTGTATATTTTGACTTGGATCTTTTGTATATTTTCCTATTGTAATTGGTTTCTTTTGATCCTTTATTCTCTTCTTGTATTAGACTCTTGTAGTCTGTAACACAGTTATCCTAAAAGATATCATTAGAGCAGAAAATAGACTTCTAGATAAAGTATTTTCCTTGCAGATTGAAAAGTAGGCGATGTTTTCAGAAGTAAGATTAGGCTATTACAATTCCAAATGTGTATGTAATTTGACTGATGAATATCTTCCTAAATGTTAGAAGACTTTACTAAATTGATTTATCTACTCTGGGTTAAAACCAAAAAATCAAAGAAGAAAGATATATCTGATAGCTAATGTTTGTAGACAAGGATTAGTGAAAAATCTTAATCCTTTAATAATACATAACAAATTATGAGGCAAAATAAATTAAATGTATTTACTACATTAATGTATAGCAAATGACATATGATATAAATATGCTGAATGCTAAACCTTCTTGGCTTCTGGAGAGAATATGAGATTGAAGAATGAAGGTATTTTTAATAATGTTACTGTCTTTATCTAGACTTCTGATTTACTACTAAAATTTCAAATTGCTTCATACTTTAATCATGGGTTACCCTGATCTTATTTTTAAAGTAAATTTTTTTTCTAAACACAATGAGGTCATTATATATATGAATATTTCAAGGACTGAGCAGAAAAATGGAATTTCAGGTTTACTGAACTTGTGTAAAAATTTGAGGTTTAAAAATGAATTGTCAAATTATTATCGAAGAACCTCATTCATTGTCTTCTTGACTGGTGGAAAATACAGTGAAATAGACAATCTCTGTTTTGATGAGGCATGGATTGTCTTTTAATGCAGAGTAATGTTGCTGGAGACAGGCTTACAAAGTGATTTTTTTACCTTACAGTTGATTTAACAAGCACTTGAGTGTCAGACAACATTAGATTATAAATTGTGGCCTGAATTCTGGTTCTTCGCTTTCCACTAAATAATTACATGTCCTTGAATTAGTTTTTTTTTTCCTTACTATAAAAATGAAGGTGCAGTATTAAATGATTTCTTCAAGGAAGAATTTTATGATTTCAAGTAGCTATGTATTCTAGAGGAGTAATACAAAAGAAATGAAAATGTGATCCTTCCTTCAAAAAGTTTCCAGTTCTAACCAAAGGACTGGAACTAAATAAGCAGTTGAAATTTGAGAATTATTTGGGGCTCTACTGACATTACACAAAGTCAGGTTACATGTAAATTTGTTGCATTTGATGAACATTTCTATACATTGGTAGATAAGTATTCAGAATGACAGGGAGGAAGGAGTGGGAAAATTATTCTAGGCAAGGAAAACAGTATGGGCAAAAGCATGGAAAAGGGAATTATGCGAGTTTGGAGGAATACTAATGAGGCTAGTTGGAATAATTGAGTTAGCAGGAGAAATAAGGAGGCTGTTGAGGGTCTGCAATTTTAACCTGAGGTATCTGCATGATATTCAGTTAGGAATCATAGTTATGTAATAGGAGATGCTGACAGGAAGAAAGCATGATTTTTTAGCATGATTAGTGGAGTAGTGGTATAGGTGAAAAGAATGGACCAAGTGAACTTCACAGAAAATTATTAATCCATATAGGTAGTAAAGTGAATCCAAAACAGGGGTGGCAGAATGGGAATTGGAGAAGGGCTTGACTTGTTTGTATAAAATCTTAGGGAGTAACTAAAGATGATAAGGTTTTGCAAGTAAAGTAATGAGGCAATTACAAGCGAAGTGAAAAACTTGGCAAAGAAGTGGCAGAGAAATGTTGAGTTTGAAATTATGTTATCTTTAACTTTTATTGTATTATCATTTTGGGAGAGTAGCCTAGACTTCTTATTTTAGTGTGAGAATTTGATATACTTTCACTGTTTTGTTTTGGTTTTTTTTGGCTGGTCCTTGGTGATTTCCAGAATTTTGTTACTGAATTTATATTTAAGGTCATTAGTAGCTGTTTGGCATTGTCCATTTATTTTCTGTCAGTGTTTCTCAAAGTGGTAGCTTTTTGGGCAGAATAATTCTGTGGGTTTGTCCAGCACATTGCAGGATATTTAATATCCCCGTCTCCCACCTACTAAATGCCCATGTTGCCTCCCCTGTCAGTGTGGCAACCCAGACCCTCCAACACACTTCCAGGTGCCCCTGGTTGAGAACCACTGCATTTAGCCCAAGTTCTTCACCAGTTAAATAAGAATAATAACCCTACCTAGCTTGTGAGGTTATTGTCACGATTAAATCTAATAAAATGTGTGTGTGTAGCTTTTACGATCATGAAGGGATATTGTGGTGGATACATGATTATTACATTATTATTATAATACATGATTATTATTAATATGAGAGTTTTTCTGTGGCTTTAATTTTCAGGTCCTTCATTTCTCTCAGCGAATACTGAGTGGCAACTGTGTAGGAAGGACTTCATTTCATTTATTTTTGTAGCTAATACAAACTTTGAGGAAAAGATACTGAAAAGCACTGTTCTTTTCTTTGAGTTTGTTTTTAAAATGGTTGTGTTCAGCCTGGCACAGAGGCTCACGCCTGTAATCCCAGCACTTTGGGAGGCCAAGGCAGGCGGTCATGAGGTCAGGAGTTTGAGAACAGCCTGACCAACGTGGTGGAACCCCATCTCTACTAAAAACACAAAAATTAGCCTGGCGTGGTGGTGCACGCCTGTAATCCCAGCTACTCAGAGGCTGAGGCAGGAGAATCGCTTGAACCCGGGAGGCAGAGGTTGCAGTGAGCCAAGATTGTGCCACTGCATTCCAGCCTGGGCAACAGAGCAAGACTCTGTCTCAAAAAAAAAAAAAAAAAAGGTTGTGTTCTTCTCAACCACAAGTTTTCAAAATTGCTACTTAGATGTAATAATAATGTATGTGAAAGTTTCTCACATATGGTAAATGCTAAATTGATTAATGACTTTCTGTACTGTACTTACAAGATAGCATTAGAATATTTTGACTTGCTACTTAATTTTATTATATAAAACATAATTATACCATGGAAAAAAAATGGAAATGATTTTCATTTGAAATAATTAAAAGTAAAATAATTAGTTTAGAATTTAGCCAGTGTGTTTTGTTTGTTTGTTTATTTTGAGTCGGGGTCTTACTCTGTTACCCTGGCATGCAGTGGCAGGATTATAGCTCACTTCAGCCTCCACCTTCTAGGCTCAAGCAATCCTCCTACCTTGGCCTACCAAGTATTTGCGACCACAAGTGTGTGCCACCACTATTTTGTTTTATTTTTGGCGGAGACAGAGTTTCACCATATTGTCCAGGCTGGTCTTGAACTCCTGAGTTCAACCTCCCAAAACGCTGAGATTACAGGCATGAGCCACCACGCCAGATTTTATCCATTCTTCTCCCTCCCCATCATTTTTGTTCATAGCTACTTTCCTCCTCCTCCATCCTTTTTTGTTCATGGAAGAGTTCCGGTCATTTGGAATTGTAGTTGTGCAGGAGAAACAAGGAGCTTGAAATACTCAGCTCATATCTCAACTGTTAGCTCCTTTAGCTCCTCATTCAAGAGGACATTGCATAAAAGGAAGAATAAGTGCTGTATCAGCTGTAAGTTGTGATTCTTAGCATGGACTACCGCAGCAGGAGGAATAGGCACATTTATTTCAGAACAACCAGAAATGGAATCTGCTTGGAAACAGTTTATTTCGCAGTGGATTTCTTGTGGAAGGAAACAAATGTGATAGAAACCATGGAATTGAAAAGAATATGTTAACTATTGGAGATTCAAGTCCGTGCTTTGTAAGCCTTTCTGCTTTAAGTAAGATGAGTTTTTATCTCTGTTGGATATTCTTTGTTTTCTGTTTGGTTTTCAGTATGATTCATTTGAAATTACAACCTAACTTTGCCATCCTAAAGGAAAAAGTAAAGGCATTTTGGAAGAATTGCCTTATTATTAGGAGATTCTTGTTCCAATAATCTTCAGACTTACCTTGTATAAGTCAACTAAAATCTCTGTGCTTCAGTTTCCTTTCTTGTAAAATGAGGAAATTGGGATGTGTTATTTCCAAGAATCCTTCCAACTTTTGGACCTTAGAATTTCTTTTTCTGTGGGGGGATTTAGGAATTCTTTGGACTGTGTTCCTGTAGAGGGATCTTCTGGTTGATTGCTCTGAGTTCCTGTTAAAGAGAATGAAGTGTTAGACTCCATACCATTGCGGCTCCCTCAGCTTTGTGTCCATTGACTACATTCATAATCCAAGTCAGTAGAAGCACAAGTGTAAACCTTTGTTTACAGAAGGGACCAGGAAAGAGCATGTGAATGAACTAACACAAATGTCTTTCCTTGAAACAGTAGCTCACATTGAATACTAAGATGGTGGTTTGTAGCATTTTCTGTGTATAACAGATAAGGTCTCATTATGAAATAGGAAACCAGGACTTTTTTTTAATACCATTAACAAAATTCACCTTCTTCCTTGGTTGTTAAATGTCAGGATGTAAAATTAAAATAAATTAACTTAAACAAGAATATTGAGTTCCTAATCACATGATCTTAATAATCTTTAGAGATTTATTAATAGAGACTGTCTCTCTTGAATTGCTAGTATGTAATTTGAGTACTAAATTTGGTAATTGTATAGTGTAATAACTTGGAGTAATAATTGCTGGGCATGTACATGTAAGTAACTGGACTATAGGTTTGAGTATCACTAAAGATAAGCTTAATTGTTGGATCAATTTGGCTTTACCTTTATGCACTGGAAGAGGCAATTATTTACAAGAAGAATTTTTTCTTTCTTTTTTTTTTTTGAGATAGGGTTTCTTTCTGGAATACAGTGGCACAATCACAGCTCGCTGCAGCCTAGACCTCCCGGGCTCAAACGATCTTCCTGCCTCAGCTTGCCAAGTAGTTGGGACCACAGATGTGAGCCACCTCACCTGGCTCACATAATTTTATATATGTGTGTGTGTGTGTGTGTGTGTGTGTGTGTGTGTGTGTGTGTGCGCGCGCATATATATATTTTTTCTTTTTCTTTTATTTTTTTCTTTCTTGCAAAGATGGGGTCATACTATGTTGCTGAGGCTGGTCCCCTGGGCTCAAGCTGGGATTAAAGATTATGAGCTACTGTTCCCAGCTACAAGAAGAAAATTAATAATTAGGATATCAGTAGTGTAGCAGTAATAATTAGTAATAATCAGAATGTGTATTTGTTTTCGATGTTTAAATGAAAGTTTCCTGACCTGATTTGCTATATTAGCATCTTCAGAAGGTATACTTGGTATTTTGGGATGGCAGATAAGGAAATAGTTTTTTTGGTTTGACCTAAACAGATGTTTATCTGTTTAAGAGTATAACAGATTGATATAAAGAAAAGGGCATTTCACTATTAATACCTTTTAGATTTGAATTTGAATTAAGATAGATTTTAAACATAATATAGTTCTACAGAAGTTCTTGGGAAGCAAAACAAAGTGATTACTGACATGATTTTTATGAAATAAACCAAGAGTTCATAAAACTATAATAATAAAAAACTGCCAAAAGGTACTTGATACATTTCTCTTCCCTTAGTCATATGCAGCACACATTATTCTAAGGAGAAGTTATGGTGCTTTCTAATTTAGTTACTTAGACTTCCTGTAGAGACATTCAGGTTTCTATACAATACAATTATTTTGCACTTTAATTTGAACGCATTTCTGATGTTTATTAGCAGTAATAAAAATAAGGACTTTTTCATGATCTTCTGTATATCTGTATTATCATTCTTAATATTTCTGAATAAGTATATTGCCATCATCTACTTTCAGATTTAGCAATTCTAGTTGGTTGGTTTAATCTCTTATTTTCCTCATATTTACTTTTAAATAAATTTTGGACACCAGCTCTGTTTACCATGTAACTTATCTTTTTTCTTTTGGCCATGAGTGGAAGGTAAGCTGAGGTGAAGGAGGTAGGGGTAAGAATTGTTGACATAGTTTACTGCTTACTAGTGAGTGTTCCTCAATGGCCATGTGTTTAGTGAGTCCTTAAGTCTAGAATAAACTTTTCTCTGTTTAAATAATTCTTATGTTTAAAACCCAATGTCTTTGTGATATATGTTTTGGTTTGATTCCATCCCAACTTCCATCCTATTTAGCCATCTTTTTCTTAGTTGAGCCTTTAAAATTTTGATTTCCGCATTGCCATTTCTTTATAAGTAATATGTGACATTAAATGTCTAAAAATAGACCTTTTGGAAATTGTAGCTGTAATATGGAATGGCATTTTCTTTTAAAATAAACTACGAAGAATGTTACAGGGTATGAAAAAATACCGTGCAGTCCAAAGTAATGCAAATCAGCAAAATCAGCCAGTATCCTCTCCTTTATCAAGAGTCCGGAAATTAAGACAGTAGGAGTGTATAAATTATAAAATCAAGATGAGGGAACACACAGATTCCTAAATGATCAACTTTATGTCCTTCAGTAAGGATCATAGGGTGGATGAGTATGTGTGTGTGTGCAGACACTTAAAGAAGATCTGAGTCTGTAGGAGTCAGTGAACATTTCCTGTAAAAGACCAGATAGCAAATTATGGTAGGCTTTATGGTCTCTGTGACGGCTACTCAACTCTGCTTCTATATTAGCACAAATGCAACCATAAACAATATCTAATGAATAAGTGTGCGTCAGTAAAACTTTATTTATAAAATCAAGCAGTTGGCTGGATTTGGCCCACAGGCCAAAGTTTTCCAATCTCTGCCTTAGTTTATCAGCCTGACTTGTTTTTAAAGGATATACAGAGAAGAATGTTCAGTAAGAAATACATTTTTAAATTTAAACTTCATTAGTAGCACTTGTTACTAGTTGAAATTTAACCTTTTGTCACAAATAAGAGTCTTAAAAAGAATCAGTAATTTTTTTTTGTTTGTTTGTTTGTTTTGAGACAAGGTCTGGCTCTGTCGCCCAGGTGGAGTATAGTGGTGCTATCTCGGCTCACTACAACCTCTGCCTCCCAGGCTCAAGGGATCCTCCCACCTCAGTCCCCCAAGTAGCTGGGACTCCAGGTGCACGCCACCACGCCTGGCTAATTTTTGTATTTTTTTGTAGAGCCTGGGTTTTGTCATGTTGCTTAGGTTGGTCTCGAACTCGTGAGCTCAAACCATCCGCCCACCTCAGCCTCCTAGAGTACTTGCATTATAGGCGTGAGCCACTGCGCCGAGCCAATTTTTTAATCAGTAATTTTTAATAATACATAGTAACTCTATATATCAAGGTAAATTATTTTTATAGGTTTTTTTTAAATCTTGTGAGAGGTGTGTTATCTCTGGAATTATGATTAGTATAATAATAAAGGTAGCTTAATTAGGCATCCTTTGAGGGTAGTTTAATGATTAGCTCAATTATTGAAGTGTTTAGCTTGACTTCCTAATTTTAATTAAAAATATACTTGCCTTTGTAGCTTTTTCTTAATATCTTTCTTAATATCATATACATATGTGTAGGTACATTTAGATAGATGCCTTTAAAGATAAAAGTGAATGTAAGCATTTTATTAAAATATTGTGACTTCTTTGATGTTACAGATGTTTGTCAAAAATAACCGGGAAAAAACTACCTGAAAAATGAATAATGTATTTTTTAAAAATTCATGGCTGGGCACGGTTGCTCACGCCTGTAATCCCAGCGCTTTGGGAGGCTGAGGCAGGCGGATCACTTGAGGTCAGGAGTTTGAGACCAGCCTGACCAACATGGTGAAACCCCGTCTCTACTAAAAATATAAAAATTTGCCGAGCGTGGTGGCAGGTGCCTGTAATCCCAGCTACTTGGGAGGCTGTGGCAGGAGAATCACTTGAACTTGGGAGGCGGAGGTTGCCGTGAGCTGAGACTGCGCCACTGCACTCCAGCCTGAGCGATAGAGTGAGACTCCATGTCAAAAACAAAAAACAAAACAAAAAAATTCATAAGGCTCCCAGAATAAAATTCAGATTCTTGGCCACTTTCTTTAGAATCAGATATATTACATGCCTCTTGTTGGAAAGAACATATATGGTAATTTCATTGGAAACTGAAATTTTATCTACTTTTTGAAAATATTTTATAGTTGCCCACTGACCACTCTTTGCATTATCCAGTAGCAGTAAATATAGATATAATTTTATTTAGTAAATGAGGCTAATTTTTACTTGATTCCATTTCTCCAACTAGTATTCTTTTGGAAGTATATGTAAAAATATATATATGACAAATAAATGAAATGATAACATGCTGAGCATATTTCTTTATATTTATTGGAGCTATGATTTTAACGTGAGCATTCACCCAGAAAGGTTTTTAAATAAAAAATAGCTGATAATTTTTGTTTTATATTAATCTTCATTTGAAAAATAAGGTTTGCTTTATACAGCTTGTTATTTGTAAGATATATGACGAGTCCTAGAACTCACATGGTAGCTATTGTTAAACAGCAAGTTTTAAACAATTGGAGGTGTTTTAATAATAGTGTTTGGTCTTGTTTTTTATTTTCAAATAAGTGCAGTCTGGAACTTTGAAGCTTTTCCTTGTGAAGTTGTTTGTTGAGTGCTTAATCCTGCTCTTTCTTTAAAGTACGTAATCTTTTCTTGTGATGGCAGTACCTCTGCTGTTTCACAGCAGCTCTCTGTCAAAGGTGACTATAAATCTGGCCGCATCAGCTATTGCAGTACTTTCTGCTAAATGGTTTTCCTTTGTGCGTTTGTCTCTTTTTGTCTTTTGAAAAGGAAAAAAAAAAGTGTTGAAACAGATTTTTCCATCTGTTCAGTCTTTGTACTGTATTTTTCATAATGTGTTGTATTTTTCTTTTAAAATTCACTTAACATACTTGAGAAAAGAACTTAGCCATTAGGCATCTGGGAATGGATGCTGGGATAAAAAGCTGTTTTTACTTATATGTGAGAATTTACATTCTTTCTTGTTCATTTAACCCAGACCACTATTATTTATGACTACGTAGTAAATAGTAGTTTGAGCAAGTGGTTCCTTTAAAAGTATATTTATCTATCAAAAGCCATTCTAAAGAATTGCCTGTGATGACAAATATAATTCATTTTTGCCTCTTCAAAAACAGTCCTAACTCCAAAACAGTGAATATTAAGAATGATTGTTTTCAACCACTCTAATTTGTTCACAAATAATAAAAAATTTCTTACTAAAAATAATAGTGGAAGGAGGTAACTAGAGGCTTATTCCAACCCAGTGAATACTATAATTATGTATTAGTCTGAATGTTGCAATTACTTTTCTGTTTTGGTGCTTGTTTTATTCACATTAAAACAAAAAAGCAGTTGACCGACCTAAATTTTCAGATACTGTTGGACATTTGTAAAATGTTACAGTTGTCTTGACTTAAAGTTTTAAATGTTGATGTGCACATTTTTCATGGCTATTCTTAGCATCTTGTTAAATTTTTACTGCAGAAATAGTTCATTTTGTAGTTTTTCTTAAATGAGATTAGCAGAATATAAGCATTGAGTAAGCAGTAAAAATTAATTTTGCCTACTCTTATCATGATGATGTGGCTATCTTCATTTTTAATATATTTTCTAAATAGACTTCATTTTTTAGTGCAGTTTTAGGTTCACAGCAAAAGTAAGTGGAAGGTACAGAGATATTATATATACTCCCTGCCTGTCCCAAAACATTCGTAGCCTCCTCCATTATCAGCAGAGTGGTACATTGAATCTACATTGACACATCATTTTCATCCAAAGTCCATAGTTTATGATAGGGCTCATTCTTTGCACATTTTATGTGTTTAGACAAATATAATTACATGTCTTTCATCATTATAATATCATACAGAATATTCTCACTCTGCAGAGTTTTGTGCTGTTCTTCGTGTAGATCTTGTACATATTTGTTAGATTTATATTTAAGTATTTCATTTTTTGGGGTGCTAATATAAATTTCAAATAATTTCAAATTAATTATTTCAAATTCCACTGGTTCTTTTCTGGTATATAAGAAAATGAATGACTATGTTTTTTGGTTTTTTTTTCTTTTTTAGAGACAGTCTTGCTCTGTTTCCCAGGCTGGAGTGCAGTGGTACAAACACAGCTCACTGCAGCCTCGATCTCCTGGGCTCGAGCAATCCTTCCACCTCAGCCTCCTGAGTAACTGGGACCACAGGTGCACACCATCACACCCAACTAATTTTTAAATTTGTTGTAGAGACAAGGTCCTGGCATGTTGGCCAGGCTTGTCTTGAACTCCTGGGCTGCAGTGATCTCACATCCCAAAGTGCTGGGGTTTACTGGCATAAGCCACTGTGCCTGGGTGTGAATGAGTTTTGTATGTTAACCTTGCATATCCTGGCCACCTTGCTATAATCACATATTGGTTGCAGGAGTTTTTCTGTTCATTCTTTCTGATAGCTGCATAGTTGATCATGTTATCAATGAACAAAGAAAGTTTTCTTTCTTTCTTCCTAATCTATGTGCATACCTTTTATTTCCTTTGCTCATTGCATTAGCTGGTGCTCCCATTACAGTGTTGAAAGGCGTGATAAGAGGGATATCCTTGCCTTGTTTCTGATTGTAGTGGAGAAGCTTTGAGTGTTTTGCTATTAAGTGTGTTAGCTGTAGTTTTTATGTAGATGTTCTTTATCAAGTTGAGCAACTTCACCTGTATTCGTAGTTTACCGACAGTGTTTATCTGGAATGAGTGTTGGATTTTCTGCATCAGTTGATATAATCATGTGATTTTTCTTTTTTTAGAAAAATGTTTTCTAAATGTTTTCAAATGTTGAACTAGACTTGCATACCTGGTATAAATCCCATTTGGTCATGCTGTGTGATTCTTTTTATACACTGTTGAATTCAGTTTGGTAAAAATTGTATTGAGAATTTTTGCATCCATCTTCATGAGAAGGATTGATCTTAGTTTTCTTTTCTCGTAATGCCTTTGGTATTCATATTAGTGTAATGCTGGGCTCATAAAATGAGTTAGGATATATTTCCTCTGCCTTTATCTTCTGAAAGAGACTAGAAACTTGTTATAATTCACCAGTCAACCCATCTGGTCCTGGTACTTTCTATTTTGGGAATCTATTAATTGATTCAGTTTCTTTAATGTATAGAAGCCTATTCAGATTGTTTCTTCTTGTCTGAGTTTTGGTAGATTGTATTTTTTAAGGAGTTGGTCGGTCCATTTCATCTGTGTCATCAAAATTGTGGGCATAGATTTGTTTTTAGTATTCCTTTATTCTTTTAATGTCCATGGAAATTAAAGTGATGTCTGTCTTTCATTTCTGATGTTAGTAATTTGTGTCCCCTCTCCTTTTTCCTTAGCATGGCTAGAAGCTTGTTTTTTTTTTTTTTTTTTTTTGAAGGAAGCAGCTTTTAGTTTTGTTGATTTTTCTCTTTTGATCTCCTGTATTCAGTTTCACTGATTTCTTCCTTAACTGTTATTATTTATTTTCTTCTGTTTACTTTGGGTTCAGTTTCCTCTTCTTTTTGTAGTTTCTTAAAGCAGAAGTGATTGATTTTACCTGTTTCTTCTTTAATATATATGAATTCAATGCTATAAATTCCCTTTAAGTACTATTTTCTGTGTTTCCCATAAATTTTGATAAGTTGTTTTCATTTTTATTTAGTTCAAAACATTTAAAAAATTCTCTCTTAATATCTTTTTTGACCCAAGTGTTAATAGAATTGTTTTGTTTAATCTCTACATATTTTGGGATTTTCCAGCTCTCTTTTTGTTATCGATTTCTAGTTTACTTCCATTATGTTCCAAGAGCAGACATTGTATAGTTTCTATTCTTTCAAATTTTTTGAGGTATATTTTATGGCCCAGAATATATTCTGTCTTGGTTAATGTTCCATGTGAGTTTGAGAAGAATGTGTGTTTTGCTGTTATTGGATAACGTAGACTGTAGATGTCCATTATATCTAGTTGGTAAAGAATGGTGTTGAGTTCAGCTCTGTTGGCACTTTTTTTCTGCCTGCTGGATCTGTCCATTTCTGATAGAGGGATGTTAAAGTTTACAACTGTAATAGCGGATTCATATATTTCTCCTTGCAGTTTTATGAGTTTTTGTCTCATATATTTTGACACTCTGTTCTTAGGTGCATACACCTTAAGGATTGTTGTGGTTCTTGGAGAATTGACTCTTTTTTCATTTTGTAATGCCCCACTTTAATGACTTTCCTTGGTCTGAAGTCTGTGTCTGAAATTAATATAGCTACTTTGCTTTCTTTTGATTAGTGAAAGCATGGCATATCTTTCTTCATCTATTTACTTTTATTCTATATGTGTCTTTATATTTAAAGTGAATTTCTTGCAGACAGCGTATAGCTGGGTCTTAGTTTTAGATCCACTTTGACAATCTGTCTTTTAATTGGTGCATTTAGGCCATTGAAGTTTAAAGTGAATGTTGATATACTTCAAATAATACCTACCATATTTGTTACTGTTCTCTATTTGTTGCCCTTGTTTTTGTTTCTATTTTTGTTTCCCGTTCTTTTTATGCCTCTTGTGGTTTTAATTGACCATTTTATATGGTTCCACATTTTCTCTCCTTTCTTAGCATATCAGTTTCTTAGCATATCAGTTATACTTCTTTTATTTTTTTAAATAGTTGCTCTAGAATATGCAGTATATATTTACTGTTAATCTGGGTCTACTTTGAAAGAACACTGTACTGCTTCACAGGTCATATGAGTACCTTGTAATAACAAAAAGAAATTGTAATTCTTTACTCTGATCACTTATGTCATTGCTGTCATTCATTTCACCTATATATAAGCATATGTGTTTATATATGTAAACATACATAAACTGGATACATTGTTGCTGTTATTATTTTGAAGAAACTATTACTACTAGATCAGTTAAGAAACAGAAAAGTTTTTATTTTTGCCTCTATTTCTCTGATGCTGCCTTCCTTTATGTAGAGCTGAGTTTCTGATCTATGTCATTTTCTTTAAGAAAAAAACAACTTTGACATTTTTTGCAGCACAGGTCATTTTGTCAGTTTTTGTTTGAGCAAGTTTTCATTACTTCTTCAGTTTTGAAGGCTAATTTTGCAGTGTACAGAATTCCAGTTTTTTTTTTTTTAACTTTCTGCACTTTAAATGTTTTATTTCTCTCTCTTCTTGCCTGCATGGTTTCTTGTGAGAAGTCAGAAATAATTTTTATCTTTGCACCTCTGTTGGTAAGGGGTTTTTTTCCAATGGCTTCTTTCAAGATTTTTTTTTAATCTTTGGATTTCTGCAATTTGAATATAATATGTCTAGGTGTAGCTTTCTTTTTTTTTTTAGCATTTATTCTGCTTGGTATTTTCTTAGCTTCTCGAATTTGTGGTTGGTATCCGACATTGATTTAGAGGAAATTCACAGTCATTATTGCTTTAAATATTTCTTTCTGTTCCCTCTTCTCCTGGTTTTCCTGTTACATGTACGCCTTTTGTTGTTGTCTCTCTGTTCTCAGATACTCTGTTCTGTTTTTTTCCAGTTTTTTTTCTCTTTGCTTTTCAATTTTGGACATTTCTGTTGAGGTATCCTCAGGTTAAGAGACTATTTCCTTAGCTGTGTCCAGACTACTATGGAGTCTGTCAAAGGCATTCTTTACTTCTGTTAAAGTGTTTTTGGATTCTAGCATTTCTTTTTGACTGGTTCTTAGAATTTCCATCGTTCTGCTTATATTGCCCATCTGTTGTTTGGTATTGTGTACTTTATCCATTAGAGCCCTTAGCATATAAATCATGGTTGTTTTAAATTCCTAGTCTGATAATTGCAACATTACTGCCATTTCGAAGTCTGATTCTGATGCTTGCTCCATCTCTTCCAACTGTATTTTTTGCCTTTTAATTTTTTCCTGATATCGGGACATGATGTACTAAGTAAAAGGAACTGCTGCAAATAGGCCTTTGGTAATGGTGTGGGGGGAAGGGAAGTGTGCTATAGTCCTGTCATTAGGTGTCAGTTTTTTAGTGAGTCTGTGCTCTTGGACTGTGAACTTCAGGAGTGCTTCTTAATCTCTTCTCCCCACACTTCCTCCCACTCCCTTTTAGGTGGAATAAGATGGCTAAAGTGGGCTGGAGTTGCGTACTTCTCTTCCTTTACTTGGAAGGCTTGGGCCCACTGGAGTGATTTTTCTTCTCTCAGGTTAGTTGGTCCCTGATAAAACCCCAGCAGGTTAGGCTCTCGTAAAAGTGTTATTTCTGAAGGCAGTCCTTGTTGTTAAGAACAGAATATGCTCTTGCATATTTAAAAATGGTTGCCTTTTCTCTTCCCTCTGCTGGTAGCATGAGGGAATTTTCTCCAATATTCATTGTGAGAACCTGCTCAAGCTTTAGAGGTAAAATTTACAAAGATGTGGGGACATCTCTATGACTGGGTTCCCCTGGAGTTTTTGACTTTCTGACTTGCCTATTTTGAGCCTCCGGCTATTCCTCAGTTACAGTGCTTGCTTCCTTACCCGGACACAGGTTTTCACAGAGGTTTGTGCTTATGGGTTTCTGCTTTCAGCAAGTTGTGATTCTCTGTATCCACCTGTCTGTCTTTCCAGTTTGGGGGCAGTGGTTTTTCTTGTGTCTCACTTCTCTTACAGATCTTTAAGAAGAGTTGTTGATTTTCCAGTTTGTTCAGCTTTTTACTTCTTGTTAAGATAAAATGATTTCCATGCTCCTTACACACTACACTGGAAAAGAGAAGTTGATATTAACTTTTATTGGTGAAAACATAGGTGGTCTTCAAAAAGAGGTTTTAAAACTGACGTTTATCAAGTAGGTGCAACTATGGAATGGGGTACTCTAAAACTGTAATTAATCAGTTGGCAAAGGCTTTGGATTGCAAGCACATTCATAGCCCATAATATACAAAATGAAGTGCTCTTCATTATGTTCATCTTTGGTAAAGACTTACTAAACTGTTGTTTTGAGCATATTTCTATTAAGTCAGTCAGAAGCTAATTTAGATGAGAGTAGAAAATTATTAAACATTTGGAAAATAAGACCTGGGAGGAGATAGGGAATTCATGATTATTCAATTAGAAAAAAAGGAAATCAGAGAAGTTATTTAATAGATTATATGTATATAAATAGATTATTTAGGGAAGGTAATGCTTAATTATACTTATGTCCACAAGGTTTCCCAGTGTTTCTCAACTATGGCTATACATTAGAATAATTTGTGGAGCTGAAAAAACCAAAATGTACAAACAATGCCCAAACATGCTTGGATTTCTTCTTTAGAGCTTCTGATTCAGTGAGTATGGCAAGGGGCATGACATCTGTAATTTTTTGTTTTTTAAATCTTTGTGGATGCTTGTGATATAGAGCCAAAATTGAGAAATACTGGTTTAAGTGTTTGACAGGCTGGGTAGCAGTATTCTTAGGCAGATGGTAGAAAAGAAACATGTTAATTACTGTATATAGAGAGGATGTCGTTTTAAAGCAGTCATAACATCTTGAGATCTGTGGTGTAACCATGAGGAAATACACTGCCTTTTTGTTCTGCCACTGCCTTTGGAGACAGGGCTGTGAAACTGTTACGTGAAATATTTGGAAAGGAACTGGAGTTCCAGGTCTTGAGTTATGGTGTTTTTCCTTCCTAGCAGTTTATCACTGGTCAAGAGAACGAGCAATATAAAAGACCTTGAAGTCTAATTATGGTTGAAAAGTCTATTCTTAAACATGCAGGGCTTGGCCAGGTGCGATGGCACATGCCTGTAATCTCAGCACTTTGGGAGGCCAAGGCAGGCGGATCATTTGAGGCCAGGAGTTCAAGACCAGCCTGGCCAATATGGTGAAACCCTGTCTCTACTAAAAATAAAGAAATTTGCCGGGCATGGTGGTGCATGCCTGTAATCCCAGCTACTGGGAGGCTGAGGCACTAGAATCACTTTCACAGCCGGGAGGCAGAGGTCGTAGGGAACTGTGATTGCACCACTGAACTCCAGCCTGGGAGACAGACTGAGACTGTGTCTCCAGATAAATAAAATAAAATAAACCGAACTAAACTAAACTAAATTAAAATAAAATTTAAAAATTAAGTTGCAGGTGATCCTCACACTGATCAGGTTAAGAATGCAAATGACGTTTCACAGATGAGAAAACTACAGCACAGTTAGATTGTTTTAGTTATTACAGATCATTTAATGTATTTTCATTTTTTCCTGGTAACCTGCTACTTACAGAAAGTTTATTTTTTTATCATTAGTAGGATAAATGTATCATGTACTGCTGCTTTTATTTATTGACTTTCATTTATCCCCCATAACAGTGTGGATGAAGAAATCAAAGGTTTCTGATGATGCTCAATTTTTTTAAATTGTTTTTATGTTCACACAAAATAAAGGACAGTATTGGTCCTAATCTAAAGCTCATCCTCTTTTCACAAATGCTTCCATCAATATTCTTTGATCCCATTACAGTGGTATTTAGATTTTAACTTTGTTATTGAAAAATAATCACATTATGGTTAAATCTCTTCAAGACTTAGGCCATTAAAAGTAAAAATCATCTACTGACTTTTTATTCAGAGTAGTAAGGCAATTCAGAGTAGCAACATTTTGAAGGCATATCAAAATACTTAAAAAGGTTTAAATTACCCTGTTTGCTGAAAGTAAAAGAATGTACTGAAAGAAATGGTAAGAGAGGTTAACCTTCAGTGTTTCTGATGAATTAAAATTGTGCTCTTGGGTTTACCTTTTTTACTGTGGTAAGAAGGAACAGTTTTCCCTTAAATTTTTTCTTGGTTTAGTAGGAGAATATCTACTCAAAGAAATTTACTTTCACAGAATATTATATAATTAAACATATACTATTATAGGATAACTTATTGTCATTTCTAAATGTAGTTCATAGAAAATATCATGATCCTTATTCTTATCTTTAAACTTTGCAAGATATAAATGTATTTCCAGAAACCTCACCGGATATCACAGTTCTCCAGTTGCTTTCTATTTTATGTGTACTCTAGTCTTCCATTCCTAGGTTGGAAATTGAATATGTCCCTTCTGTAGAGATTAGAATAATATCATTACTTTTCTTTGCCTTGTTCCTCATTGAAAATAATTGAAGAACAGATTCTCTGAAAAGATATATAATCTTACAAAATATTAACAATTTATAATGAATATACCAGTTTTGATACTGTCTCATTCTTCATATAAAAGTAGAGGTTGTCAGAATATGTGTGTCAGACATTTTCATAATACACAGTGGTAGTGACGGTAGTGAAAACTTGCCCAGGAGCGATACTCTCAGACTTTATCACTGACTGCGGGCCCATGGCCTGTTTATTTTACTATTTTTTGTTTCTACTTTGCTGACAGTACAAATCCCACAGGGAAAAATAAGCAATAAGAGGAAATATTGTTGTGATTGTAATAACAACCTACAAAAGTCATTGAAGATAAAATGAATGGGCTGGAAATGTAATTTATGGGATTTTAAGGGCTATAATGGATCCTAGAGAAAATCGAGTCCAATTTCCTGATAGTGACAGGATTAGAACGTTTTTCCACTGTTGTATACTTTTTATTGGTTTTCCGAAAAGTGAACTAATCTTACCTAAGAAGATATGACTGGAGCGGACATGGTGGCTCATGCATGTAATCTCAGCATTTTGGGAGGCTTGACTCCAGAAGTTCAAGACCAGCCAAGGAAACATAGCGAGACCTTGGCTCTACCAAAACAAACAAACAAACAAAAAAGCCAGGGGTAGTGGCAAGTGCCTGTAGTCCCAGCTGCTCTGGAGGCTGAGACAGGAGGATCCCTTGAGCCCAGAAGGTTGAGGCTGCAGTGAGCCATGATTGTGCCTCTGCACTCTACCCTGGGTGACAGTGATACCCTTACAAAAAAAAAAAAAAAGATATTACTGGACATAAAACATGTTTCTTAGGTTTTAAGAAAACTCATTCATTCATTGAGTGTCTGCTATGTGTCATACGGTTTTCCAGCCTTTGGGAGTAAAAAGAGCAGATTACCACGTTCCTATTACCTGAGACTGTTTGAAGGCCTTCCACACTCTAGGATGGAAGTATAGCATAGGCTGTCAAACATAGTTGTGTAATTCAGCCAAAGATGGTCCCAACTGAAGGAAAAGGAAGTAGGTACAGAATTCAGTATGACTGTATAATAAGCAAGGAGGGAAAGCAAAGAATGGCATGAACATATAAGAATAGCATAAGACATGCTAAAATTTCAAATGAACTGATGTTTGTGAGAATAATTGAAAAGGTTTTTTTCCAAGTAATATTGTTACCTATGAAATTCTTATCTACTTGGAGTAACTGAAGACCTAACTGTTATATTGCTTTTATAATTCTGTTGCTAAACTTTTGAGATTTGTACCCTCAGTGCCTATTAAAGTTCTCAAATAAGAAAAATTGATGAGTTAAGCAAACATGGTTAAGGAATATCATTCTATAGCTTTGTATCTTTACCTCCTAGGAGCTACTAAATGAGCGAACATGGAGGGTAATTAGGATCATTAGTACAAGAAGCTCTGATTTGTTTCCCCTTAATGTGCCCATTTTTCTTGCCACACAAGTCTGTGTAGTAGTGAATGACAGCAGGTAGGGTTAGAAAGAAACCAGTGGTTATGGGGAAGAGAGAGAGACTAAGTAAGTGGTTTAAAATTCCAGAATGTGAGGGATGAAAACAAGGCTCTCCTGTTGTGTGGATCTAGAGAGAGATCTTGATTCAGGGTTTCTAGTATTAATGGTATAAGTCAGTTAGAGGGATACAGTAACATAATGAAATAAACCCACTAATTCTATGTCTGATTCTGTACTGCTACTTTTCTCCACTTTAGAAACACTCTAAAGGTAACCACCTTTCCAAAGGCATATACATGGTGTAAAGATTAAGTAGTATAGTGTAGTGGGGGCTGTGATGAAAAGAACATGCCCTACCTTGCCCATGCCTACCCCTGCTCCCCAGAAGGATCCATTTAACTGTTTCTGGTCATGTTGCTAACTCTAAATAAAATCTCTTGCCAATGTTTTTTGATTCCTCAACTTTGGAAATTATCAGTTGATTTCCTGCCTTGATAAATGAGCATTTGCCTCATATCTCCCCTCCCCTGTAGTCTTGTCCCTATTTTTACTTTGTTTCCTTGTTACCTTTGTAAATTTCAATAAGTATCTTATAGTTAATTCTGTATTTCTTGCTCTGTCAATTATGCATACTAGCTCTTGGCTCCCCACTTTGTAAATGAGAAAGTTAACCCATCACTTTTCCATGTTTGTTTCCTTTTTCTTCCTCCTTTCCTTTGCGAACTGTAGTCACGTGTAATTAATATAAACTTTTAGTTTGATTCTAAAAGTTGAAAATGGGTGAACAGTACGTATTATACCTTTTTTTCTTTTCCTGTGATGACTTTTTTATTTCAAAGTCAAGTGATATCTTTTGAGTACATTTCCTTTCTTGTACAGCTGCTTTTCTTCCTTCTCCCCCACTTCCCTTATGCATTGGCTGCTGTCATCTCATGCTTAAATGCCTCAGGCTTCTCAAGGATGGAGTCACATCTCTGGAGCCCTCTTGTTCTCATGAACCTGCCTCCAGTGAATACCTCCTTGTTCTTCTCTAAGCTGGGCCAGTGTTGTTTATGTCAACTGTACTGTTTTCCTCCTGGGCTTTTTCATCTTTTTTCTGAGTTGAATTCAGTGTTTATTAGATTCCCTGTCATTGCCTTGTTTTGTGTGTGTGTGTGCATGTGTGTGTCTATGTGTGGTTTACTCTTTCACTTTATTGGAGCATAGTCTTAAATGACTTACAAAAAGAATGATAAGATTTTTGAGGCCCATGAATATCTAAAAGTCTTTGTTCTATAATTAGATCTTGTCAGGGGTTTGCTTGAATATCTTTATAACTCTGGGGACATTACTTCACTGTTTCCTAGCAACTAGCAATTTGATCATTTCTTTGCAAGTGGTCGCTTGTTTGTTTTTTTTTGTTTCTTTTTACCTGGAAGTCTGTAGGAAGCCTTAAGGAACATTTTAGAGTGGTGTATTTAGGTGGGGACTAATTTCGTTTATCATTCTGTGTACTTCCATCTAAGGACCCATGTTCATTAGAAGCTGCGTAAAATCTATTTTCTTCTATTATTTCTTTGATACTTTCTCTTCTTCTTTTCCTTTGTTTTCTCTTGTTGGATGTTACATGTTCTAAAATGATCCTTTATATTGCTTACTTTTTCTTTTATATTTTCTAGTCCTTTATTTTTTGGCTTTACTTTTTTAAAGGGATCTTGGAATGAAATGACAGCATACATGTATGTTCAGTTTGGTATCTTGGACCAAAGACTTCTTTTCACTACTTTTCAGTCATTATAATATCCAAAATTGGGATTTCCTGAGCAATTTTCATCAACATATTTTAGGAATTAATGTAGATTTTAAATTATTAGTGAGAAATACAAATGATTTTAATTTACAAGGGAAAGATATTTTTCTTGGGACTTTTACTTACATGTATTTCTAAGACCATACTATTCTTTACATGATCAACATTCTTATTTGTTTACAAGAATATTGAATTTTCTTTGTTGTTTCTCATCTGTTAAATACGTCTTGTTTTTAAATCGTGGATGAAATAAATTTAAAAAGTCAAATGCAGGACAGAAGGAAGTAAGTAGCTCACTTGCAAAAATGCTAAACCTTTGTCTTGTTTTTTTCTCCTCCTGTGCTGCATTTCATTTAAGTTGCTAAATAGGTTAAATTCATTCACTGCTTATGAAAAATATTTAAATGTTTCAGACAAAAACATATTTAAGAATATCGTATGTTTTAATTTGTTTTCGTGAATAATTCTAGTGTTTGCTTGCCTTAAATTCATTGCCTTTTTTTTATTACCTATTCATATATGGTGTTAGTATTTATCATTCATACAAGCTAATTCTTTTTTTTTAACAGCTTTAGTGAGATATGCTTACATATAATGATATGTAAGTACCAGCTTGTCAATTTCTATAAACAGCTGGGATTCTGATAGAGATTGTTTAGGTTCTTTATATCAGTTTGGTGATTACTGCCATCTTAATAATATTGTCTTTGTTCCATGGATATAGGATATTTTTTCATTTATTTAGGGTTTCTTTCAGCAGTACTTTGTAGTTTTTAATGTTACAGGTCTTGCATTTCTTCGGATAAATTTATTTTTAAATATTCTATTCCTTATGATGTTATTGTAAGTGGAATTATTTTCTTAATTTCATTTATAGATCATTCATTGCCAGGGTATGATTTTTATGTATATTGGTCTTGTATTATGCAACCTTGCTGAACTTTTTTATTCATTCCAGTTTTTTTTAGTGGATTTCTTAGAATTTTCTATATATGAGATTATGTCACCTATGAATAAAGATAGTTCTACTTTTTTTCTTTCTATTCTGAACACTTTTTTTTTCTTGCACATTTCCATGGCTAGAACATTAGATTCCATGTTGAGTAGATGAGTGGTGAGAATGGACATGCTGTCTTTTTCCCCATCTTAGTGGGAAAGCATTCAGTCCTTCACCACTGGGAAGGATGTTAGCTGTGAGTTTTTCATAGATGCCCTTTGTCATGTTGAGGAAATTCCCTTCTATTTCTGGTTTTATTGAGTTGAGAGTTTAATGATAAAAGGGTGTTGATTTTTGTCAGATTTTTTTCTACACCCGTTGAGATATGTGGTTGTGCTCTGTATTCTAACGTCGTGTATGCCATTGATCCCGTATACTTTTTAAAGATGATTGTTTATTTATTTCTATTTCTTATTTAATTTTGCCAAGTATTGGTCCTCTCAGTAGCTGTAGGCTTTAAAATGTTTTTTAGCTGATCATTTTATACGTGGAGATATTCGTAAGGAGGTTTTCTCAAAATTACAACTAGAATTAGAATACAGAATTCTAGCTTTTTGCTTATCTTGCTGGGCCATATTGCTTCATTATTAAAATTAATTTTTAAACATGGTACCCTAAGCTAACATGAAAAATGACTGTAGTATATTATTATTTAAATTAGCATATTGTTTACTATCTAATTGGTGTATGATGTTCATTTACTACAAGTTACATTTGGTCTAGTTTTATAGAATTAGACCAATCTGGGTTTATTAAGTACCCAGTTGTGAAACGTTGATTATAAATATATGTTCCTTTTCCAGTTTTAAGATGATTTATAATAAAGCAGGAAATAACATTTACATGTGAAAATTGGCTCAATATATTTTGCTGTGTGTGTGTGTGTGTATGTGTGTGTTTGCTTGCATGTATGCTATAAGGGTTGGTAATTTATACTGTGGGTTCTGGAATTACACTGCCTTGGTTCAAATCTCAGCTTCTTTACTAACTAGGTGAGTGGCCTTGGGCAAGTTACTTAAACTTTGCGCCTGAGTTTCCTTATTTGTAAAAACAGAGCTTATCGTAGAGAACTATTGTGAGATAATACATATGTAGTAGTATTGTAATTGACACAACTTAAGTGTTCAGTAAATCTCAGCTTCCGTGATGATGCTGGTGATGATGATGGTGATGATGATGGTGATGTACTTAAAGGCCTCCCAATTCTTCATTTATTCCTCCCTTCTCAACCAATCAACCAGAAAAAGCCATTTAGGCAGTTAGAGTGACGCTTGTTTTGAATTTGATATACACTACTGTAAAAAAAAATAAATAGATAAGGTTTTACTGGCTCTGGCATTTGTTTCTGTTCATGTGTCCTGTATACCTCTTCCTGCTTATTCATTAACTGCTAGTTTTATCATGTTTTTTTTTCCTGTGATTATTTCTTTTTTTCCTATTGCTTACATAGAGGGTCATGTCTAAATTACACAGCCTTGTGTTCAAAGACTGTGCTCCTGATCTGTTTTAACTTTGTCACATACATCTTCTCTTCATAAATACGCCAGTGATAATGGTGCTTGTCTGGACATGGACCATGAGTCTAGCTGTGCAGAAATTATCTGACATGTATCATGGGTCAGATAAATTAACTGATTTGCTTTAAAAACAAGAATTACTAGTGGGATTAGGTAGATATCATAGCTGTTAGTCAAGCAATAGAAAAATCGAGAGCAGAAATGTATCTGAGATAGGAATATTGTATTATCTTCAAAAGAATACATTGAAGTTTAGAGTTACAAGCTAAGATACAGTGACAGAAAAATATATTTACCTTTCCCTTATAATTGATGCATACATATATAAAAACAAATATTAGAATAGTAAGTGAATATTTCCTCACTTAATAAATTTGCAAGAATGTTCAGTGTATAATCTTTTGGTTTTTCTTCATTTTAGTTTCAGACGTTTAATTTTTTTCATTTAATTGTGAACATAGCCACAGTAAGTGGAAATCACTTACTAAGCAGATCTTCATTATAGTGTTTGACTATTTCTTAATAAAAATGTTAACTCAGAAATGTCAGTATTAGGAAGAATCATGTGTGCAAGGAATAATAATTATAGATGTGAAAAGATATGAATGTTTTGTGATAAATTCAATGTTGACATTTTCTTGTATTATAATGGTATGTCCACTGTCAGGGAACATTTAGTTCTAGCCAACATAGTGAATAATACATTGTCTTAAATAATAATGGATACCATTTGGTAAGTACACTCTATGTAGTTTAATCCTCACTGCAGTTCTGCAAGCTAGTCTAGATAGGTCTTATATGCATTTTATAGATTAGAGAGTTAAGACCTGTAGTAATTCTCTCCAGATCACAGCATCTAATGGCAGAGCTGGCATATGAACTAACTTGAAAATAGAGGTCTTCAAGTCTCATTGTGCCTCAGATGGTTCCTGTGGCACAAATAAGTAAATAAGTAATAAATAAATGAACAAATAAACAAACAACCTACCCAGGCATCTCCTCTGGAAATTTGGGTGTAGCAAGTTTGCAGTGGGGCCAGAATTCTGATAAACTACCAGGATAGGGAACTACTTGCTCTGAAATTTGTGTCCTTTCTATGTTAGTATCTCAAGATTATATGTAGGCATTATCAATTCTTTAAAACTTAATTTTAAATTTTTTGTTATGGAGTAATAACTTACGAGTTTTTCTTCTACTGCATAGGGCAGTTTTGGTGGTAGGACCCCTTGGGGCTAGCTGCAGCTGTATAATAATACTGCCTTATTTACAGGAAAAGGGAATGAAATAAGTAACTTTGAGAAAAAATCATTTCTCTGAGCCTTAGATATATCGCCTGTAAAACATGAATAATAACTACCTTTCAGAATTACTGTGATGATTAGGTGCAATTATGTATTTAAGGCACAGTGCCTAACCATTTAGTAGCTACTCAGTAAGTGGTTCTTATTGTTTATTAAGAAATTATTTTTATCATGTTAGCTAGAAGTTAAGGAACTATGTTATATCAATTTAAAAGTACATTTTTTTGTTTAGAGTAGTGTCATACATAGCCCAAGAGTAAAACGTCTCTTGACCTCTGTGTAACTGACTCCCTGAATTTATAGACATTTTTCATTCTCTTTGGAGAAAACATTGATTGACGCCCATGGCAATTTGAAGTTTCAACACCAGTAAACTACTTCTTAGAAGGCTCAAATTAGTAGACCTGTTGCTTATTCTTTACTTACCAAGAATCAGTTTTTCTGTATTCCCAATCTGTTTATGTCTATTGTATTAGATATTCTTATCAGGTAGATCACCTTAATATTCTATAAAATGATGAAGTACAAATGCCAAAAGAGACATTTTTAAACAAACATCTAAGATGAATGCGTTTGAAAGACTTCATGAAGGTCAGTCACTTAAAATTTCCCTCCTGATTTGGTGTGCATACCTATAAATGACTGGAAAAGAAATAGACTGTATATGAATGCTGCACTCGTATTGGTTGACATTATCTTTAAAGTTCCTTTTAAGAAGTTAAACTGGAAATCTTATACCTGGATAGTCATAGCTATGTTTTACTCAAGAAAAACAACTCTGATTTTTAGTTAATAGATTCATACTTAAAGAAAATGTCTTTGCCTAATATCAAAAGATTAGCAATATTATGTATGTTTTGTGATAATATTACAGTAAGTATAATTTTTATGATTTTCTACAGTAACTCACTTAAAAAAATCAACTTATTCATTGATTCCGATCTGGTCTCAGAAGAGAGGTTTGACATTCATGTAAAATGGGAATTATAAAATATGCTGATTGGTGCCAGAAAGAATAATTTAGCTGAAGCGATTAGAATTAGACTCACTATACTGGGTAGAAGGGCAGTTTCTTTTTCTGAAAAAATAAATGGGTGAACGGAGATACAGACTTTTCTTTTTTTGGCCTATCACGGTGTGATTTGCACATTGCCAATACTATTAATTTGAATTCTAGTTTCCTGCAGTTGTATTTGAGCAACTGGTATAGCAAAAATACTACTCCTACTACTACTACTACTATTACTATTATGACTACTACTACTACTACTATTACTACTACTACTATTACTACTAACAATAATTCTAGGTGTTTAAAGAGTAGGATACTATGAGCTAAACATACTCAACCTGTTAATTTATAAAATATATAATTAATTGCTAGTAATAAATGGAAAAAACTCTTGAAAATGAATACCATCTAGAAAATTTCTAGAAAGCCAAAGGAAGAAATCATAGCCAATAAGAATTAAACCTATGGCACAATTTTTTCATTAAGAACTTTGTGGCATGTATTAATAGAATATAGAAACAGACCATACCTGAATGTGAATTTATATACTGGCAACTATAATTTTATTAAATCCCACCAAATTTTATTTTTACATTTTGCTTTTTACTTTAGGGTAATAGTTAATAACTGGCAAAATGAGATTAGTTTAGCAGCCAGTTAAAATGACTACCTTCTTGTTTCAAGTTTATGAAGGTAAAATGCATATAACAGTGCCTGGCACATAGTGAGTTCTACAAATGTACAGTTTTTTTTTCTGTTCTGTTTTGATGTTTTTACTCAGCATACTTTATTAATTTAGAGTGTAGACTCTGGAGCCAGAAAGCTTATTTATATTCTATTTTCGCTACTTCTAGTTATGTGACTTGGGGCAGGTTACTTAATTTCTTTGTACTTCAGTTTCCTTATCTGTTTAAGTGGGGGAAAATAACATTCTTCGTGAGTTATGAGGATTAAATGAGTTGATATAAATAACATTTTCATAATAATGCCTAATGTGGAAAATGTTATATAAATATTTGCTGTTATTATTGTATGCCAATTCATTTTAATCAGTATCCATGCCTGTAGTAAAAGATTGACACGTTCATTTGGTGAAACAAAATCATGTTTCAATTAGAAACATAGTTATGTGGTTCTTCATTATATTTTTAGCGTTACTTAAAAATTACACTGCAGAAATGAAAAATGACAGTAAAATCATTACTATTCCTAAAAGCAACATTCCAAAATGACATTTGCCTACTTTTCAGATTTGTTTGCTGACTTCAGCAAAATTGGATGTTCTATAGATCCAACCACCTTTTGTCTTCTTTTTGTTATTTTAAGATGAAGAAAATAATTTGGGCCAGCATAAAATGTATTACCTATATATTATCTTGTTTTAATATGTTGCTGATGTTAATAATTCATTTTCTTCTAATTTGCTTGTTTTGTTTAAACCTGTAATCTCTGAGACTTCTCAACAGAAACTATTAGATTGATGTGTAACAAACCTAACTCTAAATCTCAACTTCAGTAAATGGCCTGTATTGAATATGAGGTCATTGGAATATTTATCAGCCTATTATATAACTTACCAGTTTCTCAAAACCGAACAAATACCATAAACTCCTTAATGGAATTAATTACAGCTTTGGTCGTCCAGGAGTAGAATGTTATTGCCAGCATGACAGTGGAGCTGCAGTAATCCAGCTCCAGTTCCTGATTAATGAGGTTAGTGAATTGTTTTAATCATTTCTACTTATATCCAAAATAGGGCCACTTCTAGTCTTTCAGATTTCTTACATGCATTCACAATTTATTTACATATTTGAACAAAAATTAATTTATAATGGATCAGAAATAGTAGTAATTCGTTTTAAGGTACCGTCATGGACAGTTACATAAATAATGTAAAATGTTTTCTCAAGACAGTGTTGTAAATTGAAAGGCCTAAGGTAAATGTTTTTGGTAAAAGGTGCTGCATTTAAATTCCAGGGATATTGAATACTGTGTAACATAGAACTCTATATTAAAATATTTTTTAAAAGATTGAGCTTATTACAAATCAAAGAGTGTGCTTCTTTAATGAATTGCTTTGAAATACAACCAAGAAACCAGCATTCATTCATTAGAAAGTAGTTTCTGCCCAGAGTTCTTAAATAACACCCAAATGTGTCACTTAATTGCTTTAAGTAATTGATGTTGCCTTTCCTTTTGAAAGTATAGAAGGAGCTAGAGAAAACAGCATTTTATCGGCATAGGAAACACTGTTTTTGCATATTTTAAGAGCATACGAGCAGCTCAGACAATAGATGTTAACTGCAAGTATTGATAGAGAGGGAAAGCTAGTCGTAGAAGGAAGAAAGAGAAATTGCTTCAGAAAAGGCTCTGATCTCCTTAGATATGAGGATAGATTGTGGACATTATTTTAGTCCCTAAACCCTTAGGCTCCGTGGAATAATTTCTTAAATGTATGTGAGAGAAAATAAATTCCTGAATACCTCTGGCTTTTGATAAATGTTATATTCATACCAGAGGATTTAAGAAAGGCATCATGGGTGTAAAAAGATAATTATGACAATGTAAAAACCTCCATAAAACTATAATCCAAATAATTTGCAGTTGTCTAGATTTTTCAAGGTCAGAGGATGTGTTTTTAAAAACTTCAGTATCCTGTATAGAACTGTATATTAGGCATTTTAAGATGTTAAATTTTTTTTAATTAAAATGTAGAAAGTTGTCGAAGCCATATATGAAGACTCAGATTATTTTTCCTCCTTTAAATAATGTTTTATTATGGAATCATTATACTCATGGTTAAGTTTAAAAATAGTTTCAGAGAGAGTCTGTGTACCCTTCTTTTAGCTTCTCCCAATAGTTACATTTTATATAACAATAGTATGATAGCAAACCAGGAAAATGACATCAAAACAATACTATTAACTAGACTATAGACCTTTATTTAGATTCTCTAGTTCATATATGGACTCATTTGTGTGTGCATGTAGTTCAGTTTTATCACATGTACAGATGCATGTAAGGACTACCACATCAAGATACAGGTCAGTTCCCTCAGCACTAAGGGAAAATAAAGAAGTGCCTTCAGCACTAAGGGAATCCCTTTGTAATTGAACTCCTGCTCACCCTCAGTCCCTGGCAACTATTAACCTGTTCTGTCTTTTTTTTTTTTTTTTTTGAGATGGAGTCTTACTCCGTCACCCAGGCTGGCATGCAATGGCGTGGTCTTGACTCACTGCAACCTCCGCCTCCCGGGTTCAAATGATTCTTCCACTTCAACCTCCTGAGTAGCTGGGACGACAGGTGCTTGCCACCACACCGGCCAGTTTTTGTATTTTTAGTAGAGACAGGGTTTCACTGTGTTGGCCAGGCTGGTCTCTAACTCCTGACCTCGTGATCTGCCTGCCTCAGTCTCCCAAAGTGTTGGGATTGTAGGTGTGAGCCACCACGCCTGACCTGTTCTTCATTTTTATACTTGTGTTAAGATTATTTTTTAAATCAACATTTGAGCCAATGTTAATAAAATGCGGTAAATCATTTACTGTAACCTAAATTTTAGAAATCTTAAATTTATGCTATTTTTATTCATATTAAGTATTCTTTTTCTCTTCAATAAGATTGATCATAGACTTCTTTGGAAGGGCCATTTTTTTTGACCTGTTAAATTATAAATACATTATAAATACATAAAGATAGGGTTTTTTTTGTTTTAAAAAGTGGAAATCTGACAATTAGGTGCACCTATTTGCTTTCAGATTTGGAAAACTATATACTGTATAGGTGAAGGAGCCACCATAAGAAGAAGACAGCTATTATTGCTATTTTGGCTCTATGTCTTCTCTTCTTCCTTGAGATTTTAAGATGTGGTAAACATTAAGAAAGAAGATGACATCGCCTGATATTTGATGGAAATAAGAAATAGCAGTACAAATCTTTGACACCCTAAATCCTTTGAGTTTCTCTACTTCAAAGTGATGTAGATAAAACGATGCTTTTAGTGAAATGGAGAGAGTGTGGACTTTATGTATTTCTGCTTTCCAGTTGTCATGTCCTGGCAACAGAAGTTACACACTAGGGTAGCCCTCATAGAATTTTGAAGGTGGAAAGGAGTTGGAGAGATAATTTAATATAAATCTTGTCCTGACAGCTGTTTTAATTCTTCTGAGTAGATGAGAAACTCTTATTTTGAAAGGGGGAGACTTTACAATTTCTTACAATACCCTAAAAGATTGGTCTTGCAAATCTTTTTTGAAATTAATGTAAATTCTGCATGTTACATCTCTTGTCTTATTCTTTCAGTATTGATGATAGATTTCTGAGTCCTTTGAGGAAAAACATTCAGATGTCTTAATAAATCAGCTCTAGTCTAGACAGTCTTAATTTTATTCACAATTATCACATTGCATTCACAATTTAAATCAGAATCATCTCAAAGGTTTTTCAAAATATACTTCCATAGGTCTTTGCTCTGTGTCTTTGGCCATTTTCTGTTGCTACAACTGAATACCTGAGTCTGGGTAATTTATAAAGAAAGAAATTTATTTAACTTTTGATTCTGGAGGCTGGGAAGTCTAAGACTGAGCAGCTGCATCTGGCTGACTTCTGGTGAGGGTCTCATGCTGCCTCATAACATGGTAGAGAAGCAGAAAGGGAAGCTGGTGCATGCCAGGAGAGCAAAGAGGTCAGCCTCACTTTATAACAACTCACTAGCATAAGAACTAATCCATCCTGTGAGGGAAAGAACTCCCTCCCTCCCTGGAGACTGCATTAAACCCTTCACAGAGGCAGATCTTTTATGACCCAAATGAGGGATGGTTCACCACCTCTCAACACCACTTCACTGGCAATTAAATTTCAACATGATGCGTTTTGGCATTGCAAACCACGTCTAAACCATAGCACTCTGGAAATTCTGATTTGTTGGGTTTGGGTGAGAACGAGCCACTTAAATGATTCTCAAATACTGCCAGGCCTTTTCTTCCCTATAAATAATAATATTTAGTTGTATCAGACATTTTAACATTCTAAATTAGTCAGATTTCAAACCTTCAGACATGGAGGTTACAGTGTGCCAAATGCTATGTTTATTTTCCGTACCATTCTAGTAGTAGAATTATGATCTGGGTATAGTACTTCCATAAGAATTTGTCTTAAGCCAAATGAAATGTGGAGGTTACTTCATACCATGTTTTGCTCTGCTAATCAAGGAAGTATGTACAATAGTTACAAAGTAACTTACAGTCTGACCTCTAATTTTAAATAACTAGATCTTAACCATACTAATCCACTAGATCCTAGTATAGTTTTGGCTTATGAGATACTAAATTATACTTTAAAGTATTGAAGAAGTTAACGTATTTACATGCATGTAATACACGTACACTTTTTACATCTGCTGTTTTGAATTTGAATGAGGCAAATGTTTCTTAGATCTAAATCTGTTGGCAGAAAGTTTTGAAATTTGGGAAGGAGATATTTCTGGCAGCTATTGAGTAGACTTCATGTTTATAAAATATATTATACATGAAATGTGTTATACTTGATTTTTAAGGGAGCGCTTGTGAGTGCCTTGGCTGATGACACCTTACACTTATGGAATTTACGTCAGAAGAGGCCTGCCATACTACATTCGCTTAAATTTTGCAGAGAAAGGTAAGAATTCTCCCAGTTATCTTATGTATAGGATATTTACTATTATATTTTCTTGAATTTCAGTCTTTGATTTTTTGTGTGTGATGGACCTTATGCACAATCTAAAAACTGATTCAGAAGCTTCAAAGGATATACAATAAAAGCAAGATTCCTTCTTTTTTAGATCCATCTTACTTTCTTCAGCAACCACATAAATTTCTTTTGTGTCCTTCTGGAAGGATTTACAGTGTATGTATAAAAGAAAAAATCTCTGTATAGCTCCCCTGCTTTTTTTTGCATAAAAGGGAAGCTATTACATATTCTTCCTGTAACTTGTATTTACTTAACATATCCCATAGATTGTCTCATATCAGCACATTTAAATCTTCCTGAATCATTTTCATAACTACATAATATTCTGTTCTATATAAGTGCCATAATTTATTCAGCCATTCCTCATCAGTGGACACATAATCATTTTCAGTCTGCTGTTCATTTTACTCTGTTGTGATGTTATGTTACATATGTCTTTGTCTACATATACAAGTATATCCATAAGATAAATTTGTAGAAGTAGGTTAGCTTGGTCATAGAAATCTCTTCTAATATGACTTGTGAATTTGGGGCTTTGATTGGAAAAACTTTTTCACCCCAATTTGATTAATCATCATCCCCTATATGTTTTTGTGGTACTCTTTTTTTTTTTTTTCTGAGACCTGGTCTTGCTCTGTCGCCCAGGCTGGAGTGCAGTGGCATGATCTGGGCTCACTGCAACCTCTGCCCCCCAGGTTCAAGTGATTCTCATGCCTCAGCCTCCTGAGTATCTGGGACTATAGCATGCACCACAACACCTGGCTAATTTTTGTATTTTTAGTAGAGACGGGGTTTCGCCATGTTGGCCAGGCTGGTCTCGAACTCCTGACCTCAAGTGATCTGCCCGCCTCAGCCTCCCAAAGAGCTGGGATTACAGGCATGAGCCACCAAGCCTGGCCTTTGTAGTACTCTTAAAGTTTTATTTTTTATACTTAATCTTTGATTTATATGGAACTTATTTTGGCACGAAATATGAGTAAGGATATAGTCCCTTCCCTCAATAGTTTTGAGAGACATATATTGTTTATCTTGTATACATGTGTAGTTGTATATATGTATGTATATAATATTTATGTAGTTAGCATTAAAAGCACAATCTTTTTTAATATATATTTTGAGGAAATTTTTAAAATTTTGAATCTTATAGGAATACCAAAATGGAAGTACTTGATTCTTTTATTTTAATTTCTAAGGAAAAGTTGATTTGTTTTCTCAAGTGGCTACTTTTTTCCAGTCAAGTTTTAGTTTTTAATGTCTAAAATTTTGGTTAAAACCTGTTGACAATAAAGGTGGAAGAAGAGAATGTGAGAACAGTATAGTTATAACAACTGTAATAACAGTAGAGGTAAGAAGTGTGAACTTAAAGTAGAGGAAGGAAACCTGTGAGCTCTAGGGTTTTATCTTAGATTGTCTTACTTGATTCTCATGACATTTCATGGAATTAGTGAGAAACGTGGTTTGGGAGAAACGAAACTTGGAATAAGGCAAAGAGTAAAAAGCAAGCATAGAGACTAGAGAGTTGGGAGATGTAAGGAAAGATAGGTATAATCACAGCTAAGTCATGATGAGGTAACTGGTGACTTTTTTGACATAGTAGGTACTTAGTAAGTATTTGATTGTTAAACAGAAAATGGGATATCTTGAAGTTTGTAGTTGTAGTCTTAGGTCTGTCTCTCTATTTCTAACTCTTACTGTATTATGATACCCAAAACAGGGAACCATATCACATTTCTTTGATTTTAACTTGCACAGTTTTTAAATTAACAGACTTTATTTTTAGAACAATTTTAGATTTATAGAATAATTGAGCAGATACTACAGAGAATTTCCATATACCTCATATACCACCCTCATTCCAACTCAATCTCCCCATTCATGGTGTTCTCTGATATTAACATGCATTAGTGTGGTAAGTTTGTTACAGTTAATGAACGAAAATTGATACATTGTTGTTAACTAATGTTCATAACATAATAAGGTTCACTATTTGTGTTGAACAATTCTATGTATTTTGACAAATGCGTAATGTCATGTATCTACCATTACAGTATCATGTGGAATAGTTTCACTGACCGAAAAACCAATATGTGTCACCTGTTTATCCATACCCCTGTCAGCCACTGATCTGTTTCCTGTCTCTGTAGTTTTTGCTTTTTCCAAAATGTCATATATATAGCCATGTGTTGCATAACGATGTTACACTCAGTGACAATTGTATATATGATGGTGGTCCCAAAAGATTATAATGGAGCTGAAATACTCCTATAGATTAGGGATGTTATAGCTGTCATAACATCATAGCATCTTATAGATTAGAGATGTTATAGCTGTCATAACATCATAGCATCTTATAGATTAGGGATGTTATAGCTGTCATAACATCATAGCATCTTATAGATTAGGGATGTTATAGCTGTCATAACATCATAGCATCTTAGTGCAATACATTATTCACATGTTTGTAGTAATACTAGTATAAACTAACCTATTGTGCTACCAGTTGTCTAAAAGTATAGCACATATAATTGTGTACAGTACATAATATTTGATAATGATAACAAATGACTGTTACTGTCATATATTTATTAGAATACACATTTTATTATTTTAGAGTTTATTCCTTCTACTTATTTAAGAAAAACAGCCTCAGGCAGGTCCTTCAGGAAATATTCCAGAAGGCATTGTTATCATAGGAGATGATCACTCAGTGTGTGTTACTGTCCCTGAAGACCTTCTAGTGGGACAAGATCTAGAGGTGGAAGACAGTGAGATTGATGATCCTGATCCTGTGTAGGCCTAGGCTAATGTGTGTGACTGTGTCTTAGTTTTAAAAAAAAAAAAAAAGTTTAAAAAGTAAAAGTAAAAATAAATTAAACATATAAAAAAGCTTATGGAATAAGGATATAAAGAAAAAATTATATAGTTTTACATTGTGTTTGTAAGTGAAGGGTTATTATAAAAGAGTCAAAAAGTGAAAACATTTAAAATGTTTATGACGTAAAGTTTACAGTAAGCTAAGGTTAATTTATTATTGAAGAAAGAAATTTTTAAAAATAAATTTAGCCTGGACTAAGAGTCCAGTGTTTATAAAGTCTACACTAGGGTACAGTAATGTCCTAGGTCTTCACAGTCACTTACCACTGACAGACTCACCCAGAGCAACTTCCATTCCTGCAAGCTCCGTTCATGATAACTGCCCTCTATAGGTGTACTATTTTTTAATCTTTTATACTACATTTTTACTGTACCTTTTTATGTTTAGATACACAGATACTTAACCTTTGTGTTACAGTTGCCTACAGTATTCAATATGTAATACGCAGTAACATGCTTTCCAGGTTTGTAGCTTAGGAGCAATAGGCTGTACTATACAGCCTAGGTGTGTAGTAGGCTATACCATCTAGGTTCGTGTAAGTATGCTCTATGATGTTCACACAATGTTGAACTCACCTGCTGATGGGCTTCTTAGAACATAGCCATCTGTAAGTGACACATGACTGTCATTGGAATCATACATATAGCATGTAGCTTTTTTAGACTTCTTTCACTGAGCAATATGCATTTAATGTTACTAGTCTTCTGGCTTGCTAAGTCATTTCTTTTTATCAGTAAATTTCTTTTACAAATGTAACAGTTTGTATTTCCATTCACCTATTGAAGGATATCTTGGTTTTTGCTTTTTTTGGCCATTATGAATAAAGCTGTTATAAATATTCACATGCAGTTTTTTTGTGGATGTACATTTTCAACACAGTTGGATACCTGGGAGTGCTATTGCTGGATCATATGCTAGACTATCTTTGGCTTTGTGAAAACTGCCAAGCTGTCTTCCTTAATGGCTATACTATTTTGCATTCCCACTAGCATTGAATAAGAGGTCCTTTTGCTCCATATCCTTACTAACATTTGGTATTGCCAGTTAATGGACGTTAGCCATTTTAATACCTGTGTAGTGTTACCTCATTGTTATTTTAATTTGCGGTTCCCTAGTGACACATGATATGGGTTATCTTTTCATATTCTTCTTTGTTTCATGTGCTGCTTTGATGAGTTGTCCAGATTTTTTGCCCATTTTTAAGTTGGGCTGTTTGTTTCTTACTGATAAATTTTAATAATTCTTTGTATGTTTTGGGTACCTTTATCAGATAGGTATTTTACAAATATTTTGTCCTAGTCTGTGACTTTTATTTTTATTCTCTGCACAGTGTCTTTGTAGAGCAGATATTTCCTATTTAATTAAGTTTAGCTTATTAATTTTTCTTTCAGAGATTACACTTTTGGGGTTTATATCTAAAACATCCATCACCAAACTCAAGATCACTACCTAGATTGCCTCCTGTGTTATGTTGTAGAAGTTTTAGAGTTTTGCATTTTACATTTAGATCTGTGATCCATGTTGATTTAAATTTTTTGAAATATATATAAGTTCTATGTCTAGAGTTTTTTTTCTTTTTTTAATTCTTTTTTTTGCTTATGATTGTCCAGTTGTTCCAGAACCATTTGTTGAAAAGATTATCTGTTTCCCATTGAATTGTATTTGCTCCTTTATCAGGGAGCAATTTACTGTATTTAAGTAGATCTATTTCTGGTTGTCTATTCTGTTTAAGATAGATCAATTAATCTATTTGTCTGTTATTTTTCTAATACAATCAGCTTTTTGTATCTATGGGATCCACATCTGGATTCAACCATCAGCAGACTGAAAATATTTGGGGGAAAAATAAAAAGATAATAAAAATAAAAATACAAGATAGCAATCATTTACTTAGCATTTAAATTGTATTAAGTATTAGAAGTAATCAAGAGATTATTTAATGTGCATAGGATGTGCATAGGCTATATGCAAATACGATACAGTTTTATATAAGGGACTTGAGCATTATTGGATTTTGGTATCAGAGGGGTTTCTGTAACCAATCCCTCACAGATATGGAGGGATGACTGATTGACTTGATTACTGTAGTTTTGTAGCAAGTTGAAGATGGGTAGTGTCAGCCCTCCGACTTTGGTCTTCTTGTTCAGTATTATGTTGGCTATTACGGGTTTTATGCCTTTTCATATAAACTTTAGAATCAGTTTGTCAATATCCACACAATAGCTTGCTAGGATTTTGATTTGGCTTTTTGAAAGAGGACTATTGACTGTAGCATTTACTTATTTTGTACTTTTAACATTTTTACGTCTCCGAAATTGCAATGTTTTTATTAATGAATGGTGTCTTATAATTAATTGAAAATGTTTTGTGAATTTTGTTAATACTAAATAAAAATAATGGCATGCCCTAGCGTCAATAGCATTTAGAATCAGTGAAATACAGTTTTTGGTGATTTTGAAATTACATGAAATGACAGTTTGTAATTAATTTGAAGCATTTGTAGTGGACTTTCTGATTATGAGTTTTATGACCTACCAGTGGTTTTCCTTCAACACTTTGAAGTTGTTATTCCACGATTTTCTGCCCTCCTTTTTTGTTTCTATGAGAAATTAGTGGTTGTTTGAATTTTTACTCCCCTGTGTGAAATGAGTCCTATTTCTCTGGCTGCTTTCAAAATTATCACTTTATCTTTGGTTTTTAGCACTTTGGCATTGATATGCCTAGCTATTATTTTCTTCATATTTATACTGCTTGAGGTTTGCTGAGCTGCTTTTTTTTTTTTTTTTTTTTTTTTAGAGGGAATCTTGGTCTGTTGCCCAGGCTGGAGTTCAGTGGCGTGATCTTGGCTCACTGCAATCTCTGCCTCCTGGGTTCAAGCGATTCTTCTGAGCCTCACGAGTAGCTGGGATTACAGGTGCCCACCACCAAGCCCGGCTAATTTTTCTTTGAATTGAAGGCACTGTCTCCAAATACTGTCACATTCTTGGGTACTGGGGGGTTAGGACTTCACCATATAATTGAGGAGGGCAGCACACAATTCAGCTGTAAAACAAAAGTAGGCTAAAACCAACCAGGATGCAAGATGGAATTTTTTTAAATCAGCAAACAAAAGAAAAAGTAAATATACTTTGAAAGTTGAGGAAAAACATACAATTTTAAATATCCTCCTTAATTAGCATGTAGCTTATTATGCCAATTGCCAGACTCAGCTCAGGGATTTGTCTGCTGTATAATTTTTATCACAGGGACAAATTTGCCGATAGTAGTAGCTACAGCATCTCAATCTTCTGTAGCCTGAAAGGAATTGGTAGCAACAGTATGTCATAGTAGAATACTAGGGGTGTGTACTTTACTTACCTGTCCTCTGTTACAGATTGAATTGTTTTCCCAGAAAAGATAATCTTAAAGTCCTAACCCCTGGTACCTATGAATGTGACCTTAGTTAGAAATGGAGTCTTGGCAGATGTAGTCAAGTTAATATGAGATTATTAAGGTGGAGACTAATCTGGTGTCCACATAAGAAGAGTTGAAGATACACAGACACAGAAACTCAGACAATACCATGTGATGAAGGAGGTAGAAACTGAGTGATGCAGCTATAAGCCAAGGAATGCAAAGGATAGCTGCCGATACCAGCAACTAGGGGAGAGGCATGCAACAGATTCTCCCCTAGAGCCATCAGAGAGGGCAGCGCCCTGCTGACACCTTCATCTCAGACTTCTGGCCTCCAGAACTGTGAGAGAATCAATTCCTGTTGTTTTAAGCCACCCATGCTGTGGTGATTTGTTTTGGCAGCTCTAGGAAACACATATCACCTTTGTTCCTCTTCCTTGATATTGGTGAGCCTTGTTAATATGTGCCATTAGGTTTATACATGCAAAAGAGATGTTCTTTGCTCCCATAGAAACTGAGAATTTGATAAGTAAGACAGATAAGTTGCAGTATCAGAATATGTTCCATTTAGCTTAATACCTTGTTTTTTCCTTTAAAGAAGTTTAAATAGGAGCAAGTCGTGGGTTGATCAGCAGCTACAACTCTCTTCTAGTCTTTTTTCATCACCATGAGTTAGTATAGTATGACCAGTATTCTCAATCATGTTAAGTTTTTGCATAAGTTTATAACTAATGATATGTGAAGCTTTTTAAGACTGAAAACTGAATTATATGTGGACTTTTTTAGGACCTAATGTTATTGTTTAATATTTTTACCTCTTGATTTATATAATGCTTTATTGTTTGTAAAACCTTTTCACATAAATAATTATTCTCAGGGGTTAAGAAAATTTCCCTTAATGAAATTTTATAGAATATTTTCCCCTGTAAGTACATTAAACACCAGAAAAGCTGAATCTTGATATTAAAGTTAATATATTTCTAAAGACGTATGTTTTTTCTTTATTCTAATAGTCTGATTTACAGTTTCTATATGACTTTTATTATTTGATGATAGATGCATCATTGTTTAGAGAATAACATAAGTGTGCTTTCATTCTAAAGTAATGAAAGGGAAGGAAAATTATTATATGAAATACATTAATAATCAAGACTTTATAACTTAAATATCAAGGGAGAATTCATGTTCACAGTCCTCTCATGGAAAAAAACAACCGTATGACAAATGAAGTTAATCTGTTCAGATTCCAGCACAGCGAGGGGAGATTTGGTGCTTATAATGTACTGTAGCAATGAGTTGACACCCTAGCATCAGATTTTCCCAGTATCGTAAGTAAATGTATATAGAAACGAAAACTCATTTATTACATTATACTCTTATTATTTTATTACAGTACTGTGCTTTGCATATTTATAAAGCTTGTAATTTGCTTAGTATGCACATTAGTGCATATATTAGTAAGACATAACCTTAGACAGTTATAAAAGAGTGTTTGGCTGAGTACCAGACCCCAAAATATCTATACAGGTCTTAAGATTTTGAATTAACTAATTGCACATGTTGAACAAGGAAAAAATTAATCACAGTATTGAAACAAAGACACAGAATTATAGTTTCTCTGCTAATCGCATAACATTATCAAAATTCGTTTCTTTGAAAACAGCTTAATGAAAAGTGTACAGGCATTAGAAATGAGAGTGATGTGATGGGATGAAATTAAGGACTAGAACATAGGCATGAAATGATGCCCAATCCTGTTGGGAAGATGGGGGATCTGCTACTCTGGACCTAATTCTGATCTACAAAGACAACTGGTTGGTGATATGGAAATGATGAGTCATCTTGGAAATTGTAGGTATAGAGTATCACATATTCAAGCACAATTTTAAAATAAAAGAAAAATTCTCTTAATATTCAGAGGAAAGACAGTTATGATTTGATAAACTTGAAACTGTTAAAGAAAGGATGTTCAGGCAGTATTGGATCACCTCCTAGAATAAAATTATCCATAGTAAGGAGTCTCTTTGAATACCTCTACCCTTTTCCTTGTCAGAATTTCTCCTACAATTCTGCATCTTTTGTTTCAATATTGTGATTAATTTTGTCCTTGTTTAACGTGTGCAGTTAGTTAATTTAAAATCTTTGTTACACTTATATAGATTTTTAGGGGCTGGTACTCAGCAAAACACTCTTTTACAACTTCCTGACAGGAATTTCTTCTGTCAAGGAATAGGGGAAATATATTTAAAGAGACTGTTCTAGTTCCAAAAGGGCCTTACAATGTGTTAAAGGTATAAAAAGATTATATAAAAAGACATTAAAAGATTATATGGAAGGAGGAGGTATATAACCAAAGGCGAATATAAGAAGAGTACTTAGCTCAGCTGGGTGCGGTGGGGTGGCTTAAGCCTGTAATCCCAGCAATTTGGGAGGCCAAGGTGGGCAGATCACCTGAGGTCAGGAGTTCAAGACGAGCCTGGCCAACATGGCGAAACCCTGTCTCTACTAAAAATACAAAAATTAGCCAGGCGTGGAAGTGGGCACCTGTATTCCCAGCTACTCGGGAGCCTGAGGCAGGGAGAATTGCTTGAACCCAGGAAGCAGAGGTTGCAGTGAGGTGAGATCACACCACTGCGCTCCAAACTGGGCGGCAAAGTGAGACTCCATCTCAAAAAAAAAAAAAAAAAACTACTTAGCTCTGCCAATGAACTGATAAACAGAATGAGCTTTTTATTAATGCATGAATAGCTTACATTAAAGTAGAGATGCAAATGTATATTACAATATGAGTGAATGTGATTTTAGAGGTTTATATGAAAACATATGATGAAATAATTGAGTTTTTTTTTAAAGAAGACAAAAGTCAGTCATCAGGAAAATGCAGACTAAAACAACAACTACTCATCAGAATGGCTAAAATGTTAGTTAGATTGTGATGCAGCTGGAGCTTCTCATAACTTACTGATGTGAATTTTAAGTGTTGCAGTCATTTCGGAAGTTTCTTGGGCAGTATTCACATCCTCCATGACCCAGCAATTTTATTCCTAAACAGGTACCTGTGGTAGGCAGAAGTCTAAGATGGGCCCCAAGGTATCTACCCTTTGATGTACACATAGCTATTTCTTGTTAATTAATCAAACACTTAGCTTGGTGAAGACATTTTGCCAGATGTATTTCAGTTCCCAAATTAGTTGACCTTAAAATACGAAGATGATCCTCAGTAGGCCTAACAAGCAGGTGAGCACTTAAGAGACTGGATTTTTCCTGTCAAAAGGCTCAGAGTGTGAGAAGGATCCAGTGGACAGGAGATTGTTTCTTGCTGGCTTCGAAGATGGAGGGGGCCATGTAGGAATACCAGTGGCCTCTAGGAGCATACCCCCTGACAGACAGCAGGGAGACAGGGATTCAGACCTACAGCCACAGATGCTGAATTCAGCTAGCAACCTGAATGAGCTTGGGAGCAGATTCTTTCCCAGCACTTCCAGAAAGGGAGGCAGGAATGCAGCATGGCTGAAATGTGGATTTTAGCCTGTAAGTCCTTGAGCAGAGACCCTATTAAGTGACTGCACCTCTAACCTACAGAAATAATAAATGGGTATTCTTTTAAGCCATTAAATTTGTGATACCTTGTTACAAAATCAGTAAAAAAAAAAAATACACCTGGTATTAGTTTGGTACCTGAAAGTGGAATACTACTGTAACAAATATCTGAATATGTGGAAGTCACTTTGGAACTTCGCAGTGAGTAGAACCTGGAAGAATTTCGAGGAGTATGATAGAAAAGCACATACTGCCCAAAACAAGCTGTTTGTAGGACTCAGTACTTAAGTCTCTTGCTAGGGAGAGGCTGGAGAAAGTGGTTCCTTGTTGTATAGTGGGAGAACAGAATGCTTAGCAGAATTGTCCCCTACACAATAGGTAAGTGATTAACTTGGATATTTAGCTGAAGAGATTTCCAAGGAAAGTGTTGAGGGTGCGAGCCGATTCTTCTTGCTGCTTTATAATAAAATGCAAGAGGAGAGAGAAATTGAGTGAAGAAGTTTTAAAGGAACCAGGACTTGACAATTTGGGGAATTCCTACTGTGATGCAGCTGGCAAAAGAGAGAGATTGTTTCTAAAAGTGTGGCACAGAGAAAAATGTGAGAGTGCAGCTGTATAATTTTTTACTAAAAACCCGTTAAAGATCAAAAGGTCAGAGCATTCAGTCACACAGAGGGCCCTTTTTAAGAGATTAACAGTGTACCCCACAGATCTTTTCAAGAAACCAGAGCATCTAGAAAGTTTTTAAAAGTATCATCCCACAGGCATTTCAGCAGGAGCCAAAATGGAGAAAGGGTTCTCTGAAAAAAGATTTGTGAGTGTGACTTTTGTCTAAAGGAGTAAAACCCAATACAATTTATTTAAGACCTGCAAGTTTCTTGAGAAAATTGCATCAGTAGAACATTGCCAGCTTGGACTGAAAAGGACAGAGAGAGTACAAAATAAAAGGAAGCTGTAGCCAGAAGCAGGCTGATAAAAGAACTCAGCTGCAAATAAGTGGTAACTTACATGAAAAAGGAACAATGATTAAGAGAGTAGAGCTTAGACCCACAGAGAATTAGTCCCTGGTCTTGAATCCTAAGAAAAATCCACCATTTGCCACAACGAATTTCAAGACTGTTATGGACTAATAAACTCCTTTTTACCTTCCACTTTCTCTCAATTTCAATGGGAATTTCTATACAGTCAGCCTTTCATATCTGTAGGTTGTGTATCCCTGGACTCAACCAACTATGGCTTGAAAATATTTGGGGAAAAATACAAAAAAAAATAGTATATTTGCATTGCACTTACATTGTATTGGCATTGTAAGTAATCTAGAAATGATTTAAAGTATATGGGAAGATTTGTGTAGGTTATATGCAAATATTATACCATTTTATATGAGGGACTTGAATATCTTTGGATTTTGGTATTCATGGGGCTCCTGGAACCAATCCCCCATGGATACCAAGGTAGAACAGTAACCAGTAACCTATATCCATCCCACCTCTGCATGCTGGGTGTGTTTGGGAGCAGATAATTTTTTTCTTTGGTTACTCTAGGACAAAGAAATTAATAGAAAAATTGTATCCTATTGTTGGATGTATCATGACAGTTCTGCTGTTTTATTGATATCTAATTTATTAATATCAATTTTTATATCTGTTCTTCTCCCTACTTTATTTTTAACTTCTTGTGTTTAAGATCAAAATTCATTTATTTGCTTAAGAATAAATGCTTTAGGAGAATCGCTTGAACCTGGGAGGCGGAGGTTGCAGCAAGCTGAGATCACATCACTGCACTCCAGCATGGGCAACAAGAGTGAAACCTTGTCTCCAAAAAAAAAAAAAAAAAAAAAAAAGAAGGCCGAATAGAATAGAAACAGCTCCAATCTGCAGCTCCCAGCAAGATCAACACAGAAGGGAGGTGATTTCTGCATTTCCAACGGAGGTACCCAGCTCATCTCATTGGGATTGGTTAGACAGTGGGTGCAGTCCACAGAGAGTGAGCCGAAGCAGGGTGTGGCGTTGCCTCACCCGGAAGCGGAAAGGGTCGGGAAACTCCCTCCCCTAGCCACGGGAAGCCATGAGGTATGGTGCCACGAGGGACGGTGCATTTCAGCCCAGATACTACGCTTTTCCCACAGTCTTCACAACCCACAGATCAGGAGATTCCTTTGGGTGCCTACGCCAACAGGGCCCTCCTGGGTTTCCAGCACAAAACTGGCCGGCCGTTTGGGCAGATACCGAGCTAGCTACAGGAGTTTTTTTTCATATCGCAGTGGCACCTGGAATGCCAGCAAGACAGAACCGTTCACTCCCCTGGAAAGGGGGCTGAAGCCAGGGAGCCAAGTGGTGTAGCTCAGCAGATCCCACCCCGACAGAGCCCAGCCAGACTGCCTCTCTAGATTTCTCCTCTCTGGGCAGGGCATCTCTGAAAGAAAGGCTGCAGCCCCAGTCAGTGGCTTATAGATGAAACTCCCATCTCCCTGCGACAGAGCACTTGGAGAAAGGGGCAGCTGTGGGCGCAGCTTCAGCAGACTTAAACGTTCCTGCCTGCCGGCTCTGAAGAGAGCAGCAGATCTCCCAGCACAGTGCTCAAGTTCTGCTAAGGGACAGACTGCTTCCTCAAGTGGATCCCTGACCCCCATGTATCCTTACTGGGAGACACCTCGCAGCAGGGGTCGACAGACACCTCATACAGGAGAGCTTCGGCTGGTGGGTGCCCCTTCTGGGATGAAGCATCCAGAGGAAGGAACAGGCAGCAATATTTGCTGTTCTTCAGCCTCTGCTGGTGATACCCAGGCAAACAGGGTCTGGAGTGGACCTCCAGCAAACTCCAGCAGACCTGCAGCCTGACTGTTAGAAGGAAAACTAACAAACAGAAAGGAATAGCATCAACATCAACAAAAAGGGCATCCACACAGAAACACCATCTTAAGATTACCAACATCAAAGACCAAAGGTAGATAAATCAACAAAGATAAGGAAAAACCAGCACAAAAAGGCTGAAAATTCAAAAACCAAAATGTCTCTTCTCCTCCAAAGGATCACAACTCCTTGCCAGCAAGGGAACAAAACTGGACAGAGAATGAGTTTGACGAATTGACAGAAGTAGGTTTCAGAAGGTGGGTAATAACAAACTTCTCAGAGCTAAAGGAGTGTGTTCTAACCCAATGCAAGGAAGCTAAGAACCTTGAAAAAAGGTTAGAGGAATTGCTAACTAGAATAACCAGTTTAGCGAAGAACATAAATGACCTGATAGAGCTGAAAAGCACAGCTTGAGAACTTGATAAAGCATACACAAGTATCAGTAGCCAAATTGATCAAGCAGAAGAAAGGATATCAGGGATTGAAGATCAACTTAAATAAAGCATGACGACAAGATTAGAGAAAAAAGAATGACAAGGAATGAACAAAGCCTCTAAGAAATGTGGGACTATATGAAAAGACCAAACCTATGTTTGATTGGTGTACCTAAAAGTGATGGGGAGAATGGAACCAAGTGGAAAAACACTCTTCAGGATATTAGCCAGAAGAACTTCCCCAACCTAGCAAGACAAGCCAACATTCAAATTCAGGAAATTCAGAGAACACCACGAAGATACTCCTCGAGAAGTGCAACCCCAAGACACACAATTGTCAGATTCACCAATAACAAGTTCTGAAATTGAGGCAGTAATTAATAGCCTACCAACCAAAGAAAGCCCAGGACCAAACGGATTCACAGCCGAATTCCACCAGAGGTACAAAGAGAAGCTAGTACTTTTCCTTCTGCAACTATTCCAAACAATAGAAAAAGAGGGACTCCTCTCTAACTCATTTTATGAGGCCAGCCATCACCCTGATACCACAACCTTTCAGAGACACAACAAAAAAAGAAGTTTTCAAGACAGCATGCCTGATGAAAATTGATGCAGAAATCCTCAATAAAATACTGGCAAACCGAATCCAGCAGCACATCAAAAAGCTTATCCACCATGATCAAATCGGCTTCATCCCTGGGATGCAAGGCCGATTCAACATACGCAAATCAATAAAAGTAATCCATCACATAAACAGAACCTATGAAAAAAACCACGATTATCTCAATAGATGCAGAGAAGGCCTTCAACAAAATTCAACACCCCTTCATGCTAAAAACTCTCAATAAACTAGGTGTCGATGGAACGTATCTCAAAATAATGGCTATTTATGAGAAACACATAGCTAACATCATACCGAATGGGCAAAAGCTGGAAGCATTCCCTTTGAAAACCGGTACAAGACAAGGATGCCCTCTCTCCCCACTCCTGTCCAACATAGTATTGGAAGTTCTGGCCGAGGCAGTCAGGCAAGAGAAAGAAATAAAGGATATTCAAACAGGAAGACAGGAAGTCAAATTGTCTCTGTAGACGACATGATTCTATATTTAGAAAACCCCATCGTCTCAGCCCAAAATCTCCTTAAGCTGATAAGCAACTTCAGCAAAGTTTCAGGATACAAAATCATTGTGCAAAAATCATAAGCATTCCTAGACAAATAGAGACAGAGAGCCAAATCATAAGTGAACTCCCATTCACCATAGCTACAAAGAGAATAAAATACCTAGGAATACAACTTACAAGGGATGTGAAAGACCTCTTCAAGGAGAACTACAAACCACTCCTCAAGGAAATAAGAGAGGACACAAACAAATGGAAAACATTCCATGCTGATGGATAGGAAGAATCAATATCGTGAAAATGGCCATACTGCCCAAAGTAATTTATAGATTCAGTGCTATCCCCATCGAGCTACCATTGACTTTCTTCACAGAATTAGAAAAAAAAACTTTAAATTTTATGTGGAACCAAAAAGCCCGTATAGCCAAGACAATCCTAAGCGAAAAGAACAAAGTTGGAGGCATCACGCTACCTGACTTCAAACTATTCTACAAGGCTAGAATAGAACCAAAATAGCATGGTACTGGTACCAAAACAGATACATAGACCAATGTAACAGAACAGAGGCCTCAGAAACAACCCACACATCTACAATCATCTGATCTTTGACAAACCTGACAAAAACAAGCAATGGGGAAAGGATTCTCTATTTAATAAGTGGTGTTGGGAAAACTGGATAGCCATATGCAGAAAACTGAAACTGGACCCCTTCCTTACACCTTGTACAGAAATTAACTCAAGGTGGATTAAAGATTTTAATGTAAGACCTAAAACCATAAAAACCATAAAAGAAAACCTATTCAAAACCATTCAGGACATAGGAATGGGCAAAGACTTCGTGACTATAACACCAAAAGCAATGGCAACAAAAGCCAAAATTGACAAATGGGATCTAATTACACTGAAGAGCTTCTGCAGAGCAAAAGAAACTGTCATCAGAGTGAACAGGCAGCCTACAGAATGCGAGAAAATTTTTGCAATCTATCCATCTGGCAAAAGGCTAATATCCAGAATCTACAAAGAACTTAAACAAATTTACAAGAAAAAAACAACCCCATCAAAAAGTGGGCAAACTTCTCAAATGAAGACATTTACACAGCCACTTTATGCAGACACTTCTCAAATGAAGACATTTATGCAGCCAACAAACGTATGAAAAAAAGGTCATCATCACTGGTCATTAGAGAAATGCAAATCAAAACCACAATGAGATATCATCTCACACCAGTTAGAATGGTGATCATTAAAAAGTCAGGAAACAACAGATGCTGGAGAGGATGTGGAGAAATAGGAATGCGTTTACTTTGTTGGTGGGAGTGTAAATTAGTTCAACCATTGTGGAAGACAGTGTGGTGATTCCTCAAGGATCTACAACCAGAAATACCATTTGACCCAGCAATCCCATTACTGGGTATGTACCCAAAGGATTATAAATCATTCGACTATAAAGACACATGCACATGTATGTTTATTGCAGTACTATTCACAATAGTAAAGACGTGGAACCAACCCAAATGCCTATCAGTGATAAACTGGATAAAGAAAATGTGGCACATATACACCTGGAATACCATGCAGCCGTAAAAAAGGATGAGATCATGTCCTTTGCAGGGACATGGATGAAGCTGGAAACCATCATTCTCAGCAAACTAACACAGGAACAGAAAACCAAACACCACATTTTCTCACTCATAAGTGGGAGCTGAACAATGAGAACACAGAAGTGAACATGATACGCTGAGGCGTGTCGGAGGGTGAGAGGCTAGGGGAGGGATAGCATTAGGAAAAATACCTAATGTAGATGATGGTTTGATGGGTGCAGAGTCACAAAGTCATGAAGCAATCTCCCATATTTAAGGACCTGTAGTTAGACATTGCTGGGTGGGTAGTCAAGAACAAATAAGGCAAGAAAGGTCTACTTCATGAAAGACTTTCTTTGTTCCTTTTTGTTGTTGTTGTTGTTGTTGTTGTTGTTTTTTGTTTAAGGAGGGAGGGTTGGTGCAGTCATGGCTCACTGCTCAAGCAATTTCCCAGGCTCAAGCAGTCCTCCTGCCTCAGCTCAAGCAATCCTCCTGCCTCAGCCTCCTGAGTAGCTGGGACTACAGGCATGAATCTCCAAACCAGGCTATACATTTCTTGTAGAGACAAGTTCTCACTATATTGCCCCGGGCTCATCTTGAACTCCTAAGCTCAAGTGATCCTCCAGCCTTGGCCTCCCACAGTGCTGGAATTACAGGTGTGAGCCACTGTGCCCAGCCATGAAAAGGCCTTCTGTACAATTATAAGAAAGTTAGATTCTCAACCTTTTTTCAACTTTAAATAATTAATCTAGTAACATCATCTTAAGATACATGATAAGCAGGTATTTTTTGGACTGTAGACTATCATACAAATTGCAGATTATTTCCTTGCTGTATTTCAATGCAGGAACAGAAACCACTGCAGATATTTTACACATAAGAGGATTTAACACAAGAACCTAGCTGTTTAAAAGAATGTTTGGAAGGGTACAGACTTACTGAGTTTTAGAACGTATTGCCATAGCTTCAATGCAGGGAATAGGAAACAGGGCTGCTTTCATGATTACCACCTCTCACCACATGAAGCTCATGAGCAGACTTGGAACACTGTGTTTGGTCCCCACTGCTGCTGCTCCATAAGTGTCTTCTACTGTTCAGATCTCTGTAAACATCCTTGTCAGCAGAGATAGCAACAGAAAGATAGTCTCTGCCTCACTTCTGCCTACACATTTCAAACACATCCAATTAGTAGAAATGTAATATCATCTAGAACCTTAGCTGAAAGAAGTATGTTTTAGTTTTCCAGTATCTGCAGTATAGAAGGGCATATAGGAGGAAGTGCAAATCCTGTAATCCCAGCACTTTGGTACTGAGTACCAAGTGACCAAATCCTGCACACTGTGTATCTCTACCCTTTTTTCCCAGATATAGGTACCACAAAATGTCACTGAATATGGTTTCACTAAATATGGTTTAAGAAGCATTATGGTAGAAGGGAGGAAGCTATTAGAGTCTTTCAAGTAGATAATGTGAACTTTCTTGGCTTCGAAAAGATAACTCTTGTGGCAGTTTAGAATGGATTTGACGATCAATGATAATGGTTTAAATTAGGCTCAGGCCGTAAGGATGGAGAGGGAGTACGCTGGGAATGTCTGATTGTTTTATTAATTACTATGATAGGTTCCCATATTTTGTATGGTTTTCTTGCTCATTTAATAAAGACTTACTGAATACTCATTAGGTGTAAGATATTATGATATTTGCTGAGAATATAAATGTGATGACATTTTCTATTATGTTGGGTTAATCTAATGGTTAATTTCAACATTACTTAGGAAGCTGTACATATTCTTCTGTCAAAGAAAATTGGTAATAATAAAATCTTCCAAATTTTGTGCTTGACTACATAATATTTGACAGGCTGCTGTCACAGCTAAATATTATAGCAAATAGGATGTATGTGTTACTCCCTAGTACTTAACATTATAGATATCTTAAATTCCTTAAGCAAATACAGAACTGTCATGTTCCCAGTAACATGATTTGTAAGATATGTTTAAGTCAAGTGCAGTATAGGGATTTAGAATACAAGTTGTATTCTACAAGAATCCCCTCAGTGTGCCACTAAATACAACTTGTATTTAGTGGCATACTGAGGGGATTCAACTTCATTATCTGTGTATTTCTGTTACATTGTTTCAATCATTTTCTTTTCTCTTGGTTCAGCTTATCCATTTTAAGGTAACTTTTCAGTCTCAATTTAATATGCTGTTCTTATAATATTAAAATAAATAACCTTATTAGTGTTTCCTAAGTTTTAGTGTTTCTTAGGTGGGTTTCAACTATATATATTATTAAATGTTACTATTTTCAGTACAATTTTATGTTCTACTAATAGACACCAGCACTACAAAACTTAACTTGGTCTCTTGATATTAGTAAAAGATGTACTTAAAAATATGAGTCATTGTTATTTATTATCATTAATGATCTATATCACCATAAAATTAAAAAATAATCTTTAAGAAAAACAAGTGAAGAGTTGATTTTGATCCACAGCAGTATTTCAGCTTCATGAAACATACACTGTTTGCATTCCTGAAAAGTTTTGTTGGGGTCTTGTTAACTCTAGAACTATAAGAATTTATTTTCCTATATGTTTTTATAGCTTTATTTTAGTTGAGTTTATTTTATTACTAATAGGTCAATTTTCTATTTCTGCATAGAAGAACAACCCCAAACTTAGAGGCTAAAATAACAGCCATTTTGTTGGCTCATAGTTCTGTTGGGTCGGCAACCTGGGTCGGCTCAGCAGGAGTGCCTTCCCCTGAAGTCACTTACACAACTGTAGTTATCTGGCTGCACGACTAGGTTGGATGATCTAGCTTGCCTTACTCGTATGTCTGGTGGTTGGTTCTGGCTATGGGCCAGGCCAGGGTCTCCAACAGGCTAGTCTGGGCTTCATCACATGGCACTTGGGTTCTGAAAGCATTAAAAAAGAGACCAAGCCCCTCTTCCTTGCAAGTACTTTTCAAACTATGCCTGTGGCACAACTGCTAATAATTCATTGGCGCATGCAAGCCACACGATCAATCCTAGAGTCAGTGTGGGAGGGGAATGTAATCTGAAATCTTCTACGTTTGAAATCTGTTTGTCTCAAAGCTGTTCAGTGCCATTTGTTTCATGACTACTTTCACTAAAAAATGTTAGATTTCTATTGCATGTGACTCAAACATTTCCTTAAAAAAAGATTTCTTGTGGATTACTTTCTTAAAATTATTAAATAACGATACCTTCTGTCTTGTCTGTCTCTCTCTGTGTACAAACATGCACACGCATAACACATAGTTTTTTGTTTTTTGTTTTTTGTTTTTTTGAGACGGATTCTTGCTCTGTTACCCAGGCTGGAGTGCAGTGAGTGGATCTCGGCTCACTGCAAGCTCCGCCTCCCAGGTTCACGCCATTCTCGTGCCTCAGCCTCCTGAGTAGCTGGAACTACAGGTGCCCACCACCTCGCCTGGCTAATCTTTGTATTTTTTAATAGAGACGGGGTTTCACCGTGTTAGCCAGGATGGTCTCGATCTCCTGACCTCGTGATCTGCCTGCCTTGGCCTCCCAAAGTGCTGGGATTACAGGCGTGAGCCACCGCGCCCAGCCCATAACACATAATTTTAAGTGCTCTAACACATTACTCCTTTTAAGTAGTCAATATATTTTTAAATGTATTATATAAAATCTTTCATATTATTTAATTATTTTATCATTTAAACCCTCCATAAGGTAAGGATTTTAATATCACTGGCATGGTATTGTTTTGTTTGGTTGCAACTGGAAGTTTAGTTTTTTCACTCTTCTGTTCCTACATGTTCAGAGCCATGACAATTTGCCAGTTAAGAAATTCTTGAGTTCATTGTGATTTAAAAAGCATTAAACTTTTCTCTCTTCTCAGTTTACTTAAATGATGATGGTAGTTATAGAGCAGAGTAATTTTTAAGTTTGGTGGTGCTTTGTACAAATACACTCCCATTATTTATATATTTTTAAAAAAATATATGAGTCATTCTAGAGACCTTATTAAAGTGTTGGTGCTAAACTAGTTAAATGAATGTTTAAGTTTCTTGTTAATGTATTAAATACTAAATATTTTGTTCTTCTCACTTCTGGAAAACATAGTGATGCTTAAAATATCTCAGTCATGTAAGTTAGTTTTACAGTTGACTGAGGAAAAAAAATCTTAGGATGATAGCTAATATTGAGAAAGTGAGCCTTGTGAGTAACAAAGTACTATCAAATCATTTTGTTTATACAGTAGACATGTCTATACTTGGTTAAACTTACATAAATTCTTTAGAAAGAGACCATTATCATATAAAACACTCAACAGAAATTACAAGTAGATGAAGCTTAAGTAATTATCTAACTGAACATTACCTCTAAGAAAGAATGAGAATGAGTTGCGTGTGTATTTATTTGATAAGTGTTTTCATCTTGAAAATCTCTGTAATAAAATTGTGTGTTAATGGAAATACAAAATATTCTGTATGCTTTGCCGAGTGCCTAATGTTAGTATTGACAGGCTGGCAGTCATTATTATCATTTGTGTTATTTTAAGTGCTATTTATTTAAATTATAAAGTCTTTTCTGAGAGACGAAATGGGGGGGTCTGTAGGAAAAAAAATAAGCATTATAGATTTTCACAAGATACCTTTTTTTTTTAACTAAAAATAAGTGCTATGAAAAGGACAAGAGAAAAAAACAGGACAAGACGGTATTCATTCTTTGCCTTGAAATTAAATGAGCCAGTATGAAAACTGTCTGCAGTTGTCAGAATGATGAATTTTAGCAAATGCATGTAAATTATTGTAATTTGTTAATGAAGGCCTGCCATATCATCAGAACATAGGAAGAAATAGTTCAAATATATTTCAGAAACATTGTCTAAGACTGAGTACAGGTGATCTCAGTCCTTCAAAAGGCCCACAAGTTAATGAGAAAGATGGACCTTGACAATCATATAAGGCAAGCCTGATAGAGATACAAAAGTATCACATCAGTTTAAATGCAAGTGGTATTTGAATTGAATCTTTGAAGAGAAGAAAAATATCAAGGAGGTGCATTTTGCCTGGAAGGAGTAGTAACCACAGGTACTGAGATGGATTAATGTGCTTAGTAATGCCTGAGAAACACAGTAGTACTCAGGGGTGATGTAGATGTTGAAATCATAGCTTATGGCCTAAAGGGTAAATGTGTGGTATGCCCAAGGTTACGCAGTTAGTGGAGGACAGCCAGATTTGAAACACATTCTAACTTCAAAATTCATCTTCTATCGTGCCATGCTATCTATTTGCTGTAAGGCCTTATGTTTGATGTATAAGCTGAATTAGCATAATTAAATATTAGTCACAATGAATAGATAAATCTGATGATTATATACCAGTTTTGCTGTTCCTGAATTATATATCATAATCAACCCTCTAATGCAATTAGTAAAATTTGCCATTTTTCAAATTTCTTTTTTGAGTATATTTTTCTCTTGCAGGGTTACATTTTGCCATCTGCCTTTCCAGAGTAAGTGGCTCTATGTGGGCACTGAACGAGGTAATATACATATTGTCAATGTGGAGTCCTTCACACTCTCAGGCTACGTCATTATGTGGAATAAAGCCATTGAACTGTGAGTTTGAACAAATATTTTGTATCTGAAAGCATCAGTTCTATATATAATAATACCGTTACATCATAGCCAATCAGTAAATCTGTATGGAATTAAATATGTGACAGATGTTCTTAATATTAAGTACAGATTTATTAGTTTTTTATGAGTAGTATTTTGACATGGCAATTTGTAAATTTAAATTATGCATATGTATATAGAGATATATGCACATTACATATGTATATATTTACATTTGTGTACACTGTAACACTAGTTTAAGGAAACAGTCATTCCTACTAATGAAAATCATCTAATTTTTTCTGTTCTCTTATCTTCTAATTATTTTTCTTTCAAATGATGGTCATGACCCACAAATGAGTTGCCACCAATGTTTGGAAAACACTGATTTAAACTACTACTTGATATGTTTTAATAATCATCAAATATAATGTTTGCTAAAGTTAATATATTATCAAATTAATTTTGTTTGATTTTACTTAATTTTGATAAATTTTTACTTTTTGATAAATTTTATAAATAATGATTGTTTTCATTTACTAATATTAGTAACAAAAACTAGGTTAAACTATAGGGCCCTAAGGATCTTTAGTGCTAACTCTTCACTCTGTCTTAAATTTTTTGTATCTTATCTCTTTCTACAAGTTTTTTCTTACATTTCTGGGACATAAAAATCAAAGTTTAAGGATATCAGCAAGACCCTTTTGAATGTTTCTTTTTGATTTTAAGCAAATAGTGTTGTATTGTTGCATTCCATGGTATTTACCTCTTTTTGAGATAAGGATAATTCTGTGACGTATCTCTTAAGTCATGTGTTAGTATAGCTGTAATAGTGTATTAATCCTGGTTTTTCTTCTTGTAGCAAGAATATTATCATATATCAGTCCTTTGGTAGGGTGGGTTTTCATGGTCTGTTCTTTGAATTGATCATGACATCTACTAGGTAGGCCTAGTGCAGGTGTCTGTATAGTTTCACAGATGGCTCTCATGAAATGGAGTGATCTGTCAAACTTGGGAGTTTCTGAATTAGGGGTATGCTTATTTTTACTCTATAGGCATCAGTTCAACCATATTCTTATTTGTAGAACTTCTTTTTCTCTGAGCAGATATAGGTGGCATTATTTTTTTTTTAATAGAATGTTTTTCTATTTCTATTGAAACTAAATGGGATGCCTAAATTGGAGGCTAGAATTCAGTAAAATAAGATAGGTGCTGCATTATTCAAAAATAGTAATTTTGAGAATTCTACCTTGACAATAGATTTCCTGTGCTCAAATCTTTGACTAAATTGAAGATTCTTTCCTATGCAGAAAGTGTACTTAATTGTGAATTTTGCTTAGTTATATGAGTCACCACTTCTTCCCTGATCCCTATTTTGATCCATATTAAGAACTATATGCCTATTATTTATCTCTTGCTGAAATCCTTTCTTTCTTTATAAATATAACTTATTTTCTATTTATTTTTATTGGAATGAAATATGTAGCCATATTAAAATTCTTAACTGAAGAGAAAATCTTACTAACTTTTTCTTTTTTAGGTCATCTAAATCTCACCCAGGACCTGTGGTCCATATAAGTGATAATCCAATGGACGAGGGAAAGGTAGAATTTTTTGTAAAAAATTATATATTAAATGCACAAATTTTAGTATTTTTCAATAAACATGCTATTTCAGGATCACACTTATTACAAATTGAGATTACCATTGAAGGTTGTGTATCATATACAGTTAATGCTTATTATTAATTATTAAGAACAAATGAAAGAATTAGAATCATTTACAATTTTAAAGGACAAAACAATACCTTAAAACATAAGTCAAACTTAATGCATATAATTACAGGTTATTAATTTATATTTGGCTTATTCAGACTGTTTTCCCTGATTTTCTGTTAATCCTGGTAAAAAGTTTGCTTTTGGTTTTTGGCTTCTTTTGAACACTTTGTACAATTTTTGTAGCACTAATCACAGATTGCCTTACGTTATAGTTGTCTTGTTACCTCATCTCCCCTAAAATTTTTTGTCATAAATAGTTCTAATTAATAATGTAGAGTTTTTTTTAATGTTATTTAATTTTTAATACTCTGAAACCAGTTTCATATAATCAGTATCTAGCTATTGTTAATTTAGATTATTTAAATCTTTTAAAATAATAAATATTTTTGGATGAATTTTTATTTTCTATTTCAAACCAGTCTTTCAGATAGTTCTATTTAATAATGATGTTTTTCTACCTATATAATTTTATGATCTTAAGCTAAGTAAATACCAGGAAGTTTATTGCTATCAGAAATCAGTAAAGTGAAACCTCTGGATTTTGTGCAGGAGTTTAACCAGGGTTTTCATTTCCTCAATTGTGGGAGAGGTTGAGCTGATATATTGTTTAACACTGTTCTCTTAGTTTGCCATTGGGTAAACAAAAGGATAATTAGACCGTTTGGAGTTAGGTCATAATTATAGCATTGTTTTAAAAGCCAAGCCTTTCAATGGGAGGCATGGTAGGAGAGTTCAAAACTTCCTTTCCATCTCTAATTGGTCATCAAGTCATTTTAATTCTTCCTGTGCCTTTTGCTTTTCTTTTTCTTTCTTTCTTTTTTTTTTTTTTTTTTTAAATTTTTTAATTTTCCTAAAAGTCTCACTATGTTGCCTAAGCCAGTCTTAAACACCTGGGCTCAAGTGATCCTCCTGCCTTGTAATCCCAAACTGCTGGGATTATAAGCACAAGCCACTGTGCCTGGTTTAGACTGCCATTTTAATCTTAGTGTTCTACTCTTTCAAAGCTTTCAGTGGGTCTGTAGTATCTAACAAATAAAATCAGTTTTTCTTGAAATATAGCCCTAGATTTCCTTATTTTTCAGGATATCTTTACCTGAATGTTGTGCTGAAGCAAATAGTTGTATTTTCAGTTATGAACTGCTCTTTGATGTTTCCATACCTTTGTTTAAGTGAGTCCTTCTGTTTGGAATTCTCTTTCCATCTCTCTGCTGAATTCCTATCTACACTTTAAGGCCCAGATTAAATATTTTTTGTTTGTGATTTCTTCCCTGATAATCCTGACAGAAAATGCTTTTTCTTTCTTTCACATTTATTAGTACTTTAGTTATGAAATTTTATGGTATTTATCACATAATGCTTTGTATTAGAAATGTGTGCATATCTCAGCTCCCCTGAATTTGAAACTCGTTAAGCACAAAGGTAATATTTATACAGGTTTCTATTTGCCATAGCATCTAACTTATAATAAAAATACCAACTGCTCAATATACAATTATATGGATTATATATATAATTCATTCCATAAATAATGAGGATGGAGTAAATAAGTTATATATATATATAAAATTTAAAAAATATTAGGGTGCTAGAATAAACTATATTATCTAAACTTTGGTTTCTTTTAGACTCTTTCCTGTTTGCAAAGAACTAGACATTTTGTCATTGAAAAATCATGTAAGGTGACAGGGCAAGTTCCTTCAATGCTAACCTTACCGGTGGATACTGCCACATTAAGTGAAGGTCTTGGCCAAGGAAGGTTAGACATTAGATAGGTTAGACTTATGATAGGAATAGCTACCATTTATTTAATTCTATGTTTCAAGCACTGTGCTTGCCACTTTATATACACGATTTCATTTGATCTTTTCAACAAATTGTAAATTAGAAATTTCCCTTACTTTACAAATTATAAAGCAGAGACTTGGTGACATTATGTGTTCCATAGATACAGAGCTAGACTTTGGCGGATCTGAGATTTGAAGACCAATTTCTTTAATTTCAACCCAGGAGTACTCTCTGTTATGCTAAGCTTTCTTTCTAGATACAGACTGGTTATATACGTTGTAGAGAAATGTATTCATATTCCACATACACACTAATGCTTTTTCAAAGAGAAAAATTAGACGGGAATTAGTCATTAGTATGTAAGCTAATTAACATCTCTATGGGTTATAAAAGATTCTAGTAGGAATAAGCATTGAAGAATTTCCAATTTTAATTAAGTACTCTATCTTTAGTTTTCTATTTTTAAATATTTATTATTCTCTTGCTTTTGTAAAGAAAGGAATTGAAAAGCTGGAAGATTATGGGCATAAAACTCTAACCTGTTGTCACATATTTCTAATATCCTTAGAATACTAGAGCTGGCTAGAGAGGTTAAAGTTTAACCCTCTTAAGTTATTAAGGTCTGGATAGATAAAATTATTTCCTTAAAGTTATATGGCTATTAAGTGGCAGATTTAATACTAGAACTCAGGTTACTTAGGTCCTAAGCAGTGCAGTGCTGTTTACAGTGTATATCAACCCTTACATTTTATTCTTTTTCTTCTCTTTCCTTATTCTCAAATGCTGTATCACATGTCCAAGATATTTGAAAAGACTGGGAAAAGAGAGAGGAAACAAATACCATTTTTTTCCAAAAGGTGTATGTATCTCAGATTGCCTAGGAAAGAAGAGATAAGGTTAGAAAAATTGACTGTATTCTGTACTAAAGTAGGAAAACTTATTTTGTTAGTTTTGATAGTTAGTCCCTCCAGCTGCCCCTGTACTCTGAAATCTTCTAAATTTGTCCTATTAAAATTACTGGTTCTGCCCAAATTTTGTTTATATCCCCAGATTACCCAAACAGATATAGACTAATCATTTTTCTAATTATTAAACAAATATTTATTGTGTGTCTACTATGTATTAGGAAGTGTATTAGATATTAGAGACATATAGATGAAAATGCATGGTACTAGTTTAAGAAAAGGAGCATCTTAATTTGTCTAGAGGAACTGGGTAGACTTAACCAGGAAGCAACACTGAATTTAGACTTAAAATATTAGTAGAGGATTGCTTATTGAATGAAAGGGGAGGAGGTTTTAAGCAGAGGAAATCTCATACTGAGATTTGGAAAATACTGAGGTGGGGCCTGGGGGTACACTGTGGTACACTGTGGGCAGCGTACATAGTTTGTGAGGCAGGAACATGCATTCCATTCTGAAATAGATGCATTTCATAAGAAGTATTTATAACATACCTGGCCCTGTGTGTTACGTTAGAGGTATTGTGGTAAACAAGATAAAAACTAATCCTTGCCCCGATATCCCGGTTTTACAGACTGCACGATAATTCAAATAAGGAAAAGTCCATTATTATATTGTGTGGTGATCCTTCGAATTAAAAAAAAAAAGTACAAAGTGTTATTGGAGCACATAGGGAGGGTATTGACTTACATTTGGTAGGTCACAGAAGGCTTCCCAGAGGAAACGATCACTAAAATGACATCTGAAAGATGAGAAGGACTAGTCAGGCAAAAAGGATGACATTCAAATGGAGTGGCCCAGGTAGCGAGGCAGCATGTACAAAGGTTCAAAGGTAAGAGAGAATATGAACTTAAGAATATACTGTAATGTATTGAGTGGCCATGGTATGGTAAGGGATGGAACTGGAGAGGTAAACAGAGCTCATACCATGATGGAACTTGTAGGTCATATTACTGAATTTGCAATTTATCCTAAAAATAATGGTGTGGCATTTAAAAGTTTTAAACAGAAGCATACATTACCCTGTTCGGTTTGTATTCTAGAACTCTTAACTCTAGCTACAATAAGAAATGGGTTAAAATAGGAGCAAGACTGGAGTCAAGGAGACCCGAAAAGGAATCTTTGTGTCTTGAACCAGGGAAGAGGCCCTAGAGATGGAGAGAAGTAAATTAGATAATAGGATGTAACTTAAATTTACATGGTGATTTTACCTGTTGGAGGAGAGACTAGTTAAGAATGAGCTCCGGGTTTCTAGCTGGTGCCACCGAATAGACGTGATAAGGAATGGTGAGAGACACTGCAACAGGGAATTCCAGAGAAGCAGATTAGAGAATATAATTAATTCAGTTTGGGGCACATTTACTTTGAGGCTTTTGTGTAGATAAGTGGAGATGTGGCCACTGGAATTATGTGTCTGAATCTCACCAGAGGGATGTAGGCTGGGTATGATTTGGAACTAATCAATATATAGTTGGAATAGATGAGATTACCTCATAGTGTGTAGAATTTGAAAAGTTTGTAAACTTGAAAATACATACAAAAGTTTTGAAAAGACTTCAAAATGGTACTGTTTTTGTTTTCAAAAGTCAGTTGTATGTTGAGTCCCTAATCATCAAAGACATATAAATATGCCATACAGTGTTCTCATTTGTCATTTACGTGATTACTAATTAGCAATGCAGATGTTTGTTTATATTATACATTTATACTCAACGCATTTGAATGATAGTAGTTATTTTCATTGTCAGCAAATAAATGTTTTATAATTGATATCATTCCTAGGTAATGTGCCTTTTTCTTTTATCACAGCTTTTGATTGGCTTTGAATCTGGAACAGTAGTTTTATGGGACCTCAAATCAAAGAAAGCCGACTACAGATACACATATGATGAGGTAATATTATTTTTGCTAGTAAAAGCTATGGTCATTTCTCTCATATAAAGCAGTTTCTCTAAAAACTTAATTGGTAATTTTACTTTAGGCAAACTTTGTAATTGCAGTAATACACAATTTATTTTTTACAATAGATAATATGTTCACACAATTCAAAAGATAACAAAAATCTTCTTCCCACCTGCCATTTGGTTATCTAGTTTCCTTACAGGTAGCATGTTACCAGTTTCTCTCATGTTCTTCCAAAGAGACACTGTGCATTTACAAGCAAATTCATAAATATATCTTATTTTTTCTTTTGTACGAATGATAGTATACTATAGACATTTATAATCCACTTTAAGAACCAGTAAGAATTAATTGTGATTGACAGATAAGTCTTTTCTCTCCTTTTGCTCCTCACTTCCCTTCCTTACCTTACCTCTCCTTTTTTGGCATTTATTTGTTGAAGATAGAGTCTTCCAGATGCTGGCTTTTTCTGGCTGCATCCCCATTGTCTTTAACATGTTTTTTTGTTTTTTGTTTTTTGTTTTTGCCCTCAGATTTCCTATAAATTGGATAATTTACTGAGGCTTGATCAAATGCCGGTTTATTTTTCATTTTGGCAAGACTACTTCATAGATGATACTGATACTCATTTAGCTGGTGGAACCTTAGTGTCTATTTCAGATGTTGGAAGCCAGTGGTGGTTGAGGCCGAGATCTGTTACTGTATAGTAGTTGCAAAATAGGAGACATTCTAATTCTGTCTTTCCTTCTCTACTTATTATGTAGGTCACTTCAGTAAAGAGAACCTTCCTCTTATCTGCTATTTGTTTATATAATAGGACAGTTCATATAGCAAAGGCAGGATAAATATGTGGTTCTTTTCCTTTATTTTAGTATTCATCTTAAGGGGTTGTTCTCTAATGGTTTCCATGATGACCAATTTATTCTGACTTTTAGTTTCACTGTGTGCTCAACAACTTAAACATATTTGATATACTTCAATCCACTGAAGTTATTGTTGCTTTTCACATTATCCCAACTTTGGTCAGTGTACCTCCTCCCTACTAATCTGTATATTTCTGAATCAAATTTAGAATAAGGTATTTTTCTATGGAACTATGACTTCTTTCAGTGCCATGTCTGGTGGCCATAATTTAGACATCAGGAGTGTTCATGGTTTCCAATTCAGTGAGTAGAGCTATATCTAGGAAATGTGTAAGTGGTTGTTTAAGATAAAATACATCATAATCTTAGTCATAATCATATTGGTATGTTCAGTTACTGAGACATCAGAACCTATTGAGTAATTATAGCAACATTTGAATACTTTGCACATGTTTGTACATTATCTTTTTAGGCATGACTGAAAGGGAATTCCCTTTGTTTTTATGACTGTATACTTTTTGCTGCTCACTAGTCAGGATCTTCAAATTAAACAAGCATGTTTTGAATAAATACAGTTCCTATCATTTCTGTGTAGTTGTGATCTGTAGTTGTGGTCTGCAGATGAAAGCAGATTTTAAAAATTGAACATTTTGGTTTTGCTTATTATTTTAAATAGTGATCTAGGCTTGAGCCATTATGGAGTCACAGGGACTAGTTTACCTCCTTGCTTTAAACAAAGAAACTGGACAGGATATATTGAACAACAGTTTTCAGCAGTTAGACAGCAGGTCATGTAGAACAGTATTTTTTAGAGAGGAGAAACAAAGAAGGTAAACCCCTCAATTGCTTTAGCTAATGGCCTGAAGAGATTTTCCAGTTCTTGGAACATGAAGAGGGAACCTAGGTGGAAGCTGAGAAGTCTCCCTGAGTTGAAAAGTCAGAGTTGGGAAACTGGGGAAACTAAGACATCTGCAGCTTAGAAGGCAAGGTATTAGAGAGCAAAGAGCTTAGAAAGAGAGTTGTAGAAGTCTACAAAAGGACCCCTGCCCTGAGTCTTCAGTTGAATACTGATTATTGCATGGGTATAAGGCTTGGATAAGATCCACCAAAAAGGAAACAGTAGAACCATTTCTGTAGCACAGACAGGACTGGGAATAGTTCACATTCCCAACAGAGTAGAGAAACTTTGTAATACACAGGGTATGAGAAAGAGTATTCAGAAAGCTGTTGTTGCAGTGGTGGAACTAAACTAGCCCTATACTAAAGGCTGGCTTAAGTTCATCCTAACAAATCTTGAATGCAAACTTTGAAAGGACTGAAAGGACTAAACTGTTTTTAAGTACGTAACTACATCCTAGGAAAAACACCCAAAAACATTTAGAAGAATATGAATAGTAGCCCGATATAAATTTTACAATGTCTAGCATCCAAATAGAAATATATGAAGTATGCAAAAAGCCAGGATATACAACCCATAATGAGAAGAAAATGAAAATAGAAACAGACTCAGAAATGACAAGATGATACCATTGGCATCAAAAATATTAAAACAAGTATTATTAAATAGACTCCATATGCTTAAGAAGGTAGATGAAAGTATGAACATGTTGAAAAAAGACATGGAAGGCAAAAATCACACAAGTGGATTTTTTACAGATGAATGATAAAATAAGGTGAAAAATACTCTGAACAGTACTGCCAAAGGATTAATACGCTTCAGGAAATAGCAGTAGAAGCTACTTGATGTGAAAGAATGGAGGAAAAAAGGACAGATCATTAGTGAACTGTGGTACGACTTCAAGCAGACTAATATGTGTATTTTGAATCCTCGGAGGAGAGTGGAGAGGAAGTATGTTTCAAGAAGCAATGACCAAAAGTTTCAAATTTGATGAAAACTATATACTCAGAGATTTAAAGAGTTGAATGAACTCTAGGCAGAAGAAACACGAAACAAACTACATAAAAGCACAATCTTCAATTCCTACAAACTAGTAATAGAGAAGATTATGAGAAACAATTAGAGGAATTTTAAAAGCCACATTAAGTACAGGGGAGCAAAAATAAAAATGACAGCAGAGGCCGGGTGCGGTGGCTCATTCCTGTAATCCCAGCACTTTGGGAGGCCAAGGCGGGCAGATCACGAGGTCAGGAGATCGAGACCATCCTAGCTAACATGGTGAAACCTCGTCTCTACTAAAAAATACAAAAAATTAGCTGGGCGTGGTGGCAGGCGCCTGTAGTCCCAGCTACTTGGGAGGCCGAGGCAGGAGAATGGCTTGAACCTGGGAGACGGAGCTTGCAGTGAACTGAAATCACACCACTGCACTCCACCCTGGGCGACAGAGTGAGACTCTGTCAAAAAAAAAAAAAAAAAAAATTACAGCAAATTTTGTTTTCTTAGATGCAATGTAAGCCAGAACACAGTGGAATACCACCTTCACAGTACTGAAAGAAAAATTTGTCAACCTAGAACTTTATACCTGGTGAAATTTTTTTTTTCAAAAATAAAGGCAAAATAAACACTTTTATAGACATAAAAATTGAAAGAATTAATCACTTGCAGACCTCAACTATAAGATATGTTAAAAGAAGTCCTGCATGCAGAAGACAAATGTTATGAGATGGAAATTTGGATCTATTCAAAAGAATGAAAGACTCCAGACATGGCAAATATGTGGTAGATATAAAAACTTTCTTATTTTCTAAATCTAAGAGATCATTAATTATCCAAGCCAAATATAATAAAAATGTAGGATTTTTGGCATACATAGAGTTAACAAACAGACAACAATAGCACAATGGTCGGAAGACATGGTCAGAAGACAGAGGACCATTAATAGATTATTATTTTATACATAAAGTAGCATAATATTATGTGATGGTAGACTATGATAAAGATATGTATTGTAAATCCTAAAGGAAATACCAAAGCAACAACAGCAGCGACTCAGAGAGTTAAGCTAAATAGGAAATAAATTGAGATTTTAAAAATATTCAATCCAGAGGAAGGTAGAAGGGAACAAAGAATAGATGGAAGCAACAGTGAACAAACAGCAAGATGGTAGATTTAAATCCAGCTATGTCAATAATCAGATTAATAGTTTAAGCACCCCTTAAAAGACAGCAATTATCATATTGGATAAAAGAGCAAGATCTAACCACATACTGTCTGTAAGAAACCCACTTTTAAAGATACAGATATGTTGGAAAAAAAGATAGATGGAAAAAGTAATATTAGCAGTAATCAAAAGGAAACCAAAATGACTATATTAATATCAACCAAGTAGGTATCAGAGTGTTTCACCCACCAACAGAGTAGACATTCTTTTCAGCTATACACGGAATATCACCAAGACATGCTATATTTAATGTCATAAAATCAATCTCAATATTAATTTTAAAAGGTTAAACTCATATAAAATGTTATTTTACTATGCTAAAATTAGAAATCAGTTATATAGATGGAAAATCTATAAATATTGAAAAGGGAAACAACATATTTCTAAATAACCCATGAGTCAAAGAAGAAAACATAAGGAAAATTAAAGTATTTTGAACTGAAAAAAACGATTTACCAAGTCCTGTAGGATGCAGCTAAAGTATCCATTATAGCATTAAATGCTTTGTATTAGAAAACAAGAATGGTTTCAAGCGAGTGGCCTCAGCTTTCACCACAAGAAACTAGAAGAAAAAGAGCAGATTAAATCTATAGTAAGCTGAAGAACTGAAATAATAAAGAGCCGAAATCAATGAAATAGCTAACAGAAAAATAGAGAAAAGTGATAAAATTAAAAGCTGGATTTGTGTGAAGATCAATAAAATTGATAAACATATAGTCAGAGTGGTGAGGAAAAAAAAGACGCAGATTACCCATTATGGAGGTGAAAAAGGGTATCATTCCAGTTTCTACAGAAATACAGAGGGGCTGATAAGGAAATATGTACTTAATGCCAATAAATCCAGCAATTTAGATGAAATGGAGAATTTCCTTGAAAGATCCCAAATTTCTTGGAAGTACCGACGCTCACTCTGAAAGAAATGCTTAATCTAAGTAGCTCTGTAATTTAAGAATAAAGTTGTAATGAAAATGTTTCCCACAAAGAAAACACCAGGCTCAGAAAGCTTGCTGGTGAATTTTACCAAATAATACCTGTTGTACTTAGACTCTTCTTAAAAATGGAAGAGAAGGGCACACTTTGCAACTCACTTCATGAGGCAAGCATTACCCTTTAACAAAACTGGAAAAAAAATTATAAGGAGACTACAGACCAGTATCCTTGGTGAACACAGATGCCTAAGTCATAAAACTTATTCTTAACACACGTTAATATTCAAAATGAAAATCATGTGTTCTAAATGACGGTGTTAAGTTAGGTATAAATTCTAACTTCTAAATTAACTTGTAATGTAAACTGAGTAAAAATTTCTGGCTTTGTTTCCATGAGTTTGTGCTATTCTGTCATAGAATTTGATTCTCAGTGCCATTTTTGCCAGGTGTACAATTTCAGATATTCAAGAAATTATTATAGGCATAATTCTTCCTCACTAGTGAGGGTTAAAAATTTAAGATTTTGACAAAATACTACCTTTCCCCTCCCCTAATATTTATGTTCTATTCAGTGGTATATTACTGTATTCAAATTCATTTTTATTACACAGGCACAAATGTATTAAATGACATAACAATTTAGAACATTTCTAATATAATTCAAGTTCTACTCAGTACAGCTTTAATTATTTATTTAATCTCTTGAGGGTGATTCAGATGGGTAGGAGTAATGGGAACAGAAATGTATCTTTGCACCCTTGAGCTTTTGTTGCTTTGTAACCATAGTTATTATTTTTTTAATTGACAAACTCTACTCTACTCTCCCCTGGTTGTGTCTCAATGATAGATTTTGTGTGCTTGGATAGCATTCTTAATATTTTACAGATATTTTCTACAGATGATACTTCATCTATATAAAATTTTATCTCTTTAATGGACATTCCATTTTTTTTAGGCTATGATGTATTAAAATATCAAGTATTGGCCAGGTGCAAAGGCACATGTCTGTAATCCCAGCTCTTTGAGAGGCAGGAGCAGAAGGATCAGTTGAGGCCAGGAGATTGAGATCGGCATGGGCAACATAGCAAGACCCTGCCTCTAAAAAAGTAAAAAAAAAAAAATTAGCTAGGCCTGGTAGTGGTAGCATGTACCTGTAGTCCTAGCTACTTAAGAGGCTGAAGTGGGAGGATGGGTTAAGCCCTGGAGTTCAAGGCAGCAGTGAGCTATGATCACAACACTGCATTCCAGCCCTGGTGACAGAGCAAGACCCTGTTTCTAAAAATAAAGTATCAATATTCCTTTTGTAGTAATCAGTGTGGCAGGAAAGAAGTGCAGTATTACTGATATTTTAAGACAATAATACTTATGAATTTCTTTATTTTATGATTATTCTTTGTCATATGTCTAGGGTCATCTGTCAGTGACTTTTGTATTTTGGTTTCATGTTGGTTTTTCCTGGTAGATTGAGAAGCATCAGAAATATTGGTAGTAAAATATGACAAAACAATAATTTGTGCTTTGCTAGCTCTCTGGGCACATTTAAGTCTCAAGACCATCAGAAGCCTTTTAAAAAAAACGTTGATGCCGGGCGTGGTGGCTCACGCCTGTAATCCCAGCACTTTGGGAGGCCAAGGTGGGCAGATCACGAGGTCAGGAGATCGAGACCATCCTGGGTAACAGGGTGAAACCCCATCTCTACTAAAAATACAAAAAAACTAGCCAGGTGTGGTGGTGGGCACCTGTAGTCCCAGCTACTCGGGAGGCTGAGGCAGAAGAATGGCATGAACCCGGGAGGCAGAGCTTGCAGTGAGACGAGATGGCGCCACTGCACTCCAGCCTGGGCGACAGAGCGAGACTCTGGCAAAAAAAAAAAAAAAAGTTGAAATAATATGTTTGCAGCTCACAGCACAGGAATCATAACAGCTTTAAATGAATTTTTTTTTGCACTGTGTATATTCATGGAAGCATTTATTCTCCCTTAAGGGTTTTTTCTCCCATATTTAGACTGGTGCTTTTAAGTCAGCTTATTTTCTGCTTATTTTTACAAACATACACATGCACACACACAAATACACTTTCCCAAAGGTAAAACAGTCCTTAAAACAATGAATAATTTGGTCACATTTTCAAAATAATGGAAGAAAGTTCCACTTGGATTATGCATTCATTCATTCATTCATTCATTCTTCTTTAGAGGCAGTCTTACTCTGTTGCCCAGGCTGGAGTGCAATGGGGTTGGGGGAGGTTATTTTTAATGGAAAGGGCAGTGGTTTCAGTTTATAACTATTTATAATCTTTAGAGAGAAAGGAAAAAAAGCTATAAATCATTTGATGTCCAATGTATAATAACTTTTATCAACTACCTTACAAAATGTATTTTTAAATAATTGTCTCATTTAATTATATAGTATTATGGTTGTCTCCCTTCTATGGTGTAACTATATTGAAAAGTTCACAAGTTTAAAATACTAGGACAAAAGCTGTACAATTTAATGTATTATTTATATGTGTAAGAAATCATATGTGCTATAAGCATGTACTTTATTTGATTATATAAGAATAATAAAACTACAGAGTATTTTCAATATTTTCATGTATTTGCAAATGTTGTAATTTTAAATGAAAGTCTACATTACACATTTTCTTTTGTCATTTTTTGGCATTTTTCTGAGGGCTTTGACAATAATAGATAGTTACATTGGGAATCAATGCAGCTTTTGAATAGAATGTTAAAATAACATCTATGAGAAAAGAAATTATTTTAAAATAATTAAAATTAAGAATATTAATTAGTATATGTGTAATGTAAGAGCAGCTGGATTAGGATTTATTAATATATACATTTACTGTGAAATGATTCTAATAATACTGATGAGTTTGCAAAACCAGTATGTAGAGAATTTATTCAGTTTCCATACAATTTTGAGTTAGTGAATGTAAAATTTGATAGGTAAGCAGTTAGCCTGTTTTGTCTTCCTAGAAAATTATTCTACAAGATGCTGTCTTGTCTAATAAGAATAGCAGAAGGATCATAGGTACTACTTTTGCCAAACCCTAATAATTAAATATTACTCCTTTTGAAAAATGTGTCACAGTAGGCAGTGCTTTTTGTTTTTTCTTTAATTTTATCATAAATGAAAATACTGATGTCAGACTCTTAATTACCTTCATGAACCTTCTCATAGTTACGATTTTTGTCAGATACTACATCTTTTAAAGAGCTTTTAGAATTGCATGCACTGTTGCTTTGTGGATTATGGGAACAGCTATATCATCTGCGTTCATTCTGTCTTCACTTTTTTTTCTCTACCCTGGATTCATCTTGTCCTCCATGGCTTTTGTATGTCTTTTATTTATTGTGTTCTATTTTCCATTCATCTGTCCTTTATTCCTCTTTCTAACATGATCCTGTTATTCATATATATGTATAATTTTCAGGTTTTTTTAAACAAGTAAATATTCTTTTTTTTTTTTTTTTTTTTTTTTTTGAGATGGAGTCTCGCTCTGTTGCCCAGGCTGGAGTGCAGTGGCACAGTCTCAGCTCACTGCAAGCTCCACCTCCCGGGTTCACGCCATTCTCCTGCCTCAGCCTCCCGAGTACCTGGGACTACAGGTACCCACCACACGCCTGGCTAATTTTTTGTATTTTTTGGTAGAGACGGGGTTTCACCGTGTTAGCCAGGATGGTCTTGATCTCCTGACCTCATGATCCACCCGCCTTGGCCTCCCAAAGTGCTGGGATTACAGGCCTGAGCCACCGTGCCTGGCCATAAACAAGTAAATATTCTTAATCACCTGGAAATTTTATATCTTCTCCTTGGAAAAACAGATAAGCCAATTCACACACAAAATTTATCAACCCCAATTTATGTTTCCTACATTATATCTCATATCTTCTCCCATGAATTATTCAGATTTGCTCCTAACCCACCTTGCTTCTGATTTTGAGCATGTGTCAGATTTGCTGGTGAGTTTTGATTTTCTCACTTTGTTTACGTAAATTTCTCTGTCATTTTCTCAAGAATACTAAAGAAAAAGTATAAATTGTATGTTTTATGCATGGTAGATACTGTATACATATTTTTAAATACTTGTAATACTATGCACTACATATATACTTAGTATTAGAAAACACGTCTTGTATTAAGTTGGATTTGCATATAGAAAATTGTATAAGTAAATACTGCATGTTTGTTGCATGTCCATATTTGGTTATTTCTTTGCTTTTTTGTGGGGTGTTTTCTGTTATTTGTTTCTGTTGTCCAAAATAATTGTGAACCACTGGTTCCAGTAATTAGGTAGTATTTGTTTTTGGAATGCCTAATAATTTAATAATATTTTATAAATAGGAGTCACTTTTAAACAAAGATACACATTGTTTTCTTTAGCAAAGTAGAAGTATTTCTCTACATATGATACATATTTATATACATGATATACATTTATACATGATACTATTAAGATGTTTTTATCTATAGGTTCCAGATAGCACTATAGACCTCTTTTGTATTTTCCCTTATGAATTTTTTAAAAAACATTTAAATAGCTTTTTAGCACTGCTCATGTTTTTGCAGAAATAAGTTTACTTGTAAAGGCTACTAAGGGATTGCTTATTTTAAAATTGAGTTTTCAAAATGTCATATGTATATGTCAGTTTATTATTGCTTTAAGATTTTATTTAGAATTTTGTAAGAGATGCAGATGGTCCCTGACTTACAATATTTCTTCAACTTATGATTTTTTTGACTTTACAATTGGTTTACCAAGACGTAATAAGTAAAGGAGCTCCTTAGGAATTAGAATCGATTATGGTTTCTACTGAATGTATAGTGCTTTTGTACTATCTTAAAGCTGACAAATTGCATATTGAACCATCGTAAGTAAGGGATCATCTGCTGTGTTGGTAGCATTAAATGCATTTTTGACTTATGATATTTTTGACTTATGATGAGTTTATCAGGGTATGACTTCATCGTAAATTGAGGAGCATCTGTACTTTGAATAAAAAACATTGTATTAAATATTGTCATTTAGAAGTATAGCTGATTATCTGTATCCATCTGATTTCATACCAAGATATTTTATAATATTTAGCTTAAATTTATAAGTATAGAAAGAACTCAAATAAATAGATGACATGATAGAAAATGTTGGCTTTATATGTGACAGAAGTTTTGAGTTTCAGTTATACGATTTTTGTGCTATACTCTGCAATTCTTGCATTCCAGTAGGGTGGCTTTAAGTCAGTTGACCATTAAGAACTAAAATTGTATCAACTTGAGTTGAAAAGAAATAATTCAAAGGACGCATGGGAGAGTGATTTAAAAAGTTTTTTTTACATACCAAAATTGAAATAATATTAGAGCAAAAAAATGAGGGGTATCATACTTTGGTGATATAAAAATATTTTCCAGATAGTTTTTAAGCGACCCAGAAGTACAAAATAAATTTCTTATCAGAACAGTGTCCCCTGAGATTAAAAATTGCCTCAGTAATTACTGTGAGAGATGAGGAACATGTCTTATAGCTCAACCTGAAACATTTGTATTGATCTTAATTCCAAATCTACATTTTGGCTCTTAGGATCATGGTCAATTAACACATTTTATTCTAATCTTGTCATTGCAACTAGTTTTTCTATTGGGACACTGGTTGTAATAATTTGGTAATTTATGTTTAGGTATTGTTTATGCTAAAAATAATGTAAGAAAACATTTTGTTTCACTGAACTTGTCCGTAGATGTCACTATCATGCCTTCTTTATGCTGATTTAAGGAGTAAAGTAAGTACAGAGAATTAAAACAGTGTTAATATGAAGAAATAAAATCTCATTTGTATTACAAGAGGGCCAAATTATTATGGAAATGTTAAGTTCACATGTTAACCTTAGGAAATAAAGAAAAGTTAAAAATGAAAATTAATAGATGAGATCATTTACAAATAGTTTACTGTTTAAATAGATTTTTTAAATGGTATTTTTCATCCTTCTATAGGCTATCCACTCTGTTGCTTGGCATCATGAAGGAAAACAATTTATTTGCAGTCATTCAGATGGCACCTTGACTATATGGAATGTAAGGTCCCCTGCTAAACCAGTACAGACAATCACTCCACATGGTAAGAATGCATCAATTTTAAATACCACCTAATTGTAACGTACAGTAAACTGTTTTGTTTGAGTTTGCATTCTGATTTGTTTGTTTGATTTTTAGGATAAGGATGGGTTTCCTTCTGTTTTTAGGGAATTAAAAATATTTACACTTATAGAAATAGTATCTAACAACCAGTTAATAAAATTTCAAATTAAGCATATTTACAGTTGAAATTGCAAATTTGAAATTTTAGAAAATGTTATATTATTTTCTGAATATCATGTCTCTAATAGTCCAGAAAATAATAGTTTTGTGAATGAAAATGATGCAGGATTTACATTAAGCTTTTCCATCTCAAAGCTGTCAGTTGCAGGTTGTTAATATATAAATAACAGTGAACTTGAAATACTTGGAACCCTGTAGAAGGTAATTTTATATATCAAAATATGGTGTCAGGAGTCCTCAGAATCACCCTAGATTTAATGATTCACTAGGAAGACTCACAGGACTCAGCATATAGTCATATTCATTGCTGTGATTTATTACAACAAAAAGGCATAAAGCAGAATCTGCAAAGGGAAAAAACACATGAAGTTTAGAGGAAACCAGGCTCAAGCTTCTTGGAGTTATTTTCTTATGGAGTCACACAGAATAGGCTTCATTCCACTAACAAGGAGTTGTTACCACATGTGTGAAATATGTCTACCAGAGAAGCTCACCTGAGCCTTGGAGTCCAGGGTTTTTATTGGGGTCAGTCATGCAGGCATCCTCTGCTTTAGCAGGTACCACAATTCGAGACTCCCAGAAGCAAGGCAGGGGTTCAGCATAAACTATATTCTTTGTACAAACCAATTAGGCAGAGTAAATCATCCTCCTCAGGGAATAATGAGCGTTTTCTTGAAAACCAAGTTCCTAGACATCAGCCAAGGGCCAACCTTGTAAGCAGATCTTTGTAGTGATAGCAGCCACAGACCTGCTGTGTTAACTATTTTCTGCATAAGTAGTACTTAACAAAACTTATAAGAAATTTTTATTATAATATTTATTAGAAACAGATTATGAAGGCCACCTTTTTTGTTTTAGAATTTGTATTTCTTTATTAATCTTCATTCTCCACCCTCACCCTACGAGAATCCTTCCTGGCAAGTTTAGGGAACTCATATTAAAGGAACTGTTCTATAAATTGATAGTATATTCAAGATTGTCCTTGTAGCTATTGCTAGTATTTCATTGTTTGCTTTAAAATTTGAATACCTACTTTTTAAAAAAGCTGACATATTTTGACTTACTGCAATATAGAAATGAAAGAAACAGTAAAATTAAAAACAAGTTTTATCTATCTGTGGCATATGGGATTTTAGGCTTGCTTGTTTTCTGGGAAAAATAACAGTTCTTGAAACCACATATTGTGAAATACTTTACCACTGCTTTGTGACAGCAATCATCTTCTGGGAAAGCACTTACATGAAATTCCCTACACATCTATTTATGAGTGCATCTAGAGGATATTTCTTATGATAGTAGGTTCAAGTTTTTCTTAATGTATTTTGTTCCTTCCTTCTATTAGTATCTAGGTTCCTCATCTCGACACTCCTAAAAATTCCCATGAATCTTAGAATCTCCTAACCCTGCTGGAACCTACGAATTCAGATAAACAAAAAAGTACCAATAAGGTGTGGTTAGTTCAAAAATCTTTCATTTTAAACCCAGAAGAAAATGAAACTCATGTCAAAGATGATAGAAATATGTAATGCTAGTTTTGCAGCTTGAAGATTATCTGTTTTTATCTTGTTTTGTAAGAATAGTACAAAGGATCTTTTTTTCTTTTGATCTGTTTGAGAGTAAGTTGTCAATGTGGTGCTGATTCACTTGCAAATATTCCATGGTCTTTTTTTTTTTAATAAGGACATTTTTCTATATAACCAAGTTTTGCCTTTATTCAAAAGAGTTTTATGTGGATTAGATTTGGTTGTCATGTTTCTTCTCGAAACTGGAACAGTTCCTGAACATTTTGACTTTCATATATGATAAATTACAAAGATTATAGGTCAGTTATTTTATAGAACGTGCCTCAGTATGGTTTTGTCTCATGTTTATTCATGATGAGATTTAGGTTGCACGTTTTTGGCAGGAGTATCCCAAAAGGATTGAGGTGTTCTTTTTGCATCCTCTCAAGTGGAACTCGTTTTTGATTTGTCCCATATTAGTGGTATCTCATATCCTGATCCTTTGGTTAAAGTTCTGTCTTCTGCTAGTTCTCTCCATTATTAAAAAGGTTTTCTTTTTACTTTTGAAATTGAGAAATAAATTTTGTATTTATAATTGTTAAGTATTTTGATTTGAAGGAAGTTCCACAAGACTCTATGAACATATTATACTTCATCAAACTTTTCCCCTTTAGTTTTAGCATCTGTTGATGTTTCTTAGCTGAATTCACTATTACTGTGATGGTTGCCAAATAATGATTGTCTAGCTGGTCTTAATCTTTTTTTATATTACAAGCTTAGGTCATTGAAAGCAGACTCTAGTAAGTGGTATAAATCAGTTTCTACAGTGTTTATATTGTCTTAGCAGAAAAGGGTCACTAGCTAAAATTATTTTTAAATAAAAAAGACAATATGTGACTTAATGTTTTCTCAAAATTAGAATCCAAATGAAATATAAATGGATTTTTTTCTGTGGCTGGTGTTAAAAATTAGGATGGTATTTGTGTAGTGTTAGCAGTCTAATAGTAGATGGCCAGAATTTTATATAAAGTAAGGCATATTTATTTTATTTTATATAAGCTATATGTAGAAAATCTGAATTCCTTTCAAGTGTAATAGGGTTTCCAGCTTTCTTTTTGGCAGTAAAAACTACCAAGTGACAGGTAACTAACCAAAGCTAAATTCATGTTGACTCTACAACTGAATTCATGGCAAAGCTGGAGTACAATGGCGCGATGTTGGCACACTGCAACCTCTGCTTCCCAGGTTCAAGCGATTCTCCTGCACTAGCCTCCTGAGTAGCTGGGATTACAGGCGCCTGCCACCATGCCCGGCTAATTTTTTGTATTTTTAGTAGAGACAGGGTTTCACCATGTTGGCCAGGCTGGTCTCAAACTCCTGACCTCAGGTGATCCACCCGCCTCAGCCTCCCAAAGTGCTGGGATTACAGGCATGAGCCACCATGCCTGGCCAGCTGAGTACATTTTTATACATTAAAGTACAAAACTACATTCTGCATACCATAACAAGGGTATCATCTATTCCATAGAGATCACATTTGTGGTACATCATTTTCATTATATTAACTGTTTCGATGGATTGAAATTTTGTTCTACTTTCTCATTACTATTGTCTGTTGTGGTTTCTTGCTCTTAATTTCTAGCCAAACAGTTATGGTAAATTAGTTTAAATATACTAGCCTTTTACAATTGAGTACTTTTTTACTTTTTCTTATTTAAGTTCATCTAATGGTTGTTCAAGTATCTTAGTCTTAAAAAACATTTACAGTATTACCTTGATTGCCAAGAACTGATTATAATTTAAGTCTCCTACCAGTACTTTACGATGAGTTTTAGTGTTAGGGTGTTTAGTGTTAAAAATAGGTTAAGATATCCTTGAAGAATCTGTTCAGAAGGTATTATGTTGCATTTATATAACATGGGATTTTGAAGCCAGAAGAGTTGTAGTTAAGCACTAATTCCATAGTTTCTGGCTCTGTGACCTTTAGGAAGTCATTTAACATTTTTGAGCCTTAATATTCTCATCCATGAATACAAATAATAATGAAACTTGACCTAGTCTCATACAGTTGTTGTGAGGATTGTATTTACTCATTCTACAAATATTTATTGGTTCTACTGTGTGATAGGCACTTTTCTTAGCTGTGGTTCAAATAATCAAAATGGAAGTGAAATTACCCGGAAATTATGATGTGCTATTCATATATGGCTCTAGGAAGTGTAGGTGTGGAACTTGTTATTTACTTGGTAGAATGGATTAGTGAACCCCCAAAATATATTCCACAAAGACTAGTTTTTCTTATATTTATGATTCGTTTGGTGGAAAAGGTATGTCATAGTGAAAGAAGTTTTAGAAATACTGAATTAAAGATGAGCATTTTTCTTCACTTTAAGATTCAACAGGTTATTTTTGACTACCAAAAACAAACAAAAGGTGATAGGTCCCTTTAATCTCACTTTTATGAGTCTCAAACATTTCCCTGGCAGTCAGACAACCTGTAATCTAATTGTAAGTGCTATGTGTGAAATACCTTGTGGAGATTCCTTTTCTCTGAGACTTAAGCTTTATTACTTGTAAAATGGCAAGATTGAACAGGATTTTTAAGCTACAAAGTTTAGTGAATATGTGAAAATTAAGCAGGATTTGGTTCCATATAATGACTCTGCGGTTATTTCCTTTCAGTGGGCCATAGATTCTGCATCTCTGTATGGTACATCTAGGAGTAAGCTGTTTCTCTTTTGGCTTGTTTCTCTCCCATGGCAGATAGGGTTTCATTACTTAGGAGGGAATAACTTCGACAGTATTGGCATGGCTCAGATTCTTACCCTGAAGCACTCATCTTGGTTTTGTAATTTCCTGGGCCAGGGCCTCACAGGACCTCCCCTGTAGCGCAGGGTTGAGGGTGATGTGTTGCAGAGTAAGATTTTCTGTGATTGTCAGCTTTACCAGAATCAGATGGTTTCCTAAGGAAATGGAGGTGCTAGACCAGGGGTGCCTTCCTATATTAGAAGGAGGAGAATTATCTAGGACCACGCATAAAATACACTAACACTAATGATAGCTGATGAGCTAAAAAAAAAAAATGTCATAATGTTTTAAGAAAATTTTCTAATTTGTGTTGGGCCACATTCAAAGCTGTCCTGGGCTACATGTGGCCTGCAGGCCATGGGTTGGACAAGCTTGTGCTAGACAGTCAAAACCCATAGATTTTTATTATAGGAAATGATATTTTAAATTTAGTTTCTGAAGCTTATTCATCAATGTAATCAATCTACTTATCAAAAAGTAAACCAAGATTGGGGAACTTTTATTCTGTTGAAGGTCACTGAGGGAAAAATAAAATTCAAATTCACCTAAGTACGTCAGCTTAATATGTTAAGGATGAGACGTGTAAAGAATTCCATTAATCTGCTTTTAAGATTCACCTGAAATCTAAAACATTCAGTAAATAATAAAATTATACCTCAGTTCCTTATGATTCATCACAAACCTTTCCCCAGTTTATGTATTTGAAAAGACTTACCAGACTCCACAGAGCATACTCAAACAAGACCATGATTTAAAGGCGAAGGATATGATACAGGAGGAGAAAGAGAATGCAGGCAGGTATTCTGAAACATCCCTCCCCTATGTGAGCTCCCAGTGAGCACTTACACACGAGGATTGTGCTGAGTCCACCTCGAGTCACCAAGATCTGGCTTCTGAAGAGCTCCAGAGAAACTCTCAGGAAGGCCCTTGTAATGATCAAGCCAGTCTTGCTAATAAATCAACTAGGCCGTTTGCCAACCTGCAGCAAAACTATACACTGGTGGTTACCAGGGAAGTTTTGGGCCTTAAACAACACATCATAAATCCCACTGTCCTTTTCTTGGCCAAAAGTAAAAAAACAGATGTTCAGGGGTCCAAGTCCAGCCGTAAATCAACTTTGTACACTCATTTAGGAGGGAACAACCCTCCTCCCCATTGCAGACTAGTATTATTAGCAATGTGGCTCTTCAGTTTGTCTTTTTATTTTCTAGAACATCACTGTCCAATAGAAAGGTAACGTGAGCTGCGTGTGTGATTCTAAATTTGCTAGTAACCATGTTAAAAACAGTAAAAAGAAACAGGTAAAACTAATTTTAATAACATATTCTTTAATCCCAAATATGCAAACTATTAGTTCATGATGTAATCAACGTATAAAATTGAGATATTTTATTCTTTTTTTGTACTAAATCTTTGAAATCTAGTGTGTATTTAGCACATCTTAACTTGGACTAGATACATTTTACGTGTCCCGCTGTCCGTGCATTTTGAGTGCACGGTAGACTTACGGCTACCCTATTGGATAGCCACGCTAGACTGAGAACATAACTGCAGTGTAACAAGCATAACACTTAAAATATGTTCCTCATCCTAACTGGCAAAATTAAAACTTTAGAAAGCAACTGTTTTTGTCAGTAATCTTTATTCATTTTAAATGAATCTTTATTCATTGAATAAACATTGAGCACCTCCTACCTACCAGAGATTAAATACTGAAAATATACTGTCCTGAAGAGCTCATCATCAAGTGAATAAAAATGATCTATAAACTGATAAATATAATACATTGTGATAAGTGCTGATAAAGGCATGTATAACATGATATGGAAACAAATAAGTGGTGACTGGTTTTGGGTAAAAGGTGTTGGACTATTTCACAAATTCAGGGTATATGAACTTGGTCTTAAAGGATGATACTGGTGGTATAAGGTAGCAAAGAGCAGGGCAAAGTTATCTTAGAAGGCACAAAGGCACAAAGACATAAACAAAAGTGGGGTGTTCTTGGAAAACTGCTAATAGTTTAATATGACCAGAGTTTAAAACGCCTTTGGGCAAGTAGCAGGAAGTGAAAACAGAACCATGTACAGAGGCAAGATTATATATCAAAGTATGATAAAAAGTTTGAACTTCATAATGGAGACCTAGTAATTGAGTTTTTAGTGAGAAGCATTAAGTTTACATCTTAAAAATATCACTTTAATGATAGTACATCAGGTGGGCTGGAGGCAGAAGAGGGTGGCTAATTAGGAAGCTTTGCATTAATAAATAATGGAGATTTTATTAGAGGAAATGGGAAGAAATGGACATGTATGAATGAAATTCTGGAATTAGAATCAATAGGACTTAAACCAATTATTTGAGGCTTGGTGGTTTGAGGGGTGGGGAAATAGGCCATAGTAAGAAGGAGAAATCAGATGTGGCATGGAAGTTTATGTGAGTTATTAAGTGAGGTTTTATAATTAATCAGATCTTTTAACTGACTGGTCAAGGTAGTTCACGGATAGTTAAAAGAACAAGCACGTATTTTTGTTCCTCTGGTGGCATAGCATTTAAGAAGTAAAATGACACCTAGTGGTGAAATCCCCTAAATGTCTTTCCATTTATATGTGCTTAAAATCATGGGTAGTACCTTATTATTTGATTTGATTTAGAAAATGCTTAGCCTAGAATTATAGATGAATAAATAAACCTATCTAGACCATAAGCAGTAATCAGAGACATTATTTAAAACATCTTGGTTGGAAAGATATCAGAATATGCAGACCAAGGATTTGTTGGGTTTTTTTCAAGCAAAATTAATACAGGATGATCACTCTAAACACTGCAACATTTTTCATTTACAGAGAAAATGAAACTACTCTATTAACATCCTCTCAGAGGGACAGAAGTAAAAGTTAACTTCTAAAGGAATAGAAATCAGACTGACTTAGACTTGTAAGTCTGAATGTTAGAACACAATAGAGCAATATCAAGGGACTATTGAGCAAGAAGAAAGTTAAGAATTTTGTACCTAGCCAGGTTTTTTGCAAGATATAGAAGCTCAGGCTTGGAAGCGTTTAGCAAATACCATCTAATGTCCTTTAGAATTTGTTCCAACCTCTGAAAGATTGATGTTGAATATTGAAGTAAGTTAAAGGAGTTATTTCTGAATAATTGTTTCACTTCATAAAACAAAATCATGTTTGAACCTAAATGTAAAATTTGTGTCTATAATTCTAAATTCTGTCAGCCTGACTCTCCCACTAGAACTCTGCATGGTAGAAAGAGGATAAAAGCCAGCTGACCTTCTTCAGAGCAAACATTTAAATTTTTTACTGAAAGGTCATATACATCTCTATATAGATTGGAATAGAGGTTGAAGTTCTTAATTTATTCCTTGTATAACACAAGGGACTACTTTTCAGATTTAAGCCTCCTTTTTTCGATACCTTTTATTTTCCTTGCAATTCTCTCTCCCACCTCAACAATCCTTTCCTTTCTTCTGGCAGTTCTTTCCAGTTCCTTGGTCACTTCTGTCACTTCTTGGTTCCTGTAAATTGGGCTGCTAGAGATTCAAGATTCCCTGTACAACCATTTCTTCATAAGGAGGGGAAAGGGATTATTCTCTAGGATCTTAAATTAAGACAGGATTCAATGTTCCATTACCAGTCAGTGTACAAGTATATATTTATAAAAATTTAATATGGGTGATATTTCATACTAGTGAGGAGAGAATGATGGTTCAATAAATTGAGCTGGCAAGTAAATATTTATGTCAAAACTCATCTGATTGTACACTTTAAGTAGTGTACTTTTGTTTAGCAGTTATAGCTCAGTAGAGCTATTAAACTAGCACTCAGATGATTGATAGCTTATTAATTATTAAGAGGAAAATGTCTTCCCTGTATCAAAATACACATCAGAAAATAATTAATGTAATAAATGAATCTATTCTAAATTATAAGAAAAAGCAGATTTATGTGATTTTGGTGTGGGGAAGAACTTTCCAAGCGTAAAACCAAAGAGGGGAGGGACCAAAAAGACGGATAGTTTTTTTCATACACATGTATCATTATACATAAATGAGATCCTATCATACCAGTTCCTTCTCCCTCAGCCTTTTCCCATGTTAGCAGCCCAATCTCCTTTCTTGTCCCACCAGGTAAGCTATGTCAAAAATCTTACAGATATTCTTCTAAAATATAGGTATTTCTAAAATCATGTGTATTAACACATACACACAAATAAACATGAGATTATTTTTCTGATCATTGTTTTACAAAAATTAGGATTATGTTAGTGTTTTTGCATCTTTAAAATTTTTTAAAATTTTTGTGAGTACATACTAGATATATATATTTATGAGGTACATGAGATATTTTGATACAGGCATACAGTGTGAAATAAGCACATCATAGAGAATGGGGTATTAATCCCCTCAAACATTTATCGTTTGAGTTACAATAGGGTGACTATAGTTCAATAATAACTTAATTGTACATTTTTTTTTTTTTTTTTTTTTTTTTTGAGACGGAGTCTCGCTCTGTCGCCCAGGCTGGAGTGCAGTGGCGGGATCTCGGCTCACTGCAAGCTCCGCCTCCCGGGTTCATGCCATTCTCCTGCCTCAGCCTCCCAAGTAGCTGGGACTACAGGCGCCCGCCACTACGCCCGGCTAATTTTTTGTATTTTTAGTAGAGACGGGGTTTCACCGTTTTAGCCGGGATGGTCTCGATCTCCTGACCTCGTGATCCGCCCGCCTCGGCCTCCCAAAGTGCTGGGATTACAGGCGTGAGCCACCGCGCCCGGCCTGTACATTTTAAAGTAACTTTTAAAGAGTGGAACTGGATTGTTTGTAACTCCTTTTTTGCATCTTAATCACTGTACTTTAGGAAGATTCCTCCAAATGTTCTGGCATTTCTTTTATGTTAATGGCTGTGTCAGAGCCAGTTGTTTGTATCACAACTTATTCAGCTATTTCAAATTAATGGGCATTCCCTTTGTTTTCATTTCTTAAACATTGCAAATTATGCTGCAGCTACCATCTTTGTACATATGCCATAGGAATTGGTCCTTTTGTTTCTATGGAATAAATACTTCAGAGTACAATTTCCACCCCGAAATATTGAAGTTTTATTATTTCTAATAAATGTTCTCAAACCATTTTTCAAAAAAAGCTATATTCTTCAGATTTCTACCAGCCATGTATGAGTATCCCTTTTCCAGTGTCCTTGCCAGTGATAGGTGTTATGAGTCATTTTACTTTTTTTTTTTCTTCCTGTTTGCTCAGGATCTCAAAGTCGGCCAGAAATGAGTGACTGGGGCCTTCTCCTTTCCTCACTCTTTCCTGGGCAGGCAGCCTTTTAGACCGCCATGAATGTGTCTAGTTCTCGGAGCTTTTCTTTTAAATTTCTGCCTGAGTTCCATTTGCCTCAACTGAAACTACAGCCTTAGGCAGCTGTAATACTTCCAACAGATTGCTATTGTTCTGGAATGCCCTGGGGGTAGGGATTTTTGTCTCCCATATTTGAGGTCTGTGTCAAATGAGACAGCCACAGCACTTTGGGAATAGAGTTCCAGGGAGCTGCAGGTTCACACAAAATGTTGATTGTGCTGTAGCAAAAGTGGTTTTAACAGAGCTCCAAGAAAACTTCAGTCCTCTCTGTTGGCTGATACTACTGCATTTTCATGGCTAGCCTACCACTGAGCTGGGTAGCTAGGGGATAGAAATAGACCTTCCTTAAAAATACCACAGTCCCCTGTCCCCGAACCCCTCATGTTACTGAAGTTCAGTAGTATCTATTGGGTAGATGATTTTTCATCTTGTTAGTGGCTTGGTCATTCTCCAGAGTTTTAAAATGTTTAACTTTAGTTGTTTTAATAGTACTTTCATTTTTGTGGGAGAGCAAGTTCATCGAGGTCCTCCTGTTACTGGTGGCATATATCTGAGTTACCAGTAGTATATCTGTATGGGTCTGCAGTAACCTCAATTCTTGCCTCCTCAGAAGAAAGAATTCAACTGAGGAGCATAAAGAAAAAAAGAGACCAAGGCAAGTTTCAGAGCAGGAGTGGAAGTTTATTAAAAAGGCTTTAGAACAGGGAAGAAACACTTGAAAGAGATCCAGGTGGGCAACTTGGAAAACAAGTGCAGTGTTTAACTCTGACCCTAGGACTTCATAGGCTTGCCCCTTTCCCATGATTCTTCCCTTAGGGTGTGCTGCCCCTATGTGTGGTGCCCTCCTTACCCTTGGTAGGTGAACACGTGCAGTGTGTTTAGGAATTCGTACACACGTCCATCTGAGGCTTCCCTCTGTTTTCCAGTGGAGTGCCCCCCGAAGGTCATACTCCACCATTTTGTTACTTACTGCCCATGCCTGGGAAGTTGCGTCTCCCTGGCGCTTGCATTCAGTTAACACTTTAGTGCAGCAGGTGTGGACCATCAGGAAATGGGTTCTCCCTGGCGCCGGCTGCCAATATCACTTTTAGTGAGGCAGTGTGATAATTGTCAAACCATCATCTGACATTTCTAGAGCCCTCTCCTGCCCCACTCATGCCTACCTACCTATGATATTCACTGTATCATCTTGGAAGTTGATCTTTTTGGTAGTTTCCCTAGCCATTCATAGACATTTAGTCTACTGGGTGAACTTTAAGATCGCTTTGTCCAAATTCAAGAAAAGCTGTTGAGATTCTAATTACATTACATTTATAAATTAATTTTGGAAGAACCGATATTTTAGGATTTCATATTTTCTTAAATTGCAACATATTAAGGCTGATAGACTTGATTATTTAGATGTGTATTTCTGTACAATTTTTTTTAATTTGTAGGAATTCGCTAGGGAAAATATTTGCAACATACATGATTGACAGAATGTTAATAAGCCTGGACAGTAAAATTTATTTTCTAATACAAGGAAGATGACGTAGAAGCATTGATAAAGAACAGCAAGCTATTTTTTAAAAGAAGTATACATGACCAGTTAGGGATCCAAACACATCAGATTAAAATAAGTTACTCTTTTTATTTAACAATCAGCAAAAAGAAAAAAAAAAACATTGCTAGGGGAGGATATGGCAAAATACGGTCTTACGCTGCTGATAGAACTATAAATTGGCACAACCTATCTAGAATAAAACTTTACCCAGATATACTATATGCCAAACAATGTTTGTCACCAGGGATACCACAACAGAAAACAAATACACTAAAAATGTTCGCTTTCCTGGCCGGGTGCAGTGGCTCATGCCTGTAATCCCAGCACTTCAGGAGACTGCGGCGGGCAGCTCCCTTGAGCCCAGAGTTTGAGACCAGCCTGGGTAACATGGTAAAACCCCATCTGTCATCTCTACAAAAATTTTTAAAAATGTATCCAGACATGGTGGTATGCACCCGTGGTCTAATTACTTGAGAGGCTGAGATGGGAGGCTCACTTAAGCCCAGGAGGTTGAAGCTGAAGTGAGCCATGTTCATGCCACTGTACTCCATCCTGGGCTACAGGAGTGAGACCTTGTCTCAAAAAAAAGAAAAAAAATTTGCTTGCCTAGAATTTACATACATGCCAGTTAGGCAAACAATAAACAAAGAAGGTAAATATAAAGGATACTAGAATGTGACAAGTGCTATGGAGAAAAAATAAAGCTGTGAAAGAGGGTAAGAGGTGTTAGGTTAGGGGTGAGTGTCAGGAATTCCTCAGACCATTCCCAAGTTAGGTGATTTGCCAGAAGAAGTATTATAATGTGGACAGTGGTTAATCTCTGAAATATGGGAAATAAATGTTTTATTTTCTTTATTTTTTACTTTTCCATAGTTTCTACAGTGAACATGTAGAAATAGATAACTGAAATCAACATTTTAAAAAATAATTAGAATTCTTTGGCAAAATGAGTCTCTGACACATTTTATAGAGGTTGGTGTATTTTAGCAGTCTTTTGGGTATTACAGTGGATGTATTTACTTAAGGAGAATAAATATAAATGATTTTATTAGCATAGGGCTTAATATTGCAGCCTGTCACACTGGGGTGAAAATGTGATGTAGATTTATTTTTCTCAAATCTTGCTGTTTTAAAATGAATTCATTTAGCAAGTTGAAATTCTATGTTGCTTATCTGCAATTAAGAACATTGGAAAAACTATCAGTTTCTCCTGCTAGAATTTTGTCACATAAATGTTCTTACTAAGTTATTAATTATATTTGCTTTTTAGCACTGAATTTCAAACGGTAACTTTGCTTGATCATTTAAAAAATATCTTACTGTGTATTAAATGCCTCTTTCAGAATCACTTTAAAATGTTTCATGGTGGATTTCATTATATTTCACTTTCATTTTATAAACTATCAATGTAAGAATGTAGAGTAACTTAGAATTTTAGAATTTAATGCAGGAAAATATATTTTAGGAAAACAGTTAAAGGATGGGAAGAAGCCAGAACCATGCAAACCTATCCTCAAGGTGGAATTCAAAACGACTAGATCTGGGTAAGATTTTACTTCATTGCCAATGTTCATTGTATATAAGTCCTCAAATAGCATGGAAGGCTATTTTATCATTAATTTTGAAGGCCTATTTTAGAATAGTCTACACCATTCTTAAATTTTATGCTTTTTTTATTTAACAAAAGAAGTAAAATTGGTAAATTTAGGATAAAATACTTTTTTGTGTTCTTGTCTTTAGTAGTTTTACACATTATCTTGGAAAGTTTGAATTATTTTTCCTGTTAAACTTCGTGCCTTCTCTAGATCAGTCTTCAGTAGCAATAGTGTTTATTCACTAGTGATCATTGTGGAATAAGCAATGAAGAAAAAAAGATTTAAAATTTAACTTATTTTTACTATATATGTTATGAAAGTTATATGTATTCTTCAGAAATTAAATCTTATATGAGTATCTGCCAATTATGAAAATAAATACAGTTTAATATTAAAGGGAGTTTGTTGGTTGTAGTTGAAGACATTGATTGTCACTATATGAATTACATATGAAAATTAGATTGCTTAAACATTTATATATTTTATGTATATTTTTGTGTCAAATGTTAGATTAAAAAATATAAAGAAAAAAACATAAAATATCTGTGAAGATTCCACATCTCTTTAACTTCTAAAAGAAACTCTTTTATTTATGTTCTAGTTCCCCAGGAAAAGTATATGGTTTTATTTACTATGGCTTTTATTTGCTATAGCTATGTTGGACAGTGAGTATATATAGTATAGTGCAGAGGTTCTGAAATTGTGGTCCCTTTGCCAACAGCATTAGCTGAGAACTTGTTTGAAATGCAGATTCTCAGATTCCACCCTAGATCTACTGAATCAAAAACTCTAGGGTCGGGACCCAGCAATCTGTGTTTTAACTAGACCTACAGGAAATGCTGATGCACTCTAACATTTAGAAACACTGGTGTATTTTTTGTATACCAGTTTATAACCACTGGATATTACAACTGGCCCACTCACTTTTTAATCTCCCCTCCCATTTCAATTCAACTCATTTGAGTAAAGGTACCAGGCTAAAATATATATATAAAAATGTCGTTATCTTTTCCTTCCTTCTTTTTAGGGTTTGTTGAGATCCAACAGATATATTCCAACAATAGCTATATTCCAACAATAGATTAAATGAACTCTAAGAGGTGTATCATCTGTTTGACTCTTGCATCCTTCATTGTGTGACCTGTAGCATAGTTATCTGACTTCTTTGTGGTTCATTTTCCTCACTTATGACATAGATGGATAAAATGTCAGACATTAGTTGTTTAATTGAGATGATAATGTATGTAAAACATTTCAAGCAGTTTCTGGTATATAATAAACTCTATAAATGATTGAGAAGCCATTTTTTTAAGGAAATCCCCTGCCACCAATTGATTTTTATTTGTTACATTTGTCCTATGGCAAAGGAATTAAAATAGGAAAAGCATGGTAGCAAAGAAAGAAAAACAGGAAGAAAATCTGAAAAAAAAAATCTATGATTATAATACAAAATGAATTGGCTAAATATTTAAATTAATAGTGACTAATTAGGTTCTATTCTTATCTAGTTATTTTAACAAATATTGACTGGCAACAAAGGCAGCAGTTCAGGGAAGATTTTTTCCTCTGTGCTTCACCTGTTCCAGTTTTTACTCCTAAATAATGTTAATATTTATGAGTTCAGGTTTCTTCAAGATGGCAGTAATACTTTTCCTTTCATAGAATTAGAAATGAAAATTTAAAATGTTGCTCTTTTGTAGGCATTTGTAAATACAGTCATCCACTACCTAATAGCATCATGATCAGTGGTGGACTGTATATACAATGACGGTCCCAATAAATTATAATATTGTACTTTACTGTACCTTTTCTATGTTTATATACACAAATACTTACCATTGTGTTACAGTTGCCTACAATACTTAGTACAGTAATATGCTATATAGGTTTGTAACCTAGGAGTAATAGGCTATACAATATAGCCTAGATATGTAGTATATCATCGAGATTTGTGTAAGTTACACTCTATGATGTTCATACAATGACAAAATTGTCCAATGATGCATTCCTCAGAAGGTATCCTTTGTTGTTAAATGACGTAGTTATACTGTTAACTGGATCAGTAAGATCACCATTTTGTAACAGTGTTCTCTACTTTCTCAATTTCTTTTGTCACCTAAGATGGGAAATTCAGTAAATTCAACATATTCTTCTTTTCTCTCAGTCCCTGGCCTCTTTCCTTGAAATAGCTTTCCACATTATACTATGCAGCCTAAATCGAGAACTGTGCTACCCACTCCAGCTAGAGCAGAATCAGCCTCTATTCATTAAGCTGGGCAGCACTCATCTTTTTCCTGTTCCTATCAGGTATCATAAGCAGATGCCAACAGAATGTATTGTACAGTTCCTTTTGGCAAGTTACCAAATTTTATAAAAAGCCATCCTTTTATTCTCAGGGTCTTCTACATTTTCTTCTCTTTGCTTAGAAATAATTTGAGGTGGATTCCCTACCATCTTTTGTGGCTCAGCAAAAATATGCAACCTTAAAGATACTCTAGCCTCATTGGCCAGGTTAGGTCCTCCAATAATATACTCTCAAAACATGCAGTACTTTTTCTTTCTACAACCCATACATATCGTTAGTAATGAAATTGTTTATTGAATATATGTCACCCACATTAAACATTCACCTCAGTGAAAGCATGGTGGTGCTGAATGTGAAGAAGAAGATAGGCAGGTGTATTGAAAAGATAGTGATAAAGAGCTAACTATTAAAAGTGCTTAGTTTAACTCTGAGGCAAAGGCAAATTCTGACAAAAAATGGAATTGAGATGTTACATAGCTTTTATTTTCTGATGAGATAAAGCAAATAAAACTTAGATCTGGAGAAACCAGATGTTCTCTAGCATAGGGAAATAAAGTATTTTAGTGGCAGTTTTATTATGGAACCAGTTCTTTCTTTATAAGAAGTTAGAAATTAAATGTTAAGTCAATTCCATTGAAGTTGTTTCTTTGAGAAACTAATGTGAATCAGGTATGAAATCCCATGGTGAATGGCAGTCAGCACAGTGTTGTGTGAACTCCGGAGTCAGACTACTTGGGTCTGAATCCCACCTCAGGTGTTTACTCATTATGTAATCTTAGGCAAACCAAATAAGCCTTCTCTGCTTGTTGCTTTATCTGTAAGATGGGAATAATAATATTGCCTACCTCATTGAGTTGTTAAAAAATTAGATAAATATATAAAGCACTTGTAACGTGCTCTTTATACCAGTTGTGTCACATACACCACTGGTATATGTCTCACACATACTGGTTGTCTCAGATGTTTGATTACCTCTGACAAACACCTAAAATGCAGTTGTTCACTTATCGTGCTTCCACAAAGCAAGTGTACAAGTGGCAAGGTTGACCAAATTTTATAACTGAAGAATCTAGTATTCCTTCCTAAATTGAGAATCATATTTATCTGAAAGAGAAAGGCTGTGATTTAAAAAAGTATTTTAGTCCTTTTTGATGTCAAAAAAAATTTTTAGATATCACATATGATGGTTCATTAGTGGGTTGTGAAAATAGTTTTGCCAGTTGTGACCATCAATTTCTAACTTATAAACTAGAATAGGAAATAGAGAGCACTGCATATTTTAAGGGTAAATATTGATTCATGAAATTTTATTCAGTGGTATATATTTGTCTGTATACTGGATTATGAAGTAAAATGCACTTCTTCCTATGGGGCATTATTAAAATATTTGAAAGTCCCTGATTTAGTAGAAATAATTGGTGATTTGGATTATTAGACTGGGGTCCAAATCCCAGTTCTGCCACTTACTAACTGTATTATCTTTGGTAGGTTACCTAACCTCGCTGACCTTTTTACCTTACCTTAATAAAACAGAGACAATAATTCCCACTTTACAAAATTCTTCATGAAGGACTAAATGAAATAATATATGTCTGGCACATTATAGGTGTTTGATAACTCTAGTTTCTTTTCATTTCTACTTTACACTTTTCTTTTCACTAGTAGACTATATAAGAAGGTGTCAGTGGGGCCAGATTTTCAACAAGAAACAACTTTGGATGGGTTCAAATAGGTACTCAGATGAACTCTAGAGTTTTGAGCTACAGAGCATTAGAAGAGTTAGTTTTCTCCAGAAATGATCACCATTCAAATAATTACCAGCTTTGGGAAAAGCATCTCTTTATTATGGAACCTAAAAGCGAATATTGGGTCCTTGAGCAAGACGTCTGACTAGAGGTGCCTGGTGTTAATCACCATCCCCCCCACACACGCACACACAAAAGGACCAAAAAGAACAGACAACTAAAATTTGACTAGAGCCTCTGAAGGAAAGTGATAGAGCGCAGAAAGCGAGTGGCCAATTCCCCATGGAGTATGGCAACCCAGGATGACGGCATAGAGGGGGAGCAAAACACCCTGACTCTGCTGCCCTGTCTCCCACTTTGAGCCAGGAGGCACTTCCCCTTGTGGGGAAAACGTAAGCCATAGGCCCCCAACAGTCCCCATTACCACTGCAGGCACATGCAGTCCTTCTCTGATAGAATTCTACAGTACTCATAGGCCCTGAGCCCAGTTTGTAGAGCCTCAAGGAATTTCCATGAAGCTGCAATGCTCCAGAGAATGAACAATGTGTGTACCCTCACCACCCCATGACCCAAGCTGCTATAGTATGGTGCCATCTTGAAATTGGAGCCAGTGCTTGAGTGCTCTGCTCAGGGGACCAGTAGCCACTTCATTTGTCCACTCTTGAGGCTCCACTGTCATTCCACCATGCTCACATGGGTGACTACAATGCCATGATCCCAGCTGCTCAGTGCCTGTGGCCAGGAACAGTTGTGGCTCTGGTGCCCACACCCATACAGCATGCTACCCCCCAAAAAAAAACAGATGGTCCTGTACAATGAGGGAGGCAGCCCTGGGCTGCTGCAGTACTACATGTCCTTGCTCCTGACTGGAAAAACAGCCCAGCAGACCCTCACCTGGCAGATGAGTGCCTGAACCAGTTGAACTGGCATGAACCTGTGCCTTCAGTAGGAAAAAAAAAAGCTCAGCAAACCTGCCTTTACTAGGTTCACCCCCCAAGTCAACCTGAAAATCAGCCCATCAAGCCTAAACCTGGCTAAGCTGTACTCCTCTTGCCACAGACGTCTACAACCTAAGCCACTAAGGCACTCACAGACATGGCTGACATGGATTACAGCTGAAGAAATTGCATGGAGACTACATCATGTCTCCACCCAGAACCAAAGCCAACACACCCTACCCAACTAGCATAACACCCATATACAGGAATAAATCTTCCCCTAAAAAGCTACTCCATAAAATTGGAACAGGTGACTATTCAACCAAATGTGCAGATTCAGCATAGGAACACAAATATGAAAAAGCAAGGAAACATGACATCCCCAGAGGAACACAATAATTCTTCAGTGACAGAATCCAAAGAAGAGGAAATTTACAATATGCCCATAAAGAAATTCAAAATAATGGTTTCTTAAAAACAAAACTCAGCAAGATACAAGAGAATACAGTTAAACAATTCAACAAAATCAGAAAAAAAATAGGAAATTCAACAAAGTTAGCATTTTTGGAAAGTGCAAACAGAAATCTTGGAACTGAAGAACTTAAATGAAAAATACAATTGAGAGTTTCAGCAACAGACTACATCAAGCAAAAGAAAGAATTTCTGAATTTGAAGGCAGGTCTTTTGAAATAATCCAGCCAGAGGGTGGAAAAAAAATAAGAATAAAAAAGAATGAAGCAAACCTATGGAACTTAAGAGTTGCATTTAAATATACAAATATTCACATAATATTTATAGAGGGTGAGAAGAGATGGAGGAAAGGCGCAGAAAACATATTTAATGAAATAGTAGCTGAAAATTGCTCAAGTTGGGAGAGATATGTATATTCAGATCCAGGAAGCTCTGGAGTTTCAAATAGATTAAATTCAAAAGGTCCTCTCCAAGACATATTATAATCAAACTGTCAGAAGTCAAAGAGAATTCTAAAAGCAGAAAAAGTGCCTTGTCACATGTAAGGGTATCTTCATTAGATTATCAACGGATTTCTCAGCAGAAGCCTTGCAGGTTAGTAGAGAATGGATGGTATAGTCAAAATGCTGAAAGAACAAAACCTGTCAGCTAAGAATACTGTACCCAGCAAAGCTATCCTTCAGAAATGAACGTGAAATAAACTCTTTCCCAGACAAGGAAAAGCTGAGATAATTCATCACCACTAGATTGGCCTAACAAGAAATGATTATGCTGAGTCCTACAGCAAGAAGTGAAAAGCAGGTAATTACTGTCATGAAAACATCAGAAATTATAAAACTCACAGATAGAGATAAATTTGTAATCAAACTCGTAATACTACAATACTATGATGATGCTGTGTAAATCTTTCAGACCTCAACTCTGAAGGTTAAAAGTCAAAATAGTAATAACTACAGCCACAAGTAGTTGTTAAGGAGCACCCAATAAATAAGGAGATATATAACAAAAATGTTACTTTGTTGAGAGAAGGGTTGAGAAATGTTGAGAGAAGGGTAAAAGTCTAGAATATTTTTATGCAGCTAAAGTTAAGTTGTTATCAGCTTAAAATAGTCTGTTGTAACCACATGATTATTTATGTTACACTCATGATAACCACCAAGAAATAAATCACAGCAGATGCACAAACAAGAAAGAGAAAGGAATCAAAACTTAGTACCATAGAAAAACCATCAAACCACAAAGCCAAACAAGAAAGGAAGAATGTAACAAAGGATACAGAAAAGCAAGAAAGCAGTTAACAAAATGGCAAGAGTAAGTTTTACCTGTCAGTAATTACCTTGAATGTAAGTGGATTAAATTTCCCAATTATAAGAGATATAGCATGAATGAAAAAAGAAAAACTTTATGCTACCTACTATAGGCTCACGTCACTTGTACAGATACACATAGACTGAAAGTGAAAGTATGGAAAAAGATATTTCATGCAAACCGAAACCAAAAATGAGCAGGTTTATAAAATATCAGATAAAATAGGCGTTAAATCAAAAACTGTAAAAAATGACCAAAAAAGTCATTATGTAACAATGAAGGGATCAATTTAGCATGAGGATTTAAGAATTACAAATATATATGCATTGAACACTAGAGCACACAAATTATTACTACATCTAAAGGGAGAGAGAAACTGCAGTAGGTAAGTAGTAGAGGAATTCAACACCCTACTTTCAGCAATAGACACATCATCCAGGCAGAAAATCAGCAAAGAAACAATGGATTTAAATTGCAATGTAGACGAAGTGGATCTAACATACATTTATAGAATATTCCATCCAATAGCTGCAGATGCATATTCTTCTGCACTGTGCATGGAACATTCTTGAGGAGAGATCATATGTTAGGTCAAGAGCAAGTATTAACACATGTGAGAAGATAGAGATCATATCAAGTAGCTTTTTTGGCCACAGTGGTATAAAACTAGAAATGATTAACAAGAGAAACTTTGGAAACTGTAAAAATACATGGACATTACTCATCATGCTCTGAATAGCCAATGAGTCAATAAAGACGTTGAAAATGGAAAATAAATGATTCTTGAGACAACATGGGAAAACACAATATACTGAGGCCTATGGAATACAGCAAAAGCAGTCCTAAGAGGAAAATTTGTAGCAATAAATACTTCCATCAGAAAAGCACAATAATCTCAAATAGACAACCTAACATTGCACCTCAAGGAACTAGAAAAAAGTGAACAAACCCAAAATTGGTAGGAAGAAAGAAATAATAATTATCAGAGCCAAAATATACAAAATAGAGACTAAATAAAAATACAAAGTAGCAATGAAACACAGTTTGTACAAAATAGAGACTAAATAAAAATACCAAATATCAATGAAACACAGTTTGTTTTCTGAAAAGTTAAAATCAAACCTTTAGTAAGATTAAGAAAAAGAGATGACTCAAATTAATAAATTCAGAGATGAAAAAGGAAACATTACAACCCGTACAATAGAAACGATCACAAGAAACTATGATGAATAATTATATGCCAACAAATTGAGTAATCTAAAAAAAAAAAGTGTATGAAGTTCTGGGCACATACAGCCTACCAAGATTGACTTAGGAAGAAATGGAAAATTTCAACAGACCAATAACAAGCGAGGGAATTGAATCAGTAATAAAAGTAGTGTCCCAGTAAAGAAAAGCCCAGACCTGGACATATTCAGTGCTGAGTTTTAGTAAACATACAAAGAAGAATATCAGTCTACCTCAAACTGTTTCAAAAAATTGAAGAGAAGGGAATTCTTCCAGACTCATTATACGAAACCAGCATTATTCTCTTACCAATACTAATTCCTGAAACTATTCTAAAAAATTGAAGAGAATCCTCCCTAACTCATTCTATGAGGCCAGCATCACCCTGATACCAAAACCCAGTAACACACAACAAAAAAAGAAAACTATCAACAGTACCTCTCTGATGAACATAGATGCAAAATTTTTTAACAAAGTACTAGCAAACTGAATTAAACAGTACATTAAAAAGATCATGTACCACAATCAAGTGGGATTCATCCTAGGGAATTTCTTGTGCACTTTCACCAGTTCTGTCCAACATAGTACTGGAAGTCTTAGCCAGAGCAATTAAGCAAGACAAAGCCATCCAGATTGGAAAGGAGAGAGTCAAATTATCCCTGTTTGCAAACAGAATGACGTTTTATTTATATAGAAAATCCTAAAGACTCAACTGAAAAACTGTTAAGACTAATAAGTGAAATTAATAAAGTTGCAGGATAGAAAATGTATGGTAGTCAGTAACATTTCTATATGCTAATAGTGAACTAACTGAAAAAGAAGTCAAGAAGACAATCTCATTTACAATAGCTACTGAAAAAAGATAGCTAGGATTAAATTTAACAAAGGAGATAAAAGATCTCTACACTGATAACTATAAAACATTGAGGAAAGAAATTGAAGAGCACAAATGGAAGTGTATCTTTTTCATGGATTGGAAGAATTAATATTGTTAAAATGTCCACACTAACCAAAATGAGCCACAGATTCCATGTATTTCCTATCAAAAACCAATGACATTGTTGACAAAAATAGGAAACTTTCTAAAATTTATATGAAACCACAAAAAATGTAAATAGTGAAAGTAATATTTATCCAAACAAGTAAACACAAAACACGGTGCTGAAGACATCACACTACCAGACTTCAAAATATGCTACAAAACTGTGGTAATCAAAACAGCATGGTATTGGCATAAAAAGAGATGCATAGACCAATGGTGTGGAATAGAGAGCCCAGAAATAAATCTGTGTATCTATAGCCAGTTGATTTCCAAGAAAGATACAAAGAACAAAAATTGGAAGGACATTCTTTTCAATAAATGCTGCTGGGAAAATAGGATATCCACATGGATAAGACTAAAGCCACACTCCTTTCACCAAACACAAAAATCTGCTAAAAAATGTATTAAAGACTTAAATGTAAGACCTGAAAGTATGAAACTACTGGAAGAATACATGGGAAATGCTTCACGATATGGGACTGGGCAAAGATTTTTTTGGATAGAACCTCAAAAGTGTAGGCAACAAAAGCCAAAATAGAAAAATGGAATTACATCCAATTAAAAAGATTCTTCAGAGCAAAGGAAACAGTCAACCAAGTGAAGAGACAGTCTACAGAATGAGAGAAAATATTTGTAAACTATACATCTAACTAAAGATTAATATACAGAATATATAAGGAACTCAGTTCAATAGCCAAAAAAAAAAAATCTGATAAAAATTGGGCAGAAAACCTTTAACAGACATTCCTCAAAAGAAGAAATACAAATGACCAATCAGGCATATGAAGAAATGTTCGACATCACTAATCATCAGGGAAATACAAATAATACCACAATAAGATATCACCTCACTCCAGTTAGAATGGCAGTTATCAAACAAGACAAAAGATAAAAGTGTTAGTATATGGAGAAAAGGGAACCTATACATATAGTTGATGGAATGTAAATTAGTGCAGCCATTATTGAAAATCATATGGAGGTTCCCCAAAAAGTTAAAAATAGAACTACCATATGATCCAACAATCTCATTACTTTATGCATATCTGAGGGAAATGAAATCAGTATGTTGAAGCAATATCTGCACTCCCATGTTCCCTTTGTGATTATGGCACTTGGTCTTACGTCTGTTAAGAAAAAGTCCACAGGCATATATGTATGTAATTTCATCTAATGAGTAAAGATCTCTTTGAGTCTATGGACTTTTACAATTTGAAGTGCCTCATCAGTTAACCTTACCCTTTTTCATGTTACTTTTGGTATGTCAGTCAAAAAGTTTTAACCTTAAATGGTTGATTTTTGCTTTATCACTGTCTTCAGAAATAGTCATTCTACAACCCAGCCCAGATTTATCTATATTATCTTTAGTCTCTCAAAACTAGAATATTTTCTCCCAGTCTTAATCCCCAAATCTCACACCTAACTATGATAAATTGCCATTCACTTTCTTGTTTTTAAGATAAGATTTTGACTTGCATTTGCTTAGTACAATTCTGATGTCTTCTCCCTACACTGTATAATAAACTAGTGGATAATTCTACCTGTAGTAAGTGGTCAAATACAGGGAGCAATCAAGCCAGCTCACATGGTGAGATTACCACACTGCTTTGTGTTCTCGTGACTTCAGACCTGCTACTGCTGTATTTTTAATCACTTGTCTGGGGAAAGGTGACTATTATAGCTTTGTGTTATAATCCCGTATTGCCAGAAAATTATGTCTACTAGATTGATAACTCTGTCTTTTGACATTAGAACACCTCTTTTAGTAGCTGTGTAAGTATATGCCCAAGATTGGACTTATCCATGACTCAATTTGAAGTGCTAAAATCCTTGCCCCTCTATTTCTAGGCTATTCCCTATATTTGTTTTTTAATTCATCACTGTTGAATTTAAACTGATATTACATATATAATGAAGCCTAATGTTATATGCCTACTGTTAGCACCTACAAAATGATTTCCTGCCAGTTCCGAACCCTTTAGAGTCAAAACTCCCAACACTGGTATTTTGTCTTGAAAGACACCAAAATAAACAAGTAGAAAAGAGGGCTAGGAGATTCTGAACAGGCACACACCTACAAAAAGAAAGCCAGCATAATACGCTCTGAGGCTAAGATAGTTTGGTTTGATAGTTCGGGGCTACAGAACAATTGATGAGAATGATAACAGAAGGAAGGCCAGGAGATATATTGTAGGAAGGATTAATTTGTGAGAGTACCTTATTAGCATCATTTCAAACACAAGCCAGGATGCAGGGACATTAAAAGAAAGAAAAACAAGGCCAGGCATGGTGCCTCATGCCTGTAATCCCAGCACTTTGGGAGGCCTAGGTGGGCAGATCATGAGGTCAGGAGTTTGAGACCAGCCTGGCCAATATGGTGAAACCCCGACTCTCCTAAAAATGGAGAAATTAGCCAGGCATGGTGGCATGTACCTGTAATCCCAGCTACTCAGGAGGCTGAGGCAGGAGAATCACTTGAACCCAGGAGGCGGAGGTTACAGTGAGCCAAGATGGTGCCATTGTACTCCAAATTGGTGGATTCACAAGGGAAAATGCATACTGGCGTATAACATGTATTTGGTGAGATACAGATATCAATTATGTCTTTATTGATTTTTATAATCAGGTTTTTTACATAGTAAATACAAATATAGGAGTGAGTATGCTTTCCTTTTTGATGTCATAGATAATTCAGTAGTGAAAATCTTTTGTTGAGCTATTTCATTATAATGAATTTCCCATGGTGAAATTTTGAAGGAAAGAGGTTTTCCGTGGCTCTCGACAAATTGCCATATTGCTTTTCAGTAGTATCTGTGTATACTTTAAAGAAGTGAGTATAAAATATACCAATTTCATAAATAATCTGATCAGTATAGGATGATTTTTGTTTTGTCAATTTAGTACTGATATGGTTTGACTGTGTTCTCACCCACATCTCATCTTGAGTTGTAGTTCCCTTAATCCCCATGTGAAGTGGGAGGGATTTGGTGGGAGGTAATTGAATCATGAGGGTGGTTTCCCCCATGCTATTCTCATGATAGAGAGTAAGTTCTCATGAGATCTGATAGTTTTATAAGAGGCTTCCCCCTTTGCTCGGCTCTCTGTCATGTGAAGAAGGACATATTTGCTGCACCTTCCACCATGATGGTAAGTTCCCTGAGGCCTCCCCAGCCATGCTGAACTGTGAGTCAATTAAACCTCTTTTCTTTGTGAATTACTCAGTCTCAGATATGTCTTTATTAGCAGCAGGAGAACTAACTAATACAGTAAATTGGCACCAGGAGTGGGGCACTGCTGAAAAGATATCCAAAAATGTGGAAGTGACTATGGAACTGGGTAACACGCAGAAGTTGGAACAGTTTGGAGGGTTCGGAAGAAGACAGAAAGATGTAGGCGAGTTTGCAGCTTCCTAGAGACTTGAAGGACTCAGAAGACCGAAAGATATGGGAAAGTTTCGAACTTCCTAGAGACTTGTTGAATGGGTTTGACCAAAATGCTGATAGTGATGTGGACAGTGAAGTCCAGGCTGGGGTGGTCTCAGATGGAGCTGAGGGACTTGTTGGAAACTGGATCTATGGTGAGTCTTACTGTGCTTTAGCAAAGAGACTGGTGGCTTTTTGCCCCTGTCCTAGAGATCTGTGGAACTTTGAACTTGAGAGAGATTATTTGGTGTTATCTGGTGGAAGAAATTTCTAAGCAGCAAAGTGTTCAAGGGGAAGCAGAGCATAAAAGTTTGGAAACTTTGCAGCCTGATGATGTTCTAGAAAAGAAAAACCCATTTTCTGGGAAGAAATTCAAACCTGCTGCAGAAATTAGCGTAAGTAATGAGGAGCTGAATGTTAATCAACAAGACAATAGGGTAAATGCCTCCAGGGCATGTCACAAACCTTCACAGCAGTCCCTTCCATCACAGGCCCAGAGGCCTAGGAGAAAAAAATGTTTTCGAGGGCCAGATCCAGGGTCTTGCCGCTTTGTGCAGTCTCTGGACTTGGTGCCCTGTGTCCCAGCCATGGCTAAAAGGGGTCAACATAGAGCTCAGGCCATTGCTTCAGAGGGTGCAAGCCCCAAGCCTTGGCAGCTTATATGTGGTGTTGGGTCTGCAAATACTCAAAAGTCGAGAATTGAGGTTTGGGAACCTCCACCTAGATTTCAGAGCATGTTTGGAAATCCCTGGATGTCCAGGCAGAAGTTTGCTGCAGGGGTGAAAGCCTTGTGGAGAACCTCTACTAGGGCAGTGTGGATGGGAAATGTGGAGTCGGTGCCCCCACACAGAGTCCCCAGTGGAACACTGCCTAGTAGAGCTGTGAGAAGAGGGCCACCATCCTCCAGACCCCAGAATGGTAGATCCACTGACAGCTTCCACCATGCACCTGGACAAGCTGCAGACACTCAACACCAACCCATGAAAGCAACCAGGAGGGGTCTGTACCCTGCAAAGCCACAGGGGCAGAGCTGTCAAGACCATGGGAACCCACCTCTTGCATCAGAGTGACCTGGACGTGAGACAAGAAGTCAAAGGAGATCATTTTGGAAATTTAAGGATTAATGATGGCCCTTTTGGATTTTGGATTTGCATGAGGCCTGTAGCCCCTTAATTTTGGCCAATTTCTCCCATTTGGAATGGGAGAAATTGGAATTTACCCAATGCCTGTATCCCCATTGTATCTAGCTAGAGTTACGTGGTTTCAGATTACATCCAGAGTGTGAGGGGGTATGAGGCTTGGATTGAGATCCTCAATAGCATCCTCACATTCCCCCCACAAACCCAGTGATAGAGTAAGTCAAGTAATAGTATTAGAAGTCTCAATTTTTGTGCTAGGCTAGTGTTGCTCAAATTATGGCTGTAAAGAGTTCCTGTGTGCTAAATGATCTAAGACAAGATAAGTACAGAAATCAAGACTGAGTGTAGACACTTGAATGCCACTTGACATTGTTGCAGCATTTACATACGTATTCACAGTTTGTGTTTGTTTGTTTTACAAAAGCATAGCTTTTCAACAAATTTAAAAAAAAATTTAAATACTTCTTGACCACAGTTTGGAAAGCAGTGTTCAAGGCAACATGTATTTAGACAAGTACATCAAATTCATCTTCTGATATTTTCAATTTTATTTCTTTTTTCCTCTCAGCCCTTCTATTAAAGAGATTTTTGAAAATGTTGTTTTGGATTATTTCATTTTGATTTGGTAGATTAAAAAACTTAGTAGAAAAAGATTATTAATATTTTTCGAGTGTCCACAAGTTTGGTTTTTACTCTAACAATTTATGCATATGAACCTATTTTAATTGACATATAATCTGCAAAATAAATCTAAACTTTTTTATTTTGTGTGAAAAATAATTTAATACCAAATAGGAGAGTGTGAATTTCTATTAGACTTTTCAAATTAGGTATTAATAGTTTATGTTTGAAATTTGAGTTAAGAATTTTAGGAATTTGATATAGGGTCTTGTAAAATCAATAATTATTTATTCATTCAGTAAATACATATGTCTCTGGACTTCCTGCTAAGCACTAGGAGTAGAGTGGTAAAGTTTAGGTATTAGTTACCAGGTAGCTCTCAAGAGCTAAGGTATAATTCTGCTTACCAAACATATAGTTATTAAGTGTTCCCTCTAAAATGGAATTGTACATTTCCATTTGAAAAAAAATTGTTGAGGGTTTGGTAAAATCAGTAATGCAGACAATTAGTAATGTAGACAATGTCATATGAGATTGACTAGAGCTTAAATCCCAATTTTTTAAATACATGGAGATATTGAATAATATAGGTACTAATTATGCAGAACAATTATTAAAATGGCACAGCAATTAAATTCCACCCTGCTGTAGGTATGTTCCCCAAATCTGGCCATGTGTGGGAAGCATCTGAAATCCTGGGCCCCATGCTCCAGCATTTCCAGTCCATTAAGTCTGGTGAGGCAGTGATCAGCTCAGCTGTAGGGTTAGTGGTATTTTGAATATTTCTTTGACAAGCACCTTGGGGTACCTAGCTGTGGTTTTGGGGATGCAGAGCTAGAACATGCAAAGCAGATAAACATTGACAGTGAAATGTGGTAATGCTGAGTAGAGGTATACAGAAGGTAGCTAGGAACATGGAGGGGGCCCCCAACTCTGCCAGGGTGGCTGGGCTGGGAAAGGTTTCTCTGAGGAGGTGATGATTGGAATGAGTTTTGAAGGAGGAACAGGAACTGACTAAACAGAAAACGAGGAAAAGTACATCTGTCAATGAACAACTCAACTGAATGCTATCATACAAAAGTAATTGTGGAGATGAAAAGGAGGAGACAGATTCTAGAGATCCTAATGGAGTAAACAGGATGTGTCTGCATGATTTGGAGTCCTTTCACCCATTATCATGTCCTGGCTTACTCACTGTCCTGCAGTCCCAATGGCCTGTTAGTTCCTCAGGTACACCCAGCTCGTTTCTGACCTCTGGTCTTTGTGGTGGCTATTCCTGCTGACTAGAGTGGACCTCCTTCTTCCACAAACCCAGTTCTTTGAATGGCTGGCTCCTATTCATTTAGGTCCCAGCCCAACTGCCATCCCTTCTGGGGACTGTCCTCGTCATGCTGTCTCACTATCGCTCCTGTGGCCCTGCCCTCACAGTCAGCCTACCACTGAGCCTTGTATTGATCTTCATAATATTAATACCTATCAGTGTGTTGTCTGCGTAGACTAGACATAGGAGCACTGCTTTATTCCCTGGAACACAGGTGCTAAAAATACTTCAGTGAATGAATATGTAGTATTATGGAGCTGAGTTTAACAAATTAGTTATACAAATGGCTTTTTGGATAGAAGTGGCACTTTTAAGTGAAGAAGGCATCATATGGAAACATAGCTTCAGCTGAACCTATTGTTAAGGCAGGCCTGGGAAGGTAATCATTGGCAGAAAGCGTGTTTACTCCATCAAGTGTCTAGTTTCTTAAAAAATCTAATCAAACTAGAAGGCTTCCAAACTGACGTCTTTCTAACCTGGCTGTCTTCCAAAATGAGAAGGGTCTTGGTTAACACCCAATATCATTAAAAGGGATTCTACTAAAATTCTACTTAAAGTAATCAAGTAAAAACTATTATCTCTAGACCTTATGACATCAAAAGACTTACCTTTTTATTTTAAAAGAATATTAATATTCTTCACCTTTGTAATTCATGTTACCTAGAAATAGTTGAGATCCCTGGAACTTTTAATACAATTCCAAATGCTTACAAAAACTTTAAATTTTCATAATTTTTGCTGTGAAGTGCTAAAATATTGAACTTTATTTTATCATTGTATTTATGACTAATTTCTTTTTTAAGATAATTATTAATATTTACTCTTCAAGTTTGAGGCATTATAATGAAAAAACATATAACCTGTGAAGGCTCACGGGTTGGATGGTTCTTGCCTGGCAATCAGACAGACAATTTTAAAGAGACAGCACATAAAATAACACAAGTAAAATAGATTTGGCAAATGTTTATTATTATGAAAAGGAAAATTACCTTGGTGACAGGTCAGTTGGCATTTCTTTCAAACTGTTTCTCTTTTGTAAATATAAGTTTAGAAAATAAGTACAGGCAGCCTACAAAGCCACGGAAGAAAAACTTACTTGCCTTCCGAGGATAAACCTACCTAGCTACCATGGTGTCAAGATTGTATAAACTGGTCACCTACCCGGTTTGATCTCCCTGGGTGCTTTGTGGACATTTTATTCTGTAATGTACAGCTATAATCTCTCTTCATTGTTCTGGCATTAATAACACAGTTTAAAAAAACAGGTTATATTTAAAAGCACACTTACCAGCTGTTCTCGAAATATTACATATAGAATACCTGGCTCAAGTCTTCCATTCTAAAAATTTAACAAGTGTTAGTTCCCCACTGGTCCCTTCATCCCTGTCCTTGGATTATTTGAATTCAGTTGTATGTTGCATCTCAAGGTATAGAAGAGTGGAGATGTATTCTGTTTATTCGTTATATGTGATAAAAAGTGGAAGAAAATCAAATATACTTTCCTGAGCACGGTCATAATAATTGCAGTATGCTGAGAGGTTGAAACACTGAATGTATGGATATGGTTCTATTTAGGATAACATTTTAAGCTCCCTAACTGCTATTTAGCTAGAGAAACATTATCCAAATCAATTAGTGCTAAAAAATAAATGATAGTAAGGTAGCAAATGAGTAGTGCAACACACATTTCTACTCATTCATTCCTTTGAAACAATATTTAATTACTACCCACTATATGGCAGGTACTGTTCCAGGCACTGTTGTGGATGCAGCAATGAACAAATCACACAAAACCACTGCCCTCATGAAGCATACATTTTAATGAGAAAAACAGTAAGCAAAATAAATAAATTTGTGTAGTGATAATTGCTATGGAAAAAATAAAGCAAGGAAAGATACATAAGGGTGTAGTTTCATAAAAGTATTATGTACACAAGCACATACATCTATTGCATTGATATTTAAGTTTACTTATAAACTACATACCCATATGATTACCCATCTAATTAAATTTTAGTGAAGTTGATTTACTCTTGTTTTAGATAAAAATAAATATAATTTAGTGGTTTTAATGGGTGTTTTTCCCACACACCATGAAGGGAAATTTTCACAATAGATGATAATGACAATTTGATGATATAATAATTAAAAGTAGGTGACTCTTACTAAGGATGTGCTGAGCCAGGCACTGTCCAGTTTAAGAATTATCTGAGATTAGATACTTATCACTACATATCCATTTTATACATGTAGAAGCTAGGAACAGAGAGGGTAAGCAACATGCCAAAGATCATACAGAAATTAAGCCAGAGCTAAGATTTAAATGCAGTTGGGTTAGTTCCAGAACTAGCACTTTTAACCATTAGATATTATTACGTATGGCTTATAGATGTGAAGACTAAAAATTCTAGAGATGGAAAAGAAGGAAGTAACATCATGAATAATGGGTAAGGAGGAAGATAGATACACTGACCTTAGATTAAGCATTTAAAAACTAAGAAATCATAAATGGAGATACTTAAGAAAATAATATACAGAAAATTTAATTCATCTGTATAATGTACCATAAATAACTTCACCACCAATAAATGGAAAGACAAGTCAAATGCGTGGAAATATACTCAGACCATAATATGTGAAAAAATAAGCATATATTAATAGTTTTTGAAAATGAGTCTAGATAAATAATTTAGGTTTAATAATGACTAATAGAGAGAATGGGAAAATTAGTTATAACAGAGTTATGGGGCTAATTAGAATTATCAGGCTGGCAACTGATAAATGTGTGTATGGGAGCTATGGTTTGAGAATGCATCAGCCAAGGTTCTAGAAGAAATTAAGGCATGATTTGAGTGACTTCGCAGTTCTCTCAAAAGTGATTTGTATTGAGTACAATTCTTGATGCGTTCTTGAGAATTTAATCCATTACCTACAATGGATGCCTCAAGGCATTAAGATTCTCTGTGGGAGCTTCTATTGAGAAGGCCTGGTTAGGATTGGAAGTCAAAGCAATACATTTTAGAGACTTTAATCAGCAGAAAGCCAGAGAGAATTTTATGAAAATTTTATTTAGGAGATAAAGTTTTAGGGAGGTATAAAAGTTAAATTTAGTCAATGTTTATTTTTATTGCAGGTTAATTTTCAGCAATTCACTTGGGTCTTAACTAATCCAATTAAAAATTCCATGAGACAATTCAATTATATGATGTGTAAAAATGTTAGAATTTAAGATTTTGTTATTTCACTAAATTAAAAAATTATGATGTAGCAAGAAAATTATCTTTACTATGCCATTAATAATCTTAATATGTATTTTATTTCCAGGGAGCCTTTTATTATTTTATCAGGAGGTTTGTCATATGATACTGTAGGAAGAAGACCTTGCTTAACAGTGATGCATGGGAAAAGCACTGCTGTGCTAGAAATGGACTATTCAATTGTTGATTTTCTAACGCTGTGTGAAACACCATACCCAAATGGTAAGCTTTGCAACTTTAAAGCTCATTCTCTATAGAGAGCTGATATTAAAAAAAAAAAAAAGACCTAGGTTGTTTAGATAAAACTACTCATCCTATTGTGCTAATTCTTCTGGAGAAGAGCTGCTGCATTCATAATCTACAAACTTTATTTCAGAAGTGGTTTAATAAATTTAATCTGTTTTGAAGAATAAAAAAACGCTATTCATATTAAGAAACATTTTAAAATTCTGTTAAGATAGTAATGTATTAGTAAGGATTCTCCATAGACGCACACACTCATAGGAGAGAAAGTGATTGATTGATTGATTGATTGATTGATTGATTGATTTTAAGAAATTGGCTCACACTGTTGTGGGGGCTGGCCAGTCTGAAACCTGTAGAGCAGGCTAGCAGGCTGGAAATTCAGGAAGGCATTCATGTTGCAGTCTTGAGTCTGAAATCTATAGATTGAAATTTCAGACATGGTTTCTATGTTGCAATCTTGAGGCACAATTGCGTTTTTTTCAGGAAACCTCAGTTTGTGCTTTTAAGACGTTAAACTGACTGAATGAGGCCCATTCGTTTAGAGGGTAATGGGCTTGACTCAGAATCTACTGATTTAAATGCTAATCACATCTGAATATATGTATATATATGTATATTTTTTTTTCACAGCAATGTCTAGACTGGTATTTGACCAAACAGCTGGGGGCACCATATTATAGACAAATTGACACATACAATTAACCATCAGAGCTAGTGTATATAATTCAAGAAGAATTTAAATCTGGACCTTTTTTCACTTCAGTTGAAATTCATTGAGGTGTAAAGATGTAATGTATTTTACAGTTATTGACAGGCACATATGAAACATCCAAGAAAGATAGTATTATAGTAGAACTCTTTTGGGTTCCTGTGAGATTAAATGATAACTGTTCTTGTGTGTATTCAGATTTAAATTTTAGTTTTGTTGTCCATGTGCAGCTTTGAAATTTGCAATGCCATAGAAATTTCTGTCTTACTCATTTTTACAAAAGTAAAATAATTTTGAAATGGTCAGTAAATAGATGATCTCATAAAACTTACTAGCCTTAAATAACATGCATGAAGTATCATAGGATCAGAATGTTAAATACTCAAGAGAATGAAACTAAATAAAATCAAGCAAGAAACATTTATCTAATTTGCTGTCCACTTGCATTTTTGAAACTATAATTCATGCATTGTCCAATTCCAGATTTTCAAGAACCATATGCTGTGGTTGTTCTTCTAGAAAAGGATTTAGTACTTATAGACCTTGCACAAAATGGGTAAGAAATAAAATTTGGTGAGTGATTCTATCAGTATGTGGTTGAAAAAAGATGCCTTTTATCATAGCATTAGCTATTTCATTTCTTTGAAAACTCTACATTTATATCCATAACCTTGACCTCTTTTGAGAGCTCCAGACTCACATATCTACTTACTCAAATTTCTCTATTATGTTGAATCTCATAAAATTTTCATTTTTAGGTAAAAATTTGTTGTAGTTCTGAAATTTCACATGATTCAACCTGACACTTAGATATCCTGGGGCCACACAAAATCAGCACGTCAAAAATTAATCCCATCAGTATTTACCTCCAAAATAAGCTATTTTAGGCTTTCTACGTCTACTCACTCTCAGTTGCAATGTTTATACGTGCTTTTGCCAGATTCGTTTTACACACAGTTCCAATCTTGTACTATCCTCTTCAAACCATGGTTCAGTATTGTTTTTTGATTTAAAAACATCTGCTACTCCAAACAGTAGGAATTCAGGATTTCTTTCCAACCTGATCTCTGTCTTCTCACTAGTGTCTATTCCTTAGGAAAACAGAACTATGTATTCAACAGACATCACATTTCTATGTCTTCTCCTATGTAATTCCCAATACCTGAAACACTAGTTGTTTCACTGCCATAAAACTCTATATAACTTTCAAAGTCAACCTTCTTATCTTTTTCGGGCTTTTCCTATCCTCTGTTTACCAGATGTATTATATCTGATCTGTAACTTCACACCATAGCTTCTTTGTAACTTTTCATGGTATTTGCCATATTCTGCTTTTTGGATCATAGATGATAATGTTTACTTACAAATTATTTGAATGGAAGCACATTGTATTATTTATCTTTGGAGAAAGAATCATTAAGTATGGTTTTTAATTGAGTTTACTCATTCAGTATTGCAGTGTTTCTCAATCAAGGGTGATTTTTGCATTCCCTGCCCCCAGCCCCGCCCTTCTCCCACCCAGAGAATATATGGCGATCTCTGTGGAAACCTTTTCAGTGGGTTTGAGGGTGTTGCGACTGGCATCTAGTGGGTAGAAGACAGAGATGCTGCAAAACATCCACAGTGCATAGGACAGTTCCCTACAGTAGAACATTATCTCGTCCAAAATGTGAATAGTACTGAGGTTGGGCGACCCTGAATTAGGTGAACAGTATCATTTACCTGATGTTTAGGCAATTCTAAATTTACTTTAGTACCTGCTACTTTTACTAATCAATTGTGAGGAGTCTTTTCAAAATAACAAGATAATTTGAAAATATTATTTCTGTCCTAGAATAACTTATTCTTAATATGATTTTCTTTTATTTTTTTCCCTTAGGCAAGTTTTTCAAATAATTGAGACTTTTCACATGTGATCTGTACTGAGATACATTTAAGTCAAAGAAAATACTATGCAAGTAACCTGTGACTAGGCATTTTATTTAGCAAAAGTATCAGTTAAATGTATGGTAATAATAGAATCACTGAGCTAAGGAAATAATGTGTGTTATAAAGAGAAGAAAGTTGCTTGCCGTTTTGTCATTTTATGAATGCATGTTGTTTGTGTTTGGTCCTGGAGGTGGGAGTGGTGATAGTTGGGTTCATTTTGCAGTCTATAAGGGACTATTTGGAAATTTCTCTCTTCTGTTTTAAAAAATTGTCAGTAGTAGACTGATCTAATTTTTGCAAATTAGCCACTTTGCACTTTTTAAATTTTTTAGCCAGTTTCTGGTTTTCCAGACTATTCTCATTCTAAGGACTTTAAAATGAGAAAAGAAATATTTTATATTTAGATAGGATTCTACTTTAATTTCATGATTTTTAAAAGCATTTTTTGCTTTATTTAATAAAGTAACTTCATATCTAGAAAACATTTAAGGTAGAATTTTATTATGTATTATTACCAAAACAAGAAAAATATTCTGAATTAAATATTGGACTAGGTATCATGTTTATGGAGAGAAAAAGAATGGAACATTTGTTAGCTCTGCTGACATAAGGATGAGGTATGTGTTATTCCACCATTTGCTAGCAGGCATGCTTTTGACACATTATTCTCTGTAAGCCTTTGTTCTTCAGTAAAATGCCTATGTCGTAAGTTTGGTGCAAGAAGTAAATGAGATGTATATATTTAAAGCACTTAGTGTAGTGTATGGCATATGGCATGTAGTTGCAACTAGAGCCTTTCTGTTTACTATTCTAATTGAGCAATTTTCATTATAAAAGACTTCCATTTTTAAATATATTTACAAAAATTAAATCAATTTAATCTCTATGATAGAATGTATGTTTTTTAAAGTTTTTATTTTTGTATTAATCATATGGTATAATTCATTAAATTAATAAATACTTTTCTTTTTCTGTTGTTAAAGATATCCTATATTTGAAAATCCCTACCCTTTGAGTATACATGAGTCCCCTGTTACATGTTGCGAATATTTTGCGGATTGTCCTGTGGACCTTATTCCTGCACTTTATTCTGTTGGAGCTAGACAGAAACGTCAAGGTTACAGCAAAAAGGTATTGAACATGAGCTTCAGTATTTAATGTTATATTTCTTATTTATTCTATATTTATCACCTTGGAGTATTTGATAACATTATACCTTTTCTATGGAAAATAGGTTAAAAATTATTTTTGCAAGCAAAATATGTTTTTCACTGGATTATTTACACACACACACACACACACACACACACGGAGGTATGTAGTATGCTTGCAAGTTGCTTTATACAGTCATCTTTTTTTATAGGAATGGCCCATCAACGGAGGTAATTGGGGCTTGGGTGCTCAAAGTTACCCAGAAATAATTATTACAGGGTAAGTAAAAGTCTGTCTTCACCAAGTAAATCTATAATAGCTAAATATAATTGATTGAGACTACATGAATGTTAACTTACTGGACAGGTAGAGCTTTCCTTTATGTCGTAATATAATAAGAAATGTTATTCTTAAGAACCTGCCAGTTTACCCTGATTTTTTTTACCTTTTTACTCATTTTGTTGACTTTTTAATAGCAGTACCCATTTAAAGAAGGAAGAACTGTAATTTTATTCATCACATTCTTAACATTGCTTTTCTTAGGCATGCTGATGGGTCAGTTAAGTTCTGGGATGCTTCTGCAAGTAAGTATTTTTAATATTCATTATTTGTTATATGTTATACAATCACTGCTTTTATGCATCCTGTTTTATAATAATTGCATAACCAATATTTAATTTGAAATGTAGAGGTTATAAATTTAATGCTTGATTTATTAAATACATGAGTTTAGAATTTTTAATATAGTCTTAATATTAGTAAATCAAGAATAATTGGCAACACAAGTATTCAATTTTATTTTTTCCTTCAAAATTTCTTCAAACCTTATCTTCCTAAGTCAGAGTTAGGGGAAGTGGGAATGTGTTCCAAATCAACAGAAATTTCTAGAATAATTTTAATGCCTGACTCTAAATTTGTATCACTAACGTTCATGTTGTCTTTGCGAAATAAATCTGGTGGTTACATAGTAGCAAAAAAAGAAATAATGCCTTTAATGATTAATGTTTCAAAACACACATGGCAAGCATTCAATTGGAATCCAGTTAACTCAGGATATGTTGTGTTTCCTCATGTAGGAATGTTTAATTATATTGGTACTGTATCTTTTCTAGAGAAGATACATAGAAAATCATTTTAGGAAGCAAACTGTGTTGTTTATTATTTTCATGTATTTACACATTATTTTTCCAAAATGTTTTTATTACTCATTTTTTTAAGATTACCTAAAATCCATTGTGATAATAGATTTTTCTTCATGAATACAATGAGCACACTCTTGTTTGGTCAATGAGAACAAAGAATATATTATCTAAATGTTTAATAGACTAACGTAAATTGAGAAATGAAAATATGATGTAGTTAAATATGGACCATTTTCTATACATAGTATGAGTGATTAAATGTTACCTTATGTTTGATCATTTTATATTAAAGTATCTGACATATATTATCTTTTTTCCAGTAACTCTACAAGTATTATATAAGCTAAAGACATCTAAAGTATTTGAAAAGTCAAGAAATAAAGATGACAGGCCAAACACAGACATTGTAGATGAAGATCCATATGCCATTCAGATCATCTCCTGGTGTCCAGAAAGTAGAATGCTGTGCATCGCTGGAGTTTCAGCTCATGTCATTATTTATAGATTCAGCAAGCAGGAAGTAATCACAGAAGTCATTCCGGTAATAACGTCTTAGTTATTTTCATGGTCAAGTTATTTTCATCCACATTTTTAAATTTGTGGATGATTTGGAAGACTTTTTGCAGTCAGTTTTGTGCAGAACTTTTGAAAACACCTTAGTATTTATATTATTATCTCTCTTTTGTAAAAAACAGCATTTTTTGCATATATTTTCACTGATTATTTAAATCCTTAAGTATAGGATATGTTTCCTTTAAGGAAAGCTAATATGAATATGAGTATACTCTAATTTGATATTAACACGAGTACCATACATTCTAAAATCATAATGCACGTTTGTGTGTGTACTCCCTGAGTCAAGAACGTTTTCTTTCTTGCTAAATCCTTATTTTTTGAAATCTTGCTAAATTTTTACCTTTAAAAATCTTCTTGCCACTGAAGTTTATGTAAAGTGTGTGTGTATGTGTGTATAAATTGTGATAAAATGAGCAATAATTATTAGGAGTAAGTAAACTACCTTACTTTTACAACAGATGCTTGAAGTTCGATTATTATATGAGATAAATGATGTGGAAACTCCGGAGGGTGAGCAGCCACCACCTTTGCCAACACCCGTGGGAGGGTCCAACCCTCAGCCCATCCCTCCTCAGTCTCATCCATCTACCAGTAGCAGTTCATCTGATGGGCTTCGTGATAATGTACCTTGTTTAAAGTAAGTTATAAAAAACTACAGAGGAGTTTTGGATATTATCTTTTAATTTATATAAATTGTAAGCATTAGAGCTATGGTAACATTTTCTTTTGATATAGCAAAATGGCATAAGAATGGTTCTTCCTGTGTTTTGCTATGGTTAGTCCAACTCATTTTTCTATGACATCAAGAGGAATATGATTGCATTTCATGATATTATCCTTAAAATATTAAGGTTTAATCTCCAAACATTCTCGTAAAGCAGCAAGGATCTAACCTGTATATATCGCTCAGTCTTCTAAATCCATCAGTGTTTTTAGTCTTGATTTATATGTAGCTTGGATTTATGTTCCGACTGCTTTCTACAACTCTGAAAATTCTGTTTAAGTCTTTTAAGACTCAGTTGTTTTCTAATCATTTTCTTTTTCTGAATCTTCACTAGCACCACCGTATCTTTATTTAAAACGTTTTATTGTTGCATCCTAAATTTAAATATATCTTGCTTTTATACAGAGATAAATTGGATGAAGTTTTATTTTTTCTGTCCAATTTTTATTATTGAGTGGTTAAAATGTTTAAATGATAGAGGCAGAGAAATAAAACAATGAGTAAGAAGTTAAAATCATTGAAAAAGTACATGAAGACTATGTGATTAATAGTATATTTACAAAGAATTCAACTAGGATAATGACGGAAAGGTGGTTCTGGTAGCACTCAGAGAGATTCAGTAGATTGGTAGAGGGCAAAAGCCAGAGTGTACTAGGTTCAAGGTAGAGAGGGTAGTAAGTAAGAGAAATAATTTGCATTTATTAAAAGGACCAGGCTTTGCACTATTTTACTTTAATCTGCTTGAGTCTCTTCTACTGGTAGATAAATAATTTCTGGGAAGAATGTCTGTGTAATGAATAATGCACTCACACCAAAGATAAAACGGATAGATTTTTTTTATATTACAATCATTTTAAAAATACAGAGTTTTAGAAAATTATATGTTTACAAAAATTGAAGGTCATGTAGTCTAAGCTGGTGGCTCTCATTTGCATATGATTTTGTTCCCTAGGGGACATTTGGAGATGCTTTTAGTAGACACAACATGAGGAAGGGAGATGCTATTGACACTTAGTGGGTAGAGGCCAGGGATAATGTTAAATATTCTACAATGGACAAGGCAGTGCACACAACAAAGAATTACCAGCTCAAAACATCAGTAGTGCCAAGGATGAGAACCTCTGATCCAAACAGTATATACCCATTGAGGTTAAGCAGCTACATTTCTCAGAAAGGTATCAAGTTTTTCTTTCTCTCCTCTCCCTCTCTCATACCTGTACTAGAATATACACACTTATAACTGTAGTTCTAGCACATGTTTTAACTAGAATGAGACTTGGGAATACAGAATTCTACACTTTTCCCCTTTATTACTTCTTCAATACTACTTTATACTTAAAATTGTAAATGTTCCGTTAATGCCCTTGTTTCTGATTTCAATGTTTTTTTCCCAAGCCCTTTGTTACATTTAATTTTTATGACATACGTAGTACAATTTGTCTTTGGGGCATTTTTTGTAACGTATTTCTATATTTCTGAAATAGTGTTTTCAACTACTGAAGTGACATTTTAACAAAATAACAATTCCATATAAACATACATTATCTTCAACAGAATTAGAATGATTTATTTAATTTGTACTTCATAATTTCTGATGCCTCCAAGTTTTTTAGGCTTGTGGCCAGAGATCCAGCAGTATAAAACATTAAATTCTTTTCCTACCTGAAGAAAAAACACCATCAATGCACTGCTTTCTCATGACAAGATAGGTCAGAGGAAATAGTACTGACAGGAGAAGCAGTACTGTTTGGACCAGAGTGACAAGACCTCTTACCTTGGCTTTCTAGGTTAAAGTTAAAGGCCAGCCTGATAGGTGAGTCTTTGTCCTCTGTTCTTAGAAAGGCCTTTTTTTTCCAGTTTTTTTACTGACTGAAAGAGCAAGGATAATAGTTAAGGCAGCAACCAGCAGCAGCTGTTAAAACCAGCAAACCAAAATGCAGAGTACAACAGTACCCAAATCCATTTTAAAGGTAATACTGACTTCGTTCTGCAATTATGAGTTTTCTTTATTGTTCATGGACCTGAGATTATGGTATGGCCATCTTTCTTGTTTGGGAGGACTTTTCATACTTGTGATGGAATGTTATGGCACACTATTAATCTTTTGTAATTATTTAATGGAATGTCACTTAATATAAGAATTCCTTTTAAGCTGCTGGTTAGTCCCAGTAGACAGAGAGTCTCATTAGCCAATCCATTAATGATACATGTGAGGAGAGTCCTTTTTGTTGTTGGCATTAATTGTTATCTTTTGTGTATGGATACACTTTGCCAATCCTGGGATATACACGCAATAACATCTTAACAGTTTTTTCTGAATCCTAAAATAACTAATGACTGTGATTTGATGGTTTTTTTTCCTTTTGAATATCACTGTGGAACTCTAGGTATTTTTTATAGGCAATTTGTTTTAACTTACTGAATTTAATCAACTTAACGTGATTTTGTCACAGTTTTCTAGAGGGAGCTTCTTTTAAGTTGGTGTTTGTGTCTTCTTAACACCACCTCAGAACTTTGTGACCATCCTTAATTTCTGTCAAGATGTTCTAGACTTGCTTTGAATACTACTTGCCCTCACAGGGTAACAGACCAAAATATGATCTTTAGAAATGTTTGTAACATTATTTTTAATAAGCAGTATATTGTTATAGTAGACCACCTGGTGACAAGAGCTAAAAAAAATGGGGGGGTTGTTTTTTAAAAAACAGTCATTAAAACTCTTTTATTTTTCATTGAGTTTTTACATTACTATATAATGTAAATAAATAATTTTAAATCTCTTACCCAAACCACTCTTCTCCTATAATTTGATTAGCCTGGAATTATTCCATTTAATATTATTTATCTGTTAACAAAAGTAAGTCCAAAATTGTAGTATTAAAATTACCACTGATAGTAAAACACTAGATGAATAGTAAAATATAACATGACAGCTGTCCTTTAGACCTTTGAGCATATGACAAGTGATTCATAAGGCAATTACATTGTTTTGAGTTACTTTAATAATTTTTCTTCTGTTTTGGTTTTTTGTAGACTAACCTCATGTATAATAAAACTTTATAACAACTAACCTCATGTATAATAAAACTTTATAAATTCATTTTATCTTGAGACTTAATATTTTAAGGGACAGTTCTTTTTGGAAGTAGCGTTTGGTGTCAGATAGAGGTAAACTGCCCTGTCAGTATGTTTTATAAAATGGATGGAACTTTGAAGCAGTTCAGACTTTAAAGACACACATAGGAGATTCAGCCAGAGTCCTGTCACCTGTAATTGCTTACTAGAATCTACGAAGGAGCCCAGTAATTATACTTCTCTTTACCTATCTGGATTCTTTTTTTTTTTTTTTTTTTTTTTTTTTTAAAGAGACAGGGTCTCGCTCTGTTGCCCATGCTGGAGTACAGTGGTGTGATCACAGCTCACTGCAGCCACGACCTCCTGGGCTCAATCAGTCCTCCCAACTCAGCCTCCCATGTAGCTGGGACTACAAGCGCACACCACCTTGCCCAGCTAATTTTGTAGTTTTTTATAGAGATGGGTTTTCGGCATGTTACCCAGGGTGGTCTCAAACTTGGAGGCAATCTGCCTGCCTCGGCCTCCCAAAGTGCTGGGATTACAGATGTTAGCCACTGTGTCTGGCCCCCATCTGTATTCTTAACACATTAAGAAATAAAATAATTTCAGATGGTGACTAAAAATATCACCTTAATTATTGTTAAAGGTAAAGATGCCAACTAGCACAAGAGCCAGGTAGGTTTCCTGGTACTGACTGACCTGTATACAGAGATAGCCTTATCCTCCCAGTCGTGGCAGTATTAAGAACACTGCCTTTGCAGCAGCAGAAAAGAAAATGCATCCCCTGGGCAGACTTGCTCCCAAATGAACACAGGTTGAGGGGAAAATGAGAGGGCTACATTAATTATTTCCATATTTACCGGCTACATAGGGACTCTACCATTCCTGGGATAGAGTTAGAAAGAGGGTAGAGAGAAGCCCAGGAGTTCCACTGACACTCAAGAAAATACAACAGATGTGGAGAAGCAGTCCTGCTAATTTGAGTGTGTGTGTGTGTGTGTGTGTGTGTGTGTGTGTGTGTGTGTACACATGCTTGATTTTTGTTTTTGGCAGCCATGGGGGGTGGTTTGGCTGGTCACATAAATGCAAATTCTTACTAACTTTAATAGATAATGTTATATATTGTTACATCAAGTTATACATTTAAATTACAACATTACTTAAAATTTTAAGTATTGATTTTTAAAACTAGAAATATAAACAAATCATAGTAAAAAATATCATAAAGTAATGGCTCTATTGATACAGTTATGGTTATTTTGATCCTTTTTCTGGATTTTAGAGAAAACCCAAGAACAAGAATGCATGGGAAGATTGTAAACATAGGGATTGCATGATAACTATTTCCTTTTCTTCAGCCATTATCTTAAAATTAATTTGTTAGTAATAATAATTCTCTAGTATTACCTTACTAAAGGACCAATTTTTGGAGACAGAGTCATGAGAGAGATAACTAGTCTTTTAGTAGAATATTGTACAAGCTAGTGAAAGACATAAAGTACAAGTTTTGGACATTTTTGTCTAAAATCTATATATTAGTGATTTTTTTAAAAATCACAAACAACTTATACCTCATTTTTTTCTTTTAATAGTCTTCAAATAAATGCAGGTATTTATTAACTTGACATTGTTTTGGTCCACAGTCCTAGAGGCCAGTTTCTTAAAGTAAGAAGTATAACAAAAATTGATGTTAAAATATAATATTGAGGCTTTTTTCATATAAAATGCCTTTGTTTACAATTGGTTTATTTGAAGAAACATTTTAAAAGCAGCTGTTTAAGACCAAGGAAGGGGATTGATTGAGACCAGGAGTTCAAGACCAGTCTGGATAACATAGTAAGATACCATCTCTACAATAAAGTTTTTTAAAAAATTAGCCAGGTGTGGCGACATCACCTGTAGGCTGAAGTGGGAGGATTGCCTGAGCCCAGGAGTTCAAGGTCACAGTGAGCTATGATCATAGCTGCACTCCAGCCAGGGTGACAGAGTGAGTTTCTGTCTCTTAAAAAAAGAGGTAAAAAAGAAAAGGCAGCCGTTTGACTTGTTTCTTTTAGCAATGAAATTTTATGTTTTTGAATTATTTTTATTGTCCCTTTGCAAGGTACTTGCTCAAACAATCATTTTGAAACTGTGAGGCTCTACGCATCACTTTAACATTTAAAATACGTTTGTACAAATTATGGAACTCTTTATAAAACTTTTTCCTTAAAAAGTAAACAAATCAACTTGAATATATTAAAAACATTAAAATTATACCATAACCATTTAGAATAAAGCATAACACCCTCTTCCCATTTCATATTTTTAAAATGTAACTTACCTGCTTTCATTTCTTGGCTTAGGTTTCTCATCCTTTACCATTTTGCATCATGTTTGGCTGCCTTTTTATTTTTACTTAAGAACGTTTTTTTGTTTCCTTATACTAACTAAAATAAGAATTCCATGAGTTCTGTGTGTCCTGGTCACTTAAATCTTAAATGTGCCCATATATGTACTTCTAAAATTATCCCTGGAATGCCTGGTTCTGCTCTTGAGAATTTGTCGTGCACATTTAATATGCCAGAGGGAGGGAGGACACTTCCTTGACCCTAACCTTCTATACCTAATTCATAGAAGTAGAAGATAGACCACTCAGACCCTTCAGTCTACTCCTGTGTCAAGGCTGACTCTGGGAAGAAATGAAATGCCTCAGTTGTTACTCTGTCGCTTGAGATGGAGAGCTGTAGCTGATTAGTGGGTATTTCCCTAAGAATAATTCAGAAATTTTGCATCAGCCAGTGTAGAGTTCTGAATGCATTGCCTTGCAAACCTTGACCAGCCAGAAGTGAACTGTAGTTCAATTCGTATAAGCAGTGCCCTCAGTGATTCACATTTACCCTGAAGTCTGAACAACTTTCGCTGTTTCCTAGCATGTATGTCATCAAAACACGAGGTGCCATGGTCTTCCACATTAGAAATACCAACTGAATAATTCAGAAGGGTTCTTACCTCTGAGTTTGGTGGCAGGAAATTCAACATCGAGTAGTCTTCCTGCTGTTCTCTCACACACTGTCATTTCAAGGCAGAAGCCTTAAGAATTGCGGAAGTAACCAGGCTTTGCATATGTTTTGCTACAGCAATTACTAGGCAAAGAGTTGTGCAATCAAAAATGTTTTTAACTTAAAGTCATAGTAGAGTTTTTTACAATAAAAGCAGTCACACACTAAAATTGTTCACATTTTTTAAAAAAATGTGCCTTTCAAGTACACTTGAAGTTTTCTGGTACAAGTATAGCAGGTATTGTTTCAGAAGGTCTCACACTCTTTTAAACCCCTCTTTATCTCTTCCTTTCTAAAATCCTAATGACAAGTTTAGTTCAGCATGGATTTAACTATTCATGAGGTTTGGGAATAGGTAGTCATACCTGCTGACTAGTTTCACTTGTAGTTCTCTACCATCATCTCAAACTTAACCCCATGGTCTCCTAAAACTACCTCTTTATCCCTCCCTCCCTCCCTTCCTTCTGTCTGATTGTACATTCACTGTTTCTTCTTTTCTTCCTCTACCCTACCTCTACTCAACCTCCAATTCATTCAGTAAATATTGAGTACCTCTTTTGTGCCAGTGTTAAAAGTATTAATAGCTGCAAGGTTTCTGCCTTCCTGAAATGTAAAGCCTTGTCTGTTCTTACTCCATTAATGTGTTTCAATCTCCCTTTTTCTTGTTTCACATCAGAATCACAGGAACTTCCCAATTGGTGACCCTGTTCTACTTCGTCTTACCTATGTTCACCAAATTAATCTTCCCCAGATATTTCTTATCAACCTTCATTGGCCTTTAATTCTTCTTTTTTTTTTTTGGAGACGGAGATCTCACTCTGTCGCCCAGGCTGGAGTGCAGTGGTGCCATCTCAGCCCACTGCAACCGCTGCCTCCCAGGTTCAGGCGATTCTCCTGCCTCAGCCTCCCGAGTAGCTGGGATTGCAGGTGCTCACCACCACACCCGGGTAATTTTTGTATGTTTAGTAGAGACGGGGTTTCGCCATGTTGGCCAGGCTGGTCTCGAACTCTTGACCTTAAGTGATCTGCCCACCTCGGCCTCCCAAAGTGCTCTGATTATAGGTGTGAGCCACTGCACCCAGCCTGTCTTAATTCTTTAATAATGAAAATATATTACCTTTGTCTAATTTGACCATCTGCAAAGTACTTTTCATAGGCAGTCACAAGTTCCTCACATTGTGACTAGGTAGTAATACTCCCACTTTCTAGGTGAAAAGACAGCTGGTGAGTAACAGAATCAGTACTCAAAGTCCACCTTGCTGAGAGTTCTTTCTACCAACATCAAACCTTTGTGGACAGGACTTGAAGACCCTCTAAAGTCTGGCCCTGGCCTGTCTTGCTGTCTTCTCACTTTTACTACACACTCCTACCACTGTGGCCACACTTAACACTTATCAATCCTTGAACATGGGTTTTCTGTCTGTGTTCTGCAAGAGCATTTTTTGTAGCATTATCCAGCAATTATTAAAAAAGAGTCTCTGCGAACAAAAATACTGTCACCTCAAAGTCAAGGTAGATTTGTTTTACAGTGAAAGTAGGTGCACACACACACACACAAATTGCTCATATTTGTTGTAACTCATTTTTTTAACTTGTTTTTGGACAGTTTTTCGTTATGTTACTTCATGTTTTTAAGTTTTGTGGGGTTTTTTTTTGGTTTTTTTTTTTTTTTTTTTTTTTTTGAGACAGAGTTTCGCTCTTGTTGCCCAGGCTGGAGTACAATGGCGCGATCTCGGCTCACTGCAACTTCTGCCTCCCGGGTTCAAGCGATTCTCCTGCCTCAGCCTCCAGAGTAGCTGGGACTACAGGCACACACCACCACGCCAGGCTAATTTTTGTATTTTTGGTAGAGACAGAGTTTCACCATATTAACCAGGATGGTCTTGAACTGACCTCAGGTGATCTGCCCTTCTCGGCTTCCCAAAGTGCTGGGATTACAGGCGTGAGCCACTGCACCCAGCCATTTTTAAACCTGCTTTTCTAACTTACATTTTTTTCTAACTTGATTTGTTTTTCTCTTCTTAATCCTTGGACTGCCGCTTCTCCTCAGCTTTCTCCCCAGCCCTCCCTGCCTTCTTTCCTTTCTCCCTCTTCTTCCTCCTCACCTCTTATTTTCTCCTTTTCCTTCACCCCTGCTGTCCTCCCCCACTTTATATGTAGAGTTTGCATATGAGTTATTTTTGTTAATTACATACTTAGTCCCTCCAACTAGGTTAAATGCTTCTAGAAAACAGGATTCTGATTTTTATATATTTAAGTATCTAGTATCGTTTCATATAAAAAGTTATTTATAATCATATAGGCCAATAGTTGAAAATGGTTTAAAGATACCATGTTTTCTTTTATTTTAGAGTTAAAAACTCACCACTTAAACAGTCTCCAGGTTATCAAACAGAACTAGTTATTCAGTTGGTTTGGGTGGGTGGAGAACCACCACAACAAATAACCAGCCTGGCAGTCAATTCTTCCTATGGACTGTAAGTATAAGTTACGTTTTTTTCTAAGTCTCTTCATAGTATTCCATATGTCATTTTGTTTTTAAAAATAGAAAGGATGGTCTTTGTTATATCGTCACCTAAAATGGCATTCTACAATTTTGATTTCAGACGAAATTGACTGTTTATTTGGAACATAATTTCATTCTGAATAACTTACTTTGGGTATGCATGCAGTATTTCCTGATGTAAAGTTAAATGCCTCATGGACCAATAAATTATTTGTGATGAAGTTTTAAAGTCAGTATATCCTCTCCTAAATATACTCCCAGAAATAATTTTCTTATTAATAATTACTATAATGGAAATCTAACAATATGAACCCAGAAAACTGTTATAAAACTGATTTTTGTAAATGTTGAAGTGTAGTTGTGTAATTTTTCTTTCTACTTCCAATTAACTTGTATAAATTGTAAAAGCATGACAATAATTAATATTCATTTATACTGTAGTATACTGTTTTATCAATTCATGCCTTCAGCCATATAGTGTTAATTATACATATTTTTATTACAATATGATAGACTTATAAAGCATTTGTTATTTTCTTGTTTCAGAAATCAACACTGCAGTGTAAGAAACTGCTTCCTAACTGTTCAGTCCCAGAGCTATTTATCATGTGTAGTTCATTGTCTCCTTGCTTGATGCTAGCCCTAGGGACTCATTCATTTTTTTTCTTGCTGGTAGCTCCCACCACCTATTCTGTCTCTTGCAGCTGTACAGTTAGCCCTCTGTATCCACGGATTCAACCAACTGTAGATGAAAAATATTCAGAAAATATAACCAAAAAACAATACAACAATTAAAAAAAATTTTTAAATACAATATAAAAACTATATAGCATTTCCATTGTATTAGGTATATGTAAATAATCTCAAGATGATTTAAAGTATATGGGAGACTGTACATTGGTTACATGCAAATTTTATGCCATTTTGTATTGAGGACTTGAACATCCGCAGATTTTAGTATCTGTGGGGGTCCTGGAACCAAGCTTCTGAAGAAACCAAGGGACAACTGTACATCAAACTAACACTGGCTACAGTCTGAGATAGTCTTCTTTCATATCTTTTATTTGCTGCCACACAATGTAAGAGCACAAACTTTCTTCTTTTAAATATTTATTTTCCACGACCATAAAGAAAACATAGGAAATAAGAAAAAGAACCAATAGGAAGTTTCAAAGGAATCTATTACAGACCTCACTAGGCTTACAGTTGTATTTTGTTTGGCCCTTTCTGTGTATTTTTAGAATTTTAATTAGTTACCAAGACTATATAAATCCATACTTAGAGCTCCAACTTAAAAATCTGATTATGTGGCCGTGTCCGTGTTTCTCCATGGCAGCTTCATCTGGAACTGAGTTGAAGCTTTTCCTCATTAGATGTGCCATACAATCTTAAGTAACCATGATGCTTACATGTCCTCTTTTACTTAGTTATATAGCTCTCTATACATGTCAGTTCTCCATTCCTGGCTTAAAAGATCTTAAAAGAATAAATTTCCTTTATTCATAGTTGATTGGTTTATAGTTCCTGACTCATAATTGAGAAGGTATTTAGAACACCCCAAAGGGCCTCCAAGATGTATGCTTTCTACTTTTTATTCTTGACTTGAATGATTACCAAAACTTACCCCAAAGTATAATCTCCTACTTTCCTAATAGAAGGGAATGTCTCCCACCCATGAAGAGCTCAAAATGCCCCCAAGGTAGAAAAATAGATGTTGCGTTGTGAGATGTGAGAGATTTATATCTCTGATCAAGTTTCAACTCCTATGCCAAATATTTTTATAAATAATGCAGTTGATTGATTTAGTGATATTAAATAATGTCTGCAGAAGATCTAAACAGTTCCGTGAGTAGGCATATGTAACCTGTATTTCAGTTCCTATAGTTGTCTTTTGTTTCAAAGAATTTTCTGAAAGACCCACCATGCTTCTTTCTTCAGCCTTATAGACTGTAGTACATTTTTTTGGAATTATTTGTTTGTGCTAAAATGTTTGTTATTTTCCTATTCCCAGGGTGGTTTTTGGCAATTGCAATGGCATTGCTATGGTTGACTACCTCCAGAAAGCAGTGCTGCTCAACCTGGGCACTATTGAATTATATGGCTCTAATGATCCTTATCGGAGAGAACCCCGATCTCCTCGTAAATCTCGACAGCCTTCAGGAGGTAAAAAGAAAAGAAAAGAAAATTCTGAGCTTTAGGATTTCTATAAATGCTGGCTTACTTTTGTGAATATAAGTATTATAGTTAGGTAAATAGCTTGCCTGATTTAGTCTGTATATATAAACTGCCAAAAACTAGCAAAAGTTGTGAGTCTTATTTTTGTTTTCTATAGTTGTGGTTTTGCTTTTTTTTTGAGACAGGGTCTCACTCTGTCACCCAGACTGGTGTGCAGTAGTGCCTTCACTGCAGCCTTGACCTCTTGGGCTCAGGTGATCCTCCCACCTCAACCCTCTGAGTAGCTGGGACCATAGGCACATGCCACCATACCCAGCTGGTTTTTTGTATTTTTTGTACAGATGGAGTTTTGTCATGTTGCCCAGGTTGGTGTCAAACACCTGGACTCAAGTGATCCCCTGCCTCAGCCTCCCAAAGTACTGGGATTACAGGCGTGAGGCACCACACCCAGCCTGTTTTTCTTTTTAATATTCTAGGATTTTATTGCACATTGAGAAAGAACCACGGGATCAAACTTTTCAGCTAAAATATAATGACAGGAATATTTGTATAATTATTATATAAAAAAAGTTACTTTGTAAGGTTTTGCTCCTTTTCATTGTTTGGTTTTTGTAAGACCAGTGATTTATTGTTTAAACGATTTAATTCAAAGGAATCATTCCCATGTGGGAAAAAAAGGAAAATGCAAAAGTAAATTTTATTTCTTTGAAAATATACCATTCTTAGATAGCTTTGATTAAATGTAAGCCCACACTCATTGAGAATTCTCTTTATAGAGTTCTTTTATGTTTGCTAGGTAATTAGTCTTAATTTTAAATGTTCTACTGTAATACCTCAAGGTACACATGTATACTTAGCTATATATACCAGTACTTCTTGCCCTTTTTTTATTTCATGACACACACAAAAAGATGGCATTTGATATATGGCACACAGGGTACACTAATGAGACTTCCAGTTGTAACTGGCCTGCAGAATCCAGTTTCCCCAGGGCCTGTCCTGCCCAACTGGACCAGAGATTGAGGGCAACCTGTTTGAGGCATACTTAACTCATTTGCAGAATACCAGTGTGTATTGAAACACCGTTTGGGAAGCTCTGGTCTGTACTTCCTAACTCAGTCCCCTCTGAATTAAAATTCATTCTGCAAATCATTTTTCAGTTGTGTTCGGTACATTATTAACTAATACTGCAAATTTTACAATTCATGGGGGGTAGAATTAGGGGATATAGACCTTTCTGTTACTTTGGCTTGATGACTGAATTTTTCTTTCCAAAGTTTTGTTTTTCCATTTTTTTTTAATGTGATCATTTTGTCATGTAATATCTTCAGCAGAGATTGTTGTCCCAACCATACCATTCTAGTATTTTTGTCTCCTTTTATTTCTTCCGCTTTTCATTGCTTCACTAAGGTGTGCTGATTGTGACTTCTTGCATGTGCGGCCTTTCTAGCTTATATTCTGAATCTATGAAAAAACTACGTTCTTCTTTTTTAAGTAAGTCATTTATGCCTTGGCATGTTTGTTCTTTGTAAAATCATTGGGAGTTTTTGTGTTCATTTTTAAAAGAGCTTATTAAAACGTTCTATGTCTAAAACACTGTACTCATTACTTAGATTCATCTCATGACATGTATATGAAAACAGCTATTTAAATACTTGTGCCCCAATTCTATTTCTTTGTAAAGCCAAGATACTAGTATTTAATGCTAGAATGTTAGAAAATTATCATGATAGAGAAGAAATATTTTTTGAAGATAAAACCTTTAGTTTATTTTACAAATGTGGTAAAAATTACACTATCCATAAAATTAACCCCTTTTCTCCATTATACCTTATACTAGCTTATGTAAAATTGCTAGAAATTAAATGCCTAGATTTATCTAAGGATAGAGACTGATTTTTACCATCTAATTTTAAAAATATTTTTTAAAATTTATATTTTATTTATATTATTTTTATATTATATTTATATTATTATTTGCTTTATTTTGTTATTGAAGAATTAGCTATTTAGGCACAGGAGAACTATTTGAGTTTTTCTTTATTAGTTTAAGATATTTACTCATTGTTATGTCTCGCTTTGTCAATATTTAGGGTTGTGTTTTAAATAAAAATTAAAATTATATTAAAGTATGTTTTAAAATAACATCTTAAGAATATTTCTGACTCTGATCCCCCCAAATTTATAAATATTTGAAATAAAATTAAATATAGAATGATTGGTATAAAAATTCTTTGTCATGATGTAAAAAATAATATTCTTCCTAACACATGTATTTTATAACATGTTCTTAGGTGTTGACCAAATATCATCAAATTGTTCTTCAGGCTTTTTTTTTTTTTTTTTTTTTTTTTTGAGACGGAGTCTCGCTCTTTCGCCCAGGCTGGACTGCAGTGGCGCTGTCTTGGCTCACTGCAAGCTCCGCCTCCCGGGTTCACGCCATTCTCCTGCCTCAGCCTCCCGAGTAGCTGGGACTACAGGCGCCCGCTACCGCACCCGGCTAATTTTTTTTGTATTTTTAGTAGAGACGGGGTTTCACCGTGTTAGCCAGGATGGTCTCGATCTCCTGACCTCATGATCCGCCCGCCTCGGCCTCCCAAAGTGCTGGGATTACAGGCGTGAGCCACCGCGCCCGGCCTCTTCAGGCTTTTTTAAAAGAACAGTTTGGAGAAATTTTTTTGTTTTCCTACAAATAGATGCTGATATATTTTTATAAAGAATGTAGTTCACATGAATTTTAAGACAAAACTGTTTAGGCTAAGTTTAAATGTGTCATAGCTGTATTACAATACAGTTGCATTATTGAGTAAAATATAGGCTGTGTTTTCGTAATAAAAATTCTAGAACTGTCACAAGGACAAACAGTAATGAAGTATTTCAGCTACCCGTATATCTGCTAAAAATCTGATTCTACTAAAAATGAACTGTAGGATAATATATATATTGTTTTGCTGGTCATTTTATCATTCAGTAGAATGATAAAACTACTAATGATTGTGTGTATATTAAATATACTAATGATTGTGTGTATATTAGTAGAAAGCAGAACTAAGTAACTGAGTGCTACATTAAGAAGAATCGTTTTTTCTCTGGAAAGTATGAAAGCTATTATTATAATAAAGAGAAACTAAATCCTAAGTTCCTTTATGTAAATGAGGCAGACCAAGCAATAATAAAAAGAATATCAAGATAATTGGTGAATTTAAAAGGGATCCCCAGTTGGTGAAGGTCAAACATTTTACATTTCAGCTGATTTGAGGCACTAATTAGTCAGAATTCTAGAATGAGTTGCTATGTGCATATAGAAAATAGAAATGATCAATAGAAGTCAGCAGAAGTTCACTAAAAGTAAGTTGTAGTAAAATCAATTTTACTTTTTTAATCTGGTAACTACATTGATGACTTATGGCAGCCTGTTGACATAATGTTGCCTGAAGTTAATGAGGTATTGATAATTTTACGGTACTTTTGTGAACCAGACAGGTAGAAGTGACCTAAATACCTAGTTCAGTTTAATGATGGAAAGATTGCTTAAATCAAGAGTCAGCAAACTATTGTCTGTAGGCCAAAACCAGCCTAGTGCCTGATTTTGTAAATACAGTTTTATTGGAAAAATACCATGTTTATTTGTTATGTGTTGTCTATAGCTGCTTTTGTGCTGCAACAGAACAGCTGAATATTTGGTTTTGGCTGAAAAAGCCTGAACTATTTATTACTTGGATCTTTACAGAAAACATTTGCCAGCCCTCTCAATTAAACCATGGTACTGGATTAATGTGTAGTCTAATTACCTTGATGTAGTGTGCCTCAGTTAATGGATGTATTGTGTTGAATAACATAGGATTATGTTTTGTTGAATATTTTAAATAGTAAATGTAGCTTCCTGTCTGGACTTTTGAAAGAGAAGATATGCTTATAAGAAGGGTCACTGTTTAAGGGGGAGGTAGCTATTGCATTTGATGGCAGAGTAACAACTCAAAAAGATAATTTATAGGTAGAAACAGTAAATTTAAACCAAAGAATTGAGATTTATCAACAATACATGTTGAGTCCTGAGTTTAGGTTATAAAGATTGATTGTTTACATATAGAACAGAAAACACAGTGAAACATAATTGGAGATTTTGTTTAAGCACATCTAAGTTTAAATCTCTGCTCTTTTTATAAGTTTGTGATACTAGAAAGGATATTTCTCTGAAGCTCAGTGTCCTCATTTATAAAATGAAGGTGGTGACTCCCTCATGAAGTTGGTGTGATTATTAAGTGAGAGGACACAATGTGGCATACCTAATCATGTGAGTGAACATTGCTGGCATTCAGGTGGTTGTTTTGTTACTGTTGACCACAACTTCGTATGTGCCAGTAATGTGGCAGAACTGCTGAATATGTTAATGTGAGAAGTTTAGAACAGTTAAAATTACAGTTCTATGTTTATGTTGTATTTTCCCCTCATTTTTAAATCAGGGCATTATAAAAAGCAGATTTTGTCCTAAAGCATGCAGAGCTTTTCTACCAGTTAAAAAAAAAAAAAAAAAAAAAACACACAAAACTCTAAGAGTGGCAATTAAGTGGACCATTTCTATAAGTACTTAGGTTTTTGTTCCTGTATAAAATGCCTACAACACTCAGTGCCTCAGTTTCTTCTTCTGTAAAATGAGAATAATACTATCTACTTCATTTGCTGCTGTTAGGGTTAAATGAATTAAGCACTTAAAACATATCTGGCACATAGTAAGTATTCAGTAAATGTCACTTAAGACCACTTAGCTAATTGGGTTGAGTGAGATAGGTTTGAACAGAGCCTAGGTAGCTGTATTGCTAGGAATATTTGTTGAAGGGATTCTGGCAGTAACAGAGGGGATGGATTAAGTTACATGCTATGAAATTCTTTCACATGTATTCACTCAACCATTCAACAGATACTGAGGCTTCCATGTGCTATGCACCATTATAGGCAGCAAAACAGACAAAATTCTCTACCCTCATGGAACTCATGTCCAACTGAAAGAGACACACACTTAAGAAGATAAGTAATATACAGTAGATTACATTAATAGTGCCGAGGGGAAAAGTACTTGAAGGAGGATTTGAAATATCAATGATGGAGTGTTAAATTTAAAATAAAATAGAGTGTCTAGATGATTTCAGGTTTAAAGGACGTGAGAGAGCTATTATCCATGAGGATGTCTGGGAAAACAGTCAGTCAAACAAGAAACATTTCATACAAGAGAACAAGCACAATTTGCTCTGAAGCAGTACACCTGGTGAGTTCAAGGAACAATGAGGAGTCAGTGTGGCTGGAGAAGAGAGAGTACCAGTGGTGGGCAAGTCAGTGAAAGCAGCAGATAGTCTGAGAGGTAACAGGATACAGTATACTGTAGGATCATCTACATCACCCAACCAAGTAGGGTTGGACTTTGACTTTTACCCTGAGTGAGATGAAGGCACTGAATGGATTTTTAGCTTATTTAACAGTTGTTTAATTTAATATCTAAACTAAATCCTCTCTATCCACATTCTGTAATTCAACTCCTAAATGTTTCTTCCTAGGCCTTTTTAAGAATGATAACTATATCATATAAGTTTAAGAACTTTTTTAGTCAATAAGTTCAGTAATTATTATATCATAAGGACCCTCAACTCAAACCTCAAAGTGGTTTCCCCTAAGTATAATCTTTAGTAGCAGTTGACAAAAATACCAAGGGGGTAAAATTTCAAATTTTACCATTTTTATTCAGTACTAGTCACGTCATAAAACTGGAGTGTTATCACTACTGTTTAGAGATCCTCTTAGTGTTCTATCAATAAAGAGTACATGTATATAAACAAATATTTTATCAAAGATTAAATGCATACCTATAATTACATCTATCATCTTAGATCTGTAAAAACCAGGTTTTCTTCCAGGACCATTAGTTTGATGAAGATTTTTTTTAAAACTACTAATTCTCAGGCTGGGCATGGTGGCTCACACCTGTAATCCCAGCACTTTGGGAGGCCTAGGTGGGTGGATCACTGGAAGTCAGGAGTTCCAGACCAACCTGGCCAACATGGTGAAACCCCATCCCTACTAAAAATACAAAAAAACTAGCCAGGCATGGTGGGGCGCACCTGTAGTCCCAGCTACTTGGGAGGCCGAGGCAGGAGAATCGCTTGAACCCAGGATGCGCAGGTTGCGGTGAGCCAAAATTGCACCACTGCACTCCAGCCTGGGCGACAGAGGGAAACTCCGTCATAAAAAACAAACAAAAAATATGACTAATTCTCATTCAAGAACTTCCTATCTAATGAAAAAAACTAATATGTGCCTCAAAATGGGAAACTTTTCTTAGAAGCTGAATTCAGTACTCATGTTCTTAGGAAATGTTACTTTGAAAGCTTTCTCAGTGACTGTTGGAAATGTGACATCATGTCTTTTACCAAAGTAATAGAAAAGCAGATACTGGTGATACATACACATCCTGTTCATCCATCGATGTGACACCTGACTTCTGAGGCTTGGACATGTAACTCCTTGCCCAGCTAGTCCAAACTCTTGATGTGTTTTTGTTTATTTATAATGTTTAGACAATTTGCAGGGGTTTTTATAACGTCAATCACCAGGCAAATTTATAACATATTGTTTACTTTGTATTTTATCATAGATTATATTTTTATTTGTTTTAACTGATGAGTGCTGTATTAGTTTGAGGTATTTTAATATAAAATGTTTCTATCTCAAACCCAATGTGCATGGTATCAGTACCACAGTCTGTTAATTTATTGGGTTCTTTTAAATGGACAGTAGTTAAATGTGTACTATAAATAAAAGACAAAACTGCACTTACATAAATGTATGGGTTGATTTGTTTTTTGTTTTTGTTTTGTAGCCGGTCTGTGTGATATTAGTGAAGGGACTGTTGTTCCAGAGGATCGCTGCAAATCTCCAACCTCTGGTAATTTGGTTTTTTTTTATTTCATTAATAATTATGATTTACAAAATCCAAGATAGCATACTAGTGTACATTTTGATAGATATGCATTTAAAATACATCTACGAAAACTTTTGTGTCACGTATTTAGTCTTAAAATCTTAACTGCATTCTTTGAATTCTGATTAAGTGGAAAGAAATGTAGCTTGTGCTAAATAAAAATCCAAAACTTTACCTGCTGAGAATCATGTAATTGTTTATTTAATGTTCTTATATTTACACCTTTTTTAGAGAAAATATATTTTACTCCTTGCCATTGGATCAAATGTCTTAGTTATCTACCATCTTTAAATGTTATGAAAAATGTTTAACACTTATAATCTAATCATGAGTGTAGACAATTAGAATAATTATAGACTAGTTGTATGTATTTTTATTTATGATGAAAATAGTTTCTGATATATTTATAGCTGTATTAAAGCAGTTCTCATTTCTTATCTATAAATGGGTCTTTATGTGACCTGTGTGTATATTAACATTTCAAAAGAATATTAATTTTTATTATCTTTGGAGACCTCTTAAAATTAAGAAGATCTTGAATTTATTTTATTTTGGTGGATTGATCCTTTTCTAATCCTTCATAAAGTTAATATTATTCACCAGTTTTCTAGTGAAGAGATCATTCTTAGCATAAGTAACACTGTTGTTAAGACAGGTTTTGATCCTTCCATAGCTGGTATACTACATCAGAAACAATTGTAAGAATGGGAAATATTGAGAAGGGTATTTTGTTTTACTCCCTCACATTTTAGTGTAATATTTTATTATATCTAAGACTGCAAAAGCTTTTATGTTTGCCTTTTACAATTGCATTTTCCTGATACTAACTAGTCGATTATTTCTTAAAGTTAAAATGTACCTATGCATTTTCTGACTTTCTTGTTCTTTAAACTTCATATTTAAATTTATTCATTAAACTAATAAAACATATGGAGGAATTGGTCACATAATTAATACCTAATAAGGTTTAACATTGGTAGAATTAAGTTTGAATGAATAATATGAAGCAGGAGCTGTTTTCTGTCTCCTAGGACTGTTTATTTCTGAATTTGGAATTTAGAATTGTAATATCTTTTAGTTCTTACTTTCCTTCTAACTACATAAAATAATGTTCTGACTTTCTCATCTTCCCCAAAATCGGTAAATGCATTTGTCAATATGTTAAGGATATAAGCCAGGGTGAACAATTTGGACATGGAACATGTGATATATTACACTTAAATATATTAAATACCATGGGAGATGGGTTTTAATAAGATTCAGCCCAAATAAATTAGTATTCCTTTTTATCCTGGGCCAGACTTTCAAAAAGTGGATACATCTAGCCCTTTGAAATAAACGTGATATTTGTAGATAAGTATATATTTAAATCTAAGTATATGAATATAAAAAGTAGCCGGGCGAGGTAGCAGGCGCCTGTAGTCCCAGCTACTCGGGAGGCTGAGGCAGGAGAATGGCGTGAACCCCAGGGGGCGGAGCCTGCAGTGAGCCGAGATCGCGCCACTGCACTCCAGCCTGGGCGACAGCGAGACTACGTCTCAAAAAAAAAAGAAAAAAAGAAAAAGTAAATAAAGGTTAAAAACCCTGTAAATTCTCAAAACAGAGAAACTCAAACATGGTTCAGCATTTTCAAATATATTTTGCTCTTTGGTCCATGTGAAAAGGAAAGTAATAGAGAAGTTCATATGTCCTTAGATATTTCATTGTTTCTATCTCAGCATGTTTGAAATGCAAAGTAAAAATTGCGACTTCAAAAAATCATTGATAAATCATGTATTCTTATCATTAGATATAGAAACCTTTGTTTAGGCTTTGATTATATTCTGAAAAACATAGGAATTCTCTGAGACATTATGTCGGTTTCTCCATATCAGGAAATACTGTTTTTTTTACAAAAAGTCAAACTTTAATAGGGAATAGTTGTTTCAGATAGCAGGAGATAGCAGTTATGCACAACTAGTAAGAGCATTACAGTAGAAACTAGAGTGAGATTCTGGAAAACTATTTTAATATAAATAATTTTGACACTGCATTTTTATAGCTTGTGTGTGTCTTTCTCAACTTGTCCATGTAAAAATTGTTAATAGTAATTTTTGCCATCTATTATGGGTTAATTGTCTTACTCTGTATATTTGTAACGTTTTTTAACCTTCATTCCTGTTAACATTCTAATAGGAAAATAAAGAAATAATTTATTATTACCCCTTTGGCCAACACATGCAAATTCTACTACTTCACGGTGGTCAAAAAAGAATAACAGATGGGATGAATTTGAAGTGAATCAAAAGAACCACAAGGGGATCATGTTTTAAAAAACATAAAAATTAGTAATTAAATTACAAGCCTCAAATAGTTTCCACAATGAGAATGATATAAAGAGGTAAAATAGTTGAGTGATGCATTATAGATTATTAAAACCGATATAGCTAATATAAAATAAGTTGGTATTTATGGGAAAAGAAGAAATGTATAAAGTGGATTGGGAGTTAAAATGAGTCTCTTGTAAATATTAAGTGGAAGACCAATATAGAAATATAAAGTAGCCATATGCCTTTATCAAAACCAGTAAGTTAATTTAAAATAATTCATATATGAAGGGAAACTTTTTAGAAAACCTTTTAAATCTCATAATCAAGATTTGTGATCTCAACTGTTTAGTTAATTAAAATCAAAGCTATCTTCAGAAATCATCATGAGAAAAATCCATGTAATGCATATAGTTTGCCCTTTTCATTTATTTTTATGTAAACCAGTGGTCCCCCAATAGAGAAAGTTAATTCTGCCTACTGAACATATGCATCCTGAACGAATGAAGGGAAAGACTTTCATTTGATCCTTACATCAAAGAACTTATATTGCTTCACTGAACACTTTAGTATTATTGGAATTTTTTTAGTACTGCATGCAAAGATATATATATATACACATACATAGACACACACACACACACACACACAAGAAGTCATGTTAAAATAAATTTTTAAACTGTTAGGTTATTTCAAGCTGAAGAAAACCCAGGGCCACACATACCATGATGTAAATGGTGCCTTCAAGTGCATTCATGATTTAAATGAAATCATGAAAAAACAATAAGCTGTAGATATTATCTGTGTTTTATTGTAGAAATTTAGTAAATATATTCAAATAGGATAAGCAGAAAACTATTTTGGAGCTTTTGCATGAGCTGTCACAGAAGTTATAACAATCAGTAGTAAGTATTTTTAGTTAGAAGAAAAATAAACCTCCTTGTTTTGTTTACATTACAGCCTATGTTGCCTTCTTGTATTTGAAAATATGAAATATTTTTCTGATTTTATTATGTATAGATATGTTATCCTGCTATTTCTTTGATATGAAATATATCAAAATTAGTATCAATAATACATTTTTGTACATTCATGTGGCTATTTTGTAGAGATAGTGATATTTTAAAATATATATAACATATAACCATTATTTAGAATTAAATTCAGAATTACATTAAAAACAACTATATGTATTTCTGTTCCTGGAAATGTTACTGAGCTCAGTGTTACGTGTGTGATATTTTTTGAAGTGGGATTTATGAGGATCTGTAAATGATGTTTAACAGAAATAACATGGACTTTAAAAAAGTAACCTTCTAAGACCACTATAAAAGTAATGGTTCTGCCAATGCTGGCAGGTTTTACTCGGTCAGAGAAAAGCTGTCAAGGACATTCACCACTTGACCAAGGGAGAGAAGTACAATTTTATTGGAGAGTGTTATATGTGGTGTCAAATTTTGACCTGATTCATTAAGATTCAGTGCTTTTACTGGGATATTTTTAAAGCAGAGAAAGAAAACCTTTTATCTACTTCCAATTACATCGTAGGTATTTGCCTCTGGCAGAAAAGCTTTATGAATTCAGCAGATACTTAGAGAATTCTACATGTAACGCACTCCACTAATCACAAAAGGGATACAAAAATGAATCAAATGTGGGCCCTGCCTTTTGGAAGTTCATTCCAGTGAGGAAGGTCATATGTGCATAAATCTAAAATAATAAGGTATTAAGTGGTTAGCATCATATGAGAAATATATAGATAAAACATTAAGGGAACTCAAAGGAGAAGTGATTTATAGCTGAGGAGACTGAAAAATTGAATGGATGAGGTATTGAGATGTGCCTTTAAAGAAGAGATGTCCAAACGTGATCAACCAAAATACTACTTGAGATCACATTTATAATAAAAGATATGTTATAAATTAAAGAAATACTATGAGAAATTAGAAGTTTTTAAGGAAAAAATTACCCAAAAAATCTTAAAGAAATGTTAGGTAAGATTATATGATAATATTGGGAGTCACAGCCAAAATAAAATTAAATATTTCTTACCTCCATAAATTTAGGTAGACATTTGAACATATCTACAAATATAAGTATTATCTTCACTATTTTAAAGATCCCTTATTGTACATTTTAAAGATTTCTATGATATGTAGTAGAATGAATATATAGTTTTAAACTGTCAGTCTAACTCTAAAATAACAAGTTTTACCAGCAAATTTATAGTACAAGATCTTGGTTCTGCTAGAGAAACCTTATTCAGTTAATACTATCAAGAATTCCAGATTTTTTCGAAGAAACAGTTAAACACTATTTATAGTTTTTTTTAATATATTTTCTAACATCTAATATACCAAGATTTTGCCAAATTGTTGTAGAGTTAATATTTATATATACCAGGGTCTACCATGAAAGATATTGCACTACTTATTACTATACTGTAATAGTATAAGAACTGTTATTTACTTATACATGGCCTCTTCTTGTGGTCACTAACATGATAACTTGTTTTGAAAGTTACCAGATTTTTTATTTGTACATTTTTCTTGTTACAGCTCAGTATTTATGACTGACCATCTACCTATTCCTTCCGTTGTCTTCATTTGTGTAGGTTCTTCATCACCACACAATTCAGATGATGAACAAAAAATGAATAATTTTATAGAAAAGGGTATAGTATCTTGATTTTAAAGTATTTTCTTTTATGTTTAATTTATTTAGTTTACTTTGACTAGATTTTGACATTTTATATCAAAATATTGTTTTCAGTGAAGACCAAAAGCAGAAAGTTTTCCAAGATGGTAGCCAATGATATAGGTAGGAAATAGAAATTTCTATTTTGTTTCTAATCCTTGCTATATGCAGTGCTAACCCAACACCAGAATTATCCAGTGCATTGCATTTTTGTGTAAATTTGTTGTTCCTATGCTAAAAAAATAATCTCTTGGGCTGTGTCTCTTCTAAACTCATTGGGGCAATAATTATTAAAAATCAGTTCAATTGGGTTGCAGTTCTTTCTCTGACTTACAGTGTGAATTTCTCTGTTAATTTTATTTTTGCTTTACTTTAAAATAAAGCAGGGTTCAATTTATGCCGTAAGTAACACAATTTTATACTCCGAAGTTTTGAAGCAATGGTTTCTTTATAGTTTTATTTGTGTTTTTTCTACCTTTATTCTGTCTCTCTCATATTTTCAAGGCCCCGTATTTCAAGGAAATGGTTTTCTAAAAGATTGACTCTTTTAGTCTATAATCTGTACCGCCTTTGGCAAAGTTAAATAGGAATTTTCTAGGACTGCCCCTACTCTCTCACCGCAAGTAAAAAATGCATTGCTTCTTGTGATTGTTTTTGTGAATATATGTTGAGATGAATTGCTCAGTCCAAAGTTCTCAAAGTTTAAAATTAGGGAACAAAATATATAATCAAACTTTGAGGACATAATCAAATTAGGGTTTCAAGGTCACGAAAGTTCAGATGTTCTCCAAAGATTTTTAAAGTCTTGAAAAACACTTTTAGAAAAAGAGGATAAATTTGATCTTTGATTTAAATTCTAAATTTTTATCATACAGTTATTGTATTATTTCCTCCCAAAACCTCTATCACATATTCTTTGAATTCAGTCAAATTAGAGGAATTTCTAGGCAGATGGAATAGTTTTACTTTTTCTCAACTGATAATGTTTTAGATATGCTTAAATTTTCAAAAATTCTTAGAAGTAACATCCATGTTGTCTGTATTTTATAAATTGAACCCTGTTTAGTCATATTAACGGTGGCTGACTGTTAGCCCCTTGTCATTTTTTAAATAAGGTGGTTTATTCTTGGGCAAAGGGCTCTTCATTTATGGAGAATCAATTATTTATCTTTGTATTTGTGGGGTTTTAGTGACTCTTTTGGTAATAGTTAAATCACTGTAATTATGTACTAGCACTATGGCACAATAGTCTTTAACCAATTTCATTTATTGTGTATTCTATCTTAATAGTACATTAGAGGTTCTTTTGTTGTCATATTATGCAAAAAGAAAAGATTTTCCTACTTACATTTTACTAAACAACTTTAAGAATTAAATTACCTAGGGATTTTACCTTGCATGAAAGGGACTTTGTACATAATTAAATTTTTAAAAACAATTTTTCTGTCTTATATTTTGTGCTGGGGTTCTATTTATTAAATGTACTGACTACCTTCCCATTTTTTCTTGTTTTAAATAGAATATGTAACATGTAATACTTGAGCTTGACTATTTGAAAGACTACATTAGAAAATTTATCAGTGTTGATAATGTTATTGGAAGGATAGTTCTTTGATGACATTCTTGCTTTATTTTTATCTTATTGGTGAGTTTTACTTTTTGTCACTCCAGTTTCTGTAGTTATATATTTTGGGGAAAGCATGTTATGTTAACTTCATTCAGCTTTTCAAAATTTTGGTAGTACAGTTATGCATAATTATTTTTAAACCTCAGGAAGCATTGTTATATCCTTTGGCTTTGTTTGAACCTTTCAGTGTGTTTTTTTAAATCACAAGATTTGGGTATACAGAAGGAAAGTTAGTGTCACGTTTTTTTTCTTCTTTCAAAGGGAGACTGCCCCATTTTAGACTGTAAAGTTTTTTTGCATTTGAAAAACTAACACATTAGTTTATCTCCCTACATTAGTATTTAGTTTTGTTATAAGAATTAGCATAAAATATGCTATTGAAAAACATAAAATGTCAATGAAACATTGGAAAAAAACTCATAGATCTTCTGAGGACCTCCCTGTCAAGACTGGTATTTTGTGCATGAAGCTGTGGTGTCAAAAGTATTAGGACTTCTTGAGCATTCTGAACTCACCGTATCATCCGATCTGGTACCTGCTATGAAGTATCCTGAACCTCATGAACTTACCACCTCTTCTTCCTCAATATACAAGCATTTATAGCTTCAACTTATAGGTAGTTATACAGTGGCTGGGAAAACATAAGAATTAGTACCTCCAGGGTTGCACTAGTAAAAGAGCCACCTTGTGTGGAAGGTGAGTAAATAGCTTGGCCCTGAAAGTTTGCCCCTGAGTTTTACCTGTTCTTCGAGAGTAACTGCTGCTGGTGTCAGTTTGTGTGTGTGGGTGTGTGTGGGTGTGTTGTGGGTGGGTGGTACAGGATGGCAGTCACAATTTAATGGTTAACCCAAGCATGGGAAATCAACCACCCTACCTTTTTTTTTTAACTGCCTGACAGTACAGCTGAGGTAGCTGAGACTATAATGATAAGCTTTTTGAATGTATTTAGCCTTTATCTTATAATTTTTCTGGCATGTGCCAGCTTTTTATAAATAATTTTTCTCAATCCACACAATAATCCCAGCGGGTTAGTTACTACTGTTTCCCTGTTTTACAGATAAGGAAACTGAATATAAGTAATGTATTTGTTGGTACACAGCTAATAAATGAGAGCAGGATTTACACCCAGGTAGCCCCACTCCATGGTCTGTCCTCTTAAACACTGTGCTATGTTATCTCTTAATACAATTTACAGAAAACTAAAGGATTCAAAAGCAAATTCATGGTGTGATTAATAACCAGATAATTTGGTTATGGCCCTGTTCTATCTACACAATAATCTGGAAAAAAAAGATTAAGTTCTGTGTTAGAGCCAGATCATGGATGCCATCTTGGTACCCATCACTCAAGTATAATATAGTGTCTGGAAGTCTACCTTCCTCAAAGACTAGACTCAAAGGAAGGATAGCTAGAGCAAACTCTGGAGTACCCTAGCCCATCTACCCAAAGCCTAGCTTCATAGTTTATTTCCTGATTGAAAACTAAATCAGATGAATGATCCTGACAATGACCTTGATCTTGCATAAGAAGAGCAGCCTATAAAAAAATAGTTTTAGTCTTGTGAGTTTGACAGCAAAAACATAACAGAATATAATGTAATTGCAGCATCCACAAAGAAAGCTTCATGCATGTAGTATGTATGCATATGGTAATTTGTTTTGCCTGTGTATACCTTATAAATCTTTATTAGTAAAATCTTGATTACCAACATTTTCAAAATCCATAGTTTTTCTGTACTGCTATAAATCACTTAGAAAATAAGATAGGTTATCAATTTTTTATTTACTTGTTATTTGTTTTACAAAAATTTGAAAGTATAGAGTTTCACAAAGCTTTTTGTTATTTTTAATTTATATAAAATAGTCCTACAATGCATATCTTGGTTAATGTATGAATCAAATTTTTCATGATATCCTTATGAATAAAATACAGCCTACATGCTAGCATTGTTTGATAAATTTGAAACTACATGATTAACCTTTTCTAAAGATTATTCTATTTCATTATGGTTTTGTTTCATGCTAAAAGTAGATTTCTAGCTGGAACCCATAGTCTGTGACCTGGCCTATATCCAGTTTTATTACTAATTTTCTTATGGAAGGAATGATTACCAAATTCCTTCTGGTTACATGAAGTTGTGAGGGGAAAATAATACCAAGGATAAAAAATAATGACTCGAAATTATGGTTACTTAAATGAGTGCTTTGCCGAAAACAAGTAGAAATAATAGCTTCATTTATTGGGCACCTCCTAAATTCTAGACACTATACCAGGTATTCTTTATGTGGTATTTATTAATGGAGGGAAAATTATGTTTCCAAGGTTACTTTTATCTCTCCAATTCTGAGTTAACATAATTATTTAGGTAAGGGTTAACTTACTTAGCAAAAACTGGAATAATTTTTGAATTCAGTTTAAATGACAATAATGTTCTTTCAAGTGCTGTTTTTATTAGTTCTCTTACACATGAATCTCAGTGATTCCTTTTTTAAAGTGTTCCAATATAACTAAAGTCTTCTCTTTGTTGTTTTATTCTACATCACTAACTCATTAACTCACATAATTTTAAAGCAGTTCTAACACCTTTATTTTTCAAGAAAAGAAATTGAATGTCAGAGAAGTTAAGTGACACATCCAAAGTAATGCCCCATGGTAGTGACTTAGGACTGGAATCCAGGCTTCTTGAGTCTTGTTTTACTATGTATAGCATGTTTCACACTTCATACTCAACTATCTGCTTTTGCTTTCTTATGTGATTGCTTTTTCTTGTGTGTCTTCTCAATTCTTTTGTATCTACAAGTTAAAAAATAAATTCACAAAGGTTCATTTAGATCTGTTGCCATATGAATGAAAAAGTGTATATTAAGTCGTATTTTAAGTTATCAAATTATTTTATTCATTGTAAAACTCAAAATAGTGCTAGTATTTCTACTTTACATTCCCCAGTATTCAACCTGAAACGTGGCTATTGAATTTGTAGAATTTAGCTTTTATATTCAATCCACAAGATGGCTATTGAAAGGAGATGCTCAGTTTGAAAGGGATGATTAGTAGTGTACAGTGATACCATTTTTACAGGTGATTTTAATATTTTCTATTTTGAAAGAAAATTATTTCTTGCCCTTAATTGGTCAAGAACTAAATTTTATAGGCAGATACTTCAAAATTATTATATGAGTCTGAGTACTAACAAATTCTTTTTCTTTTTTAGAATGAATAAAAATTGGAAAGTATTGGCATATTGTATATTTAAATTTAAATTTTATTTTTGAATGTATTTTCTGTCAAATTTCTTAATAAAATGTGCTGGAAAGTCTGTGTTTCATATTCCTGTACTTACTGTATGTGTACTTATCCCTCTATTGAACTGTCTTTTTTTACATTAAAAGGATATGCAATGACCTTTCTAGAAATAAACTGTAGTTTGCTTCCTAGCATAAAGAAAATTAGTCTGAGTTAGTCACATTACTGAAATAAACCTTTGTCAACTATTATTTGAACAAAACTATAAATGTGGCAATTTATGTTCTGTCATTACTTATTTTATTAGTTTGTTAGGACAGCCACCACAAAATACCACAGACTGGGAGGCTTAAACAATTCGGGAGGTTAGAAGTCCAAGATCAAGGTGTCAGTGGGTTTGATTTCTTCTGATGCCTCTCTCCTTGGCTTGCAGACAGCTGCATTCTCATTGTATGCCCACATGGGTTTCTGTGCAGAGTACAACCCTGGTATCTGTGTATCCACATTTCTTCTTCTTATAAGAACCAATCAAATTGGATTAGGGCTCAGCCTAAGGGCATCATTTTAACTTAATCACTTCTTTAAAGGCCTGTCTCCTAGTATAGTAGAGGAACTGGGGCTTAGGGCTTCTATATATGAATTTTGCAAGGATACAATTCATTCCGTAACACTGTGTTAGGTTTATGTAATACCTTGTATTCGGTACAGAATTCTCTTTGAGATGTTGCAAAGAGTTTAATTATGATGTTATTTAGACATTAAGTTTTATGAATGCTTGGAAAGCAGATGGGTCAGGAAAAAAATTGAAGACAAAAGCTCTGGGAGTTCAAGAATGAAAAGAACTTGGTATAGTCAAGTGTTTACTAGACAAGTACTCATATCTTTAAAGATTTACCTCTATTTCAGGTAATAGATATAGATTCTATGGGTATTTTCAGAAGTCGTCTTTTTGATTAACAGGTCTGTATTTAATTTGCCCTCTTTTTCACTTTATTTCTTTTCATTTGTGAAGAAATTCATCATTCTATATAAGTAAAATTCCAATGACAGTTTTGGTTCATTTATTCATTGCAATTATTTATTCATTGTGTTTATTAAACACACATTAAATGCTGGAAACAGACATATATAGAGCGTTTACAAGATAAATTCTGTTTCTGAACTCCTGGGATGTTTTAGCATGGGAGATAGACATTGGTATTATTAGTTCTAATGGCTACTAAAATACATACGATACATGACAAGAGAGTTTCTACTTCTTGGTTCCACTTTTCTTCTTGGATTCCTTACTATATCCTGCAAACTTGAGTTTTAATTCCTTTACTATCTCAGTTGTTTTATTTAACACAAATACATTCCAACATTATCCCTTTCAAGAGAGTAGTGTTGGATCTCTGCCTGTGGTGACAAAAGTAATATTGTCATTTTATTCTAATTGTTGAAACTCTCGGTATAAACAAAAATCAACTTGCTTTTATGACAGCTTCATCAGTCATAGTTCTTTTTACCTTTTACCTTTACGTTATTTTTTACTATAAATTTCAGATTCTAAAAAGTGAAGTTATAGTTCTGTTTTTCTTTCAAGAATGCTTGTTTAGAAAAAAGATGTGGACACAGTGGGTAGAAAAACTAAAGGGAAATTACAAAACATCTGTTTAATTTGCTTCTCTTGGACATCATACATCTTTTGTTGGTATTGAAATTTGCATTGCAGACATAATTATTGTGATCAGGTATAACTTCGTTATTCCTACTAAACAAATGCAGCTCTTTACTGTTTATACAACCAGACAGTTTGATGTCCTTATTCAGGTTTATAAGAAGAGAGCAATGACCCACCTTAACAACCTGCCTACACTCTCTGAGACTAGTTTTCCTCAGACTGAAGAAACCTTCTGTCAGAGGCAAGGGTTGAAGAATACACAGTGGAAGAAGAAAACAGAAACAATGTGTCTTTCAATAACTCATCCAGATTGCATGCTTTCAGTTTGAAGGTCACAATAGAAGATGAGTAACTTCAAGACATGAACAGAAGTTTCTTGATAAGTACAGTGAAACGAGCTAGCTGGGTAAATGAGTTTCGTAAGTGATTCTGGGACTCCTGAGAATTAGAAATATGAACATCATAAAATTGTTGGACAAAGTCTACAACCCCATCATCACAAAGTTATACCAGTGTACAGAGTACAAGCCAGGAGGACCGACTGACTAGAGGTTCTCCAGAGATGGGTCTACTTCTTGTAGTGGTCTTGCCATCAAGGAGGTTGGCTAAACAGACCTGAAGCGAGTATATTCCCCAGAAGTCATAAAAATTGAAAGATACACGGCCAGGCGCAGTGGCTCATGCCTGTAATCCTAGCACTTTGGGAGGCCGAGGTGGGTGGATCACTTGAGGTCAAGAGTTCGAGACCAGCCTGGCCAACATGGTAAACCCCGTCCCTCATAAAAGTACAAAAAAATTAGCCAGGCATGGTGGCGGGCGCCTGTAATCCCAGCTACTGAGGAGGCTGAGGCAGGAGAATTGCTCGAACCCAGGCGGCGGAGGTTGCAGTGAGCCAAGATTGCACCACTTCACTCCAGTGTGGGTGACAGGGTGAGTCTCCTCAAAAAAAAAAATACAAACTTTTAGCCAGAAGTTCAACTTTAGGCCTTAGGTTTGGGACTTAGCCACCCACTAAAAACAACTATAAAAATTGGTCAAAAGATACAAACTTAGTATTTCCAGGCATTGAACAGCAGGCTTTCCAGGACTGTCATCCTTGAGAAAATGGAGATACATGAGGTGAGCCCCACGTTTCTCCCACCTTTCTGCTCAGCTTTCTGCGACAGAGCACGTTCCCGTTGCAGCACAAGTGGAGCTGCAGTATCAGAACCTAAGGAGGCAGAGAGTGGAATTCTGGGTTGCTGGCATGACTGGAATATTTGCTAGAGAGGAGGAACTGCTCCAAGAAGTTCTAGAAGTCTCTGGACATTCAAACTAGGTCCTGAGAACTGTATATTTTAAATGCTTGCATTGGAACTGTTTTAAACCAATGATCTCAAGTCTTTGTCTTAAGTTAGAAAAAGAAGGGCAAATTAAACGCCAAGTTAATAGAAGGAATAAAATAGCACAAAGTAGATATCAATGAAATAATACATAAATAATAGAGGTAAAGAGTTTTCAAGGATGAAGGTGAACAGTTTTCAAGTATGAAGACAATAGGCAGACATTTCTAACCATGAAAGAAGCCAAGGAATACAGCAGTCATTTTTAAGAACTACCTCATGATGAAAGTTCCACAATTAAGTACTACAGCAAAATAACCCAAGAGATGGAAAGCCATGGTAGGAAGACTGATGTTGATCTTTAAATCCATTTAAACTTAAAAGCTACACTAAACCTTTGTGCAAATTGTGATTATAATATACCAGTTGTAAAACTTATAAATGTGAAAATAATATAACTAATACAAATCAAGAAGAAGGAATGTTTGATCATAAAAGGAAAAGAGGGCTACTTTCCTGATCTTTCGTAGCTGAGAGCCAATATTTACTGTCTAATAGTTACAGAAATATTTCAACCTCTGAATGTTTTACACAGTGTATTTTCCTGTCCTTGGAGCTTTTAAGAAAAGATACATCTTGTAATAAAAAAAAGTTTGAAATATAGTAGTTCCTTTAGCTTCACTTTAGTTAGATGTAAGGAAAAGCAAATGTTTATTGTATTTAAGCATATAGTATCACAAGTGTCTGCAAATATTTATTAGTGGCTATCTCTATACAAAGGATGATATCAGATGGATGTTCAATTAATTTAATGATTATTTCTGGTTAGCAGGATGTTGGGTGATTGTTTTTAATGTATACTTTTCTGTATTATTTGAATTCTTTATAATAAGAATGAATTATTTTTACAAAAACAGTTTAAAATTTTAGTTTAAATGTTAGTAATGACATTATATCTGGTTAACAATTGCTCTCTGAAGTTTTCCCAGCTTTACACTAAAGTACCTATGAAATCAAAGAAAAACATGGACATTCAGTTTCAGCAGGAATTAGGTAAGGATAAGTGATCACAACCCAAGTCAACATTGCCACTCAAGACAAAGCCTTGGTAGATACTGCACAGTTCTTCTGCCTGCCACTTACAAGCATTTAGATAGATGCCTCTTCATGCAAGGGAAAGAAACCCATTACAGACATCCTAGGATTTAAATCCTTTCCCTCCCTCCCTCCCTCTCCCTCACCTCCTTCCTCCTACTCCCTGTCCCCACCCTGTGAAAGGCATGCATGCAAAATAGACAAGATTCAGAGGTAGATAAGCGATAACTAGTTAACATTTCAGATTTCTCAGCTGCACTCAATACAGTAACAAAATGGACCAACTTCTTAAGTTTTGAGGGGATATAGTTGTGAGCAAAACTTTGACATTTTACCAAAGTTACATATGTTTTTCTTTGTTTTCATCTAAACAGTTTTTGTAGTATTATACTTAATATACCTTTGAAAAAATACTAAAAGCACACTTCAGAGCTCCTTGGAGTTGGGGGAGTAGTACTGGCATTAATTTCCTCCTATAAAACTCTATCCTAAGGAAATCCAAAATATATGCAAAGATTTATGTACAACATTTTTATTCCTGTGTATACTGAAAAATTGGAAAATGCCTAACTGATTCATAAGTGTTCATATAAATATGCAACCATTAAAATATACTGACAGTTAATGACATTAAGAAATGCTTGTTTTAATAGTGAAAAGCAGCAGGATACTGATTTCTTTATATAGTTGATCTCAACTATGTAAAGAAAAGTGGACTTTTAAAAGTGGTAGGAAATATGCAAAAATGTTGCTTCTGACTATGGGCATTAATACTGACCTTTTTTCTGTTTCTTTATTGTCCAAATTTGCTATGAAAACACATAATTCAAAATAACTCAAAGATAAAAAAGCATATATAACATAAGATACAGTAAGAGAATATAATCTGATATAGCCCTCTGAATCTGTTAATTAAGAGGATACATATTTACATTCATTCTGTGCATTGAAAAAAAAATACAAGCTTTAAAATATTTTCAGGAGGAAGCTAAAAAACATCCTGAGTTTAAGACACCTTACACAAGAGTTGATACTGTGATTTCATCAGTATATTGTTGTAGAACAGGCAAAACTGATCTGTACTTAAAAAGCATTAGAGCCTTGGTTATTCCCGGAAATGGGACAGGGATTGATTAGGAAGAAGCATGCATGTCCTTTTTGGGGTGAGTGGTAATGTTCTTTATCTTGCTCGTTCTAACAGTTTGAGTTACAGAGGTGTATATATTGTCAAAACTCAGTGAATATACTTTAAAATTTCTGCATGTGTATGTAAGTTTTACATCAAAAGAAAATATACTGTTAACCAAAAAAGAAATGTTTGGGGAACATCTTGTTTCGTGAAAATGTACAAAGTCTCTCGCTGGTTTTGTCTCCACATCCCATGGTCTTAGATAAGTGTTCCAGACTGAGATAGGGTATAAATCCCATGTACTCCAGTTGACACCTTGTGCCTACCTTTGTGAGTAGTACATACTACATTTTGGAGTTGTTTCATCTAATGTGAGCTCCTGGGAGGCCAGAAGTATATCCCTGCCCTCTGGCACATTACAGACATATGCCCAGTAGATATTTAATAAATGAATATTCACACCTCCACATGTAACAGGTTTTTCTGTACTCATGGAAGGCCTTAACTCTGTATTTTTAAATATTACTTGATAGCTAGAATTAACACAAGTAACAAAAGTTAATCTTCTAATGTTGTCATTTCAAGTTCTGCATTCAAGGAGATTGCTTAAAATTTTATCCAAATATAATAGCAATATGGCTGAAGTATCTGTCAAAGTTGGTGTCCAGGTTGCGGATATCCACTTGCAAACTGTTTTGGGAGAAAATAATAAATTGACTATATTAAAATTTATATGACATTTATAGTAAAATTACTGTATTCAACAATCTTTCCAGTCATTTTGTGTGTGATTTTAACCTCTCAATAAAAATGTTGAAACTAGACTAACTGAGAATTATTTGGAAAGCTGGTTAGTTATATTTAGTATTTTTTACATAATAAATTTAAAATAGTACTAGAAAAAAACTTTTATTCTATGGGAGAGGTTAACTTAAATTTTTAAGAATACTTGAGCTTATATAAAAATTTTTTAGTAGAAATCCTAAGGAAGATCAAAAGCATGCACCTAGAAAATTCAGAAGGAAATTTTCTGCTGGTAAATTTTTTGGCAGCAATGTATGTATAGATGGTGAATGAAAGCATAAATATGTTAAATAAACGTTCCTAATTGATTAAAATATGTATTTAACGTTTAATGTATTCAGAGATGAATTTGTTACTTTTATCTTATAAATCACTGAAGTTATTACTCTTTGTTTAGCCATATATATTTAGTTTTTGAAATGAACTTAAAAGGTTGAGCTTATTATAGTGGTGCATTGCATTCTATACTTTTGTGCTAAATTTTTTTTATGGTTTTGTTTTAGTTTCTTAGAATTTTGCCATAGAATTAGAATGAAGGAACATTAGGTTATTCGCAAGTATAGTAGTAGCTCATCTGTATAGTGTTTTACATTTTATGACAAGTTTATATCTCACCTTATTATTAACAATAAATAATAACATTTATTAAATCATACTATGTGCCAGGTATTATGCTCAGTTCTTTGCTTATGTCATCTTACATAATCCTCTCAGCTATCTATCCTCATATGACAAATGATGAAACTTGAAGTTTAGAGAGGCAAAGTGATTACTAAGGTTACACATGTAGTAGTTAGTTAAAGTGGGTTTGAACCTAGGTTTCAGCTGATTCCAAACCCTGTCCTAACCACTATACTTATTCTTCCACGTTTATTGAGGCTTGTTCACAAAATGTTTTTGGTGGGCCTAATTATATAGACGTACTGGGATTAATAGTTTTGTCTTGGTTACTACCATGAAGTTGCTTAATGTCTAAGGACCTTGCTACTCAAAAGTGTGGTCCACAGACCAGCAGCATCAGCAGCTCCTGGGAGCTCATTGGAAATGTCTCTTAAGCCCTAGCCCCAGAGGACAGAATCAGGGTGTGGATTTTAACAAGATCTCCATGTGACTGGTGTGCACATTCAAGTTTGAGAAGCAAAGGATTTAAAATAACTTATCAAATCAGAGTAGTGATGTCTAGAGAGGCGGCATCCATATCATATGATTTTTATCTAAAAGAGTTACCTTTAGACTGTGCCAAATTTATTTTCTACATCTGATATCATGCACATTGTATAGATACTACTTATCAGTCTAGGTATATTGCACCTATGATATGTGATGAAAATCTCTGGATTTTTCAATGTGTAATGTTGCCTTTTGGAGGACTGTTTTAGAGATACAATATTTTCTAATTTTAAGGGTATTGGATTTCAAGCACAAGAACAACCATGTATGTGACATCAACTAACTGCAGATGTTATTTGGCCATTTCAGTTTTGTATTGCATTTTCTTTTTTAACTGAAATTTTTTACGTTGGTGAAAATGGGGTGACTTTTATAAATTTAACCCATTCTTGTTTGCTAAAGGATACTAATTAAGTTAATGAAGCTGAGAAGTGAAAATTTGATGTCCCTTCCAACCCCCATTCCTTCCCAGTCTGCCTAATGCCTCTTTCCTAACACTGGATTTGTCATTTTTTTAGATGTGGAAGTCATGTATGACTGGATTTCTCTTTGTTTACATGGCGCCCTTATGGACTAGCAGGGTCTGTGCTTTAAATATCTCCTAACAGTCCAAAATTTAACCTAATATATTCATTCCTGTATTAACAAATGCTTTTTGAAAATTTCACATAGGAAGCACTTTTCTTTTACGCATGCACTACCACTAACATAATAGATATAGTTGAACAACGCCTAACTTTAAATCACTTTCTAGATTAAGACAATAACTGATTTTGAGGATGGAAAGTGGATTCCAGTAAGTTTATACATTCATTCTTTTTCCAAGATTACAGAAAAATGACTGTGGTTTGCATCTTATGTAAATACCGTAGTTTTAGATTATGCATGATCTTATTTTGTTTTTCACTAAAATGTAAATAGAAGAGTTAACTTATATCAAGGAGTGGTTGAGTCAGATATTGTATAATGTAATCAAATACTTAAATTTGATTAGATATAAGTTTGGCCTATAAGCTAGAAATTAAAAAGTAATGAACCCAGCCAGGCACGGTGGGTCACTCCTGTAATCCCAGCACTTCGGGAGGCCGAAGCGAGTGGATCACTTGAGGTCAGGAGTGAAACCCCATCTCCACTAAGAATACAAAAATTAGCTGGCAGTGGTGGCTTGCACGTGTAATCCCAACTACTCAGGAGGCTGAGGCGGGAGAATCCCTTGACCCTGAGAGGCGGAGGCTGCAGTGAACCGAGATCACACCACTGCATTTCAGCCTGGCAACAGAGTGAGAATTCGCCTCAATTTAAAAAAAAGAAGAATGAACCCAGTAGCTATGAAGATGATGAGCTGGAAAGATTTTATATCACATACCCAAACTTAGTCTTAGGCCTCTATTCTCTTTATCTGCAACACCTTTCTTCTGAGAAGTTACTGTTTCTCACTCAGAAAAGCCTCACCCTTTCCTGTGAGCCTAAGAAATAATTAAAAGTTAGAATTTAAAAGGCTCCCTTAAAGTAAAAATTTTAAGTACAAAAAGATATTACATCAAGTAAGTAAAAACTTTTAAAAAGTTGGCCAGGCATGGTGGCTCACGCATGTAATCCCAGCACTTTGGGAGGCCAAGGCAGGAGTTTGAGACCAGCCTGGGTAACATAGTGAGACCCCATCTCTACAAACATCCAGAATAGCCAGGCACAGTGGTTACATGCCTGTAGTTCCAGCTACTTGGGAGGCTGAGGTGGGAGGATCACTTGAGCCCAGATGATTGAGGCTGCAGTGAGCCTTGGTCACACCACTGCACTCAGCCTGGGCGATTGAGTGAGACCCTGTCTCAAAAAATTAGAAAATAAAAAGTTGAAAGGATTTACTTTCCACTCCTAATATTACTCATCTTTTATTTATCTCGGCATCTAGATTTAGTAATAAAAGTATTCACTTCTATCTTGAAAATCAGTTGATATTAGTATGAATCAAATATTCTTCAGAATTTTAAAAATGTCTTTTATTTTTCAGCAAAGATGTCAAGGAAGTTAAGCTTACCTACTGACCTAAAGCCTGATTTAGGTAAGTAAAATAAATATTCAAAATAATTTAACTCCCTATAATGGGAAGACAAGGAAATCAGAAAATTTATAGTTACTGTAAGATAGTCATTGGAAAGCAAGTTTAAAATGACTAAGATGCTTAAGGTTTAAACATTCTTTGGAATAGTCTTTAGAATGCTATCTGTAAATTTAAAATGACAATTATAATACAAATTCAAGCAAACCGCAAGAATATATTTTCTTAGCCCTCTCATAGTTTGTCTGAACAGAACTTAGCATAAGATTGAATTTGTGCAATTTTAGATTAATTTTTATTAAAAGTGGTTGTATCCCATTTAACCATGTGAAAACCTATTTTGAACTTTATAAAATTATTTTTATACTAATGAAATACTTAAAATTTAAAATAGATTAACTTTTTTCTGTATTACAGTGAATCATAGCAAGAATCATCGTTACTAACTTTTTGATTATAATAAGTTGGGAAATATTTCTTCCACAGCACTTTCTGTGCAATTCATTTATTATGAAAGCAGGATGAATATATTCACACATTCATTTTGCTTTATATCTAACCCACGAACAGCACCTTGATATCACATAGGGACAAATGACATTTCAAAAAAGATAAAAGTAAGATTTCATGTAATACATATAAAACATGGTATCTTTTTAAACTCATTTTTTATTTAAGAAATTTCTGTTGCCTTTAACTAAATAGGTATGATTGTGTAAGGATGATTTCACCCACCTCTATCTTAGAGATAACTAGGTTTTCTCCCTTGCATTAGCCCACACCCCTCACCACTGTTTATTCTCTAGATTTCTTGACTATGTTTGCTATGCATCATACAAACTTAGGTGTTGGTCCATTTAAACATACTAATTTTAGCATTTCCAAATCATTATCTTACTTCAGTTATGCTGATAGAAAGCATGTGGTTATGAGTGAGTAGGCATACAATATATTCCACTGTCATTTGTAGAAAGTTTCATTCATAGGAAAAACAACTTAGTAGAACCCTATAATATCCCTAGTATAAGGGAACAAGAGTTAATCATAGAATATAGGATAGTAGACATTTTGAGAAGGTCATAGTTTTCTCCACCAAAAAAAAAAAACAGGTATAATTTGAAAACAAGTATATCTGAGGCACACAGTGTGCATTTTTCCCCTATAGCAGAATCCAGAGTTTTCATCAGACTCTCAGAGGCCCAGGATTTCAATAGCATTAAATATTACTAGTTAAAGTGGCTTTGTGTATTTTAGTTTCTTAAAAATCTGGGTAAACACATGTAAATATACTTTTAAAATTATAAAAAATACCATAGCCAATTATTTTTTAAGGCATACTCACATTTACAAATCATGTAAGTAATTTAATTAAAGTATGTACTCCATGCTTTCATAGATTATTCACTTCATGGTTTAGCTAGCATGCCCATGTATGCCCTAAGCCAATTATAACTTTGACTAATGTATACCTGTAACATTCCTGTGTTGCCTAAGTAATGTCCCTCAAGTTATTTTGTTGTTGAACTGTTACTTGGTAGAGATTCTTGGCTGCTAATTTACATTGGTCAGGGAGGCAATGGGGAATAACTCCAACTATATTGATAGGTTCAAACTGCCAGATGTTGGTAAAGCACTGAGGCCAATGAGCTGTTGTGCAGCTCCAGAAGCTTCTGTGCATAGAATTCATTTTTGCTTATGGGGAAATTGTGCAGCACTGTACTTGCACTATAGCTTCACCATCCTGGATTCTGTAACCCAGAAGTCAGAATCCATGGGTGATTTTGTTACACTTATGATTGTCACATTTCAAATGTCAGCCATAGGAGGCAAACATCAGAACCATTATATACTTTGATATGAATTAGTTTCTTACCCTGATTTTTACCTGAACAGATTCAAATCTTGGCATTATGTTTTGATTTGGGAATATAAAAGTTTGTTGAATAAGGCTCTCTGTGGGGAGGAGAAAGTGATACATACAAGTAGCATGTTGTAAGTATACAGACAGTAGCATGAAAACAGTGATTTTATGGCATGATTGTATCAGGTGCAGCTGGATGGAGGCATTAATGACAAATTTTGTCTGAGTTTAGATCAGCTAAAAAGATCACATATTCAAGCACATTTCTGACATCTAAACTAGAACTTTAATTCTCAATAATAACCATAGCGTTCCAGCTGTATGATAGTGATGATATGGCTGTCTGGAGTTGCCTAACAGAAAGTTTTAGACTTGGAGACAGACACAAATTCTGACTCTACCACATACTAGCTTGGTCATTCTGAGCAAGTCACTTAATCTCTCTGAGCCTCTGTTTAATTGTTTGTTAAATTGTGATGATACTACTTTTCAAGGTAGTTATGTAGATTCAATAAAATGATAAATGTAAAGTATTAGTGCCTGGCACATGGTAGGCCTTGCTTAGTGTTAGTTATTTTCACTTCTGCTCTTATTACTAGAGCTACTAAAATTAAACTTTTATTCCATTTATTTACTTTGCCAAACTTGTATAAATAAGCCCACAGAGACCCATAATGCTTAACTTAAAAGGAGTAAGTGGAAGTTGTAATTCATGAATTGCTGAAAATTCTGACTTTTTTTCAAAAGTCTAGGCAGATAATAAAATAAGCAACCTATTTCTATCAGTTTCAAACTTGACTGTTATTCAGGCAGTTCTTCCATTTTGATCTAGCTTTAGAAGTTGCTTTGGTAATCTAATTTTTATAGATAAATTATGTAATAAAAATGCAATTTTAGGTTGTGCATTTTATATAGTATTAGTCTATTAAATTCAAACATTGCTCATTTGACCTATGAGTTAACATTTAAAATATAGGTTGTTGTGAATCACCTCTTGTAATTTTAATAGTTATCAGTAAGAGTTTTTCTACAGGTTAATTTACAATGAAATCTATATTATCTACTTTTTTCATATCATTGTTTTCTATTACTATCACTACATCACAACTGAAAATGTTCATTTGCCTTGTATATGTATGCTTTACAAGTAACAAGTGTATTTATCATTGTAAAATTTTAAAAATGTATTTTGCTAAAATAACTTTGGAAACCATAAAGAGTTAATAAATATTTGTAATTAATATCATTTCAAACTGTATTGAGGTGTTGATTATGGAAAGTTGTTTCATTTATAGTAAGTAGTTCTTTTCTACCGTATCATAATTTGTAAATTATGGAAATGCAATCTCAAGCAAAAGAAAGACATTTTTAGAAACTACAGTTTAAAAAAATGATCCATAGTATTATCATAACTAATAACATTGTTTTCAGAGGCTACCTATAATCAAAGTTATGTTGCATATAGTTATTGGGGATATTTTTAATCTATGAATCTAAATTTGATTGCAAAAAACTTCTTGTAAGGTGTAATTAAGATTTGGCTATACCTTTTTTATTTAATAAAGTACAACTTAGAATTTAACATGTTTTATAGTTTTCACATTTTGAAGAGTCCTTTCTTTCACAATAGCATTGAAAGCATGTGATTTAGGGAGTTATTAGATGTAAGTAGTAGAAGCTACTGAGAATTTTAATAAATCCTAATGGAACAGCAGAAGCGTTGGTTTAGACATTCTCAACTATAAATCTGCCTTCAGCAAGTGTTTATTGAATTCCTTTCACATGCAAGACAGTGTGCGAAATTCCAAAGGATATCAAAACGACACAGTCCTTGCTTTCAAGATACTTGCAGTCACTTTAGAGTGAGGCATGAGAAAAGTCAGAAATAACTACAGAACAAATGTACTCTAAGTGTCATGGGAGAGATACATGGCTATAGGTATGTAGTCAAGAGGGAGAGAAACTATATAGGTTGTAGGAATCAGGAGAAACTTCAGGAAGTTGACAGTAACTGAAGTGGAAAATAAGCAGAATCTTGATAGGTAGGAGAAAAGGCTGATGCAAAGGCACCAATCAGAATACCTCAAGCAAAAGCCTAAAAGTAGGTAAGTGCAGGTTATGTTTGGAGAAAATTGTGTGGCTCTATTTATTTCTCACAATGAACTGAAATAGGGTAGCTTTGGGAGATAAGGCCAGGAGGGTAGATTAAAGATATTTTGTGAAGAGTCTTAAAAACTTGAGTAAGATTATAAGCATGATTAAAAAGGAGCTACTAAGGATTTTTTAGATTGAGGCCACAGAATTATAACTATGCCTTATAAAATTTAATTATGTTGTGTTAGTAGTGAGATGCTGCGGGTGAGGAGATCAGCTGGGAATTGTCTAAGTAAATGGTGAGGAGAACCCGAACTTAGGATAATGGAAGTAGATTACCAATGGAAGGAAGGAAACAAAAATGTGCAATAAAATACCTTAGGGCTTGGCATGCCATCAGATGTATAGGTCAAATGAAAAGGAGAAACCCAAACTGTGGCTCATCTTAAGTGTTTCTCCCTATGAGAACAGAAGTGTCATTAATATAAATAGTGCCATTCGAAGAATTTACTGGTTTGGGGGAAATTATATGGTTTGGTTTTGCATAGTGAGACATAACTGGAAAAAAGTCAAAGAAGTATTTGGAAATGATGTTCCAAGAGAAAAAGGAAAAGGCTAGGGCTTGAGACAAGCTTGGGATTAGCAACAAGGGAAGGTAGCTGAAGATGAGAGACATTTTATTAGTATAATTTTTTAAATGCGCCTGTCATTACAGACAGAGCTGGGTAAAGGAATTTGCCTGGTATCAAGTGTGAGCCAGATGGCAGTTGTACATTTTGGTGAAAATGCCTTAAGTGAATGTGGATTGCAGTTAAAATGGCATTGAAGAAAAGTGGGGAAAAAGCTAAACTTTTATTGATTAAAGGTTTTTATTTGGGCAAATCTGAAAAAAAAAAAGATCCATCATACAGTAAATTAGAAGGTAGTATCAGAGTACTTCTAAATGCATTTTTTAAAGGTAGAAAATGGAAAAGACTCACATTTGTCACACTCTACCAGTCATGGATTGTATTACCAAAGGAAGGCACAGTACCATGAGAAAGAAGGTGCCAAGGGCTAAGCAGCCAGGACCCCAAGGATTGCACATTCAGATATTCATCGGGAGGCACCCGGTTCAGTTCTGAGGAGTGTGGAGTTGTTTGTTTGTATATTAAGAAAAAGGGAAAATTTATTAGCATAAAAGTAAATTGTTTTTGTTTTCAATTGTACTTGACCTTTAAACAATGCAGGTGTTAAGGACAGCAACTCCTCTGCATATAATTTTTGATCTCCAAAAACTTAACTTCTAAAAGCCTACTGTTGACTGAAAGCCTTACCAGTAACATAAACAGTAGATTAACACATATTTTGTATGTTAGATGTGTTATATACTGTATTCATGTAATAAAGTAGGCTAGAGAAAAGAATGTTATTAAGAAAATCATAAGGAAGAGAAAACGTATTTACTATTCCTTAAGTGGAAGTGGATCATCCCAAAGGTGGTTTTTCCATAGAGTAGACTGAAGAGAAAGAGAAAGAGGGAGGGGTTGGTCTTGCTGTCTCAGGGGTAGCAGAGGTGGAGGAAAATCCATGTGTAAGTGGACTTGTGTAGTTCAAACCCATGTTGTTCAAGGATCAACTAAAATGAAGTGAATATTAAATATGACGTAGGTTTTGTCTTCTTGCAGATTAACTATTTGACCAAATTTATATTAAAAAACAACACAAATAACTTCTTTTATAACTTGAGCAATCTCACAACATTTTTAACCATTTCAGATGTAAAGGATAACTCCTTTAGCCGATCACGGAGTTCAAGTGTAACAAGCATTGACAAAGAATCCCGAGAAGCGATCTCCGCTCTTCATTTCTGTGAAACGTTTACTCGAAAGACGGACTCGTCCCCTTCCCCTTGTCTATGGGTTGGAACAACGCTAGGAACAGTGCTTGTCATTGCACTGAACCTTCCCCCAGGGGGAGAGCAAAGACTTCTTCAGCCAGTAATTGTGTCTCCAAGTGGTATGTATTGCTGCTGCACTTAGAGTTACATTACAGGTGTGATTTACTATGATAGAAGCCTTTGTTTTTCATTCTTGAATTGATCTAAGAATTCCAAAATGTAAAGTAAATGGGGACAGTGATGGCCTTATTTATTTATTTTTTTAATTATTATACTTTAAGTTTTAGGGTACATGTGCACAATGTGCAGGTTAGTTACATATGTATACATATGACATGCTGATGCTCTGCACCCACTAACTCGTCATCTAGCATTAGGTATATCTCCCAATGCTATCCCTCCCCCCTCCCCCCACCCCACAACAGTTCCTAGAGTGTGATGTTCCCCTTCCCGTGTCCATGTGTTCTCATTGTTCAGTTCCCACCTATGAGTGAGAATATGTGGTGTTTGGTTTTTTGTTCTTGCGATAGTTTACAGAGAATGATGATTTCCAATTTCATCCATGTCCCTACAAAGGACATGAACTCATCATTTTTTATGGCTGCATAGTATTCCATGGTGTATATGTGCCACATTTTCTTAATCCAGTCTATCATTGTTGGACATTTGGGTTGGTTCCAGCAACCTACTCATCTGACAAAGGGCTAATACCCAGAATCTACAATGAACTCAAACAAATTTACAAGAAAAAAACAAACAACCCCATCAAAAAGTGGGCAAAGGACATCAACAGACACTTCTCAAAGGAAGACATTTATGCAGCCAAAAAACACATGAAAAAATGCTCGCCATCACTGGCCATCAGAGAAATGGAAATCAAAACCACAATGAGATATCATCTCACACCAGTTAGAATGGCAGTCATTAAAAAGTCAGGAAACAACAGGTGCTGGAGAGGATGTGGAGAAATAGGAACACTTTTACACTGTTGGTGGGACTGTAAACTAGTTCAACCATTGTGGAAGTCAGTGTGGCGATTCCTCAGGGATCTAGAACTAGAAATACCATTTGACCCAGCCATCCCATTACTGGGTATATACCCAAAGGACTATAAATCATGCTGCTATAAAGACACATGCACATGTATGTTTATAGCGGCACTATTCACAATAGCAAAGACTTGGAACCAACACAAATGGCCTTATGTTTTAATGAAAGAATACATAGAGCAAGATTTCAGGATGTTGTTTGTTTATACAGCCATTCAATTTTGCCATTTTTTTTTAAACTTTGGGATCTTGTGTAAAATAATTACTATGTAAGAAAATTTTTTTTAAAAGTTACAATAATGCATTCCTAATACCTCAAGCAAAAGAATGCTATAAATTTAGGAGAAAAACAGAAAAGTGCATTTTTAAACATTCTACACATGGTTATTTTTCATCTCCAAGTGTGAAACCTGAGATTATTTTTCTACTTTGAAGTGTTAGGAAAAGGTGACTTGAGAGCAAATTTTAAAAAATAGTACTAGACTTCATATTTTGAAAATGAGATTGGATTTTGTCAAATGTTTGTGGAGTCTGTTAGGTGAGGAGATAACTGAGAATTCTGATTTCTGTTACTACTCATTTATGCCCATCCAGATAGAAACAACCATGATTTTGCTTGTAAATCTATCTCTTGTTTGTGCCGACTTTTACAGTTTTTGGAATTTAGAAGTTAAACTGCATTTATGATTATATTTCTGAGCCATCTTTACATTAAATAATCAGTTTAATTTACTCATTTTGCTCTATAAGTGCTTGAGTATATACTGCACATCAAGTTGTTAGATTAAGGAAAACAGGTTACATAATGATATTCTTACTAATCTCAGTTCTTATTAGTAAATATGTGTATAGGAATAAAATAAACTGGAAAGTTGAAAATCAAAATGTTAACAGGAGTTATCACTGGTAAGTAGGATTTGGGGTTACTTTTATTTTCATTTTTTTACTGATTTGTAGTTTCTAAATTTTCTACAGCAAACATACACCAATTTGTAATAAGAAAAAAATGTTTCCAATAAATGAAAATGACTGAGCGGGATTAAATATAGATAATTTACTGTTAACTACACAAAAAGTATTTAGTATACTTTCCAACTTGCAATAAATCAAATTAGCTGTAAAGTGAATACAAAAATAACTTTCATATGTAAGAAAGAAACTTAGTTTCTTCTCAATGATGGAATCCTTGAGGTTTGTTTTTAATAAGATGCCTATTTAAAAATATATCAGTGACACTCATGTCATCGGTATTGGAGCCCTGAGAAGAAAGAGATGTTTTCAGGCTGATGGGTTTCTGTGCTTCAGAGCCTAAAGTGGTCTACTTTGTCTGCTGTTATTTTTTCTTTTCTTCAAGAGGAAGATTCAACAGTTAACCACGAATCTACTAGGAAACATGCTAAAGTCCCATCAACTATAGGACAAGCATACATTTAACGGTTATTTTAGGCCAGTTTTTTAAAAAATCTACATACTAGAACAATATATGTGCTATAAACAGTTCCCAAATTAGCATGGATAATTCAGCTGACCTCATCAAAACTTTAAAGGCGGAAGGACTCTTTGGGTGGACCAGAATAAAAAATAAGAGATCTTGAAAGAAAAGCTAGCTTTATAATATGTTTGAAATAATAATTAAAACTGTAAGATTATAACTGTCTTGTGTTTCGAAGTTTTCTACAAAGCTGCTTAAAATAGTGAAATTATCTGCTCACCAAACTTGGATGTAGAGTAGGGTTACTAGATTTAGTAAATAAAAATATAGGATGCCCAGTCAAATTTTAATTGATATAACAAATACTTTAATATAAGTGTGTCGCATTGGACAGATATGTAGCTTTTGGGACATACTTATACTAAAAAGTATTCATTGTTTATCTGAAATTCAAATTGAAATATGTGCTCAATAGAAGGCTGCAACCTTACTATTGATAAAACATAAATGCAGAGAGGAAAGGAAAGAATATTTTTTCTTCTAAAATGTTTTGAGAAAACATCAGGAACTCTTTTTCTTAGAAATAAAAGAAAATAATATGTGGAAAAAATACTGCAAGCTATAAAACCTTATATAAATTTAAAACAAAATATGAAAAATCTTTAAGAACTGAATGCTAACTCAGCTATCTACCCTGCCTTCCATTCCATTAATGTTATCACTTAGTTTACTCAGAAGTGAGCATAAAGCATATTTGTACATTATCAAGGATATAGGGGGAAAGGGTACCATTAACTGAAGCAAGTCAAAAAATGTAACCCCTACATTAAGATGATAAACTGACCAAAATAATGCCTTAAGTATATTTGACAGTTGTTGTAAATCATTTAAGAGGAATTATGATTTTAGAGGTAATGGTTGGAAATGTGTGAATTTTTTTTCATTGGCCATCTAGATCAGTATTGTCTATTAGAGATGCAATGCAAAGCCACATAAATAATTTTAAATGTTCTAGCAGTCACATTAAAAAAGTAAAAAACAGGTGAAATTAATTTTAATAACATTTTATTTAGTCCACTGTGTCCCAAATATTATCATTTTGGCATGTAATTATTGAAAGTGATTGAGGCATTTTACATTGAACTTTTTGGAGTGCTAAAGTCTTCAGATGGGGCATGTGCTTGAGTCTCACCATGCGCTGCAGTTGTTCACACACTTTGGACAAGGCGCGTTCCCAGTGCTCTGCAGCCACATGTGGCCCCACACTGACTGCTCCAGGTGCTATCCACTTGCTCTCCTGCTGACTGGTAGTGCACTTACTGGGTATAAGAGAAAACAGTTCCAGATACTCCAGCATGTCGTTTGTTTATTCATTTAAAGATCAGATATGTGTTTGCAAAATTTATCATATGTAATTAAATTGTGAGTGATCATTAGTGGCATTTATCTATTTGGAGCATGTAAGTTGACATCTTTTTCCAGACTCATAAATACCACGCTTAAAGTCCGAATCCTGTCAATGAGCCAGTGTTCAGTTCAATATGCGTTCAGCATATATTTAAGTATCTACTGTATGTCAAAGTTAGAATAAACGTGTTTACTCTGTTGATTAAAATATTTCAGTTATTTACTAGACTTCTATATTTTAGGTACTATATTGAGGTTAAAAGGTGCAATCTTGAGAATGGCATTTCTGGATACCACAGGCTGCTTAATACCACCTGCGTATGAACCCTGGAGAGAGCACAATGTTCCTGAAGAAAAAGACGAAAAGGAGAAATTGAAAAAACGGCGGCCTGTCTCAGTATCCCCCTCCTCTTCTCAGGAAATTAGTGAAAACCAGTATGCAGTGATATGTTCTGAAAAGCAAGCAAAAGTAATCTCACTGCCAACCCAGAACTGTGCTTATAAGCAAAATATTACAGAGACCTCGTTTGTGCTTCGTGGAGATATTGTAGCATTGAGTAACAGTATCTGCCTTGCCTGTTTCTGTGCCAATGGACATATAATGACTTTTAGGTAAGAGTTAGATATGTTTTAAAACACAGATATAGCATTTCCTCCCTCAAACTATACTACAGAATTGTTTAAAAGAAATGCTTTTTGTGTGTGTATAGTCTTATACTCTGAGAATTTATTTTTATTCTGTTAATAGTGAACAAGTATATGAGGAGTATAAACCATTTTTTATCTCCCACTCAAGTATACAAACTAAATCATAAGATTTATGAGGTCTCTGCCATTTTTAACAATGATAGTGTGTTCAAGACTAAAACCTACCTTATTATTAACAAGTTTTTAATTTTTTTCTCAAGTTTGCCAAGTTTAAGACCTCTGTTGGATGTGTATTACTTGCCCCTTACCAATATGCGGATAGCCAGAACGTTCTGCTTTACCAACAATGGACAAGCATTATACCTTGTTTCACCTACAGAAATCCAGAGACTTACTTATAGTCAAGAGACCTGTGAAAATCTTCAGGTAATTAATAAAAATATTACTGTAATTTCTTCAGAGGTAAAGTATTCTCTGAGGGCCCGTATACTGTCTGCCCCTTATTCTCATGGAACTATACAAGTGAGCCTGCTTGGGAAAATCCAGACTGTTGAATTAGACTTTCAGAGCACATGCTTTGAGACTCCCATGATTAAAAGTATCATCTTCAGACATCTGCTATAAGCAGCTTCATCTTACTAATCCATATCGGTCTTTCCAGTGATGGCAGAGAAATATGAACTGGTGCATACATTTTATAACTACTCTCTACATAGAATAAATATCTATTATACACACACACAGTCCTTTTTAAAGAAGTGTGTTAATGTGAAAATAAATGAGTCTATTTTCGGGCAAATTTTGTAATCTCAACTCCTATTCACAAGGATATTTACACAGAAGAAAAAAATGTTATTTGGTAGTTTTCCTCTAGTATGTTGGTTGATCTGTTTTTGAGAGACTATATACAAATTCTTTATATACAGAAATGTGTCCTTTTTTAAGTATTTGAGTGCTGTATGTGCTTCTGTGTGTATTCGAAGTGATCAGTTTAGCTTTACCTTCCAAAGTAAAAGTGCTCTGGAAATATTGAGCTAAAATATTGATTGATATTTGATATTTAGAGGAAAGTACTATCTAGAGGAACTTTATAATGAAAGTTTTTGCAATTATTTAGCCCTATTTTACACATTTGCAAATTTGAATTTGTGGCTTATTATTTTTAGAACATGAGCTTTAGAGTCAAGAAGGCTGAATTCAAGTCCATCTTGCTAACTATACAATTATGTAATCATAAACAAGTTACTCAGTGACTCTAAGCATCATCTTTAAAATTAGCATAGAAGTGGTATCTCAGAGGATATGATATGGATTAAAGGAGACAGTGCATGTAATGTGCTTAGCATAGTGCCCCTGGTACAGAGGGTGCTTAATAAATGTCAGATGTTGTTGTCCTCGTTGTGTTATTATTTCAGTAAGCTATACTATACTGGAAACCTAGTCCTGAGTAGTATTGTAAACTTTGAGAGTAAAACAAAATTACATATCTGACATTAGATTTAAATTCCCATTTATGTTTGGGTGAAAGTTATTTTTCAAAGATTCCTAAGTTTCTGAAGTAAAATTTTGTTTTCTGTCGGAAGGATAAACCTTAAAATTTTCCTTTTAGCATTTCCTTTCACTAGCAAAATGTTATGTTAAGAAATAATATTGACAATTGAATATTAATTCATTTCCATCTGAAATGTGGTCTTAATTCAACTACTTGAAAATCTAAACTTCACACTTTTCTGGGATCAATTTATTCTATCCTTTAGTTGGTGTTTTCTTTAATTATTCTTAAGTTAATAGCAGCCATAGTTTACTCATTTATGTTTAAATGAAATAGTCTTTTAGTAGTAAACTATATTTTAAACTATCTGCTATGTGCCTTCATCATACAGAGATAAACAAAAAATGGACTATCTTAAAGGAACTTGTGATAAAATGTTTTCTTTGGGCAATATTGACATGTTATTTACCTTTGTATTTTTAGTACCCAGAAATAATGCCTTGGTAAAATCTGTTGAAGACTATGATGAACTTGATAAACACTATACCTTGGTTCCCTGAGTACCCTTTTACATTGTGCATTCCTTCAACTTTAGCCCAAAATAAAGAAGATGCCTACAAATATTTATGGAGTTTCCAGTCAAGATGGAATAATAGGAACCAGATTAACCCTCCTTCCTGAAACAACCTAAAACAAAGCAGACAGAACTCATGAAACAATGGTTTTCAAATTACTGGACATCTGGCAATGAAGGAAAGTAATTTCTGACAGATAGGAATCAAAGAAGGTGTCCCAGCTTTAATGCCTTAATAGAGTGTTCAGGACATGGCACAGGGCGAAGGTACTAAGTTAAAGCCTGGCAGACTTCCCAAGTTGAAGAGGCAGGAACAAGAGTTTGGGGACACCAGGTAAATTCGAGAGAAAAGAGCTACAAAGAGAAAGAACCCTGGAGATGTGCAGAGTCCCCCTGAGTATACCATACGTGCTATTCAGCACGTACACGTGACTAAGCTTTCAGAGCAGAAAAAGAACCATCTGAAAGGAATAGAGGATTTGTAGAAACCATTCCAGGAACAGTGCTTGATCCCAACAACCAGACTGGAGAAACCCATAATTTGTGTGGATATTAGTTTCCTGAGGCCACAAACTTGGTGGCTAAAACCAGTAGAAAATTACTTGCTCATACTTGTAGAAGCCAGAAGTCCACAATCAGTTTTACTGAGGCAAAATCAATGTGCTAGCAGGGTCTTGCTCCCTCCAGAGGCTCTAAAAGATAATTACTTATTGCCCCTTTGTTTCTAGGAGCTGCTGGTATTCCTTGACATTGGGCCACATCACTGGAATCTCTGCCTTTATGGCTGCATTACCTCCTCTTCTGGGTGTCAAATCTACCTCTCTTTCTTAAAAAGACACTTGTAATTGGATTATAACCCATTCAGTAGTCCAGAATAATTTCCCCAGAGCAAGATACTTAATCACATCTGCATAGACTCCTTTTCCTTGCCAGGTAATATTTGTTGGTCCAGAGATTAGGACCTGATATCCTTGGATGGTCCGTTATCAGCCACTACTCCAGATATGCCTAACAAATCGCAAAAGCAAGAATCAAAAGGATGAAAATGTTTTCTGTCAGAATGAAATTCAAGAAAACTTAAAGGAAATAAAAACTATTTAGCACCCAGTGAGGTAAAAATCGCAATGTCTGGTGTCCAGTCAGTTACCAGGCATGGAAAGAGACAGAAAAACATGAGCCATCATGAGGAGAACAATTAGCAGAAACCAAACCAGAACTGACATACATACCAGAATTGGCACACAAAAGGATATTAAAACAATAACAACTGCGTTCCATATGTTCAAAAAGTTAGAAACATGAAAGATACAAAAATAAAATCAAACTTCTAAAGATGAGAAACTGTAGTGTTTGAGGTGAAAAATATGCTAAATGGCATTAACAGCAGATTTGACATTACAGAAGAAAAGATAGTGTACTTGAAAGTATAGCAACAGAAAAAAATAACAGTGTTTGAACTTGGCAAACTTATAGCACTAAAACACCTATATTAGGAAAGAAGGAGGTCTCAATGCAATGATGTCAACTTTCACTTTAAAGAACTGAGAAAAGGCCAGGCGTGGTGGCTCACGCCTGTAATCCCAGCACTTTGGGAGGCCGAGGCGGGTGGATCACAAGGTCAGGAGATCGAGACCATCCTGGCTAACACAGTGAAACCCCGTCTCAACTAAAAATACAAAAATTTAGCCGGGCGTGGTGGTGGGTGCCTGTAGTCCCAGCTACTTGGGAGGCTCAGGCAGGAGAATCGCTTGAACCCGGGAGGCGGAGCTTGCAGTGAGCTGAGATCACGCCACTACACTCCAGCCTGGGTGACAAAGCGAGATTCTGTCTCAAAAAACAAAAAAACAAAAACTGAGTAAAGCAAATTAAACCCAAAGTAAACACAAGAAAAAAAATAATAAACATCCAAGTGGAAAACAAAGAAACAATAGAAAAACATCAATGAAATCAAAACTAATAAAATTAATCTCAAGCCATATGAAGAAAGAAGTTATAAACTATTAATATCAGTAATAAGAGAAGTCTCATTACTATATATTCTATAGATATGAAATGGATAAAAAGTGAATATTATGAACAAGTTTATGCCAAAAATATTCAAAACCTTAGATGAAATGGACAAATTTCTTTAAAGACAAATTACCAAGCCTCACTGAAAAAAAAATAGATAACCGAAATAGTCCTGTGTCTATTAAAGAAATTGAAATAGAGGTTAGGAACCTTGGACCAAGAAACTTCCAGGCCTAGATGGCTTCAGTGATGAGCTCTATCAACATTTCAGGAAGAAATAACACCGGTTCACAAACTTTTCCAAAAACTGAATTAGGATTGCTTCCCAGCTTATTCTATGAAGGAAGCATTAACCTGATAACAAAATTAGACCAAGTTATTATAAGAAAAGAAAACTACCTATAAACCAATATCTCTCATAAATATAAAAGCAAAATTTGTTAAAAAAAAAAAATTTTTGCAAATTGAATTCAGCAATATATCAAAGGGATAATACATTATGACCAAGTGAGACCTAATCCCAGGAAAGTAGGATTGACCTAACGTTTGAAAATCAGTCAATGTGATCCATCTTATTAAAAAGCTTAAAAAAGAGCAGTTGACAAAATCTAACAAATATTCCTGATTTTTAAAAATCTCTACAAACAAGGAACAGAAGAAAACTTAAAGGACATGTAAGAAAAACCCACATCTCAAATAATATTTAGTGATGAAATACTTAATTCTTTCTCCCTGAAATCAGCAATTACAGAAGAATGTTCACTCTCACCACTTACATTCAGTGTTGTAGTTAAGGTTCTAACCAGTGCACTCAGGCAAGGAAAAGAAAAGGAAAGCGGCTGTCTTTATTCACAATGACATGATCATCAGTATAGGAAATCTAATAAAATCTACCATAAAGGATACTAGAATTAATCAGTGTGTTTGGCAAAGATGTAGATTATGAGATAAATATACAAAAATAATTTTATTTCTATATATTAGCAATGAACATTTGGAAATTGATATTTTAAAAACCATACCATCTATAATAGCAACAAAAATATGAAATACTTTGGGATAAATCTAACAGAAAATGAAAGATCTCTACACTGAAAAACTATAAAATATTAATAAAAAATTTTTTAAAGTCTTAAAAATTTTTTAGAAAATTTTGTAGGAATTGACAAATTTATCCTAAAATTCATACGTAAATACAAGAGAACTAAAATACACAAAACAGCTCTGAAAAAAATGGAAGGGCTAACACTACCTTATTTCAAGATTATTATAAAGCTGCAGTAATCAGTAGAGAATGGTATTTTTGGCATTGAGATGAATGGATCAGAATAGAATATCCAGAAATAAACACATACATGGACAACTGATTTTTTTAAGGAAGGCGCAAGGCAATGCAATGGAGAAAGGATTGCCTTTTCAACAAGTAGTGCTGGAACTATTGGATATTAAAATGCAAAAAAAATCAGCTTTGATCCACGCTTCACACCATATACCAAAATTTATTCAAAATGTATTATGGACCTACATGGAAACCCCAAAACTACAAAATTTCTAGAAAGAAACTTAAGAAAACATCTGTTACCTTATTTTGGGAAAAGATTTATTAGCCATGACACCAAAAGCAACATCCATAAAAGAACAAATTGATAACTTCAACAAAACTTAAAATTTCTACTCTTCAGAAGACACTTTTTAAAATGAAAAGACAATTTATAGATGGGAAGAAAATCTGGGCAAAACATATATCTAATAAAGGACTTGTCTCTAGAATATATGAATGACCCTTAAAACTCACCAGAAGGAAGAGAAACAACCCAATAAAAACATAGACAAAATATTCAAAAGGAAAGCTCACCATGAAAAGATTCTCAACATTATTTATCATTAGAGAACTGCAAATTAAAACCACAGTGAGATACCATTAAACCCCTTTGAGAGTGGTTGAAATTAAAAAGAATACCATGCCAAGTTTTGGCAAGGATATAGACGAACTACAACTCCATACAATGCTGATGGGAATGTAAAAAACTATAACCACTTTGGAAAACAATTCTGGAGTTTTCTAAAAAGTTAACATTCATGAACCAAAGACCCAGCCACTTTACTCATTTTTTTTAAATTAAAAGAAAAGGAAATTTGTATTCATAGCCGCTTTATTTGTAATAGCCAAAAACTGGAAACCACCCAGATGTCCTCAACAGATGAGTGGAAAAACAAATTGCAGTTTATCATACAGTAGAATTCTAGTCAGCAATACAAAGGAGTAAACGATGCAATCAGCAACATCAGTGAATCTCAGAATAATTATGCTTAATGAAAGGAGCCAAGAAAAAGAGTACATGTTGTTCTATTTATATAAAAACTCAAGAAAATACAAATTATAGTGAAAGAGCAGATCAGCAATAACTTGGATATGGGGTTGTTAAAGAAGGAATGAGAGAAGGTCGTACAAAGGAGCAGAAGGACACTTGAGAGTGATGGATATATTCACAGTGTTGATTGTGGTGATGGTTTCATGCATATATGCATATGGCGAAATTCACCAAATTGTACACCTCAAATATATGCCAGTTTTTGTATGTCGATTATACTTCAGTAAAGCTGTGTAAAAGATTAATGGATTCAGGACTTTTAATTGTCATTGACAGGCAATTAGTCAATGGTATGTTTATAGATTGAAATACTTAAGTTTCTTTTTACAGTATTATTCTTAACTGTACCATAGTGAAAAACACAGAGATAATTTATAATAAACTGTTTTTTTCAAATGGACTATAATATATTCATTTGTGAACCCTAACCAAAATTTGCTATAATCGTAGAGGTGGAACATACCAATTAATTCAGTTTAAAACAACTAAGTAAGTAACTCTGGTAAGCACCTCAGGATTATAATTTATAAACAAAACCCCAAGTAATCACTGTAAACAACTGATGACAGTTGAACTGTTTAGCTTCTTATATATATTGTGTATTCAGTATGAAGTTTATTGCTGTGTGTTTATCCTGGAGATATTTATTTTTTCAGACTCAATACTCTTACAATATAAAGTTTTCTTAAAATGATTAAAATCAGTGATTATTTGATGCACTGTAAAGGACTTTGTAGTGGCATCTAATGTATGGATAACCAAAGCCCATACATTGACCCATTCATGAAATTAGTCCTAAATTTTACCATTCTAACCTTGTTAGCTTACATGCAAGACAAATGATATGCAAGAGTCTAAAATCAGACAAGTATATTTATTTCTGAATATTTATATTTTAGAAGAGTAATTAAGTCCAATGTCTTGTTTCAGAAATACCATCTACTATGAATAGATGTAGCAAGATCACAGAAATAACAAATCTGTTTTAGATTTCACCAACATACACTAGCATTAACATGAATCATTCTAAATAGTAGATTTACTTATAATAAAAAGCCTTATTTAAATAGAAGTGAAAAAATACCTATATATTTTATGTATTTTCCCAAAACCTTTATATTAAGACTGCAGATAATCTAGACTTTAAGAAACATTGAGTTTTCAACTCCCTTTAAAGATGTCTGTTCATAATGTTAACCTGTAGATAAATGACTTGTGTATTTTCTAATTGGTTTCATCTCTATGTGATAGATTTTTCTACTTCTGTACATACACTATTGATGTCTACTCCTGGCACTTTATATGCTCATTATCTTTAATCCTAGTAATGTTCCTGAGAGGCAGTTATCATTATCTCCCCCTTTTAAAGTTGAAGAAGCCATTTCTTTGACAGACTAATTTGACTAAGAGTCTCCTGCTAGTAAAAGGCAGAAATTGAGAATCAAATCCAGGTCCATCTGGTTCCAAAGTTTATACTCATTCTACTACAGAGAATATAATGAGTTTAATCTGGTGTTTTTATATTTCTTACTTTACCCTTGTAAAATTGTAAGCTCATTAAACACCAAATAAGAAATGCAAACTGTAATTCTAAAAATGAGGTAAAATTTTTTAAAAAGCATACCTTTAAACTATCGCTGTTGGTATGTCATATTCTTCTTTTGATTTAGCATGAGACACCCAAATGATAGCTGTGTTGCTGTTATTGATCTTTTTTACGTTGTAACAATTTAATACATATAGTTTAAATTAGGATCTGTGAAATACTGTTTTTAAAAGATTTAAAATATGCCTAAAATTGCCTTTGTTATAGAGTTTAATATAAATTCAATATAATAATAGACATCAGTATATTCTATAGTGGGTTTTAACAAGTTTGATTTATTGAATTCAGAAAGTGTTTTATTCCAGGTTTACTACACTTTATAGAAATCCAGAGGAAGGAAAATAAAAACGTAAGAGCTTCAGTCCACTTCAGTCTTATAAATAAAACTGTTGTGTAATGTTAATAATTATTTCCTCCCATATGCAATCTGGGTGGAGGGATAATGTTAATATGGATATGTCTAAAAGAAAACCTGAACAGCCTTTACCAGCCTTCTTAGCCCAGCCCCAAGGAAGAAACCCTGAAAAATACATACTTTTATTCCAACTATAATGATGTAGTAATACCAGAGTATAGCAGAACTCCTATATAAATGTTACTACCGTCCTTTTCCTTTTTTTTTTTTTTTTTTTTTTTTTTTTTTTTTTTTTTTTTTTTTTTTTTTGAGACAGATTCTTTTGCCCAGGCTGGAGTGCAGTGGTGCAATCTCTGCCCACTGCAACTTCCGCCTCCCGGGTTCAAGCTATTCTCCTGCCTCAGCCTCCTAAGTAGCTGGGATTACAGGCGCAGGCCACCACGCCCTGCTAATTTTTGTATTTTTAGTAGAGACAGGGTTTCACCATGTTGGTCAGGCTGGTCTCGAACACCTGACCTCATGATCCTCCCACCTCGGCCTCCCAAAGTGCTGGGATTACAGGTGTGAGCCACCGTGCCCAGTCACTACCATCCTTGTCTTAGAAAAACTCTTCTTTCCTCTTTTTGTATTGTCAACAAAACCAGTAACATGTCAGCAGTCTTTTCTCCTTTTATCATTTCTGCACTCTAAAAAATATTGACAGTAATTTCAGAAAAATCTGATGATGTACAAGGGAAGAGTTCCCATCTCTCTGCCAGATTTCTGAAATTCCAGGTGTATGTTGGCATAATTCTCTTCCTAGCATGTGTTTATGAGAAAAGAAGTTGGTGTCTAAATTATAAATTTTCTGACTCAGCTAAAAGTTATAATTCCAAAACTACATATCATCATTATTACACTGGACTTTTATACTTGCTGTTAAAAAGTTTTCTTCTTTCTGGCTGGGCATGGTGGCTCATGCCTGTACAGCACTTTGGGAGGCTGAGGTGGGTGGATCACTTGAGGCCAGGAGTTCAAGATCAGCCTGGCCAACATGGCGCAAAACCTGTCTCTACAAAATACAATAATTACCCAGGCATGGTGGCGTGTGCCTGTAATCCCAGCTAGTCAGTGGCTGAGACACAAGAATCACTTGAACCCCAGAGGCAGAAGCTGCAAGTGAGCCAAGATCGCATCACTGCACTCCAACCTGGGTGACAGAGTGAGACTGTCTCAAAAAAAAAAAAAAAAAAAAAAAAACTTCTTTCTAATGTAATTATTAATCCTATTATCAATTGATATGAGTTATATGAAAATTTTGTCTGAAAGATTAGAATCTCCTGACACTCTTAAGCAAAAATACTGTTTGCCTAAAATGCAAACAAAGGGGCAAGCAGCAAATAAGTCATATTTTAGTTTTAGAAACACTGTTTGAATAAATCAGCACGTTCTGTATCTGATCGTAGGACATGTACTCATTAATTGTGAATCTCAACAGGTAATGTTCTGAGCTTAAGTTAAGGAGTTTACAGTGATACTTTTGTTCATTATAGTTTAGTTTCCCTGAAATTTCAACAGTGACAATTTGTTTTGATTTTAAAGGAAATGTTGGGTGAACTCTTCACTCCTGTAGAAACACCTGAAGCACCAAACAGGGGATTCTTTAAAGGCTTATTTGGAGGTGGTGCACAATCTCTTGACAGAGAAGAACTATGTAAGTTGATTTATTTAATTCGGATAATATATCTATAAAACAGGAACAAGCCATACAAAAATTTTTTTATACGTGTAAATTATGTTCACTTTTTTTCTCTTTGTCACAATTACTATTTCCATGTTTTAACAAAATACATAAAATTATTTTCTGTTATTCTATCCCAAATCAGGGAAATACTTTACTCAAGGAAATATCAAAATCAGAATAACTTTTGATTACTAAAAAGTAGTATTCACAACTTTAAGTAAATAATGTAGGAAGTACTTACTTTATGTTATGTTAATGCTATGATTTTCTTTAACTGATAACCTTAACTTTGAAAAAGTTTTTACTTTAACATTTAATCTGTCTTTCAAAACCTCTAAAACTATTCTAGTTCATTTAACCTTCATCATAAGATAAACCTTCTGGTTCATTTAGTACCTTCCACGTAGTTGATACAAGTAAATAGTTTGTCCTTGAATGAACTAATGAATCAGTGAATGCTTGACCTTTCTTATGAATGGCAGCTAGTATCTATCCTTTGATTTTTTTTTTCTAAAATATTTAGAATTGTTTCATGTTTGTTTGACTAATGGAAAAACTGTAACATTAAGTAGCAGTAAGTAGCAGTTCAATGAAATTTTTTTAAACTTACCCAAATGATTGGTCTGTAGTTTTAGTTCAGTTTAAAAAATGAAGACTGTTCAAGTCAGTGGGGACTGATAATTTGGGATAAAATTCTCACTGAGGAAAATTTATAACGTTATATAAAACTCAGAAAACGTATTTCTAAAATTTGTTAAAGACATCAAAGAAGTAATCATATAGTAAGAAGTTTTCAAGAACTATCTGTGGGGAAAGAAGCCCAGAGCGGAGAGCCTGACAACTTGGGGCACTTTGACTCTGCAGTACTTTGCTAATGAGGCTGAGGTACTAAGCTGTGCTAGAGCTAGCAAGATGGGCTCCCCAACCTGGCAAGAGTGGGGACCCTAAAATAACTCCTGCTATTTGCAAAGACACCAAAGGGCTATAATTTAAGAGTAAGGGTGAACTGGGAATAAACTACCCACCTCCCCCCACCACACACACTCACAACTTTCAGCTCAGCTTCAAATATCTGGGTGGCCTGTAAAATCTTCAGTGCTAATTGTTAATTAAGATTTTTCCAGACTGCTAGAGTCCCTAGCTCCTGGCAGAAGCAAATGAAAAAATGATCTCAGAAAGAATATAGTGCATTCCAAGTCCTCAAATTATCTCTACAAATAATTTTTCAAATATGTAGTCATAGATAACCAGGAACATAGATGACCAGAAACCACTCATAGATAACCAGGAACATTAGGAATCAACAGCATGATTAATAAAATAGAAAAGGCAGAAGGATAGATACTTCACATATTGGAATTATCAAACACAGACTACAAAATAATTATCATAATTATAGTGTTCAAGAGGCTCAGTATCATGCCTGAACATTGTATCAGGTAACTGAAAACTGTAAAAGTCAATAGCAGTAGATGTGAAAAAACCCAGAATGAAATTCTAGACCTGAAATACTCAAAAACTAGAATTAAAAACCCAATAGATAGGCTTAACTACAAATTAGACAAAAGTGAAGAAAGAATTATGTAACTTAAACATACGTTAGGAGAAGTCATCTAAAATGCAGCACAAAGAAACAAAATAAAACATGTAGGAGAGGATTAAAAAAAGAAGTTGCTGTGAGAAGATCTAACATAAGTTTAGACTTTCTCAAGAAGGAAATAGGAAGGACTGCAAAGAAGAATACTTATATATAAATATAAATATATATATAAAGAAAGAAGTCAGAAAACTTTTTAGAATTGATACAGTGATCCACAAATTTGAGAAGCCTAATTAATTCCAATGATGTTTTTAAAAATTTTCAATTAACTAATCTCATTAAAATATAGTACACCAGAGACAAAGAGAAAATCTTTAATGTGGCTAGAGAAAAATTATAGATATTTTTTAACAAATAGAGACTGATACATGACTTCTCAACAGCCAAAGATGGTAAGATGATCTTCTGTATATTGACAGAAAATTATATTGATTATATTTAATCCATAATTCTATACGCAAAAATTCTTTAAGAATGAGACATTTTTAGACAAATAAGTAAACCTTGCCATCACACTAAAGGGAATTCTAAAGGGTACACATCAGATAGAAGGAAAATAATCTTGGATGGGATGTCAGAGACACACAGTGATTTGGAACGAAACTGATGTGCATAAATATAATTAATATAATCTTTATGAACTGCAAAATAAAGGTGTATGGCATGTGTGTACACACATACACAGACAATAACATAGCCCAAAATATGTCATAACATTAAAGAGTTTAAAAACAGTAAGTGGATTTAAGGTGATCTGAGATTCTTGAATTTTTTGGGAAACTTGTAAAAAGTATTCATTGGCATTGATAAGGACACATGTAATTTATAGGATAACCTGTAAAACTTAGAAAAATAGAACATAACTTCCAGATGAATAGCAGATAAATCACAGTCATTCCGAAACAAAGCAAAAAGAGAGAGAGAATACAAAGCAGGTGGGATAAACAGATAGTACATAAAGCATGGTAGATTTAGCTTTAATATAAATAATGGTAATAAATGTAGGCAGAATAAATGTTTCAGCTAAAAGACAAAAATGGTTAGACTGAATTTGAAAAGAAAAGGCCAGCGTCGAGTCTCACACCTGTAATCCCAGCACTTTGGAAAGCTTAGCCGGGAGGGTTGCTGGAGACCAGGAGTTCGAGACCAGCCTGGGCAATATAACAAGACCCTGTCTCTACAAAAAATTTAAAAATTTAGTGGTAGTATGCACCTGTAGACCCACTTACTCATGAAGCTGAGGCAGGAGCATCACTTGAGCCCAGGAGTTTGAGGCTGTAATGAGCCATGATTATACTACTGTCATCCCAGCCTCAGTGACAGAGCAAGACCCTGTCTCTAAAAATACATTAATTAATTAATTAAACAGAAATGTACATTGTTTATAGGGGACATATATAAAACATAAGGACACAAAAAGGTGAAATTTAAAAAGATGGAAAAGCATGATCACAAATGAATCAGCTGGTATAACTATATTAATATAAGAAAAATTAGACATTAAGGCATTATTTGAATGTACCTACTATTTTGACTTCAAAATATGTGAAAACAAATATTGACATAGCTAATAGAAGAGACAGTTTCTCAATCATCATCATAAGTTCTAATTGTAGATTTAATAATAAGCAGTTGTATCAATACATTTCAAAGAGTTAAAATAACTTTAGTGTATACAGTTTGATCACAGTGCAGTTATGCTTGTAATCAATAACAAAGATAAGTTTAAATCCTCATGTTTGAAAACAGAAATATACTTACCTTTGGATAACCCTTGTGTCAAAGAATTTATGACCATTGGTATGCAACTAAAGTAATCCTTAAGAGTGAAAATTTTAATCTTAAATATGTATTAGTATTTGAAAAAGAAAACATGAAAATGAGTGAACTCAGCATTCATCTCAAAAAGTTAGAAAAACAGCAAAATAAACCAAATAAAAAAGATTAAGGTATTAATGAAATAGTAAAATACAATTGAAAAATTAACAGAGCTGTCTTAGTTCAGGCTGCTATATCAAAATACCATAAACTGGGTGGCTTTTAAACAACAGAAGCTTATTTCTTACAGCTCTGGAGGTTGGAAGTTTGAGATCAAGGTGCCAGCAGGATTGAGTTGTTTGGGGGCCCTATTCCTGGCTTACAGACAGCCTTCTGGCTGCATTCTCACCTGGGGGAAAGAGAGCAAGCTACCTCTCTGGCCTCTTTTTAAGGGCTGTAATCCCACTGATGAGGACAATACCCTTTTTACCTCCCAAAGGCCCCCACTTCTGACATTACATTAGGGAAGGATTAGATTTCAACATATGACTTGAGGGGAGAGGGTGGGGGACATAACTGTTGAGTGTATAACAAAAGCCAAAGTTGATTCTCTAAGAGTCTAATAAAAATGATAAACCTCTTTTGAAACGAAGCACGAAAAAAGAAATGCACAAGTAGATGCTATTAGGAATGGAAAAAAAAGGAATAACACTGAAGTTAAAAATAAGAGAATGTAATCTATAACTTTATTTTTGACGGAATTTAATTGTTTTACCAATTATAACAATGAAAGTCGACAAAAAGCTAAAAATTCTAATAGTACTGTAACTATCAGACATTGAAGCCATCATTTTAAACTTTTCTACAAGTAAACTTCTGGTACAAATTGGGCTTCACTAATATTTCTTCCAAATATTTAGGGAAAAAATAATTCAACTCTCACACAAACTCTTCCAAAAGATAGGAAACAATAGGTACACTCATCAACTCATTTTGTGTGGCTAACACAACCTTGATACCAAAAACCAAAATAGTATTAGAAAGGAAAAATCAAGACAAATATCATTTATAGATAGAAAATCTGAAGTGAAATATTAAGGTAGCAAATAATATGTAATAAAGATAATATACCAAGACCAAGTTTGGTTTGTACCAGGAATTCAAAGTTGATTTATCATTAAAAAAAAAAAAAAAAAAATTCTTATCCGTTCCTGATAGAGACTCCTAGAAACTAAATTGCAAATGTCACTCTTAATGCAGGAACATTAAATGATATTAAAAATTATTCCTTTGAAATTAGGAATCACACATAGTGCCCACTATTAACACATACATTCAGCATTCTTTTCAAGTCCCTAGAGGGTGTGGAAAGGGAAGAACAAATGAAGTACTATAATACGAAACAGAAAACAAAACAGTCATTTGCAAATGATTGATATGATGACATATTTAGAAGAACCAAAAGAATCTATAGCTAAATTGTTAGAAATAACAGGTTACCAAACTCACTAGATGTAATCATATACAAAAATAAAATTTAATTTATATTAACAGTAATAAAAAATGAAAAACTTTAAATTACTATTTGTGTAGTTTTCTGTTGCTGCTATAACAAATTACCACAAAATTACTAGCTTAAAAGAACCCAAATTTATTACCTTACAATTCCATAGGTTAGAAATCAACACAGGTCTTATGGGTGTTCCCATGGCTGTGTTTCTTGTTGGAAGTTTCAGGAGAGAATCCATTTCCTTGCCTTTTTTAGCTTCTAGAGGCCATCCGCATTCCTTGGTTTCTGGTCCCATTGTCAGTATTCAAGGCCAACAACCTTGCATATCTCTATTTTTCTGAAGCCACATCTGTCTGCCCACAGCTGGAAAAAAAAAAAACTCTTTGCTTTTAAAGACCCATGTGATTAGGTTAGGCTTACCTAAATAATGCAGGATGAACTCTATGTCTGGGTCCTTAGTCACATCTGCAAAGATCCTTTTCCTATATAAGGTGACATATTCACAGGTTCCAGGGATTAGAATGTAGCCATCTATGGGGGAAGGGAGACATTACTCTGCCTATCACCCATAGTATTTCTTTTAATTCACTATCTAGAAATAAATCTTAAGAGAACATGTTCAGAATCTCCATGGGGAAAGTAGAAAATTAGAAAAATTTGTTGAGAGAAGTTAAAGAAGATTCAAACAAATTGATGAGTATAATCCATGAACATGGTATAGAAGATTCAATAAAAGATACCAGTTCTCTCAAAACTGATGTCTGTATGTATATATACACATATACACTTAATATAGTTCTAATAAAAATCCTTCCAAAAATGTATAGCTAATTCTAAATTTTATATGCATATTCAAAGAGCTCTTACCACTTCTATTTTACATAGGAATGGAGGCTCTAGCCAGGGAAATTAGGCAAGAAAAGCAAGTAAAAGGCATGCAAATTGGAATGGAAGAAGTAAAACTGTCTCTATTTGCAGATGTAATCTTATCTATAGAAAATCCTAAGGAATCCACATAAAACTAATTATAGCTAATAAACAGTTTTAGCAAGGTTTCAGGATACAAGATCAATATAGAAAATGAATTGCATTTCTATACACAGGCAATGAATAATTCAAAAATGAAATTAAGAAAAGTTTCATTTATAGCAGTATCAAAAAATAAGCCACTTAGACATAATTTAACCAAAGAAGTATAAGACATGTACAATAAAAACTTCAAAATATCATTTTAAGAAACTAAGATGTAAGTCAGTTGACCCACATCTCATGTTCATGGATTAGAAGATTTAACATTGTTAAGTGGCAGTATCCACAAATTGATCTACACATTTAACACAATTCATATCAAAATCACAACAATTTTTTTTCAGAAAGCAGTAAGCTGTTCTTAAAATTCAAATGAAAATACAAAGAATTCAAAATAGCCACGTACACACACACACACACACACACACACACACACACACAAATATTGAAAAAGAAAAAAGCTGGAGGGACTCAAACATTTCAGTTTCAAAACTTACTACAAAGCTATAGTCATCAAGACAGTGTGGTACTGGCATAAAGATACATAAATAGAGTTGAGACTCCAGAAATAAGCTTATACATTTATGGTCAATTGTTTTTTTTTACAAGGACGCCAAGAAAATTACGTGGCCAAAGAATGGTCTTTTCAATAAGTGATGTTGGAATAACTAGATATTCATCTGCAAAAAAAAAAAAAAAAAGATGTTGGGCCCCAGCTTCACACCACACACAAAAATTAATTCAAAATGGCTCAAAGACCTCAATATAAGAGCTAAAACTGTAACACTCTTAGAAGAAAACAGGTATAAATTTGTGTAACCTTGGATTAGGCAGTGGTTTCTAAGATATGACACCTAAATCACAAGCAACCAAAGGAAAAAAAAAAGATTGATTGGAATTTATCAAAATTTAAAACATTGTGCTTCAAAGAATACTAACGAGAAAGTGAAAAGATGATCCAAAGAATGGGATGAAATATTTGCAAATCACATATCTGATATCAGATTACGTCTAGTGTCCAGAATATATTAAGAACTCTTAAAAACTCAATAATAGAAGACAAATAGACTGATTTTTAGGTGGATCTGTGTATTAGTCTATTCTCATGCTGCTAATAAAGACATACCCAAGACTGGGTAATTTATAAAGAAAAAGACATTTAATGAACTCACAGTTGGATATGGCTGGCGAGACCTCACAATCATGGCGGAAGACCAAGGAGGAGCAAAAGCACATCTTACATGGCAGCAGGCAAGAGAGCATGTGCAGGGGAACTGCCCTTTATAAAAGCATCAGATCTGATCTTGTGAGACTTACTCTCATGAGAACAGCACAGGAAACCCTGCCCCCATGATTCAGTTACCTCCCACTGGGTCTTTTCCATGACACTGGAGGATTATGGGAGCTACAATTCAAGATGAGATTTGGGTGGGGACACAGCCGAACCATATCAACCTCAATAGATATTTATCCAAAGAAAATATGCAAATGACAAATGAGTGCATGAAAAGATCTTCAACATCATTTGTCATTAGGGAAATGCAAGTCAAATCCACAATGTGATACCACTTCAAACTTACTAGGATGGATGTCATCAAAAAGATTCACAATAACAAATGTTGGCAAGGATGTGGAGATATTGGAACCCTCATATATATTACTGGTTGAAATGTAAAATGGGTGCACCCTCTTTGGAAAACTGATGGTTCCTCAAAAAATTAAACATACAGTTATCACATCACCCAGCTATTCTATGCCTAGGCATATACCCAAGAAAATTGAAAACATGCATTTACCCAAACATTTGTATAAATGTTCATAGTAGCTTTATTCATAATAGCCAAAAAGTGGAAACAACCCAGATGTCCATCAGCTGATGAATGAATAAGCAAAATAACACCTTATCCATAAAATGACACGTTATTCATCCATAATAAGGGATGAAGTACTGATGCATGCTACAACATCAATAACCTTTGACGTTACTCTCAGTGAAAGAAGCCAGCTACAAAAGGCCACCTATTGTATGAATCCATTTAAATGAAATACTCAGAATAGGCAAATTTATGGAAACAGAGAGTAGATTAGTGATTGCCAAGAACTGCAAAGAGTGGGAATGGAAAGTGACTGCTAACAGGCATGGAGCTTCTTTTGCAGTGATGAGATGCTCTGGTATTCATTAGTAGTGGTGGTGATTCACATCCTTACGAATAAAGTAAAAATCACCAATGTATTCACTTTAAAGGAGCAAATGTTGTGGTATACGAGTTATATTTAAAGAAAAAGGAAAGAAAGAAATGTAAGCTGAGGAACCAGGAAACTTGAGATCAGCCTTTAAAGAATTTAAGACTTTTGCAGTGATCTAAGTGTTAGGTAAAAAGCATCTGGATAGCAAAGGGAAAGAAAACAGTGAATCGCAAGGTCTTTTGATGGAAAAATGTGATCCATTTGGTAAATGACAAGATAAATGGAGAAAAAGAAAAGAATATAGCATGCCTACAATTTTTGGAGACCGAAATAGACTACTGAATAAAATTCTTCATTTATCTTTACTTCTGAGCCTAAGCACAGTATATTTTTAAGTAAGAGGAAGTGTGGAGTAAGTAAACATAATCAAATCTGTATATTTAAATTTAAATCTGTATATTCGAAGCTAAATATCTTTCGTTTTTTGCACAAAAGAGCAGTTTTTGCCATTATGTAATTGGTAACAATATACCTTTATTTGTTTCATTAAATATTTACCAGCTCCTTTTTAGTATGTCTTGTTGTATGAACTAGTATAGAATATTTAATGTACATTGTGTTTTTGCATGTTTGAAAAAGTATCTAAAAATTATTAAACCAATCATAACAAAAGAAAGCATGTATTAAGCATATTTCACTTTATAATTTTATTTCAGTTGTATTACCACTCAATCCAAAAATTGTATTTTAATGTAGTAGGATTTTATATTAGTAAAATGTTCATGTTTTGAGTTACTCTTTGATTTATCAAATGTGTTCAGTTGGAGAATCGTCCTCAGGAAAGGCTTCAAGGAGCCTTGCACAGCATATTCCTGGCCCTGGTGGCATTGAAGGCGTAAAAGGGGCAGCATCTGGAGTTGTTGGTGAATTAGCACGAGCCAGGCTGGCACTAGATGAAAGAGGGCAGAAACTTGGCGATCTGGAAGAAAGAACTGCGGCCATGTTATCAAGTGCAGAGTCATTTTCTAAACATGCTCATGAGGTACGACTCTCAAACAGATATTTGAACAAAAAGCTCTAGGTAAAGCAAGTGTGAATGTTACTTTATTTTTATAGCTATTGTATTTCTACACCCATGAATTTGCATATATTCATTGTACAATTGCAAGTTCCTGATTTTTGCCACCAGAGGGAACCATTACAGGAATGTATCTCTAATAGCCTTTGGTTTCTTACTATAAGATTATAAATTTTGAAGGAATCTGCCCACCTTCAGGCTTTTGGTAAGCAAAGCTACCAGCTTTGCAACTGTTTCTTAAGGAATGCGATACCAATGTTAATTTTTCTTAATGCCTCAGAGTCTACTACCACTTTGTCCTAGAAAAAGAAATAATTTGCCTCCTTGAGTCTTCCAGATAGATATAAATAACTAAAATTGACAAACCTTTTTATTTAAATAAACAATACTAAGTCCGCGTTGTGGACCAATTCATATGGAGGAGTAGAGAGATGCATTTTGCAATGGTGGACCTAGGAAGTCATGATAGAGCTCAGAAACACACGCTGTAAAGTAGGGATCCCTGACTGGCCCCCTTACACCACATCGTGCTCTTAAAAAGCTGAATTTAAAAGCCTTTACGGGAAATAACACATTTTTCATTTTGACACACAGGCCTGCCTTTCCTTGGTGCTTTACACTAGGTTACTTCACACATCTAGTTCCTAGGCTGGCCCTGGAGGACATTTTGAATTTGTCTGAAGAAACAATTTTAAGGTTGTTTTTATATTTGAGCACCCAATCTGTAGTGGTAGCTCTTTTTTAAATTTTTCAACCAAAAGTCATTTCCTCCTTGCTCAAAAATGCGGAAATCTAGAATGCATGAAGAGGTAACTTGACCTGGAAGATACTTGTCTAGGGCTTCAGAGAGGTTCAGAGATCCTTTATGATTACTTGTACTATACCCAGGCACCTCAGATACAGGCTTGTGGTGGTCAATCTAGGTCAGGATTTTTGTTGTCATAACCCTACACCCGATTGTATGATCTCTACAGCATGTAGCATTTCAGTCAATTTCGGAATATATTCACACTCTGAATATTTAGGAAATATTTAATCTCACACTGTTAACTTTCCCTTCTACCAGTTGTTCTTGAGCCATATTTCAGAGTCTAAGGAAGACAGTACATTGAGGTAGTTACAATCACAGGTTCTTGAATTAGACTGCATGGGCACAAATTCCAGTTTCACTACTGCATTACCTTGGGCAACCCCTAGAAGCTTCAGTTTCATTTATTAAATGGGGAGAAAAACAGTGCCTAGCCCAAGAATGGTTATGACTGAAATCAAGTAGGAAAAGTGTGTCATGCAGTGTCTGGCTCAGAATAGATGCTCAGTAAATTTGAGATGGCAGGAGGAGTAGCATTTTCAACCTTTAATTCGCCAGTTCTTCAAGCATTATTTTTAATTCATAGTACAAAATAAAAATTATCTTACTTTTATATTACTAGCTTAGGTCACCAAATTATGTCACATTTCTAAGAAATCTGTGGAACTTCTAGGCTAGTTCTTAATGGATATCGTATTTTTTCCTCCAAATAGAATAGTTCTTACTGCTTTTAATAAGTTGAAGTAAGCATATAGTAGCACTACAGAATATTGCAGAATGACATAATGTTTTGGAAAAATATAGAAATCACTTATAAATGTTATTGTTCCGGCATTTTAAAAGCATGTTTTTCTTTTTTTTCCCCCTTTAGATTATGTTGAAATACAAAGATAAGAAGTGGTACCAGTTCTGACAACCAGAATCCAATAAGTCCAACTTCAGCCAGAAGGAAAAAAGTTTTCCATTTTTATTACATTCTTTAGGAAAGTTAACGTTAAAGGGATGTTCGTCACTGAATACTGTTCTTTCCTAGCACAGTCATGCACTGTTTTACCTCAGTCATGTGGCTTTAACTGAGGAGTGTTCACACGCACTCGAAATGGAGTATATGGTGTGTGCCAGTTATGAGTTGACCATTTGGGAATTAAACAGGTCACACGTGACAGATGAAGAAACCAAGGGGGCTGCTGAGGAGACCTGGTGCAGGGACTAATCCTGGATCATTCCTGTATTAAACTTTCATATGCCAAAAGGGTTTGTGCCGTTTTATCTGCCATCAGTGTTTGACCTGTTTAGGGCAGAGGCAATAAGTCAGAAGTCTTGAAGTTGAAATAGTTATATGTGTGTCATTGGACTGGATTATAAACAGCTGTCTTGGACTTTCCCTCTCTTAACACTGACTGGTCATCAGTATCATTAGTGAAAAAGAAACAAATTGTTTGTTATCATCTCTTTAGACAGATAAGCTGAATGGTGGGCTTTAAATAATAAAAACATACACATAGTTGACTTGTGTATGAGCTACTCTTGGATTCTTGTTATTATAGACTTGTATTTAGTTCATATTTTGTCAAAAGCAAAACAAGAAGATACATCACTTTTCATTGAAAAGAAAAGTGTAGAGCATGACTGAATTGCTCATCATTCTGGGAGTTTCCATGTAGTGGCTATGCAGTGTGGAAAGTGAGAAAAACCTCCATTGTGGTGAGGAGAATACTTCAATGTCCCTTGTCCTTGTTCTCATTAATTCAGCTAAAGGTGGATTTGACCAAAATAATGCTGGTTAAATTTGTAGAAATGTTGAAATTGGCTGTGTTTTAAATTTTGCTTGAATTTTTATAAAATGTTTAACCAAATGTACCTTTGCATTCTTTAATTAAAATTGCTTAAAAAAAAACTTTCATTATTTCAGTAAAATGCTCAGCTCCCTTTTCAAAATGCCCTTTATTTGCTAACTGTTCCAATACACTCAGGTGATGAGCCAATTAAATGTTAGTGCACATGCTATCGCATGGAAAATTACAAGCATCTGTTGTCAATAATTATATAAGAGTTTAGTCTGATGACCTACAAAATATTTTGTGTAGAAATATACTATAAATCTGTACATATCCTTTCAAGGTTTTAAAAAACCAAAAAGAAAGGAAAATATGTACACTGTGATAACTAAATTATTTCTGTATTGGAATATAATACAATTTGAGACCAGCAATGGACAATGAATGATTGTTTCATAGAATAGCATTACGGGCAGGAAAGAAACCACCTAGTAGATCTAGAAGTAAGCAATCTCAGAATACAGACTAATCTGAGATTATTATTGATTGTTGTTAAAGCAACCCAGCAAAAGCAAAATGGAAGCATTAAAATTAATGTTAATGAAATTTAAATATTGTCTTCTATAAAAAATTCCTTTAAATGATTTTGTTTTTTCATTAAGAGATAATCAGAGCACAAATTGATAGTAAACAGGATGGTTGTTTTTCTATTCTATATGATCATTAAAGGAATATGTAGGACATCTTAACTTTTTCATACAGTCTGTTATGCATATTTTCCTCTACTTTTCATTAATAAAGCTTTTATGTTTACATTTTATAACATGCACTACTAGATGCAAAAGTTTACATCAAAGTTTACTTTAAATATCATTTGGTAGGGACTAAATGTGTGTGATAGAGATAATTGATCAAGCCAAAAGAAATATTTTTTAAATAAGCCCTTTTCAAAAGTTTTTGAATTTATAGAAAGCACCAATGAATAACATATTTCTGTTTCGTTAATGTCAGCTGCCTGAACATTCAGCAGTTTATAAATTGCTTAATTTGTGTTATCTATTATCCAGTAAACCCATAGTTCCATGATATGTCACAGGAATTGTTAGGTCCTATTTTAAAGGTACAGTTTTGTGAATGTCATCAATAAAATCAACAGTTATGGATTTGAAGAAGTTGGGAAAGCATTATGTAGATTAATATACTGGTTGGTTCCCTATCTATGTGGAAGGTCATATTAGCTGCAATTATTTAATTTGCTGTGTTATTTTGTGTTATATAACACAAATATATTTGTATATTAACTTCATTTTTACTGTCATTTTTCCTGTTGTATACAAAATGAACTAATCTTGTAATTATTTTCAAATATAGAAGTATATACATTAGATGGATTTCCAAGATTTTGTAAGAAAATCTTAAATCAGTGTTTTGAGTTATTTAATTTTTAAATTAATCTACAAATTATGCACAACAAACTAGAGACTCAGTTAGGATTAGAAAGCTTAAAGTATGTTTGAGTGTAGGAAATAAGCTTCTCAGAGTTATACTTGATTCTGTCTGTAGATAAGAGACAGTCTACAGTAATAACTAACCCAGGGAATTTACTGTAATTTGAGAGGTAACATCTCTATTTTTTTCTTTTTAAATACAGAAAGTAATAGTCACCAGCAAGCCACGATTTCAGGAAAACTGACTAAAAAAAAAAGTCAAAATAGAAAATATCAGAAAAATGAAAGATTTTTGTGTGCCCTCTCCATATCCTCATTGTTTTTGTTGCATTTGTCCTTGACTCTAAAATCACTGAAGTATTCATGATTAGTAGTTTGTAAGTAGGAAGTGGTTTTTCTGTATGTACCATATATCCAGTTCATTTCAGTTTTCAAACTAAAATCCATATGTATTTGCTGAGAAAGTTATTTGAAATCTTATATTCTGACAAATTCTGTACATTACATCCATTTGAAGTTTTGCATCATCTTAACACTTTTGCTTTGCATTTCAATTGTACAAAGTGTTTCCAAAAAAATGGTTATAGATTCGACTGAGCTATTACTAACTTCTCCATTTGATTTTTTATGGATGTGAAAAATGCTGCTACTTGTCTATGTTATTATGTGTAAGTATATTACAATTTAATTAAGTACAATAGTTTAAAGAACGAAGCAATTTTTTTTTTTTTGGCTTAGAACTTCTTAATTGTAGGTTCCTCTGAAGCGATTTCATGTAGATATGTGAGTGTTTTAAACAAGTCTGAAAGTGTTACATACTTTTAGGTTACAGGGGTGCTGGGGAGACAGCTGAGGAAAGGAAGAATATGTGGAAGACACCACGGAGTTCAAAGTTTTACCCTGAGTTCTATCTTCCATGTATGTTTTGCTTAAGGCATTTCTCATGTGACATTAGAAAAGCTATATCCAAAGGTAAATTTTTTGTGGCAAAGATTTATTTTACACTTTAACTTTTGGGATTTTATTTGTTTCAGCAAAATAAAGAGCACTGAACTTTAAACTTGAATTTTTTCTGCACTTTTTTAGGTAATGAAAACTTTTTATTATCATTTAATCCACATTGCTCAGTTTAAACCAAGTGATACATGTGTATAAAACATACCAAAATCATGAATATGCTGCTAGCTGTACCTTAAATAAACTGATCAGTTTTAAAACCTTTAATAGGGTTTTATATAGATTTAAAAAATAGTAAAATAATCTGCTGTATGTTTCAGTGTTCTTGGTCTTAAATTATTGCAACACTTTCAGATTTGTTTTAAGATCATACAGTAACATGTTATATTTATACATACTGCTAGAAAATATACTTTTAGTTTTAAAATGGAATTTTTATAAATGTACTTTAATTTTAAAATGGTGAACTTGTTAAGTTTAAGTCAAAGTACTTAAAAAGTATGTATATTATCCATACAAAAAGTTATGTTTTACGCTTATAATAAGAAATACTGGTATCTCATATCGAGATACAATTAATTTTAAAAAATCATACATCATTTAAAAATCTTCACACATGAACAGGAAAGATATCATTTCTATGCTTTAAAAAACCCTCTATTGAGCATTTTCAAATATTAATTTTATTTTGGGGGAAAATGCCCACAACAATAATTGCAAGATCTTTCTCAATAGCTTCAGTTTGCTGTTGGATGCCTACCTTAACTATTGTTTTAAAATATAGATATATATATATATATTTAAAATAGTTTTCCAGGTATTTTCTTCTACCTTTTTTAAAAATAAATTTCCAAAAATGAAAACAGAGTTTATGTATTTTTGTCAATGAAGGTTTTTATTTTGTAGTTTATAGAATTTGTTCCTTATCAGTTTGATACTTGATCAACATTCTTAGACTTTTTAATCTGTATTTACTTTGGGGGGAAAAAAGCACTCCTATATCTTAAATGTCCTTCTTTTTTCTTTTCCCTTTTAGGGTATTTGTTCTCTTGGATTGAAATTTATGCCCACAGATTTTTCTTTTCATTTGAAAATGAATGTGAAGATACTGTTTACAGCTTTTGTTAATTGCACTTTTCATCACTCTGATCAATTTCTTGTAAAGTGCTATGGGAATTATTTTTCCTGTGAATATTAATGATTTTACTACTGCCTCCGAAGTTTTAAAAAAGGTTCTGTAGACAGAAAACAGTTGTTGCAACCAAAAACAACCAAAAAAAGAAAAAAAGGGAAAACTGGCTTACCTTTCTCAGATGAATTAAATGATTTTAATAACTTCCCAATTACCAGGGTTATAACATTGCTTTCTTCAGTTATTAATACAGTCAAATTAATTTTAACAATATAGGCACAATTCATTTACAAATTCAGTACAGTAGTCCAGGGCTACATGTAAGTGGTCTCTTTATTTTATTCTTTACATCAGAAAAATCATGAATGTCAGTTTTGCCAGTATTTTACAATGAGGCTTATCGTTTAAAATTTTATAGTGTATGACATGTAAATAAACCAGTATTTATTGTAGGTTGTTTGATTCAGGCATTTCAAATGGATATAGGTTAATGGCAATGGAATCCTATTTATTTGGTAGTTGGTTTTGTTTGTTTTTGTTTATTTACTTTTGCTATTTGTTTTGTATTGTCTAAACTTTGCTTCAACTGAAGACAGTGTAAGGAGTTGAAAATACAATCAACATAGCAATGGAAAGCAATGCAAAGAGGGTAAATCTTGTTTTAATTTTTTTAACTTTTTTTTTTTGTAAATAAATAGTACTGTGATACTTTAGGTGTGACCTCTATTCCACATGATAGTTAGAACCAGAAAAACACTTTTGCTTTCTAGTTATACTATTGGTTCATTGTAAATGCATTACCAAAAGACAATATGAAAAAGAGCAAGATTAAGTTTTTCTAACATTGTCCACTTCAGGGGCAAGCATGCTTGGTATAGAGCTCTAGCTTGTGTATACCTTAAACTGTAACTTGCAGGTGTTTTTCAGTTGCTGCACTTTTTATTTAATCTTGCTCAGTCCCAGTAACTATCTCAAAGGTAATTGCTGGAATATGCATTTTGAAATACGGTTTAAAAAAAATCTGTGTATTGTTTCATCTAAAAAGAAAAGCACTATTGGAAACACTAAAAACGTGTTAAACTTTGTAGTTATTTTGCATTCCTGTACTTTACAAACTGTCATCACAGCAAAAAGTTTAAAATTAGGTAATGAAATATTTTTGTAAATAAATACCGTTAAGCTGGTATTTTAAAAAATGTATTATAAATTAATTAATGTTTCTGGAAAATGTTCATATATATGTATATGAATGTCTCTTTATGCTGAAGGGCTCTGATTGGGCAAAATAAAATACTCTAATCTCTCCTGAAACTAAACAAGCCCTTTTTCCTGGAAAATTTGTTCTAATTTTTTTCTGAATTATGGAATTAATCTATTAATAACCTAAGAAAATAATTGATTAAAAAAATAGATTCCCACATTTACTGAAAGTGAAGCTAATCATATAACTCAGGTAATACCAACTATATTTTTCTTGACTATCTGGAGTTTTTGGTGAAAAACACCTACCCCTGTGTTGGGTGGATTGAGAGTAAAGGAGACAGGGTGAGAGTTAAGGAATAGGAATGAAATCTGAGTGCATGCTTCTTGGCCTTTAGTGTGTACGCGAATCACCTGAGGATCATATTAAAATACAGATTCTGATTCATTGCATTTGAGGTGTGGCCTGATTTTGCATCTCTAACAAGCTTCAAGCTAATATAGATGCTGCTGGTCTTGGAACATACTTTGAGTAGCAAGGATATGGATAGTTTCCACAGAGTGTCAGTGTCCAACTACTTGTACGAAAAATGAGTATCACATTAATGAATCTTGAAAAATGTAAAGAAGACCAAACAGTACTTACCACTGTTTCTGTTGTGTTTTAGAATAAAAGACGTAGTAGTTCTCTTATTACATTGAAGGATTATTTGATTTTGAAATATATATATTTTTTATTGTGACACATGCTTATCCCACATGGTGGCAGTCTCGTCTCACTGTGTGAGCCTTTAGCAAGAAGCGTTGCAGTACAATTTTACATGGGAAAAAAACATAGACTTTCCAAAGGATAATTTTCATGATACTTTTTTATCCAGAAAGTTACTAAACACTCTTAGATATGGAACAGATAATATGTTCCTAAGGTATTATAAAGTTATGTAAATCATTTGGTAGAGTGATCTGGTTTATTATCAAAAAATTTTTCAGTGTCTTTCTAGGAAATAGAGGCATAAAGTGATAAAATTTTAAAAACTGAAGATTGTCTTCATGTCTCCGGTCATGCCTTTTTAAAGAACATTATATTGGGTATGTGCTGTGTAAATAGTACAGTGCTATCCACTGCTTTAGATAAAAATTTAAGTTGTCATTGTAACCCTTCATAGGAATTTACAGGAAGATTCTGATTTTCTAGGAGTTTACAGGAAGATTCTGATTTTCTTCCATTAGTTTAAAAATTGTATGTTTGCCCCATTTTTATGCTTTTTTCAGTTTTTGTACAAAAGTGTTTTGTCCTAGGTACCTTAAGGAAAGCTTTCAAAATGCTTTTTTTAGACTAAAACATCTTTTAAATAAGAAAATACTTACCTGTCATTTTATTTTTTTCAAATTCAGTCTGTCTTTTTAATATCAATAATGTATATTCTGTTAACTTTAAACTTATGGAAATATTCTAACATTTAGTTTTAGTCATTTTATATGATTTTATACTGTTTTAAAAAACAAAACCCCATAGCTTCTTTTTTTAATAACTTTTCAAAAACAGCATGAAAGTAAGATACATATTTAACAAGGTTCCAACAAAATAGAATATTCTGTTAGTAGCAAAGGAAGGGAGTCTGAGGACTTCATTTAAAGTTATTAAGGAGAGAGAGAGAGAGTGTGTGTGTGTGTGTGTGTGTGTGTGTGTGTGTGTGTGTGTGTCCCACCAAACAAGAGACCTCCTTGTTCATCTCTCCCGGGCTGAGTTCGACTCTGAACCTTTCTTTCCACTTCTCTCTGCTGCTTCCATTTCATTTCTGTTCCTGCCCCCCATGCCTCTCACCCCAATTCTCTTTACTCTTTAGTATGTTTTATTTTAGCTAACTACTTTTCTTTGCCCATTTAGCAGGGAAATAATGCAATCCCTCTGTTTCCCAGGGCCCCTCCTAAATACTGAGTAGATTTGTAAATAATGTTTGTAAATACAATAACGCCATCCCTACTCTTTGTTACCTCCAGACACTCAAAATATCAGCAGATAAAGCAAAACACATTAGTACATGGAAGAAATACTGTGCTGAGGCTGAGAATTGTAACTCCCAAGAGCACTGCAGGAGTATGTTTGGATAGAACACACTGCTGCTTCACTAGGGTGTTTATCCAGCTTGCTTTTTTATTTTTTGAGACACAGTCTCACTCTCACACAGGCAGAAGTGCAGTGGTACAATCATGGCTCACTGCAGCCTTGAACTCCTGGGTTCAAGCAATCCTCCTGCCTCAACCTGCCAAGTAGTTTGGACTACAAATGTGCCTCACCACTTCCAGTTAAGTTTTTTATCTTCATTTTTTTGTAGTGACAGGTTCTCACTATCTTGTCCAGTCTGGTCTTGAACCCCTGGGCTCAAGCGATCCTCCTCCCTTGACTTCCCAGAGTGCTGGAATCACAGGCATGGGCCACCACACCCAGCCAGGTGTTTTAGCTTTCAAGATCAAAGATGCCCAGAAATTACAGCATTGCATGAGTACAAAAGTTAGAAGACCACACATTTCAGAAAGTGAAAACCTCCATGTTCCTTTAATAACAATGTGACTGCAGATACCATTAGTCTAAGCAGTGGTTCTCCAACTTGAACATCAGAATCTCCTGGATACACAACTTTTGTGAAAACACATCACTGGATCACATCCCCAGAGTTTCTGATTCAGTAAGCCTGCAGTGGGGCCCGAGGATTGGTATCTTAACAAGTTCCCAGCTGATGCCGAAGGTGCCAGTCTGCAAACCACACTTACTGAGAACCCTGATGTAGAGCAATGCCCTAGAAGCAGTGTCTTCTCTGTATCACATGGTTTAGATGTCTCCGTTACTATCTGGTAATGAAATTATAGATAATATGCTTGCCTATACATTCAATTTTTAAAAATCAACATAGTGTCTGAACTAATGTGCCAGAGATATGAAATGAAAGCAATTTATAATTTTTAAAAAAGTATTTCAATATGCAAATGCTGAGGTTACACACAAGAAGAACAAAGACAAGTCACACATATTTCTAAAACGTTCCGAAGGGGGTATCCCCTCCTAACCTCACTCCCGTTGTAGCCTCACTTTGCCCCTCACACCCTCTGACGTTTGAACCCTTGGGCCAGAGAGTAGAACCTGCAATAGGACCCATCCTTTTTCAAATTTGTTCCCATGCAGTGGGACTGTCACGAATATGTTTATAAATGTTATGCCATAATATATACATGAAAGTATAGACTACTTAAATGCTAGTTTGGAATTTTAGAGCAGTTTGCATTAATTCCTCTTACAAATTTATATTCACTTTCTTATTTAAGCTGTTTTTGAACTAGAGTGAATTAGAGAGCCAAGACTTATCTTTATAAATTTGTGCCTGAAACACACTAATCAATATATGGTATGCTTCTCCTAACAAAAACTCATCTTGACAAACAGAGCAATGAATTCATTCTAGGAAGATTATATAGATTCTTACAGATTATAAACATCTATTATATAACATTAGTATTGGAAACTTTCACTTTTTCTGATAACCAAAACTCAATCTGTGATTATTGGTTAATTATTAAACAAGTCCATTTGCCTAGTATTTAAGTGCATTAAAAGTGGGCATTTATATAGAGCTCATTTCAAATGCCAAGCACGTCTGTCTGAGTGTGAAGACCAGAATTCTGTCCCTAAGTTTACCAGCAATACCAATGACCTTTTCCAAGTTAACCTCTATTTGCCTGAGTTTTGTTATTTATAAAACCGTGATCTAAATACTAGCCTTCCCTACCTCAGCCACTGTAGGGAATGTAATAACGTCTGAAAATCATTAGAAAAACAATTAGCATACACAAAGATTTATGATCTTAAAAATCTTAGTCGTTTAGAAGCTCTGTGAATCAGATATATTTGAATAAGGAAGAACAAATAGCAAGTCTTATATCAGGATCAGCAAATCAGTATTATTACTGCTATAATCAGGATAAAAATTGATACATTATCTTTAATAAAAGAATGAAGATCAAAATGTCTTTGAATTTCATAAGCACCTTTCGTTTCAACTGAATTTTTTCTTTGTTGTGTGTTTACTCCAGGGAGCCAGCTCAGGATGCGTTTATTGCCAGCTATCATCAGGATACAAGATCTTACTGAAATTACTCTGGTTACCTTTCAAAACAGAACTGTAACCAAATCCCAGTACCTGGAAATTTGTTTTTTAAAACAAATGTATTTATATTTGTCTGTTTTCATACTATAAAGAACTGCCAGAGACTGGGTAATTTAGAAAGGAAACAAGTTTAATTGACTCAAGTTCAGCATGGCTAGGGAGGCCTCAGGAAACTTACACTCATGGTGGAAAGTGAAGAGGAAGCAAGGCACTTTCTTCACAAGGTGGTAGGAAGGAGAAATGCAGAGTGAAATGTGGGGGAAGAGCCCTTTATAAAACCATCAGATCTTGTGACACCTCACTATCATGAGAAAAGCATGGGGGAAACTGTCCCCATGATTCAATTACCTCCACCTGATCTCTCCCTTGGCACCTGGGGACTATGAGGATTAGGAGGATTACAATTCAAGATGAGATTTGGGTGGGGACACAAAGCCTAACCATGTCAATATTTAAATTCATATATGCATATTTTTTCCTATCTGGTATAGACAGTAAATACTTTTGGAGGTTTAGTCATAGCATAGTTAACATACTTTTCACAGATTCTTTATAAAATATCTCAATATAAAAATTATCTTAATTTAGAATGTTATCTTCCTGTTCTTTTATAGAGCAGATTGCCTCTCAAAGACTTAATTAAGCAGGTAAAAAAGAGACTTTGGAGTCAGGCCAATGCTGCTTACCAATAGTGTGACTTTAAGTTACTTAAGCTTTTTTTTTTTAAAAAAAAAAAAAAAAAAACTTATTTCCTTCAAATATTAAATAATAGAAACAGTGCCAACTTTGAGATTGTTTGATGGACTCCATGTAAGAATGTGAGTCACATAACTCAGCAGAGCAGCCTCCCTGTGGGGGCACCCTGGGCTCTCCAGCCTGAGACAGCAGAGTATAGGAACTTGAGTGTGGGCTCTTTCCAGACTTTAACTGCCTGCTCCATGATATGCATGGCCTTGAGCAGGCTATGAAACTTCTCTACGCCTCAGTTTCCTATCTGTAAAATGGTAATGATTATGAAGTTAATATAGTACATCTCAAATGCTCAGGATAGTATCTGATGCATACAGCATTGCATTAAACTAAGATGCCACTGAGAGTAATATGTGCCATTATTGGTACTACTAACAAACAAAAACACTGGTAATTTGTGTTTAAAAGACATATCCTGATTTTTTAAAGATTTAAAACTATGAAGATGGCTATCTAGGAATTGGTGATCTGGTAGTAAGCACTCAATGAATGTTTACTGTTATTAGGAGTACTAGAAAATAAGACTCCCTCCCTCTGTCTACTTGTAATCACATGCATTCCAAGAGTAACCACCATGAAGAGGAGGAAAGACCTAAAAATTCCTCTCAAGTGCTTCCCTAGGCACAGGTCTTTTGAATGCTGCGCTACTGAAGCTAGGATTCACATGGTTCCGTCTTAGGTCAGGACTGTTTGTAGGTCCTATTGTTAGGTCCTGTTGTTTCAGGCAGCAGAATACAAAAGATGAAAAGTACTTATAAAGGAATTCCATTCTTTATTGACTCTCTCAAAAGATTCTAAAAGGGACCCAACTCAAAGCCCCCAAAACACTTCTCATAGCCCTTTTCCTTTTGAATTTTTAATTGCCCAGTACTCCCTGAAGACTTTCAAATGTCAAATGTTCCATCCTTCTCTCCCCTTAGACTCTGGCTCCCAGATATGTATTAAGAATGATCTAAGCTTTCACTTGCATCTCAGGTAAGATGCTCTTCTGTGTCCCTCTGGGTCACTAGACACTGGGGGAGCTCTCTCCAGTCCTCAGCTGAACCATGCCATCCAGGTATCTACTCTCATGTGGGGACCGCCTGTGTATTCCAAGGGGAAGTAGAGCCTCAGTCCTCCCACTTATCCTCAAATTCTTCAGAGAGTTCCATCGTTCCTCTCCCCTCCTTAGAGCTAACCCCTGGGGGTCCGGCTCAGAACCCTGTCCACACTCTACCCCAGCCTGTGAGATTATTTTCATCTGCATAGCATGATAACAATTATCTGTATGCCTCTGGTTTAGGCCAGAACCTCAGCTCTTGATGTTTAAACCAAGCTGCCATTTACTCAAAAACTTTTTGCCTGAAAGCTATTGTCTATACCATAATCTCCAAAACTCTCTTTTGAAATTCAATTCCCAGCTTTTTTTTTTATTCAACAAATATTTGTTGGACCCCAGGACGTGTCAGACTCTATTTTAAATATTGGAAATAGAAAAGTGACCGAGACCCTGTTCTGGAACTTGTATCAGTGACAGTGACATTTTTCTTTCTGTTTGGTTCTTCATCAATAGCTCTAACTTCAGGACAAAGAGGAGGAAGTGCCCTAGCTAACCGAGCAAGGAAAAACAAGGTATTTTGTATATGGGATGAGGAAATAAATCATTTAAAACATAAAATACTATCCCACCATAAATATTTATTAAGCACATATTCTCCCTTCCTCCACACTCACATCTAATCAGTTGCCAGTGGGTCCTTTTTACTTCCCACGTGGCTCTCAACTTTCCCTTTTTTTCCCTGCTGCTCAGGGCCTGCCGCTGTTTCTGCATCTTCAGCCTGAATTACTGATACTCCTGATGGGTCTCCCTGTTCAGTCTCCTCCTTCTCCAATGTGTTCTATCCCAGCTCCAATTAGGCTGTTTCCTATTGAAACTTTTCAAAGGCTCCTCCAGTGACCCTAGTGAAGTTCAGCGCTTTAATTTGGTGAGATGTCTCCTTAACATTCTACCTTCCATATTTCATTATTTGGGTATCATACCCCATTCTAAGCTAATTTCCCGCAATTTGCTCTTCCCCTAAACAATATGTGCTGTCAATTCTCTGTGCTTTTGTTCATGCCTGGAATACCCTTCATTTCCTTCTTAGCCTGGAAAAATTCCCATAACCCTTTATGATCAAGCTGCAATATCACTTTCTTCTCTTGAAGGCCGTCCATGCCCCAGGATTAATTGCTCTCTCCTCTCTGCTACACCACTTCTTCATACCATTAGATAAGTCCTTATCACAATGTGGTCTAGCTTGTTGTTCTTGCATACATCTCCTCTCCAGTTTATGAGTTCTTTGAGAAAGGCTGTTTGTCCATCTTTTTAGCTCCAGTATCTGGCATAATACCTGTCAATTAGAAGGTGTTCGTTAATATTGGTTGATAATGTTTTTACATATTTACACACATGCATAAACCATCATATGTACCTACACGCACATATATTTTTAGATGTTTTGTAATTTAATATATCCGTATTTCTGTCCTAAATGTTCAGTAGCTGCTGATGTTTCTTTTGGAACGTATCCATAAATACAAAATTGCCTTTTATTTTGAATAGACTAATATTCTATTTGAAGGCTTTCATAGTTCTGACAGTTTTGACAGCTTGACTGTATCTGAAAGTTTATTATTAATCTGTAACACTTTATATTCTGTACTCTGTATCTATATTTAATATGCTGTTTAAATAAGATTCCTCAGATAGTTAAGAAGACACAGTCAAAAACATGAGTCAAAGGCAAGAACTTAGGCATTGCCAAATCAAGTGATACAATGGTTTGAAATAAGCTATCAGGTTCTCATTCTGTTTCATGATCATTTAATTTCTCAGAGAGGAATATTTAAATTCAGCTTTAAGGTGAGAAACAACAATAGTAAAATCCAAAAGAGAATCGTTTTAGTCTTTTTTTCTCTCATTGTCTTTTTTTTCCTCGTTAGTCCATGAACTAGTATCACCAGGAAAGACCTGGGATCCTGGTTTGAAACTATGAAATAAAGAAAAGTAGAAACTGCAATAGAGTAAACTAATAAGAATTGGGTACTACGTGCTGGGTTAAAGATATATAATAAATAGCTCTACCTTGTCTTTAACAAGACAAAAATTTGCAAGATACTAAACGTATTCATGTTTGTTGGGTTGGGATGAGGGTGGGGCTCATAATACAAGGTAACTTTGGCTGAGTAGAAAAATTGTTCATAATCTTGAGTGTCTAAAAATCTAGTTAGCTTCCTAACAAAGTTATGCTTTGTCTGCACATGTAAGATTGAGCCCTTTATTTATTATCATAATTGGTACTAAACTAAAATCTTAAAATGTAGGTCAGGTATCATTACAACAGAAGGAAGAGGAGCAAAATCACTCTACAATCATGTAAGCATAGAATTCCAAGCTTCCAATTTGAAAAAAAAAAAAAAAGAAAATTTGATGTCAAAGAAGCCAGAGAGCAATGTGCCTAGGTTCACAGAGGCACGTAGTGGCAGTGGTAAGATTAGAATTGCTTAGAGTAAAATCCAAAATTCCCATGGCCTGCAAGACTCTACACACCTGGCCTCTACTTATCCCAGTATTCCCTCACTCCTCAACGATGCTGACCTCATTCCCTTGTCAGTAATTTTGCATTTGCTGTCCTCTTTCAACAGGAACTTTCCTGACTTTTCACGCTGCTGGCTCTTTTGCATCTTTCAGGTCTCAGTTTAAATGTCACCTCCTCAAAGAAGCCTTTTCTGATTTCTGTGTCTAAACTTAAATTCTAAAATAACCTGATCCCCACCCCCACCCATATCAGGCCATCTTCTATTAGAGAAACTTATTCAATTTCTTCAAACACTTATCATAATCACAATTATCTTTTTTATACCCCTGTTATTTTTTTAATCTGTCCGTTTCAATAGAACATAAGTCCCATGACAGCAGGTGTTTTGCCTACGTTGTGCTCTGCTGTGTTCCTAAACTCAGAAGATGGCCAGGCACACAGGTGATCATTAGTTATTGAATGAACTCAGATCTCCAGAGACTTGGTCTGGTTTAACAGGGTTGGGGAAAAGAGCATAAGACTTAGAAGCTTAGAGTTTTAGGCAAGTCACAAATGATATATGATCCTTAATTTTCTCATTTTTGGAATAGGAAACACAATGGGCTGTTTCCTATTCCTCATATAGGGCTGTTGAGAGAAAAAAGTAAACAATATATGTAAAAGTGCTTTATAAATAGAAGCCTATTCCTATGCAAATAAGTGACCCAGAGCAAACTGGCCTCTGTGTTTTGATTTCTTTATCTATAAAATTAAATGATTAGATTAATAACTCTAATGGGTCTTGTAGTTATAAATTTTTAATTCTCTCATTTGATTAAAAAAAAACCTTTAAAAGTCTCTGTATCAGTCCATTTTCACACTGTTATAAAGATACTACCTGAGGCTGGGCATGGCGGCTCATGCCTGTAATCCCAGCACTTTGGGCGGCTGAGGCAGGTGAATCACCTGAGGTCAGGAGTTCGAGACCAGCCTAGCCAACATGGCAAAACCCTGTCTCTGCTAAAAATACAAAAATTAGCTAGGCATGGTGGTGGACGCCTGTAATCCCAGCTACTCAGGAGGCTGAGGCAGGAGAATTGCTTGAACCCAGGAGGCGAAGGTTGCAGTGAGCTGGTATCTTGCCACCACACTCCAGCCTGGATGACAGAGAGAGACTCCATCTCAAAAAAATATATATATATACACTACCTGAGACTAGGTCATTTGTAAACAAAAGAGGTTTAATTGACTCACAGTTCTACATGGCTGGAGAGGCCTCAGGAAACTTAGAATCATGATGGAAGGCAAAGGATTAAGCAAGGCATGTCTTATATGGCAGCAGGAGGAGAGAGCAAGCGAAGAAGGAAGTGCCAATTTTAAGTCATCAGATCTCGTGAGAACTCACTATCATGAGAACAGCATGCGGGAAACTGCTGCATGATCCAATCACCTTATACCAGGTCTCTCCCTCAACACATGGGGATTACAGGTCAAGATGAGATTTGGGTGGGGACACAGAGCCAAACCATATCATCCCACCCCTGGCCCTTCCCAAATCTCATGTCCTTTTCACATTTTAAAACCAATCATATCTTCTCAACAGTCCTTCAAAGTCATAACTCATTCCAGCATTAACTCAAAGGTCCAAGTCCAAAGTCTTATCTGAGACAAGGCAAGTCCCTTCCACCTGTGAGTTTTTAAAATCAAAAGCAAGTTAGTTACTTTCAAGATACAATGGGGTACAGGCATTGGGTAAATGCTACCATTCCAAATGAAATAAATTGGCCAAAACAAAGGGGCCACAGTCTCCATGCAAGTCCAAACCCAGGCAGGGCATTCATTAAATCTTAAAGTTCCAAAATAATCTCCTTTGACTCCGTGTCTCACACCCAGGGCACACTGATGCAAGAGGTGGATTCCCGTGGTCTTGGGCAGCTCTGACCCTGCTGCTTTACAGGGCACATCCTCCTTTCTGGCTGCTTTCACAGGCTGGCACTGAGTACCTGCAGCTTTTCCAGGTGCACAGTGCAAGTTGTCTGTTGATCTACCATTCTAGGGTCTGGAGGATGGTGGCCCTCTAGCTCCACTAGGCAGTGCCCTAGTGGGAGCTCTGTGTTGGGGCGTTCTGCTGCCCCTGTAGCAGACATTTGCCTGGATACCCAGACATTCCCATACATCCTCTGAAATCTAGGCAGAGGTTCCCAAACCTCAATTCTTGACACTGTGCACCTGCAGGCTCAACACCACATGTAAGCTGCCAAGGCTTGGAGCTTGCATCCACTGAAGCAACAGCCTGAGCAGGGCACCAAGTTCCAAGACTGCACAAAGCAGTGAGGCCCTGGGCTCAGCCCAGGAAACCATTATTTCCTCCTAGGCCTCTGGGCCTGTGATGAGAGAGGCTGCTATGAAGATCTCTGACATGCCCTGGAGACAGTTTCCCCATTGTCTTGGTGACTAACATTTTGGCTCCTCATTACTGATGAAAATTTCTGGAGCTGGCTTGAATTTCTCCCCAGAAAATGGGTTTTACTTTTACATCATCAGGCTGAAATTTTTCAAACTTTTATGCTCTGCTTCCCTGTTATACATAAGTTCTGATTCCAAGTTATCTCTATGTGAATCCATAAAACTTATGCTTTTAAGATCACCCAGGTCACTTCTCAAAGGGTTTCCTGCTTAGAAACTTCTTCTGCCAGATACCCTAAATCATCTCTCTCAAGTTCAAAGTTCCATAGATCTCTAGCGCAGGGGCAAAATGCCACCAGTCTCTTTCCTAAAGCACAGCAAGAATCATCTTTGCTCCAGTTCCCAAGAAGTTCCTTATCTCCATCTGAGATCACCTCAGCCTGGACTTCATTGTCCATATCACTATCAGTATTTAGGTCCAAATCGTTCAACAAGTCTCTAGGAAGTTCCAAACTCCCACATCTTCCTGTCTTCTTCTGAGCCCTCAATACTGTGTCAACATCTGCCTTTTACCCAGTTCCAAAGTCACTTCCACATTTTGGGTATCCTTATCCAGTGCCCCACTACCGTGGTACCAATTTACTATATTAGTTACTTCTCACACTGAGACTGGTTAATTTATAAAGGGAAGAGGTTTAATTGACCCACAGTTTTGCATGTCTGGGGAGGCCTCATGAAGCTTAAAATTATGGCAGGAGGCCAAGGCGAAGCAAGGCACCTTCTTCACTAGGTGGCAGGAAGGAGAATGAATGCAGAGGAAACTACCAAACACTTATGAAACCATCAGATTTTGTGATAACTCACTACCGTAAGAACAGCATGGGGGAAATTGCCCCCATGATCCAATTACCTTCACCCGGTCTCTACCGTGACACATGGGGATTATGGGGACTACAGTTTAAGATGAGATTTTGGGTGGGGATGCTGCCAAACCATATTACCTCTTTTGTTTATAAATTACCCAATTTCAGGTAGTATCTTTGTAGCAGTGTGAGAATGGACTAATACAACTTCCCAGCCTCTGGTAAGCATCATTCTACTGTCTGTCTCCATGAGTTCAATTGTTTTAAAATTTACCCCCCATAAATTAGTAAAAACATGTGAAATTTGTCTTTCTGTCCTCAGCTTATTTCACTAACATAATGTTGTCCAGTTCCATCCATTTTGTCACATGTGACACAATCTCATTCTTTTTTATGGCTGAATAGCACTCCATTGTATATATATACCACATTTACTTTATCCATTCATCTGTTAATGGACATTTAGGTTGCTCCCAAATCTTGGTTATTGTGAATAGTACTGCAATAAATATGGAAGAGCAGATATCTCTTTGACATACCGATTTTCTTTCTTTTAGTTATTTATCTGGCAGTGGAATTGCTGGGTCATATGGTAGCTCTTTTTTAGTTTTGTTTTTTTTTTTTTTTTTTTTTTAGGAACTTTCATACTGTTCTCCATAGTGGCTTCAATAATTTACATTCCCAGCAACAGGGTATGAGGGTTCCCTTTTTTCTATATCCTTGCAGCATTTGTTATGGCCTGTCTTTAGGATAAAAGCCATTTTAACTGGGGTGTGATGATATCTTATTGTAGTTTTTACTTGTATTTATCTGATTATCAGTGATGTTGAGCATATTTTCATATACCTATTAGCTGTTTGTATGTCTTCTTTTGAGAAATGCCTATTCAGATATTTTGCCCATGCTTTAATCAGATTATTAGATATTTTTCCTAGAGAATTGTTTGAGCTCTTTATATATTCTGGTTATTAATCCCTTGTCAGTTGGGTGGTTTGCAAATATTTTCTCCCATTCTGTCTCTTCACTTTGTTGTTTGTTTCCTTTGCTGTGCAGAAGCTTTTTAACTTGATGAGATCCTATGTGTTCATTTTTGCTTTGGCTGCCTGTGCTTTTTGTGGGAAAAAAAACACAAAAACTAAAACAAAAACAAAAACTAAAGAGTTTCCTCGATGTTTAATTTTAGTTGTTTCATAGTATGTGGACACATATTTAAGTCTTCAATCCATTTTTATTTTTATATACAGCAAGAATTAGGGGTCTAGTTTCACTCTTCTGCATATGGATAGCCAGTTTTCCCAGCACCATTTATTGAAGGGACTGTTCTTTCCACCAATATATATATATATGTATATATTCCTGGCACCTTTGTTGAAAATGAGGTTAGTGTAGATGGATCATTTGTTTCTGGGTTCTCTATTCTGTTCCATTGTTCTATGGGTCTGCTTTCATGCCAGTACCTTGCTATTTTGGTGACTATATCTCTGTAGTATAATTTGAAGTCAGGTAATATGAGTCCTCCAGTTTCGTTCTTTTTGCTTAGAATAGCTTGTCTATTCTGGGTCTTCTGTGGTTCCATATAAATTTTAGGACTATATTTTTCTACTTCTGTGAAGAATATAATAGGTATTTTGATAGGGGTTGCATTGAATAGAGATTACTTTGGGTAGTATGGACATTTTAACATATTGATTCTTCAAATCCATGAACATGGAATACCCTTCCATTTTTGGTATCCTCATCAATTTCTTTCATCAGTGTTTTACAGTTTACATTGTAGAGCTCTTTCACTTCTTTGGTTAATTCCTAGGTATTTACTATTATTTGTTACAATTGTAAATGAGATTACTTTCTTGATTTCTTTTTCAAATTGCTTACTCTTGGCATGTGCAAATGCTACTAATTTTTGTACATTGATCTTGTATTCTGCAACTTTACTGAATTTATCAGTTATAATAGTGTTTTGGTGGAGTTTTTAGGTTTTTCCAAATATAAGATAATATCATCTGCAACCAAGGATAATTTGACTTCTTCCTTTCCAATTTGGATATTTTTTATTTCTTTCACTTGTCTGATTGCCATAGCTAGGACTTCCAGTACTATGTTGAATAACAATGGTGAAAGTGGGCATCCTTGTTTTTTTCCAAATCTTACAGACCCCATTCTGTTTGATACTAGCTGTGGGCCTGTCATATATGGCTTTTATTATATTGAGTTATGTTCCTTCTATCTTCAGTTTTTTTTAATCATGAAGGGATGTTGAATTTTATCAAATATTTTTTCAGCATCAATTAAAATGATCATATGGTTTTTATCCTTCATTATGATGATATGTGGTATCATGTTGATTGATTTACATATTTTGAACTATCCTTGCATACCAGAGGTAAATCTCACTTTGTCATGATGAATAATTTGTCTAACGTATTGTTGAATTGGGTTTCCTAGTATTTCGTTGAGAATTTTTACATCAATATTCATCAGAGATATTGGCCTGTAGTTTTGTTTATTTATTTATTTATTTTGGATGTGTCTTTGTCTGGTTATGGTATAAGCATAATACTAGCCTTGTAGAATGAGTTTGGAAGTATTGCCTCCTCCTCTATTTTTCAGAATACCTTAAATAGGATTGGTACTAGTACTTCTTTAAATGCTTGGTAAAATTCAGCAGTGAAGCCATTGGGTCCAGGGCTTTCTTTGATAGAAGTCTTTTTATTACGGCTTTGATCTTGTTGCTTGTTATTGGTATGTTCAGGTTTTCAATTTCTTCATGGTTCAATCTTTGTAGACTGTATGTATCTAGGAATTTATGTATGCTTTCTAGGTTTTCCAATTTATTAGCATATACTTGGTCATAGTAGACTCTAATGACCCTTTGAATTTCTGCATCATCCATTGTAATGTCTCTTTTTTTTCATCTCTAGTTTTATTTATTTGGGTCTCCTCTCTTTTTTTCTTTGTTAGTCTGGCTAAAGATTTGTCCATTTTTGTTTATCTTTTCAAAAAACGACTTTCTGTTTTGTTGATCTTTTGTATTTTTTTGTTTCAATTTCATTCATTTCTGATCTGATCTCTATTATTTCTTTATTTCTACTAACTTTAGGTTTTATTTGCTCTTGCTTTTCCAGTTCTTTAAGATGTATCATTAGGTTGTTTATTTGAAGTTTTTCTTCTTTTTTGATTTAGGCACTTAAAACTATAAACTACCCTCTCCATACTGCTTTTGCTGAATCCCATAGGTTTTGGTATGTTGTGTTTCCATTATCATTTATTTCATGAAATTTTTCAATTTTCTTCTTAATCTCTTTATTGACTCAGTAGTCATTCAGGAGCATATTGTTTAATTTCCATGTGTTTGTATAGTTTCCAAAATTCCTCTTGTTAATAATTTCTAGTTTTATTCCATTATGGTCAGAGAAGATGCCTGATATTATTTCCTTTTTTTCAATGTTTTAAGGCCTGTTTTGTGGCCTAATATACGATCTATCCTTGAGAATGATCCACGTGCTCAGGAGAATGTATATTCTGTAGCCATTGTATGAAATGCTCTGTAAATATCCATTAGATCCATTTGGTCTCTAGTGCAGATTAAGTCCGATGTTTCTTTATTGACAGTCTGTCTATATGATCTGTCCAATGCTAAAAGTGGGATGTTGAAGTTCCCAGCTATTATTGTGTTAAGGTCCATCTCTCTCTTTAGCTCTAATAATATTTGCTTTATTTATGTGGGTGCTCCACTGTTGAGTGGATATATGTTTACAATTGTTAAATCTGCTTGCTTAAAAAAAGCCCTTTTTCAACAAAAAAATATATCAATAGAACCAGATTATAATGGGATCCACATGTGAAAACTATCAGACAAGGAATTTAAAATACTATTATTGATATTGTAAAGGCTTTAGGGAAAAAAAACAGAAGGTATGCATGAACAAATAGGGAATTTCAACTAATTGTCGGTAATTATGTGAATAAAAATGAACTAAACACTGCATTCAAAAGGCAGAGATCAGGAAAATAGATTTAAAAAATAAATATAGGCCGGACGTGGTGGTTCATGCCTGTAATCCCAGCAATTTGGGAGGGCAAGGTGGGCAGATCACTTGAGGCCAGGAGTTCAAGACCAGCCTGGGAAACATGGTGAAACCCTGTCTGTACTAAAAAATACAAAAAAATTAGCCGGGCATGCTGGCACGTGCCTGTGGCCACAGCTACTCAGGAGGCTGAGGCAGGAGAAGCGCTTGAACCCAGAGGTGGAAGTTGCAGTGAGCCGAGATTGCACCACTGCACTCCAGCCTGGGTGACAGGCAACAGAGGGAGACCCTGTCTCAAAAATAAATAAATAAATAAATAAATAAATAAATAAATAAATAAATATTGGGTCTCACTGAACTCGCCTGCAGCTCTTGGGGTTTCTGTGTCTTTCTTCATAGTGGGAGCCAGGCCTAGACACCAGGAACCATGTCGAAGGGACCTGCAGCTGGTATTGATCTTGGCACCACCTACTTTTGTGTGGGTGTTTTCCAGCACGGAAAAGTGGGGGTAATTGCCAATGATCAGGAAACCAAACCACTCCAAGCTATGTCGCCTTTACAGACACTGAACGACTGATTGGTGATGCCACAAAGAATCAACTTGCAATGAACCCCACCGACACGATTTTTGATGCCAAACGTCTGATTAGACAGATTTGATGATGCTGTTGTCCAGTCTGACAGAAAGCATTGGCCCTTACTGGTGGTGAATGATGCTGGCTGGGCATCCAGGTGGAGCCCTCGCTCGCCTGGTCAGGGAGTGCGTGTCAGGGGTGGGAGAAGCCATGGATCCCGGGCAGCAGCAACTGCCTCAACCGGCCCCCCAGGGCCAAGGGCAGCCACCGGCGCAGCGCCCCCCAGGGGCAGGGCCCGCGGTCCAGACCAGGGCACCCGGCGCCCACGGCGACCCAGGCGGCGCCACAGGCAACCCCCACCGGGCGTCAGATCCTGCACGCCCGCGGGGACTGGGAGAGGAACCTGGAGGCGCTCTTCAACGCCTTCATGAACCCCAAGATGGCCAACGTGCACCAGACCATGCCCATGAGGCTCCGGAAGCTGCCCGACTCTTTCAAGCCGCCCGAGCCCAAGTCCAACTCCCAACGGGTCAGTACTGAGGCAGGCACCGCAGGAGCCCTGACTCCACAGCACGTTCGAGCTCATTCCTCTCCAGCTTCTCTGCAGTTGGGAGCTGTTTCTCCTGGGACACTGACCCCCACTGGAGTAGTTTCTGGCCCAGCAGCTACACCCACAGCTCAGCATTTTCAACAGTCTTCTTTTGAGATACCTGATGATGTACCTCTACCAGCAGCTCGGGAGATGGCGAAGACATCTTCTGGTCAGAGATACTTCTTAAATCACATCGATCAGAAAACAACACAGCAGGACCCCCAGGAAGACCATGCTGTCTCAGATGAATGTTATAGCCAATCCACCAGTGCAGCAGAATATGATGAACTCGGCCTCAGGTCGTCTTCCTGATGGATGGGAACAAGCCATGACTCAGGATGGATAAATTTACTGTATAAACCATAAGAACAAGACCGCCTCTTGGCTAGACCCAAGGCTTGACACTCGTTTTGCCAGGAACCTGAGAATCAGAGTGCTCCAGTGAAACAGCCACCACCCCTGGTTCCCCAGAGCCCACAAGGAGGCGTCATGGTGGCAGCAACTCCAACCAGCAGCGACAGATGCGACCACAGCAACTGCAGATGGAGGAGAGGCTGCAGCTGAAACAGCAATAACTGCTTCAGCAGGAGTTAGCACTGCGTAGCCAGTTACCAACACTGGAGCAGGACGGTGGGACTCAAAATCCAGTGTCTTCTCCCAGGATGTCTCAGGAATTGAGAACAAGGACAGCCAATAGCTCAGATCCTTTCCTTAACCGTGGCACCTATCACTCTCGAGATGAGAGTACAGACAGTGGACTAAGCATGGGCAGCTAGTGACCCTTGCACCGCAGATGACTTCCTGAACAACGTGGATGAGATGGATACAGGTGATACTATCAACCAAAGCACCTTGCCCTCACAGCAGGACCATTTCCCAGACTACCTGGAAGCCATTCCTGGGACAAAAGTGGACCTTGGAACACTGGAAGGAGATGGAATGAACACAGAAGGAGAGGAGATGATGCCAAGTCTGCAGGAAACTCTGAGTTCTGATGTCCTTAATGACGTGGTTTTGTCGGAACCTAGGCAAATGACCATATTAGTGAATCTGTTCATAGTTGTAGCTTGTGGTGGTTATTGTAGTTGTTTTGGTAAAATCTTCATTTCCTGGTTTTTTACCACCTTATTTAAATCTTGATTATCTGCTCTCTCTTTTATATACATATACACACACACAAATATAACATTTATAAGAGTGTGGTAGCAGAATGTATCCTTTTGTTAGGTTTCCCTGCTTTCCAGTTAATTTTTAAAATGGTAGCGCTTTGTATACATTTAGAATACGTGGCGAGTAGTTTATATTTCACTGGTAGTTTAAATCTGGTTGGGGCAGTCCGCAGATATTTGAAGTAGTTTAGTGTTCTAGAAAGAGCTATTACTATGGATAGTGTCTAGGGGAGTGCTCCACGCCCTCTGGGCATATGATAGGTATTATCTGATGAATTGGAAAGGAGCAAACCAGAAATGGCTTTATTTTCTCCCTTGGACTCCCTTGGACTAATTTTTATGTCTTGGTTGGAAATCACTGAGTAGGTTCATAATGTCCATGACAGAAATAAGCTTTATAGTGGTTTACCTTCATTTAGCTTTGGAAGTTTACCTTTGCCTTAGTTTTGAAAGTAAGTTCTAGTTTGTAGTTCTCATTTGTAATGAACACATTAAAGACTAGATTAAAATATTGCCTTCAAGATTGTTCTTACTTATAAGACTTGCTCCTACTTCTGTGGTGAAAATTGACCCTGGATAGAATATTATAAGGTCATGAGTTAGCTGGAAAAGTGATCAGATTAATAAATGTATATTGATAGTTGAATTTAGCAAGGAAATACAGATAATCATGATTATACCTTTATTTTTACAGGAAGAGATTATGTAACTAGAGTATGTGTCTACAGGAATGATAACAGTTTCCAAAGAGTTTTTTGTTTTTTGTTTTTGTTTTTGTTTTTGTTTTTGTTTTTGAGATGGAGTCTCGCTCTGTCGTCAGGCTGGAGTGCAGTGGCGCAATCTCGGCTCACCGCAACCTCTGCCCACTGCAACCTCTGCCTCCTGGGTTCAAGTGCTTCTTGTGCCTCAGCCTCCCGAGTAGCTGGGATTACAGGCACATGCCACCACACCCAGCTAATTTTTGTATTTTTAGTAGAGACAGGGCTTCACCATGTTAGTCAGGATGGTCTGGATCTCCTGACCTCGTGATCCACCTGCCTCGGCCTCCCAAAGTGCTGGAATTACAGGCGTGAGCCACCGCACCCGGCCCCAAAGAATATTTTTTAAAGGAACAAAATGAGCATGAATTAACTCTTCAATATAAGCTATGAAGTAAAAGTTGGTTGTGAATTAAATTGGCACCGGCTAGCACCTCTATGTTTTAACGGTCTTCCAATATTTCTAGAATAAGCCCTTATTTTCAAGGGTTTATAACAGACATAAAATCTCTTCTCCTGGCAAAAGCTGCTATGAAAAGCCTCAGCTTGGGAAGATAGATTTTTTTCCCCCAGTTACAAAATCTAAGTATTTTGGCCCTTCATTTTGCAGGAGTGCAAAAGTTGGAAGTAAGAAATTTTATTTTAAGTACTTCCAGTGCTCAAAAAAATGCAGTCACTGTGTTGTATATAATAGTTCATAGGCCAATCACTCATAATAATTGACTCTAAGGCTTTTATTAAGAAAACAGCAGAAAGATTAAATCTTGAATTAAGTCTGGGAGGAAATGGCCACTGTGCAGATGGAGTTTTAGAGTAATAATGAAATTCTACCTAGAATGCAAAATTGGGTATATGAATTATACAGCATGTGGTTGGGATTTTTTTTTAATGTGCAGAAGATCAAAGCTTCTTGGAAGGAGTGCCTATAATTTGCCAGTAGCCACAAATTAAGATTATATCTTATATATCAGCAGAGTAACTTTAGCTTAAGGGGAGGGTGGGAAGGTTTGGGGGGTTGTGAAGATTTAGGGGGGCCATGATAAAGAACCTTATAAACTTCTTTCTCTTTAATAAAGACTTGTCTTACATCTTGCTGTCATTAAAGGCAGCTGTTCCTAGAATTTAAATCACTTAAGTACACCCACAAAACAAGAATATGGAGATCTTCATTTCTCCTCGACTTTAATTTGCCCAGTTATACCTCAGTGTTGTAGCAGTACTTTGATATTACGATACTTTCTGTACTGACCTGAAGGAGACCTAACAGTCCTTTCTCTTTTTGAGTTTGAATCACAGCCTTGATGTGGTATCTGGTTTTATGTCCTTGTTCCTGATGTAAAAGTGATTAACTGCTTCTTGGTTGTGTTGGGTAGCATTGGGATAAGATTTTAACTGGGTATTCTTGAATTGTTTTTATAATAAACCAATTTTATAATCTTTAAATTTATCAGCTTTTTACATTTGTGTTCTTTTCACTCAGGGCTTCTTAGATCTACTTACCGTTCATGGAGCACATTGATTTGGAGATTCAGATCTTCTAAAGCACTATTTGTTGTAATAACTGTTTTCTAAATATAATGCCTTTAAAGGAAAAATGAACACAGGGAAGTGACTTTGCTACAAATAATGTTGCTGTTTTAAGTATTCATATTAAATAGATGCCTTCTATATGGAACATGGCAGAAAGACTGAAAAATAACAGTAATTAATTGTGTAATTCAGAATTCATACCAATCGGTGTTGAAACTCAAACATTGCAAAAATGGGTGGCAATATTCAGTGCTTAACACTTTTATAGCATTGGTACATGTGAAAAATGAGTGTTCAGGTGGATTTTATCCTTGCAAGCATGTTTTTATAAGAATTGTGATTGTGCCTATCATAACAGTTGTTTTCTGTATCTTGAAAAAGTATTCTCCACATTTTAAATGTTTTTATATTAGAGAATTATTTAATGCACACTTGTCAAATATATATATATATATATGTAGTACTAATGTTACTTTTTATCTTTTGTTTTAGATGTAAGAGCATGCTCATATGTTAGGTACTTACATAAATTGTTACATTATTTTTTCTTATGTAATACCTTTTTGTTTGTTTATGTGGTTCAAATATATTCTTTCCTTAAACTCTTTAAAAAAAAAAAAAGAAGTGATTGCTAATGGGTTCAAGGTTTCCTTTTGGGCTGATGAAAATATTTTAAAATTAGACAGTGGTAATGATTTAAGAATCTGTAAATATAACTAAAAATTACTGAAAAGAATAAAATTTATATAATGTGAAATATTTACCAAAAAAAATCAAGGAAAATTCTTGAACCACAAAAGACCCCCAAATAGTCAAAGCAACCTTGAACAAAAAGAACAAAGCTGGGGGAATCAGACTATCTGACTTCAAAATATACTACAGAGCTATAGTAACAAAAACAGCATGGTACTAGCATAAAAACAGACATATAGACTAATGGAACAGAACAGAGAGCCCAGAAATAAATTCACACATTTAGTTAATTTATCTTTGTCAAAGATGTCACATATGCACAATAGAGAAAGGACAGACTCTTCAATAAATGGTTTTGGAAAAACTAAATATCCACATGCAGAAGAATGAAATTAAACCATTATTTTACATCATATACAAAAATAAACCCAAAATGGGTTAAACGCCTAAACATAAACCCGAAACTATAAAACTGATAGAAGAAAACATATGAAAAATGCTTCTTGACATTTGTCTGGGCAATGACTTTTGGATATGGCACCAAAAGCACAGGCAACAAAAGCAAAAATAGACAAATAAGACTGTATCAAACTGAAAAGCTTCAGCAAAGGAAACAATCAATGAACTGAAAAGGCAATCTACATAAAGGAGAAAATATCTGCAAACCATGTATAAGTGGCTAATATCCCAAAGTACATACAACTGAGTAGCAAAAAAACAAAAACCTGATGTAAAAATTGGCAAAGGACATGAATAGACATTTCTCAAAAGAAAACATACCAATAGCCAAGTTATATAAAAATGTTCAACATTACTAATCATCACGGAAATGCACAAGGAAATCACAATGAACTATCACCTCATACCTGTTAGACTGGCTATTACTAGAAAGACAAAGACAAGTGTTGGAGAAGATGTAGAGAAAAGAGAACTCTCATACACTGTTGGTGGGAGTGTAAATTGGTATAGCCATTACAGAAAACAGTATGGAGGTTCCTCAAAAAATTGAAAATAGAACTACCATATGATCCAGCAATTCCACTTCCACTTCTGGGTATACATCCAAAGAAAAGGAAATCACCATCTCAAAGAGATATCTGCACTACCATGTTCATTGCAACATAATTCACAATAGCCAAGACATGGTATCAACTTAAGTATCTATCAATAAATAGATGGGTAAAGAAAAGGGAACATATATAGAGAGATATATAGATAAGCACATATATATAGGTGTGTATATGTGTGTATGTATATACACACACATATAATGGAATATTATTCATCCTTAAAAGGAAATCATACCATTTGTGACAACATAGATGAACCTGGAGGACATTATGCTAAATAAGCCAGGCACAGAATGAAAATACTGCATGATGTCACTTATATGTAGAATCTAAAAAGCTGAACTCATAGAAGCAGAGTGTAGGGTGATTGCCAGGGACTGAGGTGGGGAAAATGGGGTGATGTAGGTCAAAGGGTACAAAGCTTTAGTTATGCCCAATGAACATGTTCTGGAGATCTGATATACAGCATGATGGTTATAGTTAATAATACTGTATTATGTACTTGAAATCTGCTAAGAGAATAGACCTTAAATGTTCTCACTACACACTCATAACTATGTGACAGGATGGATATATTAATTAACTTAATTATGATAATCATTTTGCAATATCTACATGTATATCAAAACATCACATTGTATACCTTAAGTTTATAGAATTTTTATTTGTCAATTATACCTCAGTATGGCTGAAAAAATATATACTAGAAATAAAACACAGTAACACAGATGCAGACTACCTTCAATGGGCTCATTAGGAGACTCAGCACAGCTGAGGAAAACAATCAATGAACTTGAATATAGGTAAATAGAAATCACCCAAACTGAAAAACAAAGAAAAAGTAGAAAAAGTTATTTCAAAACTGCAGAGAGAAAATAAAGAATTTTTTAGACTAACAAAAACTGAAAGTCATTTTCTGTAGAATTGCACTAAATGAAATGTTAAAGTTATGCAGAAGAAATATATTATCTGACATAAACTTGTGCCTACACAAAAATTAAAGAGCACTGAAAGCACGGTGCTAAAGCTAAAGCTAAAGCTCATGCCTGTAATCCCAGCATTTTGGGAGGCCGAGGTGGGTGGATCACCTGAGGTCAGGAGTTCAAGACCAGCCTGGCTAACGTGGCAAAACCCCATCTCTACTAAAAATACAAAAATTAGCCAGGTGTGGTGGCTAATGCCTGTAGTCCCAGCTACTCGGGAGGCTGAGGCTGGAGAATTACTTGAACCCAGGAGGTGGAAGTTGCAGTGAGCCGAGATCGTGCCATTGCACGCCAGCCTGGGCATCAGAGCAAGACTCCATCTCAAAAAAAAAAAAAAAGGAAATATAAAATTTGGTTTTTTTACGTATTTTTAATTGCTCTAAGAGATAATTGTGTGCTCTGGTGCTGGGTAAAATGGAGTATGCCTGCTCCACCTTGTCTTTCCAGCTAAATGCAAATATAAGAGCTGGACAGAAGGCAAGGAATGTTCGACAATGCAGGTGTGTTCAGTATGGAAATTATCAAGTTGGAACAACTATATAAGAACTCTGAGAAGGTAATAAGATCAGTCAGGTCATGGGAGAAGCATAGAATTTAAGCTGCTATCAATCTGGCACCATTTTTCCCTGATCTGAATACAAAAATCTAGCATGAAACCTGGAAATGGACACTTAGATAAAGAAAGAAATCTAGGAGTGGCCCTCTAATACTAGCACACAGAGTAGAAAAAAGAAACTCGTAATGCCCAGAGAATGCAGATACCAATAAGCTTTTATTCTGCCATATGATCTCTTATACCACAGCCTTGAAGCAATCCTTTGGGGACAGTGGCAGAAGCCACCACAGAAGATGGTTTGAACCAAATCTCTAAGTGAGGAAATTTTCCCCTCCAATCAGAGAACTCCAGTGGCTTTTTTTCCCCTGTGTCTCTGTCCTTTCACCACTTGACCCCAGATGTGGATGCAATTGCAAAAGTTTCTGAGAGTGTAGGTTAAATAAAGCCCCAGCTTTCTGGCTGTAGGACCAAATAGAGGAGCCCTAGAAAATAAAAAAGTACCAGACATGGAGAAGCTCAGCAAAGCAATCCTAGAAATTTGCTTATAAACACGTGGGCTCACCCCTAAGTAGTACATACATGAATCTGATCATAATCGGTATACAGAAAACTTCAAAAGTGGAGTTAACCTGGGGTCCCAGAGAGAACAATGATTGGTGTACACACAGAATACATGGAAATAATCTCAAAGTCTAGCTGACATTGGAATTGGAGGTCATAGAAGGTGGGTTAGAACTTGCAGCCTGAACTCGGACCTGGTCAATTGCCTCCTAAAACAAAAATATCCACATATTCATAATAATTTTAAAAGGCCCCCACATCTCATAATATTTAAAATGCCTAAAATACAAACCAAAATTACATGCCATTTAAAGATCTGGGAAAATATCAAAAGGAAAATCAACATGTACCAATATTAAGGTAACAAAGATTTAGAATTATCTAATAAAGACTTGAAAGCAGCCAGATGTGGTAGCTTACACCTGTAATCCCAGCACTTTGGGAGGCCAAGGCAGGAGGATCACTTGAGCCCAGGAGTTTGAGGCCTGGGCAACATGACAAGACCCCATCTCTACAAAAAATTTAAAAATTAGCTGAGCGTGGTGGTGCAGATCTGTGATCCCAGCTGCTCAGGAGGCTGAGGTGGGAGGATCACTTGAGCCCAGGAGTTCAAGGCTGCAGTGTCCTGTGATTGCACCACTGTACTACAGCCTGGACAACAGAGTGAGACCCATCTCTTAAAAAAAAAAAGGACTTGAAAGCAATTATTTATTATTATTATTACAGATACTCCAACAAACAATCATGAACACAATTAAAATCAATAGAAAGCTAAAAACAACAAAAAATATTATATAAAGAATTACAAAATGACAATTTAATGACAATAAAATTTAAATTTTAAAATGACATACAAAATATGACAGCAGAAAACTCATTGAATAGAACAAATAGAAGAACACAAGAAGAAAACTGGAGTGCAGCTATTAATATCGGACAAAACAACTTTCAGAGCAAAGAAAATCCCAACAAGGATCGAGAGAGACATTTCAGAATCATAAAAAGTTCAATGCTGCAAGAAGACATTATAATCCCAAATGGGTATACACCTAACAATAGAGCTTCACAGTACAAAAAGAAAAACTGACAAAACTTGAAGGAGCAATGGACAAATCTACAATTATCATTGCATATTTAGACACTCTTATTTCAGTAACAAATAGAACTACCGGAAAAATCAGCAATAATATAGAAAAACTGAACACCATCATCAAAAACCTGGACATAATCGACACTTACAGAACACTTCACTCCATAGCAGCAAAGTGCACATTCTTCTCAAGAGCACAAGAACATTCACCAAGATAGACCCCATCCTTGACTTTAAAATGAACCTTAACACATTTAAAAGAACTGAACTCACACAGAGTGTGCTCTCAGATCCTAATATAACTAGACTAGAAACCAATAACAGGAAGACAACAGAAAATTCCAAACCTTTGGAAAGGAAACAGCACACTTCTAAATTATCCACGATCCAAAGAGGAAACTTCTAGGAAAATTAGCAAATATTTTTAGCTGAACATAAATGAAAATATAACATACCAAAATTTGTGGGATGTCATTAAGGTAGTATCCAGAGGAACACTTCGCCATGTACTTAATGTGGTCAGCGTCATTCTGATTCTAAAGTGAGACAATGACATTCAAAGAAAAGAAAACTATAGACTAATACCTCTCGTGAACATAGATGCAAAGTTAGGAGAGTAAGAGAAAACAAGCTGGTGTCCCCACAGTCCCCTGAAGGGATAGGACCCCACCAAAGAAGAAGGAATTTCTCTGAGCAATCTGCTGTTGCCACTTATAGAAGCAAAAGAACCGAACCAGATCTCCATGCTTTCCTATACATTATTTCCCTTTATCTCAATCAGAGCAATTTCCAAGGGGACCACAGAAGATTGACACTAAACCCAAAAACCAGAGAAGATGGATGGATATGGAGTAGACTATGTTTAAGAACTGCAGGCATATTTAGTATGGAAATCGCTAACTTGAGGGGCAGTGAGTGAACTGACTATACGTTTGATCACTACAGGCCAAAGAGTTCATCAATTTCTGCACAGCTTTAATCAAGGACAGTTCCAAAGGCTTTGGAATTACGCCATGACGGTTAATACTTACGCACCACTTACTTGGGTCAAGCCCCATAATGGCACTTTAAATATACAATTTCACTTAATTGTTCACAATAACTCTACAAGGCTGAGTAATGTTACTATTCCCATTTCACAGATAAGAAAACTGAGGCTCAGAATATTTAAGTAGGAAAATCTTTTGACTCTAAAACCTCCACAGGCTCAACCCTCATAGCTCCTAACACTGTTCTCCACTCACCTCATACCACCCTAAAGAACTAAAGTATATCTTTTACAAGTTTTTTTAATGAGGTGAAATTCTGACTGTCCTTACAGTCCTGCTCTTATAAAATCGCTTAGAGCTATTGTCTAGGCCAAAGAGTAAAATGGAACTTTGTTTTTGCGGTTCTTCTATCAGAAGTGTGCACATGTCTATTCATTGACAGCAAACAAAGCCCCAAGTACTTTGCATGAGGATTAAAATTTCTTTTGAATAAGAATTTTGATCAGTAAAATAATATTTCAAGCATTATGATGTCATTGGTGTCACATACACTGGTGTTTTAAAAGAACTTATAGCTTAAAAGCAAAGCAGAAAAAGCAAATTTTTTAAAATGCACAAAAATTGTTCACTGAAACTTGCCTCTAATTATTATGTGGGGACTTTGAGACCTCTGTAAAATCCACTCTTCCTCTCCCCAGTAATTTTTGAGGCACTCAGTGGTAACTCAAAAACAAGTCACACAACCTCCTTAAAGCACCCATCATGTTTTTCTTTCCAACTTAGATCAACTTGGTGGCAAATGCAAGTGTCCAATATATGCCCCCTAGGCCTCTTCCTAAGGCTAGAGCTAGGCAGGGACCTCTGAGGTCTCCGGGAAGCTGGTGCCACCCTGGGATCTGGGCAGAGTTTGCGGCTGCTTCTCTTGCTGCCTGTTTCTCAACATGCTGAGATGGCAGCCAAGTACTGCCTGTGCCCCAAAGCCTCACAGAATATTTGGTACCAGTGGCTCCCTTCCTTTCTATTTGTAGCCCTAAAGTGCAGGTTCAGGCACACATCTTAGGGCTTGGATGAGGTCATTCTTTGAATTAGACATCTCATTAGCCTTTCTCACCTTCTCCTATTAGCACATACTTGCCTTCCTTCACTGAAACCTTACTGTTTTTCTTTCCTGTTATCCACCTCCCCCGGGGTTTCATAAGCCACCCTTTAACATGAGACCTGGGCTTCATTTGGAAGCTATCACTGCATAAGTGCAAAAGTTCTGATGTTTTCACTGGGCTCTGAAACCCAGAGTGGAGAGGGGGATCCTAGTTGCCTCTACTGTGTGCAAGTGATAGGCTGTTTGTGTAGGACAGCTATCTTCTCAGAGGGTCTTCTATTAAAAGCACATGATTAGAGCATGCACCATCCCACCAAGAATTCCCTAGGAACACTCTCTTCCCTCCAGGTGGCTACTGCCATTGCACGTCCCGTTCATCCTCTAGGGTGCAGAGCCTGTGAGCCATGGCGCTTTTTAGATCTGCTCTACTTTAGGCTTTATGACTGTAGGATGGAAGTAGAGGTTCAACAAGGTTTGCACTCCCCTTTTGAACTCCAAAACTATGACGACAGACTATCACGGGGTTCTGATAGGTAAAATGCAACAGCAACAACGATCAAGATAATTTCTCGTTTTTTAGAAGACAAACTAGAAGCCATGCTGTAATCCTCATATTCAGAGCAATTATGAATATATTTACTTAAGATTATCCAACATCATAATCCAATTCATTTCAGCAGCTCCACGGGAGCCCACCTGAAGGCCGCTTGCCTTGCAGTCATCTGACTGCCAAGCCCTGTATCTTCAGGCCTGTTATGAAGTTTTGCTCTCAGCTCGCTCCTAATTCTCCCCCCGTACAGAGGTCACTCTGACTTGGAACTCAAGTGTGTATCCTGATCAGACCTCCCTTTCTTGCATGGGTTACTCCAGCCTTAATATTTTGCATAGACCCCGTTTCAATTTCACTTTCCCAAATGAATTGCCATGGTTTGAAATATATGTGTATGTTTAGCTTCCTCTGCACAATTGCCTCTTCAATGCCTCTTCCTTCATGCTTCCCTGGGCCTATTACTCATCCTCCTACCTCTGTTCTGGCAGCCGCCCTCATAGCTCCACTTGCTCCACCTTCACCCCTTTCAAACTCATTTGAGAATATCCCATTACCTTTTTTTCTAGTTATTCCTTCTGTCCCACTTGCTCTTTATTTCCATCCTGTTTTTAACAAATGTATCTTTAGACTTTCGTGTTCAAAACAGAAGAGGCAAGCAAACTCACCTTCATTATGTGCCACGGGCTTTCCAAATTTCTCATTTAGTATTCTTAACTATTTTATAAGAGAGAAATGAGGCTTGAGGCTTGAGGTTTATGAAAAGAGGTTTAACATGCCCAGGGTTGCATAGCTGGTAAGGGGTGGGATTTAGATTTAATCAGATGTATATGATTCCCAAACTCCTGTTGTCTTTTCATCACACAACACTGCCTTCAAAACATTATTTATACTAACGAAATTGAATTTTAACCAAAAGTAGCCAGAGACATTGATATGTTTGAGTTCTATTTGTAGTCCAGTGCAGTATTTCAAACTGCACAAAGGTGGTCCCTTAGCAAACAATTTTTTAAAATCCAGGGTCTTAGGAGTGGAAAGGACCTGAGAGACCATTCCATGTCATAGTTGAGGAACTTAGGAACCCTGGGAGATTGCATAGCTTGCACTGCTGAGCTCCAAAAAGTCAGGTGCCCTTAAAAAGTGTATCACAGCTTTTACCATCTCATGCCAGTTAGAATGGCGATCATTAAAAAGTCAGGAAAAAAACAGATGCTGGCGAGGCTGTGGAGAAATAGGAATGCCTTTACATTCCTGTTGGTGGGAGTGTAAATTAGTTCAACCGTTGTGGAAGACATTGTGGCGATTCCTCAAGGATCTAAAACCAGAAATACCATTTGACCCAGCAATGCCGTTACTGGGTATATACCCAAAGGATCATAAATCATCCTACTATAAAGTCACATGCACACGTATGTTTATTGCAGCACTATTTACAATAGCAAAGACTTGGAACCAACCCAAATGCTCATCAATGATAGACTGGATAAAGAAAATGCGGCACATATATGCCATGGAATACTATGCAGCCATAAAAATTCATGTCATTTGCAGATACATGGATGAAGCTGGAAACCATCATCCTCAGCAAACTAACACAGGAACAGAAAACCAAACACCACATGTTCTCACTCATAATTGGGAGCCGAACAATGAGAACACATGGACACAGGGAGAGGAACATCACACCTCAGGGCCTGTCGGGGGTTGCGGGGGTAAGGGAAGGGACAGCATTAGGAGAAATACCTAAGGCATGCAGGGCTTAAAACCTAGATGACAGGCCAGGCACAGTGGCTCATGCCTGTAATCCCAGCACTCTGGGAGGCCAAGGTGGGAGGATCACCTGAGGTTGGGAATTCAAGATCAACATGACCAACCCCTCCTCTACTAAAAATACAAAATTAGCTGGGTGTGGTGGCACATGCCTGTAATCCCAGCTACTTGGGAGGCTGAGGCAGGAGAATCACTTGAACCCGGGAGGTAGAGGTTGCAGTGAGCCAAGATTGTGCCATTGCACTCCAGCCTGGGCAACAAGAGTGATACTCTGTCTTAAAAAAAAAACCTAGATGACGGGTTGATGGGTGCAGCAAACCACCATGGCACATGTATACCTATGTAACAAAACTGCACATTCTGCACATGTATCCCAGAACTTAAAGTAAATAAATAAAATAATTTTTTTAAAAAAAGTGTATCACGGCTTTGTGAGTCCAGGGAGGTGTCTCCTCTGGCTGGAGAGAATCTCACTCAGTGCTCCCACATCTTGAGCTAAAGCCCCTGGAGGGAGCTGAACCAACGGTCTGTTTTCCAAGACACCCTCGGGTCTCTTCCATCACCCTAGCCATCCCTTTTCACTCTGTCACTGCATGATGACAGAGCCAGGTCTCCATCACCACCACAATTCCATTCCCACACTTATTCTCCCATTCCTTTTATAGGTACCCCCAGTCCATGCACACATGCCTTGAGAATTCCTCTGTGCCTCCTAAAAGCACCATCATTAGCATATTTCCCTACTCCTTAAATGGTTCACTTCCTTGACTTAGCTGCTCTAACTATGCCCTGATGACACTTCTTGCTGCAACCCTCAAAGTAGAAGCTACTTTTGTTTCTCATATCCCAACTCCCAAAGGGCCTAGAAAAAGAGTAGGCATTCTGCTTAACTCTGCCTATTTTCTTGATAAAAATAACAATTGGGTGGGAACTCCCTCATCTTCTCAACATACAATGTGCCAGCTCACCTGCATTGGACTGGTCTCTTCTGCCATGCTTCTGTCTCAGCAAGAGTGTTCCGGCTCTGATGGGGACACCTTCCCTGCTTCTGCCTGGGATTCTGTCTTTTGTGCCTCCTCAAGGACTTTGCCTCCAATCTTTCCCTCTCCTTCTATATCATGACAAGCTGCTCCCCTGTCATCAGCACACAAATAGACTCTAATGTCCCCTATATTTAAACAGATACTCCCTTGACCCCGGGCCAAATCTCCACAGTTTCACAATTTCATAGCAAAATGACTTGCGTTATCTGTTCTCACTGTCTCCATAATTTATTTCTCTTAACTCTCACATATCTCACTTTCATTCTCTTAAAACTGCCTGAGTCAAGGCTGAGACAGGAGAATGGCGTGAACCCGGGAGGCAGAGGTTGCAGTGAGCCGAGATTGTGCCACTGCACTCCAGCCTGGGCGACAGAGCTAGACTCCATCTCAAAAAACAAAAAACAAAACAAACAAAAAAAGACTGCTGAGTCGGCCAGGCGCGGTGGCTCACGCCTGTAATCCCAGCACTTTGGGAGGCCAAAGCGGGCAGATCATGAGGTCAGGAGATGGAGACCATCCTGGATAGCAGGGTGAAACCCCGTCTCTACTAAAAATACAAAAAATTAGCCGGGTGTGGTGGTGGGCACCTGTACTCCCAGTTACTCAGAGGCTGAGGCAGGAGAATGGCGTGAACCCGGGAGGCGGAGCTTGCAGTGAGCCGAGATGGCTCCAGCCTGGGCGACAGAGGGAGACTCCCTCTCAAAAAAAAAAACAAAAACAAAAACAAAAAACTGCCTGAGTCAAGGTTACTGATGACTTCCAGGTTGTCAAATCCAATGAGGTCTTCCCTGCTCTCAGCAGCCTTCAAGGTACTTTGTTCTCTTGGCTTCTAAAACACTACCTTCTAGTTTTCTTCCTTATGCACTGGATTTTTTTCTGTCTTTGTTATTAACTCCTTCTCCTATACCAATTGTATGACACATTCTCTATTTACACTAAAACCCTTGGTAATCCCATTTAATCCTTTGAGCTCCATGACTTCCAAATTTACCTCTTCAGCCAAGATCTCTGAATGACAGGATTCCAAATGAAGGAATGCATTTGACATCACAAAGTTAACACATTCAAAACAGAACTTTTATTCTTTGGAACTAGTTAGAGGTGGAGGTTGCACAACATTTTAGATGTACTAAATGTCACTAAATGTTCACTTTAAAATAGTTTATTTTATGTTATGTAAATTTGACTTCAATAAGAAAAAGAAAAAAGAAACAGAACTTGTGATTTCCTTCCTCACCTAAACCTGGTCCTCTTGATAGCACCAGGAGGCAGACAAATTCTAGGCAGATGGGGTCGGTCCCCAGTGAAACCCGACCTTCAAGCTGAAGACAATTTAAAGCCTGGTTACCAGTCCCAGGCAAATCTACCAACCAGATTAAGAACCTGCCTTACCCTTTGGCATGCTTTCCTCTGATTGATCCTCACCTTTCATTTTACATATACCTACCCTTCCCTAATTGTTTTTTTAAACTGTCATGCCCATCTTTGAGTGGTGCCTTTGTTTTAACCATTTTTGCCTAGTCACAAACCAATCATCATGAACTCACCCATCCTGAGCCCATAAAAGCCTTGGACTCAGCCACACAGGAAGAGAGACCACCTGACTTCAGGCAGTCTGACTTCATGTCCCCTCTCCGCTGAGAGCTGTTTCATCACTGAATAAAATTCTTTTCCACCCTTCGACTGTCATTTTTCTTGGATGTGAGACAAGAACTCAGGATCCACCAAACATGCGTACAAAAAAGGCAATAACACTGTAGCCCCCTGCCCTCCTCTGGTGAAGGGCAACCACCTTATGTGGTGGGAAACAGCAGCATGGCTGAGCCAGCCCTGGAGCCCTGGGCCAGAGTGGGGCGACAGGACTGACTGAGCTGTTAACATGCTACCATCCATCTGGCTGCAGACAGCAGGACTAAAAGAGCTAATTAGCATGCTGTAACCCCCCTTCTGGGGCTTCAAGGGTCACAGGCACCCCTATCTGGGCACCACCACACTCCCCTTGTCTGGACACTGCAGTCCACCGTGGGAGTTGCTTGCAACATGCCTGGTCCAGCCACAAGCCCTGCACGGACCCAGCTCCTGTGCCATTGCTTGGAATGGCCAGCCGGACCCTACATTTGCTCACTCGCACACCCCCTACCACCAGGGGCTGAGCGCACAGTTGCAGTGGCCACAGGATCTGTGCCAGACTGCGAGCAAGGCGCAGCCTGGAGGGCCGAGTACTCGGGGTATCTCCTGTGGTGAGTGTGGGCCCAAGCAAGACTGGAAAAGTGGCCAAGAGAAATCCTGCATCACTTTCCTGGTATTCCTTGTCTCAATAAATGGCACAAGCACAGCCACCTTCCTCAACCTCCCGAATCCCCTTAATTTCAAATTGCGCACATGTGCTGTCACCTTCATCTCCAAAGCTCCTCTATAAGCATCTGCTCCTCTTCTTTGCTGTGGAGGCCTCTACCATCTACCCCTACAACTCTGACAGATGCCCTGCTTCCACTCTTGTCTTTCTATAGCATGTTCTCTGTAGCAGTCAACAAGACATTTAAAAAATGTAAATCAAACCACATTACTTCCTGGGGTTCCCACAATACTTAAAATAAAAGCCAACTCCTGACCATGGCCTACAAAACCCTCTGCGATTTGACCCCTGCCTGCTGCTTCTCTGATCTAAACTCTTGGCCCTTTGCTCTTCCCCCAACTATGCCTAAATCACGCTGCTCATCTTTTTATCCTTGAAAATGCCAAGTTCATTTCTGCTTCTTTCGTTAACTTGTGTATCTTTCTTTCTCCTGCTAGAAGGTAAGCTATAGAAACAGGGACTTTACTGGTCTTGTTTAGCCTTGTGTCTCCAGTAACTAAAAAGTCCTAGACACATAATAGGTGCTAAATAAATAAGTGTTAAATAAACAAATTAGGTCCACACTCTTTCTGGCTTTGTTTTTTCTCAATAGCTTCAAAGATATTGTTCAAAGCCCTATTGTTTTTTTAAAAAGCTATAGAAACTAAAACAAAAGTGTAATTTCCAGATGGATTTGGGTTAAATCAAAAGTAATACAGACAAACATAAATAAATATACTAGAAGAAAATGCTAAATATATGTACAATTATTTAATGGTTGCAATTTTCCTCAGCAACAAAGGAAATTAAAGCTACTAAAGAATAGACAGGAATATTTATCTCTAATACACAGAAAATTTTATTATGCAGAATAAAACACACTTAAATTTTAAAAATTATATTGGGAAAAATATTCAGAGTATGTATGATAAGATTAAAAGTAACACTTCTGGCTGGGCGCAGTGGTTCATGCCTGTAATTCTAGCACTTTGGGAGGCCAAAGCAGGCGGATCACTTGAGGTCAGGAGTTTGAGACCAGCCAGGCCAACATGGTGAAACCCCATGTCTATAAAAAATACAAAAAAAATTAGCTAGGTGTGGTGGTGGGCACCTGTAATCTCAGCTACTTGGGAGGCTGAGGCAGAAGATTTGCTTAAACTCAGGAGGTGGAGGTTGCAGTGAGCCAAGATCATGCCACACTCCAGCCTGAGTGACAGAATGAGACTCCATCTCAAAAAAAAAAAAAAAAGTAACATTTCTAATGTACAAGAAGTTTCTACTGTTGGTGTTATGTACATATAAGTTCACTATTTTACTTTATTTCTACTTTGATATATGTTTGAAATTTATGTTAAAAAAAGAAAACAAACAGAATAAGAACAAGAAGGTATTTTACATTGAGATGATGGGTTTAGAAAATTTTATTTTTATTTTTATTTTACTTTAAGTTCTGGGATACATGTGCAGAATGTGCAGGTTTGTTACGTAGGTATACATGTGCCATGGTGATTTACTGTACCTATCAACCCATCTTCTAGGTTTTAAGCCCCTAATCCCCACATGCATTATGTATTTCTCCTAATGCTCTCCCTCCCCTTGCCCCTCACCCCCCGACAGGCCTCACTGTGTGATGTTCCCTCCCTGTGTCCATGTGGTCTCATTGTTCAACTCCCACTTATGAGTGAGAGCATGCGGTGTTTGGTTTTCTGTTCCTGTGTTAGTTTGCTGAGGATGATGGTTTCCAGCTTCATCCATGTCCCTGCAAAGGACATGAACTCATTCTTTTATATGGCTGCATAGTATTCCATGGTTTATATGTGCCACATTTTCTTTATCCAGTTTTTCGTTGATGGGCATTTGGATTGGTTCCAAGTCTTTGCTATTGGAAATAGTGCTGCAAGCCATTGCTATTGTAAATAGTGCCTCAATAAACATATGTGTGCATGTGTCTTTACAGTAGAATGACTTATAATCCTTTGGGTATATACCCAGTAATGGGATTGCTGGGTCAAATAGTATTTCTGGACATAGATCCTTGAGGAATCACCACACTGTCTTCCACAATGGTTGAATTAATTTATACTCCCACCAACAGTGTAAAAGCCTTCCTACTTCTCCACATCCTCACCAGCATCTGTTGTTTCCAGACTTTTTAATGGTCACCATGCTAACTGGCATGAGATGGTATCTCATTGTGGTTTTGATTTGCATTTCTCTAATGACCAGTGATGATGAGGTTTTTCTCATAGTGTGTTGGCTAAATAAACGTCTTCTTTTGAGAAGTGTCTGTTCATATCCTTCACCCACTTTTTGATGAGGTTGTTTTTTTCTTGTAAATTTGTTTAAGTCCCTTGTAGATTCTGGATATTAGTCCTTTGTCAGACAGATAGATTGCAAACATTTTCTCCTATTCTGTAGGTTGCCTGTTCATTCTTATGATAGTTTCTTTTGCTGTGCAGAAGCTCTTTAGTTTATTATATACCATTTGTCAATTTTGGCTTTTGGTGCTATTGCTTTTGGTGTTTCAGTCATGAAGTCTTTGCCCATGCCTATGTCCTGAATGGTATTGACTAGGTTTTCTTCTAGGGTTTTTATGGTTTTAGGTTTCATGTTTAAGTCTTTAATCCATCCTGAGTTAATTTCTGTATAAGGTATAAGAAAGGGGTCTGGCATATGGCTAGCCGGTTTTCCCAGCACCATTTATTAAATAGGGAATCTTTTCCCCCATTGCTTGTTTTTGTCAGGTTTGTCAAAGATCAAATGGTTGTAGATGTGTGGTGGTATTTCTGAGGCCTCTGTTCTGTTGCATTGTTCTATATATCTGTTTCTGTACTAGTACCATGCTGTTTTGTTACTGTAGCCTTGTAGTATAGTTTGAAGTCAGGTAGCATGATGCCTCCAGCTTTGTTCTTTTTGCTTAGGATTGTCTTGGGTATACGGGCCCTTTTTTGGTTTCATATGAAATTTAAAAGAAATTTTTATGATGTCTTCCAAGTCATTGACTAGAGCTAGAGAAATGGGGCTTGGGAGATGATGGCTAAGGATTTCTTTTGGGGGTAATTATAATGTTCCAAAATTGATAGTGGTGATAGATATATATCTATAGTAACTCTGTAAGTATACTAAAAGCCATTGAATTGTACACTTTAAGTGGTTGAATGGTATTATATGTGAATTAATATCTCAATGAAGGTATTTTAAAAGGAAAAAAAAGAAGCTCCTACTAATTATCAAAAAAATGATATACAACTCAAAATAAGCAAAATATGAACAAGCACTTCATAGAAAAGGTGATTCTGGTGGCAGATAACCTAGAAAGACGTTCATCTTCCCCTGCACTCATGAAAATATAAAAAGTAACAATGAATGGCCTGTTTTTTTACCTGTCAAATGAACAATACTTACAAAAAGTTTTACAGAGGGATCCAGGCTGGAAAAGATTCAGGAAAAAAGTTCTCTTGTGTTCATTGATAATGGGATTTGGGGTATATGTGCTCTCCACCCCTCAAATCTGTGCCAGCCTTAAGTGACTTGCTTGACAAACAGAAAATGGAGGAAGTGACTATATGGGGGTTTCAAGGCTGGGTTTCATTAAGCCTGGCTGCTTCCACCTGAGCTCTGGGACTGCCACATTGGAGAGGCCTCTGTTTTGGAGGTGACACAGAGGTCCTGAGAATACATGGACAGAGAAAGCTGTCTGGCCAGCCCTCAACTGTTTTACCCACAGCCATCGCTGTTTTACCCCCAGCCATCCATGCCATCCCTCTCTGGGCCCAGACACTATGTAGAGCCCAAAACAAACCATTCCCCAATTAATTCTGCTCCAAAAGAAGATTCACTGGGAAAGTCCTTAATTGATTGTTGCTTTTAGCCGCTGCTTTAGGGTAGTTTTTTATGTAGCAATGAGTAGCCAAAACAAGACTGACTTGCTACAACCATTACATAAAGTAACCTGGTAACACTTTAAAATTAAAAGCATAACATCCTTCATAGGAGAAATACTACTCCTTGAAATCTATCTCAAAGAAATAAAAGCATCAGTACATAGGATGCTTATTGAAGCACTTTTGTTGCAGAGAAAAGCACAATATAGGAAAGAGATGTAGTCCATCATTAAAGGAATATTGAATATATTACAATCATGTTTTTAAAAAGGAACAGAGTGAAGTTAGTTGTCTTGGACAGATTTCCACAAAGTAAAAGAGAAAGCAAAATGCAGAAAAGCATGGGAAACAGAATCTTGTTCTTGTAAAACAAAGAAAGAAGGAAAAAGCCCCCAAACATACATCTGCCTACCCTATTTCATTAAATCTCAGATGGTAAGAAATTGCAGTTTCAGAGATGTTAAAATGTGAAAAAAATGACGTCTCAGATTTGACGTAATACAGTCTGTATGCATAGTACATCGACCAAATAAAAGCCAAAAGAGACACAACAGTTTACTAACTTAGCTTGAGAAGCCTCGTGTTTAAAGGATGAGAAAGTCCATAGGGAGACTAACAAAAAAGAAAAAAAAAAAGGCTGAACGTAAAAAGCACACACACACACACACACACACACACACACACACACACACACAATATAATGTTTCATTTCTGTGAAATACATGTGTTTACAAGAAACTATACTGAAAAAGAGATATGTCTAAGATTAACTTGTATGAATGTCCATGAGAAATTCTCCAAAATTCTCCAAAATAAATTCTCCAAAATAAATGAACACAGTATGATTCTATCTGGATAAAAAAAAACAAAACACCTGCATATGCTCATATTGTTATGGGCATGAAGAAGATTATGGAAGATTATACTTTAGATTGGGCATAATTATTCTTTATATAGTCCCACTATAGATAAGCATTATTACTTTGTGATTTTATGAAACTAAATAAAATAAAAATAGACAAAAATTGAGGCATCTTGGACATCTTGCCATATAGCTAAAATACATTCGATTTTTTCATTTGTGTTACAATTGTTTCTGCCAAAAACCATTATTATCATCTCAGGACCATAATAAAGGAGGAAGAGATCTGCTAATTCCTCAGTGATCAATGACAAAATTCAACGAGGCACTCCCCATGGTTTATATATCTTAATGTATTGTCAACATTCTTGTCACCCTAATTACTCAGTTCAAACATTTTTTAAACACTGCTATTGATCATGCAAAAACTAAAGGCTTTATTCAGATCATATAGAAAAAAAATAGTTCCATGTTACTATAAAGAAGAGACTAACATGGAAGTAAATCTGCCCCAGGTGTAACTTAATATTTTGTTTCCTGCATTGGGAGGTCACTAAAAGGCCGCTAAAACTAGAGTCGATTGAGGCTGATTCTCGGTTGTCTAGCTTTCCTGCTCTGTGTGCCGCGGGCAAATCTTTGCTCTCTGAGAAGCTCAGTGGGCCCCATCATAAAAGGACAATGAAAATCCTAGCCACACCTATTGAAGTGATCATTATGAAGACTAAATGTGAAAATTGTGAAAATGTGGGTGAAAACATCTTTAATAAGTCTGGCACCTGAGAATACTTGCTAGATTCCAAGAGTCTTTTTTTTTTTTTTTTTTTTTGAGACAGAGTCTAGCTCTGTCACCCAGGCTGGAGTGCAATGGCATGATCTCGGCTCATTGCAACCTCTGCCTCCCGGGTTCATGCGATTCTCCTGCCTCAGCCTCCTGAGTAGCTGAGATTACAGGCGTGCGCCACCACGCCCAGCTAATTTTTGTATTTTTAGTAGAGATGGGGTTTCACCATGTTGGTAAGGCTGGTCTCAAACTCCTGACCTCGTGAACCACCCATCTCGGCCTCCCAAAGTGCTGGGATAACAGGCATGAGCCACCGTGCCTGGCCCCCAAGAGTCTTATTAAGCAGATAGTGGGAAGAGAAAAGGAGTGAGAATCAGAGACCAAAGTGTTTTCTCAGCCACTGTCTCACTGGGTGACTGTGGCCATCTCAGGTCACCTTTTGTGGACTTGATTTCTTCAGCTATAAAATAAGGGGTTGTTCCGATGATCTCTTCTAGTACCTTACTTCTAATATTTATATTAGGTTGGTGCCATTAAAAGTAATGGCAACAACCATGATTACTTTTGCACCAATCTAATAGAAAAAATTCAATTCTCAAATCTGTAAGTTTAGAAAATTTTTACTATTTGTACATTTGTATTTCCTTTTGGGAAGAAAAGAATTCTTAAATTCTTTAACCATCCCCGTAAATCTAAATATTACTTTAGTTGAATGTACTTTATGCACATAAAGTCACCAAAACTATTTCTTGATTACTAAATGATGATGAAAAGTATTTCACAAGGTCCAGATAACAAATGAAGACAAATGTTTCCATAATCCTCTTTCCTTGAAAGTACATAACCTTCATTTATCTTCAGGGATGACATCTATTCCTTTAAAAATATTTCCTTTATTAGATGCATTTTAGTGTCTGTCGGTGCCTCTTCATGATTCTTACATCTATTATAAACTGCTGAGCCCTCAAATCTCTCAGCTGAGATGCGGTTCTGCTGACTTCCCGCATTCCTGTTGCTGATTGATGGGCTTCTTCCTAATGGAGCTGCCAAAAGATCAAAATGCACAAATTGTACTTTGCCCCTATTAGGACTGTGGTCCAATGGAACTCTTGTCAAATACTTTAATTCACACCTGCCTCTGCCCACTGAAATGCAGGTTTTATTTTATAATAAATAACATGTTTTTATATGAATATAGACTATTGCATTTGTGCTAACTTCTGAGTTTTTTCATCTTGTTTTGTTTGTAACTAATTCAGTATCTTTCTTGACACAGCCTTGTGTATATCACTCATCTGTCAAATACATCCAATGGCTCAGGCCAGATACCTCTGTGATCGTTAGTTTTGTGTGTCAATTTCACTGGGTGACAGGGTGCCCAGATATTTGGCCAAACATTATTCTGGGTGTGTCTGTGAAGGTGTTTCTGTATAAGATATATATTTGAATTGGCAGATTCAGTAAAGCAGATTGGGTCTCATCTGATCAATTGAAGACCCAAATAGAACAAAAAGGCTGAGAACGAGAGAGCTTCAAGCCTCGCCACTTGAGCTGAGACATTGGTCTTCTGCCCTGGAACTGGAACTTACCCCATCAGCTCTTCTTGTTCCCAGGCCTTTGGATTCAAGCTGGAACTAAAACACCAGCTTTCCTGGGAATTCAGTTTATAGACTGCAGATCCTGGGTCTTCCTAGCCTCTATAATTCTGTGGTCAATCTTTATAATACATTTTATTTATTTATTTATATATATATGTATATATATAATCTCCTATTTTTTGTTTTTATGGAGAACCCTAAGACAACCTCCACCCAGGTTTCAAGGTCTTCCTTAATTCAACCCCACCCTAACATCCAGTCTCATTTCAAAAGATTAATATTACTATATGAACAGTTTACAGCATGCCAAGCGCTGTGCTAAGGGCTTTATATGCATCATCTCAATTAATCTGTATAACAGTACCCTGAGGTAGGCCTATTTTTATTTCCCTTAAGAGATAAGAACACTTAGCCTCTGAATAATTCTGGGAATTTAGCCCAAGCCTGCCTGACTCCTAAATCTGTATTATTAGTCTGAGTCTATGCTATCTCCACAACCTGACAAATGAGCCCTTCTACAATCATTTGGCTGAAACTTTCAGTTCGTTTTGGTCTCCATGTCTTAGAAAGGTAATTATTTCTAAACTTTGTTGCATAACAGAATGACCTGGGGGATTTTTTTTTTTTTTTTTTAATATCTAAGGTGCTCAGCTCTAACATTCAGAGCCGCAGTTGTTCTGTGGTGTGGTTCAGGAATCAGTCTTTTAAAGTTCCCAGGTGATTCTAGCAGGCCAGACTGCAAGTCAATATTGGGAATAAGGGCCTTAGGGGTTAGACCAGTGGTTCTCAATCTTTAACCTGTATCAGAATCACCTGGAGGTCCTGTTAAAACACAGGCTGCTGAGTCCTGCCTCTCAAAGTTTCTAATTCAGTAGATTTGGGATAGGGTCCAATAATCTGCATTTGTGATAAGTTTCCATGTAATCCTACTACCAGTAGTCCAGGGACCACACTTTGAGAACCACTGGGTAAAGCTCTTCTCCTTGCTTTAAATATGTTCTTTGTACCTTCCTCAAATCCAAATTTCTGCTTATCCTTAAAGCCAACTTCTCCATAAGGCCAGCCCACTTTGGAACTTCCGCTCCTTCCTCTTCCGCTTCCTGCAGCCTCTATTTACCCCGTGTCATCCAAGCTGGCAGGTTCTGGCAGCCCAGGTGAACAATGCATTCTGGCTGTTTTTGTTCTTTCCTGTGATAGCAGGATGTCTAACTTCACAGTTAAAAAGCCCGATAAATCTGTTTAGGAGCTGCCTGGTATGTCGATGTGTACACATGCTCTCAGCCACAGCGGAACCCCCCCTTCCTCTTCTCCCATTTATCTGCCCCAGTCTCTCTGAGGATGCTATGAAGGCTGTCTGGACGTGGCTCAGAAAACTGCTGTGAAGACCGCAGGGAGCACAGGACGGCCGAGTCCCCAGCGCTGCCTGTGCCAGGCCTGGCCCACCTGCTGCTGGCACTAGGGACTCAGCACTTTGCGGAAGCTTGGGTATGACAGCCCTCAGTCGACGTCCCCACTGGCTAATTTCCACACTCTGAACCAGACCCCTCTCCCTGGGAGCGAGGAGTGAACCACAGGTATGCTCCATGTGACAGAATATTGTGTGTCCTGACCCTCAACCCTGAAACTTTTAGGCTGTGACTGATACTTCACTTAGGGTGCATTCTTTCTTACAAGCCACGTTGGTCCCTCTTGCTAATAGAATTCCTGAAAAGACCACCCCACTAATTCTCCAAACCCAGCTACGCATGTCTGAATCAGAGGATGAATAATGCAGCTTAGGCATTTTTTTTTTTTTTTTTTTTTTTTTTTTGAGACGGAGGCAACTCTTGCTGCTAGGCTGGAGTGCAATAGCGTGATCTCGGCTCACTGCAACTTCCGCCTTCCAGGTTCAAGCAATTCTCCTGCCTCAGCCTCCCGAGTAGCTGGGACTACAAGCGTGCACCACCATGCCCAGCTAATTTTGTATTTTTAGTAGAGATGGGGATTCTTCATATTGGTCAGGCTGTTCTCAAACTCCCGACCTCAGGTGATCCACCCACCTCGGCCTCCCAAAGTGCTGGGATTATAGGTGTGAGCCACCGTGCCCAGACAGCTTAGGCTCTTGACGGGACTCAAACCACACATAACGCTTCAGAGTGACTCTTTCAAAAGAAAAGAAAATTCCTTGAAGTTAGAGATTATTCTTTGTAGTGTAAACTTTTTGCTCCTTACATTTGGCCTACAATGCCAAGAATAACATTAAAAGGTGTGAAGTCATCTCATAATCTGTCCCCAGTTTACACCCCAGCCCTCCAACACCTTCCATTACTTTCCCTCCTCCACTCCCCAAAATCACTGCACTTTTCTAATCCTTCTCTTCCAAGGCCAACTCAAATGCCTTTACCTTTATGACACTGGCTCCCCATCCCACACCCAACAGATTTCTTTGCTCCTTGGTCATCAGTTTGGGAGCCTCCTCTATCACTTGGAGCCCAACCTCTTTCTACCCTTCCTCTCCCAACCCACCCTCAACCTCTGCAGACCACGCCTGCCCCACAAAGGAGGCTATAAAGACTGGTCTCGACTCTCAGGCCAGGCTCCATCCTCCTCCTCTCTGAGGTCCTGGGAATGAGCCTATAGCTCAGAGACTTGAGGGTGCAGGCAGGGGATTGTCCCAAGCCAGGGAGAATCTCCACTCTCCTACTTGAGGCCATTGCCTCAAAAGAACTCTTTGGCTCCCTTTGCCAATTGCTAGCCCCTAGAGGCAGAGCCTTCATTCTGGATCAGATGTTTTGCTCTCCACTGCCTTTCAGACCCTTCTTAGGTCCCATGACAGACTTCATTGATCAGGAACCCAAACCTCGAAATCCCCAAACCAAAGGTCATCCCTGTGCCCCTCACCACTGACTTCAATTTAGTTTCATAATTAAAGACATTTAAAATTAGTTTTGCATGGATCTTACCAACACAGTTCAATCCATATTCTTTCTGCTTATATAAACATACAACATACATGTGTATGGCTATGTCAATGTATGTCCAACAGCCAAGAGTTTAGTGTTTGGGTTATTCATATCAGCAGTAGATAGAATATGGTAAGTCTTTCTTTTAAATTGAATTGGGTTTGCATAACTTGTGAACCCTCTTCCTTTACATCATTCTTGACCCAACTATTGCCCTTTTGTTCCTAGGCTAGTAACTGTGTCCAGTCCTTAGACTTATGCTGTGTACTTTTCTGTTGTCTTTCCTCCTCTATCACCAAGCTTTGAAGTCTCTTCAGATTTTAGGTCTCTATTTGTTCTGCAATTATTATTTGAGATGAAGTCTCACTCTGTCACACAGGCTGGAGTGCAGTGACGTGATCTTGGCTCATGGCAACATCTGGCTCCTGGGCTCAAGTGATCCTCTCACCTCAGCCTCCAGTGCAATCATTTTTAATTCACAATTTTGTTACCTGAAATATAACTCCATATTAAAAATCCCTCTCATCATACTCAGGACTCTGACCTTGCATCCTAAAACTTACCAAAGAAAACTTAAAAATACCAACATCTCAGAAGCTCTTTCTTTTTCTTTTACCGTCATTGCACTTGACTATATCAGGATGGGCTGAAGGATGACAGCAGATCTCATAACACGGGCTAGAAATTCAGGGACTGTGCATTCTGGTTGTGGCTTTGACGTTCGCATATTTATAACCCCAGGGAAATTATTTGAGCTCTTTCTCTGGTCCATGACATACTTGTCAAGTCATGTAGGATTTATGATAAATGTCATGTGTGATCTATGCTAGATGCTGAAAACTAAACATGGGCTTATCTTCTTAGCAGGATAAAATAATTAGCACATTCATTTATTAGAGCAGTAGTTTCTCCCAAAATTGCAGCTCTCTGAATCCCAACCAAATCGGATGCATTTGACTTTTAAGTAGGTGTCCTCACGCATAGCCAGGTTTGAGGAAGCTTGGAATTACAGAACAGGCTTGAAAACTGCTTCTGCAATGGAGACCGACCATCCATCTTTAAAAGAAATTAGTTCAAACTTTTGTCCTCCTGCCTAATTTGTCAGTAACTACTGAAAGATGGCCATGTGTGAATCATCGCAGACATGCCAAGTCTTGAGCCCTTGCAGTTCACAGCAAGATCTAGGCTGTCAGCTGCTCATGCACATTCTCGTGGAACCAGACATGAGGGTTTGACTTAACCCAGTTCATTGGTATGCTTTGTTTAAAAGAAAACTATAAAACGAGGAAGAGAGAGTCAGCATTTTCTGTTGTATAGCTTTCTGTTGTATATTTCAAGACCTCAAAAGTTTTGGATACAGTGCAATTTCACAAACTTATTACACCACCAAAAAGAAGAGTCTCTTAAAAGAAAAAGACCTCAGACATGGATGTGTGCCTTTGCATACCAGGTTGTAATGATATTTCTCAGCAAATTCACCACTTCTTAGATAACTGTCTGCCAGAAAAAATAAAAATTACTGATGAAAACAGACTTCCCCAAAAGGATGTATTTTAAAAATGTTTTTCCAGCTGTGCCCACTCCCACCCTCCATCCTGCCCTTTTGTGCACTCTTTTTTTCTGCTTCCTCAAAATAATACTTTGAGCTAGTGGCTTAAAGGACACCAGGACTTTAATGTCTTCTAATGCAACAGAATCATGAGTTCTAAGGAATATTTGTAATTGGCAAATTTTCCTGGGTCAAGTTGCCCAGTCCTTGAAATCCCCCTTCCCAAATCAAGAGTTTATTTTGAAATCTGTGTTCCTCTAATAACTCAGTCAGTTCAGACTGGGACTATAATCTATGTCTTGGCTTAGGAGCAAAACATTTTCTTAGAGTCATAGGACTCTTAATTGTAGTGTTGGGTTCCCTGATTTCTATCTGACAGTTTACTTCCCAAATATCCCTAACATTTGCCTCCTCACCTCCTTTCCCAAAGCTTCTGCTTTGCTTCAGACACCCCACCTGGCTCTTTACAACAGCCTTCTAATTTCTCACTTTTCTTTCTAGGACATCCTGTATGCTACAGCCAAAGTAATCTGGTCTCCTCTATACACATCTGACTGGGCTAGCCTTTCCTTAAAATCTTCTCAAAAACTCCCCAACCTCCATGGCAAAGACTTTCAACATGTTTTATGTTCCAACACATCTAAGGAAAATCATGAAGGAACACATCTAAGGAAAGCCATTATTGCTAATAATGGTGGCTTTATGGTCAACTGAGTAGAGTACAGTCTCCAAGCTGTTCATGAGCTTGTGCTCATTCTCGTACTATGGTTTGAATGATTGACCCCTCCAAAACTCATTTTGAAATTAATTGTCATAGTGACAGTGTTGGGAGTTGAGAGCTTTAAGAATTATTTAGGTCATGAGGGTTCCTCCTTTATGAATGAGTTAATGTCATTACAGCAAGATTAGGTTCCTTACTGAGGGAGTTGGGTTCACCCTCTCTTGCTCATGCTCTCTCCCCTTCTCTTTGTCCTTCTGCAATGTGACGTCCTCTACCATGTGATGATTCAGCAATGCCCGAGACAGATGCTTCCACCTTGATGTTGGAATTCTCAGCCTCCAGAACCGTGAGCCAATGCATTTCTGTCTATTATAAAGTTCCCAGTCTCTGGTATTCTGTCATAGCAATACAAAAGATACTAAGCACATTCCTCCTTTCTAGTCCTCTGTGAGACTCATTTAGCCACTCATTTCTAATAGCTTTCGGGTTGTAGGGGCTGCGCTTGCTGCTATATTGGGGTTTTCCAGGGAACAGTGAGTTGTATTTGAGACTGGGAATCTTTCCCATGGGGAATTCTTTAATGTCAACAGAATAATTCAGGATGAAATTGGAAGATTTATTGTGAGACTGGGAGAAGGTCTTGGTGGAGCTAACTGTGGAGGACTGTGGAGGACTGGGAAGAAGGACATATGAACTTTATTTGGAGATTGTTTTCTTTACACCAACTTTCCATTAAAACAAAAGATTTAAAAATGAGATAAATTGCTAAAATGAAAAACTAAAATAAAGCAAATATAGTGAAAGAGAAAAAGGATAAAATAGATTAAAAATAATAAGAGATTATGTCAAGCAATATCCTTAAGCTGATTTAAATAACTTAAAGTGACCGAGCGCAGTGGCTCACACCTTTAATCCCAGCACTTTGGGAGGCCGAAGTGGGCGGATCACCTGAGGTCAGGAGTTCAAGACCAGCCTGGCCAACATGGTGAAACCCAGACTGTTCTAAAAATACACAAATTAGCTGGGTGTGATGGTACACACCTGTAGTCCCAGTTACTTGGGAGGCTGAGGCAGGAGGATTGCTTGAGTCAGGGAGATGGAGGTTGTAGTGAACCAAGAGCATGCCACTGCACTCCAGACCAGGCGATGAGAGTGAAACCCTGTATCTCATAAATAAATAGCTTAAAGTTACCAACAACTTCTCAGAGGAATGGAGGTTACCAAGTTTCTTGGATGTTTTTAGGGGAGCAGTTGTTTAGTCTGGAAAGTGGGTACTGTTTATTCTTTTTTTTTTTTTTCTGAGATGGAGTTTCACCCTTGTTGCCCAGGCTGGAGCACAATGGTGCAATCTTGGCTCACTGCAACCTCTGCCTCCCGGTTTCAAGCAATTCTCCTGCCTCAGCCTCCCAAGTAGCTGGGAGTACAGGCGCCTGCCACCACACCAAGCTAATTTTTGTATTTTTAGTAGAGACTGCAACCTCCGCCTCCCAGTTTCAAGCAATTCTACTGCGTCAACCTCTCGTGTAGCTGGGATTACAGGCGCCCACCACCACGCCCAGCTAATGTTTGTATTTTTAGTAGAGATTGCAACCTCCGCCTCCTGATTTCAAGTGATTCTCCTGCCTCAGCCTCCCAAGTAGCTGGGATTACATGTGCCCACTACCACGCCCAGCTAATTTTTGTATTTTTAGTAGAGATGGGGTTTCTCCACGTTGGCCAGGCTGGTCTTGAACTCTCCACCTCAGGTGATCCACCCACCTCGGCCTCCCAAAGTGCTGGGATTACAGGCATGAGCCACTGCGCCTAGCCCCGGGTACTTCTTATTCTTTTTGGCTTCTTATTTAGTATGCCTATCAGGCATCTGTATTTGAATAGTACCAGAAGGTAGGCCTGGCTAATTCTGTGTTTGAGCTAAAACAAACTACCATGCTAGGGTAGACTCAGCCTCTCCCTTCGTCCAGGCCACTCAGACACAACATCTGGAAATGACTGCATGTTTCTGAAAAGAATGGAAAGCAGGCCGGCAGCAGACACTAAAGAGCCATTTAAATTTATTCTGGAAGAGTAATCAACTCCAAACTGCAGCCTAAAGCTGTGAGCTATGGGCACATTGAAAGTTGATGTCATCATCTCCTTCCTTTGCATCTATGAACTGAGAGTCTTTCCTTCTATATTAAAGCAAAAAACAGAACACGGGACCCTAAATAGATTTGTGCTATGATCCTGATGGCTGCATGTCATAGTACGTGTTCTCATATGTACTAAAGCACACAATGAAATTATTTTACAAAAATACTACCACTCATTGTGATCAAATTACTGTCTCAAAAATGGTAAGATATAGCAAGAGCATTTCTGCTTTCATCTTCAAACCTATGTCAACCATTTCAACACTGTAAACTTGGGGACTGTTTATCGACAGAAACATAGTAGTGTCATCTTGTATGCAGAGCCCACGACAAGACACCCCAAGGGCACATCTTTTGGGGAAACCAAATTTAACATCTTTCTCAGTCAAGATGACCCTATCCATTGAGACTTCCTTACTTAAGTATCTTAAAAATCGTAGCCTTATATTAAATGTAAACCCTTCCTCACAATTCTAATGCCAAAATCACTCACCAGTGAGACAGCAGAACCAACAAAGGATGCAAGGACCTTCAGAAAAATTGCCTTGTAGAATTGACCAACCCACCTCATTACATTTGAAATGTAAGCATGGGTTGGCATTTAGCAAAACTTTTTTTTTTTTTTGAGACTAAGTCTCGCTCTGTCACCCAGGCTGAAGTGCAGTGGTGTGATCTCAGTTCACTTCAGCCTCTGCCTCCTGAGTTTAAGCAATTCCCCTGCCTCTGCCACCCGACTAGCTGGGATTAGAGTCATGTGCCACCATGCCCGGCTAATTTTTGTATTTTTAGCAGATATGGGGTTTCACCATGTTGGCCAGGTTGGTCTTGAACTCCTGGCCTCAAGTGATCTGCCCGCCTCAACCTCGCAACGTGCAGGGATTACAGGCATGAACCACTGTGCCTGGCCTAGCAAAACTGTTTTTAAAGGACTGCTGGTTTACTAGCTACTTGAATATAGCACAGTTTCTGGTGTGGGGCTGCTCTCAGTGAGAATAAGTAGGCACGTAGCTAGTTTCATAAAAGGGAGGGCCCTGTGGCTCACCGCTCTCCCCAGGCAGCCTGGGGAACAGGACCTGCACCGGCCCACCTTGCGGCTGCTACTAGGAGCTAGTGGAGGGCTTGCTGGGCCTTCCTAGACCAGGAAAAGAAACTTAATTAACCTTTAATTAGGCAAAATATATAGGTGTAAAGTCTTATGCTATAAAGCTTTACTAAGACCAATCACAAGGAGGTCACATTTTCACACAAAATTGTTTGAACTAAACCAAAAAGGAAAACAAAACCAAACCAAAAACCCTGAATCTTCTTGAAATGACAACACTCCTTAAAGGCTAAGTGCCTTGGATGGCCATATATTTGCATAATGACTTGCTTTTTGTTCCTTTGTTTGTTCTCACTAATTGCTTTAGAATACCTCTTTTACTCTGCTCTTTGTCATCTTGATAGAGCCCAGTCCTTTGATATGGACAATGGGATCCTTAAAGGCGCAGTGTAAAAAAGGAAGCCTGGCCTGGCCTGTGGAGCGTGGGAGAACCAGAGCCTGGAGGAGAGGACTAGATGGATCCCTGGAGTTTTCCCTTTAGAGCTTTCTGGTTAACATCAAGAGAAAAGGAGTTAGAGGATTTGGGGAGAACTTAGACCTGAATACTTTTCTCTCTCTGGACTTTAAGGTCCTCCAACTATGAGTGAATAAAATCTCCTAAATTGCCAGAAACCAACTGGTCCCTGACTCCACCAAGTTCCCTGGACATCTATGAGTCTAAGACTATAGTTAGGATGGTTCTAAGACTGGCAGTAACTTCCCACAAATTCCAAATGCAACTGCACTGAGCTCACACAGGCCAGGCCCAGGACATCAAACAATGTTTGCTGAAGAAAGAACTCTTCGTAACTGACGATCTTTTGTCCTAAATTCCGGCCTAAGCCTTGTTATTTTGATATTTGGTTTATTAGTCCATTCTCACGCTACTGTAAGGACATACCCAAGACTGGGTAATTTATAAAGGAAGGAGGTTTAATTGACTCACAGTTATGCAGGGCTGGGGAGGCTTTAGAAAACTTACGATCATGGCAGAAGGGGAAGTAAACACATTCTTCTTCACACAGCAGCAGGAGAGAAAGTGCAGAACGAAGGGGAGGCAAAAGCCCCTTATAAAACCATAGATCTCATGAGAACTCACTATCACGAGAACAGCATAGAGGTAACTGCTCCCATGATTCAATTACCTCCCACCAGATCCCTCCCATGATACGTGAGGAGTATGGGAACTACAATTCAAGATGAGATTTGGGTGGGGACACAGCCAAACCATATCATTTGGCTTCCTTTCCATTGGCCTTGGCAAACCCAGTAAAATCCCCTCTGGCCCTACCTCTCTTGGTTGTATAACTGTCAGGATTGGAGATTAGGCTTGCCTCATTCTTGCTACAGGCTGTCTTGAAGATAAAAAACTATGGCCCTCATCTTGTCTTTGTCCATTATTCCTGTTTTTGTAAGTTCACGAGAAGCCCAGGACTACTTACTACTAGGTGACCATGCATCACCACATGAGTCTGTACATCCCCTTAACCAAACCGTGACCCACACAAACAATATGAATCATATGACACCAGGACATCCTATGTAGACACACTTACTCTCACTGTCTTAGTCTGTTCTGGCTGCTATAACAAAATACCATAGACTGGATGACTTATAAACAACAGAAATCTATTTCTCACAGTTATGGAGGCTGGGAAGTTCAAGATTAAGACACCAGCAGATTTGGTGTCTGTGTGAGGTGGGGGATGCTTTATCGTGGATGACCGTTTTCTCACTCTAATCTCACATAGTGGAAGGGCAAGTGGTCTCTCTGGCCTCTTTTATAAGGCCACTAATGCCATTCATGAGGTCTCTGTCTCCATGACCTAATTATTTCCCAAAGGTTCCACCTCCTAATACTATTACCTTGAGGATAAAGATTTCAACATATGAATTTCAGTAGAACATGAACATTCAGACCATAGCACATACAAACATATCATGTACACATACACACATATACTATGCACACATAGGTACACCACACACACCCAAAACCACACCATTCACATATGACAACACTCAAACACATCCTACATACCATATACACATCACACATAACATGTCTACAAGTACATACCACATGCACACATATGCTTGAAACAACAGATTCATAAAGCTGGACTTCATTCTACTATCCACTCATATTGTTTATGTAATCCTGTTTTATTTTTTAAAACTACTAATCACAATGTGCTAAGTTGATTCCACAAAATGCTAATATGTGGCAACTTGCAGTTGGAAAACCACTGTCCTCATGATGAAAGAAGCCCATTATCAGCAAGAACATACCTGTGTCCATGGCTTCTCTTCACTTTCATCGCACCTGAGCCTGGCTCTCCTTTGAAGACATCATGCTTCTGCCAACACTCTCAAGTGGAGATGGCCTCCTCTTTTACCACCTTTGTTCCACTGCTCCTTGAGGTGTTCCTCTTGTTTCTCTTTGCTGTTTCCAGATTATTCTTCATCTGTCTTCCTTAAAAGCCTCCACTTTCATCCTCACATGTTATAGAGTATACACCCAATACTTTTCTCTTTTGTTTTTGTCATTGTCTCTCCGTTGAAGTTTTCAGCCCTTGAAGATTTTAGCACAGCCATGCAATCTAGGACCTCTTCCATGATAATTCTTTGTGATGTCCATAAATATCTGTTCAATGACTGAGTGAACTGACTTTTTCTTGGTTTGATTTGGGTGATCTCAACTCCATAGGGTATACTGCAAATGAGTCTAGCTGTTACCTGTGGATTTCCTACTCTAAGACAGCCTATCTGAGCCTAAAGGAGTGTTTCCCAAACAAGGCCATATTAGAGCTTTTTCAGTTTATAAAATATGCTCTCCGTGTCACCAGAACTCAGTCAGGCACAATGAATGCTGGGAACTGCAGCAGCAAGTCTAATACCAGATGGCACAAGTCAGCATGTATGACCCTGTGAGCCTTTAACTGCATTTCATTCTTCATGAGGATTAGGTCAGGAACTATGCCAGACAAGTTTGCAAGTGCCAGTCCTCCAGCTGAACAGGATCTGCAAAAGAGCAAGCTTAGTTTTACATGAATCAAGATGGATTTTTCTCTTGGGTTTTTATTTTTGGCATTTTAGGATTATTATTATAAAGGTCAATAATAAGAGCAACTGCCTGTCAGTTACCTGGCACCGTGCATGGCATTTTTCATATATTATGTAATGTAAACCTCTCAATAATGACAGAAAGTAGGAGATTATTATTCTTGACTTAGAAATGGCCAGTCAGTCACTCAAGTAACAGCCTGATTACAGATGTGCTTAGCTGATTAAGGATGTGCTTAGCTTGAACAAAACAGGACAAACAAGGGGCAGAAGGAGGCCCTGAAGGTGAAGGACAAACTCTGCAGTCCTCTACCAGGAGGGACTTGGCAAATGCTAGTGGAAAGAAAGGCAGGAGAACATTTCTTGAAGGCCTTCAAATTCCTGAGGTTCTCCAGTCTCCCTTTTCTAAGTGGGGGACACCTGCTCTCAGCTGTGTGCCACAGGACAGAAGCAAAGCTGGGAAGGTCATGCCTCTGTCTTCCTACTATAAGGCACTCAGGAAGGAGCCCCAGGGTTGGCATTTTAGAAGCCTTATTGATTACCACCCAGATGTGTCTTTACCCTCTCCCAGTGAAACATGCTCACCCAAAATTCAGACCAATATTTAGATATTCATCGAAAATATGCTTGTAATTTTAAGTCTGTAGGCTTTTTTGTTTTTTCTTTAGACAGAGTCTTGCTCTGTTGCCCAGGCTGGAGTGCAATGGTGACATCTCGGCTCACTGCAACCTCCACTTCCTGGGTTCAAGCAATTCTCCTGTCTCAGCCTCCCGAGTAGCTGGGATTACAGGTGCGTGCCTCCACACCTGGCTAATTTTTGTATTTTCAGTAGAGACGGGGTTTCACCACGTTGGTCAGGCTAGTCTCAAACTCCTGACCTCAGGTGATCTGCCCACCTCAGCCTCCCAAAGTGCTGGGATTACAGGCGTGAGCCACTGCACCTGGCCAAGTCTATAGGCTTTTACTAACTTAGTAGTTTGGTGACACTTGAAAGGGATTCCTCACATGATCCCTTGAGCCCAGGAATTTGTCGTGAACTGCATGCTTGTGTTCCCCTCTCCAATATTCATATGTTGAAACTTTAACCCCCAAAATGATATTGACAAAGATGGTGTCCTAGGGAGGAATTAGGTTTAGATGAGGTCATGAGGGTGGGGTGCCCTATGATGGGATCAATGCCCTTATAAGTAAAGGAAAAGAGATCAGAGTTTTCCTCTCTCCACCATGTAAGGATACTAGATGATGGCTGTTTGTAAACCAATAAGGCAGCCCTTACCAGACACCAGATTTGTAGGCTCCTTGGAATTCCAAGGATTGTGAGAAATAAATGTGTACTGTTTAAGCCACCCAGTCTATGGTATTCTGTTATGGCAGCCTGAACTTACTCAGAGAGTATCTCAGGCCCAAAAGGGAGACTCAGTGTTTTTATCTAACTGGATTCCTCATCAGTTATAATGATGGAATTAAAGTTCAGAGCAGTGAACAAGGTTTTTCATGGCATGGCCAATATAAATAGCAGAGGAAAACTGGAATCCACGTACTTTCTGCTGTCACCAGCATAGACCAGCTAGAGCAGGTAACTGCTGAAGATTCTTTGTGTAATTAGATCTTCAAGATTGCTTCATATTTCTCCCTAAAGTAAACTTCCCTCCGGGCGCGGTGGCTCACACCTGTAATCCCAGCACTTTGGGAGGCCGAGGTGGGTGGATCACCTGAGGACAGGAGTTCGAGACCAGCTTGACCAACATGGTGAAACCTCAGCTCTACTAAAAATGCAAAATTAGCATGGCGTGGTGGTGCATGCCTGTAATCCCAGCTACTCAGGAGGCTGAGGTAGAAGAATCACTTGAACCCAGGAGGCAGAGGTGGCAGTGAGCTGAGATCATGCCATTGCACTCCAGCCTGGGCAACAAGAGTGAAACTCCGTCGCAAAGAAAAACAAGATATAAAATAAACTTTCATTTTTGGTGCCAATTAAATGGGTGCAGTTACTGAATCCATCTGAAATAACAATGGATCCTTAAAGAATGCCTTGAGAAATCTTGAGACTTGTTTCTGAAGTTAGGCTTTAGACTATTTCTCCCAGCAGTACAGACCAATCCTTTCCTGGGAGGTTTCTGCACAGTGACAGGATAATGTTAAGGGAAGTGACACAAAAGGGAGAATCTTACATATTCATAAGCAGCTTCTAGCAATGTCAGAGAGGCTGTTATAATCATGCTGGTCTTAATAAGCTTGTTAACGGACCTATAGAAAACAACTGTAGCAGTTATTTTGATCAATTATGGATATACCACATCCAGAGTCTTTTCATCTTGCCCTCCTGGATGTTGGTGAGTGCTTTTATAAATACCATAGTAAGCAGAGGCAGCTGGCTCTCAACTGACTATTGTGTGAGTAATTGGCATCACCAGATACCAGGTGATTTGATCTGTCATGATAATGTCTGTGCACCATTTGAATGAAATGAAGTAGCACATTTACTCAAGGACGGCTTTTTTCTTACTGAATCTTCAAAAACAACGTGGGTAGAACCCTCCATAGCCCAAGCGGGTTGTAGAATGTGTCTAACATTTAAAAGGATGATTGAGGGGATCCTCAGAAGAGTGGGTCAGTAGAGAGTGGAGAAACTAGATGGTTTTATGGAGGAGTTCCTGCTCGGGAGACGTCCTGGTTGGGTAGGTGATGGTGGTGTAGAATGGTGCTGAGGGTATCATCTACCCTGTGGCTGACTGTGCGGAGCATCCAGGCTCTATGCTGAACTTTCAGCCTGTGCCAAGTGTCAGGTGTATCCTTCACACTACTGGACATATGATTCCTGCCTGCCCATCTGCTCCTACACTCATGGGGGCTTGTTGTAGAACAACTGAATTAAACCCTCAAGCCTTGGTTCTGGCAATTTCTAGACTTATCGTCCATACCTTTAATAACCCAATGTACCTCATAATTTAGTCTATATTCCAGAAGCAATACAAAGACCTGGAGCTTCTTACCTTAAAACAAAACAAACAAACAAACAAAGAAGAAGCAAATCCTCAGCATAACTAGAAGATACAAAACTCTTCAAACTTCAAATTACACACAAGTAGAAAATTGTGCACTGAGTTCTCAGCAGTGCCTTCTCTGAAGCTCATGCCACAAACCCCTGCAGAAAGCAAAGGAGAGGGGAGGGTCTGGAAAAACTAGATGGAACAGTGAAGAGAGGGTTGTGCTGAAATCATTCCCAGAAAAAGAAAGTCTACTCTAAGTAGTAAAATAGTGAAAAAAGGAAGGGAGTTACCAATATAGGAAGAATGAAGAGTAGAATGAACACTGTGCTGCAGGATTGGAATTGTCAATATCCAAATAAACTTATGGCTTTTAATGGATGGATAGATAGATAGCTAGATACATACGTGGATAGATAGAAACAAAAATACATATATTAGGTTGGTGCAAAAGTTAATTGTAGTTTTTCCCATTACTGCTAATGGTAAATACAGCAATTATTTTGCACCAACCTTATATATATGTATATATGTATGTATAGTGTGTGTGCATGATAAACACCTACATGTATTTCCTATTTCTGTCCTTTTAGAGGCCCTAGAAGCAGCAATACTCTGACAGCAATTACCATATCTAATGCTCACATTTCGGTTTTAAATACCCTTTTCCACTAAAAGGGACAAGACTTCTCAGCAAAATGACTGAATCCAGGGCTGTGATTGGGAAAGTATAAGATTAATCTGGAATATCTTGTGACACTGAAAAGTAAGTGCGTGCTTAGAGGATGATTGGGGACCAGTCAAAAAGATACAGGTGATAAATCAAAGGCCACATCTGCACACCATGACACCGTGGACAAATGGACACATGGATACACAAAAAAATAATGATAGTAACAGATAATATACCACTGAATAAAATAACTCATGAGTTCATACTCATATAAATGAATATATAACTAGGGAAGAAAGAAAGCCCTTTGTTATTGAAGCTCTTAGATGCCAACTAATAAACATAGAAGGAATGATGGAATTCGAATTTTGCTATTTGACACCATCATAGTAAACATCCTGGGTTAAGAAGTATCAATGGATGTTAAAACCAGTAGGTTAAAGTTTGACAAGGAAGAGAACATTGACATAGTATCAAAGCATCTTCTATAAATTACTTAATAGTTAGAAAGAGAAAATAATAACTTAACAGCAGGGAAACCTGGCTGGCAGACACCACCTTAGCAAAGTGATCAAATCATCATTCCTGAGGTATCCCTGCCAAAAATGCAAAATCAAGAGAAAACATAAGAGAAACCCCAAATGAGGAACATCTACAAAGTAACTAGTCTTTACTTTTCAAAAACATCAAGGTCATAAAAGACAAAACCACATTTTTTAAAGATAAGTAGCTGTTCCTGATTATAAAAGATGAAAGAGACATGACAACTAAATGTAATATATAATTTCAGTTTGGATTCTGGATCAGGAAAATAAAATTATTTTAATTTCTTCTTTTCTTTTTTCTGTAAAGAGCATTATTAGGACTATTGGCAAAATCTGAATACAGTATCTTGTTTAGATGGTGACATCAATATTCATTCTGTAATTTTGATAATTATACTGTCACATAAAAGAATGTCCTTGTTCTTAAGAAATACATAATGACATTTTTAGGGTAAAAAGATAATGAGAACGCAGGTGGGGCAAAATGTGAACAATTGGAAATGATGTACTATTCTTGCATCTTTGCTATAAGTTTGAAATTACTTGAAATTTCAAAGTTATAAAATTGAACAAAAGCTTAAAGATTCCACTACATGTAAAGTGCCTAACAGCAAGGCTGACCAAGAGCTGTCAAGCTTTGGCAAAATAAGTAAATAAGAAAACTCAATTTCTAGTGAAGTAAATAAACATGACGCAGTCATAGAACTAAAGGAATTGCTTTATTTTTTTCATTTTGTTTCCAATTTGATATGTTAGAACAAATAAAATTCTCTTCTCTAGAATACTGAGGAATAAAGATATTAAACCTCTGTGATGCGGAGTATTCCACCCAGGTTCCCTAGGATGTTATCAGAACAGATGTGTTCATTGTCCCGGAGCATCACAATAACTAAAGTGGAAAGATAATCTCCATGCAGGATCTCGGATAAAGGTGACAGAAGAAAGAGATCACAGCATCTCCCATCCTAAACACCTATAGAAGTGAAAAAGAGAAGGGCTCCTCTATCTTGCCCCCAGCCCCCAATTATCAGTAGAGCATTCATAAGAAAAAAGGAGAGACTTACCCTTCAAATTCCAAAGTCTGACAAGCAGAGAAAAAGAAACGTTCTGGCACAGCGGGGCATTCTTAGAACTCCGAAGTGGCAATGAGGAAAGATTCCTTTATAAACCCTTAAAGAATTGTCAAAATACCTTGCCAATTCTACCTGTTCCCCTAGCATGCTCCCACTTCCACACACTCCCTGCAGTATCCTGATTTGTAGAGAAGTAATCTAAAGGGCTAAGTAAGCAGACTGGAGAAAAGTCAATAAAAAAACTTCTAGAATCTCAAAAAAGGTAGGAAGTACTACCCATTCTTCCCAGTTCCTGAGGTTCTTGCTCAACTGGGGACTGTTAAACCTCCTGCATGGATGGGTAGGCACTGGCCCAGGACATCTAACAGCACAGCACAAGGCTTCTAACAAGGAGCACATCCAGCCCCCAAAGAGCCTTCCCTGCCATGTCTTGCACGCTCAGCCCACAATCAAGTACACACAAGTCAGTTCTTCATAAGTAGCTCAGGCTATATGTAAGGTGGGGAGAGATGAAGTTTCCAAAAAAAGGTGGGGAAGGACATCAGGGAGAATTCACCCACATTATGCAAGAGCAAAGCAAAGGTCTGAATACAGCTGCTCAGGTTAAGCAGGAGCAAACTGACAAGAAATGGCACGGCAGCTATGTGAATGAAACCACCCTTGCAAAAGTTGTATCAGTGAGAAACTTAGTAAGCTAAGCTAACCCAACCCCTATCTTGCCTTTCCCTTAATTATTCCTGGGCTACTGGGCCAAGCTAACTTCGGAAGACATTTAGGGTACCGTTTAAATGATAATGTTGTAGGAGTTATTAAGAAATTATTTTAGGCAGACAGAGAGGAAAAGGGGTCCTTGGGAAGTTTCATTTTTAAAGCTGCTCCAGAAACGTTTTTTGTAAAGCCCTGGCTCTTAGAGCCAGGCTGGCAACCTTTGATATGCAAATGCAGGCCATTAGAAACTGGGTCCACCCAAACATTGCGATTACTGCTGCCTTCTTGCCCTTGCCGCACGTGGCCGCCCCCACATTTCCCCAGAGTGTAGAACATCCTGTCGCCCTTCATTTGCATATTAAAAGGCCAGGGTGGGACGGCCAGCTTTTTCACGGACTATGTGAATGACATGCCTATTCAAACCAATCCCCTGAGCCCTATGCAAATCAGACACCGCCTCCTCCAGCCTCTGTGTATATACCTGGCTGGTAACCCTGGCAGGTATGGTTCCCTCTCTCGGCTTTGGAGCCCCCCTTCCTAAGTCTCTGTACAGAGGAGGTTCTTCTTTCTTTCTTCCCCCTTCCTTCTTGCTTGTTAAACTCCCTCCTCCTTAAAACGACTCCACATATGTCCACGTCATTTTTTCTAATTTGACTCGAGACGAAGAACCTAGTGTTCTCCACCCATCAGAGCCGTATCAATGATAGGCCTTGCCCAAAACTCAATCGCTTTTGTAAAGCTAATAGGAGGCCATCAGGCTGAGGGGAGGAGAGGAGCCTGCGTCCTGCTAAGGTGCAGACAAGTATTCCGGAGGTTATAAGATATGCAACTTCCCCCAGTTACTCCTGCAAATACCACCACTGCTGTAGATCGGACTTTGGAGATACCTTTCCAGGTTTTCTGCATGTCTGACACCCATGGCTCCACCTGGAACCGATGACTCCACCTGCAGAGACAACCCCGCTCCTGTGGCTCCACCCTGAAGCCATTCAGCTGGCATGAGGAGAGCATCAACCCCCTATGATTTCGTCTCTGCCCCAACCAGTCAGCAGCAAGCCCCTGTTGCATGGCCACCCCCACCCGTTCCCCCAAACTGCCTTTGAAAAAACCCTAACCTATGAGCTTTGAACAAGATGATTTGAGTAGGAACTCCATCTCCCATGTGGTGTGGCCAGCCTCATGTCTGTTAAACTCTTTCTCTACTACAGCTGGAAAGGAGTCCGGATCCAGACCCCAATAGAGGGTTCTAGGATCTCACACAAGAAAGAATTCGAGGTGAGTCAATACAGTAAAGTGAAAGCAAGTTTATTAAGAAAGTAAAGGAATAAAGAATGCCTATTCCATAGGCAGAGCAGCCCTGAGGGCTGCTGGTTGCCCATTTTTATGGTTATCTCTTGATTATATGCTAAACAAAGGGTGGATTACTCATGCCTTCCCTTTTTAGACCATATAGGGTAACTTCCTGTCATTGCCATGGCATTTGTAAACTGTCATGGTGCTGGTGGGAGTGTAGCAGGGAGGACAACCAGAGGTCACTCTCGTTGCCATCTTGGTTTTGGCGGGTTTTAGCCAGCTTCTTTACTGCAACCTGTTTTATCAGCAAGGTCTTTATGACCTGTATCTCAAGCTGACCTCCTATCTTGTCCTGTGACTTAGAATGCCTAACCTCTTGGGAATGCAGCCAGTAAGTCTCAGCCTCATTTTACCCAGCCCCCATTCAAGATGGAGACATTCTGGTTCAAATGCCTCTGACACTATGCTGTTTATGCAGTGGGCAGGAAGAACCTCTTCAGCAGTACAAAAACATGCCACAGAAATGAATAAGGAGAGAAGGAAACACAGCATGATAGTAACACTACAAATATTATATATGTTTATAATATTTTATATACAGCTTAAAACAACATTTATAAAACTAGAGCTGAAAAATAAGATGATATAATTGAGAAGAAAAACTTTACGGATCATAGGAAACATTGAACACAGTTTTACAAAGTTAATAAATGTATTAAAAACGGAGAAGAACAGATAGACACAACTAAAAATTGAATTCCTAGTGTGGACAAAAGCCATGAGAGAAAAGCACATCATGATTATAAAGTCAAGGAAAATTATGAAAGCGATTAGTAAAAAATGATAGTTCTGGGACTAGAGAGTCAACATAAAGACAATAGTTATATCTGAAGCAGAGAAACAAATAGAACAAAGAAAAGATTTTTTAAAAAGTAATCTGGGGAAATTTTCCTGAAATCAAAACAGACACACTGAATATACAGATTGAATATACAGATTGAAAAAAACTGAATATACAGATTGAAAAAAACACTGTGCACTGTATTTTGAGAAAAACAATAGCCAGATTAAATTATTAAAAATCAAGGATGAAGTAAACATTCTTTAGACATACAGGAAGAAAAAATAATTTACTAACATAAGTGAAACATCAGGCTGGCCTTAGACTTCACAGCAATATTTGGTGGAAATTTCAAAGTTCTAAGAGAAAGGAAAGGTGATCCAAGATTATTATAGACAGTCAACCTTTCATTAAACCAAAAGACAATAGACTTTCTCAAACATGAAAGAGTTCCAGAAATATGATAGCTATGAGTTCTTTGTAAAAACAAAAACAAAACAAATCAAGCAAAAACATAATGAACAAAAACCCCCAAACCCATTGCCTTTACATTGTAATGTCAGTGATGGTCAATATGTGGAGGTGTGACAATATCTCCAGTTGTCTGAATGATCAGACAACTGGGGTAGCTTTGGGTGACAACAAAGAAGAGATAATGTAACCAACAAGGCCAGTCACCCTGCGCATCCAGCCTTGGGAGCCAGCTCCTAATTCTCTACCTCTGGCAGCAGTGGGAAGGGAGCACCAGAAAAACTGAACCGACCAGAGGGCAACATAGTGAAAAGTTACTCATCGTGAGACATAAGAAATACTAATTATCCTAAAACTACAGCTCTATGAGCTACTTACCTCTTTGGCAAAAGAAAACATCTGCAGTTTACAGTAGAAAAGCCACAGAGGTAAAATGACCAGATCAGTCGTGGTGGCTCATGCCTGTAATCCCAGCACTTTCAGAGGCCGAGGAGGGTGGATCACCTGAGGTCAGGAGTTCGAGACCAGCCTGACCAACATGGTGAAACCCCATCCCTACTAAAAATACAAAAATTAGCCGGGTGTGGTGGTGCATGCCTGTAATCCCAGCTACTCAGGAGGCTGAGGCAGGAGAATTGCTTGAACCTGGGAGGTGGAGGTTGCAGTGAGCCAAGATTGCACAACTGCACTCTTGCCTGGGCAACAGAGGGAAACTCCATCTCAAAAAAAAAAAAAAGTAAAATGACTAGAAAGCAAATAAATGCAGAGAGAATGTATAACCCCCTATTGTACATATATGACATCCTATGTATAACAAATATGTGCAGTTGGCCCTTGAACAATTCAGGGGTAGGGTTGCTAACCCCAAACACAGCTGAAGATTCACATATAACTTTCGCCTCCCCCAGAACTTAACTACTAATAGCCTACTGTTGACTGGAAGGCTTACCAACAACATAAACAGTCAATTAACATGTTTTGTATGTTATATGTATTATATTCTGTATTCTTACAATAAAGTAAGGTACGGAAAAGAAAATGTTATTTAGAAAATCATAAAGAAAAGAAAATATATTGACTATTGAGTTTGAAGTGGATCTTCATAAAGATCTTCATCCTCAGCATCTTGATATTGAGTAGCATGAGGAGGGGGAGTAAGGGCCTTCCCTTACTTGTTGTCTTCCCTGGCCTTGTTATCTCAGGAGTAGCACAGGTGAAAATAAATGTACATATAAGTGGACTCGCCCAGTTCAATCCATGTTGTTCAAGGATCAACTATATATGTGTACTTATGCACACAAATACATATTGCAATGAATGTGTACAAGTTCTTTGACTTGTCTTCAAATTATCAAAATCCATATGGCCAAAGAGAAGGCCAGCCATTTCCTCTACTAATAAGAAAACAACAACAACAACAACAACAACAACACACACACACACACACACACACACACACAAGGTAAGTTATTAAGGAGAAGCTATCTATCTGCTTGGTCTGTCACCATGCAGCTTCTGATGAGAATTTACCTGGTTCTGTAAACCTGAAGTGAGCAGCAGAGCCAAGGCCCCCTCTGTTGATGTCTGTTTTCTTGGCCTCTGAGCAAACATAAGATTCCAATGGGATATTTTCCCAAGTTGGAAGGACCATAAAAATCATGCCTCCTCCCTTGCAGACTTTGGAGAAGGCTCTTTCCAAGCCCGTCCATGTAGGAGGTTGTGCAGTGGTGTCTCAAGAGAAATGGCAGGTGCAGCAGGTTTTGCAGGAGGCAACAGTCAAGAAATACAGTCACACAGTTTTAGGAGGTGGCTCTTAACAGCGTTAGCATTAAACACATAAAAAATTCACTTTGTTTTAAGGATGTGTGTTCAAAGGTAAGAAAATGTGGAAAGACCATTGGCGACCAGAGATCATTTGGTCCCATCAACCTGTGCAATCTTCGCATCTGGAGAAAGCCAGATGGGCTGTGAGAAAACCTGCACATTCATTCCACCTTCCCCCAGAATGACTTATATGTCTCTTCCAGGTGTGTATCCACAGGTGCTTGCCAATAACAAAAGGTATCTAAGTCAATGGTCTCCAAAATGGGGCTTCAACTCTCCAGGAAATGTGCGTAACAAAACAAAGAAGGGCAGCAAGAAAATAACAGATTAACTGTGTGCATTTGTTTTTTAAATATCCTGTTTCTGTGACATTTATAAATGTATAAATAAATTTTTTTTTTTTGCCTGGGGTCAGGCACTCCAAAACTGTAGCAGGACAAGCTTCAGACAAAACCCCTCAGACACCGAGTTAAAGAAGGAAGGGCTTTATTCAGTCGGGGGCTTGGGCAAGACTCACATCTCCAACAACTGAGCTCCCCACGTGAGCAATTCCTGTCCCTTTTAAGGGCTCACAACTCTAAGGGGGTCCGCGTGAGAGGGTTGTGATCGTGAGAGGGTCGTGATTGATTGAGCAAGCAGGGGGTCCGTGACTGGGGGCTGCATGCACCGGTAAATTAGAAGGAAACAGAACAGGACAGGGATTTTCACAGCGCTTTTCTATACAATGTCTGGAATCTATAGATAACATAACTGATTAGGTCAGGGAGTGATCTTTAACTACCAGGCCCAGGGTTTGGCGCCAGGCTGTCTGCTTGAGGATTTCATTTCTGCCTTTTAGTTTTTACTTCTTCTTTCTTTGGAGGCAGAAATTGGGCATAAGACAATATGAGGGGTGGTCTCCTCCCGTAAAACTATTTATCAAAGGTGAATGATAAAAAGGATAAGCACTACTGACTCTAAAGCCATTCAGATTCAAAAACCTGACCACATTCAACTTATTTCTGCTGTGAGACTCCTGCACTTTGGGGGTTCCCAGGCCTTCCACGTGACCCCCGCCCCCCACCCCAGCACACCTCCCAGATGCATCCTGTGCACAGTGGATGAGGCTCTGAGGAGCAGAAGCAGCTTGAAAGCATTGGCACAGCCTTATGGTCTCAGGACTGTTCAATTATTAGCAAGGAGGGATTGTGGATTTAAATTAGAATGAAACTGATGCCCTAAATATTGTTAATTAAAATGGTATCTTATTTTTCCCTAGCGTGATCTCTATTTGCCACTTAGTTTTAATAAAATAAAAACATTTCATAGAATTTGTCAACCCATAGCAAACATTTTAAAAAGTAGAAAAAAGTTAAAAAGCCTCACTTCCTGAAGACTGTTTATTACTGACAAATGACTTCACTCAGAGCTTATGCTTAACTTTGATTGTAGTGTGCTTAGTTTTAAAAAAATTTATTAAAACTTTCCTTGCTGCCAATTGTTGCAGCCTGAATTTTATCTCCTCCAAAATGCATATGTTGAAGTCCTAACTCCCATTATCTCGGAATGACTGTACTTGGGGATATGCTCCTTAAAGAGGAAATTAAAGTTAAATAAGATTACTGGAGTGGGCCCTAATCCAATACGACTGGTGTCCTTATAAGAAGAGGATGTAATGACATAGGCAAGTGTAGTGGGAAGACCATGTAAGGAGAAGACAACCACCTACAAACCAAGGGGAGAGGCCTTAGAAAAACCAAACCTGATGACACTTTGGTCTCAAACTTCTGGCCTCCAGAACTTGAGACAATATATTTCTGTCGTTTAAGCTGACAATATATTTCTGTTGTTTAAGCCATCCATTCAGTGGCACTTTGTTACAGCAGCCCTTGCAAATGAATATACCAATCAAGAAACAAGTAAATTTTAGGGACACTATTTCCCCTCTTACTGCATGAACTTTCATCACTATCAGAGCTCAGTGGTCCATAGATTACATCTACAAAAGGTTTCTCTCCATCAGCATTTAACATATGACTTAAAATAGATGATTCAACACATTCGTAAATATGGAACATGTTATTAGTTGAAAACTTTTATTTATCAAATTATAATTTCTTGTTCTAGTAATTCACTCCTTATCATGAATATCATCTTCCTCTTAAAACAATTCTGGACAGATTCTTTTTGCTACAGTGAAAATGTTCAAATATGAATTACATCATTGAAAGAAAATATCTCACTATATATTAGGGTATAAAACAGCCAAGGATTGACTTGATGTCCTGATGAAGAAGGAAATTAGTTGATTCACATAATTAGACGTCCAGGATTAGGATATTCGACAGAGTGGATGTAACTTAGTGGCTCTGTTTCTCCATAGTTTCTCTGACTTTGCAACTCCAGGTACAGATTTCCTTCTGGAGAGAGAAGCCCGATGACTGCAGCATTTCCAGGGTTCACATCTATTCACTGCCACACAGGGGCTTCAATAGGCTCTCTGTGGAAGAGTGAGAAAGAACTAAATGTCCATCGGTGGTAGACTGAATAAAGAAAATGTAGTGCATATACACCCTGGAATACTATGCAGCCATAAAAAAGAATGAGATTATGTCATTGGCAGGAACATGAATGGGGCTGGAGGCCATTATCCTTAGCAAACTAATGCAGATACAGAAGACCAAATACCACATGTTCTCACTTATAAGTGGGAGCTAAATGATGAGAACACATGGACACATAGAAGGGAACAACACACACTGGGGCCTATTGGAGGGTGGAGGGTGGCAGGAGGGAGAGGATCAGGAAAACTAACTAATGGGTACTAGGCTGAATTCCTGGGTGATGAAATATTCTGTACAACAAACCCCCATGATACAAGTTTACCTATGTAACAAACCTGCACACGTTTTAGTAAAGAATATCCAAGTGTACTGTTTTTATTTTACAACTTTTTATAAGTTTGAATTAAAAAAAAAAACTTTTCTAGTCATGACAAATATCACATCACATCTCGATGTGTAAGGCACATGCCTGATCTGGAGACTATAATGGGAAATCAATTACTCTTAGATTAAGTTCTTTCCAGAGGATAAAGTGAGCCTTCTCTGAGGAGGCTTAAGATGAGATATAGTGAAAGTCCAAGACAATCGAGGCTCTGTTATGGAGGAGGAGGAAGGAAAATGCGATAGGGTTGGCAAATTTCTTTGCTCCACACCAGATCATTTCTCCGTGGCACAGGTCAGCGGTGAGAACTCAACCCTTGGAGCTACACTGGCTGGATTTAAATCTCAACTCTTCCCCTTATTAGTGATGAGAACTCTGGCAAGCTGCTTAAACTCTGTATAGCTCCTTTTCTGATTCGTGGGGGGAAAAAAGTAAGATGAACAATACTGCCTACCTAATAAGATCGTGGGAGGACTGAATCAGTTATTATATGTAAAGTATTTAGAACAGGGATTAACACATAATAAACAATTGTCTCCTCAGATATAAAATTCAAATGTAATCATGTTCCATTAAAAACATGAACACCTGGAGATTCTTATGTCCTCCAGTGATCACCAAAAGAATTACTATTTAATTTCTTGAAGAAATATTTAAGTCCAAGTAAACCCATTTCCCCATTCAGTCATTTTATGAGTTTTTATAATCAGAAAGGGCTGATCACATGAGCAGAACCCTAAAGGCATCACTACAAAAGTGACATAATTACCTTATTATGACAATCCCCCAAACAGGGAATTGACCAGGGAAATGACCTCAGTGTTAGTCCGTGATGCCTTCACTTGGGAACTGCCTGAGTGTCTAGCTGCAATCCTACCACAGTTGGTAGTAAGGGAGTAGGGGTTGTCAGAAGAATACCAAGTGTCTCAACTCTGTCTAATAGAGGTACCCTTCAATTGCACAGTGGCAACTTTTTTAAAGCAGGGAAACACTGTATTTCCAATATAAAACCCTACATACGATGCACCACAGATGAAACAAATATGAATGAGGTTTCTCTGGTAAAGTGGGGAGTGGAAGATCCCAGCATTCTTCTAACCCCCCTAATCCTGCACAGAGCTGGAGAAGTGGCTCCAATCTTAAACACAAGCAAGCAAACAAACAAATAAAATGCAGAGAATCCTAACCCGGATGAACAGATTATTTTATTAAGGTTTGGAGCTATATCTTGTGGATGGCAGCAAGTACTCTGTTGTGTCTTTGCTACACTGGCCCTGCTGATTCTTGCTGTGTGCTTGGAATCTGAATGCTACCAAGAGTTGGCTGTAGGTTCTTATGAAGGTCTAAACCATTATCAGGTTGCTTAGGGGCAGTGTTGAAGGCTGATGTTTCAGGAACCAGAGATCTTCTTGAAAGAGTCATAAAGGGACAGAGACCAGGAGTAAAAAGACCACGGTTGGGATAAGGAAAATTCAGCACCTGAATTGATCACATCAGGCAGACTAAACTCACAATTCCAATTTGGCCTATCACTAAAGTGAGCTATAATTTATTGCACAATTGAGGATGCTTTAGAGATTGAAAGGAGTTTAATTACTAATTATGCCAGGACACAGTGTAGCTTGTGGATTCCTGTCCGTTATCACCCCCTACTCCAAGCACACCCTCCTGCACGCCCACATATTCCCATTCATGACTCCGCTGATTTTTTCCCTTGGTCTGAACAACTTTGCATCCTCTTACATCAATATTGAAATCGGGCCCTGTACTGCTAAAATGTTCATATCTTCTTATAGGTAACACTATGGTGAGTTGTCAAGACTTTCTAAATGAATCACAGACCAAAAGGCTTTCTCTTAGCAACAAAAATGCTGATCAGACAATGCATTCAATGATAGCTATAAAATGCTTCATAGAATGAAGACACTCTGAGGTCAAATGGAAATTTTGTTGTGCAGAATAAACCCTTGGAAATCTCTGCACTGAGATTCAGACTTTTTGAGAAAGGCGACTGGGATGTTGGCCCATCTATTAAACTCATACAATTATACCCAAGCTTCTTTGGCTCAGTGGTCTCTGAAATGCATGGCTTTGTTGATTGCTTTTCAGAAACTTTTGACACTTATTTAGTTATATAATAAGTGTGATTTCTTTTTAAACTTTTTTGTATTGCTTCCAAGAAACACTTTCAATTCTTTTTCCCAATGAGCAACAAAAGCCCATCTCTTGAGAGCTCTCATTTTACCTTCTCTATTATTTGCTGCCTAAAATCTCAGATTTAGGTGGAGCAAAACCACCATCGGTTTGTAGGATTTATAATTTCAAGTTTCAGTGCTCTTTTTGCTATCATTATAAGAAAATATAATTTAATTATTTTATCTAGGGTAAATTGAAAATTATTTCATACAAGTAATTATTCCCTCATTTTAATAAACCTTGCATTTCACAATGGATTTTTGCATGTGTCAATTTACTTAATTTTTATAACAAACCCATGATATGGGTTGCTATTATGCCATCTTAAGGCTGAAAAAAAACAAAGGTCAGATAGTTTGAGCAGCTTTCCCCAGATCACACAGTCTGGAAATGTCCGAGCTGAACTTGAACACAGTGGACTTGGATCCATTCCATTTCTCAAGACATCACCATTCACTCCTCACTCTTCCTCTCATGATAAATTACAACACCTGAATTCTGAATGAGCCCATCTACTTTGACTCACACGTGGAAATATCTTCTAATCTCTGAATTGTACTCAAACTACAACCCATTATCTTCTCCCCAGTTCCTTCTGTCTCTTCTTTCCTTTGAATTATATAATTTTTTCTTGCACCCTCATGGCTATTCCTGCTTTCCATCCCATCTTCACAGTTATAAAAGGGAGTTGCCTCTGGATCTCATCAAATAGAGCATTGGACTTATTTTAAGAAGTTTCAGCCTAGAATGCACATTTTCTAGTTTTGGAAAGCACTTATGGAAAATTAAACAATCTCAGAAAATCTGTTTAAAGAGAAAACTCTTTGTTCTTTCTTCTGTCTAACCCCTTCCTCTAAAACTCCTTTTCTAAAGAAAACTAACAGACTCAAAATTCCTTGCATAAAGGTTTGTTTGATTATTTTTCTCCAAAATAAAGGACACAGTATAGTGATATAGTGATCTTCAGCCATCTACATTAATGCAGCCAATTTATAGTACTATTAACCTTGATGTCTTAGTGTTAGCAAAGCTTAACCTACATTAATGTAGCCAATTTGTATTATTAACCTACATTAATGAAACCAATTTATGGTATTGTTAACTTTGATATCTTAGTGATTTCAAACAGATGACCTGCATCAGAATTGCCTGGAGTGTTTGCTTAAAGTGCAATTCTTGGGCTCAATTCAAGATTTACCAAATCCAAATATCAAGGAGAGGAGCTATAAAATCTGCAATTTAAAGAAAGGTGATTCTCAGGTCAAAGTCTGAGAAACGCTGTCTAGGAAGCCAAGGCCACCAGAGTACACAGTGCTACCACCACAGAGTTCTCCCAGAGCTTGGAATTCATGGTACTTTCATGAGTTTAATGGACGGTCCAACATCCCAGTCACCTTCCCAGTCCATTAAACTCATTATGACTCGAGGGACCTCAGTGGGATTATAGTTCAAATCCAATATGCAGATGAGAAAACTGAAGCCCAGGGAACATAAGAAATTAGGGAAAATTTCTTTCTAATATTATTCACAGTACCAAACAAAACAATTTCTGTGAGGCATAGGCACTCCTCCAAGGAGGACTGACCCCATGTCTCTTATTATTATTCATAACTTATATCTTTACAAGTGCTGAGTTTAGATGCGGTGATTAGTTGACATAATTTTATATCTCCTAGATACTTACTCAAACATTTGTTAACATTGATTAATTTGATTTAGCAATTGTCCTTCCAAATATGAAGTCTGTCTTATGTGTCCCATGGATTAAAGATTCCTGGCATCTAATGTGACCTTGGAGAACAATGATTTAGTACAGAATAACTGGTTGTCAGGCAGTGTCTTACAGATCTCAAATCTCAATTTTCAGTTCTCAAATTTTCAGTTTCAGAAATGGCTTAATTCATTGACCCAAAAGTCATCAGGCAAGCACATTGACAAAGACAGTGGTAAAGTGGAAACATAGTAGATAATTTGCAATGAAAAAACAAAATAGTCAATAATTCCCAATATTTATGTCATCAGTGTAGCACATAATCATCTCTGGAGAGAAAATGACTTCCTTAAATTAAGTTGGGAAGTCAGCCTAGTGATTATACATCTGAAAATGAAAAAGATTTCTTCTTTGGATATTTCCTTGCCAGGGAGCGTCTGGCTGTTTTGAATGGATATTTGTGTTTGTAATCCAGGACAGGGTTTTCTAATATTTGATGGGATTGCTGGGTTGTATAATAGTATTTTCAATTTTGTAAAAACCTGTTGTTATGGGCTGAATGTTTTTTTGATGGTTAATTTATGTGTCAACTTGACTGTGGTCTGTGTCTCTGGAGAATTCTGACTAATAAAATTTGCATCTCCCCAAGATTCATGTGTTGAAATCTGATCCTTCATGTGTTGGTATTTGGAGGTGGGGCCTTTGGGAGGTGATTAGGTTATGAGGGCGAAGCTTTTGTAAATGGAATTAGTGCTGTTATAAGAAGAGATGCAAGAGAGCTTGCTTCCTTTCTCTCTCTGTTCTGCACAACATGAGGATACAAGAGAAGACAGCTATCTGCAAATCAGGAAGCAGGACCTAAGGAGACAGTGAATCTGCCAGGACCTTCATCATGGACCTCTCTCACCACTCCCCTCTCACCACTCCTATTCAACATAGTATTGGAAGTTCTGGACAGGGCAATCAGGCAAGAGAAAGAAATAAAGGGTATTCACATAGGAAGCCAAATTGTCTCTGTTTGCAGGTGACAAGATTGTATATTTAGGAAACCCTATCATCTCAGCCCAAAATCTCCTTAAGCTGATAAGCAACTTCAGCAAAGTCTCAGGATACAAAATCAATGTGCAAAAATCACAACCATTCCTATATACCAATAATAGACAAACAGAGAGCCAAATCATGAGTGAACTCCCACTCAGAATTGCTACAAAGAGAATAAAATACCTAGAAATGCAACTTACACAGGATGTTAAGGACCTCTTCAAGGAGAACTACAAACTACTGCTCAAGGAAATCCGAGAGGACATAAACAAATGGAAAAACATTTCATGCTCATGGATAGGAAGAATCAATATCATGAAAGTGGCAATACTGCCCAAAGTAATTTATAGATTCAATGCTATCCCCATCAAGCTACCATTGACTTTCTTTTCACAATTAGAAAAAACTATTTTACATTTCATATGGAACCACCCCCCCGCCCCCGCAAAAAAGAGCCTGTATAGCCAAGAAAATCCTAAGCAAAAACAACAAAGATGGAGGCATCACGCTACCTGACTTCAAACTATACTACAAGGCTACAGTAACCAAAACAGCATGGTACTGGTACAAAAACAGATATATAGACCAATGGAACAGAACAAAGGCCTCAGAAATAATGTCACACATCTACAACAATCTGATCTTTGACAAACCTGACAAAAACAAGCAAAGTGGGAAGGATTCCCTATTTAATAAATGGCGTTGGGAAAACTGGCTAGCCATATGCAGAAAACTGAAACTGGACCTCTTCCTTACACCTTATACAAAAATTAACGCAAGATGGATTAAAGACTTAAATGTAAAGCCTAAAACCATAAAAACCCTAGAAGAAAACCTAGGCAATACCATTCAGGTCATAGGCATGGGCAAAGACTTCATGACTAAACACCAAAACCAATGGTAACAAAAGCCAAAACTGACAAATGGGATCTAATTAAACTAAAGAGCTTCTGCATTGCAAAAGAAACTATCATAAGAGTGAACAGGCAACCTATAGAATAGGAGAAAATTTTTGCAACCTATCCATCTGACAGAGGGCTAATACCCAGAATCTACAAAGAACTTAAACATATTTACAAGAAAAAAACAAATAACCCCATCAAAAAGTGGGTGAAGAACATGAACAGACACTTCCAAAGGAAGAAATTTATGCGGCCAACAAACATACGAAAAAATGCTCATCATCACTGGTCATTAGAGAAATGCAAATAAAAACCACAATGAGATACCACCTCATGCCAGTTAGAATGGCAATCTTTAAAAAGTCAGGAAACAACAGATGCTGACGAGGCTGTGGAGAAATAGGAACGCTTTTACATTGTTGGTGGGAGCGTAAATTAGTTCAACCATTGTGGAAGACAGTGTGGTGATTCCTCAAGGATCTACAACCAGAAATACCACTTGACCCAGCAATTCCATTACTGGGTATATACCCAAAGGATTAGAAATCATTCGACTATAAAGACACATACACACATATGTTTACTGTGGGACTATTCACAATAGCAAAGACTTGGAACCAACCCAAATGCCCATCAAAGATAGACTGGATAAAGAAAATGTGTCACATATAGAACATGGAATACTATGTAGCAAAAAAAAAAAAAAAAAAAAAAAAAAAGGACGAGTTCATGTCCTTTGCAGGGATATCGATGAAGCTGGAAACCATCATTCTTAACAAACTAACACAAGGACAGAAAACCAAACACCACATGTTCTCACTCATAAGTGGGAGTTGAACAATGAGAACACATGGGCACAGGGAGGGGAACATCACACACTGTGCCTGTTGTGGGGTCGGGGCCTAGGGGAGGGAGAGCATTAGGAGAAATACCTAATGTAGGTGTGGGTTGATGGGTGCAGTAAACCACCACGGCACATGCATACTTATGTAACAAACCTGCATGTTCTGCACATTTATCCCAGAACTGAAAGCATAGTTAAAAAAAAAGAGAAGGGTTTCATGTACACTTCTTGGGATAATTTGTGTTGACAATCATATCTTCTGCAAACAGGGACACTGTTATTTCTCCCTTTCTATCAGTATTTTAGCTAGCTAGCTAGCTAGCTGTCTCTGTCTCTCATTTCCTGATTTCAAAAGTTACCACAAAGTTACAATGACAGTGTGGCATAAAGATAGACATGGAAATTCATGGTCTAGAATTGAGCATCTAAAAAAATCCTCACATTTATGGTCTATTGATTTTTCACAACCATGCCAATTTTTGACAAGGATAGCCATCTATCCATCTATCTATCCATTCATCCATTCATCTATCTATCTATCACTTTGCATTATTGCACTAGCTAAGACTTTCTGTACTACGGTCAATAGGAATGATAAGGGTGAATGAACATCCTTGCCTTGTTCCTGATCTTGGTTATTTTCTTTTTTAATTTTAAAATTTCAGCTTGGTTCTTTTTTTATATCTTCTATTTTTTTAAATATGTTTCCAGAATGTTCATAATTACTAGTTGAAGAAAGTGGCAGGTGTTCATTCCATCTTTCCTAGAACAAAAATCCTACATTGATTTTTTTAAACAGCTCTATTGATATATAATTTGCATACCATAAAATTCACCCATTTAAGGTATACAACTAAATGGCTTTTAATATATTCAAAAAGTTATGCAACCACCACCAACATGAATTGTAAGACATTTTCATCACCCCTAGAAGAAATTCCATAGTCATAAGCGGTCATCTCCCATTTCCCCTAACCTGTATATCCCAGCCCTAGTCAACTATTAATCTACTTTCTGTTTCTACAGATTTGCCTGTCTGCACATTTCACATAAGTTGAAACTACAGTATAGTCTTTTGTAACTAGCTTCTTTCAGTTATCATAGTATCTTCAAGGATCCTATGTTATTGCATATATCTGTACTTCATCCTTTTATTGCTGAATAATATTCTACTGTGTGGATATTCCACATTGCATTTTTTTTTTTTTTTTTTTGAGATGGAGTCTTGCTCTGTCACCAGGCTGGAGTGCAGTGGTGCAATCTTGGCTCACTGCAACCTCTGCCTCCCGGGTTCAGGTGAGTCTCCTGCCTCAGCCTCCTGAGAAGCTGGGACTACAGGCGTGTGCCACCACACCTAGCTAATTTTTGTATTTTTTAATACAGACGGGGTTTCACCATGTTGGCCAGGATGATCTCCATCTCTTGACCTCATGATCCGCCTGCCTCAGCCTCCCAAAGTGCTGAGATTACAAGTGTGAGCCACCGCACCTGGCCTCCACATTGCATTTATCCATTCATCACTTAATGGATGTTTAGATTGTTTTCACATTTTGATTATTATAAATAGTGCTCCTATAAACATTCCTGTATCAGTTTTTGTTTGAATATATGTTTTGATATGTATATACCTACAAGTGGAATTGCTGGTCATGTAATGTAGTAACTCTACATTAACATTTTAAGAAACTGCCAAACTTTTTTTTCAAAACAGTTGCATCATTTTGCAATGTCACCAGCACTGTATAAGTGTTCCAATTTCTCCACATTCCTGCCAACGGTTGTTATTATCTGTCTTTTCATTATAACCATCCTATCAGTTGTATATCATGATCATTTCTGTCATTTCAATTGTTCTGATGGTTAATGTTGTTTGTTGAGCATCTTTCCAGGTAATTATTGTGTATTCATATATCTTGTTTGGAGAATAGTCTATTCAAATATCATGCCTTTTAAAAAACTGGATTATTTGTCCTTTTATTGTTGAATTTTAAGTGTTCTTTATACATTCTAGATACTAGTCTTTTATCAGAAAATGATTCGCAAATTTTTTTCCATTCTGTTGTCTTTTTTACTTTTGTGATGTGTCCTTTGAAGTACTTGTTTTTTTTTTAATTTTGATGAAATCCAACTTATCTATTTTTAATTGGTTGTTTTTATGTTTAGTGTCATATTTAAGAAACTGTTAGCTAAACCAAGGTAAAGAAAAGTTTGTGTCTATGTTTTATGTTAAGACTTCTATAGTTTTAGCTCTTCTTCTCTGAGGTATTTGATTGATTTTGACTTAATTTTTGTGTACAGTGTAAAGCAGGGGTTCAATTTCATTCCTTTGCATGTGACTATGCAGTTGTTCCAGTACCATTTGTTGAAAAGACCCCCTGTTGAATGGTCTTGGCATCCTTGTCAAAAATCAATAGACCATAAATGTGAGGGCTTTTTTTTTTTTTGATGCTCAATTCTAGACCATGAATCGCCATGTCTATCTTTATGCCACACTTCACTGTAACTTTGTAGTAACTTTTGAAATCAGGAAATGAGAGTCTTCCAACATTGTTCTTTTTCTTTGCTTTCTGTCTCTTTTTTTCTTCTTTCCTTTCTCCCTTCCTTCCTCTCCCTATTCTTTGAATTTACATATGAATTTTATAATCGTCTTAACAATTTCTGCAAGAAGTCATCTGGAATTCTGATAAAGACTATGTTGAATCTGGATATTAATTTGGGGAATATTGTCATCTTAGCAACACTAAGTCTTCTGATTCACAGACATGTGATGTCTTTCCAGTTAATTAGGTCTTCCTTAATTTCCTTAAGCAATGTTTTACAATTTTCAGAATACAGATTTTTGTACTTTTATTACATTTATTTCTAAGCACTTTATTATTTTTATGCTATTGTAAATAGGAATTTTTTGTAATTTCATTTTTGCACTGTTCATTCCATCAATTAAATTTTAACTTCAATTATTGTATTTTTTTATTACGTAAAGTCCTGTTGGTATTTTTTTCCATACTGGCTTAGTTGTTCATGCTTTAATACTTTTTCTTAGTATGAAACATGGTCAGATCACAAACCTAAATGTGAAACACAAAACTATAAAACTCCTAGAAGATAGCATAAAGTATAAATGACCTTGGATCTGGCAGTGACTCTTTAGATACAGCACTGAAGGCACAATGTATGAAAGAGAGATTGATAAGCTGGACTTCATTGAAATTAAATTTTCTGCTCTGCAAAACACACTGTTAAGAGATTAAAAAGACAAGCCACAGAAAGGGAGAAAATATTTTTAAAACACATATCTGATAAGACTATTATCCAAAATATACAAAGAACATTTAAAACTCAACAATAAGAAAGCAAACAATGCAACTAAAAAATTGGCCAAAGACTTTAACAGGTACCTTACTGGAGAATATGTACAGCTGACAAATAAGCATATGAAAAGATGATCCACATCATATATCATCAGGAAAATGCAAATTAAAACAACAAAAGATACGGGTACACATCTATTGAAATGGCCAAAATCTAGAACACTGAAGGCACTAAATGCTTACAAGGACATGCAGCAACATTGCTGGTGAGAATGCAAAATGGTACAGCCACGTTAGAAAACAGTTTGGAAGTTTCTTACAAAACTAAAACATACTCTTACCGTAGAATCTAGCCATTGTACTCATTGGTATTTACCCAAAGGAGCTAAAAACTTATGCCCACACAAAGTTTATAGCAGTTTTACTCACAATTGCCAAAACTTGGAAGCCACCAAGATGTCTTTCAGTAGGTAAATGATAAGAAAACTGTAGAACATCTAGACAATGGAATATTATTCAGTGCTAAAAAGAAATGACCTATCAAGCTATGAAAAGACATTGAGGAAACCTAAATGCATATCACTAAGTGAAAGAAGCCAATAAGAAAAGGCTACATACTGTGTTATTCCAACCATATGGCCTTCTGGAAAAGGCAAAACAATGGAGACAGTAAAAAGATCAGTGGTTGCCAAGAGTTAGTGGGGAGGGAGAGATAAAGAGGATCTTTGAGGGCAATGAAGATACTCTGTATGATATTATAATGGTGGACACATGTAGTTATACATTTGTTTCAACCCATAGAATGTACAACACCAAGGATGAATCCTAATGTAAACTATAGACTGGATGATAGTGATGCGTCGATGTAGGTTCATCAATTGTAACAAATGCACCATTCTGGTGGTAGTTGGGTGTTGATAGTGAGGGAGGCTGTGCATGTGTGGGTGCAGGAGTATACAGGAAATCTCTGTATCTTCTGTTCAATTTTGCTGTGAACCTAAAACTGCTCTAAAAATACATTCTATTATTTAAAAAAAAGACAGCAGATTCAGACTCGTAGGCACAGAATTTATTCAGTATCTGATCGTTTTAGTATCTGAAGTCTTCACAGGTATATTTTTCTTGTGTTTTCTTTTTACATATCATAGAGGCATAACCTCAAAAGGGTGAGGCTCAGCTTTTGTTTGGTTTCTTGGAACTTTAATTGCAGGTCTGACGTGAAGCTTATTTGAAGGTGTTCAGAGAGTATGTGGCTTTGCTTCTGCCAGATCCTTGGAAATGCTGCCAAGCCATGGTCACTTGGAGCTAAATTTGTAGGTGAAGATTTACCACAGTGGAAGTGCATGCATTCCTGTTCCAAACCCCACTGAGTGCCAGTTTCTTGAAAGGAATCTTCCAGGAAAACCTGTGTTTTTGGGAAAACCCAAGTGTGTTTCCTTCTGCTATTTGAAGCTGCAGGAGCAAATCTGGATGTTCACCCGACACTCAGAGCCAAATTTGACAAAAGGTGAATTTATTAACTCTCTTTCTACTTCACCCTATTGCTGAGGTTATCATCTTTACAGTTGCTGCTTTATGTGGCGGTCAGTTGCCCCAAACCCCACCCAGCTCAGGCTCCAGATTTTGCATGTGGCTCCTTAAGTTCTAGGACTGGAGATCCCAGGGATTGGCAAATACCATGAACAAACACAACTCCAGCATTTATATGCAACTTTCAATTTGTACTTTCTTATCATTTGTGCCCTTCTTATTATTTGTATTTTTCTGCCAGCTCAACCACGCATTGTAAAATATTTTAACACTTTTTACAGCAATTTTCCTTTCTTCTGGACATTTAGTCTACAAGGTGGCCTGCAATGGAACCTAATTAATATCTCTTTAATTTCACTCCAATTGAAGTTAAAAAGTATTGAATTTGATCCTGGTTCTAGCAGTACGACCTTTGGTAAGTCTTTAATTCCCTCTGTGTCTTAGTAACTTCATCTGTGAAAAATGAGGAAGTTAGACCAAATGACCTCTATGGACGTTTCCGGCAATAAATATCCACGACTCTTAGGTGCAATAAGTTTTAATTGGATGGGATCTTTGATTGTTATTAATCGCATTCAGAGAGTTATATCAGTAAGGATGAGATAGTTCTACTCAAACGTATAGCTTTTCTCTGACCTGAGTGACTCATTCATTTTCTCTCAGCTAGTGGGAGTTCTTACACTGGGGCCTGTACATCTGATTAATGACTACTGTAACTCCATTTTCAAATATTATAAAAGTAAAACAAAATATACCAAAGTAAAAGGTTTTTTTTCCTTCTCATGGATTTTAATAGTACCCAGAAGAGGTAAAATAACAATGTATGTCCTTGAAAATAATTCATAACTACTTTTTTCTTTTTAAGATATGGTTTAGGTTTCCTTAAAAGAGTTGTTAGTCATAGAAATTCTAAAATTTCTGATAACATTCAAGATAACTATATTTTCAGCAGATTCAACACTTTCAAAGCCCTTCAGAAAACAACCCATAAATTGGTAGCAGGCATTGAAAAGGAAAAACCCTCTGGCAGCAAATGCTCTGTTGACTGCTGAGAACCCATGAATCATAAAGAACAATATAACCCAAGTGTGTTTCCTTCTGCTATTTGAAGCTGCAGGAGCAAGTCTGTGGCCTTGAAGTAATGAAATGCACTGAGACGGTACAAAAATACATTATTCAGTTGCTTGCTATATAATGTGATTTAAATTGTTTTTCATTCCATTATCCTCGGCTCTTGGGCACTTAAGTTGAGGCAGATTTATGAGTATTTCATAATTAACAAGTGTTCCTCTCTGACAAAGGAAGTAGCCTAATTTGGGAGGAGGATGGGGGTCTTTCTGCTCTCTCTCCCTGCTGAGTTTCTCCTTCAACACCTTTACTTCCCCCCAGTCCATGACTCCATTAACTTTAAAAGCAAATTAGAACCTAGCCTCTCTAACTGTTCTCACTTCACTCAAATCAAAAGGCACTTAATTAGTTTGCTTCTAGGATATATTACAGCAATAACAGGATCTAATATAAACAGTATGTAATGATAGGGTCTAAGACTATGTGGGTTCAACAAACAATTTTGAACCTGAATTATGGTCAATGTTCAAAGGACATTCGGAACAAAGTCTATGACTGTATCCAATACTCGTAACATTTTCATCAGTCTGTAAAACCTTAAAGACCCATTTTGCCATATTTGGTTAATAAGGATTTGACAAAAGTAAAAGTTTGATAGTTTATTTTTCTAAGGTGGTTTTAGTAGAACCTACTTATTCTCAACAAATATGAGGAGCTCTGGGAGGAAAGTGGCTTATCTGCTTTTCTAACCTGCCTCCAACATGCCTGGCACTGCAGACTTGAGACACACAGGAGTAAGGCTGATGTTCTCTAGTCCTACACCTTGTGGTCACTTGGGGGAAAGCCCAGGGCTTAAACTCCTTAAATTCCATCCCTCTTCGCCTAGATTTAGAAAGCATGATATATATGTGTTTTCCTGGATGGTTTAGTGATACAGGAACCAAGAAAAGAAGTATTTCCAGAGGAAGGAGTGGTTAATTCCGTTCTGCTGAGAGAACAGAGAGGAGCCCTTTGGATTGGACAACACAGAAATCATTGGTAACCTTTCAAGAGAGTGGAGAGAAAAGGTGTTTGACTGGGAGAAGTTAAGGAGAGAGGAAAAAATAGGGACTAGATTAAAAATCTCAAGAGTTCTGCTAAAAGAATAACAGGAAAGAGTTTTGTACCCAGAGCAGGCCATAGAGTCCAGGAAGTATTTAAGAAAGGAAATGTTGGAGAAGTTCGTATGCAGATGAGAATAATTCAGTTGAGATAGAGAAACTGATACAGGAAAGAGAAGGTAAAATTGCAGAAGCAGAGTCTTGTAGACAATGGAGGAATGGACTGCTGTCGCTCTGGTGGAGAGGTTGGTGGAGTTCAGGACATGAATGCTTCTCTCACTACAATGGAAGGGGAGGCAAGTGGCCGGGCACGGGGGCTCACACCTGTAATCCCAGCACTTTGGGAGGCCGAGGAGGGCAGATCACGAGGTCAGAAGTTCGAGGCCAGCCTGACCAACATGGTGAAACCCTATCTCTATTAAAAATACAAAAATTCGCCAGGCATGGTGGCACACCTGTAATCCCAGCTACTCAGGAGTCTGAGGCAGGAGAATTGCTTGAACCTGGGAGGCGGAGTTTGCAGTGAGCCAAGATCAAGAAGGGGAGGCAGGTAGCTTGGCAAATTTTGGTAGATGGGAAGGGTCTCAGCTAACTGTATCTATTTTTGCAAGGAATTAAGGGAAGCAAGGTGGACACCTACATTATTTCTGAGCCTTAGTACTTGAGGCTCATAAGATAAAAAAGCAAATTCTACTAAAGATGAGTGCAGTGAAACAACAGTATAAACTAGAAGGATTTTAATTATTAGCTAATATCTTACAAAAATAGAAGGGAACCCATTGGCATATGCAAATGATTGGGAGAATCAAAGAAATGAAGGAATTTGCATTAAAAATAGTAAGATAAAGAGGGTTTGGGGTTTAATACTTCAGGGTGGTCAGTCAAGGTAAACCCATTCCAGAAAGTTTGGGAAACCATTTGAAGAAAAATACAAAAATGCTACTGAAAGTGACGAAAAGAAAAAGTAAGATACACTCTATACTCTACTCCTGAAGTAGAAGACTGATTTAAGGCTATTGTATTCAAAAATATTACATTATAAAAGGAACTTAACAAAATGATTGTGAAATGTACTGGGAAGAATACATAGGCTTGGTTAAAATTTTTTATTTAAGACAGATTCTAAACAGATTAAAAGATAATAAAAATTAAGTTTGTATAGTATGGGCACGAGAACAGATAAGCTAATGAACAGAGCAGAAAACAGTGCAGCAGCAGACCCCAAATTAGAAAATGTTGGCATCACAAACTAGTGGAGAAAGAAGGATCGTCAAACAGATAAGCTAATAAAATAGCTAGTTATTATTTTTTAAACTATATTCTCACTTAACAATATACTATAACCAAATTTAAGATGAATTAAAGGGTTAAGTAGAAAAAATCAAATGATATAAAAGCTAAAGAGGTTCTTTACCTAGTTAGCTCCTCTTTGACTGGGAAATGACTTCTTAAAGCAAAAATAGAGAATAAATGATTTGACTACATAAAATGTTAAATTTTTGTTTCAAAAAAAACTATAGGTAAAATTAAAAGCCAAACTGGGTACCATATCATAAATAAATAAAGCACTCTGTAAAATAAATTTTAAAAGTACCAGTTGGTAAAAATAGACCAAGTATATGAACAAACAGTTTACCAAGAACTGGCCGGGTGCAGTGGTTCACACCTGTAATCCCAGCACTTTGGGAGGCCGAGGCGGGCGGATCACGAGGTCAGGAGATCCAGACCATCCTGGCTAACACGGTGAAACCCCGTCTCTACTAAAAATACAAAAAAAAAAAAATTAGCCGGGCGTGGTGGCGGGCGCCTGTAGTCCCAGCTACTCGGGAGGCTGAGGCAGGAGAATGGTGTGAACCCGGGAGGTGGAGCTTGCAGTGAGCTGAGATCGTACCACTGCACTCCAGCCTGGGCGACAGAGCGAGAGACTCGTCTCAAAAAAAAAAAAAAATAGTTTACCAAGAACAAATGCAAATTATTACTAAACATTTTGAAAAGTGTAACTTGTCTAGTAATCAAAGAGATAAAGGTATAAACAATATTGGTATGTTAATTTTGGTTGTTGAAAAAATTTTTAAATTACTTATATTGCCTAGAACTGAGTAAGACATATGCACATTTGGTGGTGGGGAAACTGGTAGAATCTTTATGGAAAGTAATTTTAGCAATATGTATCAAACACTTTAATGGTGTAATTCCTTTTTTAGGAACTGAACCTAAGAAAATAATCAGAAATGTGAACAAAGGAGAATGTACAAAGATATTAATTATATGTCTATACTAGTGGAAGAAAACTTACATGTTATATTTAGATAGAAAAGTGGGAAGAAAATGTACCAAATGTTAACAGTGTTTATCCATGGTTGATGAGATTATAAATAAGTCCTATTTTCTTCTTTGTCATTTAGTATCTAGATTTTCAACAAAAGTATATATTTCTTTTAACATAAGTTTAAACTTTCCTCTTCGCACCACTTTTGCTGTATTTCAGAAGTTTTGATAAGTTGTGTCACGATTATTATTCATTTCAAATAGTTTTTAAATTTCCACCTTGATTTCATTGTTGACCCCAAACTCATTCAAGAGCAGATCATTTAATTTCCATGTATTTGTATAGTTTTGAGGATTCCTTTTGGAATTGACTTCCAGTTTTATTTCACTGTGATCTGAGAAGACACTTGATATGACTTTGATTTTTTAAATTTATTGAGACTTGTTTTGTGGCCTATCATATCATCTATCTTGGAGAATGCTTTATGGGCCGATGAGAATAATGTATATTCTGTAGTTGTTAGGAAGAATGTTCTGTAAATATCTGTTAAGTCCGTTTGTTCTAGGGTATACTTTAAGTCCATTGTTTCTTTGTTCACTTTCTATCTTGATGGTCTGTCTAGCACTGTCAGCGGAGTACTGAAGTCCCTCACTATTATTGTGTTGCTGCCTATCTTGTTTCTTAGGTCTAGTAGTAATTGCTTTATAAATTTGGGAGCTCCCAGTGTTAGGTGCATATAAATTTAGGACTGTAATATCTTCCTGGTGGACTGATCCTTTTATCATTACATAATGTCCTTCTTTGTCTTTTTTAAACTGTTGTTGCTTAAGATCTGTTTTGCCTGATATAAGGATAGCTACTCTTGCTTGCTTTTGGTTTCTATTTGCATGGAGTATCCTTTATTTTATTTATTTATTTATTTTTTTTGAGATGGAGTTTCACTCTTGCCTCCCAGGCTGGAGTGCAATGGCACGGTCTCAGCTCCCTGCAGCCTTCGCCTCCTGGGTTCAAATGATTCTCCTGCCTCAGCCTCCCAAGTAGCTGGGATTACAGGCACCTGCCACCACAACCAGGTAACTTTTGTATTTTTAGTAGGAATGGGATTTCACCATGTTGTCCAGGCTGGTCTCAAACTCCTGACCTCAGGTGATCCACCCACCTCGGCCTCCCAAAGTGCTGGGATTATAGGTGTGAGCCATCATGCCCGGCCCTGCATGGAATGTATATTTTCACCGCTTTACCTTAAGTTTATGTGATTTCTTATGGGTTAGATGAGTCTCTTGAAGACAGATAATATTTGGTTGGTGTTTTTGTTTGTTTGTTTGTTTGTTTTTGTCCATTCTGCCATTCTGTATCTTTTAAGTGGAGCATTTAGGCCATTTACAGTCAATGTTAATATTGAGATGTAAGGTACTGTTCTATTCATCATGTTAGTTGTTGTCTAGATACTTTGTTTTTTCATTGTGTTATTGTTTTATAGGCCCTGTGAAATTTATGCTTTAAGGAGGTTCTATTTTGGTGTATATCAAGGTTTTGTTTCAAAATTTAGAATTCCTTTTAGCATTTCTTGTAGTGGCAATTTCTTCAGCATTTGTTTGTCTGAAAAAGACTCTTATCTCTCCTTCATTTATGAAGCTTAGTTTTGATTGATACAAAATTCTTGGCTGACAATTGTTATGTTTAAGGAGGCTAAAGATGGGGCCCCAGTCTCTTCTGGCTTGTAAGGTTTCTGCTGAGAAATGTGCTGTACACCAACAATGACTAAGCTGAGAATCAATAAAAGACTCAGTCCCTTTTACAAGAGCTTCAAAAAATAAAACAAAATAAAATACTTAGGAATATACTTAACCAAGGAGGTGAAAGATCTCTACAAGGAAAACTACCAAACACCGCTGAAAGAAATCATAGATGACACAAACAAATGCAAATACATCCCACGCTCATGGATGGGTAGAATCAATATTGCAAAAATGACCATACTGCCCAAGCAAATCTACAGGTTCAATGCAATTCCCATCAAAATAACTTTATCATTCTCCACAGAACTAGAAAAAACAATCCTAAAACTTATATGGAACCAAAAAGCCACCTTCATAGCCAAAGCAATACTAAGCAAAAATTAGCAAATCTGAAGGCATCACATTACCAGACTTCAAATTATACTACAAGGCTATCATTATCAAAACAGCATGGTACTGGTATAAAAATAGGCATGTAGACCAATGGATCAGAATAGACAACCCAGAAGTAAAGCCAAATACTTACAACCAAATGATCTTTGACAAAGCATACAAAAACATAAAGTGTAGAAAGGACACCCTATTCAATAAATGGTGCTGGGAAAACTGGCAAGCTACATGTAGAAGAATGAAACTGGATGCTTATCTCTCACCTTGTATAAAAATCAACTCAAGATGGATCAAAGACTTAAATCTAAAACGTGAAACCATAAAAATTCTAGAAGATAACATCAGAAAAACTCTTTTAGACATTGACTTAGGCAAAGAATTCATGAAGAAGACCCTAAAAGCAAAGGCAACAAAACAAAAAATAAATAAATGGGACCTAATTAAACGAAAAAGCTTCTGCACAGCAAAAGAGATAATCAGCAGAATAAACAGACAAACCACAGATTGGGAGGAAATATTCACAAACTATGCAGCCCACAGAGGACTAATATACAGAATATACAAGGAACTCAAATCAGTGAGAAAAAAACAAAACAAAACAAATAATCCTATTACAAAGTGGACAAAGGACATGAATAGACAATTCTCAAAAGAGAATATACAAACAGCTGGCAAACATATGAAAACATGTTCAACATCACTAATTATCAGGGAAATAAAAATTAAAACCACAATGAGATACCATCTTACTCCTGCAAAATGGTCATAATCAAAAAGTCAAAAAATAATCGACGCTGGTGTGAATGGGATGAAAAGGGAAAACTTTTACACTCCTGGTGGGAATGTAAACTAGTACAACCACTATGGGAAACTGTGTAGAGAGTCCTTGAAGAACAAAAAGTAGAACTACTGTGTGATTCAGTAATCCCACTGCTGGGTATCTACTCAAAGGGAAAGAAGTCATATGAAAAAGACACATGTGCACACATGTTTATAGCAGGACAATTCACAATTGCAAAATTATTAAACCAACCTAAATGCTCATCAACCAATGAGCAGATGAAGAAAATATGGTATATATACACCATGGAATACTACTCAGCCATAGAAAGGAATGAAATAATGTCTTTTGCAGCAATTTGAATGGAGCTGGAGGCCATTATTCTAAGTGAAGTAATTCAGGAATGGAAAACCAAGTATCATATGTTCTCACTTATAAGTGAAAGCTAAGCTAAGAAAATCCAAAGGCATAAGAATGCTATAATTGGCACTGGGGACTCAAGCAGGAAGGAGGGTGAGGGAGTGAGGGATAAAAGAGTACCTATTGGGTACAGTGTACACTGCTTGGGTTATGAGTGCACCAAAATCTCAGAAATCACTGCTAAAAAGCTTATCAATGTAACCAAAAACCACCTGTACCCCCCAAACTATTGAAATTTTAAAAAAGCAAGTTTAAGAAAAGTATTTTCTTTTTAAACAGGTGAATGTATCAAAAGCTTCATCAAACGTGTGCAGATATTATTCCTCATGATAATTATCTCCTAAATATAGTTTGATAAGGAAAAAGAATTCTCATTCATGGATGAAAGTGCAGTATAGTCAGAAAAGACATATGTCTATAAGAGTTTTGACTTTCTATGTTCACCATTTCAAGCAAGAATGTTTATTCCAAAACCTAGTTTATAATTTTGAAGATTAAAAAATAAAATTATAGGCCATTTTTTTAAAAAGAGAATAGCTTGCCTTGTTACTGAACCTGCAAGCATTGCATATGAATGTACAACTCAATCAACTGATTTATGTATATTCACAAAAATTACATTAGGTGTATAAATTATGATAAAATGAAAAGCCTTGTGGTAAACTAAAAGTGTGTGAACCAAATGTTTAAGAAATATTAAATGTGATAATTCTACCATCTTACAGGTTGTCCCTCTTAAAACTTATAACTAGAATCTATCAAGTTGGTGACAAAATAAATGCCTAGAATACAAAAGTGTAATTTATCCTTGGAGATAATTAATTTATTATACACTCTGCTTTGAAAAATTTGAAATAAGCTCAGTCTTTCTTTCACATTTATCTCATAAACTCATTTATATTATAAATGGTCTTGCAAACAACACAGTGGTTTTATATTTAATTTAATTTTCATTGTTATCTTCTAGAACAACTTTTTTCCCTGAAATATTAAAGAAGAAATATATTATATTGGCCATGTAACTTACTCCAACAGCAGGATCTGCTACTTTATTTTTATAAGATATTTATTTTCTTGTATTTTAAAAAATGCACGAGACATTCAATTCATTAATGAAATATTTTCCACATCATCAAAGCACTGGCTTTGTTTCTGAAATTCTGATTATATCCAAATTTATAACATAGGTCTATTATTTTTTTGAGCATTGACCTCTAGTGTGATAGCAGAAAACCAGGCCAAAATCTTTATAATGTAAAAAATACATTAGGCAATACTTTATGAGACTACTATAAGGAAATAACATACTAGATTGTGGTATTATTAAGACTGCTTAGCAATCTACCACACAGAGGGGCTCATTTAACTTTAAGCTCCTTCCTGCCTTTAATAATAATGGCCATCATTTTTTGAGTGCTTAGGAAGTTCTTCAGCTCAAAAGAACTCTCTTTTCACAGTGGATCCACAGAAATGCAGACAGCACATGAGAAGCCATTTATCTCTGCTATTACTATCATTGTTTCTGTTACGTCTCTGGTTTTTACTTTATTTTGACACTTCTTTTCATTTTGACACTGACCATTGGTTTCCTTCCTGTATCTCGACTGCTTCCCTTTACTTAAAATTATTATAGAAGCCCTCCTGTTTGCAAGGTTTTGTGCTATCTCTTTTACTGCTTTTGCACTGCTTTTTAAAAATCAGTTTATTTCAGACACTTTAATAATTTTTGATAAGGATCAATTAGTATGTGAACCTAATGCAGTGAAAAGGGCATATAATTTAGAGCTGTTGGACGTGGAGTTGGTAATCCTTTGTCACTTAATAGTTACATGGCTATTAAGGACTCACAGCCTCTGTGAGCTTTAGTTCCCACATCTTAAAAGGGATAAAAATGCTTATTTCAAAGAGTGAATGAGGCTCACAAAGATAAAGTTCTCGAAAGTGCTTTGTACAGTGAAATACTAACACTATTGTTATTTTAAGACTGAATGTTTCTTTGTCTTCCCTTCCTCCTACTGTCTCTGAGGCTTTCCACATCTATAATTGAATCTGCTATTTTGTCTTTGTTAATATTCTGAGTTTATGCTAAAACCCAGATCCAACCATGCTCTGGAGCCCACACATTAGTACCTCATTCTATTCCAGTTTATCTGTGGGGTACAGGTACAGTTCTAGGCAGAGGAGCATGCAACATGGCACACTGAATTCTGAACAATGAAGCGACGGAGATAAATTAGAAAAGTGTTACAAAGAGCTAGTAAGAAAAAGACCAATTTTCATTTTATTGCAAAGTTCTTTGAAGCTGCTATAATCACACTGCTGTAAATCCGTAAACACGTTAGACACCACATGTATCAAAATAAATTAATTTAGAGGAATAGACCAAGAGAGCCAGATAACTTAAATAGAGGCCTTTTAAAATCATAATAAATAAGTGTCTTTGACTTCTGCTTATGTTTGGGTTTCCAAATAATTGGAGTAATGTTGCTCATTATGTACTTAATGAAAGTATTTTCTTTAATAAGAATTTGCGGAAATTGTACAAACTCTTTCACACTAGTCTGTTAGGTCTAGATGTGCCTTGTGGATTTCTCCACCAAACATGTCTCTCCTGATCTATTTAAGAACATCTACATGGCTAATCACCCCTCATTCACTCAAAAAATATTCATTGAACACTTACCATGTGCTAGTGTTCTAGGCCATGAGTATATAGCAATACACAAAACAGTCACTTTCCTCCCACCCGGAAGAAATCTCTGCTGTCATTGAACCTAGATTAAATATTATGTTAGATGATAGTAAGTTCCAGTAAGAAAAATAGAAGCCAAGAAGGGGCAAAGTGTGTGAGGTGGTGGGGCTAGGGATTTTGTTTATTTATTTGTTTGTTTGGTAATTTAATTAGGGTGGCTAGGGAAAGCCCTTTTAAGAAAAGACTTGAAGAAGGACGTGATACCTGGGGGAAGAACATTCCAGGCAGTGGAAGCAGCAAGAGTAAAGGTTCTGAGGGGGCAGCATGTGTGCATTTGAGGATTAGCAGTGGGACAAGTGTCCCTGTGTGGAATAAGGACGTGAGAAGGTTGGTGGAGCTAGATGTGGTAGCATCTTTTATGGCTTTGTAGAACTTTGTGAGACCATTGGCTTCTACTCTGAAAGAAAAGCAAAAATGGTGGGCATTGAGCAGAAGATAGACATGGCCTGACTTCCATCTTAAGAGGATCACTGTGGCTGCTGGATGGGAACATATGGTACGGTAGGAAGGGCAGAGGCAAGGAGACCAATGAAGAGCTACTGTCATCATCTTGGCAGGAGATGATGAAAGGTCGGGCCAGAACAGTGATTCTGAGGTCACCTAAAAGTGTTAAAACCTATGCATAAGGTACTATAATGACAATCATCCAAAGGAGTGGTAGTTGAGCAAGCAATTCAGAAAGTCTTTATATAATAAGGTAGGAGGAGGAACAGGAATCCTCAGAGCAAACCAAACCTAGCTTCAAAGTTGTGGGAGACGTAGGCCTCTGCTGTACTTAGGAAGAGGAACCAGGAAGCTGTTCTCTTCTCTTGAGGCAGCAAGGCAAGGATGTTTGCTTTCACCCCTTATGTTCAACCTTATACTAGATGGCCTACCCAGAGCAATAAAACCAGAAGAAATGAAATAATTTGCAAAACAAGTAAAGCTTCATTTATTCTCAGGTAACATGATTGCCTATGTAAAAATTCTAGGAAACCTGCAAACAAACAAACAAAAGTCCCTACTCAAACTAAGAAGTGAATTTAGCAAGGCCACAGGAGACCAGGTCAATGCGAAAAAATCAATTGTATTTCTTTATAAGGCCAATAAATTATCAGAAGTTGGAATTTTTTAAAACAGTGTTTACAATAGCTAAATATGAAATACTTAGGAATAAACTTTTACTAAAGTTTACAGAAACTGTACATTGAAGACTACATTTATTGAAAAGATTAATCTTTCTCCATTAAAATGTCATGATATTTTTGTTGAAAATCAATTGGTCATATACGTGTGGGTTCATTTCTGAACTATCTATTCTGTCCCATTGAGCTATATGTCTATATCTAGGCCAATACTAAACTTTTTTTTTATTACTGTTGCTATACGGAAAGTCTTGAAATCAGATATACTTCTGGTTTATTCTTCTTTTTCTAAGTTGTTATGGCTATTCTAAATTTTTTGCAATTTATGTACATGTTAGAATGAGCTTGTCAGTCTCTACATATAATAATAACAATCCTAATAAAGCCTGGATCTATAGATCAAATTGGTGAAAATTGAATTTTAACATATTGAGGTTTTCAATCTATGAGAACCAGGAGCTGTACTGTTTAAAGGCAGGAAAATGATGTCCCAGCTCACGTGGAGTGTGTTCTATTTAGGCCCTCAACAGATTGGATCATGCCCACATTAGTGAGGTGTATATTCTTTACTCAGTTTATTGATGTAAATGCTAATTTCTCCCAGAAACACCCTCACAGACACACCAGAAATAATATTTTCCCAGCTATCTGGGCATCCCTTAGCCCAGTCCAGTTGATGCATAAAATTAACCATCACAGCTGGGCATGATGGCTCATGCCTATAATCTCAGCACTTTGGGAGGCCGAGGTGGGTGGATCACCTGAGGTCAAGAGTTCAAGACCAGCCTGGGCAACATGGTGAAACGCTGTCTCTATTAAAATATTAAAAATACAAAAATTAGCCAGGCATGGTGGTGCATGCCTGTAATCCCAGCTGCTTAGGAGGCCGAAGCACGGGAATCACTTGAACCCTGGAGGCGGAGGTCGCAGTGAGCTGAGATCACGCCATTGCACTCCAGCCTGGGTGACAGAGCAAGACTCCATCTCAAAAAAAAAAAAAAAAAAGTAACCATCACAAGACACAAAAAGTGTGAACCCCAAGGGAAAAACATTGATAAATTAAACAAAATTTAAGAATTTTGTCCTAAAAAAACTATGTAAAGAAAGTGAAAAGACAAGCCATATACTGAGAAAAATTATTTGGGAAGTATAAATATCTGATAAAAATCATGTATCCAGATTTTCTAAGAACTTTTGTTACCACATATTAAAACAACTTGATAAAATAAAATGGGCAAAAATTTGACACTTCACCAAAAAAGATATAAGCACAGGAAAGTATGGTCAATATCATTAATCACGACAGAAATGCAACTACACATCCAGTTGAAATTAAATACATTCAGTGAAAGTTAAAAGGGCTGACAATGGTGAGTGCTGTGGACGATGTGTAGCAAATCAAACTCTCCCACATCACTGGTTGGAATGCAAAGTCATTCAGTCACTTTGGAAAACATTTTGACAGTTTCTTATTCTTATCATATGACTCAGCAATTTCACTCCTAGGTTTTTACCTGAGGTAAATGAAAGCATAGCATCAATTCACAGAAAGATTAGTGCTCAAATGTTCATAGCAGCAGCATTCATAAAAGCCAAGAACTAGAAAGAACATCATTTTTTTCCTTTGGGGTTGACACAAGTGTCCATCAGCTGTTACATGGATAAATAGTGGCCTATTCTTCTTTTTTTTTTAATTATACTTTAAGTTCTGGGGTACACGTGCAGGATTTTTATATAGGTATACATGTGCCATGGTGGTTTGCTGCACCAATCAACCCGTCGTCTACATTAGGTATTTCTCCTAATGCTGTCCCTCCCGCAGCCCCCAACCCCACGACAGGCCCCAGTGTGTAATGTTCCCCTCCCTGTGTCCATGTGTTCTTATTGTTCAACTCCCACTTATGAGTGAGAACATGTGGTGTTTGGTTTTCTGTTCTTGTGTTAGTTTGCCGAGAATGATGGTTTCCAGCTTCATCCACGTCCCTGCAAAGGACATGAATTCATCCTTTTTTTATGGTTCCATAGTATTCCATGGTGTATATGTGCCACATTTTCTTTATCCAGTCTATCATTGATGGGCATTTGGGTTGGCTCCAAGTCTTTGCTATTGTGAGTAGTGCCGCAATAAACATATGTGTGCATGTGTCTTTATAGTCGAATGATTTATAATCCTTTGGGTATATACCCAGTAATGGGATTGCTGGGTCAAATGGTATTTCTAGTTCTAGATCCTTGAGGAATCGCCACACTGTCTTCCACAATGGTTGAACTAATTTACACTCCCACCAACAGTGTAAAAGCCTTCCTATTTCTCCACAACTTCTCCAGCATCTGTTGTCTCCTGACTTTTTAATGATCGCCATTCTAAGTGGCATGAGATGATATCTCATTGTGGTTTTGGTTTGCATTTCTCTAATGACCAGTGATGAGCATTTTTTCATGTTTGTTGGCTGCATAAATGTCTTCATTTGAGAAGGGTCTGTTCATATTTTTCACTCACTTTTTGATGGGGTTGTTTGTCTTTTTCTTGTAAATTTGTTTAAGTTCTTTGTAGATTCTGGATATTAGCCCTTTGTCAGATGGATAGATTGCAAAAATTTTCTCCCATTCTGTAGGTTGCTTGTTCACTCTGATGGTAGTTTCTTTTGCTGTGCAGAAGCTCTTTAGTTTAATTAGATCCCATGTGTCAATTTTGGCTTTTGTTGCCATTGCTTTTGGTGTTTTAGTCATGAAGTCCTTGCCCATCCCTATGTCCTGAATAGTATTGCCTAGGTTTTCTTCTAGGATTTTTATGGTTTTAGGTCTTACGTTTAAGTCTTTAATCCATCTTGAGTTAATTTTTGTACAAGGTATAAGGAAAGGATCCAGTTTCAGCTTTCTGCATATGGTTATCCAGTTTTCCCAACACCATTTATTAAATAGGAAATCCTTTCCGCATTTCTTGGTTTTGTCAGGGTTGTTAAAGATCAGACTGTTGTAGATGTGTGGCATTACTGCTGAGGCCTCTGTTCTGTTCCCTTGGTCTATATATCTGTTTTTGCACCAGTACCATGCTGTTTTGGTTACTGTAGCCTTGTAGTATAGTTTGAAGTCAGGTAGTGTGATGCCTCCAGCTTTGTTCTTTTTGCTTAGGATTGTCTTGGCTATGTGGGCTCTTTTTTGGTTGCACAGGAAATTTAAAGTAGTTTTTTTCAATTCCGTGAAGAAAGTCAATGGTGGTTTGATGGGGATGGCATTGAATCTATAAATTACTTTGGGCAGTGTGAACTGTGGCCTATTCTTACACTAGAATACCACTCAATCTAAGGGTACTAATTACAGATTCACACAACAAAAAGGATGAATCTTACATTCATTTTGCTACACAAAATGTAGCAAATCTTAAATACATTTTGCTACACAAAAAAAGCCAGACACTAAAGACCACATATTTTGTGATTCCATTTATATGAAATTCTAGAAATGGCAGAATCATGTGAGGGAAGCACAACAGTTGTTGCCTGGGGCTAGGGTATGAGTGGGAATTGACAACAAAGGGGAAAGATGAACTTTTTGGGGTGACGGGAATGTTATGTCTTAATCGTGGTACTAGTTACAGGATTATGTATGTATGACAAAATTCATAGAACTATACAATGCAAATGGGTGAGTTTCATTGGATGTAAATTATACCTAAATATACCTTTTTAATATTTAAACATAAGGGAAGTCCTATAAATGTATTTATTTATTTATTTTTTATTATTATACTTTAAGTTCTAAGGTACATGTGCACAACGTGCAGGGTTGTTACATGTGTATACATGTGCCATGTTGGTGTGCTGCACCCATTAACTCGTCATTTACATTAGATATGTCTCCTAATGCTATCCCTCCCCCCTCCCCCCACCCCACAACAGGCCCAGGTGTGTGATGTTCCCCATCCTGTGTCCAAGTGTTCTCACTGTTCAATTCCCACCTATGAGTGAGAATATGCAGTGTTTGGTTTTCTATCCTTTTGATAGTTTGCTCAGAATGATGGTTTCCAGCTTCATCCATGTCCCTACAAAGGACATGAACTCATCCTTTTTTATGGCTGCGTAGTATTCCATGGTGTATATGTGCCACATTTTCTTAATCCAGTCTATCACTGATGGACATTTGGGTTGGTTCCAAGTCTTTGCTATTGTGAATAGTGCTGCAACAAACATACGTGTACACGTGTCTTTATAGCAGCATGATTTATAATCCTTTGGGTATATGCCCAGTAGTGGGATTGCTGGGTCAAATGGTATTTCTAGTTCTAGATCCCTGAGGAATCACCACACTGTCTTCCACAATGGTTGAACTAGTTTACAGTCCCACCAACAGTGTAAAAGCATTCCTATTTCTCCACATCCTCTCCAGCACCTGTTGTTTCCTGACTTTTTAATGATTGCCATTCTAACTAGTGTGAGATGGTATCTCATTGTGGTTTTGATTTGCATTCTTCTGATGTCCAGTGATGATGAGCATTTTTTCATGTGTCTGTTGGCTGCATAAATGTCTTCTTTTGAGAAGTGTCTGTTCATATCCTTCGCCTACTTTTTGATGGGGTTGTTTGATATTTTCTTGTAAATTTGTTTAAGTTCTTTGTAGATTCTGGATATTAGCCCTTTGTCAGATGGGTAGATTGGAAAAATTTTCTCCCATTCTGTAGGTTGCATGTTCACTCTGATGGTAGTTTCTTTTGCTGTGCAGAAGCTCTTCAGTTTAATTAGATCCCATTTGTCAAGTTTGGCTTTTGTTGCCATTGCTTTTGATGTTTTAGTCATGAAGTCCTTGCCCATGCCTATGTCCTGAATGGTATTGCCTAGGTTTTCTTCTAGGGTTTTTATGGTTTTAGGTCTGACATTTAAGTCTTTAATCCATCTTGAATTAATTTTTGTGTAAGGTGTAAGGAAGGGATCCAGTTTCAGCTTTCTACATATGCCTAGCCAGTTTTCCCAGCACCATTTATTAAATAGGGAATCCTTTCCCCATTTCTTGTTTTTGTCAGGTTTGTCAAAGGTCAGATGGTTGTAGATGTGTGGTATTATTTCTGAGGGCTCTGTTCTGTTCCATTGGTCCATATATCTGTTTTTGTACCAGTACCATGCTGTTTTGGTTACTGTAGCCTTGTAGTATAGTTTGAAGTCAGGTAGTGTGATGCCTCCAGCTTTGTTGTTTTTGCTTAGGATTGTCTTGGCAATGTGGGCTCTTTTTTGGTTCCATATGAACTTTAAAGTAGTTTTTTCCAATTCTGTGAAGAAAGTCATTGGTTGCTTGATGGGGATGGCATTGAATCTATAAATTACCTTGGGCAGTGTGGCCATTTTCACGATATTGATTCTTCCTATCCATGAGCATGGAATGTTCTTCCATTTGTTTGTGTCCTCTTTTATTTCATTGAGCAGTGGTTTGTAATTCTCCTTGAAGAGGTCCTTCACATCACTTGTAAGTTTGATTCCTAGGAAATCAATGTATTTTTAAAAGATGGCAACAAGTGCATAAAAAGATACCACTTACCACAATAACTGAACCTATCTTTCCTTTCCACCACACCAATACTAAAAGAAGAAACTTAGATTGGATTAAACGTTTAAGTAATTTTTCTTTTATTCATTGAACAATTATTTGTAACAGACTTTATTGAAAATTAATTGCTAACCAAGAAGGCAAGCCAGGACTTTGAGTCTGGGGCTTTTTTCTCAAGCAACCCTAACAAAATATCCCACACTGGCTGATTTACACAATAAAAATATATTTTTCACAGTTCTGAAAGATGGGAAGTCCAAGACCAAGAGACTGGTAAGTTAGAATTCATTGCAAGTCCTCCTCTCTTGGTTTGTGGATGGCTGCCATCTTGCTTTGTGCTCATGTGACCTTTCCCTTATGCATCATGGAAAGAGTAAGTGGGGTCTCTGGTGTCTCTTCTTATAAGGACACTAACCCTATTGGATCAGGGCCCTACCATCATGACTGCATTTAATCTTAACTATATACTTAAAGGCCTGATGTCAAATACAGCCACACTGGGGGTTTGGGCTTCAACATATAAATTTTGGGGAGGAAACAAACATTCAGTCCATAACAGATGGGATATGGCAAAGGAAATGGGGGTAGAGGAGGGATGGGAAGATGACTGTCTAATGGCAGATTCTACCAGTGGAGAAGACTTGCAACCCTTTGGAATGCAATGAAGAGGTGGAGAACCCCACTCTGAGGACTTTTTGTATTTAGCTGGGACCTATGTACACTGAGACTGAGCCTGGCATTAGAGATGTCACCAGCAGAGACCCCACAAGGGACTGGACAAAGAAATGCAGCCAGGGAAGTCTAGGTGTGGTGGCTCATGCCTGTAATCCCAGCACATTGGAAGGCTGCGGTGGGCAGATCACCTGAGGTCAAGAGTTCAAGACCAGCCTGGCCAACATGGTGAAACCCCATCTCAACTAAAAATACAAAAATTAGCCGGGCATGATGGCAGGTGCCTGTAATCCCAGTGACGAGGGAGGCTGAGGTGGAAGAATCCCTTGAACCTGGGAGGCGGAGGTTGCAGTGAGCCAAGATCGCGCCATTGCACTCCAGCAGCCTGGGTGACAAAGTGAGACTCTGTCTCAAAAAAAAAAAAAAAGAAAGAAAGAAAAGAAAGAAAACGAAATGCAGCCAGGGCAAACCGAAGCCTTTAGTCCTTCTTTTGTCTTTTTCCAATTTCCTGGTGTACAGAGCCTCTGGGTTCTTCTACTATGACAATGACAAAGTTGGAGGGGGTGGGCAATCTTGAGATAGATTTTATCCTTCCTGCCACCTCCAGATCATAAGGGTGGCCCAATTTTAGGAAAACAAAGAAATAAATGTTTCATTCTTTTGAAATTTGTGGAGCAATTCCTAACTGTTGTATGTTTACAAATACCTACTGTAACCCTGAGACTGCTAGATAAAGAATAAAAAAGAATGACACATACCCTTGTTCGCAAGTAGTAGGGCAAACAGACACATAAATAGATAATATACAGTTTAATAAGTGCAATGATAACAGGGGTACATGGCATTATGGGACTACAGGATAAAGGGGCCTTCCCTGTTGTGGCTAGTCTGAAAAAGCAGGAGGGACCCCCACCCAAATTTTGGATCAGATGTCAAGATTGATGATGCCACACACACCCCAAGAGGGAATGGGAAGCTTTATTACTTGCATGACACAGGTCTCTGGTGAGAGCAAGGCAGCCCCCTCCAGCAGGGCCAAAATGACTTGATGAGGCAAGGAAGGAAGACTAGCTCTGGGTTTTTACTGTGGTTAGGGGCTGAGTTTGAATCTCCCACTGGAGCCTAAGGAGGGGGAACTCGGGCTTTCACATGAGCTTGGCTAGTTGTGCCACACAAGGGGAAAGGAATGGGTGAGGCATCAAACCGTCAGCAGTCAATCATCAGAACTGGAGCCAGACTCTCTATTATGGTCTGTAATCCCTTTCAGAGGAGTAGGGTGTGATTAGGAAGCTTTCCTGGAGAAAATTATGCCAGAGTAATATGAATCTTAAGAAAAGAATATTTCTTGCTTTATTATTGTTTATATTTGCTTACAGACCCATGGTAATTGCAAAAAAATTAAAAACACAGCTAAATATAACACAGAAATTAAAATTCACTCATGGCCTCACCATCCTAAGGCAATCACTGTTAATATTTTTCTTCCTTCCTGTCTCGATAATTAGAAAAAAAAAATGAATATGGCCAGGCATGGTGGCTCATGCGTGTAATCCGAGCACTTTGGGAGGTCGAGGTGGGTGGATCACCTGAGGTCAGAAGTTTGAGACCACCCTGGCCAACATGGTGAAACCCCGTCTCTACTAAAAATACAAAAATTACCTAGGTGTGGTGGTGGGTGCCTGTAATCTCAGTTACTCAGGAGGCTGAGGCGGGAGAATCACTTGAACCTGGGAGACGGAGGTTGCAGTGAGCCGAGATCACGCCACTGAACTCCAGCCTGGGCAACAGAGTGAGGCTCTGTTTCAAATTTAAAAAAAGAAAAAAAGAAAAAAAAAAAGGAAAGAAAAAAATTATTTTAAAAATGATAAATTTTTTTCTGGTGTACATTTTAGTAACTTTAGTTACTTTACATGTACCTTTTTGTCCATGAAATCTTGCTACAATCATTCTTTTTAAAGTTTTTATATAGAAAAGTTAACATTCCTATTCAATTTTCCCTTTCATTACTGGTGATGCTTTAAGCCTATTCTGCTTTTTTAAAAACAGAACTGAAACTACTATGCTTTGTAAAATCTTGCAAATCTGTATTTCTTTGTTAGAGAAGTGTTATTTTTACCACATCTATTTTCACTTTGCTGTCAAGAAACTGCTGGAATTCCAACTTGACCTGGTTCAGTGTGTCTGTAGAGCTAAGAATCACCAAGGGAGCAATGGTTCCTACCTCACTCTGCAAAGAATACAATGTACATTTGGAAATCCACATCCTTTTCCCACTTCTATGTTTCAGGTGCTTAAAGAACTTGTTAAATTCAGAAAGAATCACAAACTTTCCTGTCTAAAAATTTTCAAGGAGGTTTGACAATGATGCTTTAAAGACTGATAGAGTGGGATTTATTTATCCCTATAACTGTCACCTTCTCAAAACTCCTTAGTGGTATATTTCAAATGACTTTTTATTACCACCAGTCAGGAGAAAAGAAGAAAAGGAATTATCTGTCCTGTCTTTCCTGTTTCCTAGTCTTCCTTGCTCGTATCTGTTTCATTGTACTCTATATGGTAAATATCAACTCACATAGTTCCACTATAAAATGAATGAAGTTAGGTCTATCATAAGGGAAAGGTAGTCACTGCTGTGGGTGTTGCAAAGAAAGCCTCCAATGTCCAAGGACCTTGAAACACCTTGGTTCTCAAGGTGGTCCCCAGTAAATCCCCTCCTGGCTCATCAAAACAGGGCCGACTTTGGATCATGGAATCATGTGAACATATTTCCACTGCATTTGCATCAGAGACACTTGAGTGAAATAATCAATACAAATGTATCCAGATGGACATTTATTTTTAAAGGGGGAAATGCATTTTGGACCCTTTACTTTGTGGAATCATCAGCTTGAGTATGTTCAGATCTTTGTGCAGAACACAAAGCCTGAAATATTTACTATCTGGTCTTTTACAGAAAAAGGTTGACAATCCCTGCCCCAGTTGCCCAGGTTCACATAGAGAGAATTGTTTATTTATGCCACAATTTATTAAAAGTTGATAGTGGATATGGCACTGTAAGCACTTGAATTAATTAAAAAGTAAATCGTTGCTAGTTACTGATATAAAATAATGTGGTTATGCCCATTATCCATTACCAAAGTGTCTGGGAATTGGGGATATCCTGCAGGGACTGACATTGGAATCATGCACACACACACACACACACACACACAAATCAGAACAAATGACTTTGAAAGAAGTCATGTGGGCCGGGCGCGGTGGCTTACGCCTATAATCCCAGCACTTTGGGAGGCCGAGGCGGGTGAATCACCTGAGGTCGGGAGTTCGAGACCAGCCTGGCCAACATGGTGAAACCCCGTCTCTACTAAAAGTATGAAAAATTAGCCGGGTGTGGTAGCTGGCACCTGTACTCTCAGCTGCTGGGGGGCTGAGGCAGGAGAATCACTTGAACCCAGGAGGCGGAGGTTGCAGTGTGCCGAGATCGCACCACTGCACCCCAGCCTGGGAAACAAGAGCAAAACTCCATCTCAAAAAAAAAGAAAGAAAGAAAGGAAGAAGGCCTGTGGCCTGTTGTATAACATTTTCTTAAGACCTCGTTTGTTCCTACAACTTAACTATATTGTGAAAAACATAGGTAGAAAACTTATATACCATTGGGTCAATACACAAGTAAGTTTCATCTTCACCAACAGATGTTAACTTGGGTTGTTGCTGTGTATACAAAGCTATAAAAGTCTAGTTTGTGTCTTAAGAAGCTTAATAAGTATAATATTCATCAACATTTATGGAGCTTTTACCATGGGCCAGACTCCATTCTGAGTACTTTCCCTGGATTATCTAATTAGTTCTGTGGGCAGCCTGTGAAGCGGGTACCATAAGCACCATTTGAAAGAGGAAATCCCATAGCTCACAGAGGTTCAATAACTTGCCCAGGGCCACGTGACTATATGGATTTAGTCAGGATACTAAACCAGGCAGTGTCACTAAAAGTTCAGATACCTCACCATTCTCTCTGCCATCTCCCCAAAGATTCCAGCCCTGTGTAGTAGGTGCTCCGACAGGGGGATCCATTGTAAAACTCTCTAGGGAGAGTGGGGTTACCAGAGAGACCTTCCCAGAACAGGACTTGAGGGTTGTGGTGGGAGGATACATTTTACCCTTCCAAGTTCTCAGCCACAGCCTAAGACACAGACTTAGCTTGATTGGATCTCTTAACAAATCCTCTTCAAGTTGGAGGATAAATTAAGACCATCGCAGCCTCCATCTCTCCGTTTCTTCTGTCGTATACCCATATTAGAGATGCTACGTTTAAGTTTCTCTTTCTCTACCCTCAGTTCCTTATCGGTGCCTTCTATTCTGAGTGACAAAAGAATGTGTTCTTCCCATCATACAGTCTAACTACTGGATGCTACCCCATGCTGCACAAACCCCATGTCTTTACCTATCCACCCTCCCGTGAACAGCAGGTTGCCTCTGAGGCCCCATCATCACAAGTAACATTGCAATGAATATCCTTATAGACCTTTGCAAGAACATATTTGGGATATATATACATACACACACACATACACATACATATACACATACATATACACATGCTGGAGTGGAACTGTTGAATCTTTAAATGCGTCTTTACTTCACCTCCCAGCAATACATGAAGTCTATCTGTCTGTCTGTCTGTCTAGCTAGCTAGCTAGCTAGCTGTCATCTATCTAACCTACCTACCTACCTATCATCTATCTATATAGTATACTTGGCATTATACTTGGCATTTTATTATACCTGGCAAGGTAATAGCTGGCATTTTCCAGCATATTCTTCACATAGTCATGGCAGCATCTAAAACCACAAGTCACGTAGATCATCTCTACATACAAGATGAAGGCCAAGCTGCTTGGCATGCAATTGGCTAGGAAACCACAGCCCTTCATTCTCATAACCAGCCAAGCATGTGTTCATTGTGTTATCATTAGGGTTTAGTATTTGTGCTTCCCATTGTACAGCAAGTTACTCACTTTTTATAGCAAGAGGGCCTCTCACAGTGCACTCACTACATGGTTGTTGACTCTACTAAAGAGAGAACAGGCCCGATGTGGTGGCTTATACCTGTAATCTTAGCACTTTGGGAGGCCAAGACAGGAGGATCACTTGAGGCCAGGAGTTGGAGACCAGCTGGGGCAATGTGCCGAAACCCCACCTCTACAAAAAATACAAAAATTAGCCAGGTGTGGTGGCACATGCCTGTGGTCCCAGCTACTTGGGAGGCTGAGGTGGGAGGATCACCTGAGCCTGGGGAGGTTGAGGCTACAGTGAGCCGAGATCAAGCCACTGCTCTCCAGCCTGGGCAACAGAGTGAGACCCTACCTCAAAAAAAAAAAAAAGAAAAGAAAGTGAACAGAGGGTTGAAGAATCAGTTTGGGAAGTAAGATGATTATATTTTGGGCAAATGGAATTAAATTATCAATTTAATTGATAGTGAGAGAGTCATGTATATTTTATATTTTTTCTTATGGAAACCTAAAACCTTGGATTTAAAAGCAGAAGAGATAGTTTAGGGACTAAGTTTCAGCTGTAGCTTTTGAGTTGTTACTAGCAAATCAGTGAATTGCATGGGGAGGAAGTAAATTGAGAGCACTACGGAAAAGAAGTTGATTTAGCAGTAAGTGAAGAAGGGTCCTCTTCTGAAGTGGGGCTGGAAGAGGAGGCTCAGAAAAGTCTAGCTGCAAGAGGGAAACCTGTGGATGGTCACCAAGGCCAAGGGGAGGGTGGATAACGGAAAGGATCAGTGTCCTAGACTGCAAGATGTTAGGGTCAGACAAAACCAAGCAGAGGCTGCCGGGTCTGAAAATTTATATTTTATCAGTGTCTTCAACAGAGGCTTTTAGTTTGCATTGGTAGTAGGAAATGCACAACCTCTGTTTTTCTTTTGTCTGTAGAAAATATTTCATTCATCCTTTTTGTCTTAATTGATTGTAGGAAATATGACATGCCTATATGAAGAAGAAATTCTGAATGTAATATATTCAGAAAAAAATGGAATCTTACTGAAATATGGTCAGGTTAAAATATTTTGCTTATAGATTATACTATGCAAGTCTTTTACAAAAAAATTAGCTAATTCCCTTAGTTCATCATATCACATAAGAGTTCCTTTGAAAGTATAGGAGGTATGTGTATGTTTTTAAAGGAGCTGTGTGTATTTTAAAGAAAGGCACAATCCTGTATCTTTCTACCACACACTAACGTTGACACCATTTGCTTCAAAGAAACCTGCCCTTACCTAGCAATTCCATAAGGAACTGCAAGATATGTGCACGTTAAGTTCTTTCAAGGTTATGTAACGTATTGTTGTAGTCTTATTTATCATCTGGTATCTTCCTCAGCAAATTTCCATTTTCATGTGGACCTTAAGTTTTTTGTCAAAAAAAATTTAAACCTTTTCTCTATTAATCTCGTGGAACTTCTTGGAGAACATAGCTTTTTTCAAAGATCTTAAATTTCTACCTCTTCAGAAAAAGTCTACTTTATAGGTTTTATATTTTATAAATCTTTCATGGTGATTTTTATAAGTTATTCCCACTTTTACCAATCAAAAGCACAATCTTTCAGAATTTTCTGGAAAGAAAAAAAAATTGCCTTAAGTCATTTCCCATTATTTCCAGGAGTAGAATTAAATTAATGCAATAAAACTTAAAGAAGAAAATCATCCTTTCATATAGCTTTTGTGCTCATTTCTTTTATTTCTTTTGTACCTGAAATTTATGTCTCTCTGTGCCTACAGTCAGTGACTTGTAAATCGTCTTTGCCCATCTACACCATTGATCTGAGACCCTGGAAAAAGATTTCTTGAGGCCTGTGATTTCCTTTCCTAAAGCATTTTCAGGGTGGTAGGTTATATCAAGGTGATTTTGATTAGAATGTTAAGTTGGGTTCTCTGGAATTCCATTAAGTATAGTCAACTCTTCTTCATCTCTCTAATATCAGGACAGGTACTTCTTTCACTAGTGCAGTAACTGGTGCTCATAACCCCAAGGTGCCAGGGGTCTTCAGAATCATCAAGAAGGTTGCCAGTATGCTTCAAGTAGGTACTTTATCATACTAAATCTTTAAGACTTAAAGAAGTTTATGATCCTTAGCTGGGCACGGTGTCTCACCGCTGTAATCCCAGCACTTTAGGAAACTGAGGTGGGTGGATCACTTGAGGTCAGGAGTTCAAGACCAGCCTGGACAACATGGTGAAACCTCATCTCTACTAAAAATGCAAAAATTAGCTGGGCGTGGTGGCACGCACCTGTAGTCCCAGCTACTTGGGAGGCTGAGGCAGGAGAATCACTTGAACCTGGGAAGCAGTGGTTGCAGTGAGCTGAGATCATGCCACTGTACTCCAGCCTGGGTGACAGAGTGAGACTATGTCTCAAGGAAAAAAAAAAGTTATGATCGTGTATTATGAAGTTTTTATTCATCATATTATTTGGTGAACTAGATAACTCTTCCTTTGCTCTCTGCTGAATAACAGAAAGACTGTTCTACTTCTAAGCTGGTTTGTGTGACTGTTCCAGTTTTTCATTTCCTATGTGAAAATCCTCTCTTGCATTTTACTCTGTGTTTTCTTCCAAATCCAGGTTTGGTTAGAGTAAACCCTCCACTAGCTCTGCACCTGCACCTGAGCATCTTAATGTAACTGAAGGAGAACACACAATCCTGCTGACTGGTCTCACTGGAGCTAATGACCATCAGCCTCAAGTGTGACCTTGGGATTCCTGGCACCCCTGCTCCATTTATCTAGCCCTTCACTCTCCTTGGGATGACTATTTCTGCACCATCTCCAGCTCCCTTGCCCTCCTGCTCTCTCAGCAGATGACCTTGCCTGTGGTCACCAATCAAAACAGAACTTCCACATCCTCCCGTCAACAAATCTACAAACTCACTTTGCATCTGTACTCACAGACTCTACCTTCCCAGCTGTTACAAATGCATGGACCATCTGGGCTCCCACCCAAGGCCAGGTCCTCCTCTCATGCCTTGGATTCCATCCCCTCCCGGCCACCTAAAGACTTTGTTCCTGCACCACCAGCTTCTTCCTTTCTCCTCTATTGTTCCTTTCTGCAGATCCACCTGGGATAATTTTGTTTGTTTGTTTTTGTTTTTTACACAGAACAAGAAATTGTATTATCCCCAATGCTGGTGCATAACAAATAAGCGTAATTAGAGGAGGAGACAGAGGGAAACTTCAGATACCGAGGTAATTTCTGGGCAGGTTTAAAAACCTCGAAAAGTTGATAGAATAACTGTTCATAAGGTATTTTTAGATATAGGGCTTTTTACTTGATAACTTTTATTAACAGTTCTTACAGTATGAAGTCAACTAAAGCCTTTCACCTGTCAAGTTAAAACAGCAAGCAAAACAAAATTTCTCTAGTATATAACAGCGTTAGAAATGGTTTGTTATCTTTGTACATTCACACACATTTAATGTCTAGATTTGAAACTTTTTAATTAAGGATGTCTTAATTTTTGACTTTTACAAATGGTCATGACAATGGATTTTCTTGATTTATAGATCACAGTGGCTTTATAAATGATCAAGATATATGTACAAACGAAATTTCAGATGCTCTTGGAAACACATCTTAAGACATATAGCACAAGTGATACATATTTGAGTTTATTCATCCTTTTGGGATAATGAAGAATACTCCATTTATCTTACACTGAAAATTTAGCCTTTGATAACTATGGCTTGAATAGATCATCTCCCACCATTAGAAGAGACTCTTCCTTTGCTGCTCACCCTTCTCCAGCCCTTGCCCCGTTTCTCATATCCCTCGCAGTATGACTCCTTAGAGCAATTGCTCATTCTACCACCTCCTCTTCCTCCTCTGAGTCTCTCTTGAGCTTGCTCCAGCTGAAACTGCTCCTGACCAAGTCAGAAACTGACCTCTGTGGTGTCCAATTTAAAGTCAATTTCAGTTCTCGCCTCTCAGGAACCATCAGCAGCATTGGACACAGTGGCCCATTCCCTTTTTGAAACAGCTTTATTCACAGATTCTAGATCTCAACCTCACTGGCTGCTCTTTTTCCTTCCCTCCCCTCCTCCCGCTCCTCAGAGTCCCTTTTAGGTTCTGCATGTTGGAGTGCCCTAAGTTTTAGTCTTGGCCTTGTTCAATCTAGTCTGTCCTGTGACTTTCAATACCAACTATATGCTGAAATGGCCCACGTTTATATCTCTGCGACCTGTCTCCCCTAGCTAGACTCATCTGGACAGCTCCATTTGAGGGTTTGTGTTGGAAAGAAATGGCTTGTTCCTCCCCACCCCTACCCCAAAATCACTCATCACCTATCTTCTCTATCTTAGGATGTGGCAGTCCATTCACTCACTTGCTCATGCCAAGAATTTAGAAGTCAACTTTGGTTTCTCTCTTTTTCTCGGTCTGCTTTCAGCGCATATCACAGTGTATCATAAATTCTGTTCGCTTCTTACTAACTGTACCACTATCATCATGCCTGAGTCCAAGTCACTCTCATCTCTTGCCTGGCCTATGAAGCAGCTTCCTAAGTGGCCTCGCTGATTCTGCTCTCTGTCCCTGTGGTCTCTATTCCATGGGGCAGCCAGAGTAGTCCTGTTAAATCATGAATCAGCTCATATTGTTCCCCTGCTCAAAACCCTCCAGTGGCTCCCAACACATGTGGAACAAGCTGCAGCACCCTTACAGTGATTTGGCCCTGTCTCCCCAGTACTGATTGCTGCCACTCTCACTTTGCTCCAGCACATAGACCTTCTTTCTGCTCCCGAAACACACCCTCCTGGGTGTGGCCTCAGTACCCTTGCGTTTGCAGTTCCTTCTATCCAGAACACTCCTTCCTCCAGGTACTTCATGACTTGTTTTATTCCTTTCTCCACTTTATTTTTTTTTTCATCTTTTTTATCTTCACCTGAAATGATATATTTATTTAAGCTCCATGAGGAGAGAAACGTTGTCTCTCTTGGGTACTGCTGCCTCTCTATGCTGAGAGAAGTGCTTGAAATAATAATAGATGCTCAGTAGATATTAAGTAACAAGACAATCAATGGTATAAGGTATTTTCCAAATTTTAAATTCTGATTCCACCCCTTTGGTACACTGGATATTGGCCATATTCTTTTATATAGAGCTCTTGTATTTGTTTGCTTGGGCTGTGTATCAGACCATTCTCACGCTGCTAATAAAGACATACCTGAGACCGTGTAATTGATGAAGGAAAGAGGTTTAATTGACTCACAGTTTCTCAAGGCTGGGGAGGCCTCAGAAAACTTGCAATCATTGTAGAAGGGGAAGCAAACACATCCTTATTTCCATGGTGGCAGGAGAGAGAAGAGTAAAAACTGAGTGAAGGGGGAAGCCCCTTATAAAACCATTAGATCTTGTGAGAACTCACTCTCTGTCTTGAGAACAGCATAGGCAAAACTGCCCCCATGATTCAATTACCTCCCGCTGGGTCCCTTACATGACACATGGGGATTATGGGAACTACAATTCAAGATGAGATTTGGGTGGAGACACAGCCAAACCATATCAGGCTGATATTAGAAAAAACTATGTTTTGTTTTGTTTTGTTTTTGTGGCAGCGACTGGTTGGCTTAAACAACAGAAATGTATTTTTCACAGTTCTGGAGGCTGGGAAGTCAAAGATCAAGGTGACAACAAGAGCCTAGGGAGAGTCTTCTTCCTGGCTTGCAGATGGCTGACTTCTTGCTGTGTCCTCACATGGTGGAGGTCAGGGGGATAGACAGGGAGAGAGAGAGAACTCGAACAAGTGCACTCTCTGGTCTCCTTATAGTAGCAGTAATCCCACTACACACCTAAACCTAATGACCTCCCAAAGGCCCTGCCTCATAGTATATCACACAGGGGGTTAGGGCTTCAACATATGAATTTTGGGGGGCACACAAACATTCATTCCATAACAGCTCCTTTTGTAGTTCTAGTTCCAGGCCTCCTCAATGCTGACCTATACATGACATCTCTGATCTTTGTTATCATCAATTTCACTCCCTGAGAGAGGGTCCATTTTCTGTTTTAACTACAATAGACTATCTTGTGCCTATCTACAGGATTACAGATCATCCCATAGGGCAATGTGGAGTTTTCAAAACCTGTATATTTGTTTAACATATTATGGAAATTTGCAAACACATAAACTAGTAAAGAGAGTAGGATAATGAACTCAATGCAATATCACTCAGCTTCAACAATGAACCCATGGCTAATCTGACTTTATGTATTATGTTATCACTTACTCCCTTCTGGGATGATTTTGCAGTAAACCCCAAGCATTATATGACTTCATCTGTAAAAGTTTCATCTTTAATGTATAAGGAATCTCTACATTTATCAAAAAAGGAAAATGTACATAACTACAAAACCATGATCACAGCTAAACATTCACAATTAGTTTTTAAATATTAACAAATTTCTGGTCAGTATACACATTATTTTGTTTTTTTATAATAATTTTTGACAATGTTTGTGTGAATCAGGTTCCAGAAAAGTTTCACATTTTAAAAATTGGCTGATCTGCCTTTTATGTCTCTTGTGGAATTCTCTCTCCCTCTCTCAGTTCCTCTCTTTCTCTTCTGCACCCATTTTTTTTTTTTTTAAGAAACCAGGTCATTCTTTTCTTCACAGTCTCCCTCACTCTGGATTTTGCTGATTTCATCTCCCACGTGTTCATCCGTTGTATTTCCTATAAATTGGTAGTTACATTCGCAGCTTTGATCAGATTCAGGCTCAGTATAACTTCTGGCAAGACTACTTCATAGGTGGTGTTGTCTACTTTCAGAAGAAAGTAATAATAATGCCTGAATTTCTCTATTTTTTGATGCTATCAGCCATTGATGATATTACGTAGATCAGCAGTTATCAAACTTTTTCTTATGAGCATATTACATTCTTAAAAATTACTGAGTGTCCTGCAGAGCTTTTTTTTAAATGTGGGTTTTATCTATTCATATTTATTATATTAGGAATTAAAGAGAAAGGAGCTTTAAAATATTTATTAATTTAAACTAACAACAAGCCCTATTAAGGTGACAGAAATATTTTTATTGAAAATAATTATTTTCAAAAATAAAAAATGTTTAACAAGAGGGACACGGTTTTAGATTTTTTACATCTTTTTACTTTCTGTCTATTTAATAGTAGACATTTGTATTCTCCTTTCTGCTTCTCCATTCAATCTGTTGCAATCTATTGCTTTAGTTGAAGTATCTAAAGAACTTCAACCTCACAAAGATGTATATTTGAAAGTGTCAAAATTATTTTAGCACTTTTTCGGTTAATTGCACATATTTTTCTTTACCAAAACTTGAGAAATGGTAATTTATTAAAGATTAGTTGCAGTGTATAATCTGAAACCATGTCAACAAACTTTCATTCTGTTACATTAAAATCCCTTGGTTTATCTTAGTCTTTTAATAGATATCTTACCCTTGCCTTATTTTGTGATATTAGTTGGAAAATATTGAGTCACTAATATACGTGATCTTACAATTGTGGAAAAATTTCATTATTCAATGTCAAAGAAACACCACATGCATTAGTAACTATCAATGTTATTAGATAGAAAAGCCTGTCAATATTGGGAAGCTGTCCAAATAATGCTGGCAAATGGAAGTTTTCCAAAATTCAAATTTTTAATTTAAAGCTTGAATCTTATCTTGAGCAGTGAGTACTGTCAGTTTACTTGAAGTGTCAGATTTATTCTACTCATTTTCAAAAACATATCTGCCAGATCCAAATCTGTATAACCATAATTTTTCTGTCGGTCACTTCTTAAAGTGAAAATCATGTACCATGAAAAATGTGGCTAGTTTAGCTGGCAACTCAAACAATCACATGAGTGGTTTTCAAGGAGATGACCAGCATGGGTCAGAATGCAGTACAAGTGCCTCATGTGTTTTTCACATTTTATTACATGGATTTTTTTTAAGTACTCAAATTTCAAGATTCAATACAAGTAATAATTTTTACTGCTCCATGAAGGAAATTCTTACATTAAACTGGCCTTTCCTCCTGCAGCATGTGGTGGTAGAGAATATAACTGCCAGTAGCACAGTTGATGCCACCGCCTTGATTTGTGCTGAGGCACCAGCTTTTTTGTCCACCATTGCTTTTGTATCACCAATATAAATGTGAACAAAGGGAAAAAGGCCAATAATGTTTTAGCATTGCCATGAAAATAATATTGAACTTGTGATTTCCCTAAAAGGGTCCTAGGGATGTTCAGCAGCCCATACCCAGAAATCTGCTGGTTCAGATACTTTATTTTATTAGAAGTTGCATTAGTGATACTGTAATTTACTTAGCTGGAATATGTGTATAAAGAAACCCCTCCTCCTGAATGATTTTGTTTCCTCAGGTACAGATCACATAGAAAAAACATAAAAAGTGTTTGATACACTCCCTATATGTGCCAGTTTTCAGAATAAGGAAGTGGTTCTCTAACATTCTTTAAAGGTTACCAATTAAGGTTTTATTACAATATTAGATGAGCTTATGAGTTTAAACATATGTGATGGGTTTCAACTCAATTCAATTGTCATCCTTATTGGTGATGCTCAAATTATTCCATCTTTGCCTGATGAGAACTTATTCAGGTTGGCCACTGATTTTTTTTTGGCATGATCTTAATCATCTTTGATAAATTCCTTGCTTTCTGATATGAAAAAAATTTCCAGGTCCATTTTGTTCATTTACTGCTGTTGCTGACAAACAGGATTTTAAACCTAGAATCAGGCATTTCTTCAAGGAGCCCTAGTTCCTTTTACTGGGAAACAGTATTCAAGAATAAATTTGGATGCTAGAGATCTCATTACAATTGGGTCAACCATTGCTCTAAATCTTTTCATAGAGCTAAAAATTATGGGTTTTTTAAAAAGAGAAAAATACATTATGAGCTCATACTGATATTTCAAATTAAAATTTAGGATTATAGACTATTTATTTAAACTCATTGATCTTACAACTGTATCTCCTTTCAATTATGCCAAAAATCTTGGATCTCTACAACACTAACAAGGATTCATTTTTTTATACTGTATTATACACATAACAATCTCAGTATAATTCTCATACTCCTGCCAACACGTTACTGAAAATAGTTTATGATTTATTGCTGTTCTTTTTTCCTCAGGGTAACTGTATTAGTCCATTTTCACACTGTTATGAAGATACTACCTGAGACTGGATAAATTACAAACAAAGGAGGTTTAATTGATTCACAGTTCTGCATGGCTCAGGAGGCCTCAGGAAACTTACAGTCATGGCAGAAGAGGAAGCAGGCACCTTCTTCACATGGCCACAGGAGAGCAAATGAGAGGGGGGAAGTGCTAGACACTTATCAAACAACCAAATCTTGTGAGAACTCACTCACTATCAGGAGAACAGCATGGGGGAAACCATCCCTATAATCCAATCACCTCCCACCACATCCCTCCCTCAACACCTGCGAATTACAATTTGGATTACAATTCAAGATGAGATTTGGATGGGGACAAAGAGCCAATCCATATCAGTAACTCAATCAGGCATGTACAATCAAATTATTATTTTTAAAAGTCTCTTGGAATAGCTCCTCTCAGTTTGGTCACGCTACTCTAAGACAGAGGTTCATTTGTTTTATTTTACTTCTAATTTTGCGAGGTTGCTTTTTAAAATTTCACTTTGTTTTACGATTATGTAAAGCGTTTCCATGGCTCCACAGTCAAATCCACAAAATATATATTCAAAGAAGTCTAGGTCCTGTCCCCAACCCTCTACTCTATTCTGCCTACCCCTTTTTAGGTAATCATTTCTTAAGTGTTTTTTCTTCCATTGTTTTATTTTAATTATATAGTCCTACCTCCTCCTTAAATAAAGAGTAGCATGATATATATACTTTTCTCCATCTTGCTTTTCCCCCCAAACCTTGAAGAATGCAGAGGCTATAAGTGCCAACCTTCACGCGGTCAAAAATCCAAGTAAAACTTTTTAGTCTGCAGAAATGTAACTACTGTAACTACTAATAGCCTACTGTTGCCTGGAAGCCTTACTGACAACATAAATAGTAGATTAACACATATTTTCTAGGTTATATGTATTATATACTATATTCTTACAATAGCAAGCTGGAGAAAAGAAACTTATTAAGAAAATCATAAGGAAGAGAAAATGTACTTACTATTTCTTAAATGGAAGTGAATTGTCATAAAGGTCTTAACCTTTGTCATCTTCATGTTGATTAGTCTGAAAAAAAGGGTTGGTCTTGCTGTTTCAGGGGTGGCAGAGGTGGAAAAAAGTCCTTGTATAAGCAGACTGGCGCAGTACAAACTGGTGTTGTTCAAGAGTCAACTGTAGTGATATATCCTGGAAATCACTGCATTCTAGTGTATAGAAGTAGTCTTCAATTCTTTCAACAGTTGCCAAGTACTTTATTATGTTGATGTACCATGGTGTATTCCATCAGTCCTTTATTGATGGATATTTGGGTTGGTTCCAGTCTTTAGCTGTTACAGAGTGCTGTGATGAATAGTCTTGTGCATACTATTATCTTATTTTTAAAATTTTTGCTAGTGTATCTTTGGGATAGAGTCCCAAAAGTAGAATTGCTAAATCCAAGGGAAAATGCATATGAAATGTGCTGGATATTGACAAATCCCACTCCAAAGGCATTGTGCTGAGTATTCAGTTATTTTTTTCTCGTTTCTATACTTCCCATTTTATCCTCTGTTCTGTGAAAGGGCCGTATGTGCAAAATGACCTCCAAACATTAAAGGAGTCAAGCAAGAAAAGACCAAGGCAAATATAATAAATCCAGTTTATCAGTCTGGGGTGTTTTATTGGGGGAGCTTACAGATAGAAGCATGGTCTTGGGCAGCTGCAAGATAGGTAGATCTCTACAATGTTACTCCCCAGACCCAAGGCTTCTATACCATAGGGGAAGGGCATATGTACACCAGCAAGATAATTAAAGGCACTTTCCAGAACAGGCAAGAATGCTATGTGCATAAGAGCTATAATTTGTGCAATAACATCAAGGTTGGCTTGTTCTTTCACTAGGGACAGTACATAAAGTGGAAACCAGGAGGAATTCACGGGACTGGGATTAATCAGACGTTAGCATGGCAGATCAGCATCAAAGATGGAGTTACTTTTGTCTCCACACCCTCCACTTTGAGAAGCTGGGGCCAGGACTCTACACATATTTCTGCTTTACTAGCTGGCTCCCTATCGAGTTTTTCCAAAAGCATGCAAAATGTAGACTGAACAGCAGGAAAAAGAATGACCAGGAGACTGGCTGCTTTCTGCTTTGTTTCCTCTTCCTGCCAGCATCACCCAAGCCACAGTTTTTCACCCAGTAGGGGTAGGTTACAGTTTCCAATTTTCTACATTCCTAGAACCTTCTCAGTATCCACACCAGCCAGTCAGCAGCCCAGCTCAGAAGTCTGAGCCTCTGCTCTGTGGGGGCCCCCGGGGCTCCTGTATGTCCAGGTGGTTTCCCTTCCTTGGAGGTCTGGGCCCAGCCTCATGGGGTTCTTTCTCCTAACCAAGCAGAAAGCACTCCCTTTTCAGAATTCTGGGTCCCAGCTCAGAAGGGCTCCTCTTCCAAGTTTCTATATTCTAATAATCCCAACCTTCTTCCTTTGTTTCCCCAACCTTTAAGGATAATTAATAATCCATTGCTTTCGATGGCAAAAACTTCAATGACTTTTGCACCAATATAACACTTCCTAAAGTTACCACATCTGGTATACTTCAGAGTTTACTTTATCTTTCAGACTCTTCAATACCTGATTAACAATTCTGTTTCTATTAAATTAAATCATATGAGTGCTATTTGGCTAACAGAGGGATTGTACCATTTTATCTTTATTTTTACCCATAATTTATGAGAATGCTTGTTCTCTCAACCTTGCCTGCTAAACCTTATGATTTGTGCTAATCTAATAGGTAGGAATAGTCTTTCAGTGTAGTTTGAGTGTGCATTTTTCTTTTCTTCTTTTTATTTTTTGAGATAGGGTCTTGCTCTGTCACCCAGGCTGGAGTGCAGCGGAGTGATCATAGCTCACTGCAAGCTCAAATTCCTGGGCTCAAGCGATCTCCTGCCTCAGCCTCCCCAGTAGTTGGGACTACAGGCATGCACCACCATGCTTGCCATTTTTTTTTTCCAATATAAATGAGGTCTTGCTATGTTGCTCAGGTTGGTCTCGAACTCCTGGCCTCAGGTGATCCTCCCACCTTGGCCTCCTAAACTGCATTTTTCTTACTTTGAGTCTACTTGAGAATCATTTCAAATGAGGGTCTATTTGTTTGCTTGTCTATTTTTTCTGAGAACTCTCTGACCCATCTTTCCATAGCCCTGCTGGCCTTTTATTTTCTCTATTTTTAATGCTTTTTCTGCATTAGCTATACCAATCTATGGTTACCATATAAATTCTAAATATTTTCCCACAAGGACAAGCTGTTGTCTATTTACTTTGCTAACAGAGGTTTTTGTTCCCATGCAAAGGTTTATCATATTTATATGATCAAAAGTATCAAGGTTTTTCCCCATTGCTTCAAGAAGTTGAATCAAAATTAGGAAAGTTCTCTCCACTCGGATTATAGAGGAATAAACCCATGTTACCTTTTAATTAAGTATATTGTTTCATCTTAATCTTTACATTTCTGAAACGTGGAATTTATCCTATTGTAAAGCATAAAGAAAATGTCATCTATGTTACTTCTCTGGGCAGGTCCCTGAAGACCCTCTCTGCTTGCTTATGACCCCAGCAAGTCCTCTAAGGCCACAGCATGCTGGCTGAGAGCATACTACCCCAAGCCACGGCCCTGGTCCAAGCTGTGGGCATCTGGGCTCACTAAGACAAGACAGTTGAACAGCTCCAAGAAAGGGTCTGAAATTTGGCTTTTGTGAAACTGTTAAGCACAAAAGTTTTGAGGGAATATTCAAAACATCTCCTACTTTCAGGTTGTCAGGATTATTTCTAGGAACTGAGCTTTTCTGATGTAGGCATCTGATGCCTCACCTACGTCTTGTATTTGCACATTTATAAATAGGGTCTAAGAGACGATGTATATATATATAGCCTCCAAGGTCAGAGATAGTTTCAAAACTGGGATGCACTCCACACTGCCTTGCTCCAAAGCTGCAAAAAGGCAAGATCTCAGGCGTTACTAAGAGCTCTAATTATGCTGGGTTCTTATAATTTAAGAATTCAAGAGTTATAAAGTATAAATTCCAATAGCAAGTTTAAACCAGACAAGAAGCACTGAAAATTTTAAAACAAATACATAAAATTACATTGCCTAAAGAGAGAAAACCAACCACCTCTCAGTCATCAGTAGCCATGCAGGTCTCAGGAAGCAGGCTCTATGGGATCGCTTGTCCTAACTCCAGAATGGGAAGAAACTGTCAGATGGGAAAAATGTTGTTTAGTCAATTTGCATTGGTCATAAATTGAGTGATTTCATTGTTGTGATTATATACATGACTTGCACTTGTCTGAAATAGCATTGACCAATATAATTTCACTTGTATGGGGTTACATAACCTAACATTTAGGTGCTAAATTATAATAGCTTTGCTCATTTAGAATGATAAAATAAAGGTACTCCTAAGAGCTGCCCATTGTTATCTAACAAAATACTGCACCTATCATTTTTACCTCAGAAGACACTAGATTAACCTTTTCCTCCTCTTCTGGAGTACATTTTAAAACGTAGAACTTTTGGGGATTACCAAAGATGAGAGAATAAAATTTTTGAAAAATGGTTCGTATTTGATTTTCTGTCACAAACACAGTCTGTAGCTTGGCTCTCTTTTTGTTAGTGACCTCTAAGTGAATGACTTCTTGAACATGCATTTCCTCCCCCTTTGTTCCTTCTTTAAAGAAAGAAAGGCCTGTTATAACAGCAACGAATAATCTAATGGGATCCTGCTGGCACTCCCCACTGCTCCTTGTCTTTCCTTCTTTCATATGTGTGTTGTCACACACAAGTCTAATGTATACAGCTCAGACATATTAAGAGACACCCCCACCCTGCCTGCCCCCAATTAAGTTGCCAACCCAGCACCTCACTCCCAGCCACCGAAGAAGAGATTGCCTGTTACATCACTCAAGCCCATTATTCTCTTTTCTCCCTATGGCATCCACTCCTTCTAGATGCTTTTTAGCTCCTGGTTTAAGCAGAGGCAAGACATATTTTGCATTTTAAGATTAATATTATATATCTTTGACTTTTACAAGGCTAGACACCCTGGGGACTGACATTTAATAGATGTTAATGGAATTTAATTTTTACATGCACTAGGTGTGAGCATTTATCTTCTAAAATAGTCTGAAACCTTAGACGGCACCAAGAAAATTCCATAACAAATTATTTTTCACTCTATATCCTTAAATCAAGTTACTGAGCAAAGTAGAAAAGCTGTTTTCTGATATTTAGAATTTAAAACCTGAATATAATTATCATTAATTAATTACATGGAAAGGATCAACAGGCATTTTGCCATAGTGATTACCATTGCAAAACAGTTCTAAAATGGTGCCTAAAAAGAAACTTTCTCCATAACCTATTTTCCCATTGATTTTCATTAGGCAAGACATCCCCTCTGCAAAAGTAAGTGTGGCCCCAAACATATTAAATAATAATCAGCATGATCAATATTTTGAAAATTTTTATATAACTCTAACAAAGCAATGATAAAAGTAACACAAAATTAGAGGTAGTTGACCATGTTTTCTGAGTAAATTGTGTGTTCTAACGCTGTGACTAGGAGCAGAGTAGCCACTTGCATTTTCAAAGTACATTTTTGTCTGGATTTCAAATACAGTTTAATTTTGAATTTTGGCTAATATGATCACAGAATTTGGAAAATATTACAGATAGAAGAAAACACTGCTTTGTATCTTTGTAATCTTTACAATTCATGAACTAACATATTTGAAAAAGCTGTCAATTTATTCTCTACATATTTAAAATGCTGAAGTCCCTCCCATTCCAATTAATGAAGGAAAACCCTTCTTTTTTTGCTTCAGTGCCTGGCACTGAAGTGCCTACTTAATAAACATTTGATGAGTAAATGAATGATTTTGACAGTAGCCAAGAGCTTGCAGCAAAAATGAGGTAATGCAGTACATTGCAAAGAGCAATGTGAGGAAGCGGATCTGGGTTCTTGTCCCAGTTCTGTCATGAACCAGCTGTGTAACTTTAGGTAAGGAACTTGACCTCTCTGGGCCTTGGCTTCCTCCATGCAAATCTGGATGCTGGGTATGACCTCCAATGACCTCTAGTTCTAAAAGGCTACAGTTCTAAATCTTAAAATTAGCCATTCTTGCCAGTGTCACTTTGAACTTTAGCCATTAGTCTCCACAGAGATAGACACATTTTAGCGTAGTAGCCTCTAGAATGAAATCTATTAAAAGGTTCAATATGCTAATGCAAGCAGTGGAAAGATACAAGCCTCAATGGTTCACCCAAAGAGGACTCGAGTAAGTGTAGAAGTGTACAAGAGAAATAGAAGGGAAACCTGGGAAAAAAAAGTCTCTATAGCTCAGACTAGTGAAGTCTCCAGAAAGCAGGTTTCCTGAGAGGTCAAAAGTGAGTAGGTTTTATTTATGACTGATTAACAAGTGATGAATTTATAAAGGGCTTCCCTTCCAAAGAGAGCACCAGAATGCTTTATTTCCTAATTGGAGAGTGCTTTGCACATAAATAAAGGAGGATCGCTGCTGCCTGTCAGGGAAGCACTTTGATAGGGCAAGCATGTTCTCGTCTGTGTCCTGATTGACTGTGTGACCTTGGGCAAGTCATTCGTCTTCCCCCAACCAGTATCCCTAATCGTAAAACGGAAATAAAAATACTCACTGCCTTCGCTGAGGATTTATAAGACAAGATGAATATGTTTAAGCCCCCAGAGGGGAAAAGGCCACATATAAGAAGGCAAAGAACTACAGACTCGTGCTGTTGGACTTTTCATACAACTTGGGAAAGAAAACAACACAACAAAACTCTTGAGCTATAGGCCGGGCGCGGTGGCTCATGCCTGTTATCCCAGCACTTTGGGAGGCAGAGGCGGGCGGATCACCTGAGGTCAGGAGTTCCAGACCAGCCTGGATAACATGACGAAATCCCGTTTCTACTAAAAATACAAAAATTAGCTGGGCGTGGTGGCAGGCGCCTGTAGTCCCAGTTACTCAGGAGGCTGAGGCAGGAGAATTGCTTGAACCCAGGAGGCGAAGGTGGTAGTGAGCCGAGATCATGCCACTGCACTCCAGCCTGGGCGACAAAGTGAGACTCTGTTAAAAAGAAAAAAAAAAAAAAAAAAGAAAAGAAAAGAAAAGAAAAAAAGAAAGAAAGAAAGAAAGAAAAAAAGACAAAAAAACTCCTGAGCTTTAAGTTTTCCAGTCCCAAAACAAACAAACAAAAAACCCCCAAACAAACAAAAATCCTCACCCCATACAACCTGCCCATTTTTTCCCCCTACATGTTGCACAGCACAGCACAGGCTGGGGACTGTGATTCGAAGGTGAGTAGCTGGACGGCTGAAGGCTGATGTTAAATTTATCCCCCCAGAATTCGAACCCCTTGCTCCATCCGTAACAGTGAGATCGTTGGCAAATTAGTTTTGATGTCTCAATCTCTTCTTCTGTAAGATATGGGATAATATTACTATTTACCATATGTGTACAGATCTGTGAATAGATGCCTGGCATACAGTAATTTCCCAATAAATATTTGCTGATAATTTCTGTTTCTTAGCAGCATCATTCAAACTGCTGAAATATTTTCTTTAAAAAAAAATCAAAGGTCCTTCTGAGATAGTATTGGGATATAAAGATAAACGTGACAAAAACATTTGTGCTTCAAAGGGGAACCAGTATAAAGCCATAAAGCCCACTTTCTTCTGCTGAATAGAATGAGTTTGGGGACAGGGACAACGCCTTAAAATGGGTCAACGCGCGGACGCGAGGGGGCACTGTGAGTCCGCTTTGGCGAGGGAGAGGCGGCGGCCCGCGCGGGGCGGGGAGGGCTGCGCCCTTCCAGCATCCCAGCGCCCAGGAGCTTCGCCACCTACCAGGGTCCGAGACCTTAACTCGGTTCCGGAAAGGGCGTCCCGGGTGACCCAAGTTTGGGGCCACAAGCAGCTCCACCGGCTCTCCGCGTTGGTCTCTCCCCTCCCCCTAAGCAGACAGTCCTTTCTGCCAGCTGTCCTTAATTTGAGATTCGTGAGTCCCGGGGTTTGGGAAACCAGAACCCCCCTGCGACTGTAGGGAACGTTTTGGGTGCGCCTATGTCGGGTATTTTCCTGGGCAAAAGGACAGAAGCTGTCATCTGATTCTTTAAGGGGTTCGTGTCCCAAGAGGGGGTTAAGCTCTCTTGGTTTAGGATAAGAGGGCCCACCTAACCACCCACCCAAATGCCAAACACACAGCAGGTCGAGAAACGACTCTGAAATCACTCCTTGTCCACTTCCCAAGGTCGGGCGAGAGACTGGCACGCCCCACGGGCAATCTTCAGAAAAAAAGGTCAGATCTGGTCCTTAAACAGCTCAGGTGCGAAGCTGAATCGCCCTTCTGCGGAAAGAGAGGAGACAGTACCTGCCCCCGCCGTCCCTCACTTCCCTTAGTCCCAAGAAGAGGTCAGACACCGGGAAATGGGGCCCAGGCGCTTGGTCTGTTCCACCTGCCACTCGAGTCCCCAGTCCCAAGAGGCTGCTCAGACATTGGCATGATGGGGAAACTCGATTGATTTTGTTACCTCCTAGAGGGAAAATGCCGTGGGCGGAGATGTCTGAGCGTCCCTTCCAACACGAGCTGGGTGGTGCTCTATTGATTTTCACGCGATCCCCGGGCGGGAGCGAGAGGATAGGCTCGGATTCCCGGGCTCCAGGACCGAACGCCTGGCAGTGTCCCCGGGGGCAAAGCCACCCCGGGAGCCCGTGCAGTATACTAGGTGGGGGGCCCGGAGAGAAAGCATAGCGCCGACGAGGGGGAGGGGCCGGGCAGAAAGGAGGGTGGGGTACCGGGTGGGACACACTGACCTAGGAGAAAGTACAACCCACCCCAAACTTTCGCAGACCCGGGAGCTTAGGAAGGGAGAGCCAGGAAGACAGCAGCCTCTCCTGCCGCCCAACGTGCCCAGCTGCAGCGAGGAGGGGCGGCGCGCAAGCCGGCTGGACCCGGGCGGTCCCCACGTTGCGCCCACCCTCCGGGCCAAAACGCCGCCGCTCGGGTCACTGAGTGGCCGCCCACGGAAGAAGTCAGATCGCCGGGCTCTGGGCTGCGTACGGGATCCGAGGAAGGGGGATTCAAACGCGGATCCGGAAGGAAGGGACACTGAACCCCGCAGCGTCCCCAGCGCCGTGGGGCGGCGGGACGTGTCCTTGGGCTGCCAGCGGGCGCGGAAGCTGGAGTCCGGCAGGGTCGGGAAGAAGTGAGCACAGACTTCCACGGGTAGAAGAGTCAGATTAAACAGAAATGTGAAAAGCAACCCAGGGCAGCCAACGGAGCCCAGCAGCGTAGAAGCCACCGGCTTCCCGCCGGGAGGACTACAGTGACTGACACTCGCGAAGACTAGGCGCTCCCAGCGGCCGCGGGTCTGCGTGGAGAAGTCGCCTCGCGGCGCGGAGCGCGCCAGCGGCGGCGGCGGCTGCCAGAGCGCGAGATGCGGCGCGCAGCCGCCGGACCGTCCCGGCTGGGAAAACTCGCGGGCGGCACTGCGCAGCGCTGACCCGGCGCAGGTCCGAGGGGTGTGCCCCGGCCCCTCCCGTCTCCGCCCCCTCCCGCGCCAGTCGCGCGCCCCTCCCCGCGGCGGCAGCGTCGGCGGCGCATCCAGGGGCGGCGCGGAGCCTTGCTCAGCCCAGCAGCCAGTGCCTGCGAGCTCCGCTGCTGCTTGGGGAATTCACTTTGCTGCTTGTTCGCTTCTCCCTTCCTCAGGCTTCTTCTGATGGTTTTCCGTCTCCTGCCCGAGCCTTTCCTTTAAAAGGAAAACTTTACTGCGATACCCTTTTCCCCTTGGAGGAGAGGATTAAAAGTTCCAAGAACTGGTGCCGCCCGTGCCATTTGGGCGCTGGGAAGGTGCTCGGCGGCGGGGTTCCCGGTCCCACCATGTGCACCAACATAGTTTACGAGTGGCTCAAAGCGCTGCAGCTTCCGCAGTACGCGGAGTCCTTCGTGGATAACGGCTACGATGACCTGGAGGTGTGCAAGCAGATCGGGGACCCGGACCTGGATGCCATCGGGGTGCTGGCGCCCGCGCACCGCCGCCGTATCCTGGAGGCCGTGCGCCGGCTGCGGGAGCAGGACGCCAACGCCGCCGGCCTCTACTTCACGCTTGAGCCGCAGCCGGCGCCCCCCGGGCCGCCCGCCGACGCCGTCCCCACCGGCCGCCGGGGGGAGCCGTGCGGCGGCCCGGCCCAGGGCACCCGCGGGGACTCTCGCGGCCACACGACCGCCCCCCGCAGCAGGGAGCTGGTGAGCTACCCCAAACTGAAGCTGAAGATCATGATCAGGGATAAGCTCGTCCGTGACGGCATCCACCTGAGCAAGCCCCCGTACTCCCGCAAGGTAAGGAGGTGCCGTCCGGGCGGCCCGGGGCGCGCGGCGGGAGGGGACACAGCCCAGCTGCCTGTGCCAAGGCTTTGCAACCCATTCCAGGTGACGACGGAGAGGCCAGGAGGCTTTGGGTATCTGGGACCCTTTTCTATGTTCTTTCTGTATTAGCCCATTATTTCGTCCTTCCTGGTGTCTCCAGTGGTTGGTAAGACAAGCCCCCGCATCCAGATGTTATCTCTAAACTAACGACCAAAACTCCGCATCCTCTCTGGTGCTCGCCTGTCAGGAATCGGACTCGCGCTGCTTCACCTGGTAGCCAGGGGGAATTCCTAACGCCCTCTATAGTAGTTTTGGGTTTGAAGAGTACCAGAAAAAATGGTTAATACCTACATTGCTTTCTACCTTCCTTTTTCTCTTTCTTTTCCTTTTTTGAGTCTTGAGAAACTCCTAAGGGAAATCGGTGAACTCTTTAAAGAGTGGAAAGTCAGGCCCTGCCTTTCTCAATTCCATAAAAAATCCCAGCGCTGCTGCAAATTTGAGAAGCTTACCATTCACATGAGCATTTTAAGAGGAAAAGTGAAGGAAGCACGTGTCAGTCCACTTGAGATGATTTCCTAAACTTGTGTATACTGGAGGCAATAAGGTGCTAAGGACATCAGAGATAATCGGGCCACAGGATGTGCTTCAGAGGTCTGGGCTGTCACGAGTTTGGTTTATTATTAAGCCAGATAAGATGAAGTAGGTACAACTGTGACTTCCAGGAAGTGTGAGTGGACCTGCATTTGGGAGAGGAGGACCGAGCACAAGTGAACTAAAGGGGAATCCTCTGCACCGGGGGCCTCAGGGAAGGAACCTGGAAGTTCCGAAATGTGGAGTGGGAGCTGGGTAATTAACAGAAAATGGTACTTCACACCAGAGCTCTGCTTCTAGCTGCGAGTCTGTTCCGTTTAGGTTTCTAGTTCAGGCGGCTGTCGGAGTAGAGGGTCCTGACTTGATAGAGAAGTAGACAGCACAGGTAACGCTCAGGATTGCAGAAGGTGCACAGGAATATGAGCACCTCAGCTTAAAAATCAAGACTTAGAAGAGCCCAGGGAGAAAATGATGGCAAACATACTCAGCTGGTGGGCCACAGAAACCCAACTCCCTAATAGGAAATGTGGATAATCTCAGTGTTGTGTGGGTATCTTGGGCCCTGGTAGTATTGCTGTAGAATCTTAAGTAAAGGCTGTAATGCCTGGAGTTAAGGAAGTTAAAGGGAAAGCTTTGTTAAGAGTAGATAACAATACCTAAGGTAGATGGGAATAAGGGGTTTAATATTATCTACTACCTTGCACGTACCATAGGCAATTCAGATCACCTGCTTGACCATGTTAATTGGTTTTTTAAGGAGGATACAAAGAAGGCAGGTTGGGAGGACAGAGTGCTTCAAATTAAACACGTGTTCCAGTTACCCACTCTGTGCCACTGATGTGTGCTCAAAGCAGGAAAGGAGAGAACACTTTTCCCAGGCAGTTGCCTGTATGTAGGAGTTCCATGTATGTCTGGTGTGGATAGAGAGATCTGGTCATCAGTATAAAGGCTTGGTCCTGGACACAGCAGGTCAAAGGAGATCAAAGCCAGTTAGATGTTTGTTATTAGCATCCCGGGAAGTAAGGTGGGCTTAGTCTGAGAGAATGTGAGTACCTGGGCACTTGATAAGGGCACAGTTCAAGTCCTGGCAAGAAAGGAATGCAGAGAGCAAAGTGTGTCACTAGAGCTTACTTATTCTTCAGGAAAAGTGCTGTGTAATGGGGCGGGGAGAGCAGGGACACCGTGGGCTGGAGGTGAGAAGCGTAAGCTTGAAGTGACACATTTTAGTTCTGATTCTTAAAAAGCAAAAGGCAGACCTACATATCAAACATAGAGGCTGGAAAGGATGTTAAGGGGATGAAACGTCATCAGAAATGTCAGCACATAGGCTTTGAACTCTGGTCTCCTGCCTAGATCAGTGGGTGCTATGGTAGTGCATTTGCATAAGTGCAGTTTACATAAGAAAATGCCAAGTTGCACTGCAATACTATTTACTTTCCATGTAAATAATTACTTCAGTCAACTTTGCTTTAAAATAAATCCCATAGCAATAATGCTTGATAACAAAGATATGCTCCTATTCACTTTCTATACATATTTAATTCTCCTCAAACTGATGGAAGAATAAAATAGAAACAGAAGTGTTTTCATTATCTCCCTCATTGATCCTTGAGTTGGGGACCAAAAAAAAAAAAAACTGGCACTGACAAACTTTATTGTAACACACACTGAAATAGGAATTAAAATATAATTAATGTACACATATAATTAATATACATATATAGCAAACTGAGCATACAAATGTTTAGTACCAGATCACGTTGATCATTCTGGATTTGTTGCTTATATGTGCATTGCCTCTTAAGTTTTGGATTTTAAATTATTGAAGAATTTGTTTTCTGATGTAGCTAGTTTCTTCATGAGCAGTGCTAGAACTTTTTCTTTTCTTGTGTGATCCACATTCTAATTTCTCCACTTTCCTTGGCTTTGTCATGATCAGAATATATAGTATTTTTTGTTTGTTTGTTTGAGATGGAGTCTCATTCTGTTGCCCAGGCTGGAGTGCAGTGCCAGATCTCGGCTCACTGCAACTTCTGCCTCCTGGGTTCAAGCAATTCTCCTGCCTCAGCCTCCCAAGTAGTACCTGGGATTACAGGCACCTGCCACCACGCCCGGCTAAGTTTTGTAGTTTTAGTAGAGACGGGGTTTCACCATGTTGGCCAGGCTCATCTCGAACTCCTGGCCTCAGGTGATCCAGCCACCTTGGCCTCCCAGAGTGCTGGGATTACAAGTGAGCCACCGCACCCCGCCAGAATGTGTAGTATTTTTGATGTGCATTTGGAATTCTGCTTGGTGGAGTGGGCTTTTCAGTCTCCTTTGCAGTCATTTGCATCAATGATGCCTGTGATTTTGTTTTGCTGAGAATTTTAGATGGCTTGAAGGTGAATTATGCCAAAGATTATCAAGATAGGGAGAGTGAGTCTCTTACAGAGGAAAGTAAGTTGAGGGGTCTTCCCAAGAATCACCTGAAAGGATTGTAGGATTTGATCCAGTAATGGTCAAAGTTATGCGGTTTAGGGATCAGTGAGTTAAAACGTAAATAAAAAGTAAATTTTCTTTTGTTTTCCAAAGGGAACTCTATAGCTTTGAAAAAACAGGAGCTTAGAGAGAGCACCAGGCTTTAAATCAAACATCATTGGAAGAGTTCCTCTTCTGCCCTGTATGTAGCTTCTCTGACTGCTGTGATTTCTACCTTTGTGAAATGGGGATAAAATAATTTTTTACCAAGCTTCTCTATGCCAGGCCTTCTGTTGGACTCTGGGTTACTGTGGTTGGCAGGATGTGAAAGCTCTGCCCTCTGGGAACTTAGCATCTAGTAGGGAAGACTTAAAATGGAATGAACAATAATGATAATGTGTGACGATTGATTTGATGAGAAGTACATGATACCATGAACAGGTGCATCCAACCCAGTTTGCAGGGATTGGGCACCATCTCAGTTTTTCCAGAACTGGCCTATGACCTGAGTACTGACGGTTGAGCATATTTAGCCTGAAGAGGAGCAGGGTCTTAAGGGAAAGAGTGTTCTCAGCAGAGAACAGTGTGTGCAAAGGCCAGGAAGGGGAGGAAGTTTGGCATCAACAGGAATGGCAAGGAATTCTGTCTGGTTAAAGCACTGAGTGCCTGGAGAAAGTGGCAGGAGATGGAGAGGCAGGTGGCAGCTGGTCTTGGGTGGCCTAGAAGTCATGTTAAAGAATTTGGAGTATATCTTGTGAGCAGAAGAGAGCTATTGACACATCCTGACCAGAGGCAAGCCAAACACTTAGGAGACTGTTGCAGTGTCAGGAGAGAGACACTAGTGGCATGGGCCACTTATGACAGTAGGACAGCAGCAATGGAAGTAGACTTGACAGAACTTAAATGATTGTTTGGATGACAGGGTGGGAGGGGAGAGAGGTTGGAATGACATGCAGATTCCTGGTTTAAGATTGTGATGTGATGTAGGAGACCCAGGAGAACAGCGAGTTTGGGCGAGAAAGATATTGCCTTCAGGTTGAAACATACGGAGTGTGAGATGCCTGTGGAATGTCCCTACATCACACACAGCACACTGCAGCTGTGACTACAGATGAGCAGTAGAGGGAGGAGCCCTGGGGAACAGCAGGATTTCAGAGGCGGCCAGAGGAAGAGGAAGCTCTAAGGGAGGCTGTAAGTATGTTTTATTTTCTAGCAGACTTGTCAAAGCAAAAGGTAAGCTCTAGGGTCAATAGTGTGGAGAGATTGACAAGGGTAAGCAGAGGGTAGGTGGTAAGCAAAAGGAAGGGGTGTTCTGGAAGCCACTGGAAGCAGTGATGTTTCAAGGAGGAGGGACAGGTCAGGAAGTCAGATAATGGCCAGGTAGGACAAGAACAGAATCACTTCATGGGAAGTGGTAACCATGCCGTCGAGGACCTTTGCCACAGCAGATTTGGATGATGGGACCAGTGAGAGTGCAGACAGGGATCACCCACAACTTTGAAACCAAGTTTGATGAGATGACAGAACTAAGGTTACAGCCGGAGGAGGAAGGGAGACTTTGTTGTCAAGGGAAGGGTTTTGTGGATTTGTTTGTGTTTAGGATGAGAGAATCTGGAGTATATCTGAGTGTGAATGGTAAGTAGCCAGAGAAAAGGAGATGTTGGGGGACAACCCAGGAGACCAGGGTCCTGGAGGAGGTGCGAGGGAATTGTGCCCAGAGCGCATAAGTGAAGGGAGCATTCGCTTCTGCTTCTGGCGGGTGGGTAGCTTCTCCTCCAGGTCAAGGGGAGGGAAGAAGAAGGGGTCCGGAGACTGGGACCTTTAGAGGTGTTACACCAAAGAGCTCTCATTTCTCTTTCTGACTGAGTGGAACCAGTGAGGGAGGAGATGGAAGGATTAGAGGTTTAAGGAGAACATTGTATTAATATAGAAATGTTAGATGTTGTGATCTAGTGGGATCCTATACATTCCATCATGTAATGTTTAGACATGGTCATAAACATTACATGATGGAATGTATAGGATTCTAAGTATGCACATTAAGAAGGTACGCTCACCATTCACATATTCGTGCTGTAGGTTACAGGTTGTGCTGACGTTTTGTTGAATCTCATCATGTCTAGCAGTGCTTATAGGGTTGTGGCAGATGTGAAGGGTATGGGGCTGTAAATATATTTTATTTTCTAACAGACTTGTCAAAGCAAAAGGCAGGCTCTAGGGTAAATAGTGTGGGGGAGGCATCTAGATTTTTTCACTGAAAAGTTGCTCCTTGCCACATGTACCAATTAAAATTGTTTGAGTTAGTATAACATTATTTAATACTTTCGTAGGAGTGTTCATCTTCATTCATACCCTTCGTGTGACTTTTATGAGGTAACAAGAATCTCATGCTAATAAGGCTATTTATGGATATTCTGGAGAGATGGCCTATAATGAAGGAATTTGAAGAGACAGAGGTAGTAGGAAGGTTTCTGTCACTGGGGCCAGGGTGAAATATTTAGAAAGGAAAGAGAGAGATTGGCAAAGATGTGCTTGTGTCCTTTGGAGTTTTGCCTTGTGTGTTGGCAGAAGCTGAAATGGCAATAAATATTCCTCCTCCCAAGAATTCCTTCTGCGTTCGTGACATTACTAGGGACAGATTGGAAGCTGGAAAACTTCAGCTTTCTCCAACTCAATCAGTGTCCTCAAATACCCTCAACCTATATCCTTCCAGGTTTTTTTTTTTTTTTTTTTTTTTTTTTTTTTGCTTTCAGTGCCTGATTGGAACACTGTGGAAAAAAGTGGGGGCAGGAAGGAGACAAGAGCTTTGATGGTGTGGGGACTTCTGCCTTTGTGTACTCCTCACAGTTTACTGCCTGTGGAGTTTCCACATAAGTGGACCATCAGCCAACTGCCTGTCCACCCATCCATCCATCGATTTATTAATCTGTCCATCCATTCTTCCATTTATCCATCCGTCTTCCATCCAACCATCCATCCATCCATCCATCCATCCATCCATCCATCCATCCATTCATTTATTCATTCATCCATTCATCCTTCCATTTAACCATCCATCTACCCATTCATCCATCCATCCTTCCCTTTACCCATCCATCTCTCCATTCATCTATCCTTCCATTTATCCATCCATCCATTCATCCATTTATCCATCTATCCATCCATCCTTCCACTTAACAAATACTAAGCACATGCCCATGTGCTAGGCTTTAAGATCACAATTGCAAGGAACTAGACAGACATGGTCTCTGCTTGTATGTGGAGGCCTAACCTAATGCCTGATGTATAATAGTTGCACTATATCAAAGTTGAATGTTATTTCTGCAAACATGAAGGATTGGAGGATGTTGCACTTGAGTTTATTTCAAATGTTTAAAAAAATCAACTCTGATTAAAACCCAAGTAAAGATAATGAATGATGAAATTTTGAATCAAAATATTTATTCCTCAAGGGTTAATGAAGAAGAACTGGGAATGAAAATGCTACTCCTGTAGGACATTTTAAAAGAAGACCTCTCTCTGCAGCATGGCCAGGACTAGGGTAAAGCAAGTGAGATGACACCAAGGACACAAAATTGAAGGAGGTGCTGATTCTCAGGCTCATGCAAGTCCAGGCTGGGCTAGATGGCTGACCACCATTAACAAAATAAATTAGTTACTGTGAAATATTAGGTATTAAGAGGTATTGTAGGCATTCCTCAAATCATACACCAAGTCACCTACTCTTCTATGCTTAATACCTGTCCTCAAGAGCAATGTGCTGAGAACCATATCAGTGCACATCTATCAGTGCCCATCTCCCCGACTAAGAAAATATGGCTTCTGGGAGCTATGGCAGCCCATGGAATTCATTTAAGTAAGAATGGTACTGCTTTCTGCTGATACTGTAGTGTAGTGGTTCAGCGCAACAGGCTCAGAACCAGACATCAGAGTTCGAGTCCCAGCTCTGCTCCATACTAGGTCACTGTTGGCTCTTCTGTGAAATATGGGCAAAACTAGTGATTACCACATAGGGTTGTTATGGAGATGAGATGAGCTAACACTCATGAACTTATTAGATCGACGTCTCTATGTATCCTAGAACTGCCATAAAAAGTGCCACAAACTAGGTGTCTAAAACAATAGAAATTTATTCTTTACAGTTCTGGAGGCTATAAGTCCAAGATTAAGGTGCTGTCAGGGTCTTTCACAAAAACCCTAGAGGCCTGCACTGTGAGTCAGCTCTAAGGCCCAGCAAAGGCTTTAAACAGCATCCATGTCTGCCACTGTTACTTCAAGTACCATTGGATCTGCCGGATCATATGGCCCAAGTCGCAGAGCAGCTTGCACGGCAGCCTGGACCTGCTGCAGAACCTTCTTTTTTTCTGGCTCCAGTCAAAATTAGCAGCTTTGGGGTCACTCAGTAAATAGGTTTTTGTAGCATACCCAAATGAAGAATATGTTGCTTTCAAAATTCAAAGAGGCTCACCGGATATTATGTGTCCTTCTTGGTTGTAGGAAAAGCCATATGCAACAACTTATTCTTCATCTTAGAAGGGATATCTTGATTTGCCCCATGTCACTGGACCCCTGCAGTTTTCACTGAGGTAGAAAGTCCCTGATTTTTTGTCAGGTTTATTTTCCACCTTCTGACATGCAAAGTAAGTCTAAAGTAATTACTTCATTTCAATCACTAGATCCAAACAGCATAATGTCATCAATGTAATGGACAACAATGATGTCTTGTGGAAGAGAAGGGCAATCAAGGCCCCTGCTGGCTAAATCATGACATAGTGCTGGAGAGGTAGGACAGTGAAGCTGTATTGCTGGCCTTCCAGTTGAAAGTAACCTGCTTCTGGTGTTCTTTACTAACAGGTGTTGAGGGAAAAAGAAACATTTGCCAGATGAACAGCCTGGCTTATGTAAGCGCTCACCTGTGGTAGCTCTTCTGTACCTGGGTTTGCTTGGACATCTCAGCTTCCATCGTAGTGGCCATGTGTCAGCTGTGTACAGAAGGGTCTGCTGACCCAGATCTTATTCCTAATGATAGGGGTGTTTGATGATTTTTAGTGGAAATGATACCCAGTCATTTCTGTGTACCGGAGGATGCAATAACAAAACTGATTTTTTTAAAAATAACATTTCAAAATTTAGATATTCAAAATTAGGTAGTAATCTTGAAAATAGTCACTTGGAAGATCACAGTGTTGCTGTTTCTGTGTTGCTGTTTCTTAGAACATTTCTAGAACTCTGATGTCACAAAACATTCTTTGGAGTATCTTCAGTGGTGGCAAGCCTTCATTCTTATCAGATAGATCTGGTTTGGGGTAAACACCTAAAGTAATCTGGAGTCAAATCAGGCAGTTAAGAGTAATGACATTCAGTAAAGTGTGAAATGGAAAATGTAATCTTGGCAACAAAATAATGAGGTGTTTTTTTTTTTTGGTATGACTTATGGAATGGTTTTCAGATTTTATGATACTTATACTCATTTTCCCTAGTTTTAAACACTTTAAAAATGCTCTTAGTGGGTATCCATGTTTATAAATATGCAAATTCCTCCAAAATGCTTTTCAAAACACGAAAGTCAATTCCCCATGTATTTGCAAAGAGCAAGGCACCTGTCATGGTCTCTCCAGATAGAATTTTAGTGTAAAGGTGTCTGTGGCCCAAAAGGAGAGGAATTAGGTAAATCGTGCCCGGATATCAGTAAACTGTGCAGCACTCGATGGATTAATCAGGATTTGGATAGTGTAACGGTGTTTTTAGGGCTCTTCATTTGCTGGTCCTTCTGTTCTTAGAAAGCCCTCTACGAAACTACCACCTTATCAAGTCTTAACGTGATCATAGCTGTACTCATTCTTTCCTCCCCACTCTTGAGTGAATAAAAAGGTGCTAAAGGCAGGGGTAGCAATATTAAAGCTGCCCTCATGAACTTTGTCTGTTCTTCAGTAGTTATCTTAGGCATACCCATGAAAAATAAGGTAGAAATAAGAACTATATATATGGATAAACATGCAATTCTTTTCAGATTCTGTTCAAGTGCTCAGATTCTAGTTCACCAGAAATATGTTCTGAAACCAATTTTCCTGAAGTAAGGCGAGTCAGATGACGTGGACTTGATGAGGGCTGGTCCCAGAAATAAAGAAGGGCCATCCTGAGGTGAAGACACCCTGAAGATGAAAGAACACTGTCCGGGGTGGAATAAAGTACACTGGGAACCATAATTGATGACACACAGCTTCTCAAGTTTATAGCGTGTGCAGAGCTAGAAACAACATTGCATTTCTGGCTATGGGAAAGGCTTGTTATTACTATTAATACTACTAGTATTGAGTTGAAAGGTTTTTATCAGTGATTTTCTAAGTTTTATGAAAAAATGCTGTTTCAGATCAGCCACTGATTTGGACTTGGGGAGGCCTGAGAGTAGTGAGGGAGTCCCCATTTTCAGTCAATATAAAAACTACTAAGGGCCAATGACTGTGGATCATGCCAAAAGGCATTAAACATACAATCTGTCTTACATAAAGACTAAGTGACATCTAATAGTTTAAAGATATCTCATTACTGCTTCTAATTGAAATAAATGGTCTGATGCTCTCTAAAATCTTACTGTTACATTTCCATAAAGTTAAAAATGCAAACAAAGTAAGACCTCCTTGATTTGGAACATGTCAGAAAGATAAGGAAAACAGTTGGTATGTATTCTTTATTTAGCAAAGTTGTAATGCACAGATTTGACAAATTTAAAGATTTTTTCCCCTAGAATATAATGTAACTTTATAATAAGACTAGAGATGTACCTACTGCATTTGATACCCAAAATGTATCATTTTTTAATACCTTCACTTTTATATGAAAATTTACTTTAAGTAATAGTCATGTAATAATACACAGTAATTATTATTGTCCTCATTCCTTCTTTAGTTTTAAAGCATTTAATAATTAAACACAGGAATACCTTTTAAAGTATTAAAATTTAGTAAAAATATTTCATCTGCAAAACAGAATTTGCATTTACCAAACTCAAGCATTATACCTTGCAGTTTGTATTGTTTCACTGTTTTAATTTTTCAACACAAATAAAAACTTCAAGTGGTCACATAAGAATAAAAGAACTAAAGTATCTCAAATTTTGTTTGCTCATTTTTATATATCATGGTGTTATTGTTTATTTCAAATTGACTGTTTAACTCAAGAATATGTAGTCTCATGGGGAAGATGGGGCAGCTTTACAAACTTACTCTTGAAAAGGACTCTTTAGTCAAGTATGTGGGTTGGGGGCCTCTGAATTAACTTCCATGTAGAATACAATGCTTATTAAAGGACACGTAAGATGCTAATTTGAAGCTTATACAAACCATGAAAACTTAACATGCAGCAATTAGCATCGAGGCCAACAAAAGACTTTTTCAAGGTGAAGTGTTTAACACTGACATTGTTTAAAATTGTCAGCAGGACATTTTCATAATAAAAAGTTTTGTTTTTAAGGACTCCCTTATTCTTACAACTGAAGTGACCCTTCCCTCTGCCTGGTCCTTGAAACGTGATCACTTTAAGAGAAGTTTATTTCTTCTGTACAGTGGTGCCAATGACTGTCTCACAGAGCTGTAGTATCAATTAAATGAGATAATACTTATGAAGTTGCTTTGTAAAATTCTAAGAGAACTTTATAGTTTTTTTTTTTTTTTTTGGAGATAGAGTCTCGCTCTGTTGCCCAGGCTGGAGTGCAGAGGCACCATCTTGGCTCACTGCAACCTTCACCTCCAAGGTTCAAGCGATTCTCCTGCCTTAGCCTCCCAAGTAGCTGGGACTACAGGCACTGCCACCATTGCCTGGCTAATTTTTGTATTTTTAGTAGAGATTACTAAATTTCACCATGTTGGCCAGGCTGGTCTCAAACTCCTGACCTCAGGTGATCCACCTGCCTGGCCTCCCAAAGTGCTGGGATTACAGCCGCCATGCCCGGTTGAGAACTTTATAGATTTTAAGTGCCCTTACTGACAGTGAGTAAACCATTATGTTTATAACAAAATTTGAAAACTATTTCTGTTAAAAAGCAAACACATTGTATTGAGAAAATTTGGAGAACAGTGAAACAGATTGATAATTTAAAATCGTCTATATTACAATTTATGACATTATACTGTATTTCTTTAAAAATCATTTATGTGTCAGAATATATGTTTTATACTGATACACAAAACTAGTATCACAGTCTAAATGGATAAGAGTCAGGCTATTTTTTTGTCAGTAGCTGTCATTTGAAAAATGATTTTCTCCTAGCTTTATTAAGATATAATTGACAAATAAAAAGTGTATATATTTTTGGTGTGCAGTGTGATGTTTTGATATATGTATACATTGTGAAATGATTAAATCAAGCTAGCTTATCCATTACCTCACATACTTACGTTTTAATGATGAGAACATTTGAGATATAATCTCTTGGCAATTTTCAAGTATACAACACGTTATTATTAACTGTAGTTCCCATGCTGTATAATAGATCCCAGAACTTGTTCATCCTGTCTAATTGAAATTTTATACCCTTTACCCAACATTTTCCCATTCTCCTTCCCTCCTGAAAAATGATTTTAATCCTAATACATATTCAATCTCAAGTCAATACCATAATTAATTTAAACATATCCTTATTGGCATGAAATCTTACCCATGTTACTACTAATTATTATTTTTTTATTATTTGAAAATGTCACGTTTGAGAAGTGGTATTTCATCATTCTTTGAATTACATTTCTTAGATTACCAGTTCATATAGTTTTATATTTGTGGCTTTTTATGTATAATTATGTATTGCCTGTTCATGGTACTTGCTTCTTTTTTCTACTGGTCTTAGACCACTTCTTGTTGCTTTGGAAGAGCTTTTATGCATTAAAGAAAACAATTGTTATTTCATGTAGATTGCACATATTTTTCCCAAACATAAGAATGTAACTTACCACATAATTTTATGAGTTTTTTAGATGTCCAGAAGTGTAAAATTCTTATATTTTCTGCCTTTTCAGTAATTTTTTAGCTATTTCTTTCAAATTGGAGAAATAGAGAGGGTGCAGTCTCAAACAAAATTGTCAATTCTTTCTTTACTGTTTACTTGAATAAGTTATTTAGTCTTTGTAAACCTGAATTGCCTCATCTATAAAATGGATGTAATATTACTTATTAAGGCTATTGTGAGGAATCAATGAAGCAGTATGTAAAGGGCCTCATATAATGCCTGCCACACAGTAATCACACAGAACATCTGACTAATATTTATAATGTTATACATAATGTTATGATTGTGAAGTGGTTCTCAATGTGAAGACCTTATCTTAAATTATTAGTTCATTTCCTTGCCATTCTGTGGAGAGTGGGTGTTCTTGTCATAATTTTAAAACCTTCTTTAAATAACAAGAACGACAACTTTTTTTACTGTCACAACCATTAAAAAATAATTTGCTCAATTTGTCATTTGCCTTTTAGTTTTCTTTGTTTAATTAGAGAAAGCAAACCTTCTTTTGTGATTGCTTTTATCTTTCCAAATCTTTTTCTTGTCCAAAATCCATTAATTTTCACCCATATCTCCCATTAATGTTTTTGTTTCATTTTTACATGTAACTGTCTAATCTGTCTAAGTTTATTTTAGTATGTGATATAAGGTAAAGCTCTATTGTTATAAAATTACACACACATGATAATCTTATCTCCTACTTTACAGGAATTACAGCTCTTATTTCTTTCTTCTAGTGTTATTGCATTGGCTAGAATTTATATAGCCATGTTAAATAATAATGACAACTAGGTATTCTTATAATTTTCCCAATTTAAATGGAAATACTGAAAGTATTTTGCTATTATCCTGCTGCTGGCTGTCAGTTTAACGTAGTTTTCATGACTATATTAAGGAAAAGCATTAAGGAAAACATCCTTCTTTTCCTAATTTTGTAGGAGTTTTTATTGGGATTGAATATTTAATCCTATGAAACATCTTTTAGGCAACTTAAAAATAATCGAGAGCTTTTTAAACTGGGCCCAATATTGTGATGTATTAATATTACATTAACAGATTTCCTAGTCTTAAACTATTTTTACGTAACTGAGAAGAAGTAAAAAAATGAAACTATAGCTTTTAAAGAAAGCAGAGTGTGAGATGAGGAATTCATAATAATCTTACTCCAAGACCATTATACATTCTTTTACACTATATATCTTTTCTTTCATGAAAAATGTTTGACATTTACCTTCAGTTGTGTAATCACTTCAATGGTTGTTGTCATGATACCACTACAGTTGATTTCCTGCCAGTAACTTTTTGGAAGTTTCGGTCTCTGTCTAGACAGGTACATGAGGCAGCAATAGAAGTGGGGCATGGGGACCAGCACCCCTGTTGCTCAAAAGGCAGCAGCCACATAGTTGTGGGTAAAGGTTTCCTTTTCTGGCTTTTGCAGACATTCTGTTTTTGAACTGGGGACAGAGACTGTGAGGGGGCAAGGAGTTAATTTGAATCTCTACTGATTTTACTGTTTTTCACAGTAAAGAGGGGCTTTTTTTCTCAGTATAGTTGAGGAAATTCCTCCCAGGTTCTGGAATTCTATTCTTCTTCATCCTCCACTCTTCTACTCACCTCCCCCTCAATCCCCTATAGTCGGCTCCCTTCCTGCTCCTACCCCACCCCAGACCTTTCAGTGAAATATACACTTAGGAGCTGCTTGCCAGATGCCATGTCAAATTGAAAACCCTTATAAAATAAATTGAAATGGCATTCATTCTAATTTGAATCATGGGCTTTGCATAGAAACAACAACTCAATGTGTAACAAAGGTAAAATTGAAAATTCTACAAGAAATATTACTATAACAAATCCTTGATTTACATTTAAACATTTATTGAAACATCAAATAGGTGGATTTTTTAAAAAGGTCATTGAAGCAAGGATTAAGAACAGGGTACAGGAATAGTATTTTCTGGAGAAAATACCTCAATTGAGTGCTAAACTCAGCTGAGTTTGCAGAAATGAATGCACCCAACACTTTCCAAGGTAACCATCAATCATGCAATAAAGATATAGCCACTTTAAACAACAATGTATCAATACAGAATGGAACACTGCTATATTAAGATGCACTCCTCTGGGAAGTTCTTGATTGACAAAAATAGTACTGTGTTAAGTAGCAGCAGTATTTTCATGGCCAGAAAGTAATAAAACTAAAGATGAGCTTTATGAAGAGAAAAGATTTTACATGAAAATCCATGGAGCAATTCTTAGGACTTGCTTCCTTCAGGATCAGGTTAAGGGGCAAAACGTGAAATGTGAAAGTGGAAACTGATAATTTGCTAATCTGTTAATTACCTGCACAGCTGGTCCTGTAGTCACTGTCATTTATAGGCATCTGAAGAAAGGATGGGATAGTTGCTGCCCGGGATCACACAAACTCAGTGTATCTCTGGCTTCCTTAGGCTTGTACAGTAGGAAAACAAAATCAGGATATTCATATTGAACCCATTATAGATTAGAGTTGAGCCAGGGGTATGCAAGGAATTTACTCTTTGAGACCTACTTCATTACAGAGAGTTGGTAGAGAGTCAGAGTTAGGTTGGTGACATTAACTTTTCAGTTTTATTGCAGTGTCATTTTAAGTCAGGGATTTTACTGCCACTTTTTGGCATAGCAGTTTGGGCTAGTGTATTTCTCTCTCTCTTAATGTGATCCTTCATGTTGATATACCTACCTTGAAAATGGTGGTGAATTGACTCTTCCGCTCTTCTTCTGATCACTTCTCCAAACACTGTGGCATGACCCACTTTATGTGTTCTCTGTGGCATGACCCACTTGACCTGCTCTCCGACAGCAAGTGTGATATTCTTGATCATCCCCAACATAGCTGGTTTTGGATGAGCATGATAAATTATAGTAACAGTGGTTTGGGGGGAAAGGGGAAGAGTAATGGGTTTTTTTGTTTTTGTTTTTGTTTTTGTTGTTTTTTTTTTTTGAAAGCAGGCAAATTGTAAAAGCAAGAGCGCCTATAATAGTGAACCGAAGCTTTATTCTGAAAACCTTTTCATCGTGCTTTGATTTCATTGATTGTAATAATTTGACTTCTTCTTCATTCAGCTATATGTTAATTAGTCACAGTTATGTCTGCCATTCCTTTTCACATCTGGAGCGGACTTCTCTGCTTGCTTGAACCACCTACCTCCTTCTCCCTGTGGAGTTTAGAAAAGTAAAATATTGTTTTCCATTCGCACCTAGATTCGCTTTTTAAAATAAGACTCACACAAGTTGGGAGAAGCTTCATGCTGTTGGTGGTCTCGTCAGATATATTAATAACATAAGGAAAAAGCCTTGAAATATGTCAAATCACAAAAACAGTAGTGAGTTTATATTTATTATCATTTGTGAAGAATGCTTTACCACATTATTTCCTTCAATCCTCACAGCAAACCCTTAAGGTAGAGACTGTTTTTCCCATTCCTGTTTTATACACAGGGAAAATGAGGCTTAAAGAGCTTAAGTAACTTACACAAAGTCACATAATTAGAAAATTTCATTTGAAAGCCACATGTACTGACCTCAGAGCCCGTGGGTCTCATCACTGTGCAATTTCTCCAAGAAACATTGCTTTATAAGATTTGGCAACTGTCTGTTTCTCTGTTGGTGAAAAATAGATATGGTATAGGGAGTGGGTATGTCTTAGAGATTTTTATTTAAAAAAAAAGAGGAAGACTTAGCCGCCTGTGCCCTCAAGAACTTATTGTGGCAATAACTGCTCAATCAGTAGGGTTTACATTGACTGTGGTAAGTAGGAGGAGTAGCTGTGGGGACCTGTCTATGTGGTTCATGGAATGGGCATCTAGTATGGCAGGGAGGAAGATTTTCATGGAGGTGGTGATGGTATGGCTGACCCCTGAAGACGTGTGTTGGAGGCAAGTGTGTCATCAATTTGGCCAGCCTGGAGTGGGAATACATTTTGAAAAGTCCATAGAACACTAATACATGGAGAAATAAGAATAGATTGGAATCTGTGGAAATGGTGTTTAATCTTTCAGTAAACTCTATTAATTGATATCCGAAGTGTTAGTAGCTAGAGGTTACAAGGGTAATGACTGTAACTTTTCCCGCTTGTGACTTGGCATTGTTGTTACTGGCAATGGAAAGGCCGAATTTAAATCACAGTCATCGGCCTTCTAAAGTGAGTGGTTCAGAATTTAATCAAGGTGTGAGCTATGGGGGTTGGTTACTATGTGAGCGAAATCAACACCTATGTCACAAAGTCTGATGAAGAGAGAAGCCTTTGCCAGTCAGCATTAGGGAGGCACTGGTTACTGCCAATGTCCCTGAATGTTCTTGACCAGTTCTGCTTCTTTAGCAGGATCAGTCTGTTGATGTGTTCACGTACAAGAAGAAAAGCACAACCAAGAAAGCCAGCATGCCTCCTGGAAAGCTAGATGGTTTCATGGTGGTGACATCAATCTCCAAACTAATCTTCAATTTCAACAAGCAGCAGGTATAGGCCCAGCCTGTTGGCCATTATCTTTGGATATACCACAGAGACCACACCTGGCTGCCTTTTGACACTTCATCAGTGTCACCTACAACCACACTCTTCAAATAGCCTGCTAGAAATGAATTCCTAGGGCAGAGCTAGGACATGATGAACTGGGCTTGTTGCAATTCAACTAAAAAGCATGGATATGTGCAGAGGGAATGGGAGCAGTGTTTTGCAGGGAAACCACTTTAAAACTGGAGTTTTATAGGCTTAGGTTTTGTGAGTTTCATATTTGTGTTTAATTGTGCATTTTAGCCTATTACGTGATTATTAATTAATATTATTACTTACATTCAGCAAATATTAATTGAGCACCAAGAATGTGCAAAGCACTGTTGGGGTGATGCGGGGAATTCAAAGGTGACAATACTATGAATGTGCCCTAATGGAAATTACAGTCTGGAGAAAGATAAACACACACACATCCACAGATCCATCCATTCATAGATATATATGTAAGTAAACATAACATTTCAGCATCATATGAATGCCAAAATGAAATACAAACCTGTGGGAGCACCAAGGAGAGAACTATTCATTTTGACTGAGGTATTGGAGTATCTTTCAGCCGTAACTGAATGTGAAGGATAGGTAGGATTTTACTAGGCAGAGCCACAGTGTGGACTGTATACTGGAAGCTAAGGGAACTGGACTGTGAACTCCACAGGGATACTGTCCATTTATAAGCTTTTTGTATATTCAGCAGCTTGCTATAAATATTTATTGAATGAATGCATGCATGAAACAGCATTAGCAAAATCTCAGAGTGACAAAAGTGCGAGGTTTGGATTGGTGAGTGGTCCACTTTGGGCGGCAATGGGATGGGAGAAATGAAGCATAAGGTTGGGCTGAGCTGTTGAGGAACTTCCCTGTGGTACTAATGAGTTTAGAATTCATTCCAGAAACTGGGACCTGTCAGATATATTTGACCTGGAGAATTACCTAACCCTGTTTATTTAATGAAGCTCCTTCACATTTTTAACATTTTTGGATTTCTTTCCCATTCTCTCTTCAGGAGTTCCTAATCTCTTTATCCATAGTCACCCCTTTTACTGTATCCCACCTTATCCTCCAGCTTTGAAGCTTTGGATTGAAAAGCTTTGCTACATTGCTTCAGTGATAATCAGTTCATTTTCCTCTTTTCATTGATCAAAGGCACATAACTCAGTGTACTAGTCCATTCTCACATTGTTATAAAGAAATACCAGAGACTGGGTAATTTATAAAGAAAATAGGTTTAACAGGCTCTTGGTTCTACAGGCTGTACAGGAAGCATGGCAACGTCTGCTTCCAGGGAGGCCTCAGAGAGCTTTTACTCTTGGTGGAAGGCAAAGTGGTGATCCAGCACTGAATATGGCCAGAGCAGGAGGAACAGAGAGCAAGGGCGGAGGTGCCACACACTTTTAAACAACCAGATGTTTTGAGAACTCACTATACATTTCCAAGGGGGCATGGAGCCAAACCATTCATGAGAAGTCCACTGCCGTATTCAGTCACCTCCCACCAGGCCCCACCTCCAGCACTGGGGATTACAATTCAACATGAGATTTGGGTGGGTACGCATATCCAAACCATATCATTTGGCCCCTGACCCCTCCCCAAATCTCATGTCCTTCTCACATTTCAAAATACAATCATGTCTTCCCAACAGTTCCCCAAAGTCTTAACTCATTCCAGCATTAACTGAAAGGTCCAAAGTCTCATCTCAGACAAGGCTAGTCCCTTTCACCTGTGAGCCTGTAAAATCAAAAACTAGTTAGTTACTTCCAAGAACTAATTTATAAAGAAAATAGGTGTTTTTAATAAAGAAAGGTTTTTTTTATAAAGAGGTAATTTATAAAGAAAAGAGGTTTAATTGGCTCACAGTTCTGCAGGCTATGCAAGAAGCATAGCACCATCTGCTTCTAGAGAGGCCTGAGGGAGATTTTACTCATGGTGGAAGGCAAAGCAGGAGCAGGCATCTTACATGGCAGGAACAGGAGCAAGAGAGCGCGTACGGGGAGGTGCCATACACTTTTAAACAACCAGATCTTGTGAGAACTCACTCACTGTACAAGGGGGGATGCTGCTACACCATTCATGATGACTCCAACCCCATGACCCAATCATCTCCCACCGGGCTCCACCTCCAACACTGGGGATTACAATTTGACATGAGATTCACTGGGGACACAGATCCAAACCGTATCACTCAGGAACCGGATAAACCAGCAAGGGTTAAGCATGGATTTAACTCCTGACTGTATTAGTTTGCTATGCCTGCCCTAATAAAATACCACAGACTGAGTGGCTTCAACAACAGAATTTTATTTTCTCACAGTTCTGAAGGCTTGAAGTCCAAGATCAAGTTGTGGACTTCTGAGGCCACGTGCCCCAGCTTGCAAATGGCCACCTTCTTACTGTGTCCTCACGTGGTCACCCCTCTGTCTGTATCTTGCCTGTGTCCTAATCTCCTCTTCTTATAAGGACACCAGTCATATTGTATTGGGACCCATCCTGTGACCTTATTTTACTGTAATCACCTCTTTAAAGGCCCTGTCTCCAAATACAGTCACATTCTGAGGGTCAGGACTTCAACATATTAACTTTAGGGGGATGCAGTTCACCCCATAAGACTGACCTGAGGAGTTAATCCAGGCTGTACCACCTGACTTAGAAAGTTATGTTGTCAGTGGTTAAGTTAATCCCAGTCACATGTGGTAGGAATTGGAGCTTGAATCTAACAGCTGATGAAACTAGGTGGTTGCCTAGTGAAAGTGGTCTCCTCTAAATAGTTCAGTTTCTACCACATGCAGGAGCAGTCACTATTGCAATAACTTTAAGTAGGCTTGGAAAAGATGAACATAAATCCACTGCACATTTGCATGGCATTTATTAGAGAATAACCCCCTAAACAAGGGCCAAACAGTACCATTGATGAAATAAATCTCAGACTCCCAATTCACATGGTCCTGACTCCATCACTTTTGACCTGTGTGACCTCAGCCAGATTGCTTCAGCTTTCCCTGCCACTGTTTCCTTATAGATAAATCTAACATAACAGTGTTTCCTCCTGCCTAGAACTATTCTGAGGATTAAGTCAGAAAATGTATGTAGAGCACTTAGCTTAGTGGTTGGTACATAGCAAGCACTTAGTAAACTATTATGTATTCAGTGTTAGCTTTTATTAAAGATGAAAATGGCAGATCTATTCACAGGCATGTTAGCAATAAAACTACTAGGGAAATATTAGTATTTGCATTTATATTTATGTAAATCAAATAAGTTTTCATAGGTTGGCAATCATGTTTTTAAAATATTATAAATATTGTTCTTCTAACCTTATCAATTAAGACATAGATTTTATTCTTATCTATACCCCAATATTATTCAAGAATAACTTTAATTGGTCTTAATCCAAGAGTTCGATGAATACCAATTTAAATGTAATTTAGGTGTATTTATCTTCTAGAATTGAACATTCTCTTCCGCTAATAGTATAAACTTTAATTGTCTTATAATGTATACACGCAGATGAACTATTCCTTTGTGTTGCTAAGATATATAGTATGATTGGACACTGTTATTGTTTCATTACAGACAACCTCATAGGAAGCCTTCCAGAAGGTTTGCATAAAGGAATATAGCACACATAGAAAATGCTGAATAAACTCATCAGTAATGATTTCCTTGGGTCATTTTTACTTTCTGCCTACTTCATCTCCACCTCTAAGTAAAGCATTTCATTTTATTAATGTTTTTCATACCACTTATTTTGCTAGTATTATACTCATTTTAGAACATTTTTAAATATCCAATAAAAATGAATTGGGCACTTACAAATATTTTGTACTATAAGACTGTTTTTGAATATTGTCATTAAAACAGTTATTTCAGGATTTCCCAGTTTATACAATGCATATGGCAACTGAGATACTTATGATCTGTATTATGTGTTTATAAGAATAAAGTTAGTAAAAAAGATTTATTCTAGAAATCAGTTGAGAAGACATTTAAAAATGTCATGTGCAGTTGGGATTCTTCAGCACCTTTTCTTATGGTGTTTCTTTTTTTATTTTCTTAAAGTATGTTTTTACCATATATGGGGACGATTTTTTCCCCCTGGTATTTAGGCTTTGCGTAAACTCCAAACAGAACTATCAAACAAACATATTAGAGGTTTCGCTGCAGAAAGGACAATATTTATTTTTTGTGTTTGAGATTTCTGTGCAGTAATAATTAACCTTAGATTTTGAACTATCATTGGAGGTGTTGTGGACAGGAAACACATTGATACTGGAGGAGAAATTATTTTTGGCAATACGGTAACTTACCACCTTGTGCACACAAGCACTGCCCATGTGCAGGGACGTTTTACTTGTCAAGATTTACCTCGGAAGAGCATGGTGTGTGCGCAGCACAAAGGCGGCAGGTGCGGATGGCTTTTTTCTCAGTGATAGGGCATGTCAATTCTCATTTCCTATATGCTGAGGAGCACAAAGGGAAGCAGCCGGCATTGCCCTCTGGGGCCAACCAGCTCCTTCCTTCCCCTCGCATCTTGGAGATATGCCATCCTGCCCAAGTACCTGCCTCCTGAGCCACAACTGGCTTGTGGTTTTGCTTTTTGTCTTTGTGGTCCTTGTTGAGGTTTGTGCACTTAATAAGCAGAACCACCAGTGAGAGGCAAACCTTGCAGACAGGGGAATTCCTGCAAAAGCTAAGAATCACCGACTGAAAAGAAGAGAGCAAAGGTGCAAATGGCTTGGGGTGGAGTTGAGGAATTGCGGGACCAGGCCGTGGTTCCCAAACACAGAGAGAAAAAGCACATTCAGGGTTCTGAGCCCCAGGCATTTTGCGTAATCAGCCTTCTTTGCTGTTTCTACTGTTTGATGTCTTAATCTGTTATTCTGGGACCTATAAAATTGTGGAACACAAATCCAAGTTAATCCAAGTTAACCTCTGAACTTGACCTACTTTCATTTAGAATTAGCCTTATTTAAAGTTGTAAACTACAATCATGACTGAAGCACACTAAATAGTGTTCTGTTTATAAAACATAAACCTTTTTCTCTTTACTGTAAATCCTTTCTGGCTGAAGAGGTCTATATAAGAAAACCAGGATATATTTTTCAGTTATCCCAGGACATTTAAACTTTTGAGGATTTAAAAATGATAGTCTTAAAAGTTTTTTTTTTTTTTTTGTCAATTTTAGAGATGATAGAGGTTCTTTAGGTTCTAAAAAATTACTTGATTAATTTTGGTTCTGATGTTTTAGAAAAATATTTTAATCCTGTTTATGTGAATAAAGTCCAGTCCACATGTGAAATTACACTGAAGCCATAATAATCAGTTATGATTATGTAAATTGTAGAACTGATTTTGGCTAAGCATTTCAAAATCCTGCCCAAAATTGCAGTATTTAATTGTAATCTTAGATTATTACCAGGATAATGGCTGTTTTAAATCTTCTTATTTCCATATAATGTGAAGGCAGGCCCATGCCTTACTCATCTCATCTGCCCCAGGCCCGGCATAATGCCTGGTACCTGGCGGGCACCCAGTGAGTGTTGCTCTGAATGGAATGCTCACTGGGACACATTCCTCCATTTTCATTTTGCCCATCAGTGCAAACAAACCTATCAACCAACATTCATGTCAGAACTTATTACTCATTATTGCAACTGTAGGATGGCTTCCCATATAAGAGCTTGGCCAAAATCAACAAAAAACATTCTGTGAGGATCAATTGGATATATGAAGTTGATAATGAGGGATATTATAGAGTTTATTTATTTTGTAAATTGTGTGCTACATAGCCTTATATTTTCGGTCTAGAAAAAATTAATTTTATTTAAAGATGAGTAATAAAACGACCCATAATAGAAATTTGTACGAGATTATATCATCAAACAGTTTTAAAAAGGAGGAAATAGGAGAATTATACTCAATATAATAATTTCTCTTGGAGAAGATAAACATACTGAAAAATTTTGTAGAAATTCATTGGAGTAATCATTTCTATAGAATAGGATCACAAAAGAGATAGTAAAACTAACTATAACGTAGACATTACCAGAAAACAAATGTTTGTCTCTTTTTTCATTGCTCTATTACTATCCCCTAGAACAGTGACTGGCACATAGAGTTTCATATATATATTTAAAATAATTAATTTTTATTTCAGTTTTGGAGGTACTAGTGTTTTTTGGTTACATAGATAAATTCTTAAGTGGTGATTTCTGAGATTTTGGTGCACCTGTCACCTGAGCAGTGCACACTGTACCCATTAGGTAGTCTTTTATCCCTCACTCACTCCCTCCCACCTTCCCCCACCTCCCTGAGTCCCCAAAGTCCATTATATCATTCTTATGCCTTTGCATCCTCATAGCTTAGCCCCCACTTATAAGTGAGAACATATGATATTTGGGTTTCCATTCCTGAGTTACTTCACTTGGAATAATGACCTCCAGCTCCATCCAAGTTGCTGCAAAAAACATTATTTCATTCATCTTTATGGCTGAGTAGTATTCCACATCCCACATTATCTTTATTCACTCATTGGTTATGAGCACTTAGGTTGGTTCCATATCTTTGCAATTGCAAATTGTGCTGCTATAAACAAGTTTGTGCATGTGTCTTTTTCATATAAAGACTTCTTTTCCTTTGGGTAGATACTCAGCAGTGAGATTACTGGATCAAATGGTAGTTCTACTTTTAGTTCTTTAAGGAATCTCCATGCTGTTTTTCATAGTTGTTGTACTAGTTTACATTCCCACCCACAGTATCAAAGTGTTCCCTTTTCACCACATCCACACCAACATCTACATAGCCTTTCTATCAGTACGGTTTATAACATAGTTATAATGAGGTTATGAATGGGTCCACGTGCATACATTTTTCCTCCCGGAGAGCCAGTTGTTAAACATTTAGCCCTGCACTACCGAGAGGGCATTTTTATTATGGTTACTTCTAGTTCAGATTTTGGCTAGTAAATGTTAACCAAAGTTCTTTTGAACTGAGATTCAGGGGAGTGGTGGTGTTTTACCTCCTGTGTTGTCCTCCCTGTACAGCAGAATGAAAGCAGTGCAGCCATGGTCAGGCCTTGGGTTGGGAAGGGGGCTGGCGGTGCCAGCAGAGGCCAGCACACCCAGAGCCCAGACCCAACATAGGGGCCCAGACCAATCCACCAAGCCCCGGGGCAGGTCCAGGGCTTGCAGGGCATGATGTTTATGAAATGTAAAGGTCTTCTTTAAAGCAAAAGAATGCAAAATTAGGTAAAGGGCCTGAGGCCTCAACTTCATGGTAGACCTACTGATCAAGCAGAGAGAGCATTTAAGAAACCAAGGCCGGGCGCAGTGGCTCCTGCCTGTAATTTCAGCTACTCCGGAGGCTGAGGCAGGAGAATGGCTTGAACCCGGGAGGTGGAGGTTGCTGTAAGCCGAGATCGCGCCATTGCACTCCAGCCTGGGCAACAAGAGCGAAATTCCATCTCAAAAAAAAAAAAAAAAAAGAAAGAAAGAAAAGAAACCAAGAAGCTTCTAGTCTGACATCAGGAAGGTAGAGGACAGGATTTGCAAGAGCATCAGTGGTGGCAGAAGACAGCGAGGAGAGAGTCACCAGGAGTCCAGCCGAATGAGGAGCCCTGTATTAGAGAAATAAAACCTAGAGGATGTGTGTCTCCCCTCTCCCCCTTCCTCCTCCTCCCCGCCTCCTCTCTTATTTTAACTGGTGACACCATTGTGGGGCAGACTGGCAGCTGCAGATCCAGGGATCCAAGAAAGCTGATGTTGCGGTCTTGAGATTGAGGGCAGTCTAAAAGCAGAATTCCTTTTTTCTTGGGGGACTTTAGTCTTTTTCTCTTAAGGCCACCAACTGATTGGATGATGCCTACCCACATTATGCAGGCTAATCTGCTTTATTCAGAATCTACTGATTTAAATGTTAATCAACATCTAAAAACTATTCACAACAATGTCTAGACTGATGTCTTACAAAAATAAACTGGGCACCACAGTCAAGCCAAGTCGACACTTAAAATTAACCATCAGAAGCCCCAGTGTAGATTCTCAGCCTAGCCCATAAGGAGGGCCAGGAGGGCAGGTCATCTCCTCCCACAGTGTGGACATGACCCGGGGTACCTAGAATAGAGGTGAAGGACTGCAAGAGGAATGTGGAGTTCAGAACCCTGTGATGCCATTAGCTAGTTTTGTTTTGGGCCTGAGGGCGGTGAGCCCTTTTACCTTTCCAGCCTGAGTTTTCTGCTGGGTGAAGTGAGAGCACTTGTAGAGACATGATGAGTCACGGGCGAAAGGACTGTGTTCTTTTTTCTCGTGGCACCCTTTTTGAAGCAAAATCTCATGTGAAATCCAAACCTCCCCAAACAGAGTTCAAAGTACCTTGTCTAAATGAATGGTTGGGGCAAGGACTGTAACCACCCAAGGGCTTTACCTTGCCTGCTGCCTAGACAGAGCCGATTCATCAAGACAGGGGAATTGCAATGGAGAAAGAGTAATTCACACAGAGCCGGCTGTGCGGGAGACCAGAGTTTTATTATTACTCAAGTCAGTCTCCCCGAGCATTCAGGGAGCAGAGTTTTTAAGGATAACTTGGTGGGAGGGGCGACGCCAGTGAGCCAGGAGTTAGGGTTAAAATCATAGGAAGTTGAAGCTGTCTTTTTGCGCTGAGTCAGTTCCTGGGTGGGGGCCGCAAGATCAGATGAGCCAGTTGATTGATCTGGTTGGTGCCAGCTGATCCATCAAGGGCAGGCAAAATATCTCAAGCACTGATCTTAGGAGCAGTTCAGGGAAGGTTAAAATCTTGGTCACCTCTATCTGCATGACTCCTAAACCATAATTTTTAATTTTGTGGCGGATGTTAGTCCTACAAAAGCAATCTAGTCCCCAGGCAAGAAGGAGAGGTCTGCTTTGGGACAGGGCTGTTACTGTCTTTGTTTAAACCATAAACTATAAACTAAGTTTCTCCCAAAGTTAGTTCAGCCTATGCCCAGGAATGAACAAGGACAGCTTGGAGGTTACAAGCAAGATGAAGTCAGTTAAGTTAGATCTCTTTCACTGTCTCAGTTATAATTTTGCAAAGGCGGTTTCAATCCCTTCCTTTGGGTTTTATAACATCTTAATTTTAAGGTATAGGCTATGAAGACAGGAAATGGCCATTGATCGCTTTGACTTCTTCCTGCTTACAGGGGACGTAGTGGGAATGGGAGTGAACCCCAAGGTGAGAAGCGTGTAACCGCTTTGTAATTGTGTGAGCGTGCTCATGCAGCCCTGGTTGAGCTTCCAAGGCTTGCAGGGCAAACATTAGTATTTTTATTTATAGTGTTACTACAGTGTTTAAGTGAACAGCCTACTATAAGGTAAATAACAAGTCCTAGGATGAGGAGTACAAATTTCGATTTTAAAAGCAAAGATTTGAAAACATTAGTTTGGGGATTTTAACCTGCACATAATTTAGAATTTAGTTTAAACTGCAGAAAAAGCCTTAAGAACAGCTAACAACAGTGTACTATAGTTTTTCTTTTGAAGCATAATTTTTTTCTTTAGTCCCCATTTTTATTAAAAACAAATCATGATAGAACTGATTTGTTTACAAAATAAACTTTAGTCTTTCTGTACTTGGCCTGATTATTTGCATGAAGTGTAGCAAGAATGATTATTTTTTACTTAGGCTTTTTAAATTGGCTTTGATAGAACTTTATTCTATGAAGAATTTTAGATAAGACTTTTTGAAAGTCGAGCCTAGCCATGGTTTGTATCCTTAAATATCTACGAGTTGGGCAAATTCCTTTTCTCTGGAGGTCCTAAGATAATCTGGGGTTCCTAGGCCTGTTAGAAAGTGATATTTTTTATTTACCACAGGTCAGGAACCTTGTACAGGGACTCTGTGTGGACAAGGTATGAGGCCAGATGCCGTAACGGGCTTTAATTGGCTCTGTAAGTCAACTTTGATTCTTTAAAGGAACCATGCCATTTCAGTCAAAGCCTTAATAAAATAACCAAGTTTTTTTTTTTTTTGAGACGGACTCTCGCTCTGTTGCCCAGGCTGGAGTGCAGTGGCACGATCTCGACTCACTGCAAGCTCCACCTCCCGGGTTCACGCCATTCTCCCGCCTCAGCCTCCCAAGTAGCTGGGACTCCAGGTGCCTGCCACCATGCCCAGCTGATTTTTTGTATTTTTAGTGCAGACGGGATTTCACCATATTAGCTAGGATGGTCTCAATCTCCTGACCTCGTGATCTGCCCTCCACAGCCTTCCAAAGTGCTGGAATTACAGGCGTGAGCCACTGCGTCCGGCCAAGAAAACAGATTTTTATTGTAATATGCAATTAACTATACTGCCATAAATTGGGAATACTTACAAATAGTTTTTAAATTCTGGAGAAATAAGGTAGAGAGGAACAAAATATGCTTTAAGTTTTGTTTACAGGAGCATATTTTACTTGTTAAAAGTTGCAAATAGCTTTAAAGAAATAAGTTTTTTTGACTTAGAAAACAAAAGGTTTAGCAATGTTTAATGCATTAGCTTTTTATGAGAGTCCAAGAAGTTTTTTTTTTAATTCCAGTAGCACAATTTTTAAAGTTATTTGAGAGCTGCACATAGAGCCTTATATTTGATTATAAACTGCCTTTTGAAAAGGACCAAAGCAAGACAAAATATCTGTGGATGACAAGTCTGTAGCTATTATTAAAGCTATAATGGACTAGGAATTTTGGTTACTTCTGTGGCATGCAACAATTTTACATAATTATAATTATTGATAATGTACACTAAATTATATTAACATTACAGAATTTTTCTATAATTTTGGAATATATATAATAACATATTTATACAAATACAGTCCAAAGAAAACCAAACACCATTCACTCTTTTATTTGAACAGGTTTTTTATTCTAATGTTATAATTTTCCAAAGTTATTTATCAGAAACCCACATTTAAGAGCACCTGTTAAATTTTATAGCTGATTATACAATTATTTTTTAAAGAGGACCAAAGTGAGACAATAACTGTCTGTGGATGACAGAAACATTTTAGAGCAGCCACAGTTAAAGTCACAATTGATGAGGAAATTTACCTCTGTGGCACATAGTCATTTAACATAATAATTGTAATTATTACTGATAACATATAGTAAGTCATATTAGAATTATAGCAGTTTTACATAATTTTGGAATATATACCAATAACACATTTACACAAGTATAGACCAAAGAACGCTAAACGCCGTTTTATATTTGACAATGCTTTCTGTTTGATTTTTGTACCAAATAAGCCAAATGCCATTTTTAGACTTTAGAGGACCTAATATCTAAAATATTAGGTTTGAAAGAGACATGATTTAAAATTTGATTTTGGAAAGTTTGTTAAATATTAAAGGTTTAAAACACTGGATATCACGAAATAGAATTCCAGGTCACCATAACCAAAGTTATTCATTTGGCCAAAATGGTAACTCCAAAAAAATTTTTAAAACAGAAAACCGGCTGGGCGCGGTGGCTCAAGCCTGTAATCCCAGCACTTTGGGAGGCCGAGGCGGGCGGAACACGAGGTCAGGAGATCGAGACTATCCTGGCTAACCCGGTGAAACCCCGTCTCTACTAAAAATACAAAAAAAAATTAGCGGGCGTGGTGGCGGGCACCTGTAGTCCCAGCTACTCGGGAGGCTGAGGCAGGAGAATGGCGGGTGAACCCGGGAGGCGGAGCTTGCAGTGAGCCGAGATCCACTCACTGCCCTCCAGCCTGGGTGACAGAGAGAGACTCCGTCTCAAAAAAAAAAAAAAGAGAAAACCTTTTCTCTGATAGAGGAGACTCAGCTTTCCAAACAGGACCCAATAGAGATAGCATGAGGCCAACTAAATTTGTCTCTTTTCTTTTCTCCCTTTTTTCCTTGCCATTTACCCAAAGGAGAAAATAAAACCCTTTTATTATTTTTTAACATTACATAAAAATCGTCTTTGAAAGAGAAAAGTAAATTTCATGTTTGTATTAGTGAATTTTTAATGTTAAGGCTAGTTTTTTAAATACAATTTTATATCTGTTCAGTTTTAATTAATTTGACCATAAGGTAAGATTTTTATAAACTTTTTAGAACCCTTTACAATTTTCCATCAAATAGTAGATTAATTTTTTAAGAAAACCCTGTTATTTGGACACATGGGCCCAGATTCTGGCCCCATAACAGTATCATTTTAGTGTTTTAACCTATGGAAAAAAGCTAAATAATTTTTTTTAAATCTTAGCCAACTTGTTTAGACCCACAGAATTTTTTAATAAGATAAACGCATTACAAACCCTTTCACTTTGCTTGAACTTCTAGTTTTGTTTCATTACTCTTTTAGGTTAAGACAATCTTTAAGACCCTCTGAACTAGTCAAAATTATATTCCCTCTAACAAAAGCCATATTCCTGTGCCTTTTTATAATCTTTTAACAAAAACACGTTTTACACACCTTGCATGTAAAACTGTTTCTCCAGTTGTCTTAATTGTATGTTATAATGTTAACTTTTAGCAACTTTTATTTTTAGTGAAAAACTTGATAAGTAAGTGATTTTTAACTATATACCGGGGTGGATCCTAGGACGTCAGACAGAAATGAAGATAAGGTTTGACTGTTTTCAGCATAGCTAGCGGGCATAGCTCTTCGTATGTCCCCAGGCCTTATTTATAATCTAATGCTCCAAAGTAGGTAAATCAAACAATTTTCAAAAGTTAAAGAAACACTTTGACCTTAAAGCATTTAGCAAATCGGATATCTGACCTTCATTTAGACCAAATGTTTACATTTTCAAGACATTTTATTTTACTAATAATTTTTAAAACTGTCCTTATTTCCAAAAGATGACCGAGGTCATGTGAACAAAACGGCATTAAAGTTTTTATTTTTCTGACAAAATATTTGACTTAAGTGCTTTTTTTAAGCCAATTAATCAGAGCTTTTTTATATATAAACATCACCCACACACACAACACATATACATACAGGCAGACAGAAGATTCGGCACTTAGAAGATTTTTCATTTGCCAGTTTTGTAATTGGATTACTGGCTTAAGGGTGGAGCGCTTGGAGCAACAGGGCTAGGAAAGCATGCATTTCTAGGGCCAAAGAAGCAGCAAGTAAGCAGCTGAAGGCAAAGACAGATCCCCAAAATTAGGCGTGCCATTTTATACTGGATCCTGGATCCCCAAAAGGAGGGAAATAACTCCAGGAGAAGACAGTGCGGTGCAGCTACTCTGCATTTCATTGCATGGCAACTCAAAGCCCATCAGCCCATTTTGTAATCAGCCCCTTCACCGGAGTCTCATCTCCCAGTCGCGGGCGAGGATGTTTCCTTGTCTTCCAGGTGGCTGAGAGCATGCTTCTCCGATCCAGGTGTGCAAAGAGTCAAGTATCCCTCCATAACTATTATTAGCAATCCCTTGAAGTATATTTCCTACCTAGTTATTACACACCAAAGTTCTTTCATAATGCGAAGTAATTTCTGATACCCCCAAAACTCAAAACCGTCAGATATCACAGTGCAAAACAGAACAGTGCCTTTGATTTTGAGAGGGATTTATCCGCTTTTAATTCCTGGGGTTTCATGAGGAAAACAGAGGTTTTTGTTTTTTTTCCCAAAATGGGGCCTGCGGTGCCTTCTGTTTTTCCCAATGAGTTCCAGGCTACCAGAAGTTATCTTAGGACCTCTTACATGTGTGTTAAGAGTGGCAAGATGAAAAAAAAAAAAATGGAGAAAAATAATTCAATTGACTGAGAAGAAAAAACTTTTTTCTAGAAAAACAAGTTCCAAGAAGAGAAAAACCTAAAGGCCTTTTAAATATATCTATAGTTTGTTTATCCACTTTTAATTAAGCTGGCTTTTAATCATAGTGTTTAAAAAAAAATCCTTAAAAATTTTTTTATTACCCAACTTTAGCCACGCCAAGCAGCCAATATTTTTGGCTTTTGAATTTTACCACAGGTAACGTCCCACATGAAATTAATCAGTTTTACTTTACTAATTTGCATAATTACTTTAATGATTTACATAATTAAGGTTATAACTTAACCATGGACACATAGGTGTCTTAAAGAGATGGTGAGCAGTTTCTTTTTTTTCTCTCTCTTTTTTTTCTTTTACAAGATTTAGAATGTCCCCCAGGGTAGTTTAGAGAAAGGAAAATTTAAGACTGCGAATCAGAAGCTAATAGGGGGGAAAACCTCAATAAATGGCAAAGTTACATAAGTAAAAAACCGGAAAGGAATCATTCCGGAAGCCAAGAATAGAACCCAGGCTGCTACTGTCAAAAAGCAAAGCCTTAGCTACTGAGTCGGAGAGCAGTGAGCAGTTTCTATTGCTCCTCCCAGAAGGAGCCTAGAGAAGCCAGTTTCAAGCTTGCAATGGCTTTTAACTGCTTAAGATAATTTTTAGGGCTATGACATGGACCTCAAAATTCCTGTCCTCTGGATGGCGGAAACCAAGAGAAAGTATCCCCACATAGTCACAAGGTTAAGCTCTTAAGGACACAGAACAAGACAGAGGAATTTCATACAGTATTTATTGGTTTCAGAGACCTGTAGCAAAGTTTGTAACTGACCAGCCTGCTGCAAGCTTATGGGGGTCTTAAACCCACATTCTATCCTGTGATACTCCTTTCTCCATTATAGAACACAGAAAAGCAAATTCTTAGCACAAAGTACACCAGATTTGCTACCGCCTAAGACGAGTCTCACAAATCCTTTTTCTGTTCATCAAACCCTTGCAGAGAGACAAGTAGTGACATTTACTGTTTACCCAGACAGAGAGAGAGGGGGGGGGTCCAGAAACTTGGCTGGTAGGAATTTCTTACCCTTTTTTGCCAGCATACCAGGTTTCCGGGCTCCCTTTCTCTGCAGCTTCCTGAAGAATGGAGTGGCTTCTGATGACCCTGCTCACCGCACCATAGCTGTGGGGTTCAAGCCACGCGTTTTTTTTTTTTTTTTTTTTTTTTTTTGAGAAGGAGTCTTCTCAAAACTTCTGTCACCCAGGTTGGAGTGTGGTGGCACAATCTCAGCGCACTGCAACCTCCGCCTCCTGGGTTCAAGCGATTCTCCTGCCTCAGCCTCCTGAGTAGCTGGGATTACAGGTGTCCACCACCACGCCTGGATAATATTTGTATTTTTAGTAGAGACAGGGTTTCACCATGTTGGCCAGGCTGGTTTCGAACTACTGACCTCAAGTGATCCGCCAGCCTCAGTCCCCCAAAGAGCTGGGATTACAGGCGTAAGCCACGACACCAGGCCCTTCAAGCCACTTTACCAGAGACAATCACCCTTTCCTGTTTTATGGAACCATATGCAAGATTCTTAATTTGCAAGATGCTGCCCAGTGGGCTGCAGGGGAGATCAAATTAACATTTTCCATTCCAGCAAAACACACATAACAAAACAAACATTAGTCACCTTGTTCGGCACCAAGTATTAACCTGGCAAAGCTCAAACTTTTTCCCGTTGGTCCCTGTTGTCTTTGATTCATTCCAGGTGGGAAGGGACGACCTCCAAACGGTAATTCACAATGGGGTCTCTGGGCAAGGCAAAGAGCAGATAGTTACCCAGAGAGACAGGCCTGTTGAGCCTTCTTTAGGACTCATTGAATGTGACCAGACAAATAAGGAGGGTTCTCTGAGTTAGCCATGCTGGATTTCCATCAGCAACCCCTTCTGAGATCCCTTCCACATATACAAACACACACAAAGACGAGACAGACAGAAGGCCTTCCAAATCAGATCCCTAACCAAGAACTCCAAGAGTATCCCTTCCAAATGATTGTCCTATTCTCCGTCTGAGAAACCTCCTCAAAATCTTCCTGGTTGAGAAGTCTCCCAAACCAGGACTCTTCCTACTACTTAGAAAGAGCCAACCAAGATCCCCCAGGAGCTGAACAGACACCCCACAATGGGGCTATAGACAGACACCCCATAGTGGAGCTACAAAGAGACACCCTGCAGTGAGGCTACAAACACCCCACCATAGGGCTACAGAACCAGTTTGGAGAAGGAAGGAGGCATTGGCAGTGCCTAGGATACTCACCAATCCAGACACCCCGCAATGGGGCTACAGAAAGACACCCACCATGGGGCTACAGACAGATACCCTGTCATAGGGCTACAGTTAAGGGACGTCTTCCCAGGACTATTTCTCCATTGCAATTAAATCCATGCATATTGGGTCGGCAGCACCCTGCCAGTAGAGAGAGTACCAGAGTCCCCAGTCCCCAGTCCCCAGAACTAGGTGGCCGCTTGGGCTGGCTTCTGGATCCATTGCTGGAGGGGAGCCACTGAACCAGGGGCAGGTAGCCACAAGGACAATCCCGGACAAGCCCCCAAATTTGTAACCACCCAAGGGGTTCACCTTGCGCACTACCTGGACAGAGCCGATTCAACAAGACAGGGGAATTGCAATGGAGAAAGAGTAATTCACACAGAGCCGTCTGTGTGGGAGACTGGAGTTTTATTGTTACTCCAATCAGTCTCCCTGAGCATTCAGGAATCAGAGTTTTTAAGGATAACTTGGTGGGTGGGGGGAAGCCAGTGAGCCAGGAGTGTTGATTGGTCAGGGATGAAATCATAGGAAGTTGAAGCTGTCTTTTTGCGCTGAGTCAGTTCCTGGGTGGGGGCCGCAAGATCAGATGAGCCAGTTGATTGATCTGGTTGGTGCCAGCTGATCCGTCAAGGGCAGGGTCTGCAAAATATCTCAAGCACTGATCTTAGGAGCAGTTTAGAGAGGGTTAAAATTTTGTAGCCTCAAACTGCATAACTCCTAAACCATAATTTTTAATTTGGTCGCTAACATTAGTCCTACAGAAGCAATCTAGTCCCCAGGCATGAAGGAGGTCTGCTTGGGAAAGGGCTGTTACTGTCTTTGTTTAAACTATAAACTATAAACTAAGTTTCTCCAAAAGTTAGTTCAGCCCACACCCAGGAATAAACAAGGACAGCTTAAAGGTTAAAAGCAAGATAAAAGCAGTTAAGTTAAATCTCTTTCACTATCTCAGTTATAATTTTGCAAAGACGGTTTCAGGATTGGTCACCAGCTCCCCTGGGCAGGCCTGGCAACTGTGAGGAATGTGACTTGAAAACCACTGATTGGCATCATTCTAACCCCGCTCCCCTATCCTAGTTTTTTTAAGCCACTGAACCTATATCTGTCCCAGGATCAAAGAATGACAAAATTAAGAGCGGAAGTCCTGTTCCTTCTAACTGCAAAATTCTTTTTCTTGATGGAAAGATGTTTATTTTATCCCTGTTTACATTAATTTGCCTAAACACACATGTTCTGATACCTAGAAACAACTTTGCAATTTAAAAACAGAGCATTTTGTTAGATCTCTCATTTCTTCCATTGCTAGAGAAAGTTCTAATGAGAGTGAGGGCAGAATTATAGAACTAAGTTGAACCTACATGACAGAAAATTTAAATTAAAAACAATTTACTATCAGAGTCTTCATATTGGTGTTTGTGTGTTTGATTTATTTGCTTGACACCTACCCACATTATGCAGGATATACTGAATTGGTTATAATTACCATAATTTATAATATTTAGGTATGTATACTTGAGAAAGGATACCTTGTTCTGAAATTATGCAAGGGCTAGGTATTGAGAATTATGGACAATTTTCTTTACTACTGCAACTCTAAGATATGGTCTCTAAGGATGAACTTACAGTTGACAAAGACAAATCTGTGAAATATTAAATGCATAAGTTAAGTGACAGCTTGAGGCAGCAAATATGGGAAATCAGGATGGTTATTAAATGAATTAGGGGTTCGGAATAGGGAAAATGAATTCTTCAGGATGAGGTGATCTGGGCTTGCGGTCAGGTCTAGATATGAGTTGGGAGAAGCTTTGGAGGCATCTCAGGAGAGTGTAAAAGACAAGCAGACGTGTAGCGTGGGAAAGGAACGTTTAAGGGAGAGCAAGCTCCTCTCTTTTAAAGGTAATGAGAAAGGTATGTTTAAAGTTAAGATACAAGAGATTATGGCCCTTAACAGTATACTGTGAATAGAAAATTATAATGCAGATAATTTATAAAATACTTCCTAAGGTGGCATAACATTTTTATAAGAAAATTGTTGGGCTTGCAGGGCTGTAACCCCCATTGTGGACAACAGACAAGTTAATGTCAAAATATAGAAGATTTGATTTTAGTGAGCTGACTTGCATTGCATGATCAGCTGTATGATGTTAATAGTAAATAGTATATTTAGATATGTCCATGTGAATTCCAGTATTTATGGAATATTTATCTGAAATTCTGAAAGATACACTATCTTAGATTTTCCCACATAACCAATCATTCTTCCCAGAGTAACATTTATATAAATTTATATGTGTAGCAAAACAACATGACTTATAGTTATCTAGAGTATCCCTCATCAGAGGAGTATTAAGGGTTTTTAAGAAGTGATTATTAAGTTATAAGCACTTAAACTTATATAGAAAGTTATATTCAGAGTATGGCCATCTCTCAGAATGGCTTGGTGGATTATCCTGTATTCATTTCTTATATTCACACAAATAAAACTGTTGTCATAGTGTCCTTGTTACCCTTTTGCAAATTTAGCGACATACCTTTGCCATTTTTAGTAAGGAGATTCATTTATGCTGACATTGCAGGGTCTGTTGTAGTCAGCTCTGATGGGTGGAGGTTTTGCAGTGGGATGGGAAGTGATGTACTGCTTTATATCCTTTTGTTGATGGTATATTCTATATGATTTTTACTCTATTTTTTGCATATCATTATTTGCTGTAGAAATGTAAAATCCTGAGCGAATAAGAAACAATTCACATAATTTTGTTTCAGAATGGACCACCAAATTTGGCAGTGTAAAATGCTGTTACTTATTGCTGTAGACAAAATGAACACTTTCAAAGTTAATTCTGCATAGCTGAAATTCTTTGACAACAAAATAAATTCTGGATACTAGTAGAAAATTTATGGATTTCAATTAGAGTTTGTAGTGTGTCATAATTCCAGTTTTATATTCCATGCAGTTCAGTTTTGGGTTTTTAATGGGGCCAGTGCAGTAATAATAAAAATGATTCAAAATGCACCCAGTAATTACAGAGATTTGCTGTTGCGTTTGCATTAAAAATGATGATGATTTATGCTCGGTGAAATTGTGGTCTGTGGCTCTATTTAGGGCATTCTTGCTATTAAGCTGCTTATTAGTTATGGTCAGTGATTTAAAGCTTAAGACCTACATTAGAGGACTGTAAAATTATTTATTCTTTAATAGATAATAGTAAATTTGAAGCAGACATTAGATTAATTATAATCTTGTACATTAACGAATACGGATTAGTCCTTTGTCTCTTTTTAGGTCTTTTGAAATTCAAGTAAATGGAAAATGAGTTGATTGAGTTAGAGAGTTCAGTGAATTTACTTTTGCCTCCTGGTTTGTAAATAGTTAACACCTTTTCCAAATTTCTCATTGTGGGTCCTTCTCCACACTAAACAAATGCAAGTTCTTGCAATAACTTGTCTTTGTTCCATGTTGACATTCCTTAAATTAGCTGAAAAGATCTGAGAGGGAGGCTTTTTGCCTGATTTGGGGGCAGGGGCTGTGGGGGATGGAAATGTAGTTAAGGATAAGCGGACTTTAATTTGGCATTGCAGAAGGGAGTTTGTCATTATTCCTATTACTAGTAATTATGTATAAATTTACATATATGTGTGTATATATTTATACTCAGGTGCACACAAGTACAAATGTGTGCATGTGTGTGTGTATATATAAAACACAGACACACACATATATACATACATAAATCAGGTTATATACCTTTCTTTATATTTTATGTAAGACAGAAATCATCTAATATAAACATCAAAGTGTATTAGGATAGGAATTTCTTGTAACATTAATTAAATTTGATATTCAAATTCCTGTGTAATGCTTGGGTGTTATGCTAAAACAAGATAAATATCTAAGAGAAAGAGACTGCATATAAAGCTGTTAAATCAAATGAGAAAATATGTGGGTATTATTCAGGATAAGGTAGGGTATGGTTTAATAAGAAAATATCTGCCCCACCTCCAACCCCCAAATTCGAAACCTTAACATAATAAATGCTTATTTCTGGCTCCTGCGAAGTCCTTAGGGTCTGTGGAGGCTTTCTTCCATTCAGTGACTCAGGGGTCCAAGCTCCCTCCATCTGGTGGCCTATCATCTTAAAACATGACCTCTTCAGGGACAAGTGAAGACTGGCGCAGGATGATTTTTAAGACTGAGGCCTGGGCTGGGCGCGGTGGCTCACGCCTGTAATCCCAGCACTTTGGGAGGCCAAGGCGGGTGGATCACCTGAGGTTGGGAGTTCGGGACCAGCCTGACCAACGTGGAGAAATCCCATCTCTACTAAAAATACAAAAATTTACCTGGTGTGGTGGCGCATGCCTGTAATCTCAGCTACTTGGGAGGCTGAGGCAGGAGAATCTCTTGAACCCAGGAGGTGGAGTTTGCGGTGAGCCAGGGTCGCGCCACTGCACTCCAGCCTGGGCAACAAGAGCGAAACTCTGTCTCAAAAAAAAAAAAATAGAGTGAGGCCTGGAAGTGACTTCTGTTATTTCTGCTTACATCCCATTGACCAGAGCTCCATCAAGTGGCCCCAACCTATCTGTAAGAGACCCTGGGAACTAAAGCCTTTTTTGTGTGTGTGCTAAGAAAGAGGAAAATCAAATGGCATTAGATGAATACAGAGTTTTGTCTGCTGTAGTATGTAAAATGCTTCTGAACTCTCTGAATATAATCATGTGAATTTACAATCAGAAAAATGCCAAAAATGCATGGCATCTTTTAAAAAATTTCTTGATATCCCCATTCCCTTCTGCCCTATGTGCTAAGAATTGGAAAGAAAATTAGCTGGTTGTATCTAGATTCCTATCACTAGTGGCTTGGTACACTGTAGTTTATTCTAGTTACTCTGCCTCTTTCTTTCTTTAGAGTAGTTGATGGCCTCACCTGAGAATAACACCATACAGCTGGGCAGCGTTGGCGTTTCCCATTAGTCGGTCCCACTTTGGGTCCTGCCTTTCCATCACTGACCTCCTCCCTCTTTCCCCTGTTGAATGCTCTTTTCTTTTGTGAGAATTAATGGTGCACATTCTGAAGGTGGGAAAGAGTCATTATTTAGCTGTTTAACAGAACACCTCGGTTGATAAATTTAGTTACATGTTGCATTAGTTTTCTATTGCTGCATAATAAATAGCCACAAACTTAGCTGCTAAAAATAACATCCATTTATTATCTCATAGTTCTGTGGGTGAGAATTCTGGGCAAGCCTCAAGCTTGACTGGATTCTCTGCTCAGAGTTGCAGAAAGCCAAAATTAAGGTATCAGCCAGCCGGGGCTCCTATCTGGAGGTTCTGGGGGCAGAATCCACTTCCAAGCTCATTTAGTTTGTTGGGAGAATTCCTTGCAGCTACAGACAGGAGGTTCCCGTTTGCTTTGCTGGCTGTTAGCCATGGTCCACTCTCTTGAGCTGGAGGCTGCCCTCACTTCTTTTCATGTGGCGCCTTCCATCTTCAAACCAGCAATGGTGGGTTGGATCTTCGCAGACTTTTAATTTCTCTGACTTATTATTTTCCAGCCAGAGAAACACTATGACTTTAAAGGGCTCAAGGTATTAGATTAGACCAACCCGAGAGAATAATCTCCCTTTTGTCATGTACTGTAAGCTCATCGTGGGAGCGCCATCTATCATATATTCACAGGCTCCACCCACACTCGAAACGGAGGGGATTACACAAGAAGAGGAATCACTGGGGTCATTCTTAGAAATCCGTTGACTGCGTTTATTTCTGCCCAAGAAATATAGCTTAGGAAGGAAGTTTTTTCATGGAACCTGTAGTTTTGCCCAAATGCAGAATTGAAAAGTAAGAAATCTTTCTTCAACAAGAATTAGATACTGATAGGGGAAGAGGAGGTGGCTGAAGCTGGTGGGGAGAGAATATGAATTTTCTTTTAAAGGCTTCTTGATATACAGAAAATACTTAAAGAGCAACTTAATTTAGGTAATGGGCATATAGAATAGTTTACTTCCTTGATTTTCAAATTAAGAACAGCACTCATAAAATCTCATTTAATAAGTTCAACAAGAAAAAATATAATAATAGCCAATTAAGAGAAAGAGATTTAGCGGGGAGTGGGAAGTAGAGAGACAGCACAGAGGGTAAAAGCCATTCAGAGATCTTAATAGATGAACAGTATCCCTTAGAGGATAATGTTGCTAACTATTATTAAAAATCAGGTTGTGATTTTATATGAATGGTTTAATAGTTTTTGTACATGTTGCCTCCTCAGAGAGACCATCATTTCGGTACCCCACCACTCATTATCATATCACTCTCTTACTGTCTTTCTAGAACGTGGCAGAATTTGAAATTGTCTATGTTACATGTCTAATTGTTTATTCTCTGCTTCCCAATTTGAATACAGAATTATGTGTTCCCTGTTAACTTTACCCCAGAATGGGAAATGCAGAGAACCAAGTCCTAGTCCCAGGTCTGTGACTAACTTGCTTAGAAGTCAATTCGTTTGTGATTCTGAGAACAGAACTCATCTCAACATCTATCAAATGAAGAATGTACAGTAGAGGAATTAGATGATTTCAAATGCTTCTCCCAAAGGTATCCTCTATGCCTTTTTTCCCTTTGTTTCCAAAATGATCTGCTTTCTTGATTAGGACTTAATATTTCTAAAAATATTGGGTGGTCATGTGCTGAAAGAAAAGATGGTGCTGTGAAGGAATTTGCACAGGGTTCCCTGAAGTGAATTGTTTCTCTTACCCTTGGCTTTCTCCCCATGAAAATGAAGGCAGAGTATGACAGATTGTATTTCTCCTCTTGAAATCACCTTTCTTGCATTGCCCCTCCCTGCAGGAGTATTATGTGTCTTAACCCTTTGAACTCTGACATGCTTTGGTTAATGAAAGGTGAGTAGAAGTGATGTGGCTCTCTTCCAAGCAGAAGCTTTACAAAACTGTGCATGGTTCACAAATTAAATCTTTTCCCTTAGTCACAATGACTGGCAGTGATCCTGGAGTGAAGAAAATGGCACAGAACCATAGCTGACCCATACTGGATTTGTAGCATGAGTGAAAAATAAAACTTCATTGTTGAAAGCCATTGAAACTGTGAGGTCATTTGTTACTGAAGCAGAACTGGCCCATCCTGACTGATAAACGCCTGATACTTGCGTGCACCAGTTCAAATCATCTTGGCCTGAATTCCTATTGCAGCCACGGTTGAGCAAACAGCTCTGCATGAGTTTCAACCAGCATCACATAGGTGCACCCTAGCAGCTCATTGGTTTAGGCCTGTGCTTCTTGCTTTCAGTCCAGAGGTTCCTCTAACTTTGTCATGTACTCCTGTGGGAACTGACTGGCACTCATACATGTATGAACAGGAAGTGCAAGGATATTAACATCCATGAGACAAACCTTGACAAATGAGTAATGGAAGGTGATGGATAAATGTTTCTCTCCTTGTTCTTTTTTCATGCACAGCTCTGAGATGTATTTCCTAAGGCTCCTGGAAAGGTTTTCCATAATAGAGCAACACATCACCAAGCAGCCAACCCCTTCACACATCGCGTCGGTTTTGGGCTTTCCTTCTTTGTTTCACTCACTCCTTCCTTTTACTCTCTAGGATCACATTCCCAAATAAACTATCTACATATGAGCCTTTGCCTCATGTTTTGTTTACTGGGAGAACATGACTCATCACCAGTTAGATTCTCTTTGAATTGAACCAACTTGAACATTATCCACCACCGGAGCAAATTATGTACTTCTATAGCATGGAGGATTATACTGTACATTTATAGTAACTTGCAGAACACAAACAGTTTGCTACTTAGACTGGAAGTTATTGTTAGATTTGCTGATTTAAAAATAAGTTCTCCCTTCCCCCATTAATCCTCTATCAACCGGCTATTATTAAAAAGTCAAAAATAGGCCATACGAGATGGCTCATGCCTGTAATCCCCACACTGGGGGAGGCTAAGGCAGGAGGATCACTTGGGCCCAGGATTTTGAGACTAGCCTGGGCAACATAGCAAGACCTTTGTCTCTAAAAAAATAAAAACATTAGATGGGCATGGTGGCCCACTTGTAGTTTGAGCTACTTGGGAGGCTGAAGAAAAAGGATTGCTTGAGCCCAGGAGTTTGAGGTTACAGTGAGCCATGATCACTGCACTAGAGCCGGGGCAACAGAATGAGACTCTTGTCTCTCTTAAAACAAAAAGGTCAAAAAATAGCATGTTGAAGGGAAAGGGAACATTTATACTCTGTTGGTGGGAATGTAAATTAGTACAATCTCTATGGAAAACAGTACAGAGATTTCTTAAATAATTAAAAATAGAACTACCATTTGATCCAGCAATCCTGCTACTGGATATTTACCCAAAGGAAAAGAAATTATTATATTAAAAGATACCTGAACTCATATGTTTATCACAGCACTATTCGCAATAGCAAAGATATGGAATCAACCTAAGTATCCATCAATGGATGACTAGATTAAAAAAATGTGGTATATATACACAATGGAATACCATTCGGCCATATAAAAGAGTGAAATTATGTCTTTTGCAGCAATATAGATGGAACTGGAGGCCATTATGTTAAGTTAAACTATTCAGAAACAGAAAGTCAAAACCAGCATGTTCTCACTTTTGAGGTGAGGGCTAAAGAATGTGTACAATAGACCTAGAATGTGGAATAACAGACATTGGAGACTCAGAAGGGTGTGAGGTGGGCAGAGGTGAGGGATGAGAAATTACTTAATGGGAACAATGTACATTATTGGGGTCACCGTTAGACTAAAAATGCCCAGACTTGACTGCTACTCAATATATCCGTGTAACAAAACTGCACTTATACCTCTTATATTTATATATATATATAAACCCTCCCATTATTAGTTCTCAGTCCATCCTGGTGCCATAACACACAGATTTTCGTTGTGAGGCATCCATGTTTTTTGACATTCAGTGATTGAATAGCATGTTGTTAGACACAAATTTCAAATGTGGAAGCACAGTAGAGGGGTTGGGATAGCTGTCATTCTGTAATACCTTGCTGCCCTTCCACTCGAAGTTCTCAGACCACTGACAGCGCCCTGGGGCACAGTTCAGTTGTTAGGTGCCAGGAGAAATACTGTTTCATTTAGGAATTGAATTGGCCAAATTCTCATAGTGTCTAGGCTCTGTTCCCTTTTTGCCTCCTCATCAGTCTATTCCCTAAAAATCATAAAATTACAGCATGATAGAACCGGGTCTTAAAATAATCTAGCTAACTCCCTTATTTCATAGGTCAAAAAACAAGAGGTTAAGGAAAATGCTCTACTTTGTGGGGTGAAGGAGAGAAATTAAGGGGGAATGTAATTTTGGCTGTTAAGGAAATACCATTTTCTTTTAACGTAATTAAGTTCTTGATTGTGATGCTCTTAAATGAACCATGAAATTCTAAGCACTTACCATGCGAGTGTGATTTTTAACTAAGCCTTTTTTTTTCTACCCCCAATCTGAATGTTAAGGTGGCAGATGCATAACTAATCTTAGCTGAATCTATATTAAGAAATCAGCAAGGTGTCTTTATTTAACTTCCATGATGTGTGAATATAATGTAATGTTGAATAGCATGATTTTGCACATTATGTCCTAAAATAAAAACAACTCCCTTAAAGTGATAGTAAAATGCAGTAATGTGAAAGGTTATTTTTTATTCGATCTCAAACGAAATGAAAAGCACAGAAGAAAAGAATTGGAGACCTTATTCTTAAATGTGATTCTTATATATATGTTATATATATATATATATATATATATGTATATATGTATTTTAACATTTTAATTTATATATATGTAATATTTTTAAACCTGAAAAACCAGTGTTTGGGTTTGTATTCTATGTCACACAGAGGAAGCTCCTATCAGCAGAAGAGAGGTTCTAAAATCCTTGTTATCGGAGTTTAAATTTTCTGAAAAATATCCCACCCGTTGAGCTTCTATGTTCTTGCTCTGGGATGTTTCCATGGGTCTGTATTAGTTCCAGGAAATTTGGGTCCTTTCTATTTTATCTCTGGAATTGAGGTTCCTGCAGAAACTACAAGGGATTATCTGTGTTCTTTGCTGTTTAATGTCTTTGCTGCAGTGAGACAGATTCCTGAAGGAGTAAACAATGAAATGTTTTAAGGCTAACTGTGGGAGATTATGTGGAGAGGAAATACAGCTATTCTGAGAGAAGACATATAAAATGTTGGCCTGTTGCTTCTTGAAGTAATACTGTAAAGACCTCTTGCCTGTTGTACATTAACCAATGCAAGCATGTTATAGTTGAAGTTGGGATTCTGGGGTTCACCTTTTTCTCAGTTAATGAATTTTTATTTTAATGTAATTGAATTTTCTTTAAGAATCCAATTTCCACTTCAGAAGATACCATTCCCCTGGGAAAGTGGCTCCCAATCCAAAGAACATAGACCCTTGAGGAATTAATACAAGACTCTTGGAACCTATTTGGGCATCAACCATTGTCAGTGAACATCTGCATAAATAGTGTTTTATATAAACACATTTGAAGGTGTTCTTACATTTTTGGTCACTTTTAAAGCAGTACTTTTTCTCAATCAAAGGGTAGCAGGAAAATAAGAAAAGCCTAACAGTAAGGTGACTCTGTGTGTGTGTTTGTGCACATGCATACATATGCCTGTGTGGGGCGGGGTTGCGGAGGCGCAGTCTGTGTTTTTAAAAACAATTAAAGAGGTCTTTATGCTTTAACAAGCTGAGAACTACTATGGTAGTTATGTTCTGTAGGGCATGCTTCACAAAGCTAAATGAAAAATTTTAAAGTTAATGACTAAACAGTGCTTAAAGCATACACATTATTCATGATTTATTCTAATAACATTTGTGGATGACTAACTTAATAATGGTGCTGAACATCCATTATGTTTTTGTTCTAAAGATGTGTCTAAGTATCTATGCCTCCTTAGGGGTGGGTTTACATCACTCAGTGATTGAACTAAGATATATAATTCCATGTCTTTGTATAGAACAGGTACTGGAAAAATCAACCAGTTATATAGGCTTCCACTGTGCCAGATACTGTTCTAAACAGTCTTGTAGATATTAGCCCATTTAATCCTCATGATAACTCTCTGGGATGTAGGGACTGCTGTGGTTCCTATTTTGTAGAGGGGGAACTGAAGCGGAGAATGGTTAGGTTGGGTAATATGCCCAAGGCCATCCATCCAGGAAATGGCAGAGCTGGACTTTGAATCCAGAGTCTGAGCAGATCCCTTGCCCTGTCCTGCTTCCATCAGAGGACTTCATGTCTGTCCTGGCAGGAAGGGATAGGATGACTGCTGGGGAATACCTAGAGGCTGGCTGGTTTGGTTTGAGGTAGTATGCCTCATGTGTTCTCCACTCCCTAACCCCAACTACCAAATTGTTTTCTCTCTTTCTGTATCTTTCTCTTTCTCATATACAATCTCACATACCTACAACCACTCTGGACCCACGCTGGACACGATGCCATAAGGTTACCTTGGACAATGGCTGAGAGGTCCTTTGGTCTGGGCTTTGTTCCTAAACCTTCCCCTAGGAATTGTCACTGCATAACACCCAGCATGAATGGGTAAGGTCTCCAATGCATAATACAACTCAGTCCTATTTACGTGTTTTCCTGCTTTAGGTAACACATTTGTGTTTCTTCCGAGTTCATTTGGACAAGGTCAGTGTCTTGAGGGTTATTCAGATGACTTTATAAGCACTGTTCTTTTAAAGCAGTTAGCCATGGTCTAACTTGAAAGCCACATCACAGCATGTTTTTTTTTTCTGAAAAGTCTGAAAGTGTTCTTTTTCAGCCCTGCCAAAATTGGAGACGAGGTAATGGGACGGAAAACAACACGGGTACCCTGGACTTCCTTCATTCTGGCTGCCACTAAACATGTGTGTTAGTCCATTCTCACACTACTTTAAAGAACTGCTCAAGACTGGGTGATTCAAAAGGGAAAGAGCTTTAATTGACTCACAGAACTGCAGGGCTGGGGAGGCCTCAGGAAACTTACAATTATGGCAGAAGGCAAAGCAAACATGTCCTTTTTCACATGGTGGCAGGAAGGAGAAGTGCTGAGCAAAAGGGGGAAAAGCCCCTTATGAAACCTTCAGATCCTGCAGGAACTCACTATCATGAGAACAACAGTACGGGGGTAACCACCTCTATGATTCAATTACCTTCCGCTGGGTCCCTCCCATGATACATGGGGAATTTTGAGAACTAGAATTTAAGATAAGTTTTGGGTGGGGACACAGCCAAACCATATCAACATGCAAATGTGCCTGGGAAAGAATCGCTAAAGAGGATGACGCTGTTGTCTTGCTTCCTTGCCCCTTCCGATTCATCAAGTGAGGTCGTGGCCAGTGGAGGCCAGGCTTCAGTGTTTGGGGAACTGAGCTTGGTTGCCAGGAGGCCACAGGCTATTTTGATATGGCAGGCTGGCTGCACTCACAATTGCTGGGTCACTTCAAAAGCTCTTGTGATTGGCAAGGCTGGCAAGCACAGTCCTTCAGAGAAGCATGTTTTTTCCAGGCAGAGCAGCCATCTTTGCAACCCCCTCACCAGACAGGAGAGAAAAGTCACCTCACCTTAATGGCAGGAAGGTTCCAGACTTCCCAGTTCCTTGGACTGAGCCAGATGAGAGCCAGAAGGGTGAATGTGGAGCGATTGCTAGGATGGAGCTATCATTTGAATGGGCAGAATTCTATTTCAGACTGATGACTTGGTTGGACGCTTGATGCTGATTTTGTGATGCCTACCTTAACTTCTTGTATCCAGAAGTGGTATAGAGCAGTAGTTCTCAAAGTGCCGTCCCCAAGGCCCTTTCAGGGGGTCTGCAAGGTAATAATTATTGCATAACAATACTATAATGTGATGTTATTTGCCTCTTTCACTGGGAGGGCATTTGTACTGGCAGCACAAAAGCAACAGTGGATAAAAATGTTAACGTCGACCTGTGTTAGTACTTACTGGATTCTTCACCCATATGCACACCCACATATACCTGCCAAAAGAAGCAATTTTTCCTTAAAATAGCCTTGATGAAGCAGTAGAAATTAATGTTTATTAAATCTCCACCTTTGTGTACATGATTTTGAATATTCTGTGTAACAAAATGAGAACTACTCATAAAGCACTTCTGTTGCAAATGGACGTGTATGTAAATCTTGTCTCCTTGCAAACCACTTGTGCTCTTGTTTGAGTTGCTGGCTGAACTGGCTGCATTTTCCATGTAACACCATTTTCACTTGAAAGAACAACTGAGAACAAGCCATGCTTATTTAGACTTGGGTATTTGGCAGATTTCTTAAAAATAACTAAAGTGAACCTAATATTTCAAGAAGCATAATTGACAGTATCTGTTGCTAATGATGAAATTTGAATGTTCAAGTGAAAACAAGAATTTCAGAAAACTTATACTTGCCCCAGTGAGTTTGATAGTTTCATACTGCCTAAATATTTTTTTTGATTAGGCTACCTTGGGTGGTGATATTAACACATGGAATTTTTAAAATATATTGAATAATGATATGTGTCAACATTTGGAAGATCTGCGTAATTCAGAAACTGAATATTTTCCAAATGACCAATACATGATACCATAAAATCATGTATGGGGGAAAAAGTCAATCAAAAGTTGAAGATTGACCAATGATTTTAATGTAATAAACAGTAAGAAAAGTTCATTGATATGGTTTCAAATTTCACATGGCAAGTGACTTTTAAGAAACCGCCGCTTGTCAAGTTTTGCCATGGTATTAAAATGAATATCTACAATTATTTATCTGAAAAGTCTGTTCAGATACTCCCTACTTTTTCAATGATACTTCTCTGTGAGGTCAGATGTGCTTCATATACTTCAATTAAAAACATATTGCCACAGATTGAATATAGAGAGATATAAAGAGACATACAGAGATATGCACAAATGTAAAACAATGCCATTCTTCTTAATTTTGGGGAGAATATATGTTTATTTTTCACAAAAATATTTGTGTTAATATGTAATGCATTTACTAGTGTTATTATTATTTTTTTTTTTTTGAGATGGAGTCTTGCTCTGTCGCCCAGGCTGGAGTGCAGTGGTGTGATCTTGGCTCACTGAAAGCTCCGCCTCTTGGGCTCATGCCATTCTCCCGCCTCAGCCTCCCGAGTAGCTGGGACTACAGGCGCCTGCCACCACGCCCGGCTAATTTTTTGTATCTTTAGTAGAGACGGGGTTTCACCGTGTTAACCAGGATGGTCTCGATCTCCTGACCTCGTGATCCACCTGCCTCAGCCTCCCAAAGTGCTGGGATTACAGGCGTGAGCCACCGTGCCCGGCTACTAGTGTTATTTTTAAATGAATTAAATATGTATTTTAAATATTTCACAGTTACAATTTAAAACACAGTACATATCAATAGTTATAACCCATAAAACAAAGCTATTTGGAATCTTCAGTAATTTTTAAGAATTCAAATGGCTCTTAGAACCAAAACCAGAGAATGGCCGGGATACAACATTGCAGTGTTCTCAAGTGGAGGTTTCTGAGCTGTCATGAAATTACAAAAAGTTTCCCAGGTTGGGAATAGTGACTTTTCATTATATAGTTTTAAATACATCAGAGACAATTACTTAAATAATTTTATCTTTAAAATGAAAACTTTGTAGAGCTCAAATATGCTTACATCACATATTAAACTCTCATTCTTCAATAACTGATATAAAAACAAAAATACTGGCAATTATTTTCAATTTTAATTTATCAGAAATAAATTATATCTACAACGATAGTATGTTATTTATAGAGCAATGCTTGAAAGTGGCCACTAAAACCTTCTCTCTTGTCTTGCAATTTAAAATAAATCACAAATATTCAAGTAAATAATAAATAAACCAGCGGATATTTTGAGCAAAAGAAAAACAGTAGTTCTGTATGTTGACTGTTTTCTAGTTTTGATGCTGTAACCAATAGTTAAATCTCAGTCTGCATATTAATATACATGGAGTCAACATATAAACATATAGTTTTTAATGTATTTTAACAAATCATATTTTTCATACATAATTTAAAGTTTGCATCATTTATTGAATAGGAAGAAGTCAAACTTTTTCATTATGACATTAAATATAACTAAATAAGCATCATGCATAACATTTTATATTCTGAATAAAAATAAAATACTTTTGTCTAAAATCACCTTTGTATCAATGAAGGGATTAAAAAACATTTCTAATAACATTTAAAATTCTATCTTTCCTGCAAAGGAGCCTATGTTTTCTAGGGCTTGTAACAAAATAATACCAACTGTGTGTTAAAACAACAGAAGTTTGTTTTCTCACAGTTCACAGCCAGAAGTCTGAAATCAACGTGTCAGCAAGGCCATGCTGCCTCCAGAGCCTCTAGGGGAGACTCTTTCCTTGTCTTTTCCAGCTTCCAGTGGCTTCTGGCATTCCTTGGCTTGTGGCTGCACCACTCCACTCTCTGCTTCCACTTTCACCTGGCCTCTTGTTGGTATGTCCCTGTGTCCTCTCCTCTCCTTTCCTTGTGAGAACACCAGGGATTAGATTCAGGGCCCACCCTAAATCCAGGATAATTTCATCTTGAGATCCTTAATTAAGAACATCTGCAGAGACTCTATTTCCAAATAAGGTCACATTCTGAGGTTCCAGGTGGATGTGAATTTTGTGAGGGGGGACACTATTCAACCATTACAGTTTCCCAACATAAAATGATTGCAGAGCATAGAAGTAGTTTTGATAAAGTGGGCTTTGCTGTTGCACAGACCCACCCTGCCACTGATTAGCAGTTTGACCCTGGTAGGTTGTCTACACTTTAAAGCCTCAGATTCTTCATTTATAAAGTTGGGTCTAGGATCGCCATCACATTGGCTTGTGGTAAGCAGTAAAGGTGATTATGTAAAAGTGTACGTTCACATCACAGTCCCTGGGAGGTAGGCACAGAGGGAGTTCACTCAGTAAATATTAGCAGCCGTTTGCTGCTGTTGCTGGAGCAGGCAGGTAATAATAATCATAGTATGTTCTATAAGCATACCGTCATGGCAATTATATTGGTGATAATTGAAGTATGAGTTAGCAGATTAATGTTAATGGTGATTTCAAAGACAATTAGTATACAATAATAGATGATTTTCCTGTGGAATAGGTTGATGAGAGACAGAGACAGAAGGAGGGAGAGAATGAGAACTTCAAGTGAGCAGCCCAGGAGCCTGATGAGAGCCAGGCAACAGAAGTGTTGTATCCAAAGACCCACCATATTTTAACGAACTGCAGTAGAGGCCAGACACTGGCGTTCAGCACACTCCAGCATTTATGGCTATTTCTGTTCTGGGCTTGTGCTGCGTAATTATAAGGCCTGTGTCTTGATCACATTTTGGATGGTATTCGGAGAACCTGAATCACAAGACAGAGGAAAAATCTAAAGGCATCTATCACTGTGATTCCAGACAATCCAATCTAAACCTGCCCTCCTGCAGCTGTCAAATTGATTTCCTGTCACAGCTCTCTTGGTGGCTATTTTCGAATCTCCCCCCCGTCCTCCTAGAAACTCTGCCCTTGCCCCTCTCATGGGCTCTTCTGCAGGTAGCTTTGGCCCATCAGAACTGAGAAGTGGTCCGTGGCACAGTCCCGCCCTCCCTCACTCACCTCCAAATGTGTGGGCCCACTGACCCATCTGTCTTCATTCCTTCTGATTTTGATGAGAAATTACCCCACTCCCCTTTAAGGCTAACTCCCACCTCATCTACTCCGACCCAGGTGATAATTATGGTTCATAATTATCCCTTTGTTTTTTGCATTTAGTCTGTCTCCATGGAATCCTTCCACTCCGCCTGAAAATATGCCCAAGCTCCCTCTTCGTTCTTAAAATCGCTGTCCTTTCCAACTACCAAATACCTCCTTAATCGTTCTATTAAACTTCTTGAAAGAGTGGTGACCTAGCCCCCACTTCTTGTTGTGATCAGCTGTTAATTATTAAATAATGGTTGAAAGTACAGTACAGAATTCCCAACAGTTAAATTCCCGGTCATTTCTTCCTGATTGAGATAAGGCACGGCCCTGACTCCAGGCGGTAAGGCGGCACTGGCCTCAGAAGCAACTGTCTCTGGGTGCACTGGCGGCAGCCTGCAGACCACAGCCCTGTGGGGTGTTCTTTTGTGTAGGAAGTTGGCATTCTCAGAAGCGTCAGTGATGAGTACAGCAAAGTACTTTTAAGAAAGTAGGGAATTTGCATAGCTATGCAGTTGGAAAAATTATAAAATCGGTTAATGCCCCAGGATAGCATAAACAAAGAGGCTTTTGTTTTTTTAACTCTGAATTTGTTTCTGATAGTTTTTTTCTGAAGAAAAAGCAGTAGGAAAATGTCCAGCCAGCCTCTCCACTATACTTTTCATTTGCTGAAAGCCGCAGAGAAGTCATGAATGAAGGTTAGAAACCGTGTAGAAGCTGCAGAAAAGTCCCGAATGAAGTTTAGAACTTGTGTGGCCCTGAAGAGGCAGCGAGAAGCCCTGAATTTTTCTCCAGGAAGTAGAGAAAATTATTTCACTTACTAAGGACACACCTCGGAGGAAGACAGGACAGTGAGAAGAGTTTATAATTAGGATGACATTTGGGTAGTTGCCTCTAAAGTAAAAAAAAGAAAATACATGTAGATCATAATGTGGATCATTCTAGAGTAGGCCAAACATTTTTCTCTTCTATAGAATCTTAGAAAATGTACCCTAGAAAACTCTTTAAATAGAAAAAGAGCATATCAGGACACGTGTGTATGCCAGCTATTTGTATAACCTAACATTGCATCCTTCAGCCTGTTGGGGTTCTGGAGCCAGCCTGAGCCTTCCCCATTGTAGAAGCCGAAGAGGAGATGCTTAGAGGAAAGATGATTGTTAAGACACATATGGGCTCAGTGAACATATGTTATCATGTTTTCTTTATTGTGTAGGCAATAAAGACTATCTGACTTTCTAGACTAAACTTTTCCAATAGGAACTTAGTTTAGTGAAAAATTTTTGTGAAAATTATAGTAGGGACGATTCAATCGGTCAGCAGTAGTAGTGGCTGACATTACATATAATGCTCCTATAGGAGATATGAACAAATGTAAAATGTGGGGGTTTTGCCCTTGGAGAAATTTACAGTTACAGTGAGGCTCTCCATGCAAATTCCCACCTTTCTTGGTCCTATAGTAACAGCCAGTGTAACGTAGCTGAATGTTGGAAAACTGAAGTTGAGTTATGTCATGAGGTCAAAAAATCTTGTGTCTTGTCACCAACCACCCAAAGGCTCTGCTTTGTGCCCCTGTGTTACCCAGAAGGATGGAAAGCAACACTCCTACTGTCATCAATTTTTTTGTTACACAGTTGTCTCCCAAATTGTATGCAAATTTCATACTATTAATATACAGTCACCGGTTATATTTCTTCAGCAACCAAATATGGAAAATGTGTGTCAACTGGTTCTACAGCTGCAATTGAGCTACATCCTTTAGAATAATGTCACAATAGAGAAATGACTTCTGAATGGTGTTTAGCCTGCATATCACTCTGATTGCCTTTAATTAGGAGGAAAATCACAAGCTAAAAAGAGTAACAGACTTGAAGTCAGTTAAAAATCAGAGTAATCAACTGAGAAAAAAATGCAATCTCATAAATCTTAATTTTTAACCATAGGATAATAGTTTCTTTATTCATTGAATAACTTTTACTGCCTCTCCCTGCTTCTCAGATTAGAATTCTAACACTGATAGGAGATTTGGCATAGGAGAACTGCCTAGCCTCTGAAATGAAAGGCCCCTCAAACCCCATAAAAGCCTAGAACAAATGAAACTGAGAAAGTCACAACCCAAGAATTAGGTTTGGGTGGCTTGAATGTAAGAACTTCCTGATTGAGAGTGGTCTCAAAGTCAAAGGGGGAGAATAGACTAACTGTGATGTAAACCTTTTAGCAATGTTTTCCTAGAAATAGGGAGATAATAATTTGGCACACTACAAAGAAACTTCTGGCAATCACTTTAAAAAACAACAATAACAAAACCTTGTCTTTAAAAATGCAAAATGTTAGGGGTGTTAAGACACCAAAATATAACTTGGTATTTATTCCTGCAGAGGTTGGCTTTTATGAATTTATTTATTTATTTATTTATTTTGAGACGGAGTCTCTGTCACCAGGCTGGAGTGCAGTGCCTGATCTCGGCTCACTGCAACCTCCAGCTCCCGGATTCAAGCCATTCTCCTGCCTCAGCCTCCTGAGTAGCTGGGACTACAGGCACGTGCCACCACGCCCAGCTAATTTTTGTATTTTTAGTAGAGACAGGGTTTCACCATTTTGGCCAGGATGGTCTCGATCTCCTAACCTACCTTGTGATCTGCCTGCCTCGGACTCCCAAAGTGCTGGGATTACAGGCGTGAGCCACTGTGCCTGGCTGGCTTTCATGAATTTTAAGAAGGGATCAATGCCTTTCATGATTTTTAAGTCAACCTAGTATGATAACCGAGAAAGAAGACTGTGAACACATGTGAATAGATTATTTTTCTTGGTGGAGTGAAGAAAGAGCTTTTATTTTCTTCATAGGGGTGTGCCTAATAATTAAGGGGGAAAATGAAATATGAGAAATGTGTGATACGTATGGGGACAGCTCTGTAATAGTTGTCTTCAGCAGTTACCTCCTTCAAGCTTGTCAGAATTTTAAAACCGTTCATTTCTGTTCCACTTGAAGAGTGAGATCTATCAAGACCAGCCTCTGGAGTGCCACAATGTGATCAGCCAGAAAAGAATGACGGCGCATTCGGCACAGGGAAATCACTGACGTTTCCTATGGTCATGAAGCAACATATGCTCCACTAATTACTGTTTTCTGTGACTGCTCTCACATCTTGAAACTCTCCATGACCCATTGCGGAAATCCTGTTCATCTGCCCCCCACCTACTCCCTCAGTGAATGAAAAATAGCAGATTGCAAGGCTGGACTTGTTTAATGAATGTGATTTGTTTTTGTGGAATCAGAGGCATGAGAGGTTTTGGAGGCTGTTAGTTTGACACTAGATTTGTGAAATGACTTCATAGTCCACACCGTTAGATGGGTTTATAGGCAGGGTGTCTTTACTTGCTAAATGATAATCTGTCCAAAGGCATTTTCTTTATTTTTCTATGTTTCTAGAGCAAAGTGACCTTTGAAGGAAGGCAGCATCATGTCTCTGACTTCAGGCAGAAGTCTGTTGAACATGGGGCAGACATGGAATCTTGCATTATAATGAGAATGTCTTCAAGAAAAGCGGACTCCCTCTGTGGCCTTTTCTTCTCTTGGAAGTAGTCTTGTTGCCATCTGAGTGACCCCTAACACTATAACCTAAGGATTTTCCTGGATTTTTTTTCTGACACAAATAGCTTGTTTTCTTGTACTGTATAGTAAATGCAATTTTTGGTGTTAACACCTTTTTATGTATTCATTTATTAGAGCATTAAAAACCAAAGTGTTGGCCGGGTGTGGTGGCTCACGCCTGTAATCCCAGCACTTTGGGAGGCTGAGGCGGGTGGATCACGAGGTCAGGAGATCAAGACCATCCTGGCTAACACGGTGAAACTCCGTCTCTACTAAAAATACAAAAAATTAGCCGGGCTTGGTGGCGGGCGCCTGTAGTCCCAGCTATTCGGGAGGCTGAGGCAGGAGAATGGCGTGAACCCGGGAGGCGGAGCTTGCAGTGAGCCGAGATCGCACCACTGCACTCCAGCCTGGGAGACAGAGCGAGACTCCGTCTCAAAAAAAAATAAATAAATAAATAAAACCCAAAGTGTTACCTTGTTTATATTCAGGTAACTTCCCTTCTCTATGGAATTTTCCCTCACTCCTCCTTCCTCCCCACAAAAGCCCAACAACTTGGTTTGTTCAGATAGGTTGAAGATTACTTTTTCGCAGTTTATAACAAGAGCTGATGTTTAATAGAGGTATTGGGTTGCATATGGCTTTATTTTGGCGACTATTTGAATATATTAAATAGTAGTAGGATATCGTTACTTAGTATTACAGCAAAATAGGATGATTCTCTGGAGAAAGAAACTTCGTAAGCCTGGATAGTAATACTTACCATCTATTTAGATGTGATTGCCTGATGGTGTCACCCAAACTAATTAATAATGACATATTAGCTAACATATTGCCGTCAGCAGGTGGCTGTTTGAGCAGGGGTGAAAATGGCAGGTGCTAAAACAAATTGCTGTACCTTAGAGAAATGTACAGAATTCTTCTTTTAAAGAGTCTTGATGATGTCTGCAGTATGATTTTTATTTTTTGGGAGCTTACAAGGCTTGGAGAGGTTGCAGAGATAGAGACTAGGAAAACAAAACAAAACAAAGGAGAACAAAATTGATTTAACCTTTTCCAAAAGTTTTCCAATTCAATAAGCAAGCGGTTGAATCTAAGCAGCACAAAATTTCCAGGAAAGACTCAGGCATCCTTCTTCCTTCCAACTTTCCTTTTCTTCCTCTTCTTTGTCCATCTAGATCTGTCAAGGGATTGTGGGCACACAGCAGAGCCATGACAGATGGGCAGTGCACTGTAATCTACTGCTGCCTTTCAATTTCAGAGGGATCATTGTGACAATGAAGGGGTTAAAACTGTCAACACCTATCAGAGCTTGGAGATAATTAGTGTAATATAAACCCAAGAACTTTGATGGCAAAGACCACACAGCAAATGAATTCGACTAGGTTGCTGCTTTGTAAGAAATACTTAATTAACCTCTTTCCAGCTCACGTGCAACTATGGTTTTTACATGCCTATGTGAAAAAGTTACTGTTTATACATACAGATGATAATGATTAAATATGACTGTGAATCATTTTTACTTTGGAAGATGCATTTCAAACTAGCACTTGCAGCTACAAGTTGAAAAGATAAGTGCTCTTCCAGCATGAGATAGGTCGCCTTTGGAATGTCTCACAATGTATTGACTATTGCTCTAGTACTAACGTTGCTAACGTGTAGTACTGAGTAATGTGACTTAGGAATGCAAACTATTACAAGGTATATTTTTATCTAACCATTTTTTTTTAAGTTTCCACCTCTTAGAAGGAACATAAAAGGAAAATAAAGTAGGCCTTTTTAAACAAAATATAGGCTTGACAAGGATAAAATGCATTCTTTTTTAATTAGCTTGAAAGAGAAAATTGATAGATAACAAGCAAAAACTCTTAGGGCTGTTCTTCAAAAGTCCATGTGGTAAGCAGAAAGGGACAAGAATGACTTAAAAATAGGAGCAGAAATCCATGATGGACTAGGGGAAGAATGGGTAAAGGAGAACTTCAATAACCCAGATATGTTCAAATCCACAGGTCCCAATGGCTGGCATCCTAGAGTACTTAATGAATTGGCCGAAGTCATCACAGAGCCGCTAGATATCATTTTTGAGACCTCGTGGAGGACTGATGAGGTGCCTGAAGACTGGAAAAGGGCATATTTAGAACCTTCTTTCAAAAAGGGAAATGGATGATGACCCTGGAAATACTCATCAGCTTAACTTTTTGCTTGGACAAATTCTGGAATAATCAACTTAGTAAACTGGGTAACTGGCTTATAACAGCTAGAAATAAGGCAGTGAACTATCACGCATAAAGAAGTATTGAGTTCATTTTTTTAAGAAGATATCATGATGAGATACAGTCTTATGCATTTCTTGGCATTCTCCCTTCCATTCTTAATGAAAACAGATGAGGTTGGCTAAGGCATTTGAGTCATAACTTAGTTTAAGTACAATATAACAAAAAGGTAGATTTCTGACAGTAAGTAGTAATTATATTATTTCCAAATTTGCTTTTAACTTGAGAACAGTAGCTTTAATTTTTATATTCAAGCATACATTCTACTTCATTTCATATAGGACCATGTTTTTATAAGATAAGATACATAATTCTATGTAGAATAGTTTGGTGAAGGAATTCTTATTTTAAGGTGCTTTTATATAGTTATTTTGTATATTGGTACAATGTTAAAGGTGATGAATTAAGGAACATCACCAAGAGAGGACAATTTCTTCTAACTTCTCTTTTTAAATTTAATCTGGCTGAGGTTTAGTATTAGGACTAATACAAGTGTCTTGCTCTGACATGCATCAAGCAAGAGCTAGCTATTTTACTTCATAGCTAGTTTCTTGCACTCTGTGGAGACTGCCAGGGCCGCAGCTCACAGCCTGTTCTGAGCTGCAGTGCTTTATCCCACCTTGCTCTCCAGGCTTCTGACTTCAGGCCTGTGGGGGCCGGGAGGTGGGCAGCGGCAGTGGCCTGAGGAGCCCTGTAGAACTACGGCTGAAAAAGAAAGTAGATTGAGGTGGGGGGAGGAAATTAACAGGAATCTAGAGTTTTTCTAATTCTTATCGTCTTATCGTTCTTGTGTTTGGATGCTGGTAGTTTTTTTTTTTTTAGACAGAGTCTCGCTCTGTCACCCAGGCTGGAGTGTAGTGGCACAATCTTGGCTCACAGTGACTTTCGCCTCCCAGGTTCAAGGAATTCTCCTGCCTCGGCCTCTTGGTAGCTGGGATTACAGGCACGCATCACCACACCCAGCTAATTTTTTTGTATTTTTAGTAGAGATGGGGTTTTACCATGTTGGCCAGGCTGTTCTTGAACTCCTGGCCTCAAATGATCCACTCGCCGTGGCCTCCAGTAGCGCTGGGATTACAGGCGTGAGCCATCACACCCGGCCTGGATGCTGGTAGTTTTATTTTCTGCTTAGAAAACGCAACCATGTTGATGGGACCAAAAACTTAGTTGAAAGAAGCCATGGCAAAAGATGTTGACGTACAACTGGCTCCTGAGGCTGTCAATTGTTTAGAGCTCCCAAGTAGTACTGCATTACGGAATCTACTACTTAGAAGAATGTACAAGATGTAAGTTCCCATCGGCACCGTCATGGTAAGAAGAATAAGAAACTCTCAAAGGAAAAGAAACTTACATTCACTTTTTCCTGGTCCATTTTGGTTCCTAAGAATAGATAGGCCATTAAGAAGGATATTAGGTTTCTAAGGACAATTTTAACACAATACTGCTTTAAAAATCTGAAGTTTAAATAGTTTAGCTATTTCTGTAGGTTAATTCAGGCACTGACTAAAATCAGTCTCATTATCATATACAAATGTAAGGAAGTTAAATTTTAAAAGCATGTATAGGTTGTCCTTAAATTATACAAAAGCTTTTAGTTTCATCAGGATTATATTCCAGTTAACCTTTCATCTTTTTTTTTTTTCCAAATGAACTAGGGTCTTTAAAATTCCTAAGTAGATTCTTTTGAGTGGTAGGGGAGTCTGTATAGATTACAGATATAATTTATTGTGATAACAAATGGCTTCCTGTTTGACCTCATTTCCAGGTGTCGCATCCGTGGCTGATTTATTTCACAGATGTACATTTGCATGTACTTGTTGAACTTTGCTAGGAAGGACTCAATTTTTGAAAAATCTGTTATTTTCACTGTGGGCCTTATGAGGCAATCTACTGCAATGGAAAAAGGGTTCCTTGGTCATTTCAAGTTTTATTTTCTATTAGAGTAATATCTAACTTCAATTATTTTGCCAGGTTTAAACCTTCTCTCTGTGTCTGTGGTTAGAATTTGAAAATAACAATGCTCTGCTTAAAGTAAGAGTCACAGTCAGCAAAAAAAGCCAATGGATTTTAAAAAGACATCTTAGTTAAAGCTAGAGGAAGAAAACTTCAAATAAGCAAAGAAGTATTGAAGGATGCCCACGAATTCCTTTGCATTAAAATCAAGATGAGGTAAGAGGTAGAATATAAGAGAAAGGGATTATTTTTACCATGAATTGTATCTGGGGACAGTTAGTCTTAGAAGGAGTAATTTTTTCAGCGTTTTTCCTCTGTATCTAAACACCAATAATATACTTAATTTTTGAATATAAAAGAAGTAGCAATTGACTAAGAATAAATATGTTATAAAAACTAGGGGATTATCTTGATTTACATTTCCTAGAGTATTAAAAGAGATTAATTACAGACTTTCACTTGATAATATTGAGGAGTCTGGAGGGTCATAGCAAAATTTTCTTTAGTTCATCTTAAAATTTAGGGAGGTAAAAAAAGATTTTATTCACATAAAAGATTTCTTGGCATAGGGAAGGCGTAATGTTAAGGGCTTCTTCCTTACCCAAGTGGGAGCTGAACCAGTAATTGTGGGGAAAACTGAATTTATAGCAACAAAGGATAGTAGTTTCTCAACTGGGAGCATACGAGCAATTTCTCAGTTCAGAGATATTTATAGCATCTTGGTGTTATGCAATAAACAATGACAACAACAAGCATTGAGCTTTCACTTTGGAGTTACTCAGATCTGAGTTTAAATTCTAAAATTATTCTAGTAGTATTTTCCTGCGGTGAATCTGTTAAGGATGTAAGCTATAGTGTAGCTTGGGGAATCATCTTGAACAGTTATGAAACTCATTAAAGCTTCTTTTCCCTTGTCTGTAAAATGGGAAAAATAAATACCTCTATAGCTCTTAAGAGGCTTAAGAGTTCTATGGCTTACACCCACATACAGTCCTTGGCTCAGTGCTAGGCATGTAGCAGGTGCTGACTGCCTCTCTCCCTTCCCTTCTTTACTCTCAGTTGTCTTATTTCTTCTTATGCAGAAGAGATTACCTTAAAGCTGACTAGAAAACTCAGACATAAATTGACATTTCCTTATCATTGCCTGAAACCCACTGAATAAGTCCCCTTTGATTTCTCTCAGGAAGGATAAAAAAGGCTACAGTACCTGCTCATAGGAGTTCAGTAAATGTTTATTGATTGAATGAAAAGAATTTGATTTAAGGAAACAATAACACTCCATCCTGGGCAACAGAGCAAGATCCCGTCTCAAAACAAAACAAAACAAAACAAAACAGCAAATTCATAAAGGCCAGCAGTTTTCAAGTCTGGGGAAATAGGCACATGGACAGATTATATGAAGGTATTTCATTAGCTTTCTTCTCTTTATGGCAGCTTCAGATTGATGAATTTGAGGTACAAATGAGTGAGTGACATATGTATATTTTCCTCTGATTTTATGACTGATTTACAAATTAGGAGTGCAAATGGGCTGTTCCCCGATAGCATCTTCTGGGAAGAATCCAACCAAGATACAAAGCAGATGATGGTGGATCGGCAAACTCTTTTCTATGAAAAGAAAAACCAGATATACCAGGGACTGGAAAGCACCTGCTTGAAAATTGATATGAGCATGTCTGAATTTTTCCCTTATAAGAGCCTGAGTATTGTAACAGGTCTCTTGCACAGGGGGTTGAAAAATAAAAAAAGAAGTTAACATAATTAAAATGCTTGGACAAAACATTTGCTTTATATAGATTCTTACAAGTAATATTTGATTAGGTATCAAAATAGGTTTAGGCAGGTGGAAGTTCTGAATTTCAAGGCAAATAAGGCATGAAGGGTGGAACATTGCATCTAGGGAAAATAAGAGAAATAAGTGAAAGTCTGACCCTACATTGCCAATTCTCAGACCAAGTACAAAGTATTAGGAATTTTTTATATCAGCTGACATCTTGTGCTTACAGTAAAGCCATATAGATGCACACATAGTGACTTTATTAAATCAAATGAGTTGTGCAGAGCAGAGCAAATCTATTAGGCTTTCTCTTTTAGAGTTTTCTAATTTTACTCTTATTAGCTCCCTCAGTTGTCATCAATTACATATTCCTACATCAGATATTTTACACTATCAGATTCTTTGATTAAAAAATCATCTTCAGCTTTACATTATTAATCTCTGAGGACATAAAATCAAATAACTTTCTAGTCCATGATCATTAATCCCTACTATTTTAGATATTTCCATAAAAGGCTTAAAGGGAAAAAAAAATGGTAGGTAGTTCAGAAAAAAATGGCTGGGCACGGTGGCTCACGCCTGTAATCCCAGCACTTTGGGAGGCCGGGGTGGGCAGATCATTTGAGGTCAGGAGTTTGAGACCAGCCTGGCCAACATGGTGAAACCCTGTGTCTACTAAAAATACAAAAAAAATTAGCTGAGTGTGGTGGTGTGCGCCTGTAATCCCAGCTACTAAGGCAGGAGAATGGCTTGAACCCAGGAGGTGGAGGTCGCAGTGAGCTGAGATCGCGCCAGTGCGCTCCAGCCTGGGCAACAGAGTGAGACTCTGTCTAAAAAAAAAAAAAAAAGAAAAGAAAAAAGAAAAATTGAAGAACATAACTTTTCTACTTATGAAATAGATAATTTTTTAAAATTGTTTAAACTCCTGGAAATTAAGTGTTATTTTTTATTACTGCAGTTGAGAGATACCTTTTCAGAGGAAAACAAGAGGCTAAATTCCATGTTAAGAGCTAAGTAGTATTTTTTTCTTAACAATTTTGCCAAAATTTCTTCTACTGGACCAAAAGGAAATAAATCTACAATAAATCTACTTTCTAAATATTATTTAAGATGGGAAATGTCTTTTATAGGTATATTCTGTATAATACCCTTAATTAGATGAATTATCCCTTATCATTCCAAAAATGAAATGCTGTGTTAAATATCTCCAGGGCAAAGTGGTATGTTGACTGGGACAAACGTTAGAAATTGTATTGTTCATTGCACTTGTTGCCCTGTTCCCCAAGCTTGTCAATGTTTAGAGATACTATTCGGGTTGCTAAAGCCATTATTCATAGAAAATTTCTGCCCCTACAGAAGTGTGTGCATGGGCCTTGGAAAATCTACATGTGTATATCTGAGTAGCGAAGCACAGATTCACTCTAATTGAAAGCAGCAGTTTGGTTTTGTAAATGTAATTGCAATTGACACTTTCTTTTCCCTTTCAGTTATTATTTTTTTTAAAGGACGTTATGAGAAGGCACTATGAAAAGCCTAATTGGAATAGCATTATGAACCATGTAATGCATGCCCATGCACACTGTGATTTGCAAACATATGTCCGCTCTTCAATAAATGTTACGGCTTTCACAGCGGTTCCGCCTTGGCCTCTTTTGTAATCTTCCACATCTTGATGAATGTGATGGAGTTTGTGCATTGTTTAAATTGACAATATGTAAATATTTATGGTATGCATTATGGTCAGCATGGGAAATCAGAGTTCTAACGGGAAAGAAAGGAAAAAGTGGGTCTTGCCACACTGTACATCAAAGTGAAATAAATCCATCTTACGAGCTGGGATCCTTTGGTATGGTTGTTATATGTGAGTATGTTGTCGCCTTCTCTTGTGTGATTCTGTGCCAGTCATGGTGGCTCACCGCGGTGGGAGATGGGATGGTGGGGGCTGTCGGGTGGTAAGAGGGGCTGTGTGTGGAGTTTCTGTACATGTGTTTCTGCTATGGTTCCTACAGCCCTGAATCTCTATCACCTGAAATGTGTTGTGATTCAACTACAGATAAGCAATATTTCCGTGTTCATTAGACGCAGAGTGCTGGATTTGAATCCCAGCCTTACTACTTTCTGGCCTCAGGACCTTTGGCAAATGGACTAACTACTGTGCATGCTTAACACAGTCACCAGTCCCCAGACATTAATTTGAAGAAGTTTTATCACAGTGTTTTGGGTTTTATATAAATGTCATCATGTGTAATGATTTGATTTTTAATCAAATCATTTAAATCAAATCATGTGCATGTTTTTATTCCCACTGGATGCAAAATGAGAAGAAAGTAAATTTAAAGCAAAAAAAATATATGGTAAATATTAGGAGAAATATGTACAAATTTGAATTTTAGAAATGAAAAGGACCTTAAGGATAACCTAGTCTGATTCATAAATTGTGTAGTTAAGAGACTAAGGTGCCAGGAGTGAGTTTGTGGCATGCCCATGATAACACCCCAGGTTGGTGGCAGACGATTGGCGTTCTTCCACATCCTCTAATCCTGGCTTTTGTCTGATGTCAAATCCTGGGAAGTATACCTAAAGGGTTCTGTGGCTCCTTCAAAAAAGACTCATTTTTCTAGAATGGACTTAGTTTGAACTTAGATCCCTGGTTTTTAAGACATAGTCATAGCCCTTTTGTTCATAAACTAAAGCTCCAAGCTGCCCCAGGGCTCTGCAGGGGCCAGCATTGTGGCTTGAAAACCTGATCTTTCAGCCTTAAAACCTTATGCTTCAGGTCCTCCTTGATCTGATAAGCATATTTAGAAAAGTTCACGATACTGGTGGACAGCCCTAAAATGTACTTTTTAAAAATGGGGAAATGTATGCCTGCAGTAAAGTTCACAAATAAGTGTTTGTTAAAGAATAGGATGGTTTATATCGTTAATGAAATCACATCACGTAAGTCAGCTTTGAAAACATCTTTCATCTGAATCTAGATAATGAATATCTTCTAGTTTCATTCCAGGCCATTCGCTGTCCCACTGAGGATTTTTTTTTAATTTAAAAGAGGAATCTTGAATAATTTTAAATGAAAAACTTACTCTACCCGCACCCCGCCCCCCTGCCCACCTCCTAGAGTTACCCTGAGGACAGAGTACATTCGTGTAATTATGGACACTTTTTTGACTAACTCGTCTATTTTAAAGTACATTCATGTACCAATGACAGGATGTCTGTGGAATCTCGTTTGTTTCTTGGCTGAATGATGAGCACCAATTGTGAACACTGTATATTCAGTGTACATTGTTTTAGATCCCTTTAGCTCAATCAATTTAACTTCAACTTCATTTTGGAAGTTAATTAATCTACATAATAGCATTTACAAAAATAGCCATTTTGAGTGAAGAATATACATTTAATTTAAAAAAATCCTTGCCTATAAATCAGAAGTCCTTAAATCCAGTCTCTTGGTTTTCCTGGTGAGCAGAGCTGTCTAAGTCACTTCCTTTTACACCTTCAGTCTCCCATCTGCAAAAGTGCTCAGTGGACAGCATTGCTAAACACACCCTGTGAAAGGTTTGAGACACAGATGGGATCTGTGAGTAATTTCAACTTTTTTTTTTTTTTTGATGACCTCCACCAGGCCATCAGTACATCTGGTTTGTCCCACTGGGTTTGTTCCCCACTTGGTGCTTCCCTCGTTCCTAGTGTATTATCTGGCATGGTGCAGGTGCTCAGTAGTATTGTAGAATGAATGAAGGACTAAGTGAACTTTCTCATAAGCCTGAAGAAACTGAATGTTGAGGTTATGTGAGATGGTTAGACAGGGCATTTCCTATTTTCGGGGAACCTGAAGGAACCACTGTGGCTTTGTGTTGGAAGGATAGTGGCTTTCTCCCCTATACATGGGAAACCAAGTTTCTCCTTTTTGGAAGTTCACTTTATGGTGTGATTTTGTTATTATTCAGATTTTCTGACTTTCCTGTTTACTTTTGTATAAAACCATAAATGCAAATAAAATTCAAAAAATAAAATTTTATAAACTCAATTAGGTTTTCTGTTGCAGAAATGTAGTAAACATTGTAATTTGTGAAAGCACACGAAAAATACTGAAATGACACAGTGAGACAGGGTCTCACCCTGTCACCCTGGCTAGAGTGCAGTGGTATGATCGTGGCTCACTGCAACCTCAAACTTCTGGGCTCAAGAGATCCTCCCACCTCAGACTCCCAATGTTGCACTATTTGAATTAAGATTTTCTTTAGATCATATATTCCTACTGTGAATTATGAGAGGGATATATGCAATTAAAACTAATAATCAATTGATTTCTGCAATTATAGCTAATCAAACTATAGTTAATGTACTTAATCACATACATGTTAGTATATGGTATACTGCCAGACAAAATACCAAGACATTTTGATGTGTCTTGCACAAACCCTAATTTCCCTCTTAGATTACATTTTGGACACATCCCCTTTTGGATATATTTGATATAAATTTGTGACCCATAATTTTGTCCCTGGAAATAATTATTTCTTCCCCAAAGGGTACATCTACCCTGTACCAAAGTAAAGGCAAAAAAGAGTGAAGTAGTTAAGAACAGTCCAGGGTCATTCAGATCTGACTTTGAATCCCACAAAGCTGCTGAGAATTACAATTGCTTGCCTTAAGAATGAGCTTGCAACTCTGCAGTCATTATGTGTCTTGTTTTCCTTTTCTTCCTCTGATATATACGGATTACATGGGAGCCAGAAATGGACATGAGAGCTTTGAAGTCACACAAACCTGGATACAAAGCCCCGTTCTTCACACCTGGCTGTGTATATTAGTCCATTCTCACACTGCTATAAAGCTACTACCTGAGACTGGGTGATTTATAAAGGAAAGTGGTTTAATTGACTCACAGTTCCACATGGCTGGGAGGCCTCAGGAAAATTACAATCATGGTGGAAAGTGAAGGGGAAAGCAAGGACTCACAGGGTGGCAGGAGAGAGAAGTGCAAGCAGAGGAAATGCCAGATGCTTATAAAACCATCAGATCTCGTGAGAACTAACTCACTATAATGAGAACAGCATCAGGGAAACCGCCTCCATGATCCAGCCACCTCCCATGAGGTCCCTCCCTTGACACATGGGAATTATAGGGATTACAATTTGAGAAGAGATTTGGGTGGGGACACACAGCCAAACTATGTCACCATGTGACCTTACATAAGTTACTAAATCCTTTCCAGTCTGTTCTGTTATCTGAAAAGTGAGGTTACTAATAGCCCCATCAGAGGGTTTCTGGGAAAACTTAGCAAAATGAAATGTAAGATAATGATAGAGGATTTTGTATTGGAGGAACACAAGTCCTTACTACATATCAGCTGGGCAGTAGAATGTGGAGGGTGGGAACAGAAAAGAAGTTTGTGACTCATTAATGAAAATTGTTTTCAAGATATGCTAGAATAAAAGCGTACATTCATTGCCAGGCACGGTGGCTCACGCCTGTAATTCCAGCATTTTGGGAGGCCGAGGAGGGCAGATCATGAGGTCAGGAGATCAAGACCATCCTGGCCAACGTGGTGAAACCCCATCTCTACTAAAAAAACAAAAACAAAATTAGCCGGGCGTGGTGGCAGGCACCTGTAGTCCCAGCTACTAGGGAGGCTGAGGTGGGAGAATGGCATGAACCCAGGAGGCGGAGCTTGCAGTGAGCTGAGATCGCGCCACTGCACTCCAGCCTGGGCGATAGAGCGAGACTGTGTCTCAAAAAAAAAAAACAAAAAACTTACATTCATTACTCAATTACAAAACACAAACATCAAAAAATATGGTTGCCAACACTAAAAAAAAAATTAATATGTGCCCAGGTTAATTCAAAGCACTTTCCATGTATTATCCCATTTAATCTTAAGATTATTCTCATTCTACAGATGAGGAATCTGAGGAAAAGATGGGTTTTTCATAATTTACCCAATGTAACACAGCCAGTAACCAAGAAAGTTAGAATTGGAATCTCAGCAGTGTGACTTTAGGCCTGTCCTCTTAACCTTTATTTATCTTCTGTAGGGACTAAACTTAATGCAGAATCAAATGTAAGGACCACATATCAAGAAGCAGGACAGTAGAAGATTGACAAAGTTCTCAAAAAAGAGGGAGTGCTTGAGGGTTGAGGAGACCAGATGAAAATGGTGTCTTAGTCTGATTTGTGCTGCTATAACAGAATGCCTGAGACTGGGTAAAGAATAGATATTTATTTTCTCACACTTCTGGAGGCTGGGAAGTCCTAGATCAAGATGCCAGCAGGTTGGGTTGTCTGGTGAGGGTTGCATTCTCCAGAGAATGTTGGCTGTGTCATCACATAGCAGAAGGCAGAAGGGTAAGAGACTGAATGTTTTGTGAAGCCTCTTTTATGAGGAACTTAATACCATTACTGAGGGAGCACCCCTCATGGCCTACTCATATTTTAAAGGCCTCACCTCTTAATACTATCACATTGGCAACACCTGAATTTTGAAGGGAACATATTCAAACTGTAGCATTCTGTGTCAGATATACTGCATTTCATCAAATCTAAGATGAAAAGCACCACCAGTAAGTACCATTAAGAAAGGAGAATGCTGCCAGTTTAACTATATTAAAAGTTTACAATATGTTTTCCATTTAGATTTTTATTTTCAACTTACTGATAGAGTTATCTTAGGCTTATTTCTACATAGATATTTATGATTTATCAGTTGAACATACATAACAATGAAAGCAAAGCTAAGTAAATGTAAGGTAATTCTATAGGACTTTTGTAGGCAGTTTCTTCTGAATCTTTTCAATTCATGTCCATCTATGGCCCTGTTGTCCTCACAGGTTCTCTGGCCCAGGGAGGCATTGCTAAAGTAGCACTTCAGAGAGCCCCTCTGTCATATCTGGATTTCATCCAAACCTTTCTATGCATTTATATGCTGGAACTTTCTTGATCTCCCCAGAAGCTGTCTGCAGAAAGTTTTCAGACAGTAACTCATTCTTTTCTCAAATGGCCATTAAATGGTTTCTTGGCTCAAATGTGGGTTGCAGCTCTGCATTTGTGCCACCACGAATGGCAGCCATATTTGTGTGTTTGCACATTGTGGCAACTGTATCAATAGCTGCCAGTCAAAATTGACTATAATTCTCCATCTCCTGTTTTCAACTCTGGTTTCATACGTGTTAAATTTGAAAATATGTGCATTCAAATCAATGAAATTACAAGGAAATTCGGACCATCCATTTCATTTTACCAACTGTCCCTTGACTTTGATAATGATATATTAGTCATTTTGCGTGTAACTGCCTGAGACTCAGAATAAGAATATCTTTTGATATATTTTGTAGTTGACTCTCTGCTAATATTATTCTCCAGTGGGTCTCTGACATGATTTACCCTGTGGATACACAATACATACCGGTTGTGTTTGGCTTACTGCCATTATTCTGTATTTCATGGAGCTCCCTGGCTCATGGAAAGTCTTTAAATCATTATTTAGACATATTTTATAGAATTTAGCACCTTCCCTCATGGAACAATATCAATTTTTTATTTTATTATTTTAATTTTTAATAATAATGCCTGATTATAGCGTTACCCCTTGCATTACCAATACACACACCCACTACTGGAAGCAGAGCAGGAGTTTGTTCTCACTGCTGGTTCAGGGCAAGAAATACTATGTTTTCATTAGAATTCTAAGTGGCAGCTCAAAATTTACTATTTGGCCTTTAAATATTAGAATTCTGTTAAAATATTTTAAACTTTTTTTTTTTTTTTGAGATGGAGTCTTACTCCTGTTGCACAGGCTGGAGTGCAGTGGCACAATCTTGGCTCACTGCAACCTCTACCTCCCGGGTTCAAGCAATTCTCCTTCCTCAGCCTCTTGAGTAGCTGGGATTACAGGCGTGCACCACCATGCCGGGCTAATTTTTGTATTTTTAGTAGAGACGGGGTTTAGCCATTTCGGCTAGGCTGGTCTCGAACTCCTGACCTCAGGTGATCCACCTGCCTCGGCCTCAAAGTGCTAGGATTACAGGCGTGAGCCACTGTGCCTGACCAAATATTTTCAAGTTTTAAGATGTTTTCAGGAGCTTTTAGACTTCCATTCCTTTATGCTCAGAGTCTGTGTGGTACAGTGGAAAGGGGGTGGGGCTTTGGGACCAGGGAGAAAGTGGCCTCACACTCTTCACTACCAGGTGGCCTTCATTAAAAAATACCAAGTGCTTTCACTAGTCAAGGCAAGTTATGTACAAGTTTCATTCAATCCTTCTAGCAACCCAATAAACAATTGTTGTTACTGATCCATTTTACAGGTGAAGAAGCTAAGGCACAGAGAGTTTAAGTACCTTAGAAAATTAACTTCTGTTATCTGTGATGTCCTTAGATTTATAAAACAAAGACTTGCTATATTAGCTGTAACATGCATAAAGCACACTGCACATATTTGGTGACTGAAATGGAATCTAATTTTATTACACTGGTTTTTAATTGCTTTTATCCTCCATTCCCCAAGGAGTATTAAATTGCCCTTTGAAATAGCCTTACAGATTCTAAGAGGAAAATACACTTTTTAGAATTTTAAAACTGGAATAAAAATAACTTTCTATTACACAATTTGATTCTACCTGTTTTGTCTTATGTGATTGATAATCCTCATTTTTTAAAATTAAGAAAACCAGTAGGCAGCTTCATACCAATGCCCAGGATTTCCTACTGCCTGCAAATCTTCTCCTTCATGCCTAAATTGAAGGAATTTGTACTTCACAGTGATGAAAGTCTTTTTTCAGTGGATCTTTGGGTGAGGCAAGCTAACATCGTCTATACTTTTGTGAATCAATAACCGTCTTGCTGAATGCATAACTTCTAGTAGTTCTTATCTTTATAAAACTTCCATGTCCACATTAGAAATATTCCTTTTAGAAAACGTTTGTCATTGCCCCTACCAATACAAAGAAGAGTAATATTTATACACATGTTTAAAAGAGAAGTTAATTCAATAATTTGATAGGTGTAATTAATTAAGGCATAGTTTTGGAGAAACATTACAATAATTGCCTCAAATTTTTGAGCCTGTCTGTCCTCCTTTCTTCTTTCCCTCATTCCTTTCTTTCTTTCTTTTTTTCTCTCTTTCCTTTTTGGAACCTACAACTAAATGAATTGAATATATCTCTTTTAGCCTACAAATCCTATTCATCTGCTTTTATTTTTCTATGCTTTAATATCCTTCCAAGTACATTTGAAGAATAAGTAAATATATTTTCTAAAAATCTTGGCACATTTCCTGGTTTTGAAGGCATGAGGAGAGAGTTGGCAAAAAAGTGATTTTTGAATGAAAATAAATCTATCCTTACACTTAAAATCCCCAGAGGCATCATTGATATAAACCAAAATAGCCATTTTCATAAGGAAAATAGCCAGGTTTTATGTACTTTTGATGATAGAGTGTTTTTAAAAAGGCTGTAGCAACTGAATATATATGTAAATCTAGTGTATAGTATTTCCACATCACAAACCATAGCATAACCTAAACCAATAATTGGAAAAGAATAAACCAATGAAAGCTATATTCTAGAATCAGGTACACTATTACAAAAGTTCAGTCTACCAAAATAACAGATCTGTTAAATGCAATTTTAGGAACAAGGCAAAGCTTCTTACTCTGCCATGCAATGGAGAGAAGTCGAAATGCATTTACAAAGCTCACTTTCCAAAGTTATATATAGTAGAGAGAATCAAGAAGGATAAGAAAGAGCCATGCATTTAGTTTACTGTCCATCAGAAGAGGTTTCTCTCTACTTTATAAATTTTTTGAATCTTGCCTTTGAATTTTTTGACTCTAATTATTAGTTGCTTAAAAGTTATTTTGATACCATGCTATTTAGTTGTGTTGTTAGTAGAATGTTCTGTTTCTCTCTCTCGTATAATTTACCTGACTTCATAAACAGGAAATAATGTTGAGCAACTAACGTGTCATACCCATTTCCATTCCCACATCCTTGAAGAAGAGTGATCCTAAGTTACAATAAAAACATGCTCTGACTAATGCTTCTCTCTGTTCACTTTTGTAGATAGTGAGGGAGCTTTAAAAATCACATCAGTTATTAAAAATTCCATGAGAATATGTCTTTATAATAAGGGATGAATTTGTTCTTTTTGTTATTCATAAATAATCCTGAAGGATTATCTAATTGCAGAAAACAATTAATTTTCCCTTTAATGGTTAAATTGATTATAGTAGACATGGAGAATGATAAATGTCAGTAGGTTGTAGGTCATGTTAGGTACTAAAATGCCTAAAAAACAATTTGGTGTTCATAATCATAGGCAAATATATGGCAGGTGTTAAAAGTTGTTTGTGGGTAATAATCATTTATATTTCATACAGAACATCAAAAGTAATATCTGCGAAGTAAAAAAAAAAAACCCAATCTATATTTGTTACATATGATGAAACACACTGCTTCAAAGGAAAGAAGAGTTAGACATGGGTTTGAATTTCATTCTGCCACCTAAGTCCACGTGGTCTTGGGCAAGTTACATTGCCTGCCTCAGGATAATATAAATAATTTACCTAGTTCTATGCGTAGTAAATGTTCAGTAGGTGTTAGCTATCATCATCATAATTCATTTACATATTTGACAAATATTAAGACTGTATGATGAATCAAGTCCTGACAAATTCCTAAACAATCCAGTTTGAGAACAACTGATTGAGCAGTATGCCCTGCAGGTACTGCATTGGTCTCTGAGGGAACACAAGGAGGAATGAATAAAGGATTTACCATAAGTAAGAGGAGATAGCCATGCAGAGAACTTAATCTCTATCAAAACAGAGTGGCACCAGTGTCAAATAAATTCCTGATACATGCTTACATACTGGGAAAGTAAAGAGAAGATGTATATAACTGAGATGAACAGTCTTAAAAGATTGGTAGGATTTTGATGAGCATAAAGGGACAAGAGTGCAAGGTGTTTTGTGGAAGAAAAGTGATTGGCCAGTGGCTTTGCAGTCTAGGCTGAGGAGAAGAATAAAAGCGAAGATATGCCTGCGATAGTTTGGAAGCAGGCTTTGAATTTTTTTTTTTTTTTTTTTTTTTTTTTTTGAGACGGAGTCTCACTCTGCAGTGCAGGCTAAAGTGCAGCAGTGTGATCTCAGCTCACTGCAACCTCTCCCTCCCAAGTTCAAGCAATTCTCCTGCCTCAGTTTCTCGTGTAGCTGGGACTACAGGCATATGCCTGGTTAATTTTCATATTTATAGTAGAGACGGGTTCCACCATGTTGGCCAGGCTGGTCTTGAATTCCTGGCCTCAGGTGATCCACCTGCCTCGGCCTCCAAAAGTGCTGGGATTACAGGCATGAGCCACTGAATCAGGGCCCTGCCCTGAATTCTTAAATGTTATACTTGGAGGGCATATTTTATTTTATAGGCTGGGTATTTTCCAACTTTCTTTAGGCTTATGAATGATGCCCAACATATTTTCATGCAACAAATATGTGTGGAATCCTTACTCTGTGCCAGGCGCTGTTGTAAATGTTAGAACAAACTAGATTTAACTCCTATCATCATGGAGATTTTCTTTCTAGAGAAATATAGTGTGGGCAATTGAATGCTGGCTACTACTTTCTCCTTCACGCAGGAGGGAGTATCAAAATGCAAGTCCCTCATAATTTGATTATGATAGGAAGAGTCTAACTCATAACAATGCACACCATGCACAAAATGTTGCTTTAAATACAGTTGTTAGCAGATTGTTAGTGCACTCAAAATCAAGGCCAACTCTTCTGAGTGTCTGGACCCCAGCACTGACAACTGCTGCTCAGGTCTTCCAGGAGGGCAGTAGTGTAACCTGAGAAAGAACCAGAGAATGTTAATGTCAAGGCCAGTCTCAAGTTCCTCTGAACACTACCATTCCACCAGGTCAGGGACAACCTTTTCCTAAACATCCCCTGACACCTCTTACTTACTTATCAGACCTCCTCTTACGTTATAAAGGCCAAAGACATAGTTATTTCCATTGTAAATTCACCACTGGGCTTTTCCTCTCTCATTATATCCTACCTCTCTTTGTTTTATTTGCCATTCTCATTTCTGTAATTATATTTGTCTAGACTAGCACTGTCAAATAGGACTTTCTGTAATGATGGAAATGTTCTATTCTGCGCTGGTCACTGGGGTAGCCCCTAGCTAGCCATGTGTGGACGCTGAGCATGTGCAATGTAGCTAGTGTGACTGAGGACTAGACTTTAAAATTGTATTTCATTTTAATTAAATAGTCATGTATGGCCAGTGGTAGCATATTAGCACAGGTCTAGATGTTCATGAAAATGTCCAATTCTGTATTCTATTTCCTTGACAATATATATCTGGTGAATTCTTACATTCAGTTTATCTAGCTTTTAAAGACATAAATTTCTTTTTTGCAGCTAAACTATGATTTTTTTTTTTTAATTCTCACGTAGTTCTAGGAGCAGGAAAGTAGTAGAGAATGTCACTCTTTGTCTACACCTGACCTTGGAGTCATAGCAGCAGCCAGGAAAGAGACGCTATGTTGGGGGTAAAGCTCTGAGGTGGCTTTTTATTCTAATCTACCTCTTGACATTCTCTAGCCAAGGAAAAGAGCAGTTTTTTCTATTTTTGTCTCTTTTTCTCTTTTCTCCAAAGAGGCTGCCTAAGGTAAGAACTGCAAGAGGAAAGAGGTAGCTCTGCTTAGATAACAGTGTACTTTAAACTGTGATGTGATCCCTCCTCACTGCTTCCTGTTGCTAATGGATGTGGGACGAAGGAGAAGGAGCAGACGTATATGGCTTGACAGGTGACTCCATGCATGGCACCATTCATTCCTAAATCATGTGCAAGAGAAAGAATACATTTGTAGGGCAAGGGGGATAATGGGCTCCCTTTTGGGCATGTTGAGTTTGAGGTCTTTATGTTGAGATATGTCCTTGGAAGTTACCTATATGTGTGCATCTCTGGAGAAAGATCTGTCCTGGAGATGAATGTTGGGCCAGGGTCATTGGTATATGCTAATTAAACCACAGGAAAGGATAAGATGGCCCAGGGACAGCGGGAAGAGTGAGGAGAGGATGAGTGATGAAACATAGCCAGAGCACCAACATTGAAGTGATGGATGGAGGAACAGGAAGGAGCTTTGAACCAAGTAGGAGGGCAAAAACCAAGAGAAGGCAGTCACCGAGGATGAAAGGGGAGACAAGTCCAAGATAAGGAATGTTCAACAATGCCACCTGCTGTGGGACTGTCAAGGTAATGGAAGGACTGTAAAGTATCCATTAGGTTGAGCCCTATGACGTAGAAATCAGAGACCTCAGTGAGAACGGTGTCAGAACAGGTGACAAGGGTTCGAAGGATGGGTGGAAGGTGAGGAAACAAAGATAAAAAGTATAGAGAGCTTAACTATTTGGCTGTGAAGAGAGGGAGCTGGAATAGCTATACCTGGTGGGGCAGGAGGATGAGAGGTGGGTGGAGAGTTTGTTTTGAAAGTAGATTAGAGTATGTTTAAATACTGGTGGCAAAAAGAGGGGTTGGTAGACAGTGGATAAAGACACAGAAGGGAATGAGATCATTAAGGAGCCAGCCCTTGAAAAGGGAGGAGGTTGGGGTCTAGAGAACAGGTGGTGAGAGACACATTGACCTAGGCAGAGAGAGGGATGACTTTCAGTTTAAGATGGAAAGGATGGGCTGGACACGGTGGCTTACACCTGTAATCCCAGCACTTTGGGAGGCCAAGGTGGGTGGATCATCTGAGGTCAGAAGTTCGAGACCAGGCTGACCAACATGGTGAAACCCCGTCTCTACTAAAAATACAAAAATTAGCTGGGCATGGTGGTGCGCACCTGTAATCCCAGCTACTTGGCTACCTGGGAGGCTGAGGCGGGAGAATCACTTGAACCCAGGAGGTGGAGGTTGCAATGAGCTGAGATCCGCACCCCCCCACCAAAAAAAAAAAAGGAAAGGATGGGTGTGGCTGCAGATAAGTTAATAGGCTCAGGAGATGGTGGTTGAGAGAGGTCCTGTCTCTGTGCCGGCTTTGCCAAAACTAATTTTATATCTAAGAGTCTATATATTCCTCAAGTGACTTTTATGTTTGAATGGGGCTAATGTAAACGTTCTCATAAAAAGCATCCCAGTCCAAGTGAGTTGTGCATTTGAAGTCGGCATGGGGCTTTAGGAAAGCCGACTTGTCCAGTCTCATCTGCAGAAGGACTTCTTAGCAGCGGTCAGTTTTGAAGCTCTAAAGTGAAGCGGAGCTTTAGGTATTTCCCCTTGACTAAAGTGAAAGCCAGAATCAAGCACAATACTTGTTTTGGCTTTTTCTCTCTGCCGTTTCTATTGGAAGTGCATGATTCTAATTTTGAAAACTATAAAAACGGTCCTGGAATGCTTAAGGTGCAGAGCCCTAAGCAGAGAGTGAGGCTTGGGGTTGGGTCAGCACTGTGTTCATTGGCCCAGTGTTCATGGTCAGCAGCACTTGTTTGTGAGGACAGTGGGGTCTGTAACGTGTGCCTACCACAGTGTACAGCTCAGACGTGACCTTTGCAGGTCCTAGAAAACACATGTGTTTCAGGCACATGGAGTGTGTTGGGATCTGGGTGGCATCAGTGTCTGAGAAAACCTTGTTATGCAAAATGAAAATATAAATAAACATTAAAAGACTTAAAGATTTCTTAAAGCAACATACCCTTTCATTAAATAAAAACAGGACATATAAAATCCATATCTAGTTTTACACATAGACATTTCATTCTGTGAATATCTCTCTAACATGAAACTGAGCAGCTGTTTCTCCAGATGCCACATCAGGGCTCTGAAGGGAATTGTTGCTAAATCCAATACCATAGTTAGCTAGATATCGAAAGAAATGCTACAAGATGTATCTGATCTAATCAGTAAGCCTCAATGAACTAAAATTTAAACACACAGCATGGAATTAATGTGAGAATTTGGATTACATTCTAAACAAGTGGAATGTAATTGCTAGGCCTTTGAGCTTACCACATTCTAATTTTTATTATTTAAAACGTATTAAGGATCCATCACAAGAAACCCTCTTTGTTTTTTCTACAATCAGTTGTCATTGTGGCAGCCAATTGTTTTGAGAGAGAAAGTACAACATTATTATTTATGAGAAAGAGCTGACACACACAATCCATATATTTAGCTGACTCTGATATGCCTGGACCAGCATATTAAATTACATAGATAACTACTTGGAAGATAGATCTAGAAGGTTACAGGTAATTTTTAATGCAGGAACCATCAGCCCTGTACTGAAATGAGAAAATACTCATCAACTACTTTATAACCTGTTGCCATTCTGCCCCATAGAACGGTAAAATGAACAGCGGGAGAAATTTATGCTCTAGGTCTGTTGGTCTAGAATGAGTGACCTGATAAAAGGGAAAAAAGTGGAATTTTCAAACACACACACACACACACACACACAAAATGGCTATTTACCTTGAAGAAATTTATTAGTAAAAACAACTAGTCAATCCTCTTTGACAAATACATGATAAAGTTCTTGAGTATCTTTCCATTTCTAAAACAAGTATAAATAAAAATGTTCATTTATATTGCCAAGTTTAAGAAAGACTTTAAAATGCTCTGAAGTACTTCAGAGCATATGATTTTAGAAAAAAATATATATATAGTCTACACATCTAGGAAAAATACTGGAAAGTCAAATGGCAGTGTGTTAACAATTCCTATCTCTGATTGGTGTGACTATAGGCATTTTTATTATTTTTCCTTTATTAGTGAATATCAGCATTGAGCATGTATTACTTCCATACATTAATATATTATTAATATAACCCACTAAACAAGTAACACCCTAAGCATTTCGTAGACTGTGATGGGAGGTTCATAAACATCATTCAGATGATGTTAACCAAGCACTTGCTTTTGTTTGTCAAAGAACTATCTTTTGCCTTTATCTTGTATTATATTGATGAGGAAATTCTTTAATCTTTGTGATTTGATCTACTGCTTCTGTCACTCTTTGCCATGGATGCTTCTTATCCTCATGCCAAAGACCACAGCATCGGAGTACTGGACAGTGGCCACTTAGCCTGCAGCTGGCTCAGCCCATGTCCTCCCCCAGCTTCCCAAAGGCCTGGACTAGCCAGGGCTGCCCTGGCCTCACCACCATTGCCTTGGCCAGTTCCTAGCCCATAGTCCTTATTATCAGCTAATGAGGATCCGAGACAGTGCCAGCTGTAGGTGGCATTTGTTCATCTGATTCACATGGCATTTTATCAATGATGAATTAATAGGTGCATTACAATTATATACATATTTTGTTAGTGTAATATGCCTTCTTAGAATAAATAAATGAGGGTATGTATTGTCCTTTAGAGAGTTTCAGACCACTAATTAGATTAGCTCTGAAAGTTAGCAAAATATAACATGTGTGTTATCCATGGCAAATATGTTACCAGCTATAAAACCTTTATTAGAAAATGTGACAGAAAGGAAAGAAGGCACATGAGAGAAAAATCTGTTGATTTTGCAAAAGTAGCTGCTGGTGAAAATAGATGTTACAAACCAATGGTCCTTAATACTTCAGGATGCCTAAATGTATGAGTATACTAGAAGCATTTGGAGGATGGGAGAGAGCTCTTCTATAAATTGTACCCACTCATGTTGACTCTATGTGCTTTGTCCCCAACCTCCACTCAATGTCTCACCCACTTCCATGAGCCACTCTTACTTATGAGAGGTGTGTCGGGGCAGGCAAAAGATTGAGACCCATTAATAGTGACATAAGAATCTGGAGAATATCATGGCGCTTAGATGGAGGATCTGTTCTGGAGAGGGGTGGAAGCGAGTGGAGGATTTTTAAACATTGACAAGTTCAAGTGAAAAGTTATAGAGATAACTCCAAATGCCACTGTAACTATTATCAGAGGGAATGGAGACAGGAAAGGATGAGGCCGGTGACATTACAGCATGAGCCCCTGCCAACAGGTTTAGTCAGAAAACATTTCCCCAAAGTCAATAACTGATCTCACCAAACAGAGTAAGAGTTTGCTCTTAAGAGCTGTGACGGGCTCAGTACTGACTCTTACGAACTCTATGTAATGGGCAAGAACTTAGTAATGGGAAGGCACCAGAGGACTCCTGTTTAGAAGGTGCATTAACTCTCTTAGGCCACTAGGAATTTATTTAATAAATTGCTATTCTAGCATAGGAAATCACCCCTTCATGGCCTGAGAGAAAAGTGTTCCATAGAGTAGCAATTTACTCCCCTCTTGGCAGGAGGAACAAGCCCCATATACAATATTAAAAACCAGCCATTTCTTCATCATTTAAAAAAGAATTCTGAGTTTTGGTCTTTAATTACTTGCATACAAATTCTATTTGATGGATTTCTAAAGAACTTTGATTTTCTTAAGACCTCGTGCCATTTCACTTTTGAGAGAGAGAATATATACATACATTCACACCGTGAAGGCTAAAAACAGCTGGTGAAAAAGTAAAAATTCAGTGTTGACATAAATCCTGTTGAAAGCATCTCAAAAAAGATAAAGGTTGTAATTTAAATCAAAGTTTCTTCATGTCGCAGTTCAGAGCAACATGGTCATGACAGAAAAAAATGGGTCACATCAAAGAATAAGGGGGTGAGTTTTAGTTGGGAGCTGAGATAGCAGTCTTCCTCAAGGATGGCCATTGTAGGGCGCCATGATTAATTAAGGTATCTGCCAGTCATCTGGGCTTCAATCATCACTTTGGAAAGGGCAGAAAGCCCCAATATTTACATAGGGATCATACGCTCATATTCACAGTGCTGCTGCTGCTTCTCTTGGCAGCCTGTGACTTGCTGGCAAAATGTCTTCAATTACGGGCAAACTGCCTAGTCTCATATCATCACAAACCAATTTGTCAGGGTGTGTGTATTTGGAAAGCTCTGGAAACAGAAATATTTTACTTATTTTAAGAGACTGGGGAGAAACCCTAGTACACATACATTCAAAAAATACCAAGTCTTACGAAATTTTACCCTTAGGTAAATATGCTTGTGCCCTCCACAAGGGAAAAAAAAGTAGAAATATCTATGTTGATGTTCATGTGAAACAGCTCTATGGATATTTACGGAGAAATTGTGGAATGGAGAGGCTAAAATCTCTCCACCTGGACTCCACATTTAAACTAATCAACGTTACCACGGTTTTTCTTTAAATAAGTCCATATTGTCTAGATATTTTTAATCACTATTTCTTCAATACTCTGTGATAATTGTGGGAGTTAAAGTATTAGATATAATAATTTATATTTTAAATAACAAAAAGATATAAATAATATAAAGATAAATAAATGACACATGGGATATGGAAAAGCGCCTACGGTAGCCAAAATAAAATAAAGTAAAAGACAATTACTGAAATAAAACTCCAAATGAGGAAATCTATTAGCATTCTTCCAGTTTTCTTTCTTCTCACTTTTCTCTTTCTCTGATATGTTATAAAATAAAATTTCAGAATTATGAGAACTAATAAACAATTATTTGTACATAAATTATATTAACACTAATTCCATTGTTCCTCATCTACAGTTTTATATATGATATTTTAAGCTTTGAAAAATATCTGCTTGCTTGCAGAGTTGATTGTACAGTGAATATCAACAAAATGAATGTTATTTTCCTGTTAGATTTAGTTTTGGGGTTTGAGTATTTATTTATTTGTGTGTTTACTTGTTTAATTCATATCTTTCCTGCTTGATTGTAAGTTTCCAGAGGGTAAGGACCATGTCTTTCTCATCACTATATTCTCAGCACCTAGAGCAATTGTAATTCCTGCTAAAAATATTTTTTCAATGACTATTTTTGTTTGTTTGTTTGTTTTTTGCTTTTTGAGATGGAGTTTCACGCTGTTGTCCAGGCTGGGGTACAGTGACGTGATGGCTGCTCACTGCAACCTCTGTCTCCCAGGTTCAAGTGGTTCTCCTATCTCAGCCTCCCCAGTAGCTGGGATTATAGGCATGTGCCACTGTGCCGGCTAATTTTTGTATTTTTAGTAGAGATAGGATTTCATCATGACAGCCAGGTTGGTCTCAAACTCCTGACCTCAAGTGATCCGCCTGCCTTGATCTCCCAATGTGCTGGCATTACAGGCATGAGCCACTGCTCCCGGCCCTTTTCAATGACTATTGATGCTGTTCTAGAAAAATATCATCTGGTATAAAAAATTGAAAATTTTGTAAAATAGATAATTTCAGTTGAGAGATCATCTACTCCCATGTTATAATGGCTATATTAATATGCCAACAGGGATATGCTTTTCTGGCTGGTGAATTTACTATAGAGTTACTTTTTCTCCTGCAGCAGTTTCAAGACTTGGTAGGACTTTTCGTCTTCTGGGCTCTCCCTTTGACTATTTGACGTAGTTTGTTCTTCCCAGTCTACCAGAGCAATCACTTATTTTGTTAAGTTCCTAGAACTTAACCTCCTTTCTCTATTTCATGTCTAAGTTTATAATAACAAATAGAGCTGAACTGTGAGGATTTATTTTTCTGAAGTATGTTCTACAACTTGGAAACTTTCAGTGTTTGAAGCTTTGCATTTTTCAAAATATGTCGTGGATCTACTGTTTCAACTTTTTAAATTTAGCTCTCTATACATAGATTTCTTTGAAGGAGATATGTGTGTGCTCCTAGGGTTTATAAATGAAAGCAAATAAATTAAGGGGAAACAAGCAATAATGTCAGGCAGTTGAAGGCTAAGGAACAAAGTCCAGGGTACAGTCACTTAAATCTCCCTCATTCATTCTCAAAAGGAGTTATTATAAGCTAATTAACAAATCTCGGTGGGAACTTGAAACATAGATGCATATCTTAATTTGTTTTCAAATAGTTTAATTAAATGCACAATATGAATAATATCGGCCATTTTTTTTTCCTTTACTTTGTTGGTTTTTTTTTTTTTTTTTTTGAGACGGAGTCTCGCTCTGTCACCCAGGCTGGAGTGCAGTGGCATGATCTTAGCTCACTGCAACCTCCGCCTCCCAGGTTCAAGCGATTCTCCTGCCTCAGCCTCCCAAGTAGTAGTCCCAATTAGGGACTACAGACGCACACCACGGTGCCCAGCTAATTTTTTTGCATTTTTAGTAGAGACAGGGTCTCATCATGTTGGCCAGGCTGGTCTCAAACTCTTGGCCTCGGGTGATCTGCCTGCCTCAGCCTCCCAAAGTGCAGAGATTACAGGCATGAGCCACCGCGCCCAGCCTGTCCAGTTTCAATGAATCATTTCAGTTCCCCAAATAAAATGTGTTTTTTTTTACTCTGTGATGCAATTTTGAAATAGCTTTTGGAAGATCACTACTATAACAGTTTGCTTATCAAGACGTTATACCAGGCTTACTTATTATAAGGATCACTTAACTTACGGAAACTGGTACTGGGTTGTTTTCCCCATCCATCTTTTTACTAATTTTCAATTCATGTATTGAGTACTCAAGTACTCAGTACTTCAATTCGTGAAATACGGTTATGATTTCATGTTACAGACAGCCTTGCTGGGGGACTATACCTTCTGGTTTATGCCTGTGGTCCTGGCATTATTATTATTATTATTATGAGATGAGGTCTCGCTCTGTCGCCGAGGCTGGCGTGCAGTGGCACAGTTGGAGTTCACTGCAGCCTTGACCTCCTGGGCGCAAGTGATCCTCCTGCCTCAGCCTCCCCAGTAGCTGGGACTACCTCATACCACCATACCCAGCCAATTTTTAAAAATTGTTCTTGTAGAGACAGGATCTCACTATGTTGCCAAGGCTGGTCTCAAACTCCTAGGCTCAAGCAATCCTCCTGCCTTGGCCTCCCAAAGTGCTGGGATTACAGGTGTGAGCCACCATGTCCTACCTGGCATTATTATTTTAACAATGCCCGTTTTCACTTTCAAAAGTTTAGACAGTAATTTATATGTTAGTCCATCTATAGGGACTTTTAAAACACCCTCCACATATTTTCCCCACTTCTCTCCACCTCTGATTCTCACAGACCAATCCTGTCTTTCTCAAATGTGCCACAGAGACAAATCTAGCTTAGCCAGTATGAAACATAAAGGATTAGGAGTTGGAGTCAGACTACCTGGGTCCAAATCCCAGCTCAGCCATTTTCTGTCTTTGTGATCCTGAGCAGGCTAGCCAGCCTCTCCAAGCCTCGGCGTCCTCATCTGAGCACAGGGGAATGGTAGTAGCACTTCTTAGAAAGGCAGTAAAATATAGCAGGTACCAACCTAGACTTTCATATCCAACTGCATGGGTATGACTCCACCATAACTTAAGGCTGTGACAGCATTAAACACATTGATAAATATAGTCTTAAAATATAGCTTGGCACATAAAAAGTGCTTAGCATATGTTAGCAATGGTTATTAGTGCTCTGAGGATTAAATATAGTATAAATGTGATGCCTAACACATAGTCAGCACTTACTTCATGAAATCCAATAATGTCACTGGATACTTACCTGGAATGTCTCTGGTTTCTATCCCTGCCTAATCCCAGCAATGATGTATTCTTCACAGATATTCTAAATATGTGCATACATTTGTATGTGCATAGGCCCGGAATTAGAAACTCTGAGCAGATATTGCTTTATCTCTCCAAATAGACTGTTCAGGGCTGCCAAATTGCAGTTAAAAATCTAGCAAAATGCCAGCACATTTCAAATAAGATGCAAATATGAAATTCACTTACTCTTAAAGGGTATATAAAGGCTTTGCTAAATTAGAAATGCAGAGAAGGGAGGTTTATTTATCCTGTTTATTTGAAGTGAGAGCCAGAATCATGATGGTTTAACAGTCCTAAATATTTCCTTGGGTTTTTGCAGGAGAGAGAGATTGTATTTATCTCTTAAAGGCCCATACCTATCTCCACAAAGGAACTAGGAGTAATTTTATTTACTTAATGTTTCTCAAAGAAACCCGTGATAGCTGGGTCTGTGTTTTTCTCATTTAAAAATCCACCTACATAGCATAGTGTTTAGCTCATTGTATGCCCTCAGTAACGGTTATTTGTTTGTTTGTTTTTTGAAACAGAGTCTTGCTCTATTGCCCAGACTGGAGTGCAGTGGCATGATCTCAGCTCACTGCAACCTCCGTCTCCCGGGCTCAAGCAATCCTCCCACCTCGGCCTCCTGAGTAGCTGGGATTACAGGCACGCACTGCCATGCCTGGTTAATTTTTGTACTTTTTGTAGAGACAGGGTTTCATCATGTTGCCTAGGCTGGTCTCGAACTCCTGAGTTCAAGTGATCTGCCCGCCTCAGCCTCCCAGTGCTGGGATTACAAGTGTGAGCCACTGCGCCTGGCCTCAGTAACTGTTTAATATACCAAGACTAGATGAATGATTGACTTCTTTATTGGAAATAATACTGCTTTGGTAAAGCGAATGCTTTCTCAGAAATGATTTTCACCTAGAAAAATCTAATGGTTACCTACTGGTATCTGTTTTCCTGTAAGAAGTAACTAAATGGTAATAAATTGTTTTATTTTTAAAATGTGGTCAAGGACTTAAGATTATTTTGACATTGGATGTTATTTATCTTTGTTGAAATGTATTCAAGGTTAAAATGAAATGAACCTTATAACTTTATGTGACTTTTTCTCCTGGGTGTATTAGTGCTATTCTTCGAGGTCTTTTAAAAAGCTGTTAAACAATGTAAAACCACGGAGACAATAGACAGAAAAAATTACTTATCTAAGACAGACTTTTACCCATATTGTTTCCATAAGAGCATCAATTTATGGGGGAAAAAAAAAAACCCAAGATGGGGAAAAGGTCAACAGAGCAACTACCTCTCTTAAAATCAACCATTTCACAGAATGCTCATATTGATAAGAAAAGCACTTCACTCTTCAACCATGATGGTTTCAGTGTATAACTCAAAAGAGGTGGAACTCCAGTGGCATATAAAGCTGCTTCAGAGCGTGCACTACCTGATTGTCCTTGTATCCCTCACGTGCCCAGCACGGGACCCTGCACCTGCTGGCGCTCAGGGAGTGTTCACTGAATTAAAGAGGGTCACCGCACTCGGGAGGGGTCGGCCACTGTTGGATGTGTCAGTTTTCTTTCTTTCTTCCCACTTACATACTAAGAACAGAGTTCACTAATGTGAAATCTGCTTGACCTGCTGGAATATGTGACACTTTATGCATAGTTTTAAACATTTCCTCATGACAAACTTACATCTTATGGCTTGCACTATAAGGATGGGCATTCTAGCACAAAACCAATTCAGTCATACATCTGGATAAAAGGCTGTTCAGTTTTCCATGGAAATGGGGATTTTATTCATTTAGAAATAGGGGATTTTCACTAATTTGAAAAAGCTAAGGATATAAAGATGTCTGTGGCATTTTTGGAGAATGACTGAAGCTGTGACAAGCATATAGCATCTACATTTACAGGTCACCCTGACCCCCAGGGAAGCACCTCCTTCAGGTGCTTCCCCAGAGCCTTCTCAGAGTTCCTGTGCCACCTCTGAGAAGGGCTCAGGAGGCGGTTTCCCTCAGCAAGCAGCTCTTCTGTCTCTAGAAGTCTCCCCAGTTTTTCTAGCCTGGTGGGTAAGATAGCCACGGGAGCATTAGGAAAAACAGATCAGAGTTAGTGCTGGAAAGTAGTAGAGAATTTTGCTCTCTCCTGAGGCCCTGACATGCCTCATCCTTTATGTTCAAGGAGGTGGGCTCAAGCGATCCTCCAGCCTCAGCTTCCTGAGTAGATGGGACTACAGACATGTACCACCACACCCAGGCAATGTTTTTATTTTTTTCTGTAGACAGGATCTCACTATGTTGCCCAGGTTGGTCTCCAACTGCTAGGCTCCAGCGATCCTCCTGCCTAAACAGGTATTTTCCTAAACAAAGACCTACCTTTTCTCCTATGAATTGTTCCACTCCCCTAGTGGCTGCAGAAGGTTTCTCTCCCACCATAGAAATGAAGAGGCAGCTAGAATGAAGTAGGGTCAGTCCAGGGAAAGAGGTGGGCGTGGGCTGCCATGGGAGTGCGGGAGAGGCACTTCACATGGTCGCAGATATTCAGGGATGGCTCCCAGAGGAAGAGGGGCATCTTGGTTAAGCAGCCAGCACATCCCAACACAAGAAATTGGCTCCTGTGGATTTAAAGAGTGAACATAATTTAAAGAATGACATCCAAATACACAAAGCTCTACTCAATTCAGATAGACTCTATGCTCGTAAAAGCCTAGGTTCATGTGTTAATAACACCCAGCAACTAGATGATGGTGATGATGATGAACATGTTCGCTCTGAAGGACTGGGCAAGATGCTTAGCATTTCTATGCCTCAGTCTGCTCTTCCGTAAAACAGATAATAATACCCATATTGAAAGGATGCATGGAGAATGTGTGAGAGAACATATGTTAAGTGTCCAGCCTGGGATCCGACATGGAGTAGGATTTATAGATGGTTAGCACAGCTATTACCAACATTCTTTTTTCTTACACTATATTCAGGATCCATAACATTCATCCACCATTGAGATCTTGAACCTCCTTAAGCCAGAGAACGCTCCTAGACTTTTGGAGCTAGAAGAGACTTCAGGATCATGTAGTCTAGGTGTTTGATTTTTTTAACAGCTATGTGGTAGAGTCCTGGGATACTGCAGAGGTAATTAAGGTTGTGAGGGATTGGGTTTGGGTTCATGTGTTGGGGAAATGGTGTGGTAGAGGGAAGCGGCTTTATTCGATCTGGCCAGAAGTTAGTGGCTGGGACTGGAATCCAGCACTCATGCATTTGCTCATTTATTCACTCATTTATTCATTTTACTGAACATTAAGATCTTACTCTGTATCATGCACTAGGAAAATAAACGGCTTTATAGTCCCTAGCAAATTAGACCTGTCTCCCTATCCTAACAGAGCTGAGAGTCTAGTAGGGAGACAGACAACATACAAGTAAATATCCAAGTAAATGTATGATAAATGTATCATCAATACACTGAAGCAAAAGGAGAGGGAGGCTAAGGGGAAGGGGTGAGAAACCTACTTTAGATTAAGGAACCAAGAAAGGCCATCTGTTCAAAAAGTCACCGATTTAATAGAGCTTATAGAAGTGCCATAAAATGTTTGGTCAATAAATTTGGTATATTCTTTATAGCGAATGTGTTGGAAATAGTAACCAATGCCCCAGCTGTGTATTGAAGTGTTAGTATTAGTCACTTGCAATTGCCTGAATGCAGCGTTTTTCAAGCTGCCTTCATCTGAAGGTTTTTCAGAGAGTGACATAACTTGAACACAGATTTCTAAATGATTAAAACTGCAAAAGCATGCATCAAAGTTAGACTCTGCTGTGCTCGCTTCTCCATAGTCATGTCTTGAATTTGCTTTCCTTCTCCACATCTGAAGGCTTAGAGGACACATCCATTGTAGGAGCTCTAAGACTCTTTTGCAGACTCATCCCCATGAAAGTAAAATAAAAAAGCAACAGGCAGCTGGGCACGGTGGCCACACCTGTAATCCCAGCATTTTGGGAGGCCAAGGTGGGCAGATCACCTGAGGTCAGGAGTTTGAGACCAGCCTGGCCAACATGGTGAAACCCCGTCTGTACTAAAAATACAAAAATTAGCCTGGCTTGGTGTGCAGGTGCCTGTAATCCCAGATACTCAGGAGGCTGAGGCAGGAGAATCGCTTGAACCTGGGAGATGGAGGTTGCACTGAGCTGAGATCGCGCCACTGCACTCCAGCCTGGGTGACAGAGTGAGACTTGGTCTCAAAACAAAACAAAAAAAGCAACGGGAGCAAAAGAATAAAGTGCAACAATAAGCACTTCCATTTCCTAGTCTGAAGTAGACCATTTGTGAATTGTCAATAGCTGAGCACTTTGATCCCTTTTTCCCTCTCCTTTGCTCATCTCTCGCTCATTTGCTTGCTAAGATGCGATCAGAGTTAGGTAAGAGCAGAACGTGGAGAATGAAATAGTCTCTATTCCTTTTTGTTAACAGCTGTTGTAAAAGGTTTTGGGAGCAGAGAAGATTGAAGGTAAAATGAGACTATAACTAAGTTCACGGATAATGTCATTGATTTTAATTATGCCAAGTTCTGAGTAGCAGACATAATTGAGACCGAGTTTGTTCTACAAGTTTTTATCTAATCCATTATATTACAAAGGCAGGTATTGGCAAATTGCTGTTTCCACTTTAAAGTCTATTATTATTAAACAGATATAATAGAGTTATGATGACAGAAGTTTCCTTTTAATAGTCAAAGGAGAAAGACAGACAGGAGGATGGAGCAGGGGGAAGTTCAGGGCCCATTCAAACTACAGCTTTACTTGGGGAAGATAACTGTAAACATGCTTCACTAACAGTCAATCAGAAATGCTCACCAACCAGGCATCTCTCAGAAATTTGGCCATATGAAGAAAATTGGGGTCCAACCTGATGGTCTTCAGGTAATTCAAGAGGTTGAAGTAGCCTCTGAAGCCTCACAGGAAGACTGAAGTAACTTCAGTATCATTTTATTAACTATTTGTATATTCTTTCCTCAGAAGTTGGTGATGCCTGCATCTTGAAATATGACAGTTCTGTTTACCAGAATTTTTATTCAACTAGTACATCCCTTTTCTAACCCCAGGTGGAAAATATAACTTATCCTACTTGACTAAAACTACAGATGAAAAACTTGCTGAAGCTATTAATTTTATGTGTTAGAATAAGTTTCATATACTATCTTAGTACTTGCTGTACCTGTTAAGACCACACTACAAAATATAACGTCTTGAGAGTTGCTCTAGCTCAGAGATTCATGCTGCCTTGAGCAGCTCCTTAAAAAATGCCTGATACATTTGGAATGTTTGCACAAATTATGAGATCTATTTTTCAGAATAATGACAATAATAAGCATTGCTTTATTCACACCATGCAAAAAGCTTTATATGCGATATATAACTTAGTAGTCACATCAAGCTATGAGAGTACTCTTATTTACACCATTAGTTTGAAACTTAGAATAACTTTCCCAACAGTTAGCCAGTAGAGCCCAGATTTTAATTATAACCTGGCTCTTCAACCCAGTCTTTGGTGAACTGCTATTATTAAGCCACTAGAATAAATGTGCCCTGGACTATCCCCACCCCCTACTCCGTTTTTAGTAGTGACTAAACTACCTTTTTTTTTTTTTTTTTTTTTTGAGACAGAGTCTTGCTCTGTCACCCAGGCTGGAGTGCAGTGGTGCCATCTTGGCTCACTGCAACCTCCACCTCCTAGGCTCAAAAGATTCTCCTGCCTCAGCCTCCTGAGTAGCTGGGACTACAGGTGCCCACCACCACACCCAGCTAATTTTTGTATTTTTAGTAGAGACAGTGTTTCACCATGTTGGCCAGGAGGGTCTCGATCTCCTGACCTCATGATCCACCTGCCTCTGCCTCCCAAAGTGCTGGGATTACAGGTGTGAGCCACTGTGCCCAGTCTAAACTACTACTTTTTTAATTAGTAGGCAAGCCATCCATATTCCTCATGTTTCAATTTTCTTACCTGGAAAATAGTGATAACAGGGGCCCTATATACAGCTCCGTATTAGTATTACTCTTATTATTAGGATGTACATGAATGTGGGATAGACTTTTAGCAGCATAGATTGTGCTAGCCAGGGATATCAATGTAAAATATGTTTGGAATACATGCTGATTACATGATGAGTTTAGCTGTAATCCCTTCTATGTTTGTCAGTTTCCCTGTTAAGTAAGAAACTCAAGGCCATGGAAAAGTAACTGAAAATTGGCTGGAAAACCAGTTTATTTAACGATTTCTTTTGTCCTCATGTGCTTTCTCCTCTTTGCCAGGATTCTGTGTTTGTTGATTCTTTCTCCATTTTTTAAAATGACTCCTGTTACTTTTCCAAGCAATATATCATAGTATAGATGGGTTATTGGCCGATGACTGTCTTTGCTTCAGTGCCTTCGATACTGTAAACTTTCTTATAAAATATTCTCAAGCATTAAACTTAGTATGATTTTTAAACATTGATTTAAAAGTAATTTTCAGTTGCATATTTATTAGACCTATTAGTCTGTGGTTATGGCCATAATTGCTACTCTGGCCAAATTTTGGTTTGTGTGTATATATGAATTATAATGGAGACTAATGTTCATTCTCTACAAATATATTTTTCAGAGAAAATGGGATTATCATTTGCTGTAAGATTGTCATGTTAATAATTCAATTTGAATAATGAGTTATTAGCACTCCAGTAGTTCTCTTTCCCCAATTATTAATGAGCTGTTACCAAAAACTCTATAAAACTATGAGAATGATAAACATCACTTAGATTTACTCTAGCCACACTTCATAAACAATATTTCTTTTACAGTTATTTTTTTAAAATTTACTTAACAAACCTGCCCATTCACTAACATTTGTACACATCTGCTTCATTGGTTAGATGGGTGTTGTGGAAGAAGGGTCTATGTCTGGTTTGATTCTATTTGGAAAAATGCCATGTGGACCAGTTGCACCAGCTGATGGTGATGTTTCTTTACATTTATTCAGAACCTTCCCATTTCAGAGGAAATGGGTTACTTTTGGGGGCCATGTGCTTTAAGTTTCAGATAAATGTCATTTGAGGACTTTTCTCTTGTGCCTTAAGTCCTTATGGTTCTGGGTTATGGTGGGAATGTGGGGAGCGGACACCCAGCTGAGGAATCACCTGGATTCATTATAGCATGGGATGCCATGGTCTAGTTAGCCAGCGAATATTTTAGAAGGATATTTATCATACAGACGGATCTTCAGAAAAATCACCATTTTCTCAACTGTAAGGTTGATGATTTTTAGGATTAATTAGTAGGGTTATTAATCCAAACAATTAAATTCTCTCCTAAGAGTACAGCTGTCTGATTAATTAATCTATTAATTAATCAGTGGCTTCTCCAGATGTCTGTTGAGATACTGTCCCTTGAGCACTGCTGAGATGTGTTTTCAGACCATGAATTAATCCCTTTCACTTATTCAACTCTACAGTAAAAGGAGACTATTTATTAAAAGAGCCCAGTTGTGGGTTTGCTGCGAGCAAAAATCTATTTGTAATTACTTGAGGTTATCCTTCTCACTCACGTATGTGACATACTTCTCTGTCGTGAATTGATAACATTTGATAAAATCTTAATAGCTTTTTAGATGTATTTCCTCTTACCCTACTGGAAAGCGTACTTACAAAATTAAACATGGCAGTTGAAAAGAGAAGAGTCATCACATTCTAAAACATGATTTATTTATTTCAATAAAGCAAGAAAATTATACCAGTAATTCTAGTCATATAAATTTCATGATCTCTTCAAGAGCCATTGTTTTCCAAGGCAAAACTTCATGTTGCAACCAGTTTTTTCCTGACTCTTGCTTCAAACTCACGTGAGCCCCAGGTTCCCTGAACAGTCCTTTTGTGGCTGTAGCTAGGAATCACCAGGGAGTCACGATCCAGTAGCTTACAGGGTGACTTCTTCCTCTGGGCATGACTGACCCATCCTGTCATCTGGTCACCTAGATACTGCCCAGATAGAACCACCCTGCAGGCCGGGTCACTCAGAGCACCCCAGCCCTGCACAGCTGCTCCTTCGGATGGCTCCCTCCTTCCTGGTGCCATGCTACTTTGACTGGATCATGCAGGCCCTCCAGGCATTACCACCACACCACTGATGCAGTGGAGTCCTGGAGCTGACAAAGTTGCCAGGTATTCTTTTTTCTTTTCTTTTTTTTTTTTCTTTTACCAATTATTTGATTTTGTTTTATTTTTGAGGCAAGGTCTGGCTCTGTTGCCCGAGCTGGATTTCAATGGTGTGATCATGGCTCACTGCAACCTCTGCCTCCTGGGTTCAAGCAATCTTCCCACCAGAGCCCCCCAAGTAGCTGGGACTACATGTGTACACCACCACACCTGGCTAATTTTTGTATTTTTTGTAGAGACAGGGTTGCACCATGTTTCCCAGCTGGTCTCCAACTTCTGAGCTCAAGTGACATGCCCGCTTCACCCTCTCAAAATGTTGGGATTACAGGCATGAGCCACCGTGGCTAGCATATTCTTTTTAAAATGAAAAAGCATGGTTCTCTTTCCCCTGCTTTTTTGGCAGCAATATAGTACAGCAGAAAACAATATAGATTTTTGAATCAGAAAGCCCTGGGTTCGAGGCATTCATCTACCCTGTGTCTACATAGGTTAAAAAGTGGATAATCATGATGATGCTGACTTCACAGGTAGCCATGAGAAATTGCACTGGGAAGACCGAATAGAATCCAGACATCTCGTTCTCCTCTTTCTGGAATCCAGCCCTTGAATCCCCTGCAGAGTTAAGAACATCCTCTTCTGTACATCTGACATGTGCGTGCATTCATTCATTCATCAATCTGCACCTACTGTGTATCTATTATTAATATTTAGCACTGTGTTGATTTGTGTCCTGAAGGTGTGTCCCAAGTGCATGAAGTTGGGGAAGAGGACAGGAGAGAAGAAAAAACCTGGGTAGGAGTTGAGGTTATGGATTCACTGGAACTGAATATGCACAAATTAAAAAGACAAAGGCTGAGGATGTTCTTCTGGGGAACACAGACATTTCAAGGGAGGGCAGGAGAGTTGTTCAGTAATGAACGCTGACACTGTGTCATGGAACACTGAGGACATGTGGTCAGTGGAGCAGGAGGAGAACTGAGAACCACAGCGGTGGAAGTTGCAGATGAGGGAGAGTTCCAAGAGGCAAGTGGAAGCATACCAAATGGTTCCAAGTGTCCCTTTGATTGGGCAAGGCTAGGACTTCTGTGACCTTGATGGAGTGATGGTAAAGAATGCCAAATTGCTATGGGTTGAGAAGTGGATAAGAAGGAGAATGTATAGGTTTCTTGAAAGAAGCCTGACTCTAAAGGCAAGAAGGCAGTAAAAGAGACAAACAGGGCTAAGAGCTTTGTATTTTCAGACTGGACAATGTTGTGATAAGTTTCAGATAATTTTGCTTGCCACAACAATTTAAAATTTGCAGTGAGATAAGGTTTCTAAAACTGTAAAATGTCAATGAATCTGTGAGCACATTTTAATTATTAAAGTACAAATTCTAATCTAATCTAGCCATAGAAGTTGTCAGAAATGGAGGGAAAATATATTTTTAAAATTTTTTTAAATTCTTTTTTTCCAGATAAAATCTAAGATTTTGACTAGTGAAATCCTTTGGGGGTAAAAGGACATGTCCACATACTTTTCTGTGGTCTCCTTTGAGGCCTCAGCATTCGACTTGGATGTTTCTTTCCTGAGTTAGAATTAGAAGTGAAGAGAACCAGAACCATTGTCAGTTCATATTTCTGTTCCATTTCTTGTCACAAGAGGTTTGTGAAATGAACACAATTTTGCTTCACTGCTTGGTAAAGCCAAAGCCCTCACTACCAGGCTGGTCATTGGCTGTTTCTCAGTTATTCATGTAAAAGTGTTATTTACATGTATTTTACTGGACCAGCCTGACCTCTGTGGCAATAAGGAAACAAATGCTGAACTTAGTGTACTGCTAGGGCTCCAAGAGGTCCCAGTAGGTGTGTATGGGACCAGGAGGTATATATAGGACCAAGAGGTGTGTATGGGACCAGGAGGTGTGTATGGGACCAGGAGGTGTGTGTGGGACCAGTCGTGGTCACCCCATCCCTCTCCTGCTGCCTGTTTCTCCTGGAGCATTCTGGTTTGGGAGTGAGGGCCACTCAGAGGAAAAGTGACCAGGGAACATGGATCCTCTTTGCACTGTGGTCAGAACAGGTGCTAGATATTAAGCCTCTGGGTCCATGAGGAGCTCCTTCCCAGTGGAAAGGGTCGTAGGAATGGTTCCTCATGGATATTCTATTTAGTCAGGAACTGTAATGACTTCTGCAGCAGTTCTCCCTGACCCCTCGTCTCCCAGGTATCTCTGCTGTCACTCCAGCCCTGCTCTAGGGAGTTCACCTGGGACTCAGCCTGTGCCTGCATAGAAACTAAGGAGGAATCCATATTTAGAGATGGCAAACTTTTCTTTGATGTTTCTTCTTGGCTTCAGATAGATTTTCTATTCCTTGATAGATAAAAGATGTAAAGAAACAACACTGAGCAATGACCAGCCTCCCATTCTTGGGAGTTTCATATGGAGCCTCCTCCCACCCTCCTGTCTAGTCCACAGGGTTCCCTGATCTCAGATTTGTCTTTCTCTTCACTTTCAAAATTAGATAAAGAAACATATCTATTCTTGGAGTACATCACTTTTCTCCACTCTCCCTCTCCTCATTTAGAATCCTATGTTTTGACATAATTTATCATGGATTGTCACCCTTGATGATTAAAAATGGCACTAATGAGATGAGGCTTGTCAAGACTTGATCACAGGGTCTCTATGTTCTGTCGGATGGTAATAGGAATCTTCAAGAGACTTTGAGAAAGCAGAAAGTGTGAGAACAAATTATGGATTCTTGTGGATGAGGGCAAAGGTGAGATGAGGCTATCTCGAATCAGCTTCCTTAAGGAAATCGAATGCTGCTGTAGCAGTTCTACCCTTGACTGTGTGTGAACAGTGCACCAGGCAATATGGAGTGAATCCTAAGACTTAAAACTAGATCATCACAATCGTAGAATCTTCAAAAACACAGGTGGGATGTTCTTGCTGTGGTTGGGACTGAACTATGATTATTTTATTTGGGTGACAAACATAACATGAAAGGCTGACAGATTTATTAGCTTTCTATTGGTTTCATTTAGAATACACAAGCTGACCCCAGACAGATGCGACCAAGTTTGCATGCTCCTCCAGTGGAGCATGTTTGAGATCCATCTTTTATTCTCCATCAGTGTGGTGTAGCCAGCAACTTGGCAGCAGTTCATTAGGAAATGAGTATCCAAAAATAAGCAAATCACAAAATCCATCAGGTTTCTCCCATATGAGTTTATAGATTATAAATGTACCTTATTTGTACATACCCTGAACACCATAAATCAGATTTTTTTTTTTTGCTGGACTATAGGCAACTATTTCATTCAGATATTTGGATAATCAGTTTATTTTTATGTCTAGAACAATTTCTCTAACTCATGTAAGGACTTAATTTACTGAATGATTTGTATCTGACTGTAACTTGTGATTTAAAAAAAAAATTGTACACGTCAGTTTAATATTGTTTTAGAGAGTAGGAACTTTGGTATGTCCTGAGCGCACACTTTGATCAGACCTTCCCAACGGAACACACGTCCATGTACACGTCGTTTGAAGATAAACATACCGTAGATTATAATGCTCAGTCCTGGTCATGAATTGAAACACTTGTTAGAAAGACAAAAAATAAGAAACAAAATTAAATTATTAAGTGAAAGCATTATTTTTGTCTCATGTTACTGTTCTTCATGTCTCATATGGTACTAAAGGATGAATCATGGTATGTTGCCGGTCGACCCATAGATTTAAAACAGCTTACTTCACCGTGAATGCAATTATGCATTTTGGGGTTTTCATGAAGAAGCAGCTGCCAGAAGGAATGGGTGCTAGGGAGTGTTCATATTTCGTGAAAGCTATCTTGGTGCATTGCCTCCTTCACTTGAATTAGCACTCGATTGTCCTAAAAGAAGGGGCTGAAGACTCAGCAGAGTTGGAAGAGACCTCCGATCTCGTTAGTATAACAGCAGCTGCCTGAATTTGCTCACATCAAATTGCAGCAACTTGTTTCATTCTGGTTTTGCTGTCTTACTTTGTAAGAGACACAAATGCATTTCACATTTTAAAAATATCCTCACACAGATTGAGAACTACATAACAACTTGAGAACTGGTCAAACCTCTCACTTCTTAGATATCTTTCATTCCCATTTGGGTTGGACAGGCTAAAGAATGAAAGTGTGTCATTTTTGACATAACATTTTCAATTCTAAACCAAACAACTGGACTGGAAGGGGTAACAGTGCTGAGTTAATGCCATTAATTCTGCATTAAAAATTATACTAATGTATTTTTTTCCAAATTACCTATAGGGATAGTATATAGGGATAGGTCATATTTCAGAAGTGTTCCTTTGCGATGTTTGAAGTGATCCTTGTGGAAACAAACATTGTCACAAAAATTCTCACCCAATAGGCCAGGCGTGGTGGCTCAGGCCTGTAATCCCAGCACTTTGGGAGGCCAAGGTGGGTGGATCATCTGGGGTCAGGAGTTCAAGACCAGCCTGGCCAACATGGCAAAACCCCGTTTCTACTAAAAATACAAAAATTAGCCAGACATGGTGGCGGTTGCCTGTAATCCCAGCTACTCAGGAGGCTGAGGCAGGAGAATCGCTTGAACCTGGGAGGCGGAGGTTGTAGTGAGCCAAGATTGCACCACTGCACTGTAGCCTGGGAGACAGTGTGAGACTCTGTCTCAAAAAACAAACAAACAAAGAAACAAAAACCAACCAAACAAAAAAAAAACTCACCCAATAAAATAGAGTAGTTCTAGAATAAGAAAAATTAATAGATAATTAAAAATAGAAGAGAGAAATATTCAGGCCAATAATGCTAAAATGAAATGTGTGGTTGCGGAGGCTGAGGGATGCTGAAAGCACAACTCTGTCTGGAACTAATGGAAAAGGGGCTACATTATTTGAAGTTGATAAGAATCAACTGAAATGGAAGGAATGGATGGAATGGAAATACATTTCCTAAGTATACACAAATTACTGTGCTATAATTTTAAGGCCATGTAAAAGTAAAGATGAAATTGAAAAGATAAGACTACCCAAGTTCAAGATTCTCATTCTGTAAAAAGAAACAGATCTTATGTTTCTTCTTGGGGAATTACATCAAATATGTTAACTGAAGTTATTTCAGGGTAATTACAACAGAAATTAAATTGAGTTTCGGGGACATATTAATAAAACAGTCTATTGGCAACACAATTTCAGGCCCACAGATATATTACCCAGTATAATATTTTCAGTGCCCTATACAATAATTTTTCTGAGCATGGAGGTATATATAGATGTTATACTGATGGGTTTATATTGATGAACAGAGAGATCCTTTTTCATTAGATTTCTAGCTTTGACCTTTTAAAAATTATTATTATTAGAGTCAGACATTCCCCAAAGGCAATCCTTACTTCAAAACTACAGGGATCAGTGCTTCAAATTTGCTCTAGTTAGAAACTGACAATAGTAAGTTGAGTTGGAGGAGCGACAAGAATGTGACAGCCTCTCAGTGGCTGCATCTCCCAGCACCAGGGCCTGGCTGCTCTTCAGTTCTTTTGGGAACCAGTGAGGGCAGCTCAGTGTCACAGAACTGGTTATGTGTAAAGCCAAGTCTGGAACACAGGTTTCCCAATTTCCTCACCAATACCTTTTCACTAAGCTGTTCACAAAGGGTTCATGTAAATTGACATTTGGCATATTTATGAACAGAGTACACTCATTTCATTAAAAAACAAAACAAAAAAAAACAACAACAACAACAAAAAACAAGCTATCTTCCTTACTGGGAGCTGGAGGGTTTGATTTGTCCATGTTTATGCAGAAATTGAAAGCTGGGCAGGATGGAGTTAGTCTCTGTATGCTTCTAGCTTTCGTTGATACTACTCTCTAACATTCTTTCTAGAAGACATTCTATCTTAGCTTATGAGGTGGCATGTATATTTTTAGGCCTTAATTTCCCATAGTGGTTGGATTAAAAATACACAATTTTAAATTTAATAACCCTGGTGTTTAATCTGGAATATAGGCTTAATATTATGATAAAATAATGTTTTGTTTCTAACACGAAGACTGACGACTAGAAAAATTGCAAATTTAGCACAACAGCCAAAGTGAGTTATGCCAGACTGACAAGATTACTTTTTACATCAATGTACTAACTTTTTTTTTTTTTACTAAATGATGCTTAAGTATCAGAACTTATGACTTGAGTTATTCTTAGATCAGTGAAAAGTCTCATTTTTAACATTGCCCTTAATTGTTCCTCCTATAAAGACCTGACAGTTTTTGACAAAAGAAAGAGGACAGCAAACATGTTCTCCGGTTGGAATGAGCTTTGAGGAAATTATGCCCCTTTCCCCCTACCACATAAGTTCCAGCCAAAAGATAGTTTTCCTGTTAGGTTAAGTGCTATGTAATTACAAAATCACGTTCAAGAGAGGGAAAAACATAGTTGGCAGAATTGGGGAGTTTTGAAACACGTGAGCCCATGCCAGCAGCATTAGGTGGGGATCCAATTTCAATTCTGGTTTTCAAGAATGCAACTAGTTTTGGCTCATCTTTCATTGGAGTGCCAAGGAGCTTTTGCTCAGCTTGGTTGGAAGAATTCTTTTGATTCTCCAGCGCATTGACTTAATTAAGCTTCAGCATCATGGAATATGTGAACCAAAGCTGGCAAATTTACTGAATAAATTTACCTACTACGTAATTGCCTTAATGATAGCTTTCTACATACGTCTTCTAGAATACCTGCAGTCTACATGTGTTGATGTTAGGAAAACTCCAGGGTATACCTTATTGGATTGCTGGAGCATGGAGAATAGCATAATGACTTTTAAAAATTTAATAAAAAAGATAGTGGGGAACTAAAAAGGTTTTGAGGAAGAATTTCTAAAGCTCTTAAGTGTGGCCATTGATTTATATATGAGGGATAATCAGAGCCTTGACCACTAAAATAAGGAATTTATGGTCTGGTTACATTTCCACATCTAAGATTTCTCTGACACTGTCTTCTGTCACTTTCAGTACTAGTTCAATGTCATGCTCATGTTGCTGTTTTTAGCATTTTGTTTCATTATTATTTTTTAACAGACAAGGACTGGCTCTGTTTTCCAGGCTGGAGTGCATGATCATATCTCACTGCAGCCTTGAACTCCTGGACTCAAGCAATCTTCCTGCCTCATCCTCCTGGGTAACTGGGACTACAGGCATGCACCACCACACCTGATTAATTTTTACATATTTTTGTAGAGATGGGGGTCTCACTCTGTTGGCCAAGCTGATCTTAAACTTCTGGCCTCAAGTGATCCTCTCACCTTGGCCTCCCAAAACACTGGGATTATAAGTATGAACCTCCATACCTGGCCTTGTTTTTAGCATTTTAATTTCATAAAATGTATTGATAAGAATGGATGGTAAAGAATCTGTAAGTAATCTTTGCAGTCTTCAACCTATTCTGGAAACCATAGTACCATGTAGTATGCTTGGAAAAGAAATACTTTTCCAGGTTTTTCTATAAACAAAGCAATGTACAGAAAATAGAGTGAATGGGAGGGATTTAAAAAAATATTAACCCATTTTTAAAACCTATTGAAATTCCATTAAAATCAGAGACTTACCCCCTTTATGCTTTCCTAAATTCCACAGAATTCACATTAATTTAATTGCAATTTATGCAAATTTATCATACAGAAATCCAAGATGGAGTGATGAGTTGAGCCGAAAGATAAAAACAATTACCATCAGGACTGTGTCTGATGATGGGCAGTGTACCTTAAAAGGAGAAAAATTCCTCCTTTAAGCTGGGAAGCCAAAAAGGCAAAGGGAATAAAACTGTTTCCCATGGGGTATGTTTGAGGCACGGAGTGCTTATCACAGAGAAGACTCTAGTGGGCCCAGAGCAGGGTTGGCACACAAGATACAGCAGATATTTGATGAACGCATGAATAACAGCATTCAAAAACTCTGGGATTATCATGTGAGGAAGGAATTAGATCGGTTCTGTTTGATCCCACAGACAGAATTAGGTTCTATTCTGCTCAATAAAAGGAAGAACATTTTTATCTTCCGGCTGTTTACAGGAGGATGGGCATTCTCTCAGGGGGATTCCTGCCCAGCCCAGACTAGATGACCCCATGGCGTGGGTGCAGTAGACAGGACCCAAGAAATGTGCGGAAGGTGGGCACGCGTGGCTTTGGTGGCCTTCAGTGACTTTGGTGGCCCCCTTTGTGTCTGATGTACTGTAAAGTGATCTTTTGTTGTTGTTGGGTTGTTTTCTTGGATTCCCACTTGATTTCCTTCTTGGCAAATGTTGAGGCTTTAATAGTGCTCTTGGACTTATTAAATAAAACTAAACAGAACAAAAAAAAAAGCCATGGGTGAGATTAGGCAGGCCTGATGGCCCACGGTAAGTCCTTAATTGCAATAATCTTTATGTCTGCATGGCACATGGAACATCTGTTACCCCTGCATTTTTGCTTTTTATTTTTATTTATTTATTATTATCTAAAAAATGACAGCTAACTTAAAAAAAAAGACTTTTTAAATAGAGTCTAGATAGTGGGTAACAGATAGAGGAATCACAGTAACAACTGTAATAGTACATACCTTCAAACCACTAACTGTGCCAGGCACTAGTCTAAGAAATATAAATATAAATATAAATATGTATAAAATATACATATATACTCTCAATTAATCCTCACAACATGTTTATAGTTCACTTTGCAGATGTGGAAACTGAGAAACAGTGAGATTAAGCACAGCCTTTTCACAAGGTCACACATTAGTGAAGTCAGACAAATCCAGGCAGAATGTTCCAGAGAATGTATTTTCAATGACTATTACACATAGTTAAAGGAGGAACAGAGAGAACTGTATTATCCAAAGTCATTCAAATCTGTAGCAGCTTTATCCAAAAAAAAAAAAAAACAGAAAGAGAAGTATATGAAGTCCTTGCCTTCTGCTTTTCAAGTAGCAAGGCTAACTCCAGGCTTATGGCACATTTTAAAGCAGTGGCTTGCAACCATGCTGGACATTATAGTCATCTGATGAGCCTTAAAAAAATTCTTTCATTTTTAGAATTGTTTTTATTAACTCTCATAGAAGTTTGAATTTTTTTAAATAGAAAGTGGAGCACACCAAAAAAATGGAAAAATATTGCATGTTCATGGATTGGAAAAATCAATATTGTTAAAATGTCCATACTACCCAATACAATCTACAGATTCAATGCCATCCCTACCAAAATACCAATGACATAATTCACAGAAATATTAAAAAATCCTAAAATTTACATGGAACCACAAAAGACCTAGGACCAAAGCTATCCTAAGCAAAAAGAACAAAACTGGAGGAATCACAACACCTGACTTCAATTTATACTATAGAGCTATAGTAACCAAAACAGCATGGTACTGGCATTAAAAACAGACACATAGACCAATGGGACAGAATGGAGAACCCAGAAACATGTCCACACACCTACAGTGAACCCATTTTTGATAAAGGTGCCAAGGATATACACTGGGGGATATCCATATGCAGAAGAATGAAACTAGACCCCTGTCTCTCACCATATACAAAAATCAAATCAAAACAGATTAAATACTTAAATATAAGACTTCAAACGATGAAACCACTACAAGAAAACATTGAGGAAACTCTCCAGGACATTGGTCTGGGCAAAGATTTCTTGAGCAATACTCCACAAGCACAGGCAACCAAAGCAAATACAGACACATCAAGTTAAAAAGCTTCTGCACAGCAAATGATGCAGTCAACAAAGTGAAAAGACAACCCACAGAATGGGAGAGAATATTATTTGCAAACTACCCATCTGACAAGGGGTTAATAACCAGAATATATAAGGAGCTCAAACAACTCTGTAGGAAAAAAAATCTAATAATCTGATCCAAACCTGGGCAAAAGATTTGAATAGAAATTTCTCAAAAGAAGACATACAGATGGCAAGTAAGCACATAAAAAGGTGCTTAACATCACTGATCATCAGAGAAATGCAAATCAAAACTATAATGAGATATCATCTCACCCCAGTTAAAATGGCTTATATCCAAAAGACAGGCAATAACACATGCTGGTGAGGATGTGAAGGAAAGGGAACCCTCATACACTGTTGGTGGGAATGTAAATTAGCACAAACACTATGGAGAGCAGTTTGGAAGTTCCTCAAAATACTAAAAATTGAGCTACCATGTGATCCACCAATCCTTCCCTGCTGTGTATATACACAAAAGAAAGAAAATCAGTATATCAGAGAGATCTCTGCATTCCTATATTTGTTGCAGCACTTTTTACAACAGCTAAGACTTGGGAGCAACCTAAGTGTCCATCAGCAGATGAACAGATAAGAAAATGTGGTACATATACACAATGGAGTACTATTCAGCCATTGAAAAGAATAAGATCCTGTCATTTGCAACAAAATGGCTGGAACCAGAGGTCATCATGTTAAGTGAAATAAGCCAGGCACAGAAAGACAAACACCACATGTTCTCACTTATTTGTGGGATCTAAAAATCAAAACAGTTGAACTCATGGTTATAGAGAATAGAAGGATGCTTACCAGAGGCTGGGAAGGGTAGTAGGGGTTGCAGGGAAGGGTGGGGATGGTTAATGGGTAAAAAAAGAAAAAACAGAAAGGATGAATAAGACCTACTATTTGACAGCACAATCAACTTATGATAGCCAACCATAACTTAATTGTACATTTTAAAATAATGTAAACAGTGTAATTGGATTGTTTGCAACTCAACGTATAAATTCTTGAGGGGATAGAGACCCCATTCTCTATGATGTGCTTATTTCACGTTGCATGCCTGTATCAAAACAGCTCGTGTACCCCATAAATATATGTACCTACTATATATATATGTACTCACAAAAATTTTAAAAAATAAAATTAAAAAATTAAATAAAATAGACAGTGATCACTTTTTAAAGGATACTTGTTTTCTTGTATCAAATGGGTAAGAGTTACCTTTTAAGAGCTATTATTTTTCAAGTTTCTTGTTCTGAGCTTAACTGTGTTCCCCCACCCCTAATTCATATGCTGAAGTCCTAACCCTCAGTACCTCCAAATATGTTCTTATTTGAAGACAGGACCTTAATGAGATAATCAAGTTAAAACAAGGCCATTAGAGTGGGCCCTAATCCAATATGACTTGTGTCCTCATAAAAAGGAAATCTGGGGCCAGACCCACATACAGGGGGAGCACTTTGTGAACATGAAGATGGCCGCCTACAAGCTAAAGAAAGAGGCCTGGAATAGAACATTGCCTCATAGGCCTTAGAAGGAGCCAACTCTGCCAACCTCACTCTAGGACTTCCAGCCTCCAGAACTGTGAGACAATCAATCTCTGTTGTTTAAGCCACCTAGTCTGTAGTTCTTAGTTATGGCAGCCCCAGAAAACTACTGCACTCCCTGAAAGACATTATTTCCCATCACTACTGGATTGCTAAGGGGAGAACATATTTAATCTTTTTTTTTAAATTTTCTTTGAGACGGAATCTCACCCTGTCGCACAGGCTGGAGTGCACTGGTACAATCTCGGCTCACTGCCACCTGCAACCTCCGCTTCCCAGGTTCAAGCGATTCTCCTACCTCAGCCTCCTGAGTAGCTGGGATTACAGGCGCCCGCCACCACGCCTGGCTAATTTTTTGAATGTTTAGTAGAAACAGGGTTTCACCATGTTGGGCAGGCTGGTCCCGAACTCCTGACCTCATGATCCGCCCGCCTCAGCCTCCCAAAGTGCTGGGATTATAGGCATGAGCCACCACGCCCGGCCAGAGAGAACATATTTAGTGGATCAAAGAAAAATACTTGTCCTATGTAAGCATTTCTATTTTTTTTATTTTTGAGATACACCTGGATTTAATTTTTTTTAACAGTCTAGTTCAAAAGAACACAACTTGTTGTCTCTTTTGTTGTTTTCATCAAACAGTTGGGAAAATAGCCACGAACCAAGTATGAAGATTGCACATTATGCTGTGTGCTGTGCTCTATAAACAATGAACATAATTTTCTCACTTATGAGATACTTTCCATGCTGGGCACAAATCTCTGGTTACACATCTTACACTGTGCGTGTTCAGGTTTCCATTTACATTTATATGTGAAAAGTATTTGGGCTGGCTGATAAACACACAGCAAAAGGAAGGAAATGGATCATTTACCTGAAGCATTTAGTCTGTTGCAGTTCCTATTATTCCTAACTGATCTACCCCATTGATGTAAAAAATAGGAGGAAAAAAATGTCCCCTCTAAACAAGAGACTGTATTCAAGACATGACCGGTGTTGGTGCAACGACGACACTCCTGAGAGCAATTGCCATGCCAGGCGACGTTGTATGTAAGCAGTGCTCCAGGGAGGTGATTCCAGAGCAGTCTCTCCCCACTGCCATCTGTTATGCAATATATTTCCTCTAAAATTGTATTCAAGCATGGAATTGAAATGTTTATCATTACCAGTAGTTTCCTAAAGTAAGGCACTTTTGGACATGACAAAGTAGCACCAGAATGTCTCTGAAATTCAAATTGCCCACTAGTTCTTTTAATCAGACCTGCACACACTGACTGTTTCAGGAGCATCCTGATTGGCCTCAGTCTCACGAGGTTGACCAGAGACCTGAATCAGTTGCTCTGGTGAGTGTCTGGCCCTCATTGTTGCAGTGTCTGCAACCTCATGGTTGCAGGAGGTTTGATCAGGATTTGGGGTTGAGCCCAGGAGGATGTCCTGGGATAGGTGACCAACTGGAGAGAGATTGATGCGGATAAAATCAACAGGATTAATAAAAGCCAGAATTTTTTTTTTTTTTTTGAGATGGAGTCTCACTCTGTTGCCCAGGCTGGAGTACAGTGGTGTGATCTCAGCTTACTGCAACCTCCGCCTCCCGAGTTCAAGCTATTCTCCTGCCTCAACCTCCTGAGTAGCTGGGACTACAGGTATATGCCACGACGCCCGGCTAATTTTTGTATTTTTAGTAGAGGTGGGGTTTTTCACCATGTTGGCCAGACTGGTCTTGAACTCCTGACCTCAGGTGATCCACCCACCTTGGCCTCCCAAAGTGCTGGGATTACAGGCATTAGCCGCTGCACCCAGCCAAGGCCAGAGTTCATCGTCAGAAGTTAAGAAGCCCAGCTCTGGAACTACATACAAACCCTTAGATGGAAAGTGCAAGAGAGGAATTTGAAAGAAGAGACGGAGAATGATATGCAAGTGGAAGCTTGTTTAGAAGTCATGCCTGTAATCCCAGGACTTTGGGAGACTGAGGCAAGCGGATTACCTGAGGCCAGGAGTTTGAGAGCAACATGGTGAAACCCCATCTCTACTAAAAATAGAAAAATTAGCCAGGCATGGTGGTGCGCGCCTGTAATCCCAGCTACTCAGGAGGCTGAGGCAGGAGAATCGCTTGAGCCCAGGATGCGGAGGTTGCAGTGAGCCGAGATCACACCACTGTACTCCAGCCTGGGTGACAGAACAAGACTCCGTCTCTTAAAATCAAATAAATAAATAAATAAATAAATCACCGCAGAAAGTGAGGGACAACCACTGTGACCTGCAGTGGGGGTTTTCATAATGTGAAACGTGAAGGGCACATTGAACTCCTCTGAAGATTTGGAGTTGAGCCAGTCTTGAGCTTTGCTGCTGGTAAAATTCTTTAGTTAGGAGGAACAGAGACTCCTCAGAGTCACCTGAAGTACTACAGCCTAGTTATAAGGATCTGTGGCCAGAATCTCACTCAGGGAGGTTGCCTAGAACCCTGGTTGCAGTCATACGTCAGCTTCATGGAGATGAAAGTGTAATCTGGGAAAAGGACAATTGTCATTGGGCTCTAAGACAAGTGGAACTTCTGATTATCTTCCCAACACCTGAGCACAACAGCTGTAGGTACTTGCTAGAGTGCTGGGCCATCGATGTAGCTCATCTCCCTCTGATTCTGCTTTCCTATATATGCCTTTAGTCATCTATGACTATTACCAATTGTTTATCTATCATCGTGTGTCTCAAGGGTAGTATAGGTTTAGTTGATCATATTATGGCCTAGTTGCTGTCCAGTGAATAGGTGGATTTATCTTGGGTCAGTTCCTAACCCTTAACTCTAACCCATCTCTCGTCATGATGGGGAGGTCACGTGGTTTCCATATGGTGACACATGGAGGAACACTGTCGGTTGGCAGAGACTGTGAGTTTGGTACCATTCTGAGACCTATTTAGCCTAAAGCATAACCAGCCCAAAAAGTCACAATGTGTGCAACTTTTATACTAACCTAATGGCCTAAATCATATTTTTTAATTAAGACTTTCGCACTCCTATTTTTTCAATAAGACTTTTAAATCATTCTTTTTATTTTATATTGCCTCTGATTTAAAAACCAAAACCTAATTCCATTACTGCTTCTGAAGGATCAAGTCTACACTTCATTACTTGGCACTGAAATCCTTAATCAGGCCCAAACTACTTTCCTAACTTCCTCCTCCATTAGTGTTCTATTCTAACTTTTTCTACCATCTCATATTGCTCTCTTTAAATTTCTTTACCTACTCAAATCCTGCTCTTGAACTTTTTTTATTTTTGAGAAATATGGTAGGAACAATGCTAGATTTGGCCTCAGAAACCCGTGGAAGCACAGAGGAACCTGCTGTGTAAAATTGGATAAATCACTGGTTCTCCCTGGATCATTGTCTTCATTTATAAACTCTATTGAGTTCTATCATGTTATGTAAGCTCCTTTCTTCATTTTATACTTGCTGTAGGTCTGAGCAGTGACATGACTCAGTCTTCCCTCTAACTCTGTTTTCTCCTTCCTGAAGTTGTCACAAAGTCTCAGCTTTTATGGAAAAATTTGGTTGGGCATGGTGGCTCATACCTGTAATCCCAGCACTTTGGGAGGCCTAGGCGGGTAGATCAGTTGAGGTCAGGAATTCGAGACCAGCCTTGCTAATATGGTGAAACCCTGTCTCTATTAAAAATACAAAAAAATTAGCCATGTGTAGTGGCATGCGCCCATAGTCCCAGCTACAGTGAGCCGAGATCACACCACTGCACTCTAGCCTGGGTGACAGAGCAAGACTCCATCTCAAAAATCAAAAATAAATAAAAATTCATTATGATTATATCTCATAGAAGCATTTGTCCTATCATCTGCTCCCCTGCCTTCCTGCACCCCCTAGAGCAGCTGTGTAGTACAGGAGGAGTGCGTCTAGTCAATGGGTTTTTGTCCTGTGAATCTGTGGGTTTCTTTCCTTATTGAGCCCCTGATCCTCTTAAATGACTTCTGAGAGCCCCACGCACTAAGAGATAGTCTGATCCATTGTCAAACTTCTGGCCCCCTTTCTGGCTAGTCGAGACTCAGCACTCACCGAGGCTCAGAGACAGGGATTATTCTCTCCTCCTAACAGTTCTCTTCCACTGCCACCTTGAGACCACTCTTTTTCTTCCCCTGATATCCTGAACAATGACCACCAGGCCCGCTGCCTGCTGTCTGGGTAGAGGTATAATGAAATCTCCAGGAACTTAGTAGCTAATATTCCATTAAATGTTTGTCAAGTGAATTCACTAACACAAGAACAGGAATAAATGGACATATAAGGCAGAGAAAACAGAGAATGAGATTGAGAGAAACAGAAAGAGATGGAGAAGAAAGGGTAGAGGAGGAGGAAGAGGAAGAGCAGAAGGGGGAAGGATGGAGAAAGAAGAGGAAAAGAGGTGGCAGGAGAGGAAAAAGGGAAGGAAAATGGTGAGAATGCATCTGGGCCTTAATTAAACATTTTCTTCCCTCTGTCCTCCGTGGCTCCGCCTCCCAGCTGCATTCATCCACCAAGTCTCTATCGGTCTGTGTCCTCTCCTATCCTTCTGGTGAGTGCTCTATAGAATGAGGGAATCAGCACTTCCTGCCCCCCAGGGAGTACCAACACACCACAGGTGGCAAAATGAAATGTGTTTTAAAGAAGGCAACAAGAGCAGAAAAGGAGCTGCTAATTTTGTCTGGGGAGATCGAGAAAAGCCTGATGGAGGAGATGGCATTGGGTGAGTTCAGTAAGATCAGCAAGATTTGTGAGGCAGCGAAGGTGGCATCTGACACAGAGTGAACAGCCTGTAGAAAGATGAGCTGATAGGCCGGGCATGGTGGCTCACACCTGTAATCCCAACATTTGGGAGGCAGAGGCGGGCAGATCACCTGAGCTCAGGAGTTCGAGACCAGCCTAATCAACATGGTGAAACCCTGTCTCTACTCAAAATACAAAAAATGAGCTGGGTGTGGCGGTGGGCACCTGTAGTCCCAGCTACCAGGGAGGCTGAGGCAGGAGAATCAGTTGAACCTGGGAGGCGGAGGTTGCAGTGAGCTGAGATTGTGCCGTTGCACTCCAGCCTGGGCGACAGAGCTAGACTCTGTCTCCAAAAAAAAAAAGATAAGCTGATAAAAACCAGCAAATGATTGATACATGCAACAACGTGGAAGAATCTCAGAACTACAGTGTTGAGTAAAAGAAGCCAGACACAAAAGAGAAACTCATATGATCCCATGTCTATGAAGATGAAACTCAGTCTAAACTAATCTGTGGTGTAGGAAGCTGGAAAGTGGTTACCGGAGATTTGGGGTGGGGAAGGGTTGGGGATAGTATTGCCTGGGAAGGGACCCAAGAGAACTTTCTGGAATGTTGTCAGTTTGCTATGAATAGTGAGTACATGAGTACATACATACTTTAAAATTCATCAAGCTGCATACTTACTTCACTCAAGGTTTTTGCATTTTACCATAGAGTTGGCCCTCTGTATTCGAAGTTTCTGTGTCCGTGGATTCAACCAACCATAGACTGAAAATATTTGGGAAAAAAATGTATCTATACTGAACATCTACAACATCTTTCTTGTCATTATTATGTTATAAACACATTTATATCTATGTTTAGATTATTAAAAAAATCCAAACAATATCATATGACAACTATTTACATACCATTTGCATTGTATTAGGTATTATAAGTAATCTAGAGATGATTTGAAGTATATAGGAGGATGTATGGAGGTTATATGCAAATATATACCACTTTATATAAGGGACTTGAGCATCTTGGAACCAATCCCCCACAGATATCGAAGGATGACTGTATATAAATTATACTGCAATTTTTTAAAAAGCTAAGCAGAATAAAAGTATACACGTAGAACAGTACATTTAAAATACCAACACAGTCAAACAAAGCATATTAGACACTAGCCCTGATTTTATAATTTATATTTCTGGTTTTTAAAAGCTCATTGAAATTTTAAATTAGGCTATATTAATGCCATGTGAATAAATTATAGTTCTGAATTTAAGATTAGATTCAATAAATGTGAACCATGTAATAGTTATTAACTTAAAAATAAATCACTGATAATATTTGTCTCATGCCTTTTGGGCACCTATTTTCTGTGATTTTGGGAAAAGCATTCATTTTTATTTACATCAAAATTAATAAAACAGAAAAATTAAGATATTACTTATTTTGAGGGGTAGATGAATGAAATGAATGAATGAAAATTATTTCATTCATGGTTGCGAACTCATTTATAAAAGCCCTCCAGAAATGGCTGAAGAATTTGCCATGCAAGTATTAGCACAATCCAAATATTAATAAATATTTAGTTCTTTGGCATACGCCTGAAATGTGGGTCGGTATAAACATATCTTCCTCAACAGAGTGGTAAGAAAATATTGGCTGGAATGATTTAACTGAAATGTTTGCAGTTGAGTATTTTTTAAATAAATAAATTACATTAACCACAGTTTGAAATATACCAAAGACATAAATTCCTTTACTATGATTCTGCTCTTCTAGATGAGAGGTCACGACTTTCATCTTGGCTTTTATGTTGATAAAACAAAATGCTGCAGAGGCTCTGGGGAATGAGGAGTGGGTCACATGTGTGGTTACATTTAAGGTCCACAACCTCGTAGGTGGTGTGATGTTGGACCTTTGCCTTAACCTTTCTGAGGCTCAATGTCCTCATCTGCAACTACTTGTGCAGTCCCTGTGAGGACTGAGTGATAGGACAAGCTGAAATGATTATTTCATTATATATTTCATATATATTTATTCATATATATTTCATATATATTTATTCATATATATTTCATATATATTTATTCATATATACTTCATATATATTTATTCATATATACTTCATATATATTTATTCATATATATTTCATATATATTTATTCATATATACTTCATATATATTTCATATATATTTATTCATATATACTTCATATATATTTCATATAATGAAATTATTATTTCATTATATGCCACGGTCTGGCATATAATAGGTGCTCAATAAATGTTCCCCTCCCTCCCTCTTTTCCTGGGGATTCCTCGGTCACTATGACCTGCCATTAGTCTGCAGCAGTGACTGCATTCATACTGTTGCTCTTCGGCTTTAATAGTTCTATTCACTAGCCATATGATACTTTCAGAATATTAATTAGTAAACAGAGAGGGAGTGATGTTTGGTTCAGATAACATTTGTTCCTTTGTTTGGAGTGTTAATAAATAAATTCTAGTTTGTATTAGTCTGTTTTCATACTCCAATAAAGAAATACCCGAGACTGAGTAATTTATAAAGGAAAGAGGTTTAATTGACTCAGTTACGCATGGCTGTGGAAGCCTCAGGAAACTTACAATCATGGCAGAAGGTGAAGGAGAAGCAAGTACCTTCTTCACAAGGCAGCAGGAAAGAGAGCTAAAGGGGAAGTGTCACACTTTTAAACCATCAGATTTTGTGAGAACTCTCTGACTATCACTAGAAGAGCATGGAGAAAACCACTGCCATGATTTAATCACTCCATCTCTTGATACATGAGGACTGCAGGTCCCTCCCTTGACACGTGGGGATTACAGTTTGAGGCGAGATTTGGGTGGGGACACAGAGCCAAACCTTATCCTAGTTGGATAGAGCAAGTTGAAATTATGGGACAAAAGTTTCTCCTTGGTAATTTAATTATTGAGATCTAGTTGAGGCTCTTCTCTTCTTGTGGATCTCTCTTTCTTTGTTATGTGAGGGGTATCATATCCTGGATGGTCTTTCTTTAGGTGAGTCTTATTCATACCTGATATGAAAAGATGCTGTCCTCTGAATTGGAGATTTGCAGAATTACACTAACTCAAAGGTTTATAGGCAATATTATTCTTCAGGGAGAGTATACCTTGACAAGCAGGTGAGAGACACTCAGGAACTTCAAGAAAATAAGGACCTCTTATGGTGGTTGTGTGTTCAGCCCTGGCCTCCATGCCCTTGGGCCTCAAATTATGGAAAAGTACCCGGAAAAAGCAACTTTTCTGATTCATTGGCCTTTGGAATTGTTTTGTGACTTATAGACTCTACTTAGAACATAATTATGCCATTTCCATCTTCACAAATGTGGCATACTCTTGAATCTAAGCTGCAGGGATAGCTTTATGAAATGGAATTGCTCCACAGTGCTTTAAATGGAAATTGCTGCATCAGCTACATGGCAGTATCTATTCTGGAAGCTAATTGAAATTGCTCTGGCAGATGCCGGAAACAAATGCTGGGTTACATTAGCTTATGGGGGTCTCTTTCTCCACTGTGTCACATGCAGAACTCATCACACTGTCCTGGATTCTGGGAATGCGCACAGGGCTAGGGCTAGGAGAAAGGGAATTTGGCCATTGCCCTCCATATAGCAAATACTTCCAATGGCATCCAAGTCTGTCTGTGACTGACAGATGCCTTGTATACAATAATAATGCCTGTTTCCATAACTACCACCCAGGTTTGTAGATATTGATTCAATGTGAAAGTGTTTCAAAGATAAAACTTACTGAGCAAGTGAGTAATTTAATTTTTTAATATTGATTCTGTCATTATATCAATATTCATTTAGCCTTTTGTTCAACAAACATTTATTGAGTGCCTAATAAGAATGACAAAACTTTATATTCAATAAATTTCAGCTTAGAATATACTCCAACAGGCTACTTTTTATGTTTTGACTCATTTAATCCTCATAGTAACCTTAGAATCTCTATTTTATAGGTGAGGAAACTGATATAACTAAGGCAAAGAGGTGAAGTGAGTTCTTCAAACGTTGGTTGAGTGCTTTGAATGTTCTGGGCACTGGGCTGGATGCTAGGAATACACAGAGCAATAAGACAGCGCCATGCTCATCGGCATTAACGTGTAGGTTTGGAGGAAGGATAAGAACAGAGAAATTGACCAGCCTGTGTTTAATCCAAAAGGTGGACAGGCAGCTCAGTGTTGGGGGGAGTCTCATGAAGGGATAATTGGTAGCACTTGAGACTGAGTAGTGGGGCAACATGAGGGGGAGCAGATTCCCAGAGATTGGGAGGAAGGTGGGGCTGATTGGAGCCTGGGGCATCTCTGGGAAGTAGGCTGGTCCTACAAGAGTACTTTGCAGCCAGTGGTGAAGATATAGGAGGTCAAATAAAGTAAGTGATGAGAAACAGAACAGATAGAGCAAGGTAAGATCAGAAACGCAGGGTGACTGTCACCTCTGTGTAACCGTGTTGTGAGGAGACGGAGAGTACCACTAACACCCAGTCCTTGGCGGGAGCCCATTATCTAGTCAGTCTGGAGAGCTTCAGTCCCTCCCCTGACCAATGTGAAGCTTGCCCCTTAGGGCACCTGACTGCCTCATGAGCTCAGCGAGGATATTTAAAGAAACCACCCAAGTTTGTTCCTGTGACCTTTCCCCTTTTTACGAAGTCATCTGAACAACACCTTTCTACTTAGGAGATTCATCTCTTCAAAGTACTATATTCCTGAATCAATGTTTTGTCAACATTTCTAAGTTACTTCATCTTTTAAAGAGGATGTGTCTTATGAGGAAGTTGGAATTCTTTGCAAAAACATAGCAAAAATGGGAGCTATCCTTCCAGGATCTTGCTATGTTGCTCAGACTGGCCTGGAACTCCTGGCCTTAAGCAGTCCTTCCTCCTCTGCCTCCCAAAGCTGTGTGATCACAGGCGTGAGCCGCAGCACCCGGCCTTTCCTGCTCTTGTGAAAAGCTGGCTGTCTTGCTCATCTCCCTCACCCCTGTATGTTTTTATGCTGTGGGCAGGGCCGTGACGTGCACAAGACATCTTTCACAATCTTATTTTTTTTAAGTATGAAGCAAGACATCTAAAATGAGAAAAAATAGAAATCACCATGTATTTGAAATGAATTATTGACATGAATTCTGCATTTATAGCTGAACTTCCTAGCGGCCAAGATAAAAACATAGAAATGCATTGGGTTATTTACTTTTCATATTCCTGCAGAAAAGAAGTACACACCTTAATCTTGAGAAAAACTTCCCGAGTTTGTATAAGATCCATGGCAGATATGCAGATACTCATGAGGCAGATACGCAGATACTCATGAGGCAGATATGTGGATACTTGTGAGGATACGTTTAAGTAAAGATATTCCTTGATAGTCCTAAGGTCACAAATTAATCCAGGAAGAGATCCTTGTTATCTGTCTCTAAATAAATAGAATTGAAGAAGGAAAATTGTGCTATTTCTGCTTTTCTGTTATTTCTAAGAGTGAGGAAGAGCTGGCCCCTTCAGAAATTCTTTGGAAACAGACCAGTCAGGGGAAAGGTGTTAGCAGTATCAGGGCCTACAGATAACTGTTGGCTGCAAGAGAGGGTGGACCATCATCATGGTTACCCTGTGTCTGGAGAGGCCATCACAAAGTGGAGCCTACTGCCTGACAAGGGGGAGGCCACCTACTTGATGATAACTCCTCAAAGGCTGATACCCAGTCCTGAGAGTTCTCCAAGGCCCTGCTGGCTGTCCCTGATGGAGTCACTGCAGAGGGTCTAGTGGAATCCTAAGAGACAGCAGGAAGCTTCAGCTGCCTTCTTTTATGGTTAATGACTTAGTGATACATTATTACCATTTGAATTGTTAAGGCTTCTACGTGAAATATAATGTTTTTAATCAAAATAAGTTGAATGTTGTTGTTTGGTCCCCGGAGCCACGTGTAGCCCTTGTGGGAATGAGCAATGACACTGTTCTTGGCATCACAGTGCCCTTCCCCTGCTTAGGGAAGCCCCGTGCGTTCCATCCTTCCTTTCCTCGAGCTTCTCTTCCTCCATCCACCACCCACTCTCCACGCCACTTCTGCAGCTCTGAGCACTGGCCTGCACAGCGCCCTTGCTCATTTTCTTCTTGTGCTTCTCCCCATCCATGGGATGATTCTTGTCTCTTCTGCTCACAGATTCTGGCCCCAGCCTTACTCCCGTACGACCCCTTACCCAGCCAGCTTTGATCACTTCTCTATTTAGCGCTGCTCTCACAATGAAGGGCACAGTTCACAGCATTTGATTCGCATTTCTATGCCTGTAACCTGTATTTATTGTGCACCAATTATGTGCAAAGCCTGGGCAGAAATTCTGCCTTCAAAGAATTTACAGCAGTGAAGGAGATAAGCCACAGGTATACCTAATTCTGCTTCAAGGTAGAAGAAGTAAATGCCATAAGAGCCATAAGATATATTACAGAGGGAGAAAACACTTCTAGAAGGACCCGGAGTGATTTCGTGAAGGATACTGTGTTCCCCAAAGAAGAGCTTTCTCACTGGTGTGCTGGGAGTTGAAGGCAGGTGAATTAAGTAGCCATCGCCTCTGCTGGAAGGACGTGGCTGGCTTGGAGGCTTACCTCAGGGGCTGTACAAAGAGCTTCATGTCCTATGTGTGTCCCCAAGTGGAGCTGATCAGAACATCTTCTTAAAGAGGGGGTCAATTTGGATGTTGGGACTGTGTTTGAGGAATAGTTAGAAGGGAGACAAAGTTAGAAGAAAGAACCGTGGCTCTTGTGTGTTTGTGTATGTGAGTGTATGTTTGTGTGTGTATGACTGTGTATGTGCCTCTGTGTGTGTGTGTGTGTGTGTGTGTGTGCGCGCGCGCACATGCGCGCGCATGTAGGGAAAAATTTGGAATATAGCAAATTGCAAATAGGCAATCATAAAGGTGGGTTGGAGCATCATCACAGAGGGTCTTACGTGTCGGGCTAATCACTTGAATTTTACTCTGAAGTTAGAGCAGAATGATGTAATCAGAGCCAAGCTTCCTGTATGCTTTTACATACTTCTCAAGTTAAAGGGGGAGAGAGACTGGAGATGAGAAGACCTTGGAGAAAGCTTATGAAATTTTAGAAGTATGAAATAATGAAACGTGAAATAAAACAGTGACAGTGAGATCATGAGGTTGGACAGATGCCGGAGGTGTTTTGGAAAGATAGTCAATGGAGCTTGACTTCTGATTGGAGGAAATCCAGTGCATGAGTCAAGGTTGGAGATGGGAGCAGGAGAAAGGGAGAGTCAGGGATGATGCCAGAGCCTTCAGCCTGGTAACTGGGTGATGCTTACAGCTGCAGCCACTTCAGGAATCCATCCAACAGCCATCCCTCCTTCTCTCTTGCTGACACAGAGCTATCCCCCATCCCAGAGAATGACTCATGATTGGCCTGAGCCTGTCAAGGCCATTCATTTTTCTTCGCTAGTGATGATTTGGGAGTAGACATATGACCCAGGTCAGGTCAACAAGCCAGATAAAAGGATAAGTCAGCTAGGGGTTCTCTGCCAAAGGAGAGCTGCCGAGGAGCAGCCTTTTGTTCCCTGCTCTCCCTCCCTTCTGTGGGTGCTGTTTTGTACTATAATGATACCTGGGGCCATGGCAGGCATTTTTGGACCGTGAAGGGGAGGCCAAGAGAATCATGGACAAACCAGCTAGAGTTCTGATGTTATTGAGCTTGGAACCAACTGGAGAGCCATGTGTCTTCAGCCTGTCTGCTAAGTGAGATCAGATGCATCTGGACTGTTAGTATTTTCTTACCTGTAGCCAGACATATCTGAACGGATAAAATGATTCTCAGGAATGTGAAAAGGGAGGAGGAACACGTGATTGTGCTGGTGCCAGTAGATGAAGAGAGAAGATGAAGAGTTTTGCCTGGGCTGTGCTTTCTTGCTTTCCTAGGTTGTCTTCAGAGTCTCTCTCACCAGCTGGAGCCTGACATTCCCAAAGATAGGCAGGGTACAGTCATCCCTCAGTGTCTGTGAGGAATTGGTTCCAGGACCCCCCACTGTGGATACCAAAATCCTCAGATGGATGTTCAAGTCTGTGATATACAATGGCATCGTATTTCCATAAATCCACACAATCCTTCTGTATACTTTGTCATCTCTAGATTACTTATGCTACTTAATACAGTGCAGATGCTATGTAAAGTCATTATACTCTATTTTTATATGTATCATTTTTATTTTTCTATTGTGGTTTTTTGAAAAAATATTTTCTTTCCATGGCAGGTTGAATCCTGGGATGTGAAACCCACGGATATGGAGGGCCAACTGTACTTAGTACTGTTCTTTTCAACACAGCAGCAGAAAGTATCTTGAACTGACTTACACTCCAAAGCAGAATTTATACTAAGTCTCAAGGAATATCTTCTAGAAGCCAAGTGTAGGAAGCTGGGGCTCAGGAAGGGATAGAGTCTGGGACTGTCCAGCCCACCAGGAACTATTTCCTGTCACTCATCCCTGGTGAAAATGGGCTTTCTCCCTTTCTCAGGCCATGCGACAGGAAGATGCCTGGCCAGCTGCACCTCTGGTTCAGGAGACTGACTCAAAATGTTATTTGGTTCTTGTATTAGTCCATTTTCATGCTTCTGATAAAGATATACCCAAGACAGGGTAATTTATAAAGAAAAAGAGATTTAATGAACTCACAGTTCCACATGGATGGGGAGGCCTCACAATCATGGCGGAAGGTGAAAGGCACATCTTACGTGGTGGCAGGCAAGAGAGAATGAGATCTAAGCAAAAGGGGAAACCCCTTATAAAACCATCAGACCTTGTGAGACTTATTCACTACCATGGGAACAGTATGGGGGAAACAGCCCTCATGATTAAATTACCTCCCACCAGGTCCCTCCCACAACACATGGGAATTATGGAAGCTACAATTCAAGGTGAGATTTGGGTGGGGACACAGCCCAACCATATCAGTTCTAACCCCACATTCTTGGACAGACCATCTAGCCTGGCTAAATTTGCTCTCTAGGATTGTGAAATTACAGTTTATAAGCCTGTCAGCTGTGTGTTGTGGGGGAGGAAAGGGAGGATCAAGAGGGGTCCTCATGAGCCTCCCAGACACCCCAGAGCCTGTCTGCTATTCTTATCAGCCATTTAGCTATTCTCTTCCAGTAATTTCTCCCACATAGTGGGATTCTTAATAAATAAGTAGCCCCATATGACAAATAATGTTAATAATATTAATAGTCAAGTCACTACTTGATTATCAAAGGACTTTGACACAAAAATTGTATATCCATATTTTAGGACATGTGCTTTGAATTGTAACACATATTACACTAACATTGTAAGAGGAGTTTGCTCTGCCTCCCACCCCACTGACATACACAGGAAGGACTAGACTGAGTAATCTGATATTATCTTTGCCATTTTCGTGATGTATTTTCTTGTTAGAGCACATTCATTGAAGGAAATAATATAACCCAGCAGATACTTGCAACAGTTCTTTCTAAAAACAAAGTATATTGCAGAAAAATAAGTTTTTGCTCATCATAACTGACTCTATTATGCCTGATGTATCTGAAAAAACTTAAGATTTCAAAGAGCCATTACATTTAAGTAAGACTGAGCACATTAGAGAAATGAAGAATTGGTAAGTGGTAGATGGTAGTTAGAATGTTTCAATTAGACTGAAATTTAAGTGGGACTTATTTCCTGGATCAGTTTATTTTAGTCTTTTTTTTTATTTTTTTATTTTTAATCAAGACAGAATCTTGCTCTGTCGCCCAGGCTCGAGTGCAGTGGTGCCATCTCTGCTCACTGCAACCTCTGCCTCCCAGGTTCAAGCGATTCTCCTGCCTCAGCCTCCCAAGTAGCTGGGATTACAGGCGTGTGCCACCACGCCCAGCTAATTTTTGTATTTTTAGTAGAAACGGGGTTTTGCCATGTTGGCCAGACTGCTCTCAAGCTCCTGACCTCAAGTGATCCACCCGCCTCAGCCTCTCAAAGTGCTGGGATTACAGGCGAGCCACTGCGCCTGACCAAAATTTTTAAATTCTGAAATCAATGGAGAGTAAATAATCTAGAAACCCCAGTTAGGCTTGTAACTAACTTAACAGTGGAGTGTGCTCAGAAGGCCGAGCCCAGCTGAGGGTCCTGATTAGGGCATGCTCGCTTCCCCCACCCCACCCCCATCCCTAGCCCACCCCCCAGGGGATGTGGCAGTGCCCCAAAGAACACAGGCCACAGGAAGCAAGGCTCAGCCACCTGGAGTGTGCGTTTTGCTCCTCCAGAATTAAAATAATTAAAAACGTTACGTTTCATAGTTTAGCTTCCACTTATGAGTGAGAACATGTGATGTTTGGTTTTCCATTCCTGAGTTACTTCACTTAGAATAATAGTCTCCTATCCCATCCAGGTTGCTGAGAATGCCATTAATCCATTCCTTTTTATGGCTGAGTAGTATTCCATCATATGTATATACCACAGTTTCTTTATCCACTCGTTGATTGATGGGCATTTGGGCTGGTTCCACATTTTTGCAATTGTGAATTGTGCTGCTATAAACATGATACAATGGACTTTTGGGACTTGGGGGAAAGGGTGGGAAGTGGGTGAGGGATAAAAGACTACAAATTGGGTTCGGTGTATACTGCTCAGATGATAGGTGTACCAACATCTCACAAATCACCACTAAACAACTTACTCATGTGACCAAACACTACCTGTTTCCCAAAAACCTATGGAAATAAAAAATTAAAAAAAAAACTATTAAAAAACTAAAACATGGTTAGATTATGGAGAGAATGCAAGAAGTGCTTGAGTTTTTAAAATTAAAACAAACAATAAAATAAAAACTGCCTGTTTAGGGCAATCCTTCTGTAGCTCAGCGCCCAGAACTCAGGGTAGAAGCAGGCGTGACACTTGAAAAGACTGGGCGAAACAGGTGCCTTTTGTTCCAGACCAGTTAGTCGATTGGTGTGGTTTGTATGTGGGGTTCCTGGAGGGTTTACATGAATCCTGGTGATTATCCGCATACATATCCCAGGCCTGAGAAGGGCCCAGGGTCTCCCAGGGATAATGGAATCAGTCTGCTCATATTTAGTGCTTCATGTGGACATGGTGTTTCCACTGTTTGGGTATTTAGTCGTCATGGTAAATGCTGCCACTTCCATTTCTGATGCTTTCGTAATGTTAGGATCACTCAGTATTAGTGCCAGGAGGGACTCATGTTTCATTTAGTCTAACTCTCATGCTACCAAATAAAGTCAACACTGGCACTGGAAGAAGTCATATTATTAGGTGAGCTTCTGAAATTACTGAAGTTATTAAGTCAGTCAATTGTTTATTAAAAGAATTGGCTAGGAGTCTGGTTTTTCTAACTTGGAGTTGCAATTCTTTTGAGAAAATAAAAGTATAGATATAAGGATATATTAAGATTCCTAAACAGCATTACCTAATCCAGCTTTCCTCAGTGCCACCCTTAATACCTGCAGCCTTATCCCCAGTCAGCAAACTACAGCCCCACTCATAGCCTATGTTTAGATAGCTCACAAACTAAGCCCTTTTAGAGGGTCGTTAAAAGAAAACACATACACCACAAAAGCAAAGATGACTCTGTGGCAAAGACTCTCTCTGGCCTTCAAACCTAAAGTATTTACTATCTGGTTCTTTAGAGAAAGAGTTTGCTGGCCCCTAAGGCATTGTGGCAAACTGTGGTAACTCCGCATCCAGTCCCACCCTTGCTAAAAGAACCCCACTTTGGTTCCAGGCCACAGGGTGCCTAGCTGCAGACAGTGGGTCAGAACCAGTCATGACAATCCCGTTCATGCTTCTCAGCTTGTTTGCTGTTAAGGGTAGCCATGCAATGTAGTTCTGACCTATGACACCTAAGCGGAAGTCTTCTGATTGATGGGGCAGGGAGTTGAGGGAGGGTATAGGAAAAGCTTTTGCTTTCTATTGTATTTATTTGACAGTGCTGGCCTTACTTCTTTGAGTGTGATATGATGGGTGGAGTTGCAGCAGCTCTCTTGTTGACATGAGAAAATGGCCAAAAGGATCACAGTGTCATTGGCCCTTACATTCCTGAACCAGTGCCAGCAACCCCCATCTCAAGATGTCTTGCTATGTGTGAGAAAATTAAACTCCTGTTTTCTTAAGACACTGTAATTGTTTTAGCTGTTAAAACAATTATAGTCTAATATTTTCTTACTGCTAGAGGCACCGTTAAACCTCAAAAATCCCAATTGCTTTCCTTTTTTTTTTCAAGGAAATAATTTTGGGTCCACCAAGAGTTTACTGGACATTTTCTGATCTATGTTTTTGTAAATAATTGCCCCCATCCCCTCATTATGTAGTAGAACACTGATTTAGCCTTTGTAACTAGTGTGATTTTTATGCCATTTAGATCAGCTGTATAGTCTTGAAACATTACTTACCCTTTCAGTTTTCAGATTTCTAAAATGGAAATAATATTGGTACCTACCTTGTAAGGTCCTTTTGAATATTAAAAAGAACCAATGCCTTAAAATAAAAAATTAAGGCATTGGCTAATTGTGGTGGCTCTTCTCTGTAATCTCAGCACTTTGGAAGGCCAAGACGGCAGGGTCGCTTGAAGCCAGGAGCTCAAGACCAACCTGGGCAACATAACGAGACACTGTTTCTATGAAAAAAAAAAAAAAAAAAAAAAAAAAGAAAGAAAGAAAAGAAGTGAAGCCATATGAAGTACTTAGCATACTGCCTGGCACATAAATAGCACTCAAAAATATTTGCTGTTGTTGCTGTGTTGCTGTTGCTTTGTTGTTATTCTATTCCTCTTCTTCTTCCTCCTCTTCTTTCTTTCTCTAGGTCTTTACCAAAGGAAAAAGTACTTTAGGTCATATGGGAAACCCATCCCTTTGCTAATGGCATGAAGGCAATGGCCTTAGAACTACTCAGAAAATATTTACCTAAAGAGGAGAAGCTTTAAGTTTGATGTTGGAAATAACCTGAAGAGCTCTCATTCCTGGGTGGAATTTTCATTTGAATATTTATATGGACAGATTTGGAGTACAGAAGACAGCAGAGGAAGCACTTTTTTTTCTCTTTCCGTGTGTCAAAAGTTACCTGGTAAACTGATTACAAATATTTAAGAGAGCACCTCCTGACCAACTGAAGGCCCTTGCTTAGGTTTACCACTCAGTGATGGCTTTAGAGGACCGGGGTGGTGTGGCACCTGAGAGATAAACATTTTTGTGTAGGAATTTTTATCATACTAATTTGTATTTCTCATAAAGAACCCTTGGGGGTTTGACAGGAAAGTGAATCTATTTAGTAAAATTAGGAACTGGGAAAAAATAGTGTCTCTTTTTTTAAATGCTTCAAAAGAAGGAATATTTCTATTGCAATAAATTATTTTTTGATTGCCTCTGTACCTCTTCCTGCTCCACATTCCCATTCTGAATGGCATCATTACACACTGCCCGGTGTGAATATTAATGCGAGTCAGGAGAAGTCTACCAGCCACACACAATGCATTCAAATGTTGGCTTTACATAATCATCCTTCCTTTTCCCTGTGTTTTTTATGATGCCCAGTCTAGATTTTTGCAGTGCTCTCTAGTAAATCTGCAGTGAAAATTTCTCTGTATCTGGATGACAGCCTAAAGCATTGCTCGCCGTATACCTGGATAAATTTGTCTCAAAAAAAAGGAAGCCAGTGGCAAAAATGAAACTTTATTAGAGTTTTAAAAATACTATTTACAGTCCATGGATGTTTTACTTCTTCTTTGAACAGATGTTTCCTGCCAGTCAATTATTGTTCCACATCTTTGTGTGTGAAAGGGTTAATAATAAAGGCTGTTGTATTCCCCTGCCCAGGATTTGTTCAAAATACTTATCGACTACTGAATGAAAGGCCTGGTAAATATTTTCAGCCTATGAAAACATATAGTTCCTCATGAATGAAAATATTATATTTGTGGTCCAACAGATATTGCTGGTAGGTTTGCTTGTTTGTTTTCCCTAATGTTGATGAAGTTTCTGTAATCCAGTCACAGGCTCTTGGTAAGGACCCAAATAGACAGGGGACAAGAGAACTTCTAGTTCCTTTAAGCAACTTGAGATAAATGAATTACAATCTAATATACTAAAGAAATTGAAAACTCTATTTCTAGATCATTATTGTTCATTTTTAAAGGATCTGTGGTTAACATAAAAGATAATTTTTTAATTTCTATGGTTTGGCAAATGTACTCCTGATTTTCAAAAATGATAAACTTTATGCCTATTCCAACCTAGTATAAGACAGACTCTTAAACGTATTTTGAGAATGAAAGAAATGAAAAAGCAACAGATCACCAGGAGCCACATGGATCTCCTAAGATTATTCGCTTTGATGATGGGATTACTGGAGTGATAGGGAGGGAAAGGTCAGGACAGTCTATCTGAATCTCAAAGGCATTTATCAGAGGTTATCTTGATATTCTCATAGAAAATAGAGAAATTTGGCCTAAATCAATGCTTTTCAACAATCCGTTGAACAGAAAGGATTTTTTTTCAAACAAAAGATTATGAGGAAATATGATACCCATCCTCCCCTCCAAAAAAGGAAGAAAAAGATCTGGCCATGGGAATAGGGGAGAGGCCACCTCACTCTGCTGGCCCATGGATCTCATCATTCTCTGTGGAGAACAGAGAGCAAATCACTGGTCTATGTGATGACATCTTTGGTTGGGTTCATAATTGATTGAATAGCCATACCCAAAGAGTGCTCATTATCACATTCATGACAATCTAGAATGCATTCTCCAGTGGAATGTCACAGATCTTTATCTCTATTTCTCAGGTTTCCTATTTTTAAAATTTCTTGGGTAGATAGATATTGGTGATCAAATTTCTGAACCTAGGCTGGGCGCAGTGGCTCACGCGTGTAATCCCAGCATTTTGGGAGGCCAAGGTGGGAGGATCACCTGAGGTCAGGAGTTTGAGACTAGCATGGCCAACATGATGAAACCCCGTCTCTACTAAAAATACAGAAAACAAACAAACAAAAAAACATCAGCTAGGCATAGTGGTGAGCACTTGTAATCTCAGCTACTCAGGAGGTTGGGGCAGGAGAATTCCTTGAACCCAGGAGGTGGAGGTTTGCAGTGAGCCGAGATTGTGTCATTGCACTCCAGCCTTGGCGACAAGAGCAAAGCTCCATCCAAAAAATAATAATAAAAAAAATCTGAATATGAAGCTAGGGGAAATATTAATGTATTGGAAGGCAAATTCAGACTCTAAAGAGGTCTCAAAAGGGTAGAATGACAAAGAAATCCAATAGGATGAAATTCAGTGGGGATGGATGAAAAGCCCATATTTAGATTCATAAAACCAATACATATAAGACATGCAGGATATAATTCAGCAACAGGTATGAGAAAGGTTTGGCATTTTCAGTTGATTTTAAAGGGAAAACTAGTGGAGGCTAGTAAAAGGATACTATCTAGGACAGGGTGACAGAAGATCTTATATTATTTGATGGTCAGAAGTAACCTAACTATTGTGTTCAGCCTGGTAATAACAATTCTGAAACATTTACTCTGTCAGACATAGTGCTTTTTCTTTCATTTTACATGGACTGTTATCCCTAGATAACATGTCCTGACCATGTGGTTTCTTCTTGTGGGGCTGTGTCAAGAATATCCTGTTGTAGCACCTCTTCCTTCCAGCTTCGAGTGGATAAGGGAAGGTGTGATGACTACCCTTTGAACCTTCAGCAGTTATGTGCTCTGGAGGATCCAAGTCTAACACTGACCCATTAAAGAGTTTTCGAAGAGTCACGACCCATAGGTTTTCTTTTCTTTTTTTTTTTTTTTTTTGAGATGGAGTTTCGCTTTTGTTGCCCAGGCTGTGGTGCAATGGCATGACCTCCGCTCACCACAACCTCCACCTCCCAGGTTCAAGCAATTCTCCTTCCTCAGCCTCCCAAGTAGCTGGGATTACAGGCATGCACTGCCACGCCTGGCTAATTTTGTATTTTTAGTAGAGACGAGGTTTCTCCATGTTGGTCAGGCTGGTCTTGAACTCCCGACCTTAGGTGATCTGCCCGCCTCAGCTTCCCAAAGTGCTGGGATTACAGGTGTAAGCCACCGCACCCAGCCAGGTTTTCTTAAGAGGAAATAATTCTAGTTTTTCATCTATTCATGAAAAAGAATGGATCAAAGGGTCATGGGTGATTTGTACTACAGGATTGATGTGAGAGAGACTTGTGACAAGACTGTGGTGTTTGTCAGGCCTCTGAGTCCAAGCCTGCACGTATTTGTCCAGACGGCCTGAAGCAAGTGAAGAATCACAAAATAAGTGAAAATGGCCGGTTCCTGCCTTAACTGATGACATTACCTAGTGGAATTCCTTCTCCTGGCTCATCCTGACTCAAAAGCTCCCCCACTGAGTATCTTGTGACCCCCACCCCTGCCAGCCAGAGAGCAACCCCCTTTGACTGTAATTTTCCATTACCCACCCAAATCCTATAAAACAGCCCCACCCCTATCTCCCTTTGCTGACCCTCTTTTCTGACTCAGCCCGCCTGCACCCAGGTGATTAAAAAGCTTTATTGCTCACACAAAGCCTGTTTGGTGGTCTCTTCACACAGAAGCACATGAAATTTGATGCCAAAACCCATGAAATTTGGTGCTGCCACACTTCAATCTCTCCCTTCTCTTAATTTCAATTCCTTTCCTTTTCTGGTAGAGACAGAGGAGATGCGTTTTATCCATAAACCCAAAACTCCAGCGCCAGTGATGGACTCGGGAAGACAGTCTTCCTTTGGTGTTTAATCACTGCGGGGATGCCTGCTTGATTATTCACCCATGTTTCAGAGGTGTCTGATCACCGCGGGGACACCTGCCTTGATCCTTCACCCTTAGTGGCAAGCACCACTTTGTGGGGGTGGTATGGAGAGATAATGGGCGATGTTTCTCAGGGCTGCTTCAAGCGGGATTAGGGGCAGCATGGGAACCTAGAGTGGGAGAGATTAAGCTGAAGGAAGATTTTGTGGTAAGGGGTGATATTGTGGGGTTGTTAGAAGGAGAATTTGTCATATAGAATGATTGGTGATGGCCTGGATACGGTTTTGGATGAATTGAGAAACTAAACGGAAGACACAAGGTCCGAATAAGAGAAGGCGAAAAACAGGTATTAAAGGACTAAGAATTGGGAGGACCCAGGACATCCAATTAGAGAGTGCCCAAGGGGGTTCAGCATAATTACTTGCTTGATTGGTGAGTTTTTGGGCTCTATCCTTGACAGAGTCCTCCTTTTTAAGTTGGAGGCTGAGCTTGGTGAGGTGTGTTTTTGAAAGACTGTTAGTTCGTTCCACCTTTCCTGAAGATTGATGCCGGTAAGAGGTATGAAGGTTTCACTGAATACCAAGAGCCTGAGAAACTGCTTGGGTGATTTGACTAGTAAAGGCCAGTCTGTTATGGAACTGTATAGAGGTGGGAAGGCCAAACCGAGGAATTATATCTGACAGAAGGGAAGAAATGACCGCGGTGAACTTCTCAGACCCTGTGGGAAACGCCTCTACCCACCCAGTGAAAGTGTCTACCCAGACCAAGAGGTATTTTAGTTTCCTGACTCAGGGCATGTGAGTAAAGTCAATTTGCCAGTCCTGGGCAGGGGCAAATCCCCAAGCTTGATGTGTAGGGAAGGGAGGGGGCCTGAACGATCCCTGAAGAGTAGTGGAATAGCAGATGGAACACTGAGAAGTGATTTCCTTGAGGATAGATTTCCATGATGGAAAGGAAATAAGAGGTTCTAAGAGGTGGGCTAGTGGCTTGTAACCTACAAGGAAGAGGTTATGAAATGATGACAGAATAGAATGGGGCTATGAGGATGGGAAGAGATATTTTCCTTGGTCCAAGAACAATTTGCCTTGTGTGGGAAGAGATTGATAGGTGGAAGTTTCAGTGGGGGAGTAGGTGGGAGTGACCGATGAGAAGGAGAAAAACTTGCCATGAGGGATAGAAGTTGGAATGCTACCTGCTTTTTTAGCTACCTTATCAGCATAAGAGCTGCCCTGAGCGATGGGATCTGATGCCTTTTGATGGCCCTTGCAGTGAATGACTCCAGTTTCCTTTGGAAGTAAAGCGGCCTTGAGAAGAGTTTTTATTAAAGAGGAATTAATGATGGAGGACCCTTGCATAGTGAGGAAACCTCTTCTTGCCCAAATAACAGCATGGTGGTGCAGGATATGGAAGGCATATTTAGAGTCAGTATAAATATTGACGCATAGTCCTTTTGCAAGAGTGAGGGCTCGAGTTAAGGCAATGAGTTCGGCTTGCTGAGAGGTAGTGGAGAGGGGCAGAAAGTATATGAGTCAGGTGTGAGGAAGAAAATAGATTTTGGAAGTTATGAGAACTGTAGAGAGTGAGTTGAGCACAGTTTGTGATTTTGAGGGCCTCTAAAAGTATTAAGGCAGTGGGAGCCGCCGCATGCAGACATGAGGGCTAGGCTAAAACAGTAATCTCAAGTTTTTTGGATAAAAAGGCCACAGGGCGTGGTCCCAGTCCTTGGGTAAGAATTTCGACCACACAGTATTGACTGCTTCTAGCCTACTGAGTCATAAATTTAAAAGTTTATGTAAATGTCTAATGTTCTTCTTAAAATAATAATAAGCCTTAAAAATAATATTATTTTTCCATGGCAGTTGTTAGATTAGTACTACTTATAACTTAAATTTTAACAGGCTATTAGGGCAGAATTTCTACATAAAAATTTGAATTCAAACATCTTAAAATTAATGTAAGTCCTTCTTTCCCACTCTCCTTTCCACAGTCATGCCTTTGCACCTTCTTAACCTCCTTCCTTTCTTCCTTCCTTATTAAGCACCTTTGATGCCACAGGTGCTGTAGAACAAAAATAGAGTAAAACTTGGTCAGTCAGTGTTAAGATGTAACCCTTGAATGAAGAGGTAAACTGAATCAAATGACAGAAATACAGGCACTTTCAGTTTTTTGGATGCCTTCTTAAGGGGAAACATTGAAAAAATAGACCACGTTATTCATTGGCAAAGGCGTGATGAATTTTGTTCTCAAATACACCAAATACAGCATTCCAGAAGCAAAGTGCCCAGATCTTTTGTCTTTAAACTGTAGTAATTACTTTAGATAATCTTTCACCAGAATTACAAGCCACGTGCTTTGAAAAGATGAAAAATTCCAGCGGGCACCGCCTGCCATGTCTTCTGTTTGTGAAGTTTCCTGACCCGAGGGCTCTTTTGGGCTGCGGTTTCTTATTCCTTCTGTCGCCAGCGGGGGAAATAGCCAATGACATTATTAGCTTTGCTGATTGTTGAATAATTGGGAATGACTAGGGACATCTTCTGCTCACACTAGCACAGTCTAGCATTTTACGGAGATAGCCTGAGGGAGGAAGCTTATACCACCATAGGCTGACAAGGGCTATTTTTCCAAATAAAGGAAAGTACTGGTATTAGCGTGGAAGTAATTTCCTCTGGAGACCAACATACAACATACAACAGCTTCCATGCAAAGTATTGAACCCAATCTGGTAATTTGTATATACTTTTAAAATTTCAGATAATGCTTTTTTTTTTTTTTTTACAGCCATGGAGCAAGCTATGATGCCTATTCTCCTTCCTCTTCTTTTCCTTCATCTTGCATTTTGTGTGTGTGTGTTCAAAGGAGTGTATTCATTTTTTCCTTTGTTTTACTGAGATAGAATTCACATACCATACAATTCACCTGTTTTAAAGTATGTACTTTAATGGTTTTACTATATCCACAGAGTTGCATAACCATCACCACAATCAATTTTAGAACATTTTATTCACCTCTATCCTTTAGCAGTCACTCTTCATTTTTCTCCAGCTTCATTCCCACCCCCAACCCCAACCCTCAGAAACTACTAATCTCCTTTCTGCTTCTATAAATTTGCCTACCATGGACATTTAATATAAATGAAATCGTACAATGGGTAGTCTTTTGTGTCTGCTTTATTTCACTTAGCATAATATGTTTAAGGTCTGTGTTAGTCCATTCTCACATAGCTAAAAAGAACTACCTGAGACTGGGTAACGTATAAAGAAAAGAGGTTTATTGACTCACAGTTCTGCAGGCTGTACAGGAAGTATAGCTGGGGAGGCCTTAGGAAACTTACAGTCATGGCAGAAGGTGAAGAGGAAGGAAGCCCCTCTTAGATGGCCAGAGCAGAAGGAAGAAAGGAGGGGGAGGTTGTACACACACTTTTAAACAACCAGATCTCATGAGAACTCACTCACTGTCACAAGAATAGCAAGGGGGATATCTGACCCCATGATCCAATTATCTCCCATCAGGCCCCTCCTCCCTCCTCCAACACTGGGGATCACAATTTAACATGAGATTTGGGTGGGGAAAAAATTCAACCATAGCAAGATCTGTCCACATTGTGACACGTATCAGAAGTTTATTCCTTTTTACAGCAGAGTAATATTTCATTGTATGGATATACCACATTTTAGTTCTTTCGTTTTCTTGAAGCATTGAAGTTTTATCTTTCCAACTAGAGTACAACTATTTTGAAGGAGGGATTTTACCCCCTACTAAGCTTTTATTTTTCATCCCATAGAATGCAGCACCTACAACATAATAGACATTCGATACTGTTGAACTGATGCTCAGAAGTCAATGTGGAAAAAATGAGTTCAGCATCTTTTTGGCTTTGACAGAGTGAAGGTTGTTTAGGGAAGAGAGGAATGGGAAAGTGAGAGAAGTGGTTTGATGTACTAGATTAAATGAGTGTGAAATTAAAAAGGGAAAGATAAAGAAGAGACATGAAGCCACTTAGTAGTACACAGAGGACCTTTGCCTGAAGAAGAAGGCTCATAGATAGAGTGGTAACAGCCAAATGGAGACACCCACAGACCAACACAGGCAGTTTGAGTAAGAGCCAAAATGTTAAGAGTACCCATCACAGATCACATACAAAATTTTGGCAGAGATAACTGTGTACATAGCTTTGTTCCATTAGTTTGTACTGTAGAGATATCCTGAAATTGTTGGGTTTGACTGTAAAACTAGTTCATAACTGAGACTTTCTGTAACTTGTCACTACCCTCATCGCCGTCATCACTGTTGTCACCACCACCACCACCACCACCATCACCATCGTGAACATTTGTCAAACACCTATTAAAATTTCATGAAAAATAGCCATTTCCTGGTGCCCAGGGCACTATGTGACAACATTTTACATGAGCTATTTCATTAGTCTTCTTAACAATCCTATGAGGCAGGACCTATTAATATCACCAGTTTTACATATGAGAAAAATGAAGTTGGAATTCAAACTGCATTTGATTGACTCTGTTGCCTATATATTTTCTAAAGTAGTTTTTAGTTGAAGCTCCCAAAAGTTTAATTTCCCCTTCAGTCTATTTCGACTTCATGCTGATTTCATTTTTATGATGGTTTGTATCATTGTCAACAAATATGGATACCCCTTCCACTCCCATTGTGGGTGCTTTCTACCCCTCTAACTTGGGCTCACGTGGCTGACCACAGCCAATGGAATAATAGGAGACATCATGTAAGCAGAGGCCTTAAATGTGCTTGCAACCTTTGGCATGCCTTTCATGCACTGGTGATCCATGAGAAGAGGATGCCCAAATAGCCACTGCCCCTTTAGTTGGGACCTTAGAATGAATACGTATGGAGCCGATTTGAAACAACCCCTCTGGGGCCAACACAGCTGACTTTCAACCTGAAGGTCACTCAAATCAGCTCAACTATGCCAATTCATGAGCTTGAGAATCAGTGTTTGATATTACAAGCTGCTGGGTTGGGGTGGTTGTTACACAGACTTATCTGGCAATAGTATCTATTACAATAGGATCTCTTTTTTCTGTCATTCATTTAGCAGTTGATTCAACCATGACTGATTTGATTCTGTACCATGTGCCAGTTACTATTGTAGGTGTTGGACATATAAAGACACCCATGGGAAAGTCTTTATTGTCTTGATGTTTAGTTTTGAGTCAGGAAAAACAATGTGTCTATACATTATTAGAAGACACGATAAAATCTGGTAAGTGCCCTAGCAGGCCACTGTATCTATGCTCGGGGAGGTCTGAGGAGAGGATATTATGACAGTGGAGGTATTCAGAAAGGCTGAGGGACTATGAACATGCGAGGTAATTCTGTAATAACTAGAATTTAATTCCTCCAAACACCAAGAAATGCCATTTTTGTAAGTTTTACTATCCTACTTTTAGCAGAGATTATATCCTCATCAAAAAATTTAGAAATTAAATATCCCTTATCAAAAATTGAGAAATTAGAATCTCTCCCAGTAATTCATTGATATGAGCATGTAATCAAGACGCATGCATGAAACTGTAAGAATGAAACTACAAAATCTTCTCATTTTGTTCTTTTTCATATCACCTAGCCTGGATTATAAAAATAAAATATCTGTTGTTGGATTGCTGCATCTGTCACTTTTTACCAATTTTTTTGTGGTCACTACCTGGCATGGTGGGTAGAGGTGGTGCTGCCCAATGGTTAGGCATTTGGGTTCTGGGGTCAGACAGACCTTGATGAAGATCCAAGCCTCTCAAATTACTTAACTTTTCTACACCTAATAATCCTTATAAAGGGTCAGCCATGTGGTTACCAAATGTTACATTTTACTCAGTTTGATCTAAACCCTTGATGAACAACCCTGAGACCCAGCTAGCTGTCAACTACTGCTACCTACTATTGTATTATGGTCCACAGACTGATTTCAAATACTTTTCAGTTCAGACCACACAATAGACTTAAGGAATTTTTTTTTTTAAAGACATCGTATTGGGTGAAGAGGGGTGTCTTACAATCACTCATCCAGGGCAATAACGATCTAGCCAAGTGAGAACAATGAAGAGGGAGAAGTGACAAGTCTGCAGGAGTGGCAGCAGGCCCCAGCAGGCTGAGGTCTGGGTGCTGGAAGCCCGTGGAGCTCACATGGGTTCACACGGCACAGAATAGCCCAAGTGTTAGATGGCCGCCATTCTCTAGGACCAGCCAGATCACTCCAGGTAGCAGGGTTCCCTCTGCCAAGCCCTCCCCATATGAACAAAGAAGAGATCCCAGGCCACAACTGAGGGAGTCCTGGTTGGGTGAGCAGAGTGCCTCATCATATTCAGCTCAGTGTGACATACCAGGCTCTCCATAAACCTCACACTTAATGGAATAAGCTCATTTCAGCTCCAGATCCCTAGTGAACTTGTGGACAAGTATGACTTTATCTCTCTGAACCTCAGCTTTCTTAAATAAAAGTGGAGCTGATAATACCTATTCATCACCCTCAGGGTTAAGGATGGAATGAAATACCTTCTATAAACAGACTTCTCTAATGTGCTTATTTGATGGGAGGGATGAAGGGCTATAAGGCTATTGCCATTTTGTGACTCCCCAGATGTGCCAAGGTATTTACATCTCAGCAGGGCTAGGCAGACCTGCAGTCTAAGTGGTAAGACATAGGCGAGGGATTATACACCTTTTCATTTTGAGAAAGGAAAAAGAAACCGTTCACCTCAGGAACACATTTTAGCTTTTCTAAATTGACCCTCATACAGTAAAATGGTATTCACCATGATGGGGACATGAGGACTTACAGGTTCATTCTCACTCTTGTGCACAGCAGCTGTTTCAGGAAAACGAATGGTAGGCTGTCATCAGAGTGCTTTTCTGAGTATGATTTAAGCATCTTCCTTTTCAAAAGCAAGTTCGGTTTTTTTTTTTTTTCATTTTAAACCAATTTAATACCTTTGTTCAGTACCAGCCATTATTATTTTCTCTCATGCACATATTTCAAATTCCTCACATGACAGTTTTGAGAAACTAATGAAAATTAGAGTGTGTTAGCATATCACATTCCTACAGAGACCTGCTAATACATTCAATTACACTTCGTAATGGTAATGGAGACTACAGAGAAAAGCTTTGCCATTTATACCTGCTTGACTGAGTGTTCTCTCTCTCTCTCCCTCCCTCTCTCTCCCCACCAAAAATTTGGGAAAAATATAGCGTAATGCAAAGGAAGTCATTTTCGATGCTATTTTTAAACGTGTCTATTTCTGAAAATGCATTGCTTCTCGATAAGAAACAGGATAGTGATGGCACACGTAACTTACTTCTTATTTATCAGTTAGGAGCATTAGCATTAGTCCATTTATCTAAACTACTGAAATTTTTCCTTCTGCTCACCAAAGACTTCAAAGAAATTTAATAAAGGTATTTTTTCTGCCTAAATATATACTTTGGCAATTTGATTTTGTTTTAAAGTAGGATAATTACATTTTCTCCATCCATTCTGTGAATCACAGCTCCCTTGTGAATTCCTTTGAAAACCCTGATGAGGAATGGAAGATGTGAGTGACTGGTGTGTGATCGTGTTGATGTTTTCTCATCTCCTGAGCCTGGTTTGAAATTCAGCTCTGCCCAGCAGGACTTGCCCTCAGTTTTGAGGCATTATTTTGAGATGTGTGGGCTCGGGTAACTGTGTGTGCGTGGCCAGTGGGTTGGCCAACTCATCTTCTGGCAAATAAGTGTGGGAGACCTCAATCCTTGATGTCAAACACTTTTATAGCCTATTATGGAATAAATTGAATGCAGATTTATTCTTCATAAATGTGTCAGTTTCAATATTTTCTGTTTTACATGATGAACTTCTGGAATTCAGAGACAGTGCTAGTAAATTGATTTTGTGTTACCTGTAATATGGATTTTGACAAAAAATTTAACAATACATTTCTTTACTAGATAATGACTTAGTAAGCTAGTGTTTTCTAATATGTTTATTAATTTGTTTGTATCAGATCAAATACTGGCTGATTTTTCCCAATGAGATCGAAAAGTTAGGACAGATATATAGACTTTGGCTGACCTGGGTGAGTTCTGTGCCAGGCATTGTGCTATCTATTGTGATTCTAAAGATAGACAAGGCGGAGTTAGTTATTTAAACTGCAAATTGCGAGTACTTGGCAAATGAAAGTTATTCATTTTCTGACCTTTTTTGAATTTTCTAGTCTTGGAATCCATGACAGGAAGCCAGAATTTCTAGCTTTGATGTGGTTTCAATTTGATGTAGTCTAAGCAGAATACTATAATTGTATGAATTAAGAAAATATAAAAGAACAATTAATGAAGTAGATAATTTTTAAAATGAGAAACATTATTCATTATTTGGTCTATGAAAATATACATGTATCCAAGATAGGATATTAAAGTTTTATTCTATGTAGCCCACACATATATTTATGCATGTGAATGGTATTTTCAATACACTTTGTGCATAGCTGTGTTCAGATCCCTCAAAGCACAGCCCGTGATGAGTAAGAAAGACTGTAGCTGCAGCTCTGGGGTCCCCGAGGAGCTATGGCTCATCCTCATCTCAGCGGGCTTCACTCCCAAGGGGTGGGTGCTACATCTCCATCCTCCCCTGTCCCAGCAACATTCTCCTCTTTTGTTAGCCAGGAATCCTGGAAGAATAGCAAGAGCAGAGGGTAGCATAAGGCTTGTGTTCCTTCCTAACTGCTGCCTTTCTGATTAGGAAGCATTGAAAAAGGTGCCTGTGTTTCCTCTGCATCTTTCTTTGGGAGAATTTTTCATGTAAATCATGAGATAAGAGTTATTCAGATTGATCAGTTTGAACATCCATTCTGTTTTGGTTGGCAGTCATGCTCTAAAAACTTCAGTGTAGATCATTTTTAATAACCATATGGAAACAAGGGCAATTTCTAATTGAGATTTTTTTTTTCTTTTCTATTAGAACAGGTTGCCACTGACTGTAAAGGGAAAGAATATTGGAAGTTATTTTTAAAGGTAGAGATGGGAGAAAGGAGTAATTTGAAATCTGAATTGTTCAGCTGCCGTCACACACATTATGGCTAAAAAGCTTCATGGTAAAGAATGACGGCTGGGCGCGGTGGCTCATGCCTGTAAATCCAGCACTTTGGGAGGCTGAGGCGGGCAGATCACGAGGTAAAGAGATCGCGACCATCCTGGCCAACATGGTGAAACCCTGTCTCTACTAAAAATACAAAAATTAGCTGGGTGTGGTGGCACGTGCCTGTGGTCCCAGCTACTCCAGAGGCTGAGGCAGGAGAATCGCTTGAACCCGGGAGGTGAAGGTTGCAGTGAGCTGAGAATCCATACCACTGCACTCCAGCCTGGTGACAGAGTGAGACTTCATCTCAAAAAAAAAAAGAAAAAAAAAATTGCCGGGTGTGGTGGTGTACACCTGTAATCCCAGCTACTCCGGAGGCTGAGATAGGAGAATCACTTGAACCTGGGAGGTGGAGGTTGTAGTGAGCTGAGATCACGCCACTGTCCTCCAGCCTGGGTGACAAGAGCAAGACTCTGTCGCAAAAAAAAAAAAAAAAAAAAAAAAAGAATAACAGACATAAAATTAAGCAGAAGTCTGCAAAATCTAGTCAAGATTCAAGGAGGAAGCCTTAAGCATGGTTAATGCTAAAGTTTTTCTCACATATTGAAGAAGGACATATTATTAACTTCAACATTTACCCAAATAAACCAGTCCCATCCCATTTAAAACAGGTTCAATGGGAAGCATCATTATTAAAATAAATAAAATTGTATGATGATGCTATTTCCTCAATACCAAAGTGGAAAAGCACCTAGAAAAGTTGCCAAGCCAAACAGCCACAGGCTTTGCAAGATTGTGCATCAATGCTATTGACCTACAAAGTTAGACCTGAGGACTTTGTCTTTAAGATCACTTAGATTCTTATCTTGTTGCTTAGCAATTAAGTATTTTTTAATTTAATGTTAGCTTCCCTTGTCCTGCCTCCTCACCTCCTCAAAAATCCCTTTGAAAATTCGCTAGACTCTTGTAGAAACTTTAAAATTGCATAATAGTAAGTTTGATTCCTTAATCCTCTGTAAACCTGCTTTAACATCCAGTAGACGTTAACAATGGTTGGACACTGATGGATAGTGATTGCTTTGTTGAATGGGGTGGGACACAGGATCTCAGAAGCTCAGCTTTTTAACCCAATCTCTAAATTCTTCTTCATATGAGAGCCTCCTGAAATGCCCAGCTCCAGCAATTAAGATATCTGATTCAAATATGGATGTCCAACATTGGAAGATTTCCTCCAAGAATTTCTTTTCTCACATTTCTTCATTTTAATGGGCTTCGGCAGCACATGATGAAATTTTCTGCCCACTTGCTGGGGAGCTCAATTTGGGGGCTTCATTGGCTACGGTGAAGTCAAAGGACCCTCATCACAATATATGTGATGGAGCAATTGACCTTTATTTGGAAGATGGACCTTTTGTACCTGGTAAAGTGAAGTGCTCAGGAGACAGCCAGAGAAAGCAGGGGCACGTCGCAGACATTTTGCATGTCAGGACAACCTTTTCAACTTGGTTTTTGCCTTGTAAAACAAACTAACTCTCTTTCTCTGTCTTTAATTTTTTTTTTTTTTTTTGCTCAAAAGTTTAATGGTTGTATGCCCATATTCTCATAAGTTTTCAAAATGTCTGTAACGAGTGTGTGTACTTTTAAATGATGATTCAGATCTTAGCTTTTTAAGAGTTATGTACATGGTTAACATCCAGCGGTCTCAAAACTCCGCTGTGCTCTTTTCTTCACTGTTGCCAAGCCTTTGTGGTTACAGAATCTTTTAACTTTACCTGTAAACTTTAAATAACTTAACTTTTAATGTTTTGAAGTAATCTTGTTTGTTTCTTTAGAGTTTGAATTCATGCTTACCTAAAATCATTTTCCCCTCAATTTATTTATAAAATGCTTAGAAGGAAATCTTATTCTTAGAATACTTATTTTTTCTGTCATACAACAATGACAGTCTAACATGAAGATGTTTGATTTATTTTCCTATTTTATTGTTCTGCTTTAATTCATACAGATCCAGAAGTAATGAATTATACCTTTTGTTAAAACTTTCTCTTTTGTTTAATGGAAAGTGAACAACAGGGTTGTTATACACACATTACAAAACTTTTTTCTTTTTCTTTGTAAGAAAATAATGAGCTAGACTGCAACCACACTGTAAGAATGTTTGTGGCATTTGTGATTATTTCTCTGTTTTAAGAAGTCCATTTCCTCTTTCTTACTTTAAAAATTGGATAAAAGTTTTTATCTTTTTGTTCTTTTCATTCTACCTATTGTCTTAGTGCATTTAATTCTATATGACAAGGGGCTGTGAAAAAGATCTCGAATAATGTTCCCATTGGTAGATGTGCTGCCTCTCTCAGCCTCAGTTTCCTCATCTGTAAAATGAGAGAGTTGTATGAGATGATCCCAGAGGTCTCACAAAGCTCTAAGTTAGGTGCCACTTTAATGATACCAGTGAGCAAGATGAACAAGTCATTTCAGTGGCTGAATTACCCTGCTCATGTTCCACATTCTTGAGATGTGACCTTTACATTCAAACTGCGAGTTCGTCATCTCTGGATTCCCTGAAAGACATTCATTCTTAAAGATGTCTGCCAGCGGCCATTTAGCCCAACCCTTTCATTTTCCAGATAAGAAAAATAAAACAGTGTTTTATTGAAACATCAATAGGAAAGCATATAAACTGACTTTTTGTTTTCTTTCTAATAGCTATGCAATCCCAGTCTTACTATAAATAATCCCAAACTAAGGCTTCAAAACCACAAAACTCATTCTGTAAACATTCTGTCTAAGGCTAAGACCTACCTACTGCCTCTATGGGAGCCCTTCTCTCCTGCCTGGGGTGCAGGGCCTCAGTGCTAATATGAACAGGGTCCCAGTCGTTAGTTGGCTGCCATCTGCACTGTTGTCACCCCAGAATAAATAATTGAGAAGCACATGCCACTGAGGTGTGCCTAATTCTGCGAAAATAACTGTTACTTCCCCAGATCCAAGAAATTTAGCAAACTCATCACACTGTAATAACAATTTTATTCATTATTAATCCTGGTGAGGAATACTTCAGCTGCTTTACATCTATTTCATACCCTCCACTTTGACCCCTCTCTTTGATACTGCAAATCCTCACGTTGAAGGGCATGTGAAATTATTGGTGAATCAGAAAGGTGATGTTTCATTCCGTATATTAATGCTTCTTTTGTAAATTAAGAATTTATTTTTGTTTGTAGTTAACTCAAATATGCTTTTTTTTATGGGCTTCAGTGTTCCATTAATTTTTAAAGGAATTAAATATTTGCTTAGATGTGCCTTCCACAGTTCTTTCAATCATGTGGGTAGATTTTTTCCCCTTAATTGTCTATGTTAAAAAGGGGAAAAAAACAACTAAAACACACAGTAAAGAAGGTAATTTTTTCCAGCTGTGTAGTAGTTCTATTCCTTCATTTGACTTTGATGTAGTCAAAAAGTGGCCGCCTGGTCTGACTTAAACTTTACTTCTTTTACCCCGTGGCAACATTTAGAGGGAAGAGAAATACAATCTCTAACTGGAAAATCTCCCAAATTCATTAGACTTACCACTTATTTACCAATCAGAAGTTATTTTAAGTTGCGGTTTTCTGCTCCAGTAAAGTGTATAGTCTGAAGTATTTTGTTACTCAGAATTTGGTGTATTTTATGGAAGACTTTACTAAAAGGAAAGAGACAGAAAAGAGGGAAAGAGAAAGAGGGAAGGAAAGAAGGAAGGAAGGAAGGAAGGAAGGAAGGAAGGAAGGAAGGAAGGAAGGAAAGAGAGAGAGAGAGAAAGAAAGAAAGAATGTCCTAAGGTAAAGAAGAGTCTTTACTAAAAAGGATGGAAGGAAGGGAGGCAGGAAAGAAAGAAATGATAAGTTCCTAATACATGAGCAAGGGTTTGTCTGGGATCTCAACTTGCCTGGGGTTAACTAGTGTTGTAGGTCCAAAGTAACTGGATTTAAATGTCATACATAATGACAAGTAGGAAAATTGGTACGTTATTTGCATGTGAATGGGGATAGAGGTGACTGGATGTTGATTCATTGCATGATGAATGTTTGCCCTTGGTGAAATGTTTTACCTTCCATGAAATTATAAACAATATTTCTTACTGACTGTAAAATGTAGACACCAAGCCTAGAAGTGTCTGCTCCTGAAATGCTGCTCTAATTAGAAAACTGTTTTTAAAAAACAAAACAAACAAAACCCAATCAGAGGAGGGAGGAATCTTGGAATTCTACACTTTTGAGGAAGGACTTGCCTTCATGTATTGCTTTAGGTTTAGGAGAGTTGGGAGTGGACCTGGGAAATATAATTCCAAGACGCATTAGAGATAAATGGACAAAGACAGTTTACTCACATTCTTTGGAAAATATTTTTGAAGTCTCTAAAATAAATTAGATTTATTATTCTTATACTGTTTTGTGTTAGTAATGTTTCTCTATATATTGATCTAATGTGCTTTTTAATTTGTAAAGCTAATACTTTTGCAGGAATAAACACAATCTCAGCTGTGAGACTATTAAGGAAAAAGTTTTTTCTAGATAATGCATCAGTATGTCTTCAAAACTTATAATTAGAGAGTCTTAGAACTTGATAAAAAAAGTTTCTTAATTTTTTGGAGAAATATTATCAAATATTTCCATTGATTGAAAACATTGATTTTCCAAGGTCACTTTTCTTCTTAAGCTTTTCCTTCAATTGGATTATAGTGATTGAATGATGGAAAACTTTCCCCAGTATTCTGCCGTGACAACTTGCAGTATATGTGTATTACACATTTTAACCTAGTAATTCTCCAAATCATCACAAGAGACATGGGATTCATGGAAACCCTTGGATTAGCCCAGGGTCAAACAATAAATTAGGATCAGTGTCAGAATTAGAGTTCACTAGGGACGCTGAATTTTGAGTTTGTTGTTGAAGCATACTGGTTGTGGTTTGATATGCATAGAATCAGAGGTCAGGATGCTCACAGATAGGTTTTTGTACTCTCTGAAAAGACACTACAAAACCAAACATCAGAGAGCATGCAGGATGCCCGCTTCTTAAGATGTGGAATGCCAGAATCCCCGGACTTTAACAAGGAGATGCCATAATCAGAGGCTCCGTGGGACTTCCAGGCTGGGGCAACCCCACACGACAGGACATCTTACTGATTTGAAGAAATGCCACTAGCAGTTGATGGCATGTGCAAGGAGGGATGACAATCGCCACTTGGGGGTCACTGGGCCTGACATATTTCTTTCAAGAAATTGAACAAAGGCCAGCTCCCCTGGGCTATGTAAGGTAAACATTCCAATCAGCATCACCCATGGAAGCTGATTTGGAAATCATTCTCAAGAAATACTGTCCAAGCTCATTTCTCTAAGCCCACGCAATATAATTTTAAAGCAAAAAGAACATTGACCCTTCCTCTGCTTGAGGTGGTAATGTTGATTCCCATGTTAGAATAATAGAATTTTTCTATACGTTATGTATTTATACACTTACTGCAGATTCAGCACAGAGGCCATCCTGGGAAAAAGAGCAAGTTACATTGAATTCTAATGTGTTACATATGATCTTGCACAGGTGTGTGAATACTTTTCATCTCAAAGCATTTCCCATAGTTTTATATAGGAGCAGGGTATAAGCTCGGATAATGGTGAAGTAGGCCAAGGAGAAAACCTAAGAATTGATGAGGTCTGTGATAAATTGTGGCACCTCAGTGTCATATGAGTTGAGTTGGTCCTATGCAGCTCTAGCTGCTGATTGTGTGAGAAATACAGACCCAGTGCTATCAGACCTTAAGACTTGCTTTCACAATAAATTAACACTCCAGGTTTTTAGGTGAAACTTTGCCATCTAATGAAATACATCCACGGGCCGGAACTGGCTCTCGGATCATCAGTTTGTGATAGACTAGGATCATTACCAGTGGCTTAGTATATGTCAAGTTCTGTGTCAACTGTTATCTTTGTCTCTATTTCTATATCTGTCTGTCTGTCTATGTATCTATCTATGTATCTATCTATCTATCTATCTATCTATCTATCTATCTATCTATCTATCTAGTCTTATCTATTCACAGTTGACCCTTGAACAATATGGGGGTTAGAGGTGCCAACCCCCTGTGCAGTCAAAAATTCAAGTATAGCTTTGACTCCCTCAAAACTTAAAGTACCAATACTCTACTGGTGACTGGAAGGAAGCCTTACTGATAACATGAGTAGTCAATTCATAGACCAGCGTGGTGGTATGTGCAGTGAGCCATGATCATGCCACTGCACTCCAGCCTGGGCGACAGAGTGAGGCCCTATCGCAAAAAAATAAAATGAGAGATACATTTGCATCAATTGTTTATGCTTCATGGATTCTTAAATATTCAATCCTTCTTGACCTGTTCGGTTTCCACTTATGTTTATTGGTAACTATCACTTCTTAATCTCAAAGGATTTCGATTGGCCTGTTTATGTCTCATGCTTAATAATATCCAGCTTGATACAGTACTTGTGTACTGTAGTATGCTAAACTAGAGAGCTTATCGTTATCACTGCACAATAATCTGTAGAAAACTTTGTAATTTGAAAACTTCAGGTGGCACTTGTAGTGTTGTATAAATATATGCAGAAATAAAACCATATTCAGAATTATTTCTTTTAGAATTAGAGTAATCATGCTTTAGAAAAAACTGCATTTCTTATCTCTTTTAATGTGTATAAAATAAACTTGAAATTTCACTTTGGGTTACCATAGAAAATAGTTGATCATATATATTTTGTGTTATATGTATTACACACTGTGCTCTTAAAGCAAGCCAGATAAAAGAAAATGTTATTAAGAAAATCATAAAGGCCAGGCGTGGTGGCTCATGCCTGTAATCCCAGTACTTTGGGAGGCCAAGGTGGGTGTATCACCTGAGGTCAGGAGTTCAAGACCAGCCTGGCCAACATGGTGAAACCTCATCTCTAATAATAATAATAATAATAATAATAATAATAATAATAATAATAAAATAGCTGGCCATGGTGACAGGCACCTGTAATCTCAGCTACTCAGGAGGCTGAGGCAGGAGAATTGCTTGAACCTGGGAGGTGGAGGTTGCAGTGAGCTAAGATCATGCCATTGCACCCCAGCCTGAGTGACAAGAGCAAAACTCCACCTCAGAAAAAGAAAATCATAAAGAATAGAAAATACATTTATTACTCATTAAGTAAAAATAGATCATCATAAGGTTCTTTATTCTGTCATCTTCATGTTGAGTGGCTGAAGGGAGGAAGAAACATTTAAAACATAGAACAGGCCAGAAATGGTGACTGAATAGATGCAGGGGATGATCAAGATGAGGTTAAGTTTTCTGGTTTAATTAATTGTGCAGTTGGTGAAACCATTCACCAAGATTTGGAGCTTGAAAGAGGGGGGTTTGAAGGGGGTGGCTGATGAAGCAATCAGGTTTGGATGGGTTGAGTCCGAGTTTCAGGTGCCAGTGGGACATTCAAGTGGAAATTTCCAGAAGTCATTTGGAGAGGTTTGATGCTCTAGGGAGCAACTTAGGCTGGATAGATGATTATAAGTGGTAGATAGTGAGGGAAAATATGGAAGAGGATGAGTTGGCCACAGTAGGGTGTGTATTAAGAAGCAGCACAAACACTTTGAGAGTATTAGTTCCAGACATTGTGAGTTGCTAAAAGCAGCCTTCATTAGGGCTTCTTGATGCCCTGGCAAGATGTCACTCTGAACAGATAGAATATCAGCACCCTTCAGAATTCACCTTCCAAGAGGAAATTTAGGCAACTTGAGAGGCATCGCTCACTGAATAACTCACACCCTCTTCTGAAAATGTAGCCTTTGAGCTTATCTCAGTAAAAGATAATGCCTCTACAATTTAGGTAACAGAGTGTTGATGTTCACTCAAACCCGTTCTTCTGTTGGACCACTACAAGAGATTAAGTAAATTGATCAAGGTTACGTGACAGAATTTGAACCCAGGTCTGTAGGTCTTGACTTCAACCCATGATCAGTTAGGTTGATCCTGTTAGTGGGGAGACTTCCCTCTAAGGCCAGCTGTCTGTTTTATAGAAGCAGATTTGTGAAATGCATCAGTGCATGTATTAGTCCTTTTTCACACTGCTATAAAGACCTCCTGAGACTGGATAATTTATAAAGGAAGGAGATTTAATTGACTCCGTGTTCAGCATGGCGAGGGAGGCCTCAGGAAACTTACAGTCATGGCAGAAGGCAAAAGGAAGTGAGGCATCTTCTTCACAGGGCGGCAAGAAGGAGAATGAACACAGGAGGAACTACCAAACACTTAAAAAACCATCAGATCTCGTGAGAACTCACTCATTATCATGAGAACAGCATGTGGGAAACTACTGTCATGATTCAATTACCTCCACCTGGTCTCTCCCTGTATATGTGGGTATTATGGGGATTACAATTCAAGCTGAGACGTTGGGTGGAAACACAGCCAAACAACATCAGTGCATAAACTAGTCCACTTCCAATAAAGGAGCTCAAAGCCTCTGGCTGACAAGGGTCCACCCCCACTGTCATCCTCCTTTTAGCTGATGTACAAGACCTTACAACCATTCTTCTGCTAGAAATAGAAAACTCTGAAAGAGATATAAACAGTAGTCTCAACTTTGGATCCTCAGATTTGGAGATGATGTGTCTAAAATATCTCTGTTCAGGTGGGAGAAATGTGCTTGGTACTCTTTTGGCTGCATCTGCAAGTCATCAAGAAACATAAAGAAAGTAATTGGTCCAAAACTTTATTTGGAATTGTAGTTCAATCAAAAATTTACTTTTAACTTCTGCATTTATGTACCAGTTAAAAGGCACTGGCCAATGATGCTTCACTATATACATTTAATTACCATAAAAACTTGATAGAAAACATTATTTTTCTTCCACACTAACATTGCATTAAACTTTAGCCATTTGAACTGATAAAAGCCATCACCCTGCAATGAAGAATTAATCGTGGAAGTGCATTCAAATAAGAGAATATTTTTTAGATGACCTCTGTTGGATTCTTATTAGCAATGTTTATGTTCCATGTAATGTTTTCCATATGCCGTTACTGTTTGAAAGTTTGGTCTTGCATTTATTCTTCTCACCAGCTGTGGAAGTCCAGACCCTAGGCAGCAGCTTCTACCCAAATGCCTGCATAATCTGGCATTCTGGCCACCAGAACTATTTATTTTATTTTAGTTTAGTTTTGTTTTTCATGGAATGAGGGTTTGGGTCACATATTTGTGAATATAATCATAAGCTTCAGATGTCTTTTATCTTTATGATGGGGCCATCTTGTCATATGCTTAGCTGACTTCCAATTTGCGGAATATTGGCATGTTTCATAGCTCTAAAGATAAAACCAAATATTCTAGAAAATTCACATGAAATGAATTATACTGTGACTTTTTCAAAATAGCTTCATTATTTTTATAAAAGGGATGTATGCTCAATGAATGAAAAGAAAGTCAGTTAATAAAAGTATAAACAAGCTGGGCATAGTGGCTCACACCTCTAATCCCAGCACTTTGGGAAGCCAAGGCAGGCAGATCACCTGAGGTCACGAGTTCGAGACCAGCCTGGCCAACATGACAAAACTCCGTTTCTACAAAAATACAAAAATTAGCCAGGCATGATGGCACATGCCTGTAGTCCTACCTACTCTGGAGGCTGAGGCAAGAGAATCGCCTGAACCCAGGAGGCAGAGTTTGTAGTGAAGTGAGATCGCGCCACTGCGCTCCAGCCTTGGCAATAGAGCGAGACAACGTCTCAAAAAAAAAAAAAAAAAAGTACCAACAGGTGGAAAAAAGCCACCTGAAACTTTACCAGCTGGGCAAGAACATGGCTCAGTGACCGCTCTCCCCAGAACTCTTGCTCTGTGAATATATTACCATGCCTTTTAAATGGTATTGTTTATTAATAAGGGTATAAGTGTACCTTATATGTTGACTTACAGAGAGTGACAAAATAATTTATTGCCTACATCTGGACACTTTGGAGAGTGAAAGGTGCTATTAACAATCAGACTGGCACAACAGATGTGTACCTGAACTGTCCCAGGCACCTTGAACTAGTATTGCCCTCCACTTAGACCCTTTACCATACACGAAGTTATTCATTTATTACGCATTCATTGAACATTTATTCAATGCCAGACATTAATTAATAAAGTTAATAAAACACACAAGGGCCTACAGTTCAGCAGAAGATAAAGTGTCACTCAGTAGGGACTGTGGTGAAGGACACCTGTCATATTGTAAGCCATATGGACTCTCAGGGAAGGTAGAGGTAACTTTCAAAGGATTAGTGGAGTTAGGGTGGCAAAGGAGGGGGCAAGGGGCATTCTCCCTACAGTAAGTGATTTATGCAAAGATTGGAAGCAACAGAGCATATGGGAATTGGGGAAACTGCAAAAGGCCCAGGATGGTTTGAACCTTTGGTGGAAAGAAGAGGAGTAGCTGAAGACGAGGCTGAACATGAACCGCCTGGTATGCAATGCTGTAGAGATTGGGTTTCACCCTAAGGACACGGGCATGTTTTAAACAGAGAAGTCATCAGACTTGCATTTTAGAATTCTGGATGAAGGTGTTACTCGTGGAAAAGATTGAGGTGTATCTGATGTGATTAAGGAGGTTGCATCAACGTGCAAGGGACAGGAGAGAGTTGTGGAGTCAAATTCAGGCACCAGTCTGGATGGTGGAAACATTCACAGAAACAGAACTTTCAGGGAGGAGATGGTTTGGGTGAAAGGGAAGAGGGTGATGCGGTTTCCATGTGTTCAGTTTCAGGCTCCAGTAGGGCATCCAGGCGGAGATACCTACCTGTGCAATTTTGGTTGGAACGCAGAAGACAGATCTAGGTCAGGGAGAGAGATTTTGGGAGTTGGTGGCTTTTAGGCATATTTAAAGCCATGGGAATTTGAGGCTAGTTGGATTTTTATTACTTATGAATTTCTATTAACTCTGGTTCAAGGTTATTGAATTTGTGATAGAGTTGAATAAATGGTAGCTAAAATTATGACATTTTGAAATGTATTCATCCCCACCCATATTCATGAAAGAAACATTTGTCTGGAAGATATAAAACGCCACTATTCAGAATGTATTGTCCAAAGGAATTGGCAAAGAGATTTTTAGCCAAAAATCAAACTTAGAACATTCCCCATTCTTTCCCTTTCATAATAGAGAAAAGTGATTAAAGCTCTTTGGCTAAAAATAGCAAACGATTACGGTCCAGCTCGCATTGTAGGAACAGGAAGCCTTTGGTTCATTGAACTCCACAAACAATCCCCACACATTGTAGCCACTGTAACTTTCTCCATTGCTAACTCTTTAACATATGATTTTCCCTCTGAGAGTTGCTGGTCTTGCTAGTTGCTATGGTCTGAATGTTTGTGTCCCTTCCAAATTCATATGTTGAAATCCTGACCCCCAGGGTGATGGTATTAAGAGGTGGGGCCTTTGGGGAGGTTGATTAGGTCATGAGGGAAGTGCTCTTATGAATGAGATTAGAGCCCTTACAAAAGAAGCACAGGGAAGCTCCTGGCCCTTTCCACCGTGTGAGGACACAGTGAGAAGGTGGCCATCTGCAGGCAGACACCAGAACCCAACCATGCTGGCACCCTGATCTCTGATTCCCCAGCCTTCAGATCCATGAGAAATATATTTCTGTTGTTTATAAGCCACCCGGTTTGAAGTATTTTATTATAGTGGCCCAAACAGATGAAGACTACTATTCAACTTTTACATAAAGAACAAAATTAAATCAGAGCAAGAATTATCAGAGAATATGGGAGCTGTGAGTCACATTAGAGATTCTTTTACCAACTGTGTCATTTTTCTAGACAAGGCAGCTGAAGACCAGAGTGATTCAGTGCTTTCCTCCAAGACCACACCCAGGCCCGCACAGAGTGGGGGTCGGAGTCCCACAGCTCAACACCAACCCCCGCATTCAGCCTCTTACCAGCCAGGCCCCTGTGGATGATTTTTGCCATTTAAAAGTCATTTGCTCTTTCACAATACTGATAAATAAAAGATCAGAATAACGTATCTTAATTGGTCAAAATGTAGGGACAGAAAATGAAAGGAGACAAAGGTGCATTTCTTACACAGTTGACTTAGGCTAGCATTTTCCACTGTAACTGCAAATATACAAAGTGTGTCATCTTTCTGGTTATATGTCCTTTACTTAATTGCACTAAAAGCTACTTGGTTTCATCAGAGGTTCCAAATATTGCCTCTGGTTTAATAGCTGAAGGTTTTTTTGTTTGTTTGGTTGGTTGGTTGGTTTTTTTTTAGAAAGTGACTTTTGAAACCATATTATAAGTGTTTTATAATAATTGCCTTTCTCCTCTCAACCTAGCAAAAACATATAGATAAAAGGACAATCAAGTAGAGATTCTGAGCTTTTATTAATTTTCTGTAATGCTATTGAACCAAAGCTCAAGGACATTGAGACACCATGGATCAGTAGCAATCATGGAGGAGGCTCCCTGGTTCAGTAGCAATGGTGGTCTAGACATGTGAGACACCATGGTTCAGCAGCAGTAGTAGGGGAGGCAGGAGACTGGACTGGCTGGCCAAGTGGCCTTCTGGGGCTCCTCATCTCGGATCCCTATGTATTCACTCCTGAATATGTCACAAGTATTGGGCTAGATTGTTTTTAAAGGTTCCTGGCAACTCTAACAGTTTATTATCCTACAGTCAAGACACACATTTTCATTTTATCACAATTTCTGATTCTTCACACTTTTTCTTATCCCATATGATGTGTTGGTGAATCCTGTCACTTTGTTTGGTCAGCATTAATGTACTATTTATTATTTATTTACTTGGTGCCAGCAACTGTCTTAGATGTCTTTTTGCCTGTCATTTTCTTCCATTCATTACAGCTGCCTCCTCTGAGCATTGAGAACCCCCAGAATTCAGCGACTTCGATTTGTTTGCCTCCCAGAGACTAAGCCAACCTTCCTAGTTTACACACAAAATGCTCCCACTTAAGTACATACTCTACCATATTCCTTCCTGAAAGTATAAATATACTTTCTGAGTAGTCCAAAGTGTTAATGTTTGATTATATTGATTTGGAATTAAAAAAATGAGAAGCAAGTTGAACAAATCATTTCACATTTAAAATCCACGTATTTCCTAGAAATGTACCAAATTTTGATCTAAATAGGAAGTAAGGTATTTTCAGAGATAAATACTTCAAAATGGAGTTAAATAGACTTGCTTTATACTCAGAGATTCAAATAAGAAGATGATCTAAAATTTGGTTACCTTATTATTTGTTTTTAATTCCATTTTCCTTTGATTGCCTCATTTATAAAATGGCAGCCAAAGACATTTTGGACAGTGAGAGTATGTGTCTGATGTGCATATCACAGCTATAAAGTGTGTACATGTGAAGACTTCACACATCCATATGCATGTTATCCGTGGCTCCGTCGAGCAGTCCTCCTCTTAATTATGCTTTATATATGCTTTGTGCAGCCAGGCATTGATCTTTCAAGTACCGGTGTCTGGTTCAAAGACTTGTAATTAGGCAGAAAGATCTGGTAAAATGGATTCTATGGAATTATTCAAATGCTCTGTGTGTATGAAATTGTTCATCTAGAATTATTTATCTGGAAAAAAAGACACTTTCAAATATGCACAGAGCCTATTTTTTTAAAAATTGTATTCCTTTCCATTATTTACTGATATTCCATGCACTTCTTGGACATTTGCAAATTGCAGGGCTTTGTTTTTTGTTTTTTCTGTTTCGATATGAAGCTGCTTTGTTCTTTCCTGTGGGCCTGTTAATTGGTGAGCTCTTTATCCATGAGATCAAGAATCAGGGGCTTTTTATTAACTCATTGTGAGCTCTAAGATATTCCCATGGGCATGGAGAAGAGAAGTTGCCTTTGAGACTTCATGCTTCTCCTATTCTTTTACAACACTGGTCACAGCCCAGAAGATGTAATCAACAATGACACGAATTTAATCCACAGTTTAGAATTAGAATCCCCTGATACTGAAAATTCTATAATGAGCCTTTTTGTCTTTTTTCCTTTATTTTGTTAGCATTTACAATTCCTTTTACTTGTGCACGCTTTCTCCTCCAGGATAAAATCCTGTTAGGGATTTTAAAATAAATAATTGAATTCTGCATTCTAGTTCTAAAAGCCATAAAAGGAACAATGTTTATTTTTCTGGAAGACATTGTCATGGTCTGTAGGTGGTGATGTGAAAATTCTTAGAATTTTCTTTCTTGAAGATGGAGAGACCAGTAAATTCCTCTTTTCTCTTTCACACATAAATACACCATCATCACATACCTTTCTATAAAAGTATGAATTTCTCCGCTAAGTAGTCTGAGAAATTATCTCTATACAAAGAGCTCCGTGGGGGATTTGCAGGGTTTGGAAGTGAAGAAGAGAATGAAAGGAGCCCCTGAACAGTTTCAGTGACTCTCAGGAATTTCAATTCTCCATTGCTACATGGCTTATTATTATTATTATTATTTTTACCAAAACATATGATACCCCTTTCTAGGCCACTACTGTTGCTCCATTTTAGCGTTTTCAGAGAATGTTTTTTCTTCCTTCTGATTAGCCTGTTTTTCTGCTCCTGCTGCCGCTGCTGCTGCTATCCTGATGTAAGTGCCTGTGAGTAAGCAGTGAGCTCCAGTGTACAGGGTTTATTTTTTTTCTCCATGATTCTCAACAGCTTTTCTATTAGAATGATTTTATGCCTGGATGGTTTGACTATCTTTTTCTCAAAAAAAAAAAAATATAAAACAAAGTGCAGGAAACCCAAAATACCTTCCCAACAATTAGAATTTTGCTTGTTGTCAGTTTGCCCTCCATCCTCCTAACTGAGTCACTAGAAGCATCTGGGTCAGCCTGGGGATTGGTGGCAGGCACGTCTGGGGTCCTTTTGATTGACAAGCACAATGAACCCAAGTGATCAGGACCATGAGTGATGATTCACCACATGTGTGTTTAGTTATCATCATCAAGGCACCTAGCAATTTTACTTCTGAACATTGAAACTCATTTTTGCTCTTTCCCTCTGTATTTTCCTTGCTTTCCCCACATTTTTTCCTGAAGAATATGTTGGTTCCTCTTAATGTTTCATTTCAGGCTAGTTTGGGCACACAAATTTTCCATTTCCCAAGATATTCTCAAAGTGAAGAAGGCACTTCTTCTGATATACACACAGAAACAGGCTTAACATGTAAGTGTAAAAAGAACACTTGACTAGCTGCTAAGCAACCTGCATGACAGGAGAGATTTTGTACTATCTTGCTATGTGACTTTAGGTAAGTCACTTTACTGGTCCTCATTTTTGTCACATGTATGCCTTTCCCAACTAAAAAATTCAATTATTTTTATTTGTATAAATTTTCTCTTCTGAAACAATATTTATGCATGTATATCCACGTTGCCCTAGTTTTTTTTATAATACCTTTAAGCATCTTAAAACTAGAATACTACTGAATGGACAGAAAAACAAATCTGTACACAGAGACATTCAGAGTGACTTTATTAATCAGAATCTGTGTAACAAAATCAGCTCTTGCAGTACATCATTATAGGTGGCACGACAAATGCTAAAGAATATTTATGTAATTTATTAATTACAATATCTACTTGATTCTCTAGAATTTCCACGTTAAGTAAACAGAGAGGTTGCAAACTCTTCACATCTTATGTCCAACTGATTTTTCATTGTAGTTTTCTAGTTACAAAGCTGTTTTCATTGTGAAAAAGTGTGTTAATCATATAATACAATGAATGTGACAATTAAAACAATATAAATGCAAAAATCATATAGGTTTACAGAAAGAATGAACTCAAGTGTAAAAGCATTAGATAAAAGAAAGAATAACACTTTCTAACATTAGAAGCCACAGTCTACAACAAGGTTATAGCAGTTATGGATATCTATGGACCAAATAACACAGCAACTGCCTACATAAAATAGAAACCAATGGAATAAAATGTAAACAAACACCAGAGTCATCTAATTATGGATCAAAATCCAGTATAAAATAAAGGTAGTATTTAAGACCATGAGATAGAGATGGTCTTTTTATAATAAATGGTGTTGGGACAACTGGAAAGCAATTTTGAAAAAGGTAAAATTAGATCTGTTGCTCATACCACACACAAAAATAAACTCCAAGTGCATCAGAGATCTGAAAGTGAAAAGAAATAACACTATACACACGCTAGCAGAAAACATGACCGAATCCCTCTACAACTTGAACACAGAGAGACTTTCTACTCTTTAAAAATCCCTATACAACAAAGCAAAAGATAAATGTGGCTCCATAAAAATAAAACTTTTGCAAGTCAAAAGCAAAAAATTGAAAACAAACAAATACACAAACTATCTACTCAAAATGGTAAACACCAAAAGCAAAGACGTTAAAAGACAAATGACCACTGGGAGAAAATATTTTCAGTGTTCTTTTCCCATAAAAGGCATATACCCCTAAGTTGTAAACATCTTTTAAAAATTAAAAGAAAAAATGAACAAAAACTTTATGAACGAATGAGCAAATAAATGAAGCAAGAATGCACAGAAAGACAACATATGAAAAGATGTTCAAATCTTCTTCTCATTGTAAGAGAAATGAAATTGGAACAACACCAGTACTATTTCTAATTCATTAGATTGGCAAACTTAGAAGTTTGACGATACATTCTGTTGGAGAGGATGTAAGGAAATAGGAGCTCTCCTACACTGCTGGTGGGAATAGCAAATGGTACCATTCCTATGAAGGAGGATTGGCAATATGTAACAAAATTGTATATGCATTTGGTTTCTATCCTAGCAATCCCGCTTCTAAGAATTTACTCTAAAGATAAACCTCCAACAATACAGTATACGTGTGTGTGTGTGTGTGTGTGTGTGTGTGTGTGTATCCATAAGGTATTCATTGTTCATTGAAGCATTTGTTGTAATTGCAAAATGTTGGAAACTACTTGAATGTCCAAGCATAGAGACCGGTTGTATAAAGCATAGTATTTATACGCACTGTGTATTAGGCAGCTGTAAAAAATATGAGGAATTTTCACTTCTATAATAAAGTGATTTCCAGGATATATACTGAAGTGAAAAAAGCTATGTGCAAGAGAGTATAAGGAAGCTACGTACTTTCTTATAGGTATGAAACAAGGAAAAATTAGAAAACATACTGATCTTGTGCTAGAGGGTAGAAAATGGTATAAAAGGCACATTTGGGACAACTGATAAAACTTGGAATATTAATTGTAGATTAGATACAATTATTACATTAATGTTAAATGTCCTGAAGTTGATAACTGTACTGTGGCCATGTAAGATAATAGCCCTATTCTTGGAGGGTAGAGAGCTTGGTCTATGTAATTTATTTTAATAAAGGGGTATGTAACCTACTTTCTAATACTCCAGGACAAACATGAGAGAGAGCGAGAGAGAGAGTGAGTAAGCGTGAGAAAGAGAAATGAAAGAGAGCACAGATAAGGCAATGAGGTAAAATGTTGAAACTAGGTGAAGCTGGTTGTCTTTGTCAGCTGAGGCTGCTATAACAAAATACCATGAATCAGGTGGCTTATAAACTACAGAAATTTATTTCTCACAGTTCTGGAGGCTCGGAAGTCCAGGATCAAGCCATTGGCAGATTCGGTGTCCGGTGAGGGCCTGCTTGCTGGTTCATAGACGGTGCCTTCTCGCTCCGCCCTCACATGGTAGAAGGGGCATGGAAGCTCTCCGAAGTTTCTTTTATATGGGCATCAGTCCCATTCGTGAGAACTCCACTCTTATGCCCTAATCACCACCCAAAAGTTTCACCTCCTAATATCATCCCCTTGATGGTTAGGATGTAAACATATGAATTTTGGAGGGATGCAAAGATTCAGTCTGTAACATTGGTGAGAAGCTAAGTGAAGACTCTTTGTTCTACTTTTGTATGGATTATTTGTATTGATCTTTGCATTTTTCAAAAGTTTGAAACTATTTCCAAATAAAATATCTTTAAAAATGTGGAAAAAATAGACTTCTCACATGCATCCAAAGGGGACTTACACAGGTGGTAAAAGATGATTCTTGTCACTTTGTTCAAAGGAATAGTGTAAAACTTTCAGGCCAGTCCTATGACCTCTGGGGTCAGTTCAAGGATCTCTTCAGAAGCCTCTCCAGTGTCCCAGCCCAGTCCAGTGAGGCTGGGCACATTTTATTCAGAAGATGTTAAGAAGATTGTCTGGGAATCAGTATTATTTCATAGCTCTTTTTTGGAACTGCAGAGGCAGCTGTCTCTGCTTAAAGCCACCAAAACCAGTAGTGCCCAAGGTGCAAGCTCACAGTTAGATGTGGAATTGTGTCTTTTTGCCCTTTGAATCTTTTCCCACAAGATGATGGTTTATTTATTTATTTATTCATATATATATTTTAATTTTTATGAGTACAAGATGATGATTGATTTAGCAACTGAGATAATTGATACTATTCATCTCAAAGTGTAGCAAACCTTAGTGAGAAAGAGAAAACTGGTTATTGAAGGACTTAGCTCAGATTTCTGCTCACCTATGTACTTAAAAATGATTTACTAATTGAAATGATATGAGAGGCATTAAAGACATTATGGGTGAGATTGTCATCTCCTACTGGGTTTTTTTTTTTCCACTTTCAAGTCAGAACGTGGGTGGAAGACAGCATTCTTTGAGCACATGGAATTAAGGTAAGAATTGGGCTAAACATGAATGGGGATTATGTTTATTTTGTGAGAACTGATCTCAATCTTCTTTGGCTTTATACTAATGATGGAAGTACTAGCTAGTAGTTATTGAGTGTTCTGGGGACACATTGTGCTAAACCCTTGTATGGATCAGCTAATTTGATCTGCGTTCATTTTAGAGATGAGGAAACAGGCACAGAGATATAATTTACTCAGTTAATGAGTGGTAATTATTCCAGAGCCTGAACTACTAAAGCAGATTGACTCTGAGATTAAGGGAATTTAATACAGAATAAAAGAATGAGTTTAGAAGACATCCTCTCAAAGGCAAACTTCCTTACAGAAAACACTGCAGATTATGGCTTTGTAACAGAATGGACTGAAACATTTAGACCAGTGTGTTCTTAACTGCTTTATAATTGGCAGATGGCACTTGGTGTGCTGTGAGTTGTTAATAGGTTAATAGGTATTCTTTGGGGAAATGAGTTTCCTAATCAAGTAAAATTGGGAAACAGGGCATGTTCTCAGTACATTTAAAAAAAAATAACTTTAACATTATTGAATGTGGCAGGGAAATTTTGTTTTTTTTTCATGTCCCTGGTTCTGTGAATTTCTTTATCAATTGTTTTGCTATCAGCAAAGCTTATCAATGTGACCTGCAAGATTCCTCAAAAGAATATATAATGAGAAGAGAGCAAAACAACAGGATTTGTATTGGTATTTGTATTCTAGCATTTTTGATCACCAACTTGAGTCTTCTATACTAGCTCAACTTCTGGCTGATAAATGGGATGGTTTGGATGATGGAGAGGTTTTCATTAGAAAGATAACAGATTCTTAGACGTGATTAGGAAAAGAAGAAAGCATAATTTTATCTGAAGCTTTCCCAAAGTATACAAGAATGAGTGTATTCCGTTTAGGAATTTCTGTTAAATTGCTTTCATTAAACAAAAATGAGAGAAGTAGTGGCTAAAGTAATAAGCTACATCAAATAATTTCTTGGAAATATCTCTCTCTATATATAGGGTATATATTTATAGCATTAGGGTGTATTTTCCATTCCACCCCTCCCCATCACCGGTGATAGATTTTCATAACTTGTAGTAGCTGGAAACAGGACTGGGAAAAGCTATGGCAAATCTCCTGTAGGTCACCGCCCTGTTGTGCCTGTGGAAAGAAACCAGCTTTGTCGAGAGGGAGGAGAGTTGGCCAGGACGTCCTAATAGGCCATTTTCTGTCTTCTCTCCATGATTGTTCTCAATCACTTGGCAATCACGATGCTATTAGGAGCACCCTGACCGAAGACACTCAGGTGCTTAGCCTTGCCATTAACAACATTGACAGGAAGCTTTGAGGTTGCTGCACAGCTGATGGGTCTTCTTGAGAGTCTTGAATTAGAAGTCGGCCTGTCCTTATGATATGCGGAAATGCCCCGGCTCCTTTTGCAGAAGGATGTTCAGGCAATAATTGGAACTGTATATATGTGAATGTCTAAATTATTTCATCTCCTATATCTCTTCATATTCTACCATTTATTACATGGAAGTGCAGTAAGTCATGGATGTTGTCTGTATGGTAATGGCTTGTATTGAACCTTGAAGTTCACCATGCCCTGGGAGACGGGATTTACAGAGGGACGTGCAGAACCCCTTCCTTTCCTAGGCCTTGCCCTGCAGCCACCCTGCTTCCCTACCATGCTGAGCCAGTGTTGGGCAAAACAGACATTTCCAGGGTTTGTCACCCCATTATAGTCCTTTAGGCTTGTTAAAGTTCATGATCTGGTAGTGATATTGTTTGGCTCTGTGTCCCTGCCAAAATCTCATTTTGAATTGTAATCCCCCATATTGGAGGAGGGGCCTGGTACAAAGTAATTGGATCATAAGGGCGGATCTCCCACCCTCGCTGTTCTCGCGATAGTGAGAGAGTTCTCAGGCGATCTGGATCTGGATGTTTGTGTGTGGCTCCTCCCCCGCCCTTCTCTCTTTTCCTCCTGCTCTGGCCGCGTTAAGATGTGGCTACTTCCCTTCGCGTTCTACCTCGATTGAAAATTTTCTGAGGCCTCCGTAGCCATGCTTCCCGTACAGCTGTGGAACCGTGAGTCGGTTAAACCTCTTTTCATTATAAATTAGCCAGTCTCAGATAGTTCTATATAGCAGTGCAAGAACCGACTAATACAGGTAGGAACTGGGAAGTCAGGCACAGGTTTCTTTGGGACAGTGTTTCAAGACAGATCTTGCAAGTTTCCTTTTTACAACACCCTTTTTCTGCCAAGGTGCTCAATGAGGTTGTGCGTAGATTTGTCCCTAAACTGTGGGATCAGGAGTATATAAATCTCCATATTGGCTACCGGTGTGAAAGTTCTGGATGACAATAGGCAATTATATGTATATATATTCCCTTTAGAAGCAAAATCTACCAATTTTTTTTTCTTTTCCTGGGAAGAGAACATGAAAAAGAAACTAGAATCTGGAGATTCCTAATAATTGTCATCCTTAAAGGGCATTTACATCTGAGACTTCACCTTCAGATTTTTTATGAAAGAATATAATTTAAAAATATAAAAAAAGTGCTGCTTTTCACATGGAAGTAAATGCGTAAAATATCTGGGAAAACAGATCTGCTATCATTGCAGAATGAAATGAGATATTGTCGTGATGGGAGAACAGTCTCTTAAATTTTAAGGCAAGGGTTTTCTCTAAAAGTTCTCATTAATATCTTTGAAGTGTAGGAGCATCATATGATCTCTGAAGAAATTGCCAGCCCCCAAATTATTAGTCACTCTCAAATGAATACCCATCGTTTAGGAAACTGACTTTTTGGAAGGAGCAATGCTTAACATTAACCATAGCATTCTATTAGTTAGGAGGACCTTGATCATTAAAACCACTCTTTGTGTTTGTTTGTTTATTTATTTATTTATTTGAGATGGAGTCTCTCACTGTTGCCTGGGCTGGAGTGCAGTGGTGCTGTCTCTGTTCACTGCAACCTCTGCCTCCCGGGTTTAAGCGATTCTCCTGCCTCAGCCTCCTGAGTAGCTGAGATTACAGGCGCCTGCCACCATGCCCGGCTAATTTTTTGTATTTTTCGTAGAAACGGGGTTTCACTATGTTGGCCAGGCTGGTCTCGAACTCTTGACCTCATGATTTGCCCACCTCGGCCTCCCAAATTGCTGGGATTACAGGCGTGAGCCACCACGCCCGGCGCGACTAAAACCGTTCTTTTAAATAAGATGCTTGCCACTTAATTTAAGTTCACGGTTGCCCATTCTGTAGCCCTTGAAGTTCTTCCTTGACTCATTTCGTCCTCTCCTTATGTTTCACATCTTCACAAAAATAGGAAGAACAGCAGCAAAGCCCCGATGACCCACATGCTATTTGATGGGGAAGAGACTAGGACTAGCAGGGCTTCCCATGCTTACTGGTGAGCATGTTTCTTTGGTGTAATGATCTGAATTAAGCAGAAGATGAAAGGAGTATAGTATTTTTTGGCCTTATACTTCTCAATGACACAGCTGAAGTCCATCCCATTTTTTATTTATCAGACTTTGGGAACAGACAACAAATGAGATTATAAGTATCTCCTTTCAGAGATGGATGCTCCAAGCAGAACTCTGCGACTCTGTAGTGCTCTTGGCAATTAACAGCTTCATTCTAAATTTGTAAACTCACTCTGGTTTGTTTTAAAAATGGAAATGAATGAGGAAGCCAAATCTTAGAAATGAAGAAAAATGGCTGATTTCCATTTCAATATGTAAGAAAATTACATGAATTAGGAAAGGATTTAAAAGTTAAATATGAAACCAAGGAACCTGGTCATGGAATTGTGCAGTAAATTGTTTAATAAATGAAATCCCCCTGGAAATATCGATAGCCTTCACCTTGTTGATGAATGCACATCGGTGTATCAGGTCCCCTCACTTAGATTCTTTATCATGGGTGAGAGTGTCCAGATGAAAAGCCTTGGGGTAAATATCACTAACAGAATATTCTCCTAGAACAGTAATTCCAGAGAATTCTCCTCTTCTGCTACATCAGTCTTCTGCATGCACGTAATCATTTCAATCTGCTGTCAGGTCCCCTCTACACCATGTGCATAATTGGCTACATGTACTACAACAAAAAGATCCACTTTGACACCTGCCACTTCAAAAAACAAGTGCAAATAAAGAAACAAGAATATTATAATAGACAAATGTAGTTATTTTGACAAGTGTGATTTGTTTTTAATTATTAATATTTCACAGTATACTAGTAACTGTCTTGTAGAATATTTTGTAAAAGCAATGACATCTGATAATGTGTCATTACCACATTAGCATACCCCTATGCAATTAAGGCTTTAGTCAGAAGAAGGATTTGCTTTCAATTCTAGTGTGAATTACCATGAAGCTGGAGAAAAATGTGAATATTAGAATTAATAATAGTATTGCATTTATGTTACACTGTTCATCGGCATCTGGAAAACACTTTATTGTTTCTGCCAGTGTCAAACACTGAAACCTTAATACAAGACTCTCCAATACTTGATGTAAAATTCTATCAATTGAGAACACATGGACACATAGAGGGACTAACACACTCTGAGGCCTTTTGGAGGGGGAAAGGTGGGAGGAGGGAACAGATCAGGAAAAAGAACTAATGGGTACTAGGCTTAACACCTGGGTGATGAAATAATCTGTACAACAAATCCCCATGAACCAAGCTTACCTATGTAACAAACCTGCACTTGTACCCTTGAAGTTAAAATAAAAGTTAATCAAAAAAGAAAACAAGGGGGCCAGGTGTGGTGGCTCAAGTCTGTAATCCTAGCACTTTGGGAGGCCGAGGAGGTGGGTGGATCACCTGAAGTCAGGAGTTCAAGACCAGCCTGGCCAACATGGCGGAAACCCTGTGTCTACTAAAAAAAAAAATACAAAAATTAGCCAGGTGTGGTGGTGCACGCCTGTAATCCCGGCTACTCAGGAGGCTGAGGCAGGAGAACCACTTGAACCCGGGGGGCAGAGGTTGCAGTGAGCAGAGATCCTGTCACTTTACTTCAGCCTGGGTGAAAGAGCGAAACTCTGTCTCAAAAAAAAAAAAAAAAAAAAAGAGAGAGAAAGAAAAAGCCTTATCATCTGATTAAAAAAAAAATTCTATGATCATGACAGTAATCCATTTATCTGAATTTTTTACATGTAAATTTTTTTTTTTTTTTTTAGAAATCTGCTTTTTAGTCTTGAAAATTTGTAACAGAACGTCACATTTTTAGTTCTAACAGATTAAGCTTGGAGAACAAACGTAAGCTTAGAAGGACTAGAGGAGTTCTTTGTTTTTGAAATGGTTAGAGAAATCTCAAGGACCACTGGCAATTTCTCAGCAGTATTGTCTCATTCCACCTTCACTCAACAATAAAACCTTCCCCATTCAGCCTGTATCATCTCTATTTAAATTTTCTGGTGCTGGATTTCCTTGACAAACTTGAAACAGTGAGGAGACAGATAAGGAAGGAAAGATTCTGCCCCTCCCCCATTTCCACTACCCTTTCAGAGACTAAAAAATCTGATTTTGCTTTAATTTGTACTCAGCAGTGTCAGCTCTGTCAGAGGAAAGGGCATCCCTGCTGACAGTAATCATTATAACTCCAGGAGACTAGCAGAGATAAATATACTATAAGCCATCTTCTGAGTGGATCAAACTTGTCCTGATACTTTTAAGGTCCGGGTACTTTGCAGAGAGATTTCCTCCATCAGACTCGTTTCTCAGTGATACCCAAGGCTGTATTTCTGATCCTGTCATGGAAAAATGTTAATATGTTACACACCAAAGTATGCCAGTAGTGTTGATTGAAGGACTCTTTTTTAAGTGGAAATTCCTGCTAATATTCAGCAAATAACAATCTCCATATAATGAAAATAAATAAAAACACAAATCTAGAAACACTGAATACCGTATGTAAATTTAACTGGGATTTCTATGTAATCTCTTGAGATTAAATTGGATATTTGCAGAATTTGTTGAAAATTGAATATATATTTATAATGTATATGAAATTCAGAAGCATAAAGTATCTAGGTTTTTGGAGTTTTTTGCAACTAGAAAAAAAAATTCTAAAACATACAAATGGTAAAATAGCACCAAGCAAGCATTTGCTGGTAGAATTATATTGTGTTGCTTTTTGCTGCTGCTTTGAATACTGTTGTTATTTTTTTTTCCTTTGTTCTCTGTGTTTGGCCTGCTGTAACCTTTACAAAATTTACCTAGGTAGCAATTTCTTTAGTGTCTCCCAAGATTGTAAAGAAACAAGTGGGGAATCATTCAACCTTGTTTAACTAGAATGGGCATTTGCTCTGTTACAGTGGAAAATGTTTCTGATAATCAAGATTTTTCCCTTAAAAGAATGTTTTCATTGTATTTTCTACTGTATTGCCTTTACTGTGTTTAGACTTAAAATTTAAGCAACTGATTCTACAAACATAGTTTAATGTAGTTCATATGATTCTACAGGGTGCTTCTTTTTTCATTTTGTATAGACAGGTGTCTTTCCTTTTCATATATATCAGTCAAATAAATCCTACGAGGTATCCTATCAATGAATGTTTTGAAAGTGTTTTAATAATATGGGGAAAACAGGGAGAAGTATCTAATGAAAACTTGTTATGTCTACATGGTATGATGGTAGATGAGTTTTATTTCCTTCATTGAATATTTTCTGTACCTTATAAAAATTGAGATTGTGAATTATTACTATAATCAGAAGAGAAAAAGAACTGTGTTTTAGAAAGAAGGGACAGGAGATGAGTGAAGACCAGGCTGCCCACAGGTGCTTATGGAATTCCTACTGTGCACATTTCACTAATCAACTCCATGGTCAAGATTTATGCCTGATGTAATGAGAGGGTGACCTCCTGCTGCTTTAGGAAACTGCCCCTTCAACCAGCCACAAAACCATTTCCACAACTGGAGCCCCTGAAGCATCAACAGACATAATTTCTGCCAAGATAATCCTTAATGTGATACCATCTTTCAATGAAGGAGATGTCTCTGGGGTGACAGTCTGCAAAATTGAGTAAGATAGTTGTTAGGTCTTTTCTTTTTCTGTGAAAGTCTTAGAAATTAATTCAACAGTGTTTTCAACCTTCTGTGTGTTTTTTTCTCCTAGGCTGCTTATGTAAGCAAATACTATGAAAAAGTTATTTTTTTCCCCATTTAAGAAGTATCTTATTGCTCTCAGTGAGTGTGTGTGTGTTTGTTTTGAGACAGGGTCTCACTCTGTTGCCCCGGTTGGAGTGCAGTGGCGCAATCTCGGCTCACTGCAACCTCCGCCTCCAGGGTTCAGACGATTCTCCCGCCTCGGCCTCCCGAGTAGCTGGGACTACAGGCGCCCGCCAACATGCCTGGCTAATGTTTGTATTTTTAGTAGAGACGGGGTTTCACCATGTTGGCCAGGCTGGTCGCCAACTCCTGACCTCGTGATCCGCCCGCCTCAGTCTCCCGAAGTGCTCGGATTATAGGCGTGAGCCACCGCACCCGGCCGTTTTTTAAAATTTTTACTTTTATTATGAAGTGATTTGGTAAATTTGTCTTACTCTGACTTAAAAGATGTGTATCGGATGTATTTGTACCAGTTTATTGCAATGTGTATTTTGAGAAGAGGGCCTTAAATAAGAATATTTTCCAGACATTCCCAAAACGACTTCATTCACATGCTGTGCGTGAGAACAGTGTGCGTCCTCCAGCCTGTTTCTGCTTTTGTGCTGGCTGCTAAAGCTTCAGGCCCTTCCTCCTCAGCTCCCTGTCAGAGAGCTTGCTTTCCTTCTCTAGTTTCTTAAACTACTTTAGAAAGCAGATGAGGACTGAAATAGTCTCCCCTGGCAGCCTCAGCAAGCCACACTCTTCCTCTCTATCTGAAGGGAGATCTCCTTTCTTTTTGTGATCAGATTTAAAATGAGGTGATTTGGGAATAACAAAGCTTTCGTATTTGATTCAAAATGCCAAATTTTGTAAATACAGGGATATACAGGGAAGTCATCATATTATGTGGCCCCCATAGACAAGAAGTAAATCCCAAGCCGGAAAAAGTCCATAGCATCCTCAAATAAGAGTGGGACATTTACTGGGATGCTGTTGATAACTTTTGTCCCAGCTTGTTTATTCCCGTAAATTACATCTGCCACCCTTTCCCCTGGCCCTTTCCCTATCCGTCAAGCTTTCTCACCAACTTACTGGCAGTGCTCACCCTGAAGCCTTTTGTCATATGTGTCTTTCCTGCAGTAGCCCTTTCCCCCATTTTTTCCGAGGCCTGGATGATATGTCACCTCCCTCATGAAGCCTTCTAGAGCCCTTCTGGTTGGAAATTGCCCTGCTCTCCATGAGCTGCACCATCATTAAAGTCCTTATTGAATTCAGCCTGGTATGAAAGTGGTTGCTTACATATCCGGGTCCTCACTATTACATTGTTAGAGTTTACAGAGATAAGCATAAGGCCTGTGTGTTATTCATCTCTTGTTTTCCTACAGTTTATTATTTGGAATTTTGCACTTATTAGGTAAGGTGTTATTGTTGTTGTTTAATTTGAATCGTCAGCATCTTTTTTTTAATGGTGAGGTGTTGATTAGAAAAAGAAAGAAAGACATTAAAAAGTAATTTGCAGGAATTGGTAATAATCACATCTAACAACTTGTGTAGCTATTTGCAGTTTTACAAAAAGGCGTTGGCATATAATGAGGAAGACTTAATGGCAAAGCCTGGTCTGGAACAGCTTTGCAACAGAATCTAAAAGGGGCCAAGAAAAAGCCAAGGGCAGAACAGATTCTCCTTGTCCTGTTTGCATTTTCTGTGTGCAAGGAAGGCTGTTAGGTTCTCTCCATTCACCAACTTAAATTCCTGTAACAACTTAAATTCCTGATTATTTTTATTATGATAATAAAAGGGTTGCTTTCAAGGACGTTGATGTTTTCCATCACACTGAGGTAGATGACTAGCAACATCATGCAGAATACAGTTGGGCTTTCTGCATGTCTCCTAGAATTACTCAAAGTTTCCTTATTTTCTTCTTCTGTCTCCTTTTCCCATTCTCTTTCTTCACAAACAGTTTAAATATCAGAGTAAATAAGAGAAAATAAAAGATCATGAAATAATATGAAACTGAAAATTGAACATATACTTTCAGATTTTGTACTGCTTATTATTTCTTTGTCCTATAAAAAGTCCAGGTGATAAAATTAACATTCCAAGTTAAACATGAAATGAAAAAAATATACTTGCCATAGGCTTTTGTTTTTTGGTAGGTTGGTTTAAAATATTTTTAAAATTGCATTATAAAAATTACGTCTAACTAAAAATGCGATACAAGAATTTCTGCCCCAAACAAAAATCTCAAATTCATACTAAAATATATAAAATAAAATGTGAATTTCTGCTTTTATTCTCCTGCCCAACCTCATTTTCCTTTTCAGAAGGAAACTTTGTTAAACATTCTATGTATATTTTTGCAAACCTTCTCCTGTGCATCTATATACATACGCACATACGTATGTAGATCAGAAATAGCTTGTATCGTACTAGACATATTTATCTACAATATGCTTTTTTCATTTTCAAAATTACTTTGGAGATCTTTCCACATCAATACATAAGACTCTACCACATTGATTTCATGGCTACATAGTTTATAATTTTTCCCATAATGATTGACAAGTAATTTTCAGGGTTTTTTTGTAAGTAAATTTTAATGTACATACGCAGGTGTAACTTGGAGATATTGTGGGTTTGGTTACAGACCACCATAATAAAGTAACCACAGCAATAAGGCAAGTCACATGACTTTTTGGTTTCCCAGTGCATGTAAAAGTTATGTTTGGCTGGGCGTGGTGGCTCACACCTGTAATCCCAACACTTTGGGAGGCCGAGGCAGGTGGATCACTTGAGTTCAGGAGTTCAAGACCAGCCTGGCCAACGTGGCAAAACCCCGTCTCTACTAAAAATACAAAAATTAGCTGGGCGTGGTGGTGCAGGCTTGTAATCCCAGCTACTTGGGAGGCTGAGGCAGGAGAATAGCTTGAACCTGGGAAGTGGAGGTTGCAGTGAGCCAACATCGCCTGGGAGATGGAGCAAGACTGTCTCAAATTAAAAAGAAACAAAAAACAAAGTTATATCTATACTAGACTGTAGTCTAGTAAGTGTGCAATAGCATTTTGTCTAAAAAACAATGTACATAACTTAATTAAAAATACTTTTTGTCAAAAAATGCTAACAATCATCTGAGCCTTCAGTGAGTTATAATCTTTTTGCTGGAGGAGGGTCTTGCCCGATCTTGGTGGCTGCTGACTGATCAGGGTGGTGGTTGCAGAACGTTGGGCTGGCTGTGGCAATTTATTAAAATAAGACAACAATGAAATTTGCCACATCAATGGACTCTTCCTTTCGTGAAAGACTTCTCTGTAGCATGTGATGCTATGTGATAGCATTTTACTCACAATAGGACTTATTTCAGAATTGGAACCAATCCTCGTAAACTGTGCCACTATTTATCAACTAAGGTTATGGAATATTCTAAATCCTTTGTTGTCATTTCAACAATGTTCACACCATCTTCACCAGGAGTAGATTCCATCCCAAAAGACCACTTCCTTGACTCATTCATAAGAAGCAACTCCTTATCCATTCAAATTTAATCGTGAGCTTGTAGCCATTCAGTTGCATCTTCAAGCTCCACTTCTTTTTTTTTTTTTTTTTTTTTTTTTGAGACAGAGTTTCATGCTGTCACCCAGGCTGGAGTGCAGTGTCATGGTCTCGGCTCACTGCAACCTCTGCTTCCTGGGTTAAAGCGACACTCCTGCCTCAGCCTCCCAAGTAGCTGGGACTACAGGTGTGCACCACCACACCCAGCAGCTAATTTTTGTATTTTTAGTAGAGATGGGGTTTCACCATGTTGGCCACACTTGTCTCGAACACCCAGCCTCAGGTAATCCCCTCGCCTCAGCCTCCTAAAGTGCTGGGATTACAGGCGTGATCCACCACACCCAGCCTAGCTCCACTTCTAATTCTAGTTCTCTTGCTGTTTCCACCACATCTGCAATTACTTTCTCCACTGAAGTCTTGAACCCCTCAAAATCATTCATGAGGATTGGAATCAATTTCTTCCAAACTCTTGTTTATGTTGATATTTTGACCTTCTTTCATGAATCATGGATCTTCTTAATGACATCTAGAATGGTGAATTCCTTCCAAAAGGTTTCAATTTACTTTGCCCAGATCCATCAGAGGAATCACAATCTTTGGAAGCTACCACCTTACGAAATGTGTTTCTTAAATAAGACTTGAAAGTCAGAATTACTCCTTGATCCATGGGCTGCAGGAAGGATGTTATTACCAAGCATGAAAACAGCATTCATCTCTTTGTACATCTCCATCAGAGCTCTTGGATGACCAGGTGCATTGTCAATGAGTGGTAATATTTTGAAAGGATTTTTTTCCTTTTTCTGAGAAGTAGATCTCAACAATGGGCTTAAAATATTCAATAAGCCATGTTGTAAAGAGATGTGTTGTTAGGCAGGCTTTGTTGTTCCACTTATAGAACACAAACAGAGTAAATTTAGCATAACTCTTAAGGGCCCTAAGATTTCCAGAATGATTGAATGAGCATTAGCTTCAGCTTCAAGTCAGCAGCATTAGTCCCTAACAAGAGAATCAGCCTTTCTGTTGAAGCTTTGAACTCAGACATTGACTTCTCCTTTAAAGCTATGAAAGTCTTAGATGGCAACTTCTTCCAATAGAAGGCTGCTTCATGTACATTGAAACTCTGTTGTTTAGTTTAGCTGCTTTCACCCATGATCTTAAATCTTCTGAATAACTTGCTGCAGCTTTTCTATCAGCACTTCCTGCTTCACCTTGCACTTTTATGTGTTGGTGATGGCTTCTTTTCTTAAACTTCATGAACCAACATTTCCTAGCTTCAGACTTTTCTTCTACAGCTTCCTTACCTCTGTCAGCCTTCTTAGAATTGAAGAGAGTTAGAGCCCTGCTTTGAATTAGGCTTTGAGTTAAAGGAATGTTGTGGCTGTTAGGATCTTTTATCTAGACTATTAAGTTTCTCCATATCAGCAATAAGGCTAATTTTGGTTTTCTGTCATTCATGTGTTCACCGTAGTAGCACTTTACATTTCCTTTAAAAACTTTGCCTTTGCATTCGCATCTTTCCTGTTTGGCACCAGAGGCCTAGCTTTTGGCCCATCTTGGCTTTTGACATGACTACTTCACTAAGCTTAATAATTTCTAGCTTTTGACTTAAAGTGAGAGAAATGCAACTCTTCCTTTCACTTGAACACTTCGAGATCATTGTAAGCTTATTAGCTGGCCCAATTTCAATGTTGTGTCTCAGTGAAATAGAGAGGCTTAAGAAGGGCAAGAGGGACAGAAGAATGGCAGGTCAGTGGAGCAGTCAGAACACATATTTATTGATTGAATTCACCATCATGTGGGAGCAGTTTGTGGCACCCCGCAACAACTACAGGGGTAACATCAAAGGTCTCTGATCACAGATCACCATAGCAGGTATAATGAAAAGTTTGAAACATTACCAAAATATGACACAGAGACACAAAGTGAGCACATGCTGTTGGAAAAATGGCGCCATAAGACTTGTTTGATGCAGGCTTGCCACAGACTTTCCATCTGTGAAGAGTGCAGTATCTGAAAACTACAATAAAGCAAAGCACAATAAAATGAAGTATGCATGTATTTTTGATATACGGATTAATATATCTGTAGGACAGAGTTTCAGAAGTAGACTTACTAAGTCAAGGTTTAAGCACTTTTAACATACAGAGTTTCTACCAAATTGTTCCCAGAATGGCTGAAACAAGTTGCTAACACCAATAGCATAAGAGAACATTGTTTCCTAGTGGGTCTTTGGTCATTGGGTGTTATTAATTTTTTGCTTAATATCTTCAACAAATTGAGCAACAAGCCACCCATTACTTAATTATTTCTTCTGTTTTCATAAAAATTTTGGATCTTTTTATGTGTCCGTCCTATTTTTTGAATGTCAATTGCTTATCTTTTCTCCCATTTTCATTTATCTTCTTGTTCATTATTGCTCTAGTGCCACATTTTGAAAATTACTGGAAATTTATAATATGCTTTATATTTAATAGGACATGTTTCTTCTCATTTTTCTTTTTCAGGATTTTTTTTTTTTTTTTTTTTTTTAGCTCATCTTGCACATTTACCCTTCCAGATGGATTTTAAAATCAACTTGACAAATTCCATAGAAAATTCTCTTGGGGATTTTGTTGCAGTCTGCATTGAATATATAAATAAATTTTAGGAGCGTTTACGTGTTTACAATATTGAGTTTTCCAACCAGGAACATGGTTAACCTCTCTACTTACAGATTTTTATTTGTAGCTTTTTATAAAATATTATAGCATGTGTACTTTTGTTATTTGTCTTAATGCTAGTATTTTATACTTTTTGCCATTATTGTGAATGGAAAATTTTCCATTATGTGTTGTAATTATTATTAAAGATACACAAGGAAACTGATTTTTGCTTACCTTGTTCTAGTCACTTTATGGTATACTTTGATTAATTTTAGCATATGTTCAGTGGATGTTCTTGGATTGAGAAATTCTTTAATTACAAAATGTTAAAGTATATATTGTGGTAAATTTTCCAAAGTCTAAATTTATAAAATATAAAGAGAAAATGCTTCTCCATCACTTTGAACAGTTCTGCAACATGAATATTTTTTCACTTACAATGTGTTAGATATTTTCATGTTAGTGCGTGGGGATGTACTCTATTCTTTTGAGAAACTGCGTATTCTTTGTATGGATAATCATGGTATATTTTTATCCAGGAAATGTTTAACATAGTTAAATAAATCAATAGCAAATAACACTAAAAGGCTTATATTGAAGAAAATCAGTCTCCTTATAATAGCCCCCCACCCTTATCCCCCACATCCACCTTCCACAGAGGCCACTTTAAGCAATTTTTTTTGTTGCATATATCTTCATATTTCTAAATGTTCTGATTATACTGCTCTTTCTTGGTATTTCATCATTTATTGATTTTCTAGGTGAAGATTTACTTTTTAAAAATCCCTCTCTTTTGCTCCTTAAGTTCCTTCCAAATAATACATTTCACAATTTATTTATTTATTTATTTTAAACCAAAAGCCACTATTTACATTGTTGTAACTGTTTAACATAGTTTACTGTTAGACCAAACAGTATAGCATGACTTACTTTTGTCTTGCATCTTCTAGGTAAGTGATAGCTTTAATTCTTCTCTTTCTACAATTATGCTACTCTTACCTTTTTCTTGTGTTATTTTGTTGGCTAGAACTTCTAGAATAATGTTGAATAGTAATAATAATACTGATTTTTCTTATCTTGTCCTTGGCTCCTTGGCTCTTACAGAAATACCTTGAATGCTGATTAATTGTTTAGAAATAAACATTTAAATGTCTCAGCTCAGATAAATTTTGATACCAAAAAGCAAAAACCATTTTTTTTTTTTTTGATACAGAGTCTTGCTCTGTTGCCCAGGCAGGAGTGCAGTGGCGTGATCTCTGCTCACTGCAAGCTCCGCCTCCTGGGTTCACGCCATTCTCCTGCCTCAGCCTCCTGAGTAGCTGGGACTACAGGTGCCTGCCACCACGCCCAGCTTATTTTTTGTATTTTTGTTAGAGACGGGGTTTCACTGTGTTAGCCAGGATGGTCTTGATCGCCTGACCTCTTGATCCGTCTGCCTCGGCCTCCTGAAATGCTGGGATTACAGGTGTGAGCCACCGCACCCCGCCAAAAACCATTTTTTAAAATAAGATTTTTAGCCTTTTCTTTTGGAAAATGATACTTGTGCGGACACTTCCTCTATTTATTGATGGTATCAGGTTTTTTTTTCCTGGCTTAATAAAAGCAAGATATAGTAACCTAACTATTGTTAAATGCTGATTTCATTTTTTTAATCAGATGTATCAAATCCATGAAAAATATAATTAAAAGAAAAAATTAAGAACCTTAAACATCAATTCTTCGGTGATGAGACTATGGTGAAGGTCACCTATATCTAGAGTGTTGTCAATAAGAGCAACATGAATGAAAGATGGAGGGAAAAGGAGGGTTTAATCTATGCAGGAATAGGGTTTTAAAAGAAAGTGGAGGTCAGTTTGTCAGAAAAAAAAGGATAATGGGTTAGAGGTCTTCAGGTATTTGGGTAATTAATAAAAATGTAGTGTACAAGGCAATTTTAAGCTCTGTGATTATTAGGAAGGATTAACAGTAAGTATGACTTGGTATTTATTCACAGTTGTTCAATGGTTATGCTAATGACACAATGTTGTGCTGTAAATGTAAATTGAAAACTGCTCTTTTACTCTTTTGTTTTTTTACTTTTATATCTGTTTGGGGTAAGAGAGAAAAGGGGGACAGGGGCTGTCATTAATTGTAATTTCCTAAGTGCTACATGTCCCTGGAGTTCCTTGTACAGAGTTTGGTTGGAAAAACAAGACAATCAAAGCTTCTCCTAGGTAATGGAGATGGAGAACACTAGAGGGTGGAGGGGGCTGCTGGTCACAGAAGCATGTGCCTCTTGGCCACTGGTATGTGCAGCCCGTGCTTATGTGGGGCTCACCAGTTCTCTCCCAGGCTTTAAATTTTCCTGGTTCCACCCTCCCTTTCCCACCCAGTAACACCAATCTCAAAGCCTCGATTCATAGCACAAACACTACACCCCTTGCACGCACCCAACTCAGTTTTTTTCTCACTAAAATCTGGCGGGCATTCTCTAATCTGAGTCCTTCTCAATGCACTCCAACCAGGGTTTTGGGGTAGCACAGAGGCACTACAGCACTGTTTGTATAGGACTTCCTTTCAGTATTTGGTTCAGCTACGGAGGATCCCTGGATAAAATCTCTTCCTGCCTGAAATTGGAGTGGATTGGAGTGGATTCTGCTTTTCTGTCCAAACCCTGACAGATGTGCTATCATTCTCTTGTTATTTTTCGTGTCCTGAGAGGTAGATAGCTTGTACTCTGTGAATGAGTTACCTGCACTATTAAAAAAGATGTAAATCCAAGAATCTACAAGTGAGGAGAGACAGCTGAACAAAGAAACTGCCCACTCTCCTTCTGCTGTTTCCCCTTTATTTTCAGTTCTCAAGCTAGATTTTTCTTCCACCACCACACCTGATTCACAAACTAAGGTATTACCATTCTTTGAAGCCAAGAACAGCATATGAGAAAACACTAACCCTTGCCCATGGCAGACATCAATAATTGAGCACTGCAGTCTTGCATGCTGATCACCTATTTGGCTTACATTAGTCTCAGTATGGTGATCTGGCCAGCTACTATTAATCAATTGAAATTGGCATGTATAAAGAACCTCATGTATTGCCCCACAGCTTTGACAAAAAACCCTCAAAGACATAAAAACCAGAATGTTCATACAAAAACAGTTACTTTCAGAGAGTAACAGGAGAATCATGCATCAAACACCCATTTTCTCTTAGGTTTTATGGATAGCCTATCATTCTAATAGGGAGAATAAATGCTTTAATTATGACTGAAGCAGAGTTTCAGCCTATGTTCCTGGGCTTCCTTTAGAATTGTAACCACAAGTAAGCTCTGAAATGTGAAGAACCCATCCTGAACGTGTTCCCTCTGCTTTCCTGTTGAGGTTACCTTGCCAAGTGAATACCTCATATACATCCGTACTATAAAACATGACTGGCTCCCCAACAACGTAATTGAAACAGATGTTCTAGATACTGTTTTACTCTTCAGTGATGTCATCTCATTAGGGATGAATGTTTCTTTGTTCTTTTTTATGAATCATTTTAACTTATTCTACGCGGGTTTTGTATGTGTAGGAGTTTTTGCCAGTGGTTGTTAGCTTCTGATTTATTTTAATTGAAACGTATACATGGTATATGTCATTAAGGCCTCACTCTTAAATTTGCTGTATTTGATACAGTATTGTGGCCATTGATTGGTCCAGTAATATAACTTAAATGTAGATTTTAGGATGTTTTTTGTATAAGGGGAAAATTATAACACCTTCATAGAATCCATTTAAAATGAACTGACAGTGATTTTCTGTTAATGCAGAGCTGCAGCAAATCACTGAAGTTCAAGGGTAATGAAACTGCTGGTCATTTACATTAATGCCACGCAAAAGAAATAAACTTCCTTTGCATTTTATTACCCACTTGTAAATATGTTGGAGAATACCAAGAATTTAGCTTAAGTTTCAATATATCAACACCAAGCACAGTTACCTTTTAACTGTTTATTTTACACTGCATGGTGAAAGCGTGGAGTAAGTTGCTTTTATGGTAATTGAAGTTTGTCATCTTTCACTCAGTTGCCTGCTTGTAATGTTACCCCTGAGAAAAGTCATCTGAAAATGGGAAATGGACCTGGACAGGAATAAGCAGAGCATGCTGTAGGTATTAAGTTCAATTCAAACATCATTTTTATTCAACCCCGGCAAGATGCTGGGGACCATTTTGGAAACTGGCAGTACAAACCTGTGAGAAGTCTCTCACCTCACAGAATTCACAGTCCAACTCTGGACACCGAGATACTAGCAATGAACACTGATCTTGCCATTCTTCAAATGCAAGCTCACTTCCTCAGCTCCTTCAGGTGTTTGCTGAAAGATCATCTATTCAGTGGGGCTTTCTTAGACCACCTAATTTTAATATTGCAATTTCCTTCCCAACTCTCAGCACTCATTATTTTTCTATCCTGGTTTATAGCACTTATTGGTAGAGTATGCTGTTAGTAAATAGTGTACTATTTTTAAAGTCTATACCTCTTGTATATTATTGATTTCCTCCTATTGGAAGGTGAATTCAACGAGGGTAGGGATTTTCATCTGTTTTGCTCATTGATGGATCCCTACACCCTAGAACATGCCTGGCACATTGTAGGCAGTCAGTATATACATGAGTAGGGATGAATCATCCTAAGACAGCTGAGAAAGGATTCAAAGAGAAAGTAACATTTAAACCAGACCTTGAAGAAGCGATAGAAATATCCAGGAGAGATGCAGCTTTCCAGTAGAGAGATTGCCACGAGCAAAGCACATGTCTAAGGAGGAAAGAGTGGCCTGGGGGTGGGGGTGGGGGTAGGGGAGCTAGAAGATCAGGGTAGAGGGGGCTGGATGAAATACAGAATTGAGGGAGGGGGAGTGAGAGTAAGAAATGACAGAAGCTGGGGCCAGATGGTGAGGGGCCAGATAAAAATAAAATTAGCATATAAATGGACTGGCTTTGCTCAATCAAAGGAGGATTTTCTTTCTTAAAGAAAGACAGTGGCTCTTTTCCTGATTTTTATGACTTGAGCTCATAAATCAAATCTTCAGAGCTACCGACAATGTCAGCCTGCTGATGTTTAGGAGTGGAGGGTGACTGAGGAATGCGGTGTGCTGCGGATAGTCATGTCATCAGCAAGGATGTCTCAGAGTCTGCAAACCCGGACCTCTCTGTATTGGACAAGGCTAGGGAATGACTTTGAGAAGAACTGAATATTAAAGGAATTATCAACTTGAGTAGTAAGAGAGTTTCTAAGAATGATGGCAGAGCCACTCTGAAGTTCCTGAATGAGGTGGAGGAGGGGGAGAAAGTGGTGTGGTAAGGAACTTCAGTGGAGAAACAGCCCAGAGAACTGGGAAAGCAATGACTTGGAAGCAGCAATGAGTTGGTGTTGGAAAAGGAGTGGCTGCCATTGGGAAGGTTTAGAGGGTAAACTTTGAGCTTGAGGAAAATTAAGTTACATTTAATGTGAGAAAATGGAGGAAAAATGTGATCTGTATCTAACAGAGAGAATGGGATTGAGTTGAGTATCTAACACAGATAATGGGATTAAAAAACCCCAAGAGGATGAAGCCTCAGAGTAGCATAAAGGGGCTGGGCAGCAGAAGAGCTCTGGGCCAAGCTCACCACTATGGAGGAAGCAGGAAGGGTGCCCAGGGATGGCGGGCGGGGGCTTGGGAGCAAGGCCATGGGACATCGGCACTGTAAAGGGATGGGGAGGTTAGAGGGTGTATGGTGGTTGCATCGTAGTTAGTAGGGAGCCTTGTGAATTGTCACCTTAGAGGCCCAACCAAAAAGTGAGCAAGCCAGCCCCTTCCATGCTCAGGCACTTTTGAATAATTGAAACACTCCTGGCAATATCCCAAGTGTCATCTTATATTACCCTGAAAATAGCTGCTCCATTTAGGGTTGCATTTAACAGAGCTTATGTAGAAAAGATAAAGAATGGTGCAATTGGTTCTCATCCTACCTCTTTGGTTAAGGGCATTTACTCCACTGAGGGGTGGAGGTGGGAGCAGGATAATGTGTAATTTATGGTAAATTATCATAGATATTTATAGATGCATTTTCCCATAAGATTGTCTTATTTTATACGCCTGACTTAAACTTCTGAAAGAAGGCAAAGGCAACTCTTATCTTCTCGTTTGCACATTAAAGCACACGTACTCACTTATATTAACATAACATTGTTAGCATTTTCTGTCTTGTCACTATTAAAAATAAAACAGTAGGATTTACAAAGAATAACAAAATTTGTTATTGTAAACTAACACAGTCTCTCATTGTTATGCTGTTATAGTGTCTTCATATTTTAAGGAATTTGCAATCATGTAAAATGTATTGAATTTGATAGACTTCCACTATAAAACAGCTGAATGCTTCATAACAACCAACAAAGGGGTTGCATTTTTTCAGCTTGGCAGATTAACTGCTGGTTTTGTTTCCTGCCAGATCACTCGCTGTAACATAAGTAATAAATCAGGATAATTTTCTTCCTTTTTAGGGCTTTTCTTAAGTCTACCAAAACTCTCTTTTCTGGTAGGCAGAAAGATGGGGGACCTCATCTATACCTGTTACCTCTCCTCATCAACAATCTTATTCAAAACCAAACACTTAGATGAAATGGGTGGAAGGATGTCCCAGCATAGAGAAATAAGCCATAAAAGAACGCCTTGAGAAATGGGAGTTCATGGAAGAGGGAAGGGTTTTCTCACTGTGTTACTTTAGTGTGTTCTTGGCATAAGTGAGCTCTCTTTTTTTAAAACACCTTTAATGAGGTATACTTGTCATACAATAAACTGCACATATTCCAAGTGTACAATTGTGTTAAGTTTGACACAGGTGTATACCCATGAAACCATCACCACAATCAAGATAATGAACATATCCATCGTCTCCAAAAGTGTATTGTTGTATGTCTCAATAGTTCATTGCTTTTTATGGCTGAGTGATGTTCAGTAATATAATTGTGTACTAATATATGGCTATATATACCACAATTTAATGGATAGATATACCACAATTTGTTTACCCATTCACCTGTTGATGGGTGTTTGGGTTGTTTCCAGTTTGTGATTATTACAAATAAATCTATGAATATTTATGTACACATTTTTATAAGATCACATTTTACCTTTTTCTAGGAGTGGAGTGGCTGGATCGAATAGTGGGTCTATGTATCACTTTTAAAGAAACTTCTGGACTATTTTCCAAAGCAGTTGTATCATTTTGTATTCAGACTGCAGAGTATGAGAGTTCAGTAGCTTTACATTATAGTCAATGCTTGGGATGGCCAGACTTTTTCATTTTAGAAACTCAAATAAGTTTGTAGTAGAATGTCATTATAGTTTTTATTTCCTTAATGATGAATGATGTCAGGCATCTCTTCGTGTGCTTATGTGCATTTGTATATATTCTTTGGTGAGGTGTCAGTTCAAATATTTTGTCCATTTTTTAACTTGGGTTTGTTTTCATATTATTGAGTTTTGAGAATTCCACAATGAATTTATGTATTCTAGATTAAATTACTTTATCAAATAGGTTTTTTGCAATTATTTTTCCCAGTCTGTGGCTTATTTTTTCATTTGGAAAATAATTTTTTCTACGAGCAGAGTTTTTAAATGTTGATAAAGTCCAATGTCTCTTTCTTTTCTTTGATCATCATTTTGTTGTCATATCTAAGAAATCTTTGCCTAACCCAATATATACTGTCCTATATTTACTCCTGGAAGTTTTATTTTGAACTATTGTGTATAATGTAAGGGATGGATAAAAACTTTTTTTTTTTTTCATGTGGGTATCCAATTGTTTCAGCACCATTTGTTGAAAAAATATATTTTCCCCCCTGAATTATATTTAAACCCTTTTCAAAAATCAATTGACCATATATTGTGGTTCTATTTCTAGACTCTACTTTGTTCCATTAATTTATTTGTCTATCTGATGTCAGTACCTTACTATTTTGATTACTGCAGATTTATAATAAGTCTTGAAATCAGGTAATGTAACTCCAATATTGTTCTCCTTTAAAAGTTGCTTTGGATTTTCTAGGTCCTTTGCATTTTCATGTAAATTTGACTTAAGATTGCAGATAACTTATAATTTGGAAAGAATTAATGACAATGATGAGTCTTCTGACCCGTAACTGTCTCTCCATTTATTTCAGTCTTCCTAACCTTTCTCAGCTCTACCTTGTAGATATAAATGTGCAGGTCTTGCTTATTTTTTGTCAGAATCATCTCTTGGAATTACATATTTTGATGTTATAATATTATTATTTCAGTTTCCAAATGTTCATACTTGATAGCATATGGAAATACAAATTTGTATCTTGATCTTGTATCCTACAAACTTGCTAAACTCACATATTAGTTCTGGTAAACACATTATTATTCTGTAAGCTTTTACACACCCATGGACAGGTGGACTGCGAATAATAATGGTCTTAGGTCTTCCTTTCAGTCTGGATGCCCTTTATTTCTTTTGCTTATTACACTGGTTAGAACCTCCATTACTATGTTTAATAGATATGGTGAGCAGATGTGGTTGCTTTGTACTTAATCTTAGGTGGAACGCATTCACTCTTTCATCATTAAGTAAGATACTAGCTGTAGGTTTTTATAGATGCCCTTCATCAGGTTGAGAAGGTTTTCTTCTATTCCTAGTTTGCTTAGAGTTTTTATTAGGAACGGATACTGGATTCTGTCAAATATTTTTTCTGAATCTACATTGTTGGTCATATGGTTTTTCTTTCGTGGTCCTTTAACATGATTAAAATTTGGATGTTAAAGCAACCTTGCATTCCTGGGTAAACCCCACATGGTCAGGCTGTATTTTCATTTTTATGTATTACTGGATTTGATTAGCTAAAGTTTCGTTACATAGTTTTGCATCTGTGTTCTTGAATGATATTGATCTTTAGTTTTCTTTTCCTGTAGTCATTTTTTATGGTGTTGGCATCAGGGTTAAGCTGCCTCATAGAATGAATTTGGAAATATTCCTGTCTCTAATTTTCTGGAACATCTGTATAAAATTGGCATTACTTCTTCCTTAAGTGTTTAGTACAGTTTACCAGTGAAGCAATTTGGGCATGGAATTTTATTTATTTTTGTAGGAAAGCTTTTAACTATAAATTTATTTTTTAAATTAGTCTGTTTAACATTATCACACAGGCAACTGATGCATTTTCCATTTTTAAAAAAATCAATTTTTGTCTCTGTTTTACTTTAGATAGTTCCTGTTGCTACGTCTTCAAGTTTACTCTTTTCTTCTGTAGTAACTAATCTGCTGTTAGTTGCATCCAGTATGTTTTTTTCATCTCAGGCACCAGTGTTTTTCATCATAAAGTGTTTTGTTTGGGCCTTTTTATATCTTCTGTGTCTCTATTTAATCTGCACAGTTGTTCCCTGTTTTCTTGTTTATATCAAATATAGTTATAGTAACTCTTTTTAATGTCTTTGTCAGCTAATTCTATAATTGGCATCATTTCTGTGTTGATTCCGATTGATTATTTTTACTCCTTTTCATGGATTTTGTTTTCTTGCTTCTTTACATGCCTGGTAAATATTTTATTGAATACCAGCCATTATGAATTTTACCTTGTTGCATGCTGGAATTTTTTCTACTTCTATAAATATTCTTGAGTTTTGTTCTGGCATGCAATTAAATTACTGGAAACAGCTTGAAGATTTCGGTTCTTGTTTCTAAGATTTGTTAGCCCTAGTTAGGACCCAAACAGTGTTTATTCTAGGGCTAATTTTACCCCATCACTTAGGCAGAACTCTTCTGAGCACTGAACCCAGTCACCCCATGAGCTATGAGGTGTTACACTCTGGCTGGTGGGAAAAGAGGCTGCTTCCAATCCTGTGTGAGGCAGGTATCAGCTCCTTTCCAGCTGCCCCTTTTGTGAGTTTCTTTCCCTGGTGCTGGGTAGTTGGGTTAGTAACATACATGTACTAATCAGTACTTAGCTGACAGTGCATGAAGACCCTCTGCAAATCCTGGAATCTCTCATTCTGTGCATGTCATCCCACTGTGGCACTCTCCTGCCACCTTACCTGCCCCTACCTCCCTGGACTCTTATCTCTGTCTCCTCCATTTACAGTGGCATCAGGCTCTGCCTGGGATCCCCCTCTTCCTCATGGCCTGGAAATTCTTCCTATACAGTAAGGTGGAGCAATGGTAGGGCTCATCTTGTATGTTTCCTATTTTGCATGGATCACCTTCCTTCATTGTCTAATGTCCAATGTTAAAAACTTGTTTCATAGATTTTGTCTGGTTTGTAGTCATTTCAAGTGGGAGGATAAATGCGGTACCTGTGATTGTATCTTGACCAGAATTGGAAGTCTGTTTGTTTGATCAGGAGTAGAAGTCTATGAGAGTTTTGATTGGTCCACAGTTGGTCCAGAGAGCATCTTCTGGTCACTACTAATCTCTGATCACTCCAAGGTGCACCCGAGAGGATTTAGGGCCCTCACAAAAGTTGCCATACTTGCCTAAATTTAGCTGTATGTATGGTAAGGAGGGCTCTGCTTTCATTTCTAGATTTATACCTGAGGAAAGCCAAGCCGTGCAACTTTCTTTTTAATGAATGTACATGTATTTTAAAAATCAAAATTATAGGCTGGCTTAATATTTAGTTTTCAGCAATTTCAGAATTAATCAAATAGTAGGTTTTGAATTAGCTGCTGAGAATAGTAAATAATTATCCTTACTGGTCTTTACATTTTTAAATCTTATCTTTGTAGGATATATTTTCTCATCAGTTCTTGGAGTTGATATATAGTTGATGTCTTTGTTTCTTATATATTTTGAGACATTGAGTAACTTATTAAATCATACTTGTAGAAATACCTTACTTTACATACTTCTGTTCTAAAACTGTATGTAAAAATCCAGTGAAAAATAGATTTTTGGTTTTGTTCTTCAGTGAAATTCTATGGTAATCAAAGGTATTTATTTTCAGATGACAAGTAACCGTGTCGTTTTCTCTGTGCTATATAGAACCATATTTTCTTTCATTGAATAAATAGACAGAAGGCAACTTCATCCATATCCCCAACTCTGCCTCATGACAGGGAACTTCTGATCATTGGGGCAGAGATTAGGATGAACATTAACACTGCGTGCCATTTGAAATGCTTGCCTATGTAAATAAAACTTACAAACAGAATTGACTGTATGATGAATGTTTTAACTACTTCAGAAGTTTTTAAATACTTGAAAAGGGGCTTATTTACACATAGGTGAGAGAGTTGCAAAATAATCACAGACCCTGTATTTCCTAAGAGTGATTTTTAAACTTTTTGGTCTCAGGACCCTTTTCTCCCTTTAAAAATTATTGAGGACTCTAAAGAGATCTCTGTCTATTGGTATTTATTGTATTAGGAATTAAAATGCAGATGTATTTAAAATATGTATCTATTCATTTGAAAATAACAAATATATTACATGGGTATTTTTTTACCACTTTGTCAGTTATTCTTAAGTGAAACTGGCTTTTCCTCCTCTTCTTCCTCCCCTTTTTCTTCATCTTTTTCTCTTACAGTGAGAAAAAGATGGTTTCCTATTTTGCATGGATCACCTTCCTTGCAAGGTGCATGGAAGTGCATGGCAGTGAGTGAGTGCATGGCAGAGAAGCATATGATGACAAATAGTACAGTTTGGTAGCACTGCTTGATTCATGCTAAGGAATCTGCAGTTTTCCAGCCATTGCTTTGATATAATTATTACAAATGACAACAGTAGAAAATGCACATGATGATTTTGAAATAATTTTGACTTCATGGGTCATCAGAAAGCACTTCAGGTATCTTCAGGGTTTCTTGGACCATTTCAGAATTACTCCTAGGCTAATGCTTTATGAAATAATTACAAATATTTATATTACATATTTAAAACATTATTCTTTGCTTTAATTTTTCAAACAAATTTTATTAAAGCATAAGAGTCATTCAGAAATACCACACAAATCATGAACATACATCTTGATCAGTTATCACAAGGTGACCACACCCATGTCACCACCATCCAGATCAAAAAATAAAACAAACCAGCATCCCAGAAGCCCCTGCTTGGTCCCCTTCCCACCATTACCTCTTTCCCAGAGCTAAGCGTTTCATTATGATTAGTTCTTCCTATGATTGAGCTTTATAAAAGTGGATTTCAATGGTCTGTATTTTGTGTTGGGCTTCCTCACTCCACATTGTGCTTGTAAGATTCCTCCATGTTATTGCTTGTTGTTGTAATCTATTCATCTTACTTCTCTATATAAATAATTATATTAATGATGTGAATAGACTATGGTTTTTATATCCATTCTACTGTTGATAGTCATTTGTGTCTCTTAGATTATTTGGAGAAAGGCTACTATGCACAGTGTTGTATATAATTTTTGGTATACACACCTACATATGCCTTTCTGTTGGGCTTATATTAGGGGTAGTTGGGCTGGGTCATAGAGTCCTAAGTTGTACATTTGTGCAGTGTTAGTGGATGCTGCTAAATACTTCCAAAGTATTTTAACTCAATTTACACTCCCACCAACAGTGCCTGAGAATTCAAGTTTCTTTGCATCCTGGCTAACATTTAGCATTGCCATCCTTTTTTCGATTTGAGCATCCTGGAATGCGTGCTGTGGTGTTTAACTTTTCATTTTCCAGATGACTAATAAAATTGAACATCTTTTTCCTATACAGGCAGTCTTCACTTTGCACAGGATTGCAGTTCTGTAAAAATTATCATGTAAAATGAAATTGACTAAAGCTAACTTAATAATCACTGGAGAAAATTACAATTGTTCTGGGTCCTTTAAAATTTTTTGTCAAAATATATTTTAAAAAAATAACTTCTCATATTGTTGGTTATAAATATGTAGGGAAATGAAAAAATTAGTAAAACTAAATCTTATTTAGTTCACTGTAATTTAAAGCAGTGGGAATTTGAGAATTAAAATGTTTTCTCTTTCTTTGTAAAAAAATTGAATAATAGTAGTTTGGATAGGGCTTGCCTTCTCATTGTGTAACTTATGGAATGGAGCAAGCATCTTTTCTATGCCTTGGCAAATTGTCATACTCCTTTCTAAGTTTGGATCAGATTTATATGGCTTATTCCTCCATACTTCCAATGTTGTGAAATATCTCTGACAGTTCCTTTAGTTTTTTGTTTTGTTTTCTTTTTCTGTTTTGAGATGGAGTCTCACTTTGTCACTCAGGCTGGAGTGCAATGGTGCGATCTCGGCTCGCTGCAACCTCCACCTCCCAGGTTCAAGCGATTCTCTTGACTCAGCCTCCTGAGTAGCTGGGATTACAGGTGTTTGTATTTTTAGTAGAGACAGGATTTCACCATGTTGCCAAGGCTGGTCTTGAACTCCTGATCTCAGGTAATCCACCCACCTCAGCCTCCCAAAGTGTGGGATTATAGGCATGAGCCGCTACACCCAGCCAGTTCCTTTAATTTGAAGTCTTTTGCTGGAGTCGCTTCCTCTGGGACATCTTAATTCTTTTCATCACAGCCACTTTCTTCATTTACATGGATAACTTTGCCTTCTTGGAGTTCTTCTGGCTGCATATCTGGAGTCTTTACAATGGCAGTAGTGTCAACATTCCTGAGGTCAACTATTTCTTCTCTAATTTTATTTATGTTAAATTTTGATTGTACTTCCAATAGTATTGCTTTTTTCTCTCTTCTTTTTTTTGACCAATTTCCTCTGTTGATTTTCCGTTTTTGTAGAACATCATGTGGGTTTATCACTGGGATACAAGAAGGCAACACAACTACATGCTTTGCTGTCTGTGCATGCACTAAATAAAAGACACACAGTGACTAATCAATGACAGACTTTGAAAGAAGCGATGTCATAGGTCACTGATCCTGATGCACAATTATTATTTACCTAGTGATTTGTAGGTGGAAAAGATACCAGCAAAGTTTTTGTTTCATACAATTATAGTTAATACACCGTGGCAACTGATATTTGCGTTGTGTTTGGTGACTGACAAAATTTGTGTATATCAAAGCCATGCAAAATGTGGACTACCTGTATTTATTGACCGTACGGATGTACTCTTTTGTAAAGTATCTATTCATATATTTTGCCGTTTTTAAAACAGCAAGTTTTCGTTTTTTATAGATATATAAGGAATTTTTGTATATTATTGGAATTAGTATTTCTTTGGTCATATATTGCAGGCATCTTCTCTGACTCTGTGACGTGTTTCTTCAGCACTCTGTGGTATCTCTCAATATTATGTAGTCCAATTTATAAAATTCTTCATTTATAGCTAGTGGTTTTTACGCTGTGTTTCAGAAACCTTTGCCAGTTCCAAGGTCACAAAGACATTCACTTCTATTATCTTCTAAATGCCATATTGTCATGCCTTTTATATTTAGAATTATCATATGGAATTATTTTTTGTATTGATATAAGGTAGGGAACAAGATGCACTTTTCCCCATATGGATATCCAGTTGACCTAGTCTCATGTATTTAAAAGATCATCCTATCACTACTGCTGTGCCATGTCATACCAGTACATGGTATAAGTCATGTGTCCATATAAGCATGAGTCTGTTTCTGGTTCCTTTATACTGTTTATTGGTATATTTTTCTATGCTTTCCAATACTGTGCTATTTTAATTCCTATAGCTTTTTAAGAAGTTTTGGTATCCATTATAACAACTCTTTTTTTTTTCCTCACTCAACGTATTTATTTAAAGGAAAAAGCTTGAGAAGTCTAAGGCAGCATTTCCAAAAGTATATTCCATAATCATGGCCATTAAACAAGAAGCTTTCTAAGCTAAATATTTGGCTTCTCAGAACAAAACAACCTTCTTCACTGTGGGTTTTTCAATCTTTTTATTATTATTATTATACTCTAAGTTCTGGGATACATGTGCCGAACGTGCAGTTTTGTTACATAGGTATATTCTTTACAATATTTTTGGCTTCTTGTAATTCCATGGAAATTCAGAATCAATCAATGTGTTGATTTGATAAAAATAACATACTGGAATTTTTATGGGTTTATATTGAATTTGTAGATAAATTCTGGGACAAATGACATCTTTATGGATGTATGTATATATGTGCACACATGCACACATTTTTTAAACCCTACAAGGCATAATTACTATTCATTTACACAATCAGTATTCATTTAGATATATTCTCATATTTATTATTTCTGTTTTACTTCATTTATCCTCCCTCCCTCTCTCCCTCCTTCCCTTCCTTTCCTCTCCTCCTTCTTTTTTTTTTTTTTTTTTTTTTAGGTTATAGAGTCTCACTCCATTACCCAGGCTGGAGTACAGTGATGTGATCTTGGTTCACTGCAACCCTGACCTCCCGGGTTCAAGTCCTACCTCAGCCTCCCGAGTAGCTGGGACCACAGACATGCGCCACCATACCCAGCTAATTTTTGTATTTTTTGAAGAGATGGGATTTTGCAATTTTGCCCAGGCTCAAACTCCTGGGCTCAAGCAATCTGCCCACATTGGCCTCCCAAAGTGTACTTCATTCCCTCTTCATACTTCTATCTGGAATCATTTACCCCTGACTGAGGAAGAACCATTAATCTTCTTTAATGCAGACTTCTGGTCAAGTCTATTAGTTTTTATTTGTGTTAAAATGTTTTTATTTTCTCTTCATTTATAAAGGATATTTTATTTATGAAGGATGTTGTTACACCTGTAGAGTGTTTTTGGCTGTCACTCACTTTTAGCAGTTTGAAGATGTAATTGAGTTGTCACCTGGCTTGCATAGTTTCTGCTGAGAAGTCAGCTGTAAGTTTTATTGCAGCTTATTTGAGGGTAACGTGTTTTTATCCCTTCTAATGGCAACATGAAATAGTAATGTGACATGTATAAGTCTGATTTTCCTGCTTGAAATTCACTGAACTTGGAACTGTGGTTTAAGTCTTTCATCAGTTTTAGATGAAAATTTCAGCTTCACCTCTTCATATATTGTATATGTTTCTTCTGGGCCATTTTCTTTCTCCTCTCCATCTGGGACTTTGATTACATATATGTCAGAACTTTTCACAGGGTCCCATATTCTCTTTTTCTCTTTTTTATGTCATTTTTGACTCTTATTTCCTTTGTTTCTGTTTTCCTTCTTTCTTTTTTTTAGTTTTGAGTTCCTGCTAAAATTCTGCATCTTATGAATTTCAACTTTATTAATCTTGGTTTTTAAAATTTTATATATGATATCTAAAATCTGTCACTTTATACTGCCTCTTTCTCTTGTGTTCACTTTTTGTGTTTTTCTTTTAATTTGCTTTTGTCACCTAATATTCTTGGTAATTTTTTATTTATTGCCAAATATAGTGTACTAAAATGTAGAGATAATTTGAGATTCTCAGTGATAGTTATCTTTATCCAAAATAGGCATACTTTTATTTCAGGCAGCACTTAGGATAAAGGAGATTGCTTGAATACAAAGAGGGATTGAGTTGATTTGAAATTTGGTTTTAACCTTGCGAATGCTGGTCTATTTCTAGTTCATTCTTAGTTTTAGCATAGAGCCTTTATTGGGAGAGGTTCTCACCTGAATACCAGTGGACCTTGAAGGCCAGTTTTTGTTATTCTTGGTTTTTAAAACTACCAGAAGTTCTTTGCAGCTTCTCAGTTTCCACTCAAGTGCCTCAAAGGAAACCCTGTGCTAGCTATCAGGCTCACTTCTCCAAGCTTCTCTCATCTTAAGGATTTTGCTTGTTAAGTCTTTGCTGCTTCATTAACTCCCCAACACTTAAAATGGAAATTTTGGGGGTCCAGATTTTCAAGGTGTTCCAGGTGGGACACTTTTTGTTTGTAACAAATTAGTCCATCATCACCAAAGGTCAAAATCCTGGCTTCATTCTTTAATGAGAAAACTAGTCAGAAACCTACTCTATATAGTTTGTGAAGCACCAAAAAGCTCTCTTGTTTAAGATGTCACTGTAGCTCACTGGAGATCCTTTTTAGAGTTTTCAATGTATTAAGTAGTGGAAGTATGTGTTTCTCTTGAATTCTTTGAAGTAGGCTCTTTTCAGGATGTTTTCCTGGTTTGGTTTCTTTGGTTAGCCTTTGAATCAAAGGAGTAGAGTTTATTGAAAGTCCTAGAAAGTTTTAATAAGATGGAAGTCAGCAGGAAAGAGGGGCAAGACAAAATCCATTCATGGGCCAGTAAGACCCAGCATAAAGGTCACAGGCAAGAGAGTGCAGCCAAGGTATTCAAGGCCAGGGGTTTGGCTTGGAAAGTGTTGAAAGGTAAATGCAAACTCTATTTACCATTACAGTTATTCTAAATTAGTTTAGTACTAAAATGGAAAGAGTCAGCTCAGAAAGAATGGGCTTCAGCCATACTTCCAAAATATACCAACTCATTACCTTGGAAAATCTAATGAATCTCTCTGAGTATCATTATCCTTATATGTAAAATGGTGAGAATATCTTACTTTGCTAGTAGGAGGATTAAAAAGACAGTGTATATAAAACATAGAAGTTATTAGGTACTTATCTCTGCTAACTCTTCCCTTTTCCCAGTCAAAGGAACTGAAAAGGAAGTGACTAAAGGGGCATTTTTTTCTAGGTAGTCAGATGTCTTTGCAAGTGCATCTATATGTTAACTCATTAAAAATGGCAGCAATGTGATTTTGGAAAGAGAGAAGCTATGTTGGTGCTTTAGGAAAACAATCACTTATTGTAAAAAACAATTCTGTTTCTTGATGCTGCAGGCCTTTCTAGGAAACAGATATGGTGAATGATTTCACTCTTTGTTGAAATTTAACTGGGTGTGGGGTGGGATATGGCAGATTCACAGGGTGATGCTTGTGAAATTGAATTCAAAATCTTTTAAATTTCTTTCAACTTTTAAAAAGTAATTCTGTCTGGAAATTAATGTATAAAGAGTGCTATAGTGTTATTTTGGAAAAAAATTTCAAAGAGAATTCTGTTTCCTTGACGGTTAATAGTTTGGCTGAGGATCTGCACAGTGGGGCCTATTTGAAGACATTAGAAAATATCTGTTGGTTTAAAAAGTTCCACCCCACAGTAAAAAACAGTGCAATTTTGAATCAAAATGTTGTTGGAGACATGTTATAAGTAAATATAATATAATCACATATAACAATAAGTGAAATGGTTTGATTACAAGGAAAATTAGGATATCTATTTTTAAATCTAAATTATAATTCTTCAACCATACAAACCAGTAACTATATTATACTCTGTGGCACTTCACTTGATACATTTATTACTTTTTTAAAAATAGAAAACTTTAGCTATTTATTTAGCTACTTGTAGGCTAATGCTGACCTATGTCATAAATAGTTTAAAAAAATTTTAATATATCTCTTTAAATCCCATTTCTAGGCTGGGAGTGGTGGCTCATGCCCATAATTCCAACACTTTGGGAGGCTGAGGCAGGCAGATCACTTTAGGTCAGGAGTTCAAGAAAAGCCTGGCCAACTTGTGTCTACTAAAAATGCAAAAATTAGCCGGGCGTGGTGGCGGGCGCCTGCAGTCCCAGCTACTTGGGAGGCAGAGGCACGAGAATCACTGGAACCCAGGAGGCAGAGGTTGCAGTGAGCCGAGATTGCACCACTGCACTCCATCCTGGGTGACAGAGTGAGACTGTCTCAAAAAATAAATAAATAAATAAATCCCATTTCTAGAACAACAAAGTATGGTGGAAATTCAGAATGAGAAGACTTTGATTCAGTTTTTTTCATTCTTCTTGTTTCAATCTATGTGGTTGAGCAAAGCAGTTAACTTCTCTGAATTTTATGTTTCCTCTCTGGAAATGAGAGAATTGGTCTAGAATTCCAGATGTTGGCATTCACCATCTGACTCAAATAATAATAATTTAAAAACACCCATACAGGGTTTAACCCAGAATAAGTGCGATTTCTTTTAGCACGGAATCTCCAGATGGTGCCTTTGTTTCCTTCCAGCTCTCGGGTTTTTTTTTTTTTTTTTGGTGGGGATCGGGGGTGTGGGGGTGGTGGGATGGAGTTTCACTCTTGTTGCCCAGGCTGGAGTGCAATGGCACAACCTTAGCTTACTGCAACACCCCCCTCCCGAGTTCAAGCCATTCTCCTGCCTCAGCCTCCTGAGTAGCTGGGATTACAGGCAGGTGCCACCACACCCAGCTGATTTTGTATTTTTAGTAGAGACACAGTTTTGCTATGTTGGTCAGGCTGGTCTTGAACTCCTGACCTCAAGTGATCCACCTGCCTCGGCCTTCCAAAGTGCTGGGGTTACAGGCGTGAGCCACCATATCCAGCCTTAGGTATCTATTATTTAGAGAGATATTTAACTCTATTCCCTAGCAGAAGGCAACTACTGTTTTTCTCAGTGTATTTTGATTGTATTCAGTCATTAATTAATACAAAAATATCTTCTTTTCTCCAAATTATAGATATATATACTAAACATTTATAATTTTTTTCAACTATGACTTTCAGATATACCAAGAGATCGTTTGTTACCTAAAAGAGTAATGCTTGACTTATAAAGTGATAAAAATATGTATTTAACAAACTCTGGTTTAATGTAGCAGCTTGGGAAGCTACATATTTACTTTGCTGAAGCCATCATTACTCAATCTTGCAACTCCTCTTTTGGAGTCGTCTGTAAGCTTAGGCAGAAAGCCACCAAAGCAACTATTTCCTTGCTTTGATAGTGTATATCTCAATCTTGACCCCAGATGATATTTTTTGACTTGCTTATTTGAGACTCTTTTATTATTCTCATTTCTGAATGACAACACTGTTCAGAAATCAAGGCCAATGTCACAGGAAGTTTTTCCAGTCTTAGCTTGTTCTTTGCAGATATTTAAGTACTACATAAATCTTGCTAAAGAGAATGGACTGAAGGTTCTGAAAATAATTCAGAGGGAATTCAAAACACTTGCAATTTGAAGAGTTACAGCCTCATTGGCCTTCAGCTATAAGTAGGATGTATGTGACACACACACACACACACACCCCCCTGATTGAGTGCCAGGTACTAAACATGATTTGTCCACATTATCTCACTTGATTCTTCCAATAACTATTTGAGTGATTATTTGAAGTGGATGATAACTTATTGAAATATGGAAATTCTAGTGTAGATGTTTAAAAAGGAACTTTCCATACTATAGAGCCACATCTCATATGTTTCTTCATTGTTCATGAAGTTCTCTAGAGGAGAACATCTATGACTGTCTTTAGTATGGTGTATTTCAACCCTGCGCAACTCTTACAGTAAGTACCTCTTTTGTGTTGTAAATCTTAAATCCCTCATGATGCAATTAAATAGAAATGTTCATCTAATCCTGGTCTTGATACAAGGAATTGTTTCCTCTTACACATAAAATTCCCTGTAGAATGTATTTTCTCTTTTTGCAGGGCCTCATTTTCTTCTGTCACTGGAGCCATCATTTATTTAGCAGCTTTGTTAAACAGAAAGGGGTCTGTCCTGCGTGTGCAGTCTTTGGTAAGTCTAGATAAACACCAAGAAGGTCTTACATCTGCATTACTATGAAATGTCCCTGGTTATTAGTTGATATCACCATAGGACACAGGTGATCGTTACACTCAGTTGGAGAAGTGCGGCCCCAAGTCCATTCTCTAAATCATGACTACTTGTAGCAAACACCTTTTAAGATGCAATTGGCCAGTGACACAAGTGTGGTCCTGTGGTCTCTACAATGCAATCAGTCAATTTTTAGAGAGGCTGCTCTCTAGGCAACAGCCAGAATGTTGGGGCCTTTTGCGATTCTGATCCACTAATAAGTGTTTGCTGTTGACAAATAATTGAGATTGCAGGTTAGGTTCACAAAAGTACAACTCAAAAAATAATTATGTTAAAATATACCTGCAGAAATCAACCCAGATTAAGTGCTGTCTCTTTAGCACACAATCTCCAAAAGTTCAGAAAATCATCGTATTGGGGAGGGAGTGGGGAAAGATGACAGAAAAACCCGTCACCACTTACAAGAGCTTCATTTGGTTTTTAATCAATTGAAGGACTTTGCAGAAGATGGTACTTGTTAAATTGATCTCAATTAAAATCAGCCTGAGTGTGCGCTCTCTCCGACAATAGCTACACAAGGCCTGGGCCAGGAGTCTTTCAATTCTGCCCCTATGAGAGCACGAGCACCTGTCTGGACTACACTGGCACCTTTCCATTTTTTAATTTTCACCTCAGCCTTTTCTTCTAAGCAGTCTTTGACCTCCATGGCATCCCTAACGAAGTCCTTTCAGTGTGTGTGCCCTTCTTCCCCACATTGTAATGGAGGTGCGGTGAGGAATGGGAGGTTGCTTGCAGTCTTTCACCTCTGACAGCAGGGCCTGCATCCTGCACGCAGCTGTCAGGACGCTGACAGGGCTGCACAGTGGGATAATTGGGTACTTGAGGAAGATTCATAAGGCCGTATGCTGCAGAGCCCCACGTCCTGCCCTGGGGCAATAAGGGGCAGAGAGGGGAGGAGAGAAAGACAAGACTCCAGTGGGGGCTAGAAACCTAGCCTTGATAAATAATAATCTATTTATAACAGGGAATAATGAAGACTTTGGTTCACAATAAGGCCACAGTTCCTGCAAGTGGAGGAATGATGTTTAAGGATTTCAAGTTTGAATTCCGTACAAGGTGAACCACAGCTAGGTTAGTGAGAGAATCAGAAAGATTGGGGCCGGGCGCGGTGGCTCATGCCTGTAATCCTAGCACTTTGGGAGGCCAAGGTAGGCGGGGGATCACCTGAGGTCAGGAGTTCAAGACCAGCCTGGCCAAAATGGTGAAACCTCATCTCTACTAAAAATACAAAAATTAGCCGGGCGTGGTGGCGGGCATCTGTAATCCCAGCTACTCGGGAGGCTGAGGCAGGAGAATCGCTTGAACCTAGGAGGTGGAGGTTGCAGTGAGCCAAGATCACACCACTGCACTCCAACCTGGATGAGAGTGAGACTTTGTCTCAAAAAAATTGGGAAGATCCCGTCCAAGAGGAAGGAGTGTCACGTGGAGCAGTTCTTTTTATACCAGGATGTTGTTTTTGTTGTTTTTAATCAAAGCAAGCCATCTGACAGCTCATTATGAAGAGACAACAAGAAGTGACTTTATTATGATAGTGTGGAGTTGGTTCCTCTGCAAATTAAAGTTCTTTGTTCACTTGCGGCAGTTTGCTTAGGAAACATCTGGTAAGGGGTGCCAGGTGGGATAACATTTTAGAAGTGTAATGTGATAACAATTAACCTATCACTCCTTTTTCTCATATTCTCTCTTTTTCAGTTTTGTTAGATAGATTTATCATCAAAGGTGATCAAGACAAAAATCTTTCAAGTGATTTCCTTGTGAAGTGGCCCCTCATGACTGGCATAATCTGTTACAAACTTATTGGGATTTATTTTCCCAAATAATTATGATTTTGCTCATGGGATGTGATAGGTTGGTGGTGAGTTTGCCTTCTTCACATATGAAAGGGCAGAATTCTTCATCAAACATAAAATTCTACTGGTGAAAATAATAATGTTGATTTATCCAGTCAGCATATGCTATTATTAAATATAAGATAAAAATTCAACTTTGGGAGGCCAAGGTGGGTGGATCGCTTGAGTCCAGGAGTTTGAGACCAGCCTGGGCAACATAGGGAGACCTAGTCTCTACAAAAAACAAAAAAATTAGCCAGGCACGGTAGCTCAAACCTATAGTCCCAGCTACTCAGGAGGCTGAGGTGGGAGGATTGCTTGAACCCCACAGGTCAAGGCTGCAGTGAGCTGTGATTGCACCACTGCATTCCAGCCTGGCGACAGAGCAAAACACTGTTATAAAAAATCACATAGGATCAGAACTATGAAATAAGACTTTTTTTCTGCAGTGATATTCTGGAAATTCTGAACTCATATCAATAAGCAGTCAATAAAAGGTCTTTTGATTACAAGACTATATATTTGATAATCTGGAAACTGATTTTGAAAGGCAGAAACTAGCATGAGTAAATAACAGCCCATAATATGAAAGTCTCATACCCACTTCAAAGCTCTGTCATTGTCTGAATTTTGAAGGCTCATCCCATCTGTCTTCTATCTCAGGTATTTTCTCTCCTTCAGGTTACTCCATGAAAGTCACAGCGTATCTGTCCCGTGAAACAAATATGTGATATCTAGGAATTTAAAATAAAGATGTTACATTTCTCTTTCTTGGACAATGAACAGAAATTTCTGTGACTTGTTGAAATACTGTTTTCTCATTGTTTAATTAAATATTGTCAGATAAATTTCCCCACTGGAAATTTTTTTTTAATTAATGAGATCTGCTTTGAGTTTCTATGATTTTTTTTCCATAAAACCCTCTAAAAATCAAAAGCCTTCGTTACGCTTAGGCCAACCGTGCATATGTGTTTAAATTATTCCTTATTTGGGATGATAATTTAGGTGATACCATAGCTTTTGCTTTTTGACAGCTAGAGAATGCAGGCCTAGCATATTAAGTGGATCAGGATATTAAATAACTAAATGATCTTATACTGCTATTTAAAGTACTTGTCAGTAGAAATAAAGAATATGATAACTTTTTCTTTCAACTTGCATTATCTCTTTAAAAAACTATCAGTGTTATTCCATTCACTTATTCATCCAGTATTTACTTAGAGTCTTCTATGTGCCAGATACTGTGCTAGCTACCAGTGTCTACAAAGACATTGGAATAAGACAGGGTCCTGAACCCAGGAAATTTAAAGCTAGTAAACTCTCCAGACAGAAGTAAGAGCCAGGTGAGAAATGAGTAAAGGGCACAGCAGAGACATTACTAAGACTTTGTACCATATATATACTTTATACATATATATGCTTCTTATAATTCTCTTCTACATGTATAAGCAATCCAAAAGTATTAGCAGAACAGAGAAAACTTCTTCTTCCCCTTAATTCACCTCTTCTTTATCTTTCAGATCTTCTGAGAATTATCAAATTAACACCCTCTAGTTAAGAGAAACTAGGTGGTGTTTTCCTCATGCCATGTCTTGCACAACCCTGGGTTTCAGATAAGGATGACTAGACGGTTCATGTCTGTAGTGGACAGTTGATGTATGTAGTGGCAGACCAGGCTGTGCATAAGTCAGTGTAGGGTGTTCACTGAGGAACCCTACTTCTTCTGTGCTCTTTGTCTCAACCCCCTCCCCCAACTCCATGATCCCTGGTACCCCACTTCAATCTGCCCCTTCCACCCTCCAAACTTGCCTTCTCCTTATCCTTTTACTCATTCTCTCCTGAACTTCTTAGTGAGGTTGGGTGGGGGATTACCTAATTCGACAAGTTAATTTATACTAAATTCTTAATGTCTGATGATGGCTTACCCAGCCTGTGTCACCATTCTTCATAAGATAGCAGATGTAGAGAATGACAGTATTTGTTCTGGCATCCTGGAGTAACACATAGGTCACTAAGGTCTCAGGCAGTCATCCTGGGCTTCTGCTACCCAGGCCTCCCTGGTCACCACAAGCCTGATAGGACCAATGGGTCTGGCACCCCTGTTACCCGTGTGCACTCTGCCTTAGCCCAGCATATGCACTGAGAGTTCTGGTCTTCTTCCCTTCCTGTGGATTCCCAGCATTTGATTAGGAACCTTCAAAGCCCTAATACAAAAGCAGGGGATATCTAGTGTAGGAGTTTTCCTAAGCTGTGTTGGATATCTGGCTCGTTTCTGTTAGCTGAGTGACTTTGGGCAGTTTATTTAACTCTTTTGCATCTCGGCGCCCACTTCATGGGATTAAAATGTGGACTGGATTCTATGAGTTAATATACATAAAACAGTCAACATGGAATTTCCATATAGGGTGCGTTCCATTAACCTGCCTTGCCATTGCTTATGGGTATTTTAGGCTGTAGCAAGGCCACTGGGGTAGAGATTAAAAGAAAAAAATATTTAGCATAAGTCTCTTAAAGCAAATAGCCTGTGAGCTACAGACATTTATTTCTCACAGTTCTGGAGGCTGGAGAGTTCAAGATCAAGGTGTGGGCAGATCCCTTATCTGGTGAGGCCCACTTCCTCGTGTGCAGATGTGTCCTCATGTGGTGGAAAGAGCAGAGCACTCTCTGAGGTCCCTTTTGGGAGGGCGCTAATCCCATGTATTGTTACCGAAACACCAGGGTTTCCATCTAGGTCCTGCTGCTGCCCGCTGAGAAAGCCAATGACTGAGATGACAACCAGTATTGCCAAGGAAGAAGGGTTTAATCGGGCGCTGCAGCCAAGGAGATGGGAGCTCAGTCTCAAATCCATCTAGATTCATGGATTCTAAAATGAACCTAAATACATGGAGAATTTCTTGAATAGTTTTGTTCTCTAAACCCAGTTTGGCCGCCTTGTGGAATGGTTCCCTGCAGTAAATGGACTTTCGTTTATTTAATCATTCAAACTTCCACTCACATCTGCATGATTACAGAAAACATGGGGTATGTAGGCTAGTAACACATAACAAAATTACAGCAAGATGGTAATCAAACCTCAGATTTATCTTAACATGTTTCCAGTGGAAAATGTTTCAGCGTTTTGTTCAGTTTATTACTTATCACTTGATTAATTATTTTTGTTGTACTAAATCATGTATGTTGCAGCTTAACAATAAAAAAATCTATAAAAAAACTAAACTAAAACTAGGGGTTTATATAGCAAGGAAGAAATGTAACAACGTGTAAGAAAGCAGGAACTAGGGAGGAGCAAGGAAACAATCATGATGAATGAGAGATCCAGCATCTCATTGTCTGGATGTGGGGATATGGTGAGTTTCAGTTCTTCTATACTTTACTTGAGAGGCCTGAAGATCAGTTCCTGCGGATGGAACTCAGATAAAACAAATGTAAGGTTCATAAGACCAGAAGGGTCAGTTTCTATGTTTAGCTAAAAAAACTATGTAGGGCAGCTGTCCCCAACCTTTTTGGTACCAGGGACCAGTTTCATGGAAGACAGTTTTTCCAGAGTCCTGGGGTGGGAGATGGATTCAGGATGAAACTGTTCCATCTCAGATCATCAGGCATTAGTTAGATTCTCATAAGGAGCACACAACTTAGATCCCCCGCACACGCAGTTCACAGTAGGGTTTGTGCTCATATGAGAACCTTATGCTGCCACTGATCCAACAGGAGGCGGAGCTCAGGCTGTAATGCTTGCTTGGCGGCTGCTCACCTTCTGCTGTGTGGCCTGGTTCCTAACAGGCCACAGACCGGTACCTGTCTGTGGCCCCGGGGTTGGGGACCCCATATCTGTGGGACTATTGAGTGGGTTTCATTATGAGGGTTCCACCTCAGGACCTAATTACCTCCCAGAGACCCCACCTCCTAATGTTATCATCTTGGGTATTCCAGTGTGTGAGTTTTGCCAAGCCGCAAACATTCAGCCCATAATAATGGCATTTTCTACACTTGGAAAACACTTTTTCTCCTTTCCCTTTGATTGTCCAGCTAACTCCTCCTTGTTTTTCAACTTAGCCCAGATGTGATGTCCTGTGGAAAAAAATAATATTCAGACTCAAAAGGCATGTTTCCTCAGTATCCCCCTAGTACTCTGAGCACACTTCTGTCATAGCATGAATTGCTATAGAGTAGTCATTTCATTCATTCATTCATCCACCAATTCACTTCAAAAATACATTTACACAAAGGATCTACCATGTCCCCAGCAGACAGGCTAGAAGTTCTGGGAGTAGTGGCCAAGGCAGATAAAGCCCCTTGTACTTGCCCAGTTTATATTCTACTGGAAACAGACAAGCAATCGACTGGTAAACAAATAAACAAGACTGTTGAGAATTGTGATATCATGGAGATTAAACAGGATGCTCTATGGAATTCCTGGGCAGAGTTGGAGGAACTTGGAGGCTGAGAATGGAAGAACGGGGAGGAGCCAGGCAGGGACTTTCAGTGGAGAGGTATCAGATGAAAAGGCTTCATGGCAGAAATCAATTTGGCATGTTTGGGCAACAGAAAGGAGGCTGGTGTGGCTGGCCATATGTGGTGAGCTTGAGTTGGGAGTGCTGGGGTAGAGATAGTGGTATTAGAGGAGGTTGGAGGCTCAGGCCAAACATGGAAAGGATTTCCTGGTTCTCAACACCCCCTGGATGCTGGAAATCATGTGCCTGATTTCTGACAACTCCCAGTGGAATCTTGTTTAGCGGACCTTCCCCCACCAGCACCCCAATTCTTTGACCATAGGCTCCTTGACTTGGTATCCTTCAGCACCTAGACTGACGCCTGGCTCAAAGCAGAGGCTCAGTAAATCTTCCCTGCATTTGCATATGAATGAATTGAATACTGGACACATATGGGAAAATGAATTACTGCTTTAAGAAGACACTGCCTTCTTGCAGAAATGATGCTTTCTATCTAAAAAGAACCCTGAGGTTTCCCTTGCCCCACCTACTTGTACTGTAGTATTAGAGAGGTTTTACAAGTTGTTTAAGAATTCTTGAATATAATTTAACATTGAATAAAATGAGTTTTTTCCCCTCCCACTAATTATAATCATACAAGCAGTGAACTAAACAGCTGGGGGTGAGAGAAATTCTGATGATGTTAAAAATGCAAATAGTTTTCACACCAGATTAATTCATTTAACTAAGAGTCCTGATCTTTAAATATTAAATGTTTGAGTGTGAAACGTTTTATTCACAGAGGAGATAGTCCACATGAATGAATCTGAAGCCCATTCCTCTATCAAGGGTGATTTTAAAATAAACAGGATGCATATTGTTAGCTAGTTATTAACCAGCGAGTTGTAAATTCTTCAAAACAGTTCAGGGTGTAATTTACATGACTCAAGATGAGCAAGACTCAGGGTACTATGAAGCTGCTGTTTGAGGTTAGGAGAAGCGAGTCATGCAAGGACCTGAACGAATGTTTGTGTTATCTGTGTTTGACTAATATTTGAATTAAATGTTTTATATTTAATCAAAGCAAGATTGAAATTCATTATTACTGCTGATACGCAGTACTAATTACAGGAAATAACCAGCCCTTCCAAGTTCAGTGCCAAATGCTGATAGTGTGGTAATCTATGCTCTGGGAGGAAATCGAAGGCCTCAGATCTGAAAGAGAATTTAGTCCAGTTTTTTATGTTTTAAACCCATGCTTCCTTTCGATTAAAAAAGATCCCTTGCCTTTATTTTCTTCAACCTCTCTTTAGTTTGTATTATTAAACTCGTAAGATTTTTTAAATACAGTGTAAGATTTTATTATAATGATAAATCTAATTTTCAAACCACACCTCTGCTCCATCCTGCCTTGCGTGATCCTAATTGGGAATCACTGGTCTAGACTAATCTGCCTCTTTAGAGATCAGAAAACTGAGGCTTTGTGTTATTAGATCCTGAGATTAATCTTGATCATAGAGCTGTTTTAATGAAAAGCAGGTGCATAGTTTAGATTTCACCCCCATTTTTCTTATCTAAGTCCCAGAGGAGTTCAGAAATCTAAGTTCAGGATTTTTTCCCCCCAGATATTCAGGTCTATTTCACCTAACCCTGTGACACTGTAAACTACTGTGTTGGGTAGGTTGCCCCCAAGTGAGCTGGTATAACAGGTCTGCATTTGCCTCTGTATCTCAGGCCCTGTCCACATGTGTTTTATTTGTATAGCAGCAAACATCTGGCCCTGAATGATCATTCTGCTACACGTGGTGATCTCTGGAAGTAACAGCAAGTCTACATTAGAAGTATGTACCACATTCTTTTATCAAAAGGACTTGGCTTTAGCCGTATTATTTTACAGAGTAAAGAACAACTGGCATATTTTAAAAAATTAGGAAGGATAAGGGCAAATGTGATCGGCTGGTGGGAAACTGAAGTCACAGATTAAATTACGTTCTTGGCTAGAAAATTCACTAGGAGAATAGACCAGAACAAGTGCCAGCAGAACACAGCCCTAAGATAATAAATAAAATTTATCTGATTCAAGAGGAAGATAAATCATGGGAGAAGCAAGAGTCTTGTTAATGTGCCTGGTTATAATTGCTTCTAGCTGGTAGAAAAGGATCCTTGAATCTTACATATTCAGCTAAACAAATGAGCTAGTTCCTTCCTGTAAACTACACTGAAACTGGCTTCCAGGGCCTCTGCATGGGAAGTTAGGGTTTAGATTGTAATAACAATCATTATTATAATAAACAGCCGTTATTTGAGGGGTTCTGGACACTGATCTCAACATCCTCACTAAAGGGTAAGATTAAAGAAAAGTAATTAGATATTTGCAAGCACTGTACATTTTTGTAAGTACTGATATAAGCATAATATATGATAAATATAAAAAATTATATATAAGCATGCATATACACATTAGATAAAACGCAATTCTAAGCAAGATATAAATATTTTTAAAACTGGACTGGGCATGATGGTCATGCCTATAATCCCGGCACTTTGGGAGGCCCAGGCAGGTGGATCACCTGTGGCCAGGAGTTGGAGACCCGCCTGGCCAACATGGTAAAATCCTGTCTGTACTAAAAATACAAAAATTAGCCAGGCGTGGTGACACGCGCCTGTAATCCCTGCTACTCAGGAGGCTGAGGCGTGAGAATCACTTGTACCTGGGAGGTGGAGGTTGCAGTGAGCCAAGATTGTGCCTCACTGCAAGTGAGCCAAAATTGTGCCCTCCAGGCTGGGCAACAGAGCTAGTCTGTCTCAAAAAAAAAAAAAAAATTAAAAACTGAATGATATGTATTCAGTTAGAGGGTTCATTTTATTTTGATTAGGAACACTTGCCACAATTGTATATTTTTAGATAATCAAATTAAGGTGTCCCTTAATATGCTTGCCAAACACAAGCTGATCATCCATACTGGCTTTGGGTAAATAGAGCTTGAGAGAGAGAACATAGAAACTTACTTAAAAGATAACTGGGGAGAAAATTCATCTAGGACTAAATGGGAGAAATCCTTAGATATGTTTATATGTTTTTAAATTATGACTAGACTTGAGGAACCTGACTAAAGAATTGGAAACGGGAAGGGCCCCTGTATTAGTCTGTTCTCATGCTGCTAAAAAAGACATACCTGAAACTGGGTAATTTATAAAGGAAAGAGGTTTAATGGACTCACATTTCCACATGGCTGAGGAAGCCTCACCATCATGGCGGAAGACAAAAGAAGAGCAAAGGGACATCTTACATGGTGGCAGGCAAGAGAGAAAGCATGTGTGGGGAAAAACCATTAGATCTTGTGAGACTTATTCACTGTCATAAGAACAGCATGGGAAAGACCCGCCCCCATGATTCAGTTACCTCCCACAGGGTACCTCCTAGGACATGTGGGAATTATGGGAGCTATAATTCAAGATTTGGGTGGGGACACAGCCTAACTATATCAGACTCCCCCAGGTAAAATTCAGTATGCAAAATTTTGAAACTCTAGATGAGAGGCAATAAAACATTTGGGAGGTTGAACATTTGAGCAAGCTCAGAATAATAGATAAGGGGTGACATATGTTTGAACTGATTTACAGAGGAGAAACACTAGATACATTTGGTGATAAAAGATTTTCTACAGAGTTAGGGATAAAGCATCCTAATAAAAATTATGGTGTGTGAAGGTTATTGCTTAATACAAATAATTTGGGAAGCTAGAGAATTTAGGAGTTCATGTACAAGTGACAGGGAAAAATTCACCATTTTGTGGTCAGATGATTACTATTTAATATCACAAGTTCAGTTGGGTGCAAGCTCTCTTGCTGTGAATTTTACTGAGTGCTCCTAATACTGTTCCATTAAGTGGCCTTGTTAATAATGGACCAGTGGAGCTGCTGGCCTCTGATATTTTAAGGATTAGAAACAGTGTTTAGTCTATTTGTATATGTGTGTGTGTGTGTGTGTGTCTGTCTGTCTGCCTGTTTCCCAGAAAGCTTACATACAAATCTTTTCTATCTTGAATTGTATTTGATAACTAGGCCTTAAGGAGCCTGTTCTCTTGGGCCAAATGTCCAGAAATTGAAGGTGGGGAACTCAGGAAGGACCTTAAAATATATTTTGTCCTTTGAGTTTTGTATTTCTACTCACCATGTGTTACAATACCTTGTCTGTTCATTCCCTTATACTTCGTTTTTTTGTTTTGTTTTGTTTTTTGAGAAGGAGTCTTGCTCTGTCACCCAGGCTGGAGTGCAATGGTATGATCTCGGCTCACTGCAACCTCTGCCTCCCAGGTTCAAGTGATTCTCCCACCTCAGCCTCCCGAGTAGCTAGGATTACAGGTGCCTGCCACCACACCCAGCTAATTTTTGTATTTTTTGTAGAGATGGGGTTTCACCATGTTGGTTGGCCAGGCTGGTCTCAAACTCCTGACCTCAGGTGATCTGCCCACCTCAGCATCCCAAAGTGCTGGGATTATAGGCGTGAGCCACCATGCCCGGCTACTCACTTGTAATTTGAATAGTTAATCTTAGACTTGATTTTGACGGTCTGCATTTCATTTGGTCCCTATTGTTTGCAGAGCCCAAACGGTATCTTACCATTAAGTAGTTTGATAATGAAACACATTTCCACACACGAGAACTTTTATCATGCAAAACCTCAAAGAATGGAAGACCCTGGTTTACATATTGCCAGGTTGTTCTGACTTTGCTGTATTTGTTTTATTTGGGAGAAGTGGGTGGGCAAGATATTTGAGCTACAAAGTCCAAATCACAATCTCCTTTCTCTATGCTAGAGATGGCCAAAAATATCCAAGACAATGTTTTGAGTGGTACAATTTAGAGATATTGTGGAAGAGTAAGTACATTCCATGTGAGCACTCCTGTCTTTATCATGATGAGGTTGAAGTAGGAAGCATCCATGGGCAGTGCTGGTGTAAAAAGATGTAAAAAAATTTCCTTTGAAAATCTAGTATCTAGAAACACACCTATTTATACTTGGAAATTCTACATTATTTTCTTTTATTATTTATTTATTTATTTTTAGACGGATTCTTGCTCTGACGCCCAGGCTGGAGTGCAGTGGCACAATCTTGGCTCACTGCAAGCTCCACCTCCTGGGTTCACGCCATTCTCCTGCCTCAGCCTCCTGAGTAGCTGGGACTACAGGCTCATGCCACCATGCCCGGCTAATTTTTTATATTTTTAGTAGAGATGGGGTTTCACTGTGTTAGCCAGGATGGTCTCGATCTCCTGACCTCATGATCCACCTGTCTCAGCCTCCCAAGGTGCTGGGATTACAGGCGTGAGCCACTGCGCCTGGCCATTATTTTAAACCCTTTAGTTGAAACACCTTAGTTTTAATATTTTACAAGAGGAATCATAAGATAGGAGAAGATGTGGCCTACAAAAAGAGGCATACAGGCGCCCTCAACATTTAATTTTCTAGAAAAAAAAATCCCTACTTGTAATTATTGTCCAAACCCTTCTCATTGTATTAGGCACAACTCTATTAAATTATGTTCTTCACTCATCATCTCTCTAATGAAAAAATTACATTTAAATACACATGTCAAATAGAAACTGATGCAAAATAGATTGAACTACTCTAGTAATCCCGGAAGAGAAATTTAAATTCTATAGTTAATTTGTAGTTAATTACAAATTATATTTCTGATGCAAATCAGAAAAAAAAAGGGCTGTGACAGGTAGTGGGGGTGTGGAGTGGGAAAGATTGGAAGAAGAATATATTGTTTTCCTGTGTGATGATGGCCTTGGAAGAAAGATAACCAGATCCCTTTAAGGTTGACAAAAATAAGGATGGAAATACATGAGGTCCATTCTTTCAAAGGGTAGCTAACAAAGAGGAAAGGGAGCCTGTGTTTTTTAAAAAATACAAGATGAAATGGAAATGTGCAGTGGTGCCAAAAGCACTGGTTGAAGCTTTTCTGTTCCTCCTTGGGGATTAGCTGAGTGAGCTCAGGCCATCTCCCCGAATCATGTTACCAGTCTGGTTGAGATAGCACATCCGTTAAACTCGAACTTGTCATCCCCAGGGGGCATCTGGTATGAAACGCCACATTTTGTCACCAGTAACTATGGCTGTTGGCACTGAGAAAGTGAGCTGGGAACTGTGAGCAGTGATTTAGGAGAAGAAGATTGGAACACTTGTGCATAAAAGATGTTAGAATTCTCCCCACTAGACCAGTAAGGTAGAGGCGAACCTTGTAAGACAGTAAGAAAACTGGAGAAGGAATAGATTTTGTTGCTGTCTAATGAAATATATTTTAATATTCTGAGTGTCCTTCTCATTTTTCTTCTCCTGTATAAAAACCATTCCCTTGGAAAGTTAATATTATATGTATTGTCTGAGTAGAGGATATGTGCTTTCCATGAGTGCCTAGAACTAATGTAGATATCTATAAAGTTAACTATATACTTTATAGTGTCAGATTTATAAATCTCCAAGAATAACCATCAACTCCTTGCTTTGATATTATAAAAAGAATAATTTCCTAAAATTTTAAAACGAATAATTTTCCTAGAATAATTTATTGATGCATCTATCCATTTAAATATTCATTTTATGCTATCATATTATTTTTAGATTATTGTTTTTTTAAGATACAAAAGAAACTTCAGATTTCTGCCGTGTTTCTGAAAGATTAAAGCAAAATTCCATTAAGAAATAGTAGGAGAATTCTACTGTATCCTCTCATGTGTTACCAGCATTTTGCATTCCAAATAGAAAACATGCCAAGGTGCATTGTGTATTAATCAATCAAAATGCAAAAGTAACAGCAAAATTCACCATAACAACTGAGAATATTCCTTAGGGGAGCTTTTGTTGAATTGCCTAGGTTTTGACATAGAGTAACCCAGCTGTCCAGCTATTGATTTGGGCATAATTATCTGCTGCTTAGTAATTATTTACATATGCATTGGAATTGTGTCATTGGGCTCTTCAGTGGGATTAGGAGAAATGGTTAAAATATATTACTGTTTGAGGACAACACTATAGTTTCCAACAATAAGGATCCATTGTTAGGCCTTTTAGTGGGTTGAAGTTTTCCACTGGATATAATCCCATCCAGAGAAACCAGAAAGATGATTTTTGTATGTTTGTTTCTATATTTATTTTTTAACAATCCATAATTATGTATCATATTCCTTTACATACCTGAGCTTGGAGCCATTTCCTAGATTTAAGTGGATTAAAATGTCTGTGTTGCGTGTTGTGTGTTGTGTGTGTGTGTTTCCTTGACAAGTTTTGCATTATAAGAAATTTTAACTATTTGGTTATGATTGTGTCTTGGACCAATAATGCTTACCTTGTGACAAATCTGGGTTTTTTTGTTTTTGTTTTTTTCGAGACGGAGTCTTACTTTGTTACCCAGGCTGGAGTGCAGTGGCGCGATCTTGGCTCACTGCAACCTCTGCCTCCCAGGTTCAACCAATTCTCCTGCCTCAGCCTCCTGAGTAGTTGGGATTACAGGTGCCCGCCACCAACCATGCCTGGCTAATTTTTGTAGTTTTTTAGTAAAGATGGGGTTTTACCATGTTGACCAGGCTGCTCTCGAACTCCTGACTTCAGGTGATCTGACCACCTTGGCCTGCCAAAGTGCTGGGACTACAGGCGTGAGCCACCGCACCCAGCCATGACAAGTCTTTATGAAGGAAAGAGGAAAAACAGTATAGTTGACTTTTGTACAACACAGGTTTGAACTGTGAGAGTCCACTTATTCTAAACATGGATTGAAAATACAGAATTCTTGGGGATGTGAAGCCTGACTTTTCTGGTACTTGGCTCTACAGGGCTAACTGCAGGACTTGAGTATGCGTGGATTTTGCTATATGCAGGGAGTCTTGCAACCCATCTCCTGTGTATACCAAGGTGTGGCTGTATTTAAATTCATTGTCCCTAAAATAGAAGCTAAAATTAATGTTTCTCTAATTAATTCACTCATTGGGACAATGCTGAAAAATGGCCTTCCTCTGGTTCCCCATAAATCGTCTGCATAAATCCATGGGGAGACTGATATTTTGGGCCCACACTATTTATGACTGAGGTTGAGATATGTGATCAATTAGCTTTTAATTTTGTCCAAATTAACTTACGGTGTAAATACAGACTAACACTTGGTTATGTACAAATGCCAATTAAAGGCAACTTCTGCCAGAAAGTTGTTGGCTAATGATGTGTTTTTTGAGGAACAGAAGTTTTAGTCATTAGAGAGGTGCTGTTGTTCACATCCTTATCATGCTTAGAAGGAACATTTTCCAGTGTTTATATATTGGTAAGAATATTGTGGACTTCTTGACTTGCTCTTCAGTGACTGAGAAGCTTAGCAAGATGTCTCTTCAGCTAATTTTTATGTTTTAATATAGAACCAAACTTTCAGAAGAGTTGATGCTAGACTGATTTTTTATGACTTAAGTAATTAAAATTTTTTGTGAATACACCATTTTGTTCAGAAGCATGTTTACAGAGTTTGTAATAGTAATATGTTGCTGACAGTGAAGGTGAACAAAATGTTGAAAGGCTGCAATGGTGTTAAAGTAATGAATTAATGAAAAACTGAGTGGTTCTCTGAGGCTCCTGAAACCCTTCCCACAGGAAGAGAGATGAAGATTTCCTTCAGACCAGCCTGATCTAAATAGGAAACACCCTCAACTTCCTCCCAGCCCTGCTTATCTCTTTGCTTGTGTTTAATGTAAAATTTTCATTATTTAGTTACTAGAGACATTCATTCAGAGTTTAGCATCTGTCCTTTGAACTTGTTTGCATTGGTGTGGTCTGTCATTAATTGAAAGCTCCTAGATTGCAGGGTCAAGTTTTCTTACATTCTGTGACTAAGATGCTTATTACCACCCCATACTAAACAGATACTGAAGAAAAGCATTCAGTGTGCTTTTGTTTACCTTTCTCCTTGCCTCTGGTGGAAAAGTATTTTTCTGGATTGCTTCATCAGTAATACCACTGATGAGGCTGGGGATGAGGGGGTTGAGATATGATATGGGGTGGGGTTAAGGTTAGGGAGCAATTTAGGGTGGGGAGTAGGAGCTCTTTGCAATCAAAAAGATCCAGAATATTCACTTCACAACTTACCATCTTTCTGGCCTCCGACTTTCCAAACCCAAATTTCCTCACCTGTAAGGTGAGGCTATTATACCTGTGTTATGGGCTGAATTGTGCCAGATCTCCTTTCCCAAATTCATACATTGAAATCCTAACCCCAGAACCTCAGAATGTGACTGTATTTGCAGATATGGTCTTTATGGAGGGTACTTAAGTTAAAATCAGGTCAGCCAGGTGGGCCCTAATACAATATGACTCATGTCCTCAGAAGAAGAGGACATTTAGACACAAACATAGACAGAAGGAAGACATCATAAAGATACAGGAAAAAGACGGCCATCCGCGAGCCAAGGAGTGAGGCCTGGAGCTGTTCCTTCCCTCACAACCCTCAGAAGGGACCAACCCTGTTGACACCTTGATTCTGTACTTCCAGCCTCTCCTTTCACTATGAGAAATCTCTGTTGTTTAAGCCACCCAGTCTGTGGTACTGTGTTATGGCAGCCCTTGCAAATGAATACAACTTACCTTACACTCCAGTTGTAAATAGATCAGACACTGTGAAGAGCTTATGGTGCATAAAGACACTCAGCAAATGGGAGCTTGATAAAATGATCAGAGCTAGAGAAGGGAACAGAAGTGGAAATATTTCTAGAAATATATTTGAATCCTTAAAGCCTGGGTAGATGTGGAAGTTAGGTTTGGAAGGAAATTCAGGTAAGTTTCTTTTTATTTAAATTAGGCCCCCTGCAAACATAAGAGCATTTATGGATCGACTGTATCCAATTGTGTTTTTCTTTGTGGTTGTCTTTTGGGGATGATAAATGAGCCCAAATAATAACAAATGAGCCTCACAGAAGGATTTATGATTTTGAACCATAGGGTTCAGATGGTGTCTGCAAGTTGAATGCTTGGTAAAAATATGTAAGCAGTGGTGTCCCAGTCTGTCTGGTTTTGTTGGATTGGTTTCGCACTTCATTGCTTTCTGGCAAAGAAATAGTGCAAGCCCAAATAATTTTAAAAATTGCCAGTGTTAAAATGTTGCCTCCTGCTATTCACTCATACTCCTCTCTGAATAATCAGCGGTGGCTGTATTTATGTGGATCTAGGGAACATTTTTTTAAATATCAGCTTTACATGCCAAGTTACCCTTTTTAACTTAAAGAAAGTTCTTTTATTTGCAAGCTATTCTTCAAGATAAATAAGTATTATTTTCCTATTTTGTACCTTTGAAGAATAATTCTTTCTAATTTGAAGTTTGGTAAAATTATAATTTTGAGTAATTTCTTAGGTGCCTGGATTTCTTATAAAAATGTCAGGATTGGCAAATCTCTTAAGATATTAGGATTCTCTAACTACTCTGCCCTTCAGCTACTTTGATGCAACATGTTTTGTTAAACACTAATAGTTCTTCCGAAGTCATAGCAGCAGTTAGGGAAGGTCATGTAGGTGGGGGAGTTTTATTTTGTGAACTATTCTCCCTCTCCACACAAACATAAAATTAAACCATAATCAAATTGATTCTTTAGAAGGCTAATCAGGGTTTTGTTTTGCTTTGGTTTGGTTTTAAGATAATTCTGTAAAGAGTGCTCTCCTGGCACAGAAAGAAGACATTGGTCACCACCCAGAGAGGTGACTCCACAGCAGTCATTAGCTGGACCTAACTGTAGCTTAAATACCATGAGTCACAAAGGAAATACACAAGTGATAACAGCAGGTATTCACTCGTGCTTATAAACTGTTAACACCCAGCACAGTGGAAAAAGTGATAAGCTTATTTGATTAGCTCAAAAGTTCTCAGAAGTTCCTGAGGCTGTTCTCAGTTCCAAGAGGAGATAATAAAAATTCTAACTACTCCCCTTCTGGTACCCATCATCTTTTCTCTGGAGGACTTCAAAGGCTTCATTTGTGGCCTCGCTATCTTAACTGCTATACCTCCTCCACCATACTTCTAAAGCACAATTGTGTCTTGCCGCTTCTGCCTAAAACTGTGCAGTCACCCCTGATTACCCTCCATATAAAGTTTCAATCCCTCAGTGAGGTCTACAAAGTGCTTTACGATCAGGCCTCTGTCTACCTCCAAATTCATTTCCTGCAACTACCTTTTTGTGCCTGTTGTCAGTCAGTCAGAAATACCTGCAGTTGCAGGCTTTCTCATGCCTCCGGGCCTTTGCATGTGATGTTCCTGTTGTGAACAAGCTCTCTGACATCTAGATTTCTTGATCTAGCCACCTACTGCTCTCCATCAGCTCAATCTAGACTTTCCCTGCTATGAGACTGGGTTGAATGTTACTTCCATGTGCTCCTCCTACCCACCCCGTATGTATTACTGTATTGAAAGTACACTTACCCCGCCCTTATTCTTGGGCTCACTCTCTGAGGTTTTAGTTGCCTATGGTTAACTGTGGTCCAAAAATATTCAATGGAAAATTTTGGAAATAAATAGTTCATAAGTTTTCAATTGCATGCCATTTTGAGAAATGTGGTGAAATCTAACCCTGTCTGGCCCCATCTCACCCAAGATGTGAATCGTGCCTTTGTCCAGCATGGCCACACTGTAGACACTCCCTGCTTGTTAGTTACTTGGTGGCCCACTCCGTTACGGTTATCAGATTGACTGTGGCAGCATCACAGTGCTGGTGCCCAAAGAACCCTTATTTTGTTTAATAATGGCCCCAAAGTGCAGGAGTAATGATGCTGGCATATTGCTATAATTGTTAGTTGTTCTATTTTATCATTGTTAACCTCTTGCTGTGCCTAAATTATTAATTAAACTTTATCATAGGTATGTTTTATATAGGAAAAGACAGTATATATGGGGTTCAGTACTCTCCATGGTTTCAGACATCCACTGGGGGTCTTGGAATGTATCCCCCCTGGATAAGGGGGACTACTATACTTGTTACTTGTCTCCTGCACCGGATAGTAAGTACTTTGAAGGGAGAAACAGTGTCTTGTGCCTGTTATATATACACTACCTAGCTAGTGTCAAATTATAAAAGAATATGTGTGATGAAGGAAGGAAAGAAGGTGGGGAGGAGGGAGGGAGGGAAGGAAAATAAAGGAAGGAAGGAAATAAGGAAGGAGGGAAGGAAAATGAAAGAAGGAAGGAAAAGAAGGAAGGAAGGAAGGGAAGGAAGGGGGCAATGGAAAGTATCAGAAGTGGGAGGGTGTTGTAGAGAGAAGGAATTGGTATTAATGGAGAACTTATTATTTATCCTACCAGTCTCTTTCATTAAATCTTCATGACAGCTCTTTGAAGCAGGAATTATTATCTCTAATTACAGATGAGGAAAGTGGGCCTCGGAGAGTTCAGCCCATTGTCAGGGGTTTCACAGCTCGTAGGTTGTGGGACTGGGATTTGAATGCAGATCTGCCTGATCCCCCAACCTGACCCTGTGCTCCCTGTCCCATTTCTAGCCATATCATGGGACAGATAAAGATGTCATATAATCACCTGGTGTATTCACCACAGTCTTGATCAAGCCAGGCCGCTCTAATTCTCAGCTGCTTCTCATTAGCCAAGATTCCTGCACTTTAGGCTGAAATAGAAAGAAGCTCAAAACAAACCCACTGGCCTATTTTTGTTAATCACTATAAACGGTGGCTGTAGCAGAGCTGATTCATTTAATTGAGGATGTAGAAAATATTGCAGAGAGTAAAGAAAAGGCTAGGAATGCCAAATTAAATTTCTTGGAAAATAGTGGTTTGCATTCTTCAAAGGGGTCATTGCTGAATTTGTAATCAGATTGTAATGAATTTCAGCTGAAGTATTAAGTTTGTGGTATCCAGAAACCGGGAAATATGTTTGTGTTGTGAGTTCCTTACATCATGGAGTGTCATGTGCGTAAGTACACTTAATTAGATACTCTGATGACATTAGTAACAGTGTCAAATGTCATGAATGGCTAATTGCTTGCCAATCGAAAGCCCTATTTACATAAACACCAGGGGCCCACTCAGAGGTCTGCACCAACCATCTTTTAAGCTAAGATGTATCTTCAGTACCTTGGGACAAAGAAATGAGCATTTTCTTACAGAAATCCAAGAGACATTACAGGGGAGATAAAGAAATTTTTGAAGAAAATGTCTCTCGTCTGATCAGTTAGAGATTGGAAACTATAAGAATTTTTAAAAATAATAGTTATTAAAATGCATAATATTTTGTGGCCTTTATAGCTAGCTAAAGCACAATACTATCTTCTATATTTTATATTTTCTAAGTGTACTTTGATTCTGCATGTAAAGTTTCAGCCAAGCAACTCAATTATATTTTGAAAGCCATTCTGGAGTTTTAGCTTTACAAAGTTAACCTCCCACTTCTGTGCCACCACTCACACATACTAGCATCAAATGGATATAGAAAAACAACAATTTATTTTTTTCCAGGAATATTATTTGTGTTCTAGACTTTTAAAACAGACATGGATGTTAAAATTGTCATCCAGTTTTCCTCATTTTACAGATGAGAAATTAATCCCCAGAGACTTACAGTAATTCACTTAAAGTCACCTAGCTCCATGTTTTTTCCGCTCCACTCATGTTATGGGCTGAATGTTTGCTTCTCCCTCTTCCCTAAATTCATGTGTTGAAGGCCTAACCCTCAATGTTCTTGTATTTGGAGGTGGGGCCTTTGGGAGACAAATAAGTTGAGATAGCATCTTGAGGGTGGCACTCTTTTGATGGGATTAGTGCCCTTTTAAGAACAGAAAGGGAGGGACATCTCCCTCTGCAGAAGCATGTGCCATGGAAAGGCTATGGGAGCACACAATGAAAAGGCAAGGTGGCTGTCTACAAACCAAGAAGTGGGCCCTTACCAGACACCAAATCTGCTGGCTTAGACTTCCCAGCCTCTGGAACTATAAAAAAAAAAAAAAGTCTGTTGTTTAAGCCACCAAGTCTATGATATTTTGTTATAGCAGACTAAAATAATCCTACTCATACAAAAAGGATTGGAGCAGTTTATTGGTTCCTATTAGTGATTATGATCCATTTTTATAAACTATTATTCAAACCATCGGGAATGCAAAGCATTTTTTTCTCAAAGTCAAGCAGTAAATTGACAGCAAAAATGAAACAAAAGATCAGACCTCCTGAGTCATGGTCCAGAGCTTGTGATGTCAAGCATGTTGCTACTTAAAGGAAAGAATGTTTGTGTTTGATAATCTCATCACTTCTTAAAGCAATACCTGTTTGTTGACTGCGTTTTGCAAACTCTGCTATCCTTGGTCTTTTAGAGAACTCACAAGCTTTCCTGACATACAACTTTGACATTTAAAAATTGTTCTGCTATGTTTGAAGAAAACAAAGGATGCAAAGGTTCTCTAACAGTTGCATGAGTTCACTGAGACAACACTCAAACTACAGCTCTGGGACCCTGAATGTATATACCCTTGATTTATATACCCTGGGTTCCACTTGGTTTGCCGAGTCGAGTGCTGTAAAACATCTACATCTTGTTCTAAGAAGAATGAGGACATAACCTGGGTTGTTCTGGATACCTCCTCATTATCTTAGGATGTTGCATTCTTGGTAAATTCTGCCTGAGAATTGCAAGCAAGCGGCAGCAGAGCTGGGTCAGCCAACATCATCTGGAAAGGGAATGACCCTGTATCATGAAATCTCATGCATAAGCTGTAGGAGCAGGAAAAAGTTAAATGGTAGAAGAGATCATAGTGTCTATCCAAGAGTGTTTGGGGGAAACTAGGGCCCAAGGGTGATATAATATTTGGTGGCTTGTACACAGAGTATGGGGTAGAAGCTGAACAGAACTGTCACCCAAATTCAGTGCTATTTCTTTATCTTTCCAAGCAAAAGTAGTATGTATGACAAAGAAAAGGGTGAGACAAGGGTAAGCTGTAGTCAGTTTTCCCCTCTTCTCTCCTCCCTTACTCTTCCCTTGCCTCCCCTTTCATCTCCTTCCTCTTCTGTTCTTTCCTCTCCTCTTGTCCCTTCCTCATCCCTCCCTTCCTATAAATTATGAAGAAATATGTATTGAGATGTGTTTTTAGAACTTCTTCTCAAAACAGGTCTGTATTTTTACTTCTGTGCATTTGTGGAATTAACTGACTCCACTTAACAGTAAAATAAAACAGCCCTAAAAGAACATAAAGTTTATATTAAATGGTTATGAAAATAATGGGCACCTTCGCCCACTGAGATTGTGTTGAGTGAAGTTCAGTGACGATACTAAATAGGCCCCCTCCCACCTCACTAGGAGCCAATTGACAGATATGGAAGTCAGACAGAGGTAGGTATTTTGGTCTGCTTTTTTATTACTGAAGAGTAAACTGGAGGATGTGAACTGCCTGGCTGGCAACACTGGGCTTCCAAATAGACTTTCTGACTTAGTCATGAGCTGTATCTCTTAAGTCTATGGTCTGGCAGAAATTGGAAGAAAATCATGCACTCTGTGGGAAGGCATCCCAAAGAGAGTTCCAGAAGGGGCTGGAGAAGCACGTCCTGCTTCTTCTCCACAGTTGTCAGTCAGTTAAGTTTCTCCTCCTTCTATGGAGGAGTGAGTGATGAGCATGGTGTTGACTTATATATTGAGGTCCTTCTACCTGGAAGAGGGGAGGGGGACAATTGCTTTTCTGTTTCTAAACATATATTAGAGACTAAATGGTTAGGAAAAGATAATCCAATTTTCTTATGATTGAAAGATAAGTTAAAGGTGTTTTGGTTTTGTCTATGTGTAATTGTTATTCACTGTTTAATTAAGACAAAAATTATATACTTTGAATCAGTGATTCTCAAATTTAGTGTGCATTGGAATCATCTGGACAGCTTGTTATAATACAGATTCCTGGACTCTATTCTTGGACACTGAGTAGGAATGCCAAAAAAACGAATGACTTAGGTGGTCTTGGGGCCATACTTTGAGTAACGCAATCTGTGAATGTTTTCCTCCTTATCCATCCATTTCTGAATTATTTTTGTATTGTGGGTCATTACTTAGCCATTTCAAATTTAGTTATTAATCCTGATGATTGTTTACCAAATTACTATTATTAATACATATATTTGCTTACATGTTCATAGGGAAAATATGGGCATATATACATGAAACTGTAAATGATGGTTATCTTCTTGGCATGAGGTTACAGGAAAGGGTAGAGTTTTACACTCTTTCCTGCAGTGGTGTCACGGGATCTTTAGGGTGTTTCTTTTCTAGCTGGAAAGTTCTGTGGCTAGTGGTGCCTTTGCCCAAGTTTTTACTCAGGCCTGCTGGGCTTGTTCCACCCTCTTGGCTTGGCAGGCTTCTCTCAGCTCGTGCTATTGGCCCAAATCTCATGCCCGCCAAGAGTGAGCCAGGCGCAGAGCAGTGAGGAGTTTGAGAGTGAGCATGGGCTCCAAACACTGTGCACAGCCAGGCACACTGGTGGATGCAGCAGGGCAGGCAACTCCAGGCACCAGCATGGGTGCCGGCTCCCTCTGAGGCTGAGGTTGGACCAGGTGTACTGCAAGCAGCTTCCACAGCTGGCACTGGGGAATGTGGTGGTGCCTGGAAGCTTGGAGATGCCAGGAACCACAGAGCCCCAGAGAGGTTGTCACAGGAGCTGCCTTGTTCAGGGAGCTCCTAGGTCTGGGTTCCCCAAAGGGCTGCAGCTCTTCTCCCCTCTCCTTCTTGTCACCCACATTGAGGCGAGCAAGGGGCATGTTTCAGCCCTACTTGTGTTACAGCTCTTTTAGCCCTGCCATTTGGCAGGTCCCAAGTTCTCGTCCTGCGTCCAGGAAGAATGAAGTATGTGGATAAGTGGAGAGTGAGTAAGATGATGAGGAGCTTTACTGAGCAACAGAACAGCTCAGAGGAGACCCACAGTGGATAGGTCCTTTCTGCAGGTGGGGTGTCCTGATGAATGTCCAGCTTTCAGCAGAGGAGAACCTGGAGTGGGTAGCTCCTCTCCACAGCTGGTCATCCATCTCTCCTCCTCTCCTGGAGTCTGGCTGAGTTCAGGGCTTTTATTGGCTTCAGAGGGGAAGAAGTACGTGCTGATTGGTCCATGGGTGGCCATGAGTAGGCCTGGAAAAAGCACCATAAGTTCCCACTCTGGTCCATGGGACTGGCATCCCTCCCCTTAGGCTTTCAGGCTTTCCAGGGCTTGAAGCAGAGCTTCATCAAGGACCTGCCCCCTTCCACTCCCAGGAGCCTGTCTGCCTCCTGCCGCCATTCATGGCACCTATGCTGTTCCTGTCAAAGGGTGCCTGCAGGCCAGCATGGGTTGCCCTTAGCACCACCTCGGCCTCCTTCCTGTGCTCGTCACCCCCCAAAGTCCAGAGGGGGCTGAAGTGGCAAGGGACTGGTGCATCAGTGCTGCTCTGGGTGTGCACACATCTGGCTGGGCTGCAACAGTGCCTGGCTCAGCCCCAACCTTGCTCCGAGATCAGAGTGGGTGCTAGGAGCAGGGAGAGGCCAGGCAGTGGGAGCAGACACTTCTGAGCCTGCAAGGGTAGGGGTTCCTTCCCAGGCCCCTGAGAGTGCAGAGATGCCTGGGTCCACAGCTGTGGCTTGGCAACTGCAGCTGTGCCTGGGAAGGCGGGACTCCTGCCTGTTCCTGGCCCCCAAGAGCACAGGGATGCCCAGGTCTGCAGACACGGCTGGGCAGCCACAGCTGCACCCAGGGAATGTGAAGCTCCTGCCCTGCCAACTCATAAGGAGGTGGGGCTTCCACCTGTTTCCGGCTCCTGTCGGCTCTGTGGAGCACCCAGCCCCAGCTACACCTCCCACAGTGCAGCCAGCATCATGGCAGCAGCCACTCTAGATGGGTCACTGCTGCCATTGCTGGCACATTTTTGCAGCTTTTATTGCATTAAACTAAAGATACTTCTATTTTGAAAATAGGCAGAAGAGAGGAAAGGAGGAAGAAAGAGAAAGTCAAGTTCTGAGTTTTCAAGGAAAAAGGGGAAATTATCTCTTCCCATTAAACTTTACTTGAATCTTGACACCACCTGTGACTACGATGTCTCTTCGTACAGCTGAACTGATTGACTTATGACACGTTCTTACTCAGCTCCACCTCACTCCTTCCAGCCTATTCTCCATACATCTCTCCATAATTTAAAATGTAAACCATATCACATTACTCCTTTGTCTAAAACCTCCAGTGACTTCCACTGCACTTAGCTAAAATCCAAATTTTTCATCTGAAGGTTTTGCATGATCCACCTTGCTAAATGTCTCTGTCTCACTCACCTCTATGTCCTCATAGCCTATACAGTACCTAGGCTAAAGTAGATGCTCAACAACTGTTGGTGAATTAAAGAATGAATGAGTGAATGAATATCCCTTTCAGAGCTTGAAATGTATGTGTTGTTTAATTTCTTTCCAAAATGGACAACTGGTCTTTTCTACTGGTGTTCATGAGACTCCAGGGGGCATATTCATTTCCCAGATTGTATCCTCTCCTAGTTGGACAGTTCTGATTTTTCATGGATCCGTAAAATCCAGCTAAGCTCTTCTCTGACACTAAGGTGAAGTGGCTATTAGGCAGTGCAGTGAGGAATGGACGGACTCTGCCCAAGTCTCAGGTTATCTGCCTTTCTAACTGGCTCAATGGTTTTCCAGATATTTTTGCTCAGGAATCACTCTGTCAGAACAAGGGAAGGACCCCGCGTGTCCATTCTCCTTCACCTTCCATCTGTGCTGGTTTGTACATGAAAAATAAAATTATCTACAATGAATTTTAAAACTGTCTTCCGCAAGACCAGCTTGGCCAACATGGCGAAACCCTGTTTCTACTAAAAAATACAAAAACTACAGGTGGTGGGCACCTGTAGTCCCAGCTACTTGGGAGGCTGAGGCAGGAAGAATTACTTGAACCTGGGAGGTGGAGGTTGCAGTGATGCAGTGAGCCGAGATTGCACCACTGCACTCCAGCCTGGGTGACAGAGCAAAACTCTGTCTCAAAAACACAAAACAAAACAAAACAAAACAAAACAAAAAAACTGCCTTCTGATATGCCACCAACAAGATATTCACATTGTTTCCTTTTTGTAGAATGTTGGAAGATATGAAATTAAAACTGGGATTTTCTAAGTAGTATCTGGAGTAAAAGCAATAAATGTTCTTGCTTCAAGATTTCCATTTGTGGTATCATTCACAAGAGAAATTTCCCCTTTTTGAAAAGTATTGGCTTTGATCCTATAACAAAATTACTTTCAAGAAGTAGACTGCGTACTATATGAGGTGAATTAATTTTTACAGTGATGGAAATCAGCTCTTACAGGGCACCAGGGTATCGTTTAGTACATTGGAAGAGGTAATTTTCTGAAGAGTGGTGTATTTATTGTCTACTAAGCTGAGCATTGAGGAGCAGATGCAGTGACTGGTGCACATCCCCCACCGAGTGTGCATGGAAAAACCGCCTAAATCACACATTGCACCTGGAGAATGCGGATGTCTCCAAAGGCTCCTTTACAGTAGAAGGAATTCTTACCATGGTTTTCTAGTTTGCTGAACTAGAGGGAAGAAAGTTAGGAGGAAGAACGGGAAAGCTGCCGAAGTGTGTCCTTAGCAGAATGAGTGGTTATTTATCTTTACCACCTCATGAATTTTTATTTCAAGGTTTAAAATTTTCCACAATTTACTGAAGTAGAAAAAGAATAGAGCTCTATTGGGTTAAGCAAAGTAAATCCAAAGACATATAGAAACTTCAAGGAATTGATGGTTTAACCAGGTTTTGGTGTGGCATTGGTGCTGGACAGTGTGGCCTTTATGTAATGTTGTTGGAAGTGGCTCTTTCTCGTTTTTTTTCTTTTTTTTGGAGGCAAAGTCTTGCTCTGTTGCCAAGGCTAAAGTACAGTGGCACAATCTTGGCTCACTGCAGCCTCCCCCTCCCAGGTTCAAGTGATTCTCACGCCTCAGCCTCCCAAGTAGCTGAGACTACAGGCATGTGCCACCACCCCTGGCTAATTTTTGTATTTTTAGTAGAGATGGGGTTTCACCATGTTGGTCAGGCTGGTCTCGAACTCCTGACCTCTGGTGATCCGCCTGCCTCAGCCTCCCAAAGTGCTGGGATTACAGGCGTGAGCCACCGCGCCCGGCCGAAGTGTCTCTTTTAACAATGTAAATTCTCTTGTGGAAACAACCAGCCAGATACCAATGACTTTTGCTGCTCAGCAGATGCTATGGTGGATCCCACGCTGCTGAGTGTCAGCTTCATGTATCAGTTGGAGTGAGCAGTCAGTGCTGTGATGTCAAAGGGATGCTCCCAGAGCTATTCTAGAGAGTCAGAAAGCTGACTTCTCTGGAAAAAGTCACATCAGGACCCAGAGCAAGGAAACAGGTACCAGAATATCTGAGCTCCAAGGTAGCTTAAGCAGATTTTATGAGTACTTCTTTTTTTTCTTGCTACTGTTTTAACTGGGTTTAGGGCTTTTCCCTGGAGTGCCTATCTTAAAGATGGGGGTGCTGAGCCTAGAAAATTGAGAAAGGGATATCTGATTCATTCTGTTGAGGGCCTATGGCTCTTAGGCTCAAGAGAAACCAAAGGCGCAGCAGACATTCTAGCCTCATCATCTCCTTTGATGAGTAGTTCCTGGTAGCTCTGTTTGCTGAGCCCATTTCTTAACCCTTGTGACCTCTTGAGGAAGTATATCATGACTATCACTGAACTGCCTCCTATTGGCTACTGCTATCCCTCCAGATTTCTACACTTTACATATTAACTTACCTCAGCAAGTATCAGAATTTCATACAATATCCACTATGGTACGTCTCATTAGAGGTACAAATATACTCAGTAAATCGTGGGAGAGCATAAGCAGAAAAACTGGGAGGATCTGGGAAATTATCTTGGGACAAAGGTGAAGACAGATTTTTTGCTAAAAAACCTAAAAAATATTGTTTTAGCTTGAAACTATTCTAATGCTAATTTGCATTCTAATCCTTCATATAACTATGTTTAATTACCAAAAAAATAATGTTTTCTACAGAAAGTTTGAGAGAAATGAATAATCCGGGAAGATGCTCCATGCTTATCCCTAATGCCTGAACTCTTGACACTCTTGCACACCCTCTGGGGCACACCTGCCTATCTGAGAAACATGGATGTGCTTATAGTCTTCATTGCTCTGGCTGTGTTTTATCCCATGTAGTCTTTCACAGGTCTAGATAAAGGAATGCAGAATTGCAATGACTGTATAAACACCAGGCACGTACAGTGTCTGCAGTGTCTCGTCCCTCCCTATCTAGGTAAGAGGGGGAAAGAGGATCAGTGACACCAATGGAGATTTAAACCTTCCATGGTCTCCACGCCTGTAATCCCAGCACTTTGGGAGGCCAGGGCGGGCGGATCACGAGGTCAGGAGATCGAGACCATCCTGGCTAACATGGTGAAACCCCGTCTCTACTGAAAAAATACAAAAAATTAGCCAGGCGCGATGGCGGGCTCCTGTAGTCCCAGCTACTCGGGAGGCTGAGGCAGGAGAATGGCGGGAACCCAGGAGGCGGAGCTTGCAGTGAGCCGAGATAGCGCCACTGCACTCCAGCCTGGGCGACAGAGCGAGACTCTGTCTCAAAAAAAAAAAAACCTTCCACGGTCTCCCCCAGCTCCAGTAGAACCCACATATTCTATTCTACCTTGTGTAGAAACGATACCAAAGGAGAACTTTCTCACAGAAAAAATGAGGAGAGGAGTAAAGATTGATTATATAGTGTTTTTGCAGCTTCCTGAACTTCTCAGTGGCAGCCTATAAATATAATCTACACTGACTGTATATAAGACTTTAAATTTCTTTTTTTTAAAGTCTATATTTTATTTTATTATTATACTTTCAGTTTTAGGGTACATGTGCACAATGTGCAGGTTAGTTCCATATGTATACATGTGCCATGCTGGTGCGCTGCACCCACTAACTCGTCATCTAGCATTAGGTATATCTCCCAATGCTATCCCTCCCCCCTCCCCCCACCCCACAACAGTCCCCAGAGTGTGATGTTCCCCTTCCTGTGTCCATGTGATCTCATTGTTCAATTCCCACCTATGAGTGAGAATATGCGGCGTTTGGTTTTTTGTTCTTGTGATAGTTTACTGAGAATGATGATTTCCAATTTCATCCATGTCCCTACAAAGGACATGAACTCATCATTTTTTATGGCTGCATAGTATTCCATGGTGTATATGTGCCACATTTTCTTAATCCAGTCTATCATTGTTGGACATTTGGGTTGGTTCCAAGTCTTTGCTATTGTGAATAATGCGGCAATAAACATACGTGTGCATGTGTCTTTATAGCAGCATGATTTATAGTCCTTTGGGTATATACCCAGTAATGGGATGGCTGGGTCAAATGGTATTTCTAGTTCTAGATCCCTGAGGAATCGCCACACTGACTTCCACAATGGTTGAACTAGTTTACAGTCCCACCAACAGTGTAAAAGCATTCCTATTTCTCCACATCCTCTCCAGCACCTGTTGTTTCCTGACTTTTTAATGATTGCCATTCTAACTGGTGTGAGATGGTATCTCATTGTGGTTTTAATTTGCATTTCTCTGATGGCCAGTGATGGTGAGCATTTTTTCATGTGTTTTTTGACTGCATAAATGTGTTCTTTTGAGAAGTGTCTGTTCATATCCTTTGCCCACTTTTTGATGGGGTTGTTTGTTTTTTTCTTGTAAATTTGTTTGAGTTCATTGTAGATTCTGGATATTAGCCCTTTGTCAGATAAGTAGGTTGCGAAAATTTTCTCCCATTTTGTAGGTTGCCTGTTTACTCTGATGGTAGTTTCTTTTGCTGTGCAGAAGCTCTTTAGTTTAATTAGATCCCATTTGTCAAGTTTGGCTTTTGTTGCCATTGCTAAGACTTTAAATTTCATAATGAAAATCAATTTAAGCCAATTGTGTTGAAAGTTTTATACAATTGCACCATTTCCTCAATATAGTTTATATCCAAAGCTTTCATAGTTTAATGTTGTTTTGGGTTATTTCCATAAAGTTATAATTTTTATATCCCATTAAAAAACATATATGAATGTTTATGATGTTCCAATACAGAAACTAATTATGATTAATGAGAAGTGTTACAAGTCATATAGTTCTCTTCATTCAACTTTTTAATAAAAGAAAGAAAAAAATATGCTTGGTATTATTTCCTGTGAATAGAGAAATGCAGAAAATTTATGCCAATATGCCTATTTTTACAACATTGTGTCTTGGGATACCCAGTAAGCTTCAATTATTACAGGTATTTTCATTTAAGAGTGTCTTTTTAATTAAATGACAGCAATCACAGTATCAAGAAAACCCAACCTTGCCAATACCAGCTTATGAATGAGCTCAATGATATGCAAGAGGTAAGTGGGGTCACTTCATTCCAGTATATAGTCGATTTGTGTTTTTTTTTTCCCAAAGAATAATTAGCATTGTATATAGATGCGCATTCACAGACACCATGAAAAAAGCACCAAACAATTGAGAGAACTGTTTTTTCCCCTAAGGCTGTATTGGCCTAAGCATGTATTTGCCAATATTTTATGCCCTCGTCATCCATCCACACTTTGCACAAGCAATTTCCTCTACTGAAATGCTTTTTCCATTTGTCCTCATAGAAAACTCTCATTTAACGTCTCTTATTTGCTTTCCCTGGCCCCTCTCCCTAGGCAGAAATGATTGTTCATTTCCCTATATATTTAATATTTCTAATACACTTTGAAATATTCCTAATACAGCTCTTTATTATAGTCCATTTTAGTTATTGGCTAATAGGCCTCTCCCCTAAGCAGGAACTTAATGAAGACAAAGGCTTGTTTAGTCATATTTTTTCTTGCTTTTTTTATGTGCCTTGTTATTTTTGATTGAATGTCAGACACTGTGTATAAAATAACAGAAGAGACTGCACTCAATAGTATTAACACCTAGAAATGAACACACTTCTTGTTCTGTGAGGCCATTATTGTAGGTGGTTGACTCAGTCTAGTCTGTAGTTATGTTGGGCCTGGGTTTTGTTGTTATTATAATTAATCTTTGTGTTTCTTGGACTTCGAATTCTTCCAGCAGTGGGCTACTCTTACCTTGTGCTCAGTGTGGGTCTGGGAAGCTGAAGGCTATTTCCTAGTGTTTCTACTCCATCCTTATATTTCAGCAGCCCTTGCACACTGCAGCCATTCTTACCCTTCTTCCAGCAATAGATTGCCTTCACTTGTTACTAAGTACTCAGCCCATGTTAGGGCCAGTGGTGTGAGGAGTTCCTCAGTTCTCATGATCCATCCTCAGTCTCAGGATGGTCCTGTGAGCCTGGACCTTGAGGGTAAGGCTTTCTCACCATTTCTGTTCCTTTTTCCCCTTCTCTTTACCATGGTAGCCAAAACTCAGGTAGGAGTTTTGTGGTCTTGGAGTAGCAGATGTCTTTTTGGTATCAGTGCAGGATTTTAGGTCCATGAGCATTTCCTACACCCCTCCACACATGACAGGAATTTTGCTTTTATTCTTCCCCCAAAATCATTGGATCTTTGGCTCTGCCATGGAACAGGAGGATTGCCTACCCTTCCCCTAGCAGCTTAAGGCTTTTTCTTCACATACAAGAAGCATCTGGGGAAGAGGAGGAGCTGCTGCATTGACTCAAGTGGCAGCCAGTTACCTCCTGCATGGTTGTGCTATTGCCCCCAGACTTCTCCCTGGCCCTCAATCTTGTTCATAATCATGCAGTAGAGAGTTGCAGGTGTGTGTGAATCCTCCTCATGTCTGGGGCTCCTGATTTTTTTTAATTGTGATGCTAACACACACTCAGTCTTTAAGAATTCATAAAACATAAGCCACTTTCTTATTACCAAGTTTCCCCATATCCTGCCAACAGCAGAACAGTTTATGTAGCCCATCTTTCCTTGGAGGGAACTGCTGTCTTTGGAATTCAACTCACTTGGTTGCCTTGGGACTTTGGCTCTCTGATGGACTCCAGAAAATGTATAATTTTGTAGGTTATCTGCCTCTTTTTATGGTTAAGGTGAGAGTAATATTCTTTTGTGGCTTTCTACATATCAAGTGGAAGTGGAACTCCTTAAGTATAATCACTAACTGCCCCAGGGCCCAGCAGAAGGCTGGGATATAGGAGATACTTCTTCAATTGTATTGAGCCACATTTATCCTCATGCAAAAAATCCACAATCACATTGCAGGGAAATAATTCAACATTTTTCTTTAACATTTCTCATCAGTTCTTCTAATGAGAGTAAAATTGTACATGAAAAAAATATATATATTTTTTGAAACAGAGTCTCACTCTGTCACCCAGGCTGGAGTGCAGTGGCACAATCTCAGCTCACTGCAACCTCCTCCTCAACGGTTCAAGCGATTCTCCCCCTTCAGCCTCCTGAGTAGCTGGGACTACAGGCGCCTGCCACCACACCTGGCTAGAAAAATACTTTTTATTCTCTTGGCTTAACTTTATTTTTTTTCAGAGCTCAGAAATTAAATGGCAGCAAATTTTAAGCTTTATCCAATTATTTTTAATCCTTCAGTCATCCTAAGAAATTAACCTGTCACAAATAAACATATTGGGTCATTTTTAAGGCAAATCTGAGCTGATTCTTTTTACTTGTTGCCTGAAACAAAAATTCAGATAAAATAACTATGACAGCTTATGACAGAAGTACTATTGAACTATCTTTCTTGCCAATATTAAAAAGAAGAAAATTCTTTTAAAATGTGCAACTGAAAAAGTCACCTTATCCTGGCCCCCTGTGGAGATCCTGCTGGAGTAGTGAGCCGTGAGGCTGCTCACGGGGCTTTGCATATTGTCCTGCTGGTGTTTCTGGCTCATGATGGAGATGGGGGAAGGGAACAGCCTATTTGCAGTGTTGAAAAAAAATCAATTTTCATCTTCAAAAGATGAAACTACCAAGCAAGATATTGAATTAGAAATAAAGTGTTTCTTAAAGACTTCTCATATCCTATAAATGTCATACCCAAACCTAAGAGTTTGGTGATTTAAAGTTTACTGCTAATTTCAGACAAACATGCAGGTAGCTCTGCCTCAAAAAAACAAAAAAAAACTAGCTAATGTATGAGTTTATTGCAGATTTTGTTGCATCTACAACTAGTGTCAGAACCTTCAAAACCAGTCATATTTTTTGTTGATAGGCATAAACTTGATCCCTATTTATTTTCCATCCCGAGGTTTTATTCTTCTTTGTCTCATACGTAAATGATTTCCAAGTTTTTATGACAAATTTCATATAACTAGGTTTGATATACTTTCAAATGCAGCTTTTGCAATATATAATATCCGTATCATCTGAACTTTAATAAGGAGTACGTTTTTAATCAGTTGGGGGAGATCTTTAGTTCTTGTCTGGCCTTGAAGGCCCAATGCAGACTAGCTGATTGATGGTTGTTATCCCAACACACAAAGTAGACATGGACCAAGCAGGCAGCGGAGGAGGAGTGAATTCATCCACAAATCTTGTGGGGGGTGGACTAGCCTCAGCAGGGCCTGGACTGACCTGGCTTTTTTTTTTTTTTTTTTTGAGACCGAGTCTAGCTCTGTCACCCAGGTTATAGTACAGTGGCTCAATCTCAGCTCGCTGCAACCTCTGCTTCCTGGGTTCAAGCAATTCTTCTGCCTCAGCCTCCCAAGTAGCTGGGATTACAGGTGCCCACCACCATGCCCAGCTAATTTTTGTATTTTTAGTAGAAACAGGATTTCACCGTGTTGGCCAGGCTGGTCTCGAACTCCTGACCTCAGGTGATCCACCCGCCTTGGCCTCCCAAAGTTCTGGGATTACAGGCATGAGCCACTGTACCCAGCCTTACCTGTCTTTAAAAGGAGAACTTTATAGAATATTGAAGTGGCTGTTGTCTCATTGCCTGCTTCCTGGGAATATTATGTTGAAGTGAGTTTATCCTGACTTGAGGCATACATCTGGTTACTATTTTAGGAAGAGAAAAAAGAGTGGCAGGACAAAAGGAGAAATGATGGGAGAGACTGAGATTACTATTTTTTAAAAAGGAGATTCAGCATTACCTGAAGGGGCTATTAACACTGTTGGATCAGACTAAGCTTTAAACTGGATAGGAATATAAAATGTTTTCCACCATTAACCCATTGAGCAGAGCTTGTGAGGCAAACAGATTAGCTGTAGATAAAATAACGAAATTACTTCTTTTCCTCTGAATATTAGTATGGCATTATGAGTTAAATTTACAACCCTACAACACATATTTGAGAAACTACTATTGCTAGAAACTGCAAGAAATAAAAGAGAATTTGGTTTCTGCTTCAATGAGGCTGTTCACAAATGGAAAATTATCTGAAATTATCTTCTGTCCCCTAACTACCACCCACCCCCGTTCCTCCTTACTTCTGCATCCATTTTTTCTTGCCTTGGTAAATATCACTTACATGGAGAATATAGGGAATATTTTTGAATAACCACAGTAATAATAAATGCTTTCTTTGCACCAGACATTGTACATGCAATTTACGTATATTATTTTATTCCTTATGATAATCCTGCAAAAAAGCAGTTTTCAGACTTGTAAAGATTTTATAGTTGCTTATACGGAGACCCAGGAAGATCAAGTCATGCTCCATTTCAGATGAGGTTTCAGAGGCAGTCTGTATGCCAGGCCTGCCTGGGGCCCAGGCCCAGGCCCAGGTCCAGGCCCAGGCCCCGGCCCTCACATTTTGCAAAGCTGTTGTTTGACTTTAGTCATCTCCTACTTTTATAGGGTGTGGGGGTTAAGAGCAAGGACTTTGTGGCTCAATACTCTGGATTTGAATGTTAACTCTACTGTGGCTAGAGCTTATCTTTGGTGCATGACCTAACCTCTCCTTCCCAAGAACCTTCACCTATAAAATGGGATAATAGCAGTACATGTGACATAAAGTCATCATAAGGATTCCAAGAAAGAGGTGGGCGGAGGGCTTACGGCAGCACCTGGCTTGTTATAATCGCTGTATAACAGCTCCATGCTATTATTTCATATTTATAATTAATTTTCAGATCTGCCTTACTTCTTCTGTCATTTCCTTTCACTTAGACTTTGCTAGTAGCCTCTCAGTTGGCCTCCATAATTCCAGCCTCACCTCTCTGCAGACTTTCCTTGACATAACTAAAAACTAGCATTTCTAAAATTCAGAATGGATCATGTCATGCCCTTGCTGAAAGCCTTTTAACTTTCAGGCCCAAATACAAAGTCCTTAATGGAGTATCCTGTGTCCCCCATAACCTGTCCCCTGCCTACCAATTAAGTTTTATTTCTCTCCACTTGCCCTTACACATACTGTGTTCCAACCACAGGGAATCATTTCCATTTCCTGAACAGATCATGCAGTTGCACAAACTGTTCCCTCTGTCCAGAATGCCTTTGCTGGCCCAATTTGCTTGACAAACTCCTATGCATTCCTCAAAGCCAGGAGCAGCAACGTTTCCTCCTCCAAGGAGTCTTTCTTATATCCCTATATGCTCTAAGAAGGGTGCCCTTTCTAGTTGCCTGTATAATGTTTTGAATGTACCTGGGTCATAGCCCTTACCACATGGCATTGAAGCTAATTGTCTGGTAGTGTTTTCCCACTAAATTTGTAGGTTCCTAGGAGCAATTGTATTGCCTTATTCTTCGTTTTTTTCAGGGTTCAGCACAAGGGAGGCACTCAGTAAGTTATTAGCCAATGAATGTGGAGAGTAAACATGGTTTCCTGGTGTATCTTTAGAACCTCAGTAGAGAAAGTCATTTCTTCCTAGATGATTTTCAACAACAGGCCACTAGAGACTTAGGCATCTGGCTTTTTTTTTTTTTCCCCAGATTGGTCTGCTGAAGACCCACCAGAGTCCCAAGGTGAAAACAACAATTATCCTCTGTTGGTTACTTCAGCTAATGGCGGGAGTCATGTATGTTGGGTGCCTAAAAGCATCAGACAGCAATAAACTTAAAATGATACTACCTTTTTGTCCCAGAGTAGTCAATGATTAAATAACAAACTAATTGACCACATTCAACATATAATAGGGAATCAATGCATTATTTTGAAAACTGGTTAAATAGAAGTACAGAATCTAGCATTTCTCTTACCTTTTCTGTACAGACTGCACCAGGGGTAATCACCTAGTAGAGGAGGGTGATTGCCTCTTTATGAAAGTATTCCAATCAGTAAATGAAAATTAAATGATAAAATTTTAGTATCACTGTTTTGTAATTCTGATGAGTTAGTAGGTCTAGTACTGAGTATCCAGAGTGCTAACATCACAAAAACAGAGATAACCAGGCTGGGCCCAGCGGCTCACACCTGTAATCCCAGCACTTTGGGAGAACGAGGTGGGCAAATTGCTTGAGGTCAGGAGTTTGAGACCAGCCTGGCCAATATGGTGAAATCCTGTCTCTACAAAAAATCAGCCAGACACGGTCTTGTATGCGTGTAATCCCAGCTCTTCGGGAGGCTGAGGCACGAGAATTGCTTGAGCCTAGTAGGTGGAGGTTTCGGTGAGCTGAGATCACACCACTGCACTCCAGCCTGGGTGACAGAACAAGACTCCCTCTCAAAGAAGAAACAAACAAACAAACAAACCAGTTATCATTTGTCTCCTGAGGAATGAAGCACAGCAAAAACCTACATTCTGGCCAAAGGGATTAGACCTGAGTCTGATCAAGCCTCTGGATCCCATTGCCAATTTGCAGAAAATTCAGAGGAACATAGAACCGCGGGCTGAGTGTGCAACCTGGGAAACACTCTACAGGACAAATGACCCAGGTTCTTCAATAGACAAACGAAAGAAAAGAAAGCAATAGAGGGAGTTGTAGATAAAAGGAGACTTAACACATCAAATTTTAAAAAATAGGCCAGTCTAAACTGAAGTGTCCAGGAGTTTTTCTATATAAAACTCTAAAACACAAGGAAGTGATTTCTGTAAAAGGATTGTAGCAAAAGTTCTGTTTTTCTGCATGATGGTTACAAAGTATTAGCTTTATAATAAACTCTTTATGCAGTTCTGTGTGGCTTCTGTATCTATTTAATTTTGAAATAAATATGATAAAAGTGTTCTTTAAAAAAATGATTGTGCAAGGCTGTATTCTTCTGCTGGGTTGCAATAACAATATGCTACAAACTGGGTGGACTAAAACACAGAAGTTTATTTGTTCGCAGTTCTGGAGGTGGGAAGTCAGAGATCATGGTGCCAGCAGGGTTGGTTTCTCCTGAGGCCTTTGTCCTTGGCTTGCTGACGGCAGCCCTCTTGCTGTGTCCTCACATGGCCTTTGCTCTGTATGCAAACATTCCTTGTGTCTTTTCCTCTTCTTATAAGGACACCAGTCATATTGGATTAGGGCCCCACCCATAGGACCTCACTTAGCGTTAATTACCTCCTTAAAGGTCCCATTTCCAAATAAAGTCACATTTGGGGCTAGGACTCAACATATGAATTTCGAGGTGACACAATTCAGCCCGTAACAAAAGCCAGTGTTTCCCTTAACTATTTTCACTACTGTCTAAGACAAGATTGACCTTGCAAAATATTAAAAAGTGCCCCAATGGAGGAATTTATTTATTTCCAACACATTCATTGGCTGCCCACTGTATGCCAGGAATTGTTACAGGTGCTGGAGATTCAATGATGAACAAAACAGGCAAAATTTCTCTCTTTATGAATCTCGAAATCTGGACAAGAAACAAAGAACAACAAAATATGATGTATTTTAGGTGGTAATAGGTGCTAAGGAATGAAAAGTAGGAAAAGAAGAAAGCAGTGACAAGAAAGGGCTATGATTTTAGATGGAGCCGCCAAGGGAGGACTCAAAGAGAAGGCGAATGTGAGTAAAGATCTAAAGGAAGTGAAATTATGAACCATGTGGAAAGCTGGGAGAACATTTTAGGCAGTGGCAAAGGTTCTGAGAGGTGATGTGCCTGATGTGTTCAAGAAACAGCAAGGAGGCTGGGCGTGGCGACTCATGCCTGTAATCCCAGCACTTTGGGAGGCTGAGGCAGGTGGATCACCTGAGGTCAGGAGTTCAAGACCCACCTGGCCAACATGGTGAAACCCTGTCTCTACTAAAAATACAGAAATTAGCCAGGTGTGATGGCGTGTGCCTGTAATCCCAGCTACTCGGGAGGCTGAGGCAGAAGAATTGCTTGAACCCGGGAGGTGGATGTTGCAGTGAGCCAAGATCATGCCATTGTACTCCAGCCTGGGTGACTCTGTCTCAAAAAAAAAAAAAAAAAAGAAAAGAAAAAAAGAAAAGGAAATGGGTAGGGCTACAGCAGAGTGAAAGAGAGGGAGAGAAAGATGATGATTTCGGGAAAGAGCCTTGGGGGCATGCCTTTGGCTTTCACTCTTGTTGAAATTGGAAGACATCAGAAGATTTTGAGCAAAGATATGAAATTCCCTGACTTACATTAATGGGATCACTTTGACTGATGTGTTGAGGGACTAAACACAGACTAAAGAGGGACAAGGATAAAAGTGGGGAGAACAGTATGGGGGTGCCTACAATAACCTCAACAACAAACAGAAGAGGCTTGGTCCAGTAAGATAAGCTGTAAGTACTTGGATTCTGGATATTTTTGAAGGTTGAGCCAAATAAGAGAAATCAAGATACCCCAAGGTTTTTGTCCTAAAACTGCAAGGACAAAGGATGCCATTTCCAGAGGAGCAGGTTTGGGGAAGATTATCAGGAGTTCAGTTTGGGGTAGCTTGCATTTGGGATGTCTAACTTTGGACTTCAGAAGAACAATCTAGGAGATGTGGGCATGTTGATGATATTTAAAGCCATGAGATGAGATTACCTAGGATAAGCATATATAGACAATAGACAAGGTCCGAGAACTGAGCCCTAAGACATTCCAATGTTAGATGGGAGAGAACCAAAAAGAGGGGACAGAGAAAGGAGAAAGCAGAGACAACCAGGAGTTTTAAGGAAGGGGAGTGACTACAGTGTTCTGTGTTTTGGCACATAAATGAGAACTCTGAGTTGACCATTGGTGCTGGCAGTGTGTGGACCACTGGTGACTGATAAGAGCAGTTTTAATGGAGGTGGTGTTGGAAGCCTGGTCAGAGTAGACTCAAGAGAATATGAGAGGAGCAAAAATTGTCTGTTTAGAGGAATAGTAACCATGACAATAATAGGTAAATATTGAGCCTGTACTAAGTAGCAGGCGTGGCTCTTCTAAGCACTTAAGTAACTCAGTCTTCACCACCACCTTATGAGGGAGATGTTATTATTATTCCCATTTTATAGATGAAGAAACTGAGACACAAGAAAGGACAAGTGATTTGTTCTCCATCACACAGCTGACAAGCAATGGAACCAGGTCCGAGCCCAGACATTTCACACCAGTGCCCAAGCTCCACCATCTCCCCATTTGAAGTCTAGGTTTAAAGTGATGTTTTTATGATGACAGTGTCACAGGTGAGTGATGCTGCATAACAGCATAGCCCATATCCAGGGCTGAAACATAGGTCAGTCAGAAGAACATAGAATGCAGAGAAAGTCTTGGAAGGTTAATATATATAGAAATGCTTCTGTATTCTTTATAACCTGTTAACTCAGAGAGGAATGCTCATGGGCTGCTGTGATGGAGAAAACTGACTTAATTTTCTTTTAGTAGCTATGGAAAACAATGCACAGCCATGAACTTTGAAAATCTATTTCCTTTATTGTATATTCTCTGTACTCTGTACCCTCTGTCTCCCTAAACTCTCCATTATTTAGTTTCCCAGTGAATAATCTACGTTTAAAATTACTGTTAACACTTTACCCTCTCTTTTCTCTCTGGCCACTACAAAAAAAAAAAAAAAAAAATCCTGAATGCAACCCTCCCTCCCTCCCTCCCTCCTTTCCTTCCTTCCTTCTTTCCTTCCTTCCTTCCATTCTTTTAGTCATCACTTTTTAGCTCCAATAGTAAAGCAACCAACAGAATTTAGAGTGGCTTGTCATTCATTCACTTTCTGTATTTGTGGAGCAAAGGTCTGTCAAAGGTGAGGAATTGTGTCAGCAGCATGTTAAGGGGCAAGACCTGTGCACTTATAAGTAAATGTGGCTGCCAAGGAAACAGATTGACTACACTATTTCTAAAATTGTAGAAATTCTGAGGTTTGGAAGTAGAAAACAAGGCTTTTGATGACTGGAAAACTCACACAACTAAATGATTTGTGGACTAATGGGAGTTTTCAATGAAAATGCAAAATCATAAAATATTACTATTAAATGGAGGACTGATGAAAAGCAATTATTGGAATGCAGTGTACTTTAAAAGAGGATTGGATTTCAGAAAAAGGACCATCAGCCAGCCAGCATCCCTCATTTTGCTTTGTAATTACAATTTCTAGGCCTTCTGAACAATTGCGTGACCCTTGAGAAAAGAATTAGTGATTGCAATCATAGCCTCCTAATCAAGCGTCTTGAAAGGAGCAATACTTGAAAATCTTCCTCATATACAGGGCATGCCAACTAGTTTTGCAATTTCTCTCGTATATTACTGCTATGATTTAGTGTTTTAGGTTTGCTAATAATTCTCTAATTTAATTAAATCAAATATGGAAGTTGAAATAGGGAAGCCAGTAATATCATCTGCAGAAAATAGGAGTTATTGGTTTAATTGCTGTTGCTTTATATAAAGCTTGAATTCTTACGTAAGTCTATGGGAAACACAAGAATTATGTCAAGGTGAGAGCTTGGCCTGCTCATACAGCTAGAAATGATGAGGCAGGAACATTGCATGTAACCCACTATGAAAAATGAATATGATGTTATTTGGCTGAGTTTCAGATTTATTTTTGATGGCATGGGTCTTGTTTTCCCTGGTGTAATACTATTTGTTCAAGGGTATTTGTTTTTGGAATCTTGTTAGAGGATAGCTGGCTCTGACATAAACACCCCAGCATCTTTCTCTTCTCCTGTGCTTGTAATCAGCCATTATCCAACAGAATCAGAAGAGTAATTTACAGGGATAAGCACCTGTTGTTAGAAGCAGTGTTTTAAATCAGACACAGAGAAAAAATTTAAGGCACAAATGAATTATTCACTCTAAATGATACACAGAACTGGTTGTAAATTGTAATTTAACAGGTTGTTTTTCTTGAAACATGCTAGGTCTGTTAACTCCTTCATTTAAGAAGGGACTGAGCACTACTGGAAGCTTTTGTGTATTTCGTTGGGTGTCAACTGATTCCATTTCATTCCTAGTTAGGTCTATCAGGCTGCCTACATTTTGACATTTCTAGCTTTTATTTCATTTATACTTGAAGCGAATTCACTTGAAAATGACAATATTTTTATTTAAATACCTGAGCAAGTTTACCTTTTTCCTGGATTAGCACAAAGTAGGTCATAACAAAAGCATTAATAATTGAACAGCATCAAGTTTGAAGGGATGCCAAGGATTAAACAGCCAGGTTTCTTCTTTTTTCCAATGTAATGTTTGTTTAGTAACAGGATTTTACTTGGGTAGTGTATTTGTGTGATTTATAGTTTATTAATAGCAGTTTTTGGTTCTTTTACCTTTTTCTTTCCTGGAAGTGTGGGTTTTGTGTGCGTTTTCTGCACGGAGTACAGGTTTGCTGTGGTTTGGGGATTTGGAAATAACGGCATTGAAACAACTGGACTGAGACCACCATTCTAATTTCACTTCAGGCCTTTCTCACATCAGTGGTCAGAATGATTTTTTAGTCACTCCAGTCAGGACTTGAATCCAACTGTAGTCTCAGGAGTGAAAAGTCAAGGGGTAATCCATTTAGCCATCCAATTCTCCAGGTAGAACTTTGATAACCATTATAATTACTTTATTCTCTCCTCCCTTATCCAAGAATTGCTATACTAAATGTTATATCTGAATCCCCGCTGTGATTCATGTTTTCTAGGATTTAAAATTATGGAAATTCTTCAGGCAGAAAATGGGCACATATGGTTATCACAGAAAAGCTGTTTTAAAGCCAGTTTTAAGGTAAGCCGCTGAGATTTTTGCAGAGTTAAAACACTTGGCCTGTCCCTGCAGCTGGAAAAGCGCCATTCCCTCGGACAGTGTTAACTATGAGTTGAGTCAATTTCCAGTTCCTCAAAATTGGAACTAATCCTGTCCTGTTTTCTCTGTCCAAAATGGACAGGATCCGAAATAAGGAAAAATTAGGCCTTTCCATTTTATCTTAACTCATATTCACAACTAAAACTTTTGTTATTTTTCCCTATAAGATAAGTTTTTCCTTATGACATAAAATGTTTATGTTGGGATAATTGGAGAACTCTATTAAGCATCATGATAGCTTATTTATGTAAGAGTGGATTTGGTCATAATTCCATCCCTTAAGTGGTTTTAGTTTTTATGTGTTGCATTTCTTTGTAAAATCATTATGAAGGTTCTGGAAGAAATGATTAGTGAGGAAGGATCATATTTTAAGGTCTGTGTTTCATTCAGATTCCTGTAAAGTCTGTTGTTTTTTCTTTAGATTGAAAACTGACTTTACATTGACTCAGGGATCTAAGACAAAGCAGATAGTGTGTTTTTGCCTCTTTCTGTGAAGATGTCTGCTTTATGTATCCTTGCATTCACTATTAAGATTTAGAGACCCAGACCGGGCGTGGTGGCTCACGCCTGTAATCCCAGCATTCTGGGAGACCGAGGCGGGCGGATCACGAGGTCAGAAGATTGAGACCATCCTGACTAACACTGTGAAACCCCGTCTCTACTAAAAATACAAAAAATAATCCGGGCGTGTTGGGTGTCTGTAGTCCCAGCTACTCGGGAGGCTGAGGCAGGAGAATGGCGTGAACCCGGGAGGTGGAGCTTGCAGTCAGCCGAGATCGTGCCACTGCACTCCAGCCTGGGCGGCAGAGCGAGACTCCATCTAAAAAAAAAAAAAAAAAAAAAAAAAAAAAAAGATTTAGAACACAAATCAAATATCTGGATAATTAAATCCGTATTTAAAAGGCACACATAGATACTCAGTAAATGTTTTTTAAATGGATGAGAACTGCAAGTGAACTAATGGTATTTTAAGGTAAGGCACCTAGGCTGGAAGCGCTAATTTTATGACTTCTGCAAGGTATTGACTCTTAATTCCATCATGACTTGATATTGGCTGCCAAAATGATATATGTGCCTCATATCTTCTCACTAAACCACGTAATTTTTGTTTTAAAAAGCCAGCACAATCAAGAGACAGACAATTATATGAAAAGCATTTATTGATGAGAGGAGTAATGTACAATAAAAGAGCTGGTTAAATGTTTATGAAATGAAAGCCTGTTGTTTATTGAAAGATTCTTTTCTTCTTTTACTGGTTTCAGTTATTTGCAAGTTGACAAATTGTGATCAATACTCTGTTATTGGTCTGATAATTAATGGATGATGGCCTGTCTCTATGAATTGTAAATGATGGGTGCTAATTAACATTTGTTTTGATTACTTGGTATTTAGTTGTCAAAGACAGCTATTATAATGGCATAGGATGTTAGAAGAGGGTTTTTTGTTGTGGCTTTGATTGTTATCGGAAATGACTTTTTTGTGTGTGAAGAGATGCCTGATTCCTATTACTGCTCACTGTAATAGAACTATGGTAGTCTGAGAACTCATCTCAAAGCCCTAAGTATTACTAATGAATTGTAACTGTGACCTCTCAGCTTCAAGAGAGAGAGGGAAAGGATCTGTAATCAAGGGTGGAGATGGTGAGATTTCTGAATAGAAACTAAATGTGCTAAATGTAATTGATTGATATATCTCTGATTTAATCAAAATTTAAGGAATAGTGTGAAGTTTTTAAAGTTTCAGAGATCGTATCATCTATTTTACTATTTTTTTTTTTTACATCAGTCTATTCTTTTCCATTCAAGGAGGGAGTTTCACTGGGATTTTAAGACAGGCAGTTATCTGTAAATCCAGAGTCACCATTGTAGACTTGATGTATTTTTTAGAAAAACCAGATAGTTGACGTGTTTTTCAAGTTTGAAACTTCCTTATTTGTTTTCATATGTTCAAGGAGTACTACAATTAATTGGAAAGTGTGTCAACTCTGGATTTAGACAGGCTTGGCTTCAAATCCTAGCTTCAAAACCTGCTCTTTCTCAGTGCAACCTTGAGCATCATTTTAAAGGCTCTTTTCTCATCTGTAAAATGTGACTAATATTATATGTCTAGGTGGGTAGCTGTGAGGATTCATGAGATCATGTGTATTAAGGTCCTACCATAATACTTGGCACAGTTAAGAGACTGGAGGCAGGTTGGCTGTCTCCAAATCTAGGCTGTGCCACCTGCTAGCAGTGTGACATCAGGCAGATTATGCAACGTTTGTGTGTCTCTGTTTCCTCATCAGTAAAGTGAAGATAGTAGTATTATCAATCTCATTCAGTGTTGTTGCACAGACTAAGCGAGTTGATAATGTAAGGTACAAAGAACGATGCCTGCCACATAGTATGTGTTATGTGTGAAGTGTTTGCTGTAATTAGTAGTATAATGATAATAAGTTCTCAAGAAATCATAGCCATTTTACATCCTTTAATTCTTTTCTTTAAAATACTGTCAAAACTTTCTCCCTAATTTGATATGTAATGTTTGAAATATCATAAATCGAGAAAAGTCTTGCTTTCCATAATGATAATTTGTACAATTATATATAACTTATACAGATAATTTACACAGACTACATTCATTGAACAGCTACTAAGTGCAGCGTAACTCAGGAGAGTGAACATATGGACTTAGATGGGCACAGGGAAGCAAGAGATTACTATATACATGTACCAACTATTTACATAGACTTTCTTGAGAGCATGTTCTGATGGGCTTGGGCATTGGGGATGATAGTTCACAAGGCCATTTCAGATAGGCTGAAATTTTGATATTTTGACCAAGGAAAACCTAGGTATATTATATTCAAAAACGAATCTTTAAGCATGTATCTTAGCATTTAGTCTCAAAACTGGATTTCTCTTCTGTGACTTAGTTTTCATTCTTCAAGGGGCCATGATTTCCCTTGAAGATGCAAATTTTAATCTGGGGCATTGATTTAATATTGCTAACAGATAAATACTAGATGTGTTTGGAGGTATTTATATTTATTCATATTAACTACAGAATACATACCAGCCTTATTTGGGTTTTGACTTCTTTATGATTATAGTAGTGTTATTAAAAAACAAAGATAAATCAACATTTCAGTACAAATGAAAATGAGGAGATTGATTTATGATTGGGTTAACTTTGCAATGCATGTATATTATGTACATGCATATTATGTATATTATATACATTATAGTGTATTATATGTTACATATGTGTTATACTATACATACATATATAGTAATGTATTTTTTTATCAGGTTTTTTTATAATTGACAGCATGTCCCTCCCATCCTCGGGAAGGGTGAGTTTTCAGTTCCCCCTTCACCGTGCTTTTTCACTATGATTTCACTGGGCAACACTTAATTAAACTTCATTTCCTCTTTTTATGCTCCAGGTATTATTATGCCGCTACCTTCAAGAAGTAATTTGCGTGCTGTTTATTGGAGCTGTGAATTTAATCATCTCAATCCCACGCTATTACAGGATGACTATAAGAAGATGTATTGACATTTCTTTGGACACATAATTTTGCCTCCATTGTGTGTTGTTTTGCCAGAATACTGAAGGCAGTGTTTGTATGATGGCACATCCAAATAAAAAGCAGGTCCTCCTTTTGGGACAGTGATCCATTTAAGTTATTTGTTTCAGTACATATCCTTAGAACTGAAGTTTTAAAATAAGAATAATCCTGGAAAAGATGTTTAAAGTACCACAAAGTATAGGCTTGGAAAGGAAACAAAGATTGAGGGCTTTTTTTTTTTTTTTTTTTTTTTTTTTTGCCCCTGGGCTGGAATAGAGTGGAGTATTAAACATCCCAATTCTCCCAACCAGCCTCTCCCATGTTATATATATATATATTACATACACATGCACACGTTTCAAATTTCAGTCTTACAGTGTATATAAATGTATATACTTATGTTTTCTGCACAAGCCAGGACATCGGTTATTTCCTAATCTAGTCTCCAGAAGAGAAAAAAGAAAAACATACAGAAAGGAATGTATAAGTTACGGAGGATAAAGAGAGGGGTTATGATATGATCAAAACAATAACAGTTAAGATCTTTTGAGATTTTATTATTGTAACCAGTAATCAGCTGCTCACCACTCAGAGACCAAAAACATGAGAAGCAAGGCATGGTGAAAGGAAAGGAAGGCAACTTTATTGATCAAATGCTAGCAGATGGGAGATGGCCGGGCTTCTGCCTCAAAGAAGCCATCTCTGCCTTTTGGGCTGAGTGAAGGGGTTTTGGCAGGAAAAGGTATGGGAAATATATGGTAGTGGTGCAGGAAGGCGCAGGTCTGCATGTCTAGTTCCGATGTTTATCTTGAGTAATTGCCTGTTGGGTTGGTGTCATCCTGACTTGGGCCGGAGAGTGGTGAGCTAACTATTCGTACTCCTTCTAAGCGGGAGGATTCTGCCACTTGGTTTCTTTACCTGTTTCGTTTCAAAATTGGTCTCTGGAATTTCTAAGCAAGCACATAATCAGATAAGCAAGCACTGTGCGCAGAAGTTCCTGGTGTGAAAGGGAGAAATTAAGAGTTTCAAAGTATGTTTCAAGGTTGAAAGCAAGAAAGGAGAAAAATGTTTTCAAATGCATGTTGAGGCTGGAATACTTGGCTTCATTATGAGCTTGTTATTCTACATATTTTATATAAACTAGTGATTGTAGTTTTGAATATTTTCATAGCAGAGGGTGGAGTAATTGACATAGGGGCCTGAAAAATGCATCCAGATGTCTATCTGCAGGTTTTACAAACTCAGAGTTCACAAGGCTCAAACAAGGTAATGCCTGGGATGAAAAACCATAAACTGAGCTCAGAGACCTGTCTGGCCACCCCTGACTGTGGCTGACTGCCCACAGTTGGTACAGCTTCCAAGTTTTAAAGAGAAGCCATTAATCTGGATATTTATATGTGAAATCTCTTGATTTTGAATTTCTGGGAAATAATTCAAAACCTTTTCCTTGACATATTATGAAAAGCACACCACACACCCCCACCCACGAGCAGACCTCATCCTGTGGGCCACCTGCCAGTTTAAGAGAATTACAAAGTCAGCCTGGAGCCTGTGAGAAAACCCGGAGGGGCAAACTGAGATCCTTGGTGGTTTCATCAGTGGTTTCCTCGGGAGATCACCTGACCATTTAAAAGCTCTGCCTGTCTAGGATGGTGTTGGGGAAAAAGCATCACAGTAATCAAGACAGGTTTCCCTTCAGACAGAGCAGGGCAGTGTTTCTAGTTCTGTTTTCCTTGAGCCTAGTCAAACATGCACAAATCCAAAACTTGAGTGACTCTGCGCTACTAAAGCCCTGGATCCTAGTTTTATTTTTTGCCAAAGAATATTTGAATAGCAACTGACTTAATACACTATAAATAGTATCAATTTTTGGCCAAGCACAGTGGCTCACACCTGTAATCCTAGCACCTTGGGAGGCGCAGGCCGGAAGACCATTTGAGCCCAGGAGTTTGAGACCAGCCGGGCAACATAGTGAGACTTCATTTCTACCAAAAATAAAAACAAAATTAGCCAGGCGTAGTGGCATGTGCCTGTAGTCCCAGCTGCTTGGGAAGCTGAGGTGGGAAGATTGCCTGAGCCCAGGAGGTCAAGGCTGCAATGATCAGAGATCTCACCACTGCACTCCAGCCTGGGCCACAGAGTGAGACCCTGTCTCAACACAAAAACAAAAATAGTACCAATTTTTTAGATCAATGGAAAGAGATTTTTAGTACTGTCATTCTTTTTTCTGGAAAAAGAGAAAATGGGTGATTTACTAATCAAATAGATGCAAAGTCATTTTTGAATAGGCAGTTATTTATGTTTGTTATTCACATTAATTAGATACATTATTTTAAATTATTTATACTTGTTAATTTTATTTGTATTTTCTTATTTTATTTTATTTTATTTTTCCTAGATGGAGGCTTGCTCTGTCACCCAGGCTGGAGTGCAGCGGCATGATATCAGCTCACTGCAACCTCTGCCTCCCGGGTTCAAGCAATTCTCCTGTCTCAGCCCCCCAAATAGCTGGGACTATAGGCACATGCCACCACGCCCGGCCAATTTTTGTATTTTTAGTAGAGACAGAGTTTCACCATGTTGGCCAGGCTGATCTCTAACTCCTGATGTCGTGATCTGCCTGTCTCAGCCTCCCAAAGTGCTGGGATTGCAGGCATGAGCCACCACACCCGACCATTTATACTATTTTAAATTATTTACATTATCCATTATTACATTAAAGTATTTACATTTATTACATTATGACTTGCTTCATTTTTAAACTATTCCTTTGTCATGCAACGCTGCCTCTTTAAAATAAGTAAGCTACCCAGAGATACGCATCAGGAACAATAGGATGGTTCTCTACTGCTCAAATATCTGGGGGTGAGAGCTACACATGAGTATTTTGAAAAAGATTCCTATGTGATATAAAAGTGCCTTTCTGAAGATAACACTAGGCCAGATGAGCTTTAGGCTGTGTTTGAATTGATCTCCCACTACATTTCTTTCTTAAACCTAAATTTCACCACAAGTTACTTACGCATAGGATTCCAATGTGAACAGGTGCTTCATTTTAGCTAAAACAGAACTTCCTTTCAGTGAAGACATGTGCCTCCACTCCCTGTCTGTGGCACGGTGGGCTGACATTTTTGGATCACAGATCACACAGGCCTAACCTTGCCATACTATTCCTTCACCTTTCTGGAATTCAGCTCTTGCTTCAGAATATATTATCAGATGTACAAATGAAAGCAGGAAAAACGAGGCCATTCTTAAAATGCTCCTTTTTCCCTATATACCTAGTTGAATTTTTTAAATAAAAGAAATAGAAATATATAAATAAGTAAACAAGATCAAATGAATTGCATAATGTACCATGTGACCCTCCCTGTCTATATGGGAATTTTAGAATCAAGGCTAAACATACACACGAAGCTTCATTAACTTCTGACCAATCCTCTGTCTTGTTGTTTCCTAGTTAACTGCCAAAGCAGTTGGCATTACTAGGAGAAACCTGACATGACCTGAATATACAGGCTGGGATTCAAAATTGACTGTGTTAAGTGTGCTGTTTAATTTTTAAAACAAGAGACTTTTTCTTCAGGTATACATTCAAGTATTCACCATGGAATGGCGCCTCTGGTATTGTGTCTCAGGTACTTCTTGAAAGGCAAGTTAATCATGGGTTGGGTCAAAGTCCTGGTTTTACAGTAAGACATATGGACATTAGATCTACTAGAGGTAAAGACATGAAACCTTAGTTTTCAAACCAGGGGTTTGAGAAACCCAAGAATGAGCTCCCCAGAGGAAACATTTTTCTTTGCTGGGGGTCTCCAGACCGTGCCAAGTTCCTGAAGCCGTTGACATACAATGACCCTTGAACAAGCCACCCCCTCCCAGGATTCTTTGTTGCCCTGGGGGGTCTTTGATGAGATAATCATTTAAAATTTTCTTGAATTTCACATTTGTTTGCCGAGGGTCTAGGGGTTTTACTGAATTGAGCAATTACTTCAGCATGTAACATGTTGGTTTTATTAGTACTAGCATATTCTGAACTGTTGAAGTGTATCTGTTTTCAAAATATGTTGCATGCGGATTAACATAAAAAGGCAAACAGAAACAGTGCTTTCCCGTGAATGCTGGTTTTGAATGACGAGTGTGTTTGCTGTCCATGATGAAGTGCGTATGTGTTGTTGGCAGGTATCCCATGCGCCGTTTCCAAGGGTAGGAACAGTACGAGGCTTCTGATCACAACCCCACAGAAGGGAAAGTGGTTGAGTAAGAACCTTGAATATATGGAAAAACAGGTTGAGTGTGGTCTGAACCTGAGGGTAGTGTGTTACCACGAAACACAATTCTTCTTCGGGTGTGTGTGCATGGGGCCCTCCTTCTCTGCTCTTTTCTTTCACATTTTCAAAGCTCATCATGCTGCCATTTCTTTGAAGAGGTTTAGTAAGAACCTTGAATATATGGAAAAACATATTTCTTATTAGGCACCTCAAAACTAGGTCCCACCCACGTCTATTTCCCCTCTGCGTGTTTATATAAGAAATAAATAAAAAGTTTCATGATTTCTAGTTTGCAACCCATATTCAACATGCAAAGACTGACAATATTGTTGAAATATCTAAAACCTAAGAAATTATTTTAGTCAGTGACCATGGCCTGTTTGTGTCATCAATATCCTTTTAAAAAAATATGAGTTTTATATGTGCAAAAATGTAATAACAACAAAATTGTGGTAGTATTATGAAACAGTTGCAGGCTGGTTTTGTCTGGCCTAAGTCGTCTTTTGCCCTGTGCATGTTCACTAGTGTGTGTGTGTTTGTGTGTGTGTGTTGTGTGTGTTTGTGTCTGTGCTTTTTTTCCTTTACATGCAGTGGAAGTTGCCTGCTATGGGCCTCTGAGTCGCTTTGGGTGTTTGATTGTTGAATTGAAATGATTCTTTCCCTTGTACTGCAGAAATAACCAATAATAATCTTCGCGTGACCTGCGTGTTTTAAGAAAATTATCCTGGGGCTATCCTGGTAGGATATACGTACCATGCTGTTTCTGTGATATATAAAATTATTATCAGATGAAAACAAAAAATCATATCAGGAAAACATTTCATTCCTTATTTTAGAGCTAGAATGGACTTTGACTTTTCTTCATGCTTATTTATCTGAGAAAGCATTAGGTAGACTCTGAAGGAGGCATTTGCCTTTCTCCATGGGCTGAAGGGGGCAGTACTCTATCCAGTTAAGAACTAACGAAGTTGGACAGTTGGACATTGGAATGTAACAGAGGCTTCCCGAAGATTAAGATAATGAAGTTTCTCCTTGATCACCTCTGCAGGGTTTTCTAAAGGACAAATGAGCAACTAAAAATGATTTTCCCTCTTCAGGAAGGAATTAACTTCTTATTTATTATTTTCCTAAAGAAAAATTAGAAGTAGAAAAATAATAAATGATTAATTTTACTTGTTGTACATAGAGGCTATCATTGTGTGGTGCTCTCTTTATATGTGAAAGTGTATTTGAAATAAATCTTAAAATGTGGAGGTACAAGAAGGTGATTGTTCTCTAAATTGCTGTATTACTGTAAAACTAAATTTGAAGGGAATTTTTAAAGAACACCATATATTCCATTATTTTGACAACCCATCAATTTATGAAAGTAATCTGAGCACATACTTCAATTTATTAGAGATAATTGTTCTGGGAATGCTAACACCCAAGCTCAGTAAGATCAATAATAAATTTGTACCTGAATTTGGGGTTATGGTTTAACTTTAATCCAGTCCATTTACTCCTCAACTAGGCCGGGCGCAGTGGCTCACGCTTGTAATCCCAGCACTTTGGGAGGCTGAGGCAGCCGGATTACAAGGTCAGAAAATCAAGACCATCCTGGCTAACATGGTGAAACTCCGTCTCTGCTAAAAATACAAAAAATCAGCCAGGCGCGAGGGCGCCTGTAGTCCCAGCTACTCAGGGAGCTGAGGCAGGAGAATGGCGTGAACCCGGAAGGCGGAGCTTGCAGTGAGCCGAGATCGTGCCACTGCACTCCAGCCTGGGCAACAGAGCGAGACTCTGTCTCAAAAAAAAAAAAAAAGTTGTAACTACTCCTCAACTATTCACATACTATAGATTGTTTGTATTAAATATATTAAATAGGAAATTTATCTTCTAAAGTTCACTCATTTTATTTGAAGCAAATGCATATAATTTTAACTGATACTGTCTGCTTTTTCATCTCTTGAATGTCTTAACACAATATTTTATGTATTTTTATCAGATGACAATTGTTATCTCTTTAATTAATCCAGTTAACCCATCCTGCAATTAATTCACAATAGGCATTTTAGTTGTGACTCAAAGTCCCCACTTAGTAAATGTTAATTCATAAGTAATATTCATAACTGAATGCTGGAGAAAAACTGCCCAAAGATTTGGGACTTAATAGAGTCTGTCTACAGCATTCTTAACTGGCGTGGTTTATTATAAGGTGAAATTTATAAAAAGGGATTTCACAGTTAGCCCTTGAAATGGCTTTCTGGGTGGGGTTCATGTTTAGTGTTTATTAAATGCTCACTGTATATCAAGAAAGCAGAGAGGCTTAATACCCTGCTCAGAGTCACGTAACTAATGTATGGAATAGTCAAACTCAAAACCCAAGTCCAGTGCCTTTTCAGCTGTACAGCACTGACTGCAAAAATGGTTAGATCAAGTGAACATTTAATATTCTTTCAATCTTAGTTTCTAAATAGAGCTGTCTGCCTATTTACTAGCTGTGTGACCTTAGGTAAGTTACTTAACCTCTCTGAGTCTTAGACATCACATCTGTAAAAAGAAGATAATATTATTATGGTAATTAAATGAACTAATATTTGTGAAGAAATGAGAATAGTTCCTGAGACATAGTAAATGCTAAATACATACTTATCTAAGTAAAATAAATATAACTATTTCTCAAGTAAACTTTTTATACAAGGATAAAAGTGTAACAAATGTTAAGCAGAAAATTACTCTTGAGCTAAAGAAAGGAAAGTAGAATTGCTTATACTGAAAGAGAAATGATTTTTATATAGCTCACAGGATTCTGTGAGAAATTGTATCGGTGAAAACAAATGACCTAGTTTCTTCGACCAAAAAAACTACAAGGGAGAAACAAGGAAGGAAAAGGGGAAGGCTGTGGATTAAAAGAAACCCAGGCTGGGCGCGGTGGCTCATGCCTGTAATCCCAGCACTTTGGGAGGCCAAGGCGGGCGGATCACCTGAGGTCAGGAGTTTGAGACCAGCCTGGCCAACATGGTGAAAACCTGTCTCTACTAAGAATACAAAATTTAGCTGGGTGTAGTGGCACGTGCCTGTAATCCCTGCTACTTGGGAAGCTGAGGCAGGAGAATCACTTGAACCTGGAAGGCAGAGGTTGCAGTGAGCTGAGATCACACCACTGCACTCCAGCCTGGGCAACAGAGTAAGACTCTGTCTCACAATAAATAAATAAATAAATAAATAAGTAAGTAAAAGAGACCCAGCAATCACCGGGTGTGAGGTTTACTTGGATCCTACCCTAACTAAACTGTAACAAGAACAATTATAAGATGGTAGAGAAGTAGAGACGTCAATTGTATATTTGATAATATCAAGCAGTTACCATTAAAATTTTTAAGTGTGATAATAGTATTCTTGTGATTTTTAAAAACAAAATTCCTCTATTTTAGAGCTATATACACAAATATTTACAAATGAAATTACGCCTAGAATTTGATCAAAATAACTGTGTGTGCCTGTGTGTGTGTGAGTGTGACTATAGATGAAATAAGATTGTTCATGAGTGTCAAAATTGAAGCTGGGAGATGGGTATGTGAAGATTCAGTCTGCCATTCTTTCTATAATACTTTTCTATATGTTTGAAAATTTCCATAGTGAAAAAAAATTTAATGGAAAAAAATGTCTTTACTGGAAAAACTATTCTCAGAGTTCTTAACAATGATATCTGATATTTACAGAGTGCTTTAGATGAATTGTCTCAATCTTTACAACAACTTGATGAGGTAGGTCCGATTATTATACCCGTTTAACAGATGATAATATGGGCCCAATCTTTGCTCTTCAGCAGTCTGTTTTCCAGAGGGGATAGATGTATGCATCAGACAAATCTGCTCCTGAGAACTGCTGTCCATCCAGAGTGGGTAAACCAGGAGAGTGCCATTCTCACAAACAGTGTTTTCACAAAGTGCACACTGTCCAGGTGCATTACATGTTAATTACACCCATCTTGTGTCTCACTAGTGATTTAGGAGAGTAGGCCAGGCATTGTGAAAAGCTCCTGTACTAGCTGTGTGCCTCTGGGAAGGTTTCTTTCTTTCTTTTTTTTTTTTTTTTTTTGAAACAGGATTTCCCTCTATCACCCCGGCTGGACTATGGTGATGGGAACAAGGCTTACCGCAGCCTCCACCTCACAGGCTCATTACAGGCATGCACCACCACGCCTGGCTAATTTTGGTATTTTTAATAGAGACGGGGTTTCACTATCTTGGCCAGGCTGGTCTCGAACTCCTGGCCTCAAGTCATCTGCGCTTCTCGGCCTCCCAGGGTGCTGGGATTACAGGCGTGAGCCACCATATCCAGCCAGCAAGTTACTTTCTTTATCTGAGCTTCATTTCGCCTGTAAAAATTACTATTTCCATCCCTGTTTCACTGGATGGTTGTGAGGATGAGTAGTTTGAAGACAGAGACCCTTGAAGGGATCAGACGAAGAAGCTCACTCCTCTGGATCCTCGGTGCTGGGCACAGAATGAATGTTTAGAACTGTGTCTTTCATGACTGCCTCCCTCCCTTCCTCCTCTTTTGAGTGGAGTGAAAAATTTGAAGCTGTCTCCTGGGCTGCTCAGACTCCCTGAGGCCTTGGTGTCCTGTATTCAGGGATGGCTGCGAATGAGTACAACAGTGTAGGTGAAGTGACCTGGGACTTCCTTGCTACTCTGTTGTGTGTTGATTGCACACACTCATGCTAGATTATTTCTAAGGCCTTAGTGGTTCAAGTTTACAGATTTTATGGTACTTACTTTCCACTTCACTTTCATGTACTTTGTCAAGGAGAGTAATCTGTAGACTAGAAATGCCAAAATAATTAGAGTTAAAGAGGAAATCCAAGATGAGAAAGCAGTGTGAGAGAGCATACAAATTTAGTTAAAATGAGGTCAAAGGATACTGAAAAGGCTTACAGATATGTCTTCATAGCCAGTCCGATGTCTTCAAGAAACTATCATGGAAGGTCTCAGAAGACATTTAAGGAACCAAAAGTGGGCAGAGGTGGATTTCAAAAACTATGGGTTGGTACTCAATATGCACAGTGGTAGCCTGGAATACAAGGACTAGTACGTTTTACTAAACATCTCGAACGTAAAGCAGGGGTCACTAGGCGGCAGCCTGGATTTGCCAAAAATAAGGCATGCAAAAGTAGGCTCATTTTCTTTATGATGGGGTTGAGACTAGGTCATGGGCTGCAACACATGTAACTCTATCAGGATTTCAGGCGTTTAAGTAACACACCCCCTCAATCTACCCGTGAGGACCATGTTCAGTAACAGTCACAGGCTGTTAAATATCATGTCAAAAGAAAGGCCTGCTCTTCTCCTCTGGGTACCAGTGTTTTAGAGGGATGCTGACACTAAAGGTGATGTCAAGTTTGGAAATTAGGAAGTAGTTGAATGGGTCAGGGATGTTTGCTGGAAGAAAAGAATCCCTGTGGGACATGTGAGCACTGTCTCACAACATTTGAATATGAGGAAAAAGAGGTGTTTCCTTATCTATGTTTTTTGGGAAGTGCTACCGCAGGGATTGCTAGGACAACAGTGAAAAACATGGCTGGAAGTTCTGTGAGGCTGAAGTGAGTGGTCTAGGCCCTGAGGGACTGGCCCTGCAAATGGAGGGGCAGGATGTTGTTCAGGGCATGAAGGCAACAAGGTTGCTGCTGAATTAAATGGGGATGGTGAAGATGGGGGCAAACACTGTTTTGACTTCACTCAATTGAATATGATCTCTTCTAAATTTTGACTTATACCATTCTTGTAGTAATTTTGCCAAGCCGTGATTTTTTAAAACCTGTCTTTTTGTTTTTTGAGACGGGGTCTCTATCACTGAGGCTGGAGCACAGTGGCACAATCTCAGTTCACTGCAACCTCTGCCTCCCTGGCTCAAGCAATCTTTCCACCTCAGCCTCCCGTGTAGCTGGGACCACAGGCACGCGCTACCACGCCCGGCTAATTTTTTTTGTATTTTTAGTAGAGACTGGGTTTCACCATGTTCCCTAGGCCGATAAACCTGTTTTATTATCTTTATTTATCAGCCATTTGAAGGTAGAAACTCTGTTCTATTCCTTCTTGAATTCTTATAGCTGCTGCGTTGGTTGTCTTTAGTATTTTCCATTAATTTTAATACCATTTTCTGTCATTTTCAAATAGCTATTAAGTTTCCAAAAGTAATTGTTTTTTTCTGAGAAGACAAAAACCAAAGGAATCATGCTTGGATTTTGGAAAATATATCTCTCCCTACATGTTGGTGGGAACAATTCTGGCCCTTCTGACTTAGTCACAGTAGACAAGTTGTTCTTTATATATAGAGGGCAAAACCTCACTCATCAAGCCAAAGTTTCTCACCAACTCAGTTGAATACAACATGTAATTACTTAAGAGTATTATATTTTCACCTTGGTAAGTGTTCAAAAATTGCAGATTTATCCCAATTATCAAGTCTGGTTGGGAAGAGCCTTTGAAATGGAGTCCACCATGTAATGGGGGAAAAGATGTCCCTTACTCAAGGAGACCAGTCTCTTGGTATGTGTGTGGTGGAAGGGACAGACTGTGGCACATTCATCGTTCAGGAGCACAGGTCATTTGGATTAGAATCAGATTCTACCGCTAACCAGTTATCTGACCTTGGGCAAGTTACTTAAACTCTGTGCCTTAGTCTCCTCACCTGTGCCAAGGAAATAGTAATAATGCCCACCGCATATGGTGGTTGTAATGTTTGAATGACTTCTTGTATATACATACTTAGAGCAGTACATGGGTGGTAAGTACTACATAAGTGATTTTTATCATCATTATTATGCATAAGGCCAATCCAGTGGAGAAAATTTACTTGGAAAAAGAATAAAGAAAGACTAATTGTTCTCCTTCACCTCTTTGGTTCCTCTTCTGGTTTGACAGTGGGGCCACAGTTTCACTTGGAGAGAAAAAAGGGATGTATGAAAAAGAGAGAGAAGAGGAGAAAGAAAGGAAGGGAAAGATGACAGCTGATATCATGCTGTTGTTCATTTCTACCAGGAAATGAAGTCCATTGCATTGATGGACAGTAATTCCCTAAAAAAGCAAATTCTGGAGTTAATACAAACAGCCATTGGGTCATTATTATAAATTTCACTTCTGAAGCATTCAGCCAATGATAGAACCAACCCTATATATGGGTTGAACCAACCTGAATGACCCCCATAATCAGTAGTTTGATCTGGCAGTACAATTAAGTCAATGGATGCCTACTAAGGTACTCTCCGTTTATTGACTCTTGTTGATTTAAAGGCTAAGGGCCTTCTCTCTAAGTTGCATTTTGGTTAATGACATTTAATGATATTTTCATGCTAATAACCTCAACTTGCTGACATCTTGAGATGTATTTCTTTGGCTTCTATATTATAACTTTCTTTGGCTACCCAAGTTTTTGATAGGAAATGTTGTCTGTTACTGAATATTTTTTTGTTTTGTTTTTTTTTTTTTTTGAGACAGAGTCTTGATTTGTTGCCCAGGCTGGAGTACAGTGGTGTGATCTTGGCTCACTGCAACCACCACCTCCTAGTTTCAAGCGATTCTCCTGCCTCAGCCTCCCAAGTAGCTGGGATTACAGGTGCCCACCACTATGCCTGGCTAATTTTTGTATTTTTAGTAGAGATACGGTTTCACCATGTTGGCAAAGCTGGTCTTGAACTCCTGACCTCGTGGTCCACCCACCTTGGCCTCCCAGAGTGCTGGGATTACAGGTGTGAGCCGCTGTGCCCAACCTGTTAGTAATAATTTGTTGGGAGAGAAACCATCCTATAAATGTGTGGAGGACTCTTGTTGGGGATGATGTCATATTATAAGTTTTCAGTAAATATAGGTTGAATGAATAAAGGAGTACGAATCATTTCAAGCAGTTTATACCAAACCATTTGATGGAATATGACCGGGTTAGAGTGTATGATAGATGTGAATGGCAAAGAAGCCAGAGGAACCTTGAGTTGTATTCAGAGGATATATTGACTCTGAAGATAAAGGGTAGAAGAGTTAAGAGGGCATCTTGGTATTCATTTGGCACAATTAATGTGAAGAAAATTGTAACCTCCAAAAATAGAAAAGTGATTTATTCCATTCTGTTACTAAAGTAGTGTGTATATGCGCATGCGAGTGTGGTTCTAGATGTATATATACATAAAAAGCAATGAAATGAGATTTTTCTTAAATAAAACCCGCTTATTTTCATCACTGTACAAATTGTTGTCATTCAGACTTTTGATAAATTATTTCCTTTTCTCTTTCTTATTCCTTATCTGCTGAATGCATATCACACCCCTCATGAGCCAGAAACTGGTTTATTATATGATATAAAATATATCAAGGTTATTGGCACATATGGGAGCTTTCCTGTAGGAGACATAGAATTATGTGTTTTATAGAACTTCTAGAAAACACAGCCTCTACCTGCTTAGAATTTACATTTGAACATATTGAGAGATAGGTATTGTCTTAAGCAAAACCATCGCTTGACTCTAAGTGTCAACATGCATAAATAGCATATGAAATCTGCTTTAAATCACAGATGAGGTCATTGAAAATGTGCATCTTTTTAGATGAATGCAAATACAGGACAGAATTTCCTGAAAATAATGTATTTCACTTAGTTGGCTCCATATTCCCAATCTGGGTTATTATGTTATCAATTTATCCTAGTAACTCTCTTTTTCAATTAATTATTTAATGTGTGTTTTTGTGTCTATATGTATTCATCTATTTTTGTTCCAGTGCCACATGTCTCCTGACTTTTCTTCCTCAGAGTAAAAATGCAAGGATCCGTTGCTTCTCTCTCTTCCTCTCCTGTGACCTCCCTTGCACACATTGCTTTAGACCAGGCTTCTCACAGTTTGATGAGGCTCAGGATAATGGGAGAAGGAAGGCAGCTGTTCAAACACAGATGACTGGGCCCGGCACAGTGGCTAACGCCTGTAATCCCAGCACTTTGGGAGGCCAAGGCGGTGGATCACTAGAGGCCAGGAGTTTGAGACTACCCTGGCCAACCTGGTGAAACCCCATCTACTAAACATACAAAATTTAGCCAGGTGTGGTGGCACATGCATGTAGTCCCAGCTACTTGGGAGGCTGAGGCAAGAGAATAGCTTGAACCCGGGAGGCAAATGTTGCAGTGAGCTGAGATCGGGCCACTGCACTCCAGCCTGGTGACATTGCAAGACTCCATCTCAAAATGAACAAACAAACAAACAAAACACTATGGATGGCTGGACTCCACACCCAGCCCTAGATTATGACAAAGTAGATCTGAGAAGTTGCATTGCTGACAGAGTTCTGGGTGCTGCTGCTGCTGGGCAGATGACCACATCATGGCTCCAACGACACATCTCCTTTCTGCTCCTGGAACACACCAGACTTGTCCCATCTCAGGGCCTTTGCACTGGCTATTTCTTCTTCTTGGAAAGTTCTCTTGTCGAGACCCTTCAGGTTTTTTCTTAAATGTTATTTTCTCATGAGGGCTTCTTTGGTTGCTGAAGTTAGAATTGCAACTCCCCCTTGCTCTACAATACTTCCCACCCTCTTTCCTTGCTCTTTTTATCTTTCACCCGTTTAACATGTTATATAGTTTATTTATGTGTAGTGTTTTTTTTTCCATCTGTCTCCCTAGTAAAACGTAAGCAACGGAAGTGTAGGAATTGTCTATATTTGGTTGCTTTCTTGTTGTATCCTCAGCACCTTGAACAGTTCCTGGTACATAGTAAGCCTCAGCAAGCACTTGTTGAAGGAGTGAATGACAGATTCACTAAGAGTTTACAACAGGGATCCAAAAGAATTATTGCAACCACAAAATAGGGTTCAGTCAGTGATGGTTATAATTAATGCATGCCGAAGGCTCGTAGTTCTCTAGGGGTTTGCAGAAAATGTTTACTTTTCGGGAATTTATATCCTGAAAGACATGAAATTATTAACCCCCGTAAAAAAATGGATCAAACCAGATGACACTAATCACACGATTGAGGCCTGTTCTTGTACTAGGTGCAAAAGAGTTGAGTTTCTGCTGGTGAGACGCTAACTCTCTTCTTCTTAGGACCTTTCTTTATTCTTTTTTTGGATTAAAGAATAATACTTGTGGAAATATTCTTTTTTTTCAGAAGAGATCTGAACTGATTTACAGGAAATACAAACGTATATAATAAATAGAAGATGGTACATAAATAATTATATGAAAATCTGGTAATATAGTAATAACTAGTAATAGAAACTCTCATCATATATTAAATATCAATTGATTATATCTCATTGTAGCATTCTATCAGAACCTTGAAAACAGTTACATCCCTGGCTCCATGCTTTTAATTCTTTGATAAAATTGAATATAATATATTTGTAGAGCAGAGAATCTTTGTGTACATGTGTATGTCAGTATTATTCCTCATTATCTCTATGGTAAAATGGAAGATATAAGCATCTTGTTCTTGAAGTCTGAATTTATAATCTTGATATGTCCCTCTGACAAGTGCAAAATCTTACTCATATCACCTCTGCCTTTAAAAATAAACTGTTGTCTTTATCAAAAACAACAGAGAAACACCAGGCCTCAAATAACGCAATCGTGTTTCATTGTGATACCAGTTCTCAGTCTTCCTTAGGTATTTTTCTAACTCTTGAAGTTTAAAACCTAATAATAGGAATTTTTATTCATGTTTTATATATTTATGAATTTTTCAATATACATACTGTCACAATGGAAATTTTTGGAAAGCAGAAAGAACTGTTAATTATTCCATCGTCATTTGCAGTAATCTCCCACAAACCCTTTTCTGGTATTGATAGAGATATTTTTCAAGGCTTGCAAGTAATAATTATAGTATTGAAAAAATGACAGTTTGTGTGTACTCACTGTGAGCTGTGTACTTTTACTGGAAACATGCAAATTAGGGCTCATGGAAGGCTGCATAATAGCCTCTAATTATGTCATATTTCCCTGAAATTGTATTATATTTACATATTCTGGAACTGAGGATGACACCATAGAGGGTCCTCTCATGGCACACTTATGGAATCTGACCTCATGGTGGCTCAGTTAAGGCAGGAATGAACACAGAAAGCTATGCTAACTAGAGACTTCAGCACTCTGCACTTAAGCATTTCCGAAAAGAAATATGTTAGAAGCAATTTGAAGCATGTTGGAATTTGTTTGGAATCCAGATTTCTGCTTTTAGAGCTACTTACTGTATACTTAAGGAGTTCTCATACAATTGGAAGCAATTTGTGGGTGACTGCATTTATTTTTGCCTTATTGCCCTAGAGCAGTAAACTGTCAGACTACAACAGAATTGGAATGTGATGCTTGTTTCATATGATTTTACAAGGAGTATGACCGATTTCACTTTGACAAAGAAACATAACAGTCAATGCATTTGCTTAAATATTAACACTGTTATCAGTGTTGATTCCGACATTCAGAAAGCCAATGCTGCTTTCCTTTGCTGCAGCCATGATTTAAACATGCATTCACTGGGAAGTGCAGAGTTCATGGGAGGCAGGCCCTGTCCAGGAGTAGAGGAATTTGTTGGACTTTTATACAGTGCTTATCATGTCACAGGCATACATTGAATGGGAAAACACCACACACACAGACGCCCCTACTCATAGTTGTAACTGCTTTGCTATCATTAGTACAATATTTTCATTTTATTTCACTTCATTCTCATTAGTACAACATTAACATTTGTGGGTACATAGTAGGTGTACATATTTTATGGGGTACATGCGATGTTTTGATACAGGCATGCAATGTAAAATAAGCATATCATGGAGAATGGGATAGGTATCCGTCCCCTCAAGTATTTATCCTTTGAGTTACAAACAATCCAATTACACTCTTTAAGTCATTTTAAAGTGTACAATTAAGTTATGATGGACTAAAGTCACCCTGTTGTGCTATCAAATAACAGGTCCTATTCATTCTACTTTTTTGGTACCCGTGAACCATCCCCACCTTCCCCCCAGCCCCTCACCACCCTTCCCAGCCTCTGTAACCATCTTTCTACTCTCTATGTCCATGAGTTCAACAGTTTTAATTTCTAGATCCCACAAATAAGTGAGAACATATTTGTCTTTTTGTGCCTGGCTTATTTCACTTAATATTGTGATCTCCAGTTCCATCCATGTTGTTGCAAATGACAGCATCTATTTCTTTTTATGGCTGAATAGTACTCCATTGTGTATATGTACCACATTTCCTTTATTCATCTGCTGATGGACACTCAGGATGCTTCCTGATCTTAGGTATTGTAAACAGTGCTTCAACAAACATGAAAATATAGATGTCTCTCCGATATACTGATTTCTTTTCTTTTGGGTATATACCCAGCAGTGGGATTACTGGGTCATATGGTAGCTCAGTATTCAGGTTTCTGAGGAAACTCCAAAGTATTTTCCATAGTGGCTGTACTCATTTATATTCCCACCAACAGTGTACGAGGGTTCCCTTTCCTCCACATCCTCACCAGCATTTATTATTGCTTGTCTTTTGAATATAAGCCATTTTAACTGGGGTGAGCTGATACCTCATTGTAGTTTTGATTTGCATTTCTCATTGATGACTAATGATGTTGATCACTTTTTATGTGCCTGTTTGCCATTTGTATGTCTTTTTTTTTTTTTTTTGAGAAATGTCTACTCAAATCTTTTACCCATTTTTGGATCAGATTATTAGATTTTTTCCTATAGAGTTTTTTGAGCTCCTTATGTATTCTGGTTATTAATCCTTTGTCAGATGGGTAGTTTGAAAATATTTTCTCCCATTCTGTGGGTTATCTACTCACTTTCTGGATTGTATCCTTTGCTGTGCAGAAGCTTTTGAACTTGATGGGATCTTATTTGTCCATTTTTGCTTTGGTTGCCTGTGCTTGTGGAGTATTCCTCAAGAAATCTTTGACCAGACCAATGTCCTGGAGATTTTCCCCGATGTTTTCTTGTATTAGTTTCATAGTGTGAAGTCTTAGATTTAAGTCTTTAATCTATTTTGATTGATTTTTGTATATGGCAAGAGATAGGGGTCTAGTTTCATTCTTCTGCATATGGATATCCAGTTTTCCCAGCACCATTTATTGATGAGACAGTCTTTTCCCTGGTATATGTCCTGGACACCTTTATAAAAAATGAGTTTACTGTCAGTGTATGGATTTGTTTCTGGGTTCTCTATTCTGTTCCATTGGTCTATGTGTCTATTTTTATGCCAGTACCATGCTGTTTTGATTACTATAGCTCTGTAGTATAATTTGAAGTCAGGTACTGTGATTCTCTCAGTTTTATTCTTTTCGCTTAGGATAACTTTGGCTATCCTGGGTCTTTTGTGGTTCCACATAAATTTTAGGATTTTTTTTTCTATTTCTGAAGAATGTCACTGGTATTTTGATAGGGATTACATTGAATCTATAGATTGCTTTGGGTAGTATGGACATTTTAACAATATTGATTCTTCCAATTCATGAACATGGAATATTTTTTATTTTTTGGTGTTCTCTTCAATTTCTTTCACCGGTGTTTTATGGTTTTCATTATAGAGATCTTCCACTTCTTTGGCTAAGTTAATTTCTAGGTATTTAATTTTATGCGTGGCTATAGTAAATGGTATTACTTTTTAATTTCTTTTTTAGTACAGTATTTTTAGTGTTCAAGAATATAGTTAAGGAGTACAAAAGCAATCTTCAGCATAAAAGCTGAAGTTGTCATATATGGCAGCCACTGTCAATGGTACTCATATTGATGTGTCTCTTTTTTTCTAGAAAGTGGGAAAATGTAAAACTGCTTGTCTAGTGCATTTTCTGTACAGATATGAAAGTCAAACCATTATCTTCTAACTGTGCAATTCAACTATATCATCCTCACTTCCTCCATTATGGAAAAGGCCTGCTTGGGTCAGTGGTATTTAAGCCAAGGCTTTCCCACTACTAATACTAATTTCATGCAGTTCCAGATTTGGGGAATATAACTTAACCTAGACGAGTTGAAGATCATTGTAGCAACTCTTATTGAATGCAGGCTGTATACAGAACATCTCATTTTGCCAGGGACCATGGAGAGCCATAAGAGGAAATACAGTGCTTCTTCAGAGTTCATAATTAAACTGTAAAAAGGGGGCTAATATAAATAAAGACTTTTAATTATAGAATATATGTTAAGTTACTGACTTCTAAAATAACATTGAACACAAATGAATGCTTTTCATTTCAAAGTAGACTCCTTGCACAGACAATATAAACTTATAACAAGGCCATTTCTCAAGAGCATTTTAGAACCTATATTACGTTTTTTAGTATTCTCAAAGGAGGATAATGCATGTCATTTGCCAGAATTTTGGAAAGAATCAAAAACCATTTGTAGGCATGTCTGATGAGTGAGATCTACAATCAGAAAGCTGAACGTCAAGTTTGAAAAAAACAAAAACCATGTTTGCAGTCAAAGAGTTGCTGTAATAAAGAAGACCACCATTAGTCTTAGTCAGCATATTTGTGTCATATAAGATTCCTTGAGTATTTGACATATACTAAAACTGATTTGGGCTATTAATACAATACGCAGCATACACAGAAATCAAGATTTGCTACTTCAACAAAACCAGATAGCAAAAAAAGAAATCTTGGTGTTCAAATCAAATTATAATTTGATTTGGATCCTGGGGATGTTGGAGTTTTCTAGTAAATACATTAAGCATTTTGCATCTAGATTATGTTACAGGAAATTTTAAAAACGTTTAAAAAGTGGTTTTTAAGGTACTTTTTTTGGAAGACTAAAGAAAATGACCCATCTGAATGTTTTCTTTTGTTACCTAAAATGCACAGCATAATTTTTGTAGAAATTTTTCTTGCAACATAGTTACTTTCAGAACAAATCAAATTAGTTTTAATTTTACCATTTAGGAGTCATTTGATTTTGAGCTTAGATTCCTTATCTGTAAATAGAGAAGGCGAGACTGAATTGACATTAATGTCCTTATCAACCCTGCGCTCGCGCAGTTATTTGTTCCTTCCTTTAGTGTAAGTCTGTAGCCACCATTTGTGTCTTAATTAAATGATCTAAATCTTTAATGTTTTCACCATTTTTATGAATGAATCTCAGAGACTGATCTGATAGTCGTGTCGTGTAGCAACATAAACATCTTCCACAACCTTTAAAAAGTTTGTTGGCATTAAAATTGTGGCTTTCAACATCCTTTCATTCCCAGAGGCTTATTTTAGCATGTCAAGTGGATGTGTTGAAGATTTATCACATAGAACTCCACATTAATTTTTTACTTTAAGTGATCACCCATTTTTGTTCCGACATAAAGCAATATTCACTGCAGCTGTTAGCATATGACAGTTGACTGGCTGAACTTGGAAATACTGCTGCTGCTCGTTGAAACATGCTGCCATAGATTCTTGCTGCAATGTGATTGCTCTTCTGTCTTCACAAGTTATTCAAGAAGAAAATTAGTCTCATTTCTTTACGGAGACACTTTGCATAAACATGCAGTCATCATTGATCTACAAATCATATAAAGTTAAATGTAATCAATTATAGTTATATATAAGTATTCAGGGTGCTACTATAGGGGTGTCTTTGCTGCCAATGGCTGCAAGGGGTTGACAACATCATTTCAGGGACCCTCATTCATTTGCAGCTGGGATTCCTTGATCTAAGAATGGACTGACATGTTTTTATGAGTATAAATACTCACAGATGTCCTCATTCTTTCTGAGCAGTTTGGATGCCATTTTGAGACCAGTTAGAACCCCTTCCCACTCTATTTGGTTAAGAGACAGAATTATGTCACATATAAGCCAACACTGGTTTAATCCAAAAGTCATTTATACATTTGGCATCAGTTCTGGTACTTCAGTTTTCTGCTAGTGTTTGTATCATAGCAATAGATTCCCTTTAAGAGTGATAGGTGTCTGTGGATGTGTTTAAGGAAGCAATGTTTAAATGCACTGAGAGGAACTGTGCTCACTTAGAAGAAATGAGTCATCAAAGTTGGGAATTTTTTAATCCTTGGAAATTTTAAGGGTTTTTATTTTTCTATTTACTAATTAAGGATATTTTGGAAACTTAATTTTTTTGGTCAAATAAAATAGGTAAATGGTATTTCCCCTTTCCAATCTTAACATCGGTTCTACCTAAGAGAGTGACTTCTTTAACTTGTTTAACACTAACCTTTAAAAAAATCAGTAAACAAAGCAGCATTGCAAGCCTAGTGAGTTTTTCATTCAACTGAATGAAATCATATGTAAATTACTGGTTTAGACAGTGTTTGCTTCTATGATTTGTTGTTTAGGAAAAGTTGTATGCACCACAGCACAGCCACAGCCTGGGTTGTGCCTACTTTGAGAAACCTTACTGGGTGACAGAATGGGGTAACAGAGCCATAATTTATAGTCACTAATATGAAGATGTTATATCAATTACTTAGGAAAAAATACCCCACTGGATTTATATCCTTTAGTTATTAAAAAGTGGCAGCTATCTTAAATTAGCTAAAGAAACTAAAGAATTTAGCGACAGAAATTAATCACTGTCATGATCCATACACAGACTCTGAGTTGCAGCACTCTACAAAACATTTGTTTGGAAAAGGAAAATTGCTATTATGGTCACCTTAATAGAAACAGACAATCAAACAAATCTTAATTTAAAAGATTGCATGTGGTCATAAATCATAATGGCACAGAGATTTAAGGCACAAAAAGCAACTTCATAAAGAAATGAGGCATGCCAGGGAGAGCCAGCAACCATGGCTGGTGCCGTCCTGTCTGCCCATCCTATCAGTGATGTTGCAAATGTTTTGATATTTCAGCACTGAGCTGGATTGTTCATTTTGCAGTAAAATGCAACAGTCTCCTAATCTGTTTTCTTGCCACTGGCTTTCTAATCTTCTTTAACCAATTCTCTACCCAGCAAGTGGAAGAAGGAGAGCCTTAAAATGGAAATCGAGTCAGGGCATACCTTCTCCCCAGTCAAAATCATCAGCATCTTTTACTTGCAGTTGGGATTAAATCCAACTCCATGAAGTGATCTGACCTCACTTCCTGGGCTCCAGCACACCGGCCTGCTTCGGTTCCTTCCCTCCTCCTGTTGGGGGTACTCTGAAAGAAGTACTTCGGGCTACTCTGAAAGAAGGGTACTCTGTAAGAATGGGGGGTACTCTAAAAGAAGGTCATCTTAATGTTTACTCTGCATTGGATGTAATCCATTATTTCTAATACTTTTAGTTTCACTCGAGCTGAGTCACAAAAACCAAAAAACAAAACCTAAACAAACAACAAAACCTCCTTAAGAGAGGAATGGGGTAGGAGCTAAGCCAATGGAATTAAAATCACTTAGTAACTGCGGTAGGCAATGCATATTGCTAATTGTCATATTAGCCGTATGTTGTGTTCTGTTTACATATGGTGAAATGTATGTACACCTTAACTGATATTTTGTGGATGAGCACAAATGTTTGCATGCCTCTGAGTGATAGATGCCCCATTATGGAGTGTTACTTGGTAGTTGCAACATCCTCTTGGAAGGCAGAAGAAATCAACATAAGCTAAATTTTCCTCATTACTGTATTGCGTTACCATCTGTCTGCCTAGCTTTCTCAGGCGTCTTTAAATAGGCTTCAGACTGGCCAGTGTCACCAAGCATCCAAGCTTTACAGATGGGGCCTAGATGCTGGGCCAACTGAACTACAGCTGTGTCTAGTACAGGCCAGGACACACTCCTTTTGGCCAATAACTCTTGTTTGGTTTTGATAATGATCTGATAGCATTAATATCTCAAAAGAAGAATTTGTTGTCCTTAGTGGTAGGGTAAGATATATATGTATATATCTAATATGTATAACTTATACATATATTATTTTTATATATTTATTATATATACATACACATAATAATTTTTAGCTGAAAATAAAAACTGCCAACTTCAGAATAAACAATTATTTCTTAAAGTCTAGGTTCCCAAGGCAGGAGTAGTGGGAAAATTATCTGCAGTCAATGAAGTGAAGTCATCATTTGGCAGCATGATTTCAAAATGGAGTAATCAGTGTATCCTATATGAATTAAGTCTAAGCCTTCTGTGTGGTCTTTCTTTAAGACCAAAGCACAAATAGAGTTTGGAAAAAATAGACTCAAATGCAATTTCATTTTTTTACAATATTATACAGAATATGTAAATTCTTAAAGCACATGCTTCCTGAATTAAGTACAACCTCATGAAAATTCCATATCTACACTCTTCCCTATGAATTCATTGTGTAAAATTGAGCTCAGAATTGAAGAAAATAAATAGGACTGTGTCTAATCTTTCTGCATGGCTCAATTATAAATGACACAGTGCAGCTTTTTCAGGTAAACATACGGAATTATAAAAAGGATCTAGTGTGGAACTACATAGATGAATGGATCATTTTTTATATCCTAGGCCAGAAAGTAATGACTCAGATGTAGCTTATCTTTGCTTCATAACCAATGAGCATGTTGATGAAAATGGTGCCTCATTTAAATGACAGGTCTCCCTTCTACCACCATCTGCCGAGCCGCAATGGACAATTGAGGTATATGTTTGGATGTCTCCTAACAATAGTTTTGTATGAAAGCACAGCATAATTAAAATTGCCATGACCATCCAAAAGCTTATGTTTGATTATTTTTTTGACTGTCATGGAAAATGACCCATTATTTGGTAAGGTAGTAACTTTTAAAAACTGTAGATAAAAGGAAGTAACAAATTCAGCAAACCAACTTGAGCCAGAGCTATGGGTTTTGGCTTACTAGATTGTAAAACTAACTAGCTGCCATTTTAAGCACTTCATAAGTTACTTGCTATAGTTTCTCCTTTTTGAGGCATCTCAAAGAATTGCCAGTGGGAACACAATCAAAGAGGGATGTTCATTTTTATGATATTGAGAGCACTGATGTTGAATTTAAGTGATTATTTTTCACTCTTTACAAGATCACATGAATGTAGGTAAATAAGACAGTGTAGGCAACCGTGTCAGTATCTAGAAGTGATCTGAGGAGGTTTGGCTTTGCCTAAACTTCTAGATTCAATTTGCTTAAATTTCTGTGTTAATCTACCTCCTTCATGATTTCTAGTCTTCATTGACCTCTTTTCAATTAGAATTTGTAGAAACAAAATTTTTAAAAATAGGTATAGATACATTTACCTTTCTGTTTTCAGGAATGAGGAAGAGACAATTTGACAAATAAATTACTTCGAATTCAAATAAAGCACAACAATAACATTCATCCTACCTGCAGGAAATAATGTAAAATACATTTAAAACCCCTTTAAAATTCTTTTAGCAGTTTTCATACATGTAAAATACATTTAAAACTTCTTTAGCATTTTATTCTATTTATAAATAACTTCCTAACAATTCTCTAATTAAAATCCTTTAGAGCTTTTACTTTGTATCTTTGTGGGGAAGTAAACTTCATTAAAAAATAATTTTTGACTCAAACTTTTAACTTAATTTCAACCTTAATATTCTTAATTTCCACAAATCTGAATGATAATATATACCCTACAAGGCCTACAAGCTACTATTGAACGTTTTGTTAAATTTTTTCAATGTCGTGAACTTGCTTATTGGAAATGAATGGTAATTGTCATTATTCTGTTTCGTTGTGAAATCCAGAAATTAGGATTTTATGGCCCAAATATGGCATTACTAGAGAAATTTAAATAAAAGAGACTAAGGTATATAAAACAAGATATGGGCTTTGATAGGACAAAGAAATATAATTTTTGTAACTTTTTCAGTACTGTATAGAAGTCTCTCTAAAAAAATCACCTGAAGTTAATTATAATGTAATTATTATATAATAAAGGTTATATTTCAAAACTTATATGCTAACTTTAGAACTTTATTTCTCTCCATAGAATAATTTTTACAAATGTGCTGGATTCTAAAAGATTATTTATATCAGATCAATAATGGGTTAAAAAGTAAGCTTTTGTAGAATGCCTGGTAATAAAACAACTTTTTTTATTTTTTATTTTTTTGAGACGGAGTCTCACTCTGTAGCCCAGGCTGGAGTGCAGTGGCAAGTTCTCGGCTCACTGCAATCTCTGCCTCCAGGTTCAAGTGATTCTCCTGTCTCAGCCTCCCGTGTAGCTGGGATTACAGGCACTCACCACCATGCCTAGTTAATTTTTGTATTTTTTGTAGAGATGGGGTTTCACCATATTGGTCAGGCTGGTCTTGAACTCCTGACCTCAGTTGATCCACCAGCCTCAGCCTTCCAAAGTCCTGGAATTACATATGTGAGCCACCACGCCTGGCCTTTTTTTACATTTTTAATAGGAAATTCCTTTTACAGTATGAATTTTGGATGCCAGAAGTATATTTGTCCATCTTAACTGTAGCTACAATACAATATTCAGCTTTTATCCCACTAAGAACTCATGGGTTCTATGATAATGTACTTTTAGTCCCATTTTTGATTATGTCAAATGAATAACAGTGGCAAAAGCAATTATTTTATTTATTTTTTGGAGACACGGTCTCACTCTGTCACCCAAGCTGGAGTACAGTGGCGCAACCTCAGCTCCCTGCAACCTCTGTCTTCAAGTGATTCTCATGCCTCAGCCTCCTGAGCAGCTGGGATTAAAGGTGTGTGCCACCACATCCAGCTAATTTTTGTATTTTTAGTAGAGACGGGGTGTCACCATGTTGGCCAGGCTGGTCTCGAACCCCTGACCTCAGGTGATCCACCTGCCTCAGCCTCCCAAAGTGCTGGGATTACAGGCATGAGCCACCGTGCCTGGCCCAAAACCAATTACTGTACTCTTTTATGTTGTCATGTCTTCTTTAATATGATTTCCTTAATTAATTGCTGCTAGTAAAAAGTAAATTTAAAAAACTTACAAATCTATAAACTCGTAAAAGTAGTGGAACTTTAGAGATCATTGTGTGACTCAACAAATTTAATACATGATATCCCTGAGCCTCAGTGATATTAAATGCCTTGCCTGAAATAGTAGCAGAACCCGAAGTAGAGCTTAGGTCTCCTTATTTCCGGTTTAGTACTTTCACTCTACTCCCATATCAGTCAAAATATTTATTTAATAGTTCATGTAAAATAGTGAAGTTTTAGGTGATGTGATGGGTACAGTAAAATATAAGCTATTTGCTGTGTTCAGGGAGTTTGTAGCTGAGCAGTTTTTTTATAAACTATTTAGACAAATAATAGTATTCATTGGTAGGATTTAATAACTTTTGTACAATACAGAAATTGGGAATCATAGCTACCTTTTTGTTTATTTTTGGACCTACAACAAAATTTTAAAAAAAGCTTGAGAAATAAATACACAACACATACCAATGCCCCATTCCAAGCTATATTGGAGTCTGATGCAAAAGTGAAAATAAAGACAGATACAGTCTGTCTTTATTTAAAATTTTGAGATTTTTTTCATTGTGGTTTTTTGTTTGGTTTGTTTGTTTTTGAGACAGAGTCTGACTCTGTCACCCAGGCTGGAGTACAGTGACACAATCTCGGCCCACTGCAACCTCCGCCTCTCGGGTTCAAGCGATTCTTCTGCCTCAGCCTCCTGAGTAGCTGGGACTACAGGCATGCGCCACCATGCCTGGCTAATTTTTTTGTGTGTTTTTAGTAGAGACAGGGTTTCACCATGTTGGCCGGGCTGGTCTTGAACTCCTGACCTCGTGATCTGCCCGCCTCGGCCTCTCAAAGTGCTGGGATTACAGGTGTGAGCCACCGCGCCTGGCCCATCATGGATTTTTTTTTTTATTAACCAGAGTCTATGCTCTATTCATATTTCCTTAGTTTTTACATAATGTTCTTTCCTGTTCCGGACTACATTACCTTTAGTTGTTATGCCACATAGTGTTTTTTGCATTAATATTGAGACAGAGCCTTGCTCTGTCGCCCAGGCTGGAGTGCAGTGGCGCGATTTTGGCTCACTGCAAGCTCTGCCTCCCCTGGCTTCAAGCCATTCTCTTGCCTCAGCCTCCTGAGTAGCTGGGACTACAGGCGCCCACCACCACGCCCGGCTAATTTTTTGTATTTTTAGTAGAGACGGGGTTTCACCGTGTTAGCCAGGATGGTCTCGATCTCCTGACCTCGTGGTCCGCCTGCCTCGGCCTCCCAAAGTGCTGGGATTACAGGCATGAGCCACAATATTGATTTTTAAAGTATTATATTAAAATATTGTTTATCTCGATTACTGAGATTTGCACCTGAAATGACTGAGTCACTTGGCTTCCTCTAGTCCTGACTTGGGTGCACACGTGCACGCAGAGACAGAGTATTTTATTTTTGAGAGATATTTCTTTAAGTGCTCTTATCCAAAAAAAGAAAAGCCCTTAAGTCCCAATGGGCAAATTGCTAAAATGTGGGGGAAGAAAAGTAATTCTGGTATACAATGCAAAGTAGGAGCGTATTTCATAAATAACTCAGGTATGTTAACTAGTATTTATGGGTGAAGCCACAGATTTCTGATTGTAAATATCCAGAGTTCCATAGTGTACATATTATCTGAGCTCTCAGATCAGGCTTCATACCAGTGCAATAAAATGAACACATAAACCTGACAAGCCAGAAGCCAGGGATGGGTCTGCTCTTAATCATACCACATCTAGTAGCATTCTACTTTTACTTTTATTATTGAATTCTTACAACAAATAAATATAAAGTTTGTATTTAATCTTTCCCAGAATATCTCATCATTTTGCACCTGAAATGCAGGATAATTATTTCCAACAGATGTTATTTACTGACATAATTTCTGGACCAGACGATAACATTTAACCCTCAGTGTAATGTTTTGATGTTCTCTCATGCCCTGATACATTTGGACTTATTACCAAATCATTACTACAAGTCTGGAAGTTTCAATAATTTACAGAAGTCATTACGTCTGGAAGTGTAGTAACTCTGCCAAAGAGATGACCTAAATGTCCCAAATACATCCCATATTCTTCAGTCCTCCCATCTGAGTTTCTCTTACACCCATTTTTCTTATATATAAAAACAGAGCAATATTTTTGAGCAAAATTTTAAAAGAAAGGCTCTATTTCGTCACATGGCCTCATTTCTTTTTTTCTGTTTGCATATCATGTACATGGATACAATTTAATCATGTAACCATGTCCATTAAATTATTAGCTGATGGCCTTTGATGTCAAGATTGCACTTTTGCCTTCTCTTTGTATGCACGGTGGTTTGATACCATCTCACTGCTGGCACTAAGTTTTCACAGAATAATAACATTTACAGTTTATAATCTATAGATCTCTGGAGAGATTTGCTTAATAGAACAATACATGTCAAGATTCTTTGCCCAAGCTTGTCTGCTCTGTGCAAAATGTACAACGTATATTTTGCCTGCATATTTTACGCTACTAAATGGCTCTGTAAAGAAAGGTGTATTTAAGAACACATTTTAAAAAATTGTACTGAGTTTTACAAAAAAGCTATGACTCCCTACCTTGGAAATCTTGTTTTATTTTCTTGTCTTTTTTTTGTGTTTTCAAAGTATGAACTCTCCTTTGTTAGCTCTGTATGAGGAATGAACCATTTTCTCAAAGTTCGATGAATAAAGACTCTCATCTTACAGGGAGGCTAAATTCTTGTGTTAGAAAGAATTCTTCATCATAAATACCTGTGAAATGATAAATGCATATTTGGGAATAAAACATCTTATAGGGCTTCTATTTAAAAATGACAGTGTGCTCATACTTGTATTTTCTCCCTCTTCAAACCCACCTAACATGCATTAAGAAAAGCCAAAATATGTTAATCCACAAGGACAAAGAGAGCCAGAGAAAAGGCAACAGTGGAAAAATCTTTTAACAAACATTACTGAAGCAAGGAAGCAGATGGTAATTAATTTATCAGAGCAGAAGAAATTTCCACCTAGCCTGCAGAGGACATTATCACCAAGAAATTAGTCAGCATGTTCCTTGGAACTTTACCTAGGGACGTCGGAACTGCTAAAGGCTGTGGTGAGGCACGGGCTGAAGAGAGAGGCTTTGCCAGAAAGGCCGTACAACAGATGTACATCAGATCTTCTCCCCAACTCATCCTCCCTGGAGGATACTGGAACTCTTATCTCTAGAGAAATGTAGAGACACCAGTTGAAGGCTGAAGTGAGATCCAGGGATAAATAGTGAAAAACCTCAGTTGTAAATGTTAAGAATAAAAAATCAAGAATCACGCAGCATTTTAAGAAAGCCTCAGATTGACACCTAGAGGAAACAGGATTTTTCAGGGAGCAGAAGAAAACGTAAGAAAAAAATATCTAATATATACAAATATTTGAGGAATATGCCCATGAAAACAGGAATCTCTAAAAAAGAAACAGAGACCAAGGCAGTGCTTGAAAATTAAAAATACGGTAAGCAATGGAAGAAAAAAAAAAACACAAAAAAAGAATTGGGACATAAATAATGGATGAAACCTTCTAATAAGTAGGAAAAAAGAGAACATAAACAGAAAACAGAATTATAAGATCAATATAAGAAGTTCATTGTCTCCAGTTTAAGGAATTCCTGGGAAGTGAGAGGAAACAATGAGAAAATTATCAGACATAATGAAGAAAAATTCTCTCTAGATCAGAAAAGAACACAACAACCCAAATTAAATGGGCCCACCAAGCACCTAGCCCAATGAATAAAAAATAGACTAACCCAACACATCACAACATTTCAAAACACCAGGGATAAAACATAATTTTCTTAAGCTTCAAGAGAAAATGAGCCATTCATACCCAAAGAAAAGAGTATCAGAATGACTTTTGACTTTTTGCTAACATTGGATAAAAGAAAATTTAAAAATTTGGAGAAAAAGTGTTTTCAGCCAACAGTTTTATGCCCAGGCATAGTATCAATAACATGTAAGTAAAGAAAAACAAATGTGGATGTACTTCCAAAATAAACCTCCCACGTCTTAGAGAAAGTTATTAAAGAATAGACCCCAGCAAAACAAAGGAATAAACCAAGAAAGATACATATATGGGATTTGTGAAATCAAGGTCCTGACAGAAAAATGATAAAGAGAGTTGACAGAATGACACTTGTGTAGAGCAATAAGTATCTATTAGAGCGGGAAGGTAAAGAGCTGCAGGAGAGAATTATGAAATAGCCAAATAGAGTTGCTAGAATAGTTATTATATACGAGATTTGCAAAAGTTAATTGAGTCATTTGACAGGTCCATTGACATATTGGGAGAAAGTAAAGTTTGTAGAAACTAAGCAGATGAACACACAGTAGCTTTATTAATTGCAAGACAAAACAAAATATACATGAGAAAGGAAAGGTAATAATAGGATGCTATTTAGCTCATCAGTAAACAGTATTTCATTGTTATAGTGATATAAATGGTGACTGTTTAACCAAAAGTTGTTATGTAACTATACTGAGAGGATTAGAAGGCAAGTGTGCATGTATGCTAGATTCACTACCATGACAGAAAGTCTACAACAGTATCTTAGGTTGGGTTCCCTGTAAGAAACACTCTGTGCAGAAAGTTTACTGAGAAGTATCTGTCTTGAAGGTCAACACCTGTGGAGGAAGAAGGAAGCAGGATAGGGCAGGGAGAGGAGCTGAATTGTGATGTTGATGCAGTTACAACAAAAATCTCCCTCTAGAGCTGGATGGCCCCCCAGAGTGGTACTGCCTTAAATCAAAGAGTTTGGGCCTTTTTACCCCCAGAATCTATCAGTCATTGGAGCTGACCAAAGGAGATGTTATGGACTGGATGTTTGTGTCTCCCCGAAACTCTTATGTTGAAGCCCTTAATCCCCAATATGGTATTTGGAGGTGGGGACTTTGGGAGATAATTAGGGTTAGATGAGTTTGTCGGGGTGGGGATCTTATGATGGGATTGAAGCCCTTATAAAGAAATGGGCATGAGAGCTCTCTCTCTCCATCATGTGAGGACACAGCAAGAAGGTGACCATCTGCAAGCCAGGGAGAAAGCCCTCACCAGGGACTGAATTTGCCAGTCTGCCATCACCTTGATCTTGGACAGTGAGAAACAAATACCTGTTGTCTAAACTACCCAGTTTATTGTATTTGTCATGGTGTGTGCTAATGCATGAGGGGTCATAACTAAGACAGGAGGGATCATGGTCTTAGACAAGGTGGCCCTTTACAATTGAAGGCTATTTTAACTAAACTGATAAATCAAAAATAGAAATAAAAGCATATTATTTAGAAACATGGAGGTAAGTGGCACAGGAAACAGCAAACACATTTAGAACTGGCAGAGGAAGGTGGGCATAGTGGACAAGAACAGGTTCTTTTTGTTATGAGCCATTCACCATTACTTGATTTTAGCTATGTGCACCCATGACATTGATAGAATTAACAGTTACTTTAAAATTAACAATTCAACTGCATCCAGTTATGGAAGCAAAGTGTTAAATATAATGCCATTTTTGGTGATGGTATATACAGCTAGGTGTACCAATCTTCAACACTGACAAATGTTCAAAGAAGAGGCTAGGCACAGTGGTTTAGGCTGGGTGTGGTGGCTTACACCTGTAATTCCAGCACTTTGGGAGGCTGAGGTGGGCAAACCACCTGAGGTCAGGAGTTCGAAACCAGCCTGGCCAACATAGTGAAACCTCGTCTCTACTAAAAATACAAAAATTAGCCGGGCGTGGTAGCATGTGCCTGTAATCCCAGCTACTTGGGAGGCTGAGGTAAGAGAATCACTTGAACCCGGGAGGCGGAGGTTGCAGTGAGTAGAGATCGCACCACTGCACTCCAGCCTGGGTGACAGAGTGAGACTCCGTCTCAAACAAAACAAAACAACAACAACAACAAAAAAACAGAAAAAAACAAAACAAAGAATAGTGACAATAATAACAATAATGGTAATAAATTGAACTCTTACTATGTGCCAAACACTGTGCTAAATGATTTTTAATACTTATACCTATTTTATTTTATTTTTAATCAATAAATCATGTATATCTAGATGGGGTACAGTGTGATGTTTTGATACATATTTAAATTGTGGAATAATTCAATCAAACTAAGGAACTTATCCATCACCTCACATACTTATTTTTTGTGGTGAGAACATTTAAAATTTATATATTTATTTTTTTGAGACGGAGTCTTGCTCTGTCACCAGGCTGGAGTGCAGTGGCACCATCTCAGCTCACTGCAACCTCCGCCTCCCAGGTTCAAGCGATTCTCCTGCCTCAGCCTCCCAAGTAGCTGGGACTACAGGTGCGTGCCACCATGCCCAGCTAATTTTTATATTTTTAGTAGAGATGGGGTTTCACCATTTTGCCCAGGTTGGTCTCGAACTCCTGACCTCAGGTTATCCACCTGTCTCAGCCTCCCAAAGTGCTAGGATTCCAGGCGTGAGCCACCACGCCTGCTGCCTCTGGCATTGTAAGGTGAGTGTCATAATGTTAACCTGCCTCACTGACTCCTTGGGAAGAGGAAGTGAATTCAGACACAAAGCAAAGAGACTGTGCCTGGCCCTTTGTAGGTGCCTAGTACGTATTAGCCATTTTTATGTATTTGTCTGAAAAAGCAGATTGCAACGAATCAAGTGCTCCCCAGCTGCTTCTAGAGAGTGAAGCTCCATTATTTCATTTCAATACCATTAATTTCCTACACTTCATCTTTTCATTTTCATTTTCCTTTCTTTTTGTGTATACACCTTAAGCTTTTATAAGGCATTTTGTTCAATTATTTATTTTCTCTGTGCTTGGCTTCTTCCACTCCCATTTCCTCCCAAACACACACATCAAACAACTTCCTTACTCAGTGATAATGGAATTGGGTATAATGTCACTTTCCTCTGCTGCCTTACTTTTGGAAGAGAAAGCAAGATTAATAGATTATAATCATTTGTACATGTTTGTTTTATTTTGCTAAATGGCAGCGTCTTCATAACCTTTTCAGGTTTATGTCAGTAATGTGTTCCCAAGGTCTAAATAATGATGTTTACACAGTTTGGTATATTAATAGGCTTTCACTTACCATTGCAAAATCTCTATTTGCAATGCTTAACCCTGTATTTTCTGCCTAAGGAGATTAGGGAGTTAGAATGGGTTTGTCATACTTGGCCAGACATGTCTGTTTTCTTGGTCTGTCTCAAGAAATGGAAATTACACTTTCCCTTTGGTCTATGGTCTACTTAAAGTGTCATAGAAGAACAAATTGTACTGTGAGTTTGAAATGGCGCAGAGTGTGCATGAATCCAGTGGCGCTTGAGGAACAGAAGCTGTTAGAGTAACTGACACCTGCTGTTGTTGATTAGCATCCTTCCCGTAAGCTGTAGAACTGATGCACTCTTTGGGAATAGGCTAACTGCTTACTGGCTTTACTTTAGTTTCTTAGTTGGAACCAACAGATGATTTTAAGATTGAAAAAAGAAATGCTTGGGTATATAGCTGGGGATTATGATCAGATCAGCTCCCAGCTTATCCATTTTAAATCTCCATTTAGCCAAAGCTAAACACATTTTGGATTAGCTGCCTTTTGAGGTTATCTTGGTCCCTGCTGCCTTCCATTAGTATTGACTGTACTTTAATTTTTTTTAAAAAAAATCTAGTGTCGATTTAGATTGAGGTCTGTGCAGTAAAAAAGGATCACCTTTCCACGTAGGGAAAGAGATTAAGCATCTGGATCATAGAGCTATTTATTAAAACGGACGATTTCTGCCTAAATCCACATGAACTTATGACTATCAGCATGATTTAAGTAACGAGACTGCTGACTCGGGAAATCAGAGTCTTTTGCCATTCATTGACTGACTGAGTTAAGCATAAAACTGAAATGATTTTATGGACCATTCTTTTTGGCAATGTCGATCCTAAATCTGATATGAAATGGGGCTGCCATTACAATTGTTTTGAAATACAACTAACTGAGTACTTTGAGGGATTTTGCTTTTCATTTTATTTTTTCACCAATGGAGTAGATTCGAATGATGTAGATTGTAAGAGAAGTTAAAAGACTTTCAATATTGATTCTAAGATGATTTGCTTTTTATTTTTTTATAATTATAGGCATTTGAATATTTTGCAATATTTCTTCATAAATGAACATCTTTTAAAAAATAAATTCCAGACCTTAGACAACTAACCTAATGGGCTGGGAGAAGTTATTTAAACTTTAGGAACTAGCTACTGTGCAATTCAAGTGAAAGAAACAATGCCAATAATTCATTAGTGATTGCTAGTGAAACTAAGTTCATTCTACAGAGATGATAAAAACCTGGACTATAAATCCTCAGGCATTTGAAAGTCATCATATACTTGTAGAAAGGGAAGAATGTCCTTTCTAAAATTCTACAACTATTTATAAGTAGCAGCTCTTTTTTGGGAGGACATCTTGCTAACTTTTTTTCATGACCTTTTATCAGGTAAATGCCTTGAGGATAAATCAGGGCTTCTGAATAATGCTTGCTCACCTACAACAAGATGAAAAATGGTAGGTTCCAAGCTTCAACCTATTATTTGTGGCAACTCCATAAGAAACACATGTCTCTGAACATGTCAGCAGTAGCACTCAAAGATGCTCTGTGTTACCTAATTGCTCTTGTACCTTTTTCTGACTTTGGGATAAGCAGTGGGTATGCCTGTGATGGCACATCCCTACTGACTGCTAAAGCGTGAAATGGTTGCAGTTGTGGTTCCTGCTCTCTATCCTTTCCCTCACACGCATCCCCTTTCCGGAAGCGGTAGCACTCCACCCTGGTTATAAAAAGGAATGAAGGCCCTGGTAATCATAACTCATAAAGCATGTCACATTCTTCCTCTGTCTCTTCTTTTCTCCTATTTTAATTAAAATTGAATTCATGCCTCTCAAATGAGTGGATTCACAGGATGACAGTATCTTTCAATTCTAAGGGCCATAATGGGAAGTCAGTATTATGCATTGTCTTATCTCCAGTATAACATGGTGGCTGTTTTGACAGGCTTCAGTCAAAATGTGAAGGTCCTCATCACCAAACATTCTAGAAATTGGTCCCACACCCCTCAACTCCACTCTCTCCCTGGGTCACTGGTGTCTTTCTCTTCATCCTGTGTTCATCAAAAAGGAAAGATAAGGGATGGAGTGTCTACTGCAAACATTGTTGGAGTTTTTAAATACAACATTTTATTTCTAACTTAAATGACTCCAAGATAAAATCAAATTTGCCTAATCCCAAACCCTCCATTGCCGTGACAGCTACATTAAAATATTATATGCTTGCCCCTAGCACCTACTAAGTGCTCAATAAACATTTACTGAAAGAAAATAAATTGGATTTAGACACTTGAAAGTTTTTTCTGAAAAAGAGAGTCCACATATTCTGTTGTCATAGAGACTCAAAAATCCATCTTATTTCATGATGAGCCTCAGTTGTCATAGTTCTCCTTTTCTTCTCCTTCACAAGGCAGTAATTGAGTTTCAGGATGTGGGATTGCTACTAAATATTCGCTTGCAATTTGCATCGAAATGTCAAATACATTATTTGGGAATATGCCAGATAACTTAGGAAAGTGTTTAATTTAAAAACCTGCCTGAGGGGAAAAGTAGTCTACATCAAATGAAACAGAGAGCACTTGTAGAACTTTTAGAAGTCAGCTGGACAAATGGGATGCTCAGAACTTCAAGAAAGGGCAGGGAAGAAACTCCATCCTAGATGGGGACATGTTGAAGCATTTTAAAATATTTCACATTTAAATGCCTGAGCTCTGGCAAAACATTAAAATCAAATTTTCAGGCTATTAAATTTTCTGTCTGTATCAGTTTGTTCAGGCTGTCATAACAAAATACCACAGACTGGGTAGCTTAAGTCAGAGAGATCTATTTCCTCACTGTTCTAGAGGCTAGAAGTCCAAGATCAAGGTGTTACAGGGTTGGTTTCTTCTGAGGACCATAAGGGAAAGATCTGTTCCAGGCCTCAGTGCTTGGCTTACAGAGAGCCACCTTCTCTCTGGGTCCTCACGGGGTCTTTCTTCTGTGCACCTGTGTCTCTGAGTGTCCAAATTTTCTCTTCTTACATGGACACTAGTCAGATTGGATTAAGGCCCACTATCAGAATGTCATTTTAACTTAATCACCTCATTAAAGGACATATCTCCAAATACAGTCACCTTCTGAGGTACCTGGGGATTAGGGCTTCAACATATGAGTTTGGGAGAGAAACAAGAGAATGGCCCATAACAGTGTCGAAGTGAGAAGTTGACTTGCAAACTGATGACATAGGCAGTAAGTAAGCACTGAGTGCCCGCTATGCTGTTTTGATCCACTGAGGGTGGAACGACACTCACATATAGCGTGTCTCTCATAGGGAAGTCCATAGAGTCACATGGCCATTGTCTTAGATGAAATGGACAGGGATATTCACAAACCCAGTACTCTCAACCACTGGCCATTTCTAACATTACCCTGGGGGCTCTCCCCTCCTATGAATTTTCAATACCCTTCAGCTTCTGTGTTGCTGGCTCTGCCTGATTTTGCATGTGGAAATCTTGGGGTACACATTATTTAAATGTTAGTAACTTGTTTTTACAATGATTCATCTCTCAGTTCTCAACAGGCCAGTTCATGTTGTACCCTGTATCTGGATGTCCAGGCAGAAGAACTAGGTTTGAGAACCAGCCCCATCAGATACAGATGCTGCAGCTTGAGCAAGGCACTAGGTATCTCTGAAATCACAGTTCACTCATCTGTACAGAGGAGAAAAGAGGATGGCCAAGTAGTGTGGGGAAGTGTCATAGTCCATCTGGGCTGCTGTCACAAAATGTGACAGATGGGTTATAAACAACAGATATTTATTTCTCACAGTTCTGGGGGTTGGAAAATCCAAGCTCAAGGTGCTGGCAGATCCGGTATCTGGTTAGGGCCTGCTTCCTGATATGCAGATAGCTGTCTTCGTTTTGTGTCCTCACCTGGTGCAGAGCAGAGAGACAGAAAGCAAGCTCTTTAGTGCCTCTTTTTATGTCAGCACTAATCCCATTTAGGAAATCTCCATCTTCTTGACCTAATCACCTCTCAAATGCCCCACCGCCCAATAGCATCATATGGGGGAATAGATGTCAACATATGAATGATCTGGTTTCGTGGTTCATAGATGCTGTCTTCCCAATGTGTTCTCAGGTGGTGAAAGGGGCAAGGAAGCCCTCTGGGGTCTTTTTGTTTTTAAGAGACTGGGTTTCACTCTGTTGCTCAGGCTGTAGTGCAGTGGCATGATCACAGCTCATTGCAGCCTCGACCTCCCAGGCTCAGGTTATCCTCCCATCTCAGCCTCCCAAGTAGCTGGGACTACAGACATGCACCAACACACCCAGCTAATGTTTGTATTTTTGTAGAGATGGGGTTTTACCATGTGGCCCAGACTGACCTCAAACTCCTGGGCTCAAGGGGTCCTCCCATCTTGGCCTCCCAAAGTGCTGAGATTATAAGTGTGAGCCACTGCGCCTGGCCTCATGTCTCTATTATAAGTCCACTAACCCATTCATGAGGGCTCTACTCCTACAATTTATTCACCTCCCAAATGTCCCACCTCCTTGTACTGTGGCCTGGTAGGGTTAGGATTTCAACGTATGAATTTGAGGAGGGACATAAACATTTGGTTCATTGCAGGGGTACTGAATGAGATAATATGGATGAAGTGTAATTATGCAATAAAGGCTTAATTAAAGTACAATTGTCCCTTGATATCCATAGGGGATTGGTTCCAAGCGTCCCCTTGGGTACCAAAATTTACAAATTCTCAGGTTCCTTATATAAAATGGCATGGTATTTTCATATAACCTACGCATATCCTCCCATATATTTTAAATCATCTCTAGATTACTTATAATACCCAGTACAATGTAAATGCTATGTAAGTAGTTTTATACTGTATTGGTCTTTTCTCCTTGTATTATTTTTATTGTTATATTGTTATTTTTTATGGATTTTAAAACAATATTTTCAATCTACAGTTGGTTGAATCTGTGGTTGTAGAAGAGTGGAGGGATTTTTTTTACTTGTATTATTTTTATTGTTATATTGTTATTTTTTATAGATTTTAAAATAATATTTTCAAACCACAGTTGGTTGAATCTGTGGATGTGGAACCCATGGTTGTGGAGGGCTGACTATAAATTTTAATGATGTTTCTTGCAATTTTACGGTTGAATTTTAACCAAACTACTCCTTCCCTTCACACCCACCTCCTCTTCACACACACACATGATTAAAAATAACATGCAAAGGCATAGAAACAACCAACATACACAATTCCTTTCATTTACTTAAAGCCTTGAGATTATGGAAGAAGGCCCAAAATGAAGTCCCTAAACAAAGCCAGGAGGGGGCGACCTCCTGGCCTAAATAGTCCTGGCATATTTCAGGAGTAAAATTGGAGGGGATGGGGTCTTGGGAAGGAGATTTGATTTTATCGGGCTTATGTGTCAGTCAGTGCTTCTCAGTCCCCCAGGTTCACTGGGCAGGCTTGAACCTTGACTGGGTCCCTGCGAGGCCTGGTGTGTAGATCACAGACTGGAGTCAGATGATGTGGGTTCAAATCCTGACTCTGCCATTTTCTAGCTGCAGGAACTGGGCAAGTTAATTAACCCCTGTAAGCCTCAATTTTCTCATCTGTTAAATGAGAATACAAATAGCATCTACCCAAAAGGTTGTCATGAAGATTACCTGCAATAATCTACATGAGTATAGAGTGTTTATATAGCACCAGGCTAAGCTTATTAAGATAAGCTTTTAATAAAGTAATGTTAACTATTAATGTCATCACTGGAGTTAGTACTCACACATCACTATTCTTTTCTCTGATCACTTTCTCTCCTTGTCTTACCTCTGCCCAATATGCATATCAAATAAATGTATATTAATTCAGTGGAAGTTGTTTCAACATATTCAAATGGTCTGGAAATGCTTCTGTTCTCTTTTACTCCTTTTATGTATGGGTGATCAGATACCCAAGGAGGATCAGGAGTCAGTTGGGAAATGGAAGAAGAAAGAGACAGAGGACTGTGGTAGAAGGATCATTGGTTTGAGTGTCTAGGACTTTGGGGAAGAGAGGCAGCTGAGTGTACTGACCAGTTTACCTTCTCTGGAGCCAGACTGAATGTAAATCCCTTCTCCACTTTCCCAGCTGTGTGATCCAAGTCAAGTTACCTAACCTCTCTCAGCCTTGGTTGCCTTCTTACAGAGAAAGGGATGGCGATAATGATATTTTATAGTGTTATTAGGAGGACTTGATTAGTTAATATTTAGAAGACATTTATATCAGTACTGTGTATAAACAGAATATAAATGTTGTTTAATTTTTTAAATGTCCAGAATAGGTGCTGGAAACCGAGTAGTAGCAGCAAAGCTGAAGTCAAAGTTAACTATAGACTAGACATTGAGAAGATATGAGTTATCTGTCCTGAGGGAAGTGATATTACTTTTCCTAACCTTGGGGACCACAGAGCTTCTCTCCAGCTTTAACATGCTCTGAATCATTGTCTTGGTAATGATCAGGATTATGCCTTGCTCAGGAAATATTGGTTATTTAGTTGCTTTGGAAAATGTGACAGGAAGCTAGAATTTAAGTTTTACAAACATAACCCTAAAAATTATTTCAAACTCTGAGCCCATTTTCTAGCTGCTTACAGGTTACACCTCATAGTTGGGCCAGTATTTTAACTGCATTCTTCTTGTTAACAACTTCTATATTTTTTCCTTTGTACTCTCACCAAGAAAAAATAGCAGAATTATGAGCTCCTTCGCACTCTGGTTTGGAGATGTTTGGGAGTCTGCAAGCCCTGAGAATACTTAAATTAAAATGATGGTTTCAAAAATAGGCCCATTGAAACATGGAAATGTGTTTCTCTCTTCACATTTCTGTTTTCCTTTTTTATTCTGTGGGTTGCTGTCCACAGCAGGATGAACTGAGAAAGGCCATCAAGAGGTGGTCTTTGTAGATTTTTCTCCCCTACCATCTTAAAGAAACTGTTGCTTTCCAAAGTGTAGAACTGTTAGTATAGTTCGATGACCTTTCATCACAAGAATACTTAAAGTATTGTTTTTAAATGCGGTGACAAGGGATGGAGAACAAACAGTTTTTCAGAGGGATTTTCCTGGAAAAGCTGTGAACTGACTGGGGTTAACGTCCAAAGGTAATGGTCTCTCCCAGCGGGTCATTAATTCCCAGGAATTGGCCTGTGCCTCAATTGCTATTGCTTAAGTAAACAATAAATAACATCACACAGATATGTAATGAACTATAAAATGACCACTTCTCAACCTGCATTGTAGATATGCCTGCAGCACATTCAAGACTGCCTTCTATTAATCACCTCCCCAACTTGATTGATTAGTTTCCATCAGCACCCTGTCCCCTATTTTCTTTTAAAATAGATTAATTTCATACTGGTGAGGTCAGAGAATAAAAGCATGAATGTTAGGCCCAGTAAAAAATGGTGTCTGTGCTAAGTATTTGACTTTTTTTTTCTCTCTCTCTCATTTTTTCTCTTGCACTTTCTGCTACTCTGCAGCAATTAGTTATAACTCGCATCATGCCCCAATAATACCAAGATTTGTGCCGATGACATTGGTTAATGGAAACTGAATGAGTCTTTCAAGGGCAAGGATTATTTTAATTATGTTAATAATATAAGGGTTCCTGATCCGTCCACCCACTCCACTGTCATTTCTCAGTCATTTCGCTTGACCTTTCAGAAGTTCTTAACCCATCTGATTATTTCCTTCCACGAAACTATTTGCTTGGCCTCCACTCTCTCCTGGTTTTCTTCCTACCTCATTTGCCACTCCTCAGTCTCTTCTTTTAGCTCTCTTTTTTAAAAAAGTTGTAAAATGCACACAACACGAAGTTTACCATTTTAACCTTCTAAGTGTGCAATTCAGTGGCATTAAGTACATTCACAATGTTGTGTAACAGTCCCCACTGTCTACTTTCAAAACTTTTTATCACCTAAAATAGAAACTGTAACCTTTAAGTAATAATTTCCCATTCCTCCTTCTTCCAGCCCTTGGTAACCTCTCCTTCTATCTTTATGAAATTTGCTAGATACCTCATATACGTGGAATCATACAATATTTGTGTGTTTCATTCTGGGTTATTTCACTTAGTATAATGTATTCAAGATTCACCATGTTGTAGCATGCACCAGAACTTCATTTCTTTTTATGGCTGAAAATATTCCATTGTATGTATATAGCCCATCATATTTACCCATTTATCTCTTGATGGACATTTGGTTGTTTCCACCTTTTGGCTATTGTTAATAATGCTGATATGGACGTGGATGTATAAATGGAGTAGAATTACTCAGTCATATGGTAATGATATTTTTAACTTTTTTAAAGGAACTGCAAAACTGTTTTCCGCAGTTACTTTTTCACAGTTTTACATTCTTACCAGCAATGCACTAGAGTTCCAACTTCTGTACATCCTAACAATTGTTATTTTTTTATAGTAGCCAACCCAGAGGGTGTGGGGTTCTCGTCGTTAGTTCTATCTTGTCTTCCAAACTTGTCATCACTGAAGCACCTGAGGACTCAGTCTCCCTGTCTTCCCTTTCCCATCTATTTCTATCCCTTTGGTGATCTCCTCCAGCCCCCTGGCTTTAAATACCATGGACATACTGATGTATATTGCTAGCCCCTACCTCCTGCCAGACTCTAGGCTTCTCACTGCTGTTGCCTGGTGGGCATTTCTACTTGGATGTTCAGTAGGCACCTCAACCTTAAAATGTCCAAAACCGAAGGCAGATTCCAAGCCCCTCATCCCTTGCCCACCATGAACCTGGTTCTCCCACAGACTGCACTTATCTGTCAATGGCATCTCCATTCTACCTGGTTCTCAGGCTCCAAACCTTGGATTCATCCCTTCCTTTTCTCTTTTCCTTTCTTTCTACATACACCAGCAAATTAAGTTGGTTCTACTTGCAAAATTAACACAGAGCTTTGATTGGGTCTTGGTTCAAATGTTACCTGCAGAAGGACAACCTCTCCAAGTTAAACAGCCCCTGCTCCCTCCCTCTCCATTCCCTTATCTGCTCTATTCTTCAGAGTACTTGACATCATATATATGTAAGTTTCATATCCTGCACCATCATGTGAGGGCAGGAACTTACTTGGTATGTTTTCTGGTTTGTCTCCTTTGCCTGAAAGAGTACTGATTTCTCTAAAAAAAATTGATGAGTACAGGATAAGTGGAAGATACAGTGTCTGCCCCTGAGGAAGCAATGAAATCAAGACTCTATATATGAAGCAACTAAAAACAGGAAGCCCGCTTGGATTTTTTTCGGGGAAAATGGATTTTTTTTTTTTTCCAAATAAATCCTACCTCATCATGTGACCAAAACATGTCTATTTGAGTTGAAAGTGTTTTTGCCATGTTAGACACTTTCCTGCTAAGAGACAGGATATTGAGCAAACTTCTTAATAAGTTAGTGTTGCTATTTTATTTATATATGTATATATACCTACACATATACACACACACATTATTTTGCTGTGGCTACTTTTAATTTTATAGAATCCATTTTTGTTGAGGCCCTCCTCATAGGCAGTTATTTTTCCTTGAAACTGCTGCTAGTTTGCTAAGAATTTTGTCCTGAGTAAGAGAGGGTGAAATGCTGCTAGTATAATATGAAATGCATTTTATGAGTTAAAAATTGATCACATATAAATAATAAATAATTGTATTAGTATGACCACAGAACTTTAAAAATGTTCTTAGCATTAGAGATTCTATTGAAAGTTCCTTGAAGACAAAACAATGCCCTGAGCAGCTCTACATTCTTCTCAATGCCTGAAGTCATCCTTTTTTTTTTTTTTTTGAGACAGAGTCTCACTCTGTCACCCAGGCTGGAGTGCAATGGCACAATCTCGGCTCACTGCAACGTCTGCCTCCTGGGTTCAAGCGATTCTCCTGCCTAAACCTTCCAAGTAGCTGGGATTACAGGCATAGACGCTCACTAAATAATTGCTGAAGGTTTCAAATATTTTCAGCACAAGACAATTACACTATCTCTTTGTTCCTCCTGGAGAGATAGCACTATATGTATACTGAAGGGAAGATGGATGTGGGCTCAAGGTCTGGCATTTGCCAGCTGTGTGGCTTTGAGGAAATCATTTCTGACAATTTTTGGCACTGTGAAGTACTTCCCTGTTAGTAGCAAAAGGAATATAAGGCTCTCAGCACTTCCTGCTTCCATAGAGTAGGCCTATAGTCCTATAGTAAGTAAATTATAAATTGTGATAGATATTAGTTGTTGTTGTTGTTACATCTCTTCTTATAATGTTTCATTTTCATAGAATAAAAGAGTCATAGAAAATATAAACACATACTTTAAGCCTGATTCAGGTCAAATTAAATAAGCTTTTGAGCTCCTGCTATTCCAGCCACTGAGCTGGACATCCAGCCAGGCATCTCTGCATGTTTTGTCTCATTCAATTTTATTTTTCTTAGATCACAGTATCCTGATGTAAAGATTCTCTCAGAATTTCCATCAATGTATAACTTAATTCTTTTTTTTTTTTTTAAGACAGAGTCTCGCTCTGTCACCTGTCCCCCAGGCTGGAGCACAGTGGTGTGATCTTGGCTCGCTGCAATGTCTGCCTCCTGAGTTCAAGCAATTCTCCTGCCTCAGCCTCCCAAGTAGCTTGGATTATAGATGCCCGCCACCACCCCTGGCTAATTTTTGTATTTTTAGTAGGGACAGGATTTCACCATGTTGACCAGGCTGGTCTCGAATTCCTGACCTCAGGTGATCCGCCCATCTTGGCATCCCAAAGTGTTGGGATTACAGGCGTGAGCCACTGCACCGGGCCTATAAACTTAATTCTTGAATTATATTTTAAAGTTTAAAACTCCTTAAAGAAATATTCCATGAGTGAAATATGGATCAGTGTTTCAAAACCAAAGCATTTGACTCAGTAATGTTTGAGGAATTATTGATTTCTATACATGAATGAAATGGGAAATCTTACGTTCAGATAGGTTTAATTAATATTTTTCTAGAGTGACATATTTGCTACCAAAATTTAAAAATAATTTAACTTTTTCATATAATAAATGTCTTTTAAAAAGTGGAAGCTACTTATGGAAAAATATAACAATTTGTTTTTTGAACTTTTTAAAACTTGATGACCTGTTTTGGGACTTGAGACCTTGCTGAGCCTGACATGCTAATTCTTTGATTTATTCAAATACTCTTTAGATACTTCATTGTTATTCATAAAATATGTTTAGCCTTTGTTACATGTAATGAAATAATTCACATTATTTAAGTTCAGGAAAAGAAAAAAATACAATTTGAGTGTTGCTGGGCAGCAAAGAGCAAAGGAGAGACACATACAATATACATACTCAATGTTTTCTTAGTTTTTTTGTTTTTTAATTGTCCTAATTTTAGGCAATGAAAAATAATTTTGTCATCTGCCTCAAATTTTTGTTTCGATGGTTGGTTTGGTTTTGGATTTGTTTTTTTTTTTTTTGAGACAGGGTCTCATTTTGTCATCCAAGCTAGAGTGCAATGGCTTGATCACAGCTCACTGCAGTCTCCACCTCTCAGACTCAAGTGATCCTCCTACCTCAGCCTTCTGAGTAGCTGGAACTACAGGGACGTGCCACCATTCCTGGCTAATTTAAAAAAAAAATTGTAGAGACAGGGTCTCACTATATGTTTTCCAGGTTGGTGATGTGCCTTACATTTAATGTTGCCTCTGAGACCTTAAGAGCAAACTTTCCTGTTTTACTTAAATCTAGGTACATCATTTGAAACCCATTTGAAAGCTCCTGGTGACTTATTTAGCTTAATGATGTTCATCTTACTGAGAAGCAAACTCACAGAGCTTTCCTTATTCCACCAAATGTTGACAGAGTTCCGGTTCAGTTCTGCCACTTTCTAGTGCTGTGACCTTGGGCAAGAACCTAGTTGCTCAGAGCCTCAGTTTCTTCATCTGTAAATAGGGGTAATAACAGAAGCACCCTCACAGAATTCACGTTAGGATTAAATGGATGTATATATTTAAAATATTAGTATATCTACTATAGTATTATAATTTGTATATATAATGTATATAATTTGTGTGCGCACACACACACACACACACACACACACACACACACACACAGCTTGGAAATAGGGCCACCATTTAATATGTGCTCTGTAAATATTAACTATAAAATTGATGGTGGTTGTGGTGGTGGTGGTCCTCAGCCTCCCAGGATATCAAAAAGGAATTAAAGGAATGTTTTGTCATTTTTAAGAATCTATCATGATGGGTAAAGGGACAATATGGAGTGGTAGACAATATGTAGTGGAAGTGAGTTTTAATTTTATTACCAAAGCGTATGTATGTTCTTTAAAAAAGTCATTCCAGGAGCTGATGGTGCAATACATTCCAGTTTAACCATTCTATTTCATAAAATCTTTCTGTGTTCCTTGAGATCAGGAAAAAAAAAAAAAACTAAAAAGAATAAATGACCAGAAGTTATACTTTGTAGGAGGTCAAAGAAAATAAATATGTTCAGTACTAGGCTTAAAGGTTGAAAAAGGTTCATTTAAATGGCTCCACTTAGAGAATATGACAAAGCTCCAACACTTCCTGTCAGGCACAGTATTTCATGCTTAAAAGTTGCGTTCAGATACATTCTTTCTTCACTCTCATCTATCCCGTATAAATGGTTGCCAGTTATCTGCACACAATGGCAGCTTGACAGAAGGATATGACTATATGAACATGCCATCCAAGTTAATGATGCCATGGATTATAATGCAATAAAATCATAATCCATCTCTGCTCCTAGTGCAGTGCTTTTTAATTCAGCCATGACATCCTATATGGAGATGTTTATCCTGCACTTCTCCCAGGCTGTGGGAATTATTCTCCTGCAGTCAGCAGGGGACTATCTGATGATTCACCAATAGGGTAGTATCAGCACTGGCGATTAAAAGGATTACTTATTTGCTTACTCAGGAAGGATTAATGGCAGAGAGCAAAAGCTTTGTTTAAAAATCATGTGCCCTGACTTCCTGGAGCTTAAAGAAAAGAGTCTAAAAGGTATTATACCATTTTATGAAGAAGCATTTTATTCAAAAATTAAAATCTTGATCCACAAAATGGTCCCTTACTGATGAATTGTGAGCTAGCATTAAACAAATAATCATTTTCTAGTAATATGCTCCCATTGTATTTCGGCATTTCTGTAATCCAGGGTCTGTTGGAACTGTTTTATTCTAGCTGGTTATTTAGGGAGATGATTTTTGTGTCTGTAATTGAAGTCTAAAATATGGAACTTAATCATATACTAAAATAAATCAACAAGATTAAAAGAGTGTTTAATTCTTGTGATGACTGGGGACTTCTCATTTTAGTGTATCTTTAAGATTTCCCTTTATAAATAATACAAATCTTCATATTATTTTTTGTTTTCCTTGTTTAAAACAATAAGCATAGCAGAAATTGCAATGTTTTGTGTGACCTAAATATTACTTGATGGCAGTTATTAAGTCTTATACTCTCTATGTGAGATCTCAAATTTGAAAAATTCTCAGGATCTGGCTGTTATAACCACTGTTGGTATTAAAAATATTAATGATAATAATATACGAGAACATCAACCAGCATTGGACCTCAAAATACATCAGACCTGATCTAAAATCTACTCCTTTGTGAAATTTTCAATGTTGAAAATACATTTTTTTTTTTTGCGGGGGGTCGGGGCGGGGGGACATGAAGTCTCACTCTGTGGCCCAGGCTAGCGTGCAGTGGCACAATCTCGGCTAACTGCAACCTCCACCTCCTGGGTTCAAGTGATTCTCCTGTCTTAGCCTTCCAAGCAGCTGGGGCTACAGATGCCCACCACCACGCCTGGCTAATTTTTTTGTTGTATTTTTAGTAGAGACGGGGTTTCACTGTGTTGACCAGGCTGGTCTCTAACTCCTGACCTCAAGTGATCTGCCTTTCTGGGCCTCCCAAAGTGCTGGGACTACAGATGTGAGCCACCATGCCTGGCCAGAAAATACGTTTTTATAATATTTCTCCTCTTCACTTTCTGGTTAGCTTGTAATGAGATTTAATTACCAGGAATGTGTTTTCACTGAGGTATTTTTCTTCATTTCCTCCTAGGAAAAATTAGGAATTAGGATTTGCCAAATTTTCTCTATCGAGCTACTGAATCAATGCTATTGACAGCATCTTAGTGGATTAAGAGGTGGAATCTGAAATAAAATTCTCCTTCGAGTCTTCTGGGCCATACCTGTGCCTGCCATTGGAGTCCTCAGGGCAGAGAGTGGTCTGTCCTGGCAATGGCAGGTTCAGGAGGGAGGAATTACATGGACCCAATGGCATGGATGAGAAAGCACTGATTTCTATCCTACTGCTTTCATTTCTTTTGCCTCGACCGTCTCTGAATCCTTTCAGAGCCACCACCTACCCCTGCAAACGGTGGTAGAAGAGAAAAATTATTTTAAAGGTATTTCCACTTGAAACAGAGTTAACTTTCTTAAATTAAGGGAATTTTTTTTTTAAGCTGAAAGATGTTTAATTTCTTTTCTAGCCCATAGGAAGCACAGATGGATGGTATCTTTGTACATAATAATCAACTGTGACTAGTTAAATGACACACACATGTAATCACTTTACCATTCTAAAAATATTCTCTCTCTGCTTTCCTGATCATTTTCTAAAACACATGTGAAAGGTTGTTCTGACCCACTTATGGCTTTACTGGGTTATCTGCCCAAATAATACCATCTTATGATTTGTTTTGTTTCCCATATAAGCTGAAAATTTTCTTATTAACCTCCATGACATCTCAATATATGTTTTGTTTACTGCCAGACCCTACTAAGTTTATTGATATATTTTACATGAAACTGCCTGGTAAATTTGCAAATGCAGCAATTACTGCGGTAAATTGCATTTTAGAGATAATGTTCCGAATTTTTCCTTCAAGACAATACAAATGGTGCTGTCTAATGCCAGTGATAACTAGCCACAAGCCAAGTCCTTTCCAATAAATACAAAGTTTGTAATGAGATGGTGGCTTTCCTTTTATAGATTGAAGGAAATTGGTAATGAAAACTTTGATTTTTTTCCCCTGAACTTTATTAAATAAAATGAATCACAGTCTGGTATTTAAAGTCAATAGCACTAGCTAAAACAAACTGCATTGTATCTGTAATTACAAACCTCTTCTAAAATTAGAGTGATAAAGATAGTGAAAGCTTCCTTTTTAACTTGTTAATTTCATTCAAATGCTAAACCAGCAAATATATTATCAAATGATAATATATTTGTTATTTTAAATGAATTCTCTAAGTAGATTATAAAGTTATGGCCCCAGATTATTTGAGAATTAAGGATCCCTTGCTGTATCCATATGCTCTAATTATATCTACTTATTTCTCAAAAAGAGGTATGAGCATATTGACTCATTCCTTCCACCCAAATATCCAAAAATCTTTAAGCTCCCCACATACCTCTTATTCTCCAGTTATGGAATCATGTTGGCTTCCAGTTAGAAAATGAAAAGTACTTGTTGGGCTCCCCGTGCCAGAGTGCCTTCCTTCCTTACCTCACTTCTTCCAGAACTGGAATCCTGTCCTAGAACTCCTCCTCATTGTCACGAGCTCCATTTCCCAGCTCTTGATGTCCCCGACACTGTGCTTTACCCACCACTGCCCCCAATCAGATCCCCTTGGCTTAGATCACCTTTGGTAGGGACCACATCTTACTGGGTTTTTGACATTCACCTGATTTCCTTCCTAAACCCTCCTAGTTCTGTCTAATCTCTCAAAGTCCTGGCCACACCAGCCAAATCGCCAATCAGCCCTGGTTCTGACATTCTCCAGGCATGAATCTTCTGGGCCAATACCCCAGCCCAGACTTCCCTTTGATAGTGAGAATTAGATGGGAAAGATGATTTTTAGAAGTGTGCACATATGCCTTACAGTTATGTCCATATTCTTACATAAAATTAAATATATAAATAGTGTGGTGACATTTGAGGGAATGCTTAATGAGTACAAGGGACAAAAAGTATAAATGCTAAGGTTTAAAAGAAATACTTCTCCAGATACTGAGGCAAATGATGAAGAAAATAACAAAGCATTGCCTATTAACAGTGTTACTACAGGAAGATCTCAAGAGATTATTAATTTTATCCCTGCCAGATAATGACTTTTGATAAATTCCTAATTTCTGAGTTGAGAATCAAATACAACAATCGCTTCTTGAATTAGCCACATAATTGTAGTCCATGCTACATGGAATTCTCCTGGCGGTTCTTGCAGTGATGGTGATATGAATATCCTAGCTGCTGCTCAACTCTGTTTAATCTCCCGCTGTAATTACAGCAGGAAGGCATGCTCACTTTTTCACATTTTCCGTTTACTCTGGAGTGTAAATTTTAGGAAACTAAGACTTTTGAGTTCCGCAAAATGTCTCCTAAGCCTATTCATCTCTAGCTTTCTTGTTTTTAACATATTCTCCCAGTGCCTGACTATTGTTTTTGCAGATTTAAATAGCCTTATGACCTTTATATCAACTAAAATGTGAAATACCTAGTTTTGATGGATTGCCTATGCTTCTGTTTATTTAATTGTAAACATTCCATAATAATCTATTATCCTTGGAAAACACTATTTTTTTCCATTGGAAGCTTGTTTTATAGTGACGTTATTTCCATGTGGATGAACATAGTGATCTGCAGTCTAATTTATTCATCTGGAAAGTCAAAACTTCATTTTGTGAGGCGAATATAAGCTCATATACTCCCTTGTGGTAAAGTTAGATGAATATTCTCATTGCTTCAGAATATATTGTGCATACCTAGTTAAGAGACCTTGAAGCAAACTTGTCATTTCTGAATTTCATCAGTCAAAGTATGTATTTGCCTTGGCTTTATACTTACTTAAAGGACAGGGGCTGATGTGGAAAATTTTCTCAGGTGCAGAGAACAGCAGACTATTAACATATGGTTGACATGGTTTCATTTGATTGTCCTAAATTACAGGAGTTGGGCTCATTTTGATGCTATCCATATTGCTGCCAGGTTTTCTAATTTATTTTAAAATCATTCACTCTTTCTTAAGCTTTTCCAAAGCAAGAGGTGTGGGTGAGGGAGTATTTCCTTGAGCATCAGCTGTACTGGAATATTCTAGTATGTTTGACTTGATAGTTTAACTACAAGGCATGACCAGCCACACTCTGCAGTCACATTGACTTCTTAGAATTTTGAGATTTGCAAGGATATTTGTCTTTCACCTTGGTTAAATACTTTGCATACAGAATTAAGTAATTTCATTAAAGTGCATTGGAGGAGAAAAATAATTTATGACAGGAAGTCTATAAGTATAAGGAGTTTAGCCAGAAGTTGTGATGTAATGTTAAACAAATAACCTTCAAAAATTATCCTGAAAAATCTATTTGTATGTCCATAAAAAGGACCTACAATTTGTGGGGTGGGCTCCAATCATAAAGAGTTTTGTTACAGAAATCTCTCAATGAAATGGCTAATTTTTTCTTTCCAATTGCCCATGGAAATGGAATTAAGCCTCGTTAACTTGAAATAGAATGGCTGTCCTCCATGATGGAGCAGGACAGTGCCTCTAGATAGCACAGATGCAAAGTCCTCAAAGTGTATTTCTCTCACCTGCGGTAGTCACGGAGAGTTTTAAAAAATTACTTTATAAATCTTACTTTTTGATAATTTCTGAAATTGAAATAATTTGAGCTGAAGCCTTTATTGCATTGAGTTTCCATGTAAGTCAAAGACCAGTAGACATGAATAAGAATTAAAGAGATCCACAAATAGAGCCCTAAAAAAAATCCACTTGCATTTCACATGGATGCCACAATTGGACTCAGTCCTGAATTGTCACTGACAGGTTTCTCAATCTTGTCAGTAATGATGGCATCCTGGTGGTGGCAGCAAACAGAGAGCAATTTTCTGCAGTGACTGTTGTGGACAATTTGTATTAAGATGAAATGTTATGAGACAAATATATGAAAGCCTCGTTCTTGCTTCTGTGTGATGCAAATTTTCTTTTCCCTGCTTGGTCAAGCATGGAGTACCGAAAAAAGATTTGGAAAAGATGCATTGGCACTGGATTGCAAAGTGTCATTGTATCCTTTTCCAACACAACATTCTTACAGTAAAGGCAGAATGAGTTACGTGTACTATCAGTAGCTCCGTAGCGCCAAGGCTCATTTGGCCATTTAAAGGTATCTTTTGGGCTTCTTTGTCAGCTGTCAAAGGAGAACATATTTGGCTTACATCAAGGGTTGCATAAGTATTCGGTGAATGGTTAATAAGGCTTTTCTTTTAATGTGAGACAGTAATTTGAAAAAGTCTGCTTGGATGTCAACCCAAACAGCTGAGCTTGCTATTTGATTAAGGAATTGGAGTTGCATGGGTGGGTTTATTGGAAATGGCAGACACTGAACTGACAGATGTCTGCCCTGAAGGTTTACAATTCTAAATCTTTTGTTTTCAAAATATTTAAGGTAAAATGTTTACATTGAAACAGAATCCTATGGATATTTCAGTATACATATTGCACGTATAATTAAGGCTACCTACATTATTTTGAAAGCTAGTGACAGCTACAGAGAGTTTATACCACTAATAAATGTAAACAGAAATTACTGAAGAGTTTGGCATATTACTTTCTTGAATAAAACATCATATACATGAACTTGAATATTATATTGAGAGAAAATTGAAAGTAGGCTACAAAATTAATAGTGAAGTATTTGCATTTTTTCCCATGAGGATTATAGATGTTTTTAAATGTGGCTATAAAAATACAAATATTTTTCTTTTTAAATATAGAAACACATCTGTGCTTGTACCTGCAAGAGTTGATGCTTTTGTGGATAAAAGTCTATACTTTCAAAATAAGATTTTCCGAGTCAATGTAGCCACTTCCAATAGTTGATATAGCGTAGTGGTTAAGAATATGAGTGAAGTTTTTAGAATAGCTCTAGAAAATATTAAGTACTATGTGAATATTAGCTCTTGGCTAATGGAGGTGTGATGATGCTTGCCAGTGAGTGGCAAAAGTCACTTCTTTTATAAATTTTGATTTGAGGCCTATTAAAAACCACCACCAGGACGGATGCGGTGGCTCATGCTTGTAATCCCAGCACTTTGGGAGGCCAAGGCGGGAGGATCACGAGGTCAGGAGATCGAGACCATCCTGGCTAACACGGTGAAACCCCATCTTTACTAAGAATACAAAAAAATTAGCCGGGCGTAGTGGCAGGTGCCTGTAGTCCCAGCTACTCGGGAGGCTGATGCAGGAGAATGGTGTGAACCTGGGAGGTGGAGCTTGCAGTGAGCCCAGATCACGCCACTGCACTCCAGCCTGGGTGACAGAGGGAGACTGTCTCAAAAAACAAACAAACAAACAAAAAAAAAAACACCACCATCCAGGCACACTGGGTCATGCCCGTAATCCCAGCACTTTGGGAGCCTGAGGCAGAAGGATTGCTTAAGCCCAAGGAGTTCAAACTTACTGTGAGCAAGGATGATGCCACTGCACTGAACTGCAGCCTGGACGATGGCATAAGACCCAGTCTCTAGAAAAACACACACACACACACACACACACACACACACACACACACAGTCAAAACCCAAAACACTACCGCACACACATACATACAGGTAAGTGCCATAACTTTATAACAGCACTTCCTATTCATGCTTCTGCCATCTCCCTGCCCAGAGATATATTTTTTTAATTTTTGAGAGTTATTTTTTAGGAGGATGATATGTAAAGTAAGCATTTTATTTGAAAATATTTTTAGATTTATTGAAAAGTTGCAAAAAGAGTGCTATTCTATATGGTCCACATGGGTTTCCCCTATTATTAATATCTTACATGTCTTGGCACATTTATTGTAATTAATGAAGAAATGCTGATACATTGTTATTATCATTACAGTCCATACTGTATCAGATTTCGTTGATTTTTTCTGTTCCAGGATCTCACCCAGGACGCCATATTGTGTTTAGTCATCAGGTCTACTCAGGCTCCTCTTAGCTATGCAGTTTTTCAGGACCTCCTTGTTTTTGATGACTGTGACGGTTTTGAGGAGTACTGCTTAGGTGTTTTGTAAACAAAATGTCCTTCAATTGGGATTTGTGTGGTGGTTTTCTCATTAAGGAAATATAAATTAAAGCTACAGCAGGGTACCACAACACATCTATTAGAAGGGCTAAAATCCAAAAGCCTGACGATACTAATCATTGCCAAGAATACAGAACAACAGGAACTCTCATTCATTGCTGGTGGGAGTGCAAAATGATGCAGCCACTTTAGACAGTTTCTGACAAAGTGAACAGAGAGTAGCCGTATGATCCAGCAGTTGTGCTCCTAAGTCTTTATCTGATTGATCTGAAAACCTAAATCCAAAGAAAATGGCATGCAGATATTTCTAGCAGCTTTGTTCATGATCAGCAAAAACTGCAAGATGTCCTTCAGTAGATGAATGTGTAAACAAACTGTGGTATATCTATACAATGGAATATTATACAGTGATAAAAATAAATGGGCTATTCAGCCATCCATAGAGATGAATCTCAAATGGAGGTTTGAATTGTAATCCCAAAAGATGATCCCAAATTCCATGTGCCAAATGTTGAAATCCCAAAAGATCAAAATGCCTAATGATCAAAACCTCTCACGTCTAAGTCCTTAATATCTAAAACCCTGAAAATCACAGTCACAGGATAATTGCATCACATTAGGTAGGACTATTGCCTTGCTATTATCTTTATTTGGAAATTAAGTGTGGTTTAAAAAGATGTGTATGATTGCAAAGTTGACAAGGGGTGACTTGTGGATTTAATTTTAGGTGTCAATTTGACTGGATTAACAAATACTTAGTAAAGCATCACTTTGGGTGTGTCTGTGAGGGTGTTTCCAGAGATTTGTGTGTGAGTATGGGTGGACTAGCTGGGGAAGATCTGCCTTCAGTATTAGAGGGCACCAATCAGGGGCCCAGAGAGAATAAATACAAAAGATGAATTGGTCGATCTCTCTCTCTCTCTCTCTCTCTTTCTCTCTCTCTCTTTCTCTCTCTCTCTCTCTCTCTCTCTCTCTCTCTCTCTCTCTCTCTCTCTCTCTCTCTTCTCTGTCTCCTCTCTCTCTGAAAGCTGGGGCAAACTTTTCATCTGCTTCCTTGGATGTCAGATTGAACATCAGAAATTTGACTCTGTGAAAGTGCATTATCATGTTGACTTTGTGTTAAGTATTGTGTGTGTATGTAAAAACATCCGAGATGTCCTTTCTGCACATCTGCATCTATGAAAGATAGGCCGGGTGTGGTGGCTCACGCCTGTAATCCCAGCACTTTGGGAGGCTGGGGTGGGCGGATCACTTGAGGTCAGGAGTTCGAGACCAGCCTGGCCAACATGGGGAAACCTCACCTCTACTAAAAATACAAAAATTAGCCGGGTATGGTGGTGTGCACTTGTAATCCCAGCTACTTGACAGGCTGAGGCAGGAAAATCGCTTGAACCCGGGAGGCAGAGGTTGCAGTGATTGTGCCACTGTGCACTCCAGCCTAGGCAACAAAGTAAGACCCCGTCTCAAATAAATAAATAAATAAATAAATGAAAGATAAAGTTTCTAAAGATCTCGGCTCTTTAGGTGACTGTCTATGCATCTTGATTTTTGATAGATCTCATCAAAAATTTAGGTTGTTTGTCATGGTTTTTCAGATGACTACAGTTATAAAGCTGGGTGCATGTGGTTACTGACCATAGTGATATACGTTTATACCTTTCACTTTTTGGCCTATTTCTTTATGAATACAGCTTGTCTACTCATAACTGTTAGACCTATGTGACCATCATTAGTATACCTGAGTATTTATGCATGCAAAAATATGTTATTATTGCCTATTTTATTGTGTAAAGTGGCCTGTGAATCGTTTCATTGTATTTTTGTATTTCTCAAATAAATCCCCCTTAAAAGTGTAAATAAATATCCTTAATTTTTAAAAAAATTTTTCCCCAGAATTATATTTTTGAGATTTTGATCTTTCCAGATTTCAATATTTGGGATTAAGATTATGTCTTTCCACATTATGATCGGTTGCTCTCAAATGCATATTACTAGCTGAGGAAGCCAGTCCGAGAAGGCTGCATATTTTATGCCAATTATATGACTTACGAGAAAAGGCAGAACTATAGACAGTAAACAGAGTGGTGGTTATCAAGGACTTAAGGAGGAGATAGAATTGCATAGGTGAAGCACAGGGAATTACTAGAGCAGTGAAACTATTGTGTAAATACTGTATATGACATGCATTTGTGAAAGCCCATAGAACCTTATAGTACAAAGAGTGCCTCTTACTATAGCAAATTAAAAATTCTTAAGGAGATTGGGGGAATCTCAGGGTGGAATGCAGAATGAGAAAGGAATTTATTATAAATTTATGAAACAACGTTACTGAAGGGGGTGGGGAGACAAGTTGCAAACATAAATAACTTTGGAAATGAGTAGAGACTGTATCGCTAAATGCAAAAGTAACTGTACATAAGCATAATATTCTGGTTGATAAAAGGTTGCCAATTCTGAAACAAGTATAATAATGTACTAAAATTGAACAGTTAAGCAAATGAATAGTGAGTGGTGGAAGTCAGATGTTTTCTTTGCTGGAGTAAGAGGTTACAAATAAGTAAAGGGAGAAAGCTAGAATGCTCCGTTTGGTAACAGATTAGAAATGCAGACATTGTTTGTGAACTAATGTTTAGCTAATATAGACGCATATGGATGTATATATAGAAATATTTATGCATATGTGTGCATATACAGATTCATATACTATTTCCTTGCTTTGTCAGCTGAGAGAATCTAGAAGCAACAACACCTCACTAGTAACAAGCACACCTAGTGCCCAGATCTTAGTTTCTAATTTCATCCTCTAATAAAAGGAATCAAGGATCCCTGAAGAAATGGATGATTCTGTGACTGGGGCAGGAAATATACAAGATGAGCCTGTAGCATTTTGTAGGACTAGAAAGTAAGGAAGTACTCAAGAAACATGATTAACAACAACAAAAACCAACAACAATGATGATGTATGTCAAAGGAACACTGGGGCCAACTGAAAGTGCTCCCAATGGCTGACACTGGAACAATTTGAATAAGAAAATAAAGTAGTAATGGATTGTAACTCAAATTACAAAATAAATATTTGTGATTCCATACTGACATAAATAAATGATTAAATAAATGGAGACGAATAGATACATCTCCCATGCAAAAAACTTCATATAATTTATGGAGATAATTTACCCTCAAAATAGAGCATATATCCCCATTCTTTAAGTGTGGACTGCATGTAGTGACTTCCTTCCAAAAAGTGCAGTATGGGAAAGGGAAAAAGAATAACCTTGCAGAGAGAAACCTGACAAACACTGTCTGAGCCAGGTGATCAAGGTCAACATCAACAACAAGTCATGTTGCCAGCAAGTACAGTTGACAAGACCTGGTGAAAATGAGCTTTACTTCTATGGCGCCTTATCCCCCCCAAATCCATAATCTCAGTTTAACCATGAGAAAAACATCAGATAAATCCCAACTGAGGGACGTTCTACAAAATGCCTAACTAGTACTTCTTAAAACTGTCAAGGTCATTATAAGCAAGGAAAGTCTAAGAAACTGTCCCAGCCAAGAGGAACTTCATGAGATGTGATGACTAAGTATTATGTTGTATTGGATGGAATCCTGGAACAGCAAAAGGACATTAAATAAAAATCAAGAAGATATGAATAAAGTATAGACTTTAGTTAATTAGAACAAGTGTATATACATATATATTTAAATACACATATAGCCAGTATCATGCCAGTGTTCATAGATCTATGTCTTTTTCAAACAACTGGGTATTATTTTATTGTATGGATGGAAGTAGTGGAATGTGTAAGGAAACAAATTTATTGGTACCTATTTAGGCTGTTTTCATCTTACTTCTTACCCTTTTTGACAATGGTGAATACATACATTTTTATAAAAAGAAAAAGTTGACTATATTTCTGTGGATCTACATTCAGCCTCTAAGTTCTGTTCTATCATTTACTTTTTCACCAGTGCCACATTGTCTTGGTTACTGTAGCTTTACAGTAAATCTTGAAATTGGATAGTGTGAGTCTTCCAACTTCTTCAGTATTATGTTGGCTATTCTAATCCCTTTGCCTTTCCATATAAATTTTAGAGTCAGTTTGCTGGTACCTGCAAGACAGCTTACTGGTCATGATTCTTTTCTTCACTTATACCAGACTCTAAATAATTGTTCACTGCTCCAGTAATTCAAATTCACTCTTAAAAACTTGCCTCCAAGGTGAGGATATTCATCCTCAAAATATTTGAGCAATTGCAACACCAGTGGGAAAAAATGCATCTGTCTTCCCAAGGCATTTTCTTTAATAAATAGCACTTATTTGAATGAATAAATTTGAATATTTAAGATATTCAAATCCGATTATGTTTATTTGATAAATATCACACTATACAATGGTTGTAACACCTACCCTCAGGATTGTTGGGAGAGTTAAATTGGTGAGCCAGTAAGGTTTAAATATGTTTAGAGCTTCAAAAGTATTCAATAAATATTACTTTTCTTACAGTTAACCCATTTTCTCATTACAAAAAGCCTTATGCAGGATATAAACTCACATAATTGTCTACTATAAGACTTATTATTTCTTTAATTATTACTTAACATCATACTCACTTAAAGTACAGTATTGCATCATATAAAAAGACTTCCATATAAATGCATTTAATTTCACCCTAGGATACATTAAACATTTGTAATGTTAAAGCTAATGGATTTAGAAGTATTACATTTTTGTAAAAAACATAACTTTGAGACTATGTAAATATATAATTTAAAAGATGGTAAAGTTATGAATATTAAGAACTTTTACCGATTTCTCCATTGAATGTTTGATTATTCGAGTTCATATGATATGATCATATGGGGTAAGGCATAGGAAGCATGAAAACTGAATGCCCTTGAGGCACAGTAATACGTAAAGAACAGATGTACAATATTTCTGCCAATGTCCCTAGGTATTGTAGCCTGCAAAGACTTACCCTTTTAACAGGTCATTATAGGACTCACCTGTTAATTTGGCTTTCCTGGTGATACTAATACCGAAAGCTTTGACGGCGGTGAAGAGGGAAGATGAACAGTTAGAGATCCTTTCTGGTGAGTGAAGACCCTACACAGACAGGGACCTCAAGATAAGGGATATAATCTATTTAATTAAAGAGTATGTACTATACACCAGAAATCTGTTAATGGGACTCATTAAAAAAAATGAATGAATACATACTATGGATCCCATCCTATTTTTTTTTATTATTATTATACTTTAAGTTTTAGGGTACATGTGCACATTGTGCAGGTTAGTTACATACGTATACATGTGCCATGCTGGTGTGCTGCACCCACTAACTCGTCATCTAGCATTAGGTATATCTCCCAATGCTATCCCTCCCCCCTCCCCCCACCCCACAACAGTCCCCAGAGTGTGATGTTCCCCTTCCCGTGTCCATGTGTTCTCATTGTTCAATTCCCACCTATGAGTGAGAATATGCGGTGTTTGGTTTTTTGTCCTGGCGATAGTTTACTCAGAATGATGGTTTCCAATTTCATCCATGTCCCTACAAAGGACATGAACTCATCATTTTTTATGGCTGCATAGTATTCCATGGTGTATATGTGCCACATTTTCTTAATCCAGTCTATCATTGTTGGACATTTGGGTTGGTTCCAAGTCTTTGCTATTGTGAATAATGTCGCAATAAACATACGTGTGCATGTGTCTTTATAGCAGCATGATTTATAGTCCTTTGGGTATATACCCAGTAATGGGATGGCTGGGTCAAATGGTATTTCTAGTTGTAGATCCCTGAGGAATCACCACACTGTCTTCCACAATGGTTGAACTAGTTTACAGTCCCACCAACAGTGTAAAAGTGTTCCTGTTTCTCCACATCCTCTCCAGCACCTGTTGTTTCCTGACTTTTTAATGATTGCCATTCTAACTGGTGTGAGATGGTATCTCATTGTGGTTTTGATTTGCATTTCTCTGATGGCCAGTGATGGTGAGCATTTTTTCATGTGTTTTTTGGCTGCATAAATGTGTTCTTTTGAGAAGTGTCTGTTCATATCCTTCGCCCACTCTTTGATGGGGTTGTTTGTTTTTTTCTTGTAAATTTGTTTGAGTTCATTGTAGATTCTGGATATTAGCCCTTTGTCAGATGAGTAGGTTGCGAAAATTTTCTCCCATTTTGTAGGTTGCCTGTTCACTCTGATGGTAGTTTCTTTTGCTGTGCAGAAGCTCTTTAGTTTAATTAGATCCCATTTGTCAATTTTGTCTTTTGTTGCCATTGCTTTTGGTGTTTTAGACATGAAGTCCTTGCCCGTGCCTATGTCCTGAATGGTAATGCCTAGGTTTTCTTCTAGGGTTTTTATGGTTTTAGGTCTAACGTTTAAGTCTTTAATCCATCTTGAATTGATTTTTATATAAGGTGTAAGGAAGGGATCCAGTTTCAGCTTTCTACATATGGCTAGCCAGTTTTCCCAGCACCATTTATTAAATAGGGAATCCTTTCCCTATTGCTTGTTTTTCTCAGGTTTGTCAAAGATCAGATAGTTGTAGATATGTGGCATTATTTCTGAGGGCTCTGTTCCGTTCCATTGATCTATATCTCTGTTTTTGTACCAGTACCATGCTGTTTTGGTTACTGTAGCCTTGTAGTATAGTTTGAAGTCAGGTAGTGTGATGCCTCCAGCTTTGTTCTTTTGGCTTAGGATTGACTTGGCGATACAGTCTCTTTTTTGGTTCCATATGAACTTTAAAGTAGTTTTTTCCAATTCTGTGAAGAAAGTCATTGGTAGCTTGATGGGGATGGCATTGAATCTATAAATTACCTTGGGCAGTATTGCCATTTTCACGATATTGATTCTTCCTACCCATGAGCATGGAATGTTGTTCCATTTGTTTGTATCCTCTTTTATTTCCTTGAGCAGTGGTTTGTAGTTCTGCTTGAAGAGGTCCTTCACATCCCTTGTAAGTTGGATTCCTAGGTATTTTATTCTCTTTGAAGCAATTGTGAATGGGAGTTCACTCATGATTTGGCTCTGTGTTTCTCTGTTGTTGGTGTATAGGAATGCTTGTGATTTTTGCACATTGATTTTGTATCCTGAGACTTTGCTGAAGTTGCTTATCAGCTTAAGGAGATTTTGGGCTGAGACAATGGGGTTTTCTAGATATACAATCATGTCATCTGCAAACAGGGACAATTTGACTTCCTCTTTTCCTAATTGAATACCCTTTATTTCCTTCTCCTGCCTAATTGCCCTGGCCAGAACTTCCAACACTCTGTTGAATAGGAGTGGTGAGAGAGGGCATCCCTGTCTTGTGCCAGTTTTCAAAGGGAATGCTTCCAGTTTTTGCCCATTCAGTATGATATTGGCTGTTGGTTTGTCATAGATAGCTCTTATTATTTTGAAATACGTCCCATCAATACCTAATTTATTGAGACTTTTTAGCATGAAGGGTTGTTGAATTTTGTCAAAGGACTTTTCTGCATCTATTGAGATAATCATGTGGTTTTTGTCTTTGGCTCTGTTTATATGCTGGATTACATTTATTGATTTGCATATATTGAACCAGCCTTGCATCCCAGGGATGAAGCCCACTTGATCATGGTGGATAAGCTTTTTGATGTGCTGCTTGATTCGGTTTGCCAGTATTTTATTGAGGATTTTTGCATCAATGTTCATCAAGGATATTGGTCTAATATTCTCTTTTTTGGTTGTGTCTCTGCCCGGCTTTGGTATCAGAATGATGCTGGCCTCATAAAATGAGTTAGGGAGGATTCCCTCTTTTTCTATTGATTGGAATAGTTTCAGAAGGAATGGTACCAGGTCCTCCTTGTACCTCTGGTAGAATTCGGCTGTGAATCCATCTGGTCCTGGACTCTTTTTGGTTGGTAAGCTATTGATTATTGCCACAATTTCAGCTCCTGTTATTGGTCTATTCAGAGATTCAACTTCTTCCTGGTTTAGTCTTGGGAGAGTGTATGTGTCGAGGAATGTATCCATTTCTTCTAGATTTTCTAGTTTATTTGCGTAGAGGTTTTGTAGTATTCTCTGATGGTAGTTTGTATTTCTGTGGGATCGGTGGTGATATCCCCTTTATCATTTTTTATTGTGTCTATTTGATTCTTCTCTCTTTTTTTCTTTATTAGTCTTGCTAGCAGTCTATCAATTTTGTTGATCCTTTCAAAAGACCAGCTCCTGGATTCATTAATTTTTCGAAGGGTTTTTTTTGTCTCTATTTCCTTCAGTTCTGCTCTGATTTTAGTTATTTCTTGCCTTCTGCTAGCTTTTGAATGTGTTTGCTCTTGCTTTTCTAGTTCTTTTAATTGTGATGTTAGGGTGTCAATTTTGGATCTTTCCTGCTTTCTCTTGTGGGCATTTAGTGTTATAAATTTCCCTCTACACACTGCTTTGAATGTGTCCCAGAGATTCTGGTATGTTGTGTCTTTGTTCTCATTTGTTTCAAAGAACATCTTTATTTCTGCCTTCATTTCGTTATGTACCCAGTAGTCATTCAGGAGCAGGTTGTTCAGTTTCCATGTAGTTGAGCGGTTTTGAGTGAGATTCTTAATCCTGAGTTCTAGTTTGATCGCACTGTGGTCTGAGAGATAGTTTGTTATGATCTCTGTTCTTTTACATTTGCTGAGGAGAGCTTTACTTCCAAGTATGTGGTCAATTTTGGAATAGGTGTGGTGTGGTGCTGAAAAAAATGTATATTCTGTTGATTTGGGGTGGAGAGTTCTGTGGATGTCTATTAGGTCCGCTTGGTGCAGAGCTGAGTTCAATTCCTGGGTATCCTTGTTGACTTTTTGTCTCGTTGATCTGTCTAATGTTGACAGTGGGGTGTTAAAGTCTCCCATTATTAATGTGTGGGAGTCTAAGTCTATTTGTAGGTCACTCAGGACTTGCTTTATGAATCTGGGTGCTCCTGTATTGGGTGCATATATATTTAGGATAGTTAGCTCTTCTTGTTGAATTGAACCCTTTACCATTATGTAATGGCCTTCTTTGTCTCTTTTGTTCTTTGTTGGTTTAAAGTCTGTTTTATCAGAGACTAGGATTGCAACCCCTGCCTTTTTTTGTTTTCCATTTGCTTGGTAGATCTTCCTCCATCCTTTTATTTTGAGCCTATGTGTGTCTCTACACGTGAGATGGATTTCCTGAATACAGCACACTGATGGGTCTTGACTCTTTATCCAGTTTGCCAGTCTGTGTCTTTTAATTGGAGCATTTAGTCCATTTACATTTAAAGTTAATAGTGTTATGTGTGAATTTGATCCTGTCATTATGATGTTAGCTGGTGATTTTGCTCGTTAGTTGATGCAGTTTCTTCCTAGTCTCGATGGTCTTTACATTTTGGCATGATTTTGCAGCGGCTGGTACCAGTTGTTCCTTTCCATGTTTAGGGTTTCCTTCAGGAGCTCTTTTAGGGCAGGCCTGGTGGTGACAAAATCTCTCAGCATTTGCTTGTCTGTAAAGTATTTTATTTCTCCTTCACTTTTGAAGCTTAGTTTGGCTGGATATGAAATTCTGGGTTGAAAATTCTTTTCTTTAAAAATGTTGAATATTGGCCCCCACTCGCTTCTGGCTTGTAGGGTTTCTGCCGAGAGATCCGCTGTTAGTCTGATGGGCTTCCCTTTGAGGGTAACCCGACCTTTCTCTCTGGCTGCCCTTAACATTTTTTCCTTCATTTCAACTTTGGTGAATCTGACAATTATGTGTCTTGGAGTTGCTCTTCTCGAGGAGTATCTTTGTGGCGTTCTCTGTATTTCCTGAATCTGAACTTTGGCCTGCCTTACTAGATTGGGGAAATTCTCCAGGATAATATCCTGAAGAGTGTTTTCCAACTTGGTTCCATTCTCCCCATCACTTTCAGGTACACCAGTCAGACGTAGATTTGGTCTTTTCACATAGTCCCATATTTCTTGGAGGCTTTGCTCATTTCTTTTTATTCTTTTTTCCCTAAACTTTCCTTCTCACTTCATTTCATTCATTTCATCTTCCACTGCTGATACCCTTTCTTCCAGTTGATCACATCGGCTCCTGAGGCTTCTGCATTCTTCACGTAGTTCTGGAGCCTTGGTTTTCAGCTCCATCAGCTCCTTTAAGCACTTCTCTGTATTGGTTATTCTAGTTATACATTCTTCTAAATTTTTGTCAAAGTTTTCAACTTCTTTGCCTTTGGTTTGAATGTCCTCCCGTAGCTCAGAGTAATTTGATCGTCTGAAGCCTTCTTCTCTCAGCTCGTCAAAGTCATTCTCCGTCCAGCTTTGTTCCATTGCTGGTGAGGAACTGCATTCCTTTGGAGGAGGAGAGGCACTCTGATTTTTAGAGTTTCCAGTTTTTCTGTTCTGTTTTTTCCCCATCTTTGTGGTTTTATCTACTTTTGGTCTTTGATGATGGTGATGTACAGATGGGTTTTTGGTGTGGATGTCCCTTCTGTTTGTTAGTTTTCCTTCTAACAGACAGGACCCTCAGCTGCAGGTCTGTTGGAGTACCCTGCAGTGTGAGGTGTCAGTGTGCCCCTGCTGGAGGGTGCCTCCCAGTTAGTCTGCTTGGGGGTCAGGGGTCAGGGACCCACTTGAGGAGGCAGTCTGCCCGTTCTCAGATCTCCAGCTGCATACTGGGAGAACCACTGCTCTCTTCAAAGCTGTCAGACAGGGACATTTAAGTCTGCAGAGGTTACTGCTGTCTCTTTGTTTGTCTGTGCCCTGCCCGCAGAGGTGGAGCCTACAGAGGCAGGCAGGCCTCCTTGAGCTGTGGTGGGCTCCACCCAGTTCGAGCTTCCCGGCTGCTTTGCCCATCCTATTTTTAAAGAGGGATCTAAAAAGATTTTTGTCTGATTATTTGAAATAACATTGTTAGTGGTTTAATGTTTAATTCTAAAAGCCTAATGAATTATTACTGTTTTAAAAATAGCACTAATAATAATAGTTTTCATGATGAATCAAATCCATAAATAATGTTTAGAACCTATTAATGGGAAATTACATTATTTAAGTAAACCATGTGCATTTGTGTAACAAATACCTTCATTTTCATAAAATGAAACTATTCTAACCAAGTTTTTACCTTATTGAAATAAAGTAAATAAAAATTTATTTTATTGATAAGGGCATATAAAAATACATATACCTATAACCTATTTTTATTATTTGATTTGAATATTAAATTTTATTGTAATACATGTATTTTATTATATCAGTTAAAATTGAGAAGACATTACTGGTTTTAATGTAATTCGTAGAAAGAAGTTTGCTCTCCACATACGGTGCTCCTTTAGATAACATCTAAAACACCTACAATTGAAGCTTGACATAGTACAAGGATTAATATGGTTCACACATCACATCATTATTAAAAATTCTGAAAAACCAGACATTCCAGGTCAGAGAAATGGTTTTACTTTATGGAATCCTAATTTTATTACTATTAAAGCATTAAGTGACTTTACCCACTCATTTAACAGCTATATTTTTTTTTAGTTTGTTCCCACTTGTGCCTGTCAGTCTGCTTGGTCCTGGCCACACAAAAACAAATCAATACTTCAAGGAGTTCATGTTCAGTGGTAGAGATGAAAATAAAAACAGAGATTGAAAACCCTGTATTAGAATGACAGAGGTAAACACAGGAACCAACTCAGGAACCAGCAAGAAGGAGAAAGGCGAAAGAAAGGGAAGCCTTCTCCAAAGCCTTCTTTTCTCACCAGGCTGCTCTTTGGGAGGACAAGACAGTGGCCAGTGTGGAAGTTGTTTTCAGGCATTCTGAATGAAACAACTGTTTTCAGACATTAGGCAACAGGTAGCACAGGGCTGTTGTCCTTTAGAGAAGGAAAACTCCACATTCACTCTGGCTTCTACCTGGACTTCCCAAACTACATCACAGGAAAATGGGGCCCAAAGACAGAGGAGCCTGTGGTATTGGCATTAAAGTAGATAAACAAATCAGTAGAACAGAGTAGAGAGTACAGAGTTAGACCCACGCACATATGGTCAATTAAATCTTTTTAATCAATGGTGTTGGCATAACTAAATATCCATAGGGAAAAAGGAACCTTGACCCCTATTTCACACTGTATGACAAAATTAATTTGAGATGAATCATAAACCTAAACATAAAAGCTATAACTATAAAGCTTCTAGAAGCAAACAAAAGAGACTATGTTCATGACCTTGGGACATGCAGAGATTTCCTAGGGCATAGGATTTCTAACATTACAGGAAAAAACTGATAAACTAAATTTTATCAAAATTAAATGTCCTGTTCATTAGCAGACACAAGAAATGAACAGGTAAGTTACACACTGGGAGAAAAGGTTTACAATACATGTATTTTTCAAGGGACGTGTATCTAGAATATATAATTAACTGCTATAATGTACTTGTACAAAGACAAAATACCTGATTTTTTTCAAAAATAGGCAAAATATTTACACAAAAACTTAACATAGGAAAATATACAAATGGCCAGTAATAGCACAGGAAAGTGCTCAATATTGTTGGTCATTAAAGAAATGCAAGAAAGAGCCAAATGAAAACCACTGTGAAAACACTAGAATGGCTAAAATTAAAAAGACGAATAGCACCAAATTTTTGCAAGGATGTGGAACAACTCGAGCTCTCATAAGTTGCCCATAGGAGTGAAAATGGTACAGCCAATTTGAAAAGTAGTATAGCAGTTTCTTATAAAGTTAAACATGCATTTAGCCTATGACTCAGCAGTTCCACCCCTGGGTAGAGAAAGAAGAAAGGACAGCGTATGTTCACAGAAGATTTGTGCAAGAATCTTTGTAGCGCCATTATTCATAAGTCTAAAACTGAAAACAAGCCAAATGTTCATCAGAGAATGTATAAACACATTGCAGTATAGTCATATAATAAAGTATAACAATAAAAAGAAATTAACTACCAGCGCACACAACACAAAGAAGAGTCAAATACATGCTGAGTGAAAGAAACCAGATACAAGCGTATAGACCATAAGACTCCATTGATACAAAGTTCTACAGTGAGCAATATGACACAGTTTTTATGGACTTCACATGGGTGATTGCCTTTTGTGGACTAGGGGCACCATTTGACCAGGAAAGGGCATGAAGGAATTTTCTGGGGGTGTTTATGTGTTGACTGGTTGTGTATCACACAAATGTAGCATTTGCTAAAAGTCATCAAACTGTGTACTTCAGATCTGTACATTTCACTGTATGTAAATCATATTTCAATTCAAAAATCAATAAATGTTGACAAATGGACATATACTAAATACTTCTTTTCTCTATATAACATATAAGACTTTTGGCCTTCCTTTCTGTGTGTGTGTGTGTGTGTGTGTGTGTGTGTGTGTGTGTGTGTGTGTGTGTTTTACATAGATCATGTTGAGTAAGCTACTGTATAAATTATGTAGATTGTATATGTTTCTTCGTTGATTCTCACACAAACCTTTGAATTTTTTTCTGCCAAATTCAGTCATTTAAAAGATCCTGATCATTCCACTTGTAAAATATATCTTCAATTCACTCTCTCGCCTCTGTCCTTTGTTCGGCCATCGTCGTCTCTCACCTGGACATCACATTGGTCTCCTACACAATGTTCCTGCCTCTAGTCAGTTCTTTCATCTGTCTTCCTTCATGCTGAAGACTTATTCTAAAATCCTAATATGATGATAATACTCACAATTAGAAACCTTCAGTGGTTCCCACTGTCCACATGCCCATGTCTTATAGCATATAATTACACTTAAAATGAAGGTAATCTTAGAATGTGGTAGACAGCATGTTTTATGTTTATAATCCCATGCTATCTTTGTAACAGCCTTGTGCAGTGAGTACACTCACCCTCCAGCATGTAGACAAGACATTTGACCCATCTGTTAAGCAGCTTGCCCAAAGACACGTGATCGGCAAGTAGCAAAGTCAGGATTTGAAGCTGTGCTGTCTGACTCCAGAGCCCAGATACACATGTACTACGCACACTGCCTCTCTTTAGGGTCTTCCTCCAGCCTTTGTTACTCAAACTTGTCTCCTCCAGCCCTGGGCATCCACCCTCCATCCACAGCCAGCTCCACTGTGTTCTTTGACACCTCCATCCTTTGGTTCCCATGGCTTCCTCTGAAGCTCCTGCTCCTTCTCGCCTTGCAGACTCTCCATTGTTCAAGTTCCCACTTAGGTGCCACTACCTTGGGAAAGCTTTTTTCACACTTCTCCAGGTCACCCATAGGTCTATTCAGCCACAGCATGTTGGCCATGGGCCCATTCTTGTCTTTGTTATTTTTTCTTATTTTGAAGATATCTTTTTTTTTTTTTTTTTTGATACAGTCTTGCTGTCGGCCAGGCTGGAGTGCAGTGGCACCATCTCGGCTCGCTGCAACTTCCACCTCTTGAGTTCAATCGATTCTCCTGCCTCAGCCTCCCGAGTAGCTGGGACTACAGGTGCACACCACCACACCCAGCTAATTTTTTTTTGTATTTTTAGTAGAGACGGGGTTTCACCATGTTGGCCAGGCTGGTCTCGATCTCCTGACCTTGTGATCCACCTGCCTCAGCCTCCCAAAGTGCTGGGATTACAGGCGTGAGCCACTGCGCCCAGCCTGAAGGTATCTTTATGTGTTTTTCTCCCCTCACTGGAGCACCTCCAGAACAAAGTCCTCCCCATCTTTGCTGTTCCCAGCCCTTAACGTACAGAGAAGAAGGCTCATAACAACTGCTTGTTTAATAAATGAATGTTTTACTGCCAGATAATCTAGCATCAAAGTTTCTTTTGCCTAATTTTGACCTGCCCTTGTAACTCATTTATCAGACAGTTATAAAACAGTTTAAAGCTCAACTGAAAAGTGCAAAAAAATCAAAAAGCGGAAAAAAAGGGAGGGGTAGTATCTCGTTTCTTAGGCTGCGTAACATTATGAGGTTACTCTTTAACAGCACTAGAGAGTGTTGAATTTTTTAGAGCTTAAAATGATTGGCTGAGATATTAAGCTGCTTTGCCAGCTGTTCAAAAATGGATTGCTCCCAGCATATAAATAACTACTGTTATGTCTCTATAAAATTCTAGACCTTGAATGGCATATTTGATTAGAGTGAAATGAAAAAGAAAGAATTGTTACAAACAAGAAGCTGAGATTAAAAAGGTGTATTCAGTAACTACCTATGGTGAGTTAAAATCATCTTTCCATGAGTGAACATAGAAAATTAAATAAAATACCTGCAATCTTGAAGGAACTGAAACATAGACCTTAGTGAAGTTTAATCATACCCATGGCAATCTCTTTCTTTTATCCTCTTCAAATGGGGTTTATTGCAAAGGAGAATCAGTTGTATGTAGTTTAACAATTTCTAGCCCAGTTATATGAGTCTAACACCTTCAGTGTCTGCTTATGTGATATTTATTAAGAATTTTCTTGTGCTTCTGTAAATATTAATTACAGACCAGATGCATCAGATGTGAATAGCAGCAGCTTGGAAGTGCCCAAGTGCAGCATAAGTCTTCCATTTCCATTGTAAATATTGACAGTGGGTGTCTTTTTCAATGTCACTCATTGCCCCATCTGATCTCAGCTATGTTTACATACAGGATGTTACTCAGTTCTGTTTATTATGTTATATTGTAGTAATGGAAATCCAACTTCCTTTATTGAAATGATGATAACTGATTTGAAAAGACCTAGTATAGGGGAAATTGGCCAATAATAATGGACGTGTGAGAAGAAAAAGAGAAAAGAAAAGGAAAACAACTTTGAAATCATGTATTGTTTCAAGCTAGCAAGGATTTATTGAATAGTGAATTGTGTGTCCTGCTCTATGTTAGATCCTGAAGACTCAATCCTGAAGACACAAATTCACAGATGAAAATATGGGGTCTTCCTTTCAATAAGCTCAGCAAGATAGAGTAAAAGCTACAGTGCCTCAGAAAAGGAAGAGTATTGGCTGAGATCTAAAAATGTTTAGGAATTTCTTACCAAGTACAGTGCCAATAGAACAAAATTAAAAATATTGAAGGGGCACTCACAATTCACTGACCTGAGATTGAACGGCTTCATCAATGGGAGGAGGTAAGAGATATAAGGTACTGATCCACTTAAAGTTCTGAAATTTGCAAGGAAAATAATGAGCTTGCAATGCTGTTAGGTAGCATACCCCTCACTCTAGGTTTTGTTATTATGATCAGCTGCATCCAGACAGTCTCAGAGTTCATCTGGGGACCACAGCAAGCAGGAAACCATTTGTGTGCTGGAGACTTGACAGCAGCCAAGGGGAGGAACCAGGAAGAGCCACAGGAAGTGCATGGCATGGAGCCCTATCCACAAGAAAGACAGCTACAGAAATGGGGCTGACACATGGTATCTTCCAGGGCTACTCAGTCTGCTGGTGGGTGAATCCGTGGGATATGTTTTTGCTAATGAGACATCCTCTGACAAGATTAATAATCTATGCGGCTACATCAACAGCGACACTAAGGGAAATCTACTTCAAAAACGAGTGTGCGCATGCGCGCGCGCGCGCGCACACACACACACACTCATTGTGATGCATTTGCTGCTACTTCCAGTCACCTCCCTCAAGCCTTATCTTTGGTCCTATCAGAGTAAAAACACAATAGATGTGTCAATTGCCCAAGTCACAACATCTTTCTAGTGGAGCCATGTACCTGTTTTGAGTCATTGCCACGGTTTTTGGAACAAGCTCCCGCCTACTTGCTGGGACTGAGCCTCTCTGGCATGCTCTGACCTCTAGCACATGCATGCTTCATCATTTGTAAACATTTGCCTGCCTATACCACTGAACTAGAACCTTCCTGATTGTTGGCTTCTGGCCACATTTTTCTTTCCCCCCATTTCTTGCTCTTAATGTTTTTTGCACCTCTTGCCTGCACTAATTTTTGAGATCCTTCCCTGCCAAGCACCATGAAATCCTCTCAGCAACTTTGAGAGTGCTGTGGATTGAATTACATCCCTCCAAATTCATATGTCAAAGCCCTCAAATCCAATAGGATCATATTTGAAGATTGTATTTGGGAGGTAACTAGGCTTAGATGAGGTCATGAGGGTGGGGCCCTCATAATGGGATTAGTGGCCTTGTAAGAGACATCAAAGCACTTGTTTGCTCTCTCTCTCCACCATGAGAGGACACAGTGAGAAGGTGGCCATCTGCAGGGGAGTAAAAGATCTGCAGGGGAGTAAAAGAGTCCCCACCAGAAACCAAATTAGCCGACATTTGATCTTGTACTTCATAGCCTCCAGAACTGTAAGAAATAAATTTCTGTTGTTTTTTTTTGTTTTGTTTTGTTTTTTGTTTTTTGAGATGGAAAGGAGTCTTGCTCTGTCACCCAGGCTGGAGTGTAGTGGCACGATCTCGGCTCACTGCAAGCTCCGCCTCCCAGGTTCATGCCATTCTCCTACCTCAGACTCCTGAGTAGCTGGGACTACAGGCACTTGCCACCACGCCTGGCTAATTTTTTTTTTGTACTTTTAGTAGAGACAGGGTTACAGCGTGTTAGCCAGGATGGTCTCGATCTCCTGACCTCATGATCCGCCTGCCTTGGCCTCCCAGAATGCTGGGATTATAGGCATGAGCCACTGTGCCCAGCCATAAATTTCTGTTGTTTAAGCCACACAGTTTGTAGTAATTTTTAAGGGCAACCGAAGCAGATGAATACAGAGAGGAACTTTAAAATGAGAAAAACAAGACTCAGAGGAATGAAGCACTCTGTCTTAGAATTTAGTTATTAAGTACTCCATTTTACTAAAAAAAAATCTTTGGTCTTTTCGCCACACAGTACTGCATTAAAAATTGGATAGTTTGCCCCACCCTCATACTAAACATGTCATTACTAAAATAGAGCTAAGGTTTAAATTGTCCATCGTCCTTATGTGTAAGATGTTGAGGACTACAAGCTTAGACAATGGGTATACATCCTATATTTAGAACCTTTCGTGTGTCTTACTTGTGTCTCTACCCAGGACTTACCTTTTTTCAATGTATTTGCATAAGGGCATGTGTATCCAAATTGCTTCTACATTATTAGACTGTAGAACTTAGTCTATTGACTTTCAATAATATAGCACTTAGCTAAACACCAGACACGTGGCTTCTGTTAGATAGTATCTAATCGTAATACATTTTTATCATATTTTAGTGGTGTATATACAGGTAAGCAGAAAAGCATAAATAAAAATCTGATCCTCATTTCCTCCTCAGCCATCTTGAATGTTTTCTGAAAGAAGACACACTACTTTTGAGAGACCTCAAAATGAGAGTCTAGACAAGCTGGTAGCATCATCCTTCAGAGAAACCTGTTGGGATCTATGGTCAGTTCCATGAAAGGCAACCTATGGGAGGCCAACCACTGAACAACTTGTGGCTATAAATTTGGTCTTGCATTTCTGCATTTATTATTATTTTTTTAGAGACTGGGTCTCACTCTGTCACCCAGGCTGGAGTGCAGTGATGCAACCATTGCTCACTGCAGCCTTGAACTTCTGGAATCAGGTGATCCAGTTCAGCTTCTCGAGTAGCTAGGACTACAGATATATGCTGCCATGCCTAGCTAATTTTTTAAAGTTATTTTTTGTAGAGATAGAGTCTCACTATGTTGCCCAGGCTGTTCTAGAACTCCTGGCCACAAATGATCCTTCCACCTTGGCCTCCCAAAGTGGTGGGATTACATATGTGAGCCACTGCACCCAGCCTGGTTCAGCACTTTCTGTGGCCTCTAGGTGACTCAGTCTTAGCTTGTCGTGACACTAGAAGTAAGAGGGTATTTTATTTCCAAGGAATTATAAGAATTAACTTTGTTTCTTTAGGATTGGGTCTGTTTTAGGGAAAATATCTTGTTTAAAGTTTCATTCTAGGCAAAAGTTCAGCTATTTTATTTTCCCAGTTTAAAAAAATGAATTGAATGTATAATATATTGAATCGTCATAGTTCTGTTAATGTTATTTCATCAGCTGTATATGAAACCCATTCATCTCGGAGTATGAAGCAGTTCTGCTTGTGTCAGCAGTTTAAAAGCAAAGCTGTGGATATGAGGGCAGCGAGGCACAATAATCCATTTCCTTTTAGAATGTTTGTGGCCTAAACTAAAGCCCAATTTCCTCATATTAAGCAGTCCTTTTGAAAGAAGATGATAATTCCATCAAATAATTTTGCTGTATATTTATAAACAGACAGAAGCGAAGTTTATGATGTTAGGGCTTAATTTAATGGATTTTGGATTGCATGTATAGTGAGTTATGGGAAAAAATAGAATTTAACATCTTATAGTAAAACAGACGTTCATTGCCAGAATCACTGATCCGTCCTGGAGACCTGTGCTTATCTTTTTTGCCATTTGTCAAAAGGAGGCTCTTTTCTTTTTTTTTCCTTCTGCATACATTATTTTCTCTGTGTTCATTTCTCTACAGTAGATGGTATTTCCACAGTTTAAAAATATCAGTGCTTTTCCTTTATGTGGAAATTGAGATATTATCCAGAAAGACAGTTCTGAGACACAGTACAGATTTCTAGCTGCTATAGCCTGGGCATGGTGACTCCACCTCCTCCCCAGCTTAAATGAAGAGAAAACAGAGTGGCACTGTGGAGAACGGACCACACAGCTGTACCTTTCAGCCATGGGCACTCCATGAAACAGGCTTTCTAAAGCTATTGCCACTTGGAAAATTAAAAGAAAAAAAAAACTCAGGGAAAATAATGTTTCAAATGATTTTCTTTTTAAAGAACAAATGCAATTAATACAAACATAAAGGTAACAGATTCAGAGAATGTATCAACGATTGGGTGGAATGACAGAAAATTAAATGTGGGGCGGTGTTCTTCATTTCTTCTTTCTTCCATTGGCCAATGGCCTTGTAGATGTTGATTTCACCTTCAGTTTTGGATTCAGATTATCAGGAGTAAGTTTTCAACACCCTAAGTCTGTATCAGAGTTTCTTAACCTTGCCACTATTGACATTTGTAGCCAGATCATTCTTGGTTGTGAGGGCTGTCCTGTGCACTGTAAAATGTTTAGCAGCCTTGCTGGACTCCATCCCCCAGGATAGCTAAAAACGTCTCCAGACAGTGCCAAATGTCCCCTGGGGGCAAAACCCCCCTACTCTGATTAAGAACCAGTGGATGCATTTCATCTTTCATCTTTGTACCTCTGGTCCCTAGCCATGTCTAGCTCTAGCATTTACTTAGTAAATGTCAATTAAATGACTGAAAAGATGAAACTGGTGCTTCTATGTATGTAACCATTTTTTTGGTATCTGAATATATCAATACATATATAGTTTATTTTAAAATGAGAGGTATTTTGATTTGTTTTTCTAGAAGACCTTTTACGATGAAGATAAGTTTAATGTAATTATTAATTCCCTTTTCTTCATTAGTTATAATCACGTAACACATTTATATTGCATAGGTATATTCCTGTGAATTTCAGAGATATTAGTATCAGTATCTTTATCATTCTTTCCTCATGGCATAGTGTTCTGAGGATGCCATGGTCCTAATAAAGTCTGGTTCTATTAAAGGGATGTCATGTATCTTCCAGAAAGGCTGGTGAAAGGACATTGGTCCTTTTAGTTCCAACTGGCCCTCAGGAGCCTGTGACCCAGGAGCACCTTGCTGTGTGTAGTGCGGGCTTGACCCTGCCCCAGTGAGGCAGCACAATTGTGAGCTGGTCCTGGTACCTCCTAGAGAATGTGACAGTTCTGAGTCACCTGTGGAGGAAATAGAGGCAGCAAATAGAGATGGTAGAAAAGCCAGGAAAGGAATGAAACATAGTGCTGAAGTGTTTATCTTCTTAAGGCTGACACTTTCCTCCTTGGCCTTTTAAGAGGAACAAATAGGCAGCCATCAACATGGCAGGTCTTAGCACAATTAACATTTCGGTAGCGCTGGCAACAGGGCCAGGCACTGTTCTGAGAACTCTATTGGATTTACTCATTTAATTATAATGGTACAAAGAATGCACTATTATTGTCCCCATTTTACAGAAAATAGTGGCACAGAGAGGTTAATTGATAAATTCAATAGACATCATTGGAGTCCACTCCCTGCCCTGGGTGTTGTGTATAAAATACAGTGTATTCATACATAACATTCTCCCTGACCTCAAGAAGCTGATATCTAACTGGTAGAGGAGATAATACACAAAGGACCAAGTGAGAACATGTTAAGTGCCATAGAAGAAGAAATGACAAGGTGCTATGTGTTGCTTGCTGTGCAACATTGGGCAAGGTATTTAACTCACCTAAACCTGTTTTCTCAAAAACTGGGATAATAATAACACCCACCTGTGGGGTTGCTGTGAATACAATGTTCGGCATATAGTAAGTACTTAACTAATGTCATAGAGTAGTAGAGTAATAGTAGAGTGAGAGGTTTGTTTACTTGGGTGTACCAGAGAGTTCATGGAGGTATTATTTTAACTGAAGCTTGAAGGACTGGCAACACTTAAACATCTGGTAACAGGAAACCCATTCTCAAGGAAATAATATAAATAAAAGTGTAGTACAGGGGAGCTCATAAAATAGGAAAATCCTAAGGTTTATTTATGGCAAGAAAGAGTATAGCAGAAGAAAAGGTAAAAAAGGTAAGTTCTGAGGTCACATCATTACATTAGCCTCAGGTTAGGGAATTTGGAGCTTTTCCTTAGGCAATGTGGACCCATGGATAGCTTTTGAACAGAACAGTAGCAGTGCTTTAGGGAGATTTTTCTGCCGTGCATATGCAGGATGGATTTGATTGGAGGAGAGAGGCTTCCAGGGCACAACAAGGAGGCAGTTGTATTGGAGAACACAGGCTGGGCTGATGGTGCTGATGGCCACGAGAGTGCCAGAGAAGAGGGGGAGGGGGTTATATTGATGATGGAATTGACTGATCCAGTGAAGGTGGAGAAGAGAGTTGTTTCAAGACAAAAAAATACCAACAATGAACTTTAGATACTGAGAATGAGTCACTGGAAGGATTGTGTAGCAGTAATGAACATCCAGAAAACTCAAATATAAGCTGCAGGGTGGCTGATGAGTTCACTTTTGACATCTTAAGTTAGAGATGCCATCTGTTTGGGGCATGCAACAAACATCTCCTTTCCAGAACAGAAATCTGAGCTAGAGACAGAAATCCAAAAGGTGTTTAGGTTGATATGGTGGAAGGAACTGGAGAAAGGATAAAGGACGTCACTTTTGGGGAGAGAGGGGAGTAGATCAACGAGCAGCCCTGCCTAAAGAGGCAGAGGAGGGCAGGAGGGAGGTAGCCAAGAACCAAGGAGAGTCTCAGAAGCCTAGGACAGAGTGACTCCAGGAAGCAGCACTGATGAATGGACTCAGCTATTTCAGAGAGGCTGAGGAGGACCAGTTAGGTTAGTCATGGGACTTGACAATCAGAGTATTTTTTTGTTAAGAGAAGATGTTTTGTTCTGTGATGGAGTAGGAAATATTGTGGTAAGGAATGAATGTTGGAGGAAAAGTCTGCAGTGTTTATATGGAAGAGGCTCGGCAAATTCACATGCCCACCTTGGAAATTTCCATTCTCAGGGGTCAGTTTTTGAAAAAAAGAGTGTGCTTGTGTGTGGGTGAATGGGTGTGTCTCTCCGTGTGTAGTATGTGCATAGAGGAAGGGTTTGGGGAGCGGAAGGGCTCAGGCACTGTTTCAGCCCTGATTAATTGTTGCCATATGGAAATGCGAGCCCAGTCATACCAGCAGTTTTGATTTTTCAAATGAAGTAGGCAATCTAGTTTTTTTTTTAAAAAGTGGGATCTGTATATTTAAAAATCTTGCCCCAAATTTTTAAAACCCCTGTCCAAGCCAAATAAAGCCTGTCTGCAGGTGAGACACAGCCTGTGAGGTTGCAGCTCGCTTCTCTGGAACACATAATGGGTTTAAGAGAGACAGCAGCTCTAGAAAGGTGCCAGGCTTACCACAGGCACTAGATAACTCTGTTGAATGAGAAACAGGTTGTGGGGAGATTATTTTTAGACAGGCAGAAACACAGGGCTTTAATTTGATATAGTTATGATAGTATATGTTGTGGATATAAGTGACAGTTTAAAATGCTGGTAAATTAAACTATGAAACATTTCCATTCAAGAGTATTACTTTTAATTCGTTTGTCAATATTGGCCTCTCATTACCTATTAAAATGATTGGCTTCACACCACTGATAATGGTGACAGAACGCAGATCCATTTGCAGTATTGTTATTGCATCAGCACCACTGAAAATTAGTAGTGATTAGAACTTCAAGAGTAACTCCACTAAATCAGGAGACAAGTACTTCTTATCTGTTCTTTGAAATATATTTTAAAATTGTCAATTTCTCTGCTTGTGTTAAATTAAAAGCAGGCCATGGACTTTCCACAAGACACAGGTCGATAGGAAAGGAGGGAGGTAGAGATACACGAGAGTAGGTGCATTGGAGATGTTTCAGTTCAGGGTTCTCTGTAATTTCTTTAACTTTCTGCAGGTTGTTTACTTATCAGATTCAGTCTTCTCCAAAGTACCTTTGTTCTGCTCAAACTCAAATTGAATTGAGACTGCAAACAGTTTAATTCTAGATACCCAGACTGGTTGATTGCTGAAAGTATTTTATGACTACCAAGTTGGGAAATTGTAGTAAAACCTATCTGTGGATTTGTCTGTGTTTTCATTCCATCTTAAAATGCAAGAGCTATACAAGTATATATATGTATATGTATCTTTAAGATAAATAATATTGCCCTTTGACAGATGAGAAAACTGAGGCTTAGAAAGGTCACATAGCCTCCTAATGTCAGATGTTTACTCAGTTATACAGCTGGAATATAATACAGTCTGACCCCAATGCCTGTATCTTGAGGCAGCTTTAGCCAAATTAAGGTCTGAGTAACTTGCTCCATTGACTTTCAGGAATAAAGCTGTATTTTCTTCTTAAAGTAGCAATATGCCTTCTTTTGCTCTAGCCTGTGGGGACAGCTAATTTTCTGTTCTTCTAAAAGTAATGGCAGGAGTAACTCTTTGGACTGAGTACCTGTGATTTCCAAGGGGAAGCTCATGGTTGCAGATCCATGTCTATATTTTAATTGTGAAGGCTATGGGACTTTAAATTTCTTACCTCTTTCTTTCTTTGTAAGACGATTTTGTTAAATTACCATTTCCTTATTGGGACTGGCTATGTGTGAATTCCTAGAAAGAGAAGTTGTGTTTACTCTATTCTTTGCTCCATCGTTTTTCTTTGAAGTTAAAGCTGTCACGTGGCTCATATTTTTCAGGGTCTATGCAACTCGGAGGGAGATTTTTAATACTATATATAGTTCATCTATCTTTATAGGAAGACTTCAGAAAGATGCCTACATAGGCATAGGATCCAATGGAAAACATTAGTATGCTTCATTTTTTGCTTCCAGAAACTCAGATGTATCTCTGTTCTTTGTCACAGTTTAAAATAAGAATCTAGGGTTTTGTTTTTTAAGTAAATGTATGTGTGTATTTGAATGAAAAGACATAAATATTTACATATATATTTTATAAGTATATTCACGCATATTCAAATGCAATCGATGTTTCCCTTTAGACAGATGTTAATGAGGTGATAAATATTAATACATATTACAGGTATACAACTTCCTAAGATTCTATATTTTTTTAGGCAAAAAATATGTTCCTCTGCAACCATACCACACAGACTTAACATCTGTTGTAAAGTGTGTTAAAATCCGGCAACTCAATGTCAGTTGGATCTGGCTTTATGGTATGCTTCCTTCATTATGGCTCTCACTGGGGGAGGAGAGCTTTCTGATACCATCCAAACCTCCAGAGCACCATTCAAAGCAGCTGGTATTCTATATATTACATAATTATGAAGCACACCGTGTAGTTTAGAATACTTAAGAGGCACTAGGGGCCCACTTCTCAAAATATTTACAGCCTTTTATTCTTCTAAAAACAATAATTTGCATGCCTAAAATGATTTGTGTACCTTTGCCATGCAAATTTCCTTTAGCCTCTTTTTTTCTGTTAAACCTTGATCTGAAAATATCAGTGTTTAGTAGTAAATAGGCCAGAGGGAAATGTAATTGGCAGGAATGGAGGTTTTAAACATTTCCCCCAAATTTTGGGTATTCAAGGGGAAATGGGAGAAATCATGGAGAAAGGAAGGTCTGAGGTAAGGACCCCTGCTAAGGACAGGTACCAGATCTAAGGAGAGGCTCTAGGACAGGGGCCAGGCTTTGCATTGAAAGGGACAATGAGGGGCTGAGTGCCATCCAATAGGCCAACTGTCTGGGGACAGTTACTGATTTAGAAGAATATTAAGAAAATGGTTTGGGAGTTCCTAGATCCCAAAGTAAGGCAGTAAAGCAAGACCTCATGCCAAGGGTTGTTAAAGAGATCATTCTTGGAGCTCAGTGACTCTGATCACACAGAGGGTCTCCCCTTACCAGCCTCGTTCACTGCCCTCTTTCCAAATCTTGTCCACTCTTTAGAACTTGGCTCAATCAGCCATTCATTCGACAAACATGAATTGCACATTCTATGTGCCAGGCGATGTGCTGGACAATGGGAATAGGAAAATACACGTGATAGTATAACCCTTTAAAGACTCTGTTGTCGAAGAGCAGAAAGGCATAAAACCCCATCAGTGTGCCCAGGTATCTGTGGCATGGTAGTAAAAGCAAGTATAGGAAAAGAGGGCACCAAGAAGGGAGTGCTCTGTTCTACCTTATGTAGCATTAGAGGTCAGGAAGGGTTCGGCTATGGAAGTGATTCCTGAGGCAGACACAGCAGGGACAAGTGTTCTAGAAAGGGTCTGGAGGCATGACATGCTGTAATGCTTTCTTTCTTTGTTTAATAACTTTGTCTTTCAACAGAGCCCTTTGGAGCTTTTCTAAGCTTTCTCATTTCTTCTGAGTTATCTGTGTCTATTAGGGATCAGGAGCTTGATATTTGGTATTTACAGAAAATGTCCCAGATGGAAATATTGCCCTCTTGGTGGAATGAGCCCCCTCCCAGGAGTCAGATGGGTCAGTGTCCTATGAGTTATCCTCCAAATGGAACCTGTAACAGAGTATTCAATCTGGCTTCAATTTCATTTTGAAATAGATGATTCCAAAAATGAGTATACTTGATAGTGGATTAAAACAAAATGAGCCCCTTTTGGAATTTAAGCTTGCTATGCTTCTCTTGTTTACAGTACTATTCTAATAAAAGTATATTAGAAAGAAGGCTGGGCACGGTGGCTCACGCCTGTAATCCCAGCACTTTGGGAGGCCAAACGGGCAGATCACCTGAGGTCAGGAGTTTGAGACCAGCCTGGCTAACGTGGTGAAACCCCTTTTCTACTAAAAATACAAAAAATTAGCTAGGTGTGGTGGCGCGCGCCTGTAATCTTAGCTACCTGGGAGGCTGAGGCAGGATAATCGCTTGAACCCAGGAGAAAGAGGTTGCTGTGAGCCGAGATTGTGCCATTGCACTCCAGCTTGGGCAACAAGAGTGAAACTCCGTCTCCAAAAAAAAAAAAAAAAAAAAATATATATATATATATATATATATATACAGCAAATTGTATACTTTAAATATAAATATATGCAGTTTATATATATATATAATTAGAAGGAAAAATAAATTACTGGATCAGAGTATTGGTTAAATATACATCTTTAGAAGTGGTATTTAATATTAAACATGTACAGAATATATCTTGAGTGTAGACTATTAAGTATCTACAGAGTACTTATGTAATATTATCACATACAAAAGGCAGGCAGATAGGCCAGTTATCTTAGTGATGGTTATTTTGGACACTGTATTACAAAAAGATAATTATTTATTTTTTATGATTTTCTGTGTGTTTGCAAAACTATACAATGAAGCTGCATTCATTTTATAAATGGAAAATATTCTTTTTTCCTGTAATAAATTTTGGAGGTAACGAATTGAAAGAAGTCCTCCTTCAGGAAAGGACAATAGGGATACTGTTAGCCATCCCTAGAGGACCATCTCCTAAGATGAGGCTGGCTTCAAACTCTTGCACAGAAAATGATACAGTCTCTACTCTGTTCATTCATTCACCAACAAGACAGCCTCGTATGTGCTGATATCAAGCTATAAAAGATAAGTTTATCCATGGCCTCGAAGGTCCTGTAGTCTAGTTCAGGTAAGAGACATGTAGAAAAAAAAAACAGGCAAAGATACCTTACAAGTATGATAAAAGGTATCTGATCAGGTTAAAAAGAGAAAGTGGTTAATTAAAATGGAGACCCCGCCTGGTTCATCACGAGTTTCCTTGGTTCTGAAAGCCTTTGCTCTGAAAGCCTTTGCTCTATTCCTGCCAGGCTTCCCTTTTTTCATCATCATCAGACTTAAATGTTCTCTTGAGTGCCATATGCATTTCTACCATGATGTAAATTCCCTGAGGGCCACATTATGTCATATTCATATTTATATGCCCCACAATACCTTGCATGTAGTAGAAATTCAGTACATATTCATGGGAAAGTGAATGGCCCAGCTGTGCATACAGTAGTATTGTAATAGAAAGAGTTCATTTCAGGCTCAAGCAAGCTATTTTATAAATCTGACAACTTCCTGATAGTGAAGGAAAATGACTACATCTGATCTCAGCAAGTGCCGATTGATTGATGCTTCTTTCTGATGCCATGTGGCAAAGGAAGAGGTTTCTTCATAAAGTCAGTAGCCTCTGACATGCATCACCATGTCTTTTTTCTTAACAAACAGTCCTTTCTTTCATGAGGTCATGCACCTGTTATGCAGGAAAATAATAACACTCTTAGAAATATGGAAAGACAGACGCTTCGCTTTATTAAACCACAGCTCTATGGTTTGTAAAAAAGATGCAACCCAGAAAACAGTTGTTTGTGGAGGATTTGGCTGAATTATTACAATCTCCATGGGAGCCTGAGTTTTATGTGGGATCCAGGAACTGCATGGGTGGCAGCATCCACACTCTTGGTTCTCAGAGCCCAGTGCCCCTGTCGTGAGTGTTATCATTCAATTTTCACATAGCAAGAGTGACAGGAGCTAATTGTTTGGATCCTGTTTGTGTCCTTCTAACCCCATGCAGTTGAGTACTTTCTACTCATCTGAATGGCCAGTTGGAGTTCTAATAATAGAGTTTCTAAGCTTGTGTCTAGACTATGCCAGAAAGGTTGGTTCCATATGGTGAAAAGAAGACACATTTCAGCGAAAAGAAATCTTTATGAAAATTTACTTTAGTTAAAAGGGTAGCTTACTTTTTTTGGAAGAAATCACTACTTCTAGTGCATATCACATTAAGGTGTATTGTGAAGCTATGTACACAGGTGAACACATTCACATCCGCACACATGCATGTTCTCATACACCTTCAATGGAACGAACTAAACCATTCTGAGCCTTGGACAATTGGGAACTTGAGTTCTAGGGACTTCCAGTGGATGGTCATGCCATATAGAATTGAACTGATGGTATGATTTGTGGTCCCTTTTGGAAAATGAAGCTGACAGTTTCTTCCATTGCAAGAATACTCAAAATTTTAGTGTGCTGATCAAAGCATGAGGAAACTTTTGGGAAAGATGCATATGTTTACTGACTTGATGGTGGTGATGGTTTTGCAGGCACATACATGTGTCAAAACTTAGTAAATTGTATACTTTAAATATAAATATATGCAGTTATTGTATGTACTTATTACCTAAATAATAAAGAACACAATTTTAGTGTGCAGGACTGGAAGGCCCCTCCACATACCTCGCAGGAAGAGGTTTGGTAGTGAACTAACACAAATGCCAATGTGTTAACCTGGCAAATGCCCACATGCATTATTTCTGTAATCATCCAACACTCCTTCCAGGATCTAGGAAAATCACTAATTGTAGGTGAGTTTTGTGCTAAACACGTGTGTATCCATTCAATATCCACAACGCCAATGGCCCGGACCTGTCTCTGGTCTGGAAAGAGACAGCAAGTTGTCTCATCACTGGTGAAGTTAGGAAATAGTGATAATCCAGAATGCACAAGAAGGACTGTGACACCAGCAAGTTACAGTTACCCCTTGTGACCCTTCAGTCCTACATGGTTAATTTTATGTCTTAATAATTTAATTGTCAGATTCAACCATTACATTTAATTGTGGAAAGCAGTGTGGCGATTACTCAAAGAGCTAATAACAGAAGTACCATCCAACCCAGAAATCTCATTACTAGGTATATACCCCCCAAAATATAAATCGTTCTACCATAAAGACACATGCATGCATATGTTCATCACAGCACAATTCACAATAGCAAAGACATGAAATCAACCTAAATGCCAATCAATGGTAGACTGGATAAAGAAAATGTGGAACATATACACCATGGGATACTATGCAGCCTTAAAAAGGAATGAGATCACGTCCTTCTCAGGGACATGGATGGAGCTGGAGGCCATCATCCTTAGCAAACTAACACAGGAAAAGAAAACTAAATACTGCATATTCTCAGTTATAAGTGGAGCTAAATGATGAGAACACATGGACACAAAGAGGGGAACAACACACACTGGGGCCTACTTGGGGGTGGAGGATAGGAGGAGAGAGAGGAGCAGAGAAAAGAAACAACTGTTGGGTACCAGGTTTTGACACAGATTTACCTATATAACAAAGCTGCACATACACCCGTGAACCTAAAATAAAAGTTAAAAAACACAACAAAAATCAGATTAATTTGCTTTTAGCTGCTACCTTAATAAATTCTTTTCTTGCTACTCACTGCAAGAAATATAGACAAAATTGTAGAAATAGAGTAAAAAAGAAAGAGTTTGCAAATTCCCAAGTGAGTTTTAACAAAGGACAATGAGTTGTGTGTGGAGAAGCCTCTTAGCAGTAGAAAAAGACAAATTCCAGTCCCAGCTTTCCCCACATGGGGACTGGAATAGGTCTCCAGGTTACTCAGCCCTGGACCTTGGATAGGGGCTCCCCAGATCTGTACCTGTTAGGTCCAGGCCTGAGAGCCGAGGCAGGGATTGGGGCTCAAGGAGGTGACAATAAAAATTGCTAGAGTTAAGAAGAATGTGGGAAAAGAGAGGGCCTGAGAAACAGAGGCAGCTAAGGAGAGGCAGGGTGTCAGCAGATATACCCATAATTCCCATAGTCGTGGTGGCAACACCACGCATCTTGGCACACGAGGAGGAGAGAAAGGGGAACCAGGAGGCTGAGTAGGTCAGAAACATGGGGTTTGACTGGAGAGGACAGAAGAGACAAGGTGTGGTGGCAGCATTTCCAAAGTCTATGGGAGGTCGGGTGTGGGGGATTAAGGTGGCCTCTGGGCCTACTGAGAGTGGATAAGAATTTCTTTGATTTTATACTTTCAGTTGGAGAAACTAGGTACTCCTGGAGTTTTTCTATATCCCTTCCTTTATCTCCATTATTTCTTATTCACCTGCTTTAAACATATTTCTGATTCATTTCAAGTTAGAATCAACATTTTAAGTTCAGACTTAGGTTTTAGAGGTGAGTATTTGACAAACCAGCACCCTGATATCCAAACGTTAAAAAGAATTTAAAAATTAAATGATGATATCTATTTTTCTGAACATCTAAAAAAGAAAGCCCAATTATTCTTTATAGTTGGAATATCCTATTATAATTAACTTTAATCCATACTAAATGGGCTTTAAGAAAACAGGCTTTTCTCACCTCGGTTCGATTTCATTTTTCAGTCTTAATGATTTGAGGTAGCTCCTGCTAATTTTTGTTAGCCATGCACAAATGCAAATGGTAATGAGGCTTTTGTGTATGTGTGTGAAATTCAAAATCCATCCCTACTCTATTAACTCTGTAAAGAAAGTTACACCGTAGGAGACCATAGTAGTCTGAACAAAAGGGCTTCTATTGTACAAAACCAATTTCCATGTAATCAAGTTGGGCGACAGAGTGTTTGCTCTTGAATGGTATTTGTGCAGTGTTAGAGATGTCTGACCTGTGCTCTGTGCCCGGGAGTTCTATCACTTTGCCGGGTGGAAAGGTCAAAGGAAAGAAATGTCTCCTGAGTGTCGGAGCTGAAATTGTGAAGCTTCACAATGGGCTCGCTCTGTGGCCACCTCAGTTATTACTTTTGTCACTAAAATCTGGCAAAGCATGGACATCTTTTAACTGATTTGCTTAGGAAACAGCAAGAGATTTCTGTAACTAAAAAAGTATCTCATTTGGAATTAGGACTCTTCTTTTTCTTAATGTGTGAAGTTTTATTAAAGTTCTAGTTATCAGTTAATGCATTTTTCCACCTTGTGCATGTAACTGCAGTGCCAGGCACACAGTAGGGACTCAGTAAATATGCATTTTTATTAAAGAACGAATGAATAACAAATGAACCAAATGTCTCTTAAGCAACAGATGCAATATTTTATAACTTCATCATACCAGTCTAGGAAGCTTGACATACTTTGATCTAAAAACATTTATATTCTATAATTTTCTTGTAATGCAAAAATTAACACATAGTCTTCTTCCATGGATGTGATATAAAGGTGCTTTTTGTTTTGAGTAGATGTCTTTGTAAGAATGGAAATACCATTTTGCAGTGTAGGCAGCCGTTAGATGATGTTATACCCTTAACGGTGTTTTAGCTCAGGGAAGAACCCCAGTGTCCTGCAAGACCCCTCCACGTGGTTCTGCAGGGAAACCTCTGAAGGCTACGACCAGCAACCTGACAGTCACAAAGGCAGCCAACAAAAGCTCTCACGGCTTTGCTCCAGAATCAAATAGGAGAGCCAAGTGCTACTTTTAAGAAGCGGCACCACGCTGACATGCTGCGGGGTTCTGCCTTATAAATCGATGCTGATACGATTCTACAAGTCTGTAATCAGTTTGAGATTATGCTCTGGTGTGTTCTACAGCAGACAGATTGCAATTTTCACTTTAGTTTTCCAGTAAAACGGAAGATGATTGGGCAAGTTACCCTGCAGTATACTTGTTAGTGGCTTTAAAAACGGCATTAACTTTTGTTCATTTGGTTGCTACGAAACTGAAAAAGGCTCTGTGAGACTCTGACTTTTTCATACCACATTGTATTTTATAAGTATGTCCCCATTTCCAGCCCCGGACCCCATGTTCCTCCAGAGAAGAGTCTGTTCAGGTATTTTATATCTTTATATCCCTAGAGCCTAGTGCAATGTCTAGATATTTTTTCAGAATGAAGTAATAGAAACACATTTTTTAAAGTTAAAAAAGAAAAAATTTGGGCATCTTTACTGTTAACTCAAAAATGCATTATCTAATATTATTGATTTGCACCATATCTATAACCTGAAACTAACTAGGTATGAACACCTGTAGACAAAGCTCTTATACAGTAAGACTAGACCAAATATACATGTTAAATACATACCAATTTATATGATCAATCCAGTTGGCACTAACAACATTATTGTAATGTGACAGGTGATGTTTTGTCCAAACTGGTGTAATTCTTACAATGTTTAACAATCTGTTTCCACTTGTCAATTTGAATCTTCCAATTTTGAGTCTTACTATTATTTGACAATTGTTATTCACAATTATTTGAACCATCATCATTGTCTTGGTTATTATTCCTTTAACGGTGAATGTGAATTTAAATCACCATTTGTTTTGATATGCTAATTTAATAGATCACCTCAAAATATAATATTTATTAAAAAATACCATATGTGGTAAATTCTCAATTGCATGTTTACTTCTATACCTGCTATAAATTAAGTATATAGACTTGGTATATCCAAGTCACAACATAAATATGGTGCTCATGACCATTGCAAGGTGTTCTGAATTTCTCAATGCTATGCCACCTCGGGAGTTTTCTCTGTAAAAACTTTGGGTCATTTTATTTATGTGTCAACCCTTGGTTATAAGAAGTCATTTGGGTGATGCAGAATTTTAAATATTTCCTATAGGATTTGCAAAACCAGCAATTATCCCTCTCATCCTTTGTGCCCCCAGGTTTAAGAAACACTGCAGTGAATGTACTCCAAGTGAGTGACTGAATGCAAAGCCATTAATGTGGCCTGACTTAGAATATTGTTTATTTTATTTATGTATTTTTTGAGACAGAGTCTCACTCTGTCAACAAGGCTGGAGTGCAGTGGCACGATCTCAGCTCACCGCAACCTCCACCTCCTGGGTTCAAGCGATTCTCCTGTCTCAGCCTCCCCAGAAGCTGGGATTACAGGTGCCCACCACTGCACCCGGCTAATTTTTTTATATTTTTGGTAGAGACAGGGTTTTACCACGTTGGCCAGGCTGGTCTCGAACTCCTGACCTCAAGTGATCCACCTGCCTCGGCCTCCCAAAGTGCCAGGATTATAGGCATGAGCCACTAAGTCCAGCCTAGAATATTATTTAAATACAAGTTTGCATATTTCCTTGTGTGCTTGACTTATTTATATTTTGCTATTTTTTTGATTTGATGGAAATAATAAAGTTGGATTTCTTTAACAACTTAATATTTCTTTGGCAGATTTCTGAAAAATACTACAAGTATTTGCCTGTAGTAAGCTTTGGGAGACCTTTAAGCTTCCTAACTACTCCTCCAAGGGTATCATATCACCCCCAACCAAATTCTCCCAGGACTTAAGAGATTCCTAAAATTAAGAACTATTGGAATTGCTTTAACTCTTTAGTAATACTGCATTTTAACTCCAGTGGCATAAAAAAACCCACAAAATCTAAAAATATAATTGCAACTCTTTAGGGTTTAAATGCCAGGAACAGAACCTGCGGTCTCGTACCTGGATACCTACCTTTTAGAAGATAATTACAGCAAACCAGCATGGCATATCTATACCTATGTAACAAACCTGCACATTCTGCACATGTATCCTGGAACTTAAAGTAAAATAAAATAAGATAACTTAAAAAGTACCAAAAAAAAGAGAAGATAATTAGGCACAAGAACTGAACGGGAGGCTAAGGAGAAACAGATGTAAGCTAAATCTAAATGCTATTTTATCTCTTCTTTTTCCACCATGAGCATTTAAGTATTTCTTAGCTTATTTAATTTTTAGAAACTTTTAATAAAACAGTAATGCCGACAACATTAACTTACATTTATATATTTAGAGGTAAATAGAATTCCAGTGTATACTTTTTACATACCTCATCTCATTTAATTCTCATCAAACCTGTCTGCATTGAGAGTTACTATTTCCATTTGAAAATTATGAATTTCCATTTGAATTATGGAGTTATGAAATTATGAAAGAGTTTAGGCTCAGAAAGGACTCTGACTTACCCAAGGCCTCTCAGCAAAGCAGAGATGGAGGAAAATGCAGACCATCCCCTGAGCCAAATGGATTTCCTCAGTGCTCAGAGCCTGGCCATCTTCATTCAACACTTGGGTACTTGGAAGTCTTTAGCAACTCGGAGTAGTCTGCCAGCTTTTAAATTCTATCTTTAAGCTGCAGCTGACATATTGCTTTGGAAAGTTGTGATAAACTGATCTCTCTTAAGAACCTAATTCTAATGCATGAAATTGTGGGCCTAAATTTGATAACTGTGGTCACATTCTAAAGACTAAATTTTTAGCATCTTCGGGGAACTATGATCAATTCCATGAAGTTTGGGCTTAAATGTTTTTAAACGATGAGTTCAATATGCTAATGTTTACAGGCATGCCACTCTAAAAAACCTAACAGAGGGAAAATAACACAAAACAAGTAAACTAGGAATTGGTTAATTGCATTTTAAAAAGTGGATTTTTTTACTTTATGAAAAGGTCCTCAGCGCTCCTTGATGTGCTCAGCTCTCCCAGTGCATTTAAATGTTTGATTGCGGATCATTAACCACTTGGTTAAATGGCTGGGGTAAAAAAAGAGGAAAAATTGCCAAAGGTTTGGGAATCAATACTAATTACAAAACAATCAAAAAGCTTGATAAAGTGTTTCTGAATTTTAAATGTAAATTTAAAATTTAATGGAGAGAGTTCATTTAAATCACCCCAATTTTACTTACATACAATAATTTTGTGAAAGACACCTTTAGTAAACTAAGATTGTTTGTTACTTAAATTACTAATGTGCTTCATTCATTCATTCATTCCTTCATTCAGTGCATATTTATTGAGTGCCTAGTGTGTTCCAGGCATCATGCAAAGCAATGGTGAGTGTGGTCTCTGAACTCTTAGATTGTGCACTGTAGTTTATTAATTTCGTTTTGAACTTTTATGGGACTAGTAGATGTAAAATGGCAACGAATAAGAAAGTTCTCTTTTTAAAAACCTACTCAGGGCTGGGGACGGTGACTCATGCCTGTAGTCCCAGCACTTTGGGAGGCCGAGGTAGGGGGATCATCTGAGGTCACAGGAGTTCGAGACCAGCCTGGCCAACATAGTGAAACCCCGTCTCTACTAAAAATACAAAAAATTAGCCAGGCGTGGTGGTGCATGCCTGTAATCCTAGTACTAGGGAGGCTGAGGTAGGAGAATTGCTTGAACCTGGGAGGCAGATGTTGCAGTGAGCCGAGATTGCACCACTGCACTCCAGCCTGAAGGACAGAGTGAGACTCCGTCTCAAAAAACAAAAACAAAAACAAACAAAAAACTTAGCTCCATGTGGTCATATCTTTCCATTTTGTAGTGTATCTTCTTTACAGTCTTTCTAAAATATATTATTATAATGAATGATTATTATTTTCTGGATTATTTGTAAAAGATAAAGAGAAAAGCTTTTCTTAATTTGGTTCTTGGCATATTTATATGGATGTGTTGAGGCTACAGAAATGGCAATTATCATAAATATTCCAGATGGCACATTTTATTAGCATGAGCTCATATAACATAGATGAATCAACCTGGCATTTTTTTTCTTTTACTGTTCCGTCACCATAATAATTGGTTCTATTACAGGTGGGTAGTATGATCTTAATTTCCTTTGGTAAGCTTGAGTGATTTAATCTCATCAGTGAATTATGAGCTGAAGATATATTTCAAAATTTTAAAATCCCATAATTTTTGTGACGATTTCTCTGCCTTGTGAATTTAATGAAAGAAAGTCATCTACTAGTACTTCACATAGATTTACTTATTCATGTGAAAGTAGTGTTACAACTCCAAACTCTGTTTATATAAGCTATCCATAGGAACTGATTTTAATTCATTTACATTCACCACGATTATAACTTTTAGTTGAGTAAATATTGGATTTTATTAATCCCACCTGTGTTTCCTGCTGGGTAATAATATGTATTGGCACATGTATTTAAGATTCTTCAGGCTTTGAACAAAAATGTTACCATGGGAACCTGATTTCACAGCCCATAGTCCTTTGCAGAACTACACCTGCCTTATGGTAGAGGTTTCCATGGCAACATTTTTGTTCAAGGAACATAGAACTTGAAGAATATGCTACGAGTCTCTTTTAAATGTGTGTGTTGAGAGTTGTGGTATTACTATAGCTAATGTGCATTTTAGAAAGACAGGTGGCCCCTTGGTGGGCCTTCCAGTGAAGAGCTTTCTATTGAGTTTAGTAGTCACAATGCATTGGATTAGGAAATTAGAGCAATTTTTAGCCTCTTTTCCTTCTCTCCGTCCTCTCCTCATTTGACCCTAGAGTGTGGTGAAGTAACCCTCAATGGCTAGCATTTCCAGAATGATCATTTGTGATAATGCAAAACTGAGAAAAAGATGTGTCACTAATGTCTGGCCAAGCTCAGCAGGCTCTCTTTAAAAGGGCAGCATCAATCCTGGGAGCCTCTAATGCCACAGAATATTCTACTAATGGTTCTTCAGTCTCCTCCTATATACTTTACTCCTCCGAAGATCACCAGGTCCAATAACAAAGCATCGTGAGGATGAGGTGAGAATTCGTTTTCATATTTCTCATCTGGTGTCTAGTCTCTTTATTGTATTAACTTTCAGCATTAAAAAGTTGACAATTCTTAAAGTGGCCCAAGTTCTTCCTTTGATCATCATTCATGTGTGTCATATTACATTTATAACTAAGGCCATGTGGGATGAGTGTGCTATTGCCCTGCAGGAGATTAATCTAGGGTCATCATTGTGGTGTTATTATGGTCCTATCCACTGTTATATGTATCCTCATCCATCAGGACCGTGCTCTTGTTGTTGCAGGTAGGCTAGCATGTCACTGTTCCCGGCAGGTCTCAAAACATGCAGCAGTGGGTTTTGCAGCAGCCTCAGAGGCTGCTCACGTCCTACAGAGGAGCTGAATGGGTACTATTATGAATGTCAATCATCCTACACCCGCAAGGATATCAAAGGGACTTTTAGAGACCATGGGGCTGCTTTCACAGAAACCCTAATCAGATCATCTTCCTTGATCAGGGAAAGGAATATAGGAAAATGAGTTAGGTTAAAGGAATTAGAACAAGTAAATGCTTTCAGAATACATTTATGACAAATTAGCTCGGAGTGCAAATAGAGATTACTTTGTCTGATTGAGTAGAAGCATAAGTTAGAAGCCTGTGAGGTCAGGCTTCTGCCAGCTGAAGCCCTTGGAAAGTTAAATACAGGATGGTGCGAAAAACTTGTTCGTTGCACACACATATACACAGAAAGAAGGAAGGAAGGAAGGAAAAAAAGGAAGGGAACAAGGAAGGAATAGTAAATAAATATAGGCATAGTGAAATGATAAACTCAGTAAGTCAACTGAGAAAAATGTCACTACAAGGAATGGGCGAAAAAAAAATCACAGGTGAATTTCAATGAGAGGAAAGTACAAACAATAGAGCGGAACCTGTACTGGACCAGGAGTCAGACAATCTTGGTCTTCCACCTCATCTAACCTCAGTTGCTTTTCTAAATTAAATAGTGGAGCCCGAGCCAAGATTTTGAAACTTCATGTTCTGTGAATGCATCTGTCTATGCAGTGTCGATGGCTCTCAGGAAGTGTTCTTGTCTCTGGAACAGCTACTTCTACTAGAACAGCTCTGCTTTCATATTATGAGCCCTCTAATGAGCTTGCATTAGAAGAAAATGCTTCCCGAATATAGGAAGTTTTGAAACTAACAGAATTGCTGATTTCTTAAATTCTGCCTGAGCTAACATGACATTTTTTTTTTTTTGAGACGGAGTCTCGCTCTGTGGCCCAGGCTGGAGTGCAGTGGCGCGATCTCGGCTCACTGCAAGCTCCGCCTCCCGGGTTCACGCCATTCTCCTGCCTCAGCCTCCCGAGTAGCTGGGACTACAGGCACCCACCACCACTCCCGGCTAATTTTTCTGTATTTTTTTTTTTTTAGTAGAGATGGGATTTTGCCGTGGTCTCGATCTCCTGACCTCGTGATCTGCCCGCCTCGGCCTCCCAAAGTGCTGGGATTACAGGCGTGAGCCACCGCGCCAGGCCCAACGTGACATTCTATACCCCTGTCTTTGCTAACCTTACAAAATGATGGATTTTAACCATTGTTTAAATATAGTTATGAGAGTGTTAAACTCCTGATCATTGCTCAATTAATATTTCTTGTGTTGAACTGAATTAAAGTGGACCATACAAATTCTTTTCCTAAAATGGCAAAGAAATGCTCCATGTGAATAATCAGGAAGGCTGGGAACCCAAAATAAACCTTGGCCCTGCCCTTGCAAAAAAAAGGAGTTGTGATGGTTAATATTGAATGTCAACTTGATTGGATTGAAGGATGCAAAGTATTGTTTCTGGGTGTGTCTGTGAGGGTGTTGCCAAAGGAGATTAATTAACATTTGAGTCAGTGGTCTGGGAAAGGCAGACCCACCCTCAATCTGGGTGGGCACCATCTAATCAGCTGCCAGCGCAACCAGAATAAAAGCAGGCAGAAGAACGTGGAGACACTAGACTGGTTTAACCTCTGAGCCTATGTCTTCCTCCCGTGCTGGAGGAAGCCCTCAAACATCGAACTCCAGGTTCTTCAGCTTTGGGACTCAAACTGACTTCCTTGCTCTCAGCTTGCAAACAGCCTATTGTAGGACCTCACCTTGTGATGGTGTGAGTTAATACTCCTTAATAAACTCCCTTTTATATGTACGTCTGTCCTATTAGTTCTGTCCCTTTGGAGAACACTGACTAATGCAGCAGAGTTTGGCCACACCTGGGAGATTTTGTGCAATTTGGGCCACTGAAGTTCAAGGGAAGATAACAGCCTTAAAGCCCAGGGAAGCTGAAGACACAAAGGTACCATAAAAGGAGACAGAACGCTCAAAGGAATAAGAGCTGGCCAGGCATCCCAGAAGAGGATAGATGAAACCATTAGGGCTTTACCCCTTCAATATGGAGTCTCAAGGAGCTACGATCAAAGTCTAAAACCAACAAGGAACATGAATATAGTGAACACACATTTGTTCATCTAATCCTGGAATGTTATTGCAAGGGAACCAACTTACTTGCAACTTCAGAGAGGTAAGTTTAGGCCAAATGGAAGTCCTGTTTAACATAGGAAGTAGTTTGCTAATATGATTAATTATTCTCAGCGTTCGAATAAACTGGATATATAAAACTCAAGCCAGTGGAGCAAATACAGTCAGGTGATGGGGCCCCTGCCTCAAGCTGTTTGCTGTGTGTGACCTGGCAACTGTGCCTGAGAATGCGAGGAGAAGCTCTGAGGCTCATAGACTCTGCCCCCTGGATAGAGGGTTGTTCTACAGCTAAGTTAGAGCAGTGGTCCTCTCCTAATTCACAAACAATGAACTTCATGCATGGCGTAGTCTCAGTTTCAGTACCTGACTTCACAATTCAACCTACCAAGGGGAGAGGAAAATTTTCTCATGATTTTTTTCTGAAATGATTGCTTATTTTTGCTAAAATCTGGTAGATAATAATTTGGCACCAAAGTTTGTGTGCACATATACACATACATGAATATATTTATATATGCATATACGTGAATATTACATGCATTTATGTAGTGTGTGTGTGGGTGTGCATGCATGCACATTTAGATCAACAGGGCAACATTTCCCAGTGGTCCACCAAGAGCTCTTTCCAGGTGTTCTCCAGGTGGATGGACATGGAGATGGCAACATTTCAGGTGGAGGCAGCCATGTGAGTTAATACTCAGAGCTGCAAAACTGCCTGTGTGGTTCCCATTCTGAAGAGCTGCAGATGGTTCTACACAGGCAGCTGGAACTTTGGATGAAGATGGGCTGTGTCAGGAAGGGGAGTTGAAACATAATAAGGTTGGTGATCTAAATAGATGCCAGATAATGGGGGTCCTGGGATGCTCTATTATACATGTGTTCATTATTTCATAGGTAATGGGACACCATTGAAGGCTTTCAAGCATGAGAGAAGCATGATAAATCTGTGTGTGAGAATGCTCACTCCAGATGTTGGGTGGAGAGTGGATTCATTGCAAGAGTGAGGCCAAAGAGATCTCTTGGGTTAGAAGTGATTTGTTAATATTGGAGAGAGAAAAAAATAGGGCCTGAATTTACAACAGTAGCAATAGAATTGGAGAGAAAGAATAGGAGATGCTTTAGACTTAGACTATTTTTATCTTCTACTCCCTCCCAATAAGCTTTTTCTTTCTTTCTTTCTTTCTTTTTTTTTTTTTTTTTTTTTTTTTGAATGAGTCTTACTCTGTTGCCCAGGTTGGAGTGCAGTGGTGCAATCTTGGCTCACTGCAACCTCCACTTCCCGGGTTCAAGCAATTTTCATGCCTCAGCCTCCTTAGTAGCTGGGATTACAGGTATGTACCACTACGCCTGGCTAATTTTTGTATTTTTAGTGGAGACGGGGTTTCACCACGTAAGCCAGGCTGGTCTCAAACTCCTGACCTCAAATGATCCGCCGCCTCAGCCTCCCAAAGTGCTGGGATTACAGGTATGAGCCACCGCGCCCGGCCCCAGTAAGCTCTTTCAATTTGCACTTCTTTTGCTAATAAGAGACAGGCAGATTGGTGAACTTTGTTTATTTGTTTTCCACCTGCTTTCATCTGCTCCTCTTTTACTACTTGTAACGTTAGTCTTCTAGATAAGGGAAAAGAAAGAAAGGAAAAAAATTATTCTGTTTCCTTAAAAGCAAAATAACTAATAGGTTATGAATGAGCTGCATTTATTTTTTTCTTCACTAATGCAGGATTTTCTGTAATGAATTTTGTCAGGAAGATCTAATTAAACCATACTAGCAGTCACTGGGAATAGTAACAAGAAACATGTTAAATAGATTCTTGCTAGGCAGTTTTTTCCCGCTATTGTTACCTCTTCTAACCTTTACAGTACACTTTCCCAATGGAATATACAGTCTGTGTACCAAGGAATTATTCAAGTACGAAGTTACGTACATCTCACAAACATAAAAGCTTCAGCCCCTGGCACACGTAAGAGGAACAGAGGTTCCTGTAGAAATGTAGAAAATGTTCACTTTTGGTCTGGTGTGAAGATAAAGTTAAAAATATCTAGATCTGACTACATACCTGGTCTTTAAATAAACCATAAGTCACAAAAGTCAAAGGTGAATGCAAATTGTTTTTATCTTAAGAATAAAACAAAAAAAGATATTTATTATGGAATAAACCTATCAAAGCTCCAAATCGAATAAAAAGGTAGGTCGCATTGTGAAGCTAGAAATTCTCTTCCTGTTAGTACCACCACACTTATTAACTGAAAAGTTTTCGTGGTATATTTGAGCATATGTGAATGGTGAGGAACAGAAAAAACACTTTTCCACCCCAAATCTGCTCAAGTTATTAGCATTCCCTCTGCTCCTGCTTTCCTCTTTTTCTCCCAACATAACATCTCACGGCTTAAGATGAAAAGACTTATTGGATTCTCTGTTGTCAGTTGGACAAGTCCTCTCTGGGGTCCTTTCTGTCAAGATCCTTGGATTCCATTTGAATTTAAAACAGACCTGTAGGCTTGGGAAACGTGGCTGCCCTGTGTTCAGGGAAACAGAGAAAGAGTTATTTTTAAAATATCTTACAAGATCTTCATTCCCAAGGCAAGTCAGGGGAAAACTGGTGGATGTTTCAGAGTGTTTGTTTTCAACTAACTACATGTGGGAGATCCAGAAAGGATGTGATCACTTAGGACAGCCAATTATTGAATGTGCACACTGAATTTCTCAGCTGAATTTTTTTTTTAATTTAATGGACCAAGTCATTTAAGGCCTCATGCATTATGTAGCTCAGTGACATTTTGGCTGTCAGAGCAAGACTCTTTTGATTTGGTAGAATATCTGGCTGTGTCTTCCTTTATTTCAAAGAACTATGATTTTAATCTCTTTTTATTAAAATCTAAAAGAAATGATCTTACACCACATTTTTCAAGAAGTTATTTTTTTTTTGTTTTAGAGGAATCTCAACTGCCAAATCAGTAGGCTAATATTAAAATATTTTAAATTGTGTGATATGGAAGAGAAAGGAAGGAAGAGAAAATAATTCAGTCACGAAAAAGGGAAGAAAAACCTAATACATAGGATGAAAGCAATCGTTGCTATTAAATGCCTGTGGGACTTATTAAAAAATTAGGTATAGAGAGTACGTTCAATTATAAGAATTTTTGCCCTGTCTTAAGAGTGTGTGTATTTATTTATTTAATGCTACCCAAGTTATCTTTTAAGATTATTAGGGGCAGGCATGAGTGTTCATATTTAATTTTTCTCATACTGTTATCTAAACTGATATTTGTTTCCTTTTATTGACAGAGCTATAAAAAATAAAAACGATGTGAATTTCCCTGTCTTTTTATGTGTACTTAACTCCAATTGATTTTACTGACAAGAGTGCATTTAGGAGAATTCCCCCAATATTCTACCAATAAAACTGTCCCTGCAATCTGTCTAGTCTCCTGATGGTCCACCCCATTCATTAGCTTCATTCTTTCTAGACTACCATCGCCTGCGCATCCCCACTCTGCTTAAATGTCCCCTCCTTCCTCCTCTCTACAGAAGTCACACCCCGTTCCAGACCTAGATCACTAGGCTATCTGATGATTCTAATTACTTTTGTATTTCATCTATTGCTTCGTTAATACTTTTCACTACCTAATTACTTTATCACATCAATATTTGCTGCTTCCTCCTCTAGACTGTAAGTTCCTATGGCCAGGAATACTGTCTTCTATCACTTCTGTACTGCGGTACACACTAAGCACTTAACCCAACGCTCCCAAATCCTATTTTGTAAAAGAATTTTCTCCAGAATAAAAGAAAAAATTGTAATAATGTTGTGAGCTAGTCACTAAGCTCAACTTGTCTGATAATTTTTATTCTCAGATAATGTTCTCTTGAATTTTTGGTGTTAGAATTTCCTTTATGAAAATAAGATATAGTGGTTTTAAATAGCAGAATTGTTGTTTTTACTTTTCTTAATAAAATAGCAATTTAATACCAGTCCCTCAAATATTTTGAAACTGAAATCCCAGTGCCTGGGAACCACTGGTTGACAATTCATCCCAAGCAGGCCATGACAATTGTCCCCTCTGGAGACCTCCTGTAACTTTGTAGAACTCATTGGCCATTCAGTGAGGCTGTGTGGCTCTTTATGCTCTTACATATTTCCCTGTACCTGCAGCTAATTTAGAGCCTCATTTTATACTTATTTCTTCTTCTTTGTGGCACCTATTTATGATTACAGTGTTGACAGCAAATCTCAAAAATATGCTTGTTGAAAAATTGAGTATTCAGAATTATTCCAAATTTGGGGAGCTAAAAGAAATCATGGATTTGGATGGATTAGTTTATATTAAGGAAACTAAGATTGTGTATTTCAGACAGTAAAAATAGCAAAATTATGATAAACTCTAAATTATACGTTAGACTGTGTTTATGGAAAGGTATCAAAAACCATATTGATTTGACAAATCCTTTGTAATATCCTTCTATAAATGCTTAATGAAAGAAAGAAGAGTATTTTTGCAGGACAGTATCATTTTCTAGTGAATTCTGTGACTGTAAAACCTTGTTGTGGTTCCAGTGCAGAGTTCTTTTTATTCCTTATTAGGCATATAAAATAGTACTTTTTTCCTGTGTATGTAAACATAGTTTTAACATAATTTTTTCAATCAAGAAATACTTTTCTATTTTCTTCAATTTGTGTCTAGCTATCAGTTCCATTCTTACAAATATTCTTAGTCCATGGAACATATTTTCTGCTGAGCACTGTGAAATTTAATTCAGAAGTAGTCCTTTATTGATGCTTCGTTTTTGTGACCTTTCCAGTCCTGTGTTGGTGACATATTGGTCCTCTGTCTCCAGTGCTTTGTGAAGCTAATAGATAGGATGGAATGGGTCAGATAATGAAAGTCCCTGGTACATTAACTTTCAATTTCATGAATGTCTGAATATTGCAGAGAAGATGAATAGCAAGACTTCCTTTGCGTTTACATTTTAACATTTATAAGCTAGTTAAATTTCCCTTGTATTATCAGCAGCATAGTTCCAGTCTACAACATTAACACACACATTTATATTTTTGAGCAGTGGCATAAGAGTTTAAAATAATTTATAAACCACAGAGCAGGCAACTTACAAATGCATGCTACTAAAAGAGATGAATAAATAGGGGTTTCATCTCATATGAGTTATAGCATATGAAGTATATACACTGTAAAGCCTCCTTTATTTCTCTGTTTTGCTGACGTAAGAGGAGAGTTGGGGTGCATAGTCAGTCATATGACTGATCTGTCATTAGGTAGTTACAATCATCCCCAAAAGCAGTGTTATTGTTTTGAAGAAGCATTCATCTTCTCTGAAGACATTATAGCGAGTGTAGCCATTTGAAAGAATCTGTTGAAATAGACTAGTCTTTGGATGAGGCTTAAAAGCACCGGAGTGATAAGAAACACAGGAAGAGCCTGAGTGATTAGGCGAGGACAAGGATGAGAAGGCACACAGCTGTTCAATTGTTGGGGTTCGGACACTGATATGTGCACTCATTTGTATTCCCTTGGGTTATTTTATAGGCATTGCATCATCTGTTCTTGCCCTAGTCCGGGCTTACCACTGTATTTATAGCAACCATTCTTATGAAATATGGCCAGACTTAGACAATACAGTTTGGCCTCTCGGATTGTGCTTGATATTCTACCTGTATTTGAACACTTGCACTATCTCACCATGGTAGGAGAGCTGCTTTTGAGACCTGAGATTATGCCCTAAATGAGAAATGTAGTCATTGGCTTGATTCAATGGGAAACTATGATGTGGAAACTCCACCTAATTTGGACTCCATAAGTATGTAATTAAATGTAAATAGTACTATGTGATTTTATCTTTTGACACAGAAATGAAAAATGAGGCTGGGTGTGGTGGCTCACGCCTGTAATCCCAGCACTTTGGGAGGCCGAGGTGGGCTGATCACTTGAGGTCAGGAGTTCGAGAAACCAGCCTGGCCAACATGGCAAAACCCCGTCTCTACTAAAAAATACAAAAAATTAGCCGGATGTGGTGGCAGTTGCCTGTAATCACAGCTACTCGGGAAGCTGAGGCAGGAGAATCACTTGAACCTGGGAGGTGGAGGTTGCAGTGAGCTGAGATTGCACCACTGCACTCCAGCCTGGGTGACAGAGTGAGACTCCATCTTAAAAAAAAAAAAAACAAAAAAAACAGTATATGAGATTGTGCAGCGGCTGTTGTGTTTGGACCAGTTTCATCATCTGGTTTCTTTGAGAAGCTGTGAGCCTCTGGCTCCAGTTCCAGGCTCTCCCATAGTGACATCTTCCCTCTCAAAGGGGGCATCAGTTTTCCTCAGCTGCTGTTTCATTTAAACAATTACGGAGGAGCCTTTCTCTCCAGCTCATCTTACTTCACTCCATGAATGCAGCCTCCAGTCATGATGGTCTATGCCTTTACCCTCTTTAGAGCAGTGAAGTGGCCTCAGTCATCTATTATAGAGGTCACTATTGGCAGAGACTTAGTGGCTTGGCTTTGCACTTTCCTGCCATGCCATTTCTGTTTACCCCGAGGACCATTCCTCGACTTTCCAACTTTCCCCCTCTTCTGCCCCATATCACAAGCAGCTGAGCCGACAGCCCCCACATCGCTTGGATTCTGGCAAGTTGGGGCAATGAACACAGGAGGGAGACTGGAGAGAAGCAAGGAGAAACTGAGGTATTTCTTCCCCTCCACTTGTCTTGGGCAGCACCTCCAGAAGGACCCGCATCACCTCCTTGTCTCCAGCTCTCTCTAGATAGGTCCTCTAAGGTTCCAGATTTTCCTTCGTGACTGAGGCCTTTCGTCCCCATCACCCCACACCTGCCTTCTGCCCCTCATTCCTAAAGTTAACAGCAACGTCTCGCTATGCTTACATGCACATTCAATTACTGTTCACATTAGGCATTTCACCTCTTGATTACCTGTGTGAACAAGGCTTGGCACCAGCTTTACGCTTTTTAAATACAAAGAGTGGTTTCTATTTCCCTAGTTAGAGCCTAATATATCCATTCACTGTAACTACTTCATGTACATCCCACCTCCCAACCCCAGTATTTTCAAGGCAGGCTGAACCCAGAATTTCTCATTAAGCTGATTCCTTTAGCCACATAGACTCATCAATGAGCATATGCCTCCTTTTTAGTTGGTTAGTATGCAGATTCAGAAAGATTACTCTTCCAAGTTCTATTTATCTAGTGCACATGGCCAGAAATTACCTGTCTACTTATGCGCTTTTGGAGTCCTTTGTACTTACATTAAGACATATGCCAATTCTGCTTTAAATCCATTATAGATGCTCCTTGACTTGCGAAGGAGTTATGTCCCAATAAACTCATTATAGGTTGAAAATGCACTTAATATGCTTAACCTACCAAACATCGCAGCTTATCCTGGCCTACCTTAAACATGCTCAGAACACTTACATTAGCCTACAGTTGTGCAAAATCACCTAATACAAAGCCTATTTTATATTAAAGTATTGAATATGTCATGTAATTGATTGAATACTGTACTGAAAGTGACAAAAATAATGGTTGTATGGGCACTTTTAGTTTCTACTGAATGCAAATTACTTCTGTACCATAGTAAAGTTGAAAAAGCATTAAGTCTGAACCAATGTAAATTAGGGACCACCTGCATTTTAAAACACGTCTTCTCAACCTTACTAAATTGTAAGCTCTTCAAACTCAGTCACTGTATCTTCTGTCTGTATACCTCATGTCTCTAGCCCAATTTCAGGTACAAATTAAGTGCTCAAAAATATTTGACAAATGAGTGAATGGCAATTCAAACTAAAAATGAAGTTTATATAAAAATTCTCCTCTGTTAATAATGATAGATATTTTGCTCATTGCTGGGAAGAATCCAAAAGAAAAACAGAAGGGATTTGTTTCTGTAAAAAACTTGAGAGAATTGGACTACATATATAAAAAACATATACCACAAACAATGTGCCGGTAGACATGATGAGAATTTCAATATGCTCTTCCTAGAGATAGACTCACATTTGAGTTAGCAAGAGTATTGTCTCGATAATTATTTTCTTGTATTGTGGTGGTGAATTTGTTTCTTATTATTTAAGTGGATACTGTTGGTTGTTGGTGGTCCACTCAGTGTCTGCTCCCCCTTCCTCCTTCCTAAGTACCTCCTTCTCAAAGCTTCTTCTTACCCCAGAAGACTCTGGGATAAGATGGCATTCTCCTCAGCTAAGGATTGGGCACACTCTAGTCCAAACCAATCACGAAAGTCCCATTCTCCTTACATCTGGGTTATCTAAATGGTTCAAATAACTAAAACATAAGCCAACTCGCTCATGGCACTCCTCTGGCCAAGCTGGACAGAAAGTAGCTTAAGAAAGGGCATATGACCTCATTTACATCAGTGACACATAAGAGGAGAAATCTAAAGGCTTCTGAGGAAACTGTTAGAACAAAATGTTCTGTCCCCTTCTACACTGCGTGGTATGGAGATATGAAGGTTAGACCTGCAGCAAACATCTTTGCTTCCACAATGGCGGCTGGCCTTAGGATAAAGCTGACTCTGTGGAAGTCAAAGCAGAGAGACAGAAGTTAACTGGGTCCTTGGAAATACCTTGGAGTGTCTGACTCACTTAAATACCATGGAGTGTCAGTCTCTTGTGTTTTGATGAGGACTACTCCTACCTCTAGGCTTCCCTGTTTTATGAGTCAAAACCTTGGAGTAGGGTTTTCTTTCAAAGCATTTTAAAGCATCTAAACTGTAATGCCACTCTGAGAACTAAAATACTCGACTCAAACGGTGAGTCAATGAAGTCTCTAAACATGAGAGGCCAAATTCACCTAGCAGTGAATTAACCACAGGGATGGAACTCCCATGCCTCCACAGTGATTTAGCCCTCCTCCTTTCTTTCTTGCCCTTCTTCCAGTCACCGCCCTCAAGATGCTCAGGGTATAATGGTCCACTATCTATATGGAGTATTTAATTATCAAAATATGTATATTGTTAAGTGTGTGTATATAGGCAGTGCTGGTTTTACTCAAGAGACTAAGAAAGAATTTAAGATACTCAAATATAGAGGAACTTGAAGGAGAAATTTGAGTGACTAGAAGCCCTACACTCATAAATTTCAGCAAGTATGGAACAGAAGAGTCTCAAAACTATGGAACTGTTGAGAGAGGCATAAATTAGCCATCAAAAAGTTCTGACAAATACCATAAAATATGAAATGATGGGTTGGAGATTGAATAAGAACCTGGAGGCAGGTATCATGGTTAAGAACTAAGTTCATGAACCTTGGAATCAGAAAGACCTTTCTGTTCAGTTCCTGATTCTACCTCTGCACAACCTTTGTCACCTGTAAAATGGGTAATAATACTGTTTAATGGTGTTGTAAGAATCAAGTGAAACGTATCTATATATAAATGTCCACATAATATTGCCTAAAACACACTAGGAACTAAGAATATCCTGCCCCCCCCCCGTAGTTATTGTTTATATATTATCAATAAGCAATAACTGTTAGCCCTCAACTTTTTGTTCCTTGATGCAATTTTTCTGAGTTAGTTCAGTCAATCTTACTCTGAAGGAGTGAGACCACCTTGGCCATAGATTTGTGCTAATATCTGAGTTGACACATCCCAGGGACAGATGACAGATAAATGAGATTTATCTAGAGTCAGTGTTGAAGAAGAAACCTTATTAAATTAGAACTTGTGAGGCATACTCACTTGTTGGGGGTAAGGGAAGCAAGGCAGCAGCCCTCCACATATCATCGGTAAGGGCCGTGTCACACTAAAGGTAAAGCACAGGCCAATGCGGCTACAGGAGGCCTGAAGCATGTGCAACAAGTCAGGGCAACAACTGAGCATTTTGGGGTCAAAGGCAAGGCCATCTGGGGCCTGGAATAAATCACAGTTTTTGGTATTCACCTCCGACATTTCTATACAGGTAGAACAAAGTTGAAATAAATTTCTAAAGTAGTTCAAATGTTACAGTCTCTGAGATACCATCCACAGTTCTTCCAAACTTACTGACTTCCACCTATGAACCCTTTCTCACACTGCCCATATTTCTGTGCTACACTCACCTACCCTGTTGTATTCAAATTCTCACATGTGTGCCCCTCATCCTGCACCAAACTGGACTCCTGATAAAAGGGACCACATCCTATTCTTTTCTCATCGTCTTGAGACCCTACCTTAGGATTTAGGTGAATGATTATATGTCAAAGGATTCCACCTCTGCAGAGTCCTGTTACTGTTTAGATCAGAGTTTAAGAGCTATCAGCTATCCAAAATAAATCTAATATAATGTTTTTTTAAAGTTTCTAGATTTGTAATCAGCATATCAGAGTGTTATATTTGGATCAATTCAGAGACTTGTCGATTCTTAAAAAGTAAAACTTGGGCCGGGCGCAATGGCTCATGCCTGTAATCCCAGCATTTTGGGGGGGCTGAGGCAGGTGGATGACATGAAGTCGGGAGTTCGAGACCACCCCGGCCAACATGGCGAAACCCAGTCTCTACTAAAAATACAAAAATTAGCTGGGTGTGGTGGCATGCATCTGTAATCCAAGCTACTCGGGAGGCTGAGGCAGGAGAAACACTTGAACCAGGGAGGCAGAGGTTGCAGTGAGCTGAGGTGGCACCACTGCACTCCAGCCTGGGCAACAAGAGCAAAACTCCATCTCAAAGAAAAACAAAAGGTAAAAACATGGATAGTATTCTCATGGATTACAAAAGAAAATGATAGAAGTGACAGTATAAGTGCCTATTATGTGTCCAAAGACACTGTGCAGACATTATCTCATTTGACCCACACAATAATCATGTGAGGGAGGTGTTAGTAAGCCTGTTTTAAAATGAGGAAACAGAAGCTCAGAAATATTCATAATGTGTCTGAGGAAACTGGCAGAGCTGAGATGGGAAGCCAGGCTTTTGATCCAAAACCCATGTTTTTTCACTGTATTAGTTCTGTTGTTTAATTTTTCTAAATTCATGTTCCTTTTCATGATGAGCTTTAGCATTCATCAAAGGAAATGTCTGTATACGTAAATTCCCTGCACTGATAGACCAAGTGATTATTTATAGCCTGTTGACATTTGCTGAGTTTTTTGCTCACATTTACATTAGCTTCACACCCTCTAGAGAAGGCTGGGAAATGTTTTGATGGCATGTCAGAGATTTCCAAATGTATATTCACTGATTCGTTCTACAAACACTTATCAAATGTTTACTGTGTACAAGGCACTGTGCCTGGGGTGAAACATATACAATCTTTTAGGAGCAGTTGCATATAACATCTGTTGCAAGAGCAACCATTCTTCAAGATCTATTCTGGGCAGAGGTTCAAAAATGCATGTACATGTGTTCTTTAGGGATTTATCTGTGAGAAACAGGTGTATTCCTGGCAACCCAAACATAGACAATTAGACTTGGGAGAAAGGGCACCTGCTCTCAGCAGAAGAAAGAACTCAACAGGAAGGATAAAAGGGCTGAAGTAACCTGGAAAACATTTATAATAAAAAAGCACTTTACCTGTAGTAGTGGAAGAGCAAAGGATATGGAGTGGAAAGCAAGAATTCAAGAATTATCTCTGCTGGTTAAGGAATGTTTGCTGTTGAGCATATAACTTAATTCTTTGTAACTCAGTTTCTTTATTGGTAAAAGAGAGGTAATGATACTTCTTTCAAATGATGTAATAACATTTTAGTAAAATATAAAGGGATATATGAATGCCAAAATGATATAATGATCAGTATTTAAGTTTTGCTTAATGCTCTGAAAATCTTGGAGATGAACAGAAGCAGACACATGGTAAAATGCATGCTCCATGATTGACCAGGGATTCGAGCATGGAGCTGGGAAGAAGGAGAGTTTTGTTTATACGTATATATCAACAGAGGCAAAATAACAGTTGGAAATTTGAAAGGAGTCTGGAGTTTGAACTATAAAAGTCAGAAATAGTCATTCAAAATACATAGCACTGTTAAAGAGGAATGAGAAGAGTTATTTTTCTAGGGTGCACATATAGCTACTCCTCATCAGAATTTAAGAGACAACTCTGGAGATGGAGATTTGTGATTCTGCAAGTGTAGAAGCTTTGGTTATATGTTCTGCTTCATTATCTGCGTTTTGATATCATCCAGAGGAGCATTTCTTGGTCTGAAGCAAAAACTATTAAAGCAGAGCTTATTTAAGGTTAGATTATCCAGATTCAGTGCCCTGCCATTCAGAGTTACCTGACTCACCTTCAATAAACTGGGAACAACAAAGAAGATTTTCTGTCTGAGCCAGCCAGCAAACATAAATAAATAAAATAAAATAAAACCATGCAGGTTGTTTTATTTGGGATTCAAGATCGAGTTTAAAGTGATCTTCAAAATGATTAAAGCCATCTAGATTTTGAGTTTGCATTTAATAGAATGAGAGCTCAGTTCTCTTTCTCCTATTCACATTAGTTTGGGCCCAGAGGATATTTATTAAACAAAGAACACCAGAACAAACTAACATTAAAGGAGGAAATTGGTTTTCCTGCCGTCTAACCTATTTTTAAATTAGCAGAAGCAAGTGCTAATATGAAACCCTCTGACCAGTAATCACATTTTCCTTTCTCTTTGTTGGAAAATCACAGCCATCCATATTAGCATGTCACACTAGTTAAGAGAGTGTGGTAAAATGGTCCAAGGAGACTGTTCAGGGTGAGAGCTGGGGAGGGAGAGGTGATTTGGGCAGTGAGGTTTCCTGGGAAAAGCACCTCAGTAGGCAATTTCATGTGGAAGCTAAAAAGCCTTTTTTGGACATCAGTTCAAAAATAAAGCACAAAAGACAATGAACATGGCTCCAGATGGAGGCTGGGTTATAGTTTACTCAGGTGTTGACACAAAATCAATACTGCCACCACCTATTGATGATTTATTTCAGTAATTACTCTTGAACCCATAACTAAAATGCTGTCAAAATAGGACAACCTTGTGCTCCTAAATGCTTGTGCTTTCTTCTTTCAGTAGATTAATTTACATGTAATAATGAAAACAGCACAGTTCTCTGATACTGATCAGTCAGCAATCTATTAAATGGTTAAAAAAACAGGGAGAAAAAATTAACGACTGTTTTCAAACACCTTTGGCTTGGGTGACTCAGTTATTTTCTCAGTGGTCTGGTTAAAGTTGTTGGTCCATAGAACTAATCTGGAAGCATAAGGACCTAACACGCTTTCTCTCCAAAGTGAAAAACCTCAGTGGCTCATGGGAAGTCTCAGCCATTGTCCATCACAACCCTCAGCATTGTGTACCTGGTGAGTGCTCTCCCAGGTTGTTGGAGAATTTTCTGGACAAGAAATGTATTTCTTTACCAGGCAACAGAGGTGCATTTAGAAACAGCTAATTGTTGTAATGCTCTTTCATGGTTTAAGCTGAAATAGAAATAATTTATTAGTGATAAATAGTATACTATCCACCAACTGATTCTATCTTTACCATTTCTAGAACCATACGAAATAAATCAATTTCTTCTTCTACATCAGGGAATTAGAAGACCTGGCATGCTTGAAATTGAATGAAAAAAATGCGTCTTTATTTTCAATAACATCTGACTCAGCCATAGAATTTATTTGGATTGTAAATGTAGGCAAATAAGCCCAGTAGTATTTGTAGTACCTATGGCTTTAAGATCAATAGAAATCACACACATTTTCATGAAATCTTAGTTGTTGCACATATCTTGAAATAGGCATTTGTGCCCATCACATTTGAATTGATGATAGTTGCCCATCATATGGTTAGATGTTATTTAACATGTCAAAAATATCACAAATTTTTTTTAGAAGGAGTCTCTGCCACCCAGGCTGGAGTGCAGTGGCACGATCTTGACTCATTGCAACCTCTGCCTCCCAGGTTCAAGTGATTCTCCCACCTCAGCCTCTCAAGTAGCTGGGATTACAGGTGCCTGCCACCACGCCTAGCTAATTGTTGTATTTTTAGTAGAAACAGGGTTTCACCATGTTGGTTAGCCAGGCTGGTCTTGAACTCTTGACCTCAGGTAATCTACCCACCTCGGCCTCCCAAAGTGCTGGGATTACAGGCGTGAGCCACTGCACCTGGCCAGAAAATGTTTATTTTTAAAACATATGATAACTGTATTTAAATGAAGTTGATTTCAAGTATACTCCTATGTATTTTATGCTTTCAAAATATTTTTCTGAATACTTAGGAGTAAATTTCACCAAAAAAGTGAAAGATCTGTATACTAGAAATTATAAAATATCGATTAAAGAAACTGAAGATGACATAAATAAATGGAAGGATATCCTGTGTTCACATATTGGAAGAGCTAATATTGTTAAAATGTCTGTATGGTCCAAAGTGAACTGCAAATTCAGTGCAATTCCTATCAAAATTCCAATGTCATTCTTCACAGAAATTTTTTTTTAAATCCAAAAATTTATATAGAACCACAGAAGACTTCAAACAGTCAAAGCCATCTTGACCAAAAGGGACAAAGCTGGGGTCATCACACCATGGGATTTCTAAACATATTACAAAGCTATGGCAATCAAAACAGCATGATACTGGCATAAAAACAGACACGTCAACCAATGAAATAGGATAAAGAATCTAGAAATAAATTCACAAATTTACAGTCAATTGATTTTTTACAAAGGTGCCAAGAAAACAAAATGGGGAAATGATAGTCTCTTTAATAAATAGTGTTGGGAAAACTAGAAATTCACATGCAGAAGAATGAAAATTATCCCTTATCTGACCCTTATGTATGAATCAACTCCAAATGTATTAAAGACTTAGATGTAAGACATGAAACTATAACACGACTGCAAGAAACATAGGGGAAAACCGGCATTACATTGGTCTGGACAGTGATTTCTTGAATATGACCCCAAAAGCACAAGCAACAAAAGCAAAAATAGACAAATGAGATTGCAGCAAACTAAAAAGCTTCTATACAGGAAAGGGAACAATTAATAGAGTGAAGAGACAACCCACAGATTGGGAGAAAATATTTGCAAATTATACATCAGATAAGGGGCTAATATCCAAAATACATAAGGAACTCAAACTACTCAATAACAAGAAAACAAATAACCCTATTACTAATTGGGCAAAAGACTTGAATAAACATTTCTCAAAAGAAGACATACAAATGGTCAACAAGTATATGAAAAACTGCTCAACCTCTCTAATCATCAGAGAAATGCAAATTCAAACCACAATTAAATATCATCTAATATCTACTAGATTGGCTATTATCAAAAAGATGAAAGATAAATGTTGTGGAGGATGTGGAGAGAAGGGAATCTTTGTGCACTGTTTAGTGGCATTGTAAATTAGTATAGCCATTTTGGAAACCTAAGAAAATTCCTCAGAAAACTGAAAATAGAACTACCTTATGATCCAGCAATTCCACTTCTGGCATACACCGAAGGGAATTGATACCAGTGTGTCAAAGAGATGTCTGCACTCCCACATTCACTGCAGCATTATTCACAATAGCCAAAATATGGGAACAACCTACATGCTCATCAGTGGATAAGTGGATTTTTAAAATGTAGTATGTAAACACAATGGAATACTATTCAGCCTAAAACAATTTAAAAAAAAAAAAACAGGAAATTCTGCCATTTGTGGCAACATGGATGAGCCTAGATGATATTATGTTAAGTGAAATAAGCCAGGCACAGAAAGACAAATACTGTATGATCTCACTTATGTGAATCTGAAAAAGATAAACTCATAAAGAGTAGAACAGTGGTTACCAGAGACTAGGGTGGAACAGGGGTGATGGGGAAAGGGAAGATGTTGGTCGATAGGTACAAAGTTTCAGACGGGAGGAATAAGTTCTATTGCACAGCAGGGTGACTATACTTAATAATAATGTGTTGTATATTTCAAATAGCTAAAAGAGAAGCTTTCAAATGTTCTCACCACAAATAAATGATAAATATTTGAGGTGATAGATATGCTGAGTACCCTGATTTGATTATTCCGCATTGTATACACGTATCAAGACATCACATTGTACCCCGTAAATATACAATTATTAAGTATCAATTAAAAATAAAATTTTAAAAATATGTTTTTCCAATAGGCTTTTCAACAATGATCTTGGAGCAATTGACATTCATCCTAAAAAAAAATTGAACCTTGCCATAAACCTCATACCTTATACAAAATTAATTCAAAATGGATGACAGACTTAAATGTAAAACATAAAACTATAAAGTATTTGGAAAAAGAAAAAACTATTCAGAACCTAGGCCTAGGTGAAGAGTTCTCAGAATTGATCCCAAGATCATAGTCTATACAAGGAAAATTGATAAACTGGTCTCATCAAAATTAAAAATCTTTGCTCTGTGAAAGGTCAAAAGGATGAAAAGGCAATCAGACTGGGTGAAAACTTTTATAAATTTCTCATCTGACAAAAGACTTGCATCTAGCCTACATAAAGAACTCTCAAAACTCAACAATTTTAAAAAACAATAAAAATGAGCAAAATCCATGAGGAACAATTTCACTGAAGAATAAATACAGATGGCAAATAAGTACCTGAAAAGATGATCAACATCATTAGCCCCCAGAGAAATGTAAATTAAAATTACAATGAGATTTCACTATGCACCTATCAAAATGCCAAAAAAAAATAATGATAACACTAACTGTTGGTGAGGATGAGGGGAAACCGGATTACTCATACATTGTTGATAGGAAGAAAATGTTTCAATCACTCTGGAAAATAATTCAGCAGTTTCTTCTAAAATTCAACATGCACTTACTATACTTAGCAATTACCCTTTTAGGCATTTATCTTGGAGAAATGAGAAACTATGTTCACACAAAAACAAAGCATGGATGTTCACAGAAACTTTACTTGCAATTGCTACAAGTTAGAAACAACCCAGGTTTCCATCAAGAGGCGTACAATTAAACAACCTGCAGTTCATCCATACTGTGGGATGCTATTCAGCAATTAACAGGAATGAATGATCGATACACACCATGACCTGGATGAACCTAAAAGGAATTATGCTGAGTGAAAAAAAAAAAGCTATTTTAAAAGTATCACATAAGGTATGTGACACTTGTATTTCTATAATACTTATAAACATTACAGAAATGAAAAATAGATTCATGGTTTCCAAAGGTTAGGGATTTCGGGGATATGTGCTGTAAAGGGGTAGCACAAGGAAACTCGAACTGAAGGAGTGGTGCTGTGTCTTGACTGTAGTAGTCATGACACAAAGCCATGTATTTAATTAAATTGCATAGAATTATGCACAGACACAATCACATGAGTACATGTATAACTACTGAGATCTGTATAAGCTTTGTGAATTGTGCCAATGTCAATATCCTGGTTTGCATACATAGATGTTAACAATGGGGGAAGAGTCAGTAAAGGGTACACTGACCTCCCTGTATATATTTTTGCAACTTACCGTGAACCTAGTATTATTTCAAAGTAAAGAGCTTTTTAGGCCACGTGCAGTGGCTCCCAGCACTTGGAGAGGCCAAGGCAGGGAGATCACTTGAGGTGAGGAGTTTGATACCAGCCTGGCCAACGTGGGGAAACCCAGTCTCTACTAAAAATACAAAAATTAGCCTGGTGTGGTGGCACACGCCTGTTATCCCAGCTATTCGGTAGGCTGAGGCATAAGAATTGCTTAAACCTGGGAGACAGAGGTTGCAGCACGCTGAGATCGTGTCACTGCACTCTAGCCTGGGTGACAGAGCGAAACTGTCTCCAAGAAAAACAAAACAAAACAGTTAAGAGCTTTTTAAAAAGTCAAAAAACCCAAACATGATTCTCATTATGGATGTTGCCAGACTACCAACATGTCCCAAGTAATAGAAAAGTAAAGGTTAAACACTATTGTTATAAGTCCCTGTTATAAATGAACTCTTACAAATCATGAACTACTTGGTTGGTAGATATCAAGAAGTTAAATAACTGCTTATGTTCAAAGAAAAAGAGTCCTCTTGCTAACCACATACAAACAAGCCGATGCAAGCTCATTTACTGGATCCTGACTTGCCCACTGAGGTTCAAACCAGTGAAGACCAAAGACAGCCTGCCTCTTTCCTCTCTTCCTCCTTCCTTCCTCCCTTCCTTCCTTCCTTTAAGGAAAAATCTCCCAGTTTATTAAGCAGGTTTCTGTATAATCTCTAGGTAAGACTAGCTCCAGAGCAGTCTAATTCAAGTGTTCTCATTTATAAGAGTCAGTTAACTCTAAGCAGAAACTGCTGCTCCCTGAAGTACACCACGCACGTTGTTGCTCACAACAAAGCAGATTTATTCTAAGATTTTAAACAGTCAATGAAAAGCTTTTCTTATAAAAACTTTAAAAAAAACCCACCTCAGTATTAGTTTCTAGTGAAATAGATAATTTGATGTCAAGGTTCAGCATTTGGTGGCTAAAACAGACTCCTAAATACAAGAAGTCAATTTTAAAACTCTCCTTGCAAGAAAAATATGAGATCCAAAGAATATTACCTGGAGCTGGGTGTGTTGCCTCACGCCTGTAATCCCAGCACTTTGGGAGGCTGAGGTGGGTGGATCACTTGAGGTCAGGAGTTCGAGACCAGCCTGGCCAAGGTGGTGAAACCCCATCTCTACTAAAAATACAAAAACCAGCTGGGCATGGTGGCACATGCCTGAAATTTCAACTACTTGGGAGGCTGAGGCAGGAAAATCGCTTGAACCTGGGAGATAGAGGTTGCAGTTAGCTGAGATTGCACCACTGCACTCCAGCCTGGGCGACAGAGCAAGACTCCATCTCAAAAAAACAAAAAACAAAAAACAACAACAAAGAATATTACCTGGGCAACAATATGTAGTCTTCTGTCTTTTGACCACTGGCAGGATATGGCATTGTCCATTTTTGCAGAATCTCTATAAGAGAGGAAGCAGGCAGATTTAGCCTGATCCCTTTAGTATCCATTGTTCCCTTTTTCTCCATAAAATTATTTTTCCATAACATAACTTTTGATGTCCAAAATATTGTTTCCAGAATAGAAAATGTGCTTGATGAAATCTCACTACAGATGGGCCTAGAGGGAAATAAGAAAATTCTGTTAAGCTTGTCTTACATTAAAGAGCATTTACACGATAAAACCCATAGCAGTGGATCAAAAACTCGACAAATCGCTGTACATTTGCCTCAGTTTCCTCATCTAGAAAGTGAAGGGGCGGTCTGGATGAGCTCTAAAGTTATTCCCGTTGCTTAATTTCTCAGGATTCTGAACTCTGTGATAATTCAGAGCCCCACATCCTGAAGGCTTAAATCTTGGGTCTCTCAATGTTTTGAGTAAAGAAGACAGTGATAGCGAATGTTTACTGTGCATGGATTACACGCCGGACACTGTTTTAAGTACCTCATATGTCCTAATTTATTTAACCCTGAAGCAATTCATTGAAGAAGGTGCTCTTGTTTTCAATATCCTCAATTTAAAAATGAAGAGACTATGACTCAGAAGGTCAACAAACTCACCTAATAAATACTGCTAATAAATGGTAGAGATGGAACTCAAACCATCTACCTGTAGAACTCCAATTCTTAACCACTAGACCCTATTTGCTTGTGAAGTTAGGGGCTTTGCCTAGAAATGTTGTGATAAAGCAACCCTGTCCATTCAAGTAGCTGTAGACATAAATTGCCACACGTTGTGAGACATGATGCAGACCTCAACCAAACAATCTGCTCCACAATTCAGATCAGCCACAGCACTTTAACTTGTCCTGGCTACATTTTTGGACTTTTAGCCATTTCGTTTTCATCTATCATGCATAAATTCCCTTAGGCATTTGAATCATTTCCTTCATACAAATTCAGAAATCTTGCCTATATATGAATTCTTTAGCTCAGGGACTGGCAAACTTTTTCTGTAAAGAGACAGATAGGAAATACTTTAGGCTTTGCAGGCAGTAAAGGCTGTCACAACTCCTCAACTCTGCTGTTGTGGTTTAAAACCTGGCTGTAGTTTGCCAACCCCTCCTTTAGAGAACTTGGAATTCTCTGTAATGGTTTCTTTGGATAAGCCAAAGGTGTAATAGTTGAAGATAAATTTCCCTGTTCTATATGTGAATTTTTTTTTTTTTTTTTTACAATTCTGGATTTTAGAGCCTACCCTAAGCATATGATCCCTTAATTTTTTAAAAAAGTTCCCATTTATATCAAAAGTAATTCTTTAAACTTTGAGAAAAAAAATTCACAGGTACGGTTATGTATCTTATATAATCAAAAAGAGGCAAAGTGCTATCTAATTTTGAAGACATTGCTTTAAAAATTTTTTTTTAATTTCCTCTGGTTGTTTCAGTATACTAGTAGATATGCCAGTTTTTTTCTTCTGCTTCTGAAAGAAATACGTACTTTTTTTCTCCTAAGGAGGGCTCATATACATGGGTTTTGATTTACTTAAGAGTAACGCTCAAGGTCATATTTAAGTACTGTTAGTATTGCATTATGTTGGTACTAAAGTGCTTAATGGACGCTCAGCATTATTTTTTGTATCCTGATTTAGCACTAATGTTGGATTATTGCTGATCTATGCAGCTTTACGATTAATTGTCCAAATTAGTTCAAGGCAAGCCTGTGTGTGAAAAAAAAGTTCAAAACTCTGTATGTTATCAGAGTGCCGAGGGCACGTTCACAATCACCGTCTCCTCTAAAGGAACACAGCCTATCACCTGAGGCTCTTGTTCAGACTGGGGCAGACAGAACCTGGGCTGGAGGCGAGGGATCAATCTAGACAAAGAGTTAAATATTTGGTATGCTGCATAGCATTGAAGACAACGTCTGCATGCAGCTGTATTCAATTTTTAGTTGGATTCTGGCACACAGGGACAAAGGCATTTGTCTGAAGATAAGAGTGACATACTTTTGGTAACCTAAGATGTGTTGTGATGAAAATGAGAGAAAGCAAATAGTATGAGTTAAGAGCAGTCTGATCTTTTTGGCTTCTTTACAATGTATGCTTTAATAAATTTGTTTAAACTTGACTTGCATTCCTTTATTTTTATATAAAAATTCATAGTGCCTAACAGTGTCATGAATGCTGTTTAAATGAATCTGGAATCTAGAGGAAACATATGTATACAAACCTAGCAAGTGTTATGGTCTTTGGCTTTGCAAAGACAACATGACATAGAATGTACTTATTGCGTTAATTAAATGATAACATACCAAGACAATTTATTATGGACATATTTAGCCTAGTTTAAAAAAAACACTATGATAAAGTTAGAAAATCTAGGACTTGCTAGAGATGAAAATTAACTGGTTTTTAAATTAACCGGCAGAGGGCTGTATCTAAAATTAAACTTATATTACTTTCACTAGAGGAAATACCATGTGAGAGCTTTTCTAAATGAACCCTTTACTTATAGGAAGTTAATATTTCATAATGCCAGGAGAAATACAGCAGTAATACATTTTCAGCAAGTAGGCACTTTTCGCCTTAAGAAAAATAAAAATAACTTGTCAGTTACACAATCCTAAATTTTGTGTTGTTTTGATTTTAATTACAATAGTCCCCTATTATCCTTGGTTTTGCTTTCCTAGGATTCAGTTACCCAAAGTCAACAATGGTCTAAAAATGCAAAATGAAAAATTCCAGAAATAAACAGTACGTTTATAACATTCAAATCTCATGCCATCCCACCCTGTACTGCCCAAGATAGGAATCCAGGAATCCTTCCTTTGTCCAGCGCCTCAGTCCTGTTTGTGCTATGCCCATTTAGTCACCGAGTAGCAGACTCGGTGAGCTCAGATCAGCTGTGGCAGTATCGCTGTGCTTGTGTTCAAACCACCCTTCTTTTACTTAATGGGCCCCAAAGTGCAAGAGTAGTGATGCTGACCTATGGTTATAATTGTTCTTTTTTTTTTTTTTTTTGAGACAGAGTCTCTCCCTGTTTCCCAGTCTGCAGTGCAGTGGCGTGATCTTGGCTCACTGAAATCTCTGCCTCCCAGATTCAAGGGATTCTCCTACCTCAGCCTCCCAAGTAGCTGGGATTACAGGCGCCCATTGTGCCAGGCTAATTTTTGTATTTTTAGTAGAGATGGGGTTTCGCCATGTTGGCCAGGCTGGTCTCAAACTCCTGACCCCAAGTGATCCGCCTGCCTCAGCCTCCCAAAGTGCTGGGATTACAGGCGTGAGCCACTGCGCCCAGCCAATTGTTCCATTTTTATAATGAGTGCTGTTAATTTCTTACTGTTCCTAATCTATAAATTAAGCTGTATCATATGTATGTATAGATAAGAAGAAAACATAGTCTATATGGGGGTTGGTACTGTCCTCAGTTTCAGGCATCCACTGGCAGTCTTAGAACATACCCCCCTCAAATAAGGGGAGACTACGGTATTATAAGGTTATACTGAATTCTGAATCTTAAACTATTTCACAGAATCATCTTTGAAAGGTAAGTATTATTTAGAAAGCAAAACTTCAAGGTGAAGGCTTGTGAATAGAACCTCAGTGTATATCACAGAGTACGAAGTGGTCATGTTCTGCCTCCTTAGCTCAACTCGTACCACCTCTTGATTTTTTTATGACCAGGCTCCAGGTAATTATTTCCCATCTGTTCTTGGTTTAACACTCCTGAAAATCAAGGAATACTTCTGACTTAGACTTTTAAAAAAATTTTGAGAATATATTTACTATCCAGAGAGTACTGATAGATAATTAAATAAGATCAACTGTCCCCTCCAGCCAGCCTTAAATCTGGGAGCAGATGGCCATCCCACAGGCCACATTAGTTTGGGTATTCCAATAAACTGCATAATGAAAAAGAATATCCAGATTTTTTTATCCCCCAAATTTAATTTAAATTGTATTAGGAAATAAAATATTGCATGTCAATACATAGGTGCTTTTCTAAATCATGATGTAGTTTTACTCATATACGTTATACTCTTCAGGACAAAAGCCAGCAATTGCTTATAGTCCAAAATACAATTATTAGTCAAATATATTTTTCAGTATCATAAAACTCCTAAAATAAATCTATACGTACTGTATTTTTATATTTACTAGCATTTGTTTTGCAAGGCCCTAAAATTTATAGAAAATGTAAATCACTTTTATAGTTCATAAATATTCTCAACATTACTTGATATACAAGTATTTATTTATCTGGCATATATAATGTTTCCATAAATACAGCTGTATTTATGTAAATACCCTATCCATATATACTACATATGGATACCTCAACTTATGGTCCATATGGACCTTTATATTTAAACTCAGTAAAATAAATAATGTCAACAAGCTTTTAAAGTGCCACCAATTAATAATATTGGTATATTTTTATTCAGACATATTTGAAGACCTGAGAATAATTACGTGGTATTTCCTGAGTATTTGCACATTGTATTATGAACATGTGTTTGATTTTTTCAGTAAACTCTTGGTACCCATATTTCTAATAATAAAATTTTCTATCTAAAAAAAAGTTGATTAGCTGGGAGTTTTACCATTAAGACTGAATTGATTAAATGCAAATTAATGCAAGATACAAGTAATAGTGCTTTAAAATAAGTACAGACCTGCATTTTAATTGAAAAATACCCGCAAAGAACTGCTTCATACTCTATGCTAAATCTCCCAGTGATTTTATCAGTATGCTACATAACAGAAGAGGAGTGGTCACGATGAGCAATGAAGATAACCAATTTCTTAAATTAAAAAATACTAAGGAGATAGCAAAGAACTACCCTTTTCTTCCTGAACCAACACATGGCTCTTTTCTGTTGCCTCTAGGCCATGCCTCCCATCCATTCATTTGACTTAAATTACAGCCAATTTAACTAATTTGTTAGGAATATTTTAAAGCATAAGTGCCATACACAACTTTTACATTTATTTTTCATAGGCCCTTAAAACATTCGATTTGTCATCTTTTCTACATTAGAAGAGGTGACTCACTTCCGGTTTACTGGTCAAGAATCAGTAAGGCAGAAAACAAACCTATATTCCAAAGTTTAATTCAAGCTTTGTTAGATTGTACAGATTCTGATGTCTCCTTCAGTTTCCTTCTAAAGAATGGTAAAGTTTGAAGCAGTGCTCTCTGACAGGTCAAATCTGCCAAGCCAAGGAAATATATAGATGCCCTGGTGCCATACATTTCTCTCATGGCCTCTTTCCTCTAAGTCTCAGTAATTGGATTGTCACTTGGGTGCCTGACACAGGAACTCTAAGAAAAGATGGCTTCTCAAGGAAGGGAAGGGAAAGCCCTGTGAACGATTAGGGTGATAACACCTCCCATGCTTTGGGCTCCTTTGAAACTCAAATTCCAGAATGTGAGCCTGTGAACTGTAGCAGGAAGCTAAATTAATATCAAGCAGGAGCTAACTTAGGGTTAATTCTCCACCACCACCAGTGAGTAGACCTGTTAGGTTATATTCCTGATCAGATCAAGCAGAAAAGGGTAGCGAATAGTATATTTTCAAAGGTGTGTCAAAGTAATAGAAGTAGCAAAGATCCAAACTGTATCAATTGTATCCAAATAATACTTTCTTTTTCTTTAGGTAAATTACCTTTTGAAAAGCATGAGAATTTTTTTTTTTTTTACATATCAATTAATGTTTCCTTCCAAAAGCTTCATTCATTAATTTCCTGCAAAAGAAAAACTTTGCTCTGTTGGATATGTTTCTTAATGACTCTGACCTTTTAGTTAACACTGCATATGGATAAAATGCTTTATCATCGTTAATGAATTTTTCCGTGTAACAATCCCTTTAAGTTGAATAAGTAATATTATTCATTATCATTAATAGTCCTTACTGTCAGAAACAAACAGTACAGGTAATATCAAAACAATTCTAAATGTTTTTAAGTTACATTCCATTATTGCTTTTTAAAAAAATCAATTCCCATTTCTATTGAATAAGTCGATTGCTTAAAAATACTCATTAAGAAACTATTATGCACCACACATTATTCTGATTTAACTAGTCTAGACATGGGCATTTCTAAAAATCTCTCTGGGTTTTTAATATGTAGCCTAAGTTGAAAATCATCGCTCAGGAGGCCTGAGTCTGGAAGGAGGACAGGAAGCTTTCACAGGATAGGTGACATTTGAGAGAGAACCAAAGAGAAAGTAGGAATTTCCCAGAGGTTGAAGAATGGAGAAGAAACAAAGAGGCTTGACACAATCTTGGTGGGACTGGACCAACTGTTCTTGGGCAGGTAAGAAAGGAAGTGACCAGAGGAAACGAGAAGGTTTGGTCAGGACCACACTGAAAAGAGCCTTCAGAGCCATGCTGACAAGTTGAATTTTATTCAGCTGGTCACAGGGACCCACTATATCTTCACATTTTTAAGAAGCAAATATGGCCTGAGCTGATCTCTGTTTAAGAGGAAAAACCTGCGAAGTGGAGGATGAATTAGAGTGTGAGAACTTTGAAATTAGCAGAGGTTTGCATCATTCAGGTGAGAGATGATGACAGATTATGATTGTCCCAAACTGACTTGCTCTATTGTACCTTGGATCACCAAATAAACATCATCGCTTCCTGTACTCGATTTTTAAATGTTATCAACAATGCTGTAAATATCATGTTAATTCTGTGCCCAGAAGATAAAAATATTTGGTAAAACCACAATTACTTTTGAACCAACCTAATAATATTCTTGATCCACAAGGATTTCAACAACTAATTCCTTGGTACTAAAGAAGCAGAAAAGAATTAAAACATAACAAAGATAGCATTTAATACCAAGTGTCCTTTTAAAAAAATCTAGTATTTACTCAACAGATTTGAATAAATGAACTAATCAGTAGTTGTACCTACTCACTTATTACTCCTATAGTAGACACTATAGAGAATGTACAGGGAGTGTACTACTGGGTTGGAGGAACAAAATTAGCCTAACTGAAATAACAGTGCACAGTTTTGTACTAATGCTGTGATGCAGATCACAAGTATAGGTGGCATTCAGAAGAAAATATAAAAAGTTTTGGAGGCTTCAGGGAGAATAAGGATACATTTTATTTTACTCCTAGTGGATGCTCAATAAGTATTTAGTTACTACTGCATTATACGGTATAAATGTTTATTTATTGCTGAATGACTAAGTGAAATCAGTCTTAAAATTTGCTCTAAAGATGGGCAAGATTTTGGATTGACGACATAAAATAGGGCTTTTGAGATAAAGGAAATAAATGAAGACGCTGATACAACATAGAGGTTATAATAACCATATCAAGAATTTTAGTTTTAATGCTATCAGGACCACTGGAGGAATATTTTGCTTACAGAAGATAAAATTTAAAATGAGAAATTGTGTGTCTTCAAATATCTGAAAGCGAGGGAGGCTTTCACTAGAAACTCTATGACTTTCCAGAAAGCAGAATTATGCCCCAAGAGCAGATGCCAACACTACACTTTCATGCAAACTGAAATTATATCCCTTGCCAGTAAATTTTTTTCATCACTTTTGGTTTTTACTCAAAGGATTAACTTGGTGAGAATGTTATAGAAGACTTTCAAGCATAAAATAAGGCATTGCACTAGGAGATCTTCAAAGTTTGTTCCAACTCTTATAGTTTAAGCAGCAAATATTAGAATTTGTTTGGGTTCACGTGGCTAAGTTTGGACCAAAAAAATAAAAAAATAAAAGAACCCAGAAGGCTTCTGCTTAGCTTAGCATATTAATAATTAAAAGGCAGAGTTTCTCACATTGGAATAAAAAGCACAACCCAACTAAATTCTGCCTATAAAAAACAAATTTGAAAGAGAAAGACACAAATAGATTCAATGCAATACCACCACTTTGGAAAATCCTCTGGCAGTTTCTTTAAAAACTTAAAAATACACCTACCATATGATCCAGTCATTCCACTACAAGATATTTATCCAAGAAAAATTGAAAGCATATGTCTGTACAAAAACTTGTGCATGAATGTACATGCAAATTGTATTTGTAATAACCAAAACCTGGAAACAAGCCAATATCCATCAAGAGATGAATACATGAGTAAACTATGGTATAGCGATACAATGGAATACTGCTCAGTAATAAAAAGGAATGAACTGTTGATACATGTGATAAGGGATGAACTCAACATAATTATGGTAAGTGGAAAAAGTCTATAACACAAAGATGTGAGCATATTGTAAAATTTTATTTATATAAAGTTCTAGAAAATGCAAACTAGACTTTAGTGAAAGAAAGTCAATAGTTGTCAACGGGTGGGTGTGGTGTAGTGAATGCAGATGGGAATGGGCAGGAGGGAGAAATGACAAAGGAGAATGATGAAAGTTGGGGTGACGCATATGTTCATTATCTTAATTGTGGCACTAATTTCATGGACATGTAAGTACATATATCAAATTGTATGCTTTAATATGTGCAGTTTGGCATACCATTGTGATTTTAAAAAGTCAAGAAGTTACAAAGTAGCCATATAAGAATGTAATTTCAGAATTTATTCATAAATGTTTTCTTTCAAGAGATGTAAGATAGGACAGGATGTGTAGAGTAGAAGAGTGACCTTACACTTGATAGGAGACTCTCAAAAATGATTGTTGGATAAAGGCTACTTGGACTACCACCAGAAACTATCTGCATGATCAACAGACACTGTGCTAGATATGCTCGCTGAGCCAAAGGATCCAAAGCTGGCTTAATAGGTATAACCCATCTTCCTCCTTTTAACCGTCAGCAGTCCAAGAATCTAGTGCTTTTTCATTGACATTTTCAAAATCCACCCACGTGGCTTAATGACTTAGTTTTCTGGGGGCGCGGGGGGGGGGGGAAGCTTGTGTTAAGCTTTAAGCTTTCTGGAATTCTGTAAGGATTTTTTTAGTAGCAAAAAATGTCGGCAACAATGCATCCTGTGTTAATGTGAATTAGCAGAGGGTGATTAGCTTCCCTTTTCCATTGAGTTCTGCTCTCACTTCTGCAGGGTGAAGAGAAGTAGCACAAAGGGAGCTAAGAAAATGGGTGCCAATGGATGCCATCTAATCAAGAGATTCCTGCCATCAATATTTAAGGCAGAGCAGACAACTACTACCAGATGGTACCAACCACTGTAGAGAACAAGACACAGTTGGAACATTAAGCCAGAACCCCAGAATTCCCAGTCACCTGCCACTCAGGCTCATTTCGGTCACTTTGTTTGCCTAATAATAATGCAACTATGGGCCAGGCACAGTGGCTCATGCCTGTAATCCCAGCACTTTGGGAGGCCAAGGTGGAAGGATTGCTTGAGTCCAGGAGTTCGAGACCAGCCTGAGCAACAAAGTGAGGCCCCTGTCTGTACCAAAAAAAAAAAAAAAATTAGCCAGTCAAGGTGGCATGTGTATGTAGTCCTAGCTATTCCAGTGGCCGTGGTGGGAGGATTGCTTAAGCTCAGGATGTCGAGACTGCAGTGAGCTATGACCATGCCACTGCATTCTGCACTCCAGCCTGAGTGACAGAGCAAGACCTTATCTCTAAAAAAATTATATAATGATAATAATGACAATGATGTACTGTGCATTTTATGCATTAAATTTCTTGGGCCCCATTTCTGCCAATATAGGTAGGTTTACTGTACTTTGGCATAAATTGTATCATGTATGTATGCCTGTAAATGGGCTATAAACCTCACCTTAGAATTTTTTCTTCTTTTTTTTCTTTCATTTGAAATATCTTTATTAGGAATCAACACTATAGAGGGGACAGCTTATACTTTGTATAGTTATCAAAATATGTACAAAGGGCTAATTAATTGGCATAAAATCGGTAAAATAATAATTTTCCATGAAGTTTACAGCAAAGAACTTTTTGGATACCACTGCCCTTACAGGCAAGCCCCAAAGCCAGATACCTTTACTGTCACCTTTGAAGTCTCGAGATAGCTTATTCTTATTATCCCTTCCTTGGGTTCTGTCCCCAGTCTGATTGTTGCCTCATCCCCTGTCAGAATATCATCATATATGCCTAGGGCAAACTTTTCACTCAGGGTGCTCTCAGAGGCATTTTTGTGGCTGCCGGCTAATGAAACAGTGGTACTTTTAGCAGAATTTGGAGGTAAGCTTGCCTTGGTCATAACTAACCAATTGTAATCAAGTTTTGGAGGGGATCTGTAGCCCCCTATTTGCCTCTGATCATGGTGGTTTAGCATACAAGATATTTCCTAAATGAACCCGATCGCTGTTGCCTGCGCATATTGCCATTGGTCAGTTAGCAGCACTTTGTTAATAGACCAGATTAGAATTTGCAGTCCACTCCCATAAGTGCTAGTATACTTCTTGGGCCTTCTTCAAATATTGCTCTCTGTTTTCATGCATCTTCTTAGGTTGCTCTGTTTGATGCTTTTGGTAAGAATTGTTTAATTTGGGCTTTATTATTCTGTCCTCTTTGAGCAATTTATTGTATTAGTTTAGGGCCACTGGAGGCACCTGATCCTCCCCTAGTTGATTTATGAGGTCCTTAGATATTGTACACTTGGATAATGCTTCAGAAGTAATTAAGCAAAATGTGGCTTTGGCAGTTGGAGGTAATCAATTCTCAAAAATGATAAAGTGCTTATAATGTACAGTTGATGATAGATGCTTGACTGGGTGGCCTAGAGAAACAATCACCCATCAGCTCTTCTGCTCACTCATTAAATCGCCCCATCAGGCCTTAGAAATATTTAAGCTAAGTGAGAACTCTACTCGTTCCATCTTGTAAATTGGTCAGAAGCTGTGGCATGGTGAATTCACTTCTCATGCTTAACAAGGAAAGCAAGCACAAGTCTTTCCTCTGTAGTTCATTGATTCAATAAGTAAATATTCAGTGCCTACCATGTGCCACGCACTATTCTTTGGGAATACAGCCGTGAACCATGGAGTCAAAAGTCCCTCTTGGGATTTGCATTCTGGATGGAAAAAAGACAACACCATAATAAGTACAATATTAGTATGTAGATATATATTAAGAAGGAAAAACAAAAGCAGGGAAGATTGAAACCTCAATGAGGGAGTTTCTGTTTTTCACTAGGGGCCAGGGAGGACCTCACTATGAAGATGACTTGGGAGCAAAGACCTTTGTGTTTTGGGAATTGTCGAGTAAAGCAATGTTTACTACCCTCGGAGATGGGCATTCCCCCAGGTGTGCTTCCATGTCCCCAAGTGGAGCCTCCCTTTGTGCAGTAATCTACTGCCTGAGCCAAAAGCATAGGGGGACGTGATTTACTATATAGCCTGTCAACACTCTTGTCCTGGTTAGGGCTGAATTTTCTGGCTTACTTTCTACCTAGATCTGAAGCATCTGGCCATGCCTACCATAGGAAACAATTGAAAGAACAAAGGCAAACAAAACAAATTCGTTTCAAATGACATCATGTGGCTTACAGAGAGAGAAAAATGTGTCTAGCATAGCCCTGTTAAATACTGATGTCTGCTGATTTAGGAAAAGCTCCTTGTAAGGAAAGATAGAATAGAGATGATGAGACTTTGTTGGCTTTCCTTTATAAGTTGACACGTGAGTAGGCGAAACATTAGTGGCTAAAAGATAAAACAATTATCCAGTTTTTAGATAAACTTTGTAAATATTCATTTGCCTTTGGGTTTCACTAATTACTGTCCAACAAGAGAACCCAGGGTGATAAGTAATCAATAACACAACACACTTAAAAGCATTTTCTTCATTAGGTTGCATGTAACCTAATGAAGCGTACAGTTCTTACTCTGTTTTTTGGGTTTTTTGTTTGTTTGTTTGTTTTTGTTCTTGTTTTTAGTTTCCTCACCAAACTGCTAAAAATTTATCTCTGGCATTCATTTACTGGAATTTAGGGCAATTACCTGAGCATAGGTCAGATAATAACTTGTGTCTGTCCATATTTAAATACAATAGATGTTACTTATCAGGCACCAAATAAAGTCAGTTTTCTATTATGCAAATTAACTATCAAACTTGTTTTAAAATATTTAACCTAGTACATTTAATGTACTAGGGCTGCCATAGCAAAGTGCCAGAGATTGGGTGGCTTAAGACAGCTGAAATTTATCGTCCCACAGTTTAGGATTCTAGAAGTCTGAAATCAAGTTGCCAGCAGGGCCTTGCTCTCTCTCTCTGAAGGCTCCAGGGGAGGATCCCTTCTTGCTTTCTTGGTTGCTGGAAACCCTTGGCATTCTTTGGCTTAGAGATGCATCACTCTAATCTCCGCATGGACTGTCACATGGCATTCTCCCTATGTGTTCCGTTTGTCTTCTCTTTTATAAAGACACCAGTGATATTGGACTAAGGTCCGCCCTAATCCCATAAAACTTCATTTGAACTACATCTGCAGAGACCCTATTTCCAAATAAGATCACATTCACAGGTGGGAGTGGTGGTTAGGACTTTGACATATCTTTTCTAGGAACATAGTTCAACCCATAACAACTAATATCTTAGTGACTCCATTGCACGTCTTTAAACAGGTCAAATATTTTAAGCCACTCATGTATTGATATTCATAAAGATGATTCTTTACTTTGAAGTCCTTGGAATTTGAATAAAATCCACCTGTGCATCTTTGAACAGTAAAGATTTCACTAGTTGCCAGCAAGAGCCTTAGGAGCTATCATTCCTCAGGCTGATCACATCCCCACATGCACTTTGGATGAATTGGAAAAGAAGTTGGTGGGCTAGATACGAGAAGCTTGACCTAATACCTGCTTCTAATAGGAACACAAGAATTAAGAGGATGACAAGATAGCTTTCTTCCATAAAACTATGTTCTGTGTTTTGTTAGCTTGTTTTGTCAAAACCTTACTTATGACTTTTTTTCTATGAATGGATTCCATAGGAATATGTCATTTCAAAATGGAAAGAAAATGAATTATTTGAATCAGCTGAGTCATATTTTTCCATCTCCATATACAACAATAATGAAGAGATAACAGGAATACGTGGATAGTTGAACTGTAGAAAACATATGTATAGTGATGTAAAAGCTAAGATTTCCCTTGCCATAGTAGGCTCAACAGTTGCAAAAGGAAAGCAGAAATTAAGTCACTGGCCTTTCCCGCTGACAGGATGAATCACATCTGTAGTGGGTCTTTCCAGCTCCAATGGTTAGCAGTTGGTGGTGCACACAGAAAGCCCTTTCTCCATTTCTGCAGCTCACTGTGATTATTTCTTTTTTTTTTTTAATCAGAGTCTCACTCTGTCACTCAGGCTGGAGTGCAATGGCGCGATCTTGGTTCATTGCAACCTTCGCCTCCCAGGTTCAAGCAATTCTCCTGCCTCAGCCTCCCCAGTAGCTGGGATTACAGGTGCCCACCACCCTGCCCGGCTAATTTTTTGTATCTTTGCTAGAGACGGGGTTTCACCATATTCGCCAGGCTAGTCTTGAACTCTTGTCCTCAAGTGATCCGTCCGCCTCGGCCTCCCAAAGTGCTGGGATTACAGGTGTGAGCCACCACGCCCAACCCACTGTGATTATTTCTAAAAGTCACCTGGCGAGTCAGAACCTCAGCTTTCCCTCCATCACAGCCCAAGATACCTGCCCGCACTTACAGTCTAGGTTTCTAGGTAGAAAAGACAAACTCATTTTCATTAGCTCTCAATTTGAACCTGATGCTCAGGGCCCAGGAACACTTTTTCTATTACCAGATTTCTTTAAAACCATCAAAAGGAAATGTAGGTTTCTGTTGGACTGGGAAGGATTTCTGCTGGTGCCTCCCTCGGGTCCACTTCCATACCCTGACTTTCCTTTCCAGGACCCATCCTTAAAGCCCAAGGGAAAATATGCCAAAAGAAAGCCCAAGAAGTAGAATCTCTGAGGGGATGCCCCTCATGTGAACTTGGGACAGATATTCCTTTCTGGCTCTGTGACAGCAGCTGTTATTCTGTGACACTGAGGTGAGAGCAGCCCAGCTGAGCATAGCGCCTTGCACATAAATAGATACATTTTCATTCTTCCTGATGGACATGACAGCTCAGAAAGGGGGAGGTCCAGTTTTGGGCCAGAAAGTATCCTCACTAAGAATGTTCTGAGGCTGTCCTTTGGCCTTCTGAGCTTTTACCTTCCTTTATTTAAAAATTGAGCAGATAAGTCCATTCAAAGCCACCATACGCGATTGACAAATCAGATAAGAGATGGGATTTGTTTCTTGTTTAGTTTTTTTTTTAAATAGATAATTATTTTTATGGTTATCTAAGTGCCCTGGAAATCAGGTTGAGTGTTGCAAGGAGGCCCTCATTGCCTTTCTCCCTCGAGAGTATGTTTCTAATGCCTGTCATCTGTGGTGGAAAACTTAACTCATGCTGCTGTTCCCTTACTGGACTTCAATACTGCCTGGAAATCCTATCCTTTGACAGTTTCTAAGCCAAAGCTCTCTAGAATTTATCAGTTCTCTTGATTGAGTCTGGTTCTCCTTTATATATTTTATTTCTTGAGGGTTCTAAAACTGCGTGCCTACTACCAAGATGAAAAGACCCTGTAGGGGATGTGGAGCTCCACGCACCCCCTCTGCTCTCTAGGATGGACCCTGGCAGCCTCCGGATATTTCACTTGCACCCCGGGAGCTGGGAGGGATTTTGAAAGGCCAGATGTGAGGGAAGAGCAGTTGCTTGTTATTTACAACTTATTTCCTGGTATCAAATAGTGTAACAAATTTACCCTAAAATAAGTATAGCATTTTTATGTTATCAAATAGAGCTCACATGTGATAGTACATTACTATTAAACAGAATTTTGTGGTCAGCAAAATTCATAACTCCCTATTCTTGTCACTTCCAAGAATAGCCTCTTTAAGATCTCAAATGTGAAATTGTCTGATTTTGCATTTTAACCTAAATGTGATATATGTTCTCTAGAAAGGAGGTTTTTTTTTGTGGTCAGATTTTAGTCTGAGTCTAAAGAAAATTATCAATATAGAAACTGCCCATTGTACTGAATGTGTTTGACTATTAGTCTTAGCTTCCAAGAGTATTTCCAAAAGCACAATAAATGTAGGCTGGGGAATCACAGCAAGGGGTACGGAGGAGGGAATGAGAGGTCACAGCAGGTTCCAACATATTTTTAAATGATTTCCCCTTACAAATTGATCTTATTTACAAGGATTTGGAGGAAGAAATCATTCACTTGGCAGGATCCTTGTCATAGGTAAAGGGTCATAATTTCAGAAGCAATATTTCTTGACATACTGGAAAGTAAATTCAGAGACTGGGCATCTTTACAGTTTTGCTGCATTCTCCAAACTCACGTTGGGGACTTAGAGGTCTAAGTTTACACAGGCCCTCAGGAATATCTTTTTAGAATTGAGTCACATTGGTAAAGAAAACTGGCAGGGGAGACTGGGCTACCCTCAAGGAAACCCCTCTCTGGTGTATTATAACTGTGCCCTGATTTGTAAGATAAGACATAACTCTTCACCAACTAGAAATCATAACAAGTTTCAAAACACCTTCCTGCCTCTCATTATGATGTGAAGTTAAAAGATTTTGTTACCTACTATGAAAGCCACTGAAGCAAAAACTTAAGTAGAAGGTTGTTTATCAGATAGCTGTGAAATGGAGTTAAGGATTAAGCTGGGTAACATCTTCCCCGACCCCCTTTTCTCCCCTTTTGTCTCTTTTATGGCATTTTTTTTTTCAGGCAGACATTTATAGATAACATCCATGTCATCGTTTCAGATAGGACCCAAGGTCTGACCTTTCACGATGAACCTGACATCATAGTATCTTGGTGTCCATCCCCCACCAGTCTTTAGGTTTTGTCTGTCACTCAAACACTTGCCTTTGGAAGGTGGAAAAGCAGCCAGTTGTTTCTTTTCATCATTTCACTTTGATTTCTTTCCACTTTTTTTTTTTTTTTTTTTTTTTGAGACAGAGTCTTGCTCTGTTGCCCAGGCTGGAGTCCAGTGGCACAAGCTTGGCTCACCACAACCTCTGCCTGCCAGGTGCAAGTGAATCTCCTGCCTCAGCGTCCCGAGTAGCTGGGATTACAGGCACGCACCACCAGACCTGGCTAATTTTTGTATTTTTAGTAGAGACGGGGTTTCACCATGTTGGCCAGGCTGGTCTCAAACTCCTGACCTCATGATCAACCCACTTCGGTCTCCCAAAGTGCTGGGATTACAAGCATGAGCCACCACGTCCAGCTGGAGAGGTTTGCCACCAAACAGCATAAACATCATCTTCACCTATGTGTGTGGAGTAACTTGAATTTTCCCGCCCTAGAAAATGTTCTGTTTGTGTTTTATGCTGAGGGACCTGGCTAAAAATGTCGGTTTCACTGTTCGAGAATTCTTAAGAGAAAGTGTCAGCCTCTAAGTGTACTTAAAGTGGATATAATTTGGTTTCACAAATCTTCTCCTGTTTTCCTTTAAAAATATTCTGAACATAAAGAAATGATTTGGTCAATAAATAAATGCAGTTGGTAAACCGACCATCTTGTGCTACGTCTCTGAGCAGTGCTCCACACAGTAACATCCCAGAAAGGTGTTAGAAATGAGATGTCCTTTACAGGCATCATTTGGGGGAGATCTTAGAATACCATATTAGCTTCATAGATGCCAGGAAGGAAAAGAGCAATGCCAGACCTTTTACAAAACCTATTAAATCAGAGATCTGCAAAGGAATCCTGTGATAGACGAGAACCTACAGTCACTTTTATTTAATTAACTTATTTGTTGTGGTGTGTGAATATAAGCCTTCATGTTTTCAGTTTTTCAGGTTATATCATTTTTATAAAACAAGCTCAAAGGGTCCTAGAGAGAAAGATGGTTACTTTCTGAACCTTATGATATCCCACATATGTCTACTCATGATATGTGATGCCTCCTAATCATAAGGTCCTCTGTGCTAAGTATCATTGTCTGTGCCCTACAGCTGGTAGTGTATAGTAAATAAACACACACTTCCAGTTTAAAACATTCTGGAGCCAAAAAGTTGGAAATAGGCTTCACCTATGTAAGTGAAACCTGCAAGATTTGCAAGATTCTGCAAAAATTCTTCCAGAGCCTTTACTATGCTAATATGTATCAAAAACCTCCATTAGGGAAGTAAAATATATTGCTTCCCAAACTTATTTCACCTAACTTATTTCTTTTCTTCTGGGCATCTGTTGAGGCCAGTGTTCCATGAATCATATTCTTTCTTACTTTAGAGTGAACTGATGAGAATCAGTGGCAGGTATGTCAAGACTTATTCACACAGAGTGTTGGGTTTCACCATATATGATAGACACAGACTGTGATGTGTGTGTGTGTGTATGTGTGTAGGTACATGTAGGTATATAAGTGTGTGTATATGTATGTACATGTAGGTATATAAGTGTGTGTGTGTGTGTGTGTGTGTGTGTGTGTGTGTGTGTGTGTGTCATAGAAAGAGGGAGAGAGATAGAGAGGGCAAAGAAAAGGGGAAAAAAAGGAAAGATGAATTGGCCCCGGATCAGGCCACCTGATTGTTTGAACCTAGGATTTATATAACAGCTGCATAGATGTAACACATTTGCAGGCTTTGCCTCTTTATTCCAATAGTAATTTAGCAGCTTTGCAATTCTAAGTATTGACATGTAATACATTTTGTGTGAATTAATGAATGCATGAATGAATGCCTCAAAGGTCCCCGTTGTTGTGATGCTTTCCTGACATTTTCTGAAATGGCTTTGAATAAGGGTTTTTCTTGGGGAGCCATGGATGCCAACTGAGGACGATTATTATGAATATTTGCAAAGCTGAGCCTTCAATGTCCACTTCAGGGGTATTTTAAGGCAAAAGGAAAAAGAAAACTCTCTTTCATTTTGTTTTGCTGACACCTAATATGTTTTGAGTAAAAAATCCATTTTACACAGGTAAATAACTGGTTATTTGGAGCAGAAAATGCATTTATGCCAATTAATAACCTATTTAGGAAGAAAATATATTTTCCAAAGCATATTTGAATAGTAAGCACAATATAATAAATTTTAAAGCTTTTCCAACTGGCTTCTACTTCTGGTTTTTGATTAAAATACACACTTGAAACCTTTATGTTTTTAATAGCACTGAATTAAAAGAATCAGGTTTTCATTTATACAATTATTTTTAACATTAATTTTTAAAATAATCATTGTATCTTAGTGAGCTGAAATTTTTTTTTTTCCCGATAAACTACTTCCAAGAATGCGGAAATACCAGGGTGTGTATCATACACCTCCAACCAGACATACACATAGACACATTTATCTTGTTGATCAATTTATAACTTGTCCACTGCTGAGCAGAAATCTTAGGGAGTACATTAGAACTAGTTTCTTGAATTGCCATTGCTGAGGAGTTTGAAGCTTCATTACATGGGAAGGATACGTTTCCTTTGTGTTACACCAACAATACATGTGGTTTTGATGAGGAATAAGCATTCCCTCCAGGAAGACAGGTCAGATGCCAAGACTACTTAAAAGTGTTCGCAATGTAATGAAAAGTGGGACGGTAAAGATACTAAACTCTGGGAGGAAAGATCCTATTATATAATGGTGCATAGGAAAAAAATGAAAGTACGCCAAAATGCCAATAAGATTATCATTGGTTGATGGATTTATGGGCAGTTTTAATTATCCTCTGTATACTTTTCCTTATATTCCAAATTTTTACAATGAGCTATGGTTACTCAGAAAACAAATGTTATGAAAAAATACTTAGCTCTCTCTTTTACCCACTCAATTTCACTACCCTCTTCCTGCAACCTGGTAAAATAGTCAGTAAACCCACTGTATATAACTAGAGGTATTTTATACTTCTGCATGGTGTAGATTCTGGCTAAAATCGTTTTAAAAGAATACCAAATACATCGTAGACACAAAAAAAGAAAGAGAGAAGGGCACAGTAGCATTCTATCCATGTGATTCTGTTGGGCTTATTTCCTTTAAAAGCATATGACTTGAAATTTTGTTAATATATATTGTTCATACAGAGCTGTTAAAGAAGAAATTGAGTTATTTTCCAGTGTGAGAAAGTCTGTATGAGAAGGAAATTTACATGGACAAAATGCTAAATAGCAACAATTTTATGAATGCTAAGATCCAAGCTAGGAAAAGGAAAATTTTCCGAATATTAATCTCTCTATCCAGATAAGAGTGAACTATAATTTACAAACACACTGCTGTTGGCCTGATGACGGTAAAAACACTTTGCCAAATATTTCTTCCCTGTATATATGATATGTCTGGCCCGTGCTACTGTTATATATCTAATTCACTCTTATTTACTTTCTCACAATTCTGGGACAATTAACCATACTGTAGCATACTTGGTCAAAAAGGTTTTTTTTTTTTTTTTTTTTTTACTTAACACTGATAATGTTTTTATACTCTAAAATATGCCACCTGTGAATATATGGAGAGAGAAAGATATCTTCGGACTTGGTGAAAAATCAGAAAATTTCCTGTGAAACCTTGGTGGAAAGATTTTTTTTCTTAAGCTTTAGAAATAATATGTAAAATGCCTTTTAAAGAAGTTCGTGATAAGGGCAGTTCATTTGTGATGGGATGGAATGATTTCTATTTTTGAAAAGAAAAAAAATTAAGTCTTCCCCTGGCTGACCCTGCGTCTCCCCTCTCCCAACCACTTTATATCATGCGATGCAATCAGCCGAGGCCAAGGGGTCTCCTTTCTATTGCCTATTGATTTATTTTAATAGTGTCATAGAGATTACAGCTGTAGTGTGCACATTAAGTGGCTAAGGCCAAAGGAGGATTGGTCCTTCTAGTTGGCTTTTAAGTTTAGGTTTAAATGACCTCAGTATTGTACTTCCATCAGATTCACTAAGATTCAGCCCCAGGAGGTCAATGTCCCAAATAGTCAGCTTAAAAAATTGGTGGCTGAATATTCTGTGTCTTCCTTATTGCTAAAACAAACAAACAAACAAAACAATTCTATTCCCTCTGGGGTGTTCTCATCCTGAAAACAGAAGCCTAGAATAAGAATGTTTTAAAAAAGATTCTCCACTATTACCAATGTGTTTAATATTAAAAATTTACTTATCCTTATTGCATAATTCTTTATGTTGCAAGAGGGTTGGAGGGAATGTGAATTATATACTTTTTACAAGATGTTGACTGAAGCTAGAAATATCATTAGAAAACTTATTTTGGAACAGATTGATTTCCCTTTACAACTATTCAAAGCTGAAAGAATATGGAGCAGATGAAGGTAAATGTGCAGGGAAAATTCCTTTTACCAAAGCATGCTTGTGAGTTCTTTTAGATGGCTTCTTGGGTTATATAAATTTAGTTTGAGGTCATTATATGGATAATTTGTTACTAAGTAAAGTAGTTTGTCAGGTTACGAGACATTAATCTTCCAATAGGTCTTTAATTAGGACAGATGCACTAAATAATTCATAGCAAGACTTGGCCTGGAAACATTTATAATACTCAATTATACCATTTTACAGGCAATGGCAAATTGTTTTTGTGTAGTCTGGAAATTGTGGGACTTAATTAATTACCTTCAATGTTTTAGACATCTGCTCTGCCCTCTTTTAAATGCATTAAATTGGCAACTCATGAAATGTTAAAAATAGAGTTCAAATTCCCCAGATGGCAAAGGGTGAAGATCAACTATGACAGAAAAGAAAAAGCCACTCTGTGGTGTACTGGAAATATGAAACCAAATTACATATCCAGTAACATTTGGCTTAGAAGGCTCTCAAGTCTGTGACAGTTATTTTTAAAAGAATGAGAAATTTTCATGGTTTTAAAAAGCATTTAACTTGCCATTAAATACACTTCCTCCCTGGTTTCCTGAGATAGGCTGCAGTAAACAAACTGGGAAACCAGGCAGTGTGCAGATATAAAACACATATCAATCTCTGTCATGTAAACACCTCTGAGTGAAATTTATTTCTGCACAAATAACTTTGCCCCTATAAGTTGTACCAAAGACATGACCAAAAATAAGTACTCTAGAAGTATTTGCAGAGGCATTTTCATATCATAGATCATAAATGATGGAAAGGGGAATTAAGAGCTTATTCCATTTGTAATTAGATCACAGAAAACAGATGGTGATGGCTTTGCACTGGGTAGCAGGATGTGACCATTTAAGTAAACAAAAGGAAAACGGATGTTCGTTTCATTTTTCATCCTAGAAATTCCTCTGAGAAAGATTTTTCTGAGAAAGAAATTTCTCTGATTAAGAATAATATGTGAATCAGTTACAAAGGATCTAAACACATTCTGAAAGCTCTAAATGAGGCACGAGTGTGCAGATGAAGGGGTCCCCTCTGATTGTGATAGTCAGCTGATGCTGTGGCCCTTGGAGTCCAGATATCTGCAGCTTTCTGAAGGGCATTTCTCTCAAGGTTGTACAGTTTCTCCAGAGGGCTTGGGAGATGTTTTCTTCAAATGGGCATAGATTTCAGGTCCTGCCTCCAAAGCAGTTATGCTGGGTCAACATGTGGGCTCACGTGGAGGCAGAAGTGTTTCCTACTTGAGTAGCTCCTGAATGGAATGGGGGAAAATGGAATTGACTACCAACATGCTCAGTGAGTGGACAGGGCTTTGTGGCCAAGTCCCTTAGAGAATACACATGAATGCTATCTAGCAGAAATCCAGTGCAAGCCACATATGGGATTTAAAGTTTTCTTGGAGTCACAATTTAAAAAGTAAAAAACAAACAGGTGCAATTAACTTCAATAACATGTATTTTATCATCTCCACTTGTAATCAATATAATTATTATTATTATTATTACTTTGATACAGGGTCTCGCTCTTTTTCCCAAGCTGGAGTGTAGTGGTGCAATAAGGTTCATTGCAGCCTTGACTTCCCAGGCTCAAGGGATCTTCCCACTTCAGACTCCTGAGTAGTTGGGACCACAGGTGCTCACCACTACAACCAGCTAACTTTTTCTTTGTTGTTTGTTTGTTTTAGAGACTTAGAGACGGGGTCTCCTTGTATTGCACAAGCTGGTCTTGAACTCCTGGGCTCAAGTGATCCTCCCACCTCAGCCTCCCAAGTGTTGGGATTATAGATGTGAGCCACCACGCCCGGCCAATATAAGAATTATTAATGGGATTTTTTACATTCTTTTTTAAAATACTAAGTCAGCAAAATCTCATGTATATTTCACATGCATAGCACATCTCAAGGCTAATGAGCCACCTTTCAAGGGCTCCATAGCTCACTGTGGCTAGTGACTACCATACCGGACAGTGCAGCTCTAGGTAATGAATGGGATAGCAAGGTAACACATACAAACCTCCAGGGTATGCATCTAGCACGGTGCTGGGAAGAAACTAAATAGGTGCTCATTATAAAGGCCGGAAGAATCCTTCCCACCTGTCAAGCATGAGCTTAGTATTCTCAGAGGCCTTCCCTTATTTTCTTCCATCCCCATTCCCTGCCTCCAAGACAGAAGGTTGCTCTTTTCTATGCCACAGAAGCACTCTATTTTCCCTACATCCCCTTTGGTGTGTGTGTGTGTGTGAGTGTGTGTGTGTGTGTGTGTGTGTGTGTGTGTGTATATATATATGTATATATTGCTATTAATACAGCATCATAATTATGTCTTTACAATATTCTCCTTGGCAAATTTTAAGCATCTTGGGGACAGGGTTGGTGCCTTATTCATGTCAATTTCCTGACACACAAGGGGGTGTTCCATAAATATTTGTTAACTTGAATAAAAAAAATTCAATCGGCAATTCAGATGAGGGAAGAATGCCAGACTGCACACATCAAGACAGAGCAGAAATGAGGGAGAGGAAATCTGGAGGCGAGGGGAGAGGGGGCAGGAAGTCGGGGAAGGAGAAGGAGAAAGAAAAGAAAAAAGGGAAGAGGGAAGGGGAGGGAGGAGGAGGGGAGGGGAGGGAGGGAGGAAGGAAGGAAAACTTTGAAGCACACAGCTCATCCAGGCTTATGAAATAGCATTTCTCAGAATTTTTCCACTGGATTACTGTGCTTTTGAGGATAAAGTCCACATTTGTAAAACAGGGACAACGTATGGTTTGGGATTAGGGGTAGCTTTGGAAATACTTGTGCATATGCTTGCTTGCCAGCCATAGTGAAGTTTGTAAAGGAAGCCTTTGATTCTGTTGTTTTGATATAATTACTTGCTTCATTAGAAAACAAAACAATAAGACCCTTGTACACACTCTGGAGTGTTCTCCCTAGATCAAGTCACCATTAATACAAACCAAATCTAAACATTTTCGGCAGAGTGTTAAGATAATTTAATTAGAAATCTGTTTCTTAACAGGATCAATTTTTTTTTACTTCAACAGAGTGAAAAGCATACACAAATAAACTAATATTTTAGAGTTACATATGACAAATTTTTTTCTTTAATTACTAATATCAAAAGAGATACATTTAGGCTTAAGAATAAAACTATAAAAACTATACAAATTTACCATTGTACCTCTCTAGCTTTGATGTTATTAGGCAACTGTTTAAGGCTCATTTTCCCACTGAAACGGAAAAAACAAAAACAAAAACAGGACAAGACAAATCTCTAAAATGTAACCTCTTTTTAAAGATGACTGGGCAGAGCCTCAAAATAAAAGAAGTAAAGGAAAGAGAGATACAAAGGTGAGAAAAGTTAGGAAATTTTATTTGTCCTTCTCTTCACTTTATCAGAATGGCAAAATTAACAATATCATTCCAGTTTATTCCTTGGGTACCGGCAACATCTTATTGCTTATCTCTAGTGCTATCTAGAACCTTAAGCAACTCACTTTGTCCTCCCCTTTGTCCTATTAGAGACATCAGGCAAGGCAGCAGTATTAGGAAAAGGCATGTTTGATTACACCGTTCAAAAATCTGTCAGTTTTTTCCAGTTTTCTTTCAGACTTTCTTCCCCTACTGTAATTCCTGCTACGTTCTAAATTTTATTTTCATGAGGCCAACCAGTTGTTTCTAATATAGCGAATTAAATCTGTAACTCTCTTTCTTCAAAGTAATTAAAGAGAAACTTAGCATTCAGAAAAATAATATATATGTAAATTTAATTTAACAGGAATCCAGTGATTCTAATTAAGAAAAGGAGAACAGTCTTACCTACTGAGAAGAATCATGAGCATTTCTCCAGTTTGCAACAACGTTATTCTGATTCATAAACACACTATATTAGTATTAGTATTAGTGGTAGTGGTAGTATTATTAAGACATGGTCTTGCTCTGTCACCCAGGCTGGAGTGCAGTTGCACAATCACAGCTCACTGTAACCTTGAATTCCTGGGCTCAAGCAGTCCTCCCACCTCAGCCTCCCAAGCAGGTAGGATTACAGGTGTGCACCACCATGCCTGGCTGTTTTTTTTTAGAGATGGGGTCTTGCTCTGTTGTCCAGGCTGATCTAAATCTCCTAGCCTCAAGAGACCCTCTCACCTCAGCCTCCCAAACTTGTGGGATTATAAGCATGAGCTACCTGTGCCTGGTCTATTATGTAATCATTCTAAACTTGCTCTATGCCAAGCACTATTGTTAAGCGCTTTGCCTGAATTAACTAATTTGATCCTCATAGCATCCCAGTAAGGGTGGGTTATTATCCTCATTTTACAAATGAGGAAACACATCAGTGGGTTGGGTTCCTTGCCAAAGGTCACATTGCTAGGGGGAGGCAAGAAGCTGGATTTGAACTCATGTTTGCATCACTCCTCTATACTGCTTTTCCCTAGTGGAGTATGGAATGAGTATTCATGGGGACTGACCTGGTGCTCATGGACTTGCCCACTTCATGGTCCGTGATGGAACAGACATGAGGAAAATCCCTTTCCCATCACCTACACTCAGTCTGATGGCACTGTGTTCAGGCCACACTAATGATGGCTAATCAATGAGAACAAATGGATGGGTCAGTACCACCTGATGCCATATTGAAAAAATCTAACTCAAATTGGAAATTCTGCTCCCCAACAAGTCCCATAGCTCCATGAAGACAGGAAGTGTGTCCAATTTTAAACAATTTTCCTTGGTGTTTTCTTTTTAATCAGCTTCGGGGCCATCGTAGTGCCTTGTACAAGCACATAATCAACACAAGTGCGAACTGAATTGATCTATGCCTTGGTAGCATTGCCCTTAAAAATTGCACTCTTAAATATGATGAGAAACTAGCTGTATATTAAAAGTGTAATTTAAGGCCGGGTGCTGTGGCTCACGCCTGTAATCCCAGCACTTTGGGAGGTTGAAGTGGGTGGATCATGAGGTCAAGAGATTGAGACCATCCTGGCCAACATGGTGAAGCCCTGTCTCTACTAAAAATACAAAAATTAGCTGGGCGTGGTGGTGCACGCCTGTAGTCCCAGCTACTCGGGAGGCTGAGGCAGGAGAATCGCTTGAACCAAGGAGGCAGAGGTTGTAGTGAGCCAAGATCGCGCCACTGCACTCCAGCCTGGTGACAGAGTGAGACTCCATCTCAAAAAAAAAAAAAAAGTAATTTAACAACTAAGTATATTTGTCTGGTATCTATTCTGACTGTGTTGTTAGTTGATTTTTCAATAGTCTAGGGTTTAAAAAAATGCATGTTGCTATTAATTGTAATGTGAGTTTTATAGAAAGAGGAAAAAGAGTGACCCAAGACATGAAAATAAAATTATTTTGAAATATTCATATGATGTAGGAAGGTTTTCTGTGTATATATCGTACTAATGCTAATGGTACTTACTAGTTATTATATGGATTATTTATTAAAAGTATAAATTTTTATTAAGTGGTTCTAATTTTATAATTAGAGAAATTTTAAAGTACCTGAGTTAAAATAATGACTTATTATTTAATTTGGCTTCCTTTCCTTGTAATTAAAATATTCAGTACTTTCTTTTTATCAGATTTATCTTTACTTCTTTATTCATTGAGCTAGCTACAGTGGTTTCCATGCATAGATTCTTTTAATGTCCTATATACCTTCTGGAAAGTTAGGAAGTATTTTATGATGCATCACCAATGTTATTTCAAAAACCCCAAATTAGCAGCAAACTTATACATAGGAAAAATAGAATGAGTCAGTGGATTGTTTTATATTATATGTCTCTTGAGAACAAGTCATCAAAAGTTACAGCATTTAAAAAAATGTACCATGTATATAGGAGAAATCTGTCTCAGCTACTGTCTGCTTTTAGTGAACATGATACTATGCTTACTTAATTGCTCAAAAAACTTTAGGCAATGCTAAGCAAGAATAGAAGGCTTTTTCCTAGGGTGGGGAAACAGGCTGATTGGCTTTACTTCCTTAATTATGGCTTCACAGTTTAGGCATTACAGAAATATTACATATCTGACTCTTAAGGTCTTTACCCATTTCATATTAGATCTTAGATTTCTTCATCCCATTATTGATCTAAAATGTCTCTAGCTCTCTCGGGTAAAGGAAGAACATGCCCATGTGTTGCATTAGGTAATTCCTATTATTGAAAAGCTGTGTTCAATCTAAAATGACCTTTTCTTGGATTTTTTGTCAAGCTAGCTTTGCAACCCATATTAAATTGAAGCTTTTGTATGAGGACCGAGAAGCCCGTTGTTGCGTGGGCAATGACATTCTTAGGGTGTTTGCTCAGGACAGCCGGCCCTCCGGCCAGCTGGTGGCAGGAGCTGGAGCATTTGGCCGAGTAGTCATTGCTGCTTTTTTTAAGTCCACAGCAAAGACAGGGCATTGGGTCTGAATTTGGACTATAAAGAAGGATGGACAAGTGCTATGCAAAGAAAAAGTTCATCTGTGAAGAGGATCTCTGTGCTTTCATAATCAGAACTCACAGCATCAGTACTTTTGAAGATGTCGAACAAGAATTTTGGGAGGGGCAGCATGGAGATTTGGACTTTTCACAAAAATAAATTTGATAATCAGCATTGGTTTTACTTTAATTTTAGTGGTCCTTTATGATTGTACATGTTTATAGTGACAAATTACGTCTGTGGGATTCGGGCAGGACTTTGAAAATGGCCTGATTATGTTAAGCTGCGTTAAGAGTTTTCTGGGAGGCTCACATGACTTCACTCAGAGAAAATGCCCAAATGGTAAGAGAGGAACTCTCTTAATTGCCTATTTCCGCATGTTACTGTTTTCTTAAGCAAAGATTGTTCATTTACTTACCTTTTAAGTTTGTGTTTGCACTTCCAAGTTGAATTTTAAAACTTCTTCATTTAAAATAATAATAATAGTCACTTTAAAATTCTCTCATGATTAGAAAGACAGTTTCTCAAATTTTAACACTAATTCTATACTTGTCAGGTTTATTTTGGTTTACATTATATGCACTATTTTTCCCCTAAGACCTTAAAAACAACCTTATTTGAGAAATGTGAATTATGTGATTAGAATGCCCAGTTTTACTGAACCCAGCAGAGTTCTAGTTACTGAAGATACACCAATGGCCTGCACCACTTAGAGCAACGACCAAGTAGTGGTCCCCTCTTAACTCTTTTACTGTCTGTGAGGTATGACCTTCTTTACACCCCCACATGCCTCTAGTATGCATTGAAGTCCAGCCTGCCCAGAGCTGTTAAGCAGCTATAACTAATAATTTCCATTCGACTATCTCATCCCTCTTCTCTTCTACTCTCTTGTCAGCTGAGTGTTCTATCCCCTAGAACAGGGGTCCCCAGCCCCTGGTCTGTGGCCTGTTGGGAACCAGGCCACACAGCAGGAGGTGAGTGGTGGGCAAGCCAGGAAGCTTCATCTGTCCTCACAGCCACTCCCCATCACTCGCAAAACCGCCTGAGCTCCACTCCTGTCACATCAGTGGCCGCGTTAGATTTTCATGGGAGTGTGAACCCTATTGTGAACTGCGCAGGAGAGGGATCTAGGTTGCACGTTCCTTATGAGAATCCAGTGCCTGATGATCTGTCACCATCTCCCATCAACCCCAGATGGGACCATCTAGTTTCAGGAAAACAAACTCAGGGTTCCCACTGATTCTACATTACAATGAGTTGTATAATTATTTCCTTATGTATTGCAATGTAATAATAATAGAAATAAAGTGCACAATAAATGTAAGGCACTTGAATCATCCCAAAACATCCCCTTGTCCCCTGGTCCGTGGAAAAATTGTTTTCCATGAAACCAGTCCCTGGGTGCCAATAAGGTTGGGGACCTCCTTTGCCCTAGAACACTGGAGGAGGAAGCGGGTCACTTTCACAAGTGTGCAACTTACACACTCAGAAGATCCCTATGCCTGGCTGAAAGCTCTGCTGTTGCCATCTTAAAAATCTTAGTAATTTTTAAACAAGGGGTCCTGCATTTTAATCTTGTGCTGAGCCTCACCTTCTTCCCTGCTGGTTCTGAGAGAGAAGAAGATGTGAGGAACTGGGAAGGCCCTGAGCTCTGCAGAGTCTCTCTTCATCATTGTGAGTTTCATTTCGGAGTAGCTAGTCACTAGCCTCTAGTGCACTGTTTCAGAAAGTATGTCAGTGAACATTAATGCAAGAAGCACTTACTAAAAATGGTGGATTCCTCAGCCCAGAGAAATGAATTACGGTCTTCAGGGATGGGGCCAAGAAGTTTGTATTTTCATAGACTTCCCATGATTCTCAGTTCACTAAAGGCTGAGAACCTTTGGTTGGTGAATGGCACCTCTGAATTGACCCATCTCTAATTCTGTGACTCCATATTGGTGGGTTCACAACTAAAGGAGAGGAAACAAAAGAAAATAAATTCTATTATCTGCAGTACACTTTATGATACATTGTCAGAGGACAAAAATACTGGTTTGTACTAGAAAAATAACTCTGTTTGACTTGGCAGAGAATAGTGATGTCTTCATTTGAGGCTAGGTTACTTTAAACCACTTTTTTGGGGAGTTCCTATTTTCACTTATTTCTGCTACTACCATTAGAAAATGGAATATTTTAGCCAGGCAATTATGGGTGATCAAATAGCTATTTCAGCCAGTCACTGGCCCTGTCAGGGACTTTGCAAAGATCAATTGCGATGACAAGGATTGTTGTATTAAAATCAGATAATCAAGGCATCAATCATTGTTTAAAATAGAGTTTTGGCAGATAGTAGAGTTTAGTGATTAAGAGTCTGCATTTTGGAGGCAGACAGGCCCCAGTGGAAAGCAGACCCATCATTTAACAGCAGGACCTAATGAAATTCTTTTTTCCCAACAAACCCTAGGTTTTTATTTAAAAAAAAATCATTGATAAGGATATTAATAGATCTTACTTTATAAGGTTGTTTTGAGAATAAAACAAGACAGTCCAAGTGAAATCCTAGTGCACAATACCTGGCGCATAGTATTAAATATTAACTAAATATTAAATACTAAATAAAATATTATTTTTTAACTGTCAAGAAAGATTTAAAAATTAAGATCTATGAAAACTTAAGAACTGAAGCCAAAATGAAATCCTGTAATCAAAGAAATTCCAGGTGTAATAGATAATCCTTGTATATTTTTCCAGATTGTGTACATGATAAACTCATTAATTCAACCTTACAACAGAGAAACCGACTTCAAATTAGTAGGCAAGCAAGCATGGAGGTACAAATGGTTATGCATAGGAAGACAGAAATACAATGTCAAAATGTATTTGACACATTTGTTTTGACAAGTGCAATGATTAATTTTCTGTGTCAATTTGGCTTGGCTATGGTGCCCAGTTGTTTGGTTACACAACAGTCTAGGTGTTTCCGTAAAGGTATTTTTTGATGTGTTTAATATTTAAATCAGTAGACTTTGAGTAAAGCAGATTACTCTCCATCATGTGGGTAGTCTTTATCCAATCAGTTGAAGGCCTTAAGAAAAAAGACTGAGGTTTGTGCAAGAAGAAAGGAATTCTACCTCCAACTCAAGACTGCCAGCCTGCCCTGCAGATTTTGGGCTTGTAAGCCCCTACAATCACTGAACCAGTTCCTTAAAGTCTCTTTCCCTCTCTCCTTTTATATAAATACACACACACACACACACACACACACACACACACGATAGATAGATAGCTAGATAGATAGATAGCTAGCTAGCTAGCTAGATAGATAGATAGATAGATAGACTCTGTCACTCAGGGTGGACATCAGTGGTAAGATCATTATCTCACTGTAACCTCAAACTCCTTAAGTGACCTGCTTACTGCAGCCTCCCAAAGTGCTAGGATTACATGCGTGAGCCACCATGGCCCAGCCTATATATGATATATTTATCATAATATATATATATAAAATTTGGACTGCTATAGCAACAATACCATAGTCTGGGTGGCTTGAAAAACAAACATTTTCACAGTTCCAGGGGCTGGGAAGTCCAAGATCAAGATGCTGGCAGGTTCAGTACCTGGTGAGGACCCTCTTCCTGATTCATAGATAGCCATATTTTCACTGCTGTTTCCTCACATGGTGGAAAGGAATGAGAGGGCTCTCTGGAGTCTCTTTTATAAGGACTGCGTTTCTGCTCTATCAAGACAACGCTTACCCCTCTAATCCCATTCATGAAGTTTTACTATCATGGCCTAATCACCTCCCAACGGCTCTACATTCTAATACCATCAATTTTGGGGTTAGAATTTCAACATACTACATCTCTATTTATAGATTAGTATCTAATATTAATGACATAGTTTATTATTAGTAGTCACAGTTCTCTAGAGAAATAGGAACTATATAAAGATATATATACTAGATATATCTCTATATAGATATATATACATATATATCTATATAGATATATATGTATATATATCTATATATTTACAGAGATTTATACATGTATCTATATATCTATATGTAGATATATTATCTAGTGTATAGATATATCTAGCATATATCTCTGTATATCTATATATAGGTCCTATTTCTCTAGAGAACTAATACAACACAATGACTAATATAACACAAGCTCTGTCACCCAGGCTGGAGTGCAGTGGCGCAATCTCGGCTCACTGCAAGCTCCACCTCCTGGGTTCACGCCATTCTCCTGCCTCATCCTCCCAAGTAGCTGGGACTATAGGCACCTGCCACCATGACCAGCTAATTTTTTGTATTTTTAGTACTTTTTACTTTTCTATTATCACACAGTATTGATGTGATATTCCATTGAGCATTTGGCTCACAAAAATAAATATTTTGGAATGCAGTTATTTTAAGGAAGGACTTGGATATTGAATCCTCACTGCGATACCTGATGAAAACACTTTCCTGTAATGGAAATTAAAGATAAGATATTGCAGATCAACAAAGAATGTGTGTAGAGTCAGGACTGTTACTGCCCCCTGTTTTGTGCTTACCTCATATGCATTGCTCTGCCCTCCAGGCTGCGCTGAAGAAGCTGCGATTTCACAACTGCTTCTGCGCAAGCAATAGGGATAAAGAATTTTGCCTTTCCATGAAATGGCTCAGCCAGGGTAATTATTTATCTGCGCAGGCTGATGCCTTAAGCTTAGTGCCCGTGGACTCCTCCGAGAGCAGAGATGAGCGTGATTGACAGATAGCTGCAACTCTGTCACCTGGGTAAAACCCTGCTGGTAATGAAGCATTCATACTCAGACCTCAGCTTTCTGGACCTGCCAGGCTGCATTTGCTGGCAGCAACTCTGAAAGCCTTCCATGGGAAAATGATGTTTCAAAGGTGCCAATTACAGCACGTATGTATTTCACCTTGAGAATTTCAATTGGCAAAGATAATATCATGGATTGCCCTTATAGTTTTGATGGGATGTTCATTTGTACTAAGAGATCTGATCGAAATGCTATTATTAATGGAGGCTTTTGAAAACAGTGCATGAAAAGCAATGGGGGATTGGTTTTTTTTAAAGCATGTCCTAAAAGACCATTTATCAGCTAGTGCTCAGCAAATGTTTAAAGAATAATGGTGCGCAAATAAGCATGTTCACCTAGAAACCAACTGGATTCTGATTCGCTGATGGAACGTTGTATGTAAATATAAATTAGCTTGTTCTAACCCGTGGCATTGGACACCTAGACGTGGTTTCTTTCCTTTTGCACAACACGGACCTGATGAGAAGGAAAACAGAACTTACCTTGTTCCTGCTCTGTCAAGACAACCCTTACCCCTTTGTTATTTTGCTTCTTTTTAGGATAACTCTTAAGCAAAATAATGAAGCCAGAAACCAACATGGTCATAAGTGAATGTTTATGGAACATCTGCTATGGGTCATGTGTTTTCCATATGTCATTTTATTTAATCTTCATAAAAATCCTGTGAAATATGAGAGAAGAAGCATTTTTGTTTCCATTTTCTCTAGAAGAAACTGAGATTCTAAGGTGTCAGGTAATCAGTCCAAGGTTGTCTAAATAGGTAAAGTTCCAACGACTTTGTCTCTTTCCATTTATTTCTTCTCATGTAAGTACAAGTCAGTTCCTCTCTCTCTCTCTCTCTGTCTCTCTGTCTCATTGTCTCTCTGTTGCTCTTTCTCCCTCTCCTTCTCTTTCTTTCTCTCTGGGTCTCTCTTGCACACACACACACAGAGACACATACACACACAAACACAGATGACCTCTGCCCCCTTCTGTACTTCCAGACCTCTGTTGTACTGGGTAAAAACATCTGATAAACTCCTTCACACTCGATTGGTAGAGACCTAATATACTGCGCCTTCCCTGAGCATTTTAATAGAAAAGGTCAAGGAGAGGGTGAAGCTTAGTAGAAAGAATTGCTTTGTGAAAGGATTCTCAAAATCTGTAAAGAATGTGGCTTTGGTCTGGACGTTTTCTCGGAACCCCTCAGACAATCCCACTTGGGAACCTTGTCCTCTCCTTCAGCTCGTGGGTGGTTTTAATGTCCCAGCTTCTTGTCCAGCTGCTGTTCTCTGTCTCCTGGGCAGCTCCTCCTTGTCGTTCAGCCTTTACATCATACAGACTGTCCGTCATCCCAACAACTCAACAGATACTTTTTGAAGGCAATTCTAAGATACAAATCAAAATTTTGGTTAGATTCTTGGTAAAATTGTACTAGATCCTGAAAAAAACATCTGATTTTAGAATTACCCTTAACTTGATATCCTTCTCATTCTCAAGGGCCTTTTCTTGGGCAAGGATGTTAATCTGTAGGCCTGAATACCCTAGACACTGGGGTAGATTCATTCTTCCTTTTTAACTTTTACTTGAGCAGTTTGACACAGGTTTTAGATAAGCTGAGAAGCATGTCCACCTGCCATAACAAATAGGAAGACAAGCACCCTCTTCCATATGGATGACCCAATTCTACTATCTCAACCCAGCAGTGGCCCTGACAAGCAACAGAACCCCTTGGCTAGTTATTTTCAGAAATGACAGCTCTGTAGCAATTATGGCAAAACTAAGATCTTTGTTTTTGACAGGAACTCTTAACATTCAAAGGAAGAGTGAGACCCAGCAACACAACAGGGTGAGGCATTTCATTATTTAGGGCTAACTTAGGCAACGAAGTCATTCTAACAGGATCATTTAGATGCCACCTGACTCAAAATGAAACTTTCTCCAAGCCCCGCGTCAAGGTTCCCCGCGGCAGAGGTGGATAAGTGGTACATCAGACCCTCACATTCTTCAGTGGCCTTGTCATATCCTCCCTGGGGACATAATACAGCATTGGAGCATCAAAAGTCCAAAATTGCTGCTTGCCTGTCATCTTCCTGTGGCCTCCATACGGTAGAGGTGTTCCTCCAGCAGTTGATTTTCAGAACAAAGCACCAGCTTGACTCCTGCTTGTCAGAGACCGAAGCCCCCTGAGCTTTCTTCCTTACAACAGCACACAATAGCTGCTGGCTGTGTTCTGCATCTCAATTCGGCAGTGTCTGCTCCCATAAAATCCTAGTTGAGAGCAACAGCCCACCAGGCCTGCCAAAATCGGCTCCTTGCGAATTCCTCACTTTGGGAGAATTCCTCACTTCAAGAAGTTACACGGGTACTTGGAATGTGTGACTTTAGCAATGCCCTCAACTGAGCTATGAATTTAACATGATGCCCTTGGCTTCGATCTGGGGGGATCGATGTGAGAAACTACCACAGGAAGAATGCCCTGGCATTTTGCAGAGTGGCTCTGGCGGGCCCCATCCATTACATTGTCCAGTGCCCGATATGAATGCATGAGAAAGTCTTCTCAGACTTCCAGGCTCACCTAAAAGGGTTTTTCTTCCGATGAAAAGGTGTGTATTCGTTTATAAGATAATGAGAGCTCTTTAACTTATCATGTGTCTCTCCTTGCCTGAGCTGCAAAATCCCAGGGCTAAATTTTCTTCTCAGTTGTAGCGGCTTTCTTTTACTTAAGCTTAGGATAGAATGATTCCTATTCTTTGTCCTCTTATTACTTGGCATTTTGGTAGACATAGAGTTAGATATTATCTTGTTGATTCTCCCAACCACATCCAAGAATATATTTATTATCATTATTTTATAGAGCAGGAAAATAAGGAGAGAAAGATGAAGTGATTTGCCCCAGTTGACAAAGTCCCATTAGGAACTTTGTTAGTTGTAAACAGTAAACAAAGGAATGGAAAAGTCACAGTGTGTAGTCATAGTACATGCTCTGAGTCTACGTAAAATGTTTTTGGCCAGATGTGGTGATGCACACCTGTAGTCCCAACTACTTAGGCGGCTGAGGCAGAATGATCACTTGAGCCCAGGAATTCCAGGCTGCAGTGCGCTATGTTTGCCACTATGAATAGCCAAGCACTCTAACCTGGGCAACATAGCAAGACTCTGCCTCTAAAATTAAAAGAAAAATATTCTTATGGTTGTTGTTATTGTTATGTAACCCTGGCGAAGCCACTCATTGTGTTGATACGGCATTTGTTCAGCAAACCAGCCCTTCTAATGTCAGGTAAGCCATGCCGGTGTGAGGACCAATAAAATGTTTAAAACAAAAACTTGCCATAAAATTTAACGCTCCACATTAAAAGATATAGATCTTGTGTACATATGTTTTGCCCTGTTATTAGGAAGCAAAATTTAGAAGACAAGTAATTACAATTTAAGTAATTTGTTTAATACAATACCTGAAATTACTGTCAGATAAACATTTCTTGAGAAGATCAAAATATATGGTTATTTTACAGTTTCCCATTTGGATCTCTTTCAATTTCTGTAGTTTATTAGCTTGGTTCAGTGTCTTTGAGCATTAGTCAACATTTAAAATGTAGGTTTTTATGATTCTGGAAGAAGCAATTGCTTCCGAGGGAGAAAACATTCTGTAAATTACATGTAAATGTTTTTACTTGGATGAGTTCTTTTGCATCTGTGCAGAGGATCATTTTAATTTACACAAGAATGAAGGTTTTCCGTGATTGAATGTAGTAGGCACGCTTGTGTATCTAATTTCCACTTCATTTATACCAGAGTCTAGCAGACACAAGGGGCATTTTGTTCTAATGTAAGTGCTACTTAAAAATAAAGTAAAATTATAATAAAAAGCTAAGGATTAGTGTGCCATTTCTAATTTTATTTCAGAGTTGCCCCTTGGAGTGGGTTGGAGCAGATCTGAGTCATGTAATTTGGCATTATGATGCTCTAAAGATACAGACGATAAAGACTTCATCCTTGGAACAAAGCAGATGAGAAACTCAGAGATGTGATTGACTAAAAACATCAAACCGTCTCCCCTTTCCCTCACAGCTATACATTTCAGAGTTTAGTGTATTTTTCCTACATAGAAAACTGTTCTGTAAATCCTTTCTATTTCTTTTTCCTTAATCTCTGAGATTATGTAGCCTTTACAAAATTGGGTGTTTGAAAATCCAAAGGATTATAAAGGCTTCAGCTAATTCAGCTTCTTCTCTTTGCACCATTAAAATCTTTCAGAGAAATAACCAGCTTCTAGTCACTGTTTATTGACAGTGAAAAGGATGTGACATTTTGACATTAATCAGTTGCTGGGCTGGAGACAAAGGTATAGGTTTTGATGTTCTAATATCACTGCAAATGTAATAATAAAGGCCACTGAAATGTGGAAATGAGTGTGAATATTTGCCTCTTCCTAACTGAGAACCACAAGACTTCTTTTTATCTTATTAAATCTGCGTTATTAAATGCCCTAAATTAATGAAAGGTTATTGCTCAAGAATTCAAATTTATATAAACCAGCCAGTTCTAAGCTTTTAGTCTCTGAGCCACTCTTTCCTCTTTACAGCTTCTTTGTTAGGCACAACTACATTTTTAGTATTTTTCTTCTATAGTCGTTTTTGGGTTTTGTTTTTGTTTTTGTTTTCATGCAGTCATTTTTCCCCTTGGCCATCTTGGGAAATACACTGGTGGAGTTTCTCCTTACAATAGAGAGTACTGAGGCTCTGGAAGAGTACAGACGTCTTGCCTAAGATGTACAGTTGGCAAAGAGAACTGATAGGGTACCATTCTCTAGGGAGGGCTGGCGCATTTAAACAGGCATGGTCCAAGGTGGAACGGAGATTGATGAGCGTGTAATACGTTTCCTTTGCATCCACCAAGACGCCTCCTTGGTGGACAGGTAGAGAGCTAAGGCAGCCCCAGGTTGATTTCCCGGGACACCTGCAGTTGCAGAGTCTTTGGGAAGGACTTGTGTTTTCAAGTTCTGAAAGCTAGGTGCCTCAATCTCAGATATTCTGGTTAGTTACCTGCCTACAGAACTGTAATACCTCCCCTAATTAATATAATCCTTTGATTACAAATGAATTTTGAGCTACTTTCAAATTCTCTAAAGCACAGGTAATTTTGAAGGTGCTTATGGGATGTTGCAATGAATTAATCACTTTACAATAGAAGGGAAGGGTATAAGATAGATTTTAAAAAACTTTCAACCTTCTTATGTTTATTGTCTTCATGATATAGGTGGCTTTGTTTGGCTAATCTTATTTTAATTTAATTATTTTATATTAGATGTGCTAATTATACAAACACTAATTACCTGAATCCATTTAATTCTGTGGCATTCATGGTTACCTGACAAATACTGAATTGAATGACAGCACCTAAATATAACTGCATGACTTAGCTGTCTGGCGCAATATTTGCATTATTAGGGAGTTGTCATCTTGTAAAGAAATAGAAATCATGAACTATTTACCATAGCTTCACTTAATAATAGAAGATATTGCTATCTCAGACAGTGTAGCTTCCAATGTTGCTTTAGAACCAGGATAGCATCCTTAAGATTTAAAAAACTTTGAATAGCCTTTTAAAAAAAGTTTTTAAAATCATATGCTGTGCCAATTAATTTTATAAGTCTAATTATCTATATACTGCTTCCTAAAAGTTCATGAACTGCCAGTATTGCTTTTGTCTCTCAGATGGATCCTAAGACAGCTCTTATAGTGTTGTCTGTAGGCCAGGTGTGGTCACTCACACCTGTAATCCCAGCACTTTGGGAGGCCAAGGAGGGGTAGTCATTTGAGGCCAGGAGTTGGTGACCAGCATGGGCAACATAGCAATAGCAAGACCTCATATCCACAACAATTTTTTTTAAGTTTATAGTATTGTAAGTCTGAAACAAGTTCAGATATACATCCAAAGTTTTAGGACTTTCGCTTGATAACAAGTTTTATCATCTAATTTTGACACAACCCTTTTTTCTTTAAAAACAAAATAAGGTTGGGTCAAGATGGCAGTTATAACAAAATATTTTGTTTCCTCTCTTACCCCAAGTTCCCTCAAATTAAAAAAAGTAAAATTTTTGATAATTAATACTTCTGGTAAACAAGAACATGTACCATGAGGAAATAAGACATTTTAAGGAAATGCAAAAAATTTAGAAGCAAGCAGGATTAGAGCCACAAAGAAAAAGAGACTGTAAAAAAGCAAAGCAAACATAATAAAACAAACAAAAACACTACCCAGGTTAAATATAAGAGAAGACTGCTGCTGAGAATTTTCTAGGGGTACTCCAAGCTCATGAACAATGAACATAAGTAGTGGGAGAAATCCTTGGAGCAATGATCATGGTGATTATACAGCAGCTGTATTTGGGGCTGCCCAGCCAGTCAGCCCTTTTCCAGCCTTGGCTTTTTTGCTCTGTGGGCAGCGAAACAGCCAAGATGATTTCATGGGAAAATTCTACCATATGTCTAAAGAACATATAATTTCTATATTATACAAATAGTTTCAAAGAGAAAACATCAAAAAGTTTTCCAACTCATTCTTTAGGGCTAACATAATAAAGTACCATAAAATAGAAAGAAAGCTATAGTCTAAGCTTATTTCTGAACCTAGATGCAAAAGTCTGAAATAAAATACAAATGAAATCCAACTGTGTATTAAAAAGAGCATTTCCCAGGAATACAATCATGACTCATTATTGATACTTGATTATAATTTATTGAAAATTAGTATCACCATATTAAGGGATTCTAAAAATTCAATCTATACACTCAGCTCTGCCGATGCCAAAATTGCATTCGATGTAATTGAATACCACATTCAGACCAAAACAATGAAACAAAAAAGAGCAACGCAAACCCAAAACAAAACAAAATCCCTCTCAAACCACACTCAGAATACAAAGAAAACTTGATAAAGGGCATCTAACAAAAATGAAACCAAAGTTTTTGAAGAATTTCCCATTAAAGTTGCTATGAAGAAGAGGAGAGAGAAATATCTGTATAACACCCAGATTCTAAAGTGACCTCTGCCTCTTGGTGGTCCTGCCTTTCTGTAATCCTCTCCCCCTTGAGTGTGGGTGGGACCTGTGACTTGCTTCTAACCAACGGAATAGGGCAAAGGTGATGGGAGGTGACTCCTGGATTACTTTATGTTATATAAGACTCCATCTTACTAGCAGACTTAATCTCTCTCTCATTCTCCTACTGGCCTTGAGGAAGCAAACGGCCATATTATGAACTGCCAATGGAAAGAGCCACATAGCTTTGCGCAGTGGCAGTATCTCAGCCAATAAGGCTTCTCTGGAGGCGACTACTGGTAATTGGAAAGGGTCACATGACAGGAAGCTGTGAATGGAATTGAGGAGCTGAGGGAAGGCTCTGGCCAACAGACAGCAAAAAATGTTAAAGCTCCCAGCCCTACAGCTACAAGCTATGAGGAGATGAGTTCTGCCAATAACTTTAGTGAGCTTGGAAATGGATTCTTTTCCAGTTGAGCCACCAGATGAGAATACAGCCTAGCTGACATCTTGATTGCAGCTAGTGGATCTTGATGCAGAGAGCCCAGCAAAGCAGTGCTCATGCTCCTAACCCACATAAACTGTGAGAAAATAAATGTATGCTGTTTTAAACTGCTAAGTTTCAAAAAAAATTGCAGCAATAGATAACAAATACAGTCTATTCTCACCACTACTTTTTATAACATTTAAGGTTTTTATTTAATGATGTGATATAGAACATTGACATACAATGAACTGTTCAAAGTGTGCAATTTGATAAATTCGGACTACATATACACACACACAACTGTGAAGCCACCAAAATGATTAAGATAAAGAACACAACCATCACACCTAAAAGATTCCTCGGGTCCCTTTGTAATCTCATCCCTCTCTTGACCCCCATTACCATCCAACCTCTGATTTGCTTTCTATTGCTATAGATTAATTTGCATCTTCAAGAATTCTAGAATGTACTCTTGTTTTGTCTAGCTTCTTTCACTCATCCATTGAGTGAGATCCATCTCACATTGAGATTCATCCTATGAGAACATGAATTAATAGTTTATTTCTTTTTTTATTATTGAATGGCATTTCATTATACTGCTACATCACAGTTTGTCTTTCACCTGTTGATGGACATTTGGGTTGATTCCAGTTTTTTACTACAACAAATAGAACTCTGTGAACATTCATGTGCAAGTCTTTGTATAGGCATATGCTTTCATTTCTTTTGGGTAGACACCTAGGAGCCAAGTAAGTGGGTCATATGGTACCTATGTTTAAATTTTAAGAAAATATCAAACTGTTTTTCAAAACTGTTGTACCATTTTACATCTCACAAAAAATGTGTGAGAGTTTCAGTTCCTCCACAGCCAGCACTTGGTATGATGAGTCTTTTTAGTTGTAGCCATTATACTATGTGGGTAGTGATATCTCATTGCGATTTTAATTTGTATATCCCTGATGACTAATGATGTTAAACATCTTTTCATGTTCTTATTTTACCACACTTGGTAAAGTGTCTTTTCAAAGTCTTTAGCCTATTTTATATTGGATTGTTTTTATTACCAAATACTGAGAGTTTTTTATATAGTCCAGATGAAACTCCTTTATTCAACATGGGATTTGTAAATCCCATTTTCTTTCTGAGAGTTGTCTTTTTATTCTCTTACCAGTATATTCTAAAGAGCATCATTTAATTTTGATGAAGTTCAATTTATTATTTTTCTTTTATAGATCATGCTTTTGGCATTTTGTCTAGGAAAACATTGCCTCACCATAGGTCACAAATATTTTCTCCAGTAATCTTTATAAATTTGTGTAAATCACGTTTTCATCTGTTATTATTTTCTTCTGCTTGATATACTTTAACACTTTTTGGAGTGCAGGCCTGATAGTGATGAGTTCTTCTAGCTTTTGTTATCTGAAAACATTTTCACTGAGCCTTAATTTTGAAAGGTATTTTCACTGGGAAAAGGGCTGCATTTGCCATGTTATTAGTTGCATTTGCTCGTTATTTCAGTACTTTTCATGTTGTTGGGGCATTGTCTTTTAGTTTGCATTGTTTCCAATGAGAAATCTGTTGTCATACTTATTTTTGTTCATTGGTATGTAATGTCCTTTTTCTCTGGCTGCTTTTTAAGATTTTCTTTGGCCAGCCACTGTGGCTCATGCCTGTAATCCTAGCAGCTTGGGAGGCTGAGGCAGATGTATCACCTGAGATCAGGAGTTCGAGACCAGCCTGACCAACATGGTGAAACCCCATCTCTACTAAAAACACAAAAAAGTTAGCTGGGCATGGTGGCAGGTGCCTGTAATCCCAGCAACTCAGGAGGCTGAGGCAGGAGAATCACTTGAACCCAGGAGGCAGAGGTTGCAGTGAGCCAAGACCGTGCCATTGCACTCCAGCCTGGGTGACAAGAACAAAACTCCATCTCAAAAAAAAAAAAAAAAGATTTTCTTTTTCTCTCTGCTTTCAAGCAATTTGATTATGATATGCCTTAGTATAGTTTTCTTCATATATTTCTTATGCTTCTAATTTGTTGACCTTTTTGGACCTGTAGTCTACAACTACAAATCAAATTTGGAAAGGTTTTGGCCACTTTTTCTTCAAATACTTTTTGTTTCCTCATCCTCTTCTCACCTTTGTATATTCCAATTACGTGTGTGTATTTGGTCATTCGAAGTTGTCCTTAGCTCATGGATGTTGTGTTCATTGTTTTCAGTTATTTTCACTCTTTGTTTCTTTTTGAACAGTTTCTGTTGCTGTGTCTTCAAGTTCACTATTTTTTCTTCTGTCATGTCTAATCTTCCATTAAACCCATCCACTGTATTTTTAAACTCACATATTTATTTTTAATCATTAGAAGTTTTATTTGGGTCTTTTTAATATCCTCCCATGCCTCTATTTAATGTATTCAATCTTTCATCTAGCTTCCTGAACACACAAAAGACAGTTGGAACAACTGCCTCAATTTCCTTGTTCACTAATTCTATAATCTGTGTTATTTCTGGGTCTGTTTTAACTGATTGATTTTGCAGTTTCCTGCTTCTTTATATGCTGTATAATTTGTTATTAGATGCTAGACAATTTGAATTTTACCTTATTGGTTGCTGGATATTTTTTATTCCTATAAATATTCTTGAGCTTTGTTCTGTCACAAAATTTGCGTCAAAGGATTCTTTCCCATTACGGAGGTAAGACAATTCCTAGTATCCTAAATATGCTCCCCAACAATGACGGGATTATGAGCCACAGGTAACCTAGCTGTTGAGAACACACACTACTCCTGGGCTCTGTGTGGACTCCAGGCATTTGTTTAGTCTGATCTTTGGGGTGAACATTCTTTCATGGACCTCAGATAGTTTCCTCAGACATATGCGTTGATCAGGACTCCACTGCGTTCCTACAGGAAACTCTCTGCAGATCTCTGGAGTTTTCTGTCTGTGCAGCTCCTTCCTCTCTGATATGCTCCCTTTGGCATTGGTGTCCCTAAACTCCAAACTCTGTCATCCTAACTCAGGAGGGCTGCCAGGCTCTGCCTAGGAACCCACTCTCTGCACCATGGCTTAAAAACTCTCTCGAGACAGTAGGCTGGGGCTATCATCATGTGCTTACTTTTAATAATATGAAAAATTTTAAATGTTTTGAACCAGGAAGAAACACAACACTATAAGCAAATATAAAGACAAACGTGAGATTGAGGAAAAATATTGTTGACATGTGTAGCAGAAAAAAATACTACTATTAAAAATAAACAAAACATAAATCATTAAGAAAAAAAGATAACCCAAGATAATAACAGTCAAATTCACAGAAGAAGAAATATACATAGCTAAAATGCATATAAACTTACACTTGACCTAATTAATCAACAAGATAAGGTAAATGAGGTATAATTTTTTCAATTATCTTTTTTTTTTTTTTTGAGATGGCATCTTGCTCTGTTGCCCAGCTTGGAGTGCAGTGGCATGATCTCGGCTCATTGCAACCTCCGCTGCCTGGATTCAAGCAATTCTCCTGTCTCAGCTTCCCAAGTAGCTGGGACTACAGGCACACACCACCACGCCCCGCTAATTTTTGTATTTTTAGTAGAAACAGGGTTTCACCATATTGGTCAGGCTGGTCTCAAGCTCCTGACCTCAGGTGATCCACCCAACTTGGCCTCTCAAAGTGCTGGGATTACAGGCTTGAGCCACTGTGCCAGGCCTCAATTATCTTAAATGATAAAAAGATCAATAAATTTCATTGTTGATACAGATGCAGGAAAATAGAGACTCATGAAGGCTATGGATATTTGGATAGTTTTTTTTTTTTTAACAGAAGTTAAATAATTTGTGTTAAAGATTAGATGTACATCCTCTTTCAGTTCTGGCAGTCCTATATTTAATACTAATTGCACATGTGCATACAAATTTTCAAAGAAGGTATTCACTGAAATAAAATTGGAAACAACCTAAATGACCATCAGTTGACAATGGCACAATGCACTATGTTACATCCGTATTGCAGAAAATAAAAGAGCTACTAAAAAAATGTGGTAGCCCCGTATGATTGCATATGGATATTTCTAAAATATGTTAAGTGAAAAAAATTACAGATGAATACGTCTAGTAAGATCCCACAGATGTCTTCAAAATAACCTTACATAAGAGAATATATTCTTATGAAGATGTAAAAGCATTAAAAAATATTGGAAGGCTATGAATTCAGTATCAGCCATGGTTACCTCTTGGGGAGGAAGGGAAAAGGGGAGCCAGTTAGAGGGAGAATTGCATAGTCTACATAACTTCTGTATCACTCGAATTCTTAGAATAGTCTATGTATTATTTGTGTCATTATAAAATTAAAACATGGGGAAAACTCATGCCAAAATGAAAGAGAAAAAGTTCAAAGGGAAAATGAAAAGAAGGAAAAAAATGCAATCTTGAGATTTATGGCAGACTAGTGGATATCATGTGGCATACTTAAGTTGCTTTATTCATTCATGGTCTGTGTTGAGGGGGGCCATAGGACATAGAGGAACATAATAGAATTTTAGGGGGTGGTAAGTACTCATTATTCATTGGTAAAATGTGGATTTGGGGCCCTATGATGAGATTAAATGTGTAAGAGAAGCAATTCCATTTGAGGATAAGGGAAGGCAGAGGCTTTCACATTTCCAGCTGATTGTTAAGGACAGACAGGTAATATTATAAAAAATCGAATGTAAGAAAATGTAGTTTAAAAAATGAGAAATCCATTTCTGAACTCATTTAAGCTTTCTCCCCAGATCTAAGATGAAAGCTCATCAGCTGTAAATACTCAGTGCTTTCCACCGTGACAGAGTTTAAATTAAAACAAAAAAAAAACCTAGAGCTTGGCAGGAAAGCAGAGGTCCATGGTATGAACCTGTGGCCAGACGTGCCTGGAAAAGAAAGAGCAGAGGCTGAGTTTCCGTAAGGTCCTGTTTCTGCTGGCTGTAGCCCTCCTGCAGATTCTGGGTTTCTGTGGGATGGTTTGCTTAAGCAAGAATTTGTCAGTGGGTCAACAGCCCTCTCCAGTGAGGAGGGTGCGTCGGGCTCCTGATGCCGAGTCCAGTCACATTGCACGGCTAGCCTTAGGCCGACAATGCTGGATCAGTCAGGCTCTCCTGGGTTGCAAATACTAGTTCCTGAAACCGTCCTTCCTCTCTCCCTCTCTTCCTGTCTCCCTTCTTGCCTCCTTGTTTCCTTCTTTCATCCTTTTATTCATCAACAATTTACTGAGCAGTTACTGTGTCAGGCATTGCTGTAGTGGAGATTCTGGAAATACAGCAGTGACCTCGACAGAGAAAATTCTTTCACAGCTATACCTCCTTCATTCTTGGTCTATTTTCAGAATTCAAACTTCTGAATGTAAAAATTGGCTGCCCTATCAGGGATATTATTCACTGATTGTGAATTTCTTGCTTTACTTTCTAGAGGTAATTGTAGTATGCATTGCAAATGAATTACCATTTTGGTTTATAAACCAATCCCTTATTATTTTATTTGATATGAATTAAACTCCCTGGGTAATTCTGTCTGTACTGACAAAATTCCAGTTAGGGATCTGTACATCTAAGTGTTACATCTCTACTTCTGCTGCCCTGTAGGTCCTGTCTTGGTTCCCTCCTTGAGTTACATCTTTTCCCCATCTCTCACACGTAATACTTAATCCTTAGTGAATGGCTCCAGTTGCTAATTAACTAAAAAGGAAATATTCGGAGAGCTTGGAATAAGAGATGGGATGGGAAAGGCAGCGCCTTAATACACAGCAGAGGGGTTACTCCTAGAGACATCCACCATCTGCTCCTGTATTTTGAAATTCTTTCAGATTAGATTTAGATTCTGCCCAGAATCTATTGCCACAACTGTAATACTCATCTCTTCATTTAAAAAAAATAATTGTAACTGTAGGTCTCTTCAATTACTGGCACTTTTTGAATAATAAAAACTAACATTTTAAAAGTATTCAGTATGGGCCAGGTGTGGTGGCTCATGCCTGTAATCTCAGCACTTTTGAAGGCTGAGGTGGGTAGATTGCCTGAAGTCCGGAGTTCAAGACCAGCCTGACCAACGTGGTGAAACCCTGTCTCTACTAAAAATACAAAAACTTAGGCGGGCATGGTAACACATGCCTGTAGTCCCAGCTGAGACAGGAGAATCGCTTGAACCTGGGAGGCAGAGGTTGCAGTGAGCCAAGATCACGCTATTGCACTCCAGCCTGGGCAATGAGAGCGAAACTCTGTCTAGAAAAAAAAAAAAAAAGTACTCAGTATGTGTCAGGGACTCTGATTAGTATTTGACACTCTTATACTCTTGGTTATTATTATCCCCATTTTACCTATGAGGAAATGGAGGATTAGAGGAGTTACATCAGTTGCCCAAAGTCATTTAGTAAGTTATGGACCCAGAATTTGAAGCCAGAATCTGACTCCCGAGCTCATGGTCTTAAGCACTCTGCATTCCACCACCTCTTGGTTATTATTATATAGAAATTTAAAAACCATAGTAAAACTTAAGAATATAATGTACAGGATTGTGGTAAGGAGTAAATGGCCCGCTAGGAGGAAAACACTTAGCAAGAGGATGGCTGTTGATCTTCCTTCGCTGAATAAACTCCATTTTTTTTCAACCTTTTCCTCAAAATGTGGTAGCTTCCACCAGGTTAGTTCTAAGCAGCACAGGATCTATTGACACTATTGCTTGACCTGTTCTGTACTGATACTTTGTCTATTCAGCAGCTTATGAGTGCATTTCTTTTTTTAGCATCCAAGGTAAAATTGCTGTTCATATTAATTTTATAGTCATCTAAAATTTCTCTTTAAAAGATGAACAGTTCTTAAGCAGAACTTACCCATTTTTGTACTCAGGTGGAGGTAATTTTGGTGTATTTCTTTCTGGTCTTTTCTCTAGATGTAAGTTTGCATAGACAGGTTTAGATAAAAATGAATATATACATTTTTGTTTAATAGCCTACTCATTTTTCATAATATGTATCATGACTATTTCTCCATGTCATGCAAGATTCTTCCAAAGCATCATTTCAAAGGCTGCATGGTATTCCATGACACAGGTGTACTTTATTTAATTCATCATCTTTGAGGGGATTTCTATGCTCTTTTCCATGTGTCTAATGCCACTGGTTTTTTTTTTGTTTGTTTCTTTGTTTTGTATTTTTTTTTTTTTTTTGAGATGGAGTCTCGTTCTGTCACCAGGCTGGAGTGCAGTGGCACAATCTCCGCTTACTGCAACCTCCATCCCCCAGGTTCAAGTGATTCTCCTGCCTCAGCCTCCCGAGTAGCTGGGACTACAGGCGCACGCCACCACACCCAGCTAATTTTTATATTTTTAGTAGAGACGGGGTTTTACCATGTTAGCCAGGATGGTTTCCATCTCCTGACCTTGTGATCCGCCTGCATCGGCCTCCCAAAGTGCTGGGATTACAGTTGTGAGCCACCACATCCAGCCTAATGCCACATTTTTGATACTGACTCTGTAGGTCACCCAGAAAAATAAGTTCCCAATCTGCCCAGTTCCTAATGATACAGTTCTGAGACTTGTCCTGATGCTGCTGTTCAATGATGCCAGCAGTGCATCCGTGAGACCTACTGGGGGGAAACATGTTGCTAAGCAGTATTTATAACCCCTCTTAAGCAATTCTTTAGGAAATCCCATATTAAACACAGCAGAAACAGACCCCATTTATCTCTGAGGACATGAATATTCATATGCACTCATGAAGACAGTTTTTCTATTTGCATAGAATTTATATTTTTGGTGTGTTTTACTATATTCAAGACACATACACGATCTCACTTGATACTCAAGAAAAGCCCATTTTACCAATGAAGTAACTGAGGCTCATTTTTTGGAAACTACCTCTCCAGCAAGTGGCAGAAAAGAAATTCACATCTAAGTCATGATTCTAAACTCTGTGCTCCTTTCTGTCTATTTGAGGATTAAATTTTGATTCATTAGCATTTCGGTAATAGGAAGTATTAGCATATCAGATTTGCTCAAGGCAAAGTGGAATTTTCTCATCTCACCTCTCATTAATAAAAATTATTCTGCAGGAAAGAATTGCTACAAAGCTTGATTAGTTAAAAACCAATAGCCTAACTCTAACATCAAGATATATAGGCATCGATTTTATTTGATGAAAAGTGCAGCTTAGGAGGAGCCCAGGCCAGCTCTAAGCACTGGCCCTGCCTTTTCTTGCAAATGCTGAAATGCTATCTTTAATGTATTGTCATTTAGAGGTGACAAAGTCCTTAAGACCCATGAACATTACAAGTGCAACAATAAAACATGATTTTTTTTTCCCCTGGAAAATGCCCTTGTTACAGTGCTCCAAAAATGAGTTAGAGATGATTTCTTTGTTGCCTCCATAGACCTTTAACTGGAATATATTCAAGGCTTTCTGTAGCTTGCATCCTTATAAATTTATTCTTGTCAGGTCTAGCCATGTATCAGGCTCCTAGAGTGAAATATGAGAATGAAAATGGAAGCAGCATCAGATGATGACACATTTGCCAGGGGAATTCAGAGTGAGGGAGACTGTCCAAGGCGAGGAGGTGAGCCCAAGATAGAGCATCGCAGGTGGCATCCACTGTTCCCTTCCTATTCCTGCCATTGTTCAGATCCTTGAAAGCCGAGCAAATGAGAGTAATGAAAGGCTTGATTCCGTTACACTGCCTTGACTTTGCTGCCAATCATATACCTCCAAATCCTAATAAAAGCACATGGCACTTCAACACAGGGATAGAAGATTGAAGAAAGAGGCTGACTGGTTTGACCTCGGCCACATTAGAAAATCAAGTGGCCTATAAGATCCCTACAGCAATCGGATTTTGTTGTGGGTAAAGCCTTCCCCTGTAGACAGAGACACTGTACCAAATAAACCATGCTATTCCCAAGAAACTGGACCCGGAAATGTTGTCTTCAAAGACAATTTTTGGAACATAGGACTCCAAAGTCAGGGAAATTGGAAGAGACAGCTGGGGGTCTTAAGCACTAATATTTGATTAGTGAAGGCAAGAGGGAGTGTGTTGCACGTGGCATAGCTTCCACAAACTTATTTTATCTTCAAACATTTTATTCAGGTTTTATGGAACCTCTGTGTGATTAAATTATTCTCCTGGTAGTCCTGATAGTGCACCTGAGGACTTTGGGGAACTTTGCTATTTTCCTGTTACTTTCTGCATTCTCCAGAATGGTCACATTAGTGTCCTTGTCTTTTAATTCAATTTGATCTGTAACACATCTGTTGAACACATTGTGTGGTGGGTGTGGTGTGTCAGGGATAAGACGGCCAAGGTCTGATTCCTGCCCTCATGGAGCTCAGCATCACTGCAGAGACGTTCAGAATAACAACTAGAAATCCCTGAGATAAGGACTGGACTCTGAGCTGGGGCTGGGGCTGGGGTTGGGGGAGCTCGGAGACAGGACAATTCATTCTGCCTGTGGACTTGAAGGAAGCTTCCTTGGTGCTAAATAGGCTGATCTCAGAGCTCTGGAAGGAGAGGAGGTACATGGTCCAGTTAGGGAGCCGGAGTCTCTGCAGGATGGTTTGCCACATGATCTGGCCAGCAGGGAGGAAAGGTGGATGTGGAGACGGGATGTGCAAAAATTAACCCAGTAACAGAAAGAGCAACAGATTGTAATTTTTAAAGTAACAATATTATTTAAACTAAAATGATGGTAGTAAAAATTCTTCAAGTGGAAATATTATACTGTGGGAGTTTTTTTAAAAAAATTCACTGAATATTAGAAAAGAACATTAACCAAAAAAAAAAAAAAAAAAAAAAAAACGCATCACCAGCAAAGTGTGAAAGTGTGCAGTTTGGGGATTTGGCCATAATCATTATTCTCCAAGTCTTCATAGCACCAATATTGAAGTATTGACCCCTGCAGAGCATGGACGAACCTCAAAATAATTGTACTCAGCAATCGAGGCCAGTCACAAAAGACCATGTATTGCATGATTCCATTTATATGAAATATCCAGAAGAAGCAAATCTGTAGAGGCAAAAAGTACATCCATGGTTGTCTGGAGGTGGGATCGGGGGAAGTGACTGCTAATGGGAATGAGGTTTCTTTTTGAGGTTAAAAGAAAATGTTCTAAAATGAAAGTATGATGATTAGATTATATTCTAAATATACTAAAAATGACTGAAATGTGTATTTTAAATGGGTGAAGTTTACGATATGTGAATTATGGCACAATAAAGCTGTTTAAAAAATCTTATAGCCCCAGCTTTACATGCTTAACCACAAGCTTCATTTGCAGGTTTAGACACAAACTAGAGGGGGGAAAAGATAACCCGCTAGATTGTACTGTGCGTGTGTTGAAATGCATCCTGGGTGACAGCAGGCGATCCTTCTTGAACTGCATCACCAGCCTTACGTCTGGACTATTCTGGACTGCCCAAAGGAGAGCAGTCTTGGAGGAGGGGGGCCAGGTCAGCTCCTGCACTTAGACATTTGTGGAAAATGACTGGAGCATGAAGGTCATTTCTAGCCGTAACAGCAGGGCAAGACTGGAAATCATGGTGTGGTGGAAAGAGAAGCGGCCTCATAGGAGCAATCAAGGTCATGACCCAGCAACTATGTGCTTACTAGTTGTGAGGCTTGGGGCAAATCACCTCATTCCTGGGGACCTTCAATTCTTCTCTAGCAAATGGGAATTTGGATTATAAAAACGTAGCCAGACCAGGCGCAGGGGCTCACACCTGTAATCCCAGCACTTTGGGAAGCCAAGGCGGGTGGATCACTTGAGGTCGGGGGTTTGAGACCAGCCTGGCCAACATGGTGCAACCCTGTCTCTACTAAAAATACAAGAAATAGCCAGGCCTGGTGTCACACACCTATAATCACAGCTACTCGGGAGGCTGAGGCAGGAGAATCACTTGAAGCCGGGAGGCAGAGGTTGCAGTGAGTAGAGATCGGGCCACTGCACTCCAGCCTGGGCAACAGAGTGAGATTTTTCTTAAAAAAAAAAAAAAAAAAAAAAAAAAAAAAAAGTAGCCAGGTGAGGAGAATGTAGGATGCCAGCTGCAGGCTGTCAGGATCCTTCAGAAGATGACATTGACCATGGCAAGTGGATCACAGCTGAGGGCCTGGTATTTGTCTTGTCAGGCTCCAAATCTTAATTTCTATGACTTTGAAGCTGACCCTTCCTTCAGTGGCCAATGCTAAGCATACCCACAGGACTTGGGCTTATATGCTAGCTTACCGATTTATAAATTTACAGCGTGATATATGACTGCCAAGAAGACTCAGTACTCATTTCTCCCAGCCAATGCATCTACTCCCTTTAAAAAAAAATCTAAATCAAATGCCAAATTATGATCAGAAGGTTACTCAGTGAGCTACCAGTGAATCACAAAAGCAGATTCTGGGCTCCAGTAAGCCAGTGGGTTCAATTTATGATAGTCACTTATTTATCTCCCTCTAGGACAGAACAAGCCAGGTTGTGTGCTTAGGTCAGAACTGGTTTTCCCTGAAGTGCCTGGATGGGCACTTCCTCCCTGCACAAGCATCTTTACTAGATTCACCAGCAACCTCACTACCAAAAGATCAGTATCCTGTTATGTTCAGTTCTTTATCCTGTTAGAATATAGCTAATGGTTTGCTTTTTAAATTTCTGACTCAGGAAATATTATCTCCAAGATCTCTTTTTGAATAATCTGGTCTTATTCATTGCATATAATTTCTGTAGTTTACCTTTAAGAATTTGGGGAGAGCCTTGCTGTATCACATTATAGCATATAATCATATAGTATTATCATATGTAACTTATGTATTCATATGTATACATACATGTGCTTATATATATACACACATATATAGTCATGATCAAGCAGATAATAATATTTCACCCTACAGCCAATAATAAGAGCGTGCTGATTGATGATTGTGAAAATCAAATAAGATAACATGTGTTGGCCGGGCGTGGTGGCTCACCCCTGTAATCCCAGCACTTTGGGAGGCCGAGGCGGGCAGATCACGAGGTCAGGACATCGAGACCATCCTGGCTAACATGGTGAAACCCCGTCTCTACTAAAAATACAAAAAAATTAGCCAGGCGTGGTGGCAGGCACCTGTAGTCCCAGCTACTTGGGAGGAGAATGGCGTGAATCTGGGAGGTGGTGGTTGCAGTGAGCCAAGATCGCGCCACTGCACTCCAGCCTGGGTGACAGAGCGAGACTCTGTCTCAAAAAAAAAAAAAAAAAAAAAAAGATAACGTGTCAACAGTGCATTGAAAACTGTAAAGTATTTTCCTCATGCAAGATATTAATGACCAGCCTTGGGAACCAGATCCAATTTGGCACTATCACTACACCTAACCTAAATACATAGGAGTTGTGAGGCTTGGGGCTAAGGACCAGCTGGAGAGAAGATAATTGTCAAGGTCTCAAACTGCATGTCCTGGAAACAGCTCAGGCCCACAGTGTGTGTTTATAAGGCCTACAGAATGTTTTTAGATTTTCAATTGATTGCCAAAATTTAAAAATGAGAAGAAATCACAGAAAAGGACATATTTGTCTACTTCTATGGAAAAAATAGACTAGCAGAGCTAGGCTAGTATTCTTGCATAATTACAGTGGTAGCATCCTTCGAGAAGGCATGAGCTCTCCAGCAGGTAGTAGACCCTGCCGCTCCCTCTTGTCTTACTCCAGCCTGTTCTATTCATTCACATTACCGGAATGGCATCTGTAGGCATTTGAGTTGTGACCTTTGTGTGTGGACTAATTTCAGGGTTTCTGGGAAAGCTCTCCCTTACAAAAGCCTCTCCCTAATATTTCCTCCCTGATAGTTGAAATTAATTTACACAGACCAAAGGCTTGTATTCCACAATTAGTTAGAAGAGCTCACACTCTAGGTAGAGTTAAATTATTCACACCAAGTTGTAAAATTTTTTTAGCTGGGCCCCTTCCCTGGTAGAAGTTTTGGATGAGTTGAGGGAGAGACTGTCCAGCTCCAGGGAGGCAGGCAAGTGAAGGAGTCCCAGAGAAAGAAGGAAGAAGGGAAGCAAGAAGGTAAATTGGTGATGCTAAAAGCAAATGTGAATCTATCTGGTAGTTTCATTGGACTTTATTTCTTTTAGGATAGACCCAGTCTCCATGAAGTCTTGAAGACTAAGTCCTAATCTACAGCCCCTGGATGTCCTGTTGGTTTTGAACCAGCACAGTTCTGTACTAGGGAATGATTGTAACAGCTGTAGAGCAAGTATTGTTCCCAACTTGTCAGGACCCATGGAGGATCGGTCAAAGGAGGGGGAAAGCTGTGACACGTCGCTTCCATACACCAAAATGGCTCACATGAAGCAGAGATGATGATCATTTCCTTGATATTGAGTTGATAAAGGTTTATCAGCCATGATACACTCTGAAACATGCAAGGAATTTGCAAGAGCTCACTGGGAAACGAGCCAGTTCTCCTATTTTGTCTTTCATCATTTTGCTGGAGACGCAAAAGTGTGCACACAGGTCATTCGTATAATGAGCAGTGCTGCGGTAGTAAGACCAGCCCCGTAATGAACAGGATTGCCCCAGCCCGTGATGCTGATGCAAGTGAGATAGGAGACAGGAGGCTAATGTGTGCTTGGTCGGCAGCTCACCTGCCGAGGAGGAATGAAGAATCACAGGAGAGTTACCTAGATAGTTAGGGGAAAACAGAAACCCTCTCTGTTTTTTCACTGTCACTAATTGTGCCAGTTATCTGTGTCGCTTTGAATGTAAGCAGCTCGCCTATTCAAACACAGCAGGCCATCCTATTGCTGGAAGAGTTAAGGAAGGAGAAGGCCAGATGACTCCCCAGATTAGATGTAATGCCACCTGTCATGTTTTTATTATGATTTTCAAAAGCATAAACTTTTAGCCTGTCCTTTCGGTAGTTATTATGAATGTTTTGCCTTATCTCGTTTTTTCTATTATAAAACAAAAAGATAGGGATTTTTTTAGAATCACAAAAAAATTTATTTGAATACTTAGGTAGGGTCTAAGGGCTCAGAACCTTGTTTTTCTAAATAAGCATATTCATATGCACATAGAAGAAATAGCATTAAAAGCTTAAGAGTGTGATGGTCAGGGTTCACGTCACAGCTTCATCAACTACTAGCTGTATCACTCTGAGCGAGTCAGTTAACATCTCTGTGCCTCAATTTTTTCATCTCTAAAATGGGCTAATGATAGTACCAGTATTATAGAGATATTATAAGGATTAAATAGGTTAAGATACCTAAAGAATTGGGAATAATGCCTAGCCCACAGTACCTACTTGGTAAATGTTAGCTAATTTATGGTTTATACATCCATACATATCTATGTGTTTATACAGTAGGATAGTTAATTGAAACAGTTATTTAAAGCATATTTATCTCAATTATGTAAGTGGAAAGTAAATTTTTACAAATAAGAGAGTTCATCAGGTGTCATTCTTGAAGACTGCAAAATGACAATTTGGTATGGTTACATAAGAACTAATCTTCTCCTTTCCTAAAGTTCATTCTGTATTCATTTATTGTAATATGTTAAAAGACTATGTGCCCTTTGTAAAGTAGTTTTTTTCCATGCTGGATTAAATAACTTCTTTGTACATCATTTTCACATTTGGATGTGGCCATTTCTATTATACTCAGGGTAGCCAGAAATCTGCCAGTTTTCTGGAACTAAAGTATGAGGATAGGCATCTGTATCTGAAAGAGTGGAAAAGAAACAGAAACTTGACCACAATATTGGAAGCTTCGATAGGTATAATCACTTATTTAGCATTCATTCCATAGGCAGCACTAGGAGGCAGTGCTAAGACTTCATGTTATACTTTTTATAGGTAGAATATTATTAAGCAACCCTTCATACCCATGTCTTTGTGTTGATTTCCTTACACTCCATTAGGAATCCCCTACCAATATCCCTGTTCCACTTCCTTAGTTTCCACCAGGTAAATGAACTTCTGAATTATTGAAGATTCTCAGCCCCTCAGCCCTAACATGATACTTAATGATATTCTTTATTTCCAAAATGGCCACCTGTCCTCATTCTTCCTTGGCTTAGGTATTGTTTCTAGTTCAGAAATCAATAGTCTCCTCTTATGACATAGGGCCTGAATATTTTCTGATATTACATTGCTTTTGTAATTGTGGCTTTCTAATTTAAGCCTTGAATAGTATGGCAATCAAGGGGGAAAAAAAAGCAATCATTCCTGGTCCAAATGGCCCCACACATCTCTCAGAGATGGCTCTAAACCCTTGTTAAAACTGTGTTCATTTGACATTTATCACATTTGTTGCATTCAAAAATGCTATGTATCAAAGCCGCATTATAAAATCCAGTTAGGGTTTTAACTGTTCCTAAGGCATAATGTGAATGAAACTACACCGAGAAAGTTTGGACCTTGATTTAGTTTTGAAAAATTCTTTGTTCCGCATCTTCTTAGGGATTCATAGAGCTCATTTGCATATCCTTGTGCTCCCAGGAACACATGGTAATGAAATAGAATTAACCTTATTTAACCTAGTATTTCTCCAACTAATTTTTTGACCATGGGAGCCTTACTTTTTCTCAGAATCTACATGAACCTGTCACCAAAACAAATCATCTGCACACACTTTGAGAAAGCCATTCTAAAGAGCTGTGTCCTCCTAGTTACTTCTGCGATTAATGCTAATAAAAGATTTAATTATTCTCTTAATTCTAATTGATTCTAATTGTGAGAAATATCCTGTGATCCTGTGTTTCTTACTCACCATCCTGACCTTGTCCGCTGAGTTTCTAATCATTCTTCAAAGAGTGGCTTAAATACTATCATCTTCTTAAAACTTTTTCTGTTCCTCTCCCAGTTTATCCTAAAAAGCAATTTCCTGCAGCCCTCTTATCACATTCTGATTTTTATCATAATTATGTGCACACCTGTATATTCTGAAGTCAGAAACAGTGCAAAATTCCTTTTTGGATTTCCTATAAAACCTAGTTTAAAATAAGTGTTTAATAAATATTTTTGGCTACATTGTAAGGCATCAGTTTTTATACACCTTCCAAAAATTCATTTGCCAGAAAAGATCTTTTGAAGCCACAATCTTGGCCATCTATAATATCAAAAGGTAAGGAGGAGTGTTAATTATTTCCTCTATGAGGTCAGGCCTTCAAGAGAGGTAGCAAATCCTCACACATACAATTATAGTGGAGCCACTGTTCCATGGCTAATTACTTATTAGTCATTTCATTGCTAATTTAATTAATCACATTAATATAAAACTTTATGTTGATTTTGTAAAATGCGTTACAAGTTAGGTCAATATCCTGGCCCTCATTATATGGATGGGGAAAGAAGACATAAAACATTGATCTGATTGATTACCTCAAGGTTATTCCTTATGGTAAAGATAGAACAAAATAAAAACTCATCTGAGTCCATTTCTAACACCCTGAACATCTTCTGATTGTAACACTAGGACTAAGGAAATGCATGTTTTTGCTAAATGTGCACCTGTTCAGTGCAGATTCAGAAGTGATGCATGGCCAATGGCATCGTCTAACAGCAGTCATTTCAAGATGGTGGACTGACCACAAATGGAAGCTGATTCACTGTCAAATATGTGTGGATAATGCTAGGAAGCTTAAGCAGATATTTCTGTAAACATTAGATTTATTTTTTATGAAACTTCCAACATCAGCCGGGTGCGGTGGCTCACGGCTATAATCCCAGCACTTTAGGAGGCAGAGGTGGGTGGATCACAAGGTCAGGAGTTTGAGAGGAGCCTGGCCAACATGGTGAAACCCCGTCTCTACTAAAAATATAAAAATTAGCCGGGCTTGGTGGCGCATGCCTGTAGTCCCAGCTACTTGAGAGGCTGAGGCAGGAGAATTGCTTGAACCCAGGAGGTGGAGGTTGCAGTGAGCCGAGATCATGCCACTGCACTCCAGCCTGGGCGACAGAGTGAGACTCCATCTTGGAAAAAAAAAAAAAAAATCTTCTAAGATCACTTAATATTCTAACAGGCATTGTGAATTTCCAAGGTGGTCCTAGAGTATGGAGTCCCCAGATTTCTTTGTCTATGAAGCAGACTGTACAAAATGTTGCTGTACATTCTCCACATTGTGTTTAATCAGTCTGCTTCCAGGAGAAGCCTCTTAACCAATCTCTACTAGCTGTCTCATTCCTGTGGTTCATCCTTCTGTGGCACTAACTGCCAGCTATTCACTAACATTGGTTCCTCTCTTCTTTAATAGCAGCTAGATCTATGACTGCCCAGCTGCATTTAACAGCCTCCTACGTAGCCAGGGGACTAGTTTTCCCCATTGGCGTGTGCATGAAAATGATAGGTATAACTTACAAGCCTGGCCCCAAAAAGCTTCCAAATGTGCTCCAGTATCCTCTTCCCATGGACTCTAGCTCTAGTCCTATGGCTAGACTAGAGCTACAGGAGGAAGCCACATGTTGAAGATGGCAGAGCCAGTGCCTAGCCTGGGTCTCTGACGAACTTCATGGAACACAGCCTCTGTCAGTCTAGTCACCCAGCTTGGATTATGTGAGAAAGAAAAACATTCTATTGTGTTTGAACCATTACAGTGTGGGTCTGTTTGTTACAGTCATTTGCCCTGCCCTCATACACTTATACTCATGATTTCTCTTTCCCAAGCCAGATTCCTTTGTCACAAAAGTCAGTGACTCACCTCACACCTGATTGCCTGGGCTGATCTTCCATTTCTCAAATTGCAGCCCCTGCAAGCTAAGCTAAGGAGCCTGGGACTCTTGACTGCTTTTCCCGCTTGCGGTTGCCAGCTTTACCACAGAGATCCCTTTTCCCCGTCACATACTCTGAATTTGGAAGAAATTCTACTGCTTTGTCTAATTTTTTATATTACTCATATGTGATATTCTTCATTAGAACATAACTCAAAACTAACATAATGGTTTTAAAATAGACTTTATGCCTTTTTTTTTTTTTTGAGGCGGAGTTTTGCTCTTGTTCCCCAGGCTGGAGTGCGATGGTGCGATCTCGGCTCACTGCAACCTCTGCCTCCTGGATTCAAGCAATTCTCCTGCCTCAGCCTCGTGAGTAGCTAGGATTACAGGCATGCGCCACCACGCCCAGCTAATTTTTTATTTTTAGTCGAGACGGGGTTTCTCCACATTGGTCAGGCTGGTCTCGAACTCCCGACCTCAGGTGATCCACCCGCCTCGGCCTCCCAAAGTGCTGGGATTACAGGCGTGAGCCACTGCGCCCGGCCTTTTTTTTTCTTTTGAGACAGAGTCTCACTCTGTCACCCAGGCTGGAGTGCAGTGGCACAATCTCTGCTTAGCCTCCGCCTCCCTCCAGGTTCAAGTGATTGTCCTGCCTCAGCCTCCGGAGCAGCTGGGATTACAGGCGTGTGCCACCATGCCCGGCTATTTTTTGTATTTATAGTAGAAACAGGATTTGCCATGTTGGTCAGGCTGGGCTCGAGCTCCTGAGTTCAGGAGACCTGCCTACTTTGGCCTCCCAAAGTGCTAGGATTACAGGCATGAGCTGCTGCACCCGGCCTATGCCTGTTTTTTATTCCAAATGTTTAGAAATTTTAGAAAATATGGATAGGCAAAAACAAAAAAACAAAATCACCTCTAATCTCACCACCTAGATATAATCACTGTCAATGTGTTGGTATGTAACTCATGACTTACTGATCATATATAAAATCGTGAAATTGAACATGAAAACTTAGGTCTACTTAAAACCACAGATCTAATTTTCACATGAATAAAATACACCAGGGAGTTCCAGAAAATTAATTGATTTCAGAGAAGGGTAAATACCAACTTTTAGATGAATTCTAAAAATGTGTGGGCCCCCAAGATAATTTTCTTATAAATTTCCAGTATGCTCAACCAAATGCCAAAGACGCCTATCCTCTGAGGCTTGCCTTTTATTGGGCCAAAGGGATATGTAGTTGTTTTGATATGTTGCAAAGCTCCAGGCTCTGAAACCCACTAGACGCTGAGCAATTTGAGGGCTGCATGGGGCCTTGTTTCCTGTTGTCTCAGCACCTGGTCCACAGCGAGATCTCAGAAAATGCTTTTTGAATTAGTGGCCCTGGACAGTTTATAAATTATAAATTGTGTCCTCAAGTATTTCTTATGAAAATAGTCACACAGCATCCCAATGCCAAATTGTTTCAGATTTGAGAACGCTTTTAATGAAGAAAAAAGGAAAAATAATTTCTGAAGATTTTTCACCATAGATATTTTTACTTGAATTTTTGCTGATACTTTTTTCTCTATTTTGATTGCCTTTTTCTTCTTTTCTGCCTTTTGGTGACATTGGCAGGGCCTGGAGCTCAGCCTCAGACAGAAAATTAGACTACGATGAATTTTTACCTTGCATTTTGAAGATATACCAACTTTCTTCTCTGCCACTGGGCTTACATTCTTCACGGGTAAAAGTAGAAGGTTGGACTCAATGGCCTCTGTCATGCCTTCCTTCTGGCTTTTACACCCCAGATTCTACAGATCCTGTCTCTGGCCAACAGAACACCCTTAAAATTACTCAAGGAAGAAGAGGGCCAAGCCTGAAAAGAATCCATCTGGTGACGGCCATTGACAAGTGCCTGGAGCAGTGATTTATTCTTGAAGAATGCCCTTTCCCTGTTGATGCTTAGTCAGCAGGGACAGCTGCTGGAAGAGGCATGGGTAGGATAATTCGTAAGTCATTTTTGGTAGAATATCAGGAATCAGTGCTCAGTGAGGTGGGAGAAGTCTACATACTTACATAAAATCATAAACTACCTTAAGAATAGATCAAACAACATGCAATGCACACTTCCAGAAAAGTCTCGAGGCAGGTAGCGTTTTAAGTTTTTCTCCTAATGTCTGTATAACACATTTCTTTTGACATTCCATAGGAGAGTAACTTTAACTTTAGCTGAAATAATTTTTAAGTTTACTATTTTAGGCTGAGAGCTGTAGCTTGAGGATTTAGGTGGCTTTGTCCTGACAAATAGTTTTTTCAAAGGTATTTTCTTGTAATAGCCAGTGCAATAGCTGCCTCCCTCTGCTTTTACAGAACATTTTGATGCTTGAGGTCTGCCGAAGTCTGATTAATCTTCCTTTTGCCTCAACACTGGGCACCTTCTTCACAGAAAGTCAGAGGATAAATGCAGAGGGCCTCCTCTGAAGCTTCAGTTTGTCCCCAAATCTCTTTCAGTCTGGAAGAACCCAGTACTCTAAAGTAGTCTTCACTCTTGCAATTGAGGTGGTTTCCCACTTAAGATCCCGGGTCTGGCAGGGTACATTGGCTCATGCGGTGGCTCACGCCTGTAATCCCAGCACTTTGGGAGGCATAAGGCTATTGTGACAAAATCACACAGCAAGAGCTCAGTAAATATTCTCTCCTCCCTTCCTGCTTTTTCTATGCTGGGCAATGGACATCAAATCTGCACATACGTTACAGGATAAGAAAGAAAAGTGTCCCCCATATTATTAGGTTGGTACAAAAGCAATTGCAGTTTTGCCATTACTTATTTTAATGGCAAAGATGCAATAACTTTTGCACCAACCTAATATCTACCTTGGGAATATCTCTGTGTTCACGTGGGCACTGTGCTTGGTAGGTGATATGGAAGTTTAACTCATCTTTTGGAGCAAATAATGTGGAGAAAACAGACCCTACAAACAGCAGGTGACCACTGGTCTGAGACACAGTGAGGACATCAGCCAGGACCCCACAGGGGTGGGAGGAATCTTTTCCTCTCCCTGTGATATCTTGGATTGCCCTCTTAGAGAGTTTTTCCTTTGACTAAGGCCTTTGTTTCCATAAAAATGCAGATATTCCCAAGACAGCAGCACAGGAAACCTTATCATCCATGTGCACAGTTCATTTTTCAGTTGTGCTATTATTCTCTGTAATGATATTTTTTTACCTGTATGAAATCTCACATGCTCAGGTGCATTCATTTTATAGAGTTTTAAAGCTGATAACCTCAACCAAAATGTGTATTATTGGGTTTTATTTTCCCTTTTTTTCTGCAGTAATTTCAAAGGTGTAACTGAGCTTAGCTGTAAATTGCTGGTTTTAGCTCTTCATGGCAGGCAGCATTTGATCATTGACAACTCTGTTTTCTTCATTGTTTCCTGACTAAAATCTCCACAGCCTCTATAAATATGTAAATTACCCAAATCACTAGTTTTCCATTATTTCTGCCCCTAAGCTGTTTAAAATGTTTCTATATTCCTACATTTGCAGTGCAAAACAGAGCAGCAGGTGACAGCTGAGTTTGACTCTATTATGGAACCTCTATTTAGCAGCTACTTGTTTCAAAGTTTCTGACAATAAATTTTGTCCTAGGGTGGGCTCCGTGTCCTGTGCTGAGGCTGGCAAAGGTCAGAATCCAACGGAACAGGAATGCAAAGATGTTTGTGTGTGGATGCAGGGCCTGTGGACATCTCATGCTACATGAAATGCTGCTTGTGAACTCTGGTTTTATGACAGTGGAAGTAAATGGGGTTCTTTTTATTGCCTTCTCTTCCATTGGCAAGACTCAAGTAGTGAACCTAACCTAACGTGGTGCCTGCATATGATTTTGTTATCCTCTTCCGATTCATTGTCCATTAAGTGAGTCTGTCATGAGCTGGATCATTGGGTCTCTGTGTGGGCTTGTACCACTTTGCAGCAGGGAAAGAGAACAACTATATGTTGCATATATATTCCTGTGGATTTGTGTAGATACATATATGTGCATACAGCTTGAGAGAAACCAACAGAGAGAGACACTGAAACAATAGGAGAAAATTTTAGGAAAGAGATCGTTGTCAGGAAAGCTTATTGAAGGGATCTTGGGATTTGCTTACCCAATTCAAACCCTAGTGCTGAGGATGAGAAATAGGTTTCTGTAATGACTGCCTCACATGACTGAAGAAGCCCCAAAAGTGAATGTGTATTTCAATACCAGATGCAGGCTAAGCCTGAGATAGGCATCCATCTAAACTAGGCCTCAGGCTGGGCACAGTGACTCAACGACTATAATCCCAGCACTTTGGGAGGCCAAGGTGGGAGGATCACTTGAGCCCAGGAGTTCGAGACCAACCTGGGCAACATAGAGAGACTATGTCTCTACAAAAAAATTTAAAAATTAGCCGGCATGGTGGTGTGCACCTGCAGTCCTTGCTACTTCAGAGGCTGAGGCAGGAGGATCACTTGAGCCTGCGAGGTTGAGGCTGCAGTGAGCTTTGCTTGCGCCACCACACGCCAGCCTAGGCTGGAGACCCTGCAACAACAACAAAAAAACTAGGCCTTGATGTGGAGGGGGTAGGAACCATCAATCTGTGAATGTGTTTATTTGAATCTTGGAGGCTGCTTTTGTACAGTAAAGTCCTTGAAGAATCTACACTAAATTCGAGTCAGTAATGTTGATCTCACTGAAAATGAAAACCCATTGTATTTGTATGGTATTACACACCTTTGAAAATGTTTACATGGTAGTTTCTGAAAACCTGTGGGGTACATAAACTGCTAATGTCTCCACTTGACACAGGAGAAGAGAGTCAAGAAAATTAAATAAAACATAATTATTAAATGGGAAAAGAGCTCAAACGGGGAACAGGTACTGGCAAACTGTGACCATCCATCTTTTTTCTTTCTTTCTTTCTTTCTTTCTTTCTTTCTTTCTTTCTTTCTTTCTTTCTTTCTTTCTTTCTTTCTTTCTCTTTCTTGTCTTTTGTACCATCTGTCCTCATAAATAAAGTTTGATTGGAGCTTTAGGGTGGAACAGCTGTCCTCGTTTGTTTGCTTATTGTCCATACTGCTTTTACACTGCAGTGGTAAGGTTGAGTCGCTGTGACAGAAAACTTATGCCTAAAATATTTACTATCCAGCTCTTTAGAGAAAAAGTTTGCTAACCACTGAGCTGAATCACAGGCCTCCCAGGAATGCCCATTCAGTCTACGGTGACAAGGCCGGTTCATGTTACACCCCAGGAACTTTGTCAGGTGTTCGTGTGGACCCGGAGCATGATGTTATGAGGCTTTCATTATCCCCATCTGAACTCATTTAGTGCTCCAGTGTCTTGATGTATGGTGACAATTTTCGGGGAGAGCAAAGGATGTTTTAGAGCATTTAGTTTTCATAGAACTTCAGGAAATTATCATCTAATCCCTCAAGAACCATTTCCCAGTCTGGTAAGAGAGAATGTGATCAGTAGGGTTTTTTTAATGTTCTCAATGACCACACTTGGCCCATTTTAGTGACAGATATTCCCCTCAAATAGAAGGGATCACTTATTCACCAAAGCGAATGGTACCCTGGGGACCCTCAGTTCTCATTGCCTACCCACCCCCAGGCCACCCAGGTGCTAGGGCTCCTGGCAAGTGGCGTATCTGGGGGAGAAGATGCTTCCTGACGTCACACCGCTCTCACTTGCAAAGGGGTTGGCAAGAGAAGTGAGAAGGGAGGGAATGAGCAAGAGAGAACTGGGACTATATCTCTGCTGCCACCTGCTACTCTCTCCGGGCGCAGCGGTGCCCTCTTTACTTCTCAGCCATTTCTTTAGTGACCCTGCTGTTGCTGGGTAGAAAATGCCACTCAAAAGGACTCAGGGCTCATGGAAAACTCCCTGCAATGAGTCGAAAGGCTCATGTTGTTTGATCTAAAGAGAACTATTATAAAGTGACCCAAAAAACCTCGGATCCATATGTGTCCAGGCTGCGAATGAGAGGAGCCCATTATCTGGAATCTTTCAGACTTTTACACAATACGGTGGAGCTCTGTCATGCCAGATAATTTGTGCTGGCCAGTCTATATGTTATTTTCAAAAAATAGAAAAGAAAGATTTTTTTCCACCTATACAACAAATCGCATATAATTAATGACTAGTTATATTTTATTTGGAGAAATAGCAGTTTTACAAATATATTTTGTAATGATGTTTTCAGTGATCGGGATCCTCAACACAGTAGTGCATACAACTAAAACCTGGATTTGTTTGATCTCTTGACAGACAGTACTAATTGTTGACGCTAGTCACATTTTCAGGAATAGAATACATCTCTTTGTGGTGTTTTCTCGAGAATTGAATGTTCTGTCAAATACTATTTGAGATCCTTTGAGGTGGGTGGATATTATTCGTCCTTGACTTAGCCTGTTACCTCTGGGCAAAATGATTTTTTAAAAGCCTGCATGTAACTGAACAGAAATGCTTACAAAGGGATAAAATTGTGGAATGTTTTTCTATGATCTATTTTCCTTAAAGTGTCCATAGTGAATGAGAAGGAAGCTCTCTTTGGACCCTGCCTTAGCTGGATGGCTACGTCAATGCTGTAGCAACACGGTTGTTTAGCAGAGGTAAACACTGCCTGCTTGCCTCCTTATCTTACTGCCTTCTGTTACCTTCAAAAGTCAGGATTCCCAGGTTAACTCACCAAAACTTTAGATCTCCACCATATGAAGTTAACACATCAGCTGACAAGTTAGAGTGAAATGAAACTGAAGATTCGGCTCCTCTTCCTCCTTTATACATGAAGATGTCATAGCCCAGGGACTCTGAGCTACAAAGCCAAAACTGGGATCCAAATTTAGGGCCCCTGCTCCACACTCCTGAGATCTGTGGGGCAAAATATGTTAGCAATCTCTGGCCAGTCCTTTCCCTGTTCAATCCAATAGTGTCTTTCTTAGAAATGCCTTTCCCTTTGACCAAGATGGCCCTTTTGCACATTCTAGGAGATCTGCACAGAGTTACCTTCAAGACAGTGCCAAGCCTTTGCTGTACCAGTTATCTATTGCTGTTTTAGAAACTACCCAAAAACTTAGTGTCCTAATATTATGACCATGTGTTATTATTTATGAATCTGTGGGTCAGCTGAGTAGCTGGTCTGGGCCAGATGCAGCTGATCCCAGACAGACTAGCCATGCATCAGCTCTCAGCTGTTGGGTTGGTTGGGGCCTGCCAGATCTAGAAGGGCCTCACTCACCTGTCTGGTGATTGCCTGGCTAAGAGTGATGGCTGTAACTAGACCATATGTCTCTAGCCATTCATCATGCTACGACAGATTTTTCTTTCACAAAACAAGGACAGACTCTCAAAAGAGTGTGTGCAAGCATGCAAGGCCCATGAGGCCTAGACTCAGACCTGATGCACCGTTACTTCTCATAGATTCTGTTGGTCAAAGCCAGTCCAAGACAAAGGGTGGGGGAAAAGATTCTATTTCTTTTTTTTTTTATGCTGAATGTTTATAATTAAGTAAGCTTACTCTAAGAAGCACAAATTTAGAACACAAGAAACTAAAAACTTCTTAGTGGGAAAAACTGCAAAGTGTGATTAGAGGAAGGAGTGGAGAATTGGAGCTATTTCTTGCAATCAGTTTATGTAGATGTGAACCTAGGCCTGGAGCCCTAACATATGAATCATTTAAAATTGGAAGATATGTTAAATATCCAGCCCAGTCCCCTCAATTTATAAATGAGGGAACTGAGGCCCTCTCCAACACACAGTTCCTGATTGTCTGCTTTGAGCCAAAGCCAAATCCAGTGAACAAGCTGCTTAACTTTAAATAGCTATTAAATAGAGCATAAAAGGGTAAAAATCATCTTAGGTCCATTTCTAGCTATCTAGGCATTATCCTTCAATCTAGCAGTCCACCTTTTAGGAGTTCACCCTGAGCATACACCTCCAACAATACGAAAGTACAGATGCACAGGTTATTCATTACATCAGTATTTGTAACTTTGCAATATTGGAAACTATCTAGATGTCCAAGCATAGAGAGTGATTGAATGGCCTATGGTACATATATACACTGGATTACTATGCAGCTGGAAAAAAATGGTATGAGAATGATCACCAGGAACGGATACAGAGTGATTTTCAGGATAAAGTGTTAAAGAAAAACAGTGACATCCAAAAGAACATAGGCTATATTTTATATAAGAAATAAGGGAAATTATTAAAATATATGTACCTTTGCTTATTTTACAAAAAAAAAAAATCAAGAAAAATAATCCAGAACGCAATGAAGTTGGTTATCCTCAAGGAGTGGGAGAGAATAGGTTGGAAAATATACAGTAAAGAGAAATTTTTTTCTAAGTATACCTTCTTGTACAGTTTTCACATTAGGAAGCATCACTCTCTATCCTTTCAATCCTGAGGTTAACTAAGGAAGTACATATTGGAAAAATATAATTAAATCTTTAGAGAGGAAAAGGATTTTAGAAACCTGAAAATGAAAGCAAATTGAAACAAGTCAACCTGATTGTATTTTAAATGAATATCCCAACCACAATCAGTGCAAAAAAAAGAAAGGAAGAACTAGTTCAGGTAATTTGGGAACATCATATCTGACTACCTGTCCTCAGTATCGGGCAGATAGGGGTAGGGGCAGAATTTCAAGCAAATATTGGTATGGATGAAGCAGTTTTGAAACAATTTTAAATGTATTATAGGATTGATCAAACACATACATGAGGAAGAAGAATCATACAAATATGAAATGGGGGCTGGGGGCAGTGGCTCACACCTGTAATCTCAGCACTTCAGGAGGCTGAGGTGGGTGGATCACCTGAGGTCAGGAGTTCGAGACTAGCCTGGCCAACATGGAGAAACCCTGTCTCTACTAAAAGTATGAAAATGAGCCGGGTGTGGTGGCACATGCCTGTTATCCCAGCTACTTCAGAGGCTGAGGCAGGAGAATCTCTTGAACCCGGGAGGCGGAGGTTGCAGTGAGCTGAGATCACGCCATTGCACTCCAGCCTGGGTGACAGAGCGAGACTCTGTCTCAAAAAAACAACAACAACAAAAAATGAAATGGGGAACATAAGAAGAAATGTTGTGGGGGATGGACTTGAATTAGATGTATTTATGTGAACTATCTCTTTAAAAACATTATGCACATACATGCATGTGTATATATGCATTCACATACGTGTGTGCATGTATGTATGTGTAAGCAAGTGTGTGGGTGCATGTGCGTGCTTCCTAATTCACTCACCACTGAAAGACACCCATGAGCAGTGAGCACACACAGCATCCAGATCTTGGTCTTTCATACGATTCCTTGCTCAAAGGAACCAGGGCTCCCTGGAGAAATAGGTGATTGCAGTGGAGTCCTGGTTAAGATGAGGCTAGAGCAAACTTGTCCAACCTGCGACCCACAGGCCGCATACGGCCCAGGATGGCTTAGAATGAGGCCCAGCACAAATTCATAAACTTCCTTAAAACATTATGAGATTGTTTTTGCGACTTTTTTTTTTTTTTTTTTTAGCTCATCAGCGATCGTTAGTGTTAGTGTATTTTATGCATGGCCTGAGACAGTTCTTCCCTTCTAATGTGGCCCAGGGAAGCCAAAAGATTGCGCACCCCTAGTGCTAGAGATTTTGTCATGTTAGGAAGGAAGGAGATGCTAAAAGAAAACAGACAACAACAACAACGACAACAACAAGATAACCACAAGGCATTGAAGTCAGCTACTGAGGAGTTTGTTTTGACCAGAGCTGGGACAATTTGAGTAGCAAAAGAATTATAGTAACTAATTACACAGAATTGGAAAAAAGGAGGAATTCATGCCTCCCTGTCAATAATAAATTGATAATGGCAGAAAAGGGAGGGTCATTGCTTGCGGTGAACTCGGAGTGGAAGAAGTGCTGAATTGGAGAGTCAGCCTTTTGCAGCCATCAAAGTGAAGGTTGAATCAGGCAAAAATCATCAAGCATTGCTAAATGTAGGGGAAAATTTTGGTGCAGAATATGTTTGCATTGACTTACAATATCTCTCCAGTGACTGCTTTTTACTTGCAAGGGGAAAAACAGTAATTATATAGTGGAGTAATCAGTTTCACACCTTGACTAGGTGATCAAAATTATTGCCATCAATGAGACCTGTGCCTTCAGATGTAATATCATAAGAAAGACATAATGTCACCTGTAATATTCAGGATGAGAATGATAATCATGACGAAACATCAGACAAATGCAAAATCCTGGACTTTTTAAAATAAAAAAGGGAGCAGGAAGTCTTCATTTTCAGAAATTTACATATCATAAAAGGCAAAAAATAAATACTGAGAATCTGTTCCAGATCAAAGCAGACTAAAGAGACATGAGAACTAATCTCAGTATCTGACCCTAGACTAGGTCCTGTACTATGGGGGAAAGAAATGCCGAAAAGGACATTATTGAGTCAATTGATGAAATTGGAATACAGACAGTAGATTAGATAAAAGTATTGTGTCAATGTTAAATACACAGAAGTTGATAGCTTTTCTGTAGTTAGGTAAGAAAACATCTCTATTCTCATGAAATACATGCTGAAGTACCTAGGAGAAATGGGTAAGATGTACGTTACACCCTCCAATAGTTCTGAGTACATAATGATACATAATTTCTGTATTTATAGAAAAACAGAGAGTCTGCAATAATAAAGCAAATGAAGTCAACGTTAGGTGGACTTTGTTTTTGCCATTTTTCTGTAAATTTGAACTTATGTCCAATTAAAATATTTAAAACATTTTTTTAAAAAGACAAATGAGTTTGAATACTAGTCCACTATCTACTAGTTGTGTAACCTAGGAGTCTACTTAATTTCTCTGATCTTTGGTTTCCTCATTAGAGAAACAAGAATATCACCTTTCTTGTCTTCTCTTGAGGATAAGCCATTGCGCATCAAGTGACTAGCAAAGTGCCTGGCCCTACAGAGTATGCATTCAATAAATGACAGCTTTTCCATTCACATCTAAACATACTTAGGTTATCGTTACATCAACTGCTTTATTGGTGAAGATTCTCTTTTTTCAAAGTAGTCTGAAAGCTCCAAGAGGAAAGAATTGCATTTTCTGCAAATTTTTGTTTATTATTATACTTCAAGTTCTAGGGTACATGTGCACAATGTGCAGGTTTGTTACATACGTATACATGTGCCATGTTGGTGTGCTTCACCCATTAACTCGTTATTTACATTAGGTATATCTCCTAATGCTATCCCTCCCCCCTCCCCCCACCCCACAACAGGCCCCGGTGTGTGATGTTCTCCTTCCTGTGTCCAAGTGTTCTCACTCGTCAATTCCCACCTATGAGTGAGAACATGCGGTGTTTGGTTTTTTTGTCCTTCTGAGAGTTTGCTGAGAATGATGGTTTCCAGCTTCATCCATGTCCCTACAAAGGACATGAACTCATCATTTTTTATGGCTGCATAGTATTCCATGGTGTATAGGTGCCACATTTTCTTAATCCAGTCTATTATTGTTGGACATTTGGGTTGGTTCCAAGTCTTTGCTATTGTGAATAGTGCCGCAATAAACATACATGTGCATGTGTCTTTATAGCAGCATGATTTATAATCCTTTGGGTATATACCCAGTAATGGGATGGCTGGGTCAAATGGTATTTCTAGTTCTAGATCCTTGAGGAATCGCCACACTGTCTTCCACAATGGTTGAACTAGTTTACAGTCCCACCAACAGTGTAAAAGTGTTCCTATTTTTCCACATCCTCTCCAGCACCTGTTGTTTCCTGACTTTTTAATGATCGCCATTCTAACAGGTGTGAGATGGTATCTCATTGTGGTTTTGATTTGCATTTCTCTGGTGGCCAGTGATGATGAGTATTTTTTCATATGTCTGTTGGCTGCATAAATGTCTTTTTTAAAATTTTATTATTATTATACTTTAAGTTTTAGGGTACATGTGTACAATGTGCAGGTTAGTTACATATGTATGCAGGTGCCATGCTGGTGTGCTGCACCCATTAACTCGTCATTTAGCATTAGGTATATCTCCTAAAGCTATCCCTCCTCCCTCCCCCCACCCCACTACAGTCCCCAGAGTGTGATGTTACCCTTCCTGTGTCGATGTGTTCTCATTGTTCAATTCCCACCTATGAGTGAGAATATACGGTGTTTGGTTTTTTGTTCTTGCAATAGTTTACTGAGAATGATGATTTCCAATTTCATCCATGTCCCTACAAAGGACATGAACTCATCATTTTTTATGGCTGCGTAGTATTCCATGGTGTATATGTGCCACATTTTCTTAATCTAGTCTATCATTGTTGGACATTTGGGTTGGTTCCAAGTCTTTGCTATTGTGAATAGTGCCACAATAAACATACATGTGCATGTGTCTTTATAGCAGCATGATTTATAGTCCTTTGGGTATATACCCAGTAATGGGATGGCTGGGTCAAATGGTATTTCTAGTTCTAGATCCTTGAGGAATCGCCACACTGTCTTCCACAATGGTTGAACTAGTTTACAGTCCCACCAACAGTGTAAAAGTGTTCCTATTTTTCCACATCCTCTCCAGCACCTGTTGTTTCCTGACTTTTTAATGATTGCCATTCTAACAGGTGTGAGATGGTATCTCATTGTGGTTTTGATTTGCATTTCTCTGATGGCCAGTGATGGTGAGCATTTTTTCATGTGTTTTTTGGCTGCATAAATGTCTTCTTTTGAGAAGTGTCTGTTCATGTCCTTCGCCCACTTTTTGATGGGGTTGTTTGTTTTTTTCTTGTAAATTTGTTGGAGTTCACTGTAGATTCTGGATATTAGCCCTTTGTCAGATAAGTAGGTTGCGAAAATTTTCTCCCACTTTGTAGGTTGCCTGTTCACTCTGATGGTAGTTTCTTTTGCTGTGCAGAAGCTCTTTAGTTTAATTAGATCCCATTTGTCAATTTTGTCTTTTGTTGCCATTGCTTTTGGTGTTTTAGACATGAAGACCTTGCCCATGCCTATGTCCTGAATGGTATTGCCTAGGTTTTCTTCTAGGGTTTTTATGGTTTTAGGTCTGACATTTAAGTCTTTAGTCCATCTTGAATTAACTTTTGTATAAGGTGTAAGGAAGGGATCCACTTTCAGCTTTCTACATATGGCTAGCCAGTTTTCCCAGCACCGTTTATTAAATAGGGAATCCTTTCCCCATTTCTTGTTTTTGTCGGGTTTGTCAAAGATCAGATGGTTGTAGATGTGTGGTATTATTTCTGAGGGCTCTGTTCTGTTCCATTGGTCTATCGCTCTGTTTGGGTACCAGTACCATGCTGTTTTGGTTACTGTAGCCTTGTAGTATAGTTTGAAGTCAGGTAGCGTGATGCCTCCAGCTTTGTTCTTTTTGCTTAGGATTGTCTTGGCGATGAGGGCTCTTTTTTGGTTCCATATGAACTTTAAAGTAGTTTTTTTCCAATTCTTTGAAGAAAGTCATTGATAGCTTGATGGGGATGGCATTGAATCAATCTATAAATTGCCTTGGACAGTATGACCATTTTCATGATATTGATTCTTCCTAACCATGAGCATGGAATGTTCTTCCATTTGTTTGTATCCTCTTTTATTTCATTGAGCAGTGGTTTGTAGTTCTGCTTGAAGAGGTCCTTCACATCCCTTGTAAGCTGGATTCCTAGGTATTTTATTCTCTTCGAAGCAGTTGTGAGTGGGAGTTCACTCATTGTTTGGCTCTGTGTTTGTCTGTTATTGGTGTATAAGAATACTTGTGAATGGGCAAAAACTGGAAGCATTCCCTTTGAAAACTGGCACAAGAGAGGGATGCCCTCTCTCACCACTCCTATTCAACATAGTGTTGGAAGTTCTGGCCAGGGCAATCAGGCAGGAGAAAGAAATAAAGTGTATTTAATTAGGAAAAGAGGAAGTCAAATCGTCCCTGTTTGCAGATGACATGATTGTATATTTAGAAAACCCCATTGTTTCAGCCCAAAATCTCCTTAAGCTGATAAGCAACTTCAGGGAAGACTCAGGATACAAAATCAATGTGCAAAAATCACAAGCATTCTTTTTTTTTTTTTTTTTTTTTTTTTTTGAGACAGAGTCTCGCTCTGTTGCCCAGGCTGAAATGCAGTGGCGTGATCTCGGCTCACTGCAACCTCTGCCTCCTGGGTTCAAGCAGTTCTCCTGCCTCAGCCTCCCGAGTCCTGAGTAGCTGGGACTACAGGCACGTGCCACCACACTCAGCTAATTTTTTTGTATTTTTAGTAGAGACAGGGTTTCACCGTGTTAGCCAGGATGGTCTCAATCTCCTGACCTCGTGATCTGCCTGCCTTGGCCTCCCAAAGTGCTGGAATTACAGGCATGAGTCACAAGAATTGCATTTTCTAACTCCAGATGGCTAACATATTGTGGGCCCAGAATTGAGCTGAAATAAGGAGGACAATCCAATCTAGGGATGGGGAGTAACTTAGTTTGGATGCCTTATCTGTCCCTTGGCAAATGGCGTAGTTTACACGCTTGTCACTAATTGTCTCATTGGTCAAGGAGATGGTTGAAAAAAGGCATAGCACTTTAAGAAGCCACGTGTTACGAATTGGTAATGTGTGAGCCAAGCCTCTGCCCCATCAAAAATCTAGAGACTTCACATGGGGGAACCAGGCTACCACCATGTTCATCACAGAAATCTTTTTGTCATGGTGAGGTTCACTTGTTCTTGGAGAAAGTGAGTTATAACTTGGGGGCCGTCATGTTTTTTTAATATTTGAAATGAGAAACCATGCGCTAGCAGTTAAATTCTTTGGGGCCTGGCAGAAACAAACACCATAAGACAGTAAGCATCAACAGGCCCCACTGATTTATGATGATCAAGGAGAATGAGATTTATGACCCTGAAACATGGCAAAGATTCATTGGCATTAGCATTCAGAATATTCATGTGTTGCCACTCTTTCATGTTAAATACCTGCTTTAAGCTCTTTGGGGAGGAAAAAACCACAATACTTTTCCTTTGGAAGGCCTGACCATATTGACTGATTGTCTGAAGACATGTGGAATACCAATTCCCATTTTTGAACTTGAGTTTTGTCTTGACTTTTAAAGTTGGTTCATGTTTCTTTTCTCTTCTTCCTTGTCTTCATGAGTATCATTCAAGGGATGTAAAATCATAAAACTTTATAGCTGGAGAAAATTTAAGAGATTATCACATCTGTCCTCCTTTGAGGCCAGGGAAGCAACGTGACCTCATAAGGACTCACAGTTAGTGAACGTCATAAAGACACTGAGAATTCAGTGCCTCCTGTCCAGTGCTTATTTTAGTATTATACATGGTTTTTACTAAATCCCTTTTATACCAACCACTGTGCTTGTGATTTGATTTAATGTTCAACATCCCTTTGACTGACCTTAAAAATCATTTTAGCCAAACTGTTTGTGATGGTTACCATTGAGCATCAACTTGATTGGATTGAAGGATGGAAAGTATTGTTCCTGTGTGTGTCTGTGAGGGTGTTGCCAAAGGAGATTAACATTTGAGTCAGTGGACTGGAAAAGGCAGACCCACCTTCAGTCTGGGTGGGCACCATCTCATCAGCTGCCAGCACTGCTAGAATAAAGCAGGCAGAAGAGCGTGGAAGGACTTGACTTGCTGAGTCTTCTGGACTTCATCTTTTTCCCGTGCTGGATGCTTCCTGTTCTCAAACATCAGACTCAAAGTTCTATAGCTTTTGGACTCTTGGACTTACACCAGTGGTTTGCCAGGGGTTCTTGGACCTTTAGCCACAGACTGAAGGCTGCACTGTCAGCTTCCCTACTTTTGAGGTTTTGGGACTTGGACTGGCTTCCTTGCTCCTCAGCTTGCAGATGGCCTATTGTAGGACTTCACTTTGTGATCGTGTGAGTCAGTACTCCTTAATAAACTCCCCTTCAAATATACATCTATCCTATTCTGTCTCTCTACAGAACACTGACTAATACACTATTTAACACCAAATAATTGTAGACTGTAAACCTCAAGCTATTTTCTTCAATTTTTAAAAAATAATCATCTGGAGCCATCCATCCAAGGAGTTGATGCTGGTAATAATAAGGATGATAAGCAAAGAACACTTGGTTCAGAAGCCTAGTTAGCTTCATGGCATTACTGTTCAGGCAATGGTGTTCAGTTTGAGTTTCTGAATGGAATTATTTTTCAGGAACAATACGAAAACACTGTAGGTGGTGAGTAACATGTTAGATAATGACATAAAATAGGACAAAATTCTCTAGAACTAAAATGCTTCTTTGATTACCCATAGCTATGATATCCACTGTGTTTTCACCTCTGTTACAATTATTTTACAAATAGAGGAAAACACAAAACATTCTTAAAAATCTCAAACCTAACTTGCCTGAATTCAGGCCCTTAGACATTTCAATATTTCTTTAATTCATTCCTTAATCACATTATTATTGAAGCAACTATTCTGAACCAGACATTGGTCCAGAATAAGATACTGCTGAATAGCCAGTGTCCTCACGGAACTGAGAGTTGAGAAAAGACAGGCTAGCAAGAAATTACAGTCAAACGGGAAAACCACTGACTGTGGTTGTCTATAAAATTCATTCAGTCACAATACCAGAGAACACTTTCTTAAAACAAAAGAGAGAGTATAAAACACACACACACACACACACACACACACACACACACACACTTCAAAACCAGAAGAAGAAGAAACAGGTAAGTCTTACCAAAGGAGAGCCAAGGAAACATGTTCGTATTAGAATAGTTGTTGTGTAGGAGTCTATGAGAGATTAGTGCCGCCACCACAGCCCTCACAGCTAGTGCAGCAGTTTTCACTTCTTGAAAGGGTTAAATAGTCTCATGACTACACTAGTGTCAACTCATGGAGTTAAGGTTTAAAACTGGAAGGTACTAATAGAGGTCTATCTAGTTAAGTCCATCATTTTCCATTGAATGGACTCAGGGGACTTTTCCAAGACCACACAATAATTGTGTGTAAGCTGCAGATGTTAATCCTGCTTTATCCCAAACCTCCGTGCATTGGGAGGTGGTAGTGTTGGATCGAGGTGATTCTGTTTTGGAGGGCAACCACCCAGCTGACATTTCTTAAGCCAGAGCCCAGCACCCCCTGGCCTGTTGCCCATGGTGCTGTCATATTTTGACCTAAAGTGAACTGAGACCTCAGATGTATTCATCTCAGAACAGAGAATAGTATTTCCATATAACCATTTACTGTTCAAGGGAGAATCATTTTGAAAAATACTTCATTATGGGAAAAACAATACAAAGTTAAACAACACAAGCAAAGGATAGAAGTATTTTATATAATGGTCAGAAATTATCCTGAAATGATACTGGAACACACGATGGAAAACACAATTTAAAAACTCAGTTGCATTTGATCTTACAAGCATCATAACAACTCAATTCTTTTTTGCTTTAGATACAGAATCACTTTCTCCTAGGTCACTTCCCCAGTATACCCATTCTCCTGACTTGATTGAGGTCCCGCTCTGAGTCCCCAGGGCCCGTGTGTGTCTCTGTCATGGCACTCGGGACACTGTGCCAACATTGTCTCTTCATCTTGCTGCTTCCCTCACTACACTTAACCCTCTCCATGCCGTGAGCAAACCGATTTCCACTGCTTATTAGCAGATCTGACAATATCTGGTACATTCTAGTACTCACTAGAACTTTGAAGGGAACTTAATAATTTAAAGCAGTTAAAAGCATTTGCATGCTCTTCTGACTAATATTATTGTTACACCTCGTAATGTGGGGAAAAATACAGTTCCGGGTGTATGTGGGTTGTTAGGAAAAATTTCTCTTGTTTTAAATCTTAAGGTGGCTCTGCCCCTCTACGCTAAAAATCAAAAAGAATATATTCTTACATGTATCTCCAGGTTAGAATCCTTACTAAAATATTATAAGCATGAGTGCAGATAAGGTGAGGAGGGATATTTCTTGGATAGTAAAGTGGCATTCCCCAATCAGTTCTGCTGTAATTAATTTAGAATTTAAAGCTAAAAATCCAGACATTCGATGATGTGTTCAATAACTCGTGCTGGGATCTATTTTTTCAGTAATGCTTATCTTTCCAAGGGGTGTAGTTAATTTCTTCAGTATTACTCTGTAAATTATTACAGAAATTACAAATCTACTAAAAAATCAATACAACTAATTGTAAATTAATAGATTTCTAAGTGTGAAGGAGTGTGTAATAATGGAGATGAGTTCTTTAAAGAAAATGCCAGTTCCAGCATCAAGGGCTCAGGACTCCAGCTGTTTCATGTGACATCTTCAAGTGTAAACACATTTCTTTCCTTCCCCCAACTCTGCCCCTGCACCCCCTCACTTCCCACTGATTTAGTCTGCCACTGCCGCGAATAACATTTCCATTAGCCACCTACTGTTAAATCACAGAGTAACGATGATAAAAAAAAATTCCAACATGCAAACAAACCAATAGAGAAGCAAATGGGGTTACCGTCTGTCTCAAACGTTTTTTATGGGGCCCACCGGTGTTGAAACTAAAGGAAAACAACATGTGAAGTTAAACAAACTGGATCGAATAGGGAGCTCCAGAATGCGGGTTTATAACAAGTGCAAATCTGAATATAGTGCATTTCTAATTCTGTATTTGATATGCTGAATGAATCATCTTTAGCAATGTACTTGTGTGTCCATGAATTTTAGCATGAGCTTAGTTATTTCTATGTATATATGCCACATCATTGCCAATCAGTTTTAGGCAATGATGGGCTTGTCAATAAAAAGACCAATAATTATCACCATTATATTGAATGAATCAATGAGAATGTGCCAAGGTCCTGTTGTCCTGTGCACTTAGATGAATTTTTTTAATGCTATAACTTGACATTAATTTAGCACTTCACAATTTACAAAGTGCTTTCGGTTTAGATTTTGGTCTTAAAGCAGTAAATTAAGGCAGATGTTAATTATGTTCTACAGGTGAGAAAACTGGTTGAGGGAGGTTCAGAAACCTACCCTGGATGTAGAGCTAATTACTAGTCAAGATGCTTTCACAGAACCAGTTATATAGTAGTATTCTATTTCAGTACACGATGTGGTTCCAGAATTGTACTTGAAGTCTGATAGCTCAAAGTAAATCTCTAGGTTTACACTGTATAGATGACACCTGGGCCCCTGATGGGAGGGGCTGGAGAATCCTCAAGGATGCCCATCCCAGGAAGGGGCAGCTGTCACCAGCAAAGGTGCTGGGCATATATAGGCCTAGACACCCCATCTTGCACAAGTCTTTCTTTGCTAGCAGGAACCTGGAAGATGGTCAGGTTTGACTGAATCTTCTCTATTCAATGGTTAAGGAACTGGCTAGGTACCTAAAACAGAGATGCAGAAGAGGTATCTGTGCTCCTTGCCAGTGGGGTGAGTCAAAGGTTCAATGGCTGCCCGCTTCCCTTCCCCATATACCTGTGTTATTTGGTTACTTCCTGCACTCATGGCAATTTTGGTATATATGGGGATGGGGTGGGGAAGTGGGACCTTGCCAATGGGGGGAAAAGAGTTTGCTCACTCAGCCTTATGCTGAGAGGTGAACCTTAGGGCACTCACTCTCACTAAAACTGATCATAACAAACACTAGTTTAGCAGGGGGAACACTGTAGCCTCTTTGGTTTACACCTAAGAGAATCTACAGTGTAAGAGAATCTACAATGTAACTGAACTACATTTTCAATTCAACAGTAATGAGTAGGCTTATAGGGTGCACTGAAGATAAAATTTTAATTTAATGTAATTTAACCAAGTTATAAAGAGTCTTCATATTACTATTATTTGACATTTATGGCCTGTAATCATGTGTGTGCCATGTGCTTTTCAGAACATAAGCCTGATCTGAAAATTTTAAATTTTAAATCTAAGTTGGCATATGAAGATGGTCAACTAAATCCTTTATTAACTTGAACTAGCTTATTTTTTCTAGCATTTACTAGTCATAGGAAGTAGGAAAGTTCAATATATAAATAAACCGAACAAAACTAAAACAAATCCACAAAACTAATATATAAATAAACCAAACAAAACTAAAATAAAACAAAATTCATAAATTATATATATAAATAACCAAACAAAACTAAAATAGATCTTGTGAGGATAGGTGTTTTAATTTTGTTATAAATAAATAAATAAATAAATAAATAAATAAATAAATAAAATCAACTTCAGAAACTAGAGCTGGGGCAAATACTTTCAACCCCATCTCCTATTTCTTTCAGATCTTTAATTCTTGATGATATGTAAAATTTGAAATTGTGACCTTGAGGCATTGTGATTGACTAACCATTAAGAGAGGCTAAGTTTAATGTCTTGTATTTACTCAGGCATGAAACATTTCTAAACAAAAAATTTTTGAAATAAAACTTTTTGATTAAATACCACTTGGCAGGGAATAAAGTTAGTGGTATGTACTGAATGCTTATGTTCCTGCAAAATTCATATATTGAAATTCTAACCCCCAATGTGTTGGTATTAGGAGATGGGGCCTTTGGTATGTAATTAGGTCACGAGGGTGGAGCCCTTATGAATAGGATTAGTGCCCTTATCAAAAGACATGAGAGAACTTGCTCACTCTCTCTCTGTGTCTTCACCATGTGAGGATACAGCAAGAAGAAATCCAACTGCAAGTTAAAAAGAGGATCCTTCCCGGGAACTGAGTCAGCCAGCACCTTGATCTTGGACTTCTAGCCTCCAGAACTGTGAGAAATACATTTCTGTTGTTTAAGCCACCAGTCTATGGCATTCTGTTACAGCAGCTCAAACTAAGTTGGCTTTTCCTAAATAAGTAATAAACACTTGTTATAGGAACTATGGAAAATTAAGAATAGAATTTTTTTTTTTTAATTCAGGAGTTCTAGTATCCTGGTTGTTGTCTAATCTATTAGTATTCCCTATGTTTTTGAAATTCTCTTCTGAAATTTTAATAGTTACATAATATTAAGGGACAGTCAATGTTTGAAAGATGTTCAAAGAATGTATATGTTCAACTATTATTCCTCCACAGGATTCTGACTGAGAATTCTTTTTTTTTTTTTTTTTTTTTAAGATTCAGGAGTACATGTGCAGGTTTGTTATATAGGTAAACTTGTGTGGGTTTGTTGTACAAATTATTTCATCACCCTGATACTAAGCCTAGTACCCAGTGGTTGCGTTTTCTGCTCTCTTCCTCCTCCCACCCTCCACCCTCAAGTAGGCCCCAGTGTTTGTTGTTCCCTTCTTTGTGTTCACTAGAAACATCTCATCATTTAGCTCCCACTTATGAAGTAAGAAAATGCAGTATTTGGGTTTTGTTCCTCCATTAATTTGCTAAGGATAATGGCCTCCAGCCCATCCATCTTCCTGCAAAAAACATGATCTTGTTCTTTTTTATGGCTGCATAGTATTCCATGGTATATATGTACCACATTGTCTTCATCCAATCTGTCGTTGATGGGCACTTAGGTTGATTCCATGTTTTTGCTATTGTGAATAGTACTGCAATCAACATTCATGTGCATGTATCTTTATAGTACAATGATTTATATGCCTCTGACTTTGTACCCAGTATTGGGATTACTGGTTCAAGTGGTAGCTCTGTTTTTAGCTCACTGAAGAATTGTCACACTGCTTTCCACAATGGTTGAGCTAATTTACACTCCTGTTGACGGTGTATAAGAATTCTCTTCTCTGCAACCTCACCAGCATCTGTTATTTTTTTATTTTTTAATAATAGCCATTCTGACTGGTGTGAGATGGCATCTCCTTGTGGTTTTGATTTGCATTTTTCTAATGATCCATAATATTGAGCTTTTTCTCATATGCTTGTTGGACACGTGTGTCTTCTTTGGAAAAGTGTCTGTTCATGTCCTTGGCTCACTTTTTAATGTTTTTTTTTCTTGTAAATTTTTAAGTTCCTTATAGATGCTGGATATTAGACTTTTGTCAGATGTATGGTTTGAAAATATGTTCTCCCCTTCTTTGGATTGTCTGTTTATTCTGTTGATAGTTTCTTCTGCTGTGCAGAAGCTTTTAAGTTTAATTAGATCCCATTTGCCAATGTTTGCTTTTGTTGCAATTGCTTTTGGTGTCTTCTTCATGAAATCTTTGCCCATTCCTATGTCCAAGATGGTATTGCCTAGGTTGTCTTCCAGGTTTTTATAGTTTGGATTTTACATTTAAGTCTTTAATCCATCTTGAGTTGATTTTTTTATATGGTGTAAGGAAGGGATCCAGTTTCAATCTTCTGCGTATGGCTAGCCAGTTATTTCAGCACCATTTATTGAACAGTGCTGTAGCCATTGCTTGTTTTTGTCAGCTTTGTCGAAGATCAGATGGTCATAGGCGACCTTATTTCTGGGTCCTCTATTCTGTTCCATGGTCTATGTGTCTGTTTTTGTATCAGTACCAAGCTGTTTTGGTTACTGCAGTCCTGTAGTATAGTTGGAAGTTGGGTAAAGTAATGCTTCAAGCTTTGTTCTTTTTGTTTAATATTGCCTTGGTTATTCGGGCTTTTTTTTGTTCCATATGAATTTTAAAATAGTTTTTTCTAGTTCTGTGAAGAATGTCATTGGTAGTTTGATGGGAATAGCATTGAATCCGTAAATTGCTTTGGCCATTATGGCCATTTTAATGATATTAATTCTTCCTACCCATAGGCATGGAATGTTTTTCCATTTGTTTGTATCAGTTCTGATTTCTTTGAGCAGTGTTTTGTAATTCTCATTGTAGAGATCTTTCACTTCTCTGGTTAGCTGTATTCCTAGATATTTTATTCTTTCTGAGGCAATTGTAAATGAGATTGTGTTCCTGATTTGGCTCTTGGCTTGGCTGTTGTTGGTGTGTAGAAACGTTCACGATTTTTGCACAGTGAGTTTGTATACTGAAACTCTGCTGAAACTGTTTATTAGCTGAGGGAGCTTTTGAGCTGAGACTATGGGGTTTTCTAGATATTGAATCACGTAGATATCTGCAGACAGGGATAGTTTGACATCCTTTCTTCCTACTTGGATGCCTGTATTTCTTTCTCTTTCCTGATTGCTCTGGCTAGGATTTCCAATGCAATGTAGAATGGGAGTGATGAGAGAGGGCACCCTGGTCTTGCGCCAGTTTGCAAGGGGAATGCTTACAGCTTTTCCTCATTCAGTATGATGTTGGTGGTAGGTCTGTCATAGATGACTGTTATTATTTTGAGGTATGTTCCTTCAATATCTAGTTTACTGAGAATTTTTAACATGAAGAAATGTTAGATTTTATCTAAAGCCTTTTCTGTATCTATTGACATAATTGTGTGGTTTTTGTCTTTAGTTCTCTTTATGTGATGAATCACATTTATTAATTTGTGCGTGTTAAACCAAACTTGCATCCCAGGGATGAAGCCTACTTGATCGTGGTGGATAAACTTTTTGATGTGCTGCTGGATTCAATTTACAAGTATTTTGTTGGGGAGTTTTGCATCAATGTTCATCAAGGATATTGGCCTGATGTGTTCTTTTTTTGGTTGTGTCTCTGCCAGGTTTTTGAATCAGGATGATGCTGGACTCATAGAATGAGTTGGGGAGGAGTCCTCAGTTTTGGGAAATAGTTTCAGTATTAATGGTACCAGCGCTTCTTTGTACATCTGGTAGAATTCCACTGTGAATCCATCTGATCTTGGGCTTTTTTGGTTTTTAGTTGGTAGGCTAGTTATTACTGATTCAATTACAGAGCTCATTATTGGTCTGTTCAGGGAATCAATTTCCTCCTGGTTCAGTCTTGGCAGGATGAATGTCTCCAGGGATTTATCCACCTCTTCTAGGTTTTCTAGTTTTTTCACATACAGGTGTTTGTAATACTTTTTGATAGTTATTTTTATTTCTGTGGCATCCGTGGTAACATCTTCTTTGTCATTTCTATTTGTATTTATTTGGTTCTTCTCTCTTTTCTTCTTTATTAGTCTAGCTGGTGGCCTATCTTACTATTTTTTTGAACAACCAACTCCTGGATTCATTGATATGTTGAATGGTTTTTCGTATCTCAGTTTCCTTCATTTCAGCTCTGATTTTGGTTATTTCTTGTTTTCTGCTAGCATTGGGCTTGGTTTCCTCTTGCTTCTCTAATTCTTTCAGTTGTGATGTTAGGTTGTTAATTTTAGATCTTTCTAACTTTTTGATGTGGGCATTTAGTGCTATGAATTTCCCTCTTAACACTGCCTTAGCTGTGTCCCAGAAATTCTGGTATGTTGTATCTTTGTTCTCATTGGTTTCAAATAACTGCTTGATTTTTGCCTTAATTTCATTATTTACCCAAAAGTCATTCAGGAGCATGTTGTTTAATTTCCATATAATTATGTGGTTTTGAGTGTTTTTTTTTTAGTCTTGACTTCTATTTTTATTGGTCCAAGAGTACATTTGTGGTGATTTTGGTTCTTTTGCATTTGCTGAGGATTGTTTTTCATGGTAGTCTTTTAACTAGAGCAGTCACTCAAATGCATTCAACATATGTGTCACAAAGAACCACACTGTCCTGGTTCCAAAATACTTACTTTGCCCAGTAAGTTCAGTTGTCTTCACTTTTTTAATGGGTTTAAATATTCCCAAACCTAAACTGGTGTCAAAGTCAGGTAGTCAAGATTTAAAATTAGAAGGTGCTGTAAGAGACATAGTTCAGCCAATCATTTCCATTGAGTGGACACAGGGAAATAACATCACTTCTCTAAGGCCACATAATGGTTGGCCAAGACAGCAGGAAACCAAATCTCCTGATGCACTATTTTATTTACACCAGTGGGTCTCAACCCTATCACACCTAACACCCCGTTTTAATATAAATATTTTCTAATTTTATCTTTCTCACCTTGAAATGTAATTCATAAATGATATAACTAACATGCATATATTTTTAAAAACCAAACTAAAACTTACCAAAATGAAGAAATAAAAGGAAAAATTATAATAAAATAATATGCATTGCAATCTGTAATGCTTAGACATGGCATCACTGGTGGGCATAATTATGTCAGATGGTCACACTTGTATGTAGAATGACATCTACAAATGCAGACTGATGCAGTTGGGTTATGTTGGCAACTTATATTCTGCTACTGGATTATCACTGTTGATGGGATTTTCTGAATTGGTGAACAAATCTTGGTAACATTGGGGGGGAAAGTACAGCTCTCCTTTGATACACACAGTACTTAAATTCCTAGAAAATTTAGTGTAGCTGAAAACTTAGCCAAAAGTAATTTATGTTTGAAATAGTTTGATTCTGGGTTAAGTTAGTTACAAACCAGTTTTCACCTACATAAATGTCTGGTACAGCATTTAAAATGTATGTGAGGAAAAATCCTTTATTGTATGGCACTCTCCTACACACTGTAGATTGTGCAGCATCCCTGGCATCTGTCCACTAAATGTCATAGACCTTTTGCTGCTTAGAAATGTCTCCTATCATATACCCTAGATTATCCCTCTTAAGTTCAGCCATCCACGAAACTCTAGTGCATGGACACAAGGCAGCCAAGTACTTTGCTATGCCTAGTAAGAGCAACCTTTGCTCCAGTTCCCAATAAGTTCCTCATTTCCATCTGATACCTCCTCTGCATGGCCTTTCCTATCTGTATTTCTATCAGCATTTTGGTTACAACACTTAACTAGTCTCTAAGAAGTTCCAAACTTTCCTTCATCTTTCTGTCTTCTTCTGAGTCCTGAAACTCTTCCAACCTTTGCCTGTTACCCAGTTCCAAAGCCACTTCCACATTTTCAAGTGTCTTTATAGCCACTCCTCATACCGATTTTCAGTCAGTCTCTCCAGAGAGACAGAACCAATAGGAAACATATTGGTTTCCTGACACACGTTTCTATAATATATAAAGAAAGGGAATTTATTAGGGAGAATTGGCTCAGAGGATGAAAAAGTACCAGGATAGTCCATCTATAAGCTGGAGAATGATAGAAGCATGGCTTTTAGAGAAGTTGGTAGCATGGCTCCTAGGGCAGGCAGTGGCATGACTTGGTCCAATTCTGAAAGCCTCAAAACTAGAGAAGCTGACAATGTAGGCCAGAGGCCTGAGAGCCCCTGAGAGGCCACTGGTGCAAGTCCCAGAGTCCGAAGGCCAAAGACCCTGGAGTCTGATGTGCAAAGGCAGGAAGAGGAAAGGGTACACTGCTACAAAAGAGAGAAAGAGAGTGTGAGCAAAAAAAGAAAAGAAAGCTGAATGTCCTCCTTCTTCCACCTGCTTTGTTCTAGCTGTGCCTGCAGCCGATTGGATGGTGCTCGCCCACGCTGAGGGCAGGTCTTCCTCTCTCAGTCCACTGACTCACATGTCAGTCTCCTCCAGAAACACCCTCACAGACACACCCAGAAACAATTCCAGCCCTCTAGGCATCCTCAATCCAGTCAAGTTGACAGCTAATGTTAACCATCACAGGAGTTACCAGTTTTCTTAAAGAATCTCTGAACTGAGGTCGTATTGCCTCCCATTGCTACAAGAATGACAGAAGAACATTCCAAATAGAGGCTTTTGGAGAAAAGTTTTGACTTTCCTGGTGCAAAAGAGTTTTCTTTGTGAGATAAAGTATAATAATCATAAATAATCTATTTTTTCTTACCCTTTAAAAATGTGTGGGGGTGAAAATGATGCAGAGGATGTAACTCTGGGTTGGTTATGATAAAAATAGGATGTGATCATTCTCTTATTTCTCAAATAAAATAATATCCCATCCTTATTCAGCTCTCTCCTTCAAACATATTAAAGCACATATATCTTGCATTTATATTAAAATGCCCTCATTTTTCAAAATTGTTTACTAGAAGTATAATCTCTGTCTTCTCTTTTGCAGAACCTAAGTCCAGCTTTGCCTGACAATCCTGTCCTTAAGGGTAATTGTCTAGTTACCTCCTGTATCATAGTTGGGTTTCAAGATGGACATTCTAGAAATTAATAATTGGGCTGTTTAAGTCACATTGACGAATGCATTTCTCTCTTTGATACAATATATTTCTGAACAAGAAGTGGCAAAAATCAATAAATTCATATTTAACTTACAGAATTTCATAAAAATTTTTGTTGTGCTGCAGAGCAAGGAAACATGCTGCCAGTCTGTTCATTTTGATAAGAACATTCTTCTTTGAATTACAATTTTATTATGTATTTATCTGTATTATACAAAAGCCTGTGGCAATCAGAGGAGGATGTTTGAAACATCTTTGGTTTCATAGAAATTTGCATATCAAAAATATGCAATGCTGTAGTGATATATTGCATAGAAATATACAGTTCAATAAGCATAGTATTTTTCTTGGCACTTTTGAATGAAATACTTAAAGCAGTACTTTGCCTGAGTTCTAAATGTTTTTCACAGAAATCTTCCACATCTATCTTTCATTTCTATTTCATATAAAGAGGTAGAGAAATGTCGTGATGTAATATTTTCTTGTATAATAGCATTAAATTAGTCCCTTTCTTCTGGAATGCTAAAAGCACTTTTCTGTTTCCTTGTTTTATCATTATATATAGCATATTTGTGGAACCAGATAAGACAAGCATTATTCCTATTTTGTAAGTAAACAAACTGAAGTACAAAGGCATTAAATAGACAAGAGCAAAGACCTGCAACAAAATATGTCAGGGTAGAGGGGACTTTTCAGAGAGCTGGGTCCTAGGGTATCCTGAGAGGGAAAGCCAGGGGGTTCCAGCTGATCATGTTGAACCTGACTCACAAACTAGTAGGCTCAACCATGGCTTGGAGGACCCAGGAGTGTCAGCGGACTTAATGTACTCAGATACCCCACAAAGTGGTGTGCAGTTACGTCATCAGCAGTCATCAAAGGGTATTCTACTTTTCCTAGCAAACACTGTGAATGGTAATACTTTAACTCAAGCAAATACTAAATACTAAAATTATTGTCTTCCCAACTCTTACCCTCTCTCCTTGAACTGAAAATAGAGCTGTGTCAGGTCTTACAGAATTGTGTGTGTGTGTGTGTGTGTGTGTGTGTGTGTGTGTGTGTGTGTGTGTGTTGGGGGAGGGGAATGAAAATAAGGTGTTGCTCAATCTTAGAGGAAATGAGGCACACCACACCTGCACCAGCTGAACTTACAAATGGCTGGGTAGCCACAGAGAGTATTTTCCCTTCACTTTGGTGTTCATGGTAAACACTCAGGCAGAGTCTGCTGACTGATGGAAAGGGAATGGGTTTGCCTATTGAACATTATCTGAATAGCCATTCGATGACTGATGTGCTTTTCTTGAACTTCGGTAAATTGATTTCTGTAGGAAAATCATGATGATTATGTAAAAACAGTATTTTAAACTACACATTAAAGGAGGCATAAGATTCATCAATTTTTTCATCTCCGATGAGGAAAATGGCAAGCAAGATCTAAACCAGCTTGATAATAGCCTTTCTGTTTAACTTAGGATCTTTGACCAAGAGCAGAGCCACTTGACAGCTTGCACAGTTTCTTCCTCCTTTCCAATAGTATGGATAAAATTCCATCACAAAACAGAAGATTGAGAAGCATCAATGATCATCCAGGATAGGAGATTTGATAAGCTATGCTCGTGGTCCAACACATTAGAACAATGAGTGAAGACTCTGAGCATAAAGTCATGCAATCAGATTAGACACAAAAGCAGTGACCTGCCAGACATGCCTCATGACATCTGCATGGGGAACAAAGTTAGGTTCTTGGGAATCCATTGAGAAAGTGACAATGTAGAAAGAAGATAGGAGACAGTGGGACTATTGAAGAGAGACACCCAATTAAGGAATTTCACAGGAATTTCAACATAGGGTACTGCTAATCCCCTCTTCTAAATGTTTGCTGACAAACGTGTAGAGCTTGTATTAGGGTGGAAACTGGAGCAGGCTAGGGAATAGGGAAGTGGAATTCTACTCTTTCTTTGCTGTATAACCTCAGGCAAAGTATCTTCATTCCTATCCAGCTTTGTGTCTTCATTTGTAAAAGGATTGAGTTAGACTGAGGTGTTGTTTTAGAGGTCCCTTTCGATTCCAAACAATCTAAAATTCTGTGACATCTCAAAATATCCTAGAGTAATGCAAATGCCACTTTTTAATATCTAGCATTAAAAACAACAAAAATAGCAAGGGCTGCTTACAGGCATCTGTACTACCATGAGCACAAATTGGACACATTCATTACAAAGCAGAGAAAATGCATTGGGTCTATTTCACAAAAATCATATCCTGAGGAAGAGAAATGTGTCAAAAGGTACCAGATTATGTGCCAAAATAGGAAATATTGTTCAAGTTGCAGGTGACCTTTCATAGTGAGATCATTCACTTGCTGGTTATGCTGTCACGTAACTTAATACTGCTCTTTAAAGGTCATTGCCATGGGTGTGCCCCTGGGCACGTCCTAATATAAGCCTCTAATTTACTTTCCCCCCATAAAATATATCCTATAATGAGGCATAATTCCCCCACCCACTCCGAGTCTGGTGGGAAACATATTTATCCTTGTATTATAAGCATTTTACATTTAAAGATATTGATGGGGGAGGAGGAAAGGTAAGACACTTCATTGCAAACCTTTGTTGCCTTCACTGATTAGGAAAGAAGTCATTCTATAATAGGAGAATTTTCCCACATAGCTAGAAGTGTTTAACTGTTTATATTACAACTTTGAAAAAAATTAGAATCTTTATGTAAAGTACCAAATGTGGTATAACTGTATGCTTCTGGCAACAGAAAACACTCAGCAACATTTGACTGTATGTTGTCACTTTCATTTATTTTACTTGGTTCCAAGGTCTCTCTTGAGAGTGGCCATAAGCGAAAAATCACCATTCTGTAGGATACCCCTGACTAGGTCAGGTGTGTGTGTGTCAGGTGAGACACAATGAGAAGGTGAAACGAAAATGCATGAAATGGAAGAAATTTGTTACTCACAAGTCCCAGATAGGTAAGGGGTAATGACAGGTGGGTGACGTGGTGGGGAGTGCAGGGGAGGACTGATGGGAAGTCCAGAGGCAGCAGGGAACATAACCAGTGGATGGGAAAGTGAGAGAGGATTGAGAGAGAGAGGGAGCAAAACAGAACCTATGGACCTGTGAGATTCTGCCTATACTAAGGTCCATAGGCATTATCCCTCAGGCTCTCATGGGGATTGTGGATTAGCTAGTTTGAAGAAAACGTGCATGAAGGGGGAAACATATTTACATGATTCTGCTGTTGACCATTAGGTTTTATTGTGGTCAGTAGCTGTGGGATATGTCAGCTTTTGAGTCAGTGAGATAAGGAACAAGTGGGCCAAATTGCAAACAACCATACAAGGGGGGAAGTTTGAACTTCCCTCCTTGTGAGCCAAAGGTCATAGAGCTCATTCAGGTTTCAGACAACTTGTGTCAGGACTAAACATGGATGCCAAGGCAGCAGCTACATTAAACAAATGTATGACATTGCTCCTTACTGATTCAGGTTCGTAACGTGCAATGTGATTTAGCAAACGTACAGCAAGTGTCTCCAGTGTGACTGGCCTGTGCAAAGGTTGGAATAGATAGACTCAAACTCTGTGTAGGTTTGTGTTGTCATCCAGGTATCGGCAGTTGAGCTTGACTCAATGCTACTACATCCTAGGTATGTATGTCTTCTGCCTGCCTCTCAAGATCAGTCAAACTGCAGGACTAGTGGGCACATCTTCATAGTGATATCATATGGCCTTGAAGGAAGATGAAGCTTAAAGGGGTTAATAGATGCGATGCTACATCACTACCCAAATTATGGGCCAGTCCTCATGGATTACTGTTTTAAAGATGACTAATGGGCAACTTTACCTCTGACACTGTAGCTATTACTAGTAATGTGAAGCAAAAGTAGAGAAGGAATAACATAAGCCAACATATTTCATAGTTAAGGTGATGTCCTACAGAATATAATTCACACTTAACATCATACGAATTGGCCTCTTGGTACTATGTCTATTAAAGCAGAATTTTTAAGTATTTCAATATCATGAATAAGGTTTTTTAAGAAAAAAAGAATGCACGTAAAACCATTCTCCTTTTATGAAACTGTATTTTAAAATGGAGAAACCAAAAAGATATGGTTCTAGAATGAACTGTGATGTCAACTGCATGAGCTTGACAAGGTCTCCCTAGATCTGTGGAACTTGCTATCCTTTATAAGCCAGGGAAAAGCAAACTGCTAAGTTATCTACCAGGTTCTATGCCAGAGTCACACCCTGTGCAATTATGTCTCACAGTTGACCACATTAGTAATTCTGGGGCTAAACTCAAGTTTTCCCACAAAGTTGAAGAATTTAGAGGGAGTGGAGAGAGAGAGCCAATAAGTTTGTAAGCTTTAAATTTAGAAATCCCTGGGTAGCCTTAGCCAGCTTTCTTTCCTATATTGCTGCACAAACTTGCTAACCAGCAGTCCTTGTAAAACCAGGCACCAGGAGAGTCAGCCCTACTGATGCTGACAGAGTTCAAGAGAGAGTAAAGTCACAGTCACGAGTAGTTTCTCGATACAGATGGGGAAGAGAAAACTTTCCTAGAGGTATGCTAGGCAGCATTTCAAAGGCCCTTAGGATGTTGTACTCTTCTCAGCCTGTTAATCTCCCTGGTCTGACTATTACCCTTGTATTAGTAGGCCATTCTTGCATTGCCATAAATAAATACCTGTGACTGAGTAATTTATAAGAAAAGGAGTTTAATTGGCTCGTGGTGGTTCTGCAGGTTGTACAGGAAGCATAGCACTAGCATCTGCTTCTGGGGAGGCCTCAGGAAGCTTACAATCATGGCAGAAGGTGAAGGGGGAGCAGGCACATCACATAGTGAGAGCAGGAGTGGCGAGGGGCAGTGGTGGGGGAGGGGGAGGGATCACACACTTTTAAATGACCAGATCTTATGAAAACTCACTATCATGAGGACAGCACCAAGGGGATAGTGCTAAACCAGTCATGAGAAATTCACCCCCGTGATCCAATCGCCTCCCACCAGATCCCACCTCCAATACTGGGGATTTCAATTCAACATGAGATTTGGTTGGGGACAAATATCCAAACTACGTCAACCATCATAAGGTTAAAATTAAAAGAATAAGATGATTTTCTAACAGAATCACAAGCAAAGAGAAGAAAATGCCAATGGCCTCCAGGGTAGAAAGGCAATTCATTGTCTTCCAATTTATCCCTTCATCTTCCATCTAGCATTGCCAGCTTTCATGCCAAAAGAAGTTTGCAGGAAATTTTTCATTGAGGAAAATACATTCCTGGGGCCTTAGGAAAGTACCTTTATGTGACACGTCATCAGTCTTGGTATTCAGGTCTTCAGAGCAGATGACATGGGCATGAACAGGGACTGTGTAAATGTGAGTGTGTGTGTTGAGGGGAGGACGAGGGCAGGAAGAAAGATACATGGTGTCAACAAAAATTGGATCCTGCTTGCCATGGACCTGAATAGTGCCTGGAAGATAGAAATACTAGTCATATAATCCTGGGAATCAACAGTTAATCCTCAACAACTGAGATAATACCACCAACCCACCTTTGTCTCTGCCATTTACCCTATCAGACAAAGAATAGTCAAGAGTTACTGAAGGCTATAATATTTAAAGCCTTTAAAAAGCCTCTAGGTTCTTTTTGTTTTGAAATTTCATTGGCCAAATTCCAGAAGAGGAATCTTGTTCTTGTTGACTAAGAGATATAGTCCAGGAATCATCCAGAGCTAAGGAAATTTGGATCCTCTAGCAAGGCATGCTTATGTCATCTGTAACAGCACAAGCCTAACCATTCCTTAAAGTAGGGCTCTCTGCAGGTTTCCTAGACTAGGCTTATTGGAATTGGTTGACCAGTAAGTACCAACTTAGATAGGGACTCTCTTTAGAATCCTCCTAGGCTGAGGATGACCTAGCAGTCCAGCTTCATCTGTCAGGAAAATGTTTACAGAGATGTTATTTCCTTAGACTTGGGAGCAGGGGTTGTTGATCGCTGTTTTGCAATAATGAGGCAGGACTCGCTAGGAAAAAGAATTACGTTTCAGGGGAATGGTTCAAACTACAGACAACATGGCCTTTGGAATTTCCCCTGGGAAAGTATCAAGGAAAATTCTTAATAACCAGAGGGTTAAAACTATCCTCAGTGCAAGACTGTGAGTATCAGATATGTATATAAGAATTTTAATTCGCACCATAGATTTAAGAAAATTTGATAATGTCATATATCTTTTTTTTAAGTTCAAATTGCCTAAGACTTATCTCAGGTGCTTGCCTTAAAAATCAAGATTTAAAAATCACACACATATATATATACACAAACATACACAGCTTTTCTAGGGTCTGGTACTTCAAGCTCTTTAAGACACTTTAACAATTGGGAATTTTTCAGTGAGAAAATTCATGGTTGATTAAGTTGAGTCATTTACAAATAATAGTAGAGCTTCCAATGAAGTAAAACTTCTTTGTAATTCAAGAGGTGATTGAGTCTTCAATGAACCTATGCCTTGTGTTCAACTTCTAGGAGATACTGGCTTAAAGTAGGAGATTAATCTATATCAGAGAGTATGTAATGGGGAGAAGTGAGTCAGTTATATTCATCACTAATCTATGCTAAGCAGAGCTTCAGTTTCTCAGTTCCCTAGCCAGCTGTTTTGATGACAATGGAGGGAAACATTTTTTTTGTTTAATACTTTCATTAAAAGATCAAAGAACTCATTACTGACAACAGTACTAAAAGTGTATTAATCAAACGAAAAAGATAACACTCCTCATTTATTCAACTGATATTTAGTGAGTACCTCTTTTGTGCTACTAATCTATCAGACAAGGGATGCTCAATGGAAATTATGGTACAAACTCTACACTCATGGAGTTTATAGACTAGTAGGAGAGATGGACCAATAAGCAGACAATTGCCATGTGATGTGATAAGCTGACACTCTGGTCTTTCTGGCAGCCAGCACCCATCCTCATTCGCTGGGCTGAGAACAGCCCACTACCCACAAGGGAAGGCCTTGACAGCCATGTTAAAATATAGGACTATGTTTCCAAGCTGTAGTGATTATTTCAAGGATGGCACTGTATTCCAACTGGTGAGTCAGAATATCTTTCTTTTAGTATTAGAGTTGAGAAATAAAGTGCTAGCGTATCAGAGTAGGTTGCTTGAACTGGGTGAATAGCAGATGGGGCCAGTGGAGGAGGAGTGGTCGACTTGGTATGTACTGTTTTTACTCTCAGCACTTTGGATACCAAATGCATGGGTTTTTTCTTCACACCAACCAATTCTCCAACTATCTGGACTCCGACTGGTTGTCTTATAATTCAGTTCTCACATGAACCCCACAAGTTGAGGGCTGAGTTCCACAAGACTGCCCTCACTGTGGATGCCAGTCACTAGGATCAAGTAACTAGGGCACCCACACTCTCTGACTTATATGCAAAGTCTGGGGTTCCCACAACCCCCTCCTAAGTTTTGATGACTTGCTAGAATCACTCACAGATCTCAGGTAGACACTTTACTTACCATTACCAGTTTATCATAAAGGATACAACTCAGAAGCAGCCAATTGGAAGAGATGCCCAGGGCATGTGGCAAAGGTCAAGAAGCTTCCCTGGGCTCTCTGAGCCCCTACCCATCACCTCCATGTGTTCACTGGCCCTGAAGGTCTCTGAACCCCATTGTTGAGGGGTTTTGTGGAGGTTTTGTTATGTAGGAATGATTGATTAAATCATTGGCCACTGATGACTCAGTCTCTAGCCCCCTCCCCTCCCTGGAGGTTGAGGGTGGGTGTGGAAGGGAAGGTTGGGTAAAACTTCCAACCCTTTAATCATGCCTTGGTCTTTCTGGCAGCCAGCACTCATCCTCACTTTATCTAGGGACCAACCAAGAGTTGCGTCTTTAAAACAAAAGATATTCCTATCACCCAAGAAATTCCAAGGCATTAGGAAGCTGTATGCCAGAAACCTAGGGACAAAGACAAAATATGTATTTATCACACCTGCCGTGGAGATGCCTAACAGTGCAATCTGACCTTCAGAGAGAGAAGACATGTAAGAGATGTAGAGGAGAAATAGTAGCAAGAGACTTCAGGACTCAACACAGGAAGAGAAAGAGACCAAGCAATCGGTAGTTCCATTTTCCAATGGCTTCCCAGACAACAAAGTGGTTCCCACCTTTCCAGAGGCACAGTTGTTCAACTTTGCCTCAGGTTCTATGAGATACCCCAGCATTTTTTTTTTTTTAATTTTTTAGCCTTGCCTTGTTTCAAATGAAGTTCTATTATTACCGAAAGTATCTGGACCAAGACATATTTCTATAGGGGTAAGAATATGATGTTATGGGATCATCTGGGAGGGAACTAGCTCAGTTTAGAACATGGAAGGATTTCCTAGCGAAGTACTATCGGAGCTGTATTCTAAAGGAGAATAGAAATCAGCCAGCAGGTGTCTTAGGCAAAGAGAACAGCACCTGCAAAGCCCAGAGGTTAGATAGTATGACCCACTTTGGGAGCTACGAAAGATTTTCTGTGGGTAAAGTATATAGCTAGGAGCAGCATATATGTTTGTGGGAGGAGAATATCAGTGTCAAGAGATGACTCTCCCAGGTCATTGGCAGAATTCATTTTTTTTTTTTTTTTTTGCAACAGTAGGAATTATGGCAGCTTGCTTCTTCAAAGCCAACAGCTGAGAGGGAAAGAGAGACAGAGCCAGCAGGATGGGATTTTATATAACATAATGTAGTTTAGGGGGTGGAATCACCTTTTCCATATTCTACTAGTTAGAAGCAAATCACACACACGGGGCATGAGCACCAGGAGTTGAAGCCACCTTAAAGCGTGTTCATCACAGCGCCCTGCTGTATGCTTTTACTTAGTCCACTTGTGAATGAAAAGGTGGGCTGCATTGCAGCTTTTCTGGCACAATCCACTATTCTATCATGAAGGAACTTTAATCTTGGGAAAATTTTATGACCTGAAAAGTCTACTAGGAAATATTTCTGCAGTGTCAGCAAGTATCATGTATTCTGCTTTACCACAAAAACTGTATCTGCTGCATCATCTTGTGGTCAAAGGCAAATTATGGTTCAAAAGTGTCTGGCAGGCCAGGCACAGCGGCTCACACCTAGAATCCCAGTACTTTGGGAGGCCAAGGCAGGTGGATCACTTGAGGTCAGGAGTTAAGACCAGCCTGGCCAATATGGTGAAACCCCGTCTCTACTAAAAATACAAAAATTAGCCGGGCATGATGGTGCATGCCTGTAGTCCCAGCTACTTGGGAGGCTGAGGCAGGAGAATCACTTGAACTCCGGAGGCGGAGATTGCAGTGAGCCGAGATTGCGCCATTGCACTTTAGCCTGTGCAACAGAGTGAGACTTCATCTCCAAAAAAAAAAGATGTATGGTTAATTCAATTATGCCATAACATGTTTTCAGGGTTCCTGAAAACAGATGCTCAGTCAACTACTCTAACATCTTTCTTGAATGTTTACTGATTGAAACATCTTAAAGACTTTTTTCTTCAAGTTACTAGTATGTATAGGATTATCCTCTTCTTTATACTGTATCTGTGTTGTCTATTTTCAATACACAATATTAGAGGCAATACCTACCTGTGTTTAGTGTGTTCTCTATGATGCAGCACGCCATCAGGGAGTGTAGGTCTCTAATGCATGCCATCTGGTGATTCAGGGCCATGTGTGTGAATAAACAGTGACTCTGCTGATTACCTACTCGGTATGTGCATTTAATTAAGTGCACAAATTCCTACAGGCATGTGGTTAAAGGGACTTTGGCAGATTTCCCCTCTGGAGGGCTTGGCTGTATGAAGCTGGAACCCTCCCTGGCACTGGAATTCCAAACGTGCCTGCATTTGTAACAGTAAAGAGTGGTTTAACATCATGGAGGCTTTCAACTGCTTACATTTCAGTTTATAGCCGAAGCACTGTAATAACTCACACTGAAATAGAATATGTTTTTTTTAGGGGTACCGTATCTGTTTACTTCATGCAAAATTAACATTTATAAACAAAAAATGTGAATACCACAACATAACAGTATCAAAACAACCTGTGTGTGAGGTTTGATCCTTTCAGCAGTTGTTCTTCAGATATATTGCTTTGTATTACAGAGCAACTCAATGAGAATGGTATTTTAAAACAGAAACCTACATAAACAAAATACACATTTTTTTCTAAAATATAGTGACAAAATCATAGTACTTTGGAAGTTAATTTAGAATATTTCAAACTAAAATTGTGTGTGTGTGTGAAGTTGGTTTGTTTGTTTGTTTGTTTGTTTTGCTTTGTTTTGTTTGAGATGGAGTCTTGCTCTGTCACCCAGGTTGGAGTGCAGTGGTGCAATCTCGGCTCACTGCAACCTCTGCTTCCCTGATTCAAGCGATTCTCCTGCCTCAGCCTCCTGAATAGCTGGGATTACAGGCGCCTGCCACCACGCCTGGCTAATTTTTGTATTTTTAGTAGAGACAGGGTTTCACCATGTTGGTTGGTCAGGGCTGGTCTCAAACTCCTGACCTCATGATCCACCCGCCTCGGCCTCCCAAAGTGCTGGGATTACAGGCGTGAGCCACTGCGCCTGGCTGTGTGAAGCTTTTTAAATGGGCACATTTACTAATAGATGGTATTGAATTCCATTTGAGGCAGTGCAGTGGGAAGGGCACAGAAATGAGAACCAGAAAGAAATCACCTCCAGATCTGGCACTCCCAAGCTTTCAGATTTGCGGAGAATTAGCATTTCCTGGGTCTCAGCTTAGCTCTAACAATTGGACTCCCTGAAAAGATGCAAAATAAAAGCAAATATAAGTAAGATGTGATCAAATGTCCTATTCGACTTGAACTTTAGACATTAGAACATCTGTGTGTCTAAATGCTTTGCTTAACTTCTCAGTAACCTTTTCACAATCAGCAAAGAATAGAAGGGCATTCTTCGCTGTGTGGGGAAGCCCTTCAAGCTGTGAACTACTGAAGAGGTCAGAGTGGTGGCTGTGGAAGCCCAGTGTCTCCTACAATATGCAGATACTGATCTGTTCATCCTTGGCTAAGAGGCTCCTGTGGAAAAGCTGCAGCTCCAGCTGTAGACCCCTAAGGGGCTTGCCAAGAGAATCCGCAATTAGACAGAAGAATGAAGAGATGGTGAATAATTTCTCTTTCTTTCTGATTACAATCTAAATACTGGGAATAGCACAACAGGAAAAATGTATGTAATGCTTATATTGTTCCCAATGCTTCTTTTTTTTTTTTTTTTTCTGAGATGGAGTTTTGCTCTGTCGCCCAGGCTTGAGTGCAGTGGCACAATCTTGGCTCACTGCCGCTGCCACAAGTGATTCTCCTGCCTCAGGCTCCCAAGTAGCTGGGATTACAGGTGCACGCCACCATGCCTGGCTAATTTTTTTTTATTTTATTTTTAGTAGAGATGGAGTTTTGCTATATTGGCCAGGCTGGTCTTGAACTCCTGACCTCAGGTGATTCACCCGCCTCGGCCTCCCAAAGTGCTGGGATTACAGGTGTGAGCCACCACTCCTGGCCCATTCTATTGCTTCATCTTGCCTGAGAGTATGAATCCCAGAACAGATACCCATGTTTTATAGACAGATCAGGAGATGAGAAATACTGTATGTGCACGAACATCATTTTATCTGTGTTTTTAGATGTCATCTTTGAATGCCAAATGTTGTTCCTTGGAAAGTTGGTTGTTTTTTTCCCCCTCAACTACTGTATCTTTCCTGCTCATTACAAGGAAAATAGAAAATACAGTGTCTGCATTTGCTGCTCTAAGCTTCAACCTTGCACAACTCATTTCTTCTCCCATGAAAGCAGACTCCCACCCCAATCTGCTTCTTGAAAGTCCCCCAATCCCCAAAACCCACGGCATCCTTCCATCCTCCTCCTCCTCCTTTGCTCTGCGTATTTCATTCTGAGGGCTCCTCCTCCTCCTCCTCCTAGCGAACCTCCTCCCTAGGCTCCCAGAAAGCTGCAGCCCCACCTGGCTGGTCCCCTGCCTCTCTCACTCACCTCTGCAAACTTCAATAGTTTGGGATCCTCCTTCTGCTCCTCTCCCTAACTCCTCTCCTCAAATGTATCATATTCATAAGGATCTCTCCTGTTCTCTGCTATATTCTTATCCTTCATAATGTCAACCAGCCTCCTGGGACTACAGCCTTTTTTCAGAGGACTCAGAAATCTCACTCCTGCCCTCTCACCTGCACCCCAACCAAACCTCCTTTCCAGTCCCCTGAATTTACAGCTGGTGCCTAAAATTCTGCATGTGTAAAAACTGAACTCATCTCAGTGCACATAATTCTCCTGGCCCCTTTTCCTGGCTCTCTGATTGCTGGGAGGCTGTGAGAATGTGCTGACTCCTGATGGACCAAGGGCACCAGGGCTGCCCTTTGGGATCATCACCCAAGCCCAGATCCACATGGGGATACCAAGGAAGCTACTTCTGGAGAAGGTAAAGGACTCCCCAGTGGCTTTGCCAGATCTTCCATAGACTGTGATTGAGGCAGCTTCCATCCAATTTTCCCTCCCCCTCTCTCACTCTGTCTCTCTCAGCTTCCTTACTATACCCATTCACACACATACATCTCCTCCCCTAAGAAAACCCTTGCATGTTTAATCCTCTCTTAGCATCTGTATTAGTCCTTTTTCATGCTGCTGATACATACCTGAGACTGGGCAATTTGCAAAAGAAAGAGGTTTAATGGCCTCCCACATGGCCGGGGAGGCCTCACAATCATGGCGAAGGAAAGGAGGAGCAAGTCACCTCTTACACGGATGGCAGCAGGCAAAGAAAGAGAGCTTGTGCAGGGAAACTCCTGTTTTTAATACCATCAGATCTCATGACACTTATTCACTATCATGAGAACAGCATGGGAAAGACCCACCCCCGTGATTCAATTACCTCCCACCGGTTTCCTCCCCTAACACATGGGAATTCAAGATGAGATTTAGGTGGGGACACAGCCAAACCATATTAGCATCTGATTCTCAGAGGGCCCAAATGAATACAAATTCCCATCCTGAAAAACTATTGACTATCCTAGCAAAGATTCTTAGAGATAACTCCTTCTTTCCTGTCCACAAATCTCTATTCATTTCCAAGGGCTGCTCTAACAAAGTACCACCAACTGTTGTCGAAATTTCTTCAACAACAGAAATTTATTGTCTCATAGTTCTGCAGGCTGGAAGTCCACGATTAAGGTGTCAGCAGGGTTGACTCCTTCTGAGCACTCTGAGGAAGAATCTGTTCATGCCTCTTCCTTGCTTCTGGTGACAGCCAGCAGGCCTTGGCATTCCTTGGTTTGTTGATCCATTGTTCCAGCCTCTGCCTCCATCTTCACATAGATTTCTCCCTTCATGTGTCTTATACATCCTAAGACATATTCCGCAACTGAGATATAGTCCCCATCATTGCCTGCCAATTGCATCTAAACTCCATAGTGGTCCACTGGAAGCCTTTAGAGATTCAGTTCCAATCTCTCTTCCTGTCCAAATGTCCCACAGCTCCAACTCTCCAGTCCTGCCTGCCTATTCTCCATTTCTAGAATGTTCCCTGAACTTTCCCACCTCTTTGCCCTTTATCCCCCGACTATTTCATCCTCGTGATCCCTCTCCTCTCCCCGTGGCTCTGTCCATCAGACCCCAATCCATCTTCCACACATGCCAAGTGCTGCCTTGCTCAAGATATCCACAGCCAGAACTGACCTCTATCTTCTTGGGATTTCTACAGTACTATCATTTTACCACATGCTGCCTTATATTTTATTATTTGTGTATGCTTTACCTCCAAATTGTACATTTCTTGAAGAACAGAACAATATATTTTCAGATTTTTAACCCCCAAACGTTATTTATCCGTGTATAAATACATGTCAGATGCTCATTTAAAATTTTGGCCAAGTAATAGAAAATAAAATACTATTTCTTAAGGATGGTGAATTCATTGGAGGTGATGTCAGGGATATAGTAGAAAATCCTTCAGAAAAGTAGAAAAACTTCCTAGAGGGTGATGAATAAAAGTGACGCTATTGGAGAGGGATGTATATGAGGTGGATGTTGTGGATGTGAAGGGAGGTGGTGACTGAACAATGGTGGCAGAGTAAACAGTGGCAGGAACGTTAGCCCCACCTTCCTCCTGGCTCTGTGTTGGAGGAAGCGAGCAAATATGTGCCAATCTATCATGTCCCCTCATATAAATGTGACTGTGTTTCTAGAGTTCCTACCTTGTGCCAGGCACTAGGGTTATGCAAAAAAGAGAGCAAGACGTGGTCACAGCTGTTGTTGTAGCTTGTGTATGTGAAGAAATGCATTTTGGTCTCTTCATGGCCAGCTTATTACTGGGAGGTGAGAACAGGAAGAGGTCAGCCGAGCATTCAAGGACCACTAAGCCATGGCCCTAGGCTGCTTTTTCAGCTTTTCTTCCCACAACTTTCTTATAAAAGACTCCTAATTTAAAATTAGCTACCAACTGGACTGTGTGTAGATTATTTGGCAGATCTCACTTTGCCTATACTCATATCATATACAACCTGATATGTCACACCCTTCTCTCCCCCAACCCTTGAGTATGTTCCAAGTTTTCTCCATGAATCCTTTCTGGCCACCCTAACACCAGTCAGCACAATTTAATTTGTACCTCTCTTTTGACCACTGTATCCCTCTACCATCTTGATGTGTGGGTAGGCATCCTTTTTCTCCTAGACTGTGAGCTACTTAGGGACATGAGTGTTGTTTTTGTAAGTATCTGATTTTCATACAATGCCTGAGATAATCTTTTAAACACAGTAGGCATTCAATAAACATCTCTGGAATAAATTAATGAATGGAGCATCTAAGAACTTTTTCATGGAGCAGTAGAGGTGACTTTTGCCTGGAAACCCTTTCCTCATTTTGTTTCCTAGTCACTTCCAGCTGTGTTTCATGTTCTATAATATCTTTATGGATTCCTTCTTGATCTTCACAAGACTTAAGTAAAAGAACAGACTAGTTTGCATTTTTAATTTAAGAATACTGCAATTATAAGTAATTATTTAGGTACTGGAGACTGCAACTGCAATGAATTTTAAATACAATTTAATTTCTAGTGCACAGTTTCTGCGCTATTTTTTCTTCTGTGTTTCATGGTCTGTAGCTGAGGTAACAGAGCCACAGTTATATTTTATAACTAATTAGCAACTGAAATTAGAAAGTTTTACTTTATAACTAATTAGCAACTGAAATTAGAAAGTTTATACCAATTATCAACATTCAACACTTTGAATAACTTGACAATTCTGAATATTTTGGATCACAGTTAACCTGAAATCATAAATACCTAATTTCATGATTACTTATCTGAGATATGAGGGCCAATAAGCTATTGTTATTGCTTCTTTCTAGAAAATTGAATGTTATTCCACAAACCACCTGGCCAAATCTAAGTTTGCAAACTGAGGATGGTTGAGGTCTCGTTTACGGGGCAAATCCTTCCTTTGGAAACCTGATGTCGATTCCTTGCAAATCACTTCATTCCTGATTCTCTGACCATCTTTTGCTCTGCATAGAATAAAAAACAAGAGTGTGTTTTTATTCCCTTGAGATTCCTGCTAACATTTTCCCCCTTTTGCTTGCCTGTGGTTGTATGTTACAGTAGTTTAGGATGGAATTAGCTCACAAGAGTTTTTGCAACAACATGGTGCTGTCTTGTCGAAGACTTGCTCACTCCTCACAAAACTCCCTTTAGGCCATAAATAAATTAAAACGTGATTTTCTACTAAAAAGTTAATGCTGTTCATTGAGAGAATACTGGCAATACAGGAGCTAGGATAATCTAAGAACGGCTGCAATTGCTTTTAAATGACAGCATCTTAATGTCTGTATTACTTTTTTCTTTCCCTAGGTAAGTGGTGTTTTATCTTCATTGCTTCAGGGAGTGTTGATTTGTCTGGTAAGTGTTCGTTTTGCTCTGGTACAAGGTACTACTTCAAAGATGCATGTGAATTGCCTGTGAGAACCAAAAGGCAAACCAGAAAGCATAAGCGAACTTTGGAAATGATATACACTGAGAAGGCTGGTGTGTGTTCAATCTTGTTCAGATTTTTTCTTTTTTCTGAGAGCTTACTTTGGAGTTACAACACACTTTGTTCTTCGGTCTGGAAAAGAGCCCAGGGGCTGATTAAGTGTTGATGAAAACTTGCCTTCCATAAATTCTTTTTATGTGAATTTTCTTGTCTTTTTTTCTTTTACTTCTTTCTGCCTTTATTGGAATTTTTTAAATGCCCTCCATTCAGATTTTGATAAAACCATAAAACTCCAGATAGAGGCATTTTGCTGAAGTTTTTGCTACTTACGTATACTGTGTTACTCCAGTATTTTGACTAAATTGTTACCCAGAACCTCCTTTGCTTTTCTGTTCTCCTCCTCCTGTGTCACGGTGGTTTCATCTGTACGGTATTAATGTTCCATTGGTACTCAGCACAATGTGGCGATTAAGTCCTACTTCTCAATAACATTTTTATTAAGCTACTGAAACAAATATGTCCCTAAATTTCTAGCTGTACTGGCACAGACATTATTTTACTGATTCCTTCTATAAATTAGTGACTGAGAGTTGCTGTTTTTCTAGATATGTTGTTGATACCGAGATTTTTTCCTTTAAAAGAATTACCAAGGAGCTATCCAGGATGAAGATGAATTGCAAGGAGAGAAAAAAAAAAAAACACGAATCATTTGATCTGTGAATTTCATAGTTGAATATACCCAACATCTGATGATTTTATTTTGTTTCTTATAATAGTGGACTCTCCCACTTTTTTGAGCTGACACAGAAAATGCTAGACCACATTGTCTTTTGAAAGGAATATAGGAAATTCCATTTCCCTGTGTGTAATATCTATAGACCTTTGTTATCTTACGTTATAGGTTCAGATTATTGGTTCCGTTAGAAGTAATTGTTCTTTAAAAGCATTGAATTTGGTTTAGCTATATTCTGCTGTCCTCTCCTTCACGTTCATCATCCCCCAAAATTTTGCCATTACATTAATAAATTTAGCTGAGATATATCTATATCTATATCTGTATAGTTAGGTGCTTAAAGAGGTTTTTATTTTAAATATACATTGGATCTATTTGCCTTTTGGGGGAAGGGTTCTTTTTTGGTTTTTTGTTTTGTTTTGTTTTGATTTTTGCTTTTGATCATCTGAGCTTAAAATGTTTTACTTGTGTTTATGTGTGTTTAATAGAACATGTTTGAAGAAGAGTCCCCAGAGGTCAACTAAACTGCTCTTGAAACGTTCAAAAGACGCAGACATTGCTTTAAATAACCCATATGGGATTTTGACCCCATGCTGTTTGCAGTCCTGCAATAGAATTTTTCTATTAAAGATTCTGGATTAAAAAGATCAGAAAACAGGAGACAGAAAGATGGAGGGGTGAAGAAGGTTAGATTTCAAACTTGCATAGGCTTTTCCCCAGACTTTGAAGCCTATCAGAGACCCACAGACGTGTGAACCAAGACATTATTTGAACAGCCTGCTTAACAACAGGCTGAATAGAGAACCACATTTTAAATTGACAAAGTTAGCCCGTGCTGAGAGTTTTTTATTATTTGCCTTTGACCTTATTGGACACTGTAAATGAAATATAGTGGTGCAGGTTTGAAAAGGCCAGGGGCTACTTAGTTATGCCACTCCTATGATGGGGGAAAAAACCCAAGAGTGAACAAATACAGTATATTTAACTCTATCCCCTTAACTCAGACCGCAGTAATATAAATGGTTCCAATCTGTAACCCCAGTTTGGTAAGAAATCTTTTGTTATTTTTAAATTCATTTCACTATATTCAGGTAAGCCACACAGAAAAGTCAAAGCTGGAGAGGGGGCTGAGTTTTATTTTCACTATAAAGAGAACTTGAAAACACTTTATTTGGGATAAAGTCTATTTTTAACTTAGGTTTCCTAATTTCTATCACGCTACTTCTAATGCTTCTACATGCTACTTACTGCCACTCTAAAATCAGATGCACTAGAGTTTCTGCCAGCAAACTTATCTAAAATATCGTTATTTTTCTTATTAAAAAATGTCAGTCTAGTTATCTGTAACATACAATGACCACACTGGATTTCCACTCCTGGGTAAAAGCAACTATATGATTATATAAGTGACAATTGTACAACGCTCATTTCTATATTGTTTGAGAACTCTTATGTGATATGGATAACTAAAAGATACTATACTTCCTCAACATTAAATTTTTAATTCTATTAGGTTCATTTTGTTATACTGCATTTCTTAAATAATTCAAGTATGATAAAATATATTGTAGAATTGGACTGAATTATGAAATGCATTGTAATTAATTTCTTTCCTCTAGTGACTTGTGTTAGTACTTTGCTGATAATAAGAAATATGATGTATCCTGAACCTCATGAAGATACAATGTTAGAGCAGAAGGTATAAGACATGTCAGGCACTTCAAAAAACAGATAGAAAACCAAGACGGAATATGAAGCCTGGAATAGAAAACAAGCATCTTAGGAGAAGGGAAGGCATTGAAATTTTCACGCAGTTAGCCGTGCAGAGAAAACACAGTTTATTTTTCTATGACTAATATGATCATTTTGCATTCTTACCATACCAGATGGGAGAAATTGGGATTTGCTTTTTAATATATCTCAATCTCTTCTCATTTAAACCATCTTCTGTCATCCTGAAAAAGTAGGCAAAGCTTAACTTCCTGTAGGTTCTGGCTGAAGAGTATCTGCTCTGCCTATCTGCAGCCCCCAGCCTCAGCATGGCCTCCTGATATTGGGCTGGTTCACATGTGTGCACTAGCTGGGACCCACTCAGCTGCATCAAGGTTTGTGCGTGGCATTCAGACTGCTGCTGTGAACTGTGGTTTTGCCTCTCCTGGCTTGATACGTCCTCCTGAGGTCTAGCTAACTCACATTTGGCCCCGACCTGGTATGACCACCCTCACCCTGTACCCAGGCTGTCAGGGACAGTTCATGCTGGGAAGTTCACAGCCAGCACAACCTTCTCCTCCTTCCTAATGGGCACAGTGGAAACCTGGGCCATCTCCCCAAAGCAGCAGGGTAAGCTCAGGTGTTGGGGACCTTAAGTTTCCTCACTGAATCCAAACGTTTGGACCTCCCACATTCTTCCAGGCACTCTTGGAAACAGTCTGTTCCCGAAAACCCAAACAGGAAGCAGGCTGAAATCCTCCTCACCCTCAATATTGCTCTCAGCCAAATTTCACAATCCTGCCTGCCAAGATTTTGAAATAGAGAGGGGAGGTCAAGTTTTCTTTCTCTGTTTCCCTCGCCTCCACATCTTTCTCTTCCCACCGTCGTTCTGGAAGGGTGTTCTGCTTTCTTTACCTCATATTCTAGACCTTTCTACTCAGGCCATGTAATAAATTCTAAGATCTAGTAGCCAGGCTTGGCTCTCCATGTGCTAAGTGAGAGCAAATAGGACTTAAAAAAATTTTTCTCCCTCAATTCTGACCTTTATGACTGTTAACCCAACTCCAGGATTCTATTTGGTCATCAAAGACCAAACTGACCCTTTCTTTTCACCTTTCCTTGTTTCTTGTTTCTTTTCTTTCTTTCTTTCTTTCTTTTTTTTTTTATGACGGAGTCTCGCTCTGTCGCCAGGCTGGAGTGCAGTGGCGCGATCTCGGCTCACTGCAAGCTCCGCCTTCCGGGTTCACGCCATTCTCCTGCCTCAGCCTCCCACGTAGCTGGGACTACAGGAGCCCACCAACACGCCCGGCTAATTTTTGTATTTTTAGTAGAGACTGGGTTTCACCGTGTTAGCCAGGATGGTTTCGATATCCTGGCCTCGTGATCCACCCGCCTTGGCCTCCCAAAGTGTCTTTTCTTTCATTTCTACCATCACAGCCCTAATGCCCTTTCTATACCAGACAGGTCAGTGCATTGGGCTCACAAATGAGCAACTCAAGTACACAGAAATGCAAACGAGAGAAGCACATCAAAATGTGTCTACCGCACTGCGTGTCCTTCAAGGAGATTGGTGTGGGTTCCAGGGGATTGTGTGTTTGATCAGCAAAAAAATAAAAATGATATTTATTTTATTTGGTGGCTTATGTCAGGGGCATAGAGAAAGGCTGGGGCTAGACTTAAGGGGAATTTGATTGATTGGCCAAAGGCTTCAGTCATATAGAGCCACAGTCCCAAAGTGATTTCGGCAAAGCAGTCATTCCGTAAGATGTTCTGACAGACGCAGAATAAATGTATTTGGGATTGCTACATACCATATGGCCCCTCTTAAGACTCTTAATGTGTATTAGCATAGTAATGTTTCAGATAATTCCTGCCACATCGGGATACATAGAACACCATTTAACGCAGGGGGGCCATATTCATGTAACACCTATTAACAATCGAGAAATCTTTCCCTTGAGAACTGCTGCTAGTGTAATGATGAAGCTAGAAATTGGTTTTGGTGAGAACCAACAGGAGGGAAGTAGAGCTTTAGGAAGTTCTTTCAGTTTTTATTCAGAGTAAGAGGGCTTACTCTGTCCAAGGCACGCTGATTAATCAGTCCAAAAAGATGAATGCCAAATCGGTGCTTGAGGACTCAGAATTTCCCAAAATTGCCATCTTTATGTGTAAGTATAGAATGTCAGCTATTTACAGTCAGTTTGCTATGCAGTACCAGTAAAATACTCTGCTTGTATTTGATATATCAAGATTATTAAAGAAATTACCAACCTTCCCCCAAAATAATTGTTTTTAGTGAACAGCTAATGTTATTTCCTTTGCTGGGTAGGCGTGATATATTAATGGTGATGGATATCAATTGTGTATCAATGGAGATGAATGAATGTCAACACTTTGAACATACTATCAAGGTATTCCAAAATATTTTTATGGTAATATTGCTGAAACTAAGCCTTTTTTGGTGATCTTTGTTTTTGTTTGTTTGTTTGTTTCGAGACAGAGTCTCGCTCTGTCACCCAGGCTGGAGTGCAGAGACGTGACCTCAGCTCACTGCAAGCACTGCCTCCCAGGTTCAAGTGATTCTCCTGCCTCAGCCTCCCTAGTAGCTGGGATTACAGGCATGCACCACCACACCCGCGAATTTTTTTTGTACTTTTTGTAGAGATGGGGTTTTGCCATGTTGGCCAGGCTAGTCTTGAACTCCTGACTTTCAAGTGATCCTCCCGCCTTGGCCTCCCAAACTGCTGGGATTACTGGCGTGAGCCACCGCACCCGGCCCTTTTTTGATGATCTTTGAAAGAACCTATATGAAATAAAACTTGGAGAGACCTACATTTCATTTCATAATGTATTATCTCCTTTTTTAATTGAAAATATTACAACTTTCTATGTTAATCATGATAAAATGCCTCAGAGGACTTTTTATATTTTATACAGCTTGACCAATTTTATGTTTTAATTTTTAATTTTTTCTCCTTCCTTCATATAGTATTCTTTTTTAATGTGCCTTTATCCTCACTGAATACCCTGACATATTCAAAACCTCCTACAGTTGATGTCAGTAATACTAAGCGTCAAGATCTCCAAATTCATCTAATTCCAGTTTACTTTGTCAATAATCCTTGTCCTCTTTTCAAAAGTGTGGCATATTTTGAAAAATAATCAGATATTTTTAAATCCGTGTAAAACAGGAGAGTCCACTGTAAATCTTTGCTTTACCAAAGGTGGTTTATTCAGCTACAATTTCTCTCATTTTGGTTTTTTTTTTTCTCTTTCTTCCTTTGGCCACTTCAGCCATTCGACTCTCAGAAATTCTGTCAGGAAAAATAAATGGATATGAAATCTGAAGATAAAGGTTTGTGGGGAAAGAATAAAAGGATCATGAAATGTCAGGGCTGAAAAATATCTTAGCATCCAGCCTAGTGTTCTATTTACACCATCCCTGTTTTGGCTCCCAATCTGATTCTCTTCCTATTGCATCAAACTGAGTTTTAAAGAAATTTGAAACTATGCATTTCAAGACTATTTGGTGATTATGTTAATCTCCAATTCTGCCTATTTTTGATTATGTTAAAATCAGCCAAAATATAGAACATAGAGTTATGCTTATGCCCAACATCATAATATGCCTTCAGTTATTAACATATGTTGTAGGTAAGCTTGTTATTATTTGAAATGTAAATATTTATATGTGTAATGTGTAAAAGTTTTCAAATATGGGTCATAACATATCCAATGGTTTATTTGTCTATGCCACTAATACATCTTTGGGCACCCAAGTTTAAGTGCAGTACATTTTGCTGGTTGATGTACCAAGGAATGACTTATAATTGTGATGAAATTTGAACTTCATATTGCAAAAGATAATCATCATTTGCTAGAAAAAATTAAAACCGTTTAAATTTTTATCATAGAAAGAGCTAAAAGAAATTCTAAGTATATTTTTATAGATGAGCCACTTTGGAAATTTCACAGATAAAACACCAGCTTGTTAACAGAGTTAAGCTACCAAAAAGACACTCCAGAATGGGCCGTAACATAACTTTTTACCAGTGTAACTTACACTGTGATTTAAAAGTGTGTATGTGGTCAAATATGTTTCCTTTGTTTTCACTGAAGTATTTTTATTCAGTAAATACAGTCATTATTTTATCACCTTCGTGTTTTAAGCTCGAATTGTATTGAATCACATTTAGTAAGTAAAATAATCTATACTCCTGCAATTCTGAAAGTGATTCAAATCCATTTTAGGATACCAGATTGAAAAACAGCAACTTAATGTTGAGATAACGTCATGGGGTGCACAGTGATATTTTGATCAGCAATGGACCACATATAGGATAGCGGTGGTCCCATCAGATTACAATGGAGCTGAAAATTTCTTATCTCCTAGTGACACGGTAGCCATTGGAACATTATAGCATACTTTATTTTTATAAATTTATTGTGGCCTAAGTGTAAGGTGTTTTTAAAACCTATGGGAGTGTACGCTAATGTCCTAGGCCTTCGCATTCACCCATCACTCACTGACTCAGCCAAAGTAACTTCCAGTCCTGCTAGCTCCATTCGTGGTAAGTGCCCTGTACATGTTTACCATTTTTAACCTCTTTTTTTTTTTTTTTGAGACAGAGTCTCGCTCTGTCGCCCAGGCTGGAGTGCAGTGGCGCGATCTCGGCTCACGGCAAGCTCCGCCTCCCGGGTTCACGCCATTCTCCTGCCTCAGCCTCCCGAGTAGCTGGGACTACAGGTGCCCGCCATCACGCCTGGCTAATTTTTTTTTTTTTTTTTTTTTTTTTTTTGGTGTTTTTAGTAGAGATGGGGTTTCACCGTGTTAGCCAGGATGGTCTCAATCTCCTGACCTCGTGATCCACCCGCCTCGGCCTCCCAAAGTGCTGGGATTACAGGTGTGAGCCACCAAGCCCGGCCCATTTTTAACCTTTTATACCACATTTTTAGTGTACCTTTTCTATATTTAGATACACAAATACTTACCATTGTGTTACAGTTGCCTACAGTATTCAGTATGGTAATATGCTATACAGCTTAATAGGCTAGGTGTGTTACGGCTAGGTCATACCATCTAGGTTCGTGTGAGTAATCTCTATGATGCTTGCATGACTAAATTGCCTAACAATGCAGTTCTTAGAACATGTCCCTATCATTAAGTGTTGTGATACTGTATTTGATACTATCTTCTTTTGTTTCTTTGAGTTGGAGTTTCACTCTTGTTGCCCAGGCTGGAGTACAATGATGTGCTCTTGGCCCACCACAACCTCTGCCTCTTCATTTCAAAGATATTCACAGTTTGGAGGGTTAGCTATGAGTTTTTCCATTTGTGGAGACAATTTTATGAAATTCTTGAATTATTTAATAGAACTATTGGTGGTAAATTCTATACCTTTGTATAACACCAACTAAACTGATAGGGACTGAAAAAAATATTGCACTGTTTGAATTCTATAATTCCTTATTTTTTATTATTCTTATTTTTATACTTTAAGTTTTAGGGTACATGTGCACAATGTGCAGGTTAGTTACACATGTATACATGTGCCATGCTGGTGTGCTGCACCCATTAACTCGTCATTTAGCATTAGGTATATCTCCTAATGCTATCCCTCCCCCCTCCCCCCACCCCACAACAGTCCCCAGAGTGTGATGTTCCCCTTCCTGTGTCCATGTGTTCTCATTGTTCAATTCCCATCTATGAGTGAGAACATGCGGTGTTTGGTTTTTTGTCGTTGCAATAGTTTACTGAGAATGATGATTTCCAATTTCATCCATGTCCCTACAAAGGACATGAACTCATCATTTTTTATGGCTGCATAGTATTCCATGGTGTATATGTGCCACATTTTCTTAATCCAGTCTATCATTGTTGGACATTTGGGTTGGCTCCAAGTCTTTGCTATTGTGAATAGTGCCGCAATAAACATACGTGTGCATGTGTCTTTATAGAAGCATGATTTATAGTCCTTTGGGTATATACCCAGTAATGAGATGGCTGGGTCAAATGATATTTCTAGTTGTAGATCCCTGAGGAATCGCCACACTGACTTCCACAATGGTTGAACTAGTTTACAGTCCCACCAACAGTGTAAAAGTCTTCCTATTTCTCCACATCCTCTCCAGCAGCTGTTGTTTCCTGACTTTTTAATGATTGCCATTCTAACAGGTGTGAGATGGTATCTCATTGTGGTTTTGATTTGCATTTCTCTGATGGCCAGTGATGATGAGCATTTTTTCATGTGTCTTTTGGCTGCATAAATGTCTTCTTTTGAGAAGTGTCTGTTCATATCCTTTGCCCACTTTTTGCTGGGGTTGTTTGTTTTTTTCTTGTAAATTTGTTTGAGTTCATTGTAGATTCTGGATATTAGCCCTTTGTCAGATGAGTAGGTTGCGAAAATTTTCTCCCATTTTGTAGGTTGCCCGTTCACTCTGATGGTAGTTTCTTTTGCTGTGCAGAAGCTCTTTAGTTTAATTAGATCCCATTTGTCAATTTTGTCTTTTGTTGCCCTTGCTTTTGGTGTTTTAGACATGAAGTCCTTGCCCATGCCTATGTCCTGAATGGTAATGCCTAGGTTTTCTTCTAGGGTTTTTATGGTTTTAGGTCTAACGTTTAAGTCTTTAATCCATCTTGAATTAATTTTTGTATAAGGTGTAAGGAAGGGATCCAGTTTCAGCTTTCTACATATAGCTAGCCAGTTTTCCCAGCACCATTTATTAAATAGGGAATCCTTTCCCCATTGCTTGTTTTTCTCAGGTTTGTCAAAGATCAGATAGTTGTAGATATGCGGCGTTATTTCTGAGGGCTCTGTTCTGTTCCATTGATCTATATCTCTGTTTCGGTACCAGTACCATGCTGTTTTGGTTACCGTAGCCTTGTAGTATAGTTTGAAGTCAGGTAGCGTGATGCCTCCAGCTTTGTTCTTTTGGCTTAGGATTGACTTGGCGATGTGGGCTCTTTTTTGGTTCCATATGAACTTTAAAGTAGTTTTTTCCAATTCTGTGAAGAAAGTCATTGGTAGCTTGATGGGGATGGCATTGAATCTATAAATTACCTTGGGCAGTATTGCCATTTTCACGATATTGATTCTTCCCACCCCTGAGCATGGAATGTTCTTCCATTTGTTTGTATCCTCTTTTATTTCCTTGAGCAGTGGTTTGTAGTTCTCCTTGAAGAGGTCCTTCACGTCCCTTGTGAGTTGGATTCCTAAGTATTTTATTCTCTTTGAAGCAATTGTGAATGGGAGTTCACTCATGATTTGGCTCTCTGTTTGTCTGTTATTGGTGTATAAGAATGCTTGTGATTTTTGTACATTGATTTTGTATCCTGAGACTTTGCTGAAGTTGCTTATCAGCTTAAGGAGATTTTATTCCCCTTGTTTGAAGTGAACAAAGAGTTAGAGCTGACTTTATCTTGTTAAATTATAGGTGTTAATTTTGATTGCAATTCACCCAAGAGCACTTAGCTGAAGTATTTACCTGCATTAATTTACACAATACACACCCCAACTATAATAGATTAAAAGTCTACATTTTAAAAATAGTTAAATCATTTCTAAACATTTTATTACTTGCTGATACTATTTCAAGGCAATTGTGTATTTCATTTTGTTGTCTTGATAAGCTCTAAAGCCTAATGCTTTTGTTTAATATAAAAATTAAGGCTTCAGGATCACCATAGTGATTGTTTCCTATGAAAGAATGTATTATTTCTCAGATTTTAAATTGCTCAAGGGTATAAAAAAGTATTAAAAAATAATTGTATAGATCATAATAAAGCCAATGTTTTATATTGTTTTTTATAAAATGTAAAATTAATTTAAGCAGCTAAGTCTATTAATGCCAAAGAGTAAATCTATTTAAGTGAAACATTATTTTCATATGTAAGCTTTTTTATGAAAAAATTTTATGAAAAATATTAATGGAAGTTTTTTTCTTATATACGGAGTCATTTACCTTATTTGATATATGTTCTTGAAAAGCAAATATATTTTTCTTACTATCCCTCTTAGGAGATATTAAAAAGTCATATATAATATATATTTTTTTACAACCAGTGATGCAGCATTTGCACAATTATCTCTGAAGGTTTTATTCCGGATGCTTCTGCACCAGAAAGAAGGTTCTAGACATAGGTATCCCGCAACTACAGTGATCACACAAGTGCCAAAGCACCGTTTCAATTCTACAGTCAAACTTATTTAATTTGGTAACCAAATGCGTCAATTCCTTCAATTCCCATAATCCAGTTTTTGTCACCTATCCAAGTCTGTTGTGGGTGACCAGGGAGTTTATCTTTACCTATTCCTGAGCTGCCTTCCTTTTTAACCCATAGCACAAGAGGATTCAACTGCATTTAATATACAAAGTGCAGAGAACTTTAATGACCAAGTTAAATTAAACGTATCATCACTCTGTCATTTAATCAATTATTGGGTGCCGCCATCAAGGAGTTCATAGATAATATTGTTTGAATATGTATATTTTAATAAAAAAGAAAATATGTGCTTTCCTCTATCACAAAGAAAGAAAATTTTAGTGAAAAATGCCTGTAGAAACAGTTCAAATAAAACTGAAAGAACCACAAGCTATTGTCTTTTTGTATTTGCATTTTTGCTTGCTTGATTTTAGTAAGATTTTAATAAGTTTGGTGGTTTTTTACAATGTAAAATTCAGAAGTGAGATTCATTTTCAGAGTTTTAGAGAAAAGCTGAAACCGACTCGAATGCTAGAAGGCTTGTAGCTCAGCCTCCCCTGGCTCCCTTCTTCTTTCATCTGCCTCTTGATCAGGAGCACTCCTGGACTGGACAGTGGCCAAGTCCTTGGCATGGACTCTCCAGCACAGCTTTTCTTCTCCTGTGACCCATGAATGCCTAGGGAAGGCTGGGCCACTTGGCATGTTCTGGACTGAAGGGAGATTTGATCATCCTTAAATGCCACACCAATCTCTTTGTAAGGTTCCAAGGAAGACAAAATACAGGCCTTTCCCTGGAGCTTAACCTGGAGAGATTTTTCCTCTCTGCAACCTTCAAAGCATATTTTGTGTCTTTGTGAAAGTGTTGAGAGGAGAAGGCCAAGTTTTTCTTTTCTTCTTCCTGCTACAATACAACTCATTCACAAAGCATGCCCTACCCTTTCTTCATTTCCAAGGGCAGAGCATGGTGGACTTGTTCCAATTCAGGGACTATGTGATCGTGCTTTCAGGCATTGCCCCTCTTCTACTGAACCAAGGAATAGCAAATTTAATCTAATTGAATTCCACTGCAGTGGTTCGTTTATGTTTTTCCCAAGAAATATTCCCACTGCTTAAGCTTGGTGTTTGAATTGTACTATAAATAGTGCTGTGTGTGATAAATACTGCTAAGGACAGAAATCCATAAAATGTGTGTGCTATGGATATTCAGTAATTGTTATCCATATTTAGATATATTAAATATCAAGAGTCCTGAAATTCATATACTACATTTGGGGAGTTTTGTTCATCAAAAAATAAAACTCTGTGTAGCTGAGACTTTACCCTAACAGGTGGCTCCCTCAGTTTTAAAAGAAATTTCAAAAACAGCTAGGTGACATTAAAATGTGTGAGCTTTCCTCTACCCCTAGGACAAAAACTCATGTGCAGTCATGCGAAAACTATCCAGCATTCATATCAACTTTCTTATTGAAGAATTTGGTGCTAAACCATGTTCTTTAGGGAAAAAGTCCGTAACATACCAGATAAGTTAACCATTCAATTAGAAATTAAATAAGAGTGGCTGCAGTTGTAACTTGCAAAGTTATGGAATCTATATTAAATGTGAAAAAGTTTATCTAAATCCAATTAGTTGATTGAATTATATGAAAATGCCAATATTCAACTGTTTCTGATCTGTAAAAAAATGCAGATTTTATACAGTTTAACCTAATAACCAGTAGTAATATTGAGCCATACTCTTCCAGTTGAATTTTAATTTACTGTGGTAACTACTGTTTAAATCTTGAAAAGTAACGATTGCCACGCTGTGATTTGATTAATAGTGACTAAATATATCCTTTATATTTTCTTCTTGGGAAAAAAATGGCATCAGAACATGGCTTTCAATGCTGGGCTTCCTTCTAATTATGCCTCAGCCCCATTTTTCCAGATCCCAGAGTTTTAGTTGGCTATTTTGGAAAAATCTAAGAGAAAACTAAAGGCCTTCTGAAGTTTAGGTATTTTAATGGCCCTATCATCAAGTTTGCTGATTATTTCTTTGGCCACCTGAAATCTGCTGCTGAGCCCTTCTAGAGAATGTGATGCATTCTCTAGGATGTATACATATAGATATTTCTTCGAATATAATGTAACATAAAAATGTGACCCCAAAATTTAAAACTGAAATAGTTGCCTATGTTGAAGGATAAGGATGAGGTCCCCCTAATTGTGAAGTCATTGAATTTCTCCTCAGTGCCTTAGGTAGAAGCAGCTGTGGTTTTTGAGCAGGTGAAACTCCTGTTTTACTGTCAGAATGCAGTGCTGCAGTGAAGACTCACTAGCTTTTAAATCTGTAATTAGAACCAGAGCATGTGAATGCTCCAAAATGGTTTTGGAGTATAGCAAGTAGCTTACTTTCCATTTCTGTGGTAAAGTATGCATAAGAAAATAAAATTGAGGTCATACAGCCATATGGAGTAAATAAATATATTCATAGAAACTGTCAGGATTATTTTTTAAATAATTGTGAGAAAACATCATTTTCTGGAAATATTAGAAATATGTACAAATCGAATCAACTGAGCATCTCACTTTTGTATTATGGCTCCGGCTGAATTTCTTGATAGAATTATATCTACATTACCACTAGCTGCCTCTTCTCAGTCTTAAGTATAATTCCATTTAGGGGCCCTGTTATTATATCAAAACAGAATAAAAATCTAGTTATATAGTTCAAGAGTCTTCACAATTGGGTGCTCTTTGATTGCGCATAGTGTGAACAGCTCATCTTACTAATCTTTGATTCATCTTTATCACCTAATCTTATTTTAGCATCCTGAACAGCACCTGCCTGGAAGTGACTGCAACAATTCCAGTTGTATTAACAGTACTAGGACTATACGCAGATAATTTTATAACTGGGCAGGGTCTCTTACAGTGAAGACAGCTTCAGCTCCAAGAGTTTCAATGTCTCAGTGAACACGTTGCATGTAAGTTTAGATGCATTCTTCAGTCACCAACGCTACAGGAATACCTACACCAACACTATATTTCTATTCTTATATCAACACTGTAAGAATTCATTAGATATAATAAATAAAGAGCAAATGACTCAAAAGAATGAATGTATTGCAGCTCCCCATTAGGTAAGCTTCCTAAGAACAGGCAATATATTTCTTTAACACCCTTTAATAGTACAAATATAAAGGAAGGAAGTAGAGCATAGTCCTAAATAGGAGGCACTCAAGTATCTTGGCTGTCTTTGTTTTTCAAAAAATCATTGATGGTGGATTTTTCTGCGTCCAACTCTGCTTAAGTGAAACACTCAGAAATCACAAACTTGGCTGTAGTTTCTCAAAGGAGTTACTAATTCCTCTCTAAAAAAAAAACCACACACATCAAAACAGATTCAGAATGATTAAAGTGCTTTATAATCTCTTGGGGACTATTCACTTGTAATTTGTTATTTCTTGGACTGTCAAAGGCAGCTTTTATGAATGGGGAATGATTGTTATTTACAGCCTTATTTGCTTTTGATAGAGGCTTATGCGCTGCCAAGGTTACCCAGGCTTTGAGAAGGAAGAAGATTCACTTTCCCTTTTTTTAGATGAGTGGTTTGTTGAGTTTGATATAAAGTAGAAAAGACTCTTTTTGCTGTATTAGTAAAAAGAGAAAAATGGAAGAGAAACTTGGAAGGTATTCACATCAAGTGTAATGAAATACTGATTATGTCATCACATTAATTTGTGTAATGTAGGCTGCCAATATAAAGAATTCAATGCTACTGGTAGAATTTTTAGCCTGAATTAGTTGATGTTTCTCTTGCAGTCTGTGTTATGGATTAAATCTCAGATTTAAAAAAAAAATAAAGGAAAACAGGAAATATTCAACAAATATTTTGAACAGAACTGAGAAAATAATTTCCATTCATACAGGTAGGCATACCAATTCACAAATGCAACCCATCTCTTAATTGTACGGAGCTACAGAATTCCTCTTGCCATTGAACTTGACTTCTTCCTCATATAGTTTGAAAATACGTACATTCAAGGCCGGTATTATTGGTGTCTGCAGGTTCCTGTGCTGCTTCCACACAGCAGTGAGGCTGTTTAGTGCCTGAGAAGTTGCCTCGCTACAATATAAAAATTCATTTAGAAGCTCTAGATAAAAACTTAATTAAAAGGTTATGGAAACAAAAGCACCATGTACGAGGCCTTACAACTTGCTAAGCTCTGGTTCTGCTGAGCCACCAGAGGCAATGAATTCTGCAGGTACTGGGCCTCATCTGTGAAAAATGCCTGGCTGCCAGCAATAGACATTCTTGGCCATAATGAGAAACCGAGGAGGGAAAGCTTGTCTTCTTATGAATTAGCTACTGAGCAACTACTGCCTCGTGTATCAAGACCCCCTTCTGGAATTTCACCTGAAATATGCTCCTAACATGAAGGCCATGAGAAATATGAGAGGCTTTTAAAGCTCCAGCTTGGGGTCTCCTATTGAGAAGTCAAGCTGTGCAAAGCTGTTTGTGCACTGCCATGTCTCAAACATATGCAGACTTGTGATCTGCTTTTTCTTCTCCTTAATAATATACAAGTCTAGCTAAAATCCAGTTTTTATGTTTCACACCATCATCTCAAAATGTAAATAAAAAGGATGCTTCCCAACCAACAGTTTCTCCAGCTGTCGTGGAGATGTCATTTATTGAGTTACTGTGCGGGGTCAGGCACCTAATTTGTGCTCAGTAAATAAAGTTGAATAGAAGAATACATGTTCATGAAGTGGGTGCTATTGTTCCTTGAACTAAAGAGGTAAAGTAACATACCCAAAGTCACACCCACAATGTGACGTCAGAATGCATCTTCTTAAGCAGTGCAGACTCTACTAGTCCCAAAAGACCTTGATTTTCTCTGAATCAAACCAACTGGATTCTTTTTATCTAGGGTGGTTCTAGATTTTGCGGGGCCTAAATCTCGAACCATCCAAGGTGGTACTAGATTTTGTCGGGTTCTACATTTTGTGAGGTCTCAAGCTGATACAATTTGAGAGACCCTCTTTAAGAAAAAGAATACAAAATCAGGCATATGCAATTCTCAACAGGGCCTTGGAGAGAGCTCAGTGCAAGCAATGGGCCCCAAAGCTTAAGCTGCTTTGGTTTCGTGGTAAACCCTACCCTTTTCTCCTCATTCTGCCTTGGCTTCCATCTTCAGAGTGGTACTTCCTTAGAAACAGCCACTGTGGAGTCAGGGAGATAACCCACTGGTTCATGTAAACACATAATATTTTGACCTAAGTCTTGGTTCATCTTCTTACAGCAGTTTCCCCCTAAATTCTATGTGGAAAGAAAGCTTGCAAGATAGATTTTTCTCTAAGAACTCAGAAAAATCTCTCTTGTGAGGTACTTGGAATACAAGGACATGATTATTGGCCTCAAGTGTCTCACAATCTATAAGGGTAGACAGACATGTTAACAGCTATCATCCAGTGTGATAAATGCTGTAAGACAAGAGTGCATAAAGTGTTCCAGTGGTCCCATCTGTTTTTAGAGATTGGCCTCTGACTCTGCCATCTCAATGAAGCCTTCTCATACTTTTCTGTCTCTCACTGATCTCCTCTGAAGTGATGAGACACTTTGGATCTGTACTGAAGGAACACGTAACAACTTGAGCAGTCCAGCCTGATCTTCCCATCTAGACTGAAAGCTCCTTGAAAGTGGGTGGTCTACCTGTCTCCACGGGCTCTATAGGGTAGGCACTCAATAACTTTCTGACTGAGTGAATGACTGAACCACTGATGGGTGGACGTCGATGGAGGATGGCACTCTTTCTGAATGATGTCATCTAAAGGCCAGTCCACAGAAGCCATCATTGAGCATGGAAACTGTGGGGTTTTTTTTTTGTTGTTTTTTTTTTTGAGATGGAGTTTCCCTCTTGTTGCCCAAGCTGGAGTGCAATGGCATGATCTTGGCTCACTGCAACCCCCGCCTCCCAGGTTCAAGCGATTCTCCTGCCTTAGCCTCCAGAGTAGCTGGGATTACAGGCACCCACCACCATGCCCAGCTAATTTTTGTATTTTTAGTAGAGACGGGGTTTCACCATATTGGCCAGCCTGGTCTCGAACTCCTGACCTTGTGATCCACCCAACTCGGCTTCCCAAAGTGCTGGGATTACAGGCATGAGCCACCGTGTCTGGCGGTAAAACTTTTTAAAAATTTTTTAACTCTACATTTTAGTGTGCTCTTGAGAGGTAGGAACATTTGATGTTTTATCCCAAAAGGGGATTCACAAAATTAATTTTCTCTATATATGTTTTTTAATTGAGGTAAAATTCATAAGACATAAAATTAATCATTTTAAAGTGAAAAATTTGGTAGCATTAAGTACATTCATAATGTTGTACAACAACCCCCTCTATCTTGTTCCAAAATATTTTCATAACCCCAAAAGGAAACCTATACCCCTTAAGCAGTCACTATCCATTTCTTCATCTCCCCAGTCCCTGGCAACCATTAATCTGATTTCTATCTGTATGGAATTACTTATTCTGGATATTTTATATAACTGGAATCAAACAATATATGACCTATAGTGTTTAACTTCTTTCACTTAGCATAATGTTTTCAAGGCTTATCCAGGTTAGAGTATGTATCATTACTTCATTCCTTTTATGGGTGAATAATATTCCACTGTGATAGACCACAATGTGTTGATCAGTTCATCCACTAACAGACACTTGGGTTGTTTCCTTATTTTGGCTATGTGAATAATGCTAATATGATCATACATGTGTGATCAATTTGTTTGAGTCTCTGTTTTCAGTGCTTTGGGGTATAGATCTAAGAGTGGAATTTCTGGATCATATGGTAATTCCATGTTTAACTTTTTGAGGAGCTGGTGAACTATTTTCCATGGCAGCTGTACCATTTTACATCCCCACCAACAATGTACGAGGGCCCCGATTTCTCCATATCCAATACTTATTATTTTTTTAAATTAATATTATAGACACTCTACTGAAATGGAGGTAAATTTTATGTTCCAATTATTACCCTCACTTTTCTAAATATATTCAATAGCCCTACGGGTTGATTCATATTCCATTTCCACTTTTCAATTTGAGTCCCAGAGTCTCAGAACCTGGTTGTTTTAAAACATTTGCTAAGTGTGGTGATTCATCAAGGATCTACAACCAGAAATACCATTTGACCCAGCAATCCCGTTACTGGGTATATACCCAAGGGATTATAAATTATTCTGCTATAAAGACACATGCACATGTATATTTATTGCAGCACTGTTCGCAATAGCAAAGACTTGGAACCAACCCAAATATCCATCAATGATAGACTGGATAAAGAAAATGTGGCACATATACACCATGGAATACTACGCAGCCATAAAAAAGGATGAGTTCATGTCCTTTGCAGGGACATGGATGAAGCTGGAAACCATCATTCTCAGAAAACTAACACAGGAATAGAAAACCAAACACCGCATGTTCTCACTCATAAGTGGGAGTTGAACAATAAGAACACATGGACACAGGGAGGGGATCATCACACACCAGGGCCTGTAGGGGGCTGGGGGGCTGAGGGGGATAGCATTAGGAGAAATACCTAATGTAGATGATGGGTTGATGGGTGTAGCAAACCACCATGGCACGTGTATACCTAGGTAACAAACCTGCATGTTCTGAACATGTATCCCAGAACTTAAAGTATAATAATAATTTAAAAAAATTTGCTAAGAATCACTAAGACCATGTAACATTGTCTATAAATGAAATATTCTCAGGATGGAGCATCAGGAGATAGAGATCAGTCAAATAAAGAAGGATGCTCAGCTGATCAATCTCCCTAAAAGTAAATGTTAAAGAAATTTCAAAATTTTACCCAGCAAAAGTGAAGACTTATAGGTAAATTTCATTTCAGTTATTTAATTTAGTCTTCATATTTTTAGACTACTCCGAAAAGTAGATTTCTAGAAGTAGATTAAAAAACAAACACAACAGCATGTTGATTATCTGAATTACATTTTATCCTCAGCAAAACTTACTTTGTTGTTATTGGCTAATTTTCTTAATCAAATATTTAGGTATCTTACACCCCTTGACTTCTATTTTTCACATGTAGAAGGTAACATTTGAAGATCAGACATTCCAGTTGCATTCTTTTTTGGAGTTTGTGTTTGAGAGGCTACTAATCTGAGAGCTGGGCTGCAGGAAACTCTGAAGGAAGATGAGGATGTGCACAGCGGGCCACTCCCTTGACTTACTTTTATAAATTATAAACTTACAGAACTTTGGACTTGTAAAGAAGTTTGAGGCTTTTTTTGGTTTTTGTTTTGTTTTAGACAGTCTCATTCTGTCGCCCAGCCTGGAGTGCAGTGGCGTGATCTCGGCTCACTGCAGCCTCCGCCTCCCGGGCTGAAGTGATTCTCCTGCCCCAGCCTCCCCAAGTAGCTGGGATTACAGGTGCCCCCCATCATGCCCAGCTACTTTTTTTGTATTTTTAGTAGAGACAGGGTTTCGCCATGTTGGCCAGGCTGGTCTTGAACTCCTGACCTCAGGTGATCTACCTGCCTCGTCCTCCCAAACTGCTGGGATTACAGGCATGAGCCACCATGCCCAGCCTGTAAAGAAGCTTTGATGTCAGTGATTTTAAAACAGATCTTTCAGAAGAACCTCTCCCGTACTATTTTTTTCCAAAATAAATACTATGCAGACATAAGACAATACATTAGACAAACAAGCAGAAACAAAACAGCAACCAAAACCTCAACAACAAACAGAAGTGGAACTGCTCTGGTTAGTCAGGAGTGGGGGCTTGGAGCCCTCATACTACTGAGCAGTGTCTGACTGTCCTAATCTATGTGACCCCCAAGGCATTCGTGGTTCCTTCTCAGATGCTGCAGAACACAATCTGGAAAGCTCTGATCTAGTTCATGGCCCTCTCTCTGCTATGGAAGATTCCAGCTGCTGCTTGAACCATGTAACTGACAAGGAGCTCACTCCCTTTGGAGGTATCGTATTCCATTTGTGAACAAGTCCAAATGTTAGAAAGAAATTGGACACGTTGATGCAAACCTTTGTCCCTGTAACTTTAATCTGTTAGTTCTTATCTCACCTTTTGGAACTCTAAATCTCTTTTCCACATGACAGCACTTCAGGTGTGCTGTCTCCTTTTTTAGTTGACATATCCCCAGTTATTTCCACCTCTGCAGACATGACATAGTTCCCAGACCTTTGCTGCCTTCATCACTCTTGTCTGGAATGCCTCCGGATGTCCTGGACCATTTATTCCGGGTGTGGACTGACCAGTGTTGAATACAGAGGACCTTCTTCCCCTGCATTTTTCTTTTTTTTTTTTTTTTGAGACAGAGTCTCGCTCTTGTTGCCCAGGCTGGAGTGCGGTGGTGCGATCTTGGCTCACTGTAATCTCTGCCTCCTGGGTTCAAGCAATTCTCCTACCTCAGCCTCCTGAGTAGCTGGCATTACAGGCATGCGCCACCATGACCGGCTAATTTTTGTATTTTTAGTAGATACGGGGTTTTGCTGTGTTGGCCAGGCTGGTCTCAAACTCCCGGCTTCAGGTGATCTGCCCACCTCAGCCTCCCAAAGTGCTGGGATTACAGGTGTGAGCCACTGTGCCTGGCCTTCCCTGCCTGGACTTCCACCAAAGAACCTGAAGCCTGGATGTTTTTTGGCAGCCCAGGTTCACCATTAGCATGAATGAAACTTGCAATCAACAAAAGCCAGATCTTTTCCACGTGAACTGATGATTATCCAGTCAACTTAAACCTCTAAAAGGTTATGTTTGGAAGTGAATCCGTAGAATATTCAGTCTGGAAAATAATTACCTATATACACCATAATGCATTTAGAATGTAAATTTCTTTTTCAGTTATCTACTATTGAGGATTATCCATGGTTTGGCCATCCTATGAGAATAAAATAAAGTGAGAAGTGGCAGATTTTTTCTGTACAACAACTATATAAAGGATATTTAAATAAAATCCTTAATAAATAATACAAGAGACATAAATAAACATATCCCAGAAAGCCTAATGGTGTAGTGCAAATCCCTTTTTTCCATTCTTTTGGATTTTTCAGGCTCTTATGACTTGTCTAATCACATGTTAGCATCAATAGTAATGATGCTTATCTTTTTATTATATAGTTTTTCTAGGTTACCAAAGTGCTTTGATAAACATTACTGCATTAAGTTTCCCATAATCCTCTGAGATAGGTCAGGCAGGTACAGTTAATCTCCTTTTTCATGTAAGACAACTGAGGCCCAGAGACAGGGCATAATGCATAAAAGGTTGCCCAGCCAGGGATGACAGTGTGACCGTACATCCCAGTTTGCCTCAAACAATCCCAGTTTATACAGGTTGACCTGGTCGGTGAACTTTTTTTTAGCAATCTGGTTGGTGAACTTTTTTTTGGAAAAAACTAGATATCTGGATTTGGACAATAACTAGAATGATGCTCTTAAGTAAGGACTCACGCTGAACTGCACCGCCTCTTCCCTCTGCTCTGTGCTCCCTTGCATCCACACGTGCCAGTGGTGAAAAGTTCATTCAGAGAACTCAGGTTACATTTTCTTCATAGTCTTTGGCATCAGAAAACGGTCTCAACCCAGGGGCAATTTGTCTTAAATGACTTCCACTGCTGACATGTCTGACCCAAAACGTCCCTCCATATGGAGCTCTGAGTAGACAAACTATTTCTTTTTTTTTTAATTTAATTTTTTAATTATACTTTAAGTTCTGGGATACATGTGCAGAACATGCAGGTTTGTTACATAGATATACACATGCTATGGTGGTTTGCTGCACCCATCAACTGGTCATCTACATTAGGTATTTCTCCTAATGCTATCCCCCTCAGCCCCCCAGCCCCCAACAGGCCCTGGTGTGTGATGTTCCCCTCTCTGTGTCCATGTGTTCTCATTTTTCAACTCCCACTTATGAGTGAGAACATGTGGTGTTTGGTTTTCTGTTCTTGTATTAGTTTGCTGAGAATGATGGTTTCCAGCTTCATCCATGTCCCTGTAAACACATGAACTCATCTTGTTTTATGGCTGCATGGTATTCCATGGTGTATACGTGCCATATTTTCCTTATCCAGTCTCTCATTGATGGATATTTGGGTTGGTTCCAAGTCTTTGCTATTGTGAACAGTGCTGCAATAAATATACATGTGCATGTGTCTTTACAGTAGAATGATTTATAATCCTTTGGGTATATACCCAGTAATGGGTCAAATGGTATTTATGGTTCTAGATCCTTGAGGAATCACCACACTGTTTTCCACAATGATGGAACTAATTTACACTCCCACCAACAGTATAAAAGTGTTCCTATTTCTCCACATCCTCTTCAGCATCTGTTGTTTCCTGACTTTTTAATGATCACATTCTAACTGGCATGAGATGGTATCTCATTGTGGTTTTGGTTTATTTCTGTAATGACCAGTGATGATAAGCTTTTTTTCATATGTTTGTTGGCCACATAAATGTGTTCTTTTGAGAAGTGGTATACAAACTATTTCTAAGCAGTCAGGTGATGAAAAGAGGATCTACCGATATGTTTTACAGTCCTAGAAGGTATCTGGAGTCAGGATAAAGCAAAGTCTAAACCATGGGTTTAAGAGGCCAGAGCTGGATAATTGTAGTTCTTTCCTTATGTGAAAATTTGAAAGCTGAGTGATCTGCAAATGATGGGAAATTAGTTTAAAAGCAGAAAAATAGAGTTCTTCTCTCATCTTTTCTCAGCAATTTCTATAAGCCAAAAAAATTGTAGGTTTTTCAAGATGTGTTTTGAAAGATATTAGGATTCATAAAAGATTATTATGTGCACATATAGTAAATGAGATGAAGTTCTATTCTGTGGTCATTCATAAATGTTTAGTGACACGCCCTGCACTGTCAGGACCTAGTTAATAGAAGCTATAAAAAGCAGCAATCCACAAAAACACTTTTGGGATATTTTGTGTGTTTTGTGAAGAATTTTTCATGTGGGTTTTGATTGCCTCATTGAGATGACCATAGTAATATGAACAAGAAACAATATTTTGTACATAACGTACACTGGGAATCTAATCAAAGCATTTGAAAAGATAGTGACAATAATAAATGTAAACTATTAATATTATTGTTTGGGACATCTGTCAAACTGTATTTGGCCTCATACTTCCCTCATTGGAACATTTGAGCCCTCATCAATCACACATCATTCCCAAAGGCAACAAATCATAATGGCTATTTCTCCTTTAGGACAAGGCTAAGCTTAAAGAATTTAAGTCCTGCCAGTGGCAGTAAGACTAAGTGCTAACAGGGGAAAGATATAAAGAGTTTTTTTTTCTTTTTGTTAGGAGCATTAAAAACAGTCACCAAACCATTGATTTTGATTTAACAGCTTACAAAGCTTCATTAAAAAGATTTTATATGTTTTCCTTTTCAATTCCCAACAATGAAAAGAACTTACTTATTATTAAATCTGTATTTTGTACAGACTTCTTCCTTATATTTCCAAGAAATAATTTTATATATGTATATGTATGTGCATGATTGTTTGTTCCTGTCTTTTTTATTCCTCATAGTATAATTGTAGAGTTTATCTTTAGTCCAAAAACTAGATAAAATCTTATCAAGGTAATTTAACTAATTCCTCGACTCCCTTTGGGACATTATCAAGACATTTGAGACTTATATGAACCTAAACCTTACAGACAAGCATTACCTCATACCTTATAGCCACACCTAGGTCTAAACATTGTAGACATACCTAGGCCTACACTTTATGGACACATATTGGCTTGCAGCTTTTAGGCCCTTAGAAGCTGATCTTTGATAGATATATATAGATCTATAACCATGTACATAGACTTCTAGGGGCCTATACCTTAGAGACATGTATAGGACTTTACCTTATATACACATATAAGCCTGTAGCTTGGAGCCACCTAGAGGCCTAGACATATAGAAAGGACCAAAATTCCTTGATGAACATTTTAAGGGCTAAGCATGCACCGTTGAGATGTTCTTATAATCACAGACTTTTCCAACTTAAAGGTTCAACATCCTAGGATCTCTCTCCCTCTGAATATTTGATGGACAAGGAAATTGAGACTCCAGGTGATTTGCATTAAGCTTGCAGATTTGATGATCAAGGACAACTCTTAAGTGTTCTGATTCTAGGCCAGTACCTATGCTCTAAGAGCATAACCACAGCTGTTCTTTGAATACAGAATGTACAGACATTCTGACCTCAGCATAATATGCTAGATTTGGAACCTGATTGGTGCAATAAATATGAGTAGATAAATTGATCTTATTCATAAGTTGAAATTCATATATTGAAATCCTAATACCCAAAGTGATGGTATTGGGAGATGGGGTCTTTGGAAGGTGTTTAGGTCATGAAGATAGAGCCCTTATTAATGGGATTAATTCTCTTATAAAGGAGACCTCCTTGCCCCTTCTGCCATGTAAAGACATAGTGAAAACGATGACTGTTTACGAAACAGTAAGTGAGAGCTCACCAGATACTGAATCTGCCTTGATTTTGGACTTCCCAGCCTCCAGAGCTATGAGAAATAAATCTACTGTTCATGAGCTACATAGTTTATGGTATTTTTTATAGCAGACAGAACAGACTAAGAACAAACCATTATTGAGCAACCTTTTTTATTTCTAAACCTCCCTCATGTTATGTTCCTTTATATGTAGATATCTAAAAACCTACCCCAGTGTCAAAATGGAGTCTCTTAAGATAGCCCAAGGCATTCTGATATTTTTGCAGTTAATACATTTCATTTAAAACATCACTGAGGCAGATTGTTGTCAGCTTGTAATTTATTTAAATTGGTGTTAGTTTCATTTCCATTTCTGTGGTCTCTGGCTTAGCATTTCAGAGGCAGAAAGCGAATCTGAGTTCAGAAAATGCCATATTTGCTTTTGGAAACATATGTTAAATCTTGCAAGGCCTATAAGTAATGACTGATTTCAAAATTAAAAATAAATAAAGAAACCCAATGGCAAGGCAGGTACCTTATTTTCAAATAAGAAGGTGAACATTTTTAGAAGGGCTGTCTTGGATATTGGAAACTGCCAAGCAGGCCAGTGCAGTCTGGGGCTAGCATGAAGTATTGATTCAGATGTCATAATTAAATGAGCCTGAGACTGAGCTCAGATAGACACTCTTTGGAAAGATGGATAAAGAGTCAGGAAGAGATATGAGTTAGAGTCTCTTTCCCTAATAGTACTTGTCAGAATTTCAAGGGTGAGAGGTTCTATCAATTGGAACAAGAACGGCGTGGGTGTGATGGGATTTGGCACCTTATCAATTCTCTCCCTTCTAAGAGAACATGTGTGACATCTGTGATTTATTTCTGATCTACCAGTCTGGTGAGCATGAGTCTTGAGTTTGCTGCCAAATTACTGCACTCGTCTACATGCTAAAAGGCTGCTGTCACATTTAAGACTGTCAGAAATTCAGATCCTTCCCATGGGTGATCCCAGAGAGCACACAGAATAGGGACTTACTTTTTGCTTGTGGCGAGCCACGTGTGGGAGTTATGTTGTTACCAATCAACTTACATTAATCATGTTAGCTTTTCCCACCTCAACATCTGCATATATGATTAAAACAATATTATTGCCATATCAATGGAAATATAAAACATGAAATAAATTCTCCTATAATCTTACCACCCTGACATAAATGCTACCTTCACAGCCTCTGTTCATATGTACTCTGTAACATTATATTAACTTTTAGAAAACTTTTTCTGATCAACAGCAATTTATCCCATAGGGAGATATCTTCAAAATTGAGGAGGAGGACATTCTTAGTTGAATATGAAAAAAGAAGAGCACTCTAAAATCTATGGCACATCATGGGGAGGAAATAAATTAGATTGCAACAGCTTCTGAAAGGGACACACATTTTCCTTATCGCTAGTGTGGCTCTTGGAAGGTCTTTCATTTGCCAGCCAACTCTATATGGATTAGGTCCTCTGATCTTTACATCCTCACCCTCAAAGGAAAGAAGCAGGTGATGATATAAGCATATAGGGCATCAGTGATATTTTATATTTTTCTTTAAATGCCACCTCTTCCCAGGTCCGTAGCAGGGAGAGATATCATTTAAAGTTGACACCGCAGTTCCTCTGGCCACTGAATCATGACCTTCTGACCTGGGAGCTAGCCTGAATCTATAGGATTTATCAAGAAGACCTTAATATTGCAGAATGGCAGTCCTCACCAATCATTTGTTCACCATCTCTCTTTTCTTGTTCTATCCTCATTATTAGAAGAGTCATTATTTTAAGCCATTCAGTTGCCTCAGGAACTGTAAAGTAACCCTAGTGATAATTCTCCATGGCACTTAGAACCACATAGTGTTCCCCTGATCATTTGGCCTAACTTACTCAGAAAATGAAATTTACAAATTTTTTTGATTCCCAAGGTTTTGCGCTACAAAGGCTGTTGCCATCTGTTTTCTTGTCTAAGAATTGTAATCAAACTGGAAAACCACCAGGATGTATTTTATTTATTGACAGGCTAACCTCCTGCATATTTATAAGATGTAGGTTACGAATGTGTGCAAACTGACCAAAAATGTGATATAAACTGTTTTATATGGTGGGAAGTGCTCACATTTTTTTTAGAATTCTAAAACTGGAGAGACTCTTAGTTATTCTATTGCCCAACTCCCTAATCCGACAAATAAGGAACAGGAGGCTCCAAAAGGTTATCAGCCCAGAATCTGAGACTTCAAGCAGTGTAGCACAGGCTTTGAAGTCAAAAGCCCTGGCGTGAACCACTGATTTGTCTCATACTTAATCCTTGGAAATCCGTGAGCAATTTACTCAGCTTCTCTCTATAGCTTTGTGTCCTCAGCTGTAAAATGGAGAGGAGATACCTGTTCCAAAGTTGTCGGGAGGATTAAATGAGATAAGTTAACAAAATGCTGAGCCCACCATTCCTGGCACATTTTGGTTGGTGGAAGCTACTCTTTAATCAATGGAAATGATTCTTTATGTTGGAGGTGGCCACAAAGAGAGATTCCATCCCCAAGACTGGAAGTCACACGTCCCTTTTTTGTAGGGAAAAGACAGTCTGTTTTGAAGGAACACCACCTTGGAGGAAAGCTTATTCCTGTAGTATTTGGACTTTCATCCTCATATCGAGATATGAGAAAATTGTTTTGTTCATTTATACAATCCCTGCTGGAAAGTGTTGCCAGAAATAAACAAGCTCTCAGGAGCAAATGATTCATTTCTCATCTACTCAGATGACATCTGGTTTAAGTGTGATGAATACATGCTTGTTTAAATCATGTGGTGACGGTGATGCTATCTGACAGAAATGTGTGCAAATATTTGGGGAATCCCTTAAGTGCCTGCTACCAAAGGGTGAGCTTATTTAACAGGGGGAAAAGCACAAACTTCAGTCTATCAAATCAATGCTTGCATCCATTTCCTAAGGCTATAAGATTTGGAGCTACAGCGGTCGCTCTATTTGAAGAGTAGGTGGCTATTTTGACATTAAATGTAGATGCCACTAGCAGCATGAGGATGTGAAACAAATGCTCAATGGTCACTGGGACATTTAGGAAATAGCCTTTGAATAAAAGAAATGTCAAGTGACCCTACATGTTTGAATGGACTTCAGTACATTTAATGGTTTGGTTATTGTTTTTATTACCTTCACAGTTATTCATTTAATAGTGTTTAGTGGATTGTGCTAAGCCAAACACAGAACACCGAGGAGGAAATGGAAGATGTGTGTCTGCCAGGGGACTTCACATGGCCACAGGGGAAATAATCAGTCTTAACATAATGCTTGATTATTCAGATCCACACGGGACAGATGTGGCACATCCTGAAAAATGCATGGGCATTATCAGCTATTTTGAATTGTTCTTGCCAAGCCCACTCTTCCTATCCTGAATAACCTGAGAATTAGCAGTATTTAACTGAAATGTATTGAGAGTCATTTGTCTGAAGGGAATTTAAATTATATATAGAAATTCTAAGTTATCTGAATATTGAAAGTTGAAGGCTTATGCATAATGCACAACAATTGCTCGCTGAGTTAGGAATAAACATTTACATGGAGAAAATCGTGTGAAACATGGCAAAGCATAAGGAATGCACGCTCGATATACAGCCCATTTAATAATATATGCAAAAAAAGAAAGAACAACTATCTGTTTTATGCAGGCCATCAGTAGCTACTATTTGTGTAGCACTTTACAGTTTTTAAAATACTTTCCATGATTTATATCATGTGAGATGATGATCCTATTTTACACCAGGCAATTAATAATATTTTTCAACAATATAATTGGCATCTCAAATACATAGTTGTTTTCCTGAAATATCAATAAATAAAACCAATTTTATGAGGCATTTATATAAAGTAGCCCCCAAATGTTTCATAATAATTGATTTTTACATATGAAGCCTATTATCTCTGTCATTATATTTTCTTCAAGTGATTTGTTGCTAATTTATGTTTGGAATGATGGGGAGGTCTATAGACAGCATTGAAGTGGGCATTTTATCGTGGAACCAAAAATATACCAGTTTATCACATATTTCAGAATTTTTCAAGCGTGTCCTTAAGCATTAATGGTAATAGAGTAAATGTGCAGTGAGCAGAAATCATCTCTGCTCAAATGAGAATGAGCTTCAGTTAATGGGAAGAGGTTTGGTGATTGTAGGTTGGAACAGCGTCTTTGAATACCTTCACCAGACTAGATTTTATAAGAGTACAAAATGCAGAGGAGTGCATATAAATATGTGGATGTGTGTGTGCATGTGCTTGTAGGGTGCATAGAATAAAAACTGGAAGGGTACACACAACTGACGAGGAACTCTCTGGGAAGTGCAGTGTAAATGGGAAGGTGATGGAAAGGGATTTTTTTTTTTACTCCATATACTTCTATATTATTTCAATGATTTTTGCAATGAGAATATATTCATTTACTACTTTTGTAAAAATTTTAAAAATAAGCCTAAAATGCACCATGATGCCGAGAATTAAAAATGGACCAATCTGGTCACATCTGCTTTTTTTTGTTTATTGGCTTGTAAAGGAATTTTCTGGTTTTTCCTCAGATAGATGTGGTTCCGAGCATCTAGGGATGGAGACTCTCCATTTTTGGCCTTTCTTATCTCATTTGCTGTATTTCTGTTCAGTGGTGTGCTATTAACTGTTGAACAGCTGGATCCTGGGATAAGAAGGAAGATCCAATTTGTAGCATTTGCTGATACCTGTGGTGTAAATATTTTCAAAGTAGCCAATTTTCAACTACCAATCTGATGTCAAGCAGCTCACAAAATCTCTAGAAATTGTCAATTGGCTGTCATTCCAGTGGCTCAAATCGTGGTGTCTAACGCCTTGATTCTCCTCCAAAAGGATGCTCTTTTGGACTGAGTATCAGATTTCTGAAAACCTATACTGTTAGAAGGGAAGGTTCAGGACAGAGAAAGAGGAAGATTCGTTGGATAATTCTTTAGCCAACCAAGAGTGGAACTGGAGGCCCGAAGGCTGAGTCTTCCAGAGCCTACCACCAGATTGAAGTGGCAGCTGCCAGTCTTCCCACAGTGCCAACGGGCACATTCCCAACCCAGTAGTGCCAATATAGAAGAAAGTAGGCCTCAAGTTCTTCATTTATAAAATGGAAATAATAATTCAATGAAAGGCTAAGAACTATAAATCACTTAGAAAAAAAGTGTTATATTTAAATATTTGCACCCAAAGATGTTTTCTTCTTCAAATCAACACTTCTGAAAGCTTTCCAACTTTCTCCAAATGGAGCATAGTATGATTCTACAGCTTTGTGTTCTCGTTCCGATCAATTCTAAAACAATCTTAAGTCAATCTTAGAGACAAGGAAGGGTATTCTCTGGACCTCTAAACAGCTTCCTCTTTCAAGGCAGGTTACACTAAAGGACAAGCTAGCCTAACAGTGTGCTTTTGGCATAGCCTGGTCAAGGACAACTAGGGGTTTTGACTTAATTAAGATAAGGCTTCTTTCAAGTGACTGCTTGGAAGTCAACAGAGGAGACTTGGGGTAGATCTCATCTTCGTGCTCAAAGGGCAGAAGCTGAGAGCAAAGAATGGTGTTTGAGGCTTTTGGCAATAAGGGATTGAATGATGAGAACTTTTTGCCCTGTCCCCGACCCATAGATGAGAGGAGGATGCTTATTTCTATGTGACGCCAACCTGTAGCAAGTGGGAATATGTAGACCGATTTCATCTACAACCAGGGAAGTGGCTGATTGACTACAAATTAGACATCTTGATGTCAGTAGAGGTTATTTAAGTGATACAGACTAAGAAAAGCACATTGACACAGTCAGCACAGGATAACATAGATTCTCTGTGAGGCTGACTTCGCCCAGTATCCAGCAGTGGCTGTGTAAGAAATCCTGGTCTCTGTCTGCTGGCTGCACTGCTCTCTGGAGAAGCACGCACAAGAAAGAAGCGTTTGATTTGGAGATGATGGGGCGGAGAGGTAGCCGGAAGAATGTCTTCACCTGAGTTTGCTTTGGTCGCTTGTTGAACATGCTGGCTCCACAGGAAGATTAGACCTTTCTTGTTTGTTCGGAGCAAGCATTCAGAACACCCAGGGCCCTCAGCCTCCTACAGCCGCTGGGCAGGTAAAGGGGAAGCCTGATGCCTTGCCCTGAACTAAGGGGCTTCGTTAAAATTTCTCTTTTTCTCTCTCCTGTAGTCTACCTTGAACTAGACTGATGGTTGTGTTTATTCTTTGGTCTCTGTGTGCTTTTGTTTTTGGGGGTTTCTTTTTGGTCTGTGATCTCTAGTTTTGTTCAGCAGTGATTTGTAGGAGGCATGCTGACTGTACTGAATACCACCCCAGGTACTGCTCAGAAGGCGTCCCTGAACTTCAGCAGCTGTTAGATCCTAGCATAAACCGACACAGAGAGACAGGCTTGTGGTGAAACACTGGCCTTTCTGCATGCTGTTTCCAATCAAACACAGATTGTCCTTTCCGCCTGGGAGAATCATTTCCAAAGCCAAGTGCCTTTCACTAAAGAAATGTCAGCACTCTCATCAAAGGCTTTGGGCTTCTTTGTAAATGTCCAACTGCATGGGCTAGAGTGCTTCCCCCTGGTGCTGCCTTAGTTGTGTGTTGGTGGCACTGAATCCTGTTGCTTATTTTTATGTTGTTTGAACTTTTAAGATGGCTATTGTTTCCAATTCTTCTATTAAGTCTTCTGCTGAATACATTCCTGTGTGTGGCTCTATTTCTCATTTCTGCATAACACCCTGCAGTATTCAAGTGGTACATCTGAGGTTACTATTGTATGCCCTACTTCTGTGATGCCTTGATAAGGAATATTTTTCACTTCTTGTTTGATATGAAATTTTAAATCCCAGTGAATCAAAGTTGTTGGATGGCATCTTGTGAGTTGCATTTACAATAAAGAATTGTTCACAAACTTCCTCTCACCACTTGTGTAATCTATAAGCTACATGAACTGAATAGACAATACTTTCTAACGTGATTTGTTGACAGGATAGTGGTGGGTTGATAATAACTACAATTACTAAGCCTCTGCAATGCCAGATCATGTGATAAATGTTTTACATATTCATTTTTGAATCAAAGTAGCTTCAAAGCTAGGTAGTATTTCTACCTTTTATAATGTGAATAAGGATAAAGTCATTGTCCAGGATCAAACACCTAGTAAGTGGCAAAGCTGCTTATGAACCTGGATCTCTGACACCATTCCATCTCTCTCCATGAGTCAATGCAGCCTTCTTGAAAACTGAGCAAGAGACAGAAAGTGGTATACCGTAAGTATGCAGAAATGCCACTTTGGAGTGGGGTTGTGTAATGGCACACTCCATCTACCTAGGGAATCCTTTTAATGGAATAAGATGCTCAGGGGAGTTCACTCCCCTACATTTCAAACAGGAGGGAGAGATATTGTGATAAATGAATTGAATAACAGAGTAATTTCAGTATTGCTTCTAGAAATACCTTTCAAAAGTCCCAGGAAGTTTAGCATTATCATGAAACTTCCCCATAAAGGACTTAAAGTTTTATTTTCTTTCACAGGGTCCTTTGAGTGTTACATTCTTTTTCTTTGTGGGTGGTTGATTGAGATTATTTTTCTTAAATATAGAAAGTATGCCTATAGCAGTCATTTTCAAGGATGATGGCAAGAATGTGCATCAAACTTTTGTTATCAGGACTGTGGAGAACAAAAGAGGATCCAAGTGAAAGACAAAATGGTTCTTCAGCACCCCAAGGGTATGGTGATATGGTTTGGCTCTGTGACCCCACTCAGATCTCATCTTGAATTGTACTCCCATAATTCCCTCATGTTGTGGGAGGGACCTGGTGGGAGATAATTTGAATCATGGGAGCGGTTTCCCCCATGCTGTTCTCACGGTAATGAATAAGTCTCATGAGATCAGATGGTTTTATCAGGGGTTTCTGCTTTTGCATCTGCCTCATTTTCTCTTGCTGCCACCATGTAAGAGTGCCTTTTGCCTCCCACCATGATTCTGAGGCCTCCCCAGCCATGTGGAACTGTGAGTCCAATTAAACCCCTTTTTCTTCCCAGTCTTGGGTATGTCTTTATCAGCAGCATGAAAACGGACTAATACATATGGTATTCTTAACTTTTTCTAGTTCTTTATTTTATTTTTTAAAACTTTAGTCTTGCGTGAATTTTTTCTGATGGAGATGCCATTGATTTTCCTTCTGTGGAAGGTATGGTTTCAACATTACATTTTATGGCAAGGTGGATTTTGACCAGTTTTGCATCAATTTACAAATGTGGGTCACCATTCCTGATTGCTTATATCAGGAATTGGCAAACTTTTCCTCAAAAGGGCCAAATAGTAAATATTTTAGGTTATCCAGGCCATATGGTCTCTATCACAACTACTCAACTATGTTATTGAAGCTCTAAAGTAGCCATATGTAAATGAGTGTGTATGGCTCCGTTCTAATAAAACTTCATTTATGAGCACTGAAGTATAATTTTCACATGTCAATAAGTAAATAAACTTGGTCTTACAGTAAAGATCTCATGCTCTTTTCGCTCTCTGAAACAGGCCAATAAAGGGTGCTCTAGGGAATTTTTGAAAACAAAAAATGCAGCAGAGCTTAGAAAGGGGCATTGTGGAGGTCTAGCACACACACAGTGCACACACACACATATACCCATCAAACACACTCACAGACACGTGAACACACATGCACACCCACCACGCAAACACATTCACACAGACACATAGATACCCTCCTACCCAACACACACACAAACCAAGTGAGATAAATGTGCAGATAACATAATCAGAGCTAGCATTTCTTGAGTGACTAAGGTTTGCCATCCCCTGGCTAAGCATGTCACAGGAATTATCCTGTTCTTTTCTCATAACCACACCATGAGAGAGGTGCTGTGGTTACCATCATTTTACCTATGAAGGATCAGTTTCAGAGAATACAATAGAAAGGAAGGAAGGAATGCATGGTTCTCCTCTGTGCACCTAAACTGTGCATATAATTGGAAAACTCCCAAGCATTGCAGCTTAAATCTGTTGCTTTGGCAACTTTATCTTTCTGCCATACAGTCATGTAGACCTCTATTCGGTTGGCAAATTGTAATGCAAACTAGTATGCTTGAATAGGCTTTCAGAACTGTCACCTGCCTAAACTGAGGCCTCAAAAGCTGCTCCTGAGGTTGATGCCATTATCTCCTGATGTGCCTCTCCCCATCCGTAGTCCATTTTCCACACTAGCGCAGGAATGCTTGCTAAAACACAAACCCCATCATGTCACTACCCTTCTGCTAATAAAACTCTGCAATGAGGTAACATAGCCTCAAATCTTGAGCATGACATTATAGGTCATTAAAGAAGGCCTCAAAGAGCTCAGTGCTAGCTCTTACCGTTCCCTTTGGTCGCTATTGAGATATTAATATTTCACTACCAAATAGCCACACACGTAATAGACATACTTCCAACTTGGAATCTTTTCTGTCTCCAGTCCCTCTTCATATCTATATCTGGAACATTCCTTTCTTTCATACAAGACCTAGTTCACATATCACCTCTTGAGGTGCCCTCCCTAGCTCCTCTGCCAATGCGCTTTATTTTAGCACTTACTAAAGCAGGATGGCTTTGTTTCTATTAATATATACCCCTGCTAATAAGACTTCTACCTGAGAGCAAAGACTGCGGTTTACTAGTCTTTGTTCCCAAAATAATTAGCGCAGTTCCTGGCGTGTTATGACCACTCAAAATATTTTTTATTTTTGTTTTTCTTTATCATTGAGTGAATGGATGAAGTTCTGTTATGGTCTCACTTCAGTCCAGCACTTTCCTTGCTGTTAGTTGTGTATAATATTTTGGAATACTTGTAACATTGTGTGATTAACTCAAGGTCACTTTCAGAATTTCTGCACCTAGATAGGTATACTTCTTTTACATCTGTTATTTCTTTTTGCTATTTTCCCTCTCAAAATGTTCTTTTTTTTACTGGCTTCTCTCTGAACAAAGATATTTATGAGGCAATGTTTCCTAGTGGTTTGATCCATGTGTCTAGGGTCTTGATCTAGGCCCACCACTCATGGCTCTGTGATACAGACAAGTTGCTTGGGACCACTTCTCCAGCTATCAATGGGGATATGAAAGTTTGCCCAAGTCATGCAGAGGAGGCCATGCTCGCCTCATTCATCCCGGTCATTAAAGAAGGCCTCGAGAGCTCAGTGCCAGCTCCCACTGTGTTCCCTTTGGTTGCTATTGAAATATTAATAAGATTATTGAATACTGTTCTCCCATGAACTGTGTCACCCTTAACTTTGAATGTATCCAGATGACTTTTATAAGAAAGCAACATGTGTGTCATGAAGAGGGAAAAAAATGACTTCTTCAGCCCTTTTTGGAAACAGTTAAGATAGAAGTCATAAATTATGAAGAAGTTATTGAGAAAAAAGTGAAAATTTTTGCTGATGTTATAAAAGAATATCTTATCCTCCCCTCATAACTCTAAAATATAAAAATATTTTTTAAATTGCTTATCAAGCCAGATATGAAAATTAGGACTAGTGAATATGTGAACTGATATGAGCTCCAAGAGTTTGCCAAACAACAAGTTTGTAGGCCTCCCTGAGTTTATTTGATCTATTTTTCACACTTATGATTATAAAACTGCTTAGGATGTGTTTTATTTTAAACGAAACCAGCACCTAACACCTAGAGGTGCTCAAGTATTGATTCTCCTTCTTCCATACTTCATTTACAAAGTTAACTTTTAATGGCAAAAACTGCAATTACTTTTGCACCAACCTGATAGAAATTGTGAGTTTGGAAGACTCCAAATGTACACTTCTGAATGGCTGATTATCCAGCAAAGACTCCAAACAGGCTGCCTGGCGAAGAGGCTAAGTTGTATCAGGCTCTCCTCTGCTCTAGCAGAAAAGTGAATTTGCACAGTTGCCTGAGCTTCTTGGATAATGTTTGATGTTTTTCCCTCTCTACTGAGAGAGAGAGAGAGAGAGAGAGAGAAAGAGGGAGAAGAATCAGGCTCATTACTAGGTTTTTTTTTTCTTTTGATTCTGTGCTTGGAGATTAATTTTAATGGATTCACCAACATTGAAAATGAATATCTCTACGTAAAGGTCATCGTTATTATGTTCCAAAATAGGTCATATTTTTTGTATTGCCGCCAGAAACAAATGTGTTGTGTATGTTTCTGCCACAGAGCATACCTTCTAGCCATGTTTGGGTGTATGCCTCACAGAATTGCGTAGGTAATTCAAGAGCAAAACAGCATATCCAAAGAAGATGAAAATGCTGGTGCTGGTACATGTTGCGCCATCTCATTGACACTCATAGGATGCCTTAGGATCTTAAATGTGTTTACCATGTCAATGTCTGTGTATTTAATCTTAATATTTAAAGAATAGAAGCTACTGATGAACAATTTGGCTCTTCCTCCTCATAAGACTATGGACAAAAGGAGGTAACCAGGTCCACAGGGCCAGAACTGGCAGATGGCCACTTCCTATCTTACTAGAGATGGAGTGTGGGGAGGAGAAGCTTATATTTCTTGGCATTGTTTTTCACATGTTATTTCTTAGCCTCCAGAATTCCACGATTTTAAACAATTTTATCAAGCCGTGAAAACTATTCTGTGGTTTATCTTCCCAAAAAGGAAACTATAGATATTGACTGGAAAACATTTGTTTCATCTCAAACATTTGAGCCTGTTTTTCAGTTCAATTCTTAATTCTGCCTGTGTTCAAATCACCTAGTGCTCCCAAAAGCATGGAAGTAAATGTTAGACCTGCATGAGCTCCTGTTATTGGTGGGGGATTTTAAGAAGGGGAAGGAAGCAGAATTGGAGTCTTGTTGGGTGTGATTACTCTTTTATGTTTTTCTGAAAATATTTGTCTGTTTTGTGTTTGCCAAATTTACTTGCCTTTCCCTTGGAGTCATTAAGAAACAAAGCATGTTGCTATGCAGTGTGAGGCTTAACAGGATTTTGAGGTTTACAGATCCCCAAATCCTGCAGAGACACAGGTCTTGCTGGTAACATTCGGACAGAAGAAGATTCAAAAGCAGAATGAATTGACAGTCATATTTCTCTGCCAGAAGCACCAAAAACCCTGGTGTTACCTTTAAGGGAAAGAAGAGCACAATATGAGTTTGAAATATGATTTATGTCAGAAAAATCATAAACTGCACATGGGGTGTAGCTTTTTTTTTTCAACCCTTGAGACAAGCTGGAAACACAAAGCTTTGGTCCTAAGCAAGGTTTCTAAAAAAGGAAAGAGTAAAATCTATTCCTGCATTTCCAGCTGCAGTTCCAAGCGAACGGATTGAAAAATCTAAACAAAACCAATGTGAAATTCATTGCGAAGCCAAGGCTTTCTATCACCATGTCTGGTTCAAAAGTGAGTTGTTATAGCAACAGGAGAAAAGTAAATGAGCATTTCACGTTGTAAAATTATGCCTGCCTCTGTTCTAAACAGCCGCTGTCCAGGCAGTCAAATGAGCCCAAGTCATTTAAAGGAGAAGAATTCCATTTTAATTGTTGAGGCTTGCACCAAAGCTACCTTTAAAACCAAAAGTTCATTTCAATTAACCTTATTCCCCAAATCAATATAATAAATTCTCTGGCAGGATGAGACCGAGCAACGGCCTGTCTGATGAAGATGGCCTCAGGAAAACATGGTGCCAAGGATTTCAGCTCTGAAGAATGGCCAAAGCGCTGCGTGGCACTGAGCTCGCGGCCCGGGCACAGAGCCTTTCACCTTTAAATCATTGTTTTTAATCCAGTATAGATTGGAAGCAGACGAGAGACCTTGCTTTTTAACACTTGTTCACTGACCTGTATTAAATTGGATGTTGATCGGGGTCTCGCTTCAAACAGATGTCTATACAGTGGACATTTTCTGATGCCCACACTGGCTTCAAGAAAGAGGCAGAAGGCTGAATGAGATTGGGAGGATTTTTTGTTTTGTTTTTTTTTGTTTTCACTTCTGTAAATAAGCCCTCCATAGCTAACGGGTACGGTGTAAGGAGATTGCTTGGATCAGTGGTTTTGTCTTACTTGTCTTAAAAGGAGCCTGTCTCAAGATTGACACATTTCTATTTAGTCAAGCATTTATAATTATCAGTGTTGCAGATTATCACATTTAAACTAATTTGGAAATATGTAAAACAACAAGGGAAGGAAAACCAACCCTTAGTCCCTAAAAGCGACACTCCCACAAAGCCTAAGGCAAATTTTTATTATTAGCTATAAGTGATCTGCATAATTAGCCTTGGCTAATATTCCCTAATGCCTTTCTATTTAAAGAGACAGACACACCATTTTCATACACAGACAAGTTTGCAATTCCTACAAATCATCTTCATTTTAAGAGTGAGAAGCACTAAGCAAGTTAAGATTGGCAATTTGAGATTCTAAGAAGAACCAAGCCTCATAAAGCCCTCACGAGGCGGGGTGCTGTTGTACACAGAAAGGGAGGAGAAGGAACGGAGTGGAATTTAGAGCCCCAGGCTTGCCTCCATTGAGGTTGAAAGCATTGTTCAGGAGCGCCTGTAGCCTCCTGACTCCCTATTTGTGAAGATAGAAAGCAATTTTTACTCTTATGTCCTGGGCCTCAGTGGCATCAGTAGACTTTGCCTGCTCCTAGGCCCTGCACCAGGAGTCCCGACATGACCAATGATCTGGCTCATCCAGGAGGATATAACAGAAAGAGAGGTTCTCTGGCCCTCATCATTGTGATACTGATTCAGGAAGCCTTGGATGGGGTTTGGGAACCTGCATTTTTAATAAGCTCACCAAGTTATCATGACGATCATCAAGGCTTGCAAACCGTTGCCCAATCTTTGCCCACTCACTTTACCTGGAGGGAAGTGGAGGGCCAGGAATGGGAATCACCAGTGAAGTCAGCCCCAGGCACTGGCTGAGACTTCTGCATAACATCCTGGGCGTATCCAACCCCATCTGTTCTTTTCCACAGGCATCTTCCTAGGGCATCTCATCCTTCAGATTTTCAAAAATTCTGGAGTATTTTGATATAATTCTATAATTTCTCCTGAGGAAATAGAGTGAAACCAAAACTCAATATCCTGGACCACCAGGCCCTTCATGACCTACCCCTTTCTGCAACCTCTTCTCATACCCTCTTCTCATCCTCATTCTGCTTCAGCCAAACTCCTGTCTGCTTAGGGTATTTGTGTTGTTTTGCCTCTGGTCTTTCCCCAGATCATTGCTTGGCTGTCTGTGTTCCACCTCTCAGATCCTAACTTATATATCGCCTCCTTGAGTGGTCTCCTCAGATGCTCTGTCTTGGAATAGGTACCTGACCCGCCATCCCACTTCTGTCCTCCCCAACGAGGTACCCTCCATTACAAGATTATGTTTCTTTATTTGCAAGTCCTTAAAACGCTCTGAAAATATCTTCTATATTATTTGTTCGGTGTCGATTGTTCCTCTTCCTGCACTAAAATGTAACGTCCATAAGGTCAGAAGCTCACGGTTGCTGTGATGAGTTTCTGCCATCTCTCAGTCTCATACAGCTAGTATGGACCCAAGCTAGGCAACTCCAAGGCTCACATACCCCCCAAGGTGGAGGACAGAGATGGAGCACAGTCCTTTCATTTCACTTTCCCGCTGGCAGAGCAGATGGAATCATTACGACTGGATACATTCTGAATGATAACTGTAAATTGAGGATTCTAAGTTTTATTAGAGTTGATAGGATATTAAGTGGTTTTTGTTTTGCTTTGTTTTGTTTTATTTTGCTTTTTGTTACAGGTAGAAATATATAGGATCATTTTCCATCTTAGAGGCCTGTGTCTTCAGCACAGAGACATTCTTATTCTACAGTGTAGTTTTTATCACTGGCCCAGGAGATTGACAATTCATTAACAAAATAACCCTAGATGCACATACAGTTAAAACAGGGGGAGGAACATTAAAATGACACGACATATAAAAATAAGAGAAACCACAAGAGAGGAGAAACTGGAACAGATTGGCCACCCTTTATCAGAACGTATTTGTTAGGTAGTAGGTACTTCTAACACTAAAACCCTAAGGACTCTTTATTACACAATTTGGCATTAATGTTCAGTGTATTTTAAATTCAGATTTTCTTTAAACACTTCTAGGAATCTTCCGCTTTTTATTCTTCCAAACCCTGGCTCCTCTCCCCAGCCCACTCTCCCAATCCAGATACATATTTTTCTTTAAAAAAATTTTTTTGAAAGAGAACTGCCAAAGAGTTGACACTTGGCATGTGGTGATTCAAAAAATACACTGTCCCTTCTCACCACCCCTGATGTCTTTATCTGACAAAATCCATATGCTGTATGATCACCATGGCAACTAAGTAGGGTTGTAATTGCAACCCTGGAAAGCCCGTGGTGGTTTTTTTTTTTTTTTTTCACTCAAATTGTGGCATACGTTTAACCTCTCTCAAGTTTCAACAAACCATCTTTTAAATGACAAGGGTTGAGAAAAGTCTAATTTAGTCTGTTTGTTAGAAGGCGCATTTCTTCCTTTTTTAACTTAATAAACTAGCTTTAAAAGGAGGTGGGGGGAGTGGGAGAGGCTGCAATATTTTCTGACCTCACCTTACAAAATTATACCTGGTCATTTTATAACAATAAAATCTAAATGTATGACACTTCTGGAGAGTACACAGACAGTGTCTTCAGACTGTGTAGTGAGAATCAAGCAAGGCTCCGTGGCGGTACAACGGCAGACACAAAAGGATCTTAAGGCCCAGGTTCCAAACCTTTGCCTTCCACCTGCCATCGAGAAAATGCTGCCTCCCCTGTGACCAAAGGCATGAATATTCAAACTAGAGGGCTACTAAATTAGTTTCTCATTAAAAAAAATTTTAGCTCAGGTGAGTTTTCTTCTTTACTTCTGTTCACAGTAGTTTCTATAGAGGCTGCATTTTGTTCTTCTAAATAGAGGAAGCATGACTTTTGGAAAGATACGTGGGCCCAGTCATGCGATCCCATGGGATGTGAGAGTAATAAAGTGTCTGGTGAGGAAACGTGAAGAGCCTAGTTCTGCTCAGCCAAGCATGGTAGGTATTATGCCCAGGAGTCTATCCTGTAGCTACCTGAAACTTCATGGTGTTGAAGAAAAAGCACAGGAATGGAATTCAAAGGACTTGGATTCTAGTTCTGGCTCAATTCCTTTCTAGTTGTGTGACCATAACTCAGCATTGTGCAAATGCACGGTTTGGCAGTATGAGCTCTGTATACCTTTGAATCCACTCCTGCCCGGTCTGCCTGGAGGACGTAAAGAGAGTCTGGCATGAACCTATCTGCTTGAGGGACAAGAAACGTTCAGGGAAAGCCCCAACCTGAAACAAGGGAAGACAAGACAGCCCAGCATGGGTTGTCAGCAAGAGTAAGCAGGAAACAGAGGGGAGATCTTGAATCCAGCAAATCAGTGAGTGCATCTTCCTCCCCACTTCCCGACACCCATCCCAGGCATGATAGGACCCCTACCATAGTGCACCAGACAGCAGAGGCTGTGGCCAACAATGTAAACCAAGAGAAGAGCCTTTTTCCTAGGGTGACGACACCCATGAGATATTAGTCCGTTTTCACACTGCTATCAAGAGCTACCCGAGACTGGGTAATTTATAAGGAAAAGAGGCTTAATTGAATCACAGTTCTGCAGACTTAACAGAAAGCATGACTGGGAGACATCAGGAAATTTACAATCATGGCAGAAGGCAAAGGGAAAGCCAGGGCCTTCTTCTCATGGTTGCAGGAGAGAGAGTGTGAGCGAGCGGGGAACTGCCACTCACTTTTAAATCATCAGATCCAATGAGAACTTACGAACACAAGAACAGCATGGGGGAATGGCCCCCATAATCCAGTCACCTCACACAAGATCCCTCCCCCGACATGGGGATTACAGTTTGAGATGAGATTTGGGTGGGGTCACAGAGCCAAACCATATCACTTGATTTGCCTGGGATAACCTTGTCTTAGATGCCTATTGTCCTGGCATCATTATCAATAGCTCCTTCCCTTCATTATCAAAAGTGCTCAGATTTAGGTGTTAAAGTATGTGGTCACCTGCTTTTTGGAGATATTTCTGTGAGTTGAAGAAAGCCAGGAGGTGGTGCCACTTTGTAGAATGTGTCACCATGTAGCTCCCAGGGTAGAACTGAGGAACCCTTCCTTGCTGAGGTGCCTGAAACAGATGCAGAGTGCTGAGTGGAGAACTCAGACTGTTCAGACTGGGGACGCAGAGCAGAATTGTGGGCTGGTAGCACCGGAAACATCATCACAACCCACAGAGTGGAGCCCAGGAGATTGGCCATGCGAGGGATGACTGAAAGGCCTGTGCATGGGAGAACATGTATAAGACACCCCACAAACCCCTGAATGTAAGGGGAAACTGAGTGGAGGCAGAGATCCGTGGTTTTGCTATTGGAAAGTGGCGGGGTTGTTGACCACATCTTTCCCAGCCTAGGGGACTGTCAAGCTCATCCCTTCATGCCCCCCAGGTGCATGTGGAGGTGTGTGCAGTGTAGGAATAGCATAGGAGCAGCGGCACAGGCTTCACATCACTCTTGGACTTTCAAGTGATGCTCCCAGTGGAGGTCTTTCATCAGGCCCAGCCCCCAACCTCATTCTAGGCAATGTGTCCTTTCTGGCGGTCAGTTCCTAAGGACCTTCTGGTGGTCCCTTTACTTCTCCCTCCCAGTCTCCTGCCCACAACGCCAGTGAGAGATCAGGGTTACAGGAAACAGTTTCCCTTTCCTGCCTCTGATTTCCTCTCATCTAGACACTCTATCTAAACTCAAGAATTCCTTTTCCCTATGGCCTTATATTTCATCAAAATATACATATAAAGTAGAAATATTTTATACTTTTTGTTTTATTATATACTTAAATGTATGTATGTGTATCTTATTTTTTATTAATATTTATATTGAAATATAAATTTATTTAAAATGTGAAGACAAATTCTGGACATACTCTCCACCTACCCTCATGACTCCCTAAAACACAGAGCCAACTTCCTGTTTAAATGGAAGAAAGAGAGATGGAAAATTATAAGGAGAAAAATAACACATTGATTTCCCATAACAAATTACCAGAAACAAAGTGACTTTAAAACAACACAAATTTATTATTTTTACATTTTGCAGGTCAGAAGTCTGGGTGGGTGCAGATGATTCCTCTGCTCTGGGTCTCACGAGTCCAGAATCAAGGTGTTGGCCACCCTAGCCTCTTATATGGAAGCTTGTGGGTGTGGCAGGGGAGGATCTGCTTCTAGGTTCATTCAGGCTATTGGCGCCAATCAGTTCCATGTGGCCATAGGTCCCTCTTTCCATCCTAGCTGTCAGCTGGATGTCATTCTCTGCCTTTAAAGGCTGTTGGTCCCCAGCTCATAGCCCCTGTAATGGTTAATTTTATGTATCAACTTGACTGAGTAACAGGGCACCCAAATATTTGGCCAGACATCATTCCAGGTGTTTCTATGAGAATCGTATTGGATGCGCTTAGCATTTGAATCAATAGTCTTAGTAAAGCAGATGGCCCTCCCTAATGAGGGTGGGCCTCATCCAATCAGTGGAAGGCCTAAAGAGAACAGAAGACTGACCCTCTCCAAAGTAAGAAAGAATTCCTCCTGCCTAATGCCTTAGAAATAGGACATGGGCAAAGACATCATGACTAAAACACCAAAAGCAATTGCAACAAAAGCCAAAATGGACAAATGGGATCTAGTTAAACTAAAGAGCTTCTGCACAGCAAAAGAAACCATCATCAGAGTGAACAGGCAACCTAAAGAATAGGAGAAAATTTTTGCAATTTATCATCTGACAAAGGTCTAATATCTAGAGTCTACAAAGAACTTAAACAAATTTACAAGAAAAAACAACCCCATCAAAAAGTGGTTGAAGGATATGAACAGACACTTCTCAAAATAAGACATTTATGCCCCCAAGAAACATATGAAAAAAAGCTCATCATCACTGGTCATGAGAGACATGCAAATCAAAACCGCAGTGAAATACCATCTCATACCAATGAGAATGGTGATTATTAAAAAGTCAGGAAACAACAGATGCTGGTGAGGCTATGGAGAAATAGGAATGCTTTTACACTGTTGGTGGGAGTATAAGCTAGTTCAACCATTGTGGAAGACAATGTGGCAATTCCTCAAGGATCTAGAACCAGAAATAACCATTTGACCCAGCAATCCCATTACTGGGTATATATCCAAAGGATTATAAATCATTCTACTATAAAGACACATGTACAAGTATGTTTATTGCAGCACTATTTACAATAGCAAAGACTTGGAACCAACCCAAATGACCATCAATTGTAGACTGGATAAAGAAAATGTGGCACATGTACACCATGGAATACTATGCAGCCATGAAGAAGAATGAGTTCATGACCTTTGCAGAGACATGGATGAAGCTGGAAACCATCATTCTCAGCAAACTAACACAGGAACAGAAAACAAAACGTCGCATGTTCTCACTCATAAGTGGGAGTTGAACAATGAGAACACATGGACACAGAGAGGGGAATATCACACACTGGGGCCTGTCAGGAGGTTGGAGGCAAGGGGAGGGAGAGCATTAGGAGAAATACCTAATGCATTCAGGGCTTAAAACCTAGATGACAGGTTGATAAGTGCAGCAAACCACCATGGCACATGTATGCCTATGTAACAAACCTGCACGTTCTGCACGTGTATCCCAGAATGTAAAGTAAAAGAAAAAAAAAAAAAGAAAGAAAAAAGACATGGGTTTTTTTTTCTTGCATGCAGACTCAAACTAAAATACTGGCTCTTCCTGTGTCTCTAGCTTGCCAACTCACTCTGCAAGTCTTGGGACTTGTCAGCCTCCATAATTATTTAAGCTGATTTCTTATAATAAATCTCTCTTCATCTTCAAAGCCTGCAACAGTGGGCTGTAGTCCCTTTCACATGTTGAATCTCTTTCACTTCCTTTTCTGATGAATCTTTCTTTGCTTACAAATGGAGAAAGTTCTCTGCTTTTAAGGCCTTATGTGATTAGATTGGTTCCTCCCAATAATCTCCCTATTTTAAAGTCCAAAGCCTTAATTTCATCTGCAAAGTCTCTTTCCCTATATAATACAGCATAACCAAGGTGTATCAACAGAGAGTATGTCACAGGAGCCAAGATTCTGATTACCCGCAACTTAGTATCTCAAGAGTAGCCAGCTACACTACCCTTCTTGTAGCTCCTTGTTCAACCCCAGCCAAAGGGGAAACCCTGAAGAAACAAGTGAAGAAATATAAAATGGAAAACACCCAAAGCACATGCTGAGGTGAGGATCAAATAAGGATGGTTGAAGAGTTCAGCGGAGAGTGTTGAAACTTTGCATACAAAACAGGCGGTGTAGAGCCACATCCCTACAGCCCTTGTCTAATGTTTGCATAATCCCTTCTCAGAGGAGGCCACCGCAGTCCCTTAGCAGTCACAGATGTTATAGAGAGCAGCCAGGAGCAAAAAACACAGTCCTCATTCTTAAAGGACCAGCCTAGGAAGAGAATGGGAAGACAGAGCAGAGGAATGAATCAGAAACCAGCAAGACATAGGAGAGAAGTGGTGCCAGATTGGGAATGATGTTTACTGAGTCTTCGATGTCTTTTCTTTTTTTCTTTTAATTTTTTTTTTGGTGATGTATAAATTTAAATGCACAGAGTGAGCGTGAATATGAGCGTATATGACATCCCAATTAACCTTGGTGACTCTCTAGCACTGAGAAGCCACTTTAACCTTAATGCCAGCTGGTGACCTTGCCCTGAATCTTCAGAAATTGCTCCCCTAGCTGGACCGGGTGTCCTCAGCTGCCATGAAGTTGCTGGGGCAAACTGGTAGGAGACAGTGGAGCTGAAAGAGGAGAGGGGATGATAGACAGAAATCTTGGAGCAATATCCACGTTCTTTAACTCAAATTGACTACATAAACTAGAAGCTTGAAAGTAGAGGTCAATGTGTTCTCAGGACAGTTATTAAAATTGTATTCTCAGTCTTCTCCCATCCAGTATTGCAAAGCTGTTTTTGTAGTAAAGAAAGCAATTCATGTTTCATATCTGCTGTCATTATAAAAGAAGTCACAGCTACAAGTCTAGACTTTTATGTTTATTTCAAAAGGACTTGTCCTTATGAAATAATCATTGTTTTATGCCAGCTCTGCTTTATTGATCTACTATGTACCTGAAATTATTTAGATCAGGGAAATAAGACTTTCTTCTCTTTCCAGCATGCAGGGAAAAATTGTCCTAGACTCCTGAGAATATTATAAACATCTGATATTAGAAACACATTGGAGTTATATTTTTTATTTATTAAGTTCAGTTTCATATATGCCCCATATTGAAAGATTTTACTACTTCCCTCATTAAGAAAAAAAGTTATACCTTCAATTGTGAGTCATTTTTGTTTCTACAAAGTAAGAAGGAAAAAGAGAGGGCAAAGTGAAGGAGGAGGAAAAGGAGGAAGAGGAAGAAGAGGGGAGTAAAGAGAAGGGAGAGGGAGTAAAGAAAGGGAGGAGGGAAAGATGCAAGGAGAGAAAGAGACAGGGAAGGAAAAAGAAAAAGGAGAAGAAATTATTTATAGTTATCTGGATTTTATAGTTCTCCTGTGAGCTGGTGGTCCATATGAGGAAGCAAAGGGGTTAAAAAATTTATGGCAATGATTGTGGAGTCACCAGTTAGTGAGCACTGGCCTGGAGGGAAAATTCTTATATTCTCTAGCCTCAGCTTTTAATGGCACTTCCATGATTCATTGTCTTATAACCAAATAATTTTGGGGGAAGTTCATGGCAGATGTCCTTGGCTATAAATGATTTTTATATGCTCTAGGAATCACTTCTTTTTATCTGTCTTACAGATGAAAATGTAAAGTGTAGCTTTCAGGTGCTAATGTACTACATTCGTTAATATTGATAGGAAGGTAAGCCCTCTGTGACTCAATATTAACCTTTAATATTTATTTTATTACTTATGCAAGATAATTTAAAGACCCATATTTTCTGTTGATGAGTGTGAATTGCACTTTTTTCTTGCTTTGCCTTCCTAAGACTATCTGGCTGTTGTCAGAAAGGGTAGCCAGTTCTATTGGGGTGTGAGAAGGAGGCCTCTGCATGAGAAGCCCGTGTTGGCTGATTTATGTTTAATGCTTTCTCCAAACACTACAATTCACCCAAATTAGATTTTGAACATATTTTTTGCCCGATGTGAAGTATCTCCTTTTTTTTGGTTACTTGCTGGAACAGAATTCTAAACTGTTACCCTTTCAATGTCTCCCAATGTTTCTTCAGAGGTTTTTTATGTATTGAACAAAAAGTTTTCAATCCAGGTCAGAAGGATCATTTCTTATGTCATCTCCTAAGAGTTTTATAATTTTGCATTTTACTCTAAGTCTTTAATACACCTGAAATTGATTCTTATTTATGGTATAAGGTAAACATCTAATTCCATTTTTTAAATGACCCATTTAAAAGTTAGTCCCAGATTATTTATTGAAAATTTGCAGACCCAGAAATAAAGCCACACATCTACCAGCATCTGATCTTTGATGAAGTTAACAAAAATAAGCAATGAGGAAAGGACACCCACCCAATAAGTGGGCGCTGGGATTACTGGCTAGCCATATGCAGAAGAATGAAACTAGATGCCTATCTATCACCATATGCAAAAATTAACTCAAGATAGATTAAAGACTTAAGCTTCAGACCTAAAATTATAAAAATCCTAGAAGAAAACCTAGGAAATACCCTTCAGGACATTGGCCTTAACAAAGAATGTATGACTAAGTCCCCAAAAGCAATTGCAACGCAAATGAACTTTGAGGCCGTGTGCGGTGGCTCACACCTGTAATCCCAGCATTTTGGGAGGCCAAGGTGGGTGGATCACCTGAGGTCAGGAGCTCAAGACCATCCTGGCCAACATGGTGAAACCCTGTCTCTACTAAAAATACAAAAATCAGCCGGGAGTGGTAGTGCATGCCTGTAATCCCAGCTACTCGGGAAGCTGAGGTGGGAGAATCGCTTGAACCTGGGAGGCAGAGGTTGCAGTGAGCCGAGATCACACCATTGCACTTTAGCCTGGGTGACAGAGTGAGACTCCACCTCAAAAAAAAAAAAAGGAAAATTGACAATTGGGGCCTAATTAAACTAAAGAGCTTCTGCACAGAAAAAGAAACTATCAACAGAGTAAACAGACAACCTACAGAATTGGAGAAATATTTGCAGATTATGCATCCAACAATGGTCTACTATCTAGGATCTGCAAAGAACTTAAACAAATTAACAAGCAAAAAACAACCCCATTGAAAAGTGGGCAAAGCCGTTAACAGACGTTTCTCAAAAAGCCGTTAACAGACATACAAGCATCCAACAAACGTATGAACAAATGCTCACCGTCACAAATCATGAGTGAAATGCAAATCAAAACCACAATGGGATACCACCTCACACCAGTCGGAATGGCTATTACTAAAAAGTCAAAGAATAACATGTGTTGGTGAGGCTATAAAGGAAAGGAAACACATACACTGTTGGTGGGGATGTAGATTGGTTCAGCCAGCATGGAAAGCAGTTTGAACATCTCTCAAAGTACTAAAAATGGTGCTACCATTTGACCCAGCAGTCCCATTACTGAGTATATACCCCAAGGAAAATAAATCGTTCTACCAAAAAGACACATATACTCAAATGTTCATTGCAGCACTATTCACAACAGCAAAGACATGGAATCAGCCTCGATGCTCATCAGTAGTGAACTGGATAAAGAAAATGTGGTACATATGCACCATGGAATACTATGCAGCCATAAAAAGAATGAAATCTTGTCCCTCCCAGCAACATGGATGCAGCTGGAGGCCATAATCCTAAGCAAATTAATGCAGGAATAGAAAACCAAATAAAGCATGTTCTTACTTATACGTGAGAGCTAAACATTGGGTACACATGGACGTAAAGATGGAAATAATAGACCCTCAGGACTACCAGAGCAAGGAAGGAGGGAGAAGGGCCAGGGTTGAAAAGTACCCATTGGGTACTATGCTCAGTACCTGGATGACCAGATCAATTGTACCCCAAACCTCAACAACAAGCAATATACTCATGTAACCAACCTGTAACCAACCTGCACATATACCCCCTGAATCTAAAATATAAATTAAATTTTTCTAAAAAGGGAAAAAGAAAAAAGTCATGTTCTGCCCATTGGTCAGCAGCAATAAGTCATATCTCCCAGGTTTATGCTCCCAAACCACACAATCTTAATCAAATGTTTCATCATAATCCCTGATTTCTGGTAAATTGAGTTCCCCACTCTTTGTTTTTTCTTTTTAAGATATATATTTTTTCTTGTCCTTTTGTTTCTCCATATACATTTTAGAATCAGTTTATTTTGTTCAACAAACAAACAGACAAAATCTGCCAGGATTTGGATTGGAATTGATTGATAGATCCATTTGTTAAAAATTAGCCTTATTATAATTTTGAGTCATCCTATTTCTGAACATGAGATATCTATTTTGGGGAGAGAGGAGTCTTTAAAGTTTTCAAATAAAGTTTTAAGATTTTTCTATAAAGTACCAAAGTAGCTGGATTTATTCTTAGGAAATTTATATTTTGATACTATTATAATAGTATCTTTTAAAACTAAATTTCCCAATGTATAGAAGAAATACAATTTATATTTAAATCCAAACAACTCTGAGGAACCCAAATTACCCAGGCCATTCACTTTCTTAATAATTGTAATACTTTTTCTGTAAATTCTGGGATATTTTGATATAGACCATCGTACAGTCAGCTAATAATGTTAATTTTATTTCTTCCCTTCTAATTCTTTTCTTTCTTTCTTACCTTACTGTGCTGTATCCACTTCCAGTTCCACACTTAATAGAAATTAATGTGGGTACTTTTTGATGTTCTTCATCTTAAAGGGACTATTTCTAACATATCACATTAAGTATAATGTTTAATTTATTCTGAGAGTCACATTTTTCCCATCTTCTCTAACATCATTTTGCTAAAAATCTGAATGTTACCCAACACTTTTTAATGAAATTATTGGGATCATCATGTTATTTTTCTGTTTTGATCTGCTAATATGATAAAATATATTAATAGATTGTCCTATGTTAAACTACCTTCGCACATCTGAGATAAACGCAACATGGTCATCATTTATGTTCTTTGCTGTATTCAGTTTGCTAATATATTTAAGATTTTTACATCTATTATGTATTAATTAGGCTAGAAACTAAGCTGCTATAACAAACAAAACCAACATATATAGCACACATAAGACAGACATTTACTTTTCTCTCTGGCACAGGTAATAGTCTGGAATAGGGGAGTGGTTTGTGGCTGGTAGAGTTGCCTTGTGTATTCAGTACTTAGCTTCCAAGTCATCATTATTTCTCTGCCAGTTCAAAGAAGGGCAGAGAGTCCTGAACAGTCTTCATAAAAAGACGACCAGGAAATTGCCCTCCCCCTACCCATTCATATCTCATTCACCCAAAGCTAACTCCATGGCTACAGATACCTGAAAGTCAAACAGAAAAATATTTTCTGTGGCGTGGTGTCCATGAACCCAGGTTGTATGAAGTTCTGTGTGAATGCCCATCACTAAAAGAAACAAAGGGCAACTTAAAGGTGGGAGATAGTTAACAGTTTCCAACACATATGGTCATGAGAAAGACTGAACTCTAATTTTGTTTGTTGTACTATCCTCAACTTGGGTTTTGACATGAAGATCATATTAGCTTCCACCCCACCCCCCACCAAAAAAAATTAGTTTGATAAATATTCCATCTCTTCCTACCCTTTGGTATAATGTGGGTGACTTTGTAACTTTAAAACAAATGCGGTAGGACTTATGAGTAATAAGTACTACCTGGTGTTTTCTTTATTTAATGATTCTGAATGCTCACTAGATACGATAATATAAGCCCTTCTATTTATTCTTGAGTCAGTTTTGGGGGATATTGAATATGTTTTGATATTCAACATCATCATTATAATTTTGTTTAAATATTCTCTAAATGTTATCACAATTTCTTCTGTAACCCTTGATGTTCTTTTTAGAAGAAGAACATTTCCATAAATGCAAAATTCAAAATACCATCTGTAGTATGCTACCTCTTGTATAAGAAGAGGAAATTAGAAAACCAGTCAGGTATCTGCTTTTAATTTCAAAAACAACACAGGAAAGATAAATCATCAATGTTTTACTTCAAAGAAGTTTGTCACCTACAAGTGGTAATGAGAAGCAGAGTGGAAAAAATTTGGAGAGAAGTGACATTTCTCTTAATATAGCTTTCTTGGTACAGTTTTTACTTTTGGAGGCATGTTAATGTTTTATATACTCAAAAGAATAAAATCAACTAGGTTGGGAAGGGAGGAAAAAATAAAGTTAAAAGCAAATAGAAACAAATTAACCTAATTTATTTCAAATGAATACTATAACCACACTGAAAGAAAATTTAAAAGAACTAAGTAACTCACGAAAACAGTATATGACTGTATATTGTCTGTCTAGGGAAAAGTCGTGGCACAAGAGCTTCAAACAAATCTGTCATTCTTTTTAGTTTATTTTGTTTTCTATGGTGGCATACATAAAGCAATTGTGAAACAATTTATGTTATGGGATCCAACAGGCAAGTAAGTGTGTCAATTTTGTTGGGAGCCAGGTTTGTCATTATGAAAGAAGGGACATACAAATATGTAATGAGGGTGAACAAGAAAGAACCCTGTGAGGCCAGATGCAGTGGCTCACGCCTATAATCCTAGCATTTTGAGAGGCCAAAGCGGGCAGATTGCTTGAGCTCAGGAGTTTGAGACTAACCCCAGCAACATAGTGAAAACTCATCTCTACTAAAAATACAAAACCTAGCCAGGCGTGGTGATGTGCACCTGTAGTGCCAGTAACTTATGGGGCTGAGACAGGAGGATTGCTTGAACCCAGGAGGTCAAGGCTGCAGTGAGCCAAGATCACACCGCTGCACTCCAGCCTGCATGACAGAGTGAGACCCTGTCTCAAAAAAAGAAAGAACCCTGTGGGATGGATTGGAATGTAGCAATCAGTGTAAATTCATAATTTCTACAATAAGCATACTTGTGTAGGTAATGCATGTAATATGAGCGTATGCATACATGTCTGTGTCCACATAGGTATATATTTGCCTGTGTGTATATATACGCAGATATTTTCTAGCTCTATTCAATAAAAAGGCCTAGAAACAAAGGCATCCCAGTAACTATGAACACACCTAGCACTCTAATCTTAGATTCTAATGCTGTGCCTCACTAAAAGAAACCATGGCTCTGTTGAACAAGGACTCACTACATTACTTTAAGAAGTAAACTCTGGGAAAAGAAAAACTTTTGACAAATTAAACTTAACAGAATTTATTTGAGCAAAAAATGATTCATGAACCAGGCAGCACTCAGAATCAGAAGAGGTTCAAAGAGCTCCACCCAGGAGCATGAGAAGTGAGCTTCCATAGGCTGAACATGGAAGCCAAGTAGAGAACACATCTGATTTGTTACAGCAAGGTGTTTGCCTTATTTGGATATGGTCTGATGAGTTGGCTGTCTGTGATTGGCTAAAGCACTGCTGCTTATGATTGGCTGAGACCTGTTTTTTTTTTTTTACATAAGTTAGACTCCTAAGTTAGATTCCAGTTTGTTTCAGTACTACCTTAGGTTGCAGTTTCTCTTTATTCTTTTTTTTTTTTTTTTTTTTTTTTTTGAGACCAAGTCTAGCTCTGTCACCCAGGCTGGAGTGCAGTGGCGCAATCTCGGCTCACTGCAACCTCTGCCTCCTGGTTCACATGGTTCTCCTGCCTCAGCCTCCTGAGTAGCTGGGATTACAGGTGCGTGCCACCACGCCCAGCTAATTTTTGTATTTTTAGTAGAGACGGGGTTTTACCATGTTGGTCAGGCTGATCTTGAATTCCTGACCTCGTGATCTGCCTGCCTCGGCCTCCCAAAGTGCTGGGATTACAGGCCTGAGCCACCATGCCCGGCCAGATTGCAGTTTCTTATACAGAAACTTAAAGTATGGAGACAGTCTTGGGCCAGTGGCCTCCTGCTTATTTAACAACTCTCAGTCATGTTTTTATTTGCAGGTTATTTGATTCGTCACTCCCCAACTCCATTGTTTTTAGAATATTATCTTTGTCTTTGGTATTGTGCAATTTTCTATCATGTATTTAGGTTTAACTGTATTTATTTATACTACTTAGTATAAATAGCACAAAATGGTATATAAATGTTACAAATACATATTTAGTGTAAAATGAGGAAATTAGTAATTAATTCTTCAAATGTTGCTTCTGCCCCATTTTTTCTTCTCTTTCTGGATTGCCAGTATGATACGCTTTTTACCTTCTCTGTTATCTGTTACTTGTTTTTTAGATTTCTCTTCTCTTTGTCTCCATTTTATTCTGGATAATTTCTACAGTTCTAGTTTCAAATTCATTAATTCTCTCTAAGCTACGTATAAAAACTCTTATTAACTGAATTTTTACTTCCAAAGACACTTTCTACAGTATCTTGTAGTTCTATTTGTTTGCTTCTTTTTCAAATATTTGCTCTTTTTTTAAAAAAGTCTCTTGATCTTTTTATTCATGTCTTCAAACTTGCTGGGAGTTTTTTTTACCTATTAAACATAATTATTTTACATTCTGTGCTTGACAATTCTAATACCTGAAAACTTGCAGATCTTATTTTACCCTGTTTTCTTACCTAATGCTTGTGCTCTTGCTGTGGTTTTGTGATTTTTTTCATTCAGTCTCATGAGGGGAGTGTAATTTCTGGTTCGCCCTACAGTATGCAGGTAGACAATTCAGATGCCTCCTATTGCAGGATCTCATATGGGAGATCTTGGATGAACTCTGGCTTTCTTTGTCTTCTGCTCTGTACATTTCATTAATTTGTGAAAATGGATGCTAAGTTTCATTCTGATGGTAAATTCCCTTGAAACCAAGGTCATCTTTAGTGCTTGGCTTACCTTTTTGGGTTCTTGCTTTAACTTGGTTTTGACCTTTCAGTCATAAAGTATTTTTAGGATTTTATTTTGAATTTTTAGTTGTTTTCAACAGGAGGGTTAGTCAAGATATCTGGCCCACCATACAGTTGGAAAGAAATTTTACAAGTCACCTGTATATATTTTAGTCAACCTTATATATTTATGGTTTATACATTATTTTATTTTAAAAAAACTTAAAATGTACAGATAAAATACCACCTTACCTAACATGTTCATGTCACATTGAAGAAAGAGTAGCAATATCAGGGCCAGATCTCACTTCTCCCAACCCCTGCTTTAACGTCTTTCTACAACCAAGGAGTTGGCAATAAGAAGGGGTTAGGAGGGAGGTGTTAATCCAGGGCCTGAGATTTAATGCCATTGTAAGTGGAGATTGTGAACATAATGCTCCTGGGCATGTGGACACACCTTCTGTCCCTGTGCAACTTCTGCTGCCTTGAAACTCTCAGACCCAATTTTCATTCTAGGTGCTTTCTTAAGACAAACCCTCAGTCTGGGAAATTCACCAAAACTCGGTTTCACGTACAAACATACACTTGATTTCCACCAATGATAATATTTGGTTAGACTCACTTTTACATTAAATATGTATATCTCTAGCATGAAACAATGTAAATCATAATTAAATAATATTTTCTGATGATTCTGTGTGCATCATTGTCTTTAACAAATGTGTATTACCCATTGAATGGTTGTGTCATAGTTTGACCAGCATTTTGTTTTTAGTACATTCATGTTGCTTCCAGCTCTTTTCCCTTACAAACTGAGCCTCTGTGAATGCCTCTGTACTTCATCTTTACTTAGTATCTTTAATTATTTGCTCAGGATAAATTCTCAGAATTTAAATTGTGAGGTCATAGGGCATGCGTATTTTTAAGGCTTGATAGGTCCTACCCACATGGCTCTCTGAGGAGCTGTGCGAGTTTACCTTCGACGATGGCCCACAGAAACGTAGTGATGGTGGCTGGCTTTTTAAAGGTGATGTATTCAGAGCTGATCCTTTGATTAATTTCTAACAAAAAATTTTCACAAGATTTTTTTGTCTGGCTCTTTCCCTAGTCTAAAATTTATGAAAGGTATGGTATAGCACTCTCAGTATTATGCCTGCTTAAAGATCTTACAAAATATCCAGGCTTCCCTTTTCCTTTCACTTTATAAAAATTTAGTATCTGAGAGTTACTGCAGTTTCTCAAATTACAGACACATCTTTGCTTTGACAAAACCCTAACCGTCACATGCTGACTAGCAGTCTGTGGTATTTTCATAATTAATTTGAACTAAATAGCCGTGTCACAGTAAATGCACAGACTATTTTCCTATTGTTATCTCCTCGACTTATCGTTTGTCCACAGATCCACTGGTGTTAATTCATAGTGAGAACCCTGTCACTAATGTGCTCTAGCAAAAGTATAGCTTTTCCGACACTAATTCTGCTTGGATCTGGTCACGTGAGAATCCAGGGATATGATTTCTAGCAGATAACATTGAAATATTGATCTTATAAAGTAAACTGGAGGCTGGCCACACAGCATGGTTTTAAATTTGTTTCCCCTTAATAGGAGACAGGTTTTTTGTTCATTAGATCTCTTGCTGTCCTAGGGTTAGACCCCACTGCCTAGCTCCTCCTGCTGTTGTGATTATGCTGTGTAAAATGACATTTCTACATAAAGAGCTTTTGGCTGGGGGCAGCATACCAGCTAGTGTAGATTTGAAATGGCTATTTCTTTCTCACCATGAATGGAAAGATATTTTAAGCATATGTAACTCCTGCACGAGCTAACATCTGTCAATTGCACCATGTACAACTTCATCAGCTGGGAATTAAAACCCATTCATAATACTCCTGTTTGCAAACTTCTGTCTTTGAGGTTATTGAGGCTGTACATTCTACTGCAAAAGAAGAAAGGGCTAGGATGCCAAAGAGAGCCTCAAATTTTAAAGTTAATAGTTGAAAATTGCATGGGGGTGGGAATTGCATGAAAGCCAGTTTTCTGAGTAGAAGTTGGGAAACTTGGATGTGGAACCTGTTCAAATCATTCCTGATCTTATCAAAGCTTATCTTTTCTTAAACATTGGAAGGATTTTTTGGGTGGTTTATGTTGTTTATTTGGTTACAATGAGGACCTTTCATAAAGATTTTATGTTGACTTTCCTTGTGGATTTCAGCCTAACAATATCGAAAATATTAAATTTAGAGGGGATCGATCTCATAAAAACTGAGTCAGAAAAAGGAGGCCAATTATTACTCTTAATTTGGTATGAAATTGTAACCAGACTCATAAATATCTATGTGACCTATAAAAAAGAAGCATAAAAAGGAACAAAATAATGGCATTCGCAGCAAGCTGGAGTTGGAGACCATTTTTTGTTTGTTTGTTTGTTTGAGACGGAGTCTCGCTTTGTTGCCTGGGCTGGAGTACAATGGCATGATCTTGGCTCATTGCAACCTCTGCCTCCTAGGTTCAAGCAATTCTTCTGCCTCAGCCTCCCGAGTAGCTGGGACTACAGGCGAGCACCACCACGCCTGGGTAATTTTTGTATTTTTAGTAGAGACAGGGTTTCACCATATTGGCCAGGCTGGTCTCGAACTCCTGACCTCGTGATCCACCCGCCTCGGCCTCCCAAAGTGCTGGGATTACAGGCGTGAGCCACCGCACCAGGCCAGAGACCATTGTTCTAAGCTAAGTAACTCAGGAATGGAAACCCAAAAATCATATGTTCTCACTTATAAGTGGAGCCAAGCTATAAGGACACAAAGGCACAAGAATGATGTAATAAACTTTGGGGACTTGGGAGGAAGAGTGGGAAGGGGGTGAGGGATCAAAGACTACACATTGGGTACAGTGTACACTGGGTGACAGGTGCACCAAAATCTGAGAACTCACCACTAAAGAACTTTTCAATGCAAACAAACAACAACTGTTCCCCAAAACTATTGAAATTTTTTAAAAAAAGAAAAAGCAAAGAGAGAATTTACCCACTGAGAACAAGATTTTAGAGAATCTGCTTCTGCAATTTTTTTAATAATTTCAACTTTTAGTTTAGATTCAGGGAGTATGTGTGCAGGCTTGTTATCTTGGCATAGTATTTGTGTAATTATATGTTTTTATTGTAGAACTGAAGTCTATACTTTTGTTGTTGTTCTTTGGAAGAAATTGAATAGTTGGAATTTTCAGAGCAAGCTTGTAGAATTGATTTAGGTAATACTCAAAAATTAGAACAACGCAGGAGATTAACCTGTGAGATTTGTTTAAGCTGCGGATTTTGGGGTGCCATCTCTCATGATTCTAATCTGATATACCATGAGTGGAGCCAAAGAATCTACCTTTCCAGCAAGCACTCCCCAAAATTCTGATTTGGGTGGTCCGCGTAACAGAGAAACACTATAAAAACACAGTCTTACAAAGATTAAAATTAAGGAAAAGAGAAGCCATTTTGTAGAATATATAAATGAAGAGTCTTGTTTTACTATATAATTTATTTTTATAATAAAGGGATGTTGTCAGAGTGCTGATTCCTTAAGCAGCAAAGCGGATGACACTGTGAAAAGTATGTATGTTCCAGGGCCAGAGTTTCTTTAAAGACCACTCCTGCCTGGGACTCAGTGGTCACTCGACTGTCATCATCCTGCCTTGTAACTCTTTGCCCTCCCCTCTAAATGGGAAAATCAAAAATAGCAGAACCTTTCTACCATCTGGAGACACTGAATATAAGGCAAAACAATCATGAAGTTGTTTTGTAAATCTAAATTGGTGTCATTAGATTCAACACTCGGAGAAGGCTTAGTTCTCTCCAATTTGTCAAATGTAATACACCATAATCACAAGTGTGCAGACTTTAAAGTCAGACTCTAAACTAGATAACTGTAGCCTCTTAGAAGTCTTGAAGGGTAATGCTAGGTCACAGTCACGTTACATGTAAACTAACCCTGAAAGATATCTTAAAGCCTGTTAGAAAAAGAAATTTCACAGCTTTACTTGGCAGTTGTGTGCATTAGGGCTTGAAATCTTTCAGCAGAATTCAGCGTTCCTACTCCAAGCTGTCTAAGCCACATTCTATAGCCTATGCTTGGGAAAAAGGCAAAAACTGCTCACCACGACTCACACTATCCTTGCATAGACTGAAAAGTGTTAAGCTTTCTCTTGTTCTTGTTGTTGTCTTAATGCCAAATATAAAGCCAATTCCTTTGGCCTTCTCACATAAGGCCTCAAGAAATATACCATGTGTATGCATTTTATCCCTTGCTTTTTTCATTCTAGGCATTAAGATGTAATTTGATGGTGACAATGGCTGTTACTCGTGAAATATTTCTTTAAACTTTGCTTTGATTGTCAAGTAAATGTTCTTGCACACCTTTTTAAAGCCTACTAAAAATTTGTCAGGAAATTTCCTCATTAGTTTTATAGTGTAACTGTGGCAGACCAATTTCATCTCCCTGGTCCTCAGTTTCCATCCAATAAGGGACTTGAACTAGATGCTGCTGATTTTGTTCTTTATGAGCTCTTGAAATTATTTACTGTAGAAATCGGATGGGCTTAACCCAGAGTAATTCTATGGCAGTGAAGGACTCTTTTTTTTTTTAAAATAATCTTCATTGGTTCCTTGCCCTTTTTGTTTTTTCTAACATCAGATACTCTCTTCTGATGATGAACTTAATCTCTTGTCAGGGAAAGGAAAGAGGAGGAGGGGAAGGAAGGAAGAGGGCAAAGGAGAGTAGGAGGGAGGGAGAGTAGAATGGAAAGCAGTGATCCCCAACCTTTTTGGCACCAGGGACCAGTTTTATGGAAGACAGTTTTTCCATGGACCAAGAGTGAGGGGGATCGTTTCAGAATGACTCAAGTGTATTGCATTTATTGTGTGCTTTATTTCTGTTATTATTCTATTGTAACATAAAATGAAATAATTATACAACTCACCATAATGTAGGAGCCCTGAGCTTGTTTTCCTGCAACTAGATGGTCCCATTTGGGGGTGATGGGAGACAGTGACAGATCATCAGGCATTAGATTCTCATAAGGAGCATGCACCCTAGGACAGTTCACAATAGGGTTCACACTCCTAGGAGAATCTAATCCCACAGCTGATCTGACAGGAGACAGAGCTCAGGCAGTAATGTGAGCGATGGGGAACAGCTGTAAATACAGATGAAGCTTCATTCACTTGCCCACCACTCACCTCCTGCTGTGCGGCCTGGTTCCTAACAGACCATGGACTGGTATCAGTCCATAGCCTGGGGGTTGGTGACACCTGATGGGAAGGAATAGAATGAGAAATAGAGAGGGGAGGAATAGAAAGAAGGAAAGAAGGCCGGGCACAGTGGCTCACGCCTGTAACTCCAGCACTTTGGGAGGCCAAGGCGGGTGGATCACGAGGTCAAGAGATCGAGACCATCCTGGCTAACATGGTGAAACCCCATCTCTACTAAAAATACAAAAAATTAGCTGGGCGTGGTGGCGCACGCCTGTAGTCCCAGCTACTTGGGAGGCTGAGGCAGGAGAATCACTTGAACCTGGGAGGCAGAGGTTGCAGTGAGCTGAGATTGTGCCACTGCACTCCAGCCTGGTGACAGAGTGAGACTCCATCTCAAAAAAGAAAAAAGAACAAAAGAAGGAAAGAAAATATAGCCAGAAATAACAGCAAGGAGTAGGTACCCCAGATGCACAGTTAAAAATTAGACTTACCTTGTTTGTGGCGCCTGGTGTACTCTTTGCCTGAGGGGCTAATAAAACATGGTGCATTGAATCCAAGTTTCCCAGGCTCCTCATGGTTTTGGGACCTCACTCACTCTCCTGGTTTCTCCTGAAATATTTGATGGCTGCATGCTGTTTCTTTGGATGTTCCTTTATTGAGCATTCATTTTCATTGACAGATTCAAATTTCATAGCCTTAATTGCCTGCATTAGTAGTCTGGTAAGATGTTTTTCTTTATCACTGTTCCACCTCTCTCAATGGAGAAACCTGGGGGCTTTGTTGGAGGCTGTGCGTGTGGAGTTCTCGGTGTAGCCTTTGAAGAATGCATCTTGATTTAAACCTCCTTGATGTTCCCATGGATTTAAAAAGATACTCAGATTGCAATTCCCTGTTGCAGGATATAGAAAAGGAGCTTCCTAATCTATGTGCTCTTCCTGACACAGTGGAAGCCTTTGTCAGGGATGGCAGGAGAGCTGAAGATTGCATGGACGGGAATGTCTGCAGATCTCAGCAATATGCCACTTCCTGCTCGGCCTGTAGAGGGTTATGCCAGTGCCTTCTAACTTCAGGATGTTAAGAACTGATTCTGAAGGACAGCTTACTCTTTGGTATGAAATCAATTAGAATTCCTCAAATAGGCTGACAGTTCCTATCACCTGCCATCAGGTGACCGTGTTTACTGAGAATTCTCGACATGAACCTCAGGAAACGTACATGAATCAACATGCTGATGGACGAGCATGGGACCCCCCTGCTTCTCACCCAAGAAGGTCACTCTCTGACTGTGACTTGACTGCTGCAGCCCCGTTCTAAGTATCTTCTCTGGGACAATCAGGCATTTGTTAGTTGACCTAATTCCCTGAGGACTCACGAAAGAAAACAAACTGGACCCCACATAGGCCCAGGTAGCCTCACACATTCTTTCTATAACCAGTATTAGAAGCCAGAAAGAACTTCCTGGAAAAAGATGCTCTTATGGGTGGAAAATTATTTCTTCTCTATTCTTACTGGTATTTTCCTCCTTTGGTTTCTAAAAACTAATGCTGCTATGATTTGTGTTGAAGGGTTGTATTTGTGTCCACATGCTCAATATTTGAAAACCTGGTTGCCTATTATACCGTAATCCAACAAAATAGATTCTATTAAGATCTTAAGATGTGGTAAATGTAAAGTTTCTTGTCTCAGCAAGAAGTATGCAATGAGGATTTTAGGTTTGGGGTTATATACACACACTTAAAAAGACTGTATTATTATTTAGTCAAGGTATACATTTTTCCCCTGGTAATCTATCTATTAGAATATTCTTGACCAGGTACAGTGGCTCACGCCTGTAATCCCAGCACTTTGAGAGGCCGGGGTGGGCGGCACAAGGTCAGGAGATTGAGACCATCCTGGCCAACATGGTGAAACTCCATCTCTGCTAAAATACAAAAAATTAGCCAGGAGTGGTGGTGCATGCCTGTAGTCCCAGCTACTTGGGAGGATGAGGCAGGGGAATCGCTTGAACCCGGGAGGCAGAGATTGTAGTGAGCCAAGATCGTGCCACTGCAGTCCAGCCTGGTGACAGAGTGAGACTCCATCTCAAAAAAAAAAAAAAAAAAAAAAAAAAAAAAAAAAAAAAAAAAAAATCTGCAGAATGTGCCAGAAAAGAAAGTTGAAAATTTATGAAAGCAAGAGTTATATGTCATCTACAAATATAGAGCCAGCTTCCAGGATGTCACATCAAAACATTACCTCTAAATATTTCATTGTTGTTTAAGGATTTTGCCAGGCAACTCCTATTTGCTTTAACGAACGTGACTTCCAATTCACCAACTGTGGAAAAGTCAGAGCTAGACAGTGTGAAATGCTACATTGATTAAACAGAATGCCAGTCAAGGCTATGATTCTTTTTCTACATACTTTATGATGTTATTTTGTCTAGTCTTTTATTTCCTTGTGGTCCTCAGCTACATTGATTGCCAAACGGCTTTAATCAGTTATCTCCTTCATTCAAAACTCTGTGTCCAAACAAGTTTGAAAGGAAGCAGAGTGTCCATTTTTTTCTCTTTCAGAATGTGAAGGTACCATTATGGTATAAAGAAAGTAAACTGTGCTTCTTAAATTGCGCATCATGTGTCTTGATTAAAATATATACCGAGATCTTTGTAACCTCCCCACCCACCACCTCAGAGCCCAGTAATGAAAACTTAGCCAATTACAACACACAGAGCATTTTTAATTAGAGAGCCTTATATATTGCAGAAGTAAATTTAGGTTTCCTATACCGTTTATATTCTCCTTGTTCTTAGATAAAGCAAGACAGCTAAATATATTTTTTTAGTTCCAATATGGGAAAAGTTTGGGGATAACAATATTAGCCTTAGGGCTATACATAGTCTTGATTTTAAAAAACTATATCTTGAATATAACTTAAGTCAAATAAATTCTTCAATTTGGAAAATATATTAAGAATCTCCCTTTTTAAATTAAATATGGTAATTACTACTAAGATTAAATACTTCATATTTTTGTGAGTAGAGTACCTACAATTATAGAAACATTATGATTCTAATTCTGGTTATAATTTAACAGGAAGTCATCATCCAATATTATCAATTTAATGTCTTTTATGCATAATAGTTTCTGAAACAGTTTCCATCATTTTAGCAATGGTGTTATATTGGTACCACATTTCTAATTCACTAAGCAAATAACCTATATGGCTTCTTTTTTCACATTTTTAAATGAAATACTTAGGTTAGATGCTCTCTGATGTCCATTTCAGCCCTAAAATTTTATGATTTTGTGTTCTGTGAGATAAGCCATCTTGTCTTTTGTATGATCCTACCTGCTAACTCATATGTAGCCCTTTCCCTCATTTCCAATAGAAAACATCAAACTTATTTTATAGATGGGATAGTTTTTTTTCAAATCTAGTGAAATGAAGAAGGAATCAACTGAAATTTAAGCAGAAGAGAATAACATTTAAAATAAACTTCTAACTTAGAAGAAATTTGAATCTTCTTCTCTGATATTTTGCTCCTAGAATGATGTAGTTGTGGTTATTTCTAGAACACAAGTGTCCATATTATATTATATCTCATGGTCTGACCCAAGCAGTCATGTGGAATATAATGATTCCAGTGAAGTGATGCCATGAAATACATAAGGCAACTGTTCTTTAACACTTTCATTGATATAAATACTATGCTCCTCCATTTGGGCATTCTGTCTAAGACACCATAAGAGGATAGAATCAAGTTATAAGAAGAAGAATATATAGTTTTTCTTCTATAGTGATATAGAAGATATAGTTTAGATAGTGATATAGAAGATATAGTGATATAGTTTGGCTCTGTGTCCCCACCCAAATCTCATCTCAAATTGGAATCCCCACATATCAAGGGAGGGACCTGGCAGGAGGTGATGGGATCATGGGGGCAGTTTCCCTCATGCTGTTCTTATGATATTGAGGGAGGTCTCATGAAATCTGATGATTTAAACATGGCAGTTTCCCCTGCTCTCTCTCTCTCTCTCCTGCTGCCATGTATAACATACCTTGCTTCCCTTTCACCCTCTGTCATGATTGTAAGTTTCCTGAGGCCTCCCCAGCCATGAAAAACTGTGAGTCAATTAAACCTCTTTCCTTTGTAAATTTCCCAGCCTCAGGTCCTTCTTTATGGCAGTGTGAAAATGGACAAGTACATAAAAATTGGCAATGGGAGGAGGGCACTGCTATAAAGATAACCTGCAGATGTGGATGCAACTTTGGAATTGGGTAATGGGCAGAGGTTGGAACAGTTTGGTGGGCTCAGAAGAAGATAAGAAGATGTGGGAAAGTTTGGAACTTCCTAGAGACTTTTTCAATGGTTTTGATCAAAATGCTGATAGTGATATGGACAATAAAGTCCAGGCTGAGGTTGTCTCAGATGGAAATGAGGAACTTACTGGGAACTAAACTCTGTGCAGCCTTGATACTTAGTGCCCTGTATCCCAGCCACTCCCAGCTCCAGCTGTGGCTAAAAGGGGCCAAGGTACAACTTGGCCTATTGCTTCAGAGGGTGCAAGCCTCAAGCCTTGGTGGCTTCCACTTGGTGTTGGGCCTGTGGGTGTGCAGAAGACAAGAGTTGAGCTTTGGAAGCCTCCACCTAGATGTCAGAGGATGTATGAAAATGCCTGAATGTCCAGGCAGAAGTCTGCTGCAGGGGTGGAGCCCTCATGAAGAACCTCTACTAGGACAATGCAGAGGGGAAATGTGGGGTTGGAGCCCCCACACAGAGTCCCCACTGGGGCATTGCCTAGTGAATCTGTGAGAAGAGGGCCACCATACTCCAGAAACCAGAATGGTAGATCCACCAACAGCTTGCACTGTGTGCCTGGAAATGCTGCAGGCACTTAATACCACCCTATGAAAGTAGCCACAGGGTCTGTACCCTGCAGAGCCATAGGGGCAGAGCTTCCCAAGGCCTTGGGAGCCCACCCCTTGCATCAGCATGCCCTGGATGTGAGACATGGAGTCAAAGGAGATTATTTTGGAGCTTTAAGGTTTTTTTTAAATTTTTTAATTTTTCTTTTAAGTCAGAAGTGGGACTTGAAGAAGCTTTAAGATTTAATGAGTGCCCTGCCAAGTTTTGAACTTGCACAGGGCCTGTGGACCCTTTGTTTTGGCCAATTTCTCCCATTTGGAATGGGAACATTTACCCAATGCCTATAGCCCCATTGTATCTTGGACGTAACTAACTTGTTTTTTATTTTACCAGGCTCATAGGCAGAAGGGATTTGCCCTGTCTTAGATGAGACTTTGGACTTGCACTTTTGAGTTAATGCTGGAATGAGTGGAGACTTTGGGGGACTGTTGGGAAGGAACGATTGGTTTTGAAATGTAAAAAGACATGAGATTTGAGAGGGGTCATGGGTGGAATGGTATGGTATGGCTCTGTGTCCCCAACCAAGTCTCATCTCAAATTGTAATCCCCATGTGTTGAGGGAGGCACCTCGTAGGAAGTGATTGGATCATGGGGGCAGTTCCCCGCACTGCTGTTCTTGTGATAGTGAGGGAAGTCTCATGAGATCTGATGGTTTAAAAGTGGCAGTTTCCCCTGTACTCACTCTCTCTCCTGCCACCATGTAAGACGTGCCTTGCCTTCCCCTTCACCTTCCACCATGATTATAAGTTTCCTGAGGCCTCCCTGGCCATGTGGAACTGAGTCTACTAAACCTCTTCCTTTGTAAATTACCCAGTCTCAGGTCATTCTTCATAGCAGTGTGAAAATTGACTAATAAAAATAGCTAAGCTAAAAATGTGCCAGGCACTATTCTGAAATTCTGATAATGGTTCTTACCTCAGTACTCATGTCATTCCCATGGAAAGGAAAGGAAAGTGGAAAAGTGTGATGCAGGTAAAAGCATCTGCACCCTCTAGCATTGTGATAGGAAGATCTTTCTTTAGAGACTGATTTTTACTTAGTTCATTCATTCATTTTATTTATAGCACTAACTGGTGGAGCTGCCCTCTGATTCCTCACTGGTCACTTCCTAGCTCACCCCCCTACACTAGTCCTCCCAGGAAAATTGAGCTGCACAAAGCCAGTGCCTGAGGTTCTTACTGCATCACCTTTCCCTCTGTGCAGATTGTCTGTGACATTCTGATGTGCATTTTGCATAATTACCCTTTGCAGTTTCCTAGCGAGAGGTCCCATATGAAGTGAAAGTAGAAACTGATTTTCTCCTTGGATTTCTGTGCTCCAGGGGAACTTCACCTTGAGCCATTTTTAAATTAGGCAACCTTATTCTAGGAGTTTCCAAAATTCTCCTTTTTGGTGTGACTGACATTATTCAGGGCCCTCAGAGTGGACCGCAGCGCTTAACACATAGACTTCGGCAAAGATTCCCTGCTGACTCCATTGACCCATTCAAGACCTAGCAATTTCCTTGCCAGCCAGGTTCTTTCTAAGTGGACAGCCACTCATACCCAAGAGGAGGTTTGCATGGAAGGCACTGTCCCCCAGGGATTAGTATCAAGCTATCATAGCACAATATTTTTTGCAATCTAGATGAATTGAATCAAGACCAAAAGAAAAGCCTTTTTCCTAATTCTTTAGATTATTTATGACCTCCTTCCTCATCACCACCCCCAATTCTTATCCTTTAATTCTGAAACTGACTTAAATAACAGATTGTCTGTCATAAGCATTTCCATAAGGTTAAGATGAAGTATTTAACAAGTATTTCATTAGAGTGAATAAAAAAGGAAGACTGAGAGATTCCAGTAAAAGTTTGTTACATAATTTTAAATGGTTTAGAATAACGTCACAATATCCCGCTTAAAAAAAGATCAGTCCTTTGTGGAAGATGTTATTAGTGAAGTCCTTGAAACAAGTGTTGGAAAATGGCCTTTTCATTACTTCAGAGGCAATATTAAAGGGCCATGAAACTCAGAGCTCCTGGTTTTATCACAGACATTTTTATGTCAGGATTTAAACATTTTCCTACTCGACATTCCTCTAACAACTGTAGTTTTATAGGAAAGAATTGTTATAATTGGCCTGGATCATAGTATGATTATTAAATGATAGGCATCAATTAAACTTATATTTAAATTGAAGATATTCACAGCAGATAAGAGGAAAGTGTGATTATCATTAAATGCATAAAATGTATAATCGGCTTTGGGAGTGCACTTTAAACCTATTAAGAGGATAAAATGTGATTATTTGTTGGAATATAAACTGTCACAAAAATTCTTCTGCCTATTTTCCCCCTGCTCACTGTCACTAAGCAGAAATAAGATGTTTTATACATGTTTTCCTTAATTTTAATATGATTATGGGGGTGCTTTATGTAGATTATCATGTTGAGGCTGTTAGCATTTAGCAATAAGAAAAAACACAGAGAGGAAGAATGCTGGAGACAGTAACACAGAATTGCGCCTGTGAACCAGAGTTGCTAACACACTTGGGTTCCCCAGAGTTAACCATTTCATTTCCAGAATTTTGCCATGCAATATTTTTATAACGTTGATGTGAATGCAATAATGTAACAACCATGAGCTGATTAAGCACTTAGGAGCTCAGCAATTTTGTGTATTCATTGCTTTTAAGTTTAAAGTATTATTTGTTTACCTGCTGGGGATCAGAAGGACTCAAAGAAAAAAAAAAGATTTACAGATTTTAATACCAATACTTGCTTAAAGCAAACAAATAAAAAATTCGCTAAATCCACCAAATGATTATCTCATCACATTCATACATTTTTCACTTGAAAATAGAAAAGTTCTTCATTGATGTTCCGTGTCTTTACATCCACACCTAAAATATGAGCAAATGACTTTTTTTTCTATTTCTCTAATATATTCCTTGGTGGCCATCCCAGGCATTGATAAGTGTTTCTTGGGGTTGACCCAACTTAGGCTACTGGGTAGCGAGCCTGAGTCAATGATCAAGGCAGTCTCCCACTTCTTGCCATAGTGACTGCCCAGAGGTGATTGTGTGATGTAATTTTATTTAATTAGAGTGAAACTCTGAATTCTTGTTCAATGTTAAAGAGAGAAATGTTACCCATACCCCTCTAATCACACCACACGTGTTCTGGAGAGAGGTGTGTATTTTGGGTTCTAGCTGCAGCAATTTGATGATTCCAAGAGAAGCCCAGCTTGAAGATGAGGCTGATCCATAAAGAATGAAGGAGAAGAGAGAAATGTAGGGGAATGGAAGAACTGGACCTCTAGCTGAAGTGCACCCACCTCCCCAACATTTTAGTTTCAGTTACATGAGCCATTTAAGGTCCTTCATGACTTAGCTTGATTGTAGTGGTGTTGTATTACTTATAAACAAAAGCCTCCTACCAGATACAGAATTTGGTACTAACAGGAATGGTGTTTTGCACACAACATATCCTAAAATGTTGAAATAAACTGCATCTAGGTCAGCAGAGCGATAGGGAAAAATCCTCTATGGTCAGAATTTGGTAAATCTTTTTATAAAATCACAAAATAATTGGCTAATTATGATTTCCTGTTGTACCTTACAAGAAAGTTCAAGTGCCAACAAGATTGTAGCATTTGGTGATTTCACAGGAAAATAAATATAGCTTTCACTAAAGTCCTTCAACAGAAAGACAAATTTGGTCTGAAACTAACCAAACAAAGAAAAGAAGAAAGACAATATAGCTTTTCTGAGACAGACACTCTCAACAAATGGTTTTTCTTCCTAAATGGGTAAAAGCTGGGTTATCTGTAGACAGACAGGTTGAAAAAAATCATATTCTCTGCCCCAAGGTAAGGTAAATTGGAACAAAAGCAGGGAGGTAGGAGCCATCACAGGAGATAAAGCTGATATCTGGGAAGAACCTAATCCTTCGTTCTTTCCCAGCAACTAAAATCCCTAAAGACTCCCCAAGACAAAAGTTTGGCTATTGTTCACCCCTAGGGCAATCTCCAAGCTCTTATAATCACATATATTGACCCCCAGGGTGATGAAGACCCAGAAAGAAAGTTCTACCCCATGTCCATCTTTGATGTAACCCTGCACTACAAAGGATAAAGAAGATCCTCCCAGAGAGTAGGACTAAGGTCTACAAGACTGGCCAGCTAAATCATTCACTCCTCCTGCAAAACAAGGATCACTCCATGTTTCTGTCCAGCAGGATATGAAATGCGCTATGGACCAATGGGCACTCTGTGTTGCTTCTTATTGTTTTTTAAAATGGAAATTTGTATTGTAGCTTGTCATTCTCTCTCCACCATTGTATGTATGTTGAAGAGTGTAAATGATGGGTAATGTACCATTTATTGACTTGTTATTGGCCATTAGGAGTTATGTCAGAATTTGATTAAGAAAGAATTTCACTCAGAAATCCTGCGCTTGAGATAACTGTAAGATGATTTGGTTGTCTCCCGTTAGAGAGTGGTTCTCAACTTGGATTGCACAACTGAACCACCTGGGAAATTTAAAAAATTTCTATGGCCAGGCTGCATCCCAGGTTAATTAAATAAGAATCCCTGGGAGCTGAGCTCAGGCATCAGGTGATCCCAGCATGCAGCCTAGTGGTGAACCACAGCTTTCATTTAGAGGTTGAGATTTGGGGAGCTTGATACAGGGAGGAGGATATGGATGGAAATTGATTAGCAAAAGATTGCAGTCATCTTTTTTCTCATTCCTCAAATCATTTCACCTCTCTCCCTTTGGGTACACTCTTCATTGGCTCCATCCTAGCTTCTGTCAGTCATAGGAATACACATACCTTGCCACAGGTATTGATTCAGAAGAGGGTATTTGACCTAATATATTCCAATTAAAGTAAAACTTTGAATTTTTTTAGCAGCTGGGAAAGAAAATATGAAAAAAGATATATAATGCTGATTGTCACTAGACACAATATTCGGAGGAGAACAGACCCTGCAGGACAGCAGAGAAAGGGTGCTAGAGCCCAGAATATACCATGTCTGAAACCTACCCTATCTCTGAATGGAGCCAGCCAGCTCCTTTTCTTGACTAGAACAGTTTGAAGTAGGTTTTCTCTTACATGTATCTGAAAGCATTCTAACTCATAGGCCCTGCAGTGCACATGGTCAAATCTCTGCTCAGATACCTAGATTCCTTTTTCTATTTTTGTTCCTCATTCCTTATACCCATTTTGCTTCCAGTGGGCTGTACCCATGACACTCCTCAGGGACCTGCTTGTTTGCTCAAAGAGCCAGAAGTGCCTTGAATTTACATTCTCCCCAGGGCAGGCCTTAGCTAACCACCTTCTGGTACATGAGTATGAAGCCCTGCTTCCCTGCCAAGTGAGACAAATCCTGAGCCACATTTTACACCATAGAGCTCACCTGTGAGATCTGCACCTTGGGTTGGCTTCTTCCATTCCTTATTCAACGTCTCAGACTTGCTTCTCAGTTTCTCCTGGGAGCACTTTCTTAACAAATGACTTGAGTTCAGATTCTCAAACTAAGGCACATGCTAATCCCCACTGGGTGCTGAGTCCTATTTAAAGCACGTGGTGTTGGACTAATAAATGTAACTGAGCAACTCAGCAGCCAATCATCATTTCTGAAAACTTTGACTCATGAAGTGTCTCTGTATTAGCCTGTTCTCACGCTGCTAATAAAGACACACCCGAGACTGGCTAATTTATAAAGGAAAGAGGTTTAATTGACTCGCAGTTCCACATGGCTGAGGAGGCCTCACAATCACGGCAGAAGGCAAAGGAAGAGCAAAATCACATCTTACATGGTGACAGGCAGAAAGAGCTTGTGTAAGGGAACTCCCCTTTATAAGACCATCAGTTCTCGTGAGACTTATTCACTATCACGAGAACAGCACGGGAAATACTTGGCCCCATGATTCAATTACCTCCCACCAGGTCCCTCTCATGACACGTGGAAATCACAGGAGCTACAATTCAAGAAGAGATTTGGGTGGGGACAGAGTCAAACCATATCAGTCTCTTATTTTATATTTTCAGTGCAATACCAAAACATAAGACACATGGTCGAATCTAATTTTTTAGAGCTAAGGTCCAGAAAGATCATCTGGCAAACCAGTCATGTTACATGTAAAGAAACGGAAGTCTAGTGAAACTACATAACTTACTCCAATCTCCTTGGCTGCTTAATGGCAAGGCCAGGGTTTGAAATCAGTGCTTTTTTGTGTGCCTTAGGCCACCTACCTAGTGCTGTGCCCAACTGTGGATTCCAAACACCTTAGTCAAATCACACTTTATTTACAGACAAATTATTTGCCTTTGTTGTATACAGAAGCACGTACTAATAGCTGAATTATTAATGCTAAATATTGTCTATATGAATGTAAGAAATGTAAATCAATGTTCTGAAACATATGAACCATGGCATTAGCGAATTTCTGAACCAAAGAGTAGCATAAGACAGGAGAAAATGTGATTCAAGAAGATAAAGGGCATAAACTGTATTCTTAATTTATTCTGGACACATAGCAGGTAGTCACTGAACGTTTGTTGAACGAAGTATAGTGAGTTCCACAAGGGCATATGGAAGGGAGTTTTCTGGTGTCAACAGTGGAGAAGAGGTAGATGCACTTGAATTAAACTGAAACAGAGAAAATGGGCCTGTGTGAAAGAGACGAAAGAGCTGAGCGCTTACCCTGGGGTGGGTGTGTGTGGGTGTGTGTGTGTGTGTGTGTGTGATGTTATAGCCTTATGTTTTTCTATCACTCTAACAAGGCCTCTAACAAGGTCTTATATAAATGTCTGAGCTAGGTCACAAGTTATTAAGGAAGGGACTGCCTAGCTCTTCTGAGTTAGCATTTTGATTATAAAGCCTCACGCCCTGGAAGTCAGCAGAAAGATGTCAAGTGTGATTAAGGAGAGATGGTCATGGCACTGGTGAATTGTGGATATAACAATTGGGACCATGGTCCACACCACGCTTGGTCTTCACTACATGGAGATGATCTCTCCACTGTCCTGTTGGAGGCCTTCAACTGTATTTTGTTAATACAGTTACTGATTTTTCTTACACAATCCAGAAGGATTTTTTATTTAAAATAAATATGAACAATGACTAACAATGACTTAGATACTCCAGGAGTTTAGTATATAAATTTAGAGTGTACTTTACAGTAATCTCAACAACTTTGTCAATCTAGTTAATATCTGCATGGATATGGTTTCTATCCTGTCTCCAGAAAAGATTATCTAAAGCATATCTTTTAATGGAGGATAACCTGGGGGAAATTCTTTTCTAAAAAGAAAGGGAGGAAAAAAATATTTCCACACATCCATGGAGTATTAAAAATTAAACAGATATGAACTGTAAATAAAATTCCAGCAACGTCAATGTTTAAAAACCCTTTTAATCTCTTAAAGCTGGGAGACTAAGAAGATAAAATGCCCAGATGACAGAATTAAATTCTCTTTATAGGCCAGCCCCCATATGAAAAGAAAAAAAAATGTCAAGAGGAATCAGGGGAGTTTGCCATTAAATTAAGCTTTGTTAAATCACTTATTATGTTCCAGGTACCCTTTTACCTGCTTTCAACCTTATCTCATTTAATCTTCAAAACTGCCTCTTAAACAGTATCTGATATGTGAAGAAAACAGTTACCCAGTAAGGTAAAATAACTTCCATAAGGGAGCAACAATGGGTTTAAACCCACGTTAGTCAAGTCCAAAGGAACAAGAAAAATGAATGAAGTAAGCTAATGAATTAATAATGAAAGATTTTTTAAACCTTTTTATAAAGTTTATCAATATTTGGAAAAAAAATAAATCTAACATTTGGATTTTGTTTTATCCTTAGAAGTGAAGGTGGTACCTTGAAAACTAAGTGATACATGATCATTCAAGCTGAAAGTGTCGATGGTTTGCTGTAGGATTAAACATCACGTGGTGTTAGGTGTTCCTAGGCCGATGGATACACCCAAGGATGAAAGATGGTTAGGAGCCTGGACCAAGTCCTATTATTCATGGAATTTGTTCTGCAAATTAAAAAAAATGACCCCTTGAAAGTTGACTAAAGTGAAATTCTATGTTTGAACTCTGCTTTTCCATTGACTCTCATGTGAAAGCAAATTATATATTCAGTTAATCCATAAATATTTGTTAACTTGTTTATTCAAGGTACAATTTCCATCAGGTTTTCCAAAAACAAAGACTAAGGAAAAACAATGATGAAACCAGTAACCTGAAGAAATGATCTGTCCTAATTTAATGACAGAAATCGTTTTAGCTTCATTTCCAACTCTCTCGTTCTTCTTTCTAATACTGCACACACTCAAACCTGAAAGCACCATATCCACTCCCACTCTCCACCTCAAACAACTTATATTTATCTAAGCAGGGCCTGTTGACCACTAGAGGAAAGTATGAGAAATTCAAGATGCTAAGATTACTTGTTAACATTTAGTACTTAACCTGTGCCAGGAAACGACCTGAAGTTTTAAGATGTATCTACTCATTACATTCTAATGAACAACCCTGGAAGTGGGTAGTTCCATTACCTGTAATCTGTCTATGAAGAAACTAAGCCACTATGGTGTTCAAGTCACACTCTCAGGAGAACGGGGATATTCTTTATGAGACAAGAGGCAATGAAGATAGGTGGAGTAAATGTAGATACAGATGAATTTTTAGATGAAATGGAGAACAATTGAAAGAAATTGTCTTTATCCTTTCTGCAAAATAGGAGGTAATATAAGGAAAACTAAGACTAACGTTACTATCCTTAGGCACTCTGATGTCAAACATTTTGCATATAACTTTTACCTACTCCTTACTACAGCCCTTCCAGAAAGATATTCAGTTGCTTAGTAAAAGTCTGCAAATTCAACATTGTTTTCCACCAAATCTTGGTTCTTACCCCTCTGATATCTTACTATTCAATTCTCTAGTTGGTAGGAATGATCTTGGGAAATTATGAAGACCAGGGAAGGTTTGGAACAGTCACTGTAGGGAATGAAACTCACAGCCAGTGAGAAGTGAGCGAAGAATTGCCCCCAAAAGGTCTATGCATCAGATCTTAGGATTTGAGGTCACAAAGTGTGATATTAACATGGAACCTCTCTGGATGATTGAAGGATTCCCCATAGAAGGCAGTGCTCAAAGGATGAAGTTGAAACTGGGAGATAAACAGAATGTTTCAAATCACGCTTTTGACGTTGATGTACGCAAATACCTAGAGTAGGAGGCAAAAATCATATATGATACCTGCCATGAGAGAGGAACGGAGAGGGCCATACTTCCTTCACTCTAATTCTAAAGTCTCGTATTTTAATGCCTCACATTTGGGATGTGTCTTTAAATGGGTGGCATCTTTTTCCACTGATGGCGAGGTAGTCTTCAAAATGTAGTTGTGATTGCATATTCTAGAAATTGGCCTTGACCCGATCGTCCTCTCTGCATGACTTATGCTCACTGTGGATATCGTGAGTTATAGTGCCATTTAAAATATCTTCTAAGAAAAGTACTGTATGGTTTCTCATTGAAAAAAGTTATTACATACATAAAGGAATGGAAATAGTGCTGCAAGGCATGTATGATATGTTAATAGAGGAAATATTTGTATCAATGAAGTAAATGTGATCACAAGTCCATATGTTTTTGTGAAGCAGCAACCCAAGTGTTTTGCATAACCTGTGCCAACAAATAGATGCAGCCAGTTATGTCTGTTCCTGAGACAACTGGAAAGGATTGCCTAGCACAGATCAAACAGTGCACCTAAAGGGAGGAGAAATTGCCAAATTCCTGGAAATAGGTGTATTCCAGTTACCTCTTGCTACACAACAAATTACTCCAAAACAATCCTAATAATTTTATCATCTCTCACATTCTCCATGGGTCAGGCTAAGAAAGGGCTTGCCTGCAAAGTTCCAGCTTAATGTCTGTCATCCAGTTGCAGTTTGACGTGTCTGGAGATGGGACAGTGGGGGGGCTGAAGCAGCTGGAAGCAGGTCAGGCATCTTTCTGTCTTTCTGTAGCCACCAAGCCTCTTCCTGTGATCTCTCTGCATGGACTACTTTGGGCTTTGATATAACTTGGCAGACCCAGATTAGCTGAACTGTTTACATGGAAGCCAAAAGCTTCAAGAGCTAGAGCTGGTGACCCATGAGCAAGGTCGAAGCCAAATCTTTTATGACCCAGCTTCCAGTGTCACATAGAGTCACTTCTGCTGCATTCCGTTGGTTTCCAAGAGATTCAGAAGCCATCCAGATTCTGGAGGAGGGGAATTAACTTCACCTCTTGATTGGAAAGTAGCAAGTTTCTAGAACATATGGTCTAGGAGATGTTGTTGCAGCTGTATTTGGAAAATACAATCTGCCACTAGATGAAGGAAATGTCAAAGTGCCAGGAAGCTGGTGTTACCAGTTCATTCATTGTGCAGGACTTAACATTAAAGCACTGAAATTCCACTGAACTTCCTGCTGACTGAACAAAGCCATCTAACTTCCAGCCACGTGTGATTCAGTCAGGGAAAAAAAAATGAAATTACAAGGTTATGTTAATTAAACCTTGGTGCTCTTGAAGTATGTTGTCAATGCTAAAGGTATTAAAGAAGTCAAATTCATAATCACCAGTTGCACATCTTCCATGTCTAAATAATCCTAGAGCAGCTCATTCAGTAAGTTAGAATAGGAATTTCAAGTCATTAAAAAACAAAAATACCGTCATAGTTTAACTGGCAACATTTTCTCTTAATGGTGTGTGAAATAATGGTGTGTCTTACAATTTATGGCATTTCTAGCTTTGATGAAGTGCAGTAAGTGCCATGAAGGTGCAATGTCAGGAGAAATTTCCTTTTCCTGGCATGGTCAGGAAAGGACCCAGAGGAGAAATGGTTCTGGGAAGCTCTAGGCTTTGGAAGGTAGAAAACAGACTGCAGAGAGAAACAGGAAGTCAAGGAGCATGTTTGAAAAGCACTTTAAACGAAGCCCCGCCCCTTCCGCCCAGGCTTTGCCTGGCATCCTGTATGTGTATTTCCCACTCCAATCAGTCTTTCCCTTTTCCCTTGTGAAATTCCTGTCAGTCCTTCGTGACTCCTTGCAGGTCCTGCCCACTGCATATTGAGAAGATTTTTCGTGACTGCCACTGGAAGATAGGTGGAGTGGAGGTGGGAGGCAGTGTTAACTCTCAATCCAGACCCCTAGAGAGTGTTCTTGGATCTCACGCAGGAGGGCATTCAAGGTGAGTCACAAAGGGCAGTGAAAGAGGCAAGTTTATTAAAAACTGCTCTATGGAGTAGAATGCCCTCAGAAAGGAAGAAGAGGAATGCCTGGTAGTGGGAAGAGATAGTTTATTGAAAGTTACCGATTACAGAGTAGGGCATCCTGAGAAAACAAGCAGAGGAATGCACCATCTTTAAGTTTTTCTTATATAGGGGTCTTCTCTATGTAAAGACTAAACTAAGCTGTGACTATGTAAGAGTGAGAAGATGACATGACAAAATATATTATTCTACTGATTTAAAGAAAACTACCCTTGACATTTTATTTATTTATTTATTTATTTACTTATTTATTTATTTATTTGAGACGGTGTCTAGCCCTGTTACCCAGGCTGGAGTGCAGTGCTGCGATCTGGGCTCACTGCAACCTCTGCCTCCTGGGTTCAAGTAATTCTCATGCCTCAGCCTCCCGAGTAGCTGGGACTACAGAGGCACGCCACCACGCCCGGCTGATTTTTTTGTATTTTTAGTAGAGACGGGGTTTCACCATGTTGGCCAGGCTGGTCCTGAACTCCTGACCTCAGGTGATCCACCCGCCTCGGCCTCCCAAAGTGCGGGTATTACAGGCGCCAGCCACCGTGCCTGGCGCCAGTCTATCCTTGACATTTTAGTATGTGAGTATATCAAAACATAACTTGTTATCTTGAAAGCTTATTATCGTTATGGGTATTGGGACATCTGGATTCTCCATTATTGTGAGAGCATGTCCTTGTAGGTATCTTTAGGCTGCTTCCTCAACTATAAGCATCTTAGGACCATGGGTCGTGACTGGCAAGAAATGTACCTTGCTAGTTTGAAAATGAAGTTGATTTTAAAATGGCAGCAGTCTGGTTCCCCTAGGCTCCTGCTTTCCCTAACAGCGGCATGCAGCACAGAGCTCGGTTTGCCTGTTTTACCTATCAGAATTTTTGGTAAGGTTTCTAGTGATGAATGGGGTTCACAGCTTAGAAATGAAAATAAAAATGTAAATCATTGCAATATACCACACACTTCCGTGCTCAGTCATACAGCAGCCCATGAATTAGCCATCCCCCATCCATTTAATTAGTGCCTATTTACTAAGCATCTTCTAGGTGCCCCATTAATTAGCCAACCTCCGTTCATCTGATTAATGCCTATTTACTGAGCATCTTCTAGGTGTCTGGTACTGTGTGAGCCAATGGCTACTTCTGGTATATTTTGTTTCATGAAACTTCTGAGTTGGAGAGAAAGAAATTAAGTAAGTTTTGCAATGACCAAATTAGAAATTGATGAAAGAGTAAGGATGTTATAAGAACGACAGGGATGAAATGATTTTTACAGGGGCATTTTAACCACTTTAAATCTAAATCAATTATGTTTGATTATGCCATATTTTCTTAACCTCTATAAGCTGAATTTTATTCGATATCTTTATAACTAAGTTTTCCTCAGCATTAAATATGTGTTTTGATTCCCTCAGCAGTTACTGAAGAGAATGGTACTTAATTACTGAGAAATACTTCACATGCATTTTCTCATTAATTCTCACAACTTTATGAAGTAAGTACTGTTAGCATACTCCTTTTTAATAGATACCAACTGAGATACAGAGAAAATGAGAACATTGCTCAACCAAAGTTATACTGTAGGCAGCCGAACTTGAGCACATTTGCTTTACCATATGAGCTATTTTATGACCATTATAAAGGCCGTAGGATTCACTCATACTTCGTAGTTAAAGCTTATGTATGTTTTTTAAAGTTTTGTTGTTTCCTCTTTTATGTTTTTAGTCACCCTTCTTGAGCTACAATTTAACACCATCCATTGTATCCCTTTAGAGTGTACAGTTTGATCATTTTGACAGTTGTATACATTCATGATATCACCATGCAGACAAGATATCAAACTTCCCAGCATCTCCAGAAGTTTCTTCATGTGCCTTCTCAGTTCGTTCCTCATCTCTCTAAGATTTTAGCGACCACTGAGAGAGAGAAAGAGACACACAGAGAGAGAAACAGAGACAGAGACAGAGGGGGACAAAGACAGAGACAGGCAGGAACAGAAAGAATGAATCCCTTTTGTGCTTTTTGTACCTGGCTTCTTTCTCTCACATCATGCTTTTGAGATTCACCCTGCTGTGGCATGTGTCAGTAATATCAATGTAATGTTTTGTTGCTGAATAGAATTGTATGTGTCTATCACAAGTTATTTATCAATTTACCAGTTGGATATTTGGGTTATTTTCAGTTTTGGGGCTATTGTGAATGAAATTGCTGTGAATATTTGTGTACATGTCTTTTTGTGGACATACATACATATCTACACCAACACTTGGTATGATTGGCCTTTTTAAAAATTCCAGCTATTTTAAGGATGTACATTAGTATATTATTATGATTTTAATTTGTACTTCCTTGATGATTAATGATATTAAGCATATTTTCTTGTGCTTATTGGCCATGTGTATATCTTTTATTTAAAAATAAATGTTTGTTCAAATTTTTTTTTAGAAGGAGTCTTGCTCTGCTGCCTAGGCTGGAGTGCAGTGGCACAATCTCAGCTCACTACAACCTCCACCTCCTGAGTTCCAGGGATTCCCCTGACTGAGCTTCCTGAGCAGCTGGGATTACAGGCACCTGCCACCATGCCCGGCTAATTTTTTTTTTCTTTTAGTAGAGACGGAGTTTCATCAGGTTGGTCAGGCTGGTCTTGAACTCCTGACCTCAAGTCACTCAGGAGTCGAGGCCTCCTACCTCAGCCTCCCAAAGTGAGCCACCACACCCAGCCTGTTGTTGTATGTTCTTATTCATGCATTCTCCAATGCATATGTATGTCTATTTGTATGTAATACACACATATCATTGAAATTGCATTTTTTATTTATAATTTTTAAAAATAGAAATTGAAAATAATGAAATAAATCTAAACTTTTAATATTTTCCTCTTCATGAATCATTCTATGATTTCATACTCAGAGATACAATCCAGGATTCTTAAATTTAAATTATATTCTGGAATTAAGCCCTCACGTGTGAGTGTTACAGTAGTGAAATTTCATGCATTAGATTTCAGAACAATCAGTAGAGGAACTGTGTTTATTAATAATTAGACTTATATTTAGAAACCGTATGTCATAATAATAAATAAAAATTTCTTTTGTAATGACACAATGAATTAACAGTAAAACTGTCCTTTAAAAATTTCGAACATCACATACTCAATTTTGGCCAATCTTTATTTGTTGCTTAAAAAATAAGCATTTCTACACTGCTTTACTCAAAACCACCACAGAGTTGTGAAAAGAATTGCTGTGCATTTCTCATGAAAATGTTTGGATACCCCACCACGCACATCTGTACAATTCTCATATTTATAATCATTCATATTCAGAATAGTATGTGCCTTCTAAGTATGCCAGTGAAAAATAAAATGATTACTTTTCCTCAAACGTTCAGCAGGCAGTCTAAATTAGCCAGCTGGTCTCTTGTCATGGCTGGAAATATATAGCTTTTTATAAAAAGTGACAGTAAATATGTCTATGGCCCAGTTACTTTATATGCAAGTGGAAATTCCATCAGTGCAATGACTTATGATTGGAGAAGAGCAAAAAAGTGTATAAAGAAAGAGAAGCAATGAGAATAGTGTTTCATGTGCCTTGCAGTGGCTCACAAAAAAATAACTCATTTTTAGGAAGTGAAATCACCTTGTTTTATGGCTAGGCAGTAATCTCAAGGTCCACTTGTTAAGTTTTTTTTTATTATTGAAGATTCAGAAGTCATTTAAAAACATGACCTGTTAGAACAATTCAATGCACCAAGTCTATTTGGAAAAATTGTGTGGTAAATCATGATTCATTATGCAATTGTGATCAGCACACAGTGTTATAAATTCATCTATCTTGACTGTATAGTCCTTTCCATGCAGTTTCTTTATACAGTCTATTAGTCCACACCCCACATTTATTTATTCTTCTTTGCTTGTTCTATTTTGTTATATTATTTTTCTGTGTTTTATGTTTTGCTCTATTTTAAACTATTTACTTTGTTTAAACTATTACTCTATCTGAAACTTTTTATTGGTCTGTCTTTTGTAATCTAACTTGTGTCACCAATACCATAAAATGTATGATAGGAACAAAATGCCATAATAAATAAAACTATCTGTATCTGCACCAATACTCTGGGCTTTGAGTCCCTCACAGATCATGAAGTAATAAACAAATGCATTGCCGGATACTGGAGTTGGGGAGATCTTCTACTCTAGTCCCCATGTTAAAGATGAGAAACTGAAATCCAGAGAGGCCAGGCAACCTGCTCAGATGACACTGCCAGAGAGTAACAGCCCCAAACTTGCCTTTTTCCCAGATTGGTGCATTCTCCCCTGTGCCTTAGTTTTCTTTGTGATTAAAGCAACTGAGTAATTCAAGGTAGTCATCATCTCCAAGGCTAAATTATTCGTGACAATTGTCTTTTTCCTTGAGAATTTATTCAACCATTATTCTATGAATATTGATTGAGCAACTACCATGTGCCAGGCACTGTTAAGGTTATGGCAGCAAACAAAGACAGAACTCTCTGCCTTCCTGGAGCTTGTGTTGCAGTGGAGTGAAACAGACAACAAACAGCACAAATGAGGGAAACGTATAGTGTGCAAGATGGCGATAAGTGCTTTGAAGAAAAATAAGGCAGAGAAAGGAAATAGGGAATACATTTATATTTTGTGTTGGAGAGGAAGGGTGGGAAAGGATGAGTAAAATTTTAAGTAGAAAAGCCGGAAAAGATGTCACAGAAAAGGTGACATTTCAGGAAAGACCTAAGAAGGTAGAGAGCCATGCAACCCATTTCCTTCATGACTGTGGGAGATCTTAGCTTCCTCCACAGGGAAGAAAGTCAAGATTTTTTTCAGACATTTTTTTCTTCATCTTCTACAAGTAGTCAACTCTATTAAATGAACATCCTAATGGGAAGAGTTTTTTCTTTTACCCAAAATATTTGCAGCGATCGGAAGGGTTTCTTTTATGTTGCATATCTAGACATCACTAATTATAGCAACTGTAATCCTGCCTATGAATAATGTAAGTGGATTTAGCTGGCATTTGATTGCTGGGCAGGGAGAACTGGGTTTCCGTCAGCTGGGCCTGGGCCTGCTTTTTTGTTTACTCTCTTCCCATCAATTACACTTAGTCTGCAGGGCTCAGGTGAATCACAGCTTGAAAGGTCTCTACCACTTTGAACCACTTTACACTGAGACCTGGAAAGCAGAGAACAGTAGAAAAGTCATTTGTGTAGTTGAAAAGGAAGCAGTTTTCTGACAATGCCCATATCTTTAAGGACTTTTGAAGAAACCACTTCTCAAAAGTGCTCAGGAAGTTTAACCATTAACTAACTTTTACTGTGGGTAGAGGAGAGTTAACTTTGTGATTTTCTCATGCTTTATATGATGTTAAAAGAAGAAAATTTTCTGTGATTTAAAAAAATAATCAGGAATCTCTGCATGTGTGCCTAGACAAGAATAAATGTGAGACTTGTCAGCCAAAAATACTTTTATGTATGGATGCATAAACTTTATATATAAGTATACATTGCCGTTAGAGGCTTATAGATTTCATTTATGTGTCTTAGTTACAAAAATTGTATTATTTCAAAGGGAAGAATGTCTCCATCAAATTCCTAATTCTGTCTTCATTTATTCTTCCATTCATTTACAAATATTTACTTCGTGTATATTGCATGTTAGGCTCTGTACTAGCAGAGTCTATACAATGAGTTCTAGAACTACCTTTTCTACAGTTTGTATATTTCCTTATTCCTTAAGATCAAACTCTTTGCTGGGCATGGTGGCTCATGCCTGTAATCCTAGCACTTTGGGAGGCCAAGGCGGGTGGATCACCTGAGGTCAGGAGTTTGACACCAGCCTGGCCAACGTGGCAAAACCCCATCTCTACCAAAAATACAAGAATTAGCCAGACGTGTTTGCGTGCACCTGTAATCCCAGCTACTCGGGAGGCTGAGGCAGGAGAATTGCTTGAACCCAGGGGGCGGAGGTTGCAGTGAACCGAGGTTGCGCCATTGCACTCCAGCCTGGGCAACAAGAGCGAAACTCCATCTCAAAAAAAAAAAATCAAAGTCTGGTATAATTAGATGATTAGATGCTCATCGGACAAATGCTTTTTCAAATGTTATGTTTATTAATACATTATAAAATATAATGAGTTATAAACTGTGCAGTACTATCAATTTCAGGTGGGAAAATGGTCAAGTTTAAATTGTTACTTTAAAGGACAGAAAATTGCTATACAATGTAAGTATACCTCATTTTGAAAGAACAAGCTATTTAGATAAACAGCAGGTCAATTAAGAGGACAGTGATATTAACAAGTGATAGAACGAGTTTCAAAATTTTCAGTTTTCTAAATAGACTCTTCATTATTTTATTACAATGTCAAAGAAGATATCAAATCTATTTTCAGCCAGGGTATGGATATTTGGAATATTCACAAATTTCAATGCTATGAGGACTTTTACTTCTGTAAAGATGGAGTACACATACTTTTTCATATCTCTTCTGCTAAATATAACTAAAAATTCTGGACATTATATATAAAACAAACAGAAGAAGACTCTGAAATGTGGACAGAAGAAGGCAAACCAGCTAGGGACCCTGGGACCCAAGGAATGACACAGCAGTGAGTGGCAATTTATCTTTTTCTCTTATATATCCTAAATGTATTGTTGAAGAAACCAATGTATGCAAACACATTAATCTGGAAATAGCAATGTGTGCAAGCACAAAGAGCCCTAACAAAAGCTTTGTCTCTCTAACCAAAGGACCAAGAAAGGGACAGAGACTTTTAGACAATAACTCTTCTGCTCTAGTCTTCGGCCCATCAGAGAATTCCTGCCTTGATAGTCTTTATGTCTCACCTAAGCCTTGATGGTGGGGTTGAGGTAGGAAAGCTGAGAAACACGTGTCAAAGTCACAGCCCACTAAAAGCCTGAGATTTAATAATAATATTATGACAAGCTTCTCTTTTCCCATATGTTAACATCACCCCGACAGGACTTCAGTATAATAATAGTGGATTCCAGCCAAATGATCTGTAAGACACAAAATAAATCAGAATATAACTGTTAGAACAGAAAGGAAATATGGACAAATCTACAGTTATAGTTGGAGACTTCAACACTGCTCTCCCAACAATCATTAGAACAACTAGAAAGAAAATCAGCAAGGTTATAGAAGGAATCAACAACACCATTAACCAACATGATTGAATCAATATTTATAGGACACTCCACCCAACAACAGAATAATCATTCTTTTCACGTGGCCTCAGAACATATACCAAAATAGATTATACCATGGGCCATAAAACAAACTTCAACAAACTTAGAAGAATTGAAACTATACACAATATTTTCTCTGACCGCAACAGAGTAAAACTAGAAGTCAGTAATGTAAAGGAAACAGGAAAGTTTTCAGACAGTTGGAACTAGACAATACACTTCTAAATAATCTATAGGTCAAAGAAGAAATGTCAAGGGAAATCATAAAAATACACTGAAATGAATTAATATGAAAAGATATCAAAATTTGTGGAACACAAAGCAAGGCTGAAAGACAAATTTCTAGCACTAGATATTACAAAGGAGGAAAAGTTTCAAATCTGCAAGAGGTCTTCAAAAAGTTTATAGAAAATGTGTATTATGAAAAACTATGCATGGATTTCAGAGTTTTTTGGCACCAACATAAACTCATCCTAACTTGTTGAAGCATATCTGAACAGGATCTAGTTTAAGGCACTAAGAATGATAAGACATCAGTTTGAAAAGAGGCCCTATCAGAGCAACATGAATTCTGCTAAAATTGAAGCAATAACAAACATCACACTTGTGATGAAGCTTGGGTGGAAGACTGGTGAAATCGCTGATTATTTACAAAAAGTTTATGGGGACAGTGCCCCAAAGAAACTGGCAGTTTACAAATGGATAACTTGTTTTAAGAAGGTATGAGATCATGTTGAAGATGAAGCCCACAGCAACAGACCATACACATCAGTTTGCAAGGAAAAAATTCATCTTGTTTGTGCCCTACTTGAAGAGGACTGACAACTAAGAGCAGAAACAATAACCAACACCATAGACATCTCAAATAGTTCAGCTTACACAATTTTGATTGAAAAATTAAAGTTGAGCAAGTTTTCCACTGTATAGGTGCCAAGACTGTTGCACCCAGCTCAGCTGCAGACAAGAGGAGAGCTTTCAATGGAAAATTTGAACAAATGGGATCAAGAGCCTGGAGTATTTCTTCGAAGAATTGTAGCAAAAGATGAAACATAACTTTACCAATACGATCCTTAAGACAAAGCACAATCAAAGCAATGCCTACCAAGAGGTGGAAGGGGGCAAGTCAAAGCAAAATGGACTGGTCAAGAGCAAAGGTCATGGCATCAGTTTTTTGGGATGCTCAAGGCATTTTGTTTGTTAACTTTCTGCAAGGCCAAAGAACAATAACATCTGATCATTATGAGAGTATTTTGAGAAAGTTAGCTAAAGCTTTAGCAGAAAAACACCTGGGAAAGCTTCGCCGGAGAGCCCTTCTCCACCACAACAATGCTTCTTTTCATTCTTCTCATCAAACAAGGGTAATTTTGCAAGAGTTTCCATGAGAATCATTAGGCATCCACCTTACAGTCCTGATTTGGCTCCTCCTGACTCCTTTTCATTTCCTAATCTTAAATCTTTAAAAGGCACTCATTTTTCTTCAATTAATAATGTGAAAAGACTACGCTGACATGGTTAAATTCCCAGGACTCTCAGTTATTTAGGGATGAGCTTAATGTTGGTGTCATTGCTTACAAAATTGTCTTGAACTTGATGAAGCTTGTGTTGAGAAATAAAGTCAATGTTTTTTATTTTTATCTATTAAAATTAATAAATTTATTAAATCTATTCATTTCATTTTTCCACAAACTTTTTGAAGTCTCCTCATATATATATATATTCTTAGCTCCCACTTCAAGAACCTAGGAAAAGAAGAGCAAAAGAAACTCAAAGCAAGAAGAAGAAAGAAAATAAGATCAGATCGCAATGAAACTGAAGCAGAAAATTAGTAGAGAAATAAAACAAAGAGGTAATTCTTTGAAAAGATAAAATTGACAAAGACTGACAAAGAGAAAAGACACAAATGACCCATATCAGGAGTGAAACTGTGGATATCACCAGGTCCTGTATGTTAACTTCCTAGGGCCGCCATAACAAAATACTATGGACTGTATGTCTCTAATCACAGAAATGTATTGTCTCACAGTTCTGGAGGCTGTAAATTCAAAATCAAGGTGTCAGCAGGGTTGGTTCCTTCTGAGGGCTGTGAGGGGAGGATATGTTCCAGGCCTCTCTCCTTGGCTTATAAATGGTCATCTTCTTACTATGTCTCTTCATATTGCCTTCCATCTATGTGTATCTCTCTGTATTCAAATTTCCCTCTTTTATAAAGACATTAGTTATATTGGAATAGGGCCTATCCTAATGACCTCACTTTAACTTGATTGCCTTTGTAAGGGCCCTGTCTCCAAATAGGGTCACATTCTGAGGCACTGGGGGTAGGACTTAAACATGAATTTTGGGGAGTGCAATTTAACCCATAACACTTTACAAACAACAAAAGGACAAAAAGGGAATGCTGTAAGAAAAACTCTACACACATAAATTTTGTGATTTATATGGCCAACTGCTTAAAAACACAATCTACCACAATTTATTCAATATGAAATAGATTATTTGGGCTGGGTGCAGTGGGTCATGCTTGTAATCCCAGTACTTTGGGAGGCTGAGGCGGGTGGATCACCTGAGGTCAGGAGTTTGATACCAGCCTGGCCAACATGGTGAAACCCCGTCTCTACTAAAAATACAAAAATTAGCTTGGTGTGGTGGCAAGCGCCTGTAGTCCCAGCTACTTGGGAGGCTGAGGCAGGGAGAATTGCTTGAACCTGGGAGGTGGAGGTTGCAGTGAGCCAAGATTGTGCCATTGCATTCCAGCCTGTGCAACAGAGTGAAACTCCATCTCAAAAAAAAAAAAAAAGAAAAAAGAAATAGATCATTTGAATAGCCCCATAACTATTAAGAAAATTGAGTCCATTATTTTAGAGCTCCAGAAGAGAAAAGAAAAACCAACTCTGCTGTTATAGGTGGTTTTACTGGAGAATTATATCCAACATTTAAGGAATTCACATAAATTCTACATATCTTCTAGAAATTATAAGAGGAAGGAAAATGAGAAAATGTCCAGTTATTCTATGAAGCTAGTATTACCCTTGTACCAAAACCAGACTAAGATATTTCAAAAAAGAAAACTACAGACCAATATTTTTCATGAATACAGATGCAAAACTCCTTAACAAAATATTAACAAATAGAATTTAGCTATATAAAAGTAATTCTACTCTATGAACAAGTAGAGTTTATTCCAGAGATACGAGGCTGGTTCAGTATAATCCACCATATTATAATAGGCTAGAGACGAAAAATTACATGAAAACAAAAACTACAATTGATATGGAAAAGGCATTTGACAAAATTCAATACCCATTCTTGATTTAAAAAAAAAAATCTCTCAGGAAAACTATGAATAGAGAGGAATCTCCTCAACTTGATAAAGAGTACCCACAAAAAACCTACAGCTAAAATTATACATAATATGAAAGACAATATTTTCCCTCCAAAAACAGGAAAAAGGCAACAATGTCTGCTCGCACTGACCAATGGATCAGAACAGAAAATCCAGAAAGAAACTTACACAAAAATGCCCAGTTGACTTTTGACAAAGGTACAAAAGCAATTCAATAGAAGTATATTCTTCCCAACAGATGGTGCTGAAGCAATTCAACATCCATAGGCAACAAAATGAACCCAGACTTAGGTCTCACACCTTACGAAAAGTTAACTCAAAATGCATCATGAACTTAAATGTAAAATGAAAATCTGTATTTTTAAAAAACAGAAGATCTTTGGCATATAGAGCTAGGCAAAGAGTTCTTAGTTTTGACACCAATAGTATAATCCAATAAAAGAAAAATTGACAAACTGGACTTCATCAAAACTAAAAACTTTTGTTCTGTAACAAAAATCTGTTAAGATGAAAAGATAAAATATTTACAAACCGCATATCCAACAAAGAATTAGTACTTAGAATATATAAGAACTCTTAAAAATAAATATTAAAAAACTAACAATTAAATTAGAAAATAGACAAAGACATGAAAAGATATTTCACCAAAGAGGAATAAGCACATAAAAAGGTTCAACATCATTAGGGAAATGCAAACTAAAACCACATCGAGATATCACTACATGCCTATCAGAGAAAACAGCAAATGCTAGCAAGGATGCAGAGAAACTGGATCTCTCATAAACTGCAGGTGGGAATATGCACAATGGCACAGTCACTCGGGAAAACAGTTCGGTAGTGTCTTAAATTTATACCTACAACTACCATTCCATCCAGTAATTGCCCTCCTGGGCATTTATTCTAGAGAAATGAAAAGACACATTCACATAAATTTGTACCTAAGTGATTGTGACAACTTTATTCATAATAACCAAAAATTAAAAGCAACCCAGGTGTCCACCAACAGATGAATGGTTAAACAAATTGTGGTACATCCATACCATGGAGTACCTCTTAGAAATAAAAATAAAGAAGCTATTGATACAAACAACGTAGAGGAATCTCCGAAGAATTATACTGAGTGAGAAAAAAATGTCAATCCTAGAAGGTTACCTACTTATGACTCTATTTCTGTAACATCATTGGAATGACAAAATTACAGACATGGAGAATATATTAGTGGTTTCCAGAGATTAAGGTGGAGCAGGGGTGGGAAGGAAGTAGGAGTGGCTGTAAAAGGGCCACACGAGGGATCCTTGTGGTGACAGAAAGTTCTGTATCTTGACTTTATCAATGGCAATACCTGGGTCGTGATACTGTGGTACATGTAGTGTTGTAAGATGTTACCACTGGGGAGAACTGGGTAAAGGATATGCAAGATTTCTCTGTATTATTTCTTATATCTGTGAGTCTACAATTACCTGAAAATAAAATTATAATTTGAAAAGTTCCACTAACTCCACTTGAAATGCAGCCTCATCTACTTGCATTCACCATTTAGATTTTCAGTATTGTAATGGTGAGTTTTGTGGAAGACTGAATATATTTTAAATTCTGTAATTGCCTTCTTTAAAAACAAAATGGTAAATTAGGCAAAGAGGTTTGCTAATGACTGCAGGGATTTCTTTTGTATTATTGATTGGCTTATTAGTAAGCCACGGAAATAACAGAAAATCAAAATGAATAGGTTCCCAATTTGTTTTCTTTTTCTTTAATAGTTGTAGTCTTCCTTAATCAAATCAAATAGAGGTTATAGGTTATCCTGTGGTTCTTGCTGCCATAGAGAATCATCCAGTTCTCCATAAGAGAATTGTCTGGTTGAAATGGATGTCTTATAGAATGTGTTTTATAGAACGGAAGTTGATGACATGTATTCAACTAAATTTGTTATTCTTTCACTCATTCCTCCACTCAACAAACATTTAGAGAGTACCTACTATGTGATAGGCACTGCTCTAGATATGGGATTTCCAGAAGTGAACCAAATAAAGCCTCCAGTTCATCTAGAAGAAAAGAGAGTGCGGCGGGGAGTGCGTTCTTCCCTTCTCTAGCCCGTGGCTGTTCACAGGCTTGCCTGTCTAACTGTTCTGCAAGCTCTTGTGTTTGCTTCACCCTGTGAGTGGCGGCAAAGCAACAGTGGGTTCTCTAAGAACACAAGAAAGAGCTTATCATTCTACGGTTTCATCTCATTTCTTATGAAAATTAATTACTAGTATATCCTCCTCCTTCCTTTATATATATTCATATATATATGATGTATTAGTCTGTTTTCATGCTGCTGATAAAGACATGCCCAAGACTGGGTAATTTATAAAGGAAAAGAGGTTTAATGGACTCTGTTCCACATGGCTGGAGAGGCATCGTATCTTGGCAGAAGGCGAAAGACACGTCTTACATGGCACCAGACAAGAGAGAAAAGAGCCAAGGGAAAAGTTTCCCCCTATAAAACCATCAAATCTCATGAGACTTATTCACTACCACAAGAACAGTATGGGGGAAACTTTCCCTATGATTCAATTATCTCCCACCAGGTCCCTTTCACAACACGAGGGAATTATAGGAGCTACAATCCAAGGTGAGATTTGGGTGGGAACACAGCCAAACCATGTCATATGAAGTGACAAATATCAAGTTTTCTTATAATTGTGCATTCTCTTTAGCATGTTTCATTGTTCATGCATAAATCCCATCCCTTTTTTAAGAGTTTAGATTCCAATTTCTCCACAGGAAAAGTGTTGAGAAGTCTAAGCAGGGCTGCATCATCTCAGCTATGATTTTGTAGACTTGCATTGCGGATTGGAATGTTAGGTTGGCTGTCTTTTCTTTTTATGAATATTTTACTTTATAGTTTTACTAAATGTAAATCCCAAGGATGCTGTATTCATTAAGACTGCATAAGTGATTTTTGCGACCTAGAATTGGATGAAATGTCTGATTATGAATAAGAATTTGCAGAGTGTTGTAAAAAGGGTAATGAGGTGCAGTTGAGTCATGAAACCCATTGGCAGGGCTAAGTAAAGGACAGTCAATAGATAAATCTGTGTGTAGCAAAGAATCTGACACTTTTCCCTAGACTCATGGTGTAGCTTTGACAAAGTGCTTTTCTTCAGGTGTAATAAAAGTGTATTCATTGTGTAAGCAGCTGATAACTACTTTACAACGTAGAATAGAGAGCAGGGGGTAGCCGTGTCTGTCTACACGCACCTGTTGCAGCAGGGCATATTAGGGTGACACCTGATTCATCTAAAAATAACTCACACATATTCATCCTTAAACCAGGATCCCCTTTGTCTGCACAAGGCGCTAAACAAAACCCTCTTCTGTCGGAGGCAGAGTGAGAAGGGAGAAGCAGCCCCGCCTCTCTGTATTTTCCCCTTCAGCCAGGCATAGCTCAGTAGGTTCCATCCTTAACCCCAGTACTAATTCTCTAGGTCTTTATCTGAACTACTTTTAAATTAAATTTAAGCAACTATTTGCTCCATTAATCCATGCAACCCATTAGCACACTGTGTGCACTTACTGTACAGTATTTCAAATGAAGTAAAACTTCAAAGCCGTCTGATAGGTATGGGAAAAGGGGGGCTGATATAGCCAGAAGGAAGTAATAATCTCCCAAGGATTTCAGCAGGAGAGCTAAACTTAGTGGCAGACTTCACTTTTCGTTTAACTTTAAATGTATAGTGACTTGGAGAGGCTTGGGACCCTGCCTTGTGTTGCAGATAAAGCCTTAGGAGTAAGGAGGAGAATGGATCTAGCTGGTCAGAATGAATATTTCTGATCATCTTAAATTCTCTTTCCCTGCCCGAGTTACCAGGGAAACCGAGTTCTTGATATCTCACTTGAAAATAAGTATTTTTACCTTGAAGCAGGAGTCTTATGTCGGGGGAGGGTTTGGTATTATGGGGAGACTCCGAGGGCTGGCAGGAGAGGGGCAGGGTCAAAGGACAAAAGCCACTGCCCCTGGAGTTAGTCCAGCAACTTGGGTCTGACTTCAGGGAGATTTTATGGATCCAAAGGAACAAGGCCGTTTTGTTCCCTCTCCTTGTGAGAACTGAAATACATAAAAGATGGGTGCATTTCTCCACTTTGATTTTCTCTCCCAGTTATGAAGTGGACTGGACTGAACTAGGTCTTTCCAGGCAAATTGGAAATAGATCAGCATGGATCAGTCTTCTGAAGCCTACCTCTGGCATCCAGTCCCATAAAGCACACACACACACACACACACACACACACACACACACACACACAACCTTCGACGGTATAGTTTCATTTTCTCCATGCACAGCTCATATTTATCTGACCCTAAGGATCTTCAAATACATGAATACCTACAGTTTCTACAGTATGGTACAGGGGGCACACATCCAAATCCATGTGAAGGAAAAACTTTTGTCGCAACTCCCTCTCAGCAAATAGCCTTTTATCGAAAAACTAGAGAAACTCTCATCAATGACTTCTCTTCCCATTTTAATACAATATTAATTCAACAAGAATCTATCATACCAGAACCTCCCTAAAAAGACTAAAAGCACCCCCAAAACAATTATTCCTGAAAACGAAGAAAACAATACTAGATAATGGATAATGAAATGCTGAATGGAATACACTCAGATGCAAAAAAAAAAAAAAAAAAAAAAAAGTTCAGCCAGTGTGTCCTGGGGGCTGGGATTTAGAGGTATGATTAGGAAATGATCAATCAGTGTGAGCTGCAGGTTCTCCCGTAAACTGAAAAAAGATGTCTCTGTTTTAGGGACCTACGGTCATTTTCAGTGCAGCCACGTTTCCCCTGGTTGACTCATCTGGTTGTTTATCCAGTTTTTAAATCTGAAATTCATACCATTTTGAGTCACAATTGCACTGTGGACAATCACAATTAAAATGCTTAAGTGAAAAGCAAATACTGTCTTTCCAGAGAGTGTCTACTGATGTGCTGAGTAAGAAGTTGCTATTGGTTACTTGTTCACTGGAACATACTTTAAGTGTGGATGTGCATTGTGTTATAATTGCTTGTGGAAATGGCCTTTCTGTTTTCAGATTTTTGTGTAGCCTTCTATTGCTGCTGTTGTAATAGCACTGTTTTTCTTTTCATATAAAAAGTGAGTTAGAAGCAGATAAAAAGAGAAGCATTTGATTGCCCTCAATCAGGCGCTGGCTTGCGGTTGTCATTAAATCAGAGGCTTATTTGAAATCCGTTATTGGCAGTAACCCATTCTTAGCCAGCTTATGTGATTCTCGAGTTCGTGTGTAATTTCATGTTTTATTTGTTCTTCATGCACTGCTTCCGTGATGTGCACATTGTTATGCACCATTTCTGGGGAGTCTCACCTTGGAGCGTGCTTAGAAAGCTGGCAGAAAACAGTATTCGGTCTGTGGGTTAGCCATGTGGAAATGACAGTGTAAAAACCAAATTGAATTCATAAGCCAAGTCCTTCATTTCTTGCTCAAGATAGTAACTGCAATTCAAAATGGCATCATTTTGACATTTTTTAGTTTCCTTACATATGAGGTAGAGAATGCTCAAAGTCAGCTAAATCATTAAATCTTTTCTGATTTCTATCCAAATTCTCTTTGGACTTAAAAAGAAAAAAATGTGACTACCTCAGGCTGAAAGTGAAGTGAAATGTACTTGTAAAACTAGAGCTTGGAGGCGTGGATGCTCCATTTCTCTCTTGGTCGTTGGTGATTCTATATGACTGTATCTTATAAATATATACATTTGTGTCCATAAGTGTCCATGTATTTTAATATTGATTAGTTTCTCCACACCTACTCTTCTTTGCCTGTTAAACCTCTCCCAAGGAGGAATATTCCTGTCATGCATTATTGTAAGTAAATAACTGTGAATGTTAAGATCATTTCTTACCCATATGTCACCTCTAACCTTTGTGTAAAATGTCTTTTACATTAGCATAAATATTAAGAAGATGCCATTTCTGCTATATATAGGGCTGCCTTCAGCTAATCAGTTTTTCATGCATTTAAATAGAAATATTAGAATGATGGTAATTACTTTAGTTTTCCATGAATGATCCATCAAGACAGTGCCTTTTACTAGATGGTATTGCTCAGGGTTAGTAGGACCAAATTCGATTGTTAGCTGAGTGATCTTCAGTGTCTTGTGACTTTTAAAAAAAAAAAAAAATTCATTCTCAACTCTATTGTCTTTTCTAAGAGTAAATGCACAAATCGCTTTAAGAAGAATAATCTGTAGTGCATGGAGACTGAGAGAAATTGTAATTCATTGTAAAATAAGTCCTGTTTATTAAATGCATGAAAGACAAAAGATTTTCAGGCAGGTGACAAAACCTCACACACACGCACGCGCACACACAATGAATGTGAGAAAATTCATACTTTTTGAAAAAGTGCCTTTATCAAACAAGACTATATTACTTTCATGTATAAACTCAGGCTTTATAAGGTTGAATTTAAAACAACTTGAACTTCTGTGCATTGTTCACATATCCTTAAACAGTCTTTATCTGCTACAGTTAGATGTCGCTGATGAACAATATTTTAAACAATTTCATATTAGTGTTGCCTGGTAGCTGATGGTTCTGCTTCAGTTGCATTTTGCTCTTTGTCTGCAGAGCAGTATTTGTTTGCACCAAGAAATCGAAATAATTGCATGGTTTGCTTCATTGTTTTCTAAAAATTAGCAGAAAATTGGAGAAAATGATTGGTTTGATACTGCAAAAAGCGTAGTCTTTTAAACCCAGATAAGGAAAGAAATCTTGACACGTGCTGAAAGTTGCAAATCTTTAGTTCAACAACAGAATTATTGAACTTGAGCAAGACAAATATGTATTTAACAAGAAAGAAAAGAACAAATATTGAAACATGATATTTTCATATTATAAAAAATCTTCCACAAAATTACATGTTTGTATATATTTATATATACATGTAAAGAAATATATGTGCATTCTTATAAATGCATAGGATGGAAAATACCAGACTTATAGCAATGGTTACCTCTGGGAATGAGAGTGGAATTTGTAAAAAGAAGGTAGAGAGACTTTTGCTTTTTACTTCAGTATTGTCTGTGGTTTTGCAATATATATTTGTATATTATTTGGGTAATTTGAAAATAGTAACAAGTAAATGACCAAAAAAAGTATTAAAACTTAAGATATATCGGCAAAGTTTCCATCTAAAAAGTGATGTTTAATTAAAGACGTTAGAATCCTTTGTATAGATCAGAAAATAGAAGCTCCTTGTAACACTCCAGTCCATCTTTGGGACATTGGTCTTCCCCACATTTTCTCAGAAAAGCTTCATGCACAAAAACACTGGACTACCTGCACATGCTAAAATTGGATCCTCCCACACCCCCATGATGTCTACTGGGCAAGCAGAGTGATTTCTTTGTTATCAGTCAGGTGACGCTACTGAGGCTCAAGAAGGTTTAGAAGGAATTTGCCCAAGTTCATATGTCGTAGAACTGAACATGAACCCATGAGGGGATCTTTGGATACAGGTCCAATGTGCCTCACTGATGGAAAGGCCCTTGTCTTCCTGAAGCTCAAAGACATTCCAACGTCCTTTCATCTCCCAAAATATTTTCACTCTACCAAGGAACAAACTGCATTAGAGTATCCATCTGCCTTTTTATGATTATCAACCACCAATATTTGTTGTCTAGTAGTCTGAGGCATATTAGTGTAGCAGGAAAAATAATGCTGGAGTGAAAAGGGAAGAACAGCATAGGTCTATTAGCCAACCTGAGAAAATGCCTTACCATACCTTTCACAAATCCTAAATGACCCTGTAAATGTAACTATTGGGCTTTTTGTTTCTAGAATCCTAGAAAGATCATGGTCTTTGGAGTCAGATAGACCTGGATTCAAATTCTACCTCCGCTGCTTAAAACTCTAGAACTAGTTCCTTAGCCCCAGCCTCAGTTCTGTAGAAACCTGTTTTTTGGCTCATACCTAACAGAATTGTTGTAAAAATTAAAGTAACAATGCACATCAAGGCCAGGTATGGTGGCTCAAGCCTGTAATCCCAACACTTTGGGAGGCCAAGGTGGGCAGATTTGCTTAAGCTCGGGAGTATGAGACCAGCCTGGGAAACATGGCGAAACCTCATCTCTACAAAAAAAAAAAAATACAAAAATTAGCCGGGTGTGGTTGCACATGCCTGTACTCCCAGCTACTTGAGAGGCTGAGGAGGGAGGATTGCCTGAGCACTGAAGGTTGGGGCTGCAGTGAGCTGAGATCGCACCACTGCAGTGCAGCCTGGATGACAGCTGCTGGCACAGGCTGGTTTCCACTACAATGTTAGGCCACTGTTCCTTCCCTTTCTTGCTTATCTGTATATTTTTTGCCTCATTTCTTCTCCTATCTTGCTTCTATTCCTGCTCTTTTACAAAAAGTTGTTTTTGTTTTTCAAGTATGTTATGCAGAGCTTAAATCTGTAGACAAACTGTATTATACTTTACATTGCTATAATGGTTTGAATATTAACAAAGTGCTTCCACATACACTAATGGTATTTGCTCTTCTAAAATATGTTATTAACCATCAATGCTTGGTGTCAACTTTCTCCTTGATCAGCCAGTTTCTCCTATGTCATTGAAATCTAGAATATTAACTGTTGGAGAATACAAATTTAGTGTCCACATAAAGCTCAAGAGACTGTGTTTGATGTGCTCCCATGTTTTATGCCATCAGCATATAATAGCAACACTTTGAAAAAAGTTTAAGTAGATATTGGCTTTTGTTGCCAGTACCAAGATTTATTGGTTCAAGAGTTATTGATCATGGGCAAATCTTGGCCATTATTATGCCTTGAGGACAAATAAATCTTTATCAGCTGAACATGAATGAATATAATTATGCTTCACTTATGCACATCTTTTTCCTAACCATATTGGGTTTTCAGCCAAATCATGAAATATGAGAGAAACTACTTAGGGAGGGAGTTGTAAGGAATTATGCCAAGAACGTTCGTGTTTCGCAGCAGTGCCAATGCCAGCTCTTGCTGACAGAATTGAGGTAATCTAAGCAAAATGGAGAAATTAATTTTTAAAGATACTAACTCAGATATACAAAAACATCGTAGAAGAGAATAAAAAACTTTTAGAACTAGAAACAATATCATATCATATGATATGCATACTAGTCCATTCTCACATTGCTATAAAGAACTACCTGAGACGGGGTAATTTATGAAGAAAAGAGGCTTAATTGTCTCACAATTCCACAGGCTATACAGGAAGCATGACTGGGGAAGCCTCAGGAAACACAATCATGGCCAAAGGGGAAGGAGGCACGTCTTCCATGGCCAGAGAAGGAGGAAAAGAAAGCAAATGAGGAGGTGCTACACACTTCTATAAATGACCAGATCTCATAAGAACATCTGCCTCCATGATCCAATCACCTCCCGCAAGACCCCTCTTCCAACATTGGGGATTATAATTCAACATGAGGTTTGGGTGGGGACACAGATCCAAGCCATATTGATATGTTAGAACAGGTAGCTGAGCAAGGTCTCAGAAAGGAAAGGCAGAAAAGTTGTATAAAAGCCAGGAAATTTGAATTATTTTAAATCTTACTCAGTGATTCTAATTTGCAGCCTTCAGAGAATGACTTACCCCTTTATTAGAGGCAAAAAAAAATGTTTCAAAGTTTCCTTCTATTAGCATAGAATAATTTTATGTCACTTTTGTTTAAAGCAACCATATCACCTTTGATGAAAACCTTCAGCTCTTCATTATATGACCTTTGGCCAAGATAGGTAGTAGGTCTTTGCTTATCACCTACTGTAAATCTGCTCTCAGTGCTAGATATTTTCCTGTTGAGTTTCAGCTTGATTTTGGTCTGGCATTTAAGCCACTAAATCCTTTTGTGTTTTGATTCTGTCATGCTTTTCGTTACTGCTTTGTTTCATTTGTCATTTAATCAGCTGCCTTCTCTATCTCAATGCCAAGTACTGATAGAAGTTGGCAAGGATGTGCCAGAGAGTCTTAGGGTACCCCCAGACCCATGCTTTTTTACATAACTGCTTAAAACCTGATGCTTCCAGCCTGTCTCTCCATCTTACATGCATGTTCTAATTTTAGGCTTTATAAAATGCAATGCTGACATTAAAAAAATTTTTTGAATAGGTTCAAGGTGATTTCTAGTGAGCACCAAGCTGCCTGTCAAAACACAACCAACATTAATTACATGGTAGTGTGATTAATATCAGGAATACAACTCTAAATTTTTAGATACAGGAAATCTTTAGTCTTTTTTCTGTTGTCCCCAAGTCAAGTTCAAACTGACATTGTTGTTAGTGCCTTTTTGATCTCAGGTTGACCTGACAGATAATTTTAAAAATAACCAAGTTTGCTGTGCCAGGATAAAAAATGGAGATTGGAAGAGCTACGTGTTGTGGACGTCTATCTTTTATAATGTTTTTGCCCATGATCTAAGCAGAGGTGCTATGCTTTGATTTCTAAACATCGCAGAAAGAATATTTTTACTGAAAAAAAAATGTAAGGAAGCATCAGTTTATTTTTCTCCCTTGGTTTTTCTTTACTTTTCTGAATTTCTAGAATTGGAAATTACACCTAATGAGATGATCATAACCTAACTATGATTGGCTTCAAATTATATATACGTAGTATTGGTTATGATCATCTCATTAGGTGTAATCTCCAGTTCTAGGAATTCAGAAAAGTAAAGAAAAACCAAGAGAGAAAAATAAACTACATGCTTCCTTAAAAATTTTTTAGTAAAAATATTCTTTCTGTGATGTTGAGAAATCAAAGCATAGCACCTCAAATGTGGATGGTGACCGTCACAGGAACACAGCCCTTAGCAGTGGGTTGCTGTTTGATTTCCCAAAGAATACACAATCTCTAATGCTATAGAGAGGCACCAACCATACTTCACTGTTCCTCAAATGCTGCATCTGGCCTTTGCCACGTGGCTTCATGAACTGGTGCATTGGGTTGACCGGCAGCCAAGAACGGTTCTGTGAAGAGTCCAAGGCATTTTAGGAGGATGGCTTTACTACTGGAGTGGTTGGCATCATCAGGACAAAATCCACAGCCAAGGTTTACAGCCATATATGACAATCTGTCCTTCACTCTTCTTTACCTTGTGCATTGCTTTATGATTGACAAAGTGTTTTTGTACTCTAGTGAGTTTACTTCTCTCAGACACTTTTTAATATAAGTCATCGTCCCTCTTTATAGAGGTCACCAAGGCTCAGAGAGGGCTAGTAACTTGCTCCAGGAGTCCTACTTCTCATGGCAGTGCTGGGGGGGTAACCCTGGGCTATTGACTGAAGTTTCCAGTTATCTTGTCCCTAGAATGCAGCTCCCTATGTTTCTGCATAAAGTTGTTCTCTATTTAATCTCCAAATATTTCTGTATACACCAAAGTCATTAAGACATTCTGCACCCATCTATCTTCCTACTTTTAGGCCCTTCTGGGAGAGAATTTTTATTGCAAGCATAACACACACAGTGGCCATTTGATACGTCTTCATGATGATCATATAAAATCCTTGCAGGAGGTCTTGTTGACATTTTTTAAACTTTCTCTTTAGTCATGTTGTGGTATGTTTATCCACCTCCCAGTTTTAATAATCTCATACTAGGACATTACTATGCTGGGAAAGAATGTTTGCCTAGTGGTAGGGTAAGAATCCACCAGACCAGAGATTAGATTTGAGGTGTAAGCCTAAATCTACTGTCAATTTGTGTTTCCTTTTGTGCACCCTTCCAGGTGAGAGAGAGTGGGGAAGAGGGTCAGAGGGACATCCAGGGAACTCCTGGGACTCCAAGAAGCATGGTTCCTATTATAGAGGGAGCATTGGTATATGAGTCAGAAGACTACTTCCAGATGTGTTTTGTTAATACTATACTAGGGGACCTTGATGAGATCATTCATTCACTCTCTAAATGTCCATTCTTTCTTCTAAAAAAGAAGGATTCAGGTTACTGACTGTTTGTGAAAGCATCCCACAAAACACTATAGAAATTTAAGATAAAATTGCCAAAGTATACAAATTTTACAAAAACCATAATAATGTATTTATTTTGCAAATGCTGAATCAGCCTCTTAAAATATCCCCCATGAGAACATATTTTAACACAGATTTGCATCATTCCCTTTGATTACTATTCTCATTCTCAAACAGTGAAAATAGAGAAACATGGCACCATACACAACATTCACAGATCTTAGGTAGACATAATAACAAGAGCTGAGCATTTTTTGTTCAACTCTACCCAACTCCTTTTCTCTCTAACTTGATTATGAGCTTGGGTTTCATCGGTAAGCACAGCTCATGCAAGAATGTAATTTCAACATCAAGTTATCAGCTGTCCACTATGCAGCCCCAGAAGTTAGTTCAAGTGTCCAGGACTTCCTTCACTTTTGTTCACATTCAAGCAATTGAATTTACACTTCCTGTGCAAAATTCAGAGACAGTGGAATAAAAGCAATGACTTAAATAGGTTTTTGAGGCAGAAAGTTGAAACATGTCTCTCTTTAAGAAGCAAGCAAGTGCTGTCAACTCACTTTAGCATAGAACAGGAGTCATCGCTATGAAAAGACTGCACACATCACAGGAACATATTACTCGGATGGGGGACAGAGCAAACCAGTGATGATGGGCACTGATAAGATCATGTTGCCACTGCTTTATAAACAAAAGCTCTTCAACAAAACCAATGTCAGCAAAAGGTTCACTTATTCTTGCTTTACTGAGCATGAAATGGGATTGAAAGATGGTATTAAATGGATTATTAAACTGAAGAAATGATGTCTTGTGATCTTTCACACCAAAGCCCCCACTTGAGACATGCATCATCTCAGTGAAAAACTCTCCAAAGACTCGGGTCATTTATATGGAACCTGAGCCTTTTAGATATTAGACTGAAAGTTTTGCTTTCCATTTTCATGCTGGAATTGATATACCTTAGGGAAGATTATTGTTGTTCTTCGGTTATTTTATTCGTATGTTAACATGTAGAAAAGAAATGTTTGCGAGAATTAGTAAATTTAAAGAACAGAACCTCTTAATTTTCCATGTACCAAGAAAAAAAAAGAATTTATTTTAAAATATACAAACTACTTTTTAAATTTCTAGCATTTTCTCTGCTAATTATTTTTTTAATTTCTACTGGTTCCAGATTAAAACATAAATAATGTGTTTAAAACATTTCTTTGTTTGGGCTTCTGAAGACAAAGTTACACAACAAAGTCTCATTTATTAAAAATCCAAAAAACTAAAAGGATAAAATAATCATTATTTCTCCTTCTTAGACAGTGAAACTTGGCATTCTTATATAATTAGGATCCAAGGCACAGAACAAGGTTAAGAGCAAATATATGCTTCACTGTACTGTTTCTGAGAGTTGTAATATTTTAATATGACAACACAGCTGAACAAAGTCATTAACCTCAATATGATTTTCCCAGTCTTCAAAAGGACTCCGAGTTTTGTTTTTGGCAATATAATAGATTATCATAGACTATACACTTTGAATAGATCCTCCCTCTAAAAAGAACTGAAAATTATGGACTTCTGACAACTTTAAATGCTTATATGAGATGGTAAAAATGTTAAAAATTCAGAGACCAAAAACATCTGGAAGTAGAAACCAGAGGTGTGGGCTGACTACTGAAACTAACATTTAATCTGAGGGCATTTGCTTAAGTTGATATTGAGCTTTCTGGTCTCAAGGAGACCTCAATAGGAGTTAACAAATTAAGGGATCTCTCCCAGGATGGTGAGCCTCATAGGAATGCCTACTAGCATAAAGTTAAACTGGAAACAACCCAAATCTTCAACATTCATCTTTATCTTAAGGTAATCGAAGAAAATCACCTATCAAGTTCAGATGGAAAATTGGCACTGACAGAAAAATATTTCCCCTTAAATTCTATAACAACGTCAGGTATCAAACCAAATTCACACTCAAAAATTTCAAGTTGAGAATGCCCTTTATGTAAACCCAGGTTAAAGATTTTATCAGTAAATTCACAGAGGCAAATGCAAATCCTCTGCAGAAACTCACCTGCTGTCCAGGCCTCAAAGAAATGTCATGGATACAAGTGTAATGACATACACTGAAATAATGAGCTTCTAGTGGAAAACACTAAACACATAAGCAAACAAAGTTCTATACACAAGATTTTGATACCGGGATCATCAGAAACAATGTAAAATGAGTATGTTTCAAGAAATAAAAATATGAACTTAAAAATATGTCAGAAAAAAAGAGACTTTGTTTAAATGACCAAGGAGACTTGAAAGCAAGAAAATTGAACTTCTAGATATAAAAAAAAAAATAAAACCTAAATCAACAAAGGATTAGATACAGCTGAAGAGAGAACTGAAAAGCTGAAAAATAGATTAAAAGAAAATTTTCAGATTACAGAGAGGTGAGAATATAGAAAATACAAAGAAAAAGTTGAGAGACGTGTAGGATAGTATAAGAAGGACTAACATTCATATAATCAGAGTGCAAGGGAGAGAAAATGTAAAGAATGGAGAAGATATTAATCCTTAGAATCAGTAAGTTCTGCAAATCCACATCAAAATAAATACAAGGAAATCCACACTAAGAAGGGTCACAGTGAAGCTGAAAAACACCAAAGATAAAGAGATTTACAGACAGGGAGAAAAACAACTATTATGACAAAGGAATGGCAGTTATACTGATAGCTGATCTCTGAATAGAAACAAGGGAACCCAGACAAAGCAGAATAATATCTACCATGTGCTGAAAGAGAATAAGCCAATCAACAGTTGTCTACTCCATGAAAATACTTCCAGCTAGAAGTGAAAATGAAGATATTTTTGGACAAACAAGAGCTGAGAGAGATTTTCACCTATTTATTATCACTAAAGAAATTAGAAGGATGCATTTCAGAAAGAGGAAGTTGATTACAAATGGAAGGCCTGGGATGCAAGAAGGAATAATGAGCAAGGAAGGTGGTAAACCTTTTTAAAATGACTATATAAAACAAACAGTCATCTCTTATGTGGTAAGAGTAGACTAAAGATAGGCTAAAATACACAATAATGACATATAAATCGAAAACAGTGCAACCAGAGAAAGTGGAAGGTCTTGTATTAATTGAGGGATAGAAAATATATTTATTATATTTGAATAATCAGTTAAGTGTGCATATAAAAAATGCCTAGGATAACCATTGAAAGAATAAAGAGTGATAAAGAAAATAGTCAACAGACCAAGTTTGCACAACTGCCAAACTAATTGAAGGAAAAAAAATAGAATGAGAAAAATAATCTTTAGAAAAGGGAAAGAAATGAAAGCAATAAACAAATGGAAAGGAAAATAGACAAAAATAAGGTGATAGAAATAAATGGAAATATATCAATTAATTTTAAAAACTGTAACTCAATTAAATTTTCAGTTACAAGACAAGGGTTGTCAGACTGTATATCAGTACTGTTTAGAAGAGACAACAAAAGCATAGGGAATCAAAATAGTTACAAGTCAATAGATGGGAAAAATGAAGCAGAAATATACTGACCAAAATAAAATCGATGTAGCTATATTAACATGAGATTAATCTATCTTTAAGACAAAATACATTTCTAGAGATTAAAATGTTCACTACAGCATGGTGGAAGATTTAATTGACATACCCCTATTCATAACTGATAGATCAAACAGACAAAAAAATCAAGCTATAGATTTAGAAACAATAAGTTAATCTAATAAGTTATATAGAATATTCTAAAATTAATACTATTAGCAAACTTACGGCATGTTGATTAAGAAAAATGACAAAGAAATGAAGCATTATAAAATTGAGAATGAAAAGGAAATTATATCAAACTATGTAAAATTTTTAAAATAATAATGAGTATATTAAGACTTTTGCATCAATACATTAGAAAAGTAAGCAAAGCAGACAATACACCATACCCCTCCACCAAATAATTTACCAAATTTGAATCAAGGAGATAGAAAAACTGATCATTTCTATAATTAGTAAAGAATGGGAGTAATTAAAAGTCTCCAAGAAAGAAAATTCTAACTCAAATGGTTTCAAGAGGAAATTCTACCATTAAAGAAATAATTTCAATCATAAACAATATATAAAAAGAAGTGTATTCCTCAGCTATTTTATGAAGCTATGATAACCTTGTTATCAAAATTCTGACAAAAATGGCTGCGAGAAGGGAATAGTTATAAACTCATCTCTTTCACATGTATAGACACAAAAACCCAAACAAAGTATTAACAATCTCAATCCAGCAATGCATAAAAAAGATAGTACTTAATGATAAGACTGTTTTGTCCTAGTCAAACAAGGTTTGTTTCACATTACAATGTCTATTAATACAATTCACTACATTAATGATTTAAAATGATAATACAATTAAAAATTATATCATCAGTTCAATAGACTTAGAAAAAGCCATGTATAGTTTCTAGGAATCTAAGCAAAACATAAAATTTTCTTTAAGACAAAATTGTAAATCCCACTATTACCTGTTTAACTTAAACTATTACTTGTTTAACTTTTTAAACCTCCTTCATACTTAAGAATGAGATATAAAGCATCTTAGATGAAAAACTTAGAGATACAGTAGAACTATTAGGACTAAGAGGCTCTGCCTACACCTGGTAGACCCAACCTCAGGTACTTTTAGTGACTGCTAAGGATCTTATGATTTCATTTGTTTGTAGAAGTGAGTTGAGAATTTAAGGAAATGAAAATATGCTTTTCTACTTTAAAAATATTCTTTCTCCCCATATTTATTTAGCTTAAAACAGTTACAAAATTTCTTTAAAAGCCAATTATTTTAAAATTAGCAAAACTGGTAAAATGTGCTGTGTTACTTTTTAAAAATAAATTCAAGAGGATTACACACATCATCAACAGTGCCTTTATAAAATGACAGGCAGGTCCTAGGAAACAGTTTTCAGTACTGTGATGGTTAACATTAGGTGTCAACTTGATTGGATTGAAGGATGCCTAGATGGCTGGTGAAGTATTGTTCCTAGGTGTGTCTGTGAGGGTGTTACTGGAAGAGACTGACATTTGAGTTGGTGGACTGGGAGAGGAAGACCCACCCTCAATGTGAATGGGCACCATACCTTGGGTTGCCAACCAGGCTAGAACAAAGCATGCAGAAGAAGATGGGATAACTTTGCTTAATGAATCTTCTGGCTTCCTTCTTTTTCCCGTGCTGGATGCTTCCTCCCACTCCTCTGGCCCTTGGACATCAGACTCCAGGTTCTTCAGCCTTTGGACTCTTGGACTTACACCAATGGTTTCCCAGGGTCTCTGGGGCATTCGGCCACAGACTGAAGGCTGCCCTGTCAGCCTCCCTGGTTTTGAGGCTCTCAGACGCGGAATGAGCTACTACTGGCTTCTCTCTTCCCCAGCTTGCAGATGGCCTATCATGGGACTTCGCCTTGTGATCATGTGAACCAATTCTCCCTAATAAACTCCCTTTCATGTATGCATATATCCTATTAGTTCTGTCCCTCTGGAAAACCTTGACTAATACAAGTACCATTAAGGAAGACATCTAATTTAAATTTACAATATTCTACATTGGAAAATATTTGAAACAGACCAACAAGGGGGAGGAGAGTACCTATGAGTAGGCAGTTGGCTGTTTCGAGATTAAGAAAGATGCCGACAGTTTCAGTTATTTTTTTTGTACACAAATGGAGAGTTTAAAATAGAGCCAGGTTTTTAAATTTCCCAACAGGAAGCAAGTAATGCAAGTCAAACTACAACTGGAAATCACTTTCTCAAAAAGCAAAAACACAGGTATATGACAATATGTTTCTTCTCAAGTCTCAAATTTACATGCAGTGATTGAGAAGAGAGAAGATAATGCTAAGTGAATGGCATTATCATCAGTTCATTTTGCATTTGTACCTTTGTGGTAACTATGACTGGTCCATTAAGTATTTCTGAAGCAGACTAGCAGTTTGCCTGAAAGAAGGTCAGGGATGAAAGTGATGATGTCCTCTTTTAAAGAAAGATGGATAAACTACTTTTCTTGAAAAAACCCTTTTTCCTTTAATTCATGAAGATTCCTGTCCTGAATGTCCAATTATTCTATCAAGTACAAGATCTTTCAGATTCGTCAGTTGGAGAGAAACTTGAGTCGCTTAAGTCTGGATTTTTATTCTTTATTTCTTTATTTTAAGAGACAAAGTCTCCTCTGTCTTCTAGGCTAGAGTGCAGTGGCACCATTATAGCTCACAGCAGCCTTGAACTCCTGGGCTCAAGGGACTCTCCCACCTCACCCTCCTGAGTAGCTGGGACTACAGGCATGTGCCACTGCACCCAGTGGTTTCTGGATTTTGATGAACTACTTCTTAAATTGCAATCATAGAAGTAACTAATAAAAGACTTCTTAGGGAGAATTTAGTCTTAAAAGGAAGAATAACCTTTACCCTTTAAGATAAACTTTACCCTTCATGAGTAAAATGAATTTTATATCATTGGAAAAAGGAATTATGTACAATAATGCTCAGCTTCCAAGAAATATTGAGCTGGGAAGCTGAGTGAAGTCACCAGAGGGCTGGATGAGGATAGGCAGGAAAGAGGTACAGGGGTGTGAATTTGAAGTGACACCAATGAGCCCAGGCAGTGTTTTTCTCCATCCACACACAGGTGAGGAATAGGAGGACAGCGGAATGTAAAAGGGTTCAGGCTTTGTCATGCTGGTAAATCAAAATGAAAGAGGAGAATGTTGAAGATATGTGTGAGGGGGTTATTCTAATGGTTGCCTATGACATTTTAGCTGAATAGAGAAGGAAGTAAGGACATGGGGACAAGTGAGGTCATGAGGAAAGAGAGAGAGAGAGTGAGTGAGAAGATTGATGAACTTTAGAGCTGATGGAACTGAGGATTGGAAGGGGGATCTTAGAAGAATTTGTATGAAATGTGAGGTGTTGGTCATAGAGCCAGATGCTGAAAGTCAAGGTCGTGTATTGGTTATTGGTTCTGAGAAGGTCTAGGTCTAATGACCGTGGGAATAAGCGGCTGAGGTAGGTGGAGGACAAGATACTTTGAAGAGAGGAGGTCAAGAAACTGAGAGACCAAGAAATTGGATTAATTTCTTACAAGGATATAAAAATCACTAACAAATTTAACAGGAGTCATTTTGCAGAGTGAGCCAGGAGCTAAAATATTCAAGTAGAGCAAATGTCCTGGGGCCTGGTAGATAACTGCAACAAGATGTTACGGCTTGAAGACTTGAAACTCAACAGTGATTATTGTTAAGGAAGAAGGGAGGAAGAATGATCCAGAAAGAGCAATGAGGGACAAGGAAAACTCATACTTCACCTCTGAGTCCAGTGAGGGGAGGATTATGGGAGAAAAATGGCTACTACTTGGCATCAGAGGAAACAGTTTTCTTAGTGGGAGCCAAGGACAGGATGCAAAGGAAACATTCAGAAAAGAGGTCAGGGTGTGGCGATTTTTGCCAATGACTGCGATTTCCAGAAGGCACAGCAGAAGGTTTCCCACAGCCTTATGGGAATTACTGTGCAGGAGAGGAAGGGAGCCCAGGGTTTCATATGGTGGCTGACATTCTCAGGGGTAACAGCCATAATGACATTAGTCCTGAATGCCTTTAGGCAGAAAGTGGTGAGAATTCTTTGAATAATATTAGGCAGATCAGGTGGTGGTCTTGCCAGAAGTGGGCAAAAATTCTGAGGATCTCTTTTGGCCCCTGATAATGAATGCAGTATCATGCTAGAAATCTCTGTATCGGTATTGTGCACAGCTGAATTGTTACCTACTTGTGTGTGCCTTGATTTTCCAGAAAGACTGTGAGGTCTCCTATCACTGTATCATTGTGTTTTTTGCATTGTACTTTCTTGCTCTACATGACTATCATACGTGTTATGGATTGAACTGTCTCCACTCCCCAAATTCATATGCCTCAATCCTCAGTACCTCACCATGTGACCTTATTTGAAGATAGGGTTTTCACCTTACTTGGAGAGAGGATAATCAAGTTAAAGTGAGGTCATGTGGGTGGGCCCTAATCCAACATGACTGGTATCCTTATGTTTAAAAAAGAAAATTTGGACACAAAGAGACACATACAGGGAGAATGCTACGTGAACATCAAGTTGGCCACCTGCGAGCCAAGCAGAGAGGCCTGAAACAGCTCCTTCTCTCACAGCCTCTGAGGAAACCAACGCTGTCAACAGCTTGATTTGGGATGTCCAGCCTGTGGAACAATAAGACAATAAATTCCTGTTGTTTAAGCCATCCAGTTTGTGGTACAGTGTTACAGCAGGCCTAGGAAGTTATTAATATTACAATAATTCTATATGAGAGAACCAATAATTCTTCTTGAGAGGAGGAACTAAATTTTATCTGCATTTCCAAGGCCTCACAGCACCGCATATACCTTACTCTCACTCAGATTTAACGACTGTCTCTTGTGTGGATATATTTTTTTATTTGAGTTTTACTTGTTAATTATAAAGCCATTGAAGAAAGAACCAGTGGCAACATCTAAGGAATTAGTTTGCAGTGTTAAATGATCGGAGGAATCTTGAAAGTTATTTTCAGGAGTTGGATTATGGCTGTGCACCGCGTTTAAAAGCTGGACTCGGTACCATAAACCAAAGTTCAACTACCTGCCTTTAGCATTATGCTGACATTAAAACATCCTACTTGCTATTTCTCTCTCATTTGCTCAACTGTTTAGGTGTTTGAGCCCAATTTACACCAACACAGATCTTTCCTTTGGATCCATTTCATGGGATTTGTATTGACCCCATATGTGACTCCCTGTGTCTTCATACCCAATAAATTGGAGGCATTTTTTTAAAACCTACTTCTACTGAAAGGTGGTTGAGGGAGACCTGGGTCAAGTACACCTTTGATGTATTACTAATTATATTCTTATAATTTATTGAAAGGTAGAATAACTTGGGGAGCCTTGGCAACCTGGATGAATAGAATTGATGATGGAGGGAAAACCTTATTATAAATAGCCTTGGAAGTAGAATATATTTGAATGGGATTAAATATATTTATCAGCAGTAAGGATGACAGTTCACAGAGTGATTTGCTTGGCTACACAGCTACTGAGTCTGATGAGATCCTTAGCTCACTTGGGTGAATCTCAAAATTCATAGTTTCAATGCCCACAAGCAGTAAGATTATCATTAAAAACCAACTTCAGCAAAAAACAAGAAACTAGATTGTCAGCAGAAATGCAAAGTTCTAAATTAAATTTGAGAAATTATTATGCAGGATTTGGAACTGTCTGAAGTGTACTTTCAGTTGTTCTCTCTCTCTCTTTCTTTATACATATATATTATACATAAAACTTTTGTTAGAGGGGGAGAAACCTAAACAGTTTAACAACCTTTTTAAGGCTTTATGCATCACAGGCCTTTCTCATATGTACTATATGTATATAAGGTTACTTATGTAACCTTAAAACATATCGAAACAATAAAAGTGAATAAGGTGCAGAATGTGAGAGAACTAGTTGCTCCACTTCTCTATTGTTGTATAACAAATCATCCCAAAACTAAGTGGCTATAAACAGGCAATATTAACTCTTATGGATCTGGGGTTGATTGGGCTCAGCTGGGTGGTTTTCACCTGGAGTCTCTCATGCAGCTGCAGTCAGACAGTGGCTAGGTCTGGAGTCAGTTCAAAAGATTTCCCTCTCACATGTCTGACAATTAACATCAGCTGCAGTCTTAGCTGGGGCTTTCTGTAAAACACCTATAAATGGCCTCTGCTTCCTCATCACATAGCACCTGGGATCTGAGAGCAAACTTCTCAAAAGAAACCAGATTGAAGCTCTGTCTTCTTGTATGACCATGCCTGGGAAGTTGCATCACTTCCTTTGCAGTCACATGCCCGCCCAAATTCAAAGGGAACATAATGCCACCTCTCACAATGTAGTGGCTACATTCCTCCCTTGAAAGACCTTCTTATGGCCAGGATGAAAGACCTTCTTGTGGCCATCTTGGAAGATAGAATCTGCTACAGCCTTCTCTCTGGCCAAGATAATTCACTTCCTCCACATATAAAACATACTCATTCCCTTCCCTCAGGCTCCCAAGACTCAACCCATTATGGCACCAGGTCTAGGAATCATCATCTAAATCACATCTGCACGCTAATTAGGATCCTTGGGTGTGCCTCCTTGGGTACGGCCCCTTAAGTACCATTCCTCCCTATCTGAAAACCTGTAAACTAGAATAAGAGAAATATGGCTCTGTCCTGCCCGGCCCACAGGCAGCCAGACCTATTGGTTATCTCCCTTGTTCCCTGAAAATCACTGTTATCCTGTTCTTAAGGTGCCCAGATTTCATATTGTTCAAACATACATGCTCTACAAACAATGTGTGCAGTTAACGCAATCATCACAGGGTCCTGAGGTGACACACATCCTCAGCTTATGAAGGTGGTGGGATTAAGGGATTAAAGTAAAGACAGGCATAGGAAATCACAAGAGTATTGATTGGGGAAGTGATAAATGTCCATGAAATCTTTATAATTTATTTTCAGAGATTGCAGTAAAGACAGGTGTAAGAAATTATAAAAGTGTTAATTTGGGGAACTAATAAATGTCCATTTTTTATGTCCACATAAATCTTCACAATTTATGTTCTTCTGCCATGGCTTCAGCCGGTCCCTCCATTCACGGTCCCTGACTTCCCGCAACAAACTAGAGAGTCAAATTGTCTTCCCTCCTCCCTCCCAGTTCACCCAACATGCAATAGTGAGACAAACTAAGATCACCACTTTGTTTACTCTCATTCAAAAAAGTGGAGAACTGGAGGCAAACAGCAAGTCACTGTTGCATAGCAATTCTGAAATCCTGCTGAGCACATATTGCCAGTTCCCTGAGTCAGGCTCAGTCCTACTGTCTTGTTCTTCACTGTGACTCTTATCTCTTAGTACTGCTTCTAAGTCATACTTGCTTTCCCAAAAGAAAACTGAATTGGAATTGACTAGCTTTCTCATCCTGCTTTCTGTCCATAAAAGATTTGGGCCCAAAAGCTTCTTTTCATTTTGTAAGTCTCTGTCCCTTTTAATGCAAGTTGATGAGGCTTCTGGCAAAAGAATTTTCTCCAAAACTTTGTATTTGTGTATGCATTTATGATCCACTCTATTAGAAAGGGTCATATCTACAAATCTCTTGGAGATAAATCCTTCTCCATCTAGAGATCCTGGTGAGACTCCTGTGGGACAGCGTCCTTAATATGCTGGAGGGGAGAGGGGTTTGTCTGTTCAAAAAGCACAGCCTTAGATCTTCTTAAGATCGTAACAAAGCATGCTACAGTCACACCTGTGGCTTCATCCTTAGACCACATTTTCCTGACACTTTTTACCACTTTCACCCTGGATTTGATCTGTGTGTGTGTGTGTCACCACCCAAATCTCATGTTGAATTGTAATCCCCATATGTTGAAGGATGGGCAGGGTGGGAGGTGATTGGATCATAGGGCAGTTTCTCATGGCTTAACACCATCCCCCTAGTGATGACTCGTGAGTTAGTTCTTGCCAGATCTGGTTGTTTGAAAGTGTTTCAGCACTTTCTCCTTCACTCTGTCTCTCCTGCCACCATGGAAGATGTGCGTCGTTTCCCCTTCCACCATGATTGTAAGTTTCCTGAGGCCTCTCCAGCCATGTGGAATGGTGATTCAATTAAACCTCTTTTCCTTAAAAATTACCTAGTCTCAGGTAGTTCTTTTTTTTAAATTTAGTGAAGTCTTCTGATAGCAGGATTTGATTTTTTTCATCATAATTTATTTTAAGTTTCGGGACACATGTGGAGGACATCTAGGTTTGTTACTTAGGTAAATGTGTGCTATGGTGGTGCACAGATCAACCCATCACCTAAGTATTAAGCCCAGCATCCATTAGCTATTCTTCCTGATGCTTGCCCTCCCCAACCCCCACAACAAGCCCCAGTGTGTGTTGTTCCCCCTGATGTGTCCATGTGTTCTCACTGTTCAATTCCAACTTATAAGTGAGAACATGCAGTGTTTGGTTTTCTGTTCCTGTGTTAGTTTGCTGAGGATAATGGCTTCCAACTCCATCTATGTCCCTGCAAAGACATGATCTCATTCTTTTTTATGGCTGCATAGTATTTCATGGTGTATAGGTACCACATTTTCTTTATCAAGTCTATCATGGATGGGCATTTGGGTTGATATTTTGTCTTTGATATTGTGAATACTGCTGCAATGAACATACACAAGTATCTTTGTAATAGAATGTATCTTTGTAATAGAATGATTTTCATTCCTTTGGGTATATACCCAGTAATGGGATTGCTGGGTCAAATGGTATTTCTGCCTCTAGATTTTTGAGGAATCACCACACTGTCTTCCACAATGGTTGAACTAATTTACATTCCTACCAACAGTGTAAAAGTATTTCTTTTTCTCTGCAAACCCATCAGCATCTGCTGTTTCTTGACTTTTTAATAATAGCATTCTGATTGGTGTGAGATAGTATCTCATTGTGGTTTTGATTTGCATTTCTCTAATGATCAGTGATGTTGAGCTTTTTTCATGTTTGTTGCCCACATGTATGTCTTCTTTTGAGAAGTGTCCATTCATGTCCTTTGCCCACTTTTTAATGTGGTTAGTTTTTCTTCTTGTAAATTTGTTTAAGTTCCTTGTAGATTCTGAATATTAGACCTTTGTCAGAAGTGTAGAATGCAGAAATTTTCCCCCATTCTGTAGGTTGTCTGTTCACTCTGATGATAGTTTCTTTTGCTGTGCAGAAGCTCTTTAATTAGATCCTATTTATCAATGTTTTCTTTTGTTGCAATTGCTTTTGGTGTTTTCGTCATGAAATCTTTGCCTGTGCCTATGTCCCAAGTGGTATTGCCTAGATTTTCTTCTAGGGTTTTTATTGTTTTGGGTTTTACATTTAAGTCTTTAATCCATCTTGAGTTAGTTTTTGTATAAGGTGTAAGGAAGGGTCCAGTCTCAATTTTCTCCCATTTCTTCCAGCACCATTTATTAAATAGGGAATCCATTCCCCTTTGCTTGTTTTTGTCAGGTTTGTCAAAGATCACATGGTTGTAGGTATGCAGACTTACTTCTGAGTTATCTATTCTGTTTCATCAGTCTCTGTGTCTGTTTTTGCACCAGTACCATGCTGTTTTGGTTATTGTAGCCTTGTAGTTGGGTAGCATGATGCCTCCAGCTTTGTGCTTTTTGCTTAGGATTATTTTTGCTCTTCAGGCTCTTTTTTGGTTCCATATGAATTTTAACATAGTTTTTTCTCATTCTGTGAAGAATGTCATTGGTAGTTTGATAGGAATAGCATTGAATCTATAACTTACTTTGGGCAGTATGGCCATTTTCATGATATTGTATCTGCCTATCCATGAGCATGGAATGTTTTTTCATTTGTTTGTGTCCTCTCTGATTTCCTTGAGCAGTGGTTTACAGTTTTCTTTGAATAGAACCTCCACTTCTTTTGTTAACTGTATTCCTAGGTATTTTATTCTCTATAGCAATTGTGAATGGGAGTTCATGATTTGGCTGTCTGCATGCCTATTGTTTGTGTATAGGAATGCTAACAATTTTTGCACATTGATTTTATATTCTGAGACTTTGCTGAAGTTGCTTATCAGCTTAAGAAGCTTTGGGGCTGAGATGATGGGGTTCTAGATACAGGAACATATCATCTGAAAACAGAGACAATTTGATTTTCTCTCTTCCTATTTGAATACCTTTTATTTCAATCTCTTGCCTGATTGTCCTGTCCAATACCATGTTGAACAGGAGTTTTGAGAGAGGGCATCCTTGTCTTGTGTGGGTTTTCAAGGGAAATCCTTCCAGCTTTTGCCATTCAGTATGGTATTGGCTATGTGTTTGTCATATATGGCTCTTATTATTTTGAAATATATTCCTTCAATACTTAGCTTATTGAGAGTTTTTAACATGAAGGGATGTTGAATTTTATCAAAGCCTTTTTCTGCATCTATTGAGATAATCATGTGTTTTTTGTCTTTAGTTCTGTTTATGTGATGAATTACATTTATTTATTTGTGTATGTTGAACCAACCTTGAATCCCAGGGATGAAGCCAACTTGATCGTGGTGGATTAGCTTTTTAATGTGCTGGTGGATTCGGTTTGCCAGTATTTTATTGAGGATTTTCGCATTGATGTTCATCAGGGATATTGGACTGAAGTTTTTTGTTGTTGTATCTCTGCCAGGTTTTGGTATCAGCATGATGCTAGCCTCATAAAATGAGTTGGGGAGGAGTCCCTCCTTTTCCATTGTTTGAAATAGTTTCAGTAGAAATGGTACCAGCCCCTTTTTGTACCTTGGGTAGAAGTCAGCTGTAAATCCATCCGATCCTGGGCTTTTGTTGTTGTTGTTGTTGGTAGGTGTATTAGTTCATTCTCATGCTACTATGAAGAAATACTTGAGACTGGGTAATTTATAAAGGAAAGAGGTTTAATTGACTCACAGTTCTGCATGGCTGGGGAGGCCTCAGAAAACTTATAACCATGGCAGAAGGCACCTCTTCACAGGGTGGCAGGGGAGAGAATGAGAGCTGAGTGAAAGGGGAATCCCCTTATAAAGCTATAAGATCTTGTGAGAACTTACTTACTATCACAAGAATAGCATGGGCCAAACCACCTCAATGATTCAATTACCTCTCACTGGGGATTATGGGAGCTACAATTCAAGATGAGATTTGGGTGGGGACACACCCAAACCATATCATTCTGCCCCTGGCCCCTCCCAAGTCTCATGTCCTCACATTGCAAAACACAATCATGCCCTTCCAAGAGTCCCTTAAAGTCTTAACTCATTCCATCATTAACTCAAAAGTCCAAATCGAAAGTCACCTCTGCAACAAGGCAAGTCCCTTCTGCCCATGAGCCTGAAAAAAGCAAGTCGGTTACTTCCTAAATAAAATGGGGGTACAGCCATTGAGTAAATATACCTGTTCCAAGTGGGAGAAATTGGCCAAAACTTGCATGTGGCCTGTAGCAGGCCACCCCTGTGGCTTTGCAGCCCCCCTCCTGGCTGCTTTCACAGGCTGGTGTTGAGTGTCTGTGGCTTTTCCAGGTGCATGGTGCAAGCTGTTGGTGGATCTACCATTCTGGGGTCTGGAGGACAGTGGCCTTCTTCTCATAGCTCCATTAGGCAGTGCCCCGTTGGGGACTCTGTGTGGGGGCTCCAACCCCACATTTCCCTTTCACATTGCCCTTGCAGAGGTTCTCCATGAGGGCTACACCCCTACAGCAAACTTCTGCCTGGACATCTAGGAGTTTCCATAGATCCTTTGAAATCTAGGCAGGGGTTCCCACACCTCAATTCTTGACTTCTGTGCACCTTCAGGCCCAACACCACATGGAAGCTGCCAAGGCTTGGGGCCTTCACACTCTGAAACAACAACCTGAGCTGTATGTTGGCCACTTTTAGCCATGGCTGGAGTGGCTGGAATGCAGGGCACCAAGTCCTAAGGCTGCACACAGCAGGGGTGGCCCTGGACCTGGCCCAGGAAACCATTTTTCCCTCTTCTGCCTTCTGGGAGGCCTAAGATGGGAGGGACTGCCATGAAGGTCTCTGACATGCCCTGGAGACATTTTCCCCATTGTCTTGGTGATTAACATTTGGTTCCTTGTTTCTTAGGCAAATTTCCGCAACCAGCTTGAATTTCTCCCCAGAAAGTAGGGTTTTCTTTTCTGTTCTATCCTCAGGCTGCAAATTTTCAAAACTTTTATACTCTGCTTCCCCTTGAACGCTTTGCTGCTTAGAAATTTCTTCTGCCATATATCCTAAATCATTTCTCTCAAGATCAAAGTTCCACAGATCTCTGGGGCAGGGGGAAAATGCCACCACTCTCGTTGCATAGCAAGAGTGACCTTTCTTTCAGTTCCCAACAAGTTCCCCACCTCCATCTGAGACCATCACAGCCTGGACTCATTGTCCATATCACTATCAGCATTTTGGTCAAAGCCATTCAACAAGTCTCTAGGAAATTCCAAACTTTCCTACATTTTCCTGTCTTCTGAGCCCTCCAAGTCTCTAGGGAGTTCCAAACATTCTCACATGTTTCTGTCTTCTTCTGAGCCCTCCATGCTGTTCCAACCTCTGCCTGTTACCCAGTTCCAAAGTTGCTACCACATTTTTGGATATCTTTATAGCAGCACCCCACTCTCTGCAGTACCAACTTACTGTATTAATCTGTTCTCATGCTGCTATGAAGAAATACCTGAGACTGGGCAATTTATAAGGAAAAGAAGTTTAATTAACTCACAGTTCTGCGTGGCTGGGGAGACCTCAGGAAACTTACAATCATGGCAGAAGGCACCTCTTCACAGGGTGGCAGGGGAGAGAATGAGAGCCGAGCGAAGGGAAAAGCCCCTTATAAACCATCAGATCTTGTGAGAACTTACTATCACAAGAATAGCATGGGGGAAACTGCTCCCATGATTCAATTACCTCCCACCGAGTCCTTCCCACTACACGTGGGGATTATGGGAACTATAAGTCAAGATGAGATTTGGGTGGGGACACAGCCCAACCATATCAGTAGGCTATTTATTACTACCTCAGTTTCAGAACTCATTATTGGTCTATTTAGGGGCTCAATTTCTTCCTGGTTCAGTCTTGGAAGGGTGTATGCATCCAGGAATTTATCCATTTCTTCTAGATTTTCTAGTTCTTGTGCATAGAAGTGTTTATAATATTCTCAGATGGTTGTTTGTATTTCTGTGGGATCAGTGGTTATATCCCCCTTATCATTTCTGATTGTACCTACTTGATTCTTCTCTCTTCTTTATTAGTCTAGCTAGAAGTCTATCTATTTTATTAATTTTTTCAAAAAACCAGCTCCTGGATTTAAATGAGTTTTTGAAGGGTTTTTTGTGTCTCTATCTCCTTCAGTTCTACTCGGATCTTGGTTATTTCATATTTTCTCATAGCTTTGGGGTTTGTTTGCTCTTGTTTCTCTAGTTCTTTTAGTTGTGATGTTAGGTTGTCAATTTGAGATCTTTCTATCTTTTTGATATGGGCATTTAGTGCTACAAATGTCCCTCTTTTTTTTTTTTTTTTTTTTTTTTTTTTGAGACAGAGTTTTGCTCTTGTTGCCCAGGCTGGAGTGCCGTGGCACGATCTCGGCTCACTGCAACCTCCACCTTCTGGTTTCAAGTGATTCTCCTGACTCAGCCTCCTGAGTAGCTGGGATTACAGGTGCCCGCCACCATGCCTGGCTAATTTTTGTATTTTTTTTTAGTAGAGATGGGGTTTCACCATGTTGGTCAGGCTGGTCTCCAACTCCTGACCTCATGATCTGCCCACCTCAGCCTCCCAAAGTGCTGGGATTACAGGCATGAGCCACTGCACCTGGCTGAATATCTCTCTTAAAACTGCTTTAGCTGTGTCCCAGGGATTCTGGCATGTTGTCTCTTTATTCTCATGATTTTCAAATAACTTCTTGATTTCTGCCTTAATTTCATTATTTACCCAAGAGTCATTCAGGAGCAGGTTGTTCAATTTCCATGTAGTTGTGTGGTTTTCAGTAAGTTTCTCAATCTTGAGTTCTAATTTGATTGTACTGTGATCTGAGAGACTGTTTGTTATCATTTCAGTTCTTTTGCACTTGCTGAGGAGTGTTTTACTTTCAATTATGTTATCAATTTTAGAGTAAGTGCCATTTGGTGATGAGAAGAATGTATATTCTGCTGTTCGGGGGTGGAGAGTTCTGTAGATATCTATCAGGTCTACTTGATCCAGAGCTGCATTTAGGTACTGAATATCTTTGTTAATGTTCTATCTCAATGATCTGTCTAATATTGCCATTGGGGTGTTAAAGTCCCCCACTGTTGTTGTGTGGGAGTCTAAATCTCTTTGTAGGTCTTTAAGAACTTGCTTTATGAATCTGGGTGCTCCTGTATTGGGTGTATATATATATTTAGGATAGTTAGCTCCTGTGGATGAATTGAACCCTTTACCATTATGTAATGCCCTTCTTTGTCTTTTTTTTATCTTTGTTGATTTAAAGTCTGTTTTGTCAGAAACTAGGATTCCAACTCCTGCTTTTTTCTGTTTTTTATTGGCTTGGTAAATTTTCCTCCATCCCTTTATTTTGAGACCATGGGTGTCTTTGCACATGAGATGTTTCTCTTGAAGATGGCACACCAGTGGAGCTTGACTCTTTATCCACTTGCCATTCTGTGTCTTTTAATTGCGGCATTTAGCCCATTTGCATTTAAGATTAATATTGTTACGTGTGAATTTGATCCTGTCATCATGATGTTAGCTTGTTATTTTGCAGACTTGTTTATGTACTTGCTTCAAGGTGTCACTGGTCTGTGTACTTCAGTGTTATTTTTTAGTGGCTGGTAACGGTTTTTTTCTTTCCATATTTAGTGCTTCCTTCAGGAGCTCTTGCGAGGCAGGCCTGGTGGTGAAGAATTCCTTCAGCATTTGCTTGTCCGAAAACGATCTTATTTCTCCTTTGCTTATGAAGCTTAGTTTGGCAGGATATGAAATTCTTGGTTGGAAATTCTTTTCTTTAAGAATGTTGAATATTGGCTGCCAATCTCTTCCGACTTGTAGGGTTTCCACTGAGAGGTCTGCTCTTTGTCTGATGGGCTTCCCTTTGTAGATGACCTGGCCCTTCTCTCTGGCCTTAACATTTTTTCTTTCATTTCAAACTTGGAGAATCTGATGATTATACGTCTTGAAGTTGATCTTCTCATGGAGTTATCTGGATTTCCTGAATTTGAATGTTTTCCTGTCTCACTAGGTTGGGGAATTTCTCCTGGATGATATCCTGAAGTTTGTTTTCAGACTTGGTTCCATTCTCCTCATCTCTTCCAGGCACCCCAATCAGTTGTAGGTTTGGTTTTTTTTTATATAATCTCATATTTCTCACAGGTTTTGTTCATTCCTTTTCATTTTTTCCCCTCTATTCTTGTCACCCTGTATTATTTCAAAAAGATAGCCATCAAGCTCTGAGATTTGTTTCTCTGTTTGGTCTGTTTAGCTATTGATACTTGTAAGTGCATTGTGAAGTTCTCATGTTCTGTTTTTCAGCTCCATCAGGTCATTTATGTTCCTCTATAAACTGGCTATTCTGGTTATCAGCTCCTGTAATATTTTAGCTCCTGTAATATTTTATCATGATTCTTAGCTTCTTTGCATTGGGCTAGAACATATTCCTTTAGCTCAGTGAATTTTTTGATTACCCACCTTCTGAAGCTACTTCTGTCAATTTATCCATCTCAGCCTCAGCCCAGTTCTCTGCCTTTGCTGGAGAGATGTTGCAATCATTTGGAGGACAAGAGGCTCTCTGGCTTTTTCAGTTTTCAGCCATTTTTTCATTGATTCTTTCTCATCTTTGTGGGCTTATCTACCTCTGATCTTTGAGGTTGCTGACCTCTGAATGGGGTTTTTGCGAGGTCTTTTTTGTTGCTGTCGTTGTTGTTGTTGCTTTCTGTTTGTTTTTCTTTTAACGTCAGGCCCCCCATCTGCAGAGATGCTGCAGTTTGCTGGGGATCTACTCCAGACCCTAGTCACTTCAGATCCTCCCACACCTGGAGGTATCACCAGTGAAGGCTGCAAAACAGCCTGCTCCTTCCTCTGGGAGCTCCATCCCAGGGCACATTTGCCAACCCAAATGCTCCTGTAGGAGGTGTCTGGAGACTTCTTTTGGGAGGTCTCACCCAGTCGGGAGGAACAGGATCAGGGACTCGCTTAAAGAAGCAATCTGACTGCCCCTTGGCAGAGCGGGTGTGCTGCACTGGGGGAAACCCCCCTCGTCCAGACCACTTAGACTTTTCGGAGCCAGCAGTCTGAACTGCAGATACAGTGGCTGCCCCTCCCCCAGTGGCTCCATCCCAGGGAGAGAACAGAGTTCTGTCCATAAAACCCTGGCTGGAGTTGCTGAAACTCCCATAGGGAGGCCTTGCCAGATTAGGAGGGATAGATCAGGGTCCCATTTAAAGATGCAGTCTGACCATGATCTGCCATAGCAGCTATGCTGTGCTGTGGGGAATTCCCCCCAGTCCAGACCACCCAGACTCCCCTGAGCTGGCAGGCCAAAATGGCAGACTCCAGCCACGGAAATGGTGGCTGCCCTTCCCTCCAGGAACTTAGTCATCTCAGGCAGTCTCCAGTCAGCTGCCGCTGGCCGGGCTGGAATTCCAAGTCAGTAGATCTTATCTTGTGAGCTGCCGTGTGAGTGCAGCCTGCAGAACACCACTTGGCTCCCGGGCTTCAGTCTCCTTCTTACGGGGATGCACAGATGATCTCCTGTCTCACCAGAATTCCCGGGGCCAGAGTACACAAAAAACTCCTGGGTCTCTGTGCATGCCTGAGTGGCTGCAAAGAGTCCACAAAGCTCTGTGCTTTGGACCCAAGGCCCTCGTGGTGTGGGCTTACAAGGGGATCTCCTGATCCATGGGTTGCAAAGATCCACGGGAAAAGCATGGTTTCCTGGGTGGGGTCCCACAATCACTCACAGCCTTCCTTGGCTGGGGTTGGGGCTCCCCTGCTTCCACACTACTCAGGAGTGGGCTGTCGCCCCAACCTCCCTTTCCTCGCTCTCCATGGGTGGTGCCAACTGCCCAGTCAGTCCCAACCGATTTGATCTCTTAAAAGACATTTTTTAATGTTAGAATCATTTGCCTTCTAGAAAGCCTATGAGAAAGGGTATTATTTCAAACCCACCAAATTTTGGCCCATTTCAATTTAATAATTCTTTCTTTGGCTGTTTTGCAGCCTTCACTGGTGATACCTCCAGGTGTGGGAGGATCTGAAGTGACTAGGGTCTGGAGTAGATCCCCAGCAAACTTTGTTTGGCTTATCTCTTTCCTTTCACATTTAATCACAGGCCACAAGAAAAAGTCAGATGGCAATTTTAATATTTTGCCTGGATCTTCTTCCTCAGGTATCTGACATTTAATGCTGATTGTCTACTGGAACTTTAGTGGAAGCTATTGGCTAGAACACCTACATGTGGTGTCTCCATGTGGCCTGGGCTTCCTCACAGCATGACAGGTGGATTCTAAGAGCAGGAGTCCCAAGAGAGACACCAGGTACAAGATGCATCGCCTTTTAAAATCTGTTTTAGAAGTCACCTGACATTTCTTCCTCTGTAGTCACAAGCCCACCCAGAATCAAGGAGCAGGAACACAGAAGTCACTTCTTATTGAGAAAAGTGGCAATTCAACATTGTGAGAAAAACATGCAGGATGGGTGATCTTGTTGCAGCCATCTTGGAAAATCCAGTCTGGCCATAATAATTCTTGAGCTGAAATTACCAAATCACTCTAAGAAGCTCGTGTTTATCTATAATCATATAGCAGTTTGTCAGTGGAATCCAAAATAAAATTCATATTTTTCCTGTTTTCAATCTATAAGACCAAGCTCTAGGCTAAAGAGCTTATGCCCAAATATCAGAATTAACAAAGAGATGTATGAAACTGAAGAAATTTATTTTTCTTATTGTGTTTTATGGTCTGAAAGACACATCACAGTGGATAAATCCAGTGAAACCTTACCATGTAGTTAACTTGATAAGACAGGCGGGATAGAAGCTTGCTTAATACAATCGGATTCTCTATACCTTCCCCAAATCACCCATGATGAACTCAACCTGTATCAGAGAAAGCACTCCAATCTCTTGCATTTAAATACTGATGCAAGTCCTTGAAGTGGAAATGTGGCTCACAGTATCACAGTCAATATGTGTGCTTTAAGTGTTCATAATTTTCAAGTGTGAAAATTTTATTTATTTGAAGCCTAGTCCAGAAGAACTAGTTATAAGAGAGAAAACCACTGTTGCAGGTACCTGTTCTGTGAATTACCAGACACTCAGACACATCTACAGGCCCACAGGGCTGCGTAGGCACCAGGCTGGGGGAGGCTTGAAGTCTCCAATGTCTTCAGGTTCAATTCTTACTAAGCCGCTGGCATCGTTACTGAAATAACTTCTCCCACTTCCAAGCAAGCAAAGCTTAGTGTTTCAAAAAGGTTTCATTCATTTTGAAGCCTCCCTGGGGCACATGTGCTGATGAAAACCCCTTGGAATCTTACACTTGTGGCCTGAACCAAGAAAAGAGTCTAGTTGGGCAGAGAAGGGAATATTCAGTATTGTACATTAATTCTCCCAAATACAACAACCATCATTCTTTTTTAATTGAACTAGTTCTTTCATGTCCAGTATCATTCCATTTCTATCAATACCTCTTAAAAAAGAGAACTTGTTTGAACTAAGTTCCAATGTTAAAATTATCTTTATTGAATTCCTACCTTTCTTCCATCTTGATTGTGCTCCAGGCACTTAAATCTGCATTCCAGCCCCTAACCCCACCCAAGCTTCAGTGGGCATACATGACAGATAGACCTTGCCCCGAGAGAATGTATAATCTAAAGAGGGAAGTAGGTGTAAGGAGGAACGGGGAAGATGTAAGACACATACATGACCATTAAGAGAGCATTGGACACAAAGTCAGAAGAACTCTGTTTTAGCCACTGTTTAGGTCTGCCATTAAGTAGTACGTAACTTAAGGCAAATCCCTACATCCCCTTTACCCTAAGTTGCTCCATAATTAATAAATACTAATTATTAACACAGTGATAATATCTTCCTCATAGATATTTTTGTTAAAAATACCTGAATTGGCTCACGTAAAATGCTTAACACAGTTCCTGATACACAAAATGCCCTCAGTAAATGTTAATTTCATCACGGTGTAGTAGTAGTGGTGATAGGAGTACTTGGAAGTACTTTGTAAATTGTGAAGTCATATCAACATAAATATTTCCATTCGTAAAAGGCAGAATATGTAACATCCTATTGAAACCTATCATTCTCTGCTCACCTTCCAGCTCTCCCAAATACTACCTTGTCATTACTGACATTTTAGACTGGATAATTGGGATAGTCCTTTCTGGCAGCAGGCCATCCTGCACCTTGCAGGATGTGTAGCAGCATCCGTGGTCTCTGCCTACTTGATGCAATTAGCATCACGTCCTCAGTCATGACAATCCAAAATGTCTCCAGATATTGCCAAATGTCCCCTGGGGGAAAAGTCCCCTCACCTCCCAGTTTCCCCATTCGCATTTGGAAATCACTGAACTAAACTGAATAGTACGTGGGCTGAACTTCATTATTATTATGGACTGAATGTCTGCATCCTTGTCCCATGCCCAGCAAAATTTATATGTTCAAATTCTAACCCCCATGTGATGGTATTAGAGACCTTCTGGAAACAACGAGGTCATGAGGGTGGTGCCCTTATAAACAGCACTAATCCTCTTCATAAGAGCACCAGCCTCATGACCTAGTTATTTCCAGAAGGTCCCTCTCTCTCTCTTTGCTCTCCACCATGTGGGGATACAACCAGCTGTGTGCAAACCAGGAAGCATAGCGAGCCTTCATCCAACACAGATCTGTTGGCACCTTGATCTTGGACTTCCCAGTCTCCAGAACTGTGAGAAGTAAATGCCTGTTGTTTAAGCCATCCAGTCTATGATAATTTGTTATAGCAGCCTGAGATAAGACAATTACTTTACAGAATACAGTTTTGAATCAAAGAAATGTTTACCTAATGAAGTTAGAAAGTAATGTATCAATTGTGAAAGATTCTTTTTCTCCCTGGGTGAGTCCTCTGTCCCTTAAGCTCACCCTGACTGGAATACAATCATCTAAGGCTTTGTCTTAGGACTGGGTTAGATGATCATTAAAACGTCAGAGCAGGAAATGTAATATTACAGTTGTGTTACACGAGTGTCCCTGAAATTCAGAGCTACATGTTTATCAAGATGTATTCCCCTGTCACCATGGCCACCTTGTGTTGCTTTGGACTGCAAAGAAAAGACAAGGAATGATTGAATGGGTTTTTTTTCTGTTCATGTATTGTACCTGAGTTCTGTCTTAGTCTGCTTCCTAAATAGAATAATCAATGCCATTATCTCTTCCTCCCTTATCTAAATCACATCAGGACTCTACAGTAGATCGATAGTTACAACAAAGAAGGCCGGAGCTTTCATTCCAGGGGGACTCATTACTCTGCCGCCCAGTATCTGGATATAGATTCCACATAAGGTTATCTACGCTTCCATAGGAGTTAACAACAGCTGTCAGTTATTAATCCTGTGCCATGACCCGGCCTTACACTGCTACGTGCGTGCAGAGAACACGTCCAGAACAAAATAAGCCTGCTTCCTTCTTTCCCTCTTCTTTTGGCTTCCTTTTCCTCTTCGTATTATTAAAAAATTGTCTTGTCTAGCAATCTAAAAGGTTTGGGACTTCACTGAGATTCTTAGCAAGTACAGGTTGCATTTAAGCAGACTCACATCTGCTGCAATATTACAAAGACTCATTAAAATAAATTTAGATCTTAAATTAGTCCTTTCAGTAACATTTATTGCCTAAGCTGCTGGGGTGATAAAGTATATAATTCAGTTAAGTTGAAGAGAAAAGTGATATTTGGATTATGTTTCCTGACCAGCCCCCAAAAGAAGGGTAAGATAAGAGAATAATTATAATCTCAGTGGCTAGTTTTCCCAGTGGCAATTATTTCCCCCTAATGATTCTTCTTAGCCAGGGAGCCCTCTTATTTGGCTGCCAGGAGGAACTAGCATATCTGCGGTGTGAGCTAAACAATGCTGTGGTCAGATCAGAGGGCAAACCTCTCAGTAGACAGGCTGGTCACTACTTCCTCCAAATCCTCTCACCACCCCAAGATTCTGCAATGGCCACTGTTCAGGCCAGAGCCCTCACAGACGGATATGTTGTTAGAAAAGGCCTGAAGCTGGGCACGTGGCTCACACCTGTAATCCCAGGACTTTGGGAGGCTGAGGAGGGCAGATCACGAGGTCGAGAGATCGAGACCATCCTGGCCAACATGGTGAAACCCCATCTCTACTAAAAATACAAAGATCAACTGGGTGTGGAGGTGTGTGCCTGTAGGCCCAGCTACTTGGGAGGCTGAGGCAGGAGAATCACTTGAACCCAGGAGGTGGAGGTTGCAGTGAGCCGAGATTGTGCCACTACACTCCAGCCAGGCAACAGAATGAGACTCCATCTCAAAAAAAAAAAAAGAAAAAGAAAAAGAAAAGAAAAAAATAAAACGCCTGTAGATCAGGGAGAACCAAAATTATGTTTACTTGTCCCCCAGTCTTCAAACCCCTCATATGGATTTTTTTTTTTTTTTTTTTTTTGAGACAGAGTCTCGCTCAGTCGCCCAGGCTGGAGTGCAGTGGCGCGATCTCGGCTCACTGCAAGCTCCGCCTCCCGGGTTCATGCCATTCTCCTGCCTCAGCCTCCCGAGTAGCTGGGATTACAGGTGCCCGCCATCACGCCCGGCTAATTTTTTTTTTTGTATTTTTAGTAGAGACGGGGTTTCACCGTGTTAGCCGGGATGGCCTGGATCTCCTGACCTCGTGATCCACCCATCTCAGCCTCCCAAAGTGCTGGGATTACAGGCGTCAGCCACAGGGCCCGGCCTCATATGGATTTTTTTAACCAATTGCCAAAGTGACATTTTAGTAATTTAACTCTACAGCTGGAATTCAGTACTGCTCTGGCCGACTCTATGTATCCCATTGCGTGAAAGTGAGTTTCCCATAGACTTCAAAGAACTAATCTTTGCTTTATCAAGTAAGATTCATTTTCGAGTTCAAGCAACCGTTACTGGGAGTTTGCAGAGTGCTCAAATTCTGGCCTATGTATATTTATTGCTCTTTGGGGGGATGGTTTTAAAGAAAAATATAGCAAAGAACAGAAGTGCCATGGTATTTTTATAATTCCATACAACTATCCACATAGTTTCTTTTTAATACTTACCAGCCAAATGTCCTTGACATGCTCTGAAATACCCTGGAACAGGCGGCCAGAAAGCAGGTCCATTCGATCTATTATGAGTTGGGCTGTGTTGCTGTTACCGTTGCCACTGGAGCCCAGGGTCTATCATGATATGCCCCTCTCTGGCACCTCAGGAAGACATGGAGCAGTGAAGCTTGAGCCAGGTGCGGTTCCCAAATGTACAGTGATCAGAGCAGTTGGTAGATCTACCATCACAAGCATGCCTTGGAAATGGGACCAGAAAGCTCTAGATCTCTGGAACTTTAAACTGTTTGAGTCCCTTGAATAGACAGACACCTTCGTCTCCAGGGCTCTGGCTGATAACTGGGCAAACTTGGCTAACTGGAATTCAGGCCATTCAGAAATGTATTAGGTTGTAAGATTTCCTCTGAAAATGTTGCCTCTTATGAATTATACATATTTTTAAATTCCCTCCATTCCCTCTTATAGTATTGTTTAAATTAAATTTTTTTCTGTTTTCCTTTTTTGTTTTAATTTTACTTGAAGTTCTGGGATACATGTGCAGAACTTGCAGGTTTGTTACATGGGTATACATGTACCATGGTGGTTTGCTATACCTATCGACCCATCATCTAGGTTTTAAGCCCCACATGCATTAGCTATTTGTCCTAATGCTCTCCCTCCCCTCATCCCCACATCTCCTGACAGGCTCCAGTGTGTGATGTTGGGGACACTTATTTTTCAACTCCCACTTATGAGTGAGAGTTGTTCTTATTTTTCAACTCCCACTTATGAGTGAGAACATGTGGTGTTTAGTTTTCTGTTCCTGTGTTAGTTTGCTGAGGATGATGGCTTCCAGCTGCATCCATGTCCCTGAAAAGGACATGATCTCATTCCTTTTTATGTCTGCATAACATTCCATGGATCTCATTCCTTTTTATGGCTGCATAGTATTCCATGGTGTATTATGTACCACATTTTCTTTATCCAGGCTATCATTGATGGGCATTTGGGTTGGTTCCATGTCTTTGCTATTGTAAATAGTGATGCAATAAACATATGTATGCATGTGTCTTTATAATAGAATGATTTATATTCCTTTGGATTTATACCCAGTAATGGAATTGCTGGGTCAAATGGTATTTCTGGTTCCAGATCCTTAAGAATCACCACACTGTCCTCCACATTTGTTGATCTAATTTACATTCCCACAAACAGTGTAAAAGTGTTCCTATTTCTCCACAGCCTCACCAGCATCTACTGTTTCTTGAGTTTTTAATAATCACCATTCTGACTGGTGTGAAATGGCATCTTATGGTGGCTTTGATTTGCATTTCTGTAATGATAAGTGATGTTGAAGTGTTTTTCATACGTTTGTTGGCCACATAAAGGTCTTCTCTTGAGAAGTGTCTGTTTATATCCTTTGCCCACTTTTTGATGGGGTTGTTGGTTTTTTTCTTGTAAATTTGTTTAAGTTCCTTGTAGACTCTGGATATTAGCCCTTTGTCAGATGGATAGATTGCAGAAATTTTCCCCCATCCTGTAGGTTGCCTGTTCACTCTGATGATAGTTTCTTTTGCTGTGCAGAAGCTCTTTAGTTTAATTAGATCCCATTTGTCAATTTTTGCTTTTGTTGCAATTTCTTTTGGTGTTTTAGTCATGAAGTCTTTGTCCATGCCTATGTCCTGAATGGTATTGCTTAGGTTTTCTCCTAGGGTTTTTATGTTTTGGAGTTTTACATTTAAGTCTTTAATCCATCTTAAGTTAGTGTTTGTGTAAGGTATAAGGAAGGGGTCTAGTTTCAGTTTTCTGCATATGGCTAGCCAGTTTTTCCAGCACCATTTATTAAATAGGGCATCCTTTCCCCATTGCTTGTTTTTGTCAGGTTGTTGAAGATGAGATGGTTGTAGATGTGTGGTGTAATTTCTGAGGTCTCTTTTCTGTTCCATTGGTCTATATGTCTGTTTTGGTAGCAATACCATGCTGTTTTGGTTACTGTAGCCTTGTAGTATAGTTTGAAGTCAGGTAGCCTGACTTCAGTAATGCCTCCAGCTTTGTTCTTTTTGCTTAGGATTGTCTTGACTATATTGACTCTTTTTTGGCTCCATATGAAGTTTAAAGTAGTTTTTTCTAATTCTGTGAAGAATGTAAATGATAGTTCGATGAGAATAGCATTGAATCTATACATTACTTTGGGCCGTATAGCCAGTTTAAATTAAAATTTTTAAAGTTATATTTTTTAACAGTTCCTTCTAAACAGCATTGCACACGTGTGTATTAACTTAATATGTCATTATATTTCCCTTGAAAATGATTAGCATTATACTTATTTATTCCATTTATCCTTGGCCTTAATTATTCAACAGCAATTCTTGCTATACATTCTTAATGTTTCTCTCCATTCCTTTGGTGTTTCTACTCTACCTGTTTAAAGTTGGAAGATAGAACTTTCTGCTATAATGTTTTCCTTTGTGATTCAACTCAGCCTTCTTCCCATCCCCCGAGAAACAAAGGAAGTAACAAGAGTAGACTTCCCATGTGTCTTCTTACCTATTTCTTGGAATGCCTCCATTAGTAACACCTCTGGCTTCTCTCCACTAGCTGCCCCACCCAAGGGATCATGACATGAATGCACTGCCACACTCACTTTTAGTCTTTGCAGATATAAGATATTTTCATTAGGCATTTTCCACACATTTCTCTGAGGCCTTTTCTAATTAATCACCTGCCACCTGTCTCCAGCACTTGGGGAGGCTGAGGTGGGCAGATCACGAGGCCAGGAGATCGAGACCATCCTGGCTAACACAGTGAAACCCCATCTCTACTAAAAATACAAAAAATTAGCCAGGCGTGGCGGCGGGCACCTGTAGTCCCAGCTACTCGGGAGGCTGAGGCAGGAGAATGGCGTGAACCCGGAAAGTGGAGCTTGCAGTGAGCCAAGATTGCACCACTGTACTCCAGCCTGGGCGAGAGTGAGACTCCTTCTCAAAAAAAAAAAAAAAAAAAAAGATGCTACCTGCCTTCCTATGGTGAGAAAGTAGATTAATGGGGAAAGGCTTGCTTTTCTGGGTATTTATTTGATTCCTGTGTTAGCATTTTATTTCAAGAATGATTTATATCCATTTCTAATTTCTCCTGTAGTTTTCTGCTTAGAACTTATTCTTCCTAAGCTGCAATTAGAGGAAATAGTGTGAGCATATATGTATGTATAAATGCACACACTCACACACATTAAACCGAAAGCATTCAGAAGCATTTTGGGATAAGAATATGGTCGCTGATGCTCTGCTCTATCTTGCTTTAGGATAACAACCACTAAGAGAAGTGCTGGCAACTCCCTCATGACCCTTTTGGAAGTCTTAATTAGAGTTAATTTTAAAAAACAGACCTTGTCAACATTATTTGTTTAGAAAATGTCCAAAAAGCTGAAAGACTGAGAAATATTTTAATTTCAGTAAAACCACTGGCCTGAATTGACCACAAAGACATCCTCCCTCCATAAAGTATTTCCCAACCCTAAGATCTTGCAGGTCTCTGGGGGTAGAGTTTGGCGTGAAGGGGTTCCTTTTTTCATTCCTATTTTTTGTAAATATTTTTGGTTATAGGATTCCAGTGTTAGATAGTGACTGACCAATGCCTGTGTGCATTTTCACCAGACCCCTCCAATTGGAGGCTGTTTAATAAATTGGGACTGTGTGCTGCCTGCAGCTTTTTACTTTTGCTCCCCGATTGTCTCCCATTAATCCCCTTGCTCTCTGGTGTTGAAACCTTTCAACTTTGGGAATTCACCAATTCTGGTTCAATTTGTGGACCTTCTGAGCTTCCTCGAGCCCTTTAGGAAGTTTCCTTGTGCTAATAACCATCTGTCACTGCCCATGTTTCATGGATGCAGCTGTTACTGCTAGAGACCAAGTCAGGGCCGTAAGCAAACGCTTGTAACTTTAAATCAAAGGGTGATCATTAAGTCACACCACCCGCCACCAGCATCTTGTCGTATAACACTGCAAAGTTACATTAGGTGTAGCACTTTAACCTTTGCCATATTGAAGAAGTAATAGTATCAGAATTTAGCTTCCATCCCTCAAGGGCCCATAAACACACTGTGTGGAAGCCAGGTGATAGATCACAGGCTTGTAATATGTACAGTTCTCCTGGTTTCTGTACCTCTATTACTTTTAAAACAAGACAACTGGTAAATTACACCACATCATGGACAATCCACTTCTGCAATGCACCTCTTCAGGTTCGTCTGACAGTGTTTGGCATTCAAAGGAAGGATAGCTGCCAGCATACTTGTCTGGCCCTGCTCAGCACTGCCTGAGATATTGACCTTCTTCCCCAACATGGCCTGTGGGCTGGAGGTGTGTTCTGAGTTCTCAGGAAGTATTGAGTGCCATTCAACTGCTTCACCGTGTCAGAGTTCCCCTTTTCAAGGTTTATGAAAGGGAAAGAGAAAAAACAAACATAAAAAAGAAACTCCTTTTTTTTTTTTTTTTTTTTGAGTTGGAGGCTCGCACCAGGCTGGAGTGCAGTGGCGCGATCTTAGGTCACTGCAATCTCCACCTCCCGGGTTCAAGCAATTCTCCCGTCTCAGCCTCCCGAGTAGCTGGGATTACAGGTGTGTGCCACCACAACCAGCTAATTTTTTATATATATATATTTTTAGTAGAGATGGGGTTTCACCGTGTTGGCCAGGATGGTCTTGATCTCCTGACCTCATGATCCACTGGCCTCAGCCTCCCTAAAGTGCTTTTGCATACAATGTTTTTAGGAAAATTTAAATAATTCAAGTCATTTTAATTAGAGAGATTGGGACAATGAGGGTTGGGAGAACACATTAACTGCAGAAAGATCCTATGTTCAATCCTACTGTAAGTCATCATAGCCCCAGGGCAAATATCTCATGAGATTTCAGAAACATAAGCAAAAAAGTCTGTTATAAATATCAAAATCTGTTATAAATATCAACACATACTATGCATTTCTCCCTCCCTCCCTTATTTTTCTTTCCTTTCCCTCCCTCCCTGCCTCCCTGCCTGCCTGCCTGCCTGCCTCCCTCCCTCCCTCCCTCCCTCACTCCTTCCTCCCTCCCTCCCTCCCTCCCTCCCTTCCTTCCTTCCTTCCTTCCTTTCTTCCCTTCAGTTTCTCTTCCTTCTAATGCCCCCTGTCCTTAAAAATGTCTCCATTCAGGCACTATGCAATTTGTTAACTCCACTTCTCAAAGATAAATTTCTGGTCAGAGTGTTCTATTCTTGCTGTTTTCATTTTCCCACCTCCTATTTACTCTTGAATCCACAGGAATCTAGGTTCTACTCCCAACAATTTGCAAAAGCTTCTTTTTCTAAAATCACAAATGGTACTGCTCCTAATTAGGAAATCCAGTAGACAGTTTTGAGTTCTTATCTTATTGTTCTCTTACACATTGTTTGAACTTCTGAATTATTTCCTCCATTGTAGACCTCTCTGTTTCTTCAGAGTTCAAAGCTTCACATTCTCCTTACAGCTCACTACCCACTCTCCTTCTGTTTCCTACATGGCCTCTGCCTGTGTCAAAAATGTGAAAGAATAGAGCTGTGCTACTTCCATAGAAACATGAGGGAGTATATTCATAAATTCTGCAAGACATGTACGCATACAAAATTAAACAACAACAAGAGGAATGTGCTCAAGAGAACACATGACAGGAACTGTGGTTCAGAAGAAGAGCAGATGGAGAGTGTGGGTAAGAGTCGTTCTGTAAGCATCATGTTGATATAGGATGAGTGTGGCATTGGGGCTGCAAATGCCACTGCAGTGGGATCCCAGCACTGACAGCCATAGGGCCTTGGGCAAGTTACTTCGGCACAATGAACACTCTATGGGAATAGTAATAGTTATGTCCTGGGACTGTTGAGAAAATTAAACAAAATCCTTAAGCCATTATTTGCAGTAGTACCTAGTATGTGCTTCATGAATATATGCTCATTTTCATAAAGAAAGGGAGTCTTGAGAACACTTTTTTCTCCTCTCTCCTGCATCCAAGCCTGAAGAGGCAGAAGGAACTCCAGGAGTTGAATGGAAGAGCACAGAAGGGAAACAGTGAGCATCGTTACTACTGCACCCTCATCCCAGCTATGATCTGCTAATCCTCAGATAGCCTGAGACGGGGTACGGAAAGTGTTAGATGACCAGCAGGTTAGACAAGACCTTTGACCAATGTCAGAAAGGTGCCTGGAAAAGGTGTGGGACCTGGCTGAGATTTCATCTGGGTACAGAGAATAATTTAAAAAGCTTGCTGGAAGGCAGTGGTATGATGAAACCATGCAATTCTTGTTTAATTTTACCTATATCAGGTCTGTCTTGTTCAATAAATGAGTTATATGTACTTACAAATCATTAACAGGTAGTACTATCAAACCATACTTAAAATATTTCTGAGTTTTCAATTATTTCCTTTTCTAGATAAAGAAATAGCGACAGAGGCACCCCAGTGGATGTCCCTGCACACCTCCACTTTGGGGACTATTCTAAGAGCAGGAGCCCAATGGGGGCTGCAAATGCCACTGGAGGGCAGGTGATCCATGACCAGTGAAGACAGAAAAAGAGGAGAATGTGGTAGTGATGGAGGTTGATATTGCTGTGGTAGAACATGTGGAAGGAAAATGAAGATAGGCAAAAATTGAGGCTCTTCAGATTCATTCCATGTAGGGGAAGAGGGGGCAAAAGTAAGAGCATTGTTCAAGAACAACCAGGTAGAAACAAAAGGAACAGAGAATGTGTTGACCTCCAAGGGAAGAAAGGAAAGCAAAGACATTTGTGTTACAGTCCAAAGAGGACAGTCCAGAGTAACAAGGATGGAGTATTTGAGTATCCCCAAGAGGCTTACAAAAAGGAACTTTACTTATAGATAAGCAATGATAGGGTAAAATTGAAAAGAACTAAAGAGAAAGAAACTAAGACAGTTGACACCCTGGAGAAAAAGTTTATGAGCCCCTACTACAGTCATGCATTCTCAAAATAACTGCTAAACAAATTAGCCATCTCAGTAAAGCAAGACTGGGTAAGAATTTAAGAATCTCTCCATCCTGGGTTGGCAAGTGATGGGCAGAATAATTGACCAGACATCCTCCAGCTCAGTTCCTGGGATGCAGAGATGCTGGTGGAAGCACTTTGTAGCACAGCAAGGTGAGAGTTTGAAGGGGCTTCACTTTCTGAAAAATCTCTCTTCATAATCCTGTTTTTCCATTTCAGAAAGAATTTAAATCAAAAACCTTAATGTTCTTGTCATCTCTGAACACATGCTGAATGCAGGGGAAACACCCTGAAGTAGGAATTTCTGATCTCCCTCTTCCTTTGTTGTCATTCAAGAATACCAACTCAGCTTTTACAATTTGATGTCCTTCTAACTTGAGGAAACCATGCCATTACGAACACTCCCCTTGCCTTAGAAGAAGATATGTGAGTTGGGTCTTAGGGAGACTAAGGAAAGAAAACTCTCCTTACTGGGGACAAACAGTATCCTAGAACACTGGATTCTCTATCAGTAGCTTCTGACCCCAGGGGTGTCACACAGAGCTTTGGACTTAGGAAAAGTCACATAGCATCTTTGAGCATGGAGTCCCAATTGGTAATTATGATGTATGTTGCTGCCTGATGGTTCAGGATATTTCCTTGAAAGACTTCTTTCCATAGCGCTCTGATTATGCTGTTTGGGATTAACAGAATAGGCATAGCGGTTTAGATAGGAAATTTTAAAAATGACAAATTAAAGAATCCTGGAAAATACACTGTACATTCTGCCAAGGTTTATCAATATGGATGCTGGTATAGTAATGAGAATAAATCGGTAAATTCTTTTCATAAAATGAAGGAAAGAAATTACTATGTGCTCTTTAAAATGTGTTGCATCAGTGCCTGATTTGATTGTAAGGGTCACATCTTCAAGACATGTGATACCACCCTTTATACCACATTATAGCATTGTCTAATGTTGTAAAGTTTATAAATTGCTTTCACTCAGTCTTCATCTGATTCTCAGAATGACCCTATCCAATTGGGAATATGGGTTTCATTAGTCTTACATTACTAAGGAGATTCAGAGAGTCTCAATTGGCCAACATCATGCAGTTAAAAATGACAAATGGGGATTTTGAACCCAAGTCTTCCTGACCCCAGAACCCGTGATCTTTGTACTACATCATGCTTCCTGAGAAATTAAATGGACCTGTCTTGCAGAACTGTTCTTCTTCTAACTAGGGATCTGGAGGAGTCTCAAGTAAATAGGCAGATGGCCTTAGGGAGGGATGTCTGGAAGCACCTGTTTGGAGTCCCAGCAGGTTGGTGGTTTTCTGTCTGTAGGTCTGGCAGCTGGGCATGGTAACTTAGCCATGGAAAGGGGCTGCAAGAGGAGGTCCTCAGTGCTCAGACCCAGGGCAGAGGACTGTGTGGCTCCTGTTTGTTTCTCCAGATCTACTCTCTACACGCCTTCACCCTGCTCTCTGTTTGGGATGGAATCAAAGGACCCCTTTGCCCCCTGGCTTATGGTTGCCTTTTGCCAATGGAAGCAGTGACAGAGGATCAGATTAGAGGTAGAAGGGGAGTGAGGAAGGAGAGTGAAGAGGGATAAATTCTCCTTCTGCCTCTGATCCTCTGTCGCTGCTTCCACTGCCACCTACTGCTTCCATTGGCAAAAGGAAGGATGCCGTGAGGTTGCCATGAGCATGCTGCAGCCTTCCAGTCTCCTATAAGACAGCTTCCCCATGGGGTCCTTTTCCTATTCCTCCTCTTGCCCCTTCTGACCTAGCCCCAGGTACAGTACTGTATTACTTACCTTCTCTTATACCTTTTCCATACCTTTGTCGATGGTCTCCTTGTTGGACTCCTCACATTACCCAGTTTGAGTGTGCTTTCTATTTCCTGATGGGCTCCTGGCTGATCAGACCTGACCCCAGAGGACCTGGGTACCAGAATCTAATGCCTGGATTAAGGCACATGAGCAAGACGCAGACCCTGCAAATGGAATTGAAATTACAATGACCTAGAACAAGGGAGATAGGGCCAAGCATGCCCTAGTGAACGAGGGACCCAAATGGGGTAGGACTGGGAAGAAATCTGACTTGAGACTGATGGGCTAGGACTCTGCTAGAAGGGCCCTTCTGGTCTTCCAGGAGACAAGACTATTCACAGACGCTGCAAATTGGTGGTGCAAGGAAGGCAGCAGGAGCTCAATAGGGTACAGAGTCTAAGGAGAGCTGGAGGCATGAACCAAGCAGAGTGGCTGGGTGTTTGAATCCTTGCTTCTAGTGGCAGAGACTGACCGGCTATTCATCGAACCCATTTTTATTTCCTCCTGGGCACATGGACTATGGTCCTCGTGTTCTTGAGTTCTAGCCAATGGAATGTGGGCAGAAGGGATGTGCTAGCCCTTAAACCTTCCTTACTCTCTCCCACCTCTTGCCAGCTGTAAGGAAGAGTCACAGTAACATCTATTATTTACTTATTCATTCTTTCATTCATTTATTTCATTCACTCCCTGAAACAAGAGCCAAGGGTACAGCCTCTCTAGGAGGTGACTCTCATGCCCTTTTATTATGCTGGCTTGATACTAATGGAGATGCGGTTGACCATTGCAAAAACCCCTGTTGAGACACAGCAGAGTTGGCCAGCATTCTTATGGTACTTCGGATGTGGATCCTGTGATGGCTACAGCATAAAACACTGCATTAGCCTCCATCTTCTATCCTTTTTCCCTTCAAAAATGATGATCATTTCATTGAGTGCCCACCCTGCACCAGGTGCTTCTGATACTTTATGAAATATGATGTTTTAAATATGAAAATGGGGGCTTACATAATGCTGTGACTAATTTGAGCCTTGCTCAGCAGTTAGGCAGCTTCAATCTTCTTATTAATATACAGGGAGTGGTTGCTGATAATAGGCACATTTTCAAGCCCAAAGGCATCTTGACAGTGCATGCTGAGGATTGGGGGAAATAGGAAACCTCCAAGGAATACTCCTGATATCTTTGCATCTGTATACACATATGAGTTGTCTTAGTGTTTTTACCATAGAAGATCCTTAAAAGTTGACACAGGCAGGCTCTGGGTATGTGCATCGAGAGATATTTCCCAGAGTCTGTTTTTTTGACATCCTTTCACCATCATTTTATCTCTTAGCAGGAATCAGTTGCCCAACAACTCCTGTGATCATCTGCAAACCTCTTTACAGTTTTCAGTGTCTCAAGGTAATACATAAAGAAGGAAGAAACAAAAGAGTATGAGTATCACTATTCATGGATACTAATTACCAAATGTACTTTTTTGAATTAAATCCTTGTTTGAATGGAGGTTGCACAGAGATGAATGTTTTGTTAGCAGACTTCTCGAGGCCATGGCAGGTTTAAATAATTTTGCGCCACGGGAGACAAATTTTCCTGATGTTGGAATCCTAATGTGGGTGAACCATGTGAAATGCTGCTTTCAGCAAGGAGCTGACTTCCCAGGCTCCCTTTTCTGAGGGAGTTGGGCAGAGTTGGGGTGGTGACAGTATGGTGGAGGCAGAAGCTTCTATGTCCTGATTCCCTTGTACTAGAAATTTCATTACAGATACTTGTGCACATCAGATGCATTGTTGGATCAGAGTGTCGCATGTTCGTTCCTTCACAGATGTTATTTCAGATTAAGCCACAGACAGCGGGGAGTGGACGTGGCATGCATTTTCCTCTTCATTTGGTAGCGTCTCATCTCCCAGCAGTCATTTGCAGAGCAACATTACTTGCATAACAATTGAGCCGATCTGATATTTTAGGTTATGATGTCAAGATATATTATACTGCAGCCTACTGACTTTATAAAAAAGTAGCCAAAGAAAGAAAATGATTAGGGCCGAGTTGGGATTGAAAGGGACCTGAGGGAATGTCATATGTTATGAGAATCTTAAAAGCTTCTAATGACCTGTTATTCCCCAAGGGCGCTTGCTACTGTGACGATTGAATTTATTTTGTACTAAACAAGCTTTGCATTTAATGCCATCTTTTTTTATGGTCTGAGACCCACAAGAATGTGTTTTACTATTTTCTGAATAAAATACTTGGTCAACAGTTTATCATGCAATCATCTTTCTTTATGCTTCCATGACTATATTTAGTAATACTATATTTTGTATTATTAAATGTATTTATGAATTCTTCTGTTATAATACTTTTCTGTTTAAGGATGTTTGACAGTGTATATCTTAAAGGCCAAGTGTCATCTTTGCTTTTGTAAATATATTTTATAGTCTTAAACTGAAGATGTTGTTTGTGAGCATTTTCATGGCATAGAATGTATGCACAAAGCTTAGGATTAAAGTAAGCCTTTTAAAAACAGCAACCGTGATTATCACCAAATCACAGTGTTTTTAGGGTAACATGGACTATGGTCCTCGTGTGCTTCATATGAATAATCCCACCTCCCTTCTACCTGGTAAGCTCTATGACAGAAGATGCTGTACATAACAGGTATTCAATAAATATTTGTTGGATGGATAGATGGATTAATGGATGAATGGATGGAGGAAGTAGATATGTGTGTGATTTGGGGTTGAGGGCCGTGCTTTTTCTGTGAGTCCAGACTTAAGTCAGGCTGTTTTGCATCACTGAGCTTCACAAACATTTACTGGAAGTCAATGTCCTGCTGTTCATGTGAAGAAACAAAAGTGCAGAGGGCTAATGAACTCTTAGGAGGATGGCACTGCTTTCCATTAAGCAAAGCCAGCGTATTTTTGGCTTAGAAAATGAGTTCAAATTTGAAATTGCTTTCTCCAAAATGGTTGCAGTCTTTCAAATTACAGAACTCTCCTGGAAATTGGAGAATAAATAAAAATGCAAGGATCCTTGCTTTGGTGAGTAAGCTCACAAGGATGGAAATAGGCACAAAAAGTGGCAGTGTCTCTGAATTATCACTGAGTGTGAGTTTCTAAGAGAACAAATCACTTTCACGCAGCCTTGACAATCACTTGGTTAGCTCAACCCCAGGAAAGGCTATGAACAGGGCTGGGAAGCAGAAATAATGCATTATTTTGTTGAGCTTATTAACATTTGGGCAGAAAGGATAGATTCCTTTTACATAGTTAGGCATCATTTTAACATGTACATTATAGGTGGTGGCTTTTTTGTAACAGAAATAAGTGTAGCTATCCCTTAACAGGAGCAATTTCCCTTCATATTTCTTGCAGCTCTTGTCCCATGAGGCGACAGATGAGTATGTGATAGCAATACTGATTCCAGTGCTGAGATGCCATCTGATCCACTGGGAGAGCTGGTGGATTCAAATCAATGTCAGCTCATGCCTTCTGGGCAGCAGTCTTTCAGTGCAGGATTTACTCTATGGATCAGAAAAACAGCTGGTGACTTGCAATATATTATACAAAAGACCTTTAAAATGTTTTGTTGTTTCCAGCTATGATGTAGTGTGAGTCACTTCAATTTTTTTTATTTGTGTGCCTTTCTGATGGAACAAAATTCCGTTAAGCAACTGGTAAAAACATAATAGTAATTTAAACTGGTGTCTGTAGAATATTGAGACTGAAGAGTGATTAGAAATAAGGTTTTACTTTAATGTGCATTTTTAGTGTAAAAATTTTACCCATGGAAAGCATTTATTGGAAATCCTCTCCTGAGATTCCCTGTAAAATATAAGCATATGCCAAAGCCAATAATCCTTGTGGGTTACTTGGAATTATTGGAAAAGAATAATTTTTACCGAGTTATTTTGCTAAGTTGTGGGTTACAGTTATTTGTTTCCAGGGTATATTGTTTGTACATGACAGAATTTTGGACTTTCTTCTTTCCTTTAGGTCAAGTTTTTTCCCCATAAAAGATGTATAATAATTCATATTAACATTAAAACATTTATTTTGGGAGGAAATACTCAATGCTTTTAGTCCCAGAACTAGTCTTCTTTCCCTCACTGAGTCATTTTTGGTTTTTATACTTTGGTTTTTCATGGGTTTTTTTAAATGAGGTTTCTTTCTCACTTTAAAAAAAAAAGTATTTTCTGTCTCTGTAGTCCAAGTTTCTGGTAACAATTAGGATCACTAGTACAGAAATACAATGTATGTCTAGAAAAAGGTACAAAAATAAACTAGCAAGATTCTTGGATGGTCTGGATACCTAAAAGACAAGGGATTTGAAATTTTCTGAGTGTTTGGTGAGTCCAGTTAGTGGCTATTTGGTATCAAGTGGGTATCCCAAATCTGATGTGATTAGCCAAATTTCCACACCAATCATCCAGAGCCAATGCCAGAATGACGACCTCGCATACATCAATTCAATGGCTATGGTTTCCCAGTTGCTTTCTGTAGTTCTCTGTTGAATACTTTAATGAAATAACTAAATAGACGCCAGCCATCTTGGGCATCTCTGTGGATGAAGAGCTATGTGAAATACTATCATACTCAATATTTGTAGGGGGTGAGTCTTAAGTCTGTGGTCCTGTCAAGGAGTTCCTCACTACATTTGACTGCAAGCATAATTAGCAATTGGTGTTCAGTGTGCAAGGAACTTTGATTGATTGGGCTGTGTTTTAGGCCTTGTCAACATGAACAAAACATATCATCAGGTTCGTCCATCTTGCTTAGCTACTTTTATATGTACTTGAATATTCCAGCAATACTAATTTCCACTGATCAATTAAGGAAGCAATCCTAAAGGAAGATGAGATTAAAAGAAGGAAAAAGAATCACAAACCAAAAGAGCATTTCCTGAAGTGTGTCCAAGAACACTAATTATTGGAGAAGTTATTAAGATTTGGGTTGGGGGGAGGTGGGTAACCCAGTGAAATAAGTTTGAGAAATGCTGAGATAAGCCAAGTTAGCATTTTTTTCCTATATTTTAGGGCTCATCAGAGCTTTTAACATGCCATGAACATTATAAATCTCAAAAAGGGAGACCTAGCTTCCCCAACTTAATGGAACACCTCCTCTACATCCCACCATCTGATTTTTTTCCCCAAAGAATATTTTGAAAAACAACCTTTTGGGATGTTTGCTTAATACATGTGGACTTAAAATTAAATAATAATTATAAATAATTAAATTCAGTTGTGTTCTTGGCATCATAAATTTATTTGACTTATCATTTATTGAAAGCCTGCTATGTGCCAGACACTGAGCTAAGTACTTTTACATATATTAAAATTGTAATAGCCCCATGAAGTAGGTGCTATTTTACCATTTTAATGAATAAGGCACTGAAGCTTAGAGAAGCCTGGTGATTTTCCCAAGTTTGCAGAAGTAGGAAGTAGTGAAGGTAGAATCCAAACTTAGGCCATAACTGATAACCATGATACTATAACAAATAGTCTAAATAAAATAATAAAAATTGTGTGTTTATGTCTGTAAGAGAAAGCTGGACCACAGCTTTTTAGATCCAGAGAAAGGTGGACCTAAAAATTTTCAGGAATTATTAAATCCAGTTCTCAATGTTTAGAGACCCAGAACAGTGATATCATTTTCTAATGATACACCACTAATTGATGAACAGGAAGGAGCTGGAACCATACTCTTTTTGACTCTTTGATGATAAGATGCCACGTCATTCTTGATGGCTTTTTAATTAGTTGACTTCAGAAAACGAAACAAGATAATATTGCTTTTAAAAGTTTAGATCTGTTTTGTTAGTAGATTATAGGAATTTGCTATTAGGTTCATTGTTTCATGATGAAACATTGCAAATGTTCATTGGAAATGTTTCATACCAAAAAACAGACTATAAATAAAAGGTTATTTAAAATATTTAAAATCATGTGAGTGTGAAGGTGAGTGAGAAAATATAGTGTCCAGGAAAAGTAATGTCAAACAATAGCATTTGAATAATAAATGACTCAACCGAAGTAGAATATAGGCTTTTTTTTTCTTGAGGATCAAAGCACAACCTCAGCTTTATTTATAGGGGTAATAGTCATCTCTGTAGTGTGAAATGAAATGGGGCACTATTATGTTGCTGCACAGTCTAAATTTCTACTCTTACATACATTATATTACATTAAGGCAATATGTTTCAGTAGCCATCTGTTTAAATGAAAATAACTCTGGAGCAGAAATACGTAAAGCAGTTTCTCAAATATTAAACCCAGTCTGAGCTTGGGCTTGGCATATCTCTTTTTATTGGTGTCAGGAAATATAAAAGATAAATTTTGATGGGAGGAGGCTCATATGGAAATGGTCAGAAAATGAAAGAATGCCTGGGGCAGGCAGTCTAAGTACAGGCAGCAATTTATCCCAGAAGAAAGGAATGTAGGAAGTGAGGTCACCCAGAGGAAAGATGATCCTAGGAGATGCTGGATGGTGCTAAAGACAGTATTCAATATCGTAACTTTCAACGATATAATCCAATCTTAGGGATTGCCTCTTTACCATAGAGAAACATATATTTACAAGCCTCTCAGCTTTTGTAAATTGTTACACTTTTTTTAAATGGTTGGGTAAAGGAAAGTCTGGAGGAATCTAACTCTAGCACTGTCCTTGAGCAGCTCTCATCAAGTATAACAGCTGCTGTGTATGTAAGAGAAGTGGGGGATGACTGGGAAAGTTGTTCCAGTGTGATCTCCTGAAATAGATAGAAGACTTGCAATTTCACACCAAGATCCACAGCCTGGCCTTGTTTTCTAGTTGCAGATCTGAAGTAGTAGTAGTCCATCTGTCAGCCTGACATCTTTTTATGCTCCCTTTCAATCACTCCCAGAGGAAAAAAAATATTTTAGATTGATTCTGATTTTGGTAACTTTCTTATTACCTATCAGTTTAAAAACATTAAAAGATAGTAGCAGATTTCATTTTCTCTCATCCTGCAGGTTTTTAAAGTTGGAATTTTACCCATTCTATTTGGGTCCTAGGAATAGTGATATAACTGACAGACAGCTGACTAATAAATGAACTGGAGAACAACTATTCTATTTGTCTTTACATAAATTCTTTAAAAAATGATAGAATTGGTTTATTCATTCACTAAACAGACATGAACCAAGCGCATAACAGAACACTGGAAAGTTAAATTCCTATGAGGGAGATGTCATTCTGGGCTGAACAAGGCTGTGCAAGAAGAAAAGGGACCAAGAATCTGACTAAGAATGAAGATGATGATGGGCACCCTTTGTGGATGCAAAGATCAGTAGAATAGGTGTCTTGCACCAGATAGATTCAAGTGGAAAGAGTGATGGGTGATTCAGGAAAATCCTCAAGGGCCAGGAGACTAATTAAGGTCAAGTCCTGTGGAGAGCAAAATCCAGGAGATGTATCATCATTTGCCATATGAGGAAGTGGGGATTTGCTACCTCAGATCCCAAAAAAAGAAACTCTTTGCTTTCCATCTCACTTTGTTTTGTCTATTGTGTTAGGATGATCCTTATACATGAAAAAGCTCAAAAACTGACTCAAGATTCCAGGTTTTGGAAGAGAGCCATTCATGCAATGCCAAAGTACACATCAAAATGTGCAACAGAGAGTGTGGAGTGACACCATCAACTAAAGAACTAGTCAAAGTTCCTACGAGCATGGCGCCATACAGCCAATCTTCCTTCTTGGTTCTCAGTGTCTTCGAGGGTAGCTCAAAGGGTCACTGTCACAGTGACCATGAATTGTACAGGAATCCTGTAGACAGTGAGAAGATCAAGCCTTAAGAAACACCACATTTATCTATTTGGAGGTAGAGTACTGTTTGTTTTGGTTTGATTTGGTTTTTATTTGATTTGGAGGTTTTGGCTATAAAAGAGTGTCATTTTGTGATTCAGAAATACTCACTCTTTAAAATGTTAGTTTCATTTTTAGCGTCCTCACATTCTTTTGGTTCCTTTTATTGGAATCCCATCTTATAACCTAATCCTATTAATATTTATAGGGTCCACATGAATATGAAATTAACTAGTAGGTTCCATTTATGAAAAGGGATCAACTATTAAGTCCTATATTTTGTTCTTTAACTTTGGAATTTGATTCATGATATCTTGTAAAGCTTTGAAGTCAACTGACAGTATGACAGATTTACAAACATCTGTTTGAATTTGGAGGCCTTTCCATCTCTTCTGATTGAAAGTAATTATACTCCTCTTCTGCACCTGTTGCATTGTTTTATGTTGTCATATACTCGTTGAGTGCATGTACACGTATCTGTCACGTCACTTAGATTGAAAGCTTCTTCCAGCCAGAAATTTGTGTCATTTGTCTTTGGATCCTCAGTGGTAATCAGAGTCTGGCATATAGTTTATGTTCAGTGTATTTCTAAGGAGGGTAGATTTAAGGAGGGTAGAGATGACATCATCATAGTAATAAATAAGAGTAACTTTTCTTAAAGACTGGATTTCTATACTTGGGAAATGGATATTACTTTGAAGGGGAGAAGAGAGTGAGAGCAAGAGTGAGAAAAGAAGAAAATGAATGGAGTTCATGAGTACCTAGGAGTTGTTTGGCTAGAATAAAACAAGTGTTTCATTACAGGAAATGAAGATAATATAAAGAGCAGCTTAAACTTTTTTTTAGTGGACTAAGTTGAGAATCCTGTGGAGTGTAGAGTTTTCATGTCTGGGTAGTCATGCCTTTCTTATAGTTATGGAGGGTTAGGTATGAACGGGGAACATTTAACCATCTGAATTGACCATATTAACCGAAAATGGCAGTAAAGTAACCATAAATGCCAGGGAAGTAACCATGCCTACCTAGGACACATCAGTGATAAGAAAATGCTTCTTTCAACTTTTTAACAGATTTATTGAACTGTAATCTACATACCATAAAGTTCACCTTTTTAAAGTGTACAATTCAAAGGTTTTTAGAATATTCGCAAAGTTGCATACCTGTCACTGTAACCTAATTTTAGAACAATTTCATCATCCTCTCCCCAAAATAATCACTGCCCATTCTCCCCTCACTTAGTCCCAAATCCTAGGTAATGACTAACCTACTTTTCTCTGTACATTTGCCTATTCCAGACATGTCATATAAATGGGGTCATATAATATGTGATATTTTGTGACTGGCTTCTTTCTCTTTGCATAATGTCTTTGAGTTTCATCTGTGTCATAGCATGTATCAGTACTGCATTTCTTTTTGTTGTCAAAAAATTCCATTGTGTGGATATGTCACATTTTGTTTAATAAGTTGATGAACATTTGGATTTTTTCAATTTTTGGCTATTATAACCACTTTGTTGAAATCAATAAACCACAAATGTATGGGCTTATTTCTGGACTCTTAATTGTATTCTATTGATTTATATGCCTATCCTTATGTCAGTATCACAGAGTCTTAATTACTGTAGTTTTATAATAAGTTTTAAAGTTTGGAAGTGTGAGTGCTTCATCTTTGTTCTTTTTCAAGATTATTTTGGCTATTTGGGTTCCTTGCATTTCTATACAAATCTTAGGATCAGGTTATTATTTTATGCAAAAAAAGGCAGTCAGTATTTTTATAAGGATTGCATTGAATCTGTAGAGGAATTTAGAGCATATTGCCATCTTTGTAATGTCAAGTGTTCCAGAGGAGTAATGTCAGCAAAATGGAGGAATATAGGAGCTTTCTACCCTCATCTCCCTACAGTGCACCAATTTAGACAGCCACCCATGAAAAAGATTAACTTTGTGGGAGTCTGAGAGTCCAGAGAAGCTTCAGCATGTTCTTGGACCAAAAATCTAAGAAGTGATGCACTGAAGAAGGTAAGAAGAACAGTTTCATTTTACCCACATTACTCCTCCCCCAATTTGGCATAGGTCAGTGACAAGAGAGACCCACGTGGTCCACAAGTTTCTCCCATGAAGGGAAGTAAAAAGCATAGTGAATGAGCTCCCGGCCTTCCCAGCTGTGCAGGATGCACTCAAGAGGCCTATCTCTTTCTTGCCCCACCCAGAATACTGAAAAAAAATCAGCATAACTGAGTAGCTGGGGGAGCCTGGGAGCAGGGAAGAGAGGAAGGGATTCACAGCAACTAACCAGGAAACTCAACAAAGGGCCATGTAACCTACTAACCGTCTTCTCAGATTCCATCAGGTAGTCCACTTAAAAGCCATTTGGGATGCCTCAACAGCACACCCACTCCAAATGTCCCCATGAGGACTTCCAATGTTTGTCATGGCTCACCTTCACACACACTCTGTGACTGGATCCCTGTGCATTTCCCTCTCATCCCCTCCAGTCTTCCTCCCAATGCACAGTGAGTGTGAGCCTTTGCAGATGGCTTGGGAGCCTGCACAATCAGCCAGCTTGCCTCTGCAAGACTGGGAGAAGGCACATAAACTTGAGCATTTTTTTCCCTAGGGCATCACCCTGAGGAAAAAAGCAGAGGCACTGAGCATCCACTGTGACTCAGTGAGACTGTGAGAAGGCATACAATCTTAAGATACGAAAGAGAAGATGAGAGTGGGTTGGATGCATCCATAGCAAAGGTCTGAGACTATGTACAGTGGTTCATGCCTGTAATCTCGGTATTTTGGAAAGCCAAGGCAGGAGGATCACTTGAGCCCAAGAGTTTGAGACCAGCCTGAGCAACCTACTGAGACCCTGTATCTACAAAAAAATGTTTTTTTTAATTAACTGGGTGTGGTGGTGTGTGTCTATAGTTCCAGCTACTCCAGAGGCTGAGGCATGAGGATTGCTTGAGCCCAGGAGGTCAAGGCTGCAGTGAGCCATGATTACACCACTGCACTCCAGCCTGGGCAACAGTGCAAGGCCTTTTCACAAGAAAGAGAGAGACAGAGAGAGGAAGAAAGAGAGAGAAACGAAGAAAGAGAGAGACACAGAAAGGAAGGAAGAAAGCGAAAAGGAAGGAAGGGAGGGAGGGATCCAGAGAATACCTAGCTGGGCTGACTGGCCAAGTTATTTCTCTCCCTAAGCCAGTCAGTAAGAATTAGAGGAAGTGACTGCTTATTTAAATGCAAAGACAGCAGTACAAAACTTCAAGGAACATGAAAAACTAAGGAAACATGATATCATCAATGGAACACAATAAATTTCCCATAACTAACCCCAAAGAAAGGAAGATTTATGAATTGCTTGACAGTAGTATTCAAAAATCATTGTTTAAAGAAGGCTCAGTGAGCTATAAGAGAAGCACAGACAACTAAAAAAAAAAATCAGAAAAAGTACATAAGCAAAATGAGAAGCTTTGTTTTGTTTTGTTTTTTCGGAGATAGAGTCTCACTCTGTAACCCAGGCTGGAATGCAGTAGCATGATCTCAGCTCACTGCAACCTCCTCCTCCCAGGTTCAAGCGATTCTCCTGCCTCAGCCTCCCAAGTAGCTGGGATTACAGGTGCCCACCACCACGCTTGGCTAATTTTTGTATTTTTAGTAGAGACAGGGTTTCACCATGTTGGTCAGACTGGTCGCAAACTCCTGACCTCAAGTGATCCACCCGCCTTGGCCTCCCAAAGTGCTGGGATTACAGGCATGAGCCACCACACCCAGCCAAGAAGTTTAACAAAGAAACAGAAATAATTAACTAAACAAACTCTTGGACACAATGAATGAAATAAAAAATGCAATAGAGAGGCAACAACAGACTTGATCAAACAAAAGACAGAATTTGTGGACTCAAAGACAGGTCACTTGAAATTATGCAGTCAAAGGAGAAAAGAAGAAAAAAGAATTGAACAAAGAAAGCTTATGGGATTTACAAGTCACCACCAAACAAAAGAATATATGCATTATAGGAGTCTCCAAATGAGAATAAAGAGAGGAAGGAAAATAAGTTTATTTAAAGAAATCATAGCTAAAATTTTTCCAAGTGCAGTGAAATATGGACATCCAGATACATGAGGCCCAAAGGTTCCCAAACAGGTTCAAGCCAAAAAAAACTTCACCAAGACATATTATAATCAAATGTCAAAAAGCAAAGATGATGGATTTTGAAAGTAGTATGAAAAGAGACCTATCACATGCAAGGAGACCTTCATTAGACTGTCAGAAGATTTCTTAGCAGAAACCCCAGCAGACCAGGAAAGAGTGGGATGATATAGTCAAAGTGCTAAAAGAAAAAAAAATGCCAACCAGAAATACTTTATCTAGCAAAGCTGTCCTTCAGAAATGAAGGAAAAATAAACATTTTTCCAGACAAACAAAAGCTGAAGGAGTTCATCACCACTAGACTTGACTTACAAAAAATGATAAAGGGAGTTCTTCAAGCTGAAATGAGAAGACACTAATTAATAACATCATTGGTCAAGGTAAGTAAGAGTAAGTAAGTACAGTCAAATTCAGAATACTCTAATACTGTAATGATGATGTATAAATCACTTTTAGCTCTAGTATAACAGTTAAAATACAAAAGTATTAAAAATAACTATAGCTACAATAATTTGTTAATGGATACACAATATAAAAAGAAGTAAAGTCTGACATTAAAAACATAAAATGAGAAAGTAAAAGTGGAGAGTTGTTGTATGCAATTGAAGTTAAGTTGTTATAAGCTTAAAATACACTTTATAACTATAATATGTTATATGCAAGCCCCATGGTAACCACGAAACAAAAACCTATAGTAGACCACAAAATATAAAGATAATCAAAACATACAGTATTTTTTTAAAAAATCATCAAATCACAAAGGAAAATAGCAAGAGAAGAAGAAAGGAATATAAGTAAGAACTACAAAACAGTCAGAAAAGGATTACTAAAATGTCAGTAGTAAGTCTTTTCATATCAATAATTACTTTAAGTGTAAATGAGCTAAATTCTCCATTTGAAAGACAAAGAATGGCTAAATGGATTTTTTTTTTTAATCTGCTACCTAGAAGAGACTCACTCTAACTTCAAGTTACACCTAGGTTTATGTGAAGGAATAGGAAAAGATACTCCATGCAAATGGAAACCAAAAGAGAACAGGGTAACTATACTAATATCAGACAAAAAAGAGCTTAAGTCAAAAATTGAAACAAGAAACCAAGAAGGTCGATATATAATAATAAAGGGATAATTTCATCAAGAGGATATAATAAGTTTATATACATCTAACATCAGAGCATCTAAATATAAAAGCAGTTTTAATGTATCTGAAGGGAGAAATAGAAAGCAATACAATAATAGTAGAGGACTTCAATACCCCACTTTCAACAATGGGAAGATCATGCAGTCAAAAAAATTAATAAGGAAACATTGGACTTCAACTATACTTTAGACCAAATGGACTGAACATACATATACAGAACATTTCATCTAACAGCATCAGAGTACACATGCATGTCAAGCACACATAGAACATTCTCCAGGATCCTTATATGTGTCTTAGCCCTTTTGGGCTGCTATAACAAAATGCCATAAACTAAATGGCTTTTAAACAACAGAAATGTATTTCTCACAGTTCTGGAGGCTGGGAAGTTCAAGATAAAGGTGGCAGAAGATTTACTGTCTAGTGAGGGTCCGCTTATTGGCTCATGGACAGCTGTCCTCACTAATGGAAGGGGCAAGAGCTTCTTATATAAGGACACTAATCCCATTCATGAGGGCTCCACCTCATGACCTAGTCACCTCCAAAAGGCCCTGGCTCCTAATTATCATATCATATCATAAAATGTATTGATTATTACATTTTAACATGTGAAATGTAGGGAGGCATAAACTTTCAGTTTATAGCAATATATTAGTCTACAAAAGAAGCCTTAACAAACTCAAAAATATTGAAATCATAACAATTATCTCTTCCAACCACAAAAGTAAGAAACTAGAAATCAATAACAGGAGGAAAACTGGAAAATTCACAAATATAAGGAAAGTAAACAACATATTTCTGAACAACCAATGAGTAAAAGAAGAAATTGAAAGAAAATTTTTTAAAAATTGAACCAAATGAAAATAGAAACTTAACATACCAAAACTTATGAGATGAGGCAAAAGCAGTTCTAAAAGGGAAGATTATTGTAATAAACACCTACATTAAGCAAAAAGAAAGATCTCAAATAACAACCTAACTTTAAGAAACCAGAGAAAGAAGAACAAACTAAGCCCAAAGTTAGCAGAAAGAAGAAAATAACAAAGATTGGAGCAGAAATAAATAAAGACTAGAAAAACAATAGAAAAGGTCAAGAAAACTAACAATTGGTGTTTTGAAAAACAGAATTGACATGTTTTGAAAAACAGAATTGACAAGCCGTTAGCTAGACTAAGAAAAAAATAAGAAAAGTCTCAAATACATAAAGTAAGAAAAGAGGAGAGATTACAACTGATATCACAGAAATACAAAGGATAAGAGACTACTATGAACAACTATATATAAGCAAATTGGATAACCTAGAAGAAATGAATGAATTCCTAGATACATACATCCTATCGAGAATGAATCATGAAGAAATAGAAAATCTGAAGGTACCACTAATAAGGAGGTTAAATCACCAATCAAAAATCTCTCAAAAAAGAAAAAGTGAGGACCAGGTGGCTTCACTACTGAATTCTTTCAAACATTTAAAGAATAAGTAATAGCAAGTCTTCTCAAACTCTTCAAAAAAATTGAGGAGAATGGGAACACTTCCAAACGCATTTTACAAGGTCAGCATTACCAAAGACAGACAAGAACACTACAAAAAAAGAAAACTGCAGGCCAATATCCCTGATGAACATGGATGCAAAAATCCTTAACAAAATAATAGCAAGCCAAATTCAACAGTATATGAAAGAATCATACACCATAATCAATTGAGGTTTGTCCCTGGGATGCAAGCATGATTCAACATAGACATGTCAATAAATGTGATACACAACATAAGCAGTGTGAAGAATAAAAATCGTATGTCCATCTTAATAGTCACAGAAAAATCATTTGACAAAATTTAACACTCTTTCCTGATAAAAACTCTCAACAAACTAGGTATAAAAAGGAATAGACCTCAACATAATAAAGGCCATGTGTGTTAAACCCACAGCTACCATCATCCTCAATGGTGAAAAGTTGAAACCGTTTCTTCTAACATCAGGAACAAGACGAGGATAGCCACTCTCATGTCTATTCAACAGAGCACTGAAAGTCCTAGCCAGAGCAATTAGATAGGAAAGAAATAAAAGGCATTCAGATTAGAAATGAAGAAGTAAAATTATCTGTTTGCAGATGACATGATCTTATATATAGAAAACCCTAAAGATGCCCCAAAAAACTGTTAGAACTAACAAATCAGGGCTAGGCCCTGGAAACATAAGGAGGAAGAGAACACTAGTCCCTGCTCTCTAGGTGCTCATGGCCTAGTGGGGAAAGCATGGATCCAAATGAAAATCACATCATGCAAGAAATGCCATCAATGGCATGACTAGGTGTGATAAAATTACTGTTAAGAGAGTGATTGGTCTGACTCAGATAGTTAGATAACGTTTGCATTGATCAGAGTTTAGTTCAATTTTTAAGAATGTGAGAAATAGGCATGGGCATACTGTAATTGGGGACCAGTCTGTTGCCAAGGCACAGGCACTATGGGGGTAGGGAAGTTGGAAAGGTGGAGAAAGAGTGGCAAGAAATGAGTCTAAAATGATAGCTTCCGGCTAGAATGCCATCCCAAGGAATTTGGAGCCAATCCAGGGGGCAATAAAGAGCATTGCAGGTCTATAAACCAGAAGACTAGTAAGTTCGTATTTTGTTTTAGGGAACTGACTCTAGCAGCCCCATGTCGGAAAGATTGGAGGAAAGAGATGAAAATGGGAGATGGTGAAGGCCTGAGTTAAGACAATGGCAGCAGGGCTCATAGAGGAGGGGGTAAAACTGAGACAATATTGTTGATGTAGCTGGGATGAAAACTGAAATGTGTCAAAGATGGAGTCGGAAATTAGAAGATAACATAGTCTGATGGGAAGAACAGTACATGAAGTCTGCAAATCTGGACTCAAGTTCCAGCTTAGCTGTTAACTAGCTGCATGTCCTTAATTAAATTTTTATTTTATTTTATTTTATTTTATTTTATTTTGATTTTGATTTTTTTGAGATGGAGTCTCGCTCTGTCACCCAGGCTGGAGTGCAGTGGCGCGATCTCGGTTTGCTACAAACTCTGCCTCCCAGGTTCAAGTGATTCTCCTGCCTCAGCCTCCCGAGTAGCTGGGACTATAGACACACAACACCACACCTGGCTAATTTTTTTGTATTTTTAGTAGAAACAGGGTTTCATCGTGTTGGCCAGGCTGGTTTTGAACTCCTGACCTCAGGTGATCCACCTGCCCTCAGCCTCCCAAAGTGCTGAGATTACAGGCTAATTAAGTATTTAACCACTCTGTTCCTGTTTCCTCAGCTACAGAGAGACTGAGTAGATTATCTCACAGATTGGCTTCCAGAACTAAAATACAAAACTAAAAGGAAGAGGAGGAGGAGAAGGAGGAGAGAAATTGAGACAATTTATGTAGATATCATCCAAGATAAAGATGACTAAAGAAACAGAGCAATTGGAGGATTATAATTTAAGAGAGTTTTGTTTTTAGGAGATAAAATGTCTTGTAGAAAAAGTTTACATAACACATTTTTAGGTGTTCAGGATATCCAAATCCTGGCACTTGTTCTTCTTACCTACAGGGTTCTCTGCCAAAGAACACCTACAAAAGGATCAATAATCGAATAAGAAATCCAGTGTAAATTTTATCAGTATCTGAATAGTTCCCTGAAAATCCAAGGGAAAGCTGGATGGCAGGCATAATTTGGGACAAAGAAGGAATGGAGTCTCTTATGTCCCATCCAAAATCTAGACCTTGGGATCCTATGCTCATGTGTGGGAGAAGGTGTATAGGCACATACACTCTCATGTTCAGAGAGTTGGTGGGTGGAGGGAGAGGGAAAAGGTGAGCCCAAGGACAGCAGAGAGAAAGAAAAAGAACCTAAATATATGGGCATGCTCACCTGTCCAATATCAGGCTGAACTGAGCCCAGAGATACCCATTATATTTCTGTGCAGGATTACTGATCACTAGGGGAAACATGGCCCCATAAATAACAGATTTAATCAGATAAGCAGCTCCTCTCCCATGAGAACTAGTTCAGAACTAAAGTAAAGAGCTGGCTGTGAGGGATTCATCCAAGAATCCACTGAGCCATGCAAGGATGGATGTTTTCTCTTATGAGCTGAGATAGAAAGCTGGGAAGAGAAGCGAAGTGTCTCATCCTTACCCAACAGTATTATTTTGATTCTTCAATTTTTATAATATGATATCCTTTGATGGTGGGAACTATGTCTTACCCATCACTGCTCCTAGCTTACTGAACTACAGTGAATGTTAATTGAATCAGTAAATATATTAATAATCAGGATTGACTGGATTTAAATAAGATTATTGCAACTCAAAGAATCCTCGGGAGGGCATCATCCATCTTCACCATTTGTTATGAACTCTTCATGTGTATTAATTCATTTAATGCAATAACACTATAAGGTGGGAACTATCATCATTCCCCCATTTTACAAATGAAGAAGCTGGGGTCTGGAGGACCCATCTCGCCCCATCACACAGTTAGCAAGTGGCAGAACAGGAATGGGAAGCCAGATATTAGATACAGAATTTATGCATTTGCAACCACACACACTGCCAGCCAAAAACATGCTTTTCCTCTCCAAGAGCACAACCGCTAGCTTTCCTTATTGGCTTATGAAAACTGGAAACCCAGTTTTTAAAAGACTGTGAAAAAAAATTAAGCCAATATGCTTATCATTTTAAAAGGTACTCTATTTAATTGAGGATATATGTTTTCATACTTTTATTCCCAAATGGTTATCACTTCCTTAATTAAATAATACATCAATTATATTTGTCTATAAATATGTATGTGTATATATACATGTGTGTGTGTGTGTGTGTGTGTACCAGGCCCTCAATAAGTATTTGCTGAATGTTTCTTTTCTGCAAAATCTATGTATACTAATGTTTGCTAAATTAGTATACACAGTCTTTCTACTGCTGTTTAGAGGGAAGGTGCGATGATTTCCCATGTTTTTAAAATCAGATGGTTCAATATATTCATGCCACATTTAGAGAAGAAAGCAATTCACGGTAGAGTATGAACTCTCAAAGACTTTAAGTCTCAATGTAATTTATCAACTTTATATATCAACAAACTTTTATTTAGTCCTCTCTGTATATAAAAAGCTTATTAGCGATCACATGCTAAAGCAGATTTTTAAATTGCTAGAGCCTTAAAATGCCCACAATATAGTCCAGAAAGAAGACATGAATAAAATTGGATTATGTAGCATAGCATTTAAGGGCTTATTCACACTTTATGCCCTCCCTCTTCTATTCCTACCTATTCTTCTAGCACACAGGGTCAGGTCCTTTCCAGCTGCCTGTCTTTCCTCATGCTACGCTGGCACACTTGGCCAATGTTGGTGCCATGAAGAGGTTACTCATGCAGATAGGAAGCTGAGGAGGAGGTTTTAGAAAGAAGCTGATGAGTTGAGTGATGGACACGTTGAGTTTAGGTGCCAATGGGAAAGTACAAGTAAATGTATTGAAGCACAATTGAATAATAATGCTTTAACAATTTGATAATTATGTGTGGATTAAGGGAGAGGGAAAGTTTTAAGCCTAGGATATTGGAAGAAGGATGATAAAAAAGTAGGAGGTCAGTGGGAAAGTTGATTTGCAGAGAAAGATGCTGATATTAGTTTTGGATTTGTTGCACTTCAGAAGATGATGAGACATTAAAACTGATATTGATAATGTAATCTTCACGATGAAAATAAAGTAGAGATTGAGGAACTGATCCAGACTGAAGGAGACTAGAGAGACCCGGAATTGGGTGCAACCCAGGATCCTGGAGCAGTGCTTTTGCTATGAAGGACGGGATTGAGCCAATTGGCAAAACTTGATTGCATCTTTGGGCAAAGGGTATCCAGGTTTTTTAAATCAGATGATTAAATAGTATCCATTGTATGATTCTTATAATTTTTCTATAAGTTTGAAATCATTTAAAAATAAAAAGCAGAAAAAAACAAACATCACCACTTTGGCAACAAAAAGTTGGCATTGTCAATATATCTTAAGATCTACATTAGATATGTAAGATGTCTGTATCTTAATCTAGATGTGTGTGTTCACAAACTTTAAACTAGTAATTCTACTTTGAGACACTATCATAAAGAACTAATAATTTATAGGCATACTTCATTTTATTGTGCTTCACTTTACCGTGCTTAGCAGATATTGAGCGTTTTTTTTTTTTTTTTTTTTTTTTACAAATTGATGGTTTGTGGCAACCCTGCATTGGGCAAGTCTTTTGGTACCATTTTTCCAACAGTATGTGCTCACTTCACGTCTCTGTCACATTTTGGGAATTCTTCCAATATTTAAAACTTTTTCATTGTATCTGTGATCTATGATCAGTGATCTTTGATGTTACTATTGTAATTGTTTTGGGGTACCACAAACCATGCCCATATAAGACAGCAAACTTAATCCATGAATGCTGTGTGTTCTCCTACTTCTCCAGTGACTAGTCATTCTCATGCCTCTCTCCCTTTCTCCAGGCCTCCTTTCTCCAGGCCTTCTTATTCCCTGACACACAACAACATTGAAATTAGGCCAATTAATAACCCTACAATGGCCTCTAAGTGTTCAAGTGAAAGAAAGAGTAGCATGTCTCTCACTTTAAATCTGAAAGCTAGAGATGATTAAGTTTAGTGAGGAAGGCATCTCAAAAGCCAAGATAGGCTAAAAGCTAGGCCTCTTGTACCCAACAACAAAATTGTGAATGCAAAAGGAAGAGTTTTTGAAGAAAGTTAAAAGTACTACTCCAGTGAACACACAAATGATTAAAAGTGGATCAGCCTTTTTGTGGATATAGAAGAAGTTTTAGTTATCTGGGTAGAAGATCAAACCAGCCACAACATTCCCTTAAGCCAAAGCCTAATCCAGAGCAAGACCTTAACTCTCTTTAGCTCTGTAAAGGCTGAGAGAGGTAAGGAAGCTGTAGAAGAACAGTTTGAGGCTAAAAGAGGTTGGTTCATGAGGTTTAAGGAAAGAAGCCATCTTCATAACATAAAAATGCAAGGTGAAGCAGCAAGTGGTGATGTAGAAGCTGCAGCAAGTTCTCCAGAAAATCTAGCTAAGATCATTGATGAAGGTGGCTATGCAAAACAACAGATTTACCCTATAATTAACCAGGCTTCTTCTTCTTCTTCTTCTTTTTTTTTTTTTTTTTTTTTTTTTTTTTTTTTTTTTTTTTTTTTTTGAGAGGCAGTCTCCCTCTGTCGCCCAGGCTGGAGTGCAGTGGCACAATCTCAGCTCACTGCAAGCCCCATCTCCCGGGTTCACGCCATTTCTCCTGCCTCAGCCTCCCAAGTAGCTGGGGCTACAGGTGCCTGCAATGAAACAGGCTTCTCTTGGGAAAAGATACCATGTAAGACTTGCATAGCTAGAGAGAAGAAGTCAATGCCTGGCTTCAAAGCTTCGAAGGACAGGCTGCCTGTCTTGTTAGGGGCTAACGCAGTTGGTGTCTTGAAGTTGAAGCCAATGCCCATTGATTATTCCAAAAATCCTAGAACCTTTCAGGATGATGCCAAATCTACTCTGCCTGTGCTCCACAAAAAGAACAACAAAGCCTAGATGACAGCACATCTGTTTACAGCATGGCTTACTGAATATTTTAAGCCCACTATTGAGACCATTTCTCAGAAAAAAAAAAAAAATGATTCCTTTTAAAGGTTACTCCTTATTGACAATGCACCTGGTCACCCAAGAGCTCTGATGGAGATGTACAAGGAGATGAATGTTGTTTTCATGCCTGCTAACACAACATCCATTCTACAGCCCATGGATCGAGGAATAATTTTAACTTTCAAGCTCTATTATTTAAGAAATACATTTTGTAAGGCTAACCTACCATAGATAGTAATTCCTCTGATGGATCAGGGCAAAGTACATTGAAAACCTTCTGGAAAGGATTTATCATTCCAGATGCCATTAAGAACATTTGTGATTTATGAAAGAAGGTCAAAATATCAACATTGACAGGAATTTGGAAGAAGTTGATACCAACCCTCCTGGATGACTTTGAGGGGTCAAGACTTCACTGGAGGAAGTAACTGCAGATGTGGTGGAAACAGCAAGAGAACTAGAATTAGAAGTGGAGTCTAAAGACAAGACTGAGTTGCTGCAATCTCACGATCGAACTTGAATGGATAAATTGTTTCTTATGGAAGAGCAAAGAAAGTGTTTTTTGGTTTTGTTTTGTTTTTTTAAGACAGTGTCTCACTCTGTCACCCAGGCTGGAGTGCAATGGTGTGATCACAACTCACTGCAGCCTCAACTTCCCCAGGCTCAGGTGATCCTTCCACCTCAGCCTCCTGAGTAACTGGTACAGGCACGTGCCACCACACCCAGCTAATTTTTGTATTTTTTTGTAGAGACGGGGGTTTCACCATGTTGCCCAGTCTGGACGTGAACTCCTGGGCTCAAGTGATCCTCCTGCCTCAGCCTCCCAAAGTGCTGGGATAACAGCTGTGAGCTACCATGCCTGGCCAGAAAGTGTTTTCTTGAGATGGAATCTACTCTTGGTGAAGATGCTGTGAACATTGTTGAGATGACAACAAAGTATTTAGAACATTCCATAAACTTAGTTTAAAAGCAGGAGCAAGGTTTCAGAAGATTGACTCCAATTTCAAGAGAAGTTCTATCGTGAGTAAAATGCTATCAAACAGCATCAGATGCTACAGAGAGATCTTCTGTGAAAGGAAGAGTCCATCAATGCAGCAACTTCATTGCTGTCTTACTTTAAGAAATTGTCGGCCGGGCGCAGTGGCTCATGCCTATAATCCCAGCACTTTGGGAGGCTGAGGCGTATGGATCACTTGAAGTCAGGAGTTCAAGACTAGCCTGGCCAACATGGTGAAACCTCATCTCTACAAAAATAGAAAAATTAGCTGGGCGTGGTGGCGCATGCCTGTAGTCCCAGCTACTCAGGAGAAGAATCACTTGAGCCCAGGAGGAGGAGGTTGCAGTGAGCCGAGATCGCGCCACTGCACTCCAGCCTGGGTGACAGGGACTCATCGAAGCAAGATCTCCACCAGCTAAAAGATTGTGACTTACTGAAGGCACAGATGATCATTGGCATTTTTAGCAATAATGCATTTTCATTAAGGTCTATATATTGCTTTTTTAGATATAATGCTATTGCACACTTTTAGACTATAGTATAGTGTAAACATAACTTTTTTTTTTTTTGAGACAGAGTCTAGCTCTGTCACCCAGGCTGGAGTGCAGTGGCATGATCTCATATCACTGCAACCTCCGCCTCCCAGGTTCAAGTGATTCTCCTGTCTCAGCCTCCTGAGTCGCTGGGATCACAGGTGCACACCACCACACCTGGCTTTTTTTTTTTTTTTTTTTTTTTTTGTATTTTTAGTAGAGATGGGGTTTCACCACGTTGGTCAGGCTGGTCTCAAACTGCTGACCTCAAGTGATCTGCCCACCTCGGCCTCCCAAGGTGCTGGGATTATAGGCGTGAGCCACCACGCCCAGCCTTGCTTTCATGATTTTAAAGGTATTTTAAATCAAAAGGTCAAGAAGTGCACAAATTCAGGATTAATTATTTGTATTTAGGATTATTTGCCACAGCGTTGACCAAATAATCATTTGTGGCCAAAGTTTTTGAAGAATAGACTATAGAGAGAGGAGATCAGAGTGGGCCAATAGGGAGCCATGCAGTGGCCCACATTTGGAAAAGGAGAGGAATGTGCTGAGCGGAGTTGACGGATAATTAACTAGAAATGACTGCACTGAAAAGTGTGTGTCTGCTGGTGTTGCTGAAAAAGGTTGGAGTGTGGGTTTATCACATCCCGAAAAAGGCTAAGGAGAAGAGGAACTGAAGAAAAAACCTACCGATTCACTAAGGATTTCCCACCAAGAGGCCTCAATAAAGACAAACTGGCTTTTATAATTCAATTCAAACACAAATTATTTTTTAAATTAATTCCTACGGTTTGCATTGATATTTTAACATGAGAAGTGGAGTTCAGAAACTGCAACAAAAGGGATTTGAGCAGTGATAAAATATTTGTAAGCCTCTCCTGATGACCTTGGTACTGAAAGAGACTGTTCTCCTGTGTCGGGGAAGGTTCTGGACCGCCTTTCCAGCAGCATTTTATCATCAGAAAACGGCTCACTTCATAAGGTTTATAACCTTCCATAAAACTGCAGAACATTTTATTCTTTTTTCATTAAGCCACCTTTGGAATCATTTTAGTCCCTTTATAGTCTCTTATTTAATCTGTTTTTTCGTAGACTAAAGGGAGAAAAAATTCTATCAGTGGTCAAAATAGTAATTAGATAGTGTAAGTCACAGCCTGATGGCTTCAAGGCATACATACTTACTACTTATCTCCTCCATCTGCCTTCATCAGTGAATTCTTTTACTCCCAAGCACATCTTTACCTTTTTCTTAAACAATGGAAAAAAGAAACTACCAAACCGTGCATTTTCCCAATTATAAGAGTTACTAATGTTTATATTCTTTTCTATTAAAGCATCATTCCCATGGTGTAAAAGCTCTTTTACCAAACCCTAAGGAAAGCATGAATTAATAAAACATCAAGAGATTTTATTTCCTATATTGAAAACTCCTATAGTTGCATAAAAACAACTGAATCTTTTGGAAATACGTGTAATCACAAGGAGAGGAACATTAAAAGAGAGAAACTCACTACAAAATAAATCTTAAAACCACTTTCATGTTTAAAAAGAAGAAAATATCAGTTCTTCTTATTCCTGAAGGATTTTTTTTTAAAAAAATCTTTTAATTAATGACAGCCCTCAGGGCACTGAGCAATTGTTAATTAAAACAAGGAGAAAAGGAAGAGGAAGTAGGCAAAAATGCTAAGATGAACACGTTTCCTTTTCTCTGCAGGGGAATAACATTACCAAATGAACATTAATAAATATGAATACTATTGAGAAGAAATACATTTAAAAAAATTTTAACTCCCACCTCAGCTTGACACACACTAGCAGCTACATAAATTAATTGGGGCGCCTCGAGAATTATAAACCCCTGGGTGTCACCTTTTGTCTAATTGAGTATTGGTAGCCATCACCCTACCCTCATCAGGATGGATTGTTTCTTTCTCGGTGCAAGCTGACTTCTGTCAGGGAATAGCGCCTGATCAAAGGTCTTCTAAGGGATTTCATTCACTTTCATTCACTTTCATTCTTGCAGTGGGCGGGCATTCACGTAGGCAACCGCCATCATTATAAAACATTTCTTAAATGCGAGTTAGGAGCTAGACTCACTGCCCATTCAATTCATTGGTCTTTCCCTTTGCAGCCATTAAATTTTTACTTAGAAAAAAATAATTATCAGATCTTTTCGTTCACCCCCTGTGCTTACCTAATTTGGGCAGGTTATTAGTAATAACATTTTCCTGGTCGTTCCCTACCACTTTCCCCTCTACCTCACATGAAAAAGGCTTTTATCTTTCTCATAAGCTCAGAAGTTCACTTAACAAGCAGAGCTTTAGAAGCCAAGAACAAGAAAAAAAAAAAAAAGGTAAGAGAATCTGTTTTCTACTTTATTTGGAGGGGGACAGAAACCCAGAATCCCATAGGCTGTATGTTTAGCATGAAAAAAAAAAGTCATTATTTGAAATTAGGACAACCAGGGATAGTTTTTCCCAACTTTTAAATGATCCCAGTTTTACGTAATTTTATGGGCTTTTCATCAAAGTTGTTTTTCAAAAATAGAACTCAACCCCTTAGGGTTTAAGAGTTTTTTCCCCTTTAGTGTGCGTGCACACACCCCTTTGATGTTCCGCATGCTAGCATATCAGGGTCAGTGCATGGGGGCCAGTGTCATTTACAGAATTTCTCAGATGCCAGCTAAGATCAGTAGCTAGGAGACAACTTAGAATTTCATTTTGCTCTTTGTTCAGATACATTCTTTACCACAGATAAGATCTTACCTCCCCAGCAGTCTATCTCTAAAAGAACAAACTCTAGGTAATCAAAAAGCTATATTCTACCCCCCAACCAAAAACAAATTGCTTATTTTAGCTAATACCTAGTCAAACATAAATGCCAGGGTAGAAAAAATAATGTATTTTCTCTTTCCTTGCTATAATAATATATACCAGTTGAAAACTCCTGATTTTCCTCAGACCACCTAAAAAGCTTTGTCCATTGCTTGTGCTCATGTAGTAGCTAAAGGAGGTTATTTACAAGGCACAAAGGAGAAATACATAGCCCGTCTATACTGCATCACTTTTTTGTTCTCTTCACTTGTGCATAGTATCTACTAATGACTAGCTGAGGATAGTAATTTACATAACATTGAAATGGAAAAATTAAAGGAACACTTTTTGCTTCGTTTTTCAAAGTGGACTTACCTAAGAAGCACTACCATGCTCCTTAAAAATGCTTTCTTGGTTCTCCCCACTGATGTCGCCAATCTGGGGGTGGGGCTCAGAAATCTATTTTTTGTTTTTTTAGAGCAAGGCAGGGTCTTGCTCTATAACCCAGGCTGGAGTGCAATGTTGCAATCATGACTTACTGCAGCCTTGAACTCCTGGCCTCAAGCAATCCTCTCACCTCAGCCTCCCAAAGTGCTGGGATTACAGGCACAGGAATCTATTTTTTTTAACAAGCATGAGAGCCATTCATAGGCCAAATTTATTTATTTATTTATTTATTTATTTATTTATTTATTTATTTGAGATAGGGTCTCATTCTGTTGCCCAGGCTGGAATGTAGTGGTACAATCACAGCTCACTGCAGCCTCGACCTCCTGGGCTCAAGTGATCCTCCAACCTCAGTCTCCCAAGTAACCGGGACTACAGGCATGCACCACCACACCTGGCTAATTTTTTATTTTTTGTAGAGATGGGATTTCACTATGTTACCCAGGTTGGTCTCAAACTCCTGGGCTTGAGCGATCCTGCCACCTTTGCCTCCCAAAGTGCTGGGATTACAAGAGTGAGCCACCTCAGCCAGCATGTTTTTTGTGGGATCTCATTATTTTTAACTGTCTCATGCAATATCTAATAATAAAATGTACATGTCTTCTTCATTTTATTTCTATATAGAGCGTGTTTTATTAATACATGTTGTTACAACATCTAATTGCAAATACATATGAAACTCTATCCAAACTCCTACCCAATCTCTTGGTAGTGGAAAGTACATCAGTCACAGGAATAGAACCCAGAGTCAAGGTCCTGAAGTTTGGGCCTTGGCTGGAGAGCAGAGTAGACTCAGGTCACAACACCAGGATGGGATACATGGAGGAGAAGGAGGAAGATGGGGGGAAAGGAAGATTCTAGGTCTGCCGAAAAAGATCAGGCAGGTAAAACTCAGAGACCTTCCAGCAAGGCCCAAAACACCACTAGCCACATGAGAGGTTTCAAGCAATTGACTCATCTGCCCCTAGTGGGATTTTTAAACTACAGACTGGTATAGGAGGTGACCTGTTTAGATTTACTCTCAAACCTGCTGTGTTGGGCCACTCCAATTTAGACTACACTTTGCTGAAGTTCTGAAATTCAAGAATTGCTTCTCACCTCCTTGTGACCTATGAAGAGATGTCATTATCTGGGTCCACCCACATTCACTTGGGAGTTCATTCAATAAAACTTTGCAATATAATGTAATGGGTGTCCCATAGGGATTCGGGGCAGAAATATTTTTAACTCTCATTTTGTTTCAAGTACAATAGACAGTAACTAAATTTTCCAGAAAACTTTAAAGATGCTTTTATCTCTGAAAGGTTTTTCTTTTTTAACCCACTTCAGTCCCACTGATGTTTTCACTAGCTTGCCTCCAGGATAATGCATTTGATATCAGTGAATGTGAATACACACTTCCAAATGCTTTGTGCAGGCTGATCCACTAGCTCTCTTTAGACTTTTGCTAATCAGAAATTGCTCAAGAAGGAAATTTGTGAGCTGTTTCCAAATTGCCTACTGCCTTAGACTTATGTAACTATGACAGGTTTATTGATGCAGCTGGGAGCAAGTTTTTAATCTTAGAAGAAAATGTTTATTTCTAAATAGAGGTGCATATACTTTTCATAAAAGTATTTCTAGAGGCTTTTTAAAATGCTTTGATGGTTTAAACTAATAGAAATAATAATCTTTAAATATGCTTATCAGTAGCATCCCCAGAATTCACGTCTTTAGTCTTTGTACGAATTAGATTTCCTGGCTAAACCTGTGAAAAATCTCATGGTATTAGGAAATCTGAATGTTGTTTCTTTGTATTATTCAGGAATTATATATTTTTAATTTTTAAAAAGTTAAATAGATGGAGATAATGTTGCAGTCTGAAAGGGCAGCCCTGAGAACTTATAATCAGTGCTATGGTGGCTGTCCTGCATTCTTTGGGGCAGAGCTTCCTGAGTTAGTCCCCACAGTTACTACCTCTCCTTCCTCGCCTTTCCTCTCTTGCTGCTCTCTCCTTCCTATCTTTACTAATTTATCTTCCCATGTCAACCCCTTAAATTCTGCTGCTCTTTCATAGAAATCACCTCGTTGTCCCGCTTCTCCACCACTCATATTCTAGATTGGTAGATATGGACCATACAGATAGTCTACCATGGCTACCATCAAATATTTTTGTTCACTTCATTGTGCATAGTTACCTACTAGTTATTCATTGGGAGTAGTAATTTGCAAATTATTTAAAAGGAAAAATTAAAAGAAAAAACTTTTTGCTGTAGTTTCCCTTTTTTTTTTTTTTTTTTTTTTTTTTTTTTTTTTTTTTTGAGACAGTCTTGCTCTGTCACCCAGGCTGGAGTGCAGTGGCACGATCTCAGCTCACTGCAACCTCCGCCTCCTAGGTTCAAGCAGTTCTCCTGCCTCAGCCTCCTGAGTAGCTGGGACTACAGGCATGTGCCACCACGCCCAGCTAATTTTTTGTATTTTTAGTAGAGATGGGATTTCACCATGTTAACCAGGATGGTCTTGATCTCCTGACCTCGTGATCCACCCGCCTCGGCCTCCCAAAGTGCTGGGATTACAGGCGTGTAATACACCGTGCCCAACCCTGCTATAGTTTTCAAAGTAGACTTACATCAGAATCACCTGGAGTGCTCATAATGTGTTTCTGGTCCTTCTCCCCAACTTTATTAATCTGGGGCATGTCCCAGGAATCAAGATTTTTCACAAGGATTCCAATGATTCTCATGCATACTCAAGTGTGAGATCTACTGAGAGGCCAAATGTTTTAATAAGGTAACATTTTTAGGTTGTCATCACCACCTCCTCATTTTTGCTCAACCCAACCCCATATCCAGTAAGTCTCAAAGCCTTCTTGATTCTGAATCCTCCCCCTGTACCCCTCTTCTCTGTTCCATCCCGTTTTGCTCTTTTTGGATCCATCATTCATTCTATCTGGTACATGTGCCTCCAGATTACCCCTCCAACCTACATCCACAGTATCTGTGTGGTTTTGGTTAACACTGAAATCTGATCATGTTTCACCTGCTTAGAATACTCACTGACTCCAGATGTTCACAGGTTAAAACCCAGACTCCTTCATGTTAGCTTGCAAGGCTTTGTCACCTGCCCCCAAGCTCCCACTCATGCTAATGTGATCCTTCTTGGCACCCTCTCTGCGTAATCACACTGCATAGTCTTTCAGTTTCTGAAGACACACTGTCTCTCACTTGGATACCTTCACATATGTTTACATGCCAGAAATAACCACACTCACCCTCCCACCTCTCCACTGCCCTTGTCCACTTGGGGAAATTCCGTTCAGCTCTACAGTTTCTGCTATGGTTTGAATGGATTCCCTCCCAAATTCAGGTGTTGCCAATGTGACGGTTTTACAAGGTGGGCCTTTAAGATGTGATTACACTATAAGGGCTCTTCCCTCGTGAATGGGATCAGGTGTGGGAGGAGTTCACCCTCTCTTGACCTTCTGCCTTCCACCACATGAGGACACAGCATTGTCCCCTCCAGAGGGGGCACCAGATACCAAATGCCAGTGCCTTGATCTTAGACTTCCAGACTCCAGAACTATGAGAAATAAAAGTCTGTTCTTTATAAACTACCCAGCCTTTGGTATTCTGTTATAGCAGCACAAAATGAACTAAGACATTCTCCTCCTCTTTGATATGTGACTCTACCAGACTGACTTGGGTGCATCTTCTGTGCACCTATAGGCCTTGTGTAGATGTGTAGACCTCAGCCTGAGCTCTTTCCACACCATGTTGCAGTTGTGTGCTTGTCTCCCTGTGGCCCATTTCCCATTCATAGGCTAAGGGAGCAAACAGGCATCTGGGACCTGGCCAGATGGGGTGCTAACGGCCAGATAAGAAGAAAGGTATCGATCCTAGGCAGTCAGAAACAGCTTTAGTCCCAGAAGTGAGTGTTCATCGAAAGAAGGAAGAAAAATTTGGTCCAAGAGAGAATTGTTGTCTTTTAATTTAATGAAACAATGCCACGGAGTTATTCATTGTGTCCACTTGGGCTTAAATTAAAGCAAGGTGTATTTCAGTTAGACATGTGAAAGATGGCTTTACTGCAAAGCTGATAAAAGACTGAAATAAAGTGGCAAGAAAAGTTATGGTGTAAAATTCTCTTCTAGTCTCTCTTTAAAATGAGACTAGGTAGATGTTTATCTGTTTGTGACCTTGGGAAATGTATTATATTTTACATTTTCAAATCTTTCCATATATCTTGAACAATGTTGATTTCATTGTTAAATGTGTCCACATTTTTTATTATTTCTGTAGGAAAATTTCCTAGAAGTAGAATTAATATATCAAAAGATATAGACATTTTGAATGTCCTTGATATATATTGATAAGTTGTCAATATTTTCTCTTCTGATAAGTGAAAATGGTACTAATTATTATTTTATCTTTTATTTCTTGATTAACTTGTTAAGTATTTATATGCTTATTAGCTACTCTTATATCTTAGTTTATAAATTAACAGGATATTTTGTTTTAGTTTTCGTCCATTCCTCTTCTGAGGTCTTAGCATTTTTCTTATTTATTTGAAAGAGTTCTGTGTAAGTAAAAGCAATTAACCTTTTATCTCTGGCATTATTCCTTTATTTGTTATCGGACTTTTTTATTAATGTTGTTTTTGACATATGGAAACATACCAGGTTTACAAATTCAGGCAATACGGATCTTTCAACGTGCAGATACATGGTATGTTTATTTTACCTGTAATTATGCTGGTCTTCCTTATAAGCTCACAGTCACTTGGTAGAGAGGCAGAAATGAATGTTAGGCCTTTTTTATTTTTTAATTTAGTCTGAACTTATCCCGTAAATAGCCCTTTGTAGTAATGTTTGGTTTTTTTGAGGTAATTGCTTAGTCTCTCTTGTTCCCAACTCCTTCCTGGCTCTGTTCCAAGGTGGAGTTAAGTGTCTTAAGTGGAAGGGACTCAGGTAACCTCTGAGAGCAGTGAAGAGCAACTTGGATTCACATGATCATTGGGCGTGCTGCCAGCCTTTCCACCTAACATCTCTCCCTCCCTTCCTTCCTCTCTCTCTCCCTACTTTCCTCTCTCTCTCTCTCTCTCCTCATCTCCCTCCATTTCTCTCCCTCCCCCTACTTTCCCAGCTGACTGGATTCTTCTTGAGTGGCTGCTATAGCACCCTCTGCCTCTCTGCCTCATTCTTCCGGGGATGAAGCTGTCCACCCCCATTCCCTGTGGAGAGGTCTCCTCACCTCACCATGGTAAGCCTGTGCCGGGCCGGCGGGCTCTTAACTCAGGTCCAAGACCCTCTAGTGGGCAGGTCCCCAACACATCATATGGGAACCAAAAGGTGCCCAGAAAAGCTACACGTCCAGGCCTCCATGTGCCTAAGCAGCCCTACCACTTAGCATATCATGAGGCCGTACCACGAAGCCGTACCTTGAAGCGGCTGCACCTGAGTAGGTAAAGGAGCAGCCAAGGGGCCATCTCTTTCTGAAGCACTAACTGGAAGTTGAGACAGAGATCTCTCCACCCTCTGAATTCCTCATATCATTGGCCAAAGCAGGACACCCACTTCTAACCATTTCTCTTCTCCTACTCCTTGTTTCCCTTTTCCTCATACAATCCCTCTGGCTGTTTATTTTTAACTTCCCCTATGTTGGATCATCTTTCTAGCATAGAACAATAGGCCTCCTGGCCCCATGGGCAGAAGTACATGTTCTTCACACCCTGGGAGAAGCAAAGGATCTGATGGGCCATGCCCATCCTCTGATAAGTTCAACTGTGACTGAACAGATTTCAGCATTTAGCAATCCTCTTTCTCCTGACTTTCCAGCACTGCTCAAGACAGCAAATGAACATCCCCCCCTGCTCTGGGAAGTCATTCTTGCAGCTTGGGCTCAGAGGGGTGAGGCTAAAAATAGGACACAAATAAGGTGGGGCGGGGCGGGGGGGAGGGTATCAGGATGCACCTATTTAATCTTTACAAAATATTTTCCTGGTTATATAGATTTTTCAACTTTTATGTAGCCATATCTCACATTGTGTGACGATTAATTTCATGTGTCAACTTGACTGAGCTATGGGGTACCCAGATATTTGGTCAGACATTATTCAGGGTGTTTCATTTGAGGATTTTTTTTCCAGATGAGATTAACATTTAAACCAGTAGACTTAGTAAAGCAGATCGCCTACTCTAATGTGGGTGGGCCTCACCCAAACAATTGAAGACCTCAATAGAACGAAAAGACAGACCCTTCCCCAGGTAAAAGAGGATTCTTCCTGCCTGACTGCCTTCTGACTCAGACTGAAACATCAGCTCTTCATGGGTCTTGAGACAGGGACTACATCATCCATTCTAGTTCTCAAGCCTTTGAACTCAGACTGGAACTGCCCCATCAACTCTCCTGGGTCTCCAGCTTGCCAGCTCACCGTACAGATCTTGAGACTTGCATGCCTCCATAATCTCATAAGTCAATTATTTATAATAAACTTCATTATATGTGTGTACATATATAAATATATATGTGTATGTATGTATACATAATGTGTATATATATGTTTATATATGTATCTATATAAATATATATAGATTTATTATAAGAAATTGCTGTGAGATTATGCAGGTATGAAAGTCTCAGGATACATGTATATCTGTGTGCATATGTATCTCTTATTTGCTCTGTTTCTCTGGAGAACCCTGACTAGTACACTTTGCTTTTACTCTTAGAAAGTTTTTTCCCATTCTGACATCAGATAAATATTTATCTGTAGCTTCTTTTAGTTTTTAAAATTTCTGTTTCTCTTTAAAAGTCTTTGGTCCGTATGGGATGTATTTGAGCACATGTTGTAAGTTAAAAGTCAAAGCAGTTTTAATTTTTAAACATAAGTCAGTGTCCTCACAACCTTTAATATGTTCACTTCCTTGGCATGCACATGCTACAATTTTCTAAGATTTTATTTTTTCTCCTTTCTTTCTGCTCCTAAATGTGAACATTCCATATGTCTCTATCATTTTCCCTTTTCTTCTCAGCCCTCTTTCCTTTAAAATTATGCACATTCTATGTCAGCTATCTTCAATATGTAGGGACTGAAAAGGATTCAAAAGGCTGGAGGCTGTGTTTTAATCTACCTGTTGGACTTTTCCACTAGGATCTTGCCCGAGTCCTGTAACTTAGCATGTATACACCAAAATGATCATCTTTAATACAGGCTTTTTGCTGCCAAACTTCAACCTGTCCCTGTCTCCCCTGCCCCATTCTTGTTGATGGCATTTGAACTCTTGAATTCTTTTGTCCATTGAAATCCTGCATGTTCTTTGTGGCCAGTTTAAAAGGTAGCTTCTTTCTAGCACTTTCACTTTTTGCTCCTCCCAAATCAAAGCAATCTCTATTTATCTAAATTCTCATAACACTTCGTACTTTTCTGACAGAACTTATCTCACTTGACCTTGTATGACAGTTATGTATACATGCCAATTCCTCATTCTATATTTATATTCTGTATCTTGTTTGTAAAATTTCTAAAAAGAATGATACTTTCTAAACAAAGCTGGTATTTAGAAGTAGGAAACCTGTAGAATGAGTATGGGATAAACTGATCTTACAGAATTAATAAAACTGTTAATAATGTAGGTGAAGTTCATGATCGGCTTTTGACCGTGGCATGGATTCTCTCCATCGCTCCCTCTCCTCTCTGACTCCACTTTCCATGCTCAAACTGAAGGACAGAATCTACATCATACACTTTTGTCTAATCTGCATTACCAGAATGGTACCTTAGATGCAATAGAACCTGAACACATATTTATGGAAGGAAGGAAAGAAGGGAGGGAGGGAGGGAGGGAAGCAATGGTCATCTACAAATAATATGTGATGTGTTGATACAGGACAATATTAATACACATTTGTAAGTGTTCTCCCACCTCTGAAGATTCCTCCCTACTGACTCAGTGAGTTGGTATGGGCACCTCTGCCCTGCCCCTCAGCAGCCCAGGGTTACAAGCAAGGAGCCTGCCAGCCTAGGGCCATTTTTCCCAGGTCCAACCACACATATGTAACCAAGCTTTATTCATGAGTTTCATACTACTCACCCTAGGCTCCAAAATATTACTTGTAAGAAATGACTAGAGCCATAAATAACAGAGAGTGGAGGAGTTCACTGGAGGTGTGGATAATGAAACATAAAACCAGCTTTCATATTCAATGAATAAAATAATTCCATATAATCAAAATTACACATAAGCCAAAGCCTCCCCCACAGTATGACAGAGTGACAGAGTGACTGGTGAGTCAGCCTGTGCTTCTTTTTTTTTTTTTTTGAGACCGGGTATTTCTCTGTCACCCAAGGCTGGAGTGCAGTGGCGCAATCATGGTTCACTGCAGCCTCAACCTCCTGGGCCCAAGGGATCGTCCTGTGTAGCTAGGACGACAGGCACACACCACCAAGCCCAGCTAAAATTTTTAAAAATGTTCTATAGAGACTGGGTCTCGCTGCATTGCTCAGGCTGGTCTTGAACTACTGGGCTCAAGCAATCTTCCTGCCTCACCCTCCCAAAGTGCTGGGATTACAGGCATGAGCCACAGCGCCTGGCTGTTTTCCTTTGTTATGACCACTATTGGCATTTAAATGTCTAATGAACCTCAATATTAATTATGTGCCACCTAGATAGGCAGAAATGTTAGTAGACATACAAACAGCCCCTCCCTAGTTAAGGGGGCCAGGCTTCCACAAAGTAATCCCTCCCGATTTAGCTGTAAATGGGTTGCTAATCAGAAAGGCCTCAGGACAAAGGTAAGTGGCATAAATTCCTATTTACTGAATTAATATGACTGGTTCCCTGGGTGCCCTTCTTCTACTTGGAAGCACTTCTGGCAGTCTGATTTGGGATTTTCACCTGGCACTGTTCTGAGACTGGGGCTTTGGGGCCTATATTAATTTTAGATCCTAGTCTGTGGAGATTAGTCAATTCTATGAACTCTAATGTAGTGGTTGAAATAGTTTTCAGGAGCAAAAGTGCTTGCTTATCCGATCCATACTCTTCTGTGTGGATTCCACCTTAACATTCTATGTTAAGGATGGGTATGATTAATTCATTACCCAAGATTACAGCAGTATGCTAAAAACTACCTGGAGGCATTTCTTTTGGTGTGAAATATTAAAGATTCAACATTTTTATCAGTGCACCTAATTCATATTCCAGAGCCTGTGGGCTGAGAAATGAACTTGGAAATATTCAGTCATTTTTTACCATCAGCTTGTTAAAATGTTGAAGAAGGTTATTGTTTTAACTACCTGTGGATAAAAAAAAGGAGAATTCGCTTCAGGAAGGCTAAAATACAAAGACTAAAAGCTATAATGTCTTTTATTTCTTAAAACTGATATAGGCCAGGCGCAGTGGCTCACATCTGTAATCCCAGCACTATAGGAGGTGAGGTGGGCGGACTACGAGGTCAAGGGATGGAGACCATCCTAGTCAACATGGTGAAACCCTGTCTCTGCTAAAAATACAAAAATAAGCTGGACGTGATGGCGCATGCCTGTAGTCCCAGCTACTCGGGAGGCTGAGGCAGGAGAATTGCTTGAACCAGGGAGTCAGAGGTTGCAGTGAGCCGAGATGGTGCCACTGCACTCAAGCCTGGCAACAGAGCGATACTCCATTTCAAAAACAAAACAGATATAGATCAGGTTTTGACAACAGTGTACCTTGGAGTACTTGAACAATAATACTAATAAATGCTTTCCTGACAAAGAGAATGGTTAATAACCTTATGATCTCTAATAAATACAAACTGAAATATAGAATCCCATAGGGAGTAAATATGAGAGTACATTGTCAGCCTTTTCCAGAGCAGGGAACAGAGGTCTGGATAATGTAAGTGAATTTCCAAATTCCTGTGAGGTGGCTTTAGAAATTTATTTTATTTTATTTATTTATTTTTGAGACAGAGTCTTGCTCTGTTGCTAAGGCTGTAGTGCAGTGGCACGATCTCAGCTTACTGCAACCACTGCCTCCCAGGTTTAAGCTATTCTCCTGCCCCAGCCTCCAGATTAGCTGGGACTACAGGGATGCACCATCACACCCAGCTAATTTTGGTCTTTATTGTAGAGATGGGGATTTCACCATGTTGGCCAAGCTGGTCTTGAACCCCTGGCCTCAAGTAATCTGCCACCTCGGCCTCCCAGAGTGCTGGGATTGCAGGCGTGAGCCACTGTGCCTGGCCAGAAATATATTTTAATGCTTACATTTGAATCCGAATGTGACAGAAATTCACCATCACTTCAGATATCATATTCTGAAGAATGAATTTAGCAGCTGGAAAAAGGACACAGCTTCCCAATTCTGCCCTTTTGCTCCAGTGTCTGCTAGAGAAGGCCAGGATGGTGGAGCTGACTTCGAGAAGAGCCACGCAGGTGACGGTCTCATTCTCACCTTTTGGTGGGTAAGCAGGGGTATCATTAGGCTTATAGTTAGGTGATATTTTCTTTTCTTTTTAAAAATCAAAAATCAAAAAAGATGCACATAAAAAAGTGTAAAATATATTTGCCAAATTGTAAGAATAATTTTAATGCAAACACTTGTGTGGCTGCCACCTATTCAAGAAACAGAATCATGCCAATCTACATGTGCCTCCTCTGTCCAGTTTAGGTCCCAACGGAGTCTAAACTAGAAATATTTTCTAGAAGCTCAAGTGGAATATTGACTTTCTCTGCTCTTTCAAATCATACTCCCACTAAAAGTTTTTACTGAGCTAGAGATCTTGTATAAAAGGGTCATCATTGACTAAAAATAACAACAATGTATTCTTCCCTGAATGGCAAGAGTTCAAAGACTTATTGAAAATTAATCCCTTTAGAAGTAGTCTTTGGGGGCAAATCATTGAGAGACCATGGAAAAATCTGGGTAAAGTACATGTATAGAAGTATTTTAAAGGAATTCATACAGCCAATGTGTACCAATTCAAATTATTAGGCAACTATTGAGCATAGTATTAGGATTCTCCAGAGAAACAGAACCAATAGGAGGTACATACATTTAAGAGGAGATTTATTATGGGAATTGGCTCACACAGCTATGTGGGCCAAGAAGTGCCACAATCTGCTGTCTGCAAGCTAGAGAACCAGGAAAATCAGTGGTGTGTGATTAAGTCCAAGTCTGAAGGCCTGAGAACCACGAGTGCTGATGCCAGAGGGCAAGAGAAGATGGATGTCCCAGCTCAAACAGAAAGAGCAAATTCATCCTTCTTTCAACATTTTGTTCCACTGGGACCTTAATGGATTAGAGGAGGCCCACCCACACTGATGAGGGCACTATTCTTTACTCAGCCTATCAATTCAAATGCTGATCTTCCAGAACTGCCTTCACAGACACACCCAGAAATAATGCTACTTGGTCATCCGTTGGCCCAGTCAAGCTGGCAGATAAAATTAACCATCACAAGCACCATGGAATGCAAGACAGTATGCTCGGTGTTCTAGAGCATGTGAATAGTTGTTATTAAAACAACTGCCACACACACACAAAGTTTCTGTGGTCAAATGCGTTTTCTAAAACTTTTCTTTCAAGAAAAATTTTTATTTCTGAAACAGGTATAGAGCGTAAAATGATTCCCCAAGTTTTCTGGCTAAACATGGCTAATATGGTTCTTTTTCTTTCTTTTTTTTTTTTAAATAGTCAAAAACGCTGATGTTTTAAAGAAATACAGGAAAAATCAAGGATAGCAATATATATTATCAATCAAGTGCTTACAGATCCCCAAATCCAACTTAAAGTAGACTAAGTGTCTCAGTCTATTTGTGTTGCTATAAAGGAATATCTGAAGATGGGTAATTTATAATTAAAAAAGAGTTGGCTCACAGCTCTGCAGGCTGTACAAGAAGTTTGGTGCCAGCATGTGCATCTGGTGAAGGCCTCAAGCTGCTTCCACTCACTGCAACAGGGGAAAGAGAGCTAGCATGTGCAGAGATTGCATGGTGAGAGAGGAAGCAAGGAGGCAGTGAGGGGCCAGGCTCTTGTTAACAACCAGTTCTCTCTGATAGAGTGAGAACATTTCTCCTGCCACCACCGAGGAAGGAGATTAATCTATTCATTAGGGATCCACCCCCACTGCCCAAATACCTCCCATTAGACCCCACATCCAACACTTTGGATAAAATTTCAACATAAGATTTGGAGACGACAAATAAACCAAACTATAGCACTAGATCTTTAAAAATCATTTTTAAAAAAAGTATAAAGATTTTTTTGAGCCATCAAAAGAAATCTGGAAAATAGTTGGGTCATTGTCCTTCCATTAGAGCTGGCCACTCCTATGAATGAGATGCCACTGGTGACACACTCTGGTGGAAAGAGCCCTGGCTTGTGAGCCAAAAGTCAATGTTAATACCTCTGTCAGCTTGTACAAGGCAACCGAACTTTCAGGGCCTCAGTTTTCTGATGGATATAATAAAAAGATTTAGATGGGCTTATTCTAAATTACCTAAATCAATGCCTTGATTATTTTTAAGAGTTGAAGTATCTCAAACAAACTGGCTTTTGTCTCAAAATAAATGATCCTGAACTGAAAGAAATCATGCAGCAAACCTATGGCATTTCAATGTTTTTAGTTTTACTTTTGAGGTGGTGGTATTTTTTTGTCCTACTGATTGTTTAATTAAATGTAAGCATCTTTTCCAAGCCTTAGGTAAATCAGCACATGGTGGATTTTCTTATAAGCCACGGTGTAGTTTTGCTGGTCATTCCTGGAAGGGGTGAGATGAATTGGAACCAAATTTCCACATGGTTTAGCAGGGTTGATGTGCTTGTTTACCAGATTGCTCTTCACTGTACATAAATAATTAGTTAAGTCTTATCAGACTCTAAGGGTAATTTGTCAAAATAATGTGTGTTTTTCCATTTTAGTGTTAAATCCCATTACACATAATTAATAGATTATTAACTTAGTTTAAACAGTTTAGGGAAAACCATTCAGTTAGATTTATTTGTTTTCCAACATTTTAATGGGACAAGAAAAAGTGATCTTAAACTACTGAGCAATTATACACAGTTCACAAAGTTTAGAGCAAAAATTAAAACATCTAGCTCATAACATAAGCTGGCCAGAGGGTATTATTTAATCAATTACAAATTGTGAACTCCAAGAAAAAATATTCTAAGTCCAAGGCAATAGCAGTATCCCATGGAGAATAAAACCTGGAAAATATAAAAATGGAAATGGAAAATGTATAGTTGAATGCCTCCTTTAGTTAGAGCAAAGAAAATAGAACACCATGTTTTATCTGCTTTGGGTTATTAGAAGACTTCTAGAAATGCTGGCCTTTCAGAAATCCTAGGCCAACCTTAGTTGGGAGAAGAATGGAAAGTGCGGTTTTGCATTTAACTGAAATATTCAATTACTATTTTTCTTTCTTCAGAATTGTGGTCAGAGCAGCACATGCTTTGGGGACAGGAAAAGACCAGATCAATTAGTAATAAAGATCTGCTTTTATGCTTGAGTCATGGCTTTGGGGAATAAGTAGGAGATCAAGATGCATTTTCACAGTTGAGCACAGACAAGCAAGACAGATTGCTCTGGAATGGTTGATGGCTCTGCAAACATTGATGTTTAAAAAAAAAAAAGCAATGATATTACTGGAGAGGATATTTACAAATGTAAATGCATTCAGCTTTGCTTGTGAGCACAGGGCATCTGGCACTAATATATTTGCTTCTCTGGGTGAAGATCACTAGAGTATACTATTAATGGGAAAATATTAGAGAAATTACATGAAATTTGTGATCTGATATGCATTAAAAAAATGTGACATGTTTACAAAGATTTCAGCAAAGGATCTTTCAATACTTCAACAATAGGATTGTCCACAGGCTTTGGAAGGAGAAATGAACACCAAGAGGTGAAATTCGTATTCCAGTAACAGTGTAACTGAAGAAAGTGGGGAATGGAATTTTTTTTTTTTTTTTTTGAGACGGAGTCTCGCTCTGTCGCCCAGGCCGGACTGCGGACTGCAGTGGCGCAATCTCGGCTCACTGCAAGCTCCGCTTCCTGGGTTCACGCCATTCTCCTGCCTCAGCCTCCCGAGTAGCTGGGACTACAGGCGCCCGCCACCGCGCCCGGCTAATTTTTTGTATTTTTAGTAGAGACGGGGTTTCACCTTGTTAGCCAGGATGGTCTCGATCTCCTGACCTCATGATCCACCCGCCTCGGCCTCCCAAAGTGCTGGGATTACAGGCGTGAGGGAATGGAATTTTGATCCTTCTCAGATTTGCTAACAGATTTCTCCTTCCACGTGGCATAGACAAGGAAATCAGTAGCTTCAGTTGTAGATTTTTAGCCACATCTCCTCCTGCGTTTTTTCCTAAGAAAAAGAGATGTGGTTTGTGTTGTGGATTGAGAGACAGTATCACATAAGTAATTCATAAAGTTGCTCAGGGTTATACCTCTGTGTGATGGGGCCACAGGTGAGCTAGTCAGACTGAGGATAACACTGTGTCAGTCAGAAATACTTGGTCATGGTATTAAGCTGGAAGATTTGCTACCTGGTTATTTTGCATCATTATTTCCTTATAGTATCTATTATAGTACATGTTTACCTTTTAATTGTTTGGTAAAGTAGGTTCTATGTTGAAGGCACAATATAGACCATCCAAGTGTTAAATCTGGGCTCTTTGGAAAAAACAGGTCATTGATTTCCTGGGGGTAATTCTTGGGGGTTAAACCTGGATAACTTCTATTTAGTGGTGGGGGCGGGGAGTTGCTGGCCATTTGTCATCTCTCTTCTTCAAGTGGGATCATAGTCAGTTTGAGTGGGATCATAGTAAGTTTAGTGCTAGGTTTGCATTTTAGGAGATTCTGTAAACTTTTGTCATATATTCTCAGTTCAGCATTGCATATGATTTCTATTATTGACAACAAAAGGAAAAATATCCCTTATTGTCTGGTGGCAGGTTTGTTTTGTTATATCTACAATTGAATATAGACGTAAGAAAAATATTATTTAAGATTTCTTCTATGGTTGTTGAAAATTTGATTGCCACCTGCATTGGAAAACAACAACAAATACAACAACAAATCTTGTGCAAAACTGTGCACCGATTTCAGAAAGTGAAAGTATCACATCCCCTTTGAAGAGGGAGAAAAACTGTTATTGGAAGTTAATCTAAAATCAATACCTTGGTTATAATGAAAGCCATCTGCTCTAACTCAGAGTGAGGCAGACTTTATTGTCTTTTCAATCACCTACTAATCAACAGGACCAAGATTTCCTGGAAATTTAACTGTAATTTTTAAAAATTGTATATCTCAATCTCTATTTTTTTCCAGTTTGTATTCATAACAAAACATGAGTAACTCAAGTCAAAAAACAATGGCCCCTGGATAACAAAATCACACCTGAGAATGAAACTAGATTATTGAAAACATATAAGTTTTAAACACTCTAAATTATAGATCTCACATTAAGAAATTATTGAAAGGAAAAGAAAGAAGCTCTATAATGACATCTCTCAAAGATAATCACTATTCACAGTTTAATTTTTATTATATTTATTTTTTATGTTTTTTTATAGATACAATTAAATATATATGCTTAGCTACATATTTTTAACTTAACACTAAAACTTAAGTTTTTCTGTGTTGCAATATAATGTTCATAACCATTTGTTTACTGGCCACCCTGGGTGGATTAATACATTAAAATAATCATTTCTTTGTTGTTGAACTTATAGGTAAACAGGACCAAACCTCTTAATACACATATTTAAATGAGACTCGATCATCATTGGAAAATGTGTTGTATTTACTAAGTAATAAAATGAATATACAGCAGCTGAGATACCAAGACAAGAGCTGGTCCTCGGTCAGGTGGGTCAGCACAGGCAAGCATCTTGCTCTGCTTCCCCAGGGCACCTAGTATTCTTGTTGGTTTGATTTGAATTGCATTTTCTTCTATCAGGCTCCGTTAGCAGCTTAGGAGTAAAGAGGGAAGCTTCTTCTATCGCTACACATCTTCAAATTTTATTTTTGCTCCTCTTCCCTTTTTGAAACTTTATTATAGTACCCTATCATCTTACTCTACTATGAAACAGTATAGTAAATGCCTCTCATCCAAAAGCCTGTCTTTTTAATAGGGAAAAAGTTGAAGGTAAACTTGGCAGCGATACGTCCACCACACACATGCATTCATCTTATAGAAAATTAGGATGGTCTTGATCTCCTGACCTCGTGATCTGCCGGCCTCGGCCTTGCAAAGTGCTGAGATTACAGGCGTGAGCCACCGCAGATTGAGACCATCCTGGTCAACACAGTGAAACCCCGTCTCTACTAAAACTACAAAAAAATTAGCCGGGCGTGGTGGTGCGCACCTGTAGCCCCAGCTACTCGGGAGGCTGAGGCAGGAGAATCACTTGAACCTGGGAGGTAGAGGTTGCAGTGAGCCAAGATCGCACCACTGCACTCCCGTCTGGGTGATAGGGCGAGACTCCATCTCAAAAAAAAAGAAAAAGAAAAGAAAATTAGAAGTGGTGCATCTATTTCAACAAGGTAGTTATGCTCTGCTGCCTGGGACACTGTTGCCATGTCAGTCCCACAAACACGTGGAAGATCTAAAATTTCTGCCATGGTCAGTTAGGGCGATAAATAGTTAATCCCTTCTGCAAGTTAAAGACTATTTAGCACAACCTTTTCCAAGTATCTTGTAGAAGAAACAAGTCCTATGGCTAAACAAGTTTCAGAATCCCTGAATGCTCCAGCCGTCTTTCAAAAATTCAAGCTATGAGGGGTCCTGCAGTTTAAAAAATCCCTCACTTGGTTTAACCCAGTGCTTAGCAGATTTATTTCACCATGGAATCCCGTTTTCAAGTTAAAACCTATTTTTTAATTTATAGTGTATCTAAAACCTACCACGAAAAGCATACGTGTAGTGCAAAGCCATATTTTGAGTTACACATTTTTGAAATGGCACATTCCTCCTCATTCCTTCATTTGTATTCCACAGTATTAAGCACTTATTGTTTACAAGGCCCTGGGATGCACTTGACCTTCTTTCACAATCTCAACCTTGATGTGCTCTCCAGACAAAAGAGCACTCCCAGGAAGAAAAATGTTCTAACGACCTTACAGGCACCTTTGACCCTGTGACTTATCTTTGGAAAAGCGACAGGAGATTTGTTTATAAGCAAAGGTGGTGCTCTAGGGAAGGAAGCCAGGAAAGAGAATCCTCCCCACTCACCTTCACGGACTTTTGTCTGGCGATGTCCAGGGCTTGCGTCTCCTTGGGAGAATTTTAGACTATTAATCGTGAAAAGGAGTTCCCTCTCCTTTCATTCATTCCCCCGGGGGATGGATACCAATGGGTACCAGACCTAGCATTCCTTTCAACACAGGGGATTAAGGGGCGTGTGGTAAGAGGATCCATTTCAAAGAGCTGGTAGAAGATGATCAATGATCTAGGAAATCAGAGTTGAAGAAGGAACATCAGTGCCTTGAAATGTTCCCTAGAGCTCTGACCCCCACAAGGGTTTTAACTAAATGGCTACTTAGTTTATTGGATTTACCCACATAGCACATATTTAAATGAAATGGATGGAGGAAAGAACCTCTGCACTACATGGCAGAAAAATGACAAAAAGCTTTTGAAGGTCAGGGAACATAGCACAATCACTTTAGACTGGTGAGAAAATGAAATTCTTCTCAAGACCTTGTAGACCTGATGGTGCTATCAATTTTAAAACCAGTGTAGTGCTGTGGGAGGCGTGTGTTTCATACTAAGTGACTTGTACTGAATTGTAATAGCTTTGAGCATCCACTTGAGACCTTAATGAATGAGTTACATAAAATGTTAATATCATTAATGCCAGAGAAATTATTTATTTATTACTATCATCACATATTACAAAGCAGAGCTACCAAATCCTTGGCAAAAAAAAAAAAAAAAACACGAAAAAATCTTATTTTGGTGATTGTCTTTCACAGAGAAACAATCCAGTAATACCTAAAAGGAAAAGTTGACTAATTATGGAATTCATTTTTGCTCCCGAAATTCTTTGCTAGCCAATCTCATCTATGTGTAACCCTGCACAGTATAAAATATTATCTGAACTTTTTTAGCAAACTGAACAAACATGAAGAAGTTTGTATCTCTCGATGCATTTTTTTTTTTTTTTTTTTGAGACAGGGTCTCCTCTGTCACCCAGGCTGGAATGCAGTGGTGTGATCACAGCTCACTGCAACCTCGATCTCTCAGCCTCAAGCGATCCTCCTGTCTCAGCTTCCTGAGTAGCTGAGGCTACAGGTGCATGCCACCACACCTGATACATTTTTTTTTCACTAGTAATGAGGTCTCACTATGTTGCCTTGGCTGGTCTTGAACTCCTGAGCTCAAGCGATCCTTCTGTCTCAGCCTCCCAAAGTGCTGGGATTACAGGTATGAGCCACAACTCCCAGATCAATTTTTTTTTATGTAGTATTTTCCAGGCTTAACCTACACATTTTACTGTGAGATGAAAACATCTGTCATATATAATAACAATGCACCAAATTCCAAAATAGTTTGGTGAAGGGCTATTTTCAATGTTTGGCAATGCTATTAAATATATGAAGAAGCTTTCAACTGCAGAAGATAATCATCCGTGAGGAGTGTGTGTGTGGATGTGTAGATGAAAGCATCCTTTGCTAGAGTGTTTGTATATGTGTATATGTATGTGTAAATAACATTTACTAGGGCTACATTAACCAAATACCACAGACTGGGTGGCTTAACCAACAGAAATTTATTTTCTACTTTCTCCAGAGGTTGGAAGTCCAAGATCAAGGTGTCGGCCTGTTTGATCCCTTCTGAGTTCTCTTCTTCCTGTGTTCTCACATGGCCTTTCCTCTGGGCACCAACTCCTGGTGCCTCGATTTTCCATCCAAGGTTTCTTTTCTTATAAGGATAACCAGTACGACTGGATTAAGACCCACCCTAAGAGTCTCGTTTTAAGCTAAGCACCTCTTCAAAGGCCTTGTCTCAAATACAGTCACTGAGGTACCGGGCATTAGAGCTTCAACCTAGGAATTTGGGGGATACAGCAACTTAGCCCATAGCACATAGTATATATAGAAATGCATAATTGGAAGGAAAATTGTAAGTATTGTCACCACTGTTAATATTTTTCCTCCATGTGTGTGCCATCATTTAGACTGCTCAAGTGAGATGCCAGTGTAAAAATTTTCACCTAAAATTAAGTGATGATCAGTAGTTCATAAGGAAAACTTTAGTCTAAACAGTAGTTTACTTAAAACCATTACTCCAGGAAGCCTTTTGTATTCTTTCTTATTTAAATAATTATAAAATAATTTGCATCCATACATGGTTAGTTAGGAAATGGGGGAAAATGCAGAAATATGATTTCAAAGAAAACGTTGACTTCAGATGGAGCAGATGAGAAGAAATTCTAATAAGTATATTGACTTAGCTTTGGAATAGTATTTCAGCAGTTCCCCCATCATCCATGGTTTCACTTTTCACAGTTTCAGTTATTCGAGGTCAACTTCAGTCCAAAAAAATTAAATGGAAATTTCCAGAAATAAACAATTTAAAAGTTTTCAATTGTGCACTGTTCTGAGTAGCATAATGAGACCTCATGCCATCCCACTCCATCCTGCTGGGGATGTGAATCATCCCCTTGTCCAGTGAATCCACATGGTCTACACTACCCACCTGTGGGTCATTTAGTAGCCATCTTGGTTGTCAGATTGACTGGAGGGTTATCACAGTGCTGTGCTCAGATCACCCTTATTTTACTTCATAATGGTCCCAAAGTGCAACAGTAGTGATACTGGCAATTCGGATACGCCAAAGAGACGCCATAAAGTACTTCCTTTAAATGAAAATGTAAAAGTTCTCAATTTTAAAAGGAAAGAAAAAATCATATGTTGAGGGTGCCAAGATCTACCATAAGAACCAATCTTCTGTCCTTGAACTTATGATGAAGGAAAAAGAATTTCATGCTAGTTTTGCTGTTGTATCTCAGACTTCATCATAGGTATGTATGTATAGGAAAAAAAACAGAGTTTATATAAAGTCTGGTACTAGTCAATGTTTCAGATATCCACTGGAGGTCTGCAACTTATTTCCTGTGGATAAAAGGGGACTATTATATAGCTTTTTGTTTGCGGGTGTACCCTCTTTAAGAAATCAGAATATCACATAGAAATATTAATCATGTTTTGGCCAGGCACGGTGGCTCACGCCTGTAATCCCAGCACTTTGGGAGGCCAAGGCGGGCAGATCACAAGGTCAGGAGATCAGTACCATCCTGACTAACACAGTGAAACCCCGTCTCTACTAAGAATAAAAAAAATTAGCCGGGTGTGGTGGTGGGTGCCTGTGGTCCCAGCTACTCGGGAGGCTGAGACAGGAGAATGGCATGAACCCGGGAGGCGGAGGTTGCAGTGAGCCGAGATCGCGCCACTGCACTCCAGCCTGGGCGACAGAGAGACACTCCATCTAAAAAAAAAAAAAAAAAGAAAGAAATATTAATAATGTTTTATATGTGAAAAAAATTACATTTCTCAGTAGTTTTATAAATCAGTTTAACCTTAGATTTCTTTAGCCATGATACAGTCTTAGGATTTTAGGGTTGACAAATCTTCAGGAATTCCAGAGAAGGGATCCTAAAACCCTGTTGCTCCACAAAAGGCCTGAGAGGCCTGGGGGAGGGAGAGCTGCTGAGCACTTGGGGCTCTTGCCTTTATTTCAACCAGAGTAGCTCCACACTTATGTATAGTATATATTGAAAATTCATGCAGGATTTCTTGTGAAATCAGTTTCTGCTGCTTTAAAACATGAAAGAAAACCTTTAACTTAGTGTATTCACATGGCACAGCCAGGAAACTGAGGCTCAGACAAGTTAAATCACCTGCCCAGGGTTACACAGTTAGGTTCTTTGATTCTCAGGTCAATCTGTCTTCCCTTGACTATACCAGATTACTTAAATACTGTTTAAATACTGTTTGATTCATTCTTTTTTTTTTTTTTTTTTTTTTGAGACAGGCTGGAGTGCAGTGGTGTGATCTAGGCTCACTGCGACCTCCACTTCCCGGGTTCAAGTGATTCTCCTGTCTCAGCCTCCAGAGTAGCAGGCACCAGCCACCATGCCTGGCTAGTTTTTGTATTCTTATAGAGAGGGATTTTGCCATGTTGGTCAGGGTGGTCTTGAACTCCTGACCCCAGGTGATCCACCTGCCTTGGCTTCCCGAAGTGCTGCAATTACAGGCATGAGCCACTGCACCCAGCCTGTTTGATTAATTCTTATGCTATCCATACAAATGAGATTTTACTGTGGTTTTGCTTGACAGGTAAAAGTAAAGGTTGAGATTTTAACTTTACTATGATCTTTTGGGATATGGACGGAAAGCCAGGGTAGGATGTGGTCTCCTCATTTGTCATCCTTGGATGACACTATCTTTTTTTTTTTTTTCAATTAATATGATTTTAAGTACTTTTACTAGTTCTGCATTACCCATTATTAAAGTGTTATTTCCTCTCCATTGGCAATTTTTTAAGTAGATTTGGGCTGAACTCGGATCCAGCAAATTGCTCTGATGGGACTTCTTGCTGAAGTTCAGCAGAGCTTGTGTCTGTTTTGTTTTGTTCAGCATTCTCTGAGACGTGTATTGCTTTGTCCCTGGTTCCAAAACAGGTACGTTTGATATTGTATGCAGGTTAATGTATGTAAACCTATACAATGAACCAAATATGCTTGAGTAAATGTATTTCCAGAAAAAAGACACCCCATGACCCTGCAAAGTAACTACATATTTTAGAATAATGTTTGTTTTAATTAAATGTTTCCAGAGAGTGGAGAGAAATCCTTGCCTTGAGTTCTGCTACTATGGGATGCTTTCTGTCCTCCCTTCCTGTTTGGGTACCTCCTTTTACTGGGCAGTGGGAGGGAAACAGAACAGGAAAACCTGGAAAAGATTTGCTTGTTCTAAAAAGGAAATCTCATAAGCCTCACCTTCTAACACTGAATTCGGAATATCTTTTTTTCTTCAGACAGTTTGAAAACTCCTCCCACGTTAAAAGCAAAGACAGTTTTACTGAAGGCAATCATTGTTGAACAAATATTTTTAAGATCTACTCTTTGCTAGGTATTAGCCCTGTACCTGGAAACTATTTTATTTCTCAGTAACAATTAGAAATCAAAATAACTCAAGCAATGAAAATAATATTAACTTTGTAAAAAGGGGTTATGGATAGATGAAACAAGATTGGCGAAATTGATGATTGTTGAAGCTCAGTGATGAGCTCATGGAAATTTATTGTTTAATGAATCATTCACTGCGTAATGATTATTTTCCTTTATGCACATTTTAAAACTGGACTAATTGAAGAATTTTAAAATATATAAGCTTGGTGAAATATAGGTAGGTAAGAGGTCTATACCAAAGGTAAAAACTCTGGTGTCAAGACCAGAAAAACAAAACAAAACAATGAGACTTAAGAGGAAAGAGTCATATCAAAGTAAGAAAAAGGAGGAAAAAAGGTTCAGAGCCCACACGGAAATGAGAGGATTCTCACTAGGGTTTTGCAGCCTCGTGCTGGGGTAAAGCTGGTAGCTTGAAGCAGAACCAGGCTAAAGCTGTGGCTGGATATCATTTCTAGTGCTCAGTGCATATTTGTAAGTAGGGTAACTGCTCTGTAATTTATATCTAGTTCTCTTCAAAGTATACAATACTTCTTTTCTTAGGGCCTTTTTTAATCTCCTGAAGGTCAGAAGTTGTATTTTGCTTATGATTAGAGCTTCAATAATTAGATCAGTAATTGGCACATACTAGATAACAGTAGTCCCCCCTTATTGGAGGGAAAACGTTCTAAGACCCCCAGTGAATGCCTGAAACCACAGAAACTACTGAGCCATATATATGTATGTGTGTGTGTGTGTGTGTATATATATATGTATATATATGCATATATAGGTGTATATATATGTATATATATGCATATATAGGTGTATTTATACATATATAAAATATATAAAAATATATATATTATTTTTTTTCCTGCACATACATACCTATGATAAAGCTTAATTTACAACTTAGGCACAGTCAGAGATTAACAGCAATAACTAATAATAAAATAGGACTATAACAATATGCCAGCATCACTACTCTTGAGCTCTGGGGACTTTACTGTAATGTGGGTTATCTGAACACTGCAGTACCATGACAGTGGATCTGATCACCAGGTAAGCAACAGGCAGGTGATCCGTGTAAACAGTGTGGATCTGCTAAACAAATGGATGATTCATGTCCTGGGCAGGACACAGTGGGATGGCCCAAGATTTCATCACATTACTCAAAATTTTGTGCAATTTAAAACTTATGCATTGCTTATTTCTGGAATTTTCCATTTGATATTTTTGGACCTTGGTTTACTGGTGAGTAACTGAAACCTCAGAAATCAAAACTGCAAATAAGCAGGGACTGCTATATTTAACAATAGTTGTCGAATAAATGTTTTGAATGTCCCTATTTAAAAGTTCTTGTCATTTTTCCCTGAGAGGAGCCTGAGCCAGTGACCTTATTAACATCTTTATGTGGAATTCTGGAAACCATGTGGGTAGGGCAGGTACACAGGTACTCCTAGGGAATGTGCCACGGTAGCTGTTCTCTTTGGACTAAAGCGTGCCTTGCGTCTAACCACAGATTAATCTGGTTTTCATCATACCTTTTCCCTTTCTGGTTCTTGGACGGGTGGTGAATTACAATGGCCTCATGTTTGATTTTCAACAGCAAGCAAGATTTCCTCTGTGCAAATTTAGCAGCATTGATCCCTTTATACTATGTTGGTGAGCATGTCCAATTGTTGGCATCATTATTTGATGACTTTATTATTACTGGCCAGGGAAAGCCTCATAGGATGTTCTAACCTGAAACTTGAGTTAAACGGCATTTTTATTATTTTTTAAGATACTCTTACAAGTCAGTCTGCAGGATTTATGGAATACTCGCTCTGCAGAGTCCTATTCAATGCCCTGAGTGCATGCAAAGGAATCAGAGAAGCAGTCCTTGTCTATGGAGCACTTGCCATCTTGTTTGGAATTTTCAGCCTGTCTAGTGTGAGTTAAAATTACGCCCTCTCCTTGAATACTATTTTCTTGTATTAATTTAAACTGTGATTAAAATAGGTTGATAACTGGTTTATAGCCTTCTTTACAGAATTTTCATTGTAGCTCCAGGCCTGGAAATAGCAATTTAATTAGAGACTTACAGCCATGCATTTCATCGTGATAAATGCCCTGTGAATATTTAGACTATTAGCAAAGGTAAAATATTTTTGGCTTTCCTTTAACTTATTTAATATTCTTCTTTCCTGTAATTTACTTCACAAGCAGATTTCAAACTGTTATTCCAGAGGAAAATAGGGCCAACAATGCTCTATTTTGAGGACAGGTCTAACACTGCTACTTCCCAAAGAAACCCTATGTCAGGAAAGTTCACTGTTACATTTTTCCCATAGAAACATTAATAATAGAAATCTGTAGGCTGGGCACGGTGGCTTATGCCTGTAATCCCAGCACTTTGGGAGGCTGAGGCAGGTGGATCACCTGAGGTCAGGAGTTCGAGACCAGCCTGACCAACATGGTGAAACCCCATCTCCACTAAAAAATACAAAAATTAGCTGGGCATGGTGGTGGGCTCCTGTAATCCCAGCTACTTGGGAGGTGGAGGCAGGAAAATTGCTTGAACCCGGGAGGCAGAGGTTGCAGTGAGCTGAGATCATGCTATTGCACTCCAGCTGGGGCAACAGAGTGAGACTCTGTCTCAAAAAAATAAAATAAAATAAATCTATAAAAAGAAACATTCTCTATGCTCTTTATTTAAAGGTTTACTTGTCATAAAACTCGTTATACACATACATATATGTAAATATATACATATATCTCATATATGTCCATTCTATTTGAGAAAGACATGTTTAACAAATATCCAGCTATTATATGAATGTTTAGTTTTAAAATATTTCTATGACATAAATGTATAGTTCTCCAGAGAGTATTTTTGCATATGTTATTTCAACTGTTTAATTAAAATAATTTCTGACCGGTAATATTTCAGCAAGAGCTGGTACCAGCCACACACAGCCATTCTCTGGTTTCCAGCAATGGAGTAGAATCTGGGTCACAATTTTAGTAACGGGGGCTGTGCCTCTGTCTTTGTCACCACCAGAAATGGGAGCAACCCCAGGGGCTACAGGTCTTCTTAGTTTATACACGTGTGTGTGTGTGTGTGTATGTGTGTGTGTGTGTGTGTGTGTGTGTTTTCAATATCTGGAGTGCCCATGTGGGATGCACATCTACCTGTACACGCAGACTTCCCTGCTACATTACTTCATTTCCTTTTGCTTTCTTCCTCTCCACCTGCTGCTGAGCACGCTCATAGCCCTGAAGGTGTGTATGAGGTGCTCCCAATTCTGGGAAACCACCTCAGCCGCTGCTGGAGCTCTGGCTGCCACCTCCTCGGCTATGCCATGGGCACCATCTTCCTGTCAGCTGAAGAGCCTGCCCACACCCTGGTCAAGGCATTCATCCTTCCTGCCTGCTCAGCTACAGGCTGTGTCTGCCCCATATGCAAACCAATTGCAACAATCACCTTAAAACATTTGATCTCCCACATACTCTTCTTCCCATAAAAAATAAGACTACCTTCTATAATGGAGAAGCTACAAAACCCCAAAACGTTGGTCTTGCCAATGTTTTTGTAAAACAACCATTTAGTGTTTACTTGCTGTTTTATTTTAGCTCCATTACCTTAAGATTCATGTATGAGTCCTGGGGGAGTTGAATCTGTAGTTTCTTGGCATCTGATTTAAACTGGACAGTACAGTAGTTCCTTTGTTTGAGACTTAAATTGAGAGCATATCAGTCTCAGAACTGTATCATCAGCCTCAGAAGCATATCCTTTATCTTCATTGTCTTATTTTAACAGAAGTTCATGCACTATGCATGAGTGTCCTTACTTACCCTCTGGGCCCTCTGGGCCCCTCTAGGGTGGTTGCCACCCAAACACAAGAAAGCGGGACTCATTATAGGTCATGGAGGACACAGTTCTGTGCAGCCTACCACTGCCCAACTAAGAAGCTGATCAGTCCAGCCCTGCATTCACACTAGCTTTATATACCAACCAGTCGACCCATAACTGTGAGGAATGAGTAATATTTTTATTTCATACATGTACAATTCAAACGGTATTAACCATAGTGCTGTGTTCACCTATTTATCAAATCTCCCAGCAGTAATCTGAATTAAGGACTACTTTGCAACCTTTTTTTTTTTGAGATGGACTCTCTCTTTGTCGCCCAGGCTGGAGTGCAGTGGTGCGATCTTGGCTCACTGCAACCTCCGCCTCCCAGGTTCAAGCAATCCTTCTGCCTCAGCCTCCCGAGTAGCTGGGATTGCAGGCATGCGCCACCATGCCCAGATAATTTTTGTGTTTTTAGTAGAGATGGGGTTTCACCATGTTGGCCAGGCTGGTCTTGAACTCCTGACCTCAGGTGATCCACCAGCCTCAGCCTTCCAAAGTACTGGGATTACAGGCGTGACTCACCACGCCCAGCCCTGCAACTTTATGAAAAAAAAAAAAGGAAAAAATAAAACTGGCTATCTTAAATAAGGATTTTTAAATCCAAAATTTCCTTGAGGAAAACTCTGTCATTAAGTTTTTCAGAATAAAAATTATATTTACTTTACAAAAGAAGTATTTACCAAATTATGCAGACAGTATATCTATCTTTGGAACTCTGAATGTAAACATTTGAGGAATTCCACATGTCATTCCCTTGAAGGTTTGAGCTTAGCTAGTTGTGAGCTTTTTTTATTCTTTTGATGAATCTGGATATTTTCACCATGGAAAACACAGCTCCCTCTAAATCCTGTCTGTGGGAGAATAACTGGCCTGGACATGTTCATATCTTTAAGAGGACAACATTTAAAGAAACAAAAATCTGCTGCTCTAAATATGCTACATTCTTTTTTTTTTTTTTTTTGGAGACGGAGTTTTGCTCTTGTTGCCCAGGCTGGAGTGCAGTGGCGCGATCTCGGCTTACTGCAACTTCTGCCTCCTAGGTTCAAGCAATTCTCCTGCCTCAGCCTCCCGAGTAGCTGGAATTACAAACATGTGCCACCACGCCCAGCTAATTTTGTATTTTTAGTAGAGACAGGATTTCTCCATGTCGGCCAGGCTGGTCTTGAACTCCCGACCTCAGGTGATCCGCCCACCTCAGCCTCCCAAAGTGCTGGGATTACAGGTGTGAGCCACCACACCCTACATTTATTTTCATGCTGTTTCAGCTTCAGTATGAAATGCCTGGGCAGAAAACATTTTTGTTTCATTAATAACCTCTGGGTTTGTGGCTCTAATAAATAAATTTCTTGGATTTTTTCTCGTGTAGATTTCACTAGTTTTCAAGCAAGATAATTTTTGAAAAACAAAATATAGGTTTTTGCATAGCCCTACTATCTATCGCATGTGAAGGTGACAGCATTGTATTGATTGCCATTGACAAATTTGCTGTACAACATGTAAGTACCATAGACAAAGTTAGGACCGTAGGCAAATCTTACCAGGTGTGACAGGCACCTTGCTATCCACGGAAGTGGTGTCCCTCACCGAGGGCCTCTTCTTGTGCATCTCCTTTTCCCTTCAATATTTTTGTCCAGGGGACCTCTTGGTCACTCTCAAAAGGGGACCCTTTCCCAGCATTGCACAGTATTCGGAATACTAGTTTGAGCACAACTCTGGTTCAAATGGAAATCCTGTATCTTAGTCCATTAGGGCTACTATAACAGAAATACTATAGATTGGCCTGCATATAAACAACAGAAATTTATTTCTTACAATTCTAGAGACTGGGAAGTCCAAGGTCAGGCACCAACTGAATCAGTGTCTGGTGCAGCTTCCTGGTTCAGAGATGGCGCCTTCTTGTTGTATCCTCATATAGTGGAAGGGAGAGGACAATTCCTTGTCTCTTTTATAAGACACTAATCCCATGCATGAGCCCTTGTGACCCAATCACCTTTCAAAGGCCTCACCTCCAAATACTATCACATTGGGGATTAAATTTCAACATGAGTTTTTGGGGTACACACACATTCAGTCCATGGCTCCCTGCTACATATATTATACACATTATTCTGTCACCATATGCAGTGGAAATATGTACTAGGTGATTGAGTATGGGAGACCTGAGCTCTTAAAGAGCATTGGTAAGAATAGATTGCTGGCTTTGCTATTTCTCTACAAATAGCAGTCTTTACAACCTTCTTGGTTATCTGTGTCTAGAGAGGCAGAAAGTGGTCTTGACCCTCTTTAGAAGGATGGTTTCCCAGCATCAACCACTTATAATTGTAATGAGGCACTTAGTACCCCACCTGCAGTCTTAAATACTAAAGGTTTCCAGCTTCTTCCCTAGTAAACGTGAATCATTATTTACTTTGTGTGACTAAAACATCCCTAATTCATTTCCTGTTGTACTAAGCTTGTTACCTTTTAATAACTACATTCAAACCCTCTGTGAAAGATAACCTTTTCCCTTTTGAAGACATGTGTTGAATTTTTACGGTAGACTCCCCTTTCATTAAAAAATGATCTGGGCCAGGTGCAGTGGCTCATGCCTGTAATCCCAGCACTTTGGGAGGCCAAGGCAGGTGGATCACCTGAGGTCAGGAGTTCGAGACCAGCCTGGCCAACATAGTGAAACCCCGTCTCTACTAAAAATACAAAAATCAGCCAGGTGTGGTGGCAGGCACATGTAATCCCAGCCACCCGGGAGGCTGAGGCAGGAGAATTGCTCGACCATGGGAGGCGGAGGTTGCAGTGAGCCAAGATCATGCCACTGCACTCCAGCCTGAGTAACAGAGCAAGACTCCATAGGTCTGTCCCCACGCACAGCATCCCATGTTTGCAAGCTTGGCTTGGCCATTCATGTCCCGTTGCAGACCGCAGCACTGTCTCCAGAATCACATTGCTAGATGTGGCCATTGTGTCTTTAGTCAATGTTTAAGCAGAGATTAAACAAGAGCCCTATTTCTAGGGGCATTACAGGTTACTTTTATCATGATTCATAATTCTTCAAGCAAAGTATACAGCCAGTTTGTCCTATAGCTTCGATGTTAAGGGCTTTGCGTTCCTCCTCGTCTTCCACATGCTTTAGACAGGGTTCATTCACGCTACTACTCGCCCCCATCTACAAGGATATAAAGGAAAATGGATTCTGTAAGAGTTGGAATTCCTACAGAGATATGTGCCATCTAGATGTAAAATGTAGCATCTATTTTCCTAATAGCTGAAATAACAAAATAATGGTGAAATGGTTTGTGTGAACTATTTCCCAGCATATTATCACTACCTCTGAACAGTAAAATGCCTCCTCTCCAGCCTAGAGAACAGCCTACGAGCCAAACTGCTCCTAAAAGTAGCTGGGATACATTAAGAGGTGCGGCTGAATCAGCTCCTCGCCTCCAGTCATCCCATCACCTGCTGCCTTAGTCCATTAATTGGCTGAGAAGGCTTTTGAGAGTAGTTTGAGTGAAAAAGGAATAGTATAGCTGCATAAAGACAATTTCTTTCCTAGTCTCCAACCCCGGTTTTTACTACTACATCAAATGCTACTTTTTGACCCATGCTCCTTTTATTATTTACATGCAAAAAAAAAAAAAAAAACCTAAACTAAAACTTGGCTGACCTTTGGGATCAGGGATGAGGACAGAGTGGAAGCAGTACTGAATTTAATTTAAAGTTCTGTAACAAACAAGGGGGAAAGATATAGAGATACCGATTTTGAGGGAAATGTTAATTATCTAAAGCTTAATTACAGATAACGTCATGAGGAGAATACATAAAAGGCTTGAAATGCAGCCAAAGTATTTCGCTAAGAACATTAAAGAATGATTGTTGTTTACAATTCACAAATCGCACAGACATAAAGTTGAGATGGGAAAAACAGAGTCAGGCTTGAAGTAAGAGCCCAGCCTGCTATTTTAAAAACCAGTTCCGGGGAGAAGCGATAGTATTTGGAGTTAGCTCATGCTTTAGATGTAAATGAGATTCTGTCCATGTTTCCCCTTTAAAATAAAAATTAGCAGAACGCTGGCGAACACATTGAAGTAAAATCCTAGGAGACAACACAACCCAAATAAAAATAAATAATTTATGAGATCTTGGAATGGGAACTACAAATAAAACAGAACACACAGACGTTTATCTCCTTGTAAGTACAATAGAAATAAAGAAAAGGCAAGATTTTTACGTGCCTGTCACTTCATTACCGAATCCAATGATAAAAAAAAATACCTTTTCACTCAAACATAATTTTTACTTGGCGTAGCAATGAATGGCTTACACTTATCTAGTCTACTCTTTACTTATGCATTTCTGTCTTTTTGTTGTACGATTGGTATCTATTAATGTCCCATTACCTTTAAAGGTGAGTTTTGGGATAATGGAATGTGGCATTTTGGAAGTTTGCTTTTAAGGGGGTTTGAAAAAATAAGTACCAGGCGGTTCTTATTTCCCTAAAGTCAGTGAGACACATGTTCTAGGGAAGGACATATTCCCGGATTCCAGAGTCTTGGGGGTGAAGACCAGAGCTCCAGATCCTGGCAGGCTGGGCCCTCGAGGTGTTGCATTAGAGTTACTGGACAGGTGTTGGGAAGCTTCGTAAAACAGAGTTGTAACTGGAGGTCTCAACACTTGATACTTTTATAAAAGAATGGGAATGGAGAGAATGTTTTTGTGTCAGAAGGATTTATGTGTATATATTTGAGTGAGTGATCAGAGAGAACCAGGTTATCAAAGGGGAAGGACAGGCCGGGTACAGTGCCTTACACCTGTAATGCCAGCACTTTGGGAGGCAGGCAGTTTGCTTGAGCTCTGGAGTTTGAGATCAGCCTAGGCAACATGGTGAAATCCCATCTCTACCAAAAAAAAAATTAAAAAATTAACTGGGCAAAGTGGCACACACCTATGGTCCCAGCTACTTGGGAGGCTGAGGTGGGAGGATTGCTTGAGCCTCGGAGGTGAGGATGCAGTGAGATCCAGCCACTGCACTCCAGCCTGGGCAACAGAGTGAGACTCTGTCTCAAAAGCAAAAGAGGGTAGAGAGGAGGAGGGGAGGAAGGACAGTGACAACTATGAGATGAATTCACATGTTTTCTGAGATGACAGTTAGACATACAGCAATGACAATTCACTGAGCTCAGAGAAAATGCACCAAAAACAATTTTTAAGCTCAATAGACATTTATTAAATGAATGAATGAATGACTAAAGAGATTGGAGGTCTCTATTTGATGACAGCTATTGAGAAAGAGTGTTTTTTTTCTCTCCTCATTCCTCTCACTTTTTAAAACTGAGGTAAATTCATATAATTCGCTTTAAGCCATTTTAAAATGAACCATTCAGTGGCATTCACAGCGTTGGGTAACCACCACCTCTATTTAACTCCAAAATATTTTGATCACACTAAAATATATCTCCTGCATCATAAATGACACAAGAAGTTTAAAATAATTAATTGATTGAAACTTACATAAAACAGATTTTAAGAGAAATTAGGCATTTTAATTTTTTTAAAAAAGGTTTCAGAGGAGGACATGTCCAACTGGCTTAAGGGAGCTGCTGACAAGTTCTGACTGCCCTAGGGCTCCTCCTGAGGTCCAGCCACAACCCCTCTTCACCACTGAGGCCCCTTTCCTCCTGTGGGGTCCCCAAACTGTGGCTTCATAAAAAAACAAAAACAAAAACAAAACCTTTTCCCCTGAGCTTAATGGCTAGGGTCGCGAGTGGTGTAAAGGGTCTATTTGAGTCCCTCGACTTGGCTGTGTCCCATGAGCACACACACACACAAGCTGCACATCCCTCGGTTCACAGCTGGCTCATTTTACCATTCCCTCAGCAAAGGATTATTGAGAGTCTCATCCCTCAGGTCTTTCTTGGTTTGGTGATTAGTCACTCTGTCCCTGTGATTTTCCTGTCCAATTATAAATTTGAGGGATTATTTGTTTTGTTTACTTGCAAGGCTTTCTGGCTTTATAACAAAGAAACATGTTGCAGAAGGCTGGAGTCCCTTTGCTAATAGGTTAGAAATACAAGGAAAGGGGCACGAGCTAACTAGACGACTTTTTATTATGGAAATATGACTATTTGCAAATGTTAAAAAGAAGAAGCAATTTTTCATCAATTCTAAAATCAGACTGCTTTTGTCAAGAAATTGTTATTTAAGCCTGCGTTAGAATTACATGGAAAATGAACTATCAGTGTCATACTTTCTGATTCAGAAATGTAAAACAGTTGGTGAATGATCCAACAGACACAGCACTTTTGAGGTCTTACAACTGAGACAGATAGTGTTACTTATCTTATGAAAATTGCTGATCGGTCTCCTCCAGAAAAATTGAATGAAACTGCATGGATATATTCAGAGCAGGTAGCACAGTGAAGACTACGTTCATCTATAATCTGGAAGTTGGTTCAGATTGAGACCTGGTGACGGGACATTTGAGCCTTTGTTTTAAATAAGCCCCTGGTGGAAATAAAAGAAGACCAACCAAATGAGAACAAGCAAAGGCTATTTATTCAGAGCTTGCTATAGCAAGGGAGTCAGGCACTGTGTCACTTGCATTTGGCAAGGCTCACAGGCAGGCAGAGGAGTGGGAGGGCTTTACGGTGGAAAAAAGAGAAGGTTTCAAGTATGGTCTGATTGGAGGGTTTTGGCATGGGGAATCTGGAGGCAGATTCTATACCTAGAAGCAGGACATCCTGTGTGGCTGGTCAAGGCTTTCTCTAGTTAGTCCTAAGTTGTAGGCAGTGACCAAAATTAAGGAAGCTGTCAGTTACTAATGAAATCCTGGCCATTTGGGGCAGATTGTTAGAGGAGTTATTGTTTGGGTTGCTGAATTGTTACTAGAGATAGTGGTCTGATTTCCCATGAGTCTGACCTGCAGAGAGCAGGCTGGCTTTCTGGCCTCGCTGCTCTAGACAATAGATTGGTTTCCTGGGCTGGTTGCTGCAGACTGTGGCCATTGTCCATTTGCATATACAGTCTCTCACCATCAAACTGAGCTCCATGTGCTCATCTCCCCTTCTGAAGGTCACTTTCATCCAGGATTCTTATGTATTTCCACCCTTGCCAGCAGCTGTGAGCAGATTCTACAGGGGCCAATAACACTGCAGGCATCTCTGCTGGTGTTGAGTGGGGTTACCAAGCAGGGGCTCCATCACGGAGCAGAACTGCTGCCCAGCTGCTCGGCCTGGTACAGTGCACTACACACCATGCTCCATAAAGAAGCATCTTAGATATAAGAGGCCCAGACTTTTTACAGAATTGCAACAAGTAGGAGGTAATGAATTCTTACTGCATGCCAGCCATCGTAAGAAGTATTTACAGATATTTTCTCACTTATTCCTCACAATAAAACTATGAAATAGATACTACTATTTCCAATTTATAAATGGTGAAACTGAGGCTGGGAGAGATTAAATAATTTGTCAATGATCACGCAGCTAAGAAGTGGTGAGTCTGGTATTTGAACCCAAGTGGTTTTAATCCATGTTGCATCATTATGCTACTGTGGGAGAAAGAGAGGGAAAAATAAACCTCTTTCTGTACTAAGCACCTAAGAAGGAAAGCTCATCAGAGTGCTTTGCTTCAATAAGTAAAGGAAGTGGAAGCCTTCTGAAGTCTCCAGGAAGAGCTGGTGATAAAGATAGCTCAGGAGTCAGGGCTCTCAGAGCTTCCTGTGGGGCCGGTCCTCTGAAGATACAAAGAGGTGTAAGAAATAATTCCTGCCTTCAAAGGTTTTATTTTCTGGCAGTGGAGCCCAAACTAGCACAAAGGAAACTAGGCTTGAAAAATTAAGTGCTACCCTTTGTATGTATCACCAGTAAAAAGGAACTAGAAAGATGAAAAACAGATAAAGGCAGAAAGTAGAGAGGATTTGATAAGAAGGGTGGTCTGAAGCTGAGCTCTAAAGGGAAAGCAGACTAGACAGGCCTGGCTGGGGATGAAGAACATTCCAGAAAGGGTCTTTTAGGTTTAGCACATGGATGTGAGACAAAATGTCCATATAGAAGGGGTTAGGAGAGTTCTCCATGGTGTAACGCTTTAGTCTCCTATATAAATATTTTCTTTAACTACTGAAGTTATTTCCACTGTCATTATTTGAAACTGTGGCCTCTGAAGTTTTCTCACCTTCTTAGAAATTTCATGGCTGTTTTTTTCCTTTTTTCTTTCTGATCCAAAATAAACTTCTCTGCTGTATTGAAAATTGTAGTTTCATAATGGAAAAAAAAAACATATTGCTATTTCATTTTTGGAAAACTGAACCTTTTGTCAAGTGTAATTGAAGTGGCTCAACTGAGTTTTTGCCTGAAAGTGCAGTTAATCCATGTTTGAACAGAGACAACTATGTTTTTCTCGTTGAGTTTAAAGTTTAGAAATGTTGTTCTGTTCTTGTCCAGGAAGCCATGTTGTTCTACATCTCATCCATGCTACTGGGAGACCTTTGACCATTAACTTTTCTAGGCCTCCTTTTTCTAGTCTTTGAAATAAAATATATAGTATGGATCAGCCAAGTGCTAAATGGAGCTACTTGCATTTCTGGAAATACAATAAGAAAAGCAGTGGCATCAAAACATTTGAAATAAAAGCAGTAAAAATGTCTATTTTACTTTATTTTAATTATTTTATTTTCTTCTATTATTGAATTAATTCATGTGTAGTGGAGAATTTTTAAGATTTTACTTACTTTACTCAAAATTGACAAAAAGACAAATTATATTATCCTGCTTTTAAAAATTCATAACATTGAGCTTTTATTTCATGAACTGTTAAATAAAATAGGAACATGATGTGATTCTTTTGCCGACATTTGATAATCAAAGTGTGATGTGGTAAACCATTCTTCAAAGTGGCTTGTTGGCCCAGTGCAGTGGCTCATGTCTGTAATCCCAGCACTTCGGGAGGCTGAGGCAGGCAGATCCCTTGAGGTCAGGCATTCGAGACTAGCCTGGCCAACATGGTGAAATCCTGTCTCTACTAAAAATACAAAAATTAGCTGGGTGTGGTGGGGCACGCCTGTAATCCCAGCTACTTGGGAGTCTGAGGCTCAAGAATCACTGGAACCCACGAGTCAGAGGTTGCAGTGAGCCAAGATTGCATCACTGCACTCTAGCCTGGGCGACAGAGTGAGACTACATCTCAAAAAAAAAAAAAAAAAAAAAGGCTATTTAATTTGCAGTAGTTCAAAGTGGCAGATCCTTACCGAAGGCACCAAAATGCCCATTTTAAATGCCACTACAGTTTATAACCAACTTTTTTATATTTAAATGTTCTTTTATTTAGTGAATATTCATAAGATGGATACAATTTTATACCATATGCCTTTTCCACATTGCTAACATTGTTTTTCATTGAGTTCTTGTATTTAACAAAGCAATGCATATAGATAGTTTTAACAGGTTAATAGTACAGCAAGCTTGATAAAGAAAAACAAGTATTCTCTCCCATCTCCTTGCTCCTAATTTCCCACTCTACAGAGACAATCACTTTCAAGTCCTTTAGTATTTACCCCCATATCAGTACATTACATGCTTAACTGGATGTATATTTATTTACTTTTTTTTTTTTTTTTTGAGACACAGTCTTACTCTTGTCACCCAGGTTGGAGTGCAGTGTCACAATCTTGGCTCACTGCAACCTCCACCTTTCAGGTTCCAGTGATTCTCCTGCCTCAGCCTCCCAAGTAGCTGGGATTACAGGCACCTGTCACCATGCCCAGCTAATTTTTTTTGTATTTTTAGTAGAGATGGGGTTTGACCATGTTGGCCAGGCTGGTCTCAAATTCCTGACCTCAAGTGATTCACCCGCCTCGGCCTCCCAAAGTGCTGGTATTACAGGCATGAGCCACCACGCCCGGCCAATGTATATTTATTTTTAAATTATATGCATTATTGACTTCCTTCTTACCCAATCTCACCCTTCTTGCCCCATCCTCACACACACACTACTTTCCACCATACTTCAAATGAAACTTAATTACAGTTTATATTTATATCAATGCTATATTGCTTATAATTATGTAAGTACTGTTCACAGCTGAGTCATGTAGTTTACTATCATTTTCTTTTTTTTTTTTTTCTTGCTCAAGGTTTTGTTTTCTCTGGAGTTAATCATTTCCTTGGTCTCTTTGCATGTTTGTTTGCTTCCTTTTCTTTTTATTCATCATGAATTCAGCCCTAACTTTTCTAAAAGAACTATACAAATTTTTCCTAATGTTGTCAAACCATCAGATAATAAAATAACTTCCCTTTTTGTTTGTGGAAGCATTCCTTCTAAAACCCTTGCTCTTTTGCTGCACCCTACAAACAATATATGTTCTGGAAGCTACTATCACCATCATTCAGGGAACTCCCTTCCCTTTGCTCCCATATGGGATTTCCTGTTTCCCTGATTCCATCTCTTTCTGTCATGTGACTTGCTCTTTCATTTTGGTGGTGCACACTCACCAGCAACGTCCTGAGAATAAATACAACAGGGGCAAATTTTTGTGTTACTATTACTATTCTGCCTGAATATGATTGTTTTGAGTACTGCATTTGTTAGTTAGATCAATATTATATTCTAGATGGCACATCATTTTCTCTTAGAATCACTGAAATCTTTGCACTATTTTCAAGCTTCCTAGTGGTACTATTGTTCAAAGATATTTTGATACCCAATTTCTTGTATGTGATTTAGTGTTCCCTGCCCCAAGAAAAAACATTTAAAGAAGTTCTCTGTAAACCGTAAAATTTCACAACAATATGCCTTGGTATGAATTTTTCTTATTTATTGTGCTACTCTTGTGTGGGCTCATTCAATCTATAAATTCCTGTTCCTCGTAAGTTTCTTCTCTCTTCTTTATCTGGCTTTTTGAAACTCCTGTTAGTTAGATATATGATCATATCTCATCTATGGTATTCTAGTTTTCTCATCTCTTCTCTTCTCCCCTATTTTTCATCTTTTCGGCTTTTTTTTTTTTTTTTTTTTTTTTGGAGTCTTGCTCTGTCACCCAGGCTGGAGTGCAGTGCAATGGTGCAATCTTGGTTCACTGCAACCTCCACCTCCCAGGTTCAAGCTATTCCCCTGCCTCAGCCTCCTGAGTAGCTAGGATTACAAGCACCTGCCACCATGCCTGGCTAATTTTTGTATTTTTAGTAGAGACGGGGTTTCACCATGTTGGCCAGGCTGGTCTTGAACTCCTGACCTCAGGTGATCCACCCACCTCGGCCTCCCTAAGTGCTGGGATTACAGGCATGAGCCAAAGCGCCCAGCGTGACTTTTTTGTTTTACTTTCTAGAACATATACTAAACTTTGTCATCCAGCTTTTCTATTAAAGTTTTAAATTTTTTTATTATTATTAGTGTTTTCATTTCTTTTTAAAAAACTTAATTGATATGTTACAATTGTACATATTTTGTGGGTGTCTGATATTTTGATACTTGGGTACAATGTATAATGATCAAATCAGGATAACCAGTTTATCCATTACCTTAAACGTTTGTCTTTTTGTGTGTATTGGAATCATTACAATTCTTCTAGTTTCTTCTCTTCTTTTGAAATTTCTAAGAGCTCTTTCTTATTGTTGTGTGCTTTTTGTTTCTTTCTCCTTTTTGTTAATGAATGCTTTCCTCTTATAACTTCGTAAGGACACTAACGATAATCCTTTAGGAAATTTTTTTCTGCTCTCTGAATTAATCTGTTTCCTCTGAGTTCCATCTAATGTTTTGGAGTTTTCTCACAAGTCCCATGACCTTAATAGCCCATTTGTGTCTAAGAGAGAAGTGTTAAAATTCTGATCAGATGCTCTTTGTGCACAAATGAACTTCATGTCTTACCAGTGGACCTAGACATTGCTTTGGAAGACCCCAAGTATTAATCCCCCCCATCCCCTTGCTGATCCATTGCCCCTGAGTAAAACACTCTAACCTCCCCTGAATAGAGGTTATCAACTCAGATTAGTAGTTGTCAGACAATGTTCTGAGATGCAAATGGGGCACAGAGGTGGGAAGGACATACCTTCTCCCAACTCCTGTGTTTGCATGACCTGTCTCCTTCCCATTTCCACAGCCTCTGTGATTCCTCCTCTCCAGCAAGTAAACCTGCTTCCCCTGGGAGCTGAAGGGACTGGCTGGGGAAGGAGGATGGAGGGTTCAACTGCACCAATTCAGCGAGTTCCATTTCAACTCCGGGCACCTGTGGCTTCCAATTCCTAGGACATGCTGGAGTTCTTTGGTGCAAAACACATAATTTCTTGTTGACACTCCACTACCAGCCTTGAGTTTTGGGTTTCTTCTCTCTGCTCTGTCTGTTACTCCCTGCGTTCAGCTGTCCATGTTTCAGAATTTAATCACCTTGTCTGCTCTCTCATTCTCTCTTATCCCTTGTGTACTTCCATTATTTTTGTTATCTTTATTACCTTTTTAGAGAAATTTGGACAGAAGCAAAGATAAGCACAGGGGTTAACCTAGCATGGCTTAATTAAAAGTTTCTCCCTCTCTTGGATTTATACTACTTATTTTCCACACTCAAATATCCTTGAGTTTTCTTTCATGTCACAGTTATGTTCTGAGTGATGTAAGATATTCCATGGGAAAAGGGGGGTTCTATGGTCAAGGAACAGGGTACACTATTCCCTCACCTCTTGCTTCTAGTTTCCTTTGTGACATCTGAAATATTATGTTCTTTATTCCGATTTAATTTTTGGTTGTTGATTATGTATCCCCAGCTATCATGTAAGCCCCCTGAAGTTACAACACAATGCTTGCTTGTGTTTTCTATTATGCTTGCAGACCACCCTTTAGATAGATATCTGTCACTCCTGCTTAGAATGTGAGCCCGTTGGACAGGGACAGTTCCTTATCCATCTCTATCCTCTGTATCCCCAGCACCTGTCAGAGTAGCTGTAATATCACAGGGATCACTGAGTGTGCTGATAAGTGAGTGGGTGCGTGCTTTCTCCTACATTTCATAATCCCTTTCTCACTGTGTGTCTGGGGAGAGTCCCTGAAAGCACAGTAGATGCCGTGGCATCTTTCAGCTGAAGGATTTACGTGCTCCTAAATGCGAAATCATCTAATACTGAGCGTTCTTCCCATACAGTAGGACAGAGGCCGGGTAGTGATTTGGGGAAATGGTATGAATTCTGCCTTTTTCTCCTCACCCATGCACATGCCAGCCCTTAAAGAGTATCTGCGTGGTCACTCCAGCCAGACCCCCTGCAGCCCCCCAGTCAGAAGCCAGATGGTCTTTCTACTTCTCTGAAAGAGAGGAGTGTTTCTGGTAGTCCTAAGGTAAACCTCAGAATTCATTTTCCTGGACAAATAATTTTATAAATGGTTGGCCAACTTTAGTAGAAATGGTACTGTTAGTAAAATATTTCCAATTCAATCTGGGTTAAATTGATTTTAGGGGTTACCCTTGGAAACGAATTATCATATTTTAAATTTTTTTCTGTGGGAAAATGTATTTTGAGTTCCAAATGACTAAGTTATATATACACTTTAGGAACACTGCTCACTCGTATGTTAGGGACTGATTATATTGTATTTGTAGTCCATCTGGGGCTATGAGAACAAAAAGAAAATCAAATCATCAACTGGATAATATCACCACTGAGAGCAACAAATCTAAAGTAACAAAATAGTCCATAATATGGAATATCACATCAGAATAAAAATGAATGTATTTTACACAGTTTGTGATATTTGTGGGCTGGCTTGGTGTCTGCAAGAAAGAATGTCTCATAAAATTGTACTGAGTGGGTCTAATGTGAGATTATGTTTGATTCTGTGCTAGGGCCTGAGATAGTATAACTTAGTTATGAGTCCAGAAAAAAGTGATGATGGGCACTTTGCCATTTACCACCTATATAGAGGCCTGAATCATTACACAGTGTATTTTTTAAAATCTTTTGAAGCCTTGTGAATGGACTAAAATTGACTTGGTGGTGGAAGATGGAGCTCAGAGGTTAGGGTCCTCTCTCAATTTTGTTTTGTTGCTTTTTTATTTTGATCACATTAATATGGTCATATTAATAGTCAACTCAATGTTTCAAAGCAAAATGGAGATGGAATTCTGGACATTCGGAGTTCTGGTGGAACAAACACTTCACACCAGGGGGCGCAATGGAGCCACGGCCTTTTATACACACAAGCACATTGATGATGTCTAAGAGCAGCGACTGGGAGGAATAGAAGAAAAGGAAAAACGAAATAGGAGAGTGTTTCATAAGAATAAAGTCTACAGAGAGACTAATTTCTCCTAAAATTAAAATCATGCTACCACAGGCTTTATGTCCAATTATATGTCATTTGAGTGGCCTGAATACTTTTTACTTCATGATTTATAGATCCAAAAATAGGTACAGAATGAACGTATGTTTATTTTGCTAAAGACTTTAAGAATTCCGTTACCGTTATTGTAAAATAATTCAAAATCATGAAACAGATTCATTATAACACCAGCTCATTTAGTTATTATTTAGAGACTATATATGTATAATACTTTAAAAGGTATAGTTGACATAAAAATTCGATGTATTTATTAGGTACAACATGATTTTTCAATGTAAGTAAACTTTGTGAAGCAGTTGAAGCAAGCTAATCAGGGAACATATATTAACTCAATACTTTATTTGGGCCAGACACTGTGCTAGCTGCAACCTTTAAATTAATTATTGGGGCTACAGTGCTTAATAAAACCAGTTCATAATCTGTTGCTGCTGGAGTACAAAAAGTTGAATGACCTTACAAATTCAGTATTTCTATATTTGTCACTATTTTTTTTATTGCATATGTTGTTTCCTGGGTAGTCCTAATATGTTATATGAGTTATTTTATGCTTATATTGTGACTGCATTTTTAATTGAAGAAACATTTGCCATCTTTCACTTTTTAAACTAAAGCCAAAATACAGGTATGCTTAGCAGTTTATTGTTTTCAAATTTTCAAATCAGGTAAATTTGATTAATTTCATTTAATAAATGAAAAAGAGATTGGGTACGGTGGTTCACACCTGTAATCCCAACACTTTGGTAGGCTGAGGCAGGAGGATTGCTTGAGGCCAGGAGTTCGAGACCAGCCTGGGCAACATAGAGAGATGCTGTATCTCCAAAAAATAAAACAATTAGCCTGGTGGCGCACTACTGTAGTCCCCGCCACTCAGGAGGCTGAAGTAGGAGGAATTGCTTGAGCCCAGGAGTTCGAGGCTGCAGTGAGCTATGATAGTGCCACTGAACTCCCATCAGAGTGAGAGAGCAAGACTGTCTCTTAAAAAAAAAAAATGAAGAGAGTAAAACATTATGCCAAGTTACTAACCAGATACTTGCTAAAAGGTAAATGATAGATTTAAAAATATAAAAAGTCTTTGACTCTTAGTATCCCATGGAAGCACAAAAATTCACAGTGGTTTGTAGATGGTGATAATAATTTTTTTTTCTTGGCATCTCTAAGAATATATTACCTACCATAAAGATTGTATACTGTCAGGAAATAAAACATTTTAAAATAATATTCAAAAAAACCTAGTCTCATGAGAGGCAAAAGTTTTCAAGTATTAACTACAAAAAGTTCAGTTGGAAATTTCCCCGTCTTCCGAGAGGTGTCATGAGCTGAGTCAGCTCCTAGCTGTGACCTTCATGTGACCTCATACATCACCTTCACCTCTCTCAGAAAATCTATGTCTTCATTCTTAAAGATAAGGACAATAACCTGCTTTGCATTGAGGAAGAAGTCAATTAAAAGATGAGATTACCTGTGTGTAAGCATTTTGTACAGAGGAAGCACTTTTTTTCTTCCTCTCATTATCATCATTGCCTTGACTCATTTCCTGTTGTGCCCGGAAGGCGGGGGCACCTGTGAAATTAGAATGCAGCAGGGCAGGGGGTTTTCATTGGCTCAGTTCCCGCTGGTGCTGCTAGGTAACTTTGCTCATATCCTGTCTGGAAGGACAGACAAGGGTCAGACTGGATGCAGGCTGGGACACCATCAGCTTCTCACAGTTGCTTTTTCTCTCCCCATCATGGGTCTGGCCTGCTCTTAGAACTGAGTCATCGCTGATTATTCTCCCAAACACAGGAAAATCCAGGATACCCTAGCGTACCCACTTTTAGGTGCTGACACATTGCAAGCCTCACACTTCATCCATGGTTTTAAGGATCACCTTGAACCATGGAAACGTGAGGGAAGCGAGAGGAAAGAGGCGGTGGGCGGCTCTGGCAGCAGGTGTTTTCATCAGGGGAGACCAGTTCTTCTGGGCCGCATCCCCATCACCCTTCAGACTGATGAGCTCTAAAGAAGGGATTTGCTCTACAGTGTGTCAGTTAAATGTAGTAATCATTTTTCTTCGAAGGAAAAAGAGGCAGGAAGAAGCACGTGCTCACTCACCAGCATTACAGCTTTTGCTCCCTGATCACAACAATAGATTTGGGCTGATTTCCTATTTTCAGGCAATCAGTGATGGGAGGAGAGGGAGCCATTAGCAGGTGCCCTAGTTGACCTTCAGCTAAATTATCGTCCCTTTCCCCTCCTGCCTTTCTTTCAATACAAGGAGAAGGGGAAGGGGGGGAGAGTAGCTCTCCATTTAAAAAAAAAAAAGGAAAAGGAAAGGAAACAGGTGCGTGGTCAGAGCTATCTAGCAAAGGGATTTAATTGATGGTGACAACAGCATTCTTAATCTGACAGCTGTTTTGGTTGTTTCATCCCTTTGTGTCATCGAATAGGAAAATAACTTATTAGAGCTATTCATGTCAGAGATAGTCAATAAATATCAGTTGGACTGTAAGTATATGGGATATTGCTTGAAAAAAATGAGGGTTTTTTGTTTTTTTAACTTTTTTTAAAATCTGTAATGTTAAAGGCAAAGGTGCAGTCTAGTCAGCTTTGGCATCCCAACACAGTTCCTGGAAGTAGTTTTTCCAAATAAAGCACTGCAACCAAATGACAATCAGCAGATTTCAAATACATATTTTTTGACTCTTGCTCTGTCAGAGATGGCCTATCCAAAGAGAAGATGGAGATCAGAAATATTGAAAGCTCAGTTCAATGTCATCCCAAATAAATATCTCTCAGGCTGTGCAAATTAGTTACCAGTAAGTACAGTTTGAAACGTGGATAGAAGTACATTACTTTCCAACAATTGGTATTGAAAATAAAGCTACTGACAAATAGAGCCATTTATGGAGATTGGATGTTCTCTTGTTATAACTTTTGGTGCATTTTATATCACTTGGGGAAGACTTAGAAGTGTTTTTCAGTCGTGCTGTGTAAGACGAATTCTTCCTAATAGCCTACCTCATTGTTATTACACGTGAGTTCAGCATGAGTAGTCAAGGAGGTAATATCACTGCTAATGGCACTCAGTGCTAATGGGTATTGGGGTAGCTTAGGTTAACATAAAAAGCAGTTAGGTAAAGTGTGGGGCAGGCCACAATTAATCTCAAGTAGAACCCAAATAAAGACGAAGACCATAAACATCAATAATTCTCTAGTAGTTCAAAGGAAGAAAAGTTGAGAATTCTTTTTTTGTTAAATAGTTTTAACTGCAATATGGAAAATCCCCATATCATTAAGTTCTTGATGTCAATTGACCTATAATAAGTCCTGATGCTCATTACACATAATGATCATCTCTGTGAACTTTCTAAATTTACTGCTAAAAGTTGAAATCAAGCTATAGATTAAAAGACGATCAATATTCTATAGGTTTTCATTAATGCATTTTATAAAGACAACATCTTTTGTTTTCATAAAATGTTCGATACATATACATTTTATATATAGTATATATAAATTTATATATGCTCAAATTACAAAGCAGAATTATAAAAAAAAAATGAACCCATTACTCCACTTAAGAAGCAGAACATTACCCACACTGTTGCGATTTTCTGAGAGTTCCCTCTCCATTCTTATCCCTCTGCCCCAGCTAATTGCTATATCCTGTTGTTGTTGGTTTGTATGTTTTTAAAAAAATTTCCATCCACTTTGTCATTCATTTTTTCATTACCTTTATGGTTTCCCATGCACCTATGTATGTGTCGCTAAACAATATACTGTTTGGCTTTATACTTTATAAAATATGTAATACTGTGTATATTCTTTTGTTACTTATTTTTTAACTTAGTTGTTATTTTATCCAAGTTTCACAAACACATAAAGTAGCTAATAGCATCCCGTCTTGACATAAAAAACATCAGTTTCTACCCAACACTCACCACAATTTTCTGCTCCCTGGAGGCAATTGCATTCAACTTTCTCAACGGATTTTTTAAAATGCTTACCTAAATATCTTTACATTGTATGCCTATTTTGTTACTAATTGGTTTTTTTCAGATTTAGAAAATACCTATTTTCTTCTGTCTTTGGAATATGAGAATTTCACTCTTCATACATTTCCCACCTTCCCCCTCCTCTCAGCAGGGTTAGATCATATTTTGGGTAGATCATTAGCTGGAGTTTACATAATTATGACCATATGAACACTATTCACAGCCTAGCCATGTGGTACAACATGATACTACAATTACTTTTTTTTCTGTGCAATGTTGGGCTTTCCCTAAAATTAACAATTAACTTTTGTTTGATTCATTTATTTTTCTATATGACCATCATGAATTTAATTCCCAAATGTCCCCCAATTGTGTAAATCTCCTTTCACAATGTTCAAGCCTATTAAGTAGTCTATTATCTTTACCATGTTGAAGAAATCTTCTGACCTGTTCCAATCGGGATGGCTGTATTAGTCTGTTTTCTTGCTGCTAATAAAGACACACCCAAAACTGGGTCATCTATAAAGGAAAAGAGGCTTAATAGGCTCACAGTTCCACGTGGCTGGGGAGGCCTCACAATCATGACAGAAGGTGAAAGGTACGTCTTACATGGCGGCAGTCAAGAGAGAATGAGAGCTAAGTGAAAGGGGTTTCCCTTTATAAAACCACCAGCTCTTGTGAGACCAATTTACTACCACGAGAACAGTATGGGGGAAACTGCTCCCATGATTCAGTTGCCTCCCATGGGGTCCCGTTCAAAACACATGGAAATTATGGGAGCTACAATTCAAGATGAGATTTGCATGGTGACACAGCCAAACCCTATCAATGGTCAACAGCTGTCATTAAAATCTCCCTTCACAGTCACTCTAGGGACTCCCTTTGTGTTTTTGCTGCATTGGATATCCTGTTTCCTGGGTTCCAGGTTTTTCTTTCTCTTGTTTTACAACCTCGTCTTTCTGAAACACATGTGCCAGTAGCTTTGTAGGAAAGGATGATAGATGATTAAATTTTTGATATGTGAATGTCTAAATGTGACTTTATTGGCTGGTTGTAGGATTGTAGGTCGAAAATTCTTTCCCTTGGGAATTTAGAAAACATCTACTTCCAGTCTTGCTATTGAAAAGTCCAATATTTCTGTGTTTTGATTCTCTGTATGAAATTGTATTTTCTTCTCTGTAAGTTTGTAGATCTTTGTTGCAGATGATCTGAAATTTCTGACAATGTGCCATTCAAAAAGGGGCTATTTTCACCCATACCACTGGGTATTTGGTGAGCCTTTCAACCTGGAAAATCATGTTGTTCAGTTCTGAAGAATTTTCCTTCCACTATTTCATAAATATTTTTCTTCGGTTTGGTTTCTCTGATCTGCTTACGTTGGGCCTCCTAGTATAATTCCTGCATTTTCTTAGTATTTTTCTTTCCTAATTTCCATCCCTTTGTCATTTTTTTTCTATTTTCTGGGAGACTTTTTCAACTTAATCTTCTTATCCTTCAACTGAGCTTTTCATTTGTGCCATAAAAGCCTTTACTTTTTCCAAGAGCTCCTTCTTTTCTTGGAGTATTTGTTTGTTATAGCATCCTGTTTTTATTTAACAGATGCAGCTCTACATGCTTCTAAAGATATTATATTTTTTAAGTTTTTTTCTAGCATATTCTCTGCATGTTCTAAGTTGTTTCATTTTTCTTTTTGTTGTGTTGATCATTGTCTTTCACACATAATGCTTTCCTCAAAGCCTAAATATCTTTTTCTGTCTGCTCATCTTTGAAAGTGGTGTGCTAAATAGAATTCCAGTTAAAATTCTAGTTGAATGTGTTATAAATATATTTCTCAAATTTATGGTTTGTCTTTTTCCTTTCTTTATTCTGTCATTCCATGAACAGACTTTCTTAATTTTAATATAGCATTTTTTTCCTTTAGGTTTTTTGCCTTTCACTTCCTGTTTAACAAATCTCTCTTGATCTTCTGATCATAAAGATGTTTTCCTGTATGGTCTTTTAAAAGTCTCATACTAATAGTTGTGATTCTTTAATTCACCTGCAATTAAATATTGTATATGGTGAGAGATAAGCATCCAATTTCATCCTTTTCTCATACGGATAACCAGCTGCCCCTGCACCGTTTACTGAAAAGTCCATTTTTCCTCTACTGGTTTCAGTGGCAAAAATGTCATAACTCAAGTTTGTAGTTGTGTCTATTTCTGGGATATCTATTCTATTTCATCGTTCTAATTGACAATTTCTGTATCACCTTTATATACTTGTATAAGACTTGATATTTAATAAGGACAGGTTTCCCCCACCTTATTCCTCACCTAGAATAGCATTCTGAAAACAAAGGGGAGAAAAATCTCCTAATGTGAAAGAAATGATGAGCTTAACTTCATTCATTCATTAAGAATGTATTAAGTACCTACCATATTTCAGACAAGGTCTAAGAATTGAAAAATCAATAAGAAAAAATCCCTGCCCCAAAGGAATAAACAACCTAGGAGGGAAGGCTGATAAAGAATTACACTTTAATTCTATTATGAGCAAGAATAAAGGATACATAAGAAACTGCACAGAGAGAATGGAAATAATTATGCCCAGGGATCATTAGGAAAGTCTTTCCAGTAAGTAGTAGTTTCCACTTGGTCTGAAGACATAAATTGGCATTTTATAGGAGAGAAAGGGAAAGGAATTCCAGGCAGGGGAAGCTCCATGGAGGTATGAAAGTGCATGATCTGTTTCCTAACAAAGGATCACACAAAGGAGATCAGGTTAGAAAGGAAGTTATGGCCAGACAGGGGTGGGCCTTTTCTGCCCCGCTGAGATGTTTGAACTTTATACTGAAGACAGAAGTAGACACAGAGGATTTGCAGTCAAAAGGCAATGGCACTCTTGTCCTGTATTTGATGATGTAAAAGCAGAGATAAGCAGGGCCTGGGGAGGGCACTGTGTATAGGAAGCCCAGTTTGGAGGCTGCTGCATTCTCCATGGGAGAGATGCTGAGGTCTGAGCTTACGCAGGAGTCAAGAGAATGGAGAGACGTAAAAACAGGTCAGAAGACATTAAAAGGGAAATAGAACAGGGCATGGTGAGAGTTGTTGTTAGATGTAAGGGAATGGCTAGAGTAAATGACAATAGTTACCAGCTTGAGTAACTACGCGGATGGGGACATGACTCACTGACCTTTGGAAGCGACAGGTGCTGTGCAGAAGGAATACCACAAGGTGTTTGGCAGAGACAAGGGACAATCCATGACTTCCAGTTTGATCAAGGCATGTGAATGGAGAGACAGGTAGGCAGTTGGAGGCATAGGTTTAGAGCTGAAGAGTTATCCACCACCCAAACCTAAATCTCCAGTGCCCTCTCATTAGGTCATTTGGAATAACCTGGATCCTCAAATATGCTAAACTCTTTGTCCACATCCCACAGCTGTTAAGGACAGATTTTCCAGATGAATGTACTCCGGGTTTTAGAGTATTCACGCTTTGTGCATTTTCAGCTTTAAGACATATATAGGACAATACCTTACTCTGCTTTTCATGGGGAGGCTGGGGGGAAAGGGTGGACCAGCTCAATGAAGTTCTAGGGACTTAGTAATGAAAGAGGTGCTACTGTGGAGAGTTGAGTATCAATTCCTCGACATTAGAGTCTCCTCCACAGTGACAAGAAGAGAGGTGGCATTTACATGTGTACCTAGCCTTTCATCTCCTACAGATGCTTTGCCAGCATGCTTTAGAGGACCTTTGGGGGCCCTGAACTCATCATGGAGAGAATGATGTTGGGACGAGAAAAAGCACTTGGAGTGCATGAAGGCAAAGGGGTTTGTTTAGTTAAATCCTGGGCTATTAATAAAGGTTTCTATTGATCGCCATTATGCACTGAATTTTAAAAGGGCCTAGCCTGATCTGGGATGAACTGCATCCCCTTCCCCAAATGCCCATTTTGAAGTAGCCCCCGGTACTTAGCATGTAATCTTACTAGGAAATAGGTTGTTGCAGATGCAGTTACTTAAGGTGAGGTCATATGAGGAAGTAGGATGGGCATCTAATCCAATATAGCTGGTGTCATTATAAAAAGGGGAAATTTGGACACAGCCAGGAAGGCAGGGAAAATGCCTGTGAGCACAGGCAGAGATGGGGTAATGCATACACCAGCCAAGAGATGCCAAAGGTTGCGAGCCAACCACAGGGAGCTTAGGAGAGAAGCATGGAACAGATTATCCCTCACATCCCTCAGCAGAAATCTGCCTTGCCAACACCTCCATTTCAGACTTGAGACAATAGCTGTCTGTTATTTAAGCCACCCAATTTATGGTATTTTGTTAGGGGAGCCCTAGCAAACCAATATTTAGCCTATATCCTAAAGAAGGAGGAGGGGAATGGTGAGGTTATTATTATCCATTCATAAGAGCAGAAATGACAACTTTCTAACAGAATAAAATTAATCATTCTTAGATTATCCACTTTATAGCCTTCTGATTCCTAAAATTGTAATTGCCATATGTAGTAATAGAAATGGAGTGAAAAAAAGGTCTGATGGAAACATGTTCTTTCCATGAGTGATGTACATTACACTGATGGATGGTTGATGGATATATTTGAGAGAATGAGGCCCTGTTCTAGTAAAACAGACTCAGACCTGCATATAATCTAAACATATTGGTGCCAATGGCCCAATACATAAAGCTTCTGCTTTGACATTAAACTGATGCATGTGTTTAAAAGGTACTAAAGGCAAATGTTCAAAAATAATCTTAGACCGGTTTTCTATTCATAAAGAGGAGGAACCCGTATATTTTGCCCCTGCATAGCTACAATCAGAATTGAATGTGAAATACCAACCATACTGGAAGGTGAAATTGACAATGAAATAACTATTCTCTGTTCTCAAGGTTCATGGGAGGGAATTGAAAGATCACAAGTTTTGGAGTCAGATGGAGCTGGGTTCTGTTCCACTTGTACTACCTTCTACTTATGTGACCTTAATAAAGTCATTTAACCTTCTCAGATTCTGTTTGATTACCTGGAAAATGGGGAGGATTATAGCTCCCTCAGAGAACTGGTCTGAGGATTAAATGAGATAATATTGGTAAAGTGACCAGCAATATGCATGGTAATATACTCAATAATAATGTTCAATAAATGGTAGCTGCAAATTTCATATTTGTCTCAATTAGTATTGGATGCAATTCTTCTGCATTCGGGCACAAATCACTTTGGCAGTTCTGGACTAGGAGATCCACTTACTGGTATCTAAATGGGGATGACCATGGTGAAGCCTAGAAGAGTCACTGAATTGCTACTAACATGTCCCTTTTTCTTTTCTTCCTTCTTGTCTTAACTGCAGTATATATCTAGATTGTGAACTGAAGCCCAAGAGTACAGCATACACTTGGGTTTGATTCAGCCTCTGTTAAAGTTCATCCAAGTGAATCTTCAGTCAAAAAAACTTCTTATTCTGAAGGACAAATTAAAATAAACTAGACCCTGTTCAAGAAAAGGTGATTCAGAGATAAAGTTTTGGAGAATGGGGACTGCACAGCAGGGTCTCCTTAGCTTGAAGGCAGTCTTTCTTTCACTCACCTGAATGTAAGCCATGCCTTTAAACTTGATTCCAATCAGTGTAGTCTCTGTGTGTGGTCTCTGAAAAAGGTGGGCTGTGAAAACTGGAAATACAAAGCAGGCAAAAGGTTTGAAGGAGAAAAGCATGTCTCTCCTGATCATCTCCAGTACATCCCTGGGCAGCCTTTTTCTGCAAGGAAAATAGTTATGCTCCATTCTGATTTTCAGTCAGCAGACTGGAAATTATGCCAGGTAGTTTGGGGTTTAAAATAACAATTTCATGGGGAAGGAACTAGCCAACCAACTCATTTGATGTCAAGGCACCATTTATTGTAGGCCTGTGCAGTGAAGCTTCTGATACAAGTGCCCTCTTGCCATCGGGCAGCTCCAGTTCTCAAATGCCCCTTTGGTGTTTGAACTCTGTCAATTCAGTGTTGCCATGTGTTCTCCTGTAAAGAGGTTAATACTTTCTCATTTGAATCTAGTGAAATACTCCAGGTAACATCCATCCATCCCCTTCTGCCGACCCTCTCTACCCGCCATGTCCCCTGCTGTAACTGCCCATTAATCAGCCCTGAGCTTGCCAATAGGAAAACGCATCCACGGGGCTGTGAACTCAATGGAATTAGAACAAATTAGCCTGTGACATGCAGGGACAGGCTCAGGTTGAGGGACAAGCCTGGAATGCAAAATCAGGTGGACAGAACACCCTTTAGCAGAAGGGGCTACAGCAGAGCTGTGAATGTAAAGCATCCATTTGTCTTGTACAGAGACAAAATGAAATCAGAGCTGCTTAATGAATTAAATAAAATACAACTAGGATAGCTTTTACATTTAGCACTGCAAAACCAGCGGAACTTAGACAACTGAAGAGCTAGACGGGACCTTACACATATTTTATCTACGTTACTTACTTTATAGATGAATAAACTGGAGTCTGCCCTGGGAGAGTTACCACGTATAAGGTCACACCCCACTCTCCTCCTTCCCAACTAAGGAAATTGATCCAGGTTATCAATATAGGAAAGAGTTCATTCCAAGCACAGCATGTCTAGATTCTAATGTTGCCTTGTAAGCAAGTTATCCGTCTACTTGCCCAGTGACAGAGGCCCTCCTTGCCACAGGAGGTACAGACTTAACAGAGCAGGTCAGGGCCCTGTCTCAGTTTCTCCCTGTCCTCCTCTGTAACAGGGCACTTACAGTACGTGAAGAGCCAGGAAGTTCTTTCCTCCCCTACGGAGGGACTTCGGGTTCTGTCCTCATCTGCTAGAATCTGGGTTATACAACATCCCCAGCACCTAACACATCGTGAAGGGGCACATTTTAGACTCCCAGAAAACCAGCTGGTTGTCGTTTCTCTCATGTAATAACACGTGGTGGGCTGAAATGGCCAGAAAGAAAGGTAGGACCTAATGACTAACAGTCAGGCGAGGCAGTGGACGCACTCTGCTGATGAGCAGCTTACAGGCGACACTGTGATCCTTCTTTCCTGGGGGCCTTCAAAAAGGCCACCATCATGGCCGGGCGCAGTGGCTTATGCCTATAATCCCAGCACTTTGGGAGGCCGAGGTGGGCGGATCACTTGAGGCCAGGAGTTCAAGACCAACCTGGTCAACAAGGCAAAACCTCGTCTTTACTAAAAATACAAAAATTAGCCAAGCATGGTGGTGCACACCTGTAATCCCAGTTACTCGGGAGGCTGAGGCAGAAGAATTGCTTGAACCCGGGAGGCAGAGGCTGCAGTGAGCCGAGATTGTGCCACTGCACTTCAGCCTGGGCAACAGAGCAAGACTCCGTCTCACCAAAACAAAACAAAACAGAACAAAACAAACAAACAAAAAAGCCAGTATCACTAACACGTATTTGTCTTGATTATTAAAGCTCTATCTGGAGTTGGAGAGTGGAATGGATGGATGATACTATTAAGTTCCTGAGAAACTTGAGACTAAATTTCTTTTATGTTAAAGAGAGAGGTTATTAGGGGTGCAGTGACCTCCTGAGGGCCTCCGCAGCTGGAAAAGAAGGCACAAGGTCAGGCCCCTGGGGCTAGTGGACCGCAATGCCAGCTCTGTGTCTCCCTGCCACCCCTCTTTACCTGGCATTTCCAGCTGCCACTTTCAGATTTCTCAGAGGTTGGGGTAACCATTCTTAAATACATTTACTTGGAGTACAAAATCAAGAACATCCTCATCTGTCCTTAGGACCCTCTCTCCTCTGTCACCACGCGATTGGTGGGTAGCCCTGTTTCTGGACCTCTGCTTATTTCCCTCTGTGATGTAGAATCACTTATTTACATGCTTGTCTCCTAGGAGACAGGAAAGCCTTTGAGGATAGAAATGATATGATAATAGTTCACCGATCGCACCCGTTACTTATTATAGACTGCTGCACTTTGTGTAATTTTACTTCCTCTTAAAAAAGGAATTCAGTTCTACTATGTGCAGGATTTGAATGGAATTTTAAAATCTACCTTTATTATATTTAAAATCTACTCTTAGATTTTAAATATTTGTTAGAATAAAACCCTGCTGTTTAACACTGCCCAAAATTACACAGAAGTATTTGGCAGGTGGTTTGTGACATTTATTACCAGAAGAGCCTTACTGTGACAACTTAACTCTTTCATACGGGTAGCAACAACTTCTAGCAGTCACCAGGATGGTGAAGGAACTAGGGACTCTCTTATATGTCCATATGTGGGCTGAAGCTTTGAGGATCAACATCCTACCTACCACCTGGCCACACTGCAGCTTGCAGCGTGGAAAACTATTCCAGCTGGCAGCTTGCTGGGCACAGGAGTTGTTGCCACTGGCTCTCACGTGCATGGCCAAGTGGGTGAGAGACTCCATAGAGTTTGCGCCCCAGGCAGGCCCATAACTTGTCTCACGCTAGTCTCAGCCCTGATCCTATGTTAATTTTGCGCCCTCTATTCTCATCTTTTGCAGTCTCACCCTCATTGCAACATCTAGCGCAGTAGTCAACATCGCCTGGGGACTTGTTATAAATGCAGATTCTCAGGCCTCAGCTCAGACTTGCTGAATCAGAAATTCTGACGGTGGAGCCCAGCTATCTGTATTTCCCTCTGGGTGGTTTTGATGCAAGCTTGAGTTTCAAAGCCACAGGTCTAGAGATGAGGGAGGTGGGTATTAATTGTTGATACAGGTTGGGGCCTGGCATGATGGCTCCTGCCTGTCATTCCAGTGCTTTGGGAGGCTGAGAACCAAGGATGGCTTGAGGCCAGGAGTCTGAGGTTACAGTGAGCTATGATAGCGCCACTGCAATTCAACCTGGGCGACAGAGCAAAACCCTGTCTCTAAAAAAAAAGAAAGAAAATAAAAAGCAGCCTGTCCAGTTTTCTGACTGTGAATCTTCTGATTGCCTCTCACCTCATCGAGTAGTCCCCAAAGTGCAGCCTGAGAACAGCTGGTACCTCCCACCCGCTGTCTGGCTCAGGTTTCTGGAATATGGTAACCCCCATCACCGCCAGTGTCAGAGCCCTAAGCTCCCAGTTGTCCAGGAGAGAGGTCCAGATATGTAAAGAATATGAAAAAAACTGAAGTTTAGTCTAAGAAAGGAGAAGATTAAGGACATGATACATGACATCGGATATTTTAAGGACCATTATGTAGAAACTTAGAATTTTTCTGTATTTATACGTTAGAAGCAGGACCAAAAGATAGAAGTTACAGGAGCTCAGATTTACACCAAAGAATAAGGAAAATCATCCTGACAATCACAGGTCCGTACATAGAATGCACGGCCTATAGGGATCATGGGTTCCCTCACTGCTCTTGCTCAGGCAAGGGGATAGGATTCTTGTCAAGGATATGGTAGAGGAACTTCACCATAAGACCAGGGTTACCTTAGATTACCCCAAGATTTCTTTTGACATTCTGTAATTTTAGTACCTTACATTTAATAGATACTCAACATACATAGGAAGGAAGGACAGAAGGGGAGGGACAGAAGAAAGGAAGAAGGGACAATGTGAATCATCCAAAAAGTATTGCTATCATGATTATTTGGTTTTCATTGGTATTCATTATGTAACATCAAGCTCACCTTCCTACTATATGTTGAGTTTATACAGTGTTACTTTTTATAAATATGCATCTGTGAGCACATATAAACTATGATTGGGAGAAGCAAAGGGGTGATTTATTGATTTATGCAACATATGCAGAGACACCTCTGGAGCCAGGCATTGGCAAAGTAGATGCTAGGGATGCAAAAAAGAGCAAGACACTGAGGCTTGGGCCTGTCTGAGACACGTCCACGTAGACAGCTCACTAAAGAGGGAGGCCCCAAGTAGATGAGAATTAAGAAAAGGGCTGAGTTCAGAAAGATGTGATGGCTAATCTAAAAGCAAAAAATAAAATTCACTAATTCTAGATTCATTTTCCTCTTCTGACTTTTCCAAAATTACTTTTCATATTAGTTCATTCTCACATTGCTAATAAAGACATACTCAAGACTGGGTGGTTTATAAAGGAGAAAGGTTTAATTGACTCACGGTTCAGCATGACTGGGGAGGCCTCAGGAAACTTACAATTGTGGCAGAAGGGGAAGCAAACATGTCTTTTTTTAATTTTTTTATTTTTATTTTTTATTATTATTATACTTTAAGTTTTAGGGTACATGTGCACAATGTGCAGGTTTGTTACATATGTACATGCGCTGCACCCATTAACTCGTCATTTAGCATTAGGTATATCTCCTAGTGCTATCCCTCCCCCCTCCCCCAACCCCACAACAGTCCCCAGAGTGTGATGTTCCCCTTCCTGTGTCCATGTGTTCTCATTGTTCAATCCCCATCTATGAGTGAGAACATGCGGTGTTTGGTTTTTTGTCCTTGCGATAGTTTACTGAGAATGATGATTTCCAATTTCATCCATGTCCCTACAAAGGACATGAACTCATCATTTTTTATGGCTGCATAGTATTCCACGGTGTATATGTGCCACATTTTCTTAATCCAGTCTATCATTGTTGGACATTTGTGTTGGCTCCAAGTCTCTGCTATTGTGAAGAGTGCCGCAATAAACATACGTGTGCATGTGTCTTTATAGCAGCATGATTTATAGTCCTTTGGGTATATACCCAGTAGTGGGATGGCTGGGTCAAATGATATTTCTAGTTCTAGATCCCTGAGGAATCGCCACACTGACTTCCACAATGGTTGAACTAGTTTACAGTCCCACCAACAGTGTAAAAGTGTTCCTATTTCTCCACATCCTCTCCAGCACCTGTTGTTTCCTGACTTTTTAATGATTGCCATTCTAACTGGTGTGAGATGGTATCTCATTGTGGTTTTGATTTGCATTTCTCTGATGGCCAGTGATGGCGAGCATTTTTTCATGTGTCTTTTGGCTGCATAAATGTCTTCTTTTGAGAAGTGTCTGTTCATATCCTTTGCCCACTTTTTGATGGGGTTGTTTGTTTTTTTCTTGTAAATTTGTTTGAGTTCATTGTAGATTCTGGATATTAGCCCTTTGTCAGATGAGTAGGTTGCGAAAATTTTCTCCCATTTTGTAGGTTGCCTGTTCACTCTGATGGTAGTTTCTTTTGCTGTGCAGAAGCTCTTTAGTTTAATTAGATCCCATTTGTCAATTTTGTCTTTTGTTGCCATTGCTTTTGGTGTTTTAGACATGAAGTCCTTGCCCATGCCTATGTCCTGAATGGTAATGCCTAGGTTTTCTTCTAGGGTTTTTATGGTTTTAGGTCTAACGTTTAAGTCTTTAATCCATCTTGAATTGATTTTTGTATAAGGTGTAAGGAAGGGATCCAGTTTCAGCTTTCTACATATGGCTAGCCAGTTTTCCCAGCACCATTTATTAAATAGGGAATCCTTTCCCCATTGCTTGTTTTTCTCAGGTTTGTCAAAGATCAGATAGTTGTAGATATGTGGCGTTATTTCTGAGGGCTCTGTTTTGTTCCATTGATCTATATCTCTGTTTTGGTACCAGTACCATGCTGTTTTGGTTACCGTAGCCTTGTAGTATAGTTTGAAGTCAGGTAGCATGATGTCTCCAGCTTTGCTCTTTTGGCTTAGGATTGACTTGGCAATGAGGGCTCTTTTTTGGTTCCATATGAACTTGAAAGTAGTTTTTTCCAATTCTGTGAAGAAAGTCATTGGTAGCTTGATGGGGATGGCATTGAATCTGTAAATTACCTTGGGCAGTATGGCCATTTTCACGATATTGATTCTTCCTACCCATGAGCATGGAATGTTCTTCCATTTGTTTGTATCCTCTTTTATTTCCTTGAGCAGTGGTTTGTAGTTCTCCTTGAAGAGGTCCTTCACGTCCCTTGTGAGTTGGATTCCTAAGTATTTTATTCTCTTTGAAGCAATTGTGAATGGGAGTTCACTCATGATTTGGTTCTCTGTTTGTCTGTTATTGGTGTATACGAATGCTTGTGATTTTTGTACATTGATTTTGTATCCTGAGGCTTTGCTGAAGTTGCTTATCAGCTTAAGGAGATTTTGGGCTGAGACAATGGGGTTTTCTAGATATACAGTCATGTCGTCTGCAAACAGGGACAATTTGACTTCCTCTTTCCTAATTGAATACCCTTTATTTCCTTCTCCTGCCTAATTGCCCTGGCCAGAACTTCCAACACTATGTTGAATAGGAGTGGTGAGAGAGGGCATCCCTGTCTTGTGCCAGTTTTCAAAGGAAATGCTTCCAGTTTTTGCCCATTCAGTATGATATTGGCTGTGGGTTTGTCATGGATAGCTCTTATTATTTTGAGATACATCCCATCAATACCTAATTTATTGAGACTTTTTAGCATGAAGGGTTGTTGAATTTTGTCAAAGGACTTTTCTGCATCTATTGAGATAATCATGTGGTTTTTGTCTTTGGTTCTGTTTATATGCTGGATTACATTTATTGATTTGCATATATTGAACCAGCCTTGCATCCCAGGGATGAAGCCCACTTGATCATGGTGGATAAGCTTTTTGATGTGCTGCTTGATTTGGTTTGCCAGTATTTTATTGAGGATTTTTGCATCAATGTTCATCAAGGTTATTGGTCTAAAATTCTCTTTTTTGGTTGTGTCTCTGCCCGGCTTTGGTATCAGGATGATGCTGGCCTCATAAAATGAGTTAGGGAGGATTCCCTCTTTTTCTATTGATTGGAATAGTTTCAGAAGAAATGGTACCAGTTCCTCCTTGTACCTCTGGTAGAATTCGGCTGTGAATCCATCTGGTCCTGGACTCTTTTTGGTTGGTAAGCTATTGATTATTGCCACAATTTCAGATCCTGTTATTGGTCTATTCAGAGGTCCAACTTCTTCCTGGTTTAGTCTTGGGAGAGTGTATGTGTCGAGGAATTTATCCATTTCTTCTAGATTTTCTAGTTTATTTGCGTAGAGGTGTTTGTAGTATTCTCTGATGGTAGTTTGTATTTCTGTGGGATCAGTGGTGATATCCCCTTTATCATTTTTTATTGCGTCTATTTGATTCTTCTCTCTTTTTTTCTTTATTAGTCTTGCTAGCGGTCTATCTATTTTGTTGATCCTTTCAAAAAACCAGCTCCTGGATTTATGAACTTTTTGAAGCGTTTTTTTTTGTCGCTATTTCCTTCAGTTCTGCTCTGATTTTAGTTATTTCTTGCCTTTTGCTAGCTTTTGAATGTGTTTGCTCTTGCTTTTCTAGTTCTTTTAATTGTGATGTTAGGGTGTCAATTTTGGATCTTACCTGCTTTCTCTTGTGGGCATTTAGTGCTATAAATTTCCCTCTACACACTGCTTTGAATGTGTCCCAGAGATTCTGGTATGTTGTGTCTTTGTTCTCGTTGGTTTCAAAGAACATCTTTATTTCTGCCTTCGTTTTGTTATGTACCCAGTAGTCATTCAGGAGCAGGTTGTTCAGTTTCCATGTAGTTGAGCGGTTTTGAGTGAGTTTCTTAATCCTGAGTTCTAGTTTGATTGCACTGTGGTCTGAGAGACAGTTTGTTATAATTTCTGTTCTTTTACATTTGCTGAGGAGAGCTTTACTTCCAAGTATGTGGTCAATTTTGGAATAGGTGTGGTGTGGTGCTGAAAAAAATGTACATTCTGTTGATTTGGGGTGGAGAGTTCTGTAGATGTCTATTAGGTCCGCTTGGTGCAGAGCTGAGTTCAATTCCTGGGTATCCTTGTTAACTTTCTGTCTCGTTGATCTGTCTAATGTTGACAGTGGGGTGTTAAAGTCTCCCATTATTATTGTGTGGGAGTCTAAGTCTCTTTGTAGGTCACTCAGGACTTGCTTTATGAATCTGGGTGCTCCTGTATTGGGTGCATATATATTTAGGATAGTTAGCTCTTCTTGTTGAATTGATCCCTTTACCATTATGTAATGGCCTTCTTTGCTCTTTTGATCTTTGTTGAGCTCCTGAAGGAAGCACTAAACATGGAAAGGCACAACCGGTACCAGCCACTGCGAAATCATGCCAAAATGTAAAGACCATCGAGACTAGGAAGAAACTGCATCAACTGACGAGCAAAATAACCAGCTAACATCATAGTGACAGGATCAAATTCACACATAGCAATATTAACTTTAAATGTAAATGGACTAAATGCTCCAATTAAAAGACACAGACTGGCAAATTGGATAAAGAGTCAAGACCCATCAGTGTGCTGTATTCAGGAAACCCATCTCACGTGCAGAGACACACATAGGCTCAAAATAAAAGGATGGAGGAAGATCTACCAAGCAAATGGAAAACACAAAAAGGCAGGGGTTGCAATCCTAGTCTCTGATAAAACATGTCTTTCTTTACATGGTGGCAGCAAGGAGAATAGTGAGCAAAAGGGGAGAAAGGCCCTCATAAAACCATCAGATCTCATTAGAACTCACTCACTACCACGAGAACAGCATGGAGGTAACTGCCCCATTGATTCAATTACCTCCCACCAGGTCCCTCCCATGACACATGGGGACAATGGGAATTACAATTCAAGATGAGATTTGGGTGAGGACACAGACAAACCATATCACTTTTAGTCCTTGCTTCCTTGGGGAATTTCTTTTTCTTATGTCCTATACCTTCAGTAACCTCATAGCCATATCTTCTACTAACTTCTCAGCACATTGTAGAAAATATTGCTTTTAACCATTACGTTAGTATTTTTAAAATAAGAAAGAAAACTGGATTTGGCAAAAAAAAAAAAAAAAAAAGAAGAAGAAGAAGAAGAAAGAGTTGTATAGTACTTCTATAATGTTTGTAGTAAAAGAATAGTTAATATTTTTGTTATTAGAAAATTGAAGTTACTCGTGGTTTCCCAAAGCTGTGATCTTACCTTTTATATTTGTCTTCAAACTCCCTACTTTTCTCCAATCCCTGATGTTTGAATCACTTCAGACTCTCAGGAAAAGGATTTTAGATGTTAGAAAGTTTGGAGACCAAATGCAGATTTATACGCAGTTCCAAATACAAACATGGAAGTGAAGATGGCCAGAGATTTTACTGTAAAATTAACCTACTTAGGAATGTTTTAGCTTCCTGTATTAAAGGGCATAAATTCCTGTCTTAACAAATACACATATATGTTCATTATATGGCAAATGCCTGTTGATGCAGAAAGGTTGAGGATGTGATATGCTGATAAACTGAACATTCTAGAAATGAATTCACTACATTCAGCACATGAAATGAAAATGTCCACGTTCAATGCAGAACACTGAGCAGTATCACAAAGACTTTAATCTCTGGCAATCTGAAGGCACATCAGGGTCCACCCTCCAACCATAGTCACCCCTCTCTGGGCATCAGCTGTCATCATCCAGTGTTGTGGTCCTGGAGATTAGCCTGAAACTGCCTGATCTTACCCTGTGACTGCTCTGGAAATTGCACTTTTGAATCCACTCCCCAATAACTATTTGTTCACTTCACATTTTTCCTTTATGCACAACGATCTAGTCAGAAGTGGGTGGAGAGAAACCCCCACCACTGGGTTGCTTTCGTTGCTGAGATAACATTGGGACTGAGAACTGGGTCTTCAATGATGACTCATGAAGCCTGTGCTACCTCCACACTCCCGGTGGCTGTGGCTCTGGGAGCACACGTGGTGGCCTGGGCCTCATAGGTCACCACCAGCAGGAAAGCAGCTGGGAGCCCAGCTCCTATGAGGCCCATAGTAGCCATCTTTGTATACAAAGACCTGCCTGTTTTGTGTCCATTCCAATACTGCATTTAAGAGCCTTTCTGCCTTCTCTGGCAATGTTATGTGTGCTGAATACTACATGTATCAAGAAGAAAGGAATGGAAACCTCCATGACAGTATTCGGCTACCTCTTCAGATAATTTACCCAAATCTTTCAGATACATTTAAACAATTCTTTTGTCTATGATTTAACTGTTACAAATAATGCCAGTGTTCAAATCTGAAAATATTCTTCACATAGCTGGCGTTGCCATTCTCTACTTACAATCCCACTGTGACTCTAGGCATATAATGTTCTTTTGCATAAAATGTTCTTCTGCCTTTATCTCTCTTCTCTGCTTCCTGCCAAGCTTCCATTCCAATGTCCCTCCATTCCCTTTCCAGTCAGAGACCAGGTGCTTCTCTGCCTGCCTTGCTAATCTCTCCTGCATCCATTCACCTGTCTCCATACCCCTGCTATTATCCTAGCCAGGCCTGTAATTTTTAGAGCTGAAAAGAACCACCTCGTCCAAGCCTTTGCTTTCGAATGAGGAAAATCACCTAAAGAAATGAAGTTAATGGTCGTTGCTTCAGGACTGTAGCTTGAATATGACCATAACACCACCTTTCTCTAGACCTATACACACTATCACACAGCCAGTGTCTCTCCACCTCAATACATCCTGCAGAGATTCCAGGCTGTTCTTTCTGAGCCACTGCCACTAGGCTCCTTCTCAGCTCAAAACCTTTAGTGATCCTCCATTGCCTCCAGAAAAAAATCCAAACTTCTAAAACTCACATTCAACCATCAAGCTCACTCTTCCCAATCCTACCCTTTAGATACACTTTGCAACCAAGTCAACTGACCTATTCATCCCCAGGTATTCTTCACCTGTCCAGGTGAGCTTTTACTCTCACACCTATGTGCAGGCAACTCACAAGTCTGGGTCCCACTCCTAGGTGAGAGCAAATATTGAGTGCCCCACTTTCCAAGAATGCCTTCCTGGTTCCCACCAATTAAAAATCATCTCTCCTCTACTATTAGTGACACAGTTTCTCATTCATATCTCCCTTATGTCACCCATTAGCTTGTATAACAATTTTGTGAACACACTCACTTGGATAGTCTCTGTAGGTCTAAAGCTTCTTACAGAGAAGATCCTAGTGTGTTTCACTTTTGCATATAGTACCCACAACTCTTGCTTATAGCACCCACTCACCTAGGATTCAGAAATGAACCAGTTTGTTCATATATTTCCAAGTTATTAGCCAGTAAAGTTAGAACTCTCTAATTTCTCATAATCAAATGTTAACTTTTTGTTCATCCTTTTTGTTAGATGCAGTTGAGATGGAGACGATATTATTTTTGTTAGGATACACAGCTGAACTGTTAGGATAAACAGTGTAACTGTCACCCACTTGAAGATATTTTAAATTAATTATATACTAGTAGACGTATTTGACATAAAGTGTAAAACAATGTAAAACATCAAATAAATAAAATTTTTCTTCTAAAGGAAGTCTCACCCCCACCCCTTCCATACACACACATTTACACACAAAAGACTAAAGTTATCATAGAAACTCATCAAACGTTTACTGCCATCTTGTGGACAGACAGACATTAGCAAAATACCCAAAAGAAATAACAGCCTTTTATTTGCCTAAGCGGCCTCTACTTAAATGCTGTGTGATTAAACCAAAGGAAGCAGCCTCTTCGTTAATTAAACCATTTGCCCAGAAAGTGGTTAGTCAATGCCAGGGAAGCCTTTGTTAATTGTTCTTTATCATTACAGAACCCTAAAATGGTTGTCAGAAATGTGCATACAAATTATCTTCGTGTTCTCATTCCGAATATCCAAGAAGGGGTGGGAGCAGGGGCAGGTCAGGAAAAGGTGACTGGGTACATTTGTATAGGCTTTGCTTCCTGGAGCAAAAAAGCACAAGAAATCTTTTAATTAATGCATTAGCAATTAGCAGTTTGCACCCCAAAGTACACAATTTACTCTTGATGGTTCAACAGTCTCCTTGATAAATTGCTCCCAAACAAGTAGACATCGAAGATGAAGAAATGCCTGTTTCTCCACGTTACTGTAAAATCTGTGATTCACAGAAGGGACTACCAATGGCCATATTATTACCACTTGCATATTGGAATTTAAATTAATCCATAAGAAATGGGCATGAAATAGGGCTAACAAAATAAAATATTACTCAGCCTCCCGAGTAACTGGGACTACGGGCATGCGCCACCGAACCGGGCTAATTTTTGTATTTTTAGTAGAGACCAGGTTTTACCATGTTGGTCAGGTTTGTCTCAAACTCCTGACCTCAAGTGATCCGCCTGCCTCGGCCTCTCAAAGTGCTGGAATTATAGGCATGAGCCACCGCATCCGTCCTGGGAGGTTTTCTTTTTGTGTTAAATATAGTCCTTATTCAAATACAAAGCTGGACCATAGCTCCACACGTTTTCATGCTATTACTTTGTCTCCAGGGTACTTTATTGCTTTCTGCTGGCCTATAATGAAACTCATATGTGGCACTGAACTTAAAGAAATGATTTCTTATATGAATAAAACTAGATCTCAAAGAGAACCAACCAAGGTGTGTAGAGCAAAGCTGACCCATGTAGCAGGCACTTTCCCTGCCGTGTCCCCACCCCTCTGCCCTTCCCTGTTTTGGTTCTCTGGGCCTCAGGATCACTGTGTTTTGCATTTCTTTCTTTCATCCTTGCCTGCTTGTGTTAATCACTCTAGGAAACTTGTTTAGACGTTAGCTGTCAGATAAGGCCATCCCCAGCAGTCAGAAGAGAATCGAATATTCACTTATTTATTCACGGAGCCAAAATGTATTGACCACTTACTAGGTACCAGTTTCTCTGTAGACATAAGGATCTGAAGGTTCAGAATCACTCACCTGCATCTGCTCAGGCTGAGGGGAGTCAAATAGAAGACAGGAACAGAACGGCCTGGTAGGTGCAATGCCAGAGGTCTGTGCACAGGGTTGGCGGCAGCTTGCTGTACTAGATGTAAGGTGCATGGGGAGGAAATCAAGGGTGGCTGTCCTGAAGAGGTCAGGGAAAGGCTCATGCTAAAAGTACCTTTGCTCCATGTCAGGAAGCTTGACTGTTATGCTCCTGGAGAGTGGTCGTTGATGGTAAGTGACTTCGCCAGAGTTTCAGTTCACTTCTTTGGGAGCAATAGAAATGTAAGAAGGGAGAGGATACATGCAAAGGGATCAAGACTGGAATCAGGAAGAGTCGGCCAGGCACAGTGGCTCAAGCCTGTAATCCCAGCACTTTGGGAGGCCGAGGCGGGCAGATCACCTGAGGTCAGGAGTTTGAGACCAGCCTGGCCAACATGGTGAAACCCCGTCTCTACTAAAAATAAAAAAATTAGGCAGGCATGGTGATGGCCATCTGTAATCCCAGCTACTTGGGAGACTGAGGCAGGAGAATCACTTGAACCCAGGAGGCAGAGGTTGCAGTGAGCCAAGATTGTGCCACTGTACTCCAGCCGGGCAACAGAGTAAGACTCTGTCTCAAAAAAAAAAAAAAGAAAGAAAGAAAGAAAGAAAGAAAAAGAGTTGTTATGAAAGTCTTCCATAAATCCTGGCTACCATGGTCATATCCTGAGGCAGGCAGTGGAAATGGAGAAGACAGCTACTCAGCTCTTAAAGAGGTAGAAATAGCAAGGTTTAGTGACAGGTTGAATATGGATTCTGATTGCAAAGTGTTGACAATGACGCTCTGGTTTCTGTCTTGGGTGACTATGTGAAGTGTGGCGCTAGGAGGGAGAAAAAGTAATATCTTTTTCTCACTCATCACAGTTCATGGCTGAGACCCCTATCACAAAACACAAATTAACAAGAGGAAAGCATAGAGATTTATTTAACCTAACTTTTACCTGACACAGGAGACTTCGAAAATAAAGACCGAAAGAAATGAGGATATCTGTGTATTTTTATGGACAGTCCTGCAGAAGTATGATTGGAGGACAAACGGGTATGATCTAATGATAACAAACTGGGGGAAGCGGAGCAAGGCCTGTTTGTTCAGATTCTTCTGGGCATCTCTGTGTGACAGCCTTTCCCCCCCAAGTACAGGACAGGAAAGGGAATAATTAATGGTGAAAGCTCTAAGAGGAAGTGGGAGGAACAGGGGAGTATTTGAAATTAGCTTTGAATGGAAGGAAAGATATCTGGAAGTGAGGTTACAAGAAAAGATGGGTGTACATACAATTAAGTCTGTAGGTGGGAGGGTGAGAAGACGCTTCATTATCAACATGACAGTAATTAAATGCATCCTCAAACAGATCAGTTTGAAATGCCTCCTACTGTGAATAGACAAACTTGTTACGGAAACATCTCAGGAGACTCCTTGCAGGAAGGATGGGTAGATAGATGCTCCGATTCCTCCCGGTTTCTGCTTTGCCTTTACTTCCCTAATTTCACCCCACCGCCAGTGCTAACCTATTTTCAACTCAGAGCGGTTCTTGCCAAGATAGGTAGTGTTCTTTTTCTACATCCATTACTATTTTATCTTCTTGATCGCCTTCATCAGTACACATTTTCATGAGAATGCTTCCATGTTAGGTTTTATGAGAAGCCATGGAGGCTGCCTCCTGCCTTCTGTACATTGGTGATTTGACAAACAACAGTGATCTAGATGGAGGAGCTAAATATTAAACACATGACAATGCCATTGAAGATTATCTCAATTCTATGTGTGTGTGCGCACGCGTATGTGTGTCTATACGTAAATTTGGGGAGGGGAGGGGTAACCATTGCCTCCGTTTGCAAAGCTCAGTGCTTTCATTGGCGCTACCTTTTCATCCCAGGACAGTTTTGCTCGCACACACCAATTGTAGCTCCTTTTAAGGCGCTGAACTCTGATGTGTCGGCTGCTAGTATTGCCTGGAAACCAGCAGCACTGTGGTCATTCTTCAGGCTCCCTTTATATTGTTCTGGTAACATCCCCTGCTGTGAAGATTTCTCTGGCTCTGTCTGCTACAAATGTAGGGGATAGATATAATGCTGTCTCAGTCATTGTCACCTTTCTGAGCAGTACAGGCACGCTATGCAACACACGTGCAGTCAATTTAATAGGCATGACCGCTCTAGAAACTTTGGAGAAACAGCCAGCCTGGCCTCCTCACAAACTGTCTTTATTGGCCAGATTTCCACACTCAGAACCATCTCTGATTGTTTCTGTCCTGTTAAATATGAAATTGAGAAGTTCAAATGACAGCAAAGTGAAGCTTTTTGTACTTAAAGGTGTTGAAACTTACTCTTGACAAGGTCTATTTTAGGCTTTCATTTCATAAAAAAAAAAAACATGATCCACAATAAACTTTGATGACCCCACACATTGATCTGTTAGCAAGATCATCGCCTCATTTTCCTGCTAGAATCATCAAACACAATCTGTTCCTTTGGGGAGTGCTTTAAAAACATATAACCCTAATTGGAACTGTCTAGAGGTGTTTTGTTAGCTATCTTTCAGCCCCTTCTTTAAAAGCTGCATATTGCTACTGATAAGCACAGAAACTTTGGAATCAGACAGACCTACTGACCCACCCAGATATGTCACTCCTGTCCCAAACCTGTCTTCATCTATCAGAAGGCCAATACTATTTGCCACCCTGTCACAACTGTGTTATCATCATGTACTGAAACCCTATAGGGAAAGTAACTAACACAGTGCCTGCCTCATAGTGAGGGCTTGGTAAACATTAACTTAGGGAAAGACTTTTTTTTTTTTTTTTTTTTTTACTTTAAGTTCTGGGATACATGTGCAGAATGTGCAGGTTTGTTACATAGGTATACACGTGCCGTGGTGGTGGTTTGCTGCACCCATCAACCCGTCGTCTAGGTTTTAAGCTCCACGTGCATTAGGCATTTGTCCTAATGCTCTCCTTCCCTTGCCCCCACTCCACAACAGACCCCGGTGTGTGTTGTTCCCCTCCCTGTGTCCATGTGTTCTCATGTTCAACTCCCACTTAGGAGTGAGAATATGTGGTGTTTGGTTTTCTGCTTCCTGTGTTAGTTTGCTGAGACTCATGGCTTCCAACTTCATCCATGTCCCTCCAAAGGACACGATCGTATTCTTTCTTACGGCTGCATAGTATTCCATGGTGTATTTGTGCCACATTTTCTTTATCCAGTCTATCATTGATGGGCATTTGGGTTGGTTCCAAGTATTTGCTATTGTAAATAGTGTTACAGTAAACATATGTGTGTGTGTGTCTTTATAATAGAATGATTTATAATCCTTTGGGTATAGACCCGGTAATGGGATTGCTGGGTCAAATGATGTTTCTGGTTCTAGATCCTTGAGGACTTTTATTGAGGGAAGACAAGGGGGAGGAGAAAGTAGGATACAGGTCCTGCAAAAGGAAAGAGCCTAGGTCTTTGTTCTGCTATATCCCTTGTGGGCTACTATAACAAGGAAAAATTCCTGTGTGTAAAAAGTCTTGTGTCAGGCAGAGTTTTTTACTTGGACTATTGAAGATTTTTTTTCTTTCTTTCTTTGTTTTTACTATATAAATACTGTGACTCTTGCAACTGATCATGTTTTCCTCTTCATATTTTATGCCAGAAAGCCAACTACAAGCAAAACTCTTTTTTGATACTAATCTCACTTCTGGCACTATCTGATTTTCATGCACATTTTTTCCTTGCCTTACTTTTTGTTTTTATTTTAAATCCATATGAGATAGCTATATTATGTGCAACCATGTAAGCTGCTCTAAATCACTTTTTGGATAAAGGATATCCTTGATAAAAAATAAATAATGGATAGCCATATTTTTCCCTTTGGGTTCTAGTTTGGAATAATCCATTATTTATCTCAGAACTCAGCAAGTCAGAATCTTGCTCCAAGCCAGCAAAATCATCTAAGAGAATGCCCCAGAATTACTGCAGAGGTCACCTTTAGGCATGAATGGACAATGCGTTTCAAATGGCCCATTCATTCTGTCCTTGGCACAGATGCTGTTGTGGATAATTATTTTGATGCTAATATATGTGTATATCTTTTTTAATGTGGATACTAGACTGAAAAATTGGACTGAGACCAATAATCAACAGATGGCAATCACTCGGGGTCATGACTATTCTGGGCCACATTTTCACTGGTGACTTTCAATTATATTGAGACTTATAGTCCCAATCTGGCCTAGCAGTATCTCCCCCATTGTCTGCATACCCACTCAGCACCATCCCACTGTGACAGTCTGTGAATACTCTCCTTACAAGAAAAAAGACTTTCCTGTATGTGACTGCACAAGAGTCCCAAAGTAAAGATTGTAGAAATATTTCACCATCAGTGAACTTGAAATATCCTGTATTTTTATTTCTTAGTGTTATTACACTTAGTGTAAGTGATGCTTCAAAACCTATTCTTTTTAAAAAGCATCTGTCTCAAGGAGTATCATTTGGAAATAGCATGAAAAAAGTGTCGTAGGTCACTGCAAAAGTAGATTTGACCTGTGTCAGTCATATTTGAATGATTCGGTTTAATCTCACACTTTGCTATTGAACACATACTCTTTTCAAGCCACTCTGTGTGTGCTACAGGATGACAGCTCTGAAGGAGTCCATGATTCAGGTGGGTACAACATTGTCTCATTATGATATGTAATACGGAGGACATAGTGATGAGGATTTCCCATCATGCCTCCCTTTACTGTTTAGAGCCATATTCATGCAATAATAGGAAGCAGCTGAGGCAGCTGTCATCCCAGAGGCAGCTCAGTCATGCCCCAAATACCTTGGTTGGGACCTCTTGAACAAGAGTGATAGGATATGCAACTCAACCTAGATTAAGCAAAAATGGGGAATTTACTGGCCAATGTAATGGAAAACTCAGGGCCTGGAAGCTACTTCAAAATATTTTAATCTCATGACTCAAACAATGTCACCAGGATCCCATCTTCCTCTCTCAGAACCTGTAGCTCTGCCTGCCTGTGCTGGCTTCAGCCTCAAACACATCCTGGCTACTTGGCAGCCCCAGAAGCTCTATTGTTACTTCCTTACAACTATGAGGGAAAAGGCATCTTCTCTTTCCCAGTTGCTTCAATACAAGTTCTGGGATTCATTCCGATTTGCTGAACTTGATCATCCCCATATTAGTTTGCTAGGGCTGCGTAACAAAGTACCCCACACTGTGTGGCTTAAACATCAGAGATATATTGTCTCACAGGTCTAGAGGCCTGAAGTTGATCAGGATGTCAGCAGAGTTGGTTCCTTCGGAGGCTGTGAGCCTCTGCTCCCTGCCTCTCTTCCAGCTTCTGGCAGCCCTGGCCTGTGGCTGGCTTTCTCTCTGTCTTCACATTATCCTCTTCTATGTGTGTCCAAGTTTCCCCTTTTATTAGGACACCAGTTATCCTGGATTAGGTCCCACTCAGTGATTTATTTCATTTAAACTTGATTACCTCTATAAAAATCCTATATTCAGCCAGATGCAGCAGCTCATGCTTATAATCCCAGCACTTTGGGAGGCCGAGTCACGTGGATCACTTGAGGTCAGGAGTTCGAGGGCTCCAAACAAGAAGAAGGAGAAGGAGAAGAAGAAGGGGAAGAAGGGGGGAGGAGGAGGAGGAGGAAGAGGAGGGGGGAAGAGGGGAAGGAGGAGGAGGAGAAGGAGGAGGAGGAGGAGGAGGAGGAGGAGGAAAAAATGTATATCGAAATAAGGCCACAGTGTGAAGTAGTAAGGGTTAAGACTCCAACCCATCCTTTTTAAGGAAGACACAATTCCCCATAACAACCCCTAAACCAAACACTATGCAAGAGGAACAAAAAGCACTTATTGGCTGCTTCCAGATCACTTGAGCAACCCCAGAGCTGACAGTGGTGTCATCTCCTTAAATATAAGGGGTAAGAGTGAAAAAGGATTTGTTCTCCCAGGAAAAATCAGACTAATCTACCCAAAGAAGGAGAACCAGATGCTGAGTAGGCAAAAGCAATATTAATTATAGTAAATATTTACATCAAAACAAAGGCCTCAATCTTATGCACATACCTACATCTGACCTACATATGAGTAGCCAGATACATTACTGAGTGCATACACTGTATTATTTAAATAGAATCATAGCATTCACATTTCTCTCTACTACTCCACTGGTTAAGAGAAGTTTTGCATTTGAGCATCATTTTAATAAGATGAAATTGCATTGGGCTGCTTAGATGCCAACAGTGGGGAGGGTAAACCTAACAAGAACAAGAAGACAATATTGATCGCCTGCTTCCATCAGTTACCAAAGAACAAAGCATCGATGGTTGAGGAGCAGAGGGATGGGCATGGCATCACCTTTGGCTGGTGTCTGGCCGTGGATGAAAGCAGGAAGGAGCAGCTATCAGGCAGGGATGTTGAATTTACAGCAGGGGGTCTTCCCATCCCCCTCTCATGTCACAGTCAGTGTTACGCATCAACCAAGGCATTTGTTTCCATTGAGCCTCCGCAGAGCTCAGAACCAAGCATGTGTGTGGTCTCGGTGTCTGGCACACCCAGGAGTCATGCAGCGCACCTCTTCATTCCCACACCTAGCAGCCAAGTGCCAGTTTCTTCAGGCCAGGCTCCAGGTAATCTTTACTACCCAATCAGAATTGGCTCAAGAAATTCAAGCCACTTGCCTTCTGGGCCTTAAAGCCTCCATCGGGCCTTCTAAGATTTCTTTTTTTTGGTGGGGGGAGTGGGATGGGGAGACAAGATTTTGCTTCGTTGCTCAGGCTGGAGTGCAGTGGCACGATCACAGCCAGGCACAGTGGCTCATGCCTGTAATCCCAGCACTTTAGGAGGCCAAGGTGAGAGGATCACTTGAGCCCAGGAGTTCAAGACTAACCTGGGCAACATAGTGAGATCCCTGTCTCTACAAAAAAAAAAAAAAAAATTTTAATGAGCCAGGCATGGTAGCATGCACCTGTACTCCTAGTGACTCAGGAGGATGAAGTGGGAGGAACCCTTCTGATATTTCTGCCCTAAGAGTGCTTCCTCTCCTGATCTCTCTTAGGCCCATCTTGTTCCTGGATGCTTATTTTATATGCATCCAAATATGCACAAGACATATATTCAGTATCACCAAATAGTAGTTTTATTGTATGTAATAAATCCTTGGCTTGGCGCACTCTTATATAGATTAGAAACAGTATTCTTTATGTCAATGAATGTCACCACTTCTGTCAAGTACTTCTAGTTTCTACAGGCTCAAGAATACCTTTTCTTGACAATGGTTCAGGATATAGGCTGGTATTCTGCCAGCCTTCTCACTGTTAGTTCATTTCTTTAATAGCATCTTGGTGAGAGTCTTTTCAGAACCCAGGGACTCCAGCCTCCACCCCTTCTATTAACTAAAAATCCCTGAATAACCCTCCATATGGTGCCGGCATGGCATTTGATAAATACCTTGCTGATTATTTATCTGACTTTACATTTATTTTGACAGATTGAGCACGTTAGTCTGTATTGAAACTAAGCTCTTGTTGTAAATATCTTCCTACGGCTCTCTGGCGCTGTGTTGAGTGATCTACTGAACTTCTGCCACAGCAAACTTGGGGGAAATGAGGAAAAGGAAGGCACACTCTGAAACAAAAGCAGACAAAAGCAATTCTGAAAAGCAAGAAAAGGGACAGAACTCCATTGGAGGTCCTGGTGAATATATTTGTACCTTCTGTCAGCACGTCTCGTGACTGTAAACTGCTGTAACTACCAGGATCAATAAAGGGCAAGGCCTTGAGATAGTAATTATGCTAATTGGTAGTGACTAGAAAACACGCAGGCTGCAGGATAAGCAGACAGTGTCTTGGGAGAAACAGACACATTTGTTAAGAAGGGCAAGGTCTGGTAGGCTTCGTGAGACTTTTCCTATAATCAGTTTTCTAAGAAACACCACGTGCATCAGCCAACATAGTTTGAGTTCTTCCCTCGGTAGAAGATTGTACCAGGCACTGCAGAAGAATATCCAAGAAAGAAAGACTCAGCACCTGCCTTCTGGAAGCTTACAGCTTAGCTCATTCTCCAGGCATGCCCAAGCACGTGCACACACGCACACACACACACACACACACAAATTGAAAGACATTTTTACTGTATAAAAAATTGTCAAGAACTGAGAATCTGCCAGATATGGTGACTCATACCTATAATCCCAACTACTTAGGGATGCTGGGATGGGAGGATCACTTGAGGCCAGGAGTTCAAGACCAGGCTGGCCAATGTAGTAAGACTGTCTGTTAAAAAAAAATAATTAATTTTATATTAGCTGGTCTTGGTGATGCACACCTGTAGTCCCAGCTACCAGGGAGGCAGAGGCAGGAGGATCACTTGAACGCGGGAGTTGAAGTCTGCAGTGAGCTCTGATTGTACCACTGCACTGCAGCCTGGGCAACAGAGTAAGACTCTATGTTAAAAGATTTTAAAATTGAGAGAACTAAGAACGTAAATACCAGAATGCTATCAAAATGAGAAGGGACCAAAGTCAAGTGGTTTGTAGGTACCATGTTTGAGATGGAGCTTTGACTAGAGACTGGATGAAGGCATCTCAAGGCAAGAGATTTTTGTTCTTGGTAAAGAAAGTTAAGAATCTCTGACACAGAAGCTTCCCAGTTGTCATTGTATTACAGTTGCGAAAAACACCTTATTAGATGTGGAAGTTTAAAAGCTATCATTTACCATGTCCATGAATGTAACATGGATACTGCAATGAACTGAAAGTTTGTGTCCCCACAAAGTCCGTATGTTGAAATCCTAACTCTCAATGCAATGGTGTTGGGAGATGGGGCCTTTGGAAGATGATTAGGTCCTGAGGGTGAAACTCCCACAAATGGGATTAGTGCCCTTATAAAAGGAACTGCAGAGAGTTCTCCAGTCTCTTTCTACAATGTGAAGCAACAATAAGAAGACAGAAGTCTGCAACCCAGGAGAGGGTCCTCACCAGAACCCACCCATGCTACCACCCAGATCTTAGACTTCCAGCCTCCCGAACAGGGAGAAATAACCTTCTGTTGTTCATAAACCACCCAGTCTATGGTACTTTATTATAGCAGCTCAAACTGGCTAAGACAGACACTATCTTTGAACTGGTAATCAAATTAGTTAATCAGAGTGTGTGGATAGGTACCAAAAGAATAGACAAGCCAGTTGATTCACATTAATTACCTTGCTGGGCCACTGTGAAATTCTGAACTTTCCAATAAGCATTGACGATTAAAATTTTAGACAAAATTTTCTCTGGTCATTCGATTTATATATAAAGCTCAAGTATGAATAAAGCCTAAATATAGCTTAGTTAAATACATGAAAATTTAGAAAGACTATTGGAACGTCCTGGCTCTGTAAATATCAAATTCCTTTATCTTAATTGCAGCCTCAAATCACTAGCTCCAGTTATGAAAGATTACTTTCTCCAGAAACTAGACTACAGAATAGTAAGTAAAGTTTTCTATTATTTTATTCCATGAAAGAGATATGGGAAATCATAAATACCACACTTATCCTAAGTATCATATTTCAGTGTTTAAAGAAAATTCTGACAGTTCTGATTAAATAGGTCAGATCCGAAGGATAAGATTCACCATAGAGCTCTGGACTCCAATGTATGTCTTTTAAAAGAATGTCCAAACAGCACTATCATGTGAATTTCGTGTATTGGGTGTTCCGTGATGTTGGGTAGTGTAGAAAGAGACCTGAGCTAAAACCTGTGATGATAAGTCATTTCCCCTCCAAGGGCTGGCTGCAGCTTCCACTCTGCAGAAGGGATGAAGTTGGGCAGGGAGAGTATGACCTGGATGATCTATGAGAGCTTTGGAGTTCTGAACAAACGTTGGAAACGGATTTAGGGAACATGTTTGCAGGGTTGCATAACTGCTACCAGCAGGGGGCAGCACGGCTCAGATAATTACTATTTCTTGCCCTTCCTCATTTAGGAAAAACCTATGGAAAATAGGGACTTACCCCTCAGCCTTCAGGAGTCCTGTAACATATAATGGACCAAAGCCAAGGACTGCCCTTGCCTCCAAAGGGTTTGATTTTTCAAGACACAAACACCCGATAGGTGCACCGTCAACGACATTCCCCACGGACGCCTTCAATGATGATGTGACTTAGTGTTGACTTTCCTTTTTATCTTTGTCTTCTCTTTATTTCCTAGTTGTTTCTAGTCAGAGGAAGGATAGCTTTATACAGAAATAGGATTTATTTATTTATTTATTTATTATTTATTTTAATTGATCATTCTTGGGTGTTTCTCGCAGAGGGGGATTTGGCAGGGTCACAGGACAATAGTGGAGGGAAGGTCAGCAGATAAACAAGTGAACAAAGGTCTCTGGTTTTCCTAGGCAGAGGACCCTGCGGCCTTCCGCAGTGTTTGTGTCCCTGGGTCCTTGAGATTAGGGAGTGGTGATGACTCTTAAGGAGCATGCTGCCTTCAAGCATCTGTTTAACAAAGCACATCTTGCACCGCCCTTAATCCATTCAACCCTGAGTGGATACAGCACATGTTTCAGATAGCACAGGGTTGGGGGTAAGGTCACAGATCAACAGGATCCCAAGGCAGAATTTTTCTTAGTACAGAACAAAATGAAAAGTCTCCCCCGTCTACCTCTTTCTACACAGACACGGCAACCATCCGATTTCTCAATCTTTTCCCCACCTTTCCCCCCTTTCTATTCCACAAAACTGCCACTGTCATCATGGCCCGTTCTCAATGAGCCGCTGGGCACACCTCCCAGATGGGGTGGTGGCCGGGCAGAGGGGCTCCTCATTTCCCAGTAGGGGCGGCCGGGCAGAGGCGCCCCTCACCTCCCGGACGGGGCGGCTGGCCAGGTGGGGGGCTGACCCCCCCCACCTCCCTCCCGGACGGGGCGGCTGGCCGGGCGGGGGGCTGACCCCCCCACCTCCCTCCTGGACGGAGCGGCCGGCCAGGCAGAGGGGCTCCTCACTTCCCAGTAGGGGCGGCCGGGCAGAGGCGCCCCTCACCTCCCGGACGGGGCGGCTGGCCGGGCGGGGGGCTGATCCCCCCACCTCCCTCCCGGACGGGGTGGCTGGCCGGGCGGGGGGCTGACCCCCCCACCTCCCTGCCGGACGAGGTGGCTGCCGGGCAGAGACGCTCCTCACTTCCCAGACGGGGTGGCTGCTGGGCGGAGGGGCTCCTCACTTCTCAGACGGGGCGGTTGCCAGGCAGAGGGTCTCCTCACTTCTCAGAGGGGGCGGCCGGGCAGAGACGCTCCTCACATCCCGGACGGGGCGGCAGGGCAGAGGTGCTCCCCACATCTCAGATGATGGGTGGCCGGGAAGAGGCGCTCCTCACTTCCTAGATGGGATGGCGGCCGGGAAGAGGCGCTCCTCACTTCCTAGATGGGATGGCGGCCGGGCAGAGACGCTCCTCACTTCCCAGACGGGGTGGCAGCCGGGCAGAGGCTGCAATCTCGGCACTTTGGGAGGCCAAGGCAGGCTGCTGGGAGGTGAAGGTTGTAGCGAGCCGAGATCACGCCACTGCACTCCAGCCTGGGCGCCATTGAGCACGGAGTGAACGAGACTCTGTCTGCAATCCCCGCACCTCAGGATGCCGAGGCTGGCGGATCACTCGCGGTTAGGAGCTGGAGACCAGCCCAGCCAACACAGCGAAACCCGTCTCCACCAAAAAAATACGAAAACCAGTCAGGCGTGGCGGCGCGCGCTGGCAGGCTGAGGCAGGAGAATCAGGCAGCAGTACCGTCCAGCTTCAGCTCGGCATCAGAGGGAGGCCGTGGAGAGAGGGAGAGGGAGACCGTGGGGAGAGGGAGAGGGAGAGGGACAGAGGGAGAGAGGGAGAGAGGGAGAGGGCAGGATTTTTTTTAAGTAAGAATTCTTTACCAATCCTTCTTTCCCCAACATAAAATCTCCTATTTGAAGTGAAGTTTGAGGTAGGGACTCGAGAGGCAGTGCCTCAAGAAAGCCACACATTGTACAATGGAGAGCAGGGATGAAAACATTGTATAGAAGGAAATGACTCTTCCTTTTGTTAGGAAAGGAAAAAAGAAAAAGAAAAAAGCCATTAGCTGAGCAGTGCTGCCCCCTGCAGCTGAAAGGAAATGAGAAAAGAGGCTGAAATAATTGAGCTCCCTTGTTCTGTGAATTGTGTTTTCTTTGCAGGATTAAGTGTTTATTTAAAAATCCAACTTGCATTATAGCAGAATACTAAATTCTGTCTTCTAATTAATTTTTAAAGCTCAGATTTGATAGCAGGATTAATCTTAGCCTTATTTTCAAGACAATTTAAAAATTACTAGAGAACATTTGTTTCATTTAATAAAAACGTATTACCCTACAGTAAATTGCAATTCAGATTATACGTTGAGCTTCCATTTGGCTGAAGTATGTACTCTTGAACGGCTTTGTCTAAAATTAGAGACCATTTTCCTATAAAACAAGAGTGCTTGAGGGCTTGAACATCCAAAAATGTTACCTTAAGAGTAACGGGCTGTGGTATAGAAACTGCCATCATCAGATAATTACAACCACTTAAATGAAAGCACCTCTATCCACCCTTTCTTTTCCTTCCATCTTCTTTTTCTATGGGTGCTGTTCACATGCTGTCATAATTCCAGGGAGAGTTGCATAATGGAAAAAAACAAAAACAACCCTGTGCTTTGAGCTAGGGATCCAGGGTTTAACACCCTACTCTGCACTTTACAGTTTGTTTGACCTTGAACTGGCCACACAAGTATTCTGAGCTTATTTTTGCCATCTCCAACATAGGAGAAATAATAAGACCTATCTCACCAGGCTTTTGTGAGAACTGACTGAGAAAACAAAGAGCTCCTGTCAACCACTGGATGATGGTAGCTGGGGGACTTCTCTTAAGATAGGAAGTCAGCAAGATGGCTGTCGCGGATTCCTCTTCTCCATATGCGCATGTCAAGAGACAGAGGCTAATTCTCCTCTTCTGAATCTGGGCTGGCCTGAGTGACTAGTTTGACTGATAGAACCAATGGCAGTGACATTCTGGGACTTCTAAGGCTGGGCCATAGAAGTCTTACAGCTTCCACCTGTGTCTCTTAAATGCCTGCTCTTATAATGTTATAATCTTTCACAACCCAGCCACCAGGCTGTGGAAAGCCCAAAGCACATGGAGAGGCTATGTGTAGATATACCAGTTGGCAACCGAGCTGAGCTCCCAGTCAGCAGCTAGTGTCAACACAGGCCACACGAGTGAGCCATCTTGGGCATCTATCCCACTTGAGCCTTTAGACCCTTCAAGCTCCAGCCGTATGACAGATCCTGGACACAGACTACCCACTGAGCCCAGTCAACCCTCTGGGCTACAAGAGACGAGCATAAACTGTTATGTTAAGCCACTGAATTTCGGGGTGTCTGTTACATAGGCAATGAAAGATAATCGGAGAAAGCTACAGGGCAATTTTCTATTTTAAAGAGCAAATAGAAAAAACCCAAAGAAACACCTGAGAAGGAGGGGGTCTTACTATATGCATTTATCTGTATTTCATTATCTTGCCTCTCTAGTCATTGTTTCAAAACTTCCAGATAAGTTCAATTAGATTTGGAAGGAACATAGTGGGAGTTGAACAAATGTTGGTTGGATGACTAAGAAAATGAGCCAATGTATGAATGTTTCCTACGACATTAGTCCTCTAGTAGAAAGTATCTAATGACCAACAATCAATCAAAAATTTCCTTAAGAATTTATTATTTATAGGCTATTTTGGAATATAACCCTATCCCAAAGAAGTTCAAGTCTTATAAATAAAGGACTTGAATTAAAAGGACATTTGAAATAATGACGTGGCCGGGCTTGGTGGCTCACGCCTGTAATCCCAGCACTTTGGGAGGCTAAGGGGGCTGATCGCTTGAGCCCAGGAGTTCAAGACCAGCCTGGGCAATATGGGCAAACCCTGTCTCTACAAAAAATACAAAAATTAGCTGGGTGTGATGTCACATGCCTGTAGTCCCAGCTACTCAGGAGGCTGAGTGGGGAGGATCACTTGAGCCCAGGGAGGTAGAGGCTGCAGTGAGCCATGATCACGCCACTGCACTTTAGTCTGGGCAACAGAGTGAGACCCTGTGTCAGTATAGATAGATGGATGGTTGGATGGATGGATAGATAGATAGATAGATAGATAGATAGATAGATAGATAGATAATGTGCAGATTTGTTTGGTAGGAGTTACAGACAGAAGATGGATTGGGGATGAAGAAATGCACTCAGATTGCTAGAGCTAGGAAACACCTTTTCTGGGATATGGATCACTCTGCACTCAGAAGACTAGGTGAGATGACAGAAGGAGTACTCTGGAGGCTGGATGTGGTGGCTCACACCTGCAATCCCAACACTTTGGAAGTCTGAGGCAGAGGATCACTTGACACCCGAAATTCAAGAGTCTGGGCAACATAGCAAGATCCCATCTCTATTAAAATAAAGAAAAAGAGGGAGGGAGGGAAGGAGGTAGCGAGGAGGGGAGGAAGGAAGGAAGGGAAGGGTGTTCTGAGTGAGATGTTTGGGAACCAATAAGAAAGATTTTATGATGGGGATTAGTACTCAATATGAGTAGGTGCCCAACACAGGATTACAAGAGGCATAAAGTTCAGCATAATCAGAGCCCCGTCAGAGCCATAACAGACCAAAATTCCCCTCTGTGGGGAATTCAGTGTGGTCTAGAGACAGGAAGAAGGGGAGAGAGTGAGCTGAGAAGCTTCAGTCCCTAGGGGTTGGAAGTGTGTAGGATGACCCACACATTCCCCTGAACTAAAAACTCCGAGGGAATTGGAATGGAGGGAACACTTATTCATGCTGAGGAGCCTCATAGCGTGAGGATGGTGCATCACCACAGGTACACGATGCCATGGGCATTTTCAGAGGATCTTTATTTTTACTGCAATCTCTCTGAACCCTGTAAAACAGGGACAATAGAAAACTGAAAGTAGGGGTGTGGCCCACCCAAGGCCACCTGACTAGTTAGTAGACAGCCCAGACCCAGGTCTTCTGCCCTATGGGTCAAGCTCGCACCGAACTGCTCCACCCTCTCCAGATTTTATTTTGTTCAGGGCCCACCAATGTCTCCAATGACCTTGTTTACAGCACAAAATAATGCCACCAGGCTTCTCTTTAAAGCCGTTTTGAGAAATGGCATATTACTCTCTGTTAGAAATAATGACTCTGATTGCTGGACCAAAATACAGCGTGTCTATCACCGAAATAATTCAAAAAGCTATTTTTGTGGGTCACATTCTATGTGATAAAAACCGTCATTTTAGTTGACTTTAAAGGACACATCTCTCTGTAAATCCATAGAGCGTGCTGTAGTCTGTCGGCTGAATGTGACACCTTCCACAAAGAGTATATAAATGACTCTGATTCAGAACGGAGGTTGAGCAGATAAATAAAGTTGACAGTTCACAGAAGAGGTCTTCATTACTAAATTATTTGGGGAGGTTTTGTAAGTCAGGAAAACTAATCTGCAACTAATGCTCCTTTGGTGCCACTTATCCCGTAGCCATCTCCTCACACTGACTGCAAAGCAAGCGCATGGAGTTTTACCTCCCCATCATCAATTACAAATATGTCCCTTTTTTACTCCTCTCTGTGAGATTGCATTTCTTATAAATTGCTCTGCACCGGGGCCTTGTGAAGTAAACATCCAAATTTCACAGGCATCTGTGTCCACCTTAGCCAGCAAGTGACGGCCACCTTCTTGAAGCAGCTGGAGCCAGGCTGGCCTCACGCGTGGTCAGACACAGCAGGAGGAGGACGGAAGCCACGTGCTAGGTCACAAAGCTGCGTGTCCACATCCCACGTGATAGATCTGCAGAGGCTGCTTGGCTTGTCAGAAACTGATGGCCACAGGCACAAATCAAGCCAGTACCCTTCTGCCAGAGAATCAGCAGAATCTTCCTACACCTGTTTGGTGGCAAGGGTCAGGGACGTTCTGCAGCATAGATGGCAGGAGAGCTTTTTATGGAAGCCACAAGAAGGCAGACATCATTGATGGATGTCCACTGGAGGCCAGTACCCTACTGGAGGAGCTTCATGCTCAGTCCATCAGCTGGGGAAACCATCATTGCACACGGTTTAAAGACCTGAAAGGATCAACTCTGTGTGTTGCTGTCAGTCATTTGCTGGGTGAAACAAAGGGTTGAAGTGTGTGTAGGAGAAATCTTTATTTTGAAATCTAACAAGGCTATCTAAGAATGTTCACAGGATGCTTACAACAAAATGGACTTAAATATAATGATTTACACTAATTTTTAGAATTTATACCTGCATAGTTAGAGGATACAGGAGAAAATATAGTATATGAAGATAATCTATATTTTTTCTTTTGATTCATTTTTTGATTTTTTTTTTTTCCCCAGACAGGGTCTGGCTCTGTCACCCAGGCTGGAGTGCAGTGGCACAATCTCTGCTCACTGCAGCCTCCACCTCCAGGGCTCAAGTGATCCTCCCACCTCAGCCTCCTGAGTAGCTGAGACTACAGGCACAGACCACCATGCCCAGCTAATTTTTGTATTTTTGGTAGAGACGGGGTTTCACTATGTTGCCCAGGCTGGTTACAAATTCCAGAGCTCAGGCGATCTGCCCACTTCGACCTCCCAAAGTGCTGGGATTATAGGCATGAGCCTATAAAAGCTATACCTGGCCTTTTAAAAACTTCTTATGCTTGGCTCCACGTATGTGTTCCTATCGGAAAAACCTATTTGATTTGCTTCCCTTCATAAATATTGTGTGTGTAGTAGAAATGGCTTGATATGCTACACATCAGATTCTTTTTCCCTTCTAACTAATTCAGTTTGGTTTCCTTGTGTTTCAGTGGTTCTCAAAAGTAAGGGCACAGTCAACATTTGACTTATAACGTGTTCAGGGAATGTTTGTGCTTCTTCAACCAAAATGTGCCCTTTGAAGTTACGAAGAATTAAAAAGATTATCAACTATTTTATCAGGTTCTGCTTAAAAGAACATGAATTGGTCCACAACTCAGCTCAAAGCCCTGGTTTTCTGGGAGGTATAAAGGTACTTTAGGCTGAGTTCATAGGAATGGCTTACTTTTTGGGCCTTTTCTAGGGTACCAGGAAACAATGTACTTGAACTTCTTGATGTTCTCTAAATTTGGAGTCCCTTTTTTTTTTTTTTGAGATGGAATCTCACTCTGTCGCCAGGCTGGAGTGCAGTGACACCATCTTGGCTCACAGCAACCTCCGCCTCCCAGGTTCTCCTGCCTCAGCCTCCCGAGTAGCTGGGACTACAGGCATGCACCAACATGCCCAGCTAAGTTTTTTATGTTTTAGTAGAGATGGGGTTTCACCATATTGGCCAGGCTGGTCTCGAACTCCTGTCCTCGTAATCTGCCCATCTCAGCCTCCCAAATTGCTGGGATTACAGGCATGAGCCACCATACCCAGCCAACTAGAGGCTACTCTTAAGGTGACAGAGGATAAGCCTTGGCAGATATTGATTAGTACGGGTTTGAAAGAAGATTGTGGTTTCTCTTCATGGGAGTTTAAATGATCAGGGCCAGATCTGGTATTCCGCTATTGATGTACCAAGCTAAGGAATGCTGGGCATCTCCCTGTCGGTGGCTGCAGGGGCTGCTGTCACTTTTCCAAATTAACTCCCAGTCTGACAAGAGAAGCAGAGACAGCAACTAAAGGCAGCATTAACCCCAGAATTATGGCACTTCCTCCTGGTCTTACAATGACTTTATGTGCCTAGTTCCAGTAAGCCATTCCCATTCTTCTCTTGCTCCAAATAGTACTGAACTCAGCACACCTTTTTAAATGGTCCTCTTGCACCTTTTATGAAAAGAGATGTGGATCTTTTTTTTAAGATAGCTCATTATTGTAATATGCACAAACTCATGCTTCCATGGAGAACAGCTGAGTTTACTAAACTGGGCTTAACAAGGTTGAAGACTGCTGGTCCTCTGACTGGCTTGCTGGACTTTTATTTCAATTAGCAAAAAGCCATTTTTCCCCTTGGATATTACTAGCAGTTGGTTTCGGTTTTTGAATCAACATGTTTAAGAAATTTATACTAACTAGAATTTCCCAACAATGAACATTGCCTTATAAAAGCAGTGTATTCCCCTTGGAGAATGCCCTTTGGTGATGGCAAGATAACCAAGTTAAGGGGTTCTGTTTTTTAAGGCTGAACTCCGGTCCCTATTCTAATTGCCTCTGCAGTAAGTTCTTCTGTCCACATTTCTCTTCAGCACAAACGAGTCTGTAGAAGGTCAAACAGGAATCAGAGTAGAGCTCCAAGGAAAGGAGGCATTTGTCAGAATGTAGAAACCTGACTGGGCACAGTGGCTCATGCCTTTAATCCCAGCACTTTGGGAGGCTGAGGCAGGCGGATCACTTGAGGCCATGAGTTTGAGACCAGCCTGACCAACACAGAGAAATCCCGTCTCTACTAAAAACACAAAAATTAGCCAGACATGGTGGCACATGCCTGTAATCCCAGCTACTCAGGAGATGAGGCAGCAGAATTGCTTGAACCCAGGAGGCGGAGGTTGCAGTGAGCGTAGATCCTGCAACTGCACTCCAGCCTGGGCGACAGAGAGAGTAAAAAAAAAAGGAACTCAGAATTCTGATTTTATTGTAGACCTAACCAGAGGGATAAACGATGTCTTTGTGGCTCAAAAACATTGAAACTTCATGTAATAGCCTAAGAAAATACACTGGGAATTGAGACGAAACTGATGGAACATTCTTCTGCCTTAAATGTCCTGTGAGAGGTTTCCATGAAAGATGATATATACATTGCAAAGAGCTACAATGAGAATTGAGGATTCCATATCCTGGCACCCCCATCTTTGTCCATCAGAAGCAGAGTTAGAATGTAATGCAAAAGCAAGAAGATTGCATCAGTACAAAATGGGACCAAACTGTACCCTTTAGGATTCTCTATCATTGCTAACAGTGGGTCACAAATCTGGTTTCAATCAACTTATCAGCTATTGCCAAGAAATTTAGACCCTGTCCCTATAGCACATTTTAGACTACATTTTGCTTGACTTTCTGTATGGGTAGATTTGATTCCAAAAATATATTTTAAGATCATCAGAAACAAAGAAGCTGTTTAAATAATAGGTGACTTGTTTTAATGATTAACTTCGCTTTCTTCGAGGAAAGGAATGAGCAGAGCGAACAAAACAGCAGAGAGATATTGCCAAATAACTGTGCCCTGACATGTCCACACCTGGCAGGAGGGGCACAGGAGGCAAGTTCAGGGCTTCTGTTTCTGACAGAGAGCACCCTCGGCATTGGGAGCTGGGTTGTGATGTTCCAGAGACTTACTCTGTACCTGGCACTATGTCTGTAGTTAGGCTCCAAGATCCTGACACTGTGATTCTCGGAGAGGCATGAATAACTGAGACATTTTCTACTTAATTATCCCTTTCCCATTTTTAATAAACCTATCTCTAATATTTATATTTTAAGCTGCGAAATATAATTCAGAGTAAAATATAAAGAACTATGAATAAGTAAAGCAGTATCGGCCAGATAGTATTGGATATCTGTTCTCCTGTGGTCTTCAACCATTGTCAATCACTATTTAATTTAACCTTGGCACAACTTCTGTGTTTATATGAAATAAATCAATTTGACTTTCTCAACCTAGAGATAGGTCTTTCCTGCATCTTTTCAATGACTGTAGCACACAGCAACTTCTACCAACTTTTTATCCAAGGCCTTCTTAGACATCCTCTGGTTAGACTTTTACCTTTTGTTTAAAAGAACAATATCATTATTTACAACTTAGAGGGAAAGGAGCATTACGAGATAATGGAAAGGACATGAACTTTGAAGCAAATCAGCCTGGGTGTGGATCCTGGTTTAATATCTAAATGACCACAGTCATGTTATTGAAACAGTCTGATATTCTCAAACTGTGCAATTGGCATAGACCTTACTTGGTTATTGGACAATTAAATGAAATAGGTATTTAAAGCTCCCAGCACTTAGAGAAGTTGTGGTCTTCTTACTACCAGCAGCTCAGCCACCTCCAATAAGTTCACTATTACAACTACTGCCAGCTGACTGACCGTGAGAAATCCAGGTAACTCTCTGAGCCTCAGTTTCCTTTTCAGTAAAAGAAAGATAATGTCTATTTCACAGGGTTGTGAAGACAATGAAATGCTAACACCTAAAAAGTGCTAGGAACATGGCATGTACTCAACAAATTTTAGTTCAAAATCTTTTCCTCCTTTCCCGTCTTCTTAAAAATATCAAGAACTCTTCAGACCCTGTTGATATTCCCAGGCCAGTAGTTCATGCTGATCTTGAGATTAGATTACAGCCTGGAGGGGCATCTTAAATGCACTTTAAATTAGACCTGATTCATTTCCAGAAAAGATTCACACACTACTACCAGGCTTGCTAGATCTGAACCCATCTTTAGGCTACAGAGGAAGCAAGAAATGTGTGTAGCACATGAATATTCTATCCATGAGCAGATCTTTCTCCTTTTCCTTCAGGGACTCTGCATACCCAATGTCCAATACCTGGAGAATAGGCAGAGAGTGTATCTACACCTTTCCCCAGGCCCCTGCCTGTGCTCTGTGGTAAGAGGGTCTATCCTCTTCTGGATGTTTCCTGGCCTCACTCACCATCTTCTACTGACAGAGGCAAGACAATAGACCACCTTTCCACGCATATTGGGATCCCGTAGTGTCCACCAACAGCAACCTAACGCAGGACAACATGTAGCTGACCACAGCAACTTGACAATTGCCAGGTTCTTACACTTTTTATGGAAACAGTCGATGAAAAGGAAGACACAGCCTTGGCATATACTTCATCTCACACCCACACATAGGCCATCCATTCCCCTCCTCTTTTGCTCTTGTGCTCTGTGTATTAATACCTTCCTTCCATGAAGGGAGAAGGCTGGCTCTGCTTGTCTGTATTTGTGTGGCTTCCTATAGGAGGGAGTTAAGGTTTAGCTCTTGGTACTCATGTAAGGTTTTGTAAGTTTCATCTGTTACACTTCTATGGATCACTTAAAGAAGGCTGAAGAAGATCCGTTTTCTGTTTGATAGGCTCAAACCATCATGGCAGGGCTTCTGTTTAGTTTTGTTTTCTATTTACATCTGTCAGTGGTCCTGGAAACTATTTGGCAATGAACATAGGCAATACTTGCAATACATTTTCAGAAACCACTGTGCTTAACACTGGAAGAACAAGGCCAGGTTGACTTCTGGGGTGACAGTTCCATGCTTATGGTCCGGTGGGGTACTTGGTCATTGAGATCCTAAATGGATCTATTTATTTATTTATTTATTTATTTATTTATTTATTTATTTATTTTGAGACGGAGTCTCACTCTGTCACCCAGGCTGGAGTGCAGTGGCACGATCCCAGCTCACTGCAACCTCTGCCTCCCAGGTTCAAGTGACTCTCCTGCCTCAGCCTCCTAGGTGCCCACCACCATGCCTGGCTAATTTTTGTATTTTTAGTAGAAATGAGGTTTTGCCATGTTGCCCAGGCTGGTCTCGAACTCCTGACCTCAGGCCATCCACCCGCCTTGGCCTCCCAAAGTGCTGGGATTACAGGCATGAGCCACCACATATGGACTAAATGCATCTTTTTTTCTGCCATAGGATTTTATTTGGTAAGGATGTGCTGTCTGTCATTTACAGTTCAAAAGCCAAAATCAAAATTAACGTGATAATCTCTTCTAATTCAGAAATTTCACAATCTGTTGTTTCATCCTCTGCCTCTTAACTCTTCAGGGTCAGGAAACAACAGCAGTAAACTCCACACCTTGGATCCCAGTGGTAGAGTCAAGGTACTCCGCAAAGACTTCTGGATGACCTTGAGTCTGGGGGTAAAGTTACACACAGCACTGTCTGGTAGGACACTCTGGTTCTCTAGTTATAATGCTAGGGACATGACTCTGCCTGCCTACTCCTCAAAAAACTGAGCAAAAAATTGGCCTCACCCCAGTGTTTGGCACCAGAATGAGTACCCGGTATGAATCTTTGTCCGCAAACATTTATATTTGTTTTAAAGCCACTGTGAGCCCCTAGCTGTTCTTCATTTTTGTCATTGCTGAGCTCTCCTTTCCTTCCCAGAGCTGCACCAGATTTAAGGAAGCTTATACAATACCCAGTAAGGCAAACCACCTTGACTATGGTCTCACCAGCACACCCCACTGTCCCAGACCACAGTGGCCCCTTTGATGCCCAGCAGCTCTCTGCTTCCTCCATGACCTCTGCAAGTAGGAGAATCTTTGTGGAGGCTGTGAATCCCAGTCCCATCACTTCTCTTCCTGTGACATCCCTTAAGTCTTCCTTCCTAGGGTCTTCTGCCTCCCAGAAGAAAGCCGGGGAGCCATGCTTCTCTACGACCTTTGCACCTCGCCCTCCTCCTAGACCAGGGGAAGTGTTTTCCTACATGAAAGCACCACCACACCCACCATGGCTTGTTTCACAGAGACATTCTTTCCTCAAATTCCATCTCCCCTTTGGAAATCAGGCTTTTAGAAAACACCAGGAAGCCTTGCACGCTAGGTCTGTTTTCTACCATACTAAGGCGCGGAGGCATGGAGAGACATAGGAAAAGGAGAAAAATACACAGAAGGAGAAAAAGGGGGAAAAACTCTAAATTAAAACCTCCGAACCCTGTTGCTAATATGTATGGTAGTGATAAACATAGCACTTTGCATTCCTCAGGAGCATCTAGCCTGCTCTTCAAGAAATTGAATCAACATCGGGCAAAGAGAAGAAACTTGGGGTTTCTTTTTTTATTTTATTTTATTTTTTTTTTTTTGAGACGGAGTCTCACTCTATTGCCAGGCTGGAGTGCAATGGCACGATCTCGGCTCACTGCAGCCTCTGCCTCCTGGTTCAAGCAATTCCCCTGCCTCAGCCTCCCAAGTAGTTGGGACTACAGGCATGGGCCGCCACGCCCGGCTAATTTTTTTTTGTATTTTAGTAGAGACGGGGTTTCACCGTGTTGACCAAGATGGTCTCAATCTCCTGACCTTCTGATCCACCCGACTTGGCCTCCCAAAGTGCTGGGATTACAGATGTGAGCCACCACACCCAGCCAAACTTTGGGTTTTCAATGCCTTGGTTTTGTAAGAAAGGGGCAGGAAGGTTAAAGGTTCATTTTCAAGGCACCACTGACTCACCCTTTACAGATTGCTCTTAAAATCATTTTAATTTGTTAGAAAATGTAAATTGATTTTGCATCCTTTTTCCTGTAAATTGTCTGCACACAAGTAAAAGTCACTAATACTCAAAAAGACTTTTTTTTTTTTTTTTTTTTGAGATGAAGTCTTGCTCTGTTGCCCAGGCTGGAGTGCAAATGGCACTATCTTGGCTCACAGCAACCTCTGTCTCCTGGGTTCAAGCGATTCTCCTGTCTCAGCCTCCCAAGTAGCTGGGAGTACAGGCGGATGCCACCATGCCTGGCTATTTTTTTTTTTTTGTATTTTTGTGGAGATGGGGTTTCACCATGTTGGCCAGGCTGGTTTCGAACTCCTGACCTCAAGTGATCCACCCGCCTCGGCCTCCCAAAGTGCTGGGATTACAAGCGTGAGCCACAGTGCCTGGCCTAAAAAACTTCAATAACTCTCTCTGGAAAAGAATCAGTATTTACCTGTAGAGCCACTTTTGTGCTCCAATGACCTTAGCTGAGTTCGTCATAGGCCACATGGGCTAAGCTGGTGTCCCTCAATTTAGTAAAACACAGTCTATAAAATCCCACACTTGTAAAACACTCATTTGGCAAGTGGTTTTGCAAAAGTTGTAAAAGCTTACAAGTGGATATGCCAGGGATTCCTTTAAGTATCAAGATGTCCTTGAGTTTTCCAAAAATATGACTCAATTTAGAATCATGGAGGTATTGTAGCTTTTCAAAAGTATATCTTTGTAAAAGTACATGTGCCTGTACTCAGTGAAATGAATGTTAAGCCAGATAGAACATGAGATTTCACCAATAGGAAAGAAGAAAACTCCCTGCCAGACCTAAATAGTTGTTTCACCTATTTGGAAGAGTTGCAGAGTATGCAAAAGTGACTCAGCAAGTCACAGACACCAGCACAGAGGTGGACTCGGTTATGAGGCAGGACTCGTACAACAGGTTCTGAAGGCCCAGAGGTTAATGAAGTGGTTAAGCTAAGGGTAGCCCTCCCCAGGCTCCTGAGGAAGGAAAGTCAACAAGGACTTTTAGATATCTCCCCAGCAAAATCATATATTTCCTCTTGAAAAGTTACTGTTTTTTGACCAGGTTTGCATTCTTCTGGGTCTCTTGGTTTGTAAATAATTGTTTTCGTGCATTTAAGCAGTTAATCTGGCAAAGCTAATACTAATTTGACATAGCCAGGGACTAGAGAAAATGCAGTAGACATAACTGTTTTCCTGGGTAAAATTTTATAAAACTAAACATTTTAGAAAGCCCTACTCATGTGTAGATGTGGGAGGGATGGACTCTCCCTGCAGGAGAAAAACTGTCCAAGTGGTGAATTCCACATTGGAACAATATGATGTTGGCTTCTGATTTTCCACTCCAGGCTTTGGAGGTAAAGCTCAGCATTTGACCGCAGTTATGTTGTGCTACAAAGGGCCAGTACACAGTAAGGCCTGTGGACTTAGGAACTGGCAAAGGAAGGGAGATGTGGTTAGAACACTCAGGAGAAGGGTTATTAAAGGGTAAAAGCAGTTTTTGCATTTGAGTTTTTCTTTTCTTCATAACCTTTCGCAATTTCATTGGATCCAAATGTCCGAGAAACGTTCATTGAAAGTGTAAAGTCCACAGAAAGAAAGGACCAGAATTCTTCCAGGTCTCTCCCATCAGGCTTCATCTGGGTTCTACCTTTCCATTTTTGTTCCACTTGCAGGAATGGTGGGTAGGAGCGTTAGACTTCTCTGTTTATAAGAATGTTTCTTTTGAGTATCATTAATCAGCACGGATGAAGATGAGTTGTGCCTGAGATGATAACCACAGATCCAGCTCTCAAGGATATTTTGAGGACGTTCTATCTTCTCCTGCCTCTTTTCAGAAAAAAGTGAGAATATTATAAGCACCTATATTTTTATATGGCTGTTTAAAATCCTAATTGACCTGTTCTAACAAAGTAGCACGGAGCATGAATCACTTGGTAGCCAACTTTGGTTAATTTTGCCTGCAGGATTGCCAGAAGTTGCCTTCCTGAGCTTGCACTTCTACTTGCATTCCAGGTGTCCATTCTTGTGTACCGAACACACCTTAAAGTGAGCTGAGAGATTTATAATTACTAGAGTCAAAAAAAAATGCCAGAAGGAAACGTCACCACCCACTGAAGGATTATTGTTGGCATGATGACTGAGGCGTGGCGCCTGTGCACATGGCAGTGTCAGTTGCCTTGTCATAAGTGGCAGTAATGCTAGGGGATACTTTTCTTCTTTGATTTATATTATTATCTTCTTGAATGAGACATATCTCGATTTTGAATCATAACTGTGAGAAATGCCCACACCCTTCTTACCTCCACATATGTAAATTCCATTTCTCCCAAGACTCCCAGCTATGAGAGAATGCAACAGTCAATATTATGAAAGTGGCTTGGCTAAAATGTTTGCTTCCCTGTGCTCAGTCACTTGAGCAGCACAAGTGACACATTTGACAAGGCAGAACAAGAAATTTATCCCTTCACTATGGAGCATTTTACAAGGGAAGCTGAGTTTTGGAGCAAACTAATGGTAAGTTGAATAAAGTGTTTAAATATCAAGGACATCATGCTGGGCATTTTCCTTGTGGCTTTTTATAAAATAAGATGAAAGGGGAATTTATAATCAAAGGATTGTACTCTTGCTTATTACTTTAAGTGAAACGTGCCTTCTACATATCAAATTTTGTTAGTGATAAATGGCTTTGAATGAATTGTTTGGCAGGAACTTTTTCTAATTCTATTGATGAAGAATACTAACAGCTATGGGCATGTAAGGCTTTATGACTTTGTGGAAGCAATATGGTTCACTAGTGGAAAGGAATTATTCTAAGGTAGATTTTTAACATAAATGAAGCATTTCTTGGAACTCTGTGTTGGATTTTTACTTTTGGTTTTCTTTAACTGTACCTCTTTTAAGATTTTCTCTAAGGTGTGTATACATAAACATGATCAGAAGGGTGTAATAAAGGAGGATTCTAATGTCTAAGACTAACCTTTGTGATTTCTGAACTGAACATATTCGTACCTGCCATTTTCCCTTTATGTGACCAAGAACTGCTGAGTTTACTTTAGATGACTTGGTACAGTCTTGAATGCATCAAAGAATGCAGAGATTCCCTGACTTTGGTGATTCTAGATGATCATGTCATTTTATAGTGGAGTAAACTGAAGTCCCTCTATCCAAACAACCCATAGTCTGGCTACAAGATCACAGACCCCACCCCCCATTCCAGTGGGTTTTTTGTTTTTAGTTATCCTTCACTGTCTCATAGCATAAAATTTCATTTTGTTTTCTCCTTTCTAATGTAAATTTCAGCTTCATTGGAAATAGAAAATTCTGTTGCAAACAGGTAATTTTTAGATTGGATGGTATAACAAATTATCTTTTCGTGGCAACGATGTGACTCATCTGTCTTTTCCCTGGCAGTATGACCTATACTACCATCTTTTATGACACTAAGTTTATTCTGTGAGCATACTGAAACATTGGTTTCTAAAGTAGTCACTTCTATTCATTAAAGAATGTTCAGGTCCAGGTGCGGTGGCTCGTGCCTGTAATCCCAGCACTTTGGGAGGCCAAGGCGGGAGGATCACGAGGTCAGGAGATCGAGACCATCCTGGTTAACACGGTGAAACCCCGTCTCTACTAAAAATACTAAAAATTAGCCGGTTGTGGGGCGGGCTCCTGTAGTCCCAGCTACTCGGGAGGCTGAGGCAGGAAAATGGCGTGAACCTAGGAGGCGGAGCTGGCAGTGAGCCGAGATCGCGCCACTGCACTCCAGCCTGGGCGACAGAGCGAGACTCCGTCTCAAAACAAAACAAAAAAAGAATGTTCAGTATCTCTGATGTCTTAAATTATAATGCTATATCTGAGCTGGTAAGCCATTCTGTGTGATGTCTTTGGAGAAAGGAGGGTAAAAAAATGTATTATTATTTCTAAACATAACTAAAAAGCACAATTTTTAGATCAATATTCAAACATTTAATACATTTACTTTTGTTTATCCAATTATTTCACTCGTTTACTTAGCAAGCACATCAATATATTGTATTCTGGAAACTCAATCATTTCTATGCTCTTACAATACTTAGGTTTTTTTAAATGTCTTTATTTTTATTAAGAGTTCATTTTGACAAACTATAGAAAAATTAAAAAGGTTTTTTCTGCATGTCCTCCAGGCAGAGAGGAACATCTGTGCTCCAAGGAGCTGGGAGCTGATGTAGCAGCAGGCTCTGACTGGCTCCAGAGTCCTAAACCTATGGGGACTGGGCAGAGGCCGATGCTCAGGAAATACACAAAGGACTGAGACGTAGGCATTGGTCCTGTCCACCCAGAACTGCTCAAGGAGTTTTCCAAATCAGATAGTCACATGAGAGAACTATCGGACTTATAAGCAGCTACCATGCAAATTCAAGGTAGCCTCTTGTTTTGTTAAATCATGGTTGTCCAAACTGCCATTTTGAAAATTCTCCCCTCATTTTGAAACTCTCTTTCACCCCGGCTCCAGCACTGCCACTACATGTGTCACCAGTTCCCCTGGCAGGTGGGTGGTGGCTTCCCGTGAGAGAGCTAAGTCAGCAGCCCCAGAAGGTGCCTCGGGGAGCTGGTGGCAACTCATTAGCCTCTCTTACGCGCCTTTTAGTCTGTGTCATGGACAGATTACCTGCCAGCACAGACACCCAGTGACAGGCACAGCCCAGGGCAGGAGGGACTGCAATTTACTATGAACCAATGGCTACTCAACCTGTGTGAACCAACAGAAATGGATTTTGGAGGGCCTGGTATATTTCCACAGTGGCTTTCTATCATAATTAATGCACCCAACCTCTCCTGTGGTCAGCAGGTTGTTATCTGAACTGTGTAGATTGTGAGACATAGAGATTTAATAACAGGCTTGGTGCTCTCTGGTTAATGAGTGGGCTGGGAGTGAGAAATCTAAGGCTCTGGTGATTTCCTACAGAATGTTGGACATTGTCTCTCAGCCTTCTCCACCAGGAGGATCAGAGTGGTTCTTCCATCAAGAGTTCTCTCATCATTTTTTGCTCTTAGTGCATCTGAGTTCTTGAATGTCTTCACTCTTGCAGAATATTGGAGTCACTTAGAAGTTCACTTTCATGTCAGACATAACTGGATCATGCTTCTCTCAAAGAGGATAATAGTAACCCCTGGGAGCTCAAATTCAGAAGCTTGCCTCCAAGTGCAGCTTTAAGTCTCAAGGCTATGTGCTGGTCCAGGACAGTTGGTAGATTAGGTCTCCCCTTGCATACAACCCAGTGAAACAATTCAACCTAGCACAGCTTCAACAAGCACGAACCATATATGAAAGTGCAGGTAGCAGAGGGCATGATGGCCATGCATGATTATTTGGGGAAAGTGGACAGTGGTAACTCTCTGCATAGTCCTGTCTGATCATCTCCTCCCAAGAGACCCCAGCCATCTTTCTTTGCCACCATCCTCTTTCTCCCAGTGAGCTCATCTGAATACCTGCCTCATTGAAGCATCAGGCAAGTGCTCATCGAGCCCAGCCTCTATGACTAAATCCGCTGTTTCTATGGAGAATACAGAGGAAGAAGACGTGATCTTGACTCAGGAAGGTCAAAATATAATTGTGAGATAAGACAAACATCCATGAAACAATTAGAGAACAGAATAATATATAATTGAGTGGCAGACGGCATGGTTCAGAAATTAAGTGGAATAGCAAGTCTGAAGTCAGGGAAGTCTGTGAGGCCCAGAAGAGTCAAAGAAGGTTTCATGATGGAAATTGATGGATAGAATTTGGAAAGGAGAGGGATAGGCATCCAGATGAAGGAGATGATGGTGTCGAGTAAATGCTGGGAGGCAGAAACGCCTCTGGTGACAGGATACTGCTGAGTGATTGAACAGGAAATGGATGTGAGGGACTGGGGAAAGATAGAGAATGGAGCAGATCCTGGAGAGTCTTGAAGACCAAACAGAGGATCTTAGACTGGGTAGGACATGGGAGTCGTGGAAGGAGTCAGAACAGTAGAATGGCTTGATAAAGGCAGCATTTAGGGAAAATGAGTCTGGCAAGGTAGATTGGATTCTGAAGATTCTAGAGGCTGGTAAGAAAGCTATTGTTACAGGACCTACACATGAGATGGCAGTGGTCCCAGACCAGTGTGGTACAAGTGGAGTAAGGAGAAAAACATATCTTTAAGGAAAAACATGAAACACCAGTCAGCTGACAGGATTATGTAGGATACAAACTACATCAAGTCAGCACCTAATGGATATCTTCTGCAGACAACAGTCTATTTTTGCTCAGGATAAGAGAGAAGTCTAATTATTTTCCATAGATTTATTCCTAAGACTAGCAAACTTGTCTCATACTTCCCTCCCTGTCCCTTGAGTTAACCAAGTCCTTTCTAGAAAATTCTCCAGGTATCAGTCCCCATCCTGAGAGTTCAGGCCAAAATTTCTCTTGCAGGCCACCCTCCTGCCACCTGGAGCATTCTGCTCCCTCAAAGCTTCTCCTTCCTCACAGCTGGACTCATGCTCCTGAGGGTCATTTTCCTAGGATCTGTTCCTCAGCTACTGTTTGATGAACAGGAAACATTTTTCCTCTTTCTTCCTCACTGACCAATATGGTTTGGCTCTGTGTCCCCACCTGAGTCTTATCTCTAATTGTAATCCCCATGTATCGAGGGAGGTAGGTGATTGGATCATAGGGTGGTTTTCCTCATGCTGTTCCCCTGATAATGAGTGAGTTCTCACAAGATCTGGTGGGTTTTGTTTTTGTTTTGTTTTGAGATGGAGTCTGGCTCTGTCACCCAGGCTGGAGTGCAGTGGTGCTATCTCGGCTCACTGCAACCTCCGCCTCCCATGTTCTAGTGAGTCTCCTGCCTCAGCATCCAGAGTAGCTGGAATTATAGCTGCCCAACACCACGCCTGGCTCATTGTTGTATTTTTAGTAGAAACAGGGCTTCACCAAGTTGGCCAAGCTGGTCTCACACTCCTAACCTCAAGTGATTGGCCCACCTCAGCCTCCCAAAGTGCTGCAATCACAGGCATGAGCTGCCGTGCCTGTCTGATGGTTTTATAGGGCATTCTTCCCCTTCACTCACTCCCCTCTCTTGTTGCCATGTGAAGAAGGTCCTTGCCTCTCCTTTGCCTTCCGCCATGATTGTAAGTTTCCTGAGTTCTCCCCAGCCATGTGAAACTGTGAGTCAATTAAACTTCTTTCCTTTATAAATGATCCAGTCTTGAATATTTCTTTCTAGCAGTGTGAAAATGGACTAATATCCTGACTTAGTTTTATTTCTAGTTTGTGGGCTTCTCCCATCTCTCCCTTCTGTCTTTATTGATATTGAGGTAGCCGCCCACTGATATTTGGCTACTTGGCAGCATACTTCAGGTCAAGATGATTAACTTTTCTAGGCATGTACATAGTTATATTTGACATAAATAAAGTGTGTGCTACATACAGGAAAAAGAGGTATCCAGTCCATCTGATGTTTTGAAAGGGGAAGCAAGCCACCACAACTGGAACACAAATGATGAAAATCAAGATGTTGTATGTTTAGACTGACAGGTCTTAGACAGGTTTCAGGAGAAATTTTGAATCACAGAAGGCAAGAACTCTAAAGCATCATCAACATGTTCTGTTTGACCTACATATGGTTTTTATAATTGTTGTTGTTTTATTTACATTTTTAGCAAATATTTAAAATTAAGACATTTTCACATAATAATCCAGGGACAGTTTTGTTTTGTTTTGTTTTGTTTGAAACAGAATCAAAAGATGACAATTATCAGCTAGTGCTGAGTATAGCTGTCCCCTGTAGACAGGGCAAGTATTCTCCTCCTTACCTACCTTTTGAGTACTTATCGGGGCCTGTGAATATTTCAGCTGTGACCCCTGATTTAACTAATCCCTCATTTTACAAAGAAGGGAGATTGAGGCAAAGAGAAGTTAAATGACTTTTTCAGTATTTCCCAAGAGGCTGATATCAGTACGGGGATGAGAACTGAGCTTTGCTGGCCAGTCGTGGTGGCTCACACCTGTAATCCCAGCACTTTGAGAGGCCAAGGCAGGCGGATCACCTGAGGTCAGGAGTTCGAGACCAGCTTGGCCAACATGGCAAAACACTGTCTCTACTAAAAATACAAAAATTAACTGAGTATGGTGGTGGGTGCCCAGCTACTCAGGAGGCTGAGCAGGAGAATCACTTGAACCCGAGAGGCAGAGGTTGCAGTGAGTTGAAATCTTGCCATTGCACTCCAGCCTGGGCAACAGTGCAAGACTCCGTCTCAAGAAAAAAAAAAAAAAAACTGAGCTTGGCTATAAGGCCTCACTCCCTTTTCTCTCCTTTTAAGGACTGTAGTTGTTTCTCAAATACAGGATCCAAAAGGTTGGTAATTGGGGCCAGGAGTTTGAAACCAGCCTGAGCAATATAGTGAGACCCCATCTCTATAAAAAGTTTAAAAATTAACTAGATGTGATGGTGCACACCTGTAATTCCAGCTATTCGGCAGGCGGAGGCAGGAGGACTGCTTCAGTCCGGGAGTTAGAGCTGTGATGAACTCTGAGCATACCACTGCACTCCAGCCTGGGTGACAGAGCAAGACTTTGTCTTGGGAAAAAGAAAAGAGAAAGAAAGGAAGGGAGAGTGAGAGAGAGAGGAGAAAGAAAGAGAGAAAAAGGAAGAAAAAGAAAGGAAGGAAGGAAGGAGAGAGAGAGAGAAAGAAAAAGAGAGAGAGAAGGAGGAAAGAAAGAAAAGAAAAGGAAAGGAAAGGAAAGAAAAGAGAAGGCAACCTGGAGAAAGGCAAAGACCAGCATGTGTGAAGATGCTCATCAGTCAAAACTGATATTCTGAATATCAACTGAGGGATATTGAATAGGTCACCCTGAGAGCCAGAATCTGAGAAAACCCGGAATAGTAGTATTTCTCATCTGCGACCCTTGATGGAATTGTATTTTAAGTGATTGCACTGGCTGCTTACAATGCCAAGACGGAACATACTTCAGAATTAGCTTTTTCCTTTGATTATACTTTGTTGGGTTAAAAAATAAAAAAGTGGACTTGCAAATATAGCAGTTGTGACTACAGCATTTTAAGCATTTGTATTGAAGATGTCCCAAATTTCTAAATGAAAGTTACTAATAAAAAATATTCATGTATATTTTCCTGTTCACTTTCCTCTCCTAACCTCATTTTGTGTCTTTAGAACTCTAGCCTGAAACATTGGTTCAGCTAGTCTGTCTTGAATATGTTAAAATGACATTGGTTGTTGGCTAGAAGCTCAAGGCTGCGCTGCCTCCCACAGACAGCAGTGCTGTGATCTCTGCAGCTCACAGAGCGAGCGGGAGGGGGCCGCGATCATCTGCTTATCATTATTGATGTGGCTTCGGCGACCTCTGCTGTGTTTCTGTCCAGTGTGATTCTGGATGCAATTCAGAAAACACCTGCTGAAATCCTGGCAAGAGATCCAAGTGCGTGCCAAGGCGAGGTGATTGGTGTGGCTCTTGAACAATGTGAAGGTCAACCTCTTGGCTCTCCTTTAGTAGTTATTTTAATGAAAGAATTCTTTACTGAGTGAATTTGAACAGACCTCGCACAGGCTGGCATTTCTACTTTTTGCATAGTAACACTCAAAATAGCCTTTTGTCTAAAGTGGAAGAAGGATGGAGATTTTACAGGGCATTTACAATTGAAGGACAGACATAGAAGAGAGATTCTCTGTGTTCTTTGAAATATAGGGAAGCTTTAAAATTAATTTTTGATCTTTCCTTTCACTACTCCACCCGTGTCCTCCTCAAAGAAATTATACCTCTGTGACTGCTTTCTTTTATTCTGGGGAAACTTTCTTCCTCCTCCTCAAGCTCTTAGAACTTTTGGCTGATGTGACAAGATCACTTCCTCTCCACTGGTGAGGAAGTTTCAGCCCTATCACTTATGCTGTTGTATTCAATATAGAGTCTACATTTCCATCTACCACGTAAATATGTGAGCTGTAAATGAGAGATAAAAACACCATAGAGATATTTGACTCTTAGAGTGATAGTAGAAGGTTACTGTACATAAAATGGTCATTTGACCTTGGACCACACTGACGTAATAATATTAATGATGACACGATCATAATAATTAACATGTATGGCAAATTTAGCATGTGCTAGAAACTGTGCTAGGTATTATCTAATTTTGTCTGCATAATGCCCCTGTGTTCCTCTAAATGGGTTAAGTTTTAGTTTTAGGGAGTGAAATTTAAGAGGGATACAGGCAAACCAAAGTACATTGCCATCCGGGGTGGGACCAACTGAATAGAGCAGTGATTCTCAAGCTTGTCCCTGCAGTGGAATCTCCTGGAAGGCCGATTAAAACCCAGATTGCTGGGCCCACCACTGTGCATCTCCCCCCAGAGTTTCTGATTCAGTGGCCTAGGGTGGGACCCCCAAATTTGCATTTTTCTAAGTTGCCAGGCAATGCCGATACTGCTGATCTCGGGGCACACTTTGAGAATTGCTGTCCTAGAGCTCAAAACCGTATCACCCATGGAACAGCTGCAGTAATCCAGAATGCTTTCCTTAGAGAAGAGACTGCTCTGGGGTGCCCAGAAGGCTCCTGGGGCCTGTCGAAGACCTGGAGGGTGTTCGTGATACCAAGGATCTGAACCAGGACCAGTGGAAGTGACATTGAGACAAACAGCCTGAGAATAAAGGAGAACAGATGGAGTGGGTCCTGCCAGGGGAGGCCACAAAAATAAAAGATATGGGGATGTGCTTGAACATAAAGGGTGGTGGGTTGCTGAGCAGGGATTGTGTACTTGTGGCCCTGAGGCTGGACACAGCCTGCAGATGTTCTCCAGTGGGAATGCACAAGGCTGTGAGGCATTTTAGCTTGAATGCTATTGAAGGTGTATATCCACCAGTTCACCCGGTCCATATTATCTCTTAGCCCCCACCGAGTCACCCACTTATACTTATCAGCCTGACCACATGTGGTCCTGGAGCTGAAGGGTGTACATGCAGCAGGGTGGTCAAGCAATAGGCAAATGCTGGATTCAGTTTTTTTTTTAATTATCTGTTATTTGAACTCCAAAGAATGAAAGTCAGGATGCTAGGTGAATTGTTCGCTTGTAGGTAGTAAACCTGCAATTGTATGCCAAAAGAGAGGACCCACTAAAAACTACTCTACAATGGAAGCCAACTCTAACATTGCCTGCAAGGACAGAACTTCCTAGTGTGCCTTTCTCAGTAGGGCACAGCGCTGGTTCCACGTTAAAAGAGCTGACCCACAGGGCCCACATAGCGAAAAGACATCCAAGGACTGCAGCTGGACTCATCCTTTCCATCTCCTCCTGCACACATCACCCCAGGTCTGCCCTCCCTGAGCCCTGGTGGGCTGGTCTACCCTGCTAGGAGACAGGAGGGCTGCCGGGAGGCTGGAAAACTAGGCAAGAAGTCTTGGAAGGCAATGACCAAGGCTTAGCAGGAAGAGAGATAAAGAAGGAGGGTTTAGGATTGATTACAAAATGTCTGGCACCAAGAGTGGAAGATTCTTGTGAAGAAAAGCTTATTATAGGAATTTCTGGGGAAAGAAAGAATATAAGGTGAGGAGCAGTGGCTCATGCCTATAATCCCAGCACTTTGGGAGGCCGAGGCAGGCAGATCACCTGAGTCAGGAGTTCCAGACCAGCCTGGCCAACGTGGCGAAATTCTGTCTCTACTAAAAATACAAGAACTAGGCAGGCATGGTGGCATGTGCCTGTAATCTCAGCTACTCAGGAGGCTGAGGCACAAGAATCGCTTGAACCCGGTAGGCAGAGGTTGCAGTGAGCAGAGATTGTGCCATTACACTCCAGCCTATGCAACAGAGCAAGGCTGTGTCAAAAAAAAAACAAAAACAAAAAACAGAAAAGAAAGAATATAGAAAAATTGAAATGACAGCAAGAAGTAACAAGACCAAATTAAGAAAAATTTAGAAATGGGAAATCTGGATACATTGTTATGAGAACTATATTGACTTGACTGTGATGGACTCTTTGTCCTTGAAACATTCCAAATAAAATCAGAGAAAGAGCTGGAAGTATGCTTCAGAAGAATCTTTCACTGATGTGTCTAAATGGCCTGATTCCATCTTTTCCATCTTTGCCTTCTAGTTTTGGTCACCAGGTATTTGGCATTATAATTCCCAGGCCAACACACTGCTGTCACCATTATGAGAATTCTGGGGTGGAGGGACAGTGATTTTCCCCTTCCTTACCTCGTGTCTTCATTCACTCTCTTCCTCTTCCTTCTTTTCCATCCTCCCGTCTTCTCTCCCTCCCTTCCTTTCTGTTTCTCCTTTATCACATTAAATGCAGCTGACTACAAATAAGGAAAGGAAAACTTGGGGAACGCTGTGGTGTGGGTTTCTTCCAATAATAACCTTGGCAGGTAATTTTTGCATATACAGACTGAGTCATTTTCTTATAACTGAGATCAGGGGCTGGATTTCTCCCAGGAGAAAAAACACTTATATTAACGTGTTTATGTTTTGGAATAATAATATTTGTCCATGTGAAAATATGTGTGAGTCCTTTCTGCCACACCATCTGGCGTATAACTATTCATAATCCAAACAGTAGCAGCTGCTGCAGAGCACGAGGATGAGTTTTCTTGAAGTAAAAATGGGCTAACTATTGGATGCCACACGTAGCTTTCACAGCATCACCGGTTACTCACCAGAAACCTACATAGCAGTCCCTTCCATTAATCCATTAGGTTCTTTATTAATATCACAAAAGCTCACTTTGCTATCTTCTTCCATTCCATCCAGTAGAGAAACTCTATCGTTTAACCTTACTCTCAACCTGTGGCCCTTGTACCTTGGGAACATGCATGTGTTTTACCCAAAACTGTTGGCAACTGAAGGTGTCAGTTTGGGTTTTGTTGACTGATGACAGCTGCCAGAAAAATTGCCGGGAATTTTTGCTGCAGTTCTCCACTGCGGCTTCCTACACTGCTGAACCACATTCATTATGTGTTTGTGGCTAATCAGACACATGGGGACACAGCAGCAGTTGATGAATCCCTCTCGGGCCGCTCGGCAAGGCTCTGATGTAATGGAAAGTGTAGGGTAACGCTTTCTACAGATCATTTGAATGCGGTTTGCAGAAACCCTTGAGGTTTAAGAAGGAAGTGGTTTGCGGAATAGGTGCTGGATGCTACTGTATAGAAACCACCACAATCGACAGTACAAAAGAGACCAATTTCACAGGGGAGAATTATCTGCAAGACTTTTTTCATTGCATAGTCATTCTGAGTCTCCCCCAAAAGTTGGAGGTTTTTGAAAGATAAAATTCTTGGCTGGGTGCAGTGGCTCACATCTGTAATCCCAGCACTTTGGGAGGCCAAGACAGGCAGATCTCCTGAGGTCAGGAGTTCAAGACCAGCCTGGCCAATGTAGTGAAACCCCATTTCTACTAAAAATACAAAAATTAGCCAGGCATGGTGGCAGGCACCTGTAATCCTAGCTACTCAGGAGGCTGAGGTAGGAGAATCGCTTGAACCCAGGAGGTGGAGGTTGCAGTGAGCCAAGAACATGCCATTGCACTCCAGACTGGGCAACGAGAGTGAAACTGCTTCTCAAAAACAAAAATACAAACAAAAAAAACTGTTTATGCTGATTCTACACATCACTATAGTAAGTATCCAGACCATTTAGTAAAAAAAAAAAGTCCTAACCGAATGCCCCAAAACTTGTGCCCCAAATGAAAGTATATAAAATTGCTTTAATTTTCAACACTTCAGTTGGTTGAATCATAATAATACCTTACATTTGCATGAGCTATCATGGTCCTCAGGGTGTTTTCACATATGTTTTTAGTAATTAAGACTTTTTTCCGAGAAGGCTGTCAGGTGACCCACATCAATGAGCATTCAGGAGATTGGGGTATTATCTCTGTCCAGCGTGCTTTGTCCTGTTCTCCTCACAATGGGTATCGCTAATTTCCAACTTGTATCAGTCATCTTCAAGCAGTCATTTGTCTTTTCAGATGTCTATTGGTCAGTCCTTTAAGTACCTGCTGCTTTTATCACCAGTTATAATGGGGCGATTTATCAATGTCATTCGCCTCGCTCGGCAACAAGAGAGCAACTATGAGATCTTATAGAAGTGGTCCGCATACCTGGCCTTTAACCACTCTCCTTCGACTTGAAATGGTTCTTATACCTCTGTCGTCCCAGAACTTGTCAAGAGGTCTCGGGTCAGCCTTAACTGGGCCTTGCGCTTGGTTGCCCATCAGCCTTTGCCTTCAGGGTGCATTAGATAATTTTTTCATAAACTTCTTTTTTCCAAAAGCAATATCTGCCAGCATTCCCAAGTCCCTTTTTGTATTTAGGGGTTGCATTATGTGTGTCTCTGGTTCTCACTTCTGTGTTTCTTATCATCATAATTGGCCTGACTCAGGCCAAGTAGGTGTTTGTCTCTATACCCCTATAATGTCAGTGCTAAGTAGTCCTAATAGGTCTTCCTAATAGAGGATGCCCTAAATCCTGCCCTTCCCAACCTTGCCTTTCCCTAGTCCCCAGAAGAACTTCACCTTGAAGACTCAGCTCTGACCACCACTCCCCAATCAATTCTGACCAACAGGTAGTCATCACAAAAGTGGAGACTAATCCAACTATCCTAACCCTGCTGTCTGGTGGGCCTGGACTGAACCCTGGGCACCCTGTCTGCTGACCTGCCCTGAGCCTGTGCCATACTTAGCAGATAAGCACACATGGAGCATTGCTCTCTGATTGTACTGATGCCCTCCTGCTCAAATCCAGCATCTCCACCCCTACCCACTGTGGGTGCAGCTGAGCGAGCTCTATCCTTTTGCATTCCATTGCCTCAGAGGTTCCTTCCCGGTTTGCCTAGGAATAGGCTGCCTTATGATTTTCATGGGCTTTAGGCACTTTTGCCTTCAAGAACCCCTTCCTCTGTAAAAATATATATATAGAAAGTTGCACTTTACAAATGTCAGCATAAAGATAAATAATTAAAAGATTTTCTTTGCCATTTATTTTTTTCCTGACTTAATCTATTAAAGAGAAAATGTATTAATACATTTTCATGGGCCCTTGCTGTATTGTCATTAACCTACTAAGCCTAGAAACATGCCAGCTGTCAGTGCTATGCCTAGAGCACCTGATGGAGAAGTCAGCCCCACCTAGAAACATACCTTCATAATGGATCTTGTTGCCTTAAATCAGGGTTTCTCAAAGCTCAGTCTTTTGCAAATCATATGAAACTTTATCCCATATTGCATTTCACTAGTACTAGTTTTCATCTAATATTTTTCTTCAAATTTACTTCCTTTGAAATTTTGATAGCTGTATATTTAAGAAATGTAATGTCACTAGCATAAAGCCAATATAACTTGCCATAAATAGAAAATTTACATTAATACAAATTAACAGGCCAGGTGCAGTGGCTCACGCCTGTAATCCCAGCACTTTAGGAGGCCAAGGCAGGTGGACCACCCGAAGTCAGGAGTTTGAGACCAACCTGGCCAACATGGTGAAACCCCATCTCTACTAAAAATACAAAAATTTGCCAGGGGTGATGGTAGGTGCCTGAAATACCAGCTACTCAGGAGGCTGAGACAGGAGAATCGCTTAAACCTGGGAGGTGGAGGTTGCAGTGAGCCAAGACCGTGCCACTCCACTCCAGCCTAAGCAACAGAGTGAGACTCCATCTCAAAGCACACACACACACACACACACACACACACACACACACAAATTAACATAAATACATTATGCATTAAAAAACATTCAGCTTGTTCATGTTCCACCCAGCTCCAGGCATTTTGCTGTCCTCAGCCTTGTCCTCTAGTGTTCCCTGTGGAGTTAATAATTGGGTCAATCCCTAGCACAAATGTGCCCCCTCTGTTCAAAGTTTTTTATTTGCTCACTGTCTACCCACTGACACCCGGCCCCTCTCCAGGCTACTGCTCCAAAATGGATGAGCCAACCAGACCTTCCCAACCAAATTAAGCATTGGCAAAGCATCCCATTACATTGGGTTTTCCTGGGAACAGCACTATCTGTCCCACCCTGATTTTCCATGTCCTCCAGAGCAGCACTGTCCCCTGGCCCCTCCCATGCTGATGGAAATGTCCAGTCTCTGCATTTGCCAGCGCAGTATACCCAATAGGAGCAGTAACTACTGAGCATTTGTAATGTGCCAGTGTGACTTAGGAACTAAATTCTTCCTTTTATTTCATTTTAAATCATTTAAATGTAAACTCTATAGACTCATGTGGCTAGTGGCTACCACACTGAACGGGGCAGCTCTGGATGCTGTGAGTTAGACTGATGACTGTCCTCTTAGTTTCTAGATCTCCATCCCGAACAGTTCTAAAATTATTTCCCTTTCCCTCAGTTCTATTATGCCACACAGCCAAGCTTATTAGTGAAATGATGATACTTAAGCTGTTATTAGTTGTTTACACTTTAGTGTGAAAGAAGGCCCTGGGAGGAGGTATGACAGAAGGACACACAAAGAGAATACGGGAGCCCCATGTGCTGCCTTGAGATGTTGGGATGGCGCAGACACAGACAGAATGAAGAGATGGATTCATTTGCCCCTGCTTTTCAGTTATGCAAGAATACCCAACATCTAAACTGTATTAATATTTTATTTCCTGAACATTCTCCTCTTTGTCCCTTTTAAAACATTTGTGAGTCAGAGTCAAGATTCAGGTTCAGTGTAAGCCGTCTGCTCAGTCATTTGTCATTTACCTGCTAAGCTCAGAAACTGTGCTTGAGCTGGCTTGAGTCCCCAGACTTTAGTATTCAAGTCTGTGAATCTGATGGTATTGAATTAAATTCATGACAAAACCTGGCGCTCTCTCATCAGTCCAGTGAGGCCTCAGAGACCATGACTGCATTTAAGCAGACCTTTAAGGATCACAGCAATGGCACACATTTGTGGAGCACACACGTGGATGACCACCCATCCATTCCTGCCCCACCTCTTCCTGCTTCCTCATCAGCTGAGCCCCCGTTTGGTGTGGTGCCCAGCCTCTTCTGGGAGACCATAAGCTCAGGACGGCAACATGATATGGAGCTCGCGAGATGGGTTGGTAAAACTGATTAAGCCAATCATGGAATTTCTCTTCTCTAGCCACTTAATGATTTTGGAAGAGGAACATGACCTAATGCTGGCCAGTGCGATGCTAAGGGAAGTCTACTAAAGGACTATTCGGAAAACATTCCTACTGATAAAAAGAGATGCATAGGACATGATCCTTCTCCCTCCATTGGCATTGTTGGGTTCACAATGAAGTCAGAAACTACAGCAGCCATTTGTCACCCTTGAAGTACAGGCACGACCTCTGGATGGTGGACAGGAAGAGGGGACAGGGTCCTTAACAGCATAGCAGAACTGTTATTGTGAAATAATAAACCTCCTAGGAGGTTAAGCCATTTTGGATTTTTCTTTGCTTAGCAGCTGACATCATTATTATTGATAAAAGTGTAATAAATCATGGCATTTCTGTTGCGTCTCACTTGACTTAAACTTTTGCTTCCCTGCCCCCAGAAAATGAACAGGGGATAGGTTTAGCTTTTTCTTGTTTTGTGAATTGGAGAAACTGTCTTTTCTGACACTGTTTGTTATTTTACTTCTGGAATGCCTTTCTATATAAATCAAATAGGCCAAACTTTGCCTATTTCTTCATCTTTGACATGGGAATAAAGGACCAAACAACTACTCTTTCAACTATATAGAAACTGACTGAATACGGTTACTAATAAGAATAAATCCTAAATGACAAATTCTAAATAGCAGTAATAAGATGTGGCCATTTGCTATAATACCTTTAATTACAAATATAAAATACCGTTTTATTTGCATCTTTAAAAATAAGGCCTTTTTCTGCTGGGCATCGATATTGAACACTTATTTAGTAGGCACAATTCTACTTCCATTGTGCAAAAGGCACAAATAGTAGCTTTCGCCCCAAAGCAAAAACCCTTCAGGGAATCTGTCTCCACTAATGCATGTATTGATACACATGCATATTTCCCATTAATACTAATAGAACTTAATGTGCCTTTATAAATCACCTGAATTTTGATTCAGTGTGAATCTGATGCCAGATGATTCAAGATGAAATGACAAAATATATTTGTCTGGCAGCTATTCCGTAATACACCTTCATCATAGCTGAATTCCTGTCCTGTGACTGAAATATTAATCAAAAGCTGTTTCTTCTTGCTCTCATCTCCCACATACTGCCTCTTGCCATCAGAAGAGATGAAGCAGACTCATCTATGTGACTGCGTACCTCTACTCAGGCAAAATTTAACGTTCTATTGAATAAAATAAAGAGGGAATGAACAGAGAAGAGAAATTCATAGGGGTTTTTCTTCTTGTGGGAAGAAGTATGTGGGGCTTGGTTAAATCAAGTGTACATCTGTTCTTGAGTCCTGGAAGAAATGCTGGGCCACACAGGCCAAGTGTGAGCAATTTACACATCTTTATTCCCCTCTTTGTCCTCACCCGTTGTCAGCTGTACCAAGCATCTTACCTCTCTATATCTCAAGCCTCCGGAATAACAGATTTTGTATCCAGCATCCATGTACTCTCTGGGAGAAATGCATTTTAGCACCTCTCAGAATGGTGAAGGGCTCCTCAACCCGTATGCCTCCCCTCTTTCAAGCTTGGCTGTTCCGGTTGCATCTAACTTCAGCTTCTTTTCCTCTCTGATCTTTCCCCTGTCTTACTAGGATTCTAGTCATAGTGATCACTCTTGGAGACTGTCTTTGGTTTTACTCTGTTATAGGCAAAAAAGAAAGAGTGTGCTCTAAGACAAATGAAACACATACACACAGTGTATTTTTTTTCCCCAATGTGTCTTCCAGAGATAGCAAAATTAAACATCAGACAGAAAGGAAAACATAGATTGTAAGCAAAAGCCCTACATAATTTTCGTTTATGGCTTGACCACATATTGAAATTATGAAACATCAGCACTGAAAAGGGCCTTTGGCAGTATATTACAGTAATGCTCCACCCAAGAGCTATGACTTTTCACAGTGGCCAAGCCAACTGTGTCACCAGGATGTTTCACACAACGTGGTAAAGACTGCTGATGCCCCTTTTACAGATAAAGGAACTGAGATTAATTGAAAATGCTGCAAAAACAGACCAGGCATGGTGGCTCACACCTGTAATTCCAGCACTTTGGGAGGCCAAGGTAGGCGGATTACCTGAGGTCAGGAGTTCAAGACCAGCCTGACTAACAACATGGGGAAACCCTGTCTCTACTAAAAAAATACAAAAACTAGCCGGACATGGTGGCACATGCCTATAATCCCAGCTACTTGGGAGGCTGAGGCAGGAGAATTGCTTGGACCCAGGAGGTGGAGGTTGCAGTGAGCCAAGATCGCGCCATTGCACTCCAGCCTGGGCAACAGAGCAAGACTCTGTCTCAAATAAATAAATACTTCAAAAAACTATATCATTGCTGTCTATATTAATGAGTTACAAGTCATTTGGTTTTTTCTCTGTTCCAAGAGAGTTGGGGAATAATTAAATACAGAGCTGCTTGAATGGCTTTTAAATCCAAAGTGTCTTAATTCCCAAAACCTATGTGACACCCTGGATGAATCTTGAGGTCTACAAAGCCTTTCAGAGTTAGTTTGGTCATTATAATCTGCTTGAACCCAAGGGAATGTTAGGATTAATTGAGCTCTAATTACTAGTAGTTGAAGATTTGTGACAAAGGTATAGAATTGTAGTAGATCTTCAAATATTGCTCTAAATAGACATATTTTTTCTGAAGTAGAACACTTTTCATGTTGGTTATTGGGATGTGTTGCTCAGTGTATAAAATTTAAAGTTCTGTTAAAAAAGAAAACATTGTTGAGTGGAAGAGCTTGTAACAGTCTAACTCTGTTATCCATATCCAAGGGAAATATGGTTATTTGGATTATGAAACTATGGCCCAGCCATCCTCAACCTTGTGGCCTCTTATCGAATTGTGGATATCAGATTTAGGAGCAACTAAAGATATGCTACCTACCTCAGAAACAATTACATTCATCCAGTGATTCATTCAACAGTTTATTACCTGTCTGCTGTGGTCCAGACCCTGTGCTAGGAATAAATACAAAGAGAAGACAGGTTCCTACTCTTTGTGGGTCTCCTGGGTTGGCAAAGAAAAGCCTTTTGAAGGGCTCTAAAAGAGGCTGGGCACGGTGGCTCATGGCTGTAATCCCAGCACTTTGGGAGGCCAAGGCGAGGGGATCACCTGAGGTCAGGAGTTCAAGACCAGCCTGGCCAACATTGTGAAACCCCATCTCTACTAATAATATAAAAATTATCCAGGTGTGGTGGCACGTGCCTGTAATCCCAGCTACTTGGGAGGCTGAGACAGGAGAATTGCTGGAACGTGGGAGGTGGAGGTTACAGTGAGCCAAGATTGTGCCACTGCACTCCAGCCTGGGCTATACAGCAAGACGCCATCTCAAAGGGAAAAAAAAAAAAAGCACTAAAGGAAGGTACCAGTTATTTATTGGGGCATTTATATAGGTTAGTCCCTATTTCATAGCTGAGGCCCAGAAAATTTAAAGTAACATGCCCAAGTTCACACAGTATGTGACAGAGCTAGAAATGAAGCCCCTGTGTGTCTCATCATGCTCTTTCCACTACACCAGTGATACACTGCATGATCCCCACAGCCAGGTGCCATGATGTGGGTGGCCTGTGACGGCTGCTCCCTGTCGTGACTGCCACCATGCGCTGGAAGCATCTGTTATATGGATGCTGGAACCCCCACGTTCCTTCTTTCAGGACACTCTAGAATAGGGAAGAGAAGCCAGGAGTGCTGGCCTCAAGAGGATTTGCTGCGTCATTGTCAAGCCACCTGGAAGCCGCTCTCGGGCATACTTGGGTGGGACTGAGGAATGTCCCCTCTCAGCTTCAGGAAAAGAGTGTTCTTCTAGCCAGTGAACCAACCAGCGTCACTGGGAGACACTTTGATAGCTCCCCGAGGGTACACTGGGCAGCAGACAGTCCTGGAATAGTGGAGCTGTCGCCAGAAGGGTTGCCCAGGGAATTGGGAGTTTAGGAGAACCGGGAGAAGAGGGAAATCATCTTCACCCAGAGCATCAGCAGGCAGGAAAGAGGAGCCACCAGATTAAGCAGGACACTGTGCAAAATGAGCATGAAGGTAGGAGAAATACACCCAGGAAGCAGGTACAGCCATGGGGCAGCACTGATGCCAAGAGATGGGGAATATGGGGACAGGCCAAGGTTGGTGTCTCAACAGTGATTAAGAATTAGGACCTTGGGGGCTGAAGAAAGTAGGATTCAACCAACAATTGTTGACAAAAGACATCTTAATTGCTTCTTCTCAAAGTCCAAGATGCTCTGAAAGCTGAACATTTTTAGTGGCAAAACCAGTCCTGAATTGACGTAAGGCTGTCTGTAATCTTCATTCCTCTCTCTTAATGTGACTATTCTTACCATTTTGCTACAGAAATACGTGTATATCTGATTATGGATGATGCGGGTGGTATTATATGATAGAGAAGATAAGAATAGAATTACATGTGTGGAACTGCAAAGCCTGAATTTCTAAACACATCTATTCTCAAGGGTTTCTGACAGGGGACTGTGTGTCATGCACTCACTTCCTCATTATCTCATTTAATCCCCACAAGAATCTTGAGAGGAAGGTTTGTTTCCCTCATTTTGTAGAAGAAAAAAGTAATATAGAGAGGAGTTTATTTGACCCAGGTCCCACAACCAGTGGAAAGTAACAGAGTGAGGCTTGAACCCAGTTTCTGTGCCTGAGCCATGCAGTCCGGTGATGGGGACGGTAGAGCAGCAAGCAATGGCTTCAGGGGAGGGGACTCAGGGACATCACTAAGCTTCTCCTGGTAAGAACAAGATAGCTTGTGATCCTCCTTTTACATTCTCCTGCCCCTGCCTGTGACATCTCCCACAGTTATTTTGGGTTTTATTTAAAAAGAAACAACTGCTGGGCTAGAGCCTTCTGTCAGCATGAAGTTCTAGCAATGCTGAGTTAGAGTGAAATCGAATTTTTGTAAAAACTCTAGCGTCCTTCAGATACATGAGAAGACCCCTAAGACCATAGTTTTAAAACTTTAAGCAGTCTCCAATTCCTTTGCAAACTTGATGAGAAGAACCCTCTCTGTGGGATATTGCACAGAAACCTCCACAGACTAAATTTTTCACTCTATTTCAGAGGCTCCTACCCACGAACCCCAGATTAAGAATCTGTATTCTCCGCTTTTATGGAATAAGTAAATTTTCTGTGACAAAAATTAATAGCAAAAAAAAGTTCAACTGGAAAGAGTCAAGATTATTTCAATTAATATGTCAATGATTCTGTGGAGATGTAATTGCTGTAGAAGCCTGGAATTCCCTAGCCAAAGGGTGTGTGTGTGTGTGTGTGTGTGTGTGTTTAAAGTGTTGAGAAAAGCACGGGGAAGGGAGGCTCAGGTGATTATTCTCATTTCTCAAGAAAATTACCCATACAGGTATTATTAAATCCTTACAGTTCTTTTGACCTCTCTGCTCTTATAAACAACCAACTGGTCAGTCCTGAAAACAGGCACTAGATTAGAGGTCGCTTTCAGTTCAGGATCTTGTCATTATCTCTGGTCTGTATGTGCTTGGAGACTTCGGATCTCCTAGGCAGGTTCCTTTTCATCATCTGCAATACTCAATTTGCAAACCACTGTCAGGGCCCTACTACAAAAAATCTCCAGCTGGCATCTTAACTGTCTAGTTTATTTTCCCCTTGCTCTTTTGATTTACTAGGGTTCTAAGCCATTATTTTCTAAAACTAAATGTTTCCTAGTCTTTTATATCTCTGCTTGATAGTTATGATAACCTGCTCCCAAGAGTATAAAACTAGAAATGATGAATAGAAGAATTGTGTTCGCCATTAGCCAACACAGAAAACAGCTTCTTCTCAGAAATTCAAAAAGTTGATAATGGCAGATTGGGGTTTTTACATGATTACCTTTATGACAGTTCTGTCACTCCACACCAAGTGCAATATATTCAGGCTGGCTTTTTTCTGACAGGAGTATCCATCGCTCCTGACACTGGACTGAGGTCTAATTCTGATTTGTGCATTTGGTAATTGACAGAAACTGATGGTGCGTGCATGTTGACGTGAAGTTAAAAAAATAGGCATGTTCGTACAAAATGCTTATATGCCCCTCATTTCGCACATGTTAATAATATAAGATGAAATGATACATGCAGTTGAGTGAAAATGGTTAGGTTCTTGAACTCTGTAGTTAATTTAACCTGGATTTGGATATTGAACCACTTTTCTGCTATATAACTATAGGTAAGTTACTCTATATCTCTATACTTCATTCTCTGACATTAAAATTAGTATTACCCCATAGAGGAGCTTCAAGTATTAATTGAGATAATACATGTAAAGCACTTACTTAGGACAGTGTCTAGTTCAATATGTGTTTTCTCTCATCAATATTACCTCTCAGAATAATAATGATTTCCCAGCTCTATTCTCCCACCAGATCCCTCTCCAACATTGTTTGTGCCTAAATACAACTGAGCCCCAAAATGTGCCTAGCTGTATATTTGGTATTTCTCTCAGCTCTGATATATTAGAGAATTCGTGCTTGGATGAGGGAGCGGGGAGGAAAGTCTCATGTTGCCATAGTGCTTTGCATGACATGAGATTTCATGCCGTTATTACCAACAGCTTTTTTATACTGTATAGCAGTCTGTAGGGGCTCAATGTGTTTCTGCTGAACTGAGCTGAAACAGGAGACAAAGAAAATGACTGTGTTCCTTGCACCTGCTTGCACTCTGGGGCCATCCCTGCCCTGGCCCTGTAGTCATCACTGGTAGATGGATGTAGAAGAGCTATTCCAGAACAAAACATTCTGAGGAGTCTGGCGGGCTCGTTCCTATCACCCTGGTGCCCAGGAGTCCAGGGATGCCTGGTTCATCTGGGATCATCATGGGAATTCTGCCATGCTGTCACTTGGCCCTGCAGAGAGTTGGACAGAAGACTGTGAGGGGTTCTGCCAGCACCTGGACAGGCTCCCTGTGAGAAGGGCCACTCACCTAGCTTTATGTTTTTGTCAGCTTTAAATTGCTTTCGGCCTAAAACCACCTGTCTTATTCCAACTGAAATTCAATAAGCATCTGGAAAAAAACAACCCAGTTTGGAAACCAGTAGGAAACCCAATCATTACCTTTCTTAGTTTGGCCAAAGTGTGCAAATCTTAGTTTCTTGTGAAACTTATGAAATTTTAAAATCTATGTCCCACTGAGGCAGTCATTCTAGAAAAGGAAAGGTTGATAAGACCTAATATGTTTAAATCATGCTAAATAAGTCTTCCACAACTTAGCTCAACAAAAGCTAACACTCTGGGCTTCTTCTGTTTGGGATGGGTGCTCTGGAGTGGAAAAAGGTTATCCTCATGAGGACAGATGCAGACATTTTGCCAGACTGCTGATGAGGGAACTTGTAATTTTTTAAAATCTTTAAAAATGGGATTCTCAGTAATAAACGGCCCTCTACGAGGTATCATAGAAAGCAACATTGTAATGACTATCTTATTTCTGATGATAAATTGTGGTGTCGTTTCATCGCATCCCCAGACGTCAGGGTCAACTGTAAAATCAGAGTCAACTTGCTGTGCTTGCTGGAACTTTTCCACAGCACTAAAATTTTGCTATGGTGTATAGTGGACAGAGCTAGCAGAAATATCTACTTTTTTATTTATTTATTTTATTTATTTATTTATTTTTGAGAAAGAGCCTTGCCCTGTCGCCCAGGCTGCCGTGCAATGGTGCGATCTTGGTTCACTGCAACCTGCACCTCCTGAGTTCAAGTGATTCTCCTGCCTCAGCCTCCCAAGTAGCTGGGATTACAGGCGCCCGCCACCACACCCAGCTAATTTTTGTATTTTTTAGTAGAGATGAGATTTCACCATGTTGGCCAGGCTGGTCTTGAACTCCTGACCTCAAGTGATCTGCCCGCCTCGGCCTCCCAAATTGTCCTAACTTCTTTTTATAAAAGAAAACCTTTTCCCTGGCAGAACTATACCAGCAATACCTTCTAATATGTAACAGTAGATTTTAAGTTTCTAGAATATGGATGACATGAAGGAATTTATAGTATTACTTTTCCACATCTACTTGTATCATTTTTTAGCTTCTGTTCTTTTTCCTACTACTTTTATTGTCTAAAGAGAAATACTCGGATTTCTTGCTTACTTGGCCTTCTGTACTTCGTTGTGCTTGTGCAGATTGGGTTTTTAATATTTATTTATTTTGGTAACTTTTTATTATGATAAGACTGGCTGGAGGGGGAAAAACATGAAGCATATTGAATTACTTACAGTGGCAAATGATATTGTTATTCTAATACCATGAACAAAAACAAAAAACAATGGGCTGGAGTCAGGACATGTGGGTTCTAACTCCTGTATCTCCAGGAAGACCGCTGGCATCTGGGGACATTTGTGTGAGACGACCAGTCAGGTCCGTCCAGCCCTGAATGATGGGGAGAGTGTCCCACAGTGCAGGGAAAGAGGATGAGATGGCAGTGCTGAAGCCAGCCTCTCTCAGCAGCACATTTTCTCCCTGACCTCATCTCTTTTTTCTTTTTCTTTTTTTTTTGAGACAGAGTCACGCTCTGTCTCCCAGGCTGGAGTGCAATGGTGCAATCTCGGCTCACTGCAACCTCCACCTCCCGGGTTCAAGCAATTCTCATGCCTCAGGCTCCCGAGTAGCTGGAATTACAGGTGCTCACCATGCCCGGCTAATTTTTTTGTTTTTAGTAGAGACGGGTTTCACCATGTTGGCCAGGCTGGTCTCGATCTCCTGACCTCAAATGATCATCCTGCCTCGGCTTCCCAGAGTGCTGGGATTATAGGCATAAGCCACCATGCCTGGCCTAATGTCTCTCATCTCTATCAGGAAGATAGTAATAGCATCCCTCCAAGCACCGCTAGAGACTTAGGTTAGGGAGTTAAATGAAATCCTGGGCTATAAAGCGCTTACCACTAGTCCCTGACACTGAGTCCCTGAGTACACACTGCTTATTATGGACCACATGGCCCCACTTAATCCTGAATAGCAACCTAGACAGACTCGAGCCAGACTGGCTGTGCCACCTTGGGCAAGTTGCTTAACCTCTCTGAGCCTTGTCCTTAACACAGTGACAATAATATGCATAGCATAGGATTGTTGTAAGGACTTTAAAAATCTTGATAGGAATATTGCTTACTGTTTGGCATGTGCTGCGTACTTGCTGAGTGACACTCCATAACCCAGTGGCAGTTATTGAAGCAAAGTGCTTTACCATGTTATCACTTTCCATCCTCACAGTAGCCTATGTGGTACCGTTTTGTTCTTATCCCCATTTTACAGACAGGAAAACTGAGAACATCATCCAGATCACACAGCCAGCATGTGGTGGAGGCAGGGTTCAAACGCAGGTCCTCCTAATCTAAAGCCCACCAGCCTTACAGTCTGTGGTGGGCCTGTATCCCTCAGGAAACAGCCAGGGCAGTCTAAACTGCTAAGATGCTTCCAGCGCAGGCCCAGGCACCAATATCCTGAGGAAGGATGTCAAGAATCTAGAACACCCAGGCCAGACTCACTGGCTCTCGCCTATAATCCCAGCACTTTAGGAAGCTAAAGTGGGAGGTGGGAGGATCCTTTGAGGCCAGGAGCTTGAGACCAGCCTGGGCAACATAGTGAGATCCCATCTCTAAAAAAAAAAAAAAAAAAATTAGCCGGGTGTGGTGGTGTGTGTCTGTAGTCCCAGCTACTGGAGAGGCTGAGGCAGGAGGATCACTTGAGCTCTGGAGTTTGAGGCTGCAGTGTGCTATGATGGCACCACTGCACTCCAGCCTGGGTGAAAGAATGAGACTCTGTCTCAAAAAAAAAAAAATAAATAAAAAAAATGAATCTTGGGCACTTGTAGTTCAAGAAGCTCCCGTTCCCAGGCACCCCAGCACCCTCATTTGCAAACCAGATTCATGGCTGAGTGTAGCAACACTGCCAAGAGGGCACTGCATACACTCTGCTTAAAAGTCAAGCACTTTTGAAAACATCTGCTTGAAATTGTGAGCCACTGATTGAAATGAAATGAAAAAAAAATAAAAAAACTTAGCTGCCAAGCAACCATGGAAAGAGGAAGAGGAAAAAAGAACCAGCGACAAACAGCTAGTAAACACATCGCCACAGATGGTCACACAATAAGACCCCAACCCAAAAACATAACCTAACATGTAAAGATGACAGAGGTTTTTGCCAAAAGTTATTTTACGCTTCAGTAAGGGGAACAGAAAACTGTTCTTTTTCTGTTGAATGGCACAAATCTACAGGGCTCATTTTCTTTAGTGGGACATTCCTCTACTTTGTTGGTTCTAACACAACACAGCTGCCCCAGTGCAACTAAGCTGGTGGGTATCTGACTTTTGCAGGAAAAAGGGTCCCTGGCCTTTGTCCTCACTGCTCTGGTGGCAGAAGGAGAGCTGGTGCTGGGACCTTGGAGGGAGAGCTTCCTCCTCCCTCCCAGCTGCCACATCAGGACAGAAAACTGACTCCTGCTAGCAGTACTTTGGAAGAAGTTCTGCTCTGGACTTTGTAGGTCACGCAGTCAGAGGGATTTAAATCCAGGCAGTTCAGAGTCCACACCACCTTGTGAACCCTTCTGCTTCTCTGTGATGATAGTTTAACCTTATCTGACCTTGGCTAGTGTGCCTGCCTCAGAAAGGATTTGTTTATCCTTAATGAAAAGGATCTTGCATTTTTATAAACTCTGAAATATCCCTCTTCCAATCCAAAATGAGCATAACTTAGAACTCAGAGCTGAAATTGCATGTTCATGCTCAGCCTGAAAGTGGATGGAGGTGCTGAGGTAAGGACTGGGCTTCCTTGGAAAGACCTTAGGGAGGACCACAGGCTCATGGGAGCCAGGATTGGCCTTGGTTATAGGAACAGTGTTCAAAACATGCCCACGCAGCATCCTCACTTCTCAGAAACAGAAGAGCCTTCCTAGGAATCAAACAGCCTGGCCACATTTTATCTTGCGAAACTATTTGGCCTAGGTTCTCCATCTCCCTCACCTCCTACATCTAATTGATTCTCTCCTCATTGTAGAAATTCCAGGAGCCCCTTTCTGCTTTCCCTTCTTTTTACTTCATATCTTAAACTTTGCAGTAACGTTGCCAATCTCCTTGTTTTCTCTCCTATTTTCTCATCCACCCTGCACAGAAATGTCTGATTATCTCTTCCCCTATGCAAAAGAATTCAGACCTCCCCATTTCCCCTATGATCAAAGTTCAGTCTTTATCCTCAAATTCTTCTGACGCTATGATGATTCCCACTCAGCTGCATGCATTATCTCCTCCAAACTCGTTTTTCCCTAGTCCTTTAACACGCCTCATGATTCTCACCTGTTAACCTGTCACCTTTATCCTCCCAAACAACGCAGATACAGGTGAAATGGCCCTCACTCTGGCTCCACACTTAAGGGGACCCTCCTCTGGCCTTCCTCCTCCTTCTGGGGCAAAAAATTGGCAGAGCTAAGGGAACGTACCCACTGAGCCCACATCCTGCTATCTGGTCCATGCCTGGGACACCTGAGACCCTGCTGCAATGGTTCAATGGCAGCTTTCATGACCTGTGCAGGTGATGGGGAAATGGACTGAGTTTAGACTTGCAGGCCTGGGTGTTTCCCCACGTGCATAGGAGGCTCTTTACAGCACAGGTGGAACCTGAGGGGAGGGTCCGGGATGGGAGTGTGACATGCAAAATGGTGCATGGTATTGAGGAAGCCAAAAGAGTTTCAAGAAGAATGGAATAGTAGATAGTGGCAACTATAGCAAAGGTGAAATAGGACATGCACTGAAACATACATGTGGGTTTGGCAATTTGGAGGTCTCTTCATCTAAGCCTGCGAAAGCACCTCCAGTAATTCTTCTCATTTTGAAGTCAAATCTATTTTTCTTAGTCTGTTCGTGCCACTGTAACAAAATACCACAGACTCAGTAATTTATAGAGGATAGAAATTTACTTCTCACAGCTCTGGAAGCTGGAAAGTGCAAGACCAGGCACAGACAGTTTCAGTGTCTGGTGAGGGCCCCGTCTCTGCTTCCTCAATGGCACCTTCAACTCTGTATCCTCATATGGCAGAAGGGATAGAAGAGCAAAAGGGGGATGAACGCTGTGTGCTCACATGGCGGAAGTGCAGAAGAGCGAAGAGGTCTGAACTTGTTCCCTCCAGCCGTCTTGTAAGGCACTAATCCATTCATAAGGGTGGACTTAATCATCCATGACAATCACTTCCCAAAAGACCCTACCTCTTAATACCACCACAATGAGAATTAAGTTGCAACGTTAATTCTAGCGGGACATATTCAAACCATAGCAGTACTCATATTATTACAACTACACTACTAGTTGAACTAGTAGTTGTGGGAATAGCAATGATTGGATGGGGAAAACAAGAGTAAATGGCCAATACCAACAGATACATGAAAAAATGCTCAGTCTGGACATGGTGGCTCATGCCTGTAATCCCAGCACTTTGGGAGGCTGAGGCAGGCAGATTGCTTGAGGCCAGGAGTTTCAGACCAGCCTGGCCAACATGGTGAAACCCCGTCTCTACTAAAAATACAAAAATTACCAGGCATGGTGGCACGCGCCTGTAGTCCCAGCTACTCTGGAGGCTGAGGCATGACAATCACTTGAACCCAGGAGGCAGAGGTTGCAGTGAGCCGAGGTCGTGCCACTGCACTCCAGTCTGGGCAACAGAGTGAGACTGTGTCTCAAAAAATAAAATAAAATGTGACCAATAGACCCCATATCTAACAAATGATTTCTGCATAGTTCATCATTAAAACAAAATCCCTCTTTTTTCCCTCCACTTATGTAAATTTAATTTATTCCCATTTATTAAAGCTACTTTCTGGGACTTGAAAATGCTTTCTAAATGTTCATTCCATTTTTACATTTGCAATCCACTCCATTCAACACGTCTTACTGCAGATTGAATTGCTTGCTAAATTTGAAAGAGATCAATAAATAGCAGCAAAAACTACAGGAGGTCATTTATTTTTTTTTATTATTAACAGGCCCAATAAATCTGAGCCTATTTTCTTCAAATAAATCAGCTGGAAATAAAAAATTGCTTTTGAGTAATTTACAAGGTTAAACCTCAAAATAAAATTTTACTTTCATTCGTGACTGGTATTAACATGACAGAGCCTCAACAGAGCTTGCTTAGTACTGAATTTATATCCACCATTTGCACAAATATCTTTTGCATAGCTGTATGCAAGGAAGTGAATAGATCTGAAACGTAACAGACTGAGACTACAAACACAGTGAATAGGCAGAAGTCCTCTGTATTTAAAGGGTTTGGGGAACATATGATAATTCTGATTTTTACACAACATTTCTCCAGGAACGTTTCATTTTGAAAATGACCTGGATCCCACAGAATTTACAGTGGCTACTTTAAGGCAGGAGGAAGGTGCCTGTAACTTCCAAGGCTGATTTGATTTGAGTTCATCTAGACAAGGGGTGATATTGCTTTGGCTACAGCCCAGAGCATAATTTTCCCTTTGGTGAGCTGCGGTGGTTGTGAACAGAGATTAATTGGCTGATTAGAATTTCAAAGGGCACTGATAACAGTGGTGAAGAGAAGGAAGTGACAGGAGAAGTTCAAGTCCATTAAAACACTTCACAGTGACTGAGTCTTTCTCCCATTCTGCAAGATTCCTTTCCCTGCGGGTCACTTAGCCTGTTCTTTACTTCTCACTCTTCCTCGTAGTAGCCTTCTTTATGTTTCCCTTTACCTCCTTTCTTCAGCCTCTTCCTTTGCATCTTTTTTCACTACCCATAAAATAAAACTGAAAAACATTCCTCTCTTCCTTTATAAAGTTTTATTTTCCCTCTTCTTAAATTCAAAAGCAAGGTGAACTTCTTCTCCCCTTCTAACCTATGGTCTCCCTGGTCAATGTGTGGGGCACCTTTGCTTTTCCTCCTTCACATTAAGGGGCCACAATATCAAATGTATTCCCATGCAATGGAGCCCCTTAGGTAGCTGAGGAATAGTGTGAATTTGTTTGGGCAGATAAATCAACAATTAGGATGTTTCCCAGACACAATCCCTATCTATGTCTTTAATACCATAGCCACAGAAAAATATTTCACACATTTTCCTTCTTGCCTTAATTAAAACTATTTAGGCAAGTGAATGAAGCGATTCCTGAGGTGGGGAAGGTGCTAGCACAGAGGCTGGAGGTACTCCTCTCTCTGCAGGCTCCTAAGCTGGAAAGGAGATTGGGGCTGCACCCTCAGGAAGAGACACCGAGATCATTCAATGCCCTGTGCACTTCAAATCGCTTCTGCCCCATAGAGCTGCTGAGATTTTGCACCAAGAAGTGAACTACATAAGCCTCTGACTTCCAGAAAGATTTGCAACTTGTTTGTCAAGTTAGTACTGAAAACATTACGGTTATGACTACATACATAATACACATAAGGAAATGTTGAATAATTGCATAATAATTCTCCACATAAGGAAATGTTGAATAATTACATTGAATCATTTTACTACCATTATCTTATAAATTTTATTATTGCAAAGGGTTTTGTGTTTTAGGTTTTTTCCCCCTCCTTCCCCTTCGATCTCTCTCTCTCTCTCTCTCTCTCTCTCAGTCCCTCCAAATATGTTTACTAAGCAACTCCTAGTAAACAAGGGAATGGAAACTTCTCTTATCATTACATCACAGGGCTGGGGGCTTCTGTTTCTGACTGTGTCTTAGTTACACCTACCGGACCTCTTGGTTCCTCCTCTCCTTATTTATATAATGAGGATAATAGTACTTCGCATGCGAACTGAGTCTCAGATGGACAGTAACTAAATGTTATTAAATATGGTCATCATCCTGAAACATTCTGGGCACGGCCAAGGCAAACAAAGGATGATGCTGAGAACTCTCTTAAAAAAGACCCAAGAATTGAAAATGTTCCTGGAGAGGCAGCGGAGCATGGTGGATAAGAGCCTAGACAGAGAGAGAGCCGAGCTGTCTGGATTTGAATGCCAGTCCTGCCTCTAACTAACTAGGTGGGCCTCCAATCTCAGTTTCCCCAAATGTGAAATATAGTTATATCTGTGACCCCCCTCAGAGGCCTGTAACTAGGATTACATGAGTTAATATTTATAAAGTTCTTAGAACAGTGCTTTGAATATCAAAGTGCTGTGTAAATAAAAATTTCACATTTCAGATTATGCTGGAATCAAGTCACTGCTTTGTCTGAAAAGATGCAGTCATGATTGTTGTCACTCATAAGCGAGACTGAGTTCAACCAAGAGGCTTCCGCTGATGTGGGTTACAAGTGACCACATGACAGAGGACACAGCAATCCATTGACTGTTTGTCTTTAAACTATGTTGCTTCTCTGCCTCCTAACAATGTTCGCTCATGTAACCCACCCATTTTAAATGTGATGTCTCAGATTCTATTATAACTTCATGTGAGTTTATTTTTTTAACTAGAGGGTAGAATATATGCAATGAGATAAAACAAGGAGTGACTAATTGCAGGACATAGCTCATGACTCAATTTCAAAAAAATAGACTTAGCCTACTTTATTCAATAAAGCATGACCAAGCTCAAAGAAATGACATAAAATGCTGATGTGTAGATTTATCAATTATATCACCAAAAACTTTGGTAGACCCACAAAACATTCTTGTTGCATTTGAAAAGATCAGCCTCAATAATCTATACTGCTTTGGCTCTTTGGAATTGAGAACATCCATATCTCTATATATGTATAATCTAAAATATCACTTTACCAGCACCAAGATTTTACAGAATTTTGTATATAACAGAGAAAAATAAAAAGTCTTACATGGGCCAGGCACAGTGGCTTATGCCTGTAATCCCAACATTTTGGGAGGCCAAGGCAGGAGGATCACTTGAGGCCAGGAGTTTGAGCCCAGCCTGAGCAACATGGTGATAGCTTGTCTCTACCAAAAATTTTAAAAAATTAGCCAGGTTCGGTGTCTCACACCTATAATTCCAATGCTTTGGGAGGCTGAGGCGGGAGGATCACTAGAGCCTAAGAGGTCAAGGATACAGTGAGCTATGATCATGCAACTGCTCACTCCAGCCTGCCCCTCCAAGCAACAAAAAAAAGTAGAAGAAAGCCTTATGTGTTTAGGTTGCCTTGATGCCTTGATGAATCATTAGAGAGGCTTCCCCCCAGCCTTTTTTTTTTTGAGACAGATTCTTGCTCTGTTGCCCGGGCTGGAGTGCAGTGGTGCGATCTTGGCTCACTACAACTTCTGCCTCAGGGGTTCAAGCAATGATCCTGCCTCAGGCTCCCAAATAGCTGGGATTACAGGTGCCTGCCACCACCTTTGGCTAATTTTTGTATTTTTAGTAGAGATGGGGTTTCACCATGTTAGCCAGGCTGGTCTCAAACTTCTAGCTTCAAGTGATCCGTTCTCCTGGGCCTCCCAAAGTGCTGAGATTGCAGAAGTGAGCCACTGCACCCGGCCTCCATTATTTTTATTTATACTTTTATTTAGCTCTTTAGCAGTTTGCACACCCCTGAGCAATGCCCCATAGTAATATTGGGAATGAGTAATGAGATGGGAGATGGGTATAGTTTTATTTTTTATAAATTGATAGAAAAAATTTTGCGTAAATGTTTTCTAAGCAATTATGAACCAACTTTTCCTGAAAGTAGATCATCTTAGGAAAAAATAGTTATGGAAGTTGAGAACATCGACACTGATTCCTTCCCAAAAAATCTGGGCCTTTGTATAGGTGACCCATCGTGGCTCCACAGCTTCCTTCTTGCAGACAGATGTGGGAGAAGTGGTTCCCAAGGACCGCTGGGATGGTTAGTGGAAGTGAGTAGGAAGAAATATTATGGTTTCCTATTACAGGTGAAGATAGAACAAACTGGAAGGCAAACAGAGCAAGAGGAGCCCCTGGTTATGGGTGGAAAGAAGTCCTGTGATTGTCTTAAGCATTGGAGTGGCTATTGTTAACGCAACTCCATCACTTCCTTCACCCTGCACACTTCAGATACCAGTTTTAACTGTGTTCCTAATTGCAATACACCAAAGGTTATGGACAGAGTTACACTTACAGAAGTAATTTATGAAGAATATATATTTAGGTTTTTCATAAATCTAATTCTTTATCATCTGTACTTTACAAATAAAGATTGAGAGTAGATTAAAAAGTGTGGTATATGTACACCATGGAATACTACTCATCCATAAAAAGGAATGAAATAATGTTTTTTGCAGCAACTTGGATGGAGCTGAAGGCCATTTTTCTAAGTAAAGTAACTCAGGAATGGAAACCCAAATATCGTATGTTCTCACTTATAAGTGGGAGCTAAGCTATGAGGATGCAAAGGCATAAGAATGATATAATGGACTTTGGAGACTGAAGGGGAAAGGGTGGGAGGGGAGTGAGGGATAAAAGAAGACACATTGGGTACAGCATACACTGCTCAGGTGACAGGTGCTCCAGAATACCAGAAATCACCACTAAAGAACTTGTCCATGTAACGAAAAACCGCCTGTACCCCAACAACTATGGAAATTTTTAAAATAAAATAAAAATAAAGGTTGAATTGCTAGATAACAACCCAGTGAGGCTGTTACTGTCTTTCTGGTCTTTCTCCAAAAAATGAGAAATCTATAAATATTCAGAAGCTTTGTCTACATCAAAGTGACCAACAGAACTTTGCAAATGAGAAACAGCAAATATTTGCAAGATAATTGGCATTTCATTCTTAGAGAAAGCTGTTTTCTAACAACAATAGTTTAGCATTTTTGCTCTCATTTTATTTAAAAGTAGACCCAATGGAGAAACTGTAGTTTAGAAGAAAAGACAGTATGAAAAGGAAGCCACTTTCCCCTCTCATCTCCATACATAATGTATGATTGTGGGAGAGCTCTCTGGGGAAACAAACAGGCAATTGATTGCAATGACTATTCTCTATTTATTCCAGTGATAAAAATGAAAGACTGGACTCCACATCAGATTTTTTTTATTAAAGAACTTAAAGAAAAATGGTTTATTTGATGTCTTATTACATCATAAACACTTAACAAATTTCTAAGCATTCATTTTATTTTAGCATAATACCACTACTTAATGGATTGATTTTTTAATTGTAGGAAATTCAGGTATTTGTTTTCAATCCTGATTTTTTAAATTCTATAGTTGCTTTTCCCTGAAGTAAAAATAAATGTGACAATCATAAATGGAGTGGGGAGGTAATGCATGCCTACATACACATTTAATCGTTCAGTCAGGATGCTCATTATATATGTGCATTTGTATCTACTTTTATCTGTCAAAATGCTTTAGGCTGCTGGTAATAGAAAACTCAGCTCAAAGTGGTTTAAACAGCAAGGAAAATGCATTATCTCCCACAACGCGAAGTGGGGCACCTCCGGGGTTGGACAATTCTGTAGCTCAACTGTGTCATCAAGAATATAGTTTTCTCTCTTCTTTCTTCTGTGCCTTCGAGGACACGTAGCCTGTGTATTCCCACTGGCTTCTTTATGGTTGCAAAATGGCTGTTGTAAGTACACTTATGTCACTCAGGACACCATCTGATTTCCAGTGGTAGAAGAGTCCATCTCTTTTCCGGTATCTTTCTCTTTTTAGGAGCCAGGCAACCTCTCCGGAAGCTGGGGTCCTACCTCAAGTCTCATTAGCAAGGATTGGGTTATATGTCTCTGCCTACAACACTCACGATCAAAGACAGTAGGAATGCCCTGATTGGTTTAGAGAGTTCAGGTTAACCCTTAAGCTCCATTGGGGGTGGGGAAGTAGTATATTCAACAAAATTTTGGATTGATGAGCAGGGAAACTTGGAGTCAGGAGGTGGTCTGAGGTGGCTGTTGGGGAGGCAACAATACCAAACATTTATTAGCCTAAGTATAGCTCTACGAAGTATGAATGTTACTAATTCTGAAATGTTCCTTGTGGTTTTAGGCACCCTAGCCTTTAAAATGAGCAATCTAGAATTTGGACACCATGTTGCTTTATTTTCTTAATGACTATCAGAAAAGGTTTATGTACAAAGTTGTTTTTGTCTCTCTCCTCCATTAGAAGGTAAATTCCTGGAGAGAAGAGACTGTATTTGTCTTGTCCATAGCTGCATCTCCAACATCTAGAACAGTTTAATCAGCATATGGTAGGCACTCAGGAATTTGTTTGTTTGTTTGTTTGTTTGTTTTGAGACAGAGTCTCACTCTGTTGCCCAGGCTGGGGTGCAGTGGTGCAATCTCAGCTCACTGCAACCTCCGCCTCCCGAGTTCAAGCAATTCTCCTGCCTCAGCCTCCCAGGTAGCTGAGATTACAGGCATGCACCACCACACCCAGCTAATTTGTGTATTTTTAGTAGAGATGGGGTTTCACCATGGTGGCCAGGCTGGTCTCAAACTCCTGACCTCAGGTGATTTGCCTGCTTTGGCCTCCCAAAGTGCTGGGATTACAGGCACTTTGAGCCATCATACCCAGCCAGGAAATATTTATTGAATAAATGACAAAAATTGCAATTAGAATGTTGTAATCCCTCTCCAATCACAGTGTATGTTTTTATATTGCAAACTGAATATGTACATTCCTGTATCTTTTTGTACACACATGGTTCCATTCCATCACCTGAAATAGGAGAAAACCACAATAGTTATTGTCCACTCTTCCATTAAGGTGGTTCTGTGACATGGTGCAAAGAAGAGGTTTGATCATGTCATACTCCGATGTAACCTCAGGATAGAAAAACACAGCTGGAAAAACACCTGTAAGCACCACAATAACATAAAAAAAGTACCCAAGCATTGGGCCAAGACTGGCAGACACAAAGCAGGGAAAATTCAAGTGCAAGAAACATTACATTTCAAGCTAGTACAGACTGGTTTGAAAACTGTAAGAGGATTCATCCTCTAACCTCTAAACATACAATTTTTGATGTGCCTGCAAAAATTATATCATGAATAATTGAAGTCGATTGTGAAGAGTTACCTACTCCAGCAGGGTTTTTGATATGGACTATTTCAATTTATTTTAGAATTTATATAGATATGTATGATATCTTTTTTCAGATATGTAACCCCTGGAGGTGTTGAGATTTAATAGTATTTTTAATAGCACTGAATATTTTACTTATCCGTTATTTCTAATACTTATTAAGCACCCTCACCCTTAAATTCTAAGAGACAAAACTGTCAAAGAAATCACAATTCCTCCTTTTAAGTATCTTATGGTCTAGAATAAATGCTGAGACACCCATGTGAGCAATTATAATTCAAGGTTGTGTGGGATGTCTCAAGAGTAGTACAAACAAAATATTGTGGCAAATTCAATAGAAGATAGACATTCTGAGAAGATCAGAGAATAGCCCATGAAAGAAGTGGTATTGGACCTGAGCTTGTCAAATGGATTTGGGGAGGTGGATAAGACTCCCCAGAGGTTCCAGCCACAGGATTAGGTCATGGTACAGTTAGCTGGAGCCATTACCAAGGTGTTCTTCAAGTGAGCGTTTTATGCTCCACCAGCATGTGACTTTAGCTCTTTTTCTCCATAAAAACATTGTTCTACAGTTTAATGTTTTTATGGAGAAAGACAGCATGCTTATTTAAATTGGTTTGTAGTACAAAGCAGGTAGAAATAGAGACTACACTTAATGACAGAGAAAAAAATCCAAGAAAATCTTGGCTGGGCGCAGTGGCTCATGCCTGTAATCCCAGCACCTTTGGAGGCCGAGGCGGGCAGATCACTTGACGTCAAGAGTTCAAGACCAGCCTGGGCAATGTGGTGAAACCCCATCTCTACTAAATAATGCAAAAACTTGGGCAACATGGTGCATACCTGTCACCCCAGCTACTGGGGAGGCTAAGGCAGGAGAACCACTTGAACCTGGGAGGCAGATGTTGCAGTGAGCCAAGATCGCACTACTGCACTCCAGCCTGGGCAAAACAGCAAGACTCCATCTCAAAAAAAAAAAAAAAAAAAAAAAACACTTAACTGGCTAAAATGACTGATGGGTTCTAACATGATAAAAATTTTAAAATAAATGTAAACTCTTAACTTTGATTTTTTTCAAGAAATTTCTGCCCAAGTACAGGATAGAATTGCCCTGGCTTAACAACAACTCACATAAAAGACTTGGGGAGGGTTAGTGGACTACATGTGACATGTCTACCCTAATGCTGATGCAAACTGTATTCATTTAGCCTAAAATGTATCATTCAACAAACATTTTTAAATTAACATTCGGGCAAAAAGTACTATACAAGGAAGTGGAGGTGTAACAATTGATAAAAATGATCCCAGTCCTAAGAGACATATAGCTTATATAGCTTATGATAGAGGTGAACAAACAAATACTAAACGTATAACACCAGAGTTATACCTCAACAAAGCTGTTTAAAAAAAAAGTGACGTCCAAATTTAGCAAACAGCTTTATTGAGATATAACTTGTATGCCTTATAATTTATTCATTGAAAGTATACAATTCCATGACTTCTCATATATTCACAAAGTTGTGCGACCAACACCATAATATAACGTCAGAGCACTTTTTTTTTTTTTTTTTTTTGAGACAGAGTCTTGCTCTGTCGCCTAGGCTGGAATGCAATGGTGCGATCTTGGCTTACTGCCTCCAGGTTCAAGCGATTCTCCTGTCTCAGTCTCCTGGATAGCTCGGATTACAGGTGCATGCCACTACACCCAGCTAATTTTTGTATTTTTAGCAGAGACGGGGTTTCGCCATGTTAGCCAGGCTGGTCTTGAACTCCTGATCTCAGGTAATCCACCCGCCTCGGCCTCCCAAAGTGCTGGGATTACAGGCATGAGCCACCACGCCTGGCCAGCACTTTTATCATCTATAAAAAAGACACAGTAACCATCAGTAGTCATTTCCTGTTCACCCCTAACCCAGCCCCTAAGCAACCACTAATCTACTTCCCATCTCTATAGATCTGCCTATTCTGAATATTTTATATAAATGAAATTACACGATATGTGGTCTTTTGTGACTGGATTCTTTCACGCACCACAATTCTTTGAGGCTCATCCATTTTCTATCCTGTGTCAGTGTTTCATTCATTTTTATTGCTGAATAATACCTCATTGTATGGATAGACCACACTTAATACGAACATTTGAATATTGATCAATATAAGAGATTTTTGTTTCTTTTTCTTTTCTTTTTTTTTTCAGAAATTGAGTTTCACTATATAGCCCAGGCTAGTCTCCAACTCCTGGGCTCAGATGAGCCTCCTGCCTCAGCCTCCCAAGTATTTGGGACTAGAGGTGGGTGCCACTGCTCCTAGCTATAAGTTTTTATGCCAATATATGTTTTATTTCTCTTAGGTATACATCTAGGCCATATAGTAACTCTGTGTTTAACATTGTTAGACATTGTCGAATACTGACAGTTTTCCAAAGTGCACCCTTGCGGCACCCTTTTACATCCTCACCAGCGCTATGTAAACAGGTTTCGAATTTTTCCACATTCTTGTGAACACCTGTCAATTTCATCTTTTTTATTATAGCCACTCTAGTGGGTGTCAAGTGGTATCTCATTGTGGTTTTGATTTGAATTTCCCTAATGCACTTTGTCCATTTGTCTTCTTTGAAAAAAATGTCTATTTGGATCTTTTGCCCATCTTAAATTGAGTTATTTATCTTATTATTAGTGATTTTTAAGAGTTATTTATTTATTCTGAATACAAATTCCTTATCAAATATATGATCTGCAAATATTTTCTCCCATTCTGTAGGTTGTCTTTTCACATTCTATTTTGTACTGTTTGCTACACAAAAGTTTTTAATTGTGTAAGATCTAACTTACCTATTTTTTCTTTTGTTGCTTGTGTTTTGGTGCCATATCTAAGAAACCACTGCCTAACCTAAGATCATGAAGGTTTACTTCTATGTTTTCTTCTAGGAGCTTTATGGCTTTAGCTCATATATTTGTGTCTATTATCCACCCGGAGTTAACTTTTCTGTGTGGTGTGAGAAAAGCGCTCAACTTTATTCTTTTGCATGTGGATATTCAGTTAATTCCAGCATTATTTGTTGAAATGTCTATTCTTTACTCACTTAATTGTTCTGACATCCTTGTTAGCAATCAATTGACCATACATGTTAAGGTTTATTTCTGGACCCTCAACTCTATTCCATTGATCTATGTCTCCTCTTATGCCAGTTCCATGCTGTCTTGATTATTGAAGCTGTGGACAAAATTTTGGAATTGGGAAGTGTGACTCCTCCAACTTTGTTCTTCATTTTCAAGATGGTTTTTCCTAATCTGAGTCCATTGTATTTTCATGATCAGCTTAGGACAACAAATTTTTAAAAGAATATTCATAAAGTGGAGTGGATCCAGAGGACATTAGAAGAAAGATTACAACAACTTGTGATGTTTAATCTGCAAGATGAAATATAAAAGTGGAATGCAAGAGATGACTTCACAGGCTTAAAATGTTGCTGTAATGTAGAAAATGATTTCAGTGAATTCTTTATTGCCCCAGATAGTTAAAATGATAGAAAGGTGAACATAAGCTCAGTATAAGGACGACCTTTAATACAACTAAACTCATTCATAAATAACTCACATTTTCTCACACACTGGCCCACCCAACCTTGAAGAGAGTCAAGTCTAGGCAAGATGACCTGTTCATCAGGAATGTTGTAGAAGAAATGTCATCATTGGAAGGAAGAAGATATAACTCTTTGATACGTGAGCATGAATAGCAGTGAGAAATGGATGCTGTCAGTGACTGTTACCTAATTAATCGTCCAACCATACGAGATGGATACTATTATTATTCATTTTGCTAGATAAGGAAAAAGGCTAGCAACTTGTCTAGCAGCACACAGTTAAAAAGTGACAAAGCTTGTCCTTGAACCCAATTCTGTTTGACACCAAAGTCCATGCTCTTACTCGGTATGATCTGGACAAGAGTTGTAGTGGCAGATAGAGGAAAAGAAATTAATATGAAAGATCACATCAAGGAAAAGGGACAGGAGCCATTGAATTGGCTGAATGTTGTCATTGACTAAGAGTATGTTACCAAAGATGAGTTTGAGGTTTCAAGCTTTAATAAGTAGGAGAGAAGGGAGGATTTATTAATAAGAATATGGAAGGCAATAGGTAAAACAGGTTTTGGTGGATGTGAAAAACAAGCTCATCCATTCAACAGGCAACTGTCGATATTCAGACTTGGGCTCGGGCCTACTGGCTCAAGAAGACATGGTTTGATCCTTCTTCTAGGTGAGTCAAGGATAACTGATTCTGAGGCTCTGAACCTGAAGTTCTAGGGAACAGAAGTAAGATTAACAGAAAGATAATCTGAAAGGAGACACTCTTTGGGGAAGAAACTGATACTCGGTGTTGTCGGGTATGTTAAATTTGAGCTGACAGTAAAACATGCAACTATGCAGAAGACAATTAAGATGTGGGACAGAGCCTTAGATGAGTAGATGGGATTGGCCCTCAAGAGGTGGCTGAAGACAAAGTATTAAATCTCTAAGCCAAAGATTGTGAGGAAGGAAAATCAGAGGACTTGGCACTTAGCTTTTCATCCTACAACCCCACTGTGCATCACCTAAAACTTGCAATGTGTACCTCAAAGATTTCCTAAAGTCAGTGCCCACGAGAAACTAGCTTTTAGTGTTTCTTTATTCAGAACTCTGAGCCTGGCACCTGGCAGAGAGCTTTTATATATAGTACATTATCTGGTATATGTAACAAAGATTGTATGCAGTTGGTATTCTCTCCAGTATATAGATGAGGAAACTGAAATTCAGAGAGGTTAAATAGTGAAGGAGGCCAAGGTGGGCGGATCACCTGAGATCGAGAGTTCAAGACCAGCCTGGCCAACATGGAGAAACCCCGTCTCTACTAAAAATACACAATTAGCCGGCGTGGTGGTACATGCCTGTAGTCCCAGATACTCGGGAGGCTGAGGCAGGAGAATTGCTTGAACCCAGGAGGCGGAGGTTGCAGTGAGCCGAGATCGCGCCATTGCACTCCAGCCTGGGCAACAAGAGAGAAACTCCATCTTAAAAAAAAAAAAAAAAAAATAGTGAAGCACAGCCAAGGGTAGAGCGAAGATTGAGACCCAGTCTGTCTGACACCGAAGTTCATGCTCCTTTCAGTACTGCAAAGCACCATGCTGTAGGGCTTTGCCCTCTCATCTGCCAGAGAAAGAGGGGGAAGCTTTCAAGCAGACCAGAACCTTCACCCACCCAGTGTCCACCTTTTTTCCTTTCTTCTTTCTCTCTTTTTATTCTTTCATACGTTCATATCGTTGAAAAATGTATATTGTGTATGTACTATGTGCCAATCATTGGTGATACAGGTAGGAACAAGAATCAACTCCTGCTTTCATGGTGCTTACAGAGAAGAGATAATTAAAGACATTAAGCAATGAATTACATGTTAATTAAAACTATCTAAATCAGCCAGGCATAGGGGCTCACGCCTGTAATCGCAGCACTTTGGGAGGCCAAAGAGGGAGGATTGCTTGAGGTCATGAGTTTGAGACCAGCTTAGGCAACACAGGGAGCTATGATGGCAGCTTCCTCTCTACAAAAAAAAAAAAAAAAAAAAATTAGCTGGACATGGTGGCACACACCTGCATTCTTAGCTACATGGGAGGCTGAGATGAGAGGATCTCTTGAGCCCAGGAGTTTGAGGCTGCAGTAAGCGATGATGGCACCACCGCACTCCAGACTGGGTGACAGAGTGAGACTCTGTTTCCAAAAAAAAAAAACTAAATGTTCCTCCCTTTATGTGATCCACAGAGAAAAAGAAAAAAATACTAGAAAAAGAGAGGAAGTGAGCATTTGCTGTGAAATGAGTACCACTTAGGTTTTTTTTGGGTGGGGATAGGGATACAATTTGAGACAGGGTCTCACTCTGTAGCCCAGGCTGGAGTGCAGTGGTGCCCTCATAGATCACTGCAGCTTTAAACTCCTGGGCTCAAGGAATCCTCTCACCTCAGCCTCCAGTGTAGCTGGGACCACAGGCACTGGCTTCACCATGCCCAGCCTACCACTTAGGCTAATTGCAGTATCCTAAGCTTGCCTTAGAATTACTATTTCTATTGAAAAGTACATTCTGAGTTGCAGTCCCTTTAAACCATCTCTTTAAAAAGCTAGCAAACTTAGCAAAGCTTTTTTTTTTTAGTTGATTCAAGTGTTAAGTTTGAATGTCATTGTGTGTGTGTGCATGTGTGTGTTTATACTGAATATCCGTATTTGGCTTCTATCACTGAGGTTTCTGCAAAGCATCTAGGGCTTGGCAGGATCCCTTCCTTTGCTCAGGGCATATCTGGGCTAGTCTGAGTTAACTTGGGGTGGGGAGGTGAGGATAAGAAGAAGGAGGAACTGGCCGGGCGTGGTGGCTCACACCTGTAATGCCAGCACTTTGGGAGGCCAAGGCAGGTAGATAACCTGAGGTCAGGAGTTCGAGACCAGTCTGGCCAACATGAGGAAACCCCATCTCTATTAAAAATACCAAAAATTAACCAGGCGTGGTGGCAGACACCTGTAATCCCAGCTACTCAGGAGGCTGAGACAGGAGAATCGCTTGAACCCGGGAGGCGGAGGTTGCAATGAGCCGAGACTGCGCCATTGCACTCCAGCCTGGGCAAGAAGAGCGAAACTCCGTTTCAGAAAAAAAAAAAAAAGAAGGAGGAGGAGGAACTGAAAGCTCAGGCCAAGAAGCTGGAGAACCTGGTGGGGTCTGAAAATGCTTATTCTCTAACATCAGAAATATTATCTAAAATGTACCCGTAATGGGTCTGTGGGCTGTCTTCGGTCCCAGGTGAAGTAGAATAGTATCCATTTTGGGATAATCTGATAACAAGCACCAACAATACATGGATTCTCCCTCCTCCTTGCTCAATACCGCCATTCTATGATTTTGGCTCAGAAGTTTAATAAAAACAATGGTCTACACCCCAGGAGCACTTGCGTCATAACGTGTCAATGGTAATCACATAACCAAACCCAATTCTGCAAAGAACGTAAGTGTTAAAAGACAATTGGTGTATGTGTATGGTGGAGGTGGATGGGGGTTGTAGGTAGATTAACAGCCCCTGATTGCTGACCTTATCTTATCATGTCATCTTAATCATTTGGCGTTAATCTCCTCAAATGTATTTAACTCACTGAAAGAAAAGACAAAATCAGAAAAATAAAATATCTCTAATCAAAAAGATATTTTCTGTTACTATCACTCCTTATTGTCCTTTTTAACCTACTCAATCATGGAGGCATAGCTAACACTATTATTTTTTCAGCATGATTATTTTCCACAGTATATGTTAAATTGATTAGAAACTGTATAATTTTTAAAATATGTATTTGTGCGTGGTTTTACATGTCTAAATTATACATGAACTCAGCAGTTTCCAGGATATAATAACATGTCCAGGAGCCCTATGGTTGGCTCTTACACATATATTTTGATGAGTCAAACCTACAGCTCCTTGTATTTCAGCCCACTTACTCACAGGGACCAGTACAAACATGTTTGTAGCAATGCTATTCAGTAAATAATTGTAGATGCAAAGAGTTGGAGAAGTCTTGCGAGTTAAGACCTTGACTCTCACAAGAACTCCTACTCTTCCACAATGGCCTTAAATTTTCCCCTTGGCTAGTTACACGTTATTTCTAGAACCTCTATTTTAAGTTTACTGGTGGACAAAGTCAATCAAACCTTATCGTGTCTCTCACTATTAAGGAAAATGTAAAACATACATGCAGAGACACTGTAGGCTAGTTTTCTTCTTATATTTTAAAATTCCTTCTTTGTGTTCAAGGACTCTGAAGGACCCTGTTCATTCATTATGAATATTAGGATTCAGAAAATAATGGTCTAATACAAGGACTCTTGGAGACTTCATAGCACCTTGGGGTTTGCATTTGCATGGCAAGGAGGGGTGTGGGTAGGAAATGGTGGCATGCAGGAAACTATCCCAAGCTATTCCAGAGGTCAGGGAACAGGAAGGAACACAGACTAAATTGGGCTGCTTAAATCACACAGTTTATTAAATTAAATTTTTTTTTTTTTTGAGATGGACTCTTGCTCTGCCACCCAGGCTGGAGTGCAATGGCACGATCTCGGCTCACTGCAACCTCTGCCTCTGAGTTCCAGTGATTCTCCCGCCTCAGCCTCCTGAGTAGCTGGGATTACAGGCACCCACATCATGCCTGGCTAATTTTTGTATTTTTGTAGAGACAGGGTTTCACCATGTTGGCCAGGCTGGTCTTGAATCCCTGACCTCAGGTGATCCACCTGTCTCAGCCTCCCAGAGTGCTTGGATTACAGGCATGAGCCACCACACCCGGCCTCACACAGTTTATTAAATTAATTTAAAACACACAGGGAAAAGCAAGGGGAAGGAGATAGAGTCAGTTCGTAAGGATGGGTTGCAGGCAGGTGACAGCAACCGCTTCTTGACTTCTGGACTATGCAAGCTCCAAACGTCCTGTCTTTCTCTACACTAACAGTGTGGTCAGGAGACCAGAGTTGAGGTTTGAGCAAGGGGGCCCACAGACAGAAGGCCTGCTGGGCCAATGACACACATTTGCTATGTCAGAGAGATGCAGGGATGCTATGGTTTGAATGTGCTCCCCAAAAAGCATGTGCTGGAAATGCAATCCCTGATGCCACAGTGTTAGGAGGTGGGGCCTCATGGGAGGTGTTTAGATCACGAGGGTTCCATCCTCATGAATGGATTAATGTGGATTATAAAAGGGCTGGGGGCTGTGAGTTCCATTCTCTCTCTCCAACTTTCTCTCTGGCCCTTCCACCATGCTATGACAGTAACAAGACCCTCACCGGATCTGGGCCCCTTGACCTTGGACTTCCCAACCTCTGGAACTGTGAGAAATACATTTCTATTCTTTATCAATTATCCCATCTGAGGTTATTCTGTTATAGCAGCAGAAAATGGACTAAGATAAGAAACAAGGACCCCCTGGCCAATTCACTTACTGAACAGTGAAAGGTTTTATCTGCATTTTTTTTTTTTAGCACAGTTCATGTGAAACTCAGAATGAGACCATATTGAGTTACCAATGAATGGCTCATCTAGAGATGACTGAGCTGTCAGCCTAGAGATAGAATGATCAAGACATATGACTTGACATTTCTATCTATAATATTCTTCCTTGTTCCAGCATATATTTCATGCATTCTGTTTATCTTTAACATGCCTCAGTATATACTACATTACTCTCTATCTATACTTAATACATCCTATAAGTTTTGCCTATATCGCATAAGGTACCTGCTTACTTACCAACTATGCCCAGGGTTTATGATGGATTTCATTATTCCATTTTTTTTGTCCTCTACAGCAGAATTGAATATTCTCAAGTAATGTCATAAATTCACATTATAACCAGTGTCGATTCTGATATAAATTTTTATTCCCACATTCATCAGGGAGCTAGAGAATTGAAAAAACCGCCATGCAAAGACACATCAGTTGTACATCTCCCTCATGGAGCTCACTTATCAACTATCAAACCCAAGAAGGCTAGACACAGCCTACCTGCTTTTAGGGCATGTGGTATCAGCAGACATGGGCAAAGGGACTGTCTAAAAATTCCCTGGACAGTAAGCTAGCTTTCCAGCAGAGCTAGTTGAAAGAGCCTGAAAATACCTGGCCCTCCATTTTCTCTCTGGCCTCCCCCTACCCTTCCAGGCCTCCTTGCTGTTCCTGCTTTATGACGGGTCTGCCATGTTTTCCAATGCACATTGTTCATAACACAATCCCAGTGGACACCACCTACATAGGGTACCATGAGAATAGCACACCCTGAAAATGGGCATCAGGGTGGCCCTAGCTAGAGCTTCTGCACTTGCTGTTTTGGGGGCTGGAATGCTCTTCCCCATATGACCTTACGGCTTGTTACTTTTTCTTCAAGTTTTTACTCAAATGTAACCTTCTCACTGAGTTTTATCACTTTATTTAAATTACAGCTATCACCTTCCACCTCAAAGCCTCCTATCCCCTTTTCCTAGTTTCACCCCATAGTACTTACTTTATTTTATTTTATTTTATTTATTTTTGAGATGGAGTCTCTCTCTATTGCTCAGGCTGGAGTGCAGTGGCGCAATCTCGGCCCACCACAACCTCCGCCTCCCAGGTTCAAGCGATGCTCCTACCTCAGTCTCCCAAGTAGCTGGAATTACAGGCATGCGCCACCATCCCTGGCTAATTTTTGTATTTTTAGTAGAGACAGAGTTTCATCATGTTGGCCATGCTGGTCTCAAACTCCTGGCCTCAGGTGATCCACCTGCCTCAGCCTCCCAAAGTGCTGGGATTACAGGCGTGAGCCACCGTGCCTGGACTTTTATTTTCTTTTAATATACCATATGAAGTTTTCCACACATTTTAGTCATTATATCTTACCCACCCTGTCCCTAATGTGTGTATGTGTCATACACACACATACACACACACACACACACACACACACACACACACACATCCCAAATTGTAAATTCTATGAGAGAAGGGATTTTTATGACTTTGCTCATTGCTGAGTTTCCTGGACTAGAAAAGGGCTTGGCGTACAGTGGGTTCTCATTGAATATTCATTTAATACATCTACCCCACTCTTTTGTCACATCTAGGCACGTTCCTCTGCTACTCACCCAGCCTCCATTCCCGGTGAGTTGGGGAACTACAAATATGGGTAAGCTCAAAAATAGCTCCCAAAAGTCACTCTGGGATACGCTGTCATTCAATGACCAAAAGAGCAGGCAGATTGCAGGGAGCTGGGCAGAGGTATGGTCGGATAGAAGCAGAGACAAAAACTGTGAATCTGCAAAGTACCGAGTATTCACTGGCCCATGAGTTTGCCATGCCAGATGGTTAGCTCAACTAGGGACATTAGAGTTACTGAAACTCTATCACGGGACCTCATTTTGAGGGGCTTCTGAACTTATTTGAGGTAGGGCTTTGCGCTCACTGATTCTACGTACATTTGTTTGACTGAGAGACATATTTCTTTGGTCTAAGGTGAGGGTTGTTTGTTCTGTAGGGACTCATAATCACTAAGTAGTTTGGGGATGTGGGTATTTCCTAAAGGAAATGATAACATAACAGTGTGATCCTTCCAATAGGAATATAATAATCCTGTCCCGTTGTCACCATGATATGGCCTTAGGATGTTTTTCTAGAGGGAGTGTTGGCTCAGGGCTGCCCCTCCCACACGCTCCTAGCACCGTGCTCTCCCGTAACAGGGCGTGGATTTGAAAGAAGCCTGACCAGCTGAACCTCTGTGAAAGGGAAGCTGGCTTAGCTTTTGAAACCTTCTTCATTCTCAAAATCTGGACTCCTTTTCATTGTCAGAGTTCTGGAGCAGGCACCAGACATGTTGAATTCTACTCCAGGTCTGGCTCACACTTGCCAATCAATCTCCAGCAAATCACTGTGCGCGAATCATTGTCTTTCTTGTTTTTAGTTCTTTCATCTGTAAAAGTAGCACCTTGCTAATCAATGTCTCAGCCATGACATATAGATCGGCTTTTTTTTTTTTTAATTAACCAAAAATGGTTCATAAAATGACTTTAGGAAATGTTATCATGCTATAATAGTGCTTCTTTTTTATTTCTACTTGCAAAACCTATCTTCATTCCCTCCTCTGCCTAGCTAGGACGCCTAGGGAACACCTAAACTTCCAGCAAATATTGTCCCTGCCTTGAGCTACACTCGGGTGCTCACACACAAGCCAGATGGGAGCTGTTGAGTGTCAGTGTTGACCAGTGCTCATGCCCCAGCCCTGGCCCCGTCACCTCTTCGGCATCACCTGCATCTGGTTCATCTCCCAGGACACTGACGTGTGGCAGTAAGACAGAAAGCTTGTACCATGTGTCATTCTGTCCTGTAAAAAAATGCAGTTATATCAGAGATCTGTCATTCAAAGATTCTAAACAAAACAATTCCTATGCCTAAGAGGAAGAACATTTCTGTTGTTTTGTTTGCTTTTTTTTTTTTTTTAACCTGAACCAGTGCCTCACTGGGGAAAGGAAACACTCAAATGCTCAAAGCCTAGGTCTAAACATTGTCCCCACACAGTGTTGATCAACACTTGGCCCGAGGTTGCACTGCAGTTTTAGTTGTCTGGGTTAAGTGTAGGGTAAATTCAAATTCTCACTGTTTTCATGGAATAATTGCTAATGAATATAATCATCTTCCAATGTCATCTGTTTCATTTGAAAGTTGGCAGGAATGAAGAAGGCAGCTTTCTTTAGAAATGATTAGAACATGGTTATTAGGGTGAGGTCATTGGTTTACAATTAAGTCATTATTTTCCCCCTACAGTTATAATAACAGTGATGGAACCCAGAATCTTGTTGCTGGCTCTTTGGCAAAAGAAGATCAAATTTTCAGAGTTTGGGCTGCCTTCCCTTAGTTGAAGGAATATTTTCCCACACCCGAGGCTGCTGGTGGGTGGCTGTCCCTCATACCACATGCATTTCTCTATGCGTCAGGGCTCTGCGGGCCAAGACGACTCACAGTATTCGCCAACTTGGAGCTGAAGGCTTTTCAACATGATAAAGAGGAAGATATTTTAAATTAAATTCCCGTTTGGCATTATTGTCATTTGATCTGTCCTGGGCTAATAAAGGGAAGAGCTATTCTTTAAAGAAAGAGAAAAGGCATAGCCAATGATTTTGTGCTCCCCATGAAAGAAAAATATCTTCTTGCTGGGTTTAGGAAAAGTTATCGGCTTCAGACCTCTAGGCAGGATTTAATTTCCCACATCATTATTTTTGCCTGCATAGTCACCATTTTTTTAAAGTTATGTTTTTATCTCTTTTCCTCTCTTACAAACAAAACATGTCAAAGTCTTCACAGACCTATTTTTGGCAAGCTCTGAAAAATCTGTAAAATATTTAAAGGCCATCAAGGGGAAAAAAAATATCCACTGGAATTAGAACCATCAGATTCTAGGTACTCATTGAAATAAATACAATTTCAAATTCTGCTGCCCCATTAAAGATTGCTTTTATTTATTTGCGGGTTTGAGATGAAGAAATAGTTGGAAGAGGCTGGAAATAGGAACTGAGACTCGCCTTCTCATCCAGGCTATGTAGTTAACTAGTTGTCATGCCCTGAGCAAGTCACTCAGCCTACCTGAAAAGCTGGATTATATACATATTAAGAACTCTAACAAGCCAAATGCCTCCAAGCAAGTGGGCACATACAAGTGCTGAAGTCATACATTTTGCAGTTGTACATCTAGAATTGTCTTAAAATACATGCATTGAGATGAGAACTCCTAGGCAAATGGCATCTCCTCTTGCTTTTAAAACTTGAGATTTATAGACCCCTTGAATTGTGTCTAAGAAATTCATAGCAATATGCCCATTGTAAAGTCTCAGGGTACCCATTTATATTCTGTATAAATATTTAAACAGAGAATTTGAACACAGATAGTCATCAGAAATGAAGCGAGCTGCAATATCATATAGCTGCATAAAGCAGTAAAACTTCATAGTTAAGAGGGCAGGTTCTGGAGCCACGCAATTGGGGTTCAAATCTCTGTTCTGACATTTATTAGCTCTGTGACCTTGGGAAGTTGACTTAACTCCTTCACGCTTCAACCTTCTTATCTGGGCATGGGGCTAATTCCAGTACCCACCTCGTATGACTGTTGTAGGGATTCCAGTAGATCATACATTTGTATCAATTACCTCTATTACTGGCACAGCAGCAAGCGTTCACTAAATGTTAAATGTTATTTTAATAACCTGAGAATTGGGTCAAAAATGAAGAGCATGAGACCCCCATCCATGAATTATTACTTTGATCTTCTTATGATTTCATATCTGATAGAAAGAGGTAAACAAAATGGTCATGAATGATCTTTGTTAGTTTCTTGGTGCCTTAGTTGTTTCCACACACGGACATCGTAAGATAATGTAGGACTATTCAGGATTAACTGTAGTCAACCAGTCTCTTGCTATTTACATGCAACTAACAAGCAAATGGTGAGGACTTGACTAGTAGTGCTAAGGGATCATTTTCCTTGTGTAAGTAACAAGCTAAAATAAAGTCATTGTGATTCAGAGAAACAGAAAGGGTGGGAAAATATGTGAACGACTTCTCCATTCCAGTGGGAACCTGGATGGAAACCCTCTTTTTGGAAGCCAAGAAGGCAAAGTTCCATTTTTTCTTGGCAAGGCACTTTACGAGACTCTGAGTGTCTTTGGACTCTGTATTTTGGTAGCTTGGAATTAGCCTGGGAACACTTTCATGCCCAAGTGATTTGAGAATCTCTCCCTTAATAACAAAGACTCCAATTTCTAGTGTTCAATCTTTCTCAAGGCCAAGTAAAGCGTCCGTTTGCATCTGTTTCAAGTCCCCTTTCACTTGCTTTTCACACCTCAATGTTTATCACAGCTTTCAAAGAAAGCACGTTTATCATTCACAAGGTTATTTACAAGTTAAGAGATGACCTCAATATTCCATTGTAGTTCTTTCAAAAAGGGTAGCTGCCACTATAACAAATACATATCGCAATTTATTCTGATCTCTTCTCTGGTGGAATATACTATGGGGGCCTCAGGGTCCCTTATGCCGTTGGTTCATCTACAGATAGACACTATTTTTTTAGGATTCTTTTTCTCTATGAACTAGCCCAAGCCAAAAAAGGGAAAATCATTTCTTCCTTAAGGACCATGGGCTCTGGCTCTATGCTGGGTAAATCTGTGTTCTCCAGTTTATTGGCACTCAATATGTGATTTTTTTTTTAACTCTTACTAATGGTATAAATCCCATAGGTTGGCTACCTCTAAAAACAGGATGTTTTGGCTGGCTGATTGTATGGGAGAATTAGAATTCCATGTTGGGTAGGTACAGTGGCTCCCGCCTGTAATCCCAGCACTTTGGGAGGCTGAGACAGGCGAGTCACTTGAGGTCAGGAGTTTGAAACCAGCCTCACCAACATGGCGAAAACCCATCTCTACTAACAATACAAAAATTGGCCAGGCACGGTGGCTCATGCCTGTAATCCCAGCACTTTGGGAGGCCAAGGCGGACAGATCACCTGAGGTCGGGAGTTCAAGACCGGCCTGACCAACATGGAGAAACCCCGTCTTTACTAAAAATACAAAATTAACTGGGTGTGGTGGCTCATGCCTGTAATCCCAGCTACTCGGGAGGCTGAGGCAGGAGAATCGCTTGAACCTGGGAGGTGGAGGTTGAGGTGAGCCAAGATAGTGCCATTGCACTCCAGCCTGGGCAACAAGAGCAAAATTCCATCTAAATAATAATAATAATAATAATAATAATAATAGTAAAACAAAAATTAGCCAGGTGTGGTGGCATGTGCCTGTAATCCCAGCTACTCAGGAGGCTGAGGCAGGAGAATCGCTTAAACCCAGGAGGTGGAGGTTGCAGAGAGCCAAGATCACGCCACTGTGCTCCAGTCTGGGCAAACAGAGTAAAACTGTGAAACTGTGTCTCAAAAAAAAAAAAAAAAAAAAAAAAAAAGAATTCAATGTGATCAGGAAACTTGAAATCCTGCTTTAAAGTTGGACTTCCACCTTTAGCTCCCTAAACAAACGTGACAGTCATTATTGAGCTTTATAAACGTGTTAGTAATTGGGAGACTATGGAAATGAGGAATGGCCAGTTTTATGTTTTAGAGAAATGATGCCAGGAAGACCACTCTTTCATTAAATCAAATCTGATCCTCCACATTAGGCTATGCAGGGAGACTTGCCATGTGGGAAGCGCCTGGCCCACCTGGCCAGGATTTGGAGTCTCTCCTCTGACAACTACACCAGCCTCAGGGGACACTCTCTGCCTCAACTCTGTTGGCAACCACTGATGAGATTGGTTTCTGAGTTCCCCAAAGCACTCTGAGACTAGGCTGAAACATGTAAAGAAAACCCCATTAAATGACTAGGAATAGCAAAAAGAATAAAATAACCCACAATTTTGTTCTTTGCTCTCAACACAGCACTTGACCATCTTCCCCCTTTCCCAGCTCTAAGCCTGCATCCATGTGGCAAGGCCATTATTCCCCTCTACCAGGCAGGACCCGAAAGTATGCTTAGACTCCTGGAAGCCTAGACCTTACCACCTACTAGGTTTTGGTATCCTGTCTTCAAACACGTATATTCCTTGCATGTTTACACTGGAAAATGTATCCCTATCATGCAGAGGAGACCGGCTTTATTCACAGGCCTTGGTCTTTCCCATGGCCTCAACAAGACAACCACATCAGAATACTACATGCACATATTGATGGATGAACACACCCAGCGGTAGGACGTTGTTTTATTATAAAGGGTTATTATGATGATACAAATGTCACAGACATTTAGAGAGTGGGCCAGTGTTCCTGGGTGCTAAGGCGTTGTTTGCAGCTCTAGTGGGAGGCAGAGGAAGGTACACATTGTAGGCCTCCGTTTCTTTAATAGGGAAGACCCTCTTAAAGAGGGTGCAGCAGTTTGGAGAAGAAGCTCCTGCTGTTGTTGTTGCTGCTGTTGTTTCTCCTGGGGCCACGTGTCTGACTGCTCCTATTTCAGGGCAACTGGGTCACAGCTGTGCTGCCGGCCACAGGGCTTCTCTAAGCATAGGCCCCAAGGGCGACATGAGAAAAGCCACCTGACAGAGTGGATTCTTGCTTTGCCTGGCTGTAAGGAAGAAAGAACTTCATTTGCCCTAAGCTGTTCACAGGTTCTGGGGCCTGGGGCCTGAGGCCTGGGGCATGTGTGTGTGTGTGTGTGTGTGTGTGTATGTGTGTGTGTGTGTGTGTGTGTGTGTGAGAGAGAGAGAGAGAGAGAGAGAGAGAAAGATTACAAGCTGTATCTTGGTATTCCTTTTTCAAATCCACATTCCATTACCCCATGTTCAACTCAGTTGGTTTCCAGGAGCCCTCCCAAGAGAAACAGCTGCTTGATGCCTTAAAGAGGAAATGTTAAAAGCTCTTGAGATTTAGAATTTTAGAATCTGCAGGGTTGATAACTTCCTCTCTGCTTATGAAAACAAATAGCACTAACTCCTCTTTCTCGACACAAACACGGTTCCCAAATGATTGTTTTCCTCTCTCAAATACGGTTCTATCAAGGAAGAGCAGATAACACCAGGTAGCCTGCAATTAAGTTGTAGATGCTAATAATAAAATCGGTTCTTGGTATTATAGCATGGATACTGTTCATCATTATGCTGCAATTGAAAAGTGATACAAAGATAGAGACCAGAGAACTTCCGCTTGAGGCTAGACGGTTTCCCACCTTTGAGATACAAAAGGTCAATCTAACACAAGTGATTACTGATTTGGAAGCATTAAGTTAGAACAATTAATTATCCCATAGTAAATGCATTACTGGTTGTCTCTCCTGGGGTTCTTTAGTAAGGTTGAGTTATAGAACTGGCAGTGTAGCTCTTAATAACTGAAGGGACTTTTTTCTTTCGGAAGACATGTTAGTGAGAAGGGGGTAGTGTTTTGGTACGGTTTGGTTTGGGTTGGGTTTGGTTGCCAAGTTTGAGAAAACAAGAATTAAGCTGGGGGCCAGGTGCGGTGGCTCGTGGCTGTAATCCCAGCACTTTGGGAGGCCAAGGCGGGTGGATCACGAGGTCAGGAGATCGAGACCATCCTGGCTAACACAGTGAAACCCCGTCTGTACTAAAAAATACAAAAAAATTAGCCGGGCATGGTGGTGGGCGCCTGTAGTCCCAGCTACTCGGGAGGCTGAGGCAGGAGAATGGCGTGAACCCGGGAGATGGAGGTGAGCCCAGATCGCACCACTGTACTCCAGCCTGGGCGACAGAACCAGACTCCGTCTAAAAAAACAAAAAAAAAAGAAAAAGAAAAAAAAAGAATTAAGCTGGGAAACATCTGCTTATCCCTAACACATACACAAACACACATGTGTACACATACATGCATGCTCAGACTTCATATTTTTCTCTTCTCTTCTCTTTTCTCTCTCTCCCTGTCTCTCTCTCCTCTCTCTCTCTCTGTCTTATAGATTACCCATATTCTTGAGAGTTGACAGAACAGTGGATTCAGAAACAAGAGCTAACAGGAATAAGTAGAAGTCTTTTCATTGTCATTTATCTTATCGTCATTCAGTTCATGTATTTTCCTCTGGCAATTCTTTTTAAACAGAATGTTTCCTTTAGAATTGTTTCTTTCTCTCAACTTCAGCCCGAAAATTTTAAGGTAGTGGGGTAATGTTTATGTGTGTGTGCTTTAAAACAAACAGTAGACCTTTCTGGGTGTTGAAAATGATTAGTGACAGCATCAATACCATTCATTTGTGTTATTTCACACATTTTTCCATAAAGGGATTCATCCCAGGACTCATTTATTCTTGATTCAACTCATTTCTCATCACTAGCTTTTGGTGCCAAGTACAAAAGGAGTTTCAATCCTCCTAAATATTTGCAGATCAGATAGACATAAAATAATAGAGAGACTATTCTATAGTAAAAAGAAAATATTTTAAGGAAGGGATTACTTTGTATCAACCACAGTCAGGTTCATAATTTATCTGACATGCTTGTAAACAAACAGCTGAAAGATCTTCAGCCTCCAAAATATTATGAATACTTTTGCAATGAAAAAGTAAATGTGTTCAAAAACAAAATGATTTGTAAATTTAACTAAAAGTTTGCGTCGCTACGAGTTTACTGGTATCCAAAGAATATCACACACTTTTTGTTTCCATTTACTGATTCATCAAATATTTATTGAGTCCTTAACCTATGCTATGTACTTGTACTAAGTGTTTGGAATGCAGATGGCCCTGCTCTCAAGGAGTTTACAATCTAGTGGGGAGACAAATAAACAGTTCCAATAAAGTGCTGCTGAAAATAAGGGAAGAAGGCCAAGGGCGATGGAATGGACTGTCTATCCCTGAGGACACAATGTTTATTTTAGTCAATTTGCCATGGTCCATGGACTAGCTTCACAGACTTAGAAACCTTGGCATAGGTGAAGATTGTCTCTCAGAAGTGAATTCCCATTGGCCAAGTAATTAGAATAACTAATAGTAAACTAGAATGCGAATTTATTAATTTGCCCTGAGAAATAGAACTGCCCAAGAAATGAGATCCTTAAGTTCAAGGTTCAGCACACCATAGGCAGCCACAATGCAGCTAAATTACAATAAGAAGGCTTCTTGGTAAGCATGAAATAGAAGAAATTAAGGTTCGATGAAAGATCCTGAGAAATTATAATGACACCAAGCTAAGATAGCCTGGTACCTCCATCTCCTAAAATGGGGAGACCTGACGCTGTGATGGCAGAAGTCAAAGCTGGGGACAAGAGCACCTCCTCTAGTGGACAGTGAGCACCTTCAGGCCACAGCCGGAGTTGGCCCATCCTGAACCCCTTATGGAGACGCCTTTAACAGTTGCCATCCCCCTTTATTGGCTGGGTTGATACTCAGCTGGAATGCAGTTGTGGTCATATCCGGGGCCTAAAATCTGGTTTTACTGGGGCCTAAACCTTATACAAGTTTGTGGGGCCTCTTAAAGAAACAATAAACCTTTATGAGTAAAAATTAATTATGAAAGTAAATATTTCTTTGGAAAGTTCCCATGCAAGTGGGGACTCATTTATTTCATAGAAACTAAAACCGAATGTTAAGTTATGGAAATACTTTCATGCTACTGTAGTTGATAAAGCGCTGCCACCCTGGCCACTCTGGCCCCTCCCTGGGAAACCCTAGACCTCCTCAAATTCCAGCAATTAAAGGATTAAAGGCTGAGAGTATACCATCTGTTCTGAGCATGGTAATTGGTAAATATGTTTAATGAGTATCTCTTTTTTAGACATTGGCATATATTTATGATGTACTGCATTATGTATTGATTTTGCCATTTAATTCTCAATGCTAAGCCCTTATTTCAAGTTCTTGGAAACCTCACAGTCACCCCTGAATGCTAACAATTCATACAAGTCCGAAATATTTAACATTTCTTTTACAATCCTCCAAACTGCCAAAGAATGGAGCTGAGTGAAAGCTTTATCTCTTAAGCAGTACTGGTTTCTAGAGCATTCCCAACAAGATCTCCTAAGAAAGAAGCTTGGTGAGGGTGGTAATTGGTGATAGTGCAGCCTAGGGTCCTGAAGGACTAGGAGAGAAGGCAGTAAGGGCATTTTCCTGTTTGTTTATTTTAATCCAAGAGCCGGTACAAAGCTTTCCCCAGGGGAAATTTGATATGTTATTAAAAGAAGAAAGAATGGGTGTTCAGTGAACAACAAACAGCAAACACATCCTCAATAATTCTAACTCTTTGCGGCATAACGTGCAGAATTCTGCCATAAGGGTACAAGTCCTCAAAATCTACCCTCTACCTGATACAGGTACATTTGTCAGGGGGTAGGTGGAACATTTTTCTTGTATCTTTATAAAGAAGCAATTACCATATTTGACTGTGGTACTTAATTTTCCACAAATTTCCCATCAGCTTGGTGTAATGTTGTTCTTTGGAACATTTGCAACATTTTCAACTTCATCAAGTCAAAAAGAACAGTTTATGAAAGCAGTCACTTCCCCCCACAAGCCTCAGAAGGAGCTTCATTTGGTGCTAAAGCATCTCCATATGATTTGTAGCTGTGTTTCCCAAGGGGAAGATATACAAAGGACACTGTGAGAAAATCTGCTCCTTATTTAAACTGTGAAGTGTTGGTAGAACTACCTTCTTCTGACAATCAGTGAGGACCACTGTGGATGTTAAATGCAAACAAGCAAACATTGTATTTTTTTTGTATTCTGTCCTTTTAAAACTAATTTATACAAAATCTCCAATTAGGATTCAATATTTTACATACTGAGAAAACATAGTGTGTGGTTCCTAGAAATTTAACAGTTTACATAGTATAGAACCTGGCTCACAGTGAATGTTTGATGAATAACTGATGAATGAATGAATGAATGAATGAATGAGTGACTAAAGAAGCACGCCAGCAAAATGGCTTTCTCCCTGAGAAGGCTCACAGATTAAAAAAATAAATTTACATTTTTTACTTATTGTCTAACAAAGAATATACAGGTCCTAGAGCAGTGGATGACAATTTTGCTAAACGAATGAATGACAGCATAATTTCCCTGAGGGGAGAAGCTGCTTATCAGAATGAATACTCCTGCAGAGACTGTAGATGTGAGTGCATGTGCACGTGTGTGTGTGTGTGTGTGTGCATGCATCACACACACATGCGCACGTGGGCTGATAGGGGAGACTTGGAGGAATTGGGAAGTGGCATTTCAGAGCTACAAAAAGGCTCATGTGTAAACAGTCTGTGTGATCAAGCCAGGTGTTCAATGCTTCTAGGAGCCAGGGTACCAAGGTACACTGAGAAAAGCATAAGCTTTCGGTCTAGACAGATAGGGGTACGAATCTGCAACTTACCAGCCATTTGACCTTGACCGATTTACCTTACCTCCCTACGCCTCAGTTAACTCATCTTAAAGCAGTGATAATAACATTTACCTCTCCAGGTCATGTCTGAGAAACAGAGGTAATGATGGCAAACTCTATTACATGCCAGGCACTGTTCTAAGCACTTTATGTACATTACCCTGTTTCAACCTCACAAGAGCCATGTGAGACAAGACACTGTCTTTGCAAATGAGGAAAACAGACAAACAGGGGTTAAGTAATTGCCTAAAATATATAGCCTAGGGCCTGTGCACCGCGGATTCTCAATAGACAGTAATGGTCATTATTTATGGTCACAGTCCTAAGTGCTTTACATTCATTCTCTCATCTGATCCTCGAAGAAAACATATGTGCTTAGAATGGTGCCTGGCATAAGGCAGGTGTTTGATAAATATTTGTTAAGTGAGTGAATGAATCTTCACTTTACAGCAGAATTAACTGAGGGTTAAATACTTGCCCAAAGCCACACAGCCTGAATGTGAACCCTGCAGATGAACTCCAGGGCCTGTGCTCTTAGCATTGCCAGTCACTTACAGTCTCTGCCCTCATCCCTCTGGCATCAGAGACAAGAAAGGTGCAGATAGGGGGAGGGGCACAACACCTGGGCATATCAGAATCATCTCAAGAAACCAAGACAGACTGTCTTCAGGGTTGTTTAGAAAACACGGAAGCATTCATCTTTTCCTTCCTCTTGTTCTGTCTTTTTCATCTCACCCTGGATATCTGCCTCGGCTCCTAAAAATCTTTGCTCTGCAACCTCCAGTTTCTAATTCTGGCTAACAGAGAGAAAAATATTAGAAATCGTACTCTCAGAGATCCATCATTCAGCTAAGACTTCTTAAGGGTTCTTAAGTAATCAGCCATTTGAGGTTTAGGATTATATTTGAGAGAAGAGTGCTGTGATGAGTGAAGAAGTATGTGATCCATTTGAATACACAATTCTCACAGGCTGCAAATAACCAGGCCTAAAAAAGCCTTAGTCTTAAAAAAAAAAAAAAAAACTGTATTTAAAAAAAAAGAATGAAACATTACTGAAAAAATGATACAGTGGCTGTAATTGAACATTCCTGTTGAATTAATTACTTTGACATGCATTATTTCTATAGTATTGATAGGTGGGCAGAGCTTCCAAAAACTATTTATTTGATTTAGAATTAGAAACCATCATGGGTATTTGCTTCTAGCTGGGTGGACGAATTGTTAAATTCTATCATCCCTATCCCTAGTGTTTCAGTAACTTGGTATGATTAAGCATGGATAAAAGCTAAAATTTTAAAAAGAAAGAAAAGCTCATTACCAAATCCTGAACAGCTTCAGTAACTTTGTGCCGGTCTCTGAAGGACATTTGTGCCTTGTTATGACAAGGAATTATTCATAATGTGTGCCTAGCATATAGATTGCATCCTTTATTTGAGACAATAAAAGAGTCATCCTTAGTAGCTGATGGAAATAAATAGGCAAGCAAAATTTAAAGGGAAGAAAAAAAGACCAACCAATAGGCCCCTATAATAATTGCTTGTCAGTGTAACATCAAGTAGTTCATCCTTTTAGGAACTCGTTATGTGGCTAGCCCATTATGTTCTCCGGATAGAAAAGAAAAAATGCAGTAATTCACAGAAAAGCAATGACAGGATTCTGCCAGTTTACCTAATAGTATTGACTAGACAGGAGAATTATGGCTTACAAACAAAGAGTGATTCTGTATTTGGAATTGTTTTGCTCCCTTTTTGTCCAATCAGAATTTTTTTCATTTAAAAAGTATCAATACCCCTGAAAAATATCAAATATACCACCAACAGCTTTTTGATCTGACTATAAGAGTGCACAGTTTCTAGATTCTTGCTCAATTACTTGCTTACCGAAACCTCTGCTGTGGCTAGGAGAAAATAGATGCTATACTTTAGTGCCCCTTGCTGGTCAACCTGAAGAAAATTGGAGCATAATGACTCCAAGAACCCAGGTTTCAATAAATGGAGTGGCAAGTTCTATTCAGACGGGTAAGAAGCCAAACTGATGTGGCCAAAACATCTGCAGCTAGTATGAAGAATCATTACAATGAGATGAGGCATTTGGAAATGCACATATTTTCTTTTTTTTTTAAATTATTATTATACTTTAAGTTTTAGGGTACATGTGCACAATGTGCAGGTTAGTTACATATGTATACATGTGCCATACTAGTGTGCTGCACCCATTAACTCATCATTTACATTAGGTATATCTCCTAATGCTATCCCTCCCCCCTCCCCCCACCCCACAACAGTCCCCAGAGTGTGATGTTCCCCTTCCTGTGTCCATGTGTTCTCATTGTTCAATTCCCACCTATGAGTGAGAACATGCGGTGTTTGGTTTTTTGTCCTTGCGATAGTTTACTGAGAATGATGAGGAAATGCACATATTTTCTTACAGAGGAAAAAGTGCAATAGAGAGAAAAGCTACACGTTAAGTCTTAGCCTAACTTAAATCCCGGAAATGCATTCCTATGAATGCACCCATATGAAGTAAACTCTTTCTAGTCTTGACGTATGACTTTGCTTGATTATGTCTCCAAAAACGTATGTGGCCTCTCGAAAACCACAAGGGAAATGATAGATACCCACAAATCCCTAGTGGAATTCTCAGTTCAAATTAAATTCCAAAAATAATGCAAAAACTTCTTTCTACAGAGGAAAAAGAGTATATGTACAGTAATGCATTAGATAATCGAAAATAACATTATAACCTATAACAAGCGAATTCTGATTACGGTGAATTTTCTTCCCTGTTTGCCATTTTTTTAGGATGTGATTATATTACTTTAATAATTCAAAAACAACAGCTACATCATGGCTATACTGACACCATCAAAGCTAATTATTTGTTTTTTATTGTTGTTGTTGTTTTGTGGTTTTTTTTCTTTTTTTTTTTTGAGACAGAGTCTCGCTTTGTCGCCCAGGCTGGAGTGCAGTGGCATGATCTCAGCTCACTGCAACCACCACCTTCCAGGTTCAAGCGATTGTCCTGCCTCAGCCTCCCAAGTAGCTGGGATTATAGGCGCTTGCCACCACGCCTGGCTATTTTTTGTATTTTTAGTAGAGGCAGGGTTTCGCCATGTTGGCCAGGCTGGTCTCAAACTGCTGACCTCACGTGATCCATCCGCCTCGGCCGCCCAAAGTGCTGGGATTACAGCCATGAGCCACCATGCCCAGCCCAAAGCTAATTATTAATAACTCTTAGGATTTCAGAGTAAGCCATCAGACCTAACACATCAACCCTATTTGGAACACTATGAGAGCTGGACTTAGAATTTCATCTCCTCCCTCACAAGGTACCCATCAGGAATTTGGATTCACAAGATCCAGCTCTAGGACCTAGAAAAAGTCCATTCAGGCAGACTGAATAATTCAGTGGCACAGGGGGACTAGCCCGTGGGGCAGCCTCGGCACACGTGCAAGCCACCCTCAGATGCTCAGCCTGCAGATAGACTCTGGAACCAGGCACCAAAGATAGCTGGTCCTTCAAAAGCCTTGCAAGCTTCATGGGACCTAGAATAGCCAAAACAGTCCTAAAAAAGAAGAGCAAAGCTAGAGGACTTTCATTTTCTTATTTCAAAACTTACTACAACGCTACAATGTGGTGCTGGCATAACAACAGATATATAGATCAGTGGAATCAAATTGAGAGTCCATAAATAAACCCTCATGTTTATGGTCATTTGATTTTCATGTAGAGGGCCAAAACAATTCAACTGGGAAATGAGTAGTCTTTTCAACAAATAATGCTAGGTAACTGAATGCAAAAGAATAAAGCTGGACCCCTACCTTACACTATATACAAAAACTTAACTCAAAATTAAAGACCTAAATATAAGAAAACTATAGAACTATTAAAAGAAGATACATGAGTAGATCTTACCTTAGATTTGGCAATGATTTCTTAGAGATGACACGAAAAGCAGAAGAAATGAAAGAATGTGATTTCACTTCATCAAAACTAAAACCTTTGTACTTTAAAAGACCCATTGGCCGGGTGCGGTGGCTGATGCCTGTAATCCCAGCACTTTGGGAGGCCAAGGAGGGTGGATCACAAGATCAGGAGTTTGAGACCATCCTGGCCAACATGGTGAAACCCCATCTTTACTAAAAATACAAAAAATTAGCTGGGCATGGTGGCACGTGCCTGTAGTCCCAGCTACTGGGGAGGCTGAGGCAGGAGAATCACTTGAATCTGGAAGGCAGAGGATGCAGGGAACTGAGATCGCACCACTGCACTCCAGCCTGGTGACAGAGCGAGACTCTGTCTCAAAAATAAATAAATAAATACATTTAATAAATAAATAAAAAGAAATAAAATATAGGCCAGGCACGGTGGTTTATGCCTGTAATCCTAGCACTTCGGCAGGTCAAGGTGGGCGGATCACCTGAGGTCAGGAGTTCAAGATCAGCCTGGACAACATGGTGGAACTCCATCTCTACTAAAAATACAAAAATTAACTGGGCATTGGTGGCGTGCACCTGTAATCCCAGCTACTTGGGAGGCTGAGGCACAAGAATCGCTTGAACCTGGGAAGTGGAGGTTGCAGTGAGCTGAGATCATAACACTGTACTCCAGCCTGGGCTACAAGCATGAAACTCTGTCTCAAAAAAAAAAGAAAGAAAGAAAATAGAATATAACGCATTAGATGCAACAAAGTTTTTGCAAGTCATATATCTGATAAAGAAACTGGAGCTAGAATATACAAAGAGTGATAACAACTCAATAATAAGACAAGGTAAAAATTAATTGCCACCAGGCACAATGACATGCACCTGTAGTCCCAGCTGCTTGGGAGGCTGAGGCAGAAGGATTGGAATGTAGTGCATTATGGTCACACCTGTGAATAACCACCATACTCCAGCTTGGGCAATATAGCAAGACTCTATCATTAAAAACAAAACAAAACAAAATGCCCATTAAAAAATAAGCCAAAGATCTGAATAGATAGCTCTCCAAAGAAGAACATATGAATGACCAATAAGCACATGAAAAGATGCTTAACATCACTAGTTATTGGGGAAGCAAAAATCAAAACCACAGTGATTTGCCATGCCACACTCGATAGGATGGCTCTAATAATAAGAATTTTTTAAAAAGATAGTGATGAGTGTTAGCAGGAGTGTGGAGAAATTGCAACCTCATTCATTGCTGGTGAGAATGTAAAATGGTGCAGCCATTTCAGGAAAGAGTATGGCAGTTCTTCAAAGTTATACCCAGAGTTTTCATGTGATCTAGAAATTCTACTTCTAGATATATACTCAAGACAAATGAAAACATATGTCCGTACAAAAACTTGTGCATGAATGTTCATAGTAACATTATTCATAATAACCAAAATGTGGAAATAACCCAAATGTCCATTAAATGATGAATGGATAAACCAAATGAGATGTATTTATACAATGGAATATTATTTATCAATAAAAAGGAATGAAGTACTAATCCATGTTACAACATGGATTAAACTTTGAAAAAAATGTGCTAAGTGAAAGACGCCAGACACAAAGGGCCACATATTGCATGAGTCCACTGTTAGTGTGCTAGGGCCGCCATAACAAAATACCACAGTCTGGGTGGCTTTAGCAACAGAGGTTTCTTTTCTCACTGTTCTGAAAGCTGGAAGTCCAAGACCAAGGTGTTGGTAGCCTTGGTTTCTCCTGAGGCCTCTCTCCTTGGCTTGCAGACAGCTTCTACTCCCTGTGTCCTCACATGGCCTTTTCTCTGTATGCACACATTCCTCGGGTCTCTTCCTCTTTGTAATGGACACCAATCCTATTGGATTAGGGCTCCCAACCCTTCAGAAGCTCGTTTAGCCTTAATTACCTCCTTAAAGACCCTATCTCCAAATATAGTCATATGGAGGTTTCAGCCTTCAAAATATGAATTTGGGGGAAATACAAGTCAGTCTATAACATCCTCTTATACACAGGCAAATCTCCTTTTCAGTTGTGGCACATGACTGGACTTGGTTGAGTTTTGAGATGCTGATGAGCTCAAGGTCTGAGGCTTGAAAGAATCACTGAGGCTTTTTTTTTATTTGTTTTTTTCTTTTGAGACAGGGTCTTTCCCCATTGCCCAGGCTGGAGTGCAGTGGCGTGGTGCCATCTCTGCTCACTACAATCTCCATATCCTAGGCTCAGGTGATTCTCCCACCTCAGCCTCCTGAGTAGCTGGGACTACAGGTGTGTGCCACCATGCCCAGCTAATTTTTGCATTTTTGTAGAGAGGGGGTTTCACCATGCTGCCCAGGCTAATCTCGAACTCCTGGACTCAAGCAATCTACCCGCCTCGGCCTCCCAAAGTGCTGGGATTACAAGCCTGAGACACCATGCTTGGCCAAAGCTTTTCAAGTAGATAAGATGTATTTAAACATGTAATCTTTAGTATCTACAGAATGGACATTTTTGCTTCTTTTGTCCCTTTCGTAGTGGTAATAAGGGTGAATTTTGTCATGGCCTCAATTATCTATAGGAATATTTACTTGACAATTTTGTGCCTCTGCCCTATAGCTGAGTTGGTCCCATAGAAAATTTCTGCGGAATTCAATTCCATTATTTAAAGTAGTTTTTCTATGAACCAGCCATGGTCTGTAACTTGACAGTGTTAACACCAAATAGCAAGACCTTAATCATGGTTCACATACTCAACAAAGATATAACTCATCTTAGTTTTTCAAGTAGATCAGTTTTAGAACACATTAATTCTAACTAGACTGACTATTTTACAACTATCTAAGACAACTTTATAAAGTGCTTTAATTTATAAAGTTGTTTTAAAATCACATTCTTTTGACTCTTCTAAAGATTGTTATTTTACAGTATCTTCTTAAATATGTGTATTCTTAAATATAGTATATTCTTAAATATCCTTAAATGGTAGACTTTGATGAATGCACATCTGTAGTACAATGTTAAGCTACCTTCATTTTGTTGGTATGCTAAAGAAACTTTTCAAAGTGTCTCATGTTAAAAATTGGTTTGTGTGTTTTGTATGCTTGCAAATTTTTCCATAGTACCATAGATTATTTTAGTGACAAAATTTGACCCTTTTGATAGAAAAGCAGGTCAGTGAGTTCCTTGGGATCCAAAAGGAGTTGACTGCAAAGAGGCAGAAGGGAATGGTTAGAGTGATTCTATAATTGTTCTGCATCTTGATTATGGTATGACTATGCATTTGTCAAATCTTATACTTAAGAGGGTGAATTTTACTGAATGTAAATTCAGATTTCAATAAACATGACTTTTAAAACTTACAAAATAAATAAATAAATAGGCAAATCTATAGAAATGAAAAGTAGATTAGATCTGGGTTGATGAGAGCTTTGGGGGTGACAGGTATGGGGTGTGGAGGCTTTTTTTGCATAATATTCTGAGGTTAACTGTGATAATAGGTGCACATCTCTGGAATATATTAAAGCCATTAAATTTTACACTTTAAATGAGTGAATCGTATACTATGTGAATTAAATATCAATACGGCTGTTAACAAAAAATACAAGCTTAAGGGCAAAAGAAGTCATTGGTGAAGTCTCTGAGAGGTAGCAGGATTCTATCCAGAAGCATGGAGTTCAGGGCCAGGACTAGTCTTTACCCACATATAAGGAAGAGTCCAGTTCCGATCTTAAACCTTATGGATTGAGGAATCCCAGGTAGAAGGGCAGGCATCAGATCTCTGGCACATGGTTAGGGCTTCCCTGGTGGCAAATGTGGCTTGAACCTGAGTCACATAGGGTTGGCCTAGAGCTTTTTTAAGGAATTTTAAAATTCCTATCCAAGGCTGGCATTCATCTTAGAGACAAAAGTTGACATCTGCCTGGGAAGAAGAGAGTTCCCGAGGCCAGACCTCAAGTAGTCTCTCATGTGTTCCTGACTTCCGTCGCCAATTCCTTTGGAATTTGAATATTAGACTTTAGTGAGCATGTAATCCTTTCAGTATGCTTCTCCCACAAGCTCTGGGTTTTCAAAGCATAAGTCTGCCAAACTGCATTTATTAAGTACACATGCTATATTGTCATTGTCAGTTTACTTTTTTTTTTTTTTTTTTTTTGAGACGGAGTCTCACTCTGTCGCCAGGCTAGAGTGCAGTGGTGCGACCTCAGCTCACTGCAAACTCCGCCTCCTGGGTTCAAGCAATTCTCCTGCCTCAGCCTCCTCAGTAGCTGAGACTACAGGCACGTGCCACCACGCCCAGCTAATTTTTGTATTTTTAGTAAAGACGGGGTTTCAACATGTTGCCCACGATGGTCTCGATCTCTTGACCCTGTGATCCGCCCACCTTGGCCTCCCAAAGTGCTGGGATTACAGGCTGAGCCACCACACCTGGCCGTCACTTTACTTTTGGATCTGTTCCACTAGTCTTTAAGATCCTGGAAGATGGGAATTGTTACTTTTATACCTGCACTCCCAGTGCTTTGCCCACTGGCAAGCACATAAAAATGTTCCATGTTGTTTGATGAGTAAATGAATAGATGAGTACTTGGCTTTCCCTTTTTTTTTTAAGAGATGGGGATCTCACTATGTTGCCCAAGCTGGCCTTGAACTCCTGGGCTCAAGAGATCCTCCTACCTTAGGCTCCCGAGGAATTATAGGCATACCACCATACTCAGCTTTCCATTTATTATGTGTTAGAATGCTCATACCGTCTTGCTTGTGCTAGATTGAGCCATTTTCAAAACTAGCAAACTAAAGAATCCTAAATCATTGATTTTTCCAGAGTCGACTTAATTTTCCATAATAATAGCTTAACATTCATTGAACATTTTTGGACCAGGCTGCACTAAGCAATTTAGATTCATAATTCCTTTGTAGTCCTTACAATAAACCCCTAAATAGATACTTTTATTACCCCCAATTTACAGATGTGAAACTCAGGATCACAGAGATTAAGTAACCTGCCCAAAGCTGCAGAGGTAATAGCAGTGGAACCAGGATTCAAAGCTGCCTCAAACTCACACAGGAATGTTCTGAGATTACCTTACTCCACATGTAAAAATTACTGTCTCAGCAGCCCCTTATATTGAAAAGGGAACCACAGAAATAAGGCACACGTACAAAGAATGGGTGGGCTTCTTTCCCTGGGTCATAGATTCAGTCTGTAATCAACCAAAAGCAGAAAGCCTTCTCGGATAGTTTTCACTGCCTACTGACTCACGGCTTCCACAGTTTTCATTTTATCCTCTTTCATTCCCCTTATACATTTTAGCTGCACTTCACAGGGTTCTGCACAAAGGGAAAACTCAATACAAGTTGAATGTTTACCAGAATGGAACATTCTGACATTTCAGAACAACAGGCTCAGCTTGAGGTGTTTCAAAATGGCATGCACCAAGTGTCCTGAAAGTTGTTATAAGAGATTCAGCAGCTTTCACGTTGACCTCAATGAACAAAATTAAATGTTTGCTCATTTCATGGTTACCATGTTCCAGTGCAAACAGCCTAGTATTTTTCCTGTTTTCTGTTTACCTCCGTTACCTTGGCCATGTCTATATTATGACTGGATGGTACTCAAAGATCGTTGTCTGCGAGGGATGAGGGAGAGATATTTATGCCCAGAGTGGGGGCACCTCCTGTTCCAGGAGAGCTTGGAATCACTCCAGGCCAATACCTAAAGATTCGGAAAGTTAAAACAGAACCATCAGAGTTAATCCTCACACTCAAGGCATTCAGTGTGTCTAGAACTAAGCCAAAATTCTATGAAGGGACAGGGTTGCCAATGCCCATGGTGTAAACAATTCCCAAACTGTTCCCAGTTTGTTCTACTGAACTGCACGGCTGAAGAGAGAGGAAGTCCAGATAGCACTCTTGAATTTTTTCAAAGCAAGGGCAAAATGCCCCCACTCCCCTACCATCCTCACCAATATACAAAAGTAGGTGAGCCACTCCTGTTGAAGGCGCCACGAAGAGCATTCGGTCCTTCACCCATCCTGGCCCTGGTTTATGGCTGTGCTTGTGTCGCTGCCTGTCGCTGGGTGCCCCGGGAAGGCAGGGCTAGGTCTGTCCTGCTCATGATTGTACCTCCAGAACCCAGCACACGCCTAACTTAATACGCTTTCATTCATTGCATAAATGAAATATAAGGTCAATGGAGAAGAAATGCCTGGGAAACATATGGCTGGGAACTGACTCTGCTTTCATAGAGAAGACTTTTGGATCCCGCAGATGGTACCCCTTATACTAAGAAGGGAGTACTTCTGTTGGGATCATAACCTCTTTTTAAAACTAAGGTGATTTTTGTCATTTTAACACCATTTGGAAGCACTGTAAAGCTTGACTTTTTATCTATTTATTTATTTACTTTTTAAGAGACAGGATCTCATTCTGTCACTCAGGCTAGAGTGCAGTGGTGGAAACACAGCTCACTGCAGCTTCGAACTCGTAGACTTAAGTGATTCTCCTGCCTCAGCCTCCTGAGTAGCTAGGACTATAAGGCATGTACCACTGCACCTGGCCAAGTTTGGCTTTTTAAATGATTCTTACCCAGTTTTTATTTCAGAACAAAATGGCATATTTAAAAACCAACATTTTTCTTTCATGCAAGTTTGAATATAATATGCATATATATTTGAAATATATAATCTTTTGAAAATACTAAAAGAACAGAGGTCAGAGGATACCATTTTCATAATGTTTTTCTCACTTTTCATGAAATTTGAAGAAGCTTAATTTTTATATTATGAAATATTTGTTGGAAAGTGTTTCTATTTTAAATCAAGATTATTTTTAAAGCTGGGTGCCATGACTCATGCCTGTAATCTCAGTGCTTTGGAGGCCAAGGTGGGAGGATCATCTGAGCCCAGGAGTTTGATATCAGCCTAGGCAATATAGCAAGAATGCGTCTCTACAAAAAAATCAAAAAGTTAGCCAGGTATGGTAGAACAGCCTGTAGTCCCAGCTCTTGGGAGGCCGAGGCAGGAGGATCACTTAAGCCCGGAAGTTTGAGACTGCAATAAGCTATGATCATGCCACTACACTCCAACCTGGACAACAAAGCAAGACCCTGTCTTTAAAAAAAAAAAAAAAAAGATTATTTTAAAATATTGCTTAAATTATCACGTAAATAATCTTATAGTTGCTCCCCCCAAAAAATCTTATGATAGAGTTTATGCATGTGATATATAAATATAATAACATTAATCAGTTTCTCATGTGTCTTGTTTAGAATCTGCATAATGTTTGGTAAATCTCCTATAAGGGCTTTTTTTTTTTTTTTTTTTTTTTGAGAGAGGGTCTTGCTCTGTGGCCCAGGCTGGAGTGCAGTGGTGCAATCTTGGCTCACTGCAACCTCTTCTGCCTCCTGGGTTCGAGCGATTCTCCTGCCTCAGCCTCCCGAGTAGCTGGGACTACCAGCGCGTGCCACCACACCCGGCTAATTTTTGTATTTTTAGTAGAGACGGGGTTTCACTATGTTGGCCAGGCTGGTCTCGAACTCCTGACCTCAGGTGATCTGCCAGCCTCAGCCTCCCAAAGTGCTGGGATTACAGGCGTGAGCCACTGCGCCCGGCATAAGGGCTTTTTAAATACTAATATATTGTCCAAATTTTCTACTATTGAGTTAATCACCATGAAGATTTCCACCTGGTGTTTGACAAAAGAAAGTCCATAGCAAATCCCTAGATAGAATAGTCAACCCTCACACCTCTGCATTGTATCCAAACAGCCTCTCCTCATTGGAGGGAGTGGCTGTACCACCCAAGCTTCCTGAGTCGGAATTGTGTCGCTTTGACTCTTACTTTCTATCATCTGCTGGGTCTCCATGTCCTTGCCTTTCTCCTACTTATAAAACATGTGCCTCTCTCCCTATGAGAAAGGAGAGGTGATCAGAATATTTCAAGGACTGAATGGAAATGCAAACAGGGCAATTTATATGGTAAGTGGAAGTGGAACACGTCATGAAAGCTACACCTGGGAGGAGAGATTGGAAGCATCTCTCAGCCTTAGCAAAGGATTTCTAGATACAGGTGGCGGACACAAATTGCCTGTCAAGAGATTCACTTCATAACGAGGCCAGCCATGTAGAACAGTCCCAGCGCCACCAGGGGACTGCTGCCACCAGCCCATATCTTTGGGGCTCTGAGGTGGGCTGCAGGAATGACAGTCCTGCATTCTGCCACAACAGCCACGTCCCTGCAGGGTATGGGGGACAGACAACGGGGTTAGTGCCATCAGCCCCTTCATGCTGCCCCTGCCAAACCATCAGTCAAACAAGGAGTAGAAAAGGCATGGGAATAAGAGAAAGGAGGAAGTGATCTGAAATTAGGCATGGTGGGGGATGGGCTTGGGTAGGCAGAAAGGAAATGGAAAAGGACATCCATTTGTCTTCGGGATCTTTCTGTCATCTTTGGTTAACAGTTGAGGGGCATGCAACAAGCAAAAGGATGGAAGAATTGAATCACACTCCATCTTGACCGTGCCTTTTTCATGTTTTCCCCCAGCTTCGTGCACTCAGATGCTCATGAAAACACTGCACTCTTCTCCAGGCCCACACACAAACTGCACACATACACACACACACACACACGCACGGGCTTGCACGCATTTCCCAGTGTCTTATTCATGTCTTTTCACCTCTGTGCTTAAAACTGAACTGACAGTAGGGAGGCTGTGCTGTAGAGTGCGGTGGTCTCCTTTCCCACTATTTAGTTCCTGTATAAGATATCAGTTTTCCTGAACAGCACGGCAATATCACTCTCAAAGTCAAGATCAATTCTAAATGTCTCCCTCATGCAGAGGAGAACCCATTTTTCCTCCTGAGTCATCATGCGCTCCCTAACAAACTTCTGGGACCTCTCATTGAGGACACAGACAGGTGTGGTGTTGCATCCAATGTGGCATTTCCAAGCCAGTTCTCAGCACCCAAGCTCCCTGTTGGCTTGACAGTGTCAAGCCAGGCCACTAGGCTAACTGCAGGACCTGCAGCTACTAGCTTTACAAAAAATCTGGCTTCAAGTCAGACTCAGATAGATCCCAGGGAGCAAGTTGAATAAGAAAAAGTTCAATGAAGGCCGGGCAAGATGGTTCACACCTGTAATCCCAGCACTTTGGGAGGCCGAGGCAGGCAGATCACCTGAGGTCAGGAGTTTGAGACCAGCCTGGCCAACATGGGAAACCCCATCTCTAGTAAAAATACAAAAATCAGCCAGGCATGGTGGCAGGCACCTGCAATCCCAACTACTTGAGAGGCTGAGACAGGAGAATCGCTTGAACCCGGGAGGGGGAGGTTGCAGTGAGCCAAGTGCGCTCCAGCCTGGGTGACAAGAGTAAGACTCTGTCTCAAAAGAAAAGAAAGAAAGAAAGTAAAAGCCCAATTAATGGGGGTTTCAAGCTTAGAGGAACGGAGCTGCTGGGGTTGTAAATTCAGGCAAACATTCAGCACTAGAAAAAACACCATAATGTTAGCACTGGAACCTCTGGGGGAGGCAATGGAGATGCAAGTTTTGAGAGATGATTCTGAAGAAGTTGGAAGAGGACAGAAACAGCAGACAGCATTGCAGAGAGACGGCAGGCAGACTCCTTGGCAGGATCACCCTTAACTCCTCCAGGGTACCTGGCACAGGACAGGTGCCCAAGAAAAACCTGATGAGTCAGTGAATGAATATGCAGTAACTGAAGCCTTCCCCGAAGAAGCAGAAGGTGGCAGGACAAGTTTCATGTTCTTGAGAAAGCCTGTGCCTGCCTGTGGAGAGCCCATCCTTGCATTCTTAAGCAGGTTTTCTGAACTCGTGTCCTGGGGAAGCAGAAGGCAGTTCTGAGGTTCACTGAGCTAGAACAGCATTTTGATACAAACAGACCTGGGCCCACTGAAAGAGTGATGCACTTGGCCAGAACACCACCTTGAGTTCAGTCAGAAAGCACATCTGTGCCTCATTGATAATGTAATAACCTACATTACATTCTTGGCCAAGAGCACCTGTGCACAGCCCAGAAAGTCAGCCCAGGGCAACCATTCTGATGGAGGTGATATTAACAGCTCTCATTAAAACTGATGACTCTAGCGGTGCCCAGAAGCACAGCTAAGGCGAAGCGTCTGTCTGCATTTCCATTACAAGCCCCCGTTTTTGGAGTTCATAACTCAACCATGGAAATATGCTTTGCATTGAACTGGAACCTGAAAAGAAACTGTCACAGGGAAAAGAGAGTTGGACTTTTAGAGCTGTAAAATGTGTCAGTTGTCCACTACCATCTGTACACATCTAACTCCGTGTTAGAAGGAATGTTACTGTTTTCCTGCCCCTGTCTGGATGGTGGAAATGGAAGACTGAGGGTGGAGGACTCATTTCTGAGCTGGTCCGGAGGAAATCTGAATGTCTTAACTTTTATGTATATTGGGGATGCTAAGAGCTCTATCATAATGAAAGTAACACTTGTACGACAATCATTTATCCTAGGTGTCGTTTTGTTTATTGTTACCTGTACAAAACCAGCAAGCAAAGAGCCCCTAGGGCTCAACCTGAGGCTTAAGGAGGTTACATAGGGCTGGATGTAACTTTCAACACCTTTCTCTGATGAAAGGGAGACCTGAAGGTATGCGTTTCAATGACGTGATTTGAAAGGACTCTGTTATCTTTTATTTTGACCGAAAAAAAAAAAAAAAAAAAAGGTCTTGTGAAATGCATTCCTGTCATGGTTGGGCAGGTTAAAGCTCAATGGTCTATATATCTATATCTCTGTCCCAGCTGGGAATGTAGAACAACTCTTACCCATACAAAAATATGAAGGATTAGGTTCATAGAAGACTGCTTTAAAAATATGAGCAGATTATAACTTCTGCTTTTTCTAACAAGTATTGCTTGGGAAGAAAAAGGTCATTATTGTCTTCAGTATCTTCCAGTCCTTTCTCTAAACACCACAAGAATTACATGAAGACTGGAATCAGATCATGCTGTTTCTCTGCTTAAAATTCTTCAATGGTTTCTTATTGGGTCTCAAATAGAATTCACACTCTTCACCATTGCCCATGAGGGCTATACAACCCGGCCTCTCAAGAGCCTTGTGGCCTCTTGTCATGTTGTCCACACCCAGTCATACTTGACTTTTTCCAGTTTCTCAGCTACATCAACCTTTTTTCTCCCACCTCAGGGACTTTTCATTTATGAACCTCTTTGCCAGTTATGTTTCTCTTCCCACACTCAGAGCAGCTGGCCTCTTCATATCCTTTGAGCTTAAATGTCACCTCTGCCTGCCTGCTCCATCACCTCTCCTAACAACCTCCATCTCGACCCCCTGTTGGCTTCTTTTGAAAAATTGAGCACAGCTATTGTTTTACTAATCTGTTTTTGCACTTGTCCTTTATCTATGGCCATCTAGAAAGCATGCTTCATGAAAGTAGGGGCCTTGGCCATTATATTCCCAGTGTCTAGTACAGACCACGTGCTCACTATTTGCTGAATAAATTGAGATTTATGTATTACATAATGCATTATAAATTTAAGCTTTAGTAGTCATTATTCTCTTTGTAGTATATATAATAGAATAATTTCTCCTTGATTTTTATATAACCTCCAGTTTGCAAAGAGGAACTAGAATTCCCACACAAAATGACAGTCTTAGAAATTGGATTGATAAGGCAGACATGACGGCACACACCTGTAGTCCCAGTTGCTTCAGAGGCCAAAACAGGAGGACTGCTTGAGCCCAGCAGTTCAAGGCTACAGTGAGCTAAGCAGGTTCCACTGCATTCCAGCCTAGGTGATAAAACAAGACCCTGCCAAGAAAGAAAAAGGAGGGAGGGAAGGAGGGAGGGAAGGAGGGAGGGAAGGAGGGACGGAGGGAGGGAGGGAGGAAGGAAAATAAATATATTGGATGGATAAAGAAATTCTGTTCTTTTACATCTTTCACTCTCTTTTTAGCACCATAAAATTGTGCTGAACTTCTGCAAAGAGTTTGTGGACCTCACCAAGGTGCTCCCCATGCCTCTTGAACTTGTAGATTCCAGGTTCTTCACCTGATGTACTTTGAGCTCTGAATACTGAGACCACAAAAAAATATGCTCAGCGTTTTGCAAACCTTAGAAAAGTAGACATAAGAGCATTGATTAATGTTCCAACTTGGCCTGATTCACTCAGAACATAAAACTTTGTCCTGGATAGGACTGGCTCAAGACCCCACAGCTAAAAAAAGCCATCTGAGACCTGTGCCCAAGCCTTCTGATGCCAGATCTAGGCCTTAATTCAGGGAACTACTGCTGTCTCTGGAAAGGCAGGGTTAGTTAGGAATTAACAACCCATGATTCTCCAACTGAATCCTTCAAGCACTAGATCCTCATGCTTTTGCGTGACTGGCTCCAGAAGTTTCTTTAAAAATCCAGTCCCCATATTAGAAGTGGTAATACAATTCAAGGAAGTTGTCATTGTCAATCATCGCGTATTCAGCAATTCTTTTTTTTTTTTTTGAGACAGAGCTTTGCTCTCGTTGCCCAGGCTAGAGTGCAATGGCACAATCTCAGCTCACTGCAGCCTCCGCCTCCCAGATTCAAGCAATTCTCCTGCCTCAGCCTCCTGAGTAGCTGGGATTGCAGGTGCCCACCACCACGCCCAGCTAATTTTTTGTATTTTTAGTAAAGACGGGGTTTCACCATGTAGGCCAGGCTGGTCTCGAACTCCTGACCTCAGGTGATCCACCCAGCCTCCCAAAGTGCTGGGATTACAGGCGTGAGCCACCGTGCCCAGCTCAGAAATACTTTACCTGATTCTTTTCCTCTCTGCCACTTGCTGAAATTTGGTTGACTGAACGGAAAATAAGAAAAGGCTTAGATAAAATAAGAAGAATGTTTGCATAGGAATATGACCCTTAGCAAGCCAGTTACTCTCTAAGACTCAGTTTCCTACGCTATAAAATGGGGATATAACATATATGACCTACCTCACAGAGTCTTCAAGACAATTAAGATAATGCATGTAGAGCTCTTAGCACAATGTATACAAAGGGCCCAATGTTAGCTCCTACTGCTGTTGTATTATTATCAATAACAATTCCAACGTAAGAGAAGCTCTAGAAACAAGAGAGCTTTTCTTTTCTTTTTGGACAGGGTCTTGTTCTATTGCCTAGGCTAGAGTTCAGTGGCATAATCATGGCTCACTGCAGCCTCAACTTCCTGGGCTCAAGTGATCCTCCCACCTCAGCTTCCCAAGTAGCTGGGACTACAGGTGTGCACCACCATGCCCAGCCAATTTTTTTTTAATTTTTTTTTTTTTGGTAGAGATGATGTCTCACTATGTTGCCCCAGCTAGTCTTGAACTCCTAGGCTCAAGTGATCCTCCCACCTCAGCCTCCAAAGTGCTAGGATTACAAGTGTAAGCCACCATGCCTGGCCTCTTTTCTTTTCTTTTAAAGGGAGGCTGGGAAAGCCGGAGAGCTAGTAGGAGCCAGGGCACATAGAGAGTGAGGTAGTAGCATGCCTAAGGTACACCTCAGCAGTTCCAGAATTCTGCTGCGAGTGGTCCTCCATCAAACTACTTCACCTCTCTGAAGTCTAGTTCGCTTACCTGTAAAGGAAAGATAATAACCAACTCTAACCTACTTCACCAGGTTGTCAAGGATTCAAATAAGACACACATCTGTAAAAGCACTTTGTATGTCTTAATGGAAATGTTAGATATTGCTTTCACATATGTTACAGATAACTGGCTATTGTTTCAATCAAGTCAGCGGTTCTAAACTTTGGCTGCAAATTAGAAGCACCCGGAAGCTTCAAAAAATCCAAATGCCCGGGCCACACCATAAACTAAGCCAGAATCTCTTCCGTGGGACCCAGGCCCAGTACTACTTTGTGTGTGTGTGTGTGTGTGTGTGTGTGTGTGAGATGGAGTCTCACTCTATCGCCCAGGCTGGAGTGCACTGGCGAAATCTCGGCTCACTGCAAGCTCCACCTCCTGAGTTCAAGCAATTCTCCTGCCTCAGCCTCCCGAGTAGCTGGGACTACAGGTGCCCGCCACCACGCCCGGCTAATTTTTTGTATTTTTAGTAGAGACGGGGTTTCACCGTGTTAGCCAGGATGGTCTCAATCTCCTGACCTCATGATCTGCCTGTCTAGGCTTCCCAAAGTGCTGGGATTACAGACATGAGTCACCGTGCCCGGCCCCAGTGCTACTTTTGTAAAGCTCCCCAAGTGATTCCAATATCCATCCAACATTAAGAGTCAAGAAATAAAATGTTTCTTAAACCTTCCCAATGATAAGGAGCCCCAGAGTCCCACCATACCTGCAGAATCAGCCTTCGAAGGGAAGGGGGCGTGGAGTCTATTTTCAACAGGCATCCTTAGCTGACTCTTAACAGCAAGCAATTATGAGAAACAATGTGTTGAATCATAGTCTGAGAGTTGGAAGGGATGTTGTTTAAAGTCTTCACCCTTGAATCATCTCAAAACCATGTGAAACTTTATGAATCCCACGAACGAAAGGCCAATGTGTGTTAACCCACTACATGAACAATAAATAATACGACTTTTAGCTATTCCTCTGTGCTGGAATCATCACCAGCCTCTCAGTTCCGTTTAGTTCCTGAACTTTCTAGTTCAGGAAATTTTGACTGACTGAAGAGATTTGCAATGATAAGAAACTTTTCTGAATCAAACAATTTGGGATGCTAGGAAATGCACAGAAAGAATCTTTCATTTAAAAAGAAATATTCAAATATTGTGAAATAAAATAATAAGCTGAGCTTTTTGATGTCCACAAAGAGAGCTGACCTCCAGGTGGTACAGACACAACTAAATTTTTATTATTTTTCTTTCAAAAGGAAATATTGCACAGTTCTATAAAGCTTACCCTATTACTTGAAGCTCACATGGGAAAGATAGGCAGATAACATTTAATGTAAATAACATACAAACAAGCTACTATGTCGCAGAAAAGTGGAAAATATCAAGAAAAAATGTAATCAACTGCTGATATGCAAGTTGTAAAACTCTGCTCAACTCTGTGCAATTTCCCTCATCTACCATTTTGAAAGCATCAAACTGACAGAATGGTTGGTCTATCAGCTTCTGCTGAACATTCTCATGTTGTCATTGAAAAGTTAAGCTTTGTGGAATTCTGTTCCCTCTGGGGTCACATTTACCTGCATGGCCTAAGTAGTTAACCTTAAAATATTTTCTCCTTTCTATTTCTTGCACTGTTTTGAGTCCAGCCTTCATCTCAGCTTTGTTTGAGCCACAAATACTGTCAATATTCAGAGACTATATTTATTTCTAAGCTTTTTAAGAAGAAAGATAATGGAGATTGATTTTAATAAATAGATGAGTTTCAGATATTTGCATTTCCTTTATAATGGCTTCATATCGGTTACTCAGTTCTAAACTTTGTCAGATAAGGCATTGGGGAATAACAATGCTGGATCCAGTTTGAATTATGTCTTTGGAAATTATAGCCACTCGTTTCATGTAATAAGCACTTGTTTTCATGTGCATTCACCATGCCCATTTCTTAGTATCTCTTTTATCTCTTTTTATTTTTGATAAAGTGTTTTAATAGAGAATATCACTGTAGCCTACCTTTTAATAGTATGAAATAACAAGACATTATTGCCAGGTTTGTTTACATTTGGAAAAAGTCCTTATCATTAATAAGAGGTATACTATAAATGCTTGGAGTCCCATGCCCCATGGAGGAGCTAGTGCACATGATACCTTGAGCAAGAACAGAGCTATGGGCACTCCCAATTGTGTGCCCTCCCTCTCAATTGGTTTTTGTCTTTTTTAATTTTTTTTTTCTGGGATACGGTCTTCCTTTGCTGTCCAGGTTGGAGTGCGGTGGCACAAACCTCCTAGGCTCAAGCAATCCTCCCACCACCATTTCCCAAGTAGCTAAGACCACAGGCACACACCATTATGCCCAGCAAATGTTTCAAATAGTTTATAGAGACAAAGTCTCACCATGTTGCCCAGGCTCAAGCGATCCTCTCACCTCAGCCTCGCAAAGTGCTGGGATTATAGGTGTGAGCCACCACCCCCAACTAGTTTGTTTAGGGTTGTAATTTTTTATACTTTCCTGTTCTTTGTTGAGTCATTTCATTGTCAGATTGCATGTTTGATTGCATTGTTAGATTGCATGTTAGGATGCCCACCCTGATGGCCTCATTTGATTTTAATTACCTCCGTAAAGATCCTATCTTCAAATAAGGTCATATTCTGAGGTATTCAGTATATGAATCTGAGGGGTGTGGGGGGGCACAATTCAACCCTCAACAGTAGTATTATACATGATTATTTTAAAGATTGTTCCTGTATCCTCAAATCATAGCTGATAAATGAAAATAAATTCTGGAAAGAAAACCTTAATTGTGACGATGGTCTTTGGAACAGGACTTTACTGGTATTTGGCAGGTGAGTGTGTACCTCCCACAAGTGTGAAAATGATCATCTCCCAGTTAGCTGTCTCCCAGTATACAATTATTTTCTGCCGTACACCATAGACCGATATACACTGATGTTATAGATTTGGCTTCTGTGCTCCTAAGAGCCAAACTCTATAGCAAAAGCTGTATTCAACGGGGCAGAATTTCTCTTTTGGTTGCTGGGACAGCAAGAGGATGGACAGACTAAGACCTTCCTGGTATAGACAAGGAAACAGGCCAGAAACAGGGAAGAGGGTGGCAAAGGTCACAGGGCTAGTTAGTGGCAGCCCTGGAACTAGATCTTGGGTCTCCCAACTCATAAGCCGGTGCTCTTTTACCAAACCACACTATCCTCCACCCCGGGTATCCCTCACCTTACCTGCCAGCTATCAAAACCACCCACTGCTCGCTGGCAATATATGCTTTTCCTTACTGACTTTAATATTTTAAAATTTTTTTTTGTATTGAACTGATCCTAATTGCTAAATAAGTGCATTACTGATACCGATGAGCAGAATTAAAATTGGGGAGTTATGCCTTTGGTGATTGTTTCCCTAAAAACCTGTCAACCCCCCAACCAAAAAAAGCTAGGCATCTAATTTACATAAGGTAGTGGGTTTCTTGACCCTTCAGATCCAATTTTTTGGCTAAAACTTGCTTTATCAGCCAGAATTGTAGATATATACTCCAAAGTGGAAAAAAAAATTTGTCTGAGATGTCAAACTAGTGGCAGTTAGTGATTACTTTTGAAAACAAAAAAACAAAAAGGCTCTTACCTTCTGTTTTACCAGTTCTTGGTTAATACACCATCACTGATATTAGAGGTTTGGATTTTAGATATCTTCAACCTAATTCAGCCACTTTACAAATAAGGAAATGGTAGCCTGGGCAATGGCATGTCCAAGGCCACTCAGTTAAAGAGAAATCTAGGGACAGGTCTTTGTCTCTGGGTCTCTGGACATCTCATCCACAACTTTTTTTTTTTTTTTTTTTTTTGAGACAGAGTCTCGCTCTTGTCGCCCACGCTGGAGTGCAGCGGCACGATCTTGGCTCACTGCAACCTCCGCCTCTTGGGTTCAAGTGATTCTCCTGTCTCAGCCTCCCAAGTAGCTGGGATTACAGGCGCCCGCCACCATGTCCGGCTAATTTTTGTACTTTTATTAGAGACAGGGTTTCACCATGTTGGTCAGGCTGGTCTCGAACTCCTGACCTCAGGTGATCCACCTGCCTTGGCTTCCCAAAGTGCTGGGATTACAGGTGTGAGCCACCGCGCCCAGCTCATCCACAACTCCTAATACCACTGCTACTGCTGCCTAATGGTTATGTTAGCACATTCCTAAGCTACAGGAAGTTTATTTTTCCCCATGAAGATAGGAGAAATACTAACCCTAATGTTCCTTAGTGACTTGATGCTTTACCATGTAGCTCTGTTATGTCACACTCACAATATTAATTTTAAAGAATAGACTGTTTTCCAAATATATGTATTTAATGTGACTATCTTCTGACTATTCACTGATGTTACCAACACCTAAACTTACTTGTGTAGGGAAGTGCCATGCACATTAACTTTTAATATTTTTTAAGACTGTATAAAACTTTTGTTTTATTTTATTAAAAGGGAAATGTTTCTATGTTTCCTTTAGATGTCTTCAAAATTCATGTTTTTGTAACTTCTTTTCAGGGTTATTAAATCAGGTTAAACTAGATTAAGCCCCAGCGAAGGTGTTTCAGAGTTTGAAGCCTGGCATATCAGCCAACTCTACAAAGTGGTCTCAGAACAGAGGACATTCTGAGATGTACAGTCCATTGATGAACACTAATCCTAGAACATTAAACTTACCGTGTTAAATGGATTTCTGGAAGTTTCTCTGTGGAAGTCTTGGAATAGTCCTCCCTTCCTTTTCTTGAGCCAAGAAAACTCTGAACCAGAACAATTCGATTTCAATTTGTGGAAAAACTATATTCAATGAGCCAAACACCGTGCTGAGAGTTTTGTAGGGGGCGGGAGAAAGGGGCATTTGGATCACTGTTGTATGTTAGTTACTAAAATATCTGGATTTCTATTTAAATGTTCTGAGATACATTTTCAAGCTTTGTTTCTGAGGGGTATTTGCAAGCTTCATTTTAAAGTCCGAGAACCCGAAGAATGAAACTCGCTTTTGTGTCATAGTTATTGTGTTATATGTTAAGCATTTGGAAGGGACCCCAGTGAGGCCTCAGGAAGCAGTTACTGCCTCTCTTATCGTCCTGAAGGCGATTTGTTTTAAAGTTGATAATCCCTAGGGCTGTGAGAGTGTCCCACATCTGCCCTGAATTGAAAACAGATTCCCATTTAGAGCCTTACATCAGTGCTGCAGATTCATGCGATCTGAGTCAGAGAGGAAGTCAGAGACCATTTGAACGTATGGCCAGCAGCTCACTTCATGGAGGAACAAGATTGCAGGGTATGTAGGCTGTCTGTTTTCAAATTTTAAGACTGTTTTTGGTGCCTTCTGACATTTAGACTGATATATTCAGGAAAGGACTATTGTGGGAAACAGGTATAAAGTAACTGTCAGTATCTAGGGATTTTCAGTGCTACTGATGAATTCATCAAAATTCCGAGGGCGCTAGGCAGTGACTGCTTCGGAATTCCTTCACCGGGCTTTGCCATTTTTGTGACTTACCATTCATTATATAAGATATATTTATATAATTATGTAGATATTTATTTTCCCCCAAGACTCTAAAAAAGGTTTTGTAAGCCAAGAAAAGTTTTTCCTGTTAAAGACCAGAGCTTTTCCAGCCTCTACTTATCTATGAAAACTTTTTTAAAGATTTGCACACACGCTAAGAATGAAGGATGTAACGATGTATTTCATGTTGCAACCCCCAGGGGATCGGGACCATCCGATTAACCATTTAGTATCTCATATTTTACTGAAGGAGTTTTCTTCTCAGGTTGCTGAACAACTTTGTTTCCGTCTTCGTCTTCTCTGTGGAAATCGTATTCTACAGATTGTGAAGGTCTTTTCTTTTTTAATTAAAAAAGGGGTTTATATTTGGGCTGAACATGGGGGCTCATGCCTATAATCCCAGAACTTTGAGAGGCCGGGGCGGGAAGGTTCCTTGAGCCCAGGAATTGGAGACCAGCCTGGGCAACATGGCGAAACACTGTCTCTACAAAAATTACAAAAATTAGCTGGGCATGGTGGCATGCAACTGTAGTCTCAGCTACTTGGGAGGCTGAGGCAGGAGGATCTCTTGAGCCCAGGATTTCTGGGCTGCAGTAAACTATGATCACACCACTGCACTCTAGCCTTGGTGACAGAGTGAGATCTTGTCTCTTCTTTTCTTCTTCTTTTTTAAATTTTTCTTTCTTTCTTTTTTTTTTTTTTTGAGACAGAGTCTCCCTCTGTCATCCAGGCTGGAGTGCTGTGGTGTAATGTCAGCTCGCTGCAACCTCTGCCTCCTGGGTTCAAGCAATTCTCCTGCCTTGGCCTCCTGAGTAGCTGGGATTACAGGCACCTACCCCCATGCCCGGCTAATTTTTGTATTTTTCATGGAGACAGGGTTTCACCATGTTGACCAGGCTGGTCTTGAACTCCTGACCCCAGGTGATCCACCTGCCTCAGCCTCCCAAAGTGCTGGGATTACAGGCATGAGCCACCACACCCAGCCTGACCCTGTCTCTTAAGAAAAAAAAAAAATAGATTTGTTCATGAAAAATAATTAAAGAGTACAGAGGTCATGAGGTAGAGTCTGAGAGCCCAACCACTCAATGCATGGGTGCTGACCCCTGCCTGGCCTGAGGGCCTCTCCTGCCCCTTCTCTGCTTCTGGCCTGGGCTTTGGCAAGTTGAGGCCTCTCAGGTGGGCTTCTGGAAGGCTGCTTTGCTCACTACTGTCTCTGAGGAGCTGAGAACAGTGCCTGGTACTGTCGGTGCCCAGTCAATACTTGTTGAATGAAAGTAGAATTAGAGAAGGGAACTCTAGAAGAAATTAGAATTAGAGAAGGGAACTCTAGAAGAAATGTCAGTTTGGGCATTTAACCTAGTGAGGCTTTGCTTGGGCAAATTTCTCCTTGCCATCTTGGTAGGATTGCAACCAGAAGGAGAGACTGGGTCATTGAGAGAAAAGTGCTAGACTGCCAGTCAAAGCAACTATGTATGAAACATAGAATTCCACGGTCATGGGATGAACAAAGCAAAAAATGTCTGAAATATGAGTTGTGAGAGGTAACAGTCATGCCCTAGAGGGTGCTCAGGAGTCCAAGGGAGGCTGGTAAATGGGAGAAAGTGAACAGACATGGCTGGCAGGTTCTCCTTTCAACTTGGGGCAGATGGACTCATCAAAAATCTTCCAACAGAACAAAGCCTCCTCTTGTTACATGCGCTTTCCCTGGTTTCAGAAACAATACGTTCAGAGCAGCCTAGTTGGCAGGTAATGTTTTCAGTCCAAATGCCAAAACTCTGGTCCCTCTTGACTGGTTGCCCGCAGTTCTTTAAAGAGGGAAGGTTTTTTCAGGTGCCAAAATTTGACTGCAAACTCTGTCATGGGACTATGCCCTCTTAATCCCAGCAAGACAGAGGCTTTCTTTTAGAAAAGGAAGCAAGCACATTTGGGTTTTTGTGCTGAGGATGCAAAAAGATGTATTGATCAACTCAGACAGAAAGGGGAATTATCAGCCTTAGGAATATCGTTCCTGTCCTAAAGAGACAAGTGAATGAGCCTTGAAATCTATAGAGACAGTTCCAGTTCAGACAAGCTTCCTTTGTGGGAGATGATTGTGTATATGTCTTATTTTAACTAACCTAATTAATCTACCTGATTAATTTATCAACCTCAGAAGTTTGGGGAGAAAATAAAATCAGTGTGGCAGAGACTTCCACAGTGATACCTGGATTATAAATTTACTGTTACCTCAAAGAAAATCCAGATCCAAAATCTCTCTGCCTCTTTTCCAGTAACAAACCCAGCACATCTTCATTTAGGGCAATATCCTCTTGCCCTGCCCCTCCTCTAATTTACAGCCCCATATTTGGACACCAGGGATTCAATGACCTACCACCAAGGCACCAATGGGTGGTGCCACCATGCCAATTCACAGAACTCGTGGCTCTTCAGAAGTTTTGTAAGCCATTGTTTAGAATTCAGAACACATTATCACCCAGAAACAAGGTTAGGCTCCAGCTCTACTCCTGAATGCAAATTTATCCTAAAATACAGAGAATCTGCTACAAGCATCTGGAAAGGGGAAGAAAGAACTTGCGTCATATTGTTTAATGGCATTGGAGAATATATTTTACAATGAATGGTAATAATGTTCTCAAGAGCATTTTTAATATCCTTGAGAATTCATTCTTGGCCCTGGACATCATTTGTTTCTTGGTCTGGACCCTAACCACCTATTCTAGGTGCTTTGTCTCCTGCTGCTTCCTTGAATGGTACCCTAGGCTGAAGTCCAAGAAAATTATTTGTATGTACTTTTCCACTTGTGGTTTCTTTTGCCTAGACTGTCTTATTCCTCTTCTAATTCCTGGCAAACTCTCGATCAGCTCAAACATTCACACAGTTAATACTCTTCTGTGATGCCCCAGTCAAACTTCCACCTCTCTACTCCCTTGGCCACAAACCCCTCTAAGAAAATTTTGCAGACAGCTTCAAGTGGTTCCTCCATTGACCTTCCAAAATTCCAAGGACCCCAGTTCAAAACTCTGCCTAGGAAATATTAGAAATTCCCCTCCCTAGCTCGCTTGCATTTCCATAAGATCTTAAAAGTACCGCTATGTATTTACATTAATCACATTATATTGCAATTATTTTGGGGCGTGTGGTCTCACTCTGTCACCCAAGCTGGAATGCAGTGGCATGATCATGGCCCATGGCAGCCTTGAACTCCTAGGCTAAAGCAATCCTCCTGCCATAGCCTCCCACGTAGCAGGGACTATAGGCATGCATGATCACACCCAGCTGATTTTTTATTATTTGTAGAGACAGGGTTTCACCATGTTGCCCAGGCTTATCTTAAACTCCTGGTCTTAAGCAATCCTCCTGCCTCAGCCTCCCAAAGTGTTGGGATTTCAGGCATGAGCCACTGTGCCTAGCCTACTTCTACTTTTTTGTGTGGGAGGAATTATGAGTAGTGGGAAGAGACTGGAGCTTAGAGTTAGAGAGTATAGGCACCAACACTGGCTCTCTGATTTCCAGTTGTGTGGTCTTGGATAAGTTAATTCTCTCTCCATTTTTGCTTTTCTTCATTTGTAAGATGAGAGTAATACCTGCCTGTAAGGAGTTGTTGTAAGGATTAAATAATAATCCGTGTAAAAGCCCTAGCCTAGTGCTTAAGCCATACAAAGTGAAAGATAAATGTTAATAAAATATGATTCTAAATTTGAAATGGTGGACATAGAACTCTGAAGCCAGAAGGAACTTGCGTCTCTTCTGTCCAGCCTTGGACTCTCTCCTTTTGTGACTCACCCCCTTCAGTTTGAGGCAGCATGTCAGTAGGCTAGCATTACCTTTTTACAGCCACTTCTCAGATCACTTCGGTGACTAAAATAAAATAAAACCTAGAAGAGTAAGAGAAAAGAGGAACAGCGCCCAGTCGATTTGTAAGTGTGCGAAAGAAAAAGTAAGCTAGGATGGAGGAAGAGGGAACAAAGTATATGCAAAGGGAAAAGGGAGCGGATGATGAGAAAGCTGAGGGCAGGTAGTAGCAAAGGGAGACAGAGAGAAGAGAAACTGCACCACTGGGAAATTGCACTTCCAGGATCATAGAAGAAGCAATTGTTCATTTAAATATATACACCTGCGAGTGCACCCCTGTGCATTTTTTTACCCAAGAAGTGCCTTGTGTAGTTCCAAGTACTTCACATAAATAATCATGGTAGCCTGACACAGTGGCTTGCACCTGAAATCCAAGCTACTTGGGAGGCTGAGGCAGGAGAGTCACTTGAAGCCAGGAGTTAGAGACAAGCCTGGGCAATGTAGCAAGACCCCCATCTCTAAAAAATAATAATAATGATGATAATTATGCGTTACTAAAACTTACATACCATTTACTATGTGCCAGGCACTGTTCTAAGCTCTTCAGACATATTAACTCATTTAATCCTCACAACAACACGGTGTGGTAGACACATAAAAATCCCTATTTTACTGATAAAGAAAGGGGACACACGAATAGTCCCATAACTAGGATATATGGGAGCCAGTATTTGAACCCAGAGAGTCTGCCCCTGGAGTCTTGCACTCTTAATGGAAATGACAACCATCACGCAGAAATGCACCTGCAGCTGAGGTGGCTCCTGGCGTGGTCAGGTGGCCAATGTGGCCACTACAGTCAACAGCACAGTAAAGTCCAGCCTGTTGGACATTCCCACTGATATACTTTCCAAAATACCACGTTAACAATACCATGCTAACACCTGAGAAGTTAGAATGGTAGAATTGCATGGCATGGAGAGACATTGGGTTCACCGTGCTCCGACCAGCCAGCTGCTTCTATTGAGAGTGCCAGGAAAAGCTGGACCCAGGGTCACTGGTCAAACTCTCTGGGGAGAGACACAGGGCAGAAGTGAGTTGATCTCAGCCTCCCATATAACACTGCAGCGTCAGAAGGACATTATCCTTATTCCAGGTAATGTCCAGGAAATTCTACAAAAATTCTTTCCGAAAGTTTGCAGACATTATTATGTTGACACTCCAATAGTTTTCCAAATAGGAAAATAAAGACAATTGTGCTTTATTTTGAAGAACCATCTATTTTGACCTACTTAAAAGAGAAAAAATATGCAGGGTTTTGTTTTGTTTTGTCTTTTGAGACAGAGTCTTGCTCTGTCACCCAGGCTGGAGTACAGTGGCGTGATCTCAGCTCACTGCAAGCTCCGCCTCCCGGGTTCAAGCGATTCTTCTGCCTCAGCCTCCTGAGTAACTGGGACTACAGGCGCGCGCCACCAAGCCCAGCTAATTTTTGTATTTTCAGTAGAGACGGGGTTTCATCATATTGGCCAGGCTGGTCTCAAACTCCTGACCTCGTGATTCGCCTGCCTCACCCTCCCAAAGTGCTGGGATTGCAGGCGTGAGCCACTGCTCCCGGCCTTGTTTTGTTTTTGTTTTTGTTTGTTTTTCTGTTTTGTTTTTTTGAGACGGAGTCTCGCTCTCTCACCCAGGCTGGAGTGCAGTGCATGATCTCGGCTCACTGCAACCTCTGCCTCCCGGGTTCAAGCGATTCTCCTGCCTCAGCCTGTCGAGTAGCATTATAGGCATCCGCCACCATGCCCGGCTAATTTTTTGTATTTTTAATAGAGATGGGGTTTCACCATGTTGACCAGGCTGGTCTCAAACTCCTGACCTCAGGTGAACCACCAGCCTTGGCCTACCAAAGTGCTGGGATTACAGCCGTGAGCCACCGCACCCGGCCGGGAGAGGCTTATTAAATGTCTGCCCACATCTTGGTCTCCATTTTTTTTTCTCATTACAGCCTGGCTGGGGAACATCTTACCTAAAAACTCATTCATGCAAAATTCTATCTCCTTTGGAGCATTTTTAGGTCTTTTCACATGTCCTGGAAAGAAATACTGAATTAAATTAAATTTTAATTTTAATTTAATTTACTTTTAAATTTAATTTAAATCTTGAATAAAAGGCCTTACATAAACTGACTAAAAAGAGCTTAACTATGCAAAAGTAGGTTAAATAGAACAAGGCACTTTCAAGTATACAAAACAATCCCATCATTAGAAAAAAGAAAATTCTGGGCTCACTTCAGCAGCACATATACTAAAATTGGAATGATACAGAGAACACTAGCATGACCCCTGTGCAAGGATGATGTGCAAATTTGTGAAATGTTTCATGTATTTCTTAAATAGTTAAAAAAAATCTGCAAGTGCAATAAATACGTAATATAAACACTAAATTAAGTTAGATATGCCCTTGGAGGAACTAATTATTTTCATCACTAAACTGCTCCCAAATGCCAAGAAAATATAGAACACTAAAATGAAACCTAGACTCTCAGACTCTCAAAGGTCTAGAGGTTGAATTTTAAGCAAACTCTTCATTGAGCAAATGAATCTTTTTTTTTTTTTAATAGAGGCAGAGTCTCGCTCTGTTGCCCAGGCTGAGTGCAGTGGTGCGATCTCAGCTCACTGCCACCCCCGCCTCCTGAGTTCAAGCAATTTTCCTATCTCAGCCTCCCAAGTAGCTGGGACTACAGGCGCATGCTGCTATGCCCGGCTAATTTTTTGTATTTTAGTAGAAACGGGTTTCACCATGTTGCCCAGGCTGGTCTTGAACTCCTGAGCTCAAGCAATCCGCCTACCTCGGCCCCCAAAAGTGCTAGGATTACAGACATGAACCACCGCACCCAGCCAAGCAAATGAATCTTTAAGAAACTGTATTTAGGCCACCTGGCTACTTGGCAGGGTTATTGTGAGGATAACATGAGATTTAATGAATGTAAATCTCCCAGGCTAATGCCTAGCACATAGTGGACACTGACTCAATAATACTTTGTTGAATAAATGTTCAATCACTTGGCCAAGCCAACTCAGCTATCCCGTTAGGTTCTGGTTGCCATGGGGTAGCATGGGTTATCATCATGGATAATTCTAAGATTACACAAAAACACTTCCTAGAAAGAGCAATTCGCTGGGAAACAAAAATCCCAGAATGCTGAGATTTGCTTTCTAACCTTTTGCAAAAGGGTAAATTAGAGTTATGACTGAGTTGCTCTGAGAATTCAATGAAATTATGTTCATCTATCCATCCATCATCATTTTAAAAAATATTGATTGTCAGGAGTGGTGGCTCACACCTGAAATCCTAGCACTTTGGGAGGCTGAGGTAGGCAGATCACTTGAGTTTGAGGCCAGCTTGGCCAACATGATGAAACCCCGTCTCTACTAAAAAGACAAAAATTAGCTGGGTGTGGTGGTGCATGCCTGTAGTCCCAGTTACTTGGGAGGCTGAGACAGGAGAATTGCTTGAACCTGGGAGGCAGAGGCTGCAGTGAGCCAAGATGATGCCACTGCACTCCAGCCTGGGTGGCAGTGAGACCATGTCTCAAAAAAAAAAAAAAATCCTCCCCCTGCAACACTCCCCCCTCCGACATTCCCCCCAACATTCCCCCTAACATCATTCCCCCCCATCATTCCCCCCCGACATAACAAAAGAAAAAAAAGATTGTGTATTTTCAACACGGCAAGGATTGTTCTTGTGCTTGGTTGATGGTGGTGAACAGAACAGCCAAGGTCTCAGCCCCATGGAACTTACACCCTCCCATGAAGCACTTCACATGCAAGTCCTGCCATCACCTAGCACTAGAACCTGCCTCTGGGTGGTTGCCCTGGAAAGAGCAGTTACCTTCGAAGTCAGACTGATGCTCACTGCAGGCCAACCTCCACCACTTGGCAGCTATTCACCTGTCAGAGTTCAGTGTCCTGGGAAAAGCTTCTGAGCCGCAGTCCTGGTCCACAAATGGATATAATAACACTCACCTTGCAGGGATTCTGTGAAGGTGAAATGAGACATACTGAGTAGAAAGTACAATATGTGGCACATACTAGGTGTTCAATCCATGGTAGCCCTTCATTACCTTGATGAACAAATAGATCAAAAGAGGATCTAAGGACCCTCACAGGGGTGAGCCACTGTACCCATCCCTAGGATCGCTTGAGCTCAAGAGTTTGAGATCAGCCTGGGAAATAGAGAGACCCCGTCCCTACAAAAAGAAAAAAAATTAGCTGAGTGTGGTTGCACATGCCTATAGTCCCAGCTACTCGGGAGGCTGCAGCAGGAGATTCGCTTGAGCCTGGGTGGTCAAGGCCATGGTGAGCCATGATGGCACCACTGCACTCCAGCCTAGGTGACAGCGTAAGACCTTGTCTCACAACAACAACAACAAAAGAGACAGAGAGAGAGAAAGAGAGAAAAAGACCTAGTGCCGGCATAGAGAATATGGCATGTCATTGTGAAATTTCAGAAGAGTAGGGTTAAATGGAAGAGTGTTGTTTTGTTTTGTTTTGTTTTGTTGTTTTGTTTTGAGACAGAGTCTTGCTCTGTCACCCAGGCTGGAATGCAGTGTCATGATCTTGGCTCACTGAACCTCCACCTCCCGGGTTCAAGCAATTCTCCTGCCTCAGCCTCCCAAGTAGCTGGAATCACAGGCATGCACCACCATGCCTAGCTTTTTTTTTTTTTTTTTTTTTTTGCATTTTTAGTAGAGACAGGGTTTCACCGTGTTGGCCAGGCTGGTCTGGATCTCCTGACCTCAAGTGATCCTCCTGCCATGTCCTCCCAAAGTGCTGGGATTACAGGCGTGAGCCACCGCGCCTGGCTGGCATTGACTTTTCAACAGGAACACCAGCATCCAGGAAACAACAGCCTGGAGATTCTGAGGGCAAACGATTTCCGACCTAGAACCCTCAATTAAGGGTCAGATGGACTAGAAACATAGAAGGAGTCAAAGCATTTATATCACCTACACCCCTTATCTGCAAGCTCCTGGAGGATATGCTCCACTAAAACAAGGGAATGTGCAAAGCACAACCAAGTCAGACAGGGAGGGCTCCAGGAGGCATGTCTCAAGGAAGAAATGGGACCGACTCATGAGCCTGATGACTTCAGCCTCCTGTGAGGTGTGTCATGGTTCTGTCAGAGCTCGGAGCAGAATAATGGACAGGGACATAGAGAAGTGACCGAATTTTAAAAAGAAAATTCCAGGCCGGGCGCGGTGGCTCACGCCTGTAATCCCAGCACTTTGGGAGGCTGAGGTGGGTGGATCATGAGGTCAGGAGATCGAGACCATCCTGGCTAACACGGTGAAACACCGTCTCTACTAAAAATACAAAAAAATTAGTCGGGCGTGGTGGCACGTGCCTATGGTCCCAGCTACTCAGGAGGCAGAGGCAGGAGAATTGCTTGAACCGGGAGGTGGAGGTTGCAGTGAGCCAAGATTGCACCACTGCACTCCAGCCTGGGCGACAGAGCGAGACTCCGTCTCAAAAAAAAAAAAGGAAAAAGAAAAGAAAGAAAACTCCAAGAAAGAAAAAATAATGAGAAAAGAAATGTGACTATAGTACACAATCATGTCAGCACTGGTATAAATGAAACCATAAATTAGAACATAACTGTCATGGCCATGGAGGTAGACCACGAAGACCTCCTTTTGAAGGACAATCTTGAGGGAAGTATCCCCACTTCAGGGTCCACAGCTATCTTCACAGAAAGGTCTCCGCCCGGGGCTACAGTCAGCCAGTGGCTGAGCCGGGCAGGAAACTGGCATGGCCATTCCTGCACACTGCAGGACTTCTCCAATGGGCACTCTTTACTCTGGGTCTCCCCATGGGCCTGGCAGTGAAATTCTCAGGACTACACTGAAGTCTAAAGCTCTTCCCATTCAACCTCCTCCCTTGCTGCTCTCCTTCTCAGGCTCCATCCTTCACAGGCATCCTGCCCAGGAGATTTTTTTTTTCTTTTTTGAGATGGAGTCTCGCTCTGTCGCCCAGGCTGGAGTGCAGTGGCATGATCTTGGCTCACTGCAACCTCTGCCTCCCGGGTTCAAGCGATTCTCCTGCCTCAGCCTCCCAAGTAGCTGGGATTACAGGCGCCTGCCACCACGCCCAGCTAATTTTTGTATTTTCAATAGAGACGGGGTTTCACTGTGTTGGCCAGGCTGGTCTTGAACTCCTGACCTTGTGATCCCCCCGCCTCAGCCTCCCAAAGTCCTGGGGTTACAGACGTGAGCCACCACGCCCAGCCTCAGGAGATCTTACGCATTTCTAATTCTGTCTTGGGGAATCAAACTGTCAGAGGAACCGAACTAACACAACCACTATATTAGGAGGAGAGAAGGAGAATTGGGGGCTAGAGGCAGAATACAGTGTTAGGTTCTTTTATTTCAGATGCGGTATCCTTTCACCAATCCACAGTCCAACCCTAGTCCCCCTCCCCAAACTCATTTCTCCGTGTCATCAGAACTGAGCTGCAGCCACTGGTTCTAAGCATAGCTCATTTGTCTGCCAGAGAAGACACACCTAAAGATGTATCCAGAGAACGCCTGGAGTCAGGAATACATCCATGTATCCCAAGGAGGAGACCTGAAGTGATCCCAAGCCAACTGCTTCCCAATTTCATCTGGGGACTCCCTGCCAGAAAGCTTAGAATGTGCTTGCAGTGAAGTAATATTAGAAGATTTACTTCTTCCTTCTTGGGAGACATCGGCAGCTGGTCAAACTAGTGACATACTGTCCTCCCGTCTAGCTGAGTGCGCCAAATGAAGAGGACAGGGACAAAGAGCAGAAAGAAATGACTGCAAGTCAGCTCCTTCCTCCTCCTCTCCCCCACCTCCCCCACAGCTGCGACCACTGTTCTGCAGCCGCTTGGGTCTTGAGACAGCTGCCCCAGAGGCCCCCAGACTCCTGCTACATACCTTCCTTCCAGAGCAGTCAGGCTGGGTGGAATGTAGGCAGGGAGGTAGGGGGTGTGTGCATGAGTGTGCCTGTGTGTGTGTACGTGACAGAAACCACACAGCATCACAGCACATGGTCATAGAAAGAACAAGAGTATTCCGGCTGGGCGCGGTGGGTCACGCCTGTAATCCCAGCACTTTGGGAGGCAGAGGAGGATGGGTCAACTGACGTCAGGAGATCGAGACCATCCTGGCTAACAAGGTGAAACCCCTGTCTCTACTAAAAATGCAAAAAATTAGCTGGGTGTGGTGGCATGCACCTGTAATCCCAGCTATTTGGGAGGCTGAGGCAGGAGAATCATTTGAACCCGAGAGACGGAGGTTGCAGGGAGCCAAGATCGCACCACTACACCCCAGCCTGGGTGAAGATCGAGACTCTGTCTCAAAAAAAATGAGTACTCCCCACTTGTGTGTATCTGACTACCTGGCTCTGATACTAAGCCAGTGAAGAGCTTTCCTCATCTACATCTGGTCTTACAATAGATGGAGCAATACAGGAACACACTGAATTGTTTAGGGGGAAATATCATATCTATGTAATTTTTTTTTTTAATGAATAACCAGGAAGAACCAGAAATTCCAAAATGCCTTCCCTTCACCCTGAGTGTTAGCTATAGTCCATTAGCAGGAATAGCACATTATCCACTTCAGGCCAAGGATATAATCATTCCAATGACCACTATAGGAACCTACCCGAAGATTTTTGATGACAAGAACTAATAGGCAGGCTAAATTTTACAATTTTTTTATTATATGAAAATAATACATGGCCAAGCATGTTGGCGCACGCCTGTAATCCCAGCAATTTGGGAGGCCGAGGCGGGCAGATCACCTGAAGTCAGGAGTTCGAGACCAGCCTAGCCAACATAGTGAAACCCCGTCTCTACTAAAAATACAAAAACTAGCCAGGCGTGGTGGCACACGCCTATAGTCCCAGCTACTCAGGAGGCTGAGGCATGAGAATCGCTTGAACCCAGGAGGCAGAGGTTGCAGTGAGCTGAGATCATGCCATTGCACTCCAGCCTGGGTGACAGAGTAAGACTCCATCCCAAAAAAAAATAAAGTAATACATTTTCTACTGTATGAAAATTAAAATTTATAAACAAAAACAAAATAACCATAATTGCATAACCTAACCTAGAGGTACCCATTGCTTTGTTTCCTGTTAGTCTTGTTTCAAAGTATTTTCCAGAGCTTTGAAATCTTATTTTATACATAATTTCATATCCTAATTTTCCACTTAAAATATTATCAAATGAATTTCCTCGAACCATTACAAACTCTTTGAGAGCATCTTGTTTTGAAGTCTGTATAATATTCCAACTCATAGAAGTAGCTTAATTTGCCCAATCATTCTTCTTTGTTGGACTTTTAATGTTATTTCAAGATTTTCAAATTTAAACAAATGCTATAATGAACTTTTGGCATATAAATCTTTATCCTCATTTCAGATAATTTTCTCCCGATAGAGTCCCAATAGAAATGGCACTTCTTGGCCAAAGGGTATGAACGTTTTTAAGGCCAAATAAATCTTTTTAAAGACAGATTTTGAAAATTTTGTTTAATATTTAATACTTTTTCAAACAAAACAAACAAACCAACAAGTGCATGCCCATTACCCATTATTTGGCTTAAGATAACATCTTACCTCCACAGCTAATGCCACTCCGGACCTCTCCCATATCCACGCCCCCTCTCTCAACTCCAAAGGTAGCCATTATTCTGCATTTGTGTTCTTTGGATTATTTAAAGGAGCAGAACTTCAAGGATATATGGTCTTCCTGTTAGAGAATAAGAGAGAACAAGAAAAAGGGAGGGAGGGAAATGTTGAGCCCCACAGAAAGACTGGTTTGAGGTAGGGCTGCCTGCCCTGGAGTCCAACCTCCAATACTTGCCATCTCTGGCCTTAGAAAAGTTGCCTTGCCATTTCCAAAGTCCTGTTTGTTTCCCTGGAAAAGAGTTCCTATCTCCTTGCTATGGTTGTGGCGTGTGTTAATCGAGATAAGCATCTAGCATCCTCCAAGGATAGAACATTACTTTACAGAGTAGCCTCTGGCTATTGGGGGCCCAGGGAACACCACTTTCTGGGATAGTAGCTAGAGAACACTTTACAGGTTTTGTCCAGTATTGATGCTGCCCTTGCTATTTTTCCCAAAGCAGTGACAGGCTGTTTTGGTTTTTTTTTCCTCTCTCTCTTTTCCATAATTTTCCTTAGGTTCTAAAACAGACATTGATCAGATCTTTAAGAAGGGTTTCCTACAGGTAATTCCAGTAGAAGATGTTTCTCCCCTTTCTTTACTTTTCAAGTGAAAAGTGAAATGTTCTGAGCATATATCAGTCCTGCAACCCTGGACTTATTTCACTATGTTCTAACCAAATGAGAAAGGAAGCGCCAACAGTTTTCAATGCAAACACATAATTAAGGTAGTAAGATGTCTGAATTATAGATTTGGTGATCTACAATCAGCAGGTGCCTCAGATTCTTTCTGTATTACTGAAGTCTCTGGTTGCTTGCATGGGTTGGAAATTAAAGGAATTATAAGCATTAAAGATTGAAGTTTAGTTCTATAAGGAACTTTAGCAATAATCTAGTGATAGTCAATGGATGTTAACTTTCTTTTTTAGAAGCATCTCTAAAATTATGATTCTCCTCTAAAGAATGTACCTTTCTCTAAAAAGTGCCCACATGCACATCCACATAAAATCTTTACAAACATCAAGGGATTTGAGATCTCCCTGAAGCTGATTCATGGACCCTCCATTAAGAGTCCTGTATTAGATCATGCCACTGCACTCCAGCCTGGGCAACATAAAAGACTTTGTCTCTAAAAAAAAAAATAAAATAATTTTTAAAATAATTCCATTAGCTGGGCGTGGTGGCGTATGCTTGTAGTCCCAGCTACTCGGGAGGCAGAGGCAGGAGAATCACTTGAACCTGGGAGGCGGAGGTTGCTGTGAGCCGAGATGGTGCCACCGCACTCCGGCCTGGGTGACAGAGCTTGACTCCATCTCAAAAAAAAAAAAAAGAATTCTGTATTAGTTTGCCTAGGGCTGCCATAACAGAGAATCACAAACTGGGGTGGTGGAGTGGGGAGCTTAAACAACAGAAATTAGTTTTCTCACTGTCCCAGAGGCTTGAAGTTGGAGATCCAAGTGTCAGAGATGAAGGTGTCCACAGGATTGGTGTCTCCGGAGGCCTCTCTCCTTGGCTTGAGGCTCGCTGTCTTCTTCCAGTGTCTTCTCATAGCCATCTCTGTGTGTGTCTATGTCCTAACCCCCTCCTCTTCTAGAAGGACACCAGTCATACGGATTAGAGCCCACCCTAGTGACTCATTTTAACTTAATTACCTCTTTTAAAACTCTGTCTCCAATTACGGTCATATTCTGAGGTCCTGGGGAGTAGGGTTACAGCATATAAATTTGGGGGGATGGGACACAAATCAGCCCATAACAAATCTCTAAGCTACTTAGGGAACTGCAACCCAGAGCGGTCCAGAGACTCAACCATGCACTCACATGAATGTTTAGCAGCAGAGGCAGAACCACAGCCTGGGGGTCCCATCACCCAGGCTTCCATACCACCCTGCACCCTCTCCATGCGCTTCCTCAGACCACAGTGTGCTGCTCCAGGAGCCTATGGGTGGAGTCCAGAGGGTCAGATTTGAGGGATGAGATGTGAGTGGAGGTGCCGTTCTTGCCCCAGGTCTCTGATGGCATCAGGAGGAGACTTCAGCTCCAGAATGCTCTCCTTCCTCCAGATGCTTGGGCAATACCCAGGACAATACCCCAAGAAGTCAGCTCCTAATGATGGCTTCTTGAGGATCAGTAGGGCAATTATGGGGTGCTGATGTGAGCCAATGTGCTCTTTCCTCTACTATCAGTATTCAGCGTCCTCTGGGCCAATAGTCCCTACGCCTTGGAAAATTAAGGATTTTAGTAACAAATATTTAGAATCTATCGGCATGTTAACATTTAATGTCTTCAGTCTTGGTGTCCAGTGGCCCCTGCTCTCTCTCCTTCAAGGTGTGTGTCACATCTTTTCCAGGATCCTTTGAGGATGGTCACACCCCCTGCCACCATGGCCACAGTCTGTCTCCCCGGTAACATCCATCAGAGATGGCAACTTGCTGCTCTGGAGCTGTTGCCTCAATTCTGTATTAAATCTATTCTAATGCTGTCTTTGAATGTCTGTATTTAAGATTATTTTATTATGGGTCTGTTTTTTGAGCAGATTGTTACTTCACACTTCACTTTCTGTTCTGTGTATGTGTGTGTACATGCCTGTAATCAGTGCGTGCGTGTGTGTGGGGGGGTGGGGGGTGGTATTCCTCTGTTGTTTGCAACACCTCCCAGTTGGGGATCATTTGTAAATTTAGTTAATGAGCATTTAACACATTCCCTTTGATGAAGCTGTTAAATCTGAGTGCACACTGGCATCCTCCCAGACATCTCCCGTCTCCCAAGCCATTTGTGTTTCCCTCTTCTTAGCTGCTTAGTGATGGTTTCTTGTTTGTTGGTACAGTATGGAACTAACCTTTAGTCCTCTCTGGAAAAAGTAGGGCTTGAGTTTTGTAAGAAATGCTCACATCTGTATTCAAAGCAAGTCCACTTTTTTGGTGGGCTTTCGTTCTCACCAAACAAAATAAACTGCAGACAGAAAAGACGTTTCATCATCGCCCTAACTGGCCGTGCTTGTGGCAGTGGGACATAAGCTATGGCTGTCGGCTTTTGCAAGAACAAGCACCAAGCTGAAAACCCGCGGGCCCCAGCTGTCAGAGAGTTTCCCTGGATTTAATGATAACTTGATCTCTGAAGAGGGAGTGTATGTCAAGTGTGCTTTTCAATCACTTAGAGAAATCAGAGTAAATGACAGAGCGGCCCTGGGATTCGCCTGTGCGATGAGCCCTCATTACCGTCTCCTACAGTAGAGGCATCACGGGAATCAGCCCAACCCTGTGACAGTGGCAGAAACACAGGCTGTCTCCAAAGATGTAGAATTTGAAAAGAAACAGCCCCCAGATGTCTGTAAAAATCAATTATCTAAAATTCAGTATAATTAAAAATATAGAAATAAACCAGAGGAAGGGGTTGAACTACCTATGCATCCGTACATGAACCAGGAAGCCATCTCTCAACAGAAACAATCCTGCTACTACTTTACTTCTTATCTACCTCATGTGTGGTCCTTGCTTGCTATTCCTGACTTCAAGAATATGTGACTTCTATCATTTCCTACACCTCAGCAAATCCCACGCCAGCACTAGAGCCATCACAGACACACACGGAATACACACGTGTATGTACACACACACACACACACACACACTTTCCAGGCTGAGGCCACTCTAAGATCAGAAAAATGTCCTGGTAGTAATTAGATTGACACTTCCAACCTGGTTCTCAGCAGCTAGCCCCGGTGTCTGTGTTTCTAAATGTGAACACCACATGTTGCTCAAATTATTGACATCAAAGCCTGGTTACCAGACAAGACTGGCCAGAGAGATTTCACCTCCTACCCTTTAGGTTACTAGAGAGGCAGTAAAGTGGAGACAGCTGAATCCCACACGGTGCACAATTTAGGGCATGCCTGTGCCCTTTTTCTTTTTTTCTTTCTTTTTTTTTTGTGACGGAGTTTCACTCTTGTTGCCCAGGCTGGAGTGCAGCGGCATGATCTTGGCTCTCCACAGGTTCAAGCAAGTCTCCTGCCTCAGCCTCCCGAGTAGCTGGAACCCCTTTTTCTTTTTTACTGTGTAAAACGAAACAAAACAAAGCACTAAAACACAACATCAGTTTCAAGGGATTGTTTGTTTTCATTCCCAGCCCAGGTCACCTCACAATCCATAACTGAGAAGCATTTTATACTTTGAGTTGATGGAAGGCAAGAAAAGAGAAGGGAGGGATGGCCGGTGTTGACTCAGGGCAGGGCGAATGGTACACTTGGTGCCAACACCCCACTGGTCCCTTCCTGTGGAAAGGCGTGAGCCTATCTAACTTCACATGCCTCACGATCTCCAGCCTACAGCCTCTAACCTCATTTTGTCACTATTTTCTTTTCCTGTTGACTTCAGGGTAAAAGGCAGTGAAGTGGTCAGAGGAAGGTCTGCCCCTTACGCATCTCTGGTGGATTTGTCTGGATTTTTCTTCACGGTAACCAATGCCTTTGCCATGGTAAAGTAAGTTAGAGCTGGCTTTTTGGCAAAGGTTTCTTTTTAAGCCTGATTAGCCTTAGAGACATAGACAATTGTTACTGATAAGGCTGTCAGACTTGGAGAACATCTGAAATACAGGAATCTAAAAAGAAGTGCAATGAGTTTTGTGTGTTGAGGAATAGGGGCAGGGGATGCAGTCCCCTTTGATAAATAACCAGAGAGTGATTGCATTTATATCCTGACAGCATACTCATGTTGTATAGCCATTGTGAACACAAATGACAGCCATGAGTTCTGTGAGGAAAATGGTTTTTTTTGGTTGTGTTTTTTTTTTTTTTTTTTTTTTTTGAGACAGAGTCTCACTCTGTAGCCCAGGCTGGAGTGCAGTGGCACAGTCTCAGCTCACTACAACCTCTGCCTCCCAGGTTCAAGCAATACTCCTGCCTCAGCCTCTTGAGTAGCTGGTATTACAGGTATGCACCACCATGTCCGGTTAATTTTTGTATTTCTAGTAGAGAAGGGGTTTCACTATGTTGGCCAGACTGGTCTCAAACTCCTGACCTCAGTTGATCCGCCCACCTCGGCCTCCCAAAGTGCTGGGATTACAGGCGAGAGCCACCGTACCCAGCTTTCTGTGAGGGAAATCTCAGTGTTAATGAAATATTTAGTTTTTCTCGGTGATTACAACCAACACCCTTTAGCCTTTACGTCTTTGATTCCCAAATATATGAGGAAAATTTCTCTTCTCTCTCCCAGTTGAGAACTAGGAATTAATGAAAACGTTCTTGGCCGGGCGCGGTGGCTCATGCCTGTAATCCCAGCACTTTGGGAGGCCGAGGCGGGCAGATCACGAGGTCAGGAGATCGAGACCATCCTGGCTAACAGAGTGAAACCCCGTCTCTATTAAAAATACAAAAAATTAGCCGGGCGTGGTGGCAGGCGGCTGTAGTCCCAGCTACTCGGGAGGCTGAGGCAGGAGAATGGTGTGAACCCGGGAGGCGAAGCTTGCAGTGAGCCAAGATCGTGCCACTGCACTCCAGCCTGGGTGACAGAGTGAGATTCCGTCTCAAAAAAGAAGGAAATTAAGGGCGGTGCAAGATGTGCTTTGTTAAACAGATGCTTGAAGGCAGCATACTCGTTAAGAGTCATCACCACTCCCTAATCTCAAGTACCCAGGGACACAAACACTGCGGAAGGCGGAAGGCGGCAGGGCCCTCTGCCTGGGAAAACCAGAGACCTTTGTTCATGTTTATCTGCTGACCTTCCCTCCACTATTGTCCTATGACCCTGCCAAATCCCCCTCTCCGAGAAACACCCAAGAATGATCAATAAATACTAAAAAAAAGTTAAAAAAAAAAAAAGAAAGAGAAAAAAAGAAAAGGTTCTTTAAAATTTCATTATGTTTTATGAAAGAGATAAAAGGCATCTTTTCTTAATGCCTGCATTCTTCCACTTTATCTTGTTTTTTTTTTTTTCTGTATGAGAAAATATTGCTCTGTTGCCCAGGCTGGAGTGCAGTGGTGCAAATCATGGCTCACTGCAGCCTCAACTGCCCCTGCTCAAGCGATCCTCCTGCCTCAGCCAATTAGGACATGGCAAAAATCAGCCATGGCCACAAGTGGCAAAATCAGGCAGTTGATTATTTGCTCATTCTTGCTTCAGATGAAATCCATTAAAAAGGAATATCAAGAATAACTTTGAAATGATAAAGATTTGAGGTGACAGATACGCTAATTGCCCTGATTTGATCATTACACATGGTTTGCAGGTATTGAAATATCACATGCATCCCATAAATATGTTCAATTATTATGTGTCAATTTAAAATTTTTAAAAGAATAGCTTTTAAAAAGTGCAGGATGGCTAGTCACAGTGGCTCATGCCTGTAATCCCAGGACTTTGAGATGCCAAGGTGGGCAGATCACTTGAGGTCAGGAGTTCAAGACCAGCCTGGCCAATGTGACGAAACTCTGTCTCTAAAAAAATACAAAAAAGATTAGTTGGACCTGGTGACATGGCGCCTATAGTCCCAGCTCCTTGGGAGTCTGAGGTGGGTGGATCGCTTGAGCCTAGGAGGTCAATGCTGCATTGAGTTGTGATCACACCGCTGCACTCTAGCCTGGGTGACAAAGTATCAAAAAACAAACAAACAACAACAACAACAAACAGTGTATTTATGACTCGGGGACTTTTTTTTTAAAAAAAGAAATGCTGTTTTAAGTCAAATGAAAACCAAAAATAAAAAATAAGAATAAGAAAGCCATAACTTGGGGTATAAGGTATTTATTGTCATTGTTATTCTTGTTGTTGCTGATTTCCCAGCGGGTACTGGGGATAAGGTTAAAGAAAAAGAACCCAGAAATCCAGACTTGGAAAAGAAGATGGAAGAGCTTAGAGCCAAGAAAAATAGATACTAGTACTTAAAAGAATTTGGTTATTTTAAGATCCTCCTGAGAAAGAGTGGCTAGCATCTTTAACACTGGTAGCAAAATCAGGCAAAGGAATTCAGGAAAAAAACGCCTGAATATGGAACAGGAAGGAACTAACTTTGTCAAATGTACTTAATGAAGTGTTTTTCAGGGTTACTTGAGATTAGAAAGTAGACAGAGTTGTCTTCTGTGATGATCTTTTCATAGAATCATGCAGCTGGGAGAAATAGTTTAGTGTTATTTCCTGCCTCAGGGAGCTATATAACTAAACCATCCCATTTGGATGGTTATCCAATTCATTTTTTTTAAGCATTTAAACCACCATCTGCCCTGAGCTCTGAGCTTGCCTGCCATCCACATGGGCAGAAGGTGACACATTTGCCTAGGGGCTCCCGACAATCCCAGGCCCTACCTGCTTTATCCTGGGATATGGGCTAATGGAGCCTTCCACAGAAATGGGATTGTTTTTGGGATATGGCTATTATTACAGATATTAGCAACATTCTGCCTTCAGTCTCTTCTACGTGCTTATAGAAATGCACTGGCCTGTGGGGCTCTACACCTCAAAAAATAGCCTTGAGAAGGCTCTGCCCTAGGAAGAGGGGTGTAAAGGGCATGTTACTTAAACACCGACTTTCATGGGGACTCAGATGCTCCACATGTGGCTAAAGCCAGAGCTGTACCCTGGCAACTCAGTTCCCCTCTCCAGCAAACTAGCATCAGGGCAGAGCAAGGGAAGAGGCATGTGAATTCCATTGATCGTAGGTTCAATGCCAGGCTTTAAAAGGTCTATGTGAATCAGGGCCGGGAACAGTGGCTCATGCCTATAATCCCAGTACTTTGGGAGGCCGAGGTGGGCAGATCACCTGAGGTCAGGAGTTTGAGACCAGCCTGGCCAACATGACAAAATCCTGTCTCTACTAAAAATACAAAAAATTAGCCGGGCATGGTGGCATGTGCCTGTAATCCCAGCTACTCAGGAGGCTGAGGCAGGAGAATCACTTGAACCTGGGAGTTGGAGGTTGCAATGAGTCGAGATCGCACCACCCACTGTACTCCAGCCTGGGCAACAGAGTGATACTCCATCTCAAAAAAAAAAAAGGTCTATGTGAATCAACAGCAGCCCAGAAAGGTGTATAAGATCTACCATGATCTGTAATAATCTCAAAGGGCTCATTTCACCTGGATATAGTGGCCACAGAGCAACCTGCACACCCTAAACGATCCAAACCCTGTAGGTGCTCAGTGCTGCTGGGAATGCCCCTCTAGATGTTCTCAGGACCAGAGCACTCCAGACTAGCACTGAGCAAAGATGTTGCCCTTTTTCTCCTCAGGCTTGGCTCCTTGCATGCAGCCAGGAATCAGCAGCCAGTGAGACATCTCCGATTGGTTTGCAGTTCTGTCAGATACATGCCTGGGGTGAGGAAGTGTCCTTGAACTGTTTGCTTATTCTTCCCTTCTGAATGGAAGTGGAGTGATTGCATCCCACAGGTTTCGGAGATGGCACTGGATTGGCGCCACTTGCTTGGCCCTGGACACTGGGCAGCACTGTGTGTGGAGGCTTTCCACCTGCCTTCTTGACAGCTGTACTTTCCCAGGCAGCGTGGGCAGAGTCGGAGCCAGAGACTCAGCTAGTCTGGAGGGGGAGGGGGAGGGGAATTGGAGAAATCTTGTTTACGCCACTGATGCCAGGATCTAAATTTTCTACAACCCACATGCCAGCACCCTTTAAGCCTGCTCAAGAGGTGCTGTGAGTTGGAATCCTAGGAGAAGCCATTAGCTAGAGCTTTCCCCAAGGGACAACAGTGTTCCAGATTCTGTCTAGGATGCTGTTATAGTCCTTACCTTAGAACAACTATGCCAGCCGTCCCGGGAGGAGGAAAAGCAAAGGTTCTAGTCTCTCACTGGAACTTGGGAAATATTTCTTATTCAAATACACTCTTTGAGCATTAACATTTCTCAAGGGAGCAAGAGAAATCTGAGAAATAGTCATTGGCCTAATTTGGATGGCTGAATTGTTTCATGAAAAAGCCTGTGAATTGCAATTGAGACCTTGGCATGGATCTGGGGAGGCAAAGGGAATCTATTCTCTGAAAAGCACCATATGACTATGTCAGCCACACCTGGGCTGGCCCCGCCACCCAAAGATGCCCAAGTGGCACTGGTCATTTGCACATTTCTAAAGAGGCGTGCTTGGATTTTGCACAAAAAAATTCGGGTCCATGGCCACAAGTGGCTTTGCAGATGTGTTACTGGCCACAAGAGAAGGCAGACAAGAATTCAAATGAGGCTACACAGCCAAGAAACTGTCGCAGGATCAGCGGTTGAAATGGAGACCAGGGGCAGAATCCAGGAACGGTTGAGAACACAGACCTCAGGGTCAGAGTGGTACAAATCCTGGACCCTTTCCTTACGAGCTCTGAGACTCTGGACAAATGACTGAACCTCTCAGTAGGGATGGATGGTATAGATCCTTCCTCACCAGAATGAAGTCCAAATAGGAATGATAGTAATAGGCCCTTTCTCACCAGGAGGTAGGAAGATTAAGCAGCAACTGGTGAAACACTTGCTTAGCACCCTGCCTGGAACATAACTAAGTACGTGATACATAGTTGCTACTGTTCTATTTATTATTTTTCCTACACAGAAAAGCCTGCATGAGGCCTGGAATTGCTAATGCCCCACGTTTTAAACAACACCTGATAAACGGCAGTGTGGAGTTGTGACCCTCAGCCTGTGTGATCAGATCCCAAGGTCTTAATCATAAGGAGGAACGAGAGGGGAGCAAAAATTTCTTAAAATTTTGAGTTGCCCTTATATCTTATTGGATGGAAAAAAGAACTTGGAAAAAGTGCTGAGTTTCTTTCTAAAGGGGTTCCACAGCTCAGTAAGGTATTCTAGTCTCCACCACTCCCTGTGCTCTATATTGACATCTGCCTTTTCCAAAGAATGGGAATTAAAAAACACTGGCACAGCCATTTTGTGAAAATGCATAGAATTGAATCTGGTTCCCACTTTTGAAATAGGCAAAGAAAAATTAATGGATGCCTAGTAAGTCTTTTGTACTAATAAGACCTATTATTATTTTCTTTCTCGTTCTCTCTCTCTCTCACACACACACACATACACACCCGTACACACACCAGTCTAATACAATGTCCTCATTTTATAGATGAGTAAACTGAGGTCCTGATAATGAAGTAAACGAGTACCGGCATTCCTAGCTACCCACTTTTAGGTAGTTTAAATGTAGCTTTGGGGGAAAAATAACCCTAGTCTTGATGCTGCAGTTGGGTGGGCAGGCTCATTACAGAGGCATTTTCAGCACTTAGAGAAAGGAGTTCTCTGTTTGCACACACACGTGCATACTTTATCTCTCTCTCTTCCAGTTTTTGCTTTGTCCCCAAAATTCTGATACTCTCCTTCAGAGAAGGAGCTGAAGTAAACAAATCAACAATCAAGGCATTTTCTGAACAGAATGGATGCATTATTCTTTGGGTGAGCAGAACCCAGATTCTGGTTTCTGTTCTTAACTCAGCTTCTTCTCCCTTGGAGAGGGGGAGTAATGGAGAAAAACAGAAACAAGTGATATTACTAATAACAACCCTGCCAGCTCTCTTTTGATTACTGATCAACCGGGTGACAATCCCACAGGGCAGAGAGTTATCTCGGCAGCCTGTGATACATTCAGTTTAAGCTGATGGCGGCGTATGGCAGCACAGCTCCAGCAGAAAAGCACTGTCCCCTGTCTGAGGACGTGCAGTTGGGCTGAAGAACGGTGCAGAATTGTTCCTGCCATGCCTCTCTCCTTCACACCCCAGCACAAAGAAGGGCTGTGTGTTGACAGCAGCCAGCACTTCACCTGGTGGGTGGGGACAACTGCTGTATTGCCCACACCTTGCCCCTTAGTGAAATTGTTAATTTTCAATATTCTGACAGTCTGTATTCTATCCTTTGCCCTAGTCCAATTTTTCCAAACAATGAAACAAAGTTTCGTATTATTCTAATACCACTTCTTATATGTATTGACTTTCATTACGCCTTTTGTTAGTTACCATCAAAACTTGTTGGAAATCATTGTTACTTTAAAGGAGGGAATACTTGTTAAAAAGCAAATTTCTATGGGATATTTGTGGGTTTTGTTTTTTGTTGTTTTTGTTTTTGTTGTTGTTGTTTTGAGACAGAGTCTCACTCTGTTACCCAGGTTGGAGTGCAGTGGCGCTATCTCGGCTCACTGCAACCTCCGTCTCCCAGGTTCAAGCAATTCTCCTGCCTCAGCATCCCGAGTAGCTGGGATTACAGGAGCATGCCACCATGCCCAGCTAATTTTTGTATTTTTAGTAGAGATGGGGTTTCGCCATGTTGGCCAGGCTGGTCTCAAACTCCTGACCTCAAGTGATCCACCTGCCTCGACCTCCCAAAGTGCTGGGATTACAGGCATGAGCCACTACCCCAGGCCCTTGTGTATTATTATCATTAAGTATGTATTTTATTTTTTATATTTAAAGTAGTAGACTTACTTAGCAGTTACTATGTTCCTGGAGATAACTACAACAATATTTCATGTAACTCTATGGGATTCATTGTATTCATGGCCCCATTTTATAGATGAGAAAACTAAGGCTCAATAGGATAGAGTGATTGACCCAAGGACAGTTGGTTCTAAACGCTGCTCTGTCCGACTCAAAAGGCAGCATGCTGGGACCTACAGTCTCCCTAAACTTGTTTATCTAGAGTGTTACACGTATGTGGGCACATGTCCAAAATCCCTTCGGTGCGGCAGTTTGGAGAAAGGGGTCAAGGACAAGGGCTTCTTCCCCTAGAGCATTTAATGAGAAGGAGCTGGCATGGAGGATACCCAAGTCTGATGTAGTTTACTACTCTGCCCTCACTGTTGCTCCTTGTTTAAAGGATTTGGGGAATTTAGCAAAATATTGAAAGCACACATTTTCATGCTTGTGAAAGCAAAGGCCAAGAGCCAAAGGGCTGCAGCTGTGGATGCTTTTCCTCAGCATGAGGTTAACCTAAGGAAAGAAAGGCCTTCAGGGAAGAGAATCTCTTTACTGTTGCATTCTTAAAATTTCTAGTATTTCCATATGGACAGGACTGCTGCTCTTCCAGAAAACTTCTGGAAGAGCACCCTGAAGAGAGTCTGTCGTGTGAACTATGGTTCATTCAGCACAGAGAGTAGGACTCTGGGCATGGTGCACGCTGTCGCGGGGAGCAGCCGACCTTCCAGAACTACAAAGGAGAGACCCTGTGGAGAGGGTCGCACCAGGGCCGTCACTGGGGAAGTCATTTTCCTCTTTGGTTTGTTTATTTTCCTGCATAAAGAGGATGGTAAAATAGCTTAGACTAAAGACATTGTGTATAAAGACAGTGACAGGTTTATGTATTAAGCAACCTTTATTTGATTGTGACAACACTTTAAGATGAGAACAATGATACTAACTTTGAAACTAGGATTGTAAAAAAAAATATGAGCCATCTAGTTTAATTTAGATTTTATGTAAATAATGAATATTTTTTAACATACATCCATCCTATGCAGTATTTGGGATATATATGTATACTAAAAAATTATTGTCCGGGTGTGGCGGCTTACGCCTGTAGCACTTTGGGAGGCCAAGGCAGGTGGATTGCCTGAGGTCAGGAGTTCAAGACCAGCCTGGGCAACACGATGAAACACTGTCTCCACTGAAATACAAAAGAAATTAGCTGGGTGTGGCAGCGTGCACCTGTAGTCTCAGCTACTCAGGAGGCTGAGGCAGGAGAATTGCTTGAACCTGGGAGGCAGAGGTTGCAGTGAGCCGAGATCGTGCCACTGCCCTCCAGCCTGGGTGACAGAGCGAGACTCTATCTCTTAAAAAAAAATTATTAATATTTTATCTGGTGGACCCTATTGAAGCACTGATGTTAACAAAATACCACCACTCTTGGTAAAAATTAGTACATGGCTATAATTTGCAGGTTTTAAGGGAAATAGCATTCATTAAAACAGAATAGAATGAATTATTGATTTGCAACTAATTGATTATTATATATATATTTTTTTTTTGAGATGGAGTCTCGCTCTGTCGCCCAGGCTGGACTCCAGTGGCACGGTCTTGGCTCGCTGCAACCTCTGCCTCCTGGGTTCAAGCGATTCTCCTGCCTCAGCCTCCCTAGTAGCTGGAATTACAGGTACCCACCATTATGCCCAGCTAATTTTTGTACTTTTTTTTCCAGTGGAGATGGGGTGTCACCATGTTGGCCAGGCTGGTCTTGAACTCCTGACCTTGGGTGATCTGCCCACCACGGCCTCCCAAAGTTCTGGGATTATAGACATGAGCCGCCGTGCCCGGCCTTATTATAATTTCTTATGTGGCAATTTCTCACTTTAATTAGGTGCAGTAGCTCACACCTGTAATCCCAGCACTTTGGGAGGCTGAGGCAGGAGGATTGCTTGAGCCCAGGAGTTGGAGACCAGCCTGGGCAACATGGCGAGACCCTATCTCTACAAAAGAATGTTTTTTAACAATTAGTGTGGCCTGACATGGTAGCATGCATCTGTGGTCCCAGCTACCCAGGAGTCTAAGGTGGGAGGATCACTTGAGCCTGGGAGGTAGAGGCTACAGTGAACTATGATCATGCCACTGCATTCCAGCCTGAACAGAGTGAGAGGGATGAAAGAAGGAAGGAAGGGAGGGAGGGAGGGAGGGAGGAAGGAAGGAAGGAAGGAAGGAAGGAAGGAAGGAAGGAAGGAAGAAGGAAGGGAAAGGAGGGAGGGAGGGAGGGAAAGGAAGGAAGAAAAGAGAGAAAGAAAAAAGAAAGAACAAAAGAAAGAAAGAAAAAGAGAAAGAAAAAAGAGAGGGAGGGAAGAAAGGAAGGAAGGAAAAAAGGAAGGAAGGGAAGGAGGGAGGGAAGTAAGGAGGGAGGGAGGGAGGGAAGGAAGAAAGGAAGGAAGGAAGGAAAAGAAAGACTCACTTTAAATGAGTCTGTAAGTTTGTTAGCAGAGAGCCATTAGGTTATGTTTTCTCTTCAGTCAAAATATCATTAAGTAATTCACAAATAAAAGCACACAGACAATTTTGCAAGCATTTAAAAACACTTTAAACTGTATATAAATGTTTTTGAGTTAAAGGAGGGAATTCATTCAACAAATACCTACTGAGCCCTCACTCTATGCCCAGCATGGTTGAAGGTGTTTGGGAAACAGCGGGAACAAAATGAACTTCTCTGTCCTCTTAGGCTTTATATTCTAGAGAATGGTGAAGTTTAAACTATAGCCAGTTGCTGGAGATGTAGTAAAATAGGGGAGCGGACACTCTAACATTACAAAGATTTTTTTTGTAATGATTTTAGAAAAGAATTTTTTTTTTTTTAGCATTTATTGGTGCTACAAGAATTAAGATATTCTGATATCATTAAAAGACTGTCGTTGGGTGCGGTGGCTCACACCTGTAGTCCCAGCACTTTGGGAGGCCGAGGTGGGTGGATCACTTGTGGTCAGGAGTTTGAGACCAGCCTGGCCAACATGGTAAAACCTCATGTCTGCTAAAGACACAAAAATTAGCCGGGCATAGTGGTGCACGTCTGTAATCCCAGCTACTCGGGGGGCTCAGGAAGGAGAATCTCTTGAACCTGGGAGGTGGCGGTTGCAGTGAACCGAGATCACGCCACTCACTCCAGCCTGCAAGATGGAAGCAAGACTCCACCTCAAAAGAAAAAAAAAAAAAAGGCCTTTCAGGGTTCTCTGGGGTTTGATGGCTGAAAATGATATAAACATAAGAAGCCTTTAAGTATCAGGTCAACCTGTATTAGGAGGGGCTGAGAAGCAAACATTAATTCAGGATGCTATCTTTGGTTAAAAGCTCTCAACTTTTAAATCAGAATAAATTTACAGGGTGCCTGTGAGCACTAGCCAACCCTAACCCGCCCCACCAACAAATAATTTGGTGGAGATTTTTAGGAGTAGATAATGTTGTCAAGATGCTGGGGAGGAAAGGAAACTTTCAATGCCTGGGGCCTGTTTCCACTGATGCATGGGTATCAGTTTGGCAACACACTGCAGCTCCCATTCTACACTTGAGAGGCAGTAAATTGCTTTTGGGTAGAAATGAATTAACTCTTTTCTATGACTACATTACCATAACATGCTGTCAGAAGTGATTTAGTAAACTGAATATGGAAGGCTAAAAACCTGAGTATAGTACCAAGAAATAAATTGATTAATGTGTCCTTTCATTAGTATGATCAGATTCACAAGATGATTTTATGCTAATACTCATTTTCATAGCCTCTATTGTCAGCCTTGGTAAACTCCAGGTTGGAAGGATGTTAAAAGTTATCCACTCTGACTTTCCTGTGCCCATCGGATGCTCTTTCCCCTCCGTAATATTCTCACCAGGTGGTCCAATCTTTTAAGGTGCACTAGAATAAGCTTTAGGGGCCTGGTCAAACAAACAAACAACAACTTTACCTCTCAGAAACAAGATTTTTTTTTTTTTTTTTTTTTTTTGAGATGGGGTCTTGCTCTGTCACCCAGGCTGGAGTGTGGTAGCGAGATGTCGGCTCACTGCAGCCTCTGCCTCCCGGGTTCCAGTGATTCTCTCACCTCAGCCTCCCCAGTAGCTGGAATTACAGGCATGAGTAATCCTGGCTAGTTTTTTGTATTTTTATATTTATATTCTTACTGGCTAATTTTTTGTATTTTTAGTAAAGACGGGGTTTTACCACGTTGGCTAGGCTGGTCTCGAACTCCTGACCTCAGGTGATCTGCCTGCCTCGGCCTCCCAAAATGCTGGAATTACAAATGTAAGCCACTGCACCTGGCCAGAATTAAGATACTTTGTTCCTTTCATTTAGACCAAGGAAGCAACATGAAGCCACAGTTTCAAAAACCCGACAGCACTGTGAAAAAGAATTCCCTATTTCTTTTACTGTAGAGAAGAAAAGGACTAGTAAAACCCTTTTTTATTAGTAGTCATTGCAGTTCTATATCTTTGTTTTTTGAGTTTGTTGTTGTTGAGGCAGTCTTGCTCTGTCATCCAAGCTGGAGTGCAGTGGCACAATCTCAGCTCACTGAAACCTCCTCCTCGGCCGGGCTCGGTGGCTCATACCTGTAATCCTAGCACTTGGGAGGCCAAGGCCAGCAGATAAACTGCAGTCGGGAGTTCGAGTCCAGCCTGACCAACATGGAGAAACCCTGTCTCTACTAAAAATACAAAATTAGCCGGGAGTGGTGGTGCATGCCTGTAATCCCAGCTACTCAGGAGGCTGATGCAGGAGAATCACTTGAACCTGGGAGACAGAGGTTGCAGTGAGCCGAGATCGTGCCATTGCACTCCAGCCTGGGCAACAAGAGCAAAACTCCATCTCAAAAAAAAAAAAAAAAAAAAACTCTGCCTCCTGGGTTTAAGTGATTCTCCTGCCTCTGCTTCCCGAGTAGCTGGGATTACAGATGCCCACCACCATGCCCGGCTAATTTTTGTATTTTTGGTAGAGACAGGGTTTCGCCATGTTGGCCAGGCTGGTCTCAAACTCCTGACCTCAGGTGATTCTCCTGCCTTGGCCTCCCAAAGTGCTGGGATTACAGGCGTGAGCCACTGTGCCCAACCTGGGGTTTTTCTTTTCTTTTCTTTTCTTTTTGAGACAGGATCTTGCTCTGTGGCCCAGGCTGGAGTGCAGTGTTGTGATCATGGCTCGCTACAGCCTCAACCTCCCAGGCTGAAGCATTCCTTTCACCTCCGTCCCCCAAGTAGCTGGGACTACAGAAACACACCACCCCATCTTGGTGATTTTTTTTTTTTTTTTTTTTTGCAGTTTTTGTAGAGATGGGGTCTTGCTATGTTGCCATGTTGCCCAGGCTGAACTTGTGAGCTCAAGCAATCCTCCCACCTCGGCCTCCCAAAGTGCTGGGATTACAGGCATGAGCCACCGCACCCAACCTGTAGTTCTATATTAAAAACAACTGACATTCACTAAATGATCATTATGTGCCAAACACTGTGCTAAATAATTTTCATGTTATTTCTTATTTAATCAAAAATTTCATCATTTACAAGACCCTTAAGAAGCTAGTAATAGGCCGGGCGTGGCGGCTCACGCCTGTAATCCCAGCACTTTGGGAGGCCGAGGCAGGCAGATCATGAGATCAGGAGATCGAGACCATCCTGGCTAACATGGTGAAACCCCGTCTCTACTAAAAATACAAAAAATTAGCCGGGCGTGGTGGCGGGCGCCTGTAGTCCCAGCTACTCGGGAGGCAGCAGGAGAATGGCGTGAACCTGGGAGGTGGAGCTTGGAGTGAGCCGAGATCCCGCCACTGCACTCCAGCCTGGGCGACAGAGCAAGACTCCGTCTCAAAAAAAAAAAAAAAAAAAAAAAAAAAAAACTAGTAATATTATGACCTTGGTTAATAGAGACTAAGTGAGAGGTAGAGAAGGTAAGTAATTGCCTACCATTTTAACATTAGAAGGGATCTTTGGAATCCAAAACCACTCTTCTGATTTTCTAGGATTTGCCATGATACTTGTGTTAAAGAGTTAGAGCTGGAAATTTTAAATCTCTGCTGTTTTTGTTACTTCATGCTGCTTTATTCTCAAACGTATATAAAATATCTCCATGCTGCAGAAATTATGCACACATACACACACACACACACACGCAGAAATCATATATATATAGGGTACATTAGATGTGTGTGTATATATATACACACACACACACACACGGAGAAATATATATATACACACTGTGTATATATATATATAATTTCTGTGTTTATGTATTTCTGTGTGTATGTATTTATATACTGTGTGTGTGTATATATATATGTGTGTGTGTATATATTCGAACTCCTGACCTCAGGAGTATATATATATATATATATATATACACACACACACACAGAGAGAAAGAAAGAGATGATGGCAACTATTCTTCTCCCAGTTCAACAATGGGTAAGGTAAAGGAGATGAGAATGTGTTTGATTCCAGGCACCTCTGTACTTTAAAATTAGTTTGTTTATTTATTTATTTATTTATTTTTGAGACGGAGTTTTGATCTTGTTGCTCAGGCTGGAGTGCAATGGCGCGATCTCAGCTCACTGCAAACTCTGCCTCCCAGATTCAAGCGATTCTCCTGCCTCAGCCTCCTGAATAGCTGGGATTACAGGCACACACCACCATGCCAGGCTAATTTTGTATTTTTAGTAGAAACAGGGTTTCACCATGTTGGTCAGGCTGGTCTCAAACTCCTGACCTCAGGTGATCCACCCACCTCAACCTCCCACAGTGCTGCAATTACAGGTATAAGCCACCATGCCTGGCCTAAAATTGATTTAAAAATAAATCTATGACTCCATCCAACAGAAGCCAAGTACATATTCATCTCAAGCACAAATGGAACGTTCTTCAGGATAGACCATATGCTAAGCTATAAAATAAGACTCAAGATAAAGGAATCAAAATCATAGAGTATGCTTTCTGACTATAATGGAATTAAATTAGAAATCAATAACAGAAGGAAATTTGAGAAATTCACAAATATGTAAAAATTACTCCTAGGCTGGGCGCAGTGGCTCACGCCTGTAATCCCAGCACTTTTGGAGGCTGAGGCAGGCAGATCACTTGAGGTCAGGAGTTCGAGACCAGCCTGGCTAACATGGTGAAACCCCGTCTCTACTAAAAATACAGAACTTAGCTGGGTGGTGGCGGGCACCCATAATCCCAACTACTCAGGAGGCTGAGGCAGGAGAATCGCTAGAACTCGGGAGGTGGAGGTTCCAGTGAGCCAAGATTGTGCCACAGCACTCCAGCGACTCTGTCTCAACAAAATAAATAAATAAATAAATAAATAAATAAATAAATAAATAAATAAAATAAAAATACTCCTAAATAGTCAGTGGATCAGAGAAGAAATAACAAGGAATATTAGAAAATGCTTTAAGATGGAAAAATGCAATATACCAAAACTTATAAGATGCAGCTAAAACAATGCTCAGAAGGCAATGTATGGCTCTAAATGCCTATATTTAAAAGGAAGAAAGATCTCAAATTAATAACCAAATCGGGGGCCGGGTGCGATGGCTCACGCCTGTAATCCCAACACTTTGAGAGGCCGAGGTGGGTGGATCACGAGGTCAGGAGTTCAAGACCAGCCTGGCCAAGATGGTGAAACCCTGTCTCTGCTAAAAATACAAAAAAATGGCTGGGCGCAGTGGCTCACGCCTGTAATCCCAGCACTTTGGGAGGCCGAGGCGGGCGGATCACGAGGTCAGAAGATCAAGACCATCCTGAGTGACATGGTGAAACCCTGTCTCTACTAAAAAAATACAAAAAATTAGCGTGGTGGTGGGCACCTGTAGTCCCAGCTACTCAGGAGGCTGAGGCAGGAGAATGGTGTGAACCCGGGAGGCAGAGCTTGCAGTGAGCCAAGATCGCGCCACTGCACTCCAGCCTGGGCGACAGAGTGACTCCGTCTCAAAAAAAAAAAAAGAAAAGAAAAAAAAAATTAGCCGGGCATGGTGGTGGGCGCCTATAATCCTAGCTACTAGGGAGGGTGAGGTAGAGACTTGCTCGAACCGGGGAGGCAGAGGTTGCAGTGAGCCGAGACCACGCCACTGCACTCCAGCATGGGCGACAGAGTGAGACTCCATCTCAAATAAAATAAAAATTAAAATTAAAAATAACCAAATCTTCCACCTTAAAAAAAGAGAAGAAAAAGAACTTTTTAAAGACCTAGCATTAAAATTTTACAACTTCTAGAAAAGCTTATTAAAATAACTTCTACATTCTGGCCAGGTGCCATGGCTCACGCCTGTAATCCCAACACTTTGGGAGGCCGAGGCAGGCGGATCACTTGAGGTCAGGAGTTCGAGATCAGCCTGGCCGACATGGTAAAATCCCGTCTCTATTAAAAATACAAAAATTAGCTGGACGTGGTGATGGCGGGTGCCTGTAATCCCAGCCACTTGGGAGACTGAGGCACCAGAATCGCGTGAACCCAGGAGGTGGAGGTTGCAGTGAGCCAAGATTGTGCCACTGCACTCTAGCCTGGGCGATAGAGCGAGACTCAGTCTCAAATAAATCAATAAATAAATAACTTCTACAGTCTATACTACTCAGTTCCTGAATACACATTTCTTTAGAATGTATTCAGCAGTTTATCCCCTATTTATACACTTTTGGTCATTGTTCCAGAGTTTCTTTCTCATTAACATTCCTGGGCTGAGGCTCATTTCCTCAAGTTCTTTGCGTCTTTTGTCTACTGCTGCATGGGTTCCTGAGGAGAGTTAAAGGTTCTATTTGTTCCTGAGTTTACAATCAGAAGCTCACCAAAGCTCTTGCTCTGTGGAAACCTTGAAACTGATCTCTTGACAAGGCGCAGTGGCTCACGCCTGTAATCCCAGCACTTCGGGAAACCGAGGCGGGGGGATCATGAGGTCAGGAGTTCGAGATCACCCTGGCCAAGAGACCAGCCTGGTCAATACGGTGAAACCCCATCTCTACTAAAAATACAAAAATTAGCTGGATGTGGTGGCGGGCACCTATAATCCCAGCTACTCGAGAGGCTGAGGCAGGAGAATTGCTTGAACCCAGGAAACAGAGATTACAGTGAGCCAAAGATCGTGCCATTGCACTCCAGCCTGGGCGACAGAGCGAGACTCTGACTCAAAAAAAAAAAAAAAAAAAAAGAAAGAAAGAAAGAAAAGAAAATGATCTCTCTTTCAGTCAGGATTCAGCATTTAAACAACTGGCAGACCCAGTGAGTTTGACAAGAGTCAAATAAGGGGACTATTTAACAGAGCTGTGGGCAGGATTAAAGAACAACCAAAGATAGTGACGCACCAGAAACTAGCAACATCAGAAAGCCTTTCCTATGCTTAAGTCTGAAGGAGAAATTCGAGGAAACGGTTGTTAAATCAGGTACCAGAACGTTTATGTTTTAGAATAACTCAGGGAGTACAATGGGAATGTCCATGGCACAAAGAAATGATGAGTGCTTGAGGTGATGAGCCCCATTTATCCTGGTGTGATTATTATATGCTTGTATCAAAATATCTCATGTGCCCCATAAATATATACACCTACTATGTATCCATAAAAATTCAAAATTAAAACAATTTTAAAAAAAGAAAACAGAACCCTGGAAGAAGGAGTTACCTCTACTGATCCCTGGCCTTAGAGGGATGTAGCAACTGCTAAAACTTTGGCAGGTGGGGGGCACAGGTAAGAATAGACATAAATACCCTACCTACTTCTTTCTCTTTCCACTCGCTTGTTCTCTCTGCCATTGACCCAACCCAAAAGAAGCCAGAGAACCAGGAAGTCAGGATGCCATCTATAGATGTCCGCCTCTAAAGGGACAGATGGCAGAGATAGATCTGAGGGGAAGATGGAAATTAACCAGCACAAGTCTTCCAGCCAGGGCCACAGGCCTCTGAGCCCCAAGGTTCCAGGCCTCAGCTGGGTCCCAGGGAAACTCTTGTTGATTGGCAAGACTCTTCACCCACTGCCACTTCCTCTATTGCTGAGGTTGCTTTCTGCTTCCAATATTTTGTGTTCTCAAAGCAGCTGCTACTTCAACCCACACTAAGTTTCTCCAGGGAGTCTTCAATCTTGCTGTGGTAGGGGAGGCATCCATCCACACTCCTACTTACAGCCCCTCTTTTGTTTTATTGAAGCAGTCTTTCCCTCCTATTCGCACAGTCTCCTCTCCCTAGAAACACACACAAGATTCTCCCGAGCTGAGACAGGGTCAGGTTTTCTTCTTCATTCCTCCTTTCCCCCTGAGAAAGAGGCTGTAGAACACATCACCCAACAGCCCATGCAGAACCCCTGTGTCTCAGAAACCAGCTGCACTCAAGAATTGGGAGAGCTTCATCCTGGCCACAGGAATGGGAATGTACCTCTAGGAACTCACTCTGTGCAATGTGCTCAAGCAGAGGTGGGTCAGATGACCAGGCCTTGGTATTTGTAAACATATAGGGTGACAGTTCCTCTTAGTCATCCTTGAGTGACCCAGAGAACTGGCTGCTTGTCACATCCTCAGCACAACCTACCTTTCTCTTTCTTTTCTTTCTTTCTTTCTTTCTTTCTTTCTTTCTTTCTTTCTTTCTTTCTTTCTTTCTTTCTTTCTTTCTTTCTCTCTCTCTGTCTCTTTCTTTCTTTTCTTTCTTATTTTTTGAGACAGAGTCTCGCTCTGTCATCCAGGCTGGAGTGCAGTGGCTCAATCTTGGCTCACTGCAACCTCCGCCTCCCAGGTTCAAGCGATTCTCCTGCCTCAGCCTCCTGAGTAGCTGGGATTACAGGTGTGTGCCACCATGCCTGGCTAATTTTGTATTTTTAGTGGAGACAGGGTTTCGCCATGTTGGTCAGGCTGGTCTCAAACCCCTGACCTCGTGATCTGCCTGCCTCGGCCTCCCAAAGTGCTGGAATTACAGACATGAGCCACCGCACCTGGCCAGCACAACCTTTATAGGCAACTGGAGAGGAAGCTGGGAGCCCTACCCTAAAAGAGCTTACAGTATAATGAGGTGCCAAGCCCATTAAATAATAGCATCCTCCTGGAACAAGATATTTATGAAACAGGTTCCGTGGCTGCCCCAAGGCTCCAAGCATCTGATTGTATTTATTGTTATTCCACCCCTTGCTGATCCCAGGCTTCAAAGGTTGATGTATGACTGATCCTAAGAATCCAGCCCTACCAGAATGACCTGTCATCTCCCTTCTGCTGCTTGTTGAATTAGGCAGCTGCTTGTTGAATTAGGTTATTAAAATGTCTGCTCAGCCTCTTAGTCAACTTAACTTGGCTTTATTTTGGTGGAAAGCAAATCACTTAGTAGAATTTTGCTTAATTGGTCACTTGGCTCAGGGTTTGATGACTTTTCCAGTAATATTTGCACGACAAATATATTTTATTTAATTCTTTTCTGAAATAATTCAGCTGACTCTGAATGGTCAAGATGTGCAAAGCACTGAAGAGGCGCCATGATCCTAGCAGGAGATCTATGGTAATATGAGGGCAGAAAACACGGAAGAGAGACAGCCTGAACACTCACAGGTTTACCATAGAGATAAGCAAGAAGTATAACCAGCCACTGTGTCCTCACTATCTTTTTGATCTCTTTCTTGGGTATCTCTGGATCCATCTTTTTCTCTGGATTTCTAACCTCCATGTCCCTCTTTCACTTCTTCTGTGGTGTCTCACATGTGTTTGTGTACGTGTGTGTATGCATGCACACATCCAAGTGTATATATGTATCGCACCTTGGGCAAAATTTAATAATGGTGTTTTGCCACAGTTAAAAAGATATTAAATCCGCCCCCCCCAAAAATGTATAATAATGGGTAACAATACGGCATTTTAAAGAACTTGCTCTGTAATGGGTCCCAGGCAAAGAACTCTTCAGGTATCATATCAGTTGTTCATCAAAAACTTAGGAGCTTTTTTTTTTTTTTTGAGATGGAGTTTCACTCTGGTTGCCCAGGCTGGAGTGCAATGGCGCTGCCTTGGCTCACTGTAACCTCCGCTTCCCAGGTTCAAGCAATTCTCCTGCCTCAGCCTCCCAAGTAGCTGGGATTACAGGCATGCGCCACCATGCCTGGCTAATTTTTGTATTTTTAGTAGAGATAGGGTTTCACCACGTTGGTGAGGCTGGTCTCGAACTCCTGACGTCAGGTGATCCACCCACCTCGGCCTCCCAAAGTGCTGGGATTACAGGTGTGAGCCACCGCACCTGGCAACTTAGGAGCTTTTTAAAGTATTTTCTGCTTTACTGTCTTGTGATGTAGTTTCTCATGTCTAGAAAATAGAATTGTTCCTTGTCAGTCCATAAGATTCTCTTTCTCTGCCAGACGCAGTGGCTCATGCCTGTAATCCCAGCACTTTGGGAGGCCGAGGTGGGTGAATCACCTGAGGTCAGGAGTTCGAGACCAGCCTGACCAACGTGGCAAAACCCCATCTCTACTAAGAATACAAAAATTAGCCAGGGGTGGTGGCACACGCCTGTAGTCCCAGCTACTCAGGAGGCTGAGGCAGGAGACTCGCTTGAACTCCGGAGGTGGAGGTTGCAGTGAGCCAAGATTTCACCATTGCACTCCAATTTGGGTGACAGAGCAAGACTCTGTCTCCAAAAAAAAAAAAAAAAAAAGATTCTCTTTCTCTAAATGGTCCCATCAGGAATGGCTTGGTGCTTGTAGTTATGCTGCCTGGGGGGAAAAAAGAGTACAGAATATTCGGTGAGAACTGAAGGTTATTATAATCCAGAAAGAGTGATGGAGTATAAAGACAACGTCTTTTCAAATAGACTTTGCAAGACTTTCTGCCTTTTCAGTGGTAAAGGCTAAGCAGTGGTTTGCTGGCTTTGCCCTCTGTGGGTTACAGAAAGGCCTTTGCTTATAAATCCATGGAGCTGAAGGTCACATGAAGGGCTTGCCTGCACTAGCTTATTTACTCTAGGATCAGAATCAAGACCTCAGTTAATCTCAGTTACACTAGTGTGGCATATTTCCCACCTCCACCCATATCCACCCACTAGTTCTGGCCCCAGATTGTCTCTGAGCTGGCCCTGCCCACTGGTCAGAACAGATTGGCAAATGATCATTCCTTAGGACAGCCCTGGCTTGTACAACAGGCAGGAATGAGGTCAGAAGAAAGGCTATTGTCCCCATATCCTTGGTAGATGGAGGCTTATGTTACCTTCTCATGTTGCTTTAAAAAAAAAAAAAAAAAGCTAGTTCCTCTCTCCTTGTATTAAAAGACTTAGGGTATGAAGGTCAATTGTAAACATTTGACAGGTGACCTTTGCCAGCATGTTGGGTGGGTCAGAGCTCTAAACACATACACACCATGTACAAGGGTATCATTCATTTCTTGGGCAAAGGAGAACAAAAACTGGCGAGTTTTGAGTAATTAATATCCCATCTTCCATTTAAATGTCAACCTAGGAGTATTCAGTGAGGACATATGATGTTCAAGGCACCATGTGGGGGAATGTAGGGAAGTCTGGCAGAGTTTAGAATCCAGTAGAAAATTAAAAATATAAACAAGCATAGTACAGGAAGTACATGGTAAAACTTAGCCTCTAGGCTGGGCCTGGTGGCTCAGGCCTGTAATCCCAGCGCTTTGGGAAGCCGAGGAGGGTGGATCACCGGAGATCAGGAGTTTGAGACCAGCCTGGCTAACGTGGTGAAACCCCGTTTCTACTAAAAATACAAAAATTAGCCAGGTGTGGTGGTGCGTGCCTGTAGTCCCAGCTACTTGGGAGGCTGAGGTAGGAGAATCTCTTGAACCCAGGAGACGGAGGTTGCAGTAAGCCAAGATTGCGACACTGCACTCCAGCTGGGCGACAAGAGTGAAACGTTGTCTCAAAACAAAACAAACTTAGCCTCTAGAATCAAAAAAGCCTCAGTGCAAATCTCTGCTGTATCTATTTAACAACTGGTGCTGGAACAATAGGACATCCATATGTGAAAAAAAAAAAAAAAAATAGATTGTAGACCTCAATGTAAAATCACTGTGACTGTGGTAAATAAGATTTTGTCACTAAAACAAGATATGATTCATAAAAGAAAACATGGATAAATTGAACTTAGTCAAAATTTAAAATTCTCCTTGAAAGATGCTATAAAATGAGAAGGCAACCACACACTGAGAGAAAATATTTGCAAAGTATGTATTTGATAAAGGACTTGTATCCAGAATATATATTCAGTTATCTCAAAACTCAATAACAAGAAAATAGCATGATTTTTAAAACGGGCAAAAGATTTAACAGAACACATGAAAAGATACTCAACATAATTAGTCATCAGGAAAATGCAAATTTAAAAACAACAAAATAACTATTAGAATGACTTTTAAAAAAAAAGGCTGGTAATGGCAAGTGCTGGCAAGGATGTGGAGCAAAGGAAACTCTCAAGCATTGCCTATTGGAATAGAAAATGGTGTAGAAAGTCAGTCTGACAGGGTTTTGTTTGTTTGTTTTGCTTTGTTTTGTTTTGTTTTTTTGAGCTAGGGTCTCATTATGTTGCCCAGGCTGGTCTCAAACTCCTGGGCTCAAGTGATCCTCCGGCCTCAGCCTCCTGAATAGCTGGGATTATGGGCAAGCACCACCACACCTAAGCTTCTTTTTTTCTTTTCTTTTTTTTTTTCTTTCTTTTTTTTCCCCCCAAGACGGAGTGTCACTCTGTCGCCCGGGCTGGAGAGCAGTGGCATGGTCTCGGCTCACTGCAACATCTGCCTCCCAGGTTCAAGCGATTCTGCTGCCTCAGCCTCCCAAGTAGCTGGGATTACAGGCGCCTGCCACTATGCCCAGCTAATTTTTTTATTTTTAGTAGAGACAGGGTTTCACCATGTTGGCCAGGCTCATCTCAAACTCCTGACCTTGTGATTCACCTGCCTTGGCCTCCCAAAGTGCTGGGATTACAGGCATGAGCCACTGTGCCTGCCACCACACCTAAATTTCTAATAAAATTAAATATACATGCGAACTTTCCCTATAACCCACCAATCCCACTTCTAGGTATGAAAAAGTGAAATGAAAACCTATTTTCAAATAAAACCTGTCAGCCAGATGTGGTGGCTAACGCCTGTAATCCCAACACTTTGGGAGGCTGAGGCAGGAGGATTGCTGGAGCCCAGGAGTTTGAGACCAGCCTGGTCAACATGGTGAAACCCCATCTCTACTGAAAATAGAAAAATGAGCTGAATGTGGTAGCATGCACCTGTAGTTGCAGCTACTCGGGAGGCTGAGGTAGGAGGATCCCCTGAACCTGGGACAGGGAGGTTGCAGTGAGCCAAAATGGCACCATACCACTGCACTCCAGCCTGGGCGACAGGGCAAGACCTTGTCTCAGAAAAACAAAAAAATAAAATAAAACCTTTCCTTGAATGTTTATCATGGCTTTGTTCATAATCAAGAAAAACTAACCAATTTTCAAACCTGCTTCAACTGGTAAACAGGTAAACTCTGGTACATCCCCACAGTGGAATACGGCTCAGCAATAAAAAGCAAGAAACTTCTGTTACACTGAGTCACCTGGATGCATCTCAAATGCTTCTTGCTAAGTGAAAGGATCCAGACTCAAAAAGCTGCATACTGTATGATTCCATGTGTATGACATTTTGGAAAAAGTCCAACAGTAAGGATAGAAATCAGATCAGTGTTTTCTGGAGTTTGGTGGTCGGGGGACGAGTTGACTGTTAAATAGCATGAGGGCAGTCTGTTGGGTGATGGAACTGTTCTATATCTTGACTGTCATGCTGGTTACATGACTGTAATACTCACAGTGTTGTGCAATGAAAAGCATGATTTTTAGTGTGTAAATTATACCTCCATAAGCCTGATCAGGAAGAAAAAAGAAGCAATACTCTAGATAGTACTTAGTCATCAAAAACCATGAAGGTGGTCAGGCGTGGTGGCTCATGCCTGTAATCTCAGTGCTTTGGAAGGCTGAGGTGGGAGGATTGCTTGAGCCTAGGAGTTTGAGGCTGCACTGAGCTATAAATCATGTCACTGTACTCCAGCCTGGGTGACAGAGTGAGATCCTGCTATTAATAACAACAACAACAACCAAAAAGCATGAAGGCAATATTTTGAAAATTGTGCTCTGGCACTTAAAGCTGAGTGAATGACCATAGACAAGCTTCTTAACCTTTAGAAATACCCATTTCCTCATCTCTAAAGTGAAAACAGAATTAGTAGAAGCACTGAATAAAAATATGCTCTGAGAATTAAACTACCTAATGCATAAAGTAAAATTTGCTAAAGTTTATTGACCATTTACTCTACGCTAGGTTTTAGATGTGCCTTTATATTCATTATATAAGTTAATTCCAGCCTTAGGAGATAGGTTCTATTGTCCTATAGGGATAAGAAGAGGAGGAGAAGGAGGAGAAGGAGGAGGAGAAGGAGGCTGTGGCTGTTGCTAGATGAGAAGAGACAGTCAAGAAAAGCTTCCTGGGGAGGTGGCATCAGATTGTGTCTTAAAGGACAGGTAGAAGTGTCAACAGAGATTCAGTGGGATGTGCAAGGATTGAGGAGGGAGATTCACTAAATGACACCAGCAAGACAAAACAACACCCCTTCCCAACAAAAAAGAAGTCTTAGGAGTTAGTGGCAGAGAGAGGAGAGACCAACTGAGCCAAACCTCAAACTTGGGCACAGATATTGTAGAAGTGGGGAACTACATTAGCAGAGACTAGGAGGGAAGCTTACAGAAGCTGACATGATGTCCTGATTTGGACATACTATTCCTAATGTCCAGATCTTTGGAAAAGAGCTTTCATAATCTCCTGTATACCCATTCTGGTGTCTTAGTATTCACCCGGAGAAAATTCATTAAGTGCAAATCCTCTTGGCTGCACTTTTCCTTCATGTTTATTTGTGAATGCAAGTGGGGGATGGCTCAAGAGTAGCTTCAAGCTATTACTTTCCCTACTAATTGGGGTACATCACATATTTTTCCATGTCCTGTGATTCCTGGGGCATGGTATTTAAATGTTCTTCTGGGTAGAAAATACTGCTGCAAAACTATTCAAAAAGATTTCTGGCAAAGAAGGGTAGGAGAGGGTGGTGGGAGAGGGAGGACATTGAATCAAATGGTTCTTTGTTTCTATAAATACACAAACCTATGTCGAGACTTTTTACCCTTCCACTGCCCCCACTACCCCTCAACAGGTGGCACGAGCTCGATGACATTTGTAGAGCAGATGGCATGTCATTTTAATGCTGTTTCTAATTGACAGGGGCCTCGGTGGCTGTGGCACGTGCGGCTGCATGCCGGGTGTAGGGTGGGGAATGGAATTAGATACTGCTACCTGCTCCTTCTGGCGGAGAAGTGGGAGCTGTAATTGTGTCAACTGGCTTGAACACATTGCATTAATTCCTCATCAGAGGACTTATTTTGCTGGTTTTATTTCCCTTAACTTGCTAATCCTTCCCTCCCCCTTGCATAGCTCTGATTTTTGGTCAACTTCAACAAGGAAACCTTGTTCCTCTGAAAATCACCTTTAGCATAAGCTCAGTGTTTTCCTGTCCAGATTTTCATAAGCAAGTCAGGTTGCATTCAATTTACACCAGAAACAAGCTTTTGCGTCTCAGACATGGTCTAGAGAGAAAACAAAAAGGAGTGGGATGTAGCCCAAGCGACACTGGGAGCCTTACCAGGTATTCTAATCAGAGGATAAACAACATGGAGTTAGAAGTCCTGTCCCGGAGCAGCCATTATTTTTGTAATTCTCACTTTAAAAGCCATATGGTGAGTGGATGCAGCCCCACTTCCTGTGGTGAACTCATGCAACTCCAAGGCCACAGCTACACACTTCCCCACTCAGTATCCACAAGGAGCTCATTCTAATTCTAATCAGAATACTTTTGTTTATACAAAACAAAAAGTACTTGATCAATTGAGAAATGGCCCTTTAAACTGTATCAGGTTCCCTTCAATCATTCAGCTTCTTGAAGAAAACAAATCCCAATTATTAATCATATCCTATTAGATCAGATTTGAAAACAATTTATATGGTAATGAGGAATTTACTGAGCCCGCTGAATGCATTATGTTGTGCCTGAATCTAGGAGTTATTTCTAAGACATTCACGGTCATTTCCCTCTAATCTACAGCATAAGTTTCAGTTTAGGCCCTCAAACAAAAGTTTGGAAATAGGCATTCTTTGTATTTTCTTTCTTGCGTCTCCACCCAACATCATTACTGTCTTTAGTTCAAGAGGAGGGACAAGAACGAGAAGGTGGGTTTAGAATTCCTTTTGCTCCCCTAAGTTTCAAGTCTATTAATGAAAAATGGTATAAATGACTTTTTTTTTTTTTTTTTTGAGACGGAGCCCAGGCTGGAGTGCAGTGCCGCGATCTTGGCTCACTGCAACCTCTGCCTCCTGGGTTCAAGTGATTCTCCTGCCTCAGCCTCCCGAATAGCTGGGATTACAGGCGCCTGCTATCATGCCTGGCTAATTTTTTGTATTTTTAGTAGAGCTGGTGTTTCACCATGTTGGTCAGGCTGGTCTCGAACTCCTGATCTCAGGTGATCCGCCCAACTTGGCCTCCCAAAGTGCTGGGATTACAGGTGTGAGCCACTGTACTCAGCCCCGTATAAATGATTTTTAAAGCAGTTAATGATCTGCAAGCATTTAAGGGATTAAATTAGCTACTATTTATTACTGTTATTAAATAGAATTTAAATGAAAAATTGAATAACAACCATGATCATATATTGACTGTGACTGCTCCCTTTATGCCAGATAGAGATTATAGTAAGCACTTTTCCACATAATAATTTTTAAAGTAGCTAATATGTTTTTATTGATCATTTGCTATGTGGCACTCATGGTGTTTAGTTCTTTGCAAACTAACTTTTTTATTTGTCTTATCAACACTATGTCAGAGACTCTGTTATTGACCCCATTTAATAACTAAGAAAGTGAACCTTAGAGAGTAACTTGCTGGGAGTTGAAGTTTGTCTGAAGCCAAAGCCAATCTGTTCAACCACTACCTTAGATTCCTTGATGAATCTTTAAAAGACCGTACTTTTTTATGATGCAGGTAACCCCGCTAGTTGATCAGTTTTATATAAATTCAAACTTTCTTAAATTTAAGAGATTTCCTCGCTTTAGTTATGGGAGCTTTCTTACCCTGTCAAAATCTCAAAACTAGGCCAGGCACAGTGGCTCCTGCCTGTAATCTCAGTACTTTGGGAGGCCCAGGCGAGAGGATTGCTTGAGCCCAGGAATTCGAGACCTGCCTGGGCAACATAGTGAGACCCCATCTCTACAGAAAAATTAAAAATTAGCTGGGTGTGGTGGTGCACGCTTGTAGTCCCAGCTGTTCAGGAGGCTGAGATAGAAGGATCACTTGAGCCTGGGAGGTCGAGGTTTCAGTGAGCCATGATTTTGCCACTACACTCCAGCCTGAGCCATAGATCAAGACCCTGTGTCAAGGAAAAAATAAAAGCCTCGAAACTAAGACCAGCCTGCCACACCCATGGGCATTTCAACCTTCCTAAATCCCTGTGCTATGACCAATAGATTGTTCCCCTCACAGCCTTGAGATACAGTCCTCCTTTTGTTCATTGATTTCCTGGAGCACCAATGTTTTGAAAATAGAATCAAAACATAGTCCAAACATTACTTCTGCCTAGCTTGATGTAAAACCTTTATTATTTTTCCAAATGATTTACTGAGAATATAATATTACTGGAGTCAGAGTGCAATGTTTACAATTTCTTGTCAAGTTTTACCCTTATCTAGGTGTTCCCAGTTGGCAGCAGCTTCCACGTTCTTCCCTCTGTTTCTGCTGTTTTCAATGAGAGAGGCTGAGAGGGAACCCACCAGAGTCCCAAGCATAGGCAGCGTGGGGCAGACTGGCCTCTTTATTTGTAATGCACTGAATATGAAGGGAGCCACTCTGAAGCTGTTTTCTGTGTAGACAGGATATGATGATAATAGCACAAATAAAAGTTCATGTATTCCAGCCAGGGACAAATTAAGTGGGTACAGAGCATAGATATATGTCACACTGTTATTGACTTCGAACAGCACACGGCCCGCTTCAGGGCATCATGCCCAGATTAATTGGCTTGCCCAGAATGCATCTATGATTAGAAGAAAGCTCTCAGGAAATGCTGGGCAGCGCATTATCTGGAGTCTCCATTTTTCTCCTCCTAGGCACTGAAAGTTAGACATTTTGTTTTATACACCAAGAGAGTAGTGGCATTTGACACCATTGGTTTATGAAATGTTTTGCTGTTTTTTCTTCATAGATTATAAATGTTTTTCAGAGCAATCAGTCACCATATGTTGAGATGATACAGGTAGTATTTATGATTGCTATACAGAGGTGCCTCAGCTCTGGTATGTCAGGGGTTATAGAATTATGAGAAAAGGTGTGTATCTTGGGTGCAAATGTGCATGAAAGATCAAAATGAAGCTCTTTGTCATATATGAGCTACTGAAATAGAAGAACCTCTGAGACTGCTGTGCTTAAAACTACTGCCATTTCTGCCTTGAGGAATATAATGGTGATCAGACATGGCACCTGGCTGACTTTGCACTCCATTCTGAGTTAGCTGGAAAGGGAAGGAATCAGGAGAAATAGCCAACAGCACAAAACAACTTCAAAAATAGTGGCTTTCATTGGAAAATCTAGAGATGAATAGCAAAGAAGGTAGACTCTGTATCCAAGAAAAATCAAGGGTGAAATTGCTTATATTACTGACCAAAGGCTAAATACTTCTCTTGGATGAAGACAAGAAATTCCAGTGGTCTCTACTGAACCCTTGCATGCGTAAGCCAGTGATAAAATTTGGTCCAATAAAGAGCTCTTGTTCATCTGTGACACCATGTTTATCATGAAACCTGGAAAACCAGGAAAGTTAAACACTATGGGTGGATCAAAAGAAGTGGTTCCTGAATATTTGTTATTATTTAGGAGGTTTGAGAAAATATTGAGGAAAAAAATTTTTTTTGTTGTTTTTGAGATGGAGTTTCACTCTTGTTGCCAAGGCTGGAGTGCAATGGCACGACCTCGGCTCACCGCAACCTCCGCCTCCTGGGCTCAAGCGATTCTCCTGCCTCAGCCTCCCGAGTAGCTGGGATTACAGGCATGTGCCACCACATCCGGCTAATTTTTTTGTATTTTTAGTAGAGACGGGGTTTCACCATGTTGGCCAGGATGGTCTCAATCTCCTGACCTTGTGATCCGCCTGCCTCGGCCTCCCAAAGTGCTGGGATTACAGTCGTGAGCCACGGCGCCCGGCCAAGGAAAAAAATTTTTAATGGGACTCCCAACATCTTGCTTTTGTTGGATACTGGATCCATTCAGGTTCCATTCATGAAATATTTGCCATAGTGCATTGCTGCCTTTTTGGAAATGCTATAATATCTCAACCTTTAGCAACGCATTCCATTATTTAACAGTGAGGCATTCAGGAACTATCATAAGTTATGTGAAAGGTTGTGTTTTCTGAAACTGTTGAGAAAAGAACCCTTGTCTCTCAGCTTCAGGAACTCAGTCATTTTAATACTAGCAAGTATTTACATAAAGAATCTAAAAGCCCAGGACTTAGACTGAGAATTCATCCCCATGCATCACACAGAGACCTTTTGGTCTAAGGCACTAGTATCGTGGCCCTCAGTTTCTGCCACTGTCATTCATGGAGGCATTCATTCATTCTTTCATTCACCAGACCAATTTTTAGAACACTTCTATGTCTGGCTGGCATTGAATTTGTCTCCATGAATGCTTGAGTCTGGAAACAGACAAACAGCAGGCATGTTTTGCCAGGCAATGAATAGGTAGCATTACAAAATATTTAATATACAGGGCAGTACCTGTATACAGTAAATAATCAGTGTTCTTTATTAACATTATGCTTATCATTAAACAGCATAGTAACAGTATAGAAAAATTTTCAGATAGTTTAGTTCAAAATCATATCATCTGAATGCATCAACAGCTTTCATTTGACATTCATTTATTTGTTTGTTCAAAAAATATTTATTGAGCTCCTTACTGTACTGCAAACATGGCCATAGAACATTGGCAGCTTCTTTTCTCACCTTTTGTGGGCACATATACTACTAATTTCTTTTTTTTTTTTTTTTGAGACGGCGTCTCTTTCTGTCGCCGAGGCTGGAGTGCAATGGCATGATCTTGGCTCACTGCAAGCTCCGCCTCCCGGGTTCAAGCGATTCTCCTGCCTCAGCCTCACGAGTAGCTCGGACTACAGGCGCCGGCCACCACGCTCAGCTAATTTTTATACTTTTAATAGAGACGGGGTTTCACCACGTTGACCAGGATGGTCTCGATCTCTTGACCTTGTGATCCGCCCGCCTCAGCCTCCCAAAGTGCTGGGATTACAGGCGTGAGCCGCCACGCCCAGCTATACTACTAATTTCTTAAAATTTTTCACACAGAGAATATTTTCCCATGCTGTTACATATTTTATACGGTTTTAACAATTTAATCTGTAGATATTATTCCTTCAAGACATCATATCATCATTTATTTGACCATTCTCCTGTTATGGAATATGGAAGAAGCCGCATTTATCTTCTTTTTTTTTTTTTTTTTTTTTTTTTTTTGAGACGGAGTCTGGCTCTGTAGCCCAGGCTGGAGTGCAGTGGCGCGATCTCGGCTCACTGCAAGCTCCGCCTCCCGAGTTCATGCCATTCTCCTGCCTCAGCCTCCCGAGTAGCTGGGACCACAGGCGCCCACCACCACGTCCGGCTAATTCTTTTGTATTTTTTAGTGGAGACGGGGTTTCACCGTGTTTTGCCAGGATGGTCTTGATCTCCTGACCTCATGATCCACCCGCCTCTGCCTCCCAAAGTGCTGGGATTACAGGCGTGAGCCACCGCGCCCAGCCCCATTTATCTTTTTTTACCCCCTTCAATTTGGAGTTAAGGAACCTGGGAGATTGTGAATCACCGTAGTCCTCCCTTATTCATGGTTTCTTTTTCCTCAATTTTAGTTACCCACATTTTAGTCCTAAAATATTAAATGGAAAACTCAATAAATAAATATGTATAAGATTTTTGTTTTTTTGTTTTGTTTTTTGTTTTTTTGAGATGGAGTTTTGCTCTTGTTGCCCAGGCTGGAGTGCAATGGCATGATCTCGGCTCACCACAACCTCCCCTCCCGGGTTCAAGCAATTCCCAGCCTCAGGCTCCCGAGTAGCTGGGATTGCAGGCATGCGCCACCACGCCCAACTAATTTTGTATTTTTGGTAGACACAGGGTTTCTCCATGTTGGTCAGGCTGGTCTCGAATTCCCGATCTCAGGTGATCCGCAAGTCTTGGCCTCCCAAAGTACTGGGATTACAGGCATGAGCCACCGCACCCGGCCCGATGTATAAGTTTTAAATTGCACGCCATTCTGAGGGACATAATGAAATCTTGTGCTGTCCAGCAACATCCCTCCCAGGATGTGACTCCTCCCTCTGTCCATTGTACCCATGTGGTCTACACAGTAGTTGTTTAGTAGCTGACTCAGTTATCAGATTGACTATCACCATACTGCTGTTGAAGTCACCCTTATTTTGCCTCATGATGGCCCCAAAGTACAAGAGCAGTGATGCTGGCATATGGTTATAATTGTTCTATTTTATCGTTAGTTGTTAATGTATTACTGTGCCTAAGTTATAAATTAAACTTTATCATAAGTATGTATGTATGAGAAAAAACATAATATCTATAGGGTTCAGCACCATCCATGGTTTCAGGAATTCACTGGGGGTTGGGGAATCTATCCCCTAAGGATAAAGGGAGAATACTTTACTTCAGATCGCAGAGCCTGTGGAAAGATCTGGACAAGACCCTCTGAAAAGAGCTGATTGGTGCTGCTGCTAGAAAATATCAAGGTACATTATTGGTGTATGGGCCACCCCCCTTGATAGCGGCACCGCTTCTGGCTGGCCTTTGGGCAGGTATGACCTTCACATTAGTGAAGTGTTCCAAATTTTACTCCCTCTCTCCCTAATGTGTGTATTCTGTTACAGCAGGCTTTGGAATCATCTACTCAGCCAAGGGACTGTCCCTGGTACATGGTGCTCTTCAAAATAAAGTGAAGATTACCATCCCAAAGAGGACATTAGGAAGAACCAAAAGACAAAGGGTGGGTTCTTTCAGGTCTTTAAGTCCAACCTCCTTCGCTTACAGCCTACAAGGTGGAAAGTGTTTGACCATCCATCTGCCTTGAGCTTTGGGTTCAGCCATTCTCCCACTTGTATTGGTCTGGAACTCCTGGGCTCAAGAGATTCTCCTCCTCCAGCCTCCCAAAGTGTTGGTATTACAGGCGTGAGCCACCGTACCCAGACTTCACTTGTGTTTTTTAAAACAGAGAGCTTCAAGTCCCTCCAACACTTAATGTCATTTTATGTCTTTGTGCCTTTGCTCCCATTGTTCTCATAGTCTGAGTCCAGTTTAGCCACCACATGGCTGAGTAATTTTGATTCTTCCTTCAGTACTTCTTACTAACTCAGATGAAGCCTCTTACAAGAAGTCTTCCATAATGCCTCAAGGCTGCACTAACCGTCCAGTCTCTTTGTTCATAAAGCACCTTGTGCGTTCCTTTATCACACAGGATTGATAGTATTAGGTTGGTGCAAACATAATCACGGTTTTTACCATTGAAGGTAATGGCAGGCCAGGCGCGGTGGCTCACATCTGTAATCCCATGCCTTGTGAGGCCAAGGCAGGCAGATCACTTGAGGTCAGGAGTTCAAGACCAGCCTGGCCAATGTGGTGAAACACCATCTCTACTAAATACAAAAAATGAGCCTGGCGTGGTGGCGCATGCCTGTAATCCCACCTACTTGGGAAGCTGAGGCACGAGAATCTCTTGAACCCAGAGACAGAGGTTGCAGTGAGCTGAGATTGCACCATTGCACTCCAGCCTGGGTAACAAGAGTGAAACTCTGTCTTAAAAAAAAAAAAAAAAAAGTAATGGCAAATGGATGTATGTGCATGAAAGATCAAAATGAAGCTCTTTGTCCTATGAGCTACTGAAACAGAGGAACCCCTGAGATTGCTGTGCTTAAAAATACTGCCATTTCTGCCTTCAGGAATATAATGGTGATCAAACATGGCACCTGGCTGACTGCACTCTTTGAAAGTAATGGCAAAAACTGTGATTACATTCATACCAGCCTACTTATGTGTCTGTCTCCCTCACTAGACTAAGCTCATCAAAATCAGGATTTACAACTTATTTTCACATTCCCAATGCTTAGCACAAAATAGACACTTAGTAAGTATTTATTGAACTGAAATCCATCGAAGATGGTCTAGGCATAGCATCAGGGAAATGTAATTAGAATGCAGTCCTTACCTCCTTACTTAGAAGGTCTGATCAATTCTGTTGTTATGATTGGGTAAGAAAAATGTGTTAATAGGAAAGGAGGAGTCTATTTGATCTTTAAAAGAGAAAACTCCTACAGTGATAATTTCTTCTATGTGTAAATTTTTAACTTTCATATATAAATGGTATACATATACATTTATTAAAATATATGTATAAATGATGGTGATAATAATATTACCACATTCATCTCCTCTGGAATCTTGGTCTAACAGTAGCATCTCTTAAATCTTCCATCTCTCAGCCGGGCACAGTGGCCCATGCCTGTAATCCTAGCACTTTGGGAGGCCGAGGCAAGCAGATCATTTGAGGTCAGGAGTTCGAGACCAGCCTGGCCAACATGGTGAAACTCCATCTCTACTAAAAATACAACAATTAGCCAGGCATGGTGGCGGGTGCCTGTAATCCCAGCTACTTGGGAGGCTGAGGGCATGAGAATCAGTTGAACCCGGGAAGTGGAGATTGCATTGAGCCGAGACTGCGCCACTGCACTCCAGCCTGGGCAATAGAGCAAGACTCAGTCTCAAATAAAATAAAATAATAAAATAAAATAAAAAGAAACCTTCCATCTGTCCTTCTCTACATAGTTCTTTTCGGCTTAATTTATAAATTTGCTCAACTCTTTCACATTCTTAACCATCTTCTTGGGCTTCTTCACATTTGTTTACCTATTTTTCTCCCAGTCATCCTTCAGTCCGTTGCAATCCAGTTTCTACTCCTTCCCCTGACCCTGAAATTGCAGAGGCTGGGTAGGGTTACCATTGACTCCAAAATGCATGCTCAGCTGACGTTTCTTGCTGCTGTGACTCTTCTCTTGCTTTGGACACTGCGGATCCCTTACTCCTTGCTGTCATTCTCACCTCCCTTGGCATCATGCCATGATAATTCTCCTACTTCTAGAACCAGTCTCTCTCTCTCTCAGACATTGTGTCATTTTTCTTCATTCTTTTGACTCTGATGTTCTCCATCTTTTGCCTTTCACAGTTTTCCATTCTCATTTACACAGAGGGGTTTCATCCGTGACCACCCATCCAAATCATCTTTCTTTCTTTCTTTCTTTTTCTTCTTTCTTTCTCTCTCTTTCTTTCTTTTTTCTTTCTCTCTTTCTTTTCCTTCCTTCCTTCCTCCCTCCCTCCCTCTCTACTTCCCTCCCTCCCTTTCTCTTTCTCTCTCTCTCTCTTTCTTTCTTCTTTCCTTTTCTTTCTTCCTCTTTTTTTTGAGACAGGGTTCTAGCTCCGTCACCCAGGACCTCAGCTCACTGCAACCTCTGCCTCCCGGGTTTAAGTGATTCTCCTGCCCTAGCCTCCCAAGTAGCTGGGATTACAGGCATGTACCACCATGCCCAGCTAATTTTTGTACTTTTAGTAGAGGTGGAGTTTCGCCGCATTGGCCAGGCTGGTCTCGAACTCCTGACCTCAAGTGATCTGCCCGCCTCGGCCTCCCAAAGTGCTGAGATTACAGGCGTGAGCCCCATGCCTGGCCAACGGTGGCTCTTTCAAAAAATAAAAAATAAACATACCTGAGTCCCATCTCCAATGATTCTGACATAGTTCTAGCTAGGGCCTGGACACCTGTACTTTTTTAAAGTGTCACAGTGATTCTAATGTGTACACTCATTTGATAGTCACTGCTCTGTCTTGTCTCCATTGGTGATTTCCTTTATCAAATACATATGAATCTCTACTATGGGCCAGGCTGACGCTGGTCACTGGAGTATTAGCAGTGAGTAAGACTCCATGGCCCCTCCCTTCACAGAGCTTGCAATTAATCATGAGAGATCCAACTCAGTAAGCAATTACAAAGAAGTAGGATAACTGCTGTGATAGGAAAATAGCTGGGTGTTACAGAGATGCAGAGGAGGCTGAGAAAGGCCAGGGAAAGCTTCCTGGATGACATCCATGCACGTTGATACCAATTAAAGGGAGGCACTGCTCAGGCATACATGAGCCACATGTATGGAGGCTACATGTGTGACCCACATGAATAGAAGACTGAGGCTCTCCATTAAAAACAAGCATGGCAGGGCGCAGTGGCTCATGCCTGTAATCCCAGCACTTTGGGAGGCCGAGGCAGGAGGATCACGAGGTCAGGAGATCGAGACTATGCTGGCCAACATGACGAAACTCTGTCTCTACTAAAAATACAAAAATTAGCTGGGCGGAACACGCCTGTAGTCCCAGCTACTCAGGAGGCTGAGGCAGGAGAATCGCTTGAACCCGGGAGGCGGAGGTTGCAGGGAGCCGAGGTCATGCCACTGCACGCCAGCGTGGTGACAGAGCAAGAATCTGTCTCAAAAAAAAAAAAAAAAAACAAGCATAAGTGAGGTATAACTCAAGAATGGCAAATGGGAGGGCAGCAGGCTGGAAGGATCAGGTGATGAAGAACTGAGGAGAAGAGTGGTAGAAAATCATTTAAGGATTCCTTTGTAGTCAGGACACATCTCTGGCCCAAACTGCTCTCCTGAGTTCTAGATTATCCATGAGCTGTGGACATGGTTATTCCAAAAACAGTTAAAATTCCACACAAGTCAAACTGGACTCATTCTTTTCCCTCTCAAACCTGCTCCCACATCTGTGTTCCCTGCCTCAGTGAGTAGCACTGTCCCCTGCCTGGTTGCACAAGCCAGAAACCTGACATTAGCCTTGATTCCTTCCCTTTCTCCAACTCTGCCATCCAATGAATCACCCAGTCCTTCCAATTCAGCTTGGGAATGTTCTCAGATTCTTCTTCTCCACTCCAGCCTTATAGCCATTGCTCTTGCTGTCTTCCTCCAAGTTCTCAGCTGCAGAAAAAAGTAGATTCTTTAGTGTTTTCTTTTTAAGGTATTTATTAAGATACATAGATGGCTTGAATTTTTGGGAAGAATAAAGAAATAGACTCTGGGCTGAGCTTTCAGGAATAATGCAATTTTATAGGATGACTAACAGTCCTAGTTAGCCTGAGTATGAGGGCTTTTCAGAATGCAGGATTTCCAGTGCTAAAACTGTGGTAGTTCTGGTCAAACTAGGACGGCTGGGCACCCTAAGTCTGCTAACTCACCCGGAACTGGGCCACCGATGCCTCTGCTGCCATCAGGCAGCCTCCAAATCAGGAAGCCAGTGCTGTGGGATGATGGTGCTTCTGCTTCCATCTGTGCCAGCCACGTGTGCACTGAGCTACTCCCCAGTTACCAATAAAAGCCTTAGGCAATTGTGTTAACTTGGTAGAACCTCAATTCCATCCTTGACCTCTGTATTAGTCCATTCTCACTCTGCTATAAAGAACTACCCTAGACTGGGTAATTTATAAAGAAAAGAGGTTTAACTGGCTCACAGTTCTGCATGGCTGGGGAGGCTCAGAAAACTTACAATCATTGCGGAAAGGGAAGGAAACACGTCGTTGTTCACATGATACCAGGAATGAGAAGTGCAGAGTGAAATAGGGGAAAAGCCTCTTTTGTTGTTGTTGTTGTTGTTGTTGTTGTTTTTGAGACAGAGTCTTACTCTGTTGCCCAGGCTGGAGTGCAAGTGTCGCGATTTTGGCTCACTGCAACCTCTGCCTCCCGGGTTCAAGTGATTCTCCTGCCTCAGCCTCCCAAGTAACTGGGTTTACAGGTGCATGCCACCACGCCCAGCTAATTTTTAAAATATTTTTAGCAGGATTTCACCAAGCTGGTCAGGCTGCTCTTGAACTCCTGACCTCAGGTGATCCACCCGCCTCAGCCTCCCAAAGTGCTGAGATTACAGGCATGACCCACTGTGCCTGGCTAGAAAAGCCTCTTATAAAACCATCAGATCTTACGAGAACTCACCATCACGAGAATAGCACGGAGGTAACCACCCCCATGATTCAATTATCTCCCACTGGGTCCCTCACACGACACGTGGGGATTATGGCAACTACAATTCAAGATGAGATTTGGGTGGAGACACAGTCAAACCATATCACCCTCAGTTGCAAGGAAACCCTGAAAAATGTACTTTTTAGCCCCTACATGCTAGACAGGAGTCAGAATGGATGTTAGGTGAGCCAATCCACAGTATTTGCCCCGATGCCATGGTAACCTCTTGCCTGGATTAGTAGCATGACTCTTGCAAATTGTCTTGTCTCAAATTTCATCTTCTTCTAGGTTAGGTTCCTTATGGCCATTAATTTTTAAATGAACCTACATGAGGCAGGTTAGCATTTCCCCATTTATAATCCTCAGTGATTCCACATTGCTCTTGAACTTTTTTTTTTTTTGAGACAGTCTCACTCTGTCACCCAGGCTGGAGTGTAATGGCACGATCTCCACTCACTGCAATCTCCACCTCCTGGGTTCAAGCAATTCTCCTGCCTCAGCCTCCCAAGTAGCTGGGATTACAGGTGTCCACCATCATGCCTGGCTAATTTTTGTATTTTTAGTAGAGATGGGGTTTCACCATGCCGACAAGGCTGGTCTCGAACTCCTGACCCCAGGTGATCCACTTGCCTCAGCCTCCCAAAGTGCTGGGATTACAGGAGTGAGCCACCGCATGCATATATATATATATATATATATATATATATATATGCATATATATATATATACATTCTTTTCTTTTCTTTTCTTTTCTTTTCTTTTCTTTTCTTTTTTTTGAGACAGGGTCTCACTCTGTTGCCCAGGCTAGAGTGCAATGGCGTGATCTCGGCTCACTGCAACCACTGCCTCCCGGGTTCAAGCAATTCTCGTGCCTTGGTCTTCTGAGTAGCTGGGATTACAGCCACGCGCCACCGTGGCCAGCTAATTGTATTTTTAATAGAGACGGGGTTTCACCATGTTGGCCAGGCTGGTCTTGAACTCCTGACCTCAGGTGATCCGCCTGCGTCGGCCTTCCAAAGTGCTGGGATTACAGGCATGAGCCACCTCGCCTGGCCGCCATATTGCTCTTATCACAGTAACTGTTAAAACATAATGAGATTTTATCATTCACTCGGATTACTACTCAGCTTTCCTTGCTTGAAGGATAAAAGAGGGTGAAGTTAGAGCAATGCATGCCACTAAATGAGGCATACATAATAAAATCCGCCCTCCGAGCTTGGCATATGGGGCCATACTCATTACTGCTTCCTACCTCCACCGTCACATCCTGCCCTCCACACTAGGACTTTACAATCTTTAACATCTCCAGACTTTTCCTTTTGCCTTGAAAATCTTTCCTTTTACTTCCCCTACTGGCTGGTGAATCTTGTGCTCCTCAATCCCTTTGTAAGGGGTTCAACCCCTTCATGAACAATTCTTGCTCCTCACCAATATTGGCCATTCTCTCCTCTGAGCACCTCTTTATGGGGTATGTATGCCTATTATTTACTTTTCTATCTCCTTTACTAGACTAAGTGATCCTGAACTCCAGACCTGGCACATGTGAGACATAATTGGTCCTCAATCAGTATTTGTTACATGGAGGAACGAACGGACGAATGAATGAATGAATGAATGAATGACACATACAATATAAATTTCTTTTTTTTTTTTTTTGAGATGGAGTCTCGCTCTGTCGCCCAGGCTAGAGTGCAGTAGCACGATCTCGGCTCACTGCAACCTCCGCCTCCGAGGTTCAAGGAATTCTCCTGCCTCAGCCTCCCAAGTAGCTGGGACCATAGGCGCCTGCCACCACGCCCGGCTAATTTTTTTATTTTTAGTAGAGACGGGGTTTCACCATCTTAGCCAGGCTGGTCTCGAACTCCTGACCTTGTGATCCACCCGCCTTGGCCTCCCAAAGTTCTGGGATTACAGGCGTGAGCCACTGCGCCCGGCCAGAAATTTCTATAATGTACACTGGTAGAAGAAAGATTAGTCAAAATTATGGAATATGTTTAAAGCACACAAAAAGTGGCCAGGTGCAGTGGCTCACGCCTGTAATCCCAACACTTTGGGAGGCTGAGGTGGGCAGATCACCTGAGGTCAGGAGTTCGAGACCAGCCTGGCCAACATGGCAAAACCCCGTCTCTACTAAAAATACAAAAATTAGCTGGAGGTGGTGGCACATGCCTATAATCCCAGCTACTCTGGAGGCTGAAACAGGAGAATCACTTGAACCCAGGAGGTGGAGTTTGCAGTGAGCCAAGGTCGCACCACTGCACTCCAGCCTGGGTGACAGAGCAAGACTCTGTCTAAAAAAAAAAAAAAAAAGAAAAAGAAAAAGAAAAAAGAACACAAAAAGTAAACTGAGTGGCAAATTAGAGAATTATACGTGAAGTGTTTTATGGCAGTTTTTCGTTTAAGGGATGGGGTCTCACTTTGTTGCCTAGGCTGAAGTGCGGTGACTACTCACACATGCGATTAGAGCACACTGCAGCCTTGAACGGTTGGCCTCGAGTGATTCTCCAGCCTTAACCTCCCAAGTAGTTGGGACTACAGGCGTGCTGTGCCTGGCTATTTTATGGTACTTTTAAACAGCTTTTAAAAATTACTTTCTTATGTAGGTTAAAGACCTTCTCAGTTCTCTTCAAGTTATATCCTAGTAATTTAATTATTAGTTAAAAATAGTGAGGCCGGGCGCGGTGGCTCACGCCTGTAATCCCAGCACTTTGGCAGAGGCAGGCAGATCACAAGGTCAGGAGTTCGAGACCGGCCTGGCTAACATGGTGAAACCCCATCTCTACTAAAAATACAAAAATTAGCCAGGCGCAGTGGTGGGCACCTGTAATCCCAGATACTCAGGAGGCTGAGGCAGGAGAATTGCTTGAACCCGGGAGGTGGAGTTTGCAGTGAGTCAAGATCTTGCCACTGCACTCCAGCCTGGGTGACAGAGCAAGACTCCATCTCAAAAAAAAAAAAAATAGTGGCAAGACCTGTGATTACTTTTGCACCTAGTAAGCTTGCTCCTGCTCCCATTTCTCAGCACAGAAGTAAAACTTACCCAGCCTGGGATAAACCACCATAAATTGTGATTAGTTGGTCTAAATTAAAGTAGATTTATTTTTTGATTTACCAGTGAATGATTGATTTGTCCCCTTGCTGTCATTTATCTTTACATTATTACAGAAGAAAATATTTCATACAAGCATTTTACTATTTTTGTTGGTTTTGATCACTAAAAAGTAGCTCTTTTTTGGAGAATCTTTATCTGTGCTGCTGCTGAAGAATTCTTTAGCACATGAGGATCTGTATTTTTCATCTTCTTCCTTTCATGTGTGTTCCATTCAGATCAGGAAATTGACATTTCAGCTTAGAAGACTTAGGCCAGATGTTAGTTCACTGGCTGAAAGATGGATTTCCTGCCCCAATAGGTGACCTCTGAAAGCAAAATAGGCTTTTTCTTAATGGATAGACTGTCCAAATGACCTCATTTCTAGAACAAGGCTTCTTTGTTAAGTGTCTCTTTGCTATTGGAATCAACATCATCTGATTTTTGAGAACATTCATTAGATAGCTAGCACCTAGTTGTTTCATTTATAAGGCATAGGAAAAAAATTATGCCTAGACAATCCCTTTAAAAAAGAATTGTGTTCATTGAGAGGGAAATGGTGCAGAAAATCTGGTGCCTGCTCACCCATATTAATATGTCTTTTAGATTTCAAACCTCATTCAGGCCAGCACTAGCCATAGGAGCAGAGCATGCTATGTACTTCCCTTAACAGGGAATTGTTTCACTAAGCTAGACCAAGGCACTATTTAAAGAAATAACCATGACCCCAATGTCCTGTCACTTGAAGCTTCTCTCTCCATATGTGAGAAACTCATTGAAGACATTGCCACAGTGCCACCTCTTTTGATGATTTCTTCATAGAGTTCATTTATTTATATCTTCAATTGTATAAGACAGCTCAGAAGAACTGAGATAACTAAGCCTTTGTGTGTGTGAGTGTGTATGTGTGTGTGTCTGTGCATCCGTGTGTGTCACAAAAAATGCAATTAGAAGGAAAGTACTCTAGAGAGGAACATGGCCTTCAACAACAGGGGCGAGTCCCTATGACTTACTATATTTGGTAAGGAGAAGAGTTAGATGGCGTGAGAAGAAAGATATATGTTTCTGAGATTCTGAAACAATGGAATTTTACAGCTGAGGGAAAAGTTGAGTTTTCTTTCTTTTTTTTTCAGGAACAGGAATGGGAGTGTCTCTTTGTAAGGGCTGGCAGATGAATTTTACTAGTATAAAAATCATGCTACTCTAATACAAAAATGTTGGCATTTCCATGAAAGACAGAGAACAGACACAAACAGGGTTAACCTCAGGGCTCCACCATGCATCTGGCACTCATGGGTCTTCCTCAAGTAATTATCTGGTAGATCTGTGACTTAAAAAATGAGTAGTAAAAAAGGATATCGAACTTTGCTTTATAATGACTCAACACATACTTTTCCCAGAATGTTATATTCAGCTCACTGCCTTTTTTAAAAATACTCATGCAAATGTCATTAATCATACGTGTGGTGTTGTTGTTCACCCAAAGTATTGTGCAAGCATACATCAACTCTGGATAAGACTGTAATGATCCTCTGTTTCCTGGGATTAATTACGTGAGTGAGAATCTTTTGTTCTATGCACATAACACGATGGCACCTCAAAGAAGCAGAGCAAGAGTTTTAACTGGAGCTTTAAAATTTATTGGAAAAAAATATTTTCCATAACCATGTTTAAGAGCAAGAGAGACAGCCAAGTGGACATTCTCATAGGGTAAAGTTTATTAGAAGACAAGATTGATAAATCAATTTGGTTGATGGATACTTCCCAGCTGCACTTTTAAGTCTTTTCTTACATAACTTGGAAACAGTTAACAATCTCTGGTCTCTTATTAACACATTCCTTTTTATTTTTACTTTTTTATTTTTTCTGAGATGGAGTTTCCCTCTTGTCGCCCAGGCTGGAGTGCAATGGCACGATCTCTGCTCACTGCAACCTCCACTTCCCCAGTTCAAGCGATTCTCCTGCCTCACCCTCCCAAGTAGCTAGGATTAGAGGCGCCTGCCACCACGACCGGCTAATTTTTTTATTTTTAGCAGAGATGGGGTTTCGCCATGTTGGCCAGGCTGGTCTCGAACTCCTGACCTCAGGTGATCTGCCAGCCTCGGCCTCCCAAAGTGCTGGGATTACAGGTGTGAGCTACCGTGCCTGGCCCCTTTTTTATTTTTTGTATCTCCTAAGCAAAAAAGAGAAATAGCAGGAAGTGTGATTCTAAAGATCATTTCCCTCAGTGTTTCCTTTTTTTCTTCTCCTAAGTGTCGGGTGGCTTTCATATAATCTTACGGTTCTCTGTAGGAGAGGCTGTTCTCATCTTAATTCAGAAGTAACTCAATGGTGAGTTGAAGTCTCTTGGTTCCTGCCTTAAACAGTATGGGATGCAATTCACATAGCCCACTTTTTTGATCCTCATGGGCATCTGTATAGATCTTGCCAGAAATTTGCTTCTTGTCTATAATGTGTTACCAAATTTTTCCGAATCTTCATAGTTCAGAATTACAAGTGGCTTTAGAAATCTAGTCTGAACCCGCTGTGTATAATAAAATAAATACCTGTTGTGATATTATTGATGGAATAATTCCCAGGCAGAACTTGTGTTTTTGTTTGTTTGTTTGTTTGAGACTGGAGTCTCACTCTGTCACCCAGGCTGGGGTGCAATGGCACGGTCTTGGCTCACTGCAACCTCTGCCTCCCGGGTTCAAGTGATTCTCCTGCCTCAGCCTCCCAAGTGGCTGGGATTACAGGTTCCTGCTACCATGCCCCGCTAAGTTTTTGTATTTTCAGTAGAGACAGGGTTTCATCATGTTGGCCAGGCTGGTCTCTAACTCCTGACCTCGTGATCCGCCCACCTCAGCCTCCCAAAGTGCTAGGATTACAGGTGTCAGCCACCGCACCCAGCCAGAACTTGGTCTTTACACAGCATCAACACAGATGAAAACCTAACTGGCTATTGCCTATCAGAGTAGAATAAAACATTTCAGAGAAAAATTTTCTGCTTTGTGACCCAACTTGAACTGCAGTGGTACAATCATGGCTCATTGCAGCCTTGACCTCTCAGGCTCAGGTGATCCTCCCACCTCAGCCTCCCCAGTAGCTAGGACTACAGGGACATGCTATAGTGCCTGGTTAATTTTTTGTAGAGACGGGACCTCACTTTGTTGCCCAGGCTGGTCTGGAACTCCCAGGCTCAAGTGATCCTTCTGCCTCAGCCTCCCAAAGTGCTGGGATTACAGGTGTGTTCCCCCCTGCCCTACCCAGCCCAGAGAAAAGGATTTACATCCCTGCAGCCTCACTTTGTTTATTTCCCTTCTCTCCCTAGCCTGTTCTGCTGTCTGCACTTTGTTTTAATTTCTCTTTAGTTTGCTCTTAGCTCTTCTCCCACTTCTTTCACCAAACACTCCCTGATGAAGGGCTTTTTAACAGGTAATGCTTTAGCATGGGTTTGGCTCACCTGTAAGGCATTTGTGGGGGAAAAAAAAAATGGTGTGGATTTGTGATGGGGAAAATGTTTTAACCTATCAGTCTTTCCTTGAAGTCAGTTCCCCCAAGGCATTGTGGAATGCCCCATGTAGGAGTGCCAGAAAGGATTGCTGACTGTAGGCAAAAATTAAATGAGCTTATATACTTTCATTGCTCAATTTCAGCAGCAGGAACTATGGTAAAAAATAAATTGGACTATTTATAATCTTTCAGATTTAATCTCTGCTATAAGCAGAAAATGTGTTGTTGTCGTCTGTAACAAATAACAAGTATTTAAATGAATCTGTGTTCCTAAAACATATGCTATTCTAAGGGAGAATGCATTTTAATTTCAATATTTAATCGTCTGCCCTTTAAAACCAAGTATCTCAAATCCAACAGAGCTTTAAAAAAAAAAAAGGATACAACCAAATATCTCCAAATACCTGATTTCTTCATTCACTTGTCTCATGGTAAGTTAGTTATTTTGCCAGTGAGTTTTTAAAAATAATCTACTGGCCGGGTGCGGTGGCTCATGCATGTAATTCCAGCGCTTTGGGAGGCTGAGGCGGGCGGATCACCGAGGTCAGGAGTTCGAGACCAGCCAGACCAACATGGTAAAACCCCATCTCTACTAAAAATACAAAAAATTAGCTGGGCTTGGTGGCGTGCACCTGTAATCCCAACTACTTAAGACACTGAGGCAGGAGAATCCCTTGAACCCGGGAGGTGGAGGTTGCAGTGAGCCGAGATTGTGGCACTGCACTCCAGGCTAGGCAACAGAGCGAGACTCCTTCTCAAAAAATACATGAAGAAATAAAAATAAAAACAATCTGCTGGTATAGATTTTTTAATACACTGTATTCTATTTTAAAACTTCACATTTCCTCAGCTCCTCTTCCTTACTCTGACATACCTATAGTCTGCAGGGGCTTTCAAATTTGAGCACTAGTCACTATCCTCTGGGGAACTTGTTAAAAAACAGATTGCTTGCTTTAGCCCAAGGAGTTCGAGACCAGCCTGGGCAACATAGGGAGACTCTGTGTCTACAAAAAATAATAATAATAATAATAAAATTAGCCAGGCATGGTGGTGCATGCCTGTAGTTCCAGCTACTTGGGAGCCTAAGGTGGGAGGATCCCTTGAGCCCAGGTGTTCAAGCCACTGCACTCCAGACTGGGTGACAGAGGGAGACCCTTTCTGAAACAAACAAAAAATCAAAAAACAAATTGGTGGTACCACTCCCAGAGTGACTCAGTAGAAGGCTTGAGGTGGGGCCGGGAAATTTGCATTTGTAACAAATTCCTTGGTGATGCTAATGATTGAGTTGTGGGCATGTACTTTGAGAAGCACTGCTCTAGATAAAATATCGTTGTCGCTGTTGTTGTTGTTGAGATGGAGTCTTACTCTGTCGCCCAGGCTGGAGTGCAATGGCGCGATCTCGGCTCACCACAACCTCTGCCTGCCGGGTTTAAGCGATTCTCCTGCCTCAGCCTCCTGAGTAGCTGGGATTACAGGCATGCGCCACCACACCTGACTAATTTTGTATTTTTAGTAGAGATGGGGTTTCTCCATGTTGGTCAGGCTGGTCTCAAATTCCCGACCTCAGGTGATCTGCCACTGCGCCCAGCTAGATAAAATATCCTTCTTTTTTAGACACAGTCACGCTGTGTCGCCCAGGCTGGACTGCAGTGGCGTGATCTCAGCTCACTGCAAGCTCTGCCTCTTGGGTTCAAGCAATTCTCCTGCCTCAACCTCTCAAGTAGCTGGGACTATAGGAGCCCACCACCACGACTGGCTAATTTTTTGTATTTTTAGTAGAGACGGGGGTTCACCGTGTTAGCCAGGATGGTCTCGATCTGCTGACCTCGTGATCCGCCTGCCTCGGCCTCCCAAAGTGCTGGGATTACAGGTGTGAGCCATCTGCAATAAAATATTTTAAGAGATAATAGCAGGCCGGGCGCGGCTGGCTCACGCTTGTAATCCCAGCACTTTGGGAGGCCGAGGCGGGTGGATCACGAGGTCAGGAGATCGAGACCATCCTGGCTAACACGGTGAAACCCTGTCTCTACTAAAAATACAAAAAAAAAATTAGCCGGGCGTGATGGCGGGCGCCTGTAGTCCCAGCTACTCGGGAGGCTGAGGCAGGAGAATGGCGTGAACCCGGGAGGCGGAGCTTGCAGTGAGCCGAGATTGCGCCACTGCACTCCCGCCTGGGCCACAGAGCGAGACTCCGTCTCAAAAAAAAAAAAAAAAAAAAAGAGATAATAGCAGTGTGGTCTCCAGTGATGGTAATGGAGGTGAAGGGAAGTGGATGACTTTGGCCTAATTTAAGAATTCGAGGCCGGGTGCAGTGGCTCACACCTGTAATCGCAGCACTTTGGGAGGCCGAGGCAGGCGGATCACCTGAGGTCAGGACTTCGAGACCAGCCTGGCCAACATGGTGAAACCCCATCTCTACTAAAAATACAAAAATTAGCCAGGTGTGGTGGCACGCGCGTGTAATCCTAGCTACTGGGGAGGCTGAGGCAGGAGAATCACTTGAACCCAGGAAGCAGAGGTTGCAGTGAGCCGAGATCGCACCACTGCACTCCAGCCTGGGCAACAGAGCAACACTCCATCTCAGGGAAAAAAAAATTAGCCAGGTATGGTAGCGGGAACCTGTAATTCCAGCTACTCGGGAGGCTGAGGTAGGGAGAATCACTTGAACCCGGGAGGCAGAGTTGCAGTGAGCCGAGATCACACCACTGCACTCCAGCCTGGGCAACAGAGTGAGACTCCATCTCAAAAAAAAAAAAAAAAGAAAAGAAAAGAAAAAAAGAATTTGAGGCCGGGCGTGGTGGCTCACACTTGTAATCCCAGCACTATGGGAGGCCGAGGCAGGTGGATCACCTGAGGTCGGGAGTTTGAGACCAGCCTGGCCAACATGGTGAAACCCTGTCTGTACTAAAAATACAAACATTAGCCAGGTGTGGTGGCATGTGCCTGTAATCCTAGCTACTTGCGAGGCTGAGGCAGGAGAATCATTTGAACCCGGGAAGCAGAGGTTGCAGTGAGCTGAGATCGCACCACTGCACTCCAGCTTGGGCAACAGAGCCAGACTCTGTCTCAGGAAAAAAAAAAAAAAATTAGCCGGGCATGGTAGGGGTCACCTGTAATTCCTGCTACTCAGGAGGCTGAGGCAGGGGAATTGCTTGAACCCGGGAGGTGGAGGTTGCAGTGAGCCGAGATCGCGCCATTGCACTCCAGCCTGGGCAACAGCGTGAGACTCTGTCTCAAAAAAAAAAAAAAAAAAAAAGAATTCAAATCAGCAGGGCTTATCTGTGGTTTGGATCACAGAGATGGTGAGGGAAGGGAAGGATGAAGTTGGTAGTTTGAATAAATGAATGGATATATCCGAAAACTGAAGCAAGAAAGGAGCAGGGAGGGAGGGTTGGATCATGGTAGGAAATCATAAATTCCATTTGAGGAATGTGAAAGTTTCACTGAAATACATCTGAACCTCAGCTCAATGCCTGGCAGAGAGTAGGTTTTCCATAAATGATGACAGCGATGGTTACTGCTGCTGTTAATACCTTTACTATGAAAACTGAAGCATCCTAATCACCCCGCCCCACCCGAGGTAAACTCCCAGCTCCATTACTCAGCAACGGCATTCCAGAGCTAGAGTTGACTCCTCTTCATGATCACAGAGACGTAGGTATGAACAAGGAAATTTCCTATTTATAGATACAGCCTCATTGGATGAGTGGTAGGGGAAGGAAAAACAAAAAGAGGGTAAAAAGAGAAAGGTTATAATGATGAATTATAATTTATCAAGGTGCCTGTGTCATCACAGATAACCTCACAACTGTATCAAATAAGTGGAATTTTCCCATTTCACAGATAAGATAAACAACTGGCCCAATATAGGAACTTGAGTAAAAATGGAAAACCTAGCTTTGTCTTGACCTCATTACATTTGTGCTTTCTATTATGAAACTGCATCCTTTTTTTTTTTTTTTTTTTTTTTTTGAGACAGAGTCTCACCCAGGCTGGAGTGCAGTGGCAAGATCTCGGCTCACTGCGAGCTCTACCTACCTGGTTCAAGAGATTCTCCTGCCTCAGCCTCCCGAGTAGCTGGGATTACAGGTGCCTGCCTCCACGCCCATTAAATTTTTTTGTATTTTTAGTAGAAACGGGGTTTTACCATGTTGGCCAGGCTGGTCTCAAACTCCCGACCTCAGGTGATCCGCCCGCCTCAGCCTCCCAAAGTGCTGGGATTACAGGCGTGAGCCACCATGCCCGGCCCTGAAACTGTATCTTTACTGCTGCTAAAGAGGTAAATGGGGGCACAATAAACATTTTAATAGAGTTTATTTGAGCAAACAACATTTCATGGACTTGACAGCTCTAAACCAGAAGTGGTTCAGGAACTCCACCAAGGGAATCTATGGGGAGGCCTTTATAAGACAGAAACAGAGGTAAAGCAAAGCAAACATTTGATTGGATATAATTACACAATTGCCTTATTTGATTGATCTCCTATGAAAGTTCCTAATTATGAAAGTTTGTTGGCTACCTCTGATTGGTTGAGCTTAAGTTCTGTTTTTCTGTAATACAGGCATTTGTAAGAGTTAGCTCAAGTTAAGTTTTCCTTAGGTTTGCAAATCAAGAAAGGTTGAGTTCACTAAGTGGTTTTGTCTTCGCAGGGATTCTGCAGGCCTGATCTCTATTTTACCTTACTTTAACCCTGCCCAGCGGAAAACTAATTACATTTCGTATGTTGACATAATGACCTAAATAGGCTGTACCTATACTCTAAATACCCCACAACTTGTAGACTAATGGCTTTTAAACTTTTGTAATTCTGGCCCACAGTTAAGAACAAGTTTTTGTTTTGTTTTGTTTGGGACAGAGTCTCGCTCTGTTGCCAGGCTGCAGTGCAATGGTGCAATCTCGGCTCACTGCAACCTCCGCCTCTCGGGCTAAAGTGATCCTCCAGCCTCAGCCTCCCATAGCTGGGACCACAGGTGCCCACCACTACATCCAGCTAATTTTTTTTTTTTTTTTTTGAGATGGAGTCTCGTTCTGTCACCCAGGCTGCAGTGCAATGACGCAATCTCGGCTCACTGCAAGCTCCGCCTCCCAGGTTCATGCCATTCTCCTGCTTCAGCCTCCCAAATAGCTGGGACTACAGGCGCCCGCCACCACGCCTGGCAAATTTTTTTGTATTTTTAGTAGAGATGGGGTTTCACCACGTTAGCCAGGATGGTCTCGATCTCCTGACCTCGTGATCCGCCCACCTCGGCCTCCCAAAGTGGTGGGATTACAGGCGTGAGCCACCATGCCTGGCCCTTAATTTCTGTATTTTTTATAGAGACGAGGTTTCACCATGTTGGCCAGACTGGTCTTGAACTCCTGAGCTCAGGTGATCCGCCTGCCTGGGCCTCTCAAAGTGCCGGGATTACAGACGTGAGCCACTGTGCCTGGCCCTAAGAACAAGTTTTTACAAAGCAAGCCAGTGTAAACATTTATCTGTACATACGTGTGTATATGTATATATGTGTTGTACACTTATCTGTGCAACAATATGATGGAGACTAATTTCCAATAAATAACAGAGATTGCTAAATTATCAACATTCTTAATGAATGCATTATGGTGATAGTTTTCACTCATTTGTGACAACAAATGTTTATTATGAGCCACAGAATTGATTCTGTAATCAACTTTTGCATCTCTACTAGAAGTCTAGAAAAATCTTCTACGTCACTTTCCTTGGAATTCACTCACCCACAGAAGGACGATTTCAATGAGTTGGATGAGATTCCTGATGGTAAGAGAAAAAGGGGAGTAGGATTCCGGTATACCCATCTTCAATGGAATATCTACACTTCCCTGCCTTGAAGAACTTTGTGGGAATCAAATGGAGTATGATACAGATGAAAAGACTTTTAAAATAATCAGTTTGGGTCTGGTGCAGTGGCTCACGCCTGTAATCCCACCACTTTGGGAGGCCAAGGTGGGCGGATCACTCGAACTCGGTCAGGAGTTCGAGACCAGCCTGGCCAACATGGTGAAATCCCGTCTCTACTAAAAATACAAAAATTAGCCTGGCATGGTGGCACGTGCCTGTAATCCTAGCTACTGGGGAGACTGAGGCACAAGAATCACTTGAACCCAGGAGACAGAGGTTACAGTGAGCCAAGATCACGCCACTGCACTACATCCTGGGCAACAGAGTGAGACTCCATCTCAAAAAAAAAAAAAAAGATGATAATATAAATCAGTTTGTTCTTACTTTGATTCTGCCCCATGTAGCTGTGTTCACTTGGACTTATCATTCAAGTTCTCTGGAGCCTACTTCCTCATCTGTAAAATGAAGGATTTGACCTAGATCTTTTTCGAGGCCCTTTTCCATTTCCATGAGGTAGAATTCTAATATAAAACGTTCTTGGTAAATGATATCCTATATGACTCTGAAGTTGTGATGATGATGATGATGGTGATTTCTTTATAAGGAAAGGACAACTTTGTTAAAAAGCCCCTGAAGGGCCAGGAGCCTTGGCTCATCTCTGTAATCCCAGCACTTTGGGAGGCCGAGGCAGGTGGATCACCTGAGGTCAGGAGTTTGAGGCCAGCCTGGCCAACATGGTGAAACCCCATTTCTACTAAAAATCCAAAAATTAGCCGGGCGTGGTGGCAGGCTCCTGTAGTCCCAGCTACTTGGGAGGATGAGGCAGGAGAATTGCTTGAACCCAGGAGGGGGAGATTGCAGTGAGCCGAAATCGGGCCACTGCACTCCAGCCTGGGCAATGAGCGAGACTCTGTCTTTAAAAAAAAAAAAAAAAAAAAGAGAGAGAGAGATAAAAAGCCCCTGAAGGAAATTTTAGAAGAAAGGAGTGACAAGTGACATTAACTAAGAGAGAAAAGAGTCGTCAATCTTGGGAGTGGTAATCAGATCATGTTGAGTTAACACATGGAAATTGATAAGTAGAAAGTAGCTGGGACTACAGGCCACATGCTGCCATGCCCAGCTAATTTTTGTATTTCTAGTAGAGACGAGGTTTCACCATGTTGGCCAGGATGGTCTCAAACTGCTGACCTCAGATGATCCTTCTGCCTCGGCCTCCCAAAGTGCTGGGATTACAGGAATGAGTAACCATGCCTGGCCTCAAATTTCACATTCTATGTATAGGCATCAACATTTCTCCCAAAACATTATCTCATTTCCCTATCCATTGATTAAGAAGCACCAGGAAAAACAGCTTAAATATCTAGAATAGGTTGATTTCTATAAGTGCCAAAATGCTGGCTAAGGTTTAATTATATGTGTGTGTATATATATAGATATATAATTATAAATATAGATATCTATATAAATATCTATATAGATGTATTTTTTGAGATGGAGTCTCGCTCTGTCGTCCAGGCTGAGTGCAGTGGCTCACTGCAACCTCCACTTCCCAGGTTTAAGCGATTCTCCTGTCTCAGCCTCCCAAGTAGCTGGGACTACAGGTGTGTGCCACCATGCCTGGCTAAGTTTTATATTTTTAGTAGAGATGGGGTTTTGTCATGTTGGCCAGGCTGGTCTCGAACTCCTGGCCTCAAGTGATGTGCCTGCCTCAGTCTCCCAAAGTGCTGAGATTACAGGCATGAGCCACCATGCCCGGCCCGTTTAATTACACTGATGCGGGTATGTGTTGTCACTAAACTGTACGTGTCTTTAGATGACCCTGAAACATACTATAACCTGTGAAGAAGCAGGTGGCCATTAGTATGGCCTTGCCTCATCTTGGATGGGGAAACTAGCACCAGGTCAAATGCTTTGCCCCAGGTCATCTGATGAGTCAAGAAGAAAATGATTCTGGATTGGTGCTGGAGAGTCAGGCTTCATCCTAACCCCAGCCCCAACTGCCCGGCTTGCCTGGCTCCTTGCTGAGTTATTTGCTGGAAAGTGTTTATGTAGAGAACAGGCTGCCCCTTGGAAGCAGCACAGTCCTCTGCATCTTCTTAAATTTAAGAAAGTACCAGGCCAGGCACGGTGGCTCATGCCTGTAATCCCAGCACTTTGGGAGGCTGAGGCGGGTGGATCATGAGGTCAGGAGTTCGAGACCAGCCTGACCAATATGGTGAAACCCCGTCTCTACTAAAAATACAAAAATTAGCCAGGCGTGGTGGTGCATGCCTGTAATCCCAGCTACTCAGGAGGCTGATGCAGGAGAATCGCTTGAACCTGGGAGGCAGAGGTTGCAGTGAACCAAGATGGTGCCACTGCACTCCAGCCTGGGCGACAGGGTGACAGAGCAAGACTCTGTCTCAAAAAAAAAAAAAAAAGTATCACGTGGTGAATAAATTCAAATTCTTAAATATACCAATACAGTCAACTGTAAAGGCTATTTATCTTTTCCTATCATTTACTTATATTTATCTATTTATAGAAATGACAATTAAAAAAACCTCATCAGCCTTAACTGAATTTATTTTTATTCAAAGTATCACAGAGCACGAGGGAGCCTTGAAAACCCATCTGGCCTAACTCCGGCATCAGCCTAGGAAAGCACAAGACCTGGCTGTACTGACTCATAGTTCAGTGCTCTTTCTACTTCAACACAATGCCTCAATGCTATTAAGGAGAAATTTAATAATTCTTTTGGTTTCCTTTCACAAACATTATCGTCAGAGACTGTGCGCAGTGGCTCATGCCTATAATCCCAGCACTTGAGGAGACCAAGGAGGGAGGATCCCTTGAGTCCAGGAGTTTGAGACCACCTTGGGCAACAGCAAGAGATCATGTCTCTATAAAAAATTTAAAAAATTAGTCTGGTGCAGCGGTGTGCCTGTAGTCCCTGCTACTCAGGTGGTTGAGGCAGGAGGATTGCTTGAGCCCAGGAGTTCAAGGCCGCAGTGAGCTACGATTGCAGCACTGCACTGCCGGGGTGAGAGAGCAGGACCTTGTCTCTAAAAAAATTTTTCAGCATACTTTTTTTTTCTTTGGAGACAGAGAGTCTTCCTCTGTCACCCAGGCTGGAGTGCAGCAGCAGGACCTCACTGTAACCTTCGCCTCCTGGGTTCAAGCTATTCTCCTGCCTCAGCCTCCTGAGTAGCTGGGATTACAGGCATGTTCCAACACTCTTGCTATGTTTTGTTTTTTTTTTTTGTTTTTTTTTTTTTTGTATTTTTAGTAGAGACAGGGTTTTGCTGTGTTGACCAGGCTGTTCTCAAAATCCTGGCCTCAAGTGATTCGCCCGCCTCAGCCTCCCAAAGTGCTGGGATTACAGGCGCCAGCCCCGCACCCGCCAAAAACACACAAAAATTATCAGGGATTGTGTTTATAAATTTAGTTACTTTTGAAAATGTTTTTACATTTTGAACTTTCCTGTAAGGACTATTCACCCATTGCATTGATTGGTGCTCACAGCACTTAATACTTGAACAAGGGGAATTCAAGGACATGCTCTTATCCCCTTTCAAGTGGACTCAGAAGGAAAACAAAACAAAACAAAACAAAACAAACAAACAAACAAAAAAAACCCCACAATCAACAAGAAACAGGAGAGGCCTCAAAACAAGCAGGGCTCTCTCCCTGGGGCATCTCACTTTTTTTTTTCCTTTTAAACCACAAGGCCCTAACAGAGGAGCAAACTCCATGTGGTTTCTTAACTGTTTCAAAAGTGATCAATCACCAAATCGAATGTGACGTGCATTGTCACCTTCCAAGGAAAACTCTGAGTAGTCTTGAAAGATAGAATCACAAAAGGGAAAAATCACCTCTCCAGGGCTAGTTCCCTTATAAAATAAATCTGTCCTGGGGCTTCCCCTTGGAAAAACACACACAGGGCCCCAAGTGTGTGTAGGCTGACTGGCTACACAATCATTTGAATTTAGTTTCGAAAATAGCCCTTCCCTGTGTCCCTAATGTAAAGGAATAATTAAAACCCAAAGCGCATTTCCCTTAATTAGCCGAAAGCCCTAGCAATGCATGGCATTGTGGGCATTCAGGAGCCAAAATGCCCCCACTCATAAAAAATGATCCAAACAATGGCTCGTGCCCAAGCTTTCACACTTGTTTTGCAGAGAAGTCTTGGCTGGCAGAGGCAGGATTTGTAATTCCTTGGGTCGCTTGACTTCACGAGGGGCGAGGTATGCATTGTAGCGACACGGACTACTTGTGAAGCCTTTGGGCGGGAGTCGCTTAAAGATTAACTTTCTCGGGTTTCCGTTACCAAAAGCGTTTCCGTGAATAGCGTGATTGGAAACTTGTGCGGGCCGGAGACCGCGGCGCGGCTGCTCTTTCAACAGGCGATTTGTTCTCCTGTCCGAGGCTCATTTCCATGCAAAGAGCCTGACATCAGAGCACCTTTTGTTGCTAAACGCTTTCTTTAGCCTCGAGGGAGAGAGTCATGTGGAGCTGGAAGAGCTCATTTTGAAGAGAGGGGTCCCGGGGAGCTCCCTCCAAGATCTAGAGGCTCCGCGGCCACCCCTGCCGGGTCCTGCCAAGACTTGCTAGAAGGAACGAGTCGCGTGCCTTAGTTAGTTGGTTCCCGTCACAGGAAGAAACGCCTTTGCAGTGGGTTTAATTGCTTCTGGGCCGAGCGAATTCCCCGCCGTACAACTCAGTGGTGCGGACTTTGCCTCCTGCTACCCTGTTGCTGCGCCGAGCGGGGTGGGAAAGTTTCTGGAGTTGTCAGTCGCGCAGCCCGTGGCCACCTAGACCCGAGGTGCGGGCGCCTGCGAAGGGCCCCCGCGGGGTGGCCGGGGCCGCCGGGGCATGCAGCGCGGGGGCGCGGCTCGGTGACGCCGCGGGCGGGGACCCGGCATCCGGGCAGGCTGCGCGCGGGTGCGGGGCGAGGGCGCCGCGGGGACTGGGACGCACGGCCCGCGCGCGGGACACGGCCATGGAGGACGCGGGAGCAGCTGGCCCGGGGCCGGAGCCTGAGCCCGAGCCCGAGCCGGAGCCCGAGCCCGCGCCGGAGCCGGAACCGGAGCCCAAGCCGGGTGCTGGCACATCCGAGGCGTTCTCCCGACTCTGGACCGACGTGATGGGTATCCTGGTAAGTTACCTGGGGAGGGGGCGGCGCAGGAAGTACAGTTCGCAGCAGCCCCTCTGAAACCGGGGGCTCCCTTCTCGCCCACCCACTGGGCAACCCACTCCGCAGAGGCGTCCTTCTCTGGCTCTAGTTCTTAGGGGGCTAAATACACACAGTATAGGATTTCAAACCCTAATTAAAAAATAACCAGCCACAGGTCCCGTCAAAAGGTGTTTTTTAAACAATCGGGTATGATATTCAACAGTTTAATCTGGGACACCTGCTGACATGTTGGTGTGGAAAAGGCGAGAAAGAGGCCTTCAAAAAGTAGATGTAAATAAATATTTGGTTGGTGCTGGATTAGGGAAAAGGCTGATGTTACTGATGTTTATCTCTTCACCATTTGTTGTGTGACCACAAGAGGGAAAACAAACATTTCCTTACTCAGAACTGCCAAAATGTTTGCCTACTTTTTTTTGCAGTTTTTCAATTTGTGGAGTTACAGGATATTTGTTTTATATGTTTGGGGCTAAAACAATAGGACTTATTTTGCTAAATCTGTGCTGTCATGTATTTTGAAATGTCCAGTGACTAAAAGCGCCCCTGGATTTGGCATAGTCTCTGGGAAGCAGTTCTTCTGTATGGAGGGTGAAGTTTTAACCTGCTCAGGGTTGAATACCTTGGGGAAGTAATAGATTTGCTTTGGTGGAGCTGTAGTTAGGCAGGTAGACTGGAATCAGATGGGCGAGGTTTATTACAGTCAGACATCTTAATCCATACATAAAAGACAACTTTAGTTTAAAGACTTGGAATGGCCAGATGTGCAGATTATCAGAAAAGTCTCTAGATTTGCTTTGAGATCTTATATTTTTTGAGTGGGAGGAGATGGAGTGAAAGTTCTTCTTTGGGAATGATAAACCGTGTACAGTTTTTAGCACAGTGATTAAACTCTTGGGCTTCAAAGTAAGTTATACTAGGTCAAATGCCAGCTCTCCAATTGACTGTTTACATGATCTTGGCCAAGTCATTCAACCTCTCTGATCCTCAGTTTCATCACCTGAAAATTGAAGAAAAGAAGACTTGCTTCTTGGGGTTTCTGAGATTTAGCTGGGTTGATGTGTGTATCAAGTACTCAGCAGACTGTATAGCATATAGTAGAGGCTCAATAAGTGTAGCTGTCTTTCAGGTTTTATTTGTTTCCTGCAAAGTCTCCTGTCTCTTCCTTCTGGACATCCTAAAAGCCCAGTTACTCCATTTTCAGGTGACCATTGGTATTTATGATTCTTACTATACAGAGAACCAGCGAGCGTTGGTTAAAGATTTCTATCTGCTCTTGTCACTCTCCAGTATTGAAAAATGTATATAAATATGCATGCAATGTATATTTACATACTATATATAGCACATGTATATAATATACCTAAATCTAATATATATTTTAGATTTAAAAGGTTTTGTTTTTGCATTTTCTGAAGTATACAGATGAATATGATCCTTCACTGAAGTTCCAGAAAACCTAATGGACATTTTAAAGTTGTGATAAACTTTTTCTTTTCTTTTTTTTTTTTTTTTTTGAGACGAAGTCTTGCTCCGTCGCCCAGGCTGGGGTGCAGTGGCACGAGCTCAGCTCACTGCAACCTCCGCCTCCTGAGTTCAAGCAATTTTCCTGCCTCAGCCTCCTGAGTAGCTGGGATTACAGGCGCGCAACACCACACCCGGCTGATTTTTGTATTTTTAGTAGAGACGGGGTTTCACCATGTTAGCCAGGCTGGTCTCGAACTCCTGACCTTGTGATCTGCCCACCTCGGCCTCCCAAAGTGCTGGGATTACAGGCGTGAGCCACCGCGCCCGATAGACTGTTTTTAAGTTATCCTGTTATTTCTTGTCTAGATCCAGTTCTAAGTTTTCAGTCACTGAGGAAATTGGTTTGATAATATCCCATTGTATCCCTTACTCTAGGGCGTTGGGCTGGGGGCGGGGAGGATTGGGGGCCTGTTTAAATGAAACTTGGGCTGAGGGTTCTTTTGGGGAAGAGGGTTGGCCAGTGGCATTTTCTGCAGATTTGCTTTCCCTTCCCTGACAGATTCCAGCACTGTTGGGTCAGTTGTAGTGGAGTGTTCTTTGGCTGAGTTAAAAGATGGGGTGGGGCTTCAGAAGCTCAAACCTGCTATTGAAAGGGCAGATGCAGGAGCAAAGAAAATATGTACTTCAGCTAATCATTCAGGATCAGGCTGGGAAGAACGTAAAGCCTGTCCCAGACAGGTTGTGTTTGCTCATGTTTTCCTCTTGTTTATCTGGGGTAAACAGGCATGGAGATTGTTCCTTAGTAAAATTCAGAGGAAGACATGGCTTACTGCTCCTTTGTAGATGTCTTGCAGGGAGACACCAGGCTAAAAGGGAGGGAAAGCTGTCATCCAAGTGTTTATACAAACTGAGTCTTCGGGGAAATACATCAAGACACAAAATTAACAGTTGACTTTATTCTCACTGAAACAAGAGACACCATTTCCTTCCTTTTTTATTTAAAATATAAGATTTTGCAATCATCTATCAATCTAGACAGGTGAAGTGACTTGGCCAATGGCACATACCATGTTAGTGACAATGTTAGACTTGTCCCTGGTCGCTGGCCCCTCCAGTAGGGATCCTGATGTCATGACGCTCCATAGTTAACTCTCAGATGAATTCAGTAGAAATGTAGTTCAGTACATTTAGAAATCCTGTGTGTTTTAGGTAAAATGTGACTTACAAGATTCTTTTTCCGTACTGAACTTGAAGAGGACAGTAGAGGTAGTTGGGAAATTACACATCTGAACATTATCCTTAACAGATTTCAGACACAGTTCTACCTTACTTTTTCAGATTATTCTAATTGTGGAAATCAAACCACACAGCTTATCAATACTGTATGTGGAACTTTGAAATGACAAAACTCACAGCTTAGTAAGTGAAAACATTTTTAGGTGAATGAGCAATATTGAGCAGTTGTCCCCCAGGGGATTTTGTTGGTTATAACCCAGTGAAAGTATTGCCCCAGAGTCATGGATCTCAGTAAATACAGGATGGTTGTTTGAGTTCATTAGGACACATTTTGCATTTAGATTAATTCAGTCCATGCACAGTTAAGCACCAAATAGTTGCTTTCAGATAATTGTTAACAAAGTGCTCATTTAGAAAAGAAATAATAGTATAATTTACGGCATGAAAATGTTTGAGCAGTACTAGAATAAATAAATGCTAATAAGTGAATATATAAATGGATATAGAATTAAGAGAAAACAAGCTTGCAAAAAAAAAAAAAAATTAACTAGATTGTGAGTGCCTGGAGGGCAGGGTCAGTGTCTTACTCATTTTTCTATCTCCAGTGCTCCTGACTTAACTGGGTGCTGAGAACATGGCTTTGTTGAAAGAAAAAGGGGAAAAGTATGTATTTCTTAAATGCAGGAGTCACATCAAAGCATTGTTCTGTCAAGACACATGTGCCTGCTGTAATGTAATGGGTTACATTTATAAAGATGTGAATACATTCTGCTCTGGCTGAAACTGCATTTTGGGCAGTTTCATCGTGCAAATTAAAATCCCAGTGCTTCCACTGGAAACTAATGGTAAACTGCAACATGTTTATAAGCCCTGAGCTATTAAACCTTGGCGTTCTTGTGAAATGTGCCATTCTGTTCACTAACACCACGACATGTGGTAGGCCAGGGTTTTCAAAGCATGTCACTTCTCCCTGTGACATGTGTAGACTTCTATTGAGAAGTGCAAAACTGAGTTAGAATCCTGTGGAATTTTACCCTTTTTTCTTTACTCCATAGTTGGCAGACACGGCATTCCTTTTTTTAGGTAGGGGAGGGAAGTTGTTTTTAAGAGCGGGAATTGCTAAGGTTGTTGATACAGTTAGGTGTGGTAGATCCTTTTTTCAGAACTGATTTATCCATTTGGTAAATTGTGATGGTTCTTCAGCTTCTGCCTACAGGATTTGAGGACTTCTAAGGCAAAGCCTTAGAAGCCTTTAAATCTACTTGTTAACTGGGAAGGGGGTTAGTAAGTGCCTATTGTTTGCAGGATCCTGCAAGATGCACCTCCCCCAAACCTGAAATTTCCTCTGTTTTTGCTCTGTTTCTACAATTTACACCCATTTCCCAGCATGTTTAAAAAATATCCATTGTATAGAGATACTCCGAACCTTCCCCTACTCTAATTCCTGTGCAAGCTACAGAAAGGCAGGCATCAGTCCACAGAACTGCTATATTCATCCTATCTTACTATTTACTCCATTCCTAAAAAATTAACAAGAAAACCCCTAAAACAAACAAACAAAATGTCTCCCTCTTTTCCTTTGTTGTTTTAGGCCCAGTGTGGGGCGGGGAGATGTTAGTGAGATCCTGAGGGGGCTTTTAAAATGCTAACTCCTTTGAAAGCAGTTAATTTACATGTTCTCTTGGGAGGTGTCTAGAGTTGTGCCTATCAGCTAATGACTTAATTAATTTTACGTCTTGGAATTTGAGAGTCAAGCACATTTCAAATATTCTGACTTCACCTTAATTTTATGATGTTCCTTTTAGCCCACTGAAGAAAGCCTTGTGGCCTCTCTATGTGGAGAAGTTGCAGGGTTATGTACTGGAAGGGATTGAAGCGCCCTTGGAAATGCACCCTCAACTCTCATTTAGAGAGAAGGGTTTGGAGGGCTTCCAGGTGTAAAAGACTTACTCAGGGTAACAGAGAGGAGGCAGAACTCAGGCGTCTGGATGTTCACTTCTTTGGCAAAGACTAAGTCAATGGCTTTCATAATTTTATTTATTTATTTGTTTATTTATTTATTTTTGAGAAGGAGTCTCACTCTGTCTCCCAGGCTGGAGTGCAGTGGTGCAATCTCCGGTCACTGCAACCTCTGCCTCCCGAGTTCAAGCGATTCTCCTGCCTCAGCCTCCCAAGTAGCTGGGATTACAGGCGTCTGCCACCACACCTGGCTAATTTTTGTATTTTTAGTAGAGACAGGGTTTAGGCTGGTCTCAAATCCCTGGCCACAAGTGATCCACCCACCTCGGTCTCCCAAAGTGCTGGGATTACAGGCGTGAGCCACTGCGCCTGGCCGGCTTTGATAATTTTGGTTGGGGTTGCCGAATCTTTTCCTGCTAAAGGAGACCCCTTAAGCTTAAGTGACCTTCTTCCATGATTCCCTTCTCCTGCCTTTCTGCCTTTATTTGCTGTTCTCTACCTTGTCTTTCTTTTGCTCAGCCATACAACCCTTCCCTCTGCCACCTGGCTTCTTACTGAGGTCCTTTGCATGCAGCTCTATGGGGACGGAGTGAGAGGCAGTGCTCCTGTGTAGAGTCCTGGGGCTGTGCTGGATCTTGCGCATACATTTCCTTACTTGATCCTTGTAGGAGGTGTGGTCAGTGAGTATTCTTGCCCTCATTTTACAGTTCAGATGTAAACGTCTGTGTCCTAAGTCATGCAGATAGTAGATGGGGAAGCTGAGAGTTGGATCATGTATTTCCCTGAAACTGACTTCCATTTGCAACTGTGTATAGTTCATTCTTTCACACATCTTCTTCAGACGTTTATTGGCTGCTAATTTTTGTTTGTTTAAGCTATTGAGCTATTAGCGATACTTGCCCTTGAATTCTACAAAAGGTTAGTTTTGCTGCAAAAGCCTCAGCCCCACGGTCGCTGAGTATATACCCAACCTCACAGGGCAGTGGGCAGAGCGCCCCGAAGGCGGTAGGATCCCTTCACTCAGGATCAGCAACCCAGGAGCGTCTGGGCGGCCCCTACCAGACATACCTTTGGATTTGGGCCCTGAGGGATAAGTAGGAGTTCCCAGAGAGGTCTTTTCTAGTGAGAGGGATAAAAAGGAAGGTGCGAGGTGGGCCCTTCCCCACAGAGCAAAGAGGGACAAAGGTGGAAGGGCACAGATCTCCCAGATCTGGGTGCTGATGTTGCTGGATAAGGTTTGTGGGCACCGGTGAAAGAGGCCATTGGGCATGGGACTACTTGCGTCTGTGTTTTGGAAAAGTAACTTTTTTATTTCATTCTTTCTTCTTTCTTTCTTTTTTTTTTTTTTTTTTTTTTTTTTTTTGAGTGAGTCAAACTCTGTTGCCCAGGCTGGAGTTACAGTGGCGCGATCTCGGCTCACTGCAACCCTCAACCTTCCAGGTTCAAGCAATTCTCCTGCCTCAGCCTCCCAAGTGGCTGGGATTACAGGCATCTGCCACCATGCCCGGCTAATTTTTGTATTTTTAGTAGAAATGGGTTTTCACCATATTGTCCAGGCTGGTCTTGAACTCCTGACCTAAGGTGATCTGCCTGCCTCGGCCTTCCAAAGTGCTGGGATTACAGGCGTGAGCCACGACGCCCGCCCGGCCAGAAAAGTAACTTTTGTAGGCGATGGGGTGGCAATGAGGTTGGAGGGAAGGAGACTACTTTAGTGACCCAGGCAGGGATAGTGAGAGCCCCAACCAGATGTTTCTGTGTCGAGTCATTACCTGTCCTCTGGCTGCCTGAGGCCCAACACTTTGTACAGTCTCTAAAGTAATCAAGACTGCTCCATGGTAACTTTCTTTTGATAATTCTTTTATGCTCAAGAGTGGGCTGAGTTAATGCAAGACATTTTAGAGATGTCGTATGCCTTGTGATTTTCTTTTTTTCTTTTTTTTTTTTTGAGACGGAGTCTCGCTCTGTCGCCCAGGCTGGAGTACAGTGGTGTGATCTCGACTCGCTGCAAGCTCCTCCTCCCGGGTTCATGTCATTCTCCTGCCTCAGCCTCCTGCGCAGCTGGGACTACAGGCGCCTGCCACCACGCCCGGCTAATTTTTTGTATTTTTAGTAGAGATGGGGTTTCACCGTGTTAGCCAGGATGGTCTCGATCTCCTGACCTCGTGATCCACTCACCTCGGCCTCCCAAAGTGTTGGTATTACAGGTGTGAGCCACCGCGCCCGGCAGATTTTCTTTCTCTCTAAAGGAAAAGGCGGCCAGGCACAGCGCCTCACACCTGTAATCCCACTGCTTTGGGAGGCCAAGGCTGGAGGATCGCTTGAGGCCAGGAGTTAGACCAGCCTGGGTAACATAGCGAGATCTCATCTGTAATTCTTATTAAAGAAAAAAGAAAAAAGTATCTATCCATGTATATATGTACAAATATTTGTATACCTGTCTCTCTATACTGATAGAATGTGGTTCCTTAAAAGGGGGAATTATTATTTATAACAATATGCACACCACTGAAAGATCTTTAAATCATTCTTTTAAAAGCTAATTGTAGAGTACAGTGAAATAGTGGGAAATATGTAGTTCAATGCAAATTTATTCATTTGCAAATCCGTAGCTCAATTTTACAAAGGATGTAAGAGGAAAAACTATTGTTTATCTAATGTGTCCTTTTTAAGAGTGCTGTGGTGCTACCTGATTGTTTCGTGTCTAAGACTTGACTGTCATAATCCCACTGTAATAGACGATGTGCCTACCTGTGGTTGACACACATTCTTGGCATTAGTAAAAATGAAATTGGTCTCAAAAGAGTGAATCTAAATGGACAGAGACTGACTCTCACTATCAGTGATACCATTTAATACCTGTGAGTACAGACTGAGACTACAAGAATTAACTAAACCTTCAGACTAATTTTGAGATAAAATGTATTTTTTGAGTACATAAATTGTCATTTTTCAAATGATATGCTCATCTATTTATTAATTCACTTTTGTAAGAAGACCTGAAAATGGTAGGTCTCTTCCTCATTAGCTTTGCTCCTAGCCAGATGTTGAACGTCCCTTCTTTTGTTCTCTGAAGTGTTTCACTGGGCAGCATTAATTCTTTATGAGGAGAGATGCTTCACAGAGATAACCTATCTTGTATCTTTCCTGCCATGTCAAGTCATGTAATACAGACATCTCCATCCTGGAGACTGGGTATCCAGGCATTATGGTAACTCTGAGACTCAGAAGACAAACGCTTGAGAAAGGGCTAGTATTTCCTTTCTGCGATAGTAGTTTTTTTTTTTTTTTTTTTTTTTCTGAAAGGCTCTTCTATGGCTTTCAAGATGATTGGTGAAAATGGAAATATATTTGTATTTATGTTTGTTTTTCAAGATGATTGGTGAAAACGGAAATATATTTGTATTTATGTTTGCTCTTCAGACTAATGTTCTCTGTGTTCACAGAGATACATTGCAGTTCTCCTTGGGTGTCTGATGCAAGTTCCATTCATGGTTGATTTTGATGTTTCATTCACTATTTGCTAGATTCCTTTTGCAGCAAGTAGTGAGTGAGGAAGTTTCCATGTGTCCACCCATCACTCTGCCTGGTTGTGGCTTCCTTCTTTCTCCTAGCATGAGGTAGTAAGAAAGAAAATAAAAGCATTATAAGAATCACATGATTTTTAAGTAAAGAGCCATTGAGGAGCAGAATAAAAAATCTTGGGATATGCCCTGAGCCCTAGTTACTCACCGCTTTTTTTTTTTTTTTTTTTAACTGCCCTTAATCTAGTAGGACCTAGTTTCCTTTAAAATGTATCCTAAGCACCCTTGACTTTGTTGACTTTAATAATAATTTTGTATTGGTCTTGCTGTCAGCCAACAATTGTTTTTAACCTAGAGCTAAAACATGTTTATGTGTGTGTGTGCTTTAAAAATTTAGTGTTTCAACATTAAATTATTTGTAGAGGAAAGGAATACTCTAGTTCAAGAATATGTATCTTTGCTATAGGAGTTTGTCTTTGTCTGTTTTCATAGGATTTTAAGGACCTCCTTTGTGAAATAAACCATTAACAACTTTGTAGCATTCCTTGTTTGGAAATGCCCAGTCTTTTAAAAAAAAAGTTTTGAAAGAGAAGAGTAACAACCTTAATCTGTGAGTTAAAACATTTAGAAACAAACAAACAAAAGTTAATTGAACATCTCTTAGAAAACTGATAGGTAGAATAGTAAAGTAGTTAAGAGCAAAGGAACTATTTTAGGTTGTTTGAGTTCAAATTGTGGCTTTAACCCTTACCGGACATGTGACCTGGGTGAGTTATTTAATTATTCTGTACCTCAGTTTCCTTATCTGTAAAATGAGGTTAACAGTCACCAACATCATTGGGTTCTCATGAGGATTATTTAAATAATGAGAACAAAGGCCAGGCTTGGTGGCTCACGCCTGTAATCCCAGCATTTTGGGAGGCCAAGGCGGTGGATCACCTAAAGTCAGGAGTTCAAGACCACCCTGGCCAACATAGTGAAACCCCATCTCTACCAAAAATACAAAAATTAGCCAGGCATAGTGGCAGGCGCCTGTAGTCCCAGCTACTTAAGAGGCTGAGGCAGGAGGATTGCTTGAACCCAGGAGGTGGAGGTTGCAGTGAGCCAAGATCACACCACCGTACTCCAGCCTGGGAGACAGAGTGAGACTCCTTCTTATAAATAAATAAATAAATAAATAAATAAATAAATAAATAAATAAATAGAACTGTGCATGACATACGATGAGCAGTTCATAAATGTGAGTTATTGGCTGGGTACGGTGGCTCATGCCTGTAATTCCAGCACTTTGGGAGGCCGAGGCAGGTGGATCACCTGTCAGGAGTTCAAGACCGGCCTGGCCAACATGGCGAAACCCCACCTCCACTAAAAATACAAAAATTAGCCAGGTGTGGTAGTGGGCACTTGTAATCCCAGCTACTGGGGAGGCTGAGGCAGGGAGAATTGCTTGAACCTGGGAGGTGGAGGTTGCAGTGAGCTGAGATTGTGCTACTGTACGCCAGCCCGGGTGACAGAGCAAGTCTCTGTCTCCAAAGAAAAAAAAGTGAGTTATTATTAACTACTAACAATAGTTGAATCTCTTTATTTAGAATATGAATTAATATATCTTTATTTTAATCTTTTTAATTTTTTATTTTTTGTTTTTCAGAGGCAGGGTCTCCCTGTGTCACGCAGGCTGGAGTGCAGTGGTGTAATCAAGACTCACTGCTGCCTCGCCTCCCTGTGCTCAAGGGATTCACCTGCCTCAGCCTCCCAGTAGCTGAGACTATAGGCGTGCATTACCACGCTCAGCTTATTATATTTTTCTTATTTTTTCTAGCATTGGAGGGGTCTCTTTTTGTTGCACAGGCTGATCTTGAACTCTTGGCCTCAAGCAGTCCTCCCAAGTTAACTTCCTAAAGTGATGGGATTACAAGTGTGAACCACTGCATTACTAATTTTTCATTTTTAAATGAAGGGATGATGTTCTGATTCTACATGTTCAATTTAAGATTGATTTTTTTTTTTTTTTTTTTTGGACAGAGTCTTGCTGTCTCCCACGCTGGAGTGCAGTGGCGCGATCTCGGCTCACTGCAACCTCTGCCTCCCAGATTCAAATGATTCTCCTGCCTCAGCCTCCTGAGTAGCTGGGATTACAGGCATGCACCACCACACCTGGCTAATTTTTGTATTTTTAGTAGAGATGGGGTTTTGCCATGTTGGCCAGGCTAGTCTCGAACTCCTGACCTCAGGTGATCCACCTGCCTTGGCCTCCCAAAATGCTGGGATTACAGGCGTGAGCCACCATACCTGACCAATTGATCTTAACTATTGATTTGATTGAGGTAATATGCCCTTTTTAATATGTAGCTTAAAAATAAGTACATAAATTGCTTCAAGGTATTAACCTTCAGTTTACATATTGAGAAATATGTGTGTAAAATATCTTCTATACTCACAAGAGAAAAAGGCTGTGTACAGTGGTTCACTCCTGTAATCCCAGTGTTTTGGGAGGCCAAGACAGGAGAGTTGCTTGAGGCCAGGAGTTCAAGACTGGCCTGAGCAAGATGGAGAGACCACACCTCTACAAAAAAAATTTAAAAGAGTAACCAGGCATGGACCTGTAGTCCCAGCTACTTGGGAGGCTGAGTCAGGAGGATCCCTTGAGCCCATGAGGTCAAGGCTTCAGTGAGTTGTGATGGCACCATTGCACTCCAGCCTGGGTGATGGAGCAAGACATTGTGTCAAAACAAAGCAAAACAGAACAAAAAAGAAAGAAAAAAAGAGAGAAAATATGAATGCTTTTGAATAGCCAAGATTTTCTGAAAACAAGAAAATGCTTGTAATAAAAGTATATTTTCTGTTTAAATGGTACCCACATTGCCATTTTTAGTTTTTTTATGTGTCTAAGTGGCACAATAATATAAGAGAGCTTTTGAATAGTTTACTTATTTAGAAACATGTAAAATATTAAAAGCATTCACTTATGATTTCATTTTTTGAGTGATGGATTCATGAATGTACTAAATTGGTTTTTATAATCCTGATTTTTTTGTGTTTTTTTTGTTTTGTTTTGTAGACTCTTTTCCCAGGGTTTCATTCAGTTAGCAGCTATTTTTTATGAGCTATTTTCTGCAAATCACTCATTCTGCATCTTTGAGCTTTAATTAAGAGTCTTAGGTTTCCAGTCAAGAATTTATAAAGCCATCATATAACAATGGCCCCACCAGACTTATGAAAAACTTGACCACACATTTCAGCGTGAATATGGCAGAAAATGGGACTCATTGTGGTTTGAGGAAGAACTATAAGCCTGTAATGAATAAACCTGCCACTTATTTTATTTTATTTTATTTTCCCGCGAGATGGAGTCTTGCTCTGTCACCCAGGCTGAAGTGCAGTGGCGCAATCTCGGCTCACTGCAACCTCTGCCTCCCGCGTTCAAGCAATTCTCCCTCAGCATCCCAAGTAGCTGGGATTAGGGGCATATGCCACCACCCCCATCTGATTTTTGTATTTTAGTAAAGATGGGGTTTCACCATGTTGGCCAGGCTGGTCTCGAACTCCTGACCTCAGGTGATCCACCCACCTCTGCCTCCCAAAGTGCTGGGATTACAGGCATGAGCCACCGCACCCGGCCAAACTTGCCACTTACATAAATTGTTATTTTGGGATGATTTAGTTATGAATCTAAAGAGAGCCTACAGGAATTTGAAATCTTTGGGAAAGTCTGTAAAGACCATAAACATTTATTCTGAAAAGGTAAAACATTTCATTTTTAAGGCTCATTTTATTGTGAATTACAGTTTTTTAAAAAAAACCTTCTCAGAATGTATGGCATTAAGACATAGTCTACTGGGGTATGGTCATTACTGTCTTCTGCAACATGTTGTTGTAACTCACCTAACATGTGACGCCCAGGTGGTGATTTACTGGAAGAGCGTCATAACACTGATGTGTAGTAGCAATTTGCCTTGATTAGAGGATTGGGAAACTGAGACTTCATGATGAGCATTAAATAGGTGTCAAATGATTCCTAAATGATATGTAGAAGATATTATAAAATCTTCATGATGTAACTTTAGCATTATCAAAGAACTGGCTCCTTTTTCAACAGAAGAAAATGTCAGCTAGTTACCCCACGTTAATATTTTGTATCAAGAACTCTTTGGTTTGTCATGCCCCTGAGTGGCTGCATATTCTGAGTCTGGGTCTTTAGAAAGCAGGATGCCTTCTATAGTGGAAGAGCTTCCATAGAGACCAGGAGGGGAGACGAATAGAATGAACACATTCCTTAAACCTCGAGAGAAGCTTACCAGGTCACATCCCTTAATCTAAGAAGTGCTGCTCTAGAGATTAGAATGATCATATTTACATTGGTATGATTTCTTGCACTTCATATGTACTTTTACATATGCTGATTGGTTTTATTTTATTTTATTTTTGAATACAGGTTAAAAAAATTTCAATAGTTTTTGGGGAACAGGTCAGGTAGTATTTGGTTACATGAATAAGTTCTTTAGGGGTAATTTCTGAGATTTTGGTAAACCCATCACTTGAGGAGTGTACACAGCACTCAGTGTGCAGTCTTTTATACCTCATCCTCTTCCACGCTTCCCCCCAAGTCCCCCAAAGTCCATTGTATCATTCTGTTTTTTTTTTTTTTTCTTTTCTTTTCTTTTTTGAGATGGAGTCTTGCTCTATCCCCCAGGCTGGAGTGCAGTGGCGTGATCTCTGCTCACTGCAGCTTCTGCCTCCCAGGTTCCAGTGATCCTCCTGCCTCAGCCTCCTGGGTAGCTGGGATTACAGGCACACACCACCATACCTGGCTAATTCTTGTATTTTTAGTAGAGACAGAGTTTCACCATGTTGGCCAGGCTGGTCTCGAACTCCTGACCTTAGGTGATCCGCCTGCCTCAGCCTCCCAAAGTGCTGGGATTACAGGCATGAGCCACCACACACAGCCCATGAGGATGCCTGTGCAAGTGTCTTTTTCATATAATGACTTCTTTTCCTCTGGGTAGATACCCCCAGGAGTGGGATTGCTGCATCAAATGGTAGATCTACTTTTAGTTCTTTTTTTTTTTTTTTTTTTTGAGACTGGGTTTTGCTCTTGTCTTGGCTCACCTCAAACTCTGCCTCCTGGGTTCAAGCGATTCTCCTGCCTCAACCTCCCAAGTAGCTGGGATTACAGGCACCCACCACCACATCCAGCTAATTTTTGTATTTTTAGTAGAGACAGGCCAGGCTGGTCTCGAGCTCCTGACCTCAGGTGATCCTCCAGCCTTGGCCTCCCAAAGTGCTAGGATTACAGTGTGAGCCACCACGCCTGGCCTACTTTTAGTTGTTTAAGGAATCTCCATAGTGGTTGTACTAGTTTACATTCCCACCAGCAGTGTAAAAGTGTTTTCCCTTTTCACCACATCCATACCCACATCTGTTATTTTTTGATTATGGCCATTCTTGCAGAAGTAAGGTAGTATTACATTGGGGTTTTGATTTGTATTTCCCTGATAGTGATGTTGAGCATTTTTTTCCTTTGTTTGTTGGCCGTTTGTATATCTTCTTTTGAGAATTGTCTATTCATGTACTTAGCCCACTTTTTGATGGGATTATTTGTTTTTCTTGCTGATTTGTTTGAGTTCCTTGTAGATTCTGGATATTAGTTCTTTGTTGGGTGTATAGTTTGCGAAAATTTTCTCCCACTCTGTGGGTTGTCTGTTTACTCTGCTGATTATTTCTTTTGCTGTGCACATATGCTGATTGGATTTATGCCCTCAGAGCTACTAGAAACTTCCTGTTGTTGGCATCCTTTGGCCATGTAAATAATGTAGGGTTCCTGGTTTCCTTTTAAACACACCCACATTTTATTCAATAACCATAATTCAACAATTGCTGGCTGACTTTGGCTTCTGCAGATTTTAGACTTCCAAACTCATCTGTTTTACCTGTAAAACAGGTAAAATACTGAGCTTATATATCTTTGCACACTGCCCCACAGGGTGGACCAGACCCAGATGGATTTGGCCTCTGCTCTTTGAGCAGAGTTTGATGGTAAAGCCAGAAAGTCTCCCACAGTCTGGGTTTTCCCAGTTTCCACCCAGGCTCCCTGGATCCTGGTGTCTTGGATGCCAGTGTGGGTCAGTGTGGCAAACACCTAAGGCTTTGCATTTGCAGGTCCATCAATTCCAAGGTGGTGGAGAGAAGCACAGACTCCTACTCCTCATTGTAACCAGCTTGAGACAGGCTCCAGAACAGCACCCATGACTGTCCACTTTGTTCTTTATTGTAGAAAATAGAAAGGCCTACTTCCACGACATCGGGAAAGTCAGCCTCCTGTTGTCACCTAAAAGATTTTCGGCCAGGCACAGTGGCTCACACCTGTGATCCCAGCATTTTGGGAGACTGAGGTAGATGGATCACCTGAGGTCAGGCGTTCGAGACCAACCTGACCAATATGATGAAACCCCGTCTCTACTAAAAATACAAAAATTAGCCCGGTGTGGTGGCATGTGCCTGTAATCCCAGCTACTCGGGAGGGTGCGACAGGAGAATCGCTTGAACCTGGGAGGCGGAGGTTGCAGTGAGCTGAGATTGCACCGCAGCACTCCAGACTGGGCAACAAGAGCAAAACTCCGTCTCAAAAAAAAAAAAAAAAAAAAAAAAATTCAAGCTGCAGAGCAGTTAGGTTTTATCTTAGGTTTGGCTTTAAAAAAAAAATCAAGATTTGAAGACACATAAACCTGTTATTTGTACACCTGCAGACAGACTTGCAGACAAGTTTGAGTATGTTCTATTTCAAGTCTTGATGTATAAAGAAGATAATCCAGGGCGAGAGTTGCTCAAGGACTGTAGGTCACCGATGGCTCCCAAGGATCAGCCAGAGACCAATGAGCAAGTGAAAGCAGATTGGTTTGAATCTTGCATTTGCTGGTTGGCTCAAGAGAAGTAAGCACTGAATTATGCAATGCAGTTGGCAGGGAGGATTGAAGCGGCTCGGAGTGTTGTTTTGGCAGAAAAACTACTTAGCAAAATGAATGAGGGGAGGGAATAGTGACACACTACCTTCTGGGGTCCCAGGAGGGTCTGTTTCAAAATAATTTTTATGGAGGCAGAGAGAAGCACACTGATATTGTACCAGTGCCTTGGTTGTGACAGATAGTCACTGTTGTACAACTAGGGATATGGCCAGACTCTTAACTATCTTTTAAAACTAGAAGTGATTACCTTTATTGTTTTGCGTTAAATTTAAGTCACCCCTCCTTAGATGCTTGGTTGGTTCTTTGGTTTCCTGTTTCCTAATGCCATGTTTTTGTTTTTTTTTTTTTTTTTTTTGAGACGGAGTCTCCCTTCATCACCGAGGCTGGAGTGCAGTGGCGTGATCTCGGCTCACTGCAAGCTCCGCCTCCCGGGTTCACGCCATTCTCCTGCCTCAGCCTCCCGAGTAGCTGGGACTACAAGCACCCATCACCACACCCGGCTAATTTTTTGTATTTTTAGTAGAGACGGGGTTTCACCGTGTTAGCCAGGATGGTCTTGATCTCCTGACCTTGTGATCCGCCTGCCTTGGCCTCCCAAAGTGCAGGGATTACAGGCGTGAGCCACTACACCCGGCCCTAATGCCATGTTTAAACATCTGTGGTCCTTGGAATTTTTATTTAAAAATAAAAAAAAAATACAAGTATGTATATATAGGCATACTTCATTTTATGCACTTTGCAGTTATGGCTTGTTTCTGTTTTTGTTTTTGTTTTTCTTGAGACGGTGTCTCACTCTATTGTCCAAGCTGAAGTGCAGCTGCGCCATCTCAGCTCACTGTAACCTCCGCCTCCTGGGCTCAAGTGATTCTCCTGCCTCGGCCTCCTGAGTAGCTGGGATTACAGGCATGAGCCATTGTGCTTGGCCGGTTTTTTTTTTTTTTTTAACAAATTGAAGGTTTGTGGCAACCCTGTGTTGAGCAAGATTTTTGGTGCCATTTTTCCAATACCGTGCGCTCATTTTGAGTCCCTATGTCACATTTTGAAGCTGAATTGCTGCAATCTCATGATTAAACCTGAACAGATGTGGAGTTGCTTCTTATGGATGAGTAAAGAAAGTGGTTTCTTGAGCTGGAAACTACTCCTGGTGAAGATGATGTGAACATTGTTAAAATGACAACAAAGGATTTTGGGTATTCCATAAACTTAGTTGATAAAGCAGTATCAGAGTTTAAGAGGATTCATTCCTATTTTGAAAGAGGTTCTGCTGTGGGTAAAGTGCTATCACACAGTATAGTATGTTAAGGAGAAATCTTTCATGAAAGGAAGAGTCCCTTGATGCAGCAGATTTCTTTATTGTCTTTTATTTTATTTTATTTTTCTGAGATAGAGTCACTCTGTTGCCAGGGCTGGAGTACAGTGGTGCAATCTCAGCTCACTGCAACCTTTGCCTGCCGGATTCAAGTGAATCTCCTGCCTCAGCCTCCTGAGTAGCTGGGACTACAGGTGCCCGCCACCATGCCTGGCTAATTTTTTGTATTTTTAGTAGAGACGGGGTTTCACCGTGTTAGCCAGGATGGTCTTGATCTCCTGACCTTGTGATCCACCCGCCTCCGCTCCCAAAGTGCTGGGATTACAGGCGTGAGCCACCGCACCCAGCTGAATTTTTTTTTTCTTTCTTTACAAACCAAAGGAACCAGAAATTTGGTTGTCACCTGCTTCTTTGGAGGACTTCCTTTACTGATTCCTACATGGCTCTGCATTCCATGCTTCCTTGATGCCTCAGAGCTCAGTGGACAGAACAAGGGACGTCCTTCATTTTTTTTTTTAATCTAGTCAGTCATCGTAATTGATTTTTTCCCAAGGAGTTGGATTGGAGGTTGCATTTTTGTGTGATAGCTGGAATATTCTTTGAAACTTGGCTGCCACAGGACTTGCTTTTAATGCCTTTGTTTTTTTTTTTTTTTTTCGAGACAGAGTCTTGCTCTGTTGCCCTGGCTGGAGTGCAGTGGCGTGATCTTGGCTCACTGCAACCTCCACCTCCTGGGTTCAAGCGATTCTCTCGCCTCAGTCTCCTGAATAGCTGGGATTACAGGCATGTGCTACCACGTCCAGTTAATTTTTGTATTTTTAGTAGAGACAGGGTTTCACCATTTTGGTTGACCAGGCTGGTCTCAAACTCCTGACTGCCAGTGATCTGCCACCTTGGCCCCCCAGTGTTGGGATTACAGGCGTGAGCCACCCCCCCGCCAGGCTTTAAAGCCTTTTTAACAAAGATGCTGTGGGGCAGAAAGAATGGATGACCTAGTAATAAGAGTAAGGATAATATTGATATTAGCTGCAGTTATTTATGGAGCATGGACTATGTGTTAAACACTATACTAAGCTCTCTCCATACCTTAACTCATTTAATTGTTACAGTGACCCTGTGAGGTGTGGTTGTGGGTTGATTTTTTTTCCCACAAAAAAGGATACCTCGAAGTCCTAATCCCTGGTATCTGAGTGTGACTTTGTTTGGAAATGGCTTCTTTTCAGATTTAGCCAAGTTAAGTTGAGGTCATTAGGGTGGGCCCTAGTCCAACATGATTGATGTCCTTACTGGGACACAGACACAGATGTGCACGGGGGGAAGATGAAGTAAAGACACCCACAGAGAACAGCATGTGATGGTGGAGAATTGCAGTGATGCACCTGCAGGCTAAGGAATGCCGAAGATCGCTGGCAGCCCCCAGCAGCTAGGAAGTGGCGAGGACCTCTAGCCTCTAGAACTGGGAGACAATACATTTCTGTAGTTTTAAGCCACCCAATTATTGGTGCTTTGTTATGGCAGCCCCTAGGAAACAATACAGATGGCTGCTCTATTACCACAGGGTAGCAGCTTTGAGCTGTTGGGAGAAAGAGGAAAGTATAAAGACAGCAAGGCCAGACGCGGTGGCTCATGCCTGTAATCCCAGCACTTTGGGAGGGCAAGGCGGGTGGATCACCTGAGGTCAGGAGTTTGAGACCAGCCCAGCCTGACCAGCATGGAGAAACCCTGTCTCTATTAAAAATACAAAATTAGCCAGGCGTGGTGGTGCATGCCTGTAGTCCCAGCTACTCGGGAGGCCGAGGCCGGAGAATCGCTTGAACCTGGGAGGCAGAGGTTGTGGTGAGCTGATCGCACCATTGCACTCCAGCCTGGGCAACAAGAGTGAAACTCTGTCTCAAAAAAAAAAAGGAAAGGGAAAAAAAGGACAGCAGAACTTTTTCCAGGTTTCCTACCTTGCACAGCCCTACACCTTGGCCAGTAGAAAAAGAACATTGAGAAGATAGATAAGCAGAGAGCCTCAATATGACCCTGGCCATGGCAGCATAGAAACCGACTCAGGAAACATTTATCAGGTATGGGTTGGACCAGTGTGGAAGAAGAAGACAGGGGCCTCCTCCAGGGTACTTAGTGAGCAACAGGAGAGACAGAGACAGAGGGAAGCACGGTTTCCCTGATGAATGTCCAGCATTTCTTTTTTCTTTTTCTTTTTCTTTTTTTTTTTTTTTTTGAGACAGAGTCTCACTCTGTCGCCCAGGCTGGAGTGCAGTGGCGCGATCTCGGCTCACTGCAAGCTCCGCCTCCCGGGTTCATGCCATTCTCCTGCCTCAGCCTCCCGAGTAGCTGGGACTACAGACGCCCACAACCACGCCCAGCTATTTTTTGTTTGTTTGTTTGTTGTATTTTTAGTAGAGACGGGGTTTCTCCGTGTTAGCCAGGATGGTCTCGATATCCTGACCTTGTGATCCGCCCACCTTGGCCTCCCAAAGTGCTGGGATTACAGGCGTGAGCCACCGTGCCTGGCCTCTTTTTTTTTTTTGAGATGGAGTCTTGCTTTGTCGCTCAGGCTGGAGTGCAGTGGCGCCATCTTGGCTCACTACAACCTCTGCCTCTCTGGTTTAAGAGATTCTCCTGCCTCAGCCTCCCGAGTAGCTGGGATTACAGGCATGTGCCACCATGCCTGGCCAAATGTCCAGCATTTCTTACTAGGTTCTATGAGATAAGCAGTGATGTGGACTGAGCAATGAGGAAGAGATTGCAATGTGCCCCATCTTCCCTCCCACACAAGGCCTCAGTCTAATGCCCCTGGTTTTCTCCCCTTTCCTGCTTGCCATTTTTACTATTATATGCCTTTTTTTTTTTTGAAAGTGAGGTGAGGGTGAGGGTGTGGTCGTATGAGGAAACGGAGGCTTAGGAATGCTTTCCATCTTTGTTTTAAAATAGTGGAATTGAGCCTGGGTAACATAGTGAGACCCCTTCTCTACAAAAAATAAAAAATTAGTCAGGTGTGGTGGCGTGTGACTGTAGTCCCAGCTACTTGGAAGGATGAAGCAGGAGGATCACCTTAGCCCAGGAGGTTGAGGCTGCAGTGAGCCATGATTGTGCCACTGCACTCCAGCCCGGGAAACAGAGCAAGACCTTGCCTCAAAAATACATACATACATACAAGTAGTGGAATTGAGTTAAAGTTTCCTAAAGAAGATAATACCTCTTTGTTTTCCTCTTTGAATCTCAACTGCTACCTATCCCAACTGCCACCCAGGACAGAGCTGGGAGAGAGGGTGTGGAGAGAAAGTTGTAGTGCAGCATAGAAGTCTTATTGGTGCAGGGATTCCTGAAGTGGCTTCTTAGGTCTGGGCAGATATGCTGATGTGGGGCAGGGACCCTGGCCAAGGGTTTTGGGCATGGGCTGCATGGCTGCAAAGGAACCTTGGTGGTGATATCCATAAACACAGGGCTGCCCTGCCTCACCCCTTGGCCTCACCCTTTGAATTCCCTGTCCTCAATCCTTTGAATGCAACATCAGATGAATCACGGTGTTCTGGAGGACGTGGCGGTGGATAGTGTTAGGGACGGAGTGATTGAGGCTCTTCTTTATTTTTTTTATTTATTTATTTTTTTGTAGAGACAGGGTTTCACCATGTTGCCCAGACTGGCCTCAAACTCCTGGGCTCCAATGATGCGCCTGCCTGGGCCTCCCAACACTTCTTTTTTTTTTGAGATGGAGTCTTGGTCTGTTGCCAAGGCTGGAGTGCAGTGGCACGATCTTCGCTCACTGCAACCTGCACCTCCCAGATTCAAGCAATTCTCTGCCTCAGCCTCCTGAGTAGCTGGGATTACAGGCGCCCGCCACCACACCCGGCTAATTTTCTGTATTTTTAGTAGGGACGGGGTTTCACCATCTTGGCCATGCTGGTCTTGAACTCCTGACCTCGTGATCCACCCGTCTCGGCCTCCCAAAGTGCTGGGATTACAGGCATAAGCCACCACGCCCGGCCGATTGAGGCTCTTCTTAACCTCTGCTTCAGACCCCTCCTGGTACCACCTCACTCCCTGGTCTTTGAGGCTGTGTAAGATGTGCAGGCATCTTACAAGATTTGGAGAGTCAGAAATCACTCCTTGCTGGATTGCTGAGGGTTAGCAATGAAAGTAAAAGAGGATATGGAGAAAATGGAAACCACTTATAGGATATTTTATTCCCTGTGGATTCTATAATGGACATTTTAATTAAACTCTAATGGGACATACATTCTAAAAAGTTCTGATCCCTGAATAAATTAATATTAATGCCCACCATTCATTCAGAGTAAATGCATTGAGAGAAATGTCCTCACCAAGTAATATAAAAATGGAGAGTTAGAAAAATAAAATTTCCCAGCTCATCGGCAGCCCATCCTGTTGGTAAAGGACTGCTCCCTCTGGTCCATTACTGCCCATTACTTCCTCCAGCTCCACGTCAATGACTCATGCCAAAACCTCCATCACTTCCCTTTGGAGATTATTACACAGCCCAGCAGACATCCTATTAAGAAACTTCTTATTAGCAGAGGAAAAGGAAAGTTTTCACGTTGAGATCGAGAAGGAAGATGATTCATGGTCACGAAGGGAAAGGTCCCCTGAAGTCTTGAGAGATGGCTCACCACTGCTCCACTTTCCTTTGGGGACACACACACTCACCATTAGCTGTGGGAAGTCGATGGGGTGTGTGGAGAGGACCATACTCAATTAAAAGAATGACAGTGGAATCAGTAATTTTGAATCAAGCTCAGCGATGGATTACAAAAGCAAGAGTGTAGACTCCTAACTAATGTAGGGTGGAAGTTGAAACGTGAAAGTTGCCTGTCCTGAGCACGTTTAGAGTTCACAATTCAATATTCAAGAAGAACGTAAGGCTAGCAGTTGCTATAGTTGGGACAGGAAATGACTCAAGTCCAAAAGGAAGGTTTCTGTAGATACAAGGTCAAGATGAGAATAGGTTCTGCCACGGGAAATGGGAAGAACACAAGGATAGAGTCTGCATCATCCCCAAGGGTTCTGACCATAGGAAACATTGCAAAATAGTACAAATGAAGCATGGAGTCAAAGATACCAATATTAAAAAATTAAGAACATTCCATGATTAACAAAAATTTTCCCTCCGGCCGGGCACAGTGCTTCATGCCTGTAATCTCAGCACTTTGGGAGGCTTAGGAAGACAGATCACCTGAGGTCAGGAGTGGGAGACCAGCCTGGCCAACATAGTGAAACCCCATCTCTACCAAAAATACAAAAATTAGCCAGGCATGGTGGTATGTGCCTGTAATCCCAGCTACTTGAGAGGCTGAGGCAGGAGAATCACTTGAACCTGAGAGGCGGAGGTTGCAGTGAGCTGAGATCGTGCCACTGCACTCCAGCCTGGGCACCAAAGTGAGACTCTGTCACAAAAAAAAAAAAGAAAGGAGAGGAAAAAGAAAATTTTCCCTTCAAGTATTTCACTGTGTCAGGTACTTTGTGATCAAGCTAGCTCCCAGCTGTCATGCCTCATTATCATATGATTTACAACCCATGATTGCTTTTTTAAATCGTATGGTCTGTTGACATTGCAAAATCAGTATTTCTCTTCTTTGCACATTCTTTAGCACCTACTATTTGTATCAGTCATTTGACATTTACAGTATTTAGGAAGCCTGATGGCCATTTTTTGTTTTATTGGATCAAATTCTTTTACTATCTTTTTTTTTTTTTTAACTGAGACATCTTGCAGGGCACAGAGTTCTCTGCAAAGATATTGTTGGTTCTCCTGGTAGAGGTGATGAGGAGGGGGTCATACTGAAGTACATCTCATTCTTGCCCACCTCATGACCATATTTCCCTTTAAGAATTCAAATGATGCATCCTCCATGATCGATCCTTAAGCACCTTTGATGTCTTGCTCTCCCTTGCTGAAATGGCTCACATAATGGGAGCTTTAACTGAAGGAGAGATGGAGCTAGGAATATAAAGATCATTTTTGCCTGGGTGTAGTGGCTCATCCCTATAATCCCAGCCCTTTGGGAGGCTGAGGTGGGTGGATCGTTGAGCTCAGGAGTTCGAGACCAGCTTGCACAACATGATGAAACCCCATGTCTACAAAAAAAAAATACAAAAATTAGCCGGGCAGGGTAGCTCGTGCCTGTAATCCCAGCACTTTGGGAGGCCAAGGCAGGCAGATCACCTGAGGTCAGGAGTTTGAGACCAGCCTGGCCAAAGTGGTGAAACCTCATCTCTACTAAAAACACAAAAATTAGCCAGGCGTGGTGGCGTGCGCCTGTAATCCCAGCTACTCAGGAGGCTGAGACAGGAGAATTGCTTGAACCTGGGAGGTGGAGGTTGCGGTGAGCCGAGGTGGCACCACTGCACTCCAGCCTGGGGGATAGAGTGAAACTCTGTCTCAAAAAAGAAAAGAAAAAAAAAAATTAGCCAGGCATGGTAGCGCTGCCTGTATTTCCAACTACTTGGAGGGCTGAGGTGGGAAGATTGCTTGAGCCTGGGACATTGTGGCTGCAGTGAGCTGTGTTCGCGCCACTGCAGTCCAGCCTGGGCAAAAGAGGGAGAGCCTGTCTCAAAAACACAAACCAAAAAAAACCCATAGAGATCATTTTTGAGAAGAAGTTTAAGAAAGGTAGACACTGTGCTGAGGAACTTAGTTGCTAAGATATAGACACAAGAAAATATTGGATACTTGGAAGGAGACGAGCAGACAACAGAACAAGAAGAACTTCATTTAAAGTCTTGTCCGGACTTGGTGGGGCGATGGTGCATTTCTGGTGTCTGACTTGCAATGTCTGGATCCTGAGTATAAGCTCGGCAAGCATTTAGGTTTGGGCCTGAATTTTGTCATTTGTAAAACTAAAAGAAAATAGGGATTCCATTTGTTTTGTTTGTTTGTTTGTTTGAGATGGAGTATTGTTCTTGTTGCCCAGGCTGGAGTGCAATGGTGCGATCTCAGCTCACTGCAACCTCTGCCTCCCAGGTTCAAGCGATTCTCCTGCCTCAGCCTCCTGAGTAGCTGGGATTACAGGTACGGGCCACCAAGCCCGCGTAATTTTTGTATTTTTGGCAGAGACGGGGTTTCACCGTATTGGTCAGGCTGGTCTCAAACTCCTGACCTCCTGATCCTGCCCGTCTGCCTCCCAAAGTGCTGGGATTACAGGCATAAGCCAAGGATTCCATTTGGATACGCTTCTGCAAGTAATTTCCCTTCCTTCTCATCATCTTTGGGTTCTGATGGATTCTGTAACTAGTGGGTAGCTTTTTTTTTTTTTTTTTTAAGACTGAGTCTTGCTCTGTTGCCCAGGCTGGAGTGCAATGGCGTGATCTCTGCTCACTGCAACCTCTGCCTCCCAGGCGCCTGCCACCATACCTGGCTAATTTTTGTATTTTTAGTGGAGGCAGGGTTTCACCACATTGGCCAGGCTGGTCTCGAACTCCTGACCTCAGGTGATCCACCTTCCTCGGCCTCCCAAAGTGCGGGGATTACAGGCGTGAGCCACCGCACCTGGCCACAGTGTATCTTTTTGTTATTGTATTAGGTTGGTGCAAAAGTAATCGCGGTTTATAATTATGCTTCCTTAAGCTAAAAACTTAGGTGAGAACACACCTCAGTCCTTTTAGCAATCCTCAGTTGAGTCTGACCATGCACATTCTTACTTACAAGTTTTAGTTGTCTGAGCCACCGCTTAGCTTGGTTTTTAGTTGCATGGCTGCCAAAGAATTGTTTAGCCAGAGGCCCTGCGCAGGTCTGCAGGGAAACAGAACAAAACACATTGCTCTTGTTTACGTCCTCGGGCTGAACCACCCATTTCTCTGTAGCAGTCAGGATTTCCTCAGGAAGCTTTCCTTGGGGAGGGTGGACCAGGGTGAAGCAGGATGTGATGACACGCAGCCCTCCTGCCCTCTGCAGCCAGCTGAGGTGAAGCCTCTATCTGTATCTGGCCTATGCTTCCTAGTCTGTGAGTTACAAGTCCAGGTCTTCTGCCCCAGGTTGGGGTGATGGAGTTGGTGGGGATGGACGGAGCTGCTGCCCCCATCCCCCTGGCTCCTTACTTCCATTTCATTTTCTTATCTGCAGTGCTGGGGTGAAAAGCCCAGGAGGGGGACACCCCTCGGAGGCCTCGAGTGCCTGGGTGGCAGCGGCTGTGCCAGCATTTCAGTCACAGCTTTTCCCATGGGGCCTGTGGGTGGAGTCGTTCAGGGCTGCGGGGTCTACCGCAAGCCCAGCCTCAGGAAGAAATAATGGAGTGGAGGATGTGGCAATTTGGCCTGGCCAAGCACCCAGCCATATGTTTCCTCAATTCAGGTTAAGTGAATTATTCAACTGTACACTGTAGGCATCTCAGGAGTACTGTTAACTAACCCTAAGTTTTATTTTAAAATATTATGGGGTGGGGATTACTTTCTGTGGAAGGCCTCAGTAGATGGCTTTATAGTTTAAATAAGCAGTAAGGTTAGCTTAAGCTTGTTGTGTGCCCAACTGCAGTGAGCCCGTACTTCTGTGGTGGTGAAGGCAGATTTTGGAGTAGACAGGAATGGATTTGAAGCCAGGATCTGCTCTCTTTTTTCTTTTTTTGTTTTTTAGACAGAGTCTGTTGCCCAGGTTGGAATGCAGTGGCACGATCTCGACTCACTGTAACCTCTGCCTCCCAGGTTCAAGTGATTCTCCTGCCTCAGCCCCCTGAGTAGCTGGGATTACAGGCGCAAGCCACCACACTCAGCTAATTTTTGTGTTTTTAGTAGAGACGGGTTTTCACCATGTTGGCCAGGCTGGTCTCAAACTCCTGACCTCAAGTGATCCACCTGCCTCAGCCTCCCAAAGTGTTGGGATTACGGGTGTGAGCCACTGCTCCCAGCTAGGACCAGCTCTTTGTTAGCCATGTGGCAGTGGACATGGAACCTTCCTGCTTTGATGTCCTCATTGGTGTTGTGCATTAATTGAAATGATGTACAAGAATACCGACAATGTAGTATAGGTATACAGATGCTCAATAAATGGAAATTTTCCCCTTAATTCTCATCCTTCCAACCTCCCCCACATGCGCGCGCACGCGCGCGCACACACACACACACACACACACACGGGGTTCTATTTGTTGTCTGATATAGATACAAGAATCTTCCTGGGCTCTGAATCCACAAATATCAGGAAGTCAATAGAAGGCATTTAGCTTGTTTTACAAACTTGATCAAATGGAACAAAAACAAATAATTTTCAAGGCATTCATATGATGTGGGAAGTTGCATGCTGTCTCTTACTCTGGAAGATACGGATCCATTCACTTGTGGAGCTTTTAGTAAATGCCTGCCTTGTGCAACATTGTGGTGGAGCTGCAAAGAGTTATGAAGGAAACAGACACGTGCATTGGCCTGGCAGAGCTGTACGTGTTGGGGAGAGTACCTGGATGTGCTTAAGTGAAACAACTAGAAATCATCAGCGTGTGCAAGGTAGAGAGACTGGCTGCTTGTTCCAGGAATGCAGCACAGAGGGAGAATCTGTCTTTAGTGGCACAGCCTGCTATGAGAGGGGAAAAGGCTGTTTTGGAAGCTGGGTTTGTCATGAGTCTCTGGGACTTCTGCAGACTGTTTTCATCTGTAGTCACATCTGCTTCACATGTTGAAACTGTTTCTACTCAGGCAAAGGTGATTTCATTATGATGCAGGAAAGTTTTTTGAAGATAGTTTAAGAGTTGGTCATCATAGTCTATTAAAATGATAAGCAACAGTGGCCATTGTTAATGATAAGAGTAATCGTTATGGAGTTCTGGGTATCAGACACTGTTCTGAGTGTTCTACATGGATTATGTCTTTATTTGGCAGCAATGCAAATAATACCTGAGGCAGATACCTCTCTCCAAGACACAAAAAAAATTTAATAACTTTCTTAAGGTCAGAGCCTAGCATCTTAACCACTCTACCATACTGGCTGTTCCCTTTCCATGACAAAAAAACCCAACCTGGCCGGACGTGGTGACTCATGCCTGCGATCCTGGCACTTTGGGAGGCCAAGACGGGTGGATCATTTGAGGTCAGGAGTTTGAGACCAGCCTGGCCAGCATGGCGAAACCCCATCTCTACTAAAAATACAAAAATTAGCTGGGTGTGGTGGTGTGTGCTTGTAATCCCAGCTACTCAGGAGGCTGAGGCATGAGATTCGCTTGAACCGGAGAGGCAGAGGCTGCAATGAGCCGAGATCATGCCACTGCACTCCAGTCTGAGCAACACAGCGAGATTGTCTCAAAAAAAAGAAAAACAAAAAAAAAAAAAAAAAAAAGGAAAGAAAAACCCAACCCAAACCAGCAAAAACAAAAATCCAACCACCTCCTCAAAAAAAATTCTCAAAATAGATAATTTGTTAATAACAAATAGCATTTTTCTCTTTTGTAAGTGGAAGGCAGAGGTGAGGAAGGATAGAAGGATAGATCAAGTGAAAGTGACCTTTCGAATGTCCCTGTCTACACAAAGTATTCTGTGGCCTTTTAAGTCTATCTGTACATCTTTTATTAAAAAACAAATTGTGATATATAGACAAAACCCAAGACAACTCTAAAAAACAAGTAGGTAATTAACTATCACTGGAGATTTAAAGATGGTTGGCAAGATTTGGAATCAGGAGGAAATTTACACAGAACTGGTGTGTGGAAAGTTTTGAAATACTGGTCCCAGCATCTAGTCCTTGAGTCATCCCTATGTTAACACACTAGGTTGAAATATCTCAATTTCAGGTTTTTCCTTTTCTTGTCTCTTAACAGTGCCATCTTGGTTTTCTCCTATTAAATTCTCTCTTTGCTTTGGAGTCTCATGCTTTTTCAAAAATATATTCTGACCTGGCCAGGTGCGGTGGCTCACGCCTGTAATCCCAGCACTTTGGGAAGCCAAGGTGGGCAGATCACGAGGTCAGGAGATCGAGACCATCCTGGCTAACACAGTGAAACCCTGTGTCTACTAAAAATACAAAAAACTAGCTGGGCGTGGTGACGGGCGCCTGTAGTCCCAGCTACTCGGGAGGCTGAGGCAGGAGAATGAAGTGAACCCGGGAGGCGGAGCTTGCAGTGAGCCGAGATCACACCACTGTACTTCAGCCTGGGCAACTGAGTGAGACTCTGTCTCAAAAAAACAAAAGACAAAACAAAAAAACCCTACAAAAATATATTCTGACCTAATAAGGGTCTCATTTTTTCAAAAATATGTACTGACTTTATAAGGTATTCTCAAATGAGGACTAATACATGTTTTTTATGTAAGAAGTGAAACGCTGTCATGAAAACACAATTGGTGAAGGATCTTACCCAGTGCCTTGTGCTTACTGTCATTCTCTTGGCGATCTCCTTGAATGTTGCTGTGAGAATACCAGCCTCACAGAAGTGTGTTTCAGGAGTGGCCAATCTCCCTTCCCTCCTCCATGTTTTACCTTCTAAGGTCTTTGTTGCCACAGAGGAGGATGGGGAGAGAAGAGACCAATGTCACTGGGCTAATATTTAAGAGAAAATGAAGTTAAGTTGAAATTAACTGACTGATCTCTTTTTGGGCATTTTCTGAATTATATCTATGGAGCACCTAGTTGGCTATTCTTTTTTTTTTTTATCCAGGCTGGAGTGCAGTGGCGCAATCTCAGCTCACTGCAACCTCTGCCTCCTAGGTTCAAGTGATTCTCCTGCCTCAGCCTCCTGAGTAGCTGGGATTACAGGCACCCGCCAGTACACCTAGCTAAATTTTTTTTTTTTTTTGTATTTTTAGTAGAGATGGGATTTCATCATGTTGGCCAGGCTGATCTCAAACTCCAGACCTCAGGTGATCCACCTGCCTTGGCTTCCCAAAGTGTTGGGATTACAGGCGTGAGCCACTGTGCTCAGCTGCCTTGTTGGCTCTTCTGCAGTTTAGCATGAGAGTCATGTCAGGTCCCCACTGCCACTCTTGTCTGTAGGGAGGTGGGTACAGATCTGACTTGAGTTTAGGTCAGAGCCAGGATGTCCTCTGGGTTCATGGTGGTCCTAAATAAGGAAAGGCAGAGTGGGGGCAGGGAACCTCCTGCACTCAGGCCCCTCCATGCACCTGCCTCCCCGTGACCCAGGAGGATGGTGAAGTACCTGCCAGTTCTTGGAGGACAGTTAATTCTAATGGCCTACTGAGAATCTTTGTTTCCTGTATTTGTGGCCTGAGTTTGCTCCTGGAGGTCATAGGCCTTATTCTGGGATGTTTACTATCAGAACCATTTCCCCCAGTAGTAGTTATTCACTTACAAATTGCAAAAAATTATCCAGAGTTCTCAATGTAGATCATTTATGACCTGGCTATGCAAAATGCCTGGAAAAGGTCTTCACTCATTTTTATAAAATGGGATAATGCAAACACTTATTTTCTGATTATGTAAAATTGTTTAGATTGCAGTTACATAAGGAAGCACAGTACCACCCTCCCATGAATCCAGAAACACTAGCATGTAAAAACCTGTTTTTGCTGCCACGCTCTTTCCCTTTCAGACTTACACTAGAGCTAGTTCTTTATAAGGCTTGTTTATGGAATGAAATAATTTTCCTTTGGTAGTGGCTGTTTTGCAATATTATGCTCCTACATTTTACTTTCTCACATATATAAAACTAATAAACTACATAAACATAGACGTGCCAGATGTTAGAACTGACGCCTCTTAGGAGTTTGTTTTTAATAAGCTTATGTAATTAACACCTTGAACTGTATTCCATTTGTTTCTTTTGAAATCATACAAAGAGAACAGGATGATATACATGCATAAGGCACCAGCATAGTGCCTTATTGGCTTTAAAAATTATAATGAAGTCATGGATGTTTTACAAGTTAAAACTTGCTAGTTACTTTTAAGGTCTGAGGACTGAAAAGTAGATATGCTACTTAGAAGGGAAAAAAATTAAAGCATAAAGCAATATATAAATTGTTTATATTCATCTCCCCAAGGGCCTGAGCTTAGTGCCTGGCAAGGTGCATGTTGATTGATTGTTTCATTTATTCCATTTGTTCGTTCATTCATTCATTCATTCATTCATTCAGTGCATTTATATTGAGAGCCTGCTAGATACTGTCCTAAGCACAAAAAAGAAAACTTAGAAAAATCTTTGCCCTCCTGGACTTGACACCTTAGTTAGGGGAGGGAAACAATGAAAACCTACACAAATAATATCCAAACTATTTCAGATGGTGAAAAAATGGTAAGAAGAAATATAAGGGGCCGGGCACGGTGGCTCACTCCTGTAATCCCAGCACTTTGGGAGGACGAGGTGGGCAGATCACCTGAGGTCAGGAGTTCGAGACCAGCCTCAACATGGAGAAACCCTGTCTCTACTAAAAATATAAAATTAACCAGGCATGGTGGTGCATGCCTGTAATCCCAGCTACTCGGGAGGCTGAGGCAGGAGAATTGCTTGAACCTGGGAGGCAGAGGTTGTGGTGAGCCAAGATTGCGCCATTGCACTCCAGCCTGGGCAACAAGAGCGAAACTCCGTCTCAAAAAAAAAGAAGAAATATAAGGCAGAGGCAATGTGGACAGGTCAGGGAGCTGCAATTTTAGACATGATATTCTTGAGAAGAGGGTATTTGAGTAATATCCGCAGAGGATGAGGGTAGGTAATTGTGGGAAGAGCTGAGCAGGCCGAGAGAGGAGCAAGTTCAAAGGCCTGGCCAAGGTGGAGTGGCTCTGGTGTGTTGGAGGAGTAGCAAGGTGGCCAGTGTGGCTGGGGCAGTGAGGCTGGGAGAGGCACACATTGAAGCAGGAAAGATGTAGGGGTGTATAGTTGTGAGGAGCCTTCTGTGTCATCCTGGGGGCTGTGGCCTTTTCTCTGAAAGAAACAGGAGCCCGAGTAAGGTTTCTGAGCAGAGGGACATGATCTGACTTAGTCTCCAACAGGATAGCAGGATCTTTCCAACTGTTGTGTTTAGAGGGTGCTTGAGGGTACAGTGGGGAGCCCAGAATTTGATTTCCCAGTATAAAATACAGCTGAACTGGGCTGGGCGCAGTGGCTCACACCTGTAATCCCAGCACTTTGGGAGGCCAAGGTGGGGGGGATCACTTGAGGTCAGGAGTTCGAGACCAGCCTGGCCAACATGGTGAAACCCCATCTCCACTAAAAATACAAAAAAATTAGTTGAGCATGATGGTGTGCACCTGTAATCGCAGCTGCCTGGGTGGCTGAGGCAGGAGAATTGCTTGAACCTGGGAGACGGAGGTTGCACTAAGCTGAGATGGTGCTGTTGTACTCTGCACTCCAGCCTGGGTGACAGAGTGAGACTCCGTCTCAAAAACAACAACAAGGACAACAACAAAAAACAGTTGAACTGCTGTGCTCTGAGAATGGAAACACACGGTCCATCCTGACAGAATCAACTAGGCGTCTTGACAGTACATTGAATTTTTTGCAGGCTTTCTTCCCATAATGTGTCAAACAATTAAAATAAAAATACTTGTATCCACATCCCAGAGAAGAAAGTGAAATTACCCCTTTTTATAGGGCAATCGAGAAGCATAAACAAGTTTGGGTAGGTGATAGGCATGCCTTAACTAGTTCATTTCCTTTTAAGGGATTGTTTCATTGTAAATCCAGGAATATGAATGGGAAGGAGGGGAGTAGGAATGTCCAAGCAAACATTGACCAGTAAAACTGTTAGCCAAGATGAACTGATAAAAATGTTAATTCTTCAATGAAATGAATTGCTCTTTCAAAAAATTATGTATTAGATGTCAGTGAAAAAGCCAGTGGTGATGTTAATAAATTCTCACCTTGTAAGCAAACTGAGAAAATGGGTATTTTCATTCTCACAGTAACTGGGTTAGGAGAATGATGTGAATTCGTTGCAGCTTTTTTAGTTCTCTTAGGCAGAAATGACTGTCAAGTTTACATTGTAACCCTGTGTAGAATGTGACACAAAGCAAATAATCTCCACTCTCACTCTTAACTTCCAAGATATTGTTCTTTTCAAACTTAAATTTTATTGTGTGTATTTGAGGTTTACAGCATTTTTTTTGGGGGGGGGGGAGATGGAGTCTCACTCTTGTCACCCAGGCTGGAGTGCAGTGGTGCGATCTCAGCTCACTGCAACCTCCGTCTTCTGGGTTCAAGCGATCTCCTGCCTCAGCCTCCTGAGTACCTGGGATTACAGGTGCTTGCCACCATGCATGGCTAATTTTTGTATTTTTAGTAGAGACGGGGTTTCGCCATGTTGGCCAGGCTGGCCTCGAACACGTGGCCTCAAGTGATCTGCCTGCCTTGTCCTCCCAAAGTGCTGGGATTACAGGTGCAAGCCACCACACCTGGCCTTTTTTTGTTTTTTGAGACAGGGTCTCACTCTGTCTCAGGCTGGAGTGCAATGGCTCAATGATAGCTCACTGCAGCCTCAACCTCCTGGGCTCAGGTCATCCTCCCTCCTCAGCCTCCCAAATAGCTAAAACTACAGGCATGCACCGCCACACACATCTAATTTTTTGCATGTTTTGTAGAGATAGGGTTTCACCATGTTGCCCAGGCTGGTCTCGAACTCCTGAGCTCAAATGATCCACCCGCCTCAGCCTCCCAAAGTGCTGGAATTACAGGCATGAGCCACCACACCTGGCCACAACATGATGTTGTGGGATACACAGAGACATAGAGATACATTTAGACAGTCTAGTGAAGAGGTTAACACACCTATTATCTCACATAGTTAACTTTTTTTTTTTTTTGTGGTGACAAGAACAGCTAAAATCTACTTACTTAACAGAAATCCCTAACGGAAGACAATTTCATTAACTTCCAAGATGTTTTAAATCTACGAATAAGAACAGATTCATGTGCTTCAGATGCTTTTTCAGAGTACTTTCACATTATTTTCTTGGCAAAAGTAAAAGCCTTTTATGATGAAAATTGAGATCATCTTGAGGGGAAATGATGTAGTTAGGAAATAACTTTTCTTCCCCACAAAACGGAAATGAAAGTATGGCCATGATGTCATATGTAATATTTTATATAGTTACCTGGATAGATGGGCAGATGCATAGATATGGATACAGATAATACACATGTGCCGGAACAAGAAAAGTTCCTTTGTAGGACTGACATTCTCTAAATCGGATTTTTCCTGTATATTACAGATCAGAGTGTGGTATAGGATGAACGCAACAGAGTTCCCCTATACCTGACATTCACAAGCTGGCCTCTGAGTCCCTGAATGGCATCCTTAGTGCACTGAGCTGTGTGGTGTGATTGGCCTGGAGTTCAAGGAGCCATCAGAAGGGTAGATGCCAGAAGCTAACTCATGCACTGTACTTGGAGAGGGCTAGGTGTGTTGTGAAGAGTTTTTTGGGGATTGCATGGCATTTTTCCAGACAGTGGGGGTAAACTGGTTTCTTTCTGATTTTGTTTTTGATTTGAGACAGTCTTGCTCTGTCACCCAGGCTGGAGTGCAGTGGTACAATCTCCAACCTCACTGCAACCCCTGCCTTCTGGATTCAAGCAATCCTCCCACCTCAGCCTCCCAAGTAGCTAGGATTACAGGCGTGTGCCACCATGCCTAGCTAATTTTTTTGTATTTTTACTAGAGATGGGGTTTCACCATGTTGGCCAGGCTGGTCTTGAACTCCTGACCTCAAGTGATTCATCCACCTGGGCCTCCCAAAGTGCTGGGATTAGAGGAGTGAGCCACAGTGCCTCCTGCGTCTTTCTGACTTTGGAAAGACACTATCCAACTGGTGTCATATGAATGAAGGGCTCTAAAATAGTTTCTAGTAAATAGAAACAAACAGGTTTTCCTTTAGCTTCTGGGTGGGGCTTATTGTAAGCGCTCATCACCACAAAAGGAATATATGCATGTTTTCCGTGGCTACAGCATTGCTCTTGTATTTGTTTTCTTACAACACCCGAACCAGGCCATATATGGTGCCTCATGCCTGTAATCCTAGCACTTTGGGAGGCTGAGGCAAGAGCATCACATTGAGCCCAGGAGTTCAAGACCACCTTGGGCAACATGGTGAAACTCCCATCTCTACAAAAAATACAAAAAATTAGCTGGGCCTGGTGGCGTGACCTGTAGTCCCAGCTACTCGGGAGGCTGCCTTAGGAGGGAGGATCACTTGAGCCCAGGAATTCGAGGTTACAGTGAACGGTGGTTGCAGCACTGCATTCCAGCCTGGGTGACAGAATGAGATCCTGTTTTTAAAAACAAAAGATGAAACTCGGCCGGGCGCGGTGGCTCACGCCTGTAATCCCAGCACTTTGGGAGGCCGAGGCGGGCGGATCACGAGGTCAGGAGATCGAGACCATCCCGGCTAAAACGGTGAAACCCCGTCTCTACTAAAAATACAAAAAATTAGCCGGGCGTAGTGGCGGGCGCCTGTAGTCCCAGCTACTTGGGAGGCTGAGGCAGGAGAATGGCGTGAACCCGGGAGGCGGAGCTTGCAGTGAGCCGAGATCCCGCCACTGCACTCCAGCCTGGGCGACAGAGCGAGACTCCGTCTCAAAAAAAAAAAAAACAAAAAAAAAACAAAAAAAAAACAAAACAAACAAACAAACAAAAAAAAACACAAAAGATGAAACTCAAACCTGTGGAGGGAACCAGTGGCATTCCTCCTGGTCTCCCTGATGGTAGTAAAATGCTGAGGATTTTCTGGATAAGCTCCTTGTGTATTCAGTGCCCTTCTAGATGGGCTATCTTTATTTTAAAATCTTAGTTGCTTTTTTTCTGTCAGGATATGAGAAGATTGTGAGACTTTAATTAAGCCCATTGAACCCAGGAACTTTCCATTTATTCCTTTTGGTGTGGGAAATATCTTTGGATTCAGGAAGATCTTTGACTCTCAACATGTTAAAAATTATCAGCAATAAATGTAAATAATTAGAAATCAATAATTCCTGTACTCTGATTTAGGAGGCTTGGTTTCTTGTCTTTTGGGACAAGTCACTCAAAACCCTGTGGTCTTTGGTTACTCTTAATTCATCTTTGAAATAAAGTTATCAAATGAGATCATATTTAAGGCCCTTCCCTGTATTGAAATTCTAGATCTTTATTTTTATAATAGGTTGGAATTCTGTGCCACTCATGTGATATAACTTGGTCCCATCAAATAATAGGAGAAATTTTAACCTTCCTGTTGGAGGAGTGAGGACTTCTATTTCATGAGTGCTTATTGAATGCCAGATGATCTGTCAAGGGTTTACAAGTATTTTATTTAATCCTATTACAGCCTGTGGGGTAGCTTTGTAATTACCATTTTACAGATGAGGAAAATGAGGCCGTACACATTTAACTACCTTACTCTGGGTCAGTAAGTAGCAGAGAAAGAGAGAAGGGTTCAGATGCCAAACTTCCTGTTCCATTGACTGGAGTTCTCTGTCACCCACAATTTTTTTTTTTTTTTTTGACGGAGTTTTGCTCTTGTCACCCAGGCTGGAGTGCAGTGGCGCAATCTTGGCTCACTGCAACCTCAGCCTACCAGGTTCAAGAGATTCTCCTGCCTCAGCCTCCGGAGTAGCTGGGATTACAGGCATGCGCCACCATGCCTGGCTAATTTTTTTGTATTTTCAGTAAAGGCGGGGTTTCACCATGTTGGCCAGGCTAGTCTCAAACTCCCAACTTCAGGTGATCCACCCGCCTCAGCCTCCCAGAGTCCTGGGATTACAGGCATGAGCCACTGAGCCCGGCCACAATTTTTTTTTTTTTTTGAGACAGGGTCTCACTCTGTCGCCCAGGCTGGAGTGCAGTGGCACGATGTTGGCTCACTGCAGCCTCTGCCTCCCTGGCTTAATTGAACCTCCCACCTCAGCTTCCTGAGTAGCTGGGGCCGCAGGCGTGTGCCATCATGCCCCGCTAATTTTTATATATTTTTCTTGGTAGAACTGGGGTTTGACCACGATGCTCAGGTTGGTCTCAAACTCCTGGGCTCAAGTGATCCGCCTGCCTTAAAGTGCTGTGATTATCAGCGTGAGCCACCGTGCCTGGTTGATAATTCTTTCTCATGTAGGCCACCCTTATTCTGTGAAGCTTTTCTCTTCCTGTTGGGCTGTGGCCATACCTGTAAAGAGGAATAACATCCCAGTGGGTTTAGATCTTGTCTTCACTGTTCAGCCTCTTCCATGACAGAGGTGGGACTGGGTCTGCTGTCAAGGATCACAGAGGCAGACACCATGCTAATGGTTCACTTTATTGGTGTCAGCAGCATTAAGATTCACAGCTGGACAAAAATATAATGAAACAGAGCTGGCCAAGGGCTGGATGAGCTTCTAGGATTATATCCCCATTTGTTAGTTTGGTTTTTCTAGCTGGTGAGGGACAAGGCACTATCAATTCACAGGTGCCAACTGTATGTTCTGTTGAGAGGTTTTTGTGTGGGTGCAAAGTTAATGAAATCAGGGTCACAGTTTTCAAAATCTCTGTGGTTTGGTTTTCATTGAAGTGTATGACAGCGAGTTTCGTACTTTATTTAAAGCAAAGTGCATGCCCTCTATATTCCTGCTTAAATATCTATGGCTATTGAATTCATGAGGAATCACCAAACCTGGGTTTCTTCCTGTCTCTCCAGTCCCCTGTCCTGCCACACCTCTGCATTCTGACCTTTTAGTCACCCAGGGTAGCTTTACCTCTTGGAACATGTTAAGCTCTCTCTCTGGACTCAGAGGAATTACATTTGATATTCCCTCTGTATGGAACTTCTTCCTACCCCCTTCCCTCAGATCTTCGTTTGTTATTGTTTCTAATGATATATTTCATGTATCAATGTCTCATTAGACTGTATTACTCTTGTGAGGTCAGTAGGGACAAGAATCGTGACTAGAAGCTCACCATTATATATAAAAATGCTGGTTTAGCGGGCAGTCTGTCAATTCCTAGTTACCGAGTGAATTTTATGGCACTCTCAGGAAAGAGAGGGATCAACTTTACTGCCATCCATCCATCAATCCATCCATCCATCCATCCATCCATCTGTTCATTCATTTGATAAGTATTTATTACGTAACTGCTAAGTGTTGGGTGTTGCAATAATGTTAGATATTGAGGTTATAAAAATGAATAAGATCCATTCCCAGTTTTCATAAACTCTAAAGTTGCCTGGTAACAACAAACACGTAAACAAATAAGTCACCTTTTAAAAACTCCTTACAGTGGGAAATTTCAGATGTATACCAAGTGGGGAGCATATGTTAAAGAGCTGCCATGTTCCATCACCGCTGATCTTGTTCCATCTATATCTGCACTCACCACCCCTCCCAGGCCCAGGATTTTAAAGCAAGTCCTGGATATCGTGTGCAGCCATTTGTGAGATGCGGAACGTAGGTGCCACACAAAGAGTATTTTTCAGTTGTTACCTGTCAGTTCTTAAAAATGTGGAGTTTTGGCAATAGCACCAAGAAACAGTTGCTTCAACCTTAGCTGTATAAAAGCAGAGGGTTACCAGCGTCATGCCTGTTGTCAGTCAGTTTTGATTGAGTTGTCTGGACTCCTGCGTCTCACTTACCAGTTGCGCCGGGGAGCTGTGTGAGGAAATCAGCCAGAGTCAAGCTCAGTCTCATACCACAGACGGTCACACCGCGAGGCTCTCTAGTCAAGCTGTGGCAGATTATAATTTTTCTAAAACACAAAAACTCAAATATTGTACATCATTTAACCATAGTACTAGAAATTTCAGATTGTTCTGAGATCAATATTTTCATTTCTAAAATTCTGGTCATATCACATTCAGATCTTGTTGGTCAAATGCTTGAAAATGTTCACAGCCTCACGTTTGTGTGCCAAAAAGGCGGCCAGAGAAAACCCAGTGTGATTCATGCTCATCAAGATCTGTGAATGTGGTCTATAATTGTGACTTCATTCCCACCCAATTATCTGTGCTGCTTTTCAAATCTGTGATTCTGTTAAGCTCAGGGCAGATTAAAAATGGAAAATGAGTTCAGTCTAAAACTGCCATCTGCTAAATCCAAATGTCCATTTTGAGTCTGAATCTAGGCTTGTACTTTCTAAAAACCAATGATCAATGTTCCCATTCTTTTCTCCACATTTTCAAGTTCTTAGGGTTTTTGTGTAATACTCTTTTGAGCCACTGATAGCCAGCAGATTGGATTTTTCAGAGCCTTTCGTTCCAAAGAGATCTAATATTAAGCACACAGCTTAGTAAATCCCTTCAACAAGTTCTCATGACTTAACCGTATGACTGCATTAAAATAAACTAATGGCCACACTTTGCTCTTCTGTGCAGTAGAAATAAACATTCATGTTTTTTGATTTTATATTGGATACTTAATACCTAGCACAACACTCGGAATATAGTAGATGTTTAGTAAATATTATTTGAATTAATGAAATATCCTGTGAACTGTTGATGATTGAAGGGCATAAACACAGGCGAATGTTGACAGCTTTCCTCAGTTTCTTCATCATACGTGAAAATCACTGTGCTGTGCAGAGGTGCTAGCATATACTCCGCATGAGGGATGTGGAGTAGGCCTTCTTCGTCATCTCTTTTATTAGAGCTGCTCCTCTGCCTGGCCAGGAAACTGAGTTTGTTCATATTTAGACTAAACTTTTCAGATTTCTTCCCAGTAGGTAGTTGGGGATGACTAGTTCATGCATAAGATTTTGGTAATAACATTTTTGCTACCAGTCTCAAGCCTGCCGAATCCTAGGGTCAAGCAGGCTGCACTGGGCCTGTTGGAAGTAGAGGAGAGGGAAAGTGTTTCTGCCGCGACTTTAACTCTGTCCTACCACAGATGACATTTCCCCAAGGGAGCAGGGAGTGTAAGAAGAGAAAAATGCAGAGGACCTTGGGGAATCATTGCATGTAAGGGTGTGCTGAGGAGGAGGGGTGGATGGTGACAGGGAAACTCACAGGCAGTGGGGTTCTAAAATAGAGACAGTGTGGGCCCCCATGGCTGTTGCCTAGGAAGCGAACTCCATCAGTGCCTTTCTTGCTTTCTTTTTTTTTTTTTTTTTTTTTTTTTTGAGACAGAGTCTTGCTTTGCTGCCCAGGCTGGAGTGCAGTGGCGCAATAATCTTGGCTCACTGCAGCCTCTACCTCCTGGGCTCAAGTGATTCTCTCGCCTCAGCTTCCTGAGTAGCTGGGATTACAGGCATGCACCACCACGCCCAGCTAAGTTTTGTAATTTTTTTAGTAGAGATGAGGTTTCACCATTTTGGTTGGCCAGGCTGGTCTCAAACTCCTGACCTCAAGTGATTCACCCACCTCTGCCTCCCCAAAGTGCTGGAATTACAGGTGTGAGCCACTGTGCCCAGCCTCTTCTGTGCTCTTCTAATATGCTATGTGATATCCTTTAAACAAATGCAAGTCTCAAATGTTTAAATTTATCCAAAGACTCTGTGGGGGATTGTACTGCGTTCACCCTTTCTGGTATGGTTCTGGGTTAGCGACCTTTACAAAAGACACCTTGTGTGAGATTTGGGAGCTGGAAGTGAATCAGCAGCATATTTTTTTGACTCTGAAGGTTGGTGTAGGATGCCAGGCATTGTGGCAGCTTCCACATGGTGTCACTGATCTGCTGGCTTACCTTGCTGGCATGAGACAGCATCTGAACCCACAACAGCTCCAGAGCCCGCCAGATCTCCGCCTTCTGTGTCCTCGGCCATGTGTGCAGGTCCATTGTGAAGAGTGTGACGGTCTCGCTCTGTCACCCAGGCTGGAGTGCGATGGTGCCATCTTGGCTCACTGCAACCTCCGCCTCCTGGGTTCAAGTGATTCTCCAGCCTCAGCCTCCTGAGTAGCTGGGATTACAGGCACCCACCACCACGCCTGGCTAATTTTTGTATTTTTAGTAGAGACGGAGTTTCTCCATGTTGGTCAGGCTGGTCTCGAATTCCCGACCTCAGGTGATCCACCTGCCTTGGCCTTCCAAAGTGCTGGGATTACAGGCATGAGCCACCGTGCCTGGCCCCCCAATTTTTTTTCCTGCTATTTTTTTCCTTAGACATTTGGAGACCTAGAAGCAGGTGCTGAGAGAGCTCTGAGGAGGAGGGTTTGTCAATCCTGCCTTCTGGGAGGCCGTTTATTCTTCAGGAGGGGATCTGTGGTAACCGGGATCCACCTGTGCGCAATAGCATCACCATGACCGTATATGCCAAAGCCAGGATTTGACATGGGTGCTGGCAGGTTTTGGGTGTTTTTGGAGAGAGGGGATGGAAGGTATGAAATAAGCCTCACTCCAGCCACCTGCCCTATGGGTGTGCCCCTGGGGGCTTCACTTGCCATTTGCATGACCTAATACGTCCCTCTGGCATATGTCGTTACACGTTAAAACTTTTTCCTGAGACAAAGTATACTTCCAGCTCAACCCATCTGTAGAAACACTGGGAGTGATACCTCAGAAAAGTATTTGAGATTAGTTATTACAGTCAGTGAATGTCTGCAGAACGACGACGACGTGGCAGGAAGTGATGACAGAGCTGGTGAGAACAGTAACATTACAGGGATTCAATGAGGCCGAACAAGAAAACGAGAATTAAAGACATTTTTATGGTTGTAGCAATTTCACCTGAAAGGTTGCTAAAAGTGTTTATCACCTTAAAAATCTTTAAACAAGCTAATTAAGGGTGAAAACACCTTGGGAAGTCATTCAAAAAATCAGTTAGGTTTCATTGTACCATAGTGATTTCTTTTTTTAATGGATTTAGCTTAGAGGGGATGTATATATCTCCATCCATCCCTCTTCAAACAAGGAGCAATGTAAATATAACAGAATTTATGTTATATAAAAATATATGTACTTATTATTAAGGACGGAAAAGGTAAAGAAACAATAAAGGAGTCAGCAGTCTGTCTTTCTCTCAACTTTGGGGAGTTAGAGCAACACACATGAGTTTTCCCTTGGGGAAAACTTTATAGATACATAAAATAGGAGGATCACACATTCGTTTGCATACAATCTGCATGCAACAGATCACATTGTATCTCCTGATGTTTTCAGATGCTTTTTTTTCTTTTTATTTTTTTCCTCTCCTGAATCTGTCAACTTATTCTAAACTGGAAGTGACATCTGGGGAAAGAAGCGCAGAAATAACAAAAGTAACGATACAAATGCCTTTTGTTTTCCTAGTAGTTTTAGGTTTTCCATTTTCCAGAGACAGAAGTGAATTGGGATAAATCTCAGAAATACTGTGAAACCGATTGTTGAGGAAACAGTGCTCTGTGTCTTTTCTCCTTAATTGCAACAGCAGTCCACCCAATCTGAACTGCTCGGTACAATGCCCCTTATCTCTGTATTTTTATGTTGGTTGTATGAAAGACGGGTGTTTGGGACAAAGATGCTCTGTGGCTTTGGGGGAAGATTATACAAGTTTGTTGTCCGTTGAGCTGACACGGGTGATGACTCCACAGATTTAATTTAAATCTTCAGCAAGTGAAATGGATTGTCATACATATGGACAGATGCTGTGACCAGGTTCTATGAGAAGAAAAGGAAAGAGAACTTGAATCTGCATGTATCTCTTTTCCTGTTTTCAAAGACAGGGGTGGGAAAATTCTTATAAAAAGATCGCGTGACTCAAAATTTCACAATTTTCTCAAAAAATTATTTTGAGGAAATAACGTTTTCCCATGTTCCTAAACTTGAACTAATATTGCTTAAGTTTAATGCCAGAGAACCAAAGAGGGAAAATAAGAAAGAAGTGAAACAGATGAGGCAAGCAATAAACTCCAGACCAGAAACTTTTGAACACCTTAAAAGAAAAGGTTTAAAAAAGAATCCGTTTCAGTGTTTTAATCATGATATTTATTATAATAAATGTAGAGATGATTTTAAGTCTTATTATAGTTACAAGTTTATTTTGCAACATCAGTGCTTGACATTAGTATGGTGGGGTGTTGAGTCAGACGTAGATTTTGTGTTTCCGTAAAGATGGCAGCATGCGATCCTATGGAAACCTCATCTACATTATTTAAATTTCCTGCAGACTCATGTTGCAAGTATTTTTAGTAAAATTAAATATTTTTATGGAGTAGGTCTGTAGCTATCTCAAGGAATAAGCTGAATAAAAATAATGCAAACACTGTCAGTCCTGAAAGAGCATGGCTTTTTAAAAACTGCTTTATTGAGGTATGCTTGATAAGTGAAAAGCTGTGCATTTTGAATGTATACAATTCGATGAGTTTGGGAATAAGTATATGCCATACCATCAACATCATAAACATATCCATCATTCCCAGAGTTTCCTCCCACCCCCATATAACATAGAAATGATGATTATTCTTATTATTTCATTTTTTAAAGCCTGAATTTTGAGTGGGTAAAGATAATCATCAGGTAGTTGGTTGGTTTCATTGATTGGAATGTAAAAGATTCTTTTTGTGGGATGGCAGACAAGACCCACTCTTAAAAACACACATATACATTCTTCTATTCTGTTGCCTTTCTTGGCATTTAAATCATCAGGACTGATGAAAGTGGTAATTATGGGGACTTACTGCACATCTGGAAAGTAATTTGGGAAGATGTAAAAGCAGCTGTGCCACCCTTTTCTAATTATTATCTGGAGTGAGGAGTGGCTATTATGGCATGTTGTAGGGTGTGAAATGCTGGCTTTCTTTGGCCTGAGTTGATTTGAACAGCTGCTCTTTTCCTCAGGAGCAACAAATATATTTTTCAGGTCCCCAAGTTATTGGGGGAGTTTTGAGTGATTGGGAATGGGATAGAGAATTTCACTCGTAGGAAAAACAGAACTGAAGTGAAGAGTTGGCTTGTTGTTGGTTTTATGATATTGTGAAATACATATTTGGTCTTAATCTTGTTTTCCGGCAAACTCCTAAAACCCTTGGAACCTCCAAAGTGATAAGTGTATTTTTTTGTATGTTAATGAGTTGACTGATGGCTGGCCACTCTAGGTAGCTTCAGAATGGAAGCTGGTCACAGGAAAGACCCGGGCTGGATTAGAGGGTTGGGACATTTAGCCCCACCTCCCAACCTCTGGGGAGGGGAGAGGGGCTGAAGGTTGAGCTGATAGTCATTGGCCTTTGATTTAATCAATCATGCCTGCATAATGAAGCTTCCATAAAAACCCCAAAAGACTGGGTTCTGGGAGCTTCTGGATAGCTGAACACATAGAAATTTGTGTAGGGTGGAGCATCTGGAAAGGGCACGGAAGCTCCGACACCCTTCCTCAATACTCTGCCTTGTGCATCTCTTCATCTGGTATTCATTGGTATCCTTTGTGAATTCTTTCAAAATAAGTCAGTAAATGTAAGTATAGTGTTTCCCCAAGTTTTCCGAGCCACTCTAGCAAATTAATTGAGCCCCAAAAGGGGGTCGTGGGAACCCTAATTTGTAGCAGGTAAAACAACCTGGAGCTTGCTTCTGGCATCAGAAGTGAAGAGCAGTCTTGTGGGACTGAGCCTTCAGCCTTTGGGTTATGAGGCTGTCTCTGGTTCGGTAGTGTCGGATTTGAACTGGAAAACACCCAGCTAGTGTCCACTGCAGAACTTGCTGCTTCTTTGGAGTGTGGAGGGAGGGGAACCACCTCCCCTGCCCAACCATGTCTGGTGTCAGAAGTGATCTCTGTTGTGAGGCTGTAGAAGACATTGAGTTTGGTTTTTCTACATCATCAGAATATTCTTAGGATATATGAGAGAGAAGAGAAAAAGGGGAAGAAAGTAGTTTGGACAAAGCTATATTAATAATTACATAAATAATATATAAATAGTTTTTTTCCCAGTGGTCTTGGTTAGTCCAAGACGACGGTTGGTTGTGATAAGTTGGACAGTTCACAAACGTGAAAGCTGGTTGTTTTAGAGAGAAACCAGTATTCCATGTTGGAATACCTCAGTGTGGACCTCTGTGTATAAGAGACAGAGAGAGTGATGGATTTCTATTCCAGACCAGAAAGCCACAGGGTAGTGTGTAAGCTGTAAACCCCCTTAACAAGTACACTTGGCTGTTGGGAGACATGGACTTTCTATTTGGTCAAAGTGGCAGGTGTGTTTTGTTTCCTGGCTGGATGAAGGCAGAAGTTTCTGGATGAGGACAGCATCACGTTCCTGAGACCAAGACAACTCCAAAGAGCCCAGGATCTTCCAGGGTCCCCGGTTGTGATAGGGATCAGATCTGTAACTCATAAAAATGGGCTTTCAGGTTAAGTTGCTCCCCTTTGCCCTCAAACTCACACACAAAAGGGAGCTCCTTTGTCTTTGTCAATATAGGCTGGGGAAAGGAGCTAAGAAACTAGGAGAGGCTTCAGGGTGAACAGGGATGGTGAGCACTTTGTTTCTTTGAAGTATCAGCAAACAAACATCCCTAGGTGAATCAAGGAGGATGCCCTGGTGCTGAAGATAGCCCAGCTCCCTCTGTCCTGGGAACTACCTGGGTGCTTGCTTGCTTTCTCTCTCTCTTTCTTTCTTGCTTTCTCCCTCTCTTTCTTTCTTGCTTTCTCCCTCTGTCTCTCTCTCTCTCTCTCTCCTTCCTTTCTTTCTTTTCTTTTTTTTTTTTTTTTTGAGGTGTAATTTTGCTCTCGTTGCCCAGGCTAGAGTGCAGTGGCGCAATCTCGGCTCACTGCAGCCTCCGCCTTCTGGTTTCAAGCAATTCTCCTGCCTCAGGCTCCAAAGTAGCTGGGACTACAGGCACCCACCAGCAAGCCCAGCTAATTTTTTTGTATTTTTAGTAGAGACGGGGTTTCACCATGTTGGTCAGGCTGGTCTCGAACTGCTGACCTCATGATCCACCTGCCTCCCAAAGTGCTGGGATTACAGGCGTGAGCCACCGCACCCGGCCCTCCTTTCTTTTCTTTTCCTTTTTTCTTCTCTTCTCTTCCCTTTTCTTCTCTTTTCTCTTCTCTTCTCTTCCCTTCCCTTCTCTCTTCTCTCTCTTTCTTTTTCCTTCTTTCTTTCTTTCTTCTTTCTTTCTTTTCTTTTCCTTTCTTTCTTTTCTCTTTCTTTCTTTCTTTCTTTCTTTCTTTCTTTCTTTCTTTCTTTCTTTCTTTCTTTCTTTCTTTCTTTCTTTCTTTCTTTCTTTCTTTCTTTCTTTCTTTCTTTCTTTCTTTCTTTCTTTCTTTCGGCATCCTTAGTAAATTATTTCTTTTCTTTCCATTCTTTCTTTTCTTTTCTTTCTTTCTTTGACGGAGTTTCACTCTGCTGCCCTGGCCAGGTTGGAGAGCAATAGTGCGATCTCTGCTTACTGCAACCTTTGCCTCCCAGGCTCAGGTGATTCTCCTGCTTCAGCCTCCTGAGTAGCTGGGATTACAGGTGCCCACTAATGCGCCCTGCTAATTTTTTTTTTTTTTTTTTTTTTTTTTTGAGACAGGGTTTCACTCTTGTTGCCCAGGCTGGAGTGCAATGGCACAATCCTGGCTCACCGCAACCTCTGACTCCCGGGTTCAAGTGATTCTCCTGCCTCAGCCTCCTGAGTAGCTGGGATTACAGGCATGCACCACCATGCCCAGCTAATTTTGTATTTTTAGTAGAGACGGGGTTTCTCCATGTTGGTGAGGCTGGTCTCGAACTCCTGACCGCAGGTGATCCGCCCACCTCAGCCTCCCAAAGTGCTGGGATTACAGGCGTGAGCCCCTGCGCCCGGCCCAGGTTCTGTTTTCAGGCAGTTTCCTTTCCTGGAGGCAGCACAGCAGAGGCCAGGAGGCTGAGGGCCACGGTGCATGTCCTCAGAGGGGCAGCAACAGATTCTATCTTGACCTTTGTTATTTTTCTACTGGACACTTGACAATAGACGACATTTTGAAGAGGAGGGGGTCTCCCACGTTGCCTGCTGTGTCAGTCCAGGCTGTGGGCTCAGACAGACAAGACTGATTGTAGTGAAGGGGTGACTTTTGTCCAGACACATTCAAAGATCTTACTGGCCTTAGAAGAGTCCTTCTTGTCTCCACACTGTGCTAGGAACTTTGAGGCAATCAGCTCAAATGCAGAACATGTTATTGGTGGGGAAGCAAGGAGCTTTTCTGAAGCGTCATTTTTTTCCCGTCTCTGTTTCTCCTCTCCCTTGGTTCTGTAAAATCAGTGAATGCAGAAGTAGGGTAGAGATGATCCTTGCTCTGCCCCAGGCCTGCTGACCAGGGTGTAGGTCTTTAGCAGAAAGGCTTTGGGAGAAATTCAACTCCCAAGCCCTGCTTGCATCTAAGCCTGCTTCGCAGTGTTAGGCGTGTGTTGCTATGGGCAGTGCACCAACATTAAATAACTGAAGGGGTTGGCTAGCAGTCTGTAAAATGGAAAATGTGTGTGTGGCTTTAGGTGGTCTAAAAGTCGTATTTTCCTTGGTTGTCTTGGTAAAGTCATTTATTTATACCAAAGAGCAGAATGTTGGGAGGTTAAAAAAAAAAAAAAGAGCTGGAGGAGAGGAGAGGTCTTTCTGAATGAATTGATAGAAGAAATGGCATAACTTACAAATGTACAAGGTATTTCTGTCATCCTCCCTGTATGTATTCAGGTATGTTTTTAGGAATCCATTGCTCTAAAGGAAGACTATAGTGTGGAACATAATCTTGCAGTGAGTATTACACTGCGAGAAATTTTTAGCATTTACTACATGCCGGGTGGACTACACGAGCCGGCTAAAGTCTAAGCGCTTCACACGTGTTACTCCAGTAGTCCTCACTGAAGTAGGTGTTGTGATTATTCAGTGTTCCTCAGAGGTTGAGACGTGCCTAAGGCCACTTAACCAATACCAGGCGCTATGGAGCTGGGTGGAAACTCAGAATGAGCTCTAGAGCAATTACGTGGCACTTGCCTTGGGGAAGAAACAAGTGACATGTTTATTTATTTATGCAGGTGAATTTGTAACATGTACTCTTGCACCTGGACTTGGAATGCCTAGTGAATAATGAGTCTAATGAATAATATGAATATTAATGACCATAATAATGAATATTAATGAACACTAATGACTAAATGAATAAAAAGATTTTCCACTTTTCTGAGGGTCTCCTGAGAGGTGCAGTGAGATTTGTCCCAGATGCAATTCTCTATCGGTTCCTGAATTCTCAGGCTCCCATCAGAATCCCTGGGAGGGGTCCTGACATCTCTTTTATGAGCTTCCCAGTAGGTGGTGGTGCAGTCCAGGGGCCACATTGGGCATTAGGAGCCTCTTCCTCACACAGTGCCTTTGCTGAAGGTGCTTCCCTGGTGTTTCCTCTCTTAGCCCTGCTAGGCAGGCAGAGAGATGGGGATTGAAGACTTTGGTGTTGGCACCAGACCGTCCGAGGTTGGAGAGCTGGCCTCTGTGCTTCTTAGTCCTGGGATTTGTGGGCAGTCGCTCAACTTCTTTGAGCTCCTGTTTACCCATCAATATAAGTGGGAAAAAACAGGCCCCTGTCAGAGGGCTGTCCTGAGGGTTAGGAGATCCTGCATGTAAAACAACCTGGCACTTGATGTTTCCCACTTAAATACCAACCTTTATTACTATTAACTCTGCGTAGAGGGAGGTCCGATGGCTGTGGGCTTTTCCAGGGTGGACTGACCTGACCGCCTTTGTTTGTCCACCCCTTCAGGACGGTTCACTGGGAAACATCGATGACCTGGCGCAGCAGTATGCAGATTATTACAACACCTGTTTCTCCGACGTGTGCGAGAGGATGGAGGAGCTGCGGAAACGGCGGGTTTCCCAGGACCTGGAAGTGGTGAGTGGGGGTCCTGGGAATATGCTTCTGTGAGCAGAGCTGCTCCAATTTGGGCTTTTCCTTGGTCTTTATCCCAGTGCTAGCTCTTCCTGGGGTATCAATCTGTAGGCTGCTGCACTAGTGTGGGGTAGAATGTTCAGGTCCCTAAAAGACTGGCCCAGTTCTGCCGCAGATATCAAACTGAGTGAGTGTTGGCTGGAGCAATAGGATCGAACCTTTGCACTCATTAAAAGAACAGATTTGGCCGGGCGCTGTGGCTCACGCCTGTAATCCCAGCACTTTGAGAGGCCCAGGCGGGCGGATCACGAGGTCAGGAGATCAAGACCATCCTCGCTAACACGGTGAAACCCCGTCTCTACTAAAAATAGAAAAAAAATTAGCCGGGCGTGGTGATGGGTGCCTGTAGTCCCAGCTACTCGGGAGGCTGAGGCAGGAGACTGGCGTGAACCTGGGTGGCAGAGCTTGCAGTGAGCCAAGATCACGCCACTGCACTCCAGCCTGGGCGACAGAGCAAGACTCCGTCTCAAAAAAAAAAAAATAGATTTTTATTTTTATTTTTTTACTTAAGGGAAAAGTATATTTTTACTGTTCACCAGTGTATACTACATTTTTTATTGACTCTAAGCCCAAAGGGTGTCTAGGCTAATTTTTTTTCCAGCTTTCGTTCCTTTTTTCTTTTCTTCTCTTTTTCTTTTCTTCTTTTGGAAAGCAACATAAAATTTTAAGGAACAATAAATCACCTGTAGTCCCTCACCTAGCAATAATCACGTTGGTGTTTTAGCGGGTATCCTTCTAGTGTTTTTGTGGGCATTTAAAAATCAGCAAAACTAGCCCACCACTAAAGACACTCTTTTTTTTTTTTTTGAGACGGAGTTTCTCTCTTGTCCCCCAGGCTGGAGTGCAGTGGCGTGATCTGGGCTCACCACAACTTCCACCTCCCAGGTTCAAGTGATTCTCCTGCCTCAGCCTCCCGAGTGGCTGGGATTACAGGCATGCGCCACCACACCCAGCTAATTTTGTATTTTTAGTAGAGACGGGGTTTCTCCATGTTGGTCAGGCCGATCTTGAACTCCCGACTTCAGGTGACCACCCGCGTTGGCCTCCCAAAGTGTTGGGATTACAGGCGTGAGCCACCACGTCCGGCCTAAAGACACTTTTATAAAAAAAAAAAAAAAAAAAAAAATCAGTGATACAATGCTGTATCTATATATTTAAAAAAAACTTCTTCCTTTATTACTTAACATTTTATTGCAGCTCATATTCCCTGTCCTTGAGACTTGTCATCACCATCTTTCATGGTTATAGTCTCCTCTCACTCAGGTGCATTGAAATAAATTTGGCTGTTTGTGAAAACCTTTATGTGTATAATCAGAGATGCATTTGGACTTGTATGTGATAAACAGTAACTAAATAGCATAGGTGCTATATATATAATTTATATGTATACTAGTAGTTCAAAATTGTATATTTGCTATAAAATATCATAAAAGCGTCTGCATTTCTCAGTTTAAATGTCTTACTATTGGATTCACTTTAGTTCCGTGCCTTTCAAATAGTTTTGTTTCATTATGCCAACCTCAGGACCTCCTCAAGAAGTGGGGTTGAGGCAGAAGAAAATGTTCAACCCTCTGTCTCCTCATCCAGACCTGTTCCTTTTGAGCCATCTCATATAGTGGGGGCTGCATGGATATGTTTTAAGTAACAGAGTTCCTCTGCCTTTAAAAAAATGTTTGAAAACTAAGCCGGGAGCGGTGGCTCATGCCTGTAATCCCAGCACTTTGGGAGACCGAGGCTGGCAGATCACTTGAGGTCGGGAGTTCGAGACCAGCCTGACCAACACGGAGAAACCCCGTCTCTACTAAAAAAATATAAAATTAGCCGGGCGTGGTGGCGCATGCCTCTAATCCCAACTACTCGGGAGGCTGAGGCAGGAGAATCACTTGAAACTGGGAGGCGGAGGTTGTGGTGAGCCGAGATCGCGCCATTGCACTCCAGCCTGGGCAACAAGAGTGAAACTCTGTCTCAAAAAAAAAAAAAAAAAAAGTTTGAAAACTGCTGATTCAGTTGAATCCTTATTTATCCTCCTCCCACCTCCTGTTTATCTACTTAGGGTGAGCACACACACAAAAATAATAATTAAGTAACTAATTTAGAACTAAGTAGGAACAGATAATTCTTTTGTTAATAATTATTTTTATGTTACATACAAGGGTTCTGTGAGTCCTCTCATACAAGGGACTCAGCAAGTGGTTGGGTACCACTGCCCTATATTGTGCAAGTGAACATAATCTGTTTCCACGGTAAGACTATGGTGTTCTTATGTACTATTATTTCTTTTCTTAACCAAGTAAACATTCCTTGGATCAGGAGTAACATTATATCATGACTGCCAAATATTAATTGATTCTCTTTCTTTTATGTTCACCAATTTAGTAGCTGCAGGGATGGGAGTTAGTTTAAAGTTGACTGAGGCTGAGAAGTGTCATCCAGGGGCTGACAGCCATCACCACGGGAGCCTGACGCCTTGGCCCAGGTGGGCGGCAGTGTTGTCAAGGGCTTCTTTCTTTTAACTTTGTTCCTTGACATGTGTGAATGCTGGGGTTATTTCCTCCTTTTGAAGAAAGTAACTTTATGTGTCAAAAGACTCCCACACTCTTAAAATTCATTAGGCTCTCCTGTTGAAGCATAGTTAATGAAAAAATACTCTCATTTTGGCAAGATTACCACAGGACAACTTAAATAAATATTGCATAATGCCCTGAATTCTTGAATGTTTCAATTTTTTTTTTTTTTTTTTTTTTGAGATGGAGTTTCCCTCCTGTTGCCCAGGCTGGAGTGCAGTGGTGTGATCTCAGCTCACCGCAACCTCCACCTCCTGGGTTCAACTGATTCTCCTGCCTCAGCCTCCCGAGTAGCTGGGATTACAGGTGCCCACCACCATGCCCGGCTAATTTTGTATTTTTTTTTTTTTTTTTTTAGCAGAGACAGGGTTTCTCCATGTTGGTCAGGCTGGTCTCAAACTCCTGACCTCAGGTGATCTGCCCGCCTTGGCCTCCCAAAGTGCTGGGATTACAGGCGTAAGCCACCGCGCCTGGCCAGAATGTTGCAATTCTTGCCTCAAATGATAGTCTGGTAGGACTCTGTGGCCTCCTCAGACATTTTACTGTGCTTGAGGAAATGATTGCTGTGAACTGGCAGAAGACAGACCACTGACACAACACTAAACTGCTCTTCTCAGGATTCTAGCTGGTTAGGAGTTGGGGTTACCATCATCATCCCATGGTGTTTGGGAACTTTGGAAGGCAGCTTCTAGGTAGGAGAGAAAGTCTGCCCATCGGTGGGATTTAGATTATTATTTTGATTTATTATTTAGATAATAAAACCTCCTTCTCATTCAAACAGATGGGGCTAATTTGGCGTGCTCTGTTCCAAAACCGCAGAAGACAGTCTGGGGGGAGAAAACACCACATGAGCTTAATTAGTTCCCATCAAAGGTGCAAGAATTTGGTGGTGAGTAAAATTGATGGGAGCTGATTCAAGCCAGGCTGGAAGCATGACTGTTCATTCTTTAAATTGTAGTTAGCAAGTAAGACCCCAAATTGGCATATTCAGATTCTCTCTCTCTCTTTTTTTTTTTTTTTTTTTTTGAGACAGAGTTTTGCTCTTGTTGCCCAGGGTGGAGTGCAATGTCATGGTCTCGGCTCACTGCAACCTCTGCCTCCTGGGTTTAAGTAGTTCTCTTGCCTCATCCTCCCAAGTAGCTGGGATTACAGGTGCCCGCTACCACGCCTGGCTAATTTTTGTATTTTTAGTAGAGATAGGGTTTTACCATGTTGGCTAGGGTGGCCTCGAACTCCCGACCTCAGATGATCCTCCCGGCTTGGCCTCCCAAAGTGCTGGGATTACAGGCGTGAGTCACTGCGCTCAGCCTTCAGATTCTCTTTCTATGAAATTCCAGACAAGTTGCAGTGGAAAAGGGAAATTCTAAAACTGGCAAGGATCGGGTTTAGGTGCTGGATGTTTCCTGTGTCACTCACATGGCTCCAAAGTCTAGATGTCCATGTTAGATGTGTTTTGAGGCTAGTCATCATTTAGGCTATGATACAACACTGTTAACCTACTGAAAGTTCCCTCTCACAGTGCTTAACAGTTTTGATTCCTGATGGGAACTCATTTCCTTGAAAAGCTGTGACTTCCAGTCTGTCATGTTCCCTTTTATTGCATCAGAATTTTACATGTATTTCTAATCTTTCAATTCTGCCTTCAGACAAGTAAACAATATGCCTTCCCTGCTGGCTGCTTGGTTGGCACAACTTCAGGTCTGAGGACCTGCAGCTTAATAATTTTTTTCTTTCTTTCTCTCTTTCTCTATCTCTCTCTCTTTCTTTCTTTCTTTTTTGAGATGGAGTTTCACTTTTGTTGCCCAGGCTGGTGTGCATTGGCGCAATCTCAGCTCACCGCAATTTCTGCCTCCTGGGTTCAAGCGATTCTCTTGCATTAGCCTCCCGAGTAGCTAGGATTACAGGTGTGTACCACCCCTCCCGGCTAATTTTTTGTATTTAGTAGAGTTGGGGTTTCACCATGTTGGTCAGGCTGGTCTCAAACTCCTGATCTCAGGTGATCTACCTGCCTCGGCCTCCCAAAGAGCTGGGATTATAGGCATGAGCCACTGTGACTGGCCAGTTTCTTTCTATGTTTGTCAGCAGCCCTGTCAAAGCTGAGTGCGAGATGGCTTTGAGATGAAATAACCTGTTAAAAGCAGAAGAGGAAATATGCAGTAACATATTAGAAGCCTCAAACATTTTATAGGGGAAAAGTAGCATTAGATTTGTTGTATCTGCTCTAGAAAAAGTCATTTTAGAAGACAGCCTTGGGGACAGAGAATTTTGGGTGATGGGTTGAATTGGTTTATGGCTTTGTTTCATTCTAAATCTTCTGGGTGAATTTTGGAGATTGAAGAAATAGTCTACAGATAGGATACTTAGATATTTGTGTTTGGCTTTAAAAAGTCAAAAAATGCATTGTCCTTAAGAGCTAATTATGTATCAACTGGAGAACAAACGAAACAAAAGGACACTCAGCCTACAGAGTTGCTTGACTTAACCCTGAAAAATAAAAGGTTTTGATAATTATGTTAGTAATTAACTTTCTGGACTGGATGTCAAGCTCTTTCTCTAGGACTTAATCACCCGGATCCTGACTGGAATAATGCATTTGATAAAGTGTCTTTGGGGCCAGTTAGTTTTGGTGAAGACAACAGAGAGTACAGATGGGTAAAAATTCAACAATATAAACAGAGATTATGATTCACATTTATAACTATGGTGAGAGTTTTTATTTAGCACCAAATGGGCCCTACAGGAATGGTGTGTTTGGACCACAGCCTTTCCCTCTGCTGGGGATTGGGACATTAGTGCTTGTGAACAGCAGGGAAGTTGCCCATATCTCTCCACATTTGGCACAATCCCTGGGCACCATGTGTTTTTTTGGCTGGGAGAAGCTGCAATCAGAAATGCTAGTGGCTTTCCAAGTCCATAATGGTCCAACTTGAATGATACTAAGTCTGACATCTGTCAAAGTGACACCATGGTCAGGAAAGTACTCAAGGTGGCTTCTTATTACTGGCAGTATCAGCTTCCTCAGCATCTTGAGGTGGAATCTGTGTGGGTATTGGCAGAAAACAAGTTTGTGCAGTTGTTGATGTGGCACGGAGCTGACAGAGAAGTCCCTACCCCCAGCAGCACTCTGTTGATGATGACATACTCATCAGCAGCTGAAGCCTGGCCCAGCTTCTGTGCCAATTTGTTGTCATGACTTTGTGAATACAAGGAAAAGGGAGCCCAGGTGGAGATGCACTGAGGTCTTTAAGGACTGGGAATGTCAATAAAAATATTGCATATTATAACTGTGAAAGGTCATAGCAGGGCCATTGCTGGACGGGTGCAGTGGCTCACACCTGTAATCCCAGCACTTTGGGAGGCCAAGGCGGGCAGATCACTTGAGGTCAGGAGTTCAAGACTAGCCTGGCTAACATGGTGAAACTCCATCTCTACCAAAAACACAAAATTAGCCAGGTGTGGTGGTGCGCACCTATAATCCCAGCTACTTGGGAGGCTGAGAAAGGAGAATCGCTTGAACCCAGGAGGCGAGGTTGCAGTGAGCCAAGATCATGCCGCTTTACTCCAGCCTGGGTGCCAGAGTGAGACTGCATCTCAGAAAAAAAAAAAAAAAAAAAAAAAAAGAAAGAAAGAGAACCATTGTTAATGGTGTAGGAATGACTTATCATTCCTTGCAATTTTAATAACTTAAACCTTCCAAATATAGTTCTGGATTAAGACAGAGGCAGTAAGAGTAGTGTCCATTGTAACCAGTGCTAATTGTCAGAGCCTCTTTTGACTGTACCACCCCCTCTCCAAGCTGGAGGAAGAGCCCTTACCCGGGCTTGTTGCAGTGAGCAAGAGGGTGTAAGAAACATTAATGGAAAGAGGCTGAGGGAGTCACAGACTTGGTTCAAATTCTGGCTCTTTTACTTACCTGGCAAGTGAGGTAACCTCTCCTGGCCTCAGTTTCCCAATTTATAAAATGGGAGTAAAGTATCTCAAAGTTATTAGAGGCTTAAATGAAAAAAATTGCTGTCATCATAAGTGACTGTAACTGTTGATTTCTTTCCGTTCCTTTCTGTTCTGAGTTGAAAAATCCCTGCAGTAATGCTGAAGAGTATCCATTACTTGTACTTCATTAATATTTATTCAAGTGAGTGCAGGGATTTTTTTAATAGCTTTTTATGTTGGAAATGTGAACATCTATAAAGATCATAATACCGTGAACGTCCTGTGCCTGTTTCCCGGCGTCCACAGCTAGCAGCATCCTGCCATTGTTTCATCCTCACATCCCACTCACACTTCATGATTACTATGTTTTTTAAAAGTTTGTTTTGTCCTGGCACGGTGGCTCGTGTCTGTAATCCCAGCACTTTGGGAGGCTGAGGCACGTGGATCACCTGAGGTCAGGAGTTTGAAACCAGCTTGTCCAACATGGTGAAACCCCATCTCTACTAAAAATCCAAAAAAAAATTTAGCCAGGTGTGGTGGCTGGCACCTGTAGTCCCAGCTACTTGGAGGCTGAAGCAGGAGAATCGCTTGAACACTGGAGGTGGAGGTTGCAGTGAGCCGAGATCGCACTATTGCACTGCAGCCTGGGTGACAGAGTGAGACTCCGTCTCAAAAAAAAAATTTGTTTTGAGGTATAACTTATATACATCTAAATGCACAAATGTCAGTTGTATAACTTCATCAAATAAATATACCCACGTCACCCGCAGCCCAGCATGATAGAGAACACATTCAGCACCTGCAAAGTTGCTTCCTGTCCCTTCTAGTGGGTCCTGCCTGGTTTGAGGGCAGGGATTTTTGTTGGTCTGTTTTGGTCACTACTGTACCCTTGCATAGAGAACAGTGCATGGCACATAATAGGTGCCCAATAAGTATTTGTTGAATTCATTCATGTGTGTAAATATTCAACTGAGCATTTAAATATATTTGAAATATTTAATGAGCATTGAGTCTGTCATGTGGGATTTTGCCTTTCCAGAATCACAGACAAAATATGTATTCCCTGCCCACAAAGAGGCCACAGTTTAGTAGGGGTGTGAGGCAAGTAACATACTCTTACCGTGCTGTGCAGGAGTACAGAAGAGGGTCCCTGATGACTCCTTAGAGGAAGTGGTAACCCAGGCTTCCCAATCAGAAGGCACAGGGAAGACTGACCTGGTTGAGGGAGGTGTGGACCGTGGGGAGTAACTTCAGGGAGACGTCACAGTTTCATCCAAGGCCAAAAATGGAGGGAGGGGTAAATGTGGCTAGAAACTATGGTATAAACGATGTGAGGGGAAAAAAGAGGCAGGCTGTTCTTTCACAGGTCCTTGGATTATTAATGATATAAAAGATAAAGTAGAATATTCCGATTCATTCCTATTCACAGGGCGAAACAGAATAAATTGCCATTTTGCAATTGTTGACCGCTGGGCCAAGGTGAACTTGTTCTTGCTTTGCCTGTGGCTTCACGCAGACATGCGCACATAGTCCAGTCTGTGTGGGTTTTTGTTTGGTTTCACTGACTGCTCTTTTGTTATTTGCTACAGACAGCAAAGCATATGGGAAACAGGTTTCCTGTTGTACATTTGAGCTTCCTGAATATTCAAGAAAATGATCAGGAAAGTGAGACTCTGCCCAGCTCAGTCTACAAGGTCACCATTGTTTTTAAGGAACACAGGTCTGCCCCCAGAGCATAGAAACACAGAAGACTTATGTCGTCCCTGAATTCTTATTCTTATCCCCATAGGATAAGAATGAGAACTGTGCCGCACACTATCCTGAGTTATCCTGCTGAAGCCCCGTTGTTTCTCTAAATGGCATTAGTTTTTGTTCTGTTTCCTTTTGTCTTCACTTACATTATTTGCTAGCTTTGGGCTACAGCTGATTTGAAGATGGTGATCAGTATCTGTGGGCATTAGATGGTGAGTCTGAACTCCATTCTGCTGTGGGATTCACACACTTGATGTCAAATACACTGAAGCATTATATCTTAAGCCAGATGGTAATACAGTTCTGTGCTCTGGCCTCTCTCAGACAAAGTCACATTTGTAATCAAATGCCCTGTTCCAATTTAGTCAGCATTTTTTGCACATGGCACTATGGGAACGTGGACATCAACAGATCTCTTGGTGCCAGATTTGATCTTGGCATTCTGTACCTTTGGTAATTAAGAAGGCTTTTCTTTTTTATTAACCCTGCAGTCAGTTCAGGTGTTTCCAACCTTACACTTAGGCACTAGACACCTTTGCAGACTGTTTGTGCACTTGCGGAAACCACCGGGTTGGCTGTGTTGTGCATGACAGTCTAAGAGTAGAGAGAGCTTCAGATTTTTCAAATGTGCATCAACAATTTCAGCTTCTTTTTTTTTTTTTTTTTTTTTTTTTTGAGTTTCACTCTTGTCTGCCAGGCTGGGGTTCAGTGGCGTGATCTCGGCTCACTGGAACCTCCACCTCCCGGGTTCAAGTGATTCTCCTGCCTCAGCCTCTCAAGTTCTCAAGTAGTTGGGATTGCAGGTGCCCGCCACCACACCCAGCTAATTTTTGTATTTTTAGTAGAGATGAGGTTTCACCATGTTGGCTAGGCTGGTCTTGAATTCCTGACCTCAGGTGAGCCACCCGCGTCAGCCCCCCAAAATGCTAGGATTACAGAATTTCAGCTTCTTTTTCTCTTGCTCCTGAACATTTAGAAATGGTTTTTGTTTGCTTGCTTTAATAAAAAGTAGTACACCTGAGGGCTTAAACACCAAACTAGCATACTACTTCAATACTAGTACTTGCCAAAAAGGAAAAAGTCTGAGCTTTGTTGTTTCCATTTGCATACAACAGACAGCATTCCTAAATGTTGAGGAAATTGACACTAACTGGGGAGAAGAGTTAGGAACTCAGGTAAAAGTGGCCACTTTGATGGCGGAACCTAGCAGGTATCCAGGGTTTGGCCAGGGCTTGGCCAGGGCTTGGGAGGGAAAGGAGCATCCCTGTTTTTGGAGTCAGGACCATTCAGGGGGTGAACGAGGCCCAGGCCAGGTGCCTTTTTGGAGCCTGGAATATTAAAACCAGGATGCCAAAATTGTAGTGTGATCTCAGTCTTTACATTTAACAATTATATACATTTTTAACATGGAAGATTACAGTATAATTTATTTAGGCTAATCAGAAGCTAATTATAGGCTATTTAAAAATGTTAATTTGTAGCACACTAGAGGCAGTATGATCTGAAGTGAGACAAAATGTAAAGGAGTGCAGTGAATGTTTGCTTATTTCCAGGCCCTCAGAGTGGGTTTCTGTAGCTGGATCTATGTCATTTAGCGGTGATGTCAACAGTCTACATTTGAGACTGTAGGAGATGACTGAGTGGTCCAAGCCAAGTGGCCCACCTATTCTGCAGAACCCTGTGTGGGGCCTGAGGCAGTTTGGCATCTGGAATGGAATTAGGCAGACACCTGCAGGGCCCAGCCTGGTAGTCAGCTGAGGCAGGGCCCTGAGCCTATGCTGGTGTTGTCACACACTACACCTGACATTGTCCTCCTGACGCACGCAGTCCATATTTTAGACTGATCTCTCACCACAGCTCCTGTACACCGAAATGACTAACAGTAGAGAGAACTGAGCTCTGGGCTGGGCCTGGTGGCTCATGCCTGTAATCCCAGCACTTTGGGAGGCAGAGGCAGGTGGATCCTTTGAGCCTAGGAGTTTGAGACCAGCCTGGGTAACATGGCAAAACCCTGTCTCTACAAAAAAATACAAAAATAAACAGGGCGTGGTGGCACACACCTATTGTCCCAGCCACTGGGAAGCCTGAAGTGGGAGGATCACTTAAACCCGGGAAGTTGAGGCTGCAGTGAGCCATGATAGCGCCACTACACTGCAGCCTGGGCGACAGAGTGAGACTTTGTCTGGGGGAAAAAGAAAGAGAATTAAGCTCTGAGCTGTGGATCACCATGTGTATCAGTGGGAGGTTTCTCTCGCTCCCTCTCATTAGAAGACCATTGCCCCCATTCCAGCAGTATGTTTGCATTTGGGATTGTCTTTTCTTTCGGTTTGGAAGTTTTAAGAATTTTAAGTTGAAGAAAACAAGATGGTAAAATGTTGAGCAAATTTGTTTGGTGTTGGCCAGGTGTGGTGGCTCATGACTGTAATCCCAGCACTTTGGGAGGCCAAGGCTGGTGGATCGCTTGAGTTTAGGAGTTTGAGACTGGCCTGGGCAACATGGTGAAATCCCACCTCTACCAAAAACACCCAGAAAACAAAAACGAGCTGGGAATGGTGGCGCATGCCTGTAGTCACAGCTACTTCGGAGGTTAAGGTGGGAGGATGGCTTGAGCTTAGGAGGCAGAGGTTGCAGTGAGCCGAGATTGCACCACTGCAATTCAGCCTGGGCAACAGAATGAGACCCTATCTCAAAAAAAAAAAAAAAAATTGATGCGGTCACATCAGTTATCCTGACTTTTCAACTATTCAATATCAGGAAGGACACACACTAGCTCATGGGGTAACTTTGGAAAATACATCTCAATACACCCCAGAGCACAGCTCATACCTTTCCCTTAGTGTTTCACTGCACTTCTCAAAAAAGAAAATTAAGTTGTTGCTTTTTTTTCTCCCTTGACAGGTCAATCTGTGTATTAGAAATGGAGACTTAATTTACCAACTCTAGAATGGTATTAAGAATCTAAGTTCAGGAGTAAGCCACTGCTCCTGTCTCTGGCCATTCTGAGACCTGTGCATAAGTAATTTATGTATAAGGCATAGTTTGAGAGACTGGAGCAATTATTTAGAATATGAAGACGTTCTAAATTTGTGCTACAGCAATGTCATCCATCTCATGGGCCCCAGCAGAAGCTGATGAAACTTAATCAAAAATAAATCAAGAGCAAGTCCAAACCAAATTGGAAGCACATCATGAATATTCGTGAACATCTGGATGTGTGTGTGGGGGGGTGTATGTTTTTTTTTAGTGTGTGCAACAGCAGAGACATGATTTCTTAACAAAGATGCCAAAAGGAAGACAGATTTTCATCTGTGATTTCAAAGGGTGTCTTTGTTTGTATGTGTGTGTCCTTTCTCCTTAGGGTGTGGGTTTCTTTTCTCCGAGATATTCCTTTGATCTCTTTCATCTTTCGGGATCTGTTTGGGTATTTTATCTGAATTCTTCATTGGAGTCAGTCATTTTGATTCATGAAGATTAAACATTTCCTTCTAAAGGAGAATTTCAACTTAAGGAAAGTTTTACTATTTAATATTTTTGATGAATCTTTTCAATGCTAGCGATGTGATAATTATCAATTAAGCTATTCTGCATCATTGATCATCAGTTTCACTTCACATGTCTAAACCTCAGGGTACGGTACTTTATCTGCCTTGCTACCTAAAGTACTGCCAAAAACTAAAGAGGAAAAAACAAAGTATGGGAAGGCGGTAATAACAACCATGCTGATAATTATCACAAAAATGACTTTTTGTTTGTTTGTTTTTTTGTTTAAGAGTCTTGCTCTGTCACCCAGGCTGGAGTGAAGTGGTGCGATCTCAGCTCACTGCAACCTCTGCCTCCCGGGTTAAGTGATTCTCCTGCCTCAGCCTCCCAAGTAGCTAGGATTACAGGCGTGTACCACCATGCCGGACTTTTTTTGTATTTTTAGTAGAGACAGGGTTTTGTCATTTTGGCCAGGCTGGTCTCAAACATCTGACCTCAAATGATCCGCCTGCCTTGGCCTCCCAAAGTGCTGGGATTACAGGGGTGAGCCACTGCGACCGGCCAAAAATGACATTTTTTTTTTTTTGGAGACAGAGTCTCGCTCGGTCGCCCAGGCTGGAATGCAGTGGCACGATCTTGGCTCACTGCAAGCTCCGCCTCCCGGGTTCACACCATTCCCCTTCCTCCTGAGTAGCTGGGACTACAGGCGCCCGCCACCACGCCCGGCTAATTTTTTCTATTTTTTAGTAGAGACAGGGTTTCACCATGTTAGCCAGGATGGTCTAGATCTCCTGACCTCGTGATCTGCCTGTCTCGGCCTCCCAAAGTGCTGGGATTACAAGCGTGAGCCACAGCACCCGGCCCAAAAACGACATTTTTAAAAGCACATTAGAGTTGACATAGTTCCTGGGTACATGCTAGAGCTCAATGAATACTTATCATAGATATTATTATTTATAGTAGAGATATTCATTATAAAGTTAGCACTTGTTAAAAGTTGAACAGCTAGTAAGTATCAGAGATGAGATTTGAAACCAGGAGGCCAATGCCAAATCTTCCCTGGCCACTCCCTAACCTTGCATTTTCTTCTCTAGAGTCTCCTCAGAGCCTTCTAGAAGAATCAGTTTGTGTTGACTTGATTTATAGATTAGTTTATGTCCTTGGGTAATATGATATCAAAACGCTATATTATAAAGCATGATATAATATAGAATATTAATATAAGAATATATATATATTTTAAGAGATGGGGTCTCACTATGTTGCCTGGTCTGGCCTCGAACTCTTGGCCTCAAGCGATCCTCCCACCTAGGCCTCCCAAAGTGCTGGGATTACAGGCATGAGCCACTGTGCCCAGCCAAAAGTAATTTTTGCTATACAATTACAACATACATTCATTGTAAAAAAATTGAATAAAAATTCCACAGTAGAATTGTAACGTCTCTTAATACCCAGGTCTCAAAGATAACAATTGTTAACAGCTGGGTTTTTGTTTTGTTTTGAGACAAAGTTTTTGCTCTTGTCACCTAGGCTGGAGTGCAATGGCTCAATCTTGGCTCACCGCAACCTCTTCCTCCTGGGTGCAAGTGATTCTCCCTGCCTCAGCCTCCTAAGTAGCTGGGATTCCAGGTGCCTGCCACCACCCCTGGCTGATTTTTGTATTTTTAGTAGAGATTGGGTTTTGCTATGTTGGCCAGGCTGGTCTTGAACTCCTGACCACAGGTGATCCACCCACCTCGACCTCCCGAAGTGCTGGGATTACAGGCGTGAGCCACTGCACCCCACCTTCCCATAGTGTTTTTTAAAATGAGTGTTTTAATTGGGATATGATTCATATACCATAATATTCACCCTTTTAAGTGTACAATTCAGTGATTTTTAGTACCTTTATTCCTAATTCCAAAATTCCATAGTACTTTGAATGCTGTTTCACCTTTCTATAGTGAGTATGTTGTCCATTACTGTATCTCTATGGCCAGAGCAATCCCCTGAATATAGTAGGTGACAAATAAATTTTTGTGGGGTGAATGAATGACAATAGCTGTGCATTCTGGAGATATTTGCATTCCTAGACTCATAAAGTGAGGCTTTCTTATTACACTCTTGGGTTTTAAAAATAAGCATAAATATTTAATGAGAAAAATCTTTTAAGCAAGAAAGTTTTGAAAGTATAATTCTGGAAAAGAAATGCCTTTATTACAGAATGAACCTGCTGGCTAATAAAAACATAAAATATGTTAACAAGTTCAGACTTCTAATTAGAGGAAGAAAGGCTCCCAATGAAAGTGTATTTGATAAGACAAAAGTCTTTCATGCTGTAAAGTTTGCTTATGTAAACCTATTTTTTAAATATGGTTCTAAGGGATAGGCTGTTGTCTTAAAATGGGTATACAAATATAAACGTCCAGGATCCACTGAGGATAAACTACATAAAAACCGGTACAATAGAAAAAAAAATGTGCTTGGCACTTCAGTCCTTTCTAAACTGACTTACTACCCACCCCCAGCCCAGCCCATCCCTGCTCCGCCCCAACCCCCACCACCTGCCCCACCCCCAGCCCAGCACCACCGGCCTCCCACACCCTCACTCCTGTCCCAGTTCCATCCCAGCCCTATCGTACCCTCATCCCAACCCCAGCCCCACCCCCACCACCTGCCCCCCAAGCCCAGCCTCCTGCCCCAGCCCCACCGTTCCCCTCTCCCAGCCCGTGCCCCACCCCAGCCTCGCCCTCATCCCAGTCCCCAGTCCCCCTCCAACACCCCACCCCCAGCCCCAGCCCAGGCTATGGTTGCTGGCCTTTCTGTTCATCTGATAGGGAACTGTCCAAGACAGCAGCAACTTTTTGTGTTTTTGTTTAACACAGCTGAGTGTATTGTGTAGTCGCAAGGAGCTGCAGAATAGCAGAGAGGAAAAAATAATAATGCAGTGTTGGAAGCGGAGTGGAACCAAGCTAGCTCATCACAGTCTAGGAAGAGATAGTTGATTCTGCTCACAGGGCGGCTTGACTGAAAGCTTGCAGAACTTACTGCTCAAACCGGGGATACTCCTGCCTTCTGCCTCTTGCCTCTGCTTCCCTCTTCCTTTTCCTCTTCCTACTCCACACCCTGGACATGGGGTGATTCTGTGCCTTTCTTAGGCCTGTCTCCTAGCTGTGCCCACCTAAGCATCCCCTTCTGCTTGTGATCACCTCTGTGTGCATGTATGTATGTGCCAGTGAGAATATTAGCAAGTAATGGTTGCCAGGAGAAGTGGAAAAGAGAGAGAAGGAGGAGCAGGAAGAAAGGAGAATAGAAAGCTCCCCTCCAACTCTTGTCCCTTCTTCCTTCCCGCCTTGACTAGGGGGTTTTGGTTGAAAGGCACAGAGGAAAACAGAAAGTTCTGCCCTGTTCCCACTGCATTCTACTCCAGGCTCAGGTTAGCAGGGCTGAGAATGAAGATACCAAGGAACTACCCTGGCAGTCTGCTCCTTCTCCCTTTCCATCTGTTCCTCTGCACAGCCCCACCTCACTCCTGTGAGCCTTCTTCCTTGCTACCTCTGGCCTTTGTTCCCTCCTCATATTGCTTGGCTCTCCATCCACCTAGAGCCCATCCTCACTTCTGGGTCCTCACTGCCTCTACCGCCCAGATGAAAATGGCCACTAGTAATGACTCTAGGCTGAGGCCGTATGCACTCACTCTTTCCCTCTGTGGAGTGGATTCATCTTAGAAACCCCAGCTGGACCCCTGACTCCATTTTCCCATAGAAACTTGTTATGCCTGGTGGATAAGTTCTGTACTTCTGTATCCCAGCACATCATGAGAAAAGCTGCACTTACTGGTTTGACCTGGGAATGTGTCTTCTTTTGCTAACTTTAAAGTGCAACTTGTTACTTAGGAAAAAAAATCAGAAATCGACAGTGTAATCTTTGGACTCCAGTTCTTGTGCTGGAAGTGGCCTCCATGGTAAAAGAAAACTTAGAGACATTTTCTGCAGGCAGAGATGTGCCCTGTGCCTATGCCACACCGATTTCAGAATGGGGCAGGGTAGGGCAGGGCTGTAGAACAGGTCAGATGGGCATTCTTCTCATTGCTGGGTGCCAGTCACCTGCCCTGACCCCAGGAGATGACAATTTTGAACACAAGCCAGCATTTTAGTGAGATTTGAATTTATTCAGCAATCTGCTTGTTTTTGTTTGTGCTTGTTTGTTCTGGCTGGTCATAGGAATCTCAAAGAATACCTCTGAAGGACTTCATTTGGGGGCCCAGTGTGAACATTGCTGATACGAGTAAAATCTATTTCTGAGCTGCAAGAGATAAAAAAAAAAGAAGTCGTAGATAAAAGCAGTTGGAATATGTTTAATGTTATTTTAATCTGTTGCATTATGTGAAATAGTGTTACAGTTTGCATACAGATTCCTACTTGCCAGTATTCAAACTTAGAACAGTGTCCTCTCCATCAGCACACAGCAGAAAAGGCAGCCAACATATGCCTATCACCTTCTACAACAGCTTGTGGGGGATCATGGAGCATAGATGCAGAATGCTGGGCTTGGGGATCCAGGTAAGCAAGACAGGGTCTGGCCCCAAGAGACAGGTGAAGCAAGGTGCCAAGTCCAGGGATGACAGTGAAGGCAGGGAGGAGCAGAGAGAATCAGGCTTTCCAAGGGAGGAGCAGAGAGAATCAGGTGCTCCAAGGGAGGAGCAGAGAGAATCAAGCTCTCCAAGGGAGGAGCAGAGAGAATCAGGCTCTCCAAGGGAGGAGCAGAGAGAATCAGGCTCTCCAAGGGAGGAACAGAGAGGATCAGGCGCTCCAAGGGAGGAGCAGAGAGAATCAGGCGCTCCAAGGGAGGAGCAGAGAGAATCAGGCTCTCCAAGGGAGGAGCAGAGAGAATCAGCCTCTCCAAGGGAGGAGCAGAGAGAATCAGGCGCTCCAAGGGTCTAGGAAAGCCTAGTCCATGGCAGGAGTGGTATAGAGGAGGGTGGAACTTTTTAAGTTGAGTTTATCTTGTATTATTTTAGTTTTTTAAAAAAAATTATTTTAAAAAATTATAGTAAAATATACATAACGTAAAATTTACCATCCTAACTGATTTTGAGTTGCAGTTCAGTGACAGCATAATCACATGTTGTTCCACCATCACCACCAACCATCCACAGAGCTCTTTCCGTCCTGCAAAGCTGAAACCCTGTGCCTATTAAACAACTCCCTATTTCCCCTCCTCACATCTCCTGGCAGCCACCATTCTACTTTTGTCTGTATGAATTTGACCATTCGCAATACCTCCTGTAAGTGGAATTATGTAGTATTTGTCCTTTTGTGACTGTTTTTTTTCACTTAGCTTTATGCCCTCAGCGTTCATCTGTCTTGTAGCATGTGTCAGAATTTTCTTCCCTTTTGAGGCTGAATAATATTTCCTTGTCCCATATACCACATTTTGTTTATTTATCCACCAACAGCCAGTTGGGTTGCTTCCATCATTTTTCTATTGTGAGTAATGCTGCTATGAACATGAGTGTACAAATAGCTCTTCAAATCCCTGCTTTCATTTCTTTTGGGAATATGCCTAGAGGTGGAACTGCTGGATGATCTGGCAGTTCTACTTTTAATTTTTTTGTTTTTGTTTTGAGATGGAGTCTTGCTCTGTCACTCCGGCTGGAGTGCAGTGGCGCAGTCTCGGCTCACTGCAACCTCTGCCGCCCGAGTTGAAGCAATTCTCTTGTCTCAGCCTCCCGAGTAGCTGGGACTACAGGCGCGCACCACCACACCTGGCTAATTTTTGTATTTTTGGTAGAGATGGGGTTTCACCATGTTAGCCAGGCTGGTCTCAAACTCCTGACCTTAGGTGATCCACCCGCCTCGGCCTCCCAAAGTGCTGGGATTACAGGCGTGAGCCACCGCACCCAGCTACTTTTAAATTTTTGAGGAACCTCCATACTGGCTATGCCATTTTACATTCCTACCAGCAGGGAGGGAACAGGGGTTCTAATTTCTCGTCATCCTTGCTAACACTTTTTTTTCCTTTTTGATAATAACTATCCTAATGGACATAAAATGGTATCTCATTATGGTTTTGATTTGCATTTTCCTAATGTTAGTGATGTTGGGCATCTTTCCTTTTTTTTTTTTTTTTTTTTGAGACAGAGTCTTGCTGTGTCACTGCAACCTCCTACTCCTGGGTTCAAGCGATTCTCCTGCCTCAACCTCCCAAGTAGCAGGGACTACAGGTGCCCGCCACCACGCCCGGCTAATTTTTGTATTTTTAGTAGAGATGGGGTTTCACTGTGTTGGCCAGGTTGGTCTTGAACTCCTGACCTTGTGATCCGCCCGCCTCAGCCTCCCAGAGTGCTGGGATTACAGGTGTGAGCCACCACGCCCAGCGCATCTTTTCATATACTTATTAGCCATTTGTGTATTTTCTTTGGAGAAATGTCTACACAAGTCTTTCCCCATTTATGAGTTGGATTGTTTATTTCAATCCAACTCAATGTATAAAAGAAGTTTATTTCAATCCAACTCCATGTATAAAGTTCTTTATACATTCTGGATATGAATCCCTTATCAGATATGATTTGCAAATATTTTCTTCACTTCTGTGGGTTGCCTTTCACTCTTGATCGTGTCCTTTGATGCACAAACGTTTTCATAATTCTGATGGAGTTCAGTTTATTCTTTTGTTGCCTGTGCTTTTGGTGTCATATCCACTGAAATCATTGCCAAATCCAGTGTTGTGAGCCTTTCTCACTATGTTGTCTTGTAAGAGTTTTACACTTTTACGTCTTACGTTTAGGCCTCTGATCCACTTTGAGTTAATATTTGCATATGGTGTAAGGTGTCCCCTTATTTTCATTATCTTGCAGTTTACACATAGTCGCATAAATTGAAGTGATTTGCTTTGGAGAAAAAGGCAGCCCCTGCCTCCCTCCCACCACCTTTTTTGCCCGCTACACTTGTCACTCGGCTACATTCACCTGCTATGCTTGTCACTCCACCCTGCTCTAATGCCGCTTTCTCTGCAGGCTCTTCTTGGTTCCCCAAGCTAAGTGGCTCTTGCCCTTGTGTACCTGCATTGCAGTTTTATGATACTTCTCATGTCGTGTCTGTGCTTTCCTACCATGCATTATTATTCACGTGCTTGTCTCATCTCTTCTGCCAAATTCTAAGCATCTGGATGGCTGGGTTTAAGTTGCATCTCTGTGTCCTTCAGACCATATGCCATAGTGCCTTGTGCCTCACGGTGACTTGTATTTTGCAGAAGCTTAACAGATATTAACTGGATATCCAATTATAAAGAGTCATAAATAGATGGTATTTTATGATTAACAATATTAAATGTAGAAGTTTATTCAGTTCCTGCGTAAATCAACTCTCAAATTCAGTTTTGTTTTCTTGAAAGTGTCTGAAATACTCTGAAAGCTGCCATCCATATTGCTAAGGCAAGAGAGGAGAGGCTGTCTTCTACCAGTACCACCTCAGGGCTATGTAAGAAATTTCTTACCTTAGTGACTTCAAGATTGTCATTAAAAACTGCAATCCATATTTTAAGTCAGACAACAGAAAGAGATTTTCTTGTGTTTTTAATAAATGTGAACGGCTGGAAGCAGCCACAAAGTATGTATCAAGTGACCAATTCTGGGCGTGGTGGCTCACGCCTGTAATCCCAGCATTCTGGGAGGCCTAGGTGGGCGGATCATGAGGTCAGGAGTTCGAGACCAGTCTGGCCAACATGGTGAAACCCCATCTGTACTAAAAATACAAATATTAGCTGAGCGTGGTGGCACGTGTCTGTAATCCCAGCTACTCGGAAGGCTGAGTCAGGCAAATCGCTTGAACTGGGGAGGCAGAGGCGAGGCTGCAGTGAGCCGAGATTGCACCACTGCACTCCAGCCTGGGCAACAGAGCAAGACTCCATCTCAAACAAACAAACAACAAAAAAGGAGAATAACTTTCACCCCAGACTATAAGGGAACATGCTCTTATCTTGACACAAATTTGATTTCTTCTTAAAATAGAAGGTGTGAGGGTACCTGTGCAAGAGGGACATTGAACTAGGTAGGGTGTTTTCCAGAGCAGTCCTTTTTTTTTTTTTTTTTTTTTTTTTTTTTGAGACAGAGTCTTACTCTGTTGCCCAGGCTGGAGTGCAGTGGCGCGATCTTGGCTCACTGCAACCTCCGCCTCCCGGGTTCAAGCAATTCTCCTGCCTCAGCCTCGTGAGTAGCTGAGATTACAGGCGCCCGCCACCACGCCCAGCTAATTTTTGTATTTTTAGTAGAGACGGGGTTTCACCATGTTGGTCAGGCTGGTCTCGAACCCCTGACCTTGTGATCTGCCTGCCTCGGCCTCCCAACAGAGCAGTCCTGATGAGCCCTCCCCGTAAGAAACTGCTGAAATGTTGGGGCGGCTGTATGTTTTTGTTATAAGGAAAAGGTAACATTTGTGGAAGGCAGTACTTCACAGTGATACATTTAATGGTTGCATATTCAAATCTCAAAAGAGATTACTAGTAATCTAGAGCAGGTGTTTCTTATCCCAGAAAGTTCTTAAAGTTCTCAGAATTAGTTCTCTTGAGACAAGAGCCATATTTTCCTGTAAGCCAATGAATCACAATTTTTAGGATTACATTTTCTGTATAGGACAAGCCTAATTATAAGTTGCACTTAAAGTGACATTCCGTAGTAAACAGAAACTTCATAAGGAAATAAACAACCATGTTGCTTTAGATATGAGTGTTCAGTGTAAGGTGGGTTAGTTGTAAGGAGGACCTCACTGTGAACTAACACGCTGTAGTGCCACAGGCTACCCAGTAGTAGAATATAAAAGCTTTGCTCACACATCTGTGACAGACATAAAAGGCGGCCGGGCACAGTGGCTCATGCCTGTAATCCCAGCACTTTGGGGGGCTGAGACGGGTGGATCACCTGAAGTTAGGAGTTCGAGACCAGCCTGACCAACATGGCGAAAACCTATCTCTATTAAAAATACAAAATTAGCTGGGCATGGTGGCGCATGCCTGTAGTCCTAGCTATGCGGGAGGCTGAGGCAGGAGAATTGCTTGAACCCAGGAGGCAGAGGTTGCGGTGAGCTGAGATCGTGCCACTGCACTCCAGCCTGAGTGCCTACAACAAGAGCGAAACTCCATCTCCAAAAAAAAAAAAAAAAAAAAAAAAAAAAAAGGCCTTCCAGGTCTGTATTTTTGTATTTTTGTTTTATCTACTTCATTAGTTCTAGTTACATATATAATTCTGTGATTCAATCAGTCACTAAATATTGATTGAGCCTTACAGGTACCCTAGGGACCAAGAGAAATACAATATAAAAATATTTCCCCAGTAAACATACGCACATAACATAGAAGACAAGATTTATGGAGTTCAGTCTTATGCAATTATATCCAGTCAACATATATTGAATCCTCAGCATGTACAAGGCTGTATCTAAACTTTATAAAAGAAAACAGAAATGCCATTTGGCCTTTTAGTAATTGTCTCTGTAAAACTTGATGAATTTTTATTTTATTTATTAGTGTTATTTTTTTTTTGAGATAGAGTTTTACTCTGTTGCCCAGGCTGGAGTGCAATGGTGTGATACTGGCTCACTGCAACCTTTGCCTCCCGGGTTCAAGCGATTCTTGTGCCTTGGCCTCCCAAGTAGCTGGGATTATAGGCATACACCACTACTTCCAAATAATTTTTGTACTTTTAGTAGAGACGCAGTTTCACCATGTTGTCTGGGCTGGTCTTGAACTCCTGACCTCAAGTGATCTGCCTGCCTCGGCCTCCCAAAGTGCTGAGATTACAGGCGTGAGCCACTGTGCTCAGCCAACTTGATGAAATTAATATGAATCATAAAATCCCCCTTGAAATTCTCAGTTGTTTGAAAATTTATTCCCAAAAACCATAATGGGAATATTCACCCAAGTCTCTATGGAGGTTTCACTCTTGATAGATTTTTCATCAGTTTTTCAAATACTGAATCTCCGTTTTGATATAATTTATGTTGTTGCATAACCCTTTCATGGCCTGAAGCCACACTGAATGTTGCCACTCATGACTCGTTGTAACTTGTAGTTGAGATGTTGAAGGAATATATATATATGTATTTGAAGATGTTTAAGGTGGTTCCATTTTTTTGCAAATCAGAAGCATTATTTTGGCTAGATTTTGATACAAGGATTGAGAAATTTATGGTTCACTTAAGAAATCACTTTTATTTTTATTTTATTTTACATTTATTTAGCACTTAGTGTTTGTTTTTCACATAAATTTCAATTTGTATCTCATTCTATTCCTGGTAATAGTAGCAGGTATGTAAATGGGCAGTGGGGTTTTGAGAGAATAATTATTTAATAAATTATAGTTACACCTACAGCATCCATGAATGAAAGAAAAAGTTGCTTTAAAAAATGATATAAAGTGATTTGATGAAGCATTTAGTGTTTCGTTTTTCAACTTAGAATTTGTACCATAGTTATGTCAGTTTGCAATGAGTTCCCTAAAAGCTATGCGTATCAGTCCGCCTCTCATTGCTATAAAGGAATACCTGAGGCTGGATAATTTCTAAAGAAAAGTGTATTTGGCTCAGGGTTCTTCAGGCCATACAAGCACAACACCAGAATCTGCTTGGCTTCTGGTGAACGAATAGAGCAAGAACCCAGTCATTACCATGGGGAGGGCAGCAAGTTCTTCATGAGGGATCCACCCCCATGACCCAAACACCCCCGACCAGGCCCCACCTCCACCACTGGGGATCACATTTCAATATGAGATTTAGAGGGGACAGACATCCAAACTATATCACTAGGATGCTAAGTCATAAAGAATACAGAGAAAGGGTCATAGGAAAATCATTACTGTTGAAAAAAGAAAAGTCGTGTTCCTTAAAGCAGCTCAGTGTATCAGAATATTGCTGAAGTTTTAATGATGAGACTCTGTAGGGAAATATTTACCATTTTGGAAACTGTAAACCTGTTGTTTGTGTTGATTTCTTGTTGAATGCACAGTTCTTTACTTTTAATTTAGTAATTTGAGCTACTTTGGTATTTGATTAGTTTGAATCTTGTTTAGGATGCTCAAGGGAACTTAGAGAAGTTCAGTTTCAGTTACATTAGTGAGACTAAGTGACTTGGAGAATAGGTTCCATCCATAATGTGGAAGCTTTAAATGCCAGTTTAATAGTTTGACATTGTTCTGTTGTTAAGAGGGGACATAGGAAAACTTTTGATTGGGAGAATGACCCAAGGATTATGCTCTTGGGAGGAGGAAGAGCAGTCCAAAGGGTATTGCTGCTGGCTGAGCAAAGACACTAAGTGTAGAAATGGAAATGAGGAAACGAACAGAAGAAATATTTTGTTGGAGGAATTTAGGTCTCGATTGACCTAAATTGGAATGGATAGGGCTAACTGAAGATGCTGGGAGGGGAGTGTGGCTGTTAACAGGGAGAAAGGGGAGGAGGAAGGAGAATGTGCGGGAAAGATCAGGAGCTCATCTTACGATATGTATTTGAGGTGCTGCTGGGACATTCTTGTGGAATGCGGGCTCAAGAGAAGCGGTAGGAGTGAAAGAAATGCATCCAGGCTCATTCGTCATTGTGCTCTTAGCACCTAGCTTGATGTGTGGCCTGAAATAATCAATGTCAGGTAAATCGAGGCCGTTGATGTAGAACATTTAGTCAAGAAGTTTGCACTTTTGGCTCTGAAGGAATGGATACAATAAGAGAATGAACCACCCTACCTTCCTTCCTCCCTCTTCTCCCCTTACCCCTCTCCCATTCCTTCTCCGGGCCTCTCCTTCTGCTCCCCTCTTCTTTCTATGGGGAGAGTTGAACCTGGTTGTATGAACATGCCAAAGGGAAGAGAAAAGAATGATGACGAAGCATAAAAAAAAAAAGAATAAATATATGGGGAATCACTCCTCCCTTTTATGAAGTCTATGTAAAAACCATTGAAGAATGGTAACCGTCCCTCTTTGGAGAATGGAAAACACTGGAAGCTTGGGTCACTTCTGGGACCCTCCTTAGCCAGGAGCACATCAGTAATATTTACAGCAGGGGCAAGTTGTCCTATAAAATTTGTGTCTGTACTTTTGTCAGTACGATATTTACTAAAAACAAAAATTATTATGTAAGGAAATAAAAGAAGCACTAAAATAATTAGGTTCTAGAACCAAGGCATGCTGAGTATTAGGTCTTAAGGCACAGTCAGAAAAAATATAATGGGAAGAATTTCTGGCGTGTTCCCATATGTATATTCATGTGGACACTTTTGTGGATGCAAATGTCTTTAGCAGAGAATTGAATGTAAGAGACTCTTAGGCAGTCAAGCAGAATGGTTCAGGATGAGGGCGAGGGTGAATGCAGGAAGGTGGTAGACTGGGGTAGAAACCTTGGCATTGCCACTTATTAGCTATGTGATTATGAGCAAGTGATTTAGTCTCTCTGAGCTTCAGGTTCTCTTTCTGTAAGGAGATAAACACCATACCTACCTTTGGAGGCTGCAGTGAGAACTATGGGAAATAATATTAAAAAGTTTATCCAACACATACTTATTGAATGCCTACAACGTGCCAGGCACTGGTCTAGGTCCTGGAGCTGCAGCAGTGAGGGAAGTGGGTAGTGTCTGCTCTTGTGGAGCTTACATTCTTTTTTTTTATTTTTTATTTTTTTGAGACAGGGTCTTGTTTTGTCGCCCAGGCTGGAGTGCAGTGATGCGATTTTGGCATACCGCAACCTCTGCCTTCTGGGCTCAAGCTATTCTCTTGCCTCAGCCTCCTGAGTAACTGGGTTTACAGATGCCTGCCACCATACCGGGCTAATTTTTTGTAGTTTCTTGGCCAGGCTGGTCTTGAACTCCTGACCTTAAGTGATCCACCCACCTCGGCCTCCCAAAGTGCTGGGAATACAGGCGTCAGCCACTGCATCCAGCCTCTTGGAGCTTACATTCTACTGAGCCCAGGAAGAGTTAATACATTTCTCAAGAGGGAATATTTTTAAAGTGCCAAGTATAATGCCTGACTGTGCATTTAATCAACATGAGTCACCACCATCGACTTCACAGAGTGCACAGTATTTTCTTATTTTTATGATGACAAATGAGTAGGGCTTCCATTGACAAATGAGTTTAGAACTTTGTATTGAGTATTTTTAATTTGAGAGAAAAAATTAATTAGTGCTATTGGTGTGTGCATGCCAGCTGAACAATTTACATACTGACATTAGTGATAATTATTTGTTTGTCTAGGAAGTTCTGATTACTCTAAAGGGGCCTGGGCACTGATTTTAATGTATTTGTGCCGCTTCCTTTCCTTCCTATTAAATAGTAAGTGCGAGGAAATAGTATCACTTTTCTGACATTTGCTTGACACAACCTGTTCTTTAAAGGGTCCCTGGGTTATGTCACACATCTGGGGTGAAGACAAGATTGATAAAGCAATACTTAATATTAATTTTGCAGGAAATATACATAAATTAATTTTGTAGGACCGTTTTCTTTAAAAAATGAAAACCACTTAAATCAGAGGGAAGATCACTCTTCAGGTTTGACTAAGTAACTTGGTATGATCATTAATGTTGTCTGGGAGCACAGATATCTGAAAGATAAATACAAATAGGTTTGAACACATGCTAGCACCTGCCCTTGCAAACTTCAAGAATTTAAAGATTGATAGCAATCACCTGAGAGCCAGCAGGACAAAGGTCACCGCAGAGCCATCATGATATGGAGTGCCATAAGAGGAAGCCCACATCCATGGCTCTGTCATTGGAGTTTAACTCTTTGGGGAAACTACCCGCAAACCTCTTAGCCAAAGGCAGTCCATTAAACCTACCCACTCATTCAGAGGATTCCCTTTGGCAAGAGGAAGCTCTTTTAAAGAGAGAATTAGGGACCTGCTCTCATTAATTAAAAATAAACCTTTTATTTTTCCCTAAGCCAGAAAAGCTTTGTGTAATTATAGTGTGGGGCGGTAAAGGAGATCCCACACTTCAAGCCTACATCCATCAAGGCATTTGGTTAACTGCCCAAGCAAGTCTGTCCAGGGCTTTAGAAAAGCTGGCCTTTGTCTTAGCAGGTTACAGGCATCACAGATGCCTCTTCAGTGTACCCTCAGATGGCCCACCAGTGCCGTGACACACTCACCTATATGGACATGACATCTGGGCAGACAGGATGCAATTTGTTCCCTCCTGTTCCTCTTGAATTGCTTGTTTTCAAAAGAATAGATGAAACAAAAGCAAAGTCTTTGAGGTTTCCCTGAAACTTGGCATGGATTGCAACAAGGTTGTTTCTTTTTTTCTTTTCTTTTTTTCCTAAAGTGTCCTCTGTATCCTATTTAATAATCCCCACTAGCTGTACACTCTTTTTGAGGAATTTTCAGTGGAAGAGTAATGAGTTTAAAGTGGTCTGCAATAGGAGATACTCAAGTTTTGCTCAACTGTTAGATACAGTTTAAAAATAGCTCTTGAGTTTTGCAGCGTGGAGCACCATGTGTGAGATCCTGGACGACATGTGTGCTATGTGTCGCAAAACCCTTCACAAGTGTTACCTAATTAACGGCACAATGTCTGACAGGTGGCAGACCCCTCAGAGGCCTGCAGGAAGAGGGGGCTCCTGCACACACGCCACCAGCTCAGAACAGTGGCTCTGTGTCTTGGGGTTGTGTTGCCTCTAGAGAGAATGTGACTTCGTTGGATTGCAACAGAAACAGATAAATAACCCAGGATCTGCCCTGGAACACGGGGAATCATTAAGTGAGATTCATTACCATTCTTAGCAACCTTGGGTTTTTGCCACACAAGGCCAGTTATGGTTAGTTGAGCAGAAATTTGCAGGAGAGACCAGCCTGAATTTAGACCCAGCCATTGAGGGAGACCTCATTGTGGGGATTTACTGGAAAGACTCAGTCCTCCAGTAGGTAGTTGAAGTCTGGGCAAGCAGCAGGTGATGGGGACCCTCAAGACAAGATAATGGGGTAGAGGTAGCCCTGGGAAACTGAGAACAGCCCATATTTGTGTGTCTGCTCATAGCTAGGTCTGTGAGTAGGTGGAAGAGACTCAGTCACTGAACATGGATGGGGTGGAACCCCTGCCCTGGGAGAAGACGAGGGTTATTGTGCAGTTACCAGAACAAGGCCTTGCAAAGAAGAAATGAAAACACACTTGGGTACAGGCTAGAGAGTAGGGGAGGAGGGCAGAGACTCAGGAAGCTAAAGGAAGCCTGTTATCAGCCCTGGAGCACTGACTGGGAGGGCCAGTAGATCTTAGGGTAGCAGTTAAGAGTGTGTATCCCTGGTCGGGCGCGGTGGCTCATGCCTGTATTCCCAGCGCTTTGGGAGGGTGAAGCGGGCGGATCACAAGGTCAAGAGATTGAGACCATCCTGGCCAACATGGTGAAACCCCGTGGCTACTAAAAATACAAAAAATAGCTGGGTGTGGTGGCATGCACCTGTAGTCCCAGCTACTCGAGAGGCTGAGACAGGAGAATCGCTTGAACCTAGGAGGCAGAGGTTGCAGTGAGCCAAGATTGTGCCACTGCACTCCAGCCTGGCAATAGAGCGGGACTCTGTCAAAATAAATAAATAAATAAATAAATAAAAGAGCATGTATCCCATAGTCAAATCAGATAGACTCCACAGAGCCTGCCACCTTCAGACATGGTCTTGGGCAAGATGACTTAATCTCTCCATGCCTCAGTTTCCTCATTGGTTTTTTTTAAAAAAAACTGGAAATAGGCAAAGTTCCTACCTTATAAGTTTTTTTCAGATTACACGTAACGAAAAAGTGCTTAGAATGGTGTATGGCACCCAGTTAGCATTAGATAAATGTTGGCAATGATGGGAATGAAGCAAAGAAGAAGATGAAGATGGTGATAATCACGTTGATGATAACTTTGATGATGATGATGGTTATGATGAACCAGAAAGCGCTACAGAAGCACCTGAAGCTCCAGGATTGGCCCTGGCACATGTACTCAATTTATAGGTGGAGATGTTGTGATTGACAAAAGGTGGGGAAGTGGGATGCAATCTGAAAACAAACCCAGTGGTCCTAGTGGGCACTTGGTGAATACTTGGGGCTTATGAGGTATATAGATGTTTGGTAGCTCCAAAGGTGTTTGACATTGTTCTTTCTATAGTTAATTTTGACAACATCTAGGTGTAAATAACCAAATCAGCCATCATTTCAATTTTTTGTTTACCACTTGCATATAGTTATTTAAGAGGGAATTTTCAAGAAAATAGTTAATTTACTTTTATGTATTTCCTTACCACGCCACTCAGCTTTTCCCTGGCTGCCTACTCGGGATAAACAAGGACAAATGGCAGTCTACGTGATCCCTGACAAAACCCTTGACACATGTGGTAGAAGTTATATATAGCACTTAACATGGTTTGTGTCCTTCCGTGAACATGTTTCTGTCATTGTTTTGCTTCACTGTTGAACATACTGTCTTTCTCCTGCTTTGTCAGTCAAATTATACAATGTTAGTAACCAGCAACTAAAAACACAGTAGGACTTTAAATGACTTCCATAGTAAGGCACTGGGCTTTATGTGTGATGGTGTCTCCGCTTCCAGTCTTCTCTACTCTTTCCTTTTTGAATTCACGATACAGATATTTATTAGATACTTACTCTGAACCAGGCACTTCGCTAGGTCTTGAGATGTTAATGGTGAGCAACCGATAGCCTGTGCCCAGGGTACACTGAAGTCTGAGTACAGATAGCGTGGTGCAGTATTCCGATGGAAGCACCTGATCCAGTCTTAGGGGATCAGGGAAGGCCCAGGAGGAGGCAGCATCTTTAATTTCTCTAAAGTTCTGTGAATACACCTTAATCTCCAGACCCCAAATCATAACCCTTCTTCCACCCTCAGATCATAACTTTGAAAGCCCTCTGCAGTTTCCATGCAGCCAGTCCTTTCCCCAAGATTGAATCTTCCTTGAAACTTACTCCCCTCCCATCTCCTGTCCATTCTGGCATTGTCACGTGGCATATTGCTCCCAACTTTATAATATTTTTGGTGAAATTTGAGAGGTTTTCTTGTTGCTCTGTGAATAATTTATGGCAAAAACAGACAAATCCTCTCCATTTCCAAAGATCATTTTCTGTTTCAGGTAATAAGCATTTACATGTGAAGGCCATTTGTCTGGTGATTAAAATTTGGAATATTCAAAGAGAGTCTTCATAGCAACTTTCAAAACGTATAGGTAGAATATTTAAAATCTGTACTGGGATGGGATGCTAATGGTTTCTCATTCTAGCTTGGAGTTTTGGGGCAAAGGTGAGCACCCTTTTTGGATTCTCTTTATGTTTTATAGAATGAATGAAAAATTCAAGTGTTAGTGCTTTGAATTTGCATACGTTGTTTTAGGGCATGACAGAGAAAATGTGGATGACTTTGAGGTTGATGCCGTATCCCTATAGGGATTATGGCTCTTTAAAAAACAGATCTGATGGTACTCATGTAAGACTCTTGATTGTCTCTATTCTTTAAATAACAATCATATCTCTAGGTTCACGTCATCCTTTTTAGATGACCATGTAGTATTGGGGATGCCGTCCGCCCTCCTGTCCTGTTTCTCAGCCACATCAATCATTGTGTTCAGACTCGCTGCTTTTATCTGCTCTGCTACAGACCATCCGTTTTCTGCCCTTGGAGAGCAGGTCCTAATAGGTTTCCTGTTTGTACTCTTCTGAGTTTTTGCTTGTTGGCTTTTCCTGAGAAAAAGACATGCTATGTGCTAGGGGGAAATTGGCTTAGTTTGTGTACATGGAGATTTTCTATGTAGTAATATGCATAACCTTATATGAAATAACTGTTTTGTAATTAACACCCTGGTGGTATTTAGCTGATTGAGGCCAGTTAAGAGACAACAAGAAAATACTTTAATTCTTCCTTTTCATGCTACAGGAAAGGAGAGTTCAACAAGGTGTTTTAAGAAAAAGGGAAAGTAAAGCAAAATTTCTGTGAGAAAAATTCTGCATTATTGATGTTTCAAAAATCCTTATTAATATAATACAGTAAAAAAGAAGTGTGTGCGTATTGAATAATGTACCTTTAAATGACAAGTGCCCTGCAAAGATCTATGTGTAGAAAAGAAGTTTGTTATATATGATTTTAAAAAGTTAACATAGATCTTCTATGTCATGGACCTTCTATATCCCAGTTGTGGTATAGAATCTTGATAGTGTGCGTGTGTGTATGTAAATTTTAGATCAAATCTGACTCTGGGTCTGTAGAAGGAATAACATTAAGAAAAACCGATTTTAAGCAGAAACATTTTTGTTCTGCTTTCGACTGTAAAATTTGTATATATACATTGTAGAAAATTCAGAAGGCTTAAAAAAAATAAGGATGATACTTAAGTCCTCTATTCACACTTGCAACTCAGATATAACCACATGCTTTTGTCTGACATACATATCTGTTCTGTAAGTATTGAGTATCTATTAAGTGCCAGGCACTCTGCTGGGTCCTGAAGATACACCAGTGAAGAAAACACACAAAATTTCCTTCCCCAGGGAGTTTACATGCCACTGTTTATATATGTATACCATATACCAAAATATACAATGACTTCAAGCTGTATGCTGAAGTCATATGGTGGGCTTGTTCATACTCCTTAGCCTTCACTAAGGAATACCTTTCCCTTATGAATTATTGTTCCCTATTTTTTTAATCGTTATGTACCCTTTGTCTTTGTCTTTGAGTATACCATAATTTGTGTCCCCCAGTTTGAACTATTTAGGCAATTTCCAATTTTTTGTTATGATAGAAATAAGTGGCTGGGCACAGTGGCTCACACCTGTAATCCCAGCACTTTGGGAGGCTGAGGCGGGTGGATCATTTGAGGTCAGGAGTTCGAGACTAGCCTGGCCAACATGGCAAAACCCCGTCTCTATTAAAAATACACAAAAATTAGCTGGGTGTGTTGGCGCGTGCCTGTAATCCCAGCTACTCAGGGTGGCTGAGGCAGGAGAATCACTTGAACCTGGGAGGCGGAGGTTGTGATGAGCCGAGATTCCGCCACTGCACTCCAGTCTGGGTGACAGAGTGAGACCCTGTCTCCAAAAAAAGAAAAGAAAAGAAAAGAAAGGAAAAGAAAGGAAGAAAGGAAGGAAGGAAGGAAGGAAGAAAGAAAGAAAGAAAGAAAGAAAGAAAGAAAGAAAGAAAGAAAGAAAGAAAGAAAGAAAGAAAGAAAAAGAAAGAAAGAAGGAAGTGACTATGAACATCTTTAAATGTGTATCTTTACCTTAAGAGTTCACTGTCTCCTTAGGGCCAATTATTTTTATTTATTATTTTTTCTGAGACAGAGTCTCGCTCTGTTACCTGGGCTGGAGTGCAGTGGTGTAATCTCAGCTCACTGCATCCTCCACCCTCCGGGTTCAAGCAATTCTCCTGCCTCGGCCTCCCAAGTAGCTGGGACTACAGGCCTGTGCCACCATGCCCAGCTAATTTTTGTATTTTTAGTAGAGACATGGTTTGACCATGTTGGCCAGGCTGGTCTCGAACTCCTGACCTCAGGTGATCCACCCACCTTGGCCTCCCAAAGTGCTGGGATTACAGGCATGAGCCACTGTGCCCAGCCAGGGCCAATTATTAGATATGAGTGTAGCAGGCTGAAAAGTAGGAACATTTGAAAGACTCTTGAAACACTGTTGACCACCTGGAAATGTTCTACAGTCTGCACTCCCACCAGCAGCACTCTTGCCCTGTTCTTATCTTATACTTCCCAGTATTTAGGGAGAAAAAGTTACCAGTTTGGAAAGTAATCTTATTGTGCTTTTAAACTATATTGCTCTCGTTATTTATAAGAGCACACATATTTTTCTATCCTTATTTGTCTGACCCATCTCTTAAAGTCATTTGCTCATTTTTCTATTTAAAGTAATGTCTTTCTTGTTTATTTATCAGCACTTTTTATATAGTGAGCCATTTAGTCCATTATCATAATGTGGCACATTTTCTTCCAGATGGAGAATATGCATTTTTGTCCAACTTCTCTACCAGGTAAATGACGAGGAGGGAAAGGAGAAGGCCCTCCTCTTGGTATAGAGGAAGGGTTGGCTTTTCAACCAGAATCTCTCTACCTAGGCACAGCAGCAATGACTCAGTCACTGTGATGGCAGTGCCCACAAGCACCAATGCCCAAGAATCCCATTTGTTTTGCAGACAGGGCTGCTTTTATAGTGCCAATCTATGCTTTCTGCCTGAGCTGCCAGAACCATGCGGGGTCCAAGCAGGCATGTGAGCATGGAGATGAACTCTGTTCTGGATAAACAGTACTCCACCTTGTCCCCTCCTCCCATATTAGTAGTCAGTGATCCGTGTGAATTTAATTGGTTTCCAGAAAGTGAGTGTTACGTGTATACGTCAGTGTGCCACTTTAGAGTTGTAGAAAGAAAAAGTTGGGCCTTGTGGCTGTGGATGAATGAACATGACCCTGACAAACAGCTGCTGTTCTGAACAGCGAGATAAATTTATGTTTAAACCACAGTAAACTATGCAACCAGGTAATAATTTTGAGCAATGAAGTATGTTTGCTGTAGTAACCATTACAGACACAGATAAATCACAGTAATTTCAACGTGGCACTTTTGCCATTCAATAAATGGGTATTTTAAATTTCATTTGCTTTTGAACTAAGTTTCATAATTTATAGAGTAAGTCATTCAAAGATTAATGCTCAGAAGGGAGGAAAATCACTATACAAGAACAGAAACATGTCATTTATGTATATTACATTGGAACTTTGTCCGCCTGTTTCCATTATAAACCTGATTTTGCAAACATTTATAATAGACCAATAAAAAGTTTGCCCTGGGCTAGAGTTTGCCATTTGTTTCTGAGATTCCAATTTTTATATAATTCTTTTCTTTCTCAAATAATATGATATCTATCCGTGTGTGGTTTTTTGTTTGTTTGTTTGTTTGTTTGTTTTTAAGATGGAGTCTCGCTCTGTCGCCAGGCTGGAGTGCAGTGGCGTGATCTCGGCTTACTGCAACCTCTGCCTCCCAGGTTCAAGCGATTCTCCTGCCTCAGCCTCCCGAGTAGCTGGGACTACAGGCGCACGCCACCACGCCCAGCTAATTTTTGTATTTTTATTAGAGACAGGGTTTCACCATGTTGGCCAGGATGGTCTCCATCTCTTGACCTTGTGATCCGCCTGCCTCAGCCTCCCAAAGTGTTGGGATTACAGGCGTGAGCCACCGCGCCCAGCCCCATGTGTTTTTTAATGTGTTACATCATTATACAACATGACTAAGTCAAAAGTTTATTTATTTTAAAAGCAAATTTGTGGCTGATGATTTCAGAATGTATTGGCTTGCAATTGATTCTGGAGCTTTTTAAAGATGGTTACACAATATTTAAAGATGGTTAGAAAATATGGTTCAGAGAATGAGAAAGTGGTTAAATGTCATGATAGCACCACATGATTTTACAATAGCAAAGACAACAATAATAGTGACACTTCATTAGTACAAAATGTGAGCTGATCTATTAGAGGAACCATTCAAATTTAGCACCTCCTGTTTGATCAGGCTGCATAATTTTGTAAATCCCTTATTCAGTCACCCAATCTGCATACTAATCAGTTCCGACGTTATTTATATGATAACATGAAAGCCTTTAATTTTTTATATTCTCAGTTACTGTTTCTCTTGCTTAACTGCGAGCTCTTGAAGGTCAGTGACTGTTTTTTTATACTGCCAGTACCCAGCACGTCAACTGAGTACAAACTGGTCAGGAAACACTCGTTGAATAGATGAAGACATAAATGTTTGTTCAGTTGTAGGCTGTTGCCAACTTTGGAAGGTCGTCTGTTTCAAATGTTTGAGTGATTGGGCTAGAACTTGCAGTTCCTTCTCCCATTAAAAAAAACTCATGTAAACGATAAATTATACCACAATAACTTAATTTCATTTCCAATGATTACACTCCAATCAAGTAGTGGAATTATAGTAGTCGGTCAGAGGTCTGACCAGTTTCTGAAGAAAAAAAAAAAAAATCCCCATCCCAGACAGCAGACAGTCCTGCAGTCAAGCTTGAATGCTCCATTGATGTGGTTTCCACATGTTGTAAGTAATTTATTCTATTGTTGGACACCTGGCTCTGCTTGCCCTCCTCCCCCATCCTTTTTAATAAAATGATGGTGAGTCCATCTTTGTCTTTTAAAAAATTTTTTTTCTTTTAGAGACGGTGTCTTGTTCTTCTTCTTTTTTTTTTTTGGGGGGGGGAGGTGGGACAGGGTCTCGCTCTGTCACCCAGGCTGGAGTGCGGTGGCGCAATCTCAGCTTACTGTGGGTTCAAGTGATTCTCCTGCCTCAGCCTCCCAAGTACTTAGTATTACAGGCATGTGCTACCATGCCTGATCAATTTTTATATCTTTAGTAGAGACGGGGTTTCACCATGTTGGCATGCTGGTCTCAAACTCCTGACCTCAAGTTGTCCGCCCACCTTGGCCTCCCAAAGTTCTGGGGTTACAGGCGTGAGCCACCATATCCGGCCAGATGGGGCTTGTTCTGTTTGCCCAGGCTGGAGTGCCGTGGTGCAATCATAACTCACTGTAACCTCTAACTCCTGGCCTCTAAGGATCTTCCTGCCTGGGCCTCCCAAAGCACTGGGTTTACTGGTGTGAGCCACTGAGTCCAGCCTCCTCTTAACTTTAAAATCCTTAGTCTTGATCATCCCTTTTAGAGCACTGAAAACCAGGCCAGACTTCAGGTGGGGCTCCAGATACACCTACCCCTTCACCTGCAGGCCACTGAATCTGACTAGAAGCAGCTCTGAGCAGCCTTCTTTGGACCAGTAGTTCTCAAAGTGTGGCTCCTCAGCCTGTAGCATCAGTGTCACCTGGGAACTTGGTAAAAATGCAGATGAAACTCTTGGGTAGGACCCAGCAATCTGTGTTTAAGAAGCCCTCCAGGGATTGCAAGGCACTAAGTTTGAGAACCGCTGACAGGGCTTATTGGAACATGGTCCCAGGGCAGAGCGGTGTAAGTGATTCCCATGAGCAGTACACAGGATGGGTGATGTGTACTTCAGCGGCATACTTGGTCATCATGGTCAAGGGTCCCTGAAGCTCATGGAAGAGATGAATTGAAGCTTCAGGCATGGAGTCCAAGGTGCAGTGGTCAGATGTGGTGGGAGGCAGCTCTGGACCAGCACGGCCAAGCTAGCTTCAGGATGAACACTGCATGCACAAGGCTGCACGCAAGAACTTTGTCAGTATATTGTAGTACCTAATTGAAAAATTAAACTAGATTTAAAATCTGTTATGTTTTCATAAGAGATTTCACTGTGTCTGTTAATGAAATAAGGTGCTTTTACATTCTTGAAATAGAAATTGCCGTATTTCTGTTGGCTGTAAAATGCTTAATAAATTTAAAATGGTTGTAAAAAAGGTTAAAACAATTTTTACCTCTTAGTTTGAGTAAAACTTCTTGTTACTAATAACCAACAAGAACATCAAGAGATCATCATTAAACATCTTGATCTGGAATGGCATATAGTTCTTTCAAGCATATAGACAGTTATTTCAAAGACAATTATTTTCAAAGAAGTAAGCTCAACATTCTTGAAAAAATTGGAAAATATTTTATTTAAAAGTATTATGTCAATTCGATATTTAATATCTTCACTAATACTCTGATTTTTTCTCTTTCCCCTCCCCTCCCCTCCCCTTCTCCCCTCCCATCCCCCTCTCCCTTCCCCTCCCCCTCCTCCTTTTTTTTTTTCCCTGTCCCCCTGTGTCCCCCAGGCTGGAATGCAATGGCACAATCTTGGCTCACGGCAACCTCTGCCTCCTAGGGTCAAGTGATTCTCCTGCCTCAGCCTCCGTGAGCCACTGTGTCTGGCCTGATTTTATTTTCTCAATGGTCATTAGGTATTACTTTAAAAGAATACTTCTGGCCAGGCGTGGTGGCGCATACCTGTAATCCCAGCACTTTGAGATGCCAAGGCGGGCAGATCACCTGAGGTCAGGAGTTCGAGACTAGCCTGGCCAACATGGTGAAACCTGGTCTCTATTAAAAATACAAAAGTTAGCTGGGTGTGGTGGCACACGCCTGTAATCCCAGCTACTGGGGAGGCTGAGGCAGCAGAATGGCTTGAACCTGGGAGGCGGAGGCTGCAGTGAGCCGAGATCGTGCCACTGCACTCTTTTAGCCTGGGCAACAACAGTGAAACTCCATCTCAAAATAAATAAATAAATAAATAAAAATAATAATACTTTTTTTTCCATTTAAAATTTTCTCAGTTTCTCCTAGTGTGCAGTGCGCTCTCATTGTCAGGGGACCGCTGTGGGGAAAGGGGTCGGACAGCTCTGCACTGGGCAGTTCCCTGCTCCCTGGAAGGCTTTCCCATGTTTATATTTTTCTTCCCTTCTCTGTGTAAACAGCCCTGCTTCCTCCAATTGATCCTGAGTATTTGATACCATTTCCAGACACCATTCTAGTGAAGGTGCTCTGGTTTCCATTGTCCCCGGGAAATGTGGCATCCAGAGCTGAGCAGAGTTACCCAGATGTCATGTGCCTGGTGCCCGAACAGAAGGAGTGTTGTACCTGTGGCTTAGAGTTGAAATGCAAAGTGAGTGACTTAAGAATTCACTAGATGGAAACCCCACTGAAGTGGTGCGTGTCTGTTTCACTGTTTTATCCTCGTTGACTTATGGGCTCAGTAACTATTTTTAAAATGATGGAATGATTAGATGAAAGAGGAGATGGAAAAAAACAGAGAAAGCAAAAGGAAATGAGCTTATGTAGTGCTTCCTGTCACTTTTGTCTTATGTTAGTCAATCCCAGTGAGCAACTGGATGTACTCAGAAGATCACTTAGTGGTCGGGCACGGTGGCTCACACGGGTAATCCCAGCACTTTGGGAGGCTGAGGCGGCTGGTCACTTGAGACCAGGAGTTTGAGACCAGCCTGGTCAGCATGGCAAAACCCCATCTCTATTAAAAATACAATATATATATACATGCTCAGTGTGGGTGGTGCGTGCCTATAATCTCAGCTACTCGGGTGGCTGAGGCAGGGGAATCACTTGAACCCAGGAGGCAGAGGTTGCAGTGAGCTGAGATTGTGCCACTGCACACTGCACTCCAGCTTGGGCAACAGAGTGAGACTCTGTCTCAAAAAAGCAAAGGAGATCACTTAGTGAGCATGGGATGAGAACAGGGAGGGTGAGAGGATTCTGGGGATAGCCACTACCATCTAGAATGGCCAGATATCATGGTCTTTACCCCTGGGAAATTCACCCAGGGGGTGGATTATAGTGTGGATATGCCAAGTCCTGCTAGTAGAATGAAAAATTGAATTATAGAACTTGTTGGATTTGTTTTTTAGGATAACTAAAATGTCTTCATGGACACTGTGTCTTTTAATGATTACATTTATATAACATGACACTCTGGTGTTTTGTACACTGTAAAAGGTGCATTCTTCTAACACAACACTCACATCTTATTGAAGTGATCCATTGCCACATTGTGGTGTGTAGATCTTATTCTTATCTCCATGCAAAATGCTTGGTATGTGGTATGCACTCAACATTGGTAAAGTTGTAGCTTAAACGATCTAGTACATAGTTTTAAACAAAGACAGTTTAGACATTAAAGCAGTATACGCCTTGTTTGACATGAGGTGTGGGAGCACCAAGCTTGACCCTCTTAGATTCAAATTACTCCTGAATTTAACCAATTCAACTCTGATGTATTTTAGCACAGCCATGCTTCAAGATGGTGGAACTTACCCTCCTGTCTTCCCAGACTGATTTCTGTTCCTGCCCTGGGTACTTCTTGTCTCCTCTGAATGGGTACGGGAGTGTGGACCTCAGGGAGGCCCCCTTGGTATGCTCCTCCGCTTTCATTCGGGGATCTCAGACCTAATTTCAGCTTTGCCCAATGTGAAAGCATTTCCAGAGCAAGGTGACTTCTTCAGGAATTTTCCATGTGGTATCTTTCAGAGTAATAGTGTGTTATCTCTGCCAGAAGCCAGAGGAGAAATTTTTACTCAGAGAAAGAGCCATTTTCCTATGGCTACCTTAAGACATAAAAGTATAGTAACATCCATCTCGTAACTGATCATGTTGTCTGTCTGTACTGTAGCATCCCATGGCTCACCTTTTATGAACTAACTGAATCCCTGGGCCTACTCTACTTTGTAGTCTTGTTCCCTCTGCTATTTGTGTCATATAAATTAATTAGCTCTTTAGCTTTTTACTTTTATCATGTAACACTGAACTAAGTTACTTAGCCATCTTAAGTCATTTTCTGGAACGTGGTGAGGCCTAAATAAATAAGTAACTAATAACTGCAGAATATAAACTATCAGGCCGGGTGCGGTGGCTCATGCCTGTAATCCCAGCACTTTGGGAGGCCAAGGCAGGCGGATCTTAACTTGAGGTTAAGAGTTCGCGACAGCCTGGCCAACATGGTGAAACCATCTCTACTAAAAATACAAAAATTAGCTAGGTGTGGTGGTACACATCTGTAATCCCAGCTACTCGGGAGGCTGAGGGAGGAGAATTGCTTGAACCTGAGAGGCGGAGGTTGCAGTGAGCTGAGATGGCGCCACTGCACTCCAGCCAGAGCCACAAGAGTGAAACTTTATCTCAAAAAAAAAAAAAGAGAATATAAACTAATACAGCAAAAGGCTCAATTATTTTAACAGAGAGCACTAATGGCTGGGTGGAAATTGCCACTTCAGGTTTCTTTCTTATGAAAGCTTGCAGAAATTCACTGATCCCTTAATTATGGTGAGACTTAAAGGTTGCAGTTAGTGGAATAGAATTCTTCAGCTGTGAAATAAAAATTTCCCCCTTAGAACCTTTCTTCTTTGATATGATGGGATGAGAGTACTTTTCCTTCAGTTTCACTCGGAAGAAAATTTCTTATACCAGGCCAAGAGCTTATGGGGGTCCAGAACAATGACTAACATCTTCTGCTATACCTCGAGCAATACGGGTGAAATGAGACATGAAAAGCTGAAGAGTTAGGTATGGATGAAGAAACTGACAGGCCACTACTGATTTTTACCTAAAAGTGATTAAACATTACAACATTCTGTTTTAAGTTCTTATGTATCTAGGTTGTAGATCTTAAATATTTGTTGAATTATTTTTGCTTCCTAGTGTAACTCTGCAATCCAAAAGTAAATCTTAAATAAAAACATGAAAATACACATCCCATGCAGTAAAATTGCAAACACAAATTAAAGGAAGGAAGCTGGGCATGGTAGCACATACCTGTAGTCCCAGCTATCCAGGAGGCTGAGGCAGGAGGATTGCTTGAGCCTGGGAGGTCAAGGCTGCAGTGGACTATGACTGCACTCCAACCTAGGCCTGGGTGACAGAGCAAGACCCTGTCTCTTAAAAAAAAAAAAAAAAAAAAAAAAAAAGAGGAAGGAAAAAAGAGTCAGGCTTATTGGCAAAGTGATCCAATTTAAACAAACCAGGCCTAGGACAGTTGTTCACACTTCTAATCCCATCATTTTGGGAGGCTGAGGTGGGAGGTTTGCTTGAGGCCAGGAGTTTGAGACCAGCCTGGCCAACATAGCAAGACTCCATCTCTAAAAAAAATAAATTAGGCATGGTGGTGTATACCCACAGCCCCAGCTGCTTGGGAGCCTCAGGCGGGAGGATCACTTGAGTTTAGGAGGTCAAGGCTGTAGCGAGCTATGGTCACACCACGGTACTCCAGCCTGGGCGACAGAGCAAGATCCCATCTCTTTAAAAAAAAACAAAAACAAACAAACAAACAAAAAAATCAATAGATTCCCAGTAGTACTCCCTTGTACAGGGAGCCTGTGCAAGGCTGTAGAAAGTAACATTCTCAAGGGGATGTCCTGGCAGATAGTAAATGCTAAGTAAATAGATTTTGATGGATTGTGGTGGCATACAATGAATTTCAACAGGAATTTATTGGAAGGCCATTTACAGTCTAGTTGAGGAAAACCAGTAAGTGAGTAGAAGAGTCGCTACCCATAGGTACATTTAATGAATAAGTGATGTGGCTAGTCATTGGTGTGCCCATACTCAGGGATATCATTTAAGGCCCAAGTGGGCAGAGAAGGTTAAATAGGAGAGCGTATTGGGATTGGAGCTAAAGGATGAGTAGGATTTGGATGGATAGAAAGGAGAAGCACTCTAGGTAGCATAAGCAGAAGTGAGACACCAGGCTCAGTCTGCACTCAGGGAGCAGAGGACATGGTAACTGTTCACTAAGAGGGTTTATGATCAGGCTATTTGGTGAAGGGGGCTTCTTCTTCTGAAACGTGGACTTCATCCTGTCAGTATTGTGTTTCCATGAAAGATTTTGTGGATTTCGTTTTGTTTTAGTCAGAGTCTCGCTCTGTCACCCAGGCTGGAGTGCAGTGGCGCCATCTCAGCTTGCTGCAGCCTTCGCCTCCTGGGTTCAAGCGATTCTCCTGCCTTGGCCTCCCAAGTAGCTGGGATTATAGGCGCATGCCACCATGCCTGGCTAATATTTGTATTTTTAGTGGAGATGAGGTTTCACCCTGTTGGCCAGGCTGGTCTCAAACTCCTGACCTCAAGCGATCCACCCGCCTTGGCCTCCCAGAGTGTTAGGATTACAGGCTTGAGCCACTGCACCCTGCCTCCAGGAAAGATTTTGGAAGAGAGAAGTGACACAGAAGCAGTGAGTTTCTCAAACAATACACATCACTGGGGAATTTTGGCAAATTGCAGATTTTGATTCAGGAGGTCTGGGATGGGACCATGACTGGATGTATAGCAGGTTCCCAGGTGATGCTGATGCAGATGGTCCACAAATCACATTTTGAATAGCAGAGACACAGAGTACTATTTCCAGAAGATGGAGTTGACAATAGTGATTAGAGGGGCATGACACCACTTATAGCCCTTTTAGAGTAAAAAAGGACCCTAAAGATTATCAAGTGGTCCATTTGCCGTTTGTTGCCATTGGAAAAACCAAACCAAACAAAACAGGTTCTAAAGGTTACACTACAGCAGGGAGCAGAACTGGACTCCAGTCTCCCAGCTGACAGTACTTTCCATGCAGCCGTATGCTGGTAGCCCAGGTAGCTGTGAGGCGAAGGACTACAAGTGGAATGGATTCACTGGATGGATGCCAGAAACCTTGGGAAGAGAAAAGCAGTAGCTTTGGGCAGCTGATTTAGTGGGGAGTGAGAAGACTCCTAAGACAATAGATTTTTTTTTTTTTTGAGACGGAGTCACTCTGTCGCCCAGGCTGGGGTGCAGTGGCACGATCTCGGCTCACTGCAACCTCCTCCTCCCGGGTTCAAGCCATTCTCCTGCCTTAGCCTCCCTAGTGGCTGGGACTACAGATGCCGGCCTCCACGCCCGGCTAATTATTGTATTTTTAGAAGAGATAGGGTTTCACCATGTTGGCCAGGCTGGTCTCAAACTCATGACCTCAGATGATCCACCCACCTCAACCTCCCAAAGTGCTGGATTATAGGTATAAGCCATCACGCCTGGCTGACAATGTTGAATTTTAAGTCCTGGTAAAATCGACACATGTTCCATGAATTGACTGGAATAGAGAAGTCAGACAAGAGTGGAATGATTTCCTGGCAAGGGTGAGAATGTTGACTTTCAGGTTGCCCTGGGATCTACATGCCTGACCGCCCTGCACTAGTCCATGTGTTGACTGCTGGAGCTCATCTAGTGGGACGGCTGGTTCGTCTGAGACAGGTCAGCCAGGACTGAAAGGTTAAACAGCAGCCAGCAGGTCATGGAGTCAACGCTTGGACTCCCAGAACTTTGCAAATAGTTAGAGTCTCTTTGAATTTTCAATAAAAATAAAGACGTGATGGTATTTTTAGGTTTAAAACATGGAGAAAGGGGCCTCCTTTAAAAGGTGAGAAATAACCTACTTGAATCTGATCATATGGACCCATTTGTCATAAGCAGGAAACCAAATAAAAGCCAAGACTAGATAGTGTACAAAGTAATATAATTTTTTTTTTTTTTTTTGAGACTGAATTTCACTCTTGTTGCCCAGGTGGAGTGCAGTGACGCAATCTCGGCTCACAGCAATGTCTGCCTCCTGGGTTCAAGCGATTCTGATGCCTCAGCCTCCCAAGCAGCTGAGATTACAGGCCTGTGCCACCACGCTGGGCTAATTTTGTGTTTTTCGTAGAGATGGGGTTTCTCCATGTTGGTTAGGCTGGTCTCAAACTCCCGACCTCAGGTGATCTGCCTGCCTCGGCCTCCCAAAGTGCTGGGATTATAGGCGTGAGCCCCCACGCCTGAGCAATATATACATTTTTAAGTAGAGTTTATCTGGAAGTTTCTGTTCTTCTGGTTTATCTGTTACTTGGTAAGGATCTCTCCGGTGAAGAACACATATAATGTAGTTTGCCAACTGGGAGATACCACAACTCTACAGCCTTCTTGTAAAGTGATAAAAAAAACGTAAATCTGTGACCGGCAGCAACTTTCCACAGCAGTTCAGAGCTTGGGTCCTTCCATTAATTGCATGCATCAGTAGTAGCATGTGGCATTTTACTTTTAGCTGCATGTGGCTAAGCATCCGATCGCCTCTGGCTTTTTCCACCTCCTCCTTCCTGTACCTAGTGTGGAGGAGGAGAACTTGGCACTGAGCTGAGCTGGTGGGCGCCTGGTATTCTTCCTCTCCATTTTTGGAACAGAAGGGGGATTTGTCCCTCCTGCTTTTCCAGCTGTGAAGTTCATTTGGCTTGCAGCCTTGGCAGCATTAAGGGAGGAGGAACGTGTGGATTTCCACAGGAAGGTGGAGACAAAGTGGGAGTGGGGATGAGGGCATGATATTTGTTTTCCAGGATCTAATTCTGCCCTGGGTGGGTTTTTGAGTCTGGTATTTTGCACAATGGGATGTAGCTCCTAAAGCCAGAATGTCATCATTTAGGGTCAGAGACTTAGTTTTGTATTTGACCTAGTCCCTTTTAGTGTGGCTGTAGATGTGTGTGTGTATACATACACAAGCAGGTGAAAGCACACACAGGTACACATTTGTTTCGGTTTTGGTTTTGGCAAACTACTGATTTCATCTTGCAATACTTGGGTTTTGCTTTTGTTGTTGGATTTATTTATTTTTTTAGCTTCTGTATTAGATACAATAAATGTTTGTGGAACTATTTTTTCTACAAATTGTCCAATCTGACAATAAATGCATTTGAGGTTTTTCTCCCCAGTAAGATTTTTGATCACCTGATTCATTTTTCTTTTTAACTATACCATACTATAGCGGAGCCTCTTTTAGTCAAAGTATGAATATGAAATCATTTCAGCATGGTCCTTCTCTATTAATAATAAAATATACAAATTTTAACACATCAAGAAAATATTTCAATACTAGCCATGACCTAACTAGAGAAATAAAGTATTAATACTTTTGTTTCTTTTTTCTTTTTTTTTTTTTTTTTTGAGACGGAGTCTCTCTTTGTCGCCCAGGGTGGAGTGCAGTGGCGTGATCTCTGCTCACTGCAACCCCTGCCTCCCAGTTCAAGCCATTCCCATGCCTCAGTGTCCTGAGTAGCTGGGACTACAGGTGTGTGCCTTCACACCTGGCTTATTTTTGTATTTTCAGTAGAGACAGGGTTTCAGTATGTTGGCCAGGCTGGTCTTGAACTACTGATCTCGTGATCCGCCCGCCTCAGCTTCCCAAAGTGCTGGTGAGCCACCATGCCCGGCCTGTTTTAACATTTCTTAGGTAGCTTTTTAGCTTAATTGTTGGACTTAATTGTTACACTTAACTTGGGAGGGTTTCTTTAAGAGTTTGTAATGTTAATGAGATTTGTCATTCTTAAATTGTTATCAGAGTTAACTTTGGGGACTTTTATTAAGTTTTAAAAAATATATGAATAATTTGTATATGTATACTTTTTATTACAAAAGGAATTTGTTATATATATCTTTTATTATGTTTTAAAAATATATTAAAGTAATTGAAAAAGGTTATAAATTGAGAAGTAACCATTGGCGTGTAGAATTCTTTTAGATATTTTCTTCTGCATTTATAGACATACATATGTAGATAATTTAAAAACATAGGGGAACTGGAGATTTTTTTTTTTTTTTTTTTTTTTTTTTTTTTGAGACGGAGGCTTGCACTGTCCCCCAGGCTGGAGTGCAGTGGCGCAATCTTGGCTCACTGCAAGCTCTGCCTCCTGAGTTCATGCCATTCTCCTGCCTCAGCCTCCCGAGTAGCTGGGACTACAGGCGCCCGCCACCACGCCAGGCTAATTTTTTGTATTTTAGTAGAGATGGGGTTTCACCGTGTTAGCCAGGGTGGTCTCAATCTCCTGACCTCGTGATCTGCCTGCCTCAGCCTCCCAAAGTGCTGGGATTACAGGCATGAGCCACCGTGCGCGGCCTGGAGATCGTATTTTTAAGCTAATCTTTCATCTTTAGAAAAAAGTAATGCAAGACTACATGCTTGTAAAAAAATTCAGTGAGATATACTCTCAGCGTTTTTTTTCCTCTATGTGCACACATTCATATATGAACAAACATGCATGCGTTCATGTTGGGATATATTTGTATTTGTGTTTAGTTTTCACTGTTACACTTAACTTGGGATGGTTTCTTTAAGAGTTTGTAATGTTAATGAGATTTGTCATTCTTAACTAAGGTATCCATATGTGACTTAATGATGAACAATTCAATCTATAGGTCAAATTTCAAAATCTTCTCACCTCACCAGCCACAGAAAAAATTCACAATTCACTTTCTTTTTTTAATGTATTTAAAACATTTCAAACTAAGTTATAATGCCCTCACTTAAGGTTCAAGTTCAGCCACCAGTGTTGTGTGGCTCTCCCAGGTCATTCTGAGGAGTAATTTCTCATTAAATTCTGCGTAGAATATGCTTTTTCCAAGCAAAGTTTATGTGCATATCATATTCAGAAATTTTAAAGGATGTAGCCAGGTGCAGGGGCTTATGCCTGTAATCCCAGCACTTTTAGAGGCTGAGGTGGAAGGATTGCTTGAGGCCAGGAGTTCAAGACCAGCCTGGCCAACATAACGAGACTTGTCTCTATTGGAGGGGGTGAGGAAATAAGAAAAAAATATTGAAAGCATTGCTAGGTGAGGTGGCTCATGCCTGTAATCCTAGCATTTTGGGAGGCCGAAGTGGATGGATCCCGAGGTCGGAAGTTGGAGACCAGTCTGGCCAAGAGACCAGCCTGGCCAATATGGTGAAACCCCATCTCTACTAAAAATACAAAAATTATCTGGGCGTGGTGGTGGGTACCTGTAATCCCAGCTGCTTGAGAGGCTGAGGCAGGAGAATCACTTGAACCTGGGAGGTGGAGGTTGCAGTAAGCCGAAGATCGTGCCATTGCGCTCCAGCCTGGGAGACAGAGCCAGACTCTGACTCAAAAAAAAAAAAAAAAAAAGGATAGTATATTTACACTTAGGAAACAATAGTGAATACTTTTCTAATAAACTCTAAAGTTACATTCAACTTCAGAATGCATTTCTTCATGTCCCTTTGCAACATTTAGATGGAGTATCTAAATTTCATAAATACGATTTTTCCTTATGACCAAAGAAAGTCCTCCAGTACCAGGAAGGAGTCAAATTCTTGGTGGTTGAGCCACGTGCTCAAGATTGAGCAACAGTTAAGGAACTCTGATAGCTAATTCTTAACTTAGAAATGGTGATATTTCATGATTTGATGTCTGGGATTTTCTTCAAAGTAAAATGAGATGAACATGAAGTAACAGTAAAGGTATAGAGGAAACAAAATCAACTCTGAACTGCTGATTGTTGGAGCTGGGTAGTAGGAATTGGGGAGTTTATTATCCTCTTCTCTTTACTTTTGTATATTTAAAATTTTCTATAATCATAGGTTTGAAATGAGAGACATGATCATTGCAGCCTAATACAGTGCAATATTTTGACCTTAAGTGATAATTCAGGCTGACTATTGCCAAGATATACTTGAGTAAATGTTGTAAAAGCCACGAGATAATCCTTCCAGATATTGTCATGAATAAATGGTTGCACCCCATTCCTCATTTTGAAAACTCATGAGCAGGCCCATTTCCTTGGCAGTCAGCATGGCGGACTGTAATTCCCAAAGCTGGCCACAGCGATGTCTGCCATCCAGTGTTGCTCTCACGGTGTGGCTTTGGCACTCCCCCAGCTGAGAGAGGTGGCCGTGAACCCTGGGAGGGCTTGTGACTCTGGCAGATATCTTACCATAGGAGGCTGTTATAGGAGGCAATACAAATCTCAGCACTTTGGGAGGCCAAGGTGGGCGGATTGCTTGAGCCCAGGAGTTCGAGACCAGCCTGGGCAACATGGTGAAACCCCATCTCTACACAAAGTACAAAAAAAGTAGCCAGGCATGATGGCATGTGCCACCTAGAGGCATGTGCCTCCCAGCTACCTGGGAGGCTGAGGTGGAAGGATCCTTTGAGCCTGGAAGGTCAAGGCTGCAGTGAGCCATGATCTCGCCACTGAATTCCAGCCTGGGCAACAGAATGAGACCTTGTCTCAAAAATAAAAATAAAAATAAAAATTAAAAAAAACAAAAAACCAAAGGGGCAATACAGCTGCTGCCTGCCTTTCTCCATATGCTTACTCTTGCAACCCAGCATCCTGCTGTGAGGAAGCCTCAGCAACCCGTGCAGCCCTAGCATCAGCTTCCAGACATTTGAGTGAGCAAGCTTTCCAGTGATTACAGCCCACCCATCAAGTCATCCCCAGCTTTTGCATGTTCCCAGCTGAGGCTCCAAACACTGTAGAGCAGAGCAAGCCTTTTCTGCTATTGCCTTTCTGAATTCATATTCACAGAACCTGTGAACATCATAAGGTGCTTGTTGGTTTATGCCACTACATTTGGGATGATTTGTTACACGGCAGTAGTAAATGAAACAGTCGGTGTATGTTAGGGGAGGAGAGAAGGTTCTTATTTCTCAGTGTACAACATGCCCAAAAGTTATACATATTTACACATATACTCAATGATTGTTTTGATGAGGTTCACAATGTTTACTATTTCTGTCTACATTGTGACATCCAGATCGGGAGCTGTAGTGTAAACCATCAGCTATTCTCTGAATAAAGGGGTCATGGCTGAGCAGTCAGGTGCATGGCACATGGCACATTATAGGAATTACTCTTCTGCTCTTTTGTCATTGACATCATGTGACACTCATCAGTGTTATAATAACGGAATTTTGCCAATAGTTTATTCCATTTTTCTTTCTCCAATCATTTATAGGTCCTTAACTTAGTGGATGACTTTACAAGCTTCTCCTCAGTTGTGCAATATTTTTACTTTAGAATGTGTTTGCTAGAAGACATGCATCTAAATGATGACTGTAATCTCTTATCCTCGGGGGATAAAATTAAGAAGACGTCCTGAAAAAGTTATTCTCTTACTTGGTCTTAAAAAAAACAAGTCACTAGAAATATCACTATACAAGATCTCCTGCTCAACATCAGTAAGCTGCCCTTGATAAAACAAACGTCCTGCATGAAAACATTGCCTGTCTCCATGATTTTAACATTATATGTCAAACTATAGCCCCAATCAATTTTCTGAAAAGTAGCTAAACAAGCTGGGCGTGGTCATGAACTATAGTTCTAGCTACTTGGGAGGCTGAGGAATGGCTTGAGCTCTGGGCACAAGACGGCATTGCGTGATGATCACGCCCATGAATAGCCACTACACTCCAGTGTGGGTAACATAGCAAGATGCTGTTTCTTTAAAAAAAAAAATTTGTTTAAATAGCTAAAAGAATCAAATGCCTATTATAAGTAGCAAATGAACATGCTAAGATGAAATGATTAAAATTTTGCTTCCCTATCATCAAACATTTAATATGGTTGTTAATAAGCAACTACTTTGTATGCAGGGGCAGGTACGTTTTGCATAATGTACCATATATGTTACGTTTGTGATATGACATGGCAAATGATGCACTTAGCAAATAAAATCTATTCAAAAAAATGCAGATAAATAAAAGAAGATCGTTTCCTAGCATGACTATTATGATTACTAGTGAGGTAGAAACTTAGAGCTTGAAGAAAAGGTAAAAATGGAGGAGGGGAGGTGAATTGAACCAGTCACTTTTGCTGATGGTTATAGAAGGTCATGGGCTGCAATTGGGTGTTAAAGGAGCAATTTCAGAGAAAATTTCAGACAAACTAACAGTTTAGTTTCATCATCACTCTGAGTTCTCTGTACCAACTCCTGAATAGGAAGGAAGATTTGGGATTAAAAAATTGCTAATTATACTTTTGCTTACCTCCTGCCATTTAAGTTTGTAAATTTCTCTATGTGAGGCTGAAAGGTTAGGTCCTGGAAAATTGTGATTGGTCTGTAAGCACCAGAAATGTCCAAAAGTATATATCCCCTTTGTTAACTGCACCTGAGCCTGACATCCTACCATTCACATTTGGAATATATAACTCAAAACATTGTCCATATACTGTTTGGTAGAAATGGTGTATCAAGTTTGGTACAGAAATATGTCTGTCATGAACAGCGGCAGCAATGAAAACCAGGAGGAGGTTAATGAGAGTTCTATGGAGGTTTTACGCCACTGTGATAACTGTTTATAACAAGGGCCTGAGATTAGGGGAAGAGTGAGTTGCCAGTTCATTAAATTCTTGTCCATTAAAACCCATTTCTCTTTCTGGCCGCTTGTCTACAGTCATCCCATTCTCAGATGTACTCATCCCAGCACATTCTTTTTTTTTCATTGTGGCAAAAAAAAAAAAAAAAAAAAACCAAAACAAACAAAAAAAAAAACCACGTAACATAAAATTCACACTCCCAACAGTTTACCCAAGTGTGCGGTGCAGCGTTGTCAGCCACATGCACATTGTTGAGCAACAGATTCCCAGAACACTCCCCCACAATCCTGCATGAAAGTGCATTCATTCCGATACTCTATATTCGTGCTGGATTCCTGTTCCTTATTTAAAAGTATAACTTTGCTCTGAGTTATACTTATTTTAATACTTTATTGCTACTTTTATACATCAACAAAAGGTTTTCGGTATTGGTGTAGTTTTATAATTGTGTTAATGATGAAAAGGGCAATTGAACAATTAGATGCATGTGAAAATGCATAATTTACATAATTTATTTTTATCACAGGTAATTTGTTTATCTAAATACTCTTCGTTTTCTTTTACTTTCAAAGGAGATACAGCCTCCTTGAACTATGAAATGAGGGTGTTACACCATATGGTTTTATCTGTAATATTCTTTGATTCTTCTGCCTCTCACAATTTAATGATATTTCAGTGCATTCTTAATATCAAGTATTTATATTTCATTTATCAACTCGATACCGCGCGAGTGTTTGTTTTTAAATTTCCAGATAGGTCAGTTCATTTGTGTTAGGGAAGTATAGTGATTTTTAAGGCTGCAAGATAACATTCAGTTAGCTTCCCAACTTCCTAAAGACATTAACAACTTCTCCTAAGCTATTAAGTGCTCTGAATACATTTAGAACTTTAAAATTGGATTGGGGCTGGGCGCGGTGGCTCATGCCTGTAATCCCAGCACTTTGGGAAGCTGAGGGGGGCGGATCATGAGGTCAAGAGATCGAGACCACCCTGGCCAACATAGTGAAATCCCATCTCTACTAAAAATGCAAAAATCAGCTGGGCGTGGTGGCGCATGCCTGTAATCCCAGCTACTTGGGAGGCTGAGGCAGGAGAATCACTTGAACCTGGAAGGCGGAGGTTGCAGTGAGCCGAGGTCATGCCACTGCACTCCAGCCTGGTGACAGAGCTAGACTCTGTCTCAAAAAAAAAAAAAATTGGATTGGAAGTCTAGTGTCGTTGGAAAACAGCTAAACTCAAATGGGTTGCAGTAAATTCAGTGTCTTAGTGACCAACTAAGTATATCCACAGAATTATTTCACCATGAACTGTCAGTCCCCTTGACTGAAATTGTGCTTTTTTTCTTCTGAAATAAAATTGTCAGCAGAGTCTGGCAACAAAGTTTGGAAAATATTTCAATCTTAGGGGGCTAGAGCTCTCATTTTAAAAGTATTTTAGTTTTCCCAGAAAATCTGTTTATCTCTGCCATCTCCTCCCACTCTATACCCCAACCTTTCCCGAATCCTCCCCTCTCTTCTTACATGTCTATTTGTCTTTCTCGCGTGTGACATGTTTGGAAGTCCCGTTAAACTGGCATCTGTTCTGTTTTAGGAGAAACCCGATGCTAGCCCCACGTCACTTCAGCTGCGGTCCCAGATCGAAGTAAGCACAATGACTTTAATCATCTAGTTTTGCTTCTGCCTTTTTTTTTTAAGTGACACTCTGTACAAATCAGATGAAGCCTGCTGCTCTGACCACACTGACTATACGAATCTTCTCTCGTAGGAGTCGCTTGGCTTCTGTAGCGCCGTGTCAACCCCAGAAGTGGAAAGAAAGTAAGTCTTTCTCCCTCTGCCCAGGACCACCTTCCAAGAAGGTGTCTTTTAGGTCCATGCTGACGGAAATCAAACAGGCGATCATGTGCGTATGTACTATGGAGTTATGCGATGTCATTTTCCTTAACATGTTGCATGCATGTGTGTGTATCTAGGTGGCTAAGAGTGTGTTTTGTAATGCAGTTGGTGATGTCTGAGGATTTTGTGAAGAGTTACTGATTTTACACTTATTGTGAATAAACCCTAAATAAATCTCCGGAAATAGAAAGGGAAAGGATAGGTGCATTAACCAAGATGGATTTTCATCTTTTACATTAATTTTTAATGTAGGATAAAAGTTATCAAGAAGCAAGATACAAATATAAAATATACTATATTCCAGAATAAACCAATGATTAAAAACCCGTCTTCTGCACCTCATTTTGGTAGGTGACCTTAAAACAACAGTGAATGTGTGTGTTAAAAAATGGCAAATGATCCCTAGCGTTTCCTGTTAAAGGTAATATTTTTGCTTCCTTGACCCAACTTGGACCCTGTAATTTCTGCTCTCATGGAAGCTAATTTTATGTTTCTTGTTATATTTTCAGTATTTCTTTTAGGCAACATAAATAAGACAAAAACAAGAGAATCTTTTTTCTAAAACCTTTTCTTTTTCTGCTTTATTGCATCATCATTGTACTAGAATGTTCTATTTGTGATCTTCCATGGTAAAAAATTTTAAAGAAAGTCCACATCTCTAAACAGACGCTTCCTTTGGCACGGAGCCACTTGTACGTTCATGCCAAGGGAGGCACAGAAGTGGTTTAGGCATCAAGTATTTCTGGAATGCAAAGCACACGTTGGGGAGAGCGTGTGTGTGCTTTAGAGCACAGCTTTGCCTAATCCATCCACGTGTGTGTGCTGCTGGCACAGGCGGTTCTGGGAGGAGGGCTGCTTTGCCAGAAAGCTATAATTCTAAACTTAAGAGGCTTTGTGGGTTTTGTTCTGGTCTGAGGAACGTTGTGGGTGATGTACCATAGCAAACCAAGGCCACTGCCCACTCAGGTTGAGAAGATAACTGTGCACACCCCATCAGCTTTTTTTGTTTTGCTTGCCTTGCCTCCTCCCAGGAACCTAGTAATATGGAGGCTGAAATAGACAAAAAAGGCTCAAGTTGACATTGACTTTGAACTTGGAGGTATTGTGGTGGGGTAGAAGCATCGAGTGAACGGGCTGTAGCTTTTCCTGCCCTAGTTTATTATGTGCCATGATTCAGGCTGAGAGCTCAGGTGTTCCCTCAGAATCTCTGAATCCTTCAGGAAACGAGAAATGTTTGCTCTTCCTCCTAAGAGGAAGTGACTCACCAAATTTGTACTAACCTTAGTTAGGCTGGGTAGTACTTCTTCCCCTCAATTGTGGAGAGTCATTCTTTCCGTGTTTATATCCTTTACTTAGTAAAATGTGGCATGGCTCTTGTGGCTGAGAGAGACTGATGGCCTCCTCTGAGGTTAACAAAAAATTTTAAACACACGCCCACTGTCTCCATTTGTAATATTGTCATTTTGCCTCTGTAATTTTAAGTGGTTCAAACTTAATGTGTTTCTAAACAATTTGAAAGTTTAAAAACATTTTGTCCTTTATTTCTCTGTTAATGGCTTTTGAAAACTATGCTATCCTTTGCTTTTAACTTAAAAACACTTTCTTTTGAAAACTTTTATGGCTGGGTGCAGTGGCTCAGGCCTGTAATTCCAGCACTTTGGGAGGCTGAGGTGGGAGGATCACTTGAGGCAAGGAGTTTGAGATCAGCCTGGGCAACATAGTAAGACCCTGTCTGATCCAGCACCAGCCCCCCGCCCCCAGCCCCCCCAAAATTAGCCAGGTGTGGTGGTGCCCACCTGTAGTCCCAGCTACTCGTGAGGCTGAGGCAGGTGGGTCCCCTGAGCCCAGGAAGTTAAGGCTGCAGTGAGTTGTGATCATGCTTGGGTGAAAGAACAAGACCCCATCTCAAAAGAAAAAAATATTAAAATAAATTTAAAGTTACAGTAAAGTTTCAAGGATTGAGAATTGTGCAGTGAATGTTCATGTAATCTTCACGTGGGCCACCAGTTGTTGACATTTGCACACTCCTGAGCTTTCTCTCTCTCTCTCTCACACACCCCCTGCCCCCCACATACACCACCATTAATTATTATTACTGCTGGCCTGTTTGAGAATAAATGGTAGACATCATGATTGTCACCCCTAAATGCTTAAGCAAATATTTCCTAAGGACAATGACATTCTGTTACAGAATAATATAGTATAATGACCAAATACAGGAAACTTAATAACTTTTTCTAATACATAGTTTCTATTCAAGTTTTTCTTTTTCTTTTCTTTTCTTTTTTATTTATTTATTTATTTTTGAGAGGGAGTATCGCTCTGTCGCCCAGGCTGGAGTGCAGTGGCGTCATCTCGGCTCACTGCAACCTCCACCTCTTGGGTTCAAGCTATTCTCCTGCCTTAGCCTCTTGAGTAGCTGAGATTACAGGCACCCGCCACCATACCCGGCTACTATTTTTTGTATTTTAGTAGGGACAGGGTTTCACCATGTTGGGCAGACTGTTCTCGAACTCCTGACCTCAAATGATCTGCCCGCCTCAGCCTCCCAAAGTGCTGGGATTACAGGGATGAGCCACCGTGCCAGCTGTATTTGTTTTACTAATTGTCCCAATAATGTCTCTTTTAGCAGTGTTTTTCCAATCCAGCACTTTTTAGAAAAAAAAAAAAAAAAAAAAAAATGGCTCACGGCATGTTGGTGTCACGTCTTTTGTCACATTTAATCTGAAAGGGTTTCTTAGCCTTTTTCAGAGTGTAAGCTAGTTGTTTGATGAAGTATTTGTTGTTTAGGGTTTATTTGTTTTTGTGTTTTTTTGCGCCACAGTGCATTATATCGGGGGCCCGTGATGTCCGTTTATTTCATTATTAGTGATATTAATTTTGGTCATTCACTTAAGGTGGTATCTGCCAGGTTTTCTCTGAGAAGTTACAATTTCTTCTTTGTAGTGAATATATATATAATATATATATTATATATAATACATATTATATATTTTTATATATATTTTATATATATGTATGTATGTATATACATATATTGTGAGGTGATCCTCTGAGACCGTGAAACTATTATGTTTCTCATCAAACTTTTACCTGTTGGTTTTAGATTCTTTCCATGATTCTTGCCTGAATCAGTGTTACTGTGATGGTTGCAGAAGGGTGATACTTATTCTTGCATTGATGATTATTTTGTATAAAATCTCCCAAGAGGTTTTGTGTTTAAATTTCATTTGCTTTTAAAGATGTATCACCCTGAAAATCCTAAGTCAGATTATAATTTGAATAGGTTTGATGCATTGTCGCTATAGAATAATTTATACATTGTATTTGAAGATGCAAATAGACAATCTCACTATTCCCTTACATCAAAATGCTTGCTGGGAGCCTTGCTGTTGAGTACAGGACCCTCAAAGGGTGACCTGGCGAACCAGTTGGCTGTGTCTGGTTGGTGTCTGCAAAAGTCTCTGCCAACCAAAATATCATTCTGCGTCAGAGTGGTGTTCTGTGGGCAGAAGTTTTCTCTGCTTTTTATTCCAAAAACAAGAGAACTTAGAAAACACATGTGGGCAAGACCTGCAGGGGCCCACCCTTAGAAGCAGAAATGCAAAGAAGGAGGCAGCGTGGAAGCTGAGCACTGCTCCTGCGACTCCTGCCTCGCAGATCCAGTCTCCCAGCTTGTCTCAGGGACCCCCTGTGTGCACGCCTCTGTCCTCCTTGCCCAGCTGAAACCTATTCTAAGGGAGGTATCTGGCCTTAATTATGTTTCAAATGTCTGTTTCTAAAAAATAACATCACTTCTGTCAGTAGTATTTAGCATTTAACAGGGTTTAAAGTCTCAAGTCACAGGAAGTTAGCTCTGACCAGAAGAGGGGGAGGGAGAGAGACAAGCAGTGAGATTTCCGACATACCTGGCATCTCAGCATCTATTGTGGATGCCCCTGCCAAGTGGGGCTGCTGACCTCTAGATGTGCTTGACCTGCATATACAAGAGGTGGGTTGATAGGTAGGTGATAGGTAAGTAGGTGTGTGGAAAGAAAGAACAGACCCTCCCTACCCCATTATGAGTTTGGTGGGGTCCCCATTCATCCTTATTTTCTTACACTATCTGGTCTCTCCATATGCTTTCACTGGAAGTTTAATAAAGAAGGCCAAGGGAGATTTCATTTGAGCCTCTTCTCTTTATATCTATCTACATCGCTTATTGATGAGACTATCTGTTACTGGAAGGGGGTCCTGATCTAGACCCCAAGAGAGGGTTCTTGGACCTCATGCAAGAAAGAATTCAGGGCAAGTCCATAGAGTAAACTGAAAGCAAGTTTATCAGAGAAGTAAAGAAACCAAAGAATAGCTACTCCATAGGCAGAGCAGTGGCATGGGCTGCTCGACTGAATAGACTTACAGTTGATTTTTGATTATATGCTAAACAAGGGGTGAATTATTTATGAGTTTTCTGGGGAAAGGGCAGGCAGTTCCCAGAACTGAGCATCCCTCCCTTTTTAGACCACATAGGGTAACTTCCAGATGTTGCCACGGCACCTGTAAACTGTCATGGTGCTGCTAGGAGTGTCTTTTGGTGTGCTATTGCATTATAATTCACATATAATGAGCAGTGAGGATGACCAGAGGTCACTTTCATCGCCATCTTGGATTTGGTGGGTTTTGGCAATCTTCTTTACTGCATCCTGTTTTATCGGCAGGATCTTTGACCTGTATCTTGTGACACCAGTCCTGCCAACCTCCTGTCTCATCCTGTCACTAAGAATGCCTAGCCTTCTGGGAATGCAGCCCAGCAGGTCTCAGCCTTATTTTACCCAGCCCCAGTTCAAGGTGGAGACGCTCTGGTTCAAATGCCTCTGACATACCTGCTTTATTGCTCAATCTCGGATTTGTGTCAACTGGCTGAACAGGTGAAATTAACTAATTTTCTATTACCAGACACTTTTAAGAATATTTAGAGGGTAAGGCTTTTCTTGAGAGGGCTGGGAAATAGCTTTATAACTACAACAAATGAGTTTAGCTACGAGTCGCAGAAAACCTGACAAATAGTGATTCCTTAGACACATCTGAGTTCCATGAATGGGTCCAGGGCTGGCTCCATGACTCAAGTCGGCCTTCAGAAACCCAGATGGCTGGACTGCTTTCTTTTTTCTTCTTTCTTTTTCTTTCCCGTCATAGCCTCAAAGTGGCTGCTGCATCTTCTAGGTGGGAAGAAAAAGCAGGGCGAAGAGAGGGAAGAAGGCAGTAGGTCCCAAGGCTAAACCTTGTGCTTTGCAGAGCTTTCCTAGAAACCCTGTCCACCACATTCCAGTGTGTGCCACTCATTTCCTCGTGCAGCAGCTGTTTGCTGACCAACTACCGGTTGTAGAAGGCTCCCTTCAGGGGGCCCAGGATATAGTGATGGACAGAACTGTCACGAGCTTACGTTTGAAGGCAGGGGCATATACTAGAACAAAAATTACATATTTAAAGTCATGGTATGGAGAAAAATAAAGCAAAGAAAGGGGACCCAGAATTGGGTCACTTGACCACCATAGCTATAAGGGAGTTTAGAGAAGTGAGCATTTTTAACGGAGCACATTGCTATCCTGAACAACATAGGGTTCTTTTTTTTTTTTTTTTTTTTTTTTTTTTTTTTTTTTTTGAGACGGAGCCTCACTCTGTCGCCCAGGCTGGAGTGCAGTGGCGCGATCTTGGCTCACTGCAAGCTCCGCCTCCCAGGTCCACGCCATTCTCCTGCCTCAGCCTCCCCAGTAGCTGGGACTACAGGTGCCCGCCATCATGCCCAGCTAATTTTTTGTATTTTTAGTAGAGACGGGGTTTCACCGTGTTAGCCAGGATGGTCTTGATCTCCTGACCTCATGATCCGCCCGCCTTGGCCTCCTAAAGTGCTGGGATGACAGGCGTGAGCCACCGTGCCTGGCCAGGGTTCTTTTCTTAAGGAAAGAGGGTGAATAGACATTGCGTAGGAGACTAGCAGTATTTTCTATGAAAAGTTTAACTTTTATTTGTATGCATGTAAACAAAGGAATCTGAAAATTACCTAGATGTCTGACAAGCTGTGTGTCAAGATTCTTTAGTGTCATTACATTCAAGGAAGCCAACTGTAGGGAGGGCCACCTGGCTATTTTGTAATATGTTTATGGAGGAAATCTTCATGGGGTGGTTTATATAGACTAAAAATTGAAAAGGCATAGACAGGTAATAATAGGTGATGCTTATTGAGTTCTTATTATGTGCCAGGAACTGAGCTAAGCACTTAACATTGACTCACTTAATACAAAAATCCTACGAGATGACAAATGGTATGATTCCCATCTACAAATGCAAAACTAAAGGACAGAGGTAAGTTGCCCAGGGCCACACACTTACTAAGAAGCAGTACACAGATTTGATCCCAGTTAAGAACCCATAACCCTAACCACAGAGCTGTAATTCCAAAGTCCTTAGAATGCATTGCTTATGCAAATACAGAGGCTAGTGGCAAATCGTGTTCGTTAGCATCAAATAAACAGCAGCAGGTAAAACCTACACTTCAGGGCTCCCTTGAAAATAGGAGCAAATTCTACCCTCATCCAGATATAAGCTAGGTCCCAGTTATTTATCTGTAGAGGCAGGAAGGTCCAAAATAAATCTCAAAACTTCACCTAAGCCAATATTTATAACTTCTTTTCTACTAAGTCTTTCACTGGAGTTGAACATTCACTGATTTAGTTTCACTTTTTTTCATTATCTGTGGCTACACTTGAACTATTTTATGGTGAAAAAGTCCAAAAATATATAGCACGATGGAAAAGGAAGGTAAATAAAAGTAGAGAAGGCCAATAGAGCAGTGTTCTGTGGTGAAATAAAGAGGATCGAATATAGTTTATAAATGTTCTCTGCGGACACTTACTCTCCTTGGACAATGCTTCGCTCTCAGGTATGTTTTATCTGGCAAGCTGATTACTCTTTTGATAATGTCAGCTTTCCTTTTCTCCCTCTCAAAGATCTTTGTCTTCACCCTCTTTCCTCTGACTGCAGGGAAGAAGTCCCAGCACACACATGCCTGTTGCAGTCCCTCCAACTCCCTGCTTTGGATCATCTGCTGCTCTCTTGATTGCTTGCACCACTGATCTGATCTTGTCGTCATCCTCCTCCCCTTCCTTCTCCTCCTCCTCCTCCTTTTCCTCCTCTTCTTCCTCTTGTTCTTCCTCCTCTTCTTCTTCCTCTTCTCCTCTTCCTCCTTCTCCTCCTCCTCATCCTCCTCCTCCTCTTCCTCCTCCTCCTCCTCGTCCTCCTCTTCCTCTGTGGTCTGCCATCCACCTACCTGGCCACCTTAGCCCTTGCTATGTGCTCCCTAGGCAGAGCAAAAGCCGCTGCAGTTTCTCAGACAGGCCCTATTCTCCCAGGGCGTGCTGAGCCTTGGAAATGCTGCTCCTTCAGCGGGATACTCTGTCTCCCACTCTCACCATTACCCCCCGCTGCCCACTCCCCGACCTTTCCCTGGGCAAGCTCCATTCAATCTTAAAACCTCAGCTCTGGGGTTGGCCCCTCCCAGAATTCTCCCGTAATCCACAGACTTGAGGTGAAGTGGCCTGGTACTTGGCCTCTACACCCCCTGGACTCTCCTGCTTCTATTGCAGTGGAGAGAGTGTGTGTGTGTGTGTGTGTGTGTATGTGTGTGTGTGCGTGCGTGCGTGCGTTGTCACCTTCCACCCTGAACTCCTTGAGCCCTAGATCTTTTGCTTCTCTCCTGGCACACAGAAGATATTCCATAATGTTGAATAAATCGATTGAGTGAGTGAGCATGCACAAACATGCTTAGGTCTTCTTTACTCTAGAAAAATCTTCTTGCCGTTCTTCCAGACTATGTTTCTTTTTCTCTCTTTCCCTAGTTGCTAAACTTTTGCCATGAAGCCTGGCTCCTGTCTTCATTCCCTGATGAAATGTTATTTCAGAGGTCAGTGGCTTCATAGGAACCTAACCAGAGGCCTCTCCCCACGTGAGTCCCTGTTGCATTGGGTCCTGCTGACTTTTCCCCGGGTCACACTTCTCTCATCTCCCTTGGTGGCTGCGACTTTGCCACCAAGTTTCGAGTTTCTTCTCCTTTATGTGCACTCTGTGCAGCTCTGCCCACCCCTTCCTGTGAGTGCACCCCAGGCTTTTTACCCAGCCTGTGAGCTCTCCCAAGGCTCTTACCTGCGCCCATGGCTTTGAGCTCTTTAGGTACTCATTGTAGATTTAACTCTCTCGCTCTGACCTTTGCAATCTGGTGGCCTGCCTATTACAGCCTCTTGCTGAAAAATGCCTGCTCACTAATATCTCAGCCACCCAAACTGCCCATTCATATAACATAATTCACCACTTCCTCTTGACCCTTCTCTAACTACCTGCTCTTTGTCCACACTTCCCTCTCTCTATCCTTGAGAAACTTTTCTGCCCTTCACCCAGACTTTTTCATCATGCTGTCCTGCTTTTTTTCCTTGACCCTTGATTGTCAGTTGCCAAATCCTGTTTTTCAACTTCTATAGTCTTTCCTTTGTTTCCCTCTGTTTTAGTCCATTTTGTGTTGCTGTGATAGAATACCCGAGACTGGCTAATTTCATTTCATTTCTTTTTTTTTTTTTTTGGAGACAGAGTCTCACCCAGGCTGGAGTGCAGTGGTGCAAATCTCGGCTCACTGCAACCTCTGCCTTCTGGGTTCAAGTGATTCTCCTGCCTCAGCCTCTCGAGTAGCTGGGACTACAGGCATGTGCCACCACGCCCAACTAATTTTTGTATTTTTAGTAGAGACAGGGTTTCACCATATTGGCCAGGCTTGTTATGAACTCCTGATCTCAAGTGATCCACCTGCCTCAGCCCCCCGAAGTGCTAGGATTACAGGTGTGAGTCACCGTACCTGGCTGAGACTGGCTAATTTCTTTCTTTTTTTTTTTTTCTGAGACGTAGTTTCGCTCTTGTTGCCCAGGCTGGAGTGCAATGGTGCAATCTCGGCTCACTGCAACCTCCACCCATTGGGTTTAAGTGATTCTCCTGCCTCAGCCTCCCGAGTAGCTGGGATTACAGGCATGCACCACCATGCCCGGCTAATTTTGTATTTTTAGCAGAGACAGGGTTTCTCCATGTTGGTCAGCCTGGTCTCGAACTCCCGACCTCAGGTGATCCACCCGCCTTGGCCTCCCAAAGTGCTGGGATTACAGGTGTGAGCCACTGCGCCCAGTCGGAGACTGGCTAATTTCTAAAGAAAAATGTTTATTTAGCTCAGGGTTCTGCAGCCTGGGAAGTTCAAGAGCATGGCCCTGGCTTCCGGGGAGGGCCGTCCTGTGGGGTGATAACATGGTGAAAAAGGCCAAAGAGGAAGTGAATATGTGTGAAGAGCCAGGACCAAACAAGAGAGTAACCTCACTTTATAACAGCCCACTCTCTCAGGAACTGATCCATTTCCATGGAAATTAATCCAGGCCCTCAAGAGGGAGAACTCACTCACTACCACAAGCATGGCAGCAAACCATTCGTGAGGGATCTGCTCCCGTGACCCAACACCTCCTGCTAGGCCCCACCTCCCAACATCACCACACTGGAAATCAAATTTCATCATGAGTTTCAGTGGGGACAGAAAGACCATACCCAAACTATAGCACTCTCTGTTTATTTTTAATCTTTATTGTTCCAAGTGAGACCCTTAATGCTCTTTCCGTGAACTAAAGAGCATTCAAGAAATTGCTTTTGGATTTATCTCCCGAAAATACACTCAGGCCACATCTCATTGAGGGGATGCTCAGCTCTCCCCAGTGACATCTATAAATTAGGACCTGTCTAGGTTTTCACCTTGGTAATCAGTGGCCCCTACATATATCCCTAGCCCTTCTTTATTGCTCAGTCTCCCCAGCAATAACCTCATACCTCCATATAACCCCAATTCCAGCCCAACTGGATATTACGATTACCCAAATGCCCCCTTGGCTGTCTGAATTTCATGCATTGGAAGCATTTCCTTCCTTCAAGTCCTATTTGAAGGACTGCTTCTCACTGAGTACTTTCTCAGTCTCTTAACTGTCTGTATCCTCTCCTCTCCTTGGACTCTAGTAGCATTTTCCATGGATCTGATGTCTCTTAATGTACTTTAACACGTATCATATCATCATTGTTGTTAACATCATCATAACGTGGCTTCTCGGGTGATGTCTATGTACTGGGTACTGTGTGAATCTCTTATTATATGTTATCTTTTTTTTTTTTTTGTATAAACTCATTGAGGTATATATTATATTTGAGACTCATTAGCTTGCCTAAATTTCCAGAGCTAGAGGCAAACATCTCAATCCATTCTGAGTGTCATTATAGCCTTGGAATTAAGATGCCCTACCTGATACCAGACTCTCTGGGTTCAAATCCAGGTTGTCTTCCTTACCAGCTCTGTAACTCTTGGGCAAGCCACTTGACCTTTCTATCTGTAGTTTCCACAATTATCAAATGAAGATGATCATTATAGTGCTTACCTCACTTAGCCATCAAGAGCATAGTAAGTGCTTGATAATCTTGTCTGTTATCTATCTTGTCTGGCCCACATTCATGCCTTTGCCTGTGGCTTGAGCCACTTGTATACTTCCCTAATCCCAGAAGAACCAACATAGTCATGAGCCCTGAGGCTGAGAGCTCACTCTTCTGATTTTCTTCAGTGTCCAGAATAATGGTTTGCACAGAGCAAGTGCTCATTTAGTACTTGCATTGAATTCACTGAATGCCCCTAGTTATTTGAAATAGGGCTACAAATGGATTGTTCCCAGGACTGGAATTTCAGAGAAGCTACCTTGGGCTTACTCGTGACCCAACATGTGTCAGTGTCTCCCCAGACTGACGGTGTGAATAAAAAGTGCTTTCGGCTTGTAAATATCAACATTATAAAGACACCTCTAAATAAACATTTGACATAGTAGCTTCCATAAATTGCCAAATCTTTTTCTAAGGGTTGCCCCCCTTTTCTTACCGGATTCTATTTCATAGTCTGGTTCAAGTCTCCCTAGATTTTCCTCTTCTAAAATAGAAACAACTGCTGAGCACGGTGAGATGCGCCTGTAGTCCTAGCTACTCGGGAGGCTGAGGCAGGAAGATTGCTTGAGCTCAGGAGTTTGGGACTAGCCTGGGCAACACAGCAAGACCCAGTCTCTTAAAAGAAAGAAAGGAAGAAAGAAACAACAGACGACATAATACCTTCAGATGAAGGTACAATACCAAGAAACTCATACGTAATATTGTGATTTAGAAAATCATGCTGTGGAATTATCAGTCCGCCTTTGGAAGTAGACCAGATTCAGTGAAAAGGGCTGATGAGGTCTGTGAGTTTGCTAGGAAATCCAGGTCAAGCCACGTCCCCTGGTGCTGACATGAATGCATCCTGTCTCCACATCCTGTTTGTGGCGGGGCTGTGGTGTAGGGTGGAGACACCCATGTTTTCCCCCAGGGAGCATGTGTGTGTGCCCTGCGCCTGGGGCCTGTGTGTATGGGAGTGAGGATGTCACACAGAGGCATGCCCTTCAGAGTGGGTCACAGGGCGCTTCTGCCCCACGGAGGTGGATGTGTCCTTCTGTGCCCAGCATCTTCTCGGTCCCCATGAGCTGTTAGAGCATCCCTAAGATAACCAAAGGCAACTGGAGCCATCATTATTTGTTTTTTCAGGCACACTAGGGTGGGAAGCATAGGCAAAATGGCAAACTTAATTTTCAGAAAATAAATGGACTGGCCCAAGAGCCAGGTGTTGTTATGATATTAGGTACTCTTCTGCCTTAATCAGTAGAGGCTGAGGGCATGAGGGCCAGGTCACTGGCCAGGAGGCTCGTCCATCTGTGACTTGTCCTCTTTGCCACTTCATCTTCTGGGCTTCAGCTCCCTCGTGGGCATGGTGAGGAGTGTGAGTCAGGTGGTCTCCAGGGTCCTTCTAGCTCAGGCCATCTTTTGTTTTCTGCTCCAGTCTAAAGCATGCCCTGCACCGATCAATTTAGCTTGGACTCTGCATATCCCACTATGTTGTAGCTGGCCTAGGCTCTGGAGCTGGACAGAATCTGAGCGTGAGTTTACGCTCCGCTAGTTGTGGGACTGGGAACAAGTTATTCGAATTCTTTACGCCTCAGGTTTCTATTCAATAAAGCATGCACAAAAACAGCTCTTTTCAAGGGTGGTGCTGTGAAATGCCCAGCACACTGCCTGGCACGCGATAGGTGCTCACATTCTGCTGTTCCCTCCCCTCACCCCCTCTGTAATGTGCAGTGCTGCCCCTGGTGAGGGCAGTGAGTCTGTGGTGTCTCTTCTCAGGCTCATTAGACGGTGCCATACACACAGAGCTTATCACTGGCCATGGTCCCCTAAAATATGCCCTTCCCACATGACCTTTCGTTTCTTTTGTGATGCCTGCAATGGGGGCGACTAGGAAACAACAGCTATTTTCATAGAGCCTGTGCAGTAGCAATGCGCTGAAGCGTGCGTTTGTGCAGGCATAACTGCGTCCACACGTGTGTGTGCACGCGTGCACCATTGCACAGCATATTTGAAGGGCTCAGCATTCCAGAATGCAGGAGCTTGGGGTAGGAGCAGCTGGTCCACAATCCTCCTCCTCAGCTGTTCCCAACTGGAAACTCCGTTGCCCTTCCCTCTGTCTGGCGAGTGAGCCACCAGCCGACCCGGACACAGCTTGAGTCCGCACGTCTGCCCTGTGTCCTTTGCCGGTGGCAGGCTGTGTGTGTTCTTGCTGGGATGGCTGGGGACAGGTGCTGCTGCCAGGAATTGTTTAATGTACGGAGGTGGCTGCTGTTTATTCTCTCTCCTGCATAAGAAGAAACAGAATATTAGGCCAAGGATGGGGTGATGGTGGGAGGCTATCAGTAAATAAATATCATTCCTATACTTGCAGGAAGATGTGGAGACTCAACACCTACAGCTTAGTGCGTGCTCCCTGCATGTCTTATTAATTCTCCTACCAAATCTATAATGCAGATGGTATTCTACAGTTAAGGAAACCAAGGTTTAGAAAGGTCAGTGACTTAGCAAGATCACAGACCTTGGGTAAGGCAGAGCTGGATTCTGAATCCAGCTCTGTTTATCTGCAAGGGGCAGACTGCTTCTCATCCACCCAACTACAGGTACAATCAAAGACTGGGGTGCTCGGAGAGACCAGTGATGGGCCAGGCAGCTCAGGAAGTTTAATTTGATAAGCATTTATCCAGCAGTAAGCCCTGGAAAGATGAGTAAGATAGGTAGGGTAGCTGTCCTCTTACAATCTGAAGACATGGAAAGATGCTTATAATGCAATGCGAAAACCATCAGGACAGGGGAACTGCAGAAGGAGGTATGGTGAACCCCGCTTGGGGGATAGGCATGGTGCTGAGGGCCCTGTATTTTGGCATCAGTCAGGGTTCTATTTGAGAAGTAGAATGTTAAGATAGAATAAGGACTTGGTTATATGCTTTTGACCTCATGCATCACAGCCCGTGCTGGCTGCACAGGCCAGGTGAGGCTGTTCCTTCTGTGTCAGGTGGTACAGCCTGAAGTCAGCAGGGCAGGCAGTTCAGCAAAAACAATGCCTGCAAAGTGAAGAGAGCAAGGACAAAGTCCACCCTGCCAGGGTGGGCTGACACCCATGCCATCAGTCACCGTCTCCAAGCGAGGCTTCAGCTTCGCGGGTGCAGAGGGCCTGCAGGAGTTGTTGACGTCCTTCCTCAGGAGCTCCACACATCACAGGCCCAGGACTGAGGAGCTGAGGAGGAGACCCAGCAGGAATGTGAGCGCTGTGGGCCCAGCTGCTGCCCCATGCCAGCCCCTGACCCAGAGGACCAACAATAACAGCTATAGCAGGGCCCCATGCCCACACTGACGGTGAAGCACGGAAAAAAAAGAGCTACTTTCTGCATTTCATGTAAAATCTCTCTTGTGGTCCAGGCTAACCTGGAACTATGCAAGGAAGAGAATTCGGAGAAATGTAATCCGGCTGTTCTAAATTGTCAAGACTCCAAATCGTCACAGGTTCCCATAGGAGTGAGAACCTGAGGGCTGACTGGGGGTTCTCTTAGGCAAAAGCAGAGAGGAAGGAAGTTCCTGGTGGAAGAAAGGGTGTGCGAAACCATAGGAGCACAGCATCTTGGGGGAATGGGTGGTGGAGCCCCAGGCCTAGCTGGTGGAAGGCTTTCAGAGCCAGCTCAGGCATTTCCTGGTGATGGGCTTTGTATTTTAGACGGGCCACTGTCAGCGTGAGGAGGTGGGCTGTGTGCATCACAGGAGGCAGGGAGAACTGTGAAGAGAGGGAGAGATCTGGAAGGTCTAAAGGCCTTGTCAAGCCTTTCTTTATTTTGCTTCCACTTTCTAAATTCTTTTATCCACCGGCTGATTCATTACTTCGTTGAATCTTTAGGGAGTGTCTCCTTCATGTCAGGAATGCTTGGTGGTCAAGACAACGCAGTCCCCAACCTCTCATCTAAAAGCTTTGCCCAAATAAAACCTTACAAGTCAGGATAATGCTTGAAAAGTATTTGCCACTTGTTTTATCGTATTACTCTGTATTCTTTTCTGAACACCTCACTTGCAGTATTGCTTATTTTATTTTGGAGGTGTTGGATACAAGGAGGGAATGGAGAATGAAGATGGGCCCTGTGATCCCTGGCCTCTCCTAGGCCAAGCCAGTGGTTGCAAGCATATCTGCACATCACAATTACTTGGAGAGCTTGTTGGAGAGACAGATCCTCAGGCCTTGCCCAGACCTAATGCATTCAATATCCAGATGTGGAACCCTGGAGGCTTCTAAGAAGTTTCCCAGGAGACTCTTAAGCAGCCAGCTTGGCTTTATTCATCGCCACCCAGATCAGTGTCTTGTCAGCTTTAAGCTCTTGGCTTCTACTCTGCATCGTAAGCACAGGTCGAGTTGGGGGCTGTTCAGCTGATGTGGGTAGAGGTCATTTCATCGTCACGGTGACCTTGGAAAGCTTCCCGGTGTCTGAATCATTTCCAGCAGGTGCTGGTGCGCTCACAACATCAGAAGGGGAAGGACGTGAAGTCATCTGAGGGCAGGGTGAAATCAGCGAGTGGAGTGATTAAGAATGGGAGGACAGGGTCCACTTGGAGTGAGTCTAGGTGTGGAGGGCGCATGGAAGTGACAGAGATGCTTGGGAATTTAAAAATGAGATCTGAGAAGACAGGAAAACTTGAGTTTCCATTTTCATAGTATTTATAACATATACAAATTTTCCATTAGCCATGTCTGTGAATGAATTAGAAGTGGGGCAGGGGAAGGCTGAAGTGGTTGCTGCTGGCTGGACGCAGATTCAGGGCTGCCGCGTGTCCATGCTGCCCGTTGGGAGAAGTAGGGCAGGTGGGCGGCTCCCACAGCCATGGTCTGGAGGGGTTGTTGGTCACTGTGCTGTGGCAGCGAGAGGAAGGGCCCTCCATGCCCGCAGTGCCTCCAGCCTTGGCCTTCAGTGCTGCTTCCCCTGGACTCCCCTGCTGCCCCCAGGGCAGCTGGCAGAAGAAAAGCGGCAGCCCCAGGCCCCACATCCCTCCAGGGTCCTCTGTGTCCAGGCTGCACAACGGCCTGCGTGGCCAGCAGGCCTCGGGGATGGTGAATGGGAGCCACTGTTTGTTTCCACTGAGAAAGTCCTGACCTGCTTCCGGAGCCATTGCCATGGAAACGCAAGGAGGAGGTTCTTGAATGGAGCCTCTTTCCTCCCCATCTGCCCTACTCCCTTCCCCACCCCAGGCCGAGGCTGGTAAGGGCCAGCCCCCTGCTGCCTCACTTTCCCCCTAGGTTCTTGCACATTTGGTAAAAATACTCAAAGCTGGGGGCCCTCCCTGCCCGTCTCTATAGGGATCAGTGACCCCATCTCCATACCGCCCGAGCGTGTGGCAGCCCATTCTCACAGCAGCTCTTAACCTGGGCCTGCCTCACGCAAACAGAGGGCCAGAGAGGGCCTTCCAGAGGAGCCCCTGCCAGCCTCAGCCACATTTCCCCATAGAAAAGCCTCTCTTGGACCCCATATTTATTACACATATGCAGGAAATTTTAATAAAGGAAATAGAGCAAACGAATAATTTTGCCCCATTTACAAAATACTTGGGAGCCATTTAGTAATGTAAATAGCAGGCGCAGTGGCTCATGCCTGTAATCCAAGGACTTTGGGAGGCAGAGGCTGGTGGATTGCTTGAGCCCAGGAGTTCGAGACCAGCCTGGGCAACATGGCGAAATCCTGTCTCTACAAAAACAAACAAAAATTAGCTGGACATGGTGGTGCGCGCCTGTAGTCCCAGCTATTTGGGGGCTGAGGAGGTGGGAGGATCACCTGAGCCTGGGGAGGTTGTGGCTGCAGTGAGCTATAATCACATCACTTCATTCCAGCCTGGCCAACAGAGTGAGACCCAGAGTGTCTCATAACAATAATAATAATAATAATAATAATAATATAATGTAAACAAAGGTACTTTCTTTTTAGTAGGCTGCTTAAGCTCATAAGAAATTTTTGCTCATTTTTATAATAACTAGTTTTTGTGGTGAAAACAATGTGCTACAGCCCTGTTTTATTTTATTTTGCTTTTGATAATAATTTAGTAATTCCTTAAGACAAAAAAAAAAAAAACCTAAGTAAAATTTAAAATTCACAGTGAGGCCATAAAATGAAGGCATTTGTTTTTACTGGTTAGATCAAAACCAGAATAAAAAGCAGAATTTCAAGGCCCCCTCCCCCGCCCCTTTTTTTTACACCTTAATTTTTATGCCTACTGAAGAATCATCAAAAGTCAGAATTTGACCTGAAGCCGCAGACTCCAGGGGCAGCATTACAAACTTAAATTGCACTTTCAGTACCGGTAATTAGAGACAATGTGGTTTTGGCTTTCGGCTCACAGTATTGCACCAGGTACTGTGAATACTGTGATCAGTAAGACTAGTGAACCCCTTGACTCCATGAAGCTCAAGTTTTAGTGGGAAAAACATTGGTTTGGGTGTCGGAAGAGCTGAGTTTAATCTCCAGCTCTGTGACTTACAGTGACTAATTGCGTGACCTTGGACAAGTCACTTATATAAAGACTCTAGGCCAGAATCTCTTCATACATACAGCAAGGCTAGTTTTTTTGAGTGTTTTTGTGAGACTGAAATACGATGAGATTTATGAATCTACTTTGGTAAGCCAGACCAATGCTTTGTGGAAGTTAGTCATTTTCGTTTCTTCGCCACTAACTGTGTATTCATCCATCCTCACGCTACTAACAAAGACATACCCAAGACTGAGTAATTTATAAAGGAAAGAGGTTTAATTGACTCACAGTTCAACAGGGCTGGGGAGACCTCAGGAAACTTGCAATCATGGTAGAAGAGGAAACAAACACATCCTTCTTCACATGATGACAAGAAGGAGAAGAATGTGTGCCAGCAAAGGGGGAAGCCCTTATAAAACCATCAGCTCTCATGAGAACTCACTCACTATCGCGAGAACAGCATGAGGGTAACCGCCCCCATGATTAAATCACCTCCAACCAGGTCTCACCCCTGTTGGCGACACAGAGCCAAATGATATCAAACTGTTATGATTATATTCACCTGCATGTAACTGACATGTGACTTCAGTGTTTAGACAATGGGGACATCTTCTCATATAGCAGGTAGTCTGGAGTTGGGCTTTCCAAGGCTTGAGCAGCTGCTCAGGGAATTATTCCCTCTCCTACTCTACCATCCTTAGTATGGAACTTTCTTCCTTATGATAAAATGATGCCTGTTCCAGGAGGGATAATGGGAAGAGCCGGGCAAAAGGCATGTAGATGGAGTAAATCCTTTTTGTCATAGAAACACTAGCTTTCTTAGAAACATCTCACGATAAAGTTCTAGTATTTCTTCTCTGCCAGACACTGACACTTGGCCTCAACTAACTTCAAGGGAGTCTGGGGAAGTGAGTTTTTAACAAGGTGTACTGCTACCCCAAACAAACTCGGGACTCTGTAAGTAAGAAAGAAAATGAACTGGATATTGACATGGGAGGCAACTAGCTTGACTATTTTTATGTTACAGTAAGATCTTCTTGAGTTTTGTAAACTCCTGGAAGGTATGCGCCATGTCGTGTGCAGTTTACTCATCCAGTGGCATAGAGCTTTATTATCTATACCAAGCAAACAATAAATCATTGATTGTATATGAAACTGGTCAGTTGCTGATTCCTTTTTATATGACCTCTCATTATAAAAAATACTATGTGGGCTGAGGCATGGGGGCTCACACCTGTAATCCCAGCACTTAGGGAGGCCAAGGTGGGAGAATTGCTTGAGGCCAGGACAAGACCAGCCTGGGCTACATAATGAGATGTCTGTACAAAAAACAAAAAATCAAAAGATTAGTCGGGCATGATGGCATGCGACTCGAGTCCCAGCTACGTGGAAGGCCAAAGCAGGAAGATTGCTCGACTCCAAGAGGTAGAGGCTGCAGTGAGCCATGATTGTGCCACTGTATTCTAGCCTGGGTGATAGAGCAAGAACCTGTCTCAAAAAAAAAAAAAGTATACACACACACACACACACACACACACACACACACACACACCCTCTAGCATATGTCACGGGGATATTCTGAACATTAGTTATTAACTTTGAAGGAATTGAGAAGGCATTTATAACTTCACAGTGCTGGAATAGGTGCTGTTACTGTCAATAGTGTTGTTAGTATCAAAGCTGGCATTCATGGAGCAATTTTATCTCAACTTCTTATGCAGTTCAGACCCATGAAGCCACAAATGAAGAAAAATATGGCCCAGATGGAAAAGAGAAGACCCACTGAGGGGTTTTTGGAAACCTCAGAGGATGACTGAATCCCATCCCAGATCTGATTCTCCCTCCTTCAAGCCCACATCGCTCCTGCACTTGGATAGTCCTGGCCTTAGTGAGGCCGTGGCCCAGACACAACCAGACCATGGGCCTCCCCTGTGGAGAGATGGCATTTGGCTGCTTTTCAGATGTGAAACTCTTTAAGTTTCTGCCAGTGACCCACATCATTAACTTTCGGTACAAGTCACCAGTTGGTGAATGAAAGGACACAAATCTCTTTCACTGCACCTTTGTAGGGATTTTTAGAGTCAACAGGAGTGGGATCTGTCCTTGGCCTGGAAAGCCTTTTGGCCATTCCCGAGGTGCCAGAGAACCAGCCCCTTACAAGTTAAGAAATGGAAGTATATTTGAAGAAGGACTGAGGATGACTTGGTTCATAGGTAGGGTGGTTGAAAAAAAAGGCCGCTAATAATAGCTAGCTTATTTTATTTAATTTTTTTAGTGCTTAGCATGTGCAGGCATGTAGTAAGTAAAGTAAAAGTCACAACAGAAAACTCTAAAAATTCTATGTGATCGGTAACATTTTGTCTCTGTTTTGCATAGCAGGAAACTGGGAATCAGTGGGACTAAGTAATGTGCCCAGAGTCAGTAGCAGGTAGAGCTTGGCTTTGAATACTGGCACTTGGACTCCTGAACCCACATTCTGAGCCATTCATTGTGTGGTGCCACTTCCTGGGTAGTGGCCTTATGACAGCATTTGAGACATCCTTCACATGGAGGTACCAGTCAGCTGCTCATGATCTCTACCACAGACAGAACAAAAGGAGGCAGGCTTGATTTGCAGCAGGAAAGATAATGTTTAGTTACCTACAACCTCCATATGTCTAATGCAATTAGCAGGGGATTGAAGGATAACAAAGGTGATTGTCAATAGAACTAACCCTGCATGTCTAAATTAGCTGCATCTTTCTCCTTATTTTTCTGAGCAAGATGCCCTTTTGAGACATCTTATATAGAAGGAATAGGCTGACTTAAAGTGGTTCTGATGGCAGTTGTAAATCAAAGATATACAAAGAGGGTGGGGTAGAAAAATTAAACATTCTACAACTCACAGTTGGAGAATTTAGATCTTTCAGTGTCCATCTAGCACCTCCAAGTGTGAGAATTTGGATTATGGGGCAAAAAGTCCTCTTTGAACCAGAATTAAAGATTAGATGGTATTACTGTTTAGAGTCAACGTCCACACTTCATACCTGAAAATCCTGCCATTTCTTTCGGAGAGTTAATGTTTTGGAGAGTTAATGATAATTGAGGTAATCGACGGACTCAAGCCATTTCCCTTGATGTAAGTGCCTATATTGAAAAGCTATGCAACATCAATGACAAATTATTTAGTAGACAGTGTGCCATACACAATAAGCTAAATACTGCTTAAGGAAGACAATAGGATATAATAACATGAGAATAATGGAAATAATATGCTGAAAATCCATTGGATAAAGAGATTTTGATGTCATGCTTAATCATTATGTGTGTTGTTTTTTGTAATTCTAAAAAACATACAAATTGCTTTTATAAAGTGGCAAGTAGAAGAGAAATCCTTGTGTCCATCTCAATTATTTGAGAGAGGTTAATGATAAAATAATTTACAAGGAGGAACCTTAGTGATTTGGAAACTTAGATTCTAGAATAGGAGATACCTCATGGCAATACTTGGTGGAATGGGAACAGCGAGTCTGCTGGAGAAGACTAAGTTCGTCAGTTTGGGACTGCTCTGTGAATAGTTACAAGAAGTAACATTTCCTTGGAGCTTCCCCAGTGCCAGACACTGCGCAAAGCTCTTAACATTCACTGTCTCATGTGATCCTCTTAACAGTCCATTAAGGGGTACTGTTTTTATCATCACAACTGCACTTAGAAAGACAGTCAAGGCTTAGATTGGTGGCAGCGCTGTCATTTACCCCTAGTTCTGCCTGACTCCTGAATGTGTGTGCTGGGTCAGGCCATTGTCTTGGTTTTGGTATTGCAGACACCTGCCTTGTTCATTTATAAAGGTGACCCTGTAACAAAAAGCCAGCAAGTTCAGGCTGGGAATAGACTGTGAAATGAAAGAAAAAACCTGTATGGGGATTGTTTTGACCGGCTTGACAAAATGTCACCCATGTTGTCATTGATATTGATTATTCCTGGAGTTCTAACAGTATGCCAGATTTTGGCAATAGAATTGCTTTTCTGTCTCAGCCAGTGAATTCACAAGCTAAATCATGGGGCCAAGCAAGAGAGGTGCATAGGGCATGGAATTTAAGGAGGCAACTCACTCCCTGCACCTGCCGGATTCTGAGAGAATCTTACACCAAATCAACACCAAATCTGTAAGAGGTGACCTCTTACAACTTGGGCTATCTGTGTCTCTCTGGCATCATCCAAGTCCTGGCCCTGTGGCTGGAGAAAGGGTGACTCTTGAGTTTTTATGGCAACTAGTGGATAGTATGAATTGAATTTTGTTTCATATCTATTTCTCTTAAACAGAGGAGATAGGTTTGTGTGATAAAAGTATCTTTGATACCCAAAGGATAGAAAGAAATATTAAATTGAGGAATTACTTCTTTAACATGTAATGATTTGTCATGAAAGGAGCAAAATATGAAGGTACAGTTATCCATACTTAAGTAGGACATAAAGAAAATGAAAATCTTAACTACTTCTTAATGTAAGCCCTTCAACCTTTTAACCTTCCCCTGCCTCCCCCTGTACATGCACAATTCAGTAGCACAGATGTGTCAGGCTTTTTTTTTTAAATGGTGGAGAAAAGGCTGCTACTGGCTTTCGGGACTGCCTTGGCAGGCCTGGGATGATGCAGGAAAAGACCCAGACACAGCAAAAGACCAGATTTCAAATTCAGCAGGAAATCAACTAATGGAGAAGTTGATTTCCTGAGACTCAAGATTAAGGAACTTTGAAAATCCCTTAAGTACAGGTTTTCCAGTAACATATAGCATATGTTCCTTTCTTGGAAATGAGGTTATAACCACTTTCCTTTCTTTTTCTTTTCTTTTCTTTTTTTTTTTTCTTGGTTATAATGAAGTTTCTGGACAGCTCATCAAAGCCAAAACATGAAGTGTATTTTAGGAATTTGTTTATGCTTGGCCATTCATTGCACTTTTCTGGTGTGCTGGACTCAGTATGTAGAAACGAGATAGAGTTGTCTTTGTCTGGATGTAGCTTAGACTATTTGTATATAAACAGAAGAAGAAAAATGAGTTTGAGCCATAGTATTTGGCTTCCTTTCCTTCTAGAAGCAGATAGGGGGGTCTTGCAATAGCCAGATAGTCAATTCCTGAAAAGTGTTCTTGGAATATTTAGTTCTGATACTTCCATAGACCATGGTGAGGTTTGGTGTTGAAAACTTTCTGTTTTTGCAGGTTCTTCTGAGTATCATTTTAGCAATTTACTCAAGAGCTGGGCCAGTATGTAATGGTATCCCCTTTCTGTCTATCCCTTAAATAATAGAAAAGAAGCATCCTGTTAAAGAATGTATACAATTTGGAATTCTGTTATACAAATGAGGAGGAGTCTGGGGAAGAGGGTGAGGTGTTGAACTCAGGAGTCAGAGACGTGGCCACCAAGCCCAGTTATGCCCTTGCCCAGCACGATTGGACCTCAGGCATGTCATCACTCCCATCTCAGTGACAGTCCTATTCTGTGATGGGGGGTAATGAGAGTATTGCATTTGAGAGGTGGAATTCTATACAAGTGTAAAGAATTTCATGTTGACCTGTGTTGTGTTCCTCCTCCTACTCTATGGTCTTACGAGGATCTCCACTGTAAAGCAGTAGACTCACTGGAAAAGAAAATATGGCAACCTAGAGTTTCCACTGTGTGGAGTGAGAGACTGCAATATAATTTTTTTTTTTTTTTAAGATGGAGTCTCACTTTGTCACCCAGGCTGGAGTGCAGTGGCGCAATCTCGGCTCACCGCAACCTCCACCTCCTGGGTTCAAGTGATTCTCCTGCCTCAGCCTCCTGAGTAGCTGCGATTACAGGTGCTCTCCACCACGCCTGGCTAATTATTGTATTTTTAGTAGACATGGGGTTTCACCATGTTGTCCAGGCTGGACTCGAACTCCTGACCTCAGGTGATCCACCCGTCTCGGCCTCAAAGTGCTGGGATTACAGGGTCAGACACTGCGCCCAGCTGCGATATAATTTTTGTAAAACGGAGTTTAATAATATTCTAACCAGAAAGGTAAAGGAGCACTCTGCCTTCTTTTCCTTCTCCCACTGGCTGCTCCTCCTAAGTCTCATTGCTGGGCCTCACTTTCTCTTTATGACCACTAAAAATCGGGTTGCCCTGGAGCTCAGTCTTCATAATGTTTCTCTTCGTAGTGTTCAGTCAGAGCTTAGAGTATGCAAGTCACTTACAAATTCTTATCTGCAGCTCTAGACTCACATGTCCAACTGTTTCTTTACTGTCTGCACAGGGATGTTTAATAAGCACCGCACACTTAGCATGTCCAAAGGGGACCTCTTGTTCCCTCCCCTGCTGTTCCCCTGCCCAGCTTTCCCCATCTGGGGAAGTGAATGTTATTTCATTATTTAGGTTTCTGCTCAGAGAAGCCTTCTCTGTCCCATCACCTCAACTTCTCCTCACTCCTTGACTCTGCAGTCGCCCTTCTTGAATCTGTCTTGTTTATTGCTATGTTCTCAGGACCTCAGAGGATGCCTGACTCCTACTGAGAGGTGAATAAATAAATACTGAATGAAAGAATGAGTGAAAATGAATACACAAAGCAATTTAACAAAGAATTTGTTAAAGACAGAGGTAGGAGGAAAGAAACCAGTTCTGGGGATACTGTCTCTTAAATTATTTTTATTTTTCAATGGGATTGATAAATTCCTTAATGTAGGAATTTTCTTAAGTGAATTTTGCCTTCAGGAACAGCTAAAGCAGTTTAGGGATCTTGAGGAAAAATGTTGACACTTAAGCAGATAGATTTGGGGTCTTAATAGTAGGAGTTATTGATGAACAAATATTTGCTAAGGTTCAGTTCTGAGACTTTAAATCCAATACTTGATGATAATTAAATGTTTAAATGGATTTTTAAAGCACAGCAGAATATTAATTATTGCTTCCTGGTCATCAAAATCCATGCTGAAGTTACCATACTTTTTACCCATTGACAATGAAAAAGATGAGTCCAAAGAGCAGATCCAGCTCCAGCGCCCACCATCCTCAGGCCTGGGGCTTCTGGCTGGAGGAAGGAGGTACTACTACCAGGAGGCCTCTTTGGAGCTGACGTCTGAGCATTAATTTCTTCCACCAGGAGATTAGTAAATGACCCCTTCCACCTGCTGCCATCCACTTTTGGACTTGGGTTATATCATTGATTTTTGCTCCTGCTGGATGAATTGTAATAATCATTCTCAAGGAGAAAGGAGATGGCATTTTGCACTGCTTCTATGCCAGCTTCTGTTTGCAGGGAGAAAGTCACTGCATCCAAATTCACACATTGAATTTGGATTCAACGTAAAATTCAAAGGATTGTAAATTTGATGAGTTGGGGAGCCTCACGCTTATGAAACATGGGCTTGTTATTCTTTGGCCAGCATCTAGGTGGTGAACTTGTGAAATTTTAAAAACAAAATCCCACTCACCACAGCAAGATGAATAAAGAAACTACAGTGCCATCTGCTGGCATCCTGGGGAAGTTCAAGCAATGCCTGGGCCAAGTCCAAACCGGAGGATAAAATTATTCAAAGTGTGTGGTAGTTTGAAGACAGTAGATTAAAAATAGTGAAAATATTGTCAGTCATCATTTCAGAGAGGAAAATGCAATCACATTTTGTGCTAATGGTGTAGCAGTGGGAGCGTACATTTTTCTGCAGTGTACTTTTTGAAGTATTTTGATGACTTTTAGGGAAAGTAAAAATTCACAATTTGTGTTTTCACTTATTACATAATAAGTTTTATCCTGAGGTGGGGATATTTGGTCCATAGCAGTTAGGTCAAGACTTCTCTAGTCCTGGCCGGTCACGGTGGCTCATGCCTGCAATCCCAGCACTTTGGGAGGCCGAGGCGGGCAAATCACCTGAGGTCAGGAGTTCAAGTCCAGCCTGGTCAACATGGTGAAACCCCGTGTCTACTAAAAATACAAAAATTAGCCAGGCATAGTGTCATATGCCTGTAGTCCCAGGAGGCTGAGGCAGGAGAATCGCATGAACCTGGGGGTGGAGGTTGCAGTGAGCCGAGATCGCATCACTGTACTCCAGCCTGGGCAGCAGAGTGAGACTCTGTCTCCAGGAGAAAAAAAAAAAAAAAAAAGACATCCCTAGTCCTTAGGGTGAGGACAAAAATACATATGGGGCTCCCTGTCCCTCTGGTGGCCCCTTACAGAAAACATGTTTAACCAGCTGCAGACCCCAGCCCGCTGAAGTAAGGTGGCAGCTGCACAGTCCCATGACTTGAAGTGCAAAGTACAGCACAGTAAGATTTTTTAAAAAAATTAAGAAGCTAAACTTAGCAGAAACCCTTCTTTCTTTCTGAAGGATTTCCTGCCTCAGTCCCCAGCCAACTAGCTTGCTCTTATTTTGCTCCCACTTCTCCCGTGGCCCTGAGCATGTTACATTTGCTGCTTCTCTTCCTCATTCTTCTCCTCCCCTTCCCCCTCGTCATTTCTTATGCTTTTTTGTTCCTGTCTCCCTCCGTCTCTAACCTGTGGCTCCCCTTCCTTCGTGTTCATCCATGTACCTTACTTGTGCGTTGTTCAGTACATTTTGGCTGAAAGATTTAAATTTTGAAATGGCTACCTCCTAAAAGCCTTGCAGGTAAATACAGGTATTTTCATTTTTGTGTGGATAGGAGGAAGGAGAGTAGGTCCTAGCCATGTTTTGGCACAATTTGGTGATAAGTGAGATTTTCCTTACATGTTCTGTATTCACAGCACAGGAATAAGGGGAAATAACTAGAATTCAAAACTAGCTCTTGTCCTCTCTAGCGGTTTCTCCCCTGATTCTGTTCTTAGCTCCGACTCTCCCTTAGTTTACAATAGAAAGCTTTCAGATTTTTGTGCTGGTCATCAACAGTTCTCTGCACTCAGCCGTGGAGAATGGTGGTGCTTGCAGGGCATGGGCCTGCCACTCAGAAATGGCACCCAGTGGTCAGCCCACACCAGTGCAGCTACACCAAAGGGTGGTGGCTTATTAAAGGCTGCTCTGCGTGAAAAAGCCTCCCTCCCCTCTCTCTGGTCACCTTAGATTCTCAAGGTCCTTTTATCCAAAAGGTAGGCAGAAAATCACTTTAGGTGATTAGGATATTCAATTCTTCTTCCTCTGAATGAGACAGAGTCTCATTCAGTCACCCAGTTTGGAGGTCAGTGGTGTGATCATAGCTCACTACAACCTCGGACTCCTGGGCTCAAGTAGTCCTCCTGCTGCAGCCTCCTGAGTAGCTAGAACTAGCACTATAGATGCATGTCACCATACCCAGTTGAACTTTTTAGAAGTTTTTTTTTTAAAGAGACAGTGTCTCACTATGTTGCCCAGGCTGCTCTCCTCCTGCCTCAGCCTTTGCTCTAATTTTTTCAGTGTAACTCATACCTGGCCTCCCACTTTCTTGTCTTCCCTAGCCTTCAGATGCAAAAATCACCTCTTCCATCTTCCTTCCTGGTGGTGAACTTGTAGTGAAGATTCAGGTTTAAATCCCCCAAGTGTCTGTGTCTCTTCTGATGCAGGTGCCTTCTTTCTGGTTTCCCTTGGCTGTAAGCCCAAGGATACTGTATTTTCCTTCTGGGATTTGGACACACCTAATGAAAGATTTTGCTCCACACTCTACTGTTCCCTGTTCCTTTTTTTTTTTTTTTTTTTTTTTTTGGTGATACAGTTTCACTCTGTTGCCCAGTCTGGAGTGCAATGGTGCGATCTTGGCTCACTTCAACCTCTGCCTCCCAGATTCAAGCAATTCTCCTGCCTCAGCCTCCCGAGTAGCTAGGATTACAGGCCTGTGCCACCACGCCTAGCTAATTTTTGTATTTTTAGTAGAGACGGAGCTTTGCCATGTTGTCCAGTCTGGTCTCAAACTCCTGACCTCAAGTGATCTGCCCACCTCGTTCCCTTTTTGATACAACCAATTTTAACTTTCTTTGGCTTTCCCGCTTTCTTTCTTTAAATTTTGTTTGTCTAAGTTTTTTTCTGGAGAAATGCTTAATGAACTGGTTTTGGGCTGTGCACACTTTTCAGATTATTTGGGTTAATCTGTATCTGCCTTCACAAACTGGCAGCCAAAGGTGTTGGGGTGGGAGGCAAATTCGATGCCCAGACATGTATTGATTAATTTGGACACATGTTTAAAAACATTGGTTTCTTTACCATCACTTAAAAATGTTAGAGCTCTTGTATAAAAATACAGATTTCTGGCTGGGCACAGTGGCTCACGCCTGTAATCCCAGCACTTTGGGGGGCCGAGGCAGGAGGATTGCATGAGGTCAGGAGTTCCAGACCATCCTGGCCAACATGGTGAAACCCCGTCTCTACTAAAAATACAAAAATTAGCCAGGCGTGATGGCGCATACCTGTAATCTCAGCTACTTGGGAGGCTGAGACAGGAGAATCGCTTGAACCCAGGAGGCGGAGGTTGCAGTGAGCCAAGATCATGCCACTGTACTCCAGCTTGGACTACAGAGCAAGACTGTCTCAAAAAAAAAAATGCAGATTTCTGTCTTCTTTTTGAACATTGGAAGATTCAGCAGGATGGACATTGCACTTGCCAATTGGCAGCAACCAACTGGAGGAACTGTGTACTGGCCGCCCCCTTTATTAGGGACACTCAATATCCTGTTGTGGGTGTCTCACCCGCCTCCCTGCCCCCTTTGTTTTCCTAGAGCCGACCACTGTACTCATCTGTGGGCCCAAGTGGCATTTGTGGTGCTGAGTTTATGTTTTCATTATTATTTGCTTTCTCTTTTCCTCTTACACAAGAGACTTCCCAATGGCAGTAACTTCACTTGTATTAGTAGTTCACAGAATGAAAGGTACTTCAGTGATCGTCTAGTGAAGTCTGTCTTCTTCATTTAATATTACAGGTCTCACCTTCGAGTGAGTCTTTAATAAATGTCGACAAATGGCACACGAGTCTATTTCTAGGAAGTCAGCAGATGGGTAGAAAAAGCCAGTGGTAAATAGCCTATAACAATTTCCCTGGCTGTATTAAGTAGTATTGATGCTGGGTCAAACTAGTTAGGAGGATTTTCAGTTCTCCCATGAAAGCAAGGCTCTCTGGTAATCTGATTTGTTTTTCTTTTCTAGGAACCCTCTTCATAAATCAAACTCAGAAGACAGCTCTGTAGGTCAGTACCACTTTTCTTGGTTTACCTATTTAATTATTTCAATACTTTATAGAAAACACGAATATGTGAAAATACAAAACCCACAAGAATCCTTCTACTCAGAAATAAACACTGTTAAGATTTTGATGTACATCCTTATTCTCCTTTTTCTAGGCAGTTTTAAAAAAATATAATTGTGATCATATTCTGCATACTGTTTTATAGTTTTTAACTTGAATATGTTATGAGCATTTTCCCATGACTGAATATTCTCTACGTTAATACAGAAAAATTAGAAGCAACCTAAATATCCAGCAAAGAATGAATTGGTTAATTAGCTTATGGCACATCCAATATGGTGGAATATTATGCAGACTTAAAAATTTACTGCTGCTATAAAAATCCTGGGGTCTGTGTCCCTAATAATGTCCTTAGGATAAATCCTTCAATTTGGAATTTTTTGGATCCAAGATTATGCATAATTAAGGCATTGTATGTTTTATATATTCTTGATTATAAAATTCACTCTTGGTTTAGTAACAGCTATTTTGTTTGGGTCACAGGGTGGGTGGCTGATAGTGATTAGGAACATTAAGTACTCAATCAACCCTGGCTGCCTGACTTTGAATATGCCGACCCAATAGCTATCACCTTGTGCAGCTCACTTGCACCAAGCCTCAGTTTTCTCATCTGCTAGGTGGGAACAATGATGTGTCATATAATTGAGTATTAAATGAAATCTTGCCATTAGATAGCTAAGTGCCTGGATATAGTAGCTGAATAAATGTTAGCTATTACCATTTATTAGGCTGCATCTCTGTTTCAGAAACATGAAAATGGGAGAAGGGAGAAGGGAATATAGCTTATAGTCAAAGAAATATATTGTCAGCCTGTGCAGTGGCTCACTTCTCTTATCCCAGCAATTTGGGAGGCCAAGGAGGGAGAATTACTTGAGCCCAGGAGTTCGAGACTGACCTGGGCAACATAGCAAGATGCTTTCTCTACCAAAAATTTAAAAATTAGGTGGGCATAGCACCATGTACCTGTAGTCCCAGCTACTTGGGAGGCTGAGGTGGGCGGATCCCTTGAGCCCAAGAGTTTGAGGCTACAGTGAGCTGTGATTGCACCACTGCACTCCAGCTTGGACAAAGAGACCATGTCTCTTAAAAAGAAAATAAATAGGCCGGACGTGGTGGCTCACATCTGTAATCCCAGCACTTTGGGAGGCCGAGGAGGGTGGATGACGAGATCAGGAGTTCGAGACCAGCCTGGCCAATATGTCGAAACCTCATCTCTACTAAGAATACAAAAATTAGCTGGGCGTGGTGGCTCCTGCCTGCAATCCCAGCTATTCAGGAGGCTGAGGCAGGAGAATCACCTGAACCCAGGAAGCAGAGGTTGTAGTGAGCCAAGATTGCACCGCTGCACTCCAGCCTGGGCGACAGAGCAAGACTCTGTCTCACTAAAAAAAAAAAAAGAAAGAAAAAGAAAGAAAAGAAAAAAGAAAGAAAATGAATATTCCCGAACTGTCCAAGAGCAAGATTGAGTTAATAATAACTAGTCTGCTTTAACCCTGCATGTCTGACATTTGCTTCAGTGTTAAGCCCAAAGGCAGTGGGTGATACAAAACTTGCCATGAAGCTCTGTCTTTGGCGGAAAGGCTCGGGTTTCATTCCCACAGCTCTGGGGGCTGTCAAAACTTAAATGTGAGGGCATCCTGTTTTGACAGACGACGCCCTTTCTAGCCTGGGAGCACCAAAGACATGGTTCCCACACGTCTGCTTCATTGCTTGGCACCACCAGTCTAGACTGGGGAAACCCATCACTTCGCTGGGCCCTGTTTCCAGTGGCCATGGAGCAACCAGACAGACAACAAGTGGTGACAGAGCTGCTATTTTGAATGTGCCACATCAGCACGATGGCAGACACCGCTGCTGCTGCTTTTTATTTGTAAAGAATAAAGGACTGCTCTACCCACTCATTTTACTTACTCTCCCCTTTCGCTTTGCTTTTAAAAAGGTATTACGTGTTATCAATGATCGGAACCCTACCACATATTAAAAATGTCTAGCTATAGCAGCGAATTTGTTTTCACTTGAAAGTCACCGCAGTCATCTGGAAAGGATCGGGGGTGCGGTGGGTAGAGGGAGACCCATTTGGGAGATGACACAGCGGGATTGCAGTCTTGCTTGTCTTTGTGCCCTGGGTAAGCTGTAGGTGGGTCACCAGGTAGCCTGAATGCCAGGGAGTGCCATAAGCATGCCATAGCAAGACCCGTGCAGACCACACTTCTGAGAGTAACACTGGGGGCCAGACCCAGAGAACCAGGGGACCAACTCCCCTGACCTGTGGGCCCAGGACATACCAACCATTCTCTTCTTGTTGTTAAATCTGGAATAACAGAAATAAACCAAGGGTAGATCAACAACAGAAATAACAACAAAACCAAGTGAACTTCTTAAAATACCCTATTTGTGGTGTAGTTGAAATAATTGTGGCTAAGACCAAAGGGGGGAAATATACTGCAAGACGAGGCCAAATTAGGCATACTAGTTAAACAAACATCAAAGTAAACACAAGAATGCATGTTCTGCCTTCCTTTTTGATGTTTCCGTTTCTCCTCTTAACCTCACTGCACCGTTTCTTGCTACTAGGAAATTTGCATTTCTTTTAAACAACTTTATAGGCATCTCCCATTCTTTCACTAACTGAAAGAAAAAACTGTCCTTTTGTGAAATCAAAGTATTCCTACCAGCTTTGAATTACAAGGAAGAGGCTACTTTTGTTATTAATGATGAATTTATTGCTTGTGCTTTTTGTTCTTTTTTTTTTTTTTTTTTTTTTTTTTTAAGGAAAAGGAGACTGGAAGAAGAAAAATAAGTATTTCTGGCAGAACTTCCGAAAGAACCAGAAAGGAATAATGAGACAGACTTCAAAAGGTACTGCAATGCAGCTGGCGGACAGTAGGTCCTTTTAGCTCTAACATGGGAAGAATCCTATGCGGCTAATCTCAGTGGATGCTATAAGTTAGCGTAACTCACCGCATGTGCCCATAAGATGTTCAACTTTTCTGACATTTCTGTTATTACTTTAAGACTTTGTTCCAGTGATTTTCTTTTGTTTTAAGTCAAAGAAAACAAAAGGGGACAAGTTCACAGTTCTTTCCTTTCATAGATCTGACAGCAGAGGCCGAAACTTTCGTTTCCTCAGTTGCACCAACCTCAGAAAGATCTTTACTCTTCTCTCGTCAAGATCTAGCCTGAAAGGGCCTAGAGAGCCCTAGCATGTGTTGGTTTGGGGCTCTCCTGTCCGCGTTCCCACTGAGATCCTTTGCATTCTTCTGAACTTCTGATGCTCTTCTGCAGCGGGACGGTTATGGGGTGTTGCCCCTGGAAACTCCAGTGGTCTGACATCATGGGAATTTGCCCGGGCGGCTTTGTGAAGGGAGTTCTGCCCTACTCTTGGCTGTGTCTTTTGTTGTTGTTTATATAGTAAGTAAATATATCATCCCTTTGAGGCTCAGTTACATAATTTATGTTTCCCCAGTATTCAGAGAAGAAACCAGAACAAATCCACTTCCAGATTCCAGTCCAGCTGAATGAGGTTATCAGTAGATTAAAAAGTTTTCCTTGATCACCAGTGACACTGCTTGCTTTCCTTTACAAAATCTTAGTGTCCTGTGCTGTGTGGAACGTCTGTCTAATTATCAGTACGCGTGGAAATGAGAAAAACGGATGTGAACAGCAGACACGTCACAGCACACCTGGGTTCCTTGGCAACATTCCACTTGGTTCTTTTTTCAAGTTGTCCTACTTTTAAGCATTCCCAGTTTTTTGTATTCACCCAGCGTCACTTGTGATTCAAAATAAACCTTGGATTCTAAAAAAAAAAAAAACAGTCTAAAGCTAAGGGAAAGGGAGAGGTACAGAGGGAGAGGGAGGGAAGGAGGAAGCCAACAGTTTACCAGCTAATGTGGATTTTTAAAGAACCCAACCAACTCCCCATCACCCACTCTGCCATTTGCGGTGACACAGATAGTAAAATGAATCAACCCAGCAGGCTTCTCTCTTCACCCAGCACACGCTATTATTCTCCCTGTGCAAGTAGCAAAGGGAACTTGAGGGAACTTGAGGAGTATTTTTGGATTGATTGATTACAAAATGGAAATTAGATGGAAATACAGGGCAACATAAATTCCAAAGTCAGCCGTGCCTGAAATGGTTTCCTACAAGTCTACAGGCAGACTCTTTCCCTCTGTCTCTTACACCAAAGGCAAATTAAGCCACAGCCGGGGGCATCCTAACGATATTGGAAGCTGGTAAAAAGTATGAATGAGAAAGATGGGGAGGAGAGCAGGGTGTGGGACTGGAGTGGGGATGTTAAAGCTCATGTTCAGTAACATGTCCTTCCCCACACGCTGACCAGAGGCACCATTGCCCAATGTGGCTCAGATATACCAGAGGCAATAGCAGTCTGTTTGCTCTGTAGGAAAATCTTTGGAATCTAATGGGACATTCTCTTCTCTGAGGTTCTAGCTGCCTTCAGGTGCGAGTTGGAAGTTGATTTTCCCTCAGTTTGGAAACCAATTTATGACAATAATACTTTCAGATACAGACCTATATGGCACCCTTCTTCTGATTAACTCAACATGCTTCATGTCTGTGATTTGCACTTAGCATTTTTTATTTATTTATTTTTTTTGTCTTCAGATGGAGTCTTGCTCTGTCACGTAGGCTGGAGTGCAGTGGTGTGATCTTGGCTCACTGCAACCTTCACCTCCCGGGTTCAAAGCAATTCTCCTGCTTCAGTCTCCTGAGTGTCTGGGATTACAGGTGCCTGCCACCATGCCCGGCTAATTTCTGTATTTTTAGTGGAGATGGGGTTTCACCTTGTTGGCCAGGCTGGTCTCGAACTCCTAACCTCAAGTGATCCACCTGCCTTGGCCTCCCAAAGTGCTGGGATTACAGGCATGAGCCACTGTGCCCGGTGCACTTAGTTTTGAGGAATAATAACAGTGAAATAGCTTAGTAGGAATGGAAGGTTTTGCCAGGTCTGAACTCTGTGACCTTCCTCTGTCATGACCTAGGATTCTTTCCCACTTCTTTGCAAAAATATTTTCTTCTCATTTGTATTGCTAATGGAAGGACACAAAGAACCCACAGCTGAAGGAGCCTTGGAATGCTTGTATGATCCAGTTGGGTGTGTAAATTAGATCTTTACTCCACCTATAGCGAGGATCTCTCTCTCACTTTCCTCCAAAACCCATCCACTGGGTACTCTATCTCAAAGGCTCTGATCATCTTGAAGGATTTGTTTCTATGGTGACACCCACGTGTTCTGCAAGCCTGTTTCTCAATCAGAGGTGCTTATTGGCTTCTTAAAAAGCAGCATATTTTTGCCACCCTTTGCTTCATCAGTAACGTTCAACATACATAGTGTCCTGAGCAACATTCTTCTCTAGCCCGAGACAGCAGATGTTCCGCATTGACGTTCTGTTTCGCCATTCTTGTTTTCACTCCTGTTGTTCTTTGTCCTCAATCTCCAGGAGAAGACGTTGGTTATGTTGCCAGTGAAATAACGATGAGCGATGAGGAGCGGATTCAGCTAATGATGATGGTCAAAGAAAAGATGATCACAATTGAGGAAGCACTTGCTAGGGTAAGCATGCAGATACCTGGTTTATATTTGTGAGGACTTGACTTTCTGAAGTGTAAAAATGTTTGCGGCCAACAAGGGGTATAGGAATCAGGTACCCATGTTGTCAGATAAAATATTTATTCTGTTTACTTGATACAAACATTCTACTTTGTGAGGTGAAACTTCTATGGTCAATGAAAACGTGAATGAATGAATGGCAAATATTTTTGATCTGTGGACCACATTAATGAGGAAAATGGCCTTCTGAATGCAGCTGCAAAATTCACAAGCCTTTTGAAAAGAATGTAATCAGTAGTAAAAGATCAATTATTAAATAAAAATCAAATGTACTAAAAACATTGTAAACATCAGGATTTTTTGTTTTTTTGAGATAGGGTCTCACTATGTTGCCCAGACTGTAGTGCAGTGGTGCAATCACAACTCACAGCAGCCTCAACCTCCTGGGTCCAAGTAATCCTCCCATGTCAGCCTCCTGAGTAGCTGGGACCACAGGTGTGTGACACCACACCTACCTAGTTTTTAAATTTTTTACAGAGACAGGGTCTCTTCATGTTGCCCAGGCTGGTCTCAAACCCGTGGGCTCAAGTGATCCTCTCACCTCGGCCTCCCAACATGTTGGAATTACAGGCATAAGCAAGCGCACCTGGCCTATAAATATCGGTTCTATAAGATGCCTTCACAAACTGAATTTTGAATAATCTAAAGGTTATACTTACTTTCATATCCAAGTAAATATTAATTGCAATTTATTGTGTTTGTTTTTTGTTTTTATTACTTCCCCCTGAGTTAAGTTAGGCACTACAAGAAGCCTAATTAACCTTTAGTATACTAGAGCAGCATTTATGATAGTAAGGCAGCAATTTATTAAGAGATTCCCTGCTTTGTTGTTGAACAACAAACCCATTGATTCTTGAATTTTCACTTTGAACAGTTGGTTCAGTACTGTGCAGATAAGTCCCAAATAAACAGGTTTAGAAATTGACAAAAACCTTCAAATCACCAAGGAACCATTGAATGAGTTAAGACTTTACCATTGTCTTGGTCCATTTTGTGCTGCTGTAACAGAATACCACAGACTGGGTAATTCATCAAGAACAGGAATTTATTGGCGCATAGCTCTGGAGGCTGGGAAATCTAATGTCAAGGGGCCCCAGCAGGTTTGGTGTCTGGTGAGACTGTGCTCTTCTAAGATGACACCTTGTACACCACATGATCTGCAGGGGAGGAAGGCTAGATGCTTATAAGCCAGAAGGAGGAATGCCAAGAAGCTAAAGGGGGCAAACTTGCCCTTTGATAATGACGGTAATGCTACCCTATCACCTCCCAAAGTTTCACCTCTTAACACCGCCACAACAACTACCAAATTCTCACCATGACCTTGGGGAGAAACAAACATTCAACACATAGAAACCGTAACATTCAACCTATAGCAACCATTGAGTGGAACCTTAAAGGTCTGAAACCTTGAAACAATGGCACACATATACTCAGTTTAGTTTAATATACAGTAGTTCCCTCTTACATGCAAGGGATATGTTCTGAGACCCCCAGTGGATGCCTGAAACTGCAGATGGTACCAAACCCTATACATACTATGTATGTTTTTTCTTATGTTCCTATGCATACATATCCATGGTAGAGTTTAATCTATAAATTAGGTATAATAAAAAATTAACAACAATAAAAATAAAATAGAGCAATTACAACAATATCCTATAATAAAAGTTATGTGACAAAGATGTCCATTTTCACTACTGTTATTCCACATAGTACTGAAAGTCCTAGCTATAGCAATCAGGCAAGAGAGAGAAATAAAAGAGAACCAAAGATTCCACTGAAAAACTATTAGAACTGATAAGTAAAGTTGCAGGCTACAAAATCAACACATACATTTCTGTGTATGTGTTCAGCAACAAATACTCTGAAAAGAAATCAAGAAAGTAATCCCATTTATAGTAGCCACAAATAAAATACCTAAGAATAAACTCAACCAAAGAAGTGAAAGCTCTCTATAATGAAAACAATAAAACATTGATGCAAGAAAAGGACACCAAAAAAAAAAAAAAAAAAAGGAAAGCTATTCCCTGTTCACGGATTAGAAGAATCAATATCATTAAAATGGCTATGCTACCCAAAGCAATCTACAGATTCAGTGCAATCCATACCAAAATACCAGTGACATGCTTCACAGAATTAGAAGAAATGATCTTACACTTTGGGAGGCCGAGGCGGACAGATCACTTGAGATCAGGAGTTCGGGACCAACCTGGCCAACATGGTGAAACCCCGTCTCCACTAAAAATACAAAAATTAGCCAGGCGTGGTGGCACGTGTCTGTAGCAAGCTACTTGGAAGGCTGAAGCAGAAGAATAGCTTGAATCGGGGAGGCGGAGGTCGCAGTAAGCCAAGATCATGCCGTTGAACTCCAACGTGGGCGAGAGTGAGAATCCATCCCCCCCAACCCCCAAAAAAAGGAAGAAGAAAAAATAATCTTAAAATTTGTATTGAACCACAGAATACCTAGAACAGCCAAAGCCACCCTGAGCAAAAAGAACAAAACTGGGGGAATAACATTAACTGACTTCAAATCTATACTACGGAGCTGTAGTAACCAAAACAGCATGGTACTGGCATAAAAACAGACATATAGACCAATGGAATAGAATAGAGAGCCCGGAAATAAACCCGTGCATCTGCAGTGAACTCACTTTCAACAAAGGTGCCAAGAATATACAATGGGGAAAGAACAATCTCTTCAATAAATGGTGCTGGGAAAATTGGATATTCATAGGCAGAAGAATGAAACTAGACCCCTCTCTCTTGCCATATAGAAAAATCTAATCAAAATGGATTAAAAACAAATCTTTAAGACTCAACTATGAAACTAGTAAAAGGAAAACATTGAGGAAATTCTCCAGGACACCGGACTGGGCAAAAATTTCTTGAGTGATATCCTAAAAGTACAGGCAGCTAAAACAAAAATGGACAAATGGGATTACATCATGTTAAAATGCTTCTGCACAGCAAACAAAGCAATAGGCAAAGTGAAAAGACAACCCACATACTGGGAGAAAATATTTGCAAACTAACCGTCTGACAAAGGATTAATAAACAATATATGTGGAACTCAAACAACTCAATAGGAAAAAAAATCCAATAATCTAATTTAAAAAATAGAGAAAGTATCTGAATAGACATTTCTCAGAAGAAGACAAAGGGAAAACAGACATGTGAAAAGGTGCTCAACATTATTGGTCATCAGAGACATGCAAATCAAAACTACAGTAAGATATCATCTCACCCCAATTAAAATGGCTTTGTGGGATGGAGTCTCACTCTGTCGCCCAGGCTGGAATGCAGTGGCGAGATCTCGGCTCACTGCGACCTCCGCCTCCTGGGTTCAAGTGATTCTCCTGCATCGGCGTCCCGAATAGCTGGGATCACAGGTGCCTGCCACCACACCTGGCTAATTTTTTTTTTTTTTTTTTTTTTTGAGATGGAGTCTTGCTCTGTCGCCCAGGTTGGAGTGCAATGGTGCAATCTTGGATCAGTGCAACCTCCACCTCCCAGGTTCCAGCAATTCTCCTGCCTCAGCCTCCCGAGAAGCTGGGATTACAGGTCCCACCACCATGCCTGGCTAATTTTTGTATTTTTAGTAGAGACAGTGTTTCACCATGTTGGCCAGGCTGGTCTCGAACTCCTGACCTCAGGTGATCCACCCGCCTCGGCCTCCCAAAGTGTTGTGATTACGGGCATGAGTCACTGTGCCTGGCCTAAAATGGCTTTTATCCAAAAGACAGGCAATAACAAATGCTGTTAAGGATATGGAGAAAGGGGGACCCTCATATATTGTTGATGGGAATGTAAATTATTACAGCCACTATGGAGAACAGTATGGAGGTTCCTCACAATACAAAAAAATAGAACTACCATATGATGCAGCAATCCCACTGCTAGTATCTACCCAAAAGAAGGGAAGTAAGCATAGAGCTATCTGCACTCTCATGTTTATTGCAGTGCTGTTGACGATCGCCAAGACTTGGAAGCAACCTAAGTGTCCATCAACAGATGAATGGATAAAGAAAATGTGGTACATATACACGGTGGAACACTACCCAGCCATAAAAAAGAATGAGTCTCTGTCATTTACAACAACATGGATAGAATTGGAGGACATTATATTAAGTGAAATAATCCAGGCACAGAAAGTCAAACTGCACAAGTTCTCACTCATTTGTGGGAGGTAAAAATTAAAACAATTGAACTGATGGAGATAGAGAGTAGAATGATGGTTACCAGAGCCTGGGGATGGTAGTGAGGAGGTGAGGGGAAGTATGGATGGTTAATGGGTACGAAAGTATAGTTAGAAAGAATGAATAACATCTAGGATTTGCTAGCACAACAGGGTGACTACAGTCAACAATAATATATTGTACATTTAAAAATAACTAAAAGATTATAATTGGAATGCTGGGCTTAGTGCAGATGAGCAGGTCGGCGCTGGGGCAGCTGGTGGAGTGGGTGGCAGGTGAAAGTGACAGCCTCCTGTCCATGCTGCTCATCTCCTGCGCCTTCATTCTCAGCCTGGTCTGCTTTGCCACAATAGTAACCACCTGGCCTAGCTGCCAGCTGGTGCAAAATGCTCATCATATGTTTTCTCTCCCATTACATTCCTTGGGCATGCCATACATTTGGGAAAAGTTAAATTGAATTTCTAGAAAGTGCATATGAGAAGTATGGGCATATGAGAAGTATGGACCTGTATGTAGTTTTTCTGTGGTGAGCAAGACATTTACTCCTGGAGAGAGATGAGACTGCACTACTTTTTTTTTTTTTTTTTTTTTGAGACGGAGTTTTGCCCTTTCAGCCAGGCTGGAGTGAAGTAGCATGATCTTGGCTCACTGCAGCCTCCACCTCCTGGGTTCAAGCGATTCTCCTGCCTCAGCCTCCCAAGTAGCTGGGATTATAGGCGCCTGCCACCACGCCCGGCTAATTTTTGTATTTTTAGTAGAGATGGGGTTTTACCATGTTGGCCAGTGTGGTCTCAAACTCCTGACCTCATGTGATCCACCTGCCTTGGTCTCCCAAAGTGCTAGGATTATAGGCCTGAGCCACTGCGTCCAGCCGACTGCACCACTTTTTAATAGTAAAACCAAAGATGCAGAAGATGTCTACAGTCATCTCAGGACACCTGCGTTTGGGAAGGGAGTTGAATGTGACATGCCTAATCCAGCGTTCTTGGGGCAAGAGAAAATGTTAAAAAGTAGCCTTAAAGTAGCCCACTTTAGACAGCAAGTTTCTATAACTGAAAAAGAAAGGAATACTTTCAAGCTGGGGAGAAAGCAGAGAAAAAAATTGTGTGAAGCTCTTTCTGAGCTCATAATTTGATAGCTAGCCATGGTTTACATGGAAAGGAAATCAGAAGTCAACTCAGTAAGAGGTGGCACAGCTGTGCGCAGATGTGAGTGGCGGCTTCAAGCCTTTGGCCTGGCTGCGGCCACGTTGGCTGCCTCTGCGTGGTTGCAGAAGCAGCTACAAAGCTCATTGAGAGCACAACTATTGTCTGTAAGGCAACCCAGAAACACAGAAACCAGAAGAAAAAATCCAAGGCATTCTCCAAACTTTACTGGATACTACAGACAAGGGTGAGCACCTGTTGGCAGATGAGGAAGTCACAGGGCTGCTTATTAGACTGTTCTCAGGGCAGCATACATCCTCAACTACTGGTGCCTAAATGAGCTGCTTTGTAGCCAGAGATGAAACACTTCATGAAAAATGTTATTTGAAGCAGAAAACTGTCCGTGGAGAGGATCTACCTTCTTTAACTTATGACCTGCTCAAGATTGAAACTCCCCAGCAATTTAGGAGGCCGAGGCAGGCAGATCACCTGATGAGGTTAGAAGTTCAAGACCAGTCTGGCCAACATGATGAAACCCCGTCTCTAATAAAAATACAAAATTAGCCAGACGTGGTGGCACGCACGTGTAATCCCAGCTACATGGGAAGCTGAGGCAGGAGAATCGCGGAGGCAGAGGTTGCAGTGAGCCGAGATCGCACCATTGCACTCTAGCCTGGGCAAACAGAGCAAAACTCCATCTTAAAAAAAAAAAAAAAAAAAGAAAGATTGAAACTTATTTAATCACCGTACAGAGAAAGTTAAGACTTAGACTTCCTGTATTGACTATATTGAGAATGGCTAAACTGCCTCAGAGGGTGTGATAGGACGTACCATTCCTGCAGGCCACCAAATGGGTTTATCTCTCACTGTCAATCAAGGATTTCAAGACACTTGGGTGGAGCTTGTGGATCCTGATCAGTGATTACAGGACATCTCAACAGGAGAGAAGATGGTCTTGGAGGCGGGCGTCATCATATTGGGAAAAATTTTGCCCATGTTCAGATCAAGACAGTTTGGTCCACTCTGTTTCATTTGTATGAATTTGATTTCATTGATGGATATTTTCCCACTGTAAATTATAAAACCGTGGTTCATCACACCCCTAAAAACCCAGTTATCACATACAAATGAAGATCAAAATGAAAAAGGCTACAAAGAACTAATATGTGAAACATTACCGTAAGCTGAAAAATCACTGGAAAAGAATGAAATTTACAAAACAAACCTCAGTGTACTGTCTTTTTTAGTGTAATTTTAAAAGATAGCTTAAGTTAGGATTTCGATATTTTATTTACTGAATGCTTTCATCCCATCTAATGGCATTAACAGACATTTTCTAATAGCTTTATGATGGATAATTAACACATATGCTTTAAGGAAGTCGAGCTCATTAGTAAAAATGTTGCTTAGGGAGATCTAGGTCATCGGCAGATTTTAAATAACAATTTCTGTGTACTGGGATACCTCAGAGGTATTGCAGGTTTGCCATCAGACCACTGCAGTAAAGGGAATATTGCAGTAAAGTGAGTCACATAAATTTGTTGGTGTTCTCAAAAAAATAGTTTCTGGATTTAATATAAGACGCACCTCCTTATCTCTTCATAGAACTGAAAAGAGTTAGGGCCTTGCTCTGGATTCGGCGTTGGCTTACGAGAGTGTTGTGGCTGTTCTGATCTTCTACGCAGACCATTCAAACTTTCTCCATGTCAGCAATAAGGCTGTTCCATTTTCTTATCATTTGTGTGTCCAGTGGAGTAGCACTTTTCGTTTCCTTTGAGAACTTTTCCTTTGCATTCCCAACTTAACTGTTGGATGCAAAAGGCCTCGCTTTTAGCTTACCCTGGCTTTCAACGTGCCCTCCTCACTAAGCTTAATCATTCCTAGCTTTTGATTTAAAGTGAGAAGCATGCTACTCTTCCTTACAATTTAAGGCACAGAGGCGATTGCAGGGTTATTAATTGGCCTAATTTAAATATGTTGTGTCTCAGGAAATGGGGAGGCTTGAGCAGGAGGGAGAGAGATGGGAGAATGGCCGGTCAGTGGAGCCGTCAGAACACACATATTTATCCATTAAGTTCACTATCTTATATGTTTAGGTTCATGGCTCCCCAAAACAATTACAATATTAACATCCAAGGTCACGGATCACAGGTCACCATAACAGATGTAATAAGAATGAAAAAGTTTGAAATACTGTAGGAATTGCCAAAATGTGACAACAGGGACTCAGAGTGAGCCTGTGCTGTTAGAAAAATGGCACTGATAAACTCGTTCGATGCAGGGCTGCCACAAACCTTCAGTTTGTAAAATGCAGTTTCTGTGATGTGCAGTGAAGTGAAGCTCAGTAAAATGAGGTGCGGCTGTACCAATTTTAAGGGCTTACATAGCTCTTGGCAAGTAAGTTCAGGACATTCAATCTTTTACTAATTCCATAAGATGTAGAAAGCCCATACTTGGAAGCTATAGGTTATTCATTTATGTGAGTAATTTGTTTGTTGGAGGGTGGAAGATAAGAGGGAAGGGAATACACTCATGTTTAAAGCCTTGGATAAAAAAGAATAGTAGTAAATGTATTGGAATGATAATACTCAGCATTGATGAGTGATATTGTAGAAAAATATGTCCTTTGCCATTTTAACTGGAAGCACTGTCTATATGAAATTGAGAGAGATCTATGACCGTGATTTAATAATCACATTTCCTTAAAAATAATTATTTATACTAAAGACTGCTCAAGTCAATGTGATCTAATCAATAAGTATTACACATTGATCTGATAATGTATGTATGTGAGTCCAACAAGACCATATCTGTGTGAAAGTCAGAAATAAAGTCCTTTGGAGATGAAGCAAAGAGCACTTAATGTTTGTCATTGACTGTCACTGATGTTTTGGCATGGTGAACTTTTTTTTTTTTTTCGAGGTAGGATCTTGCTCTGTAGCCCATGCTAGAGTGCAGTGGCGTGATAATGGTTCACTGCAGCCTCGACCTTCCAGGCTCAAGCAGTTCTCATGCCTCAGCTTCCTTAGTAGCTTAGACTCTAGGCATGTGCCACCACACCTGGCTAATTTTTTTTTTTTTTTTTTGAGAGAGAGTCTTGCTCTGTCGCCCAGGCTAGAGTGCAGTGGCGCGATCTTGGCTCACTGCAACCTCCACCTCCCAGGTTCAAGCAATTCTCCTGCCTCAGCCTCCCAAGTAGCTGGGACTACAGGCACGTGCCACAACGCCCAGCTAATTTTTGTATTTTTAGTAGAGACAGGGTTTCACCATGTTGGCCAGGCTGGTCTCGAACTCCTGACCTCAAGTGATCCACCTGCCTCAGCCTCCCAAAGTGGTGGGATTACAGGCGTGAGCCACCGTGCCTGGTTCAAACTTTTCTTAATTCAGGTGTCATACATCTGATTCCCTGGAAGCACAGCCTGAGATAGGGACTCTTGTGTATCTTAGTCTATTTAGTGTTGCTATAAAGGAATACCTGAGACAGGGTAACTTATAAAGAAAGGAGGTTTATTTGGCTCATGATTCTACTGCCGAGAGATTGGTCATCTAGTGAAAACCTCAGGCTGCTTCCACTTATGGTGGAAGGCAGTGTGTGTGCAGAGATCACTTGGTGAGAAGAAACAAGAGGGAGAGGGGAGGTGCCTGGCTCTTTTATAACAGCTGCTATTTGGGGAACAAATAGACTGAGAAATCACCTTCCCCACCCCTCCCCAGGGTATTAAACTATTCTTAAGGGATCCTCCCTCATGGCCCCAAACACCTCTCTTTAGGCCTCCATCCCCAATATTGGAATTCAATTTCAGTATAAGGTTTGGGGAAAGAGACATCCAAACTATATATAGCATTGTGCAAGTGGCCTGTTGAAAGAAAGCTTTTAAGAGAAACCTCTAAGTGAGGGAGAAGGATGAAGTTGGACAGAGATGTGATTTCAGGAGGAGTCTAGCCTCACTCAGCCTGATTCCAAAGGGAGTGGGGAGCCCTGGAGGGTGAATGGCATTGTAGAGTTTGTCATGCCAGGGATGAGATGTCTGAAAGCTGATTGGGGATGGGGAGCAGCCATCTAGATATCTTTGTGGAGACAGCTTCTTTTAGTCATGTTCTCTAGAGCAGGGTATGTGAATTTATACCTATAGGATATTCTTATAAAGTCATTAAGGTAATCTGGGCATCTGGTATACCAGAGCACAAGATTATGAACCAGGAACCTAGATGTATTGTTGAGTCATTTCCTTATAAAAGCGACTGTGCATCAAATCACAGAGATTTGGACACATATAGAGTCCATAGGAGGTTTTTAAAAAATTGATCTCATGGGGAGAAGTTGGAAAGGATTTATCTCAAAAGAAGCAGAAAAGAACTTAATCACAGTCTTCAAGTGCCTGAGGGTTGTTAAAGAGTACATATTTCGGATGTCCTGGAGAATGTTTGATTGTTTGTTTGTTTTTTAAAATCTCTACTGAGGACAGATTAGAAAGAAATGAATTTAAAAAGCAGCTGGAGTGGATTTCGGTTTAATATAATGTAAATGCTCTTTATAGTAAGTACTAGTAGAAATTGGAACATTATGATATATCTCTCCCTAAAGGTCTCCAAGATGGAATAAGCATTACTCTTTTAAAGATGGCCATCATTCTAAAAAAATCATGTCATGGACTTCAACTGTGAGAAAACAATGAGATTTGGGAACACAGGATGTGAGGGAATGTTTTTGCTTAAGACACACACACACACCTTAAAATGTCATTATTTTATAACTCCTGGAATTAATGTAAAACACTACAGATTTGCTTTAATATACATTCTTTAATGAAATTACAAATGGTCATGCCTTCATGAAATTATAATTAAACCAAAACTTCTCGAACCAAAGTGGAATATAAAAATGTAATTATAACAGGTAATTATCCATGTAATAACCTGTGTAATTACATGGGTTTTTTTTTTTCCTGTGCAGTGCACTTAAAAAAAAAATAGAGAGCTTGTTTTGTAACTTTAAAACACTTAGAGTTGTGTAATTAGGATAATTAAAAAAAACAGTTGCCAGGTGCGGCGGCTCACACCTCTAATCTCAGCACTTTGAGAGGCCAAGGCAGGTGGATCACTTGAGCCCAGGAGTTCGACACCAACCTGGGCATCATGATGAAACCTCATCTCTACAAAAAATACAAAAAAATTAGCTGGATGTGGTGCCATGCCCCTGTAGTCCCAGCTACTCGGGAGGCTGAGATGGGAGGATTGCTTGAATCAGGGAGATCAAGGTTGCAATGAGCCGTGATTGCACTACTGCACTCCAGCCTGGACAACAGAGCGAGACCCTGTTACAGAAAACAAACCAAAAAACCAGTTAAGTAGCAAAGTTTGGGTAGGGCACAGAATTAAAATCTCTTTCAGAAGAGCACACATAGTTTTAGGCCCCAAAGTAGATAGCAGAGATGAGCATACAGCAGGAAAAAAAAATCGTCATATATGATTGACTAGTTAGAAATTTGTACCTGTTTTCCTTAAAGCTGAAAGTTATTTAGTGGCTCCTAGGAGATGCAGCTAAGGTTGGATATAAACATGGACTAGAGACCTGAAGACATAATAATCTCATGATAATCCCATTTTCCAACGGGCAGATACTCTCAATCATACAGGGAGAATGTAGCATTTCACAGGCCAATATATCAAAATGGAGAGAACATCCTAGTGTATAACATAATGTAAAGACTGGAACAATCCAAGTGTCCCTAATGTAATGGAAATATTAAAGTGATTAATACCTCTAATACCCAAAAGTTTAAACATGTCAAGTTAATGTGAACTTTGAGCTTTCTTTTCTCTGAAAGCACAATGGTAATAATAATAGTATTATACTAACTCTATTGCTTTGATACAGTGTGCTGAGAGTTTTGCTGCATTATCATAGTTAATTCTGGTAACAGCTCTGTAAGACAGATTTATCGTCATGCCTGTTTTCCAGGTGGAGGAACCGAAACATAGAGGGGTTAAATAATTTGTCCTCAGGCCTCCCAGCTGGTATTTGGTTCTGCATTCAAGCTCTTACTCAATAATCAATACTGCCTACCTCCTCCCACATACATGCAGAAAAGAATTTCGCAGGTTGAAATCACAGTTGTGAAAGTGGCTTTTTCCTGGAGCAATAACTGTCATTGTAGTGGCGCTACCACATCCTCAAGCTCCAGGGCTTCGGGATTGTCCAGTCACCATCACGTGGGCAGGCAGGTTCAATTATTTCTGTTTTTAAGTTGCTTGGCACATGGAACATGATTTGATCACTGTCTTAAATTCATATGTGCACACTGCTTTGTAATAGGGTTTGAATGCAGTGACAATTGTTTTGAACCCCAGAGCTCAATTTCTGTGTAACACTCTCTCACATATGCCATTCTGAAAGATCTCATCTTGCTAAGTTAAATTTGCTCACTTATTTGGGAAGTATAGTAAAAGACATTATAAAAAATTTTTAAAAGTAAATCTGCTCACTTTGCTATAGCCTTTCTTTCCTTTCTTTCTTTCCTCGGAGTTTTGCTCTTGTCGCCCGGGCTGGAGTGCAGTGGTGCGATCTCGGCTCACCGCAACCTCTGCCTCCCAGGTTCAAGCGATTCTCCTGCCTCAGCCTCCTGAGTAGCTGGGATTACAGGCATGTGCCACCAAGCCCAGCTAATTTTTGTGTTTTTAGTAGAGATGGGGTTTCATCATCTTGGCCAGGCTGGTCTCGAACTCCTGACCTCAGGTGATCCACCTCTCTTGGCCTCCCAAGGTTCTGGGATTACAGGTGTGAGCTACTGCGCCTGGCCTGCTATAGGATTTCAATTGTCTTTCTGTGTTTTTCAAAAACTAGAAACCTTGTTTCTGAACCTAAACTTTTAATATCTCTAAGATCTCAATAGAGAGACCATCCTCAAAGGTCTCCAATAACCCCATCACGTTTGTTAGGTGATAACATGGGACTAGCAACTTGAAGCCATTTTGAACAAGACAAACATGTGATTGTTAAAAATCTGTTTCAGGGTCGGGTATGGTGGCTCACACCTGTAACCCCAGCATTTTGGGAGGCTGAGGGGGTGGAACACTTGAGCTTAGGATTTTGAGACCAGCCTGGGCAACATGGCAAAACCCCATCTCTACAAAAAAAAAAAAAAAATACAAAAATTAGGTGGGCATGGTGGTGCATGCCTGTAGTCCAAGCTACCCGGGATGCTGGGGTGGGATCGCTTGAGCCTGGGAGGTCAAATCTGCAGTGAGCCATGATTGCACCACTGCATTGTAGCCTGGGTGACAGAGTAGAGACCCTGTCTCAACAACAACAACAAATATATATATATATATATATATATATATATATATATATATATATATATATATATATATGTATTTGCTTATATATATGTTTTTATATATATATTTGTTATATATATTTGTTTTATATATATGTAAAAAACAAATATATATATATAACACATATATATACACACACACACACACACACATATATATATATATATATGTGTATGTTTCAGGGTTTGACCCCATTTCACTAAAATGTCTGTAGTCTGTCATTTTCTCTTCCTAAAAAGGGCATGCATGTTTTTGACTTACACACTTGGAAAGGTAATTCAGAGGCCAAATTACAGACAATTTCTTTATAATCAGGCTGAGGAAACAGAAGTTTTGATGTTGGAGGGGGAAAGTGAAAATTCTTTCTGGAACACAGGATACAAAGAGTCCATTTTGCCTGTTGATTTGACTTAGATGAAAACCCATAGGGCAGGGTACTTGTCTTCCTCTTGGTTTTGGGAAAGGTGTCTTTGGCTGGTACTTAGTTACCAACACTGGCATGAAGAAGGTACCCAAAGTGATCTCTGTGCTGCGTGAGCACAAGATTATGAACCAGGAACCTAGATGTATTATTTGAGTCATTTCCCTGTAAAAGGTCTGGCCAGTGTCTGGCCATTCTTTCCATTTCAGTATCCATTTCTTCTTGTTACAGCTCAAGGAATACGAGGCCCAGCACCGGCAGTCGGCTGCCCTGGACCCTGCTGACTGGCCAGATGGTTCTTACCCAACGTTTGATGGCTCATCAAACTGCAATGTGAGTTTATCATGTCTTTGACATCTTGATCACCTACGCCGATAAGGGACAGTCTTCACCATTTTAGTCTTTGTATTTCTTTTCGAAACTTCCGACTCGCACCTGGGTCTGCAAAGAGGTGTCTGTTCATATAGATTGCTTATTTTCTCTACCTGACAGAGACTCATCTACAGTCAAAATAGTGTTATCATGCTGGGGTTTTGTTTTTTTTTTTTTTAATTGCAGTAAAGTATACATAAGATGACATTTACCATATCAGCTATTTTAAAGTGTTCAGTGATACTGGTACTGTTAATGATATTGATCATTAAGTACATTCACATTGCTGTGCAACCAGCATCATAATTTACTTCCAGAAGTTCTTCATCATTTCAAACCGAAACTCTGTTCCAATTAAACAATAACTCTCCCTACGCCCCCGCCTCACCCACCTCCACACACACCCTGCCCCTGGCAGCCACCGTTCTACTTTCTGCCCCTGTGAATTTGACACCTCTCAATAGCTCATGTAAGTGGAATTATACAATATTTGTCTTTGTGTGTCTGGTTTATTTCACTAGCATAATTCTTTCAGGGTTCATCCACGCTGCAGCATGTATCAGAACTTCATCCCTTTTTATGGATAAATAATATTCCACTCTATGTGTATACCACATTTTGTTTATCCATTCATCTGTTAATGGACACTTAGGTTGCTTCCAGCTTTTAGCCATTATGAACAATGCTGCTCTGAACACTGGTGTACAAGTATCTCTGAGTCTCTGCTTTCAGTTCTTTTGCACATACCTAGCACATACCTAGGGGTAGAATTTCTGGATCATGTAGTAATTCTGTATTTACCTTTTTGAGGAACCGCCATATGTTTTCTCACAGTAGCTGTATCGTTTTACCTTCCTGCCAACAATGTACAAAAGTTCCAAATTCTTGCCTTTCTCATCAACACTTGTTGTTTTACTTTTTTGATAATAATTATCCTAATGGTGTGAAATGGTATCTCGTGATTTTGATTTGCATTTCCCTCAAGCATCTTTCACATGTTCATTGGCCATTTGTGTATCATCTTTGTAGAAATGTCTGAGTCTTTTGCCTGGTCTTCAGTTATGTTGTTTTGCTGCTGTTGTTAGCTTGCAGGGGTTCTTTCTATTTTCTGGATATTAATCCCTTATCAGATATGTGATTTGTAAATATTTCCTCCCACTCTGTGGGATGCCTTTTACCTCTCTTGATAGTGTCCTTGATGCACACACTTTTAAATTTTGAAATCTAGTGTGTCTATTTGTTTTTTTGTTGCCTGTGCTTTTGGTGTCATATCCAAAAAATCATTGCCAAATCTAATATCATGAAGATGTTGCCCTCTGGTTTTTTCTGAGGGTTTCATAGTTTTAGCCTTTAAGTTTAGGTTTTTGACCTGTTTTGAGTTAATATTTGTATATGATGAAATATATGGGTCCAACTTCATTCATTTGCATGTGGATATCCAGTTTTTCCAGAACCATTTGTTGAAAAGACTGTCCTTTCCTCATTTTATGGTCATGGCATACTTTTTGAAAATTGATTGATCATATATGTGATGATGTATTTCTGGGCTCTCTATTTTATTCCATTGGACTATCTCTGTCATTTTGCTAGTACAATGCTGTTTTGATTACCATAGCTTTATAGTAAGTTTTGAAATTAGGAAGTATGACACCTCCGATTTTGTTCTAGTTTTTTAAGGTTGTTTTGGCTATTTAAAGGTTCCTTGAGATTCCACATTAATCTTAGTTTGAGTTTTTCTATTTTTGAAAAATATATCGTTGGGATATTGATAGGGATTGCATTGAATCTTTAGATTGACTTGGGTAATATCATTTTAACTATACGAAATCTTCCAGTCAATGAACATAGGGTATCTTTCCATTTATTTATGTCTTCATTAATTTCTTTCAGCAGTGTTTTGCAGTTTTCAGTATATAAGTCTTGCTTCCTTAATTAAGTTTATTTCTAAGTATTTTATTCTTTTTGATGTTATTGTAAGTGACAATGCTTTTTAAATTTTTTTCAAATTGTTCATTGCTAGTGTATAAAAATGCAGTGGATTTTCATGCATTGATATTCTATCCTGTCACTTTGCTGAATTTATTAGCTATATAGGCTGTGTGTGTGTGTGTGTGTGTGTGTGTGTGTGTGTGTATAGTGTTAGGGTTTTCTATATATAAGATCATGTCTTCAGGAGGCTGAGGTGGGAGGATTGCTTGAGCCCAGAAGGCCAAGGCTGCAGTAAGCTGTGATTGTACCACTGCACTCCATCCTGTCTTTAAAAAAAAAAAAAAAAAAAACAAGAAAACAAGATCATGTCTTCTGCAAAAAATAATAATAATAATAATAATAATTTAACTTTTTCCTTTCCATCTTACGTACCTTGTATTATTCACACTGTTTCAATATGACCAAAACAGTGCTTCTTATTCTACAAGTTCCATAGGGATGATAGGAATGAAGGCTCCAGAATTTCATATAGGCTTTTTTTTTTGATAAGAGTATTGCTCTGTCACCCAGGCTGGAGTACAGTGGCGCGATCTCAGCTCACTGCAACCTCCACCTCCCAGGTTCCAGTGATTCTCCTGCCTCAGCCTCCCGAGTAGTTAGGACTCAAGGTGTGCACTCCCGCACTCAGCTAAGTTTTGTATTTTTTAGTAGAGACAGGGTTTCACCATATTGGCCAGGCTGGTCTCGAACTCCTGACCTTGTGATCCACCCACCTCGGGCTCCCAAAATGCTGAGATTACAGGCATGAGCCACTGCGCCTGGCCTCATACAAACATTGTAGGGTGCCATCTTCACAATGTGTGGAGCAGAAACAGAAGGAATTACCTCTTTTCACGTATTATATAGTTGTGTTTTGTTTTTTAGGTTATCTCATCCTTAAAATTTGGAAACTACCCCATCTCCCTGTCTTCAGTCTCTTGTCTTTTCCTATCTATGTTCCATACAACCAGTCATCTTTGTAAAACATCCCTCTGTTCTTGCAGTTATGTTTTGAAAACGCTGATGGTTTTCCATTTCTATAAGATAAATTCCACCCTTCTTGGCACACTTAAAATTCTATGTGATCTGGCTTTAATCAATTTCTTAAATCTCATATTCTATCTCCACACCCAATAGCCTATACACCAGACATATTGGACCCCATATGCATGACTGAACAAACCTTGTATTTTTCATTCTTCTGCCCTTTAACTCACATAATTTTCTTTATCTAAAATGTTTTCCTCCAAAATTTTCCTGGTAAAAATCTGAGTTTTTCAAGGTGGAGTCCAACTGTTCCTTGCTCTCTGAAACTTTCCTTCCCGTCCTCAAGCGTATTTATTGCTACCTATTATGTGCTTTTGTTAAACTGGCTTTATAGATCAAACTTAAAGAATTATCCTAGAATATCAAAATTGGTTGTACATATTTCAGCCTCCTTGGAAATAGTGACCCCCTTGGGCAAGAAAGACTGTATTCTTTGTCTCTCCAATGTCCAGCTCCTATAGAAATATTTCAAGAAGAGCATTGTATTTGAACATTCATTCTTTTTTGTTGTTGTTGTTGAGACGGAGTCTCACTCCGTCGCTCAGGCTGGAGTGCAGCGGCATGATCTCGGCTCACTGCAACTTCTGCCTCCTGGGTTCAAGCAATTGTCCTGCCTCAGTGTCCCGATTAGCTGGGATTATAGGCATGCGCCACGACGCCAAGCTAATTTTTCTATTTTTAGTAGAGATGGGGTTTCACCATGTTGACCAGGTTGGTCTCGAACCTCTGACCTCAGGTGATTCACCCGCCTCGGCCTACCAAAGTACTGGGATTACAGGCGTGAGCCACCGCACCTGGCCTGAACATTCATTCTTCCTGGCTGCCTTAAGAGCATGTTTTATGTCTTGCAACTACAGATTCAGTCTTTACCTTTTTTTCTATCTAAGCAACAAATGGCAGTTTATCAGAAATAAATATAATCCTCCCATCATCTCCCAATTTCCTGAATCAAGCACCAGATTTCCACTGCAGCTAAAAAACAAAGGATTATGAATCTGAAAGCCCTGCCTGGTTTACTTTTGTGTGAAAGTGACTGAGACATTACCGTTTATAATAATAAATGTGTCATAGGCCAGCCAGCAGTGTGTCCCGGGACGATGAGGTAATCAAAAGAGCCGTGTCCATGGTTATCAATGTGCCTTTTTGGGTCTCTAATCCTCAAGTCCTGAAGTCTAACATAATATAGATGTAAATCACGAACCTAAAGGATCATGAGAAATAAATACAGTAACTCAGGACTGATTCAAACCCAACTTGGGGGAGAAAACAAAGACCCAGTTGTCCATACCGGGTCCCTTAGTATCAGACCCACTGTATACTGCCCTGATTAATAGCATCTGAGTCAAGGGAGAGGTTAGAAGACTTTGTCCATTCAGAGAAACAGGACTGTAGTAAAACCTCACACACTTAGACTTCAAAGAGAGAAGCTTGTTTTGTTTAGGAAAAAGTTAATATAAGTATTATCAAGCATTTAGAACAAGCTGCTAAGAAAGCATTATTAAGCATTGGTTTATGAGACCCCTTTCAGAGGGCTGGTCAGAACCATTAGCTAGATATAAATTGTGAGAATGAAATGGGTTCTTCTTAATAGTTGGAACATTTCATTCTCTTCAGCATTTCTTTATTCATTTGGGAGACGTTTATGGAGCCCTTGCTATATAGCAGGCATTGTGCTAGATGTTTGAGTTATAAAAGTAAAGGAGAAAGAGAAAGGTCCTTTTCTGACAGTTTATGCTGTAGAGCAGAGGTTAAAATCACATCCATGTGGCAGGGCACAGTGGCTCACACCTGTAATCCCAGCACTTTGGGAGGCTGAGGCAGGCGGATTACCTGAGGTCAGGAGTTCAAGACCATCCAGGCCAACATGGTGAAACCCGGTCTCTACAAAAATACAATAGAAAATTAGCCAGATGTGGTGGTCTGTGCCTATAGTCCCAGCTACTTGGGAGGCTGAGGCAAGGAAATCTTTTGAACCCAGGAGGCGGAGGTTGCAGTGAGCCAAGATCACAGGACTGCACTCCAGCCTGGGCAATAGAGCAAGACTCTGTCTCATAAAATATAAATAAATAAATAAATAAATAAATAAATAAATAAATAAATAAATAAAATCACACTCGTGTATGCACACAGATTTGAGATGCCATATACACATTTGCATTACTAACTTCTTACCAAACTATTTCTTCATAGATGGCCCGCAAATAAATTCAGCCTGTCTTAGTTAGACCTAGGGCCAGAAATACCATATGCTTCCTCCTCTCAGAGCACGGTCTTCCAGAAGTTCTGAAGAGTGACTTCTCTTTTGGCTGAGAGGCGTAGGTGATGATAGGCTAGTCAGCAATGCAGTTTTTTGAAGCAGTTGATTTACTCTGTGTATTTTGCTAGCTGACTTTCTGCCAACACCCATGCCCACCTCTGGTCATGCTGTTCAGAGCTACAACCCACCACCATCACCACTGAAGTTTGCTTGAACTTGATTGTAATCCTAAGGTATATATATGACCCTTGCCCCTCTTACTCTGGCTTTAGCCTGTTCTGCATTTTTATGAAGAGTTGGCCAGAAACCCCATCCAAAATATTCATTCTCATTATTTTAGATTTTCCTCTGTGGCAGAGCAGTTAATTTCAGAATTCAGCCACCACGGGTTATAGGCGCTTTGAATATTTTTTGTGCAAGAGCCGGAGCTTTTCTGTTTTCTATCGATTCCTTTCTAGAATACAGAGATGTGAATAGCCCACTGGCTCGAATCAGGAATGCCCAGGCCATGAAAGTTTTAGGGATCACAAGGCCTTTGTCACCAGACCTCAATGCCTATATTGATGCCTGTCATGCCTTAGGATTTCATTTGCATTGATTTCATAGGCTTCCCCACCCCAATCGCTGAAATTAGATAATCGCGTGTTGCCTCACAATAAATCCATATGCACATTCCTAGTTTCCAAGAGTGTAAAGTACTAAAGATAGTTACCAGGGGAAGTGAAAAATAGATTTCCCTTTGCCAGAGAAGAATCTGTTTTGTGCTGTTTTCCATTAATAATAAACTTCTGTTGGGAGTGCTAAAAGTTTTAAAAGAGATTTTTGGTTGAGAGCTTAGCTCGATTTCTTATTAAATGTCTGCACATTTATTTATTATTTTTCATTTTAATTTAGTTTGGTAAGTTTATTTTTTCCTTTGCCTCCTGCAGGGAGGGGTGATTGTAAGAGTTCTCAAGCTTTGTGCCCTAAGATTCAGTTTATTTTCTAGTTAAGAAGACATTTAAAGAAATTATGATCTCTGTTTTACCGGGTTTTCTAGTTTTTTGCTAATGTAAGTTGTAAATCATGGTTTTTCTGTTTTTAGAAAGCTGGTGGGTAAGAGTTAGTGATCTATACCTGGTACTTGAATATTAACAAAAATGTTTGCTGTGAAAGATCTTTCCAAATGAAAGGTCATTTGATGGCAATCTTATTTAAAATTTTTTAAGAATATATATAATGTATGAAGAAAAATGAAAGCAACAACCATGACAACAAAGCACAAGATGGGCTAGAGTCATCTTTACCGTTCAGTAGATTTTTCACTTCATAGCAAAATGTGTTCCAGGAAAAGCTGGAATTGTGTTTCTGTAGCTGGAGTTCCTTACCAGGATGGAGGACCTCTAGGGAAATGTTGTTTTGAGTGAGTAAAGCAAGTCATCGTTTCATAACTGATCACTTTTGCTTTTGGGGAGTTTTAGAGTTGGGAAATATTTGTGCAAAGAATGTTATACAGGAGGCTGAGGCAGGAGAGTCGCTTGAACCCGGGAGGTAGAGGTTGCAGTGAGCCGAGATCACGCCACTGCTCTCCAGCCTGGCGACAGAACAAGACTCCGTCTCAAAAAAACAAAAAACAAAAACAAAAACAAAAAAAGAATGTTATAACTGTGGGCTTGTGGCCTTATAACACCACCTTACCTCCATGTGTGCACTCTTCATAGCCTTCCATTCAACCATATGTACATTTTTGTCACTAATTTGGTTTGAGGTAGAGAGAGCCATGTGGTTGAACTGTGTCCAAAACTTTGGGCCACAGACACAGAATGCCGTGGAGCTATTTTCAATGTTTCCTTGATTGAGGACTTCCAAGGTCTCAACTAAAATATCCCCAGATTATAAGATCTTTTAGTTGGCACCTTTTAAATCTTTTTGGGACTTTCTAAAATTGTAAACCATAAACATGTGCCTCTCCAGTGGCCAGGTTTTACTTAGAGTTTTCAATGTCCTTTCACCAGCCTCAATAACAGACATTGTCTTCAAGCCAGAGGATTTAGTTTCGAAGTTTTGGAAGGAAAGGTAGTCACAGCCCTAGTCGAAATAGAACATTCTGAAAGATAATTTGCTAATAACAATTCTGGTATGTGCCGAAAGCCAGGGCACCGGCAGAAGTTCCTTTTAAGTGGTTCTTGTGGCAAATGGCTTAATTTCCATTATGACACAAGAAAAGGTTAACAGTGTAATCCCTTTTTATAGAATATGGCGGAAGAACAGTGCACACACTCATAAGGTGGCCTGAGCAGTTGTGATTTCACTGCTTTTTGGAGCAGAGTGGCAGCATCCTTCTACTTGTATAACCACTGTCGTCTTTTATAGAATCTGCTATTGTGAGCTCAACTCAAAATTTTAAAGGTTGACTATTCTTGCTGTGTTTATTTTGAATTTTATTTTATTTTATTTTTTACTAGAGTAACTTTTAGACACTAGGTTAAAATTTACCAGATGTTTTATTTTTACATTTCAAAGGTGTTAACATATAAACCTATATCATTAGCTTCATCATGTGGAAAAGTCTGACCGCAAAGATTTCTTTAATGGCAGCATATGATGAATTTACAAAATCTGCTCCCACCTATAAATATTCCCAGCAATCTAAAAAAATGTGTACAATTTTTATAGTTTTGCTGACTTGGATGGCAGTGAATATTGATTAGATGCATAAATTATGTGAAGAGTGACACATACTGTAGTACTTCAGTCGGCGTTGTAGGTCCGGTGAAAGTATCCCCAAGAAAATGATGGATTTTATTTCTACTGTCTTTGTCTTCTTGTAATTATTCATTTATTTTTTGAGAAGGAGTCTCATTCTGTCACCCAGGCTGGAGTGCAGTGGCACGATCTCGGCCCTCTGCAACCTCCACCTCCTGGGTTCACGCGATTCTCCTGCCTCAGCCTCCAGAGTAGCTGGGATTACAGGCGCACGCCATCACGCCTGGCTAATTTTTTTTTTTTTTTTGTATTTTTTAGTAGAGACAGGGTTTCACCATGTTGGCCAGGCTGTTGTCGAACTCCTGACCTCAGGTGATCCGCCTGCCTCGGCCTCCCAAAGTGCTGGAATTATAGGCGTGTTTGATAAGGAAGTTTAAGAGAGGATAGATTCCAAGTATAAAAATAACTTTCATTTCTGAATAAGCGTTTTGCTTTTTAATGGTGTTTACTTTTTTTTCCACTGCATCTCTTTTCCTAAGGGATCTTTTCATAACTCTGAGTGTGTGGGTTTAAATTTAAAAGGGTTCTAATTGGCAAGATGCTTTTTGGTTTACAGCTAGAAAATGGTTCTACTTATTAAAGCTCTAATAGTTGTCTTAGGCTCATGTTCTTCAGTTCTTTATTTCTCACACAGAAGAGTTTACTTGTTTGACTTGTAATATGACCAGGAGAAAGAAGAAACAAAACATAGCAATAATTTATCAGAAGGCATTTATGCCCTGTATCCTTGGGATAGGTATCAGCAATTCTGTATACGATGCATGCAGTATTACCTTGTGTAGATGAACCCTTTTCAAAAATCTTTCTACATGTAACTATGTTAAAATTAACTTTTATTGGCTGGGTGTGGTGGCCCATGCCTGTAATGCCAGCACTTTGGGACGCTGAGGCAGGAGGATCACTTGAGGCCAGAAGTTCAAGACCAGCATGGGATCTACATAAAATAAAAAAGTTAGCCGGGCATGGTGGCACACGCCTGTAGTCCCAGCTACTCAGAAGGCTGAGTCGGGAGGATTTCTTGAGCCCAAGAGGCCGAAACTGCAGTGAGCTATGATTGTACCACTGCACTCCAGCCTAGGTGACAGAGCGAGACCCTGTCTCAAAAAAAAGAAAAAAAAAAAGTAAATTTTTTAAAAATATAAAATAATGTATACTGATCTTAGTCTTTTAATGTGTTTGAGACCTTCATATGATTATTCTGATTTTTATGGATAATTCTTATAAATTTTCATTTTATTTCGCTGGGTAGGAGATTATAGGAGGAAGTATTACTCTGTATTTTAATAAAACCATGATTCTGAAACTAAAATGATAGTAAAATAAGAATATATTAAAGTTCTTACTAAAAGAGTAAAAGTAATAATTCCTTTAATCTACAGCTTAGGGTGAGACTAAAGGAAAAATCAGTCCATTGGAAAAATATACATAGTGAGAGGTTTTGAGAAATGCCCGTTTTGTTCCGTCTGGTTATAAGCTGCCCAGGAGCCATTGCTTAGGTGGCTTCTTGTCACTTCTTCTCTTCTGCCCTCCCATTCCCAGTCTTTTCTCTGGGACAGGGGCCAAAGTTTTCAGGCATGTATTTGTTGAGTCCCTAAGATCACCATGTTTCCACAAAGTTACACAAGAAGGAAGCTGTTGCCTCTACTAGGCCCTGGAAACCAGGCCTTCACCCTGCGTGGGCAAGAGAGGAGACTGGTTAAGCTCAGACTTGAGTCAGACCTGGGGCTCAGATCCAAATCTCCCACCTATTAGCTCTGTATCTGTGGCCAGGCACTTCATCTCTTTGTTATTTGATGTGAAGATCTTCTGCCCTTCCCGTCAACTGTCATTCTTAAAATACTTGAGTTCCCATAAAAGTGCTATTTTTGTACATGCCATTAACATGGTAGTAATGGCTTATATTCATGTATCAGCAGATAGGCTAGAATTGTCAGAACAAACTTAATGTAAAAGTGCATACTTGGTTACACTTTTACCAAACACATAATCAATTTATTTTCTATTTCAGAAGGCATTATTGTGTAAGTGGGTTTAAGGGTGGGTCTGGTATGATTTTAGTAAGCATGTTTGGACTTAGTACTGTCTGTGAAGTGTAAGTAGTTATTGTACTGAAATAATCTAGGGCCCTACAGTGCTGATGACGTCGTCTCATGGAGTGTGTGGGTGTGTGTTCCATACCTGTTATGTCGGAAGGCACTCTCATGGCAGGCCCATTTGGCTCTTTGACTTTGGGAACTAACCAGGCACATCTTTATCATTACTGATTTCTGCAGTTTCAGGAAGTTGAGGGTGCTTGCTGCTTGGAGGCCTTCCTCGACATATCAAAGGCTGGCTGGGCGTGGTGGCTCACACCTGTAATCCCAGCTTTTTGGGAGGCCAAGGTGGGTGGATTGCCTGAGCTCAGGAGTTCTAGACCAGCCCGGCCAACATGGTGAAACCTCATCTCTACAAAAACAAACAAACAAAAAAAAAAAAACAAAAAAAACAAATTTAGCTGGGCATAGTAGTGTGCATCTGTAGTCCCAGCTACTTGTGGGGCTGAGGCGGGAGGATTGCCTGAACGAGGCTGTAGTGAGCTGTGTTCATGCCACTGCACTCCAGCCTGGGTGGCAGAGCAAGAACCTGTCTCTAAAAAAGAAAAAAAAAAGAAAAAGAAAAACATATCAAGGGCCACATTGATAAAAACAAATGACAAAATAACCCAGATACTATATAATCTGAGGATACCTATTTTTAAAAAATTAATTTAAGATAGATTACGGATACAATTTGGTCTGTTTCTTTCATTTGGTTGAACCTTGTGGAACTCGAGATACTAGACAGCTTTTGACCTATAAAAGTGGTGATTTCCTTTGTCCAACCTAATACATACATACCACAGAGGATATGCCACATTTCCCCTGCTAGCTGATTATATTTCAGTACAGATATTTGTAATCTAATTTGGTTTAGAGATTGGCATTTCAGTTTGCAATCCCAGTTTTTTATTGTGCTCTTGGGAACAACGCTGGGGAAGTTGGGGATAAGAGGATTTCCATTACTTGTTCAATGTTACTGATTGATTACATGTCAATTCCTTGTTAAATCATTTGCCCTAGCGCCGGTCCTTATTTAATGGATGGGTTGGGGAGATACCCAGGCACTATTGTTATTCGTAAGTAGAATTTAGACTGCGGGCCATCTCCAACCTAAGCCTGCTTATTAGAATCATAGGTTGCCCTTCACTTGTTTTGAGTCCATTTGAATGTTGTCACAATTACCCATTGTATCAAAATTCTTTTTTTTGTTTTTTTTTTTTTTTTTGGAGATGGAGTCTCACTCTGTCGCCCAAGCTGGAGTGCAGTGGCACTATCTCGGCTCACTGCAACAAAATTCTTAGAACGATAGTCAGTCATGAGACAAATCATTTGGAAAGCAATATTTTAACACAACCAAATTTTTTTACAATATAATTTCTATCAAAATATCCTTTTATTCTCTTCTCTATGCCGTTCATCTCCCTCTTTGTACCACACCACACTACTAACTTTCTAATGTTCACTCTAATATTTATTATTAGTATTATGCTAATAGCATCACATAATTAGTTTATAAAAGGATGCAAATCTCTTCTTACACTGAGCATTTGAACCAAAGTGTAGGTTGAAACAATGCCATCTTGAGCATTCTTTCATTTATTTATGTGCAAGCATTTATTGAGTACCCACTATGTGCCAGTCCTTGTACACAGGGAGCTTGGGTTTGAGAAAAGGATTAGATTAATAGATGGCGTGGTTGTGGACTTCATTGAGATTTTCCTGCCTATTGTGATAGGTGCACACAGAAAGTCCAGCAAGCCCCAGCAAAGAGGGTCTGGGAGCCTTCCCAGAGAAGGTGGTTGACACTGAGGAAGAGCTTTCCAGGAGAAGGAGAAATGTGTGTCAGGAGAGGCAGCAGCAAAGTCAGAGGTCTAGATGAAGAGCTGAGTAAATCGGAAAACTTGGGTAATATGAGAAAATTAGGTCAAGTAATATGAAGCATTTCTCTCTCTCAGTATTTTGACTTCTAGGGTATAGATTCTATTCTTTACTTATTTTTATTTATAAATTGGTTCTGTAATAGGTTGTTTCCTTATTTCTGCAAACTTTAAATTTATATAATTTATGTTTTTTATCTTGTCTTTGAGGTCTCATTTAATTGAATTCACGTTCTTATTAAATTATTTTATAGAGAGAAGCAACTATTAGGAATTTCTTCCTGTTCCTTGAGTTGAGATGATGAAGTGATGAGAGCAAAGATTGGCTTTTTGTTTTTATCTATGCTTCTTCTTTTCCCCCTCTCTTTGCCGTAGTTTGTTTGTATAGTTGTCATGTCCTTGGTCCTGTTTGGGTGGCTCTGATCACGTTCTCCATTTGTGCTGATATTGAGGGTTATGTTTTGACCTGTTTGCCATGCTATCTGACAATAGATTTTTTTTTTTTTTCTCCTTTCAAGATACAGTTGAGGGCTTCATTTTGTGGTCCATTTATGTTTGTTGTTGCTACAACCTGGCCATGATATATGGTGAAATGTGGTCTTCATTGGGATAGCTGGACTCTGCCTTTTCTCTCCTGAAACTGTGTTGAATGTGCCGTATCGTAATTGATGCCACCTGGTTCATAGCTGGGGTAATTGGTAGAACATAGCCATTCTGCCTTTCATTCATTTTTTGAATTTTAGAGACTGTATTTCAATCAAGAACAACCTCACTTGACTTTCCATCGTTTCACTCATTGCTCTTCTGTAGCCATTTCCACTGCTGTTAGGTCAGAAAAAGATAAAGAGGTCACACAGTTTCCTTCCAGATTTGGAGTCACATGAAAGGATTCTGTGGATTCCTGCCAGCCTGGCTTTTGTAGAAGTTGTGGGCCTTTTCCAGTGGGCCTCAGAAATTTGTTTCTTACCTTAGTCATGGAGTTTAGTACATTAGATTATGTAGCTTTCTCTCTTTGGTTGCTCTTGGCGCAATATTTTTGCTAGTTTTTAGTGTTTTATTGTTTGTTTGTTTGTTTGTTTTTTCTTCTTGGGGGGCTTTTGCTCATTTTGTTAGTCGTTGTGAGAAGAATATTCTGTGGTTCAGTGTTCAGCAGAGTTCATGACCTGATTGTTTTGCCAATTGGATGACCACAAAGAACCTTTCTAGCTCTAAATAATTCCTCTCTGAAGGTATTTAGTCTAGATTTCTTCAATTTGGAACTTGAAGTAAATTTGCTTATTTATTCTGCAAACAGAAGGAGATTAACGTTAAGGTTGTAGATCGTCAGTCTAGGAGGTAACATTGGACCCTCCTGCCTCCAGCTTCGACAGATGACCACTGACCTGGTGGCATAAGTTTGGCTTGGAGGAATGGTCTTGGTGGTCCCACCTTCCCTCCATTGCCATTTGGCTCCATCAGTTCTCTGTATTTCTACATTGCCATTTGCCTAGACAAGGTTGTTTGGCAGCCCTGTCGGAGAAGTCATCGTGCCTGATACATGAGTCATTCAGCCTAAGATGCCATAAAAGTAATGTGACTTTGCAAACACCACCCAATCCCTTAGGAGACTTACGGCTTCTGGGATGAACACTTTCATCAGCTCCAGAAACTAGCGCCTTAAATGCGTATGTAATTGCCCTACTTGGCAGTCCTGTTCTGAATCATCCTTTTTCCATGGCATGTGAGAATTGGATGCCCTTGGGAATGAGTGGGTTTGGTGTTTTGCTTTAGTCTTCAGTGTGTCTGATCCCATAGATTTGCTCTGGATAACACTACCCCACTCTGAACAGAGGGACCTGTAGAGCTGTAGATTACCTTCCCAACACTTTGTTTCCTAACTCACCTATTTAATATGAAACAATACGTTTCTCTGACCTATGGTCAGGGTGACAAAGCCCCAGGCAGAAATGTCTTCCAAAGATTTACAGAGTGAAGGAGAAGCCAGTCCTCTCGCCTCTACTTACCACTCTCTCCCCCCACCCATTCAGGAGGAAAGGCATTCTCTGCTCTGTGGCAACCTGCAGAATTGGGGTGGGAGGATTCACTTTTGTTTTATGTCTCCCTAGATCTGGCTGTAGGACTCCTGAGATTTTGTATTTTTCTCCCTTCTCCTCATGGGGGCGATTAAAAACGATTCAAAGTTCATGAGTTTAAGAAATAGATTGCAGTTGATTAGGGAACATAACATCCATTTGCTGCTCCTTTGGTTTTATGGTTAAATTTTAAAGCAGTTTCTTAAGTGAATTAAGTGCTGACAAGCCTTTGCCCCAAAGGAATGGTAATATTACCTCAAATTCTCACATACTTTTTCCAAATAAAACTATCATGTAATTATCTTCTTCTCTCTGCCGCCGCCTCCTCCTCCGTCTCTTTCTTCAAATCTGGCAACAACTAGTTAATTTTGAAACTGCCAGAGAGATTATTTCAGTGTTCCACTGTACCTCTGGGAGAAGAATGGAATCTCATCTTTTTTTTTCCATATGCTAACCAAAATCTCCTAATTTCAGAGGGCAATGATGTCACCAGCTAATGAGCAAAATATTTCTTACTAAACAGATGAGTCCTCCCCTGACTCCTTTGTGATAAAAGAAAAAAAAAACTTACCCACAGTGTGTTTCATATTTTCTACTGTTACTTCTAGCAACTCATAAACACACTTTCAAGTAACTCTAACTTATTTGAACAGTGAGACTAATTTTTTTCTAAATACGAAGAATAACACATTAACCTGATGACTGTGACCAAAAGGCCTCTGCCACGGCCCCAGAGTCAGTGCAGTGCCCCTGAGGTAGGGAGGGACTTTCGGTGCTTCACTTTTTGGACCGTGGAGGGAGATCAGGCAGTTGGAGAGATTATGAAATCAAGCTTGGGGAAGAGGAGGGCCGGGAAGCTCCTGTTGACTGGTGTCACATGCTGTTTATAAAAGCAACAACATCAGCTGAGCTCTTCTTTGTCTAGATAGGAGGGCATCTAAGGTTGGGATGGGGTGGGTGGGAGAAGTAGGGCCCCAGGGCCATGTAAATACTGGACTAGGCTCATGTAGGGACATGGAAATATCCCTAAACCCATGGCAGTTTCCTCTTCCCCTCACGGAAGTGTGCCTCAATTTCCTTACCCAGAGATGAGTCTTCCCACATCGGAATTCCTATATCTCTGTGTTTTTCTCTTGCGGTTGTCGCGGTTGACCTTAACATTAATCATATTTCTGAACTTCTCTTGGGGCTGTCCCTACCCTCAGACGTCTAGATGATAACCTTTATAAACCCAGGGAATGCTGGCTTCCTCCTATTGCTATTCCTTGCCTTTCCTAATGCCTTGAATCAGTGCATTCATTCATTTGTTCATTTCAATCAGGAAATATCTGTTTAGCACAAACATAGATATTTATTTATCTAAGTGGAAAAGAATATTGTAATTCTCAGTGTTGGTAACTGCTCCTGAGATTTTAAAACGATACAACATTTTTTCAGAGCAAGTTGTTGATATGTATCAAAAGTCCTAAAGACACACCCTTTTACCCGTCAATTCTACAGTCGAGTCATCTTTCTAAAAAAAAAAAGAATGTGTTAGACATGTTAGAAATTTTACCACAAAGTGTGCATCCAAGGATTATTTGAAAAATTGGAAACAGGCAAATGTCTAATTACGGGGGACCATGATATCAGTAAATTATGGTATACTTTGATGGCTAAATACTACTGCATCATTAATACATTGTATTGTATTGACTATTTCTTGACATGCGAAAATATTCAAAACATACAGCTTTAAAAAATGGGCTATGAAACAGTGTGGCTACGGTGCACACCAGGGGCCTGGGGTTTCTCTAAAGGAAAATCTTTTGAGGCAGCCGTGACCCAGAGAAGGTCCCCACTTACAGGCAAATGTGTTATTTCTACTTAGACTGTGCGTGTGCATTTGAGGGAGGATTTGGGGACACTGATAGTGACTAGAGGAGTTGGAGGAGGTAAAGATCAAAGATAACCCTTTCTTGTAAAAAAAAAAAAAAGAAACATACAGAAACATCAGGGTGTATTTTGTGTGTGCATGTGCATATGTGTGTGTATGGGGAAAAAGTGGGAAGGCATAAACCAAAATATTACCAAGTTTTCTGAGTATGGGATGATACGTCATTTCTCTTACTACTTTGTGCATTTTTGCATTCTCCAAATTTTTAATAATATATGTCATGTGTAGTCAGAAACAATAAATGCTACTAACATACAGATGTGGAAATGAATATGGTCATGTACATTGTCTGCATGACAGTTAGTGATGGGCTAGGGAATCTAGCAATGCCAATATATGTGTGAAGTCCTTGGATAAAGTATCTTTAGTCTAAGGTAGATGAGGAGCAAAGCCAGGAGAGCTTTCCAGAGGAGGCAATATGCAGACTGAAACTTGAAGGATGCATAGGAGTTAGGGGTGTGGATGCAATCAGCAGAGCTGTTTGCAGAAGATGAGCCATCAGGGCAGTGATGGGCATGGGGTGTTTGAGATGCTGCAAGGAAGCAGGGGGTGAGACCGGGTGCTCTGGTGCCCTTTCTACCACGTGGTATCTGAAGAGTGGAGCACAATGTACCAGAAACTGAATCTGACCGCACACAGTCACATATTCCACTATAAGGCCTTTGGACCTTGTTCCAAGGAGCTAATGAGGACCAATTCCTCACCATAGGAGTCAAATACTGAAGTCCCTTCTCAGCAAATTTGCACATCTACTGTGTTCAAGCCCGCCACCCAGAGAACAGGACCAGCAGTGGCCTTCCCTCACAAAGTCTATCTCCCAATCTGTCCCTCACCAGGGAGCTTCCTAGGGTGGCCTGGCTCAGTCTAGTCTTCCAAATATCCCCCAGTTTACTCTGACACATGGCCAGGGCTGAGAGCCACAGGGCTGGGGAGTCTCAACTTCTTCATTCCACAGTGATCGCACCAGTATTTATGGGTGGGCACTAGGAATGCAAGGAGCAGGAGATCAGACAAGGCTCCTGGCCCGGGGAGCCTCCTGTTTTCTGAAAGTCAAGCCATGGTACGTCCTCACAAAGGGCCCAACATCGAGTATCTTGATAAATACCTGAATGACTCCCTGAGAGGCGTGGCAGTGAGGTTAAAAAGGGGTGGACAAGGTCGGCTCTCTCTCCCATCCTCTTAGGACACTCTCCAAGTCCTGTGCTGTGAGGAGAGGCCGCTCAGGGGAAGTACTGGGGATGTATCCTTCCCGCCACCCTCCCCAAAGTATCTGGATAAATCAGTGCATGAACTTCATGTGTATTTCACATGGAACGAGGGCTTCCTTACCTGCCAAGCTCTAGACTTCACATTCAAGGTCTCATTTTATCCTCTAGAGAGCCCTAGGAGGCTTCTCACTGCCTATCTTAGAAATGAGAGAAGAAACATGCCCACAGCCACAGGCTCTTCCCATGTGGCACAGAGGGGATCTGAACCTGCATTGGCTCAGAGTCTTCTCTATATCTGAACAGCCTGTCCAGAACCAGCCTCAGATGCTGGCCATATGACAAGCTTTCACACGTAAAAAGGTTGTTGGTTTTTTCTGTTTTTGTTTTTTGAGATGGAGTCTTGCTCTGTCACCCAGGCTGGAGTGCAGTGGCACGATTTCGGCTCAGTGCAGCCACTGCCTCCCAGGTTCAAGCGATTCTTGTGTCTCAGCCTCCTGAGTAGCTGGGATTACAGATGTGCACTATGCCTGACTAATTTTTGTATTTTTAGTAGAGACCATGTTTCACCATGTTGGCCAGGCTGGTCTTGAACTCCTGGCCTCAAGTGATCTGCCTGCCTTGGCCTCCCAAAGTGCTGGGATTACAGGCATGAGCCACTGTGCCTGGCTGGTTGTTGGGTTTTTTTGTTGTTGTTTTTTTTTTTCTTTTTTCTTTTTGGAGATAGAGTGTCGCTCTGTCACCCAGGCGTGCAGTGGCATGATCTCAGCTCACTGCAACCTCTGCCTCCCAGGTTCAAGCAATTCTCCTGCTTCAGCCCCCTGGGTAGCTGGGATTACAGGCATGTGCCACCACACATGGCTAATTTCTGTATTTTTAGTAGAGACGGGGTTTCACCATGTTGTTCAGGCTGGTCTCGAACTCCTGACCTCGTGATCCGCCCACCTTGGCTTCCCAAAGTGCTGGGATTACAGGTGTGAGCCACCGCGCCCAGCTAATTTCTGTATTTTTAGTAGAGACGGGGTTTCACTGTGTTAGCCAGGATGGTCTCGATCTCCTGAGCTCGTGATCTGCCCACCTCGGCCTCCCAAAGTGCTGGGATTACAGGCGTGAGCCACCACGCCCGGCCTGGTTGTTGGGTTTTTAAGTGGTCTTTGCTATTTACACAGCACCTAAAAGAACAGTTTGTGAAAATTAGGTGTTATTTGAACTCCAGTGAGTTATGAATAGAAGACTGCAGAGTTAATAATAAGGCTGGGCTTGGTGGCTCACGCCTGTAGTCCCAGCACTTTGGGAGGCCAAGGCAGGCAGATCATCTGAGGTTAGGAGTTTTGAGACTAGCCTGGCCAACATGGTGAAACCCCATCTCTACTAAAAATACAAAAATTAGCTGGGCATACTGGCGGGTGCCTGTAATCCCAGCTACTTGGGAGACTGAGGCAGGAGGATTGCTTGAACCCGGGAGGTGGAGGTTGCAGTGAGCTGAGACCAAGCCATTGTACTCCAGCCTGGGCAACAGAGCAAAACTCCATCTCAAATAATAATATTAATAGTAATAGTAAAAATATTAAGTCCTTATTGAACTCCAGTTCAGTAAGGATTTCAGGTACGCAGTATTTAATACAACCACAACGTAAGAAAAGTGCTACTATACCACATTTATGTGCAGGAATATTAAGACCCATAAAAGTAAAGTGATTTGCTAGAGAACTTGGTAATTAAACCCAGGTTTTTCTAACCCCTGAGACCTTGGGCTAATCCTCTTCCCTTTACCCCAGTCTCACTGGGGCACTCTCATTTTCTTCGTTTTTATCCTGTAACGAAGGAATTTGGTGGAAAATGTCTACACTCAGTTTTAAGGAACTGTGAGCATAACTTTGCAGCATAGTTGTCAGTCTTGGATGAAGAAAGGTCTTGTTGAGGTAGGGTAGTGGCACAGGAGCAAAACCATACAGTCTCAGATTCTGCCCCTGCCATTGCTGTGAAATGGGGTCTGTATGCAAATGTTTAGCACAGTGCCTGGGAATGCTAAGCTTTGGACAAATACAAGTGTTGGAAGTACAACATCGCAAAAGCACCTGGTCCGTCAGATGGTGGCAGGGGAAGGGGAGTTTGTGGGAGAATCAGTTTGTGAAATGGGGAATTGGGCAGTGTAGGGAAGGTGTGGTGAACCCTTGCAGGAGAAAGAAGAGGAAATTCAATAAAGGTTGGGAGGAGATACTTCTGAGCAGAAGACAGAGTGGGAGAAGGGAGTTTAATTCTTGGCAAGGAGTGAGAGACGCCAGCCCGCCCAGGGAAGAAGAGCAGGACAAGAGCCGAGGAAAAGGGGATGGAGCTCTGGTGATCTGATGCAGAACCCGCAATGTGTGCGTGGTAAAACATGACCCTCCACTTGGGAGCTTCGTATTCCAATTCCCTTTTGTTGTTGTTGTTGTTGTTGTTGTTGTTTGAGATGGAGTCTCGCTCTGTCGCCCAAGCTGGAGTGCAGTCAGGCGATCTTGGCTCACTGCAGCCTCTGCCTCCCGGACTCAATTTATCCTCCTATCCCAGCCTCCTGAGTAGCTGGGATTACCGGTGTATGCCACCACGCCTGACTAAGTTTTGTAGTTTTAGTAGAGACGGGTTTTCACCATGTTTCCCAGGCTGGTCTCGAACTCCTGGCCTCAAGTGATCTGCCCGCCTCCGTTGGAATTACAGGCGTGAGCCACTGTGCCTGGCCGTTTTTAGTTTAGGTAACCTCTGAATCCTGTCCAACTCTAAACTTCTGCCATTTTAAGGAGGGACAGTGGTTCCTACGCATCCCTGAGTCCTGTGTAGCTAGGTATTTTATGTCGTGTGATGTCCTATAAAGAGCATTATACATGAAGACTCACCCAACAGGAGGGACATCTAGAAACAAGCAACTCACATTGTGCTGTGAGAATAAATGACTTACCCAAGTGAATGAACTTAGCCCTGAAAAGACAAACGTGACTTGCAGCCCACGTCATGGAGACTTTGTGTGGGTTTTTAGTCCTGTGTTGTTTAGATGATGTTCTTTTTAAGTAACAGCATGTGCCTAGTGGCTCCCCTGAGGTCCTTGAGAAAATTAAATAATCATCTTGTGACACGGTCCTCATGCTCACGTTTCTAGAATGCAGGAGAACTCGGATGCTCTGAAATGGGCATTAAAACAATTTGTTAAGAGAGCTTTAGAAGCACCAATGAAGGGGAAATATCCTACATTTACCCTGGTTGTTAAAATTTTAAAAAGGAATGGGGAGAGAGAGAGAAAGTGACAACTCTAGGAGAAAACCACAATCATAAGTTTTAATTCAGTAATTTCAAAAATAGCCATTGGAAGGTGTCTATTTTCAATTGAGACTGCTCCCTTAAGGGGGTGTTCAGAAGAATGTCTGAAAAAGAGATCTTTTTTTAAGTTCAGTCACTTTTAAGGGTTAGTCCTTGTCCTCCTTGTCCTGGATTTGCTCAGATTCTCGCGTTCTTTTTTCTGTCTCTGGAATTCCATAGACAGTAATTAAGGAACTGGAGGCCAGCAGGAGGTCAGGGAGCCTTCCTCAGTGAAAACAGGGATTGTTGGCCATGCACAACACTCCCTTTTTTCCTTGTGGTGAATAGGAGATTTGCTTAGAGCTGATGACTTATGCCTTTCTTGCGAGTTATGCAGTTAGCAAGCGACTGGGGAATCAGTCAGCAAGCAGAAAGAAGCTAATTGAATCCAGTGTCTTCCCCTTTCTCCTTCGGATACTGAGCTGTGACGGTGGAGCCTGCCTGATCATGTAACTCCAGAGAGACATGTTCCAGGAGTGCCTAATCTTAATTTTGAGATTGCGGAGTTTGATGCTACAAGAGTGAAGACGCTCTCCGAGTGGGGAGGGGGGTGGGAGGTACAGGACGTCTTCAGAATTACCCCTTAGGCTTGCTAAATGCCGAAGCCGGTAAGTCACTGAATGCGTTCAATGGGAAAGAAAGAATGTGTTTTCTGTTGCTTCAAGTAAAAGTTTTTGCTGCTCCTGCCTATGATGTTTCTCTCTCTTTTCTTCTTAAATTCCTCTAGATTTGTCCTTCTTCGCCTGTTTACTTCCCTACCTGGTAACCCTGAGCATTTTTGCCTGGCATTTTCACCAGTGAAAATGCGTAACTTTTAGAGAATAGTGAGTATTGTTTTGAGAATTTGAGACAATGAGCATATATGGCTCAGCTGTGAATTGTGGAGGCTTTTCCTGGGGAGGACTTGAATTCAGACAGTGTTGCACATTGCTTTTCATAAGCTTATATCTGATTGGCTTCCTTCTCTTAAGTTTAAGATTAACGCTGTGACACAGCCGACCTAGAAAGCTGAAGTATGTATGTCTAATCATGCGCTAGGTTAGAGAGACCAGTGTGTGAATTTCACAGGCAAGTACATTTCCAGTTTCAAATTGCTTTTCAGAAATGTTTAAATATCTCTCGGTGTTACGTGGCGCTGGGGGAGATGAGTGGGCTTAGTCTGGGTGTTAATTGTGACAGCGTGTCGTGTGTTTCGAGCTAGGGAAACAAGCTGAGTGAAAGTGCTTCTGCAGAGGGCACAGTTGTAATCCTGTGATCAGCGTGGTGGTCTCAAGCGGTCCTCCAAAGGGTCTAGTTGCTCCTTGCAAATTGGTTTTAACCTTTATTACAGCATATTGCCATTGTGCTTGCACAACTGTGCCATATGGCTTTTGGAAAGGATTTGTTCTGCACACTGCAGTCCCAAGAACTGTTTGTTACAGGGTCCGGTGAAGTATCTGTTACCGACCAGCAGTGACAGGTTTACTTGGAGCAGGGAGAGGATGCATTTAGTGAGCTCCGGCACACAAATGTTTGTACTCACAGATGCTATTCATTTTGTTCCTTTTTTCTGATCATCCAGCGTGTAGCTGTGTTATAAAAAGTTCTCCACGCTGGCTCCATGTCTTTCCTATTAGAACATTGCAGATGTGTCAAGGATGCACTTGTTCCAAAAGAAGCTGGGAAGGAAGGAGGCTCCACCCTCCTCCGGGTGCCAGACGGGCCCCATAGGTTCCTCATTCAGTGGCCTGGCCGGCAAATGGTGTGCTATCTCTTTAAAGCAGCTATAGTTTTGTGTCTTGGCTTGGTCAATTTGTTATGGTTTAAAACTGTGGAGCCAGCTGTCTGCAATCTGATGTAATGTTGCTATGGAAACCAGAAATGAAACACTTAAGCATTCACCACAGAATTACTACATATAGCATTAGCCAAAGTAATTAAAAGTTGAGCCATATGGGCTTTCTGCTGGAAAAAAATCTGCAGAGGAGAGGCTGGAAATCAAATGTTTCTGTTTACAATATTGGAAATCCACTTTTCCACAATTTTTGGTGGGATAAGTTGCCTTTTTCTCTTGAAGGTTTTCTGGTGAGGAGCTGTCATACAGATGATTGAGTTCACCTTCTCACTGAGAAGATGATCTGTTTAACTCTGACCCAGGGTGGGACAAGGGAGGGGAGGCCACACTATCTCATGTTTGAATGTGTGTGAATATATACTTTTATTTTTTAACTTTAGTTTAAAACCTGTTCTATAACAGTGCTGAACCTATTTCTTAGAATCAGTCATTTATTTTATATACAATGCAGATTTCCTCTATCTTCTACGAAGTTTTTCACATAGGAAGATTTCTTTTAAAATATACATAGTATTTGAATTTAAAAATTATATATTTTTTATGTTTATAAATATAAAAATTCTCAAGCCCCCATCCCTGGTGGTGTATTTCCTGAATAAAAAGACATGCTGGCCAGCCATGGTGGTTCATGCCTGTAATCCCAGCACTTTGAGAGGCTGAGGCGGGCAGATTACCTGAGAGTCAGGAGTTCAAGACCAGCCTGGCCAACATGGCGAAATGCCATCTCTACAAAAATACAAAAATTAGCTGGGTATGGTGGTGTGTGCCTGTAATCCCAGCTACTCGGGAGGCTGAGGCTGGAGAATCGCTTGAACTCAGGACGCAGAGGTTGCAGTGAGCTGAGATCGCACCACTGCACCCCAGCCTGGGAGACAGAGCGAGACTCCATCTCAAAAAAAAAAAAAAAAAAGAAAGACATGCTGTGTTATTTTCAGCATTTGGGAAGTGGAATATACTTAAAAAGAGAAATATGACATGAGGAATTCAAGATTTACTCTCCAGTTTAGAAGAAATGCAAGCCTTTTACAGCGTTTTTGTGTTAAAACAGCTGGAGAGAATTTTTTAAAGGCAAATATTTCACAACGCTTTTTTCCTCTGGACTCAGTAGGAAGTGAGAAGTCAACACCTCTCCATCAATATCATGGATGCAGCAATACATTCTTGGGATAGGTTGTTGAACTCAAGTAACTTCTAGGCTGACTTCTAGGTTAATTTTCTATTACACACACACACACACACACACACACACACACACACACACACACACACACCTTGGATGACCTGGATTTTATATTGCATTTTTCTTCGTATAAATTGTGCCGCATCTATCTTGTCTAGCGTCCAAAAAATGATCATGGAAAAGAAGGACTTGGTTGCCATGGTTTGTGATTTGTCAGTGACAAACACCTCCAAATCTTGATTTTTCTAGAAAAATAAAAATAGCATTAATTCAAAGGTACAAAGAAGTATAATTCAAAGGTATAATTCAAAGGTGTGTTTCTCAAAAATAAATGGAACATGTGAAAACAATTAAATAAGTACCTGGAATATGTTACTTTTTGCCACAGTGAATCTGGGCAGAGGAAAGTAGGATTTTATGAGGAAGGCATTGCCTTTAAATCTACTGTCCTTGTTTAACTATTTTGATTTCTCCTTGGAAAGTTCACTCTAGTACATATAATGATTTGTGTCTTTGTGGACTAAAATTTTTGTATTAGTTTTTTCTATACCCCATTTCTCTTACTGCCCACTGTCCCATGCATACACACACCCACACCACCACCACCAACCAGCAAACTAGGTATGAGGTATACACATCAGTAATTTTCATCCTGTAACACAGCTTCTTGTATTTTGATTACAAACAATCTGTACCTATTTCATTTTCATTTGATTTCAACATTTATTTATTTATTTATTTATTTATTTTTTTGAGACAGAGTCTCGCTCTGTCGCCCAGGCTGGAGTGCAGTGGCACGATCCCGGCTCCCTGCAAGCTCCGCCTCCTGGGTTCACGCCATTCTTCTGCCTCAGCCTCCTGAGTAGCTGGGACTACAGGCACCCGCCACCACGCCCAGCTAATTTTTTGTATTTTTAGTAGAGACGGGGTTTCACCGTGTTAGCCGGGATGGTCTCAATCACCTGACCTCGTGATCCTCCCACCTCGGCCTCCCAAAGTGCTGATTTCAACATTTTTAAATGTGAGGATTAGAGACATATTCTAGGTTTGTCCCGTTGATAGTTATAGAGACTTTCTATAACATAATGTTGATTCTTCTTCTATTAGAATTGCTTGGCTTTTGAGCTACATCAAGAGAGCAGAATGTTTTTAAATGTTTATATGTAATTCCATGAACTGTGGGTTTTTCAGGTGCTTGTTACCCAGAATGAGGGTTAACCAAGTTCTCATTCCTCTGGTTGACCGCTCCAACCATTTCATCACATGTCAACAATCCAACCAAGTAGAAATGAAACTCAAACCAGACAAAACCATTTTGTATTATGAACTACACTTATTATTCTAATTTTTTATATTTTTAGTTTTAAGCCTAATTGTCAGCATCCAGTGTAGCCTGTCCCCACCGTTACCTGGGAGTCCAGTTCCCATTCTTTATTACTAGGTAACCAGTACTTAGCTTTAATTCTGACACTTGCAGGCAACATTTTATCTAGTAATTTTAGAGAAATTGGACATAGATATTAATACACTTTACAGAAGAGAAGTCTGAGAAACACTTCTGTCCTGATGACTTGCTGATGTTAGGTTTATAGTTAACCATAAGTGGGTAAACGGTTTGCTGATAGTCATACAGGGAGAAAGTACCATGGCTCCATGCCTTGAGTTCCAGGGTGAGGACAGAGGCCAGGACATCAGTTGTTTATATCCCTTACTATCCTTGTACTAATGTTCGTGCCATAGTGCAAAGAGGACTCACAACGTGCACCATTTTTATGCCTAAATAATGCATAGAAACTCTACTTCTTCTTCTCTTGAGGTATTCTCTGCAACTCTTGCTTATCTGTTTTATTGTCTGTAACACTGGGATTAGTGAGAGCTTTTCTTTGGGAGAAAAGTCTCTACATTAGATTTGTATTCAGAGATGAGGCTTGTTTTTGTTTTGTGTGTTCATTTGAGGCATTTATCTTCCTACTGTTCCATGAACTGGGTTGGAGGAAATGGAGAGAAGGTTGTTGTCAGGGCGTGCGACGTGAGCTGGAATTGCTCACCCACTGCACAGGGTGTGCCGAGGCGGCTGCTCCCAGGCATGCCCACGCACCCGTGTTGCACACTCGTTTAGTCAGAGATCTCTTATGCTGTTTCACATTTTGAACAGATACAACAGAGGAAGCTGCATATTGGATGTTGGAGCTGACTTAGAAATGAAACCCTCATTTTGTTCACAAGGGAAGGATTGTTTTTAGCCTGGGTCACTGCTGCAGAGAGAGATATTTTTCCCTCTCTCTGTAATGTTTGATACTTGAGGGAAAACAGCTGGGCCTGAGCATGCTGACTCCCTGCAAAGTGCAATGGGCTGCTGGGGAATATGGACTGTACTGTATGGCTGAAAGGTCAGCTTTTTCCCTTGTCTCTCTTGGAGGAATGCAGGGTCTGTCCTCACATTCGCCTTGTGAGCCCTTAGAAGGAGCCGGGAGAGGCGGAAGGGCTGGCTGCAATGTGGCAGACAGTCTTAGCCAATGGGATGGAAGAGGCTGTTTGCATCTCTTTCCCTTTCCTGCCCTGCTGTTTTTGATTTTCGGGGGAGGGCTGGAAAAAGCCAACAGAATTTTGGTTTGGAGAAGTAGTTGATGACCACGTTAAACAGCAAGCCCTGATGGGCCAGACAGATGAGAGCCTGGCCCAAACCACAGCAGTGAAACTGGAATTACAGGGCCAGCATCGGAGGGAGAGTCCTGCTGGAGTCCTCCTAAGAGAGGACAAGGAAGTAGTTGAGACAGATGCCCCCACAGGCCACTTGCCCCCACTTGCCCTTGAGGGCAAGGATGTGTGTTTCCGTGCCTAGGACCTAATTCTACGCCGATTTAGATCTTAAGATGGTATGTGGCACTTTGTAAACCTCTTGGGCAAATTTTTGTTGGTTCCCAAGTTCAGCAACAGAGCTGCCGAGGTTCAGACTGGCAGCAAGGCCGGCTACATCCAGCCACACGGGCAAAGCTCGGAGCAATTACCTGATTAACTTTTTCCTTTGTTTCTTTGCCAGTCAAGAGAACAATCGGATGATGAGACTGAGGAGTCGGTGAAGTTTAAGAGGTTACACAAGCTGGTAAACTCCACTCGCAGAGTCAGAAAGAAACTAATTAGGGTGGAAGAAATGAAAAAACCCAGCACTGAAGGTAAAAAAAAAAAAAAAAAAAAAAAAAAAAGGCAGACTCCACCCTGGTTATTCCAAAAGAAATCATTTGGGGTCAGTTTCTCAGCAGAAAAGGGATACGATTTCAAGTGGAAAATGCATTGAGCTCTGGCTGAATCTGGCAGGACTATGCCTGCCAGCAGAGTGATGCTCAGATGCGATGATGTGATGGAATGAAGGGTCCTGGTGTCAGGCGTTTGGGGTGCTTAGTCATTTCAATTTAAAAGATGGGAAATGGAAATTTTCTCGAGGTGTAGTATAGCTTTATGTATGAGCTTATACCATTTTATATAAACTTTCTAACTTTTTCACATGAGCCTCCAATCCCAGAAAGGACTATGGTTCTTGCTCAGTGAATTTAGTTCAAATTTCATGTACATACATTTTGAAGAAATGCCTAACAATCAAGGCACCTAATATCCCTTTAAATTTCTCAGGGTTGATTTGTTCTTCCTGTAGAGAGTCTCAAGTCTCAATTCAAATGGGGGCTTTAAGGACCTAGGATTCTAAGAGAATCTTTTAAGAGTTGTATTGCTGGGGTTAGCCAGGTGAAACAGTAATGTCAAAAGACATCAGCTTGGATTTATTGAAATGGATAGTTAGCCTTTGACATATAATTATGACAGTTCAAATCTCAACCTTATTCATCTCTCTTGTTAGTAATGTGCCTCTTTGCAGCATCTTATAAATTCTCCCCAAAAAGGTAAAATGAAAGAATAAGATAAGATTTTTTCTGTTTGAAAAATGAAAATAATTGAATTGGATAAAAATACTGGAAAGACTATGCTTTTTAAAAAACACCTTACTTGTTAAAATGTCATATCTACATTGTGAGGAATTTCAAAATTTTAACATGTAGGTTTTAAAATTATTTTTGTAGAGGCATTTTTGTTATATAGAAATAAAATCAAGCCATGTAAAGAAATGAATTTCCCCTTATTTGCAAAGATAAGGGTTTTTCGTTTTTATTGCTGCTTTTAATTTGTGTTTGGTATTATTCGTGGGTTTAAATCCCTTAGAATAATACCGAAGCTAAGTGGGTAACTGTGAGAGAATGGGGATTCGAATGGAAAACAAAAACATGGGGAGAGAAATCAGCTTTGTGGCCAATTTCTTGGGTTGTTTTCAGTTCCGGGGTTTCATTAGGGTATCTTTTTGCGTGGTAATTCTGTTTACATTTGGATGCAATGCTGATTTTACATTTGGGTGTTTTAATACCTGCCCGCCAGTCGTGAATTCCACAGTATTGAATGTACCCTGTGGCGGCCCTTACCGAAATCACAGACAGGGTCAGTTGGTACTGTTGGGGGAACCATATGGAATTGCCAACATTCAACTTTAAGGGCACATTTGGTAACAAATCTCATGAACACTCGGCCAAAATCAAGCCTCAGATATAACAAATAGATGGGTGGGGTTCATCCATAACTGAGATAACATGGGCAAAGTATCTAGTCCTGGGCCTGTTCCCCAGTGGGCCCTTCACACATGATAGTGGTGTGTTAAAGCAGCCTTTCCACTAGAATAACATGACTAAAAATACAGACATTGTAATTTGCACATTTATTTCAGAATAAATCAATCCAACTATCTTTGAGAGGCATCAATGGAAAAGGAAAAATATAGCAAAAGGGATAACTCTAACGTAAAAAGTAATAACCATATGGAATTCTGGCTCTGAACTTTAATTTATCTGGGCACAAATCAGGCTTCACAGATGGAAGATGGATTTAGTGAACTCAAATCCTAAGGTACACTCTGGCATCTGATGAGTCAGGGTGCTGAGTTGCCGTTGGCCAATCTCACCCATCTTCTCAGGAGAGGCCCCAGGTGTGTGTGTGTAGCTCAAGGCGCCTGCTTTGGGCTGCCCTCCAATTCCCTGCTAAACTGGAACTTCCTCCAACCCCTGCACAATAGAGAACTCTCTGAGGGTCCTCACTGGCAGTGGTACTTGGGAGAGGCTATCTTGGCCCCTGTCCATCTTGCAGAGCAGGAAGGATTCATACGCCAGTAGGCGCCCCCTCCCCCCTCCCCCCTCCCCCGCCCTTGGACTTACAAAGGGTTGATCCTTTGACTTCCTGCGTGCCTGTGCTAATACCAAGTTGTCTGCATGATAATCATCATGTATTGAGGGCACACCGTGTGCCAGGCACTTTCCTTAACACTTTAGATTTTATATTCTCTTTAATGTCATCCTCAGAATAGCTACCAGAAGTAAGCACTTACACCATCCTCATTTCGAAAATGAGGAACCTGAGACTCAAAGAGGCTAAAAGTAATTGACTCCTGGCCACTCAGCCAGCCAGCAGAAGGCCCAGCACGATGTCCAGGCAGCCTGCTCCCTGACAGCAGCCTGTTCTCACTCCGCTGCCACCTGTCTCCCCCACCAGCTCTGGAGTCCTCGGAAAGCCAGGAGAGAGATCAGTTCTTCATTCATTCTCACCCTTGCACCCTGGGTTTCAAGTCCTTATCCTGTCAGGGACAACCCTGGCCAATCTTTAACCTAGGCTACATTGGTGCCCTTTATCTGCCCATTTCTGTGTCTTTGCCACAGAATGCACACCTTTCCTTCCCTCATTGCTCCCACTCAGTTCTCTCCAGTAATGAATCGCCAGTTTTGTAGAAAGCCTTTCAGTTCATACAGCACTTTCACGTAACTCTTTTATGAGGATAATGTTTACTGTTATCATCACAACAGCCTTGCCAGGGGTATTATGGAAAGATAGGTAGGCATTATTACAGATGAGGAAACAGAGGCTCAGAGCCAGGAAGTAATTGCCCAAGGTCATGGAGCTGTGAGTGGCAGAGCCGGGCTGGATGCAGAGCATACCCCTGAGTTCCTGGCATTAAGTCAGCCCACAGCCTACCTCTCTCCTCCTGCCAAAATCACCTTGCCTTTGGTAAGCCGGTCTCAGCTGAATAAGATAGATGATGGAGGCCTTCACGTGAAGCAAATCACAGCAAATGTGATGGAGTGAGCTCATCTTGATGGTCACTCTTCCAGTAGGGGAGTTGTACGCTCAAGTCAGAGAAGGATGGGAGAAGCGATGCTCCAAGTTCAAGCCATCCAGGTCAAGGTTGGGATTCCAAGCCACTGGTCAGGCTCAGACGGAAAAGCCCGCACTACAGGAGGCCTGCCCTCAGCACCGGCAGATGCAGCCTCCTGGGAAGCGTTTGCTACATTTCCCTCACAACCCCTTACCAGATGCTGACTTTCCTGAACCCGAGAATAGAGCTACATTCGTCATGGACATGCGTGCACCAGCTGGTTCCAGACTCAGATGTGACACCAAAGTATTGGAATCTCTGACAACAATCCTAAGCACAGAGCCCAGAAAATGTCCAAAGCAACTGCTGAGTGACAGATCCTTAGGATACGCAGGGTGGACTCACCTGACTTCCCTGAAACCCCTTAGGACTGTGGGTGGAGAAGGGCCTTTGTACATCTGCGTGGACACCTGGGCGGATGGTGAAGCCACAACCACGCTCGACTTCTTTAATAGAGAAGTCCATGGTTGGGCTGCCCCTGCCACAGGTTGTGCCTCTAGTCTTAGCCCAGTCGCTTCTTCTTGGAAGTGGAGGGTAGACTATAACTAGAAGAGGTTGCCATTTTTATTTCCAACAGCATAAGAACCCTTGGTCTCCACACCTTGTCAGTCAGGTGTCCTGAGGAAGGAGCGGGAAACTTCCAGGATATTGGTACCCTGCATCTGGGCTGGTGAATTTCTGTGAGAACCCCGAATCCTGCCTTTAAAGTCCCCCTGAAAGATCCCTGAACAACTCTTCAGGGGACTGTGGGCTAGGCAGAGTTTTACATCTTCTTTTCCACTTTCCAGCTTCCCCACCACCGTCTGCTGGGCATGAATGTAAAGTTGACCTTGGGTTGTATTTAATAGCAGCTGTTCTTTTTTGTTGTTGTTGTTAGATTTGTACCTATAAATCCCATCAATTGGGAAAGTAAGCCATTTTTAGAATTTTAAAGGATGGCTGCCGTTCTTTTCCCCTCTGAGTTTTGCTCTGAACTGAGCATAGCTCCCCTTTTTCTCTGACATTTAACCACACACTGGCGCCCTCGTCCCAGCTGGTATATTTAGTGCCATCCTTCTGTTCCAAGGAACTTTTCCTTTTTTCCTCTTCACAATTCAGCGGGTGGAAAGCTGCAGAGCTCAAAGTTTCCCTATAATTAAAGGGACACAGCCAGTTGGGATCGCTACACCCACAGTTTGACCTACTTCTTTTCTCACATCTGTTCACATAACACATGCGGAAAAGAACTTGGTTTTCCTGCCAAGTCCAAACCTTTCCACCGGGCTCTGGAGGGCTTGGCTTGCCACCTGGCTCCAGTGAGGGCTTCAAGAGCTGGAATCCCTGAGACCAGTGGGACCCTGGAGCTGCCTGCGTGTCAGGGCCCTTAAACGCCCTGGCTGCTCCTAGTGAGGCCTGAGTTGATGGGAGTATCTGGCCGGGATCACTGAGTTTCCTAACTTTTTGCATTTGGCCTGTCAGCTGGAGACGATGTGTCAGTCACATTTGCAAGATACAACGCTTTATAGTGTTTCTCCCCACCAAAACTTCCTTGGAGATTTAGTCACTCAAATGGCATATGTACCAATAAAACAATCACTGTCAGCCACATGACATTTATCACACTCCAACTATAAAAAGCGACCAGAGCCAACATAAAGGAGTGCCTTTCAGAAGGGGGAAAGATCCTGATTCCTAGTTTCAGAGGGTTGCATTTACAAACTGCAGAGGGCATTATCTCGAAATGCTAAGGCATATTGTGATTATGGCTAGCTTAGATTTTGCAAACGGCATTTTAAATACGCCTGTGAAGGTGTTAGGTCTACAAAGATATTTAAAGAAGAAGAAAACACATCTGAATCCTTTTAACATTAAGCTCATGTGAAACCATGTATTTGCACAGTGTATTTTCATTTTTCTGTACATATGTAAGTGGGAGCTGGGTTTATAAAGAGGGTCATGATACGGAGAAAGGTGGTGAATGTAAAGAAAGATGTATGCAAGAATGCAAAGGTGTGTTCACAAGAGACTCTGTTGGTTTCCCTCCAGGTGGGGAGGAGCACGTGTTTGAGAATTCGCCGGTCCTGGATGAACGGTCCGCCCTCTACTCTGGCGTGCACAAGAAGCCCCTTTTCTTTGATGGCTCTCCTGAGAAACCTCCCGAAGATGACTCAGACTCTCTCACCACGTCTCCATCCTCCAGCAGCCTGGACACCTGGGGGGCTGGCCGGAAGTTGGTCAAAACCTTCAGCAAAGGAGAGAGCCGGGGCCTGATTAAGCCCCCCAAGAAGATGGGGACATTCTTCTCCTACCCAGAAGAAGAAAAGGCCCAGAAAGTGTCCCGCTCCCTCACCGAGGGGGAGATGAAGAAGGGTCTCGGGTCCCTAAGCCACGGGGTAAGTACGGATGGTGTTTGCTTCTATGACAACCACCGTCGCAGGCACCACCTTCTGGTGTCCCTGGAGGAGTTTCAGAGTGTCCGGAAGCAAATCCGCTTGAAGAAAACGGATACTAATTATTCCTGTTCCAGAGCTTTTCTCTGCCAGCGTCCCTCCAGAAAAGGCGTCACCAGCACCACCTGTGACCTGCAGCTGCTCCGGCAGAAAGGCAAAGGGGGCGGGAGCTGCGGCTTCCCCGGCAGGAGGGTGCGCGGGCGCACCTCGGTCAGCGAGTTCAATATCACCTACGTGGTGGAGCGGAGCCTGTACAGCCACCTGAACCTGACCCAGCTAGTGCGGCCTGCCTCAGACAGGACCCTGAGCAAGGCTGAGAGACAGGACCTGAGGCGGTGCCTGCTGGAGGAGGATGAGGAGGCAAAGAGGAAGTGGGCCGCCACGGTCGACCGCTGTACTAAAAGGGTTCTCTTGAGAATCCACCAGAAGTCTGTGAGTCACAAAGATGGTCCTGAGGACGGCCTTGTCATTTCTGTGATGTGCAGTCAAGCATTATGGCCTTTCTTCTGCGGGGACCGGCTTCCTCCCCTCTCTCCTGCTCATGACGTCAGGGCACATCCCACCATCACCTTCAATTTCAAATCCTGCTTTCACTTCCAGGCAGCTTTCACCTTCTCTTCCATTTCTCCTCTTGTCAGATGAAGCTGTTTGAGTGCCCATTAAAATAAGCATTGAAGCTAATCCAGAGAGGGGCTTCCAGGGTACAGGGGTGGGGTTTGGCCGCCTCCAGGAGTGGCTGTCTTGATTCTCGGCCATTATGTCACTTGACCTCAAAGAAGCTGATTCAAAACAGAAGGGCATTTCACCCTTGAAAGAGATGCTTGCTCTTGGTTTTAAAATTAAAACAATAGGAGCAGGCTCATGGAAAAACTGCCGTCATCACAGTCACCAATTTGGTGATTTGAAAACATTTTAAAGCACATTTATTTTATTAGTAGAGGCAAGCAGAAAGTTCGTAAATCTAACAACAAAAATGGGAGCTTTTTTGTTTTACTTAAGTCTATTCCATGTTCTTATCTTTATAAACAAATCAACATTTGGAAATGCCTTCCCCTAGCCTATAGATTCTTCTGTACTCAGCAAGGAATAAAGTACTCACTTTCAAAGAGTAGGATGTTTTTCACTTTTAACGCTGGATGATCAGAGACCTAGTAAGATTTATTTTCAAGGCATGACTTACTTTGAACTTCAGAATATAGATATTTTTCCTTCTGAAATTCCCACCTAACTTTTAGTTTGCACAGTGGCACATATAAAATGGTGCAAAGTGAGGAAGTAGATTTCTTGGCCCTCTGTCACCTGGCACCTTGCTTGATCTGCTCAGGACAGTTGGCTGTGGGCCCTTTTAAAGACCTGAAAGAATAGAGTGTCCTTCAATAGTGGTTTTCCCAGGGGGCCTTCCCGTTCATGAACAGGATGTTCTTCCCCAGACGATCAGTGTAATTTAAATTCATTCAGTCGGGTTCTGCTTTTGTGAAAGTGAAGACGGATTGGTCAATGCCATTCTTAAAACGACCTTCTCTGTTGTAAAAGAATCCTTAGGTCCTTCCTAGCCCCTGGGTTTTCCACATATTTCCACATGTTGACTTTCCTTATTTTCTGTCCTTTCATATTCATGTAATTCTTGCAGCACTTTTAATACTACTAGTATGTAGCAGGAACTTTTCTTCTGGCTCTTTCTGTATCATGGCAACAGTTTTTCAATGGTTGAGTTTTTGTTTTAAAATAACAATTCTCTTTCTCACTCATTCAGCCTCTGGTTTGCTCTGACTCACAGATATTTTGAAAAATAACCAGTCTTAGTTTTATGTATTTATTTTTTACTTTCAGAAGTGTTCTACCCAATTCATCTGCTCTTGTATGTTTTGACATGACCTTGATAGAACAGACGCACTTCTTCTGTTAATTGATGACTCACCTCTGTGAGTTTACATCATGTAATACTGAGAAATTTCCCAATCTGAGCACCTTGAATTGTTGATGTGCCTCTCATGTTATTTACTGTCAGATTAATACTATAACTCCATGAGGGCCTTGTCTCTAGAAGTTATATTTCTGGGATTTGTGCTAGTTAGTGTTGTAGGCCAGTGATTAATTCTTCATTGACATTGAGTATGGACATTTGGGCAAGCTCATCTCCAGGCACCGCCCCCACCTAACGTGCTCCTGTGTAATCCCTATCCCAAGTATCAGTCTGAGGCTGAGTATTTTTAAAATACTGTGAGCTTGAGACACTAATGGACAGTTTGAACACTTGCAAAAATATGTGTTCAGTAGGAAGTTATATATTTGCATATTCCTTTTCTTGTAGTACAGTTGTACAATCAAACAAATTTAACTTTCTAATTATCCAGAGAATGTAAATAAGTGTTCTATCATCTTACAATAGAAAGAACTTTTTTAAAAAGGGATTAATCTTATTTCTTTGCTAGATTTATTTAAAAGGTTATTTTCCATTCTCCTTGTCATATTTCTTTCATTTTATCTAAAAGTTTCCTTTATTCTTCAACCTCAAGCTCTTTGTCTTTCGAAAATGCCATATTTGCTTGATGAAGCCTCAGGGAAATGATAATGCTTTGTATCCACTGGAAGTGGTCACTTGTCTCGTATTTTATTTGGTCATTCAATTTTTGTTTGAGAGAACAGACATGCATGACATTTTGCAATTTTGTCCATTTTTGAATTCAACCCCAAAACATGTGTTTCCAACTGCATGGCCATTCCATTGACTAGCCCTCCTCATCCCAAGCATCTATCTAAAGTGTTTTTATAATTTTCAGTACAGGAAGTGTGTGAACTAAAAAAACTTCATTTAGGCTTCATTTATTTAGGTCATCAACGTCAAGGGCTGGTTCATGTATTGATTTATTTTTTATGAGTCTCTTTACAGTCCATTTTCTCTTTTGAAGGAATGCTGTTTAAAGAACTACTTGATCTTATAGAAAAAGTTAGAAATTAATTCAAGCAATCTTTATTGTTATATTCTTTGTCACTCCTCCACTGTAAAAAAGAATCAATTCCAGATATCTTAGCCTATCACTGAAAGAGGTTTTAGTTGGTAGTTAAGAAAACTGGTCCATTCTTTCAGTTTTTCATTTTAGAAATAAATGCATACAATAGGCATGTGAAAACTTAAATGAGATTCTAATTTATTGCAGTCATAATTTCCACATAAATTCTTTGTCACTTATTTCATATGTATCAGAAATAACTTGGGCTCCAACATTGCAGTAGATGCTGTGGTTTAAAGCAGGGACGTGCAAAAGCCATACAATGATGAGGCATCTGGGTGCCATACCATGTCTGTGAAGCCCTGAGTCACGGGAAAGGAACTAGAATAAAATCACTGCTTTTGCAAGAAGGAGGAAATGTACATGGCATTATAAGCTGGAAAGAGAAGGTTAATGTTAAAAATTAGCCTTGAGAGGTGGTCATAACATTGCTTACCCAGTTAGGTGATTTGGTGAATATATTTGTGTAGAAAGGTTTTTCTCTTTCTATAGAATAGATATAGGTCCAGTTAAGCTGACGATAAGAGAAATCAGATTGCCCATTGATATTTAATACAGAATTAGGATAATGTCTATTAGAAAACAAGTCGGTAGTAGCAGCAGCAGCAGCAGCATCGGTGAATAAGAACAGCTCTGAGACCTCCTGATGTCAGTTGTCACGAAATGCTTTCCTTATCTCCTGGCCCTCTCCAGACCCCAATGGCCGTCTCTCACTTTGTGGCCCATTCCTGGTATGCTCTGATTTTATAGTTGAACTCCCAGATTAGATTGTAAGGCCCAGAACAAAGCTCCAGCCCTGTATTTGCATATTTGTAATGTTAACTAAGCCTCAACTTCAGTATAACAGCTGTCAGGATGACTACCACATTCTCAGTACAGCCTTAATGAAAAGTAGTGGAAGAAACCAGCATTCATAGAGTGTCTGCCTTGTGCCAGGCAGTGCGCTAGAAGGCTTCAAATATGATATAAGTATTATTTTAATAATGAAGAATCTAAAGCTCAGAGAGTGTAAGTACTTTACCTGAGATCACACAGCAAGTAAGTGGCAGAACCAGGATTTGCATCTAGATTTCTGTGATTTCAAAAATGTAGGCATTTTCCTTCTAGGATGTTTCTACTTTATCAATTCAGTTAATTATATATATATATATATATATATATTTTTTTTAATGAATAAGCAATGCTTATAGTATATTAGGTTGGTGCAAAAGTAATCGCAGTTTTTACCATTGAAAATAATGGCAAAACTGCGATTACTTTTGCACCAACCTAATACATTGTACTTTTCTGTTCATTTCTTCCATTTAATAGCTGTTCATTAGACTTCTCTGAGAAGCTGGTAATACAAAATATTGAAGCCCGAATCTACAATTAAACTTTTATTACTGATTTTTAAAAAAGATAATTAGCTGTAACATTAATGTGTGTTGTGGGGCACAGGGCGGTCACTCAGTGGCTTTTACTAGAAAAACAACAGTGAATTTGAATCAAGTTCTGCAAATACAGAAATCACTAAGATATAAGCAGTTCCGTGAAGTTTGCAACCACCTAAAAGGATAATAAAGTTTTCATTCTTTATAACATCAGCATTGTTCCTACTGAAATTAAAAAGTGTGGTCAAACACAGTCACTGAATCAACCGTTTTCTTTCTGGGCAAATGTGGCATCTTCATTCACTGAGAGAAAAGGGTCACCATGAATTAACTTGGGCAGTTCGATGGGAAAGTTACCAGCGTTTTTGGCTAGGATGGGGAAGCGGTGAGTGAGTAATTCTCTTGGCCTGATTGGACAACTGTAAACATAACCTTCTCCCCCCCTCTTCTCAGCGATTTAAAGCTAAACAAAATGAAAGTCTGTTTGAAAAGCTTGCTGTTGGTGTCAGAGCCGTGGGATTTCAAACCTGGGTTTTCAGGATGCCTGAGTACATGGATCCTCTAACACATATCCCTTCATTATCTCTACTGAATGTAGCTGATGTTAGGGGAAGTTCTGTGCTGGAGACAGGGAATCTCACAGCACTGGACTCATGGAGGGTTTTTCTTTTGTTTTTTAGGCTTTTTAAAAAAAATGGTTGGTTTTTGCATGTTAAGGGGATTCTAGACCTCTGGGGTAGGCAGAGTTCCAGTGGCCTGTGAAAGGGAAAAATGAGTGAAGTTTCCTTACGACATGACTCATGTGTTTTTTTCTCATCATTTCTCGTTTTCTACTTTCATCCTGTCCACGTATTTGTGATTCAGAGATGTCCTGCAAACGGGGACTGCTGGGTTGGTGCACTGCCGGCTGGCTTAAGCATAACTGAAGTTTTTCTGCCCTACCCTCTTTTCCACAGAGAACCTGCAGTTTTGGAGGATTTGACTTGACGAATCGCTCTCTGCACGTTGGCAGTAATAATTCTGACCCAATGGTGAGTAACATCAGAGGAAAGCAAAAAATATGGATTCAGGCGATGAGGTTGACAATAGTTCACCATTGAGTATCTTTGAGAATTGATACTGGGTACCGTTTTCCTTGGTAATCCTGAGTCACGTTTGGAAAAAAGCTCTATTTCACTTGCCTTACAGACTCCACTGTTCCACGTGGAATGAATGATGACCACTCTCACTGCCATCTCCTTCCTTGAGTAGCACAGTTCCTTTAATGCCTTTGCTTCCAGTTTTCTTCAAGTAACAAATCCAGATAAGTCTGGCCTCTGTGGTCTGAGTCATTTTGCACACGGCCTTTTCTTCTTGCTAGTTGCAAGCATGTAACTACTACACACACATAGTGCCATGAAGTGGAGCCCTGTGATTTGGTCCCCAAGAGTATGTGCTGGCATTTTGGAACACCAGTCTTATTATGGGCCCAGTACCTGGCCCCACATGGCCTATACTAAGCCTAGGATTTTGTGGTCTGGGGTGTCCTGGAATGAACCCAGTCTCTGTGGGACCAAAGCAGACCAGATCCCTCAGGGGTCTGGTGTCAGGCCCAGGTGTCTGCCCTCTCAGACCTGCTTTGGGGTCATAGTCTAGGGACAGGCCACCACAGTGGCACACAAGTTTTGTTTCCTGAAATTTGCTTTCTCAGACCCCAAGGGTGAAGGTGAGTCTTTTTTTTTTTTTTTTTTTTTTTTTTTTTTAAGATGGAGTCTCGCTCTGTAGCCCAGACTGGAGTGTAGTGGCACAATCTTGCCTCACTGCAACTTCTGCCTCCCAGATCCCAGTTAAGCAATTCTCCTGCCTCAGCCTCCCGACTGGCTAGGATTACAGGTGCACGCCACCATGCCCAGAGAATTTGTGTATTTTTAGTAGAGATGGGGTTTCTCCATGTTGGCCAGGCTGGTCTTGAACTCCTGACCTTGTGATCCGCCCATCTTGGCCTCCCAGAGTGCTGGGATTACAGGTGTGAGCCACGCGCCCGGCCTTTGGTGAGTCTTACATGTAGTTTAGCTTGTCCTTTGCATTGTGTCATAAAACTGTAAAATGAAGATTTCATGTTTCATATTTGTTATGATCATGGGTCAGCTAAAATACCCACCTGGGATATATATGAAATGTTTTGAAAATTTCCTGGAAGAGAATTAAACTATTTTATTTGGCTATCGAATTATATTGATTCTTAAGCCAATAGTTTTCTGCTGTCAATCTTTTTTAGAAATGAGAGAAAATATGATTTTTTTCTTTCTCAGGGAGAAGTTTGTTTTTTAAAAAAATGCAGACTAGAATGAGAGATGACCACAATCTAGCTCTTTAAGAGAGAGAAATTTACACACTGAGTGCTATGGTGATGGAAATCCAATCAGATGTTGCTCTTCTAACGACTGAGCTTTCACCATTTGTTCTAATCTCTTTCTCCAGGCAATTCGGTAGTATTATCCCTCTATTCTCCCCCATTGCTGGGATTACATGAACATTGGTTCATGTAAATCACTTTTTTTTTTTTTTTTTCCCTCTGAGAGGGAGTCTCACTCTGTCGCCCAGGCTGGAGTGCAGTGACGCGATCTCAGCTCACTGCAAGCTCCACCTCCCGGATTCACACCATTCTCCTGCCTCAGCTTCCTGAGTAGCTGGGACTACAGACGCCCACCACCACGCCCAGCTAATTTTTTGTATTTTTAGTAGAGACGGGGTTTCACCGTGTTAGTCAGGATGGTCTCGATCTCCTGACCTCGTGATCCACCTGCCTCAGCCTCCCAAAGGTAAATCACTCTTTACTGATGAAATGCAGCCCCCTTGGATGTTAAAAATAGTGGAAAAAATGTAACCTGATAAGAATGTACTAAAAGTAAGTAAAATAAAAAGTGACTCACATCCCACTTTAAGCAAACAAAAATAGTCAATAAGCTTTAATTTTTAATCAAAGAGATAAATAATAGCACTGAGTTAACACAAGAAAAACGTCAAGATCCATGAGGAATGTCAATATTTCTGAGAGCTAGGATGTTAATGGTTTAAATAATAAAACCTGTTCTTCATTTTCTGCGACCAACAATACTTGCAACATTTTGTTTTACAGGGTAAAGAAGGAGACTTTGTGTACAAAGAAGTCATCAAATCACCTACTGCCTCTCGCATCTCTCTTGGGAAAAAGGTGAAATCAGTGAAAGAGACGATGAGAAAGAGAATGTCTAAAAAATACAGCAGCTCTGTCTCTGAGCAGGTATGCAGCTACCTGGTAGAATGTTCCCTTGGTTCTTCCTGACAAGAAAAGCTGAGAATGGCCCTTCTGAGATTTTAAATGGTGCTAAATACACATACTCCTTGGCATTAACCTGCTCCAAGTCCGTGCTTTATTTACGTAGAGAAACACTGAATTCAACACACGTTTATTAAGCACTTTGGGCTGCTCAGCACCGTGCTTGGTGCTGGGAATACAAAATACAGAACTTGCCTTCTGTGTACAGACAAGAGAGACAGACATGTAAAGAAATGGTTATTCTTCAGTGCACTAAGCGTTGTAAATTTGAATACAAAGGAAGGATTTTATTTTCTAAACTATGCCTTGCTACAAAATGGATGTTACCTGAATCAAACCTAAAGCTTTTTTTTTTTGGGGGGGGGGGTGGCAGTAGACTTGTCGATCATAGCATAAGTTGTTCTAGAAGCACATAGCCAGTCTAAGAAATAAACTCAAAGTTCTTCCTGGGTACCAGGCTTTGGTAATAATGTTTCAGAGAGGGGTGTTTTCCCTCATTTGCCTTATCTGTAGCCATGAAGGAAGGTATCATAGAATTGATTTTTCCCCCCTGGATCTATAATTTCATTGCTAGAGAAATGACTGTTTCTGTCTAAATTGCATGGGTGGAGGGAGTAAAGATAGTTGGAGAGCTGGGCCTCAAGGTAATTATGACCATTCAATTTTCAAGACACTCTCCTCCAGCACCTGTATAGCACTCATTTTGTAGCCTGTTGAAGTTCCTGTGTATGAGCTGGTTGTCTGCTTGAAATATGTAGGTAATGCACTTTATCTACCAAATAAAAACAGCAGGAAAAGCAGACATTTTTGCTCAGCTGCTGCTCTCTGGTGGGCACAGTGAGCTAAAACCAAGCATCGCCCCTATGCGAATGACCGAACGTCACCAGCCTGCCACCCACCTCACTTGATTCAAACAAAGCCTGCACAGCAGCTTCAGTTGATTACAGTGGTTCTCACGGGGAAGGGGTGAGAGGCTATCATTTTGCTCCCCCATGGACTCCAGGGCAATGTCTTTCAATGGTCAGACTGGGTTGAGGTGAAGTGGAGTGGATATTGCTGGCATCTAGGGCAGCAGTGCCCAATCTTTTTGCACCAGGGACTGGTTTCGTGGAAGGCAATTTTTCCACGGAGCTGGTGTAGGTGGTGGTTTCAGGATGATTCACATGCATTACATTTATTGTTCACTTCATTTCTATTGTTATTACATTGTAATATATAATGAAATAATTATACAACTCACCATAATGTAGAATCAGTGGGAGCCCTGAGCTTGTTTTCCTGCAACTAGATGATCCCATCTGGGGATGATGGGAGACAGTGACAGATCATCAGGCATTAGATTCTCATAAACAGCGTGCAACCTAGATGCCTCGTGTGCACAATTCACAATAGGATTCGTGCTCCTACGAGAATCTAATACCGCCGCTGATCTGACAGGAGGTGGAGCTCAGACAGTAATGCGGGTAATGGAGAGTGGCTGTGAAAACAGATGAAGCTTGGCCTGCTCACCCGCCACTCACCTCCTGCTGTACGGCCCACTTCTTAACAGGCCACAGACGGGTTCTGGTCCGTGGCCCGGGAGTTGGAGAATGCTGATCTAGAGGATAGAGGCCAGGGACGCTGCCAAACATCTTAGCATGCACAGGACGGTCTGCACAGCAAAGAGCTGTCCATCAAAATGATCAGTGCTCAGGCTGAGAAACCGTGGCTTGTTAGACCTGCAGGAGATAGATGTCTGGACTGCCTTCAGCATGTCTTATCCATGATTTTTTTTCTTTATTCTTTTCATTCTCTTGTCCTTGTGGGTGACGGAGTGATAGTGATTCTATATTTCTTCCCAGCAATGAAGCAGTCAGCATGCTAGTGAGAGCATGCTACTAATTGAAAGCATTTTATTAAGTTTGCTTTTCCCCAAGATAGATTGAAACAGCCACTAAAACTCTTAAGCTTTACGTTCACAGAGGTTTTCTGCTTTATGAATCAGAAGCATAGAATTTTAATGTCATTTTGGCATTTTTCAATAATTTTACTACCATATAGCAATCTTATGTGCTTAGTTCTGTTTTTTTAAAGCAGCCATTTCACATAAGTTAAGGAATAAAAGAAACAACTGATCATTATAAATTTTCTGTAAAGCAAAAATAATGGAAGGTTTTATGTGGTTGTTTTTTTTTTGTTTTTGTTTTTGTTTTGAGACGGAGTGTCACTCTGTCACCCAGGCTGGAGTGCAATGGTGTGGCCTCGGCTTACTGCAACCTCTGCCTCCTGGGTTCAAGCGATTCTCCCACCTCAGCCTCTTGAGTAGCTGGGACTACAGGCACGTGCCACCATACCCGGCTAATTATTGTATTTTTAGTAGAGATGGGGTTTCACTACGTTGGCCAGGCTGGTCTCGAACTCCTGACCTCGTGAGCCACCCACCTCAGCCTCCCAGAGTGCTGGGATTACAGGCATGAGCCACTGCGCCCACCTTGTGTGTTTTTTTAAAAAAACTTTTTAGTAAATATACCAACCATTATGGTAGGGATATTTGTTTTCTCCGTTGCTGCTATATGCCCAATACCTGGATTAGTGCCTGTTATTGTAGGTAATTCATAAACATGTGATGAATAAATTAATAATTTTTTAAAGCATTTGAAAATATATCAGAGACCCACATTTACTATTGCTGTTTTTCAAACTGCGTGCTTTTTTCAGAAGCATTACAGAAGATTTTAATGGGAAAAAAGTTACTTATTTTATGACGCAGAAAGGAGGAATGAATTTTTTTTTTTTAAGGAATTCATACTTTGGAGCTTCAGTAACTTCCTAATAATGTCAGCTCTAGTTTTCTTTGTTGTTTTTGAGGTCGCTTGCTCACTTTCCTCACATTGAAAGCACTAATGTGTGTTGGATCAGAAGCTGCTGTTGCTGATGTCCTCAGATGTTTGCAGGACCTGCGGAGCTGTGTTAAGGCCCTTCTGATGACTCGGCAGCATGCAAATAGCAGGTTTCATTTTAGCTGGTTTTGAGCCCGTGTGGCTGCGGCCATATGTAATATGCCAGAGACTTTTCTATTTTGGCAAGTAAACAATTCTCACTGCAAACTTTCTGAAGTGTGATATCGTCTATTGATGTAGCACCACGAATCAAATAAGCATGCTATACTCAAATGTGCAAATGAGGAGCCGCTGAGAGGATAATACTTAGCTACTCAAAATGCAGGAAGTACTGCTGAGTCACTCCCATCAGGATTCTGGTGTGAAAGAGATTTCCCAGCTTTTTACTGACAACACTTTAGAAAAGTGAAAGAAGCTAAAACTTTAGAGTAACATATGGAAATTTTATGGTAGACTGGAAAATAGTATGTTTGCTGTATATGTGGGTTTTAAATTCATGTTTCCTTATCCAATGCCAATAATTTGTACAAATAGAAATATAAGAATCTAGCCAATTTTTTTTTTCCAGGAATACACTTTTTTAAAAGTGCATGTTTCCTATCCAAGTAGATTAAATATCCTCTGACTACACTTCCAGGTATTCTAGTAATCATGGATTGTACTTGATCTACATTTGAAGTCCAGCCTTGCTACTGGGCTTTTGCGTATGCTGAGTCTCTAAACCTTTAAGTATTTTGTCTGTGTGGTAGACAGATTTTTTTTTTCTTGGAGATTCCAAGAATATCTATTCGAGAATGAGAAATAGTATTTGAGTGCTTAATAAATAGTGACATTGGCCACGACTTTAAAAGTAAGCGAGGATGTAAGTTTAAGAGGAGGAGAATATTGGTTATAGAATCAAATATAGGTATAGATTGATTTGATTGATTTCGTTGAAGGCCAAGTCGCTGAGAATTACAAAACAACACCTGTCCACTCTGATGAACTTCTTCATTTTGTTGAAACCCATGGCAGGACTCGGGCCTTGATGGAATGCCTGGCTCCCCTCCGCCTTCACAGCCCGACCCCGAACACTTGGACAAGCCCAAGCTCAAGGCCGGGGGTTCTGTAGAAAGTCTTCGCAGTTCTCTCAGTGGGCAGAGCTCCATGAGTAAGTCGAGTTTGTCATTGTAGATTATTTTCTTTGGAGTTAATATCTGACATATACTGAGCACTAGGTTCAGGCAATTTCAAGGTGAATAAGACCAAGTCCTGCCCTTCAGGTGCTATTAGAGAATCAGACCAATAAACTCTCTGGACTCAGAGTCGTGTTTGTTTATTAGTAGACATGCAGCAGCAGCAGCCCAAAACAGGAGGTGATGAATTTTGATCGGAGACAATAGGGAAAGCATCTCAGAGGAAGGATCTAGAGAGCAGGGGGAATAAGCCAGGGAGACAAGCACATGAAGATGACCAGCAAAATAAAGGGAGTGGGGAAGGGAGGGGAATTTTATATGTGACTGATAAATTCGGGCCAATGGTAGTTGGAGTTGGCTGAATGGTATGAAGGAAAAGATCAACTTTATTTTATTTTTATTTTTATTTTTGAGATGGAGTCTCACTGTCTCCCAGGCTGGAGTGCAGTGTTGTGATCTCAGCTCACTGCAACCTTCACCTCCCTGGCTCAAGGGATCCTCCTGCCTCAGCCTTCCGCATAGCTGTACTACAGGGTCATGCCACCACACCCGGCTAATTTTGTTGTAGAGACGGGGTTTTGCCATGTAGCCCAGGCTGGTGGAACTCCTGGACTCAAGCGATCTGCCCACCTCGGCCTCCTAAAGTGCTGGGATTATAGGCGTGAGCCACCGTGCCCCGAGATCAAGTTTAAACCTACCACTTTAAGCTCTTTCTTACCCTTTTGGGCAAATGACATGACTGCTCTGAATTTGTTTCCTCATCTGTAAAATGGTTAGAGAGAGTGTGCATTACCACTGAGAGGTCACGAATGTTAAGAGCAGAGTCTGGTGCCTGGCCCTGCAGTGTCCTCCACGCGGGATCCTCCGTGCCACATGGATTCCCAGGTCATGAGGGTAACTTGCTGTGAGTCCCCTGTCCACTGAGGAGCTGAGGGATAGCACTCGGAGAATTCATAACTGGGCCCTGCCCTGGTCCTGACAGAGGGTTGTGGCTCAAGGCTTCCTTTCTCTGGGCCTTCATTTCCTAATCTGCCATACCTTCAATACCTTTCTGCTTTGCTGGGTGGGAAATCTGGATCTACCCGTGTTCTTCCTATGTTTCCTGTACAGGCGGTCAAACAGTGAGCACCACTGATTCCTCAACCAGCAACCGGGAAAGCGTCAAGTCGGAAGATGGGGATGACGAAGAGCCGCCTTACCGAGGCCCGTTCTGCGGGCGTGCCAGGGTGCACACCGACTTCACCCCCAGTCCCTATGACACAGACTCACTCAAGCTCAAGGTATCTCTCTCCCTGGCCTCAGAGCAGCTAACTGGGCTCTTCCATTTCTCTAGGAGGCTTTCTTTCCTCCTCACTGTTGAATGCTGGGCTACTATGGTACAGACTGGACAGTATCTTGGCTACCTCGATCACTGGTCTCCTCTGTAGTGAAAAACAGAACAAGAACCAGCCAGCCCTCGAGGCAGAGGGAGGGTCTCGTGTTAATCCCTGGGTTAGCATCACTTCACCCCTCTGACCTCAGCTTCCCTCTAGAATTCCTGTTGCACACCCTCCCTCTCCCCACCTGGCTCCTGCTCCACACACCTGGTTTCTGTGTTTTCTCCATCTGAAGAAAGATTTCTGCCTTCTGTGTGCTCAGAGGTACCTTTATGGGACAGATGGGGTTCCACAAAGTGTGTGCAGCCATGACAGGGCCGGGATTGCCACTGGTTAGGACAGGTGGGAAGTGCCTCCTCTAAGAAGTGGGAGCCCTCTGAGGAGGGAAGGCGTTCAGAGTGCCGGGCGGGCAGCCTGGCTGAGAGCACCAGGGGTACCCCAGGCACCCCTGGTTCTGCAGGGCAGGAGGGTGGAGGGGCTGTGACCGGGGGCCTGCGTGGAATTCCGTACAGTCAGAGACACCTGTCTGGCCTCTGCGGAGCTCACAGTCACATCCTATGCAGGTCACTCAGAGGGGTGACTTGTGGGACCCCGATTCTGGCCTTTGTGGCATCTTCACTTCTGCATGACCTGTGTATCTGACAGATTCTTGATTTGTACGTTCATGGAATGTACCTAATGGAAAGATCTTTGCTCCCTGGGCCACAGAAAGGAGATATCATCGATATAATCAGCAAGCCACCCATGGGGACCTGGATGGGCCTGCTGAACAACAAAGTCGGCACGTTCAAGTTCATCTACGTGGACGTGCTCAGTGAAGACGAGGAGAAACCCAAACGCCCCACCAGGAGGCGTCGGAAAGGACGACCACCCCAGCCCAAGTCTGTGGAGGATCTCCTGGATCGGATTAACCTAAAAGTCAGTCGCTTCTGATTCTTGTCACACGCTACTACCTCACTGCCTTTTTCTCTCCTACACTAAGCAAGTGAGGGCATTTTTAGGGTAGGGTTGGGGCTGATCTGTGTGGTCCAATAAGGGCAGCTCGTTACTATGATGAGCATTCATTATTCTACAGAAAGAGTTAGTTAGTTACCAGTTTTCCAACACTGCCCTTGACCTCAGCTGTGGGTGATAGCGTAAGCCCCGGGTCAAACCTTGCTGCTGGAAGAGCTGTAGGCAGAAACTCCTGGCACCTTGATCGCAGCTAGCTCCACAGGGGCCACAAGGAAACTCTGCGCCCACCTCTCTCCCACCATCACTCCAGGCATCTACTAGCATGAGTCTGCAATGAGAGATTATGTTTCCTCTTTGCAAAACTCTTGATCCTGAGGACTTAAAAGCTGGATTTTAATAGCTCTGTAAGTGGAGGAGGAGTCTCCTCTGTTGTGGGCTCTGTGGAGGTAAAGGAATTAGCTCTTATCAAGAGTACAATTATAGTGCAAGCCAGCAGAATCCATCACAGCCTGCAATGTACATCTTCCTAACCCATGATTAATAAAACACCCTGCTTGCCTACTAAGCCAGAGGGCTGGGATGTACAGGATCCATTGCAAATGATACTTACTAATCTTTTGATTAGCCTGAAGGTGACTATGGGAACAGTGTGTGGGTTGCAGGCTAGTTGTTGGCGGTGTTATCATGTGTCTGGGCTGGCTGACACCCTTCTGTCTTCCTTCTCCCTCTCACAGGAGCACATGCCCACTTTCCTGTTCAATGGATATGAAGATTTGGACACCTTTAAGCTGCTGGAGGAGGAAGACTTGGATGAGTTAAATATCAGGGACCCGGAACACAGAGCTGTTCTCTTGACAGCAGTGGAGCTGTTACAAGAGTATGACAGTAAGTCCCTGTATGCACAGAGGTGTTCCCTGTGAGGTCTGCCACAGCAGGCCCCACGTATGCTGCCAGTATGTGCTTAGGTCCCTGGAGTCACTTATTCTGTCCTGTTCTTTCTGTTACAAGAGTATGACAGTAAGTCCCTGTACGCACAGAGGTGTTCCCTGTGAGGTCTGCCACAGCAGGCCCCACCTACGCTGCCAGTATGTGCTTAGGTCCCTGGAGTCACTTATTCTGTCCTGTTCTTTCCCATGCCAAGGTCAAACAGCACAAAATCATAAATTCCCAGTGCAGACATGGGAACAAAAGAAAACCTCCTGTGCCGCCGCCACCTTTCCGGGCATGTTTCTAGGTGATAGTTGAAGAGGATTCTGCACCAAGTGTCTGCAAGAATGGAATTACAGTTTTCCCAAAAAAATGGGTAGACTCCACTTTCAGTACTTTTGAGAGGTGCAGCCTCCAGCAGGCCATTGGGACAGCTGAGCACAAAAGTGACTGACCAGCTGGGAGGTTTTCGCTCAGCCAAAGCTTGATTACTTCTCAGAGCACACGAGGAGTTGTGTTCTTATTGAATAGACTGGTTAGTGAATAAATGAAATTCATCAGCTTTCGTTAAAGGAGGAGACGTCTCTCCGCAGTGAATATGTAGAGCAGAGAATTCCGTATCGATTGGCTTGCAAATTCCCAACCTAAATGACAGCTTATTTTTACAGCCTGTGAGCAGAATCATCACTGAGCTCACAGCTTTTATGAAGTCTGTCTATTTGAATACACCATACCCTTTGCTCCATTAACTCAGTCTTATCTTGCTCTGTATTATTCAATCTGCCATCAGAAATATTCCTGAAATCATTCATCTTAAAGGAGTATCCTTTCCAGTTACTGAATTCAAACACGTTTTCCTTCAAGGACTCTGCTTCAGGGATATCAGTAGCTAATAGCATTTCTGTTGCTAAAAGACACACCAAAACCATGGTTAATGGTGGAAAAAAGAATTATACATTACTGAAATGTATCAGGCCTGAGAAACGTGGAAGCAAGTGTCATTAGGTGAAATTCCCTTCTGCTAAATAGGCAGTCCCTCTAAATGAACTGGTAAGCTAGAGAAACACACACCATCAGATAGATGTCTGAGCCTAAGATAAACAGGCTGCCTTTAGGGATAGATTTGGGATAGATTTGGAGGCAATTGTGATTCATAGTTAATATCACTTTATAACAAGGTCTTTTAAGTAAGTATTTGATTGCCCAAGAGACACTTTGGGGTCTGTGGCCAGGTTGCGTGTAAAGAGCCTGCACGGTAACTGGTGTAGCCTACCAGCTCAATTAGTATGAATCAGTATTAAAGCATCTATTGTCCCGAACCACATCTGCCCAGAAACAGCTCACTTGCTCTTCCTCAGTCACCAAGAACAGCTGGGGTTTTTGTTTTGTTTTGTTTTATTTTGTTTTGTTTTTGAGACAGAATTTCACTCTCGTTGCCCAAGCTGGAGTGCAGTGGTGCGATCTTGGTTCACCGCAACCTCCGCCTCCCGGGTTCAAGCAATTCTCCTGCCTCAGCCTCCCGAGTAGCTGGGATTACAGGCATGCACCACTACGCATGGCTAATTTGTGTATTTTTAGTAGAGACGGGGTTTCACCATGATGGCCAAGCTGGCCTCAAACTCCTGACCTCAGGTGATCCGCCCACCTCGGCCTCCCAAAGTGCTGGGATTACAGGTGTGAGCCACTGCATCCAACCAACAGCTGGTTTATATATACTCTCCATGACATTTCCTTTATCATCCACAGCTTTGGAGGAGAAAAGCTAACTCCTGAGTGTAAGGCAGGAATCTGTGCTTAGACTGCTCCATGCCACTTTGGCTGAGACCCATCATTCCTCCTGGGATCACATCCTGAGATTTTTGTACCAAGGAGCATTTTGTAGGAGGGTATCGCTATCCATCAGGTTGCTAACCTGGAAGGTGAAGAAGACCTCTTTGCCTCTTCAGACATTCCATTGTGGATCTATTCTGCTCTGGTGTTTAGAACGTCCCTGATAGATAAAGTTGTACTTCCTTTTATTGGTTCTAAAACAAAGGCTTCAAGGTTCCAGAGTACCCATTAGTGCCAAGAGTCAGGGTCCAGACTTTTCCTAGCATTATAGGATTTTTACATCCAATACAGTTAAAGTCATCGTGGCTAAGAAGTAGTGCCTCTAACTGATAACATGATAGGTTTCTGTCAAACAAGATTTCCATACACTAGGGAGATGCAGAGGTCTATTGAGATCTTTGAAGATATGTAGGGATCTTGAAAGGTTTCTAGCTTAGCCATAACTGAGAGCAAAAAGTACATTTCCAGCACTACTTGGAAGTCAGACCCGTCCAGCCTCCCTCGAAGCGTGGGAAAATGCCAGCCATCATATAGGGTTCCATTGGGAAAAGACTCTAATTGTCAGATGGCTATTCCTTACGCCAAGCCCAGACCCACTATCTTAGGTCTGGCAAATGAAAGCCTCTTACAAATTGCTAAAAGAATTTTTACTTGTGGTAAAATACAGATAATCTAAAGTTTACTGTCTTAGCCATTTCTAAGTATAAACAATAACTTGTATAAGAATTCTAATTAGGAATTATTTCAAACATGCAGAAAAGTACAGAGGAAAAGAAAACAAACAAACATATGCATGCACATGCTGAAGTTAATGTTTTGCCATATTTTCTTATTTCTTTTACATTTTAAGAAATATGGTGTAAGCCCACAGAAAGTCCTGCTTTCAAAGAATCCCATTCCCTTCTCTTCTTTCCCAAGGTAACTGCTCCCCAGGCAATGCTATGTGCCTTTGGGTACCACTACCTTTTGATGTTGGAATATTCATAGGTGTCTTAGCATATTCTGTGTGTGTGTGTGTGTGTGTGTGTGTGTGTGTGTGTGTGTGTGTGTGTGTGTGTGGTTGGTGAGGCTGGAGGCAGAGAGAGCTTAGCCCAAGCAGAGTCCCTTCAGGTCAAAGTTCAGGTCATGCTCAAATGGGGTTACAGCCTCACAACCTAGCACTTTGCTGTGATTTGACTGTGAGAATTTTCAGCGTTCTAGCTTATCTTCCTTCTTACCTTTTGTACCTTGGCACCCACGCTGACAAGTGTGGGAAAAGGTCATGGTCTTGATTCTGCACTACAGAGGAGAGGCACCTCACCTCTTTTTCTCTTCTCCCTAATGAAGACAGCGATTCTAGCCCCCTTCCTTACGCCAACTGTGGTTTTCAGGTGACACAATGGATCCCCTCCTTCTCCAAAATAATTTCAGGTATTCTGCTGTGTCTGCTGAGGCTGGGGTCCCCAAAGATGCAGGCACAGCACATACTTCCATGCTGCAGTAGGAGCAGGTCTTCTGTGTTACTCCCACCCAGCACTCTGGAGTCTGTTTTGGCCACTGTGGTGCACTGAACCATGTCACCAGGGACAGAGTACACCGACTCCTCTCCCTGGGTTGTAATGGATAGCACAAAGCCCTCATTTTATAAGTATCATTTTTCTAAATAACATGCTAGGCCAGAACAAAGGCCACTGCAAAGCCACAGGCTCTTCCACACAGTGAGGACACCGCTCTAGAATGTTCCACTTTTAGGTGGTCAGGGGGACAGTATTTGCTCTTGTGCTTCCAATTAGTTAATTTTTCATTAGTCACTTTAAAAGTAGCACTCTTAATTTGGGATTCTAATTGAGGGACTTACGCTGCCACGATCTCTGCTGTAGTTGGGGCTGTAAAATGCTTTCCCCGTGAGAAATGCAAGCAGGAAGTGGTGGACAGCCGGAGAGCTGCCAGAGCCTTCTGCCTCCCCGCATTTTTATTTTGATGACCTGAGAAAAGGCATCACATTTCTGGCTTATTGATTTCTTTTTTTCTTTGTGTATGTGGTTGGAGTGGGGAAGTTGGTGGGGGATGAAAAGAAAGGAAAATAAAGCCATTCATCATTGCAACTAGCTATTTTGTGTAGAAAATGTTTTCTTGGTTTCTGTTTTATGTGACCAAGCACTTACTTACTCTGCATAATAATGCAAAGATGTTCTGCGTGTAACCTCAGTGTCCCATGTAAGGCTCCATGTGCCCTTTCTACAACATGCCGGGTGATGCTGCTAGGGTGTTGAAGGCCCTCGTGGCTTTCCACGTGATTTACTTGGGGCAGATTCACTCAACAGAAGCGTCCGATGCTGCTTTTTTTTTTTTTTCCCCTCCAGCTTTGTTGAGGCACAGTTGACAAATAATGATGCTTCTCTTTAAAAGCCTTCCTCAGAATGAGGTCTTCCTTTTTTTTTCTTTATTTTATTTTTTATTTATTTCAGTAGCTTTGGGGGTATAAGTGGTTTTGGGTTACATGGATGAATTATATAGTGGTGAATTCTGAGATTTTAGTGCACCCATCATCTGAGTAGTATACATTGTACCTAATGTGTAGTTTTTTTATCCCTAGACTCCCCCCACCCTTCCTCTTCTGACTCTCTGAAGTCCATTATATCACTTTGTATGCCTTTATGTGCTTATAGCTTAGCTCCTACTTACAAGTGAGACCGTGTGGATTTTGGTTTTCTACTCCTGTGTTACTTCACTTAGAATAATGGCCTCCAGGTCCATCCAAATTGCTGCAAAGACATTATTTCTTTCCTTTTCATGGCCAAGTAGTACTCCATGGTGTATAGGTACTGCATTTTCTTTATCCACTCAGAATGAGGACATTCAGTTTTCAGTCATCCATTTATCTATACCAGCAAGCATGTATCTGTTACTCAGCTTCCAAGTTCGAGGGTTTCCTAAGCTTTCCCCAGCTTTTACTTATATGCAGGAGACAAAAATGTGCTGGCACAAGACAAAAGGAGAAGCAGAAAAGAAAAAACAACCTCTAACTCATCCCAAACAACAAAAACAAAAGAAGATTTGCCACTGGCCTGTCCTGAGTTTTGGGGTTTGTGCCTCGTCTTGCCAGCCTTACTCTTGCTGAGCTAATACAAGAGCCCTCAGCACGTGTTGCTGAGGGCTAAGAATGCTCCTAAATGCTAATAAAATTTATTTCATTTGACACTTTAATATTAGCTCCCAAATTTGGAAAGTTGGCAACATAACTGTCTTCAAGCACAAGTCTTACAGATCTCCGAAAAACATATGACCTAATCTCACCTTGTGAATGGGGCGTTTATTCTTTCTTTGCTTCTCCTTGATGGTGCCATCACTCAGAAGGGTCTGGGAGCCCCACTGCCAAAACAACACTCTACCTTTCTCCTTTCCTCATAGCCCCAAGGCCAGAGTCAGCTTCTGTTCGCATAACTAACTTAAAAGGTGTCAACATATTCCAACTGTGTGCTCTCTCCAAACTTATCTTCGTGCGATGAATACCTTATTGGAAGAAAAGTTGTGATCACACTAGTTCATTTTGATCTCATCTATTTTAAGATAAATTGTTCTCTTCCAAAAGCTCAGGGCAGTAACTGAGGATAAAGTCGAGATCTGTTGACTCTGAAACCTCTGCTTTTCACTCACCTTGTTGATTTCATGCCGTGTTCTCTCCTCTAGGTAACAGCGACCAGTCAGGATCCCAGGAGAAGCTGCTCGTTGACAGCCAGGGCCTGAGTGGATGCTCACCCCGAGACTCAGGATGCTACGAAAGCAGTGAGAACCTGGAAAACGGTAATGTCAGCATGAGTCGCTGGGAACCTGCTTTGACAAGTACTGATTTCAAAGCACAGTTTTCTGCAAAAGGACGATTCTATTCCTGTCATGAACTCAGCAATCATCGTTTCCTTTCTCACCTCTACACCATTCTAGTCCAAGTTAGCCTCCCTATCTATTCTCCTGGCTGCTGGGTGAGGTTAATAAATTCTGTGTCAAATACCTGCAGCTGTAAAACCTAAATTGTGTGTCTCCTATGCCCTTTTCTGTATGCAATAAAAACCAACATTGGAGTGTTGGGAGCTATTAGGTCCATAAGGAAAACAGTTTACCAGGTAGACCATCCATCAGGGTCATACCAGCAGCAGTGTCTTAAATGCCTCGGCTGCATGGCCTGAATGTCGAGGCAGTTACTGCAGGAGAGAAGGATTGGATGGCCACATGTCTTGTTTGTGGCCTCTCTGTACAGCCAGTCAGGAAGTGTAATCAGTATGAAATTTCAGAAAAGGTACTTGTCTCAAACAGAAGAGGAGTCTTAAGTGGTATGGGGTCAGGTGGGCTAAACGTTACCATGGATGGCTTTGTGGTTTCCTGTTGTGACCCCAGAATTCCCATTGTAGCAAGATGAGAAACAGTGGTAAGAGGCTTACGCTGCCACAGTGACCTAAATCTCTGTCAAACTCTTGAAGGCCGTCATAAAAAATGCCCAGGTTTGATAGCTTTTAGCAGCCATTGGAATCCTATCTAGTAGCCCATGTGTTAAGATATTTACTGAGCACCTACTAAAGCAAACTTTTTTAAAACTTAATGCAGGTTGTACTTTATTAGTAGGTCATGAAAGCAGTTTAGTGGGTCATGGACAGCAGTTTTGTAAGACAAAATAGAATACAAAATATCAGAGAGCATCCCCTAAGATAAAGGTTAGTATTGTTAGCACTGTCACTTGTAATCCTTGTTTCAGTTATGTCTGTGTGTGTGTTTGTGCTTGTGTACATGCATGTGTGTCTCTGTGTACTACATGTTGAATGTAAAATGTATTTCTTACTGGGAATCATGGGAAAAAATAGTTTGAGAGCCATTGTGGGTACCAAAACTAGGGCTAAGGACAGGAAAGTGGGTGTCCAGGATGCAAACCCTAAGCAAGTGCTCACTCTCGGGTACCAGCCCTGCACTCACATGACTCTGGGCATTCACCTCCTTAGAGTTTGTCCTCTGGGCACCTTGTTTGCCTCACTCTAATTCCAATTCTAAGAAGCATCTTGGGGACCTCAGAATTTGAGCCATGATGCCCTGCTATTCAAGGTTTTCTATCAACTTGGGAAGATAGTAGTTCTCCCCAAACTATATATAATATTCAGATAGCCTCGGTCAAGACAGGATGCAAAACTCACCTAGTATCCCAGTACATCCTCAGTTTCAGTAAACATCAGAATCCTTATGTAGCTCATGTAGGTTCTGAAGAATTTTTTTTTCTCTTAATAACCTTTTCATATCCAAAACTTTTCAGGAAATTAATTCCCCCAACTGTTGGTGATTGGTAAGGATCTCACAGATATCACTGGCAGAATTTTTCATGCCCAAATGAATTCAGGTGTACCTGCTGAAGAACTAGATTGCTAGCGAACCATACTTTGAACTCAAAGTAAGTTCAGGGATCTTTCTAATGTAATGCAGAATGCAAAAATGGAACTTATATATATAGTTTTATATTGGGAGTTAAGGGAAAAGAAAGTCATATTTCTAAATTTATGCTAAAGAGGTTCTAATAATTTTCTATTTCAACCCACTTTTAAAATCTGATGCAATTTTTTTTTTCTGAAGAGGTATTTCTTCATTTATCTGTGATGATTTTTCTTTTCTTTTTATGAGGCGGAGTCTCGCTCTGTCGCCCAGGCTGGAGTGCAGTGGCGCGATCTTGGCTCACTGCAAGGTCCACCTCCCGGGTTCATGCCATTCTCCCGCCTCAGCCTCCCGAGTAGCTGGGACTACAGGCGCCTGCCACCATGCCCGGCTAATTTTTTATATTTTTTATGAGAGACGGGGTTTCACCGTGTTAGCCAGGATGGTCTCGATCTCCTGACCTCGTGATCCACCTGCCTTGGCCTCCTTAAGTTGTGATGATTTTTCTAATAATGAAAAGTAGGACCATGGTCAATATCTTCAGTAGTAGCACTAGGCTGATGATCTTTATGTAACAACAATAATATCCTACAAATGCATAGCATGTTGGTGTTTATCAGTGTGGAACATACAGGTGGACAGGGTCAAAGCACACAACAAACATGTTATCAACCAAAAATGTAACAAGGGACAGTGTGTGTGTGTGTGTGTGTGTGTGTGTGCGCGCGCACATGTAAGTACTGATGAGAACAAAGCATTCAGCACATTGTCTGGCCCATGAATTGTAAGTTCTTGGCAAAGCTTATCCAACAGCAGCAGTTTAGTATCAACTACCAGTCGTCAGATAAGTAGATTATGTCTGGTTGATAGTTCAGTTATCAGTCTGGCAGTTGTAACTAGGACTGTTGCTTTGCTGGGACCTAAAACTTTATCAGTATTTTGTAGATTTTCTTTGGCAAAGTACTCACAAAAGTTTACCTGTCTGTGTCCAGGTTGGTTGATTGCTTCTAGGATAAACTTACTAGAAGGAGGGGCTTCAGGGAAGGTGGGATTTGAGTATTCACAGATCACTCTGTAGGGGATACCATTTATAGAACCTGTTGTGAAATTCAGTCCAGCTCTCCTTTTCCATCATGACCTTGAGAAATTGTACTCACCCAACAAATCTCATCAATATGCGGTATGATGATCAGCCTCTTTCCACGTCGATTGCAGTGGGGCACAGACTTAAGCCAAGATTTATTTTACTGCTTGACACAGCGTATTTCTTTCCCATGTAACCCAATTAATTTCAGTCTTCATGATTCCTTTAATAAGACTAAGAATTCTTTCTAAAAATAAAAATGGAACCATAATAACCCTCTATCACCCGATGTCATAAATGGTGATTTTATGTTTTTAGTGTAATTGAACAATAGGATGTGGGTGTTGGAGATTTCAATTATGTTAGCACAACTTTATGCATCCGTTTGATTGATTTGCTTTTAAAATGTGATTGTAAAATATTCCCTTGTCTCACAGGCAAGACTCGGAAAGCTAGCCTCCTATCTGCCAAGTCATCCACCGAGCCCAGCTTGAAGTCTTTTAGCAGAAACCAGTTGGGCAATTACCCAACATTGCCTTTAATGAAATCAGGGGATGCACTGAAGCAGGGACAGGAGGAGGGCAGGCTGGGTGGTGGCCTTGCCCCAGACACGTCCAAGAGCTGTGACCCACCTGGTGTGACTGGTTTGAATAAAAACCGAAGAAGCCTCCCAGTTTCCATCTGCCGGAGCTGTGAGACCCTGGAGGGCCCCCAGACTGTGGACACTTGGCCCCGATCCCATTCCCTGGATGACCTTCAAGTGGAGCCTGGTGCTGAGCAAGACGTGCCTACCGAGGTGACAGAACCGCCCCCTCAGATTGTACCTGAAGTGCCACAGAAGACGACCGCCTCTTCCACGAAGGCCCAGCCCCTGGAGCAAGACTCTGCTGTCGACAATGCATTGCTACTGACCCAAAGCAAGAGATTTTCTGAACCTCAGAAATTGACAACTAAGAAACTGGAGGGCTCAATCGCAGCCTCTGGTCGCGGCCTGTCACCCCCTCAGTGTTTGCCCAGAAACTATGATGCTCAGCCTCCTGGAGCTAAACACGGTTTAGCAAGGACGCCTCTGGAGGGCCACAGAAAAGGACACGAGTTTGAAGGAACACACCATCCCCTGGGCACCAAAGAAGGGGTAGATGCTGAGCAGAGAATGCAGCCCAAAATTCCATCACAGCCTCCACCTGTTCCTGCCAAAAAGAGCAGAGAACGCCTTGCTAACGGACTCCACCCTGTTCCCATGGGCCCCAGTGGGGCCCTCCCCAGTCCCGATGCGCCATGCCTGCCAGTGAAAAGGGGCAGCCCCGCCAGCCCCACCAGCCCTAGCGACTGTCCCCCAGCACTGGCTCCCAGGCCTCTCTCAGGGCAGGCGCCTGGCAGCCCACCAAGCACAAGGCCGCCCCCCTGGCTCTCAGAGCTCCCCGAGAACACAAGCCTCCAGGAGCACGGTGTGAAGCTGGGCCCGGCTTTGACCAGGAAGGTCTCCTGTGCCCGGGGAGTGGATCTAGAAACGCTCACTGAAAACAAGCTGCACGCTGAAGGCATCGATCTCACGGAGGAGCCGTATTCTGATAAGGTATCAAAGGTCCTGGGCCCACCACGTTCACAGGCCTTTGTTTGTAGAAGTCAGGCAGCCAGGTGAGATGAACCCACATCTGAAGCCAGCCCGGTAGCCCGCCCAGTGGACAGGAGACACCTGAATCCACGTGTCCACACCTTACTTGACATGCATGTGTTCAGATATTGACACCACCCCATTTCATCTCTCCGTAGGTAAACCGAGGTTAAAAATAACCTGCATGAAGACCTCTTAGAGGGATTACTAGGAGCAAATAAAATAAATGTGGACAAAAGAACCCTATTCAGATGTGATAATTGTATTATACAGTTATCTGTATGGGTAATGGGAAAAAGATAATATAAAATCCCCCATTGTACCAAAAACATTTAGCTGTATAATGAAAAATTATTTCTCATTCAAAAAAAATGAGATCTACCAATACCAAGTGACTCCAAAGACAAAGCAATGCTAACAGATACAGCAGTACTTTACTCCTGGAAATACAGGTCCTATTAGGATGCATTCCTGAGAGTCCTTTATTATAAAATTCTCATGACAATGAATGCCTTAGAATCAGATCCTCCTCCACCTCTCTGACCCTCCTTGATATTTCCTGAGTGAATGTCTTTAAATGAAAGGTAGTGAGAAAGACCATACAGTAAATGCTGGCCTAGTGAGCTGGTGGTATCACTTGTAGCAGATAAAGTGCAAACAGTTGAATATCTGTAAAGCAGAAGTTAGCCCTTCTCTCCTGCAGTTTAGAAGACTCTCTTCAGTAACATTAGAGGAGTTGTATTTTGCAAAATGATCTGATTGAGGCGAAGGCATTGTCCTGAAAAATGTGGAATAATTGTGTTCTGCCTTAACTATGCTTCAGAACATTTTCCTAGAGCTCATCAGTACTTTAAGATAAAGATGTAAAAGTATTCCCTCTAAAGCATTCATCCTGACCAATAAAGAAAATATATTCATTTCAAATTCAAACTTTTGGGTTGGGTGTGGTGGCTTACGCCTGGAATCCCAACACTTTGGGAGGCCAAGGCGAGAAGATCGCTTGAGCCCAGGAGTTTGAGGCTGCAGTGAGCCATGATCACACCACTGCACTCCAGTCTAAGTGACAGTGAGACCCTACGTTATATGTGGTGTATCTTAGGGAAAGAAAAACAAAATCCTTATGACTCTTGATGTCATATTCCTGTTCTCCCTGGCAGCATGGCCGCTGTGGGATTCCTGAAGCCCTGGTGCAGAGATACGCAGAGGACTTGGATCAGCCCGAGCGGGACGTCGCCGCCAACATGGACCAGATCCGGGTGAAGCAGCTTCGGAAGCAGCACCGCATGGCGGTGAGCAGCCCACAGTTCTCCAGCTTCCTGAGGCACATTTAGTGATCACGCTTAGTGATGACCATACTAACAACTGCCAAGTAGGCAAGGGCTTGCGTAGCTATGGAAAGGAGACAGCTGGGGAGAAAGTAATATGTGGTCAGCCTAGAAATGTTTAAAAATACACTTTCAGAAAGAAAAAAAAAATGAAAATTATCCGTAATCCCAACACTGTGAAAAACTTTTTAAAGATCCGTCTAGTGCTGGGCGTGATAGTGCACACCTGTAATCCTAGTTACTTGGGAGGCAGAAGCAGGAGGATTGCTTGAGCCCAGAATTTTGATGCCGGCCTGGGCAACATAGTGAGACCCCATCTCTTAAGAAATAAAATAAAATCCGTCTGAATGACACAGTTTCAGTTAGAAGCATAACTTCCAAAGATCTATTGTTCAACATGGTGACTACAGTTAATAACAATGTATACTTGAAAATTGCTAGGACAGCAGATCTTAAGTGTTCTCACCACAAAATATAGTATATGAGGTAATGCATATGTCAAATAGCTTGATTTAGCCATTCCACAATGTGTACATTTATCAACACACCACGTTTTACACCATAAATACACACAATTTTTACTTGTCCATTAAAACTCTGTCTAGTCATTTCTCTGCACATGCGTAATGTATGCGTAAATGTATAGTACCGAAACCTGATTGTTGGCTATTATCAGATCATGAATCTGTTTCCCTGTTACTTAAAAAAAAAAAAATTGATATCATCAATACAGTAGTCTCCCCCTATCCATGAGGGATTATGGTCCAAGACCTCCAAGTGGATCTCTTGAAAGCTTGCTGAGTACCAAACCCTGTATATATTATACACAAATTTCTTTTTCCTTCACAATTTCATGGATAGAAGATTCGTTTTCACTGTAGGTCTTAGGAACCTCAGCATACAATTTTTTTTCTTTTCTTATTAAGTCAAGAACTCTCACCTTTTTACTTAAAGGAAGCACTTAAGGGCTTCTCTTTGCCACGTGCGAATGGCCAGCATCGTTACTCTTGCACTTGGGGGCCATTGTAAGGTCAAATAAGAGTGACTTGAATGCAAGTACTGCATTACCGCAACAGTTGATCTGATGACTACGGGCTACTAAGTGACTGCGGGGCTGGTGGTGTAGGCAGCGTGGATTTGTTAGACAAAGGGATGATTGTCAGGTGGGACAGAGCTGGGTGGTGTGAGATTTCTTCAGACTACTCAGAATGGCATGCAATATAAGACTTATGAATTGTTTATTTCTGGAAATTCCCATTTAATATTTTCAGGCTGTAGAAAGCAAAACCATGGATAAGCAGGGGGGTGGCTATTGTATTTCAAAGTATTCTAGTAGGTCAGTGTACTCTAGTAGTGAGTCTCATAGTTAAAACATTTAGATTTTTCTAACCTTTTATTTTAAATAATGTAATGAAGAACATCCTTGTTAATAAATCTTTGTAGACTTTAAAGGTTAATTTCTGAGTAGATATTCCTGGAAGATGGTTTGCTTCATCAAAATTGTATAAAATCCCAAAGATTTTCATACTCGTTAGCAAATCACCTTTCTGAAAGGTGCAGGCCCTTTATATACCCAGTAGTCAAGGTTAAATGTCCACTTCCCTGTTCCAGCCAACCCTTGATATTATTGTATTTTAAATTCTTCATAACTTGTATTGACTAAACATGTAATTTTCTGGTTGTTAACATAGATTCAAAATACAGTGGAAAGTCTCCTTTATAAAAACCCTACCCACTGAATGCTACATTTCACACGATCACCCAGATTTGTCCCTTCAGACTACCTTAGGGCTCTTTGTCAAGAGCATATCCACAGTGAAACAAAATAGCAGAATATGTAAATGCTTATAGTTTGAAGACTCGGACACATAAATGGGATTTGACCTCATTCCAACACCTTCGAGAACCTTGTGGAACTCTTCCTTAAAGATTTGTTTCATCTTAGAGAAGAATTTTTCCTGCTAGTCTTGATCTCTGACACTCATTGCATTGTCGCTTTCTGATAATAGTCTAGCAATGCAGTATTTCAGTGCTGTTCCTTTTAGACATACGCGAAGTAGTCCTCGATGACACATGGAGCGTTTCTATCATATTCTTTCTTAATTTATCCAGATTCCAAGTGGTGGACTCACGGAAATCTGCCGAAAGCCCGTCTCTCCTGGGTGCATTTCGTCTGTGTCAGATTGGCTCATTTCCATCGGTCTGCCCATGTACGCCGGCACCCTCTCCACCGCGGGCTTCAGCACACTGAGCCAAGTGCCTTCTCTGTCTCACACTTGCCTTCAGGAGGCCGGCATCACAGAGGAGAGACACATAAGAAAGCTCCTATCTGCAGCCAGACTCTTCAAACTGCCGCCAGGCCCTGAGGCCATGTAGCCAGGCCCGGAATGGGCCTCTCTGGACAAGAGCCACCCTTTCACTGTGCATATGATGCTGATGCAATTCCTCCATCATCTCTGGACGTGCAGACCAGATCCAGAAGAAAGGCCTGGCGTGTGGCCAAACAGCGTGAAACCTTGGCACAGGACTGAGGATCCTCTCCTCCAGAAAAGCCCCCTCGAGGAAATAAATTAGTGCGGTTCTCTTTGACCCCCAAAGACAAGACAAGCACTTATTTTTATTTTCAGAAGACAAAAGAACCAAGATGCCAACTGGCTGCGAATGCTCTATCTCCAGTCTGTCTCTGTGTACTGGTAGAGGCTGGGAGGAGTAGGGGGCAGCCTGTTCCATTTCTGATAGTGCCCTTGCTCTTCTGTCTGTCATCTTGCAGGATGCCCGAGGGCCAGATGGGCTTAGCTAGGCCAAAGTAACAGACTCAAGAGTTATTGTACATTACTGACCACGCTCATTTGTTCAAAAGTTAGAACATCTGGCTGCACCAGGAAAAAAAAAAAAAAAAAGTCCTGTTCTTCTTTAGATAAACAAGAGACATTTTCATAATTGCTTTCTAGCAATCAGCTTTTATTTGCCTTAATATAAGCTTTTAAGCAGTTATCTAACTAGTGTCCACAACCCTGTAACCATACTTCCACATCTTCAGCTTAGGCAGACATCGAACCTCTCTGGGATGTTTCCAGCAAAAGTGAGCTTTTCTAATCGTCTCATTGTAACATGGCTTATTTTGTAGAGGTATTCATCAGCCACACACTTCATGTTGGTTTTTGGTTTTTAAGCTAACTACAAATCTAGTAAAAAGCTATCTGAAATTCACAAATATCATGTGTGTGCGTGCGTGCGTGCGCGTGTGTGTCTGTATTCATAGTGACTGCTTTTGGTTTTAACCAGTTTAGTATCGTTACTGTGTGGATCGTCGCGCTGCAGTATTGACTTGGAATCCTGACCATGTCCATCCCAAAATTCAGTCCTCAGTTAACGGATCATGTTTGCAAAAGGTCACTGTGAGGCTGCATATTTCAGAAAGATGTCCTTAATAAGGGAAGTCATGTATAAGATGTTTTCTAAAAGACTTTTCAGTATTACAACTAATACTATTATTATCCTTCTTTTTTTATTTAGATAATTCTTTTAATTTAAACAAAGGTTCACTATGGAACCAGACAAATCTCATTAGCCATGTGTTAAGTATTTGCTACTTTAAATTGTTTTACAACTGATTTCAGCACATTCTATCCTTTTTTTTTTTTGAAATGGAGTTTCGCTCTTGTCACCCAGGCTGGAGTGCAATGGCACGATCTTGGCTCACTGCAACCTCAGTCTCCCAGGTTCAAGTGATTCTCCTGCCTTAGCCTCCCGAGTAGCTGGGATTATAGGCACCCACCACCACGCCCAGCTAATTTTTGTATTATTAGTAGAGACAGGGTTTCACCATGTTGGCCAGGCTGGTCTCAAACTCAACTCCTGACCTCAGGTGGTCCACCCGCCTCAGCCTCCCAAAGTGCTGGGATTACAGGTGTGAGCCACCGCACCTGGCCTCTGTCCTCTTTTAGTCTAGTGTCTGGTTTTCTAGCAAACAGTAAATTTAAACAAGTAAACTATTATGGTTTCCATTGCTTACAAAATGATTTTCCTTTACATTCTTATCATGAACACTATTTTAAGCATCAAATGCAATCATCTAAAATATAAAGGTCAATCATTTATAATAGAAACACCTTGACCACAAGCCCTTGATTGAACATTTTATAATATTTCATCTACTTATTAAAACAAATAATTTCCCTTGGGTTGGAGGGGAAGTGATTTCATAAATTAATTAGAAAGCCATCTTTAGCATATTGCTTATGTCTGGATCCATGTTTCTGAGGAAAAAGACATTCTCAGGTGATGTATTTTTTTCATGCATTAGTATGCATTTTTAAAAAATAATGCATGTTTCTTTAATAATTAATTTTCATCTTCTATAAGATGCCATGTGAAGAAGTTGTGGAAATGTAGAATAAAAAGCTAAAGCTGCCAAATTTCTGTTGAACTCTTAAAAACAGCTCATGTTTGTTTGTCCTCTCGGGTTGTGGCCTAGCCTATTTGCAATGTAATGAAGCTGCAGGGTTCTTGTATAGCTAAAGCGTTCAATGCATTTCACGTGCTGTGGTGGATGTGGGTGCTGTAGACAGGCTTCTTCTCTTCCTGCTCTCAAAATACCTCGGCTTGACATTTGGACAGATCCTGTCATTGTTTAAGCTGAGCAAAAAACCACACAAAAGTTGTGTAAGAGATGAGATAACAAAGGAGCGAGAGAAATCTCATGTGAATTTCCAAGTTTTAATTCGTTCTCCATGAAGGATTTTCATTTCAGTGAAAGTCGCAGCAGAAGAGGGAACTTTCTGGAGTTTTTGAGAATGCCAAACCACATTTTTATCACACTTCTTTGGAAATCAATGCCTTTGCATAGAAAATCAAATTCAGGGACCACAAAGAATTTTCAGTGGGAATGTCTAGTCTGAGGGGTCTGAGGTTGTTTTTACTTTATTGTGTTGTTTAAATATTTTAAAAATATCTTTAGCGTTTGGTCTTTTTTTTTTCTGTAAACATTTAATTTGGTCTGAGAAAAGCTGAATGTTTGGGTGTGACGTTTGACTGAGGTGGATTGGGGCTGCCTGTGGACATTAGTGAACAGGTGGTAGGCTTCAGGAATATCCAGTTTTAATCAGTTGCATTTGGTACAGAATTTTGAGTAATGGTGAAAATTGTTGTCTTTGGAAAGCACAAAAGAAACCTGGAAAGGCAGTTCGGCTCAGGTAGCTACACATAACATTGTGTATGATTTTCACTTCAAAGCTGTCTGGAAGGAAATGCAGTCAGCTCCAGCTAGTACTATTTATGTACCCAGATAACTAAGATATTGTTTCATGGCCTTGCCTTAGTCAGAGGCCCTTTTCTCTGTCCTGAACCCCCAGGTATGGGTGAAATTGGAAATTACTAATCTATTGGAAATCAGTTCCTGACATAGTAAAGTTTGCTTTCATAACTGCAGCAAAAAAGGTCAACTTGCCAAGTCACTGCTGCCATGTGTGTACTGTATTATTTTCAGAAAAAAATATAATAGTCTGAGTCCAAGTTATCTTGATTTAAAATTGATAGAGAAAAGAAACTGTCGAGCAAGTTATATAACAACTAACAACATTGCACTTTCTGTATATGAAATCAATATTTAAATAACTTATTTTTCTCCATTGCTGTTCTTAAAAACATTGTAAGTAGCTGTAATATACCAGTACCAATATGTTCTTGCAATTGCTTCAGCCCAAGAAAGCTGTGTATTGTTTTAAAAATTGTAAAAATTATTGTGATGATTCATTTAGCATAAAGAGAGGTGGACGGAAGGGTTTTCCTATGTATCAAAACTTGTCTATAATTATGTCATCTATGTACCTAGAAAAAAGTAAATAAATTTCTTCAGTTGAATATGCCTTTTTTGTTGTTTCTTGGGTATTTTAAAGATGAATGGAGTAGAAATGAAAAGGAATTTATAAAGTGGTCAAATAATGAAATATACTGGGAAAATTGTAGTTGTCTGCAATTCTGCCATCACCAGAACTCACCCTCTGACATCCACCCAGATTCTCTTTGCCACTTTATTGCTTTATTTTCAAATATGCATAATCGAGTCATATAATGATAGCACCTTAGACCAGCAAGATATTTTTTGGAAGTCATCTTGAGTCTAAGATTATCATTTTCAAATGAAGAATCTGAGTCCATATGGATGATTGACTTGCTCAATATTATACAGCTAAATGACACCACCACCCATATCTTCTACTGAGAAAGAAAAAACAAGTCTAGGTCTGGATAGCCTAGAAATTAATCAACATGACAATAATGGGTTTTTAATTTCAGCGTACCACAATTGATACAAAGACACATTTTTAATAGGGAGAAGAGGGTGTTTGTAATAAACTTTGAGAGGTAATGTATGCATTTGAGAAACTATTTAAAAAATTACCATCTTTTCAGAGAAACTCTTCTGTATTTATAAATATAATTGCATATGTATTTCGCCATACAGAAATGAGAGCAGATTTTTCATGCTATTCACCATACTTCTAAATGAATACATCTTGGAGGTCCTCCCATGTCAACATTCTCCCATTTCCTTAAAGGCTACATAATATTCTATTATGCAGGTTTAACCAGTACTCTATGAAAGTGCAACCTTCTGCTGTTATAGAAGAAAAAGCTATTGTGGATATCACTATACCTATATCACTTAGCATGTGGAATTGCTGTATTAAAGTTATGTGTGTGTTTTAAATTTTGATAGAATAAGGTGGGTTTCATTGAAGCTTAATGTTGGTTTTACTTTTTTCTTTCTTTCTTTCTTTGAGGTGGAATGTTGCTTTTTGTTGCCCAGGCTGGAGTGCAATGGCATGATCTCAGCTCACTGCAACCTCCACCTCCTGGGTTCAAGCGATTCTCCTGCCTCAGCCTCCTGAGGAGCTGGTATTACAGGCATGCACCACCACACCCGGCTAATTTTGTATTTTTAGTAGAGACAGGGTTTCTCCATGTTGGTCAGGCTGGTCTCGAACTCCCGACCTCAGGTGATCTGCCTGCCTTGGCCTCCCAAAGTGCTGGGATTACAGGCGTGAGCCACCGTGCCTGGCCCACTTTTAAATCATCTTACTCCCAACTCCTCCAATCCATTTTGCGAACGGGGATATTTCATGTATTCCAGGAGTGAGTGTTCTCCTGACTGCTGCATCATTTTAAAGAACTAACCGTAAACCTCAAATCTTCCCAATCCCCTGCTAACTCCTAAGATTCAACAGTTCAAAGAAGATGCTCTTTTTCTTATGATTTCTAGGAAACCCTTGCCAGAGTCTTGGTGTTTCTTGTAATCTCTCTTCGTATGTAGATACCTATGATGTATTCACTTATAAAGAACATTAATTTGAATAGGGAAAGAAGAAAAGAGAAGGTGGTTGGTTGCCACTGTTCAACCACACAATTCATTTTGGAACCCTTAGAATTGTGACTGTCTTTACTCTTAGCTATGAGGACCCTCTCAGAGCAAACTATGTACATTGTACTTCCTAGAACTTAGAGTGTGTGTGAGTGTGTCTGTGTCTGTGAGAGAGAAAGGGAGGAGGGAGAGAGGAAGAGAAGATGAATGCTCATTCAGGTCTAGGTCTGGACCACTCATCAGAGAACCATGGGAACCATTATTTGGAAATATTCCAATTTCCAATACAGCACCCCTCCCACATGACCTCAGAGAAGAATACTCTGAAAAGGGTATTAGCTGTCACCTTCTGCATACTGTAACAAAAACACCGGAAGACCCTAACCAAACTGAGTTTGAGTTCAATCTGGAAGGATCCCAGGGTACTTGTGTGACGGCCACAGCAGTTAAGACTAATCTGGTTGGATTTTACCACCATCCCCATTCATCCTCAATGGACTTTCCCCAAAACTTGGGTAATGAATATGGTTGGAACCATAAGAGAGATGTGTACAAATGGCTGTGGGAACTAGAGGGAGGATGGATTTGGCCTGGGGACAGAGAGGGCCAGAGGAGGTGGTTCTATGGATAACAGTGTGCCATGTTCTAAGTATCAGACTTGATTAGAAATACAAACAAATGGAAAAACATTCCATGCTCATGGGTAGGAAGAATCAATATTGTGAAAATGGCCATACTGCCCAAGGTAATTTATAGATTCAATGCCATCCCCATCAAGCTACCAATGACTTTCTTCACAGAATTGGAAAAAACTACTTTAAAGTTCATATGGAACCAAAAAAGAGCCCACATCGCCAAGTCAATTCTAAGCCAAAAGAACAAAGCTGGAGGCATCACGCTACCTGACTTCAAACTATGCTACAAGGCTACAGTAACCAAAACAGCATGGTACTGGTACCAAAACAGAGATATAGATCAATGGAACAGAACAGAGCCCTCAGAAATAACGCTGCATATCTACAACTATCTGATCTTTGACAAACCTGAGAAAAACAAGCAATGGGGAAAGGATTCCCTATTTAATAAATGGTGCTGGGAAAACTGGCTAGCCATATGTAGAAAGCTGAAACTGGATCCCTTCCTTACACCTTATACAAAAATTAATTCAAGATGGATTAAAGACTTAAAACGTTAGACCTAAAACCATAAAAACCCTAGAAGAAAACCGAGGCATTACCATTCAGGACATAGGCATGGGCAAGGACTTCATGTCTAAAACACCAAAAGCAATGGCAACAAAAGCCAAAATTGACAAATGGGATCTAATTAAACTAAAGAGCTTCTGCACAGCAAAAGAAACTACCGTCAGAGTGAACAGGCAACCTACAAAATGGGAGAAAATTTTCGCAACCTACTCATCTGACAAAGGGCTAATATCCAGAATCTACAATGAACTCAAACAAATTTACAAGAAAAAAAAAACAACCCCATCAAAAAGTGGGCGAAGGACATGAACAGACACTTCTCAAAAGAAGACATTTATGCAGCCAAAAAACATGAAAAAATGCTCGCCATCACTGGCTGTCAGAGAAATGCACATCAAAACCACAATGAGATATCATCTCACACCAGTTAGAATGGCAATCATTAAAAAGTCAGGAAACAACAGGTGCTGGAGAGGATGTGGAGAAATAGGAACACTTTTACACTGTTGGTGGGACTGTAAACTGGTTCAACCATTGTGGAAGTCAGTGTGGCGATTCCTCAGGGATCTAGAATAGAAATACCATTTGACCCAGCCATCCCATTACTGGGTATATACCCAAAGGACTATAAATCATGCTACTATAAAGACACATGCACACACATGTTTATTGCGGCACTATTCACAATAGCAAAGACTTGGAGCCAACCCAAATGTCCAACAATGATAGACTGGATTAAGAAAATGTGGCACATATACACCATGGAATACTATGCAGCCATAAAAAATGATGAGTTCATGCCCTTTGTAGGGACATGGATGAAATTGGAAATCATCATTCTCAGTAAACTATTGCAAGAACAAAAAACCAAACACTGCACATTCTCACTCATAGGTGGGAATTGAACGATGAGAACACATGGACACAGGAAGGAGAACATCACACTCTGGGGACTGTTGTGGGGTGGGGGGAGGGGGGAGGGATAGCATTAGGAGATATACCTAATGCTAGATGACGAGTTAGTGGGTGCAGCACACCAGCATGGCACATGTATACATATGTAACTAACCTGCACATTGTGCACATGTACCCTAAAACTTAAAGTATAATAATAATAAAAGAAAATAAATAAATAAATAAATAAATAAATTAAAAAGTCTTGGAAATAACAAGAAAATAATTAAGGAATATCCTCTGTGTCTCCAGACTCCTGATCCACCTGGCCCTCAGCCTGACTGAGTCTCTTCCCACTTCATAGAACAATGGAAATCATCCATTGGGCCTCACTTGCAAACTCCCCAGCATCCTCTTCTCATCTTTCCTCATGGCTCCTGCCATGACCAGGGAAGTGTTTCTCCATTCATCTAACCCTACTTGAGCTCAGGATGCTGTCCCAGGACTCCCAGCCCCTCATTCACTCCCTCACTTCTCTGTACTTTCCCCTGGGCACGTGCTTGTGGCAGGCGGTGCTGTGCTCTTCAGGCCAGCCCGTAGTCCTCTATTTTGATATTTGCACTCTCCCTTGGGGAAGACTGCACTCCCACATCTCAAGTTGTTCCTGCCACCACTTTCCTGTCATGAGTCCCCATCCTCCTCCAAGCGAGCACAACGCACGCCAGGCTAGAACAGTGTTCACCATTCTTTCCTTTGAAAAACTCTCTCTCAAACTCACATTTTCCTTGTCTAGATAATCCAGTCTCTTGCTTTTCACAGCCAAATATCTTGAATTATGTTTCTGTCCATTGTCTCTTCTTCCTTATCCTTCATATATCCGTCAGCCCACTGCTCCCTGGATGCAACTAAGGCCACGGACGGAAGTAACATTGCTAAATCCAGTGCGACCTCCCCGGCTTCCACTTCCTTGTCTTCTCTGCAGCATTGCGTGGGGCTGCCCTTTGCCCCCACTTCCCATTCTTGATCTTCCCCGCTCCCCTCTGCCCTCTCCCATCTCAACAGCCACTGCCTCTCAGCACCCTTGGCAGCCTCTTTCTCTGCCCACCCTTTGAATGTTCAGGGGCCTCAGACTTCCATCCCAGGGCCTCTTCTCACCCTTGGTGATCTCTCTGTGGTTGACTTTTCATCTCCAAGAGTTAGCTTAGAGTAAAAGAAGCAATCCCAGAAATTCGTCACTTAAGAAGAAATGTAGCGCTTCTATCTAAGAGGATGCTGATTACAATGAGAACAACCCTCATGGTAAGATGCTGCCCCAGCTATTTGCTTGTTAGACTACCCATGCATCCTCAAGCACCAGCTCAATTTTGGTCATTGTTACAATGTCCCTGAGCTGGGTTTAGTATCTGGTCTCTAGAATAATTCCAAAGAAGGAAAATCAGAGGCTGTATTCTGCTGTGCAGGCAACATATTATTCTATAATTTCTGGTATTTTGGACCACCTTCTAGTCTTGGGGAATCAGTTCTATAGTTTCCGTGGCACCCAAAATGTCCTCTAGATCTTTACTTGTCAGTCCGAGTATGCAACACAAATTGTCCTCCAATGGGTAGAAAGCAAGGAAAGCGTGGTGAGAGCAGCTATTTACTGGGCAAATCACTATACTGAGTGCCTGAGGCAGTTTATACGCTTTATTCATTCAATGAACACTAAGTGGACATTCATTCTCATCCCTGTTTGACCAGTGTAGAGTCCATGAGCACAGGGACTTTGCTTATTTTTTCAATCCCAGTACCTGGTACAGTGCCTGACACATGAGGAGCTGAAAATATAAATATTGAATAACAAGGTTCAGAGAAGTTAAGACATTGTTTCAGGCTGACATAGACAGTAAGTAACAGGACTGAGATTTGAGCACAAATCCGCCTGACTCTAGAACCCACGTTCTTTATAGGATGAAAATTATCTCTAGCAACAACTGTCCCCTGAATCTCCTGAACTTTGCACATTCACTTCTCTCTCTTCACAAACAGATGTCTTAAAGTTTATCAACATGTCCCAAATGAAATATCTGGCCCCCCTGCAGATCTCTGCCCCACCCATGTCAATTTCCCCTCTCAATAACAGCTTCCAGTTACTTCGTTCAGACTTAATCATCCTTTACTTCTTTTTCCTTTCACATTCTGCATTCAACCTGTTGGGAAATCCTGTGGTCTCTGCTTTCAAAGTCTCTCCAGAATCTGACCATTCCTCACCGTCTCCACTACTACCAAACCAGCCCAAGCCACAGCCACCACCCTCGCCTCGATGCTCACTGTGGTTTCCTGCTTTTCCTGCCCCCATCTCCGCCCACCCTTGTGATCTACAGTAGCTCATACAGTAGCCTGGGTGACCTTGTTAAGGGCTGAACACTTGAATCTCCCCCAAGTTCGTATGTTGAAGCCCCAGCCTCCAGTGTGATGGTATTTGGAGGTGGGGCCTGTGGGAGATTATTAGATTTGGATGAGGTCACACAGGCGGAGCTGCATGATGGGATTAGTGCCCTTATGGGAAGAGGAAGAAGACACCAGGCATTACTTTCTCTCTCTACCATGTGAAGACACAGTGGGCAGGTGGCCAGCCGTGTGCAAGCCAGAAAGAGGACCCTCACCAGACTTTTTCTTTTTTTTTATGTTGTTGTTTTTGAGATGGAGGCCTTTTTGATTTTTTTTTTCTGAGATGGAGTCTCGCTCTGTCACCAGGCTAGAGTGCAATGGCGTGATCTCGGCACACTGCAACTTCCACCTCCTGGGTTCAAGTGATTTTCCTGCCTCAGCCTCCCGAGTAGCTGGGAGTACAGGCACGTGCCACCACACCCAGCTAATTTTTGTATTTTTAGTAGAGATGGGGTTTCACTATATTGGCCAGGCTGGTCTCGAACTCCTGACCTAGTGATCCACCTGCCTCAGCCTCCCAAAGTGCTGGGGTTACAGGCGTGAGTCACAGCGCCCAGCCTCCTCACCGGACTTTCTTGGACTTTCTAGCCTCCAGAGCTGTGAGGAAATGTTTGCTGTGTAAGTTACCCAGTCTATGGCATTTTGTTATGTATGGCAGCCCGAGCAGGCTAAGACAGACCTGTGAAAACATCAGGCAGATCGTGCCGCTCCTCTGCTCAAAACCTCCAATGGCCCCGTTTCTTTCAGAGTCAAAGGCAAATCCTTTGCGGTGGCCCAGCAGGTTCTGTGTAACCATCTCTTGTGACCTCCTAGCCTCCCCAGCCATCGCTACTCTTCAGCCACTCTGATTCAGCCACACAGGCTTTCTCCTTGGTCCGCAAGTTTAACGGACCGCTCTCACCTCGGGCCTCTGCAGGCTTCCTTCTGCCTGGAAGTCTCTTCTTCAGAAAGACCCTGTGGTTTTCTCATGCCCTTCTACAGGTCTTTGCTCAAAGGACACTTTTCAGAGTCCTGGCCTGATTCCGTCATCTGAAACTGCCTCTCCCTCAGCCTTTCCCTGGGCTACCACTCTCGAGTCCCACACCTGTGCCAGTTTCCACCTGGCGTTCATTCTCACCTTCTAACACACTGTGTCATCTTTAGGTTTATTGCTTAGTACCTTTCTCCCTTGCTACAATTTAACATCCGGGAACGCACAGGTTTGCTCCCTGGTGAACCTGAACCCTCTCCACTTGACACGTGGTATTTGCTGAATGAATGACTATTCCAGAATGACTAGCCCTTGGATCCTAAATGCAAACGCTGAAGAGGCTCTATTTTAACCCTCTTCTTTCCTAGGTTAGGAGACGGAGACCCAGAGGGGTGACACGAGGGGCTGAGGTCCATACGCGGATGGCTAGTGACAAGGTAAATAGACAAAGAGGCGGCTCCTCTCTGCGTATCCAAGGCTTAACTTTGACTTAACTTTGACCCACAGATTATTACCTTAAACCTGCTGGAGTGACCAGTTCTCAGGACTGGAAGTTGTGGAAATGACTATCAAGGGTGGTTTTGTGAACGTGTAGCTCATCACCGAAATCCACACGGAGTTTCCCTACTTTTAATGTCGGGTCACCTTCACATGTGCAGGTGCTAAATGTATCCATCCTCACATTGGGCACTACCAGGAACAGAAACATCTAATTTATTGTCTGTGGAAAATACAAAAATTGTTTCATAAAAAAAGAGAAAAACCTACAATTTTGGATTTCTTATGGATTTCCAAGTCAAAAAACAGTGGCTTAGAAAGAAATCAGGGCCCAGAGCCGGTTTCAGGTTTCGGCCTCCGTCTTGCCGAGCGAGCCGCTGCTGCAGTGCGTGGCCGCCAGAGGGCACTGCTTCGCCAGGCTGGAGGCCGAGCCAGCTCGCCGGGAGGCGCTGGTGGGAGGCGCGGGAGCCCCCGGGAGGAGCGCGTCCACGCCGCGCGGTGCGGAGCCGAGCCGCAGCCCCGAAACCGAGTGCGGCGGCAGCAGGGCCGGCAGGACCGCCACGACTCACCAAGTGAGCAGCGAGACCTGGAGTCCTGTAACCAAAACACCTATTAAAACTCCCAGGAGAGCGATGATGGGTGACCGATGGAACTCCTGGCTGCTTTCATGACCGGAGCTGGGCGGCCGCCTCGGTGTCCTGCACCTGCTGGGGTGCAGCGTCCACGTGTCTGTGTGTGCGCAGGCGCCCTCTTGCCTACTGCGGGAGCAAGCTGGGGGAAGCCGGATTAGGTCACTCCAAGGCCCTAAACTTTAGATGTCAAGCAATGGTGAGGGAACACCAGCCGCATTTTTTGTCTGAACATTTATTTGCTCATGGCCCAGAATAGCCTAGCAGTATAAGAGCAGCTGCCATCACTCAGTCCTGATGTGTAGTGAACGTACACACTCCTGAGAGCAGTTACCCTTCACAGGATGCCTGTGCACCGAACACCGAGATCCCCACTTTATAGCTGAAGGAACTGCAGCCACGAAGGTCGCAGGGAGAAGAGATGAGATTTGACCTTGTGTTATTTTATTCTGATGCCCTTTGGCTTAACAACTACTGAATAACTCCCTGGTTCTCAGCAGAACCCGTGAGAGATGTATAATTCGAGATTTTTTGCACGGAATTGGCTTAATTGCGAGGTGTGACGAGGCAAGTCTGAAATCCATAGGGCAGGCTGATCATCAGGAAGGACAGGCTGGAACTCACAGACACCAGCTGATGCTGCTGTCCACCATGACATTTCTTCTTCATCAAGGACGCCTCAGCTTTGCTTCTAAGGCCTTCTGATGCATTGAATCAGGCCCATCTGGATTGTCTAGGACAGGGGTCCCCAGCCCCTGGGCCACAGACTGGTACCAGTCCATGGCCTGTTAGGATCTGATTGCCTGTGAGATCAGTGGCATTGGATTCTCACAGGATCGCAAACCCTACTGTGAACTACACATGCAAGGGATCTAGGCTTCAGGCTCCTTATGAGAATCTAATGCCTGATGATCTGTCCTTGCCTCCCATCACCCCCAGAAGGGACCATCTAGTTGCAGGAAGACAAGCTCAGGGCTCCCACTGATTCTACATTATGGTGAGTATGTAATAATAATAGAAAGAAAGATGCACAATAAATGAAACATGCTTGAATCATCCTGAAACCATCCCCTCGCACCCCACCCCATCTACGGAAAAATTTTCTTGCATGGAACTGGTGACCAGTGCCAAAACGGTTGGGGACTGCTGGTCTAGGATACTCTCCCTTACTTAAAGTCAACTGATTTGGGGTTTTAATTTCATCTACAAAATACCTTCATAGAAACACCTAAGTTTGTGTTTCATTGAATAACTGGGGAGAGTAGAACACCATTATACCTGGGAAGCTTTGCAAAGGAGGCTGCCCGGGGCCTACTGCAGACCAATTGAATCTGAACTTCAGGGAATGAAGTCTGGACATTCATGAGTTTTTGCAAGTTCCACAAGTTATTCTGATGCATAGTAAGGGTTAAAAACTATGAGTATCTTCAGTGAAGGAGTTCCTGGGGCCTTGAAATTTACATTGAGCCACCAGCACTTGGTCCACTGTGCTGGGATCACAGGAGAAAAGACAGCGCCCAGCCTGGAGGTGGTGTGCTCTGGAGTTGTGCTTGCTCTGTGACCCCAGGCAGGTCCTTTCACTGCTCAGCCTCATTGTCATTATTTGTGCACATAGCAGGTGCCGGGAAAAGACCTGCCTGCCCCACTGACCTTTCTGCGAAAGCCACCCCTCTGCTGTCTGATGGCAGAATCTCTGCTTTGTTTGGCCTCATTATTTCCAGTCCCAGGACATGAATCGTAATTGGCTCAAACCAGTGGCAGCTGTGTCGGCCCCTCCCTCCCAAGCCCCCTTTGCCAGCTTCCCTTGCAGCCATTAGTGGCCACAGGACCCAACTGTATCCAATAAGGCACAGGCGGAGGGTGATATTTTCCTCACTCATAGAAGATTCTCCTGCCACCTCCCAGGCAACAGTAAAGATGAGGGTAGGGCAGCAGCCACATGGACCACATCAATGACTCAAGCCCACCCAACAGGGAGGAAAATCAGAAACTAGTCACAGCTTGTGTCCTCAATGCCACTTTGGAGCCAGGGCATTGTTTTCCTCCTTCAATTATAAAGTATTTGCAAGAATGCCTGCCCTGATTGGCAGTAGTCAAGGCAGGGAAAGGGAGAGAAAGATTCTGTAGCTGTTTCATTTCAGAGCTTTGGAATGTGTGGAGCTAACAGGGGTTTTGGAGAGGGAAGATTCAGAACTCAATGATCTAGCTGAACGTGGATTCCCCTGGCTCTAGTGCCTCCACATAGAGAAAAACCTCTTATTTACCACAGGCTCCTTCAGTAAATAACGATTCATCCTGAATATCTCAATGTCCCCTCAATGTCTCCTGAATATCGCATGGTGACTCCTATTTCATCCGTGCTTGAATTTTCTTCCTATCCTAGAGTCCTCCCCACATTCTTCTTTCTCTGTCTGTCTGAATTTTATCATCTGAAGTCAAGCCTCCTTCAGCAAGACTCAAGTAACTCCAGTCAACACCACCCCTTCCTGACAGCCCAGAATGCCCTTAGTTAAGGCATCGGATCTCAGAATCACAGAAGATCCCGGAGGAAGGGGACCCATCTAGCAGTTTAAACCTGCAAAGCATATCATTTCTTCCTTTGCCTTTTCCTAAACCATCAAGTCCTAACAAATCAATGTAAAACCACATTTGAAAGTGACACAGATTGGCTGAAATTCTGTTGGAGGACATGTTGCTATCTCTCATACATGCTCCTGTTTAATTAAATATGTCATTAGTCTAAAGGTCCTGTAATAGAGGTAAGAGAATGCTGAGAACTTCCAGTTTGTCCCATCTCTGAAAGCAAGTAACCTCTTTGATCTGCTTGACCAACAATGTCCCCGGGTAATTAGTGACTACTTGCCTTAAAATGGAGTCACTAGGAAGGGTCCCTGAAACTTCATGGGGGTGACTGGGTATCCACCTAGGTGGGGAACTGGCAGGTCTTTTTCATTTGGCAGCTGCTTCAAGTCCTGCTTAGCCAGGCTGGTTAGAGTTTACACTCTAAGCTCAGAAAGGGCTCAAGCTCCCCCCACCGTAGGAACTCTGGTCAGAACTCAGCGAAGCCATGCAGGGGAAGTTAGGGACTTTGCACTGGTCCTGGCCTCTCCCCTCCCTTCCATCGTAGCCTGGATGCCATCTGTCTCATGCAGCTGCCTGGGAGGGCAGACCTGGGAACGTCTCCCTCAGGAAGACAAGGCCTCTCTCTCTGAAGACCATGTAGGCACTGGGGCAGGCGCAGGACAGCTGAGGCAGGCTGGAGGCTGACCTCTCTCTCTTCTTGACAGGTGGAGGGATAGGGTTTGGGGTTTCCACACCGAGGTCATTAGGGCACATCAGAAGATGGGACCTCACTGTCCCTTTGTCCTCTGGAATAGCTCTTCTGAGATTCATTTCACCCACTTCCCCATTGGCTAATTCCAGTCCTCTTCTAGCTCCAATAAGCCTCCTCTTGGCTTCTATCCCATGTGCCAAGGTGAAAATCTATTTCAAGAGATTGTTTTAGAAGCAGTGGGTATTGGTGGGAGTGTAAATTAGTTCAACTATTGTGGAAGACAGTGTGGCAATTCCTCAAAGATCTAGAGGCAGAAACACCATTTGACCAAGCAATCCCATTACTGAGCATATACCCAAAGGAATATACATCATTCTGTTATAAAGATACATGCATGCGTATGTTCATGGCAGCACTATTCACAATAGAAAAGATGTGGAATCAACCCAAATGCTCATCAATGATAGATTGAGTAAAGAAAATATGATACATATACACCATGGAATACTATGCAGCCATAAAAAGAATGAGACCACGTCCTTTACAGGGACGTGGATGGAGTTGAAAACTATTATCATCCTCAGCAAACTAATGCAGGAACAGAAAACCAAACACCACATGTTATCACTCAGAAGTGGGAGCTAAATGATGAGAACACATGGACACATGGTGGGGAGGAACACACACTGAGGCCCATCAGAGTGGGGAATGGCAGGAGGGAGAGCATCAGGAAGAATAACTAATGGATGCTGGGCTTAATACCGAGGTGATGGGCGACCTGTGCAGGAAACAACCATGGCACACGTTTACCTATGTAACAAAACTGCACATCCTGCACATGTACCCCTGAACTTAAAAGTTGAAGAAAATAAAGAAGCAGTGGGTAATGGTAGGTTTGGAGGAAAGGTGGATAAAGAGGGAGACATTCTAAGTTGCCCCATATCTGGGACCTGAAGCTTGGACCAAAAACAAGTTATCCTTTCTTTTGGTTTGAGTTCGTCCCTGCAGAATGGTTCACTACATCTGCAAGGGCCCCAGTGGCTGCCAGAGTCCACCTAGAGACCAGAAGAAGGCTCCACATGAGATGGCTGCAGCTCTTGCAATACCCTGCAGTGATCTGCAGAGCAGATTCAGTGCCGGACACAGGGACAGTGTGTGCATTTCTTCCATCTTCCTAGGGGAGCTTTCCACAAGTTTTCCAAGGGCCCTTTCAGCTGTGGTCTAAATTCAGGGCCTTGGCACCACCCCAGGGAGGAAGCTCATTTACTTTGGCACCTAGGCACTTCCTAGTTAGTCCCAGCTCCAAACGTATGGAATTGGGCTTTGCTGAGTCCCGTGGTAGTATTTCTCTGCGCTGTCAGGACAGATGGAGACTGTGGTTGCGCCAGCCATCAGGGACCTCCCATTCTCCCTCCCTAGGGTTCCTCCCCTGCTGGCTTTGAGGTTTAAGGGAGTAGCCCACAAAAGAACGTTTGATGAGGGGTTCATGCTGGTCGGATCGTGGAGGATTGTTACAAATACTCAAACTTTCCTTGCAGATATTTTTCCCCTCCAAAATTGGAGAAAATGCATAGCGTTCCTTGCAGGAATCTTTTCAAAAGGTATGTAAAGAATGATTTTCACAAACCAAGAAATCAATTTTTTTCTTCAGGCACTGCCAGGTGAGGCCAAATATACGCCCAATGGTAGAAAAATGGATGGACTGGTTTCTATCATAACACTCTCTAAAAATGTGCAAACTGGACAATTAATTTACTCTCATATTTGGCAGAGAAAGGAGAGGTGGCATTGCTAGCACCCGTTACTTTCCCAAAGCTGCCCTCAGAAATGTGTTAACTACTTGGTTGCCATGCAGGTGGCCACTTGTGCTAGTGTCCAGGTTATCAACCCAAGCTTCCCTCTCCTATTTTTCCACCCAGAAAAACAATGGGTAGTCATGGAGAAGACATGTAAGAGGCTGTCCCTCCATCAACATTAGTGGAAAGATCTCCATGTTTCACCCAAACGCTGAGCGCTGCGATGTCTCTTGGCCTGATTTCCCCAGGGAGCAGAATGCTAAGCCACACTGGCCTTGGCCCTGCTTCTAGCACTTGCTAAACCATGCGGGCAGAGGCTGTGCTGAGTGCTGTCTCAGAGGTCTGAGCTTCTGTCACGGTTTCCTTCATTCATCGCCAGATACTAACTCACCCACTTCTAAGGGATGGCAACCAGAATTTGTCTTCAAATTTAGTTGCTTTATGGAATTTTATAGACTGTTTTATCCTTATTTTTGACTTCTTCGTGTTTTTATTGACTTTGGCAGGGAGTAGGGCTGGACAAAAAGTGTCTTGGAAGTGAGAGGCGGTGGAAACTGAGTGCTTTCACCAGGGTGATGACAAGTCATTCTGTGTCTCCTTTCTTTCTTCCTGGCTAAATATTTGTTGGTTATGTTTCTGTACAAGATAAAATTCCTAAAAAGGAAAATAACTCAAAGTTTAGACAGGGTTTCATTTTGATATTAAAGTATTTTGCATGTCATTTTTTAAAAAGTGGAGTCCTTATTTAACGGGAGGAAAGGGCTCTCCTGCCTCCCTGCTTCCACAGCCCCGGGATAGACTTCGCAGCCTATGGAGTCATCACACCACACTGTCATTAGTGCCCACGTCGATATTCTCCTCCCTGGACTGAGCTCCCAGGAAACAAGAATTGGCATGCTGCATCATTCCTACCCCACCAACCAGCGCAGCGCCTCCTCCATGCCAGGGCTCCACAGGTATTTGTTGGATGAAGAGTACACAACCAGAAAGTTAACGCCAGCACCTTTTTTTTTCTTTTTTCAGGAGCCTACCCTAAGGGAGAGTGGAAATGAGCAAAAAAGGAATGTGCAGCCCGGGGACTTTAGGTCTGCTCCAGCCTGTGCCTGCCAGCCTTGGCCACTCTGCCCTAACTTCTAGTTCTGTCTTCTGGGACGTTGCTTTACAAGCTGTGCAACACAGTGAAGGAAGTAAGTCATGTCTTTATCCTCACCAGTGGTCAGTGGGTCAGTTATCCTGCCTAGCACCACCCATGCAAATACACAAGCATTTCCTCTTTGACTGACTCACTTGGCGAAGGCGTGGGCAGAACCACACAACTCTTCCACCAAGAATGATGAAGTACATGATTGTGTTTTCATGTGAGCAAGCATTGTGAAGCCAGGAACTTTCCTCTTCCTCACATTTCAGACCACATGCATTTGTGTTTTGTTTGCTTCCTCATGCAGGAGGCAGCAATTATGGCAGGGGAGAGACAAGAGGAGTAGCAGAGGCCTTTCAGTGGGTCATCCAGAGAGGCATCTAAAGGTGCCTCTGCTCCAGAACAGTATTTGATGCATATAAAGGACATAGAAATGGCTGACACTTGGGTTTAGGTAGTTTCCCTGGTGCGAACCTCAAAAATACCGGCCTGATATGTGGTGAAATCTTGGTCAACCTCAATGCTAATGCTGGAACTGCCTCTTGCACAGAGATGCTTAACTCAGGGGTCCACAAACGTGAATAGAAGAATTTTATCATTTTTTTCCTTCCAACTAACTTCTGACTGCAATTTAGCATTTTCTTCAATTCTGAATGTAAGCAACAATTGCCAGTATTAGCACTGTCTGTGACATCACCCATAAAAACCACAGATATTTTTTCTTTCTTTCTTTTCTTTCTTTCTTTCTCTTTCTTTTCTTTTCTTTCTTTCCTTCTTTCTTCCTTTCCTTCTTTCTCTCTCTCTCTTTCTTTAATTCTTCTTTCTTTCCTTTCTTTTTCTTTCTTTCTTTCAATTCAAACAATCCTACAGCATTTATTGTCATCTTGTAATGACATAAGGGTAATCCAAACAATGTGAATAAATGTTCATATTGGACAAAGGACATCTAAAAAACAAAGTGTATCCTTCTCAACAATTTCTCACTTAATTGATCATTTCTAGTTGGAGACACTTTGTAGCAGAGTAATAGTACCTCCTTTTAGCATGATCTGACCCAGCTGTCTTCTTGACTTTGTTTTAGAATGAATCTCTTCTGCATCATCTAATACAAGGTTCTTACACTCATCAAAACCAATGATAAAGCTTCCTGTCCAGATTCACTTGCTCATAGACCCACACCTGAATCCAGGGTCTATTTTGTAAGTATCTGAAGATGAGGTTGATGGGCTGCACCATAACCTTCTGCACTTTCTGGCCCTGGCTGTGGTACACCATGGTGGAATCCCACAGAAAGCACACTGACCCACACGCTACCTCAGCCAGCAACTTCTGGAATAAAAAACCGAAAATGGGCTGGGCATGGTGGCTCACACCTGTAATCTCAGCACTATGGGAGGCCGAGGCAGGCAGATGGCTTGAGGCCAGGAGTTCGAGACCAGCCTGGCCAACATGGCGAAACCCCCTCTCTACTAAAATACAAAAAAATAGCTGGTTGTGATGGTTCACGCCTGTAATCCCAGCTACCCAGCTACTTGAGAGTCTGAGGTGGGAGGATAGTTTGAACCCAGGAGGCAGAGTCTGCAGTGAGCTGAGATCATGCCATGGCACTCCAACCTGAGCAACAGAGTAAGACTCTGTCTCAAAAATAAATAAACCGGAAGCGGAAGTGTTCAAAACACAGATATTTTCATGTCACTTCAGAGTGGCTACAAATAGCCCATGATGTTATTTGTACTCATCACTACTTAGAAATGATGTAGCTATTGAACCCACTGCTAGATCTTGGTTTTTAGTGCGGTAATATAGAAGCACTTGTGTATTACAGTTCTCCAGAGGTGGTAAAAAAAATGTATGTGTACATATATAACTATGTACGTGTACATATATGCATATATATACCCACAAATTTTATATTATATATAAAATTTTGTTATATATAATTATATTACCTATAATATACTTATATTTTATATTTTATATGCATATGTGCATATATAATAATATATACAATGTAAATACATTATATATTAATTATATAATTATTTTATATATTATATAATTATATAATAATTATATTATATTATATATATAATAATTATATTATATTATATATAATAATTATATTATATTATATATAATAATTATATTATATTATATATAATAATATTATATATATTATATAATAATTAATATAACATTTATATATTATATAATATATAACATTTATATATTATATAATATATATTACTATAATATAAATGTGTATCTATATCTATATCTATATCTATATCTATCTATAGATATAGATATCTGCCCTATCCTGCTTATGCAAAGCAACATCCCAGAAGGCAGAACTAGAAGTTAGGGCAGAGCGGCCAAGGCTGGCAGGCACAGGCTGGAACACAGACCTAAAGTCCCCAGGCTGCACATTCCATTTTTGCTCAATTCCACTCTCCCTTGGGGTAGCCTCCTGAAAAAGGAAAAAAGATATAGGTGCTGGCGTACTTTCTTGTTGTGTACTCTTCATCCAACAAATACTTGTGGAGCCCTGGCACGGAGGAGGCGCTGCGCTGGTTGGTGGGGTAGGAATGATGCAGCATGTCAATTCTTGCTCCCTGGGAGCTCAGTCCAGGGAGGAGAACATCGACATGGGCACTAATGACAGTGTGGTGTGATGACTCCACAGGCGGCGAAGTCTATCCCGGGGTTATGGAAGCAGGGAGGCAGGAGGGCCCATTCCTCCTGTTAAATAAGGACTCCACTTAAAAAAAAACCACGCAAAATGCATTAATGTTAAAATGAAACCCTGTCTAAACTTTGAGTTATTTTCCTTTTTAGGAATTTTATCCTGTATACATATATATGTGCGTGTGTATTTGTGTTTGTGTGTGTCTGTGTCTGTGTATAAATAAAATAAGGTATTGTCTATCACAATCATGGAGGTCAAGAAGTCCTACAACCTGCCATCTTCAAGCTAGAGACTTGGGGAGCCTGGTGGTACAGTTCTGAGAACCAGGGGACCAATGGTGTAAGTTTCCACTGAAGGGTGAAGACAGATGTCTGTGCTCAACAGTTAGGCACAGCGAGCAAATTCCCCTTTCCTCCAGCTTTTTGTTGTATTCGGTCCCTCAATAGATTGGCTGATGCCCATCTACAATGCTTTACTGAGGCTGCCATTCAATTCTAACCTCATCTGGAAACACCCTCACAGACATACCCAGAAATCATGTTTAGCCAGCTCTCTGGGCTCCGCATGATGCCATAAAGTTCACACATAGAATTAATCATCAAACTATATCACAAATTTGGTTTTGCTTTTTGTTTGTTTTGTTTTGTTTTTTTGAGACAGGGTCTCACTCTGCCACCCAGGCTGGAGTGCAGTGGCGTAATCACAGCTCACTGCAGCCTCAAACTTCTGGGCTGAAGTGATCCTACCGTCTCAGCCTCCCAAGCAGCTAGGACTACAGGTGTGCACACCATGCCTGGCTAATTTTTTAAAAAATTTTGTAGAGACGAGGTCTTGCGATGTTGTCGAGGACGGTCTTGAACTCCTGGCCTCAAGTGATCCTCCTGCTGTGGCTTCCCAAAGTGCTGAGATAACAGGCGTGAGCCACAGCAACTGGCCACAAATTTGTTTTTTTTTTTAATAATTTACATTACTTTGTTTTGATTTCATTGGTTTCTTTGTAATTCTATGTATTTTAGACTATGCATATTAAAAACATTATTTTGAGAAAAGATACACAGGCTTCACCAGACAGTCAAAGAAGCTCATGGCACCAAAAAAATCTTAAGAACCCCCGTGGAGAACAGGTTTGCCATGTGGCCCCCCAGCCCTTGTTTGGCCACTTCCTTGGTGGAAACAAATCCTTCTCAAAATCATACATTCTGTTTTATATTCTTTAAATACATTGAAGGGAAGAAGGGGTGAGCTGGCTATCAATTTATTGCCCCTCTGCTCTAAATGGACTCTTTGTCGCTTACCCACCCTGAAGCCGAGCACTGTGAGTTTCTCCTTTGTGTGTGCATACAGGGCACTGGCGGGACCAATGCAGGAGGAAGGGGCTTCTCTTCCTAGCACCCAGCACGCTTCCTTTCCTTTCTCATTGCTCCTCCTGCACGGCTACCAGTGACATAGGAGGTGGGCATCCACTGGTACTCCCCGAACCAAGCTTCGGTGGCACCCTACAGTTCTTAGTGAGTTCCATGTTGCCCTTTCCTGCCTATCAGCCACAGCCCACGGGCACCAGCAGGAGGCTTTTGGAAGCTTCCTCTGCCAGCCTGAGAGAGGCAGTGGCTGTTTCCTGCCAGCTCAGCCCTGTGACTTGGACCAATTCTGACCTGGGTCAGTTCAGGAAACTAATCTATCATCCATCGGGTAGCAGCCACACCTTCCCAGTGAGGCCTGACTAGCAGTTTTGGGGAAGGAGGCTTCTGCAGTTGTTTTGTAGGGCTGGTGTAACAAAGTACCACGCACTGGCTGACTTAAACAACAAAAATGCATTGTCTTCCCATTCTGGAGGCTGCATAACTAAGTAGGAGGTATGGGCAGCGTTAGTTCCTTCAGAGGGCTGGGAGAGAGACTCTGCTCCTGCTTCTGGGGCTTTGCTGGCAATCTTTGGCATTCCTTGGCTTGTGGAAACATCCCGATCACTGCCTTCATCTGCACATGGTGTTCTCCCTGTGTGCATGTCTGTGTCCACATTTCCTTCTTCCATAAGGGACACGAGTCACATTGGATCAGGGGCACACCCTGTTCCCACATGACCTTATCCTAACTTAATTAATTATATCCGTGATGGCTTCACTTCCAAATAAGGTCACCTTCTCAGTAGGACTTCAGTGCATGTATTCTGGGGGACACAAATCGGCCCCCCTTTGAAGTGTGTTTCTTCCTTCAGGACTCTCAGCCTTAGGCTATTCTTTAGCGGTGTTTTTGACCCCTTCACCGTTGACACCCTGGTCAGTAGGTGTTGTGTTTTACTCTAATTTGGTCTTGTGGTCTCTCTCAGGAGAGTGGCCACAAACTTTAGCCCTGCCCTTGAAGCGCTCCAGGGAACTTCATCATGGATGTTTACAGTGAGCCTTTCGTGGAGTACCTCTTTATTCTGGCAGACAACCTAATGCTTAAATGTGTGACCCACGGCCAGGGGTCCCTCTCACAGAACACCTGTTGATACTGGTAGGTCCCCTTGTGGCTTCTGTCTGACCTGTGTGCAGTTTATTCCCACCAAGATGGCCGCTCTCTAGGAGAGCCCTGAGCAGGAGAGAAGTCAGGGGAGACACAGAAGAGCAGTTGCACAGAGCCCATGAAGAAACAGAAGCAGTTCATCACATACAGATCGCAGACAGAACAGGGCAGTGGCACGCTGCCCTGCAGGGCACACTGAAGGGCACACTGCAAGGCCAACAGGAAGAAAGGGGCTCCGTCCATGACATGCAAGCTCAACTAGTGGGTGGGGCATGAGAGAGAGAGATTGGGATGTGTGGGATGAAGGCTTTATGAGGGTCCAGGGTGGTACCTACACATGTTCTATATGTTCAGGGCCATAGCGATGGCTGAGGCCCCCTCTCTAAGAGCTGAAAGTGTGATAGTGGACACTGAGAGGGGAGAAACCTGTGTTAGTTAAGTGCTGTGGGACTGCTTTACCAAGAACGTGACTCTTTTTTTTTTTGAGACAGTCTCACTCTGTTGCCCAAGCTGTAGTGCAGTGGCACAATCTCGACTCACTGCAGCCTCTGCCTTGAAGGCTCAAGAAATCCTCCCACATCAGCCTCCCCAGTAACTGGGACTACAGGCTCACAGCACCACACTCAGCTAATTTTTTAATTTTTGGGGGGCCAGATGCGATGTCTCACACCTGTAACCCCAGCACTTTGGGAGGCTGAGGTGGGTAGATTGCTTGAGTCTAGGAGTTTGAGAGCAGCCTGGGCAACATGGTGAGACCTTGTCTCTACTAAAAATTAAAAAAATTAGCTGAATGTGGTGAAATGCGCCTGTGATCCCAGCTACTTCAGAGGCTGAGATAGGAGGATTACTTGAGCCCAGAGGGGTTGAAGCCACAGTGAACCATGATTGCACCACTGCGCTCGAGACTGGGCGACAGAGCAAGACCCTGTCTCAAAAAAAAAAAAGTTCATAAAGACAAGGTCTCATTATATTGCCCAGGGTGGTCTCAAACTCCTGGATTCAAGCTCATGAGCCACCGTGCCTAGTGTGAAGGTAACTCTTAAATCTGACTCTTGAACTCTGAGTCTTGGAGGAGAACAAACCAGAAAGAGAATGAGGGAAGAACATTCTATACAGATGAAAGAAATGGAACAAAGACATGAAATAAACTGGGCATGGTTTATTAGGAAAACCCCATTAGGAATGGTTAAAGGAAGCAACGGTGTTAAACCTAGAAAAAAGATCATGTTTCTCAACACGCCGGATTCCCATGTCCTTAAATTGCTTGTGGGCTGAAACCACGTGCAGTTACAGTAGACCGTTCACGCTCCCAGAATGTCAGAAAGCATGCACAGGCCATGTGTACAGACAGCGACTCCTGCATTAGGACTGCCACTTGGGCAGGAGCAGGGCTGAGACCCCCTCAGTTATAAGATGCAGCCTAACTTCTGAGATTTTCAAGTGTCAAAAAACTATACGTCTTAGGGATAGTAAAGCAGAATATGCATGGAATGAAAAATTGAGTTGTAAGAAGTCCTACTCTTATGGAAACTCAAGGCAGGGTAATAATAAGAACATGTGCTTTGGAGTCAGTATGACCTGGGTTCACTTATAGTTAAATATAGCCCCAGTTACTAAACCGAGAGACTCTCAATTTTCTCATCTGTAAAACACAGCTAATTATTACCTCATGGAACTAAAGGAGATAAAGTGTGTAAATTCACATTTGATATTAAGACCATAGCTGTGAACAGGGAGGAGCAGTAAGGCTATAATGTGGCTCCTTCTAGGCCATCTTAGACAGAGCAATCCCTAGTCCAAGAATTTCCTATGCAAACACTGAAAAGTGGCTGGGTGTGGTGGCTCACAATTGTAATCCCAGCAATTTGGAAGGCTGAGGCAGGAGGATGACTTGAGCTCAGGAGTTCGAGACCAGCCTGGACAACATGGTGTGACCTCATCACAGTAATGCAGTCCTCATCTCTACTAAAAAGAAAAAAAATTAAATAGCTGGGTATGGTGGTGTGTGCCTGTAGTCCCAGCTACTTGAGAAGCTGTGGCAGGAGGGTCGCTTGAGTTTGGGAATTTGAGGCTGCAGTGAGCTATGATTGCACCACTGCATTTTAGCATCAGCAACAGAGCGAGACCCTGTCTAATAAAAAAACCCTGAAAAAATGATAGCTTATAATCTCAGTGCTCCCCAAACTTTTTTGACCTTACATGCATTACACAAAGCTTTGAATACATACCACAGATATAGATGCATTTATTTACTGACAAATTTTGTTCAAGTGTATTACTATACTAATACCTATTATGAAACAAACAAGATTTAAAAGTATGAGATGAAGACAAAATAAACAATAATGAAAATAAATTGTTTTACTTTATTAACGGTACCAAAAGCCCTTGATGTATTACCAAATAAAAATGCCATTTTTTCTTGACAGGGCTCTAATTATATATGGATGCATTGTTTCTGAAAATCTTGATTTACATTTTGTGATTCTGTGATCAAGGGTTTATTTGTGTGCTTGGTTTTAATGGCATTAGGGGCGGAAGTTGATCCTTCACAAAGATGCAAATAGAAGCGCACCATTGGCTGGGCTTCCTACATTATGATCACAAGCACTTAGCAGGGCCGAATGGTGCCTGAGGGCAATACAGTGATATCCTATGTCCCTAGACTCGCCAAGAAATGAATAAATACACATAAAATTAGGGTGCATTCATGTGTTCAATGTTCATCCAATCTAATGGTATTAACTCAGTGCGAAGTGGAAATTAAAACTTCTCTGGTGGATGTCTTTGCATCTCCCAAATAGATTGACAAATGCGGACATATGAACCTTTGTACTCCCTTAGCCATTGAATATTCTGCTTCACTTCCACAGAGTAAGCAAGTTGTTGGAAGAAGCAGGCAGGTACTGCAGTGCCCCTCATGGCCTCACCTCTGCAGTTATGCATCATCACCTTCCCCGTATTGAATGCACCACCCAGGGCAGCCCTGGCTCAGTATGGGAGGGGTCTGAGCAAGGCACAGACATCCAGGATTGAGGATCTTTGGGGGCCATGGGAGGCTGACTACCACAGGAAGCTCCTGATGAAGGTGCCAGAAAAATGGGAGAATAGGCTGAGGGCAAAGAAAATGTAAGAAACTGCCATTGTGATTCAAATAAAAAATATTTCCTGGAGGACATTTGAATGAATTTGGTCAATAGCTGGCTTTCCTTAGTGATAATTTCAAATCACCCTTATTCCTTTATCCTACAGATATGCTTCAAAAACGAGATACTAGAACAACAAGCAGGCTTCTGCCTGAATTATCACTTTGAGTTTGATGCAAATGTGTTTGCTTAATGCATGCATAGGTATAACATTCTTAAATAGAAAACAAACTGCATAAAATTTTAAGGTAAAGCAAAAGAACTCAAGGAAATGACTCCCTTGCTCCACCCTGGCCAAAGCTCCATTTTTCCTTCAGAGACCTCAGTGGCCCATGCTCCCTCCCTTCTGACTCAGGGACATTTTGCAAAATGCTGAGAAGCAGAGCATGGAGATTGGCCCTTTAAAGACACACCTTGCAATCCAGAGTGGGGTATGAAAGGCAGTTCACTAGAATGAAGGGTAAAAATAGAGAACGTCTGTGCATATTTAATCTTTATATTAAAAATAAACAAATTGTGACTAATGTTATATGTAGGGGCCACCACTGACACTATCATTAGGTCAGTTGCCTCATGTCACTGCCAACCCCAAGGAAAGAGTTCCACAACATCGCAGGGCAGGGGGTGACAGTGTCCCTCATTCATTTGTTCTCTGGTGAGTTTCCAAGGCATTGTTGTTTCTATGTGACCACGGAAGTGGTTTTCAAGATCATATTGCCGAATTTCACTGAAAGGATCCTCATGGAATAGACAAGTCAACACTCATCATGCAAGCCCAATGAACAACCAACCAGAAAGTGACACCATGGACAAGTGGTCCCAGAGTGATTTGTCAACTCTATAATGATATGGTAGAAAAAAAACCGTTTATATTTTATAAGAAGTTGGTCCAAAGAATTCAAAATTATCAAGAAAAGACTCAAAATAGGCACTCAGATCCATTTTCTGAAACAAAGAACCTTAACCTAGGTGTATAGGGTGCCTTGAGAAATTGGCAATTGGCTGTGTAAAGCTTCCTGGAAAAGCAAGACATTTTCAAATTGAGTATCTAGAATATGAAAATAGACCTTTATAATCGGTATAATGAACGAGATGACATTTATTTCTAGATTTCTAAATAGTATACTTACAGAACTATTTTTGTTAACTGGAACATTATCTATTGATTTTCTGTTATGCTAGATGGAAATTTAGTACTTCTCTATTCCCTACCCTTCTTCCTTTCTTTCCAATCCCATGGTAGTTATATCCCACTTTTAGCCAAAGCAATAAAGGTACAGGTAATTGACGTTAGTAGGTTCCTGTAAATAACATTGATTGCAAAACCTAAGTAATACACTATTATCATGTTTTCATTCTTGCAAAATGTTTTGTTTTCCTGAAATTATCATGGTTTTCCTTTCTATATACTGAGACTTAATTTTTTTTCTGCTTTGGATTATTTAGCTATCAATGGATTTTTGTAAATGCTGAAGAATATCAGATGGTCTATCATTTTATTATTGTTTATATTTCTCTAAAGACCCCCCTGTAGTGCCCATTCTCCACATACAGTCTAAACCATTTGCTTTCTGGGCTGCTATATAGTGTTATGCTGTATTATCCTAGGCTGATTGCAGAACTAGATGGAAAAGTGGGTTGGAGCAAGACAGTTAAGAGGTTGGTTTGCCACAAAGAGTTTGGATTCCTTTAAGTCACTGGAGAACCATAAGAAGTGATAAGATGAAAGTAGTGTTTGACAGTGTCATTGTACCAGAGTAACTGTGGGTCAAGGAGGCTGTGTCTATCCTGAATTTCATGGTTTCAGGCTGCTTTTACCTACACACTGTTCTTCCTTAGAACTGCCATACATACATTTAAGCTATACAAGCAATAATATAGAGTAACTAAGCAAAGGCTGATCCTGAATCTAACTCTTAGGCACTTACAGTGGGAGGAAAACAATCTCTGATAAAAAGTAATGGATAAGGAATCTTCAATGTCACAGAAATTCAAAGTTCACATCAATGTAAATGTCTAAATTTCTTCATACACGTAACACTTTTCAACACTCCATGTCAGGACAGGCATTATTTAAAATGTCAACTTTGGACCAGGTACAGTGGCGCACACCTGTAATCCCAGCACTTTGGAGGGCTGAGGCGGGTGCATAATTTGAGCTTCATTTTGAAAACAGCCTGGAAAACATAGTGAGACCTCATCTCTACAAAAAAATTAATAAATTAGCCAAGCATGGTGGCGTGTGCCTGTAGTCCCAGCTACTCGGCAGGCTGAGGTGGGAGGATTACTTAAGCCCAGCAAGTGGAGGCTGCAGTGAGCTGTGATCGCACCACTGTACTCCAGCCTGGGCAACAGAGTGAGACCCTGGGCAACAGGGTGAGATTCAGAAAAATAAAAGTAAAATGTAAAGTATAAAGTCTGAAATAAAGCTGATCAGGACCATTCAAAAGACTACTGAGACAACTTGAATTTTACAGGCAAGAGATAGCTGGAGAAAATTTGTTCTGATGGCCACATCACAGCAGGCAGAACCAGAAGAGCCACCCATGCCACTCTTTGGCCCCCTCAATCTACTTTTGTCCTCTTCTATGTTTTTTTCCATGTATATTACTAAAGCTATATTATTGTAAATGCCATAATGTCTTATATACTTTATAATTTTCCAATGCTTTCACAAAAATCCTATTAAGCCTTTTGACAGCATATTTGGTAGACAGATAGGGTCAGCTATGTAATTCCCGTTTTTGCAGGAAAGGAAGCTGGGACTAAAAGAGGCTTAATGGCTCGCTAAGAATTCCATCTGGTTGGCAGCTTCAACAGCTTGGAGGAGTGGAGTCTTTAACCATAGACAGTTTTATATTTGTCCCCCAAAACTCCTTGTCTTTCTTTCCCATTTCACCCCCAGTTCTTTTGTTCCCTCTCTTCTTGAACACATCTATACAATGATCTATATTGTTATAGAAGAAATCTGTTGTTTTTGATATTTATGAAGTTTGTTTTCTGTTGTTATTCATTTTAAACAAACAATATTTTAATAATTATGAAGATTGATACATATAATCATTTAATATTTTAATTAATTTAAACAGAAATTAAGATAGATCATAATTTATATTTTAAACATATGTAATATTTAATAATTTTAATCAAATGATTTTAAATAATTAATAATTTAAAATAATAATTTTTAAAGTAAAGTTATTTTTTTCCTTAATAAGCTCATTCTTTTTATGTGTATATGGTTCTTAACTTTCTTCCCCCAACTCTGCCCTGAGATTCATGTGGTTATTGGTGAGGGGAATTCCCACTCCTGAAGCAAAGTCTAAATGTGTGCCCTTGGACCTCTTGCTCACACGTTCAGCTTTGTGATTCAGAAAACCTGGTACTCATCATTCTGAATGTATACAAGAATTTAGAAATTCAGGCTGGGCATGGGTTACCTACTTCCCCAAAAGATTCTTTGAATCTACAAAAGCATTTCCCACTGAATTTGTATACATATCAAGCTAATTGTATTTTTAATTCAATTCAATTCAGTTGTCATCAATGCAACTTAAGAAAATCACATTTTCTGGGTTCTGGTTTATTCCAGCAGCCTGTGCGGAGCTATGAAGCCTGACCACACAGTGGTGCTGACGCCCTTCAAGTGACACGGGGCAGCTCCACAGCGCTGCTCCTGGGGACAGTGTGAAGGAGGCAGCGGCCCTCCAAGCAGCAAGGAGTTCTGTGGAAATGAGGCAGCGACTTTGTTTGAGCTCTGCCTGCCTTAGGGAAGAATGAGGACGTCACCTCATGATGAAGACAGTCCCAGCAGTAATCCATCACCATGTCACCTTCATCTGTTTTGGTTAATGTTTGTTGAGATCCAGGGCATCAGCCCTCCCAACTCACAAGTAAAGAATATCTGTACATGCATAGAAAAGCGTCCTGAGTGGTGGCTGCCGGACTCCGATTTGACACAGACAATTCTCTGTAGGTGACTGTGCCATGTGGACCTAATCCTGAGTCATAGATTGTCTACCTGGGGTCAATTTGGCCCATGCACATGTTTTGTTTCACTTGTAGTGTTAACGTTTTGTAAACATTAAGTATCAACATTTTAGAATGAAGAGTCCGGTGTTTCCATTTCTATTGAAAAATAGGTAAATCTGGCAAGAGCCACCCCAAATTTTTGCAGGGCAGCTGTGAGGCTGGACTGGACATGTGCTCTTCAGTTTCTGTGGACCCCACTGGCCAGCCTGGCATATTCAGGTCCTGCTTTGACACCACAGGATTAGAGTAAGTGGCTCTTGTCCCAACGTCTTCCCTTAGGGACCTAGTCCCCTTCTCAGCCCAGGCTGTGTGCTTTGGTCTGCCTTGGAGCACCTGTATGTGTGCTTTTTGGGGGAGGAGTTCAACCACTTCTCTATGATTTGCTTATCCTTTTAGTAAAAATAAATTGTATTTGGTATATTTGAGGTTTACAACATGATGTTATGAGACATGTATAGATAGTATAGTGGTTACTTTCCACTGATATACATATGCCACATTTTCTTTATCCATTTATCCTCCAGTGGACACTTAAGTTGTTTCCATCTCTTAATTATGATGAATAATGCTGCAATTAACATGGGAGTGTAGATATCTTTACAAGGCGGTGATTTCATCTCTTTTTTGGTATATCCCCAGAAGAGGAACTGCTGGATCATGTCATAGTTTTATTTTTAATGTTTTTAGGAACTTCCATGCTGTTTTTTTTATAATGTTCCAATCTTCATTCCCACCAGCAATGTACGACGGTTTTCTTTTCTCCACACTCCCATCAACATTTGTTGTCTCTCATCTATTTGATAACAGCCACCCTAACAGGTGTGAGGCATTATCTCATAGTGGTTTTAATTTGCATTTCCCTGATTGTGATGTTGAGCACTTTTTCATATACATGTTGGCCATTTTTATGTCTTCTTTGGAGAAAATTCTGTTCAAGTCCTTTGCCCATTTTTAATTGGATTATTTGTTTTTCTCCTATTGAGTTGTAAGAGTTCCTTATACATTTTGGGCATTAACCCCTTATTAGATATGTGGTTGGCAAATATTTTTTCCCAGTCTGTAGGTTGCCTTTTCATTTTGCTGGTTTTTTCCTTTGTTGTGCAGGAGCCTTTTAGTTTGATGTAGTCCCATTTATTTATTTATTTTTGCTTTAGTAGCCTGAGCTTTTGGTGTAATATTTAACAAATCATGGGAGGCCGAGGCGGGCGGATCACGAGGTCAGGAGATCAAGACCATCCTGGCTAACACGGTGAAACCCCATCTCTACTAAAAAAGTACAAAAAATTAGCTGGGCGTGGTGGCGGGCGCCTGTAGTCCCAGCTACTCGGGAGGCTGAAGCAGAAGAATGGCGTGAACCCGGGAGGTGGAGCTTGCAGTGAGCCAAGATCCCACCACTGCACTCCAGCCTGGGCAACAGTGCAAGACTCCATCTCAAAAAAAAAAAAAAAAAATCATTTCCAAAACCAATGTCTAGGAGCTTGTCTCCTACATTTTTTTCTAAAAAGTTTATGGTTTCAGGTCTTACATGCAGGTATTTTATATGTTTTGAGTTAATTTGTATGTATGGTGTAAGATAAAGTCCCAATTTTATTTATTTGCATGTAGAAATCCAGTTTCCTTAGCACCATTTATTGAAGAGGCAAATATCCTCTTGGTGCCCTTGTGGAAAATTAGTAGACCATATATGTTGGATTGATTTCTGGCCTCCCTATTCTGTTCCACTGGTCTGTGTGTCTGTTTTTATGCCAGCACGATTAATATTTATCCTTAAGTCCTCACTTCCTTCTGGCAACTTCCTGAATGATGCAGGCTCTTAAAAACCATTTGTACTGTGCTTGGTTTTTATCCCCTAGTCCTTTGACATAGCTTGTAACCCTCCACGTGTGGTTCCCTGACTAAGCCAGGGAGCTCACTCCTCAAACTTGATAAGATCATCAAGGACACGCATACCTCATTTTATTGCTCTCTGCTTTGTTGCACTTCACACATACTACATTTTTCACGAATTGAAGGCTTGGGGCAACCCTGCATCCAGCAAGTCTATTGGCACCATTTTTCCAACAGCATGTTCTCACTTCATGTCTTCGTGTCACATTTGAAGAATTCTCACAGATTTCTTTTTTTTTTTTTGGTGGGGGGGGAGGATCGTACTTAAAATTTTTTTCCCCAACTATTATTTTAAGTTCAGGTGTACATTTGCAGGATGTGCAGGTTTGTTACACAGGTAAATGTGTGCCATGGTGGTTTGCTGCCCAGATCATCCCATTGTTACTGGTGGAAGGTATCCGAATTACCAGAGGTGAATCCGTATGGGTCTGCAGCAACCTCAATTCTTGCCTCCTCAGAAGAAAGAATTAGACAGAGAGGCATAAGGCAGAAAAAGAGACCAAGGCGAGTTTCAGAACAAGAGCGGAAGTTTATTTTAAAAGGCTTTAGAACAGGAAAGAAAGAAAGAAAACTATGCTTGGAAGAGACCCAAGTGGGCACTCAGATCAAGTGCTCTGTTTAACCTTGATCCTAGGACTTTCCAGGCTGGCCCCTTTCCCATGATTCTTCCCTTAGGGTGGGCTGCCAGCATGCACAGTGCCCTCCTTACCGTTGGGAGGAGAGCACGTACAGTGTGGTTAGGAAGTTGTACGCATGACCATCTGAGACTTTCTTCCCTTTGCTGGCGGTATGCCCTCGGAAGGTCATACTCCACCATTTTGTCTTAATGCATGTGCTGGGAAGTTGTTTCTCCCTGGCATATGAATCCAATTAGCACTTTAGTTGGGCAGGTGTTGACCATCAGGAAATGGCTCCTTCCTGGCACTGGCTTCCAATTCATTGCTTTTAGAAAGGCAATGTGATAACTGCCAAACCATCACTCGACATTCCCAGTGGGTGGAAAAGAGCCCTCTCCTGATCCACTCATGCCTAACTACCAGAAATACCATCACCTAGGTATTAAGCCCAGCATCCATTAGCAATTCTTCCTGATGCTCTTCCTCCTCCCACCTCACACCCTCTGACAAGCTCCAGTTGTGTTTTGTTCCTCACCATGTATCCATGTGTTCTCATCATTCAGCTCCCACTTATAAGTGAGAACATGAAATACTTGGTTTTCTGTTCCTGCATTAGTTTGCTGAGGATAATGGCTTCCAATTCCATTCACGTCCCTGCAAAAACCACGATCTCATTCCTTTTTATGGTGGCATGGTATTCCATGGCGTATATGTGCCACATTTTCTTTATCCAGTCTATCATTGATGGGCATTTGGTTGATTCCATGTCTTTGCTATTGTGAATAGTGCTGCAATGAACATACAATTATTGCATGTATCTTTATAATAATTTATATTCCTTTGGGTATATGCCCCGTAATGGAATTGCTGGGTCAGATGGTATTTCTGCCTCTAGGTCTTTGAGGAATCACCACACTGTCTTCCACAAAGGCTGAATTAATTTACACTCTCACCAAAAGTGTAAAAGTGTTCCTTTTTCTCCACAACCTTGTCAGCATTCTGTTGTTTTTTGACTTTTTAATAATCTTCATTCTGACTTGCTTGAGATGGTATCACATTGGGGTTTTGATTTGCATTTCTCTAATGATCAGTGATGTTGAGCTTTTTTTCCTATGTTTTGCATGTATGTCTTCTTTTGAGAAGTGTCTGTTTATGTCCTTTTTAATGGGATTATTTGTTTTTTTCTTGTAAATTTGTTTAAGTGCCTTGTAGATGCTGGATGTTAGACTTTTGTCAGATGGATAGATTGCAGAAATTTTCTCCCATTCTATAGGTTGTCTGTTCACTCTGATGATAGTTTCCTTTGCTGTGCAGAAGCTCTTTAGTTTAATTAGATCCCATTGTCAATTTTTGCTTTGTTGCAATTGATTTTGGTGTCTTTGTCATGAAATCTTTGCCTATACCTATGTCCTGAATGGTATTATCTAGATTTTCTTCTAGAGTTTTTATAATTTTAGGTTTTGTTTGTTTTTTTGTTTGTTTTTGAGATGGAGTTTTACTCTTGTTGCCCAGGCTGGAGGGCAATGGCGCGATCTTGGCTCACTGCAACCTCCACCTCCCGGGTTCAAGTGATTCTCCTGCCTCAGCCTCCCGAGTAGCTGGGATTACAGGCATGGGCCACCACGCCCAGGTAATTTTGTATTTTTAGTAGAGACAGGGTTTCTCCATGTTGGTCAGGCTGGTCTCGATCTCCCAACCTCAGGTGATCCACCTGCCTCTGCCTCCCAAAGTGCTGGGATTACCAGTGTAAGCCACCATGCCCAGCCAGTTGTACATTTTATATTTAAGTCTTTAATCCATCTTGAGTTCATTTTTGTATATGGTATAAAGAAGGGGTCCAGTTTCAATATTCTGCATATGGTTAGCCAGTTCTCCCAATACCACTTATTAAATAAGGAATCCTCTCCTCATTGCTTGTTTTGATCAGATTTGTCAAAGATCAGATGGTTGTAGGTGTACGGTCTTATTTCTGGGTTCTCTATTATGTTCCATTGGTCTATGTGTCTATTCTGTTCCATTGGTCTTCTTGTACCAGTACCATGCTGTTTTGGTTATTGTAGCCTTGTAGTATAGTTTGAAGTTGGGTAGTGTGATGCCTCCAGCTTTGTTATTTTTGCTTAGAATTGTCTTGGCTATTTGGGAGCTTTTTGGGTCCCATATAAATTTTAAAATAGTTTTCTTTAATTCTGTGAAGAATGTCAATGGTAATTTATGGGAACAGCATTGAATCTATAAATTGCTTTGGACCGTATGGCCATTTTCACGATATTGATTCTTTCTTTCCATGAGCATGGAATGTTTTTCCATTTGTTTGTGTCATCTCTGATTACTTTGAGCAGTGGTTTGTAGTTCTTGAAGAGGAGAACTTCACTTCCCTTGTTAGCTGTATTCCTAGGTATTTTATTCTTTTTGTGACAATTGTAAATGGGAGATTATTCATGATTTGGCTCTCTACTTGCCTGTTGTTGGTGTATAGGAATGCTAGCTATTTTTGCACATTGATTTTGTATCCCGAGACTTTGCCAAAGTTGCTTATCGGCTTAAGAAGCCTTTGAGCTGAGATAATGGGGTTTTCTAGATATAGGATTACGTCATCTGCAAAAAAAGATAGTTTGATTTTCTCTCTTCTGATTTGAATACGCTTTATTTATTTCTCTTGCCTGATTTTCCTGGCCAGAACTTCCAATACTATGTTGAAAAGGAGTTGTGAGAGACGGGCATCTGTGTCTTGTGCTGGTTTTCAAAAGGAATGCTTCCAGCTTTTGCCCATTCAGTATGATATTGGCTGTGGGTTTGTCATATATGGCTTTTATTATTTTGAGTTATGTTCCTTCGATACCTAGTTTATTGAGAGTTTTTAACATGAAGGGATGTTGAACTTTATCAAAGACCTTTTTTGCATCTATTGAGATAATCATGTGTTTTTTGTCTTTAGTTCTGTTTATGTGATGAATCACATTTATTGATTTCTGTAGGTTGAACCAAACTTGCATCCTGGGAATGAAGCCTACTTGATTGTTGTGGATAAGTTTTTTGATGAGCTGCTGGATTCAGTTTGCCAGTATTTTATTGAGGATTTTTGCATTGATGTTCATCAGAACACTGGCCTGAAGTTTTCTTTTCATTTCTTTTCTTTGGTTTTAATCTGCCAGGTTTTGGTATCAGGATGCTGCTGGCCTCATAGAGTTAGGGAGGAGTCCCTCCTTTTCAATTTTTTTGGAATAGTTTCAGTAGAAATGGTACCAGCTCTTCTTTATACCTCTGATAGAATCCTTCTTTGTACCTCCTGGGCTTTCTTTGGTTGGTAGACTATTTATTATTGCCTCAATTTCAGAACTCATTATTGTTTCTATTCAGGGATTCAGTTTCTCCCTGGCTCAGTCCTGGGAGGGTGTATGTGTCCAGGAATTTATCCATTTCTTCCAGATATTCTAGTTTATGTGCATAGAGGTGTTTATAGTATTCTCTGATGGTTGTTTGTATTTCTGTGGGGTCAGTGATGACAGCCCCCTTATCATTTCTGGTTGTGTTATTTGAATATTCTCTCTTCTTTATTAGTGTCGCTAGTGGTCTATTTTATTAATTTTTTCAGAAAAAAAGCTCCCGGATTCCTTGATTTTTTGAAGGGTTTTTCGTGTCTCTATCTCCTTCAGTTCAGCTCTGATCTTGGTATTTCTTGTCCTCTGCTAGTTTTGGTGTTTGTTTGCTCTTGGTTCTCTAGTTCTTTTAGTTGAGATGTTAGGTTGTCAATTTGAGATCTTTCCAGCTTTTTGATGCAGGTATTTAGTGCTATAAATTGCCCTCTTAACACTGCTTTAGCTATGTCCCAGAGATTCTCATATGTTTTATCTTTGCTCTCATTAGTTTTAAAGATCTTCGTGGTTTCTGCCTTAATTTCATTATTTACCCAAGAGTCATTCAGGAGCAGATTGTTCCATTTCCATGCAGTTGTGTGATTTTGACTGAATTTCTTAATCTTGCATTCTAATTTGATGGTGCTGTGGTCTGAGAGACTATTTGTTATGATTTCAGTTCTTTTGCATTTGCTGAAGAGTGTTTTACTTCTGATTATGTGACCAATTTTAAAATAAGTGTCATGTGGTGATGAGGAGAATGTTTACTCTGTTGGTTTTGGGTGGAGAGTTCTGTAGCTATCTATGAGGTTTACTTGATCCAGAGCTGAATTCAGGTCCTGAATATCTTTGTTAATTTTCTGCCTTGATAATCTGTCTAATATTGTCAATGGGGTGTTAAAGTCTCCCACTATTCTTGTGTGGGTGTCTAAGTCTCTTTGAAGGTATCTAAGAACTTGCTTTATAAATCTGGGTGCTTCTGTATTGGGTGCATATATATTTAGGATAGTTGGCTCTTCTTATTGAATCGAACCCTTTAACATTATATAATGCCCTTGTCTTTTTTTTATCTTTGTTGGTTTAAAGTCTGTTTTTTTCAGAAACTAGGAGTGGAACCCCTGCTTTTTTCTGTTTTCCATTTGCTTAGTAAATTTTCTTCCATCCCTTTATATTGAGCCTATGTGTGTCTTTTCATGTGAGATGGGTCTGTTGAAGACAACATACTGATGGGTCTTGGTTCTTCATCCAGCTTGCCATTCTATGTCTTTTAATTGGGGGATTCAGGCCATTTACATTTAACGTTAGTATTATTATGTGTAGATTTGATCCTGTCATCATGATGCTAGCTGTTTATTTTGCAGACTTGTTTATGTAGTTGCTTCATAGTGTCATTGGTCTGTGTACTTCAGTGTGCTTTTGTAGTGGCTGCTAACAGTTTTTCCTTCCCATATTTAGTGCTTCCTTCAGGAACTCTTGCAAGGCATGTCTGGTGATGATCAATTCCTTGAGCACTTGCTTGTCTAAAAAGGATCTTATTTCTCCTTCACTTATGAAGATTAATTTGGCTGGAGATGAAATTCTGGGTTGGATATTATTTTCCTTAAAAATGTTGAATATTGGCCCCCAGTCTTTTCTGGCTTGTAGGGTTTCTGCTGAGAGGTCCACTGTTAGTCTGATGGGCTTCCCTTTGTAGGTGACCTGGCCTTTCTCTCTGGCTGTTCTTAACATTTTTCCTTTCATTTCGACCTTGAAGAAACTGGTGATTATGTGTCTTGGGGTAGATCTTCTCATGGAGCATCTTACTGGGATTCTTTGCATTTTCTGAATATGAATGTTTTCCTGTCTTGCTAGGTTGGGGATGTTCTCCTGGATACTATCCTGAAGTATGTTTCCCAACTTGGTTCCATTCTCCTTGTCTCTTTCTGGTACCCCAATCAGTCATAGGTTTGGTCTTTTTACATAATCTCATATTTCTCAGAGGTATTGTTTGTTCCTTTTTATTCTTTTTTCTCTATTCTTGTGTGCCTGTCTTATTTCAGAAAGGTAGTCTTCAAGCTCTGAGATTCTTTCTTCTGCTTGGCCTATTCTGCCATTGATACCTGTGATTGCACTGTGAAGTTCTCGTGTTGTGTTTTTCAGTTCCATCAGGTCAGTTATGTTCCTCTCTAAACTGGTTATTTTGGCTACCAGTCCTGTATTGTTTTATCACGATTCTTAGCTTCTTTGCATTAGGTTACAACATGCTCCTTTAGCTCAGTGAAGTTCATTATTATCCATATTCTGAAGTCTACTTCTGTCATTTCAGCCATTTCAGCCTCAGCCCAGTTCTGAGCCCTTGCTGGAGAAGTGTTGTGGTCATTTGGAGGAGAAAGGGCTCTCTGGCTTTTTGAGTTTTCAGCATTTTGGTGTTGATTCTTTCTTATCTTTGTGGGCTTATCTACCTTTGATCTTTGAGGTTGCTGACCTTTGAATGGGGTTTCTGTGGGGTCTTTTTTGTTGATGTTGTTGTCGTTGTTTTCTGTTTGTTTGTTTTTCTTTTAACTGTCAGGTTGCTCTTTCATAGGGCTGCTGCAGTTTATTGGGGATCTATTTAATACCCTAGTTGCCTCGGTTTTTCCTCTACCTGGAGGTATCACCAGTGAAACCTGTGAAACAGCAAAGATGGCAGTCTGCCCTTTCCTCTGGAAGCTCCATCCCAGGGGGATACTGACCTTTCGCCAGCCCAAGTGTGCCTGTAAGAGGTGGCTGGAGACTCGTATTGGGAGGTCTTACCAAGTCAGTAGGAATGGGATCAGGGATTCACTTAAGTAAGCAATCCAGCTGCTTTTTGGTAGAGCAGGTGTGCTGTGTTGGGGATCCCTTCAGCCCCGATTGGTATGGGGTCTCCAGGACCCACAGGCTGGGCTGAGTGAGAAGTCCAAACAGCCAAGGTGGTGGCCTGCTCCACCCCCTGGGCACTTTGTTCCAGGGGGAAATTAGAGCTCTGTTTATGGAAAACTGGTTGGAGTGGCTGAAGCTCTGGCTGCGAGGTCCTGCCCAGTGAGGAGGAATGGATCTGGGTCCTGCCTAAAGAAGCAGTCTGGCCACAATCTGGCAAAGTGGCTGTGCTGCACTGGGAGACTTTTCTTATCTGGACCATTTGGACTTTCCAAAGCTGGCAGGCTGGAACCACTGAGTTGACTGAACCACAAAGATGGTGGCTGTCCCTCCCCACAGGAGGCCCTGTCCCAGGGTGAGATCAGAGCTCTGACTGTAGACCACTGAATTCTTCCATATTTCAAACTTTTGAACTATTTTTATAGCTATTATGATAATCTGTGGTCAGTGATCTTTGATGTTTCAATTGCAATTGTTTTGAGGTACCACCAACCATGCTCAGATAAGAGGGCAAACTTCAATAACTGTTGTATGTGTTCCGACTGCTCCACCAATCTGCTGTTCCCCCTTATATCTCTTTTGCTGGGTTTCCCTATTCCCTGATACAATAATATTGAAATTAGGCCAATTCAGAACCCTACAATGTCTTTAACGTGTTCAAGTGAAAGAAAGAGTTACAAGTCTCACCCTTAAATCAAAAGCTAGGAATGATTAAGCTTAGTGAGGAAGGCATGTCAAAATCTGAGATAGGCTGAAAGCTAGGCTTTTTGCATCAGTTAGCCAAGTTGTGAATGCAAAGGAAAAGTTCCTGAAGGAAATTATAAGTGCAACTCCAGTGAACACACAAATGTTAAGAAAGTAAAGCAGTCTTATTGCTGACATGGAGAGTTTGTGTGGTTTGGATAGAAGATCAAACAAGCCCCAAGATTTTCTTAAGCCAAAGCCTAATCCAGAACAGGGCCCTAACTCTTCAATTCTATGAAGGCTGAGAGAGGTAATAAAGCTGAAGAAGAAAAGTTTGAAGCTAGCAGAGATTGGTTCATGAGGTTTAAGGAAAGATGCCATTTCCATTACATAAAAGTGGAAAGTAAAGCAGTAAATGCTGATGTAGAAGCTGCAGCAAGTTATCAAGTTATCCAGGAGAGACAGCTAAGATCATTGATGAAAGTGGTTACACTAAACCACAGATTTTCTTTTTTTTTTTTTTGAGATGGAGTCTCGCTGTCTCACAGGCTGGAGTGCAGTGGCGCGATCTCGGCTCACTGCGAGCTCCACCTCCCGGGTTCACGCCGTTCTCCTGCCTCAGCCTCCTGAGTAGCTGGGACTACAAGCACCCGCCACCACGCACAGCTAATTTTTTGTATTTTTAGTAGAGAAGGGGTTTCACCATGTTAGCCAGGATGGTCTTGATCTCCTGACCTCGTGATCCTCCTGCCTCGGCCTCCCAAAGTGCTGGGATTACAGGCGTGAGCCACCGTGCCCGGCTAAACCACAGATTTTCTATGTAGATTAAACAGCCTTCTGTTGGAAGAAGATGGCATCCAGGAGTTTCATAGGAGGAGAAGCGAATGCCTGGCTTCAAAGCACTGAAGGACAGGCTGACTCTCGTTAGGGTCTAATGCAGCTGGTGACTTGAAGTTGAAACCAATGTTCATTGAGCATTCTGAAAATCCTAGGGCCCTTAAGAATTATGCTAAATCTACTCCACCTGTGCTATATAAAGAAACAACAGGATCTGGATGACAGCATATCTGTTTATAGCATGATTTACTGAATATTTTAAGCCCACTGTTAAGACCTACTACTCAGAAAAACAGATGTCTTTCAAAATATTACCACTCATTGACAATGCAGCTAGTCACACAACAGTTCTGATAGAGATGTGCAAGGAAATAAATGTTGTTTTCATGCCTGTGAATACAACATTCATTCTTCAGCCCATGGATCAAGGAGTAATTTCGACTTTCAACTCTTATCATTTAAGAAACACATTTTATAAGGCTTACAGCTGCCATAAATAGTAATTTCTGTGATGGATTTGGGCAAAGCAAATTGAACCTCATAGAAAGTATTTCTCATTCTAGGTGCAATTAAGAACATTCGTGGTTTATGAGAAGTCAAAATACTGACATTAGCAGGAGTTTGAAAGAAGTTGATTCCAACCCTCATAGGTACCTTTGAGGGTCTCAAGACTTCAGTGGAGGAAGTCACTGCAGATATGGTAGAAACAGCAAGAGAACTAGAATCAGAAGTGGAACCTGAAGATGGGACTGAATTGCTGCAATCTCATGATCAAACTTGAATGAATAAGGAATTGCCTCTTATGGGGAGCAAAGAAAGTTGTTTCTTGAGATGGAATCTACTTCTGGTGAAGATGCTGTGAACATTGTTGAAATGACAATGAAGGATTTAGAATACTATGTCAACTTAGTTTATGAAGAAGTGGCAGGGCTTGAGAGGATTTACTCCAATTTTGGAAGAAATTCTACTATTGGTAAAACGCTATCAAATGGCATCTCACGTTACAAAGAAATCTTTCATAAAAGGAAGAGAGAGTCCATCGATGCCTCAATTTCCATTGTTGTCTTACTTTAAGAAATTGCCTCACAGCCACCCAAACTTCAGCAACAATTACCACCATCAACACTGTGGCAAGACCCTCCACTGGCAAAGCTTACAATGTGTCAAAGGCTCAGATGATTGTTAGCATTTTTTAGCAATCAAGCATTTTTAAATTAAGGTATGTGAATTGTTTTCTTAGACATAATGATTTTGCACACAATAAACTGTGGTATAGTGTAAACATAACTTTTAGATATACTGGGAAAACAAAAAAATTTTTGTGACGTGCATTTTTGTGACATTCACTTTATTGCAGTGGTTTGAACAGGACCCACAATATCTCCAACGTATTCCTGTATACACCTGGACCTTAACCAGTGGGAAAAATGAGCAGCAAAGTTGTCCTGGGTCAACTAGAGCTGGAAAGTGTCGGGGCTGGGACAAACCAGGCACTATCTGTGCCCAGCCCCCTCTCAGCTCCACTAAACAGCTTTTTTTCCTCCTTCAGCTCAAGGGCCACCAAAGTGAGGGGGGCTGGTGATGTCTGTGGTGCCCCTGTCCATTCATGCCCAAAACAGGTGAGAATGGAACCACACAAAAGTGAAAATGAAACTGGTGGGGAGGAGGAAATAAGGTTCAGAGGGAAAGAATAGGGGTGCACACAGGAAAAAGAAGAAAAACAAAGGGGAGACTTTCACAGATTGCCTAGCCATGGCACTGGCACAGGCAGTAAATGATGTGGATTCTGTCTTGGGACATGTGGCTACTCTATTCTGAAAATGTCATTTGCTTAAAAAAAAAAATTATCTATTGCCATTTAGCCCTCCTGGATATGCAACTTAAAAAAATCAAATACAGAAATTGGGTTATTTTCTCCAAATAAATTGAGAATATTTTATATTACTTATTGTGTCTTTATAGTAGAAGATATTGCGAGTTTTTCACCTAACGTTTTCCTTTTTGTCATGGACGCACAACTGGATTGCATTTCCCAGCCTCTCTCACGGGTAGGTGTGGTCACATGACTGAGTTCTAGCCAATGGAATGTGAGAGGAAGCCAGAGCTGACGCATAGAACCTCTCACGTTATTTTCCCTTCCATGGTGACATGGGAAGCATCCATTGAAGAAGGTGGAGCCATGGGTGGGAAAGGAGCCTGATCCCTCAGTTATAGTCAGCCCTCCAAATCTGTGGGCTCCACATCCTTGGATCCAACCAATGCTGACTTGAAAATATTTGAAACAACAACAACAAAAATAACAATATAACAACAAAAAATAATACAAATAGGAAACAATATACAGTAACAACTATTTACACAACATTTACATTATATTAGGTATTTAAATTTTTTTTAGAGTTGGGGTCTCACTATGTTGCCCAGGCTGGAGTGCAGTAGCACAATCATAGCTTACTGCCATCTCAAACTCTGGGGCTCAGGCCATCTTCCCACCTCAGCCTCCCAATGTGTTAGGATTACAGGTGTGAGCCATTGCACCTGGCCTGTGTTAAGTATTATAAGTAATCTAGAGATGATTTAAAGTATACAGAAGGATGTGCACAGGTTATATGCAAATACTATGCCATTTTGTATCAGGGACTTGAGCATCCAGGGATTTTGGTATCTGCAGAGTTGTGGAACCAATCCCCCAGGGAGGCTGAGGGATGATTAAACTTTTTGTGTGTGTGTGTGTGTGAAGTATTTGACAGGTTTACATCACTGCTCACCACTAGGGAACAAATTAATCATTTTTTCTGTGCCTCAGTCTTTTCCTTATCTGAAAATATTGATAGCAACTACCTCCTGGGGCTATTGGAAGTACTAAATGAGTCAATATTTTCACACTTAGAATAGGGCTCTGCTTAGAGTAAGCACTACATAAGGATATATTAAATAGTGAAAGCTCTATAAGTGTCAGTATTATATTAGCCTTTATGGCTGTTAAGGACTGAATATTTGTGTATCCTCAAAATTCTTATGTTGAAATCTTAATCCTCAATGTGACAATACTTGGAGATAGCAACTATGAGAAGGTAATAAAATTAACTGAGGTCACACATATGGGTCCCTAATCTGATAGGTCTGGTACCTTTTTTTAAATTTTTTTTTTGAGATGGAGTCTCGCTCTGTTGCCCAGGCTGGAGTGCAATGGTGCGATCTCAGCTCACTGCAACCTCTGCCTCCCAGGCTCAAGTGATTCTCCTGCCTCAGACTCCCGAGTAGCTGGGACTACAGGCACGTGCCACCACACCCGGCTAATTTTTTATATTTTTTGTAGAGACAGGGTTTCACCATGTTAGCCAGGATGGTCTCCATCTCCTGACCTCTTGATCCTCCCGCATTGGCCTCCCAAAGTGCTGGGATTACAGGCGTGAGCCACCACGCCTGGCCTGGTGCTCTTTTAAGAAGAGGAAAATATATCAGCATTCTCTCTCTGCACACGTGTGCACCAAGGAAGGTCATGAAAGGACACTGTGAGAAGGTGCCATCTGCAATCCAGGAGGGGAGTCCTCACCAGACACGAAATCTGCCAGCACCTTGATCTTGGACTTCTTAGCCTCTACAACTGTGAGAAAATAAATTTCTGTTGTTTAAGACATGCAGTCTGTGATACTTTGTTCTGGCAGCCCAAGCAGATGAACACAATGGCTATTCTAAACATTTTAAGACATTTCCTTGAATGGTAATGAGAATAACCTTGGTTGATAGGTTTTCTTTTTTCAGGATGGCATAAAAGTTAGGAGTTGAGGTTGAGGTGTCAGATGAGTTGGCCTGGGTTCAAATCTTGGCTTTGCAGTACTGTGAGACATGAAAAATTTACTTAACTCCACTAAGTCTTAATTTTCTCATTAATAGGACTATAATATCTACTTCATAGGGCTATTGGAGGATTAATGAGATAATGTTTGTAAAAAAAAATTCAGTGGAGTGCCTGGCACATAGTTAGTCCTAATTAATCTCAGAATCTGTTTTTTTTGGTTGTTATTGTTGTTGTTGTTTACTTTTTGGCGCCAAAACTCTTCCTTGAAGCAAAATCTTAGATAAATAGCCAATCCAGCATAGATGGAAGCAGAGGGTAGGGCTTGGAAGGGAGGAGACCCTCTGTCCACCCACGGGCTTCTCCTCACATCCAGTGACATTCTCCAGAGTGTCCCTGAGTCACCTCTGTGGAATCCTAGCACTGCTCAGCACAGTTTGATCATTTATAGGACTTGAAGTTCCCTAAACGATTATTTTGTTCCAGTTTTAACATTGTTATGACTACGAGAAGTGGCATGTGGCCGTGAAATGGAAGTGGAAGTTGAAATTATACTCACACGACCTTTTCCCTATGTTTGGGCCTCTTCTGACTTAGCAAATGACTTCCACCACTGCCTCTCACGCTCACGGGTTAAGCCCCCTCTCTACAGGAGTCGCCGCCCTTTCTCCCGTCTGCTTCTGCTGCATGGAGAGGGGTGGCAGGACGCTGACATGATGCTGACATGATGCTGTTGCCCTGCTGCCTGGGGCCCCATTGAGGGGTCCAGGCTCCAGATGAGGAGTGAGAGCTCATGAGATTTCATTTGTAGAGCCGGATGGCTAAGTTTCTGACAGATAAGGCCCTCAGCCAGTTACAAGGCATGGTTGTGAAACTAAATTATCTAGGGAAAAAAATGAGCCGTTCTGACACCCCCGTGCCTTCATCCAGTCAAAAGTTAAATTATCGCCCAAATTTTCCCTCTGTACCTCTACTTAGCGGTACAAGTGTAAGCCATACATAAAACTCCAGTTAACTCTGACTGGGCAGGAGTGGCTCCATTTCCCTTGCATTCAGAGGAGGCCACGTGGCTGCTGAAACCCTTAGGGGACTTTCACTCCCACTGGGATGAAATTTTAAGTCTTAACCATGGTCTCTGACCTCATATCCTCTCCGTCTCCTCCTGACCCTTGCTGCTCCAGTCACTCTTGTCTGGGGTTCCTCGAGCATGTGAAGTATTTTCCACTGTCTGAGCCTTTGCACATCTGTTCCTGTGACCTTCCTCCCAGAGAGCCACGGAGCTCCATTCTTCATCAACTTCCTCCTCAAAAAGGCCTTCCTTGCTTGCCGTGTCTAAAACAGCATCACCGATCCCTCTCTAAAATTGTGCCCTGCCAACATACAGTTACGTAGGAGGAATAAATTCAATGTTTGATAGCAGAATAGGGTGACTATAGTTAAACAAAAATGTATTGCACCCAGGAGATGGACACCCTAATTTGATCACTATACATTATATACATGTAACAAAATTTCACATGTACCCCATAAATTTGCACAAATAATAAAAAGTCAACATGAGCCTTTCTTTGTATTTATGGCTCTTACCTCCATCCCACATAGAGTATGGACAAATATCGACAATTGCCTATCTCCCATCCCCTTCACAGACATGGAGCAGAAACTGGGTCTACTGCGTTCACTACCATAGCTGCAGGTTCTGGAACAGTGCTTGGCACATCGATGCTCCATGAATCCACGCTGAATGAATGACTAGGTGACCTTAACTGTTACTCGTGCATCTGCACAGTTACAAACTTGCAGAGGCATGCAGAGAAGTGGTGGATAGTATTGGCTCTCAGCTGCTTGTATTGTGGCCAGGCCTATTGATGCCTGGATTTGTGGCCTTTAGAAAACCCATGTAGGCCCAACAGAAAGGTCCAAATAAGCCTGATTCACCTTAGCGGGAGAGTTCATATCTGCGTTAATTGTTTTAACCATGAAGTGACGGTTACACCTCTGGCCATTATTCTTGCTTGAGGAGAGTAGTTCCCATCTTATTCCTGTTTCTTAACTTTATCTTATGCTACAGTGGCTTTATACTGTGTTAACTTCGGCTGGTTAGAATTATGTTTCACAGAATTCCCTTCCCAGTATGGTTCTGAGTTAGAATTGGCCAAAAGAAAGTTGGCCAAAGCATGCTCAGTAAAAACAGATGCTGAGATGCCAGTTACTGCCAGTGGTCATCATGCTTCCCTGCTCTGCATTCAGCCCCTCCTCCTGCCAGCTGGCCCTGCTGACCAGCATCGACTGTGGTCCACCACCAGGTGTAGGAGCAACATCTTGCCTGGACTTCCCCATCAGCTCTCCACTGTCCTTCCTCTCCAGCATCTGGATCTGCTGGCTTCCCGGAATCCCTGCAAGTGCTGACTTGCCCATCTGTCCCAGTGCTTCAGGAGGGCTGCATAGGGCATTTTCCCAGAACCTCCAGCTCTCATGTCAGACCTTTACTTCCAGCTCCTCCCACACTTGTGTAAGGTTTAATCCCTGTAAGAAAGTCCTATTCCATCATCCTCATTGTCATTCCTCTTCCCTGATTGAACTTTCATTCATACACATGAAAAGTATCCTGTACTCAGCCTGCCAATTAATAATCATTTCTCCAGCATTATCAGCAGCATTTTAAATATGGATACTTTCTTTCTAAATACTTAATACACTTGCCTTCCTCTACTTTATAGCATGATCTCAATAATTATCTAATATATAATGTAATTTGTTATTTCCCAAAATATGCTTTGATGCTTTTTGATGAGATACAGACTAAAGCTTCTTAAAAATTATTCAAAACAGTCATGTGTCCTATATGATGTTTTGGTCAATGACGGACTGCCTACATGACCGTGGATGGAGCAATAGGCTAGGTGTGTACTAGGTTCTACCTTCTAGGTTTGCATAAGTACACTTAAGTACACTCTATGATGTTCACATGATGAGGAAATTGCATGAGAATGAAATCGCCCAACGATGCATTTCTGAGAATGTATCCCCATTACTAAGTGACGCATGACCGTACTGGGAAGTAGAAAATATAATCAACACTGAAACTCATTATTTCATGAATATTATAAGTCAAAACAGAGCCAAATTTATGGAGCCAAAAGAAATAAGTAAATTAGAGGATAGTATAAAGATACTATGAGAATGACTGGTATTTGGGGAACTTGGATACAGTCACCAATGTGAGATAAGCTCTGATTTGGGAGGCAGGAGACCTTGGTTGTGGCACCTCCTCCAGAGGACAGAGCTACAGAGGCAGATGGGTGCTCTGTGTGTGCAATGCTGGGCAACCTTCGAAGGCACTCGGCTCATCCTCCCAGATGACCCGTCCAGTCCCAGCCTCTCCTTGGAGCCTTGCCAGCCCCTAATATTTCAGCCTGTAAATGCTCCAATTACCCAGCGCTGCCCCACACATCTGCAATCACTTATAAACATATTTCCACCACTTCTGTCTCTTACTACCCTACTCCCCTGCACTCACAACTTGCATTGTTAAAGTTACCTTCACTTTTCACATTATTAATTTTTTTAAACCATATCTGAACTGGGAATTAAACTATTCCTAATTTTAAAAAGAAGCAGATGCTCATTGAATAAATTTGAACAATACAAATAAAATGTGCTAGTTTATCTTTGCTCACCTACTACTTTTACTTAAATTTTATTTTAAGTAATTTTATTTTATTTTAGAGATTGGGGCAATCTTTCCCCCAATTTGATATAGAATCTTCTAGGATTTGTTTTTTATTTAAGTATTTGCATGTAGGATTTTTAAAAAATAAAATGGGGTATTCTATGCTTGTTATTCAAGACTTTACCTTTTGCATTTATCAATGAATCATGGATATTCTTCCATGTTATGTACAAGCTCACCTCATCTTTTTTAACAGATGCACAGAATTTTACAATGCTATGTTTGAAAATGACTCCTGAAGGCCATTGAACCACTTTCCATGTGATTACATCAAGTCCAAGACCTGCATTAAGCCCCAGTGTCCTAAGGCATTCATTGTATGTCACAAATTAACTTCCTTCCTAGGTCTCTAGAATGATACTAGAATGCAACATCCTTGGAAAAATCAGGAGATAGTCACTGGGATCACTTTCTGTATTCTGTGGTTCAGATGAGAAACCTCACTTGAGCAAGACTAGATCTCAACACAACACAGCATTGGATGCTCAACCCTCTTCTGCCAGAGGAGCTCCCAGATTTCACAGTTCCTCTTGTAACTGAACACAGGTTTGGCTGTTTGCCACCTGCAAAACCATAACAAGGATGGGGTGCTGTGGAAGGAAAGCGACTTTATTTTCTGAAGCCAGCAGTGTGGAAATGGTTCAGTCTCCTGTCTGTTAAAAGAAAAACTTCAGCTGAATTAAATTTAAAGGAGTTTAATTGAGCAATGAACAATTCATGAGTCAGGCAGCCCCCAGAATCACAGCAGGTTTAGAGAGACTCCAGGGATGCCTCATGGTAGGAACAAATTTAGAGACAAAGAAAGGGAAGTGATGTATAAAAATCGGAAGTGATGTATAGAACAGCTGGATTGGTTACAGGTTGATGTTTGCCTTATTTGAACACAATTTGAACACTTAGCAGTCTACGAGTGATTGAAGTATGGCTGTTGGGATGGGCCAAGACTCAGCTATTGTTACAGGCACATACTCCTAAATTAGGTTTTCAGTCTTGTCTGCTTATTAAGCTAGGTGACAGTTCATCCACAAGGACTCAAATATACAAGTATGGAGTCCTTCTCAGGCCCTATTTAGTTTGCTTTAACACGCCTTAACAAAACTACTTGGAAATTCCCAGGCAAAATGCTAAGGTTTAAGAAAGAGAAATTTGGTATGGAGGGCATGCAGTGCAGGACTATGTGACTTGTTCCAATGACTTATCCTGAGTTATTGTCTCATCTGGTGAATGGGCTGGCACCATCTTGGGTTTGACAGGGTTGTAAATTAGCTGCAGCCTTAAAGTAATCTCCTAGTCAAGGAGAATTCCATAGGCACCTGGATTGTCTGAAGATTCAGTCTCCAGAACTTCTAAGCAAACATAATTAGATAAACCAGCAATGCAAGGAAGTGCCTAGTGGAAAGAAGGAGAGTAAAGGTTACTATTTCATTAGTAAAAAGTTAATACAAAGGGCCACAGAAAGAAAAGGAAAAAAAAAAGTAAAAATAGAGTACTTAATTACACTCCCATGCCCACTAACCCTCATCTAGTAATAGACAGAGTTATCACATACACACATATGTAGGGGAGATTAAAAAAACTCTTCCTTTCCTCACTTAGCTTCTATGGCTGGGATACTGGAAATTAAACTGAAAAAAGACAGATGAATAAGAGAAAAACACAGTTTATTCACACATGCAGCATGAATACATTCAAGAGAAATCTGGTGATTGGTCTCTCAAAGGGGCGATTAGAACTTGGAGCTTATAGAGCATGTTAACAAAGAATGATAAAGTTGTAGAGAAGTGACAAGGAAAAGGGGCTTAGGCTTTCAGGGGTGGGAAGGTAAATATAAGGGGAAAGACAAGTTGTTTTCCTAAGGTTTGTTATGTAGATTTCATCTCTGGGCTGATAAGAATCTGATTACTAAGAGTTATTCTGCTCTTCCTGGTACAGGAAGGGCACCTTTCTCATGGGAAATTTTATGTCCTACTTTTAGATAGAAAGGGGAAGGTCAGAAAGCTCTTCCTGCATCTGCTGTTTTTCAAGTGTCTTCAGCTCAAAATAATCCTTATGCCAATGGCATATTTTGGGGTGGCATATTCTGATTCCCTACAATAAATACACAGTGAACTAAACTCCCACCTTTAATATTATTGCTCTCTCTCATATTGGCTCTTACTTAATATTAATAATTTCAGCTAACACTTTTGGAACACATTTTATATCCCAGGCACTGTGCTAAGCATGTCATATAATCTATGTCATTTCGTTCTTTCAACAACTCCATGAGACTCAAAGGGGTTAAGTAAGCCTTCCCATGGTCACACGAATAGTAAGTGGGAAGAGACTGAAAAACGAATTTAAGCCTGCAGATTACTTCTAGTTCTCCAAAGCCTCACTAACACTGTTGGGATAAGCTCAGCCAGGAGTTGGAGTGAAGCTATCTTTTCTATGTTTGTATTTTGCTATGCCAAACACCCTTTAAGGCTAAAAGACTCCAGTTATCCATCTTAGCTTGTTGGCCTTGAGAGGTAAGGAAGGTCTTTACACACAATGGGCACTTAAATCCATTTGAATGATGACTCTGCTGCCTTCATAACTTGTCAAGGGTTGGGACTAGAGTCCAGCATTCTGAGCCGCTGGATAAATCTGTCAGAGTGATTGCTGATGGCTTGTTTTCTTTCATTTGGTGGAATATTTATAGAAAAACTTTTAGCAGGCTCCAAAATGTAATATTCTCCAGAGATACATTTTTGGACCTTGAAACTACATCCTACAATGAAAAATAAATTGGTAGGATTTCAGATAAGGCTCCAGTATTGATTTGTAAATACCTCTCAGAGTATTCAGCTATGCTTAGTTTAATTCCGTATTATTCTTATCTAATTCTACCAAAATTTTAAATAAGCTATTAACATTTTTAAAATTGTTTAAAGTAAAAAATTTTAAATTATTTTAGCAATTTTATTGCCAAAAACCAGTTGTTGAGTTATTTCAAAACTTTCTCAGAATCCAGGAGTCAAACAGGAAATTTAGAAAACACGTAGTCCAATATTGTTTTTTGAGAACAGGACAGAGGTACAGTGAGGGGTCTGGATTTGTCTGAAGTCTCAAAGCTAGTCTTTGTCTCAGTTATAAGTAAACAAATCAAATTCAATGATGTAAGGAGATGTTTTGGGAAGTAGTTGTCCTTTTTCTGAATTTATTGCTTATTTTTGTGTCTTCAATGCCTGGCATAATGCAATTACAATACAACTGCTCAAGAAACATTTACTAAGTTAGATGATGTGTCAAAAATGTGATCTCTTTTCAGAAAAAATATTTGCTTTTATTAGTTACTGATCCAAATAATTTTTAAAACAAAAAATGTAAACATATCATAAAAGAAAAATTGCACCAGCCAGAGTTAAACAGTCAAGGAAGACTTTATTCAAGATTGTTGCAATAGGGGAAAGAGATTGAACTCAATTCCACAAAAACAAACGGTGGGAGAGTTTTCAAACTCTGGAATCAGCCAGTGGAAAAGTACTAGAGGGTGGAGAGAGGTGGGTCAATGTGATTGGGCATCTGTGTTTGCTAGCCTGTGTTTATCAAAGCCAGGCTCCTACCCATCCACAGAGAGGGCCATCTTTCTCAGTGATTACATTTCAAAGGGATGGTTCACAGGTCCTTGAGAAAGACATTCCTGGGCTGTAAAACTGGCAAGGAGCTGGGAGAAGATTTACATCTCAAAGGGGGCAGAGAAAGAATTTACAATTGCAAGTTTTCTAAACTAGGTGCTCTAAGAAAAGGAAAGTCAGGGCCCACGCGATGGCCCACGCCTGTAATCCCAGCATTTTGGGAGGCCAAGGCGGGCGAATCACAAGGTCAGGAGATCGAGACCATCCTAGCCAAGATGGTGAAACCCCATTTCTACTAAAAATACAAAAATTAGCAGGGTATGCTGGCACACACACCTGTAGTCCTAGCTACTTGGAAGGCTGAGGCAGCTACTCAGAAGGCTGAGGCAGGAGAATTGCTTGCATCCGGGAGGCGGAGGCTGCAGTGAGCTGAGATCACGCCACTGCACTCCAGCCTGGTGACAGAGCGAGACTCCATCTCAAAAAAAAAATAAAAAGACAGCAGCATTTGAAGGTTAAAAAAAAAAAAAGCAATGGAGCAATGCCTAAAATTCTGAAGGAAAATCTTCTGAAGAAAAACATTTTCTAAAAGAATTTCTACCTATCCATATTATTTATAAGCAAAGCTTGGCTAAGGTGAGTTTTGGGAGTGCAAACTCCCCACAGTTTTACCACTCATGCAATTTTTCTCGAGAAGTTAATATGTACCACCAAAATAGGAGAATGAACCAAGATACAGGAAGGCATGGAGAGTAGGAATGAAGAGATCCCATACAGGAAAGAGGAGAAAGACATCCCCCAGAGGACAGGGCAGGGTGCTCCCCAGGACACAGGCATTTAGATGGAGACAGACTAAAAGAGCCCCAGTAATTTTCCTTATGAAGATTAAAGTGATAGAACTGGAGAAGAGATTGAGATATCTGATGATGACTTAGGGCTTACATTCAGGATAAGGTCATAGAAACCCAACAGACTGAATATACAGACAATGGCCAGACCATATACAAAGATAGAACTCTGACCCACAACTTGGAGTAACCAGCCCCAGAAACCAATTCATTATCTACAGTAACCAGCCCAGGAAACCAGCCATTTTTCTACAAGTCAGATTTGTAGGAAGTTAGACTGTTATCTCTAGCAAGTGGTCCATGAAGGCAAACAGTCCCTGTAACAGTCAGTTAAAACAGTCAGGGACATGGATGAAGTGGAAACCATCATTCTCAGCAAACTAACACAGGAACAGAAAACCAAACACTGCATGTTCTCACTCATAAGTGGGAGTTGAACCATGAGAACACATGGACACAGGGAAGAGAACATCACACACCGGGGCCTGTCATGGGGTGGGGGACTAGGGGAGGGATAGCATTAGGAGAAATACCTAATGTAGATGACAGGTTGGTGGGTGCAGCAAACCACCATGGCACGTGTATACCTATGTAACAAACCTGCACATTCTGCACATGTATCCCAAAATTTAAAGTATAATAATAATTAAAAAAACAGCCAGGATTTGATTAATAACTGACAACTTCCTTAATTTTTGTTCCTTGTTGGGAACAGGACCCCCAAAATCTGGCCATAAACTGGCCCCAAAACTTGCCATAAACAAAATCTCTGCAGCACTGTGCCATGTTCATGATGGCCATAATGCCCACCCTGGATGGTTGTGGGTTTACCAGAATGAGGGCAAGGAACACCTGGCCCACCCAGGGCAGAAAACCACTAAAGGCGTTCTTAAACCACAAACAATAGTATGAGCAATCTGTGCCTTAAGGACATGCTCCTGCTGCAGATAACTAGCCCAACCCATCCCTTTATTTCAGCCCATCCCTTTGTTTTCCATAAGGGATACTTTTAGTTAATCTAATATCTATAGAAACAATGCTAATGACTGGCTTGCTATTAATAAATACGTGGGTAAATCTCTGTTGGGGGCTCTCAGCTCTGAAGGCTGTGAGACCCCTGATTTCCCACTCCACTCCTCTATATTTCTGTGTGTGTGTGTCTTTAATTTCTCTAGCGCCACAGGGTTAGGGTCTCCTCAACCGAGCTGGTCTCAGCAGTTCCTGCTTCCAATTAGGATGAATCAGAGAAAGCCAAATATTCACCTTTAACCAATCACACAGGATGCCCCACTTCCTGTTAGCCTGCCTCCAACTTCCTGATGCCAACAGCTTCTAACCAGAGCACACCTGAAACCTCTTTTTTCCACTCTAAAGATTTCCCCACTCCTCTGCCTGCCTTGAGTTTCTGCCAAAATACAAGTGATGGTGGTTGATTCCCCTGCTATTGCAAGCTCTGAATAAATAGCCTTTGTTTTCATTGGTGGGTTTTTATTTCCACAAACCTAAATGAAAAAAAATTTTTTTTAATGCATGGAAAAGAAAAAACAATAATAACCTACTATGTATCTTAGCTGTGAATAGCAAGTTCATAACTGAAACAATGTAAGCATTAAATATTAACCTATATTTTTGTTTTTATTGAATGAGTTAAAAAGTATATCTAGTCTACTGCACTGCATGAGATAGATGCCTTTAAAAGTCTTGTTAAAATAAATCTACACTATTGTGATATAATTTGTATGTAATAAAATGTAGCCATTTAAGTGTCGAGTTTAGTAATTTTGACAAATATAGTCACCCCTGTAACCACCACTACAATGAAGAACATTTCAGCACCCCAAAAGTTTCCTTGTGCCCCCTTGCAGTTAGACGCCCTCTCTACACTCAGCCCCAGGCAATCACTGACCTGCTCTCTGTCATTGATTAGATTTCCCTATAAAGGAATTTCATGTAGATGGAAGCATGCAGAACCATTGTTGTTTCCATTTGCATCCTCACCAGCAATGTCTGCAAGCGTCAGTTGCTTCACATTAGCCCCAGTTAGTCCTGCCAGTCTTCTAAATTTTAACTAATCTAAGTGAGTGCATAGAGGTAACTATTTGCAGTTTTGTTTTGTTTTAGGGACATAGAATGTGCTTTTGTTTTCAAGATGTTTCCTGTCACACAGACTTTCAACTATTTCCCTTCCTGGAATGGACGAGGAGACAGGTGTCAGCCGACTATACATTTCAGGGTATTTTCAGGTATGGAAGTTGCTGTGTACATTAAGTTACTATGGTTAGGTTTAAATGAAAATCAGATTTCACAGGAGCTTCTGAGCTTGTTCAAATATAAGATTAAAGATGATCAAAGCATGGTTCTCATGGTAAAGATCCTGTGAATCTTTATGAGCCTGTACTGCTCCCTAGACTGCACCTATCACTCTATGCAGTAACCATTTTCCTCCCATTATATTCTTTATTTCAAGTAAGGCTTATTGAGATATAATTTCCAATAGTGTAATTCACTCTTCTTAGGTGTACATTCAATAAAGTTTGACAAATGTATATAGTCCTATAATCACTACCACAATAAAAATATAAACTATTTTTATCACCCCGAAAGTTCCCCTTGTGGCCCTTTGTAGTCAATCCCCTCCCTCCACCTCCAGCTCCTGGCAGCTATAGATCTGATTTGCCCTTTCCAGAAGTTTCACATCATTGGAACCACACCATATTATAGCTTTTCCAGATTGGTTTCTCTCATTTAGCAATATGCATCTGAGATTCATCCATGCTGTGGTATTGGCAGTTTGTTTCTCTTTATTGCTGAGTAATATTTCATTGTATGAATGAACCACAATTTGTCTATCCATTTATTGATTGACATTTAAATAACTCCTGTTTTTCAAAATTATGAATAAAGCTGCTATAAAGTTGCATGCATGTCTTTCTGTCAATATGTATCTTTCATTTCTTTTAATTCAATACCTACGAATGGAATTGCTGAGTCCAATAGTATGCTGAACTTTCTAAAATACTGCCAAACTGTTTTCTAAGGTAACTTTCCAATTTTATATTCTCACTGGTAATATACGAAATTTCATTTGCTCTGGATCCTTGTCTACACTTGGTATTGTTTTGAAAATTTTAGCCAATCCAATAAGTGCATAATAATTTTCATTGTGTTCTTAATCTGCATTTTCTCAATGATTAATGATGTTGAGCATCTTTTTAAGCACTTACTTTCTAACCGTATTTCTTCAGTGAAGCATCTGTTAAAATTTTTGCCCATTTTTTTTGTTTTTGGTTTTGTTTTTACTGAGTTACAAGGATTCTTTATAGATTCTTGATACAAGTCATTTTAGACGTGTGTCCTGCAAAGATCTCCTAGTTTGATTGTTTACATATTTTGCTTGAGGTATATTTCAAAGAATAAAAGTTTATAATTTTGCCATAGTATAATTTCTCAATTTTTTAAGTGGGTTTGTCTTCTTATGTCTTTAGAAACCTTTGCCTATGCCAGTATGACAAGGATTTTCTCCTAGGTTTCCTTTAGAAGTTATATAGTTTTGCAGTTTACACTTAGGACTATGACCCAACTCAAGTTCTGTTTTGTATATGGTATGAAGTAAGAGTTGAGGTTATTTATTTATTTTTGACTTGAATATCCAGATTTTCTGGAAACATTTTTTAAAAAGTCTCTCTTTGCTGAATTATCTTGGCACCTTATCAAAACTGAATTGATCATATATGTGCAGGGTGTTTTTCCTTGCAATATGTTTGTAATGCTGGCCTCATAAAAGGAATTGGGAAATAATCTCTTCTCTTCAATTTCTTGGAAGGGTTTGCATAAAATTGGTATTCATTTTTTCTTACATGTTTGCTAGAATTCCTCAGTTAAGTCATATGCGCCTGGACTTTTCTTTGTGGGAAAGTTTTTAACTACAATTTCTTTAATAGATAGAAGTCCTATTCAGGTTATTTATTCCTGCTTATAGGAACTTTAGCCATTTATATTTCAAGGAATGTGCCCATTTAATCTATATCGTCAAATTTATTAGTATAGTATTTGTTACTATAAAACAGTTAATACTTCTTTATCCTCTTTAATACTTTCTATTACTGCTTTAGTTGCATCAAACAAGTATGGGAATTTTGTGTTTTCACCTTCACTTGGTTTAAAATACTTTGTAGTCTTTTGATTTCTTCTTTGACTCATTGATTGCTTAGAAGTGTGTTATTTTGTTTCCAAATATTTGAAGATTTTTTTCCAGATTACTTTCTGTTATGGATTATAATTTAATTCCATTTTGGTCAGAAAATACATTGTGTGAGACTTGAACCCTTTTATATTTTTTGAGACTTCTTTTATGTCCCAAGAATATGGTCTGTCTTAGTAAATGTTGTGTGTGCATTTGAGAAAAATGAGCATTCTGCTGTTGTTCAGTGGACTATCCTATAAATATCAATTAGATCAATTTGGTTGACAGAGTTGTTTAAATCTTCTATATCCTACTAATTTTATGTCTACTTATTTGATCAATTATTGAGAAGGAGGTGTAGGGGTTCTGAACTCTCCAATTATAATTGTAAATTGTCTATTCCTCCTTGCAGTTTATTCATTTCTGTTTCATATATTTTAAAGATCTATTATTAAGTGTACATACATTTAGGATTTTTTTGTTCTCTTGATTAATTAACTTCTATCATTATGAAATAACTTGTTTGTTTCTGGTAATATTCTTTGCTGTGAAGTTAATTTTGTTTGGTATTAACATAGAAACAATATTTTTCTTATTTACTTTTAAATGTTAGTACGATATATCTTGTTTTATCTTTTTAACTTCTGACCTATTTGTGTTTTTATGTGTAAAATGAGTTTCTTGTAAGCAGCATATAGTTGTCTTTCTTTTTTATCCAATTTGACAATCTCTTTTAATCAAAATGTTTGAACCATTTACATTTAATATGGTGTTGATCCTTATGAAATTTTCATGAGCTCTTCTTCCATGAACTTCCCCACACTCCCCAGTACTCTGCCCTACATGTTGTAGCCAATTTAGCCTCCTCATAATTCAGTCTGTGTCTCCTCAAGTAAAATGAATCTCTCTCCAAGATTCATGATCCAGAAACACCCTCAAGCAGATAGCTGGGTTCACTTCATTTGTCTCTCTTCTCCCAGGAATCACATCCCTGCATTGCCTGTTGCCTAATATCCCAAAGCCGTTTCCTTATTATTTTGCCAATTTTCTAGTAGTTTATGATGGGAGGGTAAATCCAGCTCTAATTATTCAATCATGGCTGAAATGGATGTCTCCTTCAAAATCTTTTTAAATTAATAAATTAGCTGAAGAAATCATGACATATACAGTGTCAAAGACTAGCTATAAAATGATATAAATTTGTATATATATACATGTATATGTGTGTGTGTGTGTGTGTATATATATATATATATATATAGTTGGTTGGTGCAAATGTAATCACATATTTTTGCCATTAAAAGTAATGGTAAAAACCATGATTATGTTTGCACCAACCTAATATACAAATTTAATATAAAATAATATAAATGTGGCAGTATAGTATCTACTTCACTAGGATCCCTCATTTACTACCCATATCCTAGCACTGGATTCTCCCTCAGTGTAATGGCAGTTGGCCTCCTCTTGTCATTTGCACCTTTCTGTATTGAAAATCACAGTGCAGATGTATGCACCCCCATATATCTCATTCTCTAGTCAAGTTTTTCAATGCAACAAAAATGATTTTAATTATAAAAGTAAGGGTAAACTGTTAAAAATCACTGTCCAGGACTCACTGAGTCCCAGCCCTGAGGATAGTTTTGCTTGAACTGCTTTGGGATGCAGTTGTTCTCTCATGCTCACATTGTTTTGGGACTAGTATCCTTTATAGCAATGTCCCTGAGAAGTCCGTATTCCCTTTCAGTCTAGACAGAGCCAGGAAAGATTTGTTTTTAACAGAGTGCAAATGATTTCTGCTTTATGCACTTCATCTGATATATTTATTCTTCTCCAACATCATCCTCTTCTTCTTCATTATCATTAAAATTTTAACAGCAATTTTTTAAAAAATTAAATGCTTGTTCAATTTTTTGATTTAGAAACATTATTATATACTTACAATTAATACAATTTTGTAAGGAAAGTAATTATTAACTCCTACTCTATAAAAATGAAATTAAACACATAAATGTTACAAGACTTGCCCAAGGTAAGGTAGATATAAATAACAGAGCTAAGATTAAAGTCCAGGCCTTCTGATTACAAATCCCATATAGTTTTATCACCATACCAAAATACCTTTTCTCTGGTCCCTCTCTTAATTAGTGATAAAATTGTTTTTTTCTCAACTAATCTTGCCTTCAAAATTCATGTTTGATGTAACTTTTAGTTATTATTATTTTTTTTGGAGATGGGGTCTCACTCTGTCGCCCAGGCTGTAGTGCAGTGGCACAATCTCGGCTTACTGCAACCTCTGCCTCCCAGGTTCAAGTGATTCTACTGCCTCAGCCTCCCAAGTCTCTGGGATTACAGGCACATGCCACCACGCCTGGCTAATTTTTTGTGTTTTAGTAGAGATGGGGTTTCACGGTGTTGCCCAGGCTGGTCTCGAATTTCTGAGCCCGGGCAATCTGCCCACCTTGGCCTCCCAAAGTGCTAGGATTACAGGTGTGAGCCACCGTGCCCGGCCGGTTTGATGTAACTTTTAAAATATTTCAGAGGCTTTCAACCTTCCTGGAGTCACAGAGCAGCATCCCTTATATAAATATGTTAAGAGAATCTCTTTTTAAAGAAGGTTCACAGTATAAATGTTTGCTGTCGGCACTTTTGTCTTGATGACACATAAGGATCTTAAAAGCTGTTTGTAAGTCCATTGGTTCATGAATCCAAAGTATCACTTTCAAATCAATTAAAATATCCATATCTGTGTAAAGTTAGGCTTTTCCAGAGAGCACACATATTGACGGCATTAGTTCAGACTTTCTTAACTTTCTTGGCTCTCTTCTTATGACTCTCATCACTCTTCCTAATTTGCACTTTTTGGAAATGATGAAGTTAATGATGTTAATAAACTAACTCAAAAAACACAAACACAGGCCGGCCGCGGTGGCTCATGACAGTAATCCTAGCACTTTGGGAGGCCAAGGCAGGTGGATCACCTGAGGTCAGGAATTCGAGACCAGCCTGGCCAACATGGTGAAACCCTGTCTCTACTAAAAATACAAAAATTAGCCGGGCATGGTGGCGCACGCCTGTAGTCCCAGCTGCTCAGGCGGGTGAGGCAGGAGAATTGCTTGAACCTGGGAGACATAGGTTGCAGTGAGCTGAGATCATGCCACTGAACTCCAGACTGGGCTACAGAGCGAGACTCCATCTCAAGAAACAAAACAAAACACACAAGCACAATCTGGCCTGCAGATGTGCATGTGTTTCATCTACACAGTGCTGCTATGTGAATTAGCTGCCAAATTAAAAAACCAAGAGCATTCAAACGAAAGTCAGACTTTTCACATGAATTTTCATACTCTCTTGAAAAATCAGGGTATCTTACAATAGTGGGCCTCTAACCTGCGCGATAGCAATGGTCTAGAGCTGAGATTTGGCTGTCCACTTTTGACTGGGCAGACACAGTCATTCACAGTTTCACTCCCTATTGCCTTACCTGGGTCTCACTTCATTCACTTACTTTACCTGCCTGAGTTTATGATTTTGGCCACAGAGTAACAAACTTAAGCCAAGACTAAAATGTCTGTGCACAATCATGGTGCCATCTGTTGGTGAAGAGTAGAAATGGTGGGCTTTTGCTCTGAAAAGGAACTTTGTTCATCTGTATCAACGGTTTGAAAGTTTGTAAATAGCAAAGCACCAATATCTATTAAGTATTAATATATAGCAGCATAATTACTCCTCATGTATCCTACAACTATGTACCTGCAATGGACTGTAATTCACCTCGTGATCCCCAGAGGCCTTGCAGATTTGTGTGTGTGTGTGTGTGTGTGTGTGTGTGTGTGTGTGTGTGTGAATGTGTGCATGTGCATATACCCTGTGGGATACAGAAAGTGAAAAGAAGTTAGCAGTCTGTGCCCTTGTAACTCTTCTTGCAGACCTAGCATTGCAGGAATTTGTTCATCTGGCTTTTTGGATGAGGTCCCACCTTTTCTGCATTGCCATTGAACATGACTTCTCATCACATAGCAGAAAAAGCATGGCATTTGAAACAAGAAACTCTTGGTAATAGCCTTATTTCTGCCATTCACTGACTATTTGATCTGAAGCAAGCTACCAAATTTCTGTGGTCTTTGGTTTTCTCATATAAGAATCAGGATGATAACAACTGCAACACAGCAAGATAGTTGTGATAAAATGTATGTCAGAGCTCCACAGAAAAACCTACCCTACTTAATCATGGCATAGTATTCTAGAAACAGAGGTGGTGGAAGATACAAGTTATGCCACACACCATGTTTTTTTTTTTAACATGCTTATATTTGCCTTTAAAAAATACACACACACACAACACACACACACACACCCACACACACACATATATATATTAAATTATAGATTCAGGGGATACATGTGCAGGTTTGTTACATGGATATATTATGTAGTGGTGAGGTTTGGGCTTCTAGTGTACCCATCACCTAAACAATGAACATTGTACCAAATAGGCAATTTTTCAACCCTCAACCCCCTCCCACCCATATACCATGTTGATTCGCTTAATGTGTCAGCCTGGAGGTTTGAAACACATTTCATTAATTTTGAAATTTCATTTTTTAAATTTAGCAGAAGTCAATATATTTTCAAACTATCTCTCACACAGTGTTTCAATGCTAAAATGCTATTTGATCAAGTTGGTAAAATTATGCCCACAGCTCTGCTATTGTAACGTTGCTCATCCCCGGACAGACCTTCCATGTAGGATATAACCAGTCTTCAAATTTAAGGGTTAAAAACCTCCCTTCCTGGGAATGTTCAGCCTTTATCATGGCTTCAGCATCATATTCTTGCCAGTGATTCTTTTTTTATGACCTTTCACCTGACATCTACGCACCTCATTGATTAAGAGATACTTTAATTTGGACTTCATCATCTTACAATCATAAATTCAAACCCAAATAGATTACTTTCTGAAGTCTCCTTTCTGTCAGTGGCATCAACATTCTCTCAATTCCATGTAATGTAGATTTATTCACTGATTACCACAGACACTGTGGCTGGGTTTGGAGTAGACCATGACCCATTCTCCTTTATTTCTTGCACCTAGTCTTAATAGATCTTTTTCAATATCACTTACATCTCTCTTTCCTTTTCCATTTCACTTATACCAAGTTAGTCTAAGGCCTCCTTACTATCATCTGAATCATGATGGAAGACCTTAGTTTATCCTGCTTCTTATCCAGCTTAAGGGTCCTGAAATTTAACTCTTCATCAGAACTTTCTAGTGATTTCCCCCCAGACTACTCCATTAAGTCTGAGAGCTTCTGCCTGTCCTGAGGCTTTCCATATTCCAACCTTACCTATCTTCATTCTTGTCTCCTTTCTCTTAGACAAACCCTCCACCCCTGCAGCCTAATCTTGGCATATATGCCCACCACAGTCTCTTGGCTTCAGTATTTTTCCTATATGGACACTCTTCCTCTGTATCTATCCAAGTCCAGCAAGACCTTAGAGGTCAAGGCCATCTGCCACCCCCTTTCTAAGACTTGTTTGACTATTTCTTCCTATACTTGTTTCTCTCTTCCTGAACTTCTACAACAGTAACAATCTGTGCCAATTATCACCCTTGCTTATCTATGCCTCTTGTTCACAATCATTCACGAGTGCATTCATCTTCAATTAAACTGTAAACTCCTTGAAGAGAGAGATCACAGCATGCTGAGTCTCTATCTCATCAAGTTCCCTGAACGTGGTAAACACTGATTGAAGGAAAAATAAATGCTTTGTTGATTTATTGGCATAAGTGTATTTAATATTAGCTTTAATTAGGTTTTCACAAGGCTTAACTTACTTTTCAATATATGCATCCCTCTTGGGCAAGTAACTTACATTCTTTAATAAGCCGAATAGAAGAAATGCTATAACCTGCTTTTAAAGTAAAAATTGAGACACAATATGATGAGTATGATGTACTTTTCAAGGCAATGGTACAGTATTTGAAATCAGGCCTGTTCTAGAAAAATCTAAAATATTTGGAAAAAATATCACAAGATCTCCTAAATTCATCATATTTCTAATACTTAAATATCTTGAGCCCCAAGAAGGGGAATCAGGACAATATTGGCTATAGAAGCTGACAATGGGATTGATGGCCCAAGGAAAGTGACAGGAACCTTCCGCCCACACAAGTACCATGTCATTTTTCCACGAACTGGGCCTGCAGTGATTAACTATGTGTACTTGAGAACGCTTCCAAAGGTTTGAGCAATCCATCTGGCAGAGGCGTTTGACACTATGGGATTTGTTATTGCGGTGCTGTGCCAGCACTGAGACTTATTTAATTGCCTTAGTCATCAGGCAGCAAGCAGTGCCACTAATCTTGGATCTTACTGAGTGGCGTCTGGCTTGTGCGTTTCAAAGACCAAACAAACAAAACCAAACAACGGCAAAATTCTCCCACATTTGGGTCTCAGGTCTGGAGGTTCTGACACCACCTCCCAACCACTCCTGCAATTAAACTGTAAGCATCAACCCTGTGTGAAAGAAGCAGAACTGAGATGGAAATGACAAGAATGGAAGGCTCCCAAAAGGCTTGTCTCCCTAGAACACAACTGCCCTGTCACACATGAAAGGTCTCCAAATTGCCAGTAATTTCTCTATATTTGAGCAAAGTCTCTAAGATGCCCCAGTTTAAACACAAATGTATTACCTGCCTAGTTACCTGTTAACTCCTTAGTTCTCTGCTCCTGTCTGTGAGAACTAGCTAACTTCCTTTGGTTGGATACTGAGAGAATTGAAATCAAGTGAATTGATTGTTTCGATGGGTTCAAAAATGCAAAGGCTGTGACCAAGGCATACCATGGGCTAGGAATAAGAGGTATAGAAGGATGTGTTCTGAGAAACTAGCCAGCATGATGAGACGGAAGAGGAGCTGGGAGAAGAGAAAACTTCCTACTTCATGGTTTTGCCTATATCTGACTTAACATTCAAACCTTCATATAGCAGAGATCATTAGACTAGAGCTAGCCATTGTTCTGTGAAGCTCTTTAACTTTGCCAGTTGACACATTAGAAACTTACTCAAAACTTCCTCCCAACTTCTAAAAGTTCAGCCAAGAAAAAAGAATTTAGAAGGCAAGGCAGGGAAGATAAAAACCAGACATTCTGTTTCCCAAAAAATTGACTTCCTTCTTCCCTTTGAAAATCTCCTTTTCTGCAAAATATTGCCCTATTGTGGGAGATTTTGCTCTTCTACCTTAAAAACTCCTGGAGTCCTCCTTGCACTGTTTTGAGATGTCTCTAGGATAAAATAATCCCAAGACAACTGAACTCCTTGTTGCCCATGGTAGGAGAAGTAAAAAGCAATGAGACAGGACTGAGGAAAGTCTCACATGAATGGGCAGCCTCCCCCTGGGAGGAATAACTGGCCAGAAGGGATATGAGGGGCTCTGGGGTGGCAGCCATGAGGTAGAGGATGGGGAAACACCTTCAGGCACACCAGATAACTCTCTAGGATCATCCCACCTGCCCACCATTGAGTTGAGACCTCTTATTTAAGAAACATCGTTTCAGTATTATTTGAATATAATATTTTGGTTAACTCAGCAGGGTGCAGTAGCTCACGCCTGTAATCCCAGCACTTTGGGAGGCCAAGGCGGGCGGATCACTTGAGGTCAGGAGTTCAAGACCTTCCTGACCAATATGATGAAACCCCGTCTCTACTAAAAATACAAAAATCAGCCGGGCGTGGTGGCATGCTCCTGTAATCCCAGCTACTCGGGAGGCTGAGACAGGAGAATCACTTGAACCTGGGAGGTGGAGGTTGCAGTGAGCCGAGATCATGCCACTGCACTCCAGCCTGGGCAACAAAAGCGAAACTCTGTCTCAAAATAATAATAATAATAATAATAATAATAATATTTTGGTTTACTCTAATGGGCACACAGTTGTTAAAGTATCAGATATTGTAAAATTAATCATGATATATAATAAATACCACTACCTTCCCATCCCTTTTAAACTGTCACTTTTCTATCTTATAATAAAATTGCCTTTCCTATCAAGACTCTGAGAGGAAAAATGTCACTGGATAAGGTCACAAATATAATTCATCTCTCTATGAAATTTTCAGAAGTGGAAATTAAGGCAAACTTCATTCGTTAGCAAAATAAATCAAGGAATTACTTATCCACAAAAACAAACTTTTGGATGCCCAGTTACATTAACAGACAAAAAAGAAAAGAAGAAGAAAGATAATATTTCCAGGTTGTGCCCTCTAAGAGCATTCTTTTGACTGTTGTGATGCACTGATCTGTCATAACAAATTCAGATTGGCCCACCTTAGCCCCTCGGCCTGGCATGGAAGACAGCAGATTGGTTGCAGCTGGTCCACAATGGTGTCACTGGCTCACCCAGCCAGAGCTTATGAAAAACCTCAGTCTGGATCGCCAAGATGTTTTCCTCAAAATGATCCCATAGAGCTGCCACTCTGACAATACCAAGAAGGTCTTGAAAAGGACGGGGTTTGGAATACTATAGAATTATATAAGTGCTTCCTTTGCAACTCATCCTTCACCTTGGCAGGCATGCATCCTCAAGTTCAGTTCAGGACTTGCAATGACCAAGAGACCAGTTGATTTGGCTCCATTGACCTGGAGTGGATTCCTGGCTGAAAACCCAGGGCACTGACTTGAATGGTCAGATTTCCAAAATATAAAAGGAAACAGCAAGAGGAAAGGAGAAGGAGAATGGGGTGTGTGTGCACGTGTGTGTATGCATGTGTTAGTGCAGTTTTAGAGGCCTGTGTGGGTGAGAAAGGAGAGTGACACAAAACAGATCAGAAACCACGCCTGGCCTCCCATGTTGAATTTCTCCCCTTATTCCCTGTACTGGATGTTTGTCATTTGCCTCTCCAGCCTCAGTTTCTCTCTATTGCCTTAGGAAGCTTAATGTCAACAAGGATTCCCCATACCCTCTGGCTTCCAGTGGAATCAGCCAATGAATCAGTGGGCCCACTGGCAGGAGTTCTGAAAGCTGGAAGAGAGGGTGGTTGTTGGCAGGGGTTGGCTGCGTCCTTCTGTGAAAGCCACAGCTTTTACCAGGTGACTTCTCCGTGCTACCCTCTCGATGTTCTGGTGACTCGGCTCTCATTTTGCCCCTCAGACCAAGGGGTAGTGATGATGGATCTGTGCTGTTGCCAGTTTGGGAATCCTGCACTATTCTTTGTTGGTTCCCCTAAACCCTGCCTGCACCTCTAAATAATCTCTTTATTAAACTCTTCCCAAATCAAATTGTTTAAATATGGCATTGGTTTCCCATCATGAGTTGGACAGATATGTTCTACAAATATATGAGTTTTTGCAAAGGAGGTGACAGAGATTGAACTTGAGAAAGGCAAGTTAAAATTATAGTAGTATCAGTCCCAGTTCTAGGGCTATTGATAGTATTAAATCAAGTTTAGCCTAAAGCTGCCTCCTGACAATGTTTTAAGTTCAGCCTAAAGGTTTCTCTGTGCATCATGAACTATAACAAATGGAGGTGTACACAGACCGTAGCCCACACTTGTGCCAATCATGGAGTTTTGGCCAATCAAATGTAGCTGACTGTTCTAACCATGTTCAAATAAGGCAAACGGTGTACTGTAATCAATCTGGCTGTTTCTGTACCTCACTTCCCTTTTCCGTACATCATTTTCCTTTTTCTGTCCATAAATTGTCTTCCACCACATGGTTGCACTGGAGTCTCTGAGCATACTCTGGGTCAGGAGGCTGCCCAATTCACAAATCTTTCATTGCTCAATTGAACTCTTTTAAATTTAATTCAGCTGAAGTTTTTATTTTATCAGTGGCAATGAAAGAGACCCATTCTTTCATGTCTACACATGAACAAATAGAAAAAGCAGTGAATTAAAAGTCAGAAAACTTTGGATCTAGTCTGGAATTTATCCCACACTGGCTACATGGCCTTGGTCAATTAATTTACCTTTTGTAGGACTTAGTTTTCTCTTTTATATAATATAAATAATCTGCTCAACATACTTCATGGCACTGTTGGGAGATTCAAATATCAAAATGCTTTGAAAAAAGGCTGTTCCATGCTTATCTATTGTAAAAACTCAGTATGTTTTTCCAAGCATAGCAGTAAATCAGCTCCTTTGAAGATTTTACCAAGTCTCCCAGGAAGAATTAATTCTCCTTCTTTCATTTTCTCAAAATTCAAACTATTTTATACAGAGACTTTGATCAGTCAAGAGCGCTTAGAAGCAGGAAAGTCATGGGAACCTCAGACTTAGAGTGAGCATTTTGAATATCATGGAGCCTGATGAGGAAATGAACCTGTGGAGAGAAGGGGGTGGAGGAAGCATAGAGTGAGAAGTCAAGAGAAGAGGCCACACTGGCACAGACAAATGGAAATTTTATTCCTGGAAGCTTTGCAGATCCTAGAAGTCAGGGTTTGTATCTTGTTTACCAACCTTAGATTCCAAGACGCATCTCAGTGTCATAAATCTCCTCTGCAGTTGAGCTAGCTTCAGTGGGTTTCTATTTCTTGACAATCCAGTGAGCTTTGATTGGAGAGCCATCCTTAGCCACCTTCCGTGGTCCTGGCAGGGCTGCTGAGACTGAGTGAGTGAAGCCTGGCCAGTTGGATGCCACTCGGCCACTGTGGGCCTGCCATGGCCACTTTCCATGTGTCAGATATGGCTTCAGGCTTGCCATATTTCTTGTATTCACAGACTTTCCTCTTGCTCATAAGGTTTCCACAGCTTGGATGGAATCTTCTTTCATCTCCTGTAGAGCTGTCCCTTTTCCTTTGTCATCAAGTATCATGATCATTTTGTGGTTGGCCACTTTATTCCCACGGCTCCTTGTCCCTTTTCTCTACAGGTTCTTGCTTGCTGTACAATTTCCAATGCCTCACGAGTGTCCAGGGAACAGAGCAGAAGAAGAAGAACATGTAAAGAATGAAGATTTAAGCAAGCAATTAATGTAGGCCAGCCCTAAGCTTGGGAGACCTCTGGTCTTAACTTTGCCTCCCAGATCTGAGTTAGGGCCTGTCTTTGCCAGGGGGCCTTGGTTGACAGTAATTCCAATGGGCCCAGCTCATACTGAATCAAAAAGACAAGGTTAATTTGGGACTCCATTACTGATTTGCTTCTGGGGTCTGATAAAAGGGAACATTAAACTATCTCCTAAGGCAGCTGAAGAACAATCTGAATTTCTCCAATGCTTGGAAGTAACTTTTTCCTAGTTCTTAGGAGGGGTAAGTTTCCAGGGACAGTTCTAGTACCTGGAGAGTCTCAGAATCAGAACTCATGATTCTAAGTTTAATATCTTAATACAACTCTAAGTTTAATATCAACTTTCTGTAGCAGTGCTTTGAGAAGTGATGAAGCAGAGAGGGGAAGGTAGGAACCTGCAGAAGGAGGAGGAGAAAAACGGGGCTTAGGAGCAGATGTGCTGCTTTATTCCTGTGAAAAGTGTTGCTTTTTAGAAACCATCTTGTCTATAAAGTAGTTTCTAAGGGAAAAACACATCTTTGAATTACAGTTGAAGTGCTGGCATTCTGCTTTAGGAACTTTATGCTAATGGTTTCATTAAATAATTATCCATAATAATAGATTCATTTCATGTTTGATTAATTATTAAAGAAATGAAGTAACATCCAGTTACAGAACCCACTAATAACCTTTATAAATATTGCAAGTTGCAAACTTTCTGGGAGAAGTGGCCATTTAAAATTTTTCTTTCTTTTTTTCCTTCATATGGCTTTCACAATACAAATGATAGTACCGAAGAAATATTGACAGTATGACCAACAACTTGGCTTTACTTCCAAGGATCATAACTGATCATCAGAGGTTATGCAATGAATGGCACTTGAGAGAGGGAAAATCCAAAGGAGGAAATCTGAGTTCTTCGGCCAGATGTTCCATTTGTTCCCATCAGGCCCCTTTCTCCATCCCCCTCCCCTGACTGTGATCAGGGGTTCATTGCAGGCAGCTGCATTATCCTTCAATACACGAGCAAGTGAATATCCTTCAAACCTCAGAGTGATGAATATCTTGTCCAGTTACAAAGGGGTTTGTCCCTTGCTTTAAAGTGAGAATCCAAACTTTGAAGTTTATTACAAACTTTATTGGAAAAACTGAGTAACAACATACTGTTCAATGTCACAGTTTTTTTAAAAAAGAATATAGGCGTCTTGAAAAAGAGGCAATGATAAACACATTTAACCTGTTGGTGCCTACTGAGCTGTAAGTCAAGCCATGAAATCTCAGGACCCTGGGAGCCTGTGAAGGATGTCTGGAATCACATTCTGGCTACATCACAAATTAAGTATTGACTTAAGGTGATTATTTAATATCTCTAAGCCTCAGTTCCTTATCTGCCAAAAAAAAAAGGAGAGCGATATATCATTTCTCAGGGTTATCATGGAAATTAAAATAGATATTTTGTTTAAAAAAATGTTTACTGCAATGACTAGCACACAGGAAGCCTAATAATAATTTGTTGGTAGACACACTGCAAACTGTTGACCACAGATATGACCACGCATTCCTGTTCATCTGAACCACATTCAGTAACCTATGTTATGTAATCCAAACAGCGAGATGCGCTGTTTATATAAACAGCTGACTTCTTCTCTCTCCTGGAGGCCACCCCATGGCAATCATATCACAATCTTCCCTGGGGCTGGGCCAGTGACCCAGGAAGGGGATGATTTGATTCACCTGCTGGAAAGGAGGCAAGTTTTGTCCTTTTTGTTTTCAGTTTTTCTCTGTCTTTTGCCACTTTGCAGTTCATTTCCTTTCATCCTGGCTTATCTCCTTTATCTATCTTTCCTCTTTCGGTCTAATCCATTCATTACCCTCTAATTTCCTAATTATGGCTTGTAAGCATAAGAATAGTACTAAGGACACCCCTGTTTTAGAGGAAAAAACTATCAATGTAACAAAACCCTGTGCCATCATCATAAATTCTTCAAAAGGGCCAAGCTAATCTCTCTGGATTATTGCCAAAGTCTCCATCTCTTGTCCCCCTTCCCCTAATCTCTCTCTTTTTTTCCTAATTAATAAACTTTTCTCTTCAAATATCAATATGCAAGGTAAAATAAAACATTTAAAACCTAATTCATTAAAGCATTATTGGGTTTATTCTCTGTTTTATCTATTTATTCTGAAGCTTTCATCCTTTGATTCAGTAAAACCACAGTGGGAACTAAAGGGTCAAGGGAACATCACTATGCTGCAGGCATTGACCCGAGCCAGCTCAAGGAACTCAGTCTTGTTGGAAAGGCGGTGACAATGCAGAATGACATGTTCTTTAGTTCTTTAGTAGAAATTAGCGCTGGCAAGTAGCGAAGGTCTAGTGGATGCCAGGTGTGGTGGGTTATTACTTTCTCTTTTAAGAAAAGTATTTTCAAAGTCTCCTTTGAGATAGGTTTGTGGATTAGAAACCATATGTGAAATATGAGCTGCATTACAGAAATGGTAGATAGTTTAGCAGCTGGCTGGCTAACTAGACCCAAAGGATATTAATGAATAGTCAGGTTAACCTAAATGGATTCCTAGTGGTGGACCACAGGACTCTGAGGCCTTGTCTTATGCATCTTTTGTATCAGTGGTTTAAATAAAGCCAGAAAAGACATACTCATAAATGTATACAGAAGTTACACACCTGCCAGAAACGGCTAATTCAAAAGGTGATGGAATCAGGACTTAAAGTGATCTCAGGATGTTGAGACATTGCATCAAAATAAATCAGATCCAATTTAAAAGGAAGGAGGGCCCCATTTATGATTGCACTGTTGTGAATATTATTATTTGTGCGATGTATATGAATTTCTTTTCCTGCAGCCAAGGGATCCCAAACTAAGGCAACTGATAAAATGTAATAACATTTGTGCTAGTTAATGTGGGTTTCTTTTCTTGCAACCAAGGGATTCCAAATTTAAGACAACTGATAACATCAACTGCTCAGGGGCCTAATCTCAGGGGAACTGCAGAGCTACGAGGGAGGGGCTTGGGGGAGCAGGTTTGGACTCTAGGTCCTGGTCTGTTCTCATCACAGCTTAGGCAAGGGCAGTGTGCTAATTAATTTTGTTTTAAGTAAAAAAGTGACATAAATAAAATTCAAAACCAGAAAAGAACATATGTTGACTATCATACTTACAAATTCCAGAGAAAAACCCACTTCTGTCATAGCTGGAGCCAAGTGCTCAGTGCAGGCAGGAATCTGCCTCTCTCAATCTCTTGACTTTCATTTCCTGCATTAGTCTTTCTTAGATAGGTTCTTACCAAATGGTAGCAAGCATAGCCCTCACCTGCGATGTACATTCTATTAACTTAGCAGAACCAGAGCCCCATCAGAATAAAAATCCCTTTCTTATTAGTTCCAGCAGAGTCCTAGAGTGGGGTCTCATTCACCTGGCTTGGCTCACATCCCTGAACCAATTGGGGTGAGTGGCCTCACACAGGCCATGTGCCCACTCCTGGTTTGGAGGGTGTAGCGGAAGCAGATGGGATTATATCTATCTAAGCCCCATAAGGTAGGTTTCCACATGAATGAGGAATCCTATGAATAGAAAGGGAGAAAAATGGATACTAGACCGGCAAGTATAACAGGTGTCCACCATGGAGGGAATATTCCCATTTTCATGATACTAATGTGAGAAATGGTTAGAAGAGCTATAAAAGATGTCCACCATGGAGGGAATGTTCCTATTTTCATGAAACTAATTAAGAAGACTGGGTGAAAAATGGTGAGAAGAGCTACAGATGAGAAAATGAAGAGGCAGCGTGAGAGCAGCTTTGTGGCATGTGAGATCACATGCCTCATCTATGGTGAGGGTTAGCTGCAGAATGGGATGAGGCTTGAGGAGGAAATAAAAACAAGGAGCTCAAGACAGTGTTCACAAGAAGGACCCACCCCTATCATGTGGTGCTCAGAACATGCTTTGGAATTGGACAAAGTGGCTCAAAGGGTCAGTGGTGGATTACAGAGGAACAGTGGATAAGTCATGGATGAAAAGGAGAAATAAAAGGCAGAAGAATCAAAGTATAATTACACATGCTGGTTTGCTCAATAAATCCAAACATATTCAAGTACTGCCTGTAAGAGTGAAGAGTTCTTTGTATGGAAGAGGGCACTGACTTTTGGTTTTTTTATATTCAGAGGACAGAAATGAGCACTGGGTAGAAGATTCCAGAAGGCCAACTTTAGTTCAGTATATAAAAAAACTTTAAAATAACTCAAATTGTCCAACAACGGCTCAAGCATTGAGCAAGCTCTCCCCAAAGAGCAGAATGGAACAGGAATTCTCATTGATGAAGAACCTCTCCCTGGGTGAGAAGCTGAGTGAGACAGCCACCAAGATATCTATTTTATCTTTAAAGTCCTCAAGGTCCTCTCGTTCTTTAATGTTTACATGATATGCCAGTCATCCGATGCTCTACCTGGACAGCCTCATTGGAATCTGGCTACTTCAACCTTCTTGTTGCTGGAAAGGCCTAGGTAGCTTCTGTGCAGTTGTTTTGTGTTTCTTGACTGAAGTTTAAGCACGAAGAAGTCTCAGATATGCACCCTGTGGCCTGATCTGGAGGTTTCTATTTACAAACACTTCGATCGCATTATGACTGGGTGAAGCTGATTAAGAGGAAGGGAGAACAAGTTTATGTTCTGCAATGAGCAAATCTGGCGAGCCTGCAAAATTTTGTAATGAATGTTTCTTTAAACCACTTTATGGTCTCTGAATGATGATAATGATGATGATAATGATTATAATGTCAATTTATTCCATGCTTACTCCTACCAATAGCTAACATTTATTGCTATTACTAAAATAGCTGACAGCAAGTACCAGAAACAATTCTAAGTACTTTACATGTATTTTCTCATTTAATACTCACAAGATCCCTATGAGGCAGGTACTGTAATTACTGTCATCTCATCTATATTAGAGATGAGCAGATGAAGGCACAGAGTCTAATAACTTGCCCAGGGTCATAGAGTTGTAAGTAGCAATACTGGGATGTGCCACAAATGTTTTCATAAATGTTATCTTCTTTAGATTATACAACAGCCCTATGAAGAAGGTATAAATAGTTCCATTTTGTAAATGATGAAAATGGATACCAATAAATTTCTTGCCCAAGGTCCCATCACTCAGCTGGCAAGTAGTGAATCAGAATTCGAGTCAATCTGCCTGTAAAACTTGTGTTTGACTGCCTCCCATATCCCCAAATTCAGAACATTAAATGCACCTTCTAAAGTGGTTCTGGCCTCTGGTGTGAACTCTTTCTTCTTTGGGGAAGATTCTGCCACACTGTCCTCTCTGGAGCATAGCTGGTGGCATCAAGTGCCCATGGAGCTCTTCCTGGGTTCCAGAGAGTGGCAAGGAAATCCTCAGACTTTCTCTCCTGCTCTGTCTCAAGACTGAACTTCCTTGGGAGATACCACAGTTCTCTGACCCCTGGTCTCTGGGTTTTCAGGTAGTCTCCCAAGAGTGGTGTTTCTTCACTTTTCTACTGCCAAGGACCATTAGAAGGAGCCAAGGGTCATTGCCCAGGTGACATGTCCCGTTTTCCTAGAACACACATTTATGTAGCAGTTGATAAGAATTTAGAGAAAGGAGTGAAAGGCCAGCAACCATGACTTATCTTGCTAGAGTGTCTTATGCCTTATGGCAAATCTGCTACATTTTCCATCCTCTTCAGGAGAAAATGAAGCAACTGGCTACCCAGGGGCCTCCAAATCTTTATAATTAATCTTTTGGTGGCCCTGAGTAGTGAGCCATGTTCTATCGATCAAGAATCAAGAAACAAAATAAACTCCATAAATTCTCATGAATGATGTATATGACATCAGGAGAAATATATTTATACATATAGGATCTCGATTAAAGTATGTGTTGAGAATCTGTCTGCCTGTTTCTTTCTTTCCTCTTTCTTTCTTTCTTTCTCTCTTTCTTTCTCTTTCTCTCTTTCTTTCTTTCCTCCCTTCTTTCTTTCTTTTGAGACAGAATTTTGCTCTTGTTGCCTAGGCTGCAGTGCAATGGCACAATCTCAGCTCATTGTAACCTTCACCTCCCACGTTTAAGCAATTCTCCTGCCTCAGCCTCCCAAGCAGCTGGGATTACAGGCGTGTGCCACCATGCCCAGCTAATTTTGTATTTTTAGTAGAAACAGGGTTTCACCATGTTGGTCAGGTTGGTCTACAACTCCTGACCTCAAGTGATCCACTTGTCTCGGCCTCCTACACTGCTAGGATTACAGGTGTGAGCCACCGTGCCTGACCTCTTTATTATTTCTTACTCCATGTTTTAGTCTACACTTCATAAAGGTTATTGAGCTGAATGCAGTGACTTTTCCCAGTGACCATCCTGGAAACAGTTCTAAAATGCTGATCATGACCTGGGTTCTGGGTGGGAAGATCATCCCTGAAATGTGCCAGGGAAAGAAGGTCCCGAGTCCCATCAGCCTAGGAAATGGCCCTGTCAGTGTGAAGAGGGCCAAGGTCATGACTAGGAAGGCAAACAAGCTAGGAGGGTAAGAATAGAACAGAAATAATTAGAAATGAGCTCAACAATAAGATCCCTAATAGATTTGCCAAAAACATGTAACATCAGCTGCATTTTGTATTTGCATTTGTTTCCATACTATAATTTTCATCAAGGTAGGAAGAAAAGAAACCTTATGAGCTCTTTGTAATAGCTGTTCTCCTGTACCACCTCTACTCAGATGATAACATTTCTGCCCAGGCTCACTTCTCCTGGCAAACAAATTTCTCAAAATAAAACTCAGTTCAAAATTTCAAGATGATGGCACAAACAAATGTATAAGAATTTAGAGACTCACATATCATCTTAGCTCGTTATTGTTGTTGTACAAAGTCGAATGAACTGTGTATGTTGTTGTTATCAACTTAATTCATCTTGGCTGCTGCTTTCACGGGGCTGTCCAGGTCTCCGAGGCATTACCCATTATATTACTTCTGAGGTCTGGCCAAGGAATTCAGAGAGCACAGAATGCTCATTATTTGGTCCCTGGTGTCTGAAAAAGTGTTCTTCAGAATCATGAAGGAAGAGAGCTCAAAGACCTGCCTGGTTGTCATTTATCTAGAATTAGTAACCAACAGGAAGAGTCTCATAGACCCGGCGATGTTATAGAGAAGTTTGCCAGATTAGCTGAGAGATGAACAATACGTCATTAGCTTAATCTCACTCTGAATAACTTGACTTTTTGGTTAGAATCCTTTGACACTTGTTTTTTTTCAATATTTAACTCAAAGGGCCTAAAGCATTCTTTTCTGCTTACAGGAGATGTGTTGTTGGTATTTTTGGTGGCATAGCATAATGGGAAGAAATCGGCCGGGAGCGGTGGCTCACGCCTGTAATCCCAGCACTTTGGGAGGCTGAGGTGGGTGGATCACGAGGTCAGGAGATCGAGACCATCTTGGCTATCACGGTGAAACCCTCTCTCTACTAAAAATACAAAAAATTAGCCGGGCGCGGTGGCGGGCGCCTGTAGTCCCAGCTACTCGGGAGGCTGAGGCAGGAGAATGGTGTGAACCCAGGAGGCGGAGCTTGCAGTGAGCCGAGATAGCGCCACCGCAGTCCGGCCTGGGAGAAAGAGCGAGACTCCGTCTCAAAAAAAAAAAAAAAAAAAAAAAAAAAAAAAGAAAGAAAAGAAATCAGCTAATTCATGACTCAAAAACATAGAAGCTGTTTGAGGAACATGAATCTGAAATTTCTCATGAAGCTTCTTTCTTGCCTGTGTTCTCTTCCGTGGAGATATCGGCTCTACTGTATACAAGCAATCTTATTCCCTTCATGTCACCCCGTCCAAACTTAATTCACATGCCTCATCTGTGGTGAGGGGGTTAGCTGCAGAGTGGGATGAGGCTTGAGGAGGAAATAAAAACAAGGAGCTCAAGACAGTGTTCACAAGAAGGACCCACCCCTATCATGTGGTGCTCAGGACATGCTTTGGAACTGGACAAAGTGGCTCAAAGGGTCAGTGGTGGATTACAGAGGAACAGTGGATGAGTCATGGATGAAAAGGAGAAATAAAAGGCAGAAGAGTCAAAATGTAATTACACATGCAGATTTGCTCAATAAATCCAAACATATTCAAGTACTGTCTGTATGCTTGCTGCCATGCTCAAAGGTCTGTCGTAACATTGCCCTAGGGAATTTAAATGACATGTAGACTTCCAAGTAGCTCCAGATAATTCTGATTCTGCAGGTCAGGGGAGAAGTCCAGCATTTTCTATAATACCCATATGACTCTGATGTAGACAGTCAGTGAGGCATCCTTCACAGTGCTATTTTAGGCACCATTAGGGGTTTGTGTTACCCATACTAGGTTTAGGGTAGAAAAAAATGATTTGATCATCCTATTTGTGTGTGTGTGACTTGGTAATAAAGCTTACTATTTGATACATGATTATCTTATAGTGCCTTTTTTTTGTAATCATGGCAAAATATTCTCAGATAACTTAGTTTCAAAAACCATGGAAAATAAGTACTTTTACATAAATTAACTAATTTGGAAATGCATATGAGAAAGATTGTGTAACACAAGGAATTAGAGAAGCCAGAATGTGGTGGTGATGGGGAATATTTGGGGAAGCGTGAGCTTGATGAGTATCAGGCCATGCCTGCACACAGAAGGGTGCCAGGGGCAGGTGGAGGGGTCAGTAACTGCTTAGGAGTGAATATGCTCTGATTTATTCTGAGGTAAAGCAGAAACCCCAAATCTCTTTTTTTTTTTTGAGAGAGAGAGTCTCACTCTGTTGCTCAGGCTGGAGTACAGTGGCGTGATCTTGGCCCACTGCAACTTCCACCTCCCCTGCTCAAATGATTCTCCTGCCTCAGCCTCCTGAGTAGCTGGGACTATAGGTGCATGCCACCACACCAGGCTAATTTTTTTGTATTTTAGTAGAAACAGGGTTTTTTTGTATTTTAGTAGACCAGTGTTGGCCAGGCTGGCCTCGAACTACTGACCTCAGGTGATCTGCCCCAGCTCAGCCTCCCAAAGTGCTGGGATTACAGGCATGAGCCATGGCCCCCAGCCCAGAAATCCTAATCTAAGAGCACAGCGAAAATGAGCTTCAAAGAATAATTTGCTTGCTGCATTTGACATTTATTGGCTCAGTCACAAATGTGGGTGTTGACACCCCAGGTTAAAGCAAATAATTTTTAAACATCTACTTACATAGAATTTTCATATAGATTATGAAATTGAAGCCACAAACGGTTCAGTAAAATGAGTAACATTTCCTAAATATATCAGAGTCTCAGTTGTGACTAGAAGTTTTCATTCAAACTCAGGTATTCTGACTCTAAATCGTGTTTGGAGTTTTAGTTATGCTATGTCTCTGGGAAATAGCTGTATATTAATTATTTAGGTCAAGTCAAAAAATTTGGATGACCCATAGTAAGGGCTATTCTTAAGAGATTGGTGCAATAAGCTTCTGCAGAAATTAAAGTTTGCTTTGCAACAGAAATTGCTCATAATTTTGTAAATCAAGTTAACTGAGCCATTTGGATAATGTTAAAAACTATTTACCTAAACATGTTTTAAAATTTCCTGGAATTCAAGTATTCAAATAACTACACTGTGGTAAACACATGAACGTAATTTTTGCTACAGAGTTTATTTTGGCCAGAAGCCATCAGATTAGTTAATTAGTGGAAGGATGACGTAGTCCTTGGAGAGAAAGTATTTAAATATGACATTTGAAAAACCTTTTTAAACATTAATGGTAAGTTTTAAAAATATTTAGAGAGAAAAATTATAGGGCTGTAACACTGGGGAAGTTGCAGAAGTTTGATCTGTTCTAGTACAAAATAATTATCATGTAATTCTTTTAATTCATCCAGCTTTCAAATAAACTAATCAGTATGACAAAAACACAGGGAATTTGATAAATATAAAGTCTCAATTAGGGGCAAAAGAATTTATTTTGATGGCATTTTTATTTGTACTGCTTGTTCTAATGAAGATAATCTTCATATTTCTTGAAACTTTGCAGTTTTGATTTTGCTTCTTTGTGTTTTCTACAAAATGACAATAAAAATCTTACTGACAGCCTTGGGCAACAGCCAGAGACCCATCTCTTAAAAAACAAAAACAAAAACAAAAACAAAAAACAAAATTGGCCAGATGTGGTGGCACATGCCTGTGGAGGCTGAGGTGGGAGGATGGCTTGAGCCCAGGAGGTCGGGGCTGCAGTGAGCCAAGATTGCACCACTGCACTCAGCCTGGGAGACAGAGTGAGACTGTCTCAAAAACAAAAACAAACAAAACCAAACCACACCTTACTGAAACTTTCTCAATGGTTTTTTTTTTTTTTTCAGCCAATCATTGGTAGTTGAAAACATCACTGTAACAATTGAGTGAAAATAAAATAATGCACTTGAAAGCCCCTGGCACATAGTAGAGCCTCAATAATCACTTGGTAAATTCTTCACAGCAGGCCGGGCGCGGTGGCTCACGCCTGTAATCCCAGCACTTTGGGAGGCTGAGGCGGGCGGATCACGAGGTCAGGAGATCAAGACCATCCTGGCTAACACGGTGAAACCCCGTCTCTACTAAAAATACAACAAACAAAAAATAGCTGGGCGTGGTTGTGGGCGTCTGTAGTACCAGCTACTCGCGAGGCTGAGGCAGGAGAATGGCGTGAACCCGGGAGGCGGAGTTTGCAGTGAGCCGAGATCGCGCCACTGCACTCCAGCCTGGGCGACAGAGCGAGACTGTCTCAAAAAAAAAAAAAAAAAAAAAAAAAAAACATTCTTCACGGAGCTGGAAATGTATGGGGGAAAATCATTTATTTGGAAATATTACTTTTAAAAATCTTAAAATTTATTTAGTTTCAAACTTTGAAGAAACATATATGTGGTCCTTATGCATCTGAAGACTACTTGGAATGACATGGTATTTTCCCACTGCAAGTAGTTCACGTGCCAGTGATAAACTGCAAGCATTGTTTATTTTGTCTTCATTAGTGAGAGCTCACAAGAGACCCAGTTTTCCTAGCCTGAGGAAGAGTCAGTTTTGATTAACTTGCAATATTTACTTCAATTTCAGTTGATAGCTATCTAGAATTAAGACACCACACGAGTTCTCTTTGTTTCTAAATTCACATAGAGGCCATAACTAGATTGCACAGGTGCTCCACTTTGCCATACAAAAATGTTACATATTTCTATTGTGTAGAGACCTTCTTAGTCTAGTTATTATACTTTGCTCCATCATTGAAACCTGAGAAAGTCTATATTTATGTGAAAAACGATAATTGATAACTAGTTTACTCATTGTCTTAACGTTTTTAGCAAAAACCATGTTGGTTTTCATTTGAGAAGTCTGTTTAAAATACAAATAAGCATGCTCAAATGTGTATTGAGAAGAGAAATAATTCTTATTGAACAGAAAAGGAATCACAGCAACTTTTTTTCTTTTTGCTTCTATGATTGATTTATAACTGTGATAAAAATCTTTGGCTTCTGAGTTTTTCCAGCTGTATCAAATGAATAATCGTGATTAACATCTAAAAAGCTTTAGGATTTCTGCAGATTTCTTAATTTAAAATATATTAACAGGGTGTTGGACAATCAAAAATATTTTTCCCTTTGATTTTAATCCTGTAACAGCTTTATATATTATACTTAAATGTCTCTTTGTAGCAACTCTATCCACCCACCCATAATTGTACTAGACACAAAGAGGAAATAGAGGGAAAAAATTCTCAAGAAATTCAGAGACATCAGACATTAAAAATTAGAGATCATAACTTGGTACAAAAGAAAGCACACTAAATGTGAATCCCAGCCTGGGTTTTCTCCTTACTACTTATGTCGTGACAGAGGTGAACTTCTGACACTCAGCTACCTTGTCTAAGAGGAAAGTGGTAATATTGATCCCACCTGCAAGATTTTAATAAGGACCAACTGAAAAATGTGCGTGAGCCCTTTGTAAACTGTTAAGAGTTTACACATGTTGACTATTCCATGTTAAGTGCACTGTGTGGTGTAGACTCCATGTTAGTTTCACTCAATTTTAAAACATTCCATCTAGAGATTCTGATTTGAAGAAGGGTAAAGGGCAAGAGAGGCTGATTTTCACTGCCTCAAGAAGAATGATTTGTTTGCTTAGCCCTAACAACAAATAGTTTATTTTGAAATTTTAAAATATATCATAATATCCTTTTCAAATTACACCTCAGATTCTGATGTGTTCCCCTCCCCCATCCTTATCCCCCTGTGACTATCTGTTCAAATGCAGTAAACAGCTCTTCAAAAGCTTACTCAGAGACAGCTGCAGTTTTAGGGGCAGGCCTCCTAGAGGAAATGGCACTTAAACTGGGCACTTTAAAAGAAAGAATGGTTTTCCAGAATAAGTCAATGGCATAAGCAAAACCAAGGAGGTAGCAAGAACAGGGTATACAGGGAAACAGCTATAAAAATATTAAGACCATTTTAAAATGTAACCCAAAAGATAACATTTAGAAATGATTCTGTCTGAGTAGTTCAATGAAAATTTTTGTTCTTCACAAGTCCCAGCTATTTTATCTTACTCTTTTTCTTTCTGAAGAACATGATCTAATTAAATCTATTACTTTGAAGGCCAAGATAAAAGTCAAAATGATCACATATAAAGTTTTTTATAAGAATTCTATTCTTTCCTAACAGAAGGCAGCCTTAATTTGGCTGAATGTAATGGTAATTTTTTTTCTTTTAAGAGCTTTGTGTAAGAAATAGTTATCCAGCTCATCTTTTGAAAAATGCCTCCGCCAAACTTTTAGAATAAAAGGAATATGATCCTTTTAGACATAGGCAGCAGAGGAATTCATCAAGGTGCTTCATTATTTTAGCAGTGAACCAAGAAGATGTACATCGACAGTGTTTATTTTCAAGATGATAGAAAGGAAAGGACAACGAGACGTTTTCCTTTACTACTTTCTGTAACACAAATTTGTCATTTTTCCAGGCTTGATGAGATGGACAAAGCCTTTCTAGTGACATTTGGGATAAAAACTATTACCACACATGTGGATGGTATCTGTTAAATCTCTACATTCAATATAAATGCTACATGTGTTCCTCCTCCTCTCTGGAAGATTCTAGGAGTGCTGGCAAGAGGAGGCTGCTGAATGGAGTCCAGAACCGAGCTCATCAACTCTCCTAAGTCAAAACAATGCCTGAATGATGAGTCCCCAGGCAGATTTCAGGAATGTAGAACATTCATTGAGTTTGCATATTGTACTAGGAGCCTCTTGTTTGCTTTGCAGGTTACACCAAAGCCAAGAGCATCCTGGAGAGCCAGCAACTCTTGGGTCCTAACACAGCTCTTCAAGAAGTACTCTTCCATGTATCCACTCACAAATGCACATCAGATTCCCACTGTGTGAAGTACATTGTGCTGGGGGCTGGGGAAGACAAATGAGTTTAAACACACAAATCCTTGTTCTAGAGGAGAGTTTTATTTGTAGGGGAGACACCCATACTTACAAATAGATAGAATGAAAGTAAAAGAAAAATCAATGACACGAGACACATTCATTTTCTCTTTCAACAAATTTTATCAATCATTGTCTGCCAGACACTGTTTGCCTTGCTAAGGAGTTGAGACTTCATCCTGTGGGCACTGGAAGCCATTAAAATGTTTAAACAGGGACTAGCATGTAAAGATTGTGCTTTGGAAGGGCATGTCTCTTGTAAAGAAGATTAGAGTCAAAGCAACCAAATAAAAGTTGTTTCAGTAATCAAGGCAAGAGACAATAAGTCTGAGGAGTAGAAGTAAAGAGAAGCCAGTAAGATTAAGTAAGTACCACTGGAGAATGTTGCCATTAATTAGATGCGAGAAGGGGGAAGAGGAGGGAAAACCCCTGCTGTAGGAACTTCACGGAAGGATGTGAGCCTATGTTTGCAGGAGATCTGGACATAGCATTGGCAGATAAAACTGGTATCTTAGTTCCAGTTAAGGCAAGAAGTGAAGAGAGCTTAAGGATCTTAAGTTTAAGAATTTTAACTTCTTAAGTTTAAGAACTTCCAGTGAGAAGCTTAGGAGAGTTTCCTTACTGTAAAATTAGGCAATGTTACCACAACAGCTCATGAGCCATTAGTGAGTCAAGACATCAATTTAGTAGGTTTTGACCTGCATCATTTTCAATTTTTAAAGCAGCTTTGTTGAGGCAAAATTTCCACACCATAACAATCACCCATGGTAAGTGTACAATTCAGTGATTTGTAGTAAATTTACTTATAAAGCCATTACCACAATCCAGTATTAAGACATTTCCAACACCCCAAAAAGTTTCCTCCTGCCCATTTGCAGTTCATCTCTGCTTCCATATTTCAGCCATAGGCAACCACCGGTTTGCTTTCTGTCTCCTTAAGTGTGCCTTTTCTGGATATCTTATTTTTATTTTATTTTTTGGTGCGATCTTGGCTTACTGCAAACTCTGCCTCCCAGGTTCAAGCGATTCTCCTGCCTCAGCCTCCCAAGTAGCTGGGATTACAGGCATGTGCCAGCACGCTGGGCTATTTTTTGTATTTTTAGTAGAGTCAGGGGTTTCAGCATGTTGGCCAGGCTGGTCTTGAACTCCGGACCTAAAGTGACCAACCTGCCTTGGCCTCCCAAAGTGCTGGATTACAGGCGTGAGCCACAGCACCCAGTCCTGGATATTTTAAATAAATAGAAACATACAATTTTGCAGTCTTTCATGCATGGCTTCTTTCACTTCTTTCACTGGTGTTTTTGAGGTCCATCCATGTTAACTGTGTATCAATATGTTCTTTTTATTGCTGAATAGCCCATTGTATGGATATACTGCATTATGTTATCCAACCACCAACTGACAGACATTTGGATTGTTCCCAGTTTGAGGTTAATAGAAACAATGCCGCTATGAACGTCTGTGTATAAGTCTTCGGGTAGAAATATATTCCTGTTCTCTTGAATATATCCTTAGGAGTGGAATTGCTGTGTCATATGAAAAGCTTATATTTAACTTTTTAAGGAACTGCTAAATTATTTTCCAAGTGGTTGTACCATTTTACATTTCCACACGCAATGTATGATTGTTTTAGTTGCTTCACATCCTTCAGTTGGTATTGTTAGTCTTTCTGATTACAGTTTTTCTAGTGGGTGTGTATGTAGTGGTATCTCATTGTAGTCCTAATTTCCCTCATGACTGATGTGGTTGAGCACATTTTCACGTGCTCAGTGATCATTCACATATGGTCAAATCTTTTGTGCATTTTGTAATTGGGTTCTTAATCTGATTATTGAACTATGAGAGTCCCTGATATATTTCTTTATCAGACATGTTTTTTAAAAATGTAACAAAATTAAATTTAACAGTTTAATTGGGCAAAGAACGATTTGCGAATTGGACAGTCTCCTGAGCCAGGGTAGGCTCAGAGACTCCAGCACAGACACATGGTGGAAGAAGATTTATGGACAGAGAAAGGAAAGCAAGGTACAGAAAACAGAAGTTAGGTACAGAAACAGCTGGATTGGTTACAGCTCCGTCTTTGCCTTATTTGAACACAGTTTGAACAGCTGGCCACCTTTGATTGGCCAAAACTCAGTGATTGGCACAAGTGGTGGCTACAGTCTGTATACAACTCCATTCAGGCTACGATACACTATAGCTCAGGAGGTACAGAGAAACCCTTAGGCCAAACTTAAAATATGAAGGAGGCAGCTTTAGGCTAAATTTGATTTAACAGCTACATGATTAGCGAATATTTTCTTCCAGTCTGAGCCATATCTTTTCATTTTATTGATGATGTCTTTTGAAGCACAATTTTATTTTTTTATTTTTATTTATTTATTTTTTTTGAGGCGAAGTCTCGCTCTGCCTCCCAGGCTGGAGTGCAGTGGCGCGATCTCGGCTCACTGCAAGCTCCGCCTCCGGGGTTCATGCCATTCTCCTGCCTCAGCCTCCTGAGTAGCTGGGACTACAGGCGCCCGCCACCATGCCCAGCTAATTTTTTGTATCTTTAGTAGAGATGGGGTTTCACCGTGTTAGCCACGATGGTCTCAATCTCCTGACCTCGTGATCCGCCGGCCTCGGCCTCCCAAAGTGCTGGGATTACAGGCACGAGCCACCGCTCCCGGCCAAAGCACAAACATTTTTAATTTTGATTTTGTTCAATTTATCAATTCTTTAAAGAAAATTTATCTAAAAAAATTTCTTCCCAACTCAACGTCCCAAAGATTTACTCTTATGTTTTCTTCAAGAAGTTTTATAGTTTTCAGTTACATTTAGGTCTATAATTTGTTTTGAGTTAAATGTTGTATATGATATGAATAAGGATATAACTTCATTTTTCTTTGCATGTGGATATGCAATTGTCCCACAACCAATTTTTTTTTAAAAAAGAGAAGACACCAGAACGCATTGCACATTATTTTACTAATCTTTTATATATTCCATGTGTTTTCTGAGTTGTGAAAAAGGAAAGAATTTGTTTTGTTGGTTTGAGTTTACAACATCTTTAAAGCTTCTGCAATATGGCCTTCAGAGTGTATGGTGCAAAGAGTTGGGAAGAAAGAAAAGGAGGTAGGGAGCATTTGAGAGCTATGGTCATGAGAGAGGAAGCCCAGTGTCAGGTATTACATTGAGGACCATGACCAAGCATAGAGTAATGTGAGCTGGTGACAGTCCTGTAATGGGGGCTTCGGGCTCTGGATAAAAGCCAGCCAGAAGGGAAAGAAATCTGTTAAAGTGCAATGAAGATAAGCTGGGCACAGTTGCATGTACCTGTAGTCCCAGCTACTTGGGAGGCTAAGGCAGGAGAATTTCTTGAGCTCAGGAGTTTGAGACCAACTTGGGCAATGTAGTGAGACCCCCTCTGTGCCCCAGCAAAAAAATCCACTGTATCATGAGAAATTAGAATACCAGGCCTATCCCTTTGTGCTGTCTTTCTTTCCCAACCGAAATAATCTGCATCAATATTTAATCCCTGTTAGTACTAGCACAGTCTTCACAAAGTTAAGCTAAGGTAATGGCACTCTCATGTAGGAACTGTAAGTACTCCAGTTATAATTTAAATTATTTTCTAAAAGTTAATGTCAAGCATGGAGCCAAAAAACAAACAAACAAACAAACAAAAAACAGAAGTGCATGCAGGTGCATGCATTCTTACAGTTCACAAATACATTTTTAAAAAAATCCCCATTTGACAACTATAGCAAATACAGAAATCTGCCATTACCTTGCTTTTTAACCTTGACAAGAGATAATTTCCCAGATCTTGATTGCCTTACCTGTAAATTAAGAAATTTGGGCCAGTCTAACTTTCTTTTGCTACAGTAGAAGCATGACTATTTTAGGCATTCCCACAGACATCTTCCATGTCAATTATATTCTCTAATACAAGTTAATGTCCAAGAGCAATGGATAAATCCATCTACTGGACAGAAAAGTGTGATTATAAGAAAAATGACCGTTTATACACATCTATAAGAAATATACCTTTCCTCTTAAACTTTTAAATTCTCAAACACATTAAATATATTGTATTTTCTTTTGCAATTAATTTATGGGCCATATATTACACTTAAAGCACTGCCTTGGGTCCTGTAATGGGCATGAACACCTGAAAATGGTCATCTTTGATCTAATCAGAGAGAAAAAACAGGAACACAAATAAGTACTAGACAGCACGTGCCATCAATAGAGCAGGGTAGTCATAGATAATAGCTACTATAAAGTGTAAGGGATGGAAGAATCATTTCCAAATGTGATGAACAAGACCCCAGATGGCAGGATCTGAGAAGTCTTTTGCATCCGAGTAAGCACCTGCTCCCAAGAATGACGTAGACTATCTGAAGGTTAGATCGACCTGGCAGAAGAACAGCAACATTACTTGTGTCGGTGTGACCCCATGAACCAAAACAGATCTAACTTTAGGTCCATAGCCTTTGACAGTGATCCTCAGAATGTTTCAGGGCGTTTTCTGTAAATGACCCTGCTTTTGGCATAGCATCTGTTGCCTAGTATTTTCTTTTTCAGCTGTTAGTTTAGACTCAGAGCTACATCATAGAAGTACAGGAACTACATGCAGAGGTTTAAAAATATTTACTGTAAATTGGAATAAAACTTAGGAAATAGATGGTATTTTCATATGCCATTTTAAATATCACATTTCCTCCTTTTAAAGCTGGCATAAATCATAACTTACTTGAATATCTTTAAAGAATAAGACATAGCTTTCTCCTAACTTATTTTCAGCCTGAAAAAACAATGTTTTTTCCTAAATCCAACTCGGAAAGGAGGTAGGGACAACTTATAACAAGCATATGTATGAACTTACGTAAGTATTCACAGTATATGGTAGGCAATAGTGCTGTCGTGAGAGGCCAGGACTTGGAGTGAATGTCTAGTTCTGCCATTAACTAATTGTGAAGCCTTAAATGAATTTCTTTATTTTACTAAACTTGAGTTGTCTCAGCCATAAAATCAGGTTGAAATAAATGATTTCTAAATCCCTTTCCAGTTCTAATAATTTCTGTCTATACTTATATTTTTATTTTGTATAATGGCAAATACCCAAGCTTTTATAAATTTATATTTACTCTGCAGTGCAAATACTGAGAAATTACCTTAAATGGAAGCAGATCAACCTGGGAGGACAGCCTGCATAAATAGATATGTGAAATAATATGTGTGTTTTTGCCTGGCAGAGCTGAAAACCGAAGTTCAGTGACTCTCTTTTGGCCCTTGTATCAGCATCGGTATTAATCAAATGGTTGGATTAGCTCTAAACCCTTTGCAAATCAACCTAACTGATTTGCAAATGTGGAAAATTTGAGGAAGCAGTTGCTTGGGATTTAGTCTGAGAATTGTAAATGGAATACGAGTTAATTGCTCAATAATACAAAAATAATTTATCTCACAATAATAGAGTGAAAAATCTAGGCAATTAAAAAGCAAACTGAACCCACAAAACACAAGAGTGGCATTGAGTGGGAGACAAAGTTCTTTAACCTAGGATATTTTCCTGGGTGTCCTGAAACCATCCCACGGGCAGCTGTCTCCTCTGCCTACATGCAAGGCTGATCCTATTTGTAGGTTTCAAAAGAAGCAACACAAATGTTTCATCAATGTTTTTAGCCCTGGATAGGCCTGTGCTAAGAGATTATTTTACCATGAGTCCTAGCTGAGAAAATGTTCCTAATTTAGAAGAGAGATTCTAGGACACAGTGCCTAAGGAAAACAGGTATCCCCACAGCAACTGCATCTGAACATGGCACCAGATTCCTGAGGATTGGTTTGCTTTAAGTGATATCTGGAGCACCCCAGACTGAGAAGATCCATCAAGGGAAACTGCCCAAGCAGATGTGCTACTCAGGTTACTGAGTTTGTGCTGACCCAGAGGCAGGAAGGAAGGGGTGAGTCTTCAGGTTACTCTAGGACAAGGGCTGTGTTAGTCTGTTCTCACAGTGCTATAAAGACCTACCTGAGACTGGGTAATTTACAAAGAAAAGAATTTTAATTGACTCACAGTTCCAGATGGCTGGGGAGGCCTCAGGAAACTTATAATCATAGTGGAAGGGGAAGAGGCATGTCTTACATGGCAGCAGGTGAGAGAAGAGCAAGCAAGAGCAGGGAAAACTGCCTTGTAAAACCATCAGATCTCGTGAGAACTTACTATCACGAGAACAGCATGGGGGAAAATGCCCCCACGATCCAATCACCTCCCTCCACGTCTCTCCCTAGACACACGGGGATTATAGGGATTATCATTCAAGATGAGATTTGGGTGGGGACATACCAAACCATATCACGGACCATTACCAGTTCTGATGGCAATGGACCATCTTCATTTCCCCAAATCTACTGGTTGATGATTTGGTTTGGGGAGTGGGCAGTGAAGCCAAGAGTACAAGTCATTCAGTGGAGAAGGTTGTAAAAGACAAGGCCCAGCGGAGTAAAGAGTTTTAGATACAGCAGAGATGAAGGATATGCTGGTGGACAGAACACGGACTTTGAAGCCAATCAGACCCAGGTGTTCATCTTGACTCTTCCACTTTGTTACTGCCTGTCTCTGTGTTTCTGATTCCTCATCTGTAAATCAGAAATAATAACTCCTACCTCATAAGGCTTTGTGAGGATGACATAATGTTTGCAAATTGCCTCAAATACAAAGTGGTTTCAAAAAAATGTTCTTTTCCACTCTTCACTGCCTCCAGCACCCTTATGGGCTGAATTGTGTCTCCGTACTCACAATTTGTATGTTGAAGTCCTAACCCCCAGTATTTCAGAATGTGACTATATTTGGAGATTGGGTCTTTAAGTTAAAACGAGATCATTAGAATGAGCCCAATTCCAATATGACAGGTATCCTTATAAGGAGAGGAGATTAGGACACAAACACACAGAGAGAAGACCAAGTGAAGACACAGGGGGAAGATGGTCATCTGCGAGCCAAGGAGAGAGGCCTCAGCAGAAACCAACCCTGCTGACACCTTCATCTTGGACACATAGCTTTCAGAATTTTGAGAAAATAAATGTCTGTTGTTTAAGCCAGTCAGTCTGTGGCACTTTGTTATGGAAGCTCTAGAAAACTAACACGGGGGCCAAATCCTATCCCACCTCCAGCAGAAGGGCATATGGCAAAATCTGGCCACTGCAAGGAGAGAAATCTAACATTCAGAAGCAGCTATAGCTGGAAGGTAACTTATTTTTAGGGAAATCTAAGCTTATGAAAACTATCTGGGGTGTACTATGTGAAGAAAAAACAAATATTGTGAATGCAAAGTTAGTCTACAGGATCCTAGCAGGATGTAAATCGCTAATAAAGCATAAATTTTCCTTATGAATAAGATAAAATAAAAATTTTAGCAGTAGGTGTGGTTAAACCATTTATACATAAAACTAAACATTATTAGAATTACATGCTGAAGAGGCCAAAGTACTTAGTTATTGTCACTATTATCATAATAATGACTTAATAGTGATAAGAAAAATCTTAACTTAAAAATCTGGGTGTTTTGGTTTAATAGGGTACTTCAATTTGAACACTAAGTAGACACGATTAGTTAACTGGGGGCCTTTTTCTCCAAGTCTAACTCATTGAAAACTCTCATTAATCTTATTGACTGCTTCCTGGAAGGAAGGCAGGTGAATAGGACACACAGGGAATGGCTTTCAAAGAACTATCTTCCCATCAAAGACACTTCAGTATTAGATAATAAAATGCCTTAAAATACTTTTTTAAGGCTCCAAAAAACCAGTAATGAGCTCTGGAGGCCTGTGTGCTCTCTTGCTCATTAGGCTGAGTAGATATTGTTATAAAAATTGAAGCCCATTTTATCTCAGTGGTTGTAAAGTAAGACTGGAATGTAAATTCACTTCTCAATGAACACAGATTGCCTTCCAAAGAATGCCACTACCATTGCCTCTTGCCTGAATTTAGAAGAATATGAATCATTGAGATTGAATAGACGTTAGTAGTTTGCTATATTTGCTTCAGAAAGAAGGAAGAATAAGAAAGGAAAAGAAGGGAGAAGAGGAAAGAGAGAAAGAAGAAAGAAAGAAAGAAAGAAAGAAAGAAAGAAAGAAAGAAAGAAAGAAAGAAAGAAAAGAAAAGAAAAGAAAAGAAAGCAAGCACGCGCAACTTCCTGTTTCAGTTTCAATGTGTAAAGTGCTTGGGAGTCATCACTCCCATTCTCACAATAAGAGAAAAGCTGAACAAACTGAAAATCAATGACTTTTCTTAGATCTGTCAGAGAATTGAGATCACAAGGCAAGCTACCTTCACGAAACTAGAAAGACAAACAAAATCACAGCCAAGTTCAGTTTACCAGGAGCAGAAGCTGCTGTGGTCAGTAACTAATGAAAATATTAAATGGTAATTTTGACAAATTCCAGGAGGCTGAGTGTGGTCTAGCTTAAGAGTTAAAAGCTCCTGGGTTCCAATCTTAGTGAAGCCCCTGACTTTTGTGGGTTTTACCTCCAGGAATTGCACCATGTTCTTTGATCACAGAAAAATCCCTTCCTGTTTTAGGAAGGAGGGGAAAGTAACCTTTTTGAAATATGCCCCTATTAAAGGTAGCCATTTTGAAATACACACAGAGTGTTCACCAAAGTAGTTCTTTGAAACAACTTTACTATAGCCTTATCTGACCTGAGGAAAGGACAATTAGACAGTCCTAGCCTCCATCTTCACCTCCACCTCCCAGTTTTCTTGTATCACAAAGGAGATGGAAAAAATGGTTAAGAAAGACTTCTGAAGGTCAAGCCCAGGGATTCGGGCCCACTAAAATATTGAGATTTAATCATAAGATTATAGAACACTTCCCTGCCCCAGCATCTTAACACCACATCCACAGGACTCTATTATGGATTATAACATGACAGTGGATTACAACTGAGAGAACTGTAAGACACAGACTCTGTTTAAGGAGTTCATAGGAAATCCAAAGACAACAGAGGAGCAAAATAAACAAGTGAACTAGAGGAAACGGAAGCCTCTGGCACCCATAGCCACAGCAAACATTAAACATGGTCAGCTCCTAGCCAGGCTAACATAGAACCTCACATTAAAAGCCTAGTGACCTCAGTTCCTATTACCCAGTACATTATAGCTGCCTTTCATTAAAAAATTACAAGTCATGATAGAAGGTAAGAAAAAACAATCTGAAAAGGAAAGGCAAGCATCAGAATCAGACTCAGATATGACATAGATTTTTAAATATCAAATAGGGAATTTAAATATAACTAGTATGTGAAGGTCTCTAATGCAAAAAAGTAGACAACCTGCAAGAACAGCTAGATGGATAATGTAAGCAGAGAGGAAACTCATTCTATAAGGCCAATATTACCCATATGCCAAAGCCAGGTAAATGATTACAAGAAAGGAAAAAAACTGAGATATAGAAATCCTCAACGAAATGGTAGCAACTGAATCCAACATAGACCTAAATGTTAAATGCAAAAGCTATAAAACTTCTAGATGATAACAGGATAAAATCTAGAGGACCTTGGATTTGGTGATGGATTTTTAGGTAAAACATCAAAAGTACAATGTATAGAAGAAAAAATTAATAAGTTGGACCTTATTAAAATAAAAAACTTCTACATTGTGAAAAACACTGTCATGAGAATGAGAAAACAAGCCACGGACTGGAAATAAATATTAGCAAAACACATATTTGATAAAGGACTTGTATCCAAAATATGCAAAAAAATCTTAAAACTTAATAATAAAAAAACAAACAACCCAATTTAAAAATGGGCAGAACATTTGAACAGACACCTCACTGAAGAAGACATACAGATAGCAAATAAGCATGTGAAAAGATGTTCACATGACTTTTTAATAAGAAAATTACAAATTAAAATGAGATATTACTACATGCTTAATAGAATGGCTAAAATCCCAAACACTGACAACATCAAATGCTGGCAAGGATGTGGAGCAGCAGGAATTCTCATTCATTGCCAATGGGACTGTATAAAGGCATGAAAACTTTGGATGACAGTTTGGCAGTTTCTACAAAGCCAAACATAGTCTTTCCATACAATCCAGGAATCATGCTCCTTGATATTTACACAATTAAGCTGAAAATTTATGGCCACACAAAAATTTGCACAGGTATGTGTCAGGCCTCTGAGCCCAAGCTAAGCCATCATATCCCCTGTGACCTGCACGTACACATCCAGATGGCCGGTTCCTGCCTTAACTGATGACATTCCACCACAAAAGAAGTGAAAATGGCCTGTTCCTGCCTTAACTGATGACATTGTCTTGTGAAATTCCTTCTCCCGGCTCATCCCGGCTCAGAAGATCCCCTACTGAGCACCTTGTGACCCCCCACTCCTGCCCGCCAGAGAACAACCCCCCTTTGACTGTAATTTTCCTTTACCTACCCAAATCTTATAAAACGGCCCCACCCCATCTCTCTTCACTGACTCTTTTTGGACTCAGCCCGCCTGCACCCAGGTGATTAAAAGCTTTATTGCTCACATAAAGCCTGTTTGGTGGTCTCTTCACACAGACGTGCATGAAATTTGGTGCCATGACTCGCATTGGGGGACCTCCCTTGGGAGATCAATCCCCTGTTCTCCGGCTCTTTGCTCCCTGAGAAAGATCCACCTACGGCCTCAGGTCCTCAGACCAACCAGCCCAAGAAACATCTCACCAATTTCAAATCAGGTAAGCGGCCTCTTCTTATTCCCTTCTCCAACGTCTCTCACTATCCCTCAACCACTTTCTCCTTTCCACTCTTCAATCTCTCCCTTCTCTTAATTTCAATTTCTTTCATTTTCTGGTAGAGATAAAGGAGACACATTTTATCCGTGGATCCAAAACTCCGGCGCCAGTCACGGACTGGGAAGGCAGCCTTCCCTTGGTGTTTAATCATTGCAGGGATGCCTCTCTGATCATTCACCCAAGTTTCAGAGGTGTCAGATCACACAGGGATGCCTGCCTTGGTCCTTCACCCTTAGCGGCAAGTCCCGCTTTTCTGGGGGAAGCGAAAGTACCCCAACCCTTTCTCTCCATGTCTCTACCCCTTCTCCACCTTTCTGGGGGGCAAGAAACCCCCAACCCCTTCTTCACCCTTAGCAGCAAGTCCCGCTTTTCTGGAGGAGGGGCCAGTACCCCAACCTCATATATCTGTGCCCCAACCTCTTATATCTCTGCGCCCCAATCCCTTATTTCCATGCGCCAACCTCTTATATCTCTGCGCCCCGATCCCTTATTTCCACACCCCAACCTCTTATATCTCTGTGCCCCAATCCCTTATTTCTGTGCCCTGACCTCATATCTCTGTGCCCCAACCCCTTCTCTGCTTTTCTGGAGGGCAAGAACCCCCCACCCCTTCTCCGTGTCTCTACTCTTTTCTCTCGGCTTGCCTCCTTCACTATGGGCAAGCTTCCATCTTCCATTTCTCCTTCTTCTCCCTTAGCCTGTGTTCTTAAGAACTTAAAACCTCTTCAACTCTCACCTGACCTAAAATCTAAGAGTCTTATTTTCTTCTGCAATGCCGCTTGACCCCAATACGAACTCGACAGTAGTTCCAAATAGCCAGAAAATGGCACTTTCAACTTTTCCATCCTACAAGATCTAAATAATTCTTGTCATAAAATGGGCAAATGGTCTACGGTGCCTGATGTCCAGGCATTCCTTTACATATCAGTCCCTCTCTAGTCTCTGTTCCCAGTGCAACTCATCCCAAATCTTCCTTCTTTCCCTCCCACCTGTCCCCTCAGTCCCAACCCCAAGCGTCACTGAGTCTTTCTAATCTTCCTTTCTACAGATTAGGGGTCAGACACATCTGACCTCTCCCCTCCTCCCCAGGCTGCTCCTCGCCAGGCCAAGCTAGGTCCCAATTCTTCCTCAGCCTCCGCTTCTCCACCCTATAATCCTTTTATCCCCTCCCCTCCTCACACCTGGTCTGGCTTACAGTTTCGTTCCATGACTAGCCCTCCCCCACCTGCCCAGCAATTTACTCTTAAAAAGGTGGCTGGAGCTAAAGGCATAGTCAAGGTTAATGTTCCTTTTTCTTTATCCCAAATCAGATAGCATTTAGGCTCTTTTTCATCAAATATAAAAATCCAGCCCAGTTCATGACTTGTTTGGCAACAACCCTGAGACACTTTACAGTCCTAGACCCTAAAAGGTCAAAAGGCCATCTTATTCTCAAAATACATTACCCAATCTGCTCCTGACATTAAATAAAACTCCAAAAATTAAATTCCGGCCCTCAAACCCCACAACAGGATTTAGTTAACCTCAGCTTCAAGGTGTACAATAATAGAAACAAGTTGCAATTCCTTGTCTCCACTGTGAGACAAACCCCAGCCATATCTCCAGCACACAAGAACTTCCAAAGGCCTGAACCGCAGCGGCCAGGCGTGGCATTCCTCCAGAACCTCCTCCCCCAGGAGCTTGCTACAAGTGCCAGAAATCTGGCCACCAGGCCAAGGAATGCCCGCAGCCCGGGATTCCTCCTAAGCTGCATCCCATCTGTGTGGGACCCCACTGGAAATCGGACTGTCCAACTCACCTGGCAGCCACGCCACTCCCAGAGCCCCTGGAACTCTGGCCCAAGGCTCTCAGACTCCTTCCCAGATCTTCTTGGCTTAGCGGCTGAAGATTGACGCTGCTCAAGCGCCTCGGAAGCCCCCTAGACCATCACGGATGCCGAGCTTCAGGTAACTCTCACAGTGGAAGGTAAGTCCGTCCCCTTCTTAATCAATATGGAGGCTACCCACTCCACATTACCTTCTTTTCAAGGGCCTGTTTCCCTTGCCTCCATAACTGTTGTGGGTATTAACAGCCAGGCTTCTAAACCTCTTAAAACTCCCCAACTCTGGTGCCAATTTAGACAATACTCTTTTGAGCACTCCTTTTAGTTATCCCCACCTGCCCAGTTCCTTTATTAGGCCGAGACACTTTAACTAAATTATCTGCTTCCCTGACTATTCCTGGATTACAGCTATATCTCATTGCTGCCCTTCTTCCCAATCCAAAGCCTCCTTTGCATCCTCCTCTTGTATTCCCCCACCTTAACCCACAACAATAAGATACCTCTACTCCCTCCTTGGTGACCAATCATGCACCCCTTACCATCTCATTAAAACCTAATCACCCTTACCCTGCTCAATGCCAATATCCCATCCCACAGCATGCTTTGAAAGGATTAAAGCCTGTTATCACTCACCTGCTATAGCATGGCCTTTTAAAGCCTATAAACTCTCCTTACAATTCCCCCATTTTACCTGTCCTAAAACCAGACAAGCCTTACAAGTTAGTTCAGGATCTATGCCTTATCAACCAAATTGTTTTGCCTATCCACCCCATGGTGCCAAACCCATATACTCTCCTATCCTCAATACCTCCCTCCACAATCCATTATTCTGTTCTGGATCTCAAACATGCTTTCTTTACTATTCCTTTGCACCCATCATCCCAGCCTCTCTTCGTTTTCACTTGGACTGACCCTGACACCCATCAGGCTCAGCAAATTACCTGGGCTGTACTGCCGCAAGGCTTCACAGACAGCCCCCATTACTTCAGTCAAGCCCAAATTTCATCCTCATCTGTTACCTATCTTGGCATAATTCTCATAAAAACACACGTGCTTTCCCTGCTGATCATGTCTGATTAATCTCCCAAACCTCAATCCCTTACAAAACAACAACTCCTTTCCTTCCTAGGCATGGTTAGTGTGGTCAGAAATCTTACACAAGAGCCAGGACCGCACCCTGTAGCCTTTCTGTGCAAACAACTTGACCTTACTGTTTTAGCCTAGCCCTCATGTCTGCCTGCAGCGGCTGCTGCTGTTTTAATACTTTTAGAGGCCCTAAAAATCACAAACTATGCTCAACTCACTCTCTACATTTCTCATAACTTCCAAAATCTATTTTCTTCCTCATACCTGACGCATATACTTTCTGCTCCCCGGCTCCTTCAGCTGTACTCACTCTTTATTAAGTCCCACAATTACCATTGTTCCTGGCCCGGACTTCAATCTGGCCTCCCACATTATTCCTGATACCACACCTGACCCCCATGACTGTATCTCTCTGATCCACCTGATATTCACCCCATTTCCACATATTTCCTTCTTTCCTGTTCCTCACCCTGATCACGCTTTATTTATTGATGGCAGTTCCACCAGGCCTAATCGCCACACACCAGCAAAGGCAGGCTATGCTATAGTACAAGTCACTAGCCCGCCTCTTAGAACCTCTCATTTCCTTTCCACCGTAGAAATCTATCCTCAAGGAAATAACTTCTCAGTGTTCCATCTGCTATTCTACTACTCCTCAGGGATTATTCAGGCCCCCTCCCTTCCCTACACATCAAGCTCAAGGATTTGCCCCCATCCAGGACTGGCAAATTAGCTTTACTCAACATGCCCCGAGTCAGATAACTAAAATACCTCTTAGTCTAGGTAGACACTTTCACTGGATAGGTACAGGCCTTTCCTACAGGGTCTGAGAAGGCCACCACAGTCATTTCTTCCCTTCTGTCAGACATAATTCCTCAGTTTAGCCTTCCCACCTCTATACAGTCTGATAACAGACCAGCCTTTATTAGTCAAATCAGCCAAGCAGTTTTTCAGGCTCTTAGTATTCAGTGAAACCTTTATATTCCTTATGGTCCTCCGTCTTCAGGAAAAGTAGAACGGACTAAAGGTCTTTTAAAAACACACCTTCCCAAGCTCAGCCACCAACTTAAAAAGGACTGGACAATACTTTTACCACTTTCCCTTCTCAGAAGTCAGACCTGTCCTCAGAATGCTACAAGGTACTGCCCATTTGAGCTCCTGTATAGACATTCCTTTTTATTAGGCCCCAGTCTCATTCCAGACGCCAGACCAACTTAGACTGTGCCCCAAAAAAACTTGTCATCCCTACTAACTTCTGTCTAGTCATACTCCTATTCACCATTCTCAACTACTCATACATGCCCTGCTCTTGTTTACACTGCCGGTTTACGCTGTTTCTCCAAGCCATCACAGCTGATATCTCCTGGTGCTATCCCCAAACTGCCACTCTTAACTCCTGAAGTAAATAAATAATCTTTGCTGGCAGGACTATGCTGAATCTCCTTAGGCACTCTCTAATCAGATGTCCTGGGTCATCCCAATTCTTAGACCTTTTATACCTGTTTTTCTCCTTCTGTTATTCCATTTAGTTTTTCAATTCATACAAAACTGTATCCAGGCCATTACCAATAATTCTACATGACAAATGTTTCTTCTAACAACCCCACAATGTCACCCCTTACCACAAAATCTTCCTTCAGCTTAATCTCTCCCACTCTAGGTTCCCACACCACCCCTAATCCCGCTCGAAGCAGCCCTAAGAAACATCGCCCACTATCTCTCCATACTATCCCCCAAAATTTTCACTATCCCAACACTTTACCACTATTTCGTTTTATTTTTCTTATTAATATAAGAAGACAGGAATGTCAGGCCTCTGAGCCCAAGCTAAGCCATCATATCCCCTGTGACCTGCACGTACACAACCAGATGGCCGGTTCCTGCCTTAACTGATGACATTCCACCACAAAAGAAATGAAAATGGCCTGTTCCTGCCTTAACTGATAACATTGTCTTGTGAAATTCCTTCTCCCGGCTCATCCTGGCTCAAAAGCTCCCCTACTGAGCACCTTGTGACCCCCACTCCTGCCCGCCAGAGAACAACCCCCCTTTGACTGTAATTTTCCTTTACCTACTCAAATCTTATAAAACGGCCACACCCCTATCTCTCTTCACTGACTCTCTTTTCGGACTCAGCCTGCCTGCACCCAGGTGATTAAAAGCTTTATTGCTCACACAAAGCCTGTTTGGTGGTCTCTTCACACGGATGCCCATGAAAGTATGTTTATAGCAGCTTTACTAATAATTGCCAAAAACTGTAAACAGTCAAGATGTTCTTCAAATAACAAATGGATAAACAAACTGTGGTATAACTGGACAAAGGAACATTATTTAGTAATAAAAAGAAGCTATCAAGTCACAAAAAGACATGGAGGAAACTTAAATGCATCAAAAATAATTTACATGCAAAATGAAATCAATTAATTCCAGGTGAGCAATCTGATGAGTTTTGATAAATGTATGCAGTTGTAGGACTATCACAATAATCTTGACATAGAACATATCCATGGCCCCTAAAAATCCCCTTGCAACCTCTTTACAGTCACCTCCCTCTACCATCACCTGGCTCTTGGCAACCAGTGACATACTTTCTATTATTATATTAAGTAATTGTGGTTTTTGCATTATTGGAATTTGCCGTTTGATATTGGAATACATTCTTAAATAAATGTGGTTATGTTATAAATCATTTTAATATGCATTTCTCACTTTATGTTTTTTTGCTAATGACTTACCACTTACCATTCATTTTAGACCATGGAAATGATGTTAGACGAATGGCAGATTCAAGCAATTTTCTTATTTGAGTCCATGACAATGCCTGACTGCATGTTGCACAACCTATGCTTGAAAAGTTGAATGAATTGGTCTACAAAGTTTTGCCTCATCTGCCATATTCACCTGACTTCTCACCAACCACCACTTCTTCAAGCATCTCGACAACTTTTTGCAGGGAAAACGCTTCTACAACCAGCAGGATGCAGAAAATGCTTTCCAAGAGTTTGTCGAATCCTGAAGCAAGGATTTTTGTGCTACAGGAATAAAAAAACTTACTTATCGTTGGCAAAAATGCGTTGATTGTAATGATTCCTATTTTGATTAATAAAGATGTGTTTGAGCCTAGCTATAATGATTTAAAATTTATAATCTGAAACTGCAATTACTTTTGCACTAACCTAGTTTTGCCTTTTTCAGAATTTTATATAAATGGAATTATAGAGTCTATAGGCATTTGTTTCTGCTTTCTTTTACTTAGCATAATACTTATGACACTCATTCGTCTTTATCAATAGTTTATTTCTTTTTGTTTCTGAGTGGTACATCTTTGTATTGGTCCTCCACCAGTTATTTATTCCTTTACCTGTTGATGGACATTTGGGTTCTGTCCAGTTATGGGCTATTAAGAGTAAAGCTGCTATGAAGATTATGTACAAGTCTTTGTGTGGGCACATGCTTTCATTTCTCTTAGGCAATACCTAAGATTGAAATGGCAGCATAGTAGAACAGGTTTATGGGTTTTGTTTGTTTGTTTGTTTGTTTTTTGGAGTTTCTGCTCTTGTTGCCCAGGCTATGAGTGCATGAGTACAATGGTGCGATCTCAGCTCACTACAACCTCTGCCTCCTGGATTCAAGCAATTCTCCTACCTCAGCCTCCCGAGTAGCTGGAATTACAGGCATGCACCACCATGCCCAGCTAATTTTTGTATTTTTAGTAGTGATGGGGTTTCACCATGTTGGTCAGGCTGGTCTTGAACTCCCGACCCCAGGTAATCTGCCTGCCTAAGCCTCCCAAATTGCTAGGATTACAGGCATGAGCCACTGTGCCCGGCCAGGTTTGTTTTTAAAAAACTGACAGTTTTCCAGTGGTGTTCCAGGTTATGTTCCCACAGTGTATGATCATTCCAATTGCTCTGCTTCCTCACCAACACTAGGTATGATTGGCCTTTTTAATTAGAACCATATTTATGAGTGTGTAGTGATATCTCATTGTGGTTTTGATTTACATTTCCTTTATAAACAACAATGTTGAACATCTATCTTATGTGCTTATTTTCCTTCTCTATATCTTATTTGATTAAGTTTCTGTTTAAATCTTTTGCCCATTTTTATTTGGATTATTTGTCTTATTATTGAATTGTGTGAGTTATTTATATATTTCAGATACAAATTCTGTATCTGAAAATATTTGAAAATATTTTGTTAGTCTGTGGCTTACCTTTTCATATCCTTAAATTTCTTTTGAGGACCAAGAGTTTTTACTTTTGATGAAATCCAATTTTTTTTATTTTATACTTTGTACTTTTATGTCCTAATTATAAAAAGCTTTTTTTTTTTAAGAACTGATGTTTATTTTCCAACAACCTTATTTCCATTTTGCTTAGGAGCCTGTGGAAAATGGCTTAAGACCGACCACTCAGTGGTTTTTCATACCCATTCAGTGGCCCAAGCAGTGGGAGCTGTGGACCAGTCTTCCATGGCAGGCTGAGTGCTCTAGTCTTCAGTAGGGACCTGCTGAACAGACACAGGGGGCACCTGTGTGACCTGCACACCTTCAAAGCAGGCTGCAACCTCAGGCTGAGTAGCAGTACACTCAGGAGCCAGGGCAGTCCCTTCACCCTGAAATTCCTCCTTAGCCTCAGCTTTTTTAGCAGCAGCCTGCTCTTTCTTTCTAATCTCCTTGGGATCTCTGTAGACATAGAGATCAGGCACGACCTCCTATGGGTGTTCACAGGAGATGGTGCCATGCATATGCAGAACTTCCAGGCTGGCATCTTCCACATCAGACCCACTGAGTGAGTGCCCTTGTTGTTGCAGGGGATGGCAATGTCCACAGCGCAGACGAGAATCTGTGTGACCCAAAGCAATGGTAGGCAGGTTAGCATAAGACACCTCTGTGAGAGGCTGGTGGTCAGCTCTGGGATCAGTAATTGCCAAGAGCCATGGCTCCCAGAAGGCTGCCTGGGTCTGGTTAGTGAAAGTTTCAAGAGTGAAACAATGAAACAGCCAGCAATAGGAGTGACTCCAGTGGCAGCAGCAAACTTCAGCACAGCCCACTGGCCAGTATTCTGGAGGGCGTGACACTGACATCAGCACAGTTTTCAATGGCAACAATGGCGCCAGCTGCCAGAAGAAGCTTCTCCCAGGTCCTGTTCAGATTTAGGAAGCAGATGCTTTCACTTTTCCTTTTATAGGTGTACTGTTCCATTTGGAAGTCGAGGTTGATGCCACCTAATTGGGTCCCTGCTGCAAGAAACTTGAGGACATCCTCCTCCTTCATTTGCAGGATATCAAGGGCTCCAGACGTTGTGAAAGTTTCCCTTGAAGTTACAATGGAATCCAGAACAATGCCATATGGACCCTCCTCTGGGTATCCAGAAAGCCTAATTATGAAAACTTTAGCTAACTTGTGACTGCTTGGATTTTCTCTGATGTCTTCTAGAAGTTTTATGCTGTTGACTCTTACCTTAAGGTCTTTATCTATTTTGAATCAATTTTTCTTTATGGTGTGAGGTAAGAAACAAGGGTAATTTTTTAGCATATAAATATCCAGTTGTTCCAGCACCAACTGTTGAAACAATTATCCTTTCCCCCATTAAATTCCCTTGGTATCTTTGTCAAGAATCTATTGACAGTGATTGCTAACAGATTTCCAGAAAGAAGAAGTGAGAAGCACAGCAGCCTACTAAGCATAACAATCGTTTTACTAAAAAAGAAGTTAAAGAAAATAGTTTTTTTTAAGTTTCTGCACATTGTTCTGAGGGCATACAGAAAATGAAGAAATATTTATTCCAGAAAATTTACTAAATCCTTGGTAACAGCATAGTCTGTATTGATAAAAGAAAAGCTTTAGCCGAATTAAATTTAAAGGAGTTTAATTGAGCAATGAATGATTTTCAAATTGGGCAGCCCACAGAATTAGAGCAAATTCACAGAGACTCCAGCACAGCCATGTAGTGGAAGAATATTTATAGACAAAAAGGGGAAATAATGTACAGAAATTGGAAGTGAGGTACAGAACGACTGGATTGGTTCCAAGTTTGTGTTTGCCTTATTTGAACACAGCTTGAACATTCAGCAGTGTATAAATGGTCGAAGTACAGCCACTGGGATTGGCCAAGACTCAGCTATTGCTCCAGGTGCATACTCCTAAGTTAGGTTTTCAATCTTGTCTGCCTACTAAACTAGGTTGCAGTTTGTTCACAAGGACTCAAATACAGAAGTACAGAGTCCTCCTCAGGCCATATTTAGTTGACTTTAACAGTGTCCTCTGAGCCATGACTGCTTCCTCCCTCCCCTCTCTAAGCTCTGACTTATGGAAACACTGCTCTGGGCACTCAACTTCAGGCAGTGAAGCCCAAGAATATGACACAGGGGATCCCTCTCCCTCCTGTGTCCCAGAATAGGGCTACAGCTTCACCCTGGGAATGCAGGCTGCTGCTGTTTCTCACTTCCCCTATGATGAGAAGCTTTGTTCTTATCATACATGACCTCCTGCATAAACTCTTTCATACAGAAGTTCTGATCATACATAGCCCAAAGGGCTGAGGCTCCCATCTTATACCCTACTCATAGGGTGGAAATACTATTTCAGAACCAGCAGATTGAGAATACTGGGGCTCCAGGTCCCTCCCCTGTCATTCCCAGGGCAGAGGTTCCACAAGGAGAAGGCAAGCTAAGAAGGCTGGAGATTATCATTCTCCCTCCATCCAGCATCCAATAGAGCAGGGATGTCACCAGGATAAGGAGGCTATTATCTACACCCAAGCTCCTGTGCAGTCTGCAGAGTTCCTGCCATAGGAGAGCAGTAGCCTTTATTAAGGACAAAGCTCTGTAGTCCTGCCCAAGGGAACTGACTCAATTAGGAAAATAGTGCAGAGAATTTCATGCCTAAGGGTGTTGTAGAGATAATGGAGATCTTAATTCATGGTGGACAGCAATTAAAAGGGCACTTAAATCCAGCAATCCCACTTCTAAGTATATAGCCAAAGGAATTGAAATCGGCATGTCAAAGAGACATTTGCACTCTCATTTTCATTGCAGCATTAGTCACAATAGCCAAAACATGGAATCAACCTAAGTGTCCATCAGTGGAGGAATGGAGAAAAACAGGGTACATGTACACAATGAAATACTATTCAGCCTTCAAAAAGAAGGAAATTCTGTTATTTGTGACAATATGGATGAATCTAGAGGACATTATGCCAAGAGAAATAAACCATGCACAGAAAGACAAATATTGCATGATCTCACTTATATGTGAAATCTAAAAAAGTTTAACTCAAGAAGTAGAGAATAGAATGGTGGTTTCCAGAAGATGAGGTTGCAGGAGAGTTGAGGGGAAAAGGGAAAATGTTTGTTAAAAAGTGCAAAGTGTCAATTTGTTGACGAAAAGAGTCAAACTCTAAAATATTCGAAGAGGTTAACGCTGAGCCAAATATGAGTGACCATGGCCCATGACACAGCCCTCAGGAGGTCCTGAGAACATGTGCCCAAGATGGTCAGGGCACAGCTTGGTTTTATACATTTTAGGGAGGCATGAGACATCAATCAAATACATTTAAGAAATGCATTAAGATTTGGTTCAGAAAGGCAGGACAACTTGAAGCGTGGCTTCCAGGCTATAGGTAAATTTAAAAATTTTCTGGTTGACAAATGGTTGAGTTTGTCTATGGACTGATTAAAGAAAAACTTCAGCTGACTTCAATTTAAAGGAGTTTAATTGCAAATAAACATATTAAACTCCTTTAAATTGAATTCGGCTGAAGTTTTTCTTTTATCAGATGGTGTCAGAAGCAGGATCTGAAGTGGAGCTTCTAGCCACCCCCAGGAGTGCTGAGTGAACATGCAGGCTACTGCAGAACCCACTTGTGTCCACTGATCTCTCACAGCAGCTGGGAATTGTGGGTAAGCTCCCTCTTGGATTTTGGAGCTCCAGGGATTTGTGTTTTGAGCTCTCTGAGTTTCTTTGAGCAAATTTCTCATCCAAACTGGGTTTGGAAGTCATGACAGAAACTGGACTAGGTCCAGGATGGGATTTGATCTGGAAGTTAACTGGCTTGGATCCAGTTAGACGTCTCTTACATCTGACTGGGTCAGAAAAGAACTGGTAGTAAGCAGTAATATTGCAGGGGTTATAAAACTTGGCTTTTAAAATTCATGGAGCTTTTTGTGTTCTACCCTTTTGTTTCATTTTTCTTGCACACCTAGGTAGGAGGAATCATTGTCTAAGTTAATCAAGAGAATCTGAGAGTAAAGCCAATATTTTAGGTTAAAATGGGATTCTTAATTTCTGGAAAACTGAGCTCCTTTTGGCTTATGCATTAGGCCTGGGAGGCAGCAAAGTCTGGCAGAAATGTCAAAATCTTACTAAAGATAACTTACAATGGAATGTTCCAAATGAAAAACAATGCACTGAAGTGCATTAAAAGAAAAAGAAAAATGTTTTCTTTTGTGTTGCAGCTTGGCCCCCAGGGTTATGGTGTAGTGAGCTGGGTCACTAGAGCCACTCAGGGAAACGGAACCCAGAAGCCTGGCATGCCAGCAAAAGGGTAAGAATTTCTTACCAGTCAGATTTCTGGCTTCTCTCTCTGTGCAAACTACTTGAGTGAATGGTAAAAATCACGGTTTATCTCCTCTGTAAAGTTTTGATTAATGCAAAAAAGAATTCTGAGGCTAGTCTTAAGCCATAATGAATCTGGTGTATTTTGTGCTATGAATTTGTTTTTCTATGTTGAGGGGTACCTTAGGATAAAACATGGGCATAGGACCCCATAAGCTTGCTGCTCAAGATGGCCCAGCAAGCTGGCCAGTAATGAACTTTTCTGCAGGGGTCCCTGAAACAAACAAGAAACTGGATGAGGTATCCATCTTGTTTTATGTCCTTGGGGGCTTGAGCTTGTAACCACGTGGCAGTACTTTCTCTTGGTCTCCACCCTCCAGGGAACATGTATTTTAGGGTTCATGTCATAGCTCTAAAAATTATCTTGAGTAGTTAAAAGCCTTTGCAAGCTCAAAATTAACTACTCTAGACTCTTTCTGGGATGGGCAATTGGACTGCCCTGCACTGTGGCTCAGTAGACAAGGTTTTGCCCTTCCACTGTGGCAGTCTGGGTTTGATTCCCAGCTTAGGAAATGAGTGCTTTCTGGTTTGAAATCTGTGTAACCTTGTGGATTCTCTTCTCCTCCATGGACTATCTTAAATTTTCCTCTCTCTGAGTACCTGGGAAGTTACCTATGGTAAAGTTCAAAAGCCAGAAATATAGACTGTTTGGACTAGCTAAAGTCAGGTCATAAGAAATTTTAAAAGGACTTTACTAAAGAGTGCTATGGTTAAAAGCCAGCTTAATTAAAAGTGAATATTCAAGCTCTAACAGCCTGGACTCCTTGGGAAAAACAGGAGGCACCAGAGCCCGTTTCCTGGCCCTGTTCATCCAAGGACTCCACCCTAAAGCCAATAACCACTTAAGAAACTTAAAAACTGGCAAATGAAAAATTTTACAACTACAGTACTAATATTCAGTCTGTCTGTCTGTGTAGTTATATATGTGTTGTATATGTAAATGTTTATATAAAAGAGCTCTAATTGGCTTAAACAAAAATAAATACTTAAATATTTTGAAAGAAAAATAAAAACTGTAATGCCTTTTAGTTCATGTAACTTTAGTAATTTTGGGGAAAGAAAAACAGCTTCAAAGATTATTGGCAAAATAAAAACATTTGGTCTAAATTAGGCAGGTCAGATATTAGGTTTGCTAAATGCTTTAAGGTCATAAACTGCTTTGACTTTGGAAAATTTTCAATTTACTTTGGAGACATTAAATTCTAAATAAGGCCTGGGAATATGCAGAATTAGCCATGCCCCTGAACTATGCAAAGAAGGTTATAAAGAAAGGAGATTTTATATAAGAAAGGATCTTGTATGGTAAGTTCTTGTCCTAAAGTAAAATGACTGGTTGTTTAAAAGAGGGGATGTTTAGGACAAGTTAGAAAGTCCAAGCATGTCATAGGTGGTCTGTGTAAGTCATAAAAGGATTCATAAAAGAAAATTTATGCACCAAAAGTGAAAGTTGAGACTACTGAAAACATAGGTTTACATATAAGATGTGTAAGGAGAATGAAATGTGTTTTTGGTACGAGATTATAAGAAGGTAAGGGAATGTAAATTTTTGCCTAGTTTACAGAGTTAAAGGATTGTTTTAAATTAAATAAAGCTAAAGGTTTAAATAAATTGTGGAAGGTTTATAAAAATTAACTTTGTAAAAAATTCTATGTGTGAAAATATTGACTAAATTTAAAGGGGTATTATTCGGTTTTTCCATAAATTTAACATTGAAATAAAAGCACAACAGGTTTTTCTTAGAGCACTAATCTGCTCTTTAAAAAAATCATAAAAGGTTATACAAGGTTTATAATATTCTACCTTATGGTCAAACTGATTAATATTGAATACATTTGCCTATAAGGTTTTATTAAGAATTGGGTTTGACATCAATAATGCACTGATGCAACAGTGACATTTGGCTTATTTGGTATAAAAATCACAGGAAGCATTTTCAAAATAAAAATAATGTTTACTCTTCAGGTTATATTTTAGTGAATGATAGTAATATGTGTTCCAAAATTGAATGGGGATTCTAATATTTCTGAGTATATGCTATCAATCATAATTAAGGTTATTATGTTGTTATTGTAGCCCACAGAGATAACCAAATTTCTTTGTCAATTGTGTCTTTAACTATCACTATTTAAAGTCATTTCCGCAGTTAATTGCTTGATACTGATGCAGTTTCTGAAAACTTCACAAGCATGCAAAATCCTATAATATGGTGTCTTTTAAGAGGTTTGTGAAAGAATGGAAAGGACCCTGAAAAGCACTCTTGAAAACAGGTTTCTAATAACTTTAAAATCATATCTTGGGTAAGAATTTCCCATGAATTCCCCAATTCCTCAAGAATTGGACTGGGTAAGAATTCCTGAAACTTTAATAAAAAGATTGGTTTATAAAACTGCTAACCCAAGTAGAACAAAAATTAATTAAATACCAAGAAAACACTTTGCCAGATTATCATGTTAAATCAGCCAATACTAAAATTGTTTTGATATATAATTTGAATGAACTCCATGGTCTAAGTCAGATTACCTATGATAACTCATTAGTTATCAGTGCTACGCACCTAAATTGGAAAAATAACTGGTATTCAAGAGGACATAAATCTAATGTTAAGCATGGACTCATGGAGAACCATGATGGCCACCTTGTTCTTCCTGAGTCCTTAAAGCTTTTGTTATTAAAGGTTCTGCAGGCTGGGTGTGGTGGCTCACACCTGTAATTCCAGAATTTGGGAGGCTGAAGTGGGCGGATCACGAGGTCAGGAGATCAATACCATCCTGGCTAACATGGTGAAACTCCATCTCTACTAAAAATACAAAAAAAAAAAAAAAAAAAAAATTAGCCAGGTGTGGTGGCAGGTGCCTGTAGTCCCTGCTACTCGGGAGGCTGAGGCAGGAGAATGGTGTGAACCCAGGAGGTGGAGCTTGCAGTGAGCCAACATCGCGCCACTGCACTCCAGCCTGGGTGACAGAGCGAGACTCTATCTCAAAACAAAAACAAAAACAAAAACAAAACAAACAAACAAAAAAACAGCTTTCCAATGTGAAAGGGCTGATGTTATAACAGCAGATTATTATGCTACAGTGTATTTTCACCCCATAAAGAAAGTTTTTTATGGTTCACTGAGGACAATGCCTTCATAATCTAGAACTCAAAGATTGGGTCTTCTGAGAACATCAGAGAAAGACTGTCCTTGCCATCCACACTACAGCAAAACTTGGGGACCTTGAACTTTGGGTTCATAATCTCAATACTGAGCAGTGTCCCTCCACACTCTTGGAACTGTACACCCATTGGGACCCTTAAGGTAAAGCTAACCAGGACAGTTTCTCCCCAGAAGATGGCATCCTTAATGTGAACAACTTTTTTCCAAAATCACAGATCAAGACTTCTCTGCTATCACGAAACAGTTATCTTTGAATATTTTTTTCTTGCTTATGCCTCTATGAACAATAGAAGTGAAAAAGGGGTCTATTATGTGCACTTACAGCATATACTTTTATTTGTGAAGGATTTTGCAGCCAGCCTTATACATGAATAACTTTATACTTTAATAGATAAAAGATGAAGGCCCAGTGTAAGTGAGAAACTTTAATGGTACATATATTGTCTCATAATCAGCCAAAACTCCTCTTAACCCACATCAGGATTTAAAGAGAACATTGCCAGGTGGCCTTCACTCTTCTAGGACATCATTTGTTAGGTCCTGTTTCTGTTATTTTGAATAAAAGAGGCAATAACTAGAAATGTATCCCTCATAATAGACTCCATAGCAGATTCTATGTAAAGGCAATCATTACCCAACAGGCTTTAAATTCTCCTGTGAAAGTTATGCTGAATAATAGAATTAGCTAAACAAAAAAGTATCTGTGCAGCTGCTGGCACTTGTGGCCTATAAAGAAATACATCAGGCTCACACCTGTAATCCCAACAATTTGGGAGGCCAAGGTGGGTGGATCACAAAATCAGGAGACAGAGACCATCCTGGCCAACATGGTGAAACCCCATCTCTACTAAGAATACAAAAATTAGCTGGGCGTGGTAGCTCTTGCCTGTAGTCCCAGCTACTTGGGAGGCTGAGGCAGGAGAATCACATGAACCTGGGAGGCAGAGGTTGCAGTGAGCCAGGATCACACCACTGCACTCTAGCCTGGGCAACAGAGCAAGACTTCATCTTGAAAAAAGAAAAAAAAAGAAAGAAAGAAAAGAAAAGAAAAAGAAAGAAATACATCGAATGCAGATTATAAAAAATTCAGTTGTAGGGGATTAATGAAAAGACCACTTAGTCAAGTGAGCAGACTCTTCATGTAGCTCATTCTTTAATGTATTTAATTTTAAGCGGTTTGGTTTATGGGAACCCTGTATAAGGCACATACTCCAAACTCTTGATATTATCCTCCCAATAGTCATAATAATAGTCTCCCTCCTGCGCTGTATTCTCTCAAAGTTTTTAAATGTTTGCACGCAGCCATCTCTAGAATGTCAAATGGTCTCTCTTCAACTAGAATGATGAAAGCTGAAAGAAATGTGTGACCATAAGGACACCACAACCTATAAATGACATGCTGAGACTGGAAACTCAAAATGATGGTAATTGAGAGTGGTGCTAAGGCCCTAAGTTTTGGTCACAATCTCACCTAAGTGAGAACCTTGCCAAAGAGGGGAATTTTATTTTAAACAAAATTATGGGAGGCCATTATTTTGTACTGAGCTCATGCAGTAGGCCCAAACAGACCAATCCAAACTAATATGGAGTTACTTGTGCTAAATATGACATAATTAAACTAAAACTTCAAGGAAACACAAAGATCCTAGAGCAGACCAGGTTTTGTTTTTCTCCTGTAAACAGAATGTTCCAGCATAAAGAGGTACCCCTACTCAGTCGTTGTTCCCTTCTTGCAAAACCCACTGTTCTATTGTTTCCCAGTGGGTTTCAAGACCATAAGTACATTTACAATGGTGATAGTGACATCAATGACTAAGGTTTTGGTCAATCTCTCGAATTTGAGAAAATGACCAAAAGGGGGGGAATTGTTAAAGCAAACTAAACGTGGCCTGAGAAGGATTCCGTACTTCTATATTTGAGTCCTTGTGGATGAACAGCAACCTAGTTTAATAGTCAGAAAAGATTGAAAACCTAACTTAGGAGTATGCGCCTGTAACAATAACTGAGTCTTGGCCAATCCCAGTGGCCATCCTTCAACCACTCAGAGACTGCTAAATGTTCAAACTGTGTTCAAATAAGGCAAACGCCAGCCTGTAACCAGTCCAGCTATTTCTGTATCTCACTTCTGATTTCTGTACGTCATTTCCCCTTTTTCATCTATAAATATTCTTTTACCAAGTGGCTGCGCTGGAGTCTCTGTGACTCTGCTGTGATTCTGGGGTTGCCCAATTCATGAATCATTAATTGCTCAATTTAGAAAGGAAATGTTTGGGTTAGGATAAAGCATTGTGGAGATCCAAGTTCTTATTTACAGAGGAAGCCTTCAAGTACTAGGCTTTAGAGAGAATAGGTTGTAAAATGTTTCTTATCAGACTTAAGGCCTGTGTCGATGTTAATGCTGGAGAGGTATAATGAGGCATGTTCAACCCCCATTTTTCATTTATGGGGGTTGAAACCATCTCTCAGGTTAAATTTTAAAAGAGCCCTGGCTGATGAGCATGTCCATTCAGGTGGTTGGGGACCTTAGAATTTTATTTTTGGTTTACAAATTAGACAGGAGGAATAATTTCTGGTGATCTAGTGCATAGCAAGGTGACTGCAGTTAATTATAGTGTATTGTATGTATCAAAATTGCTAAAAGAAGGAATTTTAAATGTTCTCACCACAAATAAATGATAAATATATGAGGGGATGGATACGTTAATTAGCCTGATCTGCTAATTCCCCAATGTATACATGTATCACAATGTCACATTTTACCCTATGGTATAGAAAATTATTATTTGTCAATTAAAAATTTTTCAAAGAGGGCAATGATAGCTTCCTGATATGAGTAGCAAAAAAAACAAAATGGCAGCACAAGCCAAAGTTTAACAGAGAGAATCAGGGAAAGAACATCTAAGAAGGGCCCAGATGGGATAATAGTCAACTCTAGGAGTTAGGAAGACTGTGTACATATGCTGGGCTTCACTCAGGAGCAATCGGAGAAAGGCACAGGGCATACCTGAAAACATTTCCAAAGCCACATGCAGATTCATCAAAAAGAGACAAAGCTTCATTGACACAAGGGGTTTAAGCACAATTCCTGACCAAACACTATAAATTACTGAACTATAAATTACTCTGACCCAAGAACAACTCATAGGAAGTCAGGTTTAAAAATAAAATTAAGACTAGGTACAGTGGCTCATGCTTGTAATCGCAACACTTTAGGAGGCTGAGGGGGTGCGGATCACTTGAGGTCAGGAGTTCAAGACCACCCTGGCCATCATGGTGAAACACCATCTCTACTAAAAATACAAAAATTAGCCAGTTGTGGTGGTGAGGGCCTGTAATCCCAGCTACTTGGGAGGCTGAGGCAGGAGAATTGCTTGAACTCAGGAGATGGAGGTTGAGCTGAGATCACGCTACTGTGCTCCAGCCTGGATGACAGAGTAAGACTCTGTCTCAAAAAAAAATAAAATAAAATAAATAAATAAATAAAAATAAAAATAATACATCCCTGGCAATCTGAAAGACTGTTTCATGACAAAGCTGCACACTCAGGAGACATCAGAGAAGGAAAATACAAGCTACCCATTCCTGGTTGAATATAGGAGAAAAAGATAAACTCCTTGAATTGTGATAGCCTCCATACTACACATACATCCCATGGTAAAGGTTAAAAGTCTAACTTACTAGAAGATCTTAAGCACAGTCTCTGACAAATAAGTGGCTTATACTGACCTACAGGCAACTCCTAGGTAGTCAGAATAAAATATAAAACAAGAAAAAAAATCAGAGAAGGGACATCAAAGGCTGCACACTTCAGAAGAAATAAACTTCACATAGTTAGGTCTGCCAAGTCACTGAACAAATAAACAACCAAAACAACAGCATCATTAACTTGGAGAGAGGTCAAAGATCACAACTGAGGGTACTGGTGATCTAAAAACTAAAGAAAACTATATCTAAAAATTAAAGAAAGGTATAAAAGTGTCTCATCAAATAAAGAATTTCAATAAAGAGAGAAATCATTTTAAAATAATCAAATGGAAATTCTGGAGGTGAAAATTTCAATAACAAATAAAAACATCACTAGAAGTACTCAACGGCAAATTTGAATTAACAGGAGAATGAGTCAGCAAACTTGAAGATAGATTTATAGAGATTATACTATCTGAAGAGTACAAAAAAAGAATAAAAATAACAAACAGTACTTCAGAGAAATGTGGGAAATCATTAAATGCACCAACATATGTGTAATGGGAATAGCGGAAGTGAAGGAGAGAAAGAAAAATACAGAAAAATATCTAAACAAATAAAGGTTGATGAAACCAAAAGCACAAGTATAAAACAAAAATAGGCAAATGGAATTATATCAAACTAAAAATCTGCACAGCAAAGGAAACAATCAACAGAGTGAAGAGACAACATATGGAATGAGAGAAAATGTTTGCAAGTCGTACATCTGATAAGAGGTTAACATCCAAAATACATAAGGAACTCCAATAAATCAATAGTAAGAAAACAAATAACCTGGTTACAAAATAGGCAAATAATCTGAATAGACATTTCTCAAAAGAAGACATATAAGTAGATAACAGGTATATGAAAAAATGCTCAAAATCACAAATCATCAGAGAAATGCAAATTAAAACCACAATGAGATATGGCCTCACACCTCTTAGAATGGCTGTTATCAAAAAGATGAAAGATAACAAGTATTGGAGAAGATGTGAAGAAAAAGGAACACCTGCATACTGCTGGTGGGAAAGCAAATTAGTGCCATTATTTAAAAAAAAAAAAAGGAAGTTTCTAAAAAAATTGAAAATAAAACAACCATATGACCACCATTCCACTCCTGAATATATATCCAAAGTATATGAAATCAGTATATCAAAGAACTATCTCCACTCCCATGTTCATCACAGCATTATTCACAATAGCCAAGATATGGAATCATCCTAACTGTTCATCAACAGATGAATGGATAAAGAAAATGTGGTATATGTACACATCAAAGTACTATTCATCCATAAAAAAGAAGAAAATCCTGTCATTTGCAACAATATGGGTAAACTGGATGAACATTGTGTTACATGAAATAAACCAGGCACAGAAAGATAAAAACCACATGATCTCACTTATATGTAGAATGTATAACAATTAAACTCATAGAAGTAGAGAGTAGAATAGTGGTTACCAAAGGTTTGGGATTGGGGAATACTTGAGGAGATGTTGGTTAAAGGACATAAAATTTCATTTAGATAGGAGGAATAAGTTTAAGAGATCTATTTTACAGCATGGTACATAGTTAATAACAATGTATTGTATTCTTGAAAATTCCTAAGAGAATAAATTTTAAGTGTTCTCACCATAAAAAAATAAGTATGTGAAGTAATAGATGTATTCATTAGCTTGGGTGAGCCATTCCACAATGTACACATATTTCAAAACATGTCGTATATGATAAATATATACAATTTTTATATGTGAATTAAAAAATCAAGAAATAGTGTCTGAAAATTTCTCAAATTTCACCAAAAAATCCCCAATAATCTACACATTCAATAAGCTCAACAAGCTTCAGGTAAGAGAAATGCAAAGAGAGCCACACACAGACACATCATAGTTAAGACAAAGAGAAAAATCTCAAAAAAGAGTAAGAGAAAATGACTCATCATGCACTAGGGAGCACTAATAAGATTAACAGCTTACTTCTTATCAGGGATAACAGAGGCCAGTAGACATTAGAATAACATATTCATACTGTTGAAAGTAAAAAAAAAAACAAAAACAAAAAACACAAAACACACACACACAAAAACTGTCAACAAAGAATCTCAGATCCAGAAAAAACGATTTTTCAAAAATGAAGGTGAAAAGGTGATAAAGAAGAGCTAGCAGATGTGCTTCTAAGAAATAGACAGTTATTTAGGCTGAGAGCAAGTTACAGCAAACAGTATTTTGAATCAATATAAATAAACAAGGAGTGCCAGTAAGATAATTAAGTAGGTAATTCTAAAAGATAAAGCAATTCCATATTGCTTCTCCTTTCTTCTCTTAATTGATTTAAGGACAATTATATGAAACAATATGTATTGTGTTGTGTTATATTGTACTGTACTGTAGGGTATATAACATACAGAAATGTAATATATTTGACAATAACACAACAAAAAAGGCAGGTGAGAATGTAGCTTTATTGCACTAAGGAAATGATGCCAGATGGTAACTTGAATCCAAAAGAAGAAAATAAGAGAATCAGAAATAGTAAATTGGAAGTTTAATAAACTCTATAACTACATCCTTTCTGTCAGCTTCTCTAAAAGACATATGTTTTATATAAAGTAATAATTATAAAAGTGTAATATTGTGTTTGTAAGCAATATACCTGTAATAGGTATAATATTTGGATTTTTAAAAATGGTGAAGAGGGATTAGAGTTATATAGAAGTTTCTACATGTCACTGGAACTAAGTTATGACAGATCTTATCCAGTTCTGTTTTTCAAAAAAGGAAATTTTATCTTTCATAGTTCTGGAGGCTGGGAAGTCCACATCAAAGTTCAAGTTTATTTGCTTTCTTGTGAGGGCTCTCTTCCAATTTTGCACTTGATGGCCTTATCTAGGGTCCCATCTTCATTACTATTGATACATCTAACCCTGATTATCTCCCAAACACTCCATCTTAAATACCATCATATTTACTGGATGTTAGGGGTTCAAGTGTGTATCATACTGTTCTTATGGTGTCCATATATATATTATATATAGTTCTCCATCTTTGCTTTCGTTGCCTGTGCTTTTGATGTCCTCTCAAGAAATTCTTGCCAAGTCCAGTGTTATGAAGTTTTTCTCCTAAGTTTTCTGCTAGTCATTGTAAAGTTTCCTCTCTTACATTTTTATATTTAATTTATCTTAAGTTGATTTTTTAATATATGATGTAAAATAAGGGTCTAATTTCATTGTTTTGCAGGTGGATATCCAGTTTTCCTAACACCATTTGTGGAAGAGACTATCTTTTCCCCATCATGTAGTCTTGGTACTCTTGTCAAAGAACAATTGATTGTGTTTGTGTAGAATTATTTCTGGGCTCTTTATTATGTTTCATTGGCTTATATGTCTCTTTTAATGCCAGTACCATACTATTTTGATTACTACAGGTTTTTCATATGTTTTGAAATTAGGAAATGTGATGCCTCCAGCTTTATTCTCCTTTCTTAACATTATTTTGGCAGTTTGTGGTCCTATGTGGTTCTACATGGATTTTAGGATTGTTTTTTATTTTTATTTTGTTAAAAATTGCAATTGGAATTTTGATACATATTGCATTTCATCTCTAGATCACTTTGGATACTATAGACGTTTTAACAATATTAAGTCTTCCAATCCACGAACACAGGATGTCCTTCCACTTATTTGTATTTTCTTTAATGTATTTCAGTACCAATTTGTAGTTTTCACTATATCGGTCTTTTGCCTTCTTGATTAAATTTTTTCCTATGGAACTATGGAAAAGGAAATTCCTATTTCCTTTACAGGACACATAATTATAGACACATGTGTCCTATTATAGACACATAATTTATAAAGATCAAATCAGTGAATTTGGGATCTCCACCTTAAATATTTGTCTTTTCTTTATGCTAGAACCATTCAAATTCTTCTCTTTCAGCTATTTGGAAATGCACACTAGATTACTATAAACTATAGTCACCCCACTGATCTATCTAACACTGGGTCTTATTTCTTCTATGAAACCATGTATTTGTACCCATTAATCAACTTCTCTTCAGTCTTTCCTTGATCTTTCCCCTTCCCCATCTCAGCTTCTGGTAACCACCAATCTACTCTCTATCTTCATAAGAGCCACTTTTTTTCGTTTAGCTCCCACATGAATGATAACATGTGATATTTGTCTTTCTATGCTTGGCTTATTTCACTTAACATAATGAACTCCAATTTTCATTCATGCTGCTGCAAATGACAGGATTTCATTCTTTTCATGGCTGAATAATAGTCCGTTATATATTTATACCACATTTTCTTTACCCATTCATCCACTGAGGGACACTTAGATTGATTCCATATTTTGGCTATTGTGAATACTGCTGCAATAAACATAGAAGTGCAGGTGTCTTTTGAATATATACATTTCCTTTTTTATACTTAGTAGTGGAATTGCTAGATCCTATGGTAATTCTATTTTTAATTTTTTGAGGAATCTCCATATTGTTCTTTACAGTAGCTGTACTAATTTACATTTCCACCAACAGTATATGAGGCTGTCCTTTTCTCCACATCCTCATCAGCATCTGTTATTGCCTGTCTTTCTGACACAAGCCATTTTAACTGTGGTAAGATATTTCATTGTGGTTTTGATTTGCATTTCTCTGATGATTAATGATGTTGAAAATTTTTAAATATACCTGTTGCTCATTTGTATGTCTTCTTTTGAGAAATGTCTGTTGAGATCTTTTGCCCATTTTAAAAAATCTTTAGCCCATTTTTTAAACCCAATTGTTGTTTGTTTTGTTTTGTTTTATTTTGCTCTTGTGTTTGAACTCCTTATATATTATTGTATTGGTTTGGCTCTATATTATGGTCATTTGTCCCTTGTCAGGTGGGTAGTTTGAAAATATTTTCTCTCATTCTTTTGGCTGTCTCTTCATTTTGCTGATTATTTCCTATACTATACAGAAGCTTTTTAGCTCAATGTAATCCCATTTGTCTATTATTGCTTCAGTTGTCTGTGCTTTTGAAGTCTTACACACACACAAAAATCTTTGCTCAGATCAAAGTCCTATAACATTTCTCCAATGTTTTCTTGTAATAGTTTGATAGTTTCAGGTCTTAGATTTAGGTCTTTAATCCATTCTGATTTGATTTTTGTGTAGAGTGAGAGATAGGGGTCTAGTTTCATTAGTCCACATGTAGTTATCCAGTTTTCCCAACACCATTGATTAAAGAGACTATCCTTTCCTCATTGTATGTTCTTGTGTGGACTTATATCTGAATTCGCTATTGGTCTACATGTCTGTTTTTATATCAATACCATGCTGTGTTTGTTATCATAGCTTTGAGGTAAATTTTGAAGTTAGGTAGTGTCATGCCTCCAGCTTTGTTGTTTTTGCTCAGTATTGGTTTGGCTATTCAGGGTCTTTTGTGGTTATGTATAATTGAGCATGAAATATTTTCCCATTTTTTGTGTCCTCTTCAGTTTCTTTTATCAGTATATTATAGTTTTCCTTGTATAGATCTTTAACTTTTTTGGTTAAATTGATTCGTAGGTATTTTATATTCTTTGTAACTATTGTAAATGGAATTGTTTTCTTAATTTATTTTTCATATTGTTTACTGAATTTATCAGTTCTAATAGTTTTTTGTGGAATCTTTAGGTTTTTAAATATTTGGTAGAATTTAGCAATGGAACCATCAGGTCCTGGGCTCTTCTTTGATGGGGATATTTTTATCACTATTGGTATGTTCAGGTTTTCTATTTCCTCATGGTTCAACCTTGGTAACTTGTATATATTCAGAAATTTTTTCATTTCTTCTAGGTTTTCCAATTTGTTGGAATATAGTTTTAAATAATATTCTCCAGTGATACTTTGTATTTCTGTGACATCAGTTGTAATGTCTCCTTTTATATCTCTCATTTTATTTAATTGGGTCTTCTCTCTTTTTCCTTAGTCTAGCTAAAGGCTTGTCCCTTTTGTTTAACTTTTTAAAAACCATCTTTTTGTTTTGTTAATCTCTGTATTTTTTTAGTCTCAATTTCATTTATGTCTGCCTTCATCTTTATTATTTCTTTCCACTGTGAATTTTGGGCTTGGCTTATTCTTGCTTTTCTAGTTCCTTAAGGTGCATCATTAGGTTATTTGAAATATTTCTAATTCTTTGATATAAGTGTTTGTTGCTATAAACTTCCTTCTTTAGTATTGCTTTTGCCTTATATCATAAACTTGGGGATGTTGTATTTTCATTTTCATTTATTTTAAGAAATTTTAAAATTTCCTTCTTAATTTTTTTACTGACCCATTGGTCATTCAGGAGCATGTTGTTTAATCTCCAGGTGTTTGTGTATTTTCAAAGATTCCTCTTATTGATTTTGATTTCTAGTTTTATTTCACTGTGGTCAGAAAAATACTTAATATAATTTCTAGGTTAAAATTTTTTTCAGACTTGTTTTGTGGCCTATCATATGTTTTATTCTGAAGAATGTTCCATGTGCTGATGAAAAGGATATGTATTCTGCAGCATTTGGGTGAAATGTTCTGTAAATGTTAGTTAGGCCTATTAACTATAGTGCATAGTTTAACTCCACTCTTTCTTTGTTGATTTTCTTTCTGGATGATCAGTGCATTACTGGGAGTGGGGTGTTAAAGTTTCCTAGTATTACTTATTCCAATCTATTTCTCCTTTAACTCTATTAATGTTTGCTTTATATACTTGGGAGTTTTAGTGTTGGGTGCATAGATATTTATAATTGTTATATCCTCATGCCAAATTGACCTGTTATCATTATATATTGACCTTGTCTCTTTTTACAATCTTAAATTTGTAGTCTATTTTATCTGATATAAGCATAGCTACTTCTGCTTTTTTGGGGTTTCTAGTTGCATGGAATATCTTTTTCCACACCTTCATGTTGTGGGGAGTCACGGACCCCGAATGGAGGGACCAGATGGAGCCGCGGCAGAGGAACATAAATTGTGAAGATTTCATGGACATTTACCAGTTCCCAAAATTAATACTTTTATAATTTCTTATGCCTGTCTTTACTGCAATCTCTGAAGATAAACTGTGAAGATTTCATGGACATTTATCAGTTCTCAATACTCTTATAATTTCTTATGCCTGTCTTTAATCTCTTAATTCTGTTATCTTCATAAGTTGAAAATGTACGTCACCTCAGGACCACTATTGTACAAATTGATTGTAAAACATGTGTATTTCAACAATATGAAATCAGTGCACCTTGAAAAAGAACAGAATAACAGCAATTTTCAGGGAACAAGGGAAGACAACCATAAGGTCTGACTGCCTGTGGGGTCGGGCAGAATAGAGCCATATTTTTCTTCTTGCAGACAGCCTATAAATGGACATGCAAGTAGGAGACATATCACTGAATTCTTTTCCCAGCAAGGAATATTAATAATTAATACCCTGGGGTAGGAATGCATTCCTGGGAGGAGGTCTATAAATGGCCACTCTGGGAGTGTCTGTCTTATGCGGTTGAGATAAGGACTGAAATACGCCCTGGTCTCCTGCAGTACCCTCAGGCTCACTAGGGTGGGGAAAAACCCCACCCTGGTGAAATTGAGGTCAGACTGGTTCTCTGCTCTCAAACCCTGTTTTCTGTTGTTTAAGATGTTTATCAAGACAATACGTGCACAGCTGAACATAGATCCTCATCAGTAATTCTAATTTTGCCCTTTGCCTCGTGATCTTTGTTTTGCCCTTTGCCTTGTGATCTTTACTGGCCTCAGAAGCATGTGACCTTTGTGACCTACTTCCTGTTCATACACCCCCTCCGCTTCTGAAATCCCTAATAAAAGCTTACTGGTTTTGCGGGCTCAGGTGGGCATCATGGACCTACTGATATGTGATGTCACCCCCGGCGGCCCAGCTGTAAAATTCCTCTCATTGTACTCTTTCTCTTTATTTCTCAGACCGGCTGACACTTACGGAAAATAGAAAGAACTATGTTGAAATATTGGGGGCTGGTTCCCCCAATACCGTCACATTCAGTCTATGTGAGCCTTTATAGGTGAAGTGTGTTTCTTGAAGGCACCGTATAGTTGGGTCTTATTTCTTTATGCATTCAGCCACTGTGTGTCTTTTAATTTGAGAATTGAGCCCATTTACATTAAGTGTTGTTACTGATAAATAAGGACTTACTACTCCCATGTTGTTGCTTGGTTTCTGGTTGTTTTATAGCTCCCCTGTCTCTCTTTCTTTCCTTCTTTCTCTTCTTTTGTGGGTAATTTTTTTCTGGTAGTATGTTGGTTTTTTAGTTTTTAGTGAGTATTATAGGTTTCTGCATGGTGATTACCATGAGGCTTACACAGATATCTTACAGTTATCCTGGGTTATTTTAAACTGAAAATGATTTAACTTTGATTGCAAAGAAAAGTATCAAAACAAACTACACTTTGATACCACCCCCCAAAACACACGTTTTGACTTTTCTGATGTTTTAATCTATATCTTTTTATATTGCCTATACTTTAACCAATTGCTGTATTGTTGCTTTTAATAATTTTGTTTTTAGTCTTTATATTTATGATATAAGTGGTTTACTTACCACAATTACAGTACTAAAGTATTCTCAATTTGCCTGTTTTCCTTTGCTAGTGAGTTTTATACTTTCAGATGTTTTCTTGTTACATTGTTAACATCCATTTCTTTCAGATTGAAGAACTCTCTTTAGTATTTCTTATAAGTTAGATCTGGTGTTGATGAATTCTCTAAGTTTTGTTTGTCTGGAAATGTCTTTTTTTTTAATATTTGAGGGATAGCTTTGCTGGGCACAGTATTCTTAGTTGGCAGAGTAATTCTGTCAGCACTTTGAATATAACATCCCACTCTCTCCTGGCCTTCAAGGTATTTGTTGAACAATCTACTGATATCTGTATTGGGACTCTGTGAATTTAATGTTTCTTTTCTCTTGCTGTTTTGGGTATCCTTTCTTTGTCTTTGATTTTTGATAATTTGACTATAATGTGCCAGGGAAAATTTCTCTTTTCTTATTATACTTTAAGTTCTAGGGTACATGTGCAAAACGTAGACGTCTGTTACACGGGTATACATGTGCCATGGTGGTTTGCTGCACCCATCATCTACATTAGGTATTTTTTCTAATGCTATCCCTCCCCCTACCCCAAACCCTGACAGACCCCATTTTGTGATGATCCCCTCCCTGTGTCCATGTGTTCTCATTGTTCAACTCCCACTTAGGAGTGAGAACATACGGTGTTTGGTTTTCTGTTCTTGTGTTAGTTTGCTGAGAGTGATGGTTTCCAGCTTCATCCACGTCCCTGAAAAGGACATAAACTCATCCTTTTTTATGGCTGCATAGTATTTCATGGTGTATATGTGCCACATTTTCTTTATCCATTGATGGGCATTTGAGTTGATTCCAAGTCTTTGCTATTATGAACAGTGCCACAATAAACATATGTGTGCATGTGTCTTTATAGCAGAACAATTTATAATCCTTTGGATATATACCCAGTAATGGGATTGCTGGGTCAAATGTTATTTCTAGTTCTAGATCCTTGAGGAATTGTCACACTGTCTTCCACAACAGTTGAACTAATTTACACTCCCAGCAACAGCGTAAAAGCATTCCTATTTCTCCACATCCCCTCCAGCATCTGTTGTTTCCTGACTTTTTAATGATTGCCATTCTAACTGGCATGAGATGGTATCTCATTGTGGTTTTGATTTGCATTTCTCTAATGATCAGTGATAATGAGCATTTTTTCATATGTTTCTTGGGGGCATGAATGTCTTCTTTTGAGAAGTGTCTGTTCATATCCTTCACCCACTTGTTGATGGGGTTGTTTGTCTTTTTCTTGTAAACTTGTTTAAGTTCTTTGCAGATTCCAGATATTAGCCCTGTGTCAGATGGGTAGATTGCAAAAATTTTCTCCCATTCTGTAGGTTGCCTGTTCACTCTGAGGACAGTTTCTTTTGCTGTGCAGAAGCTCTTTAGTTTAATTAGATCCCATTTGTCTATTTTGGCTTTTGTTGCCATTGCTTTTGGTGTTTTAGTCACGAAGTCCTTGCCCATGCCTATATCCTGAATGGTAATGCCTAGGTTTTCTTCTAGGGTTTTTATGGTTTTAGGTCTTACATTTAAGTCTTTAATTCATCTTGAATTAATTTTTGTATAAGGTGTAAGGAAGGGATCCAGTGTCAGCTTTCTACATATGGCTAGCCAGTTTTCCCAACACCATTTATTAAATAGAGAATCCTTTCCCCATTTCTTGTTTTTGTCAGGTTTGTCAAAGATCAGATGGTTGTAGATGTGTGGTGTTATTTCTGAGGCCTCTGTTCTGTTCCATTGGTCTATATATCTGTTTTGGTACCCGTGTCATGCTGTTTTGGTTACTGGAGCCTTGTAGTATAGTTTGAAGTCAGGTAGCGTGATGCCTCCAGCTTTGTTCTTTTTGCTTAGGATTGTCTTGGCTATGTGGGCTCTTTTTTGGTTCCATATGAAATTTAAAGTAGTTTTTTTTTCCAGTTCTGTGAAGAAAGCCAATGGTAGCTTGATGGGGATAGCATTGAATATAAAACTTACTTTGGGTAGTATGGCCATTTTCATGATATTAATTCTTCCTATCCATGAGCATGGAATGTTTCCCCATTTGTTTGTGTCCTCTTGTATTTCCTTGAGCAGTGGTTTGTAGTTCTCCTTGAAGAGGTCCTTCATATCCCTTGTAAGTTTTATTCCTAGGTATTTTATTCTCTTTGTAGCAATAGTGAATGGGACTTCACTCATGATTTGGCTCTCTGTTTGTCTGTTATTGGTGTATAGGGATACGTGTGATTTTTTTCACATTGATTTTTTTATCCTGAGACTTTGCTGAAGTTGCTTATTAGCTTAAGGAGGTTTTGGGCTGAGACGATGGGGTTTTCTAAATATACAGTCATGTCATCTGGAAACAGAGACAATTTGACTTCCTCTTTTCATAATTGAATACGCTTTATTTCTTTCTCTTGCCTGATTGCCCCGGCCAGAACTTCAAATACTATGTTGAATAGGAGTGATGAGAGAGGGCAACCTTGTCTTGTGCTGGTTTTCAAAGGGAATGCTTACAGTTTTTGCCTGTTCAGTATTTTGAGATACGTTCCATCAATACCTAGTTTATTGAGTTGTTAGCATGAAGGGCTGTTGAATTTTGTCAAAGGCCTTTTCTGCATCTATTGAGATAATCACATGGTTTTTGTCATTGGTTCTGTTATGTGATGGATTACATTTATTGATTTGCATATGTTGAACTAGCCTTGCATCCCAGGGATGAAGCCAACCTGATCATGGTGGATAAGCTTTTTGACATGCTGCTGGATTCTGTTTGCCAGTATTTTATTGTGGATTTTTGCCTCGATGTTTATCAGGGATATTGGCCTAAAATTTTCTTTTTTTGTTGTGACTCTGCCAGGATTTGGTATCAGGATGTTGCTGGCCTCATAAAATGTGTTAGGGAGGATTCCCTCTTTTTCTATTGTTTGGAATGGTTTCAGAAGTAATGGTACCAGCTCCTCTTTGTACTTCTGATAGAATTTGGCTGTGAATCCATCTAGCCCTGGACTTTTTTTGGTTGGTAGGCTATTAATTACTGCCTCAATTTCAGAACTTATTATTAGTCTATTCAGGGATTCGATTTCTTCTTGGTTTAGTCTTGGGAGGGTGTATGTGTCCAGCAATTCGTTTAACATTTTTTCAAGGTTCTTAGCTTCCTTGCATTGGGTTAGAACATGCTCCTTTAACTCAGAGGAGTTTGTTATTACCCACTTTCTGAAGCCTACTTCTGTCGATTCGTCAAATTCATTCTCTGTCCAGTTTTGTTCCCTTGCTGGTGAGGAGTTTTGATCCTTTGGAGGAGAAGAGGCATTCTGGTTTTTGGAGTTTTCAGCCTTTTTGTGCTGGTTTCTCCCCATCTTCGTGGATGTATCTACCTTTGGTCTTTGATGCTGTTGACCTTCAGATGGGGTCTCTGAGTGGAAGTACTTTTAGTTGATGTTGCTACTATTCCTTTCTGTTTGTTAGTTTTCCTTCTAACAGTCAGGCCCCTCTGCTGCAGGTCTGCTGGAGTTTGCTGTAGGTCTACTCCAGACCATGTTTGCCTGGGTATCACCAGCAGAGGCTGCAGACCAGCAAAGATTGTTGCCTGTTGCTTCCTCCCAGAGTGGCACCCACCAGATGCCAGCGAGAGATCTCCTGTATGAGGTGTCTGTCGGCCCCTACTGGGAGATGTCTCCCAGTCAGGATACACAGGGGTCAGGGACCCAATTGAGGAGGCAGTCTGACTCTTATCATAGTGTGAATGCTGTGCTGGGAGATCCGCTGCTCTCTTAAGAGCTGTCAGGCAGGGATGTTTAAGTTTGCGGAAGCCCCACCCACAGCCCCTCCTTCCCCCAGGGAGATGGGGGTTTTATCTATAAGTCCCTGACTGGGGCTGCTGCCTTTTTTTTCAGAGATGTCCTGCCTAGTGAGGTAGTCTGGCTGCAGCGGCCTTGCTGAGCTGCAGTGGGCTCCACCAGTTCGAACTTCCCAGCAGCTTTGTTTACATTGTGAGGGTATAACCGCCTACTCAGGCCTCAGCAATGGCAGACGCCCCTCCCCCCACCAAGCTCCAGTATCCCAGGTCGACCTCAGACTGCTGTGCTGGCAGCGAGAATTTCAAGCCAGTGGATCTTAGCTTGCTGGTCTCCGTGGGGGTGGGACCTGCTGAGCCAGGCCCCGGGGGGAATCTCCTGGTCTGCCGGTTGCAAAGACCATAGGAAAAGTGCAGTAACTGGGTCGGAGTGCACTGTTCCTCCAGGTACAGTCTCTCATGGCTTCCCTTGGCTATGAATGGGTAATCCCCCAACCCCTTGTGCTTCCAGGTGAGGCGATGCCCCACCATGCTTTGGCTTGCCCCTCCATGGGCTGCACCCACTTTCCAACCAGTCCCAGTGCAATGAACCTCAGTTGCAAATGCAGAAATCACCCACCTTCTGCGTCGATCTTGCTGGGAGCTACAGATCGGAGCTGTTCCTATTCAGCCATCTTGCCAGCGAGTCCAGAAAATTCCTCTTTTGATTTAATTTGACTGATAAATTGGAAAGACCTCTGAGTTTTCTGTGTCTGAATGCTATTATTTCTCCAGATTTAGAAAAATTTCAGCCATTATTTTCATAAATATGCTTTCTAGGTCTTTTCCTTTCTTGTCTCCTTTGGTAATTCCAATTATGTAATGGTGTCCCATAATCCTTGTAGGCTTTCTTTACTCTTTTTAATTATTTTTCTCTTTTTGCTCTTCTAATTGGGTAATTTCATACATTCTGTCTTCAAGCTTGCTAATTCTTTTCCCTGTTTGATCAAGTCTCCAATTGAAGCTTTCTAGTGAATTTTTCAGTTCAGTTATTGTATTCTTAATTTCCAGCATTTTTATTTGGTTTAAATTTTTTTTTTTTTTTGGTCAAATTTCTCATTTTGTTCCTGGATTGTTTTCTGAATTTCATTTAGTTTTTAATCTGTATTTTCTTGTGATTCCCTGAACTTCCTTAAGTAGATTGTTCTGAATTGTCTGTCAGATATTTTATAAATATTCATTTCTTCTGGATCCATTGCTGGAGCTTTGTTGGTTTCTTTTGGTGGTGTCATATTTCCCTGAGTTTTCACAATCATTGCATCTTTACATTGATGCTTGGGCATTTGAGGAGACAGCCACCTCTTTTAGTTTTTGCAGCTGTTCTTTGCCAATGTTAGAACTTTACTTCCTAATATTAGAATGTAAACATTTGCTGCTTGTTGCTTCCTATTCTGTGGAGGACTTAGAGTGAGCACCAGAACTAAAACATCACACTAGAACTAACTCATTGGCTTGTCTTTGTTTCTTGGTCTAGAAGACTTAGAGTGAGCACAGAACTTCAGTGCTACTCTGGAAATACACTGCTGCCCTGCCTTTGTTTCCCAGTCTAGAGAAGACTTATATAGTAGGCACTGGAGCATAAATGATGCCTTGAAACTATATTGCTGTCCTGCTGTTGTTTCTTCTGGGGAAGACTTAAGTGGGCATCAGAACTTATTCCCAACCTTTTAGTTGTTTCTGGGCCAGAGGATGGCTCCACATGAGTACCTGGGCTTAGTGAAAAATTTTACTAGGGATTTGGGCCTTCCCATGGATGGTGCCCCCTATGGTGTTATGGCACCAGCCAGTGTCTTCAATGTTGTGTGCCCACTGATTAGAGCACTGAGCTGCTAAGACCCACATGCCAATCGATGTGATCATTGCCCTGCTTTGTCCCCAGTTCACCCCAGTTTGTTCAGCCCTCCTGGTACTCCCAATAGTTCTCATGGGAAGAGACTAGAGTGGGCTTCCTATGAAGATACCCAAACTGATGGAGAAATCAAATCTCCACCTCCAGTTTCCTCCTTTCACCTTGGCAACTGTGGGTTGGTCGTAGCTTCTCTTGATTCTGTGGGTCCAGGGGGTTTCTCCACTTCTCCCTAGAGTTCTGGTGTATACAGGTTGGTATTTTTGTCTTTGAATTGTTTCTTGTTGTATTTGTGTGGAGGGTATGATGCCAGGGGGTTTTCTATTCCACCATCTTGCTGAAGTCACTCTGACAAAATCAAAAGCTGTTTTATGTGTACCCAAGGAGGCCCTCTGGCTCTTACATTCGGCCTTTACTTGCTGATTAATTTACTCTCAGTCTTTCATTGTTTTTCTCCAAAGCACTGATTGACCCTAGCAATGGCCTTTATGTTCTATATTTCTTATCCTTTTTTTCTCTATCTCTAAAATGCCTCACACATTGTACCTGTCAGTAAATTACCTTACATCAGTATAATATCTCAGTTCATCATGGTAACATTTTTAACAATTGCATGCTACTACATGTCAGGGTCTACCAGTAACTACCAGCTGTGATGGGATCATCATTGCCAGCTGCCTGCAAGTGATCTAGCTCCAAAATCTCATTTTAGAGTCTGCTCTCTCAGACTGCTTCTGGCACTAGCTGTTACTAGGCAGGTTTCCCAAGCAGCAGACTCTGATAAAAGATTTGTTGATAGGTGCATTAGGGCATGCTCACAGGAGTGAAGGAAATAGGATTTTCAGAAAAAGAAAATTCAAGCTGTGATGCAATCAATAAAGATCTCAGCCTATCCTATGATCCATTCTGGAGCTATGATAGTTCTGCAAAGCTGTCCAGAATTGGGGCAAGGGAGATGGGCCTTTACACCTTTACATTGACCTGTCATTGGAGGAGGGCTGTTAAAAGGAAGGGGGCTTGGCCTTAAACAATGGTGCTCACTTCAGCTGAGGGAACATGCCAGAGAAGGGACCAGCTGGCAACAGTCTGATGCCAACACTCCTGGAAGCTGGGAGAATGAGAGCTTCAGTCCTGGAGGCACATATTTGTGCAGCATACTGTGGCATCCATCACATCCATCTTGCCAGAATCCACACTCCTTCTATTTTATTTCCCTGCTTTCCTCAACATAAAGCTTCTACTTCATGATCCAAGGTGGTCTCTGAGAGGAGTGGAGATGATTACTCAATTCTCATGCAGGAAAAATAGAGAAGCTAATATGGATGCAGGTGAGGTTGTAATTTGGTGATGGGAATATGAGGAAGTTCAAGTCTGATGTCTTTCTTTTTGGAAGAGTATGAGTCAAGGTAGTTGGCTGAGATTTGAGGAAGGAAACCTGAGGAGAGAGATGTTATGAAATGCTCATCTCAGAGAGTGGAGGGGCGGCTTCCTGGAGAACCACAGATGACTGCTGGGCATCATTGACAGACATTTTGGGATTTGTGGTCATTAATTTAAAAAAGGAAACCAAGTAATCCACATGTGCAAACAGCAGAAACCCATTTTAGCTATCTTAAGAACAAAATGGAATTTAGTGGAAGGATTAGATAGTAAAAAGAGGTTGGTCCAGACACCACTACTTTCACATAACAAATGAATGCCAAGAGTACTCACTGGCCTTGCTAGAGTCACAAAACATTAAGACTTCAGGAGAGAGTATCTGCTTGGCAGAGCATGGCCCTTATGGGAGGGAAAAGAAAGGCTCTGGCAAGAAAGCAGTTCATCTTTCTGAGCAAGGCACAATGGGAGATTCTCTTAAAGGCAAAATTTTAGTGCTGCTGGTTGGTGACAGATGTGGGGACTAGGGATACAGAAAGCAAATCCTAGCAATTCCCCACAACAAGCTCCCAGCAGTCTATCGTCTATAGTCAGGCATATCCATAGCTCACTTTCCCTAACTTAGCAAGTCAAAGAAGAAAAGCAAGGACACCAAACACAGGAACAAATGATCAATAACACAATTTTTCTGTTTAGGGACATTTTCATAAGTGCTTACAGAGAGCTTTATGGAGGAATCCAACAATATATGTCAAAAGCCATTTAAAAGTACATACCATTTGACCTAGCTGTCTAAAAATGGAGAAAAGGAGCAAAGTGTTTTTATGTTCTTTCAATTTGGTTTAGGGGTGGTCATATTTATGTTTAAGTCTTCAGGGATTAAAGAAAAGTCACAAATGAAGATATTTTTGTTATGCCCCACAGTAAGAAAATCACCTTTAGCACTGAGCTGTGGTAATAGGCCAACTATGCTTTGTGTTAATTCATTTTTATTTTTAAACAAGGCAGAATTTGCTTTAGGAGGTACTTTCCTTTTAGCAGGTCTGTTCATCGAGATCACACTGTGTGATCTATACCTTACCATTTTATCCACCTTATAAATGGCAAATGGTGAGGATGATGAGAATGTGGATACACTGAGCAGAGTATACCAGAAAAAAAAAATCCACTGACTAATAGTTGGTGACAAACATGATTAGAATATACGACATGGTTTCCTGTTAATTCTACCATTTCAGCATCTGCTATGTGTCCTTACTGGAGCTGGTCCAGGGAAGGTGGAAGACACAAAGACAAAATAGATACAGTTTCTAGTCTAATGATTTCATAATTTAGTGGAAAGAACCTGTTCTTTTTCAGAGGACCTCAGCTGTTGGGCTCCTCTTTCCTTTGGCTTTGCCTATGCACGTGATGTCTAGAACTTCAGCAGCCATGTTGTGATAGTGAGGCTGCAGTTATGAGAACAAAAAGTCCTGTAAGAATGAATAAGCAGAAATATAGAAAGAGTCTGGCTCCCTGATGACATTATTCAGCTGCTTGCATCAACACTGAGGCCACTGACCCTTTATGAAAACAACAAATGTCATTATGATTAAGAATAGGTCTTCATTTTCTTACAGCTCAAAGTGTTCCTCAAGGTTACACATGAAATACTGGAAGGCTAGAAATTTTTAAATCTGAGGATCTAGTTTAAAATTTTACATTAGGTTTAACTTTTCCCAATAGTAACTTGCAAACGTTTTAAATCATTTCCTTCAACTCCCGTGACACCATTTTTGTTGCAGAAAGCCTTTTTCTCACGTGGGTACATTATATCCGAAAAGATACTGAGGGTGGTGCTTTTCCTATGATAAGTTCAGTATTCCCACTGATCTGCAGGGATACATCCAAGCGGATGCTTGAAACAAACGATAGTACCTGTATTAGTTAGGGCTGTCTAAAGGGATAGAACTAATAGGATCGATGTGTATATATATAAAGGGAAGTTTATTAAGGAGTATTGAGTCACACCATCACAAGGTGAGGTCCCACAATAGGCCGTCTGCAAGCTGAGGAGCAAGGAAGCCAGTCCAAGTCCCAAAGCTGAAGAACTTGGAGTCTGATGTTCGAGGGCAGGAAGTATCCAGCATAGGAGAAAGATGTAGGCCAGATGACTAAACCAGTCTAGTCTCTCCACGTTCTTCTGCCTGCTTTTATTCTGGCTGCACTGGCAGCTGATGAGATGGTGCCCACCCAGGTTGGGGGTGGGTCTGCCTTTCTCAGTCCACTGACTCAAATAGTAATCTCCTTTGGCAACACCCTCACAGACACACCCAGGAATAATACTTTGCATCTTTCAATCCAATCAAGTTGACACTCAATATTAACCATCACAGTACGAAATCCTGTTTACACCGTTTTTTCCTATACATACCTAATGTAAAGTTTAATTAATAAATTAAGCAAGCAAAATATTAACAATAATAACTAATAATAAAATAGAACAATATACCATAATAAAAGTTATGTGAATGTGGGCCGGGCATGGTGGCTCATGCCTGTAATCCCAGCACTTTGGGAGGCTGAGGCAGGTGGATCACCTGAGGTCAGGAGTTTGAGACCAGCCTGGCCAACATGGTGAAATCCTGCCTCTACTAAAAATAAAAAAAATTAGCCGGGCATGGTGGTGGGCACCTGTAATCCCAGTCACTCGGGAAGCTGAGGCAGGAGAATCTCTTGAACCCAAGAGGCAGAGGTTGCAGTGACCTGAGATGGTGCCACTGCACTCCAGCCTGGGTGACAAAGAGAGACTCCATCTCAAATAAATAAAATAAAATAAAACAAAATAAAATAAAATAAAGTTATGTGACTATGGTCTCTCTTTCTCTCTCAAAATATCTTACTGCACTGTAATCATCAATCTCCAGACCACAGGTGACCATGGATAATTGAAACAAAAACTACAAATAAGGGGAGGAAATATCAGTAAGGGTAAAACGAATCTAGCCAGAAGGCAAAGTTGGAGATTTTTCTCTCTGCTATTAGGTAGATAGATATATTTTCAGCACTATCCTCAGAATAAATTAATTAAAAGACTATGCTAAATGTTTTCAAGTCTGGTTCTGAAATAACTCCTTCAATTAGAGGTTATTTTTAGCTTCCTTTTTCTAAACTTAAATGAAGAACTTTTACATTTTTCTGGCGTTTCAGACTATTCTGTTTCTGTAGCTGCCATTTAAAGGTAGATCAGAAGAGAGGTAGACGGAGACTGAAATTCCTAATTTCACTTCCTCTTTTTGGTTTTCAAATTAATGAGTTGTGTACGACTGGGTGCGTGGGAAAGCATGCACAGGCCAGTGTCTTCCTTGGTTGTGTGATATCTCACACTTGCCCATGTCATGCGGCAGCATAATTTTCCATTAATGATCTGATTTGGCCCATGTGAACTTCACCTCCTACCCACATTCATAGCAGCTTTTGCTTGGGAAGGCTTTGCATTTTCTTCATGACTGGAGGTCACAATACTAAAAAATCCGTAGGAAAATAAAGTAATGGGCCTGCTAATATGTTTAATGGCTTTAATAGCATTGAAAACTAATATGCTTAATGCTCATTTCATTCATAGTTGCCCTTGGCATGATGGATGGCAAGATTGTGCATTTATGCAGAGGCAAAAAATGGCCCAAATGTCACTGTGAGTGTGATGCAGGAGAGTGAGAGAGAAATGTTACGGCAGCATTATGAAATCTCAACTCCAATCCATCTTCACAGGAAATAATTACATTAGGTGAGAAAAGGGGCAGCCAACCATGAGGCTGGTGCTAGCTTAAAGGAATTTGGTTCATTTGTTGAAAAGCAGAAATTCTGAAAGCCTGTGCTGAGTGAATTATCTTGAGAGCAAGACCCATAATAGCATAGAAAGAGGAAGTTCTGAGACATGACAAATTCTGAATTGGGGAGATCACCTTTTCTTTCACAGCTTTCTTCCTAGTTCTATGGTTACATTATGGGCTGTGTTCTAGAGCTTTCCAGCCTTGCCCTCTTTGGTCTATATCGCATTCCTTAGGGCACTATTCGTCGTAGGTAAGTGGATTAATTAATTCGGGTCACTACATCAGTATGTCGTGAACTGGTCCTACACAAAGATGTTTTAGATGAGGCTCTCTGGAGAAAAACCTCAAGGGTCATCAGCAATTGGGAATCTCAGTAATACTGTGGCCCTGGCAGGGCTCTCAAGCATTTGCCCATGCCATCTGGACATGGGGCTGGTGCTGGAGAGACAGCACTAGCATTCTGAACTGTGAAGATAAAATTTGCTGGGACGATGAACCTCTTTAGTAGATTCCACTGCCTCAGCTTTCCAAGGGCCATAGGAGAGGACAGTATTAGTCTTTCCTCTTCCCTCAGGGGCCCAAACACCATCAGGGGCCTAGACAGGAGAGGGGGCTACAAAAGAGGAAGTCCTCAGAATTAGAAGCAAGCTGTGGGTACCGTGAAACCCTTTCCTCACTGATAGTGAACATCCATGTGGACACGCAATGGCCAATGACTGGGTCTAGAGACATTGACTTGCTCACCAAGTGACAGCATCTAAAGTGGCTATGACTCCTCATCATGGTCTTACTCGGTGATATGGTTTGGCTGTGTCCCCACCCAAATCTCATCTTGAATTGTAGCTCCCATAATTCCCACATGTCGTGGGAGAGACGTGGTGGGATGTAATTGAATCATGGGGGCAGGTCTTTCCAGTGCTGTTCTCATGATAGTGCATAAGTCTCATGAGATCTGATGGTGTTATAAAGGGGAGTTCCTTTGCACATGTTCTCTTGCCTGCCACCATGTAAGACATGCCTTTGTTTCTACTTTGCCTTCTGCCATGATTGTGAGGCCTCCCCAGCCATGTGGAACTGTGAGTCCATTAAACCTCTCTCCTTTATAAATTACCCAATGTCAGGTATGCCTTTATTAGCAGCATGATAATGGACTAATACACTCAGCCTTACAAGGTCCTGCCTTTCCCATCAACTCATACAGGGGCTTGTGATGCTTACTGCAGAGGAGAACTTTTAAACAATATCTCTTTAGGATAAGTAACAGTAATGTGACCACTGGGGTTTTTGAAAGATTCCATTCTAAGCCAAGGCTTATAGGGCATAATGCTTTACTATTCTAAATTTTCACCACAATTTTAGTGTAGCCGTAGCATCTAAGCATTTGTGTTTACTAACAGCTGCTCACCCCCAGGTCTTAAACAAAGCATTCTGTATGAGTTCAAGTTTTTGAGGATCCTTAGGACTTTACTTGGTGACAGGCAATTCAGTAATTTTAAAGGTTAAGGGGATGGGCATGGTGGCTCATGCCTGTAATCCCACCACTTTGGGAGGCTGAGGCAGCAGATTGCTTGAGGTCAGGAGTTGGAGACCAGCTTGGCTAACATGGTGAAACCCCATCTGTACTAAAAAGACAAAAAAATAGCGGGGCATAGTGGTGCACGCCTGTAGTCCTAGCTACTCAGGAGGCTGAGGCAGGAGAATCGCTTGAACTCGGGAGGCAGAGGTTACAGTGAGCCAACATAGCACGACTGCCTGGGTGACAGAGCGAGACCCAGTCTCAAAAAAAAAAAAAAAAAAGTTAAGGAATAAAGAAAATGACAGTTAGTGAGTCTTCTTAATTGTTCTGGATATTCTGAAGACAGCCTAGCTACCAAAGCGTCCTGAAGCCCAGTTATTTTATTGATTGCCCCACCTCACCTAAATAATTGATTTTATAATTTACATTTGATTCCATCATATTTGAGCTTTTCCCCTGGAACAAATTTATAAGGTAAACTCTCCCAGATGAAAATAAAATTTCATTTACCAACTTTGACTTCTAAATGGTTTATTGATACCCTTCATTCATCTCTCAATTTAGAAGATCTATTTAAAAGGAAAGATAAATATAAATTACAGCATGGATAGTAATCTTTTCTTTCAGCAATTACTAAGTGGAATTTCATTTTGTTGACATCTAGGAAAGAAGTCATCCCTCAAATTGCAATTTAGTAATACTCCTCCCTTTCTTGAAATGAAGGAGCAGCTCAAATTTGGCTTAATGGTCCCTATTTTCTGGCCCCTATAGTTACTAATTCACATGTTTGAGGTTACAGTTGCATAGACCAAAAATTTAGAAAGGAATTCTCCATGATCAAAAATATGTAATTTAGTGGAAGGTTCAGAGCCACGTTAAGGGCAGCAGTTGTTTCTTTAGGTATCAAACACAAGCACCCTGTTTAGCAATGCCATAACAAAGCATAAGCAGTTAAAGTGGAAAGACGAATGGGTAAAACTTTACCAGTCAAACTACATTTTTAAAAGAATCTTTTAAAAAGGGGCTGAGTGTGGTAGCTCATGCCTGTAATCCCAGCACTTTGGAAGACTAAGGCGGTAGGATCACTTGAGGCCCAGAGTTTGAGACCAGACTGAGCAACATAGACCCCATTGTTACCAAAAAAAAAAATAAATAAATAAAAAATTAGTCAAGCGTGGCACATTATCTGTAGTCAGAAGTCTAAAGCTGGAGGATCACTTTGGCCCAGGAGTCCAAGGCTTCAGTAAGCTGTGATTGCACCATTACACTCCAGCCTGAACAACAGAACACGACCCTCTCTCAAAAAAAAAAAAAAAAAGTATGTGGAAGTACTATGTATCCAATATTTCATTCTCTCAACTGCCATTTGAAATAGGCATTGGTAATTCCATTTTACAGACGAGAAAACAAGACTCAGATTGTTTAAGTAACAATCTAAGTCTTTCCCAAGGACGCAGAATCGTGAGTGGTAGGTCTGGAACTGAAGTTCTAGCAAGCTCAAGCTCACTGTCTTCCCCCTACATGATGTGTCTGTGCATAGGACAACTATAGTAAAATCAACCAAGACAATTATCTCTTTGTCATGAATATATTATTAAATTAAGGGCAGAAAAGTTATCAGCAGCTTCTACTTGAAGAGAATCTGCTTTGCCTGATCTGTCCTTCATCTGTATTCTTCTATCTTCTCTCCTTTACCTTGCCATCACCATATAAGACATGTATCTGTGGCTTAGAATCAAGTTCTTGCAGGAAGACAATATCCTTGGCCACAGAATTTACACCAAAATATTAACAGTGGTTGTGTCTGAAATAGGGTAAATTTATTCCTTCTTGCTATATTTGTATATTTCATAATAAAAGTACACTTGTAAAAATAAGGTCTTAAATGTACATTTCTAAATTTATCTTCTTAAAAAATTTTAAAATTGACAAATAAAAATTGTATACATTATGGGGTATGACATGATGTTTTGATATATGTGTACATTGTAGAATGGCTAAATCAAGCTATTGAACATATCCATTTCCTCACATATTTATCATTTTTTTGGTGGTGAAGGCGTTCACTTTTCAAGTATGCAATGCATTATTAGCTACAGTCACCATGTTGCACAACAGATCTCTTGAACTTATTCCTCCTGTCTAACTGAAATTTTATACCCTTTTACCAACATCTCTTTGATTCCCCCCTAATGTTTTAAGTTAAAACTATGACTTTAACATGGAAAAAATAAAGAATTAAATGAACTATTGCCATCTAACAATATTTTGGTGAAATCCACCAGCTATAAAAGCCCAACTTATAAACATCCCAAAATGCCAACAATCAGAATGAATTTAGCTGTCATCACTTACTTGCTTTAATTTTCTTCACAGTTTTTTAATGTACTTCCATGTGTCTTATGGGGACATGTGACCGATATTAGGTCACTTGTCCTCATGCCTCATTCTCTAGGAATCAAGGACTTGTCTTGCTTTAATTTTGCTGGCTTTAGCCTTGCTACTCTTCCCAGTCCTTCATCCGCCGCCAAGGTTTCCCCAGGACAGCGATGGTTTGACTTTGTTTATTCCTGCTGTTACGCATCAGGCCAGAATATGCTCAGGAGCTACAGAATTGTTTATTTAAACACACACACGTGCGTGCACACACACGTGCATACACACACATGCACACACAGGCTCACGTGCACACAAGCACACACGTGGACACACACACACACAGGCACATGTGAACGTACACACGTGTGTGCAAGCACACATGCGTGCATGGACACACACCACGCACACACACACTCGCACACACACACATTTTTTCTCTTATTAGAAAAGTAACATTTTGGAAATCTCAGGGAAAAAAATTGATAAACCAAAAGATAAAAACAATGCCACATTGAATTTCACACAGAGCTGTCTTTGTGGATATCCTTTCATTATTTTGCCTATTCGTGTGTGTGTTCCCGTGTGCACGTGTACATGTGCACATGTGATCATAAAAAACTGGACAGAATTCTGTTATTAAAAAGTCCCAATTTAAAATAGAATAGTTTGGTCTAAGTTTAAAATTACATTTTAAGATATGGCTTATTATACCATGTTTGCTTTAAAGATGACCTCTCTACAGCTTATGCTAACTCTCCAGTAGCTTCCATAAAATATTAAAAACTAGTTCTGCCTCTCCTAAAGGAAGGCACTTTTATTTTCTTACACTCATTTTAATGCCTAAAATAAGAGCTTCCTCCCTCTCCCCCAATATGGTCACTATCTTCAGGACGTACTAAATCAGGAAGCTTCTCAATTCTTTCTTCCTCTACTAGTTCCTCTTTTTGGAAGAAGTTACTTTCTTAACTGGACAGATGGAAGAGTCCAACAGGCTCTGAACTGAGCCAAAGCAGAAGTGGAATCCAACACCAGGGAGCAGGTCCACATCTCCACCTCCTCCCATTTCACCTTCCCTCGTGGTGAGCTCAGCAGGAAGGGCCTCTCCTGACTGAAACTCCCCAGCCGCATTGTCTGTGGCTGCGAGGGGAAGTCAGATTCAGCCGGGGGAGAAGAAGGAAGCCTCACTCTCCCCCTAACCCTTTGGCACTCTGTGACCTCCCATCTGTCTCCTGTTTACACAGCAAACTGATTAGAACCCAGAGGAGAGCAAGAGTATGATTAGTCAGCACCCCAAATCTCAAGAATGGTCCCTATAGGATACGCTCTGTATGTTGTAATATGCAGATATGTGCACCGTGTGTGGTGTGTTAAGTATACATTGTAGATTATACTTACATTGTAATGTGCTTGTACATTAAATTACAAGTAGATTTTTATAAATTGCACAGGGAAGTTTCAACTTCCTTTAGGGCTCCATAATTAAGCTTCCTAGAATAGCTTAGAAAACAAATTTGCAATCATGTCAAAGCTAACCTATAACTTTAGTATAAAATTTAGCAAAATACATGCTGGGTAAAGAGCCATTGAAATATACTTTAAAACCACCAACCATTCTCACTTAGGTGAGAGCAACAGGGTAAGTTTCATTTACTTAGAAGTTAGTTTTGTTGTTTTTTAGTTTAGGGCCTGGCTAAGGCTCCTTCATTCCCTCTGCATTCTTCATACCTCACGTCTGTAAATACCACGAGATGCTCCCCACATGCAACTGTCCAGAAGCATGTCATCCCATTCTCAGTCTCAAATGGACTTTGTTCTTTTCAAAGGAAGAGAGGTCTTACCTGAGGCAGAACTGCAGCCACTCCTGGGATTTAGACACTTCCGGTTACGTCTGGTGGGCAGGTAGGATGAGATGATGAAAGCCTATTTCCAGAGGCTAAGGAGGTTCCTAGGAGGTAATTCATCCTAAGGGAAGAAGGAACCGGGCACAACCAGCTTGATACCGCCATAGAGGCTTCGTGGTCAACGGTGGGGAGGAATTTGGAGCACAGTGTTGTGCCAGTTTCACAGATCTGTCATCAGTACACAAGACTCTACATCTGGGTTCTAGGAAGAGAAGGGGCTGTAAGTCATAATTGGAGCATTTATTTATTTATTTAGGCTAACACTGGGATATACTTGCTTTGCTTGGGTAATTCCCTAAAGGAATGTGATATGAGAGAGATAGGGAAGGGGACAGTGGCCAGCAGACAGTGTTGGTACCTGGAAGCTTCCCAGGCATCGCTGGTGGCAGCTGAAGCTGTGGTCGTAGGCAGAGGTCTGTGCCTACAGCAGCACTACCCAGAAGGAGACCACCAGGTCTGGAGGGTGTGGTGGGCCCTGCAGAATCTGGGTGGGGCTCTCCTGAGGCAGCATCAGGGGTGATATCCTGCAGGGGCAGGGCCAGGGCCAGCAGAGCAGTCTGCTCCCAAGGACCCTGGGGTTAAGGGATGGAATGCTTACTAATTATACTCTAAATCTGGACCTCCGGGCTCAAACTGCCAGAAGCCCAGACAGGATGGAGGGATAAGAAAAGGAAACAGGAAATACTCAGAATTAAAGAAGAAATAGAGGTGCTAAAAGACCTTCTTACTGACACAGGTATCAGAATGGATAGATGGAAGATGACCTGAAACCTGGCCAGACACATTTCTAAGCACATGTGAAATGCATATGGGGAACCCTCAAGAGGAGGCTTTTGGTAGCTGGGGACCCACATGAATAGGTAGATTCTTGTTTCACTACAACAAAAATTATATCAAAGCGAAACAAAACTTGAACACAGAAACATCTATACTGGCCTAGAAAAGTGGAGACGAGAGGGAGGGAGAGAAATTGTCAAGGATTAAATTATGTTTGCAATCTCAAAACACATTCTGCAGCAGAGCCTGGGAGTCTATGTGTCCATTTATGTAATTTAGAGTGTTTTGTTCAACCATGATTTTGCAGGTTGGGCAGAGGTGGGGTGGGAGACTGATATTCATTGTTGCACAAGATGTTTTTGAATGGCAGAAATTAATTGCTGTTCATTCCATCTCAGGTTATACTATTTTCGTAGGATAACCTGAATTCATCTCAGTGATGCATCTTCAATGGGACTGAGGTATGTGTGCTTAGAATAGACTAAGAGCAGGAATTGCAGTGTTAGAAGGACTTGTGGTTTGCTCTTGTTTGGATTACCTTCCAGAAATAAAAATAATATATAAAACTCCAGCTGCCCCTTAGCACTAACTACATTAAGTTTAAGCATTACCCAGTGATATATAAATAAAAATGCCACATTATTTTTATGGAAAGTAATTTAAAGCCCCATAAATGGAGTCATATTTATCTGTGATTCTCACTGCTGTTAAGACCCCGTCTGTATCTCCTTCATTTCAGGGAAACCTGAAGTTCCTTCAGAAATAAAAAGGGTAACTTCCTGGTCCCAGTAACCTTTATAACTAGGATACTTTATTTTTTTTCTAAAATCTTACTTAGGGCTGGGCACGCTGGCTCACGTCTGTAATCCCAGCAGTTTGGGAAGCCGAGGCAGGCAGATCGCTTAAGGTCAGGAGTTCAAGACTAGCCTGGCCAACATGGCGAAACCCCATCTCTACTAAAAATACAAAAATTAGCTGGGCATGGTGGTGGGTACCTGTAATCTTAGCTACTCGGGAGGCTGAGTCAGGAGAATTGCTTGAACCTGGGAGGCAGAGGTTGTAGTGACCTGAGATAGCACCACTGCACTCCAGCCTGGGTGACAGAGCAAGACTCCATCTCAAAAAATAAATATATAATAAAAAAAAATCTTAGAGTTTGAGGATGCAGAATTTAATTTAATGTTATCAGGGCAATGTTTTTTTCTTATCTTGGGGTTACTTAGCTTAAATACTTTTCCTTTTTAATTATTAGAGAGACAGTGTGAGATCCTAAGTAGATATTGTAGAATCTCATCAAGGTATCTCTGACTCTCAAAAAGTCATTTTTGAGACGGTTGAGAGAGACAAAAGGACAACATAGACAAACTCATCTTTTTTTTAACAGCTTTATTAAGGTATAATTGATTTGCAAAAAACCCTGAACATTTAATGTATACAATTTGATGGGTTTGGACATAGGCACACACCTGTCTATAACCACAATCAAGGTAATAAACATATCCATCACTTCCAAAGCGTTTTTGTATGTTCCTTTGTGTGTATATGTTTATTTTGCTTTTGTTTGTTGTTGTTGTTTTGTGGTAAGAAACAAATCCATCTTTAAGTTCTAGGATCCAATCAACAGGGGCCAGTATACACAAACTAGTAGTCACAAAATGATTTTTAGCACTTAAAATGCTAAGAATAATTTTTCATAATCATTCATATTTTCTTTATCTCCCTCTTCTTCCTACACCTTCCCCCCTACTCAGCTTTGATACTTTCCCGTACTTCTCTTTTCCTTATTTTACTATTTTTTCTATTTCATTCTTCCACCTTATTTGGCTGACCCAAACAGGCCACTTAATTTTTTTTTATTATTTAAAAAAGTTTTCCATAGGTTATTGGGGTACAGGTGGTGTTTGGTTACATGAGTAAGTTCTTTAGCGGTGGTTTGTGAGATTTCGGTACACCTATCACCCAAGCAGTATACACTGCATCCTATTTGTTGTCTTTTATCTCTCACCCCCTTCCCACGCTTCCTCCCAAGTCCCCAAAGTCCATTGTATCATTCTCATGAACAGGCCACTTTAACATGTGATGGAATGACATGCTTTAAAGATGTTATGGCCAAACGTTCAAGAAAGCTGTTTCACAACACTATCAAAAGCCACGTGAATATGCAGTCTTGGAGGAAATAGATGATAACAAATAATAATTGAGTTCATACCATGGGCCAGGCACTGGCTTTCATAGGAGAATTTATTTAATCTTTACCACAACCTGTGCTGTATCCTTCTGATTTTGTACATGAGGAAACTAAAGAACAGAGAGGAGTTCAAGACCAGCCTGGCCAACATGGTGAAATCCCGCCTCTACTAAAAAATACAAAAATTAGTTGCGCACCCGTAATCCCAACTACTTGGGAGGCTGAGGCATGGGAATTGCTTGAACCCGGGAGGTGGAGGTTGCAGTGAGCCGAGATCACGCCACTGAACTCTAGGCTGGGTGACAGAGTGAGACTCCATCTCAAAAAAGAAAAAAAAAAACAACCCAGAGAGATGAGGTACTTTGCTCAAGAGCACACAACTGGGATTTGAACAAAGGAAGTCTAGGTCTGAAGCTGGCATTCTTTACCAGGGTAATCCTCAAAGTGTACAGCCCTGTGCTGATATTTTTTATGGGGCTCCCAATTACACAAACAATTTTATTAAAATGTATTATACAATTCATGGGCCCATGTAAGGAATTGTGATTTATCAATGAAGATTTAGAATAATGAGTAGAGAGGAGGGGCCTACATGCTTGGTTATCGTCAAATCAGTTCAACCAGAAGATGATTCCTCATAGTGTCCAGGTACCATATCTTCCTGTGCAGATCCAGGAACCATCTTCCCAGACTTTATTTTCAAATGTTCCATTCCAGGCTAATTTCCTGTCTTTCCCAGTGAGATGAAAGGAGTAATACCATTGTGGTTCACAATGCCTTGACTTTTCAACTGGAAACGACATAGATCTTGTTGCCTCTGAAGGTCCTTAACACAATGTATTTCATCTGACTACATTATCATTCATGATGCTACATGCTCATCCATCCTCAGCTCATAAAAACTGGCTTCCAATGAGCCTCTCAGAGGCGGTTCCTGGGCTTCACTAAGTGACCGACTTGGGTGTCAAATGCAGGGGAGGGACAGAGTAAAAGAGTCCTGCAACCCCACCCCACTCCACTGCCCTTAAGTGCTGTAGACTAGTGGTGCCTCTGTGGTTAGAACTTACACAGGAAGAACTGATGCAGGTGCCCAAACATGTGTTCAATTCCAAGAGCAGATGGTAGATCCACAGTGATCATCAGAAGACTCAAGCCCTGAACCTATCCTGGGTCTGCAGTAAGAAAGCCCACTCTCAAAACAGATTATTAGTTATGTTGCAAACACGTGCAATGCTCTGTAACTTTTTAAAATGGAATTTGAATACCTCTTGCATAATTTGCTTAATTTGGTAAAATTCCTAGAAATTTTGCATAGGTTAATAGGAAGCTACCAGAAGCCCTCTGAGAAATTGCTTCCCTTATGGTCCTTGATGTTAAAGTTTCTTTAGTAATCAATGATTTGTACTATTTGCATATTTGGGCATTTATTTTAAAAAATAATTATTTGTGCACTTCCTATGGGTCCTCACTATTTTAATTGTTTCACAAATATTAGTTCATTTCACTTCCATAACAATCCTGTTTCATAGGCACTATTATAATTTGTTTGTTGAGGAAAAGTCGAGTTAAATAACTTGCTAAAGATTACACAGCTAGTAAGAGACAGAGCTGGGATCCCTACCCAGACAGTATGCACACTTAACCACTACACTCACCTGTGTCTACAGGATATAAACAATGGGTCCCCCAAAATGAACTCCTGTAGTCCTTGCCAAACCAGAAGCTGTCTTTTCTCTCTCTAGGTACCTGTCAAAGAGAAATGTTGATGTCCATGAATTCTTAAACACTTTTACATTTATACATTGTAAATTTGAGGCTATTTCTGTCAGGAGTCTGAAAATTTACTGGGTGTGATAGTTAATATTGAGTGTCAACTTGATTGGATTGAAGGATGCAAAGTATTGTTCCTGGATGTGTCTGTGAGGGTGTCACCAAAGGAGATTAACATTGGAGCCAGTGAAATGGGAAAGGCAGACCCAACCTCAATCTGGGTGGGCATCATCTAATCAACTGCCACCATGGCCAGAATAAAAGCAGGAAGAAGAACATGGAAAGACTAGACTGGTTTAGTCTTCTGGCCTACATCTTTCTCCCGTGCTGGATGCTTCCTGCCCTCGAACATCAGACTCCAAGTTCTTCAACTTTGGGACTCATACCTTCGACCACAGGCTGAAGGCTGCACTGTCGGCTTCCCTTCTTTTGAGGTTTTGGGACTTGGACTGGCTTCCTTGCTCCACAGCTTGCAGACGGCCTATTATGGGACCTCACCTTATGATGGTGTGAGTCAATACTCCTTAATAAACTCCCCTTATATATACATCTAGCCTATTAGTTCTGTTCCTCTAGAGAACGCTGACTAATACACTGGGTAATGCTACTGCAAGTAACAGCCATGATGGGGAGTGTCAGGAGAGACTGCTAATATAAAATCTAACTGTCAATGTATTTCAAAGAATGTCCTGCTGTGTTTCATCATTGCACAGGCTGTCTCTGTGTGGCAATATAGAAAGGAGCTTCCTTTCCATCACATTGGTTAAGTTCTTTGATAATGTGAAAAATAGCAAGAAAGTAAAGATCAGGGTTTTTCAATTACTTTTTAATAGGAGGCAAAGGTGTTTGTGGTTTTTTTTTTTTTTTTGAAACTAATAACAACTGGCTATAGGTCCTTTCCCATCTACCAATACTGTCTCAACTTCAAGGTTGTATAGAGAAGTATTCTCATTGTCTAAACATTCATTATCAAGTCCCTGATATTATGAGATTGCAAAAGATGTAGCAAGCTGGAAAATTCTAACAATCACCTGATCCCATTTACAAAGCAGTCTCCAGCCATGCTTCAAAATCTTGGTTATCTGAGTATTGATGATAATTTTATGGTATAAACATTCTACAATACAATGCAAATTAACTCAAAGAAAAATTGCCAATTTTGCCATCTATATAAGATGACATAAAGTCATTGAAAAGAATACTAAAGAATTATCCTATTCACAAAGCCACTGGCAAATAAGGATCTCACAGAATTAGAAGAGTTGACAACTGAAGAAGAGAAATTTGACAAGGATGATGATACTTGGAAAAGAATGATTTTAATAAAAAAGGATTAAGAAAAGATCTTGTAAAATGTGAGGAAATTCTTGAATATATTTGCAAAGAAAAATGATCCTCTTTCTAGTTTGCAAAGGAAGACAAATGCAAACTTTGCTATCAGATAACTTTGTGGAAAAATTCTACCCCTGAAAAAGCAATAAGTAGTTAATTACTCTTTTATCCTAAGAATTATCACAACAGATACAATTACAACCTTAAAGTTTTTAATGTAATATAAAACAATTTTCATAATTTTAGCTTCACTTTTCATACGATCCTAGTCAAACTTTCTTTTTTATTTTCTATTTACTATTAAATTTTGGTTCCCATTTTGTGCAGATTCACTGTGAAGTGGATCCTTCCTGGTATCAATTATTCTTGGATAATGAGGACTTTCTGTACTTTATGCTGACAGAACAAGGGCTAAATGGGGTTACCAAGACAAGATTGCAGGCTCATCTTCAACTTCACTTCAGTAAAAAACTATTCTAAGGACCACAGAGACTGAAATGCAATGAGTTGAAGCACTTTTCACCTTGCTTCCCATTCAAGATTTATGTCCTCATGACAGCTTTGATGAAGGCCTTGCAGCCCTGCAGACAGAGGCTGATGCTGACATTTCTGGATTTAGCAGAGACATGGTAAAGACTCAGTTCTCCAGAGTAAACCCAGTTGAATCTGGGTCCTCAGGCAGAAAGGTCTTTTCCTTAGAAAATTATTCTAAGAATTCTTAGAAAATTATTCTAAGACTAAATACGCTGCATTGCCATGCACAGAGATGCATAATATTAACTCAGCAAGTTCTTAGAAAAACCTCCTCTTTTTCTTTGTCCCAGAAATACTCTTATTCAGTTCTTACATACTACGGATAGTACTAAAAATGTGGGTGAAATGGTTCCCTGACATAATCAGATATTTTATTTACTTATAGATGCATCATGGTGTTATTTTCTTGCAAATGACTTAATAACAAGTAATTATTTTGTAAAATGTCTCTTAAAAATGACCTATAAACACATTCAGCTCTCCAGAATTCTGCCTCTCTCACAAAAATAATCTTCCTGTAGATTTTAGAATTTTTTGTTGTATACACTGTACAATAATCTTAGTTGATGAGGAAGTATAAATGCTAAAGATTAATCCTCAATTTAAATAATTTCTTACTTTTGGAAACTCCATTGAAACTGAGCAAATATCTGTTTAAAAGAGTACAAATTATATTTAAATATTCAACATACTAATATGAAAATAGAAGTCTTTCAAAAATCCATAAGCAGCTTTCTTTTTAGTCAATTATTTTTCCTCCTGGCTACTATAAAATGTGACTAATAAGTCAATAGCACCTTTCCTAAAAGGTTATAACCAAAAAATATAATCTTTGTTTCTGCTGAACATGAACTGTTTGAGTTTCTTGATGACAAGTCATGCCAATTTCGCCTCTACTCAAAAGAGACAGACCTCCACTCCTCACAGAGTCAGAAACTATTCCATGTTAAACACAACTTACATTAGAAGGCCTTGTGGCAATGGTACTTAAAATAACATCATTTAAAAGAGATCTTTAATTTGGAAAACAAAGATTTAAAACAAACAAACAGCAACGAATAAAAAACCAAGCCCATTGAGATGTAGAGCTATGGCAAAATTGTCACGTGTCTGTACTGGAATATTAGTAATACAAGCATTAAGGCATCTTAATATTAGTCTCCTCTCAATAATTTTTTTTTTTTTTGAGATGGAGTCTGGCTCTGTCACCCAGGCTGGAGTGCAGGGGTGCCATCTCCACTCACTGCAACCTCCACTTCCCGGGTTCAAGTGATTCTCTCACCTCAGCCTCCCGAGTAGCTGGGACTAGAGGCACCCACCCACCATGTCTGGCTAATTTTTGTATTTTTGGTAGATACAGGGTCTCAACATGTTGGCCAGGCTGGTCTTGAACTCTTGATCGCAGTTGATCCCAACCCCTCAGCCTCCCAAAGCGCTGGGATTACAGGCGTGAGCCACCATGCCTGGCCCTCTCAGTAATTTAGATGTCAGTTTGCCAATCTGCCAGACAGTTTTCTTGTGTTTTGTTTTGTTTTGTTTTGTTTTGTTTTGTTTTGAGACGGAGTCTCGCTCTGTCGCCCAGGCTGGAGTGCAGTGGCGCGATCTCAGCTCACTGCAAGCTCCGCCTCCCGGGTTCACGCCATTCTCCTGCCTCAGCCTCCGGAGTAGCTGCTTGTTCTTTTGCCTCTCTTTTACCCTTGGTTTCCCTCCTTCCAAACACAAGGCCCATTGGAGCATCCACTACAAGGAGGATATAACAATTGGAAATGAAACTTGAATTTGTCTGCTTCAACAGTTGTTTGCAACTCTAATTCAAAGAGCTGAATTTAAAATGTTGATAGATTTAGGATCGTTTTTATGCACTTCCATGATTTGTACCATTCCTGGTGAATTTTCTTTTTGTGTGATCAATGTGTATTCCCCTGCACCAAGTGTTAAGAAATGAAACATGCCATTAACTTCATTTTTTTTTTCAAAAATACATGTAAATCTAACTCTGATAGAAAACTTAAAGGCAGTCATCACTGGGACTCGATTCTCTATTTCTTTCTATCACCCCCAATTGCCAGCCAGGATCCCTTTACAGCTTCTATAGTCTTACACAAGGCACAACATTTGGGAAGCTCCACTTCTCTGTGGCCCATTCTGGCCAACCTTGATATTGATTACACTTGCCTAAGGCTTCGTAGGCCTTGGGAGCTGCACCACAGTTTGAGTGCCACCCCTTAGACAGGAGGGTGCAGTGCTTTGGGATCAGCTGCTGGAGATGGGCACTCCCTCCTGCTCCTCTGAGGTTCTATACCCTCCTTCAGTTGCTAAAACTAAAAACCTAACTACTGTTCCCTTCTTGTCTAGATTAATCATTCTCTCTCATCCCTTATCTTCTCCTTCACCCCCAAATTGGTTACCTGTCTCTGTTTCTTCTGTCAAAGACTCTCGATTATTTTGTTTTCAAAAACAAAACCCAGAAAGAGAGACTGTCCTCAGGCAACTTCCACTTGACTTTGAAACATAGAGTTCCCCAAGAAGGAAATCCCAAAGTCCATCACACTTCTTGGAAAAATATAAAGAAATAAATAAACGAGAAGAGTCAAATATAATAGATCTCAATAATGATCAATTATGACGTCGTTTAGATAAACAATAAGAAACATAAAAATGCCAAAAAAATTTGCAATGAGTAAGATGATGAATAAAGAACATCAAATGGAGGTGGAAAAAAGTTGTTTCTGGCCATCATTAAAAACTAAGTTGTTTTGATTTAATCTGAGCTCAGATTTTTTTTTTTTTTTTTTTTTGAGACAGATTCTTGCTCTGTCACCCAGGCTGGAGTGCAGTGGCATGATCTCTGCTCACTGCAACCTCCATCTCCTGGGTTCAAGCAATTCTCCTGCCTCAGTCTCCTGACTCAGTCTCCTGAGTAGCTGGGATTACAGGCACATGCCACCATGCCTGGCTAATTTTTGTATTTTTAGTAGAGACAGGGTTTCGCCATCTTGGTCAGGCTGGTCTTAAACTCCTGACCTCATGATCCATCCGCCTTGGCCTCCCAAAGTGCTAGGATTACAGCCATGAGCCACTGTGCATGGCCTGAGCTCAGATTGCTGACAAAGACTGTGTTCACATGATTGCTGGATTCCACACCCCCAATTCAAAAGAGAATCTCCAGCTTTGATATTTTGGCCTTCAAAAATCAATTCCAATAACATTCAATGTTCCTTCAAGGAAAGGCATTGATATGGTTTGGCTCTGTGTCCCCACCCAAATCTCATCTGAATTATAACCCCCACATGTTGAGGGAGGGACCTGGTGGGAGGTGACTGGATCATGGGGGCAGTTCCCCCATGCTCTTCTCCTGATAGCAATTGAATTCTCATGAGATCTGATGGTTTTAAAGTGTGGCACTTCCTCACTCTCACTCTCTCCAGCTGCCATACAAGACATGCCTTGCTTCATTTCCTGAGGCCTCGCCAGCCATGCAGAACTGTGAGTCAGTTAAAGCTGCTTTCTTTATAAATTACCTACTCTCAGGTAGTATCTTTACAGCAGTGTGAAAACAGACTAATACAGGCATGTACACCAAATGTCCTTCAAAATCACCAAGTGCAGATTCTTGGATCCTATTTGAGACTACTGCTCTGTGTCGTATTGATGACTTTGCACTGTTATAGGAGTCTACACACTCAGGCCCAACACATGACCTAATCAGAGCCAAGTATTCTTTCAGTCATTGTCCAGTTAAAAATGTCCATCTCACCTAGGCGTAAGGCAGCACTTGGTACCCTGTGCTCTCACTGGCCCTGCCAGTGGCCCAGCCTCTTAGGCCTTAATCCCTAACCCTGATCCCTTTCCCCAGGATTTCTATGTAGCTTGGTGTTTGAAAAACCAGGCTCTTGTAAACAATTCTCACCCTATGCTTTCTGTGAAAGGGTTGGCAGCAGGGACTGGCAGTGTTGGGGGGTGGGGGACACAGGTTCCTGCCCCCCCTTTGCTGGGCAGATGGTTTTCTGGTAACATCAGGCTGGAGTTGATGGGACTTGTTTGGAAGTTGAGCTGTTGGGGCAACTGTTTCTGTCCTCATCCATGTGACCAGGCAAAGCCAGCTCAGCAAACAGCCTGGTGCATAAGCTCACTGCTGTGGCCAAAGATCTGGGCATGGAGGCAGCAGACCCCTTCCCTGTCCAGTTATAAACACATTTATCCAACTTATCTCCGAGGTGGGGGCCCCTGGGGGTCTAATTCCTACAAGTCAAGTGTCTGGCTAGAAAACTTCCGTTGTTGGGACAGAGGAGGGGAAGAGAAGTTCTGAAAATGAATATCAAAGAGTCTCTGGGTGTGTCAGGGATGAGGGTTGCAGCCTCATGTTCCATAAGAACAATAGGGCCTAGGACACTGGCACTCGATGGCAGGGCCCTAGTGTGCTGGGCATACTGTGCTGTGTCTGGTGAAATCCAACTTCCCCAGGTCTCCTCACCCCTGCGGAACAGCCTTCCAGGCTGGGCACCTGCTCTGTCTCCTCATCCTTCTACTTTTTTCAAAAAAACAAATTCCATCTCAGGACTTCCATCCCCTTCTCAGCCTCTGTCATGTCCCCCTCTTTCTGGCTCGCCTCATTCAAGGGCCCCTGGCAGAGGCCGTGAGGACAGGTGAGTGTGTTGCTTACCTGGCTGGCCCCTGTCTGGCTCCAGGTTGTCTTTCAATGGCTCTGGTTATTGCCGCAAGCATCACTTTGTCACGGTCATCCCTGGAGAAAATCATACCATCCTGAAAAAATCCAGACAAATTATCCATAGAATGCTTTTCTTTAAATATTTAGTCCAGTCTGTCTAATTCACCTTGGGCTGCATGCTAGGTGAAGCTCTTCTCCAGGTCCTCCAGGAGAGCTGACAGCTTTGTTTTCAATATTGCTCTTGGTTCTGAGAACTCACCTCTGCTCTGCACCCCATTCGAGGCACAGCTCCATTTTGTCATTTAGAATTGTTGTTATTCCGTGGTATAAACCTGCGTTAACAACCCTCAGCAATCCTAGACAAAGCATTAGAAATTGAGCAGGTCATGACTAGGGAAACCTTAAAATCATCTCAATCAAAACCTGCTGAGAGTGAAAGGGGAGCCACTGATCTCCCTGGGACAAGCGCCTAGCAGGACCATCCTGGGCAAACTGAAACGATCACCACTTTAGTCGGAACTGACGCTCTGAGAAGTGCTACCCTGGCCAGTTTCTCTTTATTTTTTAACGACTGATCTTGACTTTCTGTTAAACCTCCATTTCTACTGATAGTTGAAAAAACTTAATTTTGCCATTTAAGACTAGCTTGATTCAGATTTAAAACATAACCCAGTCTCTCTATGAATCCACGCTCGGACTCTCGGTGCCCATCTCTCCTCCTTCCCTTTTCCTGGTAACATTTAGGTGCTGGTGGACGTTTCCTGAAGATTGTCCATTTCGATGAGGATCCTTTGGTCTGAGGGCTATTAGGCAGTCACTGCTGTGCCTGTTGACTTTTGGCTTATGGGCAGCCCAGCCCTCTAAGTCATTGGGCACGGGGTCCTGCCCTCAATGTGTCTGCTGCCCAAATGGCTCCACTGGAGTACCTTCCATTTTGTTTTCAGCATGATCGAAGCCCAGGGTCACCTGCCCTGCTACTTAGGCTTCACACTGTGTCCGGAATTGGTGGGTTCTTGGTCTCACTGACTTTAAGAATGAAGCCGTGGACCCTGGTGGTGAGTGTTACAGTTTTTAAAGGAGTCGTGTCCAGAGTTTGTTCCTTCTGATGTTCGAATGTGCTTGGAGTTTCTTTCTTCTGGTGGGTTCATGGTCTTGCTGGCTCAGGAGTGTAGCTGCGGACCTTCGCGGTGAGTGTTACAGCTCTTAAGGCGCCGCGTCTGGAGTTGTTCGTTCCTCCCGGTGGGTTCGTGGTCTCACTGGCTTCAGGAGTGAAGCTGCAGAACTTCGTGGTGAGTGTTACAGCTCATAAAGGCAGTGTGGACCCAAAGAGTGAGCAGCAGCAAGATTTATTGCAAACAGCAAAAAAACACAGCTTCCACAGTGTTGAAGGGGACCAGAGCGGGTTGCCACTGCTGGCTCGGACAGCCTGCTTTTATTCTCTTATCTGGTCCCACCCACATCCTGCTGATTGGTCCATTTTACAGAGCCGATTGGTCCATTTTGACAGGGAGCTGATTGGTCCCTTTTTACAGGGTGCTGATTGGTGCATTTACAATCCCTGGGCTAGACACAAAAGTTCTCCATGTCCCCACTAGATTAGCTAGGTACAGAGTATGGACGCAAAGGTTCTCCCAGTCCCCACCAGAGTAGCTAGATACAGAGTGTCGATTGGTGCATTCACAAACCCTGAGCTAGACACAGTGCTGATTGGTGTGTTTACAAACCTTGAGCTAGATACAGAGTGCTGATTGGTGTATTTACAATCCCTTAGCTAGACATAAAGGTTCTCCAAGTCCCCACCAGACTCAGAAGCCCAGCTGGCTTCACCCAGTAGATCCCCCACCGGGGCCACAGGTGGAGCTGCCTGCCAGTCCTGCTGTGTCCGGAATTGGTGGGTTCTTGGTCTCACTGACTTCAGGAATGAAGCCATGGACCCTCATGGTGAGTGTTACAGTTCTTAAAGGTGGCGTGTCCAGAGTTTCTTCCTTCTGATGTTCCGATGTGTTCAGAGTTTCTTCCTTCTGGTGGAGTTCATGGTCTCGCTGGCTCAGGAGTGAAGCTGCGGACCTTCACAGTGAGTGTTACAGCTCTTAAGGCGGCGCGTCTGGAGTTGTTCTTCCTCCTGGTAGGTTCGTGGTCTCGCTGGCTTTAGGAGTGAAGCTGCAGACCTTTCCGGTGAGTGTTACAGCTCATAAAGGCAGTGTGGACCCAAAGAGTGAGCAGCAGCAAGATTTATTGCAAAGAGCGAAACAATAAAGCTTCCGCAGTGTGGAAGGGGATCCCATTGGGTTGCCACTGCTGGCTGGGGCAGCCTGCTTTTATTCTCTTATCTGGCCCCACCCACATCCTGCTGATCGGTAGAGCCGAGTGGTCTGTTTTGACAGGGCACTGATTGGTGCGTTTACAATCCCTGAGCTAGACACAAAGCTTCGCACATCCCCACCAGATTAGCTAGATACAGAGTGTCCACACAAAGGTTCTCCAAGCCCCCACCGGAGTAGCTAGGAACAGAGTGTCGATTGGTGCATTCAAAAATCCTGAGCTAGACACAGGGTGCTGATTGGTGTGTTTACAAACCTCGAGCTGGATACAGAGTGCTGATTCGTGTATTTACAATCCCTTAGCTAGACATAAAGGTTCTCCACATCCCCACCAGACTCAGGAGCCCAGCTGGCTTCACCCAGTAGCTCTTGCACGGGGGCTACAGGTGGAGCTGCCTGCCAGTCCTGCGTGGTGTGCCCGTGCTTCTCAGCCCTTGGGTGGTCGATGGGACCGGACGCCCTGGAGCAGGGGGCGGGGCTGGTCAGGGAGGCTCCGGCTGCACAGGAGCCGACAGAGTCGGGGGAGGCTCAGGCATGGCGGGCTGCAGGTCCCGAGCCCTGCCCCTTGGGAGGCAGCTAAGGCCCAGTGAGAAATCGAGCACAGTGCCAGTGGGCCGGCACTGCTGGGGGACCCAGTACACCCCCTGCAGATGCTGGCCTGGGTGCTAAGCCCCTCATTGCTGGGGGCCGGCAGAGCCCACCGGCTGCTCCAAGTGCGGGGCCTACAAAGCCCACGCCCACCCGGAACTCCAGCTGGCCCGCAAGCGTCGTGCGCAGCCCCGGTTCCTGCTGGCGCCTCTCCCTCCACACCTCCCTGCAAGCTGAGGGAGCCAGCTCCAGCCTTGGCCAGCCCAGAAAGGGGCTCCCACAGTGCAGCAGTGGCTTGAAGGGCTCTTCAAGTGCCACCAAAGTGGGAGCCCAGGCAGAGGAGGTGCCGAGAGCGAGCGAGGGCTGTGAGGACTGCCAGCACGCTGTCACCTCTCACCGCCATGCGCCCGCACTCCTCAGCCCTTGGGTGGTCGATGGGACTGGGCGCCGTGGAGCAGAGGGCGGCGATCATCAGGGAGGATCCGGCCGCACAGGAGCCCACAGAGTGGGCGGGAGGCTCAGGCATGGTGGGCTGCAGGTCCGGAGCCCTGCCCCTGGGGGAGGCAGCTAAGGCCGGGTGAGAAATTGAGCACAGCAGCTGCTGGCCCAGGTGGTAAGCCCCTCACTGCCCGGGACTGGCGGGGCCGGCAGGCCACTCCGAGTGGGGGGCCCTCCGAGCCCACGCCCACCCGGAACTGGCGCTGGCCCCGCAAGCACAGCATGCAGCCCCGGTTGCCACCCGCGCCTCTCCCTCCACACCTCACGGCAAGCTGAGGGAACTGGCTCTGGCCTTGGCCAGCCCAGAAAGGGGCTCCCACAGCGCAGCGGCAGGCTGAAGGGCTCCTCAAGTGCAGCCAGAGCGGGCGCCAAGGCCGAGGAGGCACCGAGAGCAAGCGAGGGCTATGAGGGCTGCCAGCATGCTGTCACCTCTCAACACTGCTGCAGTTTCCTCCCAGGCCCACCTCTATTTAGGGTCAGGCTGGCTGGAGAGGATTCACCTCTCAGCCTTGCTTCAGAGCCTCCTTGGCTTCCTCTGGAGCACTTCCTGGAAGATCTACTGCAGACCCTGCTAGGGCATGGGAGAATATCTGGACTTCTTGGGCACCACGCATGGGCTCAGGGTGAAAGGGGTGGGTTGGAGAGGTATTTCTTAAGCAGTTAAATCCATGATCTACTGCTCTTCTTTTTTTGACCCTTCAGTTACTTTGTTCACTTCTCTAAAGGATTTACATATTTTGAGTTGTTTTTTTTTTTTTCAAAGACAGGGTCTTGCTCTTTTTTTTCAAAGGCAAGGCCTATCTCCAGGCTAGAGTGCGGGTGGTGCGATCATAGCTCACTGCAGCCTCGAACTCCTGGGCTCATGGGCTCAAGTGATCCTCCTGCTTCAGCCTCCTGAGCAGCTGGGATTATAGGCATGTGCCATTGCATCTGGCTAATTTTTTTTAAAGTTTTTTGTAGAAATGAGGGGTCTCACTTTGTTGTCTAGACTGGTCTCAAACTTCTGGCTTCCAAGGATCCTCCCCTGGCTTCCAAGGATCCTCCCCTATGTTAACTCTCTTCATCTTCACAGCAACCTTATAGAGTACATGCTATTAACACCCTGAGGTTATGGATGAAGAAACAGGTGCAGCGAATGGGTGATTTGCCTAAGGTTGGGCAACAAATCAGAAACAGGTAGGATTTGAGCCCAGGAATCCTGGTATCAGAGTCTGTACTCAGAAATGCTAGGCAGAGAGAAAATTCTTGAACTTTGAGAGTAGGCTGTTAAAATGTGATTATTCAACAAGAAATTTCTCTTCTAAATAAATTATTTAGATGTTAAAAATTCTTCTGACATGAGCAAATACTCTTGACAATAGTTCAGAGAATCTAGGTCAGACCTTTTACTCTGCTAACCTAGTTCTTCACTAAAAAGCAACATCTACTACCGTTATTACCAATAATTAAAATAATAATGGCAATGACTTCATGGACCTGCTGCTTATAAACTTCACTGATATGATAGTATAGTAAATATAATTTGTTCAGAATTAGGAGGCTGACCTCTAGTGTCATGATTTTAATTAGCTGGATGTTAATAAATATTGGGATAGTTTTTAGTGCTGTAAGTTTTTTTTTTTTAATAAAAAGTCTTCTCCTTGAATACTTGTGATTTTTTTCATTCTTTTTTCTTTTCTTCCCTTAAGAAAGCAAATATTTATTTCACATACAGAGAAATTAGTCACTCTGTTTTCATTGTTCCTTTATTTTTACATCTCTAATTTAATCTTGTATTAATTCCCAAAAGCAATTGTGCAATTTTGGGTTTTTCTGAAATACGTCTCATTCATTCCCTAAAGCTTTGGAAATGCTCCATGGTGCTCCTTTCCCCAAGCCTTTTTGCATTTTAAAAAATTCCCTTTCTGTTTTAGAGCCAAACTTTGCCCTTGTCCCAAACTTCTATATTTTAAAAATACTCTTGTCTTATTTTCTAATGATTGGGTGAATTTCATTTCTACCACTTTTCTATTTTTTTTTCCCTGGATTGTTTTGGTGATTCAATTTCTGGGCTCCAAATATATAGTTGCCAGATTTTTACTGCTATTGGCCATAAAATCCTGCCCAGTCACTGGGCTGTAAAAAAGCAGATGCAAAATTGCTCCTACTGTCGGCTGCCAGCTGTGTAGTCCCGCAGCCAGAGGCAGAGAGGCCGTATTCCCCCCACTTTCCTTAGATTCAGGAGCCTGTTCAATACGCATTGCCTATGTCACGACCTGCATAGCTGCCTGTCAGTAACCGCCTAGGGCTCTTATTTGTGTAAATAAGTTAGTTTCATTTTCATTTTGTTTGAACTTCCACATTGCCACTACATAGAGAATGTTTTCTTTATCTTTTCCTACTGAGTTGTAAATAATTGTTACCCTAATCTTGCAGATACAATGATGCTGCCTTGATTCTGGTGTGTTAGGTTCAGTTCACAGGAGCTACTCTCCTTTTCAAAGCAAGCAGCATCAGCACACTGATTCTTGGCTGGAATTCGGAGACCCGGAGACCTGGGCAGGAGACAGAAGCAGCATTGTATGAAAGGATGAAAGAGAGACAAGAGGCAGCATCCTGGGTGTGAAACGAAAATAATATCATCTGTCTTGTCCAAATGAACTGGCAATGCAAGGGGGCCAACCATAGAAAGAATCTATGTGGTAAGCAATGGAGTAGAAACCAGATCAGATGAACGGCCAAAATGCATGTTTATTTTCTCATTGGATTCTCATGGTCTCACCTCCATGGAGAGACAGAACTAGAATTTGACCCATGCAGTGTGACCAGAGGGCCTGGACGCCAAGTCTCTGCTTGACTGCCCTGGTTTACGGTCTTTGAGAGGTTATTTTCTGCCCAAGAGCATCCATTAGTACATGGGAATCCAGACTTGGAACATGCTCTGTCTGGCTCCAGAGTCCTCTAGGTTTTCAAATATTCTACTGAGATTGAGGCAAAGGCTCAGGAAGCATCCCCTGAGCTGGAAAGGGCTGCTGTAATTGGTTTTCATAGGACACCTGTATAGTGGGCTGTTGACCCAGCTTGTACACAGTCTCAGTGAGGGTGATTTTTTTAAGGCTTATTTGTGTTTTTGCTTATATCATGGCCCTTTAGAATACTCATTTGATTGCCTTGTAGTGGTTGTTATTTTTCATTTATTTTGAGTGGGTATGTTATTTTCCTTTCTGGCTGCTTCTTTTCCTGCCATTTTGGGGTTTGACCCAATCTACTACAAAATATAGATGTTCCTAGTATTTTTTTTCATGTATTTAAGCCTCTTCTAGTGTGTTCATGTGTTTAATGTCAAAGCTTCTGTCTTACCCCAAAGTTTATATGGTTATATGATTATATCTCTCCCTTTACCCTTTCTTTGGAATCGATTTTTAAAAAATTAATAGACTTCATTTCTTTTAGCAATTTTAGGCTTACAGAAAAACTGGGCAGAAAATACAGAGCTCCTATATTCACCTTCCCCACTCCCACACACCGTTTGTGGAAAAGACTATCTTTTTTCCACTAAATTGACTTTTCTCATTCATCAAATATCAGTTGACCTTATTTGTTTGGATCTATTTCTAGGCTCTGTACTCTGCTCCACTTATCTGTCTATTCTTTCACCAATACCATGCTGTCTTGATTATTGTAGCTTTATAGTACTTCCTGGAGTTGGATAGTGTAAGGCCTCTGATTGTATTCTTTTCTTTCTTACTTAATGAAACCCAATACTGGGTTGGCTATTCTGGGTCTTTTGCCTTTCCATACAAACTTTAGAACTAGTTTGTCAAAATTAAAAAAAATTTTTAAACCTTTACTGGTATTTGGATTGTAATTTCATTTAATCTATAGATCCAGTTGGGAAGAAGGGATATTTGACAATATTAAATCTTATCCATGTCCATGGTGTATCTCTCCATTTATTCATATATTCTTTGGTTTCTTTCATCAGAGGTTTATAGCTTTTATCATATAAATCTTATACATATTTTGTTAGATTTATACCCATTTTTTGGTGTGAATGTAAATGGCATTATTTCTTAATTTCAAATTCCAGTTGTTCATTGTTGATATGTAAGAAAGCAATTAACTTTTAAATATTAATCTTGTATCTGCCAACGTTTACATAATAGCTTACTAATTCCAGAAGGGGATTTTTGTTGTTGCTGATTCTTTCGGATTTTCTACACAGACAATCATACCATCTATATACGAAGACAGCTTTATTTCTTTCTTCCCAATCTGTATGCTTTTAATTTCTTTTTCTTGTCTTATTGCACTAGTTAGGACTTCCAGCATGATCTAAAATAAGACTGGTGAGAGCAGATATCCTTGCCTTCCTAAATTAAAAGGAAAGCATCTAGTTTCTCTTCATTAAGTATGAAGTTAGCTGTAGATTTTTTGTACATGTCCTTTATCAGTTTGAGAAAGTTTCCCTCTATTCCTAGTTTGCTTGGAGTTTTTACCGTAAGTGGATGGTGGATTTTGTTAAATTCTTTTTCTGCATCTATTGATATGATCATATAATTTTTCTTCTTTAGCCTGTTGTTGTGATTGAATACATTATGATTTTCAAACATTGAACTAGTCCTGCATATCTGGAGTAAATCCCATTTGGTCATGGTGTATTGTTTGTTTTATACATTGTTGGATTCAATTTACTAATATTTTGTTGACGATTTTTGCATCCATTTTCCTGAGAGATACTAGTCTATTGTTTTCCTTTCCTGTAATGCCTTCATCTGGTTTTGGCATTAAGGTTAGGCTGGTTTCATCGAATGAATTAAAACATATTTTCCTCTGTTTCTCTTTTCTCCTTGTTTGTTTTTACTTCTAGCTTTTTTTTTCCCATGCATCCAAAAATGGTCAATAATTCTAAACTCATGTCTATTAAACATGGCTTGCCTTACCCTGTATGTTGCATCGTATTTTATGCAAGGAAACAGGGACAACTGTTAGCTTTTAATCATTTTGTGTCCTGATGCTTTAACACCGTGGCTTCTTTTTCTAAAACTCCCATCTAAGCCAGAAATGTCTTATTATCAGCAATAGCATAAAGAAAAATTTTCTGAAAGTCATCTTTGTCTTGGATATCATCTCAAAATCAATTGTCAATAATTCTATCTTTTTGGCATCATTGTAAATCAAGCAAAGTAGCTTTCAGAAAATTTCCCTTATAGGAATAATGCTTAACTGAAGAGATGTATACTCAGAGAAGAAGCAGCCTTTTGTAAGGAAAATTTCTCTGAATAAAACTGTCTTTAAAAGACTTTGCAACAACAAAAAAAGAGCTAGCTTCTGCAGGAGGAAGAAAAAAACAACTCCGACTCTAAATCCAAGGCCAGTGACACCACACTGCATATAATACAGTTTCTTTTTTGCAACAGTAAGAACATGAGCACAAAGGGAACATTTATGAGAGCCAACATGATCAATTTGAGGAAAACAGCAGTTAGAAACTGCAATCCAATTTTTTTTCCTGTCTAGAAAATCAATGAACCACAAACATCTAATAAATCGGTCAATTATACACAGATGCCAGGCTGTACAAAAGATGTATATTAGTTTTAGCAAATCATGACTGTCTCATAGAGATTTTATGACAGAAAGTTCCACTGATTAAAATGTCAGTATAAAACATTGCCTTTCATTCAAATAGCTAGTCCAGACTCAGCCTCTGTAATGATGGAATGTAATAATTAGATAGTGGGCAAAGCCCACATGTTAGCAAACAACAACAAAAATAATCAGACTGCTCAAAGAAAAGGAAAGAGCTGGTGAAGCACAACTGAGGTGGTCTCGGGCTTAGCTCCCCAGTGAAAGCATCCAGAGTAACACCCAGGTACTCAGATGGCAGGCACTGCACGTGTTTCCATGACAACTCCAAGGACCTGGCTGGGGACTTATCACTGGGGTTGCAGAGTTGGGATTTCTCTGAAAGAAGAAGTAAGAATTGTGTTTTAATTAAAGAAATATTTTTTAAAGTATGACTCTTAATTTTAATTAATTAATAAATATTTTAATAGTATTAATTTTTTATGTTAATACCATTAATTGTTTTAAAATTGATATTCCTGCTTGAGCCCAGGAGTTCAAGGCTGCAGTGAGCTATGATTGTGCCAATGCACTGCAGCTGGGGCAACAGAGCAAGACCCTGTTTCTAAAATAAATAAATAAAATTTAAAAATTAAAAAAAAGATATTTTTATCCCTAATTTTAAAAGTTAGGGATCATTTAAAAAGCCTTTTAGTTTTTCCTTGGCCTCACTGCCTGGGGTACCACAGTACAGCATGGCAAGTTCCCCTTTATATTCTGTAGTAAGATGTTCTAGCATAGATGTGGGCAGAGGCTTCCTGACTTCCCAGCAGGGCCTGCTTTGTTTGTACTCCCAGCCACACGGCCCCAAGAGTAACTCTGGGCCTGAGTGAAAAAACCCTTTGTAGAGGGGTAATGGACCAGATGAAAGTCTTCACGTAGAATTTTCCCCACTCGCCCTTTTTGGATCTCGCACCTTTATTCGTATCATCTTCCCCCATTGTCCTCAGTCCTGACTATTCAGGCACCAAAAAGGATATCTCTCTTTGGCTTCTTTCCTCATTATGTGGGAAAACTCAGCTGAAAATCCACAGGCATCCTAATATTCAATAATGAGAGATGCTGTGCTCAGCACTTGTCTCCAGATCTTGAGTGACACTCTATCCCAGAATGCTGAGTGACACTCTATCCCAGGATGCTGTGGTCAGTCGCTGTTAGGAACTAAATGTCTGTGTTCCCCCCAAAATTCATGTTTTGAAGTCCTAACCTCCAGTGTTGCCGTATTTGGAAAGGGGCCTTGAAGAATTCATTAAGATACAGTAAGGTCATAAGAGTTGACCCCGATCTGATAGGATTAGTGTCCCTAGGAGAAGAGACACCCAGAGCTCTCTCCCCATTCCCCCACCATGAGCGTGCACTGAGGAAAGGCCATGTGGGGACACAGTGAGAAGGTGACCAGGTGACCGTCTGCAAGCCAGAGATTCCTCACCAGAAACCAAGTCACCAGAACCTTGATCTTGGATTTCCAGCCTCCAGAACATCGAGAAAATATGTTTTTGTGGTTTAAGGCCCCCAGTCTATGTTATTTTGTTAAGGCAGCCCAAGATGGCGAATATAATGGCATCAGAGAGGGAGACAGCCATCACATAAGACTCCCTCCATCAGACACGAATGGTATCAGCCAGGCAGTCCCAGAAGCCTGCAATAGAAAAGCACCATTCACTGACCCTCATGTTTGGAGTGATGGTGTGTTCTCCCATACATACAAATGTGTCTAGAAATCCCAAGGTAAGACAGCATGTCTAGTGAGTTCTGGAGAATGACTGCCCTGTGTCCACTTGGCTTATGTGATGGAGGCTACTGGAGCCTCAGGACACAATTGTTGGACACATTGAACATTGCCATAACATCTGACAGACGGAGCACAGATGTGCAGCGACTTCCACCAAGGCCAGGCAACCTGTGGATAATCCGAAAAGAAACCATAAGGGATGTAAAATCGAACTCTGCTTTTCTTCTTGATCACTGGGTACCACTTTGGGCTACAAAGTAGAGAATTTATTTTGACTTCTTTAGCCCCATCAAGGCTCGTGGTTCTCCCTGACACCCCTCACCACCTCATGTCTTCATCTGCAGACTGTGCTGGGATGCTAGGCTGTTCCTCCCGTTAGGAGCAGCTCAGTGGGAGCAGATTCAAGTAGAAGGAGAGAGGAATCTGCATGCATTGGGCTGACGGTGATTTGTTCATTTCTTAGAGTAATCAGTAACATCTTGATTGATGCATTCTTAGTTTAGTGCTCTGGTTGTTACTGCTTACTGAGAATATTATTTTCTTCCATTTTTGTCTCTTTCTTGTTTTCCATCCTCCAAGTCAAAATTCTTAGAGTTCTTTGACTCTGAATATATTTTCAGCTTATGAACTATAATACATTGAAATCTAAACTCCATGTGTTGTTAAAGTATATCACTGGTGACACTATTGTAGCTATTCATTTTAAAATAAATGTCTCTAGGGAGCTTAAGGTTCATCCTTGTATTAGTCAGGGTTCTCTAGAGTGACAGAACTAATAGGATAAATGTATATATGAAAGGGTGTTTATTAAGGGGATTTGACTCACACAGTCACAAGGTAAAGTCCTATGATAAGCCATCTGCAAGCTGAGGAGCAAGAAAGCCAGTGGTGGATTAGTCTGAGTCCCAAAACCTCAAAAGTAGGGAAGCTCACAGTGCAGGCTTCAGTCTGTGGCCAAAGGCCAGAGAACCCCTGGCAAACCACTGGTGTAAGTCCAGGAGTCCAAAAGCTGAAGAACTTGGAGTCTGATGATGTTCGAGGGCAGGAAGCATCCAGTACGGGAGAAAGATGGAGGCTGGAAGACTCAGCAAGTCAAGACCTTCCACATTCTTCTACCTGCTTTATTCTAGCCATGCTGGCAGCTGATTAGAAGGTGCCCATCCAGACTGAGGGTGGGTCTGCCTCTCCCAGTCCATTGACTCAAATGTTAATCTCCTTTGGCAACACCATCACAGACACACCCAGGAACAATACTTTGCATCCTTCCATCCAGTCAAGTTGACACTCAATAGTAACCATCACAATCCTCCTCCATGACTCTTCAGATGCTGTTTTCTTTGAAGGAAACACTGTGTATGGACCTCGTTGATTTTTCACTCTAGCAGTTCTCTTGCTGGTAAATGTTTAATAATTGGTGCTCTCGGGGTGTTTGCCAAATTCCATGGTCTATGATCAATATCCCCACTATTTATTAACCTATTTTGAGCCACCAATATGGTGTCACTGAATGTGAAATTGGGGAAGAGATTCATACAATTGGCTCTCCAGCCCCTGCATGCTGTGGATAGGGGGTGTAATTAACTCTGCACCTGACCTTTCATAAAAGCCCTGCTCCTAGGGGTTTCTTGTCTCTTAAAATCAACCTTTGTCAGGAGGGTCGCTTAAGCCCAGGAGTTCCAGGCTGCAGCGAGCTATGATTGTGCCACTGCACTCCAGCCTGAGCAATACAGTGAGACCCCTTTACTAAAAAACAAACAAACAAACAAAAAGAATAGCCTTTGTTACCTGACCTCACATACGAGTGGCTCCCCAAACATGATGGAGAAAATATAACAAGGATTTTAAAACACAGGAAAATCGGAGTGTTTTCCCACATCGTTCTTCCCCTAGGCCGCATCCTGACCTCTTTAGCTCAGAAACAATATTTCACCATACAGAACCATTTCCACCATGCCTATATGATCCAGTTCATTCATTAAACACTGATAAATACAATTTTCTGCTTCAGTGGAAAGTGGAATGACATTGGTGAAATAGTGATACATATTCAATTTGATTATAAAAATAAAAAAGAGTAAAAGACTTTCTGTTGCATGTTCATGTCAAAAGCAAGGAAATGGTTGATTGTATCTGGTGTATCAAACATCTAGTGGTCAGTGCTTGGGGCCACCACAGTGGTTTTCTCACCAGAGCTGCTCTGCGCTGGGGTTTCTGGGATTGTTCCTGGCTGTCCAGTCCAGTGCCTAGCTCTCCAGCATTCCCAAAATTCTGTGGGCTGCCCACTATTCTTTGAACAGCTCTCTTTTCTGCTAACTTGAACCAAGTTGGCTTTTATTGCAACTCAGAACTCAGGCTCTAGGGCAAGACAGCTTTAGTTCAAATTCCAGATGCCTCAGCTACTAGCTTGTGTCCTTAGCCAAATTTCTCTCCACAAATTCATCATCTGTAAAAGGGGGATAATACTTCCCATTAAGTTATTATGATGCTTAAATGAACTAATACGTGCACATGTTATAGAACAATACGGGGCACATAGTAAGCGCTCAATAACTGTTAGCTATTATCATCATGTTGGGTACATTACAGCAAAAATTGGTTGACATCAACCAATTCCAAATACAAAGGGAAAATGAACAGCCGTGAAGCCACTGCTTTTGTGTCACATATTTTACGTGTTCTCAAACATAAGAAGCCTCTTCATAGTATAATAGCTTCAAACTTGGTACAGAACAGAGAATATGTATTTACTTTTTCCATGGTAATCAGCAGTTTAGAAGTTGATCACTCTTTAAATCCAGCATCTGTTAATGTTTAAAGCAATTCATAGTTTTCCTCAGAGCACATGATTTTGGACAAAGACAACAACAAATAAAAGTGCCAAAATGGGCTCACTAGCCTGTGTGCATAAAATGAAGTAATTTCAACAAATTCTCTGTATGTACTATGTATGTACTTATTCTATTCCATGTTAACAAAAGCTTTTATTGTCCTCCTCAAAAATTCCTCTGATATTTGCCTTTCAAATTCTAGAATGGCAATGCTAATTTTAATGTCACATTCTTGTTTCCTTCTTGGCAAAATGTATTGTTTTGCTTTAGTGTTCTGAATATTTTTAAAATGTTTCCAACATTTCTAACACATGGGCAATTTGAAAAACTCTAGCCTTTTACTTCTTTTTTTTTTCCTCTTTCTTTTGATTTAATAAAATTAGGACGGAAACCCTTGCATTTTCTTTCTTTTCTTTCTTTCTTTTTGAGACAGAGTCTTGCTCTGTCACTTGGGCTGGAGTGCAGTGCCATAATCACAGCTCACTGCCACCTCAACCTCCCAAGTTCAAGTGATCCTCTAACCTAAGCCTCCCAAGTAGCTTGGACCACAGGTACATGCCACCACGCCTGGCTAATTCTTTATTTTTTTATAGAGATAGGATCTCCCTGTTGCCCGGGCTGGTCTCAAACTTCTAAGCTCAAGCAATCCTCCCACCTTGACTTCCCAAAGTGCTGGGATTACAGGCATAAGCCACCATGCCTGGCCACCCCTTGCATTTTTCTAAAGCCTATTTTACAATTATCTCTTTGGTTGGTGCAAAAGTAACTGTGTTTTTCCCCATTACTTTTAATAGTGAGCTAGTGGCTTTTATAGAGATGATTTATCTATTCATTCAACAAATAGACACAGAGCCCTTATTTGGAGCAGGGCTGGGCTAATGCCAGGATGTTTTGATGAACAAAGCATGACCCTATCCTCAAAGAGTTTACAGTACGGTAGGAAGAGAGAGAAAGAAACAGGCTGTTCCCATAACCTGCAACTAGAGGTAAATTCATGATGCTAGGAGAACACAGCAGAAGGGCACCTAATCCAAACTCAGGGGATCAGGAAAGGATTCTCAGAGGAAATGACATTTGGCAGAGACTTGTACAATAACTAAGAGTTAGCCAATAAAGAATGGTATTTTTCTTTAACCTTCTTGTGGAAGGGTGTATAATTAAACTATGTCATGCTCTGAATGTTTCATAAATCTTTTTTTAAAAAAATGAATAATTTTTAATGTCCTATAAATATTCCATTTCTTTGAAAAGCAGGATGTAAATATAGTGGATTCCATAATTGAGAACTTTACACATATTTGCAGCATTAATTGTACTCCCGGTTCCAAAATTCTGAAATATTTTATATACGTACCTTAGTCAGTTGGGGCTACTATGAAAAATATCATATAATAAGTGGCTTCAACAACAAACACTTATTTCTCACCGTTCTGGAGTCTAGAAGTCTGAAATCAGGATGCCAGCATGGTCAGGTTCTTGGTGAGGGCCTCTTCTTGACTTGTAGATACCTGCCTTTTAGTTGTATCCTCACATGGCAGAGACAGAGAGAAGGCTCTGGTCTTTTCATCCTTTTATAAAGGCACTAATCCACCACGGGGTCTGTACCCTCATGACCTCATCTAAACCTATTTACCTTTCACAGGCCCCAATACCATCTCATGGGAGATTAGGGATTCAACATATGGATTTTGGAAGGACACAGTCAGTCCATAGCAATGCTCTATTGCATTTATTTTTCTCTTCCTCCTCTCCTCTCCTCTCCTCTCCCCTCTCCTCTCCTCTCCTCTCCTCTCCTCTCCTCTCCTCTCCTCTCCTCTCCTCTCCTCTCCTCTCCTCTCCTCTCTTCTCTTCTCTTCTCTTCTCTTCTCTTCTCCTCTCTTCCCTTTTCTTTTTTCTACAGTCTCACTGTGTTGCCCAGGCTGGAGTGCAGTGGCGTGAGCTTGGCTCACTGCAACCTCCGCTTCCTGGGTTCAAACGATTCTCTTGCTTCAGACTTCCAAGCAGCGGGGATTACAGGCATGCACCACCATGCTGTCTAATTTTTGTATTTTTACTAGAGATGAGGTTTCACCATGTTGGCCAGGCTGGTCTCAAACTCCTGACCTCGAATGATCTGCTGGCTGCAGCCTCCCAACATGCTAGGATTACAGGCGTGTGCCACTGTGGCTGGCCATGTTTATTTTTCTTATGTGAGAAATAAATAAGTTTACTTTAGTCACATGTTTCCCTACTAATAAATTACATTCATTAAGATGAAACATTGAATTTTTAAGCCCAATACACATTAACTTCAAAGCAATTTCTCTAACTCACAATGAAAATTCACGCATAAAATTAAACATAAGTTTTTAAATTACACAATAGAGGTAACAAAATTATTTTCCAGTTTTGCTCATACTTCTGCAATGTATGCAGTGGCTATTTTTTAAAAATAACCTCCTTGAAGAAATCTTTTTTTGAGATGGAGTCTCACTCTGTCACCAGTTTGGAGTGCAGTGACACAATCTCGGCTCACTGCAACCTCTGCCTCCCAAGTTCAAGTGATTCTCTTGCCTCAGCTTCCCCAAGTAGCTGGGATTACAGGCGCCTGCCATCACGCCTGGCTATTTTTTGTTTTTTCAGTAGAGACAGGGTTTCACTATGTTGGCCAGGCTGGTCTCGAACTCCTGACCTCAGGTGATCCACCCGCCTTGGCCTCCCAAAGTGCTGAGATTACAGATGTGAGCTACCATGCTCAGTCTTTGAGGAAATTTTGCACCCAGTGCTTCTATTTGTTTTGAAACATTACATTTTTCATGTTATTCTAAGATGCTAAAATATGACATATCAAAATTGTTTACTCTCATCAATTTTGCCTGTCTCACCTTCTTGCAACACAGCACTTCACTGGTTAACCCTGACTAGATCAACTTTCTACTTGCAAAATGTTGAATCTGTCATTTCAACCAGCTTAACAATTGACATTTTATTCATAGCCACAAACTTCAAAAGGCACTCAATACTGCTCAGTACCCCTGTTTTCTAGTAAGTTTATTATTCTCCTCTGTGATAATATTTTAAATCTTCTTTCTCTGCTTAAACAGCCCATGCACCCTATCCCTCCCCACCCTCAATTGGTGACTCTGCCTTATTTTTCATTGTGGTAACAGAAATATTGTAGAAACAAAATTTACAATCATAAATGCTGGTGTGAGAAAATAGACTTATTTTTCTGTAACTGAATGAGTTTTGCCTCTAACTCTCATTCCACTGATGATTCAGAAAATTGAATTCCAGATTTCTTTAGTCACTTCAGATTTTCTCAATATTTTCAAACTCAGTCCATTCAGGACTATACAAGTCCCGAATGGGACTTCCCGGAGTGACATTTAAGATCCAGAAGGTTTACATTGTGTAATCAGGAAAAGACATATATTCTACTTTTGAACACTGAAAAAACCTGGAAAGAATGACCAACAGTAGCAATGTTGATTTAGATATAGTGTTTCTCACTAAAAGGTAACAGGGCTTCTAAATTCAAAACTACAGGGTGTTTTGCTTAATTTTTTCAATATGAAACTTGTTCCTCCGTTCACCCATACCACACATCCTGGTTGTCAAGAATGGGGATGATAAATGAGAATTTCACATAATTACTCATTTGGCTTATTCTAAATTACACATAAAACAATCTAAGATTAACAATATCATGTTTTTAGCAATATGGTTCTGAAAATACTTTTACGTTTATTTTTCTGAGAATTCTTTCCATTCGTTTTAGTTATTCTATTTCTGTATTGTCAGAAGTTATATTAACTTACTTTTTTCTTCCTTTCATTTCTCAGTTACTGTTAATTCTCCATATAATTATATATTTAGAGCTTACCACTAACTTTATGTTGATTTTTTTTTCTATGATTCTCCAGTTTCTCAAGGTAGAACTGATGAGAACAGTATTTTCTGAATTTTTAAATTTTGATCATAGTTTGTCTGTGGTCTTTAACACTCGGCAGCCATTTTAGCTATATATAAAATTCTTGGATCCACATTTCCTCTTCTGGAGCATCTTAAATGTTATATTCCATTTTTCTTCTAGCATAAAGCATTGCTGTCAAACCTTTATAGGGCAATCTATTTTATTTCCTTCATGTAGGTGACCCGGCCTTTTGCGAAGTGCTCAAGGAATTTTTTAAGTCCAATTATTTAATTCGAATCTATTTTAATATTGGTCACTCTGAGTTGGTTTTTCTGAGGATTCACTGTACCTTTTCAATATGTAGTATTAATCTTTTTATTGTTACTTAGAATAAGAAAATGTTTCCTTTCTTTTTTGTAGTTTTTATTGTTTGTTCTGTTCCCTAAATTTGGTTTTCTTCTTTAGAGCTTCCTATTACATGTATGTTGGATCTTTCTTGCCTGCCTTCTGTATCTGTGGCTTTCTTTATAACCCTTTCTACCTCTTTATTCTTCCATTACTTTTATATTAAAGTTTTACTCTTCTTAATTTTAATTTTTCTGAAAGCATTTTCTATTCTATTTATTCATTATCTTTTTTCTGGCTTAGATATTATTTCAGAAATAAATTTTTTAGAAGTTTTACTTGTTTTCTGAGTTCTGTCTTCTCATTCCTGAATTTTCTTCTGCTCTATTCTGTCCTTTCAGATATTGCATCATTTTTTAAATGTCTTTTATAGTGTTGTAAAATATCAGTTTATATTTTTCATCTATTTGTGCACATGTCTCTTTGGCATGCTTTCATTGTTTTTAGGAATACTATTTTGCATTTTTTTCTTTTCCCCTTAATATGACCTTAATTCCTTTATCTTGCTCATTTTTATGTGAAATTAATTTTTTGAATTTTAGATTAATGTTTCCAACTTCATGGATCCTAGATCTTCCTCTTCTGTTGTTTTGTAATATGTTTGAAAATACAATTGGCCCTCTGTATCCATGGACTTTACATCCATGGACTCAACCAATCAAGGACTGAAAATATCTTTTTGAAAATATTTTTTAAAATTGCATCTGTGTTGACATGTTCACTTTTTGTCTTGTCATTATTCCATAAACAATATGGTATAACAACTATTTACAAAGCATTTGCATTTTGTTAGGTATGATAAGGAATCTAGAGATGACTTAAAGTATATGGGATGTACATAAGTTGTGTGCAAATACTATGCTATTTTACATCAGACTTGAGCATCTGCAGATTTTGGCATTCTCAAAACGTTCTGAAACCAATCCCACATGGATATCCAGGAACAACTGTACAATTGCTTATATTTTGAAATTTCATGGCTTTGTTCCCTCTTGCTATTTTTAGCCAGACTTTCTTTTTTCCTTGGTCTCTGTTGACCCTCTCCTGCTCAATTTTGATTTGATTTCCAAGAATTTCACCTCTATGTGGGGTGTTGTCCTGGAAGGGGGCTTTTGCTAGTTAGTTTTAAGGGTTCATAGGTCCAGACCACTGTAGCAACTTAAGGCCTTACAATTGGCTTGCTATTGTAGGGTGAAAACTCTTCCCAGTGTTAGCTACCATTCTCAGATTGACGTTTGGAGCTGCAGGTGAGCCCTGTGGTTATTCTGAAGTTTCTTCAGTCCATCAGTTGTACCATTGTTTCCATCTGCTTTCTCCTTCATAAACGCTGATTTTATGCATATTTTGAAGCTGTCAGGATAGAACTCACCTATATTTTGAAGTTAATGAGGTTACTTTTTCATTTAGTTTTGTTATAGATATTGTCCGGGTTTTATGTGCTTGTTATCCTAATTGCTGTGGGCTTTTATGAGGGGATTTAGGAAAATTAAAAACCAGTAGCTTCTTGCCAGCTATGTGCCCCAACTTTCCCCAGTTTAGTCCCTTAAAACTGTAATCCAGAAGGTGACATTATTTTGCATATAACTTTTTTTTTTTTTTGAGACAGCATCTAACGTCACCCAGACTGGAGTGCAGTGGTACAATCATGGCTCACTGCAGCCTCGACCTCCCGGGCTCAGATGATCTTCCCACCTCAGCCTCCCAAGTAGCTGGAACTACAGGCATGCACCACCATGTCTGACTAATTTTTGTATTTTTTTTTGTAGGGATAGGGTTTTGCCATGTTTCCCAGGCTGGTCTCGGACTCCTGGCCATAAGCAATCTACCTGCCTCGGCCTCCCAAAGTGCTGAGATTGTAGGTACGAGCCACTGCGCTAGGCCCACTTATAACTTTTTGGTGATTTTGCCTCATATTTAGAAGATATGTGAAGTCCTCACTATCACCTCAAAGATCACACATAATCTCGCCTCTGCCTATCTCTCCAAGTCCACTTTCTACCCATTTCCCCACATTCTCTACAGTACAGATGCACTGATTTGTAATAAACTAAATTTGTTCTGACTTTAGATTTTTTGTTTGCGGTTTCTTTTTGTTGCCATCTAAGAAAGTGTTTGTCTAGCTCTTCTGACTGCATCATTCTCATCCTTTAGCTCTCAGTATAATTGTCATTTTCACAGAACGGACTTTCCTAAACACTCTCTCAATGATCATGTTAGCTTAGCATCAGCCTCAGTTGGGGAATCTGTGCTTCTTGTCTCTGCAATTCTGTGCTCTGTGGGTTTAGAGATTCTAATTCACAAACAGAAATGCTTCTACCAAGGAACACATCATTAGTCCCATTGATTTATAAGCTATGGCTGTTGTCTAGGCACCTAAGGCTTCATGTGCCAAAGGACCAGCAGGAAAGAAAAGGAGTGACTGCCTTGTTACGGAAAATGGACCTTGATCATTAGGAGAAGGTTGGCTGCTCTTATATAATAAGGGCACGAAAGAAGGTGTTTGGTACTTGGTGATCCACTTAAGCATCTCTCAGTAGTCCCTCACCTGGTTTTGAGGGTGATTGCTGCAGTGGTGGCCTGAGTAAGTCATGGTGACCAGCAGCTCAGACCCCTCAGTGGTGCAGATCTGGGTCACACTACCAGGTAAGCCACTGAGACCAGCAAACATGCCAGCTGAAGGCAAGGGGAATGTAAAATGGATAATAGAAGAAGGATTTAAAGAGCTTCAGTGGCAACTCCAAGAACAGATGCAGCTCTTCCTTTCTATTAAATATTTTTGGGGCTATAGTTTACCCTGTTAACCTTTTGCTTACAAATTTCTCCCAGGAAAAGAGACTTGATGGTATCCAAGGGGGCTGGTTGTGAAACTTGCATTTATAAGTGTATTCGAGTGGCATATATGATGGACAGCTGTGGGTGCTATAATGTGCTTCCCTGATTCTCTTTTAGGAATGAAGAACTTATTTCCCATGTTTCTGAAAGTGCTGTCCACAGACAGCATTCCATTGTCAGCCCTTTTTAGGAATTGACTCATCTGGAAAGAGTTGTCTCAACTAAAGTCATACTCCTTTCCTTGGGCACCTGCATTCAATGGCTAGGCATTGCACATATATAAAGGCCCAGCCCCATCTATCCACCTTGAGACAAGGCTGAAAGGCCATCCCAGGCTTGGAATTTTTCCCTCTGCATGATCCACAGGTGCTGTCCCAAGGACACTCCCTAATACACTTTCTGCATGCAAATCACTGCTTCAGAGTCTGCCTCTAGGGACCCCAACCTGCAACAATCAGACTCACCCTAACTGGTTGTAGGGTTTCTGACATCATATGACAGAAACCCTACCACCAAGGAGGCACTTATATATCTCTAAATAAGTGGTGCATTGCTCCCTTGGCAGCAGCAAGAAACCAGGTTTCTTCCAGCTCCCTGCTCCCTCTCTATATGAGTGTGGCTTTCATATCCACAAGAAAAGACAGTTGCTCCACTTCCAGGCATCACTTTCATGTTTCTAGGCAAGGAGGATGAAGAGTGAGGAGCAAAAGGCAAAGGAGCATGACTTTGAAATCTTTTAAAGAAGTCCTATCTGATGACTTAGACTTATGCCAGAATGGGTCAATTTGCTATCCTCAAGTCAGAGGAAGATTAAGCAGATATTTTCAGTGGTGCACATTATGACCCTGTACTACATTAGGGCTCTAATAGCTAAGAATAAGGCAGCAGGAGGTTACTGGACAAGCAGCTAGTGGTGTCATCCTCCTCTTGGAGCACAGAAACTCCTGAATGGCAGAGTCTTTTCCTGCCTTCTTCACTACTCTATTTGCACAATGCTGGAACAGTGCCTGACCCAAAATAGTAAACAAGTACTTGATGAATGAATGATTGCAGAACTTTTACTTTGACTGAGATGTACTTTGTGTTACCGCATCATGTTGAAAACATAATAATCAGAGGAATGTGTGGTTTGATTAGGGGAGAGGAGAGGAATATGAATACCCTAAACAGAAATTAAATTTTAAAGCTTCCTTGTGGAAAGGATCATAGAAATACTAAGTTATTTAATTGGTCCTTTGTCATTTTTTTTTTTTTTTTTTTTGAGACGGAGTCTTGCTCTGTTGCCTTGCCAGGCTGGAGTGCAGTGGCGCCATCTCAGCTCACTTCACCCTCCACCTCCCAGGTTCAAGCGATTCCCTGGCCTCAGCCTCCTGAGTAGCTGAGACTACAGGCGCGTGCCACCAGGCCTGGTTAATTTTTTGTATTTTAGTAGAGACGGGGTTTCACCATGTTGGCCAGGATGGTCTCTATCTGACCTCGTGATCCGCCTGCCTTAGCCTCCCAAAGTGCTGGGATTACAGGCGTGAACCACCATGCCCAGCCTCCTTTGTCATTCTTAAATACAAAGCACGGCAAGATTTCAAATGAAAAACAGGCCAGTATGCAAAGCCTTCAGGCAACTTGAGAAATGGAGCCAGGGTTATTTGTCCTTACATCCTTAGCACTGACTTGAGAGGGATCCCATGAGTATTTGTTGAGTGAATGTTGATAGGACAAGTAAGTGAATTAATGGGATACAAGTCATCTGGATATTGTCACATTCTTACTTAAAATAATCTCTCAAATATTTGAGAGAATGCACTTTAGTCATGTAAATTGTGATATTAACATATATATAGCCCTAAGAAAATAAAAAATGGAAACCAAGCTGGTTCAAACAACTTTGTACTAACAGAATATCATTAAATTTCAATAGGAGTGTATTTTTATAAAGAAGTGCCAAGAAAGATTTCTCCACAATCTTTTTTTTTTGAGACGGAGTTTCGCTCTTGTTGCCCAGGCTGTAGTGCAATGGCACGATCTCAGCTCACTGCAACCTTCACCTCCTGGGTACAAGCAATTCTCCCACCTCAGCCTCCCAAGTAGCTGAGATTACAGGTGTCCGCCACTACACTCGGCTAATTTTTTTTTGTATTTTAGTAGAGACGGGGTTTCACCATGTTGGTCAGGCTGGTCTTGAACTCCTGACCTCAGGTGATCCGACCACCTCGGCCTCCCAAAGTGCTGGGATTATAGGCGTGAGCCACCATGCCCAGCCCACAATCTTTATATGTTGTTCTGATGATATAGAAACAAGAGTTAATTAAAAGGGAAGGATGAGAACAGCTAGTTCGCATCAGAGTCTTCTCTTTTTTTTTGCTAATAGGCTGTGTATAGTCTCACTGCTATAAAAAATTACCTGAGACTGGGTAATTTAATTTATAAAGAAAAGTGGTTTAATTGGCTCATGGTTCCACAGGCTGTACAGGAAGCATGGCTGCGGAGGCCTGAGGAAACGTTCAGTCATGATGGAAAGGGAAGCAGGCTCGTCTTACATGGCCAGAGCAGGAGGAAGAAGAACAACGCAGGAGGTGCTATATACTTTTAAACAACCAGATCTCGTGAGAACTCACTCACTATCTCAAGCACAGCAAGGGGGAAATCCACCCCCATGATCCAATCACCTCCCACCAGGACCCTCCTCCAACATTGGAGATTAAAATTTGACATGAGATTTGGGCAGGGACACAAATCCAAACCATATCAGGCGGTGACCTCGGTTGCGTGTTTAGTTCTCTTTTCTCTTTCTCACCTGGAAAATCCCTTTGAAGGGGTAAGAAGGCCTGCTTTTGGATAAGGAGGAAAAGAAAGAAAAGCTAAGCTAAAATTTTACTTTTGAAGTAAGATAGGCATCATTCAATAGCTGTTTATGGTGTTTTCAGTGCCTGCTGGGTCCAACGTGTGTGATTAGCTGAGGACAATACAAACACGACTTCATCAGAGCTTTTGCCTTTTGAAGCTTCATAGGAAGCTGAAGGAAAATGCCAGCTTCAGGGAAAATCCTGAAAAATCCCGGAAAACGTTATGAGCATTTGCTTATAATGAACAAGAAGAGAGGAAGGACCTGCAATTTCAAATCACTCTGTCTCTTTTGTTCTCCTCTCCTCCTCTCTGTTGTCAGTTCTGCCGTCCTGGCTCTGAGAGAACAATCCAGGAAGGTCAAGAGCAGGCCTCAGCAAATTCATAGGGACAGAAAGTAGAATAGAGGTTACAGGTGGAGAAGGGAGGGGGAAAGGGGGAGTTTTAGTTTAATGGGTGCAGTTCCTGTTTGAGATGACAAAAATCTTTTGGAAATGGATAGTAGAGATGGTTGCACAACATTGTGAATGTATGTAATATTACTGAATGGAATACTCAAAAATGGCTAAAATGACACATTTTATGTTATATGTACTGATGAAAGAGAAAGAATGAAAAAAAGAAAGAAAGTTTTTTTAAAAAAAAGAGGGAGAAAGAGTGGATCTCAGGAATTTTCAGTTTATTTTATTTTATTTTATTTACTTTTACTTATTTTTTTGAGACAGTCTCACTCTGTCGTTCAGGCTGGAGTGCAGTGGTGCAACCTCAGCTCATTGCAACCTCCACCTCCCAGGTTCAAGTGATTCTCCTGCCTCAGCCTCCTGAGTAGCTGGGATTACAGGCACCCACCACCACGCCTGCCTAATTTTTGTATTTTTAGTAGAGACAGGGTTTCACCATGTTGGCCAGGTTGGTCTTGAACTCCTGGGCTCAAGTGATCCACCCACCTCAGCTTCCCAGAGTGCTGGGATTAAGGCATGAGCCACTGCACCCGGCCAGGAATTTTCAATTTAAATAGGTGCCCCTGGTGAATCTAACGTGGTTTGTGCATAGACCACACTGAGAAATGCTAGAGTTTAGACCCTAAGACAAGGACATTGGAGTTGTTTATGGTCTAGAAGTCTGGTCTGCCTCTCCTATTATAAATGTTTCCCAGGCCATCATTGACCTCATTGGGTCCCCAGTCCTTTTGAAGTTCTTCTCCTTGGTGTCTTATCAATTACTATCTTCCACTGTCTTCAAACATATTTCCCAGGTTATTCTTGTATATAGGACACGTTAAAGCCACTATGTAAACTGTCACCTTACAAATTCATGACTCTAGATTTTGATGATTTTTTTCAAGTTTACACATAAATACCTTGGAGAAGAAATTACCATTAACATCAGATGCCTTAGTACAAATCAAGTTATCATTGGAACTCTGGGATTTCCAACCAGAGCGGGAAATGAGACCCAAGGGTAAAGGGGAAGCTTGGCTATCTAACCCTTGACTCCCTACCCAACCAGTGGGCTACACTCATTGAAAATGTACACAGAGCCAATTGTTCATGATGAAAAATAGTAAAGAGAAGAGGTTAGGAGCAGAGGGAAGCAGAATAACACAGACGAACAGCCCTGGATTCAATCACCAAAGCAGATTCAGATTTGCTCCAGTGTTTTCTGGGATCAAAACTCCCACTGCTGCGGCCTCAGAGACATTCATTCTGAGTAATCCAGGAAGTCTGTTGATTTCATTCTTGCTCCAGTGCTTCTGCTCTCCAGCTCCAGCTTTCCTGGAAAGCCACGCTCCTTCTTTTTCTCTTACAGTCCACATGGAATATGTATGTGGGGGAGGAGGGCCAAAAAACTTAACAACAATTCATGTATGGAAAAAATAAGACTTCTTTACTTAGCCTATATCTATTACAGTCTTCCTCATAAGCTCCCAATCACTGGCTAGCAGTAAAAAAATAGTGAAATGTCCAATCTGGTTTAAAGTTTAGTCCAGTTTGGTGTTTTATGTTGACTCTCTATTAAATCAAACAGTTCTGCCTCTCAGATAGACTTCCCCTCCCCTGCCTTTCCTATAAGATAAAGCAAGGATATGAGCAGAGAAAGGGAACTCAGGGTCTTAAGCATGGTGTCCTCTAGTCATTGCCTCTGAGGCAGTGCCCTGTTCACTAGTTTGCTGGGCACCCAGCTGATCCCTGAAGCTGAAGTATGTAGCTGTTGAATTCATGATCTGTCCCTTTGGCTCAACCCTGCTCCCAGCACCACTCCCCTGGCTGACTCAGCCTCACCTTGGCTCCTGCTGGCTGCACCCTCAAGCCATTGCCAGGGTCTCCAGCCAGCCATCCGGACTGGCTGTCCGCTCCCAATCTTCACTGTGAGATCACTTTGCCCTTTTCCCATGGACCTGTGGCTGCCCCTGCTGCAGCTCCATTCACCATCTGCATCATTCAGTTAAAACTGAAGTCTACCCTTCCTGATCATATTGCAATATTCCATAGTTAATTAAAATTATACATTATCTGACTTGTAGTTACCCACAAACTTTAACTCTATTTAAATGTACACTTTTATATCAATATCTAGAGTTTTTCATGAGCCATATCCTCTTTCCTCACCCCCAAACTCTCAGACTCTAGGCCGGCTTCCCTCTGTTACTCTCCTGATTTCCCTCTGTTACTCACCCTTCCTCAACAAGATTTCAGATCCTCTGGCCCATTCTGATTTGTGATATACCAGATTTACCAGATTTGTCTACAAATCAATATTTTAAAGTTTACTTCACTGTTTAATTCACTCTACTGGCACCAGGGGCCACTTTCCTATTAGCTTGAGAATTTTCAGTAAAAGTAATGAGTAATATTCATTCACCAAATATTTATTGGTTACCTCCATGGGCTGAGGACTGGGGATGATGAGGAATACAGCTCCTTGCAAGATGGATATGGTCTTTGATTTCACACAGCTTATTTTCTCTCAATGGGTAACTGATACTGGCCACCACTGCAATTACGACGTACATTTCTAGTATGCATCAAAAGTTCCTAGAGCAGGCCCCCTCTCCTGTAGTCCTTCCCTGCTCCCTCTCCAGGTCTCCTTCCCTGCTCCCTCTCCTTAGCTCCCTCCCTCTGCTCTCTCTCCCTGTCTTCTTCCCTCTCACTGCCTTCTTCTCCACTCCCTCTCCCATCTGTCTTCTTCCCATGCCCATCTTCTTCCCTGCCTGTCTCCCAACCTGCCTGTCTCCCCACTTTTTCTTCCTCACCATCTTCTTCTCCATTCCCTCTTAAAAAAGAAAAGAAAAGTTCCTAGGGCAGACTTATTTTAACTTGTTGTGAATGGGTATACAAGGATGAATTGGTTAAAGCTGTTTATATTTGGGTACTATAATAGGACACTTTTCGCTGTACATCATAGCCTATTCAATTAGAGATAGCTTAAAGAACAGCAAACTAATTATTCATATTTTAAGAAGTCTGATAGTAGGGTCACACCAGTGTTGGTTGGTCAATTCAGTAGCAGAGCAATGTAGGGGGACCAACTCTTCTGGTTATTCCAGGGCTGAAAAATTTCTTGGGACAGAGGACTTTCAGTGCTAAAACTGGTACAGTGTCAGGTAAACTGGGATGGTTAGTAATCCTATCATATCACCAAGCCAGTCCTTGGCTTTGTCCTCCTGGAGCAGCTTCAATTATTATATCTTCATCAAAAATCTTTTGAAAGTAGGACAGTGAGTGCATTTCTGTCTTATGTCCCTTTATATGAGAAAGAAAAAAACCTTTCCAGAAGCCACCTGGCAGATTTCTCCTCTTATTTCATTGGCCAGGGTTTTATCATAAAACCATACTTATAATGATAATTCTAAATGGATATTAATCATGATTGATTAGGATTAATTAATAGTCATCCCTTAAAACTGGGAAGAAACATATGCAACATACATCTTACAATATGTGAACACATTCTGATTCTGTTAGAAAGGAAGAAGTAGAGAGAAAGGCTTCCCTGTAGATAATCAATGGCACTGTTTGCAAAACATTAGGATAGACTTTTGCTGCTGTTGTTGTTCATCGTGTAGGTTACGTGTTTGTAAGATCTTCACAACCAAATCACTTTTAGTATTGCTCTTTAAAAATGTTTGAGGTTCTGCAATTATGTAGTTATACTTGTAAGTTCCTAGGTAGGATGACAAGGTCTGTGTTAAATTTCTTTCCTGTCTCCAAGCAGAAAACTAGTGAAAAACAACAACAACAACAACAACAACAACAACAACAAAAACTGGACAAAATCATTCAAAACAACCATCACAAGGTACTAGAAGATGACCAAAGGCAGACAGCAAATTAAGGAAAATCTACTCATGAAAAACTGCTACTGCATGAAGTAAGACCGACAAGACTGTGGGCTTCTTACTTGAAAGGGTTCTCATCCTTTCTCTTCCACAGCTCAAGTGGTAAAGACCATTATCCAGTAGTAGTTGAGTTGTTGTTAACAGGTAGTGAAAACCTGTTTTTTCCAGGTGGAGATGACAGATTCAGTTTGGGGTAGGAGCACAAAATTTGTAGCTTTATCAGACAGTATCAAGTATTTCAATTCAAGGAAGATGGCAACCAGCTAGAAATTTAAATGTGAGATATTGGAAGTGAGAGCCATAGAAGGGCTGAAATAAAACTCTCCACAAATCTCTGAATGATTGCTAAACTACACATATGTGGAGAACCCAGAGAGCTTGTTAAAAGTGAGGTCAAAGGGGACTTTGTAATTGGCTGTGCCTTTGAAAGCACTCCTCAACTTACACAGAGCGTGAGTAACAAAGGATAGAAGCTTTATGGGCCCAAAATGTCTAGGTATAATCTCTGCCAAATAATTAGCCAACTGCTAAGCTATGCAGGCACAGGAAGACTTATGGAATGAGGCTAAAAAAAGCAAACATAAATCTGAGCAAAGACATCAGAAGTTGTGTGTCATGGTGTAGACATTTCTCAGCTTGAATAGAGGTAAGTTACTATAACAAACAAAAAACAACCCTCAGGAAAAAAATGAAATAAATATAGAGTTGCTTCAGTGTATTATCTACCATGTCCAGTTTTCACTTTAAAAATTACTAGGCATTCAGAGAAACAGAACAAATATACAGGTTTAAAACACACACAGTCAATGGAAACTGACTCCAAGTAGGTCCAGATGTTAGATTTTAGTGTAAAGAGACTTCAACATAATATGTTCAAAGAATTAATAGAAAATACACTAACAATGAGTCAAAATAAGAAATCTCAATAGAAAAATAGAAGCTATGAAAAAGGCCACATGGAAATTCTGGAGCTGAAAAAGTAAAATAATTGAAATTAAAAATTCACTACATAAATTTACCTTCAGATTTGAGATGTCAGAAGAAAGAATCAGTGAATTTGAATATAGATTAATAGATTACCCAGTCAGTCCAAAAACAACCAACCAATAAACCAAACAAACAAACAGAAAACCCAAATAGAAAAGGGATGGGAGAAAAATGAATAGCATCTCAGACATATGTGAGGCAACATCAAGTATTTCAACACTTGCACAAATAGGGTCCAAAGGAAAGGAAAGAAAAAAAAGACTGGAAAAAAATGTGAAGAAACAGTGGATCCAAACTTTCTATATGTTGTGAAAATATTAACTTACACATCTAGATGCTCAAAAAACACCAAGTTGGCTAAGTACAAACAAAACCACACCCAAAAATATCATAGTCAAACTGCAAGACAAGGAGAAAATTTTGAAAGTGGCAAGAGGAAAATGACAGATCACCTAAACAGTGAAACAATACAAGAAATGGCTGACTTTGCATCAGAAATAATGGAGGCCAGATAGCAATAGAATGATATATTCAAACTGCTGAAGGAGAAAAAAAGGTCAGCCAAGAATTCTATAGCCACCAAACTCTTCAAATGTGAAGAGAAAATAAAGATATTTTCAGATAAGCCAAAACTGACAGAATTCATTGCTAGAACTGTACTACAGGAAATACTAATGAAATCTCTTTAGGCTGAAAGGAATCTGCATCAGATGGTAACTTGAATCTCTGTTAAAAATATTTTTAAAATTTTAAAAATATATGTTTAATGCAAAAATTATGACACATTGTATATTTAGTTCTTTCTCAGTAATTGATATTAAAAATAGAAAATCATTAGTGATAAAGAAAACATGAACAATAATATCAACCAATTTGACCTCATTGGCATATATTATAACATTCCACTTCCAAGCAGCAGAATATTCATAACTTTTAAGTGCACATTGAGCAATCACCAGGATAGACTATATGGAGGGCCATAAAATTAATTTCAATAAATTTAAAAGGATTAAAATTATAAAAAATATATTATCTGTCCACAATGGAATTAAATTAGATATTAACAACAGAAATACATCTGAGAAATCCCCAAATATGTAGAACTTAACACACTTTTAAGTAACTCATGTGTCAGAAATCAATTTTTTTAAATTTTCTGAAACTGGATGAAAATAAAAATACAACATATGAAAATTGTTAAATGTAGCTAAAAGAATGCTGAAAGGAAAATTTATAACTTTATATGAGTATATTATAATAGAAGAAAGGTCTAAAAACAATACAAGTTCTTACCTTAAAAAACTGGAAGAGAAGATCAATAAAACACAAAGTAAGTAAGTGGAAGAACATTTTTAAAAGATCAGAGTGCAAACCAATAAATAGAAACTAATAAAATTTAAAAATATAGAAAAATAAATGAAACTAAATGTTACTTCTTAGAAAAAATGAACAAAAATAATTAAACTTTGGCTAGCCTGATTAAAAAAATGTAGGGCAGATACCAATTACCAATATCAGTAATGAAAAAGGGGACATTACTATATATCCCACAAAAATTAAAATGATACTACGGAAATACTATGAACAACTTTATATCAATATTTTTGACAACTTAGAGGTAATATAAAAATTATTAGAAAGGCACCAATTACCAGAACTGACTCAAGAAGAAATAGAAACCCTGAAAAAAATCTCTGTATGTTGTAAAGGAATTAAATTACCAATTAAAAATTTTTCCATAAAGAAAAGTTGTGGCACAGATGAATTAACTGTTAAATCAAACACCTGAGAAATAATACCAATCCTACCAAAAAAAAAATTTCCAAAAAATAGAGAATGAAGAAAACTTCTCAGCTCATTTCATGAGGCTAAGATTTCCCTCAATATAAAGATGAAAAAATATATCACAGAGAAAAAAAACTACAGAGCAATATACTTAATAAATATAGATGCAAACGTCCTTAACAAAATGTGAATAAATTGAAACGTGCAACATACAAAAGGAATAATAGATCATGAATAACTAGGGTTTATCACAGAAATGCAAGGTAGGGTTAACATTCAAAAATCATTTAATGCACTATACCATGTTAATAGAATAATTAGGAAAAATCTTAATAAACAGAGAGAAGACATTTAACAAATTCCAATGGCAATGTATGATTTTAAAAAACATTCAACAAAATAAGAATAGATGGGAACTATCTTAGTCGTTTGTGTTGTTATAAAGAAATACCTGAGGCTGGGTAATTTATACAGAAAAGAAGTTTACTTGGCTCTCAGTTCTGTAGGCTGTACAAGAAGCATGGAACCAGCATCTGCTTCTGATGAGGGCTTCAGGCTGCTTCCACTCATGGTGGAAGGGAAAGGGAAGCCAGCATGTGCAGAAATTACATGGTGAGAGAGGAAGCAAGAGAGAGAAAGGGTGGAGGTGCCAGGCTCTTTTTAACAATCAGCTTTCATGGGAACTAACAGAGCAAGAATTCAGTCATTACTGTGATGATGGCACCAAGCCACTGATGAGGGATCTGCCCTCATGATCCAAACACCTCCCATTAGGCCCCAACTCCAACAGTAGGAATCAAATTTCAACATGAGACTTGAAGGAGTCAAACAAGCCAAACTATAGTGGGTACCTTCTCCATCTATTAAAGGTCATCAACAAAGAAACTACAGCTACCATCACACTTAATGGTGAAAGACTGAATACTTTCTACCAAGGGTCAAGAACAAAACAAGGATATTCACCCTTACCACTTCTGTTCAATATTATACTGAAGATTCGAGCCAGCAAAATAAGACTATTAAAAGAAACACATGGCATACAGATTGGGCAAGAAAAAGTAAAACTTAATTTACAAAAAGTCATGATCATGTATTAGCATATCATAGAGAATTTACAAAACACTACTAGAACTCATAAGTGAATTCAGGTGGTCCATCCTCTAACAACAATCTAAAACTTAAATTTTTAAAAATGCCATTTATAATCACATTAAAAATACTTAGAAATAAATTTAAGAAAAGATTTTGAAGCCTATGTACTGAAAACACAAAATATTGCTAAGAAAAATTAAGGATAACCTAAATGAATGGAGATATACCATGTTCATAGACAAAGGCTCAATATCGTTAAGATGGCAATTCTCCTCAAATTGATCTATAGATTCAATGCAATTCCTATCAGAATACCAGCAGATATTTTCTTGTATATGGAAATTGGCAAGCTGATTCTAAAATTTGTATAAAATGCAAAGGACCTAAAGTAGTCAGAACAATTTTTAAGAAGAAGCAAAGAATTGGAAAACATACAATACTTATTTTTAAGACATATTATAAAAATTAGCAATCAAAGCCTGGGCACAGTGGCTCACACCTGTAATCCCAGCACTTTGGGAGGCCAAGGGGGGCAGATCACCTGAGGTCGGGAATTCGAGACCAGCCTGATTAACATGGAGAAACCCCGTCTCTACTAAAAATACAAAATTAGTCAGGCGTGGTGGCACATGCCTGTAATCCCAGCTACTTGGGAGGCAGAGGCAGGATAATCGCTTGAACCCGGAAGGCAGAGGTTGCGGTGAGCTGAGATCACGCCATTGCACTCCAGGCTGGGCAACAAGAGCGAAACTCCGTCTCAAAAAAAAAAAAGAAAAGAAAAATTAGCAATCAATACTGCATAGTATTGGTATAGGGATATACATGTAGATCAATGAAATTGAGAGTCCAGAAAGTCCACACATATATAATCAATTTGTCAGTGTAATTCAATGGGGGAAAGGACAGCTTTTTTGTTTCCTTTTCCCTCAATAAGGGGAATGAGAATAAGTGAACATATTTTGAGGTAAAATGAATACTCCTTTTTTATGCCATAGACACAAATTAACCCAAATGGATGATGGACATATACAACCAGGCTAAAGCTATAAAACTTAGAAAGAAATCAAACAAAAGTCTTTATGACTTTGAAGTAAGCCAAAAATTTTAGATAGGACATAAAAGGCATGAAATGGAAAAGAAAAATGTTATAAACTGGACCAGCATCAAATTTTTAAAATATATGCATTTCATTTTAAAGAAAATAAAAAGACAAGCCAAAGACTAGGAAAATGTATTAGTAAAACATGTATTTGAAAAGGAATATAAAAAAACTCTTACAACTCAATAAAAAGACTAGCAACTCAATTTTAAAATGGCAAAAGATTTAGAGGGATACCTCACAATAGACGATATATAAGAGGCTAAACCAAACATATAAAAAATGTTCAACATCATTGGATATCAAGGAAATGCAAATTTAAACCATGGTGAAATATCTTTACATAGCCACTCTAATTGCTCCAATAAAAAAAGAAAGAACTGTATAGTGGTTTCTCAAAAGGTTATGCATAGAATTTCCATATGACCCAGCAATTCTATTCCTAGAAATACACCCAAAAGAATTGAAAACCTGGACTCAAATATGCACATCAATGCTCATAGTAGCATTATTTGCAATAGCCAAAAGATGAAAACAACCCAAATTTCCATCATTAGGTGACTGGATCAGTAAAAGGTAATCCAATAGCCATACAATGGAGTATTATTCAGCCTTAAAAAGAATGAAATTTTGAGATATGCTACAACAAAGATGAATGTTAACAACATTTTGCTAAGTGAAATAAGCCAGACATGAAAGAACAAATATTGTATGATCCCAATACAGGACTTATATGAGGTAAAAATAGGTAAATTCACAGAGATAGAAAGTAGAGTGATGATTGCTAGGAGCAGAGGGCAGGGGTGAATGGAGAGCTAGTGTTTCATGGGTATAGAGTTTCCATTTGGAAAGAAGAAAAAGTTCTGGAAATGAATAGTGGTGGTGGTTGCACAGCATTGTGAATGTATATAATGCCACTGAATTGTATACTTAAAAATGGTTAAAATGATAAATTTCATGGTAGGTGTATTTTCCACAATAAAAAAAGTACAAAAATAAATGAATGAACTGCTAACACATGCAAGACACGAATAGATCTCAAAAAATGTCATATGAGTGAAAGGAGCAAGGCAAGAGGGTACACTGTATGTCTCCATTTGCGTATGTAGAAAAGCAAAGTTTAGTGACAGAAAGCAAATCAGTGGTTCCCTGGTGCTGAGGGTTGGGAGTGGCAGCAGGGATTAATTACATTTTGGAATGATGGATTGGTCTAAAGCATAGTGTAAGGATGAGTTGCATGACAGTATACATTGTCTAAACCTTATTGAAATGCACAATTAAAATAGGTGAATATTATGGTATATAAATTATATTTCAATTAATTTTTTTTCTGGGCTTTCTACCTATTCTGTAAGCACTCCAAAGTAGCATTGACTGAGCCCATTTTCAAACTATATGACTTTCTCAAAATATTTTGTGGTTCTAAATAATTGGGATAGGATCTCCTATTATGAACAACTTTGTAAGAGCTGGAATGTAATTATCCACTTTCTGAAGAATAAATTCCAGTGGGATGAAAACTTTACATTTGAGCATATCTTTCAGTTTCCACTATCTAGTATTTCTAGAGATGGTAATTTGGTAGTGGGATTTTTAGGTTTGTCTCTTCATTTTTGCAACTAATGAAGAAGAAATATTCTACTTAAATAATGCTTCATCTTAAGGGAGTGCTTTAAATTTCCAGACAGAAAAAAATTCCCTCAAATTCCTGTTTAATGAGAAATTTCACTTCCCAGCAGCTAACAGGGCAAAATTATAAGATGAAGGTTCACAATTAGGTTAATCTGTGAAATTAGATTTATTTTCACAATAAATAAAAGTATGTTATACTTGCCACTCTCCTACTAATTGTTCTTATCTTCTCAGACTTTGCTTCACCATCAAAACATACCTATTTTCGCTCACATTTCATTAGTACCCTAAGTAGACTGTTAAGCTGATTTTAGAAACTAAGCCATGTTAATATGTTTGTTCTGACAAAACAGTTCCTTTTTTGTTTGTTTGTTTTTTTGATTGAGGCAGAGTCTTGCTCTGTTGCCCAGGCTGGAGTGCAGTGGTGTGATTTCAGCTCACTGCAACCTCCGCCTCCTATGTTCAAGCAATTCTCCCACCTCAGGCTCCCGAGTAGCTGGGATTACAGGCGCGTGCCACCACGCCTGGCTAATTTTTGTATTTTCAGTAGAGATGGAATTTCGCCATGTTGGCCAGGCTGCTCTCGAACTCCTAACCTCAAGTGATCCGCCCAATTTTAACCAGCCTCCTGGAAGAATTTAAAGGGGATATTTCAGTGGGGGAAGTTTCAAGTAAATCTGTGATGCAGACCTTTCTGAAGAGGCGGCTTTTTCGACAGCCCTCGTCAAATAAATAAAGAGGACATAGGGGCCTTCCAGTAAGGCAGGACCTGAGAGAATTTTAGTTATAGCCTTGGCATCACCAGCAATGACAGTTACATGCGGCTGTTCCTCTTTTGAGAAATCTAATATCCACGAGATATTGTAATTGACTTCTTCAATTGTGGCAGGACTACACTGCAAAGTATTCCTAAGGTTATATTTTCTCCTGTATTTCTCTTATTTCCTTCCTCACTCACACCCTGCAAAGGGAACTCCCAGCCCACAATGAAGCAGAAACCAAGTCTCAAAGAGACTGCTGACCCAACTGTGAACCAAAAGATGAGGATTTATGCTTTCTAGCCAATCCCCATGCATCGTCTCCCCTCCATGATGCACCACATGTCCCTGAGAGGAAATGATATGGAGCTGGGGAAGGAAAAGAGAAGGTGGTGAGGCACAACTGGGGAGCCAAGGAAGCTGTGGAGGGCCTGGATTTCTTAGTAAGGAAAGTAACCTTTTCACATTCAGCTGTACCTCTGGTCTTTTGGTCCCAGCCAGACTTATTATGAAGCCACCAAAGCCTAAGTTTTAGGGCCCCTGCCCAGCACAGGCCGGTGCAAGGCCTGGAAGGGGCTCCAGCTAAGTACAGTTGACGCTTTAAGAATGCAGTGGTTAGGGGTGCCAACCCCCTGCACAGCTGAAAATGCACCATAACTTTTGAGTCCCCCAAAACTTAACTACTAATAGCCTATTATTGCCCGGAAGCATTACTGATAGCCTAAGCAGTCGATGAACATGTATTTTGTATATGAGTTATAAACTGTATTCTTGCAATAAAATAAGCTAGAGAAAAGAAAATGTTATTAAGTGATGTGGTTTGGCTCTGTGTCCCCACCCAAATCTCATCTTGTAGCTCCCATAATTCCCACGTGTTTTGGGAGGGACCTGGTGGGAGATGATTGAATCATGGGGGCAGTTCTTTCCCATGCTGTTCTCATGATAGTGAATGGGTCTCACAAGATCTGATGGATTTAAAAAAACGGGAGTTTCTCTGCACAAGCTTTTTTTTTTTTGCCTGCCGGCATCCACGTGAGATGTGACTTGCTCCTCCTTGCTTTCTGCCATGATTGTGAGTCTTCCCCAGCCTCACATGTGGGACTGTAATTCCAATTAAACCTCTTTCTTTTGTAAATTGCCCAGTCTCTGGTATGTCTTTATCAGCAGTGTGAAAACAGACTAATACATTAAGAAAATCATAAGGAAAAGAAAATCTGTTTACTATTCATTAAGTGGAAGTGGATCTTCATAAAGGTCTTCATCCTTACCGTCTTCATGTTGAGTAGGCTGAAGAGGAGGCAGAAGAAGAGGGGTTGATCTTGCTCTCTCAAGGGGTGACAGAGGTGGAAGAAAATTGGCATATAAAATCTGCAGAGTTCAAACCTGTGTTGTTCAAGGATGAACTGTATTCACCTGGTCAGATAATTTTTTGTGGCAAGTACATTCTCAGAGTGACTTTTAAACCATTCTACATGTCTTGATACAGACCAAGCAAATGTTTTAAAATTCATAACGATTAAAAATCAAAAGAGAAAAGACAGTCCTACTTAAAGAGAAAAAACGGGCAAAGGACATAGACTGAGACACTTCAATATATGCTCTTAGATATTTAACAGTGATGATGAAGAGTGATGTCCCTTTCCCTTTCCACTCTGCCTTCCCTCCTATCACACCTTTGCAGGAAGACGGTGTTGGAGGGGCTGTGGGCATTGTAAGGATGCCACTGAGGGAAAGTTTAGTAGGGAATGCATTTATATTGGGTTTAGTGGGGATAAAGGGTTCACAACCACCTGTGAATAGAGTCATGTAATCGCCAGAGTCATAATGGCTGCAGGATTCCTCCTGCTGCCTGCACACTGGCTCCACTCTTCTCATGTAGTGACACAAAGTTGCAGGGCTGGGGGACTTATGCCCACAAGACCTTGTGCCATGTGGCCTATGCTAGCAACAGGCCTCTGCCAGCAACAGGTAGTGAAGAAACAAGGTTAAAAATGTAGGGAAGCAATTGCTTCAGTGAAGCCTTTGTTCTCAGTGATGCCCAGGCAAAACAGAAGTTGTCTCCTGTCAATGAATATTCTCAAGGATGTAATGTACAGAAAATCACCCTGTGGATTTTTTTCTTTTATGATGGGAATCATGTAAAATAGAATTGATCAAAATTCCTGCAGTAGGACAGCAGAAACCTATAGCTATAACTACAAAAAGCCAGGAGGTCGAGACCAGCCTGGCCAACATGGTGAAACCACATCTCTACTAAAAAAAAAAAAATTAGCTGGGCATGGTGGCAGATGCCTGTAATCCCAACTACCAGGAGGCTGAAGCAGGAGAATCACTTGAACCCAGGAGGTGGAGGCTGCAGTGAGCCGAGATCACACCATTGTACTCCAGCCTGGGCAACAAGAGCGAAACTCCATCTCCAAAGAAAAAAAACAGCAAGCACATGTGTGTGTGAAATTGAAATCACATGATTTTTGCATCCCAGATATCTAGAGTTAAACATTTTTTCGGTTTCCATTCCCCATGCTAGAGGAAGGACTGAATTATCTATTTCCAGAATTTAAAAAATTATTACAAAATTGTTGTCATGTGAAGGGGTGGATCAAAGGGTATGCAACCAACACATAATATAATAATATAATAATGGGTTGGTTGTACACTCTTTGATCACCTTATATCATCTTTTATATGTATATTATATAAGAAAATATATAATAAAAGCATTTCAAGCAGTTAATAAAAATATGTACATTTTCTGGATTTGTTATGTTGATAAATATCAACATTATAAATTCATAATTTGTTAGAATTAATTTTGTCATTCTAAATCAATATTGTCTCATACCTAATTCTGTATTCATAATTTTGTCTTCTCATCTTTAACAGGGCTTCCCCTCAATTGTATTACTTTCAGGCCTATAAAATCTGGATTATTGTTCCCCTATTTCCTTATTTTTTTCTTAGTTTAGATTTCAGGGACTGTATGAGTTCGTTTTCACGCTGCTGATAAAGACATACCCGAGACTGGGCAATTTACAAAAGAAAGAGGTTTAATGGACTTACAGTTCCATGTGGCTGGGGAAGCCTCACAATCATGGCAGAAAGGAAGGAGGAACAAGTCACATCTTACACAGATGGCAGCAGGCAAAGAGAGTGCTTGTGCAGAGAAACTCCCCCTTATAAAGCCATCAGACCTCACGAGACTTATTCACTATCATGAGAATAGCATGGGAAAGACCCGCCCCCATGATTCAATTACCTCCCACTGGGTCCCTCCCACAACACGTCGGAATTGTGGAAGATGCAATTCAAGATGAGATTTGGGTGGGGACACAGCCAAACCGTATCAGGGACCAACATCACACTGCTCTTTTGCAAGCATCCCTAACACTATTGGCATGTTCTCCATTTCCCTAATAAAACTTCAGCCATGTCTAAGCACAACTAAACCCCTACTCAGCATCTACACACAAGTCACCAAACTGAGCCACCAGAAAACACAGCACTGGTGCTGACTTGACTCACTTGAAATTCAGAACCACCAAGTTTAAATGAGCTCAAACTGTTCAGCAATCCTATGCACTTTCGTTGTATGTCTCTCACTCTGAAATAATCATGCCACTATGGGTTCTCTTTATTGAAACCTCCTACCTCTCTTCTTGCCCAAATCTTCACTCTCAGTTGCTGCACATTTCATTGATTAAATGGATGCCACCACATGAAATTTTCTGTATTTTCTCACCAATAAATTTTCTGGTACATCTTGCCTTCTTCGATGAATGAAGTGTCTTTGCTTATATTAAAGACTATAAGCCCTCTACTTAATTGTGGCTTCATACTTTTCCTGTAAATTTCACCTGTCTTTCTGGCACCACAAATGCATCCCTTTCTACTGGATCATCCCAATTACCACATTAAATCTGGTATTTCCTATCTTTAAAAGAGAGAGAGGGGAAAGGAGACAGAGAGAGAGACTTCCTAAATCCCTATAAGCTTCCCAGCTGCTGCCCATTTCTCTGCACCCCTATATAGTAGATCATCTCAAAGATGTTTCTGTAGCCATTCTATAGCCATCTCCAACACACACACACATGTACACACATCCTCTCCCAAATCAGACTACTTCTCACCACCTTCACCGCTGCTATTCAAGCCCAAACCACCATCATCTCTGGCCTGGATAACTTGAATCAACCAACTGATTTCACCCTTACCCTCACATTCAATATAGCAGCAGGATCAGTATTTTAAAATGCAAAATCTGGTTAAACCCCCTATGATGACTTCAATGCTTCCCATCACACCTACAAAAAAATTGAAACCCCTTTTCCTTGTTTTCAGACTCTGATGATCTGGCATCTTTTTTTCTCTCCAATTTAATCTCCCTCATGCACTTTGATCACCTCATGTGCTGTGCTCTATAGCACATCCGATTTATTTCTATTCCTTAAGCAAGTGAATTCCTGCCTCGGGGACTCTGCAGTTTCTGTTCCCTCTTCCTGGTGTACTCTTCCCCAGGATTTCCATATAGCTTTCCCTTTAATTTCTATTTATTCAATTTATCTCAAAAGTACCCTTCTCTGAAATTCCTCCCCTGAGCACTGTTTCTAAAGTAGCACTTCCTCTCCATGATCTCAGCTTTATTTTCTTCTTAGCACAGGTCACTACCTGGCCTTCACATTGACCTGTTTATGCGATATCTGTTTATGTGTTTACTTTTTGTCTCCTCCACTAGAACACATGTGCCATGAGAACAAGGGCATTATCTCTGTTGTTTTCTGCTATATCTCGCAGCCTAGGACAGTGCATGACACAGAATGAAAACTCAATAAATATGTGGAATGAATGAAAGAGTGAATGAATGGATTAGCTCTTCAGTCTACTCCTATCCCAGTCATACCTCTGAAATTGTCAAACTCACCAATCGGCTGCAGGGTGTTTCCTCTGTCATCTTTTTTTCTTTCTTCTTTTCTTTTCTTTCTTTTTCTTTTCTTTTTTTTTTTTTTTTTTTGAGACAGAGTCTTGCTCTGTCACCCAGGCCAGAGTGCAATGGTGTGATCTTGGCTCACTACAGCCTCCACTGCTGGGTTCAAGCAATTCTCCTGCCTCAGCCTCCCAAGTAGCTGGGATTACAGGCATGCACCACCATGCCTGGCTAATTTTTGTATTTTTAGTAGAGATGGGGTTTTGCCATGTTGGCCAGGCTGGTCTCCAACTCCTGACCTCAGGTGATCTGCTCACCTTGGCCTCCTAAAGTGTCTGTCATCTTTCTTGATAGGTGAATTATTTATGGTGTGGGCTATGATGCTAAAATAGAGACCCCAAAATACAGTGATTGTAGAGAGAATTTAATTTATTTCTTTCACAAGGGAGTCCAAATGGCAGTAGGCAATCCACAGCAGATGGATGGCTCTGCTTAAGAGCATTCAGGTTCCCAGGTTCCTTTCACCAATTTCTCTGATATTCCTTGGAGTACTGTCCTCATGCACATGATTGAAGCTGAGCCCCTTCCATGTCCACATTCCAGCCTATGGAAAACCAGGAAAAGAGAAAGGTGGCGTGCACACCCAATATTGTAAGGCCAAGTATAGCAGATTGCATAAGTTCCTTTTTCTCACACCCCACTGACTTGAGCTCAGCCTCATGGCCACACCTAGCTGCAAAAGAGACTGGGAAATGTAGTCTCCATGTAAGTGGCTTTGTGTCCAGCTACAGCTCAGTGGTTTCTATTACTAAAAGAAAAATGGAGAAAATGGGTACAGAGGACAAGCAGGAGTCTCTGCCACAACATCTTAGGAGCATTTGTTACAGAGGATCGTTCTCTCCTTCATGGAATACTTTTGTTCTTTTGGCTTCAGTGACACCACACTCTCCTGGTTTTCCTCTGGGCCCTCTGCCTACTCACTCAATCTCTTTTGCTGGGTGAACTTATTCTGTTTGACCTCTGCATGTTGGACTTCCTGAAGGCTTTGTCCTGTGCCATCTTTTATTCCTTCCATCTACATGCTTCTCTAGGTAATTTTATTCAATTATGTGATTTTATATACCACATTGATAGAAATAACTTCTGAATTTATGTCTTTAGCCATGACCTTTCCCTGGAGCTCCAAATTCATATATCCAGTTGCCTACTTAACATAGTTGATCATAACTCTTGGTTACTTTGGCCACCCATGTCCCTCTCCCAAGCCTGCTCCTGCTTCAGTTTTCTGCATTTCAAGAAACAGAGAAATAGCTTCAGCATCATTCCAGGTGCTCTGACAAAAACCTTAGGTATCATTCTTAGCTTAGTTCTTCTCTCACTTCCCGTCATCCACTTCGTTGACAAGTTTATACCCTCGACCTCCAAAAAAACACATCCTGAGTTTAACTTCTTTCTGTCTTCCCCATTACCAGCCTGAGCCCAGCCAGCCTCACCATTTTACTGGATGACTCATCTTCCTACTGCCACTTTCACTGCCAACAAGCCAACCTTACACAGCACCCTAAGTGATGAATTAAAAACATGAATCAGCTCATGTTGATCATTGAACCCTTTCCCATCTCACCTTGAATAAAACCCAAACTCTCTACCCTGGTCTACAAAGCCCTACAGGGACTGGCACCACCCACCTCTCCAGCCTCATCTCATGTCACCTGTTTTCTCAATGACCCACTCCCATCACGGTGGCACATACCAAGTCTATTTCCATTTTAGGGAAGATATGAGGCAGAAAGACCTTAAATGGATGTTTTCTCTGCATGAAATGCTTGTGCCCCAGAACTTCCCCAGGAAGATCCTTCTCATCCTTTAGGTCACATTGCAAAGGTCAACTCCTTAGAGAAGTTGTCCCTGTCCACGCAGTCTGCAGTAGACTGCTCCTTTCAACCCATCACTCTTAGTCGCATCACCCTGTCTTATTCTCTCAATAACACTTAACACTACCTAGCATAATATATTTGTTTATTCGCCATCCATCTCCCCTCACGGTGGATGTGAATTTCATGGGAGCAGGGCTTGTCTTGGGCCCCACTGCAAATCCCGGGCCAGGCACACGTTGGGCCCTCAGTAAGGATCTGCTGAATGAATGTATGTCTGAATACAGCTCCAATTCTGGAACCTCTTTAGCACCCCAGGAGTATTTTAAAGACCATGAATGTGTGAATAAAAATTCTATATTTCCAACTTCTTTTAAAGACTTTTTCCAGACTGCTTTAGTACCATAAAATCTGCTTTTCTCTTCTGACATAAGGGCAAAAAATTAGATTCTCCTTTAGTAAATGCACTCAGGCATATTCAGGAGAGACCACAGCCTTTAGTGCTCAGGTTCTTAATCTGAGTCCATGGACCCCTAGAAGGTCCATGGGTGTGCTGAAATTATATACAGAAGATACATTCATTTTTCTAGGAGGTAGGTTCATAGGTTTGTTGAATACTCAGAGGAGGTCAGTGGCCAAAATGAAATCCATTTTATTGTGGAAAAAGTATTAGAGGCCGGGCACGGTGCCTCACGCCTGTAATCTCAACACTTGGGGAGGCTGAGGTGGGTGGATCACTGAGGTCAGGAGTTTTGAGACCAGTCTGGCCAACATGGCGAAACCCCATCTCCACTAAAAATACAAATATATATATATATATAAATATATATTTTATATTATATATATATATTTTATATATAATATATTATATATATTATATATATTATATATATTTTATATATTATATATTTTATATATAATATATTATATATAAAATATATTTTATATATAATATATAATATATAAAATATATTTTATATATTGTATATTTTATATTATATATTTTATATATAAAATATATTTTATATACTATATATTTTATATATAAAATATATTTTATATACTATATATTTTATATAAAATATATATTTTATATGTCATATATTTTATATATAATATATATTTTATATGTCATATATTTTATATATAATATATATTTTATATGTCATACATTTTATATATAATATATATTTTATATGTCATACATTTTATATATAATATATATTTTATATGTCATACATTTTATATATAATATATATTTTATATGTCATACATTTTATATATAATATATATTTTATATGTCATACATTTTATATATATCTTTTATATGTCATACATTTTATATATAATATATCTTTTATATGTCATACATTTTATATATAATATATCTTTTATATGTCATACATATAATATTATATATATTATATATTATATAATATATTATATATTATATTATATATATTATATATTATATAATATATAATATATTATATAATATATTATATAATATATTATATATATAATATATTATATAATATATTATATAATATATTATATATATTATATAAAAATATATATTTTGTATATAAAATTTTATATATAAAATATATATATAATACATTATAATTATATATATTATATATATATATATATATATAGCCGGGCATGGTGGCAGGTGCCTGTAATCCCAGGTACTCAGGAAGCTGAGGGAGGAGAATCACTTGAACCTGGGAGATGGAGGTTGCAGTGACCCAAGATCACGCCACTGCACTCCAGCCTGAGTGACAAAGCGAGACTCCATCTCAAAAAAAAAAAAAAAAAAAGGTTTAGAGATGGACTTGCGCAATCTCTATTTGAGTTCTGGTGATGTCAGTCACAAATAATGCAAATTTGTGCAGATTATGTAATTTATTTAGATTCTAGTTTTCTTATCTTTAAAAATAATCTGACTTACATGTATTCTGACTTACATGTACCCACACTTAAAATATATTTAATCCCATCACGGGATGCTATGTGCTTTACCGTATCTCACAGGTAATGACAATGAGGCTCAGAATCTACTCAGGCTACTTGCCAAATCACATTTGTTCCCATATAAGTTGTGGATCAAGACCCATGTTTCTCCCATGCTTCAAATTGCCTGCTCTTTATTTTATTTATTTATTTATTTAGACACAGTCTCGTTCTGTCACCCAGGCTGGACTGTAGTGGTGCGATCTTGGTTCACTCCAACCTTCACCTCTTGGGTTCAAGCGATTCTTCTGCCTCAGCCTCCCAAGTATCTGGGATTACAGATGCCCGCCACGATGCCCAGCTAATTTTTCTATTTTTAGTAGACACAGGATTTCACCATGTTGGCCAGGCTGATCTCGAACTCCTGATCTCATGTGATCCACCCACCTCCACCTCCCACACTGCTGGGATTCCAGGCGTGAGCCACCGTGCCCAGCCTACTTTTTAAATAAGAGTTTGCAGTACCATCATTCTGCAGTCCAATTTCTCTGGGTGGAATAATGTCTTGGACCACTTCACAGCAAGTACCATAGAGAAAAGCAGCCAGCTGGTGATGTAGTTTCCCAGCCAGGTAAGCGCGCTTTTGAACCAGACCAGAGCCCTGTGAACCCAGGAGTACGGGCTTTATCATCCATTCTTGACAGAAGAGAAAATGAAAGCACAAAGAGATTAAGTAATTGACTCTAGGTCAGAAGGTTAGTAATTTTCAGGGCTGAAAGTTTATGCTTCACAATGTAATATTTTCTTAACTTTTCTACTAAAATGACCTTGGGAATCTTTACTAAGATTCTTCACTAGAGGGCTGACTCTTATCGTCATAGTTTAGTATTTGGCTGTTCTTCAAAAAATTATTTTAAAGTACTTTGCAAAGCTTGAGTAATATTTTTTTTCTAAAAGGACAGGAAGATATGTAATGTGCCCATTGAACAAGGATTAATGACATTGTTAGGAAGGAAGGAAAAAGGATATCACTTCTACATCGATTTCAGCGTTTATGCATTAACACCAGACAATGACCTCTAAAATGAGAAGAGCACTAGCTTAACATTGTAAATTGACAAGGATCTTGGAAATGAGGAATTAAGGTTAGTCAGAGATTCAACTGTATAGATTCTACTCATGGCAGGGTAAGAGGCAACTGAGAATAACATGAAAGCCACCGGTAAGTATTTGACTTTTTTTTTTTCCTTTCCCTCTGCTTATACTAATGGTCCATTATACTTCAGGAAAAATAGAGACAGTACTGAGACTGTTTCCAAAAGAGGCTTTAGGTGGCTAATAGTGTCACACTGGCCAGTCTCAGGGACCAGTTGTGCAGTGCACTTTTGACTTGAAATACAGTTGTTGTTAAGCATAAGTTAAAAGCTGAGTTTTCAAAAGTTGTGTCATTGCATAGGAGTTTAAATATAAGCAATAGCTTATTGGCTACTAAGTGCAGTTTTTATAATCCTCCCATCCAAATGTGCCTCTAGATCATACACTCTGGTCAGATATGCTTTTGAGACACTGTTCAGGCAAAGGCAAGCACTACCTTCCCAGATGGTTTTCAGTGCATTTCTGCCCCACAAACCAGAGCAACTCTCCAGTTTCTTTCTTTCTCTCTTTCTTTTCCAAGGTCAAAGCTCAGACAGCTTGGTTCTCCAAGAGACTGATGGCCCCAATCCCTGAAATGAACAGCAGTCCTAAAGAGCAGCAGCCTCTCTGCCAAGGGGAATGGCAACACCAGGCAAAGCCAATAGACTCATCTCTTTTATGATTCCATGAGGCGTTCATGATCACAGGGAGTAGCTGCATTGCTAATTAGGGGTCACGGAGGTGGTGAGGGCCTCATTCATTCATTCACCCTTTCTTTCAGTGAATACATCTTCAACTGCAAACAATTCTTTTGATGATTATCTGAATGTTCTCGCAGCACGGAGGCCTACTTTCTAGGACCTCCACGTCTCATCCGCACTTGGCCGACCACGGAATCAATGAGATTTGACTCACCGAACATCAGACTCTTCCTATAAAAAACTCATCTTTTTATTCAACAAATATTTCTTGAGTGATCACTACCTGTGAGCACTATTCTAGGTATTGGAGATAAAACAATAAACAAATGGGACAAAATCATAGCCTTCAAGATGCTTGTTTTCTAGGGGGGAGAAATATACAACACATACAAAATACTAACATTTCAGATTATGGTACATTCCATGGAGAAAGCTAAAGAGGTCAAGAGAATAAGGAATGTGGATGCACACGTGCATTACATAGAGAGTAGTCCCAGAAAACTCCTCTGATAAGGCAACATTGAGCAAAACTGGGAGGAAGTCAAAAGTCAAGCCATGCAGAGGTGTGGAAAAGAACTTTCTAGGCAGAGGGAAGTGTGAAAGCAAAGGTCCTAATAGAGGAGCAAGTTTTTGTCTTGTCTGATGAATGAGGATAGGTAAGGGTGAGCAGGAAAAGTGATAAGAGATGAGGTCAGAGAAACAATGGAGCCAGATTGAGTAAGACCTCAGAGGCTACTCTAGGATGCTGCCTTTTACTCTGAGTGCATTGGAAGCCACTGGCAAGTTTTGAGCAGCAATGGCTATTTTGGCTGCTCTGAGGAGAATGGAATATGGGGTGAAAGGCTGGGAGCAGGCAGACCAGTCAGGAGGAACAACAGAAATTGCTGATTGCCACATAGTAGCCATCTGCCCTTTCTTTCTTTAGCAATAGAACCCTGATTCTTATTTGTGGCAGCAACGCACCCAGCTAAAGTCTAGATTTCCTAGATACTCTCTGTCCCCTGTCCCTTACAATTAGACAGAGTCATGTGATTAATTTCTGGCCAATGACCTATAAGAAGGTAGATTTATAGCACACTTTGGAGCACTGCTTAAAAAGAGCCTACTCAGTTGGGAGTTCTTTGCTCTTTTGCTTCCTTCTGCTGCCAACCTGGAACATAGACATAATAGCTGGAACTCTAGCAGCCATCTGCAACCATAAGGAGATCTTTTTGTTTTGTTTTGTTTTTCTCCCCTTCTGCATTCTTATCATTTATTTGTGGTAAGAACACTTAAAATCTATTCTCTTAACACTTTTCAAGTATACGATACGATATGTTATTAACTATAGTCACTACGTTACAGAACTCTTGAATTTATTCCTGCTGCCTAGCTGAAATTTTGTATCCTTTGACCAACATCTCCTCAATCCCTACCCTTCCCTCCTTAAACCCTGTTAACTGTAATTCCTCTCTCTGCTTCAATGAGATGGCCTTTTTTAGATTTCACATATAAGTGAGATCATGTAGTATTTGTCTTTCTGTGTCTGGCTTATTTCCTTTAACATAATATCCTCCAGATTAACCTGTGTTATTGCAAATGACAAGATTTCCTTCTTGAGGCTGAATAGTATTATCCATTCATCTATTGATGGACACTTAGGTTGATTCCATATCTTGGCTATTGTGCACAATGCTGCAATGAACATATCAAAGAGGTATGAAGATTTCATACCTTTTTGAAATGCTGATTACATTGCATAAGACGGCCTTTAAAATGGAAGCCACATGCTGAGGATGGTGGAACAGAAAGCTCAGGTGGGTCCCTGAGGATAGCATAGAAATACCACACCAAATCTGGACGGCCTATTTCTGGACTCGTTTCACATGAGAGAGAAATGGGCCAGGCATGGTAGCTCATGCCTGTAATCCTAGCACTTTGGGAGGCCGAGGTGGGTGGATCATTTGAGGTCAGGAGTTCGAGACCAGCCTGGCCAACTTGATGAAACCCCGTCTCTACTAAAAATACAAAAATTAGCCAGGTGTGGTAGTACACGCTTGTAATCCCAGCTACTTGGGAGGCTGAGGCAGGAGAATCACTTGAACCCCGGAGAAGGAGGTTGCAGCGAGCTGAGATTGCGTGGCTGAACTCCAGCCTGGGCAAAAGAGGGAGACTCTGTTTCAAAAAGGAAAAAAAAAGAGAGAGAGAAAAAAAAATAAAGTTCTTTTCTGTTTAAGCCACTGGTTTTTAAATTTGCGGTTTTTTTTTTCCAGCTCTATGTAGCTAAACTGAAACATGATGAATATAAGTAGCCTTTGCAACAATCCAGGTGAGAGAAGACAGTGGTTTGGCCCGGGGGGGTGGCAAAGGATGTCAGATACTGGACTTTTTTTTGAATCCTATAGGATTTGCAGATGGTTTAGATACAAGAATGAATGAACTATTAATAGAAAAACTAAGACTTCTGGTTTGGGGCCCAAGTGACTTGAGAGTGTAATGATTTACAGAGATGCAGAAGGCTATGGAGGGGGCAGGCTTGGGTGTGGGACTGGGGTTGGTGGGAACGGCAGTCTAGGGCACACGTGGCAGCATGGCCTTGATAGAAGCAGGAACACGATGAAACAGGGAGGGAGGCCAAGAGCACGGGGCACAGATTGGTAGGAAATGAGTGAGCTCTCATCCTACTGCTTCTATTTTCTCAACAAAGGCTGATCCAGGTCATCCCCTGAGACTGAAGGGAAGAAAGCAGAGGGTGGAGATGGGAGGTTTGAAGAGAAAGACACTATGGAATAGTCCTTTTAGTGAGTGGGATTGCTGGGCAGCCATGGGTGTGCATCTGTCTGAAATCTGTGCTCTCTAATTTAAAGAAAAGCCACTTACCAGCGCTGTGTGTTTTTCTGCAATCCAGTCCAGTTGCATGGTTGGGTTTAACTGAGCCTGGGTTTCACCAGACAAGCACTGTAGGATATAAGATGAGAGAAACAGGGGGAATGAAGGGGTGTTTGCAAGAAGGAGATCAGAATGATGGATCAGGAATCAAAACTGGATAAAGAAAGAAGTAAACACATGAGATGGATGAACACAGACTTGACAGTTCTTGAAAAGACCGAAAAACAGGGTGGGCTCCAAAGAAGCCAAACAGAAGGATAGAAGGTTGTGAAGGGGGAAAAGGAGATTTCGGAGATGCAATTAGTCATCAGTGAGGACAAGGTCAAATGAGTCACTGGAGAGAGAAGGAATTGAGAAGCTAAAGATATTGAATGGAGGTCAAGGTGCTGAATAAAGTATATTTCATTATAAGACTAATAATAAAATTCGTTCACAACTTCCTCTAATTAGATTTGTTATCTGCTTTGAATAAAGATACCATTAATTAGTCTAAGTACTTTAAATTTAATTTTTTTTTCTGAAGGGATATTTATGGGACTTCAAAGAACAAAGTTTTACCCAAACAACTAAGTTTTTGTTGGGTGAAAATATAAAGCATTTTTTTCCATGTGAAACTTCTTTGTATCTTGATATCTCTTCTTTTTCTTCTGTGAGTTTTTTTAGGCGGCGAGTCTATTAACACAATCTTTTAAAGATTGACCTGTTTATTCTCTCTGAAATAGTTCATGTCATAGCTTGTTTCTTCTAAGCTGGACTTTGCCCCCTTGTACTTTCCTTGCAACTTTTTCATCGTTTTTTAAAACAACATTTATTCTCATATTTACTTATTTTCTCAAATGTTTGTTTCCTTTCTTCCTGCTCCATCTCCCTGTTCCTCAGATTCCTTTCCTTAGGAGAAAAAATTGGGGTATTTCCCACAGCATGCTGTGAGAAAAGTCTCTGAACTTCCTGGGGGTGGGACTTGTGAACACAGAGGGTCTTGCACACTATTTTATATCCAGCGAGTGTTCAGATTACAGGGCCAGGCCTCAGATACAGGTCCAGTTTGTGGAAGGCGGTCCCTGAAACATTATGAACACTGCTTTGCTCCTTCTGTCTCCTAGTCCCTCTTCTTAAGCTCAAACGTTATTAATTGGGAGTCTGTTCTGGGCTACTCATTGTACTGATTAAAGTAATTCACATTAATGGGCAATGACTGATCTACTCAATTCTCTTAGGGGAAGTCACATTTCTAAAATGTGCATATTAATCCAAATAAAACCCTGATTCATGAGATAAATGTAAAGCAAATGATTAACACTCTATTCAGGGTTTTCTGTCACAGAACAAAATATTTTCTTTTCTCTTGGGGCCCCAAAACAGCCTTCTCATCCCTTAGAAAGTGGGCTAGGACAATGTAAAATTGGACAGTAGAGTTGTGTGTGTGTACGTGTGTCTCTGTGTGTGTGCAGCACCTGTCACCTCATCTACACATCTCTCTAGCTCATGATATATGTTTCAAATCATGAACCAGAGACATTCATATATGAACATGGTTAAGACATATTCATTCTTTCTTTCTTTCTTTTCTTTTCTTTCTTTTTTTTTTTTTTTGAGACGGTGTCTCGCACTGTCGCCCAGGCTGGAGTGCAATGGCGCGATCTCGACTCACTGCAACCTCCGCCTCCCGGGTTCACACGATTCTCCTGCCTCAGCCTCCTGAGTAGCTGAGGTTAAGACATATTCTTAACGAGTAAGTTCTTTGTCTAGGATAATATTTTGTAATTTTCCACAGAATATTCTTCAGATGCCTAACTTGATGAAGGTTTTCAGGAGCCTAGTCTTAGAATCATAGAGGTTCTTGGCTCCTGGTTCCTTCTTAAATCCAATTGTTCATTACTGGAATATACAAATGAGTAGGGAGCCAGAAATGATAGGCACCAGAAACTGAGGTTTCCATTTCTCAATGTGGCCTGAACTAAATGAATTAAATCTCATCCTCCTATGGGACGTGAAGGAAAAGGGCTCTGGCTGGGAAGTACTGCTGTGCAGTGGTTAGTATAGTGGGTCTGAGGGTCAAATAGATTTGAGTGCAACTCCCAACCCAACTCCTACTACTAGCTTTGGGACCTCGGGTGAGTCACACAGCCCTCAGGTGCTACAGCTTCTATAAATAGTGATATAGTATTCTTACTTAAAGTGTGGCTGATCAGAGCAGCCCTTCCGTGGATCAACCACCCCATCAGAGGATCTATGTCTAGGATTGAGCCTTTTCTGCCCCAGGAGGTTCTTTCAGGTCCAGAGGCTTTCCCGTGGAGGGAAGAGAGGCAGCAATGAAATCAGCGTATAGGCGGACTGGGCTCTTTCCCCTTCATGTCTGCAGGGCAATGACCTCCTAGAGTCCGCTATGCACCCCCCACTTGCCTCTCTGGGCACTGCGAGGTGGAGCAGTTGTAGGACCAGGAAAAGCAAGAACAGAGCGTCCTCTTCGGCTACCCTACCCGGGAGTTCAGGCGCTGCGCCTGGCCCTCTGGGGCGTGTTTGACCATAACTCGCACCGCTTGCTCTTTTCCCATTTCAGCAAAGTCTTGAGCCTGTATTCTAGTACCTTTTATCAGCCTTGGGTAAGCAGCTCGCACGGGGTATATAAGGAGAATCAACTTTCTGAACTGAAAAAAATGTAAATAGTAAAGTCAGTCGTGCTTCTTCCTGCCGGTGACTGTTTACAAGAGGGAAGTCAGCGGGGCCCCCAAGAGGTCGCTGGTGGCGCAGGAACCGCATCCAGATTGTAAAGAACGGGGGAAGGAAAAAAAAAGAAAACACCCAGAAACTTTCTTCCTTGTTGCGAATAATCGCCGCCTCCCCCCCTCCGCCCCCAGCAGAAGCAGTAACGTGACACCCGAGCGAAATCCCGAGACCCGAGCGGAGAGGGAGGGGAGAGGGAGGAGAGTGCTGCGGAGCGCCGGAGGGAGAAAGGGGAGGAGAAGGAGGAAAACCCCTGTCAAGGAGGTGGAGCGAGGGGATGGTGTCCGCCTCCTGTTCCTCCCTGCCGTTTTTTAGAGAAGCCTGAACCGGGACAAAACACGCCGAGACCTACAGACACAAAGCCGGGGGGTCCACGCTGGCGCTGGAGGCGAGCCCCGGCGGCCGCAAGCGAGCCCGAGGCGCGGCGGGGCGCGGGGCGTGGGGACGCTAGCGGGCGCCGGACGGGCGCGGCGCCCCGTCACGGGCAGCGCCCCGAACCGGGGCCGGACACCTCGGCCGCTCGGGCCGCGGCGGCGGGGACCATGCCGAAGAAAGTCTCCTGAGCCCGGCAACTTCGGCCCCTCCCCGCCCCCACCCGGCTGCCCTCCGCGCGGCCCTCCCCATGTGCAGCCGGCCAGCCGGGCTCTCCTCCTCGCGGCGGATGGGTGACCTTTTCCTGGCACGGGCAGGCTGTGGGAGGCAGCGGAGCAGGCGATGAAGAAGAAGCAGCAGCATCCCGGCGGCGGCGCGGATCCCTGGCCCCATGGGGCCCCTATGGGGGGCGCCCCTCCGGGCCTGGGCAGCTGGAAGCGTCGGGTGCCCCTGCTGCCTTTCCTGCGCTTCTCCCTCCGGGACTACGGCTTCTGCATGGCCACCCTGCTGGTCTTCTGCCTGGGCTCCCTCCTCTATCAGCTCAGCGGGGGACCCCCTCGCTTCCTGCTCGACCTGCGGCAGTACTTGGGTAAGGAAGCTGGGCAGGCGCTAGGGCGGCGCCGACAGCGCAAAGTTGTGCGGCGGGGAGAGGGTCGCGGCGGGGACTTCTCGCGCTGCCACCGCGCGCCGCCGCCGCCCCGGGTCTCTCCAGGTGCTAAGCCCGTGAGCATCTGTGCCGCGGTCGGGAGCGCCTTCTTCCTCCCGCGCGTCCGACTGTCCTCACCGAGGCGGGGGCGCCGCTGGGTTGCGCTGCCGGCAGGTACCCCGGGGCGAGGCACCGCTCACCTTCCCCCCGCCCCACCTCCGCCACCCGGATCCGGACTGGGGCGGAGTGGATGGGTGTGTGGGGTGTGCCGGAGTGTGTGTATCTTCAGGCCTGGCGGCGCGGGGAGTGGCGAAGGGAAGGGAAGGTCCTCTTCGTTGCATTGTTAGTGACCGCAGTTCAGTCCCGTCCCGCGCCCCGGGGAGTGTGGGTGGGTTTAGCCCTTTGCCACCGTCCGCTCTGAGAATTCTGTCCCGCAGATCCCCCGCCTGCCCGCCGGCCCTAGTGGCTCCGCGCTGTCCCCGGGCTGGCTTGTCCCTTGGCTGCCGCTGCCCACCCCGCCGCCCGCAGCTAGCCTGGCGCGGGGAACGGGTTGCATCCAGGGGTTTGGGGATGCCCGAGGGCGCTGGTCAGCCTGGCCAGCAGTGTCGCCCCCAGTAACCCGAGGATCCTCGGCGCTGTGTGCGTCTCAAGCTCAAGTCAAAACTTGTGTGTGTGTGTGTGTGTGTGTGTGTGTGTGTGTGTGTGTGTGTGTGTGTGTGGTTTATTAGGAGAGAGGCCGCCTGTCTTTAGCAGAAGTAAGGAAGGGGTTTGACGGGAGGGAAAGAGCCGCTCCAGCGAGAAGGCGTGACCCCGCAGCTCCCTCGTCTCGGCTGCGGGAGCCAGGGGTGCCAGGGACAGGCGAGCGCAAGCCCAGGTCGCAAGGACGATGCTGGCACTCGCGTTCGAGCCAAGGGAGGATGCAGATCCCTCCCAAGTCTGTGGCCAGAAGAGGTCGTGCGGGGGTGAAGGCTGGGAGAGCTCCAGCTTCTTGCAAGCATCCGAAGTGATAAGCCTGAGCATCTGCACGATGAGAGCGAGTGCGGGGAAGCAGAGCCACCGAAGTGCTGGAAAGAAAATGGGCCAAATGACCCGGGCCAGCTGGAGGCTGCCACAGTTACCCCAAACGTCACTTCGTGGCAGAAGCCACAGGTCTAGATAGTAGACCGTTTGGAGAAAAGAGAAAAGAAAAGGAAAAAAAAAAAACCCAAAACAAACAAACAAAACAAAGCAAAACAAAAACAAAACCACATCAGCCAAGTTACAAATGTGTTAGGGCATTTGGAAATGTAGATGTGGATAAAATAATATTCTTTACCTTGTACAAGACCTCATATTTTAAAAGTTACACTTTTATTTCTTTATAAACTTTGGGGAACTACAGATTACAGGAAAAGTTGGCCCAAGTAGATTTCCATAGCATTTGGTTTCATAGAGGATTTGGGGCAATATATCCTTTATTAGGGAATCAAACCTCTTCTTTTCATAAGTTCTGTATTGTGGAGTCTCATAGCTTCCTCCACTCTCTGACACCTGCTAGTGCCACAAAAGTTAACAGTATTTTCATCACCAGCAGCAATCCCTGTTAACAGGCATTGGGAGGCAAGCGTTGAGGCTCAGGGTCTTTCTCCATTAAATCTGACAGTGAATTCTTGTGGAAGTTCTTTTTAAGTAATAGATGGAGGCCAGGGGTGTAGGGAAAAGTGTAATGGACCAGGATGGAAGTCATCTGTGCTCATTGTCCTCAAAGCACCTGGCCTCGTGTAGGGTACTCAGACTTCATAGGCCTGGTGTTTCATGGCAGAATTAGAAGCCACACCTGACTGTCAATGAAACCTCCACCCAGCTCCTAAAGTTTTGGGGTTCTGACACCTTTCTTGAGGAAGGGAAATTCTGGGAGGAGGAAGGAGCAAAGGTACTACTGAGGATAAAATCAAGACATTTCAACATATATTGCATTAACATTTTCACTTTATATTTCCAAACAATGAGGCCTAATAAATTTGGGTGGTCAGTTGGTAGAAGGGTGAATTCTCAGCTTCTGCTCAGGAAACTAGGAAGAACTGAAAGATTGAATGCTGCTCCTGTTACTAGCTGATCATTATATTTCTGACTGATGTGATAGGTTCAAAATGACATCATTGTGAACTGAAAATAGAATACCCTTGGCCAAATTTGTTCCCTGTTACGTAAATATAATGATTTTTGGGAAAAGTGGGCTTGTGGTATTTTGGATGGTCTAAAATATACCTTTAATAATATAAGGCCACTGTGTCTGCAGAATTACTTTCCCCTGTTTTCCTCCATTCTTTTATTTTAGTGTCTGTCAAAACAAAACTTGTGGTTAGTAAACACATCCTCTCAATTTCCTCAGCCAATTTTGGCAGCAAGTATTTTTCGTAAATGTAAGTTCATGTAAAGTAAAAATTTTCCAAATCAAAATATGTTTATATCAAACACTTTTCTTTACAGAGTATTATTTCAGTATACTTATACAATATTCTATGTCTGACACACAATGGCCACTCAATAAATATTGGTTGAATTAATGACCCAACCTGTTGTATCAAACAGGTAGTGTGATATTTAACGTACTGAATATTCTCATAGGAAAGCCAAGAGACAGTAGCATTCATAGTAAAAGCTAGTATTTATCACGCATGTGCCAGTCAGTGCATACACAGGGTGACATTCAATCTGCACAGCAACACTGTCGGTAGGTTCTATTGTTATTTCCATTTTCTGTATGGAAAAAATGAGGGCAAAGAGTTATGAAGGACACATAGCAAGCGAGGCAGGACTTCAACCCATGTCTGTCTGATTGCAATACCCATTGCATAGCACTATGGGCAGTTTAAGGGAGAAAATGGAAGGACAGCCAAGATGCAAATGGGAATCTAAAGATCGGGACTGGCTAAAAACGATCCATCACATTTACATCCATAATTCCACTTTCCTTTTCTTGATACTTGTACTCTGAGTATCTTGAGGAGCCAGCAGAGAAGGGAAATAATTCAAGCAGCTGGTTTGCTTTAACTCTACCTTTCCGTATTAATCCCCACTATGTGGCCTCCATTTATTTAGGGAACTAGACCCTCCCTGAGCTGGACAACAACTGGGAGTAATGTTGGTCGGACTCGCATCTTCCGGGCGTTTTCTCTTTCTTTAGCAGTTGTGCTATGTCTAGGCTAGTGGTTCCCAATGTGGGTCCTTGGACCTGCCGCATCAGCCTCACCTGGGAATTTGTCACAAATGTACATGCTAAGGTCTTATCCCAAAGCTGCTGAAGTCTGGGCACAGGGCCCAGCAATCTGTGCGTCAGCAAGTCCTCTAGGTGATTCCAACGCAGAGAATTTGAGAACCATTGTTGTTGAGCAACAACAAAGTATTGCTTTCTGGAGGCTTCCCATGTATTTGAGAGAAAGGAGGAATGTGAGGCGGGGTGGGTAGATTTATAAAGTATTTAAAGGTACTTTAATACTTTAAAGTATTTAAAAATGTGATTTAAAAATGTACATGGTTTCAGTTTTTAATTTCAACTTTTAAAAATGCATCTTGTTTGCTACTTAAGCCCCACTGTTTTGAGGGAAGGACCAGCCAACGGCACCCACCCCAGCTGGCTTTAGACCTTCCAAGGTTAGGAGAGGTGTGACGTGAGGAGTAGGCTGACGTGGGGCAACCGGAAAGCATAGTGTGGGGAAGGACGAGAACAGAGCCACTGATGATGCTTTCTCTTCCCCATAGGAGACAGTGGTGAACAGTCCTTCTTCCTAGTCAATTTGGGGAAAGGCAGAGTATGTTCTACTTAGAGAATGTTCTGCTGTAACACATTTGAAAAGAGTAAAGGAAGTGATGGGGAGGAAAATCATGCAAGGATAACTGTTATCTTGATTTCCCACCCTGAGATTGGGTGGAGGGGGAGCACAAACATACATTGGGGTAAATAGAAATATATAGCAAATGCTACACTTAAGCTTGGAGACCATGGTCTTTCCAATTCAGTGAATTTTTTTTTTTTGAAATGGCATTCAAACTTTGTTTTGCTATGGAAAACAAACAAAAAATCAAATAAAATCTCCCCCAGAAATTAGGTTATGATGCAGCCTTGCTGCCAGTAGCCTTATTACTTATGAGCTGTGGAAATATCAAAAACTTGGAATAAGACTCATTGATATAAACAGAATAAGCCAGATGGCTTACTACTGATCTTGTACAACCGACAAACTCTAATGATCTATCATCCAGCCTTGGATATGTGATTTAGACTTTATGGGAGCTAAACTTGTTGGACTCATTCCCAGCTGATATGCTTTCCTTTCCATTTTTAATTTATACCACTTTAAATGGAGATATAGAACTTTAGTTCTCAGAATTGCCAATCTTTACGTATATTATATATGAGCCTGGCAATTTAGAGTCAAAAAATGAAAAGTATGTCATGTTATTGAATTTGAAATTCTCTAAGTTTAAGTGCATTTAAAGGAAAATGTGAAAATAGAGGTCCATATCTGTTACAAAATAGTTTCTTTGAACCTAAAAAGCCAAATTTTATTTTTCTTCTGCATTTCACACATGGTATAAATATAATACTTTAGGCTCCAAACAGTAATCTAGGAAATGAATGCATAAAATATGACGTTATCAATAGAAATTGTTGACATAGAAAAAATGATATTCTTGTTCATAGCTACAAGTTTATATTGTGGGGTTGGTTGGGGACACAGTGGCACTATATTAGAGAAAGGATAGAAAATGGAATTCAGCTATGGTAATCCGTTCTGTAAACAAATAGCATGAATGGTGAAAAGCAATCTGCCTTGTAAACTATTTTTTAATGTAGACTAGTCTTAGTATGAATTGTCTAAGAACACATATAAATGTGGATTATCTAAATACTGTCTTTCTTCAAATTCCCTGTCATCAATCCAGGCTTAAGACAGTGGTTAGTTTTGTTTTGGAGAAACTGGAAAGAAAGTGGTCAAGGTTTTTGAGTCCCAAAATAAATAGTATCTTTTGCTTCCTCAGAGGGAGACTGAAGGAGCAAAAACAGTAGCTTGACCTGCAGCTGTACTGGTGGGTGTCCATGATGGACAATGAAAACGCATCTTATTTGATGGATTGTAGCTGCTAGAATTATTAGGAGTTGCTGCTTTTTTTTTGTTTTTTGGAAAGAAGACTTGACCACAAATTAATTTTGTCATAAATATATTTATTTGTATTACATAGAAACTCGGCTTTAAGCAAACAGTGATATACATAAATCCCTTTTTATCAGAAATAGGGACAGAAACACTAACATTTCACAAAAATTCTTATTTGCAAAAGTCAATGTAGCAACTGTTTTGCAAGAGAATTCCAAATAAAGTACATTTCAGCATTTGCTATTAGTTTTTAAACAGCTTTGTTGAGATATAATTCATATACCATATAATTCACCCATTTAAAGTTTTTAATAGTTTAATAGCTTTTAATATATTATAGATATGTGTAACCATTGCCACAATTTTAGATTTTCATCACCACAAGGAGAAACGCCATACCCTTTATCCAACACTTTTGCCCCATCAACCCCAGTCCTAAGCAACCGCTAATTTACTTTCTGTCTGTATAGATTTGCCTATTCTTGGCATTTTATAGAAATAGAATAATATAATATGTGGTCTTTTGTGATTGGCTTCTTTTACTTGACATAATGTTTTCAAGGTTCATTCATGTTATAGCATGTGTCAGTACTTCATTCTTTTTTATGGCTGAATAATATTTCCTAAGAATTTTTTTTATTGCGGAATAAAATGTTCCATAAGACTGTATGGATATTCCACATTTTGTTTATCCATTCACCCATTAATGGACATTTGGGTTGTTTTCACCTTTTGTCTACTGTAAGTAGTGCTGCTATGAACATTTGTGTTGCAAGCTTTTGTTTCAACACCTGTTTTCTGTTCTTATGGGTATATACCTAGGAGTGGGATTGCTGAATCATATGGTAACTCTAAGTTTAAGTTATTGAGGAACTGCCAAGCTGTTTCTACAGTGGCTGCACCATTTTACATCCCCCGCCAAGAAAGTATGAGAATTCCAATTTCTTCACATCCTCACTGCCATTTCTTATTTTCCATTTTTTTATTATAGCCATCTTAATGGGTATGAAGTGGTATATTCATTGGCGTTGTGTTTTGCATTAATGATGTCGAGTATCTTTTCATGTGCTTGTTGACTGTTTGTATATCTTCTTTGGAAAAATGTCTATTCACATTTTGCTGATTTTTTTTTTTTTTTTGAGATTGGAGGCTCGCTCTGTTGCCCAGGCTGGAGTGCAGTGGCGCGATCTCAGCTCACTGCAAGCTCTGCCTCCCAGGTACACGCCATTCTCCTGCCTCAGCCTCCCAAGTAGCTGGGACTACAGGCGGCCGCCACCATGCCTGGCTAATTTTTTTGTATTTTTTAGTAGAGATGGGGTTTCACTGTGTTAGCCAGGATGGTCTCGATCTCCTGACCTCGTGATTCGCCCGCCTCGGCCTCCCAAAGTGCTGGGATTACAGGCATGAGCCACCGCGCCCGGCCACTGATTTTCTTTAAAAAATTTATTTCCATAGGTTTTAGGGGAACAGGTGGTATTTGGTTACGTGAGTAAGTTCTTTAGTGGTGATTTGTGAGATTTTTGTGCACTCGTCACCCAAGGAGTATACACAGAACTCAATTTCTGGTCTTTTGTCCCTCACCCCCTTCCCACCCTTTCTCCCTGAGTCCCCAAAGTCCATTGTGTCATTCTTATGCCTTTACATCCTCATAGCTTAGCTCCCACTTATGAGTGAGAACATATGATGTTGAGTTTTCCATTCCTGAGTTACCTCAGTTGCCTATTTTTGAATTGGGTTGTTTGTATTTGTGTTGTTGAGTTGTAAACATTATTTATATATTCTTAACAGTAGACCCTTTTCAGATATATGATCTTGCTATTAATTTGGGGGTTGGGAAATATGATACTGACTTAAATACAATACTGTTATGTATTGTTCACTATATTATAGGTGTTCACCTTATCAAGGAGCAAGAAATTAGTTTTATATGTAAATGAGTTTTAAAGTGTTAAGTACGGTACCTGGGTATATAGTAAAACCTAAATAAACTCTAAAGATGGATTGAAAACAAGGATCTGTTCTAAAGAATCCTGGGGGTCTTGTTTTACAGTTATGGATTACTTTGAATATTAAACACTTTACATTTATCTCTAAGGTATGATAATTCATGGATAGTTAACACTTAACCTATTTTAGAGATGTCACAAAGATTGCTGTGACTTGTATGTGGAATATGAATTTAGCTAATTTTTGAACAGCAGATTATAGTACAATGGTTATATTTTGTCTTTATATTTGCTCACTAGAATGGAGCCGATGAGCTCAGCAGGAGAAAACATTTGGGTTTATTATGTTCCTTATACAATATATGAAGCAACCAAGGAAATCTTAAGCATTCTCATGAAATTGGAATTCATATGCAATTTATTTTGTATTCATGTTGTGGTATAATATGAAGGACAAATATATAGGAACAGTATTTGCTACGTATGTTTCTCTTGAGTAAAATAACTTATGAGTTTTAAGAAGAAATATTGTTTTTACAAAAATGACAGAAAATTTTAGTAGGTTTCAAAAATATATATAATCAAAATAAGAAGCTCTAAAATAACTGCAGTCAATTAGATGCTGCTTGGCCTCAGTTTGAATAATTGGCAACACTCTCTGAAATGGTCTGCCTCTATGTCTCTACCCAAATCTCATCTTGAATTGTAGTTCCCATAATCCCCACATGTTGTGGGAGGAACCCTGTGGGAGGTAATTGAATCATGGGGGCGGTTAACCCCCATGCTGTTCTTGTGATAGTGAGTTCTCATGAGATCTGATGGTTTCTTTTTTTTTTCTTTTTTTTTTTAATACACATTCCCCAAAACTGGATTACTGGGGTCCAGTATTCCAATTATGAGCATTTTTAATTTATTAAATTTTGTTAAATATTTTAGATCAAAATGTTGAAGTAATTTACACATAATTCACATTTCCTGCCACCTCCACAGAGCTAGATGTCATCTCTATAGTTCTGGTAATCATCCAGGTGAAAAATGGTAATATTTTTTAATTATACTTTAAGTTCTAGGGTACATGTGCACAACGTGCAGGTTTGTTACATACGTATACATGTGCCATCTTGGTGTGCTGCACCCATTAACTCGTCATTTACATTAGGTATATCTCCTAATGCTATCCCTCCCCCCTCCCCCCACCCCACGACAGGCCCCGGTGTGTGATGTTCCCCTTCCTGTGTCCAAGTGTTCTCATTGTTCAATTCCCACCTATGAGTGAGAACATGCGGTGTTTGGTTTTTTGTCCTTGTGATAGTTTGCTGAGAATAATGGTTTCCAGCTTCATCCATGTCCCTACAAAGGACATGAGCTCATCCTTTTTTATGGCTGCAAAGATCTGATGGTTTCATAAGGGGCTTTTCCCCTTTGCTCAGCACTTCTCTCTCCTGCCACCATGAGAAGAAGGATGTGTTTGCATCCCCTTCTGCCATCATTGTAAGTTTCTTGAGGCATACCCAGCCATGTGGAACTGTGAGTCAATTAAACCTCTTTCCTTTAAAAATCACCCACTCTCAGGTATGTCCTTATAGCAGCATGAGAACGGACTAATACACTGTCATTCAAAATTACCAGGGAACCAGATATAGCTGCTTAGTCTTGAAGCTACGCCATACCTCTTGGTCTGTCTCAGGGTTTATATTGATTGTCTATAATTTCCCCAAAACTGCCACTGATTCATTTTTGTTGTCTCGCTGCCTGCTTAGACTTCTGCTAATGTCTTTGTACTGATTGTTTAGGAAGGTACAATTCCAATTAGGATCTCTAAACTCCTGTAAGTATTTGTTTATTTCATGATCTCTTATGAAGTTTTGACATTCTACCTTGTATTGTGATCATCTGTGAGCAAGCACCTTGAAGGGAGGAAGCTTATTCAGTGCTTCGCATCCCTGCTCTGACATCTCTTCTGGGTGCTCCACACAGGCCCTCAGGAAGTGGCTGTTGATTCAGTATATTTGCTGAGCAACTGTTCTTCACTAGGATTCCAAATCCTGCTTTGTTTGGTCTCTATTTAGAGAATATGGGGAGGGATGCCAAGAAGGACTCTAGCTCAGTTGATGCCTTTAGCCTATTTCTTTCTTGCTCTTTGAAGCTGATGCTCCAAGCAAATACATTACAACCACTTATGACATATGAGTACATATAGTTTTGTTTAGAGGTGGTTGCCCATTCTAGAGTGTAGTGGTGCCATCAGAGCTCACTGCAGCCTCAACCTCCTGGGCTCAAGCCATCCTCCCACCTCAGCTTCTTGAGAAGCTGGGACTACAGGCACAAGCCATCATACCTGGTAACACAAACATTTCCTTCTGTGCACAGAGATAACTGTCCACTTCTTACCTTTGGGCATTTGGAATTACACTTTTAGAGCTCTCTCTGTAATTAAGAATAGCTGAGATCAGTTTAGAGATTTGTGTGCATACAGTTAGAATGCAAACTTCTTGTTACTTGTCATTTTCTGAAATCCTAGACCAGTTGTTTTGGAAGTTTGCAGAATAGCTGTTATTTCTGTAGGTTAGTGTCTTCTTTAGGTAGCAATTTGTGTTAAATTAGCCAGTATGTTTCAAGCATGACTTTAAGTCATGAAGGAGATGAGACCGTGGAATGATGTGATTTTTGAAATAGGGACTGAACAGAGTTTAACCTAGAACTGCAACACGACCATACTGTAAAATTAGGTCTCAATCCACCAACCCATTTACACTTGTTTGGTGAAAGATACTATAATAACCTTAAGTCATGGCTTTGATTAGGCAATTCTTAGTTAATTCATTAATAGATGATTTAAATAACCTATTACCTTTAACTGTACTGCATTTCTGGAAACACCATTGCTGTTTTTTAGTTCAAGGAGTACAATTTTCATAATCTTGATGAAAGAAAAATGAGAATATTCTGAGACATATGAATTCCTTTGTTCAGTCATTCAACAAATATTCATGGAAGGCCTTCTTTGGGGCAGAAGCATCAGGCAGTAGGAAGGATATAGGTTTTGGAGCAGAGCTCCGGGTGTGAAGCACTGTGTTACCATTTATTAGCTGGGACAGCTTGAATAATTTTATTAACTTCTCTGAACCTCTGATGTTTTGATGTATACAATAGGATTAATAATTGCTGTTTTACAGGATACTTCTCTAACCCAAGGCCTGACATTTAAGTTCAACAATTGCCAATTTTCTCAGCTTGTTCTTTGCTTCCCTTTAACTCCCTCTTCATTTAGCACACATACACATATGAGTGTACACACACACTCATATCAGAACACAGCTGGGGGAGTATACAGATTCACTGATAACCTGACTTCCAATTGAAAGAAGCAATCAAACCTAGAAATACACAATTACTTCACTAGTATTTGGCAAGGGCTCTTCAACACCTGACAAGTTCCGGTAATTCATCCATCCCACTAATTACATATATGTACCCCTTCCTGCTTCTTCTCTTCTGCTTCCTGGAGATAGTCTTTAAATGACACATTTTTTGCACAGCCTGATTTCCTCTGTTTTGAATTTATCCACACTACTTTTTTTGTTCCTGCATTCACAAAATAAAAATAGCTGTGTGGAGGGAGTATGCTGGCGCTTACTCTCTGGGATAGCCAGCTGTTCTAGGATTGCACTAGTGATCCATAAGATACATCCTTTCAGAAATAATCACAATGCCAGGCATACACTGTGCCTGCTCCCAGAACTTCCCCCATTCATGACGAAACTACCACGTCCAGTAGTACGCCCACTTTCTTTTCTCAGTTCCCACTTCCCTCTCATTGACAGTCAGAGCAAGAGCAGTGAACCGCAGAAGCAGATCTTGTGTCTTCACTTGCTTGTTTCCCAAGCTCAGCCTCTCTGTGTTGCCTTGCTCTGTTAGCCTCCAGTAGGTGTTGCGGCAAGTGAGAGCCATACCATCTGGCATGGCCAATCACCCAGTTCCTTGAGCAGTTGAAGGCAAATGCTGATTTTACATTATTTCGTAGAAAGTTGTATTTTGTTTGGGGACCTTAAAAACCCTGACCTTGTCATCCAGCACAGAGCTTCCTGCTTTAACACAAAGGCTGTTTGACATGAATGCCTTCCCATTGGATAAACAGAACCGTCAGGCAGAGCCATGCGGCTGGATGGAGGGGGCACTAGGCCTGGGTGTGCAGGGTGACCCGACAATAAGTCAGTTGTCGGTGTTAAGTCATGTGAGCCTCCAAGGCTTCAGTGTCTTCATCTCTACAATGAAGGAGTTTCATTAGATCCATGATTCTCAGCTGTTTCCGTTCCTTAGGACCCTCATCCATAGCAGTGTTTCCATAGGGTCTTGACTGTCCCTATGGGAATACATCTCAGTGGCCAGGAGAGGGAGAAAGGGCATGGCATTGGAAGTCCTTTTAAAAAAGTCCCTGAGCTCACGCCTGTAATCCCAGCACTTTGGGAGGCCGAGGTGGGTGGATCACGAGGTCAGGAGATCGAGACCATCCTGGCTAACATGGTGAAACCCCGTCTCTACTAAAAAATACAAAAAAATTAGCCGGGCGTGGTCGCGGGCGCCTGTAGTCCCAGCTACTAGGGAGGCTGAGGCAGGAGAATGTCATGAACCCAGGAGGCGGAGCTTGCAGTGAGCCGAGATCGCACCACTGCACTCCAGCCCGGGCGACAGAGCGAGACTCCATCCCAAAATAAATAAATAAATAAAAATAAAAAAATAAAAGAATGCGGCGTACGCGGTGGTTCACGCCTGTAATCCCAGCTCCCTGGGAGGCCGAGGCGGACGGATCACAAGGTGAGGAGATCGAGACCGTCCTGGCTAACACGGTGAAACCCCGTCTGTACTAAAAATACAAAAAATTAGCCGGGCATGGTGGTGGGCGCTTGTAGCCCCAGCTACTCGGGAGGCTGAGGCAGGAGAATGGTGTGAACCCGGGAGGTGGAGCTTGCAGTGAGACAAGATCGCACCACTGTACTCCAGCCTGGGCGACAGAGCGAGACTCTGTCTCAAAAAAAAAAAAAAAAAAAAAAAAGTCCCTGAGGTAATTTTTCTGTGCACTCCCAGGGGAGAGTGTTTCTTTTCTCTTGAGAATCACTGAAGTAGATCGTTCTAAGATCTCTGCTGTTCTTCAAATCATGTGCTGAAAGAGACAAGAGGTCATATAATTGTAGCAACTGAAACAAATATAAGGCTATTTTCTTTGGACCCAAACACTTATTTTAAAAATTGCAGAAGTCAAGTGACCAAGGCAAGTAGAATACACAAAAACATTTTAGGCCATCGTTGTCATTTTCTGAGTCTTAATCATAGTTAAATTTTTTCTAAAATTAAAATCAGCAGTGCGTTTCCTCCACCTCCGCCAGAACTTGCTCTAGAAATTAGGGGAAGCAGAATGTCCCCAGGAAGTCCTAAGAGAGAAGAAGCAGAGTAAGACATGGGTTTCCAGAGTTTAGAGTCTCACTATGTGATAGGTGAAAGCTGTGTTGTTGATGAGGATTTGCACAGCCTCCTCCCGGTTGCCTGCTACTGACCATCCCATTTCACTGTGGGCAGCTCCAGTGGGTAAGAGGGTTCTTCACAGTGTGGTGAGCTACTCCTTTCTAGCCTCCATCCATTTTTTGCTGTTCTTCTGGAAGCTATATAGGCTTGTCTATTGGACTTTATAGTCTTCAAATAATTGAAGATACTAAAATGACTATTATGTCTACCCTGCTCTGCTACACACATAAATCTTGTCCAGACAAATAGGTCTGTTTACCAGTACTTTCTCATCAGAAGTCATTTGAAGACACAGAAAGTAAAAACCACAAAGAAAAAAAAAACTATATTAAAGTGAAAGCTCAACAGTAACACCCCATAACCATAGCAAAACAAAACAAAACAAAACAAAACAAAACAAAAAAAAACCACAAACATCTCCCCAGGAAATAGAACTAATATGCAGGTCTTTAAAAGTTCAGTTTATCAATGAGAAAAAGATAAACCAACTCACGAGATAAATGGGCAGAGTACAGGAGCAGTCACAGAAGAGGAGACACGGCTGGCCAGTAAGCACAAAGAGAAATGAAATGGTTTTGATTCCCTTACACATCTTAGCCCCCTTCCTCTGTCTACATGGCCCGTAAAAGCCACAGAACTGAACAGTTTTCCAGTTCCCTCAGTGAGCCTGCTTTGTGCAGTGGTATGTTACTGTCAGAAGGGATCCTCTTCGAAGCTGTGGTATTTGAGAATGACTGCTCCTCCCACCGCTTTTCTGAGGGTGTTAGCAGGAGTGCAACAGAGCCTTACTTCAAGGCCCCCAGCGGGCTGGCTGGAACCCTGCTTCAGCTCCTCCAAGCACGTGCGGCCAAGTTCTGGGAGCCACGTCGATGTGGGTTGATGGGTCCCCTGAGACGCCCTCTCTGCTCAGAACACAGCCAGTAAGCCATGGGCAGATCACAACAAACAGCACCCTGCCTTCTGCTCCGCCTCCCTCCATCTACCACACTGCCAAGTTCCTAAGAAGCTTAGGGGAGAAGGAACTGCTGTGGTGCTTAGAATGCAGTGTCTTGCCTGAAAGTATTTTCTCAGTCTTTGAGAAAACAGTGGAACTGACTCATCTGGTCAGAGCTTTACAGAAATGTGATTGCAGATCTCTTGCAATTTCATTCTGCTTTAGTGTCAGAATTCATCCGACAACGTGCCAAAAAAAAAAAAAGTGTGTAAAATCACATACAGATTTAGATACTTCAAGAGGAAGTTATTTTTACCACAGTGGGGAAGAAACCAGAAAGTGCCGATTGGTGGAGAATGCCCGGCAGGGCTGAGGAAGGAGGGTGGGCACCTGAGCAACCTGGGCCTGGCCACACTCACCCCTGCAGCCTTGCCAGCCTGGCCCGGGGATTGTGGTGTGGTCACCTCTTAGCAGGTGGAGGGAGGAGTTCCTGTGTGGAAGATCTGCTTGAAGGAGGAAATGTTGATATAACCCCCGAGTGTGGAGCCAACTTCAGCAGTGCGGGGTTAACATGGGTTACTCTTGAAAATGTGTTGCGTGCTCTCCCAACAGTCCATAGAAGCAGCTCTCTAACAGCTGCATGGGACACAAAAGTAAAAATGGAGAAACGATTCCAGAAAACCACATAAATATAAAAACCAAATGGCGCAGTGTCTTTATTTTGTTTTGGCAGATAACAGGATTGAGGCCACCTTGTTTTCTTTGCTCATGCATTTCCCAACTCAAAAGGCTGTTCTTGTTTGCTTGTAGAGCAGAGATCCAAGGCCTGAGAGACCCTGAAATGTTTGTAGTTATATTCTTCATTCGTGCTGCGAGATAAAGAGTTTTCCCAGAAACTAAAGGGAGGGAACAGGAAATATTTGTTAAGATCCATAACCTCTGGCTTTTGTCTCCTCTTTTCACCTGGGCAAAGGATATCAGTGATAATATTTTGGGTCTCATAAGATGATGAATTGTTCAAATGTATTTGGAGAATACTTTATTCAAGCATCTTTGTCTTTCTTTCCTATTCCTTGTGGCTGAAGAGAGGCATGTGCTTTTTATGCAAGGGTCTTGAAATGTATGCAGTTACCATGGTGGCACTCTGTCTCTGACCCAAACTCTGTCATAGAGTGTATGTTTAGCCATGTTTTCAGGGGTGCTTCCTAGCGTGGTCAGGAGAAACTGCTAGAGCTGAATTTGGTTGCTGGGCAGGCTTCTATCTTTTTTTTTTTTTTTTAATAGATGCAGGGAGTATAAGTGCATGCTTTTTACATGGGTATATTGCATAATGGTGAGGTTTGGGTTCCTAGTGTACCCATTACCCAAATAGTGAACACTGTACACAAAAGGTAATTTTTCAATCATCAAGCCTTTTCTCCCTCCCTGCTTTTGAGAGTCCCCATTGTCTGTTATTTCCCTCTGTATGTCCATGTGTACCCATTGTTTAGCTCTCACTTCTAAGTGAGAATGTGTGGTATTTGAGTTTTTGTTTCTGAGTTACTTCACTTAGGACAATGGTCTTCAGCTCCATTCCTGTTGCTGCAAAAGACATCTGTATATAGACCACATTTTCTTTATCCAGTCATCTGTTGATGGACAGTTAGTTTCATTCCCTGACTTTGCTGTTGTGAATAGTGCTATGATAAACATACAAGGGCAGGTGTTTATTTGATAGAATGATTCTTTTCCTTCCCGTAGATACCCAGTAGTGGGATTGCTGGGTCGAATGGTAGTTCGATTTTTAGTTCTTTGAGAAATCTCCATACTGTTTTCCACAGAGGTTGTACTAATTTACATTCCCACTAACAGTGTGTACATGTTCCCATTTCTCCCCATCCTTGCCAACATCTGTTGTTTTTTGACTTTTTAATACTAGTCATTCTGACTGGTGTGAGATGGTATCTCATTGTGGTTTTAATTTGCATTTCTCTGATAATTAGTGATACTGAGCATTTTCTCCTTTGTATTTTTGTGGGCTGCTTGTATATCTTCTTTTGAAAAATGTCTGTTCATGTCCTTTGCCCACTTTTTAATAGGGTTATTTGCTTTTTTCTTGTTGAGTTATTTGAGTTCCTTGTATAGATTCTGGATATTAGTCCTTTGTGGGATGCATTTTTGCAAATATTTTCTCCCTTTCTGCAAGTTGTTTGTTTACTCTGTTGATTCTTTCTTTGCTGTACAGAAGCTCTTTAGTTTAATTAAGTCCCTTTTGTTTATTTTTGTTTTTGTTGCATTGCTTAGCCATATATTCTTTGCCCAGGCCAATGTTCAGAAGAGTTTTTCCTAGGTTTTCTTCTAGGATTCTTATAGTTTCAGGTTTTACCTTTAAGTCTTTAATTCATCTTGAGTTAACTTTTTATATGGTAAGAAAAGGGGTCCAGTTTCATTCTTCTGCATATGGCTGTCCAATTTTTCCAGCACCACTTATTGAATAGGGTATCCTTTCCCCATCGTATATTTTTGCCAACTTTGTTTATGATCAGTTGGTTGTAGGTAAGCGGCTTTATTTCTGGGTTCTCTACTATCTTCTATTGCTCTATATGTCTGTTTTTGTACCAGTACCATGCTGTTTTGGTTACTATAGTCTTGTAGTATAATTTGAATTCAGATAATGCTATCCCTCCAGCTTTGTTCTTTTTGCTTAGGATTGCTTTGACTATTCAGGGTCTTTTTGGTTCCATATGAATTTTAGGATTGTTTTTTCTAATTCTGTGAAAATGACATCGGTAATTTGATAGGAATTGCATGTAATCTATATGTTACTTTGGATAGTATGGGCATTTTAATGATATTGATTCTTCCAATCCACATGCTTGGGATGCTTTTCCATTTGTTTGTGTCATCTACAGTTTTTTTAATCAATGTTTTATAATTCTTGTGGAGATTTTTCACCTCCTTGGTTAAATGCATTCCTAGGAGTTTTATTATTTTTTGTGGCTATTGTAAATGATATTGAGTTCTTGATTTGGCTCTCAGCTTGAACATTATTGGTGTATAGAAATGCTGATTTTTGTACATTGATTTTGTGTCCTGAAACTTTACTGAAGTAATTTATCAAATCTAGAAGTCTTTTGGAGGAGTCTTTAGGGTTTTCTAGGTATAAGATCATGTCATCAGCCAACAGAGATAATTTGACTTCCTCTTTTCTAATTTGGATGCCTTTTATTTCTTTCTCTTGCTATCAGGGGAACCCACCCCCGATAATTCAACGTGGGTTCTTTTCTATTTCCTTAAGTGTCGGCCGGTCTGAGAAATAAAGGGAAAGAGTACAAAAGAGAGAAATTTTAAAGCTGGGTGTCCGGAGGAGACATCACATGTCGGCAGGTTCCATGATGCCCCCTGAGCTGTAAAACCAGCAAGTTTTTATTAGCAGTTTTCAAAGGGGAGGGAGTGCATGAATAGGGTGTGGGTCACAGAGATCACATGCTTCAAGGGCAACAAAAGGTCACAAGGCAGAAGGTCAGGGCGAAACTAGAATCACTAATGAACTTCCATGTCCTGCTGTGCACACAATGTCAGGGTTCAAGAGCAGAGAACCGGTCTGACTAGAATTTGACAGGCTGGAATTTCCTAATCCTAGCAAGCCTGGGGGTGCTGCAGGAGACTAGGGTGTGTTTCATCCCTATCTATATCTGCATAAGGCAGACACTCCCAGGGCACCCATTTTAGAGGCCCCGCCCTAGGAATGCATTCTTTTCCCAACGCTGTTAATTATTAATATTCCTTACTGGGGAAAGAATTTAGCGGTATTTCTCTTACCCATTTTGGGTAATAAGAGAAAGGCAGCCAGACTTTAAGGTTATCTCCCTTGTTCCCTGAAAATCGCTGTTATCCTGTTCTTAAGGTGCCCAGATTTCATATTGTTCAAACACCACTTATTGTTTCAGCACCACTTATTGAATAGGGTATCCTTTCCCCATTGTATATTTTTGCCAACTTTGTTTACGATCAGTTGGTTGTAGGTATGTGGCTTTATTTCTGGGTTCTCTACTGTCTTCTATTGCTCTATATGTCTGTTTTTGTACCAGTACCATGCTGTTTTGGTTACTATCATCTTGTAGTATAATTTGAATTCAGATAATGCTATCCCTCCAGCTTTGTTCTTTTTGCTTAGGATTGCTTTGACTATTCAGGGTCTTTTTGGTTCCATATAAATTTTAGGATTGTTTTTTCTAATTCTGTGAAAAATGACATCGGTAATTTTCAAACACACATGCTCTACAAACAATTTGTGTAGTTAATACAATCGTCACAGGGTCCTGAGGTGACATACATCCTCAGCTTACGAAGATGATGGGATTAAGAGATTAAAGTAAAGACAGGCATAGGAAATCATGAGAGTATTGATTGGGGAAGTGATAAATGTCCATGAAATCTTCACAATTTATGTTCAGAGATTGTAGTAAAGACAGGCATAAGAAATTATAAAAGTATTAATTTGGGGAACTAATACATGTCCATGAAATCTTCACAATTTATGTTCTTCTGCCTTCAGCCTGTCCCTCCGTTCGGGGTCCCTGACTTCCTGCAGCATCTTGCCTAATTGCTCTGGCTAGGACTTCTACTATTATGTTGAATAGTGTAGTGGGAGTTGGCATTCTTGTCTTGTTCCAGTTCATAGGGGAAGTTCTTTTAAATTTTCTCCATTCAGTATGATGTTGGCTGTGGGTTTGTCCTATATGGCTTTTATTATTTTGAGGTATGTTCCTTTGATGCCTAGTTTGTTGAGGGCTTTTATCATGAAAAGATGTTAGATTTTATGGAATGCTTTTTCTGCAGCTGTTGAGATGATCGTATGGTTTTGGTTAGGCTTATATCTTCATACTTCATTTGTTTTATGGCATAATGCGTTTCTGTGCCAAAATATAGCCTCTCTTCCCCAGATTTTTTCCCTGTCACCTTGTCAGAATGATAGTTGACTTTGTTAATTGCAGAGTAAGTCTTGCTCACAAGGCTTATTCTTCATTGAAGTCTCACATCAATGAGCCTTAAAGGATCAGAGACACATGTTCTCCTATCACTCTCACCCACTCACCCACTTGCTCTCACCCACTCACCCACTTGCTCTCACCCACGCACCCACTTGCCCTCCTTTATATTTAGCTTGGCAGTCTTCCTCTGTTTTCTTTTCCATCTAGACAGGTTCATTCCTTCAACAAATGCTCATCAAGCACCAGTTATATGCTGAGTGCTAAGATAATCACCGTATTCATGGGGCTGTGTTGTACCTGGAGGGACAGAGAAGGACTTAAGATCCCGTATGAGGTGTGTTGAACAGGGGGAGTTAAAAGAGGTAGTAGAGGCAGTGATTGGTCATGCCTGGATATGGTTAGACTGATTATCTCTTTCCTAAAGGCCCTGTTGATGCTAGTAGATCAGGAGGTACTCAAGACTGGCTGCATGATAGAATAACCTGGAGAACTTTGGAGAATACAGATATGTGTTCATTTGGTCAAGGGTGTATGTGTTAAAAGCTCCATGGGTAATTCTAATATGCAACCAAAGTAAAGAACCACTGTAGCAGATACAGGGTCGGAGAGTTTTGTTTGTGCAGTAAATCCTCTTACAGTACTATTTAGGGATGCTTTATCTTAATCTATAATCTTTATTTGTCTATGACTTATAACACTTTAGCTTACAGCTTCTCTACTCTGGCATCTCTCAAACTTTAATGTGCATGCAAATCACTCGAGGATTTGTTAAGCTATAGATCCTGATGTAGCAGGTCTGGAACTGGGCTTGAGATTCTGCATTTCCAGCAAGCACCCAGGTGTAGCTGAGGTTGCAGTTGGAGGGCCACATTTTGAGTAGCAAGGGTCTATACCATAGCATTTCTGGGAAATAATGAATACCTGTAAACAACAAATATGTCAGGGTTCAGCTTAGCTCATTAAAGATCTGTGCTATTAAGCATTTCATAGATATCTTTTAAACTGAATTTTCATTCACCAGTTTGATTGTTCCAATTTAAGAACATTAAGTATTTCTTAAGTGAGAATCACACCCTTGTATGATTTCAAGTTTAAAATGGCTGTTTTTATTTATCTTTGGAAACTATAGTATTAAAATATAGGCTATTTGGAGTTTTGTGAACATACAGATTTTGACCTAATGTCAAGTTTGTTAATAAGCATTGAGAGCAAACCAACTGGTCTTAGAGATGAAGTTTCTTCAAATAGTTGTTGCAGATTCGGTACCGTTTTACCGTTTGACTGTTAGGCATACTATCAAAATTCATTACCAAAGTTTCCTGACATACAAATATTCTAGGTAAAGTTTTTTTTTTATAGCCAGAGAAAATAATTGGATGCACATAGAGTGAATAATTAGAATGACTCTGTGTAATTATTTAAAAACACAATTTTAAGAATTAATTAAAACTGTTAATACATGCTCATTGTAAAATACTGGGATACAGGAAAAAAGCACAAAGAAAATAAAACACACATTAATTTCTTTGTTCACAACTGCTTTGGTTACATGCTTCCTCCACTCTGTAGTATCATAGATATCGTTTCACATCTTTATATATTTTTTTACAACATTGGTTTTCATGGTGGCAGAGTGGCCTGTGAATATACTATTAATTCCTATAAGAAGGCTTTTTTGATATTTGGCCCATTTCTAGTTTTTTTTGTGGTTGTAGGTAAGGTTGTGATGAACATTATTAAATTGTTGCAGACTTCCCTATTGCCTTGGGATAAATTCCTAGACTTGGAATTGCTGGTTAAATGTATACCAATTTTTAAACTGATTTTACAAACCGGCACATTGATATGGCTTTGTATATTTCACTAGGAGTCTATTACCTGTTTTGCCTATACCCTTAAAAACACTGGATGCAATCTTTTAAAAATCCTTTACTCATTTGATTGGTGAAAATGATACTCTTATTCTTTAATTTGCATTTGTTTCAATATTAGTGAAAGTGAACCAGTTTATGCTTGTAAGACATGGGTCTTCTTTTGGGAATTGCAGTTTTAAATTTCTTTTGCAATTTTTCTCTATAGATGTGTTCCTCTTTCTCTTATCAATTCTAAGAGTTCTTTAGAGATGAAGGATATTAACCCTTTGACATACATGCAAGTAATAATTTCCTGGCTTTTTATTTGTCCTTTTGTTCTAAAAGTCAGTTTCTTTTATTTTTCCTGTGCATTAATTACATTTTCCCATTTATTATTCTTTTCTTTGCTTTTAGGCTTAGAAAAGACTTATATCCCATCAGATACAAATTCTCTATATTTTCTTCTCATTCTATTGTTATTTCACTTTTTCATTTACTTTTTAAATCCCATTGGCATTTATTTTGGTGTAAAGTAAATTAACTCAATGATACTGCATGTCTGTCTGGAAACAAAGTCGTCATTTTGAATGATATCCTTCTTTAACAGTAAATGAATTTTTAAAACATTAAAATGAATTGATTTGAGTTGAAAGCTTTTTAGAGGACTTTTGAAAGCCCTGTTTGTTGTTTGATCCTAAATTTTGGCAGTGGGAGTGCTTCTGAGGCCATCTGGTCCCTCTTCGCGATACTAGAACCTGTGCTTGGGCCTCTCCCTTCTGCTGCCTCTCTCAGCTATGATTCTCAGCACAGGTCCACAGATGCCCTTGTTCCTGGAGAGAACTTTTGTCCCCACATCTGTGGAACCTGTAGTTGCTAGCTCTCAGGCCAGGCAGACATGGCCACTGTCCTCCCTGGACCTCTGTTGGCCTGGATTGCCCATGTGCAGGATTGGGTAACTGTATGGATCTCAGCCTCCTGGATTCCTACTGGGTCTTGAGCAAAAAACACAACCCCTGGACAGCTGCATGCAGCCTTGCACATACACCCTTTGGGTGAGCTCCTCAACAACAGCCTGGCTGTCTGTTTGGGGTATCTCAGGAACACAGACAGCACTCATTTGAACACTATTTGTATAAGCAGCTAGATGGTGATCATTTGTTTAGTTCCTGTGAATTGTGGTCCTTTTTAATGTCTACAAAATTCAAGGCACCACAGACATTTAAAGGCCAACAAGATGGACCAGTAGAGGTATATTTTCTGTTTAGGAAATTACATTTTCTTCTGTGAATTTGCCTTTAACGGGATGTTTCATATCACAAGAGGCAGTGTAGTGTTAACAAAACATTGGGCTTCAAATCAGAAGTCTTCTGTTTGTGTCCTGGCATTGCCACCGTGCAGCTGTGTGACCTTGGGTAATTCACTTAACCTCTCTGAGTCTCTGTTGGAACTTTAGAGGGACTCTTTCTGTTCTATAACACCACCATCAAATTATAAAGAGACTGCTGTGTGGTATTCTCCAGCCTAGAATACTGTGGAAATTTGCATTTGTAATACCTGTTAATACACATACATGTCTTCAGTTTAGTCAGTCATTCAGAAGCCTGAGCACAGCAGGTGGCAGATGGGAGTATAGGAATGTAGGAGCCTGTGTTTGTGTGTGTGTGTGTGTGTGTGTGTGTGTGTGTTGTCTTCAAACAAACTCATAAAAATTCTGCCGCTAGGCATTCACAAACAGTGGTTGTTTGTTGTATAGATCCCTACTCTTTCTGTCACTTTTTTTTTTTTATAGGAAAAGACCTTCTAAGATTATGTAAATTACATTTTCGTTTACTGGCTATTTTTATGCATTTCCTGTTCTTTCAAAGGACTAGATAAAAATTTTCTGTATGTCCTAAGATCTCTGACTGCCTCACTTTAAATTGTAAAGAACGATTAAGAGTTCTAAAACATTGACCCTGCGATCATTGGATAAGATTTTAATTTTTTCAAGATTAAAAAAATTGAGTGTGCTAATGACATAAAGGTTCTTGCAAGAGCTGCTAGTCTAGCCTCTGATACAGATGTGTATAAATTCATCATCTTCGTGCAGACATTATTGGTAATAGAGATTTGCCCACATAACATGGGGAGCACAGAGGAGAAGAGAGAAGGAGAGGGATTCAGGGAAAAGGTGACACTTGAGCTGGGCATTGAAGCATAAATAGGCATTTTCTATGTAAAGATGTGGGAAAAGGGCATTCTAGATTCTAGAAAGAAGAGCACGTGCAAAGGCAAGCCACTGGGCAAAATTGTGGCATTTTTGGGCACACGAAGCAGTACAGAGTGGCTGGCCAGAAACCATGGTAGGGGAAGGGAAGAGGGTTGCTGCAAGGTAGGCGCCTACAGTAAAAGGAACTTGTACGTTACACTAACTGGTATGCAATGAGAAGCCACCGAACATTTTTAGACCACAGAGTGAGAGCAGATTTCTTATTCACAAACTCAACTCTATAAACAGAAAGGAAGAGCTGAAGCCATGAGAGAGCCTAGGGCAGGCGTCTGATACAGTCCTCATATTTGAACAGTGCTTTACAGTTTATAAAGTACTTGCACCTTTGTTGTCACGTGCACCTCTTCCCTCTCCTGAGTGGTGGGTGTTAAGCTTCCTCTGCAGACAAGGAGCCTGAATTCAGAGACATGAATGGCCCTGGGTTGCTCAGCTGGTGCAGCGGGCAGAGGGAGAGGTCAACATGTCACCGAGGTCCTTTGCCTTTTCGCCTCATGCCACAGGGAAGCATATTTCAGCAAAATACTGAAATATTTTTCCAACTTTTTAAATGAGATTTGACTTTCAAAGTAACTTTAATCTTGATTAAAAAAAAAAGTTTGACAAGACAAACAACTTTTATCCTGCAGGTATTGATTTAGTAGAACAGAGTGATGTCACTGTGCCTTGTTGCTGACATTTTCCTGTTATGATAGCCTTCTACAAGCTGATGGTTTGTTTTTTCTGATTAGCTAAAATGGAAAGAAAAATCTCCAGTGTGCTTTTATTAGGATAGGATATAACATATCTTAATTTATGTTTCAGTTATTTCAATAACTTTGATCATACCATTTTGTCATAGATTAAGTTGGCATTGAGGCTGTAATTTCTTGCTGTTTGGAAATGACTCTTTATTGAGTAAGGCAGATTTATTTTCTTTGTGCCATTATTGAAGATTATAGAAGTGGCTCTGCTTCCATTTTACCTAAAGTCGCATAGGCTGTGGCTGTTGAGCTTGCATTCTGAGCGTAGCTTTTTGTAGAGCTGTTCAGCCTTCCAACGCTTGTTGGATGACATCCAGCCCCACCCTGTTCTGCCACCTGCTCTGGAGAGGTCTAAAGCAAAATGTTCCAGTCATTTTTGTTTCTAAACCAGAAGCAAGTTTCTACATCTTTAATTTTGTTAAAATATAGTTGGAAGAGAGTAAGTCTAGGTCACAGAAAATTGAACTGTGCTGAGATGGAGTGGGTAGGTGGATAGTCCTTTAGATAATGAGTCGACTATTAGAATTTAAAGGCATCTTTCTAGAGAAGAGATGAAGAAGAAAACAGCTCTAACAGGTGCTCCATGCCCCAACTGAGCCTGTCTGAACTTACACATGGTCTAGAATTTATTGGATGATATATGTTTACTAAGGTAATTATAACATGTACCTGAAATGAGAGAGTTTTTGCAGGTAACTACTAAATTTGTAGCTGAATTTTCTGGAGGTCAAAGCAAAAAGGGAGTGAAATGTATCATATGTTACCATTGTCCAGTCTAAGGTGCACACTAGCTCATTGGGAAAGGGTGGCCTCTGTCTTCCTACCTCCCCCAAAAGGAGATATCTATTCGATCTTAGAGAATCATAGGGACAATACCTCCTTCAATATTTTTTTTTCCCCAGAAATGGGGACATGTTCTTCATGAGGCTGCACTATACATTGGCTGTTTATAAAAGTGAAAGCATAATATCAAACCACAGCTCAGTGGTGGTATTTCCCTGGGGAGCTGAACCTTTACAGTTTAGGTGTCCTACTTTTCATTGGTTTTATGTGTTTAGAAAGGAGAGAGAATAGAATATTGAGTTTGTGCCTGGTGGTTTCTCTTTATCGGTTTCTGCAGCCTTATTTTTGGCAGGAACAGGATAGCAGTCAGTTGAAGGATGCTATGTGCCCAAGGTATAACAAATCAGTGTGAATCGCACTGGGTGGGTGATTAAGGAGCCAGGCGATGTGCTGGTTCCTTCTTCCCTCTTACTGAGCAGCCTGCTTGGGGTTGGCTGGGCCTGGTGGAGAACTTACCTTGGGTGGGCCCTTCTGACCTTTTTTTTTTTTTGAGTTGGAGTCTTGCTGTGTCACCCACGCTGGAGTGCAGTGGCACAATCTTGGCTCACTGCAACCTCTGCCTCCTGGGTTCAAGCGATTCTCATGCCTCAGCCTCCTAAGTAGCTGGGATTACAGGTGTGCACCACCATGCCCGGCTAATATTTGGCATTTTTAGAAGAGACAGGGTTTCGATATGTTGGTCAGGCTGGTCTCAAACTCCTGGCCTCAAGTGATCCTCCCACCTCGGCCTCCCAAAGTGCTGGGATTACAGGTTGAGCCACCGTGTCCAGCCCCTTCTGAGCTTTCAGTGTTACTCCCCATCCCTAAGACATGAGATCTGGGCCAGAATCTTTCTCAGAGGGGGAAATTCCAAATGAACATATTTTGAATGTCTTAAAACCTTATCTGTTAGAGGAACTTTTAAGAAAAGATCAAACATACTTCCAATTTTACAATAGTTGTCAATTAGAGGATGGAATTGATTTTACTATTTTTCAACAACTTTATTAACATTTTTTTGCGAACCTCTTTTTCCAATTCAGCAAACTTTTGCAAGTCTTGACATATTCTTATTCTAGGCATTGGTGGGTACGTGATCTCACAAAATTGTTTAAGGAATTTTAAAAAAAATTATAGAAAATAGGATCTATGTTGAAAGAATTATAAAGTGCATTACAATTTGAGACTTAAATTTCCATATCTTTTAATTTTACCTAAATTTATATGAATTTTAAAATGGTGATTGTTGGCCAGGTCTGGTGGCTCACGCCTGTAATCCCAACAATTTGGGTGGCTGAGATGGGTGGGATCACCTGAGGTCAGGAGTTCGAGACCAGCCTGGCCAACATGGTGAAACCCCATCTCTACCAAAAATACAAAAATTAGCCGGCTGTGGTGGCAGATGCCTTTAATCCCAGCTACTCAGGAGGCTGAGGCAGGAGAATCGCTTGAACCCGGGAAGTAGAGGTTGCAGTGAGCCAAGATTGTGCCACTGTACTCCAACCTGGGTGACAAGAGCAAAACTCTGTCTCAAAAAAAAAAAAAAGTGATTGTTTTTCATGTTTGGAATTATATGACATGTATGTATTAAGAGTCTAATTTATTTTTCAAGTATAAATGAGGTAAATGCAAATCCCAGAAGACTGTTTTCTATGCACACACAAAACTACATTTCTTTTAGTACACAGGGAAAGGTAAATATTCAAATTCTTTCCGTTGGGTGACATTTTGTTCACATATTTTTGTAGGGCATCCATACTTTTGTTTTACACTGAACAAAAGGACAGTGTGAGGGACAGATGTCAGAGTGAAGGTGTGAATTTGCACCAAATGCCAGGTTTAGGGCTCAGAATAGCATTTTTTTGTACGTGGGGCGCCATGAACGCAAAGACTTCCAGCGGGATGGGCGTTGAGCAGGGATTGTCTAAGAGGAATCAAATTGCCAAATGTCTGCTGCCAGATTATTCTTCCCTAAAATTGATCTCCCTGAGAACTTGTCTTGCGGCCCAATTCCCACCAGCTTCCCTCTGTCCTCCCCGACTTTATAAAGAAGCTTATCTGACTCTATGCTGGTGTCAAACACCTCCAGGTACCAAAGGAAGAATTCAAAATCCTGGCATGGAGAAAGTGAATGACTAGTGACTACAGCAAACCCTTTTGCAGGTCACGTGGCTCCTATTCTTGGCTTTCAACCAAAGTGAAGGAGGATCTAATCTAGTTATCCCCTCAGGTAGATCACCAACAGATCACTATGGGATTTAGAAAGATGTTAAAGAAGCGTGTGACACGGCTATAACTAAACACTCTCCATTCCTGTCTGTTAAAGCGAACAAGGTTATTTTATATATATATATATATATAAAAATATAATGAATAAATAGGAATAAAATTGAAATCAGTGAAATTTACTTATAGACAAGGCCCTATTCACTGTATTTATGATCAAATTCCACTTTTGATTTTAATTATTTGTGAAATGTGTAAAATCTTTATATTGTTTTGATCAACTGTGAAACAAAGGTAATCTTAATAATAACTCAAATTCAGGATATATAGTTTAAACTTTTAAAGCATTATGGTCACAAGAATATTTTTTAAATGAATTTTACTTTACCTACATAGTTTTGTCATGTAGAAATAGAACAGAGAGATCAATACAGTAATTTCAAGCGTGAAGTATAATCTGTTAGAACAAAAATCTGTGGGGGGAATGGAATGAAAATACAAGCTGAAAAATTTGTTACTCAGACTTTCTTTTCAGCATTTTTTAGAGGATTTGTGAATTTCAGAGAAAAATGAGTGCATGAGGTCAGGTGCGGTGGCTCACGCCTGTAATCCTAGCACTTCGGGAGGCCAAGGTGGGCGGATCACCTGAGGTCAGGAGTTCGAAACCAGCCTGACCAACATGGTGAAACCCCGTCTTTACTAAAAATACAAAATTAGCCAGGCATGGTGGCAGGCGCCTGTAATCCCAGCTACTGGGGAGGCTGGGGCAGGAGAATCACTTGAACCTGGGATGCGGGGGTTGCAGTCAGCCGAGATTACGCCACTACACTCCAGCCTGGAGTCTGACAGAGTGAGACTTCATCTCAAAGAAAAAAAAAAGAGTGCATGAAAGAAAAGCTTGTTAATTCCTCCTTGACTTCATAATGATCTCACCTCTAACAAGGGTTTCCCAATATTGAGAATATCTTAAACATACATATGCTATCCTCTCCGTCCCTCCTAGGCCCGCCCTCTACCTGAGGTAACTAGTATTCTTGGTCTTGTATTTATTGTTCTCTGCCAAGTTTTGCAGGGCTTGAATATTATGTGAATTTGACAGCTTCCTTTAGGACAAAGAATAAAACATTGTCAGTTAAAAAAAAATGCCCACTCCAGTGCAGTGTCGCCCAGCGTGAGAGGTTGTGTGGAGAAGGGGAAGTTAGGATGGAGCGAGGTGGTGGTCTTTACCAATGGCAGTTTCCTTTTGCAGATTTTGCAAAAAAAACGTGAGCATGTGCGTTTATTGTTAGAGCCACCCCTCAGACTTGGAAAGGAGCTCATAAAAGTAAGGGCTCCTGAAATTTAAACTTCAGCAGTCACTGTGAAACTACCTCTGTGTATGTGTATGTGTGTGCATGTGGGTGTGCATACACACATACATCCCTGAAAACTGTGTTGGTTTTAGTTGATTGTAACTCTTTTTTTAATTAAATTTTTTTTTTTTTGGGGCGGGGAGAGAGTCTCACTCTATCCCCCAGGCTGGAGTGCAGTGGCACGATCTTGGCTCACTGCAACCTCTGCTTCCTGGATTCAAGCAATTCTCCTGCCTCAGCCTCCCGAGTAGCTGGGATCACAGGCACACGCCTCCATGCCCAGCTAATTTTTTTTGAAATTTTTAGTAGAGATGGGGTTTCACCATGTTGGTCAGGCTGATCTCGAACTCCTGACCTCAGGAAATCTGCCCGCCTCAGCCTCCCAAAGTGCTGGGATTACGGGTGTGAGCCACTGCGCCCGGCCTGGTAAAATATGAATTTTATACCTTGTTCTAGGAGAACAGGACGTATATATTTGATTGTTATTGCTATTGTTTTATAACTTGGAGGAATTATGAGCTGAAATTTTATTACTTACACTTTATTTTCTGCATTTTTTAAAGGACATGTGAATTCCAGAGAATTGTCCTTATTTATTTTGGCTGAATTAATAGGGCAAATTTGCCTCCTCTGAAGGAAAAAAAATAGACAAGAAAGATCTCTTTAAATACCAGCCTGGTGTTGTTCTGTGTTAGAGAAATTCTGGCTTTTGCTTCAGACCTCCAGTCCTGGTTTCCAGAAGAGGAGCACTTTCTGGTTCTCATTCAGGCCCTTAGTGGATCTTCTTCCAAGATTTTTAAAAATATGACCATTAGCTTACATTTTCCTATGTGTTCAATCCTCTTCTCAGCAGAAGTGTTTGCGGTGGATTTTTGAGGGTGGGAGTGTGGTCAATGACGCAACTGAGCCTTTCAGGGACTTGGAAATAAAGCTGTTTTATTGTGATGACCAGTTTTGTGCAGAATCATCTCATTCTTTTCTGCACGTGGTGAGTTTTGAAGTGAAACTTAAAGTTTAATGAGATACAGCAGCTGGAGTTGGGCATTTTGAAAAGAGGTAAAGAGAGATAATTGTAGTAAAACATACTGTAAGGCCTTACTTATCTGGAATAGCATGGAATGAAGAGCTCCAGATAATGGTGTTTTCTAGAAAGTGAAAGTTTAGAGCTTTAACCATCATACCCTCCCCTTTTTTCTTTAACCATTTGTTGGAAATCTCTTTAAAACATATTACACATGGTTTTCTTCTCCAGTGGAACTATTAGTCATCGTTTGAATCTCGTAAGACATTGTTTCTGGAATCTGGCTGTGATACAGTCATCTCCTCTGGATCCGTCATGATGGGTGGGACCCGCTGTCCTGCCCTTACCTGGCCTTGGTCTGTCCTGCTGGGTGCACTCTTGGGTCTGTTGTAGGTTTGCATCTCCTGTGTGGTCCCTTGGCCTTGTCCCTGCTCTCAAGTGGCTGGTCGTAGCAGCTCTCCATCCCACTAACCTGCTGATTCTAACAGGCAGTAAATTCAGGGAGCAAATACAGAACGTGTTGGAATTTGTAAAACAGCAGGAATGGCCCTCACTGGAGCTCCAAGTGCTTGCTGGATGTTTCCTCTCCTGGAGACAGGAGCCGTTTTTTCCTGGTGTGCCGGCTCACTTACCGCACTTAAAACCGACTGCTCTTAATGAATAAGGGAACAGCGTGCCTCATCTTTATCTCTTTACCTCTTTTAGACGTTAGGCCATTAGCTCTTATTTTCAGTTGTGTTCTACATAAGCAAGCCTGATGGATGACTCTGAATAAGTAAATAAGATTTAATTGAATTATGCAATTTTCAGTTTCTCTCAGATAATACCAAATCAAACAAAGGTGAAGCCAAACACACATAAAAGATTCGTTTTGCTAAAGCACAGTGTGAATATTTTAATTGACTTTTATTGTATAGTCATGTGCCACATAATGATGCTTTGGTAAAGGATAGATGCTTATTCTGATGGTGGTCTCATAAGATTATAATACTCTATTTTTACTGTACCTTTCCATGTTAATTTTTTTGTTTTTTGAGACGGAGTCTCGCTCTGTCACCCAGGCTGGAGTGCAATGACACAATCTCAGCTCACTGCAACCTACGCATCCCGGGTTCCAGTGACTCTCCTGCCTCAGCCTCCCGAGTAGCTGGGATTATGGGCACCTGCCACCACACCCAGCTACTTTTTGTACCTTTTAAATAGAGATGGGGTTTCACCATGTTGTCCAGGCTGGTCTCGAACTCCTGACCTTAGGTGATCTACCTGCCTCGGCCTCCGTAATCCCAAAGTGTTGGGATTACAGGCATGAGCCACCACACCTGGCCTAGGTATATTTAGATACACAAGTACATACTATTCTGTTACAGTTGCCTGCAATATATTCTGTACAGTCACATGCTGTCCAGGTCTGTAGCCTAGGAGCAATAGGCTATACCATCTAGCCTAGGTGTAGAGTAGGCTGTACCATCTAGGTTTATGCAGGTTCACGCTTTGGTGTTTGTACAATGATGAAATGCCCTAACAATGCATTTCTCAGAATGTGTCCCCATTCTTAAGCAATGCATAGTGGTAGTTACATATCAACAAAATTGAAAAGTAAAAAATAAAAATAATACAATAATTGTAATGATAAACTGAAATTTTAACCTTCACCTTAGCTATAAGAATAGAGGTATAGCCTCCTTTCCCATAAGGATTTCCTGGAGTACAGAGCCCTAGTTCCAAATTTTTTTCCAAGGCCACTCAGAAAGGGTTGTTAAGCTTCTTTGTTTTCTGTTTTAAACAAGAATTTCAGAAGCAAGATGTGGAGATTTTGCCTATTAGAGATTTTTTTCTTGGTCTTATTTTCTTTTATATCAAGTGATTTGACTAAAGGACTGAAAGTCCTGAGTGAGGATCCAGGGCCCAGGCAGACATACTAGGGCCTTGTGGGTGACAGAAAAAGGCACTCCTTGGGACTAATTCTACAACGGTGCCCTTCCTGAGGCGAACACTGGCACCATGGCTTGTGAATGGAGCATGGCCTCCCTTTCAGCCCCTGACCCCTCCTCCCAGGCCACGTCAGGCAGGGCACTCTGGTGTGGGGTGCAGTCCTGTGACAATCCCTGCATCAGTGTGGGGCCTGGCAGGAACATGGTTGGAGGCTCACAGATCTGAGTCCTAAGGCTCGCAGGGTCTGTCCAGGGCACCTGTAAGTAAGCCATCATCACTGACATTGTGTTGATTTAAGAATTGAAACTCCAGGCCTGGGGCAACTTGCCGAGGGTTATAAAGCCATTACATGGTAGGGAGTGGGGTCTTGAGCCAGAGCTCTGGTCATCTCTGATGACGACCAAGGCCCACCCCCCTCCATCCCATCCGGAATCCAGATTGCATTGGTTGAGCGTATCACCCCTCTCTTCCCTCTGTTTTCCATCCTCATGGTGGTCACAGCAGCTCAGCCCATTGCCCTCTTCTGCAAGGCCGAGCCCACCCTCCTGGGCTGCAGCCATAGCTGTGGCTGTCCTTACCCGCTGTGGATGCCGCTGTGGGACTTCTCTCTTTTTCTCTCCACAAAGAACCAAAGAATGTTCTTTGTGGCACATTTTTTTTTTTTTTTCAACCAGAAAGTACTACCTCAAGCCTCCTGGAAAATTCCTTATTATTTCAGAAACATCACTGTACTTCTTCCGTTGACTCAGCACTTCTGTCTCCTTTTCAAGTGTGGATTTCAGACCCTTGTCATTCTATGGAGCAAATGAAATACAGTCTTGAGGAGAAGCATTACGTAACATTAAATTTCATCACAGCTCTTTTTAAGAATACTTTGAGAATTTCAGAGTGTTTTCAAGGGAATCTCTTTGACGTTAGTTCCTCCTCTTGGTTCCTCACCAGATAAAGGAAATCTCCAACTCTGGGGAAGACATGTGAGGGAAGTCTGGGAGAATGTCGTGCATTGACACCCATGAACTTGCTGACATCTGGAGGAATGAGCAGGGCTGAGAGAATTCCGGTCCTGGTCCTGCCTCTGTTGCTCCCACCACGCCAGGGAAATAATAATTCCCACTCAGCCCGCTCCACGGGATGTCGTAAGGACAAAATGAGATGTGATATATGTGGAAACACTTGGAAAATTCAGACGTTAAAGTGACTCTAGAAATGTAGGTGTCATCATGGCTGGAAATATTAGTATAGCTTTGAGAGAAAAGGACATTTTTGGTCAAATAAGTTTACAGAATAGTGAATTATTCTCTCCTTGTGGGCTCTCAACACGTCTTAACATTTTAAAGCCTCCCCTAAGTCCTGCAGGAAAGAAATCCTTTTCGATTCTGTTTAACTTAGTGTTTCTCAGTGTTTTTTCCCCCTCCTGTTAGCTGCCTCTGTGAACTGCTGTGAGTGGAGTTCTTGGAGGGCTTGTGAACTCAGCAGAAAGACTTTGTGATATTTATTTTGGCTGCTTATTTACTCAGGTTTATTCCAGATACAGGAGGTCTCCAGACACTGAGTTATAGATCAGTGAGGTATTATTGTATTTTATTATAGACACATACATATACAAATACATGTGTGTGTATATATATACACACACACACACACAAATACATGTGTGTGTATATATATACACACACACACACACACTTATGCAGGAATACCTTGTTTTATTGTGGTTCACTGTATTGTACTTCACAGATAATGCATTTTAAAATAGTAAATGGAAGATTCGTGGCAAACTGTTGTTGAGCAAGTTTATCAGCACCACTTCTCATTTTTCTTTTTTTAAAACTTTTATTTTAGGTCCAGAGGTACATGTGCAGGTTTGTTATATAGGTAAACGCGTGTCATGGGAGTTTGTTGTACAGATTATTTCATCACCCAGGTACTAAGCCCAGTACCCTATAGTTATTTTTTCTGTTTCTCTCCCTCCTCCCACTCCCCACCCTCCAGTGGAGGCCCTGGTGTCTGCTGTTCCCCTCTTTGTGTCCATGTGTTCTCATCAATTAGCTCCCACTTATAAGCGAGAACATGTGGTATTTGGTTTTCTGTTCCTATGTTAGTTTGCTAAGGATAATGGCCTCCAGCTCCATCCACATTCCTGCAAGAACTTGATCTCATTCTTTTTTACAGCTGCATAGTATTCCATGGTATATATGTACCACATTTTCTTTATCCAGTCTGCCATTGATGGGCATTTAGGTTCATTCTATGTCTTTGCTATTGTGAATAGTCAGCACCATTTTTTCTGATAACATATGCTTACTTAGTGCCTCTGTATCATATTTTGGTAATTCTTGCAATATTTTCAACTTTTTCATTATTATTATATCTGTTATGGGGATCTGTGATGAATGATCTTTGGTGTTACTATTGTAATTGTTTGGGGGAGCCACAAACTGCACCCATATAAGAAGGCAAATTTATTCAATAAATATGTGTGTTCTGACTGCTCCACCTACCTGTGGTTCCCTGTCTCTCTTCCTCTCCTTGGACCTCCCTATTCCCTGAGACACAACAATATTGAAATTAGGTCAGTTAATAACCCCACAATGGCCTCTAAGTGTTGAAGTGAAAGGAAAAGTTGCACATTTCTCACCTTAAATAGAAAGCTAGAAATGATTAAGCTTAGTGAGGAAGGCATGTTGAAAGCTGAAATAGACCGAAAGCTGAGATAAACTGAAGGCTGGGTCTCTAGCGACAGTTAACCAAGTTTTGAAAGCAAAAGAAATGTTGTTGAAGGGAATGAGAAGTGCTATTCCGGTGAACACGTGAATGGTAAGAAAGCTAAGGAGCCTCATTACTGATACCGAGAAAGTTTGAGTGGTCCGGATAGAAGGTCAAACCAGCCACAACATTGCGTTAAGCCAAAGCCTGATCCTGAGCAAGGTCCTAACTCTCTTCAGTTCTATGAAGGCTGAGAGAGGTGAGGAAGCTGCAGAAGAAAAGTTGGAAGCTACCAGAGGTTGGTTCATGAAGTTTAATGAAAGAAGCTGTTTCTGGAACATAAAAGTGCAAGGTGAAGCAGTGAGTGCTGATGTAGAAGCTGCAACAGGTCATCTAGGAGATCTAGCTAGGATCATTGTTGAAGGCAGCTACACTAAACAACAGATTTTCAATGTAGACATAACAGCTTTCTATAGGAAGAAGATGCCATCTAGGACTCTAGTTACAGAGGAGAACCCGGTACCTGGCTTTGAATCTTCAAATGACAGGCTGATTTTCCTGTTAGGGGCTTATGTAGCTGGTATCTTAAAGTTGAACCCAGTGTTTATTTACCGTTCTGAAAATTGTAGGGCCCTTAAGAATTTGCCAAATCTACTCTGCCTGTGACAGCATATCTGTTTATAGCATGGTTTACTGACTATTTTAAGCCCATTGTTGGGCTTTAAAAAAATAGTGCTCAGAAAAACAGATTCCTTTCAAAGGTCACTGCTCATTGACAATGTACCTAGTCACTCAAGGTCTCTGATGGAGATGTACAAGGAGATTAATGTTGTTTTAATGCTTGCTAGCACAACATCCATTCTGCAGCCCATGGATCAAGGACTAATTTTGACTTTCATATCCTTTTATTTAAGAAATACATTTCTTTTTTTTTGAAACTCAGCTCTGTCACCCAGGCTGGAGTTTTTATAAGGATATAGCTGCCATGGATAGTGATTCCTCTGATGGATCTGGGCAAAGTACATTGAAAATCCTCTGGTAAGAATTCACCATTCTGGATTCCATTAAGAACATTTGTCATTCATGGAAGAAGGTCAGAATATCAGTATTCACAGGAGTTTGGAAGAAGTTGGGATGACATCGAGGGGGTCAAGACTTGAGTGGAGAAGTAACTGCAGATGTGGTGGAAATAGCGAGAGAACTAAAATTAGAAGTGGAACCTGAAAATGGGACTAAATTGCTGCTATCTCATGATCAAACTTGAACAGATGAACAGATGAGGAGTTGCTTCTTTTTTTTTTTGAGACAGAGTCTCGCTCTGTCACCCAGGCTGGAGTGCAGTGGCGCGATCTTGGCTCACTGCAACCTCCACCTCCTGGGTTCAAGAGATTCTCCTGTCTCAGCCTCCCGAGAAGCTGGGATTACAGGCGCCTGCCACCATGCCCGGCTAATTTTTGTATTTTTAGTAGAGACAGGGTTTCACCATGTTGGTCAGGCTGGTCTCTCGAACTCCTGATCTCGGGTGATCCACCTGCCTCGGCCTCCCAAAGTGCTGGGATTACAGACATGAGCCACAGTGCCCGGCCAAGTTGTTTCTTATGGATAAGCCAAAAAAGCGGCTTCTTGAGATGGAATCTACTCCTGGCGAAGACGCGGTGAACATTGTTGAAATGACAACAAAGGATTTTGAATATTTCATAAACTTAGTGGATAAAGCAGCTGCAGAGCTTGAGAGGATTGGCTCTAGTTTTGAAAGAAGTTCTACTCTGTGTAAAATGCTATCAAACCACATCATATGCTATGGAGATCTTTCGTGAAAAGAAGAGTACATCAATGTGGCAAACTTCGTTGTTGTCTTATTTTAAGAAAGTGCCATAGCCACCGCAAGCTTTAGCAACCATCACCCTGATCCATTAGCAGTCACCAACATCGAGACAAGACCCTCCTCCAGCAAAAAGATTATGACTCACTGAAGGCTCAGATGATTGTAAGCATTTTTAGCAATTAAGCATTTACAATTTTTATATTAAGGTATATACATTATTTTTAGATATAAGTGTATTATTGCACACTTAATAGACTATAGTGTAACATAAACATAACTTTTATATGCCTTGGATAACTAAAAAACTCACTATATTGTCATATTTGCTTTATTCTGGTGGTCTGGAACTGAACCTCCAATATCTCTGGCACACATATACACAAATAACATTTCTGTAATCTGATAGTTTTGCCAGATAAGTCATATTCTCATTGACTAACAGAGCTCAAGTTTTAATCAACCCAGCAAAAAGCATTTCTCTCCTGGAGTTTTTCCCATGTACACCTTTCCCCTGAAGAAGCAGACGTATCATTATTTTAAATAATTCTTCCTTCTTAGGAAAAATTATAGGCATATTTTCTTCTCACAGCTACCAAATGTCCTTGATATCTGTGCATGCACATTTATATGTAAAATCAGAGCTTCTTGTGGTTTTAGAATTGGAAGAGGCCTTAGAGATGAACTTGTCTGGTGATTCTCAACCCCTAAGCATGTTCTTAACGTGAACACTTGGGAGTGGAAGCCTGGGGAACCTGAAATAACTACACATTTCCTGCTAACCTTCTAATTCCTAGTCTGCCATCCTTGCAGTAGTAAGGTTCCCCTGTGCAGTGGGAATTTTCTGTCCCCAGGGGGTTGGGGACAGAAAAATGTTGCACTATAGATCTCATCCAACCCCGCATTTTACAGGTGAAGATGATGAGCTACAAGATTCAATGATATCTTCAAAGTCACACAACCCGGCCTAGAAATAGGCTGCTGCTGATCAATCCACTGCTTTCTCTGCCTATGAGTTTTCCCCAATGTCAGTGATTTCTGTCCTACCTCTGTAATTTACGGCATATCACGAAACCCCAACCCTCATACGCTTCATCATTTTAAATAAAGACTGACTTTTATATGTGAATAATTTATGAAAGAAACTGTAATCCATATTCGATGTGGAAATGTAACCACATTTCACTCACTATGAAAAAGGTAACACTAAAAATAAATGCTATGAAAAAATATATTAAATTTTAACTAAAGTTCCCCACTTAAGTTTCTGAGCCTGAAGTTTTCTCTCTGCTAAAAAGAGAGATTATCAAGTTATGAAGAGTTTAAACATAACACTAGCCCCAAACGATGACACTCTTTTTATGTAATCGGAATTATTGAATGAAAATTTTGAAGGAAATAACATTCTCTCGACATAAGTCCAGGCAGTATTTACTAACCAACACACCATCTCAAATCCTCTCAAGTTCCACCAGTGAGTGAGCTGTGTACCCATTCACGAGGAACTGTCTCCCAAAAGGGAAGCTATATCAGGCAAATCATACCTCTGTCTGTATCTAAGCTGGCTGGAAGGTATTAGATTTGGTGGCAATCAGAGTATTAATTGGAAAGAACAAGTGGAAAATTGTACATATATTGGCTGTTTATCTTGTGTATGTGTCCACAGACACCCTTAGAAAAACTGAAAGCACAGTGCCTGCGATATGATAAAAGCTCAGTAAATATTTGTTGAATGAATTGATGAATACCTGGTGAATGGCAAGCATTCTGCCTCAAGTCAGGTAGAAACAATAGACTGGTAAAAGCAAGTTGCTGCATTTTGTTTCAAGGCACTTTGAAATGTCTTATCAGTGGACATGAAGTATAGAAGACTTAGCAGACTCAGGAAGAGCAGAGCATGGCCATGGAATATTTAACAGATAATGAAGAGCATATATGTGGCCGGGCGCAGTGGCTCGTGCCTGTAATCCCAGCACTTTGGGAGGCTGAGGCAGCCGGATTGCCTGAGCTCAGGAGTTGCAACCAGTCTGGGCAACACAGTGAAACCCTGTCTCGACTGAAATACACGCCGGCTTGGCGGCGTGTGCCTGTAGTCCCAGCTACTAGGGAGGTTGAGGCAGGAGAATTTCTTGAGTCCGGGAGACAGAGGTTGCAGTGAGCCGAGACTGAGCCACTGCACTGCAGCCTGGGCGACAGAGCAAGACTCCATCTTAAAAAAAAAAAAAAAAGCATACATGCATTTAGGCATTAAGATGCTATAGACCATTATCTTTTATAGTCTGTGTCACACTTCATGTTATGTATCAAGAGGAGAAAAGCATCTCAGCCCAAGATTTGATTCCTGATTTTACTACTCAATAGCTAGATGATTTGGGGACAACTGCATAATATCTTTGAGACTACTTAGATATACAAATGAGGACTATGATAATGCCTACCTCAAAGGTTGTTGTGAGGGTTAAATGAGGCAATGCAAATGAAAATTGCTTTATAAAGACTAAAGTGCTATATTAATTTGCCTTTATTGAAATTACATACTATTAAAATGACCAGCGAACTACCATTTGTGCAGAGTGGTTGAAGAATATGGCATGCTGATTATTTGAACATTCTGGATAATAGAAGTATAGTACATGTCTTTCTGGTTAAAAAGAATTACAATAAAGTATTCTTAACATCAAAGCTTACTAACACAACTAATCGTTTGGATGAGATTTCAAGATATTTCTATATATTTTGTGGGCAGCACTTGAACACTTGAATAGTATAAGATGTTGAGGAAAAAAATGCTTAGGAAAAGAATACACTCTAACTGATACCCCAAACCATGTATGTTAAAAAAGTAGTTCCTTAAAATATACATTTACTCATTATTGATCCCTTGCTTATAAAAAATGTATGAATTGAGGAACCATCATTGGATATACAGAAGTAGAATTATAGAATTTGTTTTTATGGGTATTTTGAGGGGTAGAAAACAAGAATTATTTTATTTTGCCCTGTTCAGACAAAAATATCATGTTAGCTTTTTAAATAGTATATAGTGCAATTGGAACTCAATCTTAAGACATTTTTGCTTAATGAAAATGCTACCATGACAGATCTTTTTTTTTTTTCCTAACAGGATGTATATGATTCTCTTTTCATTAAATTTGCCTCAAAGAGTTTCAACTCTCAATTTTTAGACTAACTTTACTTTAGATAAAAGGGTTTTTATACTATTATTTCTTTTTTTAAATTTCCAGCTTTTATTTTAAGTTCAGGGGTCCGTGTGCAGGATGTGCAGGTTCGTTACACAGGTAAACATGTCCCATGGTGGTTTACTGCACAGATCATCCCATCACCCAGGTATTAATCCCAGCATCCACTAGCTATTCTTCCTAATCCTCTCCCTCTTCCCACCCCCTGCCCTCGAAATGGCCCCAGTGTGTGTTGTTCCTCCCCATATATCGATGTGTTCTCATCATTTAGCTCTCACTTATAAGAGAGAACATGCTGTATTTGGTTTTCTGTTCCTGTGTTAGTTTGCTAAGGATAATGACCTCCAGCTCCATTCATGTCCCTGCAAAGGACATGATCTCATCCCTTTTTATGGATGCATTGTATTCCATGGTATGTTTGTGCCACATTTTCTTTATCAAGTCTATCACTGATGAGCATTTAGGTTGATTCCATGTCTTTGCTATTGTGAATAGTGCTGCAATGAACATATGCGTGCATGTCTGTTTGTAATAGAACTACTTATACTCCTTTGGGTATGTGTCCAGTAATACGATTGCTGGGTCAAATGGTATTTCTGCCTCTAGGTCGTTGAGGAGTCACCACACTGTCTTCCACAACCAACAGTGTAAAAACATTCCTTTTTCTCCACAACTTCACTAGCATCTGTTATTTTTTGACTTTTTAGTAATTGCCATTCTGACTGGTGTGAGATGGTATCTTATTGTGGTTTTGATTTACATTTCTCTAATAATCAATGATGTTGAGCTTTTTTTCATGTTTTTTGGCTGCATGTATGTCTTCTTTTGAAAAGTGTCTGTTCATGTCCTTTGCCTGCTTTTAATGGGGTTGTTTTTTTCTTGTAAATTTAAGTTCCTTATAGATGCTGGATATTAGATCTTTGTGAGATGTATAGATTGCAAAAATTTTCTCCCATTCTGTAGGTAGTTTGTTTACCTATTGATAGTTTCTTTTGCTGTGCAGAAGCTCTTTAGTTTAATTAGATCCCATTTGTCAATTTTTGCTTTTGTTGTCTTCATCATTAAATCTTTGCCCATGCATATGTCCTGAATGACGTTGCCTAGGTTTTATTCTAGGTTTTTTATAGTTTTGGGTTTTACATTTAAGTCTTTAATCCATCTTAAGTTGATTTTTGTATATGGTGTAAGGAAGGGGTCCAGTTTCAATTTTTTGCATATGGCTAGCCAGGTCTCCCTGCACCATTTATTAAATAGGAAATCCTTTCCCCATTGCTTGTTTTTTTCAGGTTTGTCTCAGATCAGATGGTTGCAGGTGTGTGGCCTTATTTCTGGGTTCTCTATTCTGTTCCATAGGTCTATGTGTCTGTTCTTGCACCAGTACCATGCTGTTTTGGTTACTGTAGCCCTGTAGTATAGTTTGAAGTCGGGTAGCATGATGCCTCCAGCTTTGTTCTTTTTGCTTAGGATTGCCTTGGCTATTCAGGCTCTTTTTCGGTTCCATATGAATTTTAAAATAGTTTTTTTCCAATTCTGTGAAGAATGTCAATGGCAGTTTAATGGGAATAGCATTGAATGTATAAATTGCTTTGAGCAGTGTGGTCATTTTCATGATATTGATTCTTCCTATCCATGAACAACCCAAATAGTGACAGTGCTATTAAAAAATTGTAATCAAAGCCACTGATATTACATGACAAATCTTTGTGAGTACTTTCTTCCTGTTAGATCATTTTAAAATAGTTTACATTCTTGAATTTTTAAGTCAGTTTTAAAAAATAGATTGCTTGTATTAGTCTGTTTTCATGCTGCTGATAAAGATGTACCCGAGACTGGGAAGAAAAAGAGGTTTAATGGACTTACAGTTCCACATGGCTAGGGAGGCCTTACAATCATAGGGGAAGGTGAAAGGCTCTTCTTACATTGCAGCGGCAAGAGAGAGAATGAGAGCCAAGCGAAACGGGTTTCTTCTTATCAAACCATCAGATCTTGTGAGACTTATTTACTACCACGAGAACAGTATGAGAGAAACTGCCCCCCAAGATTCAATTGTCTCCCTCTGGGTCCCTCCCACAACACATGGGAATTATGGGAGTATAATTCAAGATGAGATTTGGGTGAGGACACAGCCAAACCATATCATCGTTCAACTAGAAAATATATATATATACACACACACACACTTAGTGAAAGTTATTTTATTAATTAGCCAGGATAAACCTTATTTAAACTATTTAGATATGAGTCACTTTGAGGAAAGGTTATTATATGAAAATATCACTGAAATAATCAGAAATTTCTTTAAAAAATGCTGTTATGCTATAATTCATTTCATAAAGTTCTGCTTACATTCATAAACTTGAGCCGTTTGTACAGATCACTTATTATCCTCATATAATAATTTTCTGACACATCCAATCTGCGTGGCTGTGATAAAAAATGATCCAAAATGTTGACCTATAACGTGTCTTAAGAGCTCTTAAAAAAAAGATAAAATCCTTGAATGATGCCAGGCATCTAGAATAAAATTGTCAAGAGAAACTCAACTAATTTTGAGATCAAATTTTAAGATCAAATCTTACTCCTTTATTACAAATGTTCAGTAACGATCTCATCAACATGATGTCTGTAGCAAATTATTTTTACTTAAGGGCTCAGCTCTGACATTTGAAGTGAATGGTTGTGAGTGCCAGTTTAGTTCAGGAAAATGCTGTGGTTAAGGGCTGGCCCATTTTCACATGGAATAATATTATTCAGGTCTTGTTTTGTGGTATTTATGTTGTAAATAATACATCCAGAGTCCATGTAGCTACCTATGCCTGCCCGTGAATGATACCTACTTAGCGTTGTCTTAGATCCAGTGGCAATAACGTTTAAATGCTGAAGGAAATATCTTTTGGTTTGCTGAGAGTTTTAATTAGGGTTCACTTTGCTGCTAAGACAGCAGCATTTAAGCTACTAGGTTCTTGGCACAATATTGTTTCCATATTTCTTTTTCTTTCCAGAAGGCTTAATTATTTCTTCACCTGAATTTTAACAACCATTTTAGCTGAATGATCTAGAAACTGTCCTCCTCAATGTGTGTTCTGAGTCAGCAGCATCAGCATCACCTGTGAACTGTTAGAAATGCAGAATCTCAGGCCCACCCCAACCCCACTGAATTTCTTAGAAGCTGCATCCAATGGAAGCATCTATATGAACCACACTTTTGAGTAGCAAGGATCTAGAGTTCTTGTGCAGATCTCTCTCTCTCTCTCTCTCTCTCTCTCACACACACACACACACACACACACACACACTTTCAAAAGTATTTTATTTATATAAATGTTTTTGATCATTGAATTAAAAGAAAATAATGCAACATTGAAAATATGTATTTTTTGAGACAGAGTCTCACTCTGTCACCCAGGCTGGAGTGCAGTGATGCCATCTCAGTTCACTGCAGCTTCTACCTCACAGGTTCTAGTGATTCTCCTGTCTCAGCCTCCCGTAATTCAGAATTACGGAGGCTGAATTACAGAGCCTCCTGTAATTCAGCCTCTCCTGGAATTACAGGTGCCCACCACCACACCCAGCTAGTTTTTGTATTTTTAGTAGAGACAGGGTTTTACCATGTTGGCCAGGCTGGTCTCGAACTCCTGACCTCAAAAGATCCACCCGTCTCAGTTTCCCAAATTGCTGGGATTACAAGCATGAGCCACTGTGCCTGGCCAAAAATATTTTCATAATGAAGACTCATAAATAAATATCACACATGTCAGTGAAAACCAAAAGCTTTTTTCTGTCATCAAGATTTCAGGATTCTTTTTTTTTTTTTTTTTTTCCAGCTTTAAGTGCCTATCCTTTTTGTCTGGGAAGGCTGATTTCTTTAGCTCTTTTCTTTCTCTGGGAATAATGCATTCGCATTGCTATCGTAGTTATCCTTGCAGCGGTGTCAGACTTTAGCTGCTTCCTGTAGCTCGTTCCCTGACAGTGTTCATGTAGCGTCTCCTCCTAAGGCGGCAGCCTCGCTGGGTGGATTGAGTGGTTACCTTGGATCCCTTCATGCCCGTGCTAATCTCACTCCGTGCTCTTCTGTGCCTCCAACTGGAATGAAAGCTTCTGGGAGTAGAGACCCCGTTTTGCTGTCTGCTCTCTCCAGCGCCTCATGATGTCAGATGTAGAATAATCCTTCACTATATTTGCTGTTTCTGGAATAGTAGAGACCACAAGGTTCTGAAAAAGAGGCCACTGGTTCAGATGAGGGCAAGGCAGTTGCCCAGGGGTAGATGGCATACCTCCTTGGCGAATCTGATTTTGAAGTCCGTGCCCTGAATCACCTCCACGTCCCACCTTGTGCCTGGTGAATGTCAGCCCTGCACTGTTAAGGTGCTGTAGCGGATGCTGTGATGTGCCACCGTTCAGAGAGGCACTCAGGCTGCCAGCTTCTGAGCATGGCTACCGATGTGTCATGGCTGGGTCCCTCCTTCAGCCTGGAAGGAGTGCTGTGCCCCGTGTGGAAGGAAACCTCCTCGCCCAAGGTTATGCCTCTCCTCTCGGGGCATCCCACATCCAATGCCTGGTTGATGTGGGGATACAAAGGTCTGATCCCCTTGCGTCAATCTGGGACAACTCTGATGGGCCATCCCAGTTCCAGAGCTCCTGTGGGACAGGCTGAGCTCCGTTGCAGCTGCATCGCAGTTTGCCTTCTCTCTCTGCCCGTTCCTGCGTCTCCACTCCTTTGTAGGTTGTATCTGAGTACATGCACATCTCTCCCTCAGGATCTGCGCAACAGTTAAAGGTGCACGCGTTAGTGAAACCTCGCAACACATCAGTGACCAGGGTTACAGTTCGCTGACTACTGAATCTGGACTGGAACCTTTTTCAATTCAGTGCTTTTCTGACTCCACCACTCTGACTCCCTCAAGTGCAGTGGTTCTCAACAGAGGTGACTTTGTTCTCCAGGTGACATTTGGCATTGCCTGGGGACTTGAGATTATTACTGGCATCTAGTGGGTAGAGGCCAGCGTTGTTGCTAAATGTCCTGCAATGCACAGGACAGTTCCCGCAGGAACAATTATCTGGCCCCAAATGTCAGGAGTGCTGAGGTTGAGAAACTCTGCTGAATGTATGGATGAGCATTGGTCACCAAGATAGAGGAGAAGAATTCAATATTGCTCTTCCATTATATTTTCCTAGGATGTGGACTCTATGTTTTAGACAATCTTCCGTATTAAAACTATCATGTGAATAAATGTATTTTTGTTACATATGTTTTCTGGAGTTTACATGTATTGGTGGACAACACATAAGAAGTGCGTAGGGTCAGAGAAATGCCACTCGAGGTCATTATTTCCACTCAATTGCTCACTGGGGAAAAAACAAACATGAGTTCTATTCTGTAATCAGTACTGCTGGCAACAGTACTGATCACTAAGCACTGTGAGAAGCACATTTCAGTACAATACTCTTGTTGTCCTAAGTTCTGTGACCACTTTTCCTAGATTTTCTGTTTTTCTTGGGATGGAAATAATAAATACTTCCTCTTGCCTCCTCTCAGTCTAGAGTAACAATAAGGGGGACATGTAAATCCAGGAATTTCACACCAGGATCCTGGAGGTTAGCTTTCCTGTTTTCTTCTTGCCAGTCTTATGCATTACATGGGAACTCATATCTATCAGCACAAAACTCAGTAAACGATTGTTGAGCGAGTAAGTCAGGACCAACGCGTCAATCACATGATGCAGGATGCTGTATCTAAGCTTGCACACTTACTTTAGGAAACTCAAATGGAAACCCCACTCTCAAATAGTCTAATCTAATTACCTTTGGTTCTGGAAAGCAGCATCCAAGAGGAAAGAGATTGTAAAATCCTCAGAGGAAGCGGGGAAAGTGGGTCTGAGAAGAGGGGACGAGAGCCTAGGAGTCAGCAGGTAGCTCAAAGGATGAGATGGATGTCTCTCTCTGCTTCTTTCCAATCTTATGGAATTTCAGGATATTGGTATTCACTGTTGCTGATGACCTAGAGAATGATACTTCCCATTAATGTGAGTTTGAAAATAGTTTCTATCCTTGAATAAATTATGCTTGGCACCGTGCAGACCAAAATAGATTCAAGTTATGTGAGTTTCATACTTGACCAAAAAGCAAGAGGCTGCGCGTCATTCAGAGCTGACCCCGGGCTGGCAATGAGAGCTCACAGTCTTGCTCTCCTGCTAATACCAAGCCCCTCAGTGCTCAGCAAACCCCAAAGTCGCCTGGGCCTGTGAACTGTGTAAACTATCCTCCCAGACACTTCGGACTGGAGATCAAGACAACTTTGAAAAATCTTCCGAAAGGGAACATGAGGTCCACCTGGCCATAAAGTGCCTTCCCTGTGTCACCTTTTTGCTGTCAGCTTGTGGCTCAAGGATGTTGTCCAAAACTGCTGGAGCTCACGTTTCAGGCAGAGATGTGTGTCTCATGTAGCTGGGCCTTTCAATTTATGGGAAATGTTATAGTTTAACTTTAGCCATTTTCTGGGATCTATTTTAAAACTCCTATATGTGGGGAGAGACAAATTTAATGTTTAACACAACATTGCTTTGACTGTCTTTTGCTGTACTATTCAAAAATTAATGTTACATGAATAGGAACTCAAACACAGCTGATAGGAAAGTAAATTAGCAAAACTTCCTCCTGGGGATAATTTTTTAAATATCCTTTGATCTAAACATTCTTTAGAAAATTTATCTTAAGGAAATAATCATAGATGTGGTTAAATATCTAGCTACAGACATGATTGTTACAGTGTTGATTGCAATAATGATTAATTATAAGCAACCTAAACATCAAGAAAAGCAAGGAGTAATTAAATAATTTATTGTACTGTATGGGTATGGTATGACTTGTGATACAGCAGTTGAGAAAGATGGAGAGGACCACTTAATGACATGAAATGATTTTTAATATTAAGAGAAACAAGATTATAGTGATGGGGAATGATCCCTGTATATTTATTCTAAAAATGTAGCCAGTAGTTATCTCTGGGTGAAGAGATTATGAGCAAGTAATTTTTTTTATGTGTATTTTTAATATATTCTACATTGAATAGGAGTTACTTTTGTAATATGTAAAAAAAAAAGTTACTAAAAATAAGGGTGATGTTTGTGAAACACATAAAGAAACGTACGCAAATCATAAGTGACAGCTTACTGAATTCTCACAAAGTGAGTTCACCTATATAACCCAAACCAAGCTCAAACAGGATAGACCAGGTCCCCAGAAACCCCCCTCCTCACCCTCCACCGCCTCTAACTGCAGAGGGGAGTGCCTGTTTTTTGGAACTTCATATGCAGTCATGTGTTGCTTAACGATGGGAACACATTCTGAGAAATGTTATGTGCTAGACTTTGATATGACTGACAGTGCAGCGGGTTTGTTTCCACCAGCATCACCACCAACAGGTGAGTAATGCAGTGCACTACATCACAATGGCTATGACATTTCTAAGCCATAGGACTTTTTCAGCTCCATTATCATCTTGTGGGCCCATCATTGTATATTTGGCTCATGACTGCAATTGGAATAATATAGTATGTCTCCTTCTGAGTTCGTGGCTGCTTCTGCTCAACATTATATTTGTGAATCATTCATATTGTTTCTTTTGGCTGCAGTTTGTTCAATTTCACTGCTTTACAGAGTTCCATTGTTTGCATATACCACCTTCCATTTTACTGTTGATTGATGGACTTTTGGGTTGTCTCTGGTTTGGCACTATTCTGAATAGTGCTGCTGTGAACATTGTTTTGGTTAACATCAGCGCATATTTCTGTTGGGGAGTACCTAGGAATGGAAATACTGATTTGTATGGTATGTTTCTGTTCAGCTTTCATAGACACTGCCAAACAGTTTTCTGGAGTGGTTGTACCAACACACACTTACACTTCTATATTTTCCAGTGCTGATCACAAGATTTCTCCAAGATACTTTCAACTTTCCTGAATTATTTGATGCTGTCATATTGGGAATAATTTTTATCTCTGTTAGTTGAATATCAAATTGATGTTCTAGAAAACTCTTGAGTCATTACCTACATTTTTTAGGTGAGTGGTGTTTGATGGCTCAAGATGAACCTTCTCTTTCCTCAGAACAGCTTTAAGTTTCTTATACTTCTTGTGATTGAAGAGCAGGTGACCATGTTTTTCTTCTAGTAACTGCATTATTTGAATTTTGAGAGTATCATACTTTTTTATTCCACTGAAGAGAAATTTATTTTTAATGAAGCTGCTTTTTGAGTAAAAAATGCTAGAGTGGTGTGATTAGAAAATACAGAATCCTTTTCTTTCTTTTGTAAGTGTTGTCAGCTTTAGGAGATTTGATGATCTTATAAGACAACCTTTTTTAAAAAGTCAGTGTCCTCCCATTTAGAAATAGTTGATGAACTCCTGGGAGACCAGCAATCCCTACTGCCAGAAAATTTAGTTCCTATGTTGCTTGCTCGATCCCAGAGCCAGACCATTTACCTAGCTCTGGCCAGATAGAAGTGGCTGCTTGTACAGAAAGAACATCGGGTGGAATAACAAACTCAGAACATTGGATGATCCAACAAAAGCTTTGTGTGGAAGGTCTTTCATTTGAGGCCCTTAAATACATGGAATAATTAATGAAGGGTGGAAGTTGGGGAACTTATTCCTTCTGTTTCTACCACACTGCTGTGGGTATCCTTCATCCTTTAAACACTCCTTTTCGTCTCTGAGCATTCACTGGCTAAGAACACAGGTCCACAGCCTCTTTGACGGCTGCGTTGTCTTTTCCACGTTCTAAGGAAAGGCAGTCAGTCAGTCATACTAAAGACTGACTCATGTTGTTTTTAAATATTAAAGGGCTCTGTTGTTGAGGCAGAGCCTAACCAGTCTTCAGTTTCCTGACTTCTGTTTCTGGTCCAGTTGCAAAGAAGCCTTTCTGTAATTTTCTGTAATATGATTTGTACTATGTTTTTCATCATGGAAAATTAAATTTCAAAACTTTACAAAGCTGTAGTAAGAAATATTTGAGAAGTAGGCTTGGGATGGAGGTGTGCACTGAATGAGAAGGGACAGGAGGGTGTCCCCAGCTTGTGATACCAATGTGTGGCTGGAGACAGAGGCTCAGTTGCCTGGTCTTCGATGTGTTCAGGAAGTGCCCTGACGGTGAGAGGCCTGTCCTGGCTGGTTAACTTTAAGGGTGGCCTGGCCTGCTGCTTTGCTCACAAGCACCTGCATCTCATGGCAGATGTGCTTCTGATTTGTGATACAAAGTATCTCCTTGTTTGATTTCTTGGACTTAGTGTGAACATGTTTTCTTAAGGAGTAGGTTTTGGGCAGGGCACATTACTAAGTCTTAAAAAGCTTTTTTTCTCTACTATATATGAAAAAAAGTCCTCTCAACGCCTGCCGTATTTTACCCAGGGACTTTTAAAAAAACCCAACTATACCCTTAGGTAGAATAGCTTCTTCCATTGGGGTTGTGGGATGGGCGTGGGTCTGTAGTCCATGGTTTGTTCTGCTCTAAAATCTTCCATCTTTGCTGAGATGACGTATTTTTGCCTTCTAACAGACCTACAAAACCATGACACAGACTTGATTTGTATACCTGTTATGTCAGGTATGATAAATGTTAATGTAATAATATTGACTCATTTATTTTGCCGATTCATTACGGGCTGGTTAAAGTGATAAACAACCATTAATTTTGTTTTATTTCCAGAGACAATTTATTATAAGCAGAACAAAAGGTTGGCTTTTAACTACACCTGCATATGCTATCCTCAGGAAAATATTTATAGTTTAGTTAATCTTGTTTAGGCCTAAAGTAACTGTGGTTTAATCACTGAACAAACAAGATAGGACAGCGTGGTGGATAATTGAACCAAAATTCCCATTGAGATGCATGGGGGCAGACTGCTCCCATGTGGTTTCACAGCCCAAGAAACTGAAGGGTAGTTTTGAATCCTCATCCTCTCTAGGATGAGGATTGAGATGAGAAGCATGGCACTTTGCCCTTTATTTCAGTATATTTATCCATACACCTACAAGGGACATAAGATTTTGGTCAAACATTTCTTGATAATTGTATATAAGTTGAAGTTTTATATACAGAAATTTTCTTGATAACAGAAACATTTCTTGATAATTGTATATAAGTTGAAGTTTTATAATTCAAATTGTAGGTTCAGAGCTGGAAGGGAATCCCAGCATTTGGGAGGCTGAGGCAGGCAGATCACAAGGTCAGGAGTTCGAGACCAGCCTGGCCAGCATGGCGAAACCCTGTCTCTACTAAAAATACAAAAATTAGATGGACGTGGTGGCACGGGCCTGTAATCCCAGCTACTCAGGAAGCTGAGGCAGGAGAATCATTTGAACCTGGGAGGCGGAGGTTGCAGTGAGCCGAGATTGTGCCATTGCACTCCAGCCTGGACGACAGGGCAAGACTCTGTCTCAAAAAAAAAAAAAAAAAAAAAAAAGAGCTGGAAGGGAGAGAGTGAAGCACACTGAAGTGAAAAACTGATACCCGTTAGGCTTCAAGGTGAAGCCCAGGTACACCTGCTTCCCTAGTACAGGCTCTCTTCATGCCGCAGTGTTGCCCTTTAAAAACCAACTTTCTCTGATAATTCTTTTTTTTTTTTTTTTTTTTTTTGAGATGGAGTCTCCCTCTGTCACCCAGGCTGGAGTGCAATGGCGTGATCTCAGCTCGCTGCAACCTCTGCCTCCCCAGTTCAAGCAATTCTTCTGCCTCAGCCTCCCAAGAAGCTGAGATTACAGGCGCCTCCCATGATGTCCGGCTATGTTTTGTATTTTTAGTAGAGACGGGGTTTCACCATCTTGGCTGGGCTGGTCTCCTGACCTCAGGTGATCCACCGGCCACTTCCAAAGTGCTAGGATTATAGGCATGAGCCACCGCGCCCAACCTTCTCCGATAATTCTTAATAGTTTAGAAAGCACTGTCAGCTGGGTGTTGTGGCATGCACCTGTAGCCCCAGCTACTCAGGAGGCTGAGGTGGGAGGAGCACTTGAACCCAGGAGTTCGAGGCTGCAGTCAGCTATGATCACACCACTGCACCCTAGCCTGGGCAGCAGAATGAAACCCTGTCTCTAAAAATGAACGAACAAAAACCAAACAAACAAGCAAACAAACAAACCCCACAAAACAACAGCAACAACAAAATAATAGAAAGCACTATTTTATATGCTGCTTTATATACTTTAGTTCTTACAAATAAATCCAAAGGTCAATACATTGTAAAAACAAAGAACTGTGTCAAAAAACATTCCTAATATGTTATTGATTTATTCAGCAAGCTTTTATGGAACACCTGCTATGTGCTAGGCATTGTGGTATGCATTGGGAATACAAAGCCTTAATGATTTTAAGCACCTGTTCTGAAGGGAAGACAGTAAGAAAAGTGAGTGTTCAGAGTACACAGTGATAAGGTATGTGATGGAAAATGTATCCTTCGAATGTTGTGGGAGCGTAGAGGGGTGGTAGTTGGAATAAACGTGAAGGTCTTCCCAGAGGAGGTGATATTTGCATTGAGTTTTGAAAGACAACGAGGAGTTGTTCATAGGAAGGAGGGAAGGAAGGCAGTTCAGACAAGAAGAACAATATGTGAGAAGGCCAGTGTGATGATTTTGAGAACACCATTCAACATGTCTAGAGCCTAGGGGATGAAGAGATGGGTGCTAGGAGGGTAGGAGTGGTGGCAAATGATGAGGCCAGATAGGTAAGCAGTGGCAAGTTTGTAAAGAGCACACCAGTGTACTCCATTAAGGGGTTGGGAGTTTGGCCATCATTCTAATGGATGGCAAACCATTTGAAGTAGGTGGGCAACATGGTCAGGTTTGAATTTGAGAGTGTTCACCCGGAAGCCAGTGTTGGGGGAATGGTGTGCAAGAGATTGAGGTGGAGGCTGGGGGCAGATATACAAGTAATCCAGCCCAGAGAAGAAAAGAGCCTGCACCGAGCAGGCACATGATGGAGGGCAGAACAGGACATTAGAGAATGAGAATCTCCTGGACTTGGTAGATTGAATGTGGACTCAGGGTGAGTCTAACCACACAGCTCAGCTTTGAGCTTCCCTCAGAGCCAAGGGGAGGAGTGGGTACTTTTAGAAAGAAGAGATTTCATTGATTTGTTCTGTTTCCCCATTTGCTAATATATGAAGAGGAGTGGGCTTAGTGGTGGGGAATGGGAGGGAGGCTAACGGGCTGTGTTTGGGGAAGGCTGAGTTTGTGGTGCAGGTGGGTTGGGTTTTCTCAGAGGAAATGATACAGATCACGCTCTCAGGAGCATGCTGTGGCCTGGAGATAGAGGCTGTGGATCATCAGCATGATTGCCCTGTAAATTAGAGGATGGGGATGAAGTAGCCTAGGAAGCGAGTGTAAGTGAGAACTAGGACCAAGGATGGATCCTTGGGGACCACTCATATTTAAGTGATGAGCCTCAAAAGGACACAGATGCTGGAGGACAACCAGGACAGTGATGTTATGGGGGCCAGGGAAGGGGAGAGCTTCGAGAAGGGATGCTCACCAGGGCCAAACACTGCCGAAGGTGCTTAGCCCAGAGTCAGTGCTCATAAACATTTGTTACTCTTTAGTGTTAGGATGACAGAGGAGAGGGAAATGAATGAGGCTTGGAGTGGTCAGGAAAAGCAATGCAGGAGGAGATAGGATTTATTTATTTATTTATTTATTTATTTATTTATTTGAGATGGAGTCTCGCTCTGTCACCCAGGCTGGAGTGCAGTGGTGCGAGCTCGGCTCGCTGCAACCTCTGCCTCTCGGGTTCAAGCGATTCTCCTGCGTTGGCTTCCCAAGTAGCTGGGACTACAGGCATGCACCACCATGCCCGGCTAATTTTTGTATTTTTCGTACAGACGGGGTTTTGCCATGTCAGCCAGGCTGGTCTCGAACTCCTGACCTCAGGTGATTCACCTGCCTTGGCCTCCCAAAGTGCTGGGATTACAGGCATGAGCCACCGCATCCGGCCAGGAGATAGGATTTAAATAAAGGCTTTAAAATTTACGTAGGTTTGGATAATAGAGGGAAGGTGGGCAGGCATCCCAGGTTAAGGTAGTAATTTAGCGTGGTCGCACACTAGAAGACTTCTCTGAGGCGTGGGATGGGGGAGTTATTTGCTTACAAGTTGTTATCTCCACAGATTGACGCTCAGCTCCCTGATGGCCAAGGCAACTGTGTGCTTTCCTTTGTGTCTGTCAATCATTGTAGCAAGGTTTTTGGCCCAAAGTGGTCAGTTAATAGATACTAGCTGGAAGCATTGATAAGGTGGGCGAAGTTGGTGGTTCCCGGCAACTGAGTGGTAAAACTCTACTCTCAGGGGTCCCTTCTTGTTCAGGGAATGTATTTGCATCCCTCCCTACTTAAACCATTTAAGAAAAAGAGTGTTCTAGTTTGCCTTTTTTATCTGCACTTAGGTCCCCATCACTCCTTTTCTTTTCCAACCCCGTTCCCTCCCTCCTTCCCTTTTTCTCTTTTTTTCTTGCCAATTTCTTATCTCTCTCTTCCTGCAATTCCTATTTGTATACTCATTCTTTATCAGAAAGTACCTAGAAGCTGATAAAGCTTGTACTTAATCCTTTATTTTACCTATATGCAAAATATTGCTGGCATCCTTTTGATTGGTGGTGATGTTCATTGCGAAATATTTTGAATCTTAATCTTGGCCTGTATGGGGAAGTAGAATTAGAAGGAGGTATCAGAGGAACTCTCTCTCTCACTCCCTCTCGCCCTCTTTCTCTCTCTTGTGTTTTAATAAATATCAATGCTATTAAATTTGTCAGGTACCATTATAAAAATAGTTGACATTAAAATTGCAAACCCTAAGGTGAATACGAGAGCTGTCTGCATCCTGATGAGGAAGATTCTTTACTTTCCTAGCTTCCATGAGTCTTTAATTTGAATATGGATTTTATGAACAGAGTCTAATAAAAATGCTGGGCTTTGGCATCAGAAAAACATGGATAAGGCTCTTCCTCAGTGGTGCTCTATGGGCAGTTACTGACCCTCACTGGGTTTTTAAATCTGTAAGTCTGGTTCAGAAGCCAGCCTCATAAGGATTTTGTGAGGATTCACTGAAATACTGTTTGCAAATTACCGAACACAGGGCCTGTATCATAGTCAGAACTGAAGGTTCCCTTCTTTCCCTTACTTCACATTTTTACTTCATCTTTCTTCCTCCCCCATCTTTTGTCCTTAATTAGAGCAGAGCATTGAAAATCAGTCAAATAATCTTTTTATGCAGGAAAAGAACTTCCTTCCCCTTATTTATTTAAGAATCTGGCTTTGAGTTTGAGTTGGAAAGTGTCCTTGTCTTATGGTATGAGAGTTTGGGCTATCATCTGTGACCTGCGTTACTGGTTACCAGGAATGATTATATAGTTGCTTATAATGGGCCACTTTAGATTTTTGCAAGGTATATTTGTATCATCTCTGATTCACAATTCGAGGGATTGCCAAAAAAAAAGGGGTAGGGTTTTTCTTGCATAGTTACTGTTTTGGTTGGCACAGAATGCAGCCTCCTCACCCACCCTCTTTTTGATTATAGCCAATGATTACATAACATTTTCAGATCAGATTTTTTTTTTTTTTTTTTTTGGAAAGCTTTTGGAGACACGTGGCTCTGGAGGAATCCTCATGGAATCTTAAAACCCTGAGGGAATTCAAGAAGAAAACTATTCCACTTGCTTGCCTCTGGCTGCATCTATATTTAAATTATCTAAGAAAGATATTGGTAAATTCTTCTATTTTTAGGAATTAGAGGAGCTTCCACTTTTCTCTTAAAATCAAATTCAAAGAGCAACTTTTTTGACAAGCTGAATAGATCTTTGAAGTTAATGAACTGGAGCATAGCTTGCAACTCCATCAGTGAGGTTGATCAGGAGTGAAGCTGCCTCATCAGCTTAGTCTCTTGGAAGTTAAATAGTAGAAAGAACATTTGGGTTTTGAGAACATGAGGATCTAGTTTTGCTGTGTATTGTGTCTATTGATGCATTCCTGGGGGATTTTTCCCCCAGAGGTATTTTATAGCTTTGATTTAATTTAATTTTATAGCTTTGATTTGATTTCAGTGTACTTCATCTGTGGGATTTCATGGGGTCTTGTTAAGGGTGTTTCTCTACAGAGTTGTTTTAGTGTTTACTTCTGACAAGTGCTCCAGGACATCTTTGATCTGAGACCACTTATGTTAATCTCTTATAATGAGGGTTCCTAGACTAGATGGTAGGGTAGATTTTCACAACCCAAATGGCAGTGAGCTTCCAATTATGAATTTTCTGGGAGGATTTTTCTTTTTTCTTTCTTTCTTTTTCTACCCAGAGCCCATAATGAGGCCAGCATCCTTGCACAGGGTGTGGTAGATGTGTGAAGGTCTCTGTTTTACAGGAGGTACTTGCTTCTCATTCCACTCCACTTTTTGCAGCCAAGATTAAACCCTCAACCCTCTTTGGCCATCAACTTCCAAGCTCCTGGTTTCTCACCCTCATCCTCCTGGGGCTTCCTGAGCATCAGCACGTGCTTAGCAGTCACTCTCCCCTTTCTTTTTGGCCCCGGCATATCTCATTCTCTCTCTGAGCCCAACCAAGCTTGTAATATGATGTTTATTATATTTTATCCAACATTTCTAGGTATTTTTTCTTGGGAAAGTTTCCAGGTTGTCAGGTTGACTCTGTCTGTCAGGTCAAATAGATGGAAGTTGAAGTTTGAAGATTTGGGTTAAAGTACTGGTTCTGCTAATTGTTTCTCTGGCTTTGCATGAGTGATTCTGTCACTCTTAAATTTCAGTTTTCTCATCTGTAAAGGGAGAGGGTGCATAATACCTCACAGACCCTTAATATACTGAAAAGTTTTCCATGTAAGCAACTTCACATTGTGAAAACAGCCTGTAGTGCATGTTGTTGACATCCTGCCCAAGTCCCCATGCGGGGCAAATGCTCCCATTGCCCAGCGCTTGTTGAGTGTACATTGCTAAGGCTCATAGCTGCTGCTTCTCTGGAGAACTGCATCCAAATCCCTATCCCAGACTCTGCTTCTAGGGAAGCTAACCTAAGGCATCATCACAATGCTTCCCCCCAACCCCAAGGAATCGTAGTTCTTACAAAGATGAATTACTTTGAAAGTTTAGATAGAATATAATAAATCAGCAAATCAAGAATAAACCATCTGCCATATTTTTGAAATTATCTTTTTGTCATTTTAATTTTTCACTTGTGAGAACACAATGTATATGTAAGTTTATTTAAGGCTCAATGGAGCAAGACTTTGATGGATCTGGGCATAAAAGTATGGGTAGGAAAGATTATCTGCAGCAACTCAATTCAAAATTAAGGGCTAAGGGCTTCAGAGATCACTTTAAGTCACACATTGATTTCATTTTCTCTCTCTCTCATGCTGTTTCCCTCTATATGGAGAATTTTATATACACTCTCTTGGCTCTTAACTACAGCCAGATTTGTAAGTGACGAGAATTGAGGGCCAGGGTGGGAGGAAATGCTAATATATTGTCCCAGGTTTTATGCTTGGGAAGCATGAAGAAATTCAAAGAGACCAAGGTGTTCTCAGGAGTAAACATATCCCTTCACCCAAATAGGCAAGAACAATTTTAGAACTGAAATCGTGAAAGGGGTCTTAGAGCTTTGAGCAGAACGGTAGACCCAGAAGGAGGCTATTTTGGTCCCCTTGCTAGCACAGATTTTGATTCAATATCTCTGAGCTTCATTGTTTTGTAAGGATTAAACATGCCTGTTAGATTGTCTTCTACAAGGCTCTGAATAAATGGTAATTATTTTATATTATTGATGATGGTGATGGTATGAACATTTTTATTATTATCATCATTTTTATTATCGTTAGAGAGTGTGTCTTCCTAATAAATCCTGTGGCAGGGGCTGGAGTTCTGATTTTAGAGTCTGTGGAATAAGATGATACTGTTGCAATTGCTGACTTTTCAGATTATAGTATTTTCTGCCAAAGAAGCCTGGTACTTTGTAGATCCATAGAATCTCCCTAGAATCAAGAGTAATTCTCCTTCCCCTCTCTCTCAATCCATTTCTACTCTCCTTCTTGGAAAAGGAAGAAAGAAACCTTAGGCATGGTATCAAACTGAATTACAAGATCTTGATTCTCGGTTCTTACCATTCCTGGGATATTCTAGAGACCTGGTTCTCCTCCATGTTGGCCAGAGTCCATATTCATTTTGGGCATCAACCCTAACAGAAATTTATACATAATCTATCATTAGTCCTGATGACTTTACTTCTTAAACACCTCTTAAGTGTTATTACTTCTGTCCAACTCCTCTATTAACACCATTATAGAAGCCACAAAATTATCTCCCGTAGGTTTCTGTAGTAGTCTTCTAACTAGCTTACCTATATCAACTCAGATTTCATGCTGAATGTTCTCTCCTCTGGAGCCAGAATAAAATTTCCAAAATGTAAATCAGATAAAGCCTCCCAGCCCCCACAACTCTCCCACACTGCCCCCAAACCCTCAGAGGTTTTCCCTGACTCCCAGAACTCCTTCAGTGTGGCTGAGGAGGCCCTACCTGCTCCTCTTGCTTCTCCATCATTCCTCACTTTGTTCTGGCTCTGGCCACACAGGCCTTCTTGATTTTCCCCTGCTACGTCCTGCTGCAGGACCTTTGCACATGCGGGATTCACCTGGGATAGTCTGACATTACTTAACCCCAACTTGTCCTTCAGATCTCAGGAGAGTCTTCCCTGAGTTGCCTTGTGAAACTCTTTCCTAGCACTCCATCATCTCCCTGGCTTGATTATGCACTTCGTGCGGCCAGAGAATATGTCTGGGGTTTGTCTCCACTGTATCCTCAAGGCCTACAATGACCTGGCACATAAGGACCCCGTAAATGTTTGTTAAGTGAATAAATAAAAGAAATGAGGGAAATGCAGGAACTGAAGACAGGGCAACTGGCCTCCTTTTGAAAAACTCTTGCAACTCAGGACGTGGCTTGTATGAATCTCTGAGTCATTGTCGTATCAGGAGTCAGATGGAGTGGCCAATGTAGAATGCTCTCATCTCAGAGATAGAGAGAGGGAAATGGTCCTTCTCTTCACATTCGGGAGTTTACAGCTGATTGTGTTTATAAACCCTCCCAGCAAGATGATGCCCTCTAAATGTTCCCCTCCCCCACTCAGCTCCATATCCCCTGTTGTCTGTCTGCACTGTGTGTGTGTGAGGGGGGGTCATGGGCCCCTCTTATTCCACCTGCTGTAAGGCCACCCTTGGTGACTGCAGTGCCACATGCAAGGGTGAAGTGGTCTGGTGCTCCTCTGCGTGTTTACAAGGCTTAATTAATAAGTGTCCCATGTAAACAGCCTGCACCATGTACGTGCCATCCTTACATTTCCTCCCTAAACAGGCAAGGCTTTCTGGAAGTGTGTTTCAGGGGGGAGAAGTCAAGCTGGAATTTTATCATTTGTTTTCCAATGAGTATTAAAAACATTTGTCTTTAAGGTTTATGTGAGAATATCATATACTGGAAATGTGATTTCATATTATTTTGAAATCAGAGTTCAGATTCATAAAATCAATATTTAATGGGAAACATGAAATTGTAATTACTAAGCACTTTTTCGGTGTGCTTACTATTTTTATATGTAAATATATATATAAATATATATATACTTCATTTTATGAACCATCTATATGGTTCATAAAATGAAAATATACTGGCAAAATATATAAAATTCTAATTTTTGCATATAATATTTTTCCAGTATATAAACCATGTATATATGGATATGGTTCATAAAATGAAAATATACTTGCAAACTATATAAAATTCTAATTTTCACATATAGTATTTTTCCAGTGTGCTGTCCCTCTATGTTTGCATATTTATATTTTTGAGTTTCACGTGATGAAAATCCTGTATCTGAGGGTTGATATGCACATGTACATAAAGTAGACCATTTCGTATAGCTAAGGGCTTCACATTTTTCTTCCCATATAGTTTTGTTTATTTCCAATTTCACATTTGAAGGATATTCTTCAGTATCCCCAAGTCATTATGCAATTTGGTTGTTTATGTAAATGTCCTCAAGGGATTCTGAACGAGAAATATTTCACTGTTTGTTACGTTGTGTAGAAATGTTCACAAATCATGTTAATTTGAAAAAGAATAGGAAATGAATAATCTGCCTGCAGTTTTGATTCCATGATCAACTATCCAAGGTCAACTGGAAAAAGCCTGAGATGTTGGAAAATTAGTGGAAGTTTTTGTGTTTTTGTTTTGTTCTTCTTCTAAAAGGTATGTAGAAAAGGCATGACATAAAAAGGGGAGAAAAATTCTGTCTTTAAAACTCAGTATCGTAAAAGGTCATTTGATTATAAGTGAAAATGACAATAAAATGGTGAGGATTTCTGGAATAAGTTTCCCAGAATAGAGAGTACCTCTCTTTTTAAGGCTATTCACATTTGGAGAGGAAATTGAAAGTTGATGTAATTTTCCAACAGCATTCAGAATACGGGCTTTAAAGTTTCATTTTCTTAAACTTTTCATAGTCCTTCAGATCATTTGGCACTTTGGAAATTTTAAATTTCCTCTGCTGTGTCTTGAAAAGTGGTGAATGATTGGAACACCCAGATTATGAAGGAGGTTAGAACACAGGTTTTATAACTTCAAAACATTTTTCACATTCTTATCTCTACTGAAAAACTTTATGGAGCCTGTGAATAGAGGCTTTAACTGCAGAATTCTACCTTAGGTGCTCTTAAGCAACTGTCGGTCTTTTTCTATTATCTTTACAGATGTACTAGAGCTTATTCAAGGGGAAAAAAAGATGTGGGCTCAGCTTTACAGGAACTGGGAGGACCAGTTTCTTTGCTGGCCTAAATATACATTTTGAGAAATCAAAGGGACGCTTTTTTTTTTCTTTTGTCCATGCATATAGTATAATTGCGGCTTAGTTTGAAAGTAGCCCGTGCTTTACTGTTTATAACCTGAACCATGTCTATTCAAAGTGAATTTTGAGGAGAATATTGAATTGGATTCACCTTTTGGTTGTTGTAGACTCATGCTAAATCAGACTAATCTTTAGGCATTTGCCTCATGTCGATATTATTTTAAAAGTGGTCACTATCCAAGCTTAGTCTTGAAACTTAGAAGGATTTACCTTCCCTATGCCTTTCTTTGTTTTTGAGACAGAGTCTTGCTCTGTCACCCAGGCTGGAGTGCAGCGGTGCGATCTCATCTCACTGCAACCTCCACCTCCTGGGTTCAAGCAATTCTCCTGCCTCAGCCTCTCAAGTAGCTGGGACTACAGGCACACACCACTGGCTTTTTTTTTTTGGTATTTTAGTAGAGATGGGGTTTCACCATGTTGCCCAGCAGTCTGGTCTTGAACTCCTGACCTCAAGTGATCTGCCTGCCTCGGCCTCCCAAAGTGCTGGGATTACAGGCGTGAGCCATCGCACCCGGCCCCCTATGCCTTTCAAATTCATTTTTATCTTAGTCTGTTGCTGTAACAGCATGCCTGAGCTGACTCACTGGTCTGGAGGCTGGGAAGTCCGAGATTGTGGGGCTGCATTTGGTGAGGGCCTTCTTGCAGCATCAAAACACGGCAGAAGGCATCACATGGCGAGGATGCAAGTGCATGAGATAGAGAGCAAGAGAGGGAGGGCCCAGGCTCATCCTTTGATCAGGAACCCACTCCCTTGATAACTGACCCACTCCCACTATGGCGGCATTAACCTATTCATGAGGCCAGAGCCCCCATGACCTGGTCACCTCTTAAAGGTCCCACCTTTCAACACTGTTGCAAGAGCAATTCAATCAATATGAGTTGTAGAGGGGACATTAAACCACAGCAGTTTCCTTTTATGTCTCTCTTAATCTCTGTGTATTGAAAGTAGCTAAGTATTCAAGTTTCTAAGGTATAAAGGAGTGGAGCGAAGGAAAAATCCCCCAAAAGAGGGAGAGTTACTTTGTCAAAGCCTAGAAAATACCTCTCTTATGAGTCTGGTCAGTTCCTCCATTAGCTGCAGAGAGTGAGAAGCATTAGCCCCTTTACTGATACATTGGATAGACAACTGGAAAAATACATCTGATTAAGCCTCTGCCACATTGCCTAATTGGAATGGAGAGAGGCAACACTGCTCTCATCATCCTTACCTCTTTAGGCCTTCAAAGGAGGAATCAAGGAATGGAGGAAAAGCCAGGCCTGTGGGTTAGTGGTTTCAATCCCAGTTCTCCATTTACCAACCATGTGGTCATTAACAAGTTCCCTGAGCTTTTGTTTCTTTCGAGGGATAATAATGAAGTTATGAGAATGGAGTGTATATTTGCCTAGTATGTGTGCAGTAAATACTGGTTTTCCTCTCTCTTCCCTCTGGAAGGTCAGCAAGCAGGTCAGGAGTAGGAGACAGGGGGCTGGAGCAGTAAGATGAACTATGCCAGGGGCAACTCAGGGTGAGACAGTGCGTGGTACATTGACAGATACAGCTTTGATTTCTTCAGCAAGGGTGTTAGGGGGCTTGGGTAAGAAGCAAGAAGGAAAGGCTGTATTTTCATATTGGGAAATCATGATAGGGTGGCCTGTAACCAGCTTGGGATGTGTCTAGTACATCTGAAAGGGATTGCAGAATCACCCTGGATGCTTGTGATATAACAAGATGTCAGGTGTGGATATCTATCGATGCCGTGGTTTAAAGAAGGGAATGGGAATAAGCCCCCTGAACTCACTTTCTAGCTGAGAAGAAACCATCCAGGAAGTAGCAACAAGACACCGCCTTGTTCATAGAACTGAACTTTGAGCCCTGGTCAATGAATACTTAACTGTAGGCCACGAACAGAAGCCGGTGGGGAAGCCAGGGTGGGAGGCAGGGCTGGGGCTGGTTGGGGTTACGGGTATCAGTGGTATGGCTAAGACATCCAAGGACAGGCACCCTTGTGCTGGAGTTTCCATGGGCATTCTAAGGTGGAGAGGAGTAAGAGACATTCGTGGTGGAATCAGTGGGTCTCCACACACAGAAAGGGTGCTCCAGGCAGGCCGTGAGGGAGCCTAGTGCCCCTCTTGGGGACATTCGCTTTTCTTACCCAGTCACTTATGTTCTGTGGCTTTGGGACCAGCAAGAGCAACAGACACCCTATTCCTCCACCCTCATAGGCGAATGTTTTCCTTCCTTTACTTTTCTTAAAAATACTTTTTACCAGCATAAGATCCTAAACATGACCCCTTTCCTAGGAGAGATGGCTTTTGCCTGCTTGTGAGGGGGGTGGGCTTTCTACTCCTGCCCTGGCAGCCGCCACCCTTTACCTGGGATGGGGATAGGTGGGTGGGAGGCTTTCTTGCCCCACCCCTAGTAGCATATGGCTTTTGCCTCATGCTGAAGCAGGGTCAGGTGTGGAATGTGGGCAGGTTTCTGTCCCTCCCCAGCAGGAGATGGCTTTTGCTTGATATAAATTAAAGAAGCGTTGGGATATGGGTGGATTTAATACCACCTGTTATGGACTGAATGTTCTAGTGTCTCCCCAAATTCATATGTTGAAGCTTCAGCCCCCAATGTCATGGTATTTGGAGGCAGAGCCTTTGGGAGGTGATTAGGTTTAGATGAAATCATGGAGATGGAGCCCTCATGATGGGATTAGTGCCTTTATTAGAAGAAGAACAGACACCAGAACTCCCTCTCTTCAGCATGTGAGGACACAGTGAGAAGGTGGCCATCTGCAAGCCAGGAAGAGAGCCCTCACCAGGAATTGAATCTGCTGGGCCTTTGATCTTGGACTTCCCCACCTCCAGAATGATGAGAAGTAAATATCTGTTGTGTAAGCCACCCGGTCTATGGTATTTTGTTATAGCAGCCCATGCTGACTAAGACACTGTCCCTCACTGGCAACTAATCATCACCTTGTACTCGAGCGAGGCCTGAAGTGCAGATGGGCTTGTCAGGAAACTCCTGTCACCAACTCAAACCTCAGCAGGGCCTGTGCCCTGAGCACAGCTCACTCAGGCCTTTGGCACTGTCCTCAGAGTTTCTCAGGGGAGTTCAGAGTCCTGTGGAAAAAGAGTAGGCAGTAGGGACAGACTTCTCGTGTTTGGGGATCTCAGAAGTCTTAATCTGTCACACTAAACCACACGGAATTTCTTAAAACCTTAGTTTTTTGTTTTTTTTTTTTTTCTCACCTGCTTTTCTTGCTGCCACCTCTTTCTCCCATACACTGTCAAAGCTGAAACAGTGCTTGTGTCCTTTCTTCCTCAGAGGTGCGTGTCACCCTTTGAAAGTCAGTTCAGTTGGTTGCCTTTCCATCTCAACACTCTAACGTGCTCAAAAAATTAGATTTTGTGGATTATCTGCTTTTCTTATTGTTAGGGCAGGAGTGGTGGCATTCTCTGGCAGTCTTCTGTATCCTTAGCAGAAACAGAACTGGGAAGGGTATTTGGAAAGTAGAAGCTAGGAGCTAGGTGTGCTGATTGCCTCTGAGGTATCATTGTTTATAGCAGTCCTACGTTTTCAGATTATCTCAACCTGCTGGAAGCTTCTCTGTCTTTTGAATACCTTTGCCATTCATGTACATACCCATCAGTGAGTCTCAGGGTTGGAAGACACCATAAATGCCACTTCATCCAAAGCCACAGTTTAGTCTCCAGTTCACATGTACTGCCTTGTGGCATCATTCCAGTGGTTGTCTTAATCTTTTTTTTAAATATTATATTGTTCAGCCCAGTGTGTATACATATCCATCCTCACCCCAATTCTGCTGCTGGATATAAATTGGCAGCTGCAACAGTATCATGTACAGAAAGTTGGTATCAATTTGAGAGGGAAGGAGTGTTCTCTGCTGGAGGACAGGGAGGAGACAGAGCCATCTTATCTGTTTTTCCCACATTTTAAAATGCATTGCCAAAGTCAATTTTAGGATGCAGTTGGGTTAAATTAGTAGCTAGAAGATAAAACCCAGTAGCCAGAAGCAAGCTGAACATTAAAACTTTGGGACTCTGACCACAGTATTGAACATTATGGCTGACCATCATGGGGTTAAAAGGTTAGGAAGAGAGTGGACCAGTAGCCATATATTTTTAGCCTGCTTAGAATTATAGTTGCCTTTGGAAATTTTTGGTAAACTCCCATAGATCAGGATTAGAATAAAGGCCATAAATATGGTTCAAAAACTGTACTTTCAACACTTCATTATATGGTTTGCTATTGGCTTTAGTGGTAGTGCATTATCTGAATTGATGTAAATAGTATTTAAGTTTGTCTTTTCCTATGAGTAATAAGTATTGTATGTAGATATTTCCGTTTCTATTACTTAAATAGATCCCCACAGTAGTTTGGTACATAGTTGCCATGCACATAATTACTGCATGGCTATTATTAGGAAAATTGTGTGGGTAAAATCCATCCTGCTATTTGGCTCTGTTTGAACCTTGATGCCCATCTGCTAAGCAATGTGGGGTCAAAATAAGTACCAGGGTAGTTCTGGCCTTGGCCTTTTTGGATGTGGGCTCAACTCTCTTTTCTCTCTACAGTCCCTAAAACTATAATACAAGGTGTCACCAGAGAGGAAGAGCAATTTTTTTTAAAAAGCCTATAAAATTATTACTACCAGCACCATACATTGCCAGTGAACCTGACTCTGGTGTTAAAACTACTTCTCAAATAGTATCCCTTCATATCTATCCTTATGAATTACAGATTATCAGCTAAAATACAAAATAATTCCCCAAAGAAAGTTGGGAGTATTGTATACTAATTAATCTGCATCAAGTCATAAAAGAAATTGACATATGTAAGGTGATGACATTGAGTTTTTCCAAGCTGGCATTTTCAAGTTTTATGAAAGGTACACCAGTTTATCATATACATTGATTTAATGTGATTATTATATCAGCTATCTATTGCCACAATAATAATAATGCTGTGTAACAAACAACCACCAAAGCCCACTGGCATACAAAGGATACATCGATTATTGCTCATGATCTATGGGTCAGCTGGGCAGTTCTTCTGGTCTTACCTGGGGGACTTACTTATGTGTTATGACTCCCCAGCTGGTTGGTCTGGGAGTAGTTGGCTCACCTGTACATGGTCCTTCATCTTCCAACAGACAAACCTAGGCTTGTTCTTTTAGTGATGCCTGGGTATTATGAGAGTGGAAAGGCAGAGGCTATATGAGGCCTAAGCTCAAAACCAGCACACCGTTTCTTCTCTGCACACCACAGCAAGCCACAAGTCTAGCCCAGATTCAAAAAATGAGGAAAGAGACTCTGCTTCTCAATGTCTTATAGCAAAAAGTATGGATGTCGGAATGGGTGAGAATTGGCGCCATTTTAAAAATTGGTCTCATTCTGGTTACTCTGGCTGCTTAGCACATTCCCTAAAACTTAGTGACATGAAGCTATCTTATTTTGTTCACAGCTTTGTGGTTTAGGCATTTGGGAAGGGCTCAGCTTGGCAGTTCTCATTTGGGAGTCACTTGGCTCACCCACATGGATAGCAGTTGGTGTCTACACATGGCTTTTGCAGCATTTGAGTAGTCAGACTTTCAGCATGACAGGTGGCTTCCCTCAGAATGAGTGTCCCAAGGGAACCAGGCAGAAGCTGTAGGACTCGTGTGATGCAGTCTTGGAAGCTGCGGGTCTTCACTTCCAGTAACTTCTATTGCTAACAAACAAGCCATTAGTAAGCCCGAATTCAAAGGGAGGCAAAATACATCTCACCTCTTGGTGCAAGGAGTGTCAGAGAGGTTGCAGGCATGTTTTAAAATCTCCGTTAATCTACCACGATTATTCATGGAGAGACATCAGTTCCCTCATTCTGCAATGTCAGGTCACAGTGCTATGATCTTTAACATTCACCATTCACATTAAATAGTGCATTTGCAATTTGTATTTGCAGATTTTTTTTTCTTTCTTTGTATAGTTCTGTATATTTAAAAGTAATCCAGGAAATGATTAAGGGTAGCTATTTATTTAATTCCAAATTTTCAGTGATCTTTAAGAAAATGCATACATGCATACTTTCTATATTGTTTAATTAGTGCATGTATCTGCACTCTGTTTTTTCAAGCCATTTTGTACACACATGCTTAGAGAAAACACAAAAATGCTTGTAATTTTAACAATATCCATGAGTTCATCAAGATAATATATCATAATTTGCTTAGCAGTTTCCAAGTTTGAGTACCTCTGTTATTATAATTACACTAACTTGATAGCACCACGTATTGGTTATTTATTGCAATGTAACAAATTATCCCAAAACATAACATCTTAAAGCAATAAACATTTACTATCTCATGCAGTTTCTGGGGGTCAGGAATCCAAGAGTGGCTTAGCTGCTCATTAGGTCTCTCATGAGGTTGCAGTCAAGCTGTTGCCTGGGGCTGCAGTCTCATCTGAGGGCTTCACTGGGGCTGGAGGATCCACTCCCAACTTCACTCACATGGCAGCCAGCAGGAGACTTCAGTTTCTGGCCACATGGGTCTCCCCATAGGGGTGCTCATGACATGGTAGCTGACTTCCCCTGGAATGAGTGATGAGAGAAAGAGAGAGAGAGCCCTCAAATGCAAGTCATGTTTTTTATAACCTAATCTTGGAAGTAATATAGTTTAACTTCTGCCATATTTTATTGGTCGCACAGACCAATCCTGATACAGCATGGGAGAGGACTGTTCATGGGTGTGAATGGCAGGAGGTGGGGATCACTGACAGGTCGTCTTCGAGCCTGGATACTACACATTGCTATAAACATCTTTCAAAAAATTCCTTTTTATTGGTAAATGATAAGGGGGCATTTACTTTTAGCATATCCCCCAATGCAGAATTATCGGATCATACAGATCAACAATTTAATAGTGCCCCTTTTTCATGTTAAGGTATTCATGTATATATACACACATGTATGTACACACACACATGTATTTACATTGTAAGATTTTCTTATGTGTTTGTATTTTATATTTTTATGTAATTATTCTTATGGTTTTAATGTGCACATAAAATTCTCTACATTTTACAAAGCATGTAGTTGCTAGCAAAATTCCAGTAAGTGCCCTCAGTTGGCTATGGTTTGGGATGGGAAATGAGAGAGGGAAACTGCTGAGTCCTATTATCTCCCAGAACCCTTTTTTTCTTTTAAATTTTGTGCCTGGTTTCTATAAATTAGGCCATACTGCCCCCAACCTAATATAAGCCATTGCCACCAATAGTTCCTATAACAGAATAATTTTTTTTTTTTTTGAGACAGAGTCTTGCTCTGTTGCCCAGGCTGGAGTGCAGTGGCACGATCTCAGCTCACCGCAACCTCCACCTCCCGGGTTCAAGTGATTCTCCTGCGTCAGCCTCCCGAGTAGCTGGGATTACAGGCGCCTGCCACCGTGCCTGGCTAATTTTTGTATTTTTAGTAGAGATGGGGTTTCACCATGTTGGCCAAGCTGGTCTCAAACTCCTGACCTTGTGATCCACCCACCTTGGCCTCCCAAAGTGCTGGGATTACAGAAGTGAGCCACCGTGTCCAGCCCAGAAGAAATTTTAATTGGCAAGAAACTTGACCATTACGAAATAGAATGTGTCCTTCACCATTTATGCTGAATTTCAGTTGTGCCATCTTTATATTTCTGAGGCAATGTAAAGCAAACCTGCTGTAGACCAGGATACTGAAAGGGCCATTCTATATCAGGCAATTTTTGAAGCCTTTATTACAATCTGTGAACTAATTTAATATGTTATAAATGAATACTCAATTAATAGTCATACATTTTGAGTCCACACCCCCCCTTTGCCATTTATATGAGATAAAATATAACTGTTTCATTTTCATGTCTGTAAAAATCTTTTCGGCCTTTCCAGGAACCCATCTGGATGCATTTACACGATGCACTTTCCATCATTTCAAAATTTATTAAATTTTATAGCACCTTCCATGTTATGGGCGCTCAATAAATTGCCATCACCAAGTTAAATGATGGGGTAATAAGGACAGGACTCTGGTTGTTCACACTAATGACACAGTTTGCATTGATGATGAAGTCCCCAGAACAGAGGGCAGGAGGAGCCACCTGTATGAGGAGTGTGTGGGGAGGAGCTGTCCTTTACAGCCCGCTGTAAGGATCATGCTGTACAAATAAACCTAACTGTGTGGGTGGTCCTTTCTCTGCCCCCTTCTGCTTTTAGAGACTTAGAAGAGCTGCCAAAGTACCTATAGGAGGTGTTTGATTTAAAAGGAAACACACCAGTTATGCCTTCTTGTAGGGGCATGTGAGCCAGTAGAGTTTGCAGCTGCATGGAGAGATGAAGCAAAACTCTGAACATTCAACTGCATTAAAAAAAAAATCATGCCAAGAGGGCCTTTGAGCAAGAAATTCTTGCAGATTTATGACACCCGATGCCTGAACTCTGTGTGTGACATCAGGGTTATGGCTCTGTAAGCTCTTAACCCTGCAGCTGACCCAGTCAGCTTCTGGCTGTACTAGGGGTTGATGCGGTTCACTGTGGTTGTTTGTAGACCTCAGAAAAGCACGATGATTATTTACAGATTTCCAGAATCTCTACTGGATTCTTTGCTTTTCCTTTCTCACAAGGAAACTTTCCAGGATACAGAGCACAACAGGATCTGAATGGCAGTGAATTCTCTTTAACATATCTCTTCAGGGTGATGGGGGCTTCACTGGTATAGAGGGGTCAGGGTCAGCCCCTGTTGTTTCTGCTTATGGGTTGGAGACCCCCTATATGTGCAAGAAATACACTAAGCCAACTTACTCCATTAATGATGATAGCATGGCTTTGTATATTAGGATGTGTGTGCATATGTGAATGATAGGATATACGTTAATAGTTTGTAATAATAAAAGATTGAAAGCAACATAAATCTGCATTAAAGACACTTATTAAAAAAACCGTGGTATATCCACACAATGGAATACTATGCAGCTATAAACAAGATGCACCAATATGGAATGAACTCCAACACTTACTTGTAAAAAGCAAGGTACAAAGTAGAGCATATACATGAATATTGATTGTCTTTAAAGAAAAGGAAAGAGGGAGAATATGCTTGTTTGCTTAAATAGTATAACATTTGTCTGGAAGGCTAGATAAGAAGCTAATAGTATTAGTTGCCTCTAGGGAGGAAACTGAGGAGTTGGAGGACACACATGGAAGGGATGCTGTTCACTGTACAGCCTTCTATGCCTTTTGAATATTGAGCTGAATAAATAAAATATTGAAAGAAGACAGTGTTGGAATAAGGCCTGGGGAATTGAAGCTTGGGGTGGAGGTGACAAGTGAACCCCAAGAGGGCAGGAAGCCAAGCCTCTGCCCCACTCCCCTGCTTTTTTTTAACCATACGGTCCCAGTGTAGATGTAGCTAGCACATGTAGATCCTCAATAAATATTTGTTAACTGAAAAAATACATACCACATGGAAAAATCACCCTTTAATTTTAATGTGTATATTACATACTTAAAAATATCATTGCCATTAAATATGAAAATTGTCTTGACCAGAAAGAAAAACAAAAACAAAAAAAGAGTTCAGAACAAATAGTGGTCTTGGTCAGGAGAAAATGAGTTCGGGTTTGGATACATTATTTTTATCAGTGTTTCTCATGTTTTTCCTATTCTGTGTGAACTCCTGTCTTCAGATTTAAATAGTTGATTATATGAACTGAAATTGTAGAATGGGAGAATTTTATTGCTAATCAGATTATCCTAGGCTTTGTGGTTAGAGACAGGCTGTGAGTCCTGAGTCTGCTTTTCTTTTCATTATACTCAGCTTCCCACCTTTTTTCTTATCTTCCTGTCTGGGACATTTCATTGCTTATGAGCTACAGACCTGATGTGTTTCATGCCAAAGCATAAACTCTTTAAGGGAGATTGGCTGTGACCTACACGGCACCCACATTCTGCAACACGGGATTGTTGGGTGCCTCAGGATGGGCCAGCTGGGGTGTAGATAGAGCACTTGAAATTACACACTGTGTTGTTTTCACTGGGATTTGCACACTTGAGTTAAAATTCTCAGATGTCAAGAAAAGCAAACCAATGTTTTGTAATGCACCACAGTCCCCTGATTGGTCTCAAGCAGTGAATTGCAGCCACATGGTCACCATGAGGAGGAGGATGAATGACAGCTGATATCAACATGATCATTTCAGGAGAAATATGACTAGACACCCAGAGAGACAAGTGGATTATGCAAAGAGGGGAACCCTTGCACCCACTTGAGAAGTGTGTCTCAGTTTGGGGAAGAATAATTAAATTCCAAATTGAGCATGTTACTGAAAGGAGAGACAGGATAAAAAGCAACTATCTTTAGACCCCTGATGAGGGCATTTCTACAAAGCCTAATGTGTAAAAGAAGTTAATAGAATTCTATACAACATAGTAAATAGCTGGTTCCTATTAAAAGAAAAGTTTTCTGAGAAACCAAAACCCAACAAAAGAGTCATGCCCTCAAGTATATGTGCATGGACTTGTGAGGAGTGAGTTGTAAAGTATTAAGCAATTAAGGTTTATATCCACTTACTTACATATAAGAAAACCAAAGCTGAGTTTAAATGGCTATGATATCGGAGAAACAGAGAATAGGATATGGAACATTTATTTCCTTTTTTTGTATTTAAAATTTTTTTTCAACAAACAGCTGAATGTTACACTCATTTGTGGAGTAACAAATGGTCCCTGGAATGAATATATCTCTCTTTTGAGCTTTCTATTTGGATAATAGAGTTGCCACAAACCATTACCCCCAACAGATGCAGTCCTATCTTCCCTTGAAGTCATGGCCCTTAAGGTCTTAAATTTGGCACTGTAAGAGTTAACAGGGAAAGCTGTAAACATCCAGATTCCCGGGCCCCACTCCTGGTTATCAAGATTGAGTAAATTGGGATTGGAGTCCAGAGATAGGAATAGTTTTGAAGTATGCTAGGAGATTTTGGTGCAGGTGGCACGTGGCCTACTCTTTCAGAAACCCCTTTCCAGTGTTTCTGTTTGTTTGTTTATTTTTGGTTTTGGTTTGGCTAAATAAAGGCTAACTTTCACTAGAAAGCAAAGCCAAGAAATACTAAAGCTGGGGTCAGCAAACCTTTGGCTGTGGGCCAAATCTAGCCCTTCTTTTATTTTTGTAAATACTGCTTTATTGGAACGCAGCCATGCACATTTGCTTAGGTATTGTTGATGAAAAGAGTCAAACTCTGTAAAATATTTGAAGAGATTTATTCTGAGCCAAATATGAGTGACCATGGCCCATGACACAGCCCACAGGATGTCCTGAGAACACGTGCCCAAGGTGGTCGGGGTGCAGCTTGGTTTTATACATTTAGGGAGACATGAGATTGAAATCAGGTACATTAAGAAATACATTGGTTGGGTTCAGAAAGTCAGGACAACTGGAAGGGGTGGGGGAGCTTCCAGGCTATAGGTAGATTTACATTTTCTGTTGACAATTGGTTGAGTTTATCTAAAGACCTGGGATCAATAGAAAGGAAATGTCTGGGTTAAGATAAAGGATTATGAAGACCAGAGTTCTTATTTGCAGAGGAAGCCTTCAGGTAGTACGCTTCAGAGATAATAGGTTGTAAAGTGTTTCTTATGAGACCTAAGGTCTGTGTTGAGATGAATGCTGGAGAAGTATCATGAGGCATGTCCTACTTCCATCACGGCCTGAACCAGTCTCAGGTTAAATTTTAAGAGTGCCCTGGTTGAAGAGGAAGTTCATTCAGACAGATGGGGGACCTTAGGATTTTATTTGTAATTTACAGTATAGTCTGTGGCTGCTGTCACACTACAATGACAGAGTTGAGTGATTGCAAAAGAGACCGCAAAACCTAAAATATTTACTATCTGACCCTTTACAGAAAGTTTGCCAACCACCTGCTAAAGGATGAACATTTACCTGATGTGTTACATTTACTCCCCTTAGAACAAATAAGACCTTCACCAGGAGACTTTGATACTTTGCTAGTCTGTCGGAAGTCTGTCTCCAATAGCCACATATGATAAAATGAGCTAGAATGGAGCACGTTCAAAACACAAGATTGAAGTGAAGTGGCATACATCTTGCAGTCGACGATGTGTCTTAGGCCACTGAAATAAATGATTTCATTTTATTTGCCAAAGTGTGACTTGGGGTGAAGGAGACACCTGGCCTGGCCTCGTGCTAGATTGGACCCTCGATGTGTACACACGACTTGTTCTAATATCACTTTTCATTGGAAGTAGACAGGTGCAATTAAGTAACCTAGAGAAGGGGGTAAAACACAGGTCTTCATTTTCCCATTGAGAGAGAACTCTGTCCCTAATTCAGTTGGTGGGAAATGGATTTCTTGGCTTTGATAATTAAGCTGGCAAAGCAAATTTGGTTCCAACATTTTAATGAGCCAGTGTGGGTGGCCAACAAATTGCAGGTTCAGACGTAAATGTTTCAAACCTGGGTGGCTGGCTTTTAACCCTGGGGCAAATTCTATGATGGTAAGGAAATTTTAGGCTGGTAGCCAAGTTCAAAGAGTCTTTGCCAAATATTAAGAAAAATGCCTATTTGAGGCAATTTTAAGTTATTTGAGGACAGGATTATGTTGTTCATTGGATGTGATTGAGATGATAAATTAACATCATTTGAGTCCACTCAAATTGTATACTTGTGAACATTCATACCTGTGTTTTTGTGTCTGAACTTCATACACAGAGGATTATCTTGAAAGAGAGGGAGACATGAGAAAGGAGAAAGTGGTCTTGCTCCTCTCTTCCTGCTTTCCAGTGCCCAACTGCTAAGGTATTCAGGCCTGGTTTTCTGTCTGGGGATAATCAAAATCTGGGTTCTTATGTAATGTAAGACCACTCTTTGGGGAAAAAAATGAGTTCAGACCTGAGAAATGAAGGGTTAATACTCATTGAATTTTCACTTTCATGGAGAGGCTGCATTTGAAGCAAAACCCCGCTGGGCTCTGTGAGCGAACTTTGCATCACAAAGGTAGGGCAGATTTGCAGAAGAAAGTAATAGATTTCAATTTAGGTTGCTTTTCAGCCTGAAAAATAGTCTGAATTCTATTACTGATCCTGTTAGCAGAGATAATAATGAAATGCAAAGCAAGTATGGTTTAAATGTTAAAAAAAAACAAAAACAAAACTTGTAAAAATACCACTGTGGGTTCTTGATTTATGCTTTCTCATTACTCAGTAGGACAAAATACGATTTGACATAATGTTCACTGTGTGGTTACCCTGGGGTCAGAAAACTAAGCCCTGTTACCTAATACTTCTTACATTTGCAAAAGTAATCACGACTGTGACTCGAATCGGACTGGAAAATCTATTGACTTAGAGATAGAAAGATATTAGGAATCTCTTACGTTACTTTTTCTTATTCACCTACTGACAACTTATACAGACTTTGTAACTTTTCTGATGAAAGGGTATCCAGGTGGATAATTACGTATTTTATGCTCTTAAACAAGTTAAGAACTGGAGTTGTATTTTTTGCTATTGTTTTTAAAAGTCAATATGTTGTGGCTGTTAAAAAGCATTATTTTGTGTATGTATCACTAATAACTTATGTTAGCACATAATGAGTATGACCATCAAGATCAGTAACACTCTCTTCTTTCATTGTACCAAACATAATGTAGCCTGCCTGGAATCTTTTTGTGTATGAAAAAGAAAAAAATAGCATCTTCCATTGGAAGTTCTGGTTAAGAGTAGCCTTATTATCTACACCTCCTTCCATGAAACTCTGCTTCTGATTTCCTAACTCTTCTGGGGGTTTATACCCTTCAGCTTTTTCCACGAGCTGCTATTTCTTTCTAGAATGCTCCGAAGGCCCATCTGTACCCATGGGGGCCTCTCTCTCCGGGTGCCAGCTTAGTTTCAGGTTGTTCACATCGTATTATCTGTGTTCCCCTGTTCCTCTAGGTAGCTAAAGGTCAGGTCTGGCTCCTTTGTGTTGCAGAGCCTGGCATGCAGTAGGTGCTTAGTGACAACCGTTTGAGGATATCGACATACTAAAATCCTCTAATCTTTTTCCTTTAAATATACTTATTCAGAAATAATTACAAACTTATGGAAAAATTGCAAGAATATAACAAAAAATTCCCATATGCCCTCACTCAGATGCCACAAAACTCAAGGTAATCATACTTGTTTTCTCTCTCTCAAGACACGTGTGTGTGTGCATATACACATTCTCTTTCTGTATATCATTATTATTTAATTTTCTGAACTATATGAAAGTTGGTTGTTGACACAGTGCCTCATTTACCTCTCAAACTTGTTCTCCCTCTAAAAATCTGTTTTCTAAAAGATTCAGAATTCTCTTTTACCTAACCACAGAACAACCATCAAAATCAGGATATTAACCTCGATATAACTCTACTATTGAATGCATAAACCCCATTAAAAATTCACTGATTATCCCAGGCCGGGCACGGTGGCTCATGCCTGTGATCCCAGCACTTTGGGAGGCCGAGGCAGGCGGATCACGAGGTCAGGAGATCAAGACCATCCTGGCTAACACGATGAAACCCCGTCTCTACTAAAAATACAAAAAAAAATTAGCCAGGTGTGGTGGTGGCCGCCTGTAATCCCAGCTACTCAGGAGGCTGAGGCAGGAGAATGGCGTGAACCTGGGAGGTGGAGCTTGCAGTGAGCTGAGATCGCACCACTGCACTCCAGCCTGGGCAACAGAGCGAGACTCCATCTCAAAAAAAAAAAAAAAATCATTGAGTATCTCAATAATGTCTTGTATAGATAGATCTACAATCTGATCCAGGATCATGTATTACATGTAATTGTCATGTAGTATTTTTTTTTAATTCCTTTTTTTTTTTTTTTTTTTGAGACGGAGTCTTACTCTGTCACCCAGGCTGGAGTGCAGTGGCATGATCTCGGCTCACTGCAACCTCCACCTCCCAGGTTCAAGCAATTCTCCTGCCTCAGCCTCCCAAGTAGCTGGGATTACAGGAGCCCACTACCACGCCCAGCTAATTTTGTGTATTTTCAGTAGAGTCGGGGTTTTGCCATGTTGGATAGGCTGGTCTCCAACTCCTGACCTCAGGTGATCCACCTGCCTCAGCCTCCCAAAGTGCTGGGATTACAGGCATGAGCCACCGCACCTGGCTGTATTTTTTTTTTTAAGTCTAATCCAATAACGTTGTAGAATTACCTTGTCCCTTAATTTGGTAGTGTTGGATGTTTCCTCATAGTTAGATGCAAATTATGCTGTCTTTTTTGTAGAAATAAATGGTGCAGAAGGGAGGCTGAGTTCTCAGTGCATCATGTTAGCAAGTACGTGAGGCTGACTTGTCTTATCACTGGTGGTATTAACTTTTATCACTTCAATAAAATGGCATCTGCCAAGTTTCTACATGATAAATTCAAGTAACAAGTATTTGGTGCTTAGTAACTAACAGGTAGTTAATAAATATTTTATAAGGAGCCACTAAAAACTATGTAAATATTCTGTTCTTCATTAGAATTTTATCTACCCATTTTAGCATCCGTTGATGATTCTCGTCAGAATCAATTATTACCAAATGGATGCCATTATTACCAAATTGGTGCCAAATGGTGATTTTCTACCTTCTCATTCTTTGTAGATTTATAAGTTGGTATTCCACTGTGAAGTAGAAGTTTTTCTCCCCCGTTTACTTATTATTCATTCATTTATCTTTATCAGTACAGATTCATGGCATCTTACTTGATTCAATGGTCTATATTCCATTACTATCAGCATTTATTTTGATGCTCAAGTTTTCCCAGATTTGGCCAGTGGGAATCTCATCAACTTGTGTCTTGTGTTCTTTCTACATGTCCCCGTCATCCTTTGAGCGGTTCCCTTACTTTATAATAAAACAAGATGTTTCAGACTCACCTTTTATGTTCCCTGCACTATAATCAGCTATTTCTTTAAGGCTGTCTGGTTTTTTTTAGTAGAGAATAGTGTTTATTAACCAAGATCTGGGTGCTGTGTTTGCACATTGCTACTGGAAGGTTGCTGCTTCTAGGGAACAGAGATAGAAAAATATTTGAGTGTATACACGTGCACACACACGTCTATATCAATTTCTAGATGTCTGTCTATACTTGAAAAATCTTATGCTTACATTGGTATTCCAATCCTAATCTAACACTCTAGGTTTGTTCTACTCTTTCCTCTTTCCATATTTATAACTCCCTCTTTGAGAAGAAACTGACCTATGTTGTTGTCAATATACTTACATTTTTGCTCAAGCCTCTGTGTACACCCAATTCTCACACTTATGGGCTGCCTCCTTTGCTCTGATCCACTGGCCCTGACCCCAAAAAGACGTGATAATTCTTAATTGGCAAGATAGATGAAACTGAAGTAAGGAGAGAAAGAGACTGAATGTATAGAAAGAGAAATGAGAGAGAGAGAATATAGTATTCTGCATAGTCTGTAAAACCAAGCCCCATGCATTGTCTCAAGGCAGGTTTTTGACTTCTACAGCCTCAGTAGCCATGAGGTATGAAATATCTCTGTCGGGGAATATGAGTAATTTGCCATTTCTTCAATGATACAAACAAACCTGATTTCCCTTATTTTGGGAGGGGGTTTGTGATCTCAAATGTGAAGCATAGTTAATAAGGATAAAACGTTACTTTTGCATTGAAAGCAAAAATCTTAGTGGAAGAACTTGAAAAGGCAAACTATATATATTATGGATAGTGCAAACATTTCTGTGTGTGTGTAAAGAATAAATAAGATTTTAATTGTTTTTATTAATAAATTAAATAACCTAACCAGTAAAAAGTGCTAATAGAGCTGATGTAATGTATTTACAGCTCTTACTTACCTGGCTCTTAAATGACTTGGGTGTGTTTGTATTTGTGGGTAAGTGGGTATATGTGCACATGTGGACACACACTGAGAGTGGTGTGTTTCCCCACATCTGTCTACATCACCAGAGAGGTAGAGATAATTTCCTTTAGTTTTAGAAGAGGGACTTGGCAGAGACTACTCTTTTAGTTGAAAAATGTAAAATATCACATGAAGTGTTGATTTTTGGAGTGCTTTTCTTGCATAACTACATGCTTTTTCAGACTACAGAAAGGTTAATGACAAAATCTGAAAGAATGATTTAGAAAGATTTTTATCTAAATAAAGCAAACTAGAAAGAAAGGAAGTTTATCACTGACATTATAAAAGTTACCCTTGGGAAAATAGTTACCTATAAATTAATCTGTGGCCCTTTGCTCTAAGAATGCCTTTTATATCTCCAGCTAACATCAGATCTTCTTGAAATCAATAGTAATCTGATTGCCTCCAGAGAACAGTTGCCCTCCTGTGTTTTAAGCCACAGAGGAACTGTACATTTTTGTGATAAGCATAATTTAGAGGAGAATTATATTTTCTTTCTTAATCTATTACCTACTGGTGCTGCCTTATCCTGTTACTCACATTTCCTTTTCATCATTAAGTTGATAGCACAGAAAAAGAAATGTGATATTAGTATTGGTAGCAGTGTACCTTAATTTGGAAGGGTAGGAAATAATAGCTTTCTTAAACTGTACCTCATGTGTTACAAAGATTAGCCCCCGTGTCTAGGGTATCAGTTAACATTGCTCTCTGGTGGATTTTATCTTGTGTTCTGTAGACTGCGAAGAGATTTTTATAGAATTTTAGATGCAGAATGAATGAAAGGAGAAAAATCACCTTCAGTTGATGATGCAGGATGTTCGATGCTATTCCTCCTCCAGGTAGACTTCTAGTCTTCCACTATTTGTCTGCAAGCAATTTTCGTGTCACTTATAAATAATCAAAAAACGGAATCCATGTTAGGTTTAAAGAAAGGATTTAGGAATCTGAGCACGGCTTTGACTGATACAAGGAGATAACAGAAAAAGCTGAAATAGAGGAAGGAAATGAGAGTGGAGGACTAATAATAGCAGGAAAATTTGAAGATATAGTTAATGTTCTGAGAATTTTTCCACTGCAACTCAACTATTAGGCTTGTTAGGAGCATCTGAGTGTATTTAGCTTCATGAACTTCAACTCATATTTCTGGACGCCTAAGTTCAAGTTATGTTGAAGAAGCATGCTCAGATGGTCTGGAGAAGTTAGGTGTTGAGGGTTGAATCACAGGAATGTGTTGGATAACCCTGGGTGTTACCTAGCTTTGAAAAGAAGATGATTCAGGCCAAGATCTATGTCCCAGTCACTAGGTGATTGTGCAGTATAGGTACAGTAAGAGACATTTCCTTGGCCTCCTGCTCAACAAGCTCAGAGCCAATGTACAGTACTTGGTCAGCAAAACAAGAGTCTTCTTTGAAGACTTAGACTGTGCAGTATAAGAAACTTGCTGCTATTGGAGAGCTTTGGAGATCCACCTCTGGGAGGGGTGGATACCATTCTGACACATCCAATCACCATCATCAGTAGAGATCACTGATACATTGAAGAGGTGTGAGCTACTGGGAGATGGTTTTTGCTAGGAGGTTTACTCATTATTTATTTTCACTACCGCTGAGTCAAATTCAATGGGGGTAGATGGTATTTTCTTTCTTTTTTTTTTTTTTTTTATTATACTCTAAGTTTTAGGGTACATGTGCACATTGTGCAGGTTAGTTACATATGTATACATGTGCCATGCTGGTGCGCTGCACCCACTAACGTGTCATCTAGCATTAGGTATATCTCCCAATGCTATCCCTCCCCCCTCCCCCGACCCCACCACAGTCCCCAGAGTGTGATTTTCCCCTTCCTGTGTCCATGTGATCTCATTGTTCAATTCCCACCTATGAGTGAGAATATGCGGTGTTTGGTTTTTTGTTCTTGCGATAGTTTACTGAGAATGATGGTTTCCAATTTCATCCATGTCCCTACAAAGGACATGAACTCATCATTTTTTATGGCTGCATAGTATTCCATGGTGTATATGTGCCACATTTTCTTAAGTACAGAATCTGGTCAATAGAGTTTCCTGGGTCACTTGAATCATGGTTACCTGTGGCATGGTATGGGGGTGAGAGGTGGGGTGACACATCCCCTTTCTAGACTTGAGAGACAGGCAGTGGACACCAAAAGTGGGAGGGATGTGGGTTGGCAGTCTGACTAATATGTCCCCTGATGATAGGCCAGCACATTCTGTTATTTCGGTTGGAGGCTGAAGTTATTTTGCTGGGCAGGCTGTATTTAAATTGCTTGTTTGGCTTCAGTAGTGGCAAAGATAGGAACACAGGTCCTTTGTGCATCCCCTTTGGAGGAGCACATTGTTAATTAAACAGTGGGTGCCTACTTACCCAAAAAAGCATTGAAGTTAGATACAAAACATTTTTAAGCCTAGGACTTGAGCCATGTAGGCACTTAAAGAGAAGTCTAATCCTTGGCATAGCTGGCAAATACTTTATGGCTTATTGTCTGTACTTTCCTGAGTCTCAAGCACCTCCTGGAGTTCACAAGCTATCTGAAATTGCCCAGGAAGAAGTTCTGGTAATGCATTATGGGACCATCCATCTTTCCACGGATCTGCTGGTATACAAATCTCAAGAGAGCAAGATATTGGCGTAACATTGCCATGAGCTCAACAGAAGCTGACTCAGCTGCCTTTATGCCCAAAGGAAGAGTTCTCAGCCTAATAGATGCAGAAGAGAGTGACCAGCTTCTCCATGTTTTCCCATGGTGGGGGGAGGAGAAGGCTCTAGAATAATGTGGCATCTGGGAAAAGAGGAAATACAGGGAAGGTTGGCCTCAGTGTGAATTTCTACAAGGGGGAAATACCTCCCTCATTTGAATTATGAGAAGCAGAGTTGTAGGTAGGGGTGTTGCAGGAATAGGGTTGAGGAGGGGGCAGATAGAGCTATTAAGAGGTGTCACAAAGAGACACTGAGAGCTGCTAGTCCTGCAAGATATCATGGAATGAGTCAAGATTGGGACCTGGAAATCAGAGACAAGAGCATGAATTTGACAGTGGATAGATAAATGAGTTCTGTCTAAGAGCATCCTGTTTTGTTTTGTTTTGAAATGGAGCCTTGCACTCTGTCACCCAGGCTGGAGTCAGTGGTGCAATCTCCACCCACTGCAGCCTCCGCCTCCCAGGTTCAAGCCATTCTTCTGCCTCAGCCTCCCAAGTAGCTGGTACTACAGGCATGTGCCACCATGCCGGGCTAATTTTTGTACTTTTAGTAGAGATGGGGTTTCGCCATGTTGGCCAGGCTGGTCTTGAACTCCTGACCTCAGGTGATCCACCTGCCTCGGCCTCCCAAAGTGCTGGGATCACAGGCATGAGCCATGGTGCCCAGGCTCCTGTTTTTATTCATCATGTTTTTTTTTTTAAATGAATTAACTACATAGGTTATAGAATATTCACTTGATTGTCATTATACAAAAATGACATGTACTTTTTATATTGAATTGTTCACAGTTTTGTTCTTCTTTGAACACTATTCTTCCTAGATACCTAAACTTCATGAGCCATTTCAATTTTCTGGGCAATCATTGGCATGGTCTAACTTTCAACTTTATGTACCTGTATTAGTTTTCTATGCTGCTGTAACAAATTGTCACAAATTAAGTGGCTTAAAACAATCCACATACCATGGGCTAAAATCAAGGGGCCAGGAGGGCTGCTTTCCTTTCTGGAAGTTCTAGGGCAGAATCTGTTTCCTTGCCTTTTCAGCTTCTAAAGGGCTGCCTGCATTCCTTGGCTCATGCCCCCTAATACCATCTTCAAAGCCAACAAAGTCAGGTTCAGTGCCTCTCATGTTGCATCTTACTGACCCTGCTCCCATCATCACAGCTCAGTCCCTGACTTTCTGTTCTGCCTCTCTGTGATTACATCGGGCCCACCTAGATAATCCAGGATAATCTCCTGAAGTCTCTTTTGCCATGCAAGGTAATACATTCACAGGTTCTGGGAGTTAGGCCATAAACATCATTGAGGGCCATTATTCTACCTACCAATAAATAAGGGCATTGTTGATACCGCCTGAAATGCAGAAGATGCTTGTTGTTCTATAGTGCATGTGGTTTATGTATGACATAAAGTATGACTCACTTTGGGGTACGCTGGCAAATGGACTTTTGGACAGTTCCAATTATCATCAGAATAGATTTGCTAATTTAATTCTACTTTTTAGAGTGGAATTAGATTCTGAAGTTTTAAAATTACGTGAGATTTGTTCTTCTAACAGAGGAGTCTGTAGCCTTTCATTGAAAAAAGAAGAGTCTGGGGCCGGCCGCGGTGGTTCACACCTGTAATCCCAGCACTTTGGGAGGCAGAGATGGCCTCACTTGAGGTCAGGACTTTGAGACTAGCTGGACATCATAGTGAAACCTTGTCTCTACTAAAAATACAAAGATTAGCCAGGCATGGTGGCGCATGCCTGTAATCCCAACTCAGGAGGCTGAGGCAGGAGAATTGCTTGAATCCAGGAGGTGGAGATTGCAATGAGCTGAGATCACACCACTGCACTCCAGCTCGGACAACAGAGCAAGATTCTGTCTCAAAAAAGGAAAAAAAAAAAGCGTCTAAACTCCCGAAGAGAGGATTCAGTGAGAATATTAGTCATGATCCTGGCTTGCCATTTTCTTAACTTTGAAATTATTCTAGTTTGTAAAAAAAAAAAAAAAAAACCAACAACAAAAACACTAATTGTGAATTAGATTGTACTCTGTATTCATTAAAAGAAAAACTTGACATGATATTTAGATGAACATATGCGGTTTACTAAAACAGATGGTAGAGAATTTTTACCCTCAAGCATGTATTTTTAAAAGTGTGTTTTTGTTTTTATGACTTTTTGAAGTGATTGGATTAAGGAGAGTAAGAAATTCTTCCTATAACAATCTATTTTCATTTGTTCTTTTTGGAGAAAAAAAGCTTTTTCATAGAGGTTGTCAAATGTTGCCATATGTTTAAGAATGAATTTGAACCATTCACTTTCTGAATCTTAATCCCTTCTGAATTATACGTAATTTGACAGAAGTCAAATATGTTGACTTCTGTCAAATATATATATTTGTCAAATATATCTGTCAGGATATATGACGTCTGTCAAATTACGTATTTGTTCAACTTAGGTCTGATAGTGGATGCTCCTAAGTACTTTGTTAGTCTATATTATTTATTTATTTATTTATTTATTTATTTACAAAGAACACTATAATTGTGCTCTTTCACTGGTTTTTATTTTAATGCCTGACTTGAGGTCAAGAATTATGTGTAGAAAGAGCACAGACAGAACAAAATCATAAGTTAATAATGCCGTTATATTACTGGAAAAATTAAGCATGCAGAGCTAGTTATAGCAGTATAATATTTTGGGAAAATATTTAAATTATCGTATGCTCCTTAGGTTTTAAAAACCTATGTTTCATTCACTTAAGACAAGCAGATAATGTGCTATTAAGAGCACAGACTCTGGAACCAGATTGCCTGGGTTAAAATTCTTGGCTCTCACTTTCTAGATTTATGTCCTTGGCAGGTTACTTGGCACCACTTGGTTTCACTTTTCTCACCTGTAAAATGGAGAGAGGACTAAATGAATTTATGCACATAAAACACTTGGAGCAAATAAAAGTATTTGCAATGATGATGATGATTGTTTATTATTATTATTAAGCTTTGGAGCAAAAGTATTCATTAAGTAATCATTACTGACCACCTACTAAGTATCAGACACTTTTCAAGTCTTAATGAATCATTAAATTAATCAGATCAACATCAGAAACAATTTAATGTTACAGTAACATTTTATAACCAATAGTACATTGCGGTTAACTTTTCATTAGTGTTCCATTTGAATAAGTCAGCTGAAAACAGATTTGCCTCTTCCTTAAAAATTAGAAAGCACATGCTATTTATTTGGGAGGGAACAAGCAGGAATTGCTCAAAATATACATAACCTACCAGAAACACAATGGCACCAATTCCTTGGAGTAAGAAGTGGAAAATTCATTTAAGAAGAGATGTGCTCCAGATCTAGCTGAGGGTACCCAGGGACAAAGTGGACATTTCAAGTTAAGCCCTGGGATGGATGGATGGATGGATGGATGGATGGATGGATGGATGGATGGATGGATTTTAGTGACGTTTAAGATTAACCATGTTTCACATTGCTAGAGGAAAGAGGTCTTAATGTACGTCTTTATATGGGCGTGCACCTCTGCACCTGGGTCCGCTGTAACCATGCATATGGCTTTGGCCTTGCTCATCCCACACAGCCATGTGAGCAGGCACCCTCTGCACTAATGACCCTCTCTAGGCCCAACTTCCCTATCTGGAAAATGCAGAAATCTTCAGCCATGTGTGAGCATCATTGTGAAGCGGGCAGAGCACATGGGCTAATTATATATTGTATGAGATTCCAGACACAAGAATTAAGTGTTCTCTGTGCTGTTCAGTCTACTTCCAAAATCCGGCTCAAATCCACCCCACTCTCACCATCTCTACTTGCCCTTTTGAGGCCATCATTTCTCTGCTGGACTCTGCACCAGCCTCTCCCTGTGATCACTGTGTTCTCCTGGTTTCATGACTCACAGACGAGTGTTCTCCTTATTTTTACCCTCGGTTTGTTTGGAATGGTTGGGGGTTCACTTTTATATATTCAGAAACACTTGTTTTAATACTTTGTTCTTTGTAGTCCTCTTCTTTCTAATAGTTACTCATAGCTTCAATTCTCAAAACACAAAACAATTTTACCAACCCATCATTATGTATTTCTCTACTTGCTTTGGTCTGACCTAGGGACTATTATTTTGGAAGGTGTTTTAAAAAGTAATTTCATAGTTTGTGACTTAAAGTGCAAGAACATCCTGGGGTTAGTAGCACAGGAAAAGACTTGCATATCACTTTGTTAACATTTAAAAACCACCAGGCACTACACTTAAAAGATGGATGATGAATGCCACATAAAGCCTACAACTCCTGAAGCCTCTTGTCCATGAGGCTGGGTGAGTGAAAAACAGCAAAACCTGAGATCTGTGATTTTTAAGGTAATTGGAGAAACCAATACCTCCCTAAAATAGTTCCCTTAATAGAGTGACTTACTGAATTGCTCAAAGTTCAGACATGAGGAGGTGCTTTGTAGAATTTGCTGGAAACTGGACCACACCCACCAATTTCTTGCCAGTTTGTGGCAAGTGGGCCAGGTTTTGTCTGGCAACATGATGCATGCATTCAAAAACTGTATTTTCTATTATCCTTTCATTTCTACATTTATAGTATAACTAGTTTAGAGCACAAAAGAGATATGGCAATTAATATGGGAAGTGATAGACCCAACACATATTCTATCCAATTCTATCCCCACAAAGACGACCGGACTAAGCAGCAGCCCCAGGGTCTTGCCGCATCGTTTCCTTTCGGGAGCACTCACCCACAATGTGTTGGGTGCCACAATGCACTGAAAATGTGACCACTGCCCTTGATCATAGAACTATGGAACCTTAGTGCTAGATGAGACCTTAGAGGTTTTCTAGTCCAGTGGTTTTTTGGATTAGAAACTAGGAAGAGCATTACTTGGGGACTGTCAAGTAAAAACATTTTTAAAAATTCTACCATCAAGAAATTACGCTAAGTGAAAGGAGCAAGATGCAAAAAGACACTGTTTTATGATTCCACTCATTTGAAGTACCTAGAGTAGTCAAATTCATAGAAACGAAAATAAAATGGTGGTTGCCAGAGACAGGGGGGAGGAGGAAATGGGGAGCTATTGTGTAATGTGTAGAGTTTCAGTTTGGGCTAATGAGAAAGTTATGGAGAGGGATAGTGGTGATGACTGCACAACATTGTGAATGTATTTAATGCCACTGAACTGTCCACTTAAAAATGGTAAATTATATATGTATTTTGCCACAGTAAAATTCTGCTTTCATCACCGTTGCTTGAAAGAAAAGAAATTTTTACATTGAAAAGAAAGGAAAATTAAAAGAAAGATGAAAGAAAAAGAAAGAAAAGGGGGGGGTGGGAAGAATCAATCTTGAAGGAAATTCCTTTAAAATGATTAAATATAACTTTAGGAAGCAGATCAACACATTGCCCTTTGTGCCCTTTGCTTTCGTCTTTCTCACAGACTAGACCAGCGCCGACTGTTTCGCAGCCACATACCAGCATCTGGAAGCTACTGTAACTTCTGCGGTACAATTCTCTCATTTTGCAGATGAAAAAATTCAGGTGCAGAGAGAGGAAGTGTCTTTTCCACAGCCACAGGGTGTATTTGTGACTGGGACAGTCATTTCATGACTCACAGACAAGTATTCTTTTTACTTTATTATTATAGGAAATTCGCCTTATAGTTTAGTTTTGTTTTATTAAGTCTTTATTGCTATTGGCTTCAGATTTAGTTATCACTTATAGAATCCCTTCTGAGTGCCAGGCATTGTATTTTCTATTTTCACTTAGCAGACATTTATATAGTGCTTATCGGAAGCAAGACACTGTGCTAAGTGCCCGACAAATAAGAAGTCATATAATCCTAACAGTAACCCTCAGAGATGAGAACAATTGTTATCCCCTATTTTAAAAATAAGGAAAACTAGCTGAGTGCGGTGGCTCATGCATGTGGTCCCAGCTACTCGGCAGGCTGAGGCAAGAAGATTGTTTGAGCCAAGGAGTTTAAGGCTGCAGAGAGCTATGATTGTGCCACTGCATTCCAGCCTGCACAGAGTACAGCCCTATCTCTTAAAAAAAATAAAAAAAAGAAAGTAGGTGGGGTGGAACTGAGACCCAGATTGCTTAAATACTTTCCCGAAGTCATATATAGGGCTAGTAAGTGGTGGATTCCAATTCAGTTTTGACTCACTGCAGTTAAACTCAATTACCCAACCTGATGATAAACAATGGGTCTAATACTTGTAAATACATTTGGTAGAATATTAATTGACTTTACTTATTTATTTATTTGAGACAATCTCTCTCTATTGCCCAGGCTGGAGTGCAGTGGCGCAGTCTCAGTTCATTGCAGCCTCCACCGCCTGGATTCAAGCGATTCTGCCTCAACCTCCTAAGTAGCTGGGATTGCACGCATGCACCACCACGCCCAGTTAATTTTTGTATTTTTAGTAGAGACAGGGTTTCGCCATGTTGGCCAGGCTGGTCTTGAATTCCTGACCTCAGGTGATCCACCTGCCTCGGCCTCCCAAAAGAATATTAATTGACTTTAAACCAAACACCGTAAATGTGTTCTTCCTGACTCTGAGATGTATCTGAGGATATTGTGAGATCTTTATTGAAATCATCCAAAATGGGATGCCAAGTTTTGGTGTGCATATTAATTTTTTTTAATCCTTGAAAAAACTATCAACTGAACATCTTGCTTATGGATATAATTTACATGTCTTAGTATGAAGCCCTTAGGATCTGAGTACAGCACAAGTGTAATTTAAAGATGTAGCTGAGACAGACCAAAAACTGATCAGCATCCCATAGAGTGAAATAACCATGTGCCGCGTTAGGTTGGGGTGATGGTGTCAGGACTATCACACATTGAGTTGGTTATAAACCTGATGGTGATTTAGTTGTTTGGAGGAGCATTTTCATCAGAAGTCCAAGTAATCTTGCATTGGAAAGTGAATTAGAAAATGCAAATCCAGTGGCATGAGCCTTAGGATACAATACCTTATTAGAGTTGGGATACCCAGTGGTGCAGTGTAGTCAGTTTCTATTTGGAGCTCGGTCAGATGAGTTTTAGTTGATATTTAGGTAAGGACTCAAAACTCCTGAAGTATTATATTCTTTGATTTGTTTTTCAACTTGCTTCTTAAAATTAACAAGCAATGCCAAGACAGTATTGTATTTCTATCTTTTCTTTGTCATAACTGTCAGAACAAATAGCCCATAGAAAAGCATGAGAAAAAGCCTTCATCTCAAATCGTTAATAACAAGAAAAGAAAGTATAGGAGCTCCCTTATCCAACACCATTTGATGGAATCATTCTTGACCCCCTGTCCTCCTGAGAAAAAGCACCAGATCATTCATGACCTTCTCACCACTGCTTCATTTAGGACTATGAAGACAGTATCATAGGGTATAATGAAACAGTTATCTGCAATGATAGAAAAATAGTATAAGCATGTTTTTTAAAATTGTGGAACCTGACCAGGCGCAGTGGCTCATGCCTGTAATCTCAGCACTTTGTGAGGCCAGGGCGGACGGATTGCTCGAGTTCGGGAGTTGGAGACCAGCCTGGGCAACACGGCGAAATCTGTCTCTCCAAAATATACAAAAATTAGCCAGGCATGGTGGCATGTACCTGTGATCCCAGCTACTTGGGAGAATGAGTTGGGAGGATCGCTTGAGCCCCGGAGGCAGAGCTTGCAGTGACCTGAGATCGTGCGACTGCACTCCAGCCTGGGTGAAAGAGAGAGACCCTATCTGAAAAAACAAAAACCAAAAAACGAACCCCAACTGTGGAACCTATAGAAAGAAAACTTAGCCTTGGCTTTAAATGAGGAGAACCAGAAAGTTCCAGGGAGAAAAAGTATATGTTCAAGATGAAAAGGATACCTTGTGGTCAGGGAAATTTAGGTGGAGGACAAGCAGGTTATAGATGTTCTAGTTTTGCTGGAAATAGTGTCACCTTTCCAACTGCCCACCTATAAACTTCACAGAGTTGTTCACTGTCTAGATCTCCAGCTCAGAGAAGCAGAGTGATTAAAATTCAACATGCATGAATCTCAATATTATTTTTGAAAAACATGCCTTTAAAACCACCCATTTCATCAAAAAGGTTAAAGGGAAAAACATTTCTCAAGATCTAAGCACAGTCTTAAGGGCTGGCGTAAACCGTGACAGTTTAAGAATGAAGTGTTTTTCTTATCAATATGAGCATTCTGTGAAATGGTTGATTTTGACAGAGGTAGTTGCTGTGTTGACCTTTTCACCGTCTTGTTTTTTGTTCATAAATTGATGCTGTTATTGAAACAATATGGGTAAGAGTCTGTCTTAGATATGTAATTTTTTCCATTTATTGTCTCCATGGTTTTACTTTGTTTAACAGATTTTAAAGACTTCAAAAGAATAGCACTAATATACCCAGGAGAAAAAGTCACATAAAGTTATAAGGTTCATTCCATTTTAACCGTGAATACATTTAAACAAAGATAAATAACATCCAATGTCAAAATAATCTTAATTCCTTGACCACATTTTAAAAATAAAACAATTTATTACCATTTAGTTACATCTTACAGGAAAACCCTTAGATACCAGTAGGTAACCATTAGATTTTTCTAGGTGAAAGTAAATCATTTCTGAGGAAGCATTCTCTTTACCAAAGCAGCATTATTTCCAATAAGGAAGCCACTCATTCATTTAGTCCTTGGTTTATTAAACAGTTACTGAGGCTGGGCACAGTTGCTCATGCTTGTAATCCCAGCACTTTGGGAGGCCAAGGTGGGCAGATTGCCTGAGCTCGGGAGTTCAAGACCAGCCTGAGCAATATGACGAAACCCTGTCCATACAAAAAATAGAAAAAGTAGCCAGGCATGGTGGTGCACGCCTGTAGTCCCAGCTACTCAGGAGGCCGAGGTGGGAGGATTGCTTGAGCCTGTGAGAAAGAGGTGAACCGAGATTGCGCCACTGCACTCCAGCCTGGGCAATAGAGAGAGATCCTGTTTCAAAAAACAAGAAAGCAAACAAACAAAAAACAGTTACTGAGGGCATACAATGAGCTAGGCACTATGCTATGTGGGGGGATTTTTAAATTTGAAAAATACAGACCCTGCTATCATGGCATCCACACTTTTAAAGATAAATTTCTTCCACAGTTTGCTAATAGAAAACAGCCATTTAGCATGACCTATTAATATGGAGTGCCCAAAGTATACAAATAAATAGTCAATCTTTAAGGCAATATGTTGCTACCAACTCTAAATTTTATCCCAAGAAACTTGAAAACTTTTTATTGAATTAAATAGGAATATAAAACATGTTATGATCCCTATGCAATATACTAAGCCCTCTGGATCCTCAGGTTCTGTGTCTGTGGATTCAGTCAACCAATGATCAAAAATATTCAGAAAAACACAATAAAAAATAATAATATAACAATAAAAATAATACAATTAAAAAATTACAGTATAACTATTAATACATAGCATTTACATTGTATTTAGTACTATAAGTAATCTAGAGATTATTTAAGGTATACTGGAGGATGTATGTATGTTATATGCAAATACTATGCCATATAATATCAGGGACTTGAGCATCCTTAGATTTTGGTGTCTGTGGGGTTCCTGGAACTGGTACCCCTTGAATACTGATGGATGACTGACATAGAAGGTGGTCAACAGTCTATTTTCCAGTTGGGAGAAAGGCAGTAGCCTAGTAAGCTTTCTCAGAGAGTCTGTGTCTTAATCAAACGTGTCCCTGGTCCCCTGGTATTGAATATTAGTCCCTGGTCACCTCTTGTCTTGGCTTGTTAAGGTTTAATGACTTATCCTTCAAGTGGTTTTGTCTCGAAGAGCTCAAATGCCATCATTTTCTGAGTCTCCAATCTGTCATTTGTCATGTTGCAAAATGGGCACTATGATTGTACCAAGCCAGGCATCCCTGGCACTCCGGGAATACTGGCCAGTCTCCATGACTTGTGGGGGGCTTTAGTGTTTTCCAAGATGAGGCCTGGTTGATTCATTTCTGAATCCTAAGTATTGAGGTTTGTGTACAAATACGGAAGTGTGTGGGGTAGGAAGTTCCGAGCAATCAGCTTTCCTTGGAAAATATTTTTCCTTTTCAAATTTATGGCTGTTTTTTAAAAAGGGATGTTAGAAACTTTGGTTAATTTAAAGATGGGTATGTGTTTTCCTCTAATGATGGCACACAGTTATGTTCAGTGAGGACTCAAGGAAACCACCTTTTTTGTTGTCTGGCCAATAACTTACTGAAATGAGCAGTGCTGATTTACAGGTCTGGGTGGTGGTGACTGAAGGCAGAATTTTGGGGAGTTTCATTTTTTGTTTAATTTGAACAATCAGAGTTCATCGTGTTTTGCGGAAGAGGAGGAAAAGCAGCCCAAACCCACACGGGAGGGTTGGGGGAGCATCTGCTTGACAGCACTCTCAGTTAAGCCCTGCAGCTACGTGTGCTCAAAGATGTTCTCGCCAAAAGCCAATGCTAATTTAATGTGTATGGAAATTATTTATTCTGAGTCATCAGTTACTTTTCTTAGCTATAGTTGTTATTGGTACTGTAATGACTTGGCAGCGTTTCATCATTTTTTCTTATGTCTGGCTCACATTTGCGTGTGTTAACTCCATCTCACAAAAACCCAAACAAACACAAATTTCATAGGACCTACTTGGCATCTGGCAGTGTTTGACACAACTACCTAATTCCTTTATTGAAATTCATGATTGAGATGGTCCATCTTGAACTGATTCCAGCGTTCAGGCACGAACCTTTTCGCTGAGTCGCCTTGGGCCAATCACTGAACTTCTCTGAGCATTGGATTCTTGGTACAGGGATTGGATTAGAACTCTAAGTTACATCTAGCTCTGAAGGAAATTAGAGATTTTTGAACTTGATGAACATTTTCTAATTGTTCCTAGGGTAAATGTGCCACTCTTTAAGACTTGTTACTATTTTAAGATGCCACTGGAAACACAGAGGCCCTGCAAAAAGATGGACATTGGGTCCACCAAGTATCCAGACAGGGGCGGGGTTGGATGGTCCAGGAGTACACAGGTGACCTCCTGGGGAGCCAAGGTATTTCCCCCAAGGTGGGTGAGAAAGCAGGACATTTTCAGGTGAAACAGATGCTCAACAGAGCCAAGCTTTGAAGACACTTACATTTGGGGGACTGGACTACAAGAAAATATGAGTAATTCTCTTTAGAAGTGGTAATGGAAAACCACAAGAATCAGGATCATTTTCCTCAGCTGATAACTCATGAGGGCATAGAACAGAATTCTAGATCATTCCGTGGATATTTGAGGAAGACTTATAGTTCTCAAATGATCCCATGTATACTGATAGGTATTATCAGTACACCTGATATATATACTGTGATGTGTGTTAGCATTTTAGGTGGCTTAATACATAATACCCCTTTAGTTATCTCCTGAATTTTGGAGCAATTTTGGACCATTGAAGACAGGTAATTCATGTCAAAAAAAATGGCTTTTGATTTGCATCCCAAAGACTCCCTAACTCTTCTCCAAATTGAACTTATCCCCCTCAATCCATATCCTCACCCCTTCCTGGGACAAAGCCTACTCCATGCAGAGAACCTAGTAGCAAAGAGTATCAGAATCAAGGAGATAGGTTTGTTCTAAAAACCAGAAATGTTTTCTTGCTTTCTCCAAAAGTTCATCTATCAGACAGGTTACTAAAAGGAGATGGGAGAGATGTCAGGCCAGGAATATCCTGTAGCTGAAGTTCCTTCACTTGGAATCCCAAGGGGTGGGAAGGAAAGACTCTTTCTAACAATTAGCATTGAACTCATTGTTGCATTGGGAATTGCAGTGGAAAAATATGAGGATATGTATTCAACAAATATTTATTAAATGCCTACCAAGTACAAAGCACTTTTCTGGGTTCTAAGGTACAGCAGAGAACAAGAGATACAAGGTCCCTCTTTTTTTTTTTTTCTCTCCTTTTTTTGAGACAGGGTCTCACTTTATCACCCAGGCTGGAGTGCAGTGGTGCAAATACAACTTGCTGCAGCCTCAACCTCCACCTCCCTGGGCTCAAGCAATCCTCCCACCTCAGTCCCCCAAGTAGCTGGGACTATAGGCATGTGCCACCATGCCCAGCTAAATTTTGTATTTTTTGTAGAGACGGGGTTTCGCCATGTTGCTCAGGCTGGTCTTGAACTCCTGAGCTCAAGCAATGTGCCCACCTTGGCTGGCATGAGCCACCGTGCCTGGCCAAGTTCCCTCTTCTTATGGAACTTACATTCTTGGAGGGGGAAGGTAATAAGTAAACATATGAATAAGATCTTTTCAGATGTTCATAAATGCCTTGAGGAGATTAAATCAGTATCATATGATAGAGAGCAACTAGGGATAGAGTGAAGGAAGGTGACTCATTAAATAGGTGACCAGGTCAGGCCACTCTCAGGAGGGGCCGTATGGGCGAAGGAGCCAGCCACATGAAGGCCTGAGGGCGGGGTGAGAGGGAGCAGCTAGTTCTAAGGCCCCAGGTTGGAAAGGGCAGGGTGGACTCAAGGAGCAGAAGGAAGGCCAGCGTGTGCAGGTGATGGTGAGTGTGGGGACAGTGCCAGGACACGAGGTCAGAGAGGAAGTGGGTCCAGATCAGCTAGGAATGTGAGGTTTCCTCCTAAGATAACAGAAAGCCTTTAGAGTATCCAAACAGGTGTATTCCAATCACCTAGGGACTTCAGCTGAAGACCATGATTCAGGAAGCCTGGCAGGGCCTGAAATTCTGCATTTCTAACATCTTCCTGGGATGCTGTTGCTGTTGCTGTTGCTGTTGCTGCTGGTCCATAGACGTCACTGTCAGTGTCAAGGCTCTCCTTCTCCTTTAAAATGATCACTTTGGGCCAGGCATGGTGGCTCAAGCCTGTAATCACAGCACTTTGGGACCCCAAGGTGAGAAGATCACTTGAGACCAAGAATTCGAGACCAGCCTGGGCAACATAATAAGATCCCTGTCACCCCTGTCTCTACAGAATTTTTTTTTTTAATGATCACTTTGCTGTGTGGAGAGTGAAGAATCACAGAGGAAGAAGAGTAGAGGCGGGAGACCAGTTAGAAGCTGCTGAACTGCATGTGAGGGCATAGGCATCCAGGATAGTGTGACTGCAGCGCGAGGCTCCAAAATAAAGGGGCCCCCAGCAGGTCCCCTGAATTGTTCTGAATAGGTATATGCCCCCATATGCAGCTGCCCAATATTCAATTTCATTATCTATTTAACCGGCTAATATTCGGATTCAACTGTTGTTCATTGAGTACCTACTATATTTTAGACCAAGCACTCCTCAAACTTTAATGTGCAGAGTAATCACCTGGAATCTGGCAAAATGTGGATTCAGTTAAACAAAGTTTATGGGAGGCCATTGTTTTGGATTAGCCTCTTGCACTCGGCCGCAGCAGAATAGATCAAACCAGAATGGAGTCACTTAGTGCTAAGTGCCGTGTATACAAACTGAACTTTGAAACAGGCCAGTTTTCCTAAACAAGAGGAGGTTCCAATCAACCTGAGTCAGCATAATCAGGAAGGCCCCTCTCCTTTAACCCTCTGAGGAAAGTAACTTTGAAACCACCAGTTCACTTTTTTGTTTTCTGTCTCTGCTTTCTTTCACCCTTTTCTGTCTCTAAAGCCAACCTCTCTGCTCAGCTCCTTGGAACACCTATTTTGTTTTATATAGAATGAGGTTTTGCCTGATTCTAGAATCAAAAATGAAAGCTTATTCAATCTGTAAAATAAATCTGTTGTAATTTCATCTTTTGACATGATTTCATAGGGCTGAGGTGAGTCCCGAGAGTCTGCCTTTCTAAGAGGTGACGTTGATGCTGCTACACCTATGGTTTTCAAATCACACTGTGAGGCAGAGTCACTTGGGAAGATTTTGCAACTACCAATGCTTGGATCCCACCAAAAATGGATTATCAGCTTCTCTGATATCAGCTTCTCCTCCAACATTTGGAGGATCCCAAATGTGGTATTTTTGAAGAAGTTTCCCAGATGATGCTATGGTACAGTTAAGGCTGAGAACTAGAACTAGAAGCTTTCAGCCAATTTCCCTGGTATGTGGCTAGTATTGCTTCCATTGTACAGAGAAGGTAAAAAGGGGTAACTTGCCAAAGGTCATTTGGCCAGTAAATGGTAAGGTGGAGGTTTCAACTTAGTTCTAATTCCAAATTTAGAGCTTTTTTCATAGTACCACACTACCTCCCTACTTCCCTATTTTGGGCAAAACTCACTTTGCTAGGTATTGAAGGGAATGTTGTCTGAGTCGGACTCCAGTCAGGAAACAGAAACTCGTTGGCTATTGCAAACAGAGGGTATCTAATACAAGAGGTTTGGTACAATGATATTGAGAGGGCAAGAGGAACAAAAGGAATAGTTGCAGAAGGAACCCAAAGGAAGGTATGTTCCCAGAGATCAGGCAACCTCTAGGATCCTGGGATGGAAACTTGGACTTTGCATCTGGGGCTGCACTGCTAGAGATGCTGCTTCTGGTGCTCATGCTGGAACCACTGGAGCCAGGTTTCTCCCAGACCCTCAGCCCCATGTGAATCCAAACCCTGTTTCAAAAGGAATGTCCATGGGAAAATGGGGTTTGATTTACACGTTCAGTTTTCAGGCTACATTTGCTAGAATGCACCTCTTTTGTATGTGCAAGAATGCCAATAGGTGCTCTGAAAGCTGAATTCTTTAGCTATTCGTCATATCCTAGTGGTTAGCATCAGAAGGAAGCCAGTACAGTTGGGTCTCGGTATCTGCAGGGGATTGGTTCCAGGCCCACCTGCAGATACCAGAATCCAAGCAAACTTAAGTCCCACAGTGGACTCTGAGGGACCTGTGGATACGAAAAGTCAGCCCTCCGCATCCACAAGTTTCACACCCCAAGAATATTGTATTTTCAATCCGTGTCTGGTTGCAGATGGAACCTTTGGATATGGAAGGCTGACTGTATTTTGAAAAAAATCTGCATATAAGTGGGCCCGCCCAGTTTGAACCTGTGTTGCTTAAGGTCAACTAATGCTCTTTGGCATTTTGGGACTGCCCCTCACCTACTGAGTCCTTCACCTGTGGAGCCCCAGCAGCTGGACACCCGGGTGCTCAGTCTTCCACTGCGTTCACTGCGTCTTCCCCTTCAGTGGTCACCCTGGTGGGTGGTGGTCGCACAGCTTGGTGTGTGTCCTTACCATGCTGTAGCCTCTGGTATTTATTAATGAAAACTTTTCTTTGTGCGTGACCATCTCTGCTTTGCATTCTTCCCAATGACCAAGAACATTTTGAAATGAAAAAAAAAAAAACCCAACAAAAACAAAATTGTAAAATTACAATGACTCTTATTGATATTTTGATAGATTAAAAAAAAAGACTAGTAAGATTTGAAATAGAATAAAACGTATTTCTTATAGCTTGTGAAGAATGTTTTTAAAAAGCAGAAAGATCTCCTTTTATTAAGTGAATACATAAAAATGATGATAGAAAATTTCTTATGGCATCAGTAATTAATTTATATTCATTAAACAAATTTCCATACCTGCATGTATTTACATAATTTCCTTCTCTTATGATTAATTTAATACTTAAGGAGAAAATGAATTATTGATTATTTTAATGCCAGAATTATACCCTGCCTCAAGTTTCATCTGTGGGAAGTGCTATTCCATGTAACTAAGGAGACAGAAAATCCCCTAAGTTGATAGATTGGTTTGTTTCCTGTTCTACTTTGGTTTAATTACTATTTGATAATTACTATTTAAAAATTTCAAAGCACTTTTCATTTTCTCCCTAGCTGTGCTTTATAATTTGCCCAAGGGGGTCTGTTTTGTTTTTGTTTTTTTTTTCTGTCATGTGTTTGAATAAATAGCAAATTGTTGCTGCTTTTTCCAGGGAAGATGCAAAAGAGCTGTGTCATATTTCTTTGTGTAAGCAGTTTTCTGAATTATTTTCTTTGGTCTACCTAGAACAAATAAGTCTCTGAAGAATAAGAATGAACACTTAACTTTTCACTACCCTTAAAATACTATAATAGCAGTACATTAATCATGTGTCAATTAAAAGCCAAAGGGGGCTGGGTGCAATGGCCCAGACCCATAATTCCAGCACTTTGGGAGGCCAAGGTGGGCAGATCACCTGCGGTAAGGGAGTTCGAGACCAGCCTGGCCAACATGGAGAAACCCCATCTCTCCTAGAAATACAAAAATTAGCTGGACGTGGTGGCACGTGCCTGTAATCCCAGCTCCTCAGGAGGCTGAGGCAGGAGAATCACTTGAACCCAGGAGGCAGAGATTGCAGTGAGCCGAGATCTTACCAATGCACTTGAGCCTGGGTGACAGAGTGAGACTCTGTCCCAAGAACAACAACAACAAAAATCAAAAGGGCCTCCCAGAGCAGCACATAGTGTTTTTGCTGTCATTCTTAGGATCTCTAAAGTCTGCCATTACGGTATAGAAAGTGTCAGTGAAATAAGGAAAATTTGTCTTAATTACTTTCCAGGAAAAACCAAGGTAGGCCTCAGTTAATTTGTTGTGTAGACAAGAAGGGGCTTTCCAACCCATCCTTTCTCATCTGTGTTTTGAGGGAGAGTCAGATGGTCATATGCACACATCTGTTATATGTAACTGTCTTACACCAATCATTATTTTATTTACAAGATCTAGCTATTTGAGAGAGATTGCAAAAACTGGTTTTAGCTGCTTGTGTTTCAAGTCAGAAGTGCGTGAAGGAGGTCAGGCCATGATCACTACAGTGTGGAGGCCGCCGGCTGACTTTGTTGAGGAAAATGAGGTCCAGCCTGTAGAAGGGAGCTAGGGAGTACAGAGCCCGAAGGAAGGTGGTGGGGAGTTTTCTCGTCTGCACATCCCTCCCTCTGTGGTTATCCCAGCAAAGTGGGAATATTATTTAAACCATGTACTGCTTTATTTTGCTGGAGCATTTGATATGTTTAAAAAGTGTCAGACCATTTCCTCGGCAGGCATATGCTTGCACTTAGCCTTAATTCCTACCCTTGGAGAAGGCAAATACAGCGTGGCCCTCGTCTGTATATTTTAAGAGGTTTCTTATAACAGGCCTAGTCTGTGGCAATCCTAGTGAGTAGTACTTAGTGGGTTTACAAACCACTCTGTCGCGGTGATGACATACTCTGTGTGGTTCTGGGAGCTAAATAAAACACCGGAAATAGATATTAAATAAAATAAAGAACACGCCTATGTAATTATTGCCAGAAATGAAATTTTGCAACCCTAAATTTGAATGTGGTCTAGGCACCTGAAGATTCCTGTAGCTAAACAAACATCATTTCCCAGATTAAAATTTCAGGAAAGCAACGTCTATCAAGTGTCTTATTTGGGTAAAATATTTTGAAAATGTTTTGACTGATCACAGGGGGAATGGGAAGCAGATGGTAAGTGAGACAGGTGCCCCTAAAGTCCACATCCCCTTCTGAATGGCTCCATTTCCTATTACATTAGACAGCAAAGGCCACTGGCCCAGGCCAATGTCACTTATGTTCTGCTAGGGGACTTTTGGCCAACTCAGAAGATATTGGTCCTTACTGTGGAATTGTTTTGTGATTTTAAAATATAGATCTCTTTAAACCCTGAAAAAATATATTTTTAAAAGGACTAATTTTTTAAACGGCAGTGATCCAATCAATATGATTGCAGTTTGAGCTTAAGGGGCACTATTCTCACTCAAGTCTTTGGATTTTTCTGTAGCCTTTCCCAAAAGTGAGCTAATGTTTTGAAGTGTCAGTTATTTACTTCGGTTCTGTCTGGTAGAAAATACACAAGTTGTCTCATTTAATCATGAAGGTAACTCTCTTCGGCATTTTGCAGGTAAGAAAATTGAGGCTCTAAGAGGTGAAGTAATTTGCAGAAGCCACTGGAAAGTGGCTGATTCCAGATTCCAGACCCAGCTCTGTCTACCTAAAACTACATCATCTCCCTAAAACACCTCACTAGCCATGCTCCAATGCAAATGGGCCTAGCAAGTTCAAATACATTTGTAATTTGCCTAGGTTTTCCATTTAGCTGAAGTTAACCACACTTCCAGTATAATCCAGGTATTTATGGTTTTTGTGTTTTGTTTTTTTTCTCCCATTTACAGCACTTAGCATAATGTTCTGCATAGAGCACATACTTAATGAATACTTGCTGAATTAATTCATTTCAGATACGTTGAGCCCCGTGAAAGCTGCTTAATTTAGAAGGCTCAGAGTAACTTTGGTTAAAAAGGTTCAGGGATGGATCCTCTCCACCCTTTCGTTCACCTGGTAAAATACTATTTCAAGGACTAATTTATACCATCGTCTCCTTTAGGTAGCTTTCTCTGACCCACTTTGTCACTGAGGCAGAATTGTTTCCTCATCTCTGTATGACTTAGCACTGTTTATGTACTTCCATGTCACTTTTTTAAAAGCAAGAATGAAAATAACTTTTATTTATTGTGCAATGTGCTAGACATTAAACTAAATACTCTACACATTTTGTCTCTTTAATCCTCAAAACAGCCCTGGGAGGTAAGGCTGTTGTCCTATGTTACAAGCGAGGAAAGTGGGGCTTAAAGAGAATAAGTTACTTGCCCCAGGTCTTACAGTTAGTGAATTTCAAAGATGCAGTAGGAACCCAGTTCTCGCCTGTTTTCAATATATTCTTTTCTTATTAAGATAAAATTTGCAGTAATGTGCACATATCTTACATGTACAGTTTGATGAGTTTTGATAATACACACATCTGCTTAACCGTTGATCCAGTCAAGATGTAGAACATGTCCACTGATCAGAAAGTTACCTCATTGCCCCTTCCCTGTCTGCTCCAGCCACTCAGGATTAGGGCTGCCTGTTCTTTATTTAAATCAATTAATTTATTTCTTATTTTATTTTATTGTTTCTCTCAGTTGAATTTTATTTTATTTTTTCCTGCTTTTATTTTAGATACAGGGGTACATGTGTAGGATTGTTACATGGGTATATTGGACCCAAGTAGTGAGCATAGTACCCAGTGAGTAGTTTTGCAACCCACGCTCCTGTCATTTCCTGCCCCTGTAGTAGGTTGCAGTGTGTATTGTTCTCGTGTTTATATCCATATGTGCTTAATGGTTACCTCCCACTTACAGGTGAGAACATGTGGCATTTGGTTTTCTGTTCCTGTGCTAATTCACTTGGCATTATGGTCTCCAGCTTTGCTGCAAAGAACATGGTTTCATTGTTGTTGTTTTTTTTAATGGCTGCATAGTATTCCATGGTGTATGTGTACCACATAGTCTCGATCCAATCCTCCACTGATGGGCACCTAGGTTGATTCCATGTCTTTGCTATTGTGAATAGCATGGTGATTAACATAAGAGTGCATGTGTCTTTTTTGGTATAATGATCTGTATTCCTTCGGGTATGTACCCAGTAATGTGTTTAGCTGGGTCGAGTGGTTGTTCTGTTTTAAGTTCTTTGAGAAATCTCCAAACTTGTTCCACAGTTTGAAACTAACTGAACTAATTTACATTCCCACCAACAGTGTATATGCGTTTCTGTTTCTTTGCAGCCTCACAGGGCTGCTTGTTCTTGAACTTCATAGAAATTGAACTCTAGAGTATGTATTCTTTTTTCTCTTTCATGTCTTTTACTCAAAATAATATTTTTGAGGTTCATCCGTGTTGTGATATGTAAAGATATCCACTACATCAGTGGTTCATTGATTTTTATTGCCAAGCAGTATTCCATTTCATGAATATATCACGGTTTATTTATTCATTGTCCTATTGTTGGGCATTTGGATGGTTTCCAGTTTGGGGCTATTGTGAATAAGGCCACTGTGAATATTCTTCATCTATGTACAAGAATGTACAAAAATCTTTTTGAGGACATATGCTTTCATTTCTGTTGGGTAAATACTTAACTGTGTAATCCCTGGGTCATAGAGTAGAAACATGTTTAACTTTATAAGCAGCTGCCAATTTTCCAAAGTGTCTGTATGACTCTACACTCCCACTAACAATGTGTGAGTGTTCTAATTCATATCTTTCCCAATATTTAAAAAGTTTTATGCTACTTTAAAATAGTCCTCTTTCATTTATGCAGCCAAAAAACACATGAAAAAATGCTCATCATCACTGGCCATCAGAGAAATGCAAATCAAAACCACAATGAGATACCATCTCACACCAGTTAGAATGGCAATCATTAAAAAGTTAGGAAACAACAGGTGCTGGAGAGGATGTGGAGAAATAGGAACACTTTTACACTGTTGGTGGGACTGTAAACTAGTTCAACCCTTGTGGAAGTCAGTGTGGCGATTCCTCAGGGATCTAGAACTAGAAATACCATTTGACCCAGCCATCCCATTACTGGGTATATACCCAAAGGACTACAAATCATGCTGCTATAAAGACACATGCACACGTATGTTTATTGCGGCACTATTCACAATAGCAAAGACTTGGAACCAACCCAAATGTCCAACAATGATAGACTGGATTAAGAAAATGTGGCACATATACACCATGGAATACTATGCAGCCATAAAAAATGATGAGTTCCTGTCCTTTGTAGGGACATGGATGAAATTGGAAATCATCATTCTCAGTAAACTATCGCAAGGACAAAAAACCAAACACTGCATGTTCTCACTCATAGGTGGGAATTGAACAATGAGAACACATGGACGTAGGAAGCGGAACATCACACTCTGGGGACTGTTGTGGGTTGGGGGGAGGGGGGAAGGATAGCATTAGGAGATATACCTAATGCTAAATGACGAGTTAATGGGTGCAGCACACCAGCATGGCACATGTATACATATGTAACTAACCTGCACATTGTGCACATGTACCCTAAAACTTAAAGTATAATAATAATAATAAAAAATAAAAATAAATAAATAAATAAAATAGTCCTCTTTCCCATTTGACTTTGAGCCTGTCAAGGTCAGGAAACATGTACCATTCATTTCTGCATCCACCATGCTTAGCTCAGTGTGTGGTGCAATAAATATGATGCACATGAAACTATAATTTGAGAATTGTAGAAACAGTTGTCAAAGTCCCTTTCAGCAGTGACAATCTGGAAACCTAACCATGTGCCATGGGGCATGCAGGTAGTTTTACACTGAAAAGACTTTGGATAGTTGCCTTCAGAGGGTAGCAGCCTTTCAAAGGTGAAGTGGCAGATTGGTGATCTCCAGAAGGAAGTGAGTGACCAGCCAGGCATGGGCTCTCCTGAGTGAGGCAGGCTGGTGAGTCCCACTGTGTGCTGGGAGGCCATGCTTCAGCAATATGTCCATCTGACATGAACAGTTCACTTGGATATCAGTGGAAGCCATAATGTCTTAGCTTGTCGACCTCTGACCTGCTATCTTTTAGGATGATGTTTTAGTTATCTGTAGCAATATAACAATATGAGAAGGCACTTAGCAGCTTAAAGCAACACCTTATTCATTGCAACACATACTTATTATCTCCAGGTTCCTGTGGGCCAGGAGTCTGGCATAACTTGACAGAGTCTTCTGCTTCACAAGGCTACAGTCAAAGTGTCAGCTGGGGCTGTGGGTGAGTCAAAGCTTGACTGGGGAAGGAGCTGCTAGCAAACTCAAGTGGTTGTTACAGGATTCAGGTCAACGTGGGCTGGTGGATTGTGGGCCTCAGTTGCCTGCTGAATGTTGGCCAGGGGCCGCCCAAGGTTCCTTGCTGTTATAAATTTGTGTAATATAGTTGCTGCCTCAGCATTCATTTTCAGGCCTGACATAAGATGTTTGAAACCCAGTCACTCCCTGTCACCTTTGGCCCAGTTAAAATTTCCCCTCGTGTGGTTGTTTGTAATTTGGCCTCCTTATTCCTTACACAAGGACATGAATACCAGGAGGTGGGGAGAACTGGGAGGTTCTCTTGGAGTCTGTCACAGATGGTCCATTAGAATTCTTTTTAAAAAGTGGAAGTAATACAGATACTGTGAGGAAAGTAGTTGTTTTGACCCAAAGAGAATATTATATTTTTTACTGTTCTAATGAATAGTTTCAGGGGCTCCAGCTTTATCTCCAACACAGAGAGCCTGTTCTGGGTAAATTATCTGCAGTTCATGTTCACTGGCACAGAAGATTGATTGGAAAACATGAAGTGATTTCTGGATAAATACTCATCAGTGGGTTCATTCAGTGCAGATGAATTGAGTCTTTTCTATAATCTCCCACTGGACAGAGCTTTTGCTTTGAAATTTGTCATGGGTTAAAGAGATTGGCAGAGTGACCCCCTATAACCTAAGTGTAGGAAGCCAGATATTTTTGTCAGCAAATTTGCTTATCTGGAATGGAATGATTGGCCCTGACCAGACACGGAAAAAAATCTTAGGGTCATATAAAAGTAACTTGTCACACCTGTTGGGAGAATCTTTTTAAGAAGTAAGTCACATGTATGAGAAACAGAGCAAACAAAATATTTTACTTGTTAGGAGATACCTGGAAGATGTTCAGGCTTTAACACTTAGCTTTGGTGAGTTTAGACAGTCAAGGAAGACAGCAGAGTCTTGTTCTGCCCTGACCATGGTATAGTTATTCTACCCATTCTTGGTTGTTAAAAAAAAATTCAATGTTTTTTCCCGCAAACTTGAACTAAGCACAAAGGCTTATTTTCAGTTATAAAAAACATGATTAAGGCTGGGCATGGTGGCTCACGCCAGTAATCCCAGCACTTTGGGAGGCCGAGGTGGGCGGATCATGAGGTCGAGAGATCGAGTCCATCCTGGCTAACATGGTGAAACCCTGTCTCTACTAAGAATACAAAAATTAGCTGGGTGTGGTGATGCGTGCCTGTAGTCCCAGCTACTCAGGAGGCTGAGGCAGGAGAATTGCTTGAACCTGGGAGGTGGAGGTTGCAGTGAGCCGAGATCGCACCACTGCACTCCAGCCTGGTGACAGAGTGAGACTCCATCTCAAAAAAAAAAAAAAAATGATTACACTATTCTAATAGGTTTGAAAGTTTTGAGAAACTTTCAAACTCTGTTTCTTATACACAGAGAGAGAGACATATGACAAGAAATTGATTACAGGAATTGGCTAACACATTTGAGGAGGCTGCAAAGTTTCCATAGGCTCTCTTCGAGCCGGATAACCAAGAGGGGCCGGTAGTGTGGCTCAGTCCAAGTCAGAAGGCCCAAGAACCAAGGAGGCTAGTGCTGTCACTTTCGGTTTGAGGCTAAAGACCCTAGAGCCCTAGGGCCCACTGGTACAAGTCCTAGAGTCCAAAGACCAAGGAACCTGGAGTCCTCGTGTCCAAGGGCAGGAGCAGAAGGGTGTCCTGGCTCTGCAAGAGAGATAATTTGCCCTTCCTCCTCCTTTTTGTTCTGTTCAGGCTCTGGATGAGTGGGCGGTGCCTGCTCTTGTTGAGGGTGGATCTTCCCCACTCAGTCCACCCACTTACATGCCAGTCTCCTCTGAAAACACTCTCAAGGACACACAGGAAGCAATGCTTCACCAAGTCATCCAGGCATCCCTCATTCCAATTAAGTTGACGCCTAAAATTAACCATTGTAGCCATAGAGCTGAATGTAAAAATTTAAAAATTCATCTCCTTCATAAGCTGCATAAACCTCCTTCTTTGAGTATAAGAATTAATCATCCCAATGAAGTAGAAAATAGTATATTTATGTCATCTAGTTGAAAAAGGCAATATTAATAGACATTTGGAAACTCCTTTTGCCACATTTCAAGTTTATTCCGGGCAGTTTACCTTGAGAAAAAAATGCCTCTTTTGATGGATGCTGTATTAGTCCGTTCTCACACTCCTATAAGGACATACTTGAGACTGGGTAATTTTTAAAGGAAAGAGATTTAATTGACTCACCATTCTGCAGGACTGGGGAGGCCTCAGAAAACTACAATCATGGTGGAAGGTGCCTTTTTACAGGGCAGCAGGAGAGAGAATGAGTGCTGAGCAAAAGGGGAAGCACCTTATAAAACCATCAGATCTTGTGAGAACTCACTCACTATCATGAGAACAGCATGGGGGAAACTGCCCCCATGATTCAATAACCTCCACCTCGTCCTGCCCTTGACACGTGGGGATTATTACAATTCAAAGTGAGATTTGGGTGGGGACACAGAGCCAAACCGTATCAGATGCAGACCGAAAGAGCAATTTTATTTTAGTTACAACATAATAATGGTGTTATATAGTGTATAACTATAGTTATATAGTTACATATATATAGTTACAGTTATACAGTGCTTACTGCTTATTATGTGCCAGATACTGTTCTATGTGGTATATGTGTGTGTGCTGGGGATATATACCCACTCTATGATATATACTAATTCTCACCTTGCTGGTTCCCTGGTTAATGAGCTAAATAAATATTTGATGCCTACCCACTTTATATTTCTATGAGTGTAGTGTTTTCACTTTTTGAAAATTATACTTTAGTCAATTCTGTGATACAGATACTATTATTATTCCAGTTGTATGGAGAGGCACATGAGACACAGAGAAGTTGAGTAGCTTCCCCAGGGCTTCATAGCAGCCCACGGTGGAGCCAGCATTTGAGTGCCAGCAGCCTGGACCAGCGTCTGCTCTTAACTATCATGCTACACCCCGTCTTGAAGAATTTATTTTCTTTGCATATGTAGGCCATAGCCACCCTTCTGACACTAAAGAAGCACAATCAACCAGAGTCCAAGGCAAACCAGCACATTTCATCTACGGAGAGCAAACTAATCAAAAAAGCACGCTTGCTCCAGCCTGACCCAAGCATCTGGGTTAGGACAACCAATCTAAGAAAGCCCACACTTCACTATTTTAAAGAAAATAAATCCTTGGCAATAGTGGCCTCATTATGATTCTGAAGGGCAACATAAAATGCTTCCCAGATGAATTAGTAAACAACACCAAAAGTTGCAGGAATGGATGGAGGTCTGTGAAGTGTCTCAATGGGCAACTGGAAGTGCAGCCTCCAGGTTGACATATGGGATTACAGAGGAACCAAGAAGGGAAAAATGATGGAAAGAGATGAGCAGTTTCTGAAGTGTGGTTGTGGTATCACTGATGTCGTGGACTCTACACTGATACCTGCCCTCACTATGATTCCCGTTGTCCCACTCGGACGAGGCCTTCAACAGAGCTGCATTTAGAAGCCAGGGAAGATTTTCCCGTTGTATCATCTGTGGTCTTTCTACTGGCAACTCTCATGGGATTCCTTGGCTGGAGGGTAGAGCAAAGCATCAGAACCCCTAGGCTCTGCCTTTGAAACTCCCCATATCATTCAGAATGGGCTTTAAATGGCATCTGTGCCATTCCAGAACTCACCCTTGTGAAGCTGATGGCTCAGGGCTTCCTGCTCTTGTTTGGAGGTGGTGTCAGTAGGGGCAGAGGAAGGCTCAGCCAGTCTTTGTGGACCCTGGTAGCCAGGCTCGCTCCTGCTCCTGGACATTTTGAGCAACAAATGGCTATTGTCATGGACTTTTAGCATCCCTCATCCCTGACATGTAGCCTCGGGACAGATTAGCCAGCTGGATTTACTTTAAGAAGTATGTATAATATATTTGTATACACACACATATATATACGTACACATTTACTTATAGTTTTTACTGATGATAAAATGAAATGTTACCAGTATAAAAGCAATTTGGACATCACAAAAAATTATAAAGAAAAAAATGCAAATCTTGAACTAGAAAAACCAAGGTAGAAAATTCCTGGAAATCCAGCCACTCACAGATACTGCTTTATTTACTAAAAAGGGACCATTAGCATTTTAAATACCTTTTCATGCAAATCTCTATGCATATATACATATAATGTATATCTCTATGCATACAGATACAACTGTTTGAGAATTTAACTATGCTAAGCAGACTGTTGGCAAACTTTTCTGCTCAGCCAGGCGACCTTTATGGTCAATCAATGCTGGTGTAAATCACCATTTTAGCCCATAGAAATAAGAAGAATGTTGTGACTGGGCTTTCCTGTGGTGAGGTGACGGCTGGGAATAGAATGATCAGAACATCTGGGTTCGTGCAATTTTTCCTGAACCTTTGCAGACTTTATGTGTACATTGGGACGAGGGAGTCACTAAAGCCGAGGGGAGCCCTCCAGCTCACTGCTCCGACAACTTAGAGGGCAAGTGCCGAAACAGAAGTGGCTGGTGTTGACTGCATGTTTACGGTGGCTGCCAACTGAGGGGCTGCCCCTGATGAGGCCGAGTGAGTGAGGCCCACACTGCATGTGGCTGGGAAAGGTTTCAAACCATGACTTCTTACCTTTGTTCAAACCAGATGCAAGGAATCCGAGGATGATGTCTGGGTACTGATTTAATTAGCAGCAAAAGGGATTAAGCAAACCAGCAATCATGCTCTTTCATCTCTGTCCAGAAAAGGCGTTTTTACCTGCACCCATGGTTGTGAATCTGTGACTGATGCCAGTGTTGTCATTAAGAAAGGACCTCAAGCAAAGCAGAGTCGGGAACATTTTGTGTTTAAAATGTTTAGAAACAAACATGGACAGAGCCCACTGATTTTTCCTCTGGGAAAAAGACAGTCACTGTAAATAGACAAATTACACTGAATCTATCCGAAACATATGTTGCGTTTGGCTAAATGCTAATCTCTTATTTGCCCTCCTGCTGCCAAGGCCCGTGCTGCGTGCCCTGGATCTGGATGTGTGTTTAAACGATTATAGTTCAGGAAAAGAGCCTAGGCCTGTTCATGTTCCATTGAGGCTCCTGTTCTCAGACTTACTGATTTTCAATCTGGAGATTTTACTGAAATATATATTACAGTCTCTTACCATGTAAGCCAAGTCTGTTTTTACTTTATCCATTTGTATGGAGAAATATCATAATCCTCAGAGATCTGGAGCATAGGAGATTGCTTTGAGGGCATGTAGGGTAGGAGCTGCCTAGTGAACTGTTCACTTGGCCTGGAATGTCTTTCTCTCTTGCCAATCCCCACCTTTATCACTTAATTCCTATTTATCTTTTTTATTGAAGCTCAGGTAGCATCTTCCCCGGGAATCCTTTGCTGACCGCCCTGAGCCTGAGTTGGTTATTCCTCCACTGGGCTTCCCTAGCTGCCCACTGCTTTCCTATCTCCAAACCTCCCCAGACTTGTAAGGTCTGTGAGGGTCAGAACCCCCCAACCCCCATGTGTTATGCCCAGCACCGAGGACAGTGCCTGTCACATGACTTTAGTAAATACCTGTTGAATGAATGAGGACACTTGTCTTCTTTTCTTTTCTTTTAAAATTCTGGGGTACATGTGCAGGACATACAGGTTTGTTACATAGGTAAACGTGTGCCGTGGTGGTTTGCTGCACCTATCAACCCATCACGTAGGTATTAAGCCCCACATGCATCAGCTATTTTTCCTGATGCTCTCCCTCCCTCCCCCAACAGGCCCCTGTGTGTGTATTCCCCTCCCTGTGTCCACGTGTTCTCACTGTTCAGCTCCACTTATAAGTGAGAACATGTGGTGTTTGGTTTTCTGTGCCTGTGTTACTTTGCTGAGGATAATGGCTTCCAGCTTCATCCATGTCCCTGCAAAGGACATGATCTTGTTCCTTTTTATGGCTGCATAGTATTCCATGGTGTATATGTACCACATTTTCTTTATCCAGTCTGTCGTCTGTCATTGATGGGCATTTGGGTTGATTCCATGTCTTTGCTATTGTGAATAGTGCTGCCATGAATATACATATACAGATATCTTTATAATAGAATGACTTATATTCCTTTGGGTGTATACCCAGTAAAGGGATCGCTGGGTCAAATGGTATTTCTGGTTCTAGGTCTCTGAGGAATTGTCACACCGTCTTCCACAATGGTTGAACTAATTTACATTCCCACCAACAGTGTAAAAGCGTTCCTGTTTCTCTGCAACCTCACCGGCATCTGTTCTTTCTTGAGTTTTTAATAATCATGATTCTGACTGATATGAGATGGTATCTTATTGTGGTTTTGATTTGTATTTCTCTAATGATCAGTGATGTTGAACTTTTTTTCATATGTTTGGTTGGCCGCATGTATGTCTTCTTTTGAGAAGTGTCTGTTCATGTCCTTTGTCCACTTTTTAATGGGGTTGTTTGTTTTTCTTAAAGCCATTTGTTCTTCAACAGGGGACTCCTGTACTCCAAGTAACACTTTCTGCTCCCAGAGCCACTTCCCTACCCCCTGCATACCCAAAATACTGGGGTGATATTTTAGATTTCCAGTCCTCCAGATACATAAGGACAAAAATGTGCAACCTTTTGCATCATATAACAAAGTTCTTTCTTTCTTCCCTAACAGATATCACACATGATGAAGTCTGATAGCTAGTGTCGGGTAGTTGACAGAAAAACAAACAAAAAGGTTTTTTTAAATAAAAAAGCAAGCCTGTGGGTCTTCAGAATAAAATCACTTTGATTCAGCTATAAAAATATGACTTAGAAACATTGCAGTGAGCATTGCCAAATACAGCTCCTCTGCTACCGTCTGTCCTGGAGCTGCACACCTGTCCCTGTACCGCTGAGCCCACGCTGTAGGATCTTGGAATTGGGGCGTGGACTTGTTCATTGTGAGCACACAGAATGTGGACATGATTCTGAATGTGTGGCTGTGTTGGAACTTGCCCAATCTATTTCAAGATGATAAATTACATACTTCCGGAAAGGCTATTCTGTTTTCCCCACAGAAGATCTTAACTACTCTTTGTCTTCTCCTTTTATAGAACTGAAAATTTAATTTTGTCTAAATGTGCTTTTCTTCATATTTACTTACATTCTCAGCATTACAGTATACTGTCTACAGAAACACAGTCCTAGTTTTTCATTTTAGGAAAAGGTGATTCATTATGGAACAAATCTTAATTTTAATATTACCATGCTTTGGTAGAAGTCAGTGTTGGAAAACTCTAGAAAGTATTGCCTTGGAATAAAAATATCAGGTGGGGGAAGGAGCAAGGATAGCTGGGGGAGGGCTGAGCTTCTATTTCCTGATGAATTGAAGTTCACATATGGATGGGGTGAGATCATGGTGTAATACACAAAACTTGGGTCAAGAGGGTAGAAATTAAAGGTAGGAAAACATTTTAGAAGCCTCTGTTGCTGAAATATTTTTGCATTGTAGTGGATATTAATTATTCCGATGTTAATTATTCGCTAGGGGTCTGTGTTAGTCCATTTTCACACTACTGATAAAGACATACCCGAGACGGGGCAATTTACAAAAGAAAGAGGTTTAATGGACGTCGGGTTCCACGTGGCTGGGGAGGCCTCACAATTATGGTGGAAGGCAAGGAGGATCAAGTCACGTCTTAAGTGGATGCCAGCAAGCAAAGAGAGAGAGCTTGTACAGGCTTTTTAAAACCATCAGATCTCGCGAGACGTATTCACTATCACGAGAACAGCACGAGAAAGACCCGCCCCCATGATTCATTTACCTCCCACTGGGTCTCTCTCCCTTGACACGTGGGACCTGTGGGAGTTACTATTCAAGATGAGATTTGATGGGGACACAGCCAAACCGTATCAGGGTCTTTCCTGGTTTTTACCCAGTGTGCTTCAAACAGTCATTGCTTTGCAGCCTACTTGCCTCGCCGGGGATTTGTTATCTCCTCTCATAGTGCTCTAACAATTTCCTTTTGTTCTCAGATCACTGCCCTTTCTCACCAGGGGAGGATTCACTCACAGAAAGCAGGTAGTGGGCTGTCTTAGGTAAAGAAATACCCACTTCTGGTGAAAGCCAGGTGAGGAAGGCCAGTGGGAACAGACGGGAGAGAAGGAACAAGCTCTCTGCTGGGAAGGTCACTGTTCCCAGGGAGGACTTATTTGGAGGCTGAAAGCCAGATAACTAAGAAAATTAAATGGTAGTTTCCAATCAGAGTAAAAAAGGATCCAAGGAAGGTGGGGATGAGTTTCTGGAAGTGGTTTTGGCAGAAGGCAGTTTCATCTTTCCATGCACTTGCACACAGGTAGAAATCTGCATTTTTTCACCTGAGTTTTGCTCACTAATGTTCATAATATTAATACTTCGGGAGAAAAAGGAGACCCTTACGATGAGATTCACTAGAAAGCTGAGCAAGACATGTATCCTGGAGTTGGCCACGGGTACCACTGCAGATGCTGGGCAATACAGTTTGTGTTGTGTAAATTATACACACTTGAGCTGGCAGGAACTAGGGCAGCACCTGGACCTGACAAAAAAGTCAATTGATAGATGACACATTTCCTCCTTTGTATGTTGGTGATCAATTCTAACTTTTTACAACCTAGTCAAATTGCTTACAGCTGAAAAATATGGGGTTTTGTTTTGTTTTGTTTCGTTTTGAGACGGAGTTTCACTCTGTCACCCAGGCTGGAGTGCAGTAACGCGATCTTGGCTCACTACAACCTCCACCTCCTGGGTTCAAGCGATTCTCCCACCTCAGCCTCCCAAGTAGCTGGGATTACAGGTGCGTGTCACCATACCCGGCTAATTTTTGTAGTTTTTAGTAGAGATGGGGTTTCACCATCTTGACCAGGCTGGCCTTGAACTCCTGACCTCGTGATCCACCTGCCTCGGCCTCCCAAAGTGCTGGGATTACAGGAGTGAGCCACTGTGGCCAGCCGAAAAATATGTTTTGATTAATATTATGTAAGGTAAATAGGGGAAACGTTCACAAAGATGATTCATGCTAAACAAATAAAACCAGAGCCACATCCATCAGCATAACGTAGTGCAATAAAATGTTATATATCAAAGTACGCATCTACTAAGTCCTATTCATCGGAGACAGCCACAGGTGATAGTGTATGGGCAGAGGTGCCACCAACCTAGCATGTCCTGCATGGGGGCTTTTCCCTTAGTCAATAAAGGCCAGTGACTAGGCGGTAGCTACCTCTTGAAGAGATGGGACTAGGGTTGCGGGGCGGGCTTTCCCACATAATCTCTTGTGGGATGTCAGAGATGATCTGGGTAAATCACGTGTTTATGCGTGAGTTATTTGCCTTGGTCAGGAAGGCTGCCTTTGAACTGACTAGAATAGAAAAATGACAGGTGTAAACTTGCCCTAAGTTACATTTCAGGTTGGTCTTCATACCAAAGCTTATGGAGAATTGGGATCTAAACTGTTACTGTGGTTGAATCCCTGACTTTCTCTTTTTTCCTCCTTTTTTGAGGAGGAAAATCAGAGATAACATTTTAGAATAAATAATTTATTATAGCTGAATTACTTAATACTGGCAATGAGAGCTTTGTGATATATATATTACATTATATAATAAATTACATATATTATTACATATATTACTTATATATACATAATATATAAACTATATGCCTATTATATATAATTTAAAGGAGGGAATGAATGTAGGTGTAGTAGTATGTCATCTTAGAATTTTTTGGGCTTTTCATCATTTTTATGAGGAAGTCAATTAACAACATCTTGAAATTGTTAAACACATTCAGTGAACAGAACTTGGCTTCAACTGTGAATTTTCACCACAAGCTCTGCAACAAATTGTAGGGATGCTCTAAGGAGAGCCACAGCTACTCTCACGGTCAGAGCCCCCTAAGCACACACATACACACCAAGCTGATTCTGCCTGTCATTCTCATGACTATACGGTTTCCCACTGTAAATGTATATTCCTTTTATCACAACTGAGTTGAGTCATAGCCATCCTTTAAGGCACAGCGAATGTATTACGCCCACCGTAAGTTCTGCCAACATTGTATCTACTCCTTCCCGTGAATGCACAGTCAATTAACACAACTGGGTAAGTATATCTAACTTACCAAGGGCAGAACTTAGAGCACAGACTGTATTTGCACCATGACATTAGATACTCGGTTATAGTCATCTTAACTCCAATTCTGCATATGAGGAAAAGAGACTCAGAAAAGCTGAGTGGCTTGACCGATATTGTAGAGCTTATTCATGGTGAAGATTCCAGGTGGTCTTGAAGTGCTCTTACCCCTTATGAAATTTCCCAGATGTGAGGCAGATGTTGCAGTGAGCTGAGATCATGCCACTGCACTCCAGCCTGGGAGACAGAGTGAGTCTCCATCTCAAAAAAAAAAAAAAAAAATTCCCAGATGTTTGAGGAGGAAGAAGCATAGCAAGTGCTTCTCCACCTCTGTTTATTTTTTCTGTCTGATCCAGGTCTGGGTGGCTAGTGGTTGAGAAACCACAGGATAGTGGTTTCTCCTGTCAGTGAATAGGAATCTTCATTAGGCAAAAAACAACACTTGGGCGAAAATGAAAAAAAACCCAAGTATGTGTTGAATGCAAAGAGTATGTTTACTTGTAGCAACATTATAGAATATATTGTGTAATGCAAACATACACAATGCCTTCTAAGACTGTGAAAGCATTTTTTATTAGTCAGTGTTCTGTAGAGGCACAGAACTAATAGGCTAGATGTATATATGAAGGGAGTTTATTAAGGAGTATTGACTCACACGATCACAAGGTGAAGTGCCACAGCAGGCCATCTGCAAGCTGAGGAACAGGGAAGCCAATCCAAGTCCCAAAACCTCAGAAGTAAGGAAGCCTACAGTACAGCCTTCAGTCTGTGGCCAAAGGCCTGAGAGCCCCTGGAAAATCACTGATGTAACAAGAGTCCAAAAGCTGAAGAACTTGGGTCTGATGTTCGAGGGCAGGAAGTATTCAGCATGGGAGAAAGATGGAGAAAGCTGATTTGATGGTGCCCACCCAGATAGAGGGTGGGTCTGCCTCTCCAGTCCACTGACTCAAATGGCAACACCCTCACAGACATACCCAGGAACAACATTTGCATCTTTCTTTTTTTTTTTTTAATTATACTTTAAGTTCTAGGGTACATGTGCACAATGTGCAGGTTTGTTACATATGTATTCATGTGCTATATTGGTGCGCTGCACCCATTAACTCGTCATTTACATTAGGTATATCTCCTAATGCTATCCCTCCCCCCTTGCCCCACCCCACAACAGGCCCGGGCGTGTGATGTTCCCCACCCTGTGTCCATGTGTTCTCATTGTTCAGTTCCCACCTATGAGTGAGAACATGTGGTGTTTGGTTTTCTGTCCTTGCAACAGTTTGCTCAGAATGATCGTTTCCAGCTTCATCCATGTCTCTACAAAGGACGTGAACTCATCCTTTTTTTATGGCTGCATAGTATTCCATGGTGTATATGTGCCACATTTTTTTAATCCAGCCTATCATTGATGGACATTTGGGTTGGTTCCAAGTCTTTGCTGTTGTGAATAGTGCCGCAATAAACATACGTGTGCATGTGTCTTTATAGCAGCATGATTTATAATCCTTTGGGTATATACCCAGTAATGGGATGGCTTGGTCAAATGGTATTTCTAGTTCTAGATCCTTGAGGAATCTCCACACTGTCTTCCACAATGGTTGAACTAGTTTACAGTCCTACCAACAGTGTAAAAGTGTTCCTATTTCTCCACATCCTCTTCAGCACCTGTTGTTTCCTGACTTTTTACCATTCTAACTGGTGTGAGATGGTATCTCATTGTGGTTTTGATTTGCATTTCTCTGATGGCCAGTGATGATGAGGATATTTTCATGTGTCTGTTGGCTGCATAAATGTCTTCTTTTGAGAAGTGTCTGTTCATATCCTTTGCCCACTTTTTGATGGGGTTGTTTGATTTTTTTCTTGGAAATTTGTTTGAGTTCTTTGTAGATTCTGGATATTAGCCCTTTGTCAGATGGGTAGATTGTAAAAATTTTCTCCCATTCTGTAGGTTGCCTGTTCACTCTGATGGTAGTTTCTTTTGCTGTGCAGAAGCTCTTTAGTTTAATTAGATCCCATTTGTCAATTTTGGCTTTTGTTGCCATTGCTTTTGGTGTTTTAGTCATGAAGTCCTTGCCCATGCCTAGGTCCTGAATGGTATTGCCTAGGTTTTCTTCTAGGGTTTTTATGGTTTTAGGTCTAACATTTAAGTCTTTAATCCATCTCGAATTAATTTTTGTATAAGGTGTAAGGAAGGGATCCAGTTTCAGCTTTCTACATATGGCCAGCCAGTTTTCCCAGCACCATTTATTAAATAGGGAATCCTTTCCCCATTGCTGGTTTTTGTCAGGTTTGTCAAAGATCAGATGGTTGTAGATGTGTGGTATTATTTCTGAGGGCTCTGTTCTGTTCCATTGATCTATATCTCTGTTTTGGTACCAGTACCGTGCTGTTTTGGTTACTGTAGCCTTGTCATTTAGTTTGAAGTCAGGTAGAATGATGCCTCCAGCTTTGTTCTTTTGGCTTAGGATTGTCTTGGCAATGCAGGCTCTTTTTTGGTTCCACATGAACTTTAAAGTAGTTTTTTTCCAATTCTGTGAAGAAAGTCATTGGTAGCTTAATGGGGATGGCATTGAATCTACAAATTACCTTGGGCAGTATGGCCATTTTCACGATATTGATTCTTCCTATCCATGAGCATGGAATGTTCTTCCATTTGTTTGTGTCCTCTTTTATTTCTTTGAGCAGTGGTTTGTAGTTCTCTTTGAAGATGTCCTTCACATCACTTGTACGTTGGATTCCTAGGTATTTTATTCTCTTTGAAGCAATTGTGAATGGGAGTTCACTCATGATTTGGCTCTCTGTTTGTCTGTTATTGGTGTATAGGAATGCTTGTGATTTTTGCACATTGATTTTGTATCCTGAGACTTCGCTGAAGTTGCTTATCAGCTTAAGGAGATTTTGGGCTGAGATGATGGGGTTTTCTAAATATACAGTCATGTCATCTGCAAACAGGGACAATTTGACTTCCTCTTTTCCTAATTGAATACCCTTTATTTCTTTCTCCTGCCTGATTGCCCTGGCCAGAGCTTCCAACACTATGTTGAACAGGAGTGGTGAGAGAGGGCATCCCTGTCTTGTGCCAGTTTTCAAAGGGAATGCTTCCAGTTTTTGCCCATTCAGTATGATACTGGCTGTGGGTTTGTCATAAATAGCTCTTATTATTTTCAGATATGTTCCATCAATACCTAGTTTATTGAGAGTTTTTAGCATGAAGGGCTGTTGAATTTTGTCGAAGGCCTTTTCTGCATCTATTGAGATAATCACATGGTTTTTGTCATTGGTTCTGTTTATATGCTGGATTACGTTTATTGATTTGCATATGTTGAACCAGCCTTGCATCCCAGGGATGAAGCCCACTTGATCATAGTGGATAAGCTTTTTGAGGTGCTGTTGGATTTGGTTTGCCAGTATTTTATTGAGGATTTTTGCATTGATGTTCATCAGGGATATTGGTCTAAAATTCTCTGTTTTTGTTGTGTCTCTGCCCGGCTTTGGTATCAGGATGATGCTGGCCTCATAAAATGAGTTAGGGAGGATTCCCTCTTTTTCTCTTGACTGGACTAGTTTCAGAAGGAATGGTACCAGCTCCTCTCTATACCTCTGGTAGAATTCAGACGTGAATTCGTCTGGTCCTGGACTTTTTTTGGTTGGTAGGCTATTAATTATTGCCTCAATTTCTGAATCTGTTATTGGTCTATTCAGGGATTCAGCTTCTTCCTGGTTTAGTCTTGGGGAGGGTGTATGTGTCCAGGAATTTATCCATTTCTTCTAGATTTTCTAGTTTATTTGCGTAGAGGTGTTTATAGTATTCTCTGATGGTAGTTTGTATTTCTGTGGGATCGGTGATGATATCCCCTTTATCATTTTTTATTGTGTCTATTTGATTCTTCTCTCTTTTCTTCTTTATTAGTCTTGCTAGCGGTCTATCAATTTTGTTGATCTTTTCAAAAAACCAGCTCCTGGATTCATTGATTTTTTTAAGGTTTTTTTGTGTCTCTGTCTCCTTCGGTTCTGTTCTGATCTTAGTTATTTCTTGCCTTCTGCTAGGTTTTGAATGTGTTTGCTCTTGCTTCTCTAGTTCTTTTAATTGTGATATTAGGGTGTCAATTTTAGATCTTTCCTGCTTTCTCTTGTGGGCATTTAGTGCTACAAATTTCCCTCTACACACTGCTTTAAATGTGTCCCAGAGATTCTGGTATGTTGTGTCTTTGCTCTCATTGGTTTCAGGGAGCATCTTTATTTCTGCCTTCATTTCATTATGTACCCAGTAGTCATTCAGGAGCAGGTCATTCAGTTTCCATGTAGTTGAGCGGTATTGCGGGTGTTCCTTAATCCTGAGTTCTAGTTTGATTGCACTGAGGTCTGACAGACAGTTTTTTGTGATTTCTGTTCTTTTACATTTGCTGAGGAGTGCTTTACTTCCAACTATGTGGTCAGTTTTGGAATAAGTGTGATGTGTGCTGAGAAGAATGTATATTCTGTTGATTTGGGGTGGAGAGTTCTGTAGATGTCTATTAGATCTGCTTGGTGCAGAACTGAGTTCAATTCCTGGATATCCCTATTAACTTTCTGTCTCATGGATCTGTCTAATGTTGACAGTGGGGTGTTAAAGTCTCCCATTATTATTGTGTGGGAGTCTAAGTCTCTTTGTGGGTCTCTAAGGACTTGCTTTATGAATCTGGGTGCTCCTGTATTGGGTGCATATATATTTAGGATAGTTAGCTCTTCTTGTTGAATTGATCCCTTTGCCATTATGTAATGGCCTTCTTTGTCTCTTTTGATCTTTGTTGGTTTAAAGTGTGTTTTATCAGAGACTAGGATTGCAACCACTGCTTTGTTTTGTTTTCCATTTGCTTGGTAGATCTTCCTCCATCCCTTTATTTTGAGCCTATGTGTGTCTCTGCACATGAGATGGGTCTCCTGAATACAGCACACTGATGGGTCTTGACTCTTTATCCAATTTGCCAGTCTGTGTCTTTTAATTGGAGCATTTAGCCCATTTACATTTAAGGTTAATATTGTTGTGTGTGAATTTGATCCTGTCATTATCGTGTTAGCTGCTTATTTGGCTTGTTAGTTGATGCAGTTTCTTTCTAGCATCGATGGTCTTTACAATTTGGCATGTTTTTGCAGTGGCTGGTACTGGTTGTTCCTTTCCATGTTTAGGGCTTCCTTCGGGAGCTCTTTTAGGGCAGGCCTGGTGGTGACAAAATCTCTCAGCATTTGCTTGTCTGTAAAGAATTTTATTTCTCCTTCACTTATGAAGCTTAGTTTGGCTGGATGTGAAATTCTGGGTTGAAAATTCTCTTCTTTAAGAATGTTGAATATTGGCCCCCACTCTCTTCTGGCTTGTAGAGTTTCTGCCAAGAGACCAGCTGTTAGTCTGATGGGCTTCCCTTTGTGGGTAACCTGACCTTTCTCTCTGGCGCCCTTAACATTTTTTCCTTCATTTCAACTTTGGTGAATCTGACAATTAGGTGTCTTGGAGTTGCTCTTCTCGAGGAGTATCTTTGTGGCATTCCCTCTATTTCCTGAATTTGAATGTTGGCCTGCCTTGCTAGGTTGGGGCAGTTCTCCTGGATAATATCCTGCAGAGTGTTTTCCAACTTGGTTCCATTCTCCCCGTCACTTTCAGGTACACCAATCAGACGTAGATTTGGTCTTTTCATATAGTCCCATATTTCTTGGAGGCTTTGTTCGTTTATTTTTACTCTTTTTTCTCTAAACTTCTCTTCTTGCTTCTTTTCATTCATTTGATCTTCAATCACTTATACCCTTTCTTCCACTTGATCGAATTGGCTACTGAAGCTTGTGCATGCATCACGTAGTTCTCATGCCATGGTTTTCAGCTCCATCAGGTTATTTAAGGTCTTCTCTATGCTGTTTATTCTAGTTAGCCATTTGTCTAATCTTTTTTCAAGGTTTTTAGCTTCTTTGCGATGGGTTCGAGCATCCTCCTTTAGCTCGGAGAAGTTTGTTATTACTGATTGTCTGAAGCCTTCTTCTCTCAACTCGCCAAAGTCATTCTCCGTCCAGCTTTGTTCCGTTGCTACCAAGGAGCTGCATTCCTCTGGAGGAGAAGAGGCACTCTATTTTTAGAATTTTTGGCTTTTCTGCTCTGGTTTCTCCCCATCTTTGTGGTTTTATCTACCTTTGGTCTTTGATGATGGTGACATACAGATGGGGTTTTGGTGTGGATGTCCTTTCTGTTTGTTAGTTTTCCTTCTAACAGTCAGGACCCTCAGCTGCAGGTCTGTTGGAGTTTGCTGCAGGTCACTCCAGACCCTGTTTGCCTGGGTATCACCATCGGAGGCTGCAGAACAGCAAATATTGCAGAACGGCAAATGTTCCTGCCTGATCCTTCTTCTGGAAGCTTTGTCTCAGAGGGGTACCCGGCCGTATGAGGTGTCAGTTGGCCTCTACTGGGAGGTGTCTCCCAGTTAGGCTACTCGGGGGTCAGGGACCAACTTAAGGAGGCAGTCTGTCTGTTCTCAGATCTCAAACTCCATGCTGGGAGAACCACTACTCTCTTCAAAGCTGTCAGACAGGGACGTTTAAGTCTGCAGAGGTTTCTGCTGCCTTTTGTTCAGCTGTGCCCTGCCCCCAGAGGTGGAGTCTACAGAGGCAGGCAGGCCTCCTTGAGCTGCGGTGGGCTCCACCCAGTTTGAGCTTCCCGGCCACTTTGTTTACCTACTCAAGCCTCAGCAATGGCAGGCGCCCCTCCCCCAGCCTGGCTGCCACCTCGCAGTTCGATCTCATACTGCTGTGCTAGCAGCGAGTGAGGCTCCATGGGCGTGGGACCCTCCGAGCCAGGCGTGGGATGTAATCTCCTGGTGTGCCATTTGCTAAGACCATTGGAAAATCGCAGTATTAGGGTGGGAGTGACCTGATTTTCCAGGTGCCATGCGTCACAGCTTCCCTTGGCTAGGAAAGGGAATTCCCTGACCCCTTGCACTTCCCGGGTGAGGCGATGCCCCGCCCTGCTTCGGCTCATGCTCCATGGGCTGCATCCACTGTCCGACAAGCCCCAGTGAGATGAATCTGGTACCTCAGTTGGAAATGCAGAAATCACCCGTCTCTGTATTGCTCACTCTGGGAGCTGTAGACTGGAACCGTTCCTATTCATCCATCTTGGAACTTCCAACACTTTGCATCTTTCAATCCAATCAAGTTGACGCTCAATATTAACCCTCACCGGAATGTTATGTGTTGAGGCAATAATTAATAGTTATCCTTGGTTGTTTCAGAAAATGTCATGATTAATAGTTATAGTAAAGGGAGGAATTGTAACTTGACAAAATAGTTTGGTCTAGTGTCCAGTTTACAGGGCATTGAGATGGTTTTCTGGTTTCCCTTGTTTTGCCCTCAGTACACAATGCTCAGTATTCAGAAAGGCTGATGTCTATTTTCTCCACAAGTGCTAATAAAAATTTTTAAAATGTGGTGTGCATTATTTATATAGTTGTTTTATTCATAAAAGATTTAAAATCTAGGTAAGCTAACTCAAAATGCGACTTTGTACTCTGCGATTTTTAGGCCTAGAAGTGGTCATGACTGTGAACATTATGTTGGCTTGGAACCTTTAAAAGTTCATTTGGTCTGTACTGCAGGTGGCATTTGGATGAAAGCACAGGTGGTACATACAGTACTTCGATGACTCCATCTGTTTGGTGTGGCATGTTTAAGAATGACTTCTGTTAAAGGGATTTGACTCGAAATGCAAGCCCTCTTTCCTGGCGTGTTGGTCATTTTTGTGACATTAGTGGTGGAAAAGAAGCTCAAAATGGTCTCTGGAGTGGAGTAACAGCAGGGCTTACTTTTGAAATTGTCTTTCAAATGCCCTTTTGGGCATGGGGTCACCGTGTTTAAAGCTTTTGAAAGACTCCCCACAGAAATGAATCAAGTGTTGCATTTTCAGTGTGGTGTCCAATTTTGTGATCAGAGGTACTGTAGAGGAAAGTCGGGTGTTTTCTTAAATTCCTTTTTCTTTTTGGAAAAGTCATTTACTTATTACGTTTAATATAAAGAATGTTTTAAAAAGAGAGAGAGAGAGAGAGAAAACACCTGGTTGTTAGACAAGCTGGCTCCATGCCAAAGTGAAATGAAACATACAGCAATCAAATGTCATTAGCATCCAGGTCCGGCATTGACCCATTCTTTCCTTGCTGAAATTGTGTGTGTGTGTGTGTGTGTGTGTGTGTGTGTGTGTGTGTGTGTGTGTGAATTCAGAGAAGAGGCAAATTAATGTGGCTTAGAGTGTTGAAAAATGGACTTAAGAAAGAAAATGGGGATAGGAATGGCTAAAATTTGGATAGGTGGAAAGATGGGATAAAAACACTCCAGGTGAGGAAACAAACTTTTGTTAACTTGACTTTGAATATTTTGGGGACTATGCATGGAATGTATGTCTGAGGCTTTTAAATTGAGAAAGCATGCTTCGTTAGACAATTATCTCTTACATGTATGCACAGCCTTATGTGACATTATTTATATAACTTTAGAATATATGTGTGTGTATGTATATGTATATGTGTGTGTATGTATATATATATACAAATACATATACATATTGGGGAAAGAAAGAATTAATTAGACTTTAAATTCTTCCCTGCTTTTTTCCATGACAATATTGATTATTTTATAATCAATATTTAGTGATAACTAAATATATTTAGTGATAACTAAATAAATTTAGTGATAACTAAAAAATGAAATAACATAGTTTAGAAAACCTACGATGAGCTCCCAAACCTTATTTCTCTCGTTTATTTATTTGAAAGACATTTTTCAAAATCTGCCCCTTTATTAAATTGCTGATGTTATACAGACAGAAAAAACCAGTAGTCGGGGGTAGATCTGCAAAATAAGGACGTCAACTATGGGCTGTGGAAACCGGCTCTTCCAAATCTGTGCTGCCCCTACCATTGGCTAGTTGTCCCTTCCTGGGGAAATTTTTTGACCCCTTGAGGGTTGTTTCCTCGTCTACAAGATGCGAAAACAACATCCACCTGAAGATTGAATGAGAGCACTACCTAGTGAGTTGCCTAATGAACAACTCATGATAGACATAATAAATGCCAGTTGCATTCTATTTTCCTGTACCTCAGAAAAATATCAAGGCTTCCCTACCTAAACATTCATTTTCCACTGCTTCATATCTCTATTAGCTAGTATAACTTCATTCTCTCTTTCCAGCTTTCATCAGCACAATTTCATTATAATATTAATTTCTCATTTATAACCCCGTGTTATTGTTTTTATTCTCCTTACAAGTTGTTTTTGCTTCAATGCCTCTTTGTACTATCATGAAATATATTTCCTCCATTGCTGAGTGATCTCTTCAATTATTCTCTGTTACATGTACCTTCCTTTGATTTATCTTTTTACGACCTCCACAAGGCATTTTTTTTTTCTTTAGGTTTGTAATGGCTTTGCTTGATTCTGAAACGGTCATGGCCTCGAGGGCAACCAGAGTCTTGTTCTTACTGCCTGCTCTATGGCTTCTCTAGTAAAACCTCAGCTGTGAAAGCAAGTATCTTTCACTTCTCCTATGCTCAACTAACTTCAGTCTTTGTGTCCTGAGATCAGACAATCTCACATCCACGTAACCCCAGGTCCTACCACTGCACTGGGCATAAACCAACACATTTGCCTGCTAGTCACAGTAGAGAAAAATCTGTGAAACCTTTGTCATTTGGCAGGCACAAAGTCATTCTTGAGAGAAAAACCCAGTTTGCATTAATCAAACAGCTTTCCCTTCCCATTTCTACCTTTCTTTGAGGCATTGTTGAATACACACACACACACACACACACACACACACACACACACACACATATATATGTACGTATGTATGTATTTTTGAAAGCCATTTTATTTGTAAAATTCTGTGCTATAGCACCGACTCTTTATAAAGAGTCATACCCATGTTAAAATGTCTTCTTGATATCATTAATATCCTTCTTCTTGATATTTATTATTCATACTTTGATATGGTTTGGCTGTGTCCCCATCCAAATCTCATCTTGAGATTGGGTGGGATGGAGCTGGTGAGAGATAATTGAATCCTGGGGGCAGTTTCCCCCATACTGTTCTCGTGGTAGTGAATAAGTCTCGTGAGATCTGATGGTTTGATAAGGGGAAACCCCTTTCGCTTGGCTCTCATGCTCTCATCTGCCACCATGTAAGATGTGCCTTTCACCTTCCGCCCTGATTGTGAGGCCTCCCCAGCCACGTGGAACTGTGAGTCTATTAAACCTCTTTTTCTTTATAAATTATCCAGTCTCAGGTATGTCTTTATCAGCACCATGAGAACAGACTAATACACACTTGTTTGTAGGATTGAAATCTACATGATAAATAAGGTGATTTTTAAAAGATGAGCAGTTTGCTGTGCTTGTTGCTGTAAGGGATCTTCAGGGAGTCCCTGAATCTGAGAATTGGAAGTAAGGTTGGAAGATCATCCTGTGCCTCCCTCCATCCAACACAGTAATCTTCTTAATGTCTCAGTCAGAGGCTGTTCATCACTGATGAGCCTGCCACTGATGAGCAGTCCTGGCATCATCACTTCCTCTGCAAAGGACACTGTGATCTGAGGCCCCACTCCATGTCAGGCCACTCCTTAGACAAAAGCTCTGTCTTCTGATGAGCTTCTGCTCCCTTTTGCACCATGATAATGACTTTATTTTTAGTAAGGATAGACTCACTCAATTGATGTTTTCTGCTGTTGGGGAAAAATTGTTTTATTAAGAAGCATTTTCCAACAAGTAAGTTGATGTTAAGTAGGCTTGGATATATTTGGAATTCACGAATGTGTTTTCTCCATTAGTTCCCTGAAAACCAGAAAACTTGACGTTTGTTTTAATGCAAAGATGAACTCTGGTTTTGTCCAACAGAGCTAGTGCTGGCCTTTGCTTTCAAGCCCTGTAATCTGCATCAACCCTCAAATTCAGTGATTCAAAAGTGAGTGACTCACTTCGTCTTTGAAAAGACCGTGAATATTTCTAGATTTATGAGCAATTCAAAACAGCCAGGCTTTTAGAAGGGATTTCCCAACTCATTTTGTTGAAAGGTAGGACTAAGACTTCTCTAGAAAAGAAACCGATCTACTAAGTACTAAAGAGTATTTATGAGCCACGGTAGACTTTATTTTTCAGAATCATACTACAAGTGTAGGAATACCCAAACCCTGCCAGGGTTTTGAAAATTACATTAATTTATGCCCAGGTATAACCCCCCCATCATAAATCCTGAAAAATGTGCAGGAAGACTGTGACAGGCCATTCTAAGAGCGTAACAAGGGCTACATCTTTCAGCACCAGACTGATGTTTATGTATGTGACTACTTGGAAGATGTTTTACTTAATGTACCATGTTCTTAAATTGGCTCTATTTTAAATATAATCGTAAGAGTTACACTTTATGTTTGTATGCCAGGTAGTTTATAAATGATGATTTTAACCACTCCCCGTTTCACACCACCCCAGCCTTATGAGGTAAGTTTTATTCTTCCTGCTTTACCTCTAGGGAAACTAAAACTCAGAAACTGCAAGACCTTGCCAAGGTTACGTCCAATAAGTAGATCACTACCTTGGGCTGTTGGCTGCCATACTCACATTCTTCCCCTGCATTCTTTCCCTTGTGCCTTCAGCCTATCTTTGGAAAGGAATTTCTGATGTTAAGGCACCTATTTGTTTGGCTTTGGTGTAGTTTTGTTTTTTGGTGTTGTGTTTATCTGTGCATAGAGTAACATATGGAGGTCTGGGAATCCTTGTTTATCTTCCAAAATTATAGTTCTGTGAACCACAAAATTTCACGTAAATCCTATTAAAGCTGATGTGAAATAGAACTAGAGAGATGATAGGAAAAGGAGAGTGATGAATTTATTAAAGCTTACTCCCTTTTAATAGACACCATCAGGCTCATGTGTTAGGTTGCTAGTTAATTTTGTGAGGATTACCTTTCCAAATGACTTCAATAATTTCCACTGCTCTATTCAAAACCTTATTTTACATTTGAAGGCCTAATAAAGAAGAAACTATGATCCTTTCCTTGTGTTACTTGAAAGTTTATAGGAAAGCATAATCCCAGATGGGATGGTTCTATCTGTCCCACAACATCTGTATAAGACCGACGCTGGCATCAAACGCATTTCATCCACACACGCTTCCTAAATCAGCATCAGCATTTATGAGCAACTCTTCAAGTCTCTTGTTCACATGCATGTCATTTTAATGCAGTTTATTTGAAACATCCGGTAGAATGTTCCTTCTTACCCGTTTCCCTAAAGCATGAGAAGAATTGGCAAGTGATGAGTCATTTCTCTGTCAAACATAGGATTGATGCATTTAGAATGTGGAAGACACAGTCATGACCAGTCACACCAGGCCATGGGCCAGAAACCCATCAAACAGGAGGCAGAGCTGGAAGCACAATTTTATTTTACCCATTTAAAATTATGTGTGCATTGACACCAACCTTCATGCACGTGACCCATAACCCAGCAAGAATTATTTCATTCATAGAAAGTCACCAAGGCCTACTTAGTCCTCACAGACTACTTCTATTGGATTCTGGGTTTAGCTTTCCCCCAGCTTCACAGTGGTAATGTTTCACACACACACACACACACACACACACACACACACACAGTGGCAGCAGGAAACCAGTCTACCCATTGCCTTGCTGTGTATACCACCCTGGACTGAGACTTGAACCCAGTCCGAGCCCAGCTCTGACACTACCCAGCCATGTGACCTGGGCTCAGCTTCCTTTCCTGTGAAGGGTGAGAGTCTCAGTGCCCTCCTGACCCCTGGGGTTGATGGGAGGGGCTGCTGAGATGATGTGTGACAACATTAAAGTTCTGCACGCATGTAAGCTCATTTCAGATGTGCCCCAATCCCTTTGGCATCTTTGTGAGGACTTCCATTTGCCTTTTGAATGAGACTACCTCTTCTGATTTTGGTTTCAAGTCGTAAACACATCTTTAACTTAGACTCACCATCCAGCAGTCCCCTGGGTATGCAGATGCCCTGCACTCTTCCCAGTGCCACACCCTGCTGCAGGTGCATGGTGCCCTGGCCAGGTGCGCCTGCCCTTCTCTTGCTGTCAGCGTCCCTCTTTTCTTCCAGATACAGCTGGGGAGACTCCCTTTACATGGAGATGTGCCTGACTCCACTACAGGATGCATTTACTCCGGTCTTCTCTTGGTTACTCACAGTGGCCTGTTCCCTCCTGACCTGGGGCCCAGCACAGGCTGCCCACCATCTCCTGGGATGCTCTCACCCTCTTTCCTGCTCTTCCTGGAGTTCAGGGCCTCTGTTCTCCCTTCTCACATACATCACTCTGTATTTACTCTTTGAAAGACTCATCACACTCATAAATCAATACTTATTTTATCATCCTTTGTTTAATGTCTGTCACCTCTTTTTCTGCAGACTTCTGAGGGACAGTGCTATGGACTCAATGGCTGTGTCCCTCTAAAATCTATATATTGAAGCCCTAACCCCCAGTGTGATGATATTTGGAGGTGGGGCCTTTGGGAGGTGATTAGGTTTGAGGGTAGGGCTGCCATGATGGGATTGGGGGCCTTATAAGGACGAAGGAGACAGCCAAGCATTCTCTCCCTCTCTCTCTCTCTCTCTCTCTCTCTCTCCCTCTCTCCCTCTCTCTCTCTGTCCTTCTCTCTCTCTGTCCCCCTCTCTTTCTGTCATGTGAGGACACAGGCAGGATGAGGGCTCTCACTGGAACTTGAGCATGCCAGCAACCTGAACTTAGACTTCCTGCCTCCAGAACTGTGAGAAATAAATGTTTGCTACTTAGGCCACCTAGTCGGTGGCAATTTGTTACAGCAGTCCAAACTAAGACTGTATCCCCAGGATCCAGCACAATGCCCAGCATAGAGATTTTCAGTAAATCTTAGATGGGTGCAGTAGTGACTGTCCTGCCTCTGATTTCTACCCGTCACCTGTCACACTCCCTTTATACTTTCCCAGACAGCTAGCATTTCACTCACATTGCTGCACAGGCCTGGTCTCCTATGAGTTTGAGTTATTTACTGAAATTGATATTCACAAGTATTACTTCTTTTCAACAAACATGCTAAAGCATGAACTTCTACATTAGTGTAGTAACCTTGGTAGGCTGTAAACTCCCCACAGCCACATGCAGGACACTTGGAGTATTGCTTGTAGGAATTGACTTCAAGGCTTGAAGCTTTTAAGAAAAGTTCTCTCAATGAGGATATATGTGTGTCCTTAGAGAAAGAATTTCATTACATAAGAGAAACCCACTCACTCCAATTCAGGTTTGGAGAGTAAGCTAGGTAAGCAAGCTTGAAAATTGTGACCACTTAGGGTCAAAAATGGCAGGTAGTAAGGTTGTCATGCTGTGGAGTGAGCAAGCACCTGGGGCTGTTCTTAACCTTCACTATTAACCAGCCGTGTGTCTTAGCTGAATTACTTAACCTCTCATTGCTTTGATTATTTCCTCTGTAAGTTGAGGGGTGTGGTGTACTATATCTATGGTTATTTTTCTGTTCTGAAATCGTGTATGTGGCTGTGTGTGTGCATGCACGTGCATGTCGCGGGTGAAATGTACTGACTCGTAACAAAGCTTGAGAGAAAATCAGGCTTAGTACAATGGCAGTTTGGTTGGATTAAAGCCCCCTTTCAAAGACAACACTCTTATCTGTTGATGTTCTATATGTTTGTTAAGTAAAGCAATACATCAAAACTTTTCAAATCATGGAATATTTAAAAAATGATAATATTTTGATGGTACACTGAAGTAAACTGGTGAGATGATGGTGTCTATATGAGGCTTGATGAAAACTTTCACCGCATATTTTTATGTAATTATTCATAAAACAAAATACAAAATATTAGGGAAGATATTAAATTTTGAAGTTGTGGGAAACCTCCAAATAAAAAATGTATCAGTTTATAATTGAGAGTGATGACCTCTCTTCGGATTTCCAACTTGAAATGCTTCATTCAGCAGTCTTCAGAGAGTCACCACTTACAAGAAATTTTGCTCATAGAAAGAAGTGACAAAAAATAAAAAATCATTTTCACAACTATTAACTTCCTATTGCTGCTGTAACAAATTACTATAAATGTAGTGGCTTAAAATAACACAAAATAATTATCTTACAGTTCATCTGAACTGGGTTTTAATGGGCTCAAATTAAGATGTCAGTAGGGCTGTGTTCCTTCTGGAGGCTCTAGGCAAGAATTTGTTTTCTTGCCTTTTCCAGCTCCTAGAAGCTGTCTGCACTCCCTGACTCGTGGCCCCTTCCTCCATCTGCAAAACACATCCTCCAGCGTCACATCTCTTTCTCCCACTCTGACTGTCTTGCCTGGCTCTGACAAGGACACTGTGATTACATTGATTCGTCCCAAGTAATCTAGGATCTTCCAGCATCCTGGAAGCTGCCTGCATTCTTTGACTCGTGGTCTCTTTTGCCACGTAAAGTAACGGACTCACAGGTTTTGGAGATGAGGACGAGGACAACTTTGGGGGAATCATTGTTCAGCTTATCGCAACCACCCTTCAAAAATTCCCATCAACTGAAATTATGTTTAAAGAATCAAGCAGAGTTTCCTTTTCTGTTGCTGACAAATGTGATGCTGAAATTTCTTGCAATAATGTGAATGGATTTCTAATCCAAGATCACTTTTTATATCAAATATTTCAAAGTAATGGTGACTCTGCAGAATGGGCACACCCTTGCAGAGCAGCCATCTTGTAGCTAACCGGGACCAGGAAAAGGACACGTCAGCTAGAAGAAGACAGGAGGTGGCCAGAGGCTCTGAGTGGCTGCTGAGATGGGGGCCCCCATCTCACTTGTCCCTCTCCACCCCCTGTTATCACCCTGCTGAGCACTGTGCTGGCTCCTTGGGTTCCCAGGTGATGAGGCTCTTCAGCAGCCCTTTGTCCTCGATGGGCGAGGGACACTCTGCCTGAAGTACACATCTAGCTGGGGGGTGCTGGATGTTGCTCCCAGAGCTGAGACCCCACTTTGCTTAGGCCACCCCTGATCTAGACAGATCAGCCTCAAAGGGATGAAGATCTCACAAGCCTGCCGTGGCTCCCAGGTGGGAATCTAAGCAAGGCAGGGAGTGTGTGGGTATGGAACAGGGCTTCAGAGTCAGGCTACTGGTGTCAAACCCAGGACCTCCTGATGATTAGCTGCCTGACATGGTGCAGGTCACCTCACCTTCCTGAGCAGCTTCTATTGTAAACTGGGGTTCTTGCCTCCTAGGTTGCTGTAGAATGAGGTCCGGAGAGTGCTTTGCACAGTGCTGAGAACAGCATCAATGCTGATCACTGATGATGAGAATGAGGATGCTGGTGTTTTCAGCCTTGTCTTGTTTTCTTTCTCCCAGGGTAAATTCTTAGTCATCTTCACCTTACCTGCTCTGTACTTATCAGGGGTGCTTCGTGCAATAAGCACATGATGGAAAGTGTCAATCGTTGTGGCAGCCACATGACATCTAGGTCCTGATAGAAGAGGCCCTACCCGGCTGCTGGTTAGAGGCTTGCCATGTGCAGGGCTGGGGCTGCTGCGTTAGCAGGTGTGTTAGCATTCCACAGGTGAGATCAGTTGACTGTAGCAATTACTTCAAATGGAATGAAACAGAAGCCTTAAGTGATTCCATCTCTCTTTGATACTCCATTTCTACCTGCATAAGATCATATAACATTATGATGAATTCCTGAGCTAATTTGGAAATTATACATATTTATATTTCGGTTGTTATTATAGCAGTAGTGCACTGATCATTTGATTCCGAAAGTAATTTCCTTCTACAAATTTACCCTTGACATTCTAAAATGTATATTCAGATTTAATGGAAAAAAAGATGTGTTATAAAACAAGGCAGTGTTTTTGAGCCTGAAATAGTAAGGGAAGAGCATTAATTTGCTTTTAAGTTTAATTAGAAATGGAATGACTTTCTAAATCATAATTGATAGCATTTTAATTAGGATATTATTTTTCAGTGTCTGGAATGCTCATTTTTCACATTTGAGATCAAGAAAGTACTTTTCGGGATATGTTTGCCTTTGTTAACCGGTTGGGTGAGCCTTCCAGATTTTTTTAAGCAGATATTTTTGTAAAAATATTTAAATATTGATTGTTAATAAAGCCATTTGTTTTAATTCAGTGGAAAATAATTTTATTAAGGCTTAAATAAAGCTGTGCCAGCAATTTTCCTTCATCACAGTGTTTTGGGGCTGCATTAATTATAAGCAATGGAGCTGCTGGAGACATTTACACAGCACACAAATTCCTCATTGTTAGCAACGGCTGGTGTGTGCTGACAGCTACCTCTTAGAGAAATGCAACCCATGGTTTAACGGTGGAAAGTGTGGCATTAGCATAATTTCTTGGCAGGGACAAAGCTGGGGTTGCAGCATTGTCTTCAACAGTGACTCCTTCGTTAACAGTGTCTTATCAAGGCCTGGACTCCCGGGGCGACATGCCGCCACATGATCGTGTCATAGGTAACCGGAATCCTGTGGGAAATGGCTGCTTCTGAATAAAAGGGGAAGGATTTAAATTGCTTATGATTATGATTTGAAAAGGACCTGTGGAAGAAAGATTCTGAAAGGAATTGCTTGTGTTTGATCAAAACTGACACAGTGTCACGGCAGCTTCTTTGACATTGACAGTAATGCATGTTATAGTTTCCATAAGGTGATCTAGAATTAAAACATTGTATTCTTCAGAGACCAATTCAGACTAAAATAGATCTGCTAATGCAAGGCTTCAGAGTCAAGAATAAATTATAGCCCCTGAGGTTCTGGAAGTTCATTTGCATATTGTTAAGTGTAGTTCAGATAATTGGAAAAAATTTTTTGTAAATTTTAGAAGATATATCAAGACAGTATTGGAAAGTAATAGAAAATATCAAATAATTATTTTATATTAATATTTGTCCTTTATACAATAAACTATTCCCTGACCTCAGGATTCCTTTTGATTTTGTGAATAATAAATAGAATTATAAAACTAAATATAACTGGCTGGGTGCGGTGGCTCACGCCTGTAATCCCAGCATTTTGGGAGACTGAAGTGGGCGGATCACCTGAGGTCAGGGAGTTCAAGACCAGCCTGGCCAACATAGTGAAACCCCATCTCTACTAAAAATACAAAAATTAGCTGGACGTGGTGGCACGCATCTGTAGTCCCAGATACTCGGGAGGCCGAGGCAGGAGAATTGCTTGAACCTGGGAGGCGGAGTTTGCAGTCAGCCGAGATCGCACCACTGCGCTCCCGCTTCGGCGACACAGCAAGACTCCGCCTCAAAAAAACAAACAAACAAGGAAGCTAAATATGACTGGTAAAATTTGGTAATATAAGATGAGGAAGTAGCGACCATTTATTGAGCATTTACTGTATCCTGGACAGGCAGTGTGATAAGTGCTGCACACATTTAATACATCTAATTTACATTTGATTTTAAATTTAAATTTACATTAAATATATGTATTAAGCTGTTCTTGCATTGCTATAAAGAAATACTGGTGACTAGGTAATTTATAAAGAAAGGAGGTTTAATTGGTTCGTGGTTCTGTAGGCTGTACAGAAAGTATGGTGCTGGCATCTGCTTCTGAGGAGGCCTCAGGAAGCTTACATATGCATGGCAGAAGGCGAAGGGAGAGCAGGGGTCTCACAGGACTAGACAGGAATGGGAGCAAGAGAGAGAGTGGGGGAAGTGCCACACACTTTTAAACAATCAGATCCCACAAGAACTCACTACCACAAGGACAGCACCAAGCCAGGAGGGATCCACCCCCATGACGCAAACACCTCCCACCAGGCCCCACCTCCAACACCGAGGATTATATCTCAACATGAGACTTGGAGGGGACATCCAAACTATATCAATATATTTAATTATCTTAACTCTGTGACTTACTGTCCTCAAGTTGTAAATGGGGCCATTAAACATCAAGAAAATTAAGTGATATTTCCAAAGTCACTCGGCTAGTAGAGGGCAGGTCTGAGATTTGAACCCAGGTCATTTGATTCTGGAGCCTGCAGGATTGACTCTACAACCCCTGGGCCATGTTCTTTGTCACTACTCAGTTCTACTGAATCCATTAAGTGATTCCCCTGAGGCTCCTTTTCACCATCCCTCTTGCATAAGCGTGATTGTGTCTGATTGTGGCTATTTAAAATACACAGCACCCTGATCATTCATTTCATAGTCCTTTCTCTTGTCAGCAATTCTACCAATTTCTTCTTTATTCGTTTTGTTGTTTTTGTTGTTGTTGTTCTCTATTGGATTCACGTGGGCATGGCATTGGGCTCCTCTGTGCTGACCACGTTTCCTTATCTCCTCTCCATCCCAGTCGTACAGCCTGGAAAGAGGGGGTGCGTTTCAGGGATGAGACCAGAGGGTATCTTTGCTTCAGATTTTCCAGAGCCTTCTTACTTGCGGATCCTGTGGGCCCATGAAGTGTGTGGGGGATCATGTATGAGTGTGGGGGGTCATATATGAGTTGGGGGGGGTCATGTATGAGTGCGGGGATCATGTATGAGTGTGGGGTTTGTGTATGAGTGGGGGGTTATGTATTATTGTGGGGGTCGTGTATGAGTAGGGGGGTCATGTTTGAGTGGGGGGTTGTGTATGAGTGCGGGGATTGTGTATAAGTGGGGGCATCATGTATGAGTGTGGGGGTCGTGTATGAGTGCGGGGGGTCATGTGTGGGTGGGGGGATCGTGTGTGGGTGCGGGGGGTCGTGTGTGGGTGCGGGGGGTCGTGTTTGAGTGCGGGGAGTTGTGTATGAGTGCGGGGGGTCGTGTATGAGTGTGGGTATCGTGTACAAGTGTGGGGGGTCATGTATGAGTGCAGAGATCGTGTATGAGTGGGGGGGTCGTGTATGAGTGCGGGGGTCGTGTATGAGTGCGGGGGTCGTGTATGAGTGCGGGGGATCGCGTATGAGTGGGGGGATCGTGTATGAGTGTGGGGGGTCATGTACGAGTGCTGGGGTCGTGTGTGGGTGGGGGGGTTGTGTGTGGGGGCAGGGGATCGTGTTTGAGTGCAGGGGATCGTGTATGAGTGCAGGGGTCGTGTATGAGTGCGAGGGGTCGTGTATGAGTGGGTCGTGTATGAGTGTGAGGGGTCGTGTATGAGTGTGGGGTCGTGTATGAGTGCGAGGGGTCATGTATGAGTGCAGGGGGTCATGTATGAGTGTGAGGGGTCGTGTATGAGTGGGGTGGTCGTGTATGAGTGCAGGGGGTCGTGTATGAGTGTGAGGGGTCATGAATGAGTGCGGGGTTGGGTATGAGTGTGAGGGGTCATGTGTGAGTGTGGGGTCATGTATGAGTGCGAGGGGTCGTGTACGAGTGCGGGGATCATGTACGAGTGTGGGGATCGTGTATGAGTTTGGGGGGTCATGTACGAGTGCGGAGATTGTGTATGAGTGGGGGGGTCGTGTATGAGTGCGGGGGTCGTGTATGAGTGGGGGGATCGTGTACGAGTGTGGGGAGTCATGTACGAGTGTAGGGGTCATGTACGAGTGCGGAGATTGTGTATGAGTGGGGGGTTCGTGTATGAGTGCGGGTATCGTGTATGAGTGCGGGGGATTGTGTACGAGTGAGGAGATCATGTACGAGTGTGGGGGATCATGTAAGAGTGCGGGGGTCGTGTGTGAGTGCGGGGGATTGTGTACGAGTGAGGAGATCATGTACGAGTGTGAGGGATCATGTAAGAGTGCGGGGGTCGTGTATGAGTGCGGAGATCGTGTATGAGTGCGGAGATCGTGTATGAGTACGGGGGATCATGTATGAGTGGGGGGGGTCATGTATGAGTGCGGGGATCGTGTATGAGTGGGGGGGATCGTGTATGAGTGTGGGGATCGTGTACGAGTGCGGGGGGTCATGTACGAGTGCGGAGATTGTGTATGAGTGGGGGGGTCGTGTATGAGTGTGGGGGATCGTGTATGAGTGGGGTGTCGTGTATGAGTGTGGGTATCGTGTATGAGTACAGGGATTGTGTATGAGTGCGGGGATCGTGTATGAGTGCGGGGGGTCATGTATGAGTGTGGGGGATCGTGTATGAGTAGGGGGGTCGTGTATGAGTGCGGGGGTCGTGTATTAGTGTGGGTGTCGTGTATGAGTGTGGAGATCGTGTATGAGTGCGGGGGGTCGTGTATAAGTGCGGGGGTCGTGTATGAGTGCGGGGGTCGTGTGTGAGTGCGGAGGTCGTGTATGAGTGCAGGGGATCATGTATGAGTCGGGGGTTCAGGTATGAGTGGTGGGGTCAGGTATGAGTGTGGGGATCAGGTATGAGTGTGGAGATTGTGTATGAATGTGGGGATTATGTATGAGTATGGGGATTATGTGTGAGTGTGGGGATCATGTATGAGTGTCTCCAGGACTGACAGAATATCCCCTGGTGGTTTAAGTCAAGTGGGGCCCAGAGAAACTCTGGACAGATAGAGGGTGATGCTCTTAGTTCCTCTTTTTACCCATAAAACAAGAGGTTCAACAGAACAATACATTGTTTGCAGGAACAATATGTTCTGAAATTATAAGCTCTGAAATTTATTCTTGAAAAGATCTTTAGGGCCCCAGAAAGGTTTAGGCTCCCATATGGTTTAGGGGATAAGCTCTATGCCCGGAGGTGCCCTGTGCCAGCCCACTCCCAGGCAACCTGTGAGCTAGGCCTGGCCCTTTACAATTTCCTTGCACCCCCTTGGAGCAGGTGCTGACCAGAACAGCTTGATCACCTTCCCCTGTCACTGGGAGTTCTGTGATCATCCACGCTCCATCAGCATTCTCTTTTGACAAGAAGCTTGTTTTGTATAATCTCCCACCGGAAATGATGGAAGTGGCCTGAGATGAAGATGAGCCTCGGTAAAATCTGTTATGTTTTACTTCTGGAAAGTGGGATTCAGCCTGGATTATGAAGTACATGAATTTGTGTTTTGCAGCTCAGTGGCTCTCAACCTTGGCTAGACAGTAGAATTATGTGAGGAACTTTAAAAATACCAAATACCATGGACTTGTCCCAGAATAATTAAAATCAGAATCGCTAAGGCTGGGCCCTGACAGCAACATTTCTTAAAAGCAGGCGAGTAGAATGTGCAGAGAGGGCTAAACCTTGAGTGAGAAGATGGTGAGGCAGTGAAGGCGGCTCTAATACTGCTACTGCTACTTGTAGTAGTGCAGCTAGTACTGCTAGTGAACAGTTACTAGGTGCCTATCATGTGCTGGTGTTGTTCTGAGCATTTTTCATAGAACAAAATTATTCTCATGCATTCCTTACAATAACCTATCAGCTTATTTCATTTTCACTGATGTGTACTTGGAAAACCTTGAGGAGGTACAGCAGTGTATTCAGAGTGAAATCATGTTTCATGGGGCATTCTCTACTACAAAGGTGAAGTTTAACCTGTTTGTCTAGGTGCAAGATATCTGACTTTTCTTTTTTCTTTTTTTTTTCTTTTTTTTTTTTTTTGACAAGGTCTTGCTCTGTTGCCCAGGCTGGAGGCTGGTGTGCAGTGGCACGATCTCAGCTCACTGTGATGTCTCCCTCCTGGATTCAAGTAATTCTCCCACCTCAGCTGCCTGAGTAGCTGGGATTACAGGTACCCACCACCAGGCTCAGCTAATTTTTGTATTTTTAGTGGAGATGGGGTTTCACCATGTTGGCCAGGCTAGTGTCAAACTCCTGACCTCAGGTGATCCACCCACCTCAGCTTCTCAAAGTGCTGGGATTATAGGCATGAGCCACAGCACCCAGCCAGATCTCTGACTTTTCATATCCATTGTCTTGTCATAGAAGACTTAGGTGGTCTTGGACAGCAAACATGCCTTGGTTCTGCCAGCTGAGACCCAGGTGTAGTACAGTAAACAGTGATCTTCAGATTCTGAGTTACAAATCCTGGCCTCCTAATTCCTAGAATCAGACTTCACATGAGTTTCTTGAAATGCATCTTTGCTAAAAATATTTTATAAAACTGCCAAAGTAAAGAGATCTTGATAACATACTGCCATGCAGAGACTCAGGTAGTACATACAAAGTCCTCCAAGTGCTCCAACTAACTCCTGTGTACTTGGATGTAACGCCTTTGTACCTTTCCATGTGATCCCTCATGTTACATTTACAACCTCCCTGGGAGGGCTCCATCATGAAGGGCTAGATGGGTAAGGTGAAATTTAGATTGTGTTGTAATTTAGCTGGTTGCAAAATCTGAGATCACTTGCCTTCTAGTCAGGTCATTTAAAAAACATATTAGGCAGGGTGTGGTGGCTCACACCTATAATCCTAGCATTTTGGGAGGCCAAGGTGGGTGGATCACGAGATCAGGAGATCGGGACCATCCTGGCTAACATGGTGAAACCCCATCTCTACTAAAAATACAAAAAGTTAGCTGGGTGTGGTGGTGGGCGCCTGTAATCCCAGCTACTCAGGAGGCTGAGGCAGGAGAATGGTGTGAACCCAGGAGGCGGAGCTTGCAGTAAGCCGAGATCACACCACTGCACTCCAGCCTGGGTGACAGAACCAGACTCCGTCTAAAAAAAAAAAAAAAAATTAAACCGTTAGTGTAGTGTTGTTGGTTTTGGTGTATTCTTCTATCAATGTATAGAGTATGTAACCACCACCATCTGCAAGGTATAGAGCAGCAGCATGGAGTTCCCAGGGATGGACTAGGGCGTCAAAGCCACCTTTTGTCTCCTCCGCTTACCTGAGGGGCCTGGTTAAGCTTAAGTTTCTCTAAGAGGTTAAGCTCTATGGCCAGCCCTCACTAGTGATTTCTTGGCAGTTAGGTGACAAACTCAGAAAGTTTGGCTGATGATAGGAATGGGAATGTGTGAAGTTTTTCCCGCTTGACAAGACACTGTAATTCATGATCCCCATCAGAGGGACTTGAGCCATGAAAACAAGGCTGGAATCAAAACTCTAAAGGTATAGGTTACTTTTCAGAAAAAAATGAACTGATTTACCCATAGAGGCCTCTGAAAATAAGAATGTCCTGCCTGGCACAGTGCTGCCGTCTGGATCTGAGCCTGGGGTGCCCTGGGTGGGTATAGACAGGACATGTGGAGGAGGGTGTCAGGAGCGTGCTTGTCCTCTGTCCTGGTCCAGACCCTTGCCAGCCCACTTCCACCTTTTCTTCCCTTCCCCGAATTTAGATCTTGAGCTCCATGCTCAAAGGCCTGGAGAGTTTGGGGCTGCCCTTCCATCCCCACAACTTAACACCCACCATCGACTCCTTGACAAGGCAGAGTAGCCAGAAGCTCCTTTGATGCCTGGGAGCCTCTCCAAGAAAGCTCGTTTTGATAACAGCACTCATCCTTTGATCTCCACAGGGAGCAAGTTACCAACTTCATTTTTTAAAATTCTGACAGTTTTGTTGACTTTGCACTCTGATGAAAGCGTAAAATCCTAGGATGAAAAGCTCTACCTACATATCAAATAATAAAATAGTTATACCCTAGAAGAAGAGAAACTCACTGTCTCCTGCTAAAGAAATACCTTCTGTCTATGCAACTTTTCTTTCCCCCTTTCTATACCTCTCTTATAAGGGCAAAGCATTTATAGCCTCTGAGTTCTAAGAAACCATGGGAGCACGGTGATCTGCTGGTGAGATAACCGAGATAACAGGGCCCATGGTCCAGGTGCCAACACCGAGGACCCTTGTTCCTTTATGTGCACAGAAAGAAGCATTAAAGAGAGTTGTCTCATTTCTGGTTGGGCGCAGTGGCTCACACCTGCAATCCTAGCACTTTGGGAGTCCAAGGCGGGTGGATCACCTGAGGTCAGGAGTTTGAGACCAGCCTGGCCAACATGGTGAAACCCCATCACTACTAAAAATACAAAAATTAGCTGGGCATGTTGGCGGGTGCCTGTAATCCCAGCTACTCGGGAGGCTGAGGCAGGAGAATTGCTTGAACCTGGAAGGCAGAGGCTGCAGTGAGCCGAGATTGCGCCGTTGCACTCCAGCCCGGGCAACAAGAGCAAAACTCCATCTCAAAAAAAAAAAAAAAAAAAAAAGAGTTGTCTCATTTCTGTGATGTGACATCTGATTATGAAAGTCTTCTACAGTGAAGGAATGGGGGAGGAGGAAGGTAGAAGGAGGGAAAAGAAAGAAAGAAGGAAGGGGAAAGATAAGAAAATGACGAATTATATTAGAATATTTTTGCATTTTATGGAGCAGGAGGTGTCAACAGTAGTCAGCCTGTATGGGTTTGAATTCCGCTGTTTGTTTACTGGAGATGTGGGTAAAATGCTTGACTAATATTGCTTTGAGGGGCGCTTGTGAGGATTAGATAAAATGATCTTTACAAAGTGCCTGCCAAGTAGTAAACACTCAATAAAGGTTGTTATACAATCCAGTGGCAAAAAATAGGATTTTCATTTCTTATTTGGTTTCTAGATCCTTCTACAGAATAGGAGGTGCTCTGTAAATACTGATTGAATATGTAGATGCGAGAATGCCTAATGAGGAGGTAGAGAACTAGTGCGGCCCACATTGCCCACATCTCTTCTTACCATGCTGAGGAACTTTTGTCATGCGTATCCGCGCATCTCAATTTTGAGGTAATGCTTAACTCTACCAGGGAAAGAATTTAGTGTAGACATAACTGTTAAGACAGCTACAAAGCCAGTGTCCTTAAAACAAAAAGTCATTGAATAGAAAAGAGATAGAATTGACCATTTTGCTGTGATACACTGTTCTCTTATTTTAGTATTTCTCACTTAGAACTAACAAAGGTTTTAACTGTTGAGTCAAAGGTATGCCATAGGACTTAGACCAATACCAGGTGGAAGGTAGTGAGAAGGATTGTCTAGAAGGAAGTGTGAGATGCCGTTAGACATCCAAGCTGAGGTGCTAAGGAGTTAGTAGGTACCCGAGCTTGGAGTTTGAGGAAGCAATCAGGCATTTAAATCATTCTTTTTAGGAGTTTTTAGGAACTTCAGTTCTTATGGAAACATTGAGTATTCTACACATCCATGTAAAAGCTTAACAGACTGGACTTCCTGTTTCCACTGAGGTTGAATAGAAATGACAGTAACAACAGTCACAATATTTAACTTTTATCAAGGGCTTACTTGGTGCTTAATCCTGACTTGGGTGCTCTGTATGCATTATTCCACTTAATCCCAGACCATGTCTATGACCTGGATACCATCATTCTCTTCATTTACACAAAAAGAGATAGATACGGAGAAATTAAGAAAATGACCCAGTATCATACAGATAGCTAAGTCATGGCATTGAGTTATAAGGGGATAAATTATGAGATGGACTTCTGCACAATGTGTGTCCTCTAAAATAGGTCTTTTCCCCCAAACTCCATGATTAGTGCTTCTGTTCACTTATTAAAAACACTGGGCCAGGCGCAGTGGCTCACGCCTGTAATCCCAGCACTTTGGGAGCCCGAGGCGGGCAGATCACTTGAGGTCAGGAGTTCAAGACCAGCCTGGCCAACATGGAGAAACCCTGTCTCTACTAAAAATACAAAAAATTAACCAGGTGTGGTGGTGCATGCCTGTAATCCCAGCTGCTCGGGAGGCTGAGGCAGGAGAATCGCTTGAACCCGGGAGACGGAGGTTGCAGTGAGCCAAGATTGCACCACTGCACTCCAGCCTGGGCAACAAAGTGAGACACCGTCTCAAAAAAAAAAAAAAAAAATTGCAGACCCTTTGGCTAAGGAGCAAACTGGGCTAATGTACTAGTAATAGTTCCTTCTTACAAGCCATTGCTAAGATTTTGGTATAAAGAGTTAGTTAATGTGGTATTTCGTTCATTAAGTGAATACTGAGTACCTGCTATTTTCCAGGCTCTGTTCTAGGAACTGAAGCAATGAACAGGTCACACAAGTCCCTGTTCTCATAAAGCTTGTACACTAGCTGAAAGAGAAAGACGGTAAACAAGTAAATGAGTGTGCTATTTTAGACAGGGTATTCAGAGTGGGCATCTATAAAGAAGTTCCATTTGAATAGAGACTGAATGAAGAGGGTGGGGAAGAGCTTTTCTGGAAGAGGATAGAGCCAGTTCAAAAGGCCCCTCATTGACAAGAGGCTGGAGTGCTCTGAACCACAGAGAAGGCTGTGGTGGCTAGTGGTGCATGGAGGGGGAGGTGGGGCCTGGGTGATGCAGGGCCTTACAGACCATGGCGAGGAGCTGACTCTTTTGTGTGTAGAGAAATTGAGTTTAAGCAGAGGGCTACCATGATCTAGTAGATAAGGCTGAACGATCTCTCTGGTTGCTATATGAGTAGGAGAGGAAATTGGTGATAGAGACACAAGGCATCTCTCATATGGCCCAGAGGGACTGGTGAGAAGTGGTCAGATTTGAGTTATATTTTGAAAGCCAAGCCAATAGGACTTGTCTTTGGGTTGGTACCTATAGCATAGGGGAAAAACATGGATCAAGAATGACTCTTGGGCTTTGGCCTGAAAAATGGGACACGTTTGGAGGAAGGGATATATTGTATAACCCAATAAGGAAGACAGTGGAGGCAGAAATTTGCAGGATGGAATTGGAGCAAATAGGGTTCTGTTTTGGACAGGGGAAGTGTGAGATGCCTTTAGACATCCAAGCTGAGGTGCCAAGGAGTTAGTAGGTACCCGAGCCTGGAGTTTGAGGTAGGAATCAGGCATTTAAATCGTTCTTTTTTAGGAGTTTTTAGGAACTTCAGTTCTTATGGAAAATTTAGTATTTTAGAAATATTTAGTTGTTGAGGCTGTCTTCGATCCTTGAGATTGATTCCTGGAGAACATGCTGGTGTGTGCTGGGATTTCTCACGCTTCCCCTGGGGAAGGCATATTCCCATGCTGAGCAGATGGGAGCTCCAGGCAGCCGCACCAGCTGCACGGTGGTAGAATATTTCTAAATAGTTCTCTAGGCACAGGCAGCTATTTTTCTGAATTCTTTGACTCATATAACCTCTTTACTAAATCCAACATAGATCTTACATCCTATTCATGCACGCTCTCAGTGGAGTTCAGAAGTACATTAATTAAGGTCTAACAAATTGTTCATCATGTTCACATTTAAAAGGGTCCTAAAATAGCCCAATCATGGGCATGCTGGGTGTTTGTGTTTAAGTGTCTTATACACTAAAACTGGACCCTGATGTTCCTTTACTATATACAAATGGCCACTGTGAACACCAAGTGGGCTATAAATCAGAAGATGACAAAGAAAAGGGGAAGGATGATGACTCAGTATGGAAAAACCTATAAGCCAGAACCCGCTTATTTATTATGTTTGGATACATTTCCCCAGTTCAACTGTCCCTGGCTTAAGCCCTGCTTCCCCCTTCTTAGTCCAGTTTCTTAAGTCATTTTTGCTCTCTGCTGTCAAAAGCACCTTTCATCCACTCAGACTAAGACACTGACCTTATCCCCCAATCATCTACTGTTCTCTAGAGGTATTCTTGCAGTTCCGTTCCATGATTTTCTACATTTCATTCCATTAGCTTGTTTGGTCATTTTTACTTTTCTGGTGAGATGATTTTCCCTAGACTCACAAGAGTTACCCCTCTTGGATAGGCGCCTTCGATTATACTGATTGCATCTTTGGCTCCCCAGGTGATCAGATGTCTCCAGATGGTAATGTTTACAGTGCCTGCCTCACACAGAAGCCTGAGATGGCAGGAAGGACTCTAGGTAGGCTTTTCAGATGGGTAGATGCCTGAACATGCTCTGGAAAAACCAGTCTTCTCTCCTCTCTGCAGTTTACCAGCTGTGTGACTGTGCATAGGTTACTGAGTTTCTCCAGGCCTCTGTTCTCTCCTCTGTTAAAAGGGGACACTTCTAATCCATCTCTGGTATTTGCATTAAATAGATAAATACCTGTAAAGCACTTAGCAGAGTAGCTGCTACTGAAAGGAAGTCAGTAAACTTTAATTCCCTTCCAAATCCCTCTGAGTCTTTTATTCATCAGGAAACAATAGCCGTGCACTCTGAATACACACATGCCAGTAAATGGCTATTAGTGAAGACAAATCAAGCTCCGGAAGCAAGCTAGCCTGAAGAGAGAAGAGAAACAGACAATTTTAAGACAAATTGGAGAAAGAGAGTATGGGGTTCAGGACCGGCAGCATCAGTATCTCTTGGGAACTGGTTAGAAATGCAGGTTCTCAGACTGGGGCTGGGCAGTCTTGTTTCAACAAGCCCTGCGGGTAATTCTGAAGTACAATAACATTTGAGTACCAATGGTCTAAGCTAAACTCAGCAGATAATGGGTGAGAATAATGGTGCGTGTTACTGTGTGTGTTATGTATGTTTGTGTGCATACATAACCATGTATGTAGAATGTTTGTAACAGCTGAAACTATTAATCAAACATAGTAATATCAGCAAAATCCAGTCAAACCAGTGATTAATTCCCCATTTTTCTTTGGTACTGTTGTCTGAGCAGAAATACTGTATAACTAGAATGCTTATCTTCAATAACTTTGCACTAAATTCATTTGGGATTTAAAAAACGGATTCATCAACTTTTTCCTTTATTTTCTAGGAAATTCCACTTACTTGGATGACCATGGACCACCTCCTAGTAAGGTAAGATCTTTGCTTGTGATATAAGTCCCCTTTTTCTTTTATCTTACTTACAGCCTCCAACAAGCAGAACAGATCTCTCCTGGACACGAATCATTCACAAGAAACAGTAGATGACATATGTGAAATTGATGTTTAACTTCTAACAAGGAGGAAGCAGAAAAGCATGATGATAGCCCAGATGACAGGGAGAAGGAGCCATTGTTGAATCAGTGGCTGTTGCTGCCCAGGCATTGGAGCCTGAGACTGACTTCAGACCTCTGGCAGCTTCTCCTGTTTGCACCTCATTTTCATTTGCCTTGGCATCGATGCTGGCCCACAGTGTGATAGCCACACCCGGCCTCCCCATGCCTTCGGGCTTTGGGGCTAGACTCACATCTGTCCTGTTCTCTCCAGCCTAACTGGGTTGGGATACTCCACTTGAGGCCCTGCCAATACCACCTCAAGGCTGCCCTGGCCTGGCCTGTGAGTCCACTTTTGTTTTTCCTGTAAGCAGTTTTGTCTGACTTAAGGGGCAGAATAATCCTTTAGTATAGTTTCCCTAACACTGTTTACTTTCTTGAGCTCAATGAAAACCGAATGCTAATCTACTGAAAAGTGAGCAAACTAGAACAAATTGATCATTGTATATAAGAAAATACATGCAATGCAATTACCCTTTATTCTAACCGTATGTCCCTTGTACTTTTTTGACATCATTTTTTTTCCTTCTAGGAAATGATGGGGATTGTTGATCAGTACTTGGGAAGGGGTTGTGCTTGGCAAAATAAGAAGTTGGCAACCCTCTATCTGTCACTTCAAGAATGTTCTTTCTGGCCTGTGAAATCTTAAAGTGTAGATACAAGCACTCTAGCTCTCCCTGTACTTGGTTGTTTTCTTAGTCTTTGACCACTTAAGGTGATGCCTACAAAATGCAGTTGTAAATACACGGTGAGAAGATAATGAACCCCCAACCTTAGAGGCTTTGGGGAAATTTACTCCTGTATTAGTCCATTCCTGCATTGCTATAAAGAAATACCCGAGACTGGGTAATTTAAAAAATTCCACAGGCTGTATAGGAAGCATGATAGAGGCATCTACTCAGCTTCTGGGGAGGCTTCAGGAAACTTTCAATCATGGTGGAAGGCAGAGAGGAAGCAGGCGCATCTTACGTGGCCAGAGCAGGAACAAGAGGGATTGGGGGAGGTACCACACACTTTTAAACAACCAGATCTCACAGGAACTCACTGTCGCCATGACAGCACCAAGGGGGATAGTGCTAAACCCTGAAAATCCACCCTCATGATCCAGTCACCTCCCACCAGGCCACTCCGACACTGGGGATGACAATTAGACATGAGATTTGGGTGGGGACACAGATCCAAACAAATCAGCCCCAAAGTATGTTTAGACCACCCCCACATTCATGAGCATGAACTTTGGAAGAAGATATTTCTGGATTCAACACTGACGCTGCCACTTTCTAGCTGTGTGACAGTGGATGAATTACTTAATATTTTGAGCCTCAGTTTCTCATGTGCAGGGTGGGACTAAAAATACCGCTTACAGCACAGGATGCCTAAAATGATTGAATGAGCTGATGTATGATGAACACTTGACACTGACATGCGATAAACATTAAATCAAGGGTGGCTGCTGTTAACTGTACTGCAGTAACATTAAAATTATTGATGAGTGGTACAGCAGTATTTATCACAGTCGTGGAATGGTTCTACCACTTGATCCACCACCTGTTTATTGAATGCCTGTGATGCTGCAGGTGGTAGAAATACAAATATGAAACAAAACAAGAACAACAACAACAAAAATAGCCTCTATTCTAGAGGAGCAAAGGAATATAGAGGATTATGTTCTCTCTGGGGATAAGGACCGTGTCTAACTCGTCTCAGTATCCTCACATTCTTGTATTAGCCTCAATGCACAGAGGCACATCATGACTATTCATTAAATTTCACTGAATTAGACCATGGAATCCAGAGCTGGAATCTGAATTAGGTCTTCTGGCTTCCATCCCAGGTTCTTTCACTGAGCCAGTATTCTCAAACTTTAGCTTGCATCGAAAGTACCTGGAGGCTTATTAAAACACAGATTGCTGGGCCCAGGCCCCAGAGTGTCTGATTCAGTGGGTCTGGGGTGGGAGCTGAGCATGTGCATTTCTCACAAGCTCCCACATGATGCTGATGCTGTCAGTCTGGAGTTCACATTGGAGAGCCACTGTTCTAAAGGCCATGAATATAAAGAGAACCATTTCCTTAGACATTTTCTGTGGTGTTTTTACTGTTAATAGCCTAGAGAGAGTGATATGGCTATTATCTAAAGTTTATTTATTAATGTAATGATGACTCACCATTGTAAGTTTTCTTGTAGAGAAAACATTTTTAGAGGGGTCAGTTACCTGCCTAGGAGGGACAATAGAGGGGGAAAAGAAGAATGGTGCCGAAGGTCCTGGTAGGTGTCCTCACCAGTGACTTCCTTTTTCTCCCAGGTAGGGAGGGGCAAGGTGAAGCACTCCATAGCCCCCTGCCCTGTCATGATATTATTGAGTTGGATTAGGTGGCTCTGTCAATGGGACCCATCAGCTGTTTTCCTCAATGGCTTTTTGTTCCTGGCTTGGTAAACAGGATTTTATCTGGTCTGAAGACCCAGACCCTTTTTTTATGAACTTGCCTTTTTGACCTTTTTCCTTGGTGGCCAGCCTGAGTCAACACTTTGGTCTTCCTGCTGGTCTTGCTGTGGCTGGGTTGTCTGTCCTGCCTGCCTCTTTGCTGGGATTGTCAGTGCCTAGATTCGGTGTTGGCTGGCTTCACTTCCCCTTCTCCCATAGGGTCTTCCCTAGCTGTGCCTCTTCCCCCTGCCCCTACAGTCTGGTCTTCAACTCCCCCATATCTCCCCCAACCCCTAACTAAAGCTTCTTGTAATATGCAAAAATGATCAGGTTATAGCAGATTATTCAGACCCCTTTAGAGTAAATCCAGTTTTATAAACTCTTTACTAAGTTTGAAAATTGGGAGCATAATCTCTTTAAATCAGCAGAAGTTTACCTAATACAGAAGCTTTCACTATAACTGTATTTTCATTATCTGGGATTGGAGCAGCAAAATACTCTTGATTTTCTAAGCAGTAGCCATAAGAAGAAGAATATAAAAATGGGTAAAAATATTACTGGTATGTGAACATCTTCTCATCCGTTCTTATTGCTTCTGGCAGGGTGGAAATGAATCTCAGAAGTGATGAGGTCAGACTTCCGGATAAAGGTCCCTTAAGTGTCCCCTGGGGTGGGGCCTCAGTGGTTTAGGTCTGTAGACCACTGGCTTATCCAGGGACAGGGTGGCATGCAGACGATGAGGACTCACACATGCCTGGCCTCTGGAATGAACCCTTACCCTGGCAGGGAAAAGCAAGACTCAGTCCAGACCCATCTTTTTCATATTTGCTTAGTGCTCAAAAAATAACTTTTTGATGCCAAGACTGAAAGAGTTGAGATCTAGATAAAATAAGATTTTTAAACCCTGAAAATATACTGACGTTACAGGCGAGTTCTCATTTTATTAAATGTTCAATTTCACAAGTTTCACATTCCACAAGTAATAGCCATTTAGGGAATGGGGTGTGCCACACAACACATACTGGGCCCCCGTCCTCATTCTGTCCAATATTTTCATAAGAAAAAACAAAGCCCTCTGATTTTCACTTGTTTTTAAAATCCACTTGAACCTCACAGCTCACCTCGGTTTTTGAACTAAGCCGCTATTTACAGGTCGATGTTAATATTTTCTTTCGGTTGCCACATTTTACCACTACTTTGTATGTACACAGAATACGGTGGTTTAAGGTTAGAGCACTGACTAAGAATCACCATGGAGATTTCTAGCAAATGAAACAGAAAGATTATTTTAAGTACAAAAACAAAAGCATGATAGCTCTTTTTGTGAAATTGCACGCATATGTTTGTATGTATGCCTACAGAGACAAGCCTGGAAAGGGTAATAGTGTTTTCTCCAAGTGGTGAGATTTTGGGAAGCTTCTACCCAGTTCCTTATACTTTAATGCATAATTTGAGTTCATTAAAGTAACACCTGCTCAATCTAAAAATCAGAAAAAGAAATTTTCTGGTATGAGAGAAGATTACAGTTGGGTTTAAAGGCTTCAGTGCCGTGGCCTCTGCAGCATCATGTGCAGTGTCCACAGACCCGAGAAGCTGACGTTTCCCCTCCTTGGCTTCACTTCACCTGGGACGTGGGTACCTGGTGCAAGCAGCGGGCAGCAGCAATGATAAGTTCTGTTGGTAACAAACAGGATGTGGATATCATTTCATATACATTGACATCCCAAACCCCATAGATAAGGAGAGCTGTTCTAACCGCCTCAAAGATAATAAAATCGCTATCCATATCTGTTTTTTCCTGTGTGCCACACACTATGCTAAGCACTTTGCATGCAAAATTTAATCTCTATAAATGATATAAGAGAGGAAGTAATTTTTAAATCCTTACTTTACAGATAAGGGAGCTGGATTTTAGAGGGACAGGCTAACTTGCCAAAGGTCACACACTAAGTAAGCATTGGACTTGGGATTCCAGCCCAGGGCTGTGTATAGCTCCAGTGCTCATGTTTTTAACCATTTCAAAATTACTAATTTAAGTAGAAATACAATAATTTTCTACCTTATTTCTAAATTTTTGCACTTTTAAATAAGCAATCTGGTACATTGATTAGTATAATACACAAATTTTAACCTTCAGTATACCAGAAAAAAATAGTCATCACCATTTACCATTTGGGTTCAAAGGACACTTAATTTTTTAAAATCAATGCAGTGAACCTTTTCACATCTACTTTATCCGTTTTCTTCCAGTAACCTTTGTATACTTAGCTACCTTCAGCACCTGAACGTTTTCAAACTGTATATAAAGTAAATTTTGGTATACAGACTTGAAAAGGTGAAAGAATACCATCCCACATTCATTTAGCAAAACAGGATGGTCCGGGTTCTTTTCACAAAATATTATTTGAGGGAATCCTTCCTCTTGAACGACTGACTGTATAAGAATAGCATGTTTTCTTTTTGTCCTTAGAAATATATTGTTCATTCAATATATTTAGAGAGTCTAAGAGAATTAATCTATCATGTCATCATCTGAAGAGTCGTAGTCTGACGTTTCGTTTCCATGATCAATTTCATCATCATCATTAGAGTCTTCAGTGCCGTCGTGTGATGGCTTGCATTCATCTCTGATGTTTCTGTTGTTTGTGAAATCTCATCTCTCTTTCTGTCAGTTATCTTCTTTTTGTCATTATAGGCAAGAATGAAAAATTTGAAATTCTCCACTCTAGTCAATGAAATTAAAACAAACTACAAAGATGATGTCTCTAGTCTCCTTTTATATCCTCCAAAAAGATGATGTAATACTTTGGGTAATACAATAAGAAAGATGGAGGGTGATGCAATAGTGACAATTTATTTCACTAATGAATCATTCCCTTAGGCTCACATTGTTTAATATGGTAGCTATTAGCCTCAGGTAGCTATTTAAATCTAAATTAATTAAAATTAAAAAAATAAAAATTCAGTTTCTCCATTGCACTAGCCACATTTCAAATTCTCTGTAGCTATATGCAGCTAGTGGTTACTGTCTTGCACAAGAAAAATAGAACATTTTCATCATCAAGGAACATTCTACTGAATGGCAGTGTTCTAATCCATTCTATTGTTCTTATATTTTTCTATTACTTTAGTCTTCTTAAACCTTATTTGGGAATAATTGATATATAACTGGTGGGTAATTGTTCCTGAGATGATAAAATAGCAAACTGTTTCAAGATATAGGAATAATAAAATTACAAAGATGCCATAATGGATCTTAGATTTTCTTAAACGGTCTGCTGGACCCATATGGTAGTTGCAAGGTAGAATGAGTTTTATTCTCTTTCTTTTTTTAAAAAAAAGTATTTTCTCTTTTTCTTTGTAATATCTCTAAGAAAGAATAAAGTTATAAAATATTAATCCATACAAATAGCTAGAACTGCTTCAAATTTATAAAACCTAAAAAACTAAAAGTGGGTCCAATGGATGCTAATAGTATATTGAGGGTTAAGATATATTACTGATATCTACACTTACATACAAAAGCATTTTTATATATAAAATATTATGTTTGCATATAAAGTATTAGTATTCAAAATTCCGTTGTAAAATGGGTTCATTAGAAGGCGGCTTACAATTATTATGCTGATCCAGCAATCTCCAAATGAATGAGAAGTAGTAATATGAACTGAGATAATATTTGTATAGTGCTTTGCAGTGTCTGGCAGTGAACCATTGCTCAATAAAGTTGAGTCCTTCCTACCTACACCCCCAGAAGCTAATTTCCCTTTAGTATTGATTGTTTAATGCCTACTTAGTCTAAGGGATCAGGAAGACATTTAAAGAATTGAAGATGATCTCTGTAATCTAACAGCTTATAATCTGGTTGTGTCATGAGGTTTGATGGAATCAAAGACAGAGAGCACATGCTTCTGTGACTGATAGATTCTTAAGTCTAAGTGACATGCATTCATCCAAGTGTTTACTATGCATCAAATTTGTCTTGGGCTCTGTGCTGGGTGCTGAGGCTGTCAGGCCACAGAATGCACAGTCTATGCCCTCCGGGAGTTTAGTCCAGTCAAAGGACAGGCTGGCAAACAGATTCATACAGTAAGTATGCTAAGTGGGCTGCTGGATGCTATGATGAGGATGCACACTCAACACAAGGAGAATGCAGGAAGCTCAACTTGACCTTTTTTCCAGGTGCAAGTCCTGAAGTTTGAATAGGAGGAACTAACTAGGTCAGATAACCTGGGATGCGGACAGGCATGGTGGCTTATGCCTCTAATCCGAGCACTTTTGGAGGCTGAGGTGGGAGGATCGCTTGAGCCCAGAGAGTTGGAGGTTACAGTGAGCTATGATTGCACCACCACTCTCCAGCCTGGGTGACAGAGTGAGACTCTGTCTCTTCAAAAAAAAGTCTAGGATGGAAAGGATGAGAAGGGATGGGCCTCACTGCTGGAGTTTTAAGAGTGGTAGGTGGGAAATTGAGATATGAACTGCTTTGAGGAGCTTGGCTTTAACAGGAAAGAGAGAAAAGATGATAGGCAGTGGAGTCCATGTCTACGTAATTGTGTAGTAGGAAAGGAATGATCAGTCACAAATCCAGTTTTGAATGGTGTCATGGATTGAATTATGTTTTCCCAAAAGATACATTGGATCCTAACCCCAGAATCTGTGAGTGGGATCCTGTTTGTAATTAGGCTCTTTGCAGATGAAGATGAGGTCATACTGGAGAAGGGTGGACCCTAAAGACAATGATTGATGTCTGTATAAGAAGAGGGAAATTTGGACACAGAGATAGAGACCCACAGGAGAATGCAGTAGGGACAATGGAGGCAGATTGGGATTATGCTGTTATGCTGCCACAGACCAAGGTACACCAAGGATGGCTGGCAGCCACCAACGAGCAGAGAAGCATGGAGCAGGTTCCCCCTCCAAACCCCCAGGCAGGAGCCAGCCCTATAGACACCTTGATTTCAGATTTCTGACCTCCTGAACTGTGACGGTAAATTTCTGTTGTTTTAAGCCACCAAGTTTGTGGTACTTTGTTACAGCAGCCCCAGGTAGCAATGCAAATGGATTGAGTTTAATATCTTCAGTTACTAGGATACTATTAAGTATTATGCCTTTTAGGCATTATTTGATTTGATTTAAGAAACATTGAAACCATTTTTAGAAGCTTATCAGGATAATTTCAGTGCTTTTTTTTTTTTTTTTTTTTTTGAGATGGAGTCTCGCTCTATTGCCAGGCTGGAGTGTAGTGGCGCGATCTTGGCTCACTGCAACCTCCGCCTCCCGGATTCAAGCAATTCTCCTGCCTCAGCCTCCCGAGTAGCTGGGACTACAGGTGTGCACCATCATGCCTGGCTAATTTTTGTATTTTTAGTAGAGACGGGGTTTCACCATGTTGGCCAGGATGGTCTCGATCTCTTGACCTTGTGATCCACCCACCTCGGCCTCCCAAACTGCTGGGATTACAGGCATGAGCCACTGCGCCTGGCATTTCAGTGCATTTTTAAGTTTTTTTTCCAACCTTCCATACCACTCAGGTTTTCCCCCCAACCTTCTTTCTTCACTTTTCCTCATCATTCTCATGTTTTTAGCTGTGTTATTAGCCCCAACATTCTCTCCAATTTCTTCTATTTAAAATTCATTCCTGCTGTTCAAATTGTGTTATCTTCTACACAAAAAACATATTATATTACATCATATTTTTCTCTGAAAAGGATCTCAGTGACAATTCATTTAAGACAAAGTTACCGAAGAGAGAGATCCTGTTGCCACACAACAGAGGGACATGAGAGCAACAAAGAAAAACAGTAAGGAAGTCTGCTGTCTCTCAAACAATGTGCCCCTATTTCTACAGGAAACTTCTCAGCCTAACTAACCGTTAGGCTAACAATATGATACAGTTTGGCTGTGTCCCTACCAAAATCTCATCTTGAATTGTAGCTCCCATAATTCCCAAGTGTTGTGGGAGGTAGCCAGTGGGAGATAATCATGGGGGTGGTTTCCTCCATACTGTTCTTGTGGTAGTGAATCCATCTCACAAGATCTGATGGTTTTATGAGGGGAAACTGCTTTCACTGATTCTCACTCTCTTCTCTTGTCTGCTGCCATGTGAGATGTGCCTTTCACCTTCAGCCATGATCGTGAGGCCTCCTTAGCCATGTGGAACTGTGACTCCGTCAAACCTCTTTCTTTTGTAAATTACCCAGTCTTGGGTATGTCTTTATCAGCAGTGTGAAAATGGACTAATACACAAAACTACCACAAGTTCCTAAGAAAGATTACATTTTTTTCCCCTTTTAATAACTTCTTTAGATTTAGAGACACATTGACAGAAAGAGGTTCCATGTTCTATAGTAAAGAAACCATGATGTCCATTCCTTGCTTTGAGCTTAAAGATGAAAACCCAAATATATTATAATGATAGTAGGTAAATTACTTATAGAAGGTATTGGGAGTACAATGACCTTCAGTTGGCTTGGTTAAGCATTGGTGACCTTGGAGAAGATTTCTGGATCCAAAAGTCCCCATTTCCCGGAGGGCAGGATTGCTGGATTTTGTGTGTATACACAGTCTCCTTTGGTTAGCATCACTTTTACTTGCAAGAGTAGATTTCAGAGAAAAATGAATTTCTTGTTTCTGTCTCCCAAAACCTCAAAGCCTATTTTTCAGGATATAGACATGCCCATCCACCTGGTTTTCCTCTTCTCTGTGAGGACCTGCAAGAAGCAAATAAATCTCTGGCACAAAATTGTGTTGTGTGCAGGGCCGCCCTGCCTAGCATGCTTCCATGTGGCCACAGCTCCTGAAGCCATTGCTGCTGCTAAGAGGGTGCCCCTGGTTCCACGCTCCTATTCATTGTTCTGTAAAGAACATGCGATGTGGTAAAAACCCACATTGTCTGATTTTCTTTGAAAAACAAAGAACTGGCGTTCTCAAGAAGTTTATAATACTTTCTTATTTTTGTCTAAGGCTGAAATGATGAAACCTCTTTATTTTCAACTTTTCAATTATTTTTAATTATGAACTATTCCAAACACAAAAAAAATGAATGAGACTAATAAAATATATATCCAGTATGTCCAATGCACTCACCCACCCCTTAGGCTGAAAACATGTGACTGTGTTAATTTGCTGCATGCTTCCTTCTGAACTTTCTGTTCATTCTTGGTGCCTGGGAGGAGGCTGAGAAGCATCGGTTTTAGAATCAGATCTCAGTTCAAATCCTAGCTACGTCACTAGTTACCCTAGGTACTCTAAATGAGTACGTCACCTCTTTGAGCTTCAGTTTTCTATTTCTAAAAGAGGATAGTAATGCCCACCTCTTAGGATTGTGAGGCTGAAGTGAGATCACTGGAATGCACTTAGCATGATGCCTGACACATGGTAGCACCCAGCAATGGGTCCTTGGTTCTATAGCTGTTTCCTTGATGTAGATTCTGGTAACTCAGTTTGCTATAACTTAGAGCAAGCCTAGTTCCCAGTCCCCCACCCCACCCCACACCCTATTTTCGTTGGAGTTTTACTTTTATTTTACTTTTAAAATTTTTTTAAAATTTTTTTGAGACTGAGTCTCACACTGTCGTCCAGGCTGGAGTATAGTGGTATGATCTCGGCTCACTGCAACCTCCACCTCCTGGGTTCAGGTGATTCTTGTGCCTCAGCCTCCCGAGTAGCTGGGATTACAGGTGTGCACTATCATGCCCAGCTAATTTTTATATTTTCAGTAGAGATGGGGTTTCACCATGTTGGCCAGGCTGGTCTCAAACTCCTGACCTCAAGGAGTTTGAGACCTGACCTGCCTGTCTTGGCCTCCCAAAGTGCTGGGATTACAGGCTTGAGCCACCAGGCCCAGCCTTATCTTTTTATTTTTAATTTTTTTTTTTAGAGACACAGTCTTGCCCTGTCACACAGGCTGGAGTACAGTGGCACAATCATAGCTCACTGTAGCCTTGACCTCCTGGGCTCAAGTTATCTTCCTGCCTCAGCCTCCCAAGTAGCTAGGATTACAGGTGTGTGCCACTATGCCCAGCTAACTTTTTTTTTTTGGTAGAGATGGGGTCTCACTCTGTTGCCCAGGCTGGCCTTGAACCCCTGGCTTCAAGTGATCCTTCTGCCTCGGCCTCCCAAAGTGTTGGGATTATAGGCATGAGCCACTGCAACTGGCTTCTTTGGATTTTTAAAAGCAATTACATGCCAATTGGCAGACCAGATACGAATCTCTTACCTTATAAGAACATTGAGGTCTTGTAGGTATCCCCGCTTTGATGCCTTTGGGCTAATTCAGGACACTAAGCAAGGCCTTTCACAATCCCCTGCCATTTTGTTTTTTCCTAAGAATATATTGTTCTCTGTTTCAAACCTGACTTTACCAAAAGTCCTTTAAAAAAAAAAATCCTACAAAAGTACAAAAGTGAAGCTGCTTTTCATTTTATGGAAGAATCAATTGCACTGGGTAATAGATTTGTGTTTAATGATTCATGATAAATATATCAGGTTTAGAGAAAGAGAGACCTAGCAAGACAGAATGAGGCTGGGAGTTAGGAATCAGTTTCACTCTGATGAACATGACCTTGAAAGAGTCCCTTCCACCCTCTCATTTTTTTTATCATTGCAAGTGATAGGAAAATTAATGATGTGAACATTTTATTTTTAAATAATTATAAGAGCTTCTGAGACCACTGTATGCTATAAAGAACTTTATGCTTTGGTATTCTGTTGGAGATGGGTAATTAATAGCTTATAAGGTAAAATAATCTGCAAAAGGAAAACAAATCAACCTTACATAATAGGGTTATTGTTTTTTTAATCCCGAAGTCGCCTGTATTCCCACTTCACTCTTACTTCGCGCTCATCACATTTCTTAAACCATTTATGTGGAAGTGTTTGGCCCAGCTGGCTGCTTTCTCAGATTTCAACTTTCAGTGGAGATCCATGTCCAAGTTCAGACACAGTCCTAAATTTATCAATTTTATGAGCATGTAATGTGTCTACTCTTGCCCAAGAAGAACATAATGAATTCATTTCTTCCTCCACAAATGTTTAGTGCTATTAAGCACATCTTTCATTTTTCTAATTAAAAAATTCTGTGAAGCCACAGTTTTAAAAATATGTAGTTTATGTAATTGTTCTTTTAGTATCTTCCCCACCCCAATCCCCAGGGGCCAGTTATCATTGATAAGATGTTCACCAAGCCTTATCCAGACCAGCCTCAGTTACAAAATCATGAGCTTAACTGGTTGTTGGGGCTGGGCTGTCTATAACAAAAATGAAGGGCTTTAAATGAAGCATGAAATTTTAAAATGGCACATTGTTGTTGGAAAGCATATTTAATCAAGAAACTGCTTTAGCAAATTAAGAAAACCCATGCCACCATTCCTTGGCAGAGTGGCAGTTGCCTCAGGGCTCTGCAAGTTGTAGTAACTTAATCATCTTAGCAGCTCCCAATATAGCATATAGCTACCTAATCCTTTTTTTTTTTTTTTTTTTTTTTTTGAGATGGAGTCTCGCTCTGTCGCCCAGGCTGGAGTGCAGTGGCAGGATCTCGGCTCACTGCAAGCTCCGCCTCCCGGGTTCACACCATTCTCCTGCCTCAGCCTCCCAAGTAGCTGGGACTACAGGCACCCGCCACTACGCCCAGCTAATTTTTTGTATTTTTAGTGGAGACGGGGTTTCACCATGTTAGCCAGAATGGTCTCGATCTCCTGACCTCATGATCTGCCCGCCTCGGCCTCCCAAAGTGCTGGGATTACAGGCGTGAGCCACCGCACCCAGCCTACCTAATTCTTTTCTTATTTTTTATTAGATTGTATGATCATTTCTTTGTTTTAAAAATTATGCATGCTTCTATTATGTTTTAATTTGGAAAGTACAGAAAATTATAGACTAGCAGGAAAAAATAATTACCCACAATGCCACCACGCAAGGGCAACTAAAATGAACCATTTTCACCCATCTAGTCTTTATAGTATATTAATAATATTCAAGCCTCCTGTCACATTTGTTGCAAATATTTCATCAGTCCTTGTATGTTTAATCAAAGTCGTGCATGCACGTAACACACAGAGTTTACAGAACCAAAGTGCTTGTTGAAAAACAGTGGTCCCCGATGGCGCCCTGCACGTCACTTTCTGCTCTTTTATCTGGTTCTTTAGTATTAACTTCATATCCCTGGTTAACCTGTTATGTTGCTGCTTCCGGATTTCACTCAGCTTTAGGCATTGTCTGTGCAAGAGAAGGATTTAGCTCTTTCACTGCAGCTGACCCACCTCCCACCCCCCATCACCCTTCTGTGCCATCTAGCCTTCTTGCCTAGGTGTATGTTATTGGGGCTAAATCAATGCCCAGTGATTTTATTGTTGCAACTAGGTAGACAGGAGTGACAGCTGAGCCATTATGATTATGTCTCCTTTCCTGCTTATCTTTTCATTTCCTTTATAACAAATAATTCTCTTGTTTTGTAAATTTATTTACATACTTTTCTATGATCCCCAATTTATCCTTGAACTCTTCTTCAGTTGTGTAAATCTCCCTGGAGCCTTCACACACATTAGGTGTTGTGTCAGTGTGGAGTTGATGAAGTCTCTCCTGGGGTCTTCTTGCCTGCTCCCATCAGAACGGCTTGCTCGCTCAACCTCATGCTCAGGTGTGTCTTGGGATCTCCTTTCACTCTCTTCTGTATCGATATGGTTTGGCTGTGTCCCCACCTAGGTCTCATCTTGAATTGTAGCTCCAATAATCCCCACGTGTTGTGGGAGGGACCCAGTGGGAGGCAATTGAATCATGAGGGTAGGTCTTTCCTTTGCTATTCTCGTGATAGTAAGTCTCACGAGATCTGATGGTTTTATCAAGGGGCGTTTCCCTGCACAAACTCTCTTCTCTTGTCTGCCACCATGTGAGATGTGCCTTTCACCTTCTGCCGTGATTGTGAGGCCTCCCAGCCTTGTGGAACTGTGAGTCCATTAAACCTCTTCCTTTTGTAAATTGCCCAGTCTGGGATATGTCTTTATCAGCAGCATGAAAATGAACTACTACATGTATTCACTCCTATTTCCTGCATTACCATATTGTATTTGTTCCTTTTTGCTGCTGTAACAATTACAGCAAGCTTAGTAGCTTAAAGCAACACACATTTATTGTCTTACAGTTCTGGAGGTCAGAAGTCTGAAATGGGTCTCACTGGGCTCAAATTGAAGAGTCAGCAGAGATGCGTTCCTTCTGGAAGCTCTGGGGCAAATCCATTTCCTTGACTTTTCCAGCTTCTAGAGGCCACCAGCATTTCTTGACTTATGTCTCCTTTATCTTCAAGGCCAGCATTGTTGCATCCTCAGATCTCAGACTCTCCTTCTCCTCTCTCCTTCCTTAATTTATCAGGACCCTTGTGATTACATTGGACTCACCTGGGTAATCCAGGATCCTCTCCTCAGCTCAGGATTCTTAACTTATCACACCTGCAAAGTCCTTTTTGCCATGTAGGGTAACATATTCACAGAATTTGGAGATGAGGACATGGGCATCTTTGGGGGACCATCATTCTGCCTTCTTTCCTCAGCCTCCAGTAGCTTCTCAAGAACAGGCGCATGGGACAGAAGTCATCTGAAATACTGCATTTCTGAAAATATCTTTATTTCATCCTTGATTGATAGTTTGACATGATATGGAATTCCAGATTGGAAATCCATATTAATCAAGATAGGTTAGGGTGATGCAATTATAATAAACTCCAAAATCTTAGTGGCTTTGCACATTCGAGTTTATTTCTTGCTTGTATAAGAAATAGCTTATATAGCTCAGGGATCCAGGCTGTTTCCATCTTGTGGCATTACCGTCTCAACACAGGACCTCCAATGTTACTGTGGCACAGAGCAGAGAGGAACTAGAGGGGCACGTAGGGAGACTTTTCAGCCCTTCAGCCCAGAAGTGACCCGTGTCACTTTTTTTTTTTTTTTTTTTGAGACAGAGTTTTGCTCTTGTCACCCTGACTGGAGTGCAATGGTGTGATCTTAGCTCACTGCAACCTCTGCCTCCCGGGTTCAAATGATTCTCCTGCCTCAGCCTCCTGAGTAGCTGGGATTGCAGGCGCCTGCCACCACGCCCAGCTAATTTTTGTATTTTTAGTAGAGATGGGGGTTTTGCCATGTTGGCCAGGCTGGTCTCGAACTCCTGACCTCAAGTGGTCCACCCGCCTCGGCCTCCCAAAGTGTTGGGATTACAGGCGTGAGCCACTGCGCCTGGCTGACTTGTGTCACTTCTGTGAGCAGTCCATTAGCCAGAACTTGTCGCAAGGCCCCACTTAACTGACAGAGGGCTGCAAGATAGAGCATATGAATACTCTGAGCATTGACTATCTCTGCCACAAAATCATGTCCCCTCTGAGTATGAAGGTTTTTGCCAGTTTTATTCTAGCTTCCAGTATTTCTGTTGAGAAAACGAATTCCTGATTTTTTATATGAACATCTAATCTGTCTCTGTGGAAGCTTCTTATTCTTCGTGTTCTAAAATTGTATAATTCTGTGTCTGGTGTGTATAAGTTTCATGTACCATTCCAGATACTTGGTGGACTTTGCAATCTAGAAACAGATACCCTGTTCTGGAAACTTTGCTTGATGTTTTATTTTCCAGAAAGATAGGATTTCACTCTGTAACCCAGGCTGGAGTACAGTGGTGTGATCACAGCTCACTGCAACCTTGAAATCCTGGGCTCAAGTGATCTTCCCACCTCAGCCTCCTGAATAGCTGGGACTACAGGCATGTGCAACCATGCCTGGCTAATTTTTTTTTTTTTTTTAATTTTAATAGACCCAAGGTCTAGCTATGTTGCCCAGCCAGGTCTTGAACTCCTGGGCTTAAGCGATCCTCCCGCCTCAGCCTCCCAAAGTGCTAGGATTACAGGCATGAGCTATTGCATCTCGCCTGGTTTTAATTTTTACATTTTTTAATGAATTTTGAGTCTCACGTTGTTGCCCAGGTTGGTCTTGAACTCCTGGCCTTCAGTCATCCTCCTGCCTCAGCTTCCCAAAGTGCTGGGATTGTAGCTGTGAGCCACCTTGCCTGTTTCTTCCTCTACATTTTCATTTTTTGTCATTCTGAACCTACTCTTATTTGGATTTTGGACCTCCAGGAGTAGTTGTCTGTGTTTCTTGGCCTTGTTCCTCTCATTTTTTCTTTTCTTTGTCTTTTTTGCTCTACTGTCTAGAAGAGTTTTGAAACTGTCTTCCACTCCTTCTGTTGCATTTCTTCCTTGCTGTTCTCATATGTTTCATTTACAAGAGCTTGTTGTTGTTGTTGTTCTCTGAATGTTCCTTATTATAACATTCTTTGGTTCCATACGGGGTCTTTACATTTCACACTAAAGGTTATTATAGGTATTTTTATTATTTTTTGGTTGCTATTCTGGATGGAATATTTTTCCACTATGTTTTAAATTTATTGTTGTAATACTGAAAAATTACTGATATAATGTCATGTTACTGAACTTTTTATTTCAATAATTTTTCATTTATTTTCTTTTTCCTTTTTTTGATAGAGAATCACATAATTGACAAAAAGCATGCATTTTATCTCTTTATCCAATTCTGTTTTAAGTTTTATAACATTATCCAGAATAATATTATGTAATGTAAAGTCCATGGTGGGAGACTGTGTATTAATTATCATGTCCCCCACATTTAGGACATGTACCTATTTAGTTGACAATAAATACATGTCAAATGAATGAATGATGGTTATAGACAGTATCTTTCTTTTGCTTCAAGTTTTAATAATATTAAAAATGTTCTGTCATTGAGTATAATTGTAATTTTTAGTTTAAGATACATATTCTTTATCATGTTAACAAAATATTATTTTTAAATTTTCTGAAAGCATACAGTTATTCAAGAAAATATGTTTCCTTTGTGGGTTGTGATCTTGCACTCAGGAACATGTGCTGAATTAGTTTAATTCAACTTTATTTTATAAACTAATAGGGGTAAAAACTAATGGGGACAGACAGTTTGAGACGTGCAGACAGGCACTATTTCTCAGTATTTGATTTGTTGTAACATTTTTACTGGTGACCGGAAGAGGAAATGCTCAGAAAAATCTGAGTTTGCAGGTGACTCTAATATGCAGGTGACTCTAATATTTTTTCTGGTACTACTGAACCACAGGACTATCTACTAAGCTCAGAGTCTCTGTCACCTGTAATGTAGGGGCTTCCTCCCAGGAAAATACTGCAGCCCAAAGAGGCTGTCAAAGTACTGGACACCCTGGAGCACAGAATATAACAGTGTCTTGTGCAAGCCATGATTTATCTATGTCAGAGAGTTTCTATGCAGTTTTAGTCAACAAAGACCAAGAGAGGCATAACTGGCTGGAGAACATTCAGAAACTAATAACCAAAATGATCTTGGGAGGTAGAAGCAAAGACTAAATTAATTATGATTCTTGTCAGAAGGGACATTGACTCTGGAAAATCATCAAAGCCTATAAAATCAGAAGCAGTGTGTTTGAGGTGAACACAAAACTCTTCACCAAGGCCTTGAACACAACTGTGGTCTGAAATTAAATAGACTCAAAGTGCCTCAAATCTTAAATACGATATATCAAAGACAAATTGAAGGACATCTTGTTTCTTGTGGGGGATAGTAAACAGCTGGACTTCATTTGCCCAAATGACAGTACAGGCCAAAACTATAAATCAGTTCCTATAAAAGTTGATATATATTCATGGATGATGAATCCACAGTAGATTAGGAAAAGTGCAATGTTGTTTAGAGGGACAGCCTAATATTTTGGAGTTGATGTTCTTGAATCCAGTAAGATCATTCTTATTTTATATATATAATAAAATAAGAAAATTAGCAAAAATTATTTCCAATATGAATATTATTTAGTGGTTATTGACTCTTATTTACAATTTAGTAATGCTTTTCTTTTTTGAGACAGTCTCACTCTGTCACCCAGGCTGGAGTGCAGTGACACAATCTTGGTTCACTGCAGCCTCCACCTACCAGGTTCAAGCGATTCTCCTGCCTCAGCCTCCTGGGTAGTTGGGATTACAGGCACCCACCACCACACCCAGCTAATTTTTGTGTTTTTAGTAGAGACTGAGTTTCATCATGTTGGACAGGCTGGTCTCGAACCCCTGACCTCAAGTGAAGTCCTCAGTCTCCCAAAGTGCTAAGATAACAGGTGTGAGCCACTGCACCCAGCCAATTTAGTAATTTTTGGTTCTTGTCTCCAAAGCATTCACTGGGTGCTCCTGCTCAGATTCCCCATCTTGTAAGGCTTTCCTTGAAGCCTCCACCTCCTGCAGCTGCCCTAGGCAGAAGCTCAATATTGGGAAGGCATCAGCAGCAGGAGTTTGAAGATCCTGGTCCAAGTCCCGGCTCCTACTCCTCCTAGTCCTCATCCTGGCAAAGCCAAGTACTCTCTCTCTGAGTTTTGTTTTTCTCACTTATAAAATAGGAAGTAATGATTTCCCAGTATTCTTCACATTCACATTTTTGTGAAAAGGAAATCTAGTTAACATTTCTAGACGTGCTTTGGGAGCCATAAGGTGCTGGCTTCGCAATGATGGGTACAGATGGAGTGGCCTGTTTTCCAAACCTCTGAGTCATTACTTCTCTCTTCCCTGGTCCCTGACACCCTGCGAATGAACCCCCATGTGGCCTCTTGCTCTGGCAAGCTGGTTTGATTATGTGCAGGGCTCCTCTGCCCCTGAAGCCTAAAGCCTAGTGAAAGGCAGACTGGGTGGAGACCCTGGCAGTTCTCTTCTAGGCTCACACCCTCATCTTGACCTTCAGCTCCCCTTCCTCCACTCCATGGAAACAGAATTGTCAATGTATCCCCCTAAAACCTAGGGTAGAGCAAAACCAGCTGGACCTTCCCCTCTGCCTTTCCCTGGGGTGAGACCTAGACTCCCCATTGGCTCCCTTCCCCTCCCCAGCCCCCATTAAGGGGAAATTGGGAGTCATTTACTTTCTGTACTAGCTGTGTGGGACATGAGAGAAAAATGAGCAATGTGAAGCCAGCCAACAACAGAAGGAGACCCAGGGAAGGAGCCAAGTGGAAAACAGCCTGAAAAACCTTTGTGCCATCCTTTGAGCGTATCATTTCCTACCACCAGAGCCTAATTCTGTCCTTGAGGAATATATGATCTTAAGACTTCACCTCCTCTAAGAGGAAGGCAGCCTTGGGCTCCTGTTAGAGATCTTAGTGTGCAAAACTGCAAAGCACTTAGAATGTCACTTCTGACCTTATAATATTCTTCTGTAACAATAGCTGGCACACATCATTATACATCATACTGTTACCGGTATGCATATATTGTTATCTCCCCAGCTATATTGTAATTCCTCAAGGGCATGGAACATATTTTATACATCTTTTTTGGCTTAATGGATATGTACTAATTATGTGTACCTAGAGGAATCCTTTCATCTGGCAGTCAGAGGTATCCAGAATGAACTTGTCAGTTACGTAAGCCCCATCCAGCATGATTCCATGATGCAGTGCCTCTAGCGCGGTGCTGTAGGACGTGAAGCATCACAGGTGATTTGGAGAGGTGGATGCTTCTTGCCCAGAGTCACTTACCTGCCTGGCTTTGATCTTCATGCTTCTGCCGTTTCTTTCTTCCTCTTCAAAACCAGATGTCTTCCTCCCCTTGGCCAAAAAGAATATACCAGTGAAGTGGTATGTCAGGGCATTAATAATGAGAAGTGTGCAGACTGTAGTTTATGAGGATTTCAGGTTCTTTGATTTAGAATATGATTGTTTGCTACAAATTAACTTCATCATGGGTGAATATAGCAAAAAGTGGGCAAAAGTAACTGATCTGGGCTTGTCATCTGTGCACTTAATGGACAAGGTATGAGGGTTATCTAATTGATGTTTCTAAAGTTTCAAAATGTGTTCAGATACACAATGGTCACTGAGGAGAGATGTTATTAGCTTGACTGCCATTGTATTAGGTTGGTGCAAAAGTGATTGCGGTTTTTGTCATGAAAGGTGATAGTATAGTATTTGGGGGCTTAACTTCTGAAGCTTAGTGAACCTACATTCACTTGAAGACTCTGCCTCTTACTAACTGTGATTTGGGACAGATTTCAGAATTTCTGCTGTCCTGTTTCCTCATGTACAAGGGATCCTATTTGATAGGGTTGTTGAGAGAATTAATTGAAAGAAACCATCTAAAATGCTTAGCACAGGCCTAGTCTATCCTGGATTAATGAAAGTCTAGTCAGTTGTTGGCATGGTATGAGTTAGTGGGTTTGATGTGCACACATAAATGCCTGTGCAAATACTGAGGAAGGGTTCTAGGAGTCACAGCAACAAGCAGAGTTTGAGTTATGTAAGCCTTCAAAAGTGTGTGTTCTGACCACTGATGTTGCCATTTCAAGTTATTCTAAACTGGTTAACCACAGATGGGATTAAAGCAAAAATTATGAATATATTTTATTTATTTTATTACGGTAAGACAAAATAACAGATTAACGTGTACACAACAAATAATGTGAGAGAAAAAAAATCTCTGTTTGGTAGGATTAGTGTTTTCACTTGTATTCAGTCTGGCCAACACGGGAATTGATGCTATTTTAAGTATACTTTTCAGCCATAATTATCCAAGTAAAATCAAAAGCAGTTGTTTATTGAAAAGTACTGCATTTAAGATAAGAAATTTAGTATATTGCAGACCACAGTTTGGAGATCACACTGAATTATATCCTACAAGGAAATATCATTCTAGATACCTTATAGAGGTGTACTTATACTAAATGTTACTCCAGATCTCAGGAAGCATATGTTGTAGGGATACCACAACACACATAGGGGAGAAATGCACTTTTAATGAGCCCTACTAATTTGACATTCATAATTCAGAAGGGAGATAGGCTGACATGGGCCTTTTTCTCTGTAAAGATCAAGAATGTGACAGATGATTGTAGGAACAATTACTTTACAAAAGAGAACCACCTCATTTCAAGGACCTCTTAGTGCAAAGAAAGAAAAGGGTGGCCATTTTCTTATGGCCTTCAGTCATTTCTTTGGTTTATTTAGCACTGGCTCAGGTACTAGTTTCAGGGTGTAAAAATCCCCGATGCAGAGAACATTCTGCAACTCTGCAATACGTACAGAGCCCTAGAATGGAAAAGTGCTAACGAATTTCATGACCTAATTTAAATTCCCCAGTGTGGCTAATTGGGGAACTGTGTTTTACTGATCTGAATTGCTAATTTTTATAGATATTATTTTAACAGCTGTCCATTTGTAATTTATGTCAGGGTGTTTCCAGGGCTTTTTTTTTTTTTTTTTTTTTTTTTTGACAGAGTCTTGCTCTGTCACCCAGCCTTGAGTGCAGTGGCACGATCTTGGCTCACTGCAACCTCCGTCTCGCAGGTTCAAGCAATTCTCCTACCTCAGCCTCCCGAGTAGCTGGGATTACAGGTGCCTGCCACCATGCCCAGCTAATTTTTGTATTTTTAGTAGAGATATGGTTTCACCATGTTGGCCAGGTTGGTCTCAAACTCCTGACCAGGGTCTCATTTTAGCTAAGTGTAATTGTATATGTTTTGTGGCATTTGGCTCGAGTCAAATCAATTTTAAATCTGCCAGAAAAGTTTGTTTTAACTAGTTTTTATTCCTAGTAAAAATAGGCTCTCATTACTAATTATTTTGAGTAGGTATATATAGTATATTTTTAATTGGTGATATATTGGAATACCCTTTTAGAATAATAATGTTTCATCTAATCAGAAATCTAAACAACCACTTGGTGATTACTGTGTACTCAAAGCCAGTTAGTACATTAGCGAAGTCACCAAAAGAATCATTTCCATTTCAAAATCTTGGGCGTTTGGTGGTATATATTTTTATTTTAGTGTATGAGAAAGTCAACCATTGCTATCCCAAATGACAGAAGTTATTCTTTTGCTTATTACATTTAATTATTTTTCTTTGCCATTTAATTGTAATACAGGGCTTCTATATTTTGAATGTGTGTTAAACGAATTTAGATTTATAATTTTATATTTTAATGATTAATATCAAATTCTCTTTTTAACTCTGTGAACATGAGTCATTTGAATTACTCAGTTATGCAGACAACATATTTTCAGCTACCTATATCTAGTTCAAAACGTGCCAATGAAAGATCTGTTTTCCCTTATTTTAGTTACAAATGATCTTGTAATCAGGATTAGTTCAAAAAGAACAAAATATTTTTACAGCATAACAAAAGGCTGTTGATGATAAACCTGAATCATCCATTTATTGGAGGTCTGAGAACTTAAATTAGTCTATCAGTTCATGTGAATCTCTTTCTTAAACCTTAGCAAAAAACATTTCAATAGTTTACTCTTAATCATCTAATTATTTACTGTTGATTTTGTGGTTGTATGACCATTGAATGCTTGAATTATAGCTCAAAGCTATCATTCATTCAAAATTAAGGATTACAAGGATGTGTTTTCATATATTGTTTTGTATTATGCTACATTTCACTTTTTATTGGAAATAATATTTATCTTGTAATTTTCTCTTTGAGAATAAGTATATTTTGGTAAAATTCCTCTTCAGTTCACTTTGTGAGAAATTCAAATTTAATAGGCAGTAATTGAACTTTTTTAAAAGAGCACTGATCTTTAATGGTAATCATTGTGATGGCTGCTAAAGGATGTAATAGGTAGTTTCATTTGCCTTTGGTCCTGAGCAATCTGAACAACAGAATTCCAAAAGTCCCATTCATATAGAGAGATGCCCGTGCGCTTCCTACCGCTCAGATACGGTCATGGTTTCCTTTTAATGGTGGTAATGGCACCAAAAGTAGATGTTTGATTTTTTAATATTCTTCCACATATATGTATAAAATTAAAATTTCCCATCTTACTCTAAAAAGACTCTACTTGTATTCCAATTGCAGGCACCCAAAGGTGCTTTGTGCAGGCAGTTTTTGTTTAGTTTTTGTTTTGGCAGTAGAGCCTGTAGGTCCTCAGGGATGCAGCGGCTCTCAGGATCTACATTATTCATGCATCGTTGTTTAACGTCCTTCTAGCAGCAAGGATGTGTGCTGGCAGACCACCTCCACTTTCACTTAGAAAATTGCCAGCTAGTGCTCCTGCCTTCTAAGTGATTACTTTGCTTTGCTCGAAGTATCTATATGAAGATAAATCTTTTGCTAGGTAGCAATTCCTCAAGCACTGTCCCCCCCGCCACAGCAAAAATGATGGCAGATATGGTGTGTTCAAATGACTGCTAAATAGGCAAGCTGCATTTTCACAGGATAGTGTATAATATTTTAAGAACTATTGTCTTGATTATGCAAATATAGAAAGAACTAGCAAAGCTTACTGGGGAAAAGCAATAGGAACTGTTCTGCATTGTTTTTGGGGAAGAAGTGTTTGCTATTTAATGATTTGGAAGTTTGCTTCTTGTTATTGGAACTTAGCATTAGTTTGATTACCTTGGTAAATACACATACATTTCACAATCAAAATAGATTATTTAAATCTCCCAAGGTAGCCTGGGATGCTTTTTTTTTTTTTTTTTTTTTTTGAGACAGAGTTTCACTCTCGTTGCCCAGGCTGGAGTGCAATGGCACGATCTTGGCTCACCACAACCTCCGCCTCCTGGGTTCAAACGATTCTTCTGCCTCAGCCTCCCAAGTAGCTGGGATAACAGGCATGCACCACCACACCCAGCTAAGTTTGTATTTTTAGTAGAGATGGGGTTTCTCCATGTTGGTCAGGCTGGTCTCAAACTCCCGACCTCAGGTGATCCGCCCGCCTGAACCTCCCAAAGTGCTGGCATTACAGGCAGGATGCTTTTTTGACACCCCCACTTCTACTCAGCTTTCTTTCCTTCCTTCAGAACCCTGTTCAGGGTGTGAAGGACAAGTTAAGCCATCTCCGTCTCTCTCATACTGCAGCCCACCTGTTCTTTAGGTCATAACCACAGACTCACATCTTTAAAGAAAGTTAGCAAATCAACTCAGAACCCTTACATGGGTCTTTCTCTCCTGCTGTCTCATCAATCAGAGCAAGTTCAACTTTCTACTAAATTTATCTATATTTATATATGTATGTTTATAAAAGGTATGAGTTAGGTGTGCAAAAATGTAACATTATGGGTTAAATAACCTTATTTAACCCATACCTTACATGATTTAAGGTATTACTAAACATGCATCCTAAGGTAAATAAACCCAGCACAGGAACTGCCCATTTCCACTGATGATAGAAAGGTGTCTGTTTCTAATCGTTTAGTCTCAGCTTCTCAGGGGTCTCCCCTTCTCATTTCTTTCTTCCTTTCTCCTTCCGGCTGATCCAAGTTCCCAGGGGGCCTTTGGGGAACAGACCCTTGTCCAGGCGCTGTCCTCTGTCCAGGATTGTCTCAGTTCACTAGGCCTGGTCTTGGGATTCAGCCCATTGCTTCCACGTCTGAATTGGCTGGCCCTGACCCCTCCAGGGTCTCTGGTGAAGCCCAGAGGCCCTGCATCCCCCCTTGCCCTGACCCCAGGCACCTCTAGCCCTTTTTTCAGAGATTCAGAAAAGTTCCAGAAATGTTCTTATCATGAATTGCCCCAGGATCGTGTGTCTGAGAAGGTCACTCAGTCATCACCACTCTGAAGCTCAAGCTCTAATGAGAAGCTGGACCTCTCTCTGAGAGGTAGAGCCTCAGAGCTCACACCCTGGGAGGCCAGCTCCTTGTTCTGTAGGACTCCCAGAACATTATCTGCGATTTCTGTCAACCTGTTCTTCCCTAGATCACTTGGCCCAAGGGAGAGAACCACTAGACCTTTTCCTAGGGACCCAAACAGCTTCTGAAATCTGATCTTGTCCTTCTTTATCCTTATCCTGTTGACTGACGGAACCTTTGTCTCCTTTTGGGAGGCAACTAGCTCTTACCTTATTCTTAGCAATCTTTGGTTCTGTTGATACACTTGATGCCTTCCCCTTCAAGTTTTACTCTTTAGAATTCCACATCACTCTCCTCTCAATCATTTGGCGTTGGAAAATTTTGGCTTTCAGGACAAATAGCTTTCCCAAAAAGTCACAAATGAAAATTTAGAAGCTAAAAAGAGAAACAGAAGATAGAAAGTAATTATCAGAAAAAAAAAAATCAGACATGAAACCGGAATTGTCTTCTTTTGTATATTGTCTCCATTCCTTTTTAAATTACATCTTTCTTTTGTTCTTGTATTAATTGTCTTATTAATTCCATGCTTTTTGGAGGGGAAAAGGATGGAGAAAGTGGTAAACAGCCTCAAATCCTTTTTGCCAGCAAAGAAATGATCATTTAAAATAGATTCAGGCCGGCCATAGTGGCTCACGCCTGTAATCCCAGCACTTTGTGAGACTAAGGGGGGCAGATCACTTGAGGTCAGGAGTTCAAGACCAGCCTGATCAACATGGTGAAACCCTGTCTCTACTAAAAATATAAAAATTAGCTGGGCATGGTGGTGAGCACCTGTAATCCCAGCTACTCGGGAGGCCGAGGCAGGAGAATCGTCTGAACCTTGGAGACGGAGGTTGCAGTGAGCCGAGATCATGCCAATGCACTCCAGCCTGGGTGACACAGCGAGGGTCTATTTCAAAACATAAAATAAAATAAATTGGAATACTCTATCTATGCGTCTTTTATGTGGCACCTTGTGTGGCTTTCCTGAGTTCAAATAAGCCACTGAAAAAATACCTCAGTGAAAGTTTCAATCCATGAGTTGTTTCTTTTCATCTCAAGGCTGCTTATCAGAGGACATAAAACAGCATTAACTGTGACAGAAGAAAAGGACGAAGGCCGAGCAGGCCCATATCCCTGCGTAAGTCCTGAACCATGCTTCGTTAAAGTCTGTACTTTGAAGAGTTTCAGGCCTTGTTGTTAATCAATAACTCTAGCCATGTAGTGTGCAGTTTAAGAGAACACAAGGATCAAGGAGAAGCAACTCTTATCTACATTGCTTTTGCCTGTAATGGCTTCCATAATTTATCCACAAGGAGAAACAAGCAATGAGAAAAATCCTCCCTGGCCGGTCAGAGCCTGTTCATATTTTGGCAACAAATGAAGCTAAGGAGTTGTCAGGTGTGGTAGATTATTCCCAAGAGGATGTGTTTTATTTTTATCTTGTGATGAAACGCCCTCTGATGAGCACAGCAGATAGCACTTTTAACAAACTCTCTTTGGAGAATAAGTATTTAATTCTATTACAGAATGCCAACAAGGTGGCTGTTTCACAATGAACTGTCCCCTGTGAAGTACTGTAGAGCAGATACAGGGTGCACCTCAGTTGTTATTTGAAGGATCAGTTATCAGTGGTAATGTGCACTTAAATCCACTGGGAATCTTGTGAAAATGCAGTAGGTCTGGAGAGGGGCCCAAGATTTGGCATTTCTGACACGCTTCCAGGTTATTTTAATGCCTGGTCCCTGTTTCTCACTTCACACAGCAAAGTTTTAGAGCACCTTAGAGATCTCAAATAACTTTGTGCAGAAATTTCTTACTGGATTAGTGGAGCCAGTAAGGACTTGCAATGCCATTGGCTTTTATGGGCCCCTCAGCTTGCCAATCATTAGGGAAATTGCCCAACTGGAAACTAATAGCTTAAGCAAGGAAAATCCCGTCCCTGGCCAGGACAGCACCTCTGCAAACATCCATCCGGAATTGATTCTGATGTTCTGACTGTGCATCGGAAGGGTAGCTTGAAGAATGCCTTTATTTTAGACTCTGCCCACCTGCAGGCTACAGGACTCATTTCCAGGACTGTGTAAAACATTGTATCTATAGGAGCAAGCAATTTCTACAGTCCGTATTTGGGACCAAAAATCTTTTTTTTTTTTTTTTTTTTTTTTTGAGGATTGGAATGACCAAGGAACCAGTTAGAATGGATCAGATGTATTTCTGTTGATTTACAAAAGATAATTTCATTGTCAGTAATGAATGTCCCTAAATGTTTTGGACACAATAAGGAGTTTCAGGAGAAAACCGTAATAGTGAGTAGTTATCCTTTTCTTAGGATTTTGATTCCTTAACATGAAATGCTGATTCCAATGCTTTGGCTTTCCTATGTCAGTTCATACAAACTTCTGATTTTATTAATTATTGCTTCTGTAGAGAATAATCTGCCATATTAGACGAAAGTCATTTTATCAAACCAAGGAAAAATATTAAGTCTACTAGAAAATATAAGAGTTTTATTGACTATTGTCTTTAAATTTTTTTAAAATTATGGAACAGTTTAAATGTACAAAAATGAAAGTATAGGTTACAAAGCCCTATATACATTAATCTTCTAGCTGCACTGGTTACCAACTTATGGTGCTAGGGGCTAAATGTGTCTCCCCAAGATTCATATGTTGAAGTCTAATCCCCAGTGTGATAGCAGTAGGAGGGGAGCCTTTGGGCAGTGATTAGTTCATGAGGGTGGAACCCTTATAAATGGAATTAGTGCCCTTATAGGAAGAGATACAACTTGCTCTTGGACTTCCCATCCTCCAGAACTATGGGAAATAAGTTTTCATTCCAATGCAGTATTTTGATGAAAATGTGTCATAAGTGGTGCTGAATGTTTTCCATTGTACTGCATTAGGAGATACATAAGGTTTGGTTTCTCTTTTTTTGCAATATTGTTAAATACAGTCTTAACTTTAAGTATAGTCTTAACTTTCATACTCTCATACGAGAGTTCAGAAATCTTACCCGAAACTCGATTCTACCTTTGATAAATGAAATATGGCAGTGGTCCCCAACCTTTTTGGCACCAGGGACCAGTTGTGTGGAAGATAATTTTTCCATAGATTGGGGGGTGGGTGGGGAGGATGGTTTCAGGATGAAACTGTTCCACCTCAGATGGTCAGGCATTAGATTCTCACAGGGAACGTGCAACCATTAATATATCCCTTGCATGTGTAGTTCGTAGTCTTTTCTATGATATGTAGTCCAATTTAATTTGCAATGGTTTGAATGTTTGTGTCCTCCCAAAATTCGTATACCAGAACCTAATCCCTAATGTGATAGTATAAGAGTTCACGCTCCTATGAGAATATAATACTGCCGCTGATCTAATAGGAGGCAGAGGTCAGGCAGTAATGCTCACTCGCCCGCCCACCACTCACCTCTTTCTGTGCAGCCCAGTTCGTTACAGGCCACGGACCAGTACCAGTCCATAGCCCAGGGGTGGGGGATCCCTGAAATATGGTATATAGAACTAAATATATAAAATCTAATATATACATTGATATTTATACATGTAATATAAAAGATTATGTCTTTCAGGCTTCTATAACAAAATACCATAGACTGGGTAGCTTATAAACTACAGAAAGTTATTTCTCACAGTTCTGGAGGGTGGAAGGTCAAAAGGTCAAGATGCTGGCCGATTCAGTGTCTGGTGACTGCCTGATTCCTGGTTCACAGATGGTGCCTTCTCACATGGTGGAGGGGGCATGGCAATTCTCTGGGGTCTTTTTTTATAAGAGCACTAATCCCGTTTATGCCTCAGGACCTAATCACTTCCCCAAAGTCCCACCTCTTATACTATCACATTAGGGATTAGCTTCCGGCATATGAATTTTGGGAAGACACAAACATTCAAATGATAGCAGATTAAATTGGACTACATGTCATAGAAAAGACAAAATTAAAGTGGCCTATACAAGATAGAAGTTTAGCAAATCTAAAGATAGGCACCTCTGAGTGGTATGACATCCCCACAGTCATCCAGGAACCATATTTTTGCGTGTATGTCTTCCATGCTTAAGATTGCCTCATGTTCCAAAATGGCCCCTGGAGCTCTAGCCATCATATCTGCTTCTCTGGCTGGTAACATAAATGGAGATAAGAGGGTAGGAAAAAAAAGCCCTACCTCCCAGGTCAGCCAGTCCCAGACCCCAAACAAGGATGTCTGCATATTTCAAAATGGCAATTCATACCTTCAAAAAAAGCAGGAAATGTTGGAAAGTCAGGATTCCCACTGTGGGAAGCTGTCAAAATATTAATAAGGTATTTCAAAGACTTTGGGCAGCCACAAACGATAAACATCCATTACATGTAGTTTAGAATTGTATCCTAGTGCAACTGTTATTATGTGAACATGATTACCAAATCTTGGAAAGAAAAGATTGGCTCAAATATGAAAAATAGGGGAATGCATAAGAATCCAGAGAAATCCTTTGCTAACATATTGTCAGTATTTGATAAATTTTTGTCCTAACACCAGGCTGAAATGGAAGCTCAACTCAGGTTTGCCCAAGAAGAAGCAGGACTCCTGATTTGAAGGGTGGTGTGGGGGAGGGTTTCTAGCAGGGAATGGATGCTTAAGCCAGTGGTGGGACATAGATGTTACATAGTTTTCCTCAGTGCTATAAAGAAACATGAAACAAATAGCTTCTCCAGCAACCAGAGCCAACAGACTGTCACTTCTCTAAACATTTAAGCTGCTTTCCTGCAGTTCTATTTTCAAAGTAAATGATCTATTCAGCTGTTTGCTTTTGTTGTTTGTTTTGGCAGGAAATTTGAATAGGGACAGAATAATAGCTAAAATTGATTGAGTACTTACTGCGTGCCACACACTGTTTTGGGTAGTTTACATTTAAACATCACAGGCCATAATATTGGCGTTATTACTAGCCATTTTACGGATGGATAAACTAAGGCACAGAGAGGTTAAGTAATTTGCCGAAAGGGATGCTGCAGGTAAGAGCTAGAACTGGGATTTGCACTCTGGCACTATGCTGTATTGTAATAGATCCACCGTAACACATATCCTCCCGTGAGTATATTTTGCAAATTGTGAAGGGAAGCAAGGGGAGGGAGAATGGGGCATTGGCTCTAAGTTGCTTCATTATAGAGAGTGAAACGGGGAGAAGAGATTGTCTGGGGTTCACAGTGTTAGTGCAGACATCGTTCTGGATCCTGGGTGCCGCCCCCTCTTTAGCGCCTCACTCACTGGCGGATCTTAGCCCAGGAAGCTGAGGGCAACCTTAGGCCCTAGAACTTGCCACCCATCTGAGCTCCCGTCCTCCTTTCTGCCGCTCCTTCATGTCCTCCACTTCTGAGAGCAGTTTTGAGTCACATCCCTTGTGGGAGATGCCTCAGCCCTACCCTGAAACTGAACCCTGCCCCCACATAGCCCCAGCACCTTGCGTTTGAGCACACCACTTCCCAGGTTGTGCAGGCCTCAGATTTTGAGTACAGTGTCGTAATACGTATTTGGCCTGTAACTTGCGCTGAGATGCATGGATAAGCCATTTTAATTTAGCTGTATAGCAAAACCCATCCTTGACAGAAAGTGTGGACTAACACAGAGGCAATTTCTTCCTGCCTTGCTCATCACGTTGCATAGTTAGAGCCAATCCCTCAAGCCCTCCTTCCCTTCCTCCCTTCCAGCTCCCATGTGCTCCTCTGGTCTGATTCGACACCATGGCCTAGCCTTGTGCAGTGTGCAAAGAGGAGAAAGGAGTGAAGAAAGGGAAGAGGAGGGGAGGGGTCCTAGGCAGGGCTTGGAGGCTGTGACAGTCACCCTGTAGGCTCCAAATTGAGACAGTGGCCTGGGGAGGAAAGGCTGCTTAGGGCAGCAGCACCCCCCCACCCTCCTTTCTTCCCCCTCAGCCATTTGCTCTGTTTTCTGGAATATCTGCCTCTCTCTCATCCACCAACTGTATACACTGCCGTGAGGGCTGGGACTTACCTTCATAGCTGCATTTAGCCCATTACCTAGTACACAGGGCCATGCATATAGCAGGACCTCAATAAACATTTAATGAATAGAATTCAGTATTTATTATCACAGTCCTTGAACTCACAAAAGCTGAAGTCACATACTAACTGTATATAAAGAGACCGTCTTTACCCCATGAGTCTTAAAAGCGGGGTTGCTTGGACCATTCGTCAATGGAAGAATTACGTGGCGTGCTGTTAAAAATGTAGGTTCCCAGGCTTCACCTGAGAGTGTGATTCTGTGGAGCTGGGGGTCTGAATTTTTAACCTGTGTCCCCAGTGACTCTAAGTTACAGGCCAAATACGTATTACGACACTGTACTCAAAATCTGAGGCCTGCACAACCTGGGAAGCGGTGTGCTCAAACGCAAGGTGCTGGGGCTATGTGGGGGCAGGGGTCAGCTTCAGGGTAGGGCTGAGGCATCTCCCACAGGGGATGTGACTCAAAACTGCTCTCAGAAGTGGAGGACATGAAGGAGCGGCAGAAAGGAGGACGGGAGCTCAGATGGGTGGCAAGTTCTAGGGCCTAAGGTTGCCCTCAGCTTCCTGGGCTAAGATCCGCCAGGTAGACCGTGGAACTCATTTTCAGAAATGACCGAAGCAGCATTTCTTGATCTTTCTTAAAACTCTGTCGCTCTTGCTTGATACTCTATACTGCCCTCTCTGTGCATTGATAACTGTGGGTCCCGGGTGGCTGCAAACCACATGTGCCATGCACCAGAAGGGGCATTGTTGTGACTGAGGCCGGATGACCTTAAGAATGAAACCCAAGCCCTCGTGGGGTTAAAATTCCAGAAGTACCTTAGTATTTGCTGCAAAACCATCGGTAAGGAGGAAAACCCCACTGCTTTATGAATTGAATACTAACCTGGAACTACTCCCAAATCAATTGGACTTTGGTTTCTCATTCAGAATCTTCACTGAATGTTCTTAAGTGAGTTTTAAGATACCATTTCCATGTAAAAAGCTTCTAAAGACTTGTTTGAGAGTGTACTTGGAAAAGAAGCATTTTTATCCGGTCTTACATACGTAATCAAAATTAATCGCTTTTCCCCCAGCCTATCTCTGCTACTTTCAGCTGTTAAATAGCCATTTGATTTAATATAGCACCTCATTCTTCAGTGATCTTCAGCAGCTGACACCTGAATTTGTCTGCAGACAATGTGCTTTTTAAAGAATTGGCCTGCTGGTGCTTTTGATGTAAATTTTATAGGGCCATCATCTTTAGATTTTTCTTTATCAAACAAAATACTCTCTTTTTTATTATTCTTACTTGCATTCTCATGATGATTAAAATATCACAGGAAATGTGTGTGGTTGAGTCCATATTTCCTAACTATATTTTATGATTAGGCTCCGCCAGATGGCTCCTACCATACATAATAAAATGTCAGAGGTGCAGCGGTAACCTCGTTATGGTGTGCATTTGAACTCAGTCCTAGCACCGTGCTAGGTCCCTAGGCACATCCTTTTTTCTTTACTTTCCTTATCTTATTCTTTTTATTGTTAAACTTTTTTTAGTTCTATTTTTAATTTGTGCATTTTTGTTATTTGGAAGATAGCTTTGTTAGCCACCTTGCATCCCTTCTGGAATAGACTAGGAGATGTATAAATATGTATCTTTAATGAACATGAATAGAGAAAACCAAGATATTTCTATTGTCCAGCTTTTGGTTCATTTTGATTCCCACCACCATCTTTGCATGGCTGTTGCTGTAAGCCTGTGATCTTTACTATAGTACTCTGATTTCCTGCAAGAAAAATGAAACTGAACCCCGTTAATACCCAGTCTCCAACTCCCAAGCATTCCCTACATACAAATGCTTCCTCCCACACAGTTAGGATATGTCTTTCTCCTCCAGATACCTCTACCATGGGGTGCACCTCCACCTCCTCTCCAACAAGGCTGTCAAGGGTTCTGCTACCTCCTCACTGCCACTGAGCGCCTTCCAACATGGCTGCCACCACCAGAGGTCTTGCCAGCTCACAGCTGTAATAGTTCCTGCTCCCACTACCTGCTCCAGCCCAGCCAAAGGAAATGTCAGAGTCAGTTAGAAGCTGGGAGAACCCCTCTATCTCTCCATAGTGTGCTCAGTGTCAGAGCCGTGTGTGTGTGTGTGTGTGTGTGTGTGTACACTTCTGTTGGTAGGGGCTACAAGTAGATGACTATCAACACCTGCTTCTATAGCCACAGTGAATTCCCAGTCCAGCAGGGAAGAAGGTATGTCTTTAAGGTTTTTCTACATAATGAAATAATTATGCTTTCATAATCTTGTCCCACAGGTACCATGGTGGTCATGGCAAAATGCAGAACCCAAAAGTTTTCAAAATAGTTTGTCTTCTGAAAACTGTTATTCAGTGCCAAGTTTGTTCTTGATGTTTTTCTTCTAAATATTTTGTCCTGTTTGATGAAACAAGTAATCTATGGTCATTATTTCTAAAACATATTTCCTTTTTTAATGGCTATGGCACCAGTTAAGCCTTTTAGACTTTCCAGGGTGTTGCCAGGTGGCTTCTGACTACTGTCATCCATTAAAATGGCTTAATTTGAGTTTGAGGACTAGACAGGAAGACACAGGTTTAAAGGCCCATATTTACTAGAATAACATTGTTAAAAGGAAACATTTTAATAAATTAACAGTTTATTTGAGCAAAATATGATTCATGGATCAGGCAGTTTTCAAAATCATAAGAGGTTCAGAGAGAGCTGCACTCTGCATCATGGGCAGTATTTATAGACAGAGTAGAAGGCAGGTACACAAAAAACTTGATTCCTTACAGCTCAGCTTTGCGTTCACTGGATGTGGTCTGATCAGTTGGTAGCCTGTTATTGGCTGAAGCTTAGACCGGCTTGTGATTGGCTGAGACCCAGCTATCTTTACACAAATTAGACTCCCAATTATGTTTCCATTCATTTAAATACATGGTAGATTTTGTTTCATCTTCAGGGTTTTTGATGCTAGCTGTTGACCTTTAGAGGACACATTGTGAGCCTCTTGGTCCTAATTGCTGTACGTTTTGAGACAGATCTTGCTGATGTCTTTGGTTCCAGCCTCGCCCCCACCACTCCATCCTCCACACTGGCCAATGTGGTCTCTCTGGAGGCCCCCTGCTTCACCCTCTTCTGATGCCCTGAGGATGGAGGGGTAGGAGCAAAGTTCTTCCCTCCCTTTTTCCACTCCAACCCTCCTGCCCACCCTCGAGAGGTTTCTTTGTTTGCTTTTATTTGTTTTTGAGACAAGATCTTGCTCTGTCACTCAGGCTGGAATGCGGTGGCCCAATCCTGGCTCACTGCAATCTCAACCTCCTGGGCTCAAGCAATCCTTCCACCTCAGCCTCCTGAGTAGCTGGGACCACAGGTGCATGCCACTATGCCTGGCTAGTTTTTGTTGTGTTTTGTAGAGATGAGATTCCACCATGTTGCCCAGGCTGCTCTCGAACTCCCAGGCTCAACCTACTCACTCGTCTCTACCTCCCAGTGCTTTTGTTTTTTAATAATTCCTTGTGATTTCTTGCCTGCTCTTTTAAAAGCAAGACTGGGACTCTTTAAGAGATGGTGTGTTATTTTTAATAAATCTCTGTACCCTGACCGTGTTCCCATCAGGAGCGTCAGAAGGACAAACAGCAGCTAAGTGAGCCTCTACCAGCGAGTGTTATAGACCCCTTTATAAGCTCTCCTCATTAGGCATTTCTGGCACCTAAAATAGATGGCTGGAGAGGTAATTAGATGCAGTTACTTGCAAAAGTCTCAGAGGCATTTTCTTGATAGTACACAAGAGGAGTCTATTAATTAGTTCTAACAAGGAAGGTTTAAATAACATCAGTTAATGGCCAATTGCTGGTGGCAACCAGGCAGACAGAATCCAGAGTCCCTGGGCTGAGCTTCATCCTTTGCCTGGAAGGGGAAGAGTTCCATGAAGACAGAGCTCCTGCCTGTAGTCTCTCTGGGAAGATTAAATACATACAGATTAAGGAGTTGAGAATAATTTAGTGCCAAGCTCTGTACTAATAATTGTAAGTCCAACAAGTGAACAGGAGAATCGCCCAGAGATGGAGAAGACGTGAGTGTTTGGGTCCAACAGCAATCATAACTTGCTTTTTCCTAAGTGATTTTGTGTGTTGTATAGTATGCTTGTTGTTTGTTGGGTGGTTGTGAAAAAGCATTCCATCCGTATGGGGAGATTAGGCTGGAGCCCCAAAACAAAAACTCTACCTCTCCAGGGACTCTCTGTCTGGCAGCCTATGAGGAACAGGTATTGTGTTAGAATTAATTAAGCATTTCCCTCTCTGGAGCCATCCTTTGGAATGCACACATCCCTGGGAGGAGAGACCCACCAAGCTTTCTGCACTCCAGGTGAACAGCTATAGAGAAACTTCCTCTGAGCAGGATGGACCTGGAGCATCCTTGTGGGTTATGGAAGCACAGGAAGGGGACAGAGGCCCTTCAGCATCCAGTCGCAGTCATGAAGTGCCACTCCCCATGGTCTGGTGCCTCTGGAGCCCCATCTCCCTCCAGTTGGCTGTCCCCACTGCCGCCACCCATGCCCCACTCTTCCACCCTGTGCCCCAGCCATGTGATACATCTCTACCCAGAGCAGGGCTCCAGTCCCCACCCTCTCCTCAAACACCCAGCATCATCAGAGCCAGAATTAGTAAGGAGGACATCGGCCACAGGAAACAACCTCAGATTTAACATGAGAGGGGAGTGGAGAAGAGAGCACTGGAAAGTCTCATGGTGGGGAAGAGAGATAAAATGTACACTATTGTTTTCAAAAATGTAATTCTATTCACATACCAGGAAATTCTCCCTTTTAAAGTGTACAATTCAGTGGTTTTTAGTATATTCACAAAATTTTGCCACCATTACCACTGTCCAATTCAAAGCATTTTTGTCACTCCAAAAAGAAACCCTGTACCTATTGACTGTCACTCCCCACATCCCCCATGACCTCCAACCCCTGACAACCACTAGCATACTGCCTGTCTCTATGATTTTGCCTACAGGATTCTGAGCATTTCATATAAGTGGAATCATACAATATACAATATGTGGCCTTTATGTCTGACTTCTCTTACTCAGCATAATGTTTTCGAGGTCTGTCCATGTAGGAGGTATCAGTTCATTTCTTTCTATGGCAGAATACTATTCCTTATTTGCATAGAGATGATCTTTCTTTTTCTTTTTTTTTTTTTTGAGTCGGAGTCTCGCTCTGTCCCCCAGGCTGGAGTGCAGTGGCACGATCTCAGCTCACTGCAAGCTCCCTCTCGCGGGTTCACACCATTCTCCTGCCTCAGCCTCCTCAGTACCTAGGAGTACCTAGGTACTTTTTTTTTGTATTTTCTATAGAGACAGGGTTTCACTGTGTTAGCCAGGATGGTCTTGATCTCCTGACCTCGTGATCCGCCCGCCTCGGCCTCCCAAATTGCTGGGATTACAGGCATGAGCCACCATACCTGGCCTTCTTTTATTATTATTATTATTTTATTTATTTATTTTTGAGATGGAGTCTCTCTCTGTCACCCAGGCTGGAGTGCAGTGGCACGATCTCGGCTTACTGCAACCTCCACCTCCCAGGTTCAAGCAGTTCTCATGCCTCAACGTCCCAAGTAGCTGGGATTACAGGCATGCCCCATGACACCTGGCTAATTTTTTAATTTTTAGTAGAGATGGAGTTTCACCGTGTTGGCCAGGCTGGTCTCAAACTCTTGGCCTGGCCTCAAGTGATCCACCCATCTCGGCCTCCCAAAGTGCTGAGATTACAGGCATAAGCCTTTTAGTGTCCAGCTGCCTGTACCCAACTCCCACCCTTAAAAAAAATGCTTATGCTTAAAATAGTGACATTGCATGGACATACCATGTTTTAGTTATCTGCTTATCATTTCATGGGCATTTCAGTCGTCTCCACTTTTGGGTTATTATGAATAATGCTTCTACGAATATTTCAATACAAGACTTTGGGGACATATCTTGGGTATACACCTAGGAGTGGAATTTCTGGGTCATATAGTAACTCTATGTTTAGCTTTTTGAGGAGCTGCCAGACTGTTTTCCAAAGTGGATGCACCATTTTACATTCCACCAGCAATGTAGGAGGCTTCCAGTGTCTTTGTATCCTTGCCAACATTTGTCATTGTTCATCTTTTTGATTATAGTCAGCCAGGTGGCTATAAAGTGGTATCTCATTGTGATTACTCCATGTTTTTTAATCAGTGTTTAAAGGGTTAGCATGTTCTGTGTTTCAGGGATATAAGCAAAATGCTAGAGTCTCTTCCTAATTATTTTTAGTTACAGTTTTAAGAATAATAGGCTTTGGCTGGGTGCGGTGGCTCATGCCTGTAATCCCAGCACTTTGGGAGGCCGAGGCGGGTGGATCACAAGGTCAGGAGATCGAGACCATCACCTGACCCAGGATGAGGGATTGGCCAGTAGGGTGTGCTCAGAATTTTAGCCCCTCCCCACTCCTGGGGGCCTTTGTCCAGGGCAGGACTTAGATATACAACTGTACTTGGATTGTAGTTGGTCGCTTGGAAGCCAGATAGGCCGGGGTTCCTGTTTTCAGCTGGGCTGAGGGCTCTGACATTCAACAAAGGATTTAATGCCCCTGGACCTCGGTTTCCTCGTCAGTAAATAATATTGGTGATATTTCCTTCTGATGACTATAGCCCTCTTATGGTATTGTGATGATTCAATGAAATGAGCTTTATAAAGCAGCTGGTCTAAGACCTGACAAATCCAAGTGCTTACTAAACAGTAGTTAATTTTATGTCTTATCCTAAGGGACTTGACACAGGTATTATTTTCTCTAGAAGATGGGTCAGCAAACTATGACCCATAGGCCACATCAGTGTAATATTTTACCTCCCACAAGCTAAGAATTGTTTTGACATTTTTTAAAGGGTTGTAATCAAAACAAAGAATATGTGACCTAAGTTTCCTGATTCTTGCTCTAGGCCCTTCTCTGACAGCCCCTCGTCCCTGCCCTGCTCACCCCCACTTCAGGGCCAGATGTCCCTACTCATTGGTCCCTTATCACCTTGTACTTATCTCTGACATAGCCCTTTTCACAAAGAAATCCCTAGGAGACAATCAGCAGCTTCTCCATCACTGCATCCTCGGGCACACAGTAGGAAGTTAGCAGCTGTGAGTTCAGGGAATGAAAGGGGAGTTGGGGAGAAGAGGACACTGAAGACGGTTTTGCCAGCCACACAGTTTTGCTTAAGTCCTAAGGGGAGAGGAGACTGGCACTTGGCTTTGGCTGTCCTCCTGTGCATTGCATTTGAGCAGAGCAATGCCCTTGTCCCAATTGTATCCCCAGATACGTTAGTGTGGGGGGACACTCTGAATTTCCCCTAGGCCGTCACATGTGGGCTGGACTTCCCAGGAACACATTTCTTGGTAATTCACAACTCCCTTTCGGAGAAGAAACTTGGCCTGTGGGTAACAGACCCCAACCCAATAGCTCTTGGGCCTCTCCTGGAAAGACACAGCTTTCTCTCAGCCAGGCTGCATGAATTCAGGATTTGCATTCTCTTGGTTGGGGCTGGGCTGAGAGAAGGTGGAATGCGTGTTTTTGAGATTCTAAATAAGAAAAGCAGGCGTGACTATGCCTGCTTGATTCTATTACTTTGGGGCATTTTCAAAGAATTTCTTGTCTCCACTTATTTTTCTAATATTCATGTTTATGTTGAATTCCTCATGCAGAAACTGATGCATTGCTTTTACCCCAGAGCTTTCACTGACGTTTGATGGAATTAGCTCTGCAAACACTGCTGACATGATGTGCCCTCCTGTTTTGGTTCCTTCTGTACTAAACATGATTTTTACAATGAACTTGAGCTCTGTGTATGAGAGAAAAAGAAGGAGACTGATTTGTGACCTGACTACTTGCCCCCATAAAAAAGTCCAGAAGAGCCCACCGATTAAAGCATATAAGATGAAGGCAGGACAGCAACGGTCTGAGGGGAGCAGATGTTTAAGGTGCTTCCAGCAATCTGAGTTGAGCGGTTTACAATTCTCAGGCAAAAGCAGGCACAAGCTTTTTCAACAGATAAGGAACACCTTTAAAAAGAAAGGGACGAATGCAGATGAAGGACTTGCAACTCACAATGACTTTTAAACTTTCTACAAAAAAAAAGAAAGAAGAAAAAGAGAAAAAACCTTTAAAGTTTATAGTAGTAGGTTTTTTCCAAAGGTTGCCAATGTGTAGGTTGTTTGCAAACATTGCCCAGTGGAAGAAAGGGGGGAATATTTCCAAGTCACAATTCTACACGTTTAATGTCAAAGCCTACTAAATATTACTCCTCTTGAATCTTCAAAGGAATTGTGTATAAATTCCTGAAAAATAAAATTGCATTTCTGCACTTGGATGCAAGTGACCCTTTGGTCACTCCCCATGATGACTGGATGAACATAGTTTAACCTTGAGAGCAACTCTCACAACTAGGTCAAAAGTTGTTTATTGACCACATAATTTCCAGGTGCAAGATGCTTTGAATTTTTAATGCGCTTACACTAAAATTACACAGGGGCTGAAAGATTGTTTAGCTGGACTTCTGAGCAAATGAGTGTGGTTGTTATTGTTGTTTTAAGTAGACCACATACATTCACAGAAGGGAACTTTACCGTGACCTAGCAGATTACAAAAACTACAGTGAGTTCCTTTGACAGCTTGTGAGTAGAGAAATATATTTATAACAAACATTTCTTCTTCTCCAGCTACCTTTGGCTTCCAACCATAAATATTTTATAAACTACCCCCAGAAATGTTTAATGACAGACTTTTAAAGTAATTGAAGAAAGAAAGCAGCACACTTTATGAGATCCTTTCCACTGACATATTTTGATCATCGATACAGCATTTCGAAGCTAATAGTGCTGTTACTACAATGTCAGTGTACTACAGGATCAAAAGGAATGATATGAGACTTAGAACTCTTTTCACTGTGAGTGCACTTGATTTTGATTTTCTCAGAGGATAATACCTGTAGCCATTTTTAAAAATGAATAAAATTAGCAAAAAATTAAAAAGAGAAAGGCCTATATCAGAAATGCATTGGGCTAACAAACAGAAAACCTGACAAGAGTGACCCACACAAGTGGAGAGCCCTTTTTATTTCATGCATTAAGCAGTCCAGGTCTGGTGTGGTGGCACTGTGATATCACTGGGGTCTACCTCTTATCTTCGTTCTCTGTCTTCATTAGCTTGCAGATCTTGGCTTGTAGCATGGCCCTCATGCTTCTTGCCTCATGGTCACAGGATTGCTTCTGCAACTCTAGGCGTGGTGTCTGTGTTCCAGGGAGGAGAATAGAATGGAAAGTCAAGGCAGAGGACTGAAAAACAATGCCAGAGGAATCTGTCTGTCATTAAAAATTGCCCAAGAGGCCAACTCAGCAGTGTTCATTTATAACTCATTCATTTGTTGAATGAATGGACAGAACTCCATCACTCTATCACTCCCAACTTCAAGTGAGTCTAGGGTGACTATTTTTAGCTGGGCATATTGTTACCTAGAATGAGGTCATGGTTCCTTTAGGAAGAGAGGAAAGTAGATATTAGGTAAGCAACTAGCAGAATCTGCTATAGGGGGTTGTCATTTCAAAATATTCTATATAGTTAGTAATAGGTTTGAAAAAATGTTTTTTTTTCATATTGAAGGTGAGGACTCTATGGGGATGAAAGAAAGCAATTAACAATACAATAATGGGGTATATTTACCTTCTGAATTTAAAATATTCTCTGAAGACATTACTGCTGGAGCATGGTAAGAATTCATCCATCATTCAGTTGTCCTTACGTCCCCGTTATGTATTGAGCTAAGTACAGTTGCAAAGAGAGAGAACAAAACAAAGAGAGAGTGAGAAAGAGAGAGAGAGAGAAAGGGGAGGGAAAGGGGAGGAGGAGGACCAGTGGGAGGGAGGAAGGGGAAAAATCATAGAAATACATTGAAGTCTTGGCCTTCCCATAGCCTTACAGGCTAGTGAGTTCATCAGGTTAGCGTAATTGGTGAAAAAACAATTATATAAACCATCATACCACTAATTGCCATAGTTGAACAAACTTTACTTTGGATTTTCTGGTAGCCAAGAAAAAATGGGGCCATAAATGGTAATGTCGTTCTCATTTTCCATGAGAAGAAAAAATAATACAGTCATTTGTCCTACAGTGTAGTGGATTAGAGAGCTTGAGTACCAGCTCTGGAATAGACTTTGAACAAGTTATTTAATCCCCCTAATTCCCAGCCTTTTCTTCTTTAATATGGGAGCACTAATACTCATGGTTCTGAGGTCATTTTACAAATTAAGTGAGATATTGCGTGAAAGGCACCACCAAATTAAGAGCCCTGGGATGAAAAAAAATGAGAAAGATAGAAGACATTGTGCTCAATGACATCCCCATTCCAAAACAGAACTGGATTGTGAGATGTCCTATCATATGGTGTCACTTGAGAGCTGCCAAGGATATGATGCCAAAATGTCACTCAGTCAAAGCAGCTCTAGATGGGGCCAAGAAGTTATGCTTCAATAGACAGCTTTTTGATGGTCCAACTTGGACCAAGGCTAAAAATTCAAAATGTACAGAGAAATGGATGGAGTCTGTATCCTCAAACAATCTCCCTTACTTTTGACATCTTTCAGCCAGCCCTTTGATAGACATAAGCAGCTCTCCATCCAAGGGTACAGTCCCCAGTGAAGGCCTGGAGGGGAGGTATTTGTGTCACTGGTGGAGGATGAGCTCCTGCACTACAATGACATAGGTTGGACAGTGGCCTTACCCAGACTCTGACCCAAGCAAGTGCTCAACCCATCACTAAGATTTTTTTTTTTTTTCACTCTATTGCCCTAGGGCAACTACAGTCTGAGATCAGCAATAGACTCTTAAAACCTGGGGCTCTTGCCCTCATTTTAAACTTCTGTTTCCTTCATTTGTTTCTTTAACTAAACTCTCCTGATGAGGATTTTCTTATTGCTTAGTCAGGTCCAACTTCTTGACCATTATAGGGGAAGTCAGAAGTTTTATATCCATCCAGTGAGTCTAGCTATAGAGACAATTGTTGCTCTATAAACTGTCTTTCTCTTTTCCTCTTTCTATCAGATCACAAAATCCCAAGAGATGGAAAATATCTGTATCAATTTATAAAAATATTTTTTGAATAATGATTTATTTTATTTAGCACTGTTTGATAGCCTGAATGTAATAACAGTTCCCTATAGGAAATGGGTTCCCCCATCCATCCTGGTGGAGATTTCTGAAAAATCTGTTTACCCAGGACCAGGTAACAGATGAAAGCAAAAACCAGCCAATAGATACTGTGGAAAAGAGCATTCCATGATCAGATCTATGCTGGTGGATTGCGTCTAGATTCCATGCCACATTTGTTCAAAATTAATTCAATTATGAAAAAGGTATACTTGTGAAAAGCCCCCAACATGTAGGCAGTTAAGACATAATTTCATCTGAGAGCAATTTAAATGTCTTATTGCCATCTCTAGCTAAAAATACCTTATGATTTCTGGATTCTTGTGTGGAGTTAATCTCCCAGCTCAAGTTCACCTTGTTGCTAATTCTCTATCTCATTTCAGTGTGGGAAGCAATGTCATTTTATGTAGAAAGGAATGTATTTCATCTCTCCTCTTCTCCAGCTATCAGCAAATCTATGCCTAGGGCAGGGAGCAGCTGTGGGGATATGGATAGGACACAGCCATGGATCCTTCGCACATGTTGAGAATGTCCTTGGTGTTTGCTGCTCTTACTCCCTTTTCTGTAGATGAGGAATGGAGATTTTCATGAACAGGTGTTTGAAGAATCAAGAACAACAGGGCCTTTGAGTGGTGGGGTACAGCAGACCCTACTGGTTACTTACTCCATATCCATTCTCCCACAGCCTCCCCCTCTTTAGCAGAAATCTGACTTGTTCAAGTTTTACCCTAAGAGGAAGGCAGTTCCACCCTAGCTCATGAGTGAGTCCTGATTAATCTAAGCCTAGCATGGTTGTCTTATTTCCTTTGCTCATGGCTAGTTGAGATGTACACTGGAAGTTTAGACCAAACCAATGGAACATGAGAAATTTTCTCAGGGCCTTCTAGGTAGGATTTTCAGATCTTAAAGGAAGCACCCAGGAAAGATAGTCTCTTCTTGCCCCAGACTTTGTAATTCTGCATGGGATGGCTGGAACTGCAGCAGCCATCATGAAACATAAGAAAAGCTAGTCTGAGGACAATGCTGGCATTTCCAGGATGGAAGAGCGAGATGGAACAAAAGTATGGAATGAGGCCTAAAACCTCCATACCTAAGGACTTTTGTAAGAGAATATATTTTCCTATTTATTTACGAGAGAATGTATTCTCTTTATTGTTTGAGTTTCGTTGGGTTTTTGGTTACCTGCAGATACAAGCATCCTCGTATTGATACATGGAGATGTAACATAAAGCAGAGAAGTTCTTTAGCCATGTTTAACCCATTTGTTCTTGAGCTGCAACTCAGTTGTCCTGCTGTGTTGCTATGCTCAGTATGTATGAGGGGAAACACTAGGCCAGAGAGTTGATGAATTTTGTATGGTGTGTTTTCCTTGCATATCATACGTGCAACACACAGACACACACACGATGTGAAAAATGCCAAGAAGCCAATTCCACATAGCCAAATCAAACATGGGAGGGAGGCTAGAAAGTTTCTTATTAATGCAAATCAATAAGAATTGGGTAGGTGTACTTTGCAAAGGGAAAATGGCTATCCCTTTGAAGCCATACAATTTCTAGAGATACCAAGACTCCGTTCAAATGCCGTGTTCTCTGTGACCCCTTCCCTGAGTTCTCAAGGCCAAGTTGATCACCCCTTCCGTTCTCATACCACTGTATGCATATCTCTAGTGGGGCGCTTACCACATGGTATCAGCGCAAGCAGTGTCAGCGTTCAATTCCCTTGTTAGATTGTGAGTTCTTACAGGGCAAGAGACTTGTTGTAACCTTTGATGTATTCACTTATTCAACAATTATTTATTGAGTGCCTACTATGTGCCAGGCATTGAGCTGAACACTGAAGATACAATAGTCAGAAAAAGCAGATGTGGCCCCTGCAGTCATGGAGTTTAAAATCTAGTGAGACAGGCAATCAAATAATTACAGCAGTCAACCAATTTCTTATGCCTAACCAAATGACTAGCACGCAGTAAATGCTCAATAATTACTTGCTGAATTTAGTCACAGAATTTTCAATATTCTGTGCCACCTTTTATCTTCCTGGAAGCTAGCCTAAGTTCATACGATGGTGGAAAACCTCCTAGGGGAAAGAGAGGTGAAGCCCCCACATGCAGGCTGTTTTCAAGCATCTGTTTGTATTGCACTTACTAATGTCTTAATGGCCAAAGCAAGTCATGTGGCCAGTCTAGAGGGCCGTGTGGAAGGAAGTTACACGGTGCAGGGATAGGAAGAGGTGTGACTGGTCAGGGGCCATTATCGTACCAATCTGCCACACTATTTTAAATTATGGGTTATGTTATATAAGCCTAAAACTCAGCTAAGAGATTTAAACAATGATCATTTGAATCTAAGAATAAGTTTCTCAGTACAATTCACACTCAAGAAACTAACATTTGATTCAGACATTTCAAATGGAAAATAATGATGTGATTCACAGTGAACAGTATATCCAAGCTTTTGGTCTTAAAATCTTTGCACAGTGCTTTGATGAGAGAGGAGTCTTGGCAGCCAAGTGTGGCTGTTTCCCCAGCCTTTATACTATTTTCAGTGAGGGCAGTCTCTTCTTCTGAGGGTTGTAATGAGAATAATGGACTCTTTCCCCACTAACATCCAGAGAAGATCATTCTAAATCGAGTGGTTGGCCCATGCCAACAATATCTGCTATAAATTATGAAACCTCCAATCAATAATCAATACTTCTCCTCTATTTGTATAATAGCAAATGAGTTTTGAGGTTGGACTCAGAGTATAAATTGTTAACTAAAACAAAATAGGATAAATATAGAGAAATGAAACTTAGCTTTAGAGCAGACTCTTAAACCTTAGAAGTCTGTATAAACAAAAGTGTCTATGCATGTTTTATTTGGAGATTTGTGTGATTAAACAAAAATGTATTACAGATCTGAATGGAGAGTCAAATTAAGTGTGTGGGTCTAGTGGAGAGATTATCTATCCAAACGCATTTTTGTAATTCCGTACTCTGGTCCAAAAGTTAATGTAAAAAGCCAATCGAATTGATTAATACTAAAAATGGAACAACTGCAAACTAGAACTAATTTGAGAACCCTCCTACTTTCATCCTCAGAGTTTGTCTAATAAGGACTTTTGGACGACTGAATACATAGCATGTAAGAAAGTGTTAGAAATGGCTACAAGTCTGATGTGACTGCAACAATATTACTCATAATGTTTTTGAGCACAACAAAAACATACAGGGTACATCCACATGCATAACAGATGTTCACGGGAAGATGAGGTTAAACAGGACTTCCACATCCACGTGGGTTTCTCCACTTAATTTTGATCATAAAAGCCATAGAGAAGTTGAAAGGCCTCTTAGAAGAGTGGACAGAAGCCGCCAAGCACAAGTGCAGTAGGGCTACCTTGTGTATGCAAAAGGAAGACAAGTCCCACTTGGAAATATGCCTTCAGGAAGGTTTAGCCTCGCAAACTTGCACTCTCCCATTGTGCTTACATTTCATGTGTGTGGCATGTGGATTTCATTTCTCTTTCTGTCAAACATACAAGTATTCCATGGATTCCTATGGACCCAACTGCAGTTTGAATTTTAGAAACTGTAACATTTTTGGCCGAGCGCGGTGCCTCATGCCTGTAATCCCAGCGCTTTCAGAAGCCGAGGCAGGTGAATCACTTGAGGCCAGGAGTTCGAGACCAGCCTGGCCAACAGGGTGAAATCCTGTCTGTAATAAAAATACAAAAATTAGCCAGGCATGATGCTGTGTGCCTGTAATCCTAGCTGTTCAGGAGGCTGAGGAATGAGAATCACTGGAGGCTGAGAAGCAGAGGTAGCAATGAACCAAGATTGTGCTCCTGCACTCCAGCCTGGGCAACAGAGCAAGACCTCGTCTCAAAAAAAAGGAAACTGTAACATTCTGTGGTAATGAGATACCCAGTTTATGGCTGCTTTTTGCCTATTATTTGTGTACTGACCACAGAAGCTTAAAGGGTACTGTGGCATTAAAAGTGAATCTCTTTGTTCCTCATATGTATATTTTTTTCATATTTGTTAATTTGAAATTTGAAAATATTCATCTTTTGGTCTATGGCATTGATAGCATTCACCAGTGTCACCTGAAATTTGAGTTCCTGCTCAAACTGGAAGTCTTGTATTTTTTTCCTGAAGCACTCTTCAAGGATCCAACTATGGTAGCTTAATCATTACATCTAGAAAATGACTTATGGCTCCTTGTGAAAATTGCTTCTTTGTATGAAAATTCTGGTACAGCATGCAGGCTATTGTGTTCTGGGAATAGCATAGTGATGATGTGCGTTATGGAGATAACAGGACATTAGGTATACAGAATGGAATTAATATTTAGAAGTGCAGGATGCCACTCAGATAACCCTGTGGTCATCCCTAAGTATTGTGTAGCCCTCGGTTAACATATGGCACATGGACAGGGAGGAGCCTTGGGAATCATTAGGTTCAGTGCCCTCATTCTATACTTTGAGGAAACTTTGACTTAGAGAAGTTGTTCAGGATCATTTGCTCATGTCACTCAACTACTTAGAGTGATAAAGCCAAGGGGAATGCCAGAGTTTCATAACTTTCAGTCCAGGGAACCTTCGACTTCAACATACTTTTTCTTCTGTAACGTAGCAAATCAGGGGTTTCAAAATATTATGAATGTTAAGAAAAAATTGGTAGATTTTCTTATAGTTTTAAGAGATAACTGAAAGAGCATCCTTTATAATAATAAATATGACAGCATTGGTTCTACAGCACTTACTATAATCGTATTTTCATCCCAATAGTCTAGTCTATACTCTTTATTAATTATCCACTATATACATAACAGATAGATTATTTTTATTAATTATCCACTATGCACATAACAGATAGACCCAGATGGACTTGTAAATGATCTATGGCTATATTTATTTTTCTGTAGGTAGCATTACACATGGAATTGTTTCAAGTGGGAACAGGGGAAGAGAAGAAAGCCAAAGGTTCAGATTTGGCATAGCTCTTGGAGAAGATGGGCTTGAATAATGAGAAGCACGCAGGATGTCATTTGAGAGTTGTGGATGGAAAGAGCCTTCTGTTCAGGAGGATTGCAATGAGGGGAAATAGAATTCTGAGATCGGTTCTGTGTATTTCCTCCCCTAGAATGGAGGAAAGGAGACTGGGAGCAGAAGAGATGATGGTAATTAGAAAACAGATGTGTGTGGCTCAGATGGTTTGATGGGCAAAGGCCAGTGAGAATCACTGCCGAGTTCTGGGAGGCTTTGGCGATGATCTCAAAATGGGAAGCTTGAAATGATTAAAACTGTGGAAAGGAAGAGAAAGATAAAAGGAAGATAAAGGTAGATTTATTATGGGACAAGCCCAAACAAGAATAGGACAGCCAAGGTGTCCAAAATAAAACTGGGAACGCCTATGGAGTTGGAACCCATGTCATCAGCACAAATTACTGGAACTTTGTTTTTTCTGTTTCTTTAATGAATATATTCCACAAACAAGGAAACACGGTAAAATCTAGTTTTAACTTTTAAGGCGTTTTCCAGATTATATCTTGGTAGCAATATGGACTGAAATTAATTTAATAGCTTCAGAAGAAAATATCATTTATTGGGTTATAACCTAACTTTCCCCTTTTTATAAGTGAGGAAACTGGGGCTCAAGGGTGTGAAGTGACTGGCTTCTAGCACCACAGTGTCCTAGGAACTTTAACATGAGGATTTGCTGAGTGGATTTAAACTGCTCACAGTCCTATGGACAGTGAGGAACAGAATTGTCCCTGAATTCAGGCCTTGCACAGCCCTGGCTGTGACTCTTTCAAGTGTTAGTTTGATTAACCATGAAATGGAGTTGCTGAAAAATCATGAACTGCAGTTTTATTCGTCAAGCAAAGTCATTTCACAGTCAGTATAATATTCATGCTAAGGGTCTAATGCTTTAACAACATTCAGTATAAATTTCAGTTAACCTACACATTCAGTTAACCAGCACACCTGTTCTCTAACTAGCCTGGGAGAGTGTGAGCATACTTATGAGGTTAATTATGACTGGTAAATGTGAGTGGAGCTCATCAACACACAATGAGACCCCAGGAAGACACAACAGTGCCCTTCGCCCCAACTCCTCTCCAGGATCACGCAGGCAACCTTCTCCCCAGCCTTAATCCCTCAGAAGGCTTCAAGGACCCACTCAGCCACTTAATACAGAAAGCTGGGAGTCCTCTGTGACAGCACTTCCTCAAAGCTGATGGAGTTGGCAGAGGGCCCTGGTGAGCTTTTTAGAGAGAGACTCCTGACTCTCATCCTAGACTGTGATTCAGTTCGTCTTAGAGTGTGGCCCAGAAATCTGCATTTTTAAAAGTTCTGTGAGGAATTTGAATATACAGTTATTTGCGAACCACAGCTTGTACTATATTAAGTATCATTTTGCAGAGAATTAAAAGCAGCACTGATGTTAATTCTTCCAACATTACCAATCCCCAGAAGAGCTCTATAGACTCTGGGTCTCATAGACTATGAAAGTCTTGGTCCAGACCACATTTACTTTTTACCTAGAAAGCCTTCCTTCTCTTCTCCCCATTTCAAACCAGGGCTAAGCTATTGAACTTGTGGATGTCATCTGGTGGTGGTTCCTGTCGTGCTCAGGATCTTGGAAAGATTTCTGTTTATCTGGCACGCTCCACACAGGCCTGTCAGGCTCTGGGGATTTGTGGCATTTGCAGAACTTACAAGGCAGGCAGCATAAAAATATATAATTCATAGAATGAAAGATTTTGGAGGCCCCTTCACTTTTACAAATTGGCCATAAAATAGAAATCACAGACATAACATTCATATAACCGCAGTTGCCAAGAATGAAGAATCACTTGGGGGAGGGAGAGGGTGCTTGAGGAGTTTCATGTGTACTTCTCTATAGGGCACCTAAAGAAAGAGTGAGCATTCAAACTCTCTGTGCAAATGATAATAGGAACATTAAAGTAGAGGATAGAGTTCTCGGCCTGACAATTGCAAGTATCTGTTAAGGATAATGAAGATTTCGAGATTGATCCTAAGAGGTCTTTAAAAGTCTTTTCACAGTGATTGAGTTTATCATTTGAGGGCATTTGCTTGTCCTGATAGACATTCCAAATATACTTAGGATTTTGTATACATTTTACTATAACTTACTGCTTCTTGGTTTTTTCCTTTCCCAGTGGAAGCAGTTGACAATATTTGAGGCAGCTGTCTACTTTGACCGCCTGTGATATATCAGGGGAAGGAGGGAAGGGAAAAGTATACATCCTGCCACCTTCTTCTCCAATTAGCTGCGTTGACACTCTGGGCTTCCATTAGCTTTCTAGAAAGAGTCCTTAGGAAGGAGAGAGAGGCTAATCTGCTCCTGTCAGTTCCACTTAAGCCTTCTGGGGACTTGAGTCATGGCTGAGTAATGGCTGATGATACTGGTTGTGATCGCCGACTGTTGAAAAACAGTGTATTCAATGAGGTTGGATACATGCAAGACATAAAAAAGGAAAGAGGATCTCTGTCACAGAAGTCAAACTAAAAATTCTCTTCACTATTTGATTTGTATATTAAAGAAGTGTCATCTTAGGAGTCAGGAGAGCCGAGAGCTGGGCTTTCGTGGTTATGTGTCACTCTAGCTTTGTGACCTTGAAGATGCCAAATGATATTTCTGGGCTTCAGTTTACTCATGTAAAAATAGTTGTAATATCTACATAGTGTAAAGGAAAATTTCATCCAAATCAAACACAGATTGGGCTGGAGATGGGGGTGATAGAGGGTGATAGTTGTGGCTAGGGGGTGTTGAATGGATGAATTATTCTAAATTGCTTCTGGACCTCAAACTCCATTATGTTAGGAATCTGTGATCCACGGGGAGTATGGGGGGCACACAGAGGGAGTTACTTGGATGCTACTAATGATACTTAAGCCATTTGATAATTTACACTCTTAGAGAAATGCACAGCCAGAGTAAAAGACAGTTATGCTGTTTCATTCTGTATTGTTAAACAAGGATGAAAAGGGTTTACATGTCACAGAACCTAGGACAGGGTCAGTCCCTCCCTCCTTAAAAATCAGTCCTTTTTTTTTTTTTTTTTTTTTTTTTTTTGCCATCTTTCCAGAAAGTGCATTTCAAATAAAAGGTGATGAACATTTTTAAAGCAGACCTTCAGAAACAAATCTATCTTATTTTCTTTTTGTTTATTTATTTTTATTTTTTTGAGACTAAGTATCACTCTGTCACCCAGGCTGAAGTGCAATGGCGCGATCTCAGCTCACTGCAATCTCTGCCTCTCGGCTTCAAGCGATTCTCCTGCCTCAGCCTCCTGAGTAGCTGGGACTACAGGCACCTGCCACCACTCCTAGCTAATTTTGTATTTTTAGTAGAGACAGTGTTTCACCGTGTTGGCCAGGCTGGTCTCGAACTCCTGACCTCAGGTGATCCACCCACCTCAGCCTCCCAAAGTGGTGGGATTACAGGTATGAGCCACCATGCCTGGCCATCAGAAACAAATCTATAGTTCTACCAGGAACAGGAGGAATCTGCTTCTTGTTAACACTGTATCCAACATCTACACATTGATTTAGCTGCTTAATTCGGCAAGTTTCAATGCATTACATAGGTTCTTTTAGAAAATGATTAAAAACCCCACCCTAAATTTCAGACAGGTTTACTTACGTTTGTGGTAGTGCATTAGGTGTCTTTAAAACTCACAAGGCTGATTCCAGAAATTTTAGTGAAAACACATTTCCTGCTTTTATGTTCATATCATGTAGGTGTGTATTGGTATTTAGAGAAATGATAGAAGTACCGTCACTGTGAGGATGTTAAGCCCTCCTTTATCTCAAGTTATTATCGTAGACCCAGCTGCAGAAATGACACAGGATGTTTTGTTCTTATAGACGCGTTCTTTTTAAATAACAAACTTTCAAACTATTAGTTGGAAGCTTGCCACAAACTAATAAAACAATTAGAATTAACATCTTTTAAAAAATGAATTACCCAATAGCCTAAAGGTAAATAACATCTTTGGTTATTAGTAAAAAGAATCAGATAGATACTAAGCCTGCTACTGTGCTGATTACCCAAACAATTCAGGAGAAATTAAGTGATTTCACCTAAGTTTTCTAGGTAAGTGCCTCAGTTATTCACTTAAACTGTCCAAGAGGCACCTGTACTCTTGTAATAAAGTACTTACCTATGTGGTAACTCCCATCTTCTAGGTCATTAATTCAGATGTAACACATTCTTCCTTGCTATTCCGTAATGTGCTATGAGACGGGAAAAAATGCACCTATCCCAATTGTTGGACAGTTTGTTTCTATGGAGGAATTAAACTCTGAGTTTATGTTGGCAGCTCTGTCGTAGCCATAATTTCATACCCCAGCCTGGTTGTAATGGAAACTCCAACTTATAAATGCTATTTGTACCATTAAACTAAACATGAAACCTAATTCAACCTTCCTGATCATAACCTTGTAGCCAAGAATGTAATTTATTTTTCTGAATATCTGGACTTCTGTAATTGTTGCCAATGAACAGGCTTTTGAAGTACTCACTGATTAAACCATAAGTAACAATGACCTATTAAAATGACCATCTTTTTATTTTCTCTGATGACTTCAAATAGCATTTGGTCAGATAAAGCAGCTGTATTTGAAGATTCTCTTGGTTTCACATTTTAGTGAAATTGTTGTGTTAATTAGTGTTAAGCAGCACATTAAATTCCTCAGAGCAGTTAGGGCTCATTCAGTGTCTGTTTAGGCTCTTTATGTACAAAGCACATTCTAGGCACTGTGAGGACACATAGTAGACTGGCCCTCAAGAAACAAGGTATTACTCATAAGAAAAAAATACATAATGGAAAAATTGCACCAAAATGGCATGTGACTGGTTGTTAAGTGAATGATATAGATATTATATTTTATTCCAGTGACAACTAGCCTTTAAGCTTCAAATTTATTAAATGCTACCCTGCATACAAATATTTCAGGAAAATTAAATTAACCTATAATTGCAAAGGCAAAAATTCAAATGACCTACCATAATATATTTATGTTTGCAGTGTATTTATGATTTTCTACTGTGCTTTATTATTTAGTTTTGAGCTTTTTAAAATGACCTTCTGTTATGAGTATGTGCTGAATGAAGGAATCCTTTGATTATTGTCAGTTGTTGATCAATGCTGAGCATTCAAAATGGAGAAATATCTTTATTGCAGATAAAAATGATTAATCATAGATGCTTTTCATAATAGCTATGAAAAATATATAATAAAGTAGATAATAGTATAAATAGTATATAATATTATATCAAAATAGATAAACAGTAGTATATCAAGATAAGAAGTAGATAATAGTATATAAAAATCATTGTCCACTAGGCAATTAGAAAGGAAAAAGAAAGGAAAGACATTCATATTGGAAAGGAAGAAGTAAAACTTCTCTGTTTGCACATAGCATGATCTTATTATAGAAAATCCTAAAGAATCCACACAAAAAAACTATTGGAATTAATAAATGAGTTCAGCAAGATTGTGGAATATAAGATCAATATAGAAAAATCAATCGTATTTTTACCAATCAGTCCAAAATGAAACTAAGAGAAGAATTCTATTTATAATGACATCAAAAAGAATAAATTCAACAACAGCAGTATAAGGCATGAGCAATGAAAACAACAAAACATCAAAGAAACGAATTAAAGGAGAACTAAATAAATAGGAAGACATCCATGTTCATGGATTGGAAGACAATATTGTTAAGGTGGCTGTCGTAATCAAATTTATCTACAGATTCAATGCAGTCCTTATCATAATCTCAACTACTTTTTTGGGCAGATATTAGCAAGCTGACCCTAAAGTTCACATGGAAATGCAAAGGACACAGAGTAGCCAAAAACAATCTTGAAAAGGAAGAACAAAGTTGGAGGGACTTACCCTTCCCTTCCCAATTTAAAAACTTAGAACAAAGCTATAATAAGACTGTGTGGTACTGACATGAGTATAAACATATAGATTAAGGGAATAGAATTGAGAATCCAGAAATAATAATGACCCCAAATACACTTATGGTTAGTGAATTTTTGACAAGGGTACTAAACAGCTAAGTGGGGAAAGAATAGAAAGAGGAGTCTTTTCAACAAATGGTGCTGTGACAATTGGATATTTGCATGCAGAAGAATGAAGTTAGACAACTAACTCACACCACACACAAAAGTAACTTAAAATGGATCAAATACCTAAATGTTAGAAATAAAGCTATAAAACTCTCAGGAGGAAACATAAATGTATATCTTTACGATCTTAGATTAGGCAATAGTTTCTTAGATATGACACCAAAACCAAAACAACCAGAGAAAATTTAGATAAATTGGACTCAGTCAAAATGAAAAACTTCTGTGCTTCAAAGGACACCATAAAGAAAATGAAAAGACAACTTACAGGATGGGAGAAAATATTTGTAGATTATGTATTTGCAAATCCAGAATATATATATGGAACTCTTAAAATGCAATAATAAAAAGACAATTTGTAAATGGATGATGGATTTGAATAGACATTTCTCCAAAGAAAATATACAAATGGCCAATAAGCACATGAAAAAATGCTCAACATCATTAGTCACAGGGAAATGCAAATCGAAATCACAACGAGATACCACTTCACAGCAACGAGGATGGGTATAATAAACAACCAAAAAGACAGTAACAGGTCAGGCATGGTGGCTCATGCCTGTAATCCCAGCACTTTGGGAGGCCGAGGCCAGCAGATTGCTTGAGCTCAGGAGTTTGAGACCAGCTTGGGCAACATGGTGAAACCCTGTCTCTACCAAAAAAAAAAAAAATTACAAAAATTAGCCAGTCGTGGTGTGTGCCTGTAGTCCCAGCTACTCGGGAAGCTAAGGTGGGAGGATCGCATGAGCCCGGGAGACGGAGGTTGGTGAGCCCAGGATCATGCCACTGCACTCCAGCCTGGGCAGAAGAGTGAGACCCTGTCTAAAAAAATAAAAAAATACATATATATCAATAACAAGTGTTGGCAAGGATGTGCAGAAATTGGAACCCTCATATGTTGTTGGTAGGAATATAAAATAGTATAGCTGTATTGAAAATGGTTTAGCAGTCCTTCAAAAAATTAAACCTACGGTTACCATATGATCCAGCAATTCCACTCCACTCCTGACCTGTTACTGTCTTCTTGGTTGTTTATTATACCCATCCTCATGGCTGTGAAGTGGTATCTCATTGCGATTTTGATTTGCATTTCCCTGTGACTAATGATGTTGAGCATTTTTTCATGTGCTTGTTGGCCATTTGTATATTTTCTTTGGAGAAATATCTATTCAAATCCATCATCCATTTACAAATTGTCTTTCTATTATTGCATTTTAAGAGTTCTGGAATTCCACTCCACTTCTTGATCACTCTGTAAATTAAGTTGTTCTGATAAAGCATAATAGCAAAAAATATTGTCATTAAGGAACATATTTATGTATTTTGTTTTTAAAAAGAAACAAAACAAGTTTGATAATCAATCTTAGAGACTGCCTGAAATTTCATCAGTGCAGAGAGTTAAGAAGACCAACATTTCTCTTGTTATATCATGAAGATAAATATAGTTTATCACTTCTGATGAACTGATATACATCCTTTTTATTAATCTGATTATAGGCCTTTTTCACTCAGATTTATTATATGAAACAGTTATTGTTCTGAAATTGAGGGAAGAATCCTAAGTATTTCCATACAGACGTTTCATGTTTGTTCTCTTGGTTTTTTTCCCAGGTACTACCTTTCCCAAGCCAGGTGGTGTACAACAGGGTAGGCAAGTGTGGGAGCCGTACTGTGGTCTTGCTTCTGAGAATCTTGTCGGAGAAGCACGGATTTAATTTGGTCACATCAGACATTCACAACAAAACCAGGCTTACTAAAAATGAACAAGTAAGTTGACTTTGCACATTGTTAAATTGTGTTTTGCTTCAGCTCATTTGTGTAACTAGTGGGTGCCTTACAGGTCATCCTTCAGACTCCTGATGAGTGAATACCAGAGTTTTGATTTCATGCTGTATTTTTGCCAGAGTGTGGAAGGAAATTTAAGTTAAGGGTTCCATAAGAACTCTATAAACCAGGGAATATCCATGAAGGGATACTTCCATTAGGACTGATGAAGGACTGTATGTACTTGCCCTTGTCTAGTTAGCTAAAATTAGCGATATATACATCTCAAAGAGTCATACCACCGAGCTATAAATAATGCTGACATCTTCACCATCAAAATGAGAAGATTTTATTTTAATATTCTTCCCTCTTCATTTTCTCACCAATGTCCAGGATCTTTATGGTTGTATTGGTTGATGGGGGACATGAGCTTCCTGCTATGGGAAACTCAGAGGATCTTAGGCTTTGAGAGCAGCATTTGGAATGTTCAGTGGTAGGAAAAGAATGACCCCACTTCACAGGAACAATTTTGCCCTAGTGTAGCTGAGCTGTACAAGTGGACGTGCTGATGGTAGGATGGGAGTGCTGTCCTCTACCAAGAAGCTATGAAGGTTTACTTTGCAAACCTGTATAGAGGTAAGGGCAACAGTCTCTGTGGGGGTGCTTTGCTAATGTAGAAAAGTCAGATAGAGTGTTCTCATGGTCATTTTACAGAGTTGGGTTTGTCATCCTGGTCTCAGAAACTGGCTTCTGTCCCCTTACATACATAGGATGAGCAGCCACCCAATGAGTGGTACCTGCATGTTGGGAAGAAACAAGGAACATGGCTCACTATCAGGTTGAGATCATCATTATAAAAATTTCCTCATGCCTGTAATCCCAGCACTTTGGGAGCCTGAGGATCGAGATCAAGGCCAGGATTGAGACTATCCTGGCCAACATGGTGAAACTGCGTCTCTACTAAAAATACAAAAAAATTAGCTGGGCATGGTGGCACGTGCCTGTAGTCCCAGCTATTCGGGAGGCGGAGGCAGGAGAATCACTTGAACCCAGAAGGCAGAGGTTGCAGTGAGTCAAGATTGCACCACTGCACTCCAGCCTGGAGACAGAGCGAGACTTTGTCTCAATAAATAAATAATAAATAAGTAAATAAAAAAATAAATAAATAAATTTCCATCCATGTCCATTTTCTTTGGACATAATCTCCAGCTTTGAAACATTCAGAACCTCACAAACAGAGGGAATCTCATTCTTAATTTACCAATTGCGTATTTCCATTTTATCTTGGGGGAAAGTAGAACTGTTTTAAGACAGTAACATAGCCAACCATACTTGTTCTAAAGCCACTATGTTTTGTGTCTTTTATAATACAGAGATCAAATTGCCCACTCCTTTGCAAACTTCCATTAAAAAATCACTCAGTATCAAGTTTAAATAGCCATTACCAGCACGAATAGTTAAAGAATCATTACCAATCAGCAAAAAATATTTTAAGGTTATACCTTGTAGGTTCCATATTAGGGTCTCCAAAGAAAAGAATGATCTTTGGTGGCATTTAAGGATATTGCATTTTATGTATAAGATTGTACATACAGTAGGGGCAGGTTCTCTTTGATTACCTTACTTGATTGAAGAGCTAATGTGATTAGGCTGGTGATGCCTTTTTAACTGCCTGAAAGAAAGGAATTATAAATAAATACATTATTGCAATTTTATTATAATTATTAAATTTGGTGTTCTTTTGAATCTAACTCTTATGGCCTGCTTATCTATGGGATTACACTTAAATATAATATCATCATACTCAGTTCCCAGATGCCTCATAAAACACAGTTGCTAGATTTTAGTTCCCACTGCAGGAGAGACAACAAACTACCTGCAGAGAGCAGGACAAAAGTAACTCAAGGATTAGACATTGGGATGTTCAGGAATTGTTAGAAGAAAGAACACAAAGTACAGTATTTAAATGTGCCTTGGGATTTTATAGAGATCAACCTAGTTTGTTTCCTATGAGGAGCAAACATGAAAAAGTAAAATACACTTGTAACTATGAATGGAATAATTTAGAATAAAAATTAACAGCAATTTACTAACCATGTATAGATTGTTAGATCCAGAAAGGGTTAAAGACAAAGTCTTCCTTCTCTTCTAAAATATAGGCTAGCTCTCATCTGTTTGGAATGGTTGGCTTGTCTGGAAGCCAGAGAAGAGACTAGACAGTCTTTTAAGATTCTTTCCAGCCCTGTGATTCTGTGATATATTTGTACAACTTCTAGCATAATCTGTGTATTGTGTAGTTGAAACATTTCTGATTCCTGTGGTCAAAGTGACCTAGAATATATTTCATAACTTCATTATTCCAGATTTCTATTAAATTGTAAGGCAGTTTTAAAAACGCATGGCAAAGGTAAAGATAAGGTAGAAAAAACAAATATATAATTTTAATGTGAAAACAAACATAATAACAGTAACTATTACCTCTCCGCAGCCATCTGGCTCTGGCATGCAGAGAGAGAAGCCAGGAAATAAAAGGACAAGAAACCCAGTTTGAAGTTCAACAACATTTAGAGAAACACTTTTTTTGTCCTTGTATTGCTTTTATTAAAGTTTCAACGTGCATAAACAGAAAAAATATTATTTTAATATATATTCAAGAAATAATTTGTGGTATGAATAGCTCCTTTTTTGGTAATTTATTAGAGGAATGAAGGGGGAAATGGTTTAGAAGACTAGTGGAAATTGTAGTCAGTTGTTCTCACCTATAAATGGTAGAATTCTGAAAATTTGTTCCCATAGAATCATTGTCCTCTAGAGTTAATAACAATTCCACTTCAGGTGCAGTATGACTTAAACAGGCTCTTGTGGGCTGGCCTGGGACTTTATCCACCGTGTAGAGAATTTCTTTTATGAGAAAATGTGCTCCAAGTTTCAAACTACTGACTTACAAATGAACTTTGGAATATTATCCATTTCTAAGACCAGATTATCTATTCCATTTCATTCATACAAAAAGGCACCTCTCTGGGCCACAGTCAAATTCACACATGCATTGCTCTCTGGAGGGTAGTTGTGATCATACACACACACACACACACACACACACACACACACACACAGAGCTAAATTTTTTAAATCTATTAAATGGAACAAGACACTGAAGGGATTATTAAAAAGGAAAGGGAGTGTGAAGACACCAAATGTTAGAATGCCTATAAAAATCCCACTACATCTGTCCTTATAAAAATAGAAATACCTTTGAAGTTCATATTTTGGGAAATATCACCTCAACAGCAGAGCATGGGCAATGGCTGCTGGGCAAGTGTTGGACTTTCGCACAGCTCATCATGCAAACCTGTGATGACATCATTGCATTTATGCCCTAAAACTAGATTTCAGGTCTTAAGCTGGCTTAAATTATCTCTTGAAAAATGGAGATTATATACAGCTTTGAAAAATAGGGAATTTTTTTCCCCAGAAGACATGGCATGTGATTGCCAAAAAAACACATAACCATCTTTGGTTAAGAGGTGACACCATCTTTCTGAGCATTGCTCTAAATACAAGAAAGGTCAGAGTGCTGCAGGTGTATTACAACTATGAGAATCCATAATTACTTTCATTCTCTTTAAAGAAAAGCAAAAGTTACCAGCATATTGAGAAGGCACATAATTTTACTATTTCTATTTCTGTTGAAACTGAGGATTACGTGTTGGATACAGCACCTACAACCTGCATTGTTTTTCTTCATTGTTTCATTGAACTTTTTGGACCTAAAAATATACTACTGAGTGGGTATGATTCCCTGTTTTATGGGTGAGACACCTAAGACAATCAGATTGTAACTTTCCAAATACATTGTAATGACTATCAGTGGCTCTTGGCCTTGAACCTAGGCCTTCCTTAATCCAAAAGCCATTCTCATCATGCAGTGTTTATCTCCTCTAGCTGGATAGCAGAATCTCAGCAGAGCCTTTTAAAACCTAGAGTTGCAGTGGCCCTTCTCCTGGAGATTCTGGGGTAGAGCCCAGAAAACTTTTTCTTTAATGAAGTGTCACAAGAGATTTTATGATGCAGCCAGGGTTAAGAAGCTCTGTCGAAATCATCATACCAGCATTGCCCTAGGTATGTTCCTGAGAATCCTAGTCCTCTAAGACATTGAAAGAAAAAAAATATTATGGTTCAATAAATTTGGTAAATGTTGCGTGCCTTGTCCCGAATGAATCAATTCACGATGATTATTCGCATTTTGAAGACTTCGAAAATTAAAAACAAAACTGCAAACAAACTGTTTGACTGGATTTCACCTAGCGTTTTTGCAGTCTTCATTGTTCAGGGGAGTCTTAATGAGTGTTTGTGACTCATTTGCATTCTGCAGAACTCCAGTTCATTGTCTGTGAAATACTAGGCAAGTCCACATCCTCCCACCAGTTGTAACAGTAAAGGCTACTATATCACTATAAACGTAACATCTGTTCTGACCCTCCAACAGCTATTCAAATTATTAAAACCTTGAAGAGTTATATAAAGGGTGGAGGAGAGAGAGATCCTATGCCCATGTGCCCTAGATAGCTTTAGCTTCCTTATCAAAACACTATTTCCTTACAATATTTTAAATTTCCCTCTCCTGTTGCTCTTGCCCCCTGCAAGTTTCAAGTCTGAATGGTGGCTAGAAAGCAGTGAGACTTAGGGGGAAAAAACCCAACTCACCTAAAAAAATCATGTTAAGTTTGTAAAAGTCTACAGGCTACAGGGATCCCTAAGGCATGGTTAATCGGGCCTCTGTTTAATCAAGAAGGTGGGCCAGGCATGGTGGCTCACGCCTGTAATCCCAGCACTCTGGGAGGCCGAGGCGGTGGATCACCTGAGGTCAGGAGTTCGAGACCAGCCTGGCCAACATGGTGAAACCCTGTCTCTACTAAAAACACAAAAATTAGATGGGCGTGGTGGTGCACGCCTGTAATCCCAGCTACTCAGGAGGCTGAGGGAAGAGAATCACTTGAACCCAGGAGGCAGAGGTTGCAGTGAGCCGAAGTTGCACGACTGCACTCCAGCCTGGGCGACAGAGCAAGACTCCATCTCAAAAAAAAAAAAAAAAAAAGGCCGGGTGCGGTGGCTCATACCTGTAATCTCAGCACTTTGGGAGGCTGAGGCGGGCGGATCACGAGGTCAGGAGATCAAGACCATCCTGGCTAACATGGTGAAACCCTGTCTCTACTAAACAAAATACAAAAAATTAGCCGGGCGTGGTGGCGGGTGCCTGTAGTCCCAACTACTTGGGAGGCTGAGGCAGGATAATGGCCTGAACCTGGGAGGTGGAGCTTGCAGTGAGCCGAGATTGCGCCACTGCACTCTAGCCTGGGCGACAGAGCGAGACTCCATCCCAAAAAAAAAAAAAAAAAAAAAAAAAAAAAGGTGCACTCATTCATTTTTACAGCAGATTTCTCTGTTTTTTGTTCATTCACTTTGATGAATATTTATTGAGAACCTAGTATTAATGTGCGTATTAAACCCCAGACAGCCCACTAGATATTAGTGCACCCTATTTCTAATCCTCGAGGCAACATTGTTAGGAAAGCATTATTGCCCCATGTTAGAAGGAGGAATAAGTGTGTACAGGAATCTGATTAAAATATAGTGTAAATTAAGAATAATGTGGGAGAATAAGACTTGAAAGCAAACGGGGGTCAAATCCCGAACTTTAAATGCTGGGCTTCGGAGTTGGAACTTTCTTCTGTAGACAGTGGGAAGCTATTCCATTTATGCCTGAGGTAGCAATTTTTTTAAATTTTTGCAATCAGACCTTGGCAATGACCTTGAGCAGTAGGATGTAAATAACTCCCACATGCTTAGCGTTCCAATAATGGAACACTAGGCATACATGGGTTAATAAAAAATTGTTCTTAATCACGATAGGCACCAAAATCTGCTGGGGAGCGTTCTCACAATATGTGTATTCAGGTCCCACTGCAAAATACAGAGCTAAACTTGTAAAGGCAGAGCCAAAGTTATTTGTATTTTGCAGGGGAAAAACTCCCGAAGAGGTCCTCACGCACAGCCCTAGCAAGGAATGATTTCACAAAAGCCTCTGATTATTAGAAAGTTTTCCTTTTATTGAAGTGAATCCTTTACTACGCTAGGAAAATCCCGCTGTCACCTGAGACTCTCTCAAACCCCTGAAGACTCCATGCGTCCCTGAAGATTTATGAAGTGTTGTCTCCTCATGAGCCTCTCTCTTTATCCCAGGAACCTTTCTCTGGCTTGACATGTTTTGGAAAAGCCTCGCTTAGAATGACCGTCAGAACTTCCCGACTTTATAGGAGTGGGGACAGTGTCCACAGGCATGAGAGTGCTCCAACTGGACCTTAGAGTCAAACCAAAGAGAGGAGCCTGGTCCCTTTCCATGCCACAGGGATTAGTTCACACAGCCCTGCAGACGTCTAGTCTTGGAGCCCTACACACAGAAACTGAGTCCGCTAATAGAAACTTGGTGGAAAAAAAAAAAAGAAAAACAAGGAAGAAGCAGCAAGGCCTGCAAAAATAAAATAAGTTTTTCCTTTCCTTCCAGTTGCAGCCATGAGATTTTCTCTGTAATTGAGACCCAGGCTCTTTGCCTTGATCATGTCATTGCTCCCCCTGGTGGACTTCTTCTTCATTGCAGGCGTGTGTTGCGCTGACTGCTTCCCGCAGGCCATCCTGCCTCCTGCTTACAAGGGCTACCCCATACTGTGGGAAGAGGGAAGGGTCACCGGAGCCTCCAGCCATCTTCCCAGGCTCTGAGGTTCAAGGGCCAAGGCTCTTCCTGTGAGCTACTCCTTATTTTGCTTTGATATGTTAAAAACATGTCCTTTCTGTAAAATGCTTTGCAAAATTGTAAGACGTCTAGGTGTTCATGAGTGACACAGAATTCACTTATGAACCACGTAGGGTTAGATACCGCCTCTGCTGACAAATATTTGCCAAGAAGTCAGGAGCAAAGTCTGACTGTGTTGGTAGAACTGCAGGTAAAGGTTTTCTGCTGCACCATCCCAGCCAGTCAGGTTGAAAGCAAAAGATTAGGAATTACTTACTGATATGCTGTGATCTGATTTTTTTCTTTTAGGTATCTTTCATTACATAGTTATCTTTTTTAGTATTTAAAATTAATTTTCTGTTCTTGTTAGGATATATACTCAGTTTTCCCACCTAGAACTTTTAAAAAGTATTATCTCTGGCATTTTAAAGCTTTTATTTTTGTATTATTTCATAATGCTTTTCCATCTGTTAGAACTTTCTTTCAAATTTTCAGCACATCACAAGAAAAGAAGAAAATTTATATTCCATAAACCTTCTTTGTTCTCCAGACTTTTGTGCTAACCAATCTGTTCCTTCCATTTTGAAAGGTTATGTATAGATCAAATCTCGGTGGGAATGGTGAATAGATTGCAGCCAGTAAATAAAAAACAGGATTTAGGGTTTGGAAAGACTTGGATTTCAATCCTGGCTTTACCTCTTGTGTGGATAAGGCTTTAAGCAACCAATGCAGCCTTTTGTGCCTCAGTTTCTTAACCTCTACAGTAGGGATAATAATACTTATCCATGGCTGGGCACGGTGGCTCACACCTGTAATCCTAGCACTTTGGCAGGCCAAGGCGGGTGGATCACCTGAGGTCAGGAGTTCAAGACCAGCCTGACCAACATGGTGAAACCCTGTCTCTACTAAAAATACAAAAATTAGCTGGGCGTGGTGGCAGGCGCCTATAATCCCAGCTACTGGGGAGGCTGGGGCAGGAGAATCGCTTGAACCTGGGAGGGGGAGGTTGCAGTGAGCCAAGATTGCGCCACTGCACTCCAGCCTGGGCAGCAGAGTGAGACTTCGTCTCAAAATAATAATAATAATAATAATAATAATAATAATAATAATAATACTTATCCGTGGGTTTCTTGTCCACTGCACTCCAGCCTGGGCAGCAGAGACTTTGTCTCAAAATAATAATAATAATAATAATAATAATAATAATAATAATATTACTTATTCATGGGGTTCTTGTGAGGATTAAATGACACCATATGTATAAAGAGCACCTTGGTGCACTCAGAAAATGGGAGTCTGTTTGATGGTGTTATGTCCTGGATGTTATAATGGTAAGACTGTTTGCCCCATGTGACACCAGGATAATGAACATATGGGTCTGTCTCAGAAAGGCTAAATTCATAGCCTGAGTGCTAGATAATTCTGTCTTCAGTTAACTATACATTTCTTGACTCCAAAAAGGATTTCTAAAGATGATAGCTTCATTTCATAAATATTTGTGGGGTGTATGTTCTGTCCAAGTACCTTGAGTAGGCTTTCTAGGGGATAAAGCCTGCCCCCAACCCTCACAGAATTTACATTTCAGCTCAGACTCGTGCACAAACTCAACTACAATGTAATGTAGAAAGTGCATGTCCTGAAGAATTTTCAGATGCACTGCTATGGAAGGTCATGTTCAAAACCAAGCCCATTTCCCCCCTTATCTGCAGCCAAATCTTTTCCTCCCCCAGCATTGCCCATCTCCATGAATGGATACCATCACGTATTTGGTTGTCCTAGCCAGGAATCTGGGAAGGAAGCTCTCTTGGCCACTTGCCCTGCCTCCCTTCCATTGGCAGGTAGTCACCTCCTTAACCCTCCCGGAACCTCCCCTTCTGTCTTACTTACATTGACTTATTTCAGTGGTTCTCACACTTTTGTGCCTTAGCATCCCTTGGAAGGCTTGGCAAAACACAGACTGCTGGCACCCCTTCCCCCAGAGTTCCTTCTAATTCAGAAGGCCTGGGGCGGATCCTGAGAATTTGCATTTCTAACAAGTCTCGGGTGATGCTGATGCTGCAGGTCTGGGGACCACACTGAAAACCACGACCTCAGTTCATGCCATTGTCATTTGCTGTTGGGATTATTGCCCAGTCTTCCTGGCTGTGCTTCTGTATCTAATCCTTACCCTTCTTCACATTCTCCACCCTGTCCTCAGATCTGGAAAAAAGAATTTTTTCTGGCTGTTGATCACCCACAGAATAAATGTCAGAATTCCTGCTGTGATCTGCAGTGCCCTCCATTACCTGACTCTTACCTGATTCTCTAGTCTCACCTGCTACTTTGCTGATCCCATCTCGGATCACTGAACACCTCTGGCACACTGAACTCCTGCAGTTCCTTGGTGCCGTATCATTTTATGTTCTGCCTTTTGTATCTGCTCTTCATTATTTGCAATGCCATGAATCCCTTTCTTTCCTGGCTAACTCCTCTAGGCCCTTCCAGACTACTGAGGGAAACCTCCCTGGGGAAGCATTACCTCTCCATCTGAATGTAGAGAGAGGTGCTTCACTTATCTACCATCTACCTCATGGTGGTTATCACATGATTGTACCTGCCTCTTAGTCCACCTCACCCACAAGACTCTGACAGCTTCCTAACAGCAAGAACCAAATCCATCATCTCTATAGCCATAACCCTGAGCAACATTGCCTGATACAGAGGGGAGATCAAAGGATGTTGAATGAAAAGGGCTATCCAGAAAGGCTACTTGGAGGGGTAGATATTTTAGCCAGAGGTGAAGAGTGGTTAGTATTTAGACACACAAGGAGTAGCAGAAGAACATTCTGAAAGAGGGAACTTAAACTGGAGCTTGGACTTGGTCAGGCTTTAGTGTGAGGAAGGAACAAGGAGGGCTCTCATTTGGCTGGCCACAGCATGTGTGGTCCTGAGAGCCAGTTGAGGGAAATAGCACAGGTGGAATTCACATGGCTCAACACACCATTGAATTATGGGAGTCCGGGAAAGAGCTGGATCAAAGGTGGGAATATGCCGAGCACCAGTAACCTGAACCAGACTGTCCAGAGATGGATGAGGCTGGATAAAGAGTAAAGATGGGTGAGGATTAAGTGTGTTTGTGGCCATGGTGGAGTTTGAGGGCACCATTAGGACATATTCCACTGTCTTCTTCATGTGTCTTCCCACCCATCTTATTCGTGTTTTTATCTCCAGTGCCTAATAAGTACTCAATGAATGATGAGTGAATTTATGCCATGGAATCAGACTAAAGGCCAGGAGTGGTCCCGCATGAGCCAGGGAGAGGAGAGGTGGCTCGTTGGTGATTTTAGGTGGTGCCATTGTCACCCCCTGATGCCTCTCCTGCAAATAAGATTTAGGTGAAGGAACAGGCAGGCTGCTGGCCATGGGGGGAGGACCAGGCAAGAGACCTCAAGCAATGGCAGCAACGAGTTCAGAATATGACTGCTTGTCGCCAAAAACAAGGAAAGTCTTAGAATTTGTGAAGATCAAACCGGCTGAGAGCTGAAATGTACCCTCTGCCTTCACTGTGCTAATACAATAAACACGAGCATTAGTACCTTGATTCTATGTTTAAAGATAACGTCTAGAAAGAGTTATACATTGTCACTGCTAATCCATTTTTTTCCTCCTGAAATAGACAGCTTTATGACTATTATGACACTGTTCTCAAAATCTAACTACTACTATTCTTCCATTAAATTTAACACATTGACATGTGTTTAGAGAATATAATTTAATGTGGAATATGTGAAAGAAACGTTTTTCCTTCTGACCTGTTCTTCCAGTTTTCTTGTACAGTACTAGGGGGCTTTCTTGTATGACTCTTCTGTGTGCAGAGAAATATCTGAATAAAATAACCTAGAGATAAAAGTGTTAATGGTCTTTACATTAAACATACACACAGTCAAGAGTTATTTTTCCAAGCAGGCACCCTCAGAGATAAATTACCTATGGTTATGTCTCCAAACCAGTAATTCCATTAGTAAATGCATCAAAAATCAAAATGAACAACGTGACCACGCAGGAAGTTTTACTACCAAAAACAAGCACTTGCAGGTGGTGTGTCGAGGATAAACAGTAGATAAAGAGGCAGGATTCAATTTCCTTTTATACTGAGGTTTGAGGACAGACAGACCATTATTCACTCATACCTGCCACTGACTAACAGAAGCACAGGGTTTATGAACTGCGAGTCATTTACCTTTAAAATTCAATTTCATTCCTTCAATCGTTGTGAGCTTGAATATCTAATTACAAGGTTTATACACTGAGATCCTAGTGTAATAATCTATAAAGCGTGTACTAGTTGGAGTTAATTCATTGAACAAATATTTATCGAGCACTTATATATGTGTCAGCCCCTGTGTTAGACATGAAGGAACAAGGCAGACTTGGGCTTTCTGTCATGTTTGAGACAAACCTGGAGTTCCAGACTCTTATTTTATTGTTCTTGTTGCTACTGCGGTTCACATGTGAATGACTGGTTTTGTTTCCAGTTTTTCAACTTGAACTATTTCATAAAACATGAAATGTTGCACTTCTGACATTCATCCAAAGTAGCAAGCTGCAATGTGCTTTTAAAAAATTCCACAGTGTGTTCGTTTTGATGGGGCCAACCAGAAAAACTAGGGAAAGAGAAGTTCAGAAAGTTAGGGAGTCATAAGAATGCTTGGAATTTCTAACAGATTTTACTAAACATTTTCTGTATCATGACATGTTCCAGAAGGCCATAAAAGTTAGTTTATACGAATATAAACTACTTTTTGCCTTGCTGATAACTGCAAATAAATAATTCAGATGACCACCCACCAAAACACCAAGACATTTGGGGGTTTATGTGTTTCCTACAGAATATTTTCCTTATAAATTTCATGGTCAAGGAGCACAAGAATGAAGTAGTACCTCATTTTATTCCATTTTTAAATTCTGCAGCACCTGTTTCAATATTTTTGTATATCCCAATAATATCATTTACAGAATAAGATAATGACTAACCTCCTTCCTTGATTTGACTTTAAAGGAAGGGATAGAAGGCATTCTTTTATTTACATTTTAGTACAGCAACACACTGATTTCTCCAGTCAAAATTACTTAATCTGTCACGTTGCTTTCATGGTAACAATCAACTAAATGAGACACAGGACTATCAATTTGGATAGCACTGTTTTATTCGCTAAGGAGCCTTATGTAAAACTTGATAAATGTTGCACTTATACCGCTGGTCCACTGGGAATAAGTGGGAATAAAAAGAGTCGGATATTGGCCAGGCGCGGAGGCTCACGCTTGTAATCCCAGCACTTTGGGAGGCCGAGGCGGGCGGATCACGAGGTCAGAAGTTCGAGACCACGGTGAAACCCTGTCTCTACTAAAAAATACAAAAAATTAGCCGGGCGTGGTGGCGGGCGCCTGTAGTCCCAGCTACTCAGAGAGGCTGAGGCAGGAGAATGGCGTGAACCCGGGAGGCGGAGCTTGCAGTGAACCGAGATCGAGCTACTGCACTCCAGCCTGGGTGACAGAGCGAGACTCCATCTCAAAAAAAAAAAAAAAAAAAAGAGTGGGATACATAACCTTTAACTTAATATGGCTTGGTAAATTAGATCCTATATATGCTAATTTTTACTTTTTTTAATAGATGGAACTGATTAAAAATATAAGTACTGCCGAACAACCCTATTTATTCACTCGACATGTTCATTTCCTCAACTTCTCAAGGTAAGACATTTTCCAGTTTAATGGTTCTTTCATTTTCTTCTAATGAACAGTTACTTTAGAAATCTACCTTTATTTACAAGGCAGTGCAATTGCCCTTGAAAAGACATTTTTAATCCGTTTATTTTTGCTACGGAGGGATCAAAATTTGAAATATTTGAACAGAAACTTCATTTCTTCCTAGACTACTGTCTTAAATCTTATAAAAACTTGGAATTATTTTTAATGAGAAGCCATTTGACCTAATAGCTCTTTTTTAAAAAGGAATCAGATTTTGTATTGAAACAAATAAGAAGGCAGGAGATGGGTATTTTAGCATAAATATTTTATTGCACATTTTTGTACAATTTGAACCTGCACAGAACTCTAGAAATAATTTAGTGCTAGAGTAATGAGTATTTTCTAGGATCCAAAGTACCAGCCTCTGTCTGTCTTTTTAATACAATCGTGTGCCACATCACGACATTTTGGTCAATGACAGACCTCATATATACATTAATCCATAAGATTATAATATGGTATTTTTACCATATCTTTTCTATGTTTAGATACACAAATGATTATTATTGTGTCACAGTTGCCTCCAGTATTCAGTATAGTCACATGCTGTCCAGGTTTGTAGCCCAGAAGCAACAGGCTGTACTCTACAGCATAGTTACGCAGTAGGCCGTGCCATCGAGGTTTGTGTATGTACTCTATGATGCTTGCACAACCACGAAATCACCTAATGATGCATTTCTCAGAATGTACCCCTGACATTAAGCAATGCGTGACTGTAAACCATTTGATTTTCTAAGCCTCACGTGTTTGATGCTGGGGAGGTATTTAAAATTCTGGTTTTTGTTTCCAGCAGCTGTGGTCTTCTGATAACAATGCAAATCTTCAAATTCAGGTTTTTAGATTCCCTATTTGTTAAATTACTAGCTTCAGGTTCTGAGTGTTCTCTTCCCCAGTCTTTCATTAGCATAGGTTGATTGTCACTGTGCCTCACTCCTTTGCTGATGGCCCTCAGTGTTTTGCTCTCCCTGTGCTGGCTCAAGTCTGCATACACAGCTGCTATCTAATAGCTGACAGATCACTGGATCCAGAGGCAGATCTGCTGGAGACCAGCCTGGGAACCTCCGGGCCTCCCTTGTCAGCCCTCTGACGGGCACTTCTGTCATCTTAACATGGGGTTGACAGTTCCTTGCAGGTCCACACGAGAGCACCAAAGGACCCAGGGCAGCAGGCAACATCTGCTAGTTAGTGCTGACCCAGTGGCTCCTGCAGGCCAGGCACCAAGGGAGCTGGGTCTGGAGGAGCTGCTGCTCTGGTCCAGGGTGCCTGACAACCCACCTGGCTGGAAGAAGATTTCAGCCATCCAAGGACTTCCCTGCTATGCAGCAGGTCCTGTGCAAGTTAAGTGCAAAGAATGAGATTCAGTAAAGCAAGTTATTAAGCAGAGAAAAGGAGCTGCTGCCTTATCTTTAAAAGCAAGTGTTCCCTGAAGTTTCCTGGGCCTTCCTGATAACCAGAGTTCCTGGGATGGTAACAGGACTCCTGCAAATTTTCCACAGTAATCCAGGGCCAGGTGCTGGGCAGCTAGGACTGTGTTTTCAACCACATTTATAAAATGGCTTGTTACTGGATTATCCAGGGTGTGTGCCCTGCCTCTTAATTCCAGAAGGCCACATGCATATTATTAGACATGATTAGATAACAAGGCTTATTAGCTCTTTCAGGCATTGTATTTTATGACTTGCAAAGAGAAAAGCGCTGCTTCCCTGATCCTTGCTGTTCTAGCGCGTTTCCTTCTGAGTCACCCCTGACATCCTTAAACCTCATTCATGAACACTTCTTGCTTCATAGGTCAAATCTTTACAACCAAACAGATTGCAATGCAACAAATTTTAAATATTTATGTCTGAACAGTGTAAAACACAAATTAGAAGCCATGGCCAGTATCTTAATTGGGTTGGCAGATCACAGTATGGTGGCCATATTCTGTGATGGCCTCTACCAACAAACACGTGTACAGGAGTTTAGTCTTCATTTAATTCTGAAAGGAAAAAAAATGATAAATGCCTTTTAGAAGATACCATGTCTACAGAAAACAGTGCTGGCCTGGCCGTCAGGACCTCTGGTGTCAGAACTGGCCTCCCAACTGGTCATGATTCTCGGCAAGCTGTTCAACCTCTTGGGGGTCTCTGTTTTCTATTTTTCCATCTGTAAAACAAGGACAGTTCTCAGTCATCCCTACCATATAGGGATGCTCTGAACCTGTGAAGGAAAGGCCTTCTGAGAGAAGGATGCTGTATTGGTCCGTTTTCATGCTGCTGATATCCAAGACTGGGAAGAAAAATAGGTTTAATTGGACTTACAGTTCCACGTGGCTGGGGAGGCCTCAGAATCATGGCAGGAGTCGAAAGGCACTTCTTACATGGTGGCGGCAAGAGAAATGAGGAAGATGCAAAAGCGGAAATCCCTGATAAAACCATCATATCTTGTGAGACTTATTCGCTACCACGAGAACAGTATGGGGGAAACCACCCCATGATTCAAATTATCTCCCATCAGGTCCCTCCCACAATACATGGGAATTACAGATGTACAATTCAAGATAAGATTTGGGTGGGGACACGGAGCCAAAACATATCAGATGCTGTATACATTCAGAGTGGCAGTTAAAAAGGCAATTCTGTAGACGTCTCAGGCTGAGCCCACTGCCCAGCTCCTGACTCGGTTTCTATGGAAACACCTTGAGGACAGGGCTGGGCTCTGCTTCTCCTCCCTCAGTTCTATTTTACTCAATTAAACACATGTCTATGGATTACCTTCTCTCTTCTATACACTACATGAGAACTGGGACTTCTGCAGTCAACATTAAATGTTTTCCTTGCCTTTGGGAGACTCTAAGTTCTTCTTCCATTAAAGTGTAACAGATGTAAGGAGAGGGTGGTCACAGGGCTTCCCCTAGCGGAGGTGGGAAGCAGGAACTTCCCTGTGGGATGAGGACTCTGGGAAGGTGTTTCTTCGGGGAGGTGAGGGATGGGTCAGCTTTAGACAAGTGAAGGGGGAGAGCATTCCCAGCACAGCGACCAGCAGAAGAGCAGGGCCAAGAGGAACTGAAAGGGATGCAGTGCAACCCAGGATGGACATGACTGGACTGGAACAGCAGTCAAGAGTTTTAAGCAGAAATAACAAGAGACTGCCTGACCAGCTTTGCTGCTTTCAATAAAAAGCCAGAACTGACTCCCCAGGAGCAACCTCTTCCTCTCTTCACACCCACATACCAGGGCCTGGGCCCTTAGCTACCAGCCTTCCATAAAAATGAAGAGAATGATCAGTTGAACTTTAATATATGACAAGATTATGATTGTTCCACTCATAGAACATGGGACATTAAAAAATCAGCTTTTCATTGTTTAAGGGAGTAGCTTTATCTAAGGAAAATTTCTCTGTCAATATGCAATTGACAGAGAAAAACAACTAAGCTGGAACTTCTTAAGAGGCCTTTGACATTACTTTTTTTTGAGATGGAGTCTTACTCTGTCGCCCAGGCTGGAGTGCAGCGGTGCAATCTCAGCTCACTGTAACCTCAGTTCAAGCGATTCTCCTGCCTCAGCCTCCCGAGTAGCTGGAATTACAGGCATGCACCACCACACCTGGCTAATTTTTCTATTTTTAGTGGAGACAGGGTTTCACCATGTTGGCCAGGCTGGCCTCAAAACTCATGGCCTCAAGTGATTTGCCCACCTCAGCCTCCCAAGTGCTGGGATTACAGGCGTGAGCCACCATGCAAAGCCAAGGACATTAACATACTTTAAAAAATAACTTTTAGATGTATTTTGACTGATAAGTTATAAAGATAATGAAGCTGATCTTAAGAAACCTACCCTTATAGCTGCTGACAGACCTATTGCTTGTTTCAGGATAATGAGGTTCCCATGAGAAGAACTGACACTGCAACCTAATATTATTGTTGATATTTCCAATCCTCCACACATCGTTAACATGCCGCACGGTACTTGCTGGCAAGCAGACTGTAAGGATGAAAGTCAGGCCTCCCTCCCCACACTTTTTTTGCACACAAATGGTCAGAACTTTTGAAGGGTAAGGCATTATACCATAGCTAATTGCCCTTTCTTTTTTTATTCCATTAAAGATGGCATTTTTACCTTGAAATTTAGACAGTCTTGAGTCATGTACAATGCGATCCCGTGAGCACTTGGTGTTTCTCTAGCTGACCTACTTCGTTTTTTTTCACCTTCTAGGCTTCTTGTCCTGTTTCTTCTTTTTCCTTTTTTAGAGTTAGAAGGAACCATATCTAGTTTTATTAATCCAGAGATGGGAAGTAATTGGTTCAGACCATCAGGTGTTTTGCCTCAGGGAAGGTTTCCTGCCCGGGGACTTATGCACAGCGAGCTCTCAGCAGAGATCTCAGGCTTCAGTGGGGATTCCTGACTTGCACACTGGGTTGCTGTTGCACACAGTTGTGGAACTCCCTAGAAATTCAAGCCAGGCAAATGTTTTTCACCTGGACTATCTGGAGAATTGAGTTAAAACTACCTTGGCCTAAAAGGTGCTTCTCTTTGTTAGGATGTTTAAGTAGGATTTTTAATATTTGCATACTATGGTTTCAGGTATCTTTTTTCAGTTTTCAGAGTTAACTTTAAGAAGCAGTTTCTGAAAAAGATCAACTTTCCAACATCAACAGCATCCCTCCAAATCTATCTTAGATCCACACACTAGAAAGCCTTGCAACAGACTACAATTCAAATTTGTCTGTCCCCTGCCCCCAATTTTGTTTGTTTTCTAAGCTTGTATTTTTTGGGGGGCGTATAAATATTTTTGCAATCTACAATGCCCCTCACCCTTCCAAATGTGCTTTTGCAGGGAAACCCTTAAGAAGCTTTGCCTCAGAACCCGATGCTGTCAAAATAGTCCAAATGCATTATGAGAGACACCAATATGCTAAATAATTTCAAACCACCACTTCCCTTATCCTTTTTTCACATCATTCTTCCTTTCTCTGCCATGACCCCCTCACCTTCCTTTGCTTCCATTTCTGTCTTCTCCTGTATCTCAGATGGTGGTTCCGGTGCCAATAGTAACTTGCAAAAACAAACAAACAGTGTGAAAATTAGTCAATCACCAGAAAAGCAGTGGGGTGTGATGTGCAAGGGGGTGCATTTTGGACACCTTTTCTCTTCCCTACAAGTGAAGTCTCAATTACTGATGTGAACAGTGTTTCTTCTATCAACTTTTGTGAACAAACTCTGCCCTCTGATGGCATTATTTAACAAAACAAATCAGACTTCGCTAATTCCACAAGTCAATTTGGTTTTCACATCTTATTTGTAAATGTTGACTTTTTTATTCTTCTTAGCCAAGTGACCAATTCAATTCTGTGCCCTTCAAATCTCTTATCTTTTGACAGACACTGCAAACTCTGAAGAAAGCACCAAAGTAAAAATCGGTATTAGCAGTTAACACCGTCTCTGCCTCCTTAAATACAGCGCAGAAGTTCCATTTACAAGTGCGAGTTTTCTCTGGGTTTTGCCTTTGTGAACCCTGGCTGGACTCGTCTTCCTAAATTGGCACTTTCTTCCTCATGTTTCTGCTTTTCCCTCTATGGGGAGTGGATCTCTGCCGCTGCATGGGCCACCAGCTGTGTTGGCCCATCAGGGATGAGTATAATCTGGACTTTCCCTCATTTCCTGATTATTCCTTACTGTTTATTTCATGCCTTGTCAATTCATCTTCCTCTGTGAGTGGGAGCCCTGACCCAAATACCCACCTCCTTCCCCATTTGTCTCAGCTTCTCACAGCAAATGTTTCCATCTCTCCTGCCTTGGGACAGACCGGAGAGCAGAGCACAGCTGTCTCTTCTGCTTGTGTTTTGTGATGGATGGTGGGCGGAGGGGAGTCTAGTCCTGGGCAGAGGAGATGGAAGTGCCCACTGCAGGGGGTGTGAGGACAGAAGCCAGACCTCCCCACCATGCTGGCCCCCACTGGACCTTCAGGGACTCTTGTTACTGTGACGGGCTCCAGCAAAGGGCCCTTTAACAGCCAGCTTGGCTGGGCGCAGTGACTGACACCTGTAATCCCAGCACTTTGGGAGGCCGAGGCAGGCGGATCACTTGAGGTCAGGAGTTCGAGACCAGCCTGGCCAACACGGCGAAACCCCATCTCTACTAAAAATACAAAAATTAGATGGGCATGGTGATGGGCGCCTGTAATCCCAACTACTTGGGAGACTGTGGCAGGAGAATCGCTTGAACCCAGGAGGCAGATGTTGCAGTAAGCCGAGATCACGCCATTGCACTCCAGCCTGGGCAACAAGAGCGAAACTCCGTCTCAAAAATAAACAGCCAGCTCTACCCCTCTCCGCCTCAGCCACTCCTCACTCTGCCCCCAAAAGGTCCTGTTCTTTTCCATGATGGCCTTTCTCTCACTTCAAACTGTCTTCCTCCCTCACTGATCAAGGGTCAAAGCCCTGGGCCTCTGGCCTATGGTACTTTTCACCCTTTAATGTAGATAGTGGCACAAAGATAACCTCTGCTTCCAGGCCAGAGGCTAAAAAGGAGGTAGGCTTTTGGCAGAATGGTGGTTACCAGGGGTGGGGAAAGCAGGAAAAGGGATTTTTTTGTTGAATGGGCAGAGTTTCCATTTGTGAACGTGAAAACGTTTTGGAGACGGGTGATAATGATGACTTCACAACAATGTGAATGTTTTGATACCACTGAATTGTACACTTGAAAATGATGAAAAGGGCAAATATATACATTTTACTAGAATTTCTTAGAAGAACAGGATATACTTTCAAAAACTGATTCCAATCACAGTAATCTCTACTATAATTGGAGTACAAAACAGTCTTAATTCTCCGGGATAATTCTGGTCTTAAGTATTGATTTAATATGTGCAATAATTATTACCTCAGGAAGAATGCCTTTCAAATTTTGATGAAAATATACCTAAGATTTTTACCCTAGTGCTTTGTGTAGCTGTGGAAGAGGTGACTAATATTATCGATGGGTTGATTAATTGATTGAGGTAGCAGTGTGGGACCAATGCTGATGAAAATGCTCAGAATGAGGTGTTCGGAAATGCCTCTCAGAGTGAGAAACATGCAGTTATGCTTTCTAGAAAATTATTCCCTGCTGCAGAGCTTCATCTTCTCATCAAAAAAAATGAGTAAAAATTTAAAAAATACGACACAGTGGCAGAGTCCAAAGGAAGCCCAGAGGAGTGCTTACAGAGTCGGGGAATAGGATCTGTCAACAAATGTCGAAGAAATTGGTAATGCCTGCTATTTTAGGATGACTTAAAAGAGAGCTTCAAAGATGCAGGAGTAATTGTGGTGACTGAAGGACAAAAGGGTATGTTGTTGAACAAAAAACAAAATATGGCCTGACTCTTCTACTCTCTAGTGTATGCACTACTTAGAACCTGTGATCAGCCGTAGTCACCACAATTTTTTAGCGCTCCATAAAGATCAAATTAGAGCTTTAGATTATAAAATGAAGGGAAATAAGTCTTAAGATAAAAGCCAAAGGAATGTTTGAAAGAAACAACAAAAAGTTAAAAGAATTAAAATTGAAGTTGAAAAGGCTAAGCATTGTAAAAGCATAGGAGATGCAAATCCTTTGTGTCAAATGGTTCAAACAAAAGGAAATGTGCATAAAAGGAAAATGTTAAATATTGGCTGAGTATAAGAAAGACTTTTCAACTGATACAGTGGACTTCACAGGGAGGTTGTGGAATCTTCTCTCAAGGCTTTTAAAAATCACTGTATGGGATGGTAGGGTACAAACCATTCTCAGCCCCAAAATGAAATCATGAGTGAGCAAAAGGTTCAGGTGACCCAGGGACTTTATAAATAGTAGCCAGAAATTCTGACCAGAGTTTTAAATTACTTAGAGGAGAAACTGATGCTGAAAGAAGATGGAATGAGGGTAGGGAAATTGCTTCCCTACTCAGGCACTAGGACATGTGCTATGCTCTGGTCCCTGATGGTAGCATGGTGGTATTCTGGCCTCTTCTGTATAACGGACGTGTCACCCCAGATTTTCCCAATTTGGCGGAAGCTGTGTGTACAGAGGGTTGGCAGCCGGCAACCATTATTGCCTTCTGCAAAGGGGAAGATATATACAAGACACCTGTTTGTCATAGTTAGAAACTTCTAGAGAGAGCCTACTATATTATCTGATACTTGACAATACATTCTTAAGCCATCTAAAACTTCCATTTTGGAAAATTATTCTGGAAGTCTTGCATTGGATTGCAACGTGCAAACAAGAGCAAGTCATCCATGCTCATCAAGACTTCCCAGTCCTTACTTCTCTCGCCATTGATCAAAGATGGCAGTGGTGAGGCTGAGAGCCATCTCCTGATGGGATGCTGTGCATGGATTCACATGATTGGGCATTTCTGCTAACTAGCACTAGCAGTCATTCTTCACATGAACATAAAAGAACAGTTGAGGTTTTTAAAAGCATGAAGCAATTTTGAGGGTCTAATTAGGTGCATATTTGGTATGCAAGCCTTGTCTTCCTAGTCCCTAGCTTTATTACTTTAGTTGCTGTTTATCATAGATATGAAACCCAATTTAATTTTAAAAGGGGGATAAATCTGGGGTGTGTACAGTAGTTAGCTGGTGGTTGGCACAGCTAACTCCTGGGACTCCAGTTAGTTGTTCATCCAGTTACATGAATGTGTATTTCTGAGAACTAACAAGATTCGCATTGCAAGGCTAATCTCACCCATGAGCAGTGTGTGTTCCAATGTGGTAGTATTTAAGGGCTCCAGGGTGTCATTCATATGTCCTGGTGCCTGAAATTCCACTATCTCAGAGTTGTTCCTTTGGATTCTTCTCTCTGAAGATTCTTTTTAAAAATGCAGATAAACCAGGAACAACATTATATGAATTCATACACAGAAAAGGATGGGGGCTTGTTATTACTTTCCTCTGACAACAGAGCCCCATGATATGGGAAGAAACGTTAACAACTGAGAGGCACACACTCAGATGTTCATTTCTTCATTTGGTCATCATTTGTTGAGCACCTACTGTGTGCCACACACTGAGCTAGAGCGTGTCGTTCCTGGCTGCAGGAGGCCCACAGTCTGATGGGAGAGGCACACATTTCCACACAGTGCAAGAGAGAGGGCCCAGGGCACAGAGGAGGGAGGCATGGACCCTGGGTTGGGCATTAATTGCTGAGGGATGTGATGTGACTCCAGGCTGGGTTTTGAAAGGTGAATGGAGTCTGCCAGCTGGGGAGAGGCAGGAGCGGGGTCCTGTCAGTTTGTTTTCTCTTAGTTCTTTCTGACCCCTGACAGAATGTCCAGGCACATTCCTCAGAAGGTCACGAGGCCATAGGGCTAGAGAACCCTGCAGGCCCCTCAGGAGGTCACCAGAGCATGCCCTCTGCCCAGAGACTGGGGCACTCTCCCCGAACTCCTCAAGGCTACTGCTTTCAAGCAGTTCAAAGAGAAAAAGAAGGAATCATTAAGAGAAATCCAGCCAATCTCATCACTCTGCTTCGGGAAGACCTTGTTCTTGGGCCAAGATTTAGTGGATTCATCTAATCCTTTCATGGAAGGAATTAAAATGGAACACCTGGCTATTTGCTTTATTTTTATCTGAAGCCACTTGCCATCACTTGAGGATAATTATGTTGAATTTTGTTTCATTCTTGATATCCCACACAAAATTTCCTCAACTCCAGAAATCACTTTTCCATAATTAAGAGCATAGATTCTAGAGCCAGATTGCCTGGACCCATATCCTAGTTCAGCTACAAGTTATGAACCTTATTCCTGCCTCAGTTTCCCCAAGTGTAAATGAGGATAATTATTTTTTCTACTCCATTGACGTGTTATGGGGCTTCAGCAAGCTGGTTACATGAGGTATTTAGAACAAGGTGAATAGCGAGTGCTCAGTGAAGACTGGCTGTTATTCACTCCCTTACTGCAGAGCACCTGACCCGGAACTGTTTGAATTACAATATAGAGGAAGTGCCGTCTCACCCAGCAAGGCAGTCAGAACCTACCAATCAACTGAAACATTCACCGAGGGCCAATTGTGTCCCTGTGGGTTCTGTTCTAGCCATTGGAAATACTAAATCCAATACAGAGTGGCCCCCATCCTCAAGAAACCTACAGCCTGGTGAGAAAACTAGACACCATCTCTTCCTTAACATGCACAATGGTGTGGTTTGTACCGTGCTATACTATGAAATGTCCTCACAGCCCCTCAACAGGTACCTGGAACAGGTATCATCCTCCCCACTTCCTGCATGATAATAAAATGCTTATCAGGAAACACCGTTTGCTTATTACGTGTCATTGGCACCTTAGCATAGGAGGTCATCTTTCAATAAGTTAACCTAGAGGGAAGGGGAGATGTTGTCTAAGTAGGCCCTGTTTTCGTCCTGCAGTGATGGGTTGTAACGAACTCAATGTTTGTGTTAGGTTTGGAGGAGACCAGCCTGTCTACATCAACATCATTAGAGACCCCGTCAACCGGTTCTTATCCAACTATTTTTTCCGTCGCTTTGGAGACTGGAGAGGGGAACAAAATCACATGATCCGCACCCCCAGCATGAGGCAGGAGGAGCGCTACCTGGTAAGTCCTGTCGCATGCAAAAGGCGGTCTCCCCACTGCCTGAGGAGTGGGCCCTCCACCAGGGAAGGTTCACTCTTCCCTTCCCAGGCCTTCTCCTTGGCGCCTCCATGGAGCGTGGCGCAGAGAGGGTGCTTCCGCAGGAAGGAGGTCTTGGCGAGAGAAACTGGTTCCGGGTGACCCAGATCCTAATGAACATTTCCTCAAATTATTTTCTGATTTTGCTTTGCTCAGTTGTCTTTAGTGCTAGGTTTTGGGACCCAGAGCGTTAACAGTCTTTCCTAAGGAGTCCTGACTAGCACTGTAGTGCTTAAGAAGAACAAAGGTGTTGGGGGGGTGTCTGTTAGAGGGCGGCAGAGCCCCTTCTCATCCCTCAGCCCATTCAGTTCCCATGACCACTCTGGGAGGGGGAGGTGTTTTCAGATGAGGACCCTGAGATTCTAAAGGTTGTGGGATTTGCCACAGTCACCTCTCAGGTAAGGGCGCAACTGCGACCGACTGTTTCGGGTTTCCTGCCTTCACAGTCTGGGTTCTTTCCACCACAGCGCGATAGAACCCTGTCATTGCACCAGTAATTGTTTGCTTTCTCTGGACTTGTTTTGGGACCCTCAGCTCCATAAGGGATGTTAGTCTCGAGCCCAGTAATTATTTCCGCAGCACAGAGGTTGGTAACAAAAACGGAGGGCGGAGTTGCGCGTCTTTCTTTCAGCACTAGAACGAAAGGTACATTTCCCATCCCTGTGTTGAGAAACATGTACTGAGGAGCTGACAGCCTGGTGCCCAGGAGGCTGAAATCCTGGTCTCTGTGTCTGAGAGAGCCCTTGGGGTTCACCCGGACCCATCCTGGGCTGTTGTCGGGCACAAGCAGGAAAGTAGGAAGTGTTGAGGATCAGTCAGAGGTGTTGTTCCCAAAGCTGGAAGATCGCCCAGAGCTGAGGCCACTGCTGATGTGCCGTCAGCAGCAGCCTTGCCGCTGGAGAAAAGCACCGAATCTCAGGGCCACGGCCAGGACGGCTGCTTCCTCATCTCATTTTAAAAACATAATGGAAGTGGATGTTCAGAGGCTGGGAGCATTTGGGGATGATGTCCCCTCAGTGTCACGTTCATGTTTTCAAATCCATGATTAGAGTAGAGAAAACTGAGATACAGAGAAGTTAGTGTCTCAGCCAGGGCCAGACGACTACACCAGACCCACGGCTTTCCACTCACCTTCGGTATTTGATCAACTACCTAAGGCTTCAGTGAAATATTTTGATGATTTTATTTTTATTTTTATTTTCTTCCTTTGATGATATATTTTAAAAGTGGCTTTTCCCTTTTTTTTTTTTTTTTTTTTTAGTTTTTATGGCGAAACCCTAATCTATTTCTTTATAGGTTATGAGGCCGGGCGCAGTGGCTCACGCCTGTAATCCCAGCACTTTGGGAGGCCGAGGCAGGTGCATCACTTGAGGCCAGGAGATCGAGACCAGCCTGGCCAACATGGTGAAAACCTGTCTTTATTAAAAATACAAAAATTAGCCGAGCATGGTGGCGCATGCCTGTGATCCCAGCGAATTGGGAGGCTGAGGCAGGAGAATCCTTTGAATCCGGGAGGCAGAGGTTGCAGTGAGCCAAGATCGTGCTACTGCACTCCAGCCTAGGTGCCAGACCGAGACTCCATCTCAAAAAATAATAATAATAATAATTAAATAAAATAAAAAACTATAGGTTATGAATATGACTATATGTTTTTTATTTGGTGAGACGTGTATTCAGAGTATAGAAACACTACAAGAATAATGTCTTCTCTAATTATCTTTATTATTTGTTTTGGATCTTGATTAATATATCTATATGCTCTTTAAAAACAGCATACATTCCATTTAATCCAGACAATTTTTTCATAGTTCTGATTCAATCCTCATGCTAAGAAAGTTAGAACCAAAGGACAGCAGAAAATGCCAAAAAACCAACAATACAGAAACACGTCTTATGAACACTACTCTTCAAATATTAATGTAAGAGTTAAGAGGAATGCTCTAGCTTCTTCCGTTCTGTCAAGCTTCTGTTGCCATCCTGTAAATCATTTCATATAATGCAGTTTTCACACACTCACACAAATAATAAGCTGCAATCATTAGAGAGAAAGGTGGCAAATGTGAGGGGAAAAAATTATGGTTTGGAGTTTCCATTTGTTCGTTTTTGTTTTTGTTTTGAGACACAGTCTTGCTCTGTTGCCCAGGCTGGAGCGCAGTGGCAAGATCTCTGCTCACTGCAACCTCCACCTCCGGGGTTCAAGCGATTCTCCTGCTTCAGCCTCCCCAGCAGCTAGGACTACAGGTGCTTCCCACCACGCCTGGTTAATTTTTGTATTTTTAGTAGAGGCGGGGGTTTCACCATGTTGGCCAGGCTGGTCTCGAACTCCTGACCTAAAATGATCCACCCACCTCAGCCTCCCAAAGTGCTGAGATTACAGGTGTGAGCCACCGTGCCCAGCCTGGTTTGGAGTTTTTTTAAAAAGGTCATAAAATATTGAAAGTTGGTAGTTGGGGCAAGTGTTATATTTTTGAAGAGCTGGTAACTGCCTTTGTTATGTGACTTGAGAGATTGTAGAGAGATTTCCCTGCCTGGAATTCTGCCCTTAGAAATTTGTAGGGGCTCCTTTCCAAATGTAAGCACTGTGTTCGGGAAGGGTCTATGTCAGATGAGGTCATCAGATCGATCCTTGGCAAGGCCCCAGCAGGAAAGCACTGGGCTCCCCAAAGCAGCACAGCAGAAACTCGGGGGGGCTCAGATTCAAGAGAGGAGAGCCTGGTGGTGGGGGGGAGGGGTGTCCCCTTCATGATCTGGTTCCAGCCTGACCTGGTTAGAAGGCTGTCTTCTTGTTCAAAGGATAGTTTGTTTATTTGGAAGAAGATGGTCTATTGCCTTTTTTTAATAGCTGAAACTTTTAATTCCATCTCCTTGGTCCCATTAGACCCTTGAAATAAAATTGCCCCCTTTCAGAAGAGTCTGTCCTCATTTTGGCAAAGGCTGGGTAGTCAGTTGTTTGACTCAAAAGAGGGTGTTGTTTGTGTCTCAGCGGGGCGCAGGCAGCTGTGAGGAGCCCACTGTCCCCTCCTTGCCGGCCACCCCTCCCCTCGGAGGCCCTTCCCTGCACACCGCATGCCCACAGGGTCTTGGTTGCTGGCCTGAAATGAGTCTGCTGATTTACCACGTCATTCCAGATCTCAGTGCTCTAAAGCCCCTTGCTTTATCCCATTGCCAAAATTCGGGCAGTTCTGCCCCTGGCCCTGAGCCTCACAGAGCTGCTTAGCATACAGCTGGGAGTGGCCAGTGCCTGCCTCCAAGCCTGCTCTGAGGATGAAATAATATCATCTTGTGAGGCAGGGTGGTTTGGAAGAAAATGGAAAGGGTAAAGGAATCCTAGGATTTGCAGGAACCCCAAAGAGGATGAGGACTCTCTCATTTTACAGGTGTGGGAACGGGCCTGGGATTCGGGGTGGGGTAAAGTCCCTGCCAGGAGGAGAATCCAGACCTCCTGATTCCACTTCGGTGCTGTTTGCCCACTCAGACCTTATGTTCCTGAAGGGTAAAGGGAGAAGAGGACTGGGCCGAGTCCCACGCTTTTGAAGCAGAATCATTTGATGTAACATCGTCTCTCCATCTTTACAAAGACATCGCTGTTACAGCAATTTGTTTTCAAATATTCAAGCATCTTATAGCTATACCTTATTTTCTGGGAACAACTAGCTTTTCTCAAACTTTCTATTTCTTTCCAAACTCTTCTTCCTTTGCATTTCCTGGAAAATCATTTTTAAATAAATTAGTGCTCGCATAGATGCAAGTTCAACTTCTAGCAGCCATACTGTGAAAAGGCAGTTGTCTTAGGCTCATTTCTTTTTGTCCAGAGCTGGAAGCTCCCCAGTGTGGAGGTGGCTGCCTCCTTTTTGGGGGTGGGAGTCCTCTGAACCCAGGCACACTTGGACACATCCCAGCACCTGAGACTCTAATCCAGCTCATGTCCAGCCTCCTTTATTTCCAGGGTAGGGAAATACCTGGCACACAGACCATATTTAATGAATGGTGGAAAGCTTTTTCTAATGAAGAGCAACTGTTGTCATCTCCAGATGAGGGAGAGCATCTTATTCCTGCTGAAGCCACTCCCTTTTCCAGTCTTGGAGCTTCCATGAAAGTGGATTTCTTATGCTGTCATTTTCACCCTGCTGGTTACACATCAAGTTCTCAAAAATGTCAAATTGGGCTGCTGCCCTAACCATTATTGCCACTTCACTAGGCCATCCTCCATTTGAAGAATAGGAAGAAAAGGGAGAAAATCTTCCCAGAGAGAACACTGCCTCTGTGACACTGTTTATTCGGCTTGGCTGTAAAATGTGGAAAGTAATGCATGTTTAAAAGAAAAGATGTGTAATTTACAGCTTCTTAATTCATAAAGAATTCAGTGAATCATGTTGGCCCTGTTGGATTCTGGAGAAGTCTGAAAATTGGCCAGAGTCAGCAAAGGTTTTTAGAAAGCTATGCATTTTAATCTACTTGAAAGTTTTGGACTCTGAATGTCCTTTAACTTTGAAAGTATACATATGAAATACCAGCATGTGGAAATTTCCACTCTGTCCCAACCAGCTGAGACTGTCCTTTGAGCAAAAGAAACCTCAGGCATTGCCTCTATTTCTAAGGCATTGTTTTTCTTAAATAAATAAAATGAAGAAGGGCTTTGGATTGTCTGCTTTTTAAGTGTTTCAGTAAATATCTATGTTTTCCAAATACGTGACGGTAAGAAAGTTACGCTCTTGGTCTTCAACTAGTTCAAATTTAGCTTCCAATTGTAGGCTGAGCCAGGGGCCCAAGATAAGGTGTATTTATATTCCCTTCTCAGCTGCCTTAGCTGGGTGACTTGGATTTAGCCTCTGTGAACCTTGCTTGTCTCATCTGTACAATGGGACCATATTACCTACTTTGCCTGCATTACAGGGTTGTTGGGAGAGTCTATTGAGCATTCTACACAGAAGTGCTTTGGAAGCTAAAACTCTCCAAAACACATTTCAGTATTGATGCTCCCACCCCCTTGGCTCCGTTACTGGCTCCACATGACCTAAAGGGGCCATTTTTCCTCCAGACCTGGAGCTCCTCTGCTCAGGGAGTCCATAGAGGCTGCTGTTTTCCTGGGGCTCAGGACATACTGGGTCCTGAACCCTCAGGTCTGCTTCTGCTGTGGTCTCAAATTGCCTCACTAGATTCCTTCCCCCGGGAACCTGTTTCTAAGGAAACTACTTCTCTTTGTGTTCCCAACAGCTGGAGATGTGTTTTGATCCCAGCCCGCTGGCATACATTTGTCTTGTGTTTATTTACTTGGAAACCTAAGCTCCTGTAGGCCCTGGGTTGGAAAGTCATATACACGCGCACTCTCCCTCTCCGAGGAGTAACGAGAAAGGCACGCCAGAGCCGAATGCTCCGCCAGGCTGATGCAAGCCATCCAGGAGCATGGAGGACCAGGAAGCCCCAGCTTCAGAGATACGCTGCGAAATACATTTGTCCTGGGTGTATCTAAAGCAGGAGTCACAGGTGATTTTAGGACCAAAGGCCACTTCTGGGGGTTAGCAAGACCTGAGGGTATCCCTGGGAGTTTCAGGCAAACAGAAAACAAGATGGGTGAAGGAGGGGGCAAGGGAGGAGAGGAGGGACCAACAAAGGGATTTTGGAGCTAGAATAGAATGCTACCCCCTGCCACCTGTGCTACCACCAAACGGCAGCCATGTGTGTAGTGTGTAGCAGGTTAGCATGCTTTGCCTCATGTTAGGGTGTCCGCCCTCACAGCCTCTCCTGGCGTAGGTATGAGCACTCCTCATTCCCCTCTTATGAACCAGGATGGCGATCCCAGAGAGGCTGAGTGGTGGTGAAGATCAAACCACAAATAAGGGGAACTTGCATGAGGCTACCTTAGTTACAAGGGGCTTACGAGTCACCCAGGTTACCTCTGTATCAGGAGCCACGGGGCAGGAGAACTGTGGGAATGAAGACAAAAGGATTGCAGGCCAGTGAAGGCTAGGAAACGAATGCCAGGCAGAGCCAGGCCCCATGGGAAGCACATGAACCACAGCACAGCTAAGCCACACGGAAACCAGAAGTTGTTGAGACCTAGAGCCACTTCCAGCACCCAAGTGTCAGTGCCCAGGCTGCCCAGGGGTTCTCAGTTCTCTTCAGCCATCTTCAAAGACACCAACGGTGGGTTGAGCCCCTCTTATGCTTCACACCTCTCCTTCTACCATCTCATTTCTCTAGCCCAGCTGGAAAGGGCTCTCCACTTTTAAGGACTTATGTCATTAGATTGGGCTCACCCCGATAATCCGGCATAGTGTCCCCTCTCAAGGTCTGTAACCGTACTCACATTTGCAGAGTCCTTTTTGCCATACAAGGTAACATATTCACAGGTCCCAGGGATTAGGATAGGGACACCTTCGACGTCCATTATTTTGCCTACCACAGTGTCATCAAGGATAACTTAGCAGGGGGGAGAGGGGACTGTGGAGGGGACATGGGTGTGACAGGCATTCTGACACTTGGCTATGCCACTTATAAGTGCTCACCACTGTGCATTCTACTATGCAGTGGCACCAAACCATGGCTTTCCTGGCCCTAGTCTGCAAAACTAAGTGGCCAGTCATACATTTTTTTTTTTCTTCTACTAGTGACTCATCCACCAATCCATCCGTCATTCGTTCATTCACTCAATAAACATTGATTTAGTACTTTCTGTGTAGTAGGAGCTATTGTAGGAACTGGAAATAAAATGTTGAGCTAAAATGGACACTGTCAGTCCTCATGGAGCTCACAGACTGCCAGGGAGACAGGCATTCATCCCAAAACCATACAGATGTATGTGAAATAGTGGCTGCATCACATCCTACATGTAGGATGTAGGCTGCATCCTACAATGCAGAGACATGGCGCTGTCCAGGCATTGAATGGGGCAGTTGGCAAGTCTGGAAGTCAGAGAAGTGTTGGTTGAGCTATATCTGAAGGGAAAGAGGAGAAGGAAGAACACCCAGGCATAGGGCACATACAAAGCCCTGTGGCAGAAGGGAACACAGCACGGAGGAAGAACCAGGGAAGCTGCAGCAGGGCGAGCTGAGGAAGAAAGGAAAGAGCTGGGTGCAGTGATGTGGGCAGGCAGGTGGTGGGCCCCACAGAGCCTCCCAGACCATCTTAAAGATCCCTGGGGAGGCACTAAAGGACTTAAAGCAAAAGAGGCATGTTTACAGGACATCCTGAATCTTTTACATTTTGTGGGAGGAATCACTTTGGCTACAACATACAGAGTACAGAAGGGCTTCAAGTCGATGTGGATAGACCAGCTAGATAGATCAGAGGCTACTGCAGTGATCCAAGTGCAAGATAAACCAAGGAGGAAGTTTTTATGGGACATCAACCATGTGCAAAGAGCAGCTCCAGGTGGGGTCAGGGGCAGCAATGAGGGAGCAATTACAAAGACATTGAAGACTCATTGCTGTGCTTCCAGTTGCTTGCCGCCTAGTTAGCAACAGAAGACCCAAACTTGAAAAGCTTAATACCAAGAAGGAGATATTAATAATAGCTCAGTGCAGCCATATAGGACTTGTCATTGGCTGGGATGTGTTAAATTAGCAATCTGAAAATTGCGGGGAGGAACGAAATCAGCAAGAGTTGGGGTTGTTGGGAGCGGCTTCCCAGAAAAGGAGAGGCGGACAGAGGAGAGGTGGGTGCTGTCTTTAGGGGTAGAAGAAGATGCAGCAGAAGTAAGGCTCTGGGGACAGCAGGAGGGGACTGTTCCAAGTGAAGTGACACTTTAGAAAGTGTGTAAAAGCCTGAGAGCAAGAGGCTCACTCTGGTGAACCGCCTATTTGGCAGGAGCGGAGGGCTTAGGGAGGTGAGGAGCTTGGGTACAGTAAAGTGTTTCTCCAGATGTCCCAGTTGTGGGGGAAGCAACGCTGCTCTGATGGCTGCCAAGGCAGGTTTGCCTGACCTGCTGTCTCCATGCAAGGTCCCATCAGGAGCACGCACCGCAAGGGCCGCCAGAGCACAGCCAGGTGCATCCGCCGGCCACCTGTCAGCTGAGCTCATCTGCTGTGAGCCCCGCCCCTCGCTGTGAGTCAGCGGAGCTGCTGCAGCTGTGTCCCGCCGCTGGCGCTCAGCGCTGCACCCCTACTGGGGCAGGTGGCTAACATTTATTAAGGCGGTGGTTCTCAGCCTTGGCCACTTGTGGAGGCTTTAAAAACTACTGATTCCTGGGTCCCACACCCGAAAGTTCTGGTTTAATAGGTCTAGGGTGCAGCCTGGGCTTTGGGATTTTTTTTTTTTTTAAGCTTCAGAAGTGAGGCCAATGTGTAGCTGAGGTTGAGAACTACTGAGGAATTAACAACGTATCCGTTCCTGACTGTATTAGCAGGAGCTGTTTTCACTGAGAGAAGCACCCCCTGAATGCCTTATGGAAGCTTACCTTCTTATCCTCTGCCCATTTGGAAAAACCTGCATTTGCCTTCTTCCCCTTAGACATTTTTATTTGTTAGGCTTTTCATTGGCATATGCAAATAAATGTCATTAAAGAGGTTTGATGATATAGTGCAATATTATGTGTTGTATTTATGAATATTCTATAAATGTCTTAAGTCAGACTTTCTTCTAAAGTTGAAGTAAATAATATTTCTTATCCAGAAACCAAGGTGTGCATTATAGTATACATTTCAGATCTCACTTTAGGAAGCCATGCTTTAAACAGTAAAACAGAATGAGCACTTTGATGAATAAAATATTTTAGCATCTGGACATCTTTTTATTTAGGTTGACGAGGCACTTGGAGTCCATTGCCATCTCTTCAAAGAGACATGTGACATTCTTTAAATGCAGGCCAATTCATACAAAGACATGTAAATGCTAAATTAAAAGATGTGGGTGAGTAGAACTACATTTTAAATGCAGTCAGGAAATGTTCTCTGAATGCAGTCAGAGGTCTTGCTATTGAAAGAAGCGATGGGATGAAGTTTTATATAAAGTAAAAAACTAATGGCTCCATTTAACTTTGTTAACATTTTGAATTTTATACCCCACACTTATTTTTGCAGAAGTTGGCATGCCTCTATAGTTGTCCTCAATTGCTTTGCCATTTGTAATATTTTTTTCCCTACCCAGCTGTTTTACATACACAGTATAAATTCCCCAAAGGCTGAATGATCTCCAAACGTGTTCTTCAAAATATTTTGCAAAGTCTGAAGACAGGAAAAGTAAGTGTAAAACATCTAAGAGATTTGTTGGAATCTCAGCTTGAATTCTAATTGCGAGTACTTATGAAAATGTCAATATTAACATGAAATAGCTGGCAGTTTTTCTAATAAATGTAAATTGAATTAGATAGTGTGTAATTGGAAAAATACTTGCTTCACTCAGGCTTCTCAAAACAAGACTCAGGATTTGTTAGCTGCGGCAGCCTTGCCCTCTAATGGCTGGAAGTTGAAGGACAGGACTAAAATACTTTTGACTATAAGGAGGATGGAAACTAAGAAGAGGGAATGTCTGACCATTTGTCACCATATTGAGGGCTTCTTCCCAAAGCATGGGGCATGATGTCGATGTTAGCATGAGCTTATTATTAAAAGGAGGTGGGTAGGTGGGGAGCCAAGGCCATGCTAAGTATCTTGGAGCTTCAGAATAAGCTTGGATAGAAACAGGTATTATAGATGCCTAATCTCCTGAAATGCAGTTGAAAGTTCAAACTTGCCTTATAATATTAAAAAAAAAAATACCCGAACAAGTTATACAATAAATAATCTAGCCTGGACATTGTGATGGTCTGGTTTATAGTCATTGAGATTTGCTAAGCACATGTAACAAACAACGTTTGTTCCCTTTTCTGATTGACCAATGAGTGTTTCAGACAGAGTAGAAATGATACCAGTAGAAGTGGTTTGGCAGAAATTTCATAAGAAGTTTGATTTCATCCCATGTTCTTTCTGGGAAAGCAGCCAGGAATAAATGGAACAGGTGGGGTCTTAACTGGCTACAAAATCACACAGCCTCTAGAACAAACCGCTTTTTCTCTGATCCTAAACCCATGCAGATATTCACAGTTGAATGAAAGAATTTTAACCAAAGCTTACTCAATTTCATGACAAGCAAAGCTTTTAAAACACCGATCTGCAAGAAGCCCCAGCCGCCTAATGGGTAAGGCATTGGCTCCTAAAAAATGGCTCTGCATTTCATATTACAAAGTAAAAACACAATGGAATTGTATCAACATTCAGCTAAAAGTTTGCATATGCATCTCCCTTTGCATTAGAGGTGAAATAACACTGGTTTGACTTTTATAGTAAGACTGCTGTCCCGTTACCCTCTGCAGAGCATTATTCACTCACTTCCGGGTTTTGTAATTAACCACTTGGATAAGACTTGTAGAAAGAGTCAGCAGATGTATAAGACAAAGTTATCAAGTTCAACAACTAAAAAGGAAACTTTGATGATAAATGTCAGGTATAATCGATGGCATTCTATGTCTTATCACTATTAATAAAAACCCTGTGAGATTAAGACAAGGGTCCTAAACCAAGGCAATAAAATTAGCCGAGACCAGTCTTGATGACCGCTCATCTTTATTTCTCTTGGTAACTATTACTCAGGTATTTCTTTTTTACATTCTCATACATTGCTTTTTAAACCCTTCAAATTATTTCATGTCTGTAAGTCTTATGTTTTGAACTAAAATGTAACTTGATAATAGAATATCATCTTGTCTCTCAGTACCTGTCACAGCTCCCTGTTAAACACCCAATAACAGATGCGAGGATGTGTGGAGCTCCAACGATGTTTGCCTCTTTTCCCTACTTGCACGTGCAATTTCAACATATTCTGAACACCTGTAATGTGCCAGATACTGTCAACCTGTCTCCAGTTCATCTTCTTCCAATCCATGATCAAAGTGTCCAGTGTGTATCTGACTTTGTCATTGTCTTGCTTAAAACACTCCTATGTCTTTCTGATCTTTAAATGTAATATTAGCTATCATCATTATAATAATAATATTATTATTTGATCAAAGAGCCTCACAACTGCATGTGAATTTACAGTTATCTCAATAAAATTTCAGTTAGAAAAAAAGCATCATGCACCAATAGAGAAAAGATAGGTTTATGAATAAATAGTGTAGGAAAAATTAGACCGTTAAGGAACCCAACATACATCAAATAAATTCAGATGGATTAAAAAGGTAAAATGTGAGAAATCAGAAGGATGTGTATCTGAGCCACGGAGGCTGTGAGTTGTCTATCCTGTGGAAGGAGACATGACTGAGCTAGAGGATGGCAAAGCATATAGGCAATGGAAGAAATCACAAAAGAAATGAATTTTAGATTTGTCTTTAGATAATTTAACAGTTTATTTCACAAAAAGGCATTATAGGCAACATTAACAGGCAAATCGAATGGAGACAATATTTACAAATATGACAAAGAATTTATTCTTAAAGATATTAAGATATAAGAAGTCTTATAAATCAGTAAAAAAAAGACTAATTCCCCATTGAAAAATTACAAGTAAAATTCCGGATAATCTAAAAAATGCTCAGCCTCATCTATAATTTTTGAACTGCAAATTAAAGCAATATGTCACTTTTAAGGTATTAAACTGGCAGAGACTTCAGAAATTATAAGTAGTGGTATGCTCATAAATGTTTAATAACCACCTCTGGCGGGGGTGGGGGGTTGTTTTGTAACTTTGCCAATTTCTGTGGTGTCAATACTTCTCACCATGGTGATTTCAAACTACGAACATGACATCACTGAATACAGCAGAGTTAAGAGATGGGCATTTGCCTCTTATAAGCTGTTACTATCTGGCTCCAGCACATTTCCAATTCATACTCTGCTGTCAAGGGTACATCAGAATGGACATGTCCATGTATTTCTGGTATCAGGATTCCGGGAGCGTGGTCCATCTTGTGCATCATTCAATTCCTCCGCCCTTCACCTGCACACCATGTCATCATACGTTTTTATCTTTGCCAGGCTGAGAGATGAGAAATTATGTGTCAGTAGGATAAGTTGCATTTCTCTCGTTATGAGTGAAGTTGAGCATCTTCTCACATGTTTAAGAGGCATTTGTATTTTCCTTTCTCATCTTATCATTGCCCATTTTGCTAACATTCTGATCTCTAGAAACTTTTCAGAAAATTACAGAAATTTGCCCACTATTTTTGATATAAATTGCAAGTATTGTTTTCCTAGTTAGTAATCTCTTTTAACTTTCTTTGTGATGTTTTTTACATGCAGAATTTTATTTCTTTGTGGTCAAATTTATCAACCTTTTTCTTTTTATGGCTTCTGAGTTTTGTGTTATACTCAGAAGGATCTTATTAACTCTGAAACTATAAAAAATATTCTCCATGGTGTCTTCTAGAGTTTTGTTGTTATTCATGTTAAATTAAAATCTTTAATACTTCTGAAATTTATTCTGGTGTCAGGTATAACATATCAATGTAGTTTCTTTTTTTTCCAGATGGCTAACAAACTATCCCATTTATACAATAATTTGTGTTTTCCTCATTAAAGTATCACCTTTATTATATGAGAAATTCTTGGTTTTAGAGGGATCTGTTTTTTCTTTTGGCTTTTATTTTGTTCCATTAATGTGTATCTTTATATACAGAACACTATTCTATATATTTATATATATACACACTGTTGTAACCTATTGTATAATTACATAATACATAGTTTTATTATGTAATATGCAATAGTATAATTATATAATATAGAGTGACTATTTATATATACATTTTATTATCTGGCAGGGTCCAGTCTTTCCTCTTTACTCAGCTTTTTCCCCAATTGTCCTAGGTCTTTGTCTTTGTTCATTTTTCCTTAGGAACTTTAAAATCAGCTTGTTCAGGGTCGGGCGTGGTGGCTCACGCCTGTAATCCCGGCACTTTGGGAGGCCAGGGCGGGCGGATCATGAGGTCAGGAGATCGAGCCCATCCTGGCTAACATGGTGAAACCCCGTCTCTACTAAAGATACAAAAAAATTAGCCGGACGAGGTGGCGGGTGCCAGTAGTCCCAGCTACTCGGGAGGCTGAGGCAGGAGAATGGTGTGAACTCGGGAGGTGGAGCTTGCAGTGAGCCAAGATCGCGCCACTGTACTCCAGCCTGGATGACAGAGTGAGAATCTGTCTCAAAAAAAAAAAAAAAAAAAAGAAAAGAAAATCAGCTTGTTCAGCCGTCCGCTACCCCCACCCCACATTCATACCCAGAATACCCTGTGTGTTGGGTTTACTTTGAGCTTTAGATTAAGGTAGGGAGGATTGACGTCTGTATGTGGAGTCTTATTATTTGAGAATGTATTTTGCCTTTCCATTTGCTCAGAACTTCTGTTATATCTCTCCAGAGTTTTAAAGTTTTCTTCATTTAGATCTTGCACATTTCTTAAGTTGATTTCTAGATATTTGGTTTGTTGTTGTTGTAATTTTACATATTATTACTGTTACTAATTTCTATATATTACCTTTAACTCAGTCACCTTAGTAAGTGAATTCTATGTTTGTCAAGAAATTTTCACAGATTATTTTCAGTTTACCAGATAAAATTATATCCCCAGGTGATAATTTTATCTTTCTTTTTTCTAGTTTTTATAACTCTTATCCATTTGTTTTTGTTGTATCTCTAGAACAGTGTTAAATATAATGTTGATAAAAATGACCCAGCAATCCCATTACTGGGTATATACCCAAAGGATTATACATCACATACATTTTATAGTATATAGTCTTTACATAGGCTGTAAAGACACATGCACATGTGTGTTTATTGCAGCATTGTTTATAATAGCAAAGACTTGGAACTAACCCAAATGCCCATCAGTGACAGACTAGATAAAGAAAATGTGGCACATATATACCGTGGAATACTATGCAGCCATAAAAAAGAATGAGTTCATGTCCTTTGCAGGGACATGGATGAAGCTGGAAACCATCATCCTCAGCAAACTAACACAAGAACAGAAAACCAAACACCGCATGTTCTCACTCATAAGTGGGAGTTGAACAATGAGAACACATGGACACAGGGAGGGGAACATCACACACCGGGGCCTGTCAGGGGTTGGGGGGAAAGGGGAGGGAGAGCATTAGGACAAATACCTAATACATGCGGGGCTTAAAACCTAGATGACAGGTTGATAGTTGCAGCAAACCACCATGGGACGTGTATACCTGTGTAACAAACCTGCACGTTCAGCATATGTATTCCAGAACTTAAGGTAAAAATTTTTTTAAAAAAAAATTGGTTTCTCATAGAAGTCAGATAATTGAAGTAAAAGTTAAATTGCTAATTGCCAAATTTCGCTCATTTCTACTTTTATTCTACTAGAGTATGATGTCTAGGATCCAGATCCTTTGGGATTTCATCTCAGGGAGAATATAAGCAGCATCAGTCTCAACAACTAGTAATAGAAAAACCTAAGGAAAAAGACAAAGATTATCATATTAACACCCCTCGGCCCCGCATGCACCTGTAACCTACGTGTCCTTTTTGATAACCCACCACTTCCAGAGTGGCTTCATTGTCAACCACCTGTGTCACCAGAGTAAATTCAAGTGTGTCCTTTCTTGAGGTTTCTGGACTGGATGTTGTCTTGTGTCCTTTCCCATGGGTGTGGTTTCCCTGGCAGTCAGTTCCTCAGTGACCACATTTAACAAATTGTAATAAATGCAGACTAGAACCATAATTCACAGTTTTGCAATACAAAGGAAAGATGAAAAACAACTGGAGGCTTAAAGTCCTGTGAGATACCCATTTTACCTTGCTTTAATTACGGCAGCAGATGTAAATTTGATTTGCCCCAAGCCTAGGTGGTCTTTGGCTAGGGCTCATTCACCTCTGACACAGAGACCCCACATCTCCCTGACTTCTGTTGAAGAAGTACTGGGAAGGTCTTTGAATGGACCCTGAGCACACTTGACATTGGAAAAGGGAGAAATCTTTGACTAAGACCCTGTACTTTGAGCAGTTTTCAGTCCATCCATTCAGCTACAAATGTGGAAGCAAATATGCCAAGGTCCTTGAAAAGAATGTTGATGCTTGATTGCACGATGTTTCCCTTTAAAGTTTTGGCCTTGAGAACTTCAAAGTGATGACACTGTTCTTCCTGCCATGCCCGCTCTTAGCTCTGTGTGGTCAGTAAGCAGCGACTCTTATTTTTCTTTTATTTTTGGAAACTAAGTTGGAGTGAGGGCATAAACCCCCTCACTTGAATTGTTTTGGCTTAAGATGTATCTGAGATTTTAACTTTGTTATTTCCAGCTGCTTCCCTCATTAAATTTAGGTCATTAATTTCATAAATCAGCATATGCCTTTTACTTTTATGTGCAAAGCCCAGGTGTTAAAGCTCGAGTAACTCTTTGTTTGGAATGGTGGGTTTCGTATCTGGCCCATCCCAAATGGGCTTATTGTGCCTCACAATATTTCTTTCCTTCCCTAAGTCCTTTGGTCCTTCATCTTTATCAAGGACTCACAGTCTCTCTTGGGTATCCGATAAGAGTTTGTACGGTCAGTTTCGTACATCTTGCCTAATCTATTTTTGTCCAATATGATTGCTTGTTACTTAAAACTTTGGAATAACCTACATATATCACCTATATACCATGCTCCTGATTTTTTAAAAAGAGTTATTTCCTTAATCTAGTCAGTCCAATCAGCAGTGAAATTCTTTTTATTTTTTTCTTAGAATGTCTCTCAGATGTCCCCATCTTCTCTCCACGGCTGCTGCCAACACCACAGTCTTTAACTTTTTTCAACTCTCCCATACCTCCTAACTGCTCTCCTCAAATTCCAGACATTCTCCCTCTCTTTCAGCTTTTGCATAGTGCTGCCAGATTAGCCTCCCAAAGCAGCACTTCACATCATATCGTTTAATTTCTTGCTTAAGAAGCTTGGTGACTTTTGCCCACTGTGGTGAATTCTACAGGCCTTTCTCTGTCTTTCAAGGCTCTTAACAATCTGGACCTATCCTGCCAGCCCTGACATATTGCTTTCCCAAATAAACGCTAATCCAACCAAGCTTCTGACATCATCTTTCAGAAAAAGCTCATCCTCATCTCTATTCTTGTCCTTATGCTGATAACCTAAGTTGAAAGGCCTTTTTTGTCTTTTTCTTCTTTTTTTGAGACAGGATCTTCCTCTGTTGCCTAGGTTGGAGTGCAGTGGTTGGGATCTCAGCTCGCTGCAGCCTCTACCTCCCAGGTTCAAACCATCCTCCTCCCTCAGTCTCCCAAGTAGCTGGGACTACAGGCACAAGCCACCACGCCTGACTAATTTTTGTAATTTTTTTTTTGTAGAAATGAGGTCTCACTGTGTTACCCAGGCTGGTCTCAAACTCCTAAGCTCAAGTGATCCTCCCACCTAGGCCTCCCAAAGTGCTGGGATTAAAGGCATGAGTCACCACACCTGGCCGGAAAGACCACCTTTGTCTTTTTTCTCTCCACCTCCTATCCATCGTTCAAATTCTCATCTGCAGTCTCTCATGATCCCAGCCTTTGAGATGTTCTCCCTTTTCTAGAATTCCAGTTGCCCATGTGCTTTACACCATTTCTTTTTCCTGAAGTCACACTATATTCCAGGTACTGTTTAGCACTAGAATCCTCAACTTAATCCTCACAATGATCTTATGAAAAGGTGTGACTGTGATCTTATTTTAGAGTTGAGAATCCTGATGCTCAGAGAGGTTAAGTAACTTGCCTACAGTGAAGCCGCCTCCATTAAGTGATAAAACCAGGATGCTCACCCAGGCAGACAGGCTTCAGAAACCTTGTTCTTAACCACTATGCCAAACTGCTTCTTTTTGTCCTATGTGACACTGTCATTGATTCCTTAGTCCTTCCCAGCCTGACTGTCAGCTCCTGAAGGGCAGGTGCCATCTTCACTGCTTTATTTACATCCCATTGCCTCCGTGGAGCTTATTGCATAGGAAGGTCTTAGAATTTGCTGCATGTGGGTAGGGAACTTTCCTGTCTTTTTCACCTGTACTTCTTCAGCACCTAAACACACACACAGGGTCTGACACATAATAAGAGCTCAAAAATTATTAGCTCAGTAAATGACTAAGTGCATACATATTTGATTTATTCACAGTTTGAAAAATATATGATCACATCAGTGCATCCTTTGCATATTTTTCATTCATATAAATGTGCATATCTGTATTTCCTGTGCAAGCATCTCCGGTGCCTCTGGGTCACTGCTGTTGATTAAGCTGGACACGTCTTTCTAGGCCATAAAATGGATGTGTCTTTATCTGTTTGTGCTGCTGTAACAAAATACCTGACACTGGGTAATTTATAAAGAAAAGAAATTTCTTTCTCACAGTTCTGGAGACTGCTAAGTCCAAGATCAAAGTGCCAGCAGGTTCAGTTGTCTGGTGAGGGCTTCTGTCTGCTTCTAAGATGGTTCTTCTGGAGGAGAAGCATGCTATGTCTTCACACTGAAAAAGGCAGAAGGGCAAGCGAGTGAACTCCCTCCATCAAGCCTTTTTTGTTTTTTTTTTTTGAGATGGAGTCTTACACTGTCACCCAGGCTAGAATGCCATGGTGCAATTTTGGCTCACTGCAACCTCTGCATCCTGGGTTCAAGTGATTCTCCTGCCTCAGCCCTCCAAGTAGGTGGGGCTACAGGCGTGCACCACCACACCTGGCTAATTTTTTTATTTTTAGTAGAGTCGGGGTTGCTCCATGTTGGCCAGGCTGGTCTCGAACACTTGACCTCAAATGATCCGCCCAACTCGGCCTCCCAAAGTGCTGGGATTACTGGCATGAACCACTGCACCCAACCTGTCAAGCCCTTTTGTAAGGCCACCTAGTCCCATTCACAAGGGAAGAGATCCCATGGCCCTTCACCTCTTAAAGGCCCACCTCCTAATACTATGACATTGGCAACACCTGAGTTCTGGAGTGACCACATTGAAACCATAGTAGGATGCTTTGTATCCTCAGCAAAGTTAATTGTTGCTTGTTCAATCTTACAGTTTCTACCCAGGGCACAGAGGGTCTCAGAGTACATCACTCCATTATAGCTGATGAAATTAAGCTACACCAGTTTACTCAAACTAATACGTTATTATCAAAAAGAAGCACTTCTGTTATGCTTAGCAGCCTTAACAGTGCTTTTAAACTTGAGGTTTATGAGCACTTGCTTTTAGATACTAATCATTACAGGTAAGTAAAATGTTGTCATTAGTCCAACAAATCTTCAGAATTTAATTTTCAAAAAGGTTTCCTTTTCCTGGGAAAGCTCTTCTAAACTGGGGCAAGATATTATTTGTTTCATTCCCTGTACCTAAAACTACTTGGGCCTCCCTTTTTAATCCAGTATTGATTTAAATGTTTTTGATAAAAGACACCTCATTTAATTCTCTCTAAATGTGATTAGAGAAAGTCAGGTTTCTGCAGAGCACAGTCTGTATTTAATTTATTTGCAAAGCCATATTGAGCACTGAGAATTTTAAGATTCAGTCAAAATAAATAATTTTACATTACGGCATCAGTTAACACCAAGTTTTCAAAGGGCTTTTCGCTTTAAAAAACTCAAAACACCTCATTAAGTCAACCGTCTTCCAAGAATGTGCTATTCACCAAGATAGCCTTATTAGTCCCTTTTTGCAAGTGACAAAGCTGTGGCAAGAAACAATTAAACATCTTACCAGCGGCTCTTGGAATGGAGTCTTACTGGGTAGGCCCTTGACCTGTGAGCCTACCGTCATTGGCACAGTAGAATAGGAGGCTAGGAACAAGGCAGGAATGAAAACAATCAGAAGCAAGAAGCCAAATGGAAGAACAGGATTCGTCATCAAGGTCTTTTAACATGGGATCCCATGGAGTTGATAAAAGGAAAAAAAAATCATACCTCAATTAGTCATAATATTTCAAGGCAGAAAAGAAACATAGAGGTTATCTCATCTCAGCCAGTCATTTGAGTTGTTACGGCTGGAGCAGGAGGGTTGGAAATGTCACACAGAGTTAACTCCTGCTATCATGCTGCCAGCAAAGGCTGAGCCCTATGGGGTGTTTACCAGGAAAAGCGAATGTAGGAAATAAAATGTCAAGAAGAAATTTGTGAAGTACAAGAATGTCTGAAAAGAGCGTATGTTAAGTTCTGAAACAAAATGATAAAACTCAGAAGTGACAGCTGTTACCTAAACTTTTCCAATGTGTTGTTCACCAATCTACTTCTGAAGACAGCCTAGTGCAACCTCATTCCTTGTCCAGAAAAGGAGGACGTAGTCTTCAAGGTGACCAAATCACCATAGGAGACCCTATCACCACCACCCCCACATCACACAGTGTACACATGCATGTGTACAAACACACGATAACATCGATGCCAGTGGCTGAAATTTGACTTGTTCTTTTTTTAAAAAATTAAACTGTTCTTCCTGGGTTTTTTCCTTTAACTATAAATAAACCCGGTGGGTCTGGCATTTTGTTACCAACATCTTTTCAGGAACCTACCCATCTGCAACTGATTATTATATACATCATGTGCATAAATGTTTAGACTACTTATATTCAGATATGGTCAATTCCTTCATTCTTCCTTTCAACAAATGCACAGCACCTACTCTGTAGCCAGCCCTTTAGCAGATGTTGAGAATGCACTAATGAAAAACACAGATGTGGTTCTAGCCCTCCCAGAGTATATAATCTATCAGGGAAAACAGACATTAAACAAGTATTGGGAGAGATGATCAGGCTGTGGGAACAATACGTGCATAGGTCAAGGGTCCCAAGTACTGCAAGAATCTCATATGGATGAGAACAGGGGTGTGATATGAAAGCTGGAGAGGTGGGCAATAGATCAATCATCAAAGCCCTTAAAAAGATATTCTAAATATTTGAAGCTTTATGCTAAAGACAATAAAAAGTCCTAGACATCATGACATGATAGGATTTGCATTTATTTATTTATTTTTAATTAATTTGTTTTTTAGAGACGGGATCTCACTCTGTCTTGCAGGCTGGAGTGCAGTGGCACAATCATAGCTCACTGCAGCCTCAAACCCCTGGGCTCAAGCAATCCTCCCACCTCAGCCTGCCAAGTAGCTCGGGCTATAGGTGTGCACTACCCTAGCGAATGGGGCCTTGCTGTGTTTCCCAGGCTGGTCCTGACTCCTGGCCTTGAGCCATCTTTCTGCCTTGGCCTCCCAGAGTGCTGGGATTACAGGCATGAGCCACTGCACTCAGCCAAGATTTTCATTTAGAAAATCTTGCAAGGGGAGGATGTTTGGAGTAGAGCAAAATAAACTATTTTGGTTTGAAATAGGATTGTCATGGTACATGAGACCAAGAGGAATGGATAAAGACATGTCTATGTAATAAGATCAACAATTGTTTCATGAGTAATTGGCTATGGAGCTAAAGGATGAAGAGGCGTTCAGGATGATTCTAGGTTTCTAGTTGGAGTAAGCTGATGCAAGGTACTGCTGAGGGTAGGGAATAACGGGACGGATGTGCAGGAAAAATAAATTCTGCTTTGGATATGCTGAGTTTCAGGTGCTTGCAGTACATATGAATGGAGACACCCAGCAGGCAGAAAAGTGGGCTGTGCTGAATATGTGGAATTGGAAGTTATCAGTATCCAAAGAGAGGGTAATCAATCTACTAAAATATTCTGTGAAGGTTGAGATCATGTCTGGAACAATGTTGGTGCTCAGTAATTATCTGCTGAAGTTGTTGAATTAGAGCCATGGGGTGCGTATCAGGGATGAGGATAAAAGAGCCCAGAGTCACCCATTTTTTAGCACCAACTGAGGACTTTGAAGCAAAACAACAACAACAACAACAACAAAAACTGAACAAGAGTCCCAGGAAGAGTACAATATAGAGGTGTGGTGGTGTCAGAGAATCAGAGGAAAAAAGTTCTGAGAGGTTCATGACTGTCAGAAGCTTCAAGGAAGAATATCTAAAATGAGAATAGAAAACGTAACCATTAGATTTCTACTAATCTTGGCAAGAGCAGTTTCCATTTAGTGACAAGGGTAGAAGCAAGATGGATATGCAGATGGGGCAAGAAAGATGTGGAAAAAATGAAGATAGTGGTGGGGAAGTCTGGTCTGCATTGGCCTGGTGAGGCATGCAGAGGTATGCGTGGGATTGTCACGTTCTCTTTCAGGATCACTTACCAAAGGAAGAGGTAGGTCCTCAGAACCTAAAGCGCAAGGAGATTCCACATTACTCTTCTCTTAAAAAACAAATACTATTGAGCACATACCATATACACAACCTAAAGGGCTTCTTCAAGATGCAGATACCAAGATGAGATTGGATGTGCAAGAGATTTATTGGGGGAAATGCCTGTGAAGGGAAAAGGAGGCAGGAAGAGCCATCAAACCCATAGTAGATCTGATTCCTATAAAGAACAGGGGAAGGACTATTGGGTAAGGAGAGCCTCAGAACACAGTGTAGTTTTAAGAAAGTTTCAGTCAGGCCAAGGGGAAGTTGTCAGCCAAAGTCATTCATCAGAGGAGTCCTGTGTGTTGCAGGAATGGGCCTGCCTTAGACAACTTGTCACACTAGTCACTGCCTGATATTAGCCTACGGGAAGCATGCCCTTGGCACAAATGAGGTGATAAAATCGAACAAAGCAGCTGGGACCATTGGTTACTTACTCTTCCAGCAATGGGAGAGATTCATGGCTGCCACATATGTAATATCTCATTTAATTCTTACAGCATCCCCCTAAGATTGGTATTATTATACCTGTTTTGCAGATGAGATGCCAAGGATTACAGAGGTTAAGTAACTTGCCTCAGTTCATACCACTAGTAAGTAATAGAGCCTGGATTTCAGCTAGTGGTATGTTAGAGCTGGCTCAGACTAATCGAGTCAATTTTTTATTTTTAGGAATTGCGCTAGTCAGTTGACACAAAGACAGTAGCTTGAAAATTTGGCCATATAGGAGTATTTACAGCATGGAAATCTGCATATGCTACACATCAGTCCTTTGTTTGTTTGCTTGTTTCTGAAAAGATGGTTGTTAGGCATTTGCCGGTACACCACTGATTTGAAGCCAGGTCATCTGATGCTACAGCTGACTCTCCAACCTCTATGCTACAGACAATTGGCTTCATGATTCCCTGACACATTTCTGATGCAAAAAATTCCTGAAACCACCCTCCTCCTCGGAATCCCTGTGGAGAGCTTGCCATGCCCTGTATTTTGCTTTTCCCTGAATTGCCGTCATCATCATTTTTATGTCTCCCTACCTGGATAGAAAGTTCCTCAAGGACAGAGAGTGCAATCACTTTATGCTCCCTGTCTTTGCAGTGTCCTGCACACCACACTGCTCAGTAACTATTCACTGTTGAAGGTGATGCTGATTGATATACATCATCACCCTACTGGTGATTAAGGATTGGTAACATCTACAAAATAATACAAAAGATTGTGCTTCATACAGATGTATCTTTCTGAATCTTACATTTTATAATGGCAGACACTATTGGAAAAATGTGTTTTAACCTCAAGATGACCATTTAAGAGAACTGTGACATCCATTACAGCCCAGGGATCTGGTTGATGTGCTTCCTGCCCACTCCCACCCACAAACCAGGAGATACATTAATTACTTGCCTCCCTGGCCACTCTCAGTTTATTGGGAAATTGTTTATCCTCCCAGCTTGTCTAGAAAATAAAATATGCATGCTGCTTGGAAGCAGGGAGGTATGCAGAAGCTTCCAGATCTCCAGACTCTTCTCTCACTGCGTCTTGGGGCCTGAGAGCTTAGCTCTGCAAAGAACAACCCAGGAAGGGTCAGGATGGACAGGGCACTGCAGTCTCTGCACCAAGTGGTGTGCCCTACATGGCCCTGAGACTTCAGAAGACTCGGGTCTTAGGCTCACTGCAGACTGTGTAACGTGAATAACAAAAAAAAAATTTCTACTGCACATGAGTAAGCTGCAGAAGACTTTGTGCCTTGAAGCTTCCTTCCAGATGAAAAAGCGGGTCTCTCATGAAAAGAACGCTTGCCTTCAAGAAAAGCTCTTTAAAATCTTTTGACATGGCAAAAGAATCTGTAACTTGCCACTTGTACATCACTTCCAAAAATGTTTCTTCCTTCTTAATTTATTTTAAAAATTTTGTTTCAGGACCCACCGTGTGACAGGCACATTTTCCACCATTTGGGAAACATCATTGAATAGAATGAGAATTCCTACTGCCATGACACTAACACTGCAGTGACATCCGTAGCGCCAAAACTCTTGATCTTCTTCATCATGTGCTTTCATTCATCAGACGTGTATTCGTTCAGCCAAACAGACATGAGCATCTACTTTATGCCAAGCTCAGTGGTGAGGGCTACAGCTTCAAAAACAGAATATGGACTATGCTCTCGAGGAATTGTCTAAGGAGAGAGGCACACACAGCTAGGGTTCTAACATCAGAGCTTTATCTAGGAGCACCACCAGAGGTGTGGGGAGCTCGTGTCTGTGAGGCTTCCTGGAGGAGGTGTTACCTCAGTTGAGTCTTGCAGGATGAGTACAAGGTCCAAGCAGAGAGGGTGTAATTTGAAATAGCTTGATACAGAGGAGGAACTAAAGGCAGTGAAGGGTGCTGGGGTATAAAGTTTGAGGCAGGAGGTAGCAAGAACTGAAACTTGACATTGAACAGTTAGGCAGAGCCTGCATCATGCATCAATTACCTGGTTTACTCCCTTTATTCAAAAAACAGGCTGGGTGCGGTGGCTCATGCCTGTAAGTCCAGCACTTTGGGAGGTCAAAGCGGGTGAATCACTTGAGGCCAGGAGTTTGAGACCAGCCTGGCTAACATGACGAAACCCTGACTCTACTAAAAATACAAAAGGTAGCCCAGCATGGTGGCGTGTGCCTGTAGTCCCAGCTACTCAGGAGGCTGAGGCACAAGAATTGCTTGAACTTGGGAGGTGGAGGTTGCAGTTAGCCAAGATCACATTACTGGACTCCAGCCTGGGTGACAGAGAAAGACCCTGTCTCAAAAAAAAAAAAAAAAAAAAGCAAAAAACAACAATAGCAACACCTATAACCACAATTAACTTTCTTTCTTGTGTTCTCCGAAAGATTGGCAGGAAGGCAGATGAGGATGTTTCCCTGGTCTCTAATCTGAAGCTGTAGATTCCTACAACATGTAATACTGTCCCACCCTCCCCACCTCTTCCCAACCAAATGCCAATCCACTCCGCTTCATCATTTCCAAGTCCACCCTTCAAAGTAGACTTCGCCTATTCCCAAGGATGCAGTTCCATCTCTCCTTCTCCTCCTTGTCCTCTGCTCCTGTTAATTCACTGATCCACTGGGCAGAAACTCCAAGTCTGTCACTCTCTCCCACCCTTATTCCAATGCTCCTGTGCCAACAAGGAGTGACCCAAGCAGTGAGCTTTACAGCCAGCACCTGCTCCTTCTGGAATGGCCCTTCTCAGAAATGCAGGAACCTCAGCAGTCCTTCCTCAGCCAATAAGAATGAGATAATAGAGGTTCAAAGGCTTTGAAAACACAAGAGGCACATAATTCAGTGTTTTTGTTATTATCATTTGAGGCCTCTAGACTTCTGAAGAAGCTACTTCTGGTCTGTGAGAACTTCATGAAGGTGGAATTACTTGACTTCAGTAAAGGCCCCCCCCCACCCCCCGCAAATGAAAACCTTGATTAAAAAGTTTAAAAATTCAAAAGGAATGGTGAAGATAGGGAAGGACTGAGAATGAATTATTAAGAGGTTGGAAATTTCAGAGCCTTCCTTTTTGAAGAAGCTGGCTGAGTTCCAAAAGAAATCCAAGTCCTGAATTTCTATTACTTCTAACAAACTGCATTAGCATGTTACCAACACTTATAAACTGACTTAAAAGAAGACTAGGGCATTAAATTAAAAAGTAAGCCATGAGACTATTACCAAAATAAAAGGAAAGCAAGAGGGATTTGCCTTTGTCCTTGTTCAGAGAAACTGAAAACAAACTTGGATTGCATTAACAGAAGTATCTGTTCTACCAACTGCAAAAGTGCCAAAGGAGATCATATAGGTCCCCAACTCTGTCATGAGTCCTTCCAGGTGAACAGAGACCTTGTTAAATTAAGGCAATCACATTCAGCCTCCCAAGAAGGGAGCCTATAAAACTGAGAAGCCAAAGCTAATCCAGTCCTTTCCCATTCTAATTAAAGAGGCTGAAGGGCTTGTCTCACCTAACACTGTCTCATCTTCATGCCACTTCCTCAAATAAAGGAGTCAGTGAGAAGTTACCAATTCACATGGTAAATAACAAACTCTCCTGAGTTTTTTGGATAATCAAATGAGTTTTCCTTTGTTCATTCCATCCCTCCCCATTTGGAATTTAGATGGAAGAATGTCTAAGTCGATGAAAATCCAACTAAAGAAACATTGGCCTCTTTGTGGAGGAATCTCACATTTAAGTACAAAAAAAATTAAGCGTTTAGGGGAAGAAAGTTCAAAGACTTTTGCTTCCTTTGTTCTTTTAAATATTTTATTTGGAGTTCGGCATTACAGTCAGGACAACCTACAGTAAGAAAACCAGGCTTTCGTATAAAAGTTACTGAAAGGTGCTATACACCAACATACTTTTATATCTACCATATTTTTATATTCTTTATATCTTTCATTTTAAAATATTTATTTGGTGTGGCAGGTTTATGGTAGCTTTTTATCGTCCTCTTTTTGCTTGGCCATATTTTATATAATAAACAGGAACTGGTTTTATAATAGAAGTATTTGAAGACAAAGAATAAGATTTGATGCCATGAGATCTTTCTTTCTTTTAAATCCAAATAGTTAAGCAGATCAACCTATGAAGAGCGAGAAGCCAAAGGAGATGTTTCATGATAAGGTAACTAGATGGTATTTTTCCATTAGCTGCTTGACCTCTTTAACGTGACACCAGTGTGTTTTCCTGGATAAAATTACAATCCCAGATATTCAGACGTTCAGATTCATATTTTCCATCTTAGCCCACGAAAGCTTTACTTTGGGGATTTTGCAGAAAATTCTGGCTTGTGTTTCAGTCATTTGCCTTTTCTCTGTGGAAGCCAGCAGGAAACAGTAGCAGATCCTGACAATCCCCAGACGTCCCAGGGAAAGTGCAAAGAGGCTCGGCATTAATTGATTAAGAGGTTCTTTCAAAGCGCAACTTCTCTCTAAAACTACTCACTTTAAATCATGAGACTAGCTGCAAACTGCAATATTTATAAGAGACATAAATATTGAAGAACACAGTGACACTCTCCTAGGAGCAGGAACTAGAAGTGGAAAGAGCAGTGTTCCACGTAGACTCAGTAAGACTTGGAAGCTGATCGTATCTATTCATTCACTCAAGAAAATATTGGCTAAGCGTCTCCTGTGGGCTGGCACTCTCCTAAGCCCTGGAACAGGAGTGAACAAGGGAGACAAAGCCCCACCTGTCATGGAGCTGACATCCTAGTGAGGTGAGGCAGGTAGTAAACAGACAGATAATTAATATATATCAGGTGGTGACCGAAAGCTAAGAAAAATAAGAGGACAATGAGTAACTGCGGATGCTATTTATGTCAAGAATCAAAAGTTTGTTCTGAGGCAGGTGTTCTCTATATGGGGTCCACAGATCCCCACAAAAAGTTCATGGGTAAATTACAGAGGATCTCTGAATGATAGTGGCAAAAAATACATCATAGTTTTACCAACTTAAAGTTTGCAAATGTTCGTTTTTGAATGTAGGCAACAAACAGTGGCAATATTAACAGTACCTGTCATGCCACCAATAGAACTCATAAATTTTTTTTAATTTTTATTTTTATTATTATACTTTAAGTTCTAGGGTACATGTGCACAATGTGCAGGTTTGTTACATATGTATACATGTGCCATGTTGGTGTGCTGCACCCGTTAACTCATCATTTACATTAGGTATATCTCCTAATGCTATCCCTCCCCCCTCCCCCCACCCCACGACAGGCCCCGGTGTGTGATGTTCCCCACCCTGTGTCCAAGTGTTCTCATTGTTCAATTCCCACCTATAGAATTCATAGATATTTTATATCAACTGTTACTGGAGATGTCTCAATCATTCATACTAACATAATTCTTGGATCAATGTCATGGTAGATATTAGACCCATTGAGAAATCTTGTCATTCAATACATTGAACAAGCATATATGTTACTTATCACAACTTTGTAGTATTTTGATAAATAATTCAATGGATTAGGTCTCCTTTATAATCCTGTTTATTATATACATTTAAGCATATTGCCCTGAAAAGTGAATCCTTAGACTACATCAAACTGCTAGGAGGTCAGTAGCAGAAGTGCTTTATGCAAACTTCCCATACTTCTTCACACAATATTAAAAATATGAGTACTCAGGGGTTGACGTTTAGAACAATAAATAATTTTTACTGCTCCATCAAGAACATCCTTAAGATAAACTGGTGTTTTTATTGTCGTAAGTATGGTGGTGAAGAATACCATGACCTGTGGAACAGTTTGGTCCACCGTCTGCATTCTTGTGAATGAGCCACCTGTTTATGATCATAGCCTTGCTCCATCCACACAAATGTCAACACCATCAACAGGCAAAGAACACCTTAGGATTCTTATGAAAACCAGTTGGTTCTTGTGGACCCCTTAAAGAGTTTTAGAGTCCCGAGGCCGATCGCGGTGGCTCACGCCTGTAATCCCAGCACTTTGAGAGGCCGAGGCGGGCAGATCACGAGGTCAGGAGATCGAGACCATCCTGGCCAACACGGTGAAACCCCGTCTCTACTAAAAATACAAAAAAAATTAGCCGGGCGTTGAGGCAGGAGAATGGGGTGAACCCGAGGGGCGGAGCTTGCAGTGAGCCGAGATCGCGCCACTGCACTCCAGCCTGGGCGAGAGAGTGAGATTACGTCTCAAAACAAAAAACAAAAAACAAAAACAGTTTTAGAGTCCTGCCGGGGGTCTGTGGACCTCACTTTGAGAACCACTGTGCTAGATTAAATGGCAAATACAGATTCCTTTAAGCATTTGGACCACCCAGAGGACTCTATTTGCATGAAAACTTGGTTGTGGTTGTAGTTTTGCTGTCCAACTCTCTGAAATTGAAGTTTTAACCAAGCGTTTAAGGTAGAATTTTAAAAATCTCAGTAGAAAATAATCTTCTGTTGACTTTTCTTCATGGCCCCAGAGACCTAGCATGAGAATACAGGTCAGGAAATACATTTTACAGCAGGAGCATATGGATGGCCCCTGCTCAAGGAAAGAAATAACCAATACTTGAGGGAATCTTAACCTCTTTTGTGTCATGAACCTCTTTAGCAGTCTAGTGAAGTCTACAGACCTCTTCTCAGAATGTTTTTAAATGCATATCATAAAATACTTAGGATTACAAAGAAAACAAATTATACTGAAATACATTTCTATCCACAGACCCCTTTGGGCGGCTCAGCATTCAAGGCTAATAACCACTTGCTTCCTTCAATCCCAACTGGCAAGGAGGAGCACCAAAGGAGGTGACATTTGTTTCTTAGTGCATTTGTTTCTAGGTCAGTTAACATCTTAAATGCCCAAATTCTGAATGTCAGTAAGTTCGATTTCTACATCTAAACAAGGCCAGGGCAAGAAAGTGGAATAAGAAGAATGAGTTTCTCCTGAGCCTTCCATCAGACCTAGTGGCACAGGTCATCAGCTAAATACACAATCTTCCTAAAGGAGGGTGACCCTGGGCTGGGGGCCAGGAAGATCTTGGGCACCATCTGCATAATAGTCTAGTACCGTTGAGAATTCTCCAGTGGGAGTTTCCAAAAGTTTGGTTACTCTTTTTGAAAAAAAAAAATTGTTTTATATTGAAACTTTATTTTTCTCTGTTTTTTAAACCAAACTAGCATCCTTAGACTTATTATACTTGGAGAAACTGTCTAGAACTTAGTGCTAAAAGTTAAGGATAAAAGAATTTAGAGACTTGTGTGACTTACTAAAGGATAAAACCAATAACAAGCTGATACTGTTTGTATATTTGTCCCCACCCAAATCTCATTTTGAATTGTAATCCCCAGTATTGGAGGTGGGGCCTGGTGGGAAGTGATCAGATCATTGACGCAAATTTTTCATGAATGGTTTAGCAGCGACTCCTTGGTGCTGACCTCATGATAGTGAGTGAGTTCTCAGGAGATCTGGCCATTTAAAAGTGTGTGGCCCCTCCTCCCCTGAGCCTCACTTGCTCCTGCTTTTGCCATGTGATGTGGCTGCTCCCACTTCACCTTCTGCCATGATTGGAAGCTTGCTGAGGCCTCCCTAGAAGCTGAGCAGATGCCAGCACCATGCTTCCTGCACAGCCTGCAGATCACTGGGTCAGTTAAACCTCTTTTCCTTATAAATTACCCAGTCTTGAATATTTCTTTCCTTTTTTTTTTTTTTTTTTTTTTTTTTTTGTTGAGACAGAATCTCACTCTGTCACCCAGGCTGGAATGCAGTGGCATGATCTTGGCTCACTGCAACCTCTGCCTCCCAAGTTCAAGCGATTCTTGTGCCTCAGCCTCCCAACAACCTGGGACTACAGGCATGCACCAGCACGCTGGCTAATTTTTTTTGTATTTTTGGTAGAGACAAGGTTTTGCCATGTTGGCCAAGCTGATCTCGAACTTCTGGCCTCAAGTGATCCACTTGCCTCAGCCTCCCAAAATGCTGGGATTACAGGTGTGAGCCACTGTGCCTGGCCTCAGATATTTATAGCAATGCAAGAGTGGGCTAGTAAACAACCCCATAGTAAAAGTTTCTACATTCTTGGTGGAATGGTTATAAATTAATGAAAAACAATTTATTCACTTTAATAGGAGAAAATGTTGGTTCTGATAGTGGAAAACTGCTGATAATCCAAAGAGCCTCTCTGTTTAATCTTAGAATTAATGAAAGTATTCTAGCATCATGGTCTCCTCTGATTGTGTTTTTTGGGGGACTAATATTGAAGTGAGTTCTTATTCTCTGATTCAAGGGTAAGGAGGTCAGTTGGTCACTTGAAACTATTCCAAGACTGGGAAGACAACCTGTGATTTTAAATTTGCCACAAATAATCCACCAGGCGGATATTCACCTCTTCGCTAGTCAAGAGTTTCACTGTGGTCTTTACAGTCCTACTTTGTTTCCTCATAAAGGAAAGCACACTCTCTAAGACCCCACAGCTTTTCTTTCTGTCCCCCCCACCAGGCTCTTTTCCTTTTTCCCGTTTTCCTTGCCCTGCTCACTGCAGTTTCTCTTTCAGGGCCAAGATGAATCCTCAAGTCCTTGCATTTCCAGGACCACTTCATCCAATGTTGCTGAACCCTTCATAGCCCTTAATCTATAGATTCAAAACTCAAAGTGCCTGTTCACCCCTTACCTCTGCAGAATGCTATCTTGTAGTCTGTAAAGCATTTTCACATATTTTTTCTTTAATCCCCATAGCCATCCTGTAAAAGAATTTGTCCTATCCTTATCTTGTGTGTGTGTGTGTGAGACAGAGTCTCACTCTGTCGCACAAGCTGGAGTGCAGTGGGGCGATCTCGGCTCACTGCAACCTCCGCCTCCCGGGTTCAAGCTATTCTCGTACCTCAGCTTCCCAAGTAGCTGGAATTATAGGCACGCACCACCACACTTGGCTAATTTTTGTATTTTTAGCAGAGTTGGGGTTTTGCCATTGGCCAGGCTGGTCTCGAACTCCTGGCCTCAAGTGATCCGCCCGCCTCGGCCTCCCAAAGTGCTGGGATTCCAGGCATGAGCCGCTGCGCCCAGCCTCGGTCCTGTTCTTATTTTAGAGGTAAGAAACCTGATGCTCAAAAAGATGGAGTGCTTCACCCATTGTGACTCAGCAGCTAGCACAGAAGCAAGACCCAAACCCAGATCATCTGATGGCTAAGCCAGGGTTTTCTTCTCTATTTCACAGATATCTTCTGTGTTCTAGTCGCATTACAAACTCTACTTGTTCCTTATCTACTAGCATTATTCTTGCCAGAAACATAGTACAGCAGGTTATAAAATCTTATTTTGAAGTGGCTATGACTAAAGACAGTGGGGCATAAACCAGTTACCTGTGGGTCACATGTGACTTGCCGACGTGTTTTGTTTCATATATGGGTTTTGTTGTTGTTTGTAGTACCAACATTTAAGAATTGAGAGATCTCACACAAAGATCCAAATTCAAATTTCTAGCTTCTCTTGACAGGTGAGAATATTGGGCAACCCTGGGACAAATTTTGTGTGGCAGAGACTGGCTGGAGCTGAACAGCATCTGCCCCCTGGAGACAGGGCGTGTGCATTCCTAGTTTGCCCTGCGTTTCTCCACCCCTCAGTATCTGCAGGCACAGGGCCCTATTCATGCATTCACATGACCTGGCAGGCACCTGTGGGCATTGGTAATTGCTGTCCCAGCTCTGGAGCCTGTATTCAGCAGGGGGTGGGGGCAGAGTGGGGACAGACTGCACACAACACGGTGCCCAGCAGATGTTGGGAACCCAGTAAGAGCAGCGTTGAAGGATGCTACATTCACTGAGTGTTATACCTTGAGTGTTGAAAGTGCTGAGATCGCCATAGAGAATTGATTCTTCCACTCTCTGGCTTTGAAAACTGTTCATGATAAGAAAGAGGAAGAGAAAGAGCCCCTCCTAAATATTATATGTTTAATCAGGTTTGTTATGGTTATCGTTGTTTCTGAGACAGGATCTCACTCTGTCACCAGGCTGGAGTGCAGTGGCATGATCTTGGCTCACTGCAGCCTCTGCCTCCCAGGTTCAAGTGATTCTCCTCCCTCAGCCTCCCAAGTAGCTGGGACTACAGGCACTTGCCACCATGCCCAGCTAATTTTTGTATTTTTAGTAAAGATGGGGTTTTGCCATGTTGGCCAAGCTGGTCTTGAACTCCTGACCTCAGGTGATCTGCCTGCCCCGGCTTCCCAAAGTGCTGGGATTACAGGCACAAGCCACCACACCTGCCCTGTTTAATCAGTTTTTCACCAGGAAGACTGCTTTTCCTCCTACAGACTCTTTCTCTTGTGTGTCTAAATGATAAATATAGTTCTACATTTACCCTGTGGAATTGATCTCTTCATCATCAGAGTAATTAACATATTTTAACTTGAGTGTATATTTGCTTTTCTTTGGCTTTGGTTCTCAACTTGAGGAAAGATAGATCTGGGAAATTCTGTTTTAGTAGTTCTTCATTTCAGTACTTATGTGTGTAGAAGTTATTCTAGTGACTTGAATTTTTTGTGTGTTTATACAGCCTTGGTCTGATTCATGGGTAGTTAACCTAAAAAGGGGAGGGAATATCAATAAGAGAAAGGAAAGAGTAATAAGAGAAAAAAATGCTATTATAACACAGCCTTTATTTTTTATGTTTTTAATTAGAATTTTTATTTTAGATTCAGGTTGTATATGTGGAGGTTTGTTGCAAGGGTGTATTGCATGTGTTTGAGCTTCTGTTGATCTTGGCACCAGATAATGAACATAGTACCCAGTAGGAAGGCTTGCAGCCTTTGCTGTCTCCCTCCCTGCTTTTGGAGTCCCCGTGTCTGTTCTCATCTTCAGAGGATATGAACTGGGGTTTATGTTGGTTCACTAAATGTATATATCCTAAGATGTACCTGCATATAATAAAAATAGGGAACATTCTATAAGAAAGCTGTGAGAGAAATCTCAAATACCAGCATAATAAAGGGGCTTGATTTCGTAGCTTTTTTTCTTGGATTCCATGTAGTCATGTTTTATTTTAGAAGAGAAAGAATCCAGGAAGCAGGACCAATGAAAGGGTCAGAAATGAGATCTCTAAGCAAACTTAGGATGGAAAATTATAAAGGTCTGAGGATTCATAAAGAACCTGACCCACTGAAAACACAGTCCAAGAAGCTTTAGAGTGAGACAGATGGAAAATGAATGAGTGAATGAATGGATGAATGAAAAAATGAATTAGAAAAAGGGAAAATGAAGGCAGGAAAAAATTGAGCTTCCTTACAGAATGTTCTCTAATATTTTTATTATATGCAGGTACATCTTAGGATATATACATTTAGTGAACCAACATAAACCCCAGTTCATATCCTCTGAAGATGAGAACAGACACTGGGGAACACACTATACTAATAGTCATTTATTTTTTCTGGGATTTTTTTGTTTGCTTTTTATAACATTATGGAAAATTTTAAATACTCACAAAAGAGAATAGTCCAGTGAAGCTCCATTTCACAGACAATTCTTAGTCACTCATGATACTAGGATCTTGAGAAACCGAAGTTCCCTGTTAATTTAAAATAATTATTTTATTTAGGTTCAGCATCTCTTTATTGAACTTATTACGAGTCCTTAATGACCTTCTAAGTCAGGATCATGGAGCACAGAAAGGAGAAGCTGTGGGCTGGCCTAAAAAATAATCCACAAACATGCTGTTTATACCCTGGATAACCAGAGGTTGAAAGTGTGACTTTTGTGGTTTGTTTTGCGTTCTTAAGCCAAAACTATTAGACTATTGCATGTGAAAGAAAACGAAATTCTGAACCTCTTCAGCTAAGAAGGCAAAATCATCAAAATTCTGAGGCTAAGACAGTTTCTGTGGCTTTTCAAAACTTGTGTGGCCCAAAGGGGCCATAAATAACTTTTATGGTATAAATCCCTTAAAGAACATTCTTGGTTTCTCAGGAATTCCTGCCATTCTTACAGTCACAAAGCTTCATTTTGGCTGGGAAGATGTTTGAGCTTGAGTTTTCTGTTCAGTACTGCCTCCAGGAAGTACTAAACTGTGGAGACGTGGACTATGCTGTGGGCTTCTTATAACAGGTGAAATGAACAGATTTGAGGTGAATGATTCTTTTGTCTCCACCTCATAATTCAACTTTTCACCAAAATCTGCCGTATTCCTTCTGATCTCTGGCCTACGTTTTATAAACACCTTTTCCTTCTGGTATTACATGCAGAGCACAAAAAAGTTAAAATATATTTCCATGATTATTTTAAGCTTGAGAATAGCAAAATTGTAGCCCCCATAGGATGCACTGGCAGTGCATTCATATAATATCACACTGCCCCTCCTAGAGAAAACTCACAATGGTGATCTCTCCATTTTCTGTGTGGCTAAGTAGCGGGTAGGGATGCGGGCCCATCCATAAACCCGACCTCCTGCTTATTTTAAGAGTTTCATCAGCATCTCAAGATGAGTCAATATTAGAAGGATAGATAGTCCCATTGACTGTATGCTTCAGAATATAATCAGCGCAGCCCCTTATAGGCCGAGGCTGCTGCCATGTATGTGCTGGTCTGAATGCAGCAAGCAGCATAGCACTGCAGCCCAGGTGGCTGGTGCATGCCTGGTTAACCAAGGCAGCACTTGCAGCACTCACAGCAGTCAGCCAGTGGCAGAGATCCAGCCATGTGGCTCCTTCTGGGCTGTAGAGATGAGAATCACAGACAACCAAGATGCAAAATCCCGAAGTCATTATTCCTCTGAGTGGAGCCCGCATCTGGAATGCACCTTTTCCAGCAGGGAGTAGTTTATAGGTCATATAATGTCATTTCAGTCATGCAGATATCTAGCAAGAAAAAGTATCAACAATGATATATCTTTATCTATATGAACACTTAAGTACTTTTTGTTCAAAATTTAATGGTACTTGTATTCTGGACTTTACTGGTGAAATTTTTATGATGTTGTTTATTGAAAAACAGTAGTATCATCTGAAATCTTTCATTAGACACCCAGACTTCCATGGTGATTTGCTAGGCATAGCATAATTCAAATAAAAATTTCATTATCTTCAAAGACCACTTTTAGAAACTATAATAGAACACCTATCTGGCACTGGGTGGATACCGTAATACAGAGAAGCAAATCTTCTAGGTTAGAATATAATTCTGATACAGAATATGTAGAACAAAGATTATAACTTTTTATATTCATGGCATACTTCAAATATTGGAACTTTTGGCAACATGCAACACTAATAATAGACTCAAAGCAACACCATTAAGACAAACTCACTGCTATGATGTAACAGTGTCTCACAGGGTCTGTAAGAAGAACCCTCAGGAATAATGCTGTTTGATGTCTGACTTAAACTGTGCATTGTCCTTTACCCTCTGACATATAGAGCAAAAATGATTACGTTTCTCTAAACATGTGACCTTGCTTTGGCACAGACTTGACATCTTACTCAACTTCTTTCCTCTAACTTTGCAAGTTTCACTCCTTACATCCCAGGTTATCCATGCCTCTACACTCAGCATTTCCTCTGATAGACCTTCCTGTAGCAAAGAAGCATGAATAGCCCATACAGGGCTCCCAATCAAGATGGTATACTGAGTTCACACTCTCTTGACCCCAAATATATTGTAATGATTGATAGAATATAAAAAGAGGAAATCCAAAGGATTTACCAGCTTTATTATAAAATAAGAACATCCTCATGCATGGAGGAATTCCTGAGTGGTGAGCAATGATGAATCCACAGGCCAGCTGGGCTCTGGTCCAGAATCCAGTAGTGGCAGCCAGAAATAGGACAAGGTCAAGGAGACTAGAAGTGTCCTGGCCAACAAGAGGGCCAGACCAGGCTCAGTGCTTTAAACCAAGGCATGGGGTGAGAAGCCACACTTCCCCTCACTTTCCAAGTAAAGGAAGTTAAACGTAGCAACTGCTCATCTTCTGCCTGGAACTATGCCCTTATAAGAGGCTAGAGATATACAGAGGTGGAAAAACAAAACCACAAACTCACAAGTAAGAAGTGAACCAAACTATTTGCTCCTTTGTAAGCAAATGTGTAATATTCTCATTGCTCTCATAAGATGGGAAGTAAAACTAAGACCTGATTCTGGACTCAGGACCCGGGAGTCCGGATGGTAGAAGCCACAAAACCACTAGAATAAGACAGAGGGTGAGAAGGAGGAAGAAAGAGAGACAGGGAGAGGAGAGAGGCAGCAGAGAGAGGAAGAAGACGGAGACAGATTATGAATCTCCTACCCAAAATGAGCCTACAGACCATACATTCTAAGGAACATGGAAAAAAAATCCAATACCAAGAAAGGCAGGCAGCAAAATCTAGTACTGGAATATGAATACACTCCAGATGGCTTTAAGGAACAACCTGACAAAGTCTTTAAAATAAGTGTGCCTAGGATGTTTGAAAAGACAAAAGAATGAATAGCTTCCATTTAAAAAGAGCAGAAAATTGTAAGAGAGACATGAAACAAGGACATGAGGATATCTTTAAAATAATTAAGTAAAATGAAAAATATGGTTATTGAAGTAAAAATTTAATAGATAAGTTCTAAGCTAAATAAAGTTAAAGAGAATATTAATTGATTTAGAAAATAGTCAAGAGGAATTCACCAAGAATGGAATTCAGAAACAGATAGACAGATAGAGCAGTTAAGAGACATGGAAAAAATATTGTAAAGTTTCAACAGGCATCTGATAGGAGATCCAGAAAAAAGAGAATAGAAAAATGTTAGGGAAGAAATATTTGAAGCAATTAAAGGACAAAATATTCCAAAATTGGAGATGATTCTTTTTTTTTTTTTTTTTGAGACAGAGTCTTGCTCTGTCACCCAGGCTGGGGTGCAGTGGCATGATCTCGACTCACTGCAAGCTCTACCTCCCAGGTTCATGCCATTCTCCTGCGTCAGCCTCCTGAGTAGCTGGGACTGCAGGCACCTACCACCACGCCTGGCTAATTTTTTTGTATTTTTAGTAGAGTCAGGGTTTTACCATGTTAGCCAGGATGGTCCTGATCTCCTGACCTCGGATCTGCCCACCTTGGCCTCCCAAAGTGCTGGGATTATAGGCATAAGCCACCGCGCCTGGCCTGGAGATGTGATCCTTCATACTAAAAGTACACTGGGAGTACTGAACAGATTAAACAAATTTAAATATTCACACAAGTATTTTAGAGTGAAACTGAAGATATCAAGGAAAAGGAAGCAAAGCAGATGACCAATGAAGGAATCATAGTTAGGCTCATAGCAGACTTCTTGTCAGCAACAATAGATATCAGATGACAGTACAGTAATATCTTCAAAGTGTTGAGATAAAAAAATTGTGAACCTGGAATTTTATACCCAGCTAAACAATCATTCCACTGGCCTTTTTCAGACACAGAGAGTTTCCTACTTACTGAGTTCATTAAAAGCATTATTAAAAGATGAATTATGGGGGAAATTAAGGTACAAGGGCATAAAAAGCAACAGTGAACAGAGCTGTTGAGTAAAACAATGTTAGTAAAATGAGTTGAATATTAAGTGTTAAAAGTTGTTTGTATGTTAAAAAAAGATTACAATTAGGCAACTTTAAAAAGGTGAGTGGTGTTTAATGGATAAAGTTGCTAAAATTCATCTCCGATTTGGAGGAATATAAGAAAACCAAATTACTTCATGCTTTATTAGAAAAAATTTAATCAAGTTTGAATGTTAAAAAAAATTTAATGACTTTTCCATTTACTTATCTTTCTCATCATCTATTTACAAATGAATTTTTAAAATTCTTTGCCCTTCCTCAGACTCTCTCAGTAATGAAAGTATCTTAAGCTCCTTTGTTATTTTTATTTTCTTAAATTGTAAGAGTCATCCATGTGTTTGAAAAAAAATCTTACAATGTTAAAAAAAAAATGTAAGGGTAAAATGTAATCCTTAGATTCTAAAGCAGTAGAGGACAGGGAAGGGATATTATTAAAAACTCTATTAAACCAACAGAAGACATGAAAAGAAAAAAGATGCAGGAAAAAAAGAATAGCAAATTTTAAAAAACGCAATGTAAGGTGCAGAAATTAAGTATTTTAATCTCACTAAAAGTAAATGATTAAATTAATTTATTAAAAATAGAAAGGTTCATTTACTAAAAGTAGAGGCTGAAAATAATGAGACTGGAGAGAGTTACCAGTTAAAAACTAAATAAATTTAGTGTAGGAATAATAACATGATACATTTTTATTTTTACTTTTTATGTATTTATTTATTTATTTTTTGAGATGGTGTCTCACTCTGTCACCCAGGCTGGAGTGCAGTGGCGCAATCTCAGCTCACTGCAACCTCCGCCTCCCGGGTTCAAGCAATTCTCCTGTCTCAGCCTCTCGAGTAGCTGGGACTACAGGCACAGACCACCACGCCCAGCTAATTTTTGTATTTTTACTAGAGGTGGGGTTTCACCATATTAGTCAGGCTGGTCTCGAACTCCTGACCTCAGGTAATCCACCTGCCTCAGCATCCCAAAGTGCTGGGATTACAGGCGTGAGCCACTGCGCCTGGCCGTATGACACATTTTAATATAAGGCAAAGGCATTAATTTTAAAAAATCATAAAAATAATGAGAACTACCAAGAAGATATTCTATATAAGTATTAGCATAGTTACATATTATAAACTACAAATAAAGGAAAATCAATCCAGTTATTCATTGGTCGCTTAAAGCCAGAGTGCTTACTGTGATGCCTTATGTACAGTAGATGCCTTAATTCATAATGTAATTAAAGAATCTTGGCATTCATTGGTTGGAGATTCCAGTTTGAATTGTTGAAACACAATGAGTGAATCATTTTGAACTACCCTAAATTAAGAATCTCTGAAATAAAATTGCAGTAGACCATATCGTGGCATGATAGAACTATGGCCAATGGAACTATGCCTTTATACAAGGCCTTTAAACTGTATTAGAATAGTATGGTTGAAAACTTAAAGTTAGAATCCCAAATGAAGTTTACCTTGCATTTCATTTCTAATCAATGGCATTAAAGATAATAATAGCTCTCTCCCACCCCTTTTTCCTCAGTATTCAACTAACCACTGGATTCAGTCCTTATAATTTATGATTATGTAAAATTTATGCCCCAAAATTTTTGCCAAAATATTTTAACGTCATTTTGATGTCCAATTTGGTAAAAAACAAAACAAAAAAAAAAAACATTAAGGCACCTAGTAGTTTTATAAATAATTCCCAATGGGGCTAACCTCTGCTGAAAGACATTCTTTGTGCTAAGGTTTCTGACATCATAGACAGAAGGAAAATGATTGTTAGCCAAAAACACTATAATGGTGAGAATTAGTGACTGATAATGTATTCCACTTTTACCTTCGAAAATGTTTGTACAAAACTGGGTTGGGCCCAGTGGTTTTGCACTAAAATCTGTAGACTTTTATTCGCCTAATAAAATGACCACATAACCTGGCAAAATTCTGCGTATTTGGCAGCTCTTCCTGCCCCGGAGGCTGGAAGAGCATTGAATCTGCAGGTGTGGCTTTTAGAAGGTTCAGAGAGTGGAATTAGGGAAGCCAGCCCAGCACCCCACCTGTGTGCCTTCCTGAGGGCCAGGCTGGCGTCCCCAGCATTTAATAGACGTGCAGGGCCTCTATTCATTCCCAATAGATAATGACAACCAAAATAATCAAGGAATTGACACGCTTTGCTGGAAATGCCTGATAATGACATTATAGACCGAATTACAGCAACTTAAATTTCTTTCTAGCAAATGATGCCATGTTTTTTAAAAGATACTTTTGGCACTTAGAAAATAGATCATAGTATTTAATGCTATTGAATATAGTATTTAATGTATTTAATATAATATTGAATATAGTATTTAATAGAACATAGTATTTAATGCTATTGTACACACGAAAAACCTACTCTTCCCCTTGTTAACTTGGATGAGGTAGCTCCCTCTTTTCTTTGAAGGTAAAGTGGGCAGAGGAATAGAATTGTCAACAGCTGGACTGCAGAAGGGAGAGGAAGAAGAAAAAGGTTTTCTCACATTTTTGTTTTTTCCACAAGGTGCTCTTTAATCTTGGGAGCCAGCAGTCATGACCCAGTTATTGAGATCAGACTTCCTGGACCTGCTTATATAGAGAAGTGGGGAGCAGTGTAAGAGCCGGATGTCCACACTGAGGCAGACAGAACAGAGAGTGGTAGTGGGCAAGTTGAAGCAGCAATGACATGATGAAGGGCCCATGGTGCCCCAGGAAGGGGCCCCAAATCCAGGAGTAGGTAACATAAAAGTTCACGCTAATAACCGGACCTGGTGACTGGCTTGATATTCACAAGCAAGACTCTATTCCACTGGAGGTAGTACCTAGTGAAAGCAAATCAGACCACACTCTTATAGAATCTAGATGAACCAGGAGTACTGAGCAAGCTTGTAAGACAGAGGCTCAGATACAGGCAGCAAAACATGGCTTCAGTTAAGAAATGGAGAACCAGGTGGGCCCGAATCTCAGAAACAAGGAAGAAGTACAATGGGCAGAACTAGGGCACAGGAATAGGGTCATGCTAGCTGATCACGTGCCTTTTGTGTGTGTGAGAGAGACAGAGTGTCACTCTGTTGCCCAGGCCGGAATGCAGTGGTGCGATCACAGCTCACTGCAGCCTTGACCTCCAGGGTCAAGTGATCCTCCCATTTCAACCTCCTGAGTAGCTGGGACTACAGTAGGCATGAACCACTATACCTCCAGCTGATTTTTTTTTTTTAACTTTTTTGTAGAGACAACTTTTTGTTGCCCAGGCTGGTGATCAGATGTCTTGAGTCTCAGCATGCTGGCCTAGAGCAATGATTCTCAGATCTAGAACCTTTGTATCAAATGAAGCCTTACAGAGAACCCAATATGTAAACCCAGGCGAAGCAGAGCTCTTCTGGCTTGGGTAGGGCAGGAGGTCTTGGAGCCCTGCCCATCCAGCACCTCCCCAACAGACCCTCTGTGTATGTTGACGTTTCCTTTTACTGGGAACTCCTTACATCCCTCTCTTCTGGGTCCAGGATCAGCCATAGAATTGGAGAGGGTTGAGCGGCCCTGGCTGTAGAGGAAAGAAGACTCCAGAAGCTGGAGAAGAATTCGGGATCTGACAGGAAGTTCAAGGTGACCTCTGGGAGCCTTCTGAGAAGAAAAAGGGCATGCAACCTCAGCAGTGTCTCTCTGCCTCTCACCAAATTGACAGTGGGCCCGAACTTTGCTCATTTAATGAGATAGAATTAGTAAAGTCTCCAGTGTACTTTTCATTCCTTCCACAAGCTTTTACCGAATAAAATGATTGGTACTCAGTAAAGGTTAGTCCCTTCCTTCTTCTCTCCCTCCCTCTCTCCACCACCATTAGACCTCATTTCTTAAAGGACTGATTTCCACTAAAATGCAAGTATTTCTTGGAAGCACATTGAGCTTGATAACTTATTTATTTATTCTTCTGTGTGCATTAATTTATGAACTCATTTCCACCAGACACCTAGCTGAGAGCCATGTTTGATGGATGGGAATCAGAGAAGAAAGCCAGAGAGAGCCCCAGATGACTGAGGGATGAAAGGCCCTCAAGAGACTGGGGAAAGGCAGTAATGACAAGGTTCACACTAACACAATCACACCCAGGACAGCGGCAGATTTGAAGAGGGAGCAGTGCAGACCTGAGGGTGGCTGAAGAGGGTTGCCTCAAGGAGGGTCCCCACTGTGGCCAAAGAGGTCCTTGTAACTAACTGAAAACAATTGGACAGGACCACCACCTGCAGTCCACTCACAGTGGGCGTTTCTTGCACTCATCCTATACCATATTTTATGAATTTTATTTTAAGTTCCAGGATACCTGTGCAGGACATGCAGTTTTGTTACATAGGGAAACATGTGCCATGGTGGTTTGCTGCACCCATCAACCCATCACCTAGGTATTAAGCCCAACATGCATTAGCTATTTATCTTGATGCTCTCCCTCCCCCAACCCCACTGACACGCCCCAGTATGTGTTCCCCTCCCTATGTCCATGTGTTCTCATTGTTCAGCTCCCACTTATAAGTGAGAACATGTAGTGTTTGGTTTTCTGTTCCTGTGTTAATTTGTTAGTTTGCTGTTAGGATAGTGGCTTCCAGCTTTATCCATGTCCCTGCAAAGGACATGATCTTGTTCCTTTTTATGGCTGTATAGTATTCCATGGTATATATGTACCATATTTTCTTTATCCAGTCTATCACCAATGGGCATTTGGGCTGATTCTGTGTCCTTGCTATTATGAATAGTGCTGCAGTGAACATTTGCATGCATATATCTTTATAGTAAAATGATTTATCTTCCTTTGAGTATATACCCAGTAATGGGATTGCTGGGTCAAATGGTATTTCTGGTTGTAGATCTTTGAGGAATCACCACACTGTCTTCCACAATGGTTGAACTAATTTACATTCCCACCAACAGTGCAAAATGTTCCTATTTCTCCACAGCCTCGCCAGCAACTGTTGTTTCTTGACTTTTTAATAATCGCCATTCTGACTGGTGTGAGATGGTATATCATTGTGGTTTTTATTTCTATGCCATAAATATTGAACTGATCTTCCATTTTGCATTTTTCCCACTTTCCATAACCACAGAGTCAACATCGTCTCTGTCTTGGTATGTTATGCTCATTTATTATCTTCTGTCTGTAGTTGACAGGTTTTTCTGAATGATTTTAGGAACTTCAAGTTCCAGTAGAGAGAATGAATGAATGACTTCTCTTAACTGGACTTCTATCACAAAATCATGGCTAACTTCATGCATTCAACTACTGTTTTTTAAACATTCCAAAAAGTGATCAAGACGTCATTCCAGGCAAGCTTTTTTTTTTTTTTTTTTTTTTGAGATGGAGTCTCACTCTGTTGCCCAGGCTGGAGTGCAGTGGTGTGGTCTTGGCTCACTGTAACCTCCACCTCCCAGGTTCAAGCGATTCTCCTGCCTCAGCCTCCTGAGTAGCTGGGATTACAGGTGCACACCACCACACCCGACCAATTTTTTTTTTTTTTTTTTTGAGATGGAGTCTCATTCTTTTGCCCAGGCTGGAGTGCAGTGGTGCAATCTCGGCTCACTGCAAGCTCTGCCTTCTGGGTTCACACCATTCTCCTGCCTCAGCCTCCTGAGTAGCTGGGACTACAGGCGCCCGCTACCACACCCAGCTAATTTTTTGTATTTTTTTTTTTTTTTTTTAGTAGAGACGGGGTTTCACCATGGTCTCGATCTCCTGACCTCATGATCCGCCCGTCTCGGCCTCCCAAAGTGCTGGGATTACAGGCGTGAGCCACCGCGCCTGGCCTTTTTTTTGTATTTTTAGTAGAGACGGGGTTTCACCATGTTGGCCAGACTAGTCTTGAACTCCTGACCTCAGGTGATCCACCTGCCTCGGCCTCCCAAAATGCTGGGATTACAGGCGTGAGCCACCGCGCCCGACCTCCAGGCAAACATTTAAGACAGGGGGTTTTTTTTTGGCTGTAAGAAAGAGATGCCAATCTGTCCCTACTCCTAAGGAGCAAAGGAGCCTGAAAAACCAAGAGGCCAGTTGCTTCCTCTTGCTGTCTTACATTTTTGTATTTCATTTTTCTTTCTAAGGTGCAGTGAGAGCCCAGATCTATTTGTTTAGTCTGTTTCTTCCCATGTTGCTCATACTCACAAATTTCTATTTAAACTTGCCTCCTGGCTTCTTTAAGAGATAAACTGTTGCTGCAGTACGGTTAGGGTAAGGAAATTACCTTACTTAACAGCTGGTAAGTCACCAGCTGTTGCTGCTGGTTATGGTGCCTTGCTGTGCAGTCCGTGAGCTAACTTATTTAGTGAGAGATTTTCCTGCCAATTTGCTATAACCTTGAGGGAGAAAAACTGAAATCTCCCACAGAGGCAGGAATTTATTTTGCAAAAAATGAGGCATTTTTAATATTTGTAGACATTTTAACATGTGAAAATGTTGCATTAATGTTTGAGTCAAAAGATAAGATTCCATTTTGAAGTTACAGGGATTTGCAATCAGTATTTCTAAGGTCTTAGATGTTTGCCATTAAGTTTTCCTTTGCATTGATTTTATTTCCGTTTCTCCATCTGTACATGATTCATGGTGTATGTGCTTGAGGTGGGTGGAACTCGCCCTTGTTGGACAATTTTCAGCATAAGAAGGCAAGTGGGCAGCACTTAATTCTCTCCTAACCCTTAAGATGATAATAAGGACATGTTAAAGGGTGAGACACGCAACAGTGAGCAGAAAAACAAGGTTGAAACCCTTGTACCTGGGAGAAGGCATACAATGTTGGTAACTGATAAAGTTGGGCCAGGAAGCCACAGTCTAGAGTGCATTTGGAGGAGAAAATACAGCGGAATAAGACTCCAGGTTTATTTGGAAATGCCAGGGACGATGGATAAAGCAAGAGGCTGACAGCAGAAGGATGAACTGGAGATGTCTATATGGAAGAGAAGCCCTTTATTTCATCCCTACCTGGGAAAGCCCAGCACCCAGCAGCCGTCTATTGGGTGAAAAATTGATTCATTCCCAAAGTATTTGAATGTTTCCTGAGAAAAGACCTCCCAACCTGGCCATTAAATAATCACCAGCAGGATGGTGCAGCCCACTGGTTATAAACGCTACCAATGTCAGCACAGCTCTCCATCAGTTTTTCCTGACTCATCATTAAATATGAATGGACAAGAAAACATCCATAGCTATTTGAAGAAAGACTGCACCTTAAAAGACAGGGGCTAAAATAAGCAAATGGAAACAATAATCCTAAGGGAGACAAATTTCAGGAAAAAGAATAAAGCTTTAAGAGGGAGCTTTACTTAGTTTCCTCAGAGAGATTGGAGAAAATGTTGCATCCATACATAGAGCAGGATGCTGTAAGAAGAAAATCAGCATGCATCAAGAAAGAACGCTTAGACATTAAAATATGATTGTCATGATCAAAAATTCAGTGGAAGGACATGGAAGATCAAAAAATCTCTTAGAAGAGCAAAAAGACAGAGTAAGAAAAGATGAAAGAGTAACGATTATAAAAGATCATTCAAGTTTCAAAAGCCAATTGGAAAACTAGAATTAAAGAATGCAGAAAATGAAGGAGAGAAGATTATTTAAACACATACACACACACACAGAAACCAATATCTTAAGCCTGAAAGACATGAGTCCCCAGATTAAAAGGGCCTGCTAAGTGTTCAGCACAATGCTAGGTCTACCATGTGAGATTTCAGAAAATCAGGGTTAGAGAGAGAAATGTTAAAGAGCACACAATCTTCTCTGATGTTAAAACACACACACACACACACACACATAGACAGACACACATCACCTGCAAGTTATTGAGAACATTATTAGCAACAAATTCCTTGTAAGCTAGAAAACAGCAAAGCAAAAAGTTACTTGAGGAATTACTTCAGCAAAACGAGGGAGTAAAACAAGCAAGTCAGACATAGAATCCAGCTAAATGGGATTCTTAACCTCTGAGGGACACAACTGAGAGGCAGAGAGGCATAGAACAAGAGACAGTTGCTTTCATTATACCTTTTGTCTTTTTTTTTTTTGACATGTACATATTACTTTGACAAACATTTTTGAATTTTTTTCAATAGCACATATACATCAAATAAGATTTTAAGACCAAAATAGAAAAAGGGGAAAATCCTTTATTCTACCATCTTAGATCCAATCATTTAAATTTTTTTAAATTTATTTTCTTCCCATCTATCTTTAAAATATAAGTTTTTTTAAAAAAAAAACTAGGGTTGTAGTCATATTATATATATATAATTTTATCCCGACTTTCTCAGATAAGCATTTTTCCTATAGTTACATATTCTTTGTAAACATTTTAAATGACTGCAGTTATTTACAATGACATGTACTACAAGTTCCCTAATCTCTATAACTGAATTGGAATGTAACTATGATAAATATTTTGTTATAGAAATAGAAGCAACCAGTTTGTCTGTTAGCCAGTTTGACTCCATCAGGATGTGTTATTTTTATTTGGTTAGGCTCCACGTGTTTTCCAGACTCTCTGTGAGACCATTGTAGTTGTGGGCTCCACATCTCTGAAAAGCATCAAAACCCCTTGAACCTCAAAGACCGCGGTTCCTTGTTTGAGTGACACTGTGTTAACCAGAAGAAGTGCAGGGATATTTCTGGGGGAGAGGCACTACAGCTTCCACAGGGTCCTGCCCACAGGCATCTCAAATGCTTAGTAAACTTTGCTGTAGTTCATTGAAAAGAGCCTACCAAAAATCTAATGAAAACTGAGCTGGATACTAGATTGGTCTTCATCTTATAATGGAACATTTCAGCATAAAACTGTGACTATTTCGGCCGGGTCCAGTGGCTCATGCCTGTAGTCTCAGCACTTTGGGAGGCTGAGGCGGGCAGATCACGAGGTCAGGAGTTCAAGACCAGCCTGACCAACATGGTGAAAACCTATCTCTACTAAAAATACAAAAATTAGCCGGGTGTGGTGACACGTGCCTGTAATCCCAACTACTCAGGAGGCTGAGGCAGGAGAATCGCTTAATCTGGGAGGCAGAGGTTGCAGTGAGCCGAGATCGCGCCTCTGCACTGCAGCCTGGGAGACAGAGCAAGACTCCGTCTCAACCAAAAAAAAAAAAAAAAAAAAAAAACTGTGACTATTTATTTGTCTTTAGTTCAATGCAATAGAAACTGGAAACTCACACTCTTGGAATCCAAATGAATGACTTCAAAAAATGTTTGGTCTCTTGTGTCCGTAAGTGTTTCAGTTTCAGAATTTAAGAGCTCCACTGGACTAGCGCTCCCAATGAGTTAAGGATATTCGCTAAAATAAATGTAGATATGCCGCCATAAAAATGAATGAGATCCTGTCATTTGCAATGACGTGGAGGTCATGTTGAATGGAACTGGAGGTCATTATGTTAAATGAAATAAGTCAGGTACAGAAAGACAAATTTTGCAAGTTCTCATTTATTTGTGGGAGCTAAAAATTAAGATAATTGAACTCATGGAGATAGAGTAGAAGATTGGTTGCCAGAGACTGGAAAGGGTAATGGCAGTGGCGGGGAGAAGTGGGGAGGATTAAGGGGTACAAAAACATAGTTGGACAGAATTAATAAGACCTAGTATTTGCTAGCACAACAGTGTGACTCTGGTCAAAAATAATTTAATTGTCCATTTTAAAATAATTAAAAGTATATAATTGGATTGTTTGTAATACAAAGAATAAATGTTTGAGGTGATAGATAACCCCCAAAAAAGCATGTATGCTGACAATTCCAAAGACATTTCTATTTTTGGGGGAGGCCAAGGAGGGTGGATCCCCTGAGGTCAGGAGTTCGAGACCAGCCTGGCTAACATGGCAAAACGCTGTCTCTACTAAAAATACAAAAACTAGCCGGGTGTGGGTGGCATGTGCCTGTAGTTCCAGCTACTCAGGAGGCTGAGGCAGGAGAATTGCTTGAACCTGGGAGGCAGAGGTTACAGCGAGCCGAGATCGTGCCACTGCACTCCAGCCTGGGCGACAGAGCGAGACTTCATCTCAAAAAACAAACAAACAAAAAGGCATTTCCACTTTTATTTTCCCAATAATTTTAAAGCCAGTTTGTTTATTAAGGATTTACTTAACTCATATGAAAAAGAAACGAAATAATTAAAGTAAAGTTGGCATTATGTCTCACTTATCCAGAAATTCTTTATCTGCCATCCTGCCATCAGACACATAGCCATAAACTCAGAAGTAGTGTAAAGGACCAGAAAGCCACTACGGTAGATGCCACAGATATTAAATATCCAACATCGCAAGCTGTGCTTACAACAGGGAGAGCAACGTGCTTCTCTGCCTGATGCTGATGCTTCCTGGATGGCTGTATTGAGAATTCCGAAGGACACTTCCCATCTCAACTAGAGTGTGTCATCAGTGATTCATGCTAGACATGAGCATGGAATGGGAGAATGATGGTATCTGGCCATCTGCCACTTTCCAATCCATTAAGCCTCACTAAAAAGTCTTGTTTGACTCCTCTGGTTCTGGCTCAGATTTTTTTACAAGGTTGGAAAAAAGCCTTTTACAAGGAAGAGTGTATGAGGCAATAAAAGTTAACTTAGACCACATCCATTCCATTTAACCCATTAAACTTGTACTCTGATTACCGTGGTCCACTTATGGGTCAAGGATTTGGGTACTGCCTCAATGGTGAATGACAGTCATTTTTCTCTCTCCCACTTCTAACACAGCCAGCGTAAGAAACCGTCCTTTTCCATAATATCCATATTTTTAGCGTGTGAAGACTGGCTCCAAAAATCAATTTTAAGTCCACATTGAAAAAGAGCTTTTTATATCATCGTGTTACATTGCGTCATGTGCAGAGTAAGATGAGCTATAAGAAGTCCAAAGTTCCACAGTGGTATATTTTGCATAATACCGTTTGTGTTTCCATTAAATTGTATTGTTGTTTTGACTGACATAGCACATTACATGTTTCTGTATTTTTCTTCCTCTCTGTTTTCTCTGTGAGTTAGCCAGAGTCACTATTTAAAAAAAAAAAAAAAAAAACTATCAGAATCACCAGGAATGGTGTTTTTGAATATAAGATTAAGTAAAAAGGAATGAAATGCTGAAGGTATAATAAAGATGGCATAATCTTAACAGGTGAGTGGCAGGTAAAGTAACTGGTATAAATGATTTCTAATCTTAGCAAAGGGTCTATGAGGCAAGTATTATTGTCCTCATTTTACCAGATGAAGAAGTTGAGCTTTTGAGAAGTGAACATTTGCCAAAGACTCCACAACTCACAAGAGGTACAGCCAAGATTTGAACTGAGGTTTGTCTGATACCAACCTTGGTGGTTTTCTCTCTCTGCCGTTCATGAAAGGTGAAAAAGTTTAAATGATAAATGCAGAGTAAAAGCCTTGTATTAACTCGTAAGTTTTGGTATCTAAGAAATTACAGCCTTTTCTAGATCTTGAGATTATAAAACTATTCTTAAAAGTTGGTTATTGTCAGGCGCAGTGGCTCACGCCTGTAATCCCAGCACTTTGGGAGGTCAAGGAAGGTGGATCACCTGAGGTCAGGAGTTCGAGTTTGCCGCTACTAAAAATACAAAAAATTAGCCGGGCATGGTGGTGGCTGCCTGTAATCCCAACTACTCGGGAGGCTGAGGCAGAAAAATCATTTGAACCCAGGAGGCAGAGGCTGCAGTGAGCCAAAATTGCGTCATTGCACTCCAGCCTGGGCAACAAGAGCGAAACTCTGTCTCAAAAAAAAAAGAGAAAAAAAAAGTTGGTACCAGGTACGTCCATCTGCAGTTTCATCGACTGAGATTATGTAGCTGAGAGAAACTGAGGCTCAGAGATGGCACGATTTAGCTGAGGACACCCAGCTAATTAATCTTGGAGCTAATTAATCTTGGAGCTGAGACCAGCACCCAAATCTCCTTTTCCTCATTCAGGGAACTTTGCATATGGCCTCTTAAGGATTCTGCTATTGAAAGCAGCCAGAAATCCTGTCTTTGAAAGCCATGGGCCATATGGACAAAACTGATCCATGTTTCAAGCATGGAGCTGTGTAAAAACACCAATAAGTCTTTTTTCAGTTCAGTGGCTTTCAGACAAGGTGCTGTCTTATAAAAGGATAAGTAAAATATGAATCGTCTCTAAATTCACCTTTTGTGATAAAATTAACTCCACCTGGGAATTTCTTCCTTCCACCCTTTCTAAAATTAAAACTGAAATCCAAGAGAGGAAGCAGTTGTCTAGTTCTTGATGTACAGAGAAATAAAAGAGCAGTTTTATGTCTCAGGCAGAAGCAGACGAGAGGCCTGTGGGCCTGGCAGTGCAGAGTGAGGAGAAGGAGGCAGGGCTGTGAAAATTCGCTGACAGGGAGGGAGTAGGAGGTGTCCAGGCCTCCAGCGCAGTGTCTCATCTCTAGAGCAAGCCCTCATGTGGGTGAAGCAAGTGCCGATACACAGAGGAGCCCCTGCAAGGTGGGTGGGAAGGTTATTTCAGGATGCCAGGAGCACTCAGGCCAGCTTGGAAGTCCTTTCATGGGCACCATGAGGAAGTCTGTCCACTTCTAAAAGAATTCTGGCCACTCCCAATGTTGGGAGCAGATCTAGCCTAAGAACTAGAACTAGGTTAGAGTGCCAGGTCCCAGCTGATGGATGAGGTTCCAGACAGACCCCACTCCTGGAGACATTTGGGTTCCAGCCAACAGGGAAGAGAGTATGCGATGTGGCACCTGAGCCCTGTCCCAGGGACCCCATCTGCCAGATGTGGCTGGCAGTGAATGGCCAGCATGGAAGGAAGCCCATGGTCCTATCTGTCTCCTTTTCCTGGACCCAAGTGAGCGCTAGCCCAGGTGGACTGGAGTATGTTAACTCTCCCCGCCAGAAACCTGGGCCTGCTATTGAGACTAGGTGAGGAGGGAGGTGGCAAGGGAGAGGAAGAGCAAAGGCATGAGATGAATTACCTAATACACAGACAGCTCATGAAGAGTGACCATCCTCTCAGAGTCACCAGAGTTTCTTTCAAATGCAGATTCCTGGCCCTGCATATCAAATGCCCTGGAAGTCTGGCCAGGGAAATCACAGTTTGTATCAGGTGCCCCATTGTTATCCCTGTTGCACTGTCAATAGGAGTCCTCCAAGGAGAGCAAGGAAGTGCAGACTGGGGCACCTCTGGAGGCTGCACACAGGGAGGAGAGGTGGAAGGAAGAGCTGCTGGCTGAGAAGCTGCTGTCATCATCCTGTGGGGGTGAAGAGGGGGTGTGGGAGTAAGGGTGAGAGAGGCCTCAGGAAGGACTCTCTGGAACTGGAGGCAGTGACTGGAGTTTCCTCTGAGACCAGCCGGCCCTTTAGACTCAAAAGATGAGAGTCACCCATCACCATCCATCTGGTGGAAACATTACAGGAGCAAGTGGATAAAAGACGATTTTGCTGTAAGATCAGAACGGAAAAAGACGAGCCCACAAAGAAAATCTAGAGGGAGGAAAGCATATGGTTTTTAAAATAGTACAGTTTAGAATACATTGCAACACAAATGGATTAATTTTTGTACAGTGTTGGCAATGAAAAGGATTCTCATAGTTATCTGGAATGCTTACTCAGAGAGATGATCTCATTTCCCTAATAATGCAAAATCTTGAGCAGCGTGGGGTCTTATGTTAAGACCCAATGATAAAAAGGGCTAGACTTGGCAGGGAAGGGCACTGCAGGGGTGCCCATGGTGTGTGCCAAGACTCAGGAACCAGAGGAGCAAGTCGTAGATCAGGTGCTGGCAAGCAGGCTGGCTTGGCTAAAGTCATCAATGCAGTGACAATCTTAAACAAAAGTTTGAAATCCATATTAAATGTTTTTTTTTCTTTTTTAAAAAAGCAATCTTACCCTAGAAGCACTACATGGAAGGAAAAAATGAAGTTGCGTAATCATTTAGAAAATATATGTGCTGAGAGAACTTTAGTATTAAAAGGTGATTGTAAAACAATGCAGGATAATAAATCTTAGACCAAAGATAAATCATGAACACCAGGGCAACCAAATGGTCCTAGGAGACTGAAAGGCATCCGTCAGAACAGGCCACTGTAAGTGCAGCTCATTGGTCTCATTTAGTTTCCCAGGAGGCTGAAATGTTGCTCACTGAAGGTCTCGGTTCTGCTAAGAGTGGACTGGGTAGGAGGTGCCAGGAGCAGTTTCCTGCAGGCCCCTGGTCCTCAGGCTGCCAGGCAGCAGCATCCCCATTTATTGTGGTTGTGGCCAAGCAGTTGGCAGCTCCATGCCTGGGGCTTCTCAGCTCATTTCTGCTTCCTCTGGATCTTCCGGTCCAGTCATCTTTATTTATATCCTCCTATAGCATCACCATAGATGGGTTGTGATGAATGCCGTTCATCAACCTAATGGGCTCAAATGGAACTCTTTGAAATCCCCCAGGATGCGTCTTGGTCTAAGAAAAGAATTGTTAACTGCACTTTTAAAACTAGGAATTTATGTCTTCCTATAAATTGACCTCGTGAGGTTATTTGTGGATTCCAATAGGGAAGTGGCCTTCTTAGGCCCCAGTGCCTCCTCCGCCCTCCCCTCACCAGCCAGCTGATGCCCTCTGTCTACTCCTATGAGCCCGGGGTTGCTGAGGACAAAACCCTGGCAGGGTCAGCAAATGGAAGAGGTGTCTGCTTCCTTTCTTGCTCTGGAGCAGTGTGCCTTGTCTCTCTCCTTCTGCCATTTATTCACTCACTCATTCAGTATCTATTGCACTCCTGCTTTAGTCCAGGCAGGGTGCTGAGCACTGGAGATGCAGTGAACAGTCTGTGCTCTGAGGGACCTACAACCTAAACAAATAAGCACACAAGTACTTGCTCAAGGGCAGCTCTGGAGAAGCAGCAGGTGCCATGAGAGCCTCTGTAGGAGGCTCTGGCGGTCTCTGATGCCCTGCTCCTCCTGTTAATGCAGGACTCTGGGGGGCTGACTGCGTATGTGACAGTTCTTTGGATGTTCCCCATCACTTTACTCCGTCCTTCTTTGTGAAATCTCGACCTCAGCAGATGAACACTGTCCTGGCCAGAATCACCCTAGGCTCTGCTTCTCACCCAGCTCCTGGCCCCCTCCCTGTTGCCACTGCTGCAGAGGGAGGCCACCAGGGTTATTGGGTCCCTCGGACTAAAGGCTCAGGTTCCAAGGGGAGGCCAACTACCAGAGGACACCCTCAAATGTGAGCAGGGCAGGGGGCTCAGAGCATCCTCAAGGCAAAGCACAGGCACCCGCCCGCACAAGCTTTGGTTTGTTTCACAGTGTGTAAATCTCTGTACAGTTTTCTCACAATAAATGTAAGATGCAGCCGGGCACAGTGGCTCACGCCTGTAATCCCAGCTCTTTGGGAGGCCGAGGCGGGCGGATCATGAGGTCAGGAGATGGAGACTATCGTGGCTAACACGGTGAAACCCCATCTCTACTAAAAATACAAAAAATTAGCCGGGTGTGGTGGCGGGCACCTGTAGTCCCAGCTACTCGGGAGGCTGAGGCAGGAGAATGGCGTGAACCCGGGAGGTGGAGCTTCCAGTGAGCCGAGATCACGCCACTGCAGTCCAGCCTGGGGGACAGCAAGACTCTGTCTCAAAAAAAAAAACAAAAAAAGTAAGATGCGTACATTGTAATAAAAGCTAACACTTCAAAAAAGGAATAAGGAAAAATTCAGTATATTCTCATCTTCCTTTATGCCAACCACCAGAAAAAACTGCTTTCAATCGTGTGCTGTGTCTCCTTCCAGATCCTTTTGTGTTTATGTAAACATGTTGATTTTTATATTGTCCTACATGTTTATATTGTCCTGTAGTCTATACTTTCATTCACTTGAAAATTTATCCAAGACTTTTCAGGATAGCACACACAGATCCTTCTCATTTTTTCCAGGTATCCAGTATTTCAGTGTGTGAATGTACCATAATTTCTCTTAAAACCAATCCCCCGTTCGTGAACATGTAAATTCTGCCATATTTTGTTGTAATAAATAAACTCATTGCAGCAATGAATATCCATATATACACACACACACACACACACACACACACACACACACACATCTGTCAGTGTCAAACTCTTCTTAGAAAGGTATTTCAGGTCTAGTGTCTTGCATTTTAATGGGTTTTCATACACAATGAGATGCTCTTAATCACCCTCACCACATGGCTGGACAGACATATGCACCCCCCTATTCACTTCTCATATGTTCCTCCCTGGAAACTGCACCTCCGCCTCTCATGGTAAACTCAAGTGCTTGAGTACTCTCAATTGTGTTTTTTGCAGATTCTGTTTATTTCCGTTGAATTTGTTATTGTAATTGTGTAATTTACTTAATTGGCATATAAACTGAAGAAGTATGAGGGGATTATTGTTTTTAAGAAAAAGCATAAATTATATTTCTCTCATTCCCAATTTGAACTAAAAAAATTGTTACTAGCTAAACACCCACACCTAAACACCTACACCCACACATGTATATCAGATACAGTAGCTTCTACCGACTCATAATTTCATCAACCATATTTGGGAGTTGTGTCCAGTCTTAATCTGCCTTGCCAGTATAGTCTCTGGAAAAACATCCTACAGCTGTTTGGTTTATTTGTAGATTGAGTTATCTTTTCTCCTTAGAAATACCTGAGAATGAGGCATGTCTTATTTAGAATCTCTAATATGATCTACCTTGATAAAAGTTGGTTTTGAGCCCTTCTGCTTACCCCCACCAAGCCATTTCAAGCTCTGGTAACGCCCTCAGAAACACCATGTCCAACCTCATATAAGAGAAATGGAAAACCTGGACGTCACAACTGTTGCCTTTGAAAGTGAGAGGGTGTCTGTATATAAACATCCTGCTACTTTTTAAGCTAATATAGTGTTAGAAGTGATTTTACAGCTCCTCTAAAATTTGCAAACTCTTATGAGACTATTGTAGGTACTTAGTTGTTGGATGCATGGATACACAGAGAAGCCCTAAATTCATGCAACAAACATTTATTAATTGCCAACTGTATACCTACTAATTGGCTGGCAACTGGTGGCGCCACCACGAAGCACAGTGGGTACCACTGTTCTCCCAAGGCCTGTGACCAAACTTAAGACTCGGAGCCACCAGGAAGTGCAGAGATGCAGTTTACTCAACAGAGCATGCACTCTCTAAAATGGCCCAGCCCTGTGTGTGCCTGGCCAGTGGAGCAGGATGCTGGGAGGCAAAAAATAAGTTTTCTCATGAAATCTGTGAATTCTCTTCATCTTCTCAAGGCGTGCCTGTGTAATTCAATCATGAATTTTACTTAAACTGTGTGGCATTTGATAGAGCCTTGCAGAGACTACAAGACATCTGACTGCTGTATTTTCTCTTCTAGGATATCAATGAGTGTATTCTTGAAAACTATCCCGAGTGCTCCAACCCCAGGTTATTTTACATCATTCCGTACTTTTGTGGACAGCATCCCAGATGCAGGTAAGGGCTAAAGCAGGGTCATGGCATGCACGTACGCACAACAAGGGCAAGAACCCCACCAGCCTGGTACTCGGTGGGAATCTTTTGTATCCCTAGTCTCTCAACCTTCTGGAATTCAGTTCCTGTTTACTATTAATCTTTCAAGATAATATTTGAGACTCCAAATGTCCTATAAATAATGAAATTTAAAAATCAGGGTCTGTAGAGGCCTCAGGAGACCACCATATAAAGCTTTGTAACTGGAACCAAACCCTTGTTTATACCTAAAACATACTTGTCACTACTCATCCCATGTTGTTTGTCTTTCTCTTTGGATAAAATGACAAAATGTCACATAAAATGTGATCGTGAAGACCAGGAGCGAACACCCAGCCTGCTCCTGTACAGTGACTGACTTAACCAACAACCTGCCCTCGTAGCATGTGTCACTGGGTCTGAGACACTGGAAGCCCACACCTCAATCCCATAGTGGATATACTTAGTAGGCAGAGAAGAAAGTGTTTTATAATGATCACCTGTCAACCTTACTTGAAGGCACAACCTTCTTTAGAGAGTGACTTACTCAGATAGTCAGGACCCCCAGGGTGTGATCTGCCCAGGTCCTGCATCAGCACCCCTGTATACTTGTTAAGAACCCCCACCCAATCATAGTCTCGTGTGTAGCAGCCTCCCCAGATGCTTCTGGCGTAGCTATAGTTGAAATCTACTGTGCTAGACAAATGTCATAGCCTGGAGAAGAAATGGCAGCAACAATGAAGCATTATATTTGCTTGGTAGGAAATCAACCCCTGCTATCAGAAGTGACATTATTCCCCAAAGGAAACATTAACTAGAGGGTCCTTGTGTTTCTGAAAAGGCCAAAGGAGAACTGCTACTTCTACACCGGCAACGCATTCATTGTACCTTTTTGCTTATGCTATGATTTCTGCTTCGTTTTTAGGCGTATTGTTGTTATTCCTGTCTTGTTTCATTTGCCATAACAAAAGAGTTTGCTTATAGTCCAAATTATAGAACTAGGAGTGTTGGTTTTTGACTTCACCATAAGCCCCCTGAGTCCAGGTGGCCTCTCCCCTGCCCCCGACCCTTGCCTCAATAACAAATACCTCCTGGTTAACATTTAGTGCTTCAGGTATTGGGAAGATTTGGGGCTGGATGACTCACTTGCTGATCACAGTGAATATCTTTATAACAGGAAACATGATTTGAACTCCCTAAAGTATTTTTTAAATCGTGTAGTATTTTTCAGATTTTTGAATTTTCTAATCTTGGAGAGGTGACTCATGACACCACACCTTGATACACACACAATGATTTTTATAACTCTTTCATCATATCACCTTGCACAGTCTTTACAACAATGCTTTGAACTAGGTAAGGGTGATTTTTACCATTTTTCAAAAGAGAACCCTGGCTTGCCCAATTCCCCCAAATGATAAATGACAGCCAGGCCTGGAGCCCCACTCCCGGGCTTTTCTCACTCGCCTTAGTGTCAGTTCAGAGAGCTGGCCTACAAATCAGCTCTCTGATTTTTACAAATTAGGCTGTTTTCCTTCTGCAATCTAGACAAACAAAATAAAACAAAACAAAAATCCAAAGATTCCTCTTTAACTCTTCCAAAGAATAAGATGATTAATAGGCATGACCTGACAGCTCTTTTGAGTTCTACATAAATACTATGTCGGTAAGTTTCATATTTCAAAACTCCTAAATTCATTTAATTGGTTCAGTTTGGTCCTCCTATTAAAAAACCATTCTACTCACCCCTTGATTAGTATTTGTTAGAACCTAACTGCTTGTGCCTGCATTCATTCGTCCACAATACTTAGGCAGGGCCTCTGAATTCAAGGCCCTGGGCTTGGCATGAAGCATGGATGAAAGTGACAGAGAAGGAATGGTGAGCAGGGCAGGACACCAGTTGGAAGGACTGGGAAGGCCCTGGATGGGGCTACATCTGGGCTGGTCCTTGAGGGAAACAGGATTTGGACTTATGCAAGTGAAGGTGGGAGGTAGAGGGGGTAAACTCTCAGCATCTTGCTGCATTTCAAATATGAATGTCTGATTTTAAATAAATTTTTATATCCATAAAGGGAGCCTGGTGAATGGGCCCTTGAGAGAGCAAAGCTGAACGTGAATGAAAACTTCCTGCTCGTGGGGATTCTTGAAGAGTTGGAAGATGTGCTGCTGTTACTGGAAAGATTTTTACCTCATTACTTCAAGGGCGTGCTCAGTATCTACAAAGACCCAGGTAACTTCATTTGTAAGCAAGCTCTTCTCCATGAGAGGTCTGTGTCCAGGGCTACTCACCTTGAAAAGGCCTCAGGAAATAAAGGAGTGAAATGATCTCTTCTGATGACAAAGGGCAGTTAGTTCCCTGGGCTTGCAAAGGAAAGTTAGAACCAGGAGCTGCAGATGCCAAAATCTTGAGCTTCATGTTCAGACATAAAAGCACCATGTTCCAAAGGCTTAATGGCTCCATTTCTCCCTATGGAAACTGAAATTGGCAACATTCTCCATCAGCCTTGTCTTGAGCATGTTGCTGGAAACTGAAACTGGCAACATTTTCCATCAGCCTTGTCTTGAGCATGTTGTTGGGGTGGGTACAAATGAATCCGTGTGTGTGCACCTGGACTCCATTGATGGAAACATGCGTGAGTATGAAAGAGCCATCCTTGTGATGAATTCTCTCTGGCCCAACTTCCATTTGATAAAAGCACTCTAGTGTATCAAATCCTGACAGTGGAATAGATAGAGCAGCAAATTGAAAATACAATTATGATTTTATCCTAACAAACCGAGTGGTCCCCAAATAGCAGCAAGAAATAGAATGTGGCAAAGCAATTACAAGGGCTGCCTGTGGTATCATCGTAAGTATAATTACTTTCAGAAATCCATCATTTATTTTTTCATTGTCATTTTATCCAAAGAGAAAGACAAACAACGTTGTTTGTTTTTTCCTATTCTCCTTAATCTACTGCTGTGACAACAAGCCTTGAATACACATTCAGTGATCTGTTTATTGTTCTGTTTTGTTGTCCTGAGATGGAAGAAGGCATTCTGCCCTGTAGAAATAAGCAGCAGATAGGCCCGGTGCGGTGGCTCATGCCTATAATCCCAGCATTTTGGGAGGCCGAGGCAGGTGGATCACCTGACGTCAGGAGTTCGAGACCAGCCTGGCCAACACGGAGAAACCCTGTCTCTACTAAAAATACAACAATTAGCCAGGTGTGTTGGTGGGAGCCTGTAATTCCAGCTACTCGGGAGGCTGAGGCAGGAGAATCGCTTGAACCTGGGAGGTGGAGGTTGCAGTGAGCCAAGATCGCGCCACTGCACTCCAGCCTAGGCGACAAGAGCGAAACTTCATCTCAAAAAAAAGAAAGAAAGAAAGAAGGAAGCAGCAGATGAAAGCTCCCCAAATGCAGTCTGCTGCCTCACATTCCACAGGGTTCCCGAACCCCACCTGCATCACTGGTAGGTCCCAAGGCCCAGGGAAACTGGTCTTTGCCCAGAGAGCCCTGGATCCCGTTGCACAAGGTCAAGGTGGCCCTACCACCATCAGGGACTTGCTGAAGGAAGGTGGATAGTTGGTGGAGGCTGCCTTAGCCTCCCAGCTCTCATTAGAGTTCAAATCCCATTTACCTGAGTGGGGTTGTGAAACTAGGATTTCCTTTGTCTTTTCAACAACAAGCCATTTAAAGAGTTTATAGAATTTTAATGTAAAGAGTTTGATGTGACTGATTTTTATTTCTAGAAGACAACATAAACTCCGTTCTTTGTGCAAGGAGAGGTCTTATCCTAAATTAGACTCCTTTGAAGAAGAAAGGTTTATGTTAATCATTTTCTCCTTTTGGCTTTATCTTGTTCTATGGTGTGTGTGTGTGTGTGTGTGTGTGTGTGTGTGTGTGTGTGTGTGTGTGGTGTGGTGTGGTGTGTGGTGTGTGTGTGTCTAATACACAGTCTGAGATAAAGGGCAAACTAAATCCTGGTGACACATAAGATGAACACTCTCCATAAAAGATATTATGGCTTCCAACTTTGTTACTGTCTGCTCAGTCATTTGCTCTGAGAGAGATCAGCTGCTATGGATGAAGAGAGGTTCACATAGTGAGGAACTGAGACCTCAGACCAAGAGCCACGTGTGTGAGCCATCTTGGGAGCAGCTACTATGACCCCAGTCAAGCCTTCAGATAACTGCAGCCCCAACCAACATGTTAATGGCTGTCTCATGAGAGATCCCAAGCCAGGACCACCCAACTAAGCTACCCCTGAATTTCTGACCCTCAGAGCCAGTGTACGAAATAAATGTATGTGTTTTTATTTTATTAATATTGTTTATTTTAATGAGCACTCTCTTGTCCCAGCATTTGGGAGGAGGAGCCAACGTGAGAGTCCTCTTCCAGTTACATCACCATCCATCCTGAGGTCTGGAACACACACCATTCACAGGATGCAAAACCCAGCACAGGGGTTGTGGACCTGAGAACCTAGATGAGGGTATTTTTATCTTCATGCTTTTGAATACAGATAAACCACCTATAAAAAGCTTAGCCCAGAGGACCCACTTAGTGGCTCTTGTCGTGGTATATCATATTGACTTCCTATTTTCTCCATTTAAATATGTGTCTTCTCAGAAATTATGGGCCTTTATTCCGTGATCTGAAAGTTCGTTAATTCAAGGAGAAAAGATTTCTGAAAACCAAGTTACTATTAACTCTTTTACCTTCAGCCATGATCTTTCCACCTATAAATTAAAGATTATTTTTCCCTCAGAGTTTGGCATAGTAAATATCTCAAAGAGAATAAAGGACATCTGGTTTTCCTGTGTAGTGGGATGAAAGGTTTCCATAAGCCAGGCCACTTGGCCAGTCCACGTGGTCCAGCTGGACTAGCGGTTAAAACAGTGAAACACTTCTATACGGCCTTCAGGGTGCACCTGCCAGCCTGGCTGCCCGTCCTTGTTACCCCCGCCTTTTCCAACAGTGATGTAACGGAAGGACTAATTCATGGCACAAGAGGGATCTTCAGGACCCCGGGCCAGTGTCACACTCAGTGACTGTTCTGAGTTCAGTTCTTGAGTGGAGCTGGTTGTCAAATACTTTAAATATCACCCTAGCATAACTCTCTCAGCTGCCACACATTATATGCCCAATAAAATGAACCTTTGAGTTGTTGCTTCAGTAACTTCTACTGTGTTTTGTGTTCTCTTGGGCATCTTCTTGTGATATGTTTCTATGGTAACATTGAAGACCAAGCTAGTCCACAGTTCCTCTATCCCAACAAGTTTCCGTGTCCCCTGAGGCAGAGGACAAGAGATCAACACACACTCCTGGCCAGTTTCTCAATATATTTTAGCCTCAGGGAAGACTTAGCACCCATATTGTTTTCTCATCACCACAACTGAGTTGGTGTCAAGTAGGTTAAAGAAAGAATAGCTGCAAGTTTCTAGTTACTTCACCATCTCATCTTTGTATTTTTAGTCTAAGTTCATGTCTTAGGGCATACTAAAATCATTACTCTTTCCCTTTATTGAAGAGTTTGATAACTGAGTAGATTAGAGAACAGAGAGAAGAAAAGCTAAAATCTAAGATACTGATTTAAGGGATCTAGTGACCCTTAACTCATTGTAGATTAACTAACCATCTGAAGAGCTGAATTAAGATGCAAAAACACCACTGGCCATTTTTCTTTGGTGTTTGTCCTGTTATTGAAAAACAAAAACAAAAAAAAAAATAGGAGTTTGCTGACTTCTGGTAACTCCTCTCTAGCAATACTAAAAATATGTATACCAGTCTCATTACAGAAGAAAAAACACTAATAGCAATGACTCTTTGGAGAGCTAGTAAAAATCGTAATGTCTGTTAGTCATATGGGTTGTCACTTATTTCAGATTGAAATGATATTCATTGATTCTTTCAAATCAATACTACCTGTCCCAATAACTCACCATTTAGACAGGTTAATAACCTTTCTCAATAACAGCGTAACTGTCTTTTCTTCTGTTCCTTTCTTGTAGAAATATATGCTGACATCAAGTAAATTTGTCTCCTACCAAAAATATTGGAGAAACTTAGCCTTTAGAACTTTTTTTAAACAGTCATTTTATGTTAATATTTGCATTTTATGGAGACAGAATAGAGTATCTCAGAAGCTTAGGATAGTAAGTACTTGAGATGAAATAAAAATTAGAGTTTTAGCAAGATGGATAACCAAGAGAATATGCTTGGTATTTCTTCCAGCCGGTGCGCAGCTGCTGATATTAGGACAAGTACTGTGGAGTGGGCATTCAGAAAACACTGCTCAATCCTGACCATGAGTTTGAATTAGGGAGCACCAAGGCCCCAGCAGGTTTACTCGGTAGAAGCAACCTCACTGGTTGAACATATACATAATTATTACATATGATCACATATGTCATCTTATACATAATTATTTTTTATTGATTAATCCTTATTATGTTTGTTTATTACTTATCACCTTTTAAAAATGAGAAACTGAGGCCAGGTATAGTGACTTGCACCTGTAATCCTACCATTTTGGGAAGCCAAGGCAGACAGATCACTTGAGGCTAGGAGTTTGAGACTAGCCTGAGCAACATAGCAAAAGCTCGTCTCTACTAAAAATACAAAAAAAAAAGTCCAGGCGTGGTGGCTCACACCTGTAATCCCAGCACTTTGGGAGGCCAAGGTGGGTGGATCACGAGGTCAGGAGTTCAAGACCAGCCTGGCCAACATAGTGAAACCCCATCTCTACTAAAAATACAAAAAATCAACTGGGCATGGTGGCAGGTGCCTGTAATCCCAGCTACTCTGGAGGCTGAGACAGGAGAATTGCTTGAACCTGGGAGGCAGAGGTTGCAGTGAGCAGAGATTGCACCACTGCACTCCAGCCTAGGTGACAGTGTGAGACTCCATCTAAAAAAAAAAAAAAAAAAAACAGGCCTGATGGCATGTGCCTGTGGTCCCAGCTACTGGGCAGGCTGAAGTGGGAGGATCACCTGAGCCTTGGGGAGGTCGAGGCTGCAGTGAGCTATGATGATCGCACCCATTGCACTCTAGCCTAGGTGACAGAGCAAGACCTTGTTTCAAAAATAAAATAAAAGTAAAAATGAGAAACTGAAGCCAGCCCAGAGAAGTTGAGAGAATGATCCATAGTCATCCACAAAAATGTGTAAGTAAGGGGCAAGACTCACATATTTCTGAGCAGTGAATATTAATGTATTTCTGAACACTTTTTCTCCTTAACTCTTAAAGACATGCTGTGAGCCATCAGTATTTTTCTAGTCATAATTTTTAGGAGCTAAAATCTCAGTGGTGGTAAGGGCCAAAATAAATAAGCACATGAAAGACAAGGAACATGTGAATATGTGTAATAGGAACAGTCATATGAGCATCCCTCTATAAACCCTTGACTTGGCAAATAACCGAGCTGTTCTGGTTCAATAGCGCCACCTAGCATCCAGACATAGAACTCTATGACCTAATATTAACCCATTACCTTCTCCCTTCCTAGCGACTTGAAAACTCATGTGTCCAATCCTTTTACTTTGTGTTTTAAATACTTTCCATGACTAGCACTACATTAGTATTCATTTTCAACACGTTTCCATTACAAATGTAAACACTGGAGCCACAGTAGGGAATTTACTAGACTTTTGTGGGCTGCCTTAAGAATATGGTCACCAACTATTACAAAGGAAAAATATGTAACAAATTCCAAACGAGTGACTTAAATCCTAACTTTGAGGATTTAAGTTCATTTATAAGCTAAGTGCTTTGTTTGGAATATTTATACTTAAATAGTTTTATAAACAATCACAGAGTACACATTTAAATATTATGCTTTTTTTTTTTACTATGCATGAATGATAAATTAGACCTCCCATTAGAAGGATGGTAGTGTGCTCACTGATTTCATTGACGTTGCAGTTTTCAATTTTGAGGATATTTGCTAGAAAATGATAACAAATATGTAGAAGAAAACTTTTAAATACTATGCTACAGAAATAATTCAAATTTTAATCCATCAATAAAAATATCAGCCTGAGTTCTATACTAAATAATAAAAGCTTGGCCTATTTATAATAAAGAACAGTTATTCTTTAAGGAAAGGACATTGAGTTGGGAGTTAGGAGGAACTTCTAGTTCTTTGTCTGCCATGGGTCTGCCCATATGACCAGGGGCAAATCCAGTTTTCAAGTGGATGGTCTTTAAGATCTTATTATTCTAATACCAGTGTATCATGTAGAATGTTTTAAGGCTGCTTGTTCTGTCTTTTGTTACTTAGCACAATTATGGGGTGCTTTTACCCCCTCAAAAATATTCCTAGGCAGTCCCCATTGCCTTAGTAATCCTCAAGTTTAGTTGTGGGGGTGGTCTCCACCTCTTCGTGTCCTCTAGGACAGGATGAAATCCTAGCTGGAGAGTTCCTCCTTCAGAATGTGTTCTTCCCTGGAGCTGCTGATGCTCAAGTGATCAAGACAGGGGTCCCAACTCCAACTCTCTGGTCACAATTTCCATCCCTCTCTCTTCATAACACACACACACACACCTGTGGAGAAGACAGTATGTCATAATGCAGTCAAATGCTCTACCACTGAGTTATCCCCCCATCTTTTTTTTTTTTTTTTTGAGACAGAGTTTCACTTTTGTTGTCCAGGCTGGAATGCAATGGCACGATCTCGGCTCACTGCAACCTCTGCCTCCTGGGTTCAGGCCATTCTCCTGCCTCAGCTTCCCAAGCAGCTGGGATTACAGGCTCCCACTACCATGCCCAGCTAATTTTTGTATTTTTGGTAGAGACGGGATTTCACCATGTTCATCAGGCTGGTCTTGAACTCCTGACCTCAGGTGAGCCACCTGCCTCGGCCTCCGAAAGTGCTGGGATTACTGGCGTGATCCACCGCGCCCGGCCTAGTATGTCATAATGATTAGAGCACAGGCTCTGAGATAGATAGCCCGCATGCTAGACCCCCTCCTCCACTTAACTGCATAACCAGAGGCAAGGTATAGCCCCTCTAAGCCTCAGTTTCCCCATCTGGATAAGATGCATAAATAATCTTATGTACTTCATAGGTTCTTGTGAGTCTTGCATGATCAATCCATGTAGAGTCCTTAGCCCAGCCTTACTATATGGTGAGTGTTCAGTAATTAGCCTGCCCACCAAGCCCATCACAGGAGAGACAGGGCTGTCCCTGAGAGAAACTGGACTGGAGGTTCTCTTTGTAACTTCTAGGTGAAAGAAAGAGGAAAAAATTGGAAGGAACAAATGAAGGAAATGATTATCCTTGACCTGTTTCACCAGTTACAGCTGATACATTACAAGGAAATCTCATGCCTTTAAGAAACAATATTTCTGTATTACTGACTTGGGCAGAGAGGAACGAACAATTATATTCCAGTCAATAGCCTGTTCCAGAAACAATTGCAAGGAATAAGTTAAGTGGAAATATTACTACAGTGACATGCTAAGGGGCTGGAAGACACACATAATCCAAGTTAATGAGGTTTTTATGCCTGAACTCTTACCAGAAATATTAGGGAGCTAAGACTTTTCACTAAATGAAACCCACTGTTGAGACGTTATTGGGGCCAACTACCCTTAACTTATGCTGAATATTGAATTTTGCTGACTGTTATATTCCATGTTATTTAATAGACATAGAATGATAATAGAGTTTTTTTAAGTAAGATTCCTAAGATTCAGCTCTTGAAAAACTGTTTTCCATGTGCAGAATTACGTACTTCAGAACACTAAATTAATGAATTAATAACCTTTGTCCAGCAGGTGGCGATGTCTCTCCATTTTCTCAAGAAAGTGCACTAGGTTCCCTAATAGACTTTGCTCTGCAGACGGGAGTTTACATAACGCTTGAACACAGATGTACAATTATGTCCAATTTGAGGCCTAAAAATGAGATTTTTGGATATGAAAAGGATTCCAAGTCCAATTGATTGCAGTAGTTCAAACTGCACTTTATGAAAGCCAGTGGAGACTAGGGGAAGAGGGTGGAGTTTTGCAATCAAATAAGTTTATGTGAGTTAAAAGTATATACATGTATATCTAAATTATATATAAAGTATATGTAATATATAATGTATATATTGTACGTTATATATTATATATAAATTATATGTAATATATAATGTATATATTGTATGTTATATATTATATATAAAATATATACATTATATTGTATACATTATATTATATTATATTATATATACATTATATATTATATATATAATGTATATATAATATATAATGTATATATTATATAGATACACCACTAACTCTGGCTTTAGTTTTAAAAACTAACATTTTAGAAAGCCTGAATTAAACAAATTCTCTCTTTCATTTTTAATTTCCATTTTTATTTTCCACTTCTATTGCTTCTGTGCTGCAGCAAAACTCAAAAATATTCTGGAAACTCCCAAGTATACAATGATGGTTAGGAGGAATTCAGATTAGCTATTTTTAGAAGGCAATTAAGTTGTTTTTAAAAACTCAGTTTTCATTGATGAAAACAGGACTCCAATTTGCTATTGGTTCATTTACCATCGATATTCTCTATAAAGATTTTTTTTTCACCAGCCATGTCCCAGGCTCAGATCCTAATAATGTCAGCACTGGATCTTGTGTGTGTGTGTGTGTGTGTGTGTGTGTGTGTGTGTGTGTGTGGTGTGTGCACCTACCCATGTTCAAACAACTAGACTCCTTATTATATAGCACTCATACATGATGCAATCATCTTAAGATCACAAAATCAGTAAGTTTCTAAGTCATAATTACTTGTATAACAATATGCAGTTATAAAACACTTTCATATAGATGATCTCATTTGATTCTTACACAAATCCCCTGAAGTTGAGGAAGACAATTTTTTTTTCTCATTTTCTAAACAAGGAAACCAAGGCTCAAAGAGGCTGAACAACTTGCTCACAGTCTCGCCAAGTCCTAAGGGACAGCACTGACATTCACGCTTCTGTCCCCAGGCCCATCACAAAACATAAATCTGTGATTCCTCTAAAACTCTTCTTTATATTTAATCATTAATTCAGAAGTTAGTGAGTACTAAGCATTCATAGTATGTATTGCCATTAAAGGCAAGAGCTTAAAAATAAAATCTAGGCTGGGCACTGTGGCTTATACCTGTAACCCCAGCACCTTGGGAGGCCAAGGCAGGAGGATCACTTGAGCCTAGGAATTCAAGACCAGCCTGAGCAACAGCAAGATCCTGTTTCTACCAAAAAAAAAAAATTAAAATTAAATATATAGTTTATCTCTGTCCAACGTATCTGTCTGTTCACTAAGAAACATGAGTTTAGGAATCATCATAGATGATTGTTTTTAAAAACTCAATTATCATTGATGAAAACAGGACTTCAATTTGCTATTGGTTCATTTACCATCGATATTCTCTATAAAGATTTTTTTTTTCAGCAGCCATGTCCCAGGCTCAGATCCTAATAATGTCAGCACTGGATCTTGTGTGTGTGTTACCTTAACACACACACAAGATGTGTTATCTTAAGCCAGTGTGTTATCTTAAGCCAGTACGAGGCAATACACACAGAAAAAAATAATTTTGAGAATAGATCTGTTTGACAACACCTGACGTCTTTCCAGTGGGGGTTGCGGGGACGTAGGGAATAGCAGTGCAAGGTCTTTAAGATAGTGTCTAAAAATCTAAGCTGGGCTGGGCATGCTGGCTCATGCCTGTAATCTCAACATTTTGTTAAGCCAAGGCAGGTGGATCACAAGGTCAGGAGTTCGAGACCAGCCTGGCCAACATGGTGAAACCCCATCTCTACTAAAAATACAAAAATTAGCCAGGCATGGCAACACATGCCTGTAATCCCAGCTACTCAGGAGGCTGAGGCAGGAGAATTGCCTGAACCCGGAAGGTGGAGGTTGCAGTGAGCTGAGATCGAGCCATTGCACTCTAGCCTGGGCCACAGAGCAAGACTCATCTCAAAAAAAAAAAAAAAAAAGTCTAAGCTGAAGGCATATAACTGGTTCAGCTGTAGCTACTGGGCAAATAGTTCATTAAAAATGAACACATAATGTAAACCCCTTTAACTTCTAAACACTTGTGATTTTTTTTAGTGAACATTTTTCTGAGGGGAACTGTATAACCACAGGCTGATAACATCATTCAGTTTACAGAAACATCACCAATTCACAAGAATTCAGCCTCTAGGCTTGTTTAATTTACTTTATGAAAGCTTAAATTGCAGCATAATATATGTGCGTTTGGCCTATTTCAACTATTACTCTTTGTTTTATTGGAAAACATGTTTTACTCTTGCTTACTGATTTGTTCTTGCGTTGGGATCATCTCTCCTCCAGGAGAAAGCATTTCCAATTTTATTATGAAAGATTAACAGGAAAATAGAACTTCCTTCACAGACATTGATGTTCTAGGAATAACTTTACAAAAATATTTCTCTTCTCTGAAAACTAATATTTAAATAGGTGTAATCTGAAACTACCAGAAAAATTCAACAAACACCTCCAGCAAATAAATAGCTGAGTGTCTGTGATGTCCCTTTCCTGGGGAAGGGCAGTATAAAGATGAAAATCTTGTCTAGCTGGAAGGCCGTCACTAACAGGGCTGGGGCGCATAACCCTGTGGAGACATTTGTGCCCGGCCTTAAAGGGTGCGTAGGAGTTTGCCAAGTGGACGTGGAAGGAGGCATTTTAATAAGAGGAAAATAACATGATTGGAAGCGTGGAGGTGAGAAAGCATAGAAGCACTCAGAGTGAGGAGAGCTGGGGCTTGGGCCAGCCCACGTCAGCCCCTGCCTGCGGACCCAGCCTCTTGGAGCCAGGCTCACTCACCCTGCCTTTAAGACGGCCCTACCAGAGGCAGGAGAAGGATCCGCAGCCTCAGCTTTCTGTGGCGCAACCTGGCACTGAGTCACTCATACCAATCTCAGCGCCAGTGGCCAAGCCGCTGCTGCCGGAGGGCCTGTGTCACCCTCCCCCCGTTTCCCTGCCCTCTTCCCATCCTACCACCACCCAAGCTCCCTGGCTTCCTAACAGTGTGGCAGGGATCCTCCCAGGCCCCCATCCTCCTCCAGCCTGAGTTCTTCCTCCCTGCTGTCTTCCCAGTCTTCCCCACTAAGATCCCACCACCCTTCAGACCCGGGCTCACACCAGCTCCTGCTGGCCCCATGTGCCTCGCACCGAATACAGGAGGTCGCACACTGCATCCCCAGACACCAAGTACTGCCCTGCTTGACCACCTATGTTCCCCTGGGCCCACCAGCATGGACTCTCCTTCTGTTACCAGTCACTGCCTGATCCAGGCATGAGCTGCCTGTGTCCCCCGACATCATCCTCCTGGCACCATCCTCTGCTCTTCCTGGCCTTCTTCACTGGGAGCCTTCGGGATCATCCCTCCAGATCAAGTTCTTCCAGCCCCACCTCCCTCCCACCCTGTGCACCCAGGGAAATTCATCTCTTCTGGGTCCCAACCTTGGCCTCGGGAGAGCCCCAGATGCCCCCCTCTGTGTCTACCCCAGTTACTCAGTGTGGTCAGACTTGGGGGTTGTACAGTTTTCTGTCTCATGATTCATTTCCCCAGGCAAAAAGCTGGCTAATAATATCTGGGTGTGCGGGGGAGGTACCAGTGTGTTTCTGTGTTTGGAGGTGAATTTTTTTCTACTTTAGAATTTAATCACTTCTACTTTGAGCAGTTTTTAGCTGAGCTGACAGTAATATGCTCTGCATTGAGTATTTGTAGGGGGTGGAATTAGTCACCACAAATTTCAATTTTTGGACTTTCCTGATAACGCCACAAAGCTGAAAGGCTTCTAAAGCTTGAGCAAAGATTGGAAACTTGACCCCAGGGGTTGATGGTTGATCTTTATAAAAACGACCTTGTGGTCAGTTTGTTCTTTTATGCTTAAATTGTCAAGGTCCCTGTCCACCCCAGGAATTAATGTGGTGATGTGGAAAGAGCACTAGACAAAGGATTTCAAAACTGTCTTTGGGCCCTTGGCTCGTGGCCTTAGCTCTCTGACATTCTTTGCTTATAAAATGTACCCCCTGCCGGGGCGAAGTACAATCCTTACCCATTTTGCATGACTCAACATTTTATAATGGAAGCTTCTATTTTTGTCTGGCTAAATCTTTTTCAAATAAAAATATTTCTTGGTCTGTATATTTTTCATGTCTCAGACATTTTTATCAATACATAATGTCCTAGCTTTTCACATCTTGCAAATGGCACAGAATTGTGAAAGAATACAGCAAAAAGCTAGAAATATACCTGTGTATATAACATTGCTGGGGATTTTTATGTGTGGTTTCTTGTGGGTTCTAGTAAGCACGTTCATTTCATTACCTACAAACGCATAGAAAAATCCAACATAATCCCACACTGATGAGAAGAAGAGAGGGTTGTTTGTCAGGTGGGGTAGTTTCACTTGACTTGAAGGTCTCACCCCGCCCCTCGTCTTTACCATAGCATACGCTTCTAGATGCTTCTGCTGCATTGTCAACCAGACTCTACCAGAACTGTTTTTCAAAACATGTGTTCCTAGGATTTTACCTCCCTGCATTTTTTGCTATATCTATTAAGTAATGCATGTATATAATTAAAAATCAAATAGTCCTATAAGATGTATAATGAAAACCAGCAGTTTCCTATTCCAACCCTCCCAAAGATGAAGTCTGATGTTGCAGAGCCAATCACTTTCAGCGCAGCTAGATGTTTCTTCGGATAATCACCGCGCTATCTGTAACTAGTATGCACAGGCTGCTGTTTCTTGATTTACTGGGGTCATGATCTCATTCTCTTATTCCATTACCTTTACTTCTACTTCCTTGCTCCTCTCCATCTTCCTAAGATGGTCATACCCACATTTGAGATGCATGGTCCTGCTGACGTTGCTGTGACTATATACATTTTGTTGGCTGCTGATCAGAGTAGTACATCATGATTTTGTTTCATTTCTTGCACAACTTAATTGTTTTTCCTGGAATTATTTATTGCCTTCATTTATTTGCCTAGATTTATTTGTACCTATCAAAAATTTCGTATGTGCCAAAATTTTCGTATGTGCCATTAGATCTGCCGCATTCAGTATTACTTTTGGTATTATTTAAATATTAATTACCAGATAAGTATGTCAGTTCCATCCCAACCTGCCCTCCCTTCCCGCAGAGGCCCTCTCCTCTTTCCACCCAGAGCTCTTTAAGCTCCATCGCAGCCTGCCCTCCCTTCCCCCAGAGGCCCTCTCCTCTTTCCACCCAGAGCTCTTTAAGCTCTATCCCAGCCTGCCCTCCCTTCCCCCAGAGGCCCTCTCCTCTTTCCACCAAGAAAGCTCCTGCTCCTAGTATATCTGGGTTCATTACTCTAAACACAGCTTTACTGCAGCTTCCCTTTACTATGTTTCTCAGTTGGGTCCAGTTTTCTTAATCTCGGGGATGCTATTTCTTGATTTAATAACTCATTTTACTTCAAGATGTTCCTAAGTTGCCTCCTCATGAAAGGTGCATGGGAGGGAAATTTTTTTTGAGTCATTGAAGGTCTGAAAAGCTCAGTATTCTACTCTAACTTGATGGCTAGTTTGGTTCTCATATTCATGCTCATTCTCTCTCTCTCTCTCTCTCTCTCTCTCTCTCTCTCTCTCTCTCTCTCTCTCTCTCTCTCTCCTTGGATTGTCTCTTTATTCCTTTTATGAAATTTTACAATATGACTCGGTATGTGTGCTAAATATTTAGTGGATACTTTCAGGCTTAAAACTCCTGTCTTCTATTTCTGGGAATTCTTAACATTTTGTTTCTTTGATGATTTTACCACCATGTTCTGCTTCTTTTCTGGAATGCTTTTAGTGGTCAGATACTTGAACCTCTAGATTCATCCTTTCTATGCGCTTCGCTGTTTTTTCCTCCCTCAATTGCCATCTTTTGAACATTTTTTCTCTGGAAGAGTTCCTCAATTTGTATTCCAGCCACTCTGTTGAATCTTCTCTTTTTCAGCCTTTCTTTCTTCTTTTTATATAACATCTTGTTCTTGTTAGTGAATGGATGCAATATTACCTTAAAAGTCTAAAAATTATAGACATTGGTTTAAGCGTTTTCATTTATTCCCCGCTTTATCTCTATTTGCTCCAGATTCCTTTGTACTGTTTTGGTTGGTTTGGGCTCTCTTTTTCAGTCTGAAGGCTTTCCTCTGGTGACACTTGTCTGTCTTTCGTTTTAAGAGTGAGGCACTAAAGAGCTAATTGCAGCCGGACATGGTGGCTCACACCTGGAATCCCAGCACTTTGGGAAGCCAAGGTGGGTGGATCTCTTGAGCTCAGGAGTTCAAGACCAGCCTGGACAACATGGTGAAACCTGTCTCTACAAAAAAAAAATACAAAAATTAGCTGGGTGTGGGGGTGTACAGTCATAGTCCCAGCTATTTGAGAGGCTGAGGTGGGAGGATCGCTTGAGCCCCAGAGGCAGAGGTTGCAGGGTTGCTGTGAGCCAAGATTGTGCCACTGCGCTTCAGCCTGGGTGACAGAGTAAGACCCCATCTTTAAAAAAAAAAAGCGAAGAAAAGCTAATTGTAAGTGCTGTGCAATGAAGGAGGCTCATTGACCAGTGGACCTCGCTTGAGGATAATCAAATAGCAATAGAGGTTTTGCTGGAAAAATATTTGTTAGTGATTGTAGTTTTTTTCTCTCTGGAGTTTGTCCAGTTTTCCCACGGAAAAATTATCCAAACATCTGCTTTGGGGATGGGAGATGAAGTGTGGTAGGAGAGTGGAGCATGCATGCAACTGGTTGCTGGTGTGGGAACAGGCGCTGAAGGTTCTCACTGAATGCACCAGTTTCCCCAGTGCTGGGATTTTAGCCCATACCTCTCCTTCCCACTCCTCTGGGTTAGCAAATCGGTATGGAGCCTCTGCCCAAACTATCTGGAGACTGATCCTAAGATTGCCTGCCCCTGGCTGTGGAGGGAACTGGGGTCCCAGCTGCTTCATACCTAGACTGCCAGCCTCAGACCCAGCTCTCCCGTCGGGGACACCCAGTGGTACTCCATCTCTGACTCTCAGCTGGGTGAGCTGACACTCCCGAGCCATGTCCCTTTTCGTCAGCACTTCAGACTCTCTTCGTCTGCTTTGCCTAATCGGATGCGTGCCTCCAACCGCATTTCATCTTCCAGAAATTGGTGGAGGCCTGCCTTCCACTGATAATCCTTCTCCAGCATTTTATCCATCTTTTAATAAAATGCCATCTTTAATAAAATTATCATTCCTTCACTGTCATTTTAGAGAAGTTTTTCAAAGGACAGGCATTGAAGGCATGTAATCAGCCCACTACATTTAACTGGGAATGTTCTAACTACCTGAACTTTAAGATTCTGCTGCCAGCTTTGTGTTTACCGTTCTTAGCTAGATCTGTCACACACATATCTTTTATGCAGTATCTGTGTAGCCATGATGTGAATCAAACTACCGTAGCACTGCCTTCAGCATCTGTATCTTGGGATTATAGTACTGGTAAAATTTCAAAAGCAAAACTAACAAAAACAAGATCCTTTAACGGTAATTGATTAATTAATCCCTTTTGGGTTTTTACTGGATGACATTACCATGATGAAGCTCCACACTTAATACTATGATTTTAAAATTACCTAGAAGACAAATCAGGGCTGTACTGGAGGTTTCTTGTGGGAGGAAATGTAAATTATAAGAACTGATAAAAACAGACTCCTGTGATCAGAGGCAGAGCGTATGACCATTTAAAGGTATCATTCCACATAACCTGGTGGAAAAGGACATCTTCGTTTCCTGTGCTGTTAGGTGTCAGTTTGGGGGAAACGTGTTCCCCAGGTTATGCACAGATGGCGGCACAGGCATGGAGTGGGGGAGTGAAGGCCTCGGGGGGTGAGCACAGCCAGTCTGCTCATAGACAGAAGGAAAAGCAGCCATCGTGAAGGCTCGTCTGCCGCAGCTGCTCCGGTAGCAGGAGCAGCAGCTCATATAACAAATGTTTCATGACGAATGCAAACAAAAGCCAGCTCCGAAATTCCAGCCATGTTATGTCCAAGCCAGTTCAAAATCGTATAACCACTCCATTTGAGTTTTTTCCCCTCTCTAAATACATTCCATATGAGCCGTGGTGTCAGGGTTGCTGGGATCGCCTGCGTTCACTCAGAAAACTGTTGTTAAAGCCCAGACTGAAGGGAAAGTCAATCAGTGGGAAAACAAACTCAAAGAAAACACGGAGGCCCAGGTGTGGGGGAGGGGGTTTTCCCCAGCCAGGCAGGACCCCTGGAATGAGGCTGGAGGCTGGCGAACACTCTTCCAGCACAGAAGGAAGAGTGTTCTTGCCTGGGAGCAGGAATGTGTTCAGTGGGGCCCCTGTGCCTGCGGCGGCCTGGCCACAGCCAAGCACCGCGACTCAAAGTGTGGTCCACGGACCGGTGCCAGTCCGCAAGCTGCTTGCTACCAGCCCGTGACGAGATAAGGGCAGAAATTAAGAAGCAGCATTTGGAAGCTTTGATGGGAATTTTACGTGGCTGTGGTCATTTTTCTGACAATTTATTTTTATCGTCATTTACAAAAGTGTCAATCTGAAATGGATTAGGTAGGGAAAACAATCCGAGGTTATTGGAGAAGCACTGCCGTAGATTTTCCTCCCAGCGTGGGCTGCCTGGGTCAGCAAGGTAGAAGGCCAGCCAGTGGGCAAGACCACTCCTAAGGCATCTGGGGCCTCCGAGGCGCCATGATTCTTCCATAGGGTTTGGCCTTCTTGGCTTCAAAGCTCAAACATGTGCTGCCCCATAGCAATGGCCAGACGCCCAAACCTAAAGAGAGAGAAACTCTGTCTTCCTAAAACTGGTTCCTTTTTGACCCAAAACCTTTAAAAGTGGCAATTTGCATTTGGATAGCGCTTTTACAGTTAGCAAAGTACCTTAGACTTACATTGGTTCACTTGTTCACATCTCTGTTAGGTAGTGTTGTGAATCCCCTAACGTTACCCAAGAATTGAGACCCCTTCCCCTGCAAAATATGTTGAAGTCCTAATCCCCTATATCTGTGAATGAGACCTTATTTGGAAGTAGAGACTTTGCAGATGTAATCAAGTTAAGATGAGGTCATACTAGATTAGGGTGGACCCTAAATCCAATGACTTGTGCCCTTAAAAGGAGAGAGAGACTGAGGCTCAAGGATGAAGGCCAGTGAAGATGGAGGCAGAGACTGGAGTGATGCTGTCACAAGCCAGGGAGCACCAAGAATTTGCAGCCACCCCTGGAAACTAGAAGAGGAGGAAGGATTCTCCCCTCGAGGGAAACACAACTCTTCCAACCCATCAATTCTAGTTTTCAAAACTATGAGAGAATAAACTTCTGTTGTCTTAAGCTACCTGGTTTGTGGCAACTTGTTATCATAGGAAACTAATGCAGTTAGAAGTCCTCTTCCTCCCCATTTCCAGGGGAAGACCTGGAGGGTCCGTTCGCATTCAAAATCTGCCCACGTTCAAAGCAGCTGTGAGGAGCAAACCTTGGATTAGGACAAAGAGCCTTCAAAGATGAACACTGTCCTCTGGATTGCCTTTCTTTGTTGTAGAAAGGAATTGGGGGGAAAAAGATGTCTAATATTTGGGGAAAGCTTTATAAGTGATTTTACAGTGATGCAATGAAATATAGTGAGGCGGTTGGAGTTTTAGTTTGAAGAATGTTAATATATTGGAAAACAGAAAAACAATGAAAAATCTGACACAATATTTATATTTATATTATACAATATTTTTATGTATTTGTTGTATACACACACACACAATATGCTTAGCAGAACAAACTAGAAGGGAAAATACCAAGAGAACTGCAGTTGTTAGTTGTGGTGGTTTCTGCATGGTTTTAGTTTCTCCTGTAGACTTTCCTGTGTTCTCTGCCTTTCCTGTAACACACGTGCATTACAGAGAGCCACATGTATTAGGGACCATCCCTGTCCAGACACTATGCGCTGTGATGTATATACATATTTCTTTTTCTTTTCATTTGTTTTTTGAGATGGAGTTTCACTCTTGTTGCCCAGGGTGGAGTACAGTGACACGATCTTGACTCACCGCAACCTTCGCCTCTCAGGTTCAAGAGATTCTCCTGCCTCAGCCTCCTGAGTAGCTGGGTTTACAGGCATGCACCACCACGCCCAGCTAATTTTGTGTTTTTAGGAGAGACGGGGTTTCTCCATGTTGGTCAGGCTGGTCTCAAACTCCCGACCTTAGGTGATCCACCCGCCTCAGCCTCCCAAAGTGCTGGGATTATACATGTGTATTTCTAATAGTCACAGCGGCACGGCAAGTTAGATATTAGCATTGCTATTCTACAAAGGACAAAACACAGCCAGACAGTCTAAGGACCATACTCAGGGTCTCATAGCTGGTGCAAGGCAGAGTCTGTCTGGCTCCAAACCCTGTGGGCTTCCCACCACGCTTTGTAGCTTTTTCTATTTTTGTGATCAAACAAAAAAAAGGACGACAGTGAGAAGGGCCACAACTGAGCAGCGAGGAAACTGTCGCTGTGGCCCCTTAAGGGAGGGCTTGCTTGTGCTCTGTCCTCTGTCATTTGCACGAAGTGGAGGAGTCCTCTTTTTTTTGGCAGTTAACTCTACAGGGGCTTCTTGAAGACAGGGGCCATGACCCGTCACTTCCATCAAAAGTCGTGACTGGCTCTCCTTCTCCCATCCTTCTCTCCTTTCTGACCTCCTGCCTGGCAGAGTTTTCAGAACAGCATGTAAAGCATGGTTACTCACCGAGCGTGTCTGGGACAAATACCTGGACATGCCTACCTGGGTCACTGGGTGGCCTGTTCCTCCACCACCCCCAGATCTGAAGGCTGGTTAGGCATAAAGATAAAAATTGCCACTGTTCTCTTTTTCATACAGTCCTGAGCTCTTCCAACTCAAACAACTCAAACCTTGGCGGTAACAAAGTTAAGTATTTAATAGCTTTTTAAATAAAGTACTGAAACTAGTTTGATTCCATTTGTATATCACAGTGTCACCCTAGCATTTTAATTTTCACTTGTCTCATTCTTTCTTTCTAGTATTTTGATCTGATTTTTACCTGTATTATTTGTATTTTTTCCTGCAAAATGCCTGTAGATACTAGCAGGTAAGCATTGTAAAAATAAAATTGTAGGCCGGGCGCAGTGACTCACCCCTGTAATCTCAACAGTTTGGGAGGCCGGGCGGGCGGATCACGAGGGCAGGAGTTCAAGACCAGCCTGGCCAACATGGTAAAACACCGTCTCTACTAAAAATACAAAAATGAGCCAGGCATGGTGGTGCATGCCTGTAATCCCAGCTACTCGGGAGGCTGAGGCAGGATTATCACTTGAACCCAGGAGGCGGAGGTTGCAGTGAGTCGAGACCATGCCATTGTACTCCAGCCTGGGCAACAAAAGTGAAACTCCTTCTCAATTAATTAGTTAATTAATTAAAATAAAATTGTATTTTGTATGTAGTCAGTCAGTGAAAGACCTGCGATTCAGTGCATTCTCCAGCATGTGGTCCCCCTAAGCACAGGTGCCAACAAACTGAACTCCACGGCGTGGCTTTGTAAGGGCTCAGAAACATCCAGGTAAAGACTCCCAAGGCCTCTCCTTACTGGTTTCTGTTTCCATGATCTGAATGCATTTTCTCAGCCATCTTACTAAGTTGTCATAGTAGAGACAGGCACTCTTTGCCCCAGTGAATGGATTGCGTGACATCCTCCTCCTTGCTGTGAGATACAGCCTGTGCATCCCCGTAAGACCCTGGGTGGACCTCTGTTATACAGAAACATTGCCCTTTTAAATAAAACCTAAAGAAAGTCCATGTTTCCCAGGTCGGCCTTGAAAAAGAAATTTCCTGAGGGAGAGGCAGCTGGGCCATTTATTTAACAAACACTAGTGATGGTGCACTTACTGTGGGCCAGACAGCATCATGAGGGCTTTATGGATATTGATGCATTTAATAGTCCTGATCTCTGTGCTGACTTCCTCCTTGCCTGGGACCTCTTGCTAGCCACTGCTGGCTGCCTGTGATCCACTCCAGGAGGAGTTGGAACCTGCTGGCTCACTAGTGGGCAAAGAACACCTCCTCTTGGACCTCCAGCCCAGCGAGCTATCGCTGCAACATCCTGCAGGAGAGCAGAGGGCAAAGGCATGAGATAGGAGCACAAATGCAGTGAGGCCAGTAAGTGTGACTGGCCTGTTGAGGTTCATAGCCAAGGAAGAGACCTGGAGCTGGGATGTTCTACCTTTTGTCCCCTTGTCCATGCCCCTTGCTCTTCTGGAGGGAACCCCTCTCCTCCAGGGTAGCCCCTGCACACCAGGCCTTCAGTTTAGTCATGGAGATCCTTTCCACAGTGACACAGAGTGTTGGTGACAATCTCTGGTCATGGTGAAATGCGCCGCTGTTCAGATGCCTCTTCATCGCTTGTTCTCTCCCACAACTGGAGACCATGACCAGAACAAAGAGAGTTTCTCTTCTGCATCCTGCTACTCCATCTTCCTGGACAGATTCCCCCGCTACATGCCTGCCTCCAGGCCTCCATTCCCACACCCTAGACCACCCTCTCCATGCTGACCACCCTTGGCACCAGAACCGTCCTCTCCTAAAACTCGACTGTCCTGTGGCCCACTCCCCGAGGACCCTAATAGATCATTCTAGAACAAAGATCTAGAATGATCTAGAATACAATATATTGACAGCTGACAATAACACAATTTGTCCTTCCCAGGGGAATTTCTAATAATGAGAATAGTGATCACAGAAATACTAGAACAGTACTTTCCACGTAGTGGGTGTACAGTAAAAATGTATTGAATTAATACTGAATGCATGTACTGTGATAAACATTTTATGTGGGCTACCTAATGTAATTATCAGAATAATCCAGTGACTTAGGCACTTTTATTATTCCCATTTTACAGATGAGGAAACTGAAGTTTGTATATGACGTCACTATTTTATGGGGAGGCTCCTTAGAAAAAAAAATCATTTTAGGCACTTTTTACTATACATGTACTGATAATTATTTTAAAGAGCTTTTTTTGTAGGAAGTATGTTCTTTTATTCATCTAAATTTGGTGCACTAAAAATACAGGTGATGTGATGTGAACTGTTGGCCATTTAAGCAGGTTCATTATCTCACATCTTTGGCCCTTCCTGCCATTCCTCTCATTAGCAGTGTGGGCAGAGGGTTAAATCTTGGCTGCCGTGGGATATGGTGAGAAACCCTATTTGTGGGTAGCTTGCCCTGGTCCACACTGCACCAGGACCTGGACCCAGGCATAGCACTGCGCCACCCTGCCACCCGTGGTCCAGCAGGGCCCTGAGGCAGGTCACTCCACTTCAAAGGAAGGAGTCATTCATGGTGGATGTCCAGGCGTGGCCTGTGCTACTAAGAGTGAGGGCTTTTTGCAAAAGAGCAGATTTTCAGTAGTACTTTTCCTCCTCCCCACAAACTATGCCGTTCCTACAACACTAAGTGTGGCCCACAGCAGAAGTTCTTAACCTGAAGTCCACCACATGGTTTTCAGGGAATTTTTATTTGATTTGATATATATTTTTTCCTAAATGTGAGATGGGGTCTCATTGTGTTGCCCAGGCTTGTCTCAAACTCCTGGACTCACGTGCTCCTCTTTCCTTGGTCTCCCAAAGTGCTAGGATTATAGACATGAGCCACCACACCTGGCCTTTCAGGGAATCTTTCAGCTGCTCCATCACCATCCTTTTCTTTCTTTCTTTCTTTCTTTCTTTCTTTCTTTCTTTCTTTCTTTCTTTCTTTCTTTCTTTCTTTTTCTTTCTTTCTTTCTTTCTTTCCTTCTTTCCTTCTTTCCTTCTTTCTTTCTTTCTTTCTTTTTCTTTCTCTTGTTTCTTTTCATTCTTTCTTTCTTTTTTCTGGAGACAGGGTCTCACTCTGTTACCCAGGCTAGAGTGTGGTGGCATGATCTCGGCTCACTGCAGCCTCAACCTCTTGGGACCAAATTCTGTCCTCCTGCCTCAGCCTCCCAAGTAGCTAGGACCACAGGTTTGTGCCGCCATACCCACTTATTTTGTTTATTTTTTATAGAGGTGAGGTCTCACTGTGCTGCCCAGGCTGATCTCAAACTCTTGGGTTCAAGCATTCCACCCACCTTGACCTCCCAAAGTGTTAGCATAACAGGTGTGAACCACGACACCTGGCTGCCATCCAGTTTATCAGAAAAAAATTTCATATTCCTGCTTTTTTTCTGGGAAGCAAAGAATTTTCAGATTTTCACAGGCATCCGCATCCCCTAGAACAGTGAGCATTCCAGTCTGTGTGGAAGGCCAGTGCTGTGGCCTCCTTTTCTGAGGGCTGGCCCTACCACGGGAGAGGAAGCACTCTGGTGGGAGCCTTGATGTGGACAGGCGTCATCTGACGGAGAGCCACCAGGAGGAGCCACTGGCTGCTGTCAGTCGGGAGAACTGGCCCGAGGCCCTGAGGCCGGCCATCTTGTTCAGAGCCAGGATGTGGCGCTGGCACTCCAAATGGTGACCAAGCCTTTTGTTTATGCGGGTTGACTTCTGGCTCTGCCATGCTTCTATATTTCCACATTATAACATAGGATATTGTTTGCCTAAGTATAATAGGGCATGTGCGTTGGTTCCTGGCATCAGCCATGGAAGATTAGCTTACTTTCACCAACTCAGAATCAGTCCCAGTGGCCATCACAAAAGACCACACAACTCCCAGAGTGTCTATAAGTAGATACAAAACCACATGTGTTATTAGTCTTGATCTTAGACCATATTATTATTAGCTTTGCTTTGGTTGAAAGTGGGCCCCATCATATTGTTAAAATAGAGTTTCACAGCCTTTAAGTGACTAGGGTACATCACTTTTAAGATGTTTTTCCAAAAGAAAATGTTAAATCCCAAATACATTTTTGGCTGAATAGTTGGTTTTAATGGTTCAGAGTCAAAAACTGTAACTTAATTCCTAGTAAAACTTGAATCAATTTCATGAGGGTTTTGCTAAACATTTCCCTCTGTTCAGCCTGAGACTTCTACCAGTTCTTAAATCTCAAGCAATATTAGCATATTCTTTTAAAATGTCAATGTTTTTTCATTTCAAAAAAAAACTCTTGTCAGTGTCTGACTTCTGTTGACATACAGTAGCTTATTTGTGGCCTCCATTATGGTATTGTGGTTAAAGTCTCCCATTTCCCCTCACTCTCTTTTTCCCTAGTATCAGTGAGGAAACACAATGTCAAATGACAGTCTGAACAACTGGATCTGTACTGCTGGCTTCAACCTCAAATGTAGTTCGCTGCCTTTCTACATTTTGCTTTTGAGGGGGATGACGGTCGGTGGGAATGTTATTCAGATATCAGCATCCGTAGGCTGAACTTAATATGAAGTGTGAGTGGTGCCCGCTCTGCCTCATTCGGCCATGGGGTTTATTGGGGAAATGGCGTCTGCTGCATGCCTGTGGCTCCAGCTTAATACCACCAGAGACAAGAATGCTGGGCGCAGCTGAAAGGCAGTAACCCATCTGGAGAGCTCCTAAAAAGGATCCAAGTTTGCTTAATAATGTGCTCAGTAGTCTAATGTTTTGGGCACAAATAGCAAAAAGCTCTTCCAATAACACGTGCTTTGGATATCAGATTAATCTGGGGCAGGAAACACTTGCAAAGTGGAATCCACCCAAGAGAAAAAGGCCAATATGCCAGCATCAAAGGCTTAGTGTTTTGTTTTGCTTTACAAAGTGAGCACATAGTGAGCACACATTGCTGAAACAATCAATGTCTCAACTGTATGCCAAATTCTGTAAGTTGATAAGTACCATTTTTTTTATTAGGGGTGTAACTAATAGAGCACTGCTTTTATAATCTAGTCCTACTTTCAGATTCAGAGAGATTTAGGCATTCTGAAGTTAAGTCCCAGGGCAGGGTCTTTACTCAAAGTGTGGATGTGTGGACAGGCTTTCTGGCTATAAGCAGTAGCATTAGCTATTTGGGGCTCAGAAACCCGTGCATTTGAAATTTGTCATTTTTTGTGAAACTGGGTTTTTATTTTGAGAGTTGCTCCTGTGTTCCTTATTTTTCCATGAGTTCACCTTCATGGTATACTAAACTTCATTTTTACTTAAGATGCAATGCTACATAGAAATAAGGAAAAGGGATTTATTTGGTCCACAAACTCAATTTATTGTATTAGGTTGGTGCAAAAGTAATTGTGGTTTTTGTCATGAAAAGTAAGGGCAAACATATTTTTGAGCCCAGATGATGTGCCCAACCCTGCTAGTCACACAAAGAACAGAGAGGACATGGATGGCGCTCACCAGGAAGTGTGTGTGGGTACCCTGCGGATCTCTAGGCACAGGCTTAGTAACAATTCTCTTGTCCACCACAGGGAGGTGACTGGAAGGTGCCAGGAAGCCCCAAATGATTCTAGTTCACTATTGCCCTCTCATATACAGAACATCTCTCTCCTGCAGTTGAAAGACTGAGCTTAAAGCCAGCAAAAATCTCTGAGAAGGAGAGGTGGGGTTTTAAGAGCAAGGCAACCCCCTTCTAGTTCTCCATTTTCTTTAATCATCTATGTAGGATTTTGTGTTTTATTTATTTAAAGGGATGCAGATTACTCCACAGTGCCACAATTTTGCCAGTCACCCAAGTCTGGAAGCTTGAAGTCCTTTCAATTATACCTTAAAAAAAGCCATCTCCCAGAATATCTGCTTAGAAATGTTCTAGATATTTTCCCAGCTCACCATAGAGCTGGGAAACCATCACAGAAGCCAGATTGCTGAATGCCAGGCATGTGACTGTCAACAACTATTGTTTTCTGGAGGCCACAGTCAAGAAGTATTCAATAGAAAATTGGAAAGAGATTTTCCCTTCAAATCCATACACAGCTTTAATGCACTTAGAACATACCTGTGCCTGGAGTATATCGTGCATCCCTGTTTATGGAGCCTAGAGTCTTATTTGGTGAACAAAATGTAAGCAAGAATGGCTTCAGTCCTATCCTGGAAGTTTAACAAAAGCAAGCTCAGAGGCTTCTTTCTGTTGGGAATATGCAGGTCACACACAATTAGTGTTATAAGTTGGTCCCAAAACCAGTCTACTGGCCAGGGGTAGGGCCACCACTGCCTGTTAGCAGGCCAAGGAGTTGGCTGATCTTTGGGTTCCTGTTTCACTTCAGCTTGTTCTGGATCATCTGCTAGGAAGCTAAAAGCTGCTCTTTAACAAGAAGGCATCTTCTATCTGTGAAGTTTTCTTCTCCTTTCCTGAGATGTGAAAATGGTATAGTACATAGGTCAATCATGGTCTTTGCAGTCAGTAGACATGGGTTTGAATCCCAGCTCTAATTCTTACCAGCTGTTTAACTGTCGGCAATCTCCTTAACCTCTCTGAATGTCTGTTTCTTCATCCGAAAGCAGAGAATGGTGACCTCACAAAGCTGTTTTGAGGATTAATGGAGATAATGTGCCCGTGCACCGATGTACAGTTTCCAAGGCACTTTTCTAATCATCTCATTTGATTCTTCCGTTTCCGTCTGCAATAGGGCAGGGTTTTCAAGTGCTCAACTTAGTCAAGTTTTTGAGTTTGAAAGGAGAGACCAACACAATTGTTCCAAAGTCTCTCATGATGCAGATTCCAGCATTCCCTGGTGTGATCCCTTGTGAAGTGTGGCATGAGGACTCTACTGGCTTCAGCTTTTCTGGTGGCAGTAGAATTGCCCATCTAGTGCCTACTGATCTGAGTGGACTTGACTTCTTGGCCGTGTCTCTGTTTGGAGTTAAAGAGGAACGATTTTCCTTGTGCATTATTTTGAAAATCACCTTTGAAGTCACTAGTTAGAGTTGTTTTCAAATGCAAATGTCGAGGTCACATGAAGTTGAGTGACCACATCCTGTGGCACATTCCCACTTGCTCTTCTAGTTTATTTTTAATACAGACCAAGAGTAAAAATATATACACACCCCATTTCAGATGCAAATTGAAGCCAGACTTTGTTTCTACATATCTGTGAAATGGAGTAAGCTAACTAATGGGAAAAAAGATTATGCCTAATACTTAGACATAGTTTGCTAGTAGTTGCTAATGTCAAAATAACATTGAGTTTTTAGGAAAAATTAAGGAATGTGTACAGAATGATGCTGCAATTATAGTCTTTATGTCTTTAATGAAATAGATTTAGGATTTCATTAGAAATCCAATAGAAGTAGGATTTTCCACACTAAGGCTCATTAGTCAGAGTCAAGGAAACACATTTTCATAATCATTTATGGAGCATTTCAAAATTTAAAAGTCCTTTTGGCTCTCTGAAATCTAATCTTATGTGTTCTCCCACCCCTTGGCCATTTTGGGATACTTAAATGAGGTCAGAGTTTTTCATTAACAGTTCAAGCCCTTGTGAGAAATTCTAGCCCAGAATTTCTACTTGAAATGTGAGCACCAAACTTTACTTTGGGAACAACAACAACCAAAGAAATGCAAACCAAGAGGACAGACCATGTTCATGCATGAAAATATGGAATATCACAAAAATGCCATTTTCCTCACATGAGCATATAATTTAAAGTATTTTTTTTTAGCTTAAAGTGATTCTCAAGCTCATCTGGAAAAAATAAACAAGTGACATGGCCAGTGATCTTTTTTTAAAGTAATGAGAGGAGATTTGCCCAACAAGATTCAAAAATACTAGAAAGCTCTTGGGTTTAAAATAATGGTGTAAAAGCACAAGCTCAGATAGACAAGTCAGTGAAACAGTAACAGAAACAGTTGCTAATGCAAAAGGTAATGTGCTCTCTGGTAAAGATCATTAAAAAGAAAGAATAAATAAAGGTGTAAATTAGTTAGCTAAATGTTTAGGGAAAAAATAGTCTCCTTATATCATGGGCCTTAATAAATTCCAGATGGTCTAAAGAGTTCATTTTTTTTTTAATGAAAATATGAAAGGAATAGAGGAAAATATAGTTGACTGTTTTTTGGGGGGATGGGGTTTTGCTAAGGATTTACTAAGCATAAAAGCAGTAAAACACATATTTATACAAGGAGAAAGTAAAGGGCTGGCATGGTGGCTCATGCATGTAATCCTAGCACTTTAGGAGGCCGAGGCAAGTGGATCACTTGAGGTCAGGAGTTCGAGACCAGCCTGACCAAAACCCCATCTATACTAAAAAATACAAAAATCAGCTGGGTGTGGTGGCGGATGCCTGTAATCCCAGCTACTCAGGACGCTGAGGCAGGAGAATCGCTTGAACCTGGGGGGCAGAGGTTGTAGTGAGCCGAGATGGGGCCACTGCATTCCAGCCTGGGCAATAGAGTGAGACTGTCTCCAAAAAAAAAAAAAAGAGAGAGAGAGACACAGTAAAGAATAAATATGTTTAATTGAAACTTTAAGCATGTTTAAAACATACTTAAGTTGGCAAAATATTTGCAACAATGATATCATATGATTATATTTTACCAAAACATGAAGCATTTTTTACAAATCCATAAGAAAATCACTAACAGAAAACAATGGAGAAAGAGAAATACAAGTTACCAACAAATACACTAAGAAATAAGCCCAACCACATTCATAATCTAAGAAGTGCATATTAAAATGAGACCATATTTTCTATGAAATTATTATTGTCTGTTATGTGAACAAACACTGAGCAGTCGTGGAGTCCCCGATGATGAGGATGAAGAGAAATGGCGCCTCAGGAGACTCCTAGAGGGAGAGCACATTGTTAACCCCTGGGGTAAAGAGCAAGTTAGTGATACATCTTAAAAGCCTTCAAAATGCCCATAGCTGCAGAACTGATAGAAAAATCCTGTACCTTGATTGTGGTAGTAGGGGCATAGGTATATATAGCTGTCAAAACTCATCAAATTGTATATTAAAATTGATGTGTTAATTAAATGTAAGTGATTCTTTGATTTCTTGGTGAGGAAATAATGTTTACAATCTTTGACCCATTTCAATGCTAGAAAAAAAAATCATACAGGTACATAAAAACTATTATAAGGATGTTCCTCACAGGATAGTTTACCATTGCACAATAAAAAGACAACTGTAAAAATAGAAGAATAGCTAAATACATTTTGATATACCAAAAACAGTTAAATGACATAGCTGATTGCTTGAAATATGATGTGACATGAAGTAAAGGAGAAAAGAATAGTAAATCGTATTTACAATATGATACCAGTTTTACTAGAAAAACTACGTGAGCACAGGAAATGATTAAATTGAAATGCTCAGAATGTTGATGTTGTTAGTCATATCTTTGGGTGGTGGGATTATTAGTAATTTATTTTCTTCATTTCCCAACTGTTAGATAGTAAGCATGTAGCATTTTAAATTATGGGAAAAGCATGAATTTTAGGAAAATAATTGAATGTTCAGATAAAAATTATATGGAAGCAGAAGGAGAGCCCACTGGCTTACTGTGGAATTGCTGGGAGCACACAGAATTTTTATCCCTCTCTCTTCCGTGTTCTTTTCCTGCACCCGCAGCAACACTGATGAAAATGGGGCAAGTAAAGAACATCATTCTCGAGGGGGCAGCACAGTTGTGTGCACACAAAATCCTGGGTTCCACTTTTTGTCCCTTTACCAGCCCCTCTCTCTAAGATATCTAACCTCTTTTTGGCAACTGTCCTTTGGATTTCATCAGTTCACCTGGCAAATTCTAGCCAGTAGTTTTTTAAAAACTCACCTTGTCTCTCTCTCTCTCTCTCTCTCTCACACACACACACACACACACACACACACACACACGTGGCCCTTTCTTGTATACAGAAGCTATAAAATGTGTGTAGATTTCTAGCCCTGAAATACTAAAGTTCTATAATTCTGTACTTAACTCTTTAATAATCTTGACATTTTATCTACCATATGAACTACGGTACAAACACCATTAAGGGCAGGACTTGGCTTTCCAGGCCTGAATGCAGGTATTTAAAATAATTGAATTACAAGAAGGTAGCTCATAGATCTTTTCCATTGCAGCATAACTGTCTTGAATCTGAAAACACATTGTCTGTCTTAACTCTGCAGTAGCTGACACACCCTCCTCCTCACAAGTCACTGTAGTAGTAAGATTAAATATTATAATGATGGTTTAGCAAATCGGATGGGGACTCATCAGCTATTTTCATATCAAGAACTGAGGTTGAAATATGCATCCTTTATTTGTTTTTCATTGAGTGATTACAGATGGCACCTAATAAAGTCTTCATGCTGTGATATCTTGAAGCCATTGATTTATGTTTGGTAAGTGTGGACACACCAACTCTAGTCAACCTCCCTCCCATTACATACCACAAGGAATGTTAAAATGACATTTGCCTATTTGCTTTTTCTAGTGACTGATGAGGATCCTTTCTGAGAGGTAAACACCAGCATTATTGAGGAGTGAAGTTTAGGCTTGATATTTTTCAATAAAGTATATTCCTCATTATACTTTATCCTCCAAAATAAAATGACAAAAATAAAACTTTGGACTTTTCTTTGGATACATATTAGCCAAAACCATCATGCCCCTGGTAAATATAAATTGATTCTGAGTTTTTAGAAAATAAATCACGAATTGTACAAAAACATTGAGAGTCAGAAGATGTTAGAATACTGGATGTGGAGGTGAATTGGTGTGCCTTTTCTTCCATTTGATTTGGACTATGGTGTGACTGACTATTTTAGCATCTCTTCCTAATTCTTTCCTTTGTTGAAAGTGTTGTAAAGGCCCACATGCCAAGGCTAATTGTGGGGCCAGAGCCAGGGAGACTGCTGGGCAGGTGGTTATCTAGGCAGGGATGGCAGTTGGGCAGAAGGCACAAGCAATACAAGCTCTGGGAACATCAGGTGGCTTCAGTCTAGAGACACAGATCAGGTAACCCAGGGAAAGATGGTGGAGTTGAGGAATAATGCTAAGAGTGAGGGCCACAGACCAGCATCGACCAGAAGCCTCCACGGTGAAATATGGATTCCATGAGCTTGGACTCAGCAGCCAAGAAAAGTCTCATTTAATAGTCATTGCGATCTCAATTTCACAGCCATATCGATGGAGAAACATCTGTGCTCAAGAGGAGAGAATTCCACAACAGCTTACAGCCACACACTGGTCATCCCTGTGAAAGATGCAGCTGACCAGACATGATGTAGAAAGTCAGGCAGGCCCTCTGAACCCCATGGGCGCCTCTGCCAAGTGGTGGCGAGCATTCTGGAAAAAGTGGAAAGGCCAATACAGAGAAGTGACGGGCCTGCAAATGGTCCTGATTTTTCTAACACCAATTCAGGGGCATCATTGGGTCTTTTGACCCAAGATCTTAAGTGGATCCTCTGTGCATTTCATTACTTAGTTAAATAGCATGTCATTCCGTAAGAAAGCAAACCTGAATTGGTTTTGCCTAAACTACATAGCCCAGGAAATTGAGCAGAGGATTGAATGGCACAGTTCCTGATCTCAGCAGGCTATGGTTTCCCCTTTGTATCTCCACTTTGTATCTGACTGCATTTTCTCTTTGCCCTAAACCATCCAGCTATTGCAGTGGCGATGGGGGGGTGTCTGACAAAACTTTACTTTTCTTCCTTTTTTATTAAAGTGTTTCAGATGCTGCAGTCATGAATGATTTTTGAATGTTTATTATTTACCTAATACAGGCAAGAAGATATAGTAGAAGATAAAAAATGAATAGAAAAGAGATAGTACTACCCAAATGGAACTCTATTAGGGAGGGGAAAATATGTGAAACATCCAAAATATATTTTTGACATTTTTACAGAATTAAATAATTATAGATTATACGGTATTCATGATCAAGAAGTGCTTTGGAATTTTATGCACCTAATGAATGTATAGGTGGGGAAAGTTGATCTATAAATGCACATGTATACTGTAAGGGATATGAATCTTTACTTTCACTGAACCACCAGACCTTAAAATTTTATAGGAGCAGAGCATCTCAAAGTCTTGATGTCTGTAATTTCATAAAGTATCATTAACACATTAAGTTTCAACTAAATTGAAATTAATTGTTTCATTTGGGGAGATTAGCATTTTTCTATTTCAGTGGCAGAATACTGATGTTTCAAGGGAATATATTTTGAGGATAACAGTCATAATATTAATAGTTGTTGTTATTATATTTAACACTCATTGGGAGCTTCTTGTGTCTCAGGAATCTTGTTAAGTCCTTTAGATGTACTATTTCATTTAATCCTAAGAACAACCCTGTGAGGAAGATACTATTATTATGTCCATTGTACAGATAAGGAAACCACCAACTTAGAGATGATTCATAACGCTTCTATGTTACTGAGCTGGTCGCTAGCAGCACTCAAGTGATTGAACATTCAACCCAGGCCCAGGTGACTTGCAACCCCGTGCTCGTAAGCTCTTAACTGGTCTCTCTCTCTCTCTCTCTCTCTGAAAAGGGCAAAATCTAAAACATGATTATCTGAGGGAGATGGGGTAGCTAGAAAAGTAGGATTCTATGAAATGTTATTCTGCTGAATTCTCAAGAACACAGTGTTTCTGGAAAGCTTAGTGGTTCTGTTGAGGTGATGTTCATTGATATTCTAAATGTGTTACTTTGTTTTATTTTTTTGTTGGTGGGGGAAGACTTTACTAGTTGGAATTACTAAAATCGCTTTAATAAAGTGCTTGCAAAGACTCAATCTGGTTAACAGTAAAGCCATTTGTTTCAGTCATGTCAGCAACTTTGGTTTTCATAAGGGTTTTAATGAATCGGAGAGTGGAATTTAAGAAAGCAAACAATCCAAGGAATACTCCTTATTTTTCTAAAATAGCAAAGCAAAAATGGGAACCCTTTCCAGTTTAGTTACAGCAAGTATCTATTGGAGTTTTAGAAATTCTTAGAGTACATCATTTATCATATAGAACAAAACTTGATTAATGAACACTTTTTAAAAGTCTTTTTAGGGTCCTATTATTATTTTAGTTGTTTAGATATAAAAATATTTTATGACATATTCACTGTTAAATTTATAGTGAATTGACATTCAGTGACATTTGTTTTTAAAGTTGTTTATTGAAATATGTAGTCTACCAGAAATAAGTACGGTTACCAACTACTGAAATCAATTTAATAGTAATTTGGTCTTGTTAGTCTGTTAAAAAGAATTATTGGCCTTCAGATATTTCCACAAAGCCCTTTGTTACTCATGAATCCCATCAAGATGCTATGAATAAAGACTGTGAATATCAATAAGTTTGAAAACATTCCATGCTCATGTTCAGGGTCATATTTTTCCCTGTCTTCTATGTTCCTCTTTGTGGCTATAAACCCAAACTTATGTGTTGTGTGTTTTTTCTATGACAATTATGGATATGACTTATTTACTATATGCTCTATGAGGTATAACCTAATGTCAACTGACTTCAACTATGTTTGCCATACTTCCAAAAAAATAGCCACTCATGTATCTGTCTGATCAGGAGGTGAACCGATGGTGCTGTATGAAATTGAGAACTAATTATCTCATAAACATTCTAAGTGGATATAAGGAATTATGTGCTCAGTTGCAACCACTAATTTATCGAAGCACCGGGTCTAAATACCTCAGGGAATGCACAGAAGCCTGATGGTTGAAAAGCCTTCAAAGCATTCTCTCAGCTAAAAAGTACAAGAATTGGGGCTCATATCTAGTGCCTTTTTGGACAGTTGGTCACAGAAGCTTAGAAACATTGGCACAAGTATTGTCAGGTGGAGCCTGGCCGTGACCTCTGTGAAATGGCTGTCATGAGCTTGGCAGGGTGGGAATAATGGCTCTCCTGCCACCATCTGTCACCCCTGTCCAAGACACCAGCACAATTTGAGAGCAGCTGTGGTTCCCTACCCTATTCTCACCCCATCCCCCCATGCCCAGCAGCTCCCTCCCTGGGACTTTGGACCTCGTGGGAAAAAAATGGAGAAGGAGGGAAAGAAAAGTACTTGAGGGTTTTGTAAATGTTCAGAAAGGGAGGGGGGTGCGGTAGAATTAAATCTACCCAAAGAAGAGCCAAAGAGCTTTCACTTGCTTTCCCTTCTAGCCAACCAGTAACCAGTAGGCCTTCATTTTATTGTCACATGTAAAACTCAAGAAGTGATGAGTAAGTAGCATTCAATTAGAATTTAATCTTTTTTGGTAGAAATGGTGTAAAAGTTTTCAATGAGGATATGCTGATTCCTGGTTGCATGTTCCACAGCCTTTGATGTTCAACCACATCATCTTGCACTTATAGCTAAAAGGTGTCAGACACCTAACATTGTCTTAGCAATCTTCTGTGGTTCCAGATACTGTGTGCATCTTACAGGCTGGAGTTGGGGGACACCGATGCTTAATGGGAAAACTAATGACTTTATACAGATCTTATAAAACTCTGCTATTGTCGGGGGGCAGGCATTTAGTAGATTAAGTTTGTAATCTAAGAGAGGAAACTGGGCAGGAAAGACAAGAGTGAGGTGAAGCACCACCGTGGACCAGAAAAAGGCTTGAAATTAGAAGCCTTTGGCAAAAGTGTGAAACTTTGCCACTTTACATTGTTCAGTGGGTCAGAAATTGTCAAAGATTTTCTTTTTTCTCCAAAGAGAAATGACGAGGAAGGAGAGACATTTTTTATTTGTTCTGGGTGTTTGTTTATTGTTTGTTTTGGACAAGGTCTCACTCTGTTGCCCAGACTGGAGTACAGTGGTGCAGTCACAGCTCACTGCAGCCTAGACCTCCCCGGCTCAAGCAATCTGAAAGAGAGACATTTCAAAATTGAACCTAAGACTCATGGTTTATCGCATGAGAACCCACAGCTCTCACAGAAACTCAAGAAATGTCTTAGTGAGGGGACTCAATCCTTTACACTTCGAGCTGAAAGGACGGCAGTCAGCCCAGCCAGGAGGTTACCTCAGCATAGACCAAGTAAATAAATCATTTGGTAGAAGCCATTTGAGAGTAAAGGTTACTAGAAAGTCATAAATCAACCAGCAAGTCGATGTATGGTTTTGCTAGAATGTAGGAGCAATTAGAAATTTTTAGAAATATTTCTTTAACTGTGCGTGACTTGAGGAAGAGGACTATGACCTAACTAACCAGTTACTATTATTATATCAAAATGAGATTTTAAAAAATACAGTATGGATTTAATGCCGGTTCACTTATTCAGTTTTATGCAGTTAAGTTGTTGTTTTTAGAACATTATGAAATTTCATTTCATGCCCCAATAAAACTAAACTAAAATGGAATGGGTTACAGCTTTTCCATTTGTTGACTTTTCTCTTTCAAACATCTTTGATTTTCCATTCATTGAACACACTTTTTAAGAATGCTTTGAATGTCATTCAAGTTACCCGTTTCTCCTGTCCCCTCCCCCACCTGTCTCTAATGCAGTTTCCAAAGTGAACCAATCCTAACGGAACCTAATGATACCTTTGAGCACGTTTCTTAGTAACACTAGCACCTCTTTCTTACCTGCTTCTAATTCACATAATGGCCTTTCTAGCATTGGCTGATTGTTTCTTTTTCATTTCCCCTTTATCACTCCCACCCATGTCTTATCAAAGGGGAAGGCTGGTGGTTAATGGTCAGTGCATTGCACCACAATTTCATGCTTGTGCTGCATCAAAAGTCTAACCTGACAATCAGTCCCTTCTCTTCCATCTGACATCAGAAGCTTCTGCAGTTTCTCACAGCCATTGGCCATGAAAGTTCAGCTCAAGAAGTCATCGCAACTACCTTCATTTATAGCCTGTTGTTGACCTAAAACCTAATGCATGTCAGTGCTCTTCTCTGTTTCTTCTCTCATGTCAGAAAAATTAAAATGTTTTAATTTTTTTCCCAGGCTGCATTTGCAAGTTTTAATATGTCTATAACATTTTTATAGTATATCAGTATCCATATCAAACATTTAACTCTGTTACTCTGCTTTTCTTTTCTTTTCTTTTTTTTTTTTTTTTTTTTTTTTTTGAAATGGGGTCTCGCTATGTCGCTGCAGTGCGGTGGCGTTAGCTCACTGCAACCTCTGCCTCCCGGGTTCAAGCGACTCTCAGCCTCCTGAGTGGCTGGGATTACAGGCATGCACCACCATGCCCAGCTAATTTTTGCATTTTTAGTGGACACGAGGTTTTGCCATGTTGGCCAAGCTGGTCTCAAATTCCTGACCTCAAGTGATCCACCACCTTGGCCTCTCAAAGTGCTGGGATTACAGGCCTAAGCCACCGCACCCGGCCTACCCCTGCTTTTCAAAGTCATAGCCATGATACCCAGGGATTTTTCCCTCACATGGTCCTGGTGTCTACTGACATTAGCTTATCAATTTCAAACTTTCCTTAAGCAAAACAAATGGGCCTCCTATACAAATGGGAAGGTTGCAGTTTCATCTCATTTTTTCTTAGAGTTTTGCCTGGTTAAAGCAATTTGGATGTTTTTAGATATTCACACTGTCTTATTTAGTGTGCAGTTGCAAATCTGATTTTTAACAGGGAGAGAAGGAAGAGGTAGGGCTGTTAATTTGCATTCCCCTAAGACTGAGTACTACCAGTGGGCTACAGGTTGCCCAGATAAAGTACATTTAATTTTAAAGTAACATTGCAAACTCTCCCAGTAGAATTGACAGCATCCTTGGAACTTCATTTCACACTTTCCTGACTTGGGAATGGTTATTTTGAGTAGCACCTCCTATTAACCTAACTTCTTAATGCCTGGACAGAAGGTTAAATATCTCACTTATCTACATGTTCGGCCTCCATGAACAGCTGCTTCATTCACAGCCCTTCAAGGGTTTATCAAAATTTCCCCATGTTTAACATTCCAGAGAGAACATCCAGGTTGTTGGCTCTTGAGACTCACCATTGGTTCACTCACTGAGGCTGATGATTGTGACTAATATAATCTTAAAACAAAAAATGCAATAGGATACATTCTGTTAAAGAAAATGCATTTTGAATTAACTATAAAAATACAAAGTTCTGTGATAGCCCTATCTGAGTACCCAGTTCATAGAATCCAAAAATGAGAAAAGATTTCGTCTCCGTGATTGTAGTCATCATGTGGTGTAATTTGCTAAGAATTTCAAGTGCACTAAATGTTTTACGAGCAACCATACTCCCATATTAAGGGCACTGCTGTACTCCTTTACATTCTCAGAGTCAGGAGATGCAGGATTTTCAAAAGGCCCTGTGCATTTTGAAACTTTAGCAAGGTAGGTGATAGATTGATTTCATGTAACAATAAAATAAATGTCTTAAAGTTTCAGGATCTCTGACAATAGAAGATAAGTGGTATCTTAGAGTTGGCAGAATTGAAGACCTTATCAGCTATAAGAAGAAAAGTTACTGCTCAATATCTGAAGCTGCCATTGACCTTAGGGAAACAAGCAAAAAGGCACATGATCGCTTATGAACAAGGATGTGCATCTGATATTATTGAGTCATAGAAACAGAAAACCCAATCATCTAACAGTAGCAGATGGTTATATGACCTTTAAGGCATCTATAAAATGGAGCATATAAAAACACATTGCAAAATGTAATTGGTAATAATTAAAGATATAGGAGAAATGGTCATGGTTAGTTAAATTTTAAAGATGATAAAACTAAATAAACAATATAGCACAGATGTGTTTTACAATGAATAGGCATAAATAAGAAAAAGACTAGAAGGAAATGTACTACTACAGTAATAACTGTGGCTTGATTAAAAGTTATTTTATATTCTTGTTTTCCTAAGTTTCCTAAAAACTTTACTATGTATTTGCATATGTGTATATGTACATATAGGTAAGTATATACATATATCTGCACATCATGTATACATGTACATAGTATGTTTATATGGGTACATCACAATCAGAAAAATAAATGTTTATGTTTTAAATTATTTTTCTCCAAGAAATAAGGTTTAAAGCTCAAAGCTTATAAACTTCCCAAGGGCTTTCTGATGATCCTGTGTGGATCTAGATAGTAGCTTGATCTGTACGAAACCCCAGAGAAGAAAAAGTAATAGACCAACATGAAAAAATGAGACAAAGAACTGTCCTGTGGTCATATCACCATCTGTGGAGTGCCCAGAGTGACGGTGTCAGCAACTGGCTTTAACATCATCAGGGCTAGATGTAGGTAATGAAGTGTGATTTCAGGAGAGGGCCTCCTCCCTGCCAAAGGAGGAGCATGTGTGTGTGTGTGTGTGTGTGTGTGTGTGTGTGTGTGTGTGTATGTGCGCGCGCGTGTGTCTGTGTGTAAGAGAGGGAGAGAGAGAAGTACCCTAGGCCTGCAAATGCCACACAGACTATGAGGAGTAGAGAAAAAGAATCCTGTCCATAAAGCAAAAGCAGAGCTTATGAAATTGTCAGATACCAAAAGAATTTAGAACTGCTGCAATAGTATTTCTCTTGATCTTCTTTATCCAGATGAAAAACCAGTTTGATCAGGATATCCTTATCAGTCACTGGGTCTGGCCTTCATAATACGATTTCAAATAAAGTAACAAACGTAATAAAAACACATTTCTCAATACTTATATCAAATTAAAAGTATATTTTAAGAAAGAGATACATTTTGTTGATAAAGACATAGTAATTCTCCCAATAAGTTTTTTTTAGAAGTAGATATTTTTAAACAGAAATATCTGCTTCAATTGTTGTTGTGAAAATAAATCCTTCTTTTATTGCCATCCTCATATATAAGCCGGTATTTTAGTGGTAAAAACTGTGCTGAGGAAAACACACACGTAGCACATACTTTCAAACAAATTTTACCGTAGCACATACTTTCAAACAAATATGTATTTACCGTAGCACATACTTTCAAACAAATATGTCAGCTTTTTAATGGTCTGGGCCATGATGCCGAACTTGGGGAGAAAAGAAACATAGCAACTTGCCCTTCATTCGGTAAATACAGGCAGCAGGGAAAGCCAGGAAGCCAGAGCTGCTGACTTAGGGGGGTGGTTGTGGAGGGAACTGAAGCCACCCCAGGACTCATTACCCTCAGCGTGTGTGTCTGGGCCAGGAGGAGTTGAGCTTGGCCATCTCCTCCAGCCCTGTCATGTTCAAGTCTAGGCATTAGGATCTGAGGGTGAGGTTGGGAGGCTCCCACATCAACAGAAGCTGGGATGCTGATCAGCAACTCATGAACCGAAACCTCTACAAGTGTCGGGCCCTTCCGGTGATTTGTTGCACATTAAGTTTGTCCGGCAGGGTGTTCACCTGGCTCTGCAGAAGGACACGAAAGGTGGACATCTGCGGCCATCAATGCCACCTCCTTGTGATCCCCCTTTCTCTCCCTCCTGTGGTGCCCCACTGTGAGGAGCATCCTTCCCATCCGCAGTGAAACAGAGATCTCCAGATTGCCCAGGAAGTTGTTGGAAGGATTGCACATTTGCTTCTCCCTTTATTGTGTACTCCTTCTAGAAGAAAGAGCCTGTGTTTTTAGCTTTTATTTTATTTTATTTCTCTTATTTCCTGGAATCAAGCATTGAGCTTAGTCGGTGCTCAGTACAGCATTGATGACTAAGCAAAAAGAATCCAGGCAAGAAAATAACTAACTACCACCACCGCCCACCCCCGCTAGCAATTTCAGCAGATTCTGAGCATAAGTAGTGTGGAGTTGAATCCCCCAGGCAATAACCTAGAAGCCCCAGGCAATAACCTAGAAGCCCGTCCAACAGCTGCCCTCATCTCCAATTCCATGGGGTTAGGACCCGCCTCCGTGATGTTTCTGAAAATGCATTCCTCCTCCGGGCTGATTTCCATTCCACAGGGGCCCAGTGCCCTGGTCTTGGTGGGCCCTCAGCGACCTACCCCACACAGACCAATACTTTCTCTTCCTGGTTCCTTTTACTGTGTTCCCTGCTTCCAAAAATCCAAGCAAAGTGTGTGCATTAGAAACCCTTCATTCTCTTTCATCAAAGGAACCTAGCGGTTTCTGCATTTTTAAACAACAAGAAAGTAAATCATGAACTTTTACTTGGCTACATAGATCAAAGATTCTCTTGAAGGTCCAAGTGATCTCAAATTATTTTTAATTATTTATATTTCCAGATCTGAATAAAAGACTGCAAAACACACCCCAAAAGTTTTCTGTTTACTTTATCAACCCTCAGCACCAAGGCAGCCATGAAGTGCTTTTTGTTCTTTTCTCCCTTCATGGCCATACCACCAGGAAGGTGGTCTTAACATGCCATCGATCATATCTGAGTGGCAAATGTAGCGCTGGCCCGGCCAGCCCAGCACATATCGCTGTGAGCCGCAGTGACACACATTCATTTCCGCTGGAGGCAGCCCTAGGGAGTCCGGCGGCCCTGCAGCTGTATTTCATCTCTTTGAACTGTATGGCCTCCCCTATAATTCAGGAAATGAGTTTACTCTATCTGTGACAAGCATCATGTTCACACAGTTTTGGGAGCGGCCAGCGTGGTGCAGGGCTGTATGGGAATGGAGGTGGCAGGCGTTTGCCAACCCTGGGGAGTACACCGACGGTACTTCCTCTCCCACTGCCGAGTGCTCCACTTGACCGTGACTTTCGGCACACCTGTTGCCTGAGAAAGTGTGCTTTATCCCCGTGTGCTGGGAATCTCTGGCTGTAATCTAACCTGAGATGAGTAAGTCAGTTTCTTAGACAGGGCGCTTCTTAAAACAGCAAGGCCTCTCAGTTGATCACCACTCAGCTCCCCTGAAGCTGTAGAACTGGTGCCTGTCTTTTGTCCATGCTTATTTTTTTTCGCTGGTAAACTTTGGCCCCTCTTTTGGTTGTTATTAAACTAGTATTTGTTTGGTGCACATAATCTCTGCTGGACCAGGTTAAAACAAGTGCAGATTGTTAAGGGAAGAGGGCTCTGGTCAGCGCGGAGTGTGCATACACTCGGATCAAGGAAAGGAATGCCAGAGCCAGCCCAGCATCAAAATACACTGCAAGTTGGTGGTGAGCTTTTGTTATTTTGCGTATGGTTAACCATCTCGGAGGTCATAAAGCGAGGCCTCTGTCCTCCGGTGCAGCAGCTGGGTTTATACAGTATTTCCAGATTGTTTATTCTGGCCCAGAGCCAGGGCTACATCGTTTTTCCATTATGCATGTTTGACAGATGAAGAGAGGTGGGAAGTGGGACTCCCAGGAACAGGTCTGTGATTTCCTTTCTATTTACATTAAAGGGACTTTTAGGAGTACTGAAGATTATGAACCAGTTCAAACATATGTCAATGCAGCAGAGGTAGAGAAGCTGCTATGTTTGCAAAAAATGTTCAGATCTTGGGCAGTAAAACAAAATCAAAGCAAAATCTTGGGCAGTGAGCACATCGTGCTTGTCACTGCCCAGTCTTGCATGCAGACAGGTTACTGGCGAGTGATATTTATCATTCACATCCAGAAGTTAAGCTAGTGTTTGTTTGGCAGGGCATTGGGAGGAGCCCCTGAGTTGGCAAACCAGAATCTGTGTGCAATCCACTGACATATGCATTTCATGCAGATGGGTGTGCCTGGTGCCGGGCAGAGATGTGTTTCCAAGGTCCCAGTAGAACTTTTTCCCTGCAGCCTTTTCCCTGAGCCACCAGCTTTCTGTGGATACTCCCAAAAGCCCGGGCTAAGTTCTTCCACCAGGAAGTGTTCAAGACTGACCAAAGAGCCACAGTTCACATTGTATCCACAGCAAAGTCCTTGGCACATAGGTCAAATGGATGTGATTGAATGACTGTTTTCCTTCTAAATAAAACACTTTCATTTTGCTAATGGAGAAACATCACTAAAAAGTACCAAAAGTGATGGCAAATTAAGTAACTGACCAGCATTCATACAGCAAAGTCAGGTCACACAAATAAATGTCTTTTTACCCAACAGTGTTTGAATCTTCAGTTAATGGCTGGGGTAAATATCACACCCAGCACAAATTCATTAGCTGCAAGACGGTGGCTTCTACATAGCTATTTGTGTTTGTGGTGAACCTTCCTTATCATGGCATGTCTTAAGCTTGGCTAAGTATTTGCAAGCGTTCTGTCACCATAACATAATGTTCTTCAACAGAGTGGCTAAGAAAAGCAAATACCACTACCTCTCCAGAACAACCTGTGATCCAAACCTTCTCTGTCAGCCTACTATCCAGAAATTCAATTTCCAGAAATGGAAAGTTTGCTCAGGAAGGACCCTCAACTAAGGAAGGAATTTAGCTAAAAAGTGAAGTATGCATAGTCAACACTGAAAGTTGCCCTTTGGGTTAATCCAGTCTTGCAGATGGATTTAAAATACAGGTTTCAAATCAACAAACATTTATGGAGGGTGGTTAGGTGCCAGGCATGGAGCTGGACACTGGGGAACTAAAAATGAAAAAGACACAGTCCCTTTCAGTGTGAAAACATTTTTGCTGGCTTGCAAGTTTTTCACCAGATCCTCCCAGACTTACCAAAGCATTCCCCTCATCTTAGAACACTCAAGCCCTTCTTTTCAATGGATTCCCTGAATGCCAGAATACACACAGGGCAAGGAGAAGTGGGTGGTTATAGATTTCCACTCAATTTGGAAATTAACAGCCTGTGGTGTAGCAAAAAGGTGCAAGGCTGAGAATCAGAAAGCCCACTTTCCAGTGCTTGGACTGAAATGTCCTGGCTGTACAGCCTTGAGCTGGTCTTGTGACCTCTGGGGCCCTTGGTATCTGTAAGTAAAATGGGTACTGGGAAGATTGAGCAAGGTAGTGAGGGGCGATGTGAAAGCGCATTAATCCACAGAGCCCTATGAAAATGAGAGGGATGTGCTTCTCTGCAGGACTTGTATGAGAAGTTGCACTGTTCGGGCTACTATTTGTAAAGTTTTAATAATACAGAAAGCAGCCCCCTCCTGGCCTCATGCCAGGTTTTATTCTCTACCAACATTGGGTGGCCAACTACAGATTTTTATGTCACTGGGGGCCAGCTGTTAGAAGAATCTCCACTCAGGACCGTAACTACTCTGTAGTGTCCCTGCCACTCCCTCCCCAGGGACAGCGCAGAGCCTGGAAGTCTATCCCCCTGTGGCCCTGACTCTATGGCTGATTGGACATGTCTATAAAGAAAAAACAATCTCTATTGTGTTCTTTAAATAGAAAGCTCAAAGTTTGTTTTTTTACTTTGTTTTCCCTCTTCTGAACACTTCATAGCTCAAAACCAGTGCCTATTTTGAGGAAATTTTCAATAGTTATCATAAAATTAACTAAGGGAATTATTTGACCAATCCCTAAAGGTAATAAGAAAAAACTTTTTAAAAAAATATCAAAAACATCCTGAAGCCACAGCTTCTTTTTGCCAAAAAGTATTGATGAATTAAAGTAGAGAGGCAGAAAAATGTGCCTTGCCAGCACTATTGGTCCCAAAAGGCAACCAAACCACAAAGTTAAACACTGAAATGTACAGACCCCAGCCAGATGGGAGGGTAGACTGCTTCTCGCTAAGGACCCAGCATTTGTGGGTCTCCTAGGAATTTCTGTGAAACTCCTTCAGATACTGCCTTTGTGCCCAGCTGTCTGTCTCCATCTCACAGACACAGCCAAGCCTTCCTTGAATCTGACAGCACCCTCGTCCTTCTGATGGTTTCTTTTGTTCCCTCAAGAAGCCTGTACAGAGGAGAACTGTGTTTCCCCAGGTGCTGAGCTGTGGAAATACAAAGATAAATGGGGTATCGCTTTTGTCCTGATCACTCAGTATAAAAAGCCTCTTTGGAAGAACAGCTAAATGAAACCTGGTGGAGATGTTAAGAATAAAATCTAGAGAAAATTTTTTAGGAGGTGGATAGTGCCTCAGAGGCCTCCTAAAAGTTTTCCATCTCTTGATTGAAACACACACAGAATCTATACTCTCAGACGTGCACACACAGCACATACGGCAAATCTTCATGATCTTGTAGTAAGTATGAAAGACCCAACTCCATGCAGAGTATTTAAGATAAGCCCAATAAGCCTGGTCTCCCTGGTGAGGATTTCTGACCAAACAGAAGAAATGTTGACTCCAGCAAATGAATCAGAGTGAGATGCCCTCTCTGCCCCCATGGTGACAAGCCTTGTGAGCAGGCATCTCCCTTAGACTGTGAGCTCCATCCACTCGTCAGCAATGTGGAGAGTTAAGAACCTGGGCTCATTAGTCAGACTTCCCCACACCCAACTTCGGGCTTCACCACTTACCAGCTGTGTGAGCCTGCACAAACTTCTAAATTCCAATGCCACAGCTTTAAATGGTGATAATAAGAGACCTCTACAGCACTGGGAGCTTTATAAGGATTAAATGTGTGTTTAGATATCTTACAATTCTTGGCACAGAGAAAGCTCTCAAAGTGCCAACTGATGATGATGATGATGGTGATGATGATGATGCCCCATTCACTGCAACAATTCCTGTGCGTGGTGCAGAATAGCTATTCAACAAATCTTTGCAGAAAGAGGGAAGGAAGATGATATTGGGCACACCAGTGAGGCCTAATTGAAGCCTTGATTTTGACGAGAAGCACTTACTCTCTAGGTTTATGAAAGCCTGAATTTTAGAATCTTTAAAGCAGAAGCATAAAACTCGACTTTCTATAACAGCCAGTCAGGTAACATAAAAGAATGAACCGGCATTTAGAGTCTGAGGCAAACTGGAAAGCCCTGGCCTCTTTCACGGGGGCAGTCACACTTGGCTCCAGAAGAATGTAGCCGCCCTTTGAGAAAAGCCAGAAATCCAGCTTTCCATGTGAAATAGACCAAGCCTTACAACAACTGAATCCATTTCTAAAAAAAAAAAAATACCCCACGGGCCAAACAACACATTGCCTGCCAGTCCGATCTTGGGCTGCCTTTTTGCCACCCTGTCTTAAAGGGAGGAGCTCTGTATTCGTCTCTTTCTTTTAAAATGTTTATCAGTGGGCACAAGAGACATGAGCCCCTTGAAGTTACTCTCAGTTCCTGCTAGGATCAGAGAACGCTCATGGAGTGAGGTCTTCACTTCTTCATGGTTAATCCGACAGTATGTGCTCACCTAACGAGGGCTTCTTCCCTTCCCAAGGAATGCTACTAATAAGTATAGATTTTTAAAGCATAATTGTTTTGTGGCTGAAATAACAACAATTATTTGAAAAAAAATCCTAACAACTTCCTCTAGAGCTGCTATTATGGCAGTCTGGAGAGAGGCTGATTCCATAGTCCATGTAGCTTTGTTTTGTTTGGATGGAAAGTCTGGCATTTTACAAAAATGTGGAAAACTTAGCAATGGAATGACTTTTCCATAGCACCGATTATCGTACAGCAAGACACACATCCATATGTCTTTGAAATGAGATTTTTAAGAATTCTCTGCTTATTATACAAGACAAACCACCTCTGGTCTTTCCATATGAAGGTGATAGTTTTCTACAGGCTCATGAAAGCTGCCCTGGTTATGGTGCAGTACTTAAAGTTAGGGAAAAATCTCAACATAGATGGGGACCCAGATTCAAATTCGTTTTTTCACTTACCAGCCAGCTATGTGACCTTGGGTAAGTTTCTATTTCTCCATCTGCAAAAGAGGGGTCATGATATTCACCTCACAGGGTTATTGAGAATATCAAATAAAATAATGTATATGATGATCCAAACTCATAATGGGTGTTCCCCATCAATATTGGTTGAATCTGAGTCTCTGTTTCTCCTGGCACAAAATAGCACTCCTGTTTCTGACCGCGACATAACCCTCTGGCAATGTCATTAACCTTATTAAATTTGGCAGCTCTGTGGAAAACGAAGGTCAAAAAAGCTGTCATTGTTTATATAAACTGTTCATTTTGTTGTTCACAGTGCTATGAGGACTAAAGGATAGAGGGTTGGATGCTGCCACCCAGGGAGTAACCAGGGAGAAGGGAAGAGGCTGGAACAGAGCCTGAGGAGGACTGGTCTTTATAAGACAGGCTGGGAAAGAGGAGGGCGTAGAGAAGATGGAAAGGGAGTGATCAGAGAGAGGTGAGGGTGCCAGGAAAACACTGTTGCAGATGCAGGGGTTTCAAAATGGAGTGTGTGGCCCACAGTGTGATGGGGTCATGCTGTGAGGCGCCCTCTGAGCTACCAACAAGGAAGCGAGAGTAACTGAATGGAGTACAGAAGGAACAGAAAGCAGGTTTTGGTGAGTTCAGTCACGTACGTAAGCTGAAAATGTTACAACAAATGTAGACAGCTCTTCAGGAAGTTGGGCTGTGATGGGGAGGAGAGAGAAAAGATGAAAGAGGGAGGGTGCATGAGACAAGGGTTTTTTCAAGAAGGGAAGTGAGTTTTGATGGCAAGGAGCCAGTTGAGAGGGAGAGGTTGACAATGAAGAAGAGGGGGTGGATGAGGGAGAGAAGGAAACTCCAAGGAGGCAGGGTGGGTAGACAAATGAAGCAAGAATTGGATATTAATGCAAAACTAGAGCTTGGGGAAACATTAGATCCCATAAGAATCTGCCAAACCAGCTGATACTGACCCTCATGTTTAGACGGGGGATTTAGGGAGGGATTAAGAAGAGTAAGGAAGACTGAAGTAACTGAAATACACGAGACAATCTGTTGTTATTGGAGGGGTAACAGGAAAAGCTTCTCCTCCACCCTCTGAAGCTTACTTGAAAATGAACTTACAATAGGCAGATTAACAGGAAAAAAAGGAATAAAATTTATTAATATGCATGAAACTGAGCATGGTAGCTCACTCCTGTAGTCCCAAATACTCAGGAGGTTGAGGGGAGGATCGCTTGAGCCCAGGAGTTTGAGGCTGCAGTGAGCCACCACTGCACTCTAGCCTGGGCAACAGAGCAAGACCCTACCTCTTAAAAATAAAATGCTACACAGGAGAAAATCACAGGAGAGTGGTTACCTCATAACCCAGGGAGGTCCAGCTTTTTTCTATACCTTTCTTCATAGGGAAAGGGGAAATGGAGGTTAAATGTGGCAATTTTGAAGAGTAGTAAATGATATTTAAGGGGAATGAATGGGCCCAATGCTCAGACAATGGAAGGTAAATAATTCTCTTTGGGAACTGAATGGGACCCAAGAACAGGCAATAGTTTGGGACAACGTTCATCTGAGCTCTGAGTGTGGTGTTTAATCTTCAGTCCCTTCCTCTGTGACATGAGTTTTGATCTTCTCTGATTAATGAAATTTTAGGGGAGGTGACTGAAGGCAATTTTGTTCCTCTTTGGCAGGTCCAATTTCTAGGTAGATAAGGGAACTTCAGAGAACAGCTTCATCCAGGATGTACTGGTCTCCAATGGCCTTCAATTTGAAATATCGCCATACCAAGTTGCCATATTTGGCGGTCACCCTCCCTGGATCCTTAACTATTCAAGAAAGGATCTTTTAAAGCTCTTGCCTTGTAGCCAAACATGAAAAAGTCCCCCTTCCCTCTTGTCTTAAAAGTCTGTCCTCTCTGTGGAGTGTTCTAGCAAACATAGGGCTGGGCCTCCTCATGTTCTGACTAGCACTATCAAATAGCCAAAGCACTTTTGTCAGGCTGGTAAGGTGACATGCAATTAAAATTTGGTTGGAAAGGCTACCTGGGATCTTATCAAATATCAATCTTATTAAAGACCTCTCATTACTGTATAAAAGTTGGATAAGATATGTCAATGTAGGGGGCTCTGAGTGAAATCATAAGAGCCAGTACTTTCCAGTCATAGAGTCGATGGAGTGCACTGGGATTTTAGATGCTGGTTATCACCAGAAGTCTGTCGTTTTCCGAACATGGTAAATACTAGGTCAATTTCTGCCTGGGATAGAATGTTTCCTACTGGAAACACAAAATTACAAGTTTAATCTAAATAAACCACCAGGACGCAGTTTTACCTCTCAGGTGGAACTCTGCAAATAGTGGTTGTTGGGGTGGTTTTCATCACTGACTCTGAGTATTGGACCCAGAGATGATCGTGCCCAATTTTTTTTTAATCGGCCCTTTTCTCCTCCCAAACTATAAAGCCATTAGCCATTCCCTCCAAAACACCTGCCAGTTTCCTGTGAGATCGGTTGTTAAGTTTGGGTGCCTCAGTCAGCAGGAGGAGTAGTAGGCTCTAGGCCTGGACATTGACCATTATGCTCTACCACACTGTGAAGAAAGGTGTGAGAAGCAGTAATAGCCCTCTCACCTGTCCACACCAAGAAACAACACAGCAAAAGCACAGCAGCTGATTGTCATGAGGAGCCTCCTACCTCTGCCACTTTCTGGCTGCATGACCTTGAATGAGTTATAGCCTTGGCCTCAGTTTCCTCATGTATAAAATGGCTCTTCCATCAAGGGGTTATTGTGAGGATTAAGTATGATTGTGTGTACAAGTGCTTAGCTCAGTGCTTGCTACACATTAGTTCCCATTAACTGTAGCTGTTACTATAAAAATATACCACAAAGCATTAGGCTCAGCCAGGACTGTCACCATCTCGCACCATATCAGTTAACTAATCGTGCAAATATGTCCTGGTTCTTTTCACTTGTACTTGAAGGACACAATATCACATTTTATTGATGTATAATATTTTACATATTTATGGGATATGTATGATATTTTTTTCCATGCATAGAATGTGCAATGATCAAATCAGGGTGTTTAGGGTATCCATCACCTTGAGTATTTATCATTTCTATGTGTTAGGAACATTTGAATTTTTTTTTCTAGCTACTTTGAAACATACAATACATTGTTGCTAACTATAGTCACCCTACTCTGCTATGGAGCATGAGAACTTACATCTTCTATATAACTGTACATTTGTACCCATTAACCAACCTCTCTTCAGCCCGCTCTCCAACCCAGACATCCTTCCCAGCCTCTGGTATGTATCATCCTACTCCCTCCTTGTGGTCAACTTCTTTAGCTCCCATATATGAGTGAAAATACACGATCTTTGTCTTTCTGTGCCTAGATTATTTCATTTAACATGATGACCTCCAGTTCCATCCATGTTGATGCAAATGACATGATTTCTTTCTTTTTTATGGCCAAATAGTATTCCATTGTGTATAATACCACATTTTCTTCATTCATTCATTGATGGACACAGGTTGATTCCATATCTTTACCACTGCGAATATTACTACAGTAAACACGTGAGCATGCAAGTGCAGGTATCCCTTTGATATGTTGATTTCATTTCCTTTGGATAGATACATAGTAGAAGGGTTGCTGGATCATGGTAGTTCTATTTTTAGTTTTTTGAGAACTCTCCATACTGTTTACCATAGTGGCTGTTCTAATTGGCATTCCCACCAACAGTGTATAAGAGTTCCCTTTTCTCCACATCCTCACCAGCATCTGTTATTTATTGGCTTTTAATAATAGCTATTCTAACTGGAGTAAGATGATAGCTCATTGTGGTTTTGATTTGCATTTCCTTGATGATTAGCATGTTGAGTTTTTTCATATACCTCTTGGCCATTTGTATGTCTTATTTTGAGAAATGTCTATTCGGAAGGATATAATGTCACTTTTGACAGAGTTATTTACCTGCTCTGCCCATCCACCAACTCCCCCATCCTAACCATAGAGGAAGGCATTCAGGGAAGAGAGTTTTATTGTCATGAACTAGGAGTAACCTTATGGCAGTTGACCCAGTCACCTAATCGTAATCAAAGAAAGAAATGTATAAACCCATTATGCTGTAACTTTAAAGAATATTCCCAAAGTTTTTCTGGCCTGAAATTAATAACCATTTATATAGCAAATCAACTCAATCCATTATATAGACCAACATTTTGCAAGTGATTGAAGACTAGTAAAATGTGATTGGTATTTCTCAGATAGTTTTGTAGTCAAGGTATTTATATGATTACACTTGCTGTCCATTGTTTTTAGGAAATTACTGTTTCAACCTTACGACAAAGAGCTTTGAGGCTGTGAAATAGAACAGATTTCCAAATTACTTCTTTACAAGGATCTAGGCTCCCTTTTGCTTATCCCCTTGGATCCTTTGCCAGGTTGGGCCAAATAATTTAAGTAATGAATTTATTTTAAATCACAGGAGTCTTACTTTTTTGTGTATCAGATAACAAAACCCTACACAATGTATAGTGCTCTAAGAGGAAGGGATTGAAGGAGGCTTTCAATGAGAGAATTATTTTTCCTCTGCCTCTCAATGTTTGACTTAAAACTCTTTATTTCTTGTCTGTCTTTCATAAGATTTTTTAGCTCTGTTTTAAAAAACAAAAAGGAACACCTAAGACCTGTGAACAATGACCCGCCCCAGATTAGCTAGAGTTCATATCTTCAGAGAAGACAGATATTATAAAATGTTCTGTTAGGAACCCATTTCAGAAGAGTCTATGCCAAGTTATTTAACAGAAATTCTAGAGTGTTCAATGTGTGTTATGTTTTTAATTTCAATGAAGACCATGTTATCTATTTACAAGGATCTAGGCTCCCCTGTGCAAAGGACCCAACCTGGCAAAGGACTTTCAAAAGAGTCAGTTTGAAAAGTAATACCCTTATTCAATGAGGCTGTTGGCCACATAGAGAATTTATTTATTTTTTATTTTAATTAATACCTAATGGGGTACATGAGATGTTTTGATACAGGCATGCAATGCATAATAATCTCATCATGGAGAATGGGGTATCCATCCCCTCAAGCATTTATCCTTTGCATTACAAACAATCCAGTTATGCTCTTTTAGTTATTTTATTATTATTATTATTAATTTTAGACAGAGTCTCGCTCTGTCGCCAGGCTGGAGTGCAGTGGCGCAATCTCAGCTCACTGCAACCTCTGCCTCCCGGGTTCAAGCAATTCTCCTGCCTCAGGCTCCCGAGTAGCTGGGACTACAGGTGCATGCCACCACGCCCAGCTAATTTGTGTATTTTTAGTAGAGACAGGGTTTCACCATGTTGGCCTGGATGGTCTCGATCTCTTGGCCTCGTGATCCACCTGCCTCGTCCTCCCAAAGTGCTGGGATTACAGGCATGAGCCACCATACCCGGCTCTTTTAGTTATTTTTAAATGTACAATTAAATTATTATTGGCTATAGTCACCCTGTTGTGCTATCAAATAATAGGTCTTATTCATTTTTCAATTTTTTTTGTACCTATGAACCATCCCCACCTGTCCCCAATCCCCCACTACCCTTCTTAGCCTCTACATAGAGAATTTTTCAAATTCCTTCTTTAGAATTGCTACTGAAGGCTTCAGAAGGTACCTCAAATATCCTAAAAATTGGGAAGTCTATGTCCTTTCAGATGAGTCTGATTTTGGAAATAGCCATTTGGAACTGTATTTAGTAAATTATATACCTATTCAAATTTGTTGACAAAAATTTTAGTCAAAAGCAAGATTATAAAAGAAAATGTGAGGGCAAATCTTCATGACCTTGGATTTGGCAATGGCTTCTTTAATATGACACCAAAAGACAGGCAATAAGAAGAAAACAGATAAAATGGTCTCCATTACAATTAAAAACTTCTATATGTCAACCTTGGATTTGGCAATTTTTTTTAATGTGACACCAAAAGTCAGGCAATATGAGAAAAATGGATAAAATAGTCTTCATTAAAATTAAAAACTTTTATGCATCAAAGAACACTATCAACAGAGTGAAAAGACAGCCTGTGGAATGGAAGAAAATATTTGTAAATTATATACCTGATATATGTGCAGATTATCTAAAATATGTAAATAACTCCTTCAACTCAACAATAAAAACAAACAAAAGCAAACAAAAAAAAACCCCACTTCAAAAATGGGCAAAGGACTTGAATAGACATTTCTCTAAAGAAGATATACAAACAAACAGCATTTGTTGGACACATGCTTGTCAAAAAGCACATGAAAAGGTCATTAGAAATTAGGGAAACCATTAGCATCAGCATCACTACAGGAGTCATTAGGGAAATGCAAATCAAAACCACAGTGAGATACCACTCCACACTTACTGGGATGGCTACAATTTTAAAAAGGGAGGAAAATAACAATCGTAGGAGAGAATTCGAAGAAATTGGAACCTTCACACATTGCTGGTAGGAATGTAAAATGGTGCAAACACTGTGGAAAATAATTTGGCAGTTCTTCAAAACATTAAACTTAGAATTACCGCATGACCCAGCAATTCTGCTCCTAGGCATATACCCAAAATAAGTGGAAACAGGGACTCAGATACTAGAATGCAAATGTTCATTATAATAAGCAAAAGATGGAAACAACCCAAGTGTCTCTCCAAGGATGAAAGGATAAACAAATTGCGTTCTATCTATACAATGGAATGTTATTCAACCTTAAAAGGAATGAAGTTCTGGGCCAGGCATGGTGGCTCACACCTGTAATACCAGCACTTTGGGAGGCCGAGGCAGGTGGATCACCTGAGGTCGGGAATTCGAGACCAGCCTGACCAACATGGAGAAACCCCATCTCTACTAAAAATACAAAATTAGCCAGGCATGGTGGTGCATGCCTGTAATCTCAGCTACTCAGGAGGCTGAGGCAGGAGAATCACTTGAACCCGGGAGGTAGAGGTTGTAGTGAGCCAAGATTGCGCCATTGCACTCCAGCCTGGACAACAAGAGCAAAACTCCATCTCAAAAAAAAAAAAAAAGGAATGAAGCTCTGATACACACTACAACATGGAAGAACCTTGAAAACATGCTTAGTGAAATAAGCTAGACAAAAAAAGGACAAATATTGTATGATTCCACCTACATGAAGTACTGAGAATAGGCAAATTCATAAAGATAGAACATGGATTAGAGGTTCTATCTAATCGATGGGGTAAGTAGGGTGGGGTAAGGAAAGGAAAGGAATTGGGAGTTATTGTTTAATGGATATCAAGTTTTTGTATAGACTCATGAAAGGATTTTTAAAACAGTGGTGATGGTTGCACAACACTGTAAATATAATTAATGCCACTGAAGTGTACACTTAAAAATAGTTAAAATTGTACACTCTATATATAACATTTTCATGCTATTCAGCAATGAATATAAAATATATTTTGTTATTAAGCATTAGTATAAAATTAAGCATATTTTAGTTGTATATATTTTACCACAATAAAAAATTTAAAATTTACAAGGGTTAAAATTATATTTAGACTGGGTGCAGTGGCTCGTGCCATAATCCCAGCACTTTGGGATGCCAAGGCAGAAGGATCTCTTGATGCCGAGACCAGTCTGGGTACATGGTGAGAACCTGTCTCTACAAAAAATAAAAATAAATTTTAAAAATTTGTAAATTATACTTAAGAAATCTGGCAGCCCTTCCTTTCCTTTTCTGGACAAATGCATTGTTGAAATAGTAAAATGGAAATGGATTTTGTATCAAATTAAACTTTATGTCAATATTTTAAAACTTACAAAACAAGATTATTAGAAAGTGGTTAGACAGCTCTTCCATGCCTCCTTCTGAGGGTAAAGCCCTTTTCTGGTGTATCAAGAAATAAAAGAGGGAAAATGGATAGATTCTGCTGTTCAAAAGAATGTAGAACTCAGAGTTAACAATTGAATTTGGTCCAATCGCATGGTTCACATCTGATGAAAGGAAATTTGATAGCTTGTGCTTCGTCAACTCATGTTGACATTAACACCTAGAGTTGGTAAGTGTTTCCAAATATTGTCAGGAACCCTTCTTCTCTTCTAATACTTGGATATGCAGTTGCTTCCTTAGGTGCTACCAGAGTTGTACAGGTAATGTGGGTCCTCGCCGGGATCCCTTCTAAGCTACTGCAAATGATGGCTCATGTGCGACCCCGGTTCTCTTCCAGAGCACAGGAAGCTTGGAAACATGACTGTGACGGTGAAGAAGACTGTCCCCTCTCCTGAGGCTGTGCAGATCCTCTACCAGCGGATGAGATACGAGTACGAGTTTTACCACTACGTCAAAGAGCAGTTCCACCTGCTGAAGCGCAAGTTTGGACTTAAGTCTCACGTCAGCAAGCCCCCCCTGAGGCCACACTTCTTTATCCCAACTCCACTGGAAACCGAGGAGCCAATCGACGATGAAGAACAGGATGATGAAAAGTGGCTGGAAGATATTTATAAGAGGTGATGTGACTGTGTTGCCTCTATGGCTTTATCTCCCTTTTCCAGAAAGTTCTTTGTTTGGGGAAGTAAAATCCTTAAGGGACTAAATTAATGCTTGGGTGCATTAAAAAGAACAAAACATTCCCACATGTTGGGGTCATTGGGAGATGCCCGGTTTTGCGGGTTTTATTTGTTTAATTTTATTCTGTGTTTTCTCTTGGCTCTTTGGGTCTTTCCCGGGTACACTAGATGGCTCCATCCCAAGGCATCTTGTCATAAAACAGCTTTCCCCCACCCCATATCATGGGAAAAGGGGGAGAAATATAGCCCCTAGCCTAATAACTTATCATTTGTAAAATGACTTATAAAAATATTACCTCAATGGTAGGAGACATCCAGACTTGTATATTTCAGTGGAAATACAAAACCACTTCAGAGACCAGGGTATCTCCTCTGGAAGGATCTAAGAGAAGGTAAGACAGATTAGGACATCGAAAAGGAGGATGGAGCCAGGTGCCATGGCTTGAGCCTATAATCCGAGGCTGAGGTGGGAGGATCACTTGAGCCCAGGAGTTTGAGGTTGCAGTGAGCTGTGATCACACCACTGCACTCCAGCCTGGGTGACAGAGTGAGACTCTGTCTCAATTAATTTTTTTTTTTTAAAGGAGGAGGATCTCCATGGGTAAGTGGTTTCTACCCGCATGGGTAGAGTTCTGCCTCTGGTCCTTCTCAGGGGGCACTTTCACCAAGAGCAGTGTAATTATCTCTGAAAGAGCAAGTCAGCTTGTGCCGCATCCCCAACCAATCCACAGCCTGGAGTACCTTTCAAGGTCAAAGTGCATGGCCAGCTCCATTGAGACATTCCATTTCAAAGCACCGTGCTGACAGATATCAAAGTACTCTAGCAGGGAAAATAATTTGTTTGCTGTGTAAGGAAGAATGTAGACAAGACAGATAAATCTGAAGGTCATGTGGCATCAGGGAAAGGGCATGGCTGTGTCTTTTGCACCCAATATGAAACATCTTCTCCCAACACTGCTTTAATGGAAGTTCTAGGAACCAATTTAGCTCAGGCATTTGACTCCTACAGCAGAAGTTCTGAGCCTGACCACAGATGGTGTGTAATCTATCAAACACACCCCTGGCCAAGTTGGGTCCTATAGGACCTGGTACTATGTACTATTGTAACTTCTAGTTCCCTAAGAGGTACCTGTTTTCAGTAAAAAGGGGTCCTGAGTTCTGTGCAGGTGGAAGAGCTACCCGAGAACTACCTGAGTTCTGTGCAGGTAGAGTCCCATTTCTTATGGGACCTGTGTGCTCCTGAGAACTCTTACTTGAGACATCAAAAAGAAGCAGCAAGAGCTTCTGGGACAGAGACTGCTTGGCCAGCTTTGTAAGTAAGTGGCTGCCTCCAATGTGATGTGAGTACATGTTGGGCAGTCTCACTGTCCTAAGGTATGTCTTCTTTCCACCTCCCACTGCCCCTCCCCTGCCACCTATCAATGATGCCTTGGTTCAGTCATTAGAAATCTGTTGCTTTGAGTTCTGAAATATTTTCACCTTAAAAAAAATGCTGAAAATACACATTCTCCTGGGAAGACGATAAACAGCTAGCTAAGAAGCCGAGGTTCAGTGGTGGCAGCAGGAAGGACACTGCCACAAATTTTGTCTATTTCATATTTGTCCCCTAGAGCCAGCCCTAGCAAATGTGTGAGTTGGGAGTAGTTAATAGTAAATAAGACTCTGACTTTACACAAGCTACACATTTTATACTTTTCATAAACCACAAAGTCTCTCTAGAATTTTTTCTGCCTTCACTAAAATTGGACTGTAGCCAAGATATAAAGCAAGTCATTTGGAACCTGCCGAGTGAGCACTGAAGCTACTTTATCATGAGATGTGTGTTAAGAAGGCTGCAGCCCACAGGAGTCCAGGGAAGGCGGGGACCACAGAGGCACAGAGTCCAGCACTTGGCCGCTCATGGGCCTTCTTTCTGCCTCAGAGGACGGGGGCAGAGAAGTGATGAAGGGAAATGTTCTTAGAGGAGGAAATATCCTTTGTCCTGTTCAGAGAGACCAGGGCCCTACCATTAGGCATACTTTCAGAAGCAACCTGGAGAACAGCTATCAATCATATTCAAAACCAGTACAAGAACTGCTGCCTGGTACCCTGTGAGTCATTTCTATGAAATTCCATATAAAGAATGATGATAAGTTTACACACTGTGCAATCTCACAATCTGAAAATAAAGTTGAGTTGGCTGTGTTTTCTCTGCTCTTGTCAGAACATTGGGACAATTGGTCGTTCAAAAACATTCATCCTCTTACTGCAAGTTTATCTGGGTACTTTTACCTGTGTGTTCAAAGGCATTTCTTTTCAGCAGTGATCATTATAACTTCACAAAAAAAGATGCTGACGGATTTACTTACAGGGCCTTAATGTTATTTTGTCCCAGCCAACACCCTCTAGGTCCTAAAAGTCAAGGTACTTCAGTTTATTTGGCAAACATGACAACATTTTTTTTGGCCCTGGGCCCAACAGTTTGTACTTCATGAAACATATTGTACATTTTACATAGTTTAATTTAAAAAATACCTTTTAAGCTAGTTGATCTTTGACTGTCTTATTTATTATAACCTTTCAGCACATTCCAAGGTTTTAGTTACTCAGGAAGGAGTTAATTAAAATGATTTTATTTTGGTCTGATGGATGTTTTTTAAAAGGAAAATTATTATTATGAACCTTCAGCCTACTTTCTTGAGTGCCGTAAAAGTGCTTGTAAATCTTTTTTTTTTTTTAAGAAGAAAGAAAAAAATGGTGTTTGACGTTGATGGAAATTCAAAAATATATATGGAACTGAAACATTAACTTAGCTAAAATAAAAGCAATCTGTGTTTGAGATGAAGCATTCCTTAACTTATTCATCACCCATATAAATAAATAAATATAAATAAGTTGACATATTTCTTCCATCCTGTTGACAGCTGGAAATAAAAGTGCCTGCAGTTCCTCCCCTCAGCCTTCTTAATTGGCCAAGCTTTTTTCCTCAAGATGGGATTTTGAAAAGCTGTATTTTAAAAAGTGTATCAATTTTCATTCGTGTAATTATATGACAGCAAAAAAAAGGGGGCTGATAAAATGAACTAGTCATTTACTCATGTTGTTGCATATTTTAAAAAGCAAACAGGTGATTTTATCAGTATTTCCACGGTTGGTTTCATGTCGGGGTGCTACATCTGAATCATCTGTCTCTGTTATCCAGCATCTACGGGGCATGTCTACCGTCAGATAGGAAAGGAAGGATGTGCCCCAATTCTCAGTGTCTACGATGATCTGTTTCTCAGACATGCAGCACTTCAAAACCTGGACCACTCTAAGCTCTCAAGTGAGTAGTCTTGATCTGGAAACACCGTTCTTGGGAAATTTCACTGCTGTGGTCAAATGGAGCTTACAAAGAGAAACAAACTATGCTCCCTGTGTGTCTGATGCTACATTCCAATTACATGTGACTGTTATATAAAAGAATCAGAATGCTGATACGAAAGGAAAGAAAAATCCACTTTGGTAATGGTATGCTTTATTTCAAGTAAGAATATGAGAATCTTAAACAGCAGGTGATAAGTGGTGACCTTTGTTCATCATTTTGTTTGTCCTTCTGTAACTCAATCAAATGATGTTTGACTCAATCAACTTTAGAGCCAAAAATACTCAAGAAAAACTGGACCGTGCCATATCTGGGGTTGCTTGTGTGGTCTGAAGTTCTTTATACATGTGCCATCACCTGCGGGTTTATCCAATGAGCTATTTGGCCTTTAATGAATTTTATAGATAATGACAGTATTTCTTAAAAGGCAGGATGACAGCCGAGCGCGGTGGCTTATGCCTGTAATCCCAGCACTTTGGGAGGCCGAGGCGTGCGGATCACGAGGTCCAGAGATTGAGACAGTCCTGGCTAACACAGTGAAACCCCGTCTCTACTAAAAATACAAAAAATTAGCTGGGTGTGGTGGCATGCGCCTGCAGTCCCAGTCACTCAGTAGGCTGAGGCAGGAGAATCACTTGAACCTGGAAGGCAGAGGTTGCAGTGAGCCGAGATCATGCCACTGTACTCCAGCCTGGGTGACAGAGCGAGACTCCGTCAAAAAAAAAAAAAAAGAAACAAAAAAAAAGCAGGATGACAATCCATAGCTATTAAGAAAAATAGCCCTCTGGGTCAAAATTGTGAAACCCCCTTCAAGTAAAGATAAAGAGGAGTTATTTTACTAACACGGCTTATTTCACATCAGATGATAAAGAAATCTGTAAAAAATAAACAAACATAATGTTTTAAATATCCTGCTACAGAAAAGTCTTTTTTGGGCTAAAACCAAAAATCCAAGTCTGTTAAGAAAAACACACAGAACTTCTTTCACAGCCCAGCACATTCATTGTGATATCATGTGGTGTTAGTCGGCTAGGCCTACCGTAACAAAGTGCTGCGGACTGGTTGCCTTAAACAACAGAAGTGTATTGTCCCATAGTTCTGGAGGCTGGAAGTCCGAGATTGAAGTGCTGGCAGGGTTGGTTCCTCCTGAGGCCTCTCTCCTGGGCTTGCAGAGGGCACCTTATCCCTGCATCCTCCCGTGTCCTTCCCCCGTGCCTGTCTGTGTCTTGATCTCTTCTTCTAAGGACCGCAATCATATTGGATTAGGGCTCACTCTAATGACCTCATTTTAACTTAATGACTTCGTTTAAGACCCTAATATGGTTTGGCTGTGTCCCCACCCAAATCTCATATTGAATTGTAGTTCCCATAATCCCCACATGTGAAAGGGACCCGGTGATGGATAATTGAATCATGGGGGTGGTTACCCCCATGCTATTGTTCTCGTGATAGTGAGTTCTCATGACATCTGATGGTTTTATAAGGGGCTTTTCCCCTTTTGCTGGGCGCTTCTTCTTGCTGCTGCCACCATGTGAAGAAGGACATGTTTGCTTCCCCTTCTGCCATTATTGTAAGTTTCCTGAGGCCTCTCCAACCATGCTGAACAGTGAATCAATCAAACCTCTTTCCTTTATTAATTATCCAGTCTTGGGTATGTCTTAATATTAGCAGTGTGAAAACAGACTAATACAGATCCTATTTCCAAAAATGCTCACATTCTGAGATACTTGGTTAAGACTTTCATATATGAATTTGTGGGGGACACACAATTCAGCCCATAACACCCAGACTATAGCAGAAAAGTTAGGGCAGAGGAACTGAATTCCTACTAGGAGAGAAGCAAGCCTCAAAGTGCAGATTCCTATAGTTGCATTGGGGCTCTGGAGCAGTGATCTGGTCCATTCCCTCATTTTACAGACAAGGAAAACCAAGGTCCAAAGAGGAGACACAAATATGTCACATGCTAACTTTGCCCATTGAGGGTTCCCTTAACTTTTGAAGCAGCTACCAAATTAAAACTTTAAAAAGATGATATAGCCAAAGCCCATCTACAGACCTAGGATCCAGAATGAAAGTGATGAGGCACTTTCAGCCACACCCACTGCCACCTGCTGTACTGGAGCAGCCTCACCATAGGGCTCTCCTGGGAGCCGGGGCTTTGGAACTCGCCTTTCCACAGAGGGAGGGGAGGCCCTATTGGTTTTCAGTCACTGAAGTCCTCAGAGACAAATCCCAAATAAATATTTTATTTTTAATTTTTCTGTCTGCTCAAAAGACACAGAGAGGTTCTTGTTCCTTGGTAAACAGACTTGGAGCATGTTTGCCCATCTCAGATTACAGAGTTTTATTTCTCTTAAAGGCAAAATGAAGATTCTTGTCCTACTTCCTGTAACGAGTTTCAGATGGACCCACCTCCAAAAATATAGTCAAAATGCAGTTCATAAAACTAGGGGAAGTCAAGTACAGACATGTCCCAGGAAAGCAGAACCAGAGGAGAAGCAGACCCCGGGCACTCGCAGGACTATTTGACTCACTGGAGAATTCCCTTCTGCCAGGGCAGGCTTGGCTCACTGCTCCAAGCACTGCAGATTCCCAAGGAACACCCAGGCCCACAGATGTTCATGGGTCACAGAATTGTGAACTGACCACTTGTGCATTTTGGATTTCAACTTGTAAACATGGGGATTCCCTTTTTACAAAAAGAAAAAGGAGAGGATGAAAAATCACCATGCAAAGGAAAGTTGAGAGCTAAGTTTTTCCTTTTGGAATCTTGGCATGCGCATTTAGCTATCTTCAATCTGGCTTTCACCAGACGCTGTGTGCTTTGAGCAGGGGTGGAGCAGTCTGCCCTGTGCCGCTCTGCCAGAACATTCAGACTTGACCTGTCACAGGCCTCTTATTCCAGTCAGGAGCAGACACGGCCCAGGAGATGGGCCCTGCCAGACACAGCAGGCTGCCTTTGAGGTGCAACCAGAGAGGCAGTAAAAACCTGGGAGGAGAGCATTTGACTGACTAGGCTGGGGGCTGCCCACCAGTCAAGTCCCCGAGTTCAAGTCCCAGCTGTTCTGTTTCACTGGGCATCAGTGTAAATCATTTGACCTCCATCGGTCTGAAATCGACTCAGCTGGAAAACATTAGAAAGAAAATAAAACATCTACTGAAAACCAAGAGCTGCTTCTGGGATGAACCATTTCCCACCCTTGACCCCTAAATGCTAAAAGACTGAGCCACAACACTTCCTAAGCTGATGAAAGGTTTGTTCTCACCACAGAACACTGTATCCCCAGCAAGAGGGCATAGAATTACATATAGTCATTCCAGGTTGCCTGAAGCCCCCGTTCCTTCATGTCTGCAAGTGGCATTGCCCAGTATGCTGTGAGTCGATGGACAGCAGCATTTCTGAAATGTGAATTGAGCTCCCAGGAGTAGGCACATCCTCCTGGGCATGAGATAGAGCAAATGCAGCAAGGACCTGTCCTGAAGAAGCATCGGTCCCTTCCTCCTGGCCTGGTTTCCACTGTTCTGTTTACTGTGCCATTATCCAAGATAAACCAGTCTGTGGAATTCCACTTTTCTCAAGCATTCTTTGGGACGAGTTTGTCTAGCTGCAAGTTAGAAGATTCAGCTCTAATTCACAGCTTGTACTAAATACAGGCTTCCTCTAACTTATTTAAACTACTGTGTGTATCTGTGATCCCATGACTAATGGTAATAATGAGCCTAAAACATCCATGTGAATTAATACAGGTTGTGCACAAAGAAAAGTGTTAGTAAAAATTGGAAACCTGGCAGGACGGGGGTACTAAACTTCTTGGAGGGTCATTTCTCATTCTCAGAAGTAGTGTTACTGCTGTGATGTGGGAAAAATCTGGCAATGATTTTGTGGGCTGGTGATGTTTCCAGCATGGTTGATTCCCCATAGGACTGCCATGTTGAAAAACTTTAATGTGTTGTATTACTAATCTTTCAAATGCAGAAGAGAGTTAAGACACTGACCACAAACTTCCTTATAGTCACCTTAAGTTTTGCACATATCAAATTTACTATTTGCTTTTTCTCCTTTTGGCACACTTTCCTGTATGGTGTCCATCTTTGGAAACTAGTGAAATTCTAGTCCAATGTGTATTCTCAAAGGATAATTCATGAACCAAGTGTGTGAGATAGGCATGAAAAAAAATCGTGTTAAATAATTTTGGAAGTGCTGCAGTTCATAGTGTGGTGTTACACAGTATGGTAGTATATTCAGAGTATACTAAGGACTCATGCATACTGAAGCATTTTTAAAAATTAATTGATCTTTTGTTGAATTTCAAATTTCTCAAAAGTATTTGCCATGAAACCCTTATTTGCATAAGACCCATTGATATCCTGTGGAACTAGTGTTCTGGAGACTACACTTTGAGAAACAATGCTTTAATGCAAATTATTGGATTACATTTTTCCTCATTGGAAGACTTGTTTTCCTCTTGCTGTGGTTCAATTTTGGTCCGTGCATCGTGCTTGAAGAAAATATATTTGCATCAGATGACGAACATGTTGATAAAAAGAAGATGGGGACAAATAACATTTTTAGAAAATAACAAGGAATCATCTTTCAGTTTTGCTTATTCTCCTAATTACATTCCTCTATCTCGGGAAAAAGTAGAAACTCTTTTCAAGGTAAAATTTTTTATACTTTTCAATATTATTTGGGTACCTTGAATTAATTCATGACTCCCATGAGGATCAGTGCTTAAATCCAACCAAATAAAGGACATCTGTCCCCCTTTCTTCCTTGGGCTACAGTTGCTTGTGCAGTGGAAAGGAAAGCTATGATGAAACAGAAATCGCAGGTGTTTCAAGTAAGGTTGGTGATGGGGATGAGATTGCTCAGCTCCGGAGCTCTCAGCTACTACACACTGGGGCACCTGTGTTGTTCAGTGCACTAGGGGGCGCCGTATCCATAACAATTTACTCAAGAAATCACAAGTTCTTTCCAAACCTCCTTTCTCTCTCTCACTTGCTCATTTTCCTTTATTGCTTTAAAGCAGTATGGCCCAGAAGAAACTCATGGTTGGTGCATTTACCTGGTACATTTACCAGTGTACATACACACTGTTGATCAATAAGTTATTAGCGTTCCCAGGTCTTCTGGCCTGATTTAAGTTTTGTTGCTATTATTTTTAGATTAGCGTTGTATTTTTAAAATCAGTCTTTATCAGATCATCTTTCCTGAGTTTGTTGTATAACTAAAACATGATGACAATTCTGGTTCAGTAATCAAGAGGTGACCCATGTGATGACTGTCCCAGATAACCTTCAGGCAATACCATAATTGCCACAATACAGATAAGTAGAAAGTGTGTTTAATGCAAAAAACAAGGATATAGGAAGATGTCAAGAAAGAGGCATTGCCCCGTTATCAAGGCCGGCCACACTAGAAAAGGATTCAGGTAACTTTCAGTTTAAATTATTTTCATCTACAAAAATTTATTGGCACACATAGGGGCTACATGGGAGGTCAGTAAAGACCTCAGTAAGGAGAAGACCTCATGTGGGATTTGAGCTAGAGCAGCGGAATTTGCAGATAATAGCAAGGCAGATCATAAGCACAAATATCACTCGGCCCTTGCAGCAGATTTGCAAGAAAGAGGCATTGTCATCCCTATGTGTATAACGGGAAACAAAGCCTCCATGAAGTTAAACAATGAGCCCGTGACAGCACAGTAAGGAGCAAAACCAGGATGCACACTCAAATGTAACATGCTCTTGCTTCTTTTTATTGCTTGTAGGAGGCAAGATAAGATTGAGCCAGATTGCTAAAAATTTTGGAAGAAATTTTTATTTACTATAAGGGCAATGAGGAAGCTTTGGGCATTTCAGAACACAAAAGTGACATGAGGAAATCATTTTCCTTCTTCTAAATTAATTAGCACCCTGTGTATCTCCCCCAGCCCTGCCTACTTCTTTGCAGATCTCTAATCTCTGTGTAGATGGTTATATGGATTAGGAAACTAAGGCTCAAAGAGGCAAATTGATTTTCAAGAGGTCACATAGTGGGTATAGTTGATTCTAGAACCTTCTGGCTGCTTATCTAGCACTCTTTTGTCTACATTATGCTGCCATAGCCAATGTATAGAAAATCATTTTCATCATTCATTGAATATGTTTATCACATAATAACTTCAGGGTTCCTCGGTGAACAGCATTTGGACTCTTGGTCTGAGAGTTTGATTAAACATAATAGAGACAACTACTGTTCATTTGGGGCAGTTTTGAAGGCTCTAATTCCAGACACAAACCTGAAATGAGAAGACCCTACCAAACTAAAACCTGTGTCTTACCTGATTTGATCTTTACTACATTCTACCTACGCCTTTTTGCACAAATCTGAATTTCAAGGATGTAAAGAGAAAAAAGGGCAGTGTGGTTAGATTTAGACATAAACTTGGTTGAATACAAATTAAAAATGTCCCCTTTTCCCACTCCCTGTAAATCAGTATCCAACTCTTGGGTGCAGGATATTGAGTGGGGAAGGGGAGGAGTGGGGCAGAAGGAAAAGAAGTCAGGAATCCAGGCTTCCCAGTCTCTCTGCCACTTACCTCCCTAAAGACTCCTCTTCATTTCATCTCTGGATTTCCAGGTACTTAACCCCTGTGATGGTCAGGTGAGATAGGAGAGGTTCCTGTTTCAGTTATAACTTGCACTGGGGCTGTTGTCAGCAAATCCAGGCCTCTAGCTATTTTCCAGACTGGTCAGAACACTAACCTGAAACCCAGAAGTAACTGCCAGGGCAGAGGTAAGTCACTGGTGGCTTCTGCCTCTACATAGAGCCTTGGATCCCCCAAACACTCTTAGATCCTGGGAGTACTGATGTTTGCCTTTTCTATCTGCCCTCTTTTCTTGGCTTCTCCTTTCTTTCTTTTTAAAATAGCATAAATGAAAAATACAATTCAAAATTAAAATGAGTTTATTACTTCAAATATATCTTTGTGCTCCAGTGAATTGACAGGATTTATTTATGCTATCAAAGTAAATCAAATGAATTTGATTTTGGGGGTGGAGATGAACTTTAAACATAGGCAAAATGAAAGAAATCACAAAGAAAAAAATACTAGAATCTCTGAGTTTCAAATAAAAAAGAACTCAGTTAAAAAGTAAACAAATGAGGGGAAACATTTGTAGCAGACATGGCAGATAAAAGACTGAAACTGCTAATCTTAAGGAACTTACATAAATCAATAAAACGAATAAAATGTGCAAATGACACATTCATTCTCAGACCTTAGCTATTTCAAAAGCTAAGAAACAAGAAAAGTGTTCATCCTCATTAGTAATCAAAGAAGTTTGAACAGAAGCAATGTGGCATCACTGGAGATGCTTTGGGGCAAACATATTTAGGTATGTGAATGCCTGAGATGAGGAGAGAGGTTAGTGAAGTACTCACTCTCGCTCTGCTGATGATGGGAGTAAAATTGATACATTTCTGAAAAGTAATTTGGTAATTCAGATAAAAACCTACAATAAACACTGAGATTCTAACTATTTTGAAAGCCCTACCCCGAATACTTATTTCGTAGCTATAGCATCAAATCCAAAATCTAGAATCATCTAAAGATATTAGTCATGTAATATCAAATTACTCAAAGTCGTAGTCTAAAATGCTTTGATAACAATATCTCTCAACCTTCAAGAAACGTGAACATAGCTTTTACTTGAATTAGAATATGTAGGTTATAGTACATTGCCTAAAGAAAAAAATTTAGTCTAAATTTAGTCTAAATGAGACTAAAAAAAAATTTAATCTCATTATCTTATAGTCACTCTAGATGTAAACCTCAAAACTCTTTCCTTCTGATTGTGCCACCATAACCAGCCTCCAAAGGTGGAAATGATTTCATCATCACCAGCTTAGCACACTATCCTGGACAGGCCATTTCTAAGCCCATTAGAAACATACACTTGCCAAAGGCAGATATAATTTTCCACACTTTCATAGTGGATACAGGTAGGACCAGATTTGAAGTTGGAGCTTTTCGCTTAGGTGGGTTATATTTTAATTAAGAAGGTCATTATGAAATTCCACTAGGTCAAATGTTTCTAGAATATTGTCCCAGTATCTCTTGCTAATTTCATTATAGTTAAACATTTGTTGAAATAGAATTGGTTGTGAAGAGCACAAACCCATGTGAGAGTAATTATTCTTGTAGAGAATCTCTACAGATTTGCTGAGATTTTCTCTTTAGCAGAGCTCAGATATCTTCAGTTTGCCAAGTTAATGCAGAGATTCTTTTCCAGCTCATTAAGTTAGAAAAGATATTTCTCTTTTATACCCATGTAAATGTGTTATCTGAAGCATCACATTCATAAATGAGAGAATAGACTTGTAATTTAAATGGTCATAACCTAGGGTTTAAACAATCCCCTATTGTCTGTTTCTGCATAGAGCCAAGAAGACAAGTTTTGCCTCCTTAACAGACAAGATGATTTCAGGATCTGAACCAAAATTTTCAATTTGTCTGGTTTTTTTTTTTCCCCCTCCCTCTGTCCTGCACAGGGCCAGGCACACAAAGCCAATCACTTTTTGTGTCAAGTAATATTGGTGATTTTCTGTACTCCATAATTGGGGTTATAAATATAATCCAAGTTATATTATATGACTACTTATACTTTTGTTAATTGTATGTACTTGTTGGTTTCGGGTGCCAGAAATAATCCAACTCTAACAAGTTCAGACAAAAAGAAAATCTACTGGAAGAGCAGAAGGGTATCTATAAAATCAGAAAAAGAATTGAAAAAGCAAAAATGCAAGCAGGACAAGGGTGCAATCGGGCTCAAGGGCAACTGGAACCAGGGACTGAAATGCTACCTGGTGTTTCTCCCTCTCTCTCCCACCCTTCTCTCTTTTTCTCTTTTCCAGACCAGCAGAAAATGTGCCCCCTTTCCCTTACCAAAAAATAAAAAGCTTCCAAACCTCACTCTCACAGCTTCTGTCACCACAGAGGAGCTGGCTTCTTGCTAGTTACAGTTCAGAAAAGTCTTGGGGAAAGACAATGATTGGTTTAGCTAGTCAGGGCCCCCCATCCTTGAACCAATCAGAAGGCCAGGAGGAATGTTCCCATGGTATAAATCACTAGATCTCAGAGACTGGTAAATACAGTAGTCCTCGTGGATAAGGAAGATATGTTCCAAGACCCCCAGTCGTTGCCTGGACTCAAGAATAGTACCAAACCGTGTATATGCTTATGTGTTTTTCTATACATACATACCTATGAAAAAAGTTTAATTTTTATTAATAAATTAGGCACTATCAGAGATTAACAATAACTCATAATAAAATGGAACACTTATAACAAAATACTGTAATAAAAGTAAGTGAATGTGCTTCCCCCTCCCCCAACCCACTACCACCCACCCCCAGGCCAAATAACTTAATATTTTTGGACCGAGGTTAACTGAGGGTAACTTAAACTTCAATAAGTGAAACAGAGAATACGGGAGACTACTGTGAACAAAGCCGCCACCCAAAAGAGGTTCCACTACAGGGTCTTTTTAGATTTGCTGTCTGTCGCCCAGGCTGGAGTGCAGTGGCGCCATCTTGGCTCACTGCAACCTCTGCCTCCCAGGTTCAAGTGATTCTCCTGCCTCAGACTCCTGAGTAGCTGGGATTACAGGCACACACCACCATGCCCAGCTAATTTTTGTATTTTAAATAGAGATGGAGTTTCACCATGTTGGCCAGGCTGGTCTCGAACTCCTGACCTCATGATCTGCCCGCCTCGGCCTCCCAAAATGCTGGGATTACAGGCATGAGCCACCACGCCCAGCCTAGATTTGCTTTTGAAAGCTCTGCCCAGTATTTCTATAGCCTGTCACAAGGCACAGCGACACTTGTTAACAATAAAATAGTGAAAAAATTTTCAAACAAGACTTAGAGAAGAAAATTAAGATCACCCACAATCTCATCACCCAAATATAAGCACTATTTACATTTTAGTGCATATCCTTCCAGTCTGTTCCATGTGCGTATATCCTTTTCTATACATATAATATCATTGAGATCATGTTAAATATAAAACTCTACATACCACCATTCACTTAATATGTAAAAAGAATACTCAATAACATTTTATACTTATAAATCTCTATATCAGGGAAGCTGTGACATCAGAATATCTGTGAACTTCTTGAATTTGTGTAGAGAATCATAAAGGTATAAGCATATTGGTATGTACTTCTTTTGGGAAGGGGGTCCATATTTTCATCAGATTCTCAAAATGGTCTGTTACCAAAGAAAAAGGTTAAACACTACAGCATTTAAGTTTTCAAAGCACTTTCACATAAATTACAATACATTCACAGCTGCTACATATTTAATATTTTACTTTTAACTGATCTCAGGTGACATTTAAAGGTTCATTGACACAAGGCAAACCGTACCTTGCAAATACATGCACTTGAACCACAAATGCTCAAGCCAGACCCTTAGCTTGTGGGTGAGCCGTCCCGTTCCCCAGCCTCCCATCACAGGAAAGCTCCCTTAACCTCACATCATGCCTCACTCTTGTGAAATGGTTAAAACAGCTTACAAAGGCGTGGATAGAGCTGACCCAACCAGTTTAGCCCAGAGCTGTTCCACTGCCTCAATCACTAGGGCTCCTGGACAGAGCTTGATTTTAGGGCAAGACTATTCAGATCATTTAAACCCAAAATTGGATCTCTCAGGCAAATTATTGATTCACCTATATAAATTAAACTAAGTCAGCTATTATTCGAGTCTCGCTTCCATAATGAATTGTACACAACTTCAGTGGACTCCACCCTTCAGAGCCCTCCTTGAGTCTGTTCTGGTTACATTTATTTAACGGTGACAAAGTTTCCTTTCCACTTTGTGCAGCATAGCTCTCTTCTCTCCACTTCACAGAAGTCACGTTCTCTGTCCCTCGGCACACGCTTGTATCTTAATCTTTATTTTTCCAACTCAGTTGTGGAATTCCACCAGGAAAACCCTTTCTTGCTCAAGAAGAACTGCGGGTACAATTTCAGCTCACCTTGGGTCTGTGTTGCCCCAGGGAGCCCAGGCTGAGGGTGAACAAGCTGCAGCTGCCACTTGAACAGCGCTTTCTCAGGTCTTGAGCCGCTTTGCGTCATCTCTGTTGCTTCAGTGCCTCCAGAAGCCCCTTGGTGCTCCCCCCAAGGGTAGCGCTCACCACGCTACATTGTAAATGCTCATTTAACCATTGTCTCACCCCCCAGACCACACCCTCTGTGAGGGCAACACCTTGTCTTGTTCACTGCAGTGTCCACGGCACTTAAATGCAGCACTCAGAATGAAGGAGTGAACAAATGAGCCAATGGGTGAGTGGCTGAATGAATGCAGTGAACTAATTCTTTTTCACTGAGCAAAGGAAGGCGGAGAACTTGGAGTGAGAAACAGGAGGGCAGAGTAAACAGGAGAGATAGAGAAAGAAAGTGACAGAGACTTGCCACCTCTGGGAAACCAACACTAGTGGCCCAACATGACCAGAATCCCCCTGGTCAGCTTCTAAGGAACGCTCTATGGGTGTTTTATGTAAACATTTCACATGGCTCACGCCTGTAATCCCAGCACTTTGGGAGACCAAGGCGAGAGGATCACCTGAGGTCAAGAGTTCGAGACCAGCCTGGCCAACGTGGTGAAACCTCATCTCTACTAAAAAATACAAAAATAATTAGCTGAGTGTGGTGGTGTGCCCCTGTAGTCCCAGCTACTCTGGGAGGCTGAGGCAGGAGAATCACTTAACCCAGTAGGCGGAGGTTGCAGTGAGCCGAGATCGCGCCATTGCACTCCAGCCTGGGCGACAGAGGGCGACTCCGTCTCAAAAAAACATTTAAAAAATCTAAAAAATAATAATAAGTGAAGAGGGAAAATCATTCAATATAAGAATCCCCCTCTAAAGGAGCCAAGCAGGTAGGTCTAATAATTCAGACTGTTCCTCTGCTCCATGGTGTGTGGAATGATTTACTGCATCCATAAAGGAAATTGCAGGACTTAGAGCTGAGAGACACTCCGGAGGCCCTGAAACTGGTATGGCGCAGACACAGAGCTGTGTCTGAAGATGTGGCTCCCGGGACTGGAGGGTCTGCAGCTGCCCTGAGCCCACAGGTGACGGTGTTCAAAAGAGGAGCGGCATCAGCAGTGGCTCTGTCCCACGGCTGATTAACGCAACGGAATGTACAGTCAGCAAGGGGGTGCTGCCTGTCAGGCTGTGGACTTACTGTCTGTCCCAGACTGGCTTTGTTCAAGTTTAAGGGCATTGTAATATTTAATATGGCCTGTAGCAATTTCATACCATTTGTAAAAATCATGAGACTATTTAATATAGAAAAAATATGTTCAAGCTTCCACCTAGAAAAATAACTGTGTATAGAACAGAATAAAAATGAGTTCAGAAGAATATTAGCTGATTAACACATTCTATTGAGTTAAGAAACTAGAACCCAGATATACGGGCACAACCAGGAAGGAAAGTGGGAATCTTAAAGGAAGAAGAAGCTTCAGATTAGAGAAGAGATGACCTTTGACTAAGAAGTCCCTAGTAGTCGTACTTAAAGCTTATCACCAAACTCGAACCAATTGTACAGTGTCAGTTAGTAAATCCTAAATCGAATGATCAGCATGTTACCTAGGACACGGCTGCGGCCCTGCGTTCCAGTCGCTATGCTATTCTTTCGCTGTGATGAGTTACTCTGTGTAAAGCAGGGGTCCCAGACTTTTGATTTATGAACCAAGAAAAAAAAATTAATAGAAACATGGAACCAAAATAGGACTGTCAGCTTCCTTTCCCCATTGGTCAAGTAAAAATATGAAGCAAAAAAAGGAAGAGGAGAGAAGGGAATTACTATCTACCGTCACCATGATTTGGGGCAAAGAATAGACATTTTCACATTAAAAAACTAAGACCATAATCTCCAAATTTAAAAAGATGTGATTTTGTATTTAAGAAAACAGTCATTCATTGTTCTTTTCTCACAGGCAGGCTTTGGGGAACCAGGGGATGGAAGAGTGGAGAAGAATACGGGCTTTGTAGTAACACAGTTCAAATATCAATCCTGCCACCTATTAACGAGGGCAGGTAACTTCAGGTTCCTGAGACCTAGGATCTGTCTTCTGTGAAAGAGGCATATGTACTTCACAGGTAATTGTGAGAAGGAACTGAGACAGATACATTAAGGCATAATAAATGCTAGCACTTTCTTCTGGTGAGGATTTTTGGCCGTCAAGACTAGATGTGTGGTGTTTGGAGACATGGGGAGAGAGAAGGCCTCACTCTCAGTACCCTGCTCCCCAGTGTGAAGGCTCACCTCTTTTGAATCACAAACTCTGCTCAGGCCTGGGTTTTGTGGAGTCTTGTCCTCTTCCTCCCTGTTAGAGAGTCTAATTTAAACCTGATCTCACCTGGCTAAAGAAGATACCTGAAGAGGAGAGTTAAGGGGGAGAGGGGCCCTCTGCATCCTCCCATCCTCAGTTCTCCTTGGCCTGGCCAGGAACTGCTAGGACACCCATCATTTTGATTTAGAATAAAACTGATTTGCCTGTCGGCTATCAAGACAGATGGAGTAAGGTTTGCCAAAAAACAGAGAATTTGGCCGTGGCTATTTCTTATATAGACCTTTCCAGCTGCAAGATTGATATCAGAGTGTAACATGCGGCTGCAAATGTAAAGAGAGTTAGGTTTGATCACAGCCCTCCCTGTTTCCCTCCTGCAGGCAAATGACAGGCAGGTTTTTAAGGAAAAAGCTAAGGCTCTGGGTTTGAGAGTCGGACATTAAGTTAGGGACAAAATGATTTAACCTCCTCCTTGGGATATGCTGAGATACTATTCCAAATATTAATTTGCTCAGAATTCAAATTGAACTCTGCAGCTACCTCATCTGAGAGGAAAATAGAGCTCTGAGAACAAAGGCTTTTCCCAGCATCTCCTTAGGAAAACCCCCTGGACTGTCTGTCAGGAGACCCGGGCTCGAAACCATGGCTTTATTGTTCATCTTTTATGCCTCAGTTTCCCAATAGGAATATATGACTAATACTAGTGTTTTCTTTTGACAAGACTATGGTAAAGAAAGACCAAAGAAAACTATACATTTGAGAAAGTTCATAGCACTAATACAATAAGCTGTAATTTTGATTATGGTCATGTTTATGGAATTTTCAGCTTCATTCTTTCTTTTAAGGCTTAAAGTTTAAAATAAAAACACTTTAAATAAAATTTCAGGTGCAACGGCTCACATCAGTGGTCCCAGCTACTTGGGAGGCTGAGGTGGGAGGAGAGCTTGAGCCCAGGAGTTCAGGACCACCCTGAGCAACATAGAGAGACCCCATCTCAAAAAAAATAGTAAAATAAAATAAAATAAATATTGTTCAGGCCTTCAAGACCTCACTGAGAACTTAGCTTTCAGCCATGGCTTACTCAGAAGCCATCAAGGGGCTCTGGCCCCTTGGAGAGCCAGGCCACATGGGCTTCTGCCCCACCACGAATTCCAGTTCCGTAGCCTGAGGAACCTCAAGATGCATCTTAGGGTTCTTGTGTTTTCTAGAGAGCTTTATCTTTTTGTGGCCTCTACGCCCTTTGGTTCCTGCTTCTTTGGATTCAAGGTTTGGGGGAGGGCAAGTAGGGAATAGAGAATAAACAAAGACAGGCAATGCATGTTCGCTCACGCCTGTAATCTCAGCACATTGGGAGGCCAAGGCAGGCAGATCATTTGAGGTCAGGAGTTCAAGATCAGCCTGGCCAACATGGCAAAACCCCATCTCTACTAAATATACAAAAGTTAGCCAGGTGTGGTAGCGGGTGCCTGTAATCCCAGCTACTCGGGAGGCTGAGGCAGGGAGAATTGCTTGAACCTGCGAGGCGGAGGTTGCAGTGAGCCGAGATCATGCCACTGCACTCTAGCCTGGGCAACAGAGGAAGACTGTCTCAAAAAAAAGATAATAAACAAAGACAGGCTTTACAGCACATAAAACAAGCCTTCACTTGGATGGTTGGCCCCTCACCTGCCTGGCCCTTTTTCTCTTTCCTTTCTTCTCACCCTCTTCATTCATCTGCCCTCTTCTTCAGGTGTGAAACCCTCCAGTTCCCCAATGTATACTGAAGAGCATGTTTCCTTTCCTGATATCTTGCTGCTGGCTGGCATCCAAAGGTGTTGCCCATCCAAGCAGGTTTTTAAAGGAATTTTTTCAGACAAAGGAAGATCCTTCCTCAGGAGGAGTTTAGATGCCAGCTGTTAAGAGCCGTTGGGTAAAACAGTGCTGTCACCAACTGCTATGTGAATAAACCAATGCTTCTCAAAATGTGGTCCTCACACCCCAACACCAGCAGCCTCAGCATCACCTGGCCACTTACTAAAAATACAGATTTGGGCCAGGTGCAGTGGCTCACACCTGTAATCCCAGCACTTTGGGAGGCTGAGGTGGGAGGATCATGAGGCCTGGCCAATGTGGTGAAACCCCTTCTCTATTAAAAATACAAAAAATTAGCCAGGCGTGGTGGCAGGCACCTGTAATCCCAGCTACTCAGGAGTCTGAGGCAGGAGAATTGCTTAAACCCAGGAAAAGGAGGTTGCAGTGAGCCGAGACTGCACCACTGCACTCCAGCCTGGGCAACAGAGCGAGACTCCATCAAAAAAAAAAAAAAAAACAATTGGGGGACCATCAGACACTCTTGGAAGTGCAGCCCAGCAATCTGTTTTTAACAGAAGCCTCCAGGAGATTCTGATACTGGCTGAAGTGTGAGAACCACTGACCTGTCAAAGGACCAGCAGCATGTCCACCTTCCACCAGCATAGTGCCTGTGGATAGCAAAGGTTCAATAAATACTTGTTAAATAAACGAACAGGCAAACTACTGATGCCATGTGAAGAGGAAGAGGAAACAATATAAAACACAATTTCTGCTCCTGGGACTTGAAATAAGCCCAGTGAGAAAGCAATGCACAGATTTGAAGTCTTTACAGCAACAAGTCAACTTACAGATACTGAGCCTGTGTTTCTAATGATGCAGAGGAGGATACCGAGACAGTACAACTGTAATGGTGCTCAGGAGCAGAGCTGCCCTGGACACGGCTGTCAGCCCCCCAATCCCCCATCCTGTGCCCCGGGAATTCTCAGTTCCACACTCCCTCTTGAATGGTTCATGTCAGAGGATAATGAACTGCTGAATTTTATGGTTCAGACCCGAATCTGCAAGGCTCACAGGGAGAATGCAGTGTGGGCTGCAGGAGTTGTGGAACTCATGCTGAGGTTTTTTTTTGTTTGTTTTTTTTTTCAGAACAAGAAAGATCTGGATGAGCAGAGATTTATGGAATTTACTTTTCCAGTTTTGGTAGCATTCCAAAGCCTGGGGAGGAAACGTGCAGCAAGCTTTTCTTCACTGGGACTAGATTGTATTTGCCCAAAGAAGGAAGACAGATCCAATAAACCAGGCCAAGATACCTGCAGATACCCCAGGCCTAGCGTGAAACTGTGGCTGGGCTCTTGTGCTACTGCCCCTCTGCAGTAGCTCTGAAATGTGCCAGGTCTCCTCCAACCTTGATAGGAGGTTAGCCTTTCCCATCACCTTGATGCTGCTCCTGGCTTTCTCATTTCTCTCTTCTTGGGCATGACTGCCTCTCTTCCTTTGTCCATGCATTCATGGTATATTGATCATCAGCAGTAGTAAAGTCTGCCTGTGTCTTTGAGAGGTTCCTCCAGCCACAGGTCCACAGCACTGCTGGCAAAAGGCCCTCCAAGTGGTCATGACCTTGGAGTACTTGGAGTTTGGATGGAGGAGAGTGGGAGGTATGAAAAAGCCAAGTGAAACCTTGATGATTTCCCTTAAAGAAAGTAGGCTGGTGCCCAGGGGAGGGCCAAAGAAAGGAATGCTGAATTCGCTAATTCTGAAAAGAATGACTAAGCTCTAACCTACAGCACATTGCAGCCTGCAAGTGACATTTCCCGTAAAACCTCCAGCAGCTAAACCTGACACACTACGCAAATAATTTAATTAAATAAGAAAGGAAAAAAGGAAGAAAATGCCTATAGAGCTTTTCAAGAACTTGAAGTGTGACACACCCATGCAGGAGTTAAAAGTTGTCTTTCAACAGCATTATAGCTTGGTAAGCAATGGAGAACCCAACTAATCATTAATAAGTGGTTTTGTTAGAATTTTTGTTAAACTAAAGATAAATACAGTATGTTTAGCTACTGGGGTAATAACCTAAACTAGTCTGTGAAAGAAAAGGTTAACTGAAATTGGGATGCCTGCAAATCATCTAGAATTTTAGTGGATCTTATTTGTTAAAAACATCATCACAGATTTATGTGTAGAGGGAAGTGGTAAGTGAAACAGAAAATCAGTAATTAGATAGCAGAGCTTCCAGAGGTTAAAAAATACTTTCCAAGTTATACACAGAACAATCCTCTGCAATTATGCTGATTACATGGCAAGTAAATACCTGTGTATTCTGACTTCGGCAACTACAGTATTACTGTCTACTGGGTGAGGAAAGCACACTTCTGAAGGTCACTGAGCATTTGATGACTAGAAATCTAGATGTCCTTGATAGTTAAACAGCAACATACTAAAGATGAAAAACACTATTTCTTTCATCTAATTTTTTTCAGGTCAGCTCACTCAACCTTTTCATGTAATTTTTGAGCATTCTTGGAAGGAGATCAAGATTCCAGTAATGTAACTGCCATGGGGCCAGTGTGCAGACTCAGGGCTCTGATTCAAGGAATCTGAAACAAACCCTCGTACTACCCAGAACTCAGGAAGTCTAATTCTTAGCCTGAAAAATGACCTGAAGTTACATATTTCTCCCCTTTGAGTAACAGCTAAATCCACTCACTCAATGGACAAGCATTTCGTGTGTGTGTGTGTGTGTGTGTGTGTGAAGTATATAATTTTTATAATTTTAAATAACATTTTAGATAGATAGACATCCTCAAGCAAGAGCGTAAGTGTTTTGTTGGGCTTCATCTATCATACTAGTTGCTAAGAGATTTTAAAGGAAGCTGAACGTTAACTCTACTGATACCAGGTTAGATACATCTTCATAAGCTGAGGAATAATTGGGATCACAGGAATCAAACAAATCCATACATTGAAAATCACAGTCACTATATAAAGAAAAGGAAGCTGCATAGGAAAGCTTCTGGCACTGAGGTTGAGATCACACTGCAACAGAAATTATTTGAATTCTAAGCCAACATAAGAAAAAAAGAATTTATTCTAAAATTTATTGAACAAGTTTGGAGCAAGCATCAATGACCATATGCTTGGAAATGCTGCGTGGGATGATAAAGGTTTATTATTGTTCCCAGACAGGTCCAGTGTAGTTAAAAATGGTGGATGCCAGCTGTCTATTGATGTATATACTTTGTATAGAAAACATTCAAGGTCAGAGTGGCTGGTGCCCTGAGTAGAGATAGTGCTTTCCAGTGTTAAGGAGGCTTAAAGCACGATGGGATAGATCTGTGTGGTTTTCCCTTCATGCATAAAGCAGAAAGAAGTGTGTTCCTGTCCTATCTCCCCACACATCTCCCCCACCACTACCCCTGCACACACATTCTTTCCCAGCAGCCTGCACCTTCAGAAAGGGGAAATTCTCATCACACATTCAACTCTTAAAGAAGCATAAGGAAATGACCAGTCTTAAGGACCCTCCAGGGACACTGTTTCTCCTGTCCTTCCCTTTACTGCTGTGTCTATTCTCTTCAGCCAAAGGGTGTCATGGAAAAAAAGAGAAGGGGCACCCAAGCCAGACTCTCAGTCATTAAAGAAGCACCAATCATTGAGATTGTAAGAACTAAGCCAATACAATGACCATTCAAGTAAGATCTTAGGATTTCTGGTGACTGTATACTCAGCTATGTGCTGTTTAACTGAGAATCTCAATGATCCAGGTGTCTTTGTCCATGTTCAAAGTGAAGAGCCTGGAGGTTACAGATAATGAATCCCCATTGATCCAAAGTTATTGTGGATAAAATCATTCTAGCTAATTGTCTATTCATTCTAATAGCTATTTACTCAGTTCTATTAATATTGCCCTCAGAGTTTGCATTCATGTCTGGCTCCCCCAGCTACCCTGTGAACTTCTGCAGGGCTTATTCCTTCATTCACCTACCAGTGGCTACTCAGAACTTCACATTTGGAGACATTCCAAAAATGTGTATTACCTCCCACAGCTTCTTGCCCTTAAGGCCCTGCTCCTTCTGGTAAGCCCAAGGTGCCATTTTGAGAATTTAACACTGTGCTATGACCCACACTTGGTTTGAATTCAGGCTGACATGGTGGCAGCTGCTGCCCAGCCAAGGAGAGACAGGGAAACCAGGCTATTTTATGCACATCCAGGAGAATACTCACTGCCCTGCAGTGGGCTGCTATGAAACTGAGATGTGAGTAGATTACACTCCCCACAGCTTCTGGCCTATGCTGCTTGCCTGGGATGGATACCATCCTCCCTGGTCCCAAGCCCAAGACACTATTTTAAGACATTAATGCTGGGCTTGAGACTTTTGGGCTGAGCTTGGGCTAACATGGCTGCAGCCACCACCTGGCCAAGGAGGGACAGGAAAACCAGGTTCCCCTATGCATACCTAAAACAATATCCACCACTCTGCTATGGGCTGCTATGAAACTCAGACTTGAATGGGCTGCACTCCCCATAGCTTCTTGCACACACTGCTTGCCTTAGTGGGCCCTCATATTCTCTTGTCGCAAGCCCACAGCTAGCATGATTTTTAGAGTTTAACCCTGGGCTGTGCCCCACCCTCAGACCAAGTAGAGGTGATGAGGCTGCAGCTGCCACCCAGCCAGGGAAGGGACAGGGGAGACCAAGCTCCCTTAAGCACACTTAGGACAATACCCACTACCCTTCTACAGGCATCTGTGGGGTGGAGGACTGGCTCACCCAACCTATTGCAGCTTCTAGCAATACCTATTTGAACTGCTTGGGTCCCAGTGGGTTGCTCCACCACTGCTACTGCCATCACCCACATGACACCAGCTTCCCAGGGGCCTGAGAACCCACCCACACACCTAGCCCACTACTATTACTACTAGCTTCTAAGCAAGCCACCTGGAGCCCCAAGCATCAGTGCTCCAGAGTCCACTAACACCAGAGCCAGTGCCTAAAAAGAGGCACATTTATTCCACTGCTGATACTTGGGCCTGAAGACTGGCTCAGTTGGTGTCCAAGTCCCCAGCAAAACTTCACCACAACCTCAACTAATAACTGTACCCTAAGTCACCAAGGAAATCACAGATACCACTGATACTGTATATTGCCAAGGAAGTCACACAAAGATCACAGTACCACAGGCAACCAAAATCAAAGTCAAAGTAGTTTACTCAATCAACATACATACATTCCTAAGAAAAAATTCTCCCCCACAAAAGCAATTTCAAAAAAAATGAAACAAGCAACTACTATACTAGATGAGCAGATATCAACAGAAAGACACAGGAAACATGAAAAACAGGGAAATATGACATCATCGAAGGACAATAAGAATTGCCCAGCAACAGATCCCAATCAAAACGAATTCCCCAAAATGCCAGATAAAGAATTCAAAATATTGATTTTAAAGAAGCTCAATGAGATGCAAGATAATCTGAAAACCAATACAAAGAAACTAGAAAGTCAACTCAGGCTATGAATGAGAAACTTACCAAGCAGGCAGATATCTTTTTAAAAGGCAGAAATTCTGGAACTAAAACATTTATTGAAGAAAATGCAAAATACATTCAAAAGATTCAATAATAGATTACACCAAGTAGAACACAGAATCTCAAAACTTGAGGTCAGGTCTTTTGAAATAATCCAGTGAGACAAAAATAAGGAAAAAAGAATTTTAAAATGAACAAAGTCTTCAAGATGACTGGTACTATATAAAACAAGCAAACTTATGAATTATCACTATTCCCAAGGAGGAAGAGACATCAAAACGTTTAGAAAACCTATTTAAGAAAATAATTGATGAAAACTTCCCAAGTCTATCAAGACATTTAGACATCGAGATCCAGGAAGCCCAATGATCTCCAGGTAAATACATTGCACAAAGGACTTCATCATGGCATATTATATTTAGAATGTCTAAAGTCAAAGTGAAAGAAATAATTTTAAAATTAGCAAGAGAAAAATTGTCTAGTCTCCTATGAAGGAAACACCATCACGCTTTTCAGCAGAAACCTCACAGGCCAGAAGAGAATGAGATTGCATTTTCAAAGTACTGAAATGAAAAAAATAAAATAAAATAAATAACTGTCAGTCAAGAATATTATATCCTGCCATAATAAGCTTCATAAATGAAGGAGACATATAGGCTTTCCTAGACAAGCAAACGTTGAGGGAATTTGTCACCACTAGACCCACTCTACAGGAAATGTCCAAAGCGATCTTAAATATGGAAACAAAAGGTCAATATTCACCATCACAAAACACATGGAACTGTAAAATGCACTGTTCTTATAAAACAATCACACGAAGGAGGAAAAGAAACGAATCAAATGACAACATGATAGAATTTCATCCAACCACAAGGACAACAAGACAGAGAAAAAGAGAGAAATGAACTTTTAAAAAACTAGAAAACAATTAGCAATATGACAGGATCAAAGCAATGTTAACCTCACATATCAATGTTAACCTTGAATATAAATAGATTAAATGCTCCACTTAAAAGATACTGATTGGCAGAATGGACAAAAAGTCATGATCCAAGTATATGCTGCCTATAAGAAACTCACTTTACTCATAAAGACACATATAAACTAAAAGTAAAGGGGTGGAAAAATATTCCACACAAGAAGAAACCAAAACTGACGAGTAGCTATACGGATAACAGATAAAACAGACTTTAAATAAAAAACAATTTAGAAAAAGACGAAGGAGGTCATTATGTAATGATAAAGGGATCCTTCAACAGGAGAATATAACAATTCTAAATATATAAGCACTCAACATTGCAGCACTTTAATTCATAAAATAAATGTTACTAGACCTAAAGAAAGAAATAAAGCAATACAAATAAGAGTGGAGCATTTTAACACCCAACTCACAGCACTAGACAGATTGTCAAGACAGAAAATTAACAAAAACATTGGGGTAAATTGGATTTCAGACCAAATGAACTTAACAGACATTTATTAAACATTTCACCCCAAAACTACAGAATACACATTCTTTTCATCAGCACATGAAACATTCTCCAAGACAGACCACATGTTAGGCCACAAAACAATCCTGAACAAGTTTTTAAAAATCAAAATTCCATGAAGTATCTTTTTGCATCACAGTGCAATAAAGCTAGAAATCAATACCAAAAGGTACTTTAGAGCTTTCTCATACCAACCCCTGGACATTAAAATTCATGCTCCTGAAAAACTCACTGTGTCAATGAAAAAATTAAAACAGAAATTAAGATATTTTTCGAAATGAATGAAAATGAAAATAAAACATTCCAAAACCTGGGAGATACAGCAAAAGCAGTGCTAAGAGTTAAATTTATAATATTAAATGCCTACATCGAGAAATACAATAGTAGGATGACTATGGTCAATAATAATTTAATTGTACATTTTAAAATAACTAAAAGAGCATAACTGGATTGTTTGTAACACAAAGGATAAATACTTGAAGGGATAGATATCCCCATTTTACATAATATTATTATGCATTATGTGCCTGTATCAAAACATCTCATGTAACCCATAAATATATACACCTACTATGTACCCACAAATATTAAAATTAAAAAATACTTTGGAAAAAAAAGTAGAAATAACAAATAACAACCCAATGTTGCACCTCAAGGAAATAGAAAAGCAAGAACAAAACGAAGCCAAAGTTAGCGGAAGAAAAGACATAACAAAGATCAGAGCAGAACTAAATGAAATAGAGAACAAAATAATATAAAGGATCAATGAAATGAAAAGTAAGTTCTTCAAAAAGATAAACAAAATTGATAACCCACTAGCTAGAATAACCAAGAAAAAGGAGAGAAGATCCAAATAAACACAATCAGAAGTGAAAAAGGAGACATTACAATTGATACCACAGAAATACAAAAAGAAAAAGAAATAATAGCTTCAGCAGAGACTATTATTATTACTGTATGAACAACTATATGCTCACAAACAAAGAAAATCTAGAGGAAATGGACACATTCCTGGAAACACACCAACCTCCTGAGATTGAACCAGGAAGAAATAGGACTCCTGGATGGAGCAATAATAAGTAGTGAAATTGAAGCAGTAATGTAAAAAATCTTCCAACAAAAAAAGCCCAGGACCAGATGGATTCACAGCCAAATTGTACCAAATATACAAAGAACTAATACCAATCCTCCTGAAATTATTAAAAAAAAAATTAAGGAGTAAGGTATTCTCCCTAACTCATTCTACAAGCCAGTATCAACCTGATACCAAAACCAGACAATGGCACATCACAAAAATAAAACTATAGATCAATATCCCTGATGAACATAAATGAAAAAATCTTCAACAAAATACTAGCAAATCAAATCCTACAGTGCATCCAAAAGTTAATACACTATAATCAGTTGGGTTGTATCCCAGGGATGTAAGGATGTTTCAACATATGAAAATCAATAAATGTTATACATCAAATAAACAGAATTAAGGGCAAAAACCATATAATTATCTCAATAGATGCAGAAAAAGCATTCAATAGAATTCAGCATGCCTTAGTGATAAAAATCTTCAAGAAAGATGAAAAGAACCTAGGCCTGGAAAGAATTTACTCCAACATAATAAAGGCCACATACAACAAACCCACAGCCAACATCATATTTAATGGGGAAAAGTTGAAAGTATCCCCTACAAGAACTGGAACAAGACAAGGATGTCCACTTTCTTTTTTATTTATTTATTTATTTACTTTTTTATTATATTTTAAGTTCTAGGGTACATGTGCACATTGTGCAGGTTAGTTACATATGTATACATGTGCCATGCTGGTGCGCTGCACCCACTAACTCGTCATCTAGCATTAGGTATATCTCCCAATATTATCCCTCCCCACTCCCCCCACCCCACAACAGTCCCCAGAGTGTGATATTCCCCTTCCTGTGTCCATGTGATCTCATTGTTCAATTCCCACCTATGAGTGAGAATATGCAGTGTTTGGTTTTTTGTTCTTGCGATAGTTTACTGACAATTATGATTTCCAATTTCATCCATGTCCCTACAAAGGACATGAACTCATCATTTTTTATGACTGCATAGTATTTCATGGTGTATATGTGCCACATTTTCTTAATCCAGTCTATCATTGTTGGACATTTGGGTTGGTTCCAAGTCTTTGCTATTGTGAATAATGCCGGATGTCCACTTTCATAATTCTTATTCAACATAGCAGTGGAAGTCCTCACCAGTGCAATCAGGCAAAAGAAAAAAAAATAAAAGGCATCAAAATCAGAAAAGAAGAAGTCAAATTATCCCTTTTTGCTGATGATTAATCTTATCTCTAGAAAACCCTAAAGACACTACCCAAAAAATTCTTAGACTTGATAAATGAATTTAGCGAAGTTTTAGGATACAAAATTAACATACAGAAATCAGACACATTTCTATACAACAATCATGACCTGGGCAAGGACCAAATCAAGAAAGCAATCCCATTTACAATAGCTATAAGAAAAATAAAATACCTAGGAATACATTTAACCAAGGAGAATAATGGTCTCTATAAGGAGAATGACAAAACACTGATGAAAGAAATCATAGATGACACAAACAAATGGAAAAACATCCTGTATTAGTTCGTTTTCACACTGCTATAAGGAACTGCCCAAGTCTGGGTAATTTTATAAAGGAAAGAGGTTTAATTGACTCACAGTTCAGCTTGGCTGGGGGGGCCTCAGGAAATTTACAATCATGGTGCAAGGCAAAGGGGAAGAAAGGCACCTTCTTCACAAGGCAGCAGGAAGAAGTGCCCAGCAAAGGGGGAAGATATCCTTATAAAACTATCAGATCTCATGAGAACTCACTCACTATCATGAGAACAGCATGGGGGAAACCACCCCCCTGATTCAATCACCCACACCTGGTCTCTCCCTTGATGTGGGGATTATGGGAATTAGAATTCAAGTTGAGATTTTAACAGCCAAACCATATCACATCCCATGCTCTTGAACAGGAAAAATCAATATTGTTAAAATGACCATAGTACCCAAAGCAATCTACAGAGTCAATGCAATTCCTATCAAATTACCCATGCCATTTTTCACAGAATTAGAAAAAATGATCCTAAAATTCACATGGAACCAGAAAAGAGCCCAAATAATGAAAGTAATCCTAAGCACAAAGAACAAATCTGGAGGCATCACATTACCTGACTTCAAGTTATACTACAAGGGCTATAGTAACCAAAACAGTGTGGTACTGTTATAAAAATAAACACATGTATCAATGGAACAGAATAGAGAACCCAGAAATAAAGCCACATCCCTACAACCAAGTGATCTTTGACAAAGTCAACAAAAATGTACATTGGGGAAGTGATGTTCTATTCGATAAATGGTGCCAGCAAAATTGGATAGCCATATGCAGAAGAATGAAACTAGATCCGTACCTCTCACCACATATGAAAATTAACACAAGGTAGATGAACAACCTAAACATAAGACCTGATACTATAAAAACCCTCGTTTTCTTAAAAATAAGAAAACCTAGGAAAAACTCTTCTGGACATTGGCCTAGGTAAAGAATTTATGACCAAGTCCTGAAAAGCAAACACAATAAAAACAAAGGTAGACAAATGGGACTTAATTAAACTAAAAAGCTTCTGCACAGCAAAAGAAACAATCAACAGAGTAAACAGACAACCTACAGAATGGGAAAAGTATTTGCAAACTGCGCATCCAACAAAGGGCTAACATCCAGAATCTGCAAGGAACTCAAACAACTCAAGAAGAAAAAAGCAAATAACCTCATGAAAAAGTGGGCATAGGACATGAAGAGACATTCATCAAAAGAAGACATAAAGTGAGGCCAGGCTCAGTGGCTGACGCCTGTAATCCCAGCATTTTGGGAGGCCAAGGTGGGCAGGTCACAAGGTCAGGAGTTTGAGACCAGTCTGGCCAACATAATGAAACCCTGTCTCTACTAAAAATACAAAAATTAGCCAGGCATGGTGGTGCACACCTGTAGTCCCAACTACTAGAGAGGCTGAGGCAGGAGAATCGCTTGAACTTGGGAAGCAGAGGTTGTGGTGAGCTGAGATCGCGCCACTGCACTCCAGCCTGGGCAACAGAGCAAGACTCCGTCTCAAAAAAAATAAGACATAAAGTGGCCAACAAACATATTAAAATATGCTCACCATCACTAATCATCAGATAAATACAAATTAAAACCATAATAAGATACCATCTTACACCAGTCAGTATGGTTATTATTATTATTAAAACTGCTAAAAACAATAGATGTGGGTGAGGATGTGGAGAAAAGGAAATGCTTATACATTGTTGATGGGAATGTAAATTAGAACAACCACCATGGAAAACAGTATGAAACTTTCTCAAAGAACTAAAAATAGAGCTATTATTCAATCCACAATCCCACTACTAGGTATTTATCGAAAGGGAAAAATATTATTATATCAAAAAAATGCTGACTGGGCACAGTGGCTCACATCTGTAATTCCAGCACTTTGGGAGGCTGAGGTGGGTGGATCCCTGAGGTCAGGAGTTCAAGACCAGCCTGGCCAACATGGTGAAACCCTGTCTCTACTAAGAATATAAAAAAAAATTAGCCGGTCGTGATGGTGGATGCCTATAATCCCAGCTACTTGGGAGGCTGAGGCAGAAGAATCACTAGAACTTGAGAGGCAGACTTTGCCATGAGCTGAGATTGCACCACTGCACTTCAGCCTGGGTGACAGTGCAAGACTGTCTCAAAAAAAAAAAAAAAAAAAAAGATACCTGCACTTATGTGTTTATTGCAGCACTATTCACAACAGCAAAGATATAGAATCAACCTAACTCCATCAATGGTGGACTGAACGAAGAAAATGTGAGATCTACATCTAGATCTCATATTTTGGATCTCATATATATATTAATATACATATATACACACACATATATATATATCTAAAAGATATATATATATATAACTTTATTCTTTTTTATGACTGAGTAGTATTCTGTGGTGTGTGTGAATACTACTTAGTCATAAAAAAGAATGAAGTCATGTCTTTTGCAGCAATATGGATGAAACATCCATGGATGGAACTGGAGGCCATTATCCTTAGTGAAATAACTCAGAAACAGAAAGTCAAACATCACATATTCTCACTTAGAAGTGGGAGCTGAATAATGGATACACATGGACACACAGAGTGGAATAATAGACATCGGAGATGACAAAAGGTGGGAAGGGGTGAGAGGGTGAGGGTTGAAAACTTACCTATTGGGTAAAATGTTCACTATTAGGGTAATAAGCACACTAAAAGCCTAGACTTCACCCTATGCAATGTATGCATGGAAGAAATCTGCACTTGTACCCACCAACTATATACAATTTTAAAACTTTTTAAAATAAAAATATATATTAAATGAGTACTTTTTTCACATTTTACAGAAATACATGTTAACATTTTTTAAAATATGATTACATCTTTGCTTATTCAGGTTCTTTCAAGATATTAAGTTTCTCTGTATAGTGAAACACACAATGAAGAGTACCTATTTTATGTCTGTTATTTGTCTTCAAGGCGGGTAAGTTCTTACAGAGCAACAAGATTCTTTTAAGAGGACTCTGGATGTGATAATAACTAGCATTCTTTGATGGTCTCAAAGTGCACATGCTATTAGATTGATGCAAAAGTAATTGCGGTGTTGCCATTAAAAGTCATTTCGAAAACGGCAGTTACTTTTGCATCAACCTAATAGTTGAGTCCTTACAGTAATTCTGAGGGGGTATTATTTGTATTTCACACAAGTGGCCACTCAGATGCAAGAAATGAAGTAAATTACCTGAACTCAACATTGCTAAGAAGAAAGCAGAGCTGGGATTCAAATCGAGGTCTTCTGATTCCAAATTCCATACACCACACATCATGTACCAGTATTCCTTCTAACTTAACATTCTTAATTGCAGAAGACACTGAATATTAGAAAAAGGGAGGTGACTAAAATCAATTCTCACTTCCAAGCATGCTGTGGGGCTACTTTTTTTTTTTTTTTTTTTTTTTTTACCAGTTCCATACGTGTGTGTCTACTTGCCATTTCTCCCCTGTCCCTTCCTGTTCCCTCCTCTTCTATCCTGTCATCCACTCTCCTCTTCACTCTTATCTACCTTCCCATCTATCATCTTCTCTTACATACATCGATAGACTACAGGTAGACACTTTTTATTTCACCATAGCAGTAACTCAGATTTCCGATAAATGGAAAACAACATTAAATGCACTAATTTTAACATGTTATCATTGAGCTTGCAATGAGTTTTTTAAAAATAGTATTGATTACCTGAAAGTGTACTTGAGAAAGTGACTTAAATATCATTTTACAAGATTGGATTGGGTTAAGGACAATCTTCCTGAGTCTGGACCACATCTGTCAACCAAGCTACAGAGTTTGCAGGGAGGCGAGAATGAGTTTGGGCCGAAGGTCTTTGGGACCCTCACCCTGGAGGGCACATCTTTGAGTTTCTTCTTCTCCTAGGAATTCTCCTTTCAGGGTGAGTTAAATTAATTTGAACATACCTACCTGGCCATGAAGGGTTTGGTGCTCTGTTACATGAAAAGAAATGTCTGTGATTATGAAGATGATTAATATTTTTACTTTCAGATTGGTCCCCAAGGAAGAGAAATAATGGTTCCTGAGCCAAATGTATCTTCCACTGAGAGTGAGAAAATGTAAGTCACTTAGGGGAGAAATCTTGTTCTAGCCAAAAGGACAGGCAGTGGCTGCAAAAAAACAAGTTGTTGCAGTGCTTACAGCACTGATTAAAGCATCAGCCCCTCCTTAGCTTCTCCAATCCCACTCTAAGTCACCACTAATCTAATTCTACCAAGGCTCTCCGATAGATCCCATTCTGCAGTTTATATATTTGGTGGTAAATTTGTGTGTAAGTGATCCTAAGAAACTGCTAACCCACAACAACCATGATGCTTAAAGAAGATGGGGAAAGGGTTATCTCTCGTTCTCTTTGACGAAAGTGTCATTGGAAGGAAAGTCTGACGTATTCCCAGTTGGTTTTGTGCCAGACTCAGAAATCCATCTTAGGTGGGGAAACAGAGCACATTAGAAAATTAAATGATCTGGTAGTCTCTGATCCCAAAGGACTAAAAATCCAGTTGGAAACCAAGATCTAGACAGAAGAAAATCTAATAGCAAGCAAAGGGCCAATGACAATAAAGCCAACAAAATAAAAAGTAAGCCAGAACACCAGCCATAAGTTCAGGAAAGGGAGAAAAGAACATAACATCCTACAGAAGATTTTTTGGGGCAACATTAAAGGTTTTGAGCATAATCACACAGTTCAACCCTGTTTAGAAAGAGTACAGGTTTCTGCTAAAAGGTTGTAAGGGCCACAGGTAATGTTGGCATGCTGGTGAGACCTAGACTTTTGCACTGTTCCATCCACTATGCCAAGCCTGCTGCTCGAGATACAAGGGACCCTGTAATTGCTTTAATATTGCTGCTAACATGGAAATTATTAAATTCATTACCTGATCCCTCTGAATTCCAAGTCAGTGTCCCAATTAAAAAAAAAAGTTATTTCTTTTTTCTTTTTTTTTTTTTTGAGATGAAGTCTTGCTCTGTCACCCAGGTTGGAGTGCAGTGGCACCATCTCAGCTCACTGCAGCCTCTACCTCCCGGGTTCAAGCGATTCTCATGCCTCAGCATGAGATGCATTTTTAGTAGAGATGGGGTTTCACCACAGGCCAGTCTTGCACTCCTGACCTCAAGTGATCTGCCTGCCTTGGCCTCCCAAAGTGCTGAAATTATAGGCATGAGCCACTGCACCTGGCTGAAAAATGTTATTTTCATTTTAGTTTAATTTGTTCTTCTTTATAGGTCATGAAAAAAAGAAGCAAAAGTTTGTCCAGTGTCCTACTTCAGTGACAGAAGTAAAATGGCCACTTTTCACTTGTTGGTTTCCCTACAGTGCACCATATGGTTGCTGTGCCAGCGGGCTTAGGGGAGGAGGGGAAACCATGAGCCTCCCATGGCCTCAGCTCCAGCACTTGCCTCTCAGGCCTGCAGGACTGCAGGTCCCCACCCTGCGTTCCTATCCCAGACCATCCCAAGTCTCCTGTCGTTTAAAAGAAAGGAATGTGTTCACTTTTAAGACTAGAACGTTAAGCCTGAAATATAATTGGCTGCCCTCGATAAAGCAGAATTTGGGCCAAACAGGCCCTATCCTGAGAGAATGCATGACTTTTAATAACTAAAAACCAGGTACAGTTGGTCGTGAATGATAACATACTAGGGTGTTTCCAAATAACTCAAAGACCTTTTGCTGTTGGGAGACTGGCTACCTTGACTATTTATTAGATCCAATTGCAAGTAGAAACTACTCTTTAAAAAAAAACAAAAAACAAAAACGCAGCTGTCTATAGTCCAAAACCATGGAAACCAGCTCTCTCTGCAAACAATGAGCCTGCTTCCCGCCAAGACAGCCAGAGCTTCTCAGTTCTCATGATTTTCTTCCAAATCCCAAACACCAAATGCCTTTAAAATGCACAAAAGAGCAAGGAGCCTACTGAATTGGCAGTTATTCCTGCTCCTTTTTAGTCAATGTCTGTGTAAAGAAAGGAAAGGCATAAAAAGATATGTGTTTTGCTTGGTTAGAGTTTCCAAAGACAAGATGGCCTCAGGACAAGTTAAGCCTCTGCTTAGAGAGCTGCTTGGAGCAACCCATGGAGCGCTTCTGCATTTTCATGGCCAATGTATGTTTTCTTTCTCAGCAAAGGCCTTGTTCCAGGGGAAACTGAAATGTATGAGGTCCAGAAGGAACCCCATAGAAACCACACTGCATCTCAACAGGGCCACAGTCAGCACATAGTTTCCAGGTTATAAACCTCCCTCCCACTTCACCCTTCAATCCCAGAGAGTCTGCAGTCTGCTTTACAAACACTCTTGCGACATATGACTAGAAGCCCATGTGAACTGGAATCTTAAATGCACACCAAAACGCAGATTATGCTATCAGGGTCATCCTGCAAGGCCCCCTGTTCCCCCAGAGGCCAACCCAAGCAAAACTGAGGCACAGCTGAGGCCCCATGCTGTAAGAGGCTTTCCACCTCCCACCTCAGCAGCCTGCCCACGTCCACAGGCCCAAAGCAGTGTCCTCAGGCCCAAGGCAGTGTCCTCATGGACTGGGACCCTCTGTTCACACAAGACGGCTAGCTGTTACTCAAGCTACATCAGCACAGCCCAGGATCGCTTATCTCTTCCTGAGAACCTCTCCACTGCCTTGGGGTCAAGTTGCCCCTCAGTGCTCCCTGTATCTGCATATTGCTCCTACTCCAGCTCCTTCACCAGGCTGTGAGCTCCATTCTGTTCACTGCTGCATCCCTGGTCCTTAGTTCAGTGCCTGCTACTCAGCAGAAGCTCAATAGACATTTCTTGAAAGTTGTTGGAGCATCAGTGTTGGAGAGATCCATGCTAACTATCCATTCATTAGAATGAATCTCTATTGGTAGAAGTTCAGTGAAAGAAATGTGAGTAAAAGAGATATTTGGAGCAGAGGGCAACTTCCAAAAATCCATCAGATAGGCTGCCACCTGTGTATCAGCCTGCCCTGTGCATCAGCTGTAACCTTTATTGTGTCTTGGAGTTCTTTGAGAATGTGATTAAATCTATACACCCTTTATTCAAAAATACACACACACACACACACACACACACACACACACACACATGCATTGTTGTCTGTAATTTCAAGAGTTTTAGAGGATCCCCTGAAGCACATTTCTGGGACCTCAGGCTAAGAACACCTGCGCCATCTTAAAATTTGATACTTTTCTCTGCTTCTATTTTAGTCTTCTACCTCCCTGAGGGCAGGAAGGAAATCTTAGTCAACTCTGTGTCTACCATCATTCCTTGCACATAGTGGGGATCCCTTGAAAAAAATGCACACAAACCGAGAAAGCAATGAACCAGTGACTCTTGAAATACAGTAATAGCACCGATCCTAAGCAATCCACCATTTGCTTCTGTACTTTCCCTCCACCTACCCACCCATGGAAGCATGTCTAAGACTTGCAGAGTCAGAAATAAGGAGTGCTTCTGACATCTATGCAGAGCAAACAACCAAGAGTGCCTGCCCCAGGATATTGTCCTCTGTGGTGAGGGAGACGGTTGCAGGACTGTCCCCAGAGGATGCTTTCTAAACCTATGGGGGCAAGTTTTGGTTGTCACAATAATCAGGGGGCCACCGTCAATGTTTATTGGGTGAGACACCAGACATGTTGCAATGTCTAGGCTAATTCTGCATTGCAAAGAATTGTCCAAAGTCTCACATGACTCCCAATTGTACCATCAGATATTCATGTAGGTGAAAACATATTTATAGATCTGTGATTCTGGATCCTAACTCTGTGTTACAAAGTAATTTTTGTACAGTTCTTAAGGTACACTGAATTTTCCAAAAATGCAGCTACCACATAAGTCCATGTGAGATTGTAGATTGTTTGGTTGGAACTTTACCAAGAGCTGTTCACCTTTTGAAAAATCTCAATGCTAATGTCTACACCTCTGTTGGGATTTGAGCCAGCGGCGAAGCACACCTGTATCATGCTACATGTGAGAACCATTATATTCAGTGATTCTACATAGGTATGCAAGCTCTGACTACTTTATCATGTCATCTGTTGTAGTTGTACCCAAGCATTTACATATTTAAATGTATATTCCTCTTTAAAATTATTTTTTAACATTTCTCATTTATATTCCAGTAAGAATATTCTATTGAATTTCAAAATTATGTTTAGAAGTTTTGTTACCTAGATGTTTAATTTCAAGAGATTAAAAGAAATGTTACAAAAAGTTTCCTATAAAAAGGAAATTAAGTCTGACAGTGAACTACAGCAACACCATTTATATGGTGAATCATTAAGGATGCTTTTAGATGCAAGTAACATCATGCTAAATGTGGTTTGAAAAATAAAGATGTTAGTTTTCTCATAAAACAAGAAGCCCAGAGGTAGGTATTTTCAGTGTTGGCTTAGTGGCTTAATGAGGTGGAAAAGAACCCAGGTGACTGTCATCTTTCTGCTCGGCTACCTTCAGTGAGTTGTCATTTATCCTCAGGATTGTCCCTTCGAGGTTGCAAGAGAACTGCTGCAGCTCAGTCTCTATCCAAAAGGAAGAGGCACTAATTTTCCCTTGCATAGATCTTTTAACTAAAGAAGAAGGTTTTTTCCAGAAGCTCCAGGGAAGACTTTCATTCTGGTTTAATTCACCGGGATTTAACTAGATGCTGATGGCAATAAGGGGAGCTGGGAAAGCTAGTGTTTTCAGTATTAAATACAGGTGGCTCTGCTGGTGAGGCTCTGGACAGGGGACTCAGGGGGCACAGGTGCAAATGGCTGTTGGTTGCAAACATAACTGCTTGCTATGATTACTCAGAACAAAAAACACCTAACAAATGGTAGGTTTTAGAATGATATATCTATATGTTTATACTTCAACCAAAAGTATGGAAAAAAGTCATCAGTGAGACTATGTTTAATGGTATTGATTCTCCATACCCTTTTTCTTCCTAGTTGCCACAATTTATTGGTTTTTGTTTGTTTTTTGTTTTTGTTTTGTTTTTCTTTTTTTGAGACAAGGTCTTGTTCTGTTGCCCAGGCTGGAGTTCAGTGGCACGATCACAACTTACTGCAGCCTCAACCTTCTGAGCTCAAGCCATCCGCCTACCTCCAACTCCCAAGTAGCTAGGACTACAGCTGTGCCACCATGCATAGCTAATTTTTTCTTTTTCTGTAGAGACAAGGGTCTCTCTATGTTGCCCAGGCTGGTCTTGAACTCTTGGACTCAAGTGATCCTCCCACCTCGGCCTCCAAAGATGTTGGGATTACAAGCATGAGCCACCATGCCCAGCTCTAGTTGCCATAATTTGATTTTAAATCAAAATGGCATGTTCTATGTTCAAAAATGATTCAACTGTGCCACCTACCTCATGGCTTTGGTGTGGGTGACAAGTGAGAATATATGCAATTACACCTCTAAGATATTCTTGATCTGATAGCATTATCCCCAGAGAATGCATATGAAGCGTAGCTCTAAGTTTATTTATTTATTTTTCACAGAATACAAATCAAAGTTTATTGTACAAAATTAAGGCCTTCGTATTTCATAATTCACCAAGGCTAAAGAAATACTAGATAATTTAAGTCCTTCACAAAAATTTCACTTTCACTTCCCCTAATCTCTATTACAATGACCCAACCAAATGTTAGCAAAACAAACACTATAAATAACACCAAGTCCTTTAAAGATGACTCTCCCAAATTTTATTTCTTGGCATAGGTGATCTTCATAGCATGGGATGTTGTGATCTTAAATCCCTGTAAAGCATCCCTGGCAGCTCCAGCCTTCCCATCATTTTCAAATTCAACAAAAGCAATGTCATGCCTCCCTGGTACTAGACATACTTCCTTGAAGCCAGGGAACTGATTAAACAGCATGGATAACATCATCTCATTAGTCTCTTCTGGTAAGTTATTAAGGAATAAAATATAGTTTGGAGGGTAATCGAGGACCTGAGGATTTGGTGTTGAATTTCCTTGGGTACTAGCTGAATTTGGAGTTCCCTAGCCAGGCCTTTTGTTTGTGGTTGTTGCAGTCTGTTCCACAGTTTTGGCTTTTTTCTTTTCTTTGTCAGCAAAAGTGCCACACATTTCAGATATTATATCCAAATCTGTTTTTGCATATGTATTCGCATTGGTTTACCATAAAATGGAAATCCTTGTGACTGTCTCTAAGCATTTGTGGATGAGCCCAGTTCCTTAAATATGACAAAGCCCTGCCCCTCATCTTCATGGTCTTTAAAGCCACAAAGTCCACCACATGACCAAACTGAGAAAACAGGGCATATAGGCATCTCTTCAATTCTTCCTTTTTAATTTTGTCATTCATATTGTTGATATAAATTGTATGATTTGGTCTGATATCCATGTTTGCGTTAAATTCTTCAGAAAGAGACAGTAAATAATCTAAGGCCTATGCCATCTCCCGTAAGAAACAAAAACTACTCTAAGTTTATTTTAAGCTAGGTTTCACAGCCTAAACGAAAATTAAAATGGAAAAAAAAATGTGTGAGACTGAAATTTTGCGATCTAACTTTCAAATTCACACAGAGATCTGATAGGCTAGACTACTAGAATATTGAGAATGCAACCTTTAAAAAAATGGAAATAGCAAAAAGGAGAATCTTCTGTCCTGTTTTAATCCCCACTGGCCGTGCCCTGTCGAGATCTAGAACACAATTAGGCACCAGAACCAGGAGCCAACAAAGGGTGATGCTGTTCTCTCCAGCTGCCACATGCTGAGCATCTCCATGCTCTTTGGTGCTGCTCAGTGGAGCCAGAGCTAACCCCAGGGACCAGATGTCTGGGTTTGCCCAGGAAGGTCTCACTTCACTCATACTACTGATATGCACAAGAGGCAAGGAAATACCGGGTAGTAGAGGGTGGTTCCCCAGCAAAGGCCCCACCCTCAAGCCTGGTCACCCAAGGCCTTAAATGGGAATAGGCATTCCTGTTTTTGTCCCCAACTGTTGCCTTTTCCAAGACCACCCTGGCCCACCACACCCCCCATCCTGTACCCATAAAAATCTGCTCCACGAGCAGAAGCATGGCAGAGCAGCAGAGCAGCAGAGCGGCATGGCAGAGAATGAGAGAAGAGAGGAAGCACCTGAGAGGAGTTTGGCTGGGGGCAGTCGGAGAGGAGATCAGCTTCAGGATGGCTGAACTCCAGGGGAAGATCATCTTCCCACTCCATCCCCTCTCCAGCTTCCCATCCCACTGAGAGCCACCTCCATCACCCAGTAAAATCCCCGCATTCACCATCTTTCAAGTACATGTAACCTGATTCTTCCTGGATGCAAGGCAAGAATTTGGGATGCACTGGGTGCAGAATCCCAAAAAGGCTGTCACCCTGACTCTTCACTGAGCTGTTTAACACTTAAGCCATCCCTGGACAGCAGGGCTGAAAGAGCACTGTAATACTCGTAGACACTGCCATGGGGCCAGAGCCCAAAAGTGCTCACCCTGGCTCCGGCACCTGCTCACCGGCATGCTCCCCTCCTGTAAGTGGTTTGAGCATGTGGTGGCAGAGCAAACAAGCCACACCCCTGTTGAAAGTCCCACAAAGGGGTCCAGGGAGTCTCCCATTTCATTACTCCTACCCTAATTAAAACTGTGCTGGTTTGGGGATAGTTACCCCATGAATCAATTTGGAAATTCTAGACCATAAAATTTCGACTCACACCCAATCCCTCAGCTGAAGAAAGAAAAGCTAAAAGAAGGGGAAAGCTGTAGGGTTGGGGAGTTGGAGCAGAAGAGGGTTAAGCAGGAAGAAAAAAAAAGAGTAGGCCATTAAGAAAATAAAAACTCAGGCCCTACATTAGGAAGAACAAAAATTCAGAATGCCATTCCTCCAGGTATTCTCCTTCTTGGCTGGGAGGGCTGGTGGGGAAGGAAAATTTCACAACAGCCCAATGAATGGATGGCTTGTTTCCCTCCAAGGAGGCTTACAGCTGGACACCAGTAGTCCGAATAGCAGTCCTGTTTCTCAGGCAGGCTTCCAAGGCCGCCAAGTGTTACAAGCCCTTCATAGAGCAGTGGATTTTAAAGGTGAATTGAAACTATTTTAAGATCCCTCTTGGGTAGCAGATGGACAGAATGACGGATTGTTACTATGGTGTAGTTGTTTTCATTCCTGGCCCAACTGCCACACTAAGCACATAGCACTGTGGGCTCCACAAGGGACAGGCATGGTTTGCTCTCTCTGCAAGCACGATGTGTTCTGTAAAACATGCAAGGAAAGAAGAGTGGGAACCAGATTACAAGTTCTTCTAAACAAAATAGAAAAACATTTACTAGGCCATAATAGGACTAAGCAAGCTAATGCAGAATTTCACTTTGATATTATCTTTGAGAGCCAGTTGGGGGAAGCGGGGTGACATGTATGTGAAATTGTACTTTCAGGAGTTTTATTCAATAAGCCAAAAACTAAGAAGTCTTTTGATTGGATCAGTGTTACCCAATTTTGGGGCCAAAATAATAATAATAAACTTTGGTATAGCTCAGTGGTTAAGAGTTCCAGTTCTAGGCCAGGAGCGGTGGCTCATGCCTGTAATCCCAGCACTTTGGGAGGCCGAGGCGGGAGGATCACAAGGTCAGGAGATTGAGACCATCCTGGCTAACACGGTGAAACCCCATCTCTACTAAAAATACAAAAAAATTAGCTGGGTGTGGTGGCGGATGCCTGTAGTCCCAGCTACTTGGGAGGCTGAGGCTGGAGAATGGCGTGAACCCGGGAGGCAGAGCTTGCAGTGAGCCGAGATTGCACCACTGCACTCCAGCCTGGGTGACAGAGCTAGACTCCATCTCAAAAAAAAAAAAAAAAAGAGTTCCAGTTCTAGATTAGATAGCCTTGATTCAAATCTCAGCTTCATCAGTTACTAGTAACTCTAGGCAAGTTCTTTAACCGCTTTGTATCTTGGTTTTTTCATCAGTAAAATGCTGATGTTGCCTCTGTCATAAGGTTGTTGGGAAGAGCTGATAAACAAAATGCTTAGGACACTGCCTGGCACATCCTGGAGCTTGTTAATGTCAGTTGTGGTGGTAGTTGTCACTATTACAAGGTATAATTTCAAGGTTCCATTGTAATCTCTTAAATGTGCTTAGCTATGCTCAATTTGACAGCCAGGGAAAAATGTTTTTTTCAGAGATAAGCTACTGATATTTTGATAATGCTCCCAGTTTCCCTCCCTTGAGTAGGTCAGGAAGGAGGAAGGTTTGTGAAAGAACGGAGCTATTATAAAACATAGTTACAGGGTTGTATAGCTCTAGAGGGTTTCTGTGCTGCCCTGGTTACTTCTCTTGCTGAAAAAGAAGGAAGTGTTTGGGAGGCTGAGGCTGGCAGATCACGAGGTCAAGAGATCGAGACCATCCTGGCCAACGTGGTGAAACTCCGTCTCTACTAAAAATACAAAAATTAGCCAGGTGTGGTGGCATGAGCCTGTAGTCCCAGCTACTTGAGTGGCTGAGGCAGGAGAATTGCTTGAACCCGGGAGGCAGAGGTTGCAGTGAGACGAGATCGGGCTGCTGCACTCCAGCCTGGCGACAGAGCTAGACTCTGTCTCAAAAAAAAAAAAAAAAAAGAAGGAAGTGGTAAGAATTCATAGCAATTAGAGTCACCAAAGCTGGGAAGGTAGGACTGAAATGTTTTTGTTCCACAAAAGTTTTCTGAGCCTTTGCCTACACAAAGTACTTTATTAGGACATTTCCGTGCTACCTATGCGATGCTCAAGGACTTCATTCATTCACTCATTTATTCCACGAGTCTGTGAGCATTAACTATGGATCAAGAACTGTCCTAGGGGCTGGAGATAGAACAACAGACACAACAGGGTCCTAACCTCAGGGCCTCACAGAGTATGGGGGATGCTGACCATTAGCAATCATTAGTGATAGCTCAGGAACTCAGGCAGCAGAGAGGAAAGGGCCAAACTCATCACTTGATGCATGGGAAAGCAATCTCAGGTACCAGCACAGGCAGAGTCCACATATGGAAGCGTTTCAAAGTGGAGAATTCCTGATTTGATGTCAGATTTAAAAGAGCAGGTAAAACTCAGAGTCAATTTAGTATGAGCAGTGAGGGGAGACAGGGGAGTTGGCAAGGCAGGGAGTAGGTACCACTCATTAGTTCTTTGCCTGCAGCGTGACCAGCGTTGTGCTAAGCCCTTTCCGCCATGCTCTATGACAATCCACTGAAGTCAGGATGGCTGTTGTCTTTTGACAGATGAGAAACCCGAAGCACAGGGTATTTAGGTGGCTTGGTCAAGGTCTTCCAGCTGCTTAGTTGTGCTGGGTTAAGCAAATGGCTGTGGCTTCAAGCTTTGGTTTTTCCACTGCCCGACGGGGGCTCGGTTCCAGGAAGGCAAGTGGAGTCCATCCAGGATATTATGAAAGGAAAACTAAGAGCATGTTGTTACATCCAGAATGATGGTAATATGTTTAAAGTTAGATTATATTAGGAAACTGGCAATACTATGTGTCCCTAGGTGTGATCCAGCCCGGATGGCAAGCCAGGCAAATAAAGTTCATTATCGATAGCCTGATATGCCCAAAGTGTTAATTTGCATATAGGACTTGCACTGGCTGCTCAATCAGGCTACTTGTGATTTCTCTTTCCCTGAGATACCCATTTGGCCCAGGGATGTATGCAAATGAGTTCTGGATGTTCATAAAATCTCTGTCTCCCCACAAAATGCAGATTGCCAAGTGTTGCATCTCTTCCAACCAAGTTTTCATTCTCATCTCTTTGGTTCTTTGATTGATTTTGCTACTCCATTTCTAGAACCTTCTTCACCATCACCCCATCTTGGGTTGGTTAGTGTTTATGTTCAGCTCTAAGTAACAGAAACCTGACTAAACAGTGGCTTCAAAGAACCATGAGGTTTAATTTTTCTTAGTGGCAGTTGCTAGCATTAGTGGAGATGTGAAAATGTTGATCCTGTCAAGAAGTAAATTGCTTGCATAGATGGTAAGGTATTTCATGCTGCCCCGAGTCTCCAGATTGTTATTTACTGTCCTAGATGGGGCCATTTAGTTTTCATGACAGGCTGCTGACTTTCTAGTTACTGTCTTCTCTCTAGCTGGCCTGGCTCCATTCTAATTTCATCAGATTCAGTCTATTATTGGGCCAACCTGGAGCTTCCCTGGGAAGCTGCTCCACTTGCCAGTGGTTCAGAATGTAGGTCCTGGGTTAGCTCTGAGATGCCCTTGGTTTTGAGTTGCTGAAGCAGAGCCTTCACACACCCTCAGTCCCATGCTCTTCTGAGGGCACAGAGAAACCATGACATGGGAACAGGACATCATTGAAAAGCCTACTGTGTGCCAGGTGCTTTAGACACTTTCTCCCTGAAGCCTCATGAGAACCTAGGAAGTGAATCCTATTATATTTTCCATTTGGGAGATGAGGACACAGGTTTAGCAAATGTAAATAACAAGACTGTATGGCCAGCACGGGTCTGTCTGATCCCAAACCCTATTCTCTTTCCAGTCACAATGTGCTGAGCCCTGAAAGTTCCAAATTGTCCTAAGTTCCTTAAGTACCCGCATCAAGGGTGGGGCAGGGGCGGAGAGGAGAAGGCAGAGTAGACACCATATCTCAGGGAACCTGGGATCAGGCCAGAACCCCAGGGGATGTGTGCTACAGAAGAAATTTCCCTGGAGTCTGCTAGTGACACAGACTAAGGTCTCTGGTGATTACATAACAGCCATAGCTCCCCCAGACAGCTGGTATCCACAGTGGCAGAAACAGGGGATCCCTTAGCTAGTTTAGATATTCTATAAGAGCTAGGAGAAATCATACCTAGTTCTGCACTACGGTTAGGCAGAAAAGTTTCAAAATGCTGAGTTGCCTTGCTCCTGGCAAGAGTCACATCAGCTCCAGGTGGTGGCCACTTATCTTGTGCTCATCAAAAACTATAATCAGTGGTTCTATATCTCTCTCTTTTTAAAAATGACTTAGATCTAATAATCATTTAATAATCATACAGGGGGCAGTACACAGACCCTCACTGCCCCAACGGCATTTGCAAAAGGCACTGGGGCAGAAAGGGTCTGCGTACTGCTCCCCAAACTGATCCCCATCAAGTAAAGATTTCCACAGTGGCCCTTGTGTTCTGTCTCTGGAAGGAGAGGTAGCAATCTGCTGATCCTGTGGGCTCAGGTCTCCTTGCCCATCCCTCACTCCTCACCAGCATTAGGAGCCCCCATACCCCTCTCTGGTCATCATTCTTTGTTCTATGGCTTGGGGCAGTGCCACTGATCCACAGAAGAGGACTTCCATGTCTATGGTGGTCTTCGCCATTTCCCAGCAAATGGCCACAAGATGCCCAGTTCTTTCGTGTCCTCCCAGGTAGACATCATGCGTGTCTACCCCAGGTCTTACAGTTCTCTTGGGAGTGCTTGGCCTGAAAGGGAAATAAGCGGATGGCTTGTCTATACCATACCTGTTTACAAAAGTTATTTCATGTGGGGCACTGAAGAAAAAAGTTGAAACAGAAAGGAAGATTCTGTGTATGGAGCCTCTGGAAACGGGAATCAATGAAACTTAAGTTCTCCCAGAAAAGTGTGGGGTGCATTGTACAACTTAACTTTAGGGAACATGGTCCAATACAGTGCTTCCCATCCTCTCTGTTGTCATGGTGCATGGGAAACATGATCGTATTTGAACCACACACTGGGGAACAAGGTAAATAAGCAGGGCCACTCACAGCCAGAAACAACAGGCCAGGAAGCTCTGGAAACCCCATACCCCACCAGGCCTCACTGAGAAGAAGGAACCCAAGTCTGGGCACACCATTGGGAGCCTGTAGTCCAGGCAATAGAAGGGTTGATGAAAATCCAGAGGAGCTCAATCCTGTTGTCACAGATGTGTGTATTTTTCCCCTGGGCAGCTCAGGAACCAACACAGCTACATGGTGTCTGGAGCAGCTTTCTAAAACCTTCCCTCTCTGAGCCTCGACTTCACCTCAGTCTAAAAATCACTCAGCAGCTCTGAACTCCTGATGATCAAGGGTCATTCTGATCATACATGATCAATTCTGTTTCTCTCTTATAGCCAAAAAGTCAACAGTCCCCTAGGAAATGAAGGAAGAGAAGTTGTATGATTCATACCATTACTGGGCAGTTTGTACTTTATCTCTTCCTTCCATAAAGCCTGTGGCAAAAAAAAAAAAACTGTTGTATTTTGATTGGTGACACCCCACCAAAAGGTCTCAAGACACATCTTCTATTTTGTTTTTAATAGCTCCCACCTTATTGCATCTTACTGCTAATGTAAAATGTCAATCAGTACATTTTTAAGAGGGCATTTTAAGAATAGTTTATTGCACCTTCAATTAAATTTATGACATAACTAGATATTGCAAAGACATATGAAAGTCATGATTGGAGTCCACAGAATTGATGCTAAAAATAACCTAACAAAAGGAAGAATTGACTTAAATTCATGTATATGTTTATCAAATTTAATTTAATGAGTAGCTTTGAAATGACCCAGCAATTCTACTCCTAGGTTTATGTACCTGAGAGCAGTTTGTGCATAGATCCACCAAAAGATATGTACGAGAATGTTCATAGCAGCTTTATGTAAAATAGCCCCAAATTGGAAATAGCTCACAAGTCTGTCAACAAAAGAATGAATAAATAACTCATGCTATATCCACATAATAAGATAATACTTGGCAATAAAGGCAACACACTTCTAATACTCACAACACAGATGAGTCTCACAATAGAAGATAGAAGCAGTCACAAAATAATATGTCTTTTATTATTTCACTTATATGAAGGTCAGGAGCACATGTCTGGAGTGGTTACCTCCAGGTGGAGAGGCAGGGATTGACTGGAAAGAGCATGAGGAACTTTCTGGAGTGCTGGACTTGTGATGCCTTGATCCAGATGGTGGCTACAAATATGTACACATGTTTAAACAGTGAGTGACACACTTTAGATTGGTGTAGTTTATGTACTTGTATATCACAATAAAAAATTAAAATATATTTGACACATATTGAGTGTCTGGGAAATTTTCCCTAGGCACCTAACTTTCCTTTTTGGTTTAAAAAACAAAAGTTAGAAGTTGAATTAGGCAAGGCCAGGACCCTTTGGAAGAGAAACAGGGATTAAACATCACATCAGGGTCAGCTGGAAAAACTATTCAGCAAAATTCGCAGAACTTCGTCTGCTGACCTGGCCCATCCTGAAGTCTCTCAACATGGGGCTCATTCTGCCCTTTTTTGCCTCCACCTCTCATTTTCCTGATTTGGGGATTGTTACGGGCTTAATTATGTCTCTCCAAATTTACATGTTGAGGTCCTAACTCTCAGTACCTCAGAATGTGCCAGTATTTGGAGACAGGGTCTCAAAGAAGTAACTAAGTTAAAATGAGGTCATTTGGGTGGGCCCTAATTCAATCTAACTGGCGTCCTTATAAAAAGAGGAGATCAGGCCCCAGGGGAAGGACCACCTAAAGATGCAGGAAGAAGATGACCATCTACAAGCCAAGGAGAGAGGCCTCTGAAGAAACGAATCCTGCTGAGACCATTATCTTGAACTTCTAGACTCCAGAACTGTGAGAAAATAAATTCCTGTTATTTAAGCCACCCAGTCCATGGTACTTTGTTATGGCAACCCTAGCACATTAATACAGGGCCTTTCTCCTGGTTGAGACCACTCACATTGCAACTCTGGCTTCCACGTGGTATGGCTGCTTCACCTAAGTAGCCTTAACTTTATCCTTAATCTGTGTCCAGGCCTCAGTTCCAGAAGATATTTGGCACTCTGGATGCAGAACATACTCCAAGAACAAACCACTTTAGACAAATACAGGAAGCCCAAGTTTTACTTTCTGGAAAAAGAAGGGTAGGGGGTGGAGTCTAACAAACTCACAGTGACCCAAGCAACATCGCAGCCTCATTCACATCAAGACTCTCCCAAAGGGAAGTAATTATTTGGCCTTATTTGGGGACTCTTTTTCAGAAAAAGAAAGAATTGGACAACCAATCAGAAGAGATCTAGAACATCATGTATCTTTCCACGTTAACAGCGTTTGTCAAACCATGAAAGACTGACTTCTACTTCCCAGACGATGGGGTAGAAGTGTTTTCCCCTATTCCTTCTGCTAAGTACTTCTAAAAACCCTGAACATTCTGTATAAAACAAACATCGGGAAACCCTGAAAGGTAGAAAGAAGAGGGCAAATCAGCTGGAGAACTTGGGACCCAAAGAATGACATGGTGGTGAGTTCCCTGGATTTTCTTCTTGCCTCGTAAAGCCCAGACTTGGAGCTGAAGAAGCTGGCAACTGGGAATGCCAATGGGCACAGACAAAAGAAAATCTCAATCAAAGCCTACTTTCTCTAGCCAAAGGGCCAGGAAAGGGCATCCAAGTAGGACTGGTTATTTTAAACAATAACCACTCTCCTACAAACACCGCAGAAAAAACTATGGCTCACTCACACCAGAAAAAGCCAAGAGGGGAGCCTAGACTTTCGTCTTTACCAACTGCAACAAGGTACCCCAGCCCCACTCTCCACCCCTACCTCATGCCAGGGTGATGTCAGACAAAGCTGAAAAGGGAACAGGACTTCACCCCATAGGATAGTAGCAACACCACCCATCAACTGCAGAATGCACATTCTTTACATGTGCCTACAGAACATATACCAAGATAGAACATACCCTGGGTCATAAACACACACACACACTCCCAATAAATTTAAAATAGTTGAAATCATACAGAGTATGTCCTCTGATCACAAAAGAATCAAACTAGAAATCAGTAACAGAAAGATAAGAAAATCTCCAGAGACTTGGAAACTAAAGAAGAGTGAACTATTATGTCTTCTTGATGCATTGACATTTTGATCATTATATAATGTCTTTATCTGTGTCTGGTAATTTTCTTTGCTTGAAAATCCACTTTCTCTTTCTCTTTTTATTTCCAACTTGCCTATATCCTTATACTAAAGCAAGTTTCTTGTACATAGGATAGATTTTGGTGATTTTTTTAAATCCACGTTGCCAATCTCTGCCTTTTGATTGGTGTATTAATACCATTTACAAGCGTTGAACACTTTCCACCTAAGATTAGGGACAAGGCAAGAATATCCACATGCACTACTCTAATTCAACATAGCGCTCCAAGTGCTAGACAGAGCAATAAGTGAAGAAAAAGAAAAAGAAATAAAAGGCATACAGATTGGAAAAAAAGAAACAAAACTGTTCCTATTTGCAGATGGTAAGACTGTCTACATAGGAAATCCCAAGAATATACAAAAAAACTTCTAGAGTAAATAAATGAGTTCAGCAAGTTCACAAGACACAAAATTAACATACAAAAACCAATTATATTTCTATATATTAGAAATGAACACATGGGGACTAAAAGTAAAAATATAATGTAAATTAAAACCACCATAAGGTATCATTTCACACCTGTTAGGATGACTATTATCAAAAAGGAAAGCGATAACAAATGTTGGTGAGGGTCTGGAGAAAAGGGAACCCTTGTCCACAGTTGGTGGGAATATAGATTGTACAGCCATTATGGAAAACACTACAGACATACTTCATTTTGTAATGTTTTGCAGATTCTACTTTTTTTTCTTTTTTACAAATTGAATGTTTATGGCAACTCTGTGTCAAGCAAGTCTATCAACACAATTTTTCCAAAGCATGTACTCACTTCCTGTCTCTGTGTCCCATTTTGGCAATTCTCACGATATTTTCAAACTTTTTCATTATTATTATATGTGTTATGGTGATCTCATCAAGGATCTTTTATGTTGCCACAGTAATTTTTTAGGGCGCCATAAACCATGCCCTGATAAGATGACAAATTTAATCAATAAATGTGTGTGTTCTGACTGCTCCACCAGCTGGCTGTTTCTCCATCTCTCTCCTTCAAGCCTCCATATTCCCTGAGATACAATATATTTAAATTAGGCCAGTTAATAACCCTACAATGGCCTCTAAGTGTTCAAGTGAAGGGAAGAGTCTCTCATCTTTCACTTTAAATCAAAAGCTAGAAATGATTAAGCTTAGTGAGGAAGGCATGTTGAAAGCCAAAACAGACCAAAAGCTAGGGCTCTTGCACCAAACAGTTAGCCAAATTGTTAATGCAAGGGAAAATTTCTTGAAGGATATTTAAAAGTGGTACTCAGTGAATACACAAATGATAAAAAAGCAAAAAAGCCTCATTGTTGATATGGAAAAGGTGCTAGTGGTCTGGATAGAAGATCAAACCAACCACAACATTCTCTTAAGCCAAAGCCTTATCCAGAACAAGGCCCTAACTCTCTTCAATTCTCTGAAGGCTGAGAGAGATGAGGAAGTTGTAGAAGAAAAGTTGGAAGCTAGCTGAGGTTGGCTTATGAAGTTTAAAGAAAGAAACCATCTCCGTAACATAAAAATACAATATGAAACTGCAAGTGCTGATATAGAAGCTGTACCAAGATATCTAGAAGATCTAGCTAATTGATGAACATGGCTACACAAAACAACAGGTTTTCGGTGTAGACAAAACAACATTAAGTTGGAAAAAGATACCTTCTAGGACTTTCATTTCTAAAGAAGAGAAGTCAATGCCTGGCTTTAAAGCTTCAAAGGACAGGCTGACTTTCTTGTTAAGGGCTAATGCAGCTGGTGACTTTAAGTTGAAGCCAATGCTCATTGACCATTCTGAAAATCCTAGGGCCCTTAAGAATTATGCTAAATCTACTCTCCCTGTGTTCTATAAGTGGAAAAACAAAGCCTGGATGACAGCACATCTGTTTATAGCATGGTTTGCTGAGTATTTCAAGCCCACTGTTGAGATCTACTGCCCAGATAAAAAATATTCCCTCCAAAAGATTATTGCTCATTGACAATGCACTTGGTCATGAAGACCTCTGATGGAGATGTACAAGGAGATGAATGCCTGCTAACACAAGATCCATTCTGCAGCCCATGGATCAAGGAGTAATTTAGCCTTTCAAGTTCTGTTATTTAAGCATACATTTTGTAACACTATAGCTGCCATAGATCGTTATTCCCCTGATGGATCTGGGCAAAGCAAATTGTAAGGCTTCTGGAAAGGATTCACCATTCTAGATGCCATTGAGAACATTCATGATTGAAGAGAGGAGGTCAAAATATCAACATTCACAGGAGTTTGGAAGAATTGATTCCAGCCCTCATGGATGTCTTTGAAGGGTCCAAGACTTTATTTGAGGACGTAACCGCAGATGTGGTGGAAATAGCAAGAGAACTAGAATTAAAAGTGGAGCCTGAAGATGGGACTGAATTGCCAAAATCTCATGATAAAAATTGAATTGATGAGGAGTTTGCTTTTTAAGGATGGGCAACTAAAATGGTTTCTTTAGATGAAATCTAAGCCTGCTGAAGATGCTGTGAACATTGTTGAGATGACAACAAAGGATTTAGAAGATTACATAAACCCAGTTGATAAAGCAGCAGCAAGATTTGAGAGGATTGACTCCAATTTTGAAACAAATTCTACTACAGGTAAAAATCCTATCAAACAGCATTGCACACTACAGAGAAATCCGTCATGAAAGGAAGAGTTTATTGATGTGGCAAATTCATTGTTGTTGTATTTTTAGAAATGGCCATAGCCTCCCCAATTTTCAGCAACCACCACTCTGATTAGTCAATAGTCAACATCAAGGCAAGACCCTCCACCAGCAAAAAGATCATGACTCACTGAAGGTTCAGATAATCATTGGCATGTTTTAGTAATAAAATATTTTTTAATTAAAGTATGTACATTGTGTTTTTAGACAAAATGCTATTACACACCTAATAGACTACAGTGCAATATAAACATAACTTTTATTTTTAATGGAGAACAAAAAAAAGGTGTGACTCACTTTATTGCAATATTTGCTTCATTGTGGTGGTCTGGAACTCAACCCACAATATCTCCAAGGTATGCCTGTGTGGGGGTTCCTAAAGACATTAAAAATTAAAACTACTGCATGGCCTAGAAGTTCCACTTTTCTGGTATATACCCGAAGGAGATAAAATCACTACCTCATAAAAATATCTGCTCCAATGTTCACTGCAGCATCATTCACAATAGCCAAGATATGAAAACAACCCAAGTCTCTGTCAATAAATGAATGGATAAAGAAAAAAAGAAAATGTAGTGTTGCTGTATGTATCCACACACACACACAATGGAATATTATTCAGCCTTAAAAAAGGAGATCCTACCATTTGCCACAACATGAATGGACCTAAAGGATATCATGCTGAGATAAACCAGACACAGAAAGAAAAATGTTGGATGATCCCACTTATATGTGGAATCCTTTTTAAAAAATGTCTAAATATACAGAGATATAGAATAAAACAGTGGTTACTAGAGTGAGGGACAGGGGAAGGGAGGAAATGGAGAGATGGGGTCAAGTCACAAAGTAGCAGATACATAGGATGAACAGGACGAGAGATCTAATGTACGGGAGAACTATAGTTAATAAAATCATATGGTATTGAGAATTTTTGTTAAATAAGTAGATTGTAGCTGCTCTTGTTATCTATAGTAACACAACTATGTTACCATAGATAGTAAAATATTTGCTATAGTAAAACAAATTTACGTATTTATCATCTCACAGATGATGATTTTACTATCTATATCTGTCTCATAACATCATGTTGTAAATCTCAAATATACACAATTAAATTTATTTTTAACAAAGAAAATTGAAACACATATAATACTATTTATGATTACTTTAAAAATTAAATACTTAGGTGTAAATCTGGAAAACTATATATGTGATCCATATGCTGAAAAATGCACAATGCTGATCAGAGAAATTAAAGAGGATCTATATAAATAGACGTATATGCACAGATTAGAAGACTCAACATAATGATATCAATTCTCCCCAAATTAGCATAAAGTTTGAATGCAATTTCTATCAAAGTCCTTGCAAGAGAGACAAAATATTGTTCTAAAATATATATGACAAAGCAAAGGAACTAGACTAGCTTAAAAAATTGAAAAAAAAGAATAGTGGGAGAAATCTATCTAATTTTGAGCCATTACATAATATGTAATGTTAAATGTTACTTCTGAAATAAGGAATATTATATAAGTAATCAATACTGTATGGTATTGGCAGAGGAATGGACACATTGATCAATGAAACAGAATAGAGAACCTAAAACTGGACTCACACAAGCCAGACACAATAGCTAGTGCCTATAGTCCCAGCTCCTCAGGAGGCTGAGACAGGAGGATCGCTTGAGGCCAGGAGTTTGAGGGTGGGGTGCACTACGATTGCACCTGTGAATAGCCATTGTACTTCAACCTTGGCAACGTTGTGAAACCCCATCTCCAGAAAAAAAAAAAAGGAAGAACTCAACTCAGACAAATATGCCCAATCGACTTTTGACAATGATGAACATGCAGTCCAGCAGAGTAAAGAGTCATTTTCAATAAATGGTGTTAGAGCAATTGGACATCCACAGGCAAAAAAAATGAACCTAGACCTCTGTCTCACGCCTTCTCCAAAAATTAATTCAAAATGGGCCACAGGCTTAAATGTAAAACTATAAGATGTTTAGGGGGAAATATAATCAAATTTTCATGATTTAGAGCTAGGCAAAGACTTCTTAAGCTTGATACCATAATCATGATCCATAAAAGAAAAATTGATAAATTTGCCTTCATCAAAATTAAAAGTTTTTGTTTTGCAAAAAACACTGTTAAGAGGTTAAAGAGACAAACCACAGATTGGGAGTAAATATTTGCAAACCACATATCCAACAAAGGATTAGTATCTAGAATATATAAAGAACTCTCAAAACTTATCAGTAAAAAAACTCAACAGTCCTGGTTGAAAAATGGGGAAAAGACATAAGGGGCATTTCACAGAAGAGTGTATTCAGATGACAATGAAGTTAAACAAAAAGATATTCAACATCTTTAGCTATCAGGGAAATGTAAATTAAAAGCACAATGAGATATTACTACAATCTATCAGGATAACCAGGATGCAGAGAAACTGCATCATTCATGCATTGCTGGTGGGAATGTAAAATGGTATAGCCACTTTGTAAAACAGTTGGCAGTTTCTTAAAAAAATAAACTTGCAACTACCATATGACTCAGCAATTACATTCCTGGGCATTTATCCCAGAGAAATAAAACTTACATTCATACCAATACCTGAGCACAAATTTTTATATCTGATTTCTTACTAATAGTCAAAAACTAAAAACAACCTAGATGTCTTTCTTTTTTGTGGGGGAAGGAGTCTTGCTCTGTTGCCCAGACTGGAGTGCACTGGTGCTATCTCGACTCACTGCAAGCTCTGCCTCCTGAGTTCAAGCCATTCTTCTGCCTCAACCTCCCAAGTAGCTGGGACTACAGGCACCCACCACCACACCCGGCTAATTTTCGTATTTTTAGTAGAGACGGGGTTTCACTGTGTTAACCAGGATGGTCTCTAACTCCTGACCTCGTGATCCGCCCTCCTCAGCCTCCCAAAGTGCTGGGATTACAGATGTGAGCCACCACACCCAGCCAACCTAGATGTCTTTCAATGAGTGAATGGTTAAACAAACTTTGGTACATTCTTACCAAGGAATACTCCTCAGTAATAAAAAGAATTTAGCTATTGATACACATAGTCTCTAGAGAATTATGCTCAGTAAAAAAGCTAATCCCACATTTAATTCCATACATAACATTATTTAAATGACAAAATTATAGAAATGGGGAACAGATTAGTGGGTGGCAGTGGTTAAGAAGAGAGGGAAATAGATGTGGCTATAAAAGACCAACACGAGGGGTCCTGGCAATGATGGAATTGTTCTGTACGTTGACTATATCAATATCAATATCCTGGTTGTGATACTGTACTACTGTTTTATAGAATGTTAATATTGGGGTAAACTGGGTAAAGGGTACAGGAGATCTCTCTTTATTTTTTTATAACTGCATGTGAATCTATGGTTATTTAAAAATAAAAGGTTTAATTAAAAACACACACATGAAAGAGAAAAAGGTCATATAAACAGTAGAAGGAGAAAATTCTCAAATGAGACTCTGGTTCAGCACACTATTCGTGATCCAGGTGCATTTTATAAGCACAGTCTTTCTTAGCATTTTGTTTGTAATAATCCAATGGGGAAGAGAAAGGAGTAAAACAAGGTCAGCAGAGTGAATTTGTTTTGCCAACGCAAACTTGCTGCTCACCAGCAATTGAGCCTTGAGTGAGAAAGGGAGCACAGCTCTTGGTGGTGTTCAAGCCCCACCCACAGGAGGTCCTCCAGCTGTGTGTTGGCTTCTTCTTGTAAACAGGCAATGGGGGAAGAGCTGATAAGGGTCCCGCTTTGCTGAACCCTGTGTTCCTGATTCCCAGAAAGGCAGGAAGTGTGGTGAAGTGTGGCACAAACACATATCAAGACCAGAAAGGACTCTCCTCATCTTTTGACAGTTTTGTGGTGTCGTCAACAGACAGCTGAGATGCAGATGAGCATGGAGAGTAGCTCCATTTCTTCCTGCCCAGAGCACTGGGGAGGGAGGGCAACCCACCAGTGGTGGGGCATCAGGAGCCCGGGAAGGACACAAAGAGTGACTGAGCAGCCACGGTACACAGACCCTACTTCTGGGATGTGGGCCCCAGCATCTAAGGAAATGCTCCCTCCTCACCCTGTGATAAGGCCACTGGCATGACCCAGCTCTGCCTCTGTATTAGTCAGGGTTCTCTAGAGGGACAGAACCTATAGGACAGATAGATAGATGATAGATAGATGATAGATAGATAGATAGATAGATAGATAGATAGATAGATAGATAGATAATAGACACATACATACATAGATACATAGGTAGATACACAGATAGATATAAAGGGGAGTTTACTAAGTATTAACTTACATGATCACAAGGTCCCACAATAGGCTGTCTGCAAGCTGACAGGGAGAGCCAGTCAGAGTCCCAGAACTGAAGAACTTGGAGTTCGATGTTCGAGGGCAAGGAGCATCCAGCACAGGAGAAAGATGTAGGCTGGGAGGCTAGGCCCGTCTCTCCTTTTCACGTTTTTCTTCCTGCTTTATATTCGCTGGCAGCTGATTAGATTGAGCCCACAAGATTAAGGGTTGATCTGCCTTCCCCAGCTCACTGACTCAAACGTTAATCTCTTAGCAACACTCTCACAGACATGCCCAGGACCAATACTTTGTATCCTTCAATCCAATCAAGTTGACACTCAGTATTAACCATCACAACCCCTTTCCTATCCTTGACCATACCAGAAAAAAGGAGGTAGAGCAATGGTCGAAAAAAACATGACAGGAGATTGTCTTATCAGCACCTAACATCTGACCTCTGACCTCTGGCTTCAGTGCAGGGGAACTGAGAAGAGGAAGAGGTAAGGAACGCCACTGTAGCTCTTACATTTTTCATCAGCGTACTACCCCAGACATCAGAGGAGGTGAAGTACATGCCCCAGGACACCAAGGTGCAGCTTGAAGCAATTCACTGCATACTAAAAATTCTTTGATTTTGCATGTTTGCGTAAGACTACATGCTACATCTGTTTTATCACTGTAAAAAAAAAAATGATGTGTCGAACTACTCATCATTGAGCAACAGGAATTTTCAGAGCGGTGGCCGTATTTGACTCATGGCTTTGGGCACAGATGTCATGTCATGCTTGGCTGAGAGTCTGGGCTCTGGAACTAAACTGCCTGGATTCAAGTTATGTCTCTACCTCTTGCTATAACAGATACTTTGGGCAAGTTCCTAATCTTTCTGTGCCTCAGTTTCTTTATCTATATCATGGGGATAGCAGCAGTGCCTACTTCAGAGCATTGTTGAAAGAATTAGGAGTTAATATGCATCAAATACTTGGCATGTGTGTTCACTAAATGTTCATTTTTATTATTATGAGTTACTTTCTGGAACTCTACACCAGTCCCTAGATCCTACTTGAAAAGCAGTGAATGACACAGCAAAGATAAACTTGCCAGGGAAAAACCTGAACATTGATTCCTATTTCAGAAGTGTTTTTGCTGCATTTGCAAGAACCTTTCGGCATAGACTTGTATTCTAACCACATTCAAGTCAGAGTCCTGAGTTCAATACAAATGAAACATGTCTCCCCTTTTTTTTTCACCAAGCTGGCTAAGGAGTCTTGCTCCATGAAATGAATTGCTGAATAGTATAAAGAAGAGTGCACAGGGAATTGGCCCTGCAGTTTTATGTATTGACACTCTCCATACTCCCCCTTTTTTCCAAGTGGATAAACACTATGTTTCCACGATGGTGACAGTATCCATGTCCTCCGTGGCAGCTACTTTGTCGGCTCCATTAGGGAAGTCTGAAAGGTTGTGGAGAACGTCAACAGAGTTCAAATGCAGGCCTCCTGTGGCAGGCTCTTAGTTGGAATGTGGTACAACGAGAACCTTCTGAAGCTCGCCCAAGTTAAACACAGGATTTGTCACACACACGGCAAGGACATAAAACTGGTATATGGTGGTGCCTCTGGTTTTCTGAAGTGCAAGACCCTAGCCCAGCAGTTAGAGTTGGGGCCCCAGAGCTCTGCAATGGGGGTGGCTGCTTTAGTGAGTTTCCTTTTAATTGAATAGGCTTAGAAGCCAGAATCCTTTGTTGTATGCAAGAAACAGTCACCAGCTGTTTTCTGTTTCCACTAAGGGCAGGACAAGAGGAAATAAAATGGATCAAACAACACGGACAGGATTTAGCTTAGATACAAGAGAAAACATCCTGATAGTGAGGATCATTGAACAGTCAAGGAGAGTTATGTGATGAAGTAGACAATCTCCTTCCCGAATATTTTTTTTAATAAAACCCCAATATGGCTGAGGAGAAGGCTCTCTGAATCAGTGACTAGCAGCCAACAGTACTGATTTACTAACTCCTGATTTTCTGAAATATTGGTGGAGAATGAAAGGCCCTCCAAGCTAAAAAATGTACCACATTCTACCATAATCTTGGTTAATGGGCTTCTCTTTTAAAAGGTATTAAATACTGCCAAGTGATCCCATATATCAGCCATTTCTACCAGTAAATATCACCAGAATCAGATGACCTCCTAAAGCCCAATCATGATGCTTCTCCCAGGGAATGAGGTTTATTGAGCTCATGAGAAAAGGCCTGGATCCATCCTGGACCACACACTGAAGGTGGCCCTGGGTACCACAAGGAAGGGCAGCTGGGAAGTTGGAGAGGATGAAAGGGAAGCAGGAAGACCCTGCACCCCTCATCATCTTCATTATGGTTTTATCAAAGTCCCCATTGACCTGCTGGGCTGGAGAGGAATGCTGAAAATCCTCTCCAGCCCAGTTCTGGCTCCATCCTATGAGTTTCTAATGTGGGAATTAGAAGACTGTCAAGATTCCTTCTGGACTTATGCTCTGATCCTGCAATGCCTCTATTTCCCCAAAAGCCACACATTCTATCTACAAAAGAAGCTCAGAGAATCCCAAAAGGGAGGAACCCTGACATGAACCAGGGCATGGTGAAATCATTAGGGATGCCATTGGGCCACCATAGGAGAAGAGCTTATACTAGGAAAAGCAAGAGCTTATATATACTTTAATGAAAATAGTTGACATTTATAAAGCCAGTAAAATATTCCAACAGCTTTTATACATTATTTTATCTAATTCTCACAACAAGCCTCTATTATCCCCGTGCTAGAATTTGAGGAGTTATCACACAAAGAGGTTAGAATCATTCCAACTTTCCCAGCTACGGGTGGAGGAGTTGGCCACACACTCCTTATACTCCCTGGGAGTGTGACGTATGAGGCTCTGTTCTCTTTCTTGAGTCTCTGCTCCCTTGGTTCTCTCTTCACTCTTCCTTCCAATGAACTTACGGGGTGAGACTGGATACATCAGGACTGGGAGACACCAAAGAGCCCTTGAGAAACATAGCAAGGAATGAGAGGCTCAGACCAGGAATCAAGGGAGAAGGCTAATCCCTTTGCCTTTCAATCATGTCCTCCTCTGGTAGCAGAAGAAGTAAACCCAAAGGAAAACACTCTCGCTGCCACTCCCCCCTCCCATAACCAATCACTCGCTTGCCAGAAGAAAGCTTCAAAATCTTTGTTAACATCTCACTCTAGGTGCCAGTACTGGGACTAGCAATCAAAATGAAACCTGTTTGCTGTTCCTCTCCTTACACACAATCTGTCTTGTTTTAAGACATCTCAGACCCATTTCTAACTCAGGCATACATTAACCATAGCAGCACCGCCCAGTCAGTAAATCATGATGACAACAATAAGGGTGTGACCAGCTGGTTACACCAGCTCTGCTGTGCCACCAGCACTGCAATCCCCGTGCAGCCCCTGATAATGTTCAGAGCACCCCATTTTGCTGCCTAGGCCAATTAAGGGAAGAGGTAGAAACAAATACCTGTGTACAGAGAAGAGTGTGCTGGAGAGGGAGATGGGGAGCTTGGCCTCAAACTAGTATTAGATGTGGAGGGTCCGTGAGGCTTCTCCAGGCTTACTCCAGTCCTGCAAACCACCTGTGGATCTTGTCACCAGCAGAAAGCAGAATGTCTTGAACCCTACTCCTGGAACTCTCTCGGCTTTTCCACATGGTGTCCCCTTTTACAGGACATCAGGCACCGTGAAGCTAAGCTTGGCCTTCTGGCTCCACTTTGACTGTCTTCTTGCCTCCCCAGTTCAGAGAAAGAAAGGAAGTGGAGTGCCAAGGGAGGCCAACCCGCGGGAAATGTTTGATTCTTTAAAGGACTTGAAGTGAGAGAGGTCATCCTAGACATCGAACAGGGAATGTTTCAGAAGAAGGAAGAGCCTAGCAGGAGAGAATATGGAAGACAGAAGAAGGGGTTGACCCTTGGTCACAGCAAATACAGCCAGATTCTCTCTTTCTGTCTTTCTTGAAGAAAACAGAAGCGTCTGGGAGCTGCTGGTGTTTCTCAGATAAACAAAGCAGGACATTGTGCTCATTCCTTTACATTTCAGTGACTGCCCTGAAAGGAAAGATGTCCATAAAGCAGTAGAGGAAAGGTTTGGGTTTTTGGGTTTTTGTTTATTTTTAAAGTGACTAGCTAGTTACTTTTGCTGCGTGTGAGGATTTAATTCCAAGCTCACCTTCTCACATCAAGTCCAGAATGGTAACAGTAGACCTTTTCAGGAAAAGAAAAGGCATTTTTTATGATATGATTTAAATAAAACTTCAGAAAACGAAGATGATGTGTGAAGAGGACAGTTGCCCTGACTCTGGCAAGAGGCTGAAAATGAGAAAAAGAGATGCAGGCAGGAGCCCACAAAAAGGCCAAGAAAGATAATGAAGGAAGAAAAAACAACGGGATCACAAAGAATGTGTGAACAGTAGAAGGTCTGACCCACCATTTGTTTATCCCTTCTTCTAGTTCTCCCATTGGGCAAGGTTGAATCCAAGAGAATTTGTAGGACGATAAGTGGAACTCAGTGTTCCACCATCCTCATCCTCATCCTCCATATTCAAGCACGTACTTGATAACCCAGCTCACACTTTCTTCCATGAGAAACCGGAAAGGAAAGATTCCCAGCAGATTCACAGGAAGTGCTGTGGGGCCAGCCCTTGACCAACTCTGTTGAAAGTCAGTGATGGGATGGAGAACTACTTAGAATTTACAGCGAGGCTCAAAGCCCCAGAGATGGTACAAATGGGTGTTTTCTTCTTCCACTCAAGTTGGCTTCTATGTTGAATCCCTGGATTTTGAGATAAGTAAAATGTTCCCTGTGAAAGTAGCCTGACTTTCACATCAGGCAACTTTCATGAGTTTTAGGTTTATTCGGAACAGAAAACCACTAAGAGGGTCTTGTCATGATCTAGGAGCCTCAAAAGTACAAAAAGATCTAATACTCAGTAGTCCTTAGTGGTGGCTCTTGAATGGAAAAAGGGACAGACTGGGGGGTCTGGAAACAGGCAATAAAACCTGAGTTTCTGAAGTTTGCACAGGGGGTTTTTACATTCTAAGTGTATACAAAGATACTGAACAAACACATTGAATTTTCCACTGTTAATTTTTTGACCTATCTAAAACAAACAATTAACAAGAAAGAAAACCTGCATAAACAAAATTTTCTCTTGACTAGTCCATTAAAGAGCATTTAATAGCTGCACACCATCAAACTGATAATCATTAAAAGGAAGGATAAGAAAAAGATCTCAAAGTTGGGGGGAGAAGGGGAAGATTCTAGATAAGGAGACGTGTTTCCTACAAACAAGTATGCAAACAAAATAGACCCTGCAAAAGGCACTGCTTAAGAGAAGGAAGTTAAACAATGGCTTTATTGATTTAAGACATGTGGATTTCATTAGGGAAGCAGAATGCACAAAAATGGGTTGTGATATCTGAAACGAGGCAAGGAGCAAAATTAGGTCACAGGGCTTCTCGGACAAAAGGAATGATGAATCTTTATTAGGTAATTGGACTCAGAGGTGAGAGGAAAAAAAATAACTCTTTTCTTCCCAACCCCACTTCGGATAGTTTTTAAGCCTTCAAAGGTAAATCTACATGCTGAACTGTATGGCAAATCCCAGGGACCTACTCTTTTCGACACAGCATCTGCACTGCCAAAGAATCCCTCAGCCAGAAACTAGAGATTCCCTAGGAAAAAACTCATGCTGATATGGAAATAAATAACGTAGAGATCAAAGCAATGCATGTAAGATGTCCCAATGGCCCCAACACGAAGCTTCAGCTGAATTCAAAAGTAGTAAAGTAGCAATAATAATATTTTTTTTTACTGGGATAGACGTTTTCCTCTTAAGAGCTCATAACCCATGGTAGCTTATATAAAAGCTGATATGCTATTCATGTGGGAGATCATTTTTAAAATAATGGACAACGAAGCAAAAATCACTGAACTGTTCTAGTGAGAACACTTTCACTTCAACAAATACTTAGAAAGTGTGATGGGAATACTTTTGCACAAACCTCTTAGTTCAGTTTTGACCCTATGGCCTGACATGCCCAGCCAAGGCAAAAATGTTTAATTAAGAGAAATGGGACTTTTAAGTTCTGTCAAGTTCTGTCTTTCTTCCTGTCTCCTTCCTTCCCTGCATTCCTTTTTCTAAAATTTTCACTTTTATCTTATGACCTAGCTGCCTCTTCCTGCTTCCCACCAAGAACTTGATCCCATAAAACTGGCCCTTCCCTGATACCCTTGCACATCTGGTCTCCCCAGGATTCCATTTCCCCTAAGACCAGCCCAGGGAAGAGCTATTCATGTAAACCAACCTCAGGAAGAAGTTATTGGCCTAGTGATTTTTCCCGATCAGATGAGATTTACACTCAAATGGTTGCCTTAGATACATTTCAACACACAATGTTATCAGTTGAGCCAAATAACTATGGAAGAATTTACTGACCACAAAATGTAGTAGCCTTTTTATATCAAAGAGAAATAAATGATTTTTAGAGCACCTGATTTGTACAAGGTGTCCTGTTAAACTCTTTGAAATGACACAAATACAGCACTTAACCATCCTGAGTCCGAGGACTGCAGACTTCATGAAAGAAGTAAGCCAAGCATCTTCAGTGTGGGGCTGGTATGTGGCACAGGGAGGCATACAGAGACGTGAATGGAAGTTCTCTGTATGGAGGAAGGGCTTGAAAGGGTTTTCCCCTAAGTGAAGGGATTGAGGAAAGATTTGCTAAGTAGTGCTTTTGTCTGCGTTTTTTTGAAGGGTTGAACAGGTATAGGGAGGATTAGGGCAGATTAAAAAATCTTGAGCAAACGTGAAAAGTCCTACCAGGTGGTTTGCTCCCTTAGACAGCCCTCAGGGATGTCACAATGATGGAAGGCTCTGATGGCACAGACAAGGAAAGAGGGCTCCCAATGTCAGGCTTCCAACTCACAGCCTTCCTGCCAACCAGTGTAATCCAGGCTGGGAACCCAATTGCCTCCTGATGGATGTCATGGATAGAGCTATGTGGGAGAAGAAAGGGTCAGAAAGACATGTTCAGATTCCATGTGACAGGCCCCAAATGCTATGCCAAGGAGTTTGAACTTAATTCCACGGGAAATAGGGAGCCTCAGAAAGCATGAAAATGTTTTCAGACTCCCACATGGGCAAGTGTGTGTGACTATGTGTGTGGGTGTATGTGTGAGTGTATGTGCAGGTTTGAGTCTGTGTGTGTGTGTGTGTGTTCATATGTGGATCTGTGTGGGTGTATATAAGTGTATGTGTCTGTGAGTGTGCATATGTGTAGATTTGAGGGTGTGTTTGTGTGTGTGCAGGTACGTGATATGTGTCTGAGTGCGTGTGTTAATGTGTGAATAGGGTGTGTGTTAGTCCATTTCAGGCTGCTACAGTGAAATACCTTGGACTGGGTAATCTATAAACAGCAGAAATGTATTGCTTACAGTTCTGGAGGCTGGGAAGTCCAAGATCAAGGCGCCAGCAGTTTTAGTGTCTGGTGAGGGCCCATTCCTCATAGATGATGCCTTGTATGTTCCTCACATGGCAGAAGGGGAAGGGGCAAACAAGCTCTGCCAAGCCTCTTTTATAAGAGCGCTAACCCTATTTATGAGGGCAGAGCCTTCATGACCTAATCACCTCTCAAAGGCTCCACCTCTTAAGACTACTGCATTGGGGATTTTGTATCAACATATAAATTTGGGGGGGCACAAACATTCAGGCCATAGCAGGGGACAGGGACAGTGGGGGAAGGTGCTGACAGAGACGGCCTAGTCAGTGTGGAGGAGAACTGAGCTTCATGCAGTGGGGACTTGATGGACTCTGATCTCAATCAATAGTTCCACCTGATTCTTGATGTATCCCAGCCTTGGGAGGGAGGGCTGTCACCCTGAGGGCCTCTGCTGCCCAACCAGGAGCCAAGCCTCTGGCATTGACTCTCTCTGACATCCCCTGCCTGTCACTGAAGGCTGTCATTCACCCCCGCTTGCTTCTTCCCTTAGGGAATTGCAGGTCTTCCTCTTCTCTTCTTCCTGCCCTATTTTTATTTTATTTTATTTATTTTTTGAGATGGAGTTTCGCTCCTGTTGCCCAGGCTGGAGTGCAATGGCATGATATCAGCTCACTACAACCTCTGCCTCCCGGGTTCAAATGACTCTCCTGCCTCAGTCTCCCGAGTAGCTGGGATTACAGGCGCCCGCTAATTTTTTTTATTTTTAATAGAGACAGGTTTCACCACGTTGGCCAGGCTGGTCTTGAACTCCTGACCTCAGGTGATCCATCTCTCTGGGCCTCCCAAACTGCTGGGATTACAGGCTTGAGCCACCACACCCAGCCCTTCCTGCCATATTTTTTAAAAAACACGTATGTATACACACATACACAGATACGCACATGCACACATATGTACACACATATACATATATACGTGTGTGTACATATATAATTTTTAAAACAGAGAACAAGGAAGAGATATGTGATAGGGTTTTATTTTAATCCTGTTTTTTAACCTGTCATTGATTTGCAACAGGACCTTGGACATGTTATGCAACTCATTTCTTCACTCTATAAATGTTGGCCAAAAGCCTAATGCAGCCCAGCACTGTGTTGCCTCTTGCTGGAGTTACTTTTAGGAACAAAAACGGAGGCAGAGCTTACTAATAGGGGAGCTAGACATCACAACAAATTACGCCCATCTGGCAACTACATGGAGGAAAGGGCTGGGATCAAATGTACAAGGTACTATGAGAAAGTGTATTTGGGGGTCCTAATTTCATCAGTGGGGATTGAAGGAAGGGTCTTCCTCTGATAATTGGGGGTACTGGCACTGACCTGAAGGGGCTGCTGTGAAGATTACACCTGACTGTGTGTGCCCTGGTGCCTGATAAAACGGTGGTGATTATTATTGTGGTGGAGGCCCAGTCCTGGAGCACTGCAGGGAGGCAGCAGGGTGGGACACACAGAGACCACAGCAGCCAGACACGGTCACTCAGGGGCAAAAATGTCCAAGAACTGAAGCCCAGACCTGCGAGAGAGGCTCACAGAGCCAAGCCCGGGGAGGCCCGCCAGCAGGCAAGCCAATTCCCCTACTCCCAGTGCAGTAGGAGAGGTGCGCCGTAGCCACGGTCTCCAGCCCTCCCACCAGACGCAGCTCTAGCCTCTCTTTTCCACCAATTCACAGCAGAAACCAAAAGGTGAAATGCATATGAGAGAATCAAAGCCACGCACAGTTTTCCAAGTTATAGCTATCTCTCAGGTCAATCCCCAGTTTGAAGTCTCCCTTGCTTCTGAAGGGTTCAAAGTAGCTGAACACAACTTTTCCATTACCCAGCAGCTCCCAGTAACAGGAGATGCTCTGTGTTCCCTGAATCATTGGCCTATTGAAGATAATTTTAGTGGGGTGCTTTAAACTACGGTAAAAAAAAAATAGCATTTTTAACCATTGTAAGTGCACCGTTCAGTAGCAGTAAGTACATTTACATGTGGTACAACCAGCCCGCCATCTATCTCCAGAACTCCTTTCCCCAACAAAATGAAACCCTATACCCATTAAACAACTCCCACGCCTCCTGCTCCAGCCCCCGGCAGCCATCATTCTACTTTCTGTCTCCATGAATTTGCCTATTCTAGGGACGCCACGCCAGTAGAATCAGACAGCATTTGTCCTTTGGTGTCTGGCTTAGTATAACGTCCTGGTGGTTCTAGAAGTTAATGCAGCTTCCACATGTGGATGAACCTGGGAAACAGGTTAAATGCTCAGCGCATCTGGCCAGAGAGTTATTATATTACAGCAGAGCATCACGAGAGTCAGCAGCGCTATAGGTCCGGCGTCATGAGCTGTGTGACTGGGGGAAGTCACTTAACCTCTCTGTGCCCAGGCTTCTTCACATACGAAATGGAAATAATGACAGTACATATTCATAGGGCTTTCATGAGGATCAAATAAATTACTATATGTAAGACACAGTAGTACCTGGCACACTGGGGACACTGGAAAAATATTAATATAATTTAAAATAAAGCACACACATGAACATATGTCTAAATACATGATTACAGGCTCATGTCTGTAATCCCAGCACTTTGGGAGGCTGAGGTGGACATATCACCTGAGGTCAAGAGTTCGAGACCAGCCTAGCCAACATGGCGAAACCTCATCTCTACTAAAAATACAAAAATTAGCTGGGCATGGTGGTACATGCCTGTAATCCCAGCTACTTGGGACGCTGAGGCAGGAGAATTGTTTGAACCCGGGAGGTGGAGGTTGCAGTGAGCCAAGATTGTGCCATTGTACTCCAGCCTGGGTGACAGAGCGAGACAACGTCTAAATAAATAAATACAAATATAAAATTATAAAGTTTCTATCCTCACAAAACACTTAGATATTTTTAAGTGATTATGATTAAAAAAATGAAACTACTCTCAAAAAGAATACCTTATATTCATTTAGAAATTAAACATGAATTTTCTATTGGAAACATAGAAAGAAATTTAAATTCATCTATGACAGCCCTCAATCTTAAGAAAAAGATAAGCTCTAGAAGGATTCTAAGCAAGTTTAGAAAAGATATGCCCCAGACTTCCATTTGACAGTCTCTACAACCATTCAAGAAATGAGAGGTAAAACTTAAAACACTCAGTGATGAAGCAAAATGTTGCAATATTGGTAATGTTCACAAGTTGAGATCTAGAAATACTATAAGCAGTAAACTTCAAAGGGAAAAACATCCTCTATTACTGCATATTTATGGAAGAAATTTCCCCATACTGAACAAAGAGATGTCTCTTTATCTCAGATAAACCCATTTTATGGATTTAAAAAAAAAACAACCTAAAAGATCATTTTGAGTGTAGATTTTGCAATCAAAATCTTGACCACATTTTAACATTCTCCCTTCAGTCTTCTAATTCTCAGTCAGAGGTCATCATTGTCACTTTGTGGCTTGACTTTGCAGCCACGTCTTCCAAAGGCCTGTTGTCTTCTCACCCCAGCACCCGCAGGACGTCTGCAGGGAAGCTACGTTGCCTCCCTGAGGGCCTGCAGGCCTGCTGTGATCCAGCACCGTCATAGCCAGGTAAGATTTGCATTGTCTCTTCATCTGGTCACAGACGGGCTTTTCCCTTTTTATAAATTTGACACACAATAAACTTTGAGTGAGACCAAAATCAAGGAACCCAACGTGTGTACCAGGGATCCATTGAGAGGGTCATTTGCATCAGGGCATGAGTTTTAGAGTCCGACAGCTTGGAGGCAGGTCGTTGCTCTTGTTCGGGTCAGAAATCTGGTAGTTCTTCACTCCCAGCAGGACTGTAAGGATGAAGAATTCAACTGTTTTGACTCTACACTTTCAGAAATAGAGCTTTCCTTTTTAGAGAGAATAGTCATAATTCTCTCTTATCTTACGCTTTCACTTGGACTTTTTGTGTGTGTGTGCTGTGCTGGCCTGATTAGAGTCTGTTGTCTTTAAGGGTTTTTCTGAAACGTTTACTCAGGAAACACATGGAATGCACTCTGACAAGTAAAGCCCACATCTCCACTATTTACTGAGGCTTTTTGTTTTCACATATTAAATATCTCATGCCTTACCCAAATACTTTATTTGCCAGTAAAGACCCAAGGCTTCAGGTGCAAGGAAAGGAAAGGGAACCAGTGGAAATCAGTGGAATCCCAGTAAGAGGGGAAATATTTCATGAACTTTATTTTTAAAAGCAGGTTTTTAGGGGTACTAGAAAATTCCCCAGACTTGTTTCATTAGAAAGAAAACACAGTATGTGTCAGAGTATGAAAACAGGAAAGGGTGAGAGAGTAGCCGTTGTTTGATCATCTCAATCAAGGGGAAATTTGTCTGAGGTAAACAGTTCTCAGAAACAGCAATAGTTTCACAGACTTGATTTTTAAAATAGTTTTGGTATCCTCCAAATCAGGCCTAGACTAAAAGTCTGCACTCCTTAGGACAATGAAGGCCAGTATAAGTCTTGCAATAATTAGGACTTGCAATAATTACCTTGGAACCCAAAATGGTGATGACTTTTTTTTAATCATGGAGTAACTTAGAGATAACAATGTCTAATTTATGGAGATGAGAAAATAAAAACCAGACTGAGTTAAATATAGTTCTTACCTGCTGACAATAATAGCATGTAAATTGATTGAGAGGTAATTGAAGGAAAAGCATATGGATATATTTAGATTATTCAAGAGAATAAAATATTCACTAACATTAGACACATTGATTAAATATACATGAAAAAATTCTAGGGATACACTAAAAGACTAGAAATAAACTGCATAACTTCCAAACTAGTAGAGGGAAAAAAAAGCAATACAGATAAGGCAACTTATTTTATAAATTTCTATAATCATTATGTTGATTATATTTAAGAAATAAAAATTAAAGATGACTGCACTAAACATTCAATTTAAGAAGTCAACTTTGAAAAACAATATAGACCCAAAGATAGTAGGAAAAAGAAATAATAAAGGCAAGAGAAGAAGTTAATAAAATAGGAAACATAAAAGCTATAAAGAGGATCAAGATGCTAAGAGTTATATCTTTAAAAACACTAATAAATGGATAAACTTCCAGCAAAACTGATCAAGAAAAGACAGAGAAGTTATAAATAAAAAATATTAAGACTGAGATAAAAAGAGGACCAAACCACAGATGTAGCAGTAATTATAAAGATAAAAGAAGAATATTATAAGTTTATAAAAATAATTTGAAAAATTATATGAAGCAGCCAACTTCTCAGAAAAATATAAATTACCAAAAATGACTCAGGCAATAATAGAAAATCTGACTGGCTTGATAACTGTTAACAAAATTAAGTCAGTAATTAAAAATCTTCCCACAAGAAACTCTAAGCCTAAATGGTTCTACAGGTGAGTTCTCACTAAATTTAGGAATAGATACTTTCAATCTTACCAAATTCTTCCAGCAAGCAGAAAAAGAGAAAACATTATCTCAACTTATTTTACAAAATTTGTAAAATCAGGAAAAAAAACTAATGCATTAAAAATAGAAGCAAAACTCTCAACAAAATATTGACAGACTGAATTCTATATAATATAATCCTACATAATATGTATTATATCACAATCAAGTTAGGTTTATTCTAGGAATGCAGGGTTAGTTCAAACTCAGAAAAATCTATTAATATAACGGATCTAACAGATTAAAGAGGGCCAATTAATCATCATAGAGATTCAGGAAAAGCATTCAATGACATTCAATATGCAATAGACTAAGAATAGAAGAAAACTTTCTAGTTTGATCAAAGACCTTCACAAAAAAATGACAGTAAACACCCAATGTTGAAATACTAAAAATTATTCCCTTTGAAATTAGGAGCAATTCAAGAACATTTACTCTCACTTCTATTCAATATTATTTTAAGAGTCCTAGTCATCCTAGATAAATAAGAAACAAATGAAAGATATAAATATCGGGAAAAAAGAAACAAAATTGTTACTATATGCAAATCATATAATTGTATGCATAGACCACCTAAAAAATTTACAGATATATTATTAACATTAGAGCTTCTAGCCAGCTTACTAGCTATAATACCAATTTGTATTCTATATACTGATAACAAACATTTAGAATTTTACATTTTTTAAAAATACCATTTATAATATCAAGAAATATATACAATACTGATGCATAAATATGAAAAAGATGTGCAATATTTTTCTGCAAAAATATTCTACAAACATTTATTGCAGAGATTTTTTAAATAACTAAATGGAGGAACATACTAACTTCATAGATCAGAAGGCTCAATTTTGCAAAGATGTCAGTTCCTAGAAAATTGATTTATAGTATTAACAGAAAAACTTCAGACAAATTAAGTTTAGCAGAATTTATTTGAGCAAAGAACATTTCATGAATCAGGCAGCACTCAGAACCAGAAGAGGTTCAGAGAGCTCTACCCAGAAGCATGAGCAGTGAGCTATGGAAATAGACTGAATATGGAAGCCAGGTAGAGAAAGCATCTGAATCGCTACAGCTGGCATTTGGCTTATTTTCTCATGATGTAATCAGTTGGCTACCTGTGATTGGCTGAAACCCAGCCATTTGTTAGAAAAAAGTGTTGAGTTTAGTACACGCTAAGTTAGGCTGCAGTTTGTTGCATAGGAAATCAAGGTACAAAGACAACCTCAGTTTACTGGCCTCCTGCTTATTTAATTTAACAATGGATTTCATGAATTTCTCATCAAAATCCCCAAGTGACTTTTCCTGGCAATTGATAAACTAATTCTAAAATTTATATAAAAGAGTAAAGATCTTATGGTCATTAAAACACCCTTAAAGAAGACAAAGTATGTAGAGAGATTTCCCCAGCCAGATATCAAGACTTCCTACAATGCTATAGTAATTAAGATAATGTAGTCTGTCTTAATAGGACAGACAAACAGACCAAAGGGACAAACTGAAGAGCCCAGACTCAGATCCATGCACATGTGAAATCTTGATATTTGTTGCAAGTAACATTACAGAGGAAATGTTGGATTATTTTCAGAGAGTGTGGGACTCTTAGATATCTCCATAAAAATTTATATTGTCTCTCTGCCTCATAACTTACTCAAAAATGAATTATTGATGGACCAAGAATTTAAATGGGGGAAGCAAATTTTTTAAACTTTTAGAAACATATCCCTATTCCTAAAAAAATATATTAGAAGCATTTTGGGTAAAGGGCCATGATTTACTTACTTTACCATTAAAGGTTTCAAGAAAGAGATTTTCAAAAGTTGAGAGAGAGAATGCAAAAGAAAATGGGAGTAAAATGTAAATAATATGTGCATCTGGGAATAGGGTATACTGAGGTCCTTTGTACTATTTTTATCTTTTCAACATATCTATTAGCTTGAAGGTGTTTCAAAATAAAAGGGTGTTTTTACAAAAAATCTTTAGAAGAAAATATAGGAGAATATCTTTATCACCTCAGGGTACTTAGGCCACTCTTGAACACAGTTCAAAGGATAGAAATTATAAAGGAAAATATTGACAAAATAAATTACATTAAAAGAATTTATGTTCATCAAAAATAGCCATTAAAAGAGAGAAAAAATACATACCATCAACTGGAAGGAGATATTTGCCACACATCAAACTGACAAAGGATCAGGATCATGAATATATAAAGAACTCCTATGAATTAATAACACATACAATACGTATCTCTTCCTGTGTGTCAAGGTCTATTAAAAATAATAAATAACCCAATGAAAAAATGGGCCAAAATGAATATTTCACAAAGGAAGGAAACCAAATATTAAAAACATTAAAAGATGTTCAGCTCATTTGTAATCAGAGAAATACAAATTAAAACCCCATTGGTATAAAATTTTAGTCCCACATGACTGGCAAATATTAAAAATCTTGGCACTATCAAGTATTCATAAAGACATAAAGCAACAGGATGTCTCCTATGCTGATGTACAGCAGAAATCAGTACAATCTTCGGCATCACCTATTTTAATTCACCCTTCAATTCCAATCCTAGACATTTACGGATACTAGCAAAAGCCTTGCATGTGCAAACAGGTGATGAGTATAAGATTATTTATAGCAGAAATTGCTTATAATAAATAAAAAGCTGAAAACAACCTGAAATTTCCATCAATAGTAAAATGAATAAATAACAGTGGTACATTCATAGAATGGAATGAATATTAAATGACTACATATGGCAATATAAATGAGTCTAAATAATGTTGTTGGGGAGAAGAAAGACCTTGAAGAATTCAAGCAGTTATGAAAAGATGAAACTTTGAAAAATGAGGAGTGAGTTAGACATTCCAGTCAGCGTCTATGAACAGCATGACCCACATGGGAACTGCACGTGCACAACCCGTCCCCCATGGCACGTTTCCCCAATGTGGAGCTCGGTCTATGTGGACTAAGTTACTCTGTGTCTCTGAGATCACAATGGGAATTATCATTGGAGTTCCTAAAAATCAGAGTTTGTATGTCCAGAAAGAAAGATTCTGTCTGCTTGCCCAATCATTGACTGTAGCAGGATTTAACATTAGTATTCAAATTATTAAAGCTATAAATTAAGAATCTCCATTTTTCTGAACATTTAAATTCAGTTTGCAAATCTTCTTTCTTTTTTATTTAGAAATATAGCAATTGTCCAAAAATCAGAAGAGCTATTTTCACACTCCTTGATAAATGTTTAAATTAGTTCATAAGTTAAAAAACTAAAATGTCCTATCTTAAATAACAAAATTTTCTTAGACACTTCGAACTACAATTAGGTATTTAACACATCTGAATTGCTCAAATGCCTATCATGCAGATTTAATAAATTTAATAAGAACATTCTTTCCTAGCATTCAATCTATATGATAACTCTAATAAACTTTAAAATATAATAAAGCCAATAACTTGTAGGTGTGTGTGTGTGTATGTGTTTTCTCTTTTTTTTTATCATTAATACTTTAAGTTCTGGGCTACATGTGCAGAACATGCAATTTTGTTACATAGGTATACACGTGCCGTGGTGGTTTGCTGTACCCATCAACCCATCACCTACATTAGGTATTTCTCCTAATGTTATCCCTTCCCTAGCCCCCCACCCCCTACAGGCCCCAGTGTTTGATGTTCCCCTTCCTGTGTCCATGTGTTCTCATTGTTCAACTCCCACTTATGAGTGAGAACATGCAGTGTTTGGTTTTCTGATCTTGTGATAGTTTGCTGAGAATGATGGTTTCCAGCTTCATCCATGTTCCTGCAAAGGACACCAACTCATCCTTTTTTATGGATGCATAGTATTCCATGGTGTATATGTGCCACATTTTCTTAATCCAGTCTGTCATTGATGGACATTTTGGTTGGTTTCAAGTCTTTGCTATTGTGAATAGTGCCACAATAAACATACATGTGCATGTGTCTTTATTGTAGAATGGTTTATAATCCTTTGGGTATATGCCCAGTAATAGGACTGCTGGGTCAAATGGTATTTCTAGTTCTAGATCCTTGAGGAAAGGCCACACTGTCTTCCACAATGGTTGAGCTAATTTACACTCCCACCAATAGTGTAAAAGCATTCCTATTTTTCCACAATCTCTCCAGCACCTGACTTTTTAATGATCACCATTCTAACTGGCGTGAGATGGTATCTCATTGTGGTTTTGATTTGCATTTCCCTAATGACCAGCGATGAGGAGCGTTTTTTCATATATCTGTTGGCTGAATAAATATCTTCTTTTGAGAAGCCTGTCTGTTCATATCCTTTGCCCATTGTTTGATGGGGTTGTTTGCTTTTTTCTTGTAAATTTGTTTAAGTTCTTTGTAGATTCTGGATATTAGCCCTTTGTCAGATGGAAGGATTGCAAAAAATTTCTCCCATTCTGTAGGTTGCCTGTTCACTCTGATGGTAGTTTCTTTTGCTGTGCAGCTCTTTAGTTTAATTAGATCCCATTTGTCAATTTTGGCTTTTAATGCCATTGCTTTTGGTGTTTTAGACATGAAATCTTTGCCCACACCTATGTCCTGAATGGTATTGCCCAGGTTTTCTTCTAGGATTTTATGCCCAGGTTTTCTTCTAGGATTTTATGCCCAGGTTTTCTTCTAGATTTTCTTCTAGGTTTTCTAGGTCTTATGTTTAAGTATTTGATCCATCTTGAGTTGATTTTTCTATAAGGTGTAAGGAAGGGGTCCAGTTTCAGTTTTCTGCATGTGGCTAGCCAGTTTTCCCAACACCATTTATTAAATAGGGAATCTTTTCCCCATTGTTTGTGTGTGTCAGGTTTGTCAAAGATCAGATGGTGGTAGACGTGTGGTGTTATTTTTGAGGCCTCTGTTCTGTTCCATTAATAAAGTCAATTACTTTAATCTCACATATCTTAAAATCAGATAAAGCATATTTAAAGTGGTATAGTAATGACAAAACTTACTACATTCATACAATCCCTACAAATACATACCCTACATAACAATAGCAATATTACATTAGAATTTTTGTTCTGGATTTACACACTTGCCCAGTGAAGGCCAGCATTAGCACCTCTGGCTGGCCACAGGAACTGGGACATGTCCACTTAAAGATTTTGACATTGGACTGGCCACTGCTGACCAGATGATACTGCCCAAGCCACAAGCCAACAAGTTGAGCCCTGATTTAACTTAGACTCTGTCTTCTTATCCAATCACTTACTGAAATACTTTCATAACGTTTTTCTGCATACCCACACTCCTCTCCAATTCCCTGCCCCACCCAGATTGCAACACTTTTATGTCTTTTCATTCGTGAAATTCTGTACCCTTTAATATTTTACTTTGACATTTGTTTTATCATTTCTATAATCATTTGTTTATACAAGGCTAACTCGGGGGGGAATTAATTTTGAATTATAAATTCACAAAGGCATTAGACACTTGGCTAGAGGATGAGCTGGAGATAAAAATTATTCTTAGACTATAAAGTATCTAAAATAAAGAAAAAAGAATTTACAAACATCTTGAAACTATAGGTTAAGGAGTTTCCAATTGTTTCTGACATGCAGGGATTGACAAATAAAAAACATTTCAGTGCTGGTTGCTAGCTTAAGATTTCTAAAATGTCACTGCATTTGTCTCTGTCCAATGCAGACCTCACTGAGGATATGCAGATGCTGTTACAGTAACAGCAATAATCCAAAATGTAATGACTTATTACCCCTACCTGCTCGTGCAAGACCTTGGGCACCTCTAAATTCCATCCAAATATTTCCTGGGGTCCCCCACAAATGTCTCACATGTTTTCATAAACAAAATCACTTATGCAGTTGAGGCAACATTTTTATTTTTCAGAGACAGGATCTCATTCTCTTGCCCAGACTGGAGTGCGGTGGTGTGATCATAGCTTACTGCAGCCTCGACCTCCTGGGCTCAAGACCTCTGAGTAGCTGGGATTACAGGAATGAGTCACTGCACCCAGTCCTAATTTAATTTAAGCATTTTTCAGAGACTGCCCCAATGTGCTCCAGACCCCGGATGACATGGGTTCATTCTGCAAGAAGGTTTCCAGATTAGAATCCCTTTGGGTACGGAATTTGGGGAAATAGTTTGGGGAAATGATTCTTTCAGCTTTTCTTTTAGCTTTTAGCTTTGCAGGGATTCAGCTAAGACAAGAGCTAAATAGGGCAGGCAGGGACTGGGAAGGGAAATATAGAGAAGAAAAAAATGTAAGAGATGATAAGCACCAGCATTCACACATGAAGATGACACCTTATGATGGATTGTGGTGATGGGGATTAAAGAGGAGTCAAAGTGAAATTAGAGTTTCTCGGCTGTTGCCAGGACAGTAAATAACAAAGAGGGAGGATGGATTGTACACAGGAGAAAGATAAGAACTTTTCTCTCAACTTCCTTCATGTACTTCGGCATGCGTTCACACAAACCTCACCTCGACGTTTTGAGAAGGAAATGTATTTGTGGTTCTTCAGTTGACATCTATTTTCTCATGTGTATTTTGCAAGCTTTGTAGCCCTAAGATAAAGTCAAAACAATGAAATTCTGTTTATTAGTGTTGTTACAGTTATTAAACTCCATTTTCTCTTTTGGGAAACATCAGTTCCATTAGAATTAGAAGATTGTCCCCAAAAATGTTTTCACAAGGATATTTGAGGATGCTTTTTTCATGATGGAAACGAATCGAAACAAATGTCCACCAGTGAGTGAACTGGGTAAATTAAGATCTATACAGATGATGAAGTCATTAAGAATGATCCATTCATCCATTCGTTCATTCAACATTTTTTTTTTGAATGGTAACTGTATGTCAGGCACTATTCTAGTTTCTTCAGAGGTAAACAAAGCCGGCAAAATGTTCTGCTCTCCTTGACCTTACAGTCTAGTGGAGAGAGACAGTAAACAAAATAAGTAAGGAAAATATATGTTAGATGTCAAGAAGCACTATGGATACAAATAAAGCAGGCAAGAGGATTAGGGAGGCCAAAGAAGGATGCCATTTAAAATAGGGAGATGAGGGAAGATGACATTTGAGTAAAAATGTGAAGGAGAAAAGGGAGAGCCACATGGATATTAGGGTAAGCTGCCTTCTAGGCTTATGGAAGAGCAGATGCAAGGGTGCTGAGGCAGGAGCAAGCCGGATGTGCCCAAGGAACAGAAAGGAGACTGGTTGAATAAGAGAAGTAAGTGAGCAGCAGAGAAGTAAACTAGAGGATCAACAAGATCAGAGATGCCAAGTTACACAGGGCTTGTCATAGACTTTAGTTTTTATTCTAAGTGACATGGGAGATCTTTGGACAATTTTGAGCAGACAAGAGCCATGATCTTATTTATGTTTTACAGGATCCCTCTGGCTCCTTTGTTAAGATTGGGTATAAGGGGTTGGGCACGGTGCCTCATGCCTGCAATACCAGCACTTTAGGAGGCCAAGGTTGGAGAATCACTTGAGGCTAGGAGTTTGAGACCAGCCTGGTCATCATGGAGAGACCCCGTCTCTACAAAATATTTTAAAAAATTGTTTTAAAGTATGGCTAGAAGGAAGATAAAGGCAGTAGAAAGGTTACCAGTTAGGAGGCTATTAGAATAACCCAGGTGAGAAATGATGATTCAGAATGGTAGCCATGAAGGTGAAACAGTTTGAGTAAGATCTGGATACATTTTGAAGGTAGAGTAGATGGAATTTGCTGACACATTGGTTTAGAGGTCTGAGAAAAAAATAAGGAGGAAAAAAATGACTCCAAGGTTTCTGGCCTAAGCAACCAGAAAGATGGAACAGCTATTTACCGAAATGGGAATTCTGCAGGAAGAACAAGTTCCATTAGGTTAAACTCTAGTGCCATTTTTGCAGGTTCAAAACATTTGAATATCCGTCTTTTCATATAGTTTAACCTAACGTAAATGTATGTTGACATAGAAAGATATCCTGGAAATATTTTTGAGTGGAAAAAGGAGCATACAGAATTGCCAAAAATCATATGATTCTATTTACAAAAAATTGAGAGTGCGTGGGGGACCCTAAGACTTGCAATGTGAAGATTTGTCTTGATGTGCTCAAGAACTTTAAAAATCCAGAGCCTTTTGGTGCTCTGGGATTGCAGAAGTAGTCTACTGCCTTCTACTAAGACTGACATTGACCTCTTGCTTGAAGACATTACAGGATCCTCTAACTTAAAGAGAGCACGAGAGCCTCTCAGGATCTACCCTATCTGTCCTGGACATCACACCAATACACAGGATCAAGTCACATGAGCCAGCATGGGAAGTGCTGAGCTTATTAAGCCAGGACAGGGTCTCTATGCTTCAAAAAAGCCACAAGACCTAGCCGACTAGTGCTAGCTAGAGCTGGGGTTTGGGGGACATGCATGGGGCTGGATCCCAAGGTGATGCGTCAAGGAAGACAAGATCAACTCAGATAAGCGGGGGAGGGCTCATTGATATGGGAGCATCATCTTGTAATTCAGAATTCAACACTCCTGCAAGGATCCCAGAAGATGATGCTGATATGCTGCTAGGAGGCTCTCAACCTCTTGGAAAATATATTTGCAATAAATTGTAGGAGAAATGCTAGAGCTGCTGCAGCAAACAGTGAAGGGGAGAAGAGGCTTGTAGAGGTGGGCACGCCAGAATGGATCTTCCACATGCAGCCAAAAAGCCTGTTCACCTGAGCAGCAAGGACAGAGCTGGTTAGAAGGGAGCAAGCCTCACTGAGAAGCTCAGTGGCATGCCCAACAGCAATGCATCATAAGACAGAAGTGGTACATTTGGATCAGAGCACTCAATGAAGCTGCATGAAGAGGTGGCCCAACCCCACATGACATCTAACAGTACCACACATGCACTCTCCCTGAGCTCACCAATTCAGCTGCATGGGGGAGGGAGATCGCTTTTGAGAAGCTAAAGGAATTTTTAAAAAGGCTAAGCAGGGCTCACCAATGGATGGTTGTCTTGGTGTGTGAGTACAAGCTAAAGACAGGTGGCTTCTGTGTCACAGCCCCTCTCACAAATGGCACTGAAAGCAGCAGTGGGGAGGGATCTCCCAGTGAGCAGAGTTTTAGGCAGCACACTTAGTCATCCACGATGTGGTAAGAGAGTAGCTTGAGTCAAGATGATAGGTGGTTTCATGGACAGTGATAAACCATGTGACTGGTGGGTTGGATCTGTCAAAAGAAAGTTTGGAAGGTCAGAGGCAAGGGGGTCTGGAGAAGAGGCTGCAGATGGACATAGGGGAGCAGAAACCACGTGGGAGGGACTTTGTTTCCCATGTTAATGTCCATCACAGAACATTCATCATAGAAGACTCACTAAACAACCAAGGAGATGGGATGATTTGACCCGTTGACAACAGCCAGCTTCTGTCACCAGCTATGCCAAGTGTTGGCACAATGGGCTCATGGACAGAGGCCATGGGGGCAGGAATGCAGGCTATATTTGGGCCCAATAGTGCTGCTATTGCTGCAACCAACTTTACAGGAACAAAGCCAACATTGAGACCCCAGTTTGGCACCGTCCCTCAAGGAGATCAGCTACTTGGTGATAACTTGACTTCAGTGGACCATTTCTACCCAGGAATGAGCAGTCGTTCATATTGACTGAGAGCAAATATGTATTTCAAGTACAAGTTTGCTCTCCTGCCTGCCAAGCCTCAGCCATCACCATGATCACAGGCCTTACTGAGTGTTGGACCATTGATATGGGATCTTGCTTAACATCGTCTTGGACAAGGGTCTTACTACGCAACAAAGGAAGTATAGCAGTGGGCACTTAACCACGGGATCCACTGGTTCTATCACATACAGTCCCGCCTAGAACATTTGTGCCTGATAAAAATTGAACAGCTTTTTGAAGGTGCAGCTGAGGCACTAGCTTAGAAGTGACACTCTGCAAATATGGAGCACTCTTCTCCAGAATGCTGTACACATCCTAAATCAATAAACATTACTGAGCTGTGTCCCCTGATATAGTCTATAACCCAGGTCCAGGAGGAACCAAGGGGTGGAAGTAGGAGCAGCCCTGTTTATCACAACTCCAGCATGGGGACTTGAAATTGCCCATCCCTGCAACAGTTGGCTCTATGGTCTAGAGATCCTGATCCCCAGAGGGCAACGCTTCCACCAGGGAACAAAGTAAGGGTCTCAGTAAACCTTAAACTGTAGCTGCCACCCAGTTACTTCAAGAGCCTTGTGCCAAGAGACCAGCAGACAAGGAAAAGGTCATCATCCTTGATGCTGTAAATCATCTGGGTAAAGTGACCCAGATCATCACAGGTGTGACTGAAGTGATACAATAGGGCAGGAAGGAATATATTGGGCACCCAAGTGATATAATGAAGCATCTGTTTATACTTCCAGGCCTAATTTTAATGGTAAATGGGCAAATGCAGCAGCCACAGCCTAAGCAGGGCATTGTGGCCAGGGGCTCAGACCTCTCAGGAATGAAGTCTGCTCACACCAGACAAGACACCTCGACCAAGACAGGTGCTAGCCAAGGGTGAAGGGAATCAAGAATGGGTCATAGGAAAGACAATGTGTATAAGTTGAAGCCTCAGGACCAGGTGCAGTAGCAGGGGCTATAGTTTATCCTAATAACCTATCTTTGGCAGAGTTATCCAGGAACCCTGGAGGAGCTTATCCCAGTTGGGATAAACTTACTATATGAAGCAAGTGGCCCCAAGTGGTGGGAGGTGTGGACTCCAGTGGCTACTGTGGTGCACTGCTCAGATCCCCCTGAATGAGGCATTTGCTTCTAGCTGTCAGGAGCATTGGCTACAAACAGCTCACAATTGAACCTCCACGGGAAAAGTTCTGAGTAGAAAGAAGCTGCTTTGCCCAAGGTTATGCCCCCCGCTGAAGACACAGGAGCAGCCCACATCCAATGACTGGTAGATAATGCAGAGTATAAGGACCACTCCCCTTGCCTTAATTTGAGCTAACTCCGAAGGGCCAGCCCAGCTCCAGAAACCATGAGATCAGCTGAGACCTCTGTTGTAGCTGTATTGCAGCTTCACTTCTGCCTTTCCCAACCCTGCTTTATTTATTTCCTCACAGATGCTCTTTCCAAGAGTGCTTCCTCATGATCCTCCCACATGCACATCTCCATCTGCTGTGGTTTAAATGTGTCCCCCAAAGTGCATGTGTTGGAAACTTAATCCCCAATGCAACCAAGCTGAGAGGTGGGACTTTTAAGAGGTGATTAGGTCATGAGAGCTCTGCCCTCATGAATGGATTAATGCTGCTATCATGCGAGTAGTTTCATTATTGTGAGAGTGGGTTTATTAGAAAAGCAAATTTGGCCCTCTCTTGCTTCCTTTCTCCCATGTGTCCCCATTCTCTTGCCCTTCTGCTCCTGCCATGGGATGACACAGCAAGAAGGCCCTCACCAGATGCCGGCCCCTCAATCCTGGATGTTTAGCCTTCAGAACTATAAGAAATAAATTTCTGTTCTTTATAAAATACCCAGCCTCTGGGTGTCCTTTTACAGCAGCCCAAAACAGACTAAGACACCATCTCTGTGCATTTTCACAGAAAACTGTGCCTAAGATGCTTCAGTATTTCAATTTTGGAAGAAGATGGGGAAAGAGAAACAACAACTTCTGCTGTTTCCTCACCCTGTCCCTTCACTCTTTTCTCCTACAAAAATTGCATCATCTTCTCCTCATCTATATTTTGCTATTCCAAAATAAAAGCAAAAGCAAAAGCCACTCCAGCCTCCCCAGCGTCTTGTCTCAGTTCTAGTGTATACGTTATCTAGGTAGCAATGAGCAGGAGCTGACATCCCTCAAAGTATGTCTCACCTGTCCCATCCCAGGCTCACACTCTTCTATGCACAGAGAGCTTCTTAAGAAAATGTGAATAAGAAAGACTTGTTCTTGCTATTTCAACTTTAAACCATGTAGCAAATATTTTTTATCCCACTACCAGGTTAAAATCACACCAATCTGGACAATGTGCAGTTTATTACAACTCTGTTCCCACTGGGATAGCAGAAAGAGCTAATGTTATTGTTTTAAGTATACTGAAGCCAGATTTTTTGGGGTTATTTTTTGTTAGTACAAGCCAGTAAGACCAACTAGCTCATTTTTTTTTATCCTCCAGAACAATTGGGAGGTGTTTGGGTTTTTTGTTTTTGCTTTTTAAAATCTCAACTGACTCATTTGGTGGGAACAAATTCACATGTCAGCATGTGGTCTGACCAATATGACCTATCTACAGGGAAAAAAACAACATTTTCAAATTAAGGTACATTCAGCAATTATACATTCTTGTTTTAAAAAATATATACTGACCAGCACCTAGCCATATAACAAAGAGCATGTGCCTGAGATTGCCACAGTGGGAAGATTGATCAACATCAGTCCCATTGTTTGAGTCAGGATAACTTGCTCACATTTCAGTCAGCTTGAGTAAAAGAGAACTTATTGCAAGATGAGAGGAGTGTTTCATGAAACTTGAAGAATATACACAGGAAGTCGAATCTTTGGTAACTAAACCCTTGCTCTGTCTATTTTTCTCTCCCTTCCCTATCCTACCCCAATGTCTCTCTGCTTCCCTCTGTCCCTTTGCTCCCTCCTCTGGCTTCCTTTGCAGATTGCCTCTGGCTCTCTCTGCTTCATCACCAGTCCTCATGGCCCAAAAAGGCTGCTGCAGCTTAGTCTTCTAGAAGAAGTCACCTTCATGGAATACAGTCTCGTAGCCTCTTAAGTCAAACTTTTGTGATTTCTATCTGAGTGCTTTGGGTAGAGTCAGATATCCCTGATCTACCTGTTATAAAAATAAAATGCCCAGCCCCATTGTTCAGGAAAGCTTATGCAGACACCTGTCTAAGGATGGAGGTTGACCTTTTCAGGCACCCCAAAAGTATTTGTCACATTTCTTGGATATACATTTGAATCCCTTAGCAAATTCCACCATATTCCTTCTGGCAGACAGTGAGGTGAGAGACAAATTATCCATGTCAGTGAACCTATATATCATGTTTGGTTTTATATGGCAGCACCCAGTAGAGATGGGACTGATAATACTGAGGTTCAAGGGATAATGCTTATCTTTGAAAGAAAAGTAGATGGAGGGGGGTAATTATTATAATAATTTTCAATGTATTAGTAGAAGCATCATTTATTTTTAACAAGAAACTTACTAGCTAAAACATGCACAGAATCCTTTGACTTAGGAATTCCACTTCTCAGAATGCATACTAAGGAAACAATCATAACAGTATTGATATGGTTTGGCTATGTCCCCACCCAAATCTCTAATTGTAGCTCTCATAATTCCCATGTGTCATGGGTGGGACCCCATGGGACGTAATTGAATCATGAGAGTGGGTCTTTCTTGTGCTGTTCTCCTGATAGTAAATAAGTCTCACAAGATCTGATGGGTCTATAAAGGGGAGTTTCCCTGCACATGCTCTCTTGTCTTCTCCCATGTAAGACATCCCTTTGCTCTTCCTTCGTCTTCGGCCGTGATCGTGAGGCCTCCCCAGCCTTGTGGAAATGTGAGTCCATTAAACCTCTTTCTTTTATAAATTACCCAGTCTCGGGTATGTCTTTATCAGCAGTGTGAAAACAGACTAATACAAGTACATAAAACATTATAAAGAGATATTCATTATAGACATGTATTAATATAAATGAAAAGAAGTTGCATATCTATTAATAGGAATTCCAATGATGAATTTATGTTCTATGCATGGGGTTGGCTATTGTGCACCCTTTAAAAATTATCTTTTTGAAGAGTATTTACTCACATAGGAAAATGTGTATAATATGCTAAGGGAAAAAAACAAAATCATATGCATCCTCCTAATTGTATTTTAAATTATTTACCTATAATGCATTTAAAGAAGATAAGAAGGCAATATATCAAAATGTTAACTGCGATTATTTCTGAATGGTGAGGGATGGGTAACTTTTATTTTCTTTTTTATTATTGGCTTATTTTCCAAATTATCTAAGATGGATGCATATTGTTTTTATAATTAGTTTCTTCAGCCTTTCACCTCACAACAGTGAATGCAATAAAATGAACATTCAAGAAGAAAAGAGAGAAGAAAAGATTACTGAACTACCATGATGACCAGAGTTGACTTTTATTTTTCAGCTCATCTTTTGTTGTTGTGGGAAGGGCCCACAGAAGCCAACAGTTTTGGTGGAACTCCGATCGGACAGTAGATGCTTCTTATTCCTTGTTATGAACTACAAATGCCCCGACCTCGTGTTTATGATCGCCAACAGTCACTTGTGCATTTCTGTCTCCACTAATGCATGGTGTGGCTAATTGGGTTTGTGAAAAAGGTCACTTCCATCTTTTTTTTTTTTAATGAATGGTTTAGTTTATTATTACAGTGGAGTGTTGACAAGCATGGCAGAGACTAAAAATATAGTTCCTTTTCAAAATAAAATATTCAGCATTTTGACTGGCTGCAGATTTATTTGGCAGTAATTTCTTGGTTAAAATTCCCTGAGGTTTCTTTATATGGCTATTTTGGTTCTTTATTTTAAGTATATCAGCATTTTTCCACAGCTTCAAGCTATTCTCATCTCAGCATGTAGGAAGTTAATAGGCAGCACAGAAGCTTGTTACTCCAATTCCAGTAAAAACATAATTGGCTCAAGCAGCTAAGATACCAGCACCATCCTTTCTGCTACCTTGAAGGACCAGCAAGAATGGCCACAAACTCAAACTCATCACAACAATCAGGCCCATTCCAGGCAGTGCCCATGAATATGGAATAAGGACCAGCAAAAATGGCCACAAACTCAAACTCATCACAACAATCAGGCCCATTCCAGGCAGTGCCCATGAATATGGAATAAGGACCGCTTGGAATTTTGTTTTTTAGTCTCAAAACTTTGTAAGATTTTTTAACGATATGCATAATAGGAATGCAATTCCATTTAAGGTGGATGCCCACCTAGATACACAACATATTCCAGTGGTACCACCATTCTTCGAAACATCTGTGAAATTTCTGTTTTGGAATCGCTTTCAGATATAGTTTATGGAGAAATACATCAGAAAATTAGTCTCGTTCATTTCTAATCACATATGAATCAGATTAAAAAGTTAGATTACTCAACTTATTTACCAGACTGGGCACCAGATGCCTTTTGCATTTTCTAAATAGCAGATTCTCTCGCAAAACCAAAGTTTGCCACCAATAAATCTTTCAAACCACATGCCTTGGTCTAGGATAGGAATTCCAATAAGATAATTCCAAAAGGGATTAGATTAATGGTAGAATCATTGGAATAAGTGTACAGTCTTCCAATCTAACAACTCTGAACTGGGCATTTGGATCCGTAAGATCAGGCACACTTAAAAAAAAAAAAATTAAGTGAGTTCCAGGCTCTGTTACAGGGGCTGCAGCAGCACATATATATCAGGTTTAGCCTTTGCCCTTTGACAATATCAGTCTTAAGAGCACTGACTTGAAGAAGTGATCTAAAATAGTATCTTAGAGTTATGCTAATTTGAACTACCCCAGTCAGAAAGATATGGAAAAGTGAGAAAGAAGGAAAATGTTTTAAAGGCCTTTTCTTTGTCTTTCTCTCTCTCTTTTTTTTTTTTTTTTTTTTTTTTTCTCATTTGCAGGACATTGAAACAAAGCAGGGAAGTGCATTTGCATTCAGCTAAATTTAATTTGCATGCCTAGATAACCTCTGGGAATTTGGGAGGCTACCTTAGCTGGAATGTGCAATTGTAGCTACCTATTTACGTCACAGTGTTTGTTATGAAATAAAGGACTAAAACCTTAAAATGCGGTTCAATTTAAATATCTTGATCACCATCAGTAGCAGCAGCAACAATTCTCTCACAGATTTCATCCTTGAGGAAAAGGCAGGAAGTCAGTTAAACTTAATTCGGCTTCCATCGACAAATATAATTTGGACATCAGGAATGGTGCCATGCAAAGACGCACACTCTCGTTCAACTCCTTCAGCTCAAGGAACTCATCCAAGTCACCTCAAGCATTAGGGTCTTACTGTGACTATAACAGGAATGCATACTCTTCCAGCCCCTAATGTTATCAAACCAAACTGGACTCCACCTGCCCGGCGCAGTAAGATGAGATATCCACACTGAGGTTTGCAGCAGGAGAAAGGAAGGCGTTTATTCGCAGGGTGCTAAGCAAGGACAATTGGCAGCTATTGCTTAAGAGTCAAACCTCCAGATGGCTTAGGGGTAAAGGCTTTTTAAGACAGGGGGCAGAGGTTGCAGGCAAAGTCATAAATCAATACATGGATGCTATACATTGGCTGGACCTCAAAAGGTGGGATATCTCCAAGCATGAGCCCAAGCAAGATCATAAGTGGATTCAAAGATTTTCTGATTTGCAATTAGTTAAGAAGGCAAAGCGTCATCTAAAAATATGGGATTAGTAGAATGTTCTGGGCCAGGGATGTGACCTCCTCCAGGCCCCTCAAGAAGAAACTTAGAACAAAGAGTTCAGTCTTTGGTTCCCCCTTATCTGGAGGAGATCCATTTGGGTGGGGGTGGGGGGTTCTAGGATTCTGAAAAACAACTAAGGGACATAGGCTAAGATGTTATCTTTAGTTTCTGTAGAGGAGCCAAACATTTCGTGATTCTAACGTCCTTGGATACGGTTTAAGCTACTATTACCTTCTTGCTTATCAAGTTTCTCATTTACTTCTCAGGGCTAGCTAAGTGCCTGCAACTTCCCTTGAAGGAACTCAAGATTTTCTTTTAATTCCATTCTTGTTGGGTGGTGAGGTGGCTGCAGGTCCCCAAGAGGGGCCCCTGCTCTGTCTCACTAGCTAGGAACAGTTCCAGAAGCTCATCCCTCCCCTTCCACCCATCTAGATACCTGGAGGGCCCTAAGCTTAGTATAGTCTCTGTCTAGGAGAAATATTCTTGCTCATGAGATGGCAGTTGTTTGGCAGGCAAAATCTAGAAAGACAGGTGGCTTGATGTTCCCATTTAGAAAATGACCAGCATCTTAACAAAACAGAATTGCCTCGCAGCAGGAATGTCAAAGTGCCAGTTATATCACAAAGCTTCCTGTCATGTTGGGTGGAGCCCTTGGTCCCTCCTGGGAATTCAAGGACTACCACTCAAAGTGCTTCTCTTATTTTTCAAACCACCCCTAAATTTGGGGGTGAGGGACAGTCCGCTGATCCCTAGAACCAGGTATCCTTTTCTCTGCATCATTTCCCAGGCCCCACTCTTCTCTCCTTTAGGTCCATATCAGTCCTTTCTCATAAATGCCATCATTACCTCTAAGAAACCAAAGTACCTGATCTTATTGATCACGATCTTGATTTCATCTGTTTCTCCTGAGTCCTAACGTTGACCTTTTGAGATGCTGTGTGGCAGGTGTCTCTTACTGTCTTCTGTGCTTGCCCCCATCCTCAAATCTCCTTGATGAGTAAGCGGTGCAAATGTTGATACTGAATCTCAGAGTAAAGAACACTACTCATCTAGTCCGGAGGTTTTCTCTGTTAGAAGTTATGATCTAATTATTTCCAACTCTAAAAATTATTAACCAATTATACCCAATTGTCTAAAGATCCATTCCTAAAATCCCATTAATTCAAATTAATTCCTCCCTACTGGCTTGATAAAAGATGTTTTACCCCTCACTTGAAATACAAGTTCCTTTCAACACAGAGGCCTGTGAATATACTATTAGTATATAAATTCTCCTCCTAAGTTGCCATTATATAAATGAGTAGTGGGAGTAACTGAAATTTAGGGATATATTATAACTGGCATTATTTTGTTCATTAAATTAATTTGAAATAAGAAATGTACATTCAGGCTGGGTCTGGTGGCTCATGGTTGTAATCCCAGCACTTTGGGAGGCTAGGGTGGGAGGATCACTTGAGCTCAGAAGTTCAAAACAAACCTAGGCAGCATAGTGAGACCCTGTCTCTATGAAAAATTAAAATAGTGGCCAGGTGTGATGGTGCACACCTGAAATCCCAGCTACTTGTGGGCTGAGGTGGGAGGATTGCTTCAGCCCAGCAAGTTGAGGGTGCAGTGAGTTGTGATGGCGCCACTATACTCCGGCCTGGCCGACAAAGCGAGATCCAGACTCAAAAAAAAAAAAATTTACATTTAGTAAACAAATTATTAGGGTTAATGATTCAAGGTGGGTAATAATTCAAATGATTTCCTCTTATAAAGGAAAATTTTGTGAATGAAAATAGAGGATTTGAATTGACCTGTGACACTGGCTTTTTCTGTGACCTTACTAATATCCCAAAGAGCAAAGAGCTTTAAGAAAATATTTTTAAATAATGCAAACTTGTATGCCTTTGACATTCCAGTCACCCAAGTGGCCAGGAGTTTAGGTAATGAATAATCGGAATGAAAGTTGCTGTAACTTGTCCAAATCTAGAGATAACGATTTAGATTTGATTTAAATTAGATTTTTCTTTTTGAGCCAAAAAAGAGCCCCTTGCTGTATCTTGTCTTCTAATATTATATCACACACCTGTTTTGAATCTTTGCATTGGTGCATGTTATATTTATTCCTTCAAAGTATCTCGTAACTACATGATCAGAATATAAGTAGACTTCAGTCATTGGTTTATACTTTTATTCTTTAGACAATATATAGTACCTAATATGTGCCAGGCATTCCATTTGACTTTGAAAAATGTGAAGATGAAGACACAGTCTCTACCCTCAAGGGCTTAAAGTCTATTTGTGGAAATAGGTGAATAAAGTATTAACAATGACAGAATGCGGCTAATACATTAACGAAAATATGGACTAAGTGCTTTGGAGGCATAGAGGAAGTAGTGAATAATATATTCTTCAAAAGTTGAGAATTAACCAAAATTAAATCTGCCACCTTGGGACTAGACTGGAATGGCAGTTGTAAGGTGAATGAATTGTGCTGACCCCAGCCTGGTCTGGTACATTTACTGGTTTTCCTCTTTCCTATAGACACCTTTACCTTGTTTGCTCAAGAATATTGTGCAACAGTGGACCTTCATGGTTTCCAAGCAGAAAAATGCTGTTTGACCACTGAGCAAATTCTTCTTGACTGCTTTGGATTAAGAATTGCTACTCTGGTGAAATTAAGCCAAAGTGTCATTCAGGAAGCAAGATGTTTCGTTTGAACAGAACATAAATCAAAGCTGGAAGTAGGGGCTGCCTAGTCTCCCTGTTCTGAAGCCCTCTTGACTCTGTGAATTCCATCACCAAATCCTTGCTTCCAGACCTCAGGAACATGGCTTCAACAAGTCTGTCTATGCCAAACCCATGCTTCCCATTGCTTTCATTCTGAAGCTTCTAGGGCTGTTTCAAGAATGCAATGCAAAATTAAAATTTCATGGAATATTAAGCAATTCTTTCTAATAGAAAGCCAGTAAAATTGTCAAATTTCATTGATCACCAAGCCATGTAGATGACTGGCCAGTTTGAAAGGTCCACACTATGGTTTGAATCTTCGTTTCCTCACCAAAATCCATGTTCAAACTTAAAACCCATTGTGGTGATATTAAGAGGTGTGTTCTTTGGGAGGTGATTAAGTCATCTATGGCATTAGCACCTTATAAAAGGGCTCAGGGATGAAGGGAGCACCCTCTTGCCTTCCTATCTCTTCCTCCATGTAAGGACATTGCTTTCCTCCTCTGGGGAGGATGCAGCAACAAGGCGCCATCTTGAAAGCAGAGAGCAGCCCTCAACAGACACCACTTCTACTGGCTTCTTGATCTTGGACTCTCAGCCTCCAGAACCATGAGAAATAAACTTCTGTTCTTTTATCAATTATCCAGTCTCGGGTACTTTGTTGTAGCCACACAAAAATGGACTGAAACAGTCTATTAAATTAAAAATAAATGAAATTTATTGATAAATTCCTGATAGAGTTTATTCCTCCTGATACAGATATGCAAAACACTGAACAATGACTGACAAATGAAAGTCACTGTTACCTCAGTGATGTTTCTCTTAGATGAGTGCACCTCCCAGAGGTAATGGTGGCCAATCAGAGCCCAGAACTCTGCCTACAGCTGCATTAACTCACTGTGGGGAGTTAGTCAAGCTATTTTAACTTCTTCCTAGCTTAGATAATCCACCTGTAGAAATAAATGAGAAAAACTATACATTGAATTTTTGGAAAATCAGATGAAAGATGATATAAGAGTAGAGAAAACCCCATTTTTATTTCGTTGAGATACAATATTATTTAGAAAATGATTAAAGTGATACATTAGGTTAGAGGTTCCCAGATTTTTCACAAAGAAATTCTTTGTTTGGCTTTGTGAGATCTTTACATTTCTCTCCTTTCCAAGTATATATAAACACCTATATATGTACTATATAAAAATTATAAATATATATACAAAGGCACTATATAAATTATATGTATAATTTTTATATAGTATGTTTTTAATGATAAAAGTGATACATGTTCACAGTAAGAAATTCAAATAGTACAGAAGGTTGAAAAGAGTATGGATTTTTACTACAACAAAAAACGTTACAATAAAAGTCCTTATCCATTGGATGCATTCCTGGAGGTAGAAATGATGGATCAAAGAGCGTGTGCATTTTAAATTCTAATAGATATTTGTCAAATTACCTCCAAAATGTTTGCACCATTTTATGCCCCACCAACAGCGGCTGTTTCCAGGCACCTTCCCCATCCCTGGATATTATCAAACTTTTAAATTTGATATGGCCAGTGGAAAATAGGAAAGAAGAATAAGCTAAAAGAAGCCATGGTAAATGGAAAACATGAAATCAGATGGCAGAAATATTTATTATATATTCTAATATGATGATTATTATATACCATTATATATCATGTTATACATAATTTAATTATTAAAATGTCAAAGAGTTAAAACAGATCAAAAGGCAGAAACTTTTAGCATTTATTATTGATTATTAATATTGGTAATAGCTTATTTGTAATTAATATTACTTATTAATATTACTTCCAAGACACATGTTTTTTAAAAATATAGAAAAGTTGAAGTGATGGAAAAATAATAAACTAATCAAATATGGATCAAAGAAAGATGAGACAGCAGTTTTAATATTAACATGTAATATATTTAATCTAATACTAATATTGGAGAAAATAGAATTTAAAAGTAAAAGAAATCATAAGATATATTGCTTGCAAAAAGATGGATTATTTAGAAAAGGCATTGGCTTATTACATGAAAAATAATAAATTTAGAGGCCTACCTCACACCATTAAAGGATAAATGGTCTGAGCACAGTGGCTCATGCCTATAATCCCAGCATTTTGGGAGGCTGAGGCAGGAAGATCACTTATGCCCCGGAGTTTGAGACCAACCTGAGCAACATAGTAAGACCCTATCTCTACATAAAATTTAAAAATTATTTGAGCGTGGTGGCATGTGCCTTGTAATCCCAGCTACTCAGGAGGCTGAGGTGGGAGGATTGCTTGAGCCCAGAGGTTGAGGCTGCAGTGAACCAGGATCACACCACTGCACTCTAGCCTGAGTGACAGAGCGAGACCTTGTCTCAAGACAAAATAAATAAATAAATAAATGCAAAAATAAAAATATAAAATTAATAGAAGAAAATGTTGGGGGATTTTGGGGAAAATCCCCCAAAAACATAAACCAGAAAAGTAAAAACTGACAGATTAACGAAATCAAAATTAAAGATTTGGGGTCAACAAATAAAGCTTAATATTTACCAAGCAAAGTTGTTAATGTGTATTGATTAAACTAATCTTCCTAACGCCCATAAGAAGTAGAAGCTGTCATTACTGTATCTTAGAGGTGAGGAGTCAGGCACAAGTCAGTTAAATAGCTTGTCCAAGGCCACATCAGTAATTTAGGAGCTGAAGAGAGAGCCCTCGGGTTTAACCACTACACTACATTGCCGCCAGAAGACAACAGAGACAAATTAAACACGTGGGTGATAGACTGGGGGAAAACATTTTAAATATCTATAACTTACACAAAAGAATATACAAGAAACCCCTGCAAACTGACAAGGGAGGAAAAAGGAAAGCCTGTCAAACATGGGCAAAAGATACAAACAAGCAATTCATCAGAAGAGAAAACCCAAATAGCTAACTAGTATGTGAACAGATGCTCGACGTAGCTGGTAATGAAAACATGCAAAGTTTTAAAAAGACAGGCTTTACTGGCCTCGCCCCAGAACCTCCCAATCCTTGCCTGCTGAATGAAGTGGTAAATGAGTGAGTACACACTCTTTGAACAAGAGAACCACACGCCGGCTCCTCTGTCTACCTTTGCCTCTTCCAGTCCCAGGCAAGAGCCACAGCTAAATCTCAGGCCCCCTGTGGACTTGAGCGTCTCCCATCGTAACATCTCCAGCTGGATGTGATTTCGTTTTCTTCAACCTCTCAAAGTTATGGCTTGTACCGCTCTAGGGGCACTCAGCATATGTTGCTTCCCTCTGTGGTTCTTTGTGTCTGTGTCCTACAGTTTACCCCCCAAGGACAGGAACTAAGTCTTAGTCATCTAGAATTTTCTGGAGTACTCGCATAATGTTTTGTTCATAACAGGAGCCCAATAAATATTTATTGAATTGAATTTCATGGAAGTGCGGTATGTTAAGCTCCCAGTGAGTAGTCGGGAAACCATGGGAGCTTTGAAAATGAAGAAAAATTAGGGGGAAAAAAATTGACAAAGTTTGACTAGCTCAGCGCTTACTGAAGTGTTCTCTGCAGAACACAAATCCTATAAAATACTACCTGAAGGAAGGGTCTTGGGTCAAATAATTTTGTGGAGCACCACATGATCTATTCCCATCCACCCAAATCCTTTTGGGGACCATAAGCAGTGGTGTGCTGGAGCTAGCTTGTTCCAGCTTGCAAAAGTCAATTGTTAAATGTCTAGGAAGTTTGTGAGCCAGTTGTTAAACATGGTCATTATTAAAAATTAAACTGCATAAACTTCCAATTAAATAAACTCCATTAAAAAGGCAATGATTACAGAACACAATACTTCCTAATTAATTTACCACCTTTTACTGTTAGGTGTGCTCTTGTTTATGTCTATTGCACTGTCTTGTGGAAGTGTTGGGTAATGTGTGCTGCTATGTATCTCTCCCCAACTTCACAATCATTGATATGTTGGTAGCTGGATATTGGCTGTAGTGGGAATATTTACACCACAGAAATCAGCAGCTACTGCAAAAGCAGGGCTTTTTCTCCAAAGAACTGGTGGTCAAGCATTTAGCAGCATATTCCTAGTCCCAAACATGTCGGTCTGTTAAACAAAGCATGGTGGCTCACGCCTGTAATTCCAGCACTTTGGGAGGCCGAGACAGGTGGATCACCTGAGGTCAGGAGTTCGGGACCAGCCCGGACAACATGGCGAAACCCCGTCACTACTAAAAATACAAAAATTAGCCAGGTGTGGTGGTGGGCACCTATAATCCCAGCTACTCAGGAGGCTGAGGCAGGAGAATCACTTGAACCCAGGGGGCAGAGGTTGCAGTGAGCTGAGATCTTACCGCTTCACTCCAGCCTGGGCAACAGAGCAAAACTCTGTCAAAAAAAAAAAAGAAAGAAAGAAAGACAGAAAGAGAGAAAGAGAGAGAGAGAGAAAGAAACTCCTGATCTCCGGATAGCCCTACGGTAAACACACCCGTTTAACTGTATAAGTGACTGTTCTGAACTTTATCTGATCATGGAATTCTCTTAATGCATAACATCTACCAACACCTTAAGACATATACTTTGGGAAAAACTGGACTAGCTAATCGCTAAGGCCCTTCCTAGTTCTTGCAATATATGAAAATGACAAGCCTTCACATACAAACTTATCATCCTCCTTTCTTAGATTTTCAATGTGTTAAGAAGGCGGATATGAGTTAATCAACCTTCTCGTTGAAAACAAAGTCAAAATAAATTTAAAGGATTTTTACTTCCTAGGAAATATTATTGACTGATCTTTGTTCCTCAGTTCCAAGCAATTTGATTAAGGGCAAAATATTACATAGAAAGATTTTATTTACATTCCACCACTGAGCAAGGAAATCAATGTCTCTAAATGTCATTTTCTTCATCTGTAAAGTGGGATACATTACAGGATTTTTGAGAAAGCAGCCCAAGATTATGCATGAAGAATTACTTGGCTAGCTGTCCAGTTTTTACATATAAAAGGAAATATGATTCAGGTGTTTCTCTCTGAAAGTGGTGTGATAAATATGGTTCATAAACAATCTTTAGCTTAGTTTGCCAAATCTCAGAAGCCTTCTCCCAAATGCCTGTAGCAAAGTGGATAAAGTCTTGGCTCAGACTCCAAAGTAACCTAACTGTGCTCCACTGTGACAGCTCAAATGTGATTGTTAAGATGCCTCCTGGCTTCATGGCTCAGCTCACAGGAAACTGCAGTTACGTTTTCAAAAGATACAATCAAAGCCAATTGTATCCAGACTGATAGTAAATGGGAATGAGGCTGGGTGGTCCCAGTGCAGATGGAATTTGTGGTAGGGTGTTTTCAAGAAGTGGCCCTTGTAATTGCAAGTCATTATGGTTCAGAGCCCACATGCAATTTGACTTGAGCCCAAGAGGTGATTTTTATCTCTCAGGTCAAATTAATGTGGCATAGATCCACTTGGGAACATTGATTTCATAAACATAGACATTTTCATTTTTGCTAACGGCCTAGAAATGTTAACCTGCCTCTGAAGAGGTAACTTTTCGAAGGTGAGGATGAGGAGGGGGAAGAAAGGAAGGAGGAAAACCTTGCTTGCTTGCTTTCTCTCTTTGATCACTAAGCACGTAAAAGGATGGCAGAATGCCCGGCTTATGCTTCCTGCTTTTGCTGGCCTACACCCAAGGATCTGGGGTCTTCAGCAAGTCCTGAGGGCTGCAGTGCAGCTCTTCTGCTGCTGTTGCCTACAGTGGTTATCTGAGCATTTAACAACCAGGACAGCACAGGCGCCGAGGGACCAGGATGGGCACCGGCCAGGGCTCTGCACGCAGCATCCTGGAGGCCTGGCCTGGGCCAGGTGTCCCTGCAGAGAAAACTGGGTGATTGCAGTGACAGGGACCCCTGGAAAAGGCTGAGGACAACATCAAATTACCAACCCATGTGGACCTATTTCCATATTTTAACAACTGACAGGAGCATACAGGGCATACTGGCTGAATGTCAGCCTTGCCTGCCTGCAACCCACCTTAGTAACACATTTTCCAGTTTTTTAACTGGGCCCATGTAGAATAATCCAGGTATGGGCAGCCATGGGATCACCAGTGTACAGTAACAATGCAATGGCCAGCTATGTCTTGCTTAGGAATAAAAAGGGACACTGGTATTTATCTACCACTCATTTATGCACCAGACATGGTGCTCAGTTTTCATGATTATCTTACTTACTCCTCAAAATAATCCTATTGGATAAGTATTATCATACTTATATATGGAGAAAATGGATAAATATTATCACCTTCATATTATAGTTGGACCCGTATATCATAGATGGTCAAATTACTAACCCATATTCACACAACTAAAAATTGGTAGAACCAAAGTGTCTGTATGAGTCTGTCTGGCTATTTCTACTGTACTAGATGGGGTAGTGGTTGAGCATAGGCCCTGAAGCCACACTGCCTGGATTTCGAGATTATCTCTGCCACTTAGCTAACTATGTGAACTTAGGCAAGTTACTCAACATCTCTATGCCTCAGTCTCCATATATATATAATGTATATATATAAAAATATATATACATATAAATATATATGTATATATAAAATATATATAAATATAAATATATATGTATATATAAAATATATATAAATATATATATAATATATACATATATATTTTTTATAAATATATATATAATATATACATATATTTTTATATATATACATATATATTTATATATGTATATATACACACACACACACACATATATATATATTTTGAGACCAAGTCTCGCTCTGTCACCCAGGCTAGAGTGCAGTGGTACAATCTCAGCTCACTGCAACCTCTGTCTCCCGAGTTCAAGTGATTCTTCTGCCTCAACCTCCTGAGTCGCTGGGATTACAGGCACACACCACCACGCCCAGCTAAGTTTTATATTTTTAGTAGAAATGGGGTTTCACCATGTTGGTCAGGCTGGTCTCGAACTCCTGACCTCGTGATCTGCCTGCCTCAGCCTCCCAAAGTGCTGGGATTACAGGCATGAGCCACCGTGCCTGGCCCCATTCCTGTATTTAAAATGGGAATAAGAGTATTTTCCTCAAAGTTTTGTCGGAGGATTAAATACATTGTGAAGTCCTTGGAACAGTCCTGGCATATAGTAATCATTCAATAAATGTTAGACTTTTCTTGTCCTTGCATCTCTCAGGATGGCCACCCAAGCCCAGCCCATTTATGGCCGGGATCTCTCCAAGTCAATGGATCTCCAATCTCCTTGTTAATGTCACCTCCTTTCTGCTCGCAAGCCAAATATTGGACATCTAAGAAAATCAATTATTCAGCTTTCACTGTAGCCTTAAATACATAATTTTAAGACAGTATTGGGCTCTTTTGTGACCTGGTAACTAAGTTCTTACTTTTATTTTGTTTAATGACTTACTTATCACCCAGACAATGTCTCTAATACTAAGAGAGAGAGGAGAACAGTCAGAGGGGTGACCTAGGACTATGGGGACATGACTGGGGCAGAGCACTGGCTCATGAGATTTTTTTGGAACTGAACGTTTTAACAGACTTTGTTACTATTTAGGTATGGTGAGACCAACAGATCGAGAGACAATCGCCATTAAAAAGATAGTTTGTTACTCACAGTTCCCAAGGGGAGGAGGGCACAGCACCATGAGGGCCACATGGGGATGAACCAGGGACCATCAGGAGGCAGAGGGAGCAGAGAAACTACAGGCAAGAGCCTCGGCTGTGGTTTCTGTGGGAAGGAACAGGAAAGACGGGGTAAGCTACTTAGCATCGGATGGCTTGAATTATTTCAGTGGGCTCTGGGAAGAGGGTCTGTCCCTAGTTGTCTAGCACCTGGGCCAGGGGGGATTAGGGCAGATGGGTAATGACTCAGAGTATGAGAGCCCAGCAAAGAAGGTGGTTGGGGTGTGGACTCTAGGTTGGTTGGTTTGTATTTGAAAATTGTGCCCTTGGGCGGGTTGTTTACTATCCCTACGAATTGGCTAACCCTGAAAGGGGCAGTCCCTCCAGGGGACACAAGGCTCCGGATGTCAAAGCATCAGAATAGAGAAAATAAAAGCCACGGTTCACACACTGAAGCACAGGGCACTACTGGGGTCCTATGGGAGAGGAAGGGGAGACTCCAGAAAGGCACGTGCACGTGAATGACCCCAGCTCCATAGAAGCACCTGAGTGGGTCTCTCCGCCTGACTCCTGTCCTCCTCCCCTCCCTTTTCACCCCCATCTCCAATGAGAGGACTCCATGAACTCGCATTTCCAGCTATCAGCCCTCCCTCCCCCATTGTCTGTCTCTTGCTACGCCTGCTCACCTCTTCCTATCTTCTCCACAAACACCTGATTGTCAAGTCTCCAGGCTCTTCTGGTTGAGCCCTAGAAAACCTTGCTTTTCCATCCTCGCTTCCCCAGAACGCAGCAACTCTGTCATACTTAAACCCTTTCCACCAGCTTATACAAACAGGCCTTTTACAGAATACCCACTGGCAGCAAAGACATATACAAAGCCACAATGGGGTATATTCATCAGTCAAATATGAACTTCTGGGTGTGGGCTTACATCTCAATGGGCTTTGTAAAAATGAGTGATCTGTGCCCTCCTAAAAGGGCAGGGCCAGGGCAGATTTCTGAAGCTGACCAGGCTCAGCTTTCGGGAAAATTGCCTAAATGCTTTCTGAGTATAGCTGAGCATCACTGAGTCATCTCTGTGCCACTCCAGCATGGTCAGAAGTGCCGGGGGACACCGAGAGGGCAGTCGCAGCTGCCCAGAGGGGCCATTTGTACTCCTCCCTTCATGTGCTGGCAAGCTGTGTGTGAACCACTTACTAAGTCACCTGGGGGAAGAACAGTGATTTAGGGTATGGGTGACAAGCAGGTTCCATAGATTGTGAGCCGGTAGGAGGTCTGTCTACTAGAAGCCAGTTATACATGGGTGACTAAAGTGCAGTCAAGCTCCCCTCCCACTGACACTTCACAAGCCAACACAAAGCCCTACGTCTAAAGCCATCAGCTTTCCCAACTGAAGGTACCATTCCAAAGTTCTGTTTTAGGATTGGGGAAGTTTCTGGGAAGTTCCTTCAGCAAGAAGCTTTAATTCTAGTAAGTCAAAGTATACAGAAATGAGATAAACATGAGTGTAATTACATAATTGTTTTCTCATTGAGAAACCTTCCCATGTGAGATATTTCAAACCACTTTGGACAAGGCAAAATTTCCTTCTATGATTTTTTTTAAAGACCTGATACAAAAAGACCTATTAGAGAAATGGTACAAGAATTGGCCTTTGAAATTCTGTTGTTTTTAATAGTTTTATTTCAGCATATATACACAATATTTTATTTTAAATTTTATAATAAAACATGCATTTAAACACATCTGCAGTAAAAAAGCCAAAACTGTCAGCAGTTATTACACAATTCAGACTTTTAGAATTGATTTTTTTCTCCTGTTTCTCTCAGAGTATTTGTAAAATATGAAGTCCAAGTGCCTGAGCTTTTCTGAACATTACCACATAATTTCTCCTTCTCCTGAACACATTAATTTCCCCTCTGTGCCCTCTGCCCACGCCATTTAACCTGCCGGGAAAGACCCCTCCCCTGCCTGCGTCAACCTCCGACTCAACCCCTTGGTCAAGCCCTACATCTCTGACCCTCGCAGCCTGAAGTAACGGCTATCCCCTTCCAATGCAGAGCAATTACTGCTGATGGGATGGCCTTGGCAATTAGCCCAGGATCCCCATGAAATAGCTCTTCCATTGCTCTCTATTAAAATGTCACTCAAACACTTTACTGGCGTTTGGTTTTCCCCTGAGTTACATCTTATCTCCCCAACTGGACTGCACTATTACTTTACTATTTTTTGTGTGTCCCTCGGAAAGCCCAGCAGAGTCACCCTAGGAGGTGACGTCATTACCGTGAGGTCTTGTTTTTGTCCTTTTACCCTTTACCATTTTCTGAGTCCACGTACAGTTTCATTAAATGCTAGATGTTTGACTTCTTTCTGGTAACCTGAAACTCTCAGTTCTGTTGGTTTTGGAACCTGGAAGACATGTCAACTGTGCTGCCCACAACTTTCTTTAAAATGGGCAGATTAGAAGATTTGAGTAAACAAGTTCTTTCCTATTAATGACTTCTGAAGACATACAGACTTGTATGTTATGTCTTCATCAGTTTTACCTCTCAAATAGGTGGGACTTATATTTCCACATCCGGTCGTCATCAAGCTTTCTCGTGCAGCCGGGGAAAGCGAAACACTTCCATAGCTGTGATCCAGTGACAGCAAGTGGGATGCTGTTGAGCTGCTGAGGCTGAATTACCCCTATCCATTTCATATCCAGAAACATTAGAGGGCTCAGCTAACTGCGCTAATTTGAAATATACCAGGGAGACCCAATCTGTGAAAAGGTGAGAAAGATTTTTATTTTATTGCCAGAGTTGAAACCAGACCTGAGTGGTACTTAAAATTTCAGTTACATGAGGAGACGGGTTTCTTTACACTTGATGAGGGCTCTTACAGCTCTGAGTTGGAATAGGTTCAGCAAAGGAGATCCATGAGCCATATGTTGGTGGCCTCTACTCATTATGAAAAATGCATGCTTCTGCAGCTTAAAAGCAAACAAACAAGCTTAAATCCCCACTCTCCTGGTTTTCATATGTGGGGACAGTGCCGCAGTGAGTGTCCTGAGAACAAACACTACAAGCCTCTCTCAACCAGCAAGCAGTGCCATATACAATTGCAAGAGTTGCCTGTAAGGATGTTGAGAATTTCTCTAGGTTTCCTGTTCCCAACCTGGTGAGTCCTTCATCCTAGAAGAACCAAGGACAGCCTCTTTGCTCTGTTTGGAGAAGCCTCAAGAAGTCTCAGTGGCCAGCAGTCAAGTTTCAAATGCCACCATTGCAGATGGGGGCCTTGGGGTTAGAGCACCACTCCTGGACACAAACACACATTTATGTCCAACCCTGGACCAGGAGAAATCGCAGAACCAGCATCCCAGGCCTGACCCTCACAAGGCCTGGCCTGGAGCCTGCCTCGGACAGAGGACCCAAGCCACTCTGAATCTCTCCACAGCCATGTCTCTTAGTCAGCCCGGCTGCTATAATGAAATGCCAGACGCTGGGTGATTTAAACAACAGATACTTGTTTTTGCATCATTTAGAGGCCATAAGTCTGAGATAAAAGTGCCAGCAGATTCAGTTCTTCATGAGGGCACTCCTCCTGGCTTACAGATGGATGGCCACCTTCCTGACATGTCCCAATATGGTCTAGAGAAAGAGAAAGGAAGAAAGAACAAGAGTACATGCTTTGATCTCTCTAACTCTTCTTATAAGTGCTCTAATCAATCCCTTCTTAGGGCCTTCCCCTCCTGACCTCATCTAAACCTAAAGACTCCACTTCCAAAGGCCATCATATCGGGGGTTAGGGCTTCAATATATGAATTTTGGAGGGAAACATTCAGTCCATAACAGCATGTGAACTAAGTAACATGATGAGAATGGGTCAGTTCACAGTGGACCATAAAGCTGAAGGGTCGTGAGGCAGAATCGGGCCTGGAAAAGCCAAGTCCAGAACAAGCTGCACTTGAGCCGGGGACAGGAGACAGGGAGCAGAACTGAAATCAATGAATAGAGATTGGAAGCCACTTTTGCTGTGAGGCAAGAAAAAAGCCGTACTCCAAATCAGGTTAAGGGAAGAGCATAAGAATACATTTCCACAACTGTGACTGCTGAAGTCCCCAGGACCTCCTGAAATCAGTAATCTCCTTCCAGCTCCAGCACGCACGAGGACAGACTCTGCTAGGCTCCTGCCCTAGGATGTTAACGACTTATTTTTTAGGTGTGTATTCCTATCACAGGCTTCCCTTTCCCTGAGTTTGTCTGACTCAAGGCTGACTATTACAGTCACAGGGGGCAAGTAACATCTCAAAGGCCATCCCCAGCTGAGCAAGCTGAGGTCAGATCCCTAGAGAAAGGGGCTGTTATGGGTTCAATTGTGTTCCCCAAAAAGGTATGTTGCATCTTAACCCTTGGAACCTATGAATGTGACCTTATTTGGAAATAGGATCTTTGCAGATATTTTTAAGATGTAAATTAAGATGATGTCATATTGGCCTAAGGAGGGCCTTTTATGCAATATGACTAGTGTCCTTACAAAAGAGAAGAGATAGAAGCACAGAGACACATAGGGAGAAAGTCATGTGAAGATGGAGGCAGACAGGGGAGTGATGCAGCTGTAAGCCAAGGAACACTAAGGATTGCTGCAACCCCAGAAGCCAAAAGAAAGCCAGGGAACACTTTCTCCCCTAGACCCTTCAGAGAGAGCATGGCCCTGCTGACACCTTGATTTCAGACTTCCGGCCAGAAAGAATAAAGATATGTTGTTTTAAGCCACCCAGTTTTTGGTAATTTCTTACAACATTCCTAGGAAACTAGCACGGGGACTTAGGTGTTTTTAGAGAGTGAATTCAGAAGAACCCCGGAACTCCTGGATTTGGCCAAAGAGGATGGACGTGAACAAGAGCTATAGCTGGAGACTTTGCATGTAGGGGTCTTGTGAAGATGCTCTCTGCCTGCCTGGGGCAGGGGAGGCAGGAGGAAAAGAGAAGGTAGAGGTTCCTATGCAATAACTCTCCATTGAAGTTGTTGCCTCTCCCTCTACCAGTGATCACTGAAGTTCCAGGATGTCCAGTGAGTAAATACTGACTACAATCAAAGAACAAGAAGGAGGAAGGAAAGGAGGTGATGTGAGGCAGGGAGAAGCCTTTGCTCCAAGTATATAAAAAGACTGCTTATGATTGATTTATTCAACCAAGATTTCGTGAATGCCTATAATGAGCTATGTCTTATACTAAGCACAGAGATTGCAAGGTTGAAAAGATGCGGTCCTTCCCCTTCAGCAGGTCACCATCTGGGTAAGGTGATGGGTAAGTCTGTCTAGCAAATGTATTATAATAGAGCAAACGCAAGTGCAGCCCTTGCAGCTACAAGGGGCTTCTCTTTGGGTGCTGAAGTTTGCAGGGTAGACTCTATGGAAGGGAAAAGTAAGCTGAGTCCTAAGGGAGCTGTGGAAGTTGGCCTGACAGATTGCTCAGTTGGAGGGTAGGACATTGAAACTACACCATGGAAAGGAAGGCAACAAAGACTGCAGCCCATGGAAAAGCCTGGAACCTCATACAAACAACATCTCAGATTCTGTCTCTGAGCTTCCTCAAAGTCCTCACTTTGCTGAAAGGTGCTTTGATAATCATGCTTTTTGTGTGTTCGGACTCGGTAAAGGGCCCTTCTGCACAGGCCATCCCCCTGAAGTTACTAATCAGTGATTTGGTTTTATAAAATTTCGCACGTCTTTCTTAGATTTCATCACTCCATGGAAAGGAGCCCCACTTTCCAATGCTCTTACTAGGCACTTAAACAGTAGTTGCCTAGCCAGCTTTTACCTGTTCACAATTTCTTCCTTTTCATGCATGCTGAAATGGAGATTCTGACGCTGCCTTGGACTGGTTCTGATAAATGTTCCCATATAAGAGTTTTCAAACATGGAAAAGCTCTTTAGAGACTACTCTAAAATAATATTACATCAGAAGCAAGTTCTTCTCTCCAGATTGCTATAGGTCAATTTTGAGAGGCTAGAATTTTTTTAAATGCCTTTTGTGTGGCAGCGATAACAAATCTGTACTACCCTGTCACTCTCTGTCCCCATCCTGTCACCCAGGCCAGGGTTATCTCCAGCAGTGTCCCAAGGGAAGGTTTGAGAGCCCCTGCTCTCCTTGGCAGCATACTCTGATATTTTGTGCCTTTCCTGTATCTGGTTAGGTATATTTATGAATCATAGTACCTGAGTTTAACCAAATAAACCACCTCAAAATAGACAAGCAACTTGAAAACACTGAAGACAATGAATAATGCAACATCGAGTCAACACCAAAAGGATAGCAGAGCTGCCACTTCCACACATTACTTGAACTCTTCATCAGCTAAAAACCAATCATCCACAGTAAGAAAGATACAAATATTAATAATATTTTTGTAGGAGGATTATAATGGAATAAGCTTGGGTTGGTTTTTCAACAATATTTTAATGTTAAAATGAACCATATTCATATTTGAGTATATTTATCAAGCAAATTTAGAGAATTCTCTGCTCAACAATTCATAGATCTGTTTTCTATTGTTGCTATAACAAATTATCACCAACTAAGTGGCTTAGAACAATACAAATGTATTGTCTTATTGTTCTGGAGGTCAGAAAGCATAGAATCAAGGTGTCCGCAGGTTGTATTCCTTGTGCAGTTTCTAGGGAAAATATTATTCCACTGCCTTTTCTGTTTCTAGAGGTCGCCAACATTCCCTGTATCTTTTCCTCCATCTTCAAAGACAGCAACATGGGGACCTTCAGATCTTTCTCTCTGACTTTACCTCCTGCTCTGTTGTCACATTTCCTCTGACTCTGACCCTCTCGAGTCCCTCTTATAAGGACCCTGTGATTACATTGGGACCCCCGGATAATCCAGGATAATCTCCTGCTTTGAGCAGGAGGGAAATGTGAGCTGCCTTTGCACCTGTATGAGTCTCCTATTGTTGCTGTAGAAAATTACCAAACACAGTGGCCAAAAACAGCACAAATTCATTATCTTACAGTTCTGGAGGTCAGAAGCACAAAACGAGTCCTACAGTCAGGGTGTATTTGTCAGGGTTCTCTAGAGGGACAGAACATATATATATATATATGGGAGTTTATTAAGTATTAAATCACATGATCGCAAGGTCCCACAGTAGGCCCTCTGCAGGCTGAGGAGCAAGAAGAGCCAGTCTGAGTTCCAAAACTGAAGAACCTGGAGTCCAACCTTCAAGGGCAGGAAGCATCCAGCATGGGAGAAAGATGTAGGCTGGGAGACTAGGCCAGTGATTTCACATTTTCCTGCCTGCTTATATTCTAGCTGAGCTGGCAGCTCATTAGATTGTATCCACCCAGATTAAGGGTGGGTCTGCCTTTCCCAGCCCACTGACTCAAATGTTAATCTCCTTTGGCAACACCCTCACAGACACACCCATGATCAATACTTTGTATCCTTCAATCCAATCAAGTTGACACTCAGTATTAACCATCACACAAGGTGTTGTCAGGGCTGCCTCCTTTTGGAGGTCCTAGGGAAGTATCTATGTTTTTGCCTTTTCCAGCTTGTGGAGGCTACCTGCATTCCTTGGCTCATGGCCCCTTCTTCCGTCTTCAGAGCTGGCAGTGTTGCTGCATCTTCCCATCTCTCTCTGATTGGCCTTCTACCACACTCCTCCACATTTAAAGGAACTTTGTGATTACCTTGGGTTCCCCTGGATAATCTAGGATAATCTCCTTGTCTCAAAAATCCTTAATTTAATCATGTCTGCAGAGATCCCTTTACCATATAAAGTATTAGGTTGGTGCAAAAGTAACTGTGGATTTGGCCATTACTTTTCATTGCAAAACCCACAATTACTTTTGCACCAATCTAATATCATATCACAGGTGCCTGGGATTAGACATCTTTGGGAGGCCATTTTTCAGCCTACCACAGGCTCTTTAAGTAGTGCATATTCACAGATATTCAAATGTGCCTCTCTTTACTACAATAAAAATAAAAGATTACCCTTAAGTTAGATCATAAAATGATAAAAACGGAACCTACTTTTCATATTTATTCTACTGATTTCTCCCTTTAATCAATTATATAATGCCCTGGAAGAATAAATAATTACCTGATAACCTCAATGATTAAACAATCCCAATCAATAACAAATGTTTATTGAGCCCACATCATGGTTTAACAAATTTACCTTGCTTCGTTTTCCACACAGGAACCCCAGGAAGGCTGTAATCAGTACAACAGTCAGCTGCTGCCTTCACTTGGCAGTTTGCACTACGGTGTTAGGTCACTTAACAAAGGGTCAATTCAGAGGAGAAAAAAAAATCAATCCAATTGCTTGTTTGACTTTCACATAGGCAAAACAACCATTTGACTGATGGAGTCTTTCATTTTCGTGCAGTTATTTTAGCACCTTGTAACTACAAGCTAAGTGTGCCATTTACATAAACATACAGGAGTCTATTTACAGGGTTATCAAATGTTTTAATTCATCTGTGAAATCAACATTAACCACTCCCAACACTTTTATTTACCTATGGCACACCCAACTCTCACCGCCTCTCTATACGCCTTCCTCCCCCAACCTCCTGTATTTCTCTGTGAGCCCTGGGCAGAATTCTCCATCCAATCGAGTCTTTGTTATTTTTTTTATTTTTTTATTTTTTTATTGTTATTATTTTTTGAGATGGAGTCTTGTTCTGTCGCCCAGGCTGGAGTGCAGTGGTACGACCTAGGCTAACTGCAAGCTCCACCTCCCGGGTTCACGCCAGTCTCCTGCCTCAGCCTCCCCAGTAGCTGGGACTACAGGTACCCGCCACCACGCCTGGCTCTTTTTTTTTTTTTTTTGAGACGGAGTCTCGCTCTGTCGCCCAGGCTGGAGTGCAGTGGCGGGATCTCGGCTCACTGCAAGCTCCGCCTCCCGGGTTCACGCCATTCTCCTGCCTCAGCCTCCCAAGTAGCTGGGACTACAGGCGCCCGCCACTACGCCCGGCTAATTTTTTGTATTTTTAGTAGAGACGGGGTTTCACCATTTTAGCCGGGGTGGTCTCGATCTCCTGACCTCGTGATCCGCCCGCCTCGGCCTCCCAAAGTGCTGGGATTACAGGCGTGAGCCACCGCGCCCGGCCTTTTTTTTTGTATTTTTTAGTAGAGACGGAGTTTCACCATGTTAGCCAGGATGGTCTCGATCTCCTGACCTCATGATCCACCCACCTCGGCCTCCCAAAGTGCTGGGATTACAGGTGTGAGCCACAACCCCCGGCCAAGTATTCCCCCAAATGCCTATTATGTGCCAGGTACTGAGTTGGGTCCAAAAGCAACAACAACAACAACAACAACAACAACACAAAGGTGGCAGGATGCATAATGATGCTGACGTTTTTTAGCAAGAGACTCTAATGGTCCCCTAGTAGAGTGGGGGAGCTTGACAGGTTGGAGAACTTTCTAGGAGCTCAGGGAGCAGTCATTTGAGTGGCCTACTTGTAGTGTTCTTGGTTAGGCAAGAGTGAGGTGGGCAGGCACCAGGACTCCGGGGAAGCAGTACTAGATCTTACTGTGGTGTGTGAAACTGTACTTTACAAAAACATCTTGGGGATGCAGATCTGTTCACTGAGAATACACACAGGCAAATTTACAAAAGCTTCCCAGGCAGCTCTTCCTTTTTAAGGTTCTATTTTATTGGGAAGTTATCTAATAAGTTAGAGGGGTCTTTACTGAGGTCTGTTGGTAGAAGAGGAGCCCTAGGTTCCCGGGACATTATCAAGAAGGGATGAGGAGTTTGGACTGATGGTCTAGTCTCAACTCCAGCACCAACTAGATGGAGGGGAAAGAGATGGCCTTCTGGCACAGTGTATGGCAGAGGCTGCAAACCCCTCCAGACACAGCCCTTCTCACACAGAGGTTATGCTCTGGGATCATTTGGTTGGGTGTGTGAGCATAAACTTAAAAAAAAAAATCATTGCCAATGGTGCCAAGACCTGGCAAATCTAGATGAGAAAGAGCATTCGTAAAGCATTGAACAAAGACACGTTGGCCCACACAAGACCATTTTCACAGTGATTTCACTAAAGGGCCAAAAATGAGTCCTGGTATCCATAAACTGGGGCCCTCTAGCAGACTAATCAGACTTCCCAGGTCTTTACCTACTGGCATTTGGAGACAAGACTGACCTCCTTGGACTGAAAAGGTCTCTATCATGCTTAAGTAATTGTAGAAGTGAGAATAGGGAAGAGAAGAGCAAAAATACAAATTTCCTGCTAAAGGAGGGAAGTGGTAGCTCAGCATGTCTCTGGAGAAATTAAATAAAAGATATGTGACTATATTTGTACCCCAAGATGGTAGCATGGGTAATTCACATCTGATTGTCAGTATCTAAAGCTGAACAACATATCCCAACAATAACCAGGCTGATGGTTGTTGCTACCAGAACTTCTGGGCCAGGAAAGAGAGTGGTATGTCTATGGGAAGGGAGACAGAGTGGAGAAGGTGAGGCAGGGAGGGTAAGGAGAAGTGGGAGATGAGGCTGTAGAACACAGGCTGGAGCAGGAAGACCTTCCATTTTCTAGGATTTGCAGGGTCCTTCTTTTCTTCCCATAAAAAAAGCCAGAAAGTGCTATTGGGTCAGAGCAATGGGTAATAGTTCGTGTCCATCAATGTGGCTAGTCTCTTGTGGGTAATTTGCATTCCTGGAAACCTCCAGATAAATATTCATCCCAAAATCTCCTACTAGGAAAGTGCCCTGAGGCCATTTCCTTTTGGTTCTCAATTTAGCAAAGGACTATAATACCAAATTTCCTTTGTAAAAAGATACAGTAACACAACTAGTTAATGCTCAGTTAAAGTATAGTAACAATGTATTGCATACTTGAAAATTACTTAGAGAGTCATTTTCTTTTATGTGTTCTTACCACCAAAACAGGGTAAATTTGTGAAATAAAGCATAGGTTAAAATAAATTGACTTAGCCATTTCACAATGAATACAAATATCAAAACATGATGTTATGTACCACATATATACAATTTTTACTTGTCAATAAATAAATAAATGTCAATTAAAGTAAATCCTCTTAAAATGGGGACCAAAATTTCACACTAAGCATAGAAACATTTTGATAAAAACTTAAATAAAACTAAAACTTATAAAAGATAAATTTATATTATATTCAACCAAATATAGGCTAAAATGTAATTATGCCTTAACTTTTGAAAAGACAAATTGCATGAAGGCTTTTGTTGAGGAGGGCATTATTATATTTTAAATAAATTGCATGATAGCCTAAAATGACAGAGTTTACTTGACATTTATGTTTGACTTTTGCAGTAGGGTCATAAAGAAAGGAGGCCAAGGAGGGCAGGTCACCTGAGGCCAGGAGTTCAAGACCAGCCTGGCCAACATGGTAAAACCATGTTTTTACTAAAAATACAAAAGAAATAGCTGGGCATGGTAGTGTGTGCCTGTAGTCCTAGCTACTTGAGAGGCTGAGGCATGAGAATCGCTTGAACCCAGGAGGCAGATGTTGTAGTGAGCCGAGATCGCACCACTGCACTCCAACCTGAGCAACAGAACAAGACTCCATCTCAAAAAAAAAAAAACAAAAGTAATTAGAAAAAAAATTCTAGGAAATTATTAGTTTTCCCACTGTGTCCCTTAATCCTTTGGTGACCAAATTATTTTCTGCCTGTGGTTATGTCCTGCTGTACCTTTCCTAAATTTCTCTCCTTCAGTTGTTCATCAGGTTAACTCTGCGGAACTCTCATTTGTCAACACTTTGAGTGTGATTCCAATAATTCTCCAACACTACTTTGATGGATTTTATGAATTCCTGGCTCTCATGAATTTGTACTTTATTGTTGAACGTTAACAACATCTGACCATCAGCAAGAGAGAAGCTACATGATGAGTTGAGAAATACTCCAGCATTAAGCTGGAAGGATTGTTTGTCTAAGGACTAATTTCCCCAGTGGTCAGATCATTAGCAAATGTTTTCAGGCCTTGATGGTTTCTGCTTGCCTCTGACTTTGGTTTCCCTCTGCATCCTGCAACCTCATAGCTGAAGGGACTCCTCTAATGAGTATGGGATTAGCAAGGACCCCCTAAAGTTTGAAACTCACATTGTATCAGAAACTAAGTTCCTCATGTAGCCCCAAAGCCAATTTAGCTCCTAATATACACAGACTGGAGTAGGATGACTTGTTTGCAACTTACCTCGCCCTCATTTGGGAATGATTTTTATGAAAAATGCATCCTGTGTTGCGAGCGAACCAGGAACATACTTTCCCTTCCAAACAGAAAGCAACAGCTGTAGCAGCAGCCCCCAAGGCACAAAAAACTCATTAAGTCTACAATAAATAAATGAGGACACTCATTATAAAATCTTTTGTAGCTCTAAAAGCTTGTGGCAAGTTGACTCTCTACATCAGATGAAGATACCTCTCTGGAGAGGTCAATCCAGGTATTCTAAAGCAGGACCCATAAGCATTGGTAGGTACTGACAGAACCCTCCCGCTCAGAGATGACTATGGACTCAAGGCGGTCTTGACATTTATCCCTATGTAGTCTCACTGCCTGATTTCTTTAACTACATCATGGTTTATTTTTAGGCACTGGGTACATGAGCAATTATTCATGGTTGGGACATAGTCTACCTCGATCCTTTGGTGAAGACTATCCATGTGTATACGTCATTTAAAGCAAGCAAATCGGTACATGGAAGCAGAAAAAATAGAAAAGGAACAGAAATACCAACTTCCTTAAGCAGTTTCTGATATGTGCACAATTTATTTCTAATTATGACTAAAATCTACCCCGTTTTCTATTCTGTAGGGTTTGGATTTATTGCTGTAATATTAGGCAAAATGCTTTTTCCATATTAATGCTGAAGCTGCTATTCCTATCAAGGAGTATAATATATTGTATCTGAAGATACTGGTAACCACTGAATTACATCTAAATGCTTGTAGGTTTTTAACCATAAGATGTCAATAGCCTTATTTTTGTTCAATGCAGTGAAGGCCCTGTTTATAGAAATCAAATTCATATCATAACAAAAAAACTTAATCACAAAGTGAATTCAAAACCCTGACAATGTTTAGTTTAACATATACTTTAAAAATAAAAATATAAAAGCTCCACTGGGAGAATCTAGAACTATCCTTTGGTCATAAACAACTAGAAAACTGGACAAAATATAGGAAATGAGAATTTTCAGAAATTGTGCTACAAGCAGTGCAGGACTGTTCTTCCTGAAAAATGGAAAATAAGTGAAGTGAGCCCCACCACTGACAAGGCTTTCTGCCTGGAGGAACTTTCTGGACTTTAGTGTAAGATGCTGGAATGGAAACAGAGCCCTGGAATCTTGCTGAGTTGAGGAGACAAAGATGCAAGGTTAGGGAGTCCAAGGCAGCTCTGTGGGGGAATAGCTGCAAGGAGGGAGTCACACAGAGAAAGAGTTCCAGAAACCTACTCGGGAGTCCTGTGCAGTCTTTAGCTGAATGCCAGTCTGCGCATGTGTGAGGTGATAACTCATAAGGCCAGGCAAAAACAACTTCTGCAAAAAGAACAATCACCAGAGAACCGTACGCTGACAATTCCCAGAGTTCACACAGACTTGGCAATAGTTCCGTTTCTCATGAGGCAAAGTAGAAAGCCCTCACTGAATACGCAAGGCATTTAGTAGATATTCCAGGAGGGCCAGGCCTTAGAAATAGGGCTGTCTCAGAGTAAAGGCTAGGTTAGCCCCATCCCAAAAGAGTTTAAAAATAAAACACAAAGGGGCCGGGCGGGGTGGCTCATGTCTGTAATCCCAACACTTTGGGAGGCCGAGGCAGGTGGATCACCTGAGGTCATGAGTTTGAGATGAGCCTGACCAACATGGTGAAACCCCGTCTCTACTGAAAATACAAAAATTAGCCGGGCGTGGTGGTACGCCCATAATCCCAGCTACTCAGGAGGCTGAGGCAGGAGAATCACTTGAATCCAGGAGGCAGAAGTTGCAGTGAGCCGAGATTGCACCACTGCGCTCCAGCCTGGGTGACAGAGTGAGACTCCATCTCAAAAAAAAATAAAAAATAAAATAAAGCACAAAGAGATTAAGCCAATCTGCAAGTAACTTAGCTGCCTGACATAAAAAGCCTAACACTCTTTAAAAGAATGTGAAAAAAATCCAACCTTTAACAATGTAAAAGTTGTAATGTCTGGTATTTGGTCAAAAATTACCAGGCATGTAAAGAAGGAAAATATAACCCATAACCAGGAAAAACAATTAATTCATAGAAAGAAACTCAGAAATGGCAGAAAATGGCATTAGCAGTCAAGGATTTTAAAATGACTAATACAAATATTATCATTATGATCATGGTGTAAGAAAAATGTGAACATGACAGTGTAAGAAACAAAAGATATAAAAAAGACACGAATGGAAATTCTAGAGATGAAAAATATTCTATTTGAACAGAAAAAATATACTTGTTGGGATAAAAAGCATACAATACAGAAAAAAGGTTTATTAAACTTGACCATAGCAATAGAAACTATGCAAAATGAAGAACAGAGAGAAAATATTTTTTTAAATGAAACAGAATGATAGTGGCCTGTGGGTCAATATACTTGATCTATATACATGTGATAAGGGTCCCAGAAAAGGAGGGATAGATATAGAAAAAAAAATTGAAAAAATAAGGTTAAAATTTCTCCAAATTTAGTGAAAAGCGTAAACCACAGATACAAGAAGCTCAAAGGATCACAAGAAACATAAAGAAAACTACACAAACACCGTTATAATCAAATTGATCAAAACCAGTGGTAAAGAGAGTACCTTACAAGTAGCTGGAGAAAAAAAATACACACTATGTAGAGAAACAAGAATTAGAATGACCACAGACTCCTTGTTAGTAACAAAGTTACAAGAGAGTAGAACATCTTCAAAGTACACAAAGAAAAAAAAAAGCTATAATTCTAGAATTCTAAATTTAGAGAAAATACCTTTCAAAATGAGGGCATGGCCAGGTGCGGTGGCTCATGCCTGTAATGCCAGCACTTTGAGAGGCCAAGACAAGCAGATAGCTTGAGCCAGGAGTTCAAGACCAGCCTGGACAACATGGCAAAACCCCATCTCTACAAAAAAATACAAAAGCTAGTGGGGTGTGGTGGTGCATACCGTAGTCCCAGCTACTCAGGAGGCTGAGGTGGAAGGATCATTTGTGCCCAGGAGGCAGAGGTTGCAGTGAGCCAAGATTGTGCTACTGCACTTCAGACTGGGTGACAGAGCCAGATCCTGTCTCAAAAATAATAAAAATAATGATAATAACAAATAAGGGCAGAATAAAGATTTTTTTAGACAAAAAAAAAAAAACAAAACCTTGAAAGTTCTTCACCAATCAATGTTTCCCCCCCTTTCCACTTGTTTTTTTTATTTCAATAGGTTTTTGGGGAATAGGTGGTGTTTGGTTACATGGATAAGTTCTTTGGTGGTGACTTCTGAGACTTTGGTGTACCCATCACCCAAGCAGTGTACACTGTACCCAGTGTGTAGTATTTTATCCTTCACCCCTCCCCGTCCTTACTGCCAAGATCCCAAAGTCCATTGTACAATTCTTATGCCTTTGTGTTCTCATAGCTTAGCTCCCACTCATAAGTGAGAACATACGACGTTTGGTTTTCTATTCCTGATTACTTCACTTAGCATATGGTCTCCAATTCCATCTAGGTTGTGGCAAATGCCATTATTTCATTCCTTTTCATGGCTGAATAGTATTTTATGGTGTATATATAGCACATTTTCCTTATCCACTGGTTGATTGACAGGCATTTGGGCTGGTTCCATATTTTTGCAATTGAAAATTGTGCTGCTATAAATGTGTGTGTGCAAGTGTCTTTTTCATATCATGACTTGTTTTCCTCTGGGTAGAGATTGTTGGATCAAATAGTAGATCTACTTTTAGTCCTGTAAGGAATCTCCACACTGTTTTCCATAGTGGTTGTACTAGTTTACATTCCCTCCAACAGTGTAAAAGTGTTCCCTTTTCACCCCATCCATGCCAACATCTATTATTTTTTTATTTGTAAATTATGGCCATTCTTGCAAGAGTAATGTGGTATCTCATTGTGGTTTCGATTTACATTTCCCTGATAACTGAGCATTTTTTCATGTGTTTGTTGGCCATCTGTATATCTTCTTTTGAGCACTGTCTATTCATGTCCTTAGCCCACTTTTTGATGAGATTGTTTCTTTTCTTCTTGCTGATTTGTTTGAGTTCCTTATAGATTCGGGATATTAGTCCTTTGTCAGATGCATAGTTCATGAAGATTTTCTCACACTTTGTGGGTTGTCTGTTTACTCCTCCGATTATTTATTTTGCTATGTAGATGCTTTTTAGTTTAATTAAGTCCCAAGTATTTATCTTTGTTTTGGTTGCTTTTGCTTTTTGGTTCTTGGTCACAACGCCTTTGCCAAAGCCAGTATCTACAAGGGTTTTTCTAATGTTATCTTCTAGAATTTTAATGGTTTCAGGTCTTAGATTTAAGTCTTTGATCCCTCTTTAGTTGATTTTCAGATAAGGTGAGAGATGAGAATCCAGTTTCATTCTCCTACATGTCACTTGCCAATTATCCCAGCACCATTTGTTGAATAGGGTGCCCTTTCCCCACTTTATGTTTTTGCTTGCTTTGTCAAAGATCAGTTGGCTGTAAGTATTTGGCTTTATTTCTGGGTTCTCTGTTCTGTTCCATTGGTCTATGTACCTATTTTTATGACATTACCATGCTGTTTTGGTGGCTATTGCCTTGTAGTATAGTTTGAAGTCAGGTAATGTGATGCCCCCAGATTTATTCTTTTTGCTTGGTCTTGAATTGGCTATGTGGGCTCATTTTTGGTCCCATATGGGTGGGAGTTCAGTCAGGCTGGTGGGAAAAATTTTAAAGATAGTTATAAGTAATAGATACAAACCTTCCTGGAAGGCCGGGGTTGTTGCATAAGCTTCAGTAACAGATCTGGCTGAAGGCAGCCTAATCCTTATCTTAAGTAAATAGCTTAAAGTAGGTACAAAGGAATGTTAAGGGAGTTTATCTAAATAACTTGTTTACTCATGTGGTCCTAAAACTAACCTTCGATCATTCTCAGGCAGGATGGCTGTCCTGTGTGGAGGACTACCAGGTTAATTACTCTCTAGTGGTGTTGACTCAAAGCCTTTGTCATTTAGTGTGTGCTGAATAAATGCTGGCAGGGCCAGCTAGTCAGGCAGTGGCTGCTACAACTCTTTCGGTCAGTTGTCTGGCCCTCTACCCTGCTCTTTCACTGAATATCAGTGTCTGAGTACATTATTCATCCGTCATGCAGTTAGGGTCTGTGGGACGGACCCTGGCACATATGAATTTCAGAATTGGTTTTTTTCTAGTTCTGCGAAGGATGATGACGGTATTTTGATGGGAACTGCATTGATTTTGTAGATTGCTTTGGGCAGTATGGTCATTTTCACATTTTCTACTCATCCATGAGCATAGGATGTGTTTCCATTTGTTTATGTCATCTGTTAGTTCTTTCAGCAGTGCTTTGTAGTTTTCCTTGTAGAGGTCTTTCACCTCCCTGGTTAGGTATATTCCTAAGTATTTTATTTTCTAGTATTTTATTTTGTTTTACTTTATTTTATTTTATTTTGCAGCTATTGTAAAAGGGGTTGAGTTCTTGATTTGATTCTCAGCTTGATCGCTGTTGGTGTACAACAGTGCCACTGATTTGTGTGCATTGATTTGGTATCCTGAAACTTTATTGAATTCATTTATCAGTTCTAGGAGCCTTTTGGATAAGTCTTCAGGGTTTTCTACGTGTATGACCGTATCCTCAGTGAACAGTGACAGTTTGATTTCCTCTTTACTGATTTGGATGCCCTTTATTTCTTTCTCTTGTCTAATTATTCTGGCTAAGACTTCCAGTACTATGTTGAATAGAAGTGGTAAAAGTGGACATCCTTGTCTTGTTCTAGTTTCCAAGGGGAATGCTTTCAACTTTTCCCCATTCAGTATAATGTTCACTGTGAGTTTGTCATAGATGGCTTTTATTACCTTAAGGGATGTTCCTTCTATGCCAATTTTGCTGAAGTTTTTATAAAAGGATGCTGAATTTTGCCAATTGCTTTTTCTGCCACTATTGAGATGATCACGTGATTTTTGTTTTAAATTCTGTTTCTGTGATGTATCACATTTATTGACTTGCATATGTTAAACCATCCCTGCATCCCTGGTATGAAACCCCCACTTGATCATAGTGAATTATCTTTTTGATATGCTGTTGGATTCAGTTCGCTAGTATTTTGCTGAGGATTTATGTTTCTATATTAATCACAGATATTGATCTGCAGTTTTCTTTTTTGTTGTTGTTATGTCCTTTCCTGGTTTTGGTATTAGAGTGGTACTGGCTTCATAGAATGATTTAGGGAGGATCCTCTTTTTCTAAATTTTGGAGTAGTGTCAACAGAATTGGTACCAATTCTTCTTTGAATGACTGACAGAATTCACCTATGAATCCATCTGGTCCTGGACTTTTTTTGTTGCTGCCAATTATTTTATTACCATATCAGTCTTGTTGCTTGTTATGGGTCTGTTCAGAGTTTATATTTCTTCCTGGTTTAATCTAGGAGGGTGGCATGTTTCCAGGAATTTATCCATCTCCTCTGGGTTTTCTAGTTTGTGTATGTAAGGTGTTCGTAGTAGGCTTGAATAATCTTTTGTATTTCTGTGGCATTGGTCGTAGTATCTGCTGTTTCATTTCTAATTGAGCTTATTTGAATATACTTTCTTCTTTTATTAGTTTCACTAATGGTCTATTGATGTTATTTATCTTTTCAAAGAACCAGCTTTTTGTTTCATTTGTCTTTTGTGTTTTATTTGTTTCAATTTCATTTAGTTGTGCTGTGATCTTAGTTATTTTTTTTCTTCTGCTGGGTTTGGGTTTGGCTTGTTCTTGCTTCTCCAGTTCCATGAGGTGTGACCTTAGATTGTCTATTTTGCTCTTTCAGACTTTTCTGATGTAGGCATTTAATGCTCTGAACTTTCCTCTTAGCACCACTTTTGCTGTGTCCCAGAGGTTTTGATAGGTTGTGTTATTATTGTCATCCCATTCAAATAATTTTTTAATTTCCATCTTGATTTGATTGTTGACCCTACAATTATTCAGGGGCAGGTTATTTAATTTCCTTGTATTTGCATGGGTTTGAGCGCTCCTTTTTGGGTTGATTTCCAATTTTATTCCACTGTGGTCTGAGAGAGTATTTGATAAAATTTCAATTTTCTTAAATTTATAGAGGCTTATTTTGTGGCCTGTTATATGGTCTATCTTGGAGAATATACCATGTGTTGATGAATAGAATGTATATTCTTCAGTTGTTGGGTAGAATGTTCTATACATATCTGTTAAGTCAATTTGTTCTAGGGTATAGTTTAAGACCATTGTTTCTTTGTTGACTTTCTGTGTTGATGATCTGTCTAGTACTGTCAGTAGAGTATTGGAGTCCCCCACTATTATTGTATTGCCATCTATCTCATTTCTTAGGTCTAGTAGTACTTGTTCTATAAATCTGGGAGCTCCAATATTAGCTGCATGTAATATTTAGGATTGTAATATAATGTCCCTCTTTGTCTTTTTTAACTGTTGTTGCTTTAATATCTGTTTTGTCTGATATGGTAATAGCTACTCCTGCTTGCTTTTGGTGTCCATTTGTATGGAATATCTTTCTCCACCCTTTTACCTTAAGTTTATGTGAGTCCTTATGTTAGATGAGTCTCTTGAAGGCAGCAGACATTTGGTTGGTGAATTGTTATCCATTCTGCCATTCTGTATCTTTTAAGTGGAGCATTTAGGCCATTTATATTCAGCATTAGTATTGAGATGTGAGGTACTATTCTATTCATCATGCTAATTGTTGCCTGAATACCCTGTGGGTTTTTTTTCTTCATTGTTATTGTTTTATAGGTCCTGTGAGATTTATGCTCTAAGAAGGTTCTATTTTGGTGTATTTTGAGGTTTTGTTTCAAGATTTAGAGCTCCTTTCATCAGTTCTTATAGTGTTGGCTTGGTAGTGGCAAATTCTCTCAGCATTTGTTTGTCTGAAATAGACTATATCTTTCCTTTGTTTGTGAAGCTTAGTTTCGCTGGATACAAAATTCTGGGCTGATAATTGTTTCGTTTAAGGAGGCTAAAGATAAGACCCCAATCCCATCTAGCTTATAGGGTCTCTGCTGAGAAACCTGTTGTTAATCTGATACATTTTCCTTTATAGGTTACCTGATGCTTTTGCCTCACAACTCTTAAGATTCTTTCCTTCTTGACTTTAGGTAACTTGATGACTATGTGCCTAGGCAAAGAGCTTTTTGTGATGAATATCTTGGGTGTTCTTTGAGCTTCTTATATTTGGATGTCTAAATCTCTAGCAAGGCCAGGGAAGTTTTCCTCGATTATTCCCTCAAATATGTTTTCCAGACTTTTGCGTTTATCTTCTTCCTTGGGAACATCAATTATTCTTAGGTTTGGTTGTTTAACAGAATCCCAAACTTCTTGGAGGCTTTGTTCATTATTTTGATTCTGTTTTATTTGTCTTTGTCAGATTGGGTTAATTTGAAAGCCTTGTCTTTGAGCTCTGAAGTTCTTTCTTCTATTTGTTCAATTCTATTGTTGAGGTTTTTCCACGTATTTTGCATTTCTCTAAGAGTGTCCTTCATTTCCAGAAGTTGTGACTACTTTTTATTTATGCTATGTACTTCTCTGGAGATTTTTCCATCCATATCCTGTAACATTTTTTAAATTTCTTTAAGTTGGTATTCACCTTTCTCTGGTGCCTCCTTGAGTAACTTAATAATTGACCTTCTGAATTCTTTTGCTGGCAATTCAGATATTTCTTCTTGGTTTGGATTCGTTGCTGGTGAGCTAGTGTGATCTTTTGGGGGCATAATAGAACTTTGTTTTGTCATATTACCAAAATTGTTCTTCTGGTTCCTTCTCATATGGGTACACTGTGTCAGAGAAAAGATCTGGGGCTCAAGGGCTGCTGTTCATTTTCTTTTGCCCCACAGGTATTCCCTTGATGTGGCACACTCCCCTTCCTCTAGGGATGGGGCTTCCTAAGAGCCAGAGTGCAGTGATTGTTATTTCTCTTCTGATTCTAGCCACCCCGTGGAGCTACCAGGCTCTGGGCTGGTACTGGGGAGTGTCTGCAAAGAGTCCTGTGATGTGATCCATCTTCAGGTGGATACCAGCACCTGCTCCAGTGGAGGTAGCAGAGGAGTGAGGTGGACTTTTTGTGGGAACTTTGTTGTAGTTTTGTTTAGTGTGCTGGTTTTCTCTAATGCTGGTTGTCCTGGCAGTAAAGTTGTCATGTAGACAGACTCAGGACCTCTGGTTATCCAGGATGTTACAGGCAGTAGAGTTAGCTGTTTTCTCCTTTCTTGGGACAAGGCTGTTCTTTTATGAGTTGCTGTAATGGTTTGTGTTGATTGGCCTCCAGCCAGGAGGTGGCGCTTTCAAGACAGCATCAGCTGTGGTAGTACAGGGAGGATACAAGCCTGCCCTAGGTTGGCCAGGTGATGGGTGAAGCCACAGAGCTTCAAAGAGATAATGTCTTTTGTCTTTGGCTACCAGGGCAGGTAGAGAAAGACCATCAGGTGGGGGCAGTGTTAGGCATGTCTGAGCTCAGACTCTCCTTGGGCAAGGCTTGCTGTGGCTGCTATAGGGGATGAGGGTGTTTTTCTCCAGCTGACAGAGTTATGTTTCCTGGGGGATTATGGCTGCCTCTGCTGCATCATACAGGTTGCCAGGGAAGTGGTGGAAAGTTGGCAGTGACAGGCCTCACCCAGCCCCTATGCAGCCAAAAAGGCCAGTCTCAATCCCCCTGTGCTCCCCCAACAGCACCAACTTTATATCCAGGCAGCCGGTGAGAAAACTTTTTTTTAAAAGATCATTTTTCCTCAATTTTAATATTTAAGAAAATATATTTATTTATAAAAAATATTTTTTAAAGAATAAAACATTTTTAAAGTCTTCAAGGCAAAACCAATAACAATGTATTGGCAAAAATCATGATGCCAGAGTAGAGGGGCTAAATTAGCCCTAACTAAAGGATGTGGTGGGCCCACCATAACAAGCTTAAAAGAAAGTCTTAAAAAGATAAAACTGATCCCAAGTAACTTAACTGCTAAAAAGGAAAAAAGTCGGTATTCATTAAAGAAATACAGTAAAATGAGCACTCAACAACGTAAAATTGACAATGGCTAAGATTCAATCAAAAATCACAAAGCATGTAAAGAAACGAGAAGAGATTACCTATAACCAGGAGAAGAATCAATTACAGACTCAGAAATGCCAGAGATAATAGAATGGGTAGAAGGACCTTAAAAGATTTAATATTGAAAGATTAAGATTTTAAAATCTTATTAACATGTTCAAAGATATAAAATAAAACATAAAGATAATGATAAAAGAAATAGCAGATATGAAAAAGATCCAAATAGAACTTGTAGAGGTTAAAAAAAATCTGATATGAGAAATCCACATGGAACTTGTAGAGGTTAAAAAAAAATATGATAGGAGAAATATAATGATAAGATTAACAGCAGATTAGACACTGCAGACAAGGGATTGACTGCAAAGGGTAATGAGAGCCTTTTGGAGGTCCATGGAAATGTTCTATGTCTTAACTTGATTGTGGCAGTGATTACATGATTGTATACATTTATCAGGTCATCAGACTGTTCACTTAAAATAAATGAGTTATACTGGGTGCAAAGTATACCTCAATAAAACTAGTTTTTAAATACTACAGCAAATGAAAGATGTCAGACTTAAAGGACTACATACTATAAGGGTCCAAATATATGAAACTTCTTCACCTAATTTATAGTGACAGAAAGCAGACCAGTGGTTGCCTGGGGGCAGAGTGAGAGAACAGTAGGAGGATAACTGCAAAGGGATGATGGAAATACTCTATACATTCATTGACATGGTGATTACATGGGTGTAAACATTTGCCAAACTCACCCAACTCTACACTTAAAATAGATGTGTTTTATTTTATGTAATTACACCCCAATAAAGTTGAGAGATAAAGCAAAGAAATGGTTATATGTAAGTCTTCCTGTAAATGTGTGTTGGGGGGAGTTGGCATTTTTCTCAGCAGGTCTGGACTGGTCAAAGCATTTTAAAATTTCAACCAATAGTATTTGGACTGAAGACCCACTGTTCTATTCCTGGAAATTTCCCCTATACTGAGAATAGTTATTTAATACTCCAAGGAATATTAATGTGAGTTCAAAATGAAGATCACTGGTGTTCAAAAAACTTCATTAAAAGCAATAGTGGAACACCTTTACAAGCCTCTAAAAGGTAAGTTTAAATAGCAAGACTTTTAAAGGTAAAGGAAGGAGCAGCTACCTAGGTATTTTTTGACCTATTGGGCTTCTCAGTGTTGTTAGTGTCCCTGCTCATAGTCATCTAGGGATCTAAGAAAGCCAGTATCAGTGTAGTGGATGTTGTGGTACCCAGCCAAGCCCTTCCCTTCAAGACCAAGACACTCAGTTCCCCAGCACCCTGGAGTGTTCACTTCCGATGGCTGCTAAATTTGCTCCCTGTTAAAGGGAACTGCCTGGCCCAAGTTTACATCCCCTCCTCCATGGTAACCCACCTCCAGTGAGGGGTTAATGTGGGGGTACAAAGGCCTTGCCTCCTTACCCTAATTCAGGACAACTCAGAAGGACCATCTCAGCTCTGGAGCTCCCTGTGGGAGCAGCTGAGGTCCCTGTTGCAAATTTGCTGCGGTTCATTTCTCCCTCTCCCAATCCTGCTTCCCTCTCCCTCCCTCACCCCTCATTCTTTTCTTTTTTTTTTTTTTTTTTTTTTTTTGACAATGTCTATCTTCTCCCAGGCTGGAGAGCAGTGGTGCAATCTCAGCTTACTGCAACCACTGCCTCCTAGGCTCAAGCAATCCTCCCACCTCAGCCTTCTGAGTGGATGGGACTACAGGCGCATGCCACCATGCCTGGCTAATTTTATGTTTTTTGTAGAGACAGGGTTTCCCCATGTTGCCCAGGCTAGTCTCACACTCCTGAGCTCAGGTGATCCACATGCCTCAGCCTCCCAAAGTGCTGAGATTACAGGCATAAGCACCGCACCCAGCCACTCATGGCTGTTTTCTTGAGGGAACACTCCCATAAAGCTTCTGCACACAGACCTCCAACTTCAAGTCTGTTTCCCAGGGAACTTGACCTAAGGCAACGAGTAAATAAGAGGGGAATTACCTGTGTCTGGTGGGATCGTTCTATGCCCAGGTAAAAAATAAATATCCAATGTCACTAGCTCTTTTATTTCCAATTGATCAGTTATAAAATGTAATGGAAAGGCCAGGTGTGGTGGCTCATGCCTGTAATCCCAGCACATTGGGAGGCTGAGGCAGATGAATCACGAGATCAGGAGTTCGAGACCAGCCTGGCCAACATGGTGAAACCCCGTCTCTACTAAAAACACAAAAAATTAGCTGGGCGTAGTGGCGGGCTCCTGTTATCCCAGCTACTTGGGAGGCTGAGACAGGAGAATCGCTTGAACCCGGGAGGCAGAGGTCGCAGTGAGCTGAGACCATGCCTTTGTGCTCCAGCCTGGGCGACAGAGTGAGACTCCATCTCAAAAAAATAAAATAATAATAATAATAATAATGAGGAAAAAAAGCCAATCACAAAAACAAAAAAAAATAGGGAATATACCTAGGAATAACCTTAACAAAAGACAAGTGTGCAACATATATTGATAAAACTCTACTAAAAGTCATTTTAAAAGATAAGAAAGAAACAGAGAAAAGTACATTTTTTTCTTATATAAGAAAATTCAATCCTGATAAAGTGAGAGTGATTTTCCCTAAATGAGTCTATAAGTTTGATGTAGTCTAAATTGGAATTTGATTAAAAATAATACAAAGTTCATGCAGAAGAATGAACATAAAAAATAGGGAAATTAAAAAAAATGGAATGAAAGATGGACAGTGAGTTAGCCTTGTGCCACCAAATTTTGTAATATAAAGCTGTGGTCATTTCTTGCAGGACTCTTTCTTCTTCCTAGGCTCTCTGCCCTGAGACTCAGACCCTCCGATGTGTTCACCTCCCCCCTTTCCTGCTATGTAGCAAATACCTGTTCATTTTGTCTCTCTCATACTGCTATAATCTCTTAATGGGACAATCTGTGCTTTTCAAGGTATGTCTTCAGTACCCAGCCTGCACAAACAATGCTTGTGCAAAGTGTTGAATGAAAGAATGATCATCAAGTGAATAAATAACCAACTCAAAGCCAAGCACAAAAATGGCTACCGTGGAGCTTAGTTCATTCCTTCCTTTGCGAGATCCTGGAGCCACTGTCATTATAATCTAAGCTGATACCAATACCATCAAATAGTAAATACTTATTTCCTGCAGATATGCCCCGTTTGCTCTGTGTGCAAAATTACACTTAAAATAATACAGGTGGCCGGGTGCTCATACCTGTAATCCCAGCACTTTGGGAGGCAAGGCAGGCCGATCACCTGAGGTCGGGAGTTGAAGACCAGGCTGGCCAATATGGTGAAATCCCATTTCAACTAAAAATACAAAAAATTAGCCAGGCGTGGTGGCGGGCACCTGAAATCCCAGCTACTCAGGAGGCTGAGGCAGGAGAATCACTTGAACCCAGGAGGTGGAGGTTGCAGCAAGCCAAGATCATGCCACTGCACTCCAGCCTGGGTGACAAGATCAAAACTCCATCTCAAAAGAAATGATAAAAATTAAAATTAAAATAAAATAATACATGCACTTGTAAACATGTCCACATATACATGATAACACTGCACATCAGATTACATTCTTAAGTCTGCCCAGCAATGAAGACCTTTAAAGACCAGTGTCTCAGCTGCCTTTACAAGGAAGATGTTTTCAATACTGTTGTTGAGAAATGAAAGTCAGTGTCATGAGCTCTGTTTTTCCCTTGGGAAAGTCAAGGAAGGGCACTGCATTTACACCAGGATGTGTTGACAATGTCTAACTACATCGAATCTTATCTACACCAGCAGTAAATCCCCTCACCCATCGAGCTGGTAAGAGGGCCCGTTTCCTTCATCACTGCTGCCAGCCAAGGTTTCAGTCCTTCCGCTCCCCAAGAGATTTCATTTCAGAACTGAGATGATAAAGTACTCAAATGGTGCAATCCAAGTCCCAAGGAATTTTAACAACAATAACCCCCTTTGCAAAGCAGGGGAGAGAATGCCCTGTCCTGCTGTAAACTTCCTGGCGATTCTCATAGTCATTTGACCACCTGTGCCTGTACCCATTACCAGAAAGCAGGATTCACCCAGTTCATGAAAACTTAAAGCTGGACTTAAAGCTATAAAACCCCCAAGCACATTTCATTTTGAGTTGTTAATACAGTCCCAGTCTACCACCTGATTACCGAGTAGGTTTTCAGTTTCAGCTTTTATCAGTGTAAAGCTCAGAGCTACAGAACGCCAACTGAGCAAATGATTTAATGAAAGCAGAATGAAGGCACAGGCTTGGCTACTACTAAAAGACACAGTGGAAGTTTGTTTTTTTGAGGAAGATATGTAAATCTGATGAACGAAAACTGTAGTTGAGTGCACCCCTGGAAATATAATGAAAACTGCCCCTCAGTTAGAAGCATCCATACACATTTTGGGTCTCTCAATACGTAGCTTTCAAATCCTTGCAATTTCAGGGCCTGTGTACTCCAACTCTAGATATGCCATTGATTTGATCTGAATGCCATAATGAGAATTCAGTCTGTGGTCTTAAAACTTGGAGCTGGACTCTCTAAAGTCTGGACCTTTTAAAGAAAACAAGCTTTTTGGTGTTTATGTGTTTTCTTTGTTGCTTTGGCCTCAAGCTCCTCATAAAAGGGCTTGAAGAAAGTTTATAAAACATGCACAAATAATATGCATAATGTGCAGAAAAGGCCTTGAAAACATGCATACTGAAGAATGTCCATAAAATTTAGAGAAGCTTGTACCTTCTTAAATCTTCTTAACAATGCTACAAGGTAGGTACTGTTATCACCATAACCATCCCCAAGATTCAAAAAGAAAATACTTGAGGAAAAGGCTGGCTGAGTTACCCCAAAGAAGGGAAAGGTAAAACTGCCCCAGTTTCCCTGGGGATGAAGACAAAACATCTCCTAGAAATCTCTTTGAGTCTGGTCTGCCTGGAAATAGCTGTTTCTGGGAAAAGCAATCAGGCTGAATCAAGAGTAACATACTAATTCCAAATCCTCACAATTACATGTTGAGAGCCTGCCTAGATATTCTGGGTGCCACCTTGCAATTGGCCAGTTGTGTTGCTGACAGCTCGGTCCATATCAGGGAAAAGACACACTCTCAGTTGGCGCCTCTTACAGTCACATTAATCCTACTGAAGTGTGGTTCTGGAACACAGCCAGTCTACCCCACTGAGGCAAGGCTTGATGGAGCACAGGCTAGCATGGCTGCACCTGACCAGCTCAGGGGATGAAGGACGGAAGAAGCAGGACAGTTGAAATGTCTGTATGGTGAGTATTCAGGCATCACTATTAACTAAAAAGACACATGGAGCCAGTAGCCCGTGGGATAGCTGTGGAAACACAGACAGGCACCTGGCTCAGAAGAGCTGACAGGGATCCCAAATCGGCTCATTTTAAGTGTAAGTCATGCGGGCTTCAAGACAAAGATGCTAATCCATGAACACGAACAACCTTGGCTCACATAGAGTCATCAACCAAAAGACAGTTTTTATGCTTCCAGAGTGGTGATAGCAGCAAATATTCATAGCTCACCTAACTCTCCCAGCCTCAAATAAGACATAAGAAAAGTTCTAACATAGTCCTTATCTGGAAGGAAGCGTGTCCAGCTAGCAAGGTAAAAGTAACCCTAACCAAACCAGGAGAAGATGTACCACAGCAGATTATGTCTAAACTCTATTGCCCAAATAGTAATGGCCATAACCATTTTGAGGATGCAGAAATTCTTAAGGGTGAGCTGGACCCTCCAGAGTAAGCGATTTAAATTGAGACACAGGCAAGCATCTCATGTAGAAGGAACAACAAAAGCTGAGGCATGTAAAAAGAAAAGAGACTATTGGACATTGAAAATATTGAGAAAGTCAAACCATTCAGTGAAGACAAGGGCCCCCAAACAAGAGATTTACACTTGATAATCAAACCAGAAATTTTCAAACAACTCAAAAATTTCTCCAAGTAGACATTGCAAAGAGTAATGAGAGCACCTGTAGAACATTGTCCTCCCCATCTGGCAGCCCCTACTCAAATATGTCTTAACCAGCGTATTCAGGTTTTGTCTGTTTTATGTGATTCCACGTGAGATTTTGTTTTAGAATAAGTTGCTTTAAAATATTTTTAAACGTTATAGAGACCCTAACAAGGAGAACAAGCAGGATAAGCTACAAAATCATAGTTTTTTAAAAGACAAACATTTGCAGATCAATAAAAGTTGACTTAATTCATGTCCAGCAAGCCAGCACAACAAGAAATGTTAAAAAGTTTTTCAGGTCCAATGGAATTGATACCAGATGGAAGCATAGATCTGCTAGAAACAATAAAGGGTACCAGAAAGACATTTTAAAAAATCAAATACCTAGGAATAAATCTAAAACAATAGCTAGAAGTCCTCTACACTGAAAACTAAAGAATATTTGCTAAGAAAAATTAAACAAGCTGTACATAAATGAAGACTTATACCATGTTCATGGATTGGTAGACTAAATATAATTAAGAAGTCCATTTAGAGTCTCCCTCTTTTGGTCAAGATAGGGAAACATAATTTTCCTTCCCACCTGAAACAACTAAAAAACTAGACAAAATATATAAAACAACAGTTTTCAAGAAAATGGATATCAGGCAATGAAGAAAAATAATTCCTAAGAAAAAAGGAAAAAAATAAGTGAGTAAGGTGAGTCCTATGATTGCTCCAGCATATAACCTTGTATTTCCAGACCATGACAGAGGGAGTGGTAATCTAGGTAGAGCCCAGCAGATTCCTTAAGTTAAGGAGATGAAGTTGATATTCTGGGGAGATCAAGGCAGCTAGAGTTCACAGGGCAGAATACGGGAAAGGAGAGAGCAGCACAGAAAGAAAACTCCAAAAATCTGAGGTGATCCCTTTTGAGTATATATACCAATTTTTTTTTTTCGGTCTACTATTTGTCTTTTGAATGACAAAAGACAAACAATTTTTTAACAATGTATATAATCAAATATGTCTCTCCTTTCCTTTATGACTTCTGGGTTTGCTGTCTTGCTTAAAAAGTCTACTTCATTTCAAGACATTTTATTTTATGAACTTGGCTCATCATTTTAAGGGCATATTCTTTTGGGGGGCCTACAGTACTAGACATAACAACCTTAAAGACAGCAAGAGCAGGAAAGGAATATTTTCAAAAAACCATGCCTGCAGGTGGGGAACAGTTTAGTTATACAGTGGTTAAGAGCTGTAGAGTCAGATGGTCCTGGAGAAGAGTTCCACTTCCTGAGTGAGAATCCTGGGTGAATAACTCTGCGGCCTTTAGGCAAGTTACTTAACCTCCTCTGTCAAAAGGGAGATATTAGTAGCTACTTCATATGCTTATGATAACTAACAACAATGCATGTAAAGCATTTAGCATAGGGCTTAGCACACAGTGAGTGTTCAGTAAGTAATGACTTTTATTACTACTATTACTAGCATAGAAAAACTAGGAGAGGCCGGGCGTGGTGGCATATGCCTGTAATCCCAGCACTTTGGGAGGCCAAAGCAGGGCAGATCACCTGAGGCCAGGAGTTTGAGACCAGCCTGGCCAACATGGTGAAACCCTATCTCAACTAACAACACAAAAAATCAGCCGGGCATGGCGGCACACAGCTGTGATCCCAGCTACTTGAGAGGCTGAGGCAGGAAAATCACTTGAAACCAGGAGGCAGAGATTGCAGTGAGCAGAGATCACAACATTGCACTCCAGCCTGGGCAACGAGAGTGAAGTTCCATTTCAAAAAACATGAAAAGAAAAACTAGGAGAGAATTTTAGGAAGATAGGCTGGGGTTAGACAGTTTGAACTTCGATCTGTCAAGGTTGGAAAACAATGGAAGGTTTACTAGCCAAGGAGTAATATGAGATAGGAAGTATTTAATAAAAATCCATCTCTCTTTAAGGATCTATGGTATCCTTAAAAGGCCATATTTATATTGACTTATGTATCTTTTTATCTGAAAATCCTATCTCAGAAAAAAAAGCACTTCTTAAACACCGTTACACTTTAAAACTTCTTGTGATTTGATCAGATAATGATTATTTCATCAATCTACATCTTATCTTAGGTGAAGATTCTTGTTCCATAATCAAAAACATATTAAATCTTAAAACTCTATAATTTGATTTTTCTATGTTCTTATTTGTAGGGCAGTAGAAATTATTAATCAGCTAAGAACAACTGAGTGGTCATCTCATTGGCTTTCACTACATACCTACAGGCAGATAGAATGTCACCTTCCAGCAGAATGTGTCTGCCCTCTGCATCTGTTATGGACTGAATATTGTGTCCCCGCAAAATTCATTTGTTCAAGCCCTAACTCCCAGTGTGACTATATTTGGAAATCGAGCCTTTAAGAAAAATATTTAAGCTTAAATGAGGTCATAAGGGTGGGGCCCTAATTCGATAGGATTAGTGTCCTTATAAATAGAGACACCACACAGCTCTCTCTCTCTCTCTTTTTTCCCTTTTGCTCTCTCTCAGAGCATGCATGGAGGAAACACCATGTCAGCACACAGCTATGTGGTGGCCACCTATAAGCCAAGAGAAGAGGCCTCAGAATGAAACCAAATTTACTGGCACCTTAATCTTGGACTTTCAGCCCCCAGAACTATGAGAAAATAAATGTCTATTGTTTCAGCCACCCAGTCTGGGTATTTTGTGAAGGTAGCCTCAGCACACTGAGACAGCATCTGATCAAGTACTGACATCCAGAGTCAAACTCTCATTCTATGTTAGATACTAGGATATTTTAATCCAAATTAAAGTTATTTTAAAAGATAAGATTTCTGTTTCTCCATTCTTTCCAAACCAAGGTTGCCCTTGTCTCCAAGGAAGGGATCTCTGGAGCCCACAAGCTGAGGCAGGGTGGAGGAGCACCCTTTCTTCCCATTCGGCAGGGTGCTAGGTCCCTCCTGAGAGAAGCATGGGAGAATGTAGATCTAGAAGCCACGTGGCTGAGTAAATCAAATACTCATGAGAGTTATAAAGCACAAAGAAATATCAATTTCAATTTTTATCCATATCATGAACTCGCAGTTACAGTGTCTTCCTAAAGAAATGACATGGCTTAACTCATAAGCTCCTCTTCCCACCTGCCATTCTCCTTGTTTGGGGTTACTGTTGAGAGACTGAATGTATCATCAGACAACAGCCAGACTGTATATAAAAACAGGTCTCTAACCCACAACCTGCTCAGGAAATCAAACCCCTTATCTCCAATAAACAACCCAGGAAGCCAGCCTGCTGTAAGTCTGACTTGGGAAGCCAGATTGCTATCTCTTTAAACAATCCAAAAAGGTAAATAATAACTTCTGTAACAATCAGCCCCAAGTGCCCAGGACTTGATTAATAATAGATAACTTCCCTAATTTTTGTCCCCACTTCCAATTTAGGACCAACCAGGGAATGCCCTAGCCAATCACATGAGTGATTGGCTCCTAGATAGCCCACCTGCAGCTCCCCCTACCAACAGCCTTCAATTGGGGCACATGGGAAGCTTCTCTGTTTTCCACTAAATGCCTTCCCAGTCCTCTGCCTGCCTTTGATTCTCTGCCAAATGCAGTGACACTGGCTGACTCCTTCGCAATTGCAATCTCTGAATAAATAGCCTCTGCATTTCTCATTTAGTTGGTTTTTGTTCATTTCCAGTGTCTTTTCATCTATTCCCTAGAAGATTGAAAAGATTTTTTTCCCTAATTGCATCTTGAAACATTTTCTTTCATATTTATGAGGCAGATATTGCTTTTTTCCACAATTATAAATTAAAGGGCATATTCCATCCTTTTGACAAATGTGAACTTAAAAAAAATTTTTTTTATTTTACTTTAAGTTCTGGGATACAAGTGCAGAACGTGTAGGTTTGTTACATAGTTATATGTCTGCCACAGTGGTTTGCTGCACTTATCCACCCATCAAATGTGTACTTTAAAGATAGCCCAGAGGTTCCAGGTCCCAGAGTGATAGTTCTAGGCCAGCGATGTGCACACAGGGCCCCTGACCACCTCCCTGTTCTACCCCAGATCCACGTCATTTTTTGAAAAGTATTGGTAGTGACTTCCCCGGTAAGCCTGAGTTCCCAGATCCGACCCTGGCACCCGCAGCTCCCTGTCTTCACTGTGCCATTGCTCGTTAAGCTGCGCTGGTTGCCTGACCCCCCAGGTGTCCCCCCTGGGGACTGGGCACACAGTCTAGGTACTTGTTTTGCTCAAGCCAATGAAAAAGGCATGAGGAACACTTCAAAGGAAGCTTTCAAACTGCTGATCTTGGCAGTTCTGCTGTTTTCAAAGACAACAGAACAGTGGGAAGGAGGAAGATTTCATTTCCCTGGAGCTTCTCTGCTTAGCTCTGGAAACAATAGTAACCAAGTGCATTTTGGGAGGAATCATTTGAACCAGGTCCTTATCTTCATTGCTTGGAATAAGGTTTTATAAAAAACAAAACATCAACAACAACAAGAAAACTCCCCACTTAATTCAAACGCCACATTCATTTTCGTCTGGTTTGTTTCTCATCAATAAAAATGCATAATTAACTCCCTGAAGTTAGGCATTGCTAATGAATAGAAATCCATTTCAATGAATTCATAACCTGTGGGATTTCTGATGTAACCCTGTAATCTACTTCATTGACAAATTTTAAATGACTTGATGGAAGAAAATGAAGGTCCTAAGCTGCTGTTTGATGCTCAGTAGCTTGTTTCTTTTGTTAGTAGGTAGGGAGGCGGACTTCTCAGGCTTTACTATGGCTTACCCTAGGAGGACAACAGCACTCAACATAGGCTCAACAAAGCATCATATTTTTAATCCATCAGCAGTTTTCCAGAAGAATGTTGCTCATAATTAAATAACTTAAAGTAACAGAGAGTTAGCAAGAGAGGAGTCAACACAGGCACAATCTACCCGTCTATCCTCACCCATCTTTAGATATTGGTCAGCAGCTGTCATGGACTGGAGACTCCTGGGACCAATGGCCAATGACTGTGAGGATTGGAAACTGCAGTTCCTTGCTTTGTGTGTAGCTCTCTCCTCTGACTTGAGAATGCTGTTTAAAACGGTCTAGGTATAGTTCTAAACAGCTGACTCATCATTAAGGACAGGTGTCTGCAGAGAAGTCAGCAAGTGCAATTAATGTTAAAAATAAGATAACCTTTCAAAATACTACCCATGCACTACACCTGGCGTGTGGAAAAGAGGGGGCAGTCAATATCCCCTACATGGCCTACTGTTAGCCAGCCGAGCATACACAGAGTATAGGAAAAATACGTAAAACAGATCTTTATTTTGAATTTGAACCATGCATTCTATTATGGGTCCTACTCCAGGTGTTGTCCCATTGTATTCCAGGTGCCTTTCCCAGTTTCCCAGGGTGCAGGCCTGGTAATTGATTCTCTGAGTGACCATGTGGTCACTCCCTTGTAGCCAGTTGACCTCTCTGACTCTGACCTTCCACCCATCCTCCGTTTCCTTCGATCCTCCAGACCTTGGAATCTCTTCTCCTCCTGGCAAGGACTCCTGTCTTGGATGAACTTTAGTCAGGCTCCTCTGAGCCCACAGCTAGGCCTCATCCTTAGTCCTGGCCTTGGCCTGCTGAGCCCAGTTTTAGAAAAAAAAAAAAAAAAAAAGAAGTCCTGCTAAGGCAGCTTATCCAAAATCCCACCCTTGATATCTAACCAAGTTCCTCTTGGTAACTTTCCATTTCACCTCCTCAGCTGCCTGTTGGCTATACACCTCCTCTTGTTTCTGTTGTATCTAGAGTTGAGTTCAACTTCTCTCCCCTATTACAGTAGTGTTGAAGAAAGCCTTCCTTGCCATTTTTAACAAATGTCAGAATAATTTCTCTTTAACCCTTCTCAGACCCAGGGCCCCACCTCTTCTGCACCTGGAGTTCTCTTTGTCTTTAAGTGCTCGTCTCCTTCTTCAGATTAACACCCACTGCCAGGTGCTGGGGCATTGAATCCTGAGTGCTGGAAGAGAAGATAAAGGAAAAGCAGCCTTCTCAGCAGTCTGTTTTCAGGGCTGGGAAGGTGGGATAATCACAGCTTTCCCTACTCCTAAGTTAACGGTTCTGTGGCATCTCCCTTCCTTTTGCTAAGCGTAGCTGTCTTCTTAGTAAACCTGGTCTGGAACCCCAGGAGAAAAACAGGGGAAGAAAAAAAAAAAAGCAAGCCCTCATTTGTGATATCGGAAGAACTGAAAAACCTTACTCCCTGTCCACCACAAAAGAATTATCCTGTATATGGAATTAGAAATAATTAATGTGATTTGAAACTGGTACAAAGCAAACAATCAAAAGGCTCTGCTGAATTACTGGTGCCGTGTGGAAATAAATGGGTTTGGAGTCAGATGGGCCTGAATTTAAAGCCTGCCTCCCCCATCTAGCTTGTCAGGACCTCAAGCAAGCAGGTTAACGCTGGAGCCCAGATGCCTTGTCTGTAAAAATCTCCTATCTCACAAGGTCAGTAAGAGGAATAGATGAGCATCTAACACCATGCTTAGTGCAGGGTTATTTTTTAAAGGTTCATTTTCACTTCCTGACTCTCACTCTGTTTGAGAGACAATGGTTTGGAGACTAGAAAAATATATCGTTCAAAACGTGTGTGATTTTTTTAATCTTCCATGCTTTGATTTTGTGATTTATCTGATGCTAACATTATCATTTAAGAAATCACAATATTTTGTATGTCTTTTAATATTTTATAAGGCAATTCTATTTCTTTCAGTGTAAAATATAGGGACATTTTAAAACATAGTTTTATTTTTTCTGAGCTAACATGTTTTTAGACAGAATGAAGTTATAGTGCCACAATGAGTGAGAGGAAAATAAGAAATTTAGTAGAATGTAAAGTGATAAAACAGTAAACTAAATGTTTACATTTAAGTTCTATTATTTTTCTATGAAAAAATCTAGACATATGCATAAGTAGAGAGAATAGTGTAATGAAACCCCTTGTATCTGTCACCCCGTCTTAACAATTACATTTTGCCAATCTTGTTTTGTCTGTACATCACCCTGCAGTTCTCACCATCCTCTTCACTGGAATGTTTTAAAGCAAATTCTCAACATCATATTTTAGTGCATATTTCCAATAGTGAATTCTTCTTATTTTATATAATCAAATTACTACTAATATAGCTAATAAAATTTAAAAATAATTCCTTATATAGTTCCTATGTATTCTCAATGTCCACTCAATGTTTAAATACCCTGATTGTCTCAAAAGCATCTTTTTACAGTTGACTTGATTGGATCTGGTCCAAATAAGAAATTTGGTCGATATGTTATGTAAGTCTCTTTTAATCTATATCATTCCTCCCTCCTTCCCACCCCATTTGTATTAGTCTGTTCTCACATTGCTATAAATACCTGAGGCTAGGTAATTTATAAAGAAAAGAGGTTTAATTGGCTCACAGTTCTACAGGCTGTATAGGAAGCATGATTCTGGCACCTGCTAGGCTTCTGGGGAGGCCTCAGGAAACTTACAATCATGGCAGAAGGCAAAGGCGAAGCAGGCCCTTCTTACATGACCGGTGTAGGATGGAGAGAAAGGTGGGAGGAGGTGCTACCCATTTTTAAACAACCAGATCTCATGAGAACTCTATCATGAGAACAGCACCAAAGGGGGAATCTGCCCCCATGATCCAATCACCTCCCACCAGGCCCCACCTCTAACATTGGGGATTACAATTGAACATGAGATGTGGGTGGCGATCCAGATCCAAACCATATCACTATTCATGCTATTTGTTGAAAAAACCAAGTCATTTGTCTTATTGAATTTCCCATGCTCTGAATTTGGCTAATTGCATCATTGTGGTGTCATTTAACATACTCCCCATCCCCTGTATTTCCTGTGAGCATGGTTGGATCTAGAGACTTGATCAGATTCCGGTTCAATTTTTCAGCAGAACTTCATGGAAGGAGCTTGTACTTACTATTGATCACCTCAGGAGACACAAAATATCTCTTCTCTAGTGAATTTTCAACCGATCAGTGAAACAAAAAGTTATTTGTATTCCAATCCAGGATAATAACTCTCCATTTATGGTGGAAAGACAAGATTTTTTGAGTCATCCAGACTTGAGACAAAACACTGAACTGTGGCACTATGGACAAGACATTGTGGATTTTCCCATGTTGGGTGCTGGATATTCTTGTATTCCTATAAATATTCTTGAGCTTTGTTCTGGGATGCAGTTACATTACTTGGAAACAGTTTGACTCTTTGGGGTGTTGTTTTTAATATTGTTAGATGGGTCTGGAGCAGCATTAATCGAGAGCTAATTTTGTGCTACTGCTGAAGCAAGCCCTTTGAGTTCTCTACCCAGTGCCCATGCATTAGGAGGGTTTCCAGTCTGGCTGGTGGCCTGTGTGAGCACCAGGCACCATTCCCTCAAAGTCTTTAGGCTGGTTCTTTCCCCAGCCTCACACACAAGCAACGATCAGTCCTCTACTAAGTACAGTGTTACAGGCCTTGAGGTACAGACACTGCAGAAGCCAGACAATAATTCCCATTCCTATGAAATATACAAGTATTGTACAGATTACAACTTCCAAATAAAATGCAAGCAAATGTTGCCAACTTAAACCTCATTCACAAATGGGATTATCTCAACAAACCAAGTCCATTCCCCATGAATGCAGGAAAATAAACAAATATGTGCAAGAGCCCTATCAGATCACAGTATAGAAGGTCTTGTTGAAAGGATTTTTTAAGTAAGTCCCTGCTTTCTCCTTCTCTCATGTAGAAAAAAGCAAAATATACCTTTGCAAGGAGTATTTCCATCGGAAATCATTTTGCTCTCATGGAGGTGGAGAAAAATAATTTAAAACAGATAAAAGAGTGGATCTGGATAACTTTTCTTTTCTTTTAGATCTTAAAAACCATTCACTTCAATACCACGAGCCCATGTAAGAATGCCATTTAAAATAATGATTTTACATTCTCTAAATCTTTGGTATTTGTCATTTTGAGGGAATATCATGTATCATAAGACTGCTTTTATTTTCTTCCCATCAGACAAGATTATCCAAAGCAATTACTAATTAGCTGATTCAGGGCCCATGATAAGAACATACAAGAACTTTAGATGTTGTGTGGCTCCATGGCCCCTTTAAACCTGGGGGGTCCGCAGGTACACAACCAGTAATTTTTCTTAGTGCCAATGGTCGTGTCTCAGGCAGTTTGTACCACATGGGTTGTTGTGGTGGTGGTGGTGATTACTGATGTTCTTTCAAGAACTTTTAGAAGTTCTAGGAACACCGAGAATCAGATTAGCTGTCAGAAGGAGCAGAGAGATTATCCAACATTGGTTATGTATAAGGGATATTAAATACTATTGTTCTCAATAACATTAACAATGAAATATGACAACTTAATAATATAAATCTTAAAGACATACCAGGTCTCTTTAGAGATGAGATAGTTATCTTTATAGTTATGCCCTAAGCATTTCAATTAACTTGACAAGTTATAGCAATAAATACATAAAAGATGCAAAAGTTACATCTTCAATAAAGGGAATGTAGTGGTTTTCTTAATCCAAAATTTTGTTTTATATATGATACGCCCAGTGTTCTCTGTATGTGTGATTGGAAGACGCCATTGCTGGACAGGAGGAAGTGCAGATGCCCTAAACATTTAACCAGGTTCACATAGAACAGTAGGCTCTGCTTTAAGAGGGCAGATTAAGTGCATGTATTTACTTGCTTTCCATGGAATCCCACTTAAATAACACTTGAACAAGTAGAATAAATTCTTAACAGTACTGAGTGCTGTTTTTGACATATTCCTGAAAACCAAATACATGGGATCATATTGATACAAAATCATAGCAAGGAATGACAACTCTTTTCCCCAAAGAGCCCTGTGCCCATCTGCATTAGATTCCCAAGGCTGCCATAACCAAGCACTGGTGCCACAAACAGGGAGGTTTATAACACAGATGTATCTTCTTACAGTCCTGGAGGATAAAAGTTCGAAATAAAGGTACGAGCAAGGTTAGTTCCTTCGGAGAGCTCTGGGGGAAAATATGTTCTGTGCCTTTCTCCCAGCCTCTGGGGTTCCCAGCAGTCCTCGGCGCTCCTTGCATTGTAGACACATCGCTCCAGTCTCTACCTCTGTGGTTATATGGGTTCTCCCTGTGTGTTTCTGTGTGTCTTCATCTCTTCTCCTCCTCTCCTCCTCTTTTTTTTTTTTTGAGATGGTATCTCACTCTGTTGCCTAGGCTGGAGTGCAGCGGCGTGATCTCAGCTCACTGCAACCTCCGCCTCTACAGTTCAAGCGATTCTTCTGCCTCAGCCTCCCAAGTAGCTGGGATTACAGGTGCCCAACACCATGTCCGGCTAATTTTTTTGTATTTTTAGCAGAGACAGGATTTCACCATGTTGGCCAGGCTGGTCTCAAACTCCTGACCTCAGATGATCCGCCCACCTCAGCCTCCCAAACTGTTGGGATTACAGGCATGAGCCACTGAGCCTAGCCTTCTCCTCTTATAAGGACACCAGCGATACTAGATTCAGGGTCCATCCTACTCCAATATGATCTTATCTTAATTACATCTTCAATGACCCTATGCCCAAATAAGGTCACACTCTGAGGTAGCAGGGACTAGAACTTCAACATATCTTTTATCTTTTAGGGGGGCACAATTTAACCTGTAGCACCATCATTCACCTGTTTGCGTTCAGATTAATTTCCTACTCTCTCTCTCTCTCTCTGTCTCTCTCTCTCTCTGCTCTTTCTGTGTCTCAAAGTATTAACTCCTATAATCTATATTTTCCAGACTCCCTTGCCAAACTGGCTTCTGGCTGATGTCAACCAACGGGAGGCACTAGCAAGGGACTGGCAGGAGGGAGAACCGAAGAAGCCAGGGTGATTCTCCCCTCTATCTCTGCCTTGGGCAGTGTTTCCAGTAGCAGCTACATCTACTCCATGATTCTAGTTCCTTCTGGAAGGCTTGCTGTAGCTGGGAGGCTCTCCCAGTATGCAGCAAGGGGGCCAGAGCTGCTAAACTCTGTGAATGCCATCCTCCAACTCGCCTCTGCTTCTAAAATCTGAGTTGCTTCATTCTTCAGTTTGCTCTGTCAGCTCTTCCAAGACTTTTATAATTAATTCCCCTAATTAAATTCTCTCTATTGAACTACCTGGCATAAGTTCTGTTTTCCTGACAGACCCCTGACTGATCAAGCTTCAGGCAATGCCAAGCTCTGAGTCAACTAGTAGAGAACAGGAGTGTGCCAGGGGGCAGACATCAAGGCAAGTATTGAAAGGACCACCAATGGGATAAGAGAGCAGACCCCAGTGCCCCCCTTCCCTCCCCCTGCAAACGCAGCACAACTGTCAGGAGACGTGTGTGGGAAATAATAGCTGTGTGCAAAATCCTTCACGTTTCTTAGTGAGCAGCCAGTAGATACCATCCAATGTTGTTTTCAAAAGGAACTATAAGCATATTTCTAGTGTAATGATGTTACAGTAGACACCAAAATTATTTAAAACATCAATAAATAAAAATTATCTCTCAGGACTTAGACTTAGGGTAGGCAGGAATGGGCTTATTTTGGTTTATTTTCTCTCCTTCTGTGCTATTTGAATGTTGTAAAACTTTTGCCTCTATTACTTTTGGTTGTTGTTGTTGAGACGGAGTCTCGCTCTGTCACCCAGGCTGGAGTGCAGTGGCGAGATCTCGGCTCACTGCAAGCTCCGCCTCCTGGGTTCACGCCATTCTCCTGCCTCAGCCTACCGAGTAGCTGGGACTACAGGTGCCCGCCACGGCGCCCAGCTAATTTTTTGTATCTTTTAGTAGAGACGGGGTTTCACCGTGGTCTCGATCTCCTGACCTCGTGATCCACCCACCTCGGCCTCCCAAAGTGCTGGGATTACAGGCGTGAGCCACTGCGCCCGGCCGCCTCTATTACTTCTTTAATGTTTTAAGCACTAATTTCAAAGATTTGACTGGGTCTTTGTCTAGCTAAGGAACAAGTGATTTTATATCAAGTCTTATTTCCTGGACATAGAAGGGGGAAGGTAGAGATGAAAGAGTGGAGAATTTTGAAGCAGGCATGTGAATAAAGAAGGTAATGGCACTACCCATTGACTAAGTAATTGCTTTACATGTTACACTGTGGATGGGGGAAATCCATGCAGAGGGTGTTTCATGTTAGGAAATATGCCACTCTTTCCAAATGTGATATTTTTGAGAATTACTGTGTGTTAGGCCATTCTTGCATTGCTATATATAAAAAAAAAAAAAACGAAAACCTGAGGCTGGGTAGTTTATAAAGAAAAGAGATTTAATTGGCTCACTGTTCTGCAGGCCGTACAGGAAGCATGGTGCTAGCATCTGCATGATGTCCGGGGAGACCTCAGGAAGCTTACAATCATGGCAGAAGGCAAAGGGGGAGCAAGCATCTCACATGGTGACAGTGGGAGTAAAAGAAAGAGTCAGGGGTTGGGGAGGTGCCACACACTTTTAAACAACCAGAACTCATAAGAACTCACTCACTATTGTGAGGACAGCACCAAGTCATGAGGCATCAGCCCCCATGGCTCAAACACCAGGCCCCACCTCCAACACTGGGGACTACATTTCAACATGAGATTTGGGCAGGACAAATATCCAAACCATATCCTACTGTTCGTTCTTGGGAGATGTGTGAGTGCATTTGATCTATTATTTTTAATCCTCACTCCTACTCCTGCTGTCCAAGACCAGTAAGAAGGAGGAGGCTCATCTACCCCTCCACATTGGCAGAGGGCATGGAAGAGACAGAGCTGAAAGGGCTCAAGACTGCTCTGAACATTTATAGTAAGCCCAGGCATAGCTGCACAGGGTAGATAAGTAGTGCTGGAGTGATTAGAAACTTTCATCTACAACAGCACAGCATAGTTTTTAAAAAAATACATAGGCTTAAGAAAAAGATAAACCTGGGTTTCAGTCTCAGCATTGCCATCTACTACTTGTACTTAAATTCTCTGAACTTCAATCTCCATTTCTGCCAAACAGAGATAACATTTAGTCAACACAGTTTTCATGAAAAATGAGAAAATACATGCAAGGAATTTTATAGAATGTCTTGCACGTAGGAGGACCTCAATAAAACACATCCATTGCTGATGAGGAAATAGGTCAAATAAGGCTCTGCATATCTGGATATAAACAAAAGGTGATTGAGAGGGCTTCTTAGATATTTGTAGGTTTTTCAAAGCACTGACTTGCTTACTACTCCTGCTTTTCTTCCAGGCAGTCAAAGCATATTTCCTGACAATTGTACTGAGTGTTTTAAATAGACTGACAAACAACAGAGACAATCCCATGCAAAGCCAGCCTTCTCAGACCAGCTTGTTGCTAGCTGTGGTTGCAGGGAGCAGATTTAGATGAGTCATATGTTGTAGAAATGGGCAGAAAAGGACTGGAGTCCTCGAGACATAACCCCAGATTCAGAGTGTGACACTAAGTCTGGGGCTCTATTTGTAGTGGGTAGATAGCAGGAAGGTGTTATCCAGACTGTGGCCCAGTGAGGGGACCCAGAGTCCCTAGTCATCTGTTTCCTAATCTCCAAATTGCACTGTCCCTCCTGGAGTCATGCAGACAAAATGGGAAGGGCCTAGGCCAAAGAGAGTCAAAGAGTGAAGAAAAATGGTTAAGAATCTCCTAGGAAGCTTAGTAAACTTCTAACATCAACATTAACAAAATGTTTAAGAGAATGATAATTACAGGTGTCACAGGGCTCACTGTTTGCCTCATAAATAGGGCTAGATTCAACGTGTCTGGCATGTATCTGGAAAACTGGTGAGGTGGACCTGACAAAAGTCTCTTGGATAAAATGTATTCTAAAAGTGAAGAAAATGAGAGACAGATGACTTGACTTAGTCATTGTAGGAGGAAGTAAGTCTGAGTACAGCACTGTGTTCTCACTAAGTTTATCTACCGGTTGTGCCCAGCAAAAACGGAAGTAACGCCGAACTACAGGTGGTCCCTGATGGCCTCAGACAGACTCAGCAATAGGCATGTACAGGGTGAGCAGGAAGGAATACCTGGCAGAAACCTAGTACCCCATGGAGGGGCCTGCCACAAAAGAAGAGAACAAATGAGCATGACATTTGAGAGCTGTAGATGATCAGACTTGTTCAGTATTGCATGGGAGGCATCCTATAGAGATGCCCCATAACAGGACCTGTACCACTGGGCAGCAAAAAGAGATAGGGAACCGTGGGAGGCTATTGTGATCACAACCACTGTTTACTCATAGGCGAATGTGGCCTTGGGAAATGCCAGCACATGAGTAAATGACCATAAATGGTCATTCTTTTGACTGCTAGCTGATGGTTGAAAGCCTCAAAGAAATATACTATAGTCCACAATAACAACTAAATGCAAAGACCTCTGGAAATTTCTACAGATGTATAGACTCTGCTGTTAAGTCAAAGCAGACCTTTGTCTAGACAGCTCTGAGATAGATAACTCTTCTATTTCCTTCTGGCGTCTGCTATCTCTGGGGACTTATAAAGGACCTTGTCTTCCCTGATAAGGTGATATCATTTGATTTATGTATTAATTGGGTTGGGATAGGCTTTGTCAGTAACAGTTTTCTAAAAAAAAGAAATCTCAATGGCTTAATGCAATAAAGACTTACTTCTTGATCACATAGTGCCTGATACAAATTGGGCGGCCCTCCTCCATCTTAAATATATTCCAACTACAGCACATGGTCTCCATGATCATCATAGAAGGGAAAAGAGAGCTAGAGGATCCACAGGAAGATTTTCAGTGCCAGGCCTACCTAGAAATGTTCATCTCACTCCTGTCCATTTTCCCATTGGCCAGAATTGTCCAAGACCCACCTGGCCCATGAAGGCTTGGAAAGGGAGAGGGACACCTGACCACTGGGTGAGCATGAAGAATCTCTGCCACATATTTTCCTTAAACAATTCATCTCTCTCATTAGTTGCCTTGTTTAAATTGCTGTTGTTAAATACATTTAGTTAAGTATTGGCGAATGAATTAGTCAAGAAAGGAGAAATATATTCATCAAGGTTAAAAAAAAATTAAAAGCCGGTACCAGACACATCTTCTTCTGAGTCATCTCAGTGTGATTTATCTAGTAATGAGTTAAATGTTTGCTGTATATTTACCACGGAGTGAGACAGAGCAGCCTTTATGTTCTCAGCAACAGCTTCGAACGCTGCCAGCATTAGAACCTATTTGTTTTATTGAGAAGAGGGATTGTTGGCTGGAACACAAGGGCTCCCCATTACTCTTTCTGGAAAAAGCAATGGGAACTTTAACTTTTCTCTGGACAGCTACCAACATCTATCAGAAGAAACAAGAGTGTAACGTCTCTTTCTGAAGGGCCGCACTTAGAATGCCTAACAGCCTCCCAGCCTCTACTGGTGTCAGCAGTGGATAGAAGTCCAAATGCAAGCTATTCTGTGTTTACTGGAAGTGCTAAAGTGAATCAACCCTATAAACGGAAAACAACAAACTGACCTGACCTGGAATACTAAATGAAACCGAAGTCCAAAGGTACCAAGCTCAAAATCAAGAGCAGAGGCATTCAAGTGTACCCTCTTCCCCCCAGGATTAATTCTGAGTTCAGACAGAGACATATTCTATGACCTCAAGTAGAAGACTTCATGTCTCTGCACTTTGGCTAACTCAAGGTCAAACTCAAGTCTCTATCAAAGTTTTCTACTTCTCAAAGTTGAGTTTTCTAAAACTCTTTTTTTCAACTGACTGCTGACTTTAAATCTTCCACATGGCTTCCTTCAGCTTCAGTAGACTATCTGCTTCCTCCTAATTCACAGAGAAAACTGAGAAACGAGTGAGAAAACTCCCAACTCTGTCCACACTGCCCACAAGTTTTTCAGCCAAGTATTTTCCACTTCCTGTCCTGTTCATTCCTCCACCCACCACTGCCTGGCTTCCACCTTCGCTGCACCACTGAAGCTGCTCTGGTTAACACTGCTGCTGCCTTAACCTGAAGAACACTTGTAAATCCCTGTCTCATTTGACCTTCCCTTGGCATTCAGTACGGCTGTTGACCATTTCTTCACTTTCCATTCTGCTGGTTCCTGGTTCTCCAGGTTTCTGGTTCCCCTAACACCTACCAAGTCTCTTTAATGCCTTCTTAAATGTTGCTGTTGCCCCAGGTATCCCATTTAGCTCTCGGCTAATTCATTGAACAAGGCTTTCTTGAATGAGGAAGAACTTAGTGGAAAGGCTAAAGCCAATCAGCTCCTCAGAGTGAAAACGGGCACAAGGGTTGGCACCAGAAAAACAGAATAGAATAAGATCCACCCCTGTCCTCATGGACCTATGCTCTGGATCTCATTTGATTGCCCCAGCATCTACCCAGGCGCCCACGCTGAAAACTGTCACACTCACAGCCAAAAGATCCCCGAATACAGTCACATCTGTCTTTTGAAAATCTTTTGCATCTGCTCACTCTGCTTCCTCTGTGTGGTCATCAGCTGAGTTCCAGCTTTTGTCATCCATCACCTGGACCAATGGCAATAAATCTTCCTTGTTCACTCTGACTCCAGCCTCACGTCCCTCCAATCTTTCCTGCATATTGCATTCACAATGATTTTTAAAACACTCAATGTGGTCACATCATTCTTCATTCAAATCTTTTCAGTAGTTCCCCCATCATCTCCTTACGAGGCTTCTCATGAGCTGGCTCTCACCAGCTTCTCCTGTATCTCTTCTACTACTCTCCTGCGCACATCATAGCCTCCAAAATTAATAACCACCTTAGAGTTTCCCTGAGTGTTGACATGTTATCACACTTACACAGCAATAGCCTTAAGAAATCCTTTACAATCATGTGACTGAGATTCTTCATGTTATCTATGTAGTTTACTTTTTATACCACAAGTCTTGCACATAAAAGCACATTGACTTACTCATCTAACAGGCATCTCAAACTTAACTTATCTGACACAGAAAAACCTGCTCTTTCCTGCTCTTCTCCATCTTCACTGCTCAGGCCCGAAAACTCGGAGGCAAACACAATTCCTCTCCCTTTCCAATATGTCCAAATCAGCTGTCAACTCCATACCCAATATATAGCCCAAAGCAATCCACTTCACTCCATCACCATGGCTGTCTCCACAGTCCATGTCACAGTCTCCAGATGACTATAAAACTTCCCAGCAAGTCTCCCTGCATCCAGTCTTGCCCCCTTAGAATCCATTCTCCACACTGCAACCCACGTGATCATCTAGGAACATAAATCCTATCATGTCACTCCTTGTTTAAGACCCTCCGATGGTTTCCTTGAAACTTAGAGGAAATTTCAAACACTTTCAGAGCCCTGTGTGAATCAGCCACACCCTCCCCACTCCTCCTGTGTACCCCTGTCTTTCCCGCACCCTCTGTGCTCCAGTCACACTGAACTTCCTTCTGTCTCAAACACACCAGCCTTATTCCCACCTCAGACCCTCGCAGTGGCTGTTCCCTCTCCATGAGATGCCCTTCTTGCAGAGGCCGGCTCCCTCCTGATGTTAGATGCCAGCTTAAATATCACCTCTTCAGAAAAGCCTTTCAGGATTACCATGCCTAATGCACCTTCATCACATCACCCTGTCCTATTGGTATTATGGCTCTTACCACTGCCTGACTTTAAATCAGCTCTCTCCCCTCATGAAAGTATAAGGCCCCAAGGGCAGGAACTTGTTTATTACTATATCTAGTGGTGGTATCCAAATTATTTAACAACAGGTCTGGCATAGACTCCAACCCATCAGAAGGGATGCCCATCTGTAAACCCTCAGCTGGCCTGACTGCAAAGTAGTCACTGGACATCAGCCTTCTTGTGTCCTGCATCTGAACAGTGTGACTCTCAATACATGTCAGTTGAATGGGTGAATGAATAAATTAACAACTGTTTCTTGGTTAGGTTCACTGTTCCATCAGGAACACAGGCCTTCACTGTTTTTCTTAAAAAATATATTTATTTATATATTTATTTTTGAGACTGGGTCTGGCTCTGTCACCCAGGTGGAGTGCAGTTACATGATCACAGCTCACTGCAGCCTCAACTTCCCAGGCTCCAGCGTTCCTTCCTCATTAGCCTCACAGGTAGCTGGGACCACAGGCACATGCCACCACATCTGGCTAATTTTTGTATTTTTGGCCGAGATGGGGTTTCACCATGTTGCCCAGGCTGGTCTCGAACTCCTGAGCTCAAGCAATCCACCCGCCTTAGCCTCCCAAAGTGCTGGGATTACAGGTGTGAGCCACCGTCCCCAGCCACAGGTCTCCATTACTAAAGAAGGGTGTACTGAGCCCCTACATGTCCAGGCCTGATCTGCACCCACTGAGAGGCCCCTCGGTTTTCCTGCACAGGTTACTTCTCTTCAGGGACTGTTGTTGTTTTTAAATTTTATTTGAACCAGTAGCTCTGGAATTTGGGTAGGATGATTTCCGCCCAAGTCCTTGACATCCACCAGTGTTTACTTCCTTTTTGTGCATTCTGTGGGCACCCACGGCTGAACAATAGTGAGAGGGGCTCTGAAACTGATTTCAGAAGATGGGGTTCAAGGTCAAGCAATATCACATGCCAGCTGTGAGTCGTCAGGTCTTGGACAGATTATTTAAGTTCTCTGAGTCTACTTTTCCATCTTTAAAATAGGCACATAATAATGGCCTACCTCCCGGGATGGCTGAAGGACTGTATGAGATGGTACACAGCAAAGTATCAAACCAGCCACACCTAGCATTTGAGAGCCATATGTGTTAATTTCATTTTGCTCACCACTTCTCTTCAGAGTTGTTATGAAAATCAAATGAAATAATACACATGCAGCTGCTCTGCAAACCATATGTAATGTTCAGATTATTGATAATAAATTATCCCTGATTTGAGAAATCAGGTGGCTTTCCAGAAATTATGAAGAGCTGGAAAGGAACTTTAGGCCTTGTGGTGGCAAAGTCAGTGCTCCAGCCAAGGAGGCCCATGCTCTGCTTAGCTAAACGGCCCTCCCTGGAGATAGCATCATTGGAGGGCAATCTTAGTATGTCATACAAGGTTGCTAGGTGCTAAAAATATAGACTTGCCAGTTTCCTACAGAGAAGGAGGGTTTTCTGCTGGGTTCAAGCATTACTCTAGCAGCAAGATCTGGGGGCACCTTCTCTTTTATCTCTCCTCCGAATCAAATGTCTTGCCCTTTATTTGAAAATAAAGCTCTCCCAGCACTTTGGGAGGCTGAGGTAGGTGAATCACTTAAGCTCAGGAGTTTGAGACCAGCCTGGGTAACAAGGCAGAGCCCCATCTCTGCAAAAAAAAAAAAAAAAAAAAAAAAAAAAGAAAGGAAAAACACTCAGCCAGGTGTGGTGGCACTTGCCTGTAGTCCCTGCTACAAGGGAGGATGGCTTGAGCTTGGGAGGTTGAGGCTGCAGTGAGCTGAGTTCGTGCCACTGCATTCCAGCCTGTCTTAAAAAACAAAAGAAAAGAAAGCTCCCTGGGGCTCTCACCTCTCTCATTCATCCAGGCTTTCCCCAGTTCCTGGAATTCTGTCTCCTTCTGCCTTCTCCGGCCACTAGACCACCTCATATGGAAATTCAGACCGTGACCTGAGCAGCCCTATGGAGCTACACATGTCACTTCCTGCTCTCTTCATAGTCACATGCTAGTACACAGCAGCCCCGACCTAGTCACAGCTACCTGCAGTGGGGCCCTCACCCTAAAAGCCCCACCAATACCGACACACAGCCAGTTACCTTGATTTGGAGACATTAAGGTTCTCAGAAGATCACTTAAGCCCTTAAATCAACAAAGTAGTTCTTGATGCGGCCCACAGCGAGGTTTCTTACCAACGCTCTGTCTAACAGCTTCAACCAACTATTTTTGCTAACTAGGTACTAAACTTTTAAAGTCATTATTTAAGTCTTTTGTGCCTCCTAAATTCACTGCCTTGGAGCAAATCCCTGGTCATGAACCTCTGGTTGCCCCCTTGCCCAGACTTTCTCAGAGAGAAAGGTAGGAATGGGTCCCAGAGTTGATGTCTCCACTTAAAACCCATCTGCCACTTACAAACTATTGACCTTCGGCAAATCATTTCATTTCTCCATGCCTCCGTTTCCTCATAGATAAAACTGGTGATGATCATGATGATGTTACCTACATCACAGAGTTTTTGTAGGAAATTAAGAAAATGTCTGTGAGGTGCTCAGCTCAGCACAGTGCCTCGCACATTCACAGTAAGTAAAGAATATGTCTTAATTTTAGTATTAGTATTACTGTTTAGCTCAGGAGTAAGCAAATTAAGGCCCAAGTGTCAAATCCTACCACACACATTCATTTACATATTGTCAATGCATGTTTTCACTACAATAGCAGAGTTGAGTGATTGAAACAGAGACAGCATGGCCACAAAGCCTAAAATATTAACTAGCTGGCCCTTTACAGAAAAAGTTTGGCAACTCTGGGTTTAGCCTGTTGTATCTCTCCTTCCTGGCCAGATGGTGAGACCAGCATAAAAACCACTGGTGACAGAGGCTGTTAGTTGCCTCCCAATACCCAGTTTTCTCTTCCTGTATAGTAATAGAATCCTCTCCCCTTTTTAGCCTGCACATGATGCCTGGAATAAAGACTGCATTTCCCAGACTCCCTTGCTACTAGATACAGCCATGTGACTGAGTCCTGGCCAATGGGATGTAATTTTAACTACTTTATGCATTTTTTCTTGGGGGAAAATAAAATTCTTATAGGACTTCCTTTTCCTCCTTTCTGGAGTCTGAAATGTTAAGTATGGAGGCAAAAGCTGAAGCTGGAGCAACAGTCTCAGAATATGACAACAACCATGAGAATGGAGGCCATTCATAGCAGAACTACGAGACAAGAGGAGCCTAGGTCCCTGAGCTGCAGAACTGCATACTAACCTGGTATGCATCTTATTTGAGCAATTTTGGGCTTTCTGCACTCAGTGATGATTTGTTAGTCTTAAAAAATATACTAGACAAATCTTTAAAGAAGAGTAGAAAGCTTATTGTTAGTTAGCCCTCAATGGCTCTTGTTTGACACTACCTAAAAATTCTTTGCAGTAAATTTTGTACTCGGATAGGTTGGTTCTTGGCCACACAGAACAATGTATTCTTGCAGAAGGCCAAAAGAACACTGCACATGTTTTATGTTTATTCAGGGAAAAGGATTAATACTCATTCAAGGAAAAAAAGATTTATTAAAAGGCTTAATCAGGGACAAAAAAGAGACTCATTTGGAATTAAGATTTAAAAGAAGATGAAAGAACAAGCAAAAGAAGAGTGGCATTAAGCCTGAAAAGAGAATCCAAGTCTTGGACTGACACTGGTTCAAGTTGGGTCTCTGGCTCATGCTTCCAAAAGGAGCTGTCCTCTTAGAAGCAAGCCCTCCAGTGGGACAGGGTCAGGGTAGGGGTTGAAAGACACTCTTATATTCTTACAGATGAGAAGACTAATGCTCAGTGAGGTGAACTCCTTCAGGGCCACAGGCTGTAAAGATCTAAACACCATCTGATCCAGTTTCAATATGACTGCCTGGATGAAGAAGGATTTGAGACTAAGTTTATTCCTCCAAAGCAAACCAACTGAGAATGCAGGTAAGGCAGGAAACAGTCATTGTTTCTGGAGAAAGGATCTTCTGTGATCTTGTGTCTGAAGTCTGTTTGAACTTCTGTAGAAATGCCTGGGAAATGCACACTGTGAGTAAAGAAAGGAGACCTAGTACTTTTTAAAATGCCATTGAAATCTGTGACTGTAAAGGAAAGAGACTGCTTGCATCCTGCCAGCAAAAAACAGATTTAGAAAAGAAAGAGCTGTGTCCAGGAAACTTGTGAACTTTCTGTTTGGATGGCATATATTTTCTTTATAAACCCTCTTTCATTGTCACTTACTCAGTTACTAATTACAATAGTCTCTGGGGATGATTGGGCTGGGAGCGTTCAGTGACAACCAGATAGTTAAAGGACATACAGAACACTTCCCAAAATTCAAACCACTGCAGAGCCCAGAAGCTTCACAGTTAGAAAATCTCTGTTCTCAATGAGGCAAGGCCACCATTTCCCATAGTTGTGCCAAATCCGCTTCCAGGGTTAACTTTTGCTTACCAAGTGTTTCATATTTTAACATTTGTGTGTGTGTGTGTGTGTGTGTGTGTGTGTGTGTGTACTGGGACAAGTATATAAGTAAACAGTGTCACACTTTATAACTAACAACTGTATGTGTTATTACCCCATTTTACAGATAAGGAAACTAAGGTCAAACTTAAGAGACTAGTTTGCCCAGATTGCCCGCTAGTAAAGTGGCCTTATTGAGATACCAACTGAGTTATTGTTCATTCAAACCTGCTCTTTAAATTATTTCTCTTTTTTAAAAATGAAGAGCTGGAGAAAATTTCTTATGACCAACTAAAGTCAGAGAAGTCTGTGCTGTTTTGTTTTCAAAGTTACCCAGTACTTTATGTTGCCTTTATTTTTAATCAGTGGCTCTGATTCACCCGCTGCACCTTATGCATTGATGTGGTATCCTAGAAACAGTTTACTCTTGTTTCAAAGAAATTATTCTCCATATCCTGACTGGCCAGATTCTTTCATTACTTTTGATAGTTCCCAGTGTGTTTCTGATAGACCTGAAAGTCCCAAGAGACCCTTACCGTACTCTGTAGACAAGCAATTCTCAATTTTTTTCAATGTCAGGACCTCTTTACGCTCTTAAAAATTATCGAAAACCCCAAAGAACTTTTGTTTATGTGGGTCAGATCCATTGACATATACCATTCTGGAATTTAAAACTGGGAAATTTTTAAACAATTGATTAATTTATTTTTTAAAAATAATAACCTTATCACGTTTGCATAAATAACATTTTCATGAAGCTTAAGCCATGTTTAAAAAAATGAGTAAGATGTGTATGTTTTTATAAATCTCTAATGGTTGACTTAATAGAAGACAGCGTATGGGTTCTCATACCTTCTTTTGTATTCAATCTGTTACGCTGTCTTGGTTGAAATATGTAAAGAAAATTCAGCTCTATACAGATATGTAGTTGGAAAAAGGAGGAATATTTTTATAAACCTTTCAGATACTTGTGGATATCCTTCTTTAATGCCATTCAAAAACTCAAAACTCAACAAGTGGTAGTTTTTTTAAAAAGATTAATTGCAAATGGAATCAAATTCATTATCAATGAACTTTTCCTGCTCTGTTACTTTAAACTCCATTGGACTATATTTCACTATGAATACACACACGATTACGGGACACCATGCGTTGGTCATTTGGAAGCTCACTGAGCTATTCAGATCTTCCAAATGTTGGCATATTGTATTATATAATATCCCCAAAGATTACATCTATTAATATCACTACAAATAGCATCAGAAAAGTTCTGAAGTTTTGGGAAGCTGTCAGGCCCACAGTGGAAAATTCAAGTTGGGTTTTTGATTGTTCATTTGCTTTTTGTGACAGAGTCTTGCTCTGTCGCCTAGGCTGGAGTGCAGTGGCGCAATCTTGGTTCACTATAACTCTGATCCCCGGGCTCCAGCAATCCTCCCACCTCGGCCTCCCGCGTAGCTGTGACTATAAGCACACACCACCATGCCCGGCTAATTTTTGCATTTTTTGTAGAGACAGGGTCTTGCTATGTTGCCCAGGCCAGTCTCAAACTCCTGGGTTCAAGCAATCCACTCGCCTTGGCCTCTTAAAGCACTGGGATTACAAGCGTGAACCACCATGCCTGGCTGAAGATTCAAGTTTTTAAAACATCTGATTTCCACTTGAAACCTTGAATTGTATCATTGGCAACAAATAATGTCAGTTATTTTCCTTGAGATGACAACTTCACTTAGTTATTTTCAAGAAAACTGCTGCCATGTAGCCAACTGTGAATGACCACAGTTTGCCTGTCAGTCATTCTGTCAAGTAAAATGGTGCTCCTCAAACAAAGCAGCACGTTTAGCTCACAACTCAACAACCACACAGCAGTCTTCCTCCCACCCACCATGGCACTTATATTAATATAAGCAGCAGAGGTGCTTTATGTATGAGTATTGTGTGAAAATACTCAAAAGACCTGTAACCAAGGGTCAAGATTACTACAATTAATTTCTACTGCTTCCTAAGGGCATTCTTAAGTGACACTAGCATATTTTACAAGCCAGAGTGTAACAATGAGCACAATGACTGCTACCACAGCTTGCTGCCAGCCATTGCCTTGACTTGTCCTAAAACACAGCCATTTTCATCCGCCTCCATGGCTACTGCATCATCAGTGCAAAGTCAACCCAGTAAAAAAGGCAAATAGCATCTCCGTGTTATCATAAAAATAGTTTTGACCTCATGGCTCCCCTTAAAGGGCTTGGGGCATCACAGAGAGCCACTGCTACAGCCAACTGAGAGAGAACTCTCAAAAGCCAGGCTTTTTCTGTCCCTGTCCTTCTCACAGTGAAACACTTAACGCACTCTCTGATTGTGGCTCTTAACTCGCCAGGTAAAAGTCCTTCTGTGTAGTCTAGGAAGAAGGGCAAGGGCAAAGGGAGGACTTTGTTTATGAAGCCTAAGTAGAATATGCTCTGCTAGATAATCAGTCCTGGAATGAAGGAGGGGAGAAGTGAGTTTCTGATTGTCTGAGCCCAGGTCTGATGTTGGGAAATGCCAGCATTCCAACCCCTGATTTCCATTCCCACTACCAGACTTAGGCAAAGTTACTCACCCGTTCTTGACCACATAAATGTATGTGTGATGGCTAATTTTATGTGTCGACTTGACTGGACTAAAGGATGCCTGGATATTTCTGGAAGAGACTAAGATTTGAGTCAGTAGACTGAGTAAAAATTGCCCTCACCAATGTGAGTGATCCTTATCCAATCTGTAGACGGCCCGAATGGAACAAAAAGGTAGAGAAAGGGAGAATTCACTCTCTCTAACCCGGAACAGCCATTCAGCCATTTTCTCCTTCCCTTGGACATCAGCACTTCTGATTCTCTGGCCTCCAGATTATGACTGTGACTTACACCATCGGCCTCTCTGGATCTCAGGCCTTCCAGTTTGGACTGGAATTACACCACCAGCTTTCCTGGGCCTTCAGCTTGCAAACAGGTGATTGTGGGACTCTTCAGCCTCCATAATCACACGAGCCAATCCCTCATAATAAACCTTTCCTGGCCAGGCGTGGTGGCTCATGCCTGTAATCCCAACACTTTGGGAGGCCAAGGCAGCCAGATTACTTGAGGACAGGAGTTGGAGACCAGCCTGGCCAACATGGTGAAACCCTGTCCCTACTAAAAATATAAAAATTAGCGAGGCATGGTGGTGGGCACCTGTGGTCACAGCCACTGAAGAGGCTGAGGCAGGAGAATTGTTTGAACCTGAGAGGCGGAGGTTGCACTGAACTGAGATCATCCCACTGCACTCCAGCTTGGGCAACAGAGCGAGACTCTGTCTCAAAAAAAAAAAAAAAAGAAACTTTTTTTTCATATCTCTATATGTGCCATTGGTTCTGTTTCTCTGGAGATCCCTGGCTAATACACTATATAACAATTACTCCCTTTGAAAATCAGGAACTCACAGATGATTCAAAGTGTGACCTACACTTTTCTTGCTGATGCCTGGCCATAGGCAGCAGCGCAAGACTGTGTCTCTCTCTCAATCTCTCTCTTTCACATCTCAGGTTTCTATGCAGTTAGAAAAGCTACTTTTCTAGAATCACTTTTTCCTAAGTAATCCATATCACATCTGTTAGGAATTACTAATTAATAAGCAAAGTTAACCAAAAAAAGAGAGTATTATAAATCCATCTTTCTATTAGATTGTGATAACTGCCCCCTTCTATTCATTATTTCCTGTACCAAACTCATTTTGTAAACTAAGATCAAGTCTAATAAAAAAATTCTTTTTTGTTAAGTAGCAACAAGCATGCCACATGAAATATTGAAATATATTGAGTTTACAAAAAACAAACTCAAAAGACTATCTTATTAAATTCAAAAGGAATGTTTCTTCACAAAAAGCTTTTTGGGTAAGACAATGAGGATTCACCAGCTCTATTTTATTACAGATACCTGAGTCTGTTTTATGTTTCTGTGGTGGAATTTGGTTCTCAGAGCTTTGTGACCTGTCGATGAGGACATCTCAGTCAGTCTTTTCCAGTACCTCTTTTGTTTGTTTTAGTTTGCAGAATCTGTGCAGCTAAACAGAAATTAAAACAACTGATTTCTAAGACTCGTCCAGCTCTGACATGAAATGATTCTAAGAACCCCTGTGATTTTCCAAATTATAGCCTGTGTTCTTGCTGTCCATTGTCTTGCTATTTTGTAGAGTATGATCCAGATTCCCGGCCTGTCCTAATCTGTTGGAAAATACTTTCAATTTGAAAAGCTGGATGGATAAAAATGACAATTCTCTCAACTCCAGTCCCCATTATGCAGGTTTTCTGTGGCTTTGGGGGTTAAATGCCTGATACAGACTGATTGCCCCTACCGTTTTAGAGAGTTCTCATGTTGTTTCAGCTGCTTATGTAAAAAAATGTTAAGCTGTATTACCATTTGAGTACTTGATTTAGTGATGCTTTCAATGACTGCTTGCATTTTCTGGACATGTAATTCCATTTTTTATATACCATCCCTAGTTTAAACCTTCAAAGCCATATTTTAAAAGCATCAGCAGCTGAGGCTGAATGTAAATATTCCTTTAATCTGGCTGAGACTACACACCTCCCCCTTTAGGAAAAGAAAAAAAAAAACTGTAGAGACTGTCATAAATAACTTTACTTAAGTGAATGCTGAAATTAGGCACCACATTGCTTGGCTCCTAGTAACCTCTTTGCAGCCAGATATGTAGAGTACCCACTGGCCAAAACTTCATCTTTTCAGAAATGGAAAGCAGGGAAAAACAATGTGATCACCTTTTAAAGGGGCATGTTGGACCCAGTTCCAAAGTTCAATATGCCTGGACAGTTCTCAGTGCAGTAACTACAGCTGACCTTGGAAGAAAATGATGTTTATAGCAGCCCATGAGTCGGGAAGGGTGATAATGAACGAAATGTAATCATGTATTCCTGGCACACACTTTGAATAGTACAAGGAGCTAATTGCATTTAAGTATTATCTTACAATACAGTGACCCAATCATTTTGGAAGATAGCCAAAGCCTCCCTTTTTAGAAGAGGAGGAACTTTTTAGCAAAAATTCATTAATTTTAACCTCTGAAACTCCAAAAACTTTTTCCTGGATCAAGTCAAATGGCACGGATTTTTCCCGTAACTCTTCCTATCTGTACTGTCAAATGCTGACATGTATATCACAGGCTCCTGGGCTGAACTCTGAAATGATGGATCCTGTTATGCTTTGGCTCCTGGTAATCCTTGGTTTAGTATAACTTGTGGCACCACTTACGGCGGTTCTCACTCAGATGACATGAAGGAAATATTCATCCTGCTAAAGTCTGGTGCCTGTCCAGGGAAGAGTGCCAGCCCACAGTGCCACAAGAGGTAAGGGAGAGCACAAATGTCTCAAAGAACAAAAGAGCAACAGGAAGAAACCAGTCCTAAAATGGCATGTAAGAATATACTTTGCTTTCCCTTTTCAACTCGTAGTTTGATACGTAGGTTAATGCCATCCTACATACCTTTATGTTGGAGTTAAGCAGGCCCTTGAAAAATAAACGGAGAACTGACAAAGGAATTAAGGTATTTTCTTCTACATACACATTTTTTAGAAAGTGCCAGTGTAATTGATAGCATATGCTGCTTTTTAGCCATTTTTCAGTTCTATGTATATAAAGGATGTTGGAATTAATTGGTCTCTTTCTGGAATTTGTGTTTTGGTCAAGTGCTTAAAATTTCTTATAATACTTTTCTATTAATACTGTTTTGTGAAGCTGGCATTTTTAGCTAAAACATATTTGGGACTGCAATTTGCTACAGACATTACAGCCAAATTGAACAACAAGATGAAGACACTGACTCTGCTTTCAGGAGCTTATACGCCAAACACCGGAAATGGAAAACTTGTAATTATTCGAAAAGCAGGCAACAGGAACACAAACTTTTTGAAATATCAGTAATATCAACTTGAGAAGTTGCTTGTAGGCCATCAAAATCCATCTGTGTTTGACAGTTTTACCATAACTAGATCCAATTTGTACATCAGATAATTGGAAGGTACTTGACTAGCGGGGGAAAGAAAAAAAAAAGAATATTGGAAAGAAAAAGAATATGGATCTATTAATGAAAAGAAGTGAAATTCTATGTCTAAGGGAAATTTTTTAGAGTTTGTCAGATTCCAGAGGTAGTCCAAGGTTTTTTGACATGACCCATGGAATACCAGGCAGAAAAAGAAATAAAGCCAACATCTTCTTGCAGCTGGCAGGCAGAGTCAGACAGAGCAGGGCAAAGGACAGTTGGGGAACTCCCTTTGGGCTTCCCTCCCTCTTGTGGATCAATCATGGTGTTAGAATACAAATGGGAATTTTATTTGTCCCATAGCCAATGATAGGGGACACAATTTTTAAACTGGACAGATTCCAAGTAAACTCCACCCGCTATAAAAATCACGAGGCAGTCGGTGAAAAGCAGCCATTCTTCCTGCTGGAGGCTGTGAATGAAAATGTATGTTTTGGTGTTAGGTACTCCCATTGCTTAAAAATTGGGAAATAACAGACTAAAACATTTCAAGTATTCCAAAAACAAGCAGAATTTGAGAAGCGGAATACTAACAGCTAAGAATCCGAGATCAAAGCACTAAAAGTTCAAGCAGAATAAGCAAGGGAACACAAGCAGACATGAGGCCCAGGAGGGTCGCTGAAGTGAAAGGGGCTTGAGTCCCACTGAGGCCTGTGCTCTCAGAAGCTCTGAAGCGAAACAAGGGATTAAACTGCCCCAGGACAAAAGCGATTCATAAAAGTACACAACAGCCACCACCAGGAACATAGAGGGGCTCTCATTAAACTGGGCTTAGATCAGTGAGAATGAATGAGAGGATCCCGCTCCCTAGCCATCCAGGGTGGAGACTGTTGTTTGGTATAGCTCGGGCACCTGGATTTGGAGGAAGGCCTGCCCATTATAGGACACAGAAAATAGCTCCAGTGAAGGCATGGCTGTAGGCTGAGAGTGAATCAAAACTTAACGGGTAGGAGAAGTGCGAGGACCCGCGTGCTTCCGCTCTTCAGTGACTCCAAAGAACGTGGTCCTATTAGTCCTCGGGTGTGAGTCTGTCTGTCCATGCATAAAAACCATTAACTGGCATCCATAATCCTCTCCAATCCCTATTCCGTGGTCAGTCCCCACCTCCGCAGATACTGCTGTGTGATGCTCACACACCCTGATGTGCTTACTTCTGATGATTTATTCTTAGAAATCTACAATAATATTTTCTTCCTTTCCCTGGTAAAAACTGTTTTATCTTAACTGAGCCTCCTCGGGAACAAGTCAGAAAGCAGAAAGATAGGAAGATGGGCAGCTCTTGGACCCTTCAAATCCCACCACAAAGCAGTGTCTGTTCACTTAATGCTGTGTTTTTGTTTCGTTTTTGTAAGATACTAGGTGCAAAAACAAATGTAAGACACTTGCATTTTCCTAATATCAATGTACTTTTATCCCAGTGTAATCATTTCAGTTATTGAGTTCCATGAGGCCATTGCTTAGAAAAGCAACATTCCAAACAGACAATGCTGGGTGCACCTAAACCCAAATTTATAAAATGTACAAATCAACGAAGTGTTTAGAGCTCAAAAGTGTTGGATAAATGAATCAGTCTATGAACAAATGAATTAAGAGGGTGGTTATTCACTTTTCAAAAGGGTTATTTGGTTCTCTAACAGATTTATTTCAAAATCCCTGTGGAAAACTCCAGATCCAACAGAAATTATTTATAACTGCCCTTCAAAGAAAAAAAACCTGGTGAAACAGTGTAGGTATAGTTTTTGCAGGAGCATACATATTACTAAAAGAAAGATTCACTTCTTCTAAGAAACCTTTAATATTAAAACGAGAGATTTTTCTTCTTTCCTGGTTATATGAATTACAGAAAGTAGAAATGGTCAACAAATTATTAAATTAAGCCTTTTCCTATAAATGACTAGGTACTATGTCAAGGTCATTTTTTAATTACAATCTTCTCTTTGCTCCAGTAAAATTTAATTATCCTAACTACAACCTTCAGAGTCTACTTTTGGTTGAAAATATTAAAAAATGAGTCAAGATTGCTTGTGAAAAATCTGACCCCTTGATGTCCCAGACATAGGCTATTCAGATACTCAAAACACTTGATACGGGCTGCAAGAGAAAGAGCGTCATGTTACCACCAACAAGCAGACAAGGCAAATGCCCACGATGCCAGGCCACTGGCTAAGGGGTGGAGGGAGCAGAGGCACTTCAGGGCATGCCTTCAAGACACTGGTTTCCTATGTGATGTCACTCGGGGGTGAGGCCGGCTTGCCACTTGCCCACCCTTTCCATAAAACTGCGATTGCCCCCAGAACATCCCCAGTGAGGAATCTTTTCTGGACCTTGGGCAAGATATAAGTCATCCTTCCTGAAAATCAAGAAGAGCTGCTAACATGCTGAAGTATTTACAAATGAAATGATTTGTAAAATGTGGAATTTACTTTAAAATAATCTGTGAGATGGGAGTGGTCGCCTTGATCATTGTTATTACTGGGTGATGGGTTCGTGAAGGTTGTTTATACTTGGTCTCCTTACTTTCTGTGTGTGTTTGAAACTCTTCATAATAAAATGTTTTTTAAAAAATCTGCTAACATAGTTGGGGCAAGAAGCCAGCGTAGCCACAGAGAGAGAACAAATAAAATGTCTATAGTCACCTCATTTCTCAGGATGAAAAAAGCAAATCAGTACCTATTATTGAGTGAAACGTCCCACCATAGCACCACCCTATCTGATCAACACTGCCTCAAAGCCATTAAGCCCAGCGCCAAGTCAGATAAAGCAGCTGCAAAAACAGAACCTGCCCCAAACTTGAAACCTAAGGAAAATAATAATTTAAAATTTAAAAAAAATCTGAAATGAATCCATTTCTCCCGCATTTACAACAACTTTTCTCTTAAATTAAGCATCACCATGACCATTTGAATTACAAATGTATAAATTATTCATTATTTGCAATGCGGCTAAGTGTTCTGGCCCCACGTGTTGAAAGCCAGTGCTAAGCTTGCCTGGAATCTGGCTGACAAGGTGAGGGTGGCATCTGGGGACTCTGGGGAGGCAGATTGCCCGTCAGAACCCTCGGCCACCAGGGTGTAAGAATGGAAGAGTGCATTATACTGTACGGAGCTCTCAACTCTGACTTCCTCACACTGTGAACCGTCCCCACCATCTCCTGGCTCCCCAGCCTGTGACAGCTGCTACCCACTGGCACCACCTACATTTTAAACCAGCTGGAGACAGGGTTCTACGTGATAAGCCTGTTATATTTGCAGAATAAGCAGGAACACCTAATGGCTTAGCCCCCTAACGATTCAGGCACCAGCCTCTGACCGGCTACAGCAATGTGCGCTGGCAAAGCAGAGGAAAAATAATTAAAAGAGCCTTTGTCAAAGCTCTCTCTAAATCAACCCTTTAAATGTGTTCGGTTTAAGAGTCCCAATGTACCAATTCAATCACATGGGCCTGTAAGAACCACAGGAATGCCAGGATAGCCATGGCCAATTAGTCAAGCAAGATGGATGTGTGTGCGTGCATGCATGTGTGTGTGTGAGTGCATGCACGCATGTGCACACTCACATACATGCTCAGAGAATCCACACAGATGCTGAAAGCATTCTCTGGAGAGAGGGCACAGTGACCCCTCAAACAACTCTTCTTGTTTGAGAAATGGAAAAAAGGGGGAAATAACCATTGGAAAGATGGCAGCAAAGAGTGACACTCACAATAAAATAGAAGGGAGAGCAAAGTTAGCACATACAGATCCATTAGAAGAATAAAGCTCAAACAAGCATTTGTAATGTAATCCACGCAGAAACAAAGCAAGCCAGCCGTCTAAAACCTAAGGATAGGGCAGGGAGCAGGGAGAGACAGATAAAAAGAAGAAAACACCAGAGATGCCAAAACCAAGGGGGAAGAAAAAACATGCAGTGTCAGTAACTAAACACAAGAATAAGGCTGAAACTGTCAACAGTGCAACGTAAAACCCTGAACTGGCACCGTGCTTCTACTAACAAAGAAAACGTGTGCTCCATGCAGATGGCACCCAGCAAACCTTTAAAGACGTGTGTGTGTGTGTGTGTGTGTGTGTTTGTGTGTGTGTAATTTTTTTCTTTTATTTTAAGGGGTGAGGGGCTGCTGACAACAGTGGGGAGTCTGCACAATTGATCATGGCAAAATGTTTTTCTCCTGATATCTGCAGACCTACACTGTGCAGAATGAGCAGGCCAGAAAGAAGCATGGCTTCTTTCCATGAGGGTCACCGGATCCTGCACAGAGTCAGCAGGGCACGTAAAGGAGGCCTGGCAATAGGTGGTGATCCAGCAGGGCCGGGATCTGGGGACCTGGTGGGCACTGTGGACACTCAGACTCTCTCCTGTACTCTCTCTGGGTCAGTGAGACTGAACCCTTGCAAGTCCTCATCTTAAGTTTCTTATTTGCACCACAGGGGGCCTAAAATGTCATCCTTGACTCCAATGGTGCCCTTGTAGGTTAAGTTTGCAAGCCATTGAGCAGAGTGCTGTCGAGTTGGTTTATTTGTTCTTTGAATGGTCATGTTATTATTTGGATCCAAGTTTTAAATTTCCCTAATTCTAATTGCAGTTTCTGAGGACCTTGGCTCATTTCAAAATCTGGAAATATATTTGAACACCTCTCCCAGAAGTGGGTAAGAAGTTAGAATAATGGAAAGGCTTGGCTCCAAGTTCAGTTGAATGTCAAAAAGCCCAAGTTTGGCTGAATGGACTTTGTGTCGTGAAATCTCAGCTCCCTCTCTCTTCTTCCAGGCCAAATACCTACTGGATGAAACTGATAAAATTAAACAAAGAGAGAGGCTTGTGGTCTGATGCATTTATTGCAATTATGAGTACTTCTTCAGTTTCATCCTGCAATAATGTTTGCAATCATTTATCAATTCATCTAATCACATATTCAACATGTTGAGCCCCATCTATATGCTAGTCAGGACACAGACAGTGATAGTCCCTTCATCAGAAGTGATGAACTTCCCTCTGCACTCATCTTAGAAGTATTGGCCTGTGGACACCCCTAAGCTCCACAAGTCTGAGAATCACAGCTTTTATGCCCAGTAAGTCCACGCTTGTTAGTTTTCTACTCCTGCATTCATCAGTGGGGCTTGAGTTCTTCAACCTTAAAAGGCCAATAAACTGATTTGGTCCAACTTAGATCAATAATAGATATCTCCTAGGTCAAGTACATGAGGCAAGGAATATAGAGTGTAAAAATAAATGTATCAAGTTTTCTAGACAGCCACCAGAGCAAGCTCAGTGGTCCATGTGATGCTTGACTCCAGGTCCTTGATAATAAGCTCATTGACAGTTCTAGGCAGTCATAATCCACACAGGACAGGGAAATCTGTAAATTGGATGGCTTCAGTGGAAGCCTCCTTGCCCTACAAGGCCGTAAGGATGAGCTGTCATGAACTAGAAGGTCTATTTTCATTCTAGCTATTGGACCCCGCTTTTGACACACTGACATTCACAGCAAAGGTTAGGAAATTACAGTAAGTATTTTTCTATGGTCAGGCTGCTATTCTGGCATTTTAGGGGAACTGAAAACAGGCCCCTTGGCTTCCTGCATGTTTTGTGCATTCACAGTCCTGGGTTTTGCTGCATGAGAGAGATGTGCTATGGGGTAGGAATTGGACAAGCTCACTTACTGAGCTGGTCAGCCCACTTCCCAATGGGCGCTCTCAGAAGGAACCCTGTGAGATAGAAAGCAGGTCTCTCTGCCTTCAGGATACCTACATTCTAATCAGAGGCTGCCACACTAAACTTGCAGCCTCACCTCATTACAATTCAGTTCTTGTGCTTCTGAACTTTTACACCAGTATTTGGGGAACATTAGGAAGGGGAGACGAAATGTGGACAATGATTCCATTTTATTACATATGAAAAGGGCAGTGGAGCTGATGATTAATAACTACCGCATGCCTTGTGAGCTTGAACAGTCACCACTTTAATGTCAGAGACTTTATTTTCTGTTCCATAGAAAATGGTGGAAAAAGTAGCAAGAAAACAGCATGCATCTGTGGTTATATACTTATGCAATCAGATACTTAATTGCATTCTGTAAATTGCATGTATGTATGTAGGAAGCAATCATTTGTTTAACAACTCTTTGTGGTGTTTTCTTCTAATTTTCCTACAAATTAAATTTTAAACTTGATTTGGGGGTGATACCTAAAGTAAGTTGAACACGCTTTAAATGTCTTTTCTATATAATATTGACTGTCTTGGGAAAAGCACTTAATCACTGCATATGTACATATGTAGATGAGTCTAATTTCTCTTGAAAGAAGAAATTTAAATAAGCTAAGCTAGAGCTCCTATATTAAAACACCTAAAATTAAGCAAAGTATTTTCGAAATGAGTGTGAAAATCTCCTTTGGAAAGTTGACAGTGGGGAAGACATTTAGACCGTATCTCTGGTCCTCAAGTAAGAGGAAGCTCAAACATCAGGGGAGCAGAGGAGGTGTTTACATTTCTTCTTCCAGTTGAAGTTTCACAACTTTGGAAGCAAAAAAGAGAGGAGTGAACAGCTGGCTTTTACAGAGTATCGGAGAGCAGGGTTTCTGGACCAGGGCTCCCTACCCAGAGCAACGGGTTACTGGCAAAGGACAGCGAGAGGATCTACAAACGCTTGGGAAAACATGCTTAACAGGAAGCTCACTGACCTGATTGTGAGGATCAGAAACAGAAATTTGAGGGTGGAGGGGGAAAACTCTGTGAACTTACAGGACAGGGAACAAGACGTGCGCTAGAAAGAGAAGAATGATTGGGGAGGTGTTCCTTAGTGTTCAGCAGAAATAAGGAAGAGGGAAGAGCACGAGGCCAGGCCTCGGGGACCACCAGCCAACCCACAGACACAGAAACAAAGGGAGTTTGATTTTTTTTTTTAGACGGACTCTCGCTCTGTCGCCCAAGCTGGAGTGCAGTGGCACCATCTCAGCTCACTGCAACCTCCGCCTCCCCAGTTCAAGTGATTCTCCTACCTCAGCCCCCCAAGTAGCTGGGATTACAGGCACACAACACCACGCCCAGCTAATTTTTGTATTTTTAGTAGAGACGGGGTTTCACCATTTTGCCAGGCTGGTCTAGGATTCCTGACCTCAAGTGTTCCGCCTGCCTCGGCCTCTCCAAGTGTTGAGATTACAAGCGTGAGCCACCACCCTCAGCCCAGGAGCTTGATATATTAACACAAGACAGAACTATGATCTCACAGTGTCACTGAGGCAGGAACAAGGCCGATGACAGGAATACCACTAAGGGAGGCTATGCCTTGTTCAAACCATAGAAGTGGGGGGAGGGTATCACTGAACTGGATAATAACACTAGGTGTAGTTAGCTGTCCCTATATAGCAAGCATTGTGTTTATTGCCTTCTATTAGTTATTTCCTTTAATCCAACAAAGTAGAGTTCCATTTTTCAGATGAGGAAACTGAGGCTTGGAGAAGTAGGCTCCAAGCAGGCTTTCATCCTCTACACTAAACTGCCTCCAGAGAAAGTGCCCCAGAGCAGAACAAGCCTTGGAATGCTGTCGTACCCCTGGCCCATCCTGAGGGATGCTGCTGTACTTCCCTCACAGCGACCTGTGTGGAAGTCGAAGCCCAAAAGGCAGGCACAGCTGACATCCTGGCCAGGAGTACCCACTCCCATGCCAGGGCATAGTACATAATAGCCCTGTTTCACCTGCCTAGTGTCCACCCCTCACACCAGGAGTGATATATCCTGCATGCAGACCCACCAGCCGGAAGATGGAGGTAGCCAGGCACTCATGGGTGGGGACAAATGATGACAGGAAATAACCAAGGAAGTCATGAATGCCATGGTAACTACCTGGCGGGGGGTGAGAAACAAGGGCTTTCCAGCACAAGTCACAACTTGGGCACTTAGCACAGTGACCAAGAATCTGTCATCCAGGGTCCGAGACAAACCTCCCTCCGCTCAGTGTGCCTCCTTGGCTTCTCCACTGAGACGCCTCTACTGTAGGCCAAGAAAGTTGATCCTGAAAGCTCACCGCAGAAAGCAGCAAACTAAACCTCCTTCCTGCCTGGGCCCAGAGCCACCCAGGGCCCAGCAACCAGTTCTTATCTCTTCATCTGATTTGTCACACGTAAGTGTCATGGTTGAGCCATTGGTTTGTCTCCTCCATTATATTATGAGCCTCTTAAAGGCCAGAAGTGGTTTTTTATCCCTGAATCACCAACATGTAACTGCCCCCTAACAAAGCACTAAGTAATTGTTTACCAAATGACTCATGGATCTGACATTCTTCAAATGAAAACCCCCTAGGAAGGTTTTCTCCAATAGATTAGTCCTGCTTTCCTTTACACTTCACAATATACTTGTTTATTAGATTGTAAATTTCTCAAGGCCAGAAACTCACCTTAATCTATTCAATTGGTGCAAAAGTGATTGTTGTTTTTGCAACTACTTTTAATGGCAAGAACTGCAATTACTTCTGCACCAACCTAATATATCCAATGCTTGATCCATAACGGGCTCTCCATAAACAATAATATAATTTTTTTACCACCATGAAGCCCTCCAACCCTCCCCAAATGCTGTTAGGTTGGACCTCTCAATCCTATCCTTGTGTAATTCGCTTATGAAATGTAAATGTGGCATTTTTACATTTATTCCTATGAAGTTCCAACAGTACTTCACTTCAGTTTATGATTTTTTTAACCTTTTAATAATAATAATCAGTCACATTTTTGTCATTTGTATTTTCAACCAAGTCTTTAAGAACTATATTGAACAAGACACCTATGACTCACAAACCGCTCCTAGTATGAAGTTTTCACATGGGAGGTTTTCAATAACATTTTTAAGATAAAAGAGAAACCTACTAAAAGCAGACTATCTGATAAAATCTTGGCTTCCCCTGCTGACATGTGCAGACTTGAAGACAGAAGAAGTAATAAAGGGAACTCTTGCTACTCGGATGTTTTAAATCAGAATGTTGAAACCATAACCCCCTAGAGGTCACCCCTTTCTTGAGAGGTGCCAGGAGGAAAGTAAGAGGCTGAAGAGGGGTTGGCTGAAGGGCACTGGGGCCAGCAGGAAGTCAACCACTGCCCACCCACACCCCAGCTTCACCCCGAGCTACTCACTGCCATCTTGTATGTATTAGGGTTTTGCGTAAGGTTTTGTTTGGGAGAAACTGGTGCCCACAAAAAAGAAAATGGAAAATCAACCTCCCCATTTCACAGTTGCCCACCTCCTGCCGCATGTACCTTGCAAATGACGCTGTCAGCCAGACATCCCAGGGAGCTGCTTATTCATTTTCTTGTGGACAAGATGGGAAAATAGAGTGCAGTTAGGTTGGGTTCTTAGCAGACAATACACTGTGCTGAGATGATTAATGAATTGATTTCAACCTGGAGGGAGTTCCCTGGGTTGTGTCATAGAACTGTGTGAGATTTTTTCAGTGATTTGAAGGAAACATCAAAGGCATGTGTGCCAGATAAGTAGAAGATAAAAAGATGAGACGACTAAGATTAGAGAGTGTGAAAAAAAAAAAAAAAAACACACTCTTTTTAAAAAATGGCATTGGCCTAAGAATAGACCAAAAACAAAGGCATACCATGTAACAAGAATAAACACTAAGTGCCACTTTTAGATTTTCAAAAACAATTGCAAAAATACAAGATGAGGACATCTGACTTCAGCACTTTTTATTAGAAAGCCAGGAGGTTTATAATTAATAATAACTCCAGCTTTTTAAGTGTGCGCTCTGTGCCACTCAATCTGAGTTCAGAGTGGAGCATAAAAATAAAAGCTAAGGCAAGTTCTGTTTGCATTCATATAAATACAACATTCAAGGCAAGGAAACATCTGACCATAATCTGAACTGGCTGAAACACCAAGTGGGTTTACGGTTTCAATCCCGGATGACACACTGTAAGAGGGACCTTGAGAAACTGGGCCCTGTGCCAAGGAAAACAGAATTTTGAAGGCTCCATAAGCCACAATAGTGAAGAAGTGTTAAAGGAAATGGGGATATTCTGTTGAGGAAGAGCAATCTTGGGAGGAACGTGATAGATGTCTTTAAAAATTTGAAACATCCTATTAAAAGGGGATCCTATGTGTTTGGTGTAACAGCAGAAAGAGGAACTAGGATCAGGAGGGTGAAGTTTGAGGTAGCAGCCTTGTTTGGTCTTGAGCACCAAAAAATCATCTGACTAGCTTGAGCAAAAAGATACATTGGTTGGAAGAACATGAAGGAGTTCACCATTTCCTAGCTAGGCCGAGGAACCAGACTGGGGGTCCACAAGAAACAGAGGGCTCCAGAAAGCCTTGATATCAGGAACTTCTTGACCATCTTGCTTAGCACTGCCTCTACAATTAAAAGAATTCCAGCCATTGCCTTGGTGCTTGTGTCACCCTGCTCAAGATTCATGTCCTAGGAGCGTGAATTTCATTAGACATGCATAGGTCACACATCAGTCCCTTGACTGTCCCAGGGAAATGAGAAGAAGAGTCTGGCAGAAGGACCTTCAAGAGGTCCCTTTGACTTCCACAGGGGGAGGACACCTAGATTTATTTGTCAAACCCAGGCTGGCTCTAGTGGAAAGCAGTTTATTCCCCAAAAGAAAACTATGGTCCTCTTGGGAAGGGAGAATGGATTTAAGGCACCCAAAAAGTGAAAAATGACCATGACACAGAGCTCAAAATGCAGAAATACTTTCTAAAGATTAAAGTGGTCCAGGACATTGGAGACTACAAAGGGTGGGAGGGTGAGAGGGAGGTGAGGGTTGAAAAATTACCTATTGGGGACAGTGCTCACTATTTGGGAGATGGGCGCACTAAAATACCAGGCTTCACCACTACACAATATACGCATGCAAGAAATCTGCACTTGTGCCCCCTAAATATATAAAAATAAAATAAAATGGTCCAGGAATATAATGACCAATGAGGTCACCCTCATTTGAGGTATTCAAGCGTAAGTCACAGGATCAAACAATAGGAGGTATTGTTGGCTGAAGCTTCTATATCTCTAAATAAGTAGTTTTCAACTTGGGAACATGTCAGAATCATGGGAGGAGCTTTTTCAAATTATTTCTGCCTCGATTTCTTTCCTGTTCACAAAGATTCTAATGCCCTTTTACCATTCCTTATTCCCCATTGCCAAATGAGAACCCAATACAACACCACATCTGAGGTTTCTACTCACTCAGTGCTTTCTGTTGGTGAAATGGCCCAGAAAAAGAGATAGGAGGCTAATCAAGTGGGGAAGTTCTTTTTTATATAAAAATTTTTTGAGTAATAGGAATGTCTACCTTGTAGAGTTAGGCAGCATAAGACATATCTGTTAAAAAATGGAAAGGAACTTGGCTGAAGAAAATTAATAGTTGGAGTTATCTGGCAATGCTGCATATGTTGGCTTCCCTAGGCTACTGTTATTTTGTTTGGAAGGGGTCCAATTTTCCCCTTGCATAAAAGGAGACAAGAGCTGTTTGAAGCCATTAACAGCATCAATAGGAGGGACATTTGAATTAATAACCAGGAGACCAGTCAGCCAGAAGCAATTTTCAGCATAATCTTTTCCTTTGACTTTTGTTGTAAGACTGATATTTTGCTGCATTATATTTGGTCCAACATGCCACAGCAGAGCCAAATCATTTATCTTCCCAACTCTCTTTATTTTTTAAATTGGCCTAAGTAAAATTGTTTAATTTATTTGCATGGCGATCCCCTCCGTGGATCGTGTTAGGCACTGTGAAGTGTTATATCTGAGCATAAAGAATTCCTTGGAATTTGGCAAGAAATAATATGTATAAGGGTGTACAAAGGTGCTCTTGAAATAATGCTAAGTGAGCAGAATGAGACAAAAACCATGGATAATACATGAGCTTCCTTTTGTTTCTTTGAAACTAAATCTATACAGAAGTTCATTTTTTTCTTCCTCTATTTTACTCATCCCTACTTGCTAATGTACAATCCCACCTCTTGCAAAGTCTTCTTGCATTGTGTTTCTGGAGGCTCCTGAAGGACTTTCACATCTGTTAAGGAGCAAGTCCCTGAAGATGCAATGTGGTCCCTGATGCTGGTTTCCTCTTCTCCAGCTCTGGCCTCCTCACCCTGAGAGGCATTGCACACAGGTGCACCATCTACTATGCACCCCCATGATGATACAATGGAGCTACCAAGGTGCCAAATCCAGGCCTCTTTCCATGCGTAAGTGGAGAGGCAGTCAGTCCTGCCTTTCTCCTGTTTATAAAACCTTCAATGGCTTCCTAAGACCCATGCTTTAACAACAAACCCCTCATCCGTCCTCTAGGCGGCCTCACCTCAGTGGCTGGCAGCTACTACTTCCTAGAACTCACCTCTCCTGGAACACCCCAGGGTGCCCCACACCTAACGGCATCACTTTTGACAGCCAGTCCCCTCCCACTGTGGGTGCTGGCCATCTGCCGAGCATAGTGGGCTCAGGGATGAGCAATGATGCCTGTTCCCAGCAGGCTTCTGCTGGTCCTTCTGCCCCAAGCACCACGCCACCCCACTCCAAATCAATTTGTTTGAAAAACATCCACTTTTTCTTCAAAACTTGGCTCTAAGATTTGTTTCTCCGTGAAGCTTTCTACCTGCTCCCCAGCCCCACAGTGTGTGCACCCCACACTCAGCGTTCCCATAGCACTTTGTTCCTTTTTCCTCTTCCTCTCCGTGGTATTTAGCCTACCTTCTACTAGCACCTACTTATGTTTGCCTGGCTCCCACCTTCACTAATTCGTGAGCTTTTCCTGGGGAGAGATCTTTTCACCATGGGTAGGGACCTGTCTCCCATCACTTTGGAGTTCCCAACACCCAGCACGGTGCCTGGCCCAGTCTGCGTGTCCAGTGAAATAACAAAAATGTAACTAAGAACCAGGAAACTCCACATGGAATCACTGGCATTTCCAAGACCCCCTGGCATCTTCAAAAGTCTGGGTTTCTTTTCTCTTGCTCTAGAGGGCATCTGGCTCCTCTTCTTCTCTACCTTTCTGTACCCCTTTTCTCCCTTTTCTTTACCTGGGAGAGGAGACACAGGGTGGGCTTGCTTCCTGGCTTGAGCTTCTCTGGGGTTCCAAATCGGGGTACATCTCCACAAGGCACAGCAAACCTACTATATTCAAACTTCCTGCAATTAAGACTCACCCTACATGTTCTGGCCCAGTGGCTCAGTGCTGAACAAGGACATTGGCCAGACAAACACCCATTGCCCTGGGCCCTGGCCTCCCAGAATGGCACAAGATCATGGCTCCCCGGCTCCTCCAAGGATGACCATGTCCACCACGATACTTAACAGTTGCCACACCAACCATGTCTGATCAAAGTGATTCTCACTGTGAATCACTGTGAGACCTGAAGAGCAAAGCCTGCACATCCCGGAAGCTGTCTGAGGCTGCTCGGGGCATATTCTCTTTCTCTTTTAAAACACAGACTTGCCTTTGCTACCTTCTGTAGGCTATGTGAGCACAGCCGGATGTCCCATTCAAAGGAAGCTTCTTGACTTACTCATGGAGACTGTCACATCTTAGACGACAGAGCCTTCGCCAATGTTCATGTTCAAAACCATCCCACTTGACAGATCTAGGGCTGAGGGAATGTCTAATCTTAGCAGTAAAACTCACATTTATCATATTCTGATGACCAGTTTAGAAGAGAAGACAGCGGCAGTGGAAATATCTCTGGGACCTCTACAAGGGATTAACTCAACTGACTGTGGAATGCCAGTGCCTCACCAACTGATATCCAGCTATGAATGTATTCTCCATCTAAAACTCAAGTGACTCTTAGAAAGGGATCACTGCAGATACCACACAGGCAGAGCATTTGTGCTTCCAATGAGGCTGGCATGTCTGGCTGTTATCAACACAATTGTCATATGATCGCTTGATAGACAAGCCCAAGCTAACACTGGGCCTAGCCTCTTGGTCACCGTGACTTTAAACCTGGCCTGGAGTTGCCATGACCAGAGCTTACTGAGATTATGTGGTGAGGTCACCTGAGTCAGGAACAGAGCCAGGAAGCAGAGGCTAAGCCATTTGATGGGCAGACCTCTACTCCAGCCACAACATCACTGTCAAAACGAGGTCATGGACAAGTCTAGAATTCACGGTGATCAAAGGTGCTCTAAGCACTGTGGCTGAGGCTTTGCCATAATCCCAGGCTTTCCACAAGAAAAGCATATGTAAATGTTTTGACATGGTGTTGGGATATTTCACTTCAGTTTAGTGAGCTTAGGTACTGGCAAGAAAAACCCAACTGTATTTTATTCGAGCTGCTTCTACACACTTTATTTTGTTCTCTTGTTATTTTTCAATAGTGTTAACAAGGGGTGAATTATCTCCTGAACTTGGCACTTGGTTACTTCCCCAAGGCTCAGAACTGTGAAGTGTGAGTTCTCACTCAACAAATACTTCTTGAGCACCTATATGTGCCAGACACTGAGCCCATCCTAGAGACACAACACTGAACACAGCCGAGGGATATTCTGTCTTCGCAGAGATGATAGCCTAGTAGACAGTGTGTCCAACAGGTAAACTTGACCTATTAGTCAAGCTTTTCTGCACAGGACCAAGGCCAGTCTATTCAAATTCTCAGTCACAGGACTAGAAGCATACTCCAAAATGAAAAAAGGGCACCTGTGACCACAGCAGATGGCAGAGCTATGGACAGCCCTGGGATTGAAAGTAGCAGAAAGCAGCAGCAGGAGTTTCAGTTCCAGAATGCCCAGGCTGCCCCTGCTGAAGGTAGCGCCAAACTGCCCCGTTGTGCTATCTTGATTATTATAATTAATTCTAAAAACTACATCTTATAGAAGATTCCCTAAGGACTGGGCCCTCGGCTCAGGGCCTTACCCATGTAATCTGAGCATGGCAGGGCTCCTCTTTACCTGTTTGGCAGGCATCTTCCTGCTTGGCTCAAGAGGAGGGGAAGGGGAATCTGAGCCTTCAGTCTGAATGTCCCTCTGCCAGAGAAGTCATCTAGTTGGCCACCTCCTGCCGTGGTGGCAGGTTCCTCCAGTCTATGAAACAAGGGGGACATTTCTGCACCCACAGAATGCAGAAAACTGCCCAGTTAGCCCCTCTCTGCTGCAAACCCTTCACAATTCAACAGACAGATGCCTTCGGGAGAGTTTCTGGAACTCCAGTGTAAATAAGGTCAGGTGGATCAGAATGTTCTGTAAAGTGTTATAAAACTGTAGAATAATAGCATCATCATCATCATCATTATAAAAGGATAGTGATAACATCTTAGGCTTGCTGCCTAGAGAGATTCAAGAACAATTACTTTATTTTTCTACTCTTTCTACTATATTTTTATTCTGTCTTTATGGTAGTATAATTTGCATATAATGAACATGTTTTAAGTGTAATGTCTGTCCAATTTTGTTTATTATTTTTGGGCTAACATAAAGTCAAATATATTTTAAAGTACAATAAAATCAAATGGCTATATTTTAACTAATATAAATATGTAGAGCTACAAATTTAATTATGACACGTGTTATGGATTAAATGGTCATGCCCCTCCCCTAAATGCATATGTTGAAGCCCTAACCCCAAATGTGACAATATTTGGAGATAAGGCCTTTATGGAGGTAATTAAGGTAAAATTAAGTCGTAAGGGTGGGGCCCTAATCCAATAGTGATAATGCCCTCATATAAAGAGGAAGAGACACCAAGAGCTCTCTCACTCTTCACACAAGCACAAAAAAAGAGGTCAAAAAAGAGGTTGTGTAAGGACACAGCAAGAAGGTTTCCACCTACACACCACAAGAAGAGGCCTCAGAATGAAATCTACCATGCCAGCACCTTGATCTTGAGCTTCCCAGCCCCGAGAACTGGGAGGAATAAATGACTATTGTTTAAGACACCCAGTCTATGGTATTTTGTTAGGGCAGCCTGAGCAGACTAAAACAATAGATTTTGGGCTCAGTTTAATAGTTACACTTGATGATATATGTAGGCAAACCACTTCTCCATTTTTTTGTTGTTTTCTAATAGTGGCTTTTTGCCTATACTCTTTTAATCAATAGGATGTTGATCCTGCGTACTGTAAATGATTTTTAATGTTTTTAAAGTGGCATTATAAATTGTTGTATTTGTTTCTTTCTATCAGACACTGATCCAATAAATGCTTGAAAAGGTTGAATATTTGCAAAGATATTTTAGCTTAAATATGGACTTCTTTAAAGTCTGCTTGCAAATTGATTCCATTTGCCAGCCACCATTTCAATGCTGTGGGTAGAAATATGACGAAAATGAGATTAAATCAAAAGCAAGGCTGAACTCCCTGCAAATTTTCAAAACTGCATAAAAGACTCCCAAGCAAATATAACCAGAAATTAATTCCATATTACGCTATCTGGAATGATTTACAGATGAAATTGTGATTTTTATTATAGCTCAAGCCAAAGCATTAGAGTCTGATTGAATATATACCTAGCCACCGAATCAGACTTAAGGATGGCTTCTCTGAACACATACGAGTAGAAAGTAGAAAGAATTGGGGAAGAAGTGAACTGGACCTGAAGCCCACTCTCAGCCTTCCAGCCCGTGCCTCCTCTCTCTGCTGCCCCGTAAGGCTGCTCCTGGGGGCCCCGAGGTCATCCTTGGCTACTGCGTTCCCCACTGCCTTCCCCAGGCTCTGGACTTTCCTCCCTCATTCTCCCCATCAAACCTTATCTGCCTGGTGCCATTGGGCTCCAGCTTCCCATTAGGAAACTGAATCTCTGCAGGATATGGATGTCACTGCTCGGGATGGCCCTCCTTCCTGCCTATCCCACATATGTGTATTGAAACAATGCTCTTGTAAAGAACATGCCTAAACTAAGGGATCATTTTGATGATACCTATTCCAGTCTTTGGTCTCTAGCTGTATTGGTTTCATGGACCCAACACTCATCTTTATCAAGTTTGATTAATTCTTTTTCCACAGGAATATAATATCATAATACTCCCTTAAGGTTTGAAATAACTCAAATAATCACCCAGGGTTACAGTAATACTAGTGCCAATAGAAAGTAACCTTTAAGTATAAACTAAAGCCTATTAGCACTTTGAAATCTAAATAAACCTATTTTTTTCCTGTGAATTGTTAGTAGGTGTTATTATAGAGTTCCTAAAGTTGCCTGTGAGTAGAACAGGAAATAAATTTCTCCCAATGAAAGAATATTGAAGACTTCATGACTGTCCCACAATACCCCAAAAGAGGCATTTCCTCTGAGGTTGAGCTTCCAAAAATGGAAATGCCCCAGAATGTATGGTTTAAGAGAATTTCGATGTGAGACACACACTTTTCTGGAAGAACCTGTAGCTCTTCCTTGTTGGCAGCCCCAAAGTCTATGAATCCCAAGATAGCCTCTGGTTCGGGATTGTTTTGCCATGGAGAAGAGAATGTGACATAAGGATGGCCGCCCGTCTCTTCTCTATGGGGCAGTTAGACTCATCCCCAAAGAAAGGCATCAAATCCCCATGATGCCCAGCCCCTGGTCACACCACGCAAAGATGGCAGGCCTCACAGGTCTCTTCCCTGCTGGGAAATGACAACAGTTCTCTCCCAGAAGGTGCTTCTCCCATGCTCACTCTGGAAGCACCCTTTCATCACCTTGCTATAAACTGAAATTCCCAGAAATTAGGATCTGCATCTGTAATTCCATCAGAATCTCCACATAGGTTTGAATTCTAAAATGAGAGAAGGAATCGGCTATGCCTGCTCTTGGTCTCAGCCTCTGAAATAGCTGCCTGCTGACTCATAGTGTAAACACAGGGGTTCATTCCCTTCTCTCCGAAATCTGCTCGTATGCACCCAAAATTATTATTATCTATGTCCAATCATGGAAGCAGGACAAGCTGAAAGACTGCCAGCACGGCCTCTGCCTTTCTCGATTTAAATATATAGATCTGGCTTTGGGCAGGCTCTTCAGACTGACACACTCTCCAGACGTAAATGTTATTTTATTAAGATACAGGGTGACATAAAAATATTTGTATAATCAATATATCGTGTTCTGCTTTAAAATCTGTGACAGGTCTTCAAGTAATCTCATTTTCACAGATCAAGTAGACTAGTCAGAAGTCTTGATGAATGTTGAAGGAGACATCATGGTAATTTACACTAGATTCACATTATATCCAGTTTCTGTGTGCAAAGAAATGGAAATAAGTTTGTACAAATCTTCCCCCACCTCCATAACCTAAAACACAGGAGACAACTTTAACTATATAATGTAATATTTCCAACAGGATGAGGATAGGCAGTACTTTCACCTTATTGACTTACCTTTAGCTTTTTGATTGGCTGAAGGCACTTCCTCAGAATAGATTCTTTGAAATGATCCTCTTCTTAACACAGTTCATTTTAAATATCCTACTTTTCTTAATAGTTTTCAATGCAACCCATCATCAAAGGGAAGGAGTTGATGAAAAGAAATGAAATTGAAACGTGCACCTGGGGAGAAGTGATTGAAGGTTCTTCATTTAAGGGATTGGCTCCTTTTCTCTTATTATACTGTGAAATCTGAAAACATCTCTTGAAATTCTGGTCACTGTCTTCTGGACATCCCAAGGCGCACCATCTCCACAGTTCCTCCCTCCTAGATTATCCCATCCAGTGTGGCATCCAGTGTGGCAAATGGAAAGACTCTTCCAGTGGGCAACTGAAAAGGACACCAAAGAAAGCAGATACAGCCCATGATCAAAGAAGCACATAACTTCAGTTTGGAACATGACTGATAGAAAGATCAATTAGACAATGTACACCAATCAAAGGTAAGCACCAACAGGTGCTATTGTACCAGAAAACAAACACAAAGGCTGAGGCTTTCCAGTGTTTGGGGAAACAGCCTCAATAAAAGGGATCTCAGGAATGGATTTATCCTTCTATCCTTCCTTCCACCCCTTCAACTGAGCCTCTACTACATGCTGGGCACTGTGCCAAAGGCCGGCAACTCGGAAATGAATAGGCTTGGTTCCTGCCCTCAAGTGACTTATAGTCCACGGTGGCGGTGGAGGGTGGGTGGATAGGGAAGTTGTTGAGGGAAGACAAAGAAACGTGCAGTGAAGTTTACCAGAACATAGGGTGTAGGCTGCTGACGGAGCATGAAGGAGGAAGGAGACAAGGACTCTGGGAGTTCAGGAAAGGATGTATCCCGGATAGAGGTGATGCCTAGGCAGAGTCTGGAAATATGAGTAATAATAAGAGCAAGCATACAGGAAGATACAGGCTGGGCGCAGTGGCTCACGCCTGTAATCCCAAGCACTTTGGGAGGCCGAGGCACGTGGGTCACTTGAGGTAAGGAGTCAGGGGTGCTGGTGGAACACTTGAGGCCAGGAATTCGAGACCAGCCTGGCCAACATGGTGAAACCCCATCTCTACTAAAAATACAAAAACTAGCCAGGCGTGGGGGTGCATGCCTGTAATCATAGCTACTCAGGAGGCTGAGGCAGGAGAATCGCTTGAACCAGGGAGGTGGAGGTTGTAGTGAGCAAAGATAGCGCCACTGCATTCCAGCCTGGGGACTGCAGGAGACTTCATCTCAAAAAAAAAAAAACAACAAGATATGGCAGATGCTGCTGCCATCTGTACACAGTTTTAGATGTATTAACTCATTTAATTCTCTCAAGACCTCAAGTTTAGATATCAGTGCTATCCCCATTTCATGATGCACAGAGAGATCAAGTAACTTGCCCAAGTCAAGCAGCTACCTTGGGGCTGAGCTGGAGTTTAAACCCAGGCACTCAGTGACAGCATCCACACTCATAACCACGATGCTAAGAGTTTGCCAGACAGGTGAGAAGCAACATTTTTGGAAGAGGGTCAGGGCCATAGGTTTTGTGAAGTGACAGAGCATGACATTCAGATTCAGTAGGGCTTAAAGACCCAAGTTTTGGAAAGTAGAGGAGATCTGAACCTTAGCCGTAGCTTCTAGAGGTGGGCTAAGAGCAACCTGGGCACATGTAGTGGTGACCAGAGGACTTGCAGCCATCAAATCACTATGGTGTGCTGTTTATTTCTCCCAAAGACTCAGGAGGGGAGAGGTTTGATACTTTTTTCTCATATCAGATAACTTTAAAATGTAGTTTTATATTATAGAATAGGATGTAAAATTACCATGACATTTTTCCTTGTTTCTTCTTCCTTTTGATATATGATTTAAATTGTTTCTTTAATGTATTTATTTATACTAAATAAAACAACTCATGGTTATATAAATTATTTCTCTTCCTGAAATTCCTTCATTCTTTTTCACCGAGATAGTCCCTCTGTCCACGCTTATACAACTAGATATTGATGCATGTGGGCAAAATTAGGGTGTTTTGCTGTTTGTTTATACAGATATGGAAACAATGCACTCTTTATTCCATGGCTTGCTTTGCTCACTTAATAATACCTCATGGACAACCCCCTAGCATCATCTTACTGAGAATCGTACAGTAATCCATACCATCACTTTTGTACCATTCCCCTACAGATGGATGGTTTCCAGATTCTGCCTCTTCAAGCAAAGCTGAAACAAATACTTCTGTCTATACATTTCTCCCTCCTCTGCGTTTACACTTTAAAAATTATACAGTCGTTACTGGACTTTTTTTTTTTGACAGAGTCTTGCTGTCACCCAGGCTGGAGTGCAGTGGCACGATCTCTGCTCACTACAAGCTCCGCTCCGAGGTTCAAGCAATTCTCCTGCCTCAGCCTCTTAAGTAGCTGAGACTACAGGCGCCCACCACCACGCCCAGCTAATTTTTATATTTTTAGTGGAGACAGGGTTTCACCATGTTGGCCAGGATGGTCTCGATCTCTTGACCTCATGATCCACCCGCCTTGGCCTCCCAAAGTGCTGGGATTACAGGCATGAGCCACCACGCCCGGCCGGTTATTGGACTTTTTACCAAAGGCCCACTTCTACCTTCAAGGGAAATGGCTCCCTAGCATTTGCTCCTAAAAGCAAATGGTCTGTTCAGGCCTAAAATTTCAAATTGTGTTCAATAGGCTACTTTTTACAGGACTCTGTTTTCCCTAGAAGACTGCATGAAACAATTTCCAGAAAATGTAAACTCCAGTCTTCATGGATAATTTCCTCCACCTACCTAATTTGCACCATCGAAACAAAGCTTTTTCTAAAACCGCTAATCAGAAGGTCTTATGTTGTTTTCTATTCGACCATAGCCTTTTAAAATAACAGTTGAAATGTCAAAGAAATCCCAAGTTCACCGCAGGTGTTCCTGGACTGGGCTGTTAAGTCGTGACAGTCAACATGAGAGGGCCAAGGAAGGCGGGAACCTAGGGCTCAGGCGGAGGGGCCAGGTCAGATTCAGAAGAGCTGGGCGCTCTTTTTTGTATGAGCCTGGGTCTTGCTCTCTTGCCGGGCTGGAGCACAGTGGCACAATCACGGCTCACTGCAGCCTCGGACTCCTGAGCTCAAGCCCTCCTCCCAGCTCAGCCTCCTGAGTGGCTGGGACTACAGATGCACCACCACACTCGGCTAAGTTGCTCTTTTGATTTCCTCTCTGCAATATTGAAGCCGTTTTCATCTGAAATTGATTCTGTTTGTCAAGGAAGACTAAAACCAAACAGAAAGTGCCTGAGTTCTGCTTCCTCCAAGCCTCTTGCCACAGCAGTCCCTGTTCAGCAGTCAGGGCCCACTCTCAGTTCCTTATCCCCAACCTTTTGCTGCTGCTCTGCCCTCACCACCCAGCCGCCTCCCTTGCAGTTTCAACAGCTCCTGCTCAGGTAAGCCCTCCCTCTTCCCGACAACCCCCACCCCTCTCCTCCAAGGCTATCCACTCCCAACCTCTACTGCCCCCTCGTAAGTGTGAGCTCCCTGAGGGTAGGAACGTCATCATCCCGTGTGGCTCCCACCACATCCCTGGTGCCCTGCACTGGGTCTGCTTTACAGAAACACACAGGTAAGCACACAAATGGCCTCAGGCACGTCACGGACACCTCCTGCCATGAACCAGACACTGTTCCAAGAGTTTCACACACGTCATTTTGTTTAATTCTTAAAACCACTCTCTGGGGTAGACACCAATCATGTCCCCTTTGTAGGTATGGAAGCTGAGATAAGGCTCCATACATGCAAGCATGGGGTCCTCTCGTCAGCCAAACACACTCCTTTAATCTGACTTAAAATGACTATAAGCGGCTTCTCCAGGCTCTTCAGCCGCTCCCACAACCCCCAGCGCATTTTGGGTTTTGGCCTCTCTGATGCAAGTCTTACTCATGCCTTCTGTGCTCCTTATTGACTTCTATCTTGATTGTATCCTTTTTGCATCAGTTTCATAACTGCCCCTATGGGGTTAGAACTCATTAGAGAGCTGCCAGTGCAGCCACTCTGTTGGAGGGGACAAGTGGAGGTGTCTGTCTGTTATTTTCAGTAAGCTCGAGCTGTAACGACACAGGGTGAGTCCCAGGGAGAAGTGCATCCAGTCATCCGGAGGCCGCCTCTTCCAAAACCCTGGGCCACGGAACCGGTAGTGTCCATCTTTCCCCTGAATTTTAAGAAATGAGCATCTTAATCCGCTGGGATACAGGGAGGAGAACATCACACACGAGGGCCTGTTGAGGGGTAGGGGCAGCGGGTGGGAGAACATTAGGACAAATACCTAATGCATGCAGGACTTAAAAGCTAGATGGTGGGTTGATAGGTGCAGCAAACCACTATGGCACATGTATACCTGTGTAACAAACCTGCATGTTCTGCACATGCATCCTAGAACTTAAAGTAAAATAAAATAAAAGACAGAAAGAAATAAACATTCTAAGGTCAGGCATGGTGGCACATGCCTGTAATCCCAGCACTTTGGGAGGCCGAGGTGAGTGGGTCACCTGAGGTCAGGAGTTCAAAACCAACCTAACCAACATGGCGAAACCCCGTCTCTACTAAAAATACAAAAATTAGCCGGGCGTGGTGGCAGGCGCCTGTAATCCCAACTACTTGGGAGGCTGAGGCAGGAGAATTGCTCGAACCTGGGAAGCAGAGGTTGCAGTGAGCTGAGATTGTGCCACTGTACTCCCGCTTGAGCGACAGAGCGAGACTATGTCAAAAAAAGAGAGAGACAGAGAGGGAAAGAAAAAGAAAGAAAGGAAGGAAGGAAGGAAGGAAGAAAAGAAGGAAGGAAGGAAAGAAAGAAAGAAAGAGAGAGAGAGAGAGAAAGAGAGAAAGAAAGAAAAGCATTCTACACATTTAGAGTTCAGTGAAAATTGTTCACATCTGAGTCTCCCCACTGGCCAGCACACTCTTTCTCCCAAGGTGGTCATAAGTAGCACTGTATGCACTTGGTCATTTACAAGTATTGACAGGAGTAGTTTCCCTAGTTCTTCCTGTGCCCTCTGGAAAATAACGTCAGCAAGAGAAGTCAGGAATTTTCTGGAGGTCTGCTATAAAGGGAGTGAAGCCCCGTGAGGCTCACCTTGACCAGCCCCCCAGTGCTGCTGTCCCTGCCCTGGGCCTGTTTTGTGAGCTGTGTCTGAGGCACCTGCCATTTTCTCTGTCTTGTCACAGGAGCAGTCATGTCCCCACCCCCGGCCACAGTCACTGCTATTCATCTCCTGCCACAGTTCTGCCTCTTAAAGGATATGTGTCCACCCTCTCCCACGCCTCACCATCCCCCATACACATACACACAGAGGCCAAATTACACAGCAGAGGAGTGATGGTGGACACAGCCATGCTTGCAAGATTCCTTCCTATATTTTATTTTTCTCTTGGCTCATCTAGTTTCAAAGTTTACTATACTACAGTCTCTCTTCCCTTCCCCCTGCAACTCTGCACACAGACACACACACATACACACACACACACACATACACACACACACACACGCACACACACACACACAGACACCTACCCTACTAGAAGCAATTCTTGGCCACACCTCCCCAGAGCTTACAGCAGTGCCCAGGGCATGGGTGTGGCCCCAGGCAGACAGAACTCTGCTCCCAACAGTTCAACTTCACCTCCTAGAATAATCCCCTCTTCAGCATTGGACCCTCAAAAACATCCCATCAGGACCTACAAATCTAGGACCTGCTCTTAGGGACATCTCTAAGCAAAGGTGTGCTCTCTCTGTAACTCTCTCTCTGTCTCTCCATCTCTGTCTCTCTCTGTCTCTCTATCTCTGTCTTTCTCTCTGTCTCTCTCTGTCTCTTTCTCTCTATCTCTGTCTCTTTCTCTCTGTCTCCCTCTCTCTTTCTGTCTCTGTCTCTGTCTCCCTCTCTTTCTGTCTCTCTGTCTCTGTCTCCCTCTCTCTTTCTGTCTCTCTGTATGTCTCTGTCTGTGTGTGTCTCTCCATCTGTGTGTGTGTGTCTGTCTGTCTCTCTCTCTTTCTCTCCCTGTCTCTATCTTTCACGGCGCCCTCACTCTCAGGCTCCCGCTTTCCTGTGCAGATGCGTCTCCTGCCCTCATTTCTTCCCTCATTTACTGACAGTCAGTAACTGCCTACTTGGCTGCAGGCCCGCACTCCATCACTGGTCTTACAAACCAGTTCAAGAGATGGATAGACAACTACTACTACTAATAATAAAATTCTAAGTCCTGTACCTAAAATACAAACTGTTAGCTATTTGAAAACAGAGCAGAAAGCAATCATTTCTGCTTGGACTGTGAGGGAAGGCTGTGGTGAAGAGCTAACATATGAGTTGGGTCTTGAAGGATGTGTAGGAGTTTCCTGGCAAAGGACAGGAAGGGCATTCCAGGGAGAGGAGGCAACATAGCAAAACTCAATGAGAAGGGCGTGACATGAAAATAATAAAGGACTGTGTGGCTACAGTATGGGAGGTAGGGGCAGGGGGTGGCTTTTGTTTACCAGAGTATACAGATCTTGAAACAGCACAGAATAGGCCCTCAGCAAATATTTATTTTGGATATTGAAAGAAGAAGGATAAAGCCAGATTTTTATGCCATACAGGAAAGTCTAAAGTCTAAACCTTAGTGTGTAGACAGTGAGAATTCACCAAACTTTTTTTTTTTTCTTTTGAGAAGGAGTCTAGCTCTTGTCACCCAGGCTATAATGCAATGGCGCAATCTCGGCTCACTGCAACCTCTGCCTCCCAGGTTCACACAATTCTCCTGCCTCAACCTCCCGAGTACCTGGGATTACGGGCATGTACCACTACGCCCAGCTAATTTTTGTATTTTTAGTAGAGACAGGGTTTCACCATGTTCCCCATGCTGATCTCAAACTCCTGACCTCAGGCGATCTGCCCACCTCGGCCTCCCAAAGTGCTGAAACTGCAGGCATGAGCCACCATGCCCAGCCAACCAAACTTTTTTAAATTAGGGAAATGGCATTATTACATCTGGGTTTCAGAAAAGAGATTACTCAAGACTGTATATAAAATAGATTCCAAAGGGGAAGTTTAGGGGGCAGATGGCAGCACACCGGCTATTTTTTACCAGGTACGTTGAATTGATGAGGCTATCCTTTCCTTTCCTTTCCTTTGCTTTGCTTCAAATCTTGGTTATTCTTGGGAACTCATATAACTACCTTGCATTATGAAAATCACTTCACTTGTTTAACATATTCACCTGTTTAATACATGGACATACAGGCCTCTGACACCATTCGTTTTAGTTCTGCCTCTCTTCATTGTTTTCTCCGAAACCTCGCTCACTCACGCTTATTTCCAAAGGATATTTGCTGTCCCCATAGCAGCCAGCTTTCATCAGCTCTTCAAGGATTAATACTCCCTCTTTCTCCATTTTCATTTTAAATCCCACTCAATGCACAGCTCTGTCGCTGTGAGTCAGTTGTTTGCCAAGTTAACGCTTTCCTTTTGCCGGGTGCCTCCTGGAGATGCAGTACCATAATCAACCGTAGAGATGACTGTAAACGTGGACACCTCAGACTCCAGGTCAGGCCATCACCAGAAATATGTTGAGCTAACAGTTCTCACCACATGACAAGATTCTTATTTCTTCTTGGTTTGGTGCCAGCCTCCACCCTACCCTTCCTTTTCATAAGTCTCTGGGGGAAGCTGGACTCCAGGGGCGAGCATTAGAGGAGGTGGAAAGGTGGTCATCACCCCATATGACCCGGCCTGTGACTCCCACTGGGACAAACTTAAGAAGAAATAAATTGTAGCTCTAGCATTTCAAGCTAGAGAAGAGATTTGCTTTTTCAATAAAACAATGATAGAATTTTGGACCCAATCATGTTTTCCTTCTTGTTTCCTTGAAAATTATTTCCTGCATAATTCTGTGGCAGCCCACGGACCCATGGCAGTTCCACACACGAGTCCTGTCAATTTCGGAAGTCTTTCCTTTCTGCCAACAGCTTCAGTGCTGGGATTAGCACATCACTCATCAAATAAGACAGGAGAATGGTCTCCCCACAGGAACCTCTGCTCTTGAATTCCTATACTCATCTCATTTATAAAAAGTTAAGCACTCGTGGCATAACTTGTGTCCGATCCAAAAAGACTTTAGCTGTACTTTGTTAAAACATGTACCATATTTAAAATCTAAAAGTATTATGAAACTCAGTCTCTAGAAAATCATTGTACTACCTTACTAATTCTAATTTTTATGGGAATTGCACTAATTCTTAAACTAGCAAGCAAAGAAGGAATTAATGTACAAGAACCATTGAAAGGAACATGATTTTCTTTTCTTGTTTTGTTTTCTTTTTTATAAACAAAAAAATATATAAGGAATAATTTATCCTTAAGGATATTTTCTTGAGATTATTTCCATTCAATTTCTTAGAGACTTCCAGGATAAGCAGATACTTGAGCTACAGACCTGGAATGAGAAAAGCAATGAACCTTAAGAGGGCAGGCCGGGTGCAGTGGCTCATGCCTGTAATCCCAGCACTTTGGGAGGCCGAGGCGGGTGGATCACCTAAGGTCAGGAGTTTGAGACCAGCCTGACCAACATGGAGAAACCCATCTCTACTAAAAATACAAAATTAGCCAGGCATAGTGGCACATGCCTGTAATCCCAGCTACTCGGGAGGCTGAGGGCAGGAGAATCTCTTGAACCCGGGAGGCTGCCATGAGCTGAGATCACGCCATTGCACTGCAACCTGGGCAACAAGAGCAAAACTCTGCCTCAAAAAAAAAAAAAAAAAAAGAGGGCAGAGTTCTGTGTGCATCTTCTAAGGCTGAGCATGGGAGTCCTTGAAAGGGGACGTTGTGGTTGGTGGCCTATGGTAGATTGAGTCATTAGCATTAATGCTTATCCATCCCTATACCGATCCTGTCTTTATTTAAAAACTTTGGTATTTTGCTCATCCCAAATGTTCTGCATTAACTTTGGTTTTTAAAAATATTTTATATTAATTATTTATCTTGATTAAATATCTTGACGCCCCTTAAACTTTTCACTGAAGACAAGTATTTGCTCGTCTCACCCTAGTCTTAGTACTGCTCACACCCTTTGCCATGTGATGTTGGAGTTCCTCCACTCACCAGACAGAATATATTTCTCCTCCTTTTGACTTTGAGGTTAGTCATGTGACTGGTGTTGGCCAATAAAATGAGAAAGGATGGTGTGTCACTTCCACTTGCCCTATTTCTCTTCCACTCTTACCATGAGAAGAACTTGCCTTTGGTCCCACGAGGAGAAGCTATATGGAGCAGAGAAGGAGATTTACAGGGAGCAGAGGCAGCCCAGCCAAGCTCTATCAGGTGCACCCAGCCTAGACCAGCCAAGACACAGAGACCTGAGCTAAATCAGTACTTACTGTTGGGATTTTCTCATTGTTTGTTTCACAGAAATGGATTACACACACCAACATACCAACAAACCAACAACAATTATTTCAGCCTGGCTGGTTCGTGTAAGTTAATCCTGGTAATCCTGTTCCCTTTCCCCTTGTCAGTACTTGGCTGAGGAAGGGAGATGTCTAGGCCCATTGGGGCCAATGAAACATAAAAGAGATTTGCTGGAGTCTTCAGGATAAATTATTTCTTTCTTTTATGTGATATGCCAAGATATACTCTCTAATTCCCTTTCTTTCTTCTTTGTGAATAAGAAAGAATGTAGTTTTGGCCAGGCGCTGTGGCTCACGCCTGTAATCCCAGCACTTTGGGAGACCAAGACGGGCGGATCACTTGAGGTCAGGAGTTTGAGACCAGCCTGGCCAACACAGTGAAACCCCATCTCTGCTAGAAACCACACAACCATCAAAAATTAGCCGGGCGTGGTGGCACAAGCCTGTAATCCCAGCTACTCGTAGAAGAATCACTTGAACCTGGGAGGTGGAGGTTGCAGTGAGCCAAGATCGCACCACTGCACTCCAGCCTGGGTGACAGAGCAAGACTGTCTCAAAAAAAAAAAAAAAAAAAAAGAAAGCCAGGCATGATGGCTCACGCTTGTAATCCTAGCACTTTGGGAGGCTGAGAGGGGCGGATCGCAAAGTCAAGAGATCGAGCCCATCCTGGCTAACATGGTGAAACCCCGTCTCTGCTAAAAATACAAAAATTAGCTGGGCTTGGTGGAGCACGCCTGTAATCCTAGCCACTCAGGAGGCTGAGGCAGGAGAATTGCTTGAACCTAGGAGGCAGAGGTTGCAGTGAGCCAAGATTGCACCACTGCCTTCCAGCCTGGGTGACAGAGAGAGACTCCATCTCGAAAGAAAGAAAGAAAGAAAGAGAAAGAAAGAAAGAAAAAGAAAGAAAGAAAGAAAGAAAGAAAGAAAGAAAGAAAGAAAGAAAGAAAGAAAGAAAGAAAGAAAAGAAAGAAAGAGAGAAAGAAAGAGGGAGAGAGGGAGGAAGGAAGGAAGGAAGGAAGGAAGGAAGGAAGGAAGGAAGGAAGGAAGGAAGGACAGGGAAGGGAAGGGAAAGGAAAGGAAAGGAAAGAAAAGGAAAGGAAAGGAAAAAGAAAAACAAAGCATGCAGTTCTGATGACCAAATACGCTCCCCCAAAGACCTCCAGGGGAATGAGCCTGAGAACAAAGTCATCTATGGAGGAGTACAGAGCTGTGGCAATCACAGGAGAGTAAGGCAGAAGGCTTGGTAGAACCATGTGAAGCCTGACCAGCCACTGGGTTTTCATGCATGTGATTTGGTGCATGTCTTTATGGTTTAAGCCAGTTTGAGTTAGCCTTCTGTTTCTTGCCACCGAAAGCACTCTCTAGCTGATTCAGGTCATATGACGACTGTTTCTGAACTCACTTCAGTACTCTCTCTCCACATTATTCCAACTTTAACAGGCAACTACTTGTGATCTGAAAGAGTGTTCAGGCATAAGGCTCATGGTCATGATTGACAGTTCCACAGTCCTTCCCTCACAGGGAGCTTCACATGGCTTTCTGCCTGCATTCCAGATGGTGTCTCTTCCTCCCTCAATGTGACCATAATTATACATGTCACTTCTCACTTTTCCCCATGATATCTCTACTTTAAACTGGACGAGAAAGAGAATAATGAAATCAGTTGAGGTATTTTCATATGATGGAACATCATAAATCCATTAAAAATAATTTATATATTAATTCAGCAAAGGTCTACTCGGCACTTACTGTGTTCCAGGGACTGTACTATAGAAAAATGCCTGATGATATGGAAAATGTTAAATGTAGGCTACACAAAATTTTAGCTATAAAATGTAACTACCGTATCTAATTTAGATGATACTTAGATGAGACTTTGGACTTTAGACCTTAAAGTTGTTGCTGGAATAAGTCAAGACTTTTGAGGTTGTTGGGATGGAATAAATGTATTTTGCATGGAAGAAGGACATGAATTTTGGGGGACCTGGGGCAAAACGTTATGGACTAATTGTTGATATCCCTTAAAATCCATGTTGAAGCCCTAACCCCCAATGTAATGGTATTTGGAGGTGGAGCCTTTGGAAGGTAATTACGTTTAGATGAGGTCATGAGGGCAGGACCCTGTGATGGGACTGGTCCCGTTAGAAGAGGGAGAGACACCAGAGCTCATTCTCTCCATCAGGAGAGGACATAGCAAGAAGTCTGCAAGCCAGGAAGAGGCCCTCACCAGGAGATGAATCTGCCTGCATCTTGATCTTGAACCTCCCAGCCTCCAGAACTGTGAGAAATAAATGTTTGTTGATTAAGGAAACAAATAAAACATAATTACAATACAATCAAATATATGAAAAAGGAGTGTGTATGTGTGTTTCTGCGTGTGTATACCTACAAAGAAAATAAGACTAAAAAACTATTCTAAAAATATTCATAAGAGTTATCTCTGAATTTTGGCAGAATGTGCAATTTGCTGCTTCTTTGTATTTTTCCAGATTTATCATATCTTCTATAATTAACATGTTACTTCTGTAAATAGGAAAAATATGCAACAAAAGAAATTATGCTAGTGTCTTTGATAAATCTAATAAATCTGGAAGTGTTTGTATTCTAGATTGATTAGCTATTATAATTATGTGATTTCTTTCTTCTTTCAATGGGCCTTGATGTTTAACATATATTTACACAAAATTGCTATGTATATGAGCTAGAGAGGAGTATTTTTAAGTAATCAAGAAGTCATATTTACATTTAGAATTGCCTCTCTTTTCATGCCAGATGTAAAATTTGGAAAGAGAAAGAAGAACCAGGCAGTCGTTGCAGACCATATATACAACTGAGTCCTCCTCAAAAACCTCTCAGTATACTTCCAAGAGGGCAGGAAAAAGGAGAAAAAGAGAGAGCATGTCATGAGACCCAGTTCTCTGGGGGCTCAAGAATGAGTTAAACTAACTCCTTCCACCCTGCTAGCAGGGAAGAGTTGATTGTACCTTCAAGCCTCTGATCAACCAGTATGTGAAAACCCACATACTGAGACACTTCCAGAAAAGAACTGGTTACTATTAAAAAGAAGGAAAGTTAATTTTAAAAAAAGGAAGTGAAAAGGAAGAGGAAACATTTTACAGTTTTCATTGCAAAATGACAATACAATAATTCATCTTAAAATATTATATAATAACTTCATCTCAAAACAATAACACAGTAATTCTGTTGTACTACTAGAGGGCATTGGAGTAAAGGAAATATATTAGAATTGTATGGGTGGAATGTATACTTGCATATAGAATTTAATATTTATAAACTATATAAATTCAGAATTATAAACTATATTAATTTTGCTTCCTCTTTGATAAAACTCTTTCATACACATCATTGCATTAGATTCTCACAACCTCCTTTATGTGGTACTTAACACAAATGTTCTCCCCTTTCTTTATATGAAGAAGAGACCCATGGAGGCAGGGTAGTATTCAAGCCCAAGTCTTATGTGGTCAGGGGAAAACTCGAATATATTATTCATGCTGATGAGATACAGAAATATCTCATTTGCCTTCTTTTTAATATGTTTATTGCACTAGAAAAATTGATTACGCTGGATAAAATTTTCCACACATGGAAAAGCACCCAGTACAGTTCCTGCATTTGGTGGATGTTCCCAAAATATAAGATGACTGACATGTACTTGATCTTAATAAGGAACAGACTTCTTTAGAAAATTACAGCCTTTATATTAGAGTTTTCATTACTCTTTGCTTTGCTCAAAACTCGCCTACATGCTACTGAAGGATTTCATCCCAGGGGATAAAAAACTTTGTCTCAAATATCAGAGGACTTGAGGTCAAAAGCTCCTAAAGGTAGCAATTTATCTCTTTCTTTATAATTAAGTCAGTTTAAATTAATTTGGACCATAGTTCTAAAGAAAACCAATCTGATCCCAAACATTTCACGTGTAAAATGAAAAAGAATAAAGCTAGAAACCACACAACCATCTAAAATTTTTCCTGCTAAGAAAATTGCCACAGTCAGAGTGGTTGGTTAGCTGCTGAAAAACAAGCTGGGTTGCGCTTAGTGAAGATTGAATCTTCCTTTCAACAGACATTGTCTCTGGCTGTGAGGTTCACATCTTACAACACCCAGTAAGCACGTCCACGGAAAGTAAAAAGTTCAATAAATCATTCAGATGGTTTCAAATACTCAAAATACATGCACTCAGGAGGATCCACTGTCTTGGCAGCTGTGTGAATTTTTCACATTTCTACCTGATAAAGTTCTTGGGGAAAAGTTTCCTCTTCTCTGGGAACCTGGGAACATGGTATTCTGCACCCACCTGTGTGTGGAATAGGCATAAATTTGTCTGCCAGATGGGGAAAAACCTTCTAGAAACTAAGATCCATGTTTCTTTAAAATGACTCTGCTTTTTCCCCACTGAGACCCTCAGTGTATGGACCGAATGCAGCTGAAGTAGGGTGGCCTGCCAGGCTTTCAGGGAGCTTCCAGACTGGGCAAGTCAGGGTGGCCCATGAACCCCTGGCCTCAGAATCTTGTCAGTGATGTCAATAATTAGAATTATGCCAATAATAATGTCAGTAATGCTAATAATAATAGTGCTTGTCAATAATGCAGATCCTTGGGGCTCATCTCAGACCTTCCCAATCAGAATCTCTGGGGGCAGAGTCTTGGAGTCTGCATTTTAACAAGCTCCCCTGATAACTCCCCTAAAATCTGGGCAGCACTGATCTCATAGCTCCTGGGGGAGCAAGACAAGCACAAGCGAGGGCAAGTGAATGCAACTCTAAGAAAGAGCACTGGCTCCATCCAAGCGGACAGATCAACGACGGGTACACAGACTGGTCAGGAAAAAAATGCTAGACAGAGAGAAGTTCAAACAGTGGGGAGTGACGAAGAAGCAAGCTTTTGCCCACATGAGAGAAAGTGTAGCTCCCCATCCAGTCCACGCTACTATAGCAACTAGGGAAGTTGAGATAGCAGAGGGAGAACTGCAGCAGCTGTGTTTGTGGCTAGGCCCGCTGGTCTGGATGCGGCCTGGGATTTGCCCCTTCTCCAGCTAGAGAGTCTGGGGATCCCACAGGAGCAGTAAGGCCACACAGCGGTGTTGTGCACATGAACCGAAGGCAGTGAGTCTCTACTCTAGTGGTGAGCCCATTAGTGTTTAACAATGGGCTCTCCAGGGGAAAATAAAACCCTGACTTACAGCATTTGCCGCTTTCTATGGTGTAAATACTCCCACCATGGCTAATTTCAAGTCATTCAGTGATGTCACTGAACATGAACTTAGGAAAATATAGACACACAATGGCTCTCACATGCCAGAGTGAGCCCCCTCCAGTGCATGACTGCCTACACACACACACACACACACACACACACACACACACACTTCTCACATAAATACACTTTTACTTTTGTATGATTCTGTCCTATACCTAAGGGAAGAAGACTGTTCCTCCTGTCCAGTAACTGAACATACAACTATTCTTTGCTGATCATGCATTTGCTCAGAAGCATCCATTTTTATACAAAAGATAATTTTTCCCTGAGTTAAGTAAAAAGTTTTGCATTGAGAAAATGTTAATCACTGTTAACCTATCTCTTTTCAGTCTGATAAAGAAATTACCATATGCCTATATAGTATATCAGCAGATTAGTTTCTCTCCCTTCCCAAAAGACATTCACATCCTAATCACCAGAACGTGTGAATACATCATGTGACATGGCAAAGGGAAATTAAGGTTGAAGGTGGAAGCAAGCTACTGATCAGCTGACTTTAAAGTAGGGAGATTATTCTGGATGATTCTGGACCAGTGTTAGCACAGAGGTTCAGCAGGGTTGGTGTCAGAGTTATGGGATGTGAATAAGGTTCTACAACCCACTGCTGGCTTTGAAAATGGAGGAAAGGGCCACAAACCAAAGAATGAGGGTCACCTCTAGACGCTAGAAAGGGCAAGAAAACACTCTCTCCCAGGGCCTCCAGAAAGGAACACAATGCTGTCAACCCCTTGATTTTAGCTCAGTGAGAGCCACTTTAGACTTCTGACTTCCAGAACTGTGGGATAATAAACTGGTGTTGTTCTAAGACACTAAGTTTGTGGTCATTTTCGACAGTAACAATAGGAAACTAATGGAGGATGTTTTTCAGGGAAGTGGCAAAACAAAGCAAGAAAAATATATAACTAGAAAGCCATAAATGGCCCTAGAAATGCTGACCACATCTGTTCACAGTGCAGACATAGAAAGGCTGCCTATAGCACGCTCCCTCTACACACACACACACACACACACACACACACACACACACATACACACAATCTGGGAGAGGGCTCTGCAAAGCCTAGGGAAGCAGTTTGAGTCTCACTGAGAAACATATAGATGTTAGGGGGCTTATATCTGTCACTTTGTCCCAACTCTTCTGTCAGAATGTTCCATCTCCACATCACCTAATTTAAATACATTGAAACAAGATCCTCACTGTGAAATTAATACCTGCACCATTGGTCAGAACTGGCATTTAGCATTGCCCAACCTGGACAAAGGCAGGATATTCAGGAATCTCCAGAAGAATTAGACATCCTGTCTTATAGATGCTTATTCATAAAAGAGTGGGGAGAGCCTGAAGGTGTAAAATGTGTTATTTGCCACCTTTAAAACTTCTCCATGGTGCTGAGAGGTCCATCAGTCAAACTGCCACATTTTACAGATGAGGAATAAGAGACATGATACAAGTGGCCCAAAGCCACCCCTTCCACTCATCAGTGTCAGAGCCGGGACATAGCCTGGCCCCTCCCCTTGGTTCCTCCACTGTAGCCCATGACAGGGATTCTGTGAAAGAAGAAGTAAGACTTCATTCTATAGTCAAGAGTCAAATAGATGCTGACCATTTAAAAAAATACATGTGAGTAATATAAGACTACCAGCCCCCTTTCCCCTGACTTTTGCCTCATTATCTGCCCTCTTTCTCAATCATCCCCAAGAGGAAGTACCAAGATGGCTTTCAAATGTGAGCATTGGCCAGGCCACGCTTGTTCTGGGAAGGGATAGTTGGATTTTAAAATATCACACATGGCCACTGTTCATTATCTTTCATTTCCATGTAAAGGGAGAGGTAAACCGGCTCAGGCACCACCTCATCAGGACAGCCCCTGGCATCACTCTCCTTTGCCTGACAATTCCAGTCATGGTGCAGGTAGCTGGCCAGGTGACCGTAACATCCAAGAAGTGGGTTTGGAACGGGAGGAGAGAGGTTGAGCTGAAAGCCTGACCCACCGCGTGCTCCAGCGCAGCCTTCTCAGGGTTCGGCTTTGGAGTGGGGAGTGCGGTACAAGGCCTTACCGGGCATTTGCTCAGCTAAAAATAAAGCGAAGCTGGCTTCTGTCTGCTATCACTCCTTATACGTATTGCTCCCTTCATGTCTCCGGAGGAGAGCTGTTGCAGAAGCCCATCTTTAGGAAGCCCCATGGAGGAAAAAAAGGATAAACTGTTGCTACACACATCATGGACAAATCATCCTATGAACATCGTGTGGACTGAAAGAAGCCACTAAAGAGCACGGTGGGCATGTTTCCACATCTGTGAAGGTCAAAAATAGGCAAAACGAAATCTATGGGACGGGGGCTGGAGGGTGGCGTGGTATTCACTGAGAAGCGCTGAGAAGGGAGCCTGCTGGGTGCTGAAAGTGTGCTCTGTCTCAATCTGAGTGGCAATGACACAGGTGTATATGTATGAAAGACACGTACTGACCTGTAGTTGAGTTATGAACTTTATGTATGCTATTCGGCCTTTAAAACAAAACCTTCGTTTCCCACATGAAATGTACAATTTCCAAATCATTCTGTAAATGACAATGCATTTTTATGTTTAGGGCCCTGAAATACTTAAAATTAAAAAATTTGAAGCTATATTTCCTCTGGATTAAACATGCATTTAAGTCATGTTTGCAGCTCTGAATTTGAATTTTCTTTCTAATTAGAAAGATCAATGGAGAGGCCCTTTTTCATCCACTTTCTCCAAATGGGCCTTTCAGAGTTCAAGGAAAAGCAAGGCAAGAAATATACATTTCAAAAGAGCTAACACACTTTGATTCTTCCACATTTCTATCTATAGAAATTTAAGATTTTTTGCTAGCATTTGAAATTTTTCAGAGTTCTCTTAGCTGCTACAGAAATTTCACATCCAACATCTCTTCTATATAAAGGAAAATGAAGAGGCATGTAAAAGCAGTTTCAGAAAGTTGACTGTGGTATACAAAAATTTTTTTAATTATCATGTTGAAGAGTTTAAAGGAGATGCTATAAAATATGCATTTACTGGTATTGGAACAGATGAAAGCACAGTATTTTCATCTTTAAAGACAAAAAGAACTATTTTAAAAAGCATGTGTTTTTCATAGCGTACTTCACTTTATACCAATGATTCTAAGGTTTCTATTAAACAGAAAAACAAACTACAAGTCTGGCAACCACAAAGATGAAAGGGAGCAAAGTCTCCATAAGTGAAAGAGATTTTAACCAATAGTAAAGTGATGACAAAATCCCACGGTGTACTGACAGCATTGTTAAAGCTCCAAATTATATTTAATGATAGCTAACTGATGTCTAAGGCTACAACACCCCATGGATGTCTGACTGTTGACGAAAAAAGGAAAAAGAGAAACGAGGGATCATGTCTCCTCTAGAGAACAACTAAGTTAAGCTGATCCAGCTGAGACACAGTAGTTTCCAGGGTAAAATAACTTATAATCAACTACATGAATCAGGCTTGGCCTTGCCTTGCATGTGCAACTCAGGCTAATTTACTCCCTTGGGGAATAAATTTAGCACCCAGCAGTAGCTCTGAATCCAAATTCTAAAGACCCCAGTTCAGGTCAGGACTCTTGTCTCTAAGCAGCTGGGACTTTGATTGTCAGAGGTCATTTAAATGTGATCTTGAATAGCAGTTCAAGCTCAGCAAAATCCCTACTTCTTGAAGAAATGACATGTTTACCAGGGAATTGTGAGTTAAGGGAAATAGATCTAGTGGAAATGTGTGGATGTTTAGGGTGCCTGAACTTTTAGCAGAGAAGTTTTACATAGTGTAAAGCAAAGAAGATGATGAGGCTCTCAATGATAGCCACACTCCTATACCAAGCATCAAAGTCAGTAATTTCAAGATCTGCTTTTCTACATACAAATCTCAAATGCTGCCGGGCATGATGGCTCATGCCTGTAATCCCAACACTTTGGGAGGCCCTGGCGGGAGGATCACTTGAGATCAGGAGTTTGAGACCAGCCTGGCCAACATGGTGAAACCCCGTCTCTACTAAAAATACAAAAAGTAGCTGGGCGTGGTGGTGGGTGCCTGTAATCCCAGCTACTTGGGAGGCTGAGGCAAGAGAACCACTTGAACCCAGGAGGCGGAGGTTGCAGTGAGCCAAGATGGTGCCACTGCACTCCAGCCTGGGCAACAGAGTGAAACTCGGTCTAAAAAAAAAAAAAAAATCTCATATGCTAGAGTTGTCACCTGGCAAAATAAATTTGGAGCTAATAGCCAGGACCTTGAGAGGATTTTGTTCCTTGGCTGAATGCAAATCCTTGCCATTTAGTGAAAACAGCAGGACTTCAAGAAGCAGCAAATCCACATCACATCCATCATCTTCAACTCCCACCATGAGCTTGTCCCATATGTAAAAATTAAATCCAAGAGAAACTTAATATTTAGGAGCTGATATTCTCTTAACTCCTTTTTTTCCTTTTTCTTTTTTTTATTTTTTTATTTTTAGGGTCTCACTCTGTCACCCAGACTGGAGTGCTGTGGCACGATTGTAGCTTACTGTGACCTCAAACTCCTGGGTTCAAGCAATCCTCCCACCTCAGCCTCTCAAATAGCTGAGACTATGGGCACACACCATTGTGCCCAGCTAATTTTTTTTATTTTTTATAGAGGTGGGTTTTCACTCTGTTACCCAGGCCAGTCTCGAACTCCTGGCCTCAAGCGATCCTCCTGCCTTGGCCTTTCAAAGTGCTGGGATTACAAGCATGAGCCACCACACCTGGCCTCTCTTCACTCTTTCTAAGAGTTAAATATTCTTTGGGGAAAGAGCATTCAACTGATCAAATTTCATAGTGTATTTTTTCTCCAGGATTTAGGCAAAGCAAAAATGCTGAGAGGTTTTGATAATCATGTTTAATTTTCAGAGCTGTTAAAATATTGTTACTTATTAGGGAAAAAAACAATTTTATAGTTGTTACAGAAAAACAGATCTTTTAAATTAGAAATAAATTGGTAGTTATCTATATCGAAACAATTTTTTTTACCTAAATTTAACAAATTCTTATTACTATGCAGACACAGAAACCTCAATTTCATTTGGCAGCCTGCTCTGCACAAAACATTATGTTGATGCTGTTTGAAAGCCAAGATTTACCAGTCACCACCCTGCAGTAATTTATGATATGAAAAATGTGCATAGGAGGTGAATTGGGCAGGAACTGGCAAAGGCTTCAAGGAAGAAGTGCCATGTTAAGCAAACCATACAAGGTTGGTAAGATGTCAACATATGGAGATGAACAGAATATTCCAAATGAACGGCATGAACAAAGTTTCCCCCAAATGGTGAAAAATAGTCCCTCCTCTGCCCTGAAAATACAGAGTAACTTAATAGGCTCCTTTACTTCTACGAGCCAGGCACACAATTTCCCTAAAAGGAATTGCTAAAGAATATTATGGGACAGGCCAGTGGCATTGGCGCCCAGGAGGTCTCCCAAGCATTCCGTAGCAGACATGCCTCTCACAGGCTGCCATCTCTGTAGGCTGCCTAGTAGGCAGGCAGTTCTGGGGCACCAGATCTCTTCTTGACTTTGGAAACTGGAGAGTCTGGCAGGGTCATTTTCTTCTTTCCATGGCATCTTCCCAGACTGCCTCCTGCCAGCTCCCAGGGAGGATCAAGTGAATGCGTCTCAGTTTATGCTGAAGGCAATGCCTATTCTGCATGCCCATCATGGGAATTCAGAGACGCACAGGCAGGCCGCTGTAGGTTGTGTTGGCCCGAGGACCCAGCAGAATGGGCAGGTAGCGCTGGTCTGAGTCTCCTGAACAAGGAGGAGTCACGTTTTAGCCTCCTTGGCAAGTACTAGGGACCTGGAAATTCCCTGGCCTCATGGCACCCTTGCTTGGAGCAGAGACTCCACTGTAAAGGGGCAATGTCTTCCCATTCCCTAAGGAATGTGTGCCAGGGTCCCTGACAGAGGGATTTAATAAGAAGCTCCAAGACCAAGTCAAATGAGAGTTCTGACATTAATGGCTAATAATTAGTGACTAATACTTGGGACCAGTAGCAAGACCTCCTCCCTCGGAGGCCTAATAAAGAACTGTATCACTGGTTGGGGAAGGAGTTCTTGTTTTGTTTTGTTTGGTTTTTAATTTTTTTTACTTTTTTTGGTAAAAATTGCTGGGGCACCTGTAAAATGTTGCTTCATGTATAAGACTGTGTAGTGATCGAGTCAGGGTATTTAGGGTGTCCACCACCCGAGTACAGTGCGTTTTAAAACAGACACCCTACTCTGCTATCAAACATTCAATGTATTTCTGGGGCAGGAGTTTTTATTCCATCCCAGTGCAGGAATGGCTGAAGGAAACCAGGAAGCAGAGTAGGAGACTAAGGAATGACATCAACATCAGTGACCCTGCAGGGATGGTGACAGGAACAATGTTTGCATGGCAGCCACCTGCCCCATTATGCAGCAAGGCAAGCCACAGCGGAAAACAGCAAAGATCAAAGGGAGCAGATGAAGTACCGGCAGCACTGGCTTCAGAGAAGAACTGTAGTGGCTAATGAGAACGTGTGAGCCACTGCAGGAAAGACACCGTGTGGCCACGTTTCCAGGGATGGGCTGGTAGAAGAAGCATAAACCATTTGGTCCTATTCTGCTGTTTTTACCCAAACCTTTTGCACCTTTGGAAACTGCAGTGGCTTGGGAATTTAGGATATACTCATCTTTAGAATTGTATCATTTCTAAATCTGATTTAGACAAATTTAGTCTATGAAAATGAAAAAAAAAAGAGGGAAAGAGGGAGGGAGAGTTTTGACTCATTTGAAATAATGCTGGAAAAAAATGCGTTTTAAATGACAAGAGTTCAGAACCCTTTTTTTTTTTTTTTTAAAGCACAGCAGTTTCCAAGGTTTACAATTTTGCGGGTCTCTAATGGCGAAGACCCTACAAAGCAAATCCAGCTTTGCCAGCATTCTGTTTTAGAATGTTCTTGGAATTTGTTTGAGGTTAAGGATATTTCCATAACGTAAGTCTACACCTTAGCTGTTTTCCAACATCTGAACATCACTGTTAATGAGACTGCTTCTCTTTTATTTTGCTGCGGCCTTTCTCAGCTTCCCACAATTGGGATAACATTTCATATCCACAGGAATGGAAATCATAACCAATAGCTCGCTTTCCTCTTCTGTGGTTTCTGTTTGTGTTTTTGCCCCTGCTTCCTTAAGCTTCCTTGGCCCCCACCTCCCCTGCAACCACTCACCCCTTCAAGCACTGCTCCACCCAGCATCTGTACTGAAAGTAAAGTTTTATGAAAAGTAGAATAAAGGGACTATAACAGGGGCTTATGCCTAGAGGCTTTCTGCAGAGCACTGAACTTGGAGTTGTAAGACTGGGGTTCAACGCCAACGCCCCAAGCCCCACGCGCGAGCCTGCCTTGGTTCCCATTGCCTATATAAGGTACAAACTCTTTAGCCTGGAATTCAAAGTTTTCCACAATCTGACACTGACCCGCATCAGTCACCCACCGCAGGTCCCACATAAATTCTCTTCTCCAGCCAACTGGGAGGTTGCCCCTGAGCGAGGAATGTTCATCCCTGCTCTCGGCTTTTGTCAGCGTTCCACTTAACTACAATGTCTGCCCATGCCTTTCCCCTCAGAGGTCCTGAGGACCTGAAGCCCGTTCCTGGGTGTTAGCAAATGTTACCACCCTCAGAATTGGAAATAATGTTATGCCCTCAAATTAAGTGATATTAGCTTTCAGTATAAGTCACCTTAGAAGATAAGTCAAAACAATTAAAGGAACAGAAACTATCATCTGGTATTCATTGGATGTAAAAGAAAGCAGGAATCAAATGCATGTGCAGAAAGGATGTGTGAACCGTACAAGGACTGACCTGTGTGAAATCTCGCAAAAAGGAGCCCAAGGGATCCCAAGCAGTCACAGGTTGTCCGTGTGTCTGTGTCTTTGTACGTGTGTCTGTGTCTTTGTCCGGGAGAGAAGTTGTCCTCGCCAGTGAACAGAAGCATTCTGGTCCACTTGGCAGACTGTCCCTTAGTAGACATGAATATGCTCAAGTGTCATAACCTGGTCACCTCACTGCTGAGAACACCCCACTCCTTCCCTTTGCTGGGATTTCGTGCTCACTGAGGGGCCCTTGACCACATTTGGGTCCCTGTGTAGGCTTACATAAAAAGAGAGGAAGGCTAACGGAGAGACTGGATTGCCCAAATTCACATCATCTAACAAAACAGTGATCGGCTTATAACCCACAGCTTGATCCCCTGTAAGTTTGTTTTGCCCAGACCTATCGCTAAGAACCTGGCCAACTCCAGGCACCCTGACCAAATTGGTTCGTGAACCTAGCAAGCCAAGAGCTAGAGCACGAATGTGGTGGCTCTTGGAAGTAACGCCTGCTGAAAGCCCTGTCTGGGAGGCCATAATGAACCTCTGGAGACATCATCTCCTGTCTCTATCATTGTGACACAATCTCACCTTGTACCAGTCAGGGTCTGGTTGAGTGAAAACCCACACCAGCCATCTTACAGGGAGAAACGAACATAAAGGATTGTAGAACCGAAAATGCAAAAGGGGAACACCCCAGTTTCATGAATGTAACAACAGCAGAAAGTAGCTCTCACCCCTAGGGCTGGGGGAGCAAAAGAAAGAGGTTGGAAATTATTGAATTTTAGAAGATTAAAGTAGGGAGATGAGGCTTCCTGCAATGCGGGAAGTAGAGGATATATTGGAGGGGAATAAAAATGAATGAAGGCAGAAGGACCAGTGAATGCCTGAATGAAATGCGTGCCTGTGAGAATGGAGAGGAGAGAGGAGATTTGAGGGAGACTGGGAGGTTAGTCTCAGACAACTAAGAAGGAGGCACCTGTAGCTGATGCTGGTGTTTCTGAAGGAATGTGATGAGCTGGGGCTGGTCTGCAAGGCAAACAGGAAACAGCATCCAGATTCCTTCTTCCTCTTCCTGCTGTCCAGGAAACCTCCCGTGTCTCCTATTGTCAGAACACAACAAGGATCCAGGGACCAAAGCACAAAAGTGTTTTGCAGGGTCCTTGCACCAGTGTCACGAACCAGAGGAAGAGGGTGATTTGGAGCTGAGGAAATAGCTTGACAATAGCTTGATAACTGGCATGATATTGAAATATTTAGATATTTGTTGTTCATTGCCTCTTCTTCCACTTGAGAGTTAGCTCTAAGAGGGTAGGGATTTTTGTTTTGTTCATTGCAATATCACCTACATCAAAACAGTCTCTAACAAACAGCAAGAACTCATTGCAGTCAGGTGTCACTAACAACAGGGTTATGCTCCGAGAAATGCGTCGTTAGGTGATTTCATCGTTGTGCGGACATCATAAAATGTGCTTACCCAAACCTAGATGATATAGCCTACTACACACCCAGGCTATATCGTATAGCCTATTGCTCCTAGGTGACAAGCCCGTACAGCATATTACTGTACTGAATACTGTAGGCAACTGTAACATAATGGTAAATATTTGTCTACCTAAGCATATATAAACATAGAAAACGTACAGTGAAAATATGGTATTATAACCTTACGGGACCACTGTCGTATACGCAGTCTATTGTTGACCAAAACGTCATTATGTGGCACCACTATAGGTAAATGTCAAATTAATGAATTAGTATCATCACCCAAAACAAAATATGAAAATCAAAAGCTATAGCAAAATATACTCTCCAAAATATTAATACCTCTTAGCCAATGTACTAGTTAGAGTTAGGTTTGGCTTTCAGTACCAGAAAAGTCAAAATGGTAGTGGCTTAACCATGAAGGCACTTGCTCACCAAAAAGAAACCCAGACGTCATCAGTTCAAGGGCTGATGTGGCCCTCCATCCATAGTGCTAAGGGCCCAGGCTCCTTCTCGGTTGTTCTGCTAGTCTTAGCTCCGCATCACGGTCCACTGTGGCTGCTCCACCCCAGCCATCCCATTAGCATTCCAGCAACAAAAAAGAGAAAAAGCACATCCAGAAGTTAGTCACGTGGTCCACATCCAGCTGGGAGAAAAATAACATTCTGAGTGGCCATGAGCCCACCTAAAACTCATGTCCTAGGTAGACTACAGAAGAGGTGAGAATGAATGTTCTAATTCTCATCATTTTCATGAACCACATTTATAGAGAGAGAGCAAGACAGAGACTCAAAGAACAGCTGCATGTGGAAGGAAAATGTTGACATTTATGATGACTGTGAGATCCTTGCATTGGATAAATTCTCGGAGCAATTGGACTTAGTGTAACATCAGTGTAACACCTTAAAATAATAACACGAGGTGTCTTTGCATACATGGAGAACCACTGCCTAGCAAATCATATTTATTTTCTTCCTTTCGTATATGTAACAAAGAAGAGAATTTCTCGACACTTGCTGTGGTGGAGTATGCATTCATTGTGTCTGCAATTTCTTGTATATGACTATCTTTTCTAATTTCTCCACACTAAACATGTGAACATATACTGCTTGTGTAATAAAAACTTGTTTATAAAACATACACACAGTACAGTAGTTGTTTCCAATTCTCTTAGCTACAGAATGAGTCGATCTTTTTCATATCAAATTACTTTTCAAAGTGACCTAGTGGACTAAGCATGAGTCTGGGAGCTGGAAACCCTCCAAATCTTTATCAAAGTACAAGGGGCTCCTGCTGTGGAACCTTTGCTATTCCTTTATCCCCTCTGAATCTTAGGTTCCTTGTGCAATACATAAGTATACTCAGGGATATTGAGTTGAATTGATTAGCATTCTCTGGGACTACAAAGACATAACATTGTTTTTATTTAAGGTTGTTGAAAATTGAGTCTGAGGCATAATACCTAAATAAAAGCTGTTTCATTAGCCTTTGTGCTGCGAATAAAATGATACATCCTTTGAGTAAATTGTAAATAGCAGAGTTTCAACAAGCCAAAGCCTCACAGCCTAGGACCTATTTTCTCCTATTTGACGTGGTAAAAGAAGTTACGCTAGGTTATCAACAACCTAGTGCTATGAATTATGTGTATGTGATAGATACCATTTTTAAATTGAATACTTTTATTAAAAATTCACTATATTATTCTTTTTTCCTTTTTTATATTAAGGTTCAATTTACAGAAGATTAAAGTAGATTTTTACCCTTTTTATTGTGCAGTTCTTCAAGTTTTGAAAAGTGTATAGAGTTGTGTAACCACCACCAGGATGCAATAGTTAAGTAAAACAGTTACATCACCCTAAAAAATTCCTTTTCACCCCTTTGCAATCCACTCCTCTCCCTACCCCAGCCCCTGGCAACCATTGATTGGTTATCTGTCCTTGTAGTTTTACCTTTGCAAGATTATCATGTATCATTCGTTTCATAAGGTGAAATCATACAGGATAAGGTCTTTGCCTTCTTTCACTTGGTATATATGAGATATAGCCATGTTGTTGCATATATCTGTAATTCGTTTCTTTTATTGCTAAGTAGTATTCAACTACATGAATGTATCACATTTTGTTTATCCATTGCCCAACTGAGTGACATTTGGTTGTTTCCAGTTTTTGGTGATTACAAACGAAGTCAATATAAAGATTCACATACAGATTTTTGTGTGGACATAGGTTTTCATTTCACGTGGGTAAATACCTAGGAAAGAAATTGCTGGGTCCTACAGCAAGCATACATTTAACTTTACAAAAAGCTGCCAAACTGTTTTCCAAAGGGCTGTGCCATTTTGCAGCCACATCAGCAATAGATGAGAGTTCCAATTGCTCCAAATTCTTGCTAATGTTTGATAATGTTGATTTTTGTTTATTTTAGCTATTCCAATTCAGTGTTTAATGGTATTTGTGGTCTTGATTTGCATTTCCCTAATTATTAGCGATGTAAAACATCTTTTTATGTGCTTATTTGCCATCCATGTAGCTTCTTTGATCAAATGTTGGTTGAATTCTTCTGCTCATTTTTTAACTGGGCTCTATGGTTTTCCTATTATTGAGTTTTGAGAGTTCTTTACACTAGTTCTTTATCAGATATATGTTTTGCAAGTACTTCTTACCAGTCTGTGGCTTTTCATTTTCTTTACCACTGCATTATTCCTTTTTTTCTTTAGTTCAAGAGATCTATTGTATAGCACGATGACTATAGTTAATAACAGTATATTGAATACTTCAAAACCGCTAAGAGAGTAGATTTTAAGTATTCTCACCACAAAAATAATGATAAGTATATGAGGTCATGAACATGTTAATTAGCTAGATTTAACATTCTACAATCTATACATCTATCAAAACATCATGTTTTACACCATAAATATATATAATTTTTACTTGTCAATTTAAAAAGTAAAAATTAACACATTTTTAAAACAACATTTAGAATCCAGACCTTGCACATTTTCATCACAGATGCACATGGCACCAGTGATGTATTATCCAGAGCTTGGGGCAAGCCTCTCCGACGTACACATGGTCAACTCGCCCAGCTTTGTCTTTCAGTTTCTTCTCTTTTTTGGATCTAGAGGAAGTGTATCACATAAAAGAGTGGTGAAGATGACATAGAGGAGGTACTGTCTTGAAGGATTCTGGTCTTGAAGAGTGAGAAGTATTACTGATCCACTGCTGTTGCAAAAAACTGGGTAGTCAGAGGGTTACGGGGTGGTATAATAATGAAAGCCCTGAAGTTGGAATGAATCTGCTGCCATGTCGCTCTATCTCTCTGCACCTTATTCTTTTTTTTTTCATTTTGACTTAGTTGAAAATACTGTCAAAAATATTACTGTTAGCTACTTGGGAGGCTTAGGTAAGAGGATTGCTTGAGCCCAGGAGTTAGAGGCTGCAGTGAGCTATGATTGCCCCACTGTACTCCAGCCTGAGTGACAGAGTGAGACCTTATCTCTAAAAAATATATATATTTTTTAAAAAAGAATATTATTGACCTGACTGTGTTTGGAAACTCCTGCTCTGTAAAACACACATAAAAATAATGGACAGGGTTCCTGTTCTAGGGATGTAAATAATTTCATTGGTGTGCTAGTACATAACTTAATCTTACCTAAGGGTAAGAAAAAAGCTCTGCTCCATGAGGTCATCCAGAGACCCAGGTTCTTTCTAGCCTGTGGCTCTATTACCCTCGGGCCTATTGTTCTCATCTGTTAGTTAAAGTTAATTCACTCTCACTTTATCTGCATTTCTACCTGAGTGAAAAGAGAAGGCAGAGCACAAGCTACTTCCTTTTTAGGACATGACCCAGAAGTTACAGGACATGACCCAGAAGTTACTAACATCCTTTTGGCCACATATTAGTTACCTATCTACAGCTAGCTGCTCAGAAAACTTGAAAATGAACTATTTAGCTGGACAATCATGTGCTCTGCTTAAAACCCTACTCTATGGAAGAGTCTACGTAGGGGATCACATAGCAGTCCAGCATAGAGAGGAAATGGAGGTGTGGTAACTAAAATCAGATCTTCTTACTCATACTCACGGACAACCAGAAAGCAGAAGCTGCCTTTTGCAAACTCAAAGTTACTTTTGAGGTTAACGGAAAGTTGAATAAGATGTTCCTTTGCTCACTTCAAGCTGAAGACAGAAAGGAGTTAAGTGGCCTCACACTCTGAAGGACGCTGAGCATCAACAGTGTCAGACGCCCACACAAAACCCACACCACACAGTCCCTAGCCCCACCCCCAACCCCCCAAAGACTGAGTTAGTGAAGTAAGAGGAAGTCATTGAGTAATTGCCCTTCTGAGGAATGTAATTTTCTGTTGTAAGAGGTCATTCCTTCCCCACCCTAGGAGAAAGGGAAAAAAACAGGTTATATCCCTTCTCAAAGATAAATGAACAAGGCTCAAGAAAACCACTTTAAAAAATTAGAGGAGTGTTTCTCATGCAGGAGCAATTTGGCTCCCCAGATGGGATGACCAACAATTCCAGTCTAGGTTGGGACTGAAGAGTTTCCCAGATGATTTCATTTCCTACTTTGGTTCTAACAAATTAGCACAAACGTAGGGACTTAAACAACGCAGACATATTATCTCACAGTTCTGGAGGTCAGAAGTCTCACTAGATTAAAATCAAGGTGGTGACAGGGTCATGTTCCTTTTGGAGGCTCTAGAAGAGAATCCACTTCTTGCCTTTTCCAACTTCTAGAGGCTGCCTGTATTCCTTGGCTCATGGCCCCTTCCATCTTCAAAGGCAGCAATTACATCGCTCCAACCTCTGCTCCTGTTGTCACGTTTCCTTCTCTGACTCTGACACTGCTGCCTCCTTCTTACAAGGATCCTTGTGATTACCATGTGCCCACCCAAATCATCCAGGATAATCTTCTCATCTCAAGATGCCTAACTTAATCACACCCACAAAGTCCATTCTGTCATATAAGGTAGCATATTCACAGACTTGGGGGATTTGCCTGTGGTCAGCTTTAGGGAGACATTATTCTGCATCCCTTACCAGTTCATGGGATTTTTAGACTTGACATCAGGAAAGTTGGTCACGCTATTGCCACAAAATCTTTGGCAATATCTGAAAACATTTTAGATTGTCACAATTGTCATCTAGTGCAGGGGTCCCCAACCCTGGGGCCACTGGAGCATGAGTCCTATTGTGAACTGCACGTGAGGGATCTAGACTGTGCACTCTTCATGAGAATCTAATGCCTTATCATTTGAGGTGAAAGAGTTTCATCCAGAAACCATCACCCCCACCCCCTTACCTCCCCGCACCCTTCGCCCCATGTCCATGGAAAAATTGCCTTTCATGAAACTGGTCCCTGGCGACAAAAGCATCGAGGACCACTGATCGAGTGGGTAGAGGCCAGGGATGCTGTTAAACATCCTACAAGATACTGGACAGCCCCTCGCAGCAAAGCATTATTCAGCCCAAAATGCCAAGGCTAAACTCAATATTAGAGGTACATAGAAAAGTCAAGAATGGCATCCTTAGATGGTGAAATTGATGAGCTCCTCTCTGCCGAGCTGAGGTGGGAAAAAGAAGATGGAGGGAAATGGCAGGTCTTAGACAAGGGCAGCAGTGAGAGGCATGCGTTTCTATTCTTGGCATGGAACAAACATTTCAGTTTCCTGTGGGTTGAGTGGCTCTCGTGAAAACGGGCTGGGAGGAAGCTGCCCTGTCAGTGCCATGCTCTGAGGATCTGTCCACCAAGTGAGTGAACTCTGGCAGCAAGGGCAAACTGCCAGGGCCAGGTGCTGTGGAGGCTGGACCAGAGTGGGCCAGAGCAAGACTTTCCAAAAAGGGAACTGTGCAGTGGAGGAAGTGTCACATAGCCTCCTAAAACTTATTTGAAAAGTCTGTGGGCAAATCAGCCTCTGGATGCCTGCCGCAAAGACAGCATCCACAGCCCATCAGGTCATTGCAGCAAAAGAAGCTGTAACAACCAACATGAGGAGATTGGGATTGTGCCCCTACTTTGTCTCTGGTCCCTCAGAATGAAATGATGAAAGAAAACAGAAGGGCAGAACACACACCTTCCGTGTTCAATGTCCTTTCTGCCAGAAGTCTGACCTGTAATGGGACACAGAGAAAGTTTTACATGAGATGTGAGATTTGAGTTTAAACTGAACTAATTTCAATAAATTGGAAGTGACTAGAAAGGATCAGCCCAAGAGGTCTTAAAAATCTGCTGCTACTTAGTATAGCAAGAAGACTGGACAGATGGTAATGGAAAGCAGTGATTAGCGAAAAAATAATTTTATTCTTCTACCTCACCAAGTTGTCTTCAAAGTATAATATTTCTATTGACCAATATCATTGGTGGGATCATAAAATGACCTCAATCCATAACTCAAAAGTGTGGTGGAATCTTGCCCCAGGGCCCAGAACCATCAATTTTCCATGTGACATAAATAATATCGCATTAGAATTGCTATGGCTGGGTGGTCTTGCCCTCAGTCACCCAAAGGCCTCACAGGAGCAACTGACCCGGTTAAGGGATCCTGTTGCTAAAGTATGTCATGTGACCTGAGCACTTGCTCTCAGTAACGGAGTCACAGACTCTACAACCACATAGAAAATGTTTCTCTTGTTCCATAACTCTAATTGAAAGCAGCTTATTACCTTAGCTTTCCATACCCATATATTTGTTTATGGGAGGAGCCATACTGAAATATTATCATGGCTTTGTCCTCCCTGTATTTTTCCCTTTCTACCCTTTCAAGCAAGTAGCCAGACAATTTTATGCCCTGTGATAATGGGATGCCTAAGAAGTTACAGAGCCAAAAGCAGAAGCTTCCTGCAAGATAATTCCCTTTCTTTTGAAAAAGGCTAAGTTCTTTAAAGAGGCTATACTCATTGTCCTGGAGGAAAAGGTCCTTTGAGAAAGGGTAAAAAAAGAGTAATGATTTGGGCCTTCATTGAAAAAAGGAAGATCAGAGTTCCAGACAAAGTGAGGACCAAGGCAATGCTTCTGGAAGGCCCTAGGTAGTGCCTGATGCCAGAGTGGGGGCTGCACTTATACCCAGAGCTGGACCCTCTTCTCACCCCAAGTGTGGCACAAGGTCATAGAGCATTAGAACCGAAGAAGACCACATGGGCTACGACTATAGGCATCTCTGCAGTAACCAGGCCAGAGAGAGAACCAGCTCCAGTGCCTTGGGGCTCCACAAGACCCCTGGACCCTGGTGTAGCCCTGAGCATAGGGCTCCAAGTATGTTAGAAACAGAATGTCTGGCTTCTCTCTCCACCCCACTGCAGGACAAGGGCTTAGAGTTAGATGAAGAAAACAAAGAACTGGAGGTGTGGACTGATATTGTAACAATATCCCATTCATTTCCCTAATTTTTTTTCTCTTCTTCTGTTTTTTTTTTTTTTTTTTGAGTTGGAGTCTTGCTCTATTGCCCAGACTAGAGTGCAGTGGTGCTCACTGAGCCTTGAACTCCCTTGGGCGGGGGAGGGGGGAGAGAGAGAGAAAGAAAGAAAGAAAGAAAGAAAGAAAGAAAGAAAGAAAGAAAGAAAGAAAGAAAGAAAGAAAGAGAAAAAAGAAAAGAGCACAATTATGAGGGATGGGGTATTTCAAAGGGACACAGGCACTCGCCAACGAAAGAAGCTCCAATGGTCAAGGCAGGAACAACTTGAGCAACAAAATAAATAAAGTAGTTGAATGATAACTCAATATCCTTGAGACCATACTGATGTATATACCTTATTGAATAAATAAATTTATGGAGAAGAAGAGACAAATTTATCATGCAGAATAATTCCAAATAATTTATGTAGATTCTTCCCCAAGAAGGTAGAGCATAACTTCTCACTCACTAACTGTGAGCTGTGCAGAGGGAGTTTTTTCAACACTATACTACAGAAGGGAGGAGAAAAAGTAACTTTTCAGTAGAGAAACCTGCAAACACTACCTCATCTGGGTGTTCAAACTCAGCATCAACAGTGATAAGTCATGTTGATGGTATGTGCTCTTGATGTGATGTGATGAGACTCTCACGTTGACTATGTGGTCTTTTTCCCAAAACCCATAACTCCAGCCTAATCAGGAGAAAAGCATCAAACAAATTCCAACAGTGGGACGTTTCCAAAATAACCTGATCGGTACTCCTCAAAACTGTCAAGGTTATCTGAGAAACTGCTAGCCTAGAGGAGATTATGAAGATATGATGACTAAATGTAATGTGGTATCCTGGGTAGGATCCTGAAACAGAAAGAGGACATTAGGCATAACTGAAGAAATGAATAAAGTATGGACTTTAGTTAATAATAATGTATTAATATTTGTTCATATAGTAACAAATACGCCACACCAGCGTAAGAGGTTAATAATAGGGAAAACTGGGTGTGGGTATATGAGAACTCTACTATCTTCACAACTTTTCTGTAAATTTGAAACTATTCAAAAAATAAACTTTATTTAAAATATAGAAGGCTCTTGGGTTTATTTTAAGCCTCAAAGAAATGAATATAATGGACTAAAAATTGGACAATTTATCACAAAGGCAGATATAGCTTAGTGGTAATAATGTCTGGAAAGAGTATTAATATGTTAATTGGTTTATACCTCTATATATTGGTTTGTATTCTATTGGAAGCCCAAAATGTTATCCAGGAGATATTAATGTGCTAGCGATGAGACATTGTACTCAGTGATTCTAAGAAACATCTATTTACTTTAACAAGAATTTGATGGCTAAAAATGTTTAAATGATTTGAAAATTTCCTTCTGTAACTTCCCTATAAACTCCAAATTTCTTAGGGGTCAATAAATCAATTATATATTTTTAAAAATCCTACCTTCAGCTTTTAAACACTTGAAAAGCTGTCCAACCTCACTCATAAGAGGAATTATATAAAGTGGAATAGTATTTTTATCACATTCATAAAAACCCAAAAGTGATATTGGCATAGCTGTGGAAAAATAGGCACCTTCATACATTGTTGTGAGAACATAAATTGGTAAAACCCCAATGGAGGCGATCTGGCAAAATCAAAATTATAAATGATTATATCTTTTATTCAACAATTCCATTTCTAGGAATTTATCCTACAGAGATACTCACATATATGCTGATATGGTTTGGCTGTGTCCCCACCCAAATATCATCTTGATTTGTAGCTCCCATAATTCCCACGTGTTGTGGGAGGGACCCAGTTGGAGATAATTGAATCATGGGGGTGGTTTCCCCCATACTGTTCTCTTCATAGTGAATATGTCTCACAAGATCTGATTATTTTATAAAGGGTTGCCCCTTTCACTTGGCTCTCATTCTCTCTTGATTGTCACCATCCATGTAAGATGTGACTTTGATCCTCCTTGCCTTCTACCGTGATTGTCAGGCCTCCCCAGCCATGTGGGACTGTGAGTAAATTAAACCTCTTTACTTTATAAATTACCCAATCTTGGGTATGTCTTTATCAGCAGCATGAAAACAGACTAATACACATGCAAATAACATTAGTATAAGTTTATTCATTGCAGTTTTGTGTGTAATAGCAAAAGATTGAAAATGTCTATAAATGAAAAGTCTGATTAAATAAAATAAGATGCATTCCTACAATGAAATACCATGTGGCTATTTTTTTTAAAAAAAGAACAAATAAGCTCTTTATAGATTGATACAGAAAATCTTTAAAATATACTGTTAAGATAAAAAGCAAGATGCAGAGTAGTAGACATATCATTAATATAAAAGGGAGATAGAAATTGGTTCATAAATATATGTTAAAGTGCTTGGAAAGACAAACCAAATATTAACACCAGTGATTACCAATTGGGGATGAGAGATGGGGTGAGGGGTAGGAACTGGGCAAATGAAAGACAAGAGTCTACTTTCACTGAATACTTTTTTATACCTTTTGATATTAGAACTACATAAATAGGTACTATAATACCTATTCAAAAAATCAAATACATTTTTAAACTCTACCTTGTGAGAAGTGGAAGGCCATTAACTGTGCTGCAGAATTCTTATTCAGATAAAAAGCATAAATGTACTACCATATAGTATCTATTAGTCATTACATTTTCTATTTCCTTTAACTGAGTCAAAACAGAAACATCAGAATTAAAGGCATCATATTCATTTTAGTATTTTGATATAGTTTTAACTTGCAAATAGTCTGGAGGTAGTTTTAGAGACATGATTTGTGACACATTTAGTCCTAGTTACATACAGCACTTTTCAAAAACATATTAATGATATAAATTAATTCAATAACAGAACTTGAAGCTTGAAAGCCATTATTTCTCCCTAGCGAAGCTAATTTGTCTCCTGCAGGGACATGCCAAGAAGAAAATTTTGAGTCCTAACTCTGAGTCTCTTTGTTTAATCATTGTATTTTCTCTTACCAATGTATAAAATCTCATATTTACAATTCTACAGCTAGGTTACTATAATTATCATTCCAAGCAACATATTATTTGTACCTGTTGTAATAAATATACACAATGCATAAGAGAAAAAATATGAACTCTTCTTCCATGAAGGTTTTCCAAATATTGGAGTGCAAAGGGACATAATTCAAATTTGTAAAGAAATTTTTGAGTCATTACCATAAGCTATGAGTTTTAGGCTGTAAATATAAAACAAATATATACTGCCCCTGTACTCCAAAACATATGACTAGTTAGAGAATAAAACAACTGTATATGTAACTCTAACACAATACATAATATGAAGAGTAATGTATTAATAAAAGTGGGACAAATTGATACAGGTATATGAAGGAGGAGAAGATCTCATCCAGTTGAGAGGGATCAGAGAGAACTTTGATGAAGAAGGTATCATTTGAGATAGTCTTGAAGAATGGCTAAGATTCCGATAAGCCAAACAAGAGGGGAGTTACTTAAGGTCAAAGGAATCCGTAAACCAAAAGATGATGCGTTTGGGAAATAACAACGCATATCATTCCCTCCAGCTTATAAAACTCTCTTATCTTAACAGAAAGAAGAAAAAAGGAGAAGTAGAGGAAGGAAGGGTGAAAGGAAAGAGGAAAGGAATAAATAAATGAAAGAATGAAAGAAGGGGGCTGGACCAGTGGCTCATGCCTGCAATTCCAACACTTTGGGAGGCTGAGGCGGGAGGATCACTTGAGCCCAGGAGTCCGAGACCTGTCTGGGCAACACGATGAAACCCCATCCCACAATATAAAAATAAAGAATGAAAGAAGGAACAAATGATAAAAGAAGAAATAAAGTTTCCGTGGACCCTACCTTCCTTTCTAGCTATTGTGAACCTCATTCATTCCATTTCAAGCTAAATTCAAACCAAGACAAAGTCCATTCCTTGATTCCAGTTTCTCATTTTTTGCTCACTCTTCAAACTACTGAAATCTGGCTCCTGCCCACATCACTCCACTTAAACTTCTCTTCATAAGGTCCCCTACAACCTCATTGCCAAACCTTACTGGAGAGTTTTCAGTGTTCACCGTGCCTGACCATTCTGTGTCATTTGACTGTGTACCACATCCTCCTTCAAACTTGCTCCATGTGGTTTCAGCTCCACCAGTCTTTCTCCACTCCTACCTCTCCAGCATCTCCATTTCTCTGGCTCAACTTCTTCCTTCCCAATCCTTAAATGTTGGTATTATCCAGAGCTGTGTTCTTGCTCTCTCTTCTTCCTCCATACGCTTACCCTGGGTAATTTTTTCCTCTCCCGTGACTTTAAATGCTACCTGTATGCCAGTGGTTCTCAAGTGACTGGGGGTGATTTCTACCCTTCAAGGGGACACGTGGCAATGTCTGACATTGTTTTGCTTGTCACAATGGGATTTGGAGGAGGTGCTCCCGGCATCTAGAGGGTGGAGACCACGGAAGCTGCCAAACATACTACAACGCACAGGAATATCTGGCCCGAAATATCTCACCACAAAGAATATCTGGCCTGAAATGCCAATTTTCCCAAGATTGAGAAATTTCTGCTACTTGCTAACGAATCTCAAGTTCCTTTATTTAGTTTCCATCAAAGCTAGATGTGCATTGTTATTACATATCCTATTGCCCTTCAAACAGCTCCACCTGTATGTCCCCCAAACATTCTAACCTCTAAATGTCTAAAACTGAACTTGTTTTTCTTATCAAAACCTATTTCCCCCTTCTGTGCTCCTCATCTCAATGATACCACCAGTCATCCAAGTTGTTTCCAGCCAGAGATCTGGAAATCAGTTTGACCTCATGCCTGCCTTTCTTTGCTTACTGCCACACATCCAGTCAGCAGTTCTTTCCATTAAAAAGCTTTCGAATCAATTCCTCCCTCTTATTTATTATTGTACATCTTACCTAATTTATTGCTATATATACTTCCTAAGTTAATATCTGCTTCCAGTACCTGTAGTAATCAGAGTGCAGGCTCTGGAATCAGACAATCTGAGTTGGAATTCCCACTTTGGATTCCACAACTTTCTTGTTTCTTTCTTAGGCATGTTGCTTATACTCTCTAAATTTCAGTTTTTCTTCTTGAATGTTATCAGTACTAACTTCATGAGTTGGTTGTGAAGATTAAATGATTTAATATATGGGATGCTCATGCAGTGTGAGGGAATGCTTATAAATACAGTCATTACTATTATGTCACATCTTCAATCCATACTAAAACTGTCAGAGTGATCTTTCTAAGGCAGTCACACCTGATTAGGAGCCCATTTATTTCAAAGCCCATTTTATTTCCTCCGCATGGTGCTTAACCCCTCTTCACCCTTACTATTCATCTTCTCAAATAGAATAACGCTGAGCTAGAGGATACATTAAAAGTCATCTTGTCCACATATCAGGGATGAGAAAACAGGCCAAAAAGTTTTCCAAATTTGATAAAATCTATAAAATTGTCAACCTAGAATTCCATACTCAGCTAAAATACCTTTCAGAAATGAAAGTAAAATCAAGACTCAGACATAAGGCACAGTGGCTCATACCTGTAATCCCAGCACTTTGGGAGGCCAAGGCAGGAGAATCACTTGAGCCCAGGAGTTTGAGACCACCTGAATAATAAAGTGAGACCTCATCTCTACAAAAAATTAGTCAGGCCTGGTGGCATGCACCTGCAGTCCCAGCTACTTGAGAAGCTGAGGCAGGAGGATTGCTTGAGCTCAGGAGACCAAGGCTGCAGTGAGCCATGATTGTGCTACTACACTCCAGCATAGGTGACAGAATGAGACCTCGTCTCAAAAAAAAAAAAAAAAAAAGAAGTTGAAAGAATTCATGACCAGAAGACCCACACTGCAAGAAATGCTAAAGTAAGTCCTTAAGACAGAGGAAAATAATACCAAATGGAAATACAGAACTCCACAAAGGAGTGCAGAGCATTGGGAATGAATACACGGGTAAATATATAGGATTTTTTCCTATTCTTATTAAATATTATTTAAATGTCCTTAAAAGAAAATTGACTGTTTAAATACAAATAATAACAATATTATAAAAATATTTGAAGAGTCATGTGAAAAATATATAACAATAATGGCAGAAAGACAGGGAGAAGTAGAAATGGAAGTACATTATTGTAAGGTTCTTATACTCCATGCGAACTGGTACGATATCCCTTGAAAGTAGACTGAGCAGAGTTAAAGCTATAAACAATAAACTCTAAAGCAACCACTATAATAACAAAGAGTTATAACCAATAATCCAGCAAAGGAGACAAAAGGAAATCGTAAAAAATACTTGATTAATTCCATTGCTGGGTGCAGTTGTGCATGCCTGTAATCCCAGCTGAAGAGGCTGAGGCAGGAGGATCACTTGAATCCAGGAGTTCAAGACCAGCCTGAACAACACAGCAAGATGCCATCTCAAAAAAAAAAAAAAAAAAAAAAAAAACTTGATTAATTCAAAGGGAGATATAGAAAGAAAAAAGGAGGGGAACAAAGAACACATGGCACAAATAGAAAACAAACTGCAAGGTGATCAATTTAAACCTAACCTTATCGGTAATCATATAAATGTAAATGGGACCTAAACAACCCAATTAAAAGACAAAGATTCCCAGGAGGAATATTGGTGATTAATAAAAAAGAAGAGAAAAAGAAAAAGGCAAAGATTGTCAAATTGAATAAAACAGCACAACCCAACAATATGTTTCCTACAAAAAAAATACACTTTATATATAAAGACATAAAAAGATTAAAAGTAAAATGATGGGGAAAATATACTATGCTAACACTAATCAAAAGAAAGCTGGAAAAAAATATGATCAATTACATTTATGCATTTTCTAACTTTAAAGGAAACTTGCATTTCTTATAAAACCAGCTGGATCGCAGGCATGATGGCAGGTGCCTATAATCCCAGCTACTCGGGAGGCTGAGACGGAAGAATTGCTTAAACCTGGGAGATGGTGGTTGCAGTGAGCCAAGATTGCACCACTGCACTCCAGCCTGGGCGGCTGAGCAAGACTCTGTCAAAAAAAAAAAATGTCATTTTATATGATAAAGTTGTCAATTCATCAGAAAAACATAACAATCCTAAATGTCTATGCGTCTATAACAAAGCTTCAAAACACATGAAGCAAAACCTGATAGAACTGTAGGGAGAAATATACAAATCTATCATTATAATTGAAGAATTTAACAATCCCTCTCAATAATTAACAGAACAAATAAATAGAAAGTCAGTAAGAATATAGAAGACTCCAACAAAACTATCACATATATTTATAATATATAAATATATTGGGAATATGAGCTAATTACTATTTATAGAACATTCTCCCCAAACAACAACAAAATAGACGTTCTTTTGAAGTACATATGGAACACTTACCAAGTTAGATTATAATCTGAGCCATAAGGCAAATCTCAAAAAATTTTAAAGAATTCGAATCATACAAGTATATTCTCTGACCATAAGGAAATTAAATCAGAAATTAAAAGAATGAGGTGAGAAATAATTAAAGGAAGAGATGTGTGATTAAGAGCATTATTCACTGATTCTCAGATCGTATTTTAGGGCAACAGTCAGAACAAATATGAATTCAACAGCAATTTACTGTCTTTCCGCAACAAATCCTAAAGCTATGATTGAGTCACATGAATTCGTCACACACTGAAGGAGCATTGGCTGTCATTACTCTTGGGGGAAGCAGCTCTTATTATCTTCAGACAAAAACCAAAATCTTCCCACCCACTTAGGGGCATAATACATCACAAAACAGCATTCTTAACTGCTGGGTCAAAATATACAACTGGCTGGGACAGCTTAGGGGATCAATTTTTTTTTAATTCTTTAAACCTTTCACGAAGATTTTATTTCCTTAATTTTAAAAAAGATTCACAAGTGGCTAACTAGAAAGAGTGATTTAATATTTATTCAATAAACTAAATGTTCCTCCAGTTAGTACGTTTGAGGGGTTTAGTGCGGGAGGCTCCCCGGGTGACACCGTTCACCAGCTCCCCTCTGCTCTCCCGCTAGGGTTGGCCTGCACTTCTTGCTTAATGCTGAGTGAGTGTAGAAAGTAGAAGCCATGGATTTCAGGTTATGATCCATGCAAATGGATAGAGGAGCCAGAAAAGGAACACAAATACATTGAAAATATGGGAGGATGGGAGGCAGTAAGTTATATCTTCATATGATATGACAGGAAGTCAATTGATAATACCTATAACTAATAAATCACAAAGTAAGGACAGAGAATGTCATTTGATGGTATAGAAGAAACTACAAGAAGGGCCAGGCATGGTGACTCATGCCTCTAATCCCAGCACTTTGGGAGGCTGAGGTAGGTGGATCACCTGAGGTCAGGAGTTGGAGACCAGCCTGGCCAACATGGTGAAACCCCGTCTCTACTAAAAATACAAAAATTAGCCAGGCAAGGTGGTGCACGCCTGTAATCTCAGCTATTCGGGAGGCTGAGGCAGGAGAATCACTTGAACCCGAGAGGCAGAGATTGCAGTGAGCCGAGATCACTCCATTGTACTCCAGCCCAGGCGACAAGAGAGAAATTCTGTCTAAAAAACAAAACAAACAAACAAACAGAAAACATACTACAAGAAGAAACAAGGAGAAGTGGTGACTTTTGGGAACAATATAGAGTTGAATAGGGCTGGGTAGGGGACTCTGGTTTATAATTACATGTGTGTATTACTTTAATTTTTTTAAAAACATTTTTAAAGTATAATAAAAATCACTAAAATCAATGAGGTGAATAGTTCAAGATTTCAGGACACAAGTTATGACAATTTTGTAAGTGTGTTAACAGTAGGCTCTAACCACCAATGATTAACTGCAACATCCTTCCCTCCCATTTGGTTTCCTTGAACTTACACTCCTTTGCCAGAGCATATACATAAAATGCAAATTGACCTATATATCTTCTCTTTTTAGAGCATTTAGTAGACTCCTATGGCCCAAAGCAGCAAACCAAAGCTCTTAGACACAGGGTTTAAAAGTATCATACCTCTCCAGTGAAGTTTCTCACCACTCTCTGCATCACCACGGGCTTTGTGCTGCAGCAACACCAAAATGCTTTGTCCCCCACATACCCAGCCTGAGTGCCTCTTGCCAACCTCTACCCGCTGACCTGTAACCATTCTTCAAGACTAAACCAATGGGTGACTTCCACCACCAGGAAACCATCCCAGACTTTCCCCAAGGTAGGCAAGGTGCTTCTCCTGTCTTTCTTATATTTCCCTGTGAATATTTCCATCAAGGTCCCAACAATGTTATAGAGTGTTCTGTCTCTAGAACCCCTACTAAATGGTGAGTTTCTTGAAGTCAATCTTTGTATCCACAGTGCCTATCACGAGCACATATTACGTGCTCAACAAGAGCTTTTTTAGTTAGTTTTGAGGATGCTTTCAGGACTAAGAGGAGGTCGCATCTAATAAAAAATTAGATCTAATTTTCACTCTGAGTAAATTCATATCTACCACAGAATGATCTCTTTACACACACACACACACACACACACACACACACACACACACACACACACAAGAATATAAACAATCTATCCCAACTCATGGGCAGTTGCCTGAAGGGCATACCTTATTTATCCATCTAGCTGCTACACTGCTAGAAAAACTACCCTAAATTAACATCTAAAGAACTGCCTCTTTAAGCCTTTATTTTTTTAAATACAAGTAGCCCTGAGATTGGTTAAGTTGAATTATTGTCACTCTCCCTTTGGTGTGATTTTGCCAAGTCCATCATCCCCACACCTTCCTAATGCCCACAGAGCCAGCAGCCTCGAGGATGACAACCTCAGAGGTGCTGCAAGGAGCAGGAGAGCGCTGTTTTGGAATCTGGGGCACTGTCACATAGAAATGAAAGATGTGCCTGCTACATACACATGCTTTGGGATCCCACGATCTGGTTTCTGTTCAGCCACTGACTCATATCTCTGTGACACTGGGCAGGTTATTTTACCTCTCTAAGTCATGTTTTTAAGAGGCTACATTCTCCTGGTTTGTTGGAGGATTAAATGATGTCATCTCCATTGTGCTCTTCAACAGGGTATGGGGTAGTCTCCCAGGAAATATTAGTTATTGCCAACAGTACCCTAATGGGCAGACCAAAAGCAGGGGACCCCTGGGGGTAAAGAGAGAAAGCTAGAAGGCACCAAAGACAACCCTCAAATACTTGACAATTGTGCCTGGAGGCTGGAGTCTTGTACATTCAACTCAGCCTTTCCTTAGAGGGGAGTGGTCTCCCATATCATCCAGAGGTAGGACTAAGGCCATCCTCTACAAAGTGATCTACCTCCTCCTCAGGTTTTTATACATTTCCACTTGTTGCCCCTACTGACTGCAAAATCTGGAAGCAACAAGGAATCCTTCCACCACATAAGGTGTGAAAGAGGGAGATGGTTCTGAAACTTGTGTGATACTTACATACCCTCTTTGTCACATATGGCCATGTACTAGTACACTGAGTGACTTCTCCAAACATGTGGATAAGGAAGGCGCGTAAGAGAGAAAAACCCCTTCTATACCTCAACCTGGTTGCCAGTGGCTTCAGGTGAAAGTGGCTGGGGTAGGTGGACAAACTGACGTGCTTGTAAATCTTAAATCAATGGTTTTCAAACTCAGGCATGCATCAGAAGCACCTGGAGGACTTGTTAAAACATGGATTGCTGGCACCTCCCTGGAGTTTCTGATTCATGAGGTCATGGGGCCTGAGAATTTGCATTTCTAGCAAGTTCCCAGGTGATGCATCTACTGCCGCTCTGAGAACGCACGTTGAGAACCACTGCTCTAAAGAATACACTATGAAGTTCAAAACAACTAAATTTTACTTTTATTTCCAGGGAAAGAAAAGGACCACAAATATATTTTATAAATTATTTTAGTGTTTCTTTAAAATAATTTATTCTTTTTTAAAAATGAGGTATACACTACCAAAAAAGTATCTTTTTATCAAGTAAGTAGTTCCAATCAAGTTTTTCAAACTTAATTACACACTGCTATTTAATTGTTATTAACGTCATGGTCTTAAGATTTGCGAGTTAGAAGAAATTCCAGTTGGTATCAATGGACTTCCATATGCAATATATGCACAGAATATGAAAAACTATTTTCAAATATTATTGATATGGTGCACATCTCTATACAAGTTGTTTCTGTAGATCTAAGACAACTATTTTCTTTTTATGGTAATTTAATTTTTCTAGGTTACTGGTAATACTTGATATTATTCTACTTTGCTTCTTCAAACAGGATGAGGAAAGCATTTTATAAATCCCTTTAAAATTAAAGCCAGAGAGCCCATCATCTTTTGAAGCACTTCCACAGGTGCGAACTGGTTCAAACTTTTTGGAGAGAACTTTACCAATATGTATCACAACCCCTAAAAGCTTTCAGATGCTTTGACTCATTAATTCATCTTCCAGAAACCAGTCTGGAGGGAATAATCTGACAGAAGGTTTAAGCACAAAAACGTTCATCACTGCATTATCTATAATAACAAAACCTGTAGACTCAGTTATCACAATAGGGGATTCACTGAGTATCAAGCTATGATTTCAATATACGTTGGCATATTTAGCAGCTCTTAAAAATGAAGAATTATTAGCAGCACGAGAAAATACTTATAATATTAAGGGGAAAAAAGGAGACTTAAAAAATTTAGATATTGGCTGGGCGCGGTAGCTCACACCTGTAATCCCAGCACTTTGGGAGGCTGAGGTGGGTGGATCACCTGAGGTCAGGAGTTCAAGCCCAGCCTGGCCAACATGGCAAAACCCCGTTTCTACTAAAAAATAAAAAAATTAGCCAAGAATGGTGGTAAGCATCTGTAATCTCAGCTACTCGGGAGGCTCAGACAGGAGAATCACTTGAACTCCGGAGGAAGAGTTTGCAGTGAGCCGAGACGGAGCCACTGCACTCCAGCCTGAGTGACAGAGCAAGACTCCATCTCAAAAACGAAACAAAAACAAAAAAATTTAGATATTGTTTACCTTCAACTCTGTAGCCACAAAAAGTGTATACTGAAAAAAGACTGAAAGCAAAACAATATATTGACATGAGTCAACAGGTGAAAGGATTATAGGTGAGTTTTGTTTGCTTGTTTATGTTTTTCTACATTGAGCATGTATTACTTTTATAATAGAGAAACAATAAGCACTGTTTGAAAAACAAATAGATAAAGCTGGAGAAAGCCCTGAACTGTGTACATTTATGCCCGAACTAGAAATGCTCCCAGAAATATTAAATCGGTAGAAATAATAAGCTTCCCCTACACATAAAGTTACAAGGGAATATAACAAGCAAACTTTGTTTTCTGTTTTTTTTTTTAAAAAGAAAGTATTAGAAAATTGTGACTTTTTCAAATGGTCAATGAATTCTGCTTTTTAAAAGTTGTTGTAAAGGCATTTCTTTGAATCCAAACTGCTGATGTATATATTAACTTCCTAGCCAGCAGACAAAACACAGGGCCGCTCTCAGTCAGTTTGTTACTGAACTTGTTTTCAATGTGGTACTGTGCCTAGTTTTATTTTTTGTATGTGTTAAAAATAAAGACATTGTGCATTCTTAAACTGCCACATATCACTATTCCCTGTGGAGAGAAATTCAGGAAAAGGCAGGTTAGTGCTGAACATTTGCTCAAGTGGATTCATAAATAAAAGCCCTAAGCACCTATGCATGGGGCATGTTATTTATAAGGAGGTCTTAAGCATTAATCTCAATATGGCAAAGCTTCACTAAATCGTTTCTCACTATATAGTATTTGGAGCTTTGATGCACTCCTAAAAACGTGAAATGTTTAAATTCGATCATAAAATTATGTTAAGCAAAGAATTAAATTACGCTTATGATTTGTTAAATTTTTAAACACATAAGCAATAAAGAAATAGCATGATAACAGTAAATATTGTTAAACCTTTACTATGGGCCTAGTACTATGCAAACTACCATATGTGGACTATCTTCTAAATGCTCAAGACACTTTACAAAATGGTACTATCATCTCCAGATGACGAACCTGAGGTGCAAATATCCCAGTAAAATGGTCCTTGTGTCACTCAGTCCCCACACCAGGATCTGCTTAGTAGAGTAGATGTTATCATGGTTCCCTCTGCCTGTCCATTCATCTCAATGCAAATTAGCAGAGAACAGAGTTACAAGTGCACAGAGACTATGGGCCTCCTGCCCCATTGTAGACTCTGCACCCCTCCAGGAGACGGCAGCAAGCAGACATTGCTCCTCTGTGGCCCCGTTGTCTGTCACCAGGTCCTTTTTCTCTGGTCCTGCCCATCTCCCAGCCCCCTGAGATGTGAATGATAAGGGAGAGGGATGTGGCACTGCCACAACATCAGGAAAAGGGTCTTTTCCTCTTTGTTCCCCAAAACCTCACCAACCCCAACTACTGCAGAAAAAGTAAGTCCAATTAGTGAAAAGCTTAACTCCAGAACACTTCTCAAATACTGCAATTGTACTATGCATGAAGGAACTTGAAATACACTTTATAAGTACTAAGCAATACTTGATAGCAGGACTTACAGGATGTCTTATAATCATATTCTGCTGAGTCACTTGAACTAACATTAGTTCTTTGTAAGACTGCACACAAATAGCTTTATTTTAAGGCAATGGGTTCCCTGCTTCTGCTCTTGCCCCTCAACACGAGGACCAGAGTGATTTTTTTTAATTTTTAATTTTTTTTTTTTTTTTTTTTTGAGACAGAGTCTCGCTCTGTCTCCCAGGCTGGAGTACAGTGGTGCAATCTCGGCTCACTGCAACCTCCATCGCCTGGGTTCAAGCAATTCTCATGCCTCCACCTCCAGAATAGCTAGGATTACAGGTATACGCTACCATGCCCAGCTAATTTTTTGTATTTTTAGTAGAGATGGGGTTTTGCCATGTTGGAAAGACTGCTCTCAAACTCCTGGCCTCAAGTGATCCACCCGCCTCAGCCTCCCAAAGTCCTGAGATTACAGGTGTGAGCCACCATGCCAGGTCAACGTGATTCTTTTTAAAAGATAGATCATGTATCTGCTCAAAACCATCCAATGGCCTCCATCTAGCTCAAAATAAAAGGCAAAATCAGGCAGAGTGCAGTGGCTCATGCCTGTAATCCCAGCATTTTGGGAGGCAAGGGCAGGAGGATTGCTTGAGCCCAAGGGGAACAAGGTCATAGTGAGCTATGTTCATGCCACTGCACTCTAGCCTGAGTGACATAGCAAGACCCTGTCTCTAAAAAAAAAAAAGGCCAAAGTCCTTACCATGGCCTAAAGTCCCTCATAGATCACTGGGGAGACCTTTAAAGCCAGAGACTGTGAGTCAGGGCCTGGGCTAGAGGCCTCTAAAAGCTCAACAGGTGTTTCCCACATGCAGCCACGTGGAGAATCACAGTCCTGCCTGACCTGACCTCATTTTCCAACTCTCTCTTCACCCAGTCCACTCCAGCCACTGGGCCCCTTGCTGGGCCTATGCCCGGAAACTACACACCTCACTGCTGTTGATGAAAAAAGTCAAACTCTGTAAAATATTTGAAAAGATTTATTCTGAGCCAAATATGAGTAACCAATGGCCTGTGACACAACTCTCAGGAGGGCCTGAGAACATGCGCCTAAGTTGGTCGGGCTACAACTTGGTTTTATACATTTTAGGAAGACATAAGACATCAATCAATGCATGTAAGATGGACATTGGTTCTGTCCGGAAAGAAGGAACAACTGGAAACATGTGGGGTGTGGGCGTGGGGGGCACAGTGGCAGCAGGGAGTTCCAGGTCATAGGTGGTTGGCAGTTGGTTATTATCTAAAGACCTGGAATCAAGAGAAAGGAATGTCTGGTCATGATAAGGGGTTGTGGAGACCAAGATTTTATCATGGAGATGAAGCCTCCAGGTAGCAGGTTTCAGAGAGAAAAGATTGTACATGTTTCTTATTAGACTTAAAAAGAGCCTGTTCTGTCAGTCTTAAGTTCTCTGTGTTGATGTTAATGCTGGTCAGCTATGAGGCATGTCCAACTTCCACTTCCCACCATGGCCTGAACTAGTTTTTCAGGTTAACTTTGGAATTCCCTTGTCTGAGAGGAGAAGTCCATTCAGATGGTGGAGAGGCTTAACACTGCTTTTGCAGGAACCCATGGCTCATCCCTCGCTCTTGCAGGTCTTTGCTCAAATGTCATCTTTTCAGAGGATGCATACCTAACCACCCTCTGCACCCTTCACCCCGCACATTCTCTATTTTCCCTGTTTTTCTCAATAACAATTATCACCATCCTATAGATTTACTAATTTTTAATTATATTTCCTGCCCCACTCTACTTCACTAGAATGTAAACTCCACAAAGGCAGAAATCCTTGTCCCTTCTGCTTTCCTATATATCCCAACAGACTAGAAGAGTGTGTGGTATTTAGGCTGGGCATGGTGGCTCACGCCTGTAATACCAGCACTCTGGGAGGCCAAGGTGGGTGGATTGCTTGAGCTCAGGAATTTGAGACCAGCCTGGACAACATGGCAAGATCCCGTCTCTACTAAAAAGACAAAAAAATAGCCAGGTGGGGTAGGGCACACCTGTGGTCCTAGCTACTCAGGAGGCTCAGGTGGGAGGATGGCTTGAGCCTGGGAGGCAGAGGTTGCAGTGAGCTAAGATCGTGCCACTGCACTCCAGCCTGGGCAACAGGAGTGAAACCCTGTCTCAAAAACAAAAATAAAAAAGAAGAAGAAGAGTATATAGTATTTAGTAGAGGCTAAATAACTGGCTGTTGAACGAATGAATTATTTCAGTTTCTTCACCTTCTTTACATTAAAAATTTACAGGGTAAACCCTATTTTCATAGCTAAAACAAAGTTATACTTCAGCCTACTCCCTGTTTGACAGTTTATCACAAACTACAAAATAATGGGATGTAAATTGAAAAGTTTTTCTTCTATTTGGGGTTTTGTTCCAATTTGTTAAAATCAAACACAAGCCCTGAGTTCCTGCTTTAGGCAGAACACCACATAGTGAACTCTTGTTTATTTGGAATGATTGGGGAGAACATAATCTGGGATCTGAAAAAGAGGACATACATTTATAATCCAAGATTGCTGAATTTCAAAAAATTGGACTACAACATGAAAGAGTTCACATTTTCTTTGATTATTCAGAAAACACTTCAGAATTTTACTGTGACTGGATGTCATCAGTAGAAATATTATTTTAAGCCGGGCACAGTGGTGCCTGCCTGTAGTCCCAGCTACTCCAGAGGCTAAGGTGAGAGGATCGCTTGAGCACAAGAGATCTGGGCCATAGTGCTCTAAACCGATCAGGTGTCTGCACTAAGTTTGGCATCCATATGGTGACCTCCCTGGAGCAGAGAACCACCAGGTTGCCTAAGGAGGGGTGAACCTACCCAGGCTGGAAATGAAGCAGGTCAAAACTGTCACACCGGCCTGGGTGCAGTGGCTCACGCCTGTAATCCCAGCACTTTGGGAGGCTGAGGCGGGGAGATCACTTGAGGTCGGAAGTTCGAGATCAGCCTGGCCAACATGGCAAAACCCCGTCTCTACTAAAAATACAAAAATTAGCCAGGGGTGGTGGTGGGTGCCTGTAATCCCAGCTACTCAGGTGGCTGAGGCAGGAGAATCACTTGAACTGGGGAGGTGGAGGTTGTAGTGAGCCAAGATCATACCACTGCACTCCAGCCTGGGTGACAGAGTGTGACCCTGTCTCTAAAAAAACAAAAAACAAACAAAAGAAACTATATACATTATTTTAGATTTCTAGGAGAATGAGTACTAATCACAGTGATGTTGCTGGTCATATAAATAGTAGAAGACATGGTGCCAACCCTTGAAAGTTTATAGTCTAGCTATGAAGACAGATCATAAGAACTAAATAATTAGAAAAGTTATAAAGCAACATACCAATGAACATTCATTAAAATTTTTGCAAATTAAGACCTAAATGAGAAACTTCATAAAGGAGTAATCTTAGAAGCCTTCCAGAGATGTGATCAGGGACTGGGTTTTGCAGAATGTAAGTATAAGAATGTTAAGCAGATTGATTCACTAGACAGAGGCATAATGCCTCTGATTAGTACAATGCTCTGTAAAGAGTAAATGGTTTAGTACATATTTTACAACAAAAACTGACTCCCCTCATTTTCCAGTGACTTGGAGCATCAGAAAAAAACTCTTTCATAATCAGGAGTGCATGTGAACTAAACAAGTCAAGATAAAAAGCACAGCTTTAGAATGAGTGATTGATGCAATTAAAATTATTAGTAAGCAACAGATTGGCTGTAAAGTAACAAGTTTAAACAATGAGACTACACCAGCAAGCATTTCTAGAATTTCTCCTTACTTTGAAAAAGAGAATAAAATAAACTTTGAAAAAGGGAATGAAAGAAATTGTTTTAAATGGAAGAAGAACCAGTCGTTAAATTTTATTTTTGAAAAAACACTGAACTATGCTGTTGACAGGATTCAAATAGGTAAATTAAGGAGCATAAAAATGACATATAGAATGTCATAAAGATGACATATGTCAAAAAATGACATAAAGAAATCCAGCATATTTTTGATTTGGAACAAAAGCACCCCTGAAGTTTCTAAAATTAATATACTCTACCTTAGTTAAGCAACAATGAGCTTTCTCGGGAGTTTTTTCATAGCTAACCGTATGACCAATTTCTTTAATGTTCTTAATCTTAATTAAATTCCTTTGTTTTTCATTAATAAAAGTACCATATAACCTAATCTAATTATAAAATTTTTTCATTGTTACTCCATATATGAGGACTGAATTAAAATTCTTTGGCCAGATGAATAAATTAATTTTTCCAGGTACGTATCTTCACTAGTTTTCCTGATTGAAATGTTGGCAAGTTGGGAGTTTCCCGTTGAGCTTTGCTTCCCGTGAAAACAACCATGAGAGAACTCCAGAAATGGCCTTCTCAGGCCAGGCTTCGTGACTTTCAGGCCTTTGGTTAGAGGGGCCCAATAATGGCAATACATTAGAAAACTTCTGATTTCTTCCTCTTTTTAGAATTGTTGAGAGAGAAATGTGGGGGGAAGTGTAAATGGAATTATTTCATTTAGAAAAAAATCATTGAGTATAAAATGTTCTGAAATTTTTTATTCTCTGTAATATAGTATAAATTTGTTTTATATAAATCTACCATCTGATTCAGGATGATTAGTAATCTACCTCTTTTTATCCTTGAGAGAAGGCTGGAAAGTGCAATTGAAATTTTTCTCTTTTTGAGTCATCTCCAGTAAGCTGTCATTAATTCACTTCTTATGTGTGTTGCTATTGTTTATTTGCATGGGTTTTCTGGTTTCAAAATAGAACTGGTCTGAGATGCAGCTGTCCTGGCTTGTTGTTTGAATCTTTGCACATTCCAATAGCATTTTCCGCTGGAATGTTGAATTTAATGAATGAAAGACCAGGTGTTCCAGGTACATTCAGCCTGGGTAGAAAAGGGCATAAATGACAGGGTCCCAGTGCCTTTTCAGATAGTTAATAAATTAGCATTCATGTTAACTCTTCAAAAAATGTCCCCCTAAATGTAAGTTTAACATGTTCTGTTAAAGTGAAATTTATGATATCTTCCAAAATGTTGTTGGATCACTTCACAGATAATACAACCTCATTTACATCATCTGATAATATGAAAAGAACCATCATAGAAGCAGCTATTCTGCTATAACATAATAATTTAATTACTATGAAACCTCAATTGATCCAATATATAATGTTATAAAAAATTTGTTTCAATGGTGAAAAGGCAGATAGAGACTAGAGAGTATCAAACACTCAGTAGCAAAGTTATTTTCCCTGAAAAAAAATTAATAGAAGATTTTTAAAGTTATAAGTGAAGAGCTAAAAAAAACCCTAAGAATTGCTGTATAAATCCAGTATCTGATTATATCTGACTTTGCTAGAGAGTAATGGCCTTTATTTTGTTTTAGTCAGTAGCTATGTTAGTTTGCTAGGGATGCCATAACAGTACCACAGACTGGGGTCACTTAAACAACAGAAATGTATTTTCTCACAATCCTGGAGGCTGGAAGTCTGAGATCAAGGTCTTGGTAGGATTGGTTCCTACTGAAGGCTTTGAGGAAAGGATGTGTTCCAGACCTCCTTCCTTGGCTTGTAGATGGCGTCTTCTCCCCGTATCTTCACATGGTCTTCCCTCTGTGCCCATTTGTGTTCAAATTTTTTCTTCTCAGGACACCAATTATATTGGGTTAAGGTCTATTCTAATGGCCTCATTTTAACTTTACTTCTTTGAAAAGACCGTATCTTTAAATACAGTCACATTCTGAGATACTGAGGGTTAGGACTTCAACCTATGAATTTTGGAGGAACACAATTTAGCCTATAACACCAGTGCTATAAATGGCTTCTAATATGCTTTGAGCATCTGCTCTTTTCATAAGCAAAGTAAAACATCTGCTTTGGTTAAATTATAGCTTCTTCCTCCTATCTAATTCCACGGTCATGTATAGTTTTGTATCACTTTATAACCAATAGCACATCATATAATGTAAATTATGTTCCCAAACAAATGGATTACTTTATGAACAACTATCATTAAATTGAATGCCATAAAAAGATACCTACAAACTGGAAAGGCACAGTAGACCTGGGTTCTGGTGCAAATTCTCCCACTGGCCAGCTTTGTGACTCAACTTCTCTGAAGTTTAGTTTTCCTCACAGAATTGTGACAATCAAATAAGATCATTATTGTAAGAGTGCCTTGAAAAACCATAAAATGTTATGAAAATATAAGGCTGTTAAAACACTTTTAGTGTGAAATATAACACACAGGTAAAGAAAAAGACACAGTCATATCACGTAAATTACAGTTTTATTTCTTCTTTCCAGTCATTTTACTTTTATGTCTCCTTCTCACCTTACTGTACTGCCAAAACCTCCCATACGCAGTTGAATAGAGTTTTCATCTTGAGTGGAGGTTATGGTGGACACCTAAAACAGGGTCAAGATTCTCTGGAAGAATTTGTGAGAGACCTGATTTCTTTCATAAATGTTTAGTAGAGCTGCCGGTGAAGCTATCTAGGCCTTTACTTGGCCCCATTATCTCTCCTTTGAAGATAATCTGTCTTTTTTTCTGTACTAAGACTTCTTTTGTCATTGGTTTTCTACTGTTTCACTACAGTGGGTTCTAAGTAAGGATTTCTTTTTGGTTTTTCGTTTTGTTTTGTTTTGTTTAATTTACCCGGTTTGAGATTTACTGGTCATCTGTAATCTGTGAATTGTTATCTTTCATGGCTGGAAAATTCTCAGCCATTATCTCTTCAAATACTACCTTTTCCCATGTCTCTGTCCCCTCCTTCTGGAACTCCAGTTAAACCTATGTTAGATCTTCACACAGTATCCTTTATGTTTATAATCCTCTTTCATATTGTTTCTATATGTTGTTTTCAGGATAATTTCTTCTGATATACTTTATAGTTCACTGATTTCATCTTTAGTTGCCTCTAATGTTAAAACTATCTGCTAAGTTCAAAACTTTCAGTTATGCTTTTAATTTGCTTTTGGTAGTTACATTTGATTATTTGAAATGTGTCATATTTACTCTTCTCTGTTATACTTATCTTTGTGCCTGGTTATCTTTTTTTCTTCTTCTTTTTTGAGACAGAGTCTTGCTCTGTTGCTTAGGCTGGGGTGCAGTGGCATGATCTCGGCTCACTGCAACCTCTGCCTCCCGGTTCAACCAATTCTCCTGCTTCAGCCTCCCGAGCAGCTGGGACTACAGGCGCATACTACTACACCCGGCTAATTTTTGTACTTTTAGTAGAAATGGGGTTTCACCATGTTGACCAGGCTTGTCTTGAACTCCTGACCTCGTGATCTGCCCACCTCGGCCTCCCAAAGTGCTGGATTACAGGCATAAGCCATTGCACCAGGCCATGCCTGGTTATCTTTGATGCATTACACATGCATTTTTAAAAGGATTTATAGGAATAATTTGAGGCTTATAGTGAAGGAACTTTGCTCAAGAAAGGATCTGTGCTTGCTCCTGCCCGTGAGGGTCAGAGGCAGTTCAAACTGACTAGGGGATTTGAACGGAGCTGGTTGTCTTGCTTGTGGTTGACCCCCAGGTTGTAGCCCTTTGAAGTCTCAGCTTACTGTGAGAGGCATCACTGGTTCAAACCCCACTCTGAGCAAGCTCTGGACTTTGAATTTTGTCTTTCAGGTCCTCAAGCCTGTCAAATGAGGGTTCTAATATTAAAGAATTATAAAATGACGTCAATGCAAAAGTGACTTCTTTCTTGCTTTTCTCTGTGGGTTCTCATTTTCCTTCCATGTTTGGCCTAAAAATGTCTTACTGTCTTGTCATCTCTTCAATATTTCAAGAAATGTTTTAAAATGTTATATCCAGCCTTTTTAGTTGTCTTCAGCTGGGGGAAGGAGAGGGGAAATTGATTTGAATAATTTAGATTAACATTATTGTAAACAGAAAGTTCTCACATAAGTTATTATTAAAGAAAATGGGTGTTAGTTCAGAGGAAAGGAGAACCAATATGTATTGAGAATATTGTAGGTCAGGACTTCTTTCATTAAATTCTTAAAAAGAATGCTTCAAGGTAGATAGTACTTTTATTTTAAGGAGGTAAAGCTGAAATCTTCAGAGGTTAACTAGCTAGGCCAAGGTCACCTGACTATTAAGTAATTGGTAGCCTGGCATTGAACACAGATATTTCTAGCACCAAATAGCTATTTTCATTATAGCACATTGTTATAATATCTTCTATTTTTTCCCTCTTGTTCTTTTTATTTCGAAAAATTTTAGACCATCAGAGAAGCTTCAAGAATAACACAATAAAATCTAGATATTCTTTACTTAGATTCACTAATTGGTAAAATTTCCACAGTTACTTTTTCTCATTCATCCTCTCTATCTCTCTCTCTCTCTTTCTTCTCCTCCTCCCTCCTTCCTTCCCTCTCTTCTTCTTTTCCTTTTTCCATCCCTTCCTCCTCCATTTGATGGTTAGACACGGACACCTTGACAGTTCAACCCAATACTTTATCACATATCTTCTAAAAACAAGGCCGTTCTTCTACACCCACAATACAATTATCACTCTGAAGAAAGTAAATATTGATATAATGCCATTATCAATATAGAATCAATTTTAAATTCAGGATCCAATCAAGGATCACGCATTTCATTTCTTAGTCATATCCATGACTTCTCATTTTAAAAATGAATGATTAGACAGATTTGACAAGATACATACACACAAATAATGATTTGGGTAAGAAGAGGAACTCAAACTTTTTAGTTCATACCCTACTGCATTGTTTTAATTTTTTTCAATTAGCATATTCAATTCATGTAATTTTTAAATACATATATATGCACACTTTTCTTTCTCTTTTTGAGATTGGGTTTTGCTCTATTGACCAACCTAAGTGCAGTGGCATGATCATAGCTCACTGCATCCTTGAACTCCTAGCCTCAAATGATCCTCCCGGTTCAGTCTGCTGAGTAGCTAGGACTATAGGGGTATGCCACTACACTTGGATAATTTTTTTTGTTTTTATTTTTTTGTAGAGACAGGGTCTCACTATGTTGCCCAGGCTGATCTCGAACTCCTGGCCTCAAGTGGTCCTCCCACCTCAGCCTCCCAAAGCGCTGGGATTACAAGTGTGAGCTACTATGCCTGGCCTTAAACCAATATATGTTTTAATGAAGGATCACTTTTTAAAATAATTTATGATGTTCATGAAATATTGATATTTCTGCTTAGTATTTTTGCTGATTATACTGCAGGTTCCCTATTTGCTAAAAAATATTTGATTTTCTGGGACAATACATTGGATTATGAAAATTCTGAAAACAATTACTTTATATTTCACAATGTCATTATAAATTTAGTCTGTTTTGCCTAAAAAGTAGAGTCACCAACTTAAAATACTCAAAGAACCCATTAGTACTAAATCACAATTTAATTGAAAAAAAATTAAGCAGTCTTAAAGGATTTCAGGAGATTATATTCAAAGCTACAATAGCATTTTGTAGTAAAGTGGCACTAGTCTAGGTATATGAAAATATGCATGCTATTCCTCAGAATGGCATCTTTGGGAAAAGACATATAGTTTTTAAATCATTAGAAGAAAAAGAGAAAGAAAAAATAAAAATAAAATCAGAAAACATTATTTCAAATCAAGACTCCACTATTGGCCCAGCCCATGGCTCAGCCACGTGTAATTCCAGCACTTGGGGAAGCCAAGGTGGGCAATGGCTTGAGCCTGGAGTTTGAGACCAGCCTGGCCAATATAGGGAGACCCCATTTCTACAAAAAATACAAAAACTTAACCAGGCGTGGTAGTGCACACCTGCAGCCCTAGCTACCCCGGAGGCTGAGGTGGGAGACTTGCTTGATCCCGGGAGGTCAAGGCTGCGGTAATCACACCACAATGACAGAGAGAGACCCTGTCTCAACAACAACAAAAAAAGACTCCACTATTTACTACACCTGTAACCTAAAACAGTCATTTAACCTTTTGAGCTTCAGGTTTTTCTCATTTATAAATTGGAGATTATAGTATTTACTCTTTATTCTAACAAAGAATTAGAATGTGGAAGATATTTTACAAAATCTAAGACACACACACATGCACACGCACAAAGAAACGTTAATTTTTCTTATTTCAGACATTAATTCTATAAAATGATATTATATTCTCCCACTTGACAGAACCTGTTTGAAAATTTTGAAGATAATCTCAGCTAGAGGGATTAATTCCATAACTGGCAAAGTACATTCCTTCTGCTTATGTTAATTTTGAATTAAAAACATGCTTATCTCTATTATTACTATCAATCCTAACTTCTGACTGGGGATTTGCTTAAAGAAACTTTTCATGCTAAATGAATATGGGAGTTATTTTTCTTCCTTGACTGCACAACTATTAACCGTTTTATATATTTCATATATAGCAGAAAATGAAAGTATTAGAGTGGAAGAGAAAAACTGTGTTAAGAATCTGCCTGATTTTAGTAGAAAATTTTCATGGTATAGCATTGGCTTGAAATGTTTAATTCTGGTCATGAGACTATAGTAATTACATTAGTGTCTATTGGCCACTGGTCTTATCAGCAGCCGTTATAATTCACATCAGAGGCCGGGTGCAATGGCTCACGCCCGTAATCCCAGCACTTTGGGAGGCTGAGGCAGGCAGATCACTTGAGGCTGGGAGATCAAAACCAGCCTGGCCAACATGGTGAAACTCAGTCTCTACTAAAAACACAAAAATTAGCCAGGCGTGGTGGTGCAGGCCTGTAGTCCCAGCTACTCAGGACGCTGAGGCAAGAGAATCACTTGAACCCAGGAGGGGGAGGCTGCAGTGAGCTGAGATCGCTCTACTGCACTCCAGCCTGAGTGACAGAGAAAGACTCTGTGTCAAAAAATAATAACAATAATAATTCACATCAGAAAGAAAGTGAATACACCTGATAATGTGGTATAAATTAGGGCAAACCTATTCTATCCTGTACTCAAGTATTTATTAGATTAAAATGAAGCTAAATAAAGCTAGATAAACTAGATAAAGTTTTTACTACACCAGGGGCAGGGCTCACACCTGTAATCCCAACACTGGGAGGCGGGGGCAGGAGAATCACTTGAGACTAGGAGTTCGAGACTGGCCTGGGCAACATAGCACAGTTCTACAATTTTTTTTTTTTTTTAACTTAGCCGGCATGGCGGTTCGTACCTGTAGCCCCAGCTACTCTGGAGGTTGAAGCAGGAGGATCACTTGAGCCCAGGAATTTGAGGTTACAACGAGCTATGATTGTGCCACTGCACTCTGGGCAACAGAACTAGAACCTGTCTCTAAAAAAGAAATTTTTTTTTAAATGTTGCTAGATAAAAGCTTCTGGCTAAAGGTAGAAATATACCTTTTTTCTTCCTATTTTTGAAGAATTTTTGTCTCTATGTATTAACGATATAGGAACAGTATCTTGTATAGGACTAGGAAGATGGAAAACTAAAAATAGACCCCTGTAATCCTGGTGAATCCAGGTAAGGGATCCATCCTAAAATATCTATACATTGTTAACAGTTATTCTGATTTTAAAAAATTTTAAAGCTCTTGTTTGTATGTTTGATTCTAATAAAAGTAAGAATACAACAGAGTGGTTTTGATCAATAAGATGTGTTTGCTGAATTGTGGGTGCGAGGTTGACAGGGTCAGATAATTTTGGTTATAGAGCTGGTTCTGTCAATAACTCTGACCTTGAGCAAGTCACATCAGTTTCTGCACAGATAAAATAAGGGAGTTGGATGAAAAAGTCTTTAAAATCCCTTCCAGTTGTAAAATTACACGATTCTGTGAGGTATTTTAAAATTCAATATTGGACTGAAAATTACTCTTCTGGATCATTCTCTTTCCTTCAGCCTTTTCCTGATTCAGTGTTAATCCTTGAGCATAGCTTAGTGTTATGCAGCATAAACTTTTGTCAGTCATTGGTTAGGAACCATCTTTTACCCCACCTTCACCCTCTTCCCCAACACACACCTTCCACTGTGGTTAAAAGAAAGACCCAATGTCAGACTGAGGAAATTCATCCTAAGGAGGCAATGGCAGGGAAGAGTTGGCAGAAGGCCAGGAGAGCACTGGGGGGGTGAAAGGAGTCCATACCATTAGTTCTTAGCTTCAAGACCTAAATCATGGAATTAAAGTATCCTAGTCTCTGCATCCTGCTTCCTGGAAAGAGAGAATCCTGACTCAGCTACTCAAGCGTATTGGATTCAACTTGGCAAAAATGAACCTATATGCAAATTGAAATTGCTATATCAGGTGCTATGCCATTCAGAGCTTGGGGAGTCTTGCTGTGGGAGAAACCTGGTAGAATTTGGATGATGACAAGAGGCCATCTTCCTTCTCACACTTGGAATTATCATGAACTAGGCTAACAGGCAGAGGTCCACATTGGGATGGCTGGAGCCACATCTCTGTAAGAGAGTAGAAGCTCTTGGCAGGGTGGTCAGCAACCACTGAACATTACCAGGGACAAATCCCTTGCACTTAGGACAACCAAAACCAGAAGGCACAATGAGAAGCCAGCAGTTACCAAATTTAGCCTCAAGGGACATTTGAATTCTCTGTCCACCAGCAGACAGTAACAGGGGAACTACAACAATGCTAGAAGAAAGTTGGAAAGCCTGCCAGTTAAGCAGTGGGTGCTTGGGGCCATTATAAACTGGAGTATTAAGGGAATTATCATCTTACCTATGTATTGAGGTTGTTGAAGCCTTCATATATAGATTACATTTTCAACTATAAAAATTTCTTAAAGTGAAGGCCAGCAGGAAGTTAATAAGAGAATGAAATGGTCATTTCTGTACATTACACATATACATTCATCAAGAAAGCATAGTGGGGAGAAATATGAACCCATCCTTGTAGGTGCTAACTCAATGAATACCAGTTCACATTTTCAAATCTTTTTGTTTGTTTCATTTATGTAAAAGTTGTTTCATACTACAAGAACTGTATCTTCATTTGAATGTTTCCACATAACATTTCTTCTTTAGTCGTGTGCATTGTGACTAAGAGCTCCATGTATTTAACCACTACTTTTCAACAAACACTATTTACTGAACATGTTACAACCTTTAAAATCTTATTTTTATAATTTCAAAATAAATCACTTTTATAAAGCTCTTGAGTTAGTCACTAAGCTACTACTTTGGAAAATAGAAGTAAACTTTGAAAGATTATGGCACGTTTGCTCATTAAATTCTTATATCATTTAATACAAAACTATATATACAATTTGTAAAATAACTTCGGTGAAGAGTTATTATAAAATTAAGCCTATCTCCAAAAATCCAAGCAGAAAATCACTTCGGCAGATACAATGTCTTATCATTGTATATGTTAAAAATCTCTCAATCAGCTTCTACAAACTTACAGCCTGTTCTGTTTCATATAGGTATTCAAAAATATGTCCAAGATAGACTAAAGAGCAGACACTGTCATTTTCCCAAATGCTAGAAAATTATGAACATATATATGTATTTATATTTTGTATTTATACAAATATATAAGCATATAACATTACATATATGCACTTTAACCTGAAAAGGCATATATCGAAATGTTAACAGTGGGTAATTCTAGACTTAGACTTACTTATAAATTTTATCTTCTTTCAGTTCATTTTCCAGGTTTTCTAAAATATCTATGTATATTTTTGAAGCATAAATATTTATTGAAACCCTATATATGAATATTTTATGGCTTGGAAAGATGGCCCTAATAAAAGGTAGTTAATTGGTAGTGCACTTCCAACTACAGGGAGTATAATTGCCCAAAGGCCTCTGCTGCTGTTCTCCGAAAATCTGTCTCTGCATTCATGCCAAGGCCACAGTGATTGAACCTGATAGAGTTACTATTGCAGTCTCCTTCATGGGAATTGTAGACTCTTCTGATGATGGAGGAGTCCACGTCTCCCAGCTCTTCTACTAAAGTACTCCTCAAGGTCTTGCTGAACTTTCTCTGCACTACATGGCAGTCTAGGATATTACCACTCACCTTCCCATCTTTCTTTGCTTCACTTGGGGTCATATCTATCTATCTATCTCCCAGCCTCTCCCCACTTTCTTTCACAGATTCATATCTTATCAGCAGGGTCCCCAACTCCCAGGCCACGGGCCAGTACTGGTCTGGAGGCTGTTAGGAACTGGGCCACACAGCAGGAAGTGAGCAGCAGGTGAGCCAGTGAAGCTTCATCTGTATTTACAGCCATTCTCCATTGCTCCTATTACCTCCTGAGCTCTGCCTCCTGTCAGGTCAGTGGTAGCATTAAATTCTTATAGGAGCACGAACCCTATTGTGAACTGCGCATGCAGGGGATCTAGGTTGTGTGCTCCTTATGAGAATCTAATGCCTTATGATCTGTCACTATCTCCCATCAACCCCAGACAGGATTATCTAGGGTTGATGAGAGACTGTCTACTTACAGAAAAACAAGCTAAGGGCTCCCATTGATTCTACATTATGGTGAGATGTATAATTATTTCATTATATATTACAATGCAATAATAATAGAAATAAATGTAATGCTCTTGTGGCCTTGGCACAATAAATGCAATGCTTTTGAATCATCCCAAAACCATCCTTTCCACTGTCCCATAGTCTGTGGAAAAACTGTCTTCCACAAAACCGGTCCCTAGTGCTAAAAATGTTGAGGACCGTTGCATCTAATCATGTCTTGATGTCTGCTAGTCAGAGAAGCTGAAATAACACAGGCTGCAAAGCAGGATACCCCATTATTATATTTTGGTTGGAAAAATGTATGTGTGTGTGTTCACATTATGTATTTATATATATAAATATAAACATACATAAATCTATGTATGTTTACAAATAGAAGAAAATACAGAAGAGTGGCTTTCTCTTGATAGAATAATTATAGGTAATTTTTTACTTGCCTGTATTTTCTTAAAGTTCTACAATAAATATGTACTATTGTGCAATAAAAAAGTAAACTTTTACATGTATTGATTTTGTTCAATCCACAACAGATTTATTTGTACCTAACTTTGCATTTTACTGGACTGTTTAAAGAATCAATATATTCATTTACTTCTTCACTGAAATATTTGCTATGCCTACTATGGACGAGGTCCTGTGCAAGGAGCAATGGCAGATGGAAAGGTAAAGGTGAATCAGTGAAGTCAGGAAAGTGGGGATCTAAATGGCAATGAGTGGTGAGTGCCTTGAGGGAGGCGCAAAGCCAGTGCTGAAGGTTCAAAAGATGAAAAGAGAGCATGTGTCTGGAGGACTGAGAAGAGGGAGTGCAGAGGTGGCATTTCAGCTAGACAATGAAGGAACTGGAAACTTTCTTTCTAATTTCAAATTTTGTTTAAACAACCTCTGCAGTTTGGATCACAGCTTAGGAGTCCTTAGGAGTTTGAGACTGAATTTGTTCATTCTCTCCCCTATATCTGAGCACAGGTAATATTGCTCACGGCACTTTCCACCCCCATCTTCTCACCCACCAACTTTCTCCCAATGAGGTCTCCTTGTGATCCCAGTCCTGAACCTGAATCAGGGAGTCATTATCTAAGGTTATGGTACTCTTGATTTTATGGCCACCTGGTGTGGTTTCCTCACACTTTTCTAGGTTTAAAAGCAATCTCATTATTTTTAAAGATGCTTTTCATTTTTATAGTGATCACATCTCCATTTCTACTGATGGTCACCATGGGTTTTGCCAGGCAGCCAGTTTCCTGCTGGCTCTCCCTATTCCTTCAGTAACAAAAGTCTGTGAACTCCATCTGAAAGTGCCTGCTTTAATTGGATCAGCTCTGTTTCTGGAGTTTCAGAAGTGGGACATGTCCGGGCTCACCAGACGAAGACATGTTATGGAGCAGGTCCTATACTGATGGGTAAAAACAGAAGAAATGGCAGACACAACAGCAAAAGCCTAGGTCCCGACACTCTGCCTTCACTTCACAAAGCAGTTGGCTTTACAAATACGCAACACACATCTGATTTCTCTATGGAAAACAGCATAGGTACACCATTATCAGGATTGCCTCTCATTTTATCTAAAGGACTAGAATCACTTGTTTAAAAGTGGCTTAGTACAGTCCTCCCACAGTATCCTGGGAGGATTGGTTCCAAGAATACCTCCACCTCCAGTCCCCATGCATACCAAAATCCTCAAATGCTCAAGTCCCTTATATAAAATGACATAGTATCTTCATATCACACACATCTTCTCATATACTTTAATCATCTCTAGATTATTTATACTTCTCATATACTTTAATCATCTCTAGATTATTTATAATCTATGATTTATGATACCAAATACAACGTAAATGCTACCTACTGTATTTTTACTTGTATTAGTTTTTATTATTATATTGTTACTTTTTATTGTTTTGTTATTGTTATTGTTATTATATATTTTCCATCTACAATTGGTTGGATCTGTGGATGTGGAACCCACAGATACAGAGAGCCGACTGTACTGCGGTCTTTCCAAGTTTGGAAACATCACTCAGAAAATGTTTTAAATTGTTTTGTCATGGATAGAATGTCTTTCTTCCTGTTCGTATGCCTGCCTGATATATTGATTATTAGTATAAATGGGATAGAGTTGGGGTAGGAGTGTGCCTTATTAACATAATCTAATGTCAAATTCTGCTACATGAACCTATGTTACTGGGCTCACCACAAGCTTAAAATCGAAATCCTGCATTAGTTTGTCACTTTGAATACGTTTCCTTTTTCAAAGGGCCCTGTCCAAATCTCACAAGACTGTTCAGACTCAGGAACCATTAAACACATAAAAGCACCTCCTAATTACTTCCTTATCTCAAATGTCCTGCCTGTTCTTTGCTGTTAATAGACGAGTTGTTAGAAACTAAAAATCCTGACATTATCACATGGAAAGAAAAGTAGTTCAAAGAAAAAAAAAAACAATAGAACACAAAGTTCTTTGGTGAAATGCTGATTTTGAGAGTAACATAGACAAAGCAGTTATTCATAAATCTGAGGTAATATTCTTTTCACTTTTATTTAAAGAAATGCTATAGTAGCTGAAACTGGAGTCTACAAATGTTTCCTTCACATGTCATTTTTTCCTCCAATTCAGATACACAGACTTATGATTATAAAGTTCTTCAGAATGCATAAGGTTTTCCATTTTACAATAGCAAGCATTTCCACATTTGTTTTGGAAAAGAAATGTTTAGAAAATTTTGTGAATTCTTCTAGTCAGTAAAGCAATAATGAGGCCTAGGAACATGAAGATGACCAACGCCTCTCCTTCACCCACCTTTAAGTACCACCACAATCAGTTTGGTTCCCTTTTTCTGTAATTCATGTGTGAATTTTGTTCTAAGAGAAATAAGATGAAGGGAAAGAAGTGGGTGGGCTGTTATACAGGGCTATACAATTTGGACTAAACAGTCTTGTTGAAAACTTGCTATGTGGCCAGGCATGGTAGCTCATGCCTGTAATCCCAGCACTTTGGGAGGCCAAGGCAGGAGAGTCACTTGAGGTCAAGAGTTCGAGACCAGCCTGGCCAACACGGCAAAACCCCATCTCTACTAAAAATACAAAAATTGGCCGGGTGCGGTGGCTCACGCCTGTAATCCCAGCACTTTGGGAGGCTGAGGTGGGCTGATCACAAGGTCAGGAGATCGAGACCATCCTGGCTAACACGGTGAAACCCCGTCTCCACTAAAAAATATAAAAAATATAAAAAATTAGCAGGGTGTGGTGGCGGGCACCTGTAGTCCCAGCTACTCGGGAGGCTGAGGCAGAAGAATGGCCTCATTCTAGTGAACCAGGAGGCGGAGCTTGCAGTGAGCCAAGATCGCGCCACTGCACTCCAGCCCAGGCGACAGAGCAAGACTCCGTCTCAAAAAAAAAAAAAAAACAAAAAACAAAAAAAAACACACACACAAATTAGCCGGGTGTAGTGGCGCAGCCCTGTAGTCCCAGCTACTTGGAAAGCTGAGGCAGGAGAATCGCTTGAACCCGGGAGGCAGAGGTTGCAGTGAGCAGAAATCACACCACTGAACTCCAGCCTGGGCGACAGAATAAGACTTCGTCTCAAAAAAGAAAACTTGCTGTGTGCTGGGCATCCTGCCCCTGCTGGGTTCAGCAGGGCAGGAAAGTTGTGGGTGGGGATGGGGAGAGGGAAACTGCATGTACAGAGATACAAATACAGGAAAGACCATACAGTTTATTTTCTTAATTTGTAGTTTGTAAACTTTTGAAAATAAGAACTCCTTTTTAACCTGTGTTTCAAAATGTTGGCCCCCACATAACAGTAATTGTCTTTTTGTCGATTTTGTTTTCTAAACTTGGGACCTATATGAAATCACAGATTCCTTACAATCACCCCACAGTCCCCAAAGGCTGCCCCTCCTCCAGCCCCAAGATCTGGGGCTGAGACATCCTTGTTGTCTGTTCATGGATGGGTAGTGTTGTGAGTCATAGAACAATTCCGTTGCAAATATGGTCAGCATTAGGCCCCCGAGTCTCACAAAAGACTGGGTTGAATTGGGAAATTTTTCTGCCACCTTAGCACAAGTTGCAAAGCCAAGAACTCTATGTCCAGATAACAAGGCAAATAAGATGAAATTCAACCAAGATGGGAGAAGAGTGACATGGACAAGGGGAGTAGTTCTCTTGCACCCTAAAGCCTACTATTTGGGGAAATTTATGAAGTTTGGGGAACAATAAGGCCAATAACAAACCAAGGAAGACGTGAAATCCTCATTTATCTTCCGTTCCACCACACCCCCACCCCTGCCAAGGAGCCGATTTCACAGAGGTCAATGCTGCTCAGATTTTTTTGTCTGCTGCCCTCTCAAGATTTCTTTTTCTTCAATACTTTTAACCGTTGTGGAAATGAGGTCAGTACTCTGTGATTGTCATTTTGTTCCAAATTCTTGAAATATTTTATTATTTACAAAGGTTTCCCTACTGACTTAGGACAGGAAAAAATATGAATGTGAAAACCTGAGTCCGAATAATAAAAATTTCAGTTATCATGGCTTTGGTTAAACCAAAGTTATTCCCAAAGAGTTTTTCAGAAATATTTAAGGAACAATTTTGAATAATTTTATTTTGACATATTAGTAATCTAGTCATTGCTAAAAATTCAGAAAATACCACCAAAAAGGTACAAAGAATAAAACAAAGATCTCTCCTAATTTTACCACCCCAAAGCACTCTGTTATGTTTTAGAATCTATCTTTCCAGACTTTTTTCTATACATACCCACATTCAGACAAACACCCACATTTTTAAAATGGGATCATAGTATTTTTGACAATGTCAAGAAATCTACCTCCTTCCTGTAATATTATATTATGACATCTTTTCATGTCAATGTATATAGATCTACATTCTTTTTAACCACTACATCTTATTTTATTGTACCAATGCACCATAATTTAACTCATTACTTAGTAAGATGTATTACGGTTGTTTTCTATTTTTTTACTATTATAAGGAAGGTTGAGGTAAGCATCCTTTGACACACATCTTCAAATGTACATCTAGTTATTTATTCCTAGGAGTGGAAGAGGTCAAACAGTTTGCATATTTAAAATTCCAATACATGTTGTCAAACAGCCTTGCAGGAAGCGTACACTGATTATACTCCCACTCCCAGGATACAAGAATGCCTCTGTCTCCACCATGCCAACACTGGAGTTTGGCTTTTTTAAAAAATCTTTGCCATTAATAAACAAACGAAGAAAGAAATGTATCTTATTAGTTTTGTTAGAGTGAAATTGACTATAGAGATTGAATTTATTTTCCTATTTTTTAACCATTAGTGATATTTTCTATTTATTTATTTATTTATTTACTTATTTATTTATTTATTTATTTTTGAGATGGAGTCTCACTCTGTCACCCAGGCTGGAGTGCAGTGGCACAATCTCAGGCTCACCGTAACCTCCGCCTCCCAGGTTCAAGTGATTCTCCTGCCTCAGCCTCCCGAGTAGCTGGGATTACAGGCATGTGCCACCACGCCTGACTAATTTTGTATTTTTAGTAGAGAGAGGGTTTCACCACGTTGACCAGGATGGTCTTGAACTCCTGACATCATGATTCGTCCACCTCAGCCTCCCAAAGTGCTAGGATTACAGGGGTGAGCCACCACGTCCGGCCGATATTTTCTTTTTAAAAAATTCTCTGTGCCTTGTGGGGTTTTTCTCCCTTAGGATTTTTAATAACCTTTTGCATATTAAGAATATTAACTCTTAGTTTCTGTAGACTATAAGTTCCATGAGGGCCAGACCATCTTCTTAATCACCGTATACATAGCCAGCCTCTAGTGTAATGCCTGACCCAGGATAGATAATAAAAAAAAATATATGGAATGACTGACCTTGCTCATCATATATGTTCTAAGTTTATTTTCCCCGTTTTCTGTGTTTCATCTTATTTTTTTATTTTTTCCCTTCCAAAAGTTTTTAAACTTCATGTAGTAAAAATCGATATATTCCTTCGTGATAGATGATATTTAAGTCATATACTTCACATATCAAGATTATGACAATCATAGCAACAACTATTTATGTGATACTTCATGTGCAAAGCCTTTATATATGCTGTTTTACATATGCTTTACATATACTTTTGCAAACCCTTTACATATGTTCATTCATTTAATCCTTGTAACAAGTCTTTTGTGTGGTCAAGTATGTCATACCAATGCCTCCCCACCCCAACACCAATAATTCCTCTTTTTTTTTTTTTTTGAGACAGAGGCTCTGTCACCCAGGCTGGAGTGCAGTGGCACAATCTCCGCTCACCGCAAGCTCCACCTCCCAGGTTCACACCTTTCTCCTGCCTCAGCCTCCCGAGTAGCTGGGACTACAGGCGCCCGCCACCACGCCCGGCTAATTTTTTTGTATTTTTAGTAGAGACGGGGTTTCACCGTGTTAGCCAGGATGGTCTGGATCTCCTGACCTCGTGATCCACCCACCTTGGCCTCCCAAAGTGCTGGGATTACAGGCGTGAGCCACCACGCCTGCCCTCAATTATTCCTCTTTAAAAAAAAAATGGTCTAGCTATTCTTCTTCATTGATTTCATTAATTTTGATATATAATGTGTTTACATTTTCAAACTCAGAAATAGGAAAGGGGATGAAATGAGATGTCCCTCTCTCCTTTAGTTTCCCATTTCCCTTCCCAGGACACACTGTGTGTGTGTGTGGGTGTGGGTGTGTGTGTGTGTGTGTGATTTTTCCTTTCTTTACAGCAATCATAGCATGCTATACACATTGTTCTGCAACCTGGTTATTTTATTTCAGTTAATAAAATATCCAGGTGCTTTTAAACTCATTTTGTCAACTTTTGATTGTGACTGAGTTAAGTTTATAATCATGGAGTGGGGCGCAGTGCCTCATGCCTGAAATCCCGGCAATTTAGGAGGCGGGAGATGGGCCGACTGCTTGAGCCCAGGAGTTTGAGGAACAGTCTGGGCAATATGGTGAAACCCCATCTCTACCACAAATACAAAAAAATTAGCCAGGCCTGATAGCATGCCACCTGTGGTCCCAGCTACTCAGGAGGCTAAGGTGGGAGGATCGCTTGAGCCTGGGAGGCAGAGGTTGCAGTGAAGGGAGATCATGCCACTGCACTCCAGCTTGGGTGAGAGTGAGACCCCATCTCAAAACAAAAACAAAAACAAAAAACGTAAATGTGGGGGCAATTTTCATTTTTAAAATATTAAAACTTTCTATTCAAGTATATGTTATTTCTGTTTATCTCCAGCTTTCTTTGTCTTTCAATAGACTTTTTAGATTTCTTCTTACAAATCCTATATTTTTCTTAAATTTATTTCTGAGTAGTTTGTCTAATTTGTTTTCTCAACCTTATGTAATAGGCTGGAAAATAATATATATATTTTTTTTAAAATTGCATTTACATGATTACCAATGAGACTGAAGTCTTTTGTATGTTGATTGATCATTTGCATTCTCTGTAAGTTTGGCCTCTCATCCTTTTACATCTGAATGACAGAGAAGGCTCAAGAAGGCCCCCAGGAGAACTAAAATTATTATTCAATACATGAAAAAATCTAACTCATTATTCCCATCAAAAGCAATATCTCTACGTTACTTCACCGTTTTTGTTAATAGAATAACAATTCTCCATTATTCAGTCTCAAAATCACATAGTCTTCTTTGATACCTTTCTCCCTCACCCCCTATTTTCCTTCATTTGTCTAAAGTGATAAAAAGGAAAAATCTACCATGGAAATTGATCTTGCTTCTCACTCCCTTTTATTGCCACAAGTGTGTTTGCGTTCCCCATACCTTTGCCGAGTGATGACTGACTCCATGGTCTCCCTACTTTCTCTCTCTTCCTTCTCCACCTGAATTGAGGGTAGATCAAGCATAGATCTAATTATGATCTAATTACGTTCCATCGTTCACTAAACTTGAATGGTATACCTCCACCTTCCAAATTTAGTTCACATTGCTACCTGCTTCGTCTTGTCTCCCACCACTATCCTACATTTTTCCTACAGTTCTGCAAAATCAGCTACTTCATGTTCCCTAAATATGCTCTATCTTTTCTGACTCTCTGGTCTTTTCTCCAGCTATCACAGACACCTGAAATGCCCTCCCGTTTTTCTGTCAATTGAAATTTCAACTCTTGTTCAAGGTTCATCTGGAATATCACCTCCAATAACCCTCTCCTGTGATCTTCTCCTCTCGAAACTCCCAGAGTAACTTAGTTTCTCTTAAACTGTCTACCCGTTTTATTATTGCCATTAATAGTTGTTTGAAAATTGTTAAAGCACAGAGAATATGTCTTGCGCAATGGTATGGTGAAGGGACCCAGTGTATGGGGTCAGAAGATCTATTCAAAGCCCCACTGTTCATTTACTAGTTGTTTTAGATTATGTAAGTCATTTAACCTCTTAAACCTCCCTATCTTTAGTTGTGAATTGGTAGTAGTAGTAGTAATGGTACCACTGTCAATGCTAGTGTTAGTAACTGGTTTATAATTAGTAAATTTTGTATGCCCCAAATTCCTATCACATTTGTGCTTTACACCCATGTTATCAATATGCCATGTTCTACATTTAGCAATATTTTCTAAGATCTTATATTGGAATCTAGTCTCAAAAATGGAAACCATCATTGTTGGCCAGTTGGGAAGATAACAGAATTTTTAAATAACAGTTTGATAGCTATCCAAAGGTGAAGAAGAACCTTAAATGTATTGACCACCCAAGCTCAGCTTAAAGATAGGTGATGTTATGACAGATTGTAAATAATTGCCAATTATGCTGACCAATACCATTCTGATTTTTATGAAAGAGACTACAATATGTCATGAAAGGAAGGGAGAGATGAGAAGATTAGCTCATTCTAATTCCTTCTGTTTTCAAGTCTAGTCCTGGCGCAAAGGGTAACTGAGTAGGTGAACAGGACTGCTGATTTCTCATGGACCCCACTGTTAGTATTCTCTGAAATAAATTTTTTAATTGTTCATAACAACTTCGGGTGCTTCTCCCCACAGTGGCATCACACAACACATACATACCACATTTTGTGCACATAAGAGCATGCGCACATAAATTACCTCATTTATGTTAGAGAAATAAGATAAAAATGAATGAATGATGCTCTTCCTTCACATCACATCAGTTGATATCTCCTTTCCATGTGCTTTTTTTTAATTTTTTTGTATTTATTTATTTATTGAGATGGAGTCTCACTTGTCACGCAGGCTGGAGTACAGTGGCACAATCTCAGCTCACTGCAACCTCAGCCTCCCGGGTTCAAGCCATTCTCATGCCTCAGCCTCCTGAGTAGCTGGGATTACAGGTGTGTGCCACCACGCCCGACTAATTTTTGTACTTTTAGTAGAGATGGCGTTTCGCCATGTTGGCCAGGCTGGCCTCTAACTTCTGACCTTAAGTGATCCACCTGCCTCAGCCTCCCAAAATGCTGGAATTACAGGCATGAGCCACTGTGCCCTGCCTCCATGTGTTTTGAAACCGCTAAAATTCTTTGCTTTTCACATATTTGAGAGGATGGAGGCCACCACAACCTCTCTACCGCTGGGTGAAAAATTCTATATATTGATCATGTACAACACGATGTCTTGTACAACACAAGCTTGTGGAATGGCTGAATTGTGATAATTAACATATCATCTTACACAGTTATTTTTTATGGTGAGAACACTTAAAATCTACTCTCTGATTTTCAAGAGTACAATATTGTAGTCACCATGTTGCATAATAAATCTCTTGAACTTATTCCTCTTATTTAACTGTAATTTTGTATCCGTTATCTCATCCTTTTGTACTCTCAATTTTTCACCTTTGAATTTTACTCTCAGCCTAAAAATATGGCCGTGGCTTCTTATTTCCTGCCTAAACAGACGTTTTTTAACCTTACAGTTCCATCAGATTACCATCCTCAATCTTTGCCACCTAATATTTTAAAATATATGCAGATATATTTTAATTATTATTTTTATTTTATTTATTTTTTTGAGACAGGGTCTCACTCTGTCACCCAGGCTGGAATGCAGTGGTGCAATCATGGCTCACTGCAGCCTTAAACTCCCACGCTCAGGAGATCCTCCCACCTCAGCCTCATGAGATCCTCCCACCTCAGCTCTCTCTCTCCACAGCTCCTAACACTGTTGGCCTTCCCGAAACTCCATCTGTTGCCCCTGATTTCTGTACAATACATGGCCCAGGTTTGCCTAGCTTGCTGACCGTGCCTTCCCTGTTTGCACCTCTCCGTCCAGGGTTGCTTTGTGGGCCCTCGTCACCCTTCCTCTCCTTTGGCAATCTCATGGCTTTATTTATTCTCTTTCTGCAGATGACTTCCAATGTACATCCTCAACTTTGATCTTCATTCTGAGCTCCAGTCCCATGTTTTCACCTGCTGGTCATATCCAGCTGGACGTCTCTTTAGCATCTCAAACTGAGGACTATTACAAAAATCATCTTTCCTCCCATAACTTCTTCTCTTCTCTTGTTCCCTAGTCATTTGGCTCAAACCCTCAGAGTCATCTTTAACTCTTACTTCTCCATCTTTGACTCCCTGACACTTGTTCCACCATGTAGACCAGGGACTGATTCAGGAATGAGCATGCAATCCAACTATGGCCTAGGAGATGGGAGAGGAAGGGAAAGGAATTCAGTCAGGAGGTGTGGGGAGCAGTTCTGGGAAACATTTTCCCTCTCTTAAGATGATCTCTCTTCTTCTGGACATTATGGCTTGGATGCTTGGAATGACCACTACCATCTTCCATCTTACTATTAACCAGACAGTGATGCCTGCACCCAAGATAGCAAAGCAGAAATGGAAAGGACCTGGTCCTGGATGATATCATTGAGTTTCTCAATCTTTCAGACTTGAAGTCTATGCTACTTTGGAATTTCCAAATTTCCAAATTTGTGAGATATCAAATTCTTCATTACTTAAGCCATTACAGATTGGGATTTAAGTTTAAAGTTAAACACATGCAATAGACCACACTATATTAACTCTTCATTATCTCTCATTTGGGCTATTACAGTGCTATCTGGTCTTTGTGCCTTCGAACCTAATCTATTTCATGTACCTGCTAGATTATCCTTCCTAAAGAATCATTTGTTCATGTTGTCTTGTCCAAAGACCTTTATAAACTTCCTAATGCCTAGAGAACAGTCCAGGCTCAGCAGCTCAGCATTTGTGGTTTCATAAATCCCTACCCTCCCTCCTCTACCTACCTTCTGTTAACAGATACACAGAATGAAGTGCTCTCACAGATATCGGTCCCTTTTCTGCTATGTGCATGTTTTCTCTGCCTGGAATACTCTTGCTTTTTGCTTCACTTTCACCTGTTTATATGCAATCTTCTTATAACTTTCCCTGATATCTCTTCCACTTCCACCCTGTGCAAAGTAATCCCTCTTCCCCTAAGTTTCAATGGTATTTATTGCCAGCTACCTTGTATCAATGCTATTTATATAGTGCAGTCTGTTCTACTACAAGCCCTGTTCCATAGAACAGATGGAACACATGGTTTATGGAGCACTTGAAATGTGGCTAGTGCAACTGGAAGTCTGAATTTTAATTTTGTTTAACTAATTTAAATTCAAACAGCCCCAGGTAGCAAGTGGCTACTGTATCAGGACCTTACTAGACTAAAAAGCTCTTGAATGTAGTCCAGGAACTATATCTTTTTTTTTTTTTTTTCCTGTAGTGACTACACAGAGCACCTGAAAGCCAGTCTTGTTTTTTCCTTTTTATTTTCTCCAGTCTTGAGGATAAAAGACACTGAATATTTACTGAATCAATAAATACAGAAATCACATTTACCAAATACACAAAGACTCCTAACTATTTTTGTCCCAAATCCAAATAGATTAAATAAGGAAGAAGAAAAGGCTGAATGACCAAAATTCTGGTTACTCAGAACAGAGGGACAGTTCCATTGTAAAAGGATCTATCATCTCTCTATCTCATAACAGTCCTCCTCTTAGTGAGATAAAGGAACTCTCTGAAGTTTAAAGCTCTTGGGTTTTAAAAACTATTTACTTAGCAATAATTTCACGCTTACCAAAAATTGCAAGAACGGTACAAAAACATCCGGATTCACCAATTTTTAATTGTTTTATTTTAAAAATAACCCAGATTCACCACCAAGGTTTAAATTGTATCAATCTCTTCTTTCTGTATATGTGTGTAACAGATGTGTGTATGTGTGTATATGTATGTATTTTATTTTTTTCTGAACCGTTTGGGAGAAAATCACATATATCATGTTCTTTTACCCCTTAATATTTCAGTGTGTTTGCTTATAAACAAGGATATTCTCATGCAAACATATTCAGGAAATTTAACATTGATACAATTCTTTAATCTACAGCCCATATTCCAATTTCGCCAATTATCCCAATAATGTCCTATATGACATTTTTCTCCTCCAGTAAAGGATCCAGTTCAGGGTCACATATTGCATTTCGTTACCATGTCTTTAGTTTTTTCTAGTCTGCAGTCTTTGTCTTTTATGACATTGGTCATGATTTAAAAATACAGGCTAGTTATTTTATATTTTATTTTCCTCTACTTGGGTTTGTCTGATGCTTCCTCATGACTACATAGCTCTAAGTGCACTGCTGGTGCAAGGATGTATTTGTTATATGTACCTTCTTTGCCCCCCACTGGTTTTTAGACTTGACCTGCTCAAACCTATAATCTATAAAGCATTATATTTCTATTAAAATACGTACATGTACATTCCATAAATTTTTTTAAAAATTTGCATAAAATACATCATCCTACCATTTCAAAAGCAATTGTTGCCTCTGTACTTTATAATGGTTTCAAAGACAAGTGAAATTTACTTAATGGATTCAGTTTATCTAAAATTATTTAATCAATTATTTTATCATTGAGTATGGAAATAATTCCTCAGAGAACTGCTGTAAAGCGTTAAAGTTAATGATTTCTTCTCGCCAGTAAAACTAGAATCTTCCCAATTTTGTAAATCCTAATTTTACTTTTGCTTCTCTTAATGGTATCACCAATGGAGAATAATTAAATTCCGATATTGTAAATCATAAGTACTTTCAGCTTTTGAAGTGGCAAAGTATTTGAATTGGTGCTATAGCCCAGACTTCAGGTATTTTCAAAGGATGAATGAGGAAAAAGGAAGTGGGGAGAAAGAACTTTTAACTGTGAGGAAGGCTCTACTATTTAAAAGATGGTTTAAAAAAAATTCTCACTGTAGCTACAGTGCTCACACTGGAAATAAAAGTATAAAAATGGTCCTTTAGGATTTTTCTCTGGAGTAAGAATTGTTTCAAGGAAGAAACTGCCAGGGATATGGACATTTTGGACAGGGGCAGAAAAATGCCCTAGTGTTTTGGACACCATGGAAGCGCTAGAATTTTTAAATAAATATTTCACATTGTGAGAAACGTCTGAGTATTAAACACGCTTTTTTTTTCCCTAGGGGGACACTAAACAAATATTTATTTAAGGAGGTAGAAACTTGAAGGCCCCCCCTCTTCCCGCAAAGCTAGTCTTTGGCTCTGCTTCTAGGACTTCTAGGAACGTGCAATTAAAATAAAATCGAAACAACGAAACCCTCGCAGCATTTAGATTTCTTTTTTCCCCCTCAACTGCTCAAGAAAAGTCAGAAGCCGACACTTTTTCCAAGTCTCGAAGTTGCCAGTTGTGAGGCTCCCAAGACGTCTCCCGCACACCCTAGGGACGATTCTGCACGGGTCCCTCCCGTTAGCCGGCGGTGCGATCCGGCTCCAAGGGGGTGTGTCCCGGACCGCAGCGACCCGGCGCCAGCCTCCGCCGCGGGCCCACCTGCTCCTCTCGGCCGCCGCAGCGCCCCGGGGTCCGGCCGGGCCCCCGGACCCCACCCGCGCGGCGCCGCCGGCCGCCCGGCAAGTCCCGCCACCCACTTCCGGACCCGGCCAGCCCCTCCGCTAGGTGCAGCTGGGACGCGAGCTCAGTTCCTTTCTTCCCTCAGCCCAAACTGCTAGCGGCCCCCGTGGCGGGAGGTGGAACCCGCAACCTACCCCCAAGGATGGGGGGCCCAGGCGGAGAAAGGGGGTCCCAGCCCTCCCCGGGCTGCCCGCACCGGCACCCCCCTCGCACGGCCCCAGCGGCGGCCCGCGTCCTCCCTCCAGCCCTAGCAAGACAGGCGTAGAGACTGCGAGTGTCGGGGGAGGGGTACAGGTCGGAGGAAGAGCATCCCCGGGCCGCAGCCGCAGCCGCCGCCGCCGCCGCCGCCTGCTGCTCCCCCGCCGTTCGGCTAGGGGAGGCCTCGTCACAGCCGCCGCCTCAGCCGCGGCTGCAGATCTCGCGGTGTTTGCCGGCCGCCGCGCCGCCATATTGTGTGACAGTATTTTGATTTGGACTGGGCTGGCGGAGCCGCGGCGAGAGCGAGCGAGAGCTGGGGGGGTGGGGGGAGGGCAGGCGAGCGCGAGGGGGGTGGGGGCAGAGGGAGGTGGGGAGGCCGAGCGAGCCGGAGCTGAGGATTGGGGAGCGGCGACGCCGCCCAGCCGTCGTTTTTGATCTGCTGCAGCCGCCGGCGGGGCGACCCAGCCCGACCCCCTCCCCTCCCCCTCAGCCAGGAGCGGTGGCGGCGGCGGCGGCCGGAGGGAGTTGGCGGCGGCGGGCGAGCGGAGGGGGCTGAGCGGGGAGGGAGGGAGGGCTGAGGTGTCCCCCCTGCCGGGTGGAACCGGAGGCGGCGGCGGCGCTGGCGGCGGCCGTGGTGGCGGAGGCGACGGTGGAGACGGCTGCCCTAGTGGGAGAGGCGGCGGCGGCGGCGGCCGAGGAGGAGGAGGGGGAAGCGGCGGCGGCAAAGGGTAAGCGGACAGCGCTGCCGGGCCTCGGCGGGATCCCCAACCTGGCTCTCCCCTCATCGCCCCGCACCCCCCTCCGTCTGGAAGGGGCTCTGCCGCCTCGCGAGGCCCGTGCGGGGCGTTCGCTTCTAACTTGCACTCTTCCTCCCTCCGCCTCTTTCCTTCCCCCAGTGGCGTGGCGGAGAGGGAGGCCCCCCGAGTCCCCCAGTCCGGTGGGGGTGGGGAGCATCGGGCCGGGCCTGGGCTCCGGGGCGTCCGTGCGGGGGGGGAGGGGGAGCTTCATTGGAATCGAGCGCCTAGGAGAGCCCCGGGTGGGGGAGGGCGCAAGGGGCTCGGGAGGGCCCCTCCCTGCGTCGGCGCCCCTGACCCGCCCCCAGGCATGTGTGAGGTGGGGGCGGGGGAGGAAAAATCTCCTTTTGGGGAGCCGAGGTCTAGTTAAAGATGACTCAGGGGCGGGGGTTTTGGGGACAGACACGGGGCAGTTATGTGGGGGTCGGGCGGGAGGGAGAACATCGTTCCTTTGCGGATCTTGGTTTTCTGCAGCCGTCTTTGAAGTGGGGGGCAAGCCCTACTATGAATATGTGGCCCCTTAAATTTCACTGGATGTTTCTGGTTTTCGGTCCCATCAACCTCAAACCCTACGATTGTGGTTGAGTCAGGGAGGCTGCAAGGGTCTCTTGGCGGTGCTGAACAGGTGACAGGTGGATCTTTCTGTTGCTGATGCTGTGAGATGTTCAGGCACAGTCGTACACCAAAGTGTCAGAGACCGTGTGAGTTTGTATTTATGTGTTTGGCCATGTTTCATTCCATATATAGTATATTTGAGATGTTAGGTTTCCATTCTTCAAGTCAGCTTAATTGTTGTGGATAAATTCTTCAAATGTTTCTGATAAGAGGGTTTTCCAGGAGAGCGGAGGGAATTTGCAGCCTCACAGGGGTTTCTCCGTAGTTCACGAAATTTAGGCCCCCAGTGCAGGCTGTTGAGTACCCTTATTCATTGGAAAGTTCTTGAACGCTAAGATCGTATTCAGAGCAACTGTACGGCAATATAATTTTGCATCCATTTTGTCTGTTTTAGGTAAGTTTGTAAAGTGTCTAATTTTGGGGTCAGATTGATTCACATTTTAGAAAAGGAATTTCGTTTCCGCTTTAGCATACTCTAAAGGTTATGATGATCATTATGCAATTCCAGATTTGGCCGGGAATTTTAGTGGGCATGGAATAGAATATTTGCTTTCAGTTTTTTCACTTCTGCTTACTACACTGTTCATACAGTAGCAGAGTATTGACACCTTTTAAAAAATATCTTTACATTCTTTGTAACAATGAAATCACGATTTTAAACTTTTGACGGTTTGAAACTGTAAATTTTGAAACCATGGCAGTTTGTAATAAAGGAAGACTTGCTTTTCTTTTGTTGTAGGCTTTGGCTGAGCATTTTAATTAGAAACAATGGGAAGAATTGTTAGATACATGAGCTATAGGCTAAATTAGGGTACAGTTAGTTTAAGGATTCTGCTGCTTTAAAAAAACATGTATGGAACGAATATGATGTACTATCAATGTGTTAACAGGAAATAGAACAAAAATTCCAGTGATTCAGAACTTCTGTTTGGGTTTTTCCCCCATAGGTCTAATCAGTTTCTAATAGAGGGTGCTTAAGTTTTAAATCTTTCAAGAATCAAACTGAAAGTTGAATACGTCAATTATAGATGAATAAGTTATCCCCTGAATATACTCCATTATTTCTTTTTTCTTTTGTGTGCATCGAGTTACTTTTCCTGAGTTTAAAAGTATTCTCTTAAGGACACTGATGAAATGCTACTATTGAACCCCCTTTAGTTAACTATTTCATAGTAGAACGTGTGCTTTAGTGACTCATTAAGAAGTGGATAAAATGGTCAGAACCTCATCAAATACATGTTTTTTGAAAAATAAATTTTAACTTAATCCCGTTTGATTGAAATCACACCTATGCTTGGTCCTCTAGTGGAAAAAAGCGCTTGCCTTCAGCTAAGGGTATTGCTAAGACTGGGAAACAATTTTTTTTTAATTTTGTTTTTGTTTTCTTTGTTTTTTGTTTTGAGACAGTCTCGCTCTGTCACCCAGGCTGGAGTGCAGTAGTGCGATCTTGACTCATTGCAACCTCTGCCTCCCGGGTTCAAGGGATTCTCCCGCCTCAGCCTTCCCAGTAGCTGGGATTACAGGCGCTTGCCACCACGCCCGGCTAATTTTTGTACTTTTAGTAGAGATGGAGTTTCACCATGATGGCCTGGCTGGTCTCGAACTCCTGACCTTAGGTGATCCACCCGCCTCAGCCTCCCAAATGCCTAATGAAATGAGGTTTTTAAACTCCGCAGTTATGTAGGCAGATCCCCACTTAGGTCAGTATTGAGAATTGCTTCTTTAGTATTAACAACTTACACTTGGTTAAATGTCTTATTACATTTGTGTCTTGGCAGAAATAGAAGTTTATTCTACATCCGTAATTTTCCCAGTAAGGAAAATTTCTTTTCCCAAAATACTGTTTAGAGTGAAATGTACATATGTGTATCTGTGAACCTACTGCATTTTGAAAAATAAGTATAATGTAGGCTGTTTTACTCTATGAGTTACTTGCAAAAAAAGTCCTTGAGGAATGTGTATTTTCTAAAACAGCATTTTTTTTTGAGTTATATAAACAGATCAAGACTAAAAGTTTATTTTTTATCATACTTCAGAATTTTTGCCTTGTTATAGATATTTTGGGGGAAAGTTCCTGATAATCTTTATAATATATAAAGTTCATAAATTAAACTGTAATTGAAAAATCCAAATTATAATTCCATTATATCTCTCTCTGGCCAGGTTCCCATGACCCAGAGAACACTAGTAGCACTTTTCCTTTGTTTCACTTATGTCATCTTTATTTGATCTAACATTGGGTCTCTCTAGAATGGAAGGATTATGAGGTAATAACAGAGGCACATGTGAAGATTGGGCAAAACAGTAATAAGGAGGAGGAGAGACAGAGGATAAGATGCTAGCAGAGAATTAGATGAAAAGTTTTAGGCAGCTAGGAATGTGGAGATGTGGGTAGTGGTGGCTGCCAAGCACAGGAAAATGATCATGCTGAACTGTACAAAGGAGATTGTCTCTGAACCTTTTCATAGGTTCTGACACTCTATATATGTCATCTTATTTAAAACCCTCTGTATTAAAATGATAAGGATTTGGAGACATTGAAATTATATAGAATTTAAATGTATGCATGTTCATATGTTTTTGCCTCTGGCTCATATTTCCAGAATACTTAACAGTATTTTAACATTTTGTTTCTTATGATTCTGGTCCTAAAAAATCAAGGACGCTGCTTACTCAGAAAGCTAAAAAACCTGAGTAAGTACTCTTAGGAGTTATACTTTTTATGTTTTCTTTAGTTAATCACTAAACTTGACTGATCTTGATAAAACTAAGGAATTAGAGATTGCTAAGAGGGTACTATCTTTTTCTAAGTATTCCATCTCTCAAAACAGCCTATTTACTAGTAAGTGGTACTTAACCTACATTCATTCAGCCTCCTAGGAAAAGAAAAAGATGCCAGAATAATGATCCCACAGCTCCTACGTTGAGGTTATGCGTTTCACTTGGATTTTCACTTGGATTTTTATTGACTCATTTTACAGAATATGTTTACTTTATTTCCTATTCCTTAGAAAAGGAGTGAGCAGAGTGAGAAGTGTCAGCTGACAAGTGATGTTTCAGGACATCCAAGTCAGAATTATCACAAAGTAAAATTGTGTATGTTATATGAATAAAAGATGTCTATGAAAATTGATTAAAGTTTTGGCACTTAAAAGTACATTTGTTCAAAATTTAATTTACATACACCCCCTTACCTTTATGCTTCATAAATGAGGCTTTGCTGAATGTGACTTTTTGATTTGCCTTACTCATGTGTAATGTAAAACTTTAATAAGAAATTTTATTTCATTTCTAATCATGTATTCCAGTTCAGAATATGGTACCCAGGGAGTGATATCCTGCATAATAAAGAGAAAGGAACTAATATTTATTGAATGCCTACTGTGTGCCAAGCTTTTCTTCATTTCAGAAATATTTATTGAGCACTTATTATGTGCTAGGGACTCTTCCAGATGCTGGAGGTGCCGTATTGAAGAACAGACAAAAATAGCTGTTTTCATATAGTTTACATTTAGTGGTAAAAGACTTAATAAATGAGTACAGTGTAATATGCCTGGGACAAAACAGTACTGTGCAGAAAAATAAAACGGAAAAGGGAGTTAGGGAATGAACATTGCTTATTGAGCTTTTTTAAAAACTGTGTAATGGGTATTATCCTTGATTTCAAAAAGCAAAACCTATCCCATACATAAAATTTTTCCTTTAAGAATACACTTCAAATTTCAGAACACAATTGTATTTATACTTCAAAGTTACAGAGTTTCAACAGCGATTTCCTATTGTTAGTATTTCAGAAAGCTGTTTTATGGCTGGATAGAAAATCGGAGTTTTTAATCCTGGTTTTGCCACTTAGTAGCTTTGCCACTAGATTTGGGATCAGTTAAAATTCGTTAGCTTCTCTGAGCTTGTTTTCTTCTGTGTAAAATGGATACGATATCTTTCTTTTTCTGGTGAAGGAACATTGTGTCGTATGTTGTTGAATAGGTTGATGAGCTGGATCTCAGCATTTTAACAAGGAAATAACAGTGTATAAAATTCCAATTCATGTAAATACTTTTAAAATATTTAGTACAGTACCTGGCACATAGTAACTATAGAGTAAATGTTTGCTTTTTGTCATCATTTTGCTTGTTAATTCAAAGAATCTTTTATACAAATTATTAAGGAAAGTTTTTGCAAAGATAAAATAACTCAAATTGTGAATGGGATTTTTGAGGGAAGAGTGGAATAACCATGCAAGTTGCAATACTTATTTTCATTTTTAGACTGGAAGATCACGAAACAGCACCTCAAGTGCAGAACATGTCTTCCTTTCAGTCTTTACTTCACATTATTTTCAGTGGTTGGCCTGTAGTTAAGAGCTCAAGAAATACTGTGTGTTAAATGTTGAATAGTTCTTAATGATCATTTTTCTGTAAATTACAGCTCTTTTTGTAGTAAACTCCTGAGTCTGAAAGGTGACTGCACTGGAATCTCTACTTTTAATTTTAAGCACTGAATAAGATATCATTATGCAAAGTCTCTTAAATGCTATTTTGTGAATCTAGCCAAAAGTTCAAAAAATATTCTAGAAATTGAGAGGAAGAAATCAATTATTTGTAGCTAGATTAGTCTTCATTAACCTATTTCTATGATGTTATTGGCATCAAAGTGAAAAAGTAATATAGCAGTTTTTAAAAGAGTAGAAGAAAATTTATGAATAATTATTTGCTCTTAACTGTTAAAGAACAAGTTTACCTTATCTTTTTAAGATAATTTCAATGAAAGTGTAGATTTGTCCTGGTTTTATGGATTAAATAGCTTGGTCGTTTACTTACATTTCTGTGATACAGGAAATACTGGTGTTTTCACTGAAAAGTGAAAACGTCCCACCAGCATCCCACCTCCCATCTTCACAGTATTTTAAGCATTCTTCAGATGCCTAAATCTTAGTACCAGTCAACTCTTTCCTGTTCTGCTGTAAGTTATCCTCTACCTAAAGAATAATAATTTTAGCTTTCCCCAAACTTAAGACTTCTGTCAGGTTATGAGGCTTTCAGTCATTTACCCAAAATATTTCTTGGATTTTTAAAAAGTTCTCCACAAAGCATGTATCGTGTGCTTTATATTCAAATATGAACAAATAGGATGAAAAGTATTTCATTTTAGTATTTGATGTGCCACAGTACTACTTTAGAAATGAGATAGGAATACATACAACTGAATATTTTATACTCTTGTAATTTTTTTTCTTTGCTTTTTTTGAACAATAACTGTCTACTACAGGACAGAAATAATTCCTACAAGGTGTCAGTTTGAGTGGCTTCAGAAAGGAAGTCTGATTTACCTACAAACAAGTACAAGAGACAAGAGCAGTATAAGAATTTGTAGTATTTTAATTGCCTTGTTAAAAGAAAATGGAATTCTTGTTTCACTTAAGAAGAAAAACAAAAACCGGCCTAGTACCAGTGCTCCTAGTACAAGTCACAGAAGCCAGATAATAAAGTAGAGGTTGGAAAGGTCCTGCAGAGAGAGAGAGAGAGAAGCAGCAAGAGTATAGGAATGGGGATTTTAGCAGAGATTTTGGTAGAAATGTGTGAATGCCGATTGTTAATAATAGACTTGTTTAAAATAATCCATTAAAATGTGTAGGAAAGAGTAATTTTTGATCTATAAATTTTTATTCACCAGTTTATTAACCATCATCTGAATCATTAAATAATATTATTAATATTATTTTGAATTTTAGCTTAAAGTTTTACTCTCACATTGATATTAAGGAAAATTATTTTTGACCTTTAATATCTTAATGTTTACCTTTTTTAATGTTAGCAAAATTGAGCACATCACAAGTTTGCTTCCTGTCAGTTTGCCAGTGAAGCAGGCCAGAGATATTGCTTGGCTCATCAGTATAGAGCCAGTGGCAGGGCAGTTCAGGGGAGTGACTTTCCATTCCTCATCAATGAGAGAAAAATACTTGCTAATGCAGATGAAAACTTGAACTCAGCAACTTGACCTTGCAGAACATTGTCCTCAGGCCAAGCAACTTTTGTTTAGTCAGAGAAATCAACAAAAGCAGTAATTCTGATATGAACTGGGGCCATAGGGGTAGAAGAGACTTTACCTGGTTTTAAACTGTGGAAAATATTACTTTTTTTTTTTTTTTTTTGGAGTGCAGTGACACAATCATAGCTCGCTGCAATCTCAAACTCCTGGGCACAAGCCTTTCTCCCACCTCAGCCTCCTGAATAGCTGGGACTACAAGTGTGCGCAACTACATCCAGCTGATTTCTAAAAATTTTTTATAGAGACAGGATCTCCCTTTGTTGCCCAGGCTAGGAAAATACTGCTTTTGGTTTTTAGTTGATCTCTTTGTTAATTTTTCAGCTTCTCAGCCCCCACCTCTTTAACTAAATATCTTAATTTTACCGTGTTGGGAGTCAATGAAGTATAATAAAAGTTCTGGGCTTTAAAACCAGATGAGCCCAAGTTCAAACCTGAGTTCTGTTGCTGACTATAGCTATGTGATTTTAGACATCATTCACACACTCTGAGCCAAGGAGTTTTCTTCAGAAAAATGGATATAGTAATACCTACCTTACATAGAACAGGTGAATTCTTGTTCTAGTTACATTAGGATATGTAGCTTAAGTAATTGGAAGTAATTTTACATTTGGAATTTTGCTTCGTTAGGTTTTTTCTTCAAGGTATCTGTCCACTTCATTTTTCCTCAACAAATAGAATGAAAAAAGAATTTCTGTACTTTTTAATTTACTGTAACTCCTTAGACCAAGATGAAACAAACAAAACATCATCATTATTTTTTTAACTACAAAATAAACATACGGATTGTTAATTCTTTGTATTTTTCTTGCCTGTTCCTGTGGGAAAAGCTGCATTTTCAATTTGAAATTAGTCCACAAATCTATAATATAGTTCTTCTTTAGGAAAAGCATTAGAAAATTGGCATGGATAAGATTTTGAAAACACCTCAAATATGAGGTTTAATATAATACTACAAAACTTGTGCCACTTTATCTGTGTAAAATGATCTTTATACTTTTCTGTTATGTTTATGTTTTAAGACAGTGTCTCGCTATGTTGCCCAGGCTGGAATGCAGTGGCACAACCACAGCTCACTGAAGTCTTGACCTCCCAGGCTCAAGTGATCCTCCCACCTCAGCCTTCCAAGTAGCTGGGATTACAGATGCGTACCACAACGCTCAGCTTACTTTTTATTTTTTGTAGAGAAGGGTTCTTCCTATTTTGCTTAGGCTGGTCTTGAGCAGCTAGGTTCAAGGAATCATCTTGCCTTGGCCTCCCACCTAAGTGTTGGGATTATAGGTGTGAGCTACCACACCCAGCCTGTTTTAACAGCAGCTATAGCAATGGTTTTATATTTTGTTAATAAGTTATCTGTATTGCTATAGTACCAAGAAGAGTAAACAAATTGTATTATTATGTTAAAATATTGGTTATACAAATAGCATTCAATACTAATTATTACAGCAAAATAGTCTACAACAGTTACACTGGTTTACTCAGTAGATTAAGACAAAAATTTTTAGCCTGGGTGACAAAGCAAGACCCCATCTCAAAAAAAAAAAAAAAAAAAGACAGTTTAAAAAAGTCATTGCATTTTATTAAGTTCATAGGCTTAGCACATTCTGTAGTGTATATACATGAAATCTCTTAGCCTAGAGGTAATAAATATGCTTTAATCTTACACGTGTGCAGTTTTTATGCAATCTGTAAAATAAAACCAGAAGCACAAATAGGAGATTGAACCATTAATCATTGGATAAATGACATGTTATCATGGCAGAAAGAATTATAAGGTACATGTTGGTCTTTTCAGCCTTGTGTTTTTGTTATTATTTTTTTTTTTTTGAGACGGGGTCTTGCTCTTTTGTCCAGGCTAGAGTGCAATGTTGCAATCTCAGCTCACTGCAACCTTTGCCTCCTGGGTTCAAGCAATTCTCCTGCCTCAGCGTCCTGAGTAGCTGGGATTACAGGCGCCCACCACCCTGCCTGGCTAATTTTTGTATTTTTAGTAAAGACAGGGTTTCACCATGTTGGCCAGGCTGGTCTCGAACTCCTGACCTCAGGTGATCCACCCATCCTCAGCCTTGCTTTTTTAAGCGGTTTTTAGCTTTTGCTGTTGGAAAAGTCAACATGTAGAGTGAAGTATTATGCACAGAAATTTGATTTTTGTTTTGATCAAATGCCATTATTTAGAAAACCTAACATTTTCACATCCTTTTGGATAGGTCACTTAATATCAGTAATAATTAGGTCAGCAAATTAATTTTGCTTTTTTGTAGTTTGCAAGAGTTTATCTTATGTTCAGCAAAGCTAATAATTGCATAAAAATTTAAGTGGGAGAAACTGGCCTTTAAATATTAATATTCAGATCTGTGGTACAAAGCCTATTATACAGATATTTGCTTCCACATTCTTGATATCCTATGGACTATTTTGTCTTTTACACTTTTCTTTTATACTAGCATTTCCTGATTGTAGGTTTCTATTAGGGTTGTCATCATTATAAAATATAGGCAAGATGGTCGTTTTTTAAAAATTTAAGACAGATTAAATGTTCCATTTAATTACTGAGCACAAATTATGTCATAGTTGCCTGGTTAATTTTATTGATTTATTATTTATTTGTTTAGAAATGGGGGTTTCGTTATGTTGCCTAGGCTGGTCTCGATTTCTAGGCCCAAGCCATCCTCTTGCCTCAGCTTCCCAAGTAGCTAGGACTACGTATGGCATGCCACTGAGCCTGGCAACTTGGTTAATTTTTAAAAGGCAATTAGTGACCTGATAAACATGAGCGTCTGCTGTTCAGAAGTTAAGCAGCTGTATGTTGCAGATGTATGTAGGTGTCACAGTTAAGTAGTTACTAGAATTGTGAGAAAATGTGCTCAAGGAACCATCCAAGGGATCCGTGTCAAATAAAAGTTGCTAGAAATACAGATATTTTATAATTTGCATTGAGAGTGACTTACTGTTTACCCCATGATTAGCATGTACCTGAATTGTACTTGACTAAAGTACTGCTTGCCAACTCTTAGGATGATTTTATAGGAAATGGAAAAATAAGCACATGGAAATGGGGATTTCAGAAGAAAATTCCCACTTCCACATATGGCGATTCTGCTTTTTTGCATATAAAAGTGCATTGACACGTGTTGAATGCCCTTTGAGATTGTCTAGCTAAGGTAATTGTTTGGCCTGCATGAGACATACTCATTCTCTTCATGAGATTTTTCCCCTCATGAACATTGCCATACATTTAAAGGATGACAGAGCCATTGCTGTAATTTTGCAAGTGGAACAAGAAGTAAGTGCTCTTGTTGAAGGTAATTAGTTCATTACCTAATTGAAGTTAGTTCATTACCTAGTTGAAGTAATTAGGTAGAAGATTGAAGTGGTCATCTTAACCAAACCAAGCTATCTATCAGTATATCAACTTTTATAGAATATCACATGATCGAAAGAACAGAAACTCCATAGAGCGTATTTCATATGTCTTCTATGACATGCTTGTGCAGAATAGCTGGCTAACCCAAGAAATCTTGCCTTACTCATTCTTCTATTGTGTCTCATCTCTACATTCTGTTTGTTTTGTTTGAGAGGGAGTCTGCTCTGTCCCTCAGGCTGGAGTGCAGTGGTGCAGTCTCAGCTCAGTGCAACCTCCACCTCCCAGGTTCAAGCAATTCTCCTGCCTCAGCCTCCCAAGTAGCTGGGACTGTTGGTGCGTGCCACCACGCCTGGCTAATTTTTTGTGTGTTTAGTAGAGACAGGGTTTCACCGTGTTAGCCAGGATGGTCTCAATCTCCTGACCTTGTGATTGGCCCGCCTTGACCTACCAAAGTGCTGGGATTACAGGCACGAGCCACCGCACCCGGCCTCTACATTCTTTATTATTCAAACTACCTTACTTATCCAATAGTTTTGAGTTCCTGCTGTGTGCCTGTACTTTGCTAGGTCAAAGGGGTGGACAGATATGTAAGATACAGTTCTTGTCCTTAAGAGACATATATACAAACACATGTGATATACTGTGACAAATGCTGTGACGGGGTTAAACATAAAATACTTTAGGAATCCATAGGAGGTAGTGTCTCCTATGGATAAGGATTAGGCAGTATCTCCTATTCAGTAAGGGATGAAAGGATATGACAGGGAAATCTTCCTAGGAAAGGTGACACTTAATCTGAGTGTATATCAGATAGGCAAGGAAGAGAGTTACAGGCTGCAGATAGGTCTTTTTAGATAGAGAGAAACACCATGCATGAAAGATGGAGGTAGGAAAGTCCACATGTACACAGTAACTGTGTGTAGTTCTACAGTGCATTAGGTACCAGTGGTGGGTTAGCTGGAAGTGAGGTGGAAAATTAGAAAAAAGACAGAGCATCGAGATACCTGTATACTCCATAAAGGAGATTTAACTTCATCCTTCAAATGGATGGAAGACAAGTTCTTAAATTAACATTCTAGAAAGATTCTCTTGTTGTAGTGCACAAAATACCTTAGAAAAGAGCCAGACTTGGGAGGAAGAGGCAGGCATATAAGTATCTATTTGAGAGTTGATTAGGACCCAAATTAAGGCACTGATAATGGGGTAATTAAGAAGAATAGGTAATGTGTTTGAGAAGGAAATAATTGAATGTGACATAAAGCAGTGAAGATCACACATGCCCTGGGTGCATAGTTGTGATGGTGATGTTCACCATTACAGAACAGACCAGGGTTGCAACAGGTGAGGAAGACATTTGAGTTCTGTTTGTTGATTTTAAGGTTCTATGGAGGGAGAAAGAGGAAGACTTCACTTGATATGGAGGAGATAGAGAATGCTTGTCTTGATTAGATAACATTTGAGCAGGTACATGAATGAAAATAGAGGCAGTAGCAAATGCAGTGGCCTTTAAGTGGGATGTCCTTGCCATCTTCTAAGAGCAGGAAGGCCAATATAATTGGAGCTGGGGGGGGCGGGGTTGGGGGGTGGAAGTAGGGTAGATGGTATCCAACTGTGTATGCTGTTCATGTAGGGTGTTTAGACTGTGATAAGGACTTTAGATTTTACTCAGGATGGGGTAGGAAGTCACCAAAGGGCTTTAAGATAAAATCTAATTTGTATTTTCCCCCTCACTTCTTAGAACATTGTTTATTTATTGACATTTGTATGTGTGTGGTTCTGTAACATTATTATGTATATGTATAAATTCATGTGACCTTCACAATTAGGTTATAAAAACTGTTTCATCATCATAAAGAGACTCCCTTGTTTTACCCCTTAAGTTTCACCTTTCCTTCCTGGCAACCACTTACCTGCTTCTGTTCTCTATCACTATAATTGTCACTTCAAGAATGTTACATAAATCGTACGTGATGTTACCTTTGGAGATGGGCTCTTTTTTTTTTCACCCAGTATAATCCCCTTGAGGTCCTTCCAAATTGTTGCATTTATCAATATTTATTCCTTTTTAATGCTAAAGAGTTTACCATTGTATGGATATACCACAATTTGACTTTGGAATTTCCAACTTTGGGTTGTAAAAATAAAACTGCTGTGAACAGGTTTTACAGGATTTTATGTGAAAATACGTTTTCATCTCTGTAGGATAAATTCCCAAGAGTGCAGTTGTTGGGTTGCGTGATAAATGTATGTTTAAATAAGAAACTGCCAGACTTTTCCAGAGTAGCTGTACAATTTTACATTCCCAGCAGCAATATGTGAGAAACCTACAGTTTCTCTGCATCCTCTCCAGCATTAGTATTGTCAGTATTTCTTATTTCACCCAGTCTAATAGTATGTAGTGACCATTAATTTGCATATCCTTAATGGCTAATGATGTTGAACATATTTTCATGTACTTCTTTGCTGTCTACATATCCTTTGTGGTGAAATGTGTTCAAGTCTTTTGCTCATATTCTAATTGAATTGTTTTGTTTTCTTGTTGAGTTTAGAGAGTTCTTTACAAATTCTATATCCAAGTCCTTTGTTGAATACGTGATTTACAAATACTTTCTCCTAGTATGTGGCATGTCTTTATAGTCTCTTAACAGGGTCTTTTGCAGAGCAAAAAATTAGCTTTGATGAAGTTCATTTTGTGCATTTTTTTCTTTTATGGATTGTGCCTTTCTTGTCAAGTCTGAGAACACTGGCTAACCTTAGGTCCCAAACAAAAAAGACTATCCTTCCTTTATTGAATTGCTTTTGTACCTTTGTCAAAAATCAGATAGCCGTAATTGTGAGGATCTATTTCTGGATTCTCTGTTCTGTTCCATTGATCTTTGTGCCTGTCCCTCCACCACTACCACACTGTTTGATTACTATTGCTATATAGTAAGTCTTAAAATTAGATAGTGAAATTCCTCCAACTTCATTCTCCTTTTTCAGAATTGCTTTAGCTATTCTAGTTCCTTTCCATGTAAAATTTAGAATCTGTAAAATGTCAGTTTCGGGGAAATTGACATTTTTATTTTGTTGAGTCTTCAATCCATGAACCTGGTATATGGTATGTCTTTTATTTAATTCTTTTATTTCTTTTGTCAGCATTTTTTAGTTTCTAGCATAAAAATCCCGTGCATGTTTTGTTAGATTTATACCTAGATATATATTTTTTAGAACAATTGTAAGTGATACTGTGTTTTTAATTCTGATTTCCAATTGTTCATGTCTAATATGTGGCAGTATGGTTGGTTGATTTCTGTGAGTGGATCTTATATTTTGAGACTTTGCTAAATTATCAGTTTTAGGAGGTTTATTTTGTAGATTCATTGGGTTTTCTGATGTGCCTGTGCATAGAGACAGTTATTTACATTTTTTTCTTCCCAATCTGTATGCTTTTTATTTCCTTTTCTTCCTCTGCTACTTGCAATGCTGTTTCATAATAGTGGTGGGAGCTGACAAGCTTGTTTCTGATCTTAGTGGAAAAGCATTCAGTCTTTCACCAGTAAGTATATGTTAGCTGTAGGTTTTTTGTAGATGCTGTTTATCAAGTTGAGGAAGTTCCCTTTTTATTTGTAGTTTGTTAAGTGTTTTTATCATGAGTAGGTCTTCAATTTTGTCAAATGCTTTTTTCTACATCAATTGATATGGTCATATGGCTTTTATTCTTTAAGCTGGTAGCTAGTGGTTACTTACCTTTTTAAATATTCACTCTGCTGTGTGTGGAGTAGACTTTGGAGATAGAGCAAAGATTTAAACAGGGAAAATATATTAGAAATTATTGTCATACTTAGATGATGGTGGCTGGGACCAGGACAGTAATAGGAAAGGGTGAGAACAGATCAGATTTTGGATATGTTTCAAACTCTGTGTGGGAAGGAATTGCTGATGAATTGGATCTGAGGCATAAAAGAGAATTCAAGGATGACAAGAGATTTTTGGCGCAAGCAATTGGAAGTATGGAGTTGCCATTGACTCAGTTTGGGAGCATGGTAAAGTAGCAAGTTTAGACTGAGCAATCAGGAGCCTTTTTTTTGGATGTGTTAACTTTGAAATGCCTTTTAGACATATAACCAGTGATATCAACTGGGCAATTCATTCGGTATAATGGAATTCAAGCAAGAGATTCAGACTAGAAATATGAATTTGGGAGTATCAGTGGAGTTGATGTGAAAGAAGTTATAGTGGTATTTGTTTAAAACTATACCTGTGACTGCTTTCTAGTTACTGTAATTTCAGATTTATTAGCAAAAAGCCAGACTCTTCTAACATGTGAAAGAGCTTTGTGAAAATTTGGATTAGTTCTGCTGTGTATGTGACATGAAATGCAACAGAAATTTTGTAATTGGGAGGTGATTTGGGGATGGATATTTAATATGTACTTAGTCATACTTATTTGATAGGTAAATGGCTGTTAACAGTGGTCATCTAATAGTGTCTTACTAATTTTTAGAGCTTTGCCCTAAATCTTTATAAAATGAAGTAACTACATGTTGTGGAAAGGGTTTGACACTTATTAAGTGCCCGAATGACTTTCTGTGGCAACATTTATCTTACAGATAAAAACAGCCAGAGAGATAAATGAAAAATAAAGATGAAAAACAGGAATGTAAAATAGCTGGCAAGGAGAGGCTTAGAGCCAGAAATACATCAGTAAAGGGAGCAGGTCAGTCTTAGTCACAGAGAATTTGTAGAAAGACATGTCTCCTGAGTCCCACTGTGATCATGTGTACTTTAAATTCATGTAATTTGGAAAATTTTTTAAATGCCACAAGTTTTTTCTGTTGTAACTGATTATTAGCTCCAATAATATTTCCTTATTGATAATTTATATCTTTCTAGCACTTCGTTTTATTTACCCCCATTGCAAGATTGCCATGTGTATTATAATTATCTGTTTACTTTTCAGTTTCTCCCACTAAATGTCAGTTTTTATAGCATGAGTACAATACCTTGGCGCTTGAGCGCTCAGTAAATATTTGTGAATGAATGGACACAGACTACTAGAGTTTAGAGCTAGTAAACTTGATTGTTTTCGAAAGTAAATGAGCTTTTGGGATTCTGGAGTACAGGTTGTGGTTGAATGTCTTTCTGATGCTTCCAAACAAGCATTCTAGCCCTAGAGATTGCACCCATACATAGCAGCGTCACCAACCCAAGATTAGTGAGGCGTACATTTTGCCTCTTTTTTCTCTTTTCCCTAGTGGTAATGGATTTCTGCAAATTCGTCTAAACTTTGGCCCAGATTTCTTGTGTTGAATGGAGTACACATTGCAAATAGTAGGCTAGGTTTAGAGTTGAGTCCATAATAGCATGTCTCCTAGGAAATTTCTTGTGCACATTTTAAAAGAAAGGAATGTTAATCTGTCTGTCTTCTACGCAGTCCTTCTGCCCATTTTCAGGTAGATGGTAGATGTATAGGCCAAGTTTCTCTTCAGTATTTTTATATACCTTTCCACTTTTGAGCTTTACAAGACAAAAATACCCTTAGCCCTTACTATTCCAATGCAGATTTAAATATTAGGAGATTGGGTATTTTTAAAACCATATATTCTTTTATTTCCAGATCCATAGTGTGTGTGTGTGTGTGTGTGTGTGTGTGTGTGTGTGTCTATGTGTCTGTGTGTACAGATACATATATTGTGTTAGTCCATGGCAAATTAGTAAAGTTTGTAAAAAGAATGTCTTTCTCTGGTATTGTTGACACCAACATAGTAAGAATGTTTAAGTGCTTTGCATTAAGCATCTCAGGGAATAAGGAAAGGGAGCTGTATAAAATAATTCTTTGTCTAGTAGGACAAACTGTGTAGTTAACTGAGTCTCGTATAGAGGTGCCTGCCTCACATGATTATTGGGAGCATTAGATGAGTTTATGCATTATAAGTCATTTGACCTAGTGCCTAGCACTTAGTAAATGTAAGCTATTAATAGAAAATTTATTGCTATAAAATTATAAAAATAATAAACTTTAAACTTTATAATCATTTTTGTTATAACTCTTCACTTGGCTTTCTTGATACCATTCTTCCCAACATTTTCTCTGCCTGATTTTTCTGACTTATTCTAAATTCTTCATCCTCAGGTCTCCTCTCTCTTACCTTTTTTTCATTATTCCCTGTGTCAGTGTCAGCACCTTCTGCTGAAACTCACTACAGCGTATCTCTACAAAATCTCTTGCCTTTCTTAGGGAGGAAAGTGACACGATTCAGCCAGTTTTTAGGAAGCTAGCCAAGTTTGTTACCACTGTGAAATACAGTTTAGAAAGGCTTAGCCAGGCATAAGGCCTGTAATACTAGAGTCTTGAGAGGTTGAGGCAAGAGGATTGCTGAAGCCAGGAGTTTGAGACCAGCCTGGGCAACATAGCAAGACCCCATCTCTAATAAAAATAAAAAACTAACTCGGCAGGTAAAGTGCACCTGTAGTCCTGCCTACTCAAGAGGCTGAGTTGAGAGGATCACTTGAGCCCAGGAGTTCGAGGCTGCATATCTATGATTACATGACAGCACTCCAGCCTGGAAAATAGAGCAAGACCTTGTCTCTTAAAAAAAAAAAAAAGAAAACCTTAAGAGTAGAACAAGCAGTCAAACAAGAGGTCATGGTGTTAGGTGATTGCCCAGATAACACATACTTGAACAAGGACATTGTGGTGGAAAAGAGAAATTTTTGTGAAAGTAATCAGTGAAACTTTGCCATTGATTATATGTGGAGAGGAAAAGAATTGAGAACTCTGAGGTTTCTAGCTTCAGAAGCATGTCATTTATAATTAACAGAGAAATACATTAGTGAGTAGGAGGCAGTGAGTTGAGTTTTGGACAAGGTGACTTTAGGTTGCCAGCATGGTATTGTCAGGCTATTAGTTTACTTGTTCCAGTCCCACCCCTCCCTTCCGCCTCCCTCCTTCCCTCACTCGCTCACTGAATTCCATTGCTATTAGTCTAAGAACTTCCCTTTAGGAAAAGTAATTTTTTTTAGTCACAGTCAGCAGTAGAGCTTGAAATTTGTGGAGACCAATTCCCCATTTCCTACCCACATTCTCATTATCCTCTTTTGGTCCGTTTCCCCAGGGAAAAAGGTGAAGATTATTTAGAATAATATCTACTACCATCATTACTACCACCCCACCCCACCTCACCTCCAGGAAATTGGTAGAAAAGTTTATATATAGATATGTATGTATGTATGTATTATATATATAAAAAATATATGTGTGTATATATAACATATATATAATATTTACATACATATATTTGAGACAGGGTATTACTCTGTCACCCAGGCTGGAGGGCAGTGGTACAATCATAGCTCACTGCAGCCTTAACTTCCTGGGCTCAGCCTTAACCTCCCACCTTAGCCTCCCAAGTACCTGGGACTACAGACACCAGCCACCATGCCTGGCTAATACTTTTTTTCTAACTTTTTGTAGAGGCAGGGTTTTGCTGTATTGCACAGGCTAGTCTCAAACTCCTTGGCTCAAGTGATCCTCTTGCTTTGGTCTCCCAAAGTGCTGCGATTACAGGTATGAGCCACTATACCTGACCTAGTTTTTTATTTTTACATCAAATAAATGAAGCAACTTGGCAGGGCTCTTTGAAGAAAAATACAATTTTATGAAGTGTTTGTGATTAAAATATTAATAAGCAGAGTAACACCTCATTCATCTAGTATTCTTAGGTAGTAAGTACATAAAATGATTGAAACTTACTCCTGAATCTATTTTAGAGATTTTATAGAGATTTTACAATATATTATGTATATTGTGTGTAGATAAATATAGATATTCATACCTCCAAATCTATTTCTTTATAATGTTTCACATACTTTGCTGCTTTCTGAAATAGTAACACCTCCTCCCCTCCCCCACTTTTACCCTGCATACTAAACCTTTTCTGGAAGATAGAAATAAACATTTTGTTTCAGAGCTTCAGAATGAGTCAGGAACCCCGGGTTCTAGTCCAGGGCCTGGCACTAAGTTGCTATATGAGAACTGAATCATAGATTCTAGAACAGTGCCTGGCACGTAGTAGTGCTTAACCAATATGTTTGGAATGAATCATTGTCTTGTGCTGACTTTAGTGCTCCTTCCTTGATTTATTACTTGGAATTCATTGCTGCCTAGTAAATAAGCTTCTGGGTTCTTAATTAAATAGGAGTATCTAGGTTCTGATAGAGGTGAACTATAAGCCTAATTTATGTCTGTTTTAACTCCTTAGTGGAACTTTTGGCTTATCTTGATGTATTTTCTGGTACTCGAAGTTGCCAAACAGATGATCTTCTGTGCTTGATTTATTGGGGGCACTTGCTGAGTACTTTATATGTGCCTATATTATGTATATGCAGTGTTCTATGTGTAAGCACATAGCACATGTCTCCGGGGATCTTATAACTTAGATGAAGAGACACAGAAGTAGACTGTAAGAGAATAATTAAATGTTGATTCATAAAGCATTGACCTACAGCTACATTAGTAGTTGTAGGAAAAGATCCATGTGGGCTGAAGCAGGATAAAAAGAATTCAAGTAGAAGGTGAAATTGGAATTGGTTTTGAAGAGGTAGTTAAGATTTTGATAAGCCTCAAGGTGAAGACATAACATTCTAAGCAAGGGCAGTAGTGTAGTAAGCAAAGAAAGGAAAGTGTGGGTTGAACATGTTCAGACAGGCCTGCCCAGATTCCTAAGGGTGTGGGGACTGCTGGGAAATAGAAGCAGGTGAATTTAATAGAGTAGTTTTAATCTGCAAGACCCTGAAGGGATCCAGGGATACAATTTAGAGGGCTGCATGCATTTAGATAAAAAAAAAAAAGTGACATCTTTATATTTTTATGAACTTTGAACTGAAATTTAGCATTTACTTTTAATAAGATTTTAAGCGGCAGACTACAGTAATATTAGCAGTACGTATATCTTTTATTACTAATAGAAAAAGCACAGATATTTTCAGATTACAGCTGTTGATATCTCTATAATTTATGCATATTACTACTTCAGAATTATGGTTTTTATTAGACTCCCACTAGATTTTATTGTATTATTACTAAAGAAGCATATGTATGAATATATCACATACAAGGTTTTTAAAAACACTTGATAACTGTTTCGGTATAATTGGTTTTCTTAGTAATGTATATTTTATGCATTTAAAACCATATTTTCAAAAACAACTATATTTTAGTAAAACTGGCTTTCTTTATAATCCTAGATATTGTATTTTATGCATTTAAAACCACTCTGAGGGGGACTCTGTAGCTTTCTCCAGACTGCCAGAGGGATTCATGACCCCCGATCTAGTGGAACCAAACTGGAGAAGGCATTGAAAAACCACACTGAGGGGTTTTAGCTGAAGTGATAAGCAGGAAAGGAGCCTTGCCAATTTTGTTCATTTGTTTGTTTTGTTTCAGTTACAGAATAGATGTGTTAACATAGAAAATTTCAAAGTTTCAACCAGTTTAGAAAAAAGGGTCAAACTCTTCTTAGCTCACAATTGTAGATAAACTGTTTAAAAAAATAACAGAAACTCATCTTGTAACACCACAGTCACTATCCTTCCTCTTTTATTATTTATCTGTTTCAGTTTATTAAATTCCTCTGCAATTGAGTGAAATATTTAAAGTGGTTATATAGGAAACTTTCTTAATCTCTTATACTATACTTACACAGAGGGTGGGAAGACTGGCAGGGAGCTAAGCAGTGGGTCTGGTCATTTATATGTTTGATGATAGGGATAGGGTGGTAAGCAGTTAGAGATAGAGTAAAATTGCAGGAGATATTGGAAAGAAAAAATAATAGAACTTGGTGGTATGGGAGCTGAGATGCATGGAGTCAGGTAAGAGAGAGTATCAGGAAGAAAGTTAAGTATAGGGTGCCTAAATTAGGATTCCTAGAATAATATTATACAGGTCCACAATGCTTTATCTGAAACCCTGAGGCCAGCTGTGTTTTGGGATTCAAACATTTTTGGATTTGGGAAAGGTAACGTGTATATTGTATATTACATAACTCTCCCAGCAAGGTCTGAGGTATCATCCTGTAACTAGACACTAGTATCTCTGCAGTGAAGGTGAAAATATTCACAGTAAGTGGGCTAAATCAAGCCTGTAAATAACCTTACATCGGTTCAACTCAGATTTTTGCCACCACCAAATGAGTTTCCATATGAAGCTTCGTGGAAAAATCTTGTCCTGACATTTTATTTCAGAACTATGGAAGTAATTGTGGACTGTATTGACTGTAATAACCATTGAGGAGAGTCTTAGAAGTTGTATTTTAAGGAATGTTAATTACAAAATGGATGCGATTTCAAGGAGTTGGGTAAAGGTAAAGAAAGAGAAGAGAGAAGAGTTAAGGTAACTTCACTTTGCAGGCTGAAAAGAAATTGCTATTTCTGACAAAAATGGAAAGTTGAGGAGGGAAACTAGTATTGGAAGAGTTTAAGTTTAAACATAAGTACAATTAAGATGAAACAACATATTTTTGCTTCACATGAAAGCTTGGAAGTTGTTGGAGTGTAAAATTTCCTTTTAAAATGAAACCTAGAAGGAGCTTAACAGCAACCTACAAGGAGCCTAACAGACTGATGTTGATTGAGATCTTAGTGTTTCTGAATTGATAACAGAAATTATCGATTGGAAAGGTGTGCCTAAATAAGTGAAGGTTGTGATCCTACTCATGGAACCAAACCTGGAAAACAGAATAAAAGGGGTAGAGTGAGATAATTCACCTTGTAGCAGGATTCTTTTCTGTATGGTTGAATCATTCCTATGGCTATATTTATTATAACGTGAATATATTTAGAGTAGTAATTGTTCAGCAGCAATGGGAGCTGCCATGTGCCAGGCACTGTTCTAAGTGCTGTAGCAAGCAGTCCGTGCTGTTTCTGTCTTTTGGACTGGGTCAGGACATCAACTCACGTGGGAAGCACAGATAGCGTAATTTTGTTAGAAAATCTAGGATATGACCGGGCACAGTGGCTCACGCCTGTAATCCCAGCCCTTTGGGAGGCCGAGACGGGCGGATCATGAGATAAGGAGATCAAGACCATCCTGGCCAACATGGTGAAACTTGGCTCTACTAAAAATACAAAACTTAGCTGGGTGTGGTGGCACGCGCCTGTAGTCCCAGCTACTTGGGAGGCTGAGGCAGGAGAATCGCTTGAAGTGGGGTTGCAGAAGCGGAGGTTGCAGTGAGCCAAGATCACACCACTGCACTCCAGCTGAGTGACAGAGTGAGACTCCGTTTCAAAAAAAATGAAAAAAAGAAAAAAAATCTAAGATATAATTAATGCATAAATATGTAGGATTAAGTAGGTTTTAACTTTTTTGTCTGCCATTCTGTAATTTTTAAATCCACTTTAATAAATGGACTCATACATTGACACTGTCATATAAGTAAACTCTCTTAGAAATAGGGATAAGTGTTTTTTAACAGGAAAGAAGCACGGCCCAATAATTAATCTTTTTTATTTATTTATTTATTTATTTTTTTTTTTTTTTGAGACGGAGTCTCTGTTGCCCAGGCCAGAGTGCAGTGGTGCGATTGCAGCCCACTGCAACCTCCACCTCCCAGGTTCAAGCGATTCTCCTACCTCAGCCTCCCTAGTAGCTGGGACTACAGGTGTGCACCACCACACCCAGCTAATTTTTGTACTTTTAGTAGAGACGGGGTTTTACCATGTTGGCCAAGCTGGTCTCAAACTCCTGACCTCACTCAGGTGATCCACCCGCCTCAGCCTCCCAAAGTGCTGAGCCACCATGCCCGGCCTCAATAATTACTCTTGAAATTTGTTTAATTGCTCTGTTCATATTTACTGTATATAAATGTAGGCATTTACTTTACGATTCATAAGTAATAATGCTAATTTTTTGTGTTAAACTTTTATTCAGATTCTACTGACATATTATTTGAACTTTATGTTTTTCTTCTATTAAATAAGGGTGTTGGACTAGATAATCTATAAGGCTCCTTTCAACATCAAATCTATGATTCGGAATCTTTTAAGTTTCATCAAGTAGAATAAAAAGCTTAAACTACAATTTAAAGGAGATTCTCCTTAGATTATGCTGTGAGTGTAAATAAGATGCCAGAGGAACAAGTGAGAGAATGAATGTTATAACTTTACACCTACATCCTTTTGGCTAACATTAATAAGAGGCATAGAAATAAGAATTCTAAGAAACTAGAATGCAGAGTGTTGACCGGAAAAGAAGTTTTCAGAAAGAAAATTATTAGTAACGTCAAGCTAGTACAATAAAGAAGGAACCTTGGACATGAGGTTAGACAGCTACAGATACATTTCTGGTTTTAACTCTGCTGCTTATTGGAGTTTCGATGAGTAAATATTACTTAATATGTTTTTTTAAAAGAGTAAAAGCAAGTTCATTATAATTTGTAAATAACGTTGTATACCTGGAAAAGCCAAGAGAATCAACTGAAATATTACTATAAGTAATGAGATTTCAGTATGATGACTAGTTAAAAAATTTAAAAAAGTGGTTTATCTGAAGTGGTTTTTTTATTTGATGGTCTTTAAACTGAAAGCCTATTCATATGAGTTACTGAATGGAAATCCTCAAACTTAAATACCCTTTCCCCTTCTTTCTGAGGAATGCAGTAATTCAGTCTTATCATCTAAGTTTTAGTATATTTTGAATAAGACACTTCCATGTTAACTTTTTAAAACTTTTAAAATGAAGTTGTGGCAGAGAATACACTTAAAACAACTATAAGGAAATCATTTTTTAAAATTCCTTGTGGCTTGTGATACTTGCTCTATTACTTGGTAATTTTAGAGAGGGTGTAATCTGATCTTTGAGCCATATTTGGTAAATAATAATTTTGTGTGGAACCCACTGTTCTATCAGTAAGAGGAAAATTATTGCCCATATATAAGGCTTTTCTTTGCCCTTAAAACATTTCCTAACTTAAGGACCAAATTATATCATGCATTGATTGCTTTTATGTTTTTTTAAAAAGGATTATACCGGATCTATATATAACTTTTTAACAAGAGATGTGTTGACAGAAGTATTTTATACTTTACTTGGAAAGAGAATTACATGTCTTCTTGTTTACTACTAATTCTTTTTATATCCTAAATATAAATTGTTATATTTTTATTTATCATCAGCTCTCAAAATTGACCTCTCTCATATACTCAATTTGTGGCTATTCTGGAAGATAATCAGTTACATGTCTTAGAATGTGATTATAGTTGAATTATTTAAACCGAAAGCCTGCTACCTAGTTGTTGCTTTAGCATTTGTGAAAATGAAAACTTAAGTATACCCACATGTTTAGAACAAGAAAATGTGTTACATTCTTTAATAATGCAGAAAAATATATTGAATGCCTATATGTGCCACACTGTTAAGTGCTTTACATACACTTTAGCTAAATCTCATGGACAGTACAGCAGGGTGGGTAGTGATATTCCATTTAATAAAAGAGATTTCTGCAGTTTAATTTCAAAGCCATACTGAAATCAGATCTGAACTTAGACTTCTCTCTCACAGAATTCCTTGTCCTGCAATGTGCCATCACAATAGATGGAAAATTTACATTTTTCACAAAAACTACTTTTACTCTGTTTTGCTGTTTATATTGCTAGTTACTGGAAATGCAGGGAATTCAGTTTTTGGATCTTCGTCTTCACTACTTTTTTTTGTCCTATTACAGTTTTCACAACATCTATGATAATTTGAGAGCAGCAGAAAATTCTATTTATTTTGACTCCTGTGGGATTAGTTTCTTAGGGAAATGCCTAAGGGTACCAGCCTACCAAGCATAAGGACATCATTTCCAGGTTTTAATAATCAAAATAGTACAACATTCTACTATTCATAATATCCTATTATTTCTGTAACCTTCGTAGTTGCAAGTTTGTTTTTGGTTTTTGTTTTATATGGCCCTAACAAAAATTAAAAAAAAAAAAATCATTGAATCTATTTTGGTAATGGAAAAAAAGATTTTCCAGTGTGGTTAAGAACCACATCTTATGAGCTGTTCTTTGCCTCCCTCTTTAAGAATTACCAAGTATTTTTAAAAATTGGAACTTAACATTCAATTCATTGCTTGGATATATCTAAAGCATTTCTTAAGAAACCCCTGGGAATGGATCATAGGAAATTAGGGGAGCGTTTAGAAGATGATTGGAAATACGATAGTGAAAGGGAAGAGAAAAATGACCTGAAAATGAGGACTTTACATTTCCAATTTTGGATTTTGTTGTTGTTTTTCTCTTTCTGTTAGAGTTACTCTGTGGTCTCCTGTTGGACAGTCTGTTGCTAAAAGCCATTAGAGATTTCATAAAAACTACTGTTTTGAGTTGCTGGAACTGAGATTCCAGAATAGTGTTGGGTAGGTTAAAAGAATGGCTTAACCAAAGTAAACAGCATCCTTTGGTTACTTGCAATTTAAGAGACCCATTTTCCCTTCAGAATATTTTATGTGAGAGACTTTGGGGACTACCTTACTGCTATTACATCTCATAATGTTATCTGGTCACATTTCTTGTTCTGCCTACCTCTAGTTTACTCTAGTTTCTCTTCTGCTTTCAAGGCTCCAGACCCAGTTCCTGGACCTGCCCTGGAAAAGAAGTATCCCGTAGAGATGAGCTCACTGCAGTTACTTAATTAACAATTTGTAAGCTGCAAAAATGGCAATGGGCCAACCAAGAACAGCTACAATTTGAATTTTTCTATTTCCAGGTATGCTAAAGTCCATGGCACCAGTCAAGCTTAGCCTGTGTAACTGCCTTATTATTAAATCTATAGTAACTAAAACTTGACTTTCAAAACTTATAGTCATCTTGCTTTAAAGTATAGTAACACTAACATCTAGGTAACATGCAGCTAGTATTGAGTTTAACATACCTTTTGCCTGAATATTTCTAATTTAACTTGTTTGCTAGTAGTAGCAAACTAATGCAAAAACATAAGAAAAATAAATGTGAAATGCTATTGAGTGAAGCCGTATAAACATACCAAAAAAAATTGAAAAACAAACATCAACAACAACAAAACTGCCTTTCTTTAAAAGGTTTACATTGAGTACAAGCAGTATAGGGAATTCAGTTAATGAAACTACTTCCCTCTTCCTGAGATCCTCAACTATTCTACCCTACTAATGCCTTTACCTAAAAAGTTGATATATTCATACATGGCGAAACCCCGCCTCCACTAAAAATGCAAAAAAATTAGGCAGGCTTGGTGGCGTGCACCTGTAGTCCCAGCTGCTTGGGAGCCTGAAGCACGAGAATCACTTGAACTGAGGGAGTCGGAGGTTGCAGTGAACTGAGATTGCACCACTGCACTCCAGCCTGAGCAACAGAGTGAGACTCCGTCTCAAAAAAAAAAAAAAAGGTTAATATATTCTTCAGTAATTGGAAATTAGACATATTATTTCTGGATAGAACCGAGCAATGTATTATATAGTACTTTACCTGAAGAATTTAGTTATATTTTTAAACTAAGTGTATAACTAATATTTGCTAATATTTTACTTGATTACCCAAAAGAAACCAGCCAAGGAAGTTACAAATAGTCAGAGTCATCCTGGAGTGTAACAACAAAACCAAAAACTGAGGTTTCCTAATGCCTTAGATTTTAACCAAGAGAAAGCTACTCATGAATGGTTAGAGGGCCAAGATCAATTAGCTTTTAAGGATATTTATTCCTTTTACCAATATATATAGATGTAGAAACAGAATTAATCCCTGAAAGATGAGTTTATTTACTAAATGGGTAGATAATCATACATGTCTTTTGATTTTAGTTCAGTTTATCTAGGTTAGAGATTACCGAAAACTGAAGAGGAATTTTGTATCCCAATTGTGAATTTAAAAGGCAATCCTAATATTCTAGCATGTGCTTAACTCCTTCCTTACATCCCTTCCTGCAGTATTAATGCATAATGAATTTAATGTCTGGCAATTTAGTCAGCATTAGGTCACTGATTATGTGCCACATTATTTGTTTGGTGTTTAAAGAATTATGTGTCACTGAGTGTTGAATTAGAGCTGGAAAGGGAGCTACTAGTTAGGGTCATTACCACTGTTAGGTGAATTGAAGTAGAAATTGAAGAAGGAATTACATATGAATATCAAGTCTTAGTTATTTTCAGTGGTGCTATTAATGGTGAAATTTTTCTCCATTATTCAATGTAAATAGACACAGCTGGGATGTAGAAATCAATAAACCTTGTTTTAGTGAGCTTACAGACAAGTAATATGAAAGTATCGTAATAGAGATGCATACAACATACTTAAGAGTACTGGAGAGAATCAGCTTTGTGGAGAAGGTAATGTTTCTGCTGAACCATGAAGGATAAATAGAATTCTTTAGAGAAAGCAGCAAGAGTATTTCTAAGTTATGGAGATGAAAGTATTTAATATATTATAGAAATTGTGAGCAGTCCAGTGTGCATAGAGAATAGTTGGATAGGGAGGGGTGTGATGGGAGATGGAGCTATGTCATGTTTTTTTGAATGTCAGATGAAGGAGTTTGGACTTTAATAGGCAATGGGAATCCGTTGAAGATTTCTCAGAACTGGTATGTGTTAAGTCAGTGAATCTTTTGAAAAGCTGACTACCGTAGAGTGAGGGTTGAATTGATGAAGTTAGAGGTTAGGCAGTAGTAATGCCTAATAAGGGACATTTACTCTGTCAGGCATTGTGCAAAGAGTTTTACCTGCAGTTTCTCACTTAATCCTCACTACTGGAATATTGTAAAAAGTAACTGAAATAATACATGTTTAAGGCATTTAGCACAGGACTTGGCTCATAGTAAGTGTAGAACCAAAGTGATTATACTCTAGGCTCAGAGAAAACAGCGTGTCTTGTCCACCTTTGTATATGATAGTACAATAACTTTCCATAAAGGTATTGTGTTTATTGGGAGACTCTTATATTTAATAGTAACAATAAGCCTACTTCTTTTTCTACCACCCCTTACCTCTTTCCTTTAATTAATTAAACCATCTCATTGGTAGATGTGTAATACTTAGTCAGTTTGAGTGCTTGCATAATAAATAGTTCACCTTGAGTTAGCCTTTAGGTAAAAAAAAAAGTCACCTGGCTTCTTTGTTTTAACCAAGGATTACAAATTATGACACTAAGCTTAGACATGGTTAATCATGGATGGACCTACATATATAAATTCATAAGTAACATTTAAGTTAGAAAGTAACTGTAAATCTCATCTATCAAGCATCCTGATAATTGGTCAGTGCTGCAGCTGTAAACTGCACATCCATAACAGTTTCAGCATAGACAACACAGGCTTTGAGTTATTTGAAGGTACCTGTGGTTGGCTAATACAGGTACCTTCAAATAACTCATTCTGTTCTATTCTTACTCTATCTACATATCAGAATACAAGTAATATTATAGAGAAATATATAAGGAATAACTTTATAGTAATGCATGAATATGTGTTATTATAAAAATTGGGACAGATGACTAAACCTCCTTGGAATACCTTCCATCCATGTGTCCTTCTACTCAGCCCCCTCTCCAGAATAATTAGTGTGTGTATACTTTCAGAATCTTTCCTATACAATCATATAAAAATATCTGTTTAAAATACATCTATTTTCAGCATCATAGGAAAGGACAAAACATTTTTTAAAAGCTTTTTAATATAATGCATCTTTTGTGTGTCTTTATTTTTACACAAAAGGTGTTATACATGGAATCTGCATCTTGATTTTTTTTCAGTCAATAAGGTCTTATAGGTCCATATAATTATTTGGATATATTTGTCCATATAATTATTTGGACATCATATTCCACTAAACAACAACAACAAAAAGCTGCATGGTGTTCCTTAGTGTGGCTATGCAATAATGTATTTATTTATTCCTCCTAGATGGCCATTGAGGTTGTTTTTAGAAGCACACACTGGGATGACCATTCTTGTTTACACCACTTTAAACACGTGTGTTTTTTCTAGATTAGATGCTTTAATTCATATAGCTGGATAGATGAAGAGAGGGAGGAAGGGGTGGATGGGTGGATGGATAGATGGATAGAAAGCTAGAACTCTGATACTTTATTAGTAGTAGCAAATATCCATGTACACTTTGTCTAACTTGTGAACTTATCATACTCCTAGTGCTATTGTGCACACGCCCACGCATGCACGCATGCACACACACACACCCCTCTCCCTTAGCAGCTGGCCAGGAGTCCACTATGGGAAAAAGTCAGCTGAGGGCTATGACATTAGAAAGAAAATGAGCAGAGTTATATGAGATGAACAGGAAGAATCATGGGACCAAGTAAGGCATTGAAACTGCATGGGGATCAGATCAGTTGGTGAAACTTTTTTTTTTTTTTTTTTTTTTGAGACAGAGTTTCGCTCTTGTTGCCCAGGCTGGAGTGCAATGGTGTGATCTCGGCTTACTGCAACCTCCGCCTCCCGAGTTCAAGCAATTCTCCTGCCTCACCCTCCCAAATAGCTGGGATTACAGGTGCCTGCCACCACGCCCAGCTAATTTTTGTATTTTTAGTAGAGATGGGGCTTCACCATATTGGTCAGGCTGGTCTTGAACTCCTGACCTCAGGTGATTCGCCCACCTCGACCTCCCAAAGTGCTGGGATTACAGGCATAAGCCACCGTGCCCAGCTGGTGATACTTCTTATAACTTTCTCTGAATATTAAGGTGCCATTTTAAATTAATATTTAACCAACTTATTAAAATTTCTACACATCATTCAGTGAATTGGTTTGTTATAAATGTTTATGGTTGGTGTAAGATGAAAATTGGTTCCTTCAAGTGCTTTTATTCTCTTTTCTCCTCTTTCCCTTTTACCCATAAATAGGAACTTATTATCATACTTAGCTCCTGTTTTCTTTTATAGATGATATTTATGCACAGGATAGATTATCCAAAAATTAGAGTGAAAGAGGGCAGTGAACAATAATGTATTGCAAAATAATAATGAGGTATGAATTATAAAATGCACAAAAGGTAGTTATATAATATGTTTTGATGAAGTATAACCATTCCGTCTTAGATTTATTGCACTTTTCTTGATCCTTAGAAAATGTAGTACCTACCACAAAACCACAGTACATAAATTGCCAAGTGTGGCCGACTTGCACATTCCTTTTAGAAGAACTTATAACTGGTAAGCCTGTTAACCATCAGAAATTGTCAGCATTCATGGCCTTGAGGCAGTGCATTAAATGACAAAATGGGAAATTTTCTCTTTAAGAGGAAGTAGTGTGGATTATTATGCTACTTTATTAATGTTTATTGTTATTCTTTAGAAAGTAAATTATTGTAGGCTTATAAAATTAAGAAATCTAGTTTTTAGTAACATAATCATTTGCTCCCTTTAAATTTTAAATCACTCTAAATCTGAACATAATAGCTAACTTAAAATAAGTAGCATTTGGATTACATTATTTTTGCAGATAACTGATTATCTGTGTGAAATGATTTAGTATTATAAATGTTTTGTGATAAAGTTTATGGTAAAGATTGATTATAGTTACCTCATTTTTATCTTAAATGGAGTTTAAGTAAAGTTTGCTTTGCCTTGATAGAATTGTAACATCATGCTCCAAGAAATATAATTCCAATAATTTACTATAAAAAGTAAATTTTAAAACTTTATGTTAAATTAACATTTATAAATTCTTTTAAAGTTAATTAAATCTGAAGTGCACCAAGTATTAGCTAACTGGTATATGATATGATACTTGTATAATATGTCAATAATGTAAAAGGTATTTAAATAGTGTATGTACTTAGGTAATATGATTCTTATTTTATGTTTAATTTTGAAATGTTCATTGAGGTCAAAAGGTTTTAAAATTTGCTTTAATTTAAAAAATTATAGCATCATCCAGCTATTCTGACTGCATTATCAACACTTCTTTCTGTGGTAAAGGTACTGTTTAAGAGTAATTCATGGCAGTGTGATAATGCCAGCCAATTCACAGAAGAGAGAAATTGTAATTAGTAATAAGAATGTGGGCCAGGCACAGTGGCTCACACCTGTTATCCCAGCACTTTGGGAGGCCAAGGTGGGAGGATCACTTGAGTCCAGGAGTTCAAGACCAACCTTGGCAATATAGGGAGAGCCTACCAAAAAAATACAATAATTAGCCAGTTGTGGGGTTGCGCACCGGTAGTCCCTGCTACTAAGGAAGCTGGGGAGGGAAGATCCTTTGAGCCCAGGAGATTGAGGCTGCAATGAGCCATGATTGTGCCATTGCACTCCAACCTGGGTGACAGAACAAGACCCTGTCTCAGAAAGAGAGAGAAGGAAAGAGTAGGAGAAAGAAGGAAAGAAAGAAAGAAAAAAAAAAACTGTTAGCATCATATTGACAACTAAATAGATAGGTCGAAACGTTCTGCCGTCCTATTTGGCATCCTGGAGAGGTTAATGTTAATAGTCAGTGGTTGAGCCAGAGGCATGTTCCTAAATATCACCATGCTATGCAAAGTCACACAAAAAAACACACAGGGCTTATGGGAAAAAAAAAAGGAATTATGGCTGTAACACTTGGAAACATCACCTGTGAACATTAAAAAAAAAGATAAGGCCGGGCGCAGTGGCTCATGCTTGTAATACCAGCACTTTGGAAGGACGAGGCAGGTAGATCACCTGAGGTCAGGAGTTCGAGACCAGCCTAGCCAACATGATGAAACCCCGTCTCTACTAAAAATACAAAAAAATTAGCCGGGGGTGGTGGCAGGCACCTGTAATCCCAGCTTAGTCAGGAGGCTAAGGCAGGAGAATTGCTTCAATCCGGGAGGCGGAGGTTGCAGTGAGCCGAGATCGCACCGTTGAACTCCAGCCTGGGCAACAAGAGCAAAACTCCATCTCAAAAAATTTAAAAAAAAAATCTTAAAGATAATTTTATTCATGTTAAATAAATTAAGAAATATGTAAATACTACAATGAATATTGTACTTTTTCCTCAATGAGACCTAAAGTTTGCTTATGGAAGGGAGCACAGGAAGAATTGCAGCTTGTGAGTTATTGTAAAGTAGTCAAGGCTGGGCGCCATGTCTCACGCCTGTAACCCCAGTGCTTTGGGAGACTGAGGCGGGTTGATCACAAGGCCAGGAGATTGAGATGATCCTGGCTAACACAGTGAAACCCCGTCTCTACTAAAAATACAAAAACTTAGCCAGGCACGGTGGCACGCGCCTGTAATCCTAGCTACTTGGGAGGCTGAGGCAGGAGAATTGCTTGAACCCAGGAGGCGGAGGTTGCAATGAGCCGAGATCACTCCACTGCACTCCAGCCTGGGCAACAGAGTGACACTCCGTCTCAAAAAAAAAAAAAAAAAAGGTAGTCAAGAAAGAGTTTTTTGAAATCAGTAATGTGACTGGGTGTGATTAATGACATGCAGATCTGTTAAGCTGAGATAGCTGGTAAGTGTTTCAGGTGTGTTCCTGTTTACTTTTTGTATATTCATATGCTGCTTGTTTTAGCTCAATACAGCTTTCTGTGTTCACCTAGTGTTTCTTACAAATGAAATTACAGCAAAATTGACTTAATGTTCAAATTGTTCTCTCATATCAATTGTGATGGAACATATTTACATTTTCAAAACAGATATAGCAGCACTGACATATCTGAGGTTAAGGGAAACGCTTGAGTTTGGGGAGATAGATAACCACTTTTTAGAGTAGTCTTTAAAAGCTGTATGTATTCTGATGTTTATTTAGAGAGTTATGGCAACAAATATTTACTGAGCATCCACTTGACATACACTAAGTAGTTAGGATACACCAGTGAAAAATAGTCTCTCTGCTTGGGAACTAACATACATGCATGCATTCATTCATTCATTCATTCAGAGATGGAGTCTCACTCTGTCGCCGAGGCAAGAGTGCAGTGGCGCAATCTCAGCTCACTGCAACCTCTGCCTCCTGGGTTCAAGCGATTCTTTTGCCTCAGCCTCCCGAGTAGCTGGGATTACAGGCGCCTGCCACCACGCCTGGCTAATTTTTGTATTTTTAGTAGAGACAGGGTTTCACCATGTTGGCTAGGCTGGTCTCAAACCCGTGACCTCAGGTGACCCACCCACCTCAGCCTCCCAAAGTGCTAGGATTACAGACGTAAGCCACTGCGCCCGGCTGGAATTAATATTTCTCACGTGAAGAATTTTCTTTGTGACCAGGGCTTGTTTTTAAGAGGTAAATAGGATTGACTGGGAGAAGAGGAAGTCTAACAAGGAGACGACTGGGCAACAAGGCATTTTTCAGATCTCTTAAATTATACTTTTATGAGATAACTTCCTAGAATTCTGTCCAATTCAGGATTTTATGATTTACAGAAAAAATTATTACCGCTAATGGCTACTTTGGAAACTGGAATTTGCTTTTAGCGTATGTTGAAATGGAAAAATCTTCTCTTACATTCTTGTACACAAGCTAAGGAAGAATCCTAGGGCGGTTGAGAAGTGAACGTTATGTATTTCTTCCTACTACTGTTTGATATTCGGCATGAACCATATTTTATGTCTTTTTTTTTTTTTTTTTTTTTTTTAAGAGCTCAGTCACCCAGGCTGGAGTGCAGTGGCACAATCATAGCTCACTACATCCTTGAACTCCTGGGCTCAATGGATCCTCCTTCTTTAGCCTCCTGAGTAGCTGGGACTACAGGCATGTGCCACCATGCCCAGCTTACTTTGTTAACATAATTAAATTTGTTCCAGCAAAACTCATAATTATGTAAGAACGGTGCAAAGATAAAATGATGTATATATATAGTTTGACATATATTAAAACCTTATTAGCATTAGCGTATCTCAAGGTCTTCTCAGATAAAGACCACTATACCTTGAAACCTTCATTCATCTTCTCAGCTTCTCCTGTAACTACCCCCATCCTGAGTACCTTCTTCATAATCCCCTTCTTTCCTCTTTGTCCCTCCTTTCTTCCTCCTGCAAGACAGGTGACACGATCCCCAGAATCTGCCTTACTTCTTTTATACTTTAAGTTCCTATGCTTCAATACTTTCCCACTTCCTCCTCAGCCCAGAGAGATCCCTTTAAACACCTATTATAACACAGTTTATGCCACTTTTCTAGCACTTTGCACAACCTAGTACTGTTGAGTTTGTCATGTAGCTTTGTCAGATTTCCCCAACTGCAAGTTTTTTGTCCCGTATGCATTGAAAAAGAAGGCCTTAAAGGCTCAATCCACTCCTACAATATTCTGCAACCAGGGTAATATGCAGCCCTGTAAGGTTTTGTTCCTTTGCACTTCGTGGAAGTTCATGATATTTAAAATAAATAATTACTACTACTACCAGTTTGTACTTTTTGCTGTAGGCAGGACAGATATAATGCAATTGGCTTTAATTATGTTGTCACTAATCCTTGAAGCTCTTTGAGTTGTTTTCTCCATTTTACGAAGAATGAAATGATAGTATTGATATTTTATTTACATGTGTACTTACTATGTGCTCTTTTTATTATCTTACTTGGATTACTCATTTAATTCTCCTAACACTCCTATGAAGTAGCTACTCTATCATCACCATTTTATAGATGAGGAAACTGAGGCACAGAAAAATTAAATGATTTGCCCAAGAAGTTACTGCAAGTAAATAGCATATTAAACTTCATAAACGAACCCATGGAATCCTAGAATTTATACTTAGCCAGCTATCACTGTGTATCAAATACTGTTTTATATACCTTATATCATAATTGTCTCATCTAGTTAGATAAGACAGTGTGCACTTATGGAACTGAGGTTGAAATATTTAGCAACATTAGGTTATCTCTGTTTTAAACTATTAACATGTTCTTTCACCAGAAAATTTTAGAAGCGTGCATGGCTAAGGTAGAATACTGGTTCTTTTAGTTCTACTCTTTTCTTCTCTTCAGGAAAGTTTATGCCTGTCTCAGAGTAACATTTTATTTATTCATTGGTTCCTTTTCTTTCTTAAGATTTTAATAGTAAAGGCCAATACTTTGTCAAGTTTAAATTATGTAAATTGAGTAGTTTATGTGAGATACATTACTAGTTATTCCTTTTATTTTTAAAAGTTAGATCTCTGGGAATTTAGCTTTGCTCCACCATTTACTTTGTATGGCACCTTCTTGATAGTAAAAGATTTTTCAGAAATTTACCTGCCCAAAAACAGCTTTTATTTTATAATAAGCTTCATTTTTAGCTGACCTATGGTGATCCATATGTGTTTATTGTACATCTACATTTTCCTACACTCTTAAATATATAGTAGCTGCAGAATCTGTTTGTGTATACTTAATAGAGGTAATTTTTTCTTCCCCTAGTTATTTCTTTCCCATTGAATCAAGTTACATACAAGTTTCTAACCATTCCTGTTACAGGCTTGTTGGTGATTGACTTCATTTTAATAATCTTTTTATTTCATTGCCTTTCACCCAGTTTTTTAAACTCATGAAATTCCACACCCCTTTCCATCTCTATTTTCCTTCCTTAAATCAATACTTTACTATAAGCACCTCTTATATGTGATCCTTTGACCATAGTCATCTTGGTTTTTGATTAGTCCCTTCCCTGCCTTTCATTTACTGTGTTATCAACTAGCGGTCTTGTAGGAACTGGAGTAAACTTTACTTGAAGAAACATTCAGATAAGCAGTTGTCTTGAGAGGGCTCATCACAGTGGATTCAAAGATGAATCAGTGAACATACTTGGGCTTTATACTTAGGGACTTTGATTCAGTAGGTCCAGGATGAAGCCCAGTGATTTTGTTTCAGGTGGTCCACAGACCAAACTAAAAAATGCTGATTTAGGAAACACACCCTTTTCCTGATGAGGAAAGTTGCGTTTTTGTCCAATATCTTAAATCTTAAGGAGCTTTTAAGGTTTTGGCACCTTTTTTCCCTCCTGCTTACACACTCAACTTTGTTTGCTCTAAGATTTACCTGTTTTGAACATCATCAGCCTTGTAAAATGGAATTACTGATTCCATGGTTCTCTACCTTGACTTCCCATCACAGTTACTGGTGGAGTATCTTGTTTTTACTTTGAGTAACAGAGATGCATGTGTAGGCCCTACATCCAGAAATTCTAAAACTCATTATCAGGTTTGAGTTACCTCCCCAACTTTGGACTCTGCATTTCAAAGCTCTGGGTGCTGCTGCTGCTGCTGCTGGATTGCTTTTGCTGCTGCTGCTGCTTTCTCCACCTTACTCCTTCCCCTTACTTCTCTCTTTTACTAGGTAACGCAGGAATATAATACAGAATTCAACAAGCACGAAAAGGTGTACAGTGAAGAGAAAGTTTCTTAAGTCTTCCTCTCCAGCCCTTATTCTCCCAGATTCCCTCTTCTTCCTCAGATAATCATTGTTACCAGTTTCTTCCCCAAGTGATTTAGATGTGCATCCAGAATGGAGAAACACTAACTTAGTGCTAGCAAGCAGGATATTACATAGGCATTAGGAAAAAATCAAGCGGGGAACGACCCCTTTAAGTCTTTGTAAAATAAAGATAAAATCTAAAGGCTAACCTTCATATTGTTGCCTTGACATTGTGAATATAAAGTCGTATTCTGAGGAAATAATTTAAATATGGAAATGGTCCACGTACAAAAAACTTTTTGCGTAGCTTTCTAGAGAAAAATTAGAAACAACTTAGTTATTTGTTTACAAGACTGGCTAAATAGTAATATATTGACCTGATGGACTGTTATGCAGTCATTTAAAACAATGCTTATTTTCTAACTTTTCTTCAGGTGTATATTTTATTTCTCTATATATAGAGAGTGAGAGATTAAATATATATATTTGTGTATTTGTGTGTGTATACATATGTAAAGAGACATACATACACGTATATGTTTTTTAACCCACTAAAACTTTGGAGTCCAAGTTATATTTATGCATAAAAGTTAAATCCTGCTTCTCTATTTGCATGCTTCTCAGTGTTGACAGATGTCTAGATAAAATTTAACTAAATTTCTCTACAATGTCCTTTACTGGATATTGGTTTCTTTATAACATTCATCAAAACCTCAATTATGTGCATCTAATTGGTCCCAGCTTCTGCTATCCAAAGTGTAATCATGCCCTTTGAACACAAACACCTGCTTACCTTAATTAGTACATCTGTATGCCTTCTTATGTTACCACATCAGTTTATTTGATCCTGAAATCGAAAGAGAAGTAGGTAAACAAGCACTCTACAGAGCCTCATTTTGGATTGTGCAAATCTCAAAACTTTTGATTAAATATACTTAATATGTTAGGTAGATCGTGTCACAAAATCATGTCATAAAATGTAATCTCAATTTTAGAACTTCAGGTAGTCTTGGACTACATAACACTTTGAAGCATCTTCATTTCCCTAAGTCTAAATTGTAAGATGAAATATAAAACACATTATTTTCACTTTTTATTGAATATTTTTTATTACAGAAACAATATATTAAATAAAATAGGTTTTTAAAATTTATTTGTGTGTTTTTTATTAGATCAAGAAGGTGTATAATGAAGAGTAAATCTCCCTTAATTGCGTTCCCTAGAGGCAGCCAGTGTTACCAGTTCTTGTGTATCCTTCCAAAGATATTCTGTGCACGTAAAAGCGTGTGTGTTCTTGTATGTAAGAGAATACAGAACACTGTTCTGCACTTAGTGGTGGTAGTTTTTTAACTGAGTATTGTTTCTTGGGGATTATTCCATATTAGCATCTCATTCTTTTTAATGGCTGTATAGTACATTATACTTTTGTGAATGACCATAGTTTACACATCACTATTAACAGATACGTAAGTAGTTTTTGGTTGTTTATCATTAGAAACATGCTTTGGCAAATATATATAGTTTTCTGTGTGACTGTATCTGCAAACAGATTCATAAAAATAGAATTGTGAAGTCAAAAAATAAATGCAGTTTTAATTTTGATACAGATTGCCAAATTGACATCTATAGAGACTGCACTCTGAGGTGAGGATTCCCCTCACCAAGTGATGTGTTAACAGACATTTGGATGTTAATTAAAGATCATTATTTTTTAATAAATTAAATCTCCCATGATGCGCCGCCCCTATACTTTTTTGTTTGGTCTCCAATTTAAAATTTTCCCCAGTGAAAATTATTTACATGATAATGTCTTTCTGTTTTTGCCAAATATTACATGACTACTTCCTTGCATTTTCTGAGGTTTTAATAAGTTTTAATGTCTGCATAATAGTCAAGTATTAATAAATTACAGTTTGAAAAGCTGCTTTCCAAAAGTTAAGCTGTTTGGTTCTTTTTTGGTTTTTACTGTTAGAAAACTATTTTAAACTTAGGGCAGGTGTGGTGGCTAATACCTGTAATCCCAGCACTTTGGGAGGCCGAGGTGGGTGGATCACCTGAGGTCAGGAGTTCGAGACCAGCCTGGCCAACGTGGAGAAACCCCCGTCTCTACTAAAAATGCAAAAATTAGCCGGGCGTGGTGGCAGGGACATGTAATCCCAGCTTCACAGGAGGCTCAGACAGGAGAATCGCTTGAACCCAGGAGGTGGAGGTTGCAATGAGTCGAGGTCACACCATTGCACTCCATCCTGTGTGACAAGAGCAAAACTCCATCTCAAAAAAAAAAAAAAAAACTATGTTAAACTTACGTTGAATTACTTCCTTAGCATAAATTCCTAAGAGAGAAAGGTACTGCTGTCTTTTGATTACCTTACTTACATGACACTGTTTACCTGTGTGCTTCCTACCTCAAGATGCTTATGGATAAATAGGATCATGCCCAACTAAATTTGAGAAATATTGCATCTGCTGCTGCTACCCAAAGATTAACAGTGCATATTAAAGTCCAGAAATAAAGAAACCTCCTTAACTTTAAGTAACAGCATTTTTCAAATGTATTGCCACAAAAAAAAAACTTATTTTTCCATGTAACACTTAACTAATGCTATTGAAAGGCTCTTTGAGAAGTGATAAATGACAAAGTGATATATTGGGCTTTCAAGTAGATTTCTTAAAATTTGAATTATTGAATCTGTTCTGATACCTCCTAATTTAATCGTATTTCCTAATGTCCTAGAGAATTCCAAATGCTTATTTCCTTCTAACTAAAGGTAATGGTAGTTCTACTTTAGCACATAGAAATGTAGGAGACTGCCATTCAACAGGTATTTGTAGAAAACTTAGTATGGCCTTATTAAAGGCAAGATTTCACAGTGATTCTGTGACTAAAATTGGGGGTTAACTGAAAGTGAGACTCAACTTCATTTTATACACGTAGATGTGGATTGTCAAAATGAGCAACCATTAAACAAGGTTACAGAAATAAGATGATAATCTTAGTTTATTCAGGCTGCTGTAACAAAATACCATAAACTAGGTAGCTTATAAACAGCAGAAGTTTATTTCTTGTAGTTCTGGAGGCTATGAAGTCCAAGATCAAGGCACCAGCAGACTGAATGTCTGGTGAATTCCCACTCTGTGGTTCGTAGGTGGCACCTTTTAGCTATGTCCTCGCATGGTGGAAGGGGCAGCTCAGCTCCCTCGGGCCTCTTTTATAAGGCCACTAATCCCATTCATGTAGGTTCCACACTCAAACCTGATCACCTCCCAATACTGTCATCTTGGGGGATAGGATGTCACATACGAATTTTGAGGGGACCTGACCATTCACACCATAGCAGGTGAGGATGGATCTAAAGCATAAAAATCTTTCCAGCCTTCATCTGTAGATCTTGACATCAGATGTTGAGTATTCACTCTTGTAGTGTGGAATTTAGGATTTTGTTTTTGTTTGGTTTGAAATGAATTCCAGCATTAAAATCTCTTATATGATTAATTTGCTACAAACAGACTTTCACCTATCCATAGAATTTTTTTACAGTAATTTATAAAAATGCACCTGTCATTTCAAAAGAGCATATCGTATTTTTTACAGATACCTTGACTATTCAATTATTTCATTCACCAGCATTATGACATTTATAACAGTCTAGTGGCTGAAAACTGAAATAACCACGTCTTTATTATTTACTTTTAATTTATTTTTACTTTTTAAAAGTAGTGTGTTTTCAGCATGAAACATTTTAGCCGGGTGCAGTGGCTCACTCCTGTAATCCCAGCACTTTGGGAGGCTGAGGCAGGCAGATCACGAGGTCAGGAGTTCGAGAGCAGCCTGGCCAATATGGTGAAGTCCCATCTCTACTAAAAATACAAAAACTAATCGGGCGTGGTGGTGTGCACCTGTAGTCCCAACTGCTCAGGAGGCTGAGGCAGGAGAATCACTTGAACCCAGGAGGCGGAGGTTGCAGTGAGCCAAGATTGTGCCACTACACTCCAGCCTGGGCAATAGAGGGAGACTCCGTCTCAAGGAGAAAAAAAAAACACACACACACACACACACACACACACACACACACATTTTAGCCTTGATGGATATAAAGTAATAGTAAAGACTCTTTATCAATATGTAAATGGATTACATTATACATTGTTTAATTTAGTCTATGCTTCTGCCCCCTTGAACGGTGTTAATGAACATCTGTCCATGTCAGTACATTTAGATGAACTTAATACTTTACAACATTTAACTTGTTTCTGAATTTGTCATGTTATAAATTATACTGTAATAAACATCTTTTCTTATGTATCTTTTTTTTTCTTTTTTTTTGAGACAGAGTCTCGCTCTGTCACCCAGGCTGGAGTGCAATGGTGCGATCTTGGCTCACTGCAACCTCCATCTCCCAGGTTCAAGCGATTCTCCTGTCTCAGCCTCCCAAGTAGCTAGGATTACAGGCATCCACCCCTACGCCCGGCTGATTTTTTGTATTTTTAGTAGAGACGAGATTTCACCATGTTGGCCAGGCTGGTTTCGAACTCCTGACCTCAAGTGATCCACCTGCCTTGGCCTCCCAAAGTGCCAGGATTACAGGCGTGAGCCATCACGCCCGGCCTTTTCATGTATATCTTTACATGATTGTCTGTTTTCTCAAGTAAGTTCCTAGAAGTGAAATTGCTGAGTCATAGGGTCTGCAAATTAAATTAGATCTGCAGTTATGTTCTCTCAGAAATGTGTGTATATAAGTTGAGTATCCCTTATTAGAAATGCTTGGGACCAAAAATGTTTCGGATTTTGGATTTTTTCAGATTTGGGGATATTTGTGTATATGTATAATATCTTCAGGATGAGACCCACATCTAAACACGATATTGATTTATATTTCATATCCACCTTAATACGCATAGCCTGAAGGTAATTTTATACAGTATTTTACATTATTCTGCACATGAAGCAAGTTTGTCTTAAGTACTTATGTGAAATTTTCCACTCATGCTCGCATCCTGTTGAACTCAAAAAGTTTCCAGTTTTCGAGTATTTCATATCTTCAGATTAGGGATGCTCAACTTGTATTATTCTGTCTTCCGGCATCTACTGCGACTAATTAGAAGTTCATCAATCTAGTTATTCCTTTGTAGATTATGGCTCTTTTCTCTCTGATTGTTTTAAAGATAAAATATTTGTCTTTGGTACTCTGCAGTTTCACTACAATACATCTAGGTGCAGATTTCTTTTTATTTTTCTCTTCAGAACTCTGTGTGTGTGTGTGTGTGTGTGTGTGTGTGTGTTTTCAGTATATTATAAAGAAACATTGTCAGTTTCTCAACCATTATCTCTTTGAATTTTGCCTTTCCCTTATTCTTTCATATCTTTCTACAAGTCCTCTATTAGATGCAGTAGTATTTTCATTCTGTTTCTCATTTTCTCTTCCATATATTCCATTGCTTTATAAGCTCTGCTGCTTTCTGGTTGCTATTCTCTTATCCATCTTCCAGTTCACCTTTCTCTGTAGTCTCAAGTACCTTCTGCTGTTTAACCTATTCATTGATTGTTACATTTTATGATGATATATTTTCTAGAAGTCTTAATTGATTCTTTTTCAAATTTTGCCTTTTCACTTTATATCTTATTGTTATGATTTCCTTTTATCTCCACAGTCATTTTAAATATTTTTATTTTATAGCTTCTTTCAGGTTCTGTTCTCTTACATTCTTAGATATTAATCATCTAATTAATGTTCCTGATCTTTACTCATGGTGGATTATTTCTTTGTGCTTTTGAATTTTATTTAACATGAGCTCATTTTCAACATGATGTTATTTGTTTTTCATTTTTTAACTCTAGAAATCCTTTGCTTCCTGGGTTAAAGAAATAAGATTCCATAGCAGTTTTACTTTTGTTTCTGCCAGGAATCCTATGGTATCACCAGCCTCAGACCAATTTTTTTGTTAATTTCTATTTTAAGTTTCTTTTCTACACCTGTAGTGTAAATTTGGATTCCACACCTGTGCATGGTGCGGGCTCGTGTCTTTAATTTTGTAAGGGAGATGTTTCCTTCCCACTCATGGCTCTAGTGAATTTCAGTTCTTGTGGCTTCTATGTGGCAATGGATAGAGATTTAGCTGCTTTTTTCTAGTAAGGAAGGACCTTCCAGAATCTCTGCTTTATGCAACTATTTCATTTAAATAAAATGTCTTTCTGATGTGGTCCTATAATGTGTCTTCTTTCCACATAGTATTAAAACCCCAGCTCCAGTATGTCTAGTTCTGATAACTATATCTCTCTCCTTCCAAACTCTTCTCCCCCACATATCACCACAGTATTTTAACTTAAACACTTATTATAGTGGCTTTTAATTCTGTCTTTGTTTCTGGCACCAGGGAATTTTTTTCTTGCAAGCTCTGCTGTTACAAAACAAAGTCAATCATTTTTTCATTATTTCTGGTTTTTCATAACAGAAGAGGTTCTGAACTAGCTCAGTACACTATCATTCTGGAACTGAAGCCAAGTTTTTTTCTCCCAAAAGTAAGACTTAAATTTTCCTAAATGTGCTTTTGGTATCTATTGAGATAATAGTATAAGTAGTCTCCATTAACTATTAATATAATGGAAGTACATTAATAAGTTTAGTTTAAAGTGAGATACCAGTAATAAATCCAGCTCTATAGTTTGTATACTCCGTTTCCTAATCTTTTATTCAAAATTTTTGTGCCAGTTTTTTTAAAGTAAATGCTCTTGGTATATAGGTATTTTGTTTGCTTTATTTGCATGTTAGATTTTTACATCAGAAAATGATAGCCTTTTTTTTCTGAATTTTTTTTTATGTTAGCCTGTGTTAGTTTGTTCTTGCATTGCTATAAAGAAGTACCCAAGACTGGGTAATTTAGAAAGAATAAGGGTTTAATTGGCTCCTAGTTCTGCAGGCTGTACAGGAAGTATGTTGCCAAGCATCGGCTCACCTTTTGGTGGGGCTTCAGGAAGCTTACAATCATGGCCGAAGGCACAGGGGAAGCCAGTGTGTCACATGGCAAGAGCGGAAGCAAGGGAGGAGGAAGTTTTAAACAGCCTGATCTCATGACAACTCAATCATGAGAACAGTGCCAAGGCAGGGGGCACTAAACCATTCATAAGAAATCCACCCTCATGGTCCAGTCGCCTCCCACCAGGTCCCATCTCCAACACTGGGGATCATAATTCAACATGAGATTTAGAGAAGACAGCATCCAAACTATATTATTCCGCCCCTGCCTCTCAAAATCTCATGTTCTTCTCACATTTCAAAATATAATCATTCCTTCCTAATAGTCCTCCAAAAGTTTCAGCTCATTTCAGCGTCACTCAAAAGTCCAAAGTATCATCTGAGTTAAGCCAAGTCCCCTTTACCTATGAGTCTGTAAAATCAAAACAAGTTATTCACTTTCAAGATACAATGGGGGTACAGGCATGGGGTAAACATTCCCATTCCAAAAGGGAGAAATTGGCCAAAAGAAAGGGGCTACAGGCTTCATACAGGTTTAAAACCCAGTAGGGCAGTCATTAAATCTTAAAGCTCCAAAATAATCTCCTTTGACTCCATGTCCCGCATCCAGGCCTTTGAGCAGCCCTGCCTGTGTCTGCAGGGTTCAGCCACGGCAGGTGTTCTCGTGGGTTGGAGTTGAGTGTCTGCAGCTTTTTCTAGCACAAGGTGTAAGCTGCTGGTGGACCTAACATTCTAGGGTCTGGAGGACGGGGGTCCCTTTCCCCAGCCCCACTAGGCAGTGCCCCCATGGAGACTCTGTGGGGCCTCCAACTCCACATTTTCCCTCCCTACAGCCCTAGTAGAGGTTTTTTTGTGAGGGCTCTGCCCCTGCAGCAGGCTTCTGCCTGGCCACCCAGACTTTCTCATACATCCTCTGAAATCTAGGTGGAGGCTGCCAAGCCTCCTTCACTCTTGCACTGTGCACACCTGTAGGCTTAACACCATAGACACTGCCAAGGTTTAAGGTGGCATACATTCTCCAAAGCAGCAGCAGCCCGAGTTGTTCTTGGGGCCCTTTGAGCCATAGCTGGAGCGGCCTGGATTCAGGGAGCAGTGTCCTGAGCTGTGCAGGGCTGGGCCTGGCCACCTGAACCATTATTTCCTCCTGGTTTCTGAGCCTGTGATGGGAGGGGCTGCTGCAAAGATCTCTGAAATGTCTTCGAGGCCTTTTTCCCATTGTCTTGGCTGTTCGCACTTGGCTCCTTTTTAGTTGGGCCAATCTCTAGCAAGTGGTGAGTCCACTTGCTTGAATTCCTCTCCCGAAAAAGCCTTTTCTTTCTCTGCCACATGGCCAGACTGCATGTTTTCCAAACTTTTATAGTTCTACTTCCCCTTTAAATATAACTTCCAACATTAAGTCATTTCTTTGCTCCAACATCTGAGTATAGGTTGTTAGAAACATCCAGTCCACATCAGAAATTTCTTCTGTCAGATGCCCTAAATCATCACTCTTAAGTTGAAACTTCCACAGATCCCCAGGGCATGAACACAATACAGCCAAGCTCTTTGCTAAGGCATAACAAGGCTGACTTTGCTCTGGTTCCTATAAGTTCTTGATTTCCATCTTAGTTTTTATCACCTTGGCCTTCCCTGTCCATATCACTATCAAGATTTTGATTATAACCATTTAACCAGTCTCTAAGAATTTTCAGATATTCCCTCATCTTCCTGTCTTCCTGAGTCCTGCAAACTCTTCTAACCTCTGCCTGTTACCCAGTTCCCAAGTTGCTTCCACATTTTCAAGTATCTTTATAGTAGTGCCCCATTCCCAGTATCAGTTTTCTATGTTAGACCATTCTTGCATTGCTGTAAAGACATACCCAAGATTAGGTAATTCAGAATGAAAAGAGGTTTAATCGGCTCATGGTTCTGCAGGCTGTACAGGAAGCATGGTGCTGGGCATCTGCTTCGCTTCTGGCGGGACCTCAGGAAGCTTACAGCTATGGCAGAAGGCAAAGGGGGAACCTGGATATCACATAGAGCGGGTGCAAGAGACAGGAGGTGCCACACACTTTTGAACAGCCATATCTCACAAGAACTCACTATCCTGAGGACAGCGCTAAGGGGATGGCACTAAACCACTTATGAGAAATCCGTCTCCATGATTCATTCACCATCAGGCCCCACCTCCAACACTGGGGATCACAGTTCAGAATGAGATTTAGAGGAGATAATGCCCTAACTATATTATAACCTTTTAAAGTAAATTGAAAACTGAAATTTGTCTGGACTTTGGAACAATTTAAATTACACAAAAATTAACCTTTTTTTGGAAAGTTTTAGAAAACTATCCCATCTGGCTTGGTGTACTGGGGAGGGGAAACTAGTCAAGAGCAGTTAACTTCAATCTTTGACAGACTTTGCCATATTTTTATAGTCATTGTTTTGAGGTGTTGTTTTGTTTTTAATATCAAGGCAGCTTGTTTTCTAGAAAATAATTCATCTAATCTAAATCTATAACTTAAGTACAATAGTAATGTTTCTCCCTTGTCCCCTCCCTCCCATTTCTCCCCATTTTCCCTAGTGTTAGAATTGCAAGAGCTTTGTTATTTTATCAGACTTGGTTGAATACCAGCTTTGGTCACAAATGATTAATATTCTACAGTTTTTTAAATTAAAATTATACTTTTCTTCCCTGAATACCACTACAGGAAGGGACCTTGGAGATTTAGTCCATCCCTCATTATTGACTAAGTATCTAGGCTAACAGTATTTATAGGGGGAAAATGTAATATAAACATTGAATATTGATTACACAAAAATTGTAAAGTAACTGGGCAGAGGAGTATAGCAGTGGAGAAGTATGGTGTATATATATATATGGGGTAGGCACTGAGTTCTAAAGCTAAATCTTTATTTTCTCATAAATGGCACTAAACCATTTATGAGAAATTCGCCCCTATGATTCATTCACCACCAGGCCTCACCTCCAACAATAGGTAGGAATGTGGAGAAACAGCTCAGTCTTGACCATGGTTACCTCTACAGAGTAGGAATCAAAGGTGTAGAGGCATGAGGCAGGGAAAGTTTCCCTAATGAGCTTCATAGCACTTGCTGGCTTTTTAAACTGTTTACATGTTTTCTTTCTTAAACATTTTTTAAAGTTTCATTACAGGATAATGCCACAGTAAAATATTTTCTGAACAAAAAATTCATTAAGATGTTTGAAAATCCATCTTTAAACATGCTCTTCAGTTTTTTTGAGGATAGAATGTTGACCATTGTGAAAAAATTAATAATTACTATATAATGTTTTATCCATAATATAACTAATGATATATTTAAATTATATGGTAGGATTTTCTCATTCACACTCAGGTTTTAATTAACGCCAGTACCACAGATGCACCTCACATTTTTCTCTGCAGGTCAGATCTGTCCTTTGAGCGCTAGACCCATATATCACAACTCCCTGTATGATATCTCTATTTGGATGTTTTACAGGTACCCTAGATTCCACAGGTTCAGAAACAAACCTGTAATCCTTCTCTTTGTTTGTGCTCTTTGATTTTTCCCATTGTTTCCTAATTCAGAGACGAGACCACTATCCAGTTGAGCAAATCAGAAATCAACTTTGACACCTCCTTCGCTTTTGCCCCAATTTCTAATTCATCACCAAATTTCTATACATTTTTACTTCCTAAATATCCCTTAAGGTCTTCCACTTCTCTCTACCTAGTCTCCATTGCTATCCACAGTACAGGCTATTACCATTTCCTGGCTGAACTACAGCAGTGGTTTTCTGACTGGTCTTCTCATATATTCTTTTACCCTTTTTCCATACAATAGCCGTTTTTTATACACACATGATTTCTTGATCATGTCACCTTTCCTACCTCTGAGCTTTAAATCCTTCATCGGCTTCCCATTGTTCTTAAGATAAAATCCCCAAATGTTAATGGCCTATAAGGCACTTCATGATTTGGGCCCTACCTATTTTGCTTGATCTTTGCTCTCTACAGTTTTTCCCAATGTACCATGCTCCCATGCTCTGCTTTGGAATGATGTGAAAGAGAAAAACAGTGGCTGTGATAGCCACAAGCGAGATGGCAGGCAGCAGACCGAGTGCAGAAGACGCAGACAGAAGATAAAATAATGAGCAAGTTAAAATAGTTATCTAAATTATAAACGTGTATTTATGTGCCTTTAACCTAGCAATTTCTGTGATCTGCAGGGCAAGGACATTGACTCTAATACTTGTACTATCTCCAGCATGGTATCTCCTGCATACTAGGCACTCATTCAATGTGTGGTTGGTAGATAAATAGATGATGATAGTCCCAGTTTTAAATACTCTTATCTAGTTGCCTCATAAATGCCCAGATTTTCATAAGACCTATATATCCAGTTGCATTCTTTGTTTCTGTTTGTTTTTTTAATCTGGAGACGTGGTCTCGTGTTAAACAGTTAGCTTTTGTATACTCTTATAGTCCTAGAAACATCCACTATGATAAACTGCACTGAATATGAAGCATAACTTGCAGTCTGAGTGAGCCATTAACCAGTGCCTAGTACTCTTCACTGTAATAGTTACTAAGAAATCAAAAATTGTTTACATAATCTTTAAGAAAGGAAAGAATATGGCACATTTTATAAACCGTTCCAATATGTCTACTTATGTTTTGTAGTGCTGTATATACTCTGCTACTATTTAGAAGGAATTAACCCTCCTAGATCATTTTAGCTGGTGGAAGTTTAGATGCCAGAACTTTATACCTATTGCTGCAAACATTTCATAAAGTATGATTTCTTTATTCTTTTTCTCAGGAGAGGGTTTATTTTGCATCTTAACATAGGAAATGTGTCTCTGTTTATTATGAGAAATAATTTTACAGAGTAAATTTATAAGATATTTCTTGGTTTTTGTTTTGAAATTAAGTAAATACCAATTGTTTCAGTAATGTGTTTGGGTTGTCCTTACAAATGACTTACTGCTCCACAAAGGCTACATTTTCAAATAGTTATATTGCTTTCACTCTTAAAGTTTACTTTTGCTGTTTGTAGTATGTGGGTTGATTGACAGTTTGGTTTTTTCCTCTTTCAGCACTTATATTATGTCATTTCACTGTCTTCTGATGCCTCCATTGTTTCTGATGAGAAGTCATCATTTAAATTATTGTCATTCTGTTTCTTTGGCTGTTTTCAAGATTTTCTTTTTGGTTTTCAGGAGTTTGACTATCTTGTGCCTATGTGTAGTCTTTGTTTTTTTCTATTCGGGATTTGCTGATATTTTAAATCTGTAAATTTATATATTTTACTAACAAAATTTTTAGCCATAATTTCTTCAAATTTTTTTTCTACCTCATTCTTTCTCCCCTTTCCTTCTGAATCTCCAATTACAAGTATGTTATGATACCTTGCCACAGGTCCCTAAGGTTCTGTTTCTCTCCTCCCCCTCGCCCACAGTCACTTTTTTATTCATCCTTCAGATTGGATAATTTCTATTGCTTTGTCTTCAAGTTCACTGACTGTCATTTCCCATCCATGGTTAAGTCTACCCAGTGAATTTTTTTCAGTTATTTTATTTTTTAGTTCTTAAATTTTTATTTGCTTTATATATGTATAATTTCCATTTCTTTGCTGAGAGTTCCAGGCATATTTGCACTTAAATCCTTCAGCATAGTTAAAATAGATGCTTTAAAATACTTATGTGCTAATTCTAGCAGCTGGCTCATCTTGGGCTTTGTGTCCATTGGTTGCCTTTTCTCTTGAGTATGGGTCAGTTTTTTTCTGTTTATGTGTAACAATTTTGGATTTTATTTAGAACATTATGAATGCCATGTAGAGACTCTGGATTCTGTATTCCTCCAGTGAGTATTGATGTTTGGTTTGTTATCTGTTTCAAGCCAGATAACTTGACTACACTTAAAGTATAAGCTCTGAAATCGCAGTTCAGTTATTTTAACCTTAGCCTTGCTGCTTGAATGGAATCTGTCGCACATATGTATAGTTTGGAGATCAAAGATAAATACAGAGTTTATACACAGAATTTAGGGCCTCCTCTCTGTGGTTCTCTCCTTCCTGTGATTTACTCACTAAGCTTTCAGCTGTTATGATCATGCCATTGTCTGTCCTTTGGTTCATCAAGCAAGTAAGACTGCAGGTTTTTTATCTGAGTGTTAGCTACCCAAACTAACTGGGACCTGCTCTCTGAGTAAAAGCCATTAAAAAATGGAAAGTTACCCTTGCTGTTTCCTTCTTCCAAGTGCTGACCCCTTTTTCTTCCCTCCACCAATTTGTTTCTTCCTCCTTCAGGTAGTTTTTTATGCATTTCTACTGTTTATAGTTGTTATTCATGAAAGATTTGGTCTGGTAGGCGTTACTCAGCCATCACAGGAAGTAGAACCCATAAAATAAAATTGTACAATTGAAGAATGTTATCATTTGTGTAGGTGATAGTCTTTATTAGAAAAGCAGGCAAGTATGGTGAGAGATTTCAGTGTATGTTTTAATAATGAAATACGTTGAAATTTGTTTTCATGGTTCATCCTCCTTTAAATAATAAAAATGTCTCAATCAGACTATTTGCCTCTCCCTCAAATTGTGTATAAATTTTTTTTTTTCAAATCTAGATCATTTGAAATATGTTTTGGAAGCCTTATAGAAGGAAACTATAAAGAAACCTTATAATAAAATATTCATTTTATTCAACAAATATGTTGCATCTTCTGTGAGCCAGGAATGATCCAGATCCTGGAGATAGAACAGTGAACTTCAGAGTCCTTGATCCCATGGGGCTAATGTTTTGGGGATGGAGAGATAATAAAATATATCTCAGGTATTGATACATGTTATGAAATAAAAGCAGTATGAGGGTGCAATGGTGGGAGATGGGGAAGAGTTATGGCATTATTTAGATAGAGGGATTGGTCAGGGAAACTGTCTCTGAAGAAGTGACATTTGATCAACATTCTTAATGACATAAGAGAAGGGAGTTGCAGGTGGATCTAAGGGAAAACTGTTCCAGTAGTAAAGGAGCAGCAAATCCGATAGCCCTAAGGGAAGAACAAGAGTGACTTCTTTGAGAAATCACCAGACTGCCATTTTGAATTGAGGGAACAAGGAGAGGGTAGAAGATGAAGTTAGAGGGGTGGTAGATAGCCAGGGGCTTTGTTACATTGCATTTTGAACAGGGAAAGTGATGACTCTGATTTACTTTTCACAAAGATCACGCCGCTCAGTAAAGAAAATACTGGGGACGGGAAGAAGTGGTATGTTGGCAAAAAGAAGGAAGGTGGGGAGACCTATTGAGGCCTTTGCAGTAGTAGTCTAGATGAATTATGATGGTGGCTTGGACAAGAGCAGTAACAAGTGGGAAAAATTGGTTAGATTAAGAATACTTTTTGTATATAAGCCAAGAAGTCTTGATGGTAGATTAGATGTGGGATGAGAGACCAACTGGATGAATGGTGGTACCATTTACTGACATGGAAAAGACTGGGAAAGGATTGATTTGGATGGGGGAGGAATTAAGAGTTTGATTTTGGACATACTGAGCTTGAAATAAGTTGATACACAAAAGGAGATGTCAGTTAGCCAGTTGGATATGTTAGTCTCAAGGAAGAGATTGGAGTTGGAGATAATAATTTGCCAAGCACCAGTATATAGATATTATTTAAAGCAATATATTTGAATGAAATTACCTTGAAGATGAATGTAGATATAGTTGAAAGGAAACCATAGATCTGAACTCTACCAGCCACCAACATTCAGATGTCCAGAAAAGGAAAAGGATCCAGCAAAGTAAACTGAGAAGAATCTGCCAGTAAGTAGAAGGAAAGCCAGAAGAGTATAAACCTCAGAAGCCACATGAAGAAATTGTTTAAAGAATGAGGGAGTAGTGGTTGAATGGGTCCTGAGCTACAGAGAGATCTAGTAAGTTGAGGACTGAGAACTCACCATTGGGTTTCATAAACTAAAAGTGTATAGTGGCTTTGATAAGTGTAGTTTCAGTGGAGAAAAACTATGAAAGCCTGAGTGGGGTAGGTTAAAAGAGATTAGAAGGGAGGGAGAAAGTGAAGACACTTACGTATAAACAACCCTTTCCAGGAGTTTTAGCCCAAAATTGGGGGAAGAGGGAGAAATGAGCTGATAGAGAGGAGTCAAGGAAGGCTTCCTTAAAATGAGCAGTTCTATAGCATGATTGTCGCCACTTAAATTATTTTAAATGTCCTTTACTCATTTCTAGTACTTTCTCTCCTGCAACCCATTTATAGAAACACTACTTTTGAATGCGAAAATTTGTGTGTGTGTGTGTGTGTGTGTGTGTGTGTGTGTTTACACAGAAATACTTTTGGAAAATCTACAATGCAAATAACTTGATGTTGGCAGTGATTTTATCCATGAGATGTAACTAAGCTAAAGCCACATAGATAAAATAATTAAGTACAATTTAATCAAGTGATGATAAAAAACTAAAAGGCTTATTACTATATAAGTGAGCGCTTATTTTATTGAGCACTGAGGAGTTCTATAAATCTACTCAAAACTATTTTAAATATCTACTCTTATGCTGAAGACTGTTTATAAAATGCTAGATATACAATAATAAAAGAGACCCAATTTCTACATTCATGAATATATAGACCTGTATTTTTAGGCTTATGTTAACGAGGTTAAAAAGAGAAATACCACAAATAAGAAATTAGTTTTAAAGAGATTGTCTTCTTATGAAATTTGTCCTAATGAAAGGTATTTTCAAATAGCATGATTTTAAATGTCTTAATATTTTATTTAGGTTAATGTACTTATCTCCTATTTATATCCCCAAAAGATTTTTCAACATTAAACATGGTTTACCTTAGAAACAATAGGAATAAAAATAAGGTGGGTAGTTTTCAACTTCGACCACACATTAGAATCACCTTGGGATCTTTTAAAACTCCATATGCCCAGGCTGCTCACTCCTCAGCCAATTAAATCAAACCCCTTGGGAAATATTAGTATTTTAAAAATACTGATTTAATAGAAGCAGAGGGAATAAAATGCTACTAAGCTCCTAAGAATGAATTGATTGTGCATTTAAGGATTAAGTATATTTGAAAGATAAAGCAAAATATTGAATGCATTGGGTTTTGAATCATTAAGTTTTAGACAAAACGGAGTCATTTGTAGTACCAAATTTTTTCAGTATCCAAACTTTAAGAATTTAGATTACTCACCTTGGGATAATCATTAAGAAAAAAATCAGTGATACTATTTCTTCTCCCTTTTTAAAAGAATCTGGGAAGACAACCTTGAAAGTAATTTCTTACTTGAATGCTTTTTGGCTCAGCCATTATAGAGCATATAAATACATAAGAGTTAGACAGTATGAAAGTTTACCATCAGAGTTTATACTAAAAAGATAGTATAACTATATGGAAAGCATTTTAGGTCTAAATATTTTTATAGTTTATAATGTTAAGTGCTAAAGCACATATTCTTTTGTACTGAAATTTTAAATCCACAACAATATTCCTTCTATAATCAGTTCTCATTAAAATTTTTTTTCTTTCTTTCACAGAAAATGCTTGGACAGAAGAGATGAGTACTATTTCCACTAAGGCCTAGAATTGCCTACTGTACAAATAGTCCTGATCAGGCAATATACGAATGGCCCAAGGAAGCCACCAAATTGATTTTCAGGTTTTACATGACCTGCGACAAAAATTCCCTGAAGTACCTGAAGTTGTTGTATCCAGGTGCATGTTACAGGTCAGTGTTCAATGATTTCTGAATTTGTTAATACAAACCTGGTATTTTTTTAAACATTGGAAGAAAAACTCTTTTAGGTTATCTTCTTGTTGGTGTTAGTGTATTATGATGAAAAGAGATAAGCTTTGGTGTCTGATAGTCATGTGGCCTTTGGCAAGATGGAGCTTTCTGTACCCATCTGTAGTATGGATAATACTTGACTTGTAGAGTAGATGTGAGAGTTAAATGAGATCTGAATGTAAAGCATTGATAATATCTGTACTTACTAGACATGAGCTTTCTTAACTTTTCTCCCACCTGTTCTGCCAGGAGAGCTAATTTCAGATCTTAGTATGAAAGTGAGAAAAATGATTAAAGAGTCAGGAAACTTGGGTTATAATCCTAAATGGGCACCCCAAGCATATCTGATAAAGAATATGCCCTCTGTGCTTTAGGTTTTTTTAATCTGTAAAATAAAAGAGTTTGACTAGACAATGCCTAAGGTCCCAATTCCAAATGGGGGAAAAAAGTCTGTTTTTATATTTTTAAATTTAATTTGTAAGTTTTCCAATTAGTATCACCCTCTAATTTGTACATTGTTCTTAGTATACACAGTTTTGGAAATTTACAATTCCAAATATTGAGTGATAGTTGTGCCTTTCTATTTTATTAAACTGGAAATCTTTGTATCAGAAATGTATTTGGGGCCATGTGCTGTGACTCACTCCTGTAATCCCAGCACTTTGGGAGGTTGAGGCGGGTGGATTGCTTAAGGCCAGGAGTTCAAGAGCAGCCTGGCCAACATGGCAAAACCCTGTCTCTACTGAAAATACCAAAATTAGCCAGGTGTGGCAGCCCACACCTGTGGTCCCAGCTACTCAGAAGACTGAAGCATGAGAATTGCTTGAACCCAGGAGGCAGAGGTTGCAGTGAGCTGGGATCGCGCCACTACACTCCAGCCTGGGAAACAGAGAGAGACCCTATCTCAAAAAAAAAAAAAAAAAAAAAAAAAGTGTCCGGGGCTCAGTCAAGCATATTTACTCTTGAAGTGATTTTTAAAGTTTGAAATTATATGAAATTTTTATCAAATCTGTAATTTATAATAATGACTACATTTTGTTCACACCCTTATCACCATTATCACCTTTTAATTGGTCTACCTGCCTTTACCTAACCCAGTTTTGGTCTCTCCAATCTATCCTCTTCTGCCAGAGTGCAGAGCTGTTCACACACTTAAAACCTGTTGATTGTTCCCTGTGCCCTTCTGAATGAAGCTCATATAGCTTGACTAGGGCATACAAGGTCTGTGATCTGGAATCCTGGCTGTTTCTACACCCTGATCTTTGTCCAGTCCTTCCTGTTCATACCCTATGTTCTGGTCATCCTGAGCTGCATGGAATTCTCCCACCAGCAATGCCTTTTCTTATAGTATAATGGTTAAGAGCATATCTTTTGGTGATAAACCAAACTGAGTTCAAGTTTTGACAGTTGCTAGCAGTAACTTAATTAACTTCTCTGACCCTCATTTTCTGACTTTCATTTCCTCCACTGTACAGTGGGAATAAAAAAAACTACACAGAGAGTTAAATTTGACAATGTAGATAAAACAACCAGTAGGGTAACTGATTCATAGTGAGTATTCAATAAATGTTAGCAGCCAATACTAAAAGGAATAACAACAGCAGAAAGCCCATAAGGTATATTTGGTAAATGAATCAGTGGTTTACATTTGTTAATATAAAATGTGAAAAAAAAATGAGAGAATAAAAACATGTAATAAAGATGGAGTCAGAAGTTAAAAGAAAGTGTGGGAAAGGAGCGGAGATAGTGGGGAAAAATAGTCTCCCCCCTAGAACCCAAGTAACTTCTCCCTAACTTTTCAAGTAAAAGAGAATTTTGTGGTAAAATAAAGCTATGCTGTTCAGTAGGTTATTAAAAAACTAACAGAAAGATACTGTAAGTTCTTTGATAAATTTCTGTAGACTTCGTATTGAAAGAACTGTCCAGAGCATTTCCCTACATATAGTACAGGTATAGAGATTTTGAAATACCGTAACTGGGAGTAAAACATAGAGCCTTTTGTAGAATTACTTTAAAATATTTTCAAAAAAAAAATAGAGCACTCTAATGTACTCTTACAGTATAATCTCTGGTATGTGTTAAGAAAAACAAGATGCAGAGCAGAGTATATAGACAGAGCAAGACAAATAAATATTTACACATCCATGTATTTGTCTCTGTTTGCATAAAGAAATACTGGAAGAATTAAAAACAAAATTAATAAAAGATGTTTATCCATGGTAGGCCAGAGGGAACAGGCCTGATGGGACAGAGTTAGGACTCAGACTTCTCAACAGGTATCTTTTTTTTATTGTTTTAATCTGTGTTAATAAATTATCTATTTAAAAATAAAATAATTAAGCTTTAACCCAAAAATAAAAAATGAATGGTTTTCCGTTTCCTTTGGGCATCTAGTAATATCACCTTCCCTATGTTAATCTGGCTTTACAAAAGCAAACTCCTCTACTTAGCATGCTTCCCAACACCTGGTGTTAATGAAAATGAAATACTTTGCTTGCCTGAAACAGACCACACTTTTTAAAAGTGAGTTGATAATAATTTAGGGTATCCAGGTAATGTACTTTTTAGCTGATATAACAAGAAATCTGACAAGAAAGGAATAGGAAGAGCTCCTTCCTCTGTGGTTTCAGCTGGGGTGCAAGTTTTCCCAAATTTAGAGCAATATTTTTAAACGGGCAAATTAAGCTACCTCTAAATGACAGCGTCTCTTTTGGGGCTGCTCTTCCTTTCTCAGTTGGGTGGGTTTCTGTTCTTTTGACAGATCCTTCCTGCAGTATACTGGTTCAGAACTTTTTAAAATTAGTAAAGGATCATGCCATGCTACCAATTCTGTGTACCTGTTCTTTTTAAACATCTTGCTTGTCAGGGAGAGAACAAAAGTGTCTATCCTCTTTTCTCTTAAGTTTATCTGTTGCACAGTTCCCTCTTTTTGGAACTACTCATATCTTTTCCTTCTGCTGTGAATTCTGTAAGATAACTTATAACCAGCAGGTGTAATTTATATCTTTAAAGTTGATTTTTATATTTGGTAATTAAATCTGAAAACTTAGAAGAATGTGAAAATATTGCATAGTTTTCACTTTGGTTTTTTAACTTAATTTTTTACCGTTTTTAAATTCTCTTAACATGACGATTGAATCTGTAAGTTTAAAATTGGTATTTCTTTTCAAAGTACTGCATTAAGTATTTTTCATTCAGTATATGCAACACTTAATATTTAAGTGCCATGTACTTAGTGGAACCTTCTCAGATGACCTTCACCCATTGTCCTTATCCATATTTCTATGATAACACCTACCATACTGCATTTCATTTGTGTTCACATTATTCTCCTCCACTAGACTGAGATTCTTGCGATCAGCGATCATATTCCTTTCTCCTTGCTAATGAATGCTCAGTAAATGTTGGTTAAAGGAGTGAATGAATGCCATAGGGTATATATGCTTTGATACTATCTGTAATTTCTGTGTCTGTGCAGGAGTTTGGGGAAAAATGAAAGAGGAACTGGAATTAATGATTCAGACCTTTTTATAGCTTTGAGGAGAATGCAGATTTGTGGCTGTATACCAAAAAGCAGTGATTTTCCACCTTCTAAAAACTCATATCCCACCCCTTTTGATACACTTCAAGAGAGTCTTCTACCCTTTCTCACTAAAAGTAACCAGGGCTGCTTTGAGAAATGGCTGATTGCAAGTCTGGAGTAGATGTACATGATAAGCTAGAACATCTTGTCATATCAGAAAGCAGAGAAGCTTTGAAAAACTACTGGATTCATGTCGTATACCGAGGAGCCAACTTGAAGCTGTTCCCAGTAACTTGAAGAGGGGACATAATGACCAAAACTGATTGAAACACATCAAAATATTAAAGACACATGAGTTTATAATGATACTAAAAATAAATCATAGTCACCTTTGGAGGTTGCTAGGGACCAAATTTGTTACTCTGAAAACTAGTGAAAAGAATTTTTTTATCCTGCCTCTTCTGTGCAGAATGTAACCAAATAGTTGAAGAGAGCAAGCATTCAAGGAAGAATTGCTGCTAAGAATGAAGATGAAATCCATTTTATGTTTTTTGGAGACTGGGTCTCGCTCTCACCCAGGCTGGAATGCAGCAGTGGGATGATCATGGCTTACTGCAGCCTCAACCTCCTGGGTTCAAGTGCTCCTGCTACTTCAGCCTTCTGAGTAGCTGGGGCTGCAGGTGTCCTACTCTACCTGGCTAATTAAAAACAAGATTTTTTTTTAGAGACAGGGTCTCACTATGTTGCCCAGTCTGGTGTCAAACTCCTGGGCCCAGCGATCATCCCGCCTTGGCCTCCCAAAACGCTGGGATTACAGGGGTGAGCCACTGCGCCTGGCCAAAATCTTATAATTGGGACATTCCAGTATTACTGTTTAGCACCCCTAATGAAATAGTGTTTCTAAGCAGTGATCATCAATAGCTGCTAAAAATCATCAGTTGGATCAAGCTGACAACATCTGAATCTACCAGTTGGTTTTAAAATCACAAAAAGACAGGCAAACATTGCTGTGTCTCCTTGTATGATTTGACAGTGGATGTCTGTGATGGTCACCAAAAATTCAAACATGGACTTCATCACATCCCTAGATATAACTACTAGTTTACAATGAAATGCAGGGGAAATTGATTGACCACGGGGTGCAGTCCAGAATAGGGGAAATTCTACTACACAAATACCAAGTTTTCTCAACAAACAAATGGCTAGAAAAAATTTTAAAAGAGGGGAGGGGCTGGTTATTAGAAGAAACCTAAAAGGCTTATCAGCCAAATGAAATATGTAGGCCTTATTTAGATCCTGATTTAAACTAACTGTACAAAGACATTTTTATGCTTTAATTTAGTGCTATTTGAATATTAGGTGATGCTAAGAATTGATTATTTTAAGGTATGATCATGGCATTGTGGTTATGTTTTTAAGTCCTGTCTCTTACAGTACATATTGAAGTATTTACAAATCAAAACGAGATAATGTCTGAGACTTCATCTAGTTTGGTAGGGGGAGTAGCTGAGGCATATACATCAAACGAACAAAGATGGGTGATAAGTATGTGGGAGTTTATCATATTTCCTCTCTCTTTTATATATGTTTAAAATTTTCTAAAATAAAAATTTTAATAAAAAGTACATTTCCTTTTGTCCTAATGTAACCTTATAAAACCCCTGTAAGTTCTTTTATGTTTTGCTATTAAGAAAGTAATGTCTGTAGAGTGTAAATAATTTGAGTGCACATAAATTATGGCATAACTGAGCTAGAATATTGCTTTTTGATATGAACATATTGAATAATTACAGAGATTACAAAGGATTAAAGGAATTTTTGAGCGCTCAAGAGAATTAAAGAGGAAGGCTAAATATGAGTATCAAGCTTTTACAAAGGAAATGTGGAATTGGATTTGGTAGGGAATGTAAATTTTAAATTGAGAATGATGACAGAGAGGAGGTGAGAGGAAGATAAACTCTCTGAGCTTTGGCTTAGAAGGAAGAAGAATTTACTTGGAATGGCAATAAATTTAACTTAAAGCAAAAAGGGCCAATCAGGTTTGGCAAAAGATAAGATCTAATTATAATAGGAATCGTTGATAAAGATTGTGATCAGTTTTTCAACTTTATTTGAAAAATTAGTATGTATCAATTAAGAGTTATTAGTAGGATAAAAGGATTTTTCTACCATGAGAGGTTTAAGTTGTTGGTTTTAGGAAGGGGGAAGTCAAACCTTGCTCACTATCCTTTTATATTACCTGTTGAAACAATGTGAACTGTCATTTCCTTAACAAGGCATCAAGATGCCTTTTTAGTCCACTTCTTTCTTAATATGATTTTTATCTCATATCAAACTGCCTGTGGACATTTTAACTTGGTTATTCATCTTTCTTAAGTCTAAAACTCTCCTTTCTGTCAGGTTCTTAATCTTCCAGGCTTATTTGAATTGTTTCTCTCTTGTGGCCAAATTGTGTTGACAATTTATATTATTTTAAAATTTATTTCCATTATCAAACTCTCGTTACTTTGTGTCTTCTAACTGCTCATCTTGCCAAAGGTTTTTCATCTTTTTATTCATCTTAAGTATCAATAGACTTCTCTTCCCTGAATACCCTTTGTGTCTTTACTTCTCTGTTCATCCACTTTCAGTAGCTCTCCTCATTGCTTATAATACAGTCAAACTCTAGCGTGACTTATTTTTCAAAACTCCTTTGTTATTTAATTCCAATCTGCTTTTGCAACAATTTGTTCAACAACATTTTCAATACAAATATTTAGCTCCAGCCAGATCTGTTCCAGCCATCTTGTTTGGAACATGCTTTTACTTAACTCTCACCTTTATATTCTTCTTTACTCGTGCCATTCTCTTCACCAAGAATTGTTGTTGTTGTCGTTGTTGTTGTTCAAGTTCTACATATTCTATGAAAACCATCAGGCCATACCTTCCTCATTAACTCAGTCCTTTCTTCGGTAGCCTACAATATTAATTCTCTATTGAACTTCATTACCACTTAATATTTGGCATGTACTCATGTTACCTTTTCAGAAATCTGTGGTTTGTCTCCCTTTCTAGGGGAAAAGTTTGGTTTTATATGTCTTTGATTCTTCCACAGGCTCACAGTGCTATGCATATAGTATGTGTTTGGCAAACATTTTCGTGGATGATTTATGACTACTGGTTAGTTAGTATCTTTTGAGAATTCTTTAAAAACAATCTGAGGTTCCCCCCCCCCACTCTGGAGTAGATTTTTATGATGTTATCTAAAGGCAGAGATAGGAGCTAGTTCTTCTGGAGGCTACCTTGAGCCTCCAGAGAGAGAGGGATTACACAAGTTAAGAGGAAGCGTGTGAAGGATTGAGATGACTGGTATGAATTTCAGAACTTTAAATGCTACAAATGTAACTTATTTTTTTTTTTTTTTTTGAGACAGAGTCTCGCTCTGTCACCCAGGCTGGAGTGCAGTGGCGCAGTCTCGGCTCACTGCAAGCTCCGCCTCCCAGGTTCACGCCATTCTCCTGCCTCAGCCTCTCCGAGTAGCTGGGACTACAGGCGCCCGCCACCACGCCCGGCTAATTTTTTTTTATTTTTAGTAGAGACGGGATTTCACCGTGGTCTCGATCTCCTGACCTCGTGATCCACCCGCCTCGGCCTCCCAAAGTGCTGGGATTACAAGCGTAAAAACAATCTGAGGTTTTTTTCCCCCCCGCCACTCTGGAGTAGATTTTTATGATGTTATCTAAAGGCAGAGATAGGAGCTAGTTCTTCTGGAGGCTACCTTGAGCCTCCAGAGAGAGAGGGATTACACAAGTTAAGAGGAAGCGTGTGAAGGATTGAGATGACTGGTATGAATTTCAGAACTTTAAATGCTACAAATGTAACTTTTTAAACATTTATTAGTTTAAACAAATGTGTATAGCACTTGATACATTGTGCTATATATCAAACATTGATAGAATATTTTTCCATTTAGCTTTTTAAAAAATGTTTGATTATACAGTATTATATACTTAAGTTGAATGATTATATTTTGTTCAACATTAAAATTGCCTTTTTAATTAGGTTATAATTTTACTATATCTGTCTGAATCCATTTTACTCCTCGTATCCATTGTAGCTGCTAAAGTGGAACAATGATTTGATTCACTTTGTTAGTCAGAGAGAGCTTTTCCATTACATTAGTAGTGAGGATTTTTAATTCAATCATTTGCATAAAAAAACTTCTCAAATTTAAATATCCAAATATATGTTATAATTGTATTAGCCAGTCACTTGGTAATCATGTATTTGTAGAGATGCAAATATAAGCATTCGCTTCTGATTGTTAACATCAATCAATTTATTTTGTTTTCATAGAATAATAATAACCTGGATGCCTGCTGTGCTGTTCTCTCTCAGGAGAGTACAAGATATCTTTATGGTGAAGGAGACTTGAATTTTTCAGATGATTCTGGAATTTCTGGTCTACGCAATCACATGACTTCTCTCAACTTGGACTTGCAATCACAGAACATTTACCACCATGGAAGAGAAGGAAGTAGGATGAATGGAAGTAGGACTCTAACGCACAGCATTAGTGATGGACAACTTCAAGGTGGCCAGTCCAATAGTGAACTATTTCAGCAGGAGCCACAGACAGCACCAGCTCAAGTTCCTCAAGGCTTTAATGTTTTTGGAATGTCCAGTTCCTCTGGTGCTTCAAATTCAGCACCACATCTTGGATTTCACTTAGGCAGCAAAGGAACATCTAGCCTTTCTCAACAAACTCCCAGATTTAATCCCATTATGGTAACTTTAGCCCCAAATATCCAGACTGGTCGTAATACTCCTACATCTTTGCACATACATGGTGTACCTCCACCTGTACTTAACAGTCCACAGGGAAATTCTATCTATATTAGGCCTTACATTACAACTCCTGGTGGTACAACTCGACAGACACAACAGCATTCTGGCTGGGTATCTCAGTTTAATCCCATGAACCCTCAGCAAGTTTATCAGCCTTCACAGCCTGGTCCCTGGACTACTTGTCCTGCATCTAATCCTCTGTCACATACCTCATCTCAACAGCCAAATCAGCAAGGCCACCAGACCTCTCATGTCTACATGCCAATCAGTTCACCTACTACTTCACAACCACCAACCATTCATTCATCTGGTAGCTCACAGTCTTCTGCCCATAGCCAATATAACATTCAGAATATTTCAACAGGACCTCGAAAAAACCAGATTGAAATCAAACTTGAACCCCCACAAAGAAATAATTCTTCAAAACTGCGTTCTTCTGGACCTCGAACCTCCAGCACTTCCTCTTCAGTCAATAGCCAGACCTTAAACAGAAATCAGCCCACTGTTTACATAGCTGCCAGCCCCCCAAATACGGATGAGCTGATGTCCCGTAGTCAACCTAAGGTCTATATTTCAGCGAATGCTGCCACAGGAGATGAACAGGTCATGCGGAATCAGCCCACACTCTTCATATCCACAAACTCTGGAGCATCTGCTGCCTCCAGGAACATGTCTGGGCAAGTGAGCATGGGTCCTGCCTTTATTCATCACCATCCTCCCAAAAGTCGAGCAATAGGCAATAACTCTGCAACCTCTCCTCGAGTGGTAGTCACTCAGCCCAATACGAAATACACTTTCAAAATTACAGTCTCTCCCAATAAGCCCCCTGCAGTTTCACCAGGGGTGGTGTCCCCTACCTTTGAACTTACAAATCTTCTTAATCATCCTGATCATTATGTAGAAACCGAGAATATTCAGCACCTCACGGACCCTACATTAGCACATGTGGATAGAATAAGTGAAACACGGAAACTGAGTATGGGATCTGATGATGCTGCCTACACACAAGGTAATATGAATACTAAAGGTGGGATGGTTTTCCATGCTGGGCTTGTTGGTGTGCATTTGATTTCACAACAGAAATGGATGTTAGCATTGTTATTTCATTGTTTAAATATTGCCCCAAATGATGTTATTGTAACATTTGAGAGTATTATATGTATATACATTTTAATTTTAATTTTATTTTATTATTATAAAACTGGAAGTTTGAGTAATTGGGTTATCAGCTCTTCAGAGTAACCAAATCTGGTTAGTTGGTTTGTTAATGTTTATAACACTTTCTTTTCAGTTAATCTTATACCTGTGGTGATGCTGACTTTCTCTTTAAATTTTCTGTAAATAAAAATTCCTAGAAATAACGTTTTAATAAGCAACTAGTTGACTCTCTTGACTAATATGGTAAATTTGCCTTCTTTGACCAGATATTTGAAGAATAAGTAATTCTTGGCTGGGCATGGTGGCTCACGCCTGTAATTCCAGTGCTTTGGGAGGCCAAGATGGGAGGATCATTTGAGCCCAGGAGTTTGAGACCAGCTGGGGCAACATATGGAGACTCCGTCTCTACAGAAGGTTTTGAAATTATGCAGGCATGGTGGCACACACCTGTAGTCCCAGTTACTCAGTAGACTGAGGTAGGAGGATTGCTTGAGCCCAGGAGTTCAAAGGTTAGAGTGAACTGTGACCATACCACTCTGCCCCAGCCTGGGCAGCAGAGTGAGACCCTTCTCTGGGGTGGGGGGAAATTCTTCATTTTTCTAATACAACATTTTAGTCTTATTTTATATTAAGTCTATTACTGCGTAAGTATTAGAATAATTTACCTCAAAGAGAAGTTTGAATCTTGTTCCTGATATTTGTCCCTTTTATTCTCCCTTAAATGTTGGTTAATATATTTCTTTTTACATGGAATTATAAGGACATTATTTTCAAATCTTTCAATTGATTATCCTTTTCTGAAATAGACTATTTGATATTGGCATACTACATTATGTCTATATTAATTCAAATAGAGAAATTTCTGTCATATGTTTTATCTAACCTCTTAAGTTACATAATTTTCAGTAGGACTGTTAAATAAATACATTTAGATAAGAAGGTGGAGGTTATTCATTTTCTTGAATATTTATGCCAGTTTGTAGATGAACTGAGCCTTTTAGAGTAAGGGCATATCTTAGTCATATATGTATCTGCAGTGAATCATTTCATGTATCAGCTGTAGGTTGGAAAATACTATAACATCACCCTCAGGCAGCATGCAGCCCCTACTGTCACTAATATCCTCATCCTTTTTTACATTTCTGATACAGTGATTTTACTGCTGAGTCTCTTAGGGGGTCCTAATTGCTTTGCCTTATTTTATGTTTTAAACAGCTACACTAGTGATTCTTAGTCCAAGCTGGGTTGTGGTCCTTTCGAATTCCAGTATCATTCATGGAGCTTTAAAAAATCAGCTGGGCACAGTGGCACCCGCCTGTAGTCCCAGCTTCTCAGAAGCTAAAGTGGGAGGACTGCTTGAGCCCAGAAGTTTGAGGTTGCAGGGCACCACTGCACTCCAGCGTGGGCAACATATCGAGATCCCTATCTCAAAAATAAAGTACGCAGGGCTCTGCCCAAACTTAAGTAAAGTGAATCCTAGGTATGCGTGTGCATGTATTTGTGTGTGTGCATTTTAGGGGTACATGAGTGATTTCAATTGCCCTAGAAATTGTGTTAAAACTTTTATTTTCCATATATCTGTGATTAACTACAACCATTTTTGTTTAGTTTCAGCAGTTTATAAATGTTATATGCTATTATTTTTTCCACTTACAACTTAATTCTCCTCTTCTCCCAAAGTCACCTTCTCTTCCTGTCCTTCCATCAAAACATCAGGTTTCCTATGGTTGGATAGTTGCTGATTCTTAAGTAGCAAATTTTTTATGAAGATAATTTGATAAGGGAAATTTTCAAGTAAAGTAGGCATTCATATTTAGTGATATTAAAAAGATATTCATGTTTAACTAGAATGTGAAAATAAAGTGTTTCTTAAACTTGCTATCTTCAATTCCCCTCCTATTCTTTTTTTTTTTTTTTTTTTTTTGGGACAGGGTCTCGCTCTTTCGTCCAAATTGGAGTGCAGTGGCATGTTCACAGCTCACTTCAGCCTCAACCTCCTGGGCTCAAGTGATCCTCCCACTTTAGCCTCCCTAGTAGCTGGACTACAGGTACACACCACCACATCCAGCTAACTTTTTGTATTTTTTTGCAGACAGGGTCTCCCTATGTTGCCCAGGCTGGTCTTGAACCCCTGGGCTCAAGAGATCTGCCTGTCTCAGTCTCCCAAAGTGCTAGGATTACAGGCGTGACCTCCACACCTGGCCTGTGACTTCTTACTTCCCCCATCATCACTACTGTGGTCTCAGCAATCATCACCTTTCAAATGGATTATTGCAGTGACCTACCCATTCTCGTCCTTGCCTCCTTGCAGTCTTCTTTCAACTCAGCATCCAGGGAGATACTGTTAAAAATATGCATCAGATCATATCACTTCTCTGCACATGATCACTATCTATTGCACTCAGAATAAAAGCTATGAAGCCCTACAGGATGAGCAGCTTCTCCCCCCAGCTCTTTTCCTTTTGCTTACCACCTGCTCACTGTGTTCCAGCCCTCCTGGCCTTCTTACTCTCTTCCTTAAACATAGAAGGCAAACTTTAGGGCCCTTTTATTTGCACTAGTATTATTTTTTAGACTAAAACATTGAAGAACAGATAGATTAAGTAACTTGTCAAAGGACAAGTGGCAGAGTCAAAATTCTAACTAGAGGCTGGGCACGGTGGCTCACGCCTGTAGTCCCAGCACTTTGGGAGGCCGAGGTGGGTGGATCACAAGGTCAGGAGTTCAAGACCAGCCTGGCCAACAGGGTGAAACCCCATCTCTACTAAAAAGACAAAAATTAGCGGGGCGTGGTGGCAGACGCCTGTAATCCCAGCTGCTCGAGAGGCTGAGGCAGGAGAATCGCTTGAGCCCGGGAGGCAGAGGTTGCAGTGAGCCGAGATCATGCCATTGCACTCCAGCCTGGGTGACAGCAAGACTTTGTCTAAAGGAAAAAAAAAAAAATTCTAACTAGGAAGTTAGAGAAGCCCACAATGTTAACCACTATCATATAATGTCTTTCTTTCCAGATTTTCATAATAAACCCTCTGGAAAGATATTTTAAGTGTATCTTGTAGCTTCACTTATAGCCCATGGTACAACACTGTGGGGGCCACATGTGCCTCAATTTGAGAGGGATGTAGCTAAAAAACCATTAATTAAAAAAAGGCAACCATAGGGAAAGATAACACAGTAAATAGATAACAACAAGTAGAAATAACTTAAGGCTGGGCATGGTGGCTCATGCCTGAAATCCCAGCACTTTGGAAGACCGAGGCGGGTGGATCACAAGGTCAAAAGATCAAGACCATGCTGGCCAACATGGTGAAACAACATGGTATCTACTAAAAATACAAAAATTAGCTGGGTGTGGTGGCGTGCACCTGTAGTCCTAGCTACTCAGGAGGCTGAGGCAGGAGAATTGCTTGAACCTGGGAGGCAGTGGTTGCAGTGAGCCGAGTTTGTACCACTGCACTTCAGCCTGGCAACAGAGTGAGATTCCGTCTCAAAAAAATAAAGAAGAAAAAAAAAGGAAAGAAAGAACTCTAAACAATAAAGTAACACCCTGGATAGAAGTAGAGAGCACTTTCAGAGGACACCTGAAAGTAAAAATAAAAAAACTTTCTGATGAGAGAAGTCTGTGGTTTGAGAGCTTAAATTAAAGCCTACCAAGAAAGCAGGTTTCTCCAGAATCTGCCCCTCAAATTGCTTAACAGCCTTCGGACAGCTCTAACAACCTTGATGGAGGTTAAAGCTCTAACAACCTTTAAACATACCTACATACATACAGAATTTTATAACATTTGTTTGACTACATAGTTTTGCATTATCTGTGTGTGCACACTGTTTTGGGATTGGTACTGTTCTCCAACTTTTCTTCTCCTTGTTTCTGTTTACTATGGAACTGGTATTGATCCAGATTGACCTATCACCCAGTAACACAGTCTTTTTTTTCTGAGATAGAGTCTCACTGTCATCCAGGCTGGAGTGCAGTAGCACGATCTCAGCTCACTGCAACCTTCACCTCCCGGATTCAAGCAGTTCTCCTGCCTCAGCCTCCCGGGTAGCTGTGATTACAGGCACATGCCACCACGCCCAGCTAGTTTTTGTATTTTTAAGAGAGATGTGGTTTCACCTTGTTGGCCAGGCTGGTCTCGAACTCCTGACCTCAGGCAATCCGCCTGCCTCAGACTCCCAAAGTGCTGGGGTTACAGACGTGAGCCACCGCACCTAGCTCAGTGACACAATCTTGATCTAGTGTTTCATTCACTTAATTCAAGACAAAGGAGGCCTTTGCTGGAAAATGCATCTTTTCTGCTTTTACCCTACATAGTTCACAGACACTCTCTGCAGTTACTAAACGGGGTGGCCTGAGTAATCCTGATCTTTAAGCAAGGATCTTTTCTAAACTCTGAGTGGTATGGGTAAGAAAAAGAAAAGAAATATCTCGGTCTTCTGCAGTGAAATTGATTTTTCTAATGCTCCTGGAAATACTGTTTTAGAGTAGAAAAATAAGTGGAGCCAGGCACTAGAATCATAGGAAAATACTTTTTCCAAATTGAGAAGGGAACATACGTACATACATAAATTTGGTAACCAAAATGCATTTTTTCTTTTTTCTTTTAATCTACCATTTGAAATCTAAAATACTGTGATAAAAACTGTCAAAAGTGAAAATTTGTTTATGAAAGGTATATTGTTTAATACATCCTCTACTATAGAGTGATCAGAAGCAAAAGAAGTAAATTAATGAAACATCAAGACCCCACTCATCTCAGCACTAAGTCTGTCAGCACCACCATCCTTCCTAAAGGAAATAAATTAAACTTGATTCCTTAAGGTACTACAGGAATCAGAGACAAAAGTGGAAAGAACAAATTAAGGTTGGAGAGAAATTTTCAGTTTAAAGTTTATAGATATGAAGAAAATTCTTATTTTACCCATTAAGAACAAATACAGAAGTGAAATTTTCTTACTGGTAGTCAGTGGTCAGATATAGCTACATTTTCCCCTTAAGTCATACCACCCAACTCTAGCTTCCAAAAAATGTTGAAAACTATCATTCAGCATATTCTGAGACATTCTAGTGTCTTCATAGTGGTATACCTGTTGTAACACTGGCAACTTTTATAGGTATGGAGGACAAAGCATTCCAACAAATTTTCATGGTGGAGAGAAAAAGGCCTACTTTCTTATTTTGTTACAGAAGCCAGAAACTCTTAAAAAAAACTAACATTGCTGCCAAATACAATTTCCACACAACTCCATCTGTGGTATTGACTTAGCTGGTAAACTTTTTATTATTTAAAGAAAAAAAATTACATATATAAAATGATAAATATTTTTAATGATACTTTAATATGGTTTTTCCTCAGTTATGTTTAAAGTCCTACCATAGTGTTAAGCAGTAGCCTTGACTTTGAACCTAAAATAGAAATACAAGTAAGAAAAATTATGAGTTGAAAATTAGCTTCTTGGACTTTGTGTTTCTCATTCCTTACCATTTTTCACTAGTACATCTATCCAAATCACAACACGTTTCTTTTTAATGAGATTTAATAAAAAATGTTTATTGTGGCACAAATTCAATGAGCAAGATACTCTTCAAAAGGAAATATAATTTTATTTAGTTCAGATTCTAAAACTTGTACTTTGTTTAACTTTATGTATCTTTTCATTGGAAATACCTTTTTGTTATTCTTTGTTGACATTGAAATCACTTTATTAAATAAAAGCCTACTGCAGTAGCACATGCCTGTAGTTCGAGCTACTCGGGAGTCTGAGGCAGGAAGACTGCTTGAGTGCAGGAGTTCAAGACCAGCCAGGGCAATGTAGCAAGACTTTGTCTCTAAAATAACAATAATAAACTCAGCAATTAAGATTAGTTGACATTGGACCACTTACAGAATATTTTTTTCAAATTAGCCCTACTACTTGTAGGTTCCTCCCAGTCTTAAGACTAAATACCTTTTTAATTTGGGGTAAATGTCAGAATTGGAAGAGACTTTAAAGGGCATGAAGAATTCTACTCCAAAGGTTATCCAGTCCACGTACCCATCCAGCCTATCAAGTGTAAATCCTTTCTGTACTTTAAATTCTTATGAGACACAAACTGCCTCCTAAGGTAGCATATTCTGGTTTTGGAGAGCTCTACCTACTAGCTGGTTATTTCTTACATTAAATTAATACCTTTAAAAAGTATTATGAAAATAACACACTCAGTAAAAGAAATTTTAAAAAACAAATGCAATAAAAATGTGTTTCTTTTCAACCTTTGACTTGTCACTTCCTCCAGCTTTTCCCTTATTTAACTGTGAGAGGTATTCTCTATTAGCAGTTACTTATCCCCTTCCCATTAGATTCACTCAATCCCCTTCCCATTATATTCCCCTTCCCATTATATTCATTCCCTTTATATTCACATACACATACGTGTGTGTATATATGTGTATACACACACTGTTCTTAAAGCAGGAACACACTATACACATGGGTCTGTGAACACACGGGATTATATAATATGCACATACTCTACAATATGTCTGACATTCACTAAATGAGAACAGTACACTTTCTTAAATATATTAAGTTACGTAAATCTATTATTCTTTAAAATTTTTTAATGTTTAGTCATTATTTTAACAGCTTTATTGAGATATAGTTAATATACATGCAGTTGACTTATAGTATACATCAGTTTTTAGTTTATTCACTGATATGTGCAGCCATCACCCAGCCAGTAGAACACTTTCATCTCCTCTACAGGAAACCTCATATCCTGTAAGCTATCACCTCCCTATCCCATTACCCCCCACCCTCACTCAGCACTAGGCAACCACTAATCTACTTTCTTTCTCGATAAATTTACATATTCTGGACACGTGATATAAAATGGAATCTGATCTTTCATGACTCATCTATGGTATAGCAGCAACATGTTCTTTCCTTTTTATGGCCAAATATGCCATTATATAAATACACTGCATTTCATTTATTCATTCATCAGTTAATAGACATTTTGTTTTTTTCCACCTTTTCAGCAGTGGAATTGTTGCCATACTGTTTTCCAAAGTGATTTGTATTCTCACCAGCTGTGTGTGAGGGTTTTCATTTCTCCCCATTTTCAACAACGCTTTTATCTGACTTTGTGTTACTTGCCATCCTAGTGGCTGCAAAGTATTTAATTGTGATTTTGATTTGCATTTCCCTATTGGCTAATGATGTCAAGCATCATTTCATGTGCTTACTGGCCATTTGCATATTTTCTTTGGAGAAATGCCTATTCATATCCTTTGCCTACTTTTAAATTAGGTTATTCATCTTTATTGTTAAGTTGTATGAGTTCTCTGTATATTCTAGAAATAAGTCCCTTCCATGATTTGCAATTTTCTCCCATTCTGTGTATTGTCTTTCACTTTCTTGATGGTGTCCTTTAAGCACAAGTTTTTTATTTGGCTGAAGTCCAAACTCTATGTATTTTTTCTTTTATTGCTCTTGCGTTTGGTGTCCTAAGAAACAGTTTCTAACTCTGAGGTGAGGTCATAAAGATTTACCCCTATTTTTTCCTCCTAAGAGTTATATAATATTAGTTCTTATATTCTAGTCTTTGATCTTTCATCCATTCTGATGCAATTTCTATATCATGGCATGAAGTAAGAATCCAACTTCATTCTTTTGCATGTGGCTATCCAAGTATCCCAGCACCATTTGTTGAAAAGACTTTTTCTCCTCATTGAGTGATTTTGGCACCCCTGTAAAAAACCAGTTGACCATAAATGCGTGGGTTCATTTCTGGACTCTCAATTCTTTTCCATTGTTCTATATGTTCTTTATGCCAATACCATATGGTCTTAATTACTGTAATTATTTTATTATTAAATTGGGACATGTGAGTTCTCCTGCTTGGTTCTTTTTCAAGATAGGCTTGGCTATTTAGAGTCTCTTGAAATTCTAAGTAAATTTTAGAATCAGTTTGTCAATTTCTACATAGAAGTCAACTGGAATTCTGATAGGAATTGCATTAAAATATTTTCCTACATACTTGCTTTTTTAAAAAACTGAAAACAGAACTAAAGGGTATATAATGAAAAATTCCCCTCACTAGAGATAACTAGTTTCTCAAACAGTTCATTTTGTATTCTTCTAGGATTATGTCTCTTTTTTTTGTCTTTATCTCTTTGAGAGAATTCCATGTCAGCAGGATCTGCTTTTTAAGAAATGGCTGCATAGTATTGTGTACCATAATATCTAACCAGTCCATTCTTGATAGACCTTAAGTAGTTGCTAATCTTGTTTTTATGAACAGTGCTGCAATAAAAATCCTTGTGTACACATAATTGTACCCATGTCCAAGTATCTTGGCAGACTGTGAGATTACTAGGAGTGAAACTGCTGTGTCCAAGGATATATGTGTTTTTAATTTTGATAGATGTATCATTTAGGCTTGGTTATGTTGCAGTAACAAACCATGTCTTAAAAACAACTAAGATTTATTTCTAGCTCACATTTCCTGTCCCATATAGATTAGCTGGTGGCCTCTGTTCTCCATCACCCTCACCAAGGGACCCAGGTTAAGGGAAGCTCCATCTCTGTGCTTCCATGACCAAGGAAACATAGTGGGTGAGCAGTGGCTCCTTAAGCCTCTGCCTCAACGCATGTTACTCTGTAGCTAAAACAAAGCACACAGCCACACCTAATTCAGCAGGAACAGGGAGGCACAGTTCTACCACATACCTGGGAGACAGAGAGCCAGAAGAATGTGGGGAAGGACACTAATGACTGCCAATAAATGTTGCCAATTTCAATTTTGAGGCTCTCTCTAAAGAGATTTTACCAGTTTATGCTCCCATACTTACAAATGGGTAACATTTTTGGTAACATTTATAAGAATATTCTTTCCTCCTTCCTTTCCCCACTCATCATATTTTGTAGGTGGTTGAAAAAAGTATTATCTAGTCAGTTTAATAGGTAAAAATATATTGTTGCTTTAGGTTATTTAAATTTTCATCTTTTTCTTGGGAGCTTAATTTGCATATTTAAATACGATTGAGGTTGAACATCTTTTCATGTGTTCTTTTTCCAGCCATTTGTATTTCTCACCTTATGAACTTGCCTATTTCTGTAAAATGCCTATTCTTTCTACTTTGTTACTACCTTTTAGTTAGTCAATAAAATTTTTCTGCCTTATAAATTTTTTACTTTTACATATTCAGACTTCTCAGAATTTCCTCTTATGGCTTCTGGGTTTTGTGTCTTATTTAGAAAGCCTTTCCATATTCCAAGATTTTGAAAAAAGAATAACAGAAATCTTTTTTTTTTTTTTTTTTTGAGATCGAGTCTTGCTCTGTCACCCAGGCTGGAGTGCAGTGGTGCAGTCTCGGCTCACTGCAACCTCTGCCTCCCAGGTTCAAGCAATTCCCCTGCCTCAGCCTCCCCAGTAGCTGGGACTACAGGCATGCACCACCACGCCTGGCTAATTTTTGTATTTTTAGTAGAGATGGGGTTTCATCACGTTGGCCAGGATGGTCTCAATCTCTTGACCTCATAATCCACCCGCATCGGCCTCCCAAAGTGCTGGGATTACAGCTGTGAGCCACTGCACCCAGCCCCAGAAATCTTACCGTTATTTTCTCTTTAGTATTACCTTGAAACCATATTGAACTGGTCTCATGGCATCCCTTCAAAACTTGAACATATCCTCTTTTAAATTGTAAATCTGGCCAGGCATGGTGGCTCATGCCTGTAATCCCAGCACTTTGGGAGCCCGAGGCGGGTAGATCACCTGAGGTTGGGAGTTCGAGACCAGCCTGACCAACATGGAGAAACCCCGTCTTTACTAAAAATACAAAATTAGCTGGGTGTGGTGGCACATACCTGTAATTCCAGCTACTGGGGAGGCTGAGGCAGGAGAATCACTTGAACCTGGGAGGTGGAGGTTGTGGTGAGCCAAGATCACGCCATTGCACTCCAGCCTGGGCAACAAGAGTAAAACTCTGTGTCAAAAAAAAAAAAAAAAAAAAGGTATAAACCTTTCTAAGCCATAATCACTCCCACGTCGCATAATGACTCATCCAAGTTATATTGTTTTGAGGCTCTTTTGGTGCATCTAGGCCTGTTTTCATTCTGTCTAAAATAAAAGTTTTAGATTATATCTTAATGCTGTAAGATTACATGCAGAATCTTAATTATGTAAAATAAAGGCCAGCAAATTATTATCTAGCAAGAGGTCTCACCAGTTATGCTAAAATGACTAAAATTCATCTCTTAGTAGGTTCTTAAAAATAATTACAGAGATTAAGCATCATTCCTCATACTTTTATTTTACATCTATTGCCCAAATTATGGGCCCAATTGCAGCACTGTTACAAGATCTGATTTCAAATTGCCTTTAAAAATGACAAAATAGTTTAAAAGTTTGCTTTAAAGTTATAATTGCCATCTTTGAATCTTTTATGACTCAGTCACCAAATAAGTGACTATGGTAATACAGTGATATATAAAACAGATGTGATTCCTGTTGTCAACAAAGTTACAGCCTAGAAAAATCTTGATTTATTTTAGAAGCTGACATTGTACTTTCCTAGGTACAATGACTTAAGTATGACTTAGGCTTGTTCCTGATTTAGACATGTAAAATTGTCATTACAGACAAAAAACAAAAAGATACCAGAAGTAAGTACCTATTAGGTTTTTCAATAGCAAAATTTTTCCTTTTTCATTTAAAGAAGCCTAAAATCTTTGTATCTACAAGTCCCTAGTATATTTTCCAATGACATATGTCTTTTCTCAGTAAGCAAATTCTCGTGTTTTTGTTTTTAAACTTCTGGAGAAATTTGACATTATTTACAGTAAAAAAATAACTAAAATTAATAAAACTAACACCATCTGGAACTTCAAGAGTGTTTTTTAAATTTCAAATAAAATTGAGTAACGAAGAAATTTTCTCCATTGTTCGTGAGCTAACAAAAGTTGGGTAAGTACTGAGCTTTCTGTATAAACCATTTAGAATGCTTATAGCAGTGGTTTAAGAGCCCTGGTGCTTGAATTCACTTAGTACTCACTTATTTTTAACAACAACTAAGAGAGAGTTGCATGCTTAAATTACCTTTATCCATTAAAATTTAACTTTGAAAGAGGATTTAAAAGATACTGAATATTTTTTTCTTTACCTGTAATTCCTTCATCATCTGTTCACTGCAAAGCCCAGTCATTTATCTGTTTTCCTTGGAATTTTTAATTTTTGTTGTTGTTGTTCTCTGCCTTTATCATATCCTTTCAGCATCTCCAAGATACCATCTGTTCATTTTTCCTGGAGTCTTCTCTTCCCTGTTATAAATTACAGTCGCCATTCTTGGATCTTATATTATCTTCCTTCTTGGTTTATGCCTTCAATTTGCTAGAACATGTCTTTAAGTATTTTCCTAATGAGACTTGGGAGGTAAATTCTCTTAAGTCCTTAAATATCTGGAAATCCCCTCATATTTTTAGCTGGACATAGAATTCTTGGTTGAATATCATTTCTCCACAGAAAAATGTAGTGATTTCCTTATCACTGAGGAAATCTGGTGTCAATATGATTATTGTACCTTTGTATGTAATCTACTTTTTTTTCTTTCTGGAAATTTTTAAGATCTTTCTTTGTCTTTAGTAGTCTGAAATTTTACAATGGTGTAGGGGTTTTTTTTAATCATCCTGTCCCACATTTAGTGGACTCCTCCATTTTAGAGGCTAGTGTCTCCCTTCAGCCCTGGGAAATTCTTTTCTGATCCCCACTATGGTTTCTCCATTGTCTCCTTCTAGACCTCCTCTTGTTTAGCTATTTAATATCCTGAACGAGCTTTCTATCTATTTCTCGTTACATCTTCAGTATATTTCACGTCTTTGTCTTTCTTGGGGGTATCAGGGACAGGGGCAGGGGCAGGGTGTCACGGTTGCCCAGGCTGTAGAGTACAGTGGTGCTATCTCAGCTGACTGTAGCCTCGACCTCCCAGGCTCAAATGATCCTCCCACCTCAGCATCTGGAGTAGCTGAGACTACAGGCGCGCGCCACCATGCCTGGCTAATTTTTTAATTTTTTTGTAGAAACAGCATCTCCGTTTGTTGCCCAGGCTGGTGAAACTCCTGGGCTCAAATGACTCTCCCTCCTAGGCCTCCGAAAGTGCTGGGATTACAGGCATGAGCCATCATACCCGGCCCCTCCTTGTCTTTCCATTCTACATTTTAGGAGATTTCCTTAAATTTTTTTCCGACTCACATATGAAATTTTCATTTTGGCAGTGATGTTTTTAATTTCCAAGAGCTAGTTCTCTGATTCCTTTTCGAGGAAGGTTGTTGTTTTATGGGTACAATAGTGTCTTAAAATCTCTTAATGATATTAATCAGAATTTAAGTTCTCGTCTCTCTGCTATGTTGTCTTCACTTAATCTGGATTTAGTTTTTTTCTTTGTTTATGCAGACCTTTCACATTCATATCAGATTTTATTTTTTTTTGGCAGGGGGCGGGGGGGCGGGGGTGGACAGAGTCTCACTTTGTCGCCCAGACTGGAGTGCAGTGACACAATATCAGTTCACTGCTACATCCACCTCCCAGGTTCAAACAGTTCTCCTGCCTCAGCCTTCTGAGTAGCTGAGATTACAGGCACGCGCCACTACCACCTGGCTGATTTTTGTATTTTTAGTAGAGATAGAGTTTCACCATGTGGGCCAGGCTGGTCTTGAACTCCTGACCTCAAATGATCCACCTGCCTTCATATCAGATTTTCTTCAACTATGAGGTGATCCTTAAACCTACAGCTACCTTCCCTTTAGGATGGAGAGAAGTTGACTGTTCGATATACAGATAGCTACTTAAGCCTCTGTGTTCTGGCCCTTTCCTAACTCCTGCCTTCTGTTGTTACCTGCATTTTCCAAAGTCAAGGTTTCTGCAGGGCAGATGAGTTGCCATTTTGTCTACAGCACCCTCCTTGTCCATGAGACTTCAGCTTTCTCCACTCCTTCATTCAGCTGTCATTTCATCTGCTTCTAGCCTTCCAGAAACTTGTTGACTTCTGTTGTGAGTTAATTGCCTTCTTTTTCTTAATTGTTGGTGGATTGTACCTTTTTCATTCATACCTCATTTTTATGGGGTTTCAGGAGACAGAAGATTTTTTCATTTAGTGGAGGCTAATTAGAGCAAAAGTGTCTCTGCTGTTTAATGATCTACTAACATTGTTTCATAATGAGTCTAATCACATTGTTTCATAATGGACAAATATTGGGTGTTATTTTGTAAACTCAAGGTTAAACTTGCAGACAAAACTCACAGCTAGAGAAGAGTTTCGACTTTAGCTGAATTTTTACAGCGATTTTTAGAAATTCACTTTGACCCCTTTTTTCCCTGTAGTTCATCTTTCTCAGATTCCTATCTAAAAATCTCAAACCACAAATGAAAAGTGAACTAAACACATAAAAATTCAGCCACTTAGAAGAAAAAATTGCTAAGAAATAGAGAACCACTTTCCTAGTATATTCATAGCATTTTTAGTTTGTTTATAACAGCCATACCTAGACAAGTCAACCAACTAGGTATGTCATTTCTAAGTAATATAGTCATTATAACTCTAAAATTTTGTTTAAAGTGGAAAGAAATGCCTCATAAATAAGTTGTAAGTAATTGTAAATGGATTTGCAATATTTTACTTTAGAGCTTCAGACTAATCATAAGAGATACTTTGCCTTTATTCTCAGAGGTAAGCCACATCTTCAGCCATTGCAAAACCCCTTTGTGAATTTCTAAGGATGCAATACTTATTCAGAAATATTCTGAAGAATTTACTCTTTAACCTCAAAACACCTCACAACCATATGTGTAGCAACTGTGGCTCTTTCAAGTCTCCTAAATCATCATTGAATCAGATTTCTGCCTGCTGTTAAAGTCTGTCTCCTACTAATATTGGCCTTCTGTGTATCTCTCAAACTCTATGATTTACTTGCTTGTTTTGATAGAAACATTAGGAATATGGGATTGGGGATTGCTGGTGGAGCTGTGACTGGGAGAATGCTCAACCTTATCCTGGAATGTATACTTTATGATGTATTTGTTGGAAAATAAATTAGATTATTTTTATGATTTTCCATGCAGAGTTGCATACTAGCATTTTTTCCTTTTATCATTAAGTAAAGAACATCTTTATCTCATATGTTTTGCCCTAAAGTCAGATTTTTTTCTGAAATAATTATATGAAATTTTTCTAGCTGCCCTCAAGATTTTCTTTCTTTGGTTTTCAGCACTTTGACTGTGATGTGTCTAGGTGTTTTGTTTTAGCATTATTTGGTGATCTATGGGCTTCTTAGATCTGTGATTTGTTGTATTTCATTAATGTTGGAAAATTTTTGGTCTTTATCACCTCAGATATTTCTCCTGCCTTTTTCTCTCCTCTTTTGCCAGTTACACATAGACTGATACTGTTCTGCAACTCTTAAGTTTTTTTTGTTCTTTTTTTCACTTGTTTCTTGGTGTGTTCAGTTTGGGTAATTTCTGTTGTCAAGTTCACTGATTCTTCTGTGTCCAGTGTGTTAAGTCTGTCCAAGGAATTCTTTATCTCTGATAAGAATTTTTTATTTCTAGCCATATTTTTTATTTCTAGCATTTGACCCTTTCATGATTTCCACCTCTCTCCTCAAATTGTGAATCTTTTTTTTGCATGCTGTCCACCTTTTAAACTAGATCCTTTAACATATTAATCATAGTTACATCTTTAAGTTTTCTGTCAGGTAATTCCAGCTGCATCATCTTTGAGTATAGTTCTGTTGATCACTTTATCTCTTGATGATGAATTACATTTTTCTCCTGCTTGTATGTCTCATAATTTTTTATTGAATGCCACACACTATGTGTAAAGGAACAGAGGAGACTAAAGTAAATGGTATTTGCACCCAGAAATGAGGACATCTCTTTTTCTTTCAGGTTATTATTATGAGGCATTGCATCAATTTAGTCAGGAGTGGAGCTGGGTTTGGGTTTTGTTGTTGCCTTCAGTGCACCACAGTCTTCAGATACTTCCAGCAATTGACTGCTATTACTTTATGCTTCTTAGAGTAGTGCCTGAAGTGCAAGATATTTATTTTGAGTCCTTTTATTTTGAACCTGTCTGTGCTATGATAGATCCCCATTTTATTCAGAGTCCTTAATATGGTCAGCAAGGCTCTACGTGATCTGGTAGAGGGCCAGATAGTAATCATTTAGGATTTTGTAGGCCACATAATCTCTGTCACAACTATTTAATTCTGCTGTTGTAAAATGGAAACAGCCATAGACAACAAGTAAACAAATGAGCAAGGCTGTATCCAATAAAACTTTAATGACGAAACAGGCAGTGGGCTAGATTTGGCCCATGGGCCATAGTTTGCCTACCTGTTTACCCTTTGTTTAGAGTCTTTCTCTTGCCCTACTCCCTGGCCCCAATCTCTGCTACCGTGGTAACGTGAGCTCCGCAAGGGCAAGGATTTTTTCCTATTTTGTTCATGGACTTCCAAAATGCCTACAACAACATCTGACACATAGACCCTCAACTTATTAAAATAATAGATAAGTTAATTATGTTTTGAGTGTTTTTTATAAGCAGCATATAGCTGAGGTTTTACAATTCAGTCTACTGATCTCATCTCAACAGATATGTTTAATTAGGTTGCATTCATTGTGATTTCTAGTATATTTGGAATTATCCCTGTCTGGTTTTTGTTTTGTATTTCTTTCCTTTATCCCCTCCTTTCCTGCTATCTAGGTTTAATTAAATTTCCCTCATTTCTCCTTAGGTTCTGTCTTTGAATTTAGAAACTGCACATTCTGTTTTAACTTCCTTTAGCACAGATCCCTAAATACTGAACATGTATATTTGGCTTAGCAACATTTAACTGTATTCTTCTTAAATACCTTCAAGACCTTAGAATACTTCACCTCTGATTTTTGCACTTCCAGTGTATTGTTATTCTTTTCCAATGTTTTATTTTCACTTTGTTTTAGACAATGTCTGCTGCTCCCCTGCCCTGCCATAGTCTTTTCCTTTGTTTTATTGTCAGAGCTTTTTTTTTTTAGATTTACTCATCTTATTCCATTCTTTTGTGTTTAATTTCCTTCTTATCAGAACATATATTGAGTAGTTATTTCAGCAGCTATCTGTGATTGTTGAATTTCCCCAGACTTTGTTGGAAATACCTTTATTCATTTGTATTCTTGTATAATTTAATTAGGTGAACAAATTATTTTATCTTCTAAAATTTGTTACTTCCTTTTTTCCCTTCAATTTTGAAACATTTTCAGCCAATATCTCTTCACATCTTGCCTCTTGTCTATTCTCTCTGTTGTCTCCTTCTGGAATTCTTTTCTCTCTCTGTCTCCCCCTACCCGCCCCCGAGTTGGAGTCTCACTCTGTCATCCAGGCTGGAGTGCAGTGGTGTGATCTCGGCTTACTGCAACCTCTGCCTCCCGGGTTCAAGCAATTCTCCTGCCTCAGCCTCCCAAGTAGCTGGGATTACAGGCATCCACCACCACGCCCGGCAACTTTTTGTATTTTTAGTAGAAACGAGGTTTCACCATGTTGGCCAGTCTGGTCTCGAACTCCTGACCTCAGATGATCCACCCTTCTCGGCCTCCCCAAAGTGCTGGAGTTACAGGTGTGAGCCACCATGCCCAGCCTGGAATTTTTTTCTTAGATGTCTGTGAGACCTTTCAGAACTCTTCTTTCATTTTTTCTGTCACATTATCTGTGCATTCTGGGTAACATTCTTACATCTATCTGACAGGTCACCAACTGTCTTTGTATGTAATCTACTGTAATCTGTTTGGCTTTTTCATTTCAGTGACTTTTATTTCTAGAGGTTGTTTAAAGTTCTTTTCCAAATCTGCTTTATTTTTCTCAAGATAGAATCATCCCATGTTGTTTCTTTATAAAAAGTAGATTCAAGTATCTTCACTTCCAGTCCAGTATCCTAAAGGATGAGATTCATGTCCAGGGACAGATCACAAAAACATATACCAGTATTTGTAGTTTATTATGGTTTCCCAAGTAGTTCATGCTGCAGGATTGATTGCTTATTTTGTTTCTTTAAAGATCTTGGAAGATATTTTCACAAAATATAATCTGAATATACAAAAATATAAGTGGCAATTGGGATAATTTAATGTTAACATTTATGTGGAGTGAAATCAATCTGCCTGTTTTATTTGTTGCATACATCAAAATGGATTCTACATTCCCTTCTAAAATATCTATAACATTTTCATATTAGAATGCTTCATTCATAGACCAAACATGACAAACTCTGAAGTAAGAGAGCTTGTCCTTTCCGAGGGTAGATGTGAATTAGATACAGTAGTAAGTAGGTTAACTGAAAAGACGAAAACCTTTAGAGAAGCTGTAGCCTAAAAATGCTGTCTTCATTCATAAAGTGAATTTCTCCAAATCCTAGAAAACATTTAAAAAGTGGCATTTGTTTAAATGACTAAAACAATTTTTCAGTTAAAATGTTTGGAATTTGGCCAGGCACAGTGGCACAAGCCTCTAATCCCAGCACTTTGGTAGGCCAAGGCAGGCGGATCACCTGGGGTCCAGAGTTCGAGACCAGCCTGACCAACATGGTGAAACCTCATCTCTACTAAAAATACAAAATTAGTGGGGTGTGGTGGCAGTTGCCCATAATCCCAGCTACTTGGGAGGCTGAGGCAGGAGAATCACTTGAACCCAGGAGGCAGAGGTTGCACTGAGCCGAGATCGCACCATTGCACTCCAGCCTGAGCAACAAGAGTAAAACTCTGTGTCAAAAAAAAAAAAAAATTGAAATTTTAAATGCCTAAACTTACAATATTTTGTTTTAATGTAGCTTTGGGATTTCTGACAAATTCTTGTTTGCTTTTCCAAGTCTGCTTAAAGGTTAATTGATTAAAGTGGGTGGGTCCTCATGTTTACTAATGTGTGTTGCAGCTCTTTTGGTACACCAGAAGGCCAGAATGGAACGACTTCAAAGAGAACTTGAGATTCAAAAGAAAAAGCTGGATAAATTAAAATCTGAGGTTAATGAAATGGAAAATAATCTAACTCGAAGGCGCCTGAAAAGATCAAATTCTATATCCCAGATACCTTCCGTAAGTCTTTATGTAACTGTTGTGATCTCTGCTTGAACATGAGAGTAGGCCATCTAACATAAGTGTAATATCTCTATCTAGTTTTCTTCAGATGTTCTTAACTCTTGTTTTTCTGTCCTTACTTTCTTGTGCCAAACTCCATTCTTTATTAACTAATGACTAAGAATTCAGTGCAAATCTTACTTACATAGAATTATTTTTCAGCTTGAAGAAATGCAGCAGCTGAGAAGTTGTAATAGACAACTCCAGATTGACATTGACTGCTTAACCAAAGAAATTGATCTTTTTCAAGCCCGAGGTAAAGTTCAGTGTATTTGTAGCTGAAATTCATCGTATTTAATTCACCAGCAGTTTTTCTGTGGCTAAAAACAGACTTATCAATCATAATCTTACTGTCTCAGAACATGTGGCTTTGGAGCCAGACAGACTTTTAAGAATATATTTAAAAAGTCACCCCCATCTCAATGGCACTATCTTAACTGATAAAATATAGAAGATAGTAAAAATAAGGTTTATACATTCTTTAGACAATGATAGTTTCTTATACTTGAGCTATTAATGACAAGCAATGTTTTCTTATAGTAAATAATGTTTACAATTTAATTCAGTTCCATAGAGAACTAAAAGGAAATGTTATCACTTAAACCTAATTCTGAAGTTGGATAAATAATAAAAAGATATAAAATGGAAAAGACAGGAAGGGGAAGGAATCTAACCAAAAGAGAAGTCTTTAATCACACTTGGGACTGTGTTCTAGAATCTGTTCAACTGGAAGATGATTATTTTTATTTTTATTCTTTTTAAATGTTGATTAAGCTATTTATCTTTAAACATTCATAGAAAAATACCATAATTTAACTCTAAAAAGTTGGTGCTGTTCTAGAAACTACAATCCTTGAACTTACTCTTTTTGTGTAAAATTTTAACCATTCTATTACATAGTGCAAGGTTTTTATATTTACTTGAGGTAAAGCTGTTTAGTTACTTAAGTCCATGTTTGATCGTTTAAAATTACATTTTAAATTGTGAAATTTTAAGTTATTTTAACTTGCCACATAGAACAGGGATCTACTTCTACTTCTATTAATGTCTTACCAGCATTAATTTGACTTCTTTCACAGTTTACCACTTACCCGTGTTTATGAGTACTACATTATACCTAAGATAATATATTTGAAATATGTTTTGAAATCTTACATATAATTCGAGGTTAGAGGGGCAAAATAAATGAAAAGCATTTCTTATAGCGTGTTTATTTTTAGAAAGAAATACTTGTTTTAAAAAGTAAAGTTGTTTTTGAGCTATAAGCATTGATATATTTACTTTTTATATATTTCAGGACCACATTTTAACCCCAGCGCTATTCATAACTTTTATGACAATATTGGATTTGTAGGTCCTGTGCCACCAAAACCCAAAGGTTAGTGTATCCATTAAATGTGAAAACTGTTACTTTTGAAAAGCAAAATTTTAGAAAATTTTTCCTGTTCAGCAACCTTCCTCTCTAGAATTGCTTCAAACTTTGGCATTCTTAAATGAATTCATTAAGAAGATGTTTGCTTATTTTCATTTACATGCTTGGGGTTGGGAAGGATGCAAAGATGTAATATTCTTAGCTTTTTAAAAGTAATATGCACGAGCTTAGGAAACACTATGTACTCCCAACCAATAATAGCAAGTCTTGGTTAAAAAACAATTACTAAGTACAAAAATTTGTATCATTTAAAACTTTAGACAAATGATAAGGAAGATACCTTAGGGAAGTTCCCCCCCCCCATGAGTATTTAGTTTAATTTATATATAACTTTAAGTAATCAAAATACCCTAAATTCCAGGTGAATAGTTTTCTACCTTCTATCATTTTACATCATTGATATTCTCAGAATATATGCACACCAAACTAAGACATTTCAAAGTATGTCTGTGTGTTTTGATCCAGGCATTAAAATGTGTGTAGAAATGGAAACAGGTACATAAATATCACTGCTGAAGGTAAAAATATAGACATATTTACAGATTAACACTTAACCGTGGTATATAATTTACTTTCAACTCTAATAAGAAAGTTAAAAGGTAAAAATGTGTTAATGGATACATAATATTAAAAGAAGAAAACTGCAAGAACACAAAAGTGTGGGAGGGTGGAGGTTGTAAAGATGCAGTAGTATTTTTGTATGCATTTGAAGTTAAGTTGTTATCAACTTAAAATAGAAGAGTATAACCAAATATAATCAAAGTAAATCACGATTAAACGTTGTCGAATAACAAGACAATAAGAGGAAAAGAGGAGCAAAACAGTTGTCAAATAGACAGGAAGCAACAAACTGCCAATAGTAAGTCCTCACTTATTAGTAATTACCTTAACTGGAAATGGATTAAACTCACCACTCACAAGGAGTTGTATGAATGGATTTTAAAAACAGGATCTGGCAGCAGCCAATGGGAGGCCCCAACAGCTCGTGCTGGCGCACACAGCGGGAGGGGAGGGAGCCCAGGATGTGCACGCACCCTCTCCCTCATCCACCGCTGTCACCTCCTGCTGCTCTTCCTGCTGCTCGTGTACTCGTTAGGTGCGGACCCGCCACCTCTTTTGTGAAGCAGCAGCTGAGGAGACTCCGGTGTTCACCATGGCCAACGAAAAGCCCACAGAAGAAGTCAAGACTGAGAACAACAATCATATTAATTTGAAGGTGGCGGGACAGGATGGTTCTGTGGTGCAGTTTAAGATTAAGAGGCAGACACCACTTAGTAAACTAATGAAAGCCTATTGTGAACCACGGGGATTGTCAGTGAAGCAGATCAGATTCCGATTTGGTGGGCAACCAATCAGTGGAACAGACAAACCTGCACAGTTGGAAATGGAAGATGAAGATACAATTGATGTGTTTCAACAGCCTACGGGAGGTGTCTACTGAAAAGGGAACCTGCTTCTTTACTCCAGAACGCTGTTCTTTAAAGACCAAGATTACTGCATTCTCAATTAGAAAACTGCAATTTGGTTCCACCACATTCTGACTACTACAGTATAGTTTTCTCTATTCTTTTGTTTCCCCCTTCCACATTCTTTTATTATACATGAAGTAACTGGTATGTGTACACAAGCATATTGCTTTTTTCTTCAAACCAAACAGCCAATGGTATGTTTTGATTGACATCAAGTGGAGACAGGATGGGAAAAAATACTGATTCTGTGAAAATACCCCCTTTATCCATTAGTGGCATGTTCATTCAGGTCTTATCTTTATATTCTAGTAAGTTATTTTGCTCTCACTGTTTTAACAACAACAAAAAAAAATTCTCACATACCTTGTTCAATTGGAGGATTTTCATGTTTTTCATTTATCATTGTAAAACCAAGGACAATTTTATAACTTTTGTGTACATAGCTGTTACATGTAGGGCAATCTGTCTTTAAGTAGGGATAAATTACTCTAAAAAAAAAAGAAAGAATCCTAGAAAGTTTTTCCTTCAAGTCAGGCTTCTTATTTAAATAAACTTTTTGTTTAAAATGAAATAAAAATAAAAACAGGATCCAATAATATACTATCTACAAGAGACTCATTTTATATTTAAAGACACACATAGGCAGAAAGTGAAGGGATGGAAAAAGATTTTATATAAATGGTAGCTAAAAGAAATCAAAAGTGGCTATAATTATATCAGAAACAATAGATTTTTAAGTCTAAAACTTGAGACAAAGATTATTATGTAATGGTAAAAGGATCAATTCCACAGAAAAATATAAAAATTATAAATATATACACACCCCACATCAGACTACATTAATATGTAAAGCAAATAATGACAGTTCTGACGACAGAAATTGACAGCAATAGTAGGAGACTTCAATACCCCCCTTACAATAATAGAATATCCAGGCAGAAAATGAATAAAGAAACAGCTGATTTGAACAAGCACACACGGAACATTCTGTAGGATAGATCATATGTTAGTTCACAAAACGAGTTTAAACAAACCTAAGAAGATAGAAATCATTCCACGTATTTTTTCTAACCACAGTGGAATAAAACTAGAAATCAGTAACAGCAAGAAAACCATAAAATTTGTGGAAATTTAAACACAGTCTTGAATAATCATTGAGTCAAGAAGGAAATCAAAAGGGAATCTTAACAGTATCTTCAGACAAAAAGGAAAACATAGCATACTAGAACCTATGGGATGAAGCAAAGGCAGTACTAAGAGAGAAGTTTCTAGAGATAAACAATACTACATTAAAAAAAAAAAAAGAAAGATCTCAATTATACCTCAGGGAACCAGTAGAAGAACAACAAGCTAAGCCTAATGTTAGCATAATGAAGAAAATAATAAGAATTAGAGCAAAAATAGAGAATTTAGAAACAACAGAAAAAGAAATAGTAAAACTAAGAGGTTTTTTAAAAAATCAACAAGATTGACAAACCCTTAGCTAGATAAATTGAGAAAAAAAGGAGACAAAATCAGAAATGAAAATGAAGACAACAGATGCCTCAGAAATAAAAGGATCATAAGGGAATATTAGGAACAATTTTATGCCAACAGACTAGATAACCTAGAAAAAAATTGATACATTCCTATCCAAAAAATATCCAAAAAAAATTGATATCACCTATTAAAGCTGAATCAAGAAGAATTAGAAAGACTGAGTAGACCAATAACAAATAAGGAGATTGAATCAGTAATCAAAAATCTCCCAACAAATATCCAGCATGGATTTAGAAATTTAAAAAAAAATTCCCAACAAAGAAAAGTCCAGAACTGGATGGCTTCATGAGTGAATTCTGTCAAACACTCAAACAAGAATTAATACCAACCCATCTTAAGCTCTTCCAAAAATGAGAAGGGGGAACACTTCCAAACTCATTCTGAGGCCAGCCTCACCCTGGTACCAAAACCAGACAAAGACACTACAACTAAAGAAAACTACAGACCAATATTACTGATGAACATAGACGCAAAAAGTCCTCAGTAAAATACTGGCAAACCAAACTGAGCACATTAAAAGGACCATACGCCATGACCAAGTGGGGTTTATCTCTGGGACTTAAGGATGGTTCAACATACACAAATCAGTTAATGTGATACAGCACACACATTGAAGTAAAATGAAAGGAATAACCATGTAGTCATCTTAATAGATGCTAAAAAGCATTTGAAAAAGTTCAGCATTTATTCATAATTAAAACTCTCAGGCCGGGCACACTGGCTCACACCTGTAATCCTAGCACTTTGGGAGACCGAGGCGGGTGGGTCACCTAAGGTCGGGAGTTTGAGACCAGCCTGACCAACATGGAGAAACCCTGTCTGTACTAAAAATACAAAATTAGCCTGGCTTGGCGGCCCATGCCTGTAATCCCAGGTACTCAGGAGGCTGAGGCAGGAGAATCGCTTGAATCTGGGAGGCAGAGGTTGCGGTAAGCCAAGATCACGCCATTGCACTCCAGCCTGGGCAACGGGAGCGAAACTCTTGTCTAAAAAAAAAAAAAATATATATATATATATATATATATATATATATATATACACACACACACATATATATATATATATATACACACACATATATATACATATATATACACACACACACACACACACACACACACACACACATACACATACACATATAGAAGGAACTTAATAAAGGCCATATATAAAAACCCCATAGGTAATATAATCAATGGAGAAAACCGAAAGCTTTCCCACTAAGATCTGGCACAAGCAAGGGTGCCATTCTTGCCACTTATTTTCAACGTAGTACAGGAAGTTCTAATGTAGTATCCATTTTTGTGTTGCTGTAAAGGAATACCTGAGGCTTGGTAATTTATAAAGAAAAAAGGTTTAATTGGCTCACAGTTCTGCAGAAAGCATGTCACCGATACCCACATGCTTTCTGTATAGGAAGCGTGTCACTGACATCTGCTTAGTTTCTGGAGAGGCTTCAGGGAACTTTTATTCATGGCAGAAAGTGAAGGAAGCAAGCAGAGGCATGTCATATGGTGAGCGAGACAGTGGGAGGTGCCACACCTTTTAAACAGCCAGATCTTTCATGAACTCAGAGCAATATCTCACTCATTATTGAGAAACCTGCACCAAGGTATTCATGAAGGATCCATCCCCAGGACCCAGACACCTCCCACCAAGCCCCACTTCTAACACTGGGGATTACATTTCAATATAAGGTTTGGGGAGGACAAACATCCAAACTATATCACCTAGCCAGAGCAATTAGACAAGAAAAATAAAGGTATCCAAATCAGAAAGGAGGAAGTAAAATTATCTGTTTGCAGGCGACATGATCATATATGTTGAAAACCCTGAAGACTCCACCAAAAACTGTTAAAAGTAATAAATGAATTTAGTAAAATTGCAAGACACAAAAACAATGTACAGAAGTCAATTGTGTTTCTGTACACAAGGAACTATCAAAAAAGGAGATCAAGAAAACAATCCCATTCACAATAGCAAGAAGAAGAGTGCTTAGGAATACGCTGAAAATTATAAAACATTGATGAAGGAAATTAAAGAAGACACAGATAAATAGAAACGTAGCCTGTGTTTATGGATTGGAAGAATTAATATTATTAAAACATCCTTACTACCCAAATTAGTCTACAGATTCAATGTAATCCCTGTCAAAATACCAGTGACATCCTTTACAGAAACAGAAAAAAATCTAAAATTATATGGAACCAGAAAAGACCCTGAATAGCCAAAGCAATCTTGAGTAAGCAAAACAGAGCTGGAGACATCACATTCCCTGATTTTTAAAAATATTACAAAGTTATAGTAAAACAGTATGGTACTGACATAAAAACAGACATATTGACCAATGGAACAGAATAGAGAGCCCAGAAATAAATCCATGTGTCTGTGGTCAACTTATCTTTGACAAGCGTGCCAAGAACACAATGGGGAAAGGGTAGTCTCTTCAGTAAATGGATATTCACATGCAGATGAATGAAATTGAACCATTACTTCACACTGTATACAAAAATAAACTCAAAATGGATTAAAAATGTAAACATAAGACCTGAAACCATAAAACTCCTAGAAGAAAACATAGGTGAAAAGCTTCTTGACCTGGTCTGGGCAATGATAGTTTGGATATGACACCAAAAGCACAGGTAACAAAAGCAAAAATGGGCAAGTGGGATTACATTAAACTAAAATGCATCTACACGGCAAAGGAAATCATCAGCAGTGAAAAGGCATCCTTCAGAAAGGGAGAAAATATTCACAAACTATTTAACTCCTAAAGGGTTTATATTCAAAATGTATAAGGAACTCATGCAAATCAATAGTAATAGAAACCAATAACCAGATTTTAAAATGGGCAAAGAACCAGAATAGACATTTCTCAAAAGAAAGTATACAGATAGCCAACAGGTATATTGAAAGGTACTCACCCTCACTAATCATCAGGAAAATGCAAATTAAAACCCAGTGAGATACCACCTTACAAACTTATTGGAATGGTTACTGTGAGAAAGGTGAAAGATTATATGCATTGATGAGGACAAAGAGAAAAGAGAACGCTTGTACACTTTCATGGGAATGTAAGCTGGTGCAGCTATTATGAAAAACAGCATGCAGGTTCAAAAACTTTAAAATTGTATGATCTCGCAATCGCACTACTGAGCATATATCCAAAGGAAATGCAGTAAGTATCTCAAAGAGATATCTGCACTCATTTTCCTTTCAGTATTATTCACAATAGCCAAAATATGAAAACAACATAAATTTCTGTATATGGATAAAGAAAACGTGAGAGATACACACACACAGTGGAATATTACTCAGCCTTAAGAAAGAAGGAAATCCTGTCATTTGTGATAACATGGGTGAACCTGGAGGATGTCTTGCTAAGTGACATAAGCCGGAGAAAGACAAATACTGCATTATCTCACCTATATGTAGAATTCAAAAATATCAAACTCCTGGAAACAGAGAGCAGAACGGTGGTTACCAGGGGCTGGGAGAAGAGGGTATGGGAAGATTGTGGTCGAAGGGGTACAGAGTTTCAACTATATAAGATAAATAAACTCTGGAGATCTAGTGTACAACAGTGTGACTGTAGTTAACAGTAGTTTATTATATAACTGAAATTTGCTAAAGGAGATCTTAAGTGTTCTCACCACGGTGGGGGGTGGGGAGATAAGCTATGTGAGGTGTTGAATATGTTAATTAACTTGATTGTAATAAGTTTTTCACAGTATATACATAAATCATCAAGTTGTACAGCTTATAATTTTTAACTGTCAGCTATACATCCATAAAGTTGTGGGGGAAACAAAACAAAGACAGCAAAACAAGTTTTCATTCACACAAATTCTGGAAGTCAGCAAACACGTGGTGAATCAGGTCAGCACTCATAGTGTTACATCATCCTCACTAGTATGCTGCAATAAATACTCCAGACTTACAATTTGTTCCCCATATGTTTGTATTTTCAAATGTCTTCAGAGATAAAAATTATTTGTGTTACTTCTTCCTTCATAAGAAACATTAAGGTTTGTAGGACTAGGAAAGTATGAATTATGGATAGGAAAATGTACATTTTTCCTGTGAAGCTGAACAGGACACCCTAAAAAAATGTATGGTTACTGTCATTGAGAAATTCAGTGCCTTACGTAGGGGAGGAAAAGGAGAGGTTGAGAAAAACAAAATTAGGACATTTTATGAATCAGGCAGTTGTTCACATGTCTACATACTGGTAGGAATACCATGTTAAACTGGGTTTTAGACAAGTGGCTGGCAAACAGTGACCCATGGACCAAATCCAGCCTGCCGTCTGTTTTTGTCAATAAAGTTTTATTGCAGGAAAAGAAAAAGAAATGGGAACAAGGAAGAACTAGTATATTACTGGTCTTTAGTTTGTTACAAGAATTTTCACATTCTCCTTTCACATTCTAATTTTTGTACTCTACTTCATTTTTGTTTGTTTGTTTGTTTGTTTATTTTTTATTTTTTTGAGACAGAGTTTCGCTGTTGTTGCCCAGGCTGGAGTGCAATGGCGCAATCTCGGCTCACCACAACCTCTGCCTCCCAGGTTCAAGCCATTCTCCTGCCTCAGCTTCCCAAGTAGATGGATTACAGGCATGCGCCACCACGCCCAGCTAATTTTGTATTTTTAGTACAGACGGGGTTTCTCCACGTTGGTCAAGCTGGTCTTGAACTCCTGACCTAAAGTGATCCACCCGTCTCGGCCTCCCAAAGTGCTGGGATTACAGGCGTGAGCCACAGCGCCCAGCCTCCTTCATTTTTATGTATAATTAGGTGTAGCTCTGTCCTCATATTTTATTTAAATGTTTTTAAATATAGCTGGAATACAATGAAAAGTTATTACAGAGGATGAGAGTGAGATTAGGGCATTTGACACAGTAAGCAAATGTTCAGAGACTAGATGCTATTTGGATGTTAATTGAATAAAGCAGTAGAGATGACAGCGGTATAAGCACTAACTCTAAAATATGCAAGATGTGTTTTTCAGACACTGAATGATTTTCCTTAGTATAATCTTCCTACCCTTTTTGAAAAATAAGAATTTTTTCTTATGAAAAGTTTCCTCTTTTGCTTCAACATAATCTGTTACTTCAGAATAATAATAATCTGTTATTTCACATAAGTGAAATAAAATTGGTCTTGACAGTTGTTGAAGTGGGATGAGTATATGAAGGTTCATTTTGCTGTCCTCTCTACTTTTATATATGTTTGAAATTTTCTGTAATAAGAAAGGTCCAATAAAAACATCCATTACTTAAAAGTTTTTACATGAAAGATAGAAGTTTGTATGCTGGCTGTTTTGGGAGAAATAAGGAATCAATAATTTTTTGCAATAAAGCTAAAATACACATTAACTTCATGAATAGAAATTTAGTCCTTGAAGTCAGTTCTGCTTCATAATGTAGAGATTTTTTTAACAGCTAAAATTAAATGTGTTTAGACCATTGTTTGTGATCTAATTTCCTCTTTTTTCCAATTTTGGTTATTTAGTTTCCGAACACCTCTAATTAAAAAAAAAAAAAATCATAATTCTAAGTTTACCAAGTGAGATTATAAGAAAACCACTGGAGATTTTTCATTTAAGAAAAATTTTATAGATCCCTTATTGATTGCCTTAGATATTACTTAAATAATCAAAAATTTGCTGGCATTTAATAATACATTGAAGTGTAAAAAGGGACTTCCTTATGGTCACTCTTCCTAAAATTTTAACCTTTGCAGTTAAACAGAATCAACAAGGTTTTACTAAAAACGTGTCAGGTGAAAATGTTTTCTAATGCCTGAGACCAAAATTTTAGTAAGTAGGATGGATCCCCAGATTAAAACAATTATTCTATAAAATGTTTCCCAGATGTGGAATGTGAGATGATTTTACGTGGTAAAAAGTCAAAAGTTTTTTAAACTGTATTTCTTTTCAGTTGTTTCAGGGCATAGTAACTGGTATTGTCAGACCCTTGATTTTTTTAGATATTTTTACTTAGGATAAGACTTAATTCGATGTTTGTTTTAAAATTATTCAGTTTGGGGAAAATACTGTATAAACACCATTCAAGTTGGTTGTGCATGTGGCAAAAATTGTGACAATGGAAAGCCAACACCTAAAGTTGAGGACTTAGCAAGAAAATTTCTGTACAATGAGTAAGAAAGGTGCTGCTAAAGGGGTACAAAGTACCAAATATCACTTAATTATTTAAAATTTGTCATAAAATTTGACTTCTGTATTTTTATTTACTTGTTACAATAGTCTCTCTTTTAAAATAGAAAAGTTATCAGTAGGGTAGGTGGAATTTGCATATTAATATACATTGTTTTAACATAGGTTTGATTCTTCAAATTAATAACCTTGACAGGAAAAATTCAACAATGCATGCTCCTTTTACTTTAAACCTCCCAAAATTAATTTGTAGGAATACTGTTCTAATTTCATTATGGGACCCAAATTTTTTTAAGTAGTTTTATAAATGTAATCGCTTGTTAGAGATAACCTTTGAGGAATATAATTATTCTCTGTATTTAAGATACCACTATCCATATAAACATTCTAGAACATTGGTCTCTTAGAGTTCCAGTGACCTTTATTTTATAAGTAAGAAACAAAGAGACCTAGAATGTATATGATTTATCTGAGATCACAGAGCAAAGTATTCAGGAATTAGTAGCAGAGCCTGGAACAGAACTCCATTCTCACAACTCTCAATTCTAGTGTTCTTTCTACTTTACCATACCAAATGTGGTTTTTAAAAATAAAGTATGGTAAAATTTTTACATAGATTTACTTCTCCAGAGTCTGTGGATAAGACGTTAGATACTAGTTTATATTTTATTTGTGTCATCCAAGGCTTACATTTTTGGCAGATGGAGAACATGAATTGACAAAAAAAACTGCCCTTTCTGGTAGAAAACGAATATAAATACTACTGCAGTGGGAAACGAAACTCTAATGAGACTTATGTACACTGACAGTATTGTTTTGCAGTAGGACAGCTTTTTACAATCTTGAGTGGTATTATGGGAATCTTTGCTATTAGATACCCTTTATTCTACTATAAATTGTAGGTAATGATGCTGTTTTCTCCTTTAAGGAGATTGGAGGTGATTACATCATGTTCATGTTGTATTTCCCAGAGGGAGAAGTGCCAACTAGATAGAGGTTGGTAGTGATCGAGCATGTGTGTCAGTGTCAGCTAGATGCCCCATTTGGGGAGCAAGCTGCATCAGGCTGTGCACTACAAATGGTGTTTAAAGTTGCCTGTAATTTTTTAGACTTTGTGATTTTTTACTTATAAAATAATTTTTTTCTTTCTTACAGATCAAAGGTCCATCATCAAAACACCAAAGACTCAAGACACAGAAGATGATGAGGGAGCTCAGTGGAATTGTACCGCCTGTACTTTTTTGAACCATCCAGCCTTAATTCGCTGTGAACAGTGTGAGATGCCAAGGCATTTCTGAGCCAAATGGCCCTGTATCTTCTCTAAAACCACATCTAAAGTTCAAGAAACTAGTCTGTCATCGGGAAAAAGTTTCACTGCTACATAGGATTTTGTCAAATTGAAGGTGTGACAAGATGGTGTTCTGCTAATGTTAAATGTCAGCCCACAGAGCTAATAATACCTCAGTATAATGTCATGAGCAGTTGAAATTCATCACATGAAAAGTAATCTGCTGAAAGACTTGGTTGCCCACTGCCTAACTGTGTACAGTGTTACCAGTGTCCCATTATGGATAATTCTCAATATGTTAACACCTAGGTGTTCCCAATACCTTTTTCCCCTCATGTCACTACTGAATTTTGACAGGAGGAAGGAATAGAATGATAGCTTGTTTTATTTGTAAAGCTTTCAGTGAAACACTACATACACGAAGAAAAGGAACAAGGTTTAACTATTTAAGAACCATTTGCTGCCGCATAGTGCCATTGGATAGGGAAGAACTTCAGAAATCTGTGGTACTCTTGGCCTTGTCTTTGTCTTCCCTGAACGTGTCTCCACTCTGTGAAGCCAGCATCTAGGGGCTAAAGATGCAAAGGAAAGCAGCATGCATTGTCTGTACAAATGTGCAGCGAAATACCCCAAAGCTTTTCCTACTGTACAGATCTCTCGAGTCTGCTTTAAGTGATTTCTTTTCTTCTTGATTATTTTCTTATATTTCTATATGTATAGTGTAATAGCCTTTTGTTAACTAATTTTCTTTTTTCCTTTTAGTAATTAAGCACGATCATGTCCCTTTTTAAGCCTTACCTGAGAGGAACAATGCCTTAAAATAAAAAAGCATTAATGAGATGAAAGTATGCACAGAATAACTTTCCTCTACTTATTCTGTACTTTGCCCTCATGAGTTCCAATGTTGTGTGAAGACAGGCAGATGCTGCACAGTGAATTGCAGATGATATTACAGAAGTGATGTCTGTAGGTCACATTAAATACTGACTTGAGCAGTGGGTGACACAACACAGTGTTTGTCTTCCACAGGGAAGCTTAAAACAAAAGATATTTTTAACCCACTGACAGAACAACAAGGTTAAGCTTCATCTGCTTGGTGTCCCACAGAACTTGCACAAGCAGTTGTTATTGGGAAAGTACAGTCTCAAAACCAGCAACAGCAGCAGTACCTACAGCCCTTTTTTTGGAGAGAAGTTTAAATGCTTTACTGTTGGGGCAGTCCATTTCTAATCCTGACTTGGTGACAGTATCATGTGTATTTATAAAACAAGGCTAGCCATATTTAGGACAACTGAAGAAAAGCTGGAAAAAAAAACAAGCAAACTTGAACACTGAAGCAACCTCAAGCATCTCTTTATTTTGATGATATATTTTTGTAAGGAAAATATTCAGATGATCAGGAATGTATATAACTGAAATCAAGAAAAAGAACAGTATGCATTTAAAAAGACAGAATTATGAAATTATATGAGTGCTTAGAATGGGGCTAAGGGAAGTGCTGAAATAGAGCAAAGGATGGAAGATAATATAGACTACCACCCACTGTAAATGTTTGCAAGTGGCTGTGTTTTAAATGGGATTATTACAGTTGATCTCTATGAATGTCAGAGCCCTAACTTTCAGGCTTTGCATTTTGTATATGGGAAGAAATATGACAATCCTAGGTAATTAAACCATAGACCCAAAGCCCTTACGTTTGATGCAATTTATTTTTAAAATAGGCCTTGTTTTTCAGCTTCATCTGCAGTTCTATGTGAAGATTGATAAATCAGTTTTTACTTGTTTTATTAATAAAACGTAATTTGGATATCTTGAGTTGATGGTTTTGTGATTTAGCTGGGTAAACTATCTTTGTAACAGATAAGTTATTTATAAAAATTAAAAAACTTATATTCTAATGTGGATTTTGTGACTTGTTTTCAGTTTGTGGGACAGGAGATAATTTATACATCAGCAGATCATTTAAGCATTAATGGAAATCAGGGAAAACTTCTTCTCTAGAGTCTCCTTGTGACATTGTGATACTCAGCTGCATTTCTTGGACTGTTTTTATCAATTTCCCTAGACTTCTTTTTTCATAGTTTATGATAGTTTTCCCTTTTATTTCCTTTGGATTTTTCAAAATTTACCGCATTGTTAAAGACAAATGTGATTTATTGGACCATTTAACCTGAAGTAAACATTTAGTTAATATTTGTTCTGTCCCTTGATGTGTAATGCAGGTCATGAGGATGGTGGTGCTTCTCTTGAAGAGAACTTTTATATTTACAGTTTTCAAAAAATTACAAAAACTCAGGTGTTTTTCTCAGCCTGAAAAGAACAAAGTAGTATTTGCTGATCTCCCCATGATGCAGTTGTAGAAAGGTCTGCCTTGAGTGGTCTTTTAAACTTAGTAGAAAGGAAATACTCAATGCCAGTGAATATGAGGACTGGACATGTTGGGCATCTGGAGACCACTTTTGGGAACTTCATTGCCCTAAAACAGAATTACAAGTGTAAGAACCTCCAATCGAAAGATGGACTTCGAAGTATTTTTTTGACACAAATTATCCTTCATCTGTATGTTTAAAGGGGTTTGGGGGTAGAGGAATTGGCAGTTCATGTAAACTAGACTTCTCAGGAAAATTTTTATATTAACAAATTGTCAGCCAAATGTCTCCTGTGACAACTAATACGTTAGACAAAGATGTGTGTTATATTGCAGGCGTTTGAGGGAAAAAAGTTGAAATTTTATTTTTCTTTTAAAATCTTGTTTAACCTGTGTCATCTTTGATCTAATATTAATTAACTTTATATTGGGGAAATTATGCAGAAAATCAGCTCCATGGGTAGTCCAAAACTAATTGTTAGCTTTAAACCTACTTAATCAAAGCAGCTATAAATAGCAAAACTAGCTGACGTGTCACCAGTTTTCTCTATCCCAATGTAATGTTGACAGGCAATTCTAGTGAGCAGGGATAGATTTAAGAGGTAAACAGTATAAGATAAAATATTCAGACTGGGCACAGTGGCTCACACCTGTAATCCCAGCACTTTGGGAGGCCAAGGTGGGTGGATCACTTGAGGCCAGGAGTTTGAGACCAGCCTGGCCAACATGGGGAAACCCCATCTACTAAAAATACAAAAATTAGCCGGGCGTGGCAGCACATGCCTGTAGTCCCAGATCCTCTGGAGGCTGAGCCATGAGAATCACTTGAATTCAGGAGGTATAGGTTGCAGTGAGCCAAGATCGCACCACTGCACTCCAGCCTGGGCAACAGAGCACGACTCTGTCTCAAAAAAATAAAATAAAATAAAATAAAATATTCAGCCCATGAGTAATGGAAGTAGGCCATATTGCCGTAGAAAATAATGTAGTGACACTAGAGACTACTCCAGATTTAATATCTATATGCTGGATATCGGCATAGCTTCCCATATAACATCACAAAGTACTTCTATTCCTGTATGGCAAATGAATATATTTTTGGCTTCAGCTTTTTTGGTGCTACAATTTTATATCCATTTTACTTGAAATGGCTCAGCTGCATTTTAATTTGTATTGCTTCCATCTGAAAATACAATTAGACAACTGAGAGAAAAGGCCTAAGAAAACAATTTTGTAGTGAGTTTTTGTATTTGTTATGACCTCTCAACTTTATTATTTATTTATTTATTTATTTATTTTTTGTGGTGTGTGTGTGTGTGACACAGAGTCTCACTCTATCACCCAGGCTGTAGTCCAGTGGAGCAATCTCGGCTCACTGCAACCTCCGCCTCCCAGGTTCAAGTGATTCTCCTGCCTCAGCCTCCCCAGTAGCTGAGTTTACAGGCACACGCCATCACGCCTGGCTAATTTTTTTTGTATTTTTAGTAGAGACGGTTTCGCCACGTTGGCCAGGCTGGCATTGAACTCCCAACCTCAAGTGATCGGCTCACAGCCTCCCAAAATGCTGTGATTTCAGATGTCTTCATTAGATTTACTCTGTAATCCTGGGACAGTTCCTTGTTTATATTGCCTCTCCTTGTCGAACGAAGGTGATTAGATTAATGCTAAACTCACCTCACAGGGGTGTTGTAAGGATTAATGTGAAACTATTATCTGAGCCAACCCCTTCTCTCTGACTAGGAACTGCATTGTCCTAAAAGTGGGCCTTGTTTTTACATAAATGGGTTGTGAAGTATTGTTCTCTCAACAGTATTAACAGGTAAGTTAGCTATTTATCTGAATTGGTCTAGGGACATCTCAATGGATCAGAATTTGATGTTTCATTCACTGAGATTGAATTTTTCCTCTTAATGTCAAAGGTTGGTAGCTTTGCAAAGATTATAAAACTTTGGAAGGCTGACCTGAAGATCAGGTATGTTTATATTTGTATTATATGTTCAGCTGTCTAAAGAGTGTACATTTTATGATGGAGTATAACAAATTATTTCTCCAGGAAAAACACTTGAAGAACTTACTCTAGTGTTTGCATGTCTGCATATTTGTTTTAAGCCTAAAATGGACCCAAAGCACACTTCTCTCTAGTGCCTCCCTCTTTACAGATTCCCTTCTTTACTCCGTTCTTCCTCTTCTGAGGGCAGCCTTCCCCTGACGTGATGTAGAACCAATACAGCTTACTGATCTTATTCTAGAAGTGTTTATTGATCCTCATAGCCGTGAACAAAGACTGCGGTATCTTCACCATGGAAATCCTTTCCAGTGGTTTTTGGTTTTGTTCTTTAGAGACAAGGTCTTGCTGTGTTACCTGGGCTGGCCTCTTCCTGAGTTCAAGTTATCCTCCCACCTTGGCCTTCCAAGTAGCTGGGACTACAGATGCATGCCACTGCACCTGGCTCCAGATATATATATGTATATATATATATTTTTTTTTTAATTTTCACCTTTGAACTCATCCATGGATTGTTGATAGGTTTCGTCCCTTTCACACTGTGACCTAATTGATTCCAAGTTCTTACTCTTTCCTTGCACACTGCAGCTAGATTACAGTATATTACAGAAATAACACTATGCCCACACAATCCTGTTCAGAAATCTTTATTATTTCCCCATTGTTCATTGAGCTTACTTGTAAGACTTGTTTGTTCCTTACCTGTCTCTTCAGGATCATTACTTTCCAACAGAGTCCTCTTACAACTAAATTGGTCTAATCACTTCCCTTAATAGGCTTTGCACATCCCCACCAGTGTACTTTCGTCCATGCCATTTGCTTTGTCTCTGTACTTAAATTTAACTTTCCAGTGATCCGATCAAGGGTCACCATCATGAGACCTTTCCAAACCGCACCTTTTCTCATAGCACTTGCTATATTTTCTGCCTACTTGGCATTCATTGCTACTTTGACCTCTCCACTTAGATACAGACATATATTGTTTTATTGTGTGTCACTTTATTGCACCTCACAGATGTGTTTTTTACAGATTAAAGGTTTGTGGTAACCCTGCATTGAGCAAATGTATTGGTACCATTTTTTTCAACAGCATGTACCTCTGTGTCTTTTGTATTACGTTTTGATGAGTCTCACAATATTTCAAACTCTCATTACTGTTACATTCATTATGATTTGTGATCTGTGATCTTTGATGTTGTAATTGTTTTGGGGCACCATGAAGCATATCCATCTAAGGCTTAAGTGACGTTTGAACCATGTCTGTGTGAGACTTAACCGATACTTGATAATATGTGGTTTTTTTGGTGTGTGTGTGTGAGATTTTGTTTGTTTTTGAGATGGAGTCTCACTCTGTTGCCAGGCTGGAGTGCAGTGGTGCAATCTCGGAGCACTGCAGCCTCCACCTCCTGGGTTCAAGTGACTCTCCTGCCTTGGCCTCCCAAGTAGCTGGGATTACAAGCGTGCACCACCACGCCCGGCTAAGTTTTTGGATTTTTAGTAGAGACAGGGTTTCACCGTGTTAGCCAGGATGGTCTCCATCTCCTGACCTCGTGATCCGCCCGCCTCGGCCTCCCAAAGTGCTGGGATTACAGGTGCGAGCCACCACGCCCGGCCAGTGTGTGTGTTCTGACTGTTCACCAACCAGTCATTCCCCTGTCTTTCTCCCTTTTCTTGGGCCTCCTATTCCCTGAGACACAACAATATTGAAATTAGGCCAATTGATAACCCTACAGTGGCTTCTAACCTTAAGTGAAAGAAAAAGTCACACATCGCTCATATTAAATCAAAAACCAGAAATGGTTAAGCTTAGTGAGGAAGGCATGTTGAAAGCCAAGATAGCCTGACAACTAGGCCTCTTACACCGAACAGCCATGTTGTGAATACAAAGGAAAAGTTCTCAAAGGAAATTAATAGTGCTACTTCAGTGAACACAAGTGATAAGAAAGTGAAGCAGCCTATTGCTGATATGAAGAGTTTTAATCACCTGGATAGAAAGTCAAACCAGCCACAACATTCCCGTAGGCCAAGGCTTAATCCAGAGGAAGGCTCTAACACTCTTCAATTCTATGAGACAAGTGAGGAAGCTGCAGAAGAAAAGTTTGACAATAACAGAAGTTGGTTCATGAGATTTACAGAAAGAAGCCATCTTCATAACATAAAAGTGGCAGGTGAAGCAGTAAGTGCCAATATAGAAGCTGCATCAAGTTATCCAGAAGATCAAACTAAGATAATGTGGCTACATGAAACAGATTTTCCATGTAGATGAAACAGCCTTCGAGTGGAAGAAGGTGTCGAGATGCCCTCCAGGACTTTCATAGATAGAGAAGAGAGATCAGTGCCTGGCTTCAAAGGACAGGCTGACTCTTGTTAGGGGCTAATGCAGCTGGTGACTTGAAGTTGAAGCCAATGCACATTGACCATTCCAAAAATCCTAGGGCTCTTAAGAGTTATGCTAAATATACGCTGTCTGTGCTCTAGAAATGGAACAACAGAGCCTGGATGGCAGCACATCTGTTTATAGCTTGGTTTACTGAATATTTTAAGCTGACTGTTGAGACTTACTGCTCAGAAAAAAAAAAAAAAAAAAAAAAGATTTCTTTCAAAATATTACTGTTCATTGACAATGCACTTGGTCACCCAAGAGCTCTGAGGGAGTTGTATAAGGAGATTTCTGTTTTCATGCCTGCTAATATATCCATTTTGCAGCCTGTGGATGAAGGAATAATTTAGACTTTGAAGTCTTTATCACTTAAGAAATACATTTCATAAGGCTATAGCTGCCATTGATAGTGATTCCTCTAATGGATCTGGGTAGAGTAAACTGAAAACCTGGGAAGAATTCACCATTTTAGATGACATTAAGAACATTCATGATTCATGGGAGGAGGTCAAAATATCAACACTAATAGGAGTTTGAAAGCAGTTGATTTCAACCCTCGTGGATGACTTTGAGGGGTTCAAGACTTCAGTGGAGGAAGTCACCGCAGGTGTGGAAATAGCAAGAGAACTAGAATTAACAGTGGAGCATGAAGATGGGACTGAATTGCACTCTCATGATCAAAGTTGAACAAATAAAGAGTTGCTGTTTATGGACGAGAAAAAGTGGTATCTTGAGATGGAATCTCCTCCTGACGAAGATGCTGTGAACGCTATTGAAATGACAACAAAGGATTTAGGATATTACATAAACTTAGTTGATAAGCAGCCACAGGGTTTGAGAGGATTGACTCCACGTTACTGTGGGTAAAATGCTACCAAACAGCATCACATTCTACAGAGAAATCTTTCATGAAAGAAAGAGTCAGTCGATGCAGCCAGCTTCATTGTTGTCTTATTTTAAGAAATTGCCCCAGTCACCCCATCCTTCAGCAGCCACCACCCTGATCGGTCAGCAGCCATCACCCTGATCAATCAGCGGCCATCAAGACCCTCCACCAGCAAGAAGATTATGACTTGCTGAAGGCTCAGATGATTGTTAACATTTCTTAGCAATAAAGTATTTTTAATTAAGGAATGTACATTTTGTTTTTAGACATAATGCTATTGCACACTTAATAGGCTGCAGAATAGTGTAAACAATTTTATGTGCACTGGGAAACCAAAAAATTCATGTGACTGACTGTATTGTGATACCCACCTTATTATGGTGGTCTGGAACCAAACCTGCAATATCTCCAAGGTATGACTGTCAGGACAGGTGTGTCTTTGTGTCCCCATAGCAAATAACTTCATACATGGCAAAAGGTCAGTAGTTGATGATGATTCTTTTTTTATTTAAGATAGGGTATCACTGTTTTGCCCATCCTGGACTTCTAGGCTCAAGCTATTCTCCCACCTCAGCCTCCCAAGTAGCTGGGACTACAAACGTGCCCCACCGCACCCAGACTTGATGATAACGACTCTTAACATGAAGGCCAAGTTAATTTCTAACATTTATTCAAGTTAACCAGTGGGTACAGCCATTTTGAATGTAGTATGTATTTTCCCCTAGAACTAGTATTAGAAGCAGTAGGTTCCCAGGCCAGCCCACTAATTAGCTGGAACGCTTTGCATTTGGAAAACTGAAATAAGGCACAATCATACTATTGGGATAGATAAATGTAACAATGAAACCCAAAAATAATGTTTCTGGTATCTTCTGTGTGGTGCCAGAGGGGGATGAAGAAGTAGAGATCTTTGTGGATATTCTGGAAAATTCAGAAATTGGCATTTCAACCTGAGGCCTCTGTTACATCTAACTTTACTTCAAATTTTAAAGTTTGCTTTTTCATGGACCAAAGTGTTTGAGTGGCTTCTTCTTAGACATAATGAATGTCCTTTTTTGTTTTTCTTCAAAATTGAAGCAGAGGGACATGGGAGAATATTTTTCTGGAGAACACTGGTCAAGAGAAGAGGAAAGAAAGAAGAAAATTAAATGCAAAGTATGTAAAAATCCTGTCTTATTCTTTCCCAAGAAAGGTGAAGAGACAGGCTTCTGACTAAACGATGAGCAGCAGAGAGCAGGGACTCTCACTGGTTAAACTCCACTGGGTCTGATAGCCAACACATTGCCTGAGAGTGAGTGACATGAAACAAGCCCACATTTTATTAATCTGAATTGAAGTCTTAACTACTACCTTTTGGTTTTTAACACAAGTCTTTCACGTGCCCTTTTGCTGAACTGCCAAATTCTTTTTGTAATAAAACAGCATACACATCTTAGAACACCAATTTGCTAACCCAGACAACCAAGCTCTGCTAAGGTAATGAATGAGAAGCAATATATGCAGTTTCCATTCCAGTGAATGATAATAGGTGATTTTTGTTATGAAGTATCTCAAAGCATGATTATATTCAATATCGAATGACAAAAACACACAGCAAAGATTTTTAAACTTCCACCTGTATTGCTCTCTTTATTAACCATAATCTCTTTCTTTTCTACTGTTTATTATGTTTTGTTTTGTTTTTGTTTTGAGACAGAGTCTAGCTCAGCCACCCAGACTGGAGTGCAGTGGCGCGATCTCGGCCCACTGCAACCACTGTCTTCTGGGTTCAAGCGATTCTCCTGTCTCAGCCTCTTGAGTAGCTAGGATTACAGGCACCTGCCATCATGCCCAGCTAATTTTTGTATTTTAGTAGAGACGGGGTTTCACCATGTTGGCCAGACTGATCTTGAACACGTGACCTTAAGTGATCCGCCCACCTCGGCCTCCCAAAGTGCTGGGATTACAGGCATGAGCCACTGCGCCTGGCCTCTGTTTATTATTAATATGCTAACAGTTAACAGGTAACTACTGGCTTCACATTACAAGAAACAAGGGGCTCCCAAATTTGGAAACGAGTAAAGAATAAGTAGTACTCACTGAAAACCTTAGGCCAACTGTCATTTTGTCCTTTTGATTCCAGTTTGTGCTAAGGTAGCAATAGTAATTTCTCAGTTCTCAATCTGCACAATCATCTTTATATTTCAAAAATTTCACATTTTGAATTTGCTACTTCCTCCTTTTGCTAGTCTTCCTAATCTTAGCCACATTCTCTCATTTTCTTCACTGCTTTATACCCTGCTTCCAGCTTAGGTCTGGCACATAGTAGGTGGGCAACAAATTTTGTTACGTTATGAATTTGATGACAGGGTCTAGCTTAATTTTTCTATGATTTTCCCCAAATGCTTTTCAGTATCACATTCCTGCCATAGGTCAGGCAGTGTGTTTGATGACACGAGAGACAGTCACCACCTTAGAGCTTATAAAGGAGAAATAAGCATGCAAGTACAGTCAATCATTATCTGTGGATTCGTTTGTGAATTTCCCTATTCACTAAAAATGGTCATGGCACTTTCATAGTCCTTTGCAGATATGGGTAGAACAGTGACAAACTTGAGTCACCCAATGGTCATATTCCCATCTCAGGTCAAGCTACACAATGGTCTGCCTCTTGTGTCAGCTCCTGTACTGTGAACCAAGTGTCCTTTCTGCAGTCTATTTAGGGATATGTTTTTTGCATTTGTATTGGTGATTTTGCCATTTAAAATGCCCTCAACATTGTGCGGAAATGCTGTCGAGTGTTCTAAGCCCAAGAATGCCAGGATGGGCCTTAGCGAGAAAATACATGTGTCAGAGAGCTTTGTTCATGCGCGAGCTGTAGCCCTGTTGGTTATGAGTTCAGTGTTCATGAATAAAGTGTCTTGAAACAGAAACACGTAAAACTAGGCCATGTATTGATGGGCTGGTGAAAATATCGTGGGCAGAAGCTCGTGGGAACCTAACCCTGCGTTTCCTCTAGGAGCAAGTCGCTGTTCACTCTTTGCTAAATCAGTGTTTGTGGAGACTTTATAGAACGTAACTACCACTTATTAATAATGAGATTAACTGTGGACAGGTGCTGTACAAAAAGCTACAAAGTTCAGTGAAGAGAGACAATTTCTTGTGGTTGAGTCAGGGACAATTAATGAAAAGGAGGCTTTTGAGATGAGACTGAAATGGTGGGTGAGACTCTGACAGAGGGGGAAACATTCCAGACACAGGAAACAGTGTGAGCCATGGTGGAGTTTAGAAACTCTAGGGGTGATATAGGGATCTGCAGGTAACCTTGTTTGGCTAAAAGCTGGAGAAGATAAGATGGAAAACATACATTCTGTGGAGGACAAGTAAGAGTGTACTTAAAGAAATGGGCAAAAATTAGCCATGAAAAGTTTGGGGATAATCTCCCCAAGAGGAATGAAGAAATAAGTCCATATAAAGACTTAAATGTTGAGAGAAGCTTTATTCATAGTGGCCAAAACCTGGAAACCACCCAAATGTTCATCAATAGTGGATGGAGAAACAGGTGCTTGTGTGTCTACAGACTGGAATGCTACTCAGCAGTAAAAAGGAACAAATACCAGCCTGGGCCATATAGTGGGACCTCATCTCTACAAAAAAAAAAAAAGAAAGAAAAAAAAATTAGCCAGGCATAGTGTACCTGTACACCTGTAGTCCCAGCTATTCAGGAGGTTTAGGCACGAGGATTGCTTAAGAACAGGGAGGTCAAGGCTGCAGTGAGCTGAGATTGCACCTTTGCACTCCAGCCTGGGTGACAGAGTGAGACCCTGTCTCAAAAAAATTAATAAAAATAATGTTTTTAAAAATATTTAGGAGAAGAAACATTTACTGTGTTTACATCCATGAGAAAGACAAACGAGAGGAAAAGCAGAACACAAAACAAGCTACCCACGAGGTACTCCCTTAGTAATGATCAGATGTGAAACAGAACCTCGTCATATCTAAAGCCAAAGCTACGAGATGCCCTCCTGTGTGATAGTTTCCATTACCCATACTGTTGCTAACTTCGGTTTTATTTAAAACTCACTTTATACTAGTAATATATATGCCAATTCCTCTATAATATATCACCACATAGCTGCATGGTTTTCTTCTCCAACCATAACACTACTGAATTAATGCTGAGAAAGATAACTGCTTGTGGTCACCCTGTGTTAGGAGCATTGTGTTGTCATCATTTTCTTTCAGGGGGCTCAGTGTGACCCACTGACAGTGTCCAAGTGAATGTTGCCGTATGTACACCAAGATCCGTGCCATCCTGGTACTTTGGTCTTCCGGTCCTTGCTGAGGATCACTGTTTTGAGGTAGGAAAGAGCTGCCTTGTCCTAATGGTGCCCACACTCCCATGCAACCACCATTTGATGGTCGATAAAGGGACACCAGCGTCAGGGATGGAAGTCCTGCAGGCATGGCCTCTGGCCTCCTCACAGCTTGGATTAAAGAGATGTTCTCCAGGGAGCTGCCCACCTCTAGTTCTATTTTCAAGTATCTTTTCCATTAAAATATTCACTCATCCCTCGGAATCCACAGAGGTTTTATTCCAGGACCTCCATGGATACCAAACCCTCGGATGCTCAAGTTCCTGATATAAAATGGTGGTGTATTTGCATATAACCTATGCCCATCCTCCCCTGCACTTTAAATCAGCTCTAGACTACCTAGAATACCCAATACAATGGAAATGCTCTGTAAATAGTTGTTATGCTGTATTGGCCTTTATTTGTTTTGTTTTGTTTTGTTTTGTGAGATGGGGTCTTGCTCTGTCACCCGGGCTGCAGTGCAGTAGCATGATCATGGCTCCCTGCAGCTTCGATTTCCCCAGCTCAAGTGATCCTCCCACCTCAGCCTCCCAAGTAGCTGGGACCACAGGTGCATGCTACCACGCCGGCTAATTTTTTTCATTTTTTGCAGTGGTGCAGTCTCCCTGTGCTGCCCTGGCTGGTCTCGAACTCCTGGCCTCAAGCAATCCTCCCACCTCAGCCTCCCGCAAAGTGCTGGAATTACAGGCATGAGTCACCACACCTGGCTTTTTTTCTGTTATTGTATTTTTTTCCTAATATGTTTGTCTTCCTAATATGTTTGATCCACATATGCAGAATCCGCAGATCCAGAGGGCTGACTGACTGTATGTCCAGTGATTCTCTTTTATATAAAACTAACTCTGGTCACATTCACTATGTAGCATCTTATGCTGCCTAACAAATCCCAGACAACTATCAGACACCTCTGCTTTCCACAGTTAAGCCTTGATTTAGAAATCTTATTTTTATTTGCTTCACTCAGAGTGCTGTCCCATGTGCCAAGCATGGCCTGGGTTCTGGGGATACCGCAGTGAACAAGACACAAAGACCCCTGTGTTCACCTACCGTCCTGGCTCCCCTGGGCCTGGACTAGCTGTGAGGCCCTCTGTGCACTGAAGACCCTGCTCCATGTGCTACCATGTGCTTTGAGAGTGGTCTTGCTTTATTTTCGTTGTAGATTCCCTCTTTAGTAGCATGTGCTCAAATCCAGAAGAATAAATAAAATTCTGAAATGAGAGGGAGGCAGGTGTGTTGGCTTATGCCTATAACCGCAACACTGAGAGGCCAAGGAGGGAGGATCGCTTGAGGCCAGGAGTTTGAGACCAGCGTGGGCAGCACCCCATCTGTACCAAAAAAAAAAAAAAATTTAATCAGCCAGGTGTGGTGACGCACCTGTCATCCCAGCTGCTCAGGAGGCTGAACGTGGGACGATCCCTTGAGCCTGGGAGTTTGAGGCTGCAGTGAGCCATGATCATGCCACTGCACTCCAGCCTGAGTGATAGACTGAGACCCTGTCTCAATAACAAACAAAAAATAAATGCAAGGGAACGTTACTTAAAAACTATACACCTAAAACCGTAATGCTTTCCTGGCTTCTGCTTTTTGTGATATGATAAAGACACTCATTAGTCAAGGGATGTTGCTAAATGCTAAAAAAAAAAAAATCAGCTTTTCAGGCCCTCGGTACTGATTTTGTCTGTGATGTTGCCGCTGTTGTTGAGGTGGGGTGGAAAGGGAAATGGGAAGTAACAGCTTTGGGCCACGACTCCCCGAAGGCCAGTGGCTTCTGCTCCAGATACTGCACTAGCAGCGTCTCGCAATTTTGGTACCTCAGCCGCATCTGATGATTTCTTTTTTCTTTTTTTTAGGTTGGATAGATTCCTAAATCTGATCATCTGATCTCTCTCTCTCTCTCTCTCTCTCTCTCTCTCTCTCTCTCTCTCTCTCTCTCCCATCTTTAACAGGGAAGGGAGAGTGGAGGGCATCTCAAAAAGATCATTCCTCTCCACGTTAACTGCTGTGTTGGGAGGGAAGCCGTGCATCTGGTTTCTTTATTTGGGCTCCACTTTCTTGCTTTCTAAGCACATCACGAGGCTGTCCTTCGGTCAGCTGATCACTGTGGCATGGCCCTTAACTGCTGAATAAACAGAATGGAAGTCAAGCAAAAGAAAAGCACAAATACAGACAGAGGCATAATTACAAGGGAACATTTTCAGTTGAAAACATTGCTCACCGGGAAAAACTTTACAGAGAAAAGTTTAAGCTATTTTCAGCATTCCCTTCAGAAATATTTTCTTACAGGGCTGCTACTTCCATAGTTCAGAAGAAACTATTAGAGCAGAGGATTAAGGTTTCAATTAATTCCAAAAGACAGCACAAGCGAGGTCCAGCCAACTTCAAAGCGCCTGATTATTGATCATAGGACATGAGCGCCAAGCAGAGGAAGAAACAGCTTCACTGCGGGGGCTTCTGGGCTGCAGGAAGCAGTCGGGGTCCAAGCCCTCCTGCTGTCCTCTCCCAACTCTGTCTCAGAAGAGGCTGTTTGAAAACCAGAGTGAAGCCATCACCTTTGCTGCATGAGAATGAAGTTCTGCCTACAACAGGCACTTCCCCACCACCTCCATTTGCTGCGTTAGGGCATTTACACTTACGTGTGCCCATCTACAAAGCAGACATGGAAAAAATACACATCAACTACCACCATGTAAGTGCAAACTTCCACCTGTGCTGGGGAAACCAGGAGTGCCCAGGGCATTTTATACCTGCGGTTCTCAGAGGCCAGACTTCAAATCATCCCCAATCCAGAACTGATTTTTTTTCAGTGATTTGTAGCAAAACAAAAAAAAACAATATACTGAATTCTCACAAAGCTAAATTGGTTTTCTTTTCTTTTCTTTTCTTTTTCGAGGTGGAGTTTCACTTTTGTCACCCAGGCTGGAGTGCAGTGGCACAATCTCAGCTCACTGCAACCTCTGCCTCCCGGGTTCAAGCGATTCTCCTGCCTCAGCCTCCTGAGTAGCTGGGATTACAGGTATGTGCCACCACACCAAGCTAATTTTTTTTTTTTAGTAGAGACAGGGTTTTGCCATGTTGGCCAGGCTGGTCTCGAACTCCTGATCTCAGGTAATCCTCCCACCTCAGCCTCCCAAAGTACTGGGATTGCAGGCATGAGCCACCGCGCCCGGCCAGCTAAATTGCTTTTTAAGGCTGCCTTTTATTTGAACATTTTCAAATTTTGTTACAGACCCACACCCCTTGAGAAATGGGCCGGCAATGGATCTTTTACATCTGAAAAACAGCTCAGTTGCAGCAGCCACCGAGGCCTTTTTAGAGGCACAGAGAGAACGGGTACATGGGGAGTGGGAGAAGGAAAGACCAGACAGACAGATCCCTGGGCTGCTGTGCCAGGCTGAGAAAGGGCTGTGGGAGCCCTCTAGCCACAGCTGTCTGTCAGAGGAGGCCAGCATCTTCGTGGGTGACCTGCATCAGCACCCACTGTGCTGGTTCGTGGCTGGAAGCAGCCTGCAGGAATTCTGGGCACAGACATGGCGCTGTGTGCCCTACCCACAGGCACGGACACCCTCACTGTCCAGCAGCAGAGATTGAGTACAGAAGGGGCTTCTATGGGCGCAGTTTGCCCAGCTTAGCAGTCGCAGGGGGTGGTGCATAAGTAGACTGGACTGAATGGAGTCGTGGGTGGCTGTCCTCGCAGAGCCATCCCACCAAGAGGCTTGGCATTGGTGCTGGCGGGCTGGGAAGTCAGAGGCAGGAGCAGCTCAGTTGGCCTTGGTGAGTGAGGGTTCATGCTGGGCATAGATGTCACCTCCATCGTTGCCCCCAGGGCCACACCATCCTTCATGCCAGTTCCAGGGGGTCAGTAGCATAGTGTGACAAGTGTCAAGTGGCCAAGGCATTTTGCCAGCTTGGCTGTTCTGTGCTTTCCATGCTGGACGCTTTCTGATAGGCATATTCGTGCCCACTCCCATGTGCCCATGACATGCCCCTACCCAACACCTCCTCGTCTTCCATCTGCCAGGCCATTTATTTCCGACCCCTGACCAGACAGCCAGGCCATCTGCCCAGGGATCCATATATAGTCTCGCCTTGAGCCACTTCTCTTTCCACTCAAAGTGGATGGCCAGGGACACTGCTCATTGATCCACCCAGAGAGAAGGTTTTCCCTCCACTGATACTCACGGCCACCCCATGTCACTGGAATGTAGTCACCATGCATTTTCAGCTTGCACCCCCATGCTGAGCTGACCCACCCTTAAACCAAGTTTGGGCTCTGTCCCCCTCCTTAACTGGTTGTATAGGACCCTCCTGACGGCCATAAGTGTGAGCTGAGGAAGGGATGCTGGGAGTGACAGGGGGTCGGGGCCCCCGCTCATGCAGCCTTATGCCATCTGATTCTGCTGAGCCTGATCCTGCCTGTACCATGCCCACCCTGAAATGGACTGATGGTGGGGCCATGCAACTTTACGACTTGTGAATCTGGCAGAACCCAGCTCATAGTAGACACTTCTGGATGCCTGGCCACTTGGTACCCTGTGATCAGCGTCCCGTAACATGCCAGGAGCTACTTTTCAAAAGCAGGCTAATTCTTGGCTGTGGATAGCACTGCCTTCTCCAAAGTTCCGAGATCTGTGCTGGGATTCTCCCACTGAGCTTGCTGTAAGCTCTACCCAGCATCTCTTTCTACCACCTGCACCTTCAGCACCATGAGGTTGGCTGGGCCTTACAGTCCAAGCAGCAGGGCTGCTTAGTGGGAGCCTGGACCTGCGAGGGAGCCGCCTTCTGCTCCTAAGCCCACATGAAGCAGACAGCTTTTCATGTCACCTGGTACGTGCGCTGCAGAAGTGTTCCTAGGTGTGGAATGTGTTGCCTCCAGAACCCAAAGAGGCCTACCAGGCACTTTGTTTTCTTCTGTGTGATCGTTGGTGCAAGATACAGCAATTTGTCTTTAAATTTGGGGAGCAGATATGTGGGCATGCCCCTGACCGCTGGACCTCCGAACAGCTCGCTGAAGTGGCAAGTCCTTGAATCTCCACGGGATTTGCCTCCCACCTGCTTGTGGGCCTGCGTCTTACCTGGGCTTTGCTCACCTGCCACCTTTAGCTCTTCCTACCTGATGGGCACGCATGAAGTCATCAGTGCACTGGGCCCTACGCTGTTCTGTGGGAAGGCCAGGCAGTTCAGACCGCGCTGGCTTAGATTATGAGGGAGGGCAGGAGAATTAACATAGCCCTGAGGTAAACTGTAAATGAATGTTGTTGTCCATCCACGTGAATGCAAACTTTCTGATCCTCTCTTCCAGTTAGAATAGGAAAGGATACATTTGCCAACTCAAAGGCTACATACCATGTCCCTCAGGCCTTCTTATTTTGCTTTAACAATCCAGTACCTGACGCTGCCGTTGACATCAGAGCTTTTATTGGGTTGAGCCTGCAGTAGTCCATGCTGTCTCTCCGGGATCTGTCCAGTTTCCACAGGGGCCAGGCCGGTCAGTGAAATGGAGGGAGATAGGATGGGACCACCACCTCTTCACCCTTTACGTCTTTCCTGGGGTTACTAATCTCCACCATTTCTCCTGAGGTGCAATGGTGTTTCTGATGTATGTTTTTGGCAGGGGATGGGGGTTGGGGAGAGTGGGGATAGAGAGTCCCACAGGCCGAGGACCCCAGGTAGTGGCGACACCAGCTGCCAAATACATCAATTCCAATTGCACATTCACAGAAGTGTCACAGGTCCTGTCCCACACTGCCCTGCACAGTGTGGGACAGGACCTGCAGAAATGGTCACAGGTGGGACCGCGGACTCAGTGGACTACTGAGAGCCAAACTGTAGCCGGGATTCCATCTACTATCCCAACCCCAGTAAGTCATCTCTCCAACAATAGGGTCGCAGAAATACTCGGGGCCATGCGTGTCAGTGTCAGTGCAGACCCTGTGTCCACCAGTCCTCAAAATGTCTGGGCATTGCCCCTTCCCAGCGTCCAGCCACCTGAGTCAATGGCCAGGGGTCCCTTTGGTGGAGGACTGGGGGGGTCAGTATGGGATACATGTGACACAGTGTTATGAGATCCTCCTTCCTAGGAATGTGGCCACCTCCTCAGTTAACTGGTCCCAGATCTGAAAATAGACACTGGTCCATGACTGAGGAAAGGCTCATGACTTTATATGGGCAGCTGCAGCTGCCCTGAGCTTTCTGCTCTTCCACTCTTGCCTTTTTCTGGTTGTAGGTGTTAAGTAGCGTCCCACTGGCCACCCGTCCATGTTGCCTCTAGGGTCACCATGCTCTGATAACCACCTCCACCACTCCCGTCTTGCTGCTTGCCAGGGTCACTGCAGCCTGGTGTTGGGTCACCACAGCTCCTTTACACCGTGGGGTGGGGCAGGACCGTGAATGAGCACAGCTCTGCAACCATCCCTTCCACCACCAACCCTGGGCTGCAGAGGAAGCCACCACAGATCACCCCAGTGAAGTCAGTGTCCCTCTCATCAGGGCATTCCTGACGCCCTCCGTGTGCCCCAGGGCCCTCTCTGGAACACAACTAAGGGTCTTCTGGCCTCAGTAAGATGGCTTCCAGCATGACCACTACCCTAAGGCTCTTTTTTTTTAATTCTGCCTCACTCTATCGCCCAGGCTATAGTGCCGTGGCGCAGTCATAGCTCACTGCAGCCTCAAATTCCCAGGCTCAAGCAATCCTCCCTCCTCAGCCTCCCTAAGTGCTGGGATTACAGGTGTGAGCCCCCTCAGGCTCTTTATTCCTTCCTGTCCATCTGTTAGAGCCACGTGGGCATTGTCACTTCGCTCTGTGTTGGCTGTCACACTTCCAGGCTTCCAACAGCACATAGCAGGAGTTTTCCCCATCCTCTGGAGTCCTTGCCAGGGTGTTAAATCCTGTGTCCCCCAAATACACCCCCAAATTGATGGATTCTTGCTTATCCAATCTATATTCTGGCCTCCTTGATCAAGCCCCCTCAAAATGCAATCTCAGAGGTGCTCTCCTGGCTCCTGCAGGCACATGCTGACCAACCCTTCAGATCCTTTAGAGGACAATTGCTGTCCTCCCTGGGCAGGTGCGGGTGTGTGCTGGGATTGAAGACTGTCTGCAGCTTGGCAGCCAGGAGAGGAGGTGACTGCAGCTCCTGAAGAGGCACTTGTGGCTGGGCAGAGGCCTCTGCAGTCTCTCCCAGCACAGGGCACCTCTCACTAGGGAAGGGTGGGCCAACTCTGCAAGCTCCAAGCGCTCTGGGGGTCTGCAGAGCCCACGTCCTTGGAGGCATCCATGTATACGCTCCCATCCCATGCTTGTAGGCTGTGTTTTCCCAGCCAGATGAATGACCTCAGCACAACAGAGCTGCCTTGACTGAGTATTTAAACATCCCCAAAGTCCTGTGACTATCAGATCCTCAACCCACTGGTCAGCTATGTCAGCTCTTCCACTACAGGAGACAAAAGCCTCCTCGGAAGCTACAGAGAGGCCCCATGGCTCTCACACCCAGCCTCCAAACTGCTCAGTTGCTCTATTATCCCTCCCAGGGGCTCAATACAGCTCAGCAGTCACAGCAACTCCACTCTCCCTGCAGCCGCTGAGCCCCCCACGTCTTTCAGATATCTCCATAGCCTGATCATGGCCTAAACTGTATTCTGCCTGGCAGTAGGAAGAAAGGGCTTCATAAGGGCACAGGATAGCATTGGCTGGATGGCTATTCCTAGGAGTGTTCTGGATCCAGAGCAAGCTGTAAGAGCAGCCGTGATGTCTGAGAAGAAGAGAGTTTTGGGCAAGCCATTTACCCCTGCCCGCCTTCGTGTTCTCATCTTAAACCCCACTTTCTGATTGGCTGCAAGGATGAAATGGTAATATATGGAAGTCACCAGCACAGTGACTGTGATGGGGGAGCACTCAAACAGCAGCAGGGAGGGAGTTGGCTCTGGGGTCCTCCCTCCCCATCCTCCCTAATGCAAACAAGCCTCGGCCTCACTGCTCATTACCATTATCACACGTTTGCTAAGAAACCCTCTTCCGGATTTTCCATCATCCTCACTCTTCTTGTCAGGATCCAGAAAGCTGTAAATAGGGCTTCAGTGACATCTATAGGAGTCTCATTCTTTTAAAAATTCAAAGCATGTAATGGCTAATGGTAGCATTTATAAAATCTGAGTAGTAGACGCATAGGTATATGTTATGACATTTTCTGCACTTTTATATGTTTAAAAACTTTTTTAAAGAAAGTTTGGGGGGCAAAAAGAATTTACATAATCCAGAGGGAATTTCACAGGAGAACTCACGGTGGGGACAAAGCCACGGGCAGGTGAGAGCAGAACGACCAGGAGGTTTGGTGAGAAAGTGGACGGGGGGGCATCGGGGGTGTTGCCCGCGACTGGTGAGGGTGGCCACGTGGATGGCTGTGGCATTCGTGGATTTAGAGAACACAGAGAGCAGTGGGTACATGGGAGCAGCGCGATGCCAGGGGGACATCCAGTAGAGCCGTTGGGGGCAGCGGGCCCCTGAGGTGTGTTCCCAGGGAGAGGCAGCCACCTGTCAATGATGGTTCAAGCACAGAGTAAAATGGCCAATGGGAGAGGGCGAGACAAGAAGAGCCGCGCCGGCACTCACAGCCAGGCAGAGCTGGAGAAAGCGCTGGAAAAGGGAGAATTGGAAGCATCGCTACATCAAAACAGCCGAATTTTGAAAAAGCAAACAGAGGAAAACGTTCACAACAGATAAAACAGACAAAAGACTGCTGTTCTGAATAGGTATAGTGTTCTTACCGTGAATAAATTAAAAACACCAAGATTCTGATCACCAAGTAGGTAAAATACTTGAATAGATGATTCACCAAAGAGGAATTAAACGTGTTAACAATCCTACGGGGAAAAAAAGTTAAACAAATGGACTTGAAGCTTTTCACCTGTCATGTTGCTGGTGTGGTGCTGATGACAGTGGTTTGGGGGATTGTTTTAATGGTCTTGCTGGTGAAGAAGTGATGACTTGCATTGCTGGTGATGGTGATGGTATACAATTGCACGGCTTTCAAGAAAGCAGCTTGGGAACAGGCATCAGAGGCCTTAAAATATCACATAATTTGCTTGCATCTAACTGGGTCAATTTATGCCAAAGGTATTTTTATTTATAATAGCAAAAAAAAAGAGACATAATGTGCAATAAGTTTAGTCTCTCCACTGGGGAAAATGTAGTTCCCACAGATCATCCTTACAGAGTTTATAATAAGACGAGGAAATGCTCATGTTATTATAAAGAGACAGAGTTTCACTCTTTTGCCCAGGCTGGAGTGAAGTGGCACGATCTAGGCTCACTGCAACCTCCGCCCCCCACCAGGTTCAAGTGATTCTCCTGCCTCAGCCTCCCAAGTACCTGGGATTATAGGCCCCCACCACCATGCCTGTCTAATTTTTGTATTTTTAGTAGAGAGGGGTTTTGCCATGTTGCCCAGGCTGGTCTCGAACTCCTGACCTCAAGTGATCCACCCGCCTCGGCCTCCCAAAGTGCTGGATTACAGGGGTGAGCCACCACGCCCGGCCATAATATTATTTTTAAAAACAGAATTTTTTTGGTCAGTGCTAAAGGAGAAAATTAACTGGTTTATCCCATATGCAAAGATGAAAGAGAAAAATGTAATGATCTCAATAGATGTAGATAAAGCATTCAGGGAATTCAAAGATTATTCACACACAAAAAAATACAACAATAACAGACTGTGAAGAAAAAAGAACCCATTCATAATAACAATAGTGGTAGAAATCTACATGGTACTCAGAAATAATTTTAATAAAATATGCACCCATACATTTGTAAAGAAAATTACAAATCATTATTAAAAGAAATAAAACATTAATGCAAACATGGCAGGGTGTTAAAATTCAAGTCAGGCAGCCACCTTGGGAGGCGAAGGCAGGAGGATCACTTGAGCTCAGGAGTTTGAGACAGGCCTGGGCAACATGGCCAAAAATACAAAAAAATTAGCCAGGTGTGGCGGTGCGCACCTGTGGTCCCAGCTACTCAGAAGGCTGAGCAGGAGAATCACTTGAACCTGGAAAACAGAGGCTGCAGTGAGCCAAGATCATGCCACAGCACTCCAGCCTGGGCAACAAAGTAAGACTCCATCTCAAAAACAAAAAAAAAAAAAATCAGGCATTTGTTACAATAGTCATATATACACATAATTTTATGTATGTTCAAAATAGTTTATTATGAATTTTAAATGAAAACATATTTAATTTGCCTTAGCTGTTACATCTTCCATCACAAAGAGCTGTAACTGCCAGGGTGCAAGTGCACGTGTTTTTTCCTGTGTTTTATCATCCTCATCCTCAGCTGTTCACTGGTTACTGGCCTGGGGCTCCGAGCTGCTAGGCTTGTGGGAACCCCATGACAGGGGAGAGAGCCAGTGGCAGTTCCACCGGGAGCGGGGTCAGATTTGTCGCCAACCCAGGTCAATGCTTGTTGTGCTACAACGGCGCCACCTAATGGTTGGTGCTGGTTCTGACATGCGTCCCTGGGTCTGAAGGGACACCAGCAGCTGTGTTGGGCAGCCTGTTTCTAGCCACTCTGTGTAAAGAGAATAAAGGATTCAGGACTGGTGCGGATTACCGTTGATCAGCTCCTTTCTCAGCTGAAGCAGACCAGCGCCTTCCCCTCCAGAGAATTTCGACTGTGCTTTTCCCCTCTGCCTTCCAGAAGTTAAGGGAGTGGAGTCCTATGTTCTGGAGGGCTCCCTCCTGGCATCCTTGCCAACACTATCGCAATGTTGGAAGCTCTTTAAAAATCATGCCTCAAACCCACATTTGAAGTGAGATTTGAGGGGGAGAACTATTTCTGTAGTCGGATAGGAAAAAACCGCATGGAATGGGAACATACTTTATCCATTTCAAAGCGAGTTGGTCAGTGATGCTATATAAATGTGTTGGGGTGGTTTTTAGAAATCACGGAATGTTAGGGCTGGACAAGACCTTAGAGATATGTTACTAATTCCCCACAAGGCATTTGAATGTCGAAATGTCCAAGAATGTACGTGTGAAACTAAGAACAAAATTGACCCAATAATACTATATACTAAAATTACTAAATTTTACTAAATATACTAAAATACTAAATACTAGTATTTCTAGCATTACACACACGTGTTCCCACACCATGCGATGAGGCGTACCTTTCTCCTTCCACGTCGCTTATCAGTTCTCCACATCTGCACAACAACAGACCACTAACGAAGCTGACTGCTTACTTGTATTGACAGGGAAATCATCAACAGCCTGAGTACTTTGTGCTTCAAAATTACTGAAAAGCAGGCCAGGCACAGTGGCTCCAACCTGTTATCCCAGCACTTTGGGAGGCCGAGGTGGGAGGATCACCTGAGGTCAGGAGTTCGAGACCAGCCTGGGCAACATGGCGAAACCTCTTCTCTACTAAAAATACAAAGATTAGCCAGGCGTGGTGGCACATGCTTGTAATCCCAGATACTCGGGAGGCTGAGGCAGGAGAATCACTTGAACCTGGAAGACAGAGGTTGCAGTGAGCCAAGATGACGCCACTGCACTCCAGCCTGGGCGACAGAGTGAGACTCTGTCTCAAAATAAAATAAAACAAGATAAATAATAAAATAATAAACATTAGAATAAATTACTGAAAATCTGTATCTTCATGGAGCAACAGTTGTGTCGCAGAGGCTGCAGAGCATCCCCTAGTCACTTCCTTCAATTAGTTTTATGATGTACTTGGATAACAATGTCATGATAATTGCCAGCATTTTGTGCAGTAATTCTGTCAAGCACTGCACTTGGGGCTGTATTTACAGTAGCTCGTTTAGTCTTCTTGATGATCCAATATGCCAGATATTCTTTGCACCCTTTTTACTGATGAAAAAATTGAGGTTCAGAGAAGCTAAGATGCTTTCCTAAGGACACACAGCAGGTGGTAGGAGGTAGAGCTGAGATCAGCAGCTAGGCTGCCTGAGGCCAAGGCGGGCTTAGCCACAAAGCAGCAGGTAGCAAAGAAGCTCTGTCCCATCACTGCTCACAGGTGTAATGGAGAGATCCCTGGATTGGTCCCTGTCCTTCATAGTTGGAACCCAATACTTATCAGCTGAAGGATCTCAGACAAGTCACCCTGTGAGCCTCAGTTTATCCATAAAATAGGACTTATAATCTACCTCACAGCACCATGAATTAATATGAAAAGTACATAATACAGTACATGGAAATTTGCTTGATGAATGCCAACATGCCACACAAATGTAAGTTGTCTGTATTACAATATATTTCCCTCCTAGTTTTAGTTAACCATTTTTGGAAGCTTGTTTTTTGCAATGACTATCCTTACTCAGCAAAGCTTCTGAAATGTTCCTTATTTACGATCTTATGAAATGTTTGTGTGCACACTGTGTGATCATCTAGCAAGTCAGTCATTCTTGGCTACTATTTAAAAGTCAAAAAATAAAAGATGCTGGCAATGTTGCAGAGAAAAGAGAACACTCATAACAATGTTGGTGGGAATGTAAATTATTCAGCCCCTGTGGAAAGCAGTTTGGAGATTTCTCAAAGAACTAAAAATACAACTACCATTCACCCCAGCAATCCCATTCCTGGGTATGTACCCAAAGGAAAATACATTGTTCTACCAAAAAGACACCTGCACTCGCATGTTTATTGCAGCACTGTCCACAACAGCAAAGCCATGGACTCCACCTAGGTGCCCATCAGTGGAGGACTGGATAAAGAAAATGGGGCTTCCCTTTGCAGCAACATGGATGCAGCTGCAGACCATTATCCTAAGTTAATTATCACAGAAACAGAAAACCACTTACAAGTGGGAGTGAAACCATAGGTATACATAGACGTAAAGATGTAAACAACAGACCGGGCGCGGTAGCTCAGGCCTGTAATCCCAGCACTTTGGGAAGCCGAGGTAGGAGGATGGCTTCAGGCCAGGAGTTTGAGACCAGCCTGGGCAACATAGTGAAACCCTGTTCCTACAAAAAATAAAAATAAAAAATGCAGCTCATGCCTGTAATCCTAGCACTTTGGGAGGCTGAGGCGGGCGGATCGCCTGAGGTCAGGAGTTCGAGACCAGCCTGACCAACATGGAGAAACCCCACCTCTACTAAAAATACAAAATTAGCCGGGCGTGGTGGCACATGCCTGTAATCCCAGCTACTTGGGAGGCTGAGGCAGGAGAATCACTTGAATCCGGGAGGCAGAGGTTGTAGCGAGCCAAGATTGCACCATTGCACTCCAGCCTGGGCAACAAGAGTGAAACTCTCTCTCAAAAAAAAAAATGTCATTCTTAACTCATTTTTACCAAATATAATGTTAAAAAAAGAAAAAGATGTGTACTGACTCTCAATTTTATGAGCCATTTTGAATGGGTGCCATGATGTGGAGCTAGATTAAGATGGGGGAATTAATGGAAAAGATTTGGGTGTTTATTTCATATTTTTCCCATTAACATTCAATAGTCTTTTTTGGTAAACTTCTAAGAAAAAATAATTAAGTAGATCCATTAATGAATAAAATGATGATATTGGTCCACTAAGAGGATGTGAGTGTGGAAAGTGAGGTGTGATGAAACTGACAGATGAAATATCTGGCAGATGAAATAATAGATATAATTTTTGTAACTGATATAGTGTAAAATAAAAGCAAGACATGTATTCTTGTGTGATTTTTGTTTTTTTGTTTTTTGTTTGTTTTGAGATGGAGTCTCACTCTGTTGCCAAGGCTGGAGGGCAGTGGTGCAATCTCGGCTCACTGCAACCTCCACCTCCCAGGTTCAAGTGATTCTCCTGCCTCAGCCTCCTGAGTAGCTGAGACTACAGCTGCCACCATGCCTGGCTAATTTTTTGTTGTTGTTGTTGTATTTTTGGTAGAGACGGGGTTTCACTATGTTGGCCAGGCTGGTCTCGAACTCCTGACCTCAGGTGATCCACCCGCCTCGGCCTCCCAAAGTGCAGGGATTACAAGCGTGAGCCATCGCGCCCAGCCTCTTGTTGTCATTATGACTGGGGCTGCTGAGGGTTCTCTGGACGTGGGAGAAGGTCCCGTGCTGCAGGGTGGGAAAGCCACAAGGCACTCTGACTTTAGCCCCAGGAAATGGAGACAGAGAAGACAGAGCTGCCTCCTCACTCCTGGGCGTGGGCCCAGGAAAGGTCTTCTTCCCCCAGATCATGCCTCCTATGCTGTCTTTGTGGAGAGTAGGCTTTGACGAGGACGTGAAGGAGGACGGTGGAGAGAGAATGGGGTCAACCAAGGGCCCTAAGTGATTGTCCCACATCAGTCTCTTACCCTGGGCTGGTGGTGACTTAGCCCTTGACAACTTACCTGATTCTGAAGGTCGTGACGTGACCAGAGCAGGGAGACCATAGATGCAGCAGTGACAGTCAACCCTCCAGAGGGTGACAGTAGGGGCTGGGGGAGGCCGGTGGCGGCTGGGCCCGGGGCTGGCCTGTGCTGTGGACTCTTCCCAGGACCTTGGTGCAGCCAGCTGCCCCATCCCAGGCCCAAAGCTCTGCCATCTGGCTTCTTGTGATTTCTATTCCGAGGCTCACAGCAAGACCATCCTCCCCGTTCCTCCAGATGTTCCTGTCTCTGCAGACACTGGAGCAGAGAAGGGTGAGAGCCAGTGCTCAGAGCTGCCCGGCCATTTGCCTTCAGGGGTCATGGGCTTGTGAGGAATCAGGGTGACCCTCATCCAGTTTGCCTGGGACTGAGGGGTCCCCCAGGATGCAGGACTTTCAGTACTAACATTGGGACGGTCCTGGGCAAGCTGAGGTGATGGGTCACCAAGGATCCCCAGGATTCCAAGTGGCTCCAGGCTCTTTGTCTCCCTCCATTTGGAGACCGTGTCCGTCCTGTACCCACAAAAGTGCTCAGTGGCCTCATGGCCCAGTGGCTTTGTGGCTGGGTCAGCTGCAACTTTGGATCCCTGATATTTTCTCCATGGGGCAAGAGCGATGGGTGTTTGGCAGCCACTGTCACAGCCTTTGAGGTGATAACAGCACTGTCGTGGGCCACAACCCCCAGCATGGGCTGAAAACAGCCACAAGCCTGCCTGGACTCACAGCCACACTGAGATTAGTGCCAGCAAAGTGCCCTCTGTAGGTGGGACAACCGTGCCCCCTCGACTTACTCTGCGAGGAGCTTAACGACAGCCCTGAGGTGCCGGGGCCCGGGGTCACGGAGCTCCCGTAGCCGAGGACAGTGCTGTTATCACATCATGCCCAGCACTACCATGCCCAGCTATTTTTTGCATTTTTAGTAGAGACGGGGTTTCACCATGTTGCCCAGGCTGGTCTTGAACTCCTGGCCTCTACAAGGCCTCTACAAGTGATCCACCCACCTCGGCCTCCCAAAGTGCTGGGATTACAGGTGTGAGCCACCGCTGAGCTACCACTTCCGGCCAGACACCACATTTTTTTATCCACTCATCAGTTGATGGGCACTCAGGTTGACTCCATATGTCTGCAATTGTAAATTGTGCTGCAATAAACATACGCGTGCAGATGTCTTCTTTTTATTAGTATTTAATGACTGAATTTCCTTTCGGTAGATACGCAGGAGTGGAATTGCTGGATTGAATGGTAGATCTTCTTTTAGTTATTTGAGAAATCTCTATACTGCTTTCCTTAGAGGTTGTGTTAATTTACATTCCCACCAGCAGGATGTGGGCATTCTTTTTCTACCACATTAGTGCCAACATCTATCGTTTTTTGACTTTTTGGTAATGGCTATTCTGGCTGGGGTAAAGTGGTATTACATTGTGGTTTTAATTTGCATTTCCCTGATGATTAGTGACATTGAACATTTTTTCATACATTTGTTGGTCATTTGCAGATCTTTTTTGAGAAATGTCTGTTCATGCCATTTGCCTACTTTTGTAATGTGATTATTTGGGTTGTTTTCTTGCGGATTTATTTTAGTTCCTTGTAGATTCTGGATATTAGTGCTTTATCAGAGGCATAGTTTGCAAATATTTTCTCCCATTCTGTAGGTTGTCTGTTTACTCTGTTGATAATTTCTTTTGTTGTGCAGCTTTTTAGTTTAATTAGGTCCCATTTATTTTTGTTGTTGTTGTTGCTGCATTTGCTTTTGGGGTCTTAGTCATAAATTCTTTGCCTAGGCCTGTCCAGAAGACTTTTTCCTAGGTTTTCTTCTAGAATTTTTATGGTTGCAGGTCTTAGATTTAAGTATTGTATCTATCTTGAGTTGATTTCTGTATACAGTGAGAGATGGGGATCCAGTTTCATTCTTCTAAAGGCAGCAATCCAATTTTCCCAGCAGCATTTACTGAATAGAATATCCTTTCCCCAGTTTGTGTTTTTGTGTGCTTTTTGAAGATTAGTTGGATGTAAGTATTTGGCTTTATTTCTGGGTTCTCTATTCTGTTGCATTGGTCTATGTGTCTATTTCTGTATCAGTACCATGCTGTTTTAGCAACTATAGTCTTGTAATATATAATTTGAACTTGGGTAGTGATTTGTTCTTTTTGCTTAGGATTGCTCTTTTGTTCCAGATTTGTTCTTTTTGCTTAGGATTGCTTTGGCTATATGGGCTCTTTTTGGTTCCGTGTGAATTTTAGGTTGAGGGCTTTTCTAATTCTGTGGAAAATGACCTTGGTATTTTGATAGGAATTGCACTGAATCTAGAGATTGCTTTGGGCAGTATGATCATTTTCACAATATTGATTCTTCTAACCCATGAGCATGGGACGTTTTTCCATTTGGTTATGTCATCTATGATTTCTTTCATCTACTTTCTTTCATAGGTCTCTTTGTAGAGAACTTTCATCTCCTTGGTTAAGTATATTCCTAGGTTTTGTTTTGTTTTGTTTTTGTTTTTGTTTTTGTTTTTGTTTTGTTTTTTTGAGACATAGTTTTGCTCTTCTTGCCCCAGGCTGGAGTGCAATGGCACAACCTTGGCTCACTGCAACCTCTGCCTCCCTGGTTCAAGGGATTCTCCTGCCTCAGCCTCTGCAGTAGCTGGGATTACAGGTATGTGCCACCATGCCCAGCTAATTTTGTGTTTTTAGTAGAATGTGGTTTCTCCATGTTGTTCATGCTGGTCTCGAACTCCTGACCTCAGGTGATCCACCTGCCTCAGCCTCCCAAAGTGCTGGGATTACAAGCATGAGCCACCGTGCCCGGCCTTTTTGGTAGCTATTATAAAACGAGTGGAGTTCTTGATTTGACTCTCAACTTGTTCATTGCTGGTGTATAGCAGTGCCACTCATTTGTGTGCATTGGTTTTATAACCTGAGACTCTACTGAATTCGTTTATCAAATCTAGGTGTCTTTTGGATGAGTCTTTGGGGTTTTCTAGGTATAAGGTCATATCATGGCAAACAGAGATAGTTTGACTTCCTCTTTTACAATCTGGAGGCCCTTTATTTCTTTCTCTTGCCAGATTTCTCTGGCTAGGACTTTCAGTACTGTGTTGAATAGAAGTAGTGAACGTGGGCATCCAGGTCTTGTTCCAGTTCTTTGGGGGAATGTTTTCAACTTTTCCCCATTCAGAATGATGTTGGCTGTGGGTTTGTTGTATGTGGCATTTATTATTTTGAGCTATGTTCCTTCTGTGCCCAGTTTGTTGAGGGTTTTTATCATAAAGTGATGCTGAATTTTATGGAATACTTTTTCTGCATCTGTTGAGATAATCATCATATGGTTTTGTTTTTCATTCTGTTTATGTGGTGAATCACACTTATTGACTTGCATATGTTGAACTATCCCAGGGCCCTGGGATGGAACCCACTTGATCATGGTAAATTATCTTTTTGATGTGCTGTTGGATTCACTTTTCTAGAACTTTGTTGAGGATTCTTGTATCTGTGTTCATCAAAGATAGTGTCTGTAGTTTTGTTTGTTTGTTTGTTATGTTCTTTCCTGGCTTTGTTATCAGGGTGATATTGGCTTCATCGAATGAGTTAGGGAGGGTTTCCTCCTTGATCTTTTGGAATTGTTTCTGTAGGATTGGTAGCAATTCTTCTTGGAATGTCTAGTAGGATTCGGCTGTGATTTCACTGGGTCCTGGGCTTTTTAATGTTGGGAGATTTTTTATTACTCATTCAATGTCACTGCTTTTTACTGGTCTGTTCAAGATTTCTATCTCTTCCTGATTCAAGCTGGGTGGGGGTGGGATTTGGGGTTAATTATATCTTGTTTTGCTGAGGTCAGTGGGAAGAGGCAGCTCAGAAGCTGAAAAGCAGCCTGGAATCCCAGTCCACCAACCCCTTGCTTTTCCCCCATCTAGCCCAGCCTCAGTTCATTCTGCCAGCAAAAGAAAGAGACCAAAGCACTACTGGCAGACCTTCACAGGTTTGTGTGTAGGTCTGAGGCCTGCGCCAGCTAAGCACATATTTTGAACATCCCCCTTTTCAACAATGAAAAATTATTTCTCATGTCGTTTCTGCTCATTAACAAGATTCTAGCATCTATTTCTGTAACAATTATTAGGCTCCTAAGGTCCCTCCTCTGGAGAGAGAAACCCCTATTAGGGGCCTTCAAATGCTAACCAACCAATCTTTCATGCAGATTAGAGATTTTTTTTTTTTTTTTTTTGAGACGGAGTTTTGCTCCTGTTGCCCAGGGGGAAGTGCAACGGCACAATCTTGGCTCACTGCAACCTCCGCCTCCCAGATTCAACAGATTCTCCTGCCTCAGCCTCCCAAGTAGCTGGGATTACAGGCATGTGCCACCACACCCGGCTAATTTTGCATTTTTAGTAGAGACAGGGTTTCTCCATGTTGGTCAGGCTGGTCTCGAACTCCTGACCTCAGGTGATCTGTCCGCCTCTACCTCCCAAAGTGTTGAGATTACCGACGTGAGCCACCACACCCAGCCCCTAGAGTTATTTATAAATGCATTCATACTACTCTTTACACCGAATTCTTTTTAGCCTAAGTAACCATAAAGATAATACAAAACCGACCTTTGGCAAGTTGCTTCCAGCACCTCAGTTTTCTCTTCTATGAGATGGAATTAATGGCGCACATCCCAAAGGCTGTTGTGAGCATCCCGGGGTGATTCAGAAACAGGGTAGAAGGAATGTGCACAATGAACCCGAGCTTTGTTTTGAACCAGAAGGTGAGCTCTGTGACAGCAGGACTTTCCCCAGGTCCTAGAACAGAGGGCACATAGCAGGGGCCTCACATATCGTGCTGGATAAATGAATGAATGAACCAGGATATTTTTGTAGAAATCCCTAAACTGACACAAAGGCCCCAGGGCCACCAGCTCCCCCTGTGCCTTCAGCAAGTGACTCAGCCTCCGGGACAGGCGTCCACTCAGGACCTCTGAGTTTCCTCCAGACTCTATCCCGCCGTGAACAGACAAAGCCACACACAAAAGTACACAGCCCTCACCTACAGGCCCAAAGAACAAGGCCCAGGATTGCTCAGTGTCGCTAACCTACCCCACGAGCCCTCCTTCCTTGCACACCAGCCCAGCTGCCCACAGGTGCTGCAGGCCCCAGCTGCACTCACAGACTCTGGAAGGAGGCTGACTCATCAGAATTATAATAATTCATCCGCTCTTCCTCAGCCCCTCAGCTGTGAAGGGCCAGGAGCCCAAAAGGAGGTGGGAAGAGGCCAGGCAGCGGGTGGCAGGGCAGAGTGAGACACGCAGCTCTGGGGACTCTCTCGGGGGATTCTCAACAAGGATTGTGGGCCAAGGAATACGAATGACATGGCCCAGGGCATCCAAAGGATAGCTGCCATTCTGTATGAAGTATGAGGCTGAGCCTCTCCCAGGGTATGAACCCTGATGGCAGAGGCCATGCGGTCAGGTCTTACAGTGGAAGAAATGGGAAACCTCTTGCCACTGAGGTTCCTAAATCACTCTGGGTAAATAAGCAAAGGAAAACCTCCCCACGACCCCAGGCAGAGCTTTGACAACAAATCAAAGGTCAGCAACGCCATAAATCTACTGCCTTTGCCACAAACAGATCATGAAGAGCTATTTTGAAAACGACTGGGCCAAAAAAATTCCCTGGAGCCGAATCAACTCAAAGAGCTCAAACAGAGAACAGGAAAATCTTCCTCCTTCTCTCCCAAGAGACCAGACCATGAGGCCCCCAGAGCTAAGCACCCACAGTGAGGGCTGCCTCCTTGCACTGGCGAGAGCACAGTCCCTAATGCCAGACCCAGGACAGTGTTCGTGGCCTTGGGTGCTGCAGACTGACAGGTCTTCCCCCAACAGCCACTGCAGCCTGCAGGTGGGCAGCTTCCCAGAGGAGCCTCCCAAGATCCTTCACTCCCCGGCCCAGGAGCCAGGGCCCGCACGGGATTTTCTAGCAGCGCATCCAGGTGAGCTGCTCACCTGGACTATGCACATGGGTTCAGGTCTGACAGCCCCGGGGCTAGCCAGGGATCTGGCCCACGAGGATTTTCTTTCCATGAAAAATGCACACATGCATGTATGTGTGGAAAACGGCCTGAAGGGACCCCCATTGGTATTATCAGATGTCACTGCAAGATCCCTGAATTTTACAATGGCTACATTCTGTACAATAATTTTTTATAAAGATGACTGAATTTTCTGAATAATGAATGTGTATGTTATACTTTTAAATACAGCATTGTTTGGCAAATTTTTTTTTTCATGTTACCCAAAGTTATTAAATACAGAGATTTAGAAAAATAGAAACCAAAATGGGGAGAGGATCACCTGTAACCATAATCCCACTATCGAGATATATTCTGATGATCTTTTAGTGAATTCCCTGGGTATTTTCCTATAATAAGCATTTTTAATAAAAAAAAGATTATATAGCACATTCTTTTCTTTTCTTTTCTTTTCTTTTCTTTTCTTTTCTTTTCTTTTCTTTTCTTTTCTTTTTGAAATGGAGTTTCCCTCTTGTTGCCCAGGCTGGAGTGCAGTGGTACGATCTCGGCTCACTGCAAACTCTGCCTCCCAGGTTCAAGCGATTCTCCTGCCTCAGCCTTCTGAGTAGCTGGGATTACAGGCATGAGCCACCACGCCCAGCTAATGTTTGTATTTTTAGTAGAGACAGGGTTTCTCCATGTTGGTCAGGCTGGTCTCAAACTCCCAACCTCAGATGATCTGCCCGCCTCGGCCTCCCAAAGTGCTGGGATTACAGGCATGAGCCACTGTGCCCGGCCGGGACATTCTTTTTTATAACCTACTTCTTTGCTTCACTATACATGCTCAACACTTTCTAGCTCATGAGCATCGTTCTGCAGTATCATTTTAATGCCCTATGGTATTCCATTAAGTGGATGTCCCATGCTTCATTTAACTCATTCTTTCCTTCAGGATTTTCAATCAGCAAGTATTTCTCTCTAGGCCTCCACAGGCAAATTGTCATGAGTGCTATTCTCCAAATATGTCGACCATGTGCAGACAGTGGGATCATGCTTTCTTGTCCCTAGGTGTTGCCATGTGACTTGTTTGGGCCAATGAACCGGAAGCAGCAATGATATCTGGGCAGAAGCTTCAGGGTCCAGTGCACATTTCTGAACATTCTCTTTCCTGGAGGTAACTCACTGTGAGGCTGGAGACAGAAACTGCGTCCACCCAGGTCTCTGCATGTAAGCCCCAGCCAACCTACAATGGGCATCCATCACAAACCAATAACCAACTCAATGGCTTGCCCACCGGGATTCAGCCCTGCGTTGTTTCTGAGCTTGTCCTGACTGACTGGCCTCAGGGCTGATGCAGGAACAAGGTTGAGACAGAATCCCAACCCTCCAAGTGTGTGTGGCCCAGCTGGGAAGTCCAGCCTACATGTAAGGGAAGAGTTCAATAATGCACAACAAGTAACCGTTCAAAGCAAAACTGTTGGCAGGGTGCCGTGGAGCAGAGTGGACCAGTTCTGCCCTGAAAGGACAGCTTTGAAGCAATCTGAGAATAACGAGGGCTCCTGGCACTGGAATGGCCTGGGCAGATGCCCTGGAGGAAGGTTCAAGGGGAGGGCTCTGAAGGATGGGGAGATTTGAGGGGCATGGAGGTAACAGATGGAGAAGAGTGGGAGAGGAAAGGGGTCGTGATGGAGCAAAACACAGAGCCCAGAGGACTGCAGGGGGGTGATTGCTGTGAAGTCGGAGCTCTGAAGAACTGAGAGCTGGAGACAGCCTCCGAGAGACAGCAAGGAGCCAGACAGGGAAATCACCCCTGTCAGGGGAGGAACCTCTACCGCTTCCTGTGCTTCCCAGGCTTCTTTCTGGGGGAAATGTTTCTGTAACTGCCTCATTCAGGAATGCCCTCTGTGAACCTAACTTTGGAGGCTTAATCTGGCTTGGCGTCATCACACATATGTTATATGTTATATTCAGGAGTAAGACTGACTGCAGATACAGTCAAAACCATTGTGATTTGCTAATTCTATTTGAGTAATCACTCTCAACAGCCAGCCACAGGTCCTGGCCACACTTCAGCCTCATCAGCTAGTGCCACTCAGCCAGTGTGTCAGTCAGCCAGTGTGTCAGTCAGCCAGTGTTAGTCAGCCAGTGTGTCAGTCAGCCAGTGTCAGCCACCCAGTGTCAGTCAGCCAGTGTGTCAGCCACTGTCAGCCAATGTCAGCCAGTGTGTCAGCCAGCCAGTGTCAGCCAGTGTTAGTCAGCCAGTGTGTCAGTCAGCCAGTGTCAGCCAGTGTCAGTCACCCAGTGTCAGTCAGCCAGTGTGTCAGCCACTGTCAGCCAATGTCAGCCAGTGTGTCAGCCAGCCAGTGTCAGCCAGTGTTAGTCAGCCAGTGTGTCAGTCAGCCAGTGTCAGCCAGTGTCAGTCACCCAGTGTCAGTCAGCCAGTGTGTCAGCCACTGTCAGCCAATGTCAGCCAGTGTGTCAGCCAGCCAGTGTCAGCCAGTGTTAGTCAGCCAGTGTGTCAGTCAGCCAGTGTCAGTCAGCCAGTGTGTCAGCCACTGTCAGCCAATGTCAGCCAGTGTGTCAGCCAGCCAGTGTCAGCCAGCCCATGTGTCAGCCAGTGTGTCAGTCAGCCAGTCTCAGCCAGTGTCAGTCAGGCAGTGTCAGTCAGCCAGTGTGTCACCCAGTGTCAGCCACCCAGTGTTTCAGTCAGCCAGTGTCCATCAGCCAGTGTCCGTCAGCCAATGTGAGTTGGCCAATCATTGTGTCTGTCAGCTAGTTGGTCAATCAGTGTTCATCCATTAGTCTGTCAGTGTCAGTCTGTCAATCAGTGTCAGTCAGCCAGTCACTGTCAGTCAGTTGGTCAGACAGTGTCAATGAATCAATGTCAGCCAGCCAGCCCATCACTGTCAGTCAGTCCATGTCAGCCAGCCAGTTAATAAGCACAGTGTTCAGCTGGCTTCTGAGCGCTGGGCCTGTTTGCCTTTCTGTTTATTTACCCAGCACCTTTCCTGTTTCTGGGCATTGGGATAGGTGTGTCATCCCTCCGTGAGGACAGAGAGCTGTCCCCAGGAACTCAGGACAAATTAATTACCCAGCTGGGTCAGGCCCCAGCCCCCATTTTCAGCCCAGCCACCAGCTGCTAGGCTGAGCTGCTGTGATTCCAGGAGCTTCTTGAGCTTAGAGGGCATCTGTTCAGAAGTGAGTCAAAGGAACAAGGTCACCTTCTGACTCTGCAGAGCCTCTTCCTCCCCGACAGGGGTTTTTGGTGGTATGCCACAGCAGGGCTCCTCTGGCCACAGTCCCAGCATTGGCGAGACTAACCTGATGATACCTCTGGCTCTGTGGCAGCGGCCCTTCCACCTTCCTCCCACAGGAGACCGTGTTGTCTATGGATGGGCAGACACAAGCGTTTTCCTAACACAGCTGCCGCTTTCTCAAATAGGACCAGGGTAGAGGGCGGAGGAGGGCAGGGCCATCCCGAGCCTTGGTGCAGTGCCCAGGTTTGCACATTGCTGTGGGCATGTGTGTTGTCTGCTTAAACAGTGTCCCCCCTTCTTTGAGGGCACTGCTCATCTCCCTCTCCCCAGCCACCACCAACCATGTGGGTTCAGCTATGAGGTGACAAGCCAGAGGTGGGCCTGAGATCCAGGCTGGACCAACTGTAGTACTTCCTTATCCCACAGTGATTGGTCCAGGGATGTGCACGTGACCCAAGCCAGGCCAATCAGAATCCTTCCCCAGGATCTTTCTGAGGCTGTCTCCTTGAGTCCTTTAGTTGGAAAGATGCGTGCTTAAGCCGGCCACGAGAATGGCTCTCATTGTGCAGGAAAAACCTTGGAAGGAGAGAATAAACAGAAGGAAACAGGTGCAGAAGGAAACAGACGAGAGTCCTGACACGGTTTTGAGGCCCTAATTCCGGTCAACTCAGCAGCTGCCTTCTACCCCCGGCCTCCTGCCATTTGGTTTTGTGAATCATACTTGTAGCCAAGAACTTTGGCTAATACAAACACGTATAATTCTAGAGCTACCCAGACTGACATCTCTCACTCATTTGGAAGTGGACAATCCAGAGTGTGATTTGCCCAAGCCCCTTGACTTCTCCCCTTTAGCCCCTTCCAGGGAAAGCCAAGGGAGCCCCACTTAGTCCTCAGGTGGCTGCAGCAAGCAAACCCTCAGGTAGAGGCTGGGGGACCAGCACCTGCTCCGACGCCATGGCCTTTTCTAGCTATGAAGCACATGCATCTTGGCCTCTGACTTCTTTCAGTCAATGTTTTGTTCTGAACATACTCTCGGCACTGAGAATGTTCTCTTGCTTGTGTTTTGGGTAACTCCATGGGGGGCTAGATTCCTGGGCATGTGACCTGTGCCATCGCACAGGGCCCTACGCTTCGAAGGAACCCATGTTTGGTTTCATGCTCTGCCGACATCTTGAAATTGTTACACATTTTGAACAGGGAACCTTGCAGTTTGATTTTGCATAGAGTCCCACAGATTATGCCGCTGGTCCCGGCTCTGTGCAATCCCTCCTGGTGGGATCTGTGATTCCAAGGAATTGCTCCAGTTCCCAGAACCCCACTCCCGATCACTCCTAGCTTGTATCTTCTTTACCTTAATGCCTCCCTCCCCCCATCCCTGACTTCTACGGTATTCTCCCCACCCCACCCCATAGATGGACTTTTTCCCCGGAAGCCCACAGCCTCTGTGGCCTCATCTGAGCTGTGTCCATGCCAGCCGCAGCTGGGGCATGGCTCCTCAGCTGAGCTCAATGTCAAACCAAAGCTGGATCCATTTTATTTGGAAGAATGCCAATTAGAGTGGCTTGTCTTGCTTCTACTCCTCAACCCCTGACATTCTACAGTTCTACCCCAAACCCCCTTCCAGAGGCCTCTGGGAAGGCTGCCTCAGGGCAAACCCAAGATGGCAACAGCCTCTGGTTTGATCAGTCGAGGAGAGCTCTGCTGCATGTTTGAACAAGAAGAGCAGCTTCTATGAGATGGCTTCATAGTTCTATAATGAGGATTTTAGAAGTCTAGGAAATGGGCAAGCAGCCTGTGTCCTTGGGAACTGCCTGCTGCACATCCAGCAAAGGGAGGTCCTTGCCATGGCCTCACTGCTTCTCCTGGAAAAGGTGGATTTGAGCCCCTCACATCCCCCCAGGTGGAACAACACAGAACTGCGGCTGCTGAGACTGGCCACAACCTCAGTCTTCTTCACGCCTACTTTTTTTTGTTTTTTGAGACAGAGTCTCACTCTGTCGCTCAGGCTGGAGTGCAGAGCGCAGTGGCACAGTCTCAGCTCACTACAACCTCTGCCTCCTGGGTTCAAGGTGATTCTCCTGCCTCAGCCTCCCGAGCAACTGGGATTACAGGTGTGCCCCACCACGGACCCAGCTAATTTTTGTATTTTTAGTAGAGACAGGGTCTCACCAGGTTGACCAGGCTGGTCTCGAACTCCTGAACTCATGAAGCCCACCAAAGTGCTGGGATTACAGACATGAGCCATCGTGCCCAGTCTAAACCCACAATTTTTAACAGAACAGACCAATCTAGGGGAAAGCCAGTAGGAGAAACTAATAGACAATTTGACAATAAAGAATCCAGGTGTGGTAAAAAATGATTTATTTTTGAAGCATGGTTAACAGCTATGCAACTAGGAACATTTCATTTACCTGTCCCATCTATGTTTTTCTGTCACAAAGACATATACTAAGACTTTGGAAAAATTCCAAAGGGGATTACACTTGAAATGTGCTGTGTTTTCACTTTTTTTTTTGTACTTGTCTTATTCACAGTGAATCAAATAAAACAGCTTTACAGCTTACTAAAACTCAAACTTGTTCTCAAAGGAAGCAGTTTAAACATTTTCAACTGAAAAATCAGCAACACAATGATTCTACATCAGGAAATCGAACCAGGGAGACAAAAAGCAGCTCTAATAGAAAGCGTGTCTTGTCAAAAGGTTAAAAATAAAAATAAAGGCCCGGGGCCAGGCGCGGTGGCTCACGCCTATAATCCCAGCACTTTGGGAGGCTGAGGCGGGGATCACAAGGTCAGGAGATCGAGACCATCCTGGCTAACACGGTGAAACCCCATCTCTACTAAAAATACAAAAAGTTAGCCAGATGTGGTGGCGGGCGCCTGTAGTCCCAGCTACTTGGGAGGCTGAGGCAGGAGAATGGCATGAACCTGGGAGGCAGTGGAGCATGTAGTGAGCCAAGATTGCGCCACTGCACTCCAGCCTGGGTGACAGAGCGAGACTCCGTTTCAAAAATAATAATAATAAAAATTAAAATAAAAAAAATAAAGGCCCGTTGAGGTGGCTCATGCCTGTAATCCCAACGCTTTGGGTCTTTACAAAAAATAGAAAAAATTAGCTGGACGTGGTGGCACAACTGTAGTCCCAGCTACTCAGGAGGCTGAGGCACAAGGATTGCTTGAGCCTGGGAAGTCAAAGCTGCAGTGAGCCCTGATTGCACTACTGCACTCCAGCCTGGGTGACAGATGACAGAGCGGAACCCTGCCCCCTCCTCCCCCACCAAAAAAACCCACACATATTATGAGGAAAATCCAACTTATTTACAAAGAATGGGTCATCTTCAGGCCTGAGATCCCAATATGTTATGGTAAAATTGTGGGTGCACCGTCCTCTTTGGAAAAAGGGGGTAAGGAACAGATCTGGCTCAATCCATGCTAAGAATCTGGTTTTAAAAGATCAAAGAAGTTTCAGAGAAAAACCTAACATCACTGTATGCCCCAGGGGTGTCATTTACCATGAATGAAAGGGCTGGGAACGCACTCTCCCTGAGGTGCCCCCCAGGCCTGCCAACATCTCATGAAATCTGGTAGTAAACTGGCAAGAGTTCCCTCTGCACCAGCAGGCTGCAGGAAGTTTGTGGGGCTGGGGGCTGGTCTTCTCTGGTCTTCCCCTGGGAAGTGCCTCCCGCTTTCCCCAAACTGCCAAGCTACCAAGCCCTCTAGTGAACAAATGAGCCATAGTCTGGAGGGCTGGCATGGTAACCAGAATGGGTGGATGCTGCCAGGAGAGGCCAGGGCCCCTGAGGATTCGGGGGTCGGCACTCTGGCAGCACCATCTCACTTCTTAGCCATTGCAAATGAGTAGGCCCTTTCTCCTCAAACCCAGAGCAGTAGCTGGCTAGAAGAAACGGCACCAGGAAGGTGGCAATAAACTCTGACTGAGCTCATGTCAGTTTTCTCCTAACCCACCTGTAGATTTGAGAGCAAAAGTCCTGACTCATCCAGCCCCAGTGTAACTGTGAAGTGCGGCTGTCATGTTTACAGTCCCAGTTACTCAGGAGGCTGAGGCAGGGGGATCACTTGAATCCAGGAGTTTGAGGCTGCAGTGAGCTATGATCACACTACTATACTCCAGACAGAGTGACAGAGTGAGACTCTGTCTTTTTTTTTTTTTTAAGACGGAGTCTCGCTCTGCTGCCCAGGCTGGAGTGCAGTGGCATGATCTCAACTCACTGCAACCTCCGCCTCCCAGGTTCAAGTGATTCTCCTGCCTCAGCCTCCTGAGTAGCTGGGACTACAGGTGTATGCCACCATGCCTGGCTAAATTTTTGTATTTTTAGTAGAGACAGGGTTTCACCATGTTGGCCAGGCTGGTCTCGAACTCCTGACCTCAAGTGATCTGCCTGCCTCAGCCTTCCAAAGTGCTGGGATTACAGGCATGAGCCACCATGCCGGGCCGAGACTCTGTCTGTTTAAAAAAAGAAGAAGAAGAAGAAGTAAAAGAAGGCAGCTCAGCTGGTACAGTAGAAAGCCTATTCTGGAAACTGCCATGATGGATGGCTAATAAAATATTGGAGATACTTAACCCTTAGCCAAACAGTATGTGTCTGTGTGGTGTGTGTGAGTATGTACATGTATGATAGACTGTGTGTGTGTGTGTGTGTGTGTGTGTGTGTTTGTGTGGTGGGGGTATGTGTGTGAAGGCCCCAGAAGGTGGCCCTGGGACAAAGCGCTCCTACCACTTGTCCCCAGCATAGGACAGCCACACAATTCAGAGCACAGGAGAGCCCACACCTGGAGGCTGGGCTGCCCTTGCGGGTGGGGTTAGCAATAGCTAACATGAAAACTTCCAGATAGCAAACCTCCCCTGGCCACCTGACTACATATTTCAAACATTACCTGAAGCAATGAAATTCAAGAGCATTCATAGTCTTTTTTAAACTTCTGACTACGACCCACATTGAGGTTAGTTACATGGCTGCCAAGGGGGTGGGGACACAGGATAGGTAACAAGAGTTCAGACTCAGCCTGATGGCACAGGGTGCGCTTTGCCCTGTCCCAGTCCACTGTGTTTGTGGTGGTGACCCACTAAATTGATTTTGTGACCCACTTGTGGGTTCTACTGCAGCTTGGACCCGCAGTCTCCGTGCACATGGAAAATCATTCCCTCCACGGAAGTGGGTGGACCTCCCCGCAGCAGGCCCCGGCCTCAGTGAGGATCACCAAGTGCCACCAGGCCCCCACAACCCCGCTCAGGAGGAGGAAGCAGGCTTCCCTGACCATCTTTAAAGAAAAGGGGGCACCATGATGGGCCCACTCAGGTCCAGGCTGGCAACCACAGGTCCACCCGTCCAAGACGCAAGGCGAGGCTGGGCCATTCCCTGCAAGTGCGTGTTGGTCCCTTAGGGCTTGCCCAGGGGCGCCCCCGCGCTCTGGCATCTCTGTACCAGGAGGATGAGCCTGGCGAGGTCTGAGAGCTCCGGGAACGCGGCCATCACGCGGTCCACCTGGTCACGCGGGAAGACGCTGTAGAGCGCGATGCGAGCCCGGGCGCGCGCGTCCCCCTCGTCGTCCTCGGTCGCGTACACTGAAAGTCCCCCAGTGGCGCCGTCGCCCCAGGCCGGCTCCGCCCAGACGGAGCGCCCAGGGAAGCGGTCGGAGCGGGGTGGACGGGCCCACGGGTCGTCGGGTGGCCTGCGCGGGGAAAGCAAGTCGCCGTGCAGGTCCCTAGGGCGGTGTTCGCCCCGCGGCTGGAGCTGCAGGCCGGGCGGAGGCGGGAGGTCGCCCGGGGAGAACTGGCTCTCCGGGCTAGGGAGGCTGAGCGGGCCTGGCACCCGGCCGCCCGCGGACACCCAGTCGGGCCCGCCCAGTCGGGGCGTGAGGCTGCAGGCGGGGACCGGGAGAGGCGGCCCCAGGGGCCCCAGGTCGTCGCTGAAGGCCAGCCGAGAGAAGCTCCCTCGCAGGGCGGCCAGGTCCGGGGACCCCCGCGCCGGCGGGAGGCTGTGCGCAAATGGTTCCCGGGGGGCCGCCCGGGCTCCTGCGGAGCCGCCCGGGGCTCTCGGTGGCCGCTGCTCCTCGGCGCCCGCGCCAGGCCGGGCCCCTGTCTTGGCGCGGAGCTCGTCGGCCACCGCCAGTTGCGCGTGGTGCGGCCTCTCCGGGTGGTAGAACTTGCACTTGATGCCATAGGTGCATTTCTTGCCTGAAAGGGGCGGGGGCAGAGAGGGCGCGACGTGAGGCCCGGGGGCGCGGAGGGGCGGTGGTTCCTGGTGCATCCGGGGAGTGCCGGCCCGCGGCCTCTCCGTGGAGATTCCTCCAAGCAGGCCCCCAGGCCGCCGCGGACTCCTCAGACTCAGCGCCCTGGAAACGCCTCAAGATCTGGGCGCGGGGCCGAGGTGGGGAGAAGTGCCCGGGAGGCGCGGGCGGCCTGGGTGAGGGGGCGCTGAGCACACTCATCCCAGGGTATGCAGAGGAGTGTCGTTCCCAGGTCCCTTTGACCAGGGACTAAGACCAAATCTCTGGATTCAAAGACTTTCAGCCTCCAATTGCCCAGGGACCCTGTGGATAGGGCCAGGCTTAGGGAGCGGGCGGTAGGGAGTGGGTGCTCGGGGCAGAGGACTGCGCCTGCAGTGCCGCCTCAGTTCCCACCGTTCTCCGTGTTCGCTGTGCTAACGCTTGCCCTCACCCTGCACGCTGTTCTAACAGAGTCGTGAACAAATGGTCAAGTGTTACTATCCAAACCCAAGGCTTCTGAGAGTGAAAGGGGGAAGGAGGAGTCAGCCTGAATGTATGTATGGTCACCTAATTCTAACAAGAAATGATTGACTGTCACCCAAGTCTTTACTGAACTTGGAAACATCAAATAACTTGACGAAGCAAGTCAGTGAAAGAGCTGGCTAGAAGGCTGGCATCCCCCAGGGTGCTGGGATAAAATTCTTAACTCTTCATGGATAGCAGTGACCAAAGTCCATAGGGTGGAGGGGTGGAGAGCAGGGTAGGGTGAGGACAGAAGCTGCCAGGGGCCAGGTGAAGGGACTGAGACCCGCAGCTGGGTTTGTGTCCAGGCTCCCGGCTTCTCAGACACAGCTTTGCTGTGTGCATGACCCCTGCATCCGACCCTGGCATGGGATCCTGGCTCCCATGAAATCACCGGCCAGGATGTCAGTTCTACAATAACCCTGTCAGGAAAGTTAACTCTCCAGGTAGCACAGCTGGAGGGCAGAACTTGGGCAAGAGCCCAGGCCGCTGAGCACCAGGCCAGCGCTTTTTGACTGTGCTCCTGTACTGCCCCCACACAAGGCCCTGAACAGGGCCTGCGAAGCACTGGGCCCTACCCACCATAAGGACAATGCTGCCAGGATGGCTCTGGGGGCTTCGGCTTCCTGCTCAGGAAGTTGCTCAGGGAGGGTCCATGGCGGCCCAGGGGGTCATCAGGCGGCATGAACCTGGAAAATAAGCACAGGGGCAACTGCAAGACCACCTGGGATTTGCCACCAGCACCTGTACAAAGGGAGCAGGCCCAAGTTCCCCAAGAACACCAGGAAGCATTCGGCCCCGGGCCCACCATCACCCAGCAGGATGTCACAGCATCTTAAAGCAAAACCTTCCCTTCACACTGAACCCCATGCAGAGCACACAGCACAGCTCTGGCCCTCTTTGGGTGTTTCTCCTGTTGTGGTTCAAGCCAGCAGTGTCAGAATCACCTAGCAACTTAAAAATGCAGTCATCTGAGTGCAGTGGTTCACATGGGTAATCCCAACACTTTGGGAAGCTGAGGCAGAAAGATCCCTTGAGCTCAGGAGTTCAAGACCAGCCTGGACAACATAGTGAAACCTTGTCTCTACAGAAAGCAAAAAAAAAAAAAAAAAAGAAAATTAGCCAGATGTGGTGGTGAATGCCTTTAGTCCCAGCTACTCGGGAGGCTGAGATGGGAGGATGGCTGAGCCTGGGAGATGGAGGCTGCAGTGAGTCATGATTGTGCCACTGCACTCCAGCCCCGGTAACAGAGTGAGATCCTGGCTAAAAAAAAAAAAAATGACAGCCTCCGAGCTTCGCGCAAGACCTGCTTCATCAGAATCTGAAGTTGTTCAGGAATCTGCACAACTGGGAGATTGAGGTGGGCAGATTGCCTGAGCTCAGGAGTTCACAACCAACCTGGGCAACACGGTGAAACCTCATCTCTACTAAAAAATACACAAAAATTAGCTGGGCATGGTGGCGGGCACCTGTAGTCCCAGCTACTGGGGAGGCTGAGGCAGGAGAATTGCTTGAACCCGGGAGGCGAAGGTTGCAGTGAGCCGAGATCATGCTACTGCACTCCATCCTGGATGACAGAGTGAGACTCCTTCTCCAAAAAAAAAGAACTTCCCAGGTGATTTTTATCCAGGAAAATGAAAGTATAATTGCTCTAAGGGCTCCTCTGGCTTCCCACTGTCCTCAACAAAAGGTTAGAAACCTCTATGAGGTTAACAGCTCCAGAAAAGCCAGGAGTGGTGTCATACCCCTGTAGTTCCAGCTACTAGAAAAGCTGAGGAAGGAGGATCCCTGGAGTCCAGGAGTCCAGCCTGGGCAACAGAGCTAGACTCTATCATCTCTAAATAAACAAACAAACAAAAAACAGTTCCAGAAGGTTTCAGAGTTGTATGAGCTCCTTGAGGCTTAGGTCCCATTTCTCCTGTGTTTCACCCCGTGCCAAACACAGCTCTGGGCTGTGAACCTCCAGGCGAAGAGATTCAATAGGAACAGGGAGTTTGAATCAGTGAGGAAGTGGATCCCAGGTGCTGCCTGCACATACAGCCACCTCGCAGACTTAACCTCCTCCTCTGCGCACCCTGGGGGCACAGGGTCTGGTCTTAGTTTCCTTGGCTGCCCTGCCCCTGATCTGCCCTTCTCTCCTCCCTGGCATGGAGCCCTAATGAGGAAGGGAATGCATGCTCAGAGTTCAACAGGGAAAACCCAATTCCTCAGAAGGAAAACGCCCCTCGCTGAGTGAGGTCCACTTTTTACATAAATACTTTTGTTCCCAAGGCCACTTCCAGGTCATACAAAGGTTCTGTAGAGAGGTTGGGATTGTAAATCAAGGAGAAGATGTTTTATGGGTTGCTGTCCCCCTAAGAATCCAGAGTCATGCTGAAGTCCCACTCTGCAGAGAGCTGGGTGATCCCCGGCCCTGTGTGGCCTCCATAGCTCAGCTCCCAGCTGCACAGCCGGCTTCTCAGAATTGGGCCTTGACCAAGAATCTGGGGAACCGCCCACTGTGGTTATTAAACGTTCCCAAAGACTTCCTCTCCTGCTCTCTCAGGAGCAGGAGCTGTGCCAAGAGGGCCCTGTGGACGTGCCCGGGGCACCAGGGCAGGCGCCCTCGCTCACAAGCGGGCGGCAGGTCCTGCCTCCTGGCAGGCCCTTAACGGAGGCCAGTGCGTCAAAAGGACTTGGCTCCCGCCCCAGGCTGTCATCAGGCCAGAGATGGCCATGTCCCTGAGAGCTCAGTGAGGATTTCTGGAGCCCATAGTTACCAGACTAGCCAGATTCCTCCAGGCTACAGACGGACAGTGAGAGCCGCTGGCCTTTTGTAGCTGGAAATGACAATGGGGGCTCCTGCAGGGCGCTGCTGCCATGCCTCTGGCCCTCCACCTCCACGGCTGCAGGGGCAGTTGGCCTTGGGGACCACAGTACCCCCTGCTGCACCATGTCCTGGGAATAGCTGCTACCACTTCTGGGGCACAATTCTCTCTAGTCCTCACAATGATCTCAGAGGTGACATTATTAATCCCTTTTCAAGGTGAAGAACATTCAGCTCAGAGAGGTTGAGTGGTTCCCCCTTGACTCCCAGCCAGTAAGTGGCAGGGCCTCAGATGGAAACCTCACCTGCCCTCTCCAAAGCCCCAGCCCTTTCTCAAACACCACACTGTGTCCCTGGGTCCAGAGTCAGCAGCTGCTCAGCCGTGTGCAAGCAGCCTAAGCCCAGACCTCTTTCCCCATCGACCCTTCCCCAGCCATAGCCATTCACTCGGTCATTCCTTTACAACTAGTTACTGCACCCCTGTGGGCCAGGCGTGCTGGAGACACCGCACGTAAGACAGATACAGTCCCGGCCCTCACAGAGCTGAGGAGTTTGTCTAAAACCACGTTCCAAAAAGTCAGTCAGAGAGCCCAGAATGAGGGCCAAGCTAACACTGCCTGGAACAGAAATGGAAATGGGAGCAACAGCCCAGCTGGCTGTGCTCTGTCACACGCTGCTCGGGTCTCCAGACCCTCATCCACCTTGCCAGTGTCTGCCCTCACCATTAGCTGAGTGGTTTGTGCCTGTGGCCCTGTGTCCCTCTCTGCCTCCAGCCATAGCCGGTTGGTCTGGGATGAACTGACCCAAGAGGCCTATTTCAGGGCTACATGAACCAGCCAGGTTCTCTTGAACATTTCAACCCAGAGTCAGGGCCAGGCAGGGGGAGATATTTACAGCCCAGAAGAAAAGATTCTGGGCTGGGCTCAGTGGCTGACACCTAAAATCTCAACACTTTGGGAGGCTGAGGCAGGAGGATCGCTTGAGCCCAGGTGTTCAAGGCTGCAGTGAGCTGTGATCATGCCACTGCACTCCAACCTGGGCAATAGAGCAAGACCCTGTCAAAGAAAAAAAAAAATCTGTTGCCTACTCCCATATGTAATTCAAAATTTTGATTTAAAAAAAAAAAAAAGACAGCCAGGCACGGTGGCTCAAGCCTGTAATCCCAGCACTTTGGGAAGCCGAGGTGGACAGATCACAAGGTCAGGAGATCGAGACCATCTGGCTAACATGGTGAAACTCCATCTCTACTAAAAATACAAAAAATTAGCCAGGCATGGTGGTGCGTGCCTATAATCTCAGCTACTCGGGAGGCTGAGGCAGGAGAATTGCTTGAACCTGGGAGGCAGAGTTTGCAGTGAGCCAAGATTGAGCCACTGCACTCCAGCCTGGGTGACAGAGCAAGACTCCATCTCAAAAAATAAAATAAAATAAAATAAAATAAAATAAGACAAAAACCTGAAATAAGTGAAAAGCAATACAACAAAGTACAGATCTTTTCCATGATGACTATTTCAATATTCTGAAGTATGCAATTCTGTTTTTTTAAGTTAGTGGTGCCCTAAACACATGCTTGCATGCTTGGCCCACCTCTTGGGCTTCTCTGTGGTGTGTCAGATGTGGCCCTGGGAACAGCAAGGTCAGAGCAAAGCAGCCCACCTATTGGGGACGTGCCCGCCGAGAATGCGGACCTGGGGGAGCTCTGTCTGAGGGGCTGGGTGACCGGGTGACCCCAAGCTCCTCCACCTGGTAGCAGGCGTGGCCACTGCCTCGACCCCGGCCCCCCGCCCCGCCGCCCCCCAGGGTGTCAGGACCCCAGCCGGACCTACCGGTCGTTGACGAAGGAGAACATGAGCAGCCTCTGCTCGATGAACCACTTCCACTCGGGGTTCTCGCTCTGCAGGTCCCGGTAGTTGTCGTTGGAGACGATGACGCCGTCCTGCTCGTAGGCCACCTTCACGATGTAGCGGTCGTCGTAGCAGACCAGGCGCTTGCCGTGCACCTTGCGGGACGGCGTGTACACCAGCACCGCCTGCCGCTCCAGCTCCGCCAGCACGTGCTGCTCTGAGGGCGGGGCGACGGAGACGCGGGTGAGGGCCCAAGGGCACCGCCCCTGAGAACCACCCCCAACGCGAGGCCACCCGCTTCCCGGGCCGGTCAGATGAGGTTTTGAGGGGAGCGGGGAAAAAACACCAGTTTTTGCCGCCATAGCGTTCGCTCCTTTCACTCAATTTCACTGAATTTGCCTGAAGCCCCAGGTCAAGCAGGCAGGCGCGTGGCTTCCGTCCTGCCCACATCATGACAGGAGTCCAGAAAGCGATACTCTACAAGGGAGAGTCACTTCAGAAGGAAGGGTTCAGCCACAGCCCTTGTCCTTTTGAGGGTTCCATGCCACAATGCCCCTATCGCAGCAGGCACAGGGGCCTCCTGGAGAAAGACATTCCTGTATTAACCCGGACCTTGATGATGCCTTCAGCATGACGGGGAGCCTGGCATTCACCTGGAAAGCCCTGCATGGGCCCCTAGCTGGGAGCCAGAGGTCCATCTTCTCCCACCATCCAGGAACCTGCCTGGGACACCTTTGGGATGGAGCACCCCATCACTGACAGATACAGGGACTCAAGAACATCATAGAAAGCATCCAGGACTAGGAATCCAGCCTGGAGTCTGGGCCGGGCTCCAGTTCCTGGGTACTTCACCCCGGTTGAATGTCCATCCAGTTTTATATTTATAAAATGAAGATAGCAACGCCTCCTCTTCCTGTCTCAGAGTGTCTGTGAGTGGACTGAGCTCAAGTGAGTGCGAGTTCTTGCAAAAACTAGTCAAGAGGTAAACATGCACCAGATGGTACAAACATTACAAGGCCTTTCTTATCAGAGGCTAAAATCTGCATCCCAGGAGGGTCAGCTGTTTGATCTGGATTTTGCCTTTGGAGACATGCAGGAAAAAAAAAATCCGTTTGACACATAATAATTACTCAGGTCCCTCAAGTTTAAGTCCTTTCCCATATGACACTGTTGGCTGATTTTTAAAACGTGCATAATGCAGCTATGGTACAAAGAACAAAAATAAAGACGCCACATATCTAGCACCTCCTTTGAGAAATAGGAGGTGGCTCATGTTTGGAAGTCCCCTCTGCCCCCTCAGTCTGCGATCCTCTCCATTCCCCTTAAGCCCTTAGGACAACCCTAGTTTTAGAACTCCGTGTTTATGATTTCCTTGCTTTTATTTTTAAAAATGCAGATTATGAGAATCATTTTCTTTCTTTCTTTTTCTTTTTTTTTTTCGTTTCTTTTTTTTTTTTTTTTTTTTTTTTTGAGACAAGATCTCACTGTGTCACCCAGGCTGGAGTGCAGTAGCACAATCATGGCTCACTGCTGCTTCTACCCTCAAGGCTCAGGTGATCCTCTTACCTCAGCCTTCCGTGCAGCTAGGACTACAGGCATGCACCACCACGCTCAGCTAATTTTTTTATTTTTTGTAAAGATGGGAATTCGCCATGTTGCCCAAGCTGGTCTCAAACTTCTAGACTCAAGCATCCACCCACCTCAACCTCCCAAAGTGCTGGGATTACAGGCGTGAGTCACCATGCCCCACTGAGGATCATTTTCAGTGTGGTTACACATCAGACTTGACACAAATGGAATCATACTATACATATACTTAAGCAGCTTGTCTTTTTCGTTCATCATTGTGTTTGCGAGGTTTGGTTGTGCCATATGTTCATCACTATTAGTCCTGCATCTAAGTCCCCGGCACAGAAGAGGCAAGGACCTCTTCAGGGTATATCTCCAAGAGTGAATATGGCTGAGCTGTATGGAAGGCACTTTACAAGGTAATGCCAAATTGTTTTCCAGAGTGGCGATGCCAAGTTACATACCCAACACAGCACATAAGACAACCTTGCCGATACTTGGCATTTTCAGGCTTTTGGATGTTTGCCAATCTGGTGGGCACAAAATGGCCTCCTATTGTGGTTTTATTTTGCATTTCTCTGGTTGCTAATGAGATTGAGCATCTTTTCATATGTTTGTATGTTTATATGGCCATATATGTTTTCTTTTCTGTAAACAGCTTATTCATGCTTTAGCCCATCTTTCTGTTGATTCATTGTCTTTGTCTCTTTGATTTGGAGAAGTTCTCTCAAGATCTAGGCAGTAATCCTTCATCAGTAATGTGTGATGTGTAACCCGCCCCCACACCCTCACCCCAGTTTGAGACTTGTCTTTCCACTTTTTTGTTTTTGTGGTATCTGTTAATGAATAAAAGCTTTTATTTTAGTATAGTCAAATGTATTCATCTTTCTTCATAAGTTTGCACTTGTTGTGGCTTATTTAAAAATTCCTTCCCTATCCCAAAGTAATTTCTCTACTTTTCCCACATTATATTTAAGTATTACACTACTGTTGAAATTCACCATTCTTCACATTCAGACCATAAAGAATAATTCAGGACAACCAGTTCATGACAGGGAACTGAACACAAGTATTTATATTCCCTCTTTCTCATAGTTCCAATGTAATGAAAGGTGGGGGGAGATCTATAATCATGTTAAAAGTAGGTTTGGGGACAGCAGCAAACCCAGGATTTTGACATACTTTGGGAAGACAGAAAGCAGAGAGGATTGTATTGATTGTGCAGCATGGAGGGAACCACAGCCCAGAATATGCGCAGAAGGCTGGAGTGGAGGTGGGAGCCATTGCCCTGCAGTCTTGGAGCACTTCTGGTGGTGGAGATGGAGTGGAAGTCGGGCAAAATCGGGATGACTAACAGGTGAGCTGAGCTACTCCCTGGCAGCTGCTCCCAGGAGAATGGACCTCCACTCATTTCCCATCCCTATCCCTATAAAGAAAGTGAAGCTACAACTAGGAAGGAAGAAGCCTCCCATTGTGGCTGTTGACCTCCTAGAATAAAACCATCATCATTCTGCCATTGGAATAAGTGGTGGGCAGAGGCGCCAGGCTGCCTGCCTGCTCCATGCCAGGTATACTAAAGTGAAAACTGCCAGTCAACACAAATGGTCCACACTGCCATTCAGGGAGAAGTTTTCATACTAGGAGAGAAAACCCATGGCAACTGCGCAGATATAGTCATGCACTGCATAACAATGATTCAGACCACGTGTGTGACAGTGGTCCCATAAGACTATAACAGAGTTGAAAAATTCCTATCATCATAGCCATCCTGACCTTGTAGTGTGACGTGTGACTCATGTGCCTGAGGTGATGCTGGTGGAAACACTCTTCTGTGCTGCCAGTTGTGTAAAAGTCTAGCACGTACAATTATGTACAGCACATAACACTTGATCATAATAATAAAGAGCTTTGCAGCTGCTCTCTTCTCACAGGTGAGCATCCCTAATCCAAAAATCCGACCAACATGATGTTCAAAGCAAATACTCATTGGAGCATTTCAGATTTGGGATTTTTGGATTAGGAATGCTCAGCCAGTAAGCATAATGAAAATATTCAGAAATCCAAAACACTTCTGCTCCCAAGTACTTCAGATAAGGGATACTCAACTGTATAAGAAGCCAAACAACAAACAAGACCCTGTTTGTTTAAACCACAGTGTTCTGACCGTGCCTGGTGGCTCATGCCAGTAATCCTAGCACTTTGGGAGGCCAAGGCAGAGGGATGGCTTGCGTCCAGAAGTTAAAGACCAGCCTGAGCAACATGGTGAAACCCCATCTCTACAAAAAACAAAAACTAGCTAGGGCAGGGTGCGGTGGCTCACACATGTAATCCCAGCACTTTGGGAGGCAGAGGTGGGTGGATCACCTGAGGTCAGGAGTTCAAGACCAGCCAACATGATGAAACCCCATCTCTAATAAAAATACAAAAATTAGCTGGGCGTGGTGGCACGCGCCTGTAGTCCCAGCTACTCAGGAGGCTAAAGCAGGAGAATCGCTTGAACCTGAGAGGCAGAGGTTGCAGTGAGCTGAGATTGTGCCGTTGTACTATGGCCTGGGCGACAAGAGTGAAACTCCATGTCAAAAAAAAAAAAGAAAGAAAGAAACTAGCTGGGTGTGGTGATATGCACCTATAGTCCCAGCTACTGAAGAAGCTAAGGTAGGAGGATCTCCTGAGCCAGGGGAGAGCAAGTCTGCAATGAGCCATAGTGAGACTCCATCTCAAAACTAAATAAATAAATAATAAAACTGCAGTATTCTAATATTTGTAGGTTAAAATATTCCTAGCTGATTGAAGAATTAAAAATGAAGAGGCTGGGTGAGGTGGCTCTCGCCTCTAATCCCAGCACTTTGGGAGTTCGAGGTGGGCGGATCATGAAGTCAAGAGATTGAGACCATCCTGGCCAACATGGTGAAACTCCATCTCTACTAAAAATATAAAAATTAGTTGGGTGTGGTGGCACATGCATGTAATCCCAGCTACTTGGGAGGCTGAGGCAGGAGAATCACTTGAACCCGGGAGGAGGAGGTTGCAGTGAGCCGAGATCATGCCACTGCACTCCAGCTTGGCGACAGAGCAAGATTTGGTCTCAAAAAAAAAAAAAAAGAAGAAGAAGAATTCCCTGGGTCTCAGTTTTCTTCTTCTTTTTAAATAAAGAGATTAGATGAAGTACTTGGTAAATAAGTATTACCTGACCAAATAAATGTCTCTTTCAAATCCTATAAACTATTAGAAGTGGAATACAGATCCAGTGTCTCTTCAGGTGTTAAAAGTTGTCAGGCACAATTATTTTGATAACTTAACACACCAAAAGAGTAGTTTGTTCATTCATCTACTCAACAACTGCTTATTGAACGCCTAATTTTGAACTACTTGTTGAATACCAGGTGTTACGCTAGGTGCTAGGTGCTAGGGCTATGGCATTGAACAGTCATAATCAGTGCCTTCATGGAGCTTATAGCGCAGTGAGGAAGACAAATATCATTAAACAAACAACTAAGTAGATATTTGACTATCGATGTTAGAAGTGCACCAAGGAAACGTGTCTAGTACCTCTTGAGCATACATCTGCTCCAGCATACCTCTGATAGGGGTGTCAGCTCTTGGTGGGTCCTTCCTCCAGGATGGAACAAAAACTTTGATGTAGGTGTGTCCTCTGTCCCTGAACCAGTCAACAGCCAGCTTGATTCCCCGGCAAGAGAAGGTTTCTTTATTTCCATGGCTACAATGGGAAAACAAAGAAATCATAGAGACACAGCAAGTGTTCCTAAGAGTGATTTCCCTGCGAATATCCTGGATCACAGTCTCATAATCAAGAGGGAACCAGGAAAATCTATGTTTTAGGCCAGGAGTGGTGGCTCATGCCTGTAATCCCAACATTTTGGGAGGCCAAGGTGGGCAGATCACTTGAGGTCAGGAGTTTGAGATCAGCCTGGCCAACATGGTGAAACCCCATCTCTACGAAAAATACAAAAATTACCGAGGTGTAGTGGTGCACACCTGCAATCCCAGCTACTCTGGAGGCTGGGGCAGGAAAATCACTTGAACCCGAAAGATGGAGGATTCAGTGAGCTGCAATCCCACCACTGCACTCCGGCCTGGGCAACAGAGGGAGACTCTGTCTCAACAAAAAACAAAACAAAACAAAAAAAAACCACACACACACACAAGAAAATCTACACTTTAAAGATAGTTCATTCTTCCATTTACAAATAATAACCATTAACAAGAACCACATAGCTTGTGATAGGTATGTAGAGGGTCTTGGGCTCTGTTATAGCTAATATCAAGTGTCAACTTGATTGGATTGAAGAATGCAAAGTATTGTTCCTGGGTGTGTCTGTGAGGGTGTTGCCAAAAGAGATTAATATTTGAGTCAGTGGACTGGGAGAGGCCAACCCTCCCTCAATCTGGGTGGGCACCATCTAATCAACTGCCAGCATGGCTAGAACAAAACAGGCAGAAGAAAGTAGAATGAGCGGACTTGCTGAGTCTTCTGGCCTTCGTTTTTCGCCCGTGCTGGATGCTTCCTGCTCTTGAACATCAGACTCCAAGTTCTTCAGCTTTTGGACTGTTGGACTTACACCAGGGGTTTGCCAGGGGCTCTTGGGCCTTTGGCCACAGACTGAAGGCTGCACTGTCGGCTTCCCTATTTTTGAGGTTTTGGGCCTTGGACTGGCTTCCTTGCTCCTCAGTTTGCAGATGGTCTATTATGGGACTTCACCTTGTGATCGTGTGAGTCACTACTCCTTAATAAACTCCCCTTCATATATACATGTAGCCTATTAGTTCTTCCCTTCAGAGAATCCTGACTAATACGGCTCCAAGAATACATTCTGAGGACTAACAGACAAGACCCTCTCTTTAACTGAAGCTAAGAATGATCAACATAAGACAGATAGGAGTAGCCATCTACAGAATCACTCTCACCCTGAGAGATGGTTGTAAATGTGTTATTGGGTTTCCCAAGTCCAAGCAAGGAGGGCAATGCCCTTCAAATTCCATAGAAGACTTCAATGGAGGCAATAAGGAGAGAGTGGTATGAGATCAGGCAGGGCCTTGCAGACATTATGGAAGATTCCTTTCTTCCTCCTAAGAGGAATTAAAAAGCCACGGAAGGATTTCAAGATTGGAAGTAGATGATGTGATGCGTTGTGATGATTCAAAAAGCTCAATCTGAGGCCGGGCGTGGTGGCTCACGCCTGTAATCCCAGAACTTTGTGAGGCCGAGGCAGGTGGATCATGAGGTCAGGAGATCAAGACCATCCTGGCCAACATGGTGAAACCCTGTCTCTACTAAAAATACAAAAATTAGCCAGGCGTGGTGGCGCATGCCTATAATCCCAGCTACTCAGGGGGCTGAGGCAGGAGAATTGCTCGAACCTGGGAGGCGGAGGTTGTAGTGAGCCGAGATCGCGCCACTGCACTCCAGCTTGGGCGACATAGCAAAAATTGACGGTGACTTGGACTAAGCTGATGGTGGTGGATGAGGGAGAAGAGTAGGTGAACTTGAGAGATATTTATTTAGAAGGTCAAATCTCCAGAACTCAATGACTGATTGGATATGGGAGTGATAGAGAAGAAGGCATCAAAGATGACTCAAGATCTCTGGCTTGTGTAAGAGGATGGCAGGCTATTCACTGACACCAGGAATTCTGGAAAGGAACAGGGTTAGAGGGAAAGATCATGAGTTCTATTTTAGACACATATTGAGCTGTTAACATTTCCACTTAGAGGAAATGTTAAGTAAACAGCTAGGGTTCAGTGGAGATGTCTGAGTGATTAAAGTTGTAGGCCGTCTCTGTGTAAGCAATAGCTGAGGCCACAGCATGGACAGAATTTCCTGCTCGCCTGGAGAGAAAGTGAGCAGCCTGGGCTGGAGGAACTCTGCGACTTCGCAGCTGGTTATAGGTAGAGGGGGGCAATATCATATGGGACTCAGGAGGGACGGATCTGAGAAGGAGGAAGAAAACCAGAGGATGTGCATCAGGAAAGCCAGGGGAAAAGGGGTCACCAAACGCTGCTCCAAGTGACTGGTGAAACCTGAAGACGTCCCTCAGACTCAGTCAGTGGGGTCAGTGGGGTTTCGCTGGAGGGAGACAAGTGGATAGATTTGAGATATTGAGAAGGCAAAATCAACTGGACTCAGCCATGTGTGAGACAGAACCTGGCCTCAAATTAGATCACTCCACATCCTCTTCCGCCTTCAGATCCCAGCTTCATCCTCACTTCCTCAGGAAAGCATCCCCTACTCCCTAGACTCCTGCAGATCCCTCTCACGAGCTCTCACTGCACCCTCCCGCTCCTTCCTGGCACTGGGGAACGTTGGCACCCATCCAGGGGATTGCCTGGGTCTCCCTTCTTTAAACCGTGGGCTCCTCTTGCTCACCACAGAACTCTCAGTGCCCAGCATCGTGTCTAATAATTGTAATGACTCACTTTAAAAGCTGTTGAATAAACGAATGGCTGAGAAGAAACTCAGCTGAGAAGCAGCTAGAGGAGAAGCTGAAGCAAAGGGAAGAGCTGACCGGAAGGATCCAAACACAGGCATAACTGACATGGTCTAGGGACCAGAAAGACAGGAGTGGGGCTGGAGCACGAGGAATGAGCCCGGGCAACAGGTGTAAAGGGAGGGGCAAGGATAAGTTCTTAGAGAGCCAAGGGCCACTACGCCACTCGTGCCTTCTCCCGAGAAGCCTGGCAGCCAACCCATATGCAGACAAGGATGACATTTTGAATTCACACTGCTGTGCTCTCTCTCGTATGTGACCTTTCCTGCTATTTTCTCAAGGAAGATTAGGATAGTCACAAGTTTATAAAAGAAAAAGGACGCGGTGGCTCATGCCTGTAATCCCAGCACTTTGGGAGGCTGAGGTGGGCGGATCACCTGAGGTCAGGAGTTCAAGACCAGCCTGACCAACATGGTGAAACCGCATCTTTACTAAAAATACAAAAATTAGCTGGGTGTGGTGGCACGTGCCTGTAATCCCAGCTACTGGAGAGGCTGAGGCTGGAGAATCGCGTGAGCCTGGGAGGCAGAGGTTGCAGTGAGCTGAGATCAAGCCACTGCACTCCAGCCTGGGTGACAGTGTGAGACTCTGTCTCAAAAAAAAAAAAAAAATGAAGAAGATAAATATCCCTTTCGCTACTGAGGCTGAACTCTGAGGCTTGTACAGTGAGGAGAAAATATCAACAGGGATATCTGTGGTCAAAAGGAAGAGGAAGGCCGGGTGTGGTGGCTCACACCTGTAATCCCAGCACTTTCGGAGGCCAAGGAGAAAGGATCACGAGGTCAGGAGATCGAGAGCATCCTGGCTAACACGGTGAAATCCTGTCTCTACTAAAAATACAAAAAATTTAGCTAGGTGTGATGGCATGCACATGTAGTTCCAGCTACTCGGGAGGCTGAGGCAGGAGAATCACTTGAACCTGGGAGGTGGAGGTCACAGTGAGCTGAGATCGCACCACTGCACTCCAGCCTGGGCGACAGAGCGAGACGCCATCTCAAAAAAAAAAAAGGGGGGGGGAAGAGGAAGCAGATCGCTGGTCCTTTCCAGCCCAGCAGAAGCTGAAAAAGAGGGAAGATGGAAGGAGGAGGAGGTCCTCACCCCACCCCCCAATTCCAGCTCCACCCAGCCCAACCATAGGGGAGGGGGAGATGGAGAAACATCAAGACTGTGAACAAGAGGCTGAACCTTTGTTTTTCAGCACAGACTGGGCAGGCTGCAAGCCCCTCAGAGAAACCAGGTTTCTGCAAGGCTGCCTTGGAGGAACATGACTTGGAGGAGAAGTGAGTCTGAAGCCACACCCCATCCCTCGCATGACCCCAGGCCTGGTGGACTGTCTGGGGATGGACAAGCTGGCACCAGTGAGCAGAGAGCACTTTAAGCCAGCATGGCTCCCAGAAGGCCACTTCCATGTTTCCCGTTTAGAGGCCAGGCCAGCCCAGCCACTGTGCAACAGAACCCAGTGAGGGCCCCAGACCCCTTTTCCGGCCAATATCAGGTCTCAAAGGCCCCAGAGGCCATCCGAGATGGGAGGGGGCGGAGAGGAACCACAGAGCCTGAGTCGCCCAGGAGACAGAAGAAACGGAGGCCCCACCTGATGTACACTGGCAAACGTTAAGATGTACCCTCCCCTACCTAAAAAAGAGGGGAAGATATCGTGCCTGTCATAGAAAATGAGGTCCGTTTTCTGTGTCCCTGAAGCAGTAAAGTGAACAATTGATGACACCCTCCCTCACGTCACCCCCGAGACACATGCATCTCTTCAATGTAGTCAAGTCCACCCTCAGTTAATTCTCAAGGGAAAATAGCACCACCACAATTATTTTAAAACTTGTTTCTTGGCTGGGTGCTGTGGCTCACGCCTGTAATCCCAGCACTTTGGGAGGCCGAGGCGGGCGGATCACGAGGTCAGGAGTTCGAGACCAGCCTAACCAACATGGTGAAACCCCGTCTTTACTAAAAATACAAAAATCAGCCAGGCGTGGTGGCGCATGCCTGTAATCCCAGTTACACAGGAGGCTGAGGCAGGAAAATCGCTTGAACCCGGGAGGGAGAAGTTTCAGTGAGCCGAGATCAAGCCACTGCATTCTAGCTTGGGTGACAGAGCAAGACTCCATCTCAAAAATAAAATAAAATAAAATAAAATAAAATAAAATAAAATAAAATAAAATAAAATAAAAAAGCTGTTTCTTAATTGCTGCTCTTTTTTCAGGGTCTCCTTCCATATTTGCATTTAACCATTCACAAGCCATCTCTGACACCTTTGGTGGGTGTAGGAGGCAGTGTTCAGTGGTGAGAGACAGGAAGGGAACCTGGACCCTGGCAGAGCTCTCAGTCGCCCTGGGAGCCCACTCCCCAGCACACAGACAGGAATGCACACACCAAAGGCATCCACTCATCTGCACGTTCCTTCACAGACTCAGTGCAATTCCTGAATATCTACTACAAGGCTCTGCACTGCATGCTAAGAAAAGACATCACCCCTGCTTCTTGGAGCTCTTTTTTTTTTATTTAAGAAATGGAGTCTCATTCTGTTACCCAGGCTGGAGTGCAATGGTACAATCATGGCTCACAGTAGCCTCAACCTCTCAGGCTCAAGCAGTCCTCCCACCTCAGCCTCCCAAGTCGCTGGGACTACAGGTATGCACTGCCACACCTGGCTAATTTTAAAAATTTGTTGTAGAGATGAGGTCTGGCTATGTTGCCCAGGCCGGTCTTGAACTCCTGGCCCCAGGTGATCCTCCCATGTTGGCCTCCCAAAGTGCTGAGATTACAGGCATGAGCCACTGCGCCTGGCCTTGGAGCTCATTTTTAAGATCTGTAGAGGGTTCTGTCTGCCAGGGCACTTTGCACGTTTTGCCTCATTTAATCATTACAAGAAGCCCTTGAGGAAGTGACCTTGTCCCCATTTTACCCTTGAGGAAACTGAAGCAAAACAATGTGTCCATCTCTCTGATCTAGGGGCAGCCCTCAAAGCCTGACCCCTTAGGCTGCAAAACTCTTCCTCCCTAGTCTCCCAAAGACCATTGATTCCCCCCAACTCCATCTATACCTCAGGATCCAGATGGCAGTTCTTTTGGAGGAATAGTAACCCACAGTTTAAATGCTCATGCTTAGAAAAGGCACCTCATGCCCTTATTAACCAACACTGTGAACCAGCTCATCAGGCAGCAAGCCGAGAGCCAGGCCCTGGGAAAAGGAGACAGGAGCTGGGAGTTTTGTTTTTGTTTTCTGTTTGTTTTTGAGACGGAGTTTTGTTCTTGTTGCCCAGACTGGAGTGCAATGGCGCAATCTCAGCTCACCACAACCTCCACCTCCCAGGTTCAAGCGATTCTCCTGCCTCAGCCTCCCGAGTAGCTGGGATTACAAGCATGCATCACCACACCCAGCTAATTTTGTATTTTTAGTAGAGACGGGGTTTCTCCACGTTGGTCAGGCTGGTCTCAAACTCCTGACCTCAGGTGATTCGCCTGCCTTGGCCTCCCAAAGTGCTAGGATTACAGGCATAAGCCACTGCACCCCACCAGAGATGGGAGTTTTGAATAACCAAAGGTACAAAGAGGAAGTGGGTTGGCACCCAAGGCAAATTTTGCCTGCCTGACAACTGTGCCTGGGGTAGCTGCAATCAGAGTGCCAGCCAGTTTCAGTAACTAGACAATCCAATTGTACACCACTGCATCTTTGACTATTGCCAAGTAGTTCCTGCAGAGGCTAGGGGCTCCCAAAGCAGTCACATATGGAGGAAGGTTGTGGCTATGGGCAGGAGGAAAGAGAGGAGCAATGATTCCTCAGGGGTCTGAGATGTGAAGGGAAGCTGCTCTTGCCACTCTGTTTCTTACTGGGGGTTCAATTGCAAACACTCTGACCCTTCTCACCAGGAGATCTCTCCCCAGCTCAAGGCAGGGGAAAGAGACCGTGAGCAGGGGCTGATCTGGGAGCTTTCGCCTTACAAGAAATGGGTGCAGACAGGCAGGAGCCCAAGGCTAACGTCAGACAGAACAGAGTCAGGGTCTCAGAAGCAGGTCTGACCCCCAGCCCGGTCATAAACCCCCACCATTCTCTTTCTTGCCTGCTGGGAACCCACTGAGGGGGGCATGATGAAAACTGAGAGGTATGATTTCAAGCCTGATCTCTCTCTTCCTTGGAGATCCCTTACTCCAGCACAAACCAGAGCCTGCAGAGTGTCCTGAGAGTGTAAAAATGTAAACAACAGCCAAAGCAAAAAGCCCTGTGCACTCCAAAATGAGGACACATTTACATGAAACCCTACTCTGGGGCAGTAAGAGGATGTGAAATTATCAGGTGCTTTCCCCCCAAGGTTGTACTTTGAATCCCGCCTTTTCTAGATTTGCCTACAGAATGTAAAACAGGCTGGGCACTTGTGAGTCTGCCCACCCTAGGCAAGAAAATGCTGCAACTCAGCCGGGAGCGATGGCTCAAGCCTGTAATCCCAGCACTTTGGGAGGCCGAGGCGGGTGGATCACTAAGTCAGGAGATCGAGACCATCCTGGCTAACACGGTGAAACCCCGTCTGTATTAAAAGTACAAAAAAATTAGCTGGACGTGGTGGCGGGCACCTGTAGTCCCAGCTACTTGGGAGGCTGAGGCAGGGGAATGGCGTGAACCCGGGAGGCGGAGCTTGCAGTGAGCCGAGATGGCGCCACTGCACTCCAGCCTGGGCGACAGAGCGAGACTCCATCTCAAAAAAAAAAAGAAAATGCTGCAACTGTTGGCTCGTGAGAATTCATGCTCTTCCCACACACCATGATGCCATTTTGAACACGCTTTCAATGAAAGCTGCCTTCTTTTTAAAAAGTTGCTGGACATTATTCTTAAAGCCAGGTATCTATGGACTCAGGTATTCAGCTGAATGACCCGAGCTGATGTCCCTCTCTTTCTCACGGAAACACACACACAGCCCTACCTTTAAGGTATGGAGACTGCACTGAGAAATCAGTCTTTGGGCTGCTAGTCCATGAGAGCTACTATTTGAGGCACATGTGGCACCCTGAGGGCATCCTGGGCACCAGCCCTGCAGAGGGTCCCTGTGAAGGGAGTGGGGCCTCACACCTGCCTGCAGCTGACAAGTCCAGGGCTTGTCAACTGCAGCCAGAGCCCGCCTCTGGGTCAGGGTCTCCTACCCTGTGGTCCTTTCCTAGGCCGGGGGAGAGCAGAAGGAATGGTAATGTCTGGGGGGAACATGGGGCATTGGAGAGAGCACTGAATCCAGAGCTGGCTCTTCTTGCTCTGTGACCTCAGGCAAGTTACTTACTCTCTCTGAACCTCTAAAGAAGAGAAATTCCTTTACGAGAAAAATGTATTGACCAGGCGCGGTGGCTCACACCTATAATCCCAGCACTTTGGAGGCTGAGGTGGGTGGATCACTTGAGGTCAGGAGTTCAAGACCAGCCTGGCCAACATGGTGAAACCCAGTGTCTACTAAAAATACAAAAAATTAGCCAGGCATATTGGCACACACCTGTAGTCCCAGCTACTCGGGAGGCTGAGTCAGGAGAATTGCTTGAACCCAGGAGGTAGAGGTTGCAGCGAGCCAAGATCTCACCACTTCACTCCAGCCTGGGCAACACAGTGAGACTGTCTCAAAACAAACAAACAAAAAACTACAAAAATTAGCCAGGTGTAGTGGCAGGCACCCGTAATCCCAGCTACTCAGGAGACTGAGGCAGGAGAATCAACTGAACCCGGGAAGTGGAGGTTGCAGAGAGCCGAGATTGGACCAATGCACTCTAGCCTGGCAAAAGAGCAAGACTCCGTCTGAAGAAAAAAAAAATAAAAATAAAATGTATATATTTATTTCAAGCATATGTAAAATAACCACCTTGAATCCTCACCCATTAGAGATGAAAAGGCCTTTTAAGGTTTAGTCCAACATCCTAATTGTGTAAATAGGGCTCAAGCCAGGTGACCTACCTAAGGTCACACAGCTGGATGGCTGAAAAGGGACAGCTGTACAGTCCAATCTACAGCCACTTGCCACACCTGGCTATTCACATTTAAGTTAAAATTAATTGAAAAAATAAAATATAGAAGCCAGTTCCTTGGTTGCACTGGCCACATTTCAAGTGCTCGAACGTCACACGTGGCAAGTGGCTCTGTGGGGACAGGGCAGGGGTGGGCCTTGCCCTCACTGCGGGGAGTTGTGTTGGGCAGCCCTGGCCTAGCGGTCCTGTACTTCTGACTTCCCTGGTTTCCTTTATGGGGTACAGCAAGAGGTCCAGCAAAACTGGGGGCAGCCATAGGTCTGTTTACCAGGTCCCCATCTTCCACTCTCCCCACATCATCACTTGGAGTTCTCATTACGTTGACCCACCTCTTACAAAATGAGGAATGATGCCAGTAGTCCTGCTTAGGAGAGCCCATTTCTGTAAAAAGCACTGGGCCAGTGGCCCACTCTGTCAACCTCCAGAGAGCAGCAGCCAGGTCTTCTGGGTTCAGCCAAGCACGACCAATGGCATTGGGCTAAACATTCTAAAGCACTGGGGAAAGAAGCCCACAGAAACTTCTACCTATTGTGTCATGGCTAGGAAGCACAGGTGGGGGTCAGGGTCTGATTCCAGCCAGTGTTGACCATAGTCAAGCCTGTCAAGTCCTTTCCTGTGTAACTGAGAGGGTCAGAACAAGAACTGATGGCCCACTCTCACATTCTCTGTGCTAACAGGGGACACATGGCCTAGTGCCTCCTGAAAGGCAGAGGAAAAATAAATCCCTGGCCACAAAGCATAGAATTATCTGTAATGTCTCATTCTATGTCAGTGGGTTATCATATTTTTGGGGATGACAGACCCTTTAAGTGTCTATTGAAAGCTGTGACTCTTTCCCCCAGAGAAACACATATATGTACACAGACATGCCACATTGTGTATATCATTTCAGGCCATTGCTGGCTTTGAAGATAGAAGGGGCCATGAGCTGAGGAACACAGTCTCTAGAAGCTGGAAAAAATAAAAAAGACTCTTCTCTAGAACTTCCAGAAGGACACTTCCAGGGGACAGAGCCACAGCCAGGAACAGGCACACTGAAGAACATTCCTGCCAACAGGAGCCACACTTCTCATCCGCTCAAGGTGGAAAGAACAGGTGTCCCACTCAGTCTTTAAGCCCCTCCCCACCACCGCAAGGCCAGACAGTGCATGAAGCAGTACTGCCTTCAAAAACAGAAAATGGCAATGTCTGCAATACTACAAAACCTCAGTGAAAGGGAATTTTCAGAAACCATGTTTCTGAGGTTAATTGAATTTTGAGGTCAACAGATAACAATGAGACACCACTTTGGGTTTCAATCACCCATTGCCTGTGAAGGGTCAGCACCCACCTGAACCTTTCACAACTAAGGATATGGCAGACCCGGAGGGACATGAGTCCTGTTAAAAGTCCCATTGGAGGACACAACAGATGTCACTGCAGAAGGGGCAGAGGATGGGGTGGAACCTCACACTCCACTCTCCCCAGAGCTTGCCTTTAAAAGGAACAAATTAAGTCCTGTGATCAGGTGGCGGTTGTGCTATTTGTCTCTTTTCCCTAACTACTGGGATCCAGGGAAGAGGGAGGGGATGTGTGTGTGTAGACACATTGTGTGTGTGTGTCCATATATGACACACACAGAGCACAGGTACATGTGTTCTGGTTAACTCAGGTGTTTTGGAGGTAGCCAGTGTGTGAGAACATTTATGCTCTGACACATTCTTCGTAGTGAGTCTGAGTAAGGGTTTCGATGTATAACCCGCACAGATTGAACATGAGAAAATTAATCTGATTGCAATCATGAGAGGTGGGGGGCAGAGGTGGGGGATCAATGGATGTACCCACGACACATTATGGTCATGTGCAAACAGAGGATGTGGCTTAAGTTTGACTCCAAGCAGCAACAGAGACTCCCATAAAAACAAAACCCTCCACCACCCCAAAGAGAATCTCTTTGGGGACTGGGCATGTTTTTTGTTGCCCCTGAAATAGTCTTTTTACCCTACAGCCACTCTGCTGTTTTGATTTGGAATCACAGAACTCATACAACCTTAGGGCTGGGAAGGTCTTTGATTTAAGCATTCAAAGCCTTCCTTCTATGGAAGCCCAGGGAAAGAGGTTCCTTGCTCAGATCATATAGAGGCCAGGCCCCTCTCACAACCCCTTCTAGTCTTTCTAGGACCCTCAGAACCTACTGGATTCTTAAAAATCCTTTTAGCTTCCCAGAGATCTTAAATTGAGCAGAATTTCATAGGTTTACCTATCTGGTGCCTATACATGACATGGGTGACAATGTGACAGAGACCCCATGGGCCAGCCCCTAAGTCCCAGGAGAAAGAGAGGGCTCCATCACCTGCTGATGGCATCAATGCCAGGGAGACTTAGCTGGTTAAAAGTGAAAAAAAAAAAAAAACTCAAAGTACACACCGCAAAAAGTGCAGGGACAGCCCCTGAGGCTGGACCATCTGGGCTGAACCATTGCAAACCTCGGTCCTGCAACACCAAATCCAAAGTGAGCCCAAATCCCCAGGGGAAACTCTCGGAGGCTCTGTTGACACATTCGGTGCCGCGGAGAATTGCTTTTCTGGATTCCCACCTATGGTGGGAGTAACTCAGCTTTTGAAAAGGGAAGCACATATATTTACAGCTGGGAGTGAACCATTTCCTATGGCTCTGCCCTTTGCACGGTTGTAACAAAGCCAAGCGGTAGAATAATCCACTTGTTTGGGCAACGCCCCACTTCGCCCAGCAGGGTGTTGGGGGAGGCTGCAGAGATTCCGTCACAGGGGAGCTTAGCCAAGACAGGCAGATAACAACTCGGGCGTGAGGCTGGCATTCCCAAAACCCACAAAGATGCCAACACACAAATGTTCACACAGCCGCATCTGCAGCTCAGGGGGCCACAAACAAATCTCTCAAACTTAAGGTAGCCGCAACACCGCCTCCCCAGCAACCCCAGCAGAGGGCTTCCAGCGCACTTCAAAGCACACCTTCCCCTCTGATGCTCATAACCTTGAGAGAGTAGAAGAGATATTTGTGGGCCTCTTTCACAGAAGAGGAAATGAGTCCTGCAGCTTTTCCAGAGTCTCGCAGCCGGTTAGGGACAGACTCCCAACAAGAAGCCACATCTGCCAACACTTGACCCAGGGCGCCTCCCTCATTACCACACCTTCCCCAAAAGAAGGCTCTTCCTCTGGGTTATGATCATAACAGCTACACTTGTTGATCACTTACTCTGTGTCAGGCACTATCCTAGGCATTTTGTGCACAAAAACCCTCTACAGAGATTTTATCCCAACCGTACAGATGGGAAAAATGAGCTCAGAGGGGTTAAGTGACTTGCTTAATGCCACACAGTTACTAAGAGATGGTACAGGGATTCAAAGCCTGATCCGTTGGCCCCAAAGCTCTTTGGACCAAACCACAAGGAAGAGGGACAGTTCTCAGGGCTCCTGCGAACAGGGGCCTCCCCAGCCCCAGCTACAGGATGAAGGGAAGCTACCTCATCGCCACGTTGCTGCCATCAATCACTATGGGTCGCAGAGAACTGGCCAGGGTTCTGAAGTCCTCTTCCAGGGCTGTCCCCGGGCCACGCTGGGCAGAGTCCGGGACCCCACAGGAGCCCCGAGGCACTAGCCTGGGTGCAGCCGGGTGCTCCAGGGCACCCGGGCGGCTGCCCGTGCGGATAAGCTCCTGCAGCACGTCGTTGACCAGGGCGCCCTCGCCCAGCTTGCCCAACACCCGGAGCACATCCTCCCGGTCATAGCCCAGCTTCTGGAAGAATTCCATCTTGCTGGGGTGCTCCATGCTGTGCCCAGCGGCCACTGGCGCAGGTCCTGCCCCAGGCTTCCTCCTCTCAGAGCCCTGCAGACATGAGCTAAAGAGAAAAAAAATGCATCCATCAGGTGTTTCCTGGGCAGACTGGGGCAAGGGCAAGGTGTGCCTGCGCTGGCTCCCTCCCGGCCTAGCTGTCAGGAAATCAGGTGGAGCCCAGTCCCACTGGGGACTTTCAGTTGCTCAATGTGGCTGTGGAGCTGCAGAAGCAATCACGCTGCTTTCACAGTGAGCTCACTGAGGCCTTCACCCCACACTGCCCGGCAGGGCACACACCCGACCGCACACCAGGGCTGCAGGGGCTGAGCGTGCACCTAGCACTCGGGACAGGCCAAACACAGGTTTCTTGTTTCTCAGACTCTGTGGGGGGCTGAATAGTGACCTCCCAAATTCCCATGGTAAATTCCTCACCCCAGTACCTCAGAGTGTGACTATATTTAGAGCTATGACCTCTAAAAGGAGGTCCCTAATCCAATATGACTGGTGTCCTTATAAGAAGAGGAAATTTGAACACATAACACACAGAGGGACCACCATGTGAAGACTCAGGGAGAAGGGAGAAAGCAACCCTGCAGGCACCTTGACCTTGAACTTCCAGCCTCCAGAACTGTGAGACGATGAATTTCCCTTAACGCCCCAGTCTGTGGTGCTTTGCTCTGGGGCACCCAGCTCTCGGGACAGGCCAAACACAGGTTTCAAGCAGACTAACACAGGCCCCTGGCTTACCCAGGGCCAAATGCCCCCGGGCGAATTCTACTCCCAGAAAGGCAGTGCTCCCACCCAAATTCTGCTTGCTGCCCTGCACAGCTTTCCCTAATGATTAACTCAGACCACACTGAACCTCTGCAATAGAAGGGCCTGCCCCGGCTGGGCATGGTGGCTCACGCCTGTAATCCCAGCACTCTGGGAGGCTGAGGCGGGCAGATCAAGAGGTCAGGAGATAGAGACCAGCCTGGCCAACATGGTGAAACCCCGTCTCTACTAAAAATACAAAAATTAGCCAGGCATGGTGGCGCACGCCTGTAATCCCAGCTACTTTGGAGGCTGAGGCAGGAGAATCTCTTGAACCTGGGAAGCGGAGTTGTGGTGAGCAGACATTGCGCCATTGCACTCCAGCCTGGGCAACAAGAGTGAAACTCCGTCTCAAAAAAAAAAAAGGGGCCTGCCCCAAATTTCATCCATCCCAGCCAGGCATTACAGCCTGACCTACACCGGGGGTTGGGGGGTGGCCTGGGAAGGGGGCTGTGTCCTGATAGATGGCTTCTAAATGATGATGATGAAACCAACAGGAACACTCTAGACAGCCTTGGTCCCTCTCTCTTTTCTACCCACAAAGACCGATATATTTCAAAAAAAATTTTTTTAAATACAGAAATAATCATGAAAACATATTTATTGCAAGCGAAAACTCCAAGCAACGTAGAAGCATAAAGAATGAAAAGACATGATGTTTCTCCTACACACCCCAAACCCACTTGCTTCCCCTACTGTTTTTCCGCACCCCTCTAGTGCTTCCTCTGTACATTTACTTGCATGTCTAATAGATAAACACAAATATTGTTTTAGAGTTGTTTTGGTTTAGTTTTACACAAATGGTGTCATCTTATACTTATTGCTCAGCAACTTGCTTTTCTTATTAAAAATGCATTTTGGGGGCCGGGCGCAGTGGCTCATGCCCGTAATTCCAGGACTTTGGGAGGCTGATGTGGGTGGATCACAAGGTCAGGAATTCGAGACCGGCCTGGCCAACATGGCGAAATCCTGTCTCTACTAAAAATACAAAAATTAGCCAGGCATGTGGCATGCACCTGTAATCTCAGCTACTTGGGAGGCTGAGGCAGGAGACTCGCTGGAACCTGGGAGGCAGAGGCTGCAGTAAGCCAAGATCGTGCTACTGCACTCCAGCCTGGGCAACAGAGTGAGACTCCATCTCTCAAAAAAAAAAATGCATTTTTGGCTGGGCATGGTGGCTCCTGTCTGTAATCCCAATACCCTGGGGGGCCGAGGCAGGCGTATCGCTTTAGCCTAGGAATTTGAGACCAACCACAGCAACATGGCAAAACCCTGACTCTACAAAAAATACAAAAATTAGCGGGGCATGGTGGCGTTGGCCTGTAATCCCAGCTACTTAGGAGGCTGAGACGGGAAAATCACTTGAGCCCAGGAGTTTGAGGCTGCAGTGAGCCGAGATCATACCACTGCACTTCAGTCCAGATGACAGAGCAAGACCCTGTCTAAAAAAATAGAATAGAATAGAATAAAAATGCAGTTTGGAAATCTTTCCATGCTAGTTTACCTGTTCTACTGCTCACTGTATCCCCAGCACTTAGGACAGTGACTCACACAGCTGAATCTCAACGTACATGTGTTGATTGGTGAATGAATGAATGAATGAATGAATGAGTGAATACGTTCTTCAGTGTTTAACCATATGTCATAGGATGAAAGTTTGTTTTCCATTTTTCACTGTTACAAATCAGGCTCAGTGAACATTCCGGCACATCCACCTTTCTCCCTCATCCTCATCTCAGTATCACAGGCTCCTGACCTTCAGTCCCTCTTCTCCTATTTGACTTCATTGTGTCAATCACATCACTCAGCCAGGTTCCCACTTTGGCCTGGCATTCTCTGCAGGCCTGTCCCAGGAGTTCAGGAGCCACAGCAGGTCTAACAATGGCAGGGTCTGGCAGGTGAAGGGCATTTCACAGCCAGCCCCCTGGACAGAGAGGCCTCTGCCACGGCGTCCACCTGCTCACCTCCCACTCCACCTCAGCCCACTGATGGCAGGCACCACGTGAAACAATGAAACTGACCCCAGGGGCACCAGCCCCTTCTAACTGCCAAATCCAACAACACTTTCACAGTCCTTGCCTTATGCCACCTCTCTGCCGCTTTTGAAACTGGGAACCACTCCTTGACTTGTTATTTTAAATTAAAAAATTGTGGACTGCCCTTTCTTGAAACTATCTGTTCCCTTAGGCTGTATAACTTGGCCTGATTCTTCTCCTCAATTGGTCCAGCTCTTTCCCCTCTCCTTCAGTGTTGGGGTGCCACCCACACCCTCCATCAGCACCTATATTCCGATGGGCCCCACAGCTGCATGTCTTGCTCACACCTCCCACTGAGCACCAGGCACAGTTATAAGTCTGTGAGATAAACACTGTGCTTGCTACTTAAGTGCTATGGGAACTCAGAATGCAGTCACACAACAGACATGTGCTAAGTGACTACTTCAGTGGTTCCCAAGGTGTGGTCTAGGGAAGCCCGGGGGACTCCAAGATTTTTTCAGGGCATCTTCAAGGTAAAAACTATTTTTAGGCCGGGCACGGGGCTCATGCCTGTAATCACAGCACTTTGGGAGGCTGAGGCGGGCGGATCACGAGGTCAGGAGTTCGAGACCAGCCTGGCCAATATAGAGAAAACCCCTCTCTACTAAAAATATGAAAATTAGCTGGGCATGGTGGGGTGCACCTGTAGTCTCAGCTACTCAGGAGGCTGAGGCAGGAGAATCGCTTGAACCCAGGAGGGAGAGGTTGTGGTAAGCCGGGATCATGCCACTGCACTCCAGCCTGGGCAACAGAGCAAGACTCCATCTCAAAAAAAAAAAAAAAAAAACTATTTTTATAATAATGCTAAGATGTAATTTCTGTACTTTACTCTTATCCTCTCCTGAGTGTACGACAGAATATTCTAGAGTCTACATGTTATGTGATATCGCAACAGCTTGAATGCAGAAGCAGGTATGAGAATCCAGCTGTCTTCTATTAACCCAGACGTTAAAGAGATTTGCAGAAATGTTAATTAGTGCCAGGCTTCTTACTAATTTTTTTTTTGTTTTGGAAAATAAAGTTATTTTTCATGAAGATATGTCATTTATGTCAGTATAATTGGTTTATTATTATGTAGAAATAAATGAATTTTTTAAGTTCTTAGTTTTCATTTCTAATAAAGTACATATCCAGCGATAGATAGAATCCACATAAACAAAGCCTCTTTAAGAACCTTAATAATTTTTAAGAGTATAAAGGGGCTCTGAAACTAAAAAGTTAATTCTTAAATCTAGAGCTGTTCCAACAGGTATTTCCACATAGTTGACACCATGTAGGTGACCTATAGACATGCCCTCCTTCTCCCAGGGCCCCAGTACAGAACATCCAGTGTCTTTACTCCCTTAATCTGGCCCTCTCACATCTATCTCCTACTGTCCTCTGCCCCACCCACCCCTCAGTCCTGCCATCTTCACCCCATACCTGATGACTGTAACAGCCTCCATCTGGCTTGTAGCCAACATTGTATTTCTAAAACAAGTCGGATCATGTTCGCCACCTGCTTCGAAATCTCCTCATTGGCTACAAGAAATACACCAAATTCCTAGACAGGCTGCCGAGGTTGTCACAAAGCAGCCCTGACACTGACCACCTCACTGCCTGCCCCTGGCCCACCTGACCCCTTCTCTAGAGCCATGCTGAATGTTTCCCTGCTCCCTAGGCATTCCAGAATGTTCTCACACCAAGCACAGTGGCTTGTGCCTGTAATCCCAGCACTTTGGGAAGCTGAGGTGGGAAGACTGCCTGAGCCCAGGAGTTCAAGAATAGCCTGGACAATATAGTGAGATCCCATCTCTACAAAAAATGTTAAAAATTATCTGGGCATGGTGGCGTGTGCCTGAAATCCCAGCCACTCAGGAGGCTGAGACAAGAGGATTACTTGACCCCAGGAGGTTGAGGCTGCAGTGAGCTGTGATCACGCCACTGACCCAAGCCTGGGTGACAGAGCAAGAGCCTATCTCTTAAAAAATAAAACTAAATTTAAAAAACAAACAAAAAACCAGAATGTTCTCAGCACTGTGTTTCTGCATATGCTTTCCTCTCTACTTGGAAGCCTCTTTTTGTCTTGGAAGACATCAAGATTCAGCTCAGATGTTATTCAGAGCAGTCACCCCGGAGCCTACAGACAGAATGAGCAGCTTGGCCATCTCATCTACCACAGCACTTTGCTCACACCTGTCTTATAACACAATGAATTATCATTCTTCTGTTTCTCAAGACACTGAATTACTCAGGTATCCTGACCTATTGCCTCAGAATCACCAGCACCAGATGATGCCTAGTATATCTGAGGAGTTTAATGGATTTGTTTTTTTAATTTTTAGAAACAGGGTCTCACTATGTTGCCCAAGCTGGACTTGAACTCCTGGGCTCAAGTGATCCTCCCACCTTAGCCTACTAAGTAGCCAGGACCACAGGTGTATGCCACCATGCCCTAATAGATTTTTAAAACTAAATGTCCAAAGCTAAAGTTATCTTCCCTCCTCAAATATCTTTTACCTTGGCCCCCAATCTTATTGAATGGCATCCCCCAGAGGCCCAAAGAAGAAATCTCGAAGTCCCCTTTCACTCCTCTCTTTTCCTTACCTCTACAACCCATTGGCCAATAATTCTACTTCCCGGACATTTTCCATAACCACCCTCCCCTTCGCACTCACACCACCACCACCCTAGCTCATTCACTCCCTTGTGTAAGAAACATTTGCCGCTCACTGACTCAACACCGGCACTGTGCTGCATCCCAGCTCTATGAAAACAAAATAAGACAATCCAATGTCAACTCATTCACAATCAATTAAAGAAAATAGACAAAAAACATTAACAATGAGCTGTAAACCACGAAGATAAGCACGTACTTTCAATTAGAAAAATGTGTTTTCAAATATGGTACATATACATCACAGAATACTATGCAGACATAAAAAACAAAATCATGTCCTTTGCAGCAGATGGAGCTGGAGGCCATTATCCTAAGTGAATTAATGCAGAAACAGAAAACCAAATAGCACATGTTCTCACTTATAAGTGGGAGTGAAACACGGAGTACATGTGGACACAAAGAAGAGAACAATAGATACCAGAACTGACTGGGCGCAGTGGCTTATGCCTGTAATCCCAGCACTTTGGGAAGCCCAAGCAGACCAGCCTGACCAACGTGGAGAAACCCTGTCTCTACTAAAAACATAGAATTAGCCGGGCGTGGTGGCGCATGCCTTTAATCCCAGCTACTCAGGAGACTGAGGCAGGAGAATCACTTGAAACCAGGAGGCGGAGGTTGCGGTGAGCCAAGATCGCGCCATTGCACTCCAGCCTGAGCAACAAGAGCGAAACTCTGTCTCAAAAAAAACAAAAAAAACAAACAAAAAACAGGTGAGGAAGGTCTTATCTTCCTTGGAGGGGCAGGGAAGGCCAAGGAACTGTTGAAGAGAACTGAACTGCACAGTGAAAGGAGACTGGCTCTTCCAAGTGCGAAGAAGGGCCGTGTCACACTCCACGCCATCATCACAGTCGGGCCCAACACACCCTCCAGGCTCTTGGCCACCTGCCTCCAGCCCAGCCTCACCTCCTCCCTGACTGGTGACCAGTCCTTCTCTCTCAGGACGGTTGTCCCCTCAGCTGAGGTCCACCTGCAGCCCAGACTCCATAAAGGAAGGGGACACTCACCCAGCCTGACAGGCCAGCCTCTCACTGAGCCCAAAGGCTTCCAGTCAGGCTCTTCGCTCACCCAGAACATCTGCATCACAGGCAAACCCCACAGCCACACCCCTCAGAAGCCTTCCCACCCCGACAGCCCCAGCCACCTCCATCCCTCCCCACGCAGGCACTGTGACGTTTGTTTTAATTTGGAAGAAAAAGAAAGAAAGGAAGAGGGAGGAGATGTGGGAGAAAGAAAAGAGGGTGAGAACTAAGAGAGAGAAAGGACCAGAAGAAAGGAACAGGAGACAGGAACAGAAAAGTTCACCTTCCTGTGGCTTAGCATTTTTTTTTTTTTTTAGAGGGAGAGTTTTGCTCTGTCGCCCAGGCTGGAGTGAAATGGTGCGACCTCGGCTCACTGCAACCTCCACCTCCTGATTATCAACCGATTCTCCTGCCTCAGCCTCCTGAGTAGCTGGGACTACAGGCACATGCCACCACGCCCAAGTAATTTTTGTATTTTAGTAGAGACGGGGTTTCACTGGGTAGGTCAAACTGGTCTCGAACTCCTGACCTCAAATGATCTGCCCACCTCAGCCTCCCAAAGTGCTGGGATTACAGACGTGAGCCATGCTCCCGGCCATGGCTCAGCCTTTGTATCCAAGGCCTTCCCGTTACACCTGGTGGGAAGATGGGGTAGATACAAGTGTTCCCTTCCCGAGGGTGAGGAAACTGAGGCTCGGAAAGTAAAGGCTGCATGGCTAGTAAAATGGCAGAGATGATCGGCAGTGACAAAAATGATTTGTCGTTTTGAGATGTGTTCAGGACACAGGCAGCATCTTGTTAGCTGGGTCAGGTGACTTCTCTTCGGTTACCAAGGAACGGCTCTGAGGAAAGTCCAAGTTTCTTTTGTAACTTGCGCTCCATGTGACAGAAACATGAGCGTTTCCAAAATGAAAACACTGGGGGCTTTCGCCTGGAGGGGCGCAGGGACAGCCGCCCAGGGCCGAAGTAAGGGGCAGCTCCCCTAGGGGCCCTCGGGGCACAGCCCACAGCCCGTTTTCTGAGGAGACTGAAAGGGGCAAATGTGGCCAGGAGAGCTGTTTTCACACTAAACTGAAAGAATGCATCTACTTCAGAGGCTTTTTCTCCCTTGAGACTTTAAAATCAACTTGGTTCCTTTTTAAAACTTCTAAATACGGAAGAAGCGGGGACAGGAGTGGGGTGCTGCTCTTAGGAGCCCACTCGGCCCTGGAGCCGCAGCCTTCCCCCGGGACGTGATGGTCTCTGAGCTGCAGCTCTGCCAGCCGCGTCTCGTTTCCTCCTTCCTATTTTGAAGACCTGAAAATCTGAACGACTTCATTTCAGTTTCCTTCCTCCGTCCTGACTGGAAGTCACACTCTGTCCAGATGATTAGCGACAACACTTAGAAAATCCTCCAAGTGGCCCGGCAAGGCCCTGGGAGGTCACAGGAGCAGCTTCCTGTTGTCAGAGCGGGCTGCTGGGGGTGGGTTCGGGGCGGCCTGGAAGAGCAGGGAGGAAGGGAGGGGGCCCCACGGCTGGAACAGATCAGATCTGTCCATTCTAGAATCAGCCAATACAGGGGAGGGGTCCCGGGTTCTAGTTTGCAGCCTCTGACTAGAAGGGCCCTGAGGAAAAGAGAAACAAAGAGGAGAGAAGGAGTAGGCGGAGACGTGGCAGCTCCCACGGGTGCTTCCTTGTATATTATCACATCTATGGGAACCTCAGTGTCCTGGGAGCCACCTCATTACTCCCAGTGCAGGGGAGGAAACTGAGGCAAAGAGCGGCTTTGGTGACATACCCAGGCCCCTACTGTAAATAAGGGAGACCAGACTCCCAAAGGTGGCTGGCCAGAAGGCACCGCCCAGGGCTGCTCAGGTACCACCCAAAGGCCAGCAGCCACCATGAGGTGCCATGGAGCAGACCACAGCCAGCCCAGCCCCAAGACCAGCACACTTAACACCTCGCCCCTGCCCCCCAAGTCTGTTCCCGGGTCACCTCTGCCAGCTCCACAGAAATCCACGAAATTACAGCCTCCAGAACTCAGCCACCATGGTGAGGAGAAAGTTGTCTTGTCCTGAGCTTTTCCACAGAGGCCAAACAGAAAGTTTCTGGTTCAGCTCAGAGCTAGAGGCCCTCAGTGGAGCTGTCAGTTAGATTTTGAGGAAGTCACAGAGAGGCAAAGACGGTAGTTCATGGGACAAGTATTTCTCGCCTGGCCTTTATTTTTTTTTAAGGGAATTTGTAAATTTTTTTAATTTTCTTTAAATTGTGGTAAATTATATGTAACATAAAATGTACCACTGTAACTATCTTAAGGGTACAGGTCAGTAGCATGGAGCACATTCAGACTGCTGTGCAACCATCACCACCATCCAGCTCCAGATCTCTTTTCAGCCTGCAAAACTGAAACTCTCAGCTCATTAAACATAACTTCCCATTTCCCCAGTCCCTGGCACCCACCATTGTACGTTCTGTCTCAATAAATATGATGATTCTAGGCAGCTCTTAGGAGTGGAACTGTACAGTATTTGTCCTTTTGTCACCGGCTTATTTTGCTCAGCATTATATCTTCAATACAAACTCCCGGGCTCAAGCAATCCTCCTACCTCAGCCTCCTGAGCAGCTGGAACTACAGGCACACACTCCCATGGCTGGCAGGGTTTTTTTTATTTTTTGTAGAGATGGGGGTCTCACTAAGTTGCCCAGGCTGGTCTCAAACTCCTGGCCTCAAGGGATCCTCCCTCCCTGGCCCCACAAAGTGCTGGGATTACAGGTGTGAGCCACCACTCCCAGCCAATTTCTCTCGTTTTTAAGGCGAAATAACATTCCTCTGTATGTATACACCACATCACGTTTATCTATTCACCCTTCAGTGGACACTTGGGTTGCCTCTGCCTCTGGGCCTCTGTGAACGATGTTGCTGTGAACATAAGTGTGCCGGCCTGGCCTTTTCCTTTCTCAAACTTGTCCCCTGCTCTTCTGCATTGTGATGGTTTCTCTAAGGCGGACACACAAGCATTTAAGCCCCGATCCACATCCCGGAGCAACTCTACTGTAGTCCACACCCCAGCCTGTTCACGAGTCAGGGATGGGCACCCCACGATTGGCATTGCCTGGCCTTAGAGAAAAGCTCATAATCTTGGGGGCCATAGCTGAGGTTTCTTATGGCTGCAGGGAATTTGTCTTCACTGCAGTCAGATTAACATTTAGTTCAGTTTCCTCATTAGCCTTTGGGAAGCCCACAGAGGCATCCTCTATAAGAGATGCTACCAAAAGTTCCTGACTGCATTCAGCCTGGAAACTAGGCTTCCCATAGATGATAACTAGTCTAGAAGATGCTCTCATGAGCATGGTGACAGGGCTCAAATGTGCCTGGGAGTTCTACTCTTTCTGATTTCCTAATACGTAAATATCTTCAAAGGCCACAGCAGGAGGTTTTACTGAAACTGAAGAGCTCCCTCTGGTTAATCTTTCCCCCAAAAATGTCATCTGGAAATTAAGCACAATTTTGCTAAAATGAGCAAGGATTTCACCTAAATGAAATTAAAGAGGGTTATCTTATTTTTTTTATTTAGCACTTAAAATAATTTAGAGTGTGAGAAATCAGATTGTTCAGGGTCACACGCCCCCAAGGACTGCTCTCTAACAGCCCTCCTCCTGCCTCTGCCCCGGGGTTCCAGTCTCTCTCCTCCACCCCTGGACTCAAGTCTGCGTGGTGTTGGCCACACTGACTGACAGCCAGGGGACATGCACTCACCAGCAGGGTGTGTCCCTCCGGTCTTCACAATGAATGCTGGCCCAGTCGCCAGCAGCCTTCACGCCAATGTTCTCCCGTCAGTGAGGCCAGGCCCCCAGGTGCCACTGGAGTCAGAGGAGGGCAGCTGGCGTGCGCCAAGCAGCCACTAGGAGCCACTTCATGCCAATGCTCCACTTCCTGCACGCCACAGTCACGTTCAGCTGCAAAAGTAGTTATGCTTTGGGTTTTTTTGGTTTTTTTTTTTTTAAGAAAAAAAAAAAGGAAAGGAAGAAAGCAATTAAAGGGGCGGGGGGGACTTAAAGTTTGCACCTCAGCATGAGTCACCGAATCAAAGTTCAGCAACCACATGCAAAACAAACCCTCCGTGAGGGCAGCAAGTCTCCGTGAGGACGGCTGGGATTGGCTGCACAGCAAAGCCAGGAGAGGCTCCATGAGGAGAACAGCATTCAGAGTCCAAGGGGGAGAACCCCTGTTCCAAGTGGGAACTTGGAACAGAAGTTCTCCTGCCTCCAGCTGAGAAGATGATCAGATTCTAGCTGCTCCTGGGGAAAGTCGGTACTCACAGCTGGACACAAACATAGCTTGCAGGAGGAAGAGTGTCAGAGCAAGAGACAGAGCAGAGATGGCTACGGAGATATGGGTGCATATGGGGACATGGCACAGGGAGGACTCTGTCCCTGCCTTCACGAAGGGGAATTCCAAACGAGTCACGAAGTCCTTCTGACTAGGGACCAAGGCACTAGCCTGTGTCAGAGATAACATGGCCCTGTGGCTCCCTACTGCCGCCCTGCGTGGCGTGGGTGGTGGCTTCTCTCCCACTGTGGCAGGGGAAGTCTGAACCCACCTGACCACAGCATTCTGCAGACTGCCTGGTCTCCAGCCTCACCAGGTACAGGCAACAGACCCAGAACTCTGAAATTATTTCCTAAATTTGGTGATGCCCATCAGGGGTCAGAAGAAGAGGAAAGAACACAATCAACCCACACAGTAGCCCACCTCCCAACAAACCTCCCTGTCTCAGGCAGCAACTTGCTCCAGGACACACAGTCAACCAGTTGGCCAAGGTGGGTTTAGAACCCAGGTGTTGGTGCTAGGGAGGTAAGAATGGCACATGGTAACTGGAATGTGTAGCTCTTTTTATTTATTCACCACCGGTCTCCCAAAGAAAATGTGAAGCAGTGTAGATGATTAAAACACAGAGAATGGAATAATTAAAATAAAAAATTAGGCCAGGTGCAGTGTCTCACGCCTGTAATCCCAGCACTCTGGGAGGCCAAGGCGAGAGGATTGCTTGAGCCCAGGAGTTCAAGACTAGCCTGGGCAACATGGCCAAATCCCAGCTCTACAAAAAATATAAAAATTAGCCAGGCATAGTGGCACATACCTGTGGTCCCAGCCACTCTGGAGGCTGAGGTGGATTGCTTGAGCCTGGGAGGTTGAGGCTGCAGTGAGCTATGATTGCACCACTGCACTCTAGCCTGGGTGACAGAGTGAGATCCTGTCTCAAAAACAAATAAATAAATTTTTTTGAAAGTTCAATCAGAAATCCTTACAAGAAAAAAAGAACATCATACCAGAAAGCTAGATTAGAGTAGTCACTGCATTAGAACACTAATTCTAGCTTTGAAATTTTCTGGTACAATGGATTTTCAAGTAACAGCTCCCATTTTTTTCTTTTGCTGTTGTTGTTTGTTTGAGATGGAGTCTCGCTCTGTCGCCCAGGCTGGAGTGCAGTGGTGTGATCTCAGCTCACTGCAACCTCCGCCTCCTGGGTTCAAGCGATTCTCTTGTCTCAGATTACAGGTGCGCACCACCACACACGGCTAATTTTTGTATTTTTAGTAGAGATGGGTTTTGAACATGTTGGCCAGGCTGGTCTCGAACTCCTGACCTCGTGATCTGCCCACCTCGGCTTCCCAAAGTGCTGGGATTACAGGCGTGAGCCACCGCACCCGGCCGACAACTCCTATTTGTTTAGCACCAATGATATATATAGTAGTTTACATCAAAGTGCCCTAATCCCCACAAAAGCTCGATGGCATTGGAATAATTATTCCCATTTCCAGATGAGGTTATTGGGGTTGAGAAAGGGCAGCCAACCTGCCCACGTTCACTCATTAAGTGGCTGAGTGAAGATGGAAGCCCAGGGCCATCAGGCTCAAAAACGTGCCTTACACAAACACACATTGCCTCCAAGCTCCCAAAACCATAAAAAAAGTTGCAGAGTTTCCAAGAGAAATAAACACATTCCTGATGTTAAATTTTAGGAGAGATTGGCCAGGTGCGGTGGCTCACGTCTGTAACCCCAGCACTTTGAGAGGCCAAAGCAGGCGAATCACCTGAGGTCAGGAGTTCGAGACCAGCCTAGCCAACATGGTCAACATGGAGAAACCCCGTCTGTACTAAAAATACAAAAATTAGCCGGGCATGGTGGTGGGTGCCTGTAATCCTAGCTACTTGGGAGGCTGAGGCAAGAGAATCATTTGAACCCGGGAGGTGGCAGTTGCAGTGAGCCAAGATCTAACCGTTGCACTCCAGCCTGGGCAACAACAGCAAAAATCCATCTAAAAAAAAAAATTAGGAGAGATCTAAATCCTTACATTGAGTAAGAAATCGTCAATATCTTCAGCTCAAGTCCTGTAGAAGATGCCATGTTGGTCTTCAAATGCCCATTCTTCACCACACGCCCCAGTAAAAGCTGAGAGTATGACATCATACCTCAACTCAAGGGAAGGTGTTTCTATGGGGAAATGAGCTACCGCTGTCCAAGAGCCTTCTTCTCTAATCATCTAACCAAATAAAGCAACAGAACTCAGAGACACATAGTGCAATGGCTTCCTTGGATGATCTCTTTCAAACACTAGATGACTGAGCCACATTTTTTGCAGGTATAAGATAGCAACCAATCAAAGAAGAAACTCTCTGAGGATATTGCCAAGTGCGACCTGGCTGTGCATGTAAGAAAAGATGAGTCTGGGCAATGAAGTTTAGGAATCCCGATGTGTACTCAGCCCCAGGTGAGCAGCATGTCCGCACAGGATAGGGGCCACAGTGGGCAGCACCAACTGCTTCTCAAAAGAGATTCCGGAATCGGCTCAACGCAGACAAGCAAGCATTTGGTGGAGGCCCCCAAAATTCTGCCTTAAATTTTGGAGACATTATTTAGGCCAGAAAAATGGTTATTTGATTTAAGAAAAGAGCCACGCTACAGTCTTCTTACAGTATCTGATTTAGAGAAACCTCATCTTGAATCCTCCACAGCTAAAATGATTTTGCTGCCATGACTCTGACAAGCTGGAAGAATGAAATCGTTGTTGAGGCTATTTATTGCACACTTGAGCAAAAAGTAAGGCCTTCCAGGGGTTACAACAAGTTTAGCTACAGCATCACTGACCCAAAACTAGGCTCTGCCTCTGAGAGATGTAAGAGAAGGCGATGGCGGCCGGGTGCGGTGGCTCACTTTGGAAGGCTGAGGCAGGTGGATCACGAGGTCAGGAGTTCAAGACCAGCCTGATCAACATAGTGAAACCCCGTCTCTACTAAAAATACAACAATTAGCCAGGCATGGTGGTGTGTGCCTGTAGTCCCAGCTACTCAGGAGGCTGAGGCAGGAGAATCACTTGAACCCGAGAGGCAGAGGTTGTAGTGAGCCAAGATTGTGCCACTGCACTCCAGCCTGGGCAACAGAGCGAGACTCCATCTCAAAAAAAAAAAAAAGAGAGAGAGAAGGCCACGGCTTTCCTCTTGCTGTGTCAGTGGGGCCAATGTCCACACATCTCTGGACACTATTAGAGCACTGAGAAGAGAGTAGGGCAGTGAGCCTCACACACTTTCTCCTTCTGCCCTGTTTAAAATTGGCATTGGATCTGCCCCAAAACTATTTCTGCCCATTCTGGCCCTTACGGTGAGACTGAGGTCTGTGCTTTCAGGAAGCAGTCCAGAGATGCTGAGACGGTGGATGGCAGACGTGTGGGTACGGACCATCACCACAGAGGAAGACACAGATGCCCAGAGAGATAGCATTTGTCCTGGAGACTGGAAGCCCATCCATGGGTCCAGGTGGGGACCCCCTGGCTTGCCTGCCCCCTTCTATCTACAGCATCAGTGAACACCATGAATATCATTGGTTGTGTAACCTGTTTTTCCAGTGAGCTAAAAGAGAGTATATATAGCTATTTGCAGTGGTGACATGGACACGCATGGGTTGGGCCCCACTAGAAACTGCTCAGCTGCTCTCCGATGACTCGTTCACCAGCAGCATGGGAGGGGTCCCCATTTCTCCATATCCTGCCAACATCTGAGATTGAGACAATCTCAGTGCTTTCTGCTAATCTGATGTGTGAGAAATGGTATATCATGGTTATTTTAACTCTCATTTCCTTGGTTACTAGTGAACTTAAGGATCTTTTTATATGTTTCTTGGCATTGCAGTTTTCATTTTTCACTCTTCCATTGCCCATTTTCCTATTCTGTAGACTTTTTTTCTTTTTATTTGTATTAATGTTTATATATTTATTTTGTTTGTTTGTCTTGAGATAGGGTCTTTGTTGCTCAGGCTGGAGTGTACGGGGATAATCATAGCTCACTGCAGCCTTGAACTCCTGGGCTCAAGCCGTCCTCCCAGCCAAGTAGCTGGGACTACAAGGGTGCACCACCACACCCAGCTAATGTTTTAAATTTTTGCAGAACCATCGTCTTGCCAAGGCTGTTCTCAAACTCCTGGGCTCAAGTGATCCCCCTGCCTCGGCCTCCCAAGGTGCTGGGATTACAGGCATGAGCCACAATGCCCACCCCAAGTTTTATTTTTTACATTCAGGTCTTTAATCATGACCTGGAATTTATTTTGATAAATGGTATGAGAAATAATCTAAGCTCTTTTTTATTGTTTCTTTTTTCTTTTCTTGCATATCTTGGTAGGGAAAGAATCTAAGCTTATAATGGCAGGCAGTTTGGTGTCATGAACTTGAAGCCAGAGTGCTCTGCTACTTATTAACTGTGTAACTTTGAGCAAATTATCTAACCTCTGTACTTCAGTTTCCTAATATGTAAAATGGGAATAAATAATCTTATCTACCTCATAAGGATACTGTGAGAATTACAGGAATTAGTGTCTATAAAGTACTTAGAAGAGTGCCTGGTGTATAGAGACCCATTTTTCTGGAAGCTATAGTTCTCTTACAAAAAGCCCCCAGGGAACTATGAGATGGCCTGTACTAACATGCTACCCATTGCTAGGAAGAGAGACTGAATGAAAAGACATGAGCACTATGGGACACAGGTAGAGGAACCTTGGGTTGAAGGCAAAGAATGAGTGACGATCGCATGTTAAAATGAAGCACCTACTCCTGGGCTAATGATGTGGGATTGTAAGTGGTCACATTTGAATGCCTGCAACATTCTATGTTTAGAAATGTGGCCTCTAAGGCTCAGCTCAGTATCTGTTCAACATCTTTGCTAACCTCTAGCCAAAGTGCTGGGTAGCTTTTCCTGAGCTCTGCAAACACCTTACACCCTATAGTGGGTTAAATCGTGCCCCCAAAAAGATACGTTCAAGTCCTAACCTCCAATATCTGTGAATGTGACTTTATTCGGAAATAGAGTCTTTGCAGATACAACTAAGTTAAGAAGTGTTCATACTGGATGAGAGTGAGCCCTAAATCCAATGAACCAATGATGGGTGTCTTTTTTTTTTTTTTTTAAGACGAAGTCTTGCTCTTTTCCCCCAGGCTGGAATGTGACGGCGCAATCTTGGCTCACTGCAACCTCCGCCTCCCGGGTTCAAGTGATTCGGTTCAAGTGATTCTCCTGCCTCAGCCTCCCGAGTAGCTGGGATTACAGGCACCTGCCACCAAGCCCAGCTAATTTTTTTTATTTTTAGTAGAGATGGGGTTTCTACACGTTGGCCAGGCTGGTCTCAATCTCCTGACCTCAGGTGATCCACCTGCCTTGGCCTCCCAAAGTTCTGGGATTACAGGGATGAGCCACTGTGCCCAGGCAGGGTGTCTTTTTAAAAGAAGGGACTGAGAAATTTGGAGAGAGAGACACAGAGGAGACGCAGGGAAGAAGGCAATGTGAAGACAGAGGCAGAGATGAGGATGATGCAGCTATAAGCCAGCGAATGCCATGAGAAGCTAGGAAGAGGCAAGGAAGGATTCTTCCCTAGAGGCTTCAGAGCGAGCATGGCTCTGATGACAGCTTGATTCAGACTTCCAGCCTGCAGAACTGTGAGATAATAGATTTTGTTTTGTTTTGTTTTGTTTGAAACAGAATCTCATTCTGCCACCCAGGCTGAAGTACAGTGGCACAATCAGTTCACTGTAACCTCAAACTCCTGAGCTCAAGCAATCCTCCTGCCTCAGCCTCCTGAGTAGCTAGGACTACACGCATGCACCACCGCACCTGGCTAATTTCTTAATTTTTGTAGACATGGGGTCTTCTTTTTTTTCTATTTTTAAAAAATTTTATTTCATATAAATCTCATATGGTACAAAAGTATTACATGCTTGGGCCTGTCTTGCACATAGGAGGTTCTTTCAGTTCTTCAGGCCAACCTTCCTTCAGAGGCAAATAAATAAGAAACATATGTAGAACATATTTAGAAAATTTTTTACTATAATGAAAAATGTGAACATCTTATATTTAGCATAGTTTAGCAATTCAGTTTATGTTAATAAATTTAGTTCACTGCTGGAAGGCACTTGTCACAGAAGAACCTAATAGGCAGCAGGTGTTTTAACCTGTAGGAACAAAATGTTTAACTTTTTTCTTGTATTTTTTGAAGAAGGTACTCTATTTGTACATTCAAGTTTGGTTGGCCCTTTTTAGTCTCTTGGTTCAATATTTTAAACACTTCCATTTTCTTCTTTTTGTAGTGCCTTTGGGCTTCTCTCTCCTGTTTTCTCCTCTCGAATTCTTGTTTCTTAGCAGCACGTTTAGCTTGTACCTGTTCATATTCTTCTTGTGCTTTTTGATTTGATGTTTTCTTTTTATTTTTCTTTGGAATTGTAAAGGAGTTTACTGTTTTACTACATTGTTCTTCTGGCTGAGGCTGGTCAAAGCTACACTGATCTTCAAATAAAGCCTGGTCAATGCTACACTGTTCTTCAAGCAAAGGCTGGTGAACTTGTTCTGACAAAGGATGGTCAACTTTTTTTGGTTGCTTCCTAAGTCTTTCCTCTATCTGAAAATAGAGATGTTTCAGATTATCTGGGTATCGATCTGTGAATTGAGATTCCAGTGACGTTTGGGCCTTCTTTTCCTTCCGTAGCAATTTCTTTTAACTTTGCTGTATTCTCAGTTTTCTTCGAAAAGCAAAGCCTTGTCCCTTGCGAACGCTCCCCACGAAGGCTTGCGGGTGGTTAGGCCGCCATGTCTTCTGTTTCACATTCTTATTCCTGTACCCGAACGTGGAAACCCCTTCACCACGCACCTCAAAACCACCAGGCCGCCACTTCGCCGCCCGCCTCACCGGCACCATTGCAGCCAACTAACTGCGTCATCGACATGGGGTTTTCTTTTCTTTTTTTTTTTTTTTTTTGAGACGGAGTCTCGCTGTCGCCCAGGCTGGAGTGCAGTGGCACGATCTCGGCTCACTGCAAGCTCCGCCTCCCGGGTTCACGCCATTCTCCTGCCTCAGCCTCCCGAGTAGCTGGGACTACAGGCGCCCGCCACCACGCCCGGCTAAGTTTTTGTATTTTTAGTAGAGGCGGGGTTTCACCGTGTTAGCCAGGATGGTCTCGATCTCCTGACCTCGTGATCAGCCCGCCTCGGCCTCCCAAAGTGCTGGGACTACAAGCGTGAGCCACCGCGCCCGGCCGACATGGGGTTTTCTTATGTTACTCAGGCTGGTCTCGAAGGCCTGGCCTCAAGCAATCCTCCCACCTTGGTCTCCCAAAGTGCTGGGATTATAGGTGTAAGCCACGATGTCCAACCTTGTTTTAAGTCACCCTGCTTATGGTAGTTTGTTGTGACGGTCCTAGGAAACTAATACACCCTTCAAGCCCACAAACACTTTCCCTCAGAGCTCTTAGTTGTGATAACCATTTACTCACAGCTAAGCACATTCTCGCTGTCTAATGAGAAGACTGTGAAAGAGCTATGGAGTGAAGCCTTGAGCCTGGAGGATGGGTTGGCAGGCCATGGGGCAGCTGTCTGCATGTGATGCAGTGTTGCCTGTGCCTGCCTGTGCTGGGGTTGTGCAGTGAGAAGGACATCTAGGACAGACCTAAAAATTAAGCATGTATCATGGTCATGCCTGTCGTGTTATTTCCTGTAAACATATGCCAGGGGAAAAGACCATGAGTGTGTGTTTTTTGTGCGTTCTTAGAAAGTGAGTAGTAGAAAATGATCAATACAACAATGAAACATCACTTATCATGAAGTTAAAAGTGTGCACTGCCACCTGCTGAGATTGCAGTGCTTTCGAGGCTACTTTCTTGCTCTATGTGAGGCACTCTCTCCTGTGCCATGAATCCAACAAAGAGCCTGTGCCCAAGATGCTTCCAGGTCAGCCCTCAGCTACACATCCCATGAACGCAGCACAGGCCACGGTCGACCATGTGGGCTCCATTCTGATCCTGCTTACACCCTATCAGGTTTACTAAAACCACATCCATCCCTGGTCATGCTGAAGATACTGGTATTATTTCTGTGATAACAAATGAGTGATTATGTAACAAAGACTGTATGACTTTAACGTTGTTGTCGTTGTGCCTGTTCTACGTTCTAGCACTGCACCAACTTGGATATCAAATGCAGAAGAGATATCAAAGTCCTCAGCGTCTGCATCATCTCCTCTGGGAAGCCTGCTTGATATACGTCTGCATTTGGGGTGATGTGTGGAATCGATATTGAATGAAATCGTGTTCAATGCCATGTGAGGACTGTGGTGCCAACCCATGGTAAAGGTCCTACATGCAACGCCCAGAGTAACTTTTCTCAGCTATCCCAGTGCCACTTTCTTCCTTATTTTCTGGGGCCTGGCGAAGCAAATCCAAGCTTCTCAGTTTTGCATTTGGGACTCTCCCTTTCCCAATTTCCTCTTCCCTCCTGACACTCATTGCCTTCCCAGCCTCGGCAGTAGTCAGACACCGCCCTGCTCTCCCTCTGCACCTGGCTCGTTACCACCTTCATATGCCTTTGTTCCTGACTCAGGTTTCCCCAGCTCTCTCCACCAAACCAAGCAAACAAAACTTTTCTCTTTTTCAGGAGCCAGAGGTCACTGGTCTTGTTGTAGATTCATAGCAACAAAGAAGCATTACCTAACTTCTCTTTCTACACAAACTCTCTTGCTAGAATGATACTGTATTTGCAACCTTTATGTGTGTCCAGCTTCCTAGTACTCTACTCATTTAAGTAAATAACAGCAATACAACTTTTTTTTTTTTTTGAGACTGAGTCTCGCTCTGTTGCCCAGGCTGGAGTGCAATGACGTGATCTCAGCTCCCTGCAGCCTCCGCCTCCTGGGTTCAAGTGATTCTCCTGCCTCAGCCTCCCAAACAGCTGGGATTGCAGGTGTGCATCACCACACCTGGCTAATTTTTGTAGTAGAGACAGGGTTTCACCATGTTGGCCAGGCTCATCTCAAACCTCTGACCTCAAGTGATCCACTTGAGGTGGATCAGTGCCTCAGCCTCCCAGAGTGCTGAGATTACAAGCATGAGCCACCGTGCCCAGCCAATACAACTTTTTAATTGCCCATAAAAACATCACTCAAAAACCCTGCTCATCTGCCCATTCAATGAACAAAGAATAGCAGAGGAGGCGAAAACATAAAATTGTTAACTCTTGACAGTGCCCCTAGCAAAATTAAGCCTAACTAGTAGTCGAATGTGGGTAAAATAAGGTAAGAATATAGATTTTCCCATTAGCAGAAGAGTAATTAAAATGACTTGCTTTAAAAAGAGTTCTGGGCTGGGTGTGGTGGCTCATGCCTATAATCCCAGCACTTTGGGAGGCTGAGGCTCTTAGATCACTTGAGGTCAGGTGTTCAAGACCAGCCTGGCTAACATGGTGAAACCCTGTCTCTACTAAAAATAACAAAAATTAGCAGGGCATGATGGCAGGTGCCTGTAATTCAAGCTACTTGGGAGGCTGAGGCAGGAGAATCACTTGAACCTGGGAGGCGGAGGTTGTGGTAAGCCAAGATCGTACCATTGCACTCCAGCCTGGGTGACAAGAGCAAGACCCCGTCTTGAAAAAAAAAAAAAAAGAGTTTTGAAAATCAAGGGGATCTCCACAATCTGTCATTTAATAACAGGAAGCCCAGGGTTCTCTCAAATTTCCCATCAAAACATGGTTTCATAGCAACAGCCACTGAAAGGTAAGGTTCCTGTGATTTCGATTTTACTAGCTATTATGCATTCTTTGTGACTCAGTCTAGATGGGGTAAGAAATGTCAAACTTAAGATTAAATGTTTTTATGATGAGTAGAAAACCAAGATGAAATATGTTTTTCAGTAACTAAAAAGCAACTAATTTATTAAAAGACACTTGTAAAAGTATGATTGCTGAGTGTATTTAAAGTTTCTTTTATTTAGCCTTTAATAGTTCTGATCAAAATCTTTGAAAATTCAACTGGTAAGAAAGATTAAGCTGAAACCTTACAGTGAAGTTATAATAACTGAGAAATGTTAGGCTCCAAATAGTTTTGGTGTTTTGTTTTGTTTTGTTTCATTTTTTGTTTTTGAGATGCAGTTCCACTCGTCACCCAGGCTGGAGTGCAATGGCACGATCTCGGCTCACTGCAACCTCCGCCTCCCAGGTTCAAGCAATTCTCCTGCCTCAGCCACCTGAGTAGCTGGGATTACAGGCACCTGCCACCACACCCAGCTAATTTTTGTGTTTTTAGTAGGGACAGGGGTTCACGATGTTGGCCAGGTTGGTTTCGAATTCCTGACCTCAGGTGATCCGCCTGCCTCAGCCTCCCAAAGTGCTGGGATCACAGGTGAGCCACCACACCCAGCCCCAAACAGCTTTTTAACTTAAAAAATATCTGACTACCAACAGCTCACTCAATCTTTTTTCCGGGGGAGGGGTTGCGGGGACAGGTTAGCAAAAGCCAGTAGAATATATAAATGGAGACTGGTTTTAAGAGTTCACCTAAAACCTAGAGAAGCAAAAGAGAAGAAATAGGAAACATGGCCACTTTACCGTAGATTAGTAGTAGTATCATGAAGCCAAGACTGCGCTGCATCTAATCAAGGATACGTGATGAACACTACGTTTCTGTACACACATCTTTGTTAAAACCAGTTTCTCATACCTAATTGCAGCATTTGCAATTAAGGAGAGTTTTGCCTTGCAATGATAGGTTCAAACATTTTTACTACTTTGGTTTTTCCCACTGGATCTACTGAATCAAGCTTCGGGAGTGAGGAGGTTATTTCCTCTCACTGCTCCATCACCTGCAACCAACATTTCTCCCTTGTGCATTCATTCTTTCAGACTACATTTTAGAATCTTCTGTATGAACAGTATGTATTTTTCTATATTCAGAGTGATAGTTTCTTATGTATTTAAAATGTTTTCTATTCATGGCTAAGAATTATGTACAATAGCAGGGAGACAACTGCTCTTAGCTGTATGGTGAACTAGATATTCTGAATTGTAACCGCCCCCTCCCACCTCCTCCATACAACATCCACATGCTGGATAAATTACAGCAATCATACTTTATTTATTTAGAGATGGCGTTTCACTCTTGTTGCCCAGGCTGAAGTGCAATGGTGTGATCTCAGCTCACTGCAACCTCCGCCTCCCGGGTTCAAGGAATTCTTCTGCCTCAGCGTCCCGAGTAGCTGAGATTGCAGGCATGCACCACCACGCCCAGCTAATTTTTTGTATTTTTAGTAGAGACAGGGTTTCACCATATTGGCCAGACTGGTCTTGAACTCCTGATCTCAGGTGACCCGCCCATCTCGGCCTCCCAGAGTGCTGGGATTACAGGCGTGAGCCACTGCACTCAGCCAGCAATCATACTTTTACATGCACTGATGAGACTGCAAGACAGGGAAATTCCTCATGACTCACAAATATATTAACAAAATGGTAAACAGGCCACTAGCCAGGATGCCCTTGCCTGCACAGCTGGGGACTAAGGACTTCAGGTCACAGTGATGAGGGATATTTATAAAGACAAGGCTTTGGACCTAAAAGAGAACTGGGAAGCTGAGCCTAAGATCTTCACATGAAGCCAGGAGACTATAATAGAAGAGCTCACCTAAAACAAGTTCGTCAGAGAAAGACTGGGCTAGGAAAAAAACCACTAAGGCTGGGCACGGTGGCTCACGGCTGTAATTCCAGCACTGTGGGAGGCCGAGGCGGGCGGATCACAAGGTCAGGAGTTCGAGACCAGCCTGGCCAATATGGTGAAACCCCATCTCTACTAAAAACACAAAAATTAGCCAGGCGTGGTGGCAGGCACCTGTAGTCCCAGCTACTCAGGAGGCTGAGGCAGGAGAATCGCTTGAACCCGGGAGGTGGAGGCGGAGGTTGCAATGAGCTGAGATCGCACCACTGCACTCCAGCCTGGGTGACAGAGCAAGACTCCATCTCAAAAAAACAAAAAACAAAAAAACAACACCTGCGTTTTACCCAGTTCTGCAATGATGGGGGTATAGATGGGAGATCTTAATGCTAGATATGTTTTCCCTGATACTTTGTCAACTTTCATCAAGGTCTAGGGTTCAAAAATACATTATGCTTGCACATGGAAATTCCAAGCCACAAATGAAAGTGGCCCCAAGTGATTGCATCACCTGGAGTCTGAAAGGTAAATATGCATCCTCTCTGGAGAAAAGCATCTTCATTTTAGGTACCTTAGGAGTCCCAAAGTATGTCCTCCCAATTTAAGGGGAAAAAAATCTGAAACACACAAGGAAATAAGCCAGTACGCACAAGGGTCAGCAGGAAAACTTTTTTAATTCTTAAGAAATTAAGATACTGGAATTATCAGAAACAATATAATTATGTAAATAAAACAGAGTGGAAATAAATGAGCAAAGAACAACAGAAAATCAAAAATAACCAGGAAAATTCAAGAAAGAATCAAACAGAACTCCAAAAACAAAAAATTACTGAAATTAAAAATTCAGTGGATGGGTTAAATAAGAGACTGGGCTTATGTGAAAAAGAGTGGGTGACCTGGAATATAGACCTGAAACAATTATTCAGAATAAACTATCTGGATAATATGAGTTAAGATACAAAGAACAAGAGGAGAAAGCCTTACATAAAACTGACTAAGATTACAAAAGGAAATAATAGATAGAATGTGGAGAGAGACTATTTGAAGAAAAAATGGCAGAGAAGTTTCCAGAATAATAAAAAACATTAAGCCATCAGACACAGGATATAACAAGAAAGATAAAGGAAATCCCTATCTAGACACATTATAGTGGAATATTCTAGAATACCGAAGACAAAGGTAAACCTTAAAAGCAGCCAGAGACCTTTTTCAACAAATAGTCCCAGTACAAGTGGATGTTCATAAGTCAAAAAAAAAAAAAAAAAAATCTCAAAATGGATCACAGACTTAAATGTAAAACTAGAGAATTTTTTTAAAAAAATTAAAAGTATGAGAAAAATTTCGGAAGCTAGTGCTCGGCAGAGTTCTTACTTTTGACACCAAAAGCACAATCCATAAAAGGAAAAACTGATAAACTGCAGAAAAATTAAAATCTTGTACTCTACAAAACTCTATTAAAAGACAGGCCATACATTGGAGGCTAGGCATGGTGACTCATACCTGTAATCCCAGCATTTTGGGAGGCCAAAGCGGGAGAACTGCTTGAGACCAGGAGTTTGAGACCAGCCTGGGCAACATAGGGACCTCGTTTCCACTAATAATAAAAAAAAAAAATTAGCTGGCTGTGGTGGCAGGCACCTGTAGTCCCAGCTACTAAGAGGCTGAGGTGGGAGGATTGCTTGAGCCCTGGAGGTTGAGGCTGCAGTGAACTGTGATCTCACCACTGTACTCCAGCCTGAGTGACAGAGCGAGACTGTCTTAAAAAAGAAAAAAAAAGAAAGACAAGCTATATATTGGGAGGAAACAGCTGCAAGCAACATATCTGACAAAGAACTAGTATGTAGAATACATAAAGAACTCTCAAAACTCAAAAATAAAAAAAAACCTAAAAATCCAATTAGATATAAAGTAACATTTCACCTAACAGGATATGCAGATGGCAAAATGAGTACATGAAAAGATACTCAACAACATTACCAATTAAAGAAATAAAAATTAAAACCAGAGTAAGTTATATATCTATCACTATATACCTACCAGAATGCCTAAAATAAAACACAGAGACACAACTAAATGTTGTTGAGAATGCGGATGAAGTGGATCGCCCATATGTTCTTGGTGGGAATGTAAAGCAGTCTGACTCACCCAGGAAAACAGTTCAGCAGTTTCTTTAAATATGCAATTATCATATGACCTAACAACTGCACTACTGGGCAGTTATCCAGAAGAAATGAAGACTGTGTTCACAAAGAAACTAACAGCAGCTTTACTCATTACGGTCCCAAACTGTAAACAACCCAGATGTCCTTCAATGGGTGAATGGTTAAACAAACTACAGTATATTCATACCATGAAATACTACTCAACAATAAAAGTGAACTATTGGCCAGGTACAGTGGCTCACACCTGTAATCCTAGCACTTTGGGAGGCTGAGGCGGGTGGATCACCTGAGGTCAGGAGTTCGAGACCAGCCTGGCCAACATGGCGACACTCCGTCTCTACTAAAAATACAAAAATTAGCCAGGCATAGTGGTGTGCGCCTGTAATCCCAGCTACTAGGGAGACCGAGGCAGAAGAATTGCTTGAACCCAGGAGGCAGAGGCTGCAGTGAGCTGAGATGGCGCCACTGCACTCCAGCCTGGGCAACGAGACTCCATCCCAAATAAATAAATAAAACAAAATAAAATAAAAGTGAACTATTGATACAGCAACAAACTGGAAGAATCTCTGAAGAATAAGGCTGACTGGGGCAAAACAAACCCAATCCCAAAAAGGGATTTGGTTTATAATCCTGTAAGACACAATCTCGAACACCTTAATCCTGAATGGTGAAATCCCAAAAGATCAAAATGCCTAATCTAAAATCCATAATGTCTAAAATCCCAAAAATCACAATCAGAGGATACTGGCATCATGATAGGTAGAACTACAACTTTCTCATTGTCTTTATTTGGAAATTAAGTACGGTTTAAGGAGGTATGTATGGGTGCTGAGTTGATAAGAGGTGTTCTTTGGGACTTAATTTTAGGTGTCAAGTTGATTGGATTAAGGAACACCTAGAAACTTATTAGTGTTTTGAGTGTGTCTGTGCAAGTGTTTCCAGAGATTAGCATCTGAGTGAAGCCAGTGGAAGACACTGGTTGTTCTTAAAGTATTTCAAATGACTGCAGTTATAAAGCTGAGCATACACAATTACCAACCACAGGGCTATGCATTGATACATTTCCCTTTTTGACCTATTTCTTTATAAATACCACTCATCTGTTCATAACTGTCATACCCATGTGACTGTCATTAGTAGAGCTGAGAACTGCTTATGCTTGCAAACATACGTATGTTATTGTTGCCTATTTTATTGTGTAAAGTGGCCTGTGTTTGTATTTCTCAAATCCTCTTTTAAAAATGTGAATAATCAGCCAGGTGCAGTGGCTCATGCCTGTAATCCCAGCACTTTGGGAGGCTGAAGCAGGCAGATCACGAGGTCAGGAGATCGAGACCATCCTGGCTAACACAGTGAAACCCCGTCTCTACTAAAAATACAAAAAAAATTAGCTGGGCATGGTGGCGGGTGCCTGTAGTCCCAGCTACTCGGGAGGCTGAGGCAGGAGAATGGCGTGAACCCGGGAGGCAGAGCTTGCAGTGAGCCAAGATCGTGCCACTGCACTCCAGCCTGGGTGACAGAGCAAGACTCCATCTCAAAAAAAAAAAAAAAAAAAAAAAAGTTAATAACCTGAAGTCAGGGGTTTGAGACCAGCCTGGCCAACATGGTGAAACCCCATCTCTACTAAAAATACAAAAATTAGCCGGGCATGGTGGCGCACACCTGTAGTCCCAGCTACTTGGGAGGCTGAGGCAGGAGAATCACTCGAACCTGGGAGGTAGATGTTGCAGTGAGCTGAGACTGTGCCACTGCACTACAGCCTGGGCAACAGAGTAAGACTCCATCTCAAAACAAACAAACAAACAAAATGTAAATAAATATCTTTTAAAGGTTTTTAAAATTATTCTTTCCAGAATTACATATTTGGGATTATGATTATCAGGGTTTCAACCTTCATGATCATGGCATTTGGGATTATGTATTTCCGGATTATGAGTGGCTCCCCAAAAGGCTACATAATACAGAATTCCACTTATATAAAATCCTTGAAATGACATAATTATAGGAATGGAGAACATATCAGTGGTTGACAGAGGTGAAGGAGAAAACAGAAGTGGCAGGGAAGTAGACGTGGCTATAAAAGGACAGCAAGAGGGGTCCTTGTAGTGATGGAAATTTTCTGTATCTCCACTGTGTCCATGTCAGCATCTTGGTTGTGATACCATACTAGAATCTTACAAGATGGTATCACTGGAAGAAACTAGGCAAAGGGTACACAGGTTCTCTCTGTATTATTTCTTATGATTGCATGCCAATCTACAACTGATTTCAAAATTGAAAGTTTAACCACAGCAAAAAAGCAATCAGAAAGAAAAGTCACATTATATCCAAAAGAATGACATTTGGAATGACAAAAGATTTCTCCCCAGTAGTAACAAAAGTAAAAAGATAGTAGACTAATTCTTCAAAGTACTGGGGGAAAAAAAGACACACCTCAACTTAGAATTATGTACATATAAAATCAACTTTATAGAATGAATTGAAAATACTTTTGATAAATGTAAACTAAGAGTTTGCCATCAACAGATGTCACTAGAGGAACATCAAAAGATGTGCTTCAGAAAGAAGGAAAATTATCCTAGGTGAAAGGTCTGAGATGTGAGAATAATAATGAATAAACAAACACTTCTAACATATAAAGTAAATCTAAACCAACAATTATCTGTACAAAAACAGTAATAATCACAAGGTCTAATTTTTTTTCTAACAGATGGTGTCTCACTATGTTGCCCAGGCTGGAGTACAGAGGCTAGTCACAGGCACAATCGCAGTGCACTGCAGCCTCTAACTCCTGGCCTCAAGGGATCCTCCGGCCTCAGCCATTCAGGAGCCAGAACTACAGGTGTGCACCACTGAGTCCAGCTCAAGGTCTAATTTTAAGGTGAAAAATCACAAGCTATAACTAAAATACTGAATGATTTTAACACGAAAGTTGCAAGAGGGGTGACTTGGAGAGTTCCAAGACTCTCAATTAGAGAGGAAGATAAAGATATAACATTATACTTTTTAAGTACGGATGTAATATTCCAAGGAAATTCCCCCAAAACAAAGAAGAGGGGGCAGAGGGGTGAGGGTGGAATTAAAAAACATTTTTGATTCCAAAAGAAAAAAAAAGAGTGGAAGAAAAAAACATAAAAAGCACAAAATAAGGTGGTAAGGAATAAATGCAAATACATCAGTACACATAAAAATGCACTCAACTAACCAGTTAAAGTTCAGATTAGATTTAAAAATAATTGGCCGGGTGCAGTGGCTCATACCTGTAACCCCAGCACTTTGGGAGGCTGAGGTGGGCAGATCAGAAGGTCAGGAGTTCCAGACCAGCCTGGCCAATATGGTGAAAACCCTGTTACTAAAAAAAAGAAAAAAAAATTAGCCAGGCCTGGTGGCAAGCACCTGTAGTCCCAGCTACTCAGGAGGCTGAGGCAGTAGAATCGCTTGAACCCAGGAGGTGGAGGTTGCAGTAAGCTGAGATTGCGCCACTGCACTCCAGCCTGGGTGACAGAGTGAGACTCCGTCTCAAAATAGTAATAATAATCATCATCATCATCATCTAGCTATATGCTGTTTATGAGACACACTAAAACATAAGGACATTCATCAACAAAGCAGGATAGAAAAATCTAGCTAAACTATGCGCAATGCTATCAAAAAATAAAAACGTCAATGAAAACAAATTCCCAGAAAAATGTAATAAAAATGACTAACATTAAAGAAATAGAAAGGCTAATAATTCTATAATTTTTGAAACCTAATCAATAGTTAAGAAATTTTCTCACAAAAAAATGCAAAGTTCAGACAATTTTATAGGCAAGCTCTATCCAGCTTTTAAGGAACAGATTAATTTAAATGTTTTTCTTTTCTTCCAAGAGAACAGACAGAGGGAAGGAGAGAGAGACAGCACTCCTTAACTTATTCTTAGTATCCACAATCTATTAAGTATAAAAAGACAACAATCTACTACTATATAAATGGGCAAAAGACATGAAACAAGCTTTTCAGAGAGCAATAAGGAATGAATAATAAACATGGGAAAAGATGCTCAGCCTCATTAACATTTAGGAAATACAAAGTTAACTTCCACTCTAGTCAAAATGGAGTAGCAGAGGCACGATTTACCTTCTCCACCTTAAATTAAAACCTATATAAAATGTATACAAGGAAGTTTTTCAGATGTTAGACAAAAGCCAGTGCAGGACAGTGACTCCTGAGAGATGGAAAACAAAGAAAGCCCTATAATTGCGCAAGCTTCTACATGGGGTTTCTAAGCTGTGGCACTAAGGCTAGGGAAGGGAACCTCCCTGGGTAGAGAATTTAGGGGAGCCAAGGTAAGATTTGCAGGGCAGAATATTGGGTTTCCCTTAAGTCTTCAGCTAAACACCAAGCAGTGTATGCATGTGAGGTAAGGAACAGGAGATACAACTGGGAGCTCAATAGGGTTCAGAATATTTCATGTTCCCAACAGACAGAATGCAGAAACCGTGTAACCAGGAAGATTATTCAGAACGGTATTACCTTCGTAGTGGGTCAAATTAGCCCTAAACTAAAGGCTGTCCCAGTCCTGTCTTATTAAGCTTAAAAGCAAGCTATAAAATGATCGGATTGTTTCCAAGTAACTTTATGTCCCCAAACAGAGTTCAAGATACTTAAAAGAACTCCAGCACCCAATATTAAAAACAGAAATTACCAGGCATGTAATGAAGGAAGTTACAATCCAATATGGGCAGGGTGGGGGTTGGGGTAGGGTGGGAATCAATCAATAGAAACAGACCAGAAATGATGCAGATGACAGAATGGGCAAGCACACTGAAAGAGCTATTATCAATACACTCCAGATGTTGAAAAAAAAAAAAATAGAGGAAGGCATGAGCATGTGAAGGAGACACATGGGAGATAAAGACCCAGACAGAAATTCTAAAGACTAAAAATATGTCGGAGGTGAAAAATACCTGGATACGATTAAAAGGAAATTAGATACTTTAGACAGAAAGATTAATAAACAATGAGGACACAGCACTGGAAAGTACCCAACATGAAACACAGAGAGAAAAAGGCTTTTTAAAAAGCTGCACAGAATCAGCACACTGGGAGAAAATTCTGAGGGGCCTAACGTACATCCAAGTCATCAGAGCCCCAGGAGAAGCATGAGAGGAGCAGAGAGAAAACCATAACAGAAGAAAAAATGCCCCCCAATTTCCAAATTCTATGAAAACCATAAACCCACAGGTAAAATAGCTGCAGCAGCAGAAACGTGAAAAAAAAACTACAGCAAGCACATCATAATCAAACTTCTTACAACCAGTGACAGAAAACCTTAAAAGCAGCCAGGAAAAAAATGACATCTTACACATGGAAGAGCAGAGATAACAGTAATCTTGCTGGAAATCACAGGTAGATACCACTTAACATCCACTAGGTTGGCAAATTTTTAAGTCTGAACTTAAGTGTTGGAGATGCTATGAAACAAAGGTAACTCACAGTGCCAAGAGAGGTATAAACTAGTACAGTCACTTCAGAACACAAATTTGGCATTATTTTATCAATATATCAAGCAATATAACTGCTAGATACAATGTTCACAGCAGCATTGTTTCAACAGCAAAAACAAATAAACAAAACTCAAATGTCCATCAAGAATGAATAAGTTGTAGTATATTTATATAATACTATATAGCAATAAAAATGAAAGAAAGTCACAGAAGTAAACATTTTGCCATTTATATAAAATTCAGAAACATACAAAATTAACATTTCACTTACAGATACATACGTATGTTGTAAAACTATAATAGACAAATGACAAACACAAAATTCCAAATAATTATTTGAGAGGGAGAGGGCCTTAGGGAACTTCTAAAATGTCGACAACATCTGTATCTTAAGCTGGCTGATGAGTACACAGATATTTACATTTATTATCCCTTTATATATACGTTTATGTATTTTTGTAGTATGAAATACTTCATTAAAAAAAGAGTGAAAATGTAAGACTTCAAAAATGAAGACTACCATTTATGTATAACAATAAAATTAGTGTAAAAAAGTATACAAAGAAAATGTTCAATTCTTTATCTTTCCGTGCTCTATATAATCAGTATTAATCTAAAGACCATAATCCTAGTATGAAAAAAATAACAAGCTTTGACACAAAATCTAAGCATCTGCTTTCCTGGCACTCTTAAGTTAGACAAGAGTAAATATGTTAGCCTCTCAATTCTGCCTCTTCATCTTTCATCTATACTTAGATTTTTCTTTATCTTTGGACTTCTTTGGACTTCTGCTTCGGTCTCTCTTTTTACTCCTTTCTCTTTCATAAAGATCTGTTTGGTATTTTGATTTATGACTATTACTATAATGGCCATCCCTCTCTCGAGATCGGCTACGACTTCGGTTCTGAGTTCGGTCTCTCTTTTCACTCTTTTGTTTCTCCCAACAGCTTTCTTCTTCTTCATAGTGACCAAACCCCATTTCTCTATAGATATCCTGTCAAAGGAAGGGGGAATTACAAGTGAATCAGTAAAATAATCATTTTGTGGGCATTTTCAATTAATAAAACTTAGAAAAGTCTACCATTAGAAGGCTGTTATAACAGCTTAAATGTGAACACTACCACTAATGTCAAGAATCTTGTAAATTACAAAGCAATAAAATAATTCAGAAAAAGGTTTAACAACGTCATTGATTTGTATCTACTATTTTGGCTGAAACGAAGGATCAGCTTCAAAAATATGGAACTGAAATAGCTCAACTGAAATCAGAACATGTCTCTAGAGCAATCTGCAAAATCAAAAATTCTGATTATGTATAGTCTTATTCCCAGCTCCCCACCCTTCACTCCCCCAAAACGTGGTCCCATTATTGATCTGCAATGAAACTACTAAAATTCCCATAAGAATCCTATAAGAAGATATCATTGAAATAACTTAGCAGGAAGAGATCTTAGACAAGTCAGTAAGTCTTAAATAAGAAAATGGAGGCTGGATGCGGTGGCTCACGTCTGTAATCCCAGCACTTTGGGAGGTTGAGGTGGATGGATCACCTGAGGTCAGGAGTTCAAGACCAGCCTGACCAACATGGAGAAACTCTACTAAAAATACAAAATTAGCCAGGTGTGGGGACGCATGCCTGTAATCCCAGCTACTCGGGAGGCTGAGGCAGGAGAATTGCTTGAACCTGGGAGGCAGAGGTTGCGGTGAGCCAAGATTGCCCCACTGCACTCCAGCCTGGGCAACAAGAGCGAAACTCCATCTCGAAAAAAGAAAATGGATAATGTATACTTGGGTCTGAGCAATTAATTTTTAAAGTGTTTTATTTTATAACAGCTCCTCTCTAGATGTTCAAATACATCTTCCATGTTTAGAAAGACAGAAGTTAGAGAGGAGAATTTTTTTTGAGACAAGGTCTTGCTGTCTCCCAGGCAGGAATGCAGTGGCACGATCATGGCTCACTGTAGCTTCAACCTCCCAGGCTCAACCGATCCTTCCCACCTCAGTCTCCTAAGTAGCTGAGACCACAGGCATGTGCCATCACACCTGGCTAATTTTTGTATTTTTTTGTAGAGACGGGGTTTCCCCATGTTGCCCAGGGTGGTCTCAAACTCCTGGGTTCAAGTGATCCCCTCCCACCTCGGCCTCCCAAAGTACTGGGATTACAGGCATGAGCCACCTCACTCAGCTGATTAGGCTTATGTCAAAATTATTATATTTCTTTAAAATGAGTTTTTAAACACTGGTAGAATCCTTTGCCCCAAAGATAATAAAATTGCTACATTTAATTCTACTCTTAGACCACAGCCAATGCTCTTTCAAGAGATACTTTGTAAAATTTAACTTTCTTAAGACTGCCCAAAGGAAAGGAAAATTCTAAGGACTAAACTCCCAAGGGTCTCAACTCTATCACCAGATACCACTGTAGCAGACATAAATGTCAAGGCTTAAAATTCAGAGTGATGAATACCCATGGTTAAGGACTGGGTTTTAAGCAAATTATTAGTTATTCCATATACTGTCTAGATACTGTACACCTTGAGTTTGACAGTGTGTGAAAACAGATGTAACAGGATTGTTATAGTAATAATCACACTGTGTAATACAGTATTATAAACTGATTTGTGATTTTCCACACAATCCCAATAGTTCTTGTCATATTATAAGAGTCCCTGAGGTAGAAAAAATGAGTAGGCATTTTGGTTTAGCCTTTTGCCATCAATTTTCTAGTAAAATATGACATTCTGAGATAAAAGAATTTTTGTGCTTCCTATAACATATACAAAATAGAAATATTCATATACTATTATATCTGTACATCTTGTACTTATTTCTGTATTGGTTGAGACAAACTTTTAAAATGCCGAGACTGCTGGCTGATGTATAAATTTATAAAATCCTCAGTATGTTATTATACAAATGGGCACTTAAGTGCTTTGAGTATTTAAAATAGAAGAGATAAAAGATTATGTAGCACTTCATTCTTTTAAAAATTTGAGGAAGCTGAATATTTGAATTGGACTGAAACTTTAAAATCACTCCTACTCGGGAGTAGTTTTCAAAGCTACACAAGCTTTGAAGTCAGGTAGATCTGGGTTCAAATAGTCTTTGACATTTAGGAGATGTGTCAAACAAGTACTCTTAAGGTTAGAATAATTAGAGAAGGTTTCATGGAGAAGTTAGGATTTCAGATGAGCCTCAAAGGGTAAGTGAGCTTGGGTCTGAATGGGCTGCAAGAAGGCTAATGAAAGTAGTGTAAGTGAAAACTGAAAAGCAAGGAAAAATGAGCCCTGTATGTATGAAGGGGAAAAGTTAAAGTGGCTGAATGAAGCCATGTAAGAGGAGATCCTCCAAGTACATGCTAACACAGTGCTAAGAGCTTTAGGAGTGCAATATCCTCATTCTAGAAATAGGGAAACTGAGACTCAAGAGATCTGCACAGGTTGGAGATAATTTAACTTGACATCCAAAATTAAAAAGGGGGGAGTGGTACAGAATAATGGGGAAAAAATCCAACACCTGACTGAACCAAATAAATGTTAAAATTCTAGCTCTCCCACTATAAAGGCCTAAGGGCCTGTGGGATCAGTATCTTCATATCTAAAGTGAGATAAATGAATTAGATAAGGTCTAGGTCCTTTCCAGTATGAATTTTTAAAAGTTATATTATTTATACATTTAAAACATAAGACAAGATGATTAAACTACCATGTGGCAAAAAAAGAAAAGAAAAAACGAAGAACACAAAATGGCCAATTTAAAGCAATTAACCTAGCAAATGACTTGAAATAAGCAATCAAAAAAAGTCTAATCTAATTAAAAGCTATCCTTGCTCAAGTCTCTGGGACTAAATCAAAGATCTGGTTAAATCTTAGTCACCAAGATAACATTAAATCACTAAAATGACAGAAAAAGTACAGTCAAGAATACAAACACTATGAAAACCCCAGTGGAAAACTGACAACCAGCATGAATACTTCTCAGCAAGGCAACCCCCAGCTGAATACGCATTTCCTGTAACCCCAGTAAAACCCAAACCTCAACAACACAAAAACCATCTCTGGAATTAAGACATGAGGTGGAAAATTAAACAAACGTTTTCGAATTGATTAGTAAGGCTAGTTACTCAATAAAAAACAAAGAATTTGAAGAAATAAGTTAAAATACTCTTGGGAAACCAGACTCACTAAGCAAAACACCGACAAACAGGAAAATATGAACTATAGCTGAAATTTGTCTAGTACTGAAAATTCTCTTTAATGAATTTTAAAAAATAAAAAACAAAATAATAAAAAATCGGGGGGCCATTAAAATCTTAAATACTGATGCTGAGTTTTATTAGGAAGAAGAGAAAATTAATGTAGCTATATCATTAAATCAAAGTACAAAACTTTTTAAAATTTAATATACTTTAAGGGGAGAAGTTAGGAGATCATTATTCAGAATTTAATAATTTTATAGTTAATATTGCCTTAAAATTTCAACTTAAAATTGCCTTAAAATCTTTTTAAAAATACTAATAGCATTCCCCCAAAATCTTGATGCTTTTACTCCATGCAAAATGAGAAGGATATTTGCTACTGTAAGGTTTCAAGTAATCAAACAGCAGAATCAGAAAGACTCACACAAAAAAAACACAACCAGTCTGAAATTTTTTAGACCTCTGATTATCTCAAACACACCAATGTTTATTTATCTCAGGCTTAAATTCATGGACGGTTCCATGTACAAGTGCAGGATGAAAAGCTGGAGCTAAAAGCAGCACATGGAGGGGGAAAGAATTCAGAGTTTTTAGTGGAAAACATGCTAAACATTCACAGGAATGTGATACAGCCACCAGTAAAGAAGACTGATGCGACCTCAGACTAAAGTAATAGAGTACAGACATTTAAGAAGGAGGAGATGTGTTCCTATTAGATCACATTGGAATATTATACTATGGGACAAATTTTATTAAAATAACATTAGAGTTTAGGAAAGAAAACTGATGAGAATATACCCCAGGTAAGAAGACGAGCAAAAGTAGTTAGGAGTATGTTTCAAGTTAAGAGTAGTTAGTTTCAACTATGAAACTAAACTGTGGTTCCACTACTTACTAGCTGTGTAAAACTATGGGCAAGTAACAATTTTTGTTCTCACTTTGTTGTGTGAAAGGGGGATAAAAGAACCCACCTTACATTGTAAGGACCAAAAAATATTAACTACTACTACTTTTTTCTTTTATTTAAAATTTTTATAGAGACAGGGCCTCCTATGTTGCCCAGGCTGGTCTTGAACTCTGGGATCAAGCGATTCTCCTGCCTCAGCTTCCCAACATGCTGGGATTACAAGCATGAGCCACTGCACCTGGCCTACTACTACTTTTATTACCACCGATTCATGTGAGAAATATTTGCAGGAACCAACAAAAGTATGGCCTGAAAACGGGATGAGGCATGAATGATGGCAATCTTTAAACAGCTAAAGGGCTATAGAAAGAAGAAATTCTATCTCTGCTGGATTATAGCAAAGAGCTAACTACATATATCAAATATTTACTTGCTAAATTTTTTTAAATCAATAACCCATAAAACACATAAAATAGTTACCCACAGAGGGAAGAAGGAAAAGGGGAGGGAACAAGAATGGAAGCTAGGTTCTCTAAATGTACCATTTTGTAGATTTCACTTTGGAAACAGTTTTTAAAACTACAAAACAAAAAATTGTTAAAGCAACCCTTAAAACATTAAAAATAAATAAATAAAAATGAAACAGGGCCGGGCGCGGTGGCTCACGCCTATAATCCCAGCACTTTGGGAGGCTGAGGCAGGCAGATCACGAGGTCAGGAGTTCGAGACCAGCCTGGCCAACTTGGTGAAACTCCATCTCTAGTAAAAATACAAAAATCAGCCAGGCATGATGGCAGGTGCCTGTAATCCCACCTACTCGGGAGGCTGAGGCAGGAGAATCGCTTGAACCCAGGAGGCGGAGGTTGCAGTGAGCCGAGATTGCACCATTGCACTCCAGCCTGGGCAACAAGAGCAAAACTCCGTCTCAAAAAAAAGAAAGAAAAGAAACACTTTAACTGAAATATGAATCTAGTTAATGTCATAACCACAGAGAGAAACTATTCCAAGTAACTCTAAAACTAGTAATTTGCTTTAACAGTTAAAAAAAAAAAGTAGTAACAATAATAACCAGTGTAGAAAATGTTTGCACACGCATTTTTTTCACTGAATCTTAACAAAATGCCTGTGAAGTATTTCTCACTTTTCACAGAGGATGAAACTGTGGCTCAGAAAGTTAAACAACTTGTCAAGGTCACTTTGATGGCCAGCAGTATGTAAACCTAGCTCTCCTGACAGCAAATCCTTGACTCTGCCTATCATACTACATTTCTCTATTTCTGCATCTTTGGTTAACATTCTCACCATCTTAAATTCCCTCCCTTCTCACCTCAGCCCACTGAAATCCTTCTCATCCACCAGGGCCCAGCATAAATGTTTCTATGTGGTAAAACAAAAGCAAGGAGCTCTGATGTAAAAAAAAAAAAAAAATTTTTTTTGGAGACGTGGTCTGGCTCTGTCATCCAGGCTGGAGGGCAGTGGCATGATCTGGGCTCACTGCAGCCTCTACCTCCTGGGCTCAAGCGATCCTCTCAAGCTCCCAAGTAGCTGAGACCATAGGTGCACACCACCATGCCTGGCCAATTGTGTGTGTGTGTGTGTGTGTGTACTTTTTGTCAAGGTGTGTGTGTGTGTATTTTTTGTCGAGATGGGGGTTTCACCATGTTGCCCAGGCTGGTCTCCAACTCTTAAGCTCAAGCGATCTACCTGCCTCGGCCTCCCAAAGTGCTAGGATTACAGGCGTGAGCCACCGTACCCAGCCTGTAAATTGCTTTTTATTTAACTAAGAACCAAAGCACAGGCTGGAAATAATCACTTTTCTTCACAATAAATTTTCTTTGGGGAATTTTTATTATTTTTTTTAAATGTGCTGTTCAGGAGAGCTTTTAGCATGCTAAAGTTAATTACCAGTGCTGTTTTTCTTATATACAATACAGCAGGATATAAATGTTTTATAGGATGTAAAATCTCAAGAGCCCTTAAGTGCTATACATAACACTTGGTGATAAATTAAGCAGATAAATGACAAAATCTTTTTCAGCACAACCACACTTGTTTCTGATGGGAATAAAGGAGTATCCACAGGTACGGAAATCACTCTTGCTTCACAATGTGGAAGTATTTGATACATTAAGTTATGTCAAAAATGATCTTTTATCATTTGTGATAAATATTTTTGAAAATTAAAATCCCATACCCCAGTGCAACCATTCTGCTTCTTAGGAACAAACCCATCTCTGCTTAGAACTATCCCTTACCTCCTAAATTATATCACTAAGACATCATTTACAGAGGGATAAAATATTTATTTCTCCACATCTAAGTCTGGACATTAGAGGTACCTGATTAGTATTTTTGATTGGCATGTAGTCCTCATCTTCTTTCTCTTCAGAACAGTGATGGGTTTTCTTCTTGTGTTTTTTACTTGTGTGTGAGTGACTTGATTTTGAGTCTTCGGCCTGCTCATCTAATATAAGATCGTATTTTGTACTGCAGTAGTTAGTTAAGGATAAATGTGATAAATAATACTGGTAAGACATCAAAACTTAAGATCTGGTAAACAAAGGAGGTCATAAGGCTAAAAGTAACTAAAGCAAAAAGCATCTCAAAAGAATATAGTACATTTCTAAAACAAAACTAACATTTTCTTTCATTATATAGTCAGGAGAAATGGAAAGAATCCTAATCCTAAACAATCTTAAAATAAAGACTAGTAGGCAAAAAAATTAGGAGGAAAAAATAAACGTATTTGTCAATAATTTAAAAAATTTAAATTTAGAAAATGAGGGACATCTTTAACTAGAAAAAATTATTATAAATTCCAATGCCCAGAAAAGCTATATAAGATAACAGGTACATTTGTATGTCTCTTCTTTTAGTTCAATCAAGAGGAAATTCAGCAATGCATATCGAGTTATCATGTTTAAATTCTTCTTATTATTTTTTTTGAGACGGAGTCTTGCCCTGTTGCCCGAGCTGGAGTGCAGTGGCGCGATCTCAGCTCACTGCAACCTCCGCCTCTCAGGTTCAAGCAATTCTCCTGCCTCAGCCTCCCGAGTAGCTGGGACTACAGGCACATGCCACCACGCCTGACTAATTTTTTGTGTCTTTAGTAGAAACGGGGCTTCCCCATGTTGGCCAGGCTGGTCTCAAACACCTGACCTCGTGATCCACCCGCCTCGGCCTCCCAAAGTGCTGGGATTACAGGTGTGAGCCACCACACCTGCCCATCATGTTTAAATTCTAATAAGAATTTATGAATACAGTTAAATGAACAAAAATATACATAAAAGCCAGGCGTGGTGGCTCACACCTGTAATCCCAGCACTTTGGGAAGCCAAGGCGGGCGACTCACTCGAGGCCAGGAGTTCGAGACCAGCCTGGCCAATATGGTGAAACCCCATCTCTACTAAAAATACAAAAATTAGCCGGGCATGGTGGCGCAACCTATAACCCCAGCTACTCGGGAGGCTGAGGCAGGAAAATCATTTGAACCCAGGAGGTAGAGACTTTTGTGAGCCGAGGTTGCACTACTGCACTCCAGCCTGGGTGACAGAGCGGGGACTCAGTCTCAAAAAAAAAAAAAAAAAAAAAAAAAAAATATATATATATATATATATATATATACATATAAAAAATATGCATAATAGTATTACTTTTAGTAGCAAAGTAGGAACAACAAAATATCTAGTAATAAAGACATACTTAAATGCATTATAGTACTTCAACAAGATACAATATTATAAATGAAGTTATCAACAACGATAAATGCTACAGAAAAAACCCTAGAAAGGTGTTTATGAAAATTAACATGAAAAAAGCTTAAAGCAAAAACAACATATACCATACAACGATTATAACTTTACATAAGAGAAAGGTTTGAAAGAAACAAGGAGAAATAAAAAGTATCATGTGTCTAGGTGATGAAGCTACGAGTGAATCTTTTTAAATTTCATCTAAATGTGTTAAAAATGTTTTAATGTTTTAATTCAGAGATAAGTATTTTCTTAAATATACTATAATAGAATAAGAGAAAATATAAAAGAGTTACGATTTCTGCTGAAAATAATCTCAACCTCAAAGGTGGATTTTGAGGAAGACTGACATGGGCTGGAATGGTGGTTTTCCAGAGAAAGGTTATGAGGAAGCCCAACAGGCAGAGCTATGCTAATTACATGTGGGACCACAGTAAACGCAGACACACTTCCCTCAGGACTAGAGGCTCGTGTCTGCTTCACAAAGCCACAACTCAACACTTTCCACAGGAATGTCTCACTTCTACATAAGATCAAATGAAAGACATTGTTCCTCCTAGCTTCCCATGAGATGGCTAAAGAGGGTTAGTCAGCTCGTACCATTCGGTTATGACTCCATTATCTCCAACTTCCCTCTTTTCACTATGCTACTCTGTTTCCGGGGCATCTTCTGGATCTTGCCTTTTCCAGATACACATTCCATAGCTCCCACCTATGATTTCATCCTAATGTGTGCTCTGCACATGCTGCTCCCTCTGTCCAAATTCTTCAGAGCACTCAGTCTTGCTCTGTTGCCCAGGCTGGAGTGCAGTGGCCTGATCTTGGCTCCCTGCAACCACCCCATCCAGGGTTCAAGCAATTCTCCTGCCTCAGCCTCCCAAGTAGCTGTGATTACAAGTGCACACCACCACACCCAGCTAATTTTCGTATTTTTAGTCGAGACAGGGTTTCGCCACGTTGGCCAGGCTGGTCTCAAACTCCTGACCTCAAATGATCCACCTGCCTCAGTCTCCCAAAGTGCTGGGATTACAGGCATGAGCCACTGCGCCTGGCTCAGAGCAATGTTTTTCAAACTGATGACTATAATCCATCAATGGGGTATAAAATCTATTTAGTGGGCCACAACAGCATTTAAAAAAAAAAACAGAAATACAGTATATGCCTAAAAAAATTTTATTTTATTAATCTTTTGGTTCAAGTGTGTGTGTGTGTGTGTGTGTGTGAATGTTTGTACTGTGACTGTATTGGGTTAAGACAAAAACTGTATTTTTTTTAATTTTTTTTTTGAGACGGAGTTTCACTCTTGTTGCCCAGGCTGGAGTACAATGGCGCGATCTTGGCTCACCACAACCTCTGCCTCCTGGGTTCAAGCAATTCTCCTGCCTCAGCCTCCCGAGTAGCTGGGATTACAGGCATCCGCCACCACGCCTGGCTAATTTTTTGTATTTTTAGTAGAGACGGAGTTTCTGCATGTTGGCCAGGCTGGTCTTGAACTCCCGACCTCGGGTGATCTGCCCGCCTCGGCCTCCCAGAGTGCTGGGATTATAGGCATGAGCCACTGCACCCAGCCAATTTTTTTTTTTTTTTTAAGAAAAAAAAAATGGAGACCGGGTCTCGCTATATTGCCCTGGCTGCTCTCAAACTTCTGGGCTCCAGCAATCCTCCCACCTCGGCCTCCCACACTGCTGGGATTACAGGCATGAGCCACTGCACCCAGCCTATTTCTTAAATGATGGATCATACGAAAGAAGACAGCACTCCCATGAGCCACTGCACCCAGCCTATTTCTTAAATGATGGATCATACGAAAGAAGACAGCACTCCACCTCAGCCCTCCTATCTCCCATATTAGTGTCACAGCTTTAATGCCACTTTTTTCAGTGTTGAGGGTATTCTCTAACCTCTCGCCCCCTATTATGAGTCCCATATCTCTTTGCAATATTTATTTGCAATAATTTAGACGTATTTAGAATGGTAATTATTTAATGTCTGGTTTTTTTTCCCCACTCCAACAGCAAAATGTAAGCTCTATGTGGGCAGGAACTGAATATCTTTCATTGCTAAACTGAGTATGTGACAGATGCTTACTAAGTATCTGTTGATTACTTGTCATACCCTCAAGACACTTGTTGTATCTCCTGCTTCCTCACTTACCCACTATCTTGTACTTATCACTAAAATCAACACTTTCAGAAGACATCAAATCCCTCTCCCTTTGAATAAAACACAAATTTGTGAGCTCACTGCCATCTTTTCTCCAATTTCTTCCCTGAGGTCTAGTTGGGCCAAGTTATTTCCTTCTCCTACTTCTATTTTTGATTCTTCTTATTAATAATCTATACTTTCACTAATTTCTCTTTCTCTTAAGGCCCATAAAGTAGATGCCACCATGCCTTCTTAACTGACTTAAGACAATTTATCTGCACATCAGACTATCCCCTAACAGCATTTCTCTCTTTTGCATCAACTTCAAAAGGCTAGAAGCTACACTATTCCATATAAGTATATGTGTGGTTGTTTCAATTAATTAAAATTAAAGAAAACTTAAAATTCCCCTTCTTCCAGCTATAGTTATTAGTAATAAGCCTAAATTTAATTTCAAAGATTTGGTAAATAAATATCAAATGTATTCCATTCATAACTTTTATGATTTTGAGCTTTCAATCATATGCCCTTGAATGTTGATCTTTTCTGACCAAATCTCAGCTTCTTATTTGGTCTGTCTGCATGTGAAAGCCTCTCCTTATGCTGATTTTATCAGCTTTCTTCAGACTTTATCCAGTTCTAACACCTCACAATGCTTTATACATTGCAGACAATCAACACATCTTAAAACATGAATATAGACCAGGTCAACCTGATATTCATCTTTCTTGATGAGTACTTGGAAAAGAAATGTCTACATATGTAGAAAAAAAAATCCCTGAAATACCAATAGAAACTAGGAAACAAAGACACCATTTACCAGAAAGAATCACAACAGAAATAACTCTTGCAATGTGTGGAGTGATATATTTATAATGGGAAAAATTAGTGAACCAATTTAAATGTCATAATATAAACAGTATGTTTCATTACTTTTTACATGTCTCAACCTAAAACTTGGAAGAACCTGAAGTAAATGGTCAAGTCAATGGATTTCTTTTTAATCCTACAAAAGTGAACTCTTGCACTCAGTAGAAGCCCAATAAATATTTGTTGTTGAAATTACAATATACTATACCGAAAGAAGTAACCTAACATTGTAACAGAGAACAATAGGATTTTGTTATCTAGGTAAGGAAGTTAAACATAACAGCAGGTAGCACAAAGGAATCAGCTTAGCAATAATAAATTTCAGATTATGAGGAATAGAAAACATTACAATTACATATAGAAAATACAAAGCTAGTGTTACAGCTCTTTTAGAATTTGTCTAGTAGGCTTTCCGGTTTTTGCAGGAAAGCCCCCCCAAAAAGAAAATACAAATCTTACCTGAAGATCTTCTGAGAATATGATAAGTAGGAAAGTACTTAACCTAGAGTAGGAAAGTATTAATAAAAGAATTAGGCTACAGATTTCTTTCAACCTTAACTTTCTCCATACACTAGAGTATAGTGAAAAAGCAAAGTATATGTAAGATCTTGAAAAGAGATAATGATAAACTAAGTTACTTCCTCACAAACAATCTGGATTCAGGAAATTTGTCTTCTATAGCTTTTGTGACTTTTCATAACACATCACACAGTACTCTACACATAGCAGATGGTCAATACATATTAACTAACTGATTCTTGGTAAGGATACTCCTGTTTGGGCTTTACTTTATCTTTCAGAACCAAATTAGGTGGTTTATCCTGTTCTTTTTCATACTCCTTGAAATCACTCTTGGTGTATTTCCCACCTATTTATTAAGAAAAGAAAAAAAGAGCTTAGTAAAAAAACCACCTAACCAAGAACAATAATTATTTTATAAAAAGCATAAGAGCTATTTTATAAATGGCATATATCGAGAGACAGAGAAAGGGAACAAAAGAATCATAGTAATTCCATCTCCATTACTAATTTGAAATCAGACATCCATTTTTGCTAGGTAGCCACATGCTGCCACCTAACGATATATGTGAATATTACAACATCAAACTTTCAAATAAATTACACACAAATGCCGTGTTCAAGTAGAGCCATTGAGCCCATGAGAACATTAAGTCCAGTGGAAAACTGAGGATTTGGGACCTGAGTTTAAGATCTGAAAGACCTAAGTTTGAGAGAAGTGAGACTTTAAGAGACCTTTTAAAGATCTAACGAGATAGTGTGTGCCTGTAATCCCATCTACTCGGGAGGCTGAGGCAGGAGGATCGCGTGAACCTGGGAGGCAGAGGTTGCAGTGAGCCGAGATCGTGCCACTGCACTCCAGCCTGAGCGACAGTGCGAAACTCCGTTTCAAAAAAAAAAGATTTAACAAGAGATACTCTGCTAAATGGCAACAGAGCATCAGGCAAATAGAAGAGGGCAGGATGTGCAGAAGATCACCAAACAGCTGTGAGAGGAGAGGGTGGGTAATAGCACCAAAGACAAACTGTCTCTACTTTGAAATTCTAACTTAGGGGCAACTTCATTCCTCCCAAGTGCCAAAAATCCCCTCAGGAAAATAGGACCTACTGCTACATCCTAACTAGCTTGGTAGGGCTAGAAAGGAAGAGCATTCAATGCAGCCTCTCTACTCTCAACTCTAGTCTCCTATCAGATGAGAATTCAATTTTCAAGTCTCCTACCAGATGAGAATTCAATTCGCATCCATGTCCCAGACCTGTTGACTGCCCTGCCTTTCCTATCCCTCAACCACACCACTAGGAAATGCTGTTTGTAGAAAGGCTTCCTACAGAAGGGTCCTAGATTAAATGTAGAAGTAAAACAAACTGGAGGTACAGACAGAGGTTTTGACTGAGAATCCTATGTGTACCTTGATTGTCAGGGTTTTAAAGGGGGACCCATAGGGTAAGCAAAAAAGACAAGATCAATCTATTTGGCAATTCCAGAGACTCCAGAAACAAAAGTGGCCAGCAATGTTTCCCATAAATGTGAAACAGTCTACTGCAAGAGTTAAAATAACTGGTAATGGTAACAAACAGCCATCATTTATCATTGAAAAATTATTTGCCATCTGCCTGCCATTAAAAGTCTCACTATGGATGAAGCAGTTACCGTATAACAGAAAGGGCACCAGATTAATGTAAGAGGTTCTTGACTGTAGTGGGAGGTCCTAGGTAAGACACCACTTCTCTGCAATTCATTATCTTTATTTACATTATCTTCATTTATAAACTGAAAATAATACCAACATTTCACAGAGTTGCTGGAATCATCAGACTATAAAGGAAAGTTCTTAGTGCTGTGAATGGCACATTATACACATTAAGTTTATAAATGTGAATCAATAACATATATAATTATCTCAAAATTAACTGAGAATAATAAACTGTATGTTTATGATGGCATATACAAAACCAAAGCTTCTCCCTCCTATGTGACATTTTATCTTAGGAAAAAACATGAAGAAATTTATTTAAAAGTCACAAGAAAGTAGTAGTATTTATTCAATGGGTGGATGGGTTGAGAAGAAGACAGGATTGAGAGGGTAAAAAACAAACCAAATGTAGGGTCTGTCTAAATCATCTGTGTATGTGACTCTAGGTAAATCACTTCTCAAGATTATGCCTCAAATTCCATATCTATAATGAGGAATTATAATATTTATTTCATACACTTCCCAAATGATACAATTAAACTAGCTCTTTGGAAGCAGAGCTCTACATAAGAGCCACCTGGCATTACTACTGGCCAGAACTACACTGCATCAGGCCAGCAGCTCACCAACACTTTGAATATACTTACTGGAATCTTTCATTCACAAAGTTGTAATTTTCATATGTGGAAAAAAATCTTAGTGCTTCAATTTAGGTTTCACAAATCACTCAAACAGCACTGTCAAAAACTAGCCATGTGTTCTAGGAGGAGGTAAGGTTTCACAGGAGAAACTAATAGTACATGGAACTCCAATCCAAGTCACCCTCTCCTTTATCACAGAGATCACAGCTTCCACTCAACATTCCTTGCCTACTTTAGTCACATTAATAATTTCTTCCTTCTCTGAACTCCCATAAGGTAACAGAATCCACCAAACAATTCAGCAATTCACAACTAAATAGTGTTTTTCTTTCTTACTAAAAACAGACAAAAAAAACAGTTCATTAAAAGCATGGGAAATAAGTGTTATAGAAAAAGAAAGTAACCCTGAAATTCCCAGTAAAATTTAGCATTACATGTGAGTAACTATCAAAGTGAAACCTGTTAAAAACACTGCATCAAAAACCAAAAACTCGTATTATTTCAACATATGAGAGACCCAACTTTTAAGACTGACATGCTACGAGCAATGTATTTGACATATATGTATGTGTATGTGGGAAATGTAATATGTACAAAGGTGGAACATACTGCTATGGACATGGAAGAGTAAAAATTTAGAAAACCCATTAACAGGGCTGGTTCATTTTATATACTGATATGAACTGATCTCTTAGATACACTGTTAATTAAAAAATGCAAGGTACAAAAACAGTATGTATAGCCTGCATCCTTTGTTTTATATTTTCCTTTTTAAAAGGAGAAAATCATATATATATATATGCACATATGTATTCAAAAAATGTAGGGGAAAGTTAGTACCAATAGGTGATAATGGTTACCCTGGAAGAGAAATTAGATAGATGAGGAGCAGGAATGAATGAGACTTTTATCTACCTTTCCATGGACCTTTTCTATTTTGCATCATATGACAACTAAAACAAACAAAAAAAATTTAAGTTGTGCACCTAAAAGACTCAAAACACCATAAAGTCAAAATAATTACTTTGGAAACATATCATGTCTGCAGTGGGTAATTATTAGTAATTTATAATATAGTCAAACATAGAAAATATAATTTTTCATCAGTTTAAAATACACGCACAGGTGCACACATGCATGTGTGTGCACACACACACACACACACACTCTACCTCAGATTCTAGATAGCAGGTTTGTAAAATTACAAATGGCAGGAGTTACATCAATTAATATTTCTCCTAATTAACAGCACTCAATAAAAGGCTCATACAAGCATGAAAAGCATAACAAAAACAAGGCCGGGCGCAGTGGCTCACGCCTGTAATCCCAGCACTTTGAGAGGCCAAGGCGGTGGATTACCTGAGGTCAGGAGTTCGAGACCAGCCTGGCCAACGTGGTGAAACCCCATCTCTACTAAAAATACAAAAATTAGCTGGGCATGGTGGCACATGCTTGTAATCCCAGCTGCTTGGGAGGCTGAGGCATGAGAATGGCTTGAACCTGGGAGACACAGGTTGCAGTGAACCAAGATCGTGCCACTGCACTCCAGCCTGGGCAACAGAGCGAGACTCCATCTCAAAAAAAAAAAAAAAGCAGAACAAAAACAAAAGATAAACCATCATACCTTTTCCTTTCCATTTAACCTTTGCAACCGACTGGCTAAAATCCACATGTATTCTTCTGTCATCTATAAGCACATTGTCCATTTTGAAGAATGCTTTCTCACAATCTTCTTCCTGATAATAATTATAAAAACTCAAGCATAAATCTTTATGGAAAAGATTTCTGTAGCTAGAATACTGAAAATACAAAAAGTTTGTTGTTACAAAAATTAATGTTTGAATACTTATTACACACCCGATGCTGTTAAATGCTTTGTATCTATTACCTCAAATACCTCTGGTAACAACCCCATGAGGTACTATCCATTTTCTTAATGAGAAAACAGAAGTTTAGAGAAGTATAGAAGTTGTTGGCAAGGGTCAGAGCCAGGATTTTAGAGAGACAGTCCAACTGCAGTGAACAGATAAATATACACTTACTGACTGTATTATACAGGTTCACAATCCTTTTTACTCAAAATTCAAAAACATCCTGGAAAGTGAAAGTTGTGTTCCTAAGTTTGTTGTTAAAATTAATTTGGCAGTAACACCAAACCTAATGGTAGGTTATGACCTTTTTTTATCCACTTAGTATGAATATTCATTTGTTTCACTGCAGAAATACTTTTGTGACAGATTATGGAATGCTGACCCAGAAAGGTATTACATAATCACAGATGTAATGTGTATGTGTGTATGCATATATACAGTATTACCTTTCTGAATTCTGAAAAATTCTGAATTAGGAAGCCTAGTTATTCTCAAGGGTTTTAGATAATGAACTGTGAGACTGTAATACCAAGCTCTGTGCTACACAAGAATCCTTCCTGTCAGTAACTTCACAATTCTAAATCCCTGTTTCTGACACTGACAGTTACATATTTCAACTCAGTACTGACCAATTTTCTTTTACATTCCTGGAAACTTATTCTTACTAGAGATAATCCAAAGAGAAGCAGATAAAATAGTTATAATCATATTTATTACATGTCAATAATTAAATGAATTATAAAATCCATGAAGATATAGACAAAGCTTGATTCGTCTTTGTAACTACATCATTTAGAACATCATATGGCATGGTATCTAAAACGTAGGCAATCAGTGTACGTTTCATGAATCTGACTGATTATTTTCAGGCAGGTATAATTCTATCACCATGCTATATCCCCAAAGAGAAAGCTCTGAAGATCACTTTTTCAGGAGGATAGTATTTGCAAATACTCAATTTACTTACACCTAAATAATAGTTAATAAATCTCTTCAAAATTGAGAAACTGATTCAAAAATAAATATTCAAAAGTCAAAAACAGCTATGACAATCTTCAAAAACAACAAAGTTGGAAGACTCACAGTTATCAAGACATTTATAAACCTATAGTGATTAACACAATGTAACAGTGGTATATGAATAGACAAATAGATCAGTGCAACAGTATAGCGTCTAGAAACAGACTCTATACATATATGGATACCGATTTATAACAAAAGTGGTACTACAGAGCTGTGGGGCAGGACAACTTTTTTTATTATTTTTTTCATCAGTAGAGACCTCAGAGAAAAAGGACAACTTTTTATTTATGTATTATTTTTTTGAGACGGAGTCTTGCTCTGTCGCCAGGTTGGAGTGCAGTGGTGCGATGCTGGCTCACTGCAACCTCTGCCTCCCGAGTTCAAGCAATTCTCCTGCCTCAGTCTCCCGAGTAGTTGGGACTACAGGCACGCACCACCATGCCCAGCTAATTTTTGTATTTTTACTAGAGACGGGGTTTCACCATGTTGGCCAGGATGGTCTCGATCTCTTGACCTCGTGATCCACCCACCTCGGCCTCCCAAAGTGCTGGGATTACAGGCGTGAGCCACCACGCCTGGCCAGGACAACCTTTTAAATAAATGGTGCTGTCACGTGGCAATCCAATGTATGAAAAACGAAACAATGTAATACAATACACCAAAAGCAAATTACAGAATTGAATGGGAAACAATTTCACAACAAAGCTTCTAAAAATAATACAGGAGAATATCCTCATGTCTTTGAAGTAGGAAAATATTTTTTAAATAGGCCACTAAAAAGGAAGAAAAATACTGACAACCTGAACCATTAAAATTAGAAATTTGTTTATAAAAAGACACCATTAAGAAAGGAAAAAGGCATGCCTGTGGTCCCAGTTATGCAGGAGCTAAAATTGGAGAATCACTTGAGCCCATGAGCTCAAGTCCAGCCTGGGCAACACAGAGTGATCCTGTCCCTTAAAAAACAAAAAAAAAGTAAAAGGAAATCCACAGAGAAGATATCTGTATCACACATAATCAAAAAAGAGCTTGCATCCAGAAAATATAAAGAATCCTTAGAGATCAATAAAAAAGTAAAACAGCAGGTGCAGTGGCTCAAGCCTATAATTCCAGCACTTTGGGAGGCCAAGGCAGGTGGATCACTTAAGGTCAAGAGTTCAAGACCAGCCTGGCCAACATCATAAAACCCTGTATCTACTAAAAATTCAAAAATGAGCCAGGTGTGGTGGCAAGCACCTGTAATCCCAGCTACTTGGGATGCTGAGGCATGAGAATCGCTTGAAACTGGGAGGCGGAGGTTGCAGTGAGCTGAGATCATGCGACTACACTCCAGCCTGGGTGACAAAGCAAAACTCTGTTTCAAAAAAATAAAAAGAAAAAAAAAAAAGAAGAAAATGGCATAGCTGCAAAAAACTCAAAACATGGGCAGTCATTAGTCTATGTGCTACAAATGAAATTTTATTTGTGAGAAAATAAATAATAGATTCTATAGTGTCAATGATAGAATGCTAGTGCAGGTCTACAAGTTTTCACAGCAAACCAAAGGTAAAGGTCTTTCTGCTGGCACCAATGTACCTTGTAAGTATCATTTCTGGTACATCTGACACAGTGCCTACATATAACTTTATGGTCTATCTTCCCCAACCCTCCATGATTCATCTTGTATCCCTAGGCCTTATTGCTGTGTCTGAAAACATAAAAGGTATTCCATAAATGCTTTGTAATAATTAGAACTTAGAATGAGCTACTACTGGATACATATGAGTCCAAAGTTGCATTAAAAAAGAGCATACCATAGCACAGTGTAAACTCAATGGGAACAGAATCAGACATATCTGAGTTCAAATCCCAGCTATGACATTCATTCACTAGGTGTGTGATTTTGAACAAGTCACATTAGCATTATGTGTCTCAGTTAACTTATTTGGAAAAGGGGATGGTCCCTATCTTACAGAACTGTGAGGATTAAATGCAGCAAAAGTAACATAATGCCTAGCTTAAAGTAAATATTTAAGCAACATAAGCTATCATTATTACAGCTCTAGAAGGGGCCATCTATTCTAATACCCAAGTTTTATTTATAAGAAGGTAAGACCTAGAAAGAACGGTTAACTAAACTGCCAAGTATCATACAATAGCTGGCTAATAACAAAAGATGTATTAATATCTAAATCTTAACACCCAGTTCAGTTCTCTTTCTATTACTCAACTTTATCTCCACTTAAGTAACAGGGAAAAATTAAGAGTCTCTGAAGGGCTTTACTTAGAACTTAAAAAGTTCTAAGATTGGCTGAGTGTTGTGGCTTATGCCTATAATCCCAGCACTTTGGGAGGCCGAGGCAGGTGGATTGCTTGAGGTCAGGAGTTCAAGACCAGCCTGGCCAATATGGTGAAACCCTGTCTCTACTAAAAATACAAAAAAATTAGCAGGGCATGGTGGTGGGCACCTGTAATCCCAGCTACTGGGGAGGCTGAGGCAAGAGAATCGCTTGAACCAGGAGGCGGAGGCTGCAGTGAGTCGAGACTGCGCCACTGCACTCCAGCCTGGGCAACAGAGTGAGACCCTGTCTCAAAAAAAAAAAAAGTTCTAAAGATACTTTCATGCAGATTGCACCTGAACCTAAAGTAAAAGTACGTATGTTAACATCAACAGATGTTGAACTTATCCCCTATATAGATACAATAAACTTAATTTTGGGGAGTGCCAAAAGAAAGGGCAACTCTAGAAACTAGAAAAAGTTCTATAATTTTTCACATTTTAATACCATATAAAAGCAAATAAATACCAAACTTATGTCTGTATTATGACATACCTTTTCAAATTCAATAAAAGCGTAACAGAGGGACTCTCCTGTCTTCCAGTCTCGGATAACTTCACAACTGAAAGAAAGTATTTAAAAGTGACTTAAAAAAAAAAAAAAGGAAGAAAGCATTCACTCTCACTCTTCAAAACTGAAGAAGAAATAAGTCAGTTACTACAAGGCAAAGTTAAATTCATAGATTATTTTTCCAAATTCATTTAATAACAATTCTTTTTTAAAAGTAGTTCACCAGAGCAGTAACTAAATTATCTAAATTCTACTCTAAGTGCCTTATATAGGCCTACAGTCCTAAATTCCCTTAAGCACTGAAGTAAGAATAAAAATATTTAATTTTCCTTTGGCAAAAGTAAACTACTGCTAAAGACTTTTAAAATCACAACACTTTTCTAGTCCAAATATAGTCGAATTATAGAATATCTAACATCTAACATTACTGTAGAATAATGTATGCATACTCATACATATATAAATGTTTAAGTTCAAGCTTTGAAATTTTTGAATTTTAATATAAATCAAGCTCAAATTTAACACTGTAAGCACAATGTTAATTACAGAACTAATATACCATAATAACCAAGTGAAAAGGCCAATAAGCTGAAGTTGAAAGCACCTGGCTTGTCCCTTGCCCCAAGTGTCATAAGTCTCATTTTAAAAACCTCATTTTAAAAGCCGGGCGCAGTGGCTCATACCTATAACCCCAGCCCTTTGGGAGGCCAAGACGGACGGATCACAAGGTCAGGAGCTCGAGACCAGCTTGGCCAATATGGTGAAACCCCGTCTCTACTAAAAATACAAAAATTAGCTGGGCGTGTTGGCGCATGCCTGTAGTCCCAGCTACTCAGGAGGCTGAGGCAGAAGAATCACTTGAACCCGGGAGGCAGAGGTTGCAGTGAGCCGAGATCACATCACTGCACTCCAGCCTGGGCAACAGAGCGAGACTCCATGTCAAAAAAATAAACAAAAATAAATAAAATAAAATAAAATCCCTGAAACAAAAGGAAACCCTAAATATAATACTTTTTAATCAATTACAAAATAGTCCCCTTCCTCACAGAAATACTAGCTTCATAGACTTTTTCATTAATGCAGGGAAAACTAACCAAAAGAAAAATTTTAGAAAATTTAGTTTTAAATTAATTTTGACATAAATTGCTGGTAATTCCAGGAGTTGAATGAGATAAATATTTTAAATATTAAAGAAGGCTGTTGAGAGTATTACAGAACTAGATTTAAATTGTTCCATTCATTTCCTGTTTTAGGGTGAAAATGTGTTGAGAGTGGGAGATTCAATTATTTATCTGTGTGTGTGTGTGCACGTATGTATGTATGTCTACACACACATATATACTTTTCTTCCCTACTGTCCAAAGACTCACCTGTAAAAATTCACCAGTACAAAATTCGCCTAGAATTCACAGAATCATCAAAATATGTCATTAGAAAACCACCAACTGATACCTAGTTTTTCTAAATATCTCTTTCACTAATTCTAAGGATTACCTTCTTATTGGCCCAAATCTAGAGAATATTATTTCCAGATCCTCATCTGTGGTCACTGGGTTCAATTTACACACAAACAGTACATTTTCTGGAGGTTTAATATCTGCATCAGGTAGGTCTCCCACCTAAATTACAAACAAACAAAAACATAAATCAATTCCTATTTAGTTTCCATTCTAAATCCTATCCAATCCCACAATGCTGATTTCCTTAAAACATCTAAATTTATGTTACAAACTGCAGGCTCTGGAAAAGAAATCCAAATAAGATTTCAAAATTTGAACTACACTGTTCCTATTCTTAACAGTGTTAATAGCTAATATTTAAATAACTCATACTTTGTGTGAACAGTGCTTGGAGCTTCAGATCTATTACGCTAATTCTTGAAACAATCCTGCAATCTCCATTTTAAAGACAAGTAAAGCGGCTGAGCATGGTAGCTCATGCCTGTAATCCCAGCACTTTGGGAGGCCAAGGGGGGCAGATACTTGAGGTCAGGAGTTCAAGATCAGCCTGGCCAACATGGTGAAACCCCATTTCTACTAAAAATACAAAAATTAAACGGGCATGGTGGTGTGCACCTGTAGTCCTAACTACTCGGGACACTGAGGCAGTAGAATCGCTTGAACCCAGGAGGCGGAGGTTGCAGTGAGCTACGCCACTTCACCCCAGCCTGGGCGACAGAGCAAGACTCCATCTCATAAATAAACAAATAAAATAAAGACAAGTAAAGTGAAATTTAAAAGGTTAAACAAGTAACTTGCCCAAGACCACACAGTGGTAAACAACAGAGCTGGGATTTGAACCTACATTTATCTGGCTTCAAAGACCAATTTTACCCCTACTTCATCTTTTTTCAAGTATTTGATATATTTTTTAAAGGATAAGAATTTATGTAAAGTACATGTAAGTCATAAAGCATAAAAATAAAAACCACTATGATGCTACCATCTAGCTTAAGAACTAAAATGTCACCTATCCCATTCTCCCTGTGCCTCCTCATCAGAGACAACAAATACCCTGCTTTTTGGTTTTCCTTTTTCAGTCATTTCCTTGCATATCATCAGAGTTTTACCATATATGTATGCAACTCTATCACATTTAGATGGGGCAACAACATCCCTTTATACATACATTCAAACACTCTTTCAGAGATTATTTCTGATAAGATCACCTGTAAAGTGTCTCCTCTTGGATAAACATGCCCTTCCCCCCAAAATCTTGAAAATAAAAAACAGTAAGAAGCAACACAGCCAGTAAGATCTCCTCAGTGTTTCTGAAGTCTATCAAAAGACAACATTATGTCCAATAAGAAGTATCACAGCCAGGCATGATAGCTCACACCTGTAATCCCAACACTTTGGGAGGCTGAGGAAGGAGGATCTCTTGAAGCCAGGAGTTTGAGACCAGCCCACGCAACATAGTAAGACCTTGTCTCTATAGTAAATTTAAAAATTAGCCAGGCATGGCAGTGTGAGTAGTCCTAGCTATTCAGAAGGTTGGATGGACTGCTTGGGTTCCAGAGTTTTTGAGGCAGCAGTGAGCTATGATCACACCACTGCACTCCAGCCTAGAAAACAGAGTAAGACCCTGCCTCTAAAAAACAAAAAAGAGTGTCAAAACACAGAAGGAGTAGAGCAAATTAGTAAAAATCCTCCAAAGCACCTATAATGGCAGAAAGGAAGCACAAACGAGAAAAAAAGTTAATGAGTCAAAAAAGAACTTGCTATAGTACTTGGTCAAAGCTAACTTTAAAATACTATTAGGAAATTTAAAACATTCATAAAAGCTATGAGGTTCAAAACTAATTTTACAAAACACTAGCTGAATTATCACTATATTACAAACAAATGCAATAAAGTAAGAGAAACAGATATTCTTAGAAAACAGAACATGGAATATGTTAATAAAATCAAAAGGACACAGGATCACCTTTTAGAGTGACTAAAATCCAAAAAATACCATCAGCAAATGCTGGCAAGGATGTGAGGCAAAAGAAACCCTCATTCATTGCTGGTAGGAATGTAAAATGTAAAGCCACTTTAGAAGACAGTTTGGCAGTTTCTTACAAAGCTAAACCATTCAATCCAGCATCTGAACTCCTAGGTATTTACCCAAATGCATAGAAACTTTATGCCTACACAAAAATCTGCATGCAAATGTTTACAGCAGCTTTAATCACAACTGCCAAAACTTGGAAGCAACCAAGGTATCTTTCAACAGGTAAAAAATATACAAGCTGTGATACATCCATACAATGAAACATTACTTAGCAATTAAAAGAAATGAGCTATCAGCCATGCATGGTGGCTCACGCCTGTAATCCCAACACTTTGGGAGGCCAAGACAGGAAGATCACTTGAACCTGGGAGTTTGGGATCAGCCTGAGCAACATGGGTAAGACTCCATCTCTACAAAAAAATTTAAAAATTACCAAGGTGTGGTGGCGTGTGCCTATAGTCCCAGCTACTCAAGAGGCTGAGGCAGGAAGACTGCTCAACCTCAGTTCAAGGTTATAGTGAGCTATGACAGCACCACTGCACTCCAGCCTGAGTGAAAGAGTGAGACTTTCTCTAAAAAAAAAAAACAAAAAAAAGAAAGAAATGAAATCCCAGGCCGGGCAACATAGTGAGACTCTGTCTCTACAAAAAATAAAATTAGCCGGGCATGGTGGCACACGCCTGTGGTCCCAGCTACTTGTGAGGCTGAGGTAGGAGGATTACTTGAGCCCTGGAGGTCGGGGTGCAGTGAGCCATTATTGTGCCACTGTCCATGCAACAGAGCGAGAACCTGTCTCAAATAAAAAAAAATTAAAAAAAATTAAAAAAAGGGCCGGGCAGGGTGACTCATGCTGTAATCCCAGCACTTTGGGAGGCTGAGGCGCGCAGATCACGAGGTCAAGAGATCAAGACCATCCTGGCTAACACGGTGAAACCTCGTCTCTACTAAAAATACAAAATAATTAGCCGGGCGCGGTGGCACGTGCCTGTAGTCCCAGCTACTCAGGAGGCTGAGGCAGGAGAATCTCTTGAACCTGGGAGGCAGAGGTTGCAGTGAGCCGAGATAATGCCACTGTACTCTAGCCTGACGACAAGAGCGAGACTCCGTCTCAAAAAAAAAAAAAAAAGGAGGGAAAGAAAAGAAAGAAAAAGAAAAAGGGAAAGGAGAAAGGGAAAGGGAAGAAAGAAAAAAGGCACAGTGGAACCTTAAATGTATATTGCTAAGTGAAAGAAGACAGTCTGAAAAGGCTACATACGCTATAATTCCAACTATATGACATTTTGAAAATGCCAAAACTATATAGACAGTAAAAACATCAGTAGTTGCCAAGAAGTGGGTGTTGGGGGTGGGGATGAACAGGTGGAGCCCAGGGGATTTTTTAGACAGTGAAACTACCTTGAATGATCCTGTAAGGGTAGATATATGCTATCGTACATTTGTCAGTTCCACCGAATGTACAACACAAAGCTTGAATTCTAACGTAAATCATGGATTTTAATTAATAATGTATCAATATTGGCTCATCAATTGTTAACAAATGTGTCACAATAATGCAAGACTGGGGGAAAGAGGGAGGGAGTACTTAGAAACTCTCTGTACTTTATGTTCAGTTTTTCTGTAATTCTAAAATTGCTCTACAAATTGTCTATTAAAAACAAAGCCAAAAAAAGAATCCATGAGACACGGATAATGAACGGATAGATAAGCAGTTAAGAAGGGAGGGCTCAGGCGGGCACAGTGGCTCACACCTGTAATCCCAGCACTTTGGGAGGCCGAGGCAGGCAGATCACCAGGTCAGGAGTTTGAGACAAGCCTGACCAACATGGTGAAACCCTGTCTCTACTAAAAATACAAAAATTAGCTGGGCGTGGTGGCGGGCACCTATAATCCCTGCTACCCAGGAGGCTGAGGCAGGAGAATCGCTTAAACCTGGGAGGCAGAGGTTGCAGTGAGCCAAGATTGCGCCATTGCTCTCCAGCCTGGGTGACAGAGCGAGACTCCATCTCGGAAAAAAAAAAAGAAGGGAGGGCTCTTCCTTACAGTAGAATGCAGGTTGGTAATTGTGGAAAAAGTGGTGGGGGTGGGAAATTACCACTTTGCATAATTACCACTTTGCACTTAGCAGAGTCAAAACTGGTGCAGTCAGGAATCATGAATGGCTGAGAAATTTATGGGGGAAATTTGACAAGGAACAAGACATTTGAAAGATCTCCAAGTGTCTAGCCACAGATTGTCTATTGGAGACACCAGGCAGTGGACTACCATGACCAAGTGACCAAAATTACTCATCTTCCAATGAATATCGTACACCTCCAGATGTGACCTCTGAGGACACAACATCACTCACGTACTATTTCGGCTGTGGGTGCATAACCTGAATCTAATCATGAGGAAAGAGTAGATAAACCTAAATTGAAAAATATTCTATTGGCCGGGCACGGTGGCTCATGCCTGTAATCCCAGCACTTTGGGAGGCCAAGGCAGGAGGATCGCCTGAGGTCGGGAGTTGGAGACCAGCCTGGGCAACACAGTGAAACCCTGTCTCTACTACAATTACAAAAAATTAGCTGGATGTGGTGGCAGGCGCCTGTAATCCCAGCTACTCGGGAGCCTGAGGCAGAAGAATCGCTTGAACCCGGGAGGCAGAGGTTGCAGTGAGCCAAGATCGTGCCATTGCACTCCAGCCTGATAACAGAGCGAGATTCTGTCTCAAAAAAAAAAAAAAAAAAAAAATTAGCCAGGCGTGGGTGGCAGGCACCTATAATCCCAGCTATTTGGGAAGCTGAGGCAGCTGAATCGCTTGAACCTGGGAGGTGGAGGTTGCAGTGAGCCGAGATCATGCCATTGCACTTCAACCTGGGCAACAGAAACTCCGTCTCAAAAAAAAAAAAAGGAAAATATTCTACAAAATAAATGCAACAGATGATAAGTCACGAGCTGGATTCTAGTCTGGAGGAGGAAACAATTATAAAAGATATTATTAGAACAACTGGCAAAATTGGAATATAAACTGTAATTTCTTTTTTCTTTTTTTTGAGACGGAGTCTCGCCCTGTTGCCCAGGCCGGAGTGCAATGGCGCGATCTCGGCTCACAGCAACTTTCGCCTGCTGGGTTCAAGCGATTCTCCTGCCTCAGCCTCCTGAGTATCTAGGATTACAGCCGCATGCCTCTATACCCAGCTAATTTTTGTATTTTTAGTAGAGACGGAGTTTCACCATGTTGGCCAGGCTGGTCTCGAACTCCTGACCTCGTGATCCACCCGCCTCGGCCTCCCAAAGTGCTGGGATTACAGGCGTGAGCCACTGTGCCCGGCCCTATAAACTGTAATTTCTGTCACTTCTAAATTTTCTGATTTTGGTAACTACACTGTGAATACGTACATATTGTTATACACATTGAATACTGCTGCTCTTAGGAAATACACACTGATTAAGAGGTAAAGGGAAATAACAGGCAACTTACTGTCAAATAGTCGAGAAAAAAAATGTGTGTTTATGTGCTTGTATAATCAGAGAGAGAGAAAAAGAGAGAATCATAAAACAGATGTAGCAAAATGTTAAAAATTGGTGAATGTGGGTAAAAGGTATATAGAAGTTCTATGTACTTTTTCCCATAAATTTGAAATTATCTGAAAACAAAAAGTTTTAAAAAGTATGTTAATCTATTTTCTTCTGGCATAAACTTCCAAAGTGTTGCTGTGGAAAAGTCTGATAACAATCTAAATTCATTCCCTTATAAGTAACTTATTCTTTCTGCCCAATTGTTCAACATATCTTTCAAGTGTAGTAATTCTCTTAGAATTTGTCTTGGTGTTGGGTGTTCAGAGTCAATACTCTGAGATACACAGTGTGCTCATTAAAATGTGTATTTTCAATTAATTTTTTTAATTTCAGTAAAGCTTTCTTGAACTATACAGCCTTTACTATTTGTTCATTCAGACAGTTGATGGTAATATAAACTTAAGCCTGGCCAACATAGGGAGATCCTGTCTCTACAAAAAAAATTTTAAAATTAGCAGGGCATTGTGGTGTGTGACTGTGGTCTCAGCAACTCAGGAGGCTGAGGCAAGGGCATTGCTTAAGCTGAGGAGTTGGAAGCTGCAGCAAGCTATGATCATACACCACTGTACTCCAGCCTGAACAACAGAGTGAGACCCTGTCTCTATAAAATAATAAATAAATAAACTTTAAAACAGACTACAAATCTGAAAGTTCTATTATATAAAATAGTAACTTTATTATCCATTCATTCCAATATTTATTATCTATGATATGACAGGTATGCCTATTCTACAAAAATAAGAAATGGAAAATAATACCAAGTAGGTCAATTAATCATCTACTGAATTATTATTCCCCAAATGACTTCAGGTTGTTAGTAATACAGAGAAGCAGTATATTTTAGAGTGCTCAGTTTCCACCCATTATTTTGCCCTACAACTACCATTCTGTTTAATCTTAACACTTGAGTGGTACAGTGAAGAACTATTCTTTAATATACATAAAATTCAGCCTGCTAAACACTCTTTAAGAATGAGATGAATATTAAACAACTGAAATTCAATTAATAAGTTAGAGATCCACTTCCCACTGTTTAAAAAGGCACTTAGCACTATATTGACAGTAGAGTCAAATTTATTTTCACAGTAGAGCCAATTTATTACTATGCCATACCAAATTTAAATCAGAAAAAAATCATAACTCAATTTTTAACATTTTAAGACTACTGAAGAGCCAGAAATAAACACTCAGTAAGTATTATTAGATATATTACAGAACAATTTGAACAAAGATAATTATCTTACCATCTCCAAAAGTATAGCCTGAGTTTTAGCCTCTTTTTCTGCCTTTATTTCTTCTACTTCCTCAGCTGATCTTCCTTTGAAATCATCAATTTCTTCATCTGCTCCTATTCGACCACTCTGTTAAGACAGAAGTTACTCATGTATATATTTAAAGAATAAAAAAATCTGAGAAACATAGAAGACATACTTTATTCTTAGTTATATCAAACATGCTAAAACAGTAACTGATCAAGGTTGCAGTGAGCTACAATCACACCACTGCACTCCAGCTGGGTGACACAGTGAGATCTTGTCTCTAAAAAAAAATTTTTAATAATTAATTGGACAGCAACTGAGACAAACTTATAAACCTCCAAGAATTGATTTATATTAATTCTAAAATATTAGCCAAAGTGGGCTTCTGTTAAAATCAAAATAGGCCAGGCATGGTGGCTCGTGCCTGTAATCCCAGCACTTTGGGAGAACACGCAGGTGGATCACTTGAGGTCAGGAGTTCGAGACCAGCCTGGCCAACACAGTGAAACCCTGTCTCTACTAAAAATACAAAAATTAGCTGGGCGTGGTGGCATGCACCTACAATCCCAGCAACTCAAGAGGCTGAGGCACGAGAATTGCTTGAATGAGGAAGGCAGAGGCCACAATGAGCCGAGATCCCACCACGCACTCCAGCCTAGGCAACAAAGTGAGACTCCATCTCAAAAAAATAAATAAATATTTATATGGACACTATTTATTATCCAATTCTAACTGCTGAATGAAGAGAAATGATCTGACAATTAAGCACCAATCCCAACCATAAAGACAAATTCAGCTTTCAGGAAGCCACATAAACCTTAAAATATGTGGGGGAACAGTCTGCGCTGTTTCACAGAAATTTCTGGGTTCTAGCCTGGCTCCAGAGTGTCCCCAGTTGAAAAGTTACCTCACAAGATAACAGTTTAATTTGATGACAAGAAAAACACTTTCCCAAGGTGTTCATGTAAGCTTCTAGAGCTGAGGTTGTCTCAGTAGAAAAGAAACTGAAGAAAGGAAATTAGAGAAATGAGAAGACAGCTAGAAAAATGAGTACCTCTGTGGAAAAGAAAAAGAACTCCAAACTTGTTGAATATAATTAAGCAAGATAATAATTCGGAAAAAATTAACTTTAACAGATGAAAAAGATAAATCCATACAAATCATTAATATGAATGTACATTTAATCATAAGAGGGCTTTACTTACATCTAATTGTTCCCTTGTAGGTTCTGGTGATCGATCAGGGATTAATAAATCAGGAGGGTCATCAAATGGATCATCTAAAATCACCGTATGATTTATCCTTACAAAATAAATCCAAATCAAATGTTATACATTGAAGTTATTTCAGAATCCTATTTTATTTTAATAGATTACAAAAAATTACTTGATTATCTCTAAGGCCAAAAAAAACCCATATTGCATATGGATATTACTAACCTAGATATACTTTCACAATGAGTGTTACTGTTTTGCATTGAGTGATACCATATTTATCACCCTGCATTACTTTAAGATGTAAACTAATATAACTGTCTAAATCTTAGTACTTTTGCCCTACTTCTCAATTAAAAAACTAAATTAAAGCATTAACAATTCCTCCAGCTGGGTGCAGTGGCTCATTCCTGTAATCCCAACACTTCAGGAGGCTGAGGTGGGTGGATCATGAGGTCAGGAGATCGTGACCATCCTGGCTAACATGGTGAAACCCCGTCTCTACTAAAAATACAAAAAATTAGCCAGGTGTGGTGGCGGGCGCCTGTAGTCCTAGCTACTTGGGAGGCTAAGGCAGGAGAATGGTGTGAACCCGGGAGACAGAGCTTGCAGTGAGCCAAGATCGCGCCACTGCACTCCAGCCTGGGCAACAGCATGAGACTCCGTCTCAAAAAATAAATAAATAAATAATTCCTCCAAACATAATTATAAATAATTAGTACAAGTATAAAAATACAAAAAGTCCTTTTTATTATAAAGATTCTTACAGTCTTATATTAATTCACCTTTTGGGATTAGAATTATCCAGAAACCAGTCCTATGCATACCGTTCCTATCCATACCACTACGTGTTAAACATCTCAATATTAAAACATTCTAGTACATTCAGATAGCAAATTGTAACCATACCTGATATCCTGATATGGTACAAAGTCCTTGTCAACAAAGGTCTCATTAATTTTCTTAATTATGTCCATGCCTTCTGTCACCTCACCAAACACCGTATGGACACCATCAAGATAATCTAGATTTTCTCCTGTGGTGATAAGAAACTATAAAGAAGGACACATAATAAATACCATAAAAATAATACATAACTCAAACTGAAATCAGTTACAGACTGACAAAAAAATACATGAAAGTTAAGAGTCCACATTTACTGCACCAATTCTTAGACACTTGTTACCAAAACTAAGTAAAAAGTACAAAGCTTATACTGGCATACCTCATTTTATTGCACTTTGCAGATACTGCATTTTTTACAATTAAGGATTTCTGGCAACCGTGTATTGAGTAAGTCTATTGGTGCCATTTTCCCAACAGCATAGGCTCACTTCATGTTTCTGGCTCACATTTTGGTGATTCTCACAAGATTTCAAACTTTTTCATTACTATTGTATCTGTTATTACCATCTATAATCTTTGATCTTACTACCGCAATTGTTTTGGGGCACCACAAACTGTGCCCATATAAGATGGTGAACTTAATCCATAAATGTTGTATGTGTTCTGACTACTCCACCAACCAGCCATTCCCATCTTTCTCCCTCTCAGTGCTCCCTATTCCCCGAGACACAATACTGAAATGAGGCCAATTAACCCTACAAGAGACTCTTAAGTGTTCAAGTAAAAGGAAGAATGGCACATCTCTTACTTTAAATCAAAAGCTAAAAATGATTAAGCATAGTGAGAAAGGCACGTTGAAAGCCAAGATAAGCGGAAAGCTAGGCCTCTAGTACCAAACAATAGCTGAGTTGTAAATGCAAAGGAAAAGTTCTTAAAGAAAATTAGAAGTGCTATTCCAGTGAACACATGAATGATAAAATGAAACAGGCTTACTGCTGATATGAAGAAGGTTTTAGTAATCTACATAGGTCAAACCAGCCACAACGATCCCTTAAGCCAAAGCCTAATTCCAAACAAGCCCTAACTTTATTCAATTCTATAAAGGCTGAGAGAGGGAAGGTAGCTGCAAAAGAAAGTCTGAAGCTAGCAGAGGTTAATTCATGAAGTTTAAGGAAAGAGGCCAGGCGCAGTGAATTACTCCATCTCAAAAAAAAAAAAAAAAGAAAAGAAAAATTTAAGGAAAGAAGCTGTCTCCATAATTTAAAAGTGCAAGGTGAAGCAGCAAGTGCTGACACAGAAGCTACAGCAAGTGGCCAGGTGCAGTGGCTCACGCCTATGTAATCCCAGCACTTTAGGAGGCCGAGGCAGGCAGATCACAAGCTCAGGAGTTCAAGACCAGCCTGACCAACATGGTGAAACCCTGTCTCCACTAAAAATACAAAAGTTAGCCAGGCATGGTGGCGTGTGCCTGTAATCCCAGCTACTCAGGAGGCTGAGGCAGGAGAATTGCTTGAACCCAGGAGGCGAAGGTTGCAGTGAGCTGAGATCATGCCACTGCACTCCAGCCTGGGCAACAGAGTGAGAATCTGTCTCAAAAAAAAAAAAAAAAGAAGCTGCAGCATGCATCAAGTTATCTGGAAGATCTAGCTAAGATCACTGATGAAGATGACTTCATGAAATAACAAATTTTCCATGAAGACGAAACAGCCTTATATTGGAAGATGCCACTTAGGACTTTCACAGCTAGAGAGGAAAAGTCAATGCCTAGCTTCAAAGCTTCAAAGACAAGCTGACTCTTCTGTTACATGCTAATCCAGCTGGTGACTTTAAGTTGAAACCAATGCTCACTGACTATACCAAAAATCCCAAGGCCGTTAAGAATGATGCTAAATCGGCCGGGCGCGGTGGCTCACGCCTGTAATCCCAGCACTTTGGGAGGCCGAGGCGGGTGGATCACGAGGTCAGGAGATCAAGACCATCCTGGCTAACACGGTGAAACCCCGTCTCTACTAAAAATACAAAAAATTAGCCGGGCGTGGTGGCAGGCGCCTGTAGTCCCAGCTACTTGGGAGGCTGAGGCAGGAGAATGGCGTGAATCTGGAGGTGGAGCTTGCAGTGAGCAGAGATTGCGCCACTGCACTCCAGCCTGGGCGACAGAGCAAGACTCCATCTCAAAAAAAAAAAAAGAATGATGCTAAATCTATTCTGCCTGTGCTCTAGAAATGGAACAACAAAGCTTGGATGACAGCACATCTGTTTACAGCAGGGTTTATCAAATATTTTAAGATCACTGTTGAGACCTGCCGCTCAGAACAAAGATCCTTTTAAATATGACTGCTCTTTTAATAAGAAATCCTTTTAAAATATTACTGCTCATTGACAATACTCCAGGTCACCCAGGAGCTCTGATGGATATGATGTACAAGGAAATTAATATTGTTTTCAGCTGTGCACAGTGACTGACACCTGTAAACCCAGCACTTTGGGAGGCTGAGGCAGGTGGATCACTTGAGGCCAGTTCAAGACCAGCCTGGCCAACACAGTCAACATGGTGAAACCCCATTTCTACTATAAATACAAAAAATCAGCCGGGCGTAGTGGTGCACACCTGTAATCCCAGCTACTCAGAAGGCTGAGGCAAGAGAACTGTTTGAACCCAGGAGGCAGAGGTTGCAGTGAGGTGAGACTGCACCACTGTACTCAACCTGGGTGACAGAGTGAGAATCTGTCTCAAAAAAAAAAAAATACTGTTTTCATGCCTGCTAACATAACAGTCATTCTGCAGCCATGGATCGAAGAGTAATTTCAACTTTCAAGTATTACTATTTAAGAAATACAGCCTGACATGTGGCATGCACCTGTAGTCCCAGCTACTCAGGAGGCTGAGGTAGAAGGATCACTTGAGCAACGTAGTGAGGCCCCATCTCTAAAAATAAAAATTAAAAAAAAATACATTTTGTGAGGCTATAGCTGCCATAGATGGTGATTCCTCTGATGGATATGGGCAAGTACATTGAAAACCTTCTGAAAAAGATTCACCATTCTAGATGTCATTAAGAACATTCGTGATTTGTGGGAGGAGGTCAAAATATCAACATTAACAGAAGTTAAGAAGAAGTAGATTCCAACCCTCATGGATGACTTTGAGTGGCTCAAGACTTCAGTGAAGGAAGTAACTGCAAATGTGGTGGAAACTGCAAGAGAACGAGAATTAGAAGTAGAGCCTGAAGATGGGACTGAATGCTGCAATCTCATGATCAAACCTGACCAGATATGGAGCTCCTTCTTAAGGATGAGCAAACAAAGTGGTTTTCTTCCTTTTTTTTTTTTGTTTGAGACAGTCTTGCTGCATCGCCCAGGCTGGAGTGCAGTGGTGCAAAGTCGGCTCACCGCAACCTCCACCTCCCAGGTTCAAGCAATTCTCCTGTCTCAGCCTCCCAAGTAGCTGGGACTACTGGCGCCTGCCACCACGCCGAGCTAATTTTTGTATTTTTAGTAGAGACGGGGTTTCACCATACTGGTCAGGCTGGTCACAAACTCCTGACCTCAGGTGATCCGCCCCCCTCAGCCTCCCAAAGTGGTGGGACTACAGGCATGAGCCACTGCACCCAGCCAAGTGATTTACTGAGATGGAATCTACTGCTGGTGAAGATGCTATGATAACTGTTGAAATGACAACAAAAGGTTTAGGATAGTACATAAACTTGGCTGATACAGTAGTAGCAGGGTCTGAGAGGATTGACTTCAATCTTAAAAGAATTCTACTAAATGCTATCCAACAGCATCGTATGATACACAGAAATCTTTCATGAAAGGAAGAGTCCATCAACATGGCAGACTTCTGTTGTCTTATTTATTTATTTATTTGCAAGACAAGGTCTGTCACCCAAGCTGGAGTGCAGTGGTACAATCACAGCTCACTGCACCCTTGACCTCCTGGGCTCTAGTGATCCTCCCACCTCAGCTTCCCAAGAAGCAGGAACTACAGCCCTGTACCACCATGCTCAGCTAATTTTTGTATTTTTTTGTGGAGATGGGGTTTTCACCATGTTTCCTGGGCTGGTCTCGAAATCCTGAGCTCAACCCATCTGCCTGCCTTGCCCCCGCAAAGTACTGGGATTACAGATGTATGCTACCACGCCAGTCAGTTGTCTTATTTTAAGAAGCTGCCACAGTCACCCCAACCTTCAGCAATCACCACCCAGATTAGTCAACGGCCATCAACATCAAGGCAAGACCCTTCACCAGCAAAAAGATTATGATTTACTGAAGGCTCAGATGATCAGAAGCACTTGTTAGTAATAAAGTATTTTTTGGTCGGCCACGGTGGCTCACACCTGTAATCCCAGCACTTTGGGAGGCCAAGGCAGGTGGATCACCTGGGGTCAAGAGTTTGAGACCAGCCTGGCCAACATGGCAAAACCCTGTCTCTACGAAAAATACAGAAAGTAGCCGAGCGTGGTGGTGGGCATCTGTAATCCCGCTACTCGGGAGGCTGAGGCAGGAGAATCGCTTGAACCTGAGAGGCGGAGGTTGCAGTGAGCCGAGATCACACCACTGCACTCCAGCCTGGCTGACAGAGCAAGACTCTGTCTCTAAATAAATAAAATAAAATAAAATAAAACAAAATACTTAGACAAGCCATGACTCAACTTCATGTGTATATAGTAGAAAACAGAAGTACCTACTCTAACAAGTAGGTCATTGGGAGAATTAACAGGGTCATTGGGAGAATTAAACAAGACAATGAATAGAAGGTACTCTGCGTAATGTTTTTAAAAAAGTAAGAAATACTGAAAAACGGCCAGGCGCGGTGGCTCACGCCTGTAATCCCAGCACTTTGGGAGGCCAAGGCAGGCGGATCATGAGGTCACGTGATTGAGACCATCGTGGCCAACATGGTGAAACCCCGTCTCTACTAAAAATATAAAAATTAGCCAGGTGTTGTGGCAGGCGCATGTAATCCCAGCTATTCGGAAGGCCGAGGCAGGAGAATTGCTTGAACCCGGGAGGGAGAGGTTGCAGTGAGCCGAGGATTGTGCCATCGCACTCCAGTCTGGGAGACAGAGTGAGACTACATCTCATAAAAATAAATTAATTAATTAAATAAAAAGAAATACTGAAAAATGAGCCACAAATGTGAACAGTGATAATCACGGATGGTGGAGTTGTAGGTAATGTTTTTCTTTGTACTTTTCTGTATTTTCTCAATTCTTCACAATAGGAATGCTTTACATTTAAAAGAAGAAAATAATATTTTTTAATATAGAAAAAGTGCATTTTTTCCCCTAACACATATTTCTGATTGAAACCCTCTAAGCCTTACTGGATAGTTTAAAAAATAACTCTGTGGGCTCCTTCCAGTCCTTCATTTCTAAGCAAATCTCATATTCTTACTCATTTCCTAACCTGAGATCCATGTTGATCACTGCCATTATTCACCATGGACACTGTGCCTTTCTTCTTGTGCTTAATTCTTGGGACTTTTTCTGCCTCAAAAAAGCTTGCTTGATCACCATACAGTTGGCTGAAAAAACATATAAGGTTATAAATGTAAGTACTCTCAAAATGAAATACAGAAGTACTAGTAACATACAGGGTTATCAATTATTTCTTTACAGAAATGCCAACAGAATTCAAAATATTACTTTTTTTTTTTTAGGGAACTTGGGGGAAAAAATCTAAATTTAAACCATATTTTAAAATGCAGATTGAAGCATGAGCAATTATATTTTTCCTCATTTAAGAATAAAAGAATTTGTTCTGCCCTTCCAGAGGTTAAAAGTAAATAAATAAATAAATAAATAAATAAATAAATAAATAAAACAACTTACCCAAAGATAGACTCTCCTCCACGGCCAGTCCCTGTAGGATCGCCAGTTTGTATGATAAAATCCCTCTGTAATATGTAGGATTCTTTGTTAATTCACAGAGTTTGTTAGATAGTTCCAATAACAAAGGAAATGACTAATATCTACCAACTCACCTGTACATTGTGAATAAGGCAATAATTGTAATATTTTATTTTGCACAGTTTCAAGAAATTCAAGCAGGCTGAAAGAAAGTAAATACCAAATTTATCACAGTAATCCACAAACACATTTTTAAATAAGTAAAGCCACAGTAAAATGTAATTTCTAAATTACTATTAAAAGAAAAAAAAAGTCAAATGTCCAAAGCTATAAAAAAGGGCAATAGGCCGGGCGCTGGCTCACACCTGTAATCGCAGCGCTTTGGGAGGCGGAGGTGAGTGGATCACTTGAAGTCAGGAGTTTGAGACCAGCCTGGCCAATATGGTGAAACCCTGTCTCAACTAAAAATACCAAAAAAAATTAGCCAGGCATGGTGGCGGGCACCTGTAATCCCAGCTACTAGGGAGGCTGAGGCAGGAGAATCACTTGAACCCAGGAGGTGGAGGTTGCAGTGAACCAAGATCGCACCACTGCACTCCAGTCTGGGCAATAGAGCAAGACTCTATCTCAAAATAAAATAAAATAAAATAAAATAAAAGGGCAATAAGTCTAGAAAAAAAACATTTTAAATTACCTTTTTTTTTCCTTTAATAGGAGTTTTGGGGCATCTGGGCTAATACAGAAAACTGACACTTATAAGCAATCATTTACTGATGGATTGATTTTATTACGAGAAAAAAGAACACTTAAAGAGCATATTGTAGTAGAAAAGGATCTAGCAGAATATATAAAAATGGATACGGATTATATCAATTAGGAAAAAGTCAAACACCCGGGGTCATTTTTTAAATAATAGTTAAACAGCCCTTTATAAAAATCCATACACTTATGAACAACCTTTCTCATACAAGTTAATCTGCTTATCCAATAAACATTTACTGAGTACCTTCTAGATGCCTGACACTGCCATCACAAATGCCATTAAACTGTGGTCCCTGCTCCCAAAAAGTTCACAGTCTAGTCGTGGAAAGACACATTAACAAGCTCTTAAGGCACTAAGTTAGAAACCAAACAGACAGTAAGATATATGAGGCAATCCCTGCCCTCAAAAAGCTTACATTAAATTAGGGTCCTTACATCTGAACACAAGTAGTTACATACTGGGCATATCTAATTAATAACATGTGTGCCACTTATTTAAAATGGTAAAAAAAGTAGTTTTAAAAATTCCACAAGAGTTCAAAAGATTGTTTCTGGCTAGGGAAATTAGAAAACCTCAGGGAAGGTTAAGGCAAGCATTAAAAGAACTGGACTAGCAGAGAGTGAAGGGTGAGCATTTTAGGTCTGGAAGACTATGAAAAGGCCTGGAAGTGGAAATTTAAATGTTTTAGGGGAGGTCCAAAACACCAAAGTTCTGTAATAGTCTGGTATTACACAGTAATAGAGCATGAAAAGACTGGAGAGATAAGATGGGGCTGAGCTGTTGAAGAGTGCTGAATATCAGTCTTGCAGTTGTTTTTCTTGAATATATTTCTGGGCTTCATGTTTAACAGATAGGGGTGGTCCTTTTACTAGAAACAAAAATAATGAATTTAGGCAATGATCATCAATGGCTGCCAAAATCTTTAGGTCTTTCATCAAAATCCGATGGGAACAATTTATAAGCGCAACAAGGCCTTAACCCACTGACCAATTTTAACATCACAGAGCCAACCAGACATCAAGTGCCTCCTGAATGTGATGCAGCTGAAAGTACACACTATCTTATATGAAATATTCTTGCCAAAAACATTAAACTGGAACCTAATCAAGGCTCTGAAGCTAAAGAACAATTTATAGGAAACAGGGGACACAAAAATATGTTAACGCACCCAGTAAATAATCAGTCGAATCCAAACAAGAGAAATTCTACAAGACAAAGCACCCAGGTTGTTTCTCAAAATTTTTTCAAGGAAAAAAGGGGGAGAACCAATAGATTAAAACATATATGAGACATTTTAACCAATATATGGACTTTGGGTCCTAATTTAAATCACCATATTTTTTAGAAGTTTATGAGATAATAAGAAAGTTTAAATGATACTAAAAATTATTGCTAGTTTTTTCAAAGTGTGATAAGATCTGTGGTTCTGTTTTTTTATTCTTTTTTACAACTTTTTCTCTTTCCTTTAGTATTTTTCCCTTTTCCCTGTCAAGTTTTTTTTCTTTTTTAACCTGTCACTTATGTGGTACTTAAGCTCATAGTTCCATTTTTTCTTGTTTTTTTTAAAGAGACGTTATATTTTAGAAATACATACTGAAGTAATTACAGATTAAATAGATGCACTGGAGGTGGGGGTATTATAAATGAAGCAAGATTGGCTATGTGTTCACAGCTGTTAAACAAAGCTGGTCATGTGGACATGAGAGTTCATTTACATGATTCTCTCTACATCTGTGTTTTAAATTTTCTATAATAAAAAGTTAAAAAAGAAAAGGAAGAAAGAATGGAAGGTAGGTAAGTCTGGATATGTTGATCATAGATTGATAAGTGAGTATAAATATAGCAGGTACACATGTAAGCACATCTCCAGTCATATGCTTACAAATATGTACAGGGGGTGGACTTATTGTTATGGGCTTATCTTTGCAGACCCACTGCTTGTTAATTGGGTGGGGTAGCTCTACACCCCTTTATTTCCTCATAACTCTGGGAAAAGAGGCCCATTTATTTTGCCAGGTGCTACTCTACATGGGCAGAGCGTCAAAGGAACTCAAAGAAAAGCAAAATCAAGAGATAAAAAACAAAATTCCCTATGATATTCTTTGAAACACTCGATCCAGCCACTCGATCCAAGCTTACCCCAGTATTATGAGGCAACCAATTATTTTGTTTATGCCAGTTTGAGTTGGGTTTCTATCACTTGAACAAAGGGTCCTAACTAATACAACACATTTATATCCATTAGTCATCATAATGAACCTCTAGTGTGTGCCCTAAAAGTAGCAGACATTGTACTGGGTACTCAGGATATAGAGATGATAATTATGGTATAGTTCCTGCTCTCATTGGAGTTTACATTCTTGAGCGAGGGCACGCTTGTAAACAACACCAGGATAATAGGTAAATGTTAAAATAAAATGTGTCATGTGGTTTATAAAAGACCTAAGACACAGCAGAGGAACCCTCAGGTAACTCTGCTTAGAAAGGAGGGAGAGCTTCAAAGAAGAGATGATGCTTGATCTGAGATTTAGATAATAAGTAGTAAGTTTGCCAGAAGGACAATAGTGGAGAAGAATATTGTTTAGAAGAAACAGCAAAAGAATGGTAACAATGGTACGGGAGAGTTTGTAGTGTTTTCGCCAGGTGGAGAGGAGGGAGGAATAGCTGCGTGCGAGGGAAAGCGGAGCACGGCAGGAGGTAGTTATTGTACAATATTGCAACTTATTTCACCTTCTTTGATAGGCTCTGCATTCCATGTGGGTAGGACCCTGTTTGTAACTAATCTCTCCTGGTCTCAGTTTCTTCCTGACTCTGATACATTCTCCACACCGCTGCCTATTATCTTCTCAAAACAAGTATGCCATGCCTCAATCCTGCTTTTAAAGTCTTCAAGGACTCTGATCATCAGTAGGGCACACAAGACTATTCACGACTGACCTAGGCGTATCTGACCACACTCGAGTCTACCATTCCACGACTCACACCAGTCCTTCCAGCCACACCAAACTACTTGCCGTTTCCAGAAAATTCCAAACAAAGAAAGTCCAAGCTAAGAAAACCCTCATTCCCATTCATCTTTGAAAGAACTAGTTCAAGTGTTCTATATAGTATTCGCTAGCTTTGCTTCTTCCCACCCCCCACCAAAGAAGCCGCCCTCTTCTGGTTTCCGTGGCAACTTACACATTCTTCTACCATAACACATAGAAAACTAAAATGGGTTCCTGTGTCTACTTCCCCCAGTGGAAAAATCAGACCCTCGGGGGCAAGAAGCCAAGCCCAGGACTTAGCCCAGTGCCTCGAAGGCTCAGTCCACACTCCAGACAACCTCTTCCTCCTCCACCTAAGCGGTATGCCCACACTCGCTGCGCCAAGCACACCCTAACTGCCTTCATCAAGATTTAACCGATTACACACCAAGCAATAGTTCCTATGTTCCTCTCACGAGTAAACACAATAAAGGCACAAAAGCTATGGGTATTGTATGTGCAGCTCGAATCACACACACACACGCCCCACACACACACTCCCAAAGGCAATTAATGACCGCAAGCACCGTCCACCGGACTGGCCAACACAAAATACGGGAGAAGGGCTGCCAAGGCTCAAACGAATTCCCGTCACAAAAACTTTTCTAGCCAAGGCCGGTTAATAAAATAGCCCAGTCGCGGGCACCAGCAGCCCAGAAGCTCGAGCTCTAGCCAATCTCTGCCCTGGACTGCGCAGAGAAGGGAAAGTAGGGAGACAAGCTCGGGGGCCCCGGCGACAGGTGAGTGGGGCTCAAGCCTCACCACGCGGCCGTTCTTCGGTGTACAAGTCGATGACGACGTCGCCTAAAGTGGTCTCCAGTAGAACCGCCATGGCGCCCGCTCCTCCTCCGCTACAAACCCCGGGAGGAGGGGGGTGACAGGCGCAGGCCGACGGCGTCGTCTACGCCACGCGTCACCCTCGGCGCGACCCCTTTTGCGTCATCTCGCCGGCGCCGCCCCCGGTTCCGAGCAGTTCCTTCCGGTCGGCGTGCGGGCGCCGGGCTGCCCAGCTGACTTACGGATCGGGTTGGTCCCGCCCCCGGCGCGGCCGTTTTGAAAATCCTGGTCCGCCCTTGGCGATTTTGGTGGAAGCCTGTCCCTCAGAACGGTCTCAGTATAGTGTTTTGTGCCCCGTTTGTGTCCGTCTCAAGAGCAGAGCGGCCCTCCGCGCGGCCCTTTTATCCACCAGGGGGCGCCCGCGGCGGGATCTTCTCTCCACCTATTTGGGCGGACTCCTCCGGGTTTCCTCGTCAGTCTCCTTTTCGCAAAACAACTTTGGGCCTCTACTAGGGGTTTCCGATTCTAAGAACTAACATTTTGTTTTGTTTTCTGTTTTGAGACAGGGTCTCGCTCTGTTGCCCAGGCTGGAGTGCAGTGGCGCGATGTCGGCTCACTGCAACCTCCACCTCCCGGGCTCCAGCGATTTTCCTGTCTCAGCCTCCCAAGTGACCACAGGCGCGCGCCACCACGCCCGGCTAATTTTGTTCTTTTATTTTTTGTAGAGATGGCGGTCGGGGGAGGTGGTCTCACTATGTTGCTCAGACTGGTCTCAAACTCCTGAGCTCAAGGAGTTCGAACTCTTCCCGCCTTGGCCTCCCGAAGTGCTGAGATTACTGGCGTGAGCCACTGCGCCTGGCCAAAACTAACATTTTGCCATGCAAGTTTATTCCCCAGACACTCTTCTGGGCAAGCCTGTCACTCTTTCTTATGACATTTTACACATAATCTCCAATAACTTCACATCTGACGAAAAGCCAAAGCTTTTTTTTTTTTTTTTTTTTTTGAGACGGAGTCTCGCTCTGTCGCCCAGTCTAGAGTGCAGTGGCGCGATCTCGGCTCACTGCAAGCTCCGCCTCCCGGGTTCACCCCATTCTCCTGCCTCCGCCTCCCGAGTTGCTGGGGCTACAGGTGTCCGCCATCACGCCCGGCTAATTTTTTGTGTTTTTAGTAGAGACCGGGTTTCACCGTGTTAGCCAGGATGGTCTCGACCTCCTGACCTCGTGGATCCGCCCGCCTCCGCCTCCCAAAGTGCTGGGATTACAGGCTTGAGCCACCGCACCTGGCGGAAAAGCCAGAGCTTTTATAATGATTTACAAGATCCTCTCCTACCCCATCCTACGCCATCTTCTTATTCCTCTGAAGCCACAGTAGACAGTTTGCTATTCCCTGAACACTGCTGACATACTCCTGCCCCATGGCCTTTTCACTTGCCTTGGTTGAGGGACCTCTTCCTCCAGTTATTTGTATGGCTCCCATTCACCTCCTTCAGGCGCTTTGGCGTCGGTCACCCTGTCAGTGAGGCCCTCCATGGCTGCCATAATTAAAATTAACCCCACAGACACTTCTTTTTCTCCATATAGCTTTTTCTCCAGAGTACATTTTACAATCTAACATGCTATTTACGAATTTGTTTGTTTGTTTATTGTTACTAGAATGTGTGTTCCAGGATATTCCATCTTGTCTGTTTTGTTTAAAGCTATATCCCTAATGCGTATGACAGCCTGGTACACAATGTGCAAATAAATGTTTGTTGAATGAATAAATATGGTTTTTCGGTTTGGGTTTTTTTTTTTTTTTTTGAGACGGAGTCTCGATCTGTTGCCCAGGCTTGAGTGCAGTGGTGCGATTTCAGGTCACTACAACCTCCGCCTCCTGGGTTCAAGCGATTCTCCTGCCTCAGCCTCCCCAGTAGCTGGGGCTACAGGTGCCCGCCACAGCGACTGCCACCACAATATTCATGGCTGGGCGTGGTGGCTCATGCCTGTAATCCCAGCACTTTGGGAGGCCGAGGTGGGCGGATCACCTGAGGTCAGGAATTTGAGACCAGCCGGGCCCATCATGGTGAAACCCCGTCTCTAATAAAAAATACAAAAAAAAAAAAAAAAACTAGCTGGGTGTGGTAGCGCATGCCTGTAATCCCAGCTACCCAGGAGGCTGAGGCAGGAGAACTGCTTGAACACGGAAGGTGGAGGTTGCAGTGAGCCGGGATTGCGCCACTGCACTCCAGCCTGGGTGACAGAGCGAGACTCCGTCTCGAGGAAAAAAAAAAAAAAGAAAGTGCTCCCATACCATGTTCCATTTATGCCTGATATGTGTTTAAGGGTTAAAAGTAAAGCCAACAAAGGGAATCCTAAGACTGTGAGTTCTGGGTCATTGTAAGGTTCCTCAGTGCTGTTGAACTGAGCAAACCATTTAGGACAGACCCAACAATTAGTCTTGTTGTAGAAATGGGCCATGGCGGATATTGTAGGAGCTAAAGGGTGTGACGTATTACTAAGTCCCATAAAAAATCCTAACAGACCTAGTGATAGTAAAACACTCATGTTTACTGTTGGTTAATAACTGTTATTCCTGCTGTAAGGATAGTAATTAAGCAAAATGCTACAGTAATTGAGATTCTGTTCGATATTACACCCTGAGGGTGCTATAGTATATAGTAATACTTGGCTTAAAAGGAGAGGTAGAAACGGCAAAAAGTATTTGGTGAGGTAGAGGCGAGACTAAGGTGAGTGGTTCTTACTCCGTTACTTATCTTTTGTGATTTTCAGCTTATGGTCTCCTACTTCTTCGCATTGATATTCAGGTCATTTCTCTGGGCTGTCAGGGGTTGCTCCCTCAGCTTTCCAGGCTTTGACTCGAGTGTGATGTATCCAAAAGTTGATTCCTGTAACTTTTATTGCTGAGGGAGTTGAAAGAATGGTGTAAGGCCCTTCCCAGCTTGGGCTTAGGAAGAGAGAGAAGGGAGAGCCTTCACCAGTACCAAATCTCCTGGGTTAAATAGAGGTGGTCCAATTTCCTGGGGTTGGGGCTTTGCTAATTGTGCTAATTCCTGTTGCAAGTGAGCCAGAGAAGTTACCTGCTTGACTAGCTCAGAGGTTTCTTGATCTAATAGAAAATCATTGGTAAAGAAAGGTCATCCATACAGCATCTCAAAAGGGCTAAGACGAAGTTTTGAAGGGGTACTTTTTATTCGTAGTAAGGCCATAAGAAGAAGAGTGACCCAAGGAAGGTGAGTTTCTTGGGTTAATTTTCTGATGTGTCTCTTGATCATATCATTAGTTTTCTCTACCTTTCCTGAGGATGCGGGTCTTCAAGCACAGTGGAGATGGTATTCTATGCCTAGTGCTTTTGAGACCCCCTTGTGTGACAGCTGCCTTAAATGAGGGTCCATTGTCATTTTGAAGATACCTAGGTAGACCAAAGCGGGGAGTTATTTCATTAACTAACAAACACTTTTATTACCTCAGAGGCTTTTTCTGTACGGCATGGGAATGCCTCTACCCAGTTAGTGAAGGTGTCTGACCATACCAGCAGGTATTGGATGCCCTTTGTCTTCGGCATGTGGGTGAAGTCTATTTGGCAGTCTTCTCCTGGATAACCTCCTATTCTTTGGGGTTGAGGAGGAAGGAGTCGCCTGTTAAGGATTATTTTTAAGACAGACTTCACAAGCATTAACAACCTCCTTAACTGTTTTTAGTAAGTTATCTCCTGAAAACAATCTCTGGGCACATTGATATGTCTTATCCTTTCCCAGGTGAAAAGCTTGGTGAAGGACTTCAAGGACTTTCCATTGGCTAGAGGCTGGCAAGTGGAGCTTGCCATCCTCCGACTGTCACCATCCTGAGGGCCGAAATGTATACCCTCAAGAAGTGGCCCATTCTGCTTCTGTAGGGGAGTACTGAGGTTTAATTCCTCTGATGGAGCCTTCCCACACTAGAGGAGTTTGAAGTGTTAATGTCTTGAGGCTTTCTTGCCGCTGACTTAGCTGCCTGATCAGCTAATCTGTTTCCTTCAGCTACCTCATCTGTTCCCTTTTGATGTCCCCTACAATGCATTACTGCGATTTCTCATGGAAGGAAAACTGAGGATAGTAATGTATTAATTTCCTGGTGATATTTTATAGGGGATCCATTGGTGGTAAGAAAACGCCTTTCCAGGCCGGGCATGGTGGCTCACGCCTATAATCCCAGCACTTTGGGAGGCCGAGACGGGCAGATCACGAGGTCAGGAGTTCGAGACCAGCCTGGCCAACATGGTGAAATTCCGTCTCTACTAAAAATACAAAAATTAGCTGGGCATGGTGGCAGGTGCATGTAATCCCAGCTACTTGGGAGGCTGAAGCAGGAGAATCACTTGAACCTGGGAGGCAGAGGTTGCAGTGAGCTGAGATCGCGCCATTGCACTCCAGCCTGGGCAACAAGAGCAAAAGTCCATCTCAAAAAAAAGAAAAGAAAATGCCTTTCCTTCCAAATGGTCGCATGAGCATGGAAAACTAGGAAAGCATACTTGGAGTCAGTGTAAATATTAGCTACCTTACCTTTGCTTAATTCAATTGCTCTTGTAAGAGCTATTAGCTCAGCTAATTGAGCGCTTGTGCCTGGAGGAAGAGACACACTTTCAATAGAATCAAATTCAATAGAATCAAATAGTGGCTAGATTGAGGCTAGAACAAGTCTTTAATTGGATGTGGGAACCCTCTAACAACAGGGCCTGATATTTAAGCCAATGGAGTTGTGTTCCCAGGGGGATTATGGCTGCCTCCTTCCTTGGAGCAGGTAGTCAATGACTACTGTGCATCCTGCCTTGCGGATCCCTTGTTCTATAAAGAGCTCCCATCTGTGAAGAGGGTCCAGTCTGGCTTCTCTAGGGGAGTTTCCCTGAGTTCCTCCCTGGCTGCATAGGTTTGTACTATGACTTGTTCACAGTTATGTTCAGGTTCCCCAGTTTCCTCAGGGAGGAAGGTGGCTGGATTTAGGTTAGAACAAGTCTTTAATTGGATGTGGGAACCCTCTAACAGCAGGGCCTGATATTTAAGGAGTCAGCTCTCTGTTAGCCAAAGCCTTACTCTAGAGTACAGTAGTCCTGCCACATTATGTGGGGTGTAAACAGTTAAATCATTCCCCAGGGTTAGTTTGGAGGCTTCTGGGACCAGCAGAGCCACCAGTCCCTTCTAGCTTGTAGAGTTTCTGCTGGTAGTGGCAAATTCTCTCAGCATTTGTTTGTCTGAAATAGACTGTATCTTTGTTTGTGAAGCTTGGTTTCACTGGATACAAAATTCTTGGCTGATAATTGTTTTGTTTAAGGAGGCTAAAGATAAGACCCCAATCCCGACAAGCTTATAGGGTCTCTGCTGAGAAACTGTTGTTAATCTGATAGGTTTTCCTTTATAGGTTACCTGATGCTTTTGCCTCACAGCTCTTAAGATTCTTTCCTTCTTCTTGACTTTAGATAACCTAATGACTATGTGCCTAGGTGGTGATCTTTTTGTGATGAATTTCCCGGGTGTTCTTTGAGCTTCTTGTATTTGGATGTCTAGGTTTCTAGCAAGGCCAGCCCCAGAGCTGTTTGTACTGGCACCAGTGTTAAGTGGGTCAAATTCTTGGGCCTCCAGGTGGCTTGCTCAAATGCTGGTAGTGCTAGTGATAATCCAGGTGTTTGGGTAGGTTTTGGGCTCCTGGGTAGCTGCTGGGAAGTGACTGATGGCAGTAGCAGTGGTGGAGCAACCCACTGGGGCCCAAGCAGTTTGTGCTGGTATTGGCGAGGGCTGTGACAGGTTGAGTTGCACTGGTAGCACTGCCAGCTGTGATAGTATCAGCAGGATGGGTCAGCCCAACCTTAGACCCCAGCAGGAGTGGCCATTCAGGTGTCAATGGTCATAGATTGGGATGGGTGATTTTCAGGTCCCTGGATAGCATGCTTGAGTACTGGAGGAATGGTACTGGGCTGGCCAACTTGTCCTCTGGCCCTGTGGTAGTGCGTTTACATGCTTTTTGTGATAGGCAGAGGCAGAATGGTCCACAGGCCACAGGCAGAATGCTCAGGTGTGGGCAGTGGCAGCTGTGCTGTGGGCCTGCCCTCAGGGAAGGTGAGACCTATCTCAACTGGAGTAGCGCAGGCAGGCAGCTGTAGGCAGTGCAGTTTGCCCGGGCCTTGGTCCCACAGCAGCCTGCAGCTGCAGTGGTGAGATTTGTCCTGGGGTTGCATGGGAGTGCCCGGCCTCCCCTCTCACTTCTCAGCCCAGTGGCAGCAATGTCAGCATCAGCCTGGCCCCCGGGCAAGATACAAATCCCCAGAGGCTAGGCTCTGAAAATGTCACCAAGCTGAAGCTACTCTGGTCTTGGATGCCTCTGGGACTTTGTATGAGTTCCCTCTTTGAAGCTGTGTCTCTGTGCGATCTCTAAGCACCTTCCTGTTAGGCTTGAGGCCTGCATGGGTTGAGTGGTTCTGCAGCTACATTATAAAAGACGATGACAGAAATATGAAGCTCTAAGGGTTTCTCTCTTACCCTTTCCCTGTATTGGGAAGCTTCTCCCACTTCTCATCCAATCCTGGCTGAGCAAGCTGCCTCTTTCCCTGCTTTCAGTGCTTCCTGTCACTTTTCTGTTGAATCCCAGTGTTCTTTCTTAGACAATCGCTTTGAAGTGTGAATATCTAGTTGCTATATTTGTCCCTCTCCATGGAGGAGGTGCATACTAGCTGCATCTAGTCAGGCATCTTGAAACCTCTCCTTGATGTTAATGTTTGGAAAGCAACAAAAATGTACTAATCTTTCCTCCAGACTTAATCTACTTTACTATTTACATTTGGTAGAATTGCAAATAATATAGCTCTTTCTTTTCACCTATGTAACTACTATACAAACCACTTCAACATATTTAAATATTTGTAGCATTAGAGACAATAAGATAATGACAAGCAGAAACTATATAATGAAATGGTATTTTCCTTGTGATGGTAGAATATTTTATATTTAGGGATATAATTAAGTACAGCATAATTTAAAGATGGTGTAAATTACACACTGAATAATAATAAGAAGGTATTCTATCTAGAAAGATGTCCATACCTTAATTATCACTGTTGGAAAGTGATTGAAAAATTAAAAATTAAAAAAAAAATGCCCATACCAGAGTCTGATTCTTCAAAACAATCTGGCAATACCGTATATAGTCATTAATGAATAACTCCAGATGTGAAATCATTTCTCATATTTATTATGTCACTTTCCAATTCTCTTTGAATAGTCCAAATTCTTCTTTAAAAATTAAAATTGATTAGTGGCTCACGCCTGTAATCCCAACACTTTGGGAGGCCAAGGCAGGCAGATTACTTGAGCTCGGGAGTTTGAGACCAGCCTGGCCAACATGGTAGAACCCCGTTTCTACTAAAAATACAAAAATTAGCTGGGCATGGTGGCGCATGCCTGTAATTCCAGCTACTTGGAAGGCTGAGGCACAAGAATTGCTTGAACCCGGGAGGTGGAGGTTGCAGTGAGCCGCAATCATGCCACTGTACTATAGCCTGGGTAATGGAGTGAGACTCTGTCTTAAAAAAAAAAATTGCTTGATTTTTCCAAACCCTCTCTTTTTTTCCTTGGATTTGTAATATTTCTCTTAAGGATACACAGAATGTTATCAAACACTACTCTTTAACACTATCTCTAGTCTTCTAATTTAGGATTCTGCTAGGGAAAGATTATATGAGTTATATACACAGTATCAGGCAATTAGGTTGAACTAATGTTTCAGTTTTCTTTTTCTTTCTTGAAAAAAATGTTTTTGAGACAGGGTCTCACTCCTATTCAGGCTGTAGTGCAGTGGGATGATCAGGGCTCACTGCTGCTTCAACCTCGGTGAGTATTGAAGTCCCCCACTCTACTAAAAATACAAAAATTTGCCAGATGTGGTGGCAGATGCCTGTAATCTCAGCTACTTGGGAGGCTGAGGCAGGAGAATTGCTTGAACCCAGGAGGCGGAGGTTGCAGTGAACCCACATCGTGCCACTGTGCTCCAGTCTGGGCAGCAGAGTGAGACTCCATCTCAAAAAAACAAAACGAAACGAAACAAAACAAATCTATGATAAACTCTCTCAAAAATAACCAACCATCTATGATAAACCCATAGCCAACATTATACTGAACAGGGAAAAGTTTAAAGCATTCCCCCTAAGAACTGGAATAAGACAAGGATGATCACTTTCACCACTTCTATTCAACATAGTATTAGAAGTCCTAGCCAGAGCAATCAGACAAGAGGAATAAAGGGAATCCAAATCAGTAAGGAAGAAGTCAAATTGTTGCTGTTTGCTGATGATGTGATCGTATACCTAGAAACCCTAAAGACTCATCCAAAAAGTTACGACATCTGATACACGAATTCAGTAAAATTTCAGGATACAAAATCAATGTACACAAATCAGTAACACTGTTATACACCAACAGCAATCAAGCTGAGAATCAAACCAAGAATTCAATCACCTCTACAATAGCTTGCAAAAAAATAATAAAATACTTAGGAATATACCTAACCAAGGAGGTGAAAGACCTCTACAAGGAAAACTACTAAACACTGCTGAAAGAAATCACAGATGACACAAACAAATGGAAACACATCCCATGCTCATGAATGGGTAGAATCAGTATTGTGAAAATGACTATACTGCCAAAAGCAATCTACAAATTCAATGCAATTCTCATCAAAATACCATCATCGTCTTCACAGAACTAGAAAAAACAATCCTAAAATTCATATAGAACCAAAAAAGAGCCCATATAGCCAAAGCAAGACTAAGCAAAAAGAATAATTTTCTTTTTTTTTTTTTTAGACGGAGTTACTCTTGTTGCCAAGGCTGGAGTGCAATGGCGCGATCTCGGCTCACCGCAATCTCCGCCTCCTGGGTTCAAGCAATTCTGCCTCAGCCTCCTGAGTAGCTGAGATTATAGGCATGCGCCACTAGTCCTGACTAATTTTTTGGACTTTCAGTAGAGATGCAGTTTCTCCGTGTTAGTCAGGCTGGTCTTGAACTCCCGACCTACGGTGATCTGCCTGCCTCGGCCTTCCAAAGTGCTGGGATCACATGTGTGAGGCTGTACCCGGCCTTTTTTGTTCTTTACCTGACTTCAAACTCTACTATAAGGCTGTAGTCACCAAAACAGCATGGTACTGGTATAAAAATAGGCAAATAGATAAATGGAACAGAATAGAGAACCCAGAAATAAAGCTAACAGCCAACTGATCTTAAACAAAGCAAACAAAAACATAAAGTGGGGAAAGAATACCATACAAACAGTGCTGGGATAATTGGCAAGCCACATGTAGAAGAGTGAAACTGAATCCTCATGTCTTACCTTATCTAAAAATCAACTGAAGATGGATCAAAGACTTCAATCTAAGACCTGAAACCATCAAAATTTTAAAAGATAACATCGGAAAAACTCTTCTAGACATTGGCTTAGGCAAAGACTTCATGATCAAGAACCCAAAAGCAAATGCAACAACAAAAAAGATAAATAGATGGGACTTAATTAAACTAAAAAGTTTCTGCACAGCAAAAGAAATAATCAGCAGAGTAAACAGACAACCCACAGAGTGGACAAAAATTTTCACAAACTGTGCATCCAACAAAGGACTGATATCCAGAATCTGCAAGGAACTCAAACAAATCAGCAAGAAAACAAAATAGTCTCATCGAAAATTAGGCTAAGGACATGAATAGACAATTCTCAAAAGAAGATATACGAATGGTCAACAAACATGAAAAAATGCTCAACATCACTAATTATCAGGGAAATGCAAATCAAAACCACAATGCGATACCACTTTACCCCTGTAAGAATGGCCATAATTAAAAAAAAAAAATAGATACTGGCATGGATATGGTGCAAAGGGAACACATCTACACTACTGGTGGGAATGTAAACTCGCACAACCACTATGGAAAACATTATGGAGATTCCTTAAAGAACTAAAAGTAGATCTACCATTTTGATGCAGCAGTCCCACTTTTGGATTTCCACTCAGACAAAAAGAAGTCATTACATGAAAAAGACACTTGCACAGACATGTTTGTAGCAGCACAATTCACAATTGTAAAAATATGGAACCCGCCCAAATGTCCATCAGTCAACGAGTGGATAAAGAAAATGTGGCAGTGGCCAGGCGCAGTGGTTCACGCCTGTAATCCCAGCACTTTGGGAGGCTGAGGCGGGCAGATCATCTGAGGTCAGGAGTTGGAGACCAGCCTGACCAACATGGCAAAACTGCATCTCTATTAAAAATACAAAAATTAGGCTGGGTGCGGTGGCTCATGCTTGTAATCCCAGCACTTTGGGAGGCCAAGGCGGGTGGATCACGAGGTCAGGAGATCGAGACCATCCTGGCTAACATGGTGAAACGCTGTCTCTACTGAAAATACAAAAAATTAGCCAGGCGTGGTGGTGGGCACCTGTAGTCCCAGCTACTCGGGAGGCTGAGGCAGGAGAATGGCGTGAACCCGGGAGATGGAGGTTGCAGTGAGCCGAGATCGCGTCACTGCATTCCAGCCTGGGCGACAGAGTGAGACTCCACCTCAAAAAAAAATAATAATAATAATTAGCTGGGCGTGGTGGCACACACCTGTAATCCCAGCTACTTGGGAGGCTGAGGCAGGAGAATTGCTCGAACCTGAGAGGCAGAGGTTGCAGTGAGCCAAGATCATGCCACTGCACTCCAGCCTGGGTGACAGAGAGAGACTCCGACTCAAAAAAAAGGGAAAGAAAGAAAAGAAAGTGTGATATATATATACACCATGGAATACTACTCAGCCATAAAAAGAAACAAAATAATAGCATTTGCAGCAACCTGGAAGGAGTTGCAGACCATCATTCTAAGTGAAGTAACTCAGGAATGGAAAACTAAACATTGTATGTTCTCACTTATAAGTGGGAGCTATGCTATGAGGATGCAAATGCAAAGGCATAAGAATGATCCAATGGACTTTGGGGACTCAGGGGGAAGGTTGAAAGGAGGTAAGGAATAAAAGACTATAATTAGGTACAGTGTACACTGCTCAGATTATAGGTGTAGCAAAAGTTCAGAAATCACCACTAAAGAAGTTATCCATGTAACCAAATACCACTTGTTCCCCACAAACTATTAAAATTTAAAATTTAAAAATTTTAAAAATTTTAAAGTAATTGACAATAAAAAACACAAAAAAGTAGAATGATTTCAAATAAACAACCTAATAATGCACTTAAAGGAACTAGAAAAGCAAGAACAAATCACACCCCCAAATTATGAGAAGAAAAAGTAAAGATCAGAGCAGAACTAAATCAATTTGAGACTAAAAAATTACAAAGGACCAATGAAACAAAAAGTTGGTTCTTCAAAAAAATAAACAAAATTGATAAACTGTTATCTAGACCAACCAAGAAAAGAATACTCAAAGAAACAAAATCAAAGATGAGAAAGGAGATATTACCATTGATGCCACAGAAATACAAAAAAATTATCAGAGACTTTTATGACTATATGCTGACAAAAACCTAGAGGAAATGTATAAATTCTTGGACACATACAATCTACCAAGACTGAATCAGAAAGAAACAGAAAACCTGAACAGACTAATAATGAGTAACAAGATTGAATCAGTAATAAAAAATCTCTCAACAATATAAAGCCTAGGATCAGATGGATTCACATCCAAATTTGCCCAAATGTACAAAGTAGAACTAATGTCAATCCTCCTGAAATGATTCCAAAAAAATTGAAAAGGAGGGAATTCTCCCTAATTCTTTTTTTTTTTTTTTTTTTTTTTTGAGACAGAGTCAGGCTGGAGTGCTGTGGCATGATCTCGGCTCACTGCAACCTCCACATACCGGGTTCAAGCAATTCTCCTGCCTCAGCCTCCCGAGTAGCTGGGACTACAGGTGTGCAACACCATGCTCGGCTAATTTTTGTATTTTTAGTAGAGATGGGGTTTCACCATGTTGGCCAGGCTGGACTCGAACTCTTGACCTCGTGATCCGCCCACCTTAGTCTCCGAAAGTGCTGGGATTACAGGCGTGAGCCACCATGCCCAGCCCTCCCTAACTAATTTTATGAGGCCAGTGTCACCTTCATATCAAAACCAAACAAGGACAAGAAAAGAGGAAACTACAGGCCAATATCCCTGATGAACATAGATGCAAAATCCATAGAAGAAAATACTAGCAAATCAAATCAGCAGCATATCAAAAACTAATACACCATGATCAAGTGTGATTTATACCTGGGATGCAAAGATGGTACAACATACACAAATCAATAAATGTGATACATCACATCAACAGAATGAAGGACTAAAACCATATGATCATCTCAATAGATGCAGAAAAAGCATTTAATAAAATTCAACATCCATTCTTGAGAAAAACTCTCAACAAACTAGGCATAGAAGGAACATACCTCAAAGTAATAAAGGCCATATATAACAAATCCACAGCTAGCATTATACTGAATTCAAAAAAGTTGAAAGCCTTTCCTCTAAGAAGTGGATCAAGACAAGGATGCCCACACTTACCACTCCTGTTCAACATAGTACTAGAAGTCATACCAAAGGAATCAGACAAGAGAAAGAAATAAAAGGCATTCAAATTGGAAAAGAAGTCAAACTACCTCTCTTTGTTGACGATATGATCTTATATGTAGAGAAACCTAAAAGACTCCACCAAAAAACTCTTAGATTTAATAAATAAATTCAGTAAAGTTGCAGTTTACAAAATCAACACACAAATCAGTAGTTCCTGTATGCCAATAATGATCTAGCCAAGAAAGAAATTAAGAAGGCAATTCCATGTACAATAAATATAAAAAAACCCAAAATACCTAGAAATAAATTTAACCAGGGAGGTGAAATATCACTACAAAGAAAACTATAAAACACTGTTTAAAGAAATCGAAGATGACACAAATGAATGGAAAATATCCCACGCTCATGAACTGGAAAAATTAATATAATTAAAATGATCATATTGCCCAAAGTAATCTACAGATTCAATGCAATCCCTATTAAAATACCAATTCATTTTTTATAGAATTATTAAAAACAATCCTAAAATTCACATGCAACCAAAACAGAGCCCAAATAACCAATGTAATCCTGAGCAAGAAGAATAAAGCTGGAGGCATCATATTACCTGGCTTCAAAACATATTACCAAAACAATATAGTTACCAAAACAATATAGTAACCAAAACAGCATGGTATTTGTATAAAAATTGACACACAGACAAATGAAACAGAAGAGAGAACCCAGAAACAAAGCCATATATTTACAGCCAACTGATCTTTGACAAAGCTGAAAAGAGTTTATATTGGGAAAAGTACATCTCCTTCAATCAATGGTGCTGGGAAAATTGGATAGCCACATGCAAAAGAATAAAACCGGACACCTATCTCTCACCATATACAAAAATCAAGTAAAGCTGGATTAAAAAATTAAACATAAGATCTGAAACTACAAAAATACTGGACAAAAACCTAGGGAAACCTCTGCTGGACATTGGCCTAGGCAAATAATTTATGACTAAGACCTCAAAAGCACATACAACAAAAACAGAAATAGACAAATGGGAATTAATTAAACTAAAAAGCTTCTACATAGCAAAAGAATCAGCAGAATGAAGAGACAACCTGTTGAATGGGAGAAAACATTTGCAAACTATTCATTCAACAGGGCACTAATATCCAGAATATATAAGGAACGTTACTGAACAGGAAAAAACAACAATCTCTTTAAAAAGTGGCCAAAGTCGGCTGGGCATGGTGGCTCACACCTTTAATCCTAGCACTTTGGGAGGCCAAGGTGGGAGGATCCTTTGAGCCCAGGAGTTCAAAACCAGTCTGGGCAACATAGCAACATAGCAAGACCCTGGGCAACATAGCAAGACCCTGTCCCTTATTTTTTTTTAAAGTCGGCAAAGAACATAAATAGACATTTCTCAGAAAAAGACATACAAATGTCCAACAGATATATGAAAAAATGCTCAACATCTCTAACTGTCACAGAAATGCAAAGCAAAACCACAATGAGATATCTTACCATTTGGAATGGCTATGATTAAAAAGACAAAAAATAACAGATGTTGGCAATGATGCAGAGAAAAAAACTTTTATACACTGGGAGAATGTAAATTAGTATAGCCACTGTGGAAAACAGTATGGATATTTCTCGAAAAACTAAAATAGAATTACCATTCAATCCAGCAATCCCACTGCTGGCTATCTACCTGAGGAAAAAGAAATCAATATATCAAAGGAATACCTGCACTCACATGTTTATTTCACCACTATTCACAATAGAAATATAGAGGATCAACCTCAGTGTCCATCAACAGATGAACAGATAAAAAAAAGATATATATACACAATTGAATACTATTTGGTTATTAAAAAGAATGAAATAATGTCATTTATAGCAACATGGATGGAACTGGAGGTCATTATCTTAAGTAAAATATGCCAGGCACAGAAAGAAAAAATATTGCATGTTCTCATTTACATGTGGGAGCTAAACAATTGGACCACATGGAGGTAGACAATGGAAAGGTAGATGACAAAAACTGGGTAAGGTGAGTGAGGGGGAAAGGGAAGGATGAAGTCAAGTGGGTTAAAGGGTATAAACATACAGTTAGATAGAAGAAATAAATTCAATGTTTGATAGAAGAGTTGGGTGATGTTAGTCAAACAAAAATGTACTATACTCAGGTGATACGTACCCTACATACCCTGAATTGATCACTATACACTACATACATATAACAAAGTTTCACATATACCCCATAAATCTGTACAAACATAAATAAATAAAAACACAAATAGATTGGTTGGGTTGTATATGAGAGGTGCACTCCCAGAGGTGCCCACCAGGGCATGAGCTCTGGATTGGCTGTGTTGTATATGAGATGTAAACTCCCAGAGGTGCCCAGGGAAGTAGTTTGCGATTTCTAGGAATTAGCTAACCCTCGGAGCAGCAGTGTCTCCAGGGCCAGCAAGGCCCCAGGTGCCGTAACATCAAGAATACAGAAAATAGGCAAATACAGTTAATACATATGGCTATGAAGTTGCCTGTCATTTTAGCACCAACTGAGGTAAACAATGATAAAGTGAGGCTTTTATATTCTAGTGAATTAAATAAAGTGAATCCTGACTTAAAAGAAGAAAATCCACTCCCAAGAGGGAAATCCACTGAAGGCAGAGGAAAGACACCCTACACTCTGCTTCTGCTTCCAAGTGGAGGCTTCTTTCATTTCTAAAGGTGATTTAAAAAGTCAAATAAGGCTGGGCACGGTGGCTCACACCTGTAATCCCAGCACTTTGGGAGGCTGAGGCAGGTGGATCATGACATGGTCAGGAGTTCAAGACCAGCCTGGCCAACATGGTGAAACCCCGTCTCTACTAAAAATACAAAAATTAGCCAGGTGTGGTGGCAGGCACCTGTAATCCCAGCTAGTCGGGAGGCTGAGGCAGGAGAATTGCTTGAACCCGGGAGTTGGAGGTTGCAGTGCGCTGAGATCGTGCCACTGCACTCCAGCCTGGGTGACAGAGCAAGACTCCATCTCAGAAAAAAAAAAAAAAGTCAAATAAGACAAATGAAAATGGCATCTTACCACAAATATAACCTACTTATCTGGGTTACTGAATATGAAATGATCTCTAAACAAACTCTTCTTGCAGTATCTGTTACAGATGTTCTATTTTTTAAAACCTGAAACCTGATAAGATTTCTTATTCCTTAGGATACTTATTTTAATCTTTTTTTTTTTTTTTTCAAGGCGGAGTCTCGCTGTGTCGCCCAGGCTGGAGTACAGTGGCTAGATCTCGGCTCACTGCAAGCTCTGCCTCCCGAGTTCATGCCATTCTCCTGCCTCAGCCTCCCGAGTAGCTGGGACTACAGGCGCCTGCCACCACGCCCGGCTAATTTTTTGTATTTTTAGTAAAGACAGGGTTTCACCGTGTTAGCCAGCATGGTCTCGACCTCCTGACCTCGTGATCCGCCTGCCTCAGCCTCCCAAAGTTCTGGGATTACAGGGGTGAGCCACCGCGCCCGGCCCTTTAATCTTTTATCTTCAGGATTTTTATTAGGGTACCAAATATTAAATTATAGTATGATTTTTAGCATCCTTGAGTACAAACGTCTCTGCAGATTTTCAGGTTGTTGAAACTAGTTAGCTGAGGGAGCAGAGAGCAGGGTCTGCATCTTGGCCCTGGAGCCCCTCTAGCTCCTGTGATGGTGGAGAAGGCATAGCTCTCTTACACTTTACTGTTTCTCCATTTCTCCCAACACAGCTTATATATATATATATATATATATATATATATATATATATATATATATATATATATTTTTTTTTTTTTTTTTTAAGACGAAGTTTCACTCTTGTTGCCCAGGCTGGAGTGCAATGGCGCGATCTCGGCTCACCGCAACCTCTGCCTCCCGGGTTCAAGCAATTCTCCCGCCCCAGCCTCCTGAGTACCTGGGATTACAGGCATGCGCCACCACGCCCAGCTAATTTTTGTGTTGTTAATAGAGACGGGGTTTCTTGAACTCCCGGCTGGCCTCGAACTCCCGACCTCAGGTGATCCGCCTGCCTCCACCTCCCAAAGTGCAACCCAGCTCATATTTTTAGAAAGCTAATGAGTAGAATAATTTATAATCATCTCTATAAATGTATATAAATTAACTAAATGCCTTTTGTTTCATTATACTGTGTTGGCTTAGAATGCCAGAGTTTAAAACCACAGCTTCATCATTTACTGTTCTGTAACTCAGAGAAAAACACTTAATTTCTATAAATTTCTGTTTTGTATATAAAAATGGGATAATAAATTGTAATCATGTCATTAGGCTGTTATAAGGTTTAAATAATATACATAAAGCACTTAACACAATTAGCATAATAAATGCTGGCTACTACAATGATAATATTTCTATGAGTTGTTCTTCATATGAGAGGCATCACCCATCATTATGAGCTAATTAAATTCATTCATAAATATATGGACAAGAAAGTTACAGCAAAAGCAGTTTTAAAATATTTTAGGCCAGGCACAGTGGCTCATGACTGTAATCCCAGCACTTTGGGAGGCCGAGGCAGGTGGATCACCTGAGTTCAGGAGTTTGAGACCAGCCTGGCCAACGTGGTGAAACTCCGTCTCTATTAAAAATACAAAAATTAGCTGGGCGTGGTGGTGGGCACCTGTTATCCCAGCTACTTGGGAGGTTGAGGCAGGAGAATCGCTTGAACCTGGGAGGAGGAGGTTGCGTGAGCTGAGATTGTGCCATTGCACCCTAGCCTTGGTGACAAGAATGAAACTCTTGTCTCAAAAAAAAAAAAAAAAAAAAAAAGTGGCTCATGCCTGTAATCCCAACATTTTGGAAGGCCGAGGCAGGAGGATTGCTTCAGCTCAGGAATTCAAGACCAACCTGGGCAAGCTAGCAAGCCCTCGTCTTCACTTAAAAAAAAAAATTAGCAGGGCATGGGGGCATGTGCCTACAGTCCCAGCTACTCAGGAGTCTGAGGTAGGAAGATGGCTTCAGCTCAGGAGGTCAAGGCTGCAGTGAGCCATGATCTATCTTGCCATGGCACTCCAGCCTGGGTGTCAAAGCAAGACCCTGTCTCAAAAAAATAAAATATAATATCTTTGTTTCTTGCTCTCCCTCTTGTCATCTTCTAGGGGTCTTTCAAAAAGTTCAAAAATATGTAGATGACTAACTCTGGAAAATACTGGAGTAGACTGTGTTGTAATAGAAGTGCAGTGACTCACTCACTCCCAGAAACTGGAAACAGATACAAATCAGGTCCCAGATTTCCTTTTGGCATCAAGCCTGCTTTAAATTGCAGAAAAAGATGGACTCAAATTTTGATTGTGGGAATGATGAAAATGACAATGAAATCGGCTACTGAAAAAGGAAATATATCAAGGTTTGGAATCAAAAGGTATTATCTGGTGAAAGAATAAAGACATTTTAATATATACTTTGTTTTCTGTAGTATTAGAAATATTTTAGAATATCTTCTCCTATATGAAAGATTACCTTCAAAGAAGAGAAAGCATCTAATGTGCACAGAACCGCAGTGGGTTGCTGTCAGGCAACTTGAACTCTTTTTATGATAGAGGATATCAAGTTGACATGAGCTGACTCAAAGGAACATCAAAGTACTCACCGTATTAACATTGACAGATTTATTTGTCGTGTAAGCAACTGCCAAGTTAATTCTGTCTTTTGTTTCTCAGATTAATGTGAAGGCTCAGTAAACCAAGCTGAGTTTTCCAATGGACAAGTGGAACTCAGCCACAAAGCTTGTTTAAAGTTTTGTTGTAACTCATTAGAGTTGTGGTATGGTGCTTTTTCCCCAAATGATGGGGTTTTTTAAATGAAATTCCGTAGCGCTCATGGGTGCATGTAGCAAAACAATGGCCTAAAGAGAACCATTTCATACAAAACAGTAAAATTTTTGATTATTAAATAATACTGTCAACCACTTAGACATTATTTGTCCAACAAACCCCCACTGAGGGCTTACTCTAGCAAGCTGTTTGCTTTAAGGTTTGGCCACCCTCTTCCTGGAGCTCACATCTATCTGACGAGACAGATAAACAATAAAGAATAATGGACAGTTAGACCATGGGAAAGGCTTTGTAAGAAAACAGAGAGCCTCAACTTTACCTATTATCTTTTCATATAGACGTACTTTGTAACCTTATATTACTAATTCAAATTATACAGATCCACATGTCATGTTTTCTGACTTCCAGATTCTTTTTTTTTTTTTTGGAGACGGAGTCTCGCTCCACCGCGCAGGCTGGAGTGCAATGGCGCGATCTTGGCTCACTGCAACCTTCGCCTCCTGGGTTCAAGCGATTCTCCTGCCTCAGCCTCCCTAGTAGCTGGAATTACAGGTGCGTGCCAGTATGCCTGGATAATTTTTGTATTTTTAGTAGAGATGGGGTTTCACCATGTTGGCCAGGCTATTCTCGAACTCCTGACCTCAAGTGATCCACCCGCCTCGGCCTCCTAAAGTGTTGGGATTACAGGCGTGAGCCACTGCACCCGGCTTCTAGATTCCTTTTTTTTTTTTTTTTTTTAATAGACTCAGGCGATCCTCCTGCCTGCGTTTGCTGCATAGCTGGGAGTACAGGCACAAATGACCACGCCCATCTCCAAATTCATTTTTAATTCCAGCAGTAGGAAAAAAAGGAAAAGGCCAAGTTTGCAGATGGAACCCAGAAGTGTGTGGGGCTTCGCTGTGAAATCACTTGTAGCTTAACAATGGCGTGGGGAATCTCAGAGTAAGCCCGGAGTTAGTTGAAAGGAGTCTTTAGCCAAAACGTTTATAATTTATTCTGGGGCGGGGCCGGGGGAGGGGGCGGTGGCGGTCAGCAGGCCTGTGGGAGGAGGGTGTTCAAAGGAGTAAAGGGGGCTCAAAGAGAGAAATAGATTCTTGTTTCCTTTTTCATGTCAAAAGTTTTATTTCATGTCAAAAGTTTTATTTCAAAGGAAGACTAAATATTACTCTTATTCTGCCTGAATGGCCAAGTTTCCAAGTTTTTCTCAATCAACATGCAATCCTGTTAATCTAAAATGCTTGAATTTCTTGCTACTCTGCTTTACAGGGTTCCGTAACTTTTTTTTTTTTTTAAATCTGCAAGGTGGAAGAAAAGTCTAACACTTTCACTTTAGAGTTACGATACTGACCAAAAAGGCACTGACAGCCCAGGTGCGCTGGCTTCCTTCCAGCTGAGCGCTGTCCCCGCGCCGCCTCCAGGGGTCGGCAGAATGCTGAACAGTAAGCATGGCGCATCCTCAACCTTGGCCCCACAATGAATCACCCGAGAAAATTAAAAAACCACCAGGGCCCGAGCCGCAGCCCAGGCTGGAAAGTGGGGTGTTCAGGAAGACCCCAGTACTTTTTAAAGCTGCCCGGGAGAGTCCCACGTGCAGCCAAGGGTGGGGAATTACCCACTTAATAAAAACTTCCCCTGTAAATGCGATGTTTCATTTTTAATGTATAACAGTTTTCTGAAATATTACCGTTGTTTTCATCGTATAGGTACATGTACATGTGCACACACAGACACATGCATGTGTGTAAATACTAATTTTAAAAATAATGGTTACGAGGACATTTACATCGCTCCAGTTGGAGTCCTGTCCAATCCTGAGGGCGGGTCTAATGAGGGGCCGTACCTTCCAAGATTTCACTCCGCCCCTCGACGCCGCGCGGCGCTGCGCGTGCGCAAACGCCTTTCCCTGGCGAGCCGGATCTCGGAGCGTCCCCGCGCCTCTCCGCGGCCGCCCGGGGAGGGGAGGGCCCGTCCCGCCCCTCCCCGTCTCTCCCCGCCCCTCCCCGTCCCTCCCGCCGAAGCTCCGTCCCGCCCGCGGGCCGGCTCCGCCCTCACCTCCCGGCCGCGGCTGCCCTCTGCCCGGGTTGTCCAAGATGGAGGGCGCTCCACCGGGGTCGCTCGCCCTCCGGCTCCTGCTGTTCGTGGCGCTACCCGCCTCCGGCTGGCTGACGACGGGCGCCCCCGAGCCGCCGCCGCTGTCCGGAGCCCCACAGGTAGGGCAGGGCGGGCCTGGCTGGCCGCTTTACGACTCCGACTCTCCGGGAGGCCCGGGCTGTCCACAGTGACGCTTCCCACATCCCACCGGCGGGCAGGGGCGGGGGTCCGGGCCCCCGAAGGAGGTGTGGGGAGAAGCACCCCAGGAAATGGGGGCGGCGTGGGAGGCCGAGGTAAGAGGAAAGGGACCCACTGGGGCTGCGTCGCTGTGAGTGAGCCTCGAGCCACTCCACACCGACTCTCCGGCGGCCCAAGCCGGCGCGCGACCTGACGGGGCTTTGCCGTCGAAGCGCGCGGTTGCCGGTGATCAGGCCTTCGTAATGGCGCCTTCCCGGGGTAGAGCCAGCGCTTGGGCAAGGAATGTTTGTGTGCTCGGGAAGTGTGGAAGTTGCCCACTTCGCGCATTTCCAGGCCACTTGTGCCTGCTCGGCCTGCGATCGCGAGGGTCCGCCGTTCCGAGGCTGCGGGGCTCCGCCGGGCTCAGGTGGGCAGAGGGAGAGACCTGGCCCTCGCGCGACGTAATGTTTTTGTCGGATGTTGGAGGAGAAGTTCTCACGGCGGGGCGCGATCGGCGGTGTCCGCATCCCCTGGGGACTCAGCCCGGCCTCTGGGGGCGGGGCCCAGCAGTCCGGGTTGGAGAGTCCTGCAGGTGCTTCTGATGCCAGCTGAGGTGGGAGAATCGAGGCATCCTAACATTAAAACGTGGCTGATGCTCACCATTCCTGCCGTAGAGTCGTGCCTACCTAGGCCAGTATCAGCCTTTTTTCAGTAGAATGGTAGGGAAAAGTTTGAATATTTTAAAGAGCAAGTGTTCTGAGAATGACAAGAAACTATGTCGGTACACCTCTTCCTAGTCAAGACTTGAATATGAACACTCTAAATACAAAGGCGAAGGGCACGGTAAGTGTCACTTTGACCAACAAGGTGAAACCCCGTCTCTACTAAAAATAGAAAAATTAGCTGGGCGTGGTTGCAGGTGCCTGTAGTCCCAGCTACTCGGGAGGCGGAGACAGGAGAATTGCTTGAACCCGGGAGGCAGAGGTTGCAGTGAGCCGAGATCGTGCCACTGCATTCCAGCCTGGGTGAGGGAGCTCAAAACAAAACAAACAAACAAAAACAAAAAAACCAAGTGTTAACGTTTTAGGATAATGACATTACCCCACGTGGGTACAAAAATGATGAGCATGTCTCAGTTCTGCAGGGCATTCCAAGAAGCCACGACATTGCCTGCCATAAGAACCACCTATATCTGAAATTATATGTGGACCACAGTTGCATCTGGTTAAACAATAGGAATGTGATGGACAGGCACCAAGGGACCAAATAAAAGTGAAATAGTTCTAAAAAGTTCTGGAAATACGGACATTATTTTCCTATTTTTCAAGTTTTAAAGATTCATAATTGACACCTATGTGTCAATGAGATGTTTACGTCTATATAATCTGCGAAAAATACATTTTGACTGCAGGCTTAAAATACACTGCATTGTCGGCTGGCTCTTAGTGATGATTTTACTATTTCAGTTCTCCCTTCTTGGGCCTTCATTTCACTTTCAGAAAGTCCAGATCTAAACTCGGAAATTCACATATTACGCTGGGTGCAGTGGCTCACGCCTGTAATCCCAGCTACTGGGAATCCAAAGCCAGAGGATTGCCTGAGACCAAGAGTTGGGTGTTGGATGATAAGCCTGGTTAACATAGCAAGAGCCTGTCTCAACAACAAAAAGTTTCACAGATTAAATGAGTGCTGAACAACTAGAAAGAGAATCTCATTACCTGGACTGTGTCTGTGGGAAACTGAAGTCCCTTGATCTAAGTCTTCTCAACGTCTTATTGTGAAACATTTCCAATAGGAAAGAATTTCACAGTGGTCCCACATATTGTGTAAGTGCTGTCCAGTAGAACTTTCTGCCTTGATGGTTATGTCTTTTCTCACCTTGTGGGTAGCCACTAGACTGCTGTGGCCACTGAGCACTTGAAATGTGGCCAGTGCCAGTGAGGAACTGTTTTTAAATTTTTATTTAATTTTAATCAATGTAAATGTAAATAGTCACAAGTGATTAGTGTGTACCATATTGAACAGTGCAGAACCAGACTACCCTTAACATTACTAGCTTTATCACATCTGTCCATCCTCGTTTCCAGTCTGATATAAATTAAACTGGTTGAAGTCAGGAAAATTCTGCCTTCTTCCGATGACTCAGATTTATTGGACTATAAGCATTTTTCTGTTTTTATGTATGCAGTTGTCAGAAGTTGAGGTAATACAAGATTGCACATAAGATTGAAAAATAAAAGTCTTTTTTTTTTTGAGACGGAATATCTCGCTCTGTCTCACACAGGCTGGAGTGCAGTGGCATGATCTCGGCTCACTGCAGCCTCTGCCTCCCAGGTTCAAGTGATTCTCCTATCTCAGCCTCCTGAGTAGCTGGTACTACTGGCGCGTGCCACCACACCTGGCTAGTTTTTGTATTTTTATTTTTATTTTTTTATTTTTTGTTTTTTATTTTTGAGAGAGAGTCTCACTCTGTCTCCCAGGCTGGAGTGCACTGGCATGATCTCGGCTCACTGCAACTTCTGCCTCCTGGGTTCAGGTTCAAGTGATTCTCCTGCCTCAGCTTCCCAAGTAGCTGGGATTACAGGCTCCCGCCACTGCGCCCAGCTAATTTTTTTATATTTTTAGTAGAGATGGGGTTTCACCATGTTGGCTAGGTTGGTCTCGAACTCCTGACCTCAAGTGATCCACCCGCCTCAGCCTTCCAAAGTGCTGGGATTACAGGTGTGAGCCACTGCGCCCGGTCACTTTTTTTTTTTTTTTTTGACGTGAAGTCTCGCTCTGTCCCCCATCCTGCACAGTGCAGTGGTGCAATCTCGGCTCACTGCAGCCTCTGCCTCCCGGGTTCCAGCGATTCTCCTGCCTCAGCCTCCCAGATAGCTGGGATTACAGGCACGTGCCACCATGCCTGGCTAATTTTTGTATTTTTAGTAGAGACGGGGTTTCACCATGTTGGCTAGCTGGTCTCAAACTCCTGACCTCAGGTGATCCACCCGCCTCAGCCTCCCAAAGTGCTAGGATTACAGGCATGAGCCACCATGCCCGACCGAAAAATAAAAGTCTTTATAGTAAATTCTTCTAATACTAAAATAACTTGGTCACCAAAGAGAGGCATTCGGAGGACACTTACTTTCTTGTATGCATAACTGTATATTTCGCTCAGACGTATTTTAAACCAGCTGTCTATTACCTTTATTCTTAGGAAGACACTTATGTCCCCAGTGGGCATCCTATGAGTAAAGGAATTAGAAGAATTGAAGATTTTTAGGGAGAAACTTTTCAGTGTCCCCAAGCACTTTTTAAGTATATGCAACCCTGGCTTACGAGCCTGAACTTCCAGTTCAATCAGAAGTTCTCAAGAACAATAAATATGACCTGGCTCTGAACTCCTGGCCAGGGGGCAGTAAGGAGTGTGATTCCCTTTTGCAGTGAAATCATTCAGAAAGACCAGAAAATAATTTTGTTGTACTTGGTTCTCTGGAAAATATAGTGTGCTTGTGTCTGTTAATTGTCTTTTTCAAACTCTGTAATTTTACTAGGTAGGTTTTATATATATATATATATATATATATATATATATATATATATATATATATATATATATATATAAAGTTCAGTAACTTGCTAACAATATAGTGTTCACTGCTAAAAGGCAGAAGCTATAAAATGGTTTCCTAGAACAACATTGGAGGCTTACTTCTGGGCTGTTAGAAGAATAATAGTTTATAATTAATACATTCTCTAGTTTGCAAAGGAGATCCATATGACTTGAATTTGGACACAAAACAATGTAGCTATCAATCTCATAGCTCATTGAATGTGGATTTGTTTTAGATGCACTATTGGTTCTAACCGTCTAGATCAAGGTGAGCCAGGAAAAAGCTGGCTAGTTCTGAGGAATTTCTAGTTAGAAAGCTTCCTAGGCTCCTAGTTGGGAAGTGAACCAAAGTCACCCTAAATGTATGATGTTGGTCTTGTGTGGTATGAATCCTCTTTCACAAATTATTCCTGGAATCAGCTCGACCTCATGAAATTTCATCAGTCTTATTCTCTCATTTGTGGGAAATTATATATAAAGTATTTAGGATACTCAGGGCCAGCAGATATACTTGTATATTCTTTTTGATGTTTATGAACAGTTTTCCTATTTTCTAAGTTAATACAACCTCAAAGAAAAAGTATTTGAGAGTATTGTTTTTATTCCAGAATAACAATGTCTATTTGTGAATAAACTTAGGAAAGAATTTGATTTAGAAATGATAGATTGTAGTTCCTGTGGTCAGTGGTAAATACTTCTTAAAATAGTGCTTGCTTCTGTATATAAAGCATGTCATCTTCAATATTTGGGTATCCTGCTTTTGATAATACCTTGAGAGGCAATAAAATTGGAGCATTACAGATGCTTGTATAAGAAACACACTCAAGAAAGGGTCAGTGCAACTTTGGTCAGGTGCGGTGGCTCACGCCTGTAATCCCAGCACTTTGGGAGGCCGAGGTGGGTGGATCACGAGGTCGGGAGTTCGCAACCAGCCTGACCAACGTGGTGAAACCCCCGTCTCTACTAAAAATACAAAAATTAGCCAGGTGTGGTGATGCATGCCTGTAATCCCAGCTACTCAGAAGGCTGAGGCAGGAGAATCACTTGAACCCGGGAGGCGGAGATTGCAGTGAGCCAAGATCGCCACTGCACTCTAGCCTGGGCAACAGAGCGAGACTCCCTCTCAAAAAAAAAAAAAAAAAAGTCATTGCAACTTTATTTATAAAAGGAAAAAAGTTGGAAACAACTCAGATGTCCGTGGGTAATAGAATAAATAAGTAAATTGGTAGTCAGAGATGGACTACTGTGATTACAGCTATGTGCATCAACAGTATCAACTACAGTTACGGAAGAATACATGTGTACTGTTATCCCACTTACATAAAGCTCAGAAACAGATAAAACTAAGCAACATATTGTTTAGAGAGAGAGACACAGGTAGTAAAACTATAAAGAAAAGCAAGAAATGATTCAAATGGAATTGGGTATAGGATTCCTTCTGGGGGGATAGAGGGCAATCATGCAGAGCCTGCCAAGGTAGGGGTAATATTTTATATTTTATCCTCGGTGGTACTTACAGGAGTGCTCATCTTTTAAACTCTATATTTGCATATTATATACTCATGTGATACTTTTCACAAGTAAATAGAAAAAGTATATATTATAAAAAATTAGACCGGGCGCGGTGACTCACGCCTGTAATTCCAGCACTTTGGGAGGCCGAGGAGGGCGGATCACGAGATCAGGAGTTCAAGACCATCCTGGCCAACATGGTGAAACCCCATCTCTACTAAAAATACAAACATTAGCTGGGTGTGGTGGTGCATGCCTGTAATCCCAGCTACTCGGGAGGCTGAGGCAGGAGAATTGCTTGAACCCAGGAGATGGAGATTGCAGTGAGCCCAGATTGCGGTACTGCACTCCAGCCTGGCGACAAAGTGAGACTCTCAAAAAATAAATAAATAAATAAATAAATAATTGGAATTGTAAATAAGGGTGGAAAAATGGCTATAAAATGGAAAAGATGATCTTTTAAACTCTCTTAATGCTGTTATAAGTGATTGTACAATAGATACAATTGGAGGGAAAAGAGAAAGCCACGTTGTTCTCAATCTGTGAGATGCACACCTTCCAATTTACACAATACTTGTTTTACAGGACGGCATCAGAATTAATGTAACTACACTGAAAGATGATGGGGACATATCTAAACAGCAGGTTTGTCTCCTTTTCTGGTTTTAATATATAATTTAGCTAAGTGCTATGCAGCTTATTTGATTTTTTAACTTGCACGTCTCATTTAGTTAATCTTTTTTGACTTGAAGAGTTTGCTATTGTTTATAAATATTGGAATTAATGTATATGCTGCTTTATTTTAAGGTTGTTCTTAACATAACCTATGAGAGTGGACAGGTGTATGTAAATGACTTACCTGTAAATAGTGGTGTAACCCGAATAAGCTGTCAGACTTTGATAGGTGAGTATTACTAAATTATTTCCATAATTGCTCTGTTTTTTGTGTGTTTGTTGTTGTTGTTGTTGTTGTTTGTTTTTTGAGACAGTCTTGCTCTGTCACCCAGGCTGGAGTGCAATGGTGCGATCTCAGCTCACTGCAACCTCTACCTCCTAGGTTCAAATGATTCTCATTCCTCAGCCTCCAAAGTAGCTGGGACTGCAGGCATGTGCCACCATACCCGGCTAACTTTTGTAATTTTAGTAGAGACAGGGTTTCGCCATGTTGGCCAGGCTGGTCTTGATTGAACTCCTAGCCTCAAACCATCTACCCTCCTCTGCCTCTCAAAGTGCTGGGATTACAGATGTGAGCCCCTGTGCCTGGCCTGTTCTGTTTTTAATAATACTAAATTAGCAAAACAATTTTTGGATGTTATATATTTCCATTTTAAAGTAAAAATAGGCTGGGTGCAGTGGCTCACGCCTGTAATCCCAACACTTTGGGAGGCCGAGGTGGGCAGATCACGAGAGGTCAGGAGTTTGAGACCAAACTGGCCAACACGGTGAAACCCCATCTCTACTGAAAATGTGGTGTGTGCGCCTGTAATCCCAGCTACTCAGGAGGCTGAGGCAGGAGAATCGTTTGAACCCAGGAGGCGGAGGCTGCTGTGAGCTGAGATCACGCCACTGCACTCTAGCCTGAGCAACAGAGCAAGGCTCCGTCACAAAAAAAATAAAAATAAAGTAAAAATATACATCACTGAAGCAAGATCCCAGGAGTTTGAGGCTGCAGTGAGCTATAATCATGCCACTGCACTCCAGCATGGGTGACAGAACAAGACCCCATCTCTAAAACACACACACAGATCATTATCAGAATGTACAATAACACTAATGTGTTTAAAACTCTGTTCTTGTTTTATATTGGCTGCTTCTCGCATATTCACTATTTTCCATAAGATCAGTATTGATGAAACTGTATTTCTGGTAAGTAGATAACGATGTAAGAATGTGCATAGAGGCGGGGCATGGCGGCTCTAGCACTTTGGGAGGCTGAGGCGGGTGAACTGCCTGAGCCCTGAGTTCGAGACCAGCCCGGGCAACATGGTAAAACCTTGTCTCTGCAAAAAATACAAAAATAAATTAGCTGGGTGTGGTGATGTGTGCCTGTAGTCCCAGCTACTCCTGAGAGGTGGGAGGATCGCCACTGTACTCCAGCCTGGGCAACAGAGTAAGACCCTGGCTCAAAAAAAAAAAAATGTGCATAAAGGTAGTAAATGGGATAGCAAGAGCCAAGAAAATGAATTGTCTGATTATCTAGTATTCAGTTTCTTCTACCCTTATGTCAGTAGAACATTTTCTTTTTAACCTTTAAAAATTTTGAGTTGTTTAAAGGTAAGCAGGTATGTTGCATTGGAATATGCCATATTATTTGGATGAAATAGCAAATACAAAGAATATACATAGGATTTTTTTTTTTTTTTTTTTGAGATGGAGTTTTTGCTCTTGTTGTCCAGGCTGGAATGCAGTGGCGCGATCTCGGCTCCCTGCAACCTCCTCCTCCTGGGTTCAAGTGATTCTCCTGCCTCAGCCTCCCGAGTAGCTTGGATTACAGGTGCCCGCCACCATGCCCGGCTAATTTTTGTATTTTTAGTAGAGATGGGGTTTCACCATATTGGTCAAGGCCGGTCTCGAACTCCTGACCTCAGGTGATCCGCCTGCCTCGGCCTCCCAAAGTGCTGGGATTACAGGCGTGAGCCACCGTGCCCGGCCCACTTGTTGTTTCTGTCAGTCTGTCTTTTAGTTGGGATTTTAACTTATTTACATTAATAAAATTACTGATACATTTGGATTTAAATCCTCCTTCTTGTTTCCTCTTTGTCCCAACTGTTCTGTGTTTCTTTTTCTTCCCCCTTTGCCTTCTTCTAGGTTAGTTATTTTTGGTATCATAGTTCCCTTCTGTCTTGGTTTTACGTAATTTTACTATTCTTTTAGTGGTTACCCTTGCTATCAATAGATTAGTACTTTTGGCTGGGCATGGTTGCTCATGCCTGTATTCCCAGCCCTTTGGGAGGCCAAAGCTGGAGGATCACTTCAGTCTGGGAGTTCGAGACCAGCCTGGGCAACATAGGGAAACCTATGAGCCCAGTGTGGTGGTGCAGGCTTGTTTTCCCAGCTACTTAGGAGGCTGAGGTGAAAGGATCCCTTGAGCTCAGGAGATAGAGGCTGCAGTAAGCTGTGATTGTACCACTGTAGTCCATCCTGGGTGACAGAGTGAGACCCTGTCTCAAAAAATGAATTTAAAAAATAAAAATAAATAAATTTGTACTTTTATCACTTCCCAAACAATGCAAGAACCTTAGAACACTTAAATTCCATTTATTCCCTTTTTGCCTTTGGGTTATTATTATATATTTTAACTCTTTGTGTTCTTAAACCCCATGTGACATAATTATTGTTTTATGTAGTCCAATATTCATGTGTGTTTACCATCATAGTTACCTTTTTCATTGCTCTTTATTCCTTCCTATCTGTGCTCCACTCTATATCATTTGGTTGGAATTTCAAGTTCCAAAATTCTTTCTTCTATCCCTATTTCTCTGTACATTCTGCAACTCCTGCCTTGCCCTCACACACATGCATTGTGCCCTGGTTGTCATTTTCCTTCGGCCTAAAGAATTCCCTTTGGTATTTCTTTCAGTACAGGTTTGTTAGCAGTGAATGGTCTGAGGTTTTATTTGTCTGAAAACATCTCTTTGCCTTCATTTTAGAAGGCTATTTTTGCTGGCTGTGGAAGCATAGCTTAGCATTTTTGTTTTAACATTTAAACACTTCATTTTCTCCCCTGCTGGGTGAGACTGCCAGACACTTTGTCGAGCTTTTTTGCCTCCTAGTCGTTGCTTTCTACTCAGCTTTTCAACCTCTCCACCTGTTCTGTCTGGGAGTTGGCAAATGCCTTTGCGGGAAGAAATCACATAGGATATTGTACTCACCTCAGGGAGCTCTTTTCTTGGCCCTTCAAGTGCTGGCTGTCTTTAGCTTCTGATGCCTCTACACAGATGTAGGTTTTGTGTGTATGTGTGGGTGTGTATTTTTTACATCTTTTCTAGCAGTTCTTTGCAAGTGGTTCATTGCAAGAGGGTTGGTGTGCTGCAAGCTGATCCATGGTAGCTAAGAAAGGAAGTGCTAGTACTACTGAAATAATAATTCTTTTGTTGTTGTATTCACTGGGAATTGGACGTGGAATACAGCCTGTCTCCTCTCTTATGGCCATCTTTTAGTCATCCCAGTCATTGCACTGAGTTTGTTTCTATGATAACTGAAATAAATGCTCATCTTATCCAGTTACAGCAAGAATCTTCAAAACATTAAATGCAGCAACAACAACAAATCTTCTTTAATTCTTTAAAGAAACTTTTTCTTTAGTTGGTGTATTTGTTTATTGCTGCATAACAGTTTAACCCAGAAATCAGTGGCCTAAGACAATATTTATTATTTCATAGTTTCTGTAGGTCGAGAATCTGAGCTTGGCTTAGCAGGGTCCTGTGGTTCTCAAAAGGCTGCCATCACGTCAGGGCTCAGCTGGGAAAAATCTGCTTCCCAGCTCACTCATGTGGTTGTTGGCAGGAGTCAGTTCCTTCTGAGCTCTTGAACTGAGGCCTCAGTTCCTCACCAGATGTTGGTTGAAGGTCTTCCTCAGTTCCTTGTCACACGAAGCTCCCCATAGAGCATCTCACAACATGGCAACTAGCTTCATCGAGAGGACAAGAGAGACTGCCAGTAAGAAAAAGAGTACTAGCAAGACAGAAGTCATAGCCATTAATAATCTAATTGTGGCAGTAACATTCCATCACTTGGGCTATGCTCTGTTTGTTAGAAACGAGTCACTAGGCTGTGTGCATTGGCTCATGCCTGTAATCCCAGCTATTTGGGAGGCTAAGGCTGGAGGATCACTTGAGGCCAGGAGTTCAAGACCAGCCTAGGCAAGATAGCAAGGCTGTCTCTTTCAAAAGAACAAAAAAAGAAAAAAAAATCATTCATAGATCGATAGATAGATAGGTAACTAACTGACTAGTCACTAGGTCCAGCCCACTTGAGGGAGGAATTGCAGAAATGTCTGACTCCTTAGAGGCAAGGGTCATTGAGGGGCATTTTTGAAAGCCGCCTACCACAGTAAGGAAGTCAATATGAAGGGCTTTGTTGTTTTTTATTTAATTTTATGCTGTATTAGAGGTACTGTATGAGGCTCTTCTCACATTGCTATAAAGAAATACCTGAGACTGGGTAATTTATAAAGAAAAGAGGTTTAATTGGCTCATGGTTCTGCAGGCTGTACAGGAAGCATGGCACCAGCATCTGCTCAGCTTCTAAGGAGGCGTCAGGAAGCTTTTACTCATGGTGGAAGGCAAAGGGGGAGCCAGTATCTCACATGGCAGAGCAGGAGCAAGAGAGAGCAAGAGTGGCAGTGGGGTGCCGTAACCCCAAGCCATGAGGGATCTGCCCCCATGGCCCAAACATCTCCCACCAGGCCCCGCCTCCAACATTGGGAATTACATCTCAACATGAGATTTGCGGGGAACATCCAAACTATATCAGGTACCAAATTTGCAGGCTGAAGAATTGCCACTTGGGTGTATTTTTATGACTGCATTTTCTCACCCATTGAGTCTCCTGTACCTTAGTCTTTGGGCTTACGGACATGCTGACACAGCGCCTGCTGTTCCACGAAGGAGACCCACGGGTGGTAATGGTCAGTTAAAACACGGGGATGGACCATGAGAGAGGGGGTACCTTTGACAGTGGTGCTTTTCAAAGGGCATGAAGGATTAGGCACACTAGAGAGAGGAGCAGCGAGGGGCCAGATGAGGAGCCTGAGGAGGACCAGTGAGAGGACCGGGAACTTCACAGAAGTGCCACTAAAGGTGTGTGAGCAGGAGGCTGTGGACTGAAAACCACGTCACAGTGAGACGAGCTTGGCATGTTGTCTGAATGGTTTGGCGGCGGGGACTAAAGCAGGGGAGAATAGGTAGGTATATCTTGTAATAGTAAGTAGTTAATGAACTAGATATTGAGATATTCCAGACAAAGGAAGTAGCCCTATAGATGCACAGAATCAGACTAAACAGCTGGGTGTGCATTCAGATTGTATATCTGGATTCCTGTTTGGCAAAAATCTTCAGATTATTTGAGGGATAGAAATAAAATGCTCCATCTGTGACAGGTGCATTGGTGTATGTTGTTTTATCTTTTTCGATAGCACTTCTACCTTAATAGAGTAGCCGTTGGCTCTGTAAACCAGCTGCAGCTACTACACCCCGTTTCTACTGGAGCAGGAGTAGAGGTTTCCTAGCTAGAGAAGAACGTGGACAATAGCTAGTCCTACCCCATTATCGATTACCAGAGAGAAATGACAGGCCTCCCCCACCCTCTTTCCCCATTCCTGCTCTCTCTAATAGTAATGAGTCACTAATCGGGGAAAGGATTGATTAAAAAACTCAATGTTCTTACTGCTTGGGCATCTTCTCTCACAGGATTTTGTGGATGGATGAATGTATGTGCTTATTATGTTAAAACGTGGGATTGGCTGTATCTTCTGGCTGGCTTTATAGTTGTGCCATGTTGGTTCCTCATGGCCAACCTGTATAAAAGAATAGGAAAGATGGGCCAGGCGTGGTCGTTCACGCCTGTAATCCCAGCACTTTGGGCAGCCAAGGTGGGTGAATCACTTGAGGTCAGGAGTTAGCAAGACCAGCCCGGCCAATATGGTGAAACCCTATCTCTGCTAAAAATACAAAAAAACAGCTGAGCATGGTGGTGCAAGCCTGTAAACCCAGCTACTTGGGAGGCTGAGGCAGGAGAATCCCTTGAACCCAGGAGGCAAAGGTTGCAGTGAGCCAAGGTGGCACCACTGCACTCCAGCCTGGGCGACAGAGCAAGACTCCATCTCAAAAAAAAAAAAAAAAAAAAAAGAATAGGAAAGATGTTGCTAGTGTGGTATTTCATACAAAGTCTAAAGATCAACACATTTTACCCTTTCAAATGAGTGTAAGCAGTCATAAAGATTTGTCAGATTGTCTTTGTTTTTAATAAATCTGAAACAGCATTGAGGTCAGGGATGAAGAAAGCCAAAGAAATGGGTTTTCAACTGTCTTGTTCCATGTAAATGTCATCAAAATAATCACACTCACTCACAGATTTGGTGGTAATCTTTGTTCAAAGGTGTCACTACTTTTTTTTTTATAGTGAAGAATGAAAATCTTGAAAATTTGGAGGAAAAAGAATATTTTGGAATTGTCAGTGTAAGGATTTTAGTTCATGAGTGGCCTATGACATCTGGTTCCAGTTTGCAACTAATTGTCATTCAAGAAGAGGTAGTAGAGATTGATGGAAAACAAGTAAGATAGTATGTTTATTAATTGGGAATTAAATGATATTTAGATTTGTGCTAGATATTATGCATGTGTTCAGTTATTTTATTTGTTTCCGACTTGATAAGGAAGGTGCCTAATGTTGCCTATATCCAATTATTTAGAATTTTTGTATATTTATTTTAGCATTTGAAATGTATTTTTAAAATTTCCCATATTCATACATGTTTGTATCACTTTAAAATGTACAGACATTATTAAATAGAAAGTAAGCAAAGAGATTCAATTTGGCTCATAGTTCTGCTACCATTTCCTCTATGGTAAATGAAGTCTCTGTGTGTAAATGAAGTAGAATCGAGATTAAGCTTATAATAGTAAGTGTTAAAGCAGGACAGGAATATTATTAAAGTTGCAAGTTAAGTGCCCCAAAGTGGGAGTACGGGGAAATAAATAGTAATTGTTAGCTGGGCATGGTGGCTCACACCTGTAATCCCAGCACTTTGGGAGGCCAAGGTGGACGAATCACCTGAGGTCAGGAGTTCTAGACCAGCCTGACCAACATGGAGAAACTCCTTGTCTCTACTAAAAATACAAAGTTAGCTGGGCATGGTGGCGCATGCCTGTAATCCTAGCTACTCGGGAGGCTGAGGCAGGAGAATCGCTTGAACCCAGAAGGCGGAGGTTGCGGCAAGCTGAGATCGCACCATTGCACTCCAGCCTGGGCAACAACAAGAGCGAAACTCCATCTCAAAAAAAAAAAAAAAGAGTAATTGTCTGAATAGGACACATGTTTTAGTTATATAAATCTGGGAGGAAAATTTGCTTTTAAATTTTTATGGGGCTGTGCTACTATTTAAAATAAAGAATAATTATATTTTCTTTCACAGGTTCAGCAAAAGGATGTCACTGAAATTGATATTTTAGTTAAGAACCGGGGAGTACTCAGACATTCAAACTATACCCTCCCTTTGGAAGAAAGCATGCTCTACTCTATTTCTCGAGACAGTGACATTTTATTTACCCTTCCTAACCTCTCCAAAAAAGGTAACTTAAAAGACCATTATTTAAAGTATTAAGGAGATTATTTATTTAGTTGGTAGCTTTATATACTCTTGAACTTTGTTATTTTTTACACTATTTGCAAAAGTTGCTATTTATCTTTAATAGTTAATATGTTTGGAAATGAGCTTGTTTAAAAAAATGCTTCATAACATGTATTGCTTCATATGTCCATTTAAGGACTTTAGGACTCTATTTGGAGCATTAGTAGAATGTGATCAGTGCTGGTTGCATAGTGACATTTTTCAGTAATTACTCTTACTCTGGGTACTGATCACAAAATATGTAATAAGACTATTGTAAAGGTTCATTCAGAGGAAGAACTATTCATTTTTTCACAGAAACATAGAACTTCTAAAATTTTGGCTTTCTATGTGACAGAATCATAACTGCTTTAGCTCCTTATACGTGTCTTAGTTTATAGTTCTCTTCTGACATTTAAATCAGTGAACATTCAGATGTGTTAATTTTTTCTCCCATGGTAAAATATGTGTTCTTACTATCCTAAATGCTATTGGTATCGTAATCTTAGGACTAGTAGGATAAGACACCAGCATTTTGGTAACGTTGCTCTTTCTCCTGGGTAGAAAGTGTTAGTTCACTGCAAACCACTAGCCAGTATCTTATCAGGAATGTGGAAACCACTGTAGATGAAGATGTTTTACCTGGCAAGTTACCTGAAACTCCTCTCAGAGCAGAGCCGCCATCTTCATATAAGGTAAATCAAGTATTTGGTGTTATCATAAGCATTCATGGTTAAGATGAAGAAAATCGACCCTAGCATTTAAAATGGAGTGGAAATCCTGAAGAATGGAACTGTAGAGCATTGGTGATAATGGACTCATCTTGGTCTTAATGTGATATTTTTAGTATTCCTATTTTCCTCTTCGAGCTTTGTTTAATAATATTGTAGTCAGATCATGATTATCAAGGTGCTGGATTTCATTTGGTTGGAATTATAAATTCCACAGTTATTTCTCATATCCAGATTTCTGTGTTTATTCTGTACCCGCTACCTCGCATACACACATATGCATTGTGCCCCCAGGATCTTGCCCAGTGATTCAGCTCAGGTGGTTGAGAATATACTTCCTAGAGTCAGCCTGCCCAGGCTTGAAACCTGGTTCTGCCGCTGACTAGTTGTGTGATCTTGAACAAATTTTTTCTTTTTCTTTGAGATGGAGTCTCACTCTGTCACTTAGGCTGGAGTGCAGTGGTGTGATCTCGGCTTACTCCTCCACCTCCTGGGTTCAAGTGATTCTCCCACCTCAGCCTCCTGAGTAGCTGGGATTACAGGCACACGCTACCACGCCCAGCTAATTTTTGTATTTTTAGTAGAGATGGAGTTTCACCATGTTGGCCAGGCTGGTCTCAAACTCCTGACTTCAAGTGATCCGCCCATCTTGGCCTCCCAAAGTGTTGGGATTATAGGCATGAGCCACCATCCCCGGCCGATAATTACTCTTTATTTCCCCGTACTCCCACTTTGGGGCACTTAATCTCTCTACCCTCAGTTTCTTTATCTGTACAATGGGGCACCCACTTAATCTGAATAGCAGTGTAAAGTAGTATCTCATGAAGTTGTTACAAGGATTAAATAAGTTGGGTACTACATATAAATATGCATTGGCACCTACTAATTTCTCAGATGTTACCTGTGACATTTATACTGCTTACCAGGAATATATTCATGGGTTCAGAGAGTATCCCGATATCTCTCTGTATATTAAGTAGACTCCTACCCAAAATTCATTTTAAATGAGCAGGGTCTATGGTTGGTATTAAAGGAGTAGTAGTTCTCACTGAAGGTCAGGCTTGCATATTTGAGGTCACTTCAGCAGTCTGGACTGTAGCACCTTTACCCTGTCTACCTCACCTCCCTTAGCAGCTCAGCCCCAGAGCAGACTGTCTTCATAGTCCGTGCCATCAGTGCCGACCTTAAGTTCTGCTCTCGCTCTTAAAGTATAGAAACATGTTTTGTACACAGTGAACTTCCCATGTATTCTAAAATTTTCTAATATGTTTGTCTTTCTCTTCCTTCTCTTGTGCTCTAGGTACTGGAAACAGTTGACTCTGCTCCATTTCGTTTATAATGGACTAGCCTAACGAATCTCTTGTCAATTAGCAATTATTTTCACTTGATTTGTAGTTAGAAAACAATATAAATAATTTTACAGGCTATTAACATTTTTGTGCTTGTATTGTTAGAACATAATTTTTAAAGTTGTAAGTAACTTCATTGAGGTACATTCTAAAATAAAATCACCATTTAAAATATACAATTAGTTTTGACAAATGTAGTCACCCATGTAACTACCAGCACAATCAAAATATAGAATATTTTTATCATCCCAAAGCTAAAACATTAAAAAATTTAAAGTTTATTCTTAGAGATTGATGCAACTTGCATATCTAATCGAAATTCCTTTTTCAGGTAATGTGTCAGTGGATGGAAAAGTTTAGAAAAGATCTGTGTAGGTTCTGGAGCAACGTTTTCCCAGTATTCTTTCAGTTTTTGAACATCATGGTGGTTGGAATTACAGGAGCAGCTGTGGTAATAACCATCTTAAAGGTGTTTTTCCCAGTTTCTGAATACAAGTAAGTATTTCTTATTTTTGAAATGTTAGTATTTTTAATGATTAAAAAGTGAGACATATTTGCTATGTTTTAGAATAGAAAATATAAAAATTAGAAAGGGTAAGACAAATGGGAGGGAAAATAACACCTACTGTTTTTCTAGCTCATCTTCCAATGTTAGCAAAATTGAAACACATTTATTGAATAGCTATTGTGATCAAGACATTCTTGGAGAGATTCAGATGTAAGTAAGACAAACTCTGCTAAGAACTTAAAATCTAGTAGCAGAGGAAGGAAACAAATACATGTAATGGAAAATGCAACTGTATGATCAGAGGTGAACAAAACCCGAGGACTTCATGATGTATTTTCAACCCCAGAGTATCAGTTTAAAATGTTAATTTCAGTAGACAAGCAGGATATTCATTGCAGCATTGTTTGTAATAGAAAATAAAAGCAAAATAGGCTGGGCACGGTGGCTCATGGCTGTAATCCCAGCACTTTGGGAGTCCAAGGCAGGTGGATCATGAGGTCAAGAGATCGAGACCATCCTGGCCAACATGGTAAAACCCCATCTCTACTAAAAATAAAAAAAAATTAGCCTGGACCTGGTGGCTCATGCCTGTAATCCTGGCACTTTGGGAGGCCGAGGCGGGCAGATCACAAGGTCAGGAATTTGAGACCAGCCTGGCCAATATGATGAAACCCTGTCTCTACTAAAAATACAAAAATTAGCCAGCCGTGGTGGCAGGCGCCTGTAGTCCCAGTTACTCAGGAGGCTGAGGCAGGAGAATCACTTGAACCTGGGAGGCAGAGGTTGCAGTGAGCCGAGATTGCACCACTGCACTCCAGTCTGGGCGACAGAGTGAGACTTCATCTCAAAAAATAAAAATAAAAACTAGCTGGGCGTGTGGCACCCATCTGTAGTCCCAGCTTCTTGGGAGGCTGAGGCAGGAGAATCGCTTGAACCCGGAAGGCGGAGGTTGTGGTGAGCCGAGATCGCGCCATTGCACTCCAGCCTGGGAAACGAGCAAAACTCCCTCTCGAAAAAAAAAAAAAAAAGTAAAAGCAAAATAAAAGCCCTCTTAACTGTATATCAGTGAGGTCTAATGAGATTTTCTCTGGCTGAATAAGTCCAAAATCTATTATGTGGGGGGAAATATGGCAAAGCAGTATGATCACATTTAGGTAAAACAAAAGTATTATGTGTATATAAATGCATAGAAAATTTCTGGAATGAGAAAACAAGTTATCTCTAATGAGTGGGAATGAGAGCAGAGGTGGAGAGACTGACTTTGACTTCCTTTTGTATATTTTTTAGTCAAAAATTATAAAATTTAAAATGAATTATTGTTAGTATTTTTTCAAGTTAAATCAGTCGTTTTATTTTATTTTATTTTATTTATTTATTGAGATGGAATGTCACTCCATCACCCAGGCTGGAGTGCAGTGGCATGATCTTGGCTCACTGCAACCTCCGCCTCCTGGGTTCAAGCGATTCTCCTGCCTCAGCCTCCCGAGTAGCTGGGATTACAGGCATGCGCCACCTTGCTTGGTTAATTTTTGTATTTTTAGTAGAGATGGGGTTTTTCCACGTTGGCCCAGCTGGTCTCGAACTCCTGACCTCAGGTGGATCAGGTGGATCACGTCTCGGCCTCCCAAAATGCTGGGATTACAGGCGTGAGCCACTGCACCTGGCCCATTAGTCATTTTAATTATCTTAACAGAAACAAATCTCAATGCAGATGACCACAGTTCTTGGCTTAGCTACATTGCATTATACTGTTATGTAACAGGATTTTTGGAAAAGAAGACCTAATTTGAACATTTACTTTTCCACTTGCTTGTTGTGAGGTCTTTGAACCTCCGACTTCTTCAGGTGTAATGATGAACTAATGCCTCCCTTGAAGGATTGTTGAAAGTCAAAGTCATGAAGCAAGCAAAGCACCTGCAGAGTAAAGAAATATTAGTTGCCCCTCCCACCTCTTAGTTTACATTTCCACTGAATTGGCATTCCCATTCCTTTCTGATATAGAAATATCCTTATCCAAAATGCTTAGAACCAAAAGTGTTTCAGATTTCAGATTTTTTTGGAATTTTGAACATTTGCATTATACTTACTGGTTGAGCATCCTCAATCCAAAATCCAAAATGCTCTTGGGAGCATTTCCTTTGCATATATGGAAATATATATATAATACTTGTATATATTTTATATAAATATTTATAAATGTATATATATATAGAGAGAGAGAGAGAGAGACACGGGGATCTTGCTATGTTGGCTAGGTTGGTCTTGAACTCTTGGCCTCAAGTTGTCCTCCTGCCTTGGCCTCCCAAAGTGCTAGGATTACAGGTGTGAACCACTGTGCCTGGCCAAGCATTTTCTTTAAGTATCATGTTGGCACTCAAAAAGTTTTGGATTTTGGAGCATTTTGGATTTTGGATTAGGGATGCTTGACCTGTAATAAAAATTCTGTAGTTTAACAGATTTCTTTCCCCTTTGGCTGCCAGGAAGTTCCAAACTTTTTTGAACTTTATTATGTATACCTGCATAGAAAACGGTGTTGTAATGTTTTTCTTTTTCTTTTGCCATTGTTTTGTTATGGGTTTCTCTGCAGGAACAGATGCAATATAAAATTAAAAACCAAATTTGCAGTTGTACTGCAGATACTTCCTGGTAGAAAAGGATTTAATACAGAACTATAGAGAGCAATGAACTGAAAGTATCCCTTCTCTGTTCTTCAATTCTTATTCTACCTAGAGGTAGTCATTGTCAACTGAGTTGACATTTTTAATCCAAATTCTATGTATTAATGTAAATGTACACTAGATAATCATAATTGTTTATCAACTCAGATTGTTAATTGTTCTACATTGCATTTTTCACTTAAGACACAGGTTTCCCAAACTTTCTTGGTTTACAGTATCCTTAGTGTGCCAGTAAATTTTTTTAATGCCCCTATACTTAGGCCAAAAGACAAATATAAAGATTTTTATTTTTATTTTTTATTTATTTATTTATTTTGAGACAGAGTCTCACTCTGTCGCCCAGGCTGAAGTGCAGTGGCACAATCTCGGCTCGCTGCAAGCTCCACCTCCCGGGTTCATGCCATTCTCCTGCCTCAGCCTCCCGAGTAGCTGGGACTACAGGCACCCACCACCACGCCCAGCTAATTTTTTGTATGTTTAGTAGAGACGAGGTTTCACTGTGTTAGCCAGGATGGTCTTGATCCCCTGACCTCGTGAGCCCCCTGCCTTGGCCTCCCAAAGTGCTGGGATTACAGGGGTGAGCCACCGCGCCCAGCAATTTTGTTCTTAAATTACTAATTTAAGAAATACTAATGGGATGTGAGTGCCTATAGAGCACTACACAATACCTCATATCTTGGCATCAGACTGGAAATTGGCATCCTCATTTCTTGTTCAGTGTTAGTTTTGTACAGTATTTGCTTTTTATCATAGTAACCACCTGTGTTAAGCCATTTTGTGTTGCTTATAAAGTAATACCTGGGCTGGTTACTTTATAAAGAAAAGAGGTTATTTATTTAGCTCATGGTTCTGCAAGAACCGTGTAGGCTGTACAAGAAGCATGGTGCTGCCATCAGCTGGGCTTCTGGTGAGGTCCTCAGGCTGCTTCCACTCAGCAGCTTCGCAAGGCAAAGCATGTGCAGAGATCACATATCAAGAAAAGAAGCAAGAGGAACAGCAGGGGGGTGTCAGGCTCTTTTTAACAACCAGGTCTCCAGGGAATGAATAATGAGAACTCATTCCCTTCCCCTCCAGAGAGGGCATTAATCTGTTCATGAAGGATCTGTCCTCATGGCCCAAACACTTCCTATTAGGCCACACCTCCAACATAGGGGATTAAATTTTAACATGAGGTTTGGAGGGGAAAAACTTTCCAAATCTAGCACCACCAAAACCCAGCTTTGGAAAGATTGACTTCATTGAATGTTTTGCAATCTAATGTTAAAAGCATGAAGTAACCTCAAGGTAATATTACACATGAAGTCTCTTGAAAATTTATATTATTCTGTGGTGCCTCTGTGAGTTTGCTCACCAACCCAGGGACCTCAGTGCAGTTTGGGAACCATAGACCTAAGATCTTTTCTTATCACTACATATATTCTTTTTTGTCCCCTTAGTTATTTTAATTCTATTTTATTTTTTATTACTTATTTTTGAGACAAGGTCTCACCTTGACACCCAGGCTGGAATGCAGTGGCTCAGTCATGGCTCACTGCAGCCTCAATCTCCCAAGACTCAAGTGATCCTCTCACCTCAATCTCCCAAGACTCAAGTGATCCTCTCACCTCAGCCTCCTGAGTAGCTAGGACTAAGGTGTGTGTCACCATGCCCAGCTAATTTTTTTAATTTATTTTTTGTAGAGGCCAGGTTGGCCCAGGCTGGTCTCAAACTCCTGGGGTCAAGCAGTCCTTCCACCTTGGCTTCCCAAAGTTCTGGGATTACAGGCATCAGCCACCATGCCCAGCCCTTAATATTATTTTTAACTGACATGTCATAATTATGTATAGCTTACCTATTCTTTTTATGGCTGCATAGTTCTAAAGGAGATAGGAAAAACCAAAGCATAGGAAAAATACTTTGGTTTTTCCTACTCTGACACTCTGGAGTACTTCACGTTTGGGCACCAATACGTGTGTGGGGATTTTTCACCACCAATAACTAATTCTCCAGTGGACACCAGCTGGGTGTCCTCTAATTCAGTTCAGTTCTGACACTTTCCACCTGGACACAGCGTCAGATCCCACAGGCTAAGGGCTTAGTTCCACAAGACTGCCCCCCTTCAGATGCCAGTTGTAAGCCCCAGGTTGTGATGTGTGATTCTGACCAGCTGGGTATAAAGAGGTTGCCATGACTTCCTCTTTGGGTTTGATTAATTTGCTTGGGACGTCTTTGGGGCGGCTCACAGATCTCAGGGAAACACCTCCACTTACTGGTTTATTACAAAGGAAACATGAAGAGGCAGATGGAAGAAGTGCATAGGGCAAGACATGGGGAGGGGGAGAGGGGTTCAGAGCTTCCCTGCCCTCCCTAGGTGCACCTCTATCCAGGTCCCATACCTCTGTGTGTTCAGCTATCCAGAAGCTCTCCAAAGCTAGTCCTTTTGGGTTCTTTTGCAGGTTTCATCACACAGGCATGATTGATTACATCATTGGTCACTGGTGATCAACTCAACCTTCAGTACCCCGTTCCCTTCCCCAAGGTTGGGGGATGGGACTGATCTCATGGTTGATACCCCTGGCAACCAGCTCCCCTGTTGAGGCTATCCAGGATCCCCCAGCCATCAGTCATCATTAGCATCCAAAAGATACTTACCACTTTGGAGATTTAAGGATTTTAGGAGCTGTTCCAGGAAGCCAGAGGAACTTACAAGTCATAATATCACAGGTGTTCCACAGTATAGATATACCTTAATATAACCATTCCTCTAACATTTAGGTAATTTCCAATTTCATGTTAATCCCAATAATGTTCTAGTATACATCCTTGCACATATATTTCTTTGCACATGTGTATTTATGTAGAATAGATTCCTAAAAGTAAAATTACTGTGTCACAAGTAATTGTATTAACTCCTTACAACCTGATGATAATCTTTTTTGGTTTTGCTACTAAAAATATAATTCATCTTAATTTGCATTTTCATCTTACTAGCATCTTTGCTAGTTTAGGTCTGGGTGGGTTCAACATCTTTGTGATAATTGGCTATATATGATTCTCTCATGACTTGCTTACGTAGAGCCTCTGGCCATTTTTCAATTGTGTTGGCATTTTGTAACTATTAGTATATAAGAGCTCTTTTGTCTGTTATACATATGTAATGCACATTGCAGATTTTTTTACTAATCCCAGCCTATCGTTTGTCTTTTGCTTATTTATGGTATCTCATCATACAAAAGCTTTAAATTCAAGGCCTAAGTAATTCATGTTATTCCTTTACAGCATGTAGGGTTTTTATTTTGCCTACTAAGTAGGCCAGACTTTCCTATCTTAAAATTATGGGGCTTTTTTTGTTTGTTTTTTGTTTTTTAAAGACAGGGTTTTGTTCTGTTGCCCAGGCTGGAGTACAGTGGCAGTGCTATCAAGGCCCACTGCAGCCTTGACCCTCCTGGGTTCAAGCGATCCTCCTGCCTCAGCCTCCCAAGTAGCTGGGACTACAGGCACTTGCCACCCTGCCTGGCTAATTTGTTGTTGTTGTTGTTGTTGTTGTTGAGACACAGTCTTGCTCTGTTGCCCTGGCTGGAGTGCAGTGGTGTGATCTTGGCTTGCTGCAACCTCCACCTCCTGGTTTCAAGCAATTCTCATGCCTCAGCCTCCTGAATAGCTTGAGATTACAGGCGCCCGCCACCATGCCTGGCCAATTTTTGTATTTTTAGTAGAGATGGGTTTCACCATGTTGGCCAGGATGGTCTCGAACTCCTGACCTCAAGTGACCCACCCGTCTCGGCCTCCCAAAGTGCTGGGATTGCAGGCGTGAGCCACCGTGCCCAGCCATTTTTTTAAAAAAAATTTATTTTGTGTAGAGACAGGGTCTCACTATGTTGCCCAGGCTGGACTCCTTGGGCCCAAGCAGTCCTCCTGCTTCAGCCTCCAAAGGTGCTGGGATTACTAAGGGCATGAGCCACTGTGCCCAGCCATTATATTTTCTTAAAATTTATTTATTTATTTATTTATATATTTGAGACAGAGTCTCGCTTTGTTGCCCAGGCTAGAGTGCAGTGGCACAATCTCTGCTCACTGCAACCTCAACTTCCCGGGGTCAAGAGATTCTCCTGCCTCAGCCTCCCGAGTAGCTGGGATTACAGGCGTGCACCACCACAGCCGGCTAATTTATGTATTTTTAGTAGAGACAGGGTTTCACCATGTTGGCCAGGCTGGCCTCGAACTCCTGACCTCAGGTGATCCACCCACCTCAGCCTCCCAAAGTGCTGGGATTACAGGCATGAGCCACTGCACCCAGCCAAAATTTATTTTTTAGCATTACTTTTCTGTATACTTTTAAAGCTAGAGTTCTCATTTTGTTTCCCAGACAGAGGCCATTTTTCCATTAGTAATTTATCATTGACTTAGAATGTTACCTTATTATAAACTAAATTTCCATATATGTTAGTCTTTTTCTGGACTGTTTTCTGTCCTAGTGATCTATTTGTCTATTCCTGTGCCAGTAGCACAGTTTTAATTACTCTCATGTTTTGTTTTTGTTTTTGAGACAGGGGCTAACTTTGTCACCCAGGCGGCAGTGCAGTGGCACGATCTCGGCTCACTGCAACCTCCACTTCCCGGGTTCAAGCGATCCTCCCACCTCAGCCTCCTGAATAGCTAGCTAGCTGGGACTGCATGTGTCCCATGCCCAGCTAATTTTTTCTATTTTTAGTAGAGATGGGGTTTTGCCATGTTTCCCAGGCTGATCTTGAACTCCTGGGCTCAAGTGATCTGCCCGCCTTGGCCTCCCAAAGTGCTGGGATTATAGGTGTGAGCCCCTACACCTGGCCTACTATCATGTTTTAATAAAACCTTTGAGAGCTACTTAAGACAACTTTGTCTTCTCCCCATTGTTCTTTTAAAAAAAATCTTATGGCTGTTCTTGCAGTTACTCCCCTGTGAACTTTAGAATCTGTTTGGTTCTATAAACAACTAACCCCCGTTGATGTTCTTATTAGAATAACACTGAATTTACAATGCAGGGTCCTAGATTCAATCCAAAGACGTACTCTCTGGTCAGGGATTTTAAGTAACAAAAAGAGCAACACTATCTAAAGACCTAAGGTTGTGTTGTGGTGGTGAGTATTATTTAGAGAGAGGCTTAGGCTTAGGCTTTTTGCTCAGCCTGGGTGTATCTAGGAACCTAACTCTGCCTTGGAGATCTATACTTACCCTATTCTTCCCTAAAATAGGAAATAATGAACTTCCTCGATGCCTTTCTATTCTCTCAGCCAGTTTGGTTAAAGTGACTTTGGGCTCAGTTTGTACAACCACTATGAATTTTTAAATAGAATGTAGCAAAAGCACCTAACCTTAGGTGTATATTATAACCTTGAAGTAGCCTTTTCTCACTATCAAACTACAGGCAGAGGAAACATTTAATTTTGATAGTAATTAATCACTTTCTATTTCAGAGGAATTCTTCAGTTGGATAAAGTGGACGTCATACCTGTGACAGCTATCAACTTATATCCAGATGGTCCAGAGAAAAGAGCTGAAAACCTTGAAGATAAAACATGTATTTAAAACGCCATCTCATATCATGGACTCCGAAGTAGCCTGTTGCCTCCAAATTTGCCACTTGAATATAATTTTCTTTAAATCGTTAAGAATCAGTTTATACACTAGAGAAATTGCTAAACTCTAAGACTGCCTGAAAATTGACCTTTACAGTGCCAAGTTAAAGTTTACCTTATTCTCGGCCGGGTGCAGTGGCTCATGCCTGTAATCCCAGGACTTTGGGAGGCCAATGCGGGCGGATCACGAGGTCAGATCAAGACCATCCTGCCAACATGGTGAAACCCTGTCTCTACTAAAAAAAATAAAAAAATTAGCTGGGTGTGGCGGTGCACGCCTGTAGTCCCAGCTACTTGGGAGGCTGAGGCAGGAGAATTGCTTGAACCCGGGAGGCGGAGGCTGCAGTGAGCCAAGATCACGCCACTGCACTCCAGCCTGGGTGACAGAGCGAGACTCTGTTTCAAAAAAAAAAAAGTTGACCTTATTCTCTAAAAGGGCTGGCTATTCATATGATGAATTGTTAAGGAAAACTTAAAGTGGAAGAGAACACATGTGAAGAGACTTTGAAATTATCAAAAGAAAAAAAAAAGACCAGACAAAATCTCATGTGCCAATAACTTTTCAAGGTGCCTTTGTTAAGGAAATTATATCCACTTAATTACTATAATATATAAGACTTTATGAAAAGCACTTTATAAAATTCTAATTTAAAAGGTCAAGAACTTAACACTTATTTTTTTATTCAGTACAGTGTGCCTTTATATTAAGTATGTGACTCAGTATAAAATCACTGAAGTGTATCATGATTTGATTGTATCCTGTACCAAGACTACTTACCTTGAATGCTCCAAGATTTAAAAGTAGTATGACATGTTCTCACTCTAAAATAAACTTTTTTTTTTTTTTTTTGAGGAAAAAAGTATAGCTGTTTTGGTTACACTGATATAAAACCTTTGCCCAGGTAAGAATGGCTGAGATGCAGGAGTAGGTATACTTTCATTTACACTGGCTGAAACCATGGCTCAAATTGAATGAGTCCATTGATGTCATGAATTAGACTGTGCCCTTGGTCTTGTGGTTCTAGATATAGTGCTGTTTACCCTAAAAGTGTTTTATTACCTTTTTTAACCATCACTCATATTGACATATTAATATTTTACAATGTGAACGAGTACATATAACTCATCTCTATGTGATACTTTTTTGAGATGGAGTCTGGCTCTGTCGCCTAGGCTGGAGTGCAGTGGCGCAATCTCGGCTCACTGCAAGCTCCGTCTCCCGAGTTCATGCCATTCTCCTGCCTCAGCCTCCCGAGTAGCTGGGACTACAGGCGCCCGCTACTATGCCCGGCTAATTTTTTGTATTTTTAGTAGAGATGGGGTTTCACCATGTTAGCCAGGATGGTCTCGATCTCCTGACCTTGTGATCTGCCTGCCTTGGCCTCCCAAAGTGCTGGGATTACAGGCATGAGCCACCGCGCCTGGCCCTCTATGTGATACTTTCTGTTGTTTCATTAAAAAATATTTTTACTGGCCGGGCACAGTGGCTCATGCCTGTAATCCCAGCACTTTGGGAGGCCGAGGTGGGCAGATCACGAGGTCAGGAGATCGAGACCATCCTGGCCAACACGGTGAAACCTCGTCTCTACTAAAAAAAAAAAAAATACAAAAAATTAGCCGGGCGTGGTGGGGGGCACCTGTAGGCCCAGCTACTCGGGAGGCTGAGGCAGGAGAATTGGTGTGAACCCGGGAGACAGAGCTTGCAGTGAGCCGAGATCACACCACTGCACTCCAGCCTGGGCGACAGAGCAAGGCTCTGTCTCAAAAAAAAAAAAAAAAATATATATATATATATATACTGCAACCCATCATTTTGAAAACACTATCCAAGAAAGTAATGGTTGTTTTTTGTTTGTTTGTTTTTTTGAGATGGAGTTTCACTCGTGTTGCCTAGGCTGGAGTACAATGGTGTGATCTTAGCTCACTGCAACCTCCACCTCCCAAGTTCAAGCAATTCTGCCTCAGCCTCCTGAGTAGCTGGGATTACAGACTCCCACCACCATGCCCGGCTAATTTTTGTATTTTTAGTAGAGATGGGGTTTCACTGTGTTGGGCAGGCTGGTCTCAAACTCCTGACCTCAGGTAATCCACCCACCTAGACCTCCCAAAATGCTGGAATTACAGGCGTGAGCCACCATGCCCGGCCATGGTTGGTTTTTTTGAGACCACTTTATATTTAGGCCAAATAGGTATGTGTGTGATGGGGGTGGAGAGGATGACAAGTAGAATGAAGGAGTGATGTTTCACTTTGCCAGACTTTAAATTAATTACATTGCATGGAGCTCTATTATGCAATACTCTCTCCATACTGCTGAAAAAAATAATCTGCAACTTACAATTTGATCCTTGAGTTACCAACCAGTAACACTTGTTCTTTACACCCTTTCTCATTCCCTAAGTCATTAGAAAGCACCAGTTCTAACTCCAAATGATGACATGGTCTTATTTTATCTATTAACCATAAGCTTACAGATTCTAGTGAAGAAAAAACTTTAGGAGGCTACATGGTCTATTGGAGAGTGTAGGCTCTGCAGTCAGAAGATCCCTACCCAGGCTTCTGTCTTTCTCAGTAAGACTTGGGACCACAGCAAGGTCCGCAATCTCCTGAGGCTCTGTTTTCTATGGTTGGGATAACATGGTAAGTTATTTTCTTCTAAGTAGTCACACATGGAAATCTTATCTAAAATTTTATACCATTAACTTTTATTTCACTTATTAACTCATACCATTAATACTTTACTTTAGCTATGTTTGGTATGCATGAGTTAATGAGTGATTAGAGTACTATGAGCAGCACAGGTTTAGAAATGCCTATTTGCCTATAGTGCAGCCTCTTACATAGGCAAAATAAAAGTCAAGTAAGAATTTTATTTTATTTTTTTAAAATGCAAAGTAAAATGTGTCTTTAAAACTCTCCCAGGAGGTGAAGGGAAGCTACCATAACACCAGGTGGGAAGGAAGACATACTGGGCTTGGCTCATGCTTTAATTAGCTACTGTGTAAAAATGTTCAGGGATTTTCAGTTATCCGCTGGCACCCAGAGGCAATGGGTAAGGTTAACTGGAGCTAGAGCCAATATTTTTTTCTTCCTAGAAGGAGTAACAGCAGCAAACAGTAGGAGAGAAGATGCCAAGTTAGAAGTGCATATAGCTCTCTTCCACAGGAGGCCTACATGCCGCCACTTGTGCTGCCGCCATGTCTCTAGTGATCCCTGAAAAGTCCCAGCATATTTTGCCGAGTAGTCAACACCAACATTGATGGGTGGCGGAAAATGGCCTTTGCCATCACTGCCGTTAAGGGTGTGGGCCGAAGATATGCTCATGTGGTGTTGAGGAAAGCAGACACTGACCTCACCAAGAGGGCGGGAGAACTCACTGAGGATGAGGTGGAACATGTGATCACCATTATGCAGAATCCACACTAGTACAAGATGCCAGCCTGGTTCTTGAACAGACAGAAGGATGTAAAGGATGGAAAATATAGCCAGGTCCTAGCCAATGGTCTGGACAACAAGCTCTGTGAAGACCTGGAGCGACTGAAAAAGATTCGGGCCCGTAGAGGGCTGCGTCACTTCTGGGGCCTTCGTGTCCGAGGCCAGCACACCAAGACCACAGGCTGCCGTGGCCGCATCGTGGGTGTGTCTAAGAAGAAGTAAGTCTGTAGGCCTTGTCTGTTAATAAATAGTTTATATACCAAAAAAAAAAAAAAAAAAAAGTGCATATAAAGTCAGCTTTCCTAGGCCCTGAATCAAGAAACGTGATGGTTTGCCATTGTAGCTATTGGTTTCAAACAAGAGCCAAGATTGATGTCTTTCTTATGGTCTGTTGGCTAATCCCAGTATGAATGGCCAGTTCAGCTAGAAGAAACAAACAGTCTTGAAAAAAATAGAAAAAGCAAAGAAAAAAAAGACAGCTTTCCAAGCTAAGTAACATTTGTGGTCAGTGAAATAATAATAGAAATCTAGTAATGCTAAAGTAAAACAAATTTTCAGCTTAAAAATATTGCCTTTATTCAGAATCATAAGGGTTTTTTTAAAAAAATCTTACCATTATGAAAGTTAAAAAAAATATAGCACTCAGTACAATGAATTACTGCATTTAATATTCAAACACTTAAGGCACATTTCTCACAGTTTACATGTGAGAATTTAGCATGATCCAAACTCAAATATCCATTTCTCGTATCTTTCAATGTCTGCAGCAGACACTGACTTAGAAACCTTTTTTAAAGCCATCTCGAAATCCTCCATAGTTGTAGGCATGTGCATTTCTTCTTTGGAAAGATTTCGGATTTCCTCTGGAGTCAAACCTTCAATGCGCCTTCTCATTGCCATCAAGGACGCATCCCTAGGTTTTAAGTTAAAAACAACAACAACACACACAATGTTACTTTGGTTAAATGAAAACCTGTTAATAGAAAAATTTTCAATTGATCTGTTGTAGCATTCTCTAATTATATTACATATATATGTAGTATTGTATAGAAACTTATTGGAATACAAAGCCTGTTGTGATTGATTTTTAAGCAGTTAAATCTTCTGTAATGAAAAAGGATGCTAATTTAAATAATTAATACTGAATATAAAATCCCAGAAAAAGTAAAAGTGGGGTTAAAGCTAGCAATTTGAATTTCATTATAACTATTCAATAAAATGAAGAATAAGCATCACAGAGTCAGAAGAGAAGAGAAACTGTTAACAAGAAAATTAAATATTTTCTCCATGTAGAGGAAAAGCTAGGTAAGTTCAGGGTTTCTCCTTTTCTCATTTGTGTTAAAAAAAAAAAACAAAACTTCAGATTCAAACAGCTCTTGCCTTTTACCAAGTTTTATCCTTAATAGCAGCCACCATTTATGCAAAGGGATAGCAATAGAGCTGTTTGATGTATACACTTTAGCTTTAATCCTCAGAACCCTGTGTGGTATGCTCACTTTAGAAAGGAGGAAACGAGCGCAGTCAAGCCCCTGGTTAATTAAGTGTCTCTACTAATACTTAGATTAGGACAAAACCTACTTGAACCAGCTGGATTAAAGACATTCTTTTTTTCTTTTTACTGCTATTCTGTCACATTTAGGATAAGTTCACTGAGAATGAGACTGTATTCTGTGCATATGCCAAGTCAATATATTTCACAGTCATTTCGTATTTTATAATATAGTGAACAAAGGCACCAACAATTTATTTAATCCAAGACAATTACTGATTTTCTATTTTACACAATTTATCCTAACATTAGCTTCTTGAACTTGTAGCTTTCAAATGAACTGTAGACTCTTCACTGACATGAAAGATACCAGATATCTTACCAGCACCTGCTAACACCAACAAAACCAGAATTTGTGACCCTGACTACAAAATGTATGTGGGGCCGGGCATGGTGGCTCACGCCTGTAATCTTAGCATTTTGGGAGGCTGAGGCAGGCGGATCACTTGAGGTCAGGAGTTCGACACCAGCCTGGTCAACATGGTGAAACACCGTCTCTACTAAAAATACAAAAATTAGCCAGGTGTGGTGGTGCATGCCTGTAATCCCAGCTACTCGGGAGGCTGAGGCACAAGAATCACTTGAACCCAGGAGGCAAAGGTTGCAGTGAGCCGAGATCGGACCACTGCACTTCAGCCTGGGTGACAGAGCGAGACTCCGTCTCAAAAAACAAAACAAAACTGGAATGTGGGTCTTTATTCATCTTTTTTTTTTTTCTTTGGACACAGGGTCTTGCTTTGTCGCCCAGGCTGGGGTGCAGTGGCACAATCATGGCTCACTGCAGCCTCAAACTCCTGGGCTCAAGCGATCCTCCTGCCTCAGCTTCCTGAGCAGGTGGGAACCACCATGCCCGGCTAATTTTTAAAATTTTTTTCATGGATATGAGGTCTTGCAATGTTACCCAGGCCAGTCAAACTCCTGGGCTCAAGTGATCTCCCACTTGGCCTCCCAAAGTGCTGAGATTACAGGCGTGAGCCACCACCAAGATATTGATCTGTCTTAATTCAGCATAAAAACTTCACGTCAGAGGATCACTTGAGCCCAGGAGTTTCAGGCTGCAGTAAGCTGTGACTGCGCCTCTACTCTCCAGTCTAGGCAACAGAGCGAGACTGTGTCTCAAAAAACAAAACCAAAAAACTTCATACTAGAAGTTTATGCTTACAAAAACCTATGCTTCCATGATAATTCATACCTGCACACGTTGGTAATGTCCGCACCTGAATAACCTTCCATGTTTTCTGCTATACTTGCAAGGTCAACATCATCAGCCAATTCCAACTCACGTAGACTTATTCGTAATAGCTCCTCCCTGCCTTTTGCTAATGGTAGAAACAAATTTTAAAATGTAAGCCTGCAGCATAAACATAGTATACTATTGTCTCAAATCTTCTTTGTGTGAGATGTTGTCTTCCAGTAAGAATTGGATCTCTAAGAAGAGATAATTAAGTAAAGAGCCATTCTTTACTTTTTAATTCCTTACTATTTAGTATTAAGGCATATAGCCAAACTAGTACTGTAAAGGAAGATACTCCTCATGTATCTCTTCCAGAAAGTTAGTTAATAACAAATTTTAAATTCTCTAAACAAAACTACATGAAAGTTAACAGGCTTTCTGACAAGATTGAAAGGAAGATACCTGACGGCAAAGGAATATAGATTCGTTTCTCAAGGCGTCGTCTTAAAGCCTCATCTATATCCCAGGGAAAATTAGTAGCTGCCAGAACCATAACCATTTTGGAAGGGTCATCATTTTCAGAAGTACCTCCAACACCTAAAATAAGGGTAAGGGGAGAGTGAAAAAGATATTAAGTTGGATTATACCAAATGAAGCTCAGCTATTTAAAGATCAACAACTATTTAGTACAACAATACAAGGAAGCACAGTCTTAATGCCTCCTTAAGACTTAGGTTAACTGGTACCTATGTGAATTTGTAATCCAAAGAAAATGAGTTCTGTAGTATGCAAATATATGACTCAAAATAGATTTAATCGAAAAGCCAGATCTCAAATACATAACAATTTTAAATCTTTTTCAAAGCGTACATAAACTCTAAGGCCAATTTATCTGCATTTATTTTTATTTCAATTTCATAGCTAAAGTAAGATAGTTGTATATACCAAAAGGGTGCCCTGTGTGTGGCCATTAATTCTGACTTGTCACCACTGTCAGTGTACCAAATCTATTACTATCACTATCAGGAACTTCTTGCCACCCCCTCTAGTCCATCTGAAGTTAAGAATACCTATTAAAAGCTTGGGTTAGCACTATGAGTAAAGTTTGACCCACTGGAACTGGAGACACCACACCTAACAACCTCCCGTCCCTGTTCAACTCAAGCTAAACACAGATACCATCCATCTGAACCAGCAGCTCCGCTTTCACCCTTCTGCTTGCTTCATGTTCTTCAGAAGTCCCTCGGCGACTACAGATGGAGTCTATCTCATCAATAAATATGGTGGCTGGAGAATAAAATCGAGCCTAAAGGAAGAAACCATGCAATATCAAGCTATTAAGCTATTATTTCATTTTAAAATAATCTACAGATTAGCAATCAGAAAATAGCTGAGGGAGGCTGGGCACAGTGGCTCACACCTGTAATCCCAACACTGGGAGGGTGAGGCAGGAGGATGGATTGAGCCCAAGAGTTCGAGACCAGCCTGGGCAACATAGCAAGACTCCATCTCTACAGAAAATTAAAATATTAGTTGAGTGTGGTTACACGTGTCTGAGTCCCAGCTACTCAGGAGGCTAGGTGAGAGGATCCCTTGAGCCCAGGAGTTCAAGGCTGCAGTGAGCTATGATCACACCACACCACTGTATTCCAGACTGGGTGACAGAGTGAGAACCTGTCTCTAAAACAAGAGGAAAGAAAGAAAACAACAAAACAGCTAAGGAGCCTGCCACACTGTGCATCTTTCTCTCACGCTAATACTGGGGAGATGGGATAGAATTAGAACAGCTAAAATATGGCTTCTAATGAACCGTTTTTTATTTATTTATTTTTTTTTAAGAGGCAAGGTCTTGCTCTGTCATCCAGGCTGGAGTGCAGTGATATGATTTTGGCTCACTTCAACCTTGAGCTCCTGGGCTCAAGCAATCCTCTCACCTCAACCTCCCGAGTAGCTAGGACTACAGGTGTGTGCCACCACACCAGGCTTATTTTTATATTTTTGGTAGAGATGGTGTCTTATTATGTTGCCTAGGCTGGTCTCAAACTCCTAGACTCAAGCAATCTTCCTGCCTCGGCCTCCCAAAATGCTAGGATTACAATGAGCCACTGTACCTAGTGGGATAATTTCATCTTTAAAGAGAGTCAATACTTGGGTCTTTATGTATAAATATTTTTGTACTTTTTCAACAAATGGAGAGAGGGAAAGAGTGAACTTCATCATCATTAAAACATCCAAGAAAATTCTCAACTAAAATTTTAGGAAGCATCTATCAAAAGCACCTACATCAACAAAAATTAAACTTCAGTCTGTTGCCACACCAAGCAAAAGTGACTAGACTGATTCTTCCCACATACTGAGGTTATGTAGAATGATCTGACTTCAAGGAAAGGCTATGTGTCCTGGGTTTAGCTGGCCCAGGAAGGTACGGTAGAGGACACCAATTGGTTCTCCCTGCACAGCACACTTCTGGTAAGAGAAGCCTCTTTTTCATTTGCAAATCATCCCTTTCTTTCTTTCCTCCCCTCTCCCCTCTCCCCTCTCCCTCTCTCTGTAACCTCTGCCACCCCGGTTCAAGCAATTCTCCTGCCTCAGCCTCCCAAGTAGCTGGGATTACAGGTGCACGCCACCACACCTGGCTAATTTTTGTATTTTTAGTAGAGACGGGGTTTCATCATGTTGGCCAGGCTGGTCTCGAACTCCTGACCTCAAGTGATCTGCCCGCCTCAACCTCCCAAAGTGCGGGGATTACAGGCATGAGCCACCATGCCGGGCCCCTCTCATTCCTATTCCACTACTTCAAAAGAGGCTAACTTTACTTGGAACTCCAGGGGTTTTATTCAGACCTGGCCAATCAGAGCACTCCAATTCTCTGACCAAAAACAAGGAGTTTCGGCATAGGTATGAAACTCAAAACAGGCCAAATATTAATCTTTGGACTTTTGCTGGAACTATGACAAAATGAGGGCTAACTTTGCTGAGAGTTCATTACCCTAAGGACAATAAAAATAAGGCTTGAAAGCTGAGTGCAGTGGTACACGACTGAAGTCCCAGCTACTTGGGATGCTGAGAGAGGAGGATGCAGTATGCTATGATTGTGCCTGTGAATAACCACTGCACTACAACCTGTGCAATATAGTGAGAGCTTATCTTAAAAAAAAAAAAAAAAAAAAAAAAAAGCTGAACACAATGGCTCTTGCCTGTAATCCCGGCACTTTATGGGGTCTAGGCAAGAGGAGTGTTAGGCCAGGAGTTCTAGACTGCCTGGGCAACGTAGTGAGACTTCATCTCTACAAAAAAATCAAAAAAGGCCAGGCGCAGTGGCTCATACCTATAATCCTAACACTTTGGGAGGCCAAGGTGGGCAGATCACCTGAGGTCAGGAGTTCAAGACCAGCCTGGTCAACATGGCAAAACCTCATCTCTACTAAAAATACAAAAATTAGCCAGGCATGGTAGTGCACTTGTGTAGTCCCAGCTACTCAGGAGGCTAAGGTGGGAGGATCGCTTGAGGCTAGGAGGTGAAGGCTGCTGTGAGCCGAGATTGCAACACTGCACTCCAGCCTAGGTGACAGAATGAGACCCTGTCAAAAAAAATAGAATTCATGTCTTGACCAGGATTGGTGACCCATGCCTATAAATCTAGCACTTTGGGAGTCTGAAGCAAGAGGATCACTTGAACCCAGGAGTTCAAGATCAGCCTGGGCAACACAGCAAGACCCCATCTGTAAAAAAAAAAAAAAAAAAAAAATGAGCTGAGTGTGGTGGCTCATGTCCATCATCCCAGCTGCTTGGGAGGCTTAGATGGGAAGAGCACTTGGGCCTGGGAGGTCACGGATGCAGCGAGTTGTGATCATGCTCCTGCATACCAGCCTAGGCAAGACTGAGAACCCATTTCAAAAAAAAGAAGATTCACGTCTTTGTCACTAATAGCATAACTCTATCCTAATTACATAAAACTACTCTGTTTCTTAGAGGCAAGAGTGACGTAATCAGTGAAGCTTAACAAAGTCTGAAGTTTAAAAGGCTGTGGAATTCAATCTAAACACTCTACCAGAACTTGTTGAATTACATTTCTTCTATTGGTACTCTGATTTGTATTGGTGGAAGAAAGAACCTAATCCAAAGATTAGGTCATTAAAATGAAGGCATTTGGTGCAGTTAATAGATCGGAGGTGACCTAAGTTCCACAATAAATTATGATTCTCACCTTTTGGCATCATTGTTACAATACTGTGGTTATCATATTATAACTAAACCTATTGATTTAAAAAACATAATTTCAGATTCCTACAGAAGATTAGTAATGCAGATCCCATAATGTGAGCATGCCCCAAAACTGGTAGATTTGGATCTACATCTGGAGAAAAAGAGACAAAGAGAAACTCTAATTATTCATGTTTGTAAAGAAATCTAGCTTTAAGGGCATAGGACTCATACTCTGGGCAAAATGGCATCCTGCCTAACTATTCCATATACTGGAGATAGTTACAGCTCACTTTCTCCCCTTTTAGAGAGGTAAAGAATCATTAGAGCTGTCTCAAACATTCACCATTTCAAACAGAAGACGAACAAGCTTCTCAGATTCTCCTCTGTATTTGGAAGTCAAAGTTGATGAAGAGACATTGAAGAATGTTGTCTTGCATTCTGTAGCTACTGCTTTAGCAAGGAGCGTCTTCCCCGTGCCAGGTGGGCCGACCATCAGTACTCCCTGTTGCGAATATAATAGCCTCAGCAGAGGATTTATCTGCCATTGTTCTAATTCATAAAAGTGTCATTACTAAGTAGCAAATTTCGACCAACTTATATATAATATCAAGACAAATAAAAGACAAACAGATAAACAGGAGGATACTTTGTCACAAATTTACTCTTCCCGTTAAAAAAGAAGATAACCACATTATGAAAAATTTGGAACTCAAAGATGAGAAAAAGTAGTTTATAATATCAGCACCCTAACAGAGGTACCATTAGCATCTGGATTTATATCCTGATTGTCCTTTTGCTCAGACAAATTAGGTTGTTTAAAAATATAACTTATTCGGCCAGCCATGGTGGCTCACACCTGTAATCCCAGCACTTTGAGAGGCCGAGGCAGGCAGATCACGAGGTCAGGAGATTGGGACCATCCTGGCCAACATGGTGAAGCCCCGTTTCTACTAAAATACAAAAAAAGTTAGCTGGGCGTGGTGGTACATGCCTGTAATCCCAGCTACTCGGGAGGCTGAGGCAGCGGAATCAATTCAACCCGTTAGGCGGAGATTGCAGTGAGGCAAGATCGCACTGCACTCCAGCCTGGCGACAGAGCGAGACTCCATCTCAAAACAAAACAAACAAAATACATATATATATATAATTTATTCAAAGTATATCTATCATTTTGTATCTTGCTTATCACTTAATGTATAAAGGATTTTTACAACTATTCATACATGCAGAGTTACCTATCAGTGTGTTTTCCAAATCCAAGAAAAGCTTTTTTGATGGTCTTTTTTTAGATCAGCCCATGACTTTAAAAAGTATTTATCACATGCAGATATTTCTCATTAATTTATTGAGAACAATCCCCAAAATACAGGTTACAATCATGCAACATGACATATAAAATGGAGTGTTTTTGCATTAGCTGACTAGGTCATATTTGCAAATATGAGCTCATTCTAAATGGGGTGAATTCTAATTTTTTTTTTTTTTTTTGAGACAGAGTTTCGCTCTTGTTGCCCAGGCTGGAGTGCAATGGCGTGATCTCAGCTCACCACAACCTCCACCTCCCAGGTTCAGGCAATTCTCCTGCCTCAGCCTCCCGGATAGCTGGGATTACAGGCACGCACAACCACGCCCGGCTAGTTTTGTATTTTTAGTAGAGACGGGGTTTCTCCATGTTGGTCAGGCTGGTCTCGAACTCCTGACCTCAGGTGATCCGCCCGCCTCGGCCTCCTAAAGTGCTGGGATTACAGGCGTGAGCCACCACGCCCGGCCAAATTCTAAATTTTAATGCTGTGTATTCAACTTTCCAAAGATCACATTGTATGTATTTCTTATTCTAGGAATCATGCAACAGCTTCTGGTCTAACAAAATTCTCAGTAGCACAACATATACCTTTTAATTTAAACATTTCCTGACTCCACTTTCTCCCTCCACTTTTCCCAATATAGATAAATATTGGCTCTCTGTATCAACATGCTGCCATTTACTTTGACAATGCCATCACAGTAATAAACTTACTTTCCATGGTCTCCTAATGCCCTTAAAGAATTCGGGCATCCACATTGGTAACACTACGGCTTCCTTAAGCAACTTTTTAGCTTCTACTAAATCAGCGATATCATCCCTGAAAGAGAAGACATTTTATTAACAACCCTTTAGATGATACATGTCTATGCAGTCACTCTTGAGAACCACTGGAAGCACATGATGTTGCACTGCTGACAGAATGGTGAGCCTCTCTCTGAGCCCGGGTGAACTAATGCACTGTGATGAGGCCCACCATGTCAACCAGCAGATATATAAAGAGCACAACCTTTTCTTCAGTTATTGGCGGTTGACAGTTTTTAGCCTGGATCACGAGAACATAGTCTACAGGCACACTCTTCAGGGTTATGTGTCAACTCATTTTAAACTCCTGCTCTTATGGTCCTCATTCCATAATCTCCATGATTTAGAAACAATGAGCCCATGTATTTTAAAACTAAAAAAAAGCATAAAGAATAAAAATCGTATAAAGCAGAGACAGGCTACAACATAGCTGCTTTGCCTCCAGCTTTACTAAGAGGTAGATGCCAAGGTTAAAGAGTATCACAGAGATTACTATAAAGTCATCTCCAACCACTAGAATACCTACTACTACTGCTACATGTGGCAATTTCTGTTAAAAAAAGTATTTTCATTGTATAAAATATTAATGTCCCCAATATTTTTTAATATCATTCAAACCCATACCTAATAATCATTAAGGTTTTAACAGAAATATAAAATACCTAACTTTGTGGAAAAGTTAACTTTTATAACTCATTGTAATACATTACAGATCTTTGATTACATGTAATATTAATCAAGTTGAGAACCACTGCTCTAAAAGAAAATAAAAGCAACATTTCTAGGATGCTATAGATAATAAGCAACACACATACATACAAATCATTGCCTTGGCCAGGTGCAAAGGCTCATGACTGTAATCCTAGCACTTTGGGAGGCTGAGGCAGGAGGATCACTTGAACCCAGGAGCTCAAGACCAGCCTGATCAAGACTCCATCTCTACAAAACATTTTTTAAAATTAGCTAGATGTGGTGGTGTGCACCTGTGGTCCTAGCTACTTGGAAAGCTGTGGCAGGAGGATCACTTGAGTCTAGGAGTTTGAGCCTGCAGTGAGCTATGATCGAGCCACTGTCCTCCAGCCTGGGCAATAAAGTGAGACCCTGTCTCTAAAAAACAAAAACAAAAACCTCAGACTCTCAGACAAAAATTGGAATAGGCTGAATGCAGGGAAGTCATGCTCACGCTGCACATACTCCGGTTCTGTCCTCAAGCTCTGCTCTTCAGTACATGCTCACATTTGCTCCATTTTCCATTCCGAATAGCATCACCAGCACCCAATTATTTGGTTGTGATATAACTTACCATCGAACATTGGGATTCTGGGAAATTATATCTCTTTCCAAAGCTTCTACTAAGTCTTTATCATATCCGGTACTATCAAATTTATTTGTCTCTGGTTCTGTTACTGCAGCAGGTGATTTGTTCTACATGAAGAGAAAAAAACAAGCGCTTTTGATTCATTTATTTTGTTTCTGTGAGTCGGAAACACAGATTGGACTCAAGTGACGTCCTTTAAAAAGCTAATACATCATTTGGCCAGGCGCAGTGGCTCACACCTGTAATCCCAGCACTTTGGGAGGCCAAGATGGGTGGATCACGAGGTCAGGAAATCGAGACCATCCTGGCTAACAGGGTGAAACCCCATCTCTACTAAAAATACAAAAAATTAGCCAGGCATGGTGGCGGCACCTGTAGTCCCAGCTACTCGGGAGGCTGAGGCAGGAGAACAGTGTGAACCCGGGAGGCAGAGCTTGCAGTGAGCCAAGATCATGCTACTGCACTCCAGCCTGGGTGACAGACCGAGACACCAACTCAAAAAAAAAAAAGGCTAATAATAATAATACAATAACAAGGATAGGACCAAAGACTCTAAGTCATCCTTCTACATCAACATTGGTTTGATACATCAAAAGTATCAAAGAAAAATAAAAATGACCATGCAAATGAACTGGCTAGCATAAAAAAATTAATACTGAGATAAATGTGGTCGCAAGTGAATATCAGATATACACAAAATGTATTTCAATCCTTTAGAGGAGATAAGATTAAAGACAGATGGCTTATTTAGCCAAGACTATGGCTCAATCTTTAAACACCTACTTGTCCCTCATCAATGCTCCTAAAAATATCCCTTTTCATTATTCCCACTACCCTCCAAAAGACACATCTCAGTCCTTACATGGGATTCCTCTCATCCTCTGTGATGACAGTCATTAGGGCCACGGTTCCCAAACTATGTACTCAATACCCAGGACACAATGGCAAACTCACGAGGTATTGTGGGATAGTTTAAATTTTTGAAAGAAACACAGCAACATCTGTTGAACACTGTGTGAACTACTAGCTAGAGGTAGTTCACGATTCCTACATAAGACTGCTATACTCCTCTTCAATAATGCTTTATTTATTTATTTATTTATTTATTTTTGAGCTAGAGTCTCACTCTGTCGCCCAGGCTAGAGTGTAGTAGTGTGATCTTGGCTCATTGCAACCTCCACCTCCTGGGTTCAAGCAATTCTCCTGTCTCAGCCTTCTGAGTAGGATGACAGGTGTGCACCACCACGCCCGGCTAATTATTTTTAGTGGAGATGGGGTTTCAGCACGTTGGCCATGCTAGTCTTGAACTGCTGACCTCAAGTGATCCGCCCACCTCGGCCTCCCAAAGTGCTGGGATTACAGGTGTGAGCCACTGTGTCCGGCCTGAATAATACCATATTTTTGTGAAGCTGGGTTTTGGGCAGTTGCTGTGATAAGATGTACAGAGAGAAAATCAATGTGGAAGAGGAATGAGGGTAGAATGTCCGTTCTGACTGCAGGGTTTGAGAAACTGTGTAACAGGGCCCAATAGGTGTTAAACTGCTAGAACATAAACTGTTTGAACCTAACTTCTTCATAAATGGATAGGTATTTTTCATAAGTGGATGGGTATCCTGGCCTAGAGATGCTATATAAAAATTACTAAGATACTTATGAATATTATAGGCCAAGAAAATTTATGAAGCCCTGCATTAGGGTAAATAAACATTTTTTCTGCCGTACTAAGATTGTTACCCAATTCCCATAACATTTTTTTTGCACGTAACATGATGATTCCTTTGCCAACTGGTGCTGTCTAATGCCATTATTAATGTCCAGACTTAACCAATATTTATGATATTCAAAATGTTAACCTAGATGGCCAAATAAGCATCAGTTCCACAATGTGTGTATTGAGCCTCCAATATTAGCATAAAAGATTCAAGGAAGGAACTGTGTAACTTTTTTTTTTTTTTTTTTTGAGATGGAGTTTCATTCTTGTTGCCCAGGCTGGAGTGCAGTGGCACGATCTTGGCTCACTGCAACCTCTGCTTCCCCGGTTCAAGCAATTCTCCTGCCTCAGCCTTCCGAGTAGCTGGGATTACAGACATGTACCACCATGCCTGGCTAACTTTTTATATTTTTAGTAGAGATGGGGTTTCACCATGTCAGCTAGGCTGGTCTTGAACTCCTGACCTCAGGTGATTTGCCCACCTCAGCCTCCCAAAGTGCTGGGATTACAGGGGTGAGCCACCACACCCAGCCAGAACTGTGTAACATTTAAAAGAGAAGAAGATAATCTTTTCTTCAAAGTATTTATAAAGTTGTTACTCATTTACAGATATTTAACAAGTATCTGTTCTGTGTTAGCAGCTATGGAGAACAGGAAAAGGACACTGTACCTGACTATCAGGAACATATACTGTAAGCCAGGGAAGATACAAATATAAGGCATTTTCTCTTTCTCTTTCTTTTCTCCCATAGAACACAGTACTAAGGGAATGTTCGCAGACAAAGCAAAACAAATTTAAGTAGGCAGAAGAAAGAAACAGTGTTGTAATAGGACAGCCAAAGAAAGCTGTGGAACTTCAAATGCTGACATATTTAATAGGATTTTACTTAATTAGTTGAAGTAGTACAATTTCTTTTAGATATACATCTATCTAATAATTTGCTCCTGGCCAGGTGCAGTGGCTCATGCCTATAATTCTAGCACTTAGGCTGAGGGGGGTGGATCAGTTGAGGCCAGGAGTTCGAGATCAGGCTGGCCAACATGGTGAAACCCCCTCTCTACTAAAAATACAAAAATATTAGCTGGGCATAGTGGTACATGCCTGTAGTCCCAGCTACTCAAGAGGCTGAGAGGAGAATCGCTTGAACCCAGGAGGCGGAGGTTACACTGAGCTGAGATTGCACTACTGCAGTCCAGCCTGGGCAACAGAACAAGACTCCATCTCAAATAAAAACAAACAATAACTTGTTCTAAGTGAAAACAGTAACCAGTAGGAAGTGGAAAAAAACAGTTGAGGGATTCAAAGGGACCTAGACTCCTTTTTTCATGCTCAAAATAAAGTTTCAGATAGACGGATTAATCAGGACATAAGTCCTTGGGTTTAAAACTAGTTCTTTTGCTGGGCTCAGTGGCTCACGCCTGTAATCCCAGCACTTTGGGAGGCAGAGGCAGGCAGATCACCTTAGGTCAGTAGTTCGAGACCAGCCTGGCCAACATGATGAAACCCCGTCTCTACTAACAATACAAAAATTAGCCAGGTGTGATGGTTCACACCTGTAATCCCAGCTGCTCGGGAGGCTGAGGCAGGAGAATCGCTTGAACCTGGGAGGCAGAAGCTGCAGTAAGCCAAGATCAGGCCACTGCACTCCAGCCTGGGCGACAGAGTGAGACTCCGTCTCAAAAAAACAAAAACAAAAACTAGTTCTTTTAAAGCTGGCAAAATTATAAATACAAAACCCATTACCTCAATTAAAAGAGTTAATTAAAAATGACAGCTGGGTTCTCATTTCCAGGAAGATGGAGCATACTTTTCAGCATTTCTTCTGCTAAACAGAGCTAAAACCCTTGGGTATTATACATACCACAAACACAGGAGGACTCTGAAAGGTGCAAAGAAGCCAGCAGAGCCACTAAGGAACTCAAACATGGTGTGAGTTCCCTGGGTTTTCTTTCTTTCAAATATCCAAACTTGGGGCTGAAGAGCCGGCAACCTGGATACGCCAATTTGAACAAACAAAAACACCCCAACAGAAGCTTGCTCTTTCTAGGCAAAGGACCAAGGAAGGGGCAGTCTAGCAAGACAGAGCTTTTAGACAGTAACACTCTACTCCAGTCAAGCACCACCAAAGACTTGTGGCCCCGGCCCCACCCAGGGCAGCAAAGGCAGGGTGGAAGGCCTAGGACTTTCTACTTCTGGAAGCCTACAGTGAGTTACCTCAAACCCCCACCAGGGTAGAATCAGAGGCTAAATAAGAAGCTGAAACTTTCATTCCCAAAAATGAAATGAACAAGAGCCCCTGCATGTTCTCTCCCCCACCCCTCCCCGCCACAGTCACTGGACATCATAGAGGGAACCTAGACTTCCACTCCCCAACCACAGTGTCCCTGGAGAGCGTGTGGAGAACTTCCACCGCAGCTCAGCAGTAATGAGAAGGCCTCTGCCCCTAGGCAGGTGCCGACAGAGGCTGGCTGGGGAACCTGAACTTCCATCCCCACCTGGCAGCGGTGGCACCCCAATCTCTCTGCCAGAGCAATGTTAGGAAAAATCAGCTAAACAGAAGGTTTAAATAAGATCTAGAGTCTCATGATATAATATGAAAATGTCCAGGTTTCAACAGAAAATTCCTCATACCAAGAACCATGAAAATCTCAAATTAAATGTAAAGAGACAATGAACAGATGCCAAGACCAAAATGACAGTGATGTTAGTTTCCTGACAGATTTTAAAGCCTTTTACATGCTTCAATAATTATGAATGTACTTGAAAGATTATGAAGAAAAATAGCCTCAGAAACAAATAGAACACCCCAAAGACTCCATGCCAACACACATTATACTTTAATTTCTGAAAACCAAAGACACAGAAAAAATTGAAAGCAATGAAAGAATATCAACACCTTGCTTATAGGGAAAAACAATTCAGATGAAAGCAGATTTCTTCTCAGAAAAGCAAGCCAGAGGAAGTAGCATAGTATTTTTTAAGGAAAAAAAAAAAGTATTTTTTCAAGAAAAAAACTCAGGCCAGGTGTGGTGGCCCACGCCTATAATCTTAGCACTTTGGGAGGCCAAGGTGGCAAGACTGCTTGAGCTCAAGACTTCAAGAACCAGCTTGGGCAATAAAATAAGATCCTGTCTCGGCCAGGCATGGTGGCTCAGGCCTGTAATCCCAGCATTTTGGGAGGCCGAGGTGGGTGGGTCACGAAGTCAGGAGTTTGAGACCAGCCTGGCCAACACAGTGAAACCCCGTCTCTACTAAAAATACAAAAATTAGCTGGGCATGGTCATGGGCACCTATAATCCTAGCTACTCGGGAGGCTGAGGCAGGAGAATCACTTGAACCCCGGAGGCACAAGTTGCAGTAAGCTGAGATCGTGCCACTGCACTTCAGCCTGGGCGACAGAGCTAGACTCCATCTCAAAAAAAAAAAAAATAGGCCAGGTGCGGTGGCTCATGTCTGTAATCCCAGCACTTTGGGAGGCCGAGGCAGGCGAATCACCTGAGGTCGGAGTTGGAGACCAGCCCGACCAACATGGAGAAACCCTGTCTCTACTAAAAATACAAAATTAGCTGGGTGTGGTAGCACATGCCTGTAATCCCAGCTACTCGGGAGGCTGAGGCAGGAGAATCACTTGAATCCAGGAGGTGAAGGTTGTGGTGAGCCGAGATCACGCCATTGCACTCCAGCCTGGGCAACAAGAGTGAAACTCCGTCTCAAAAAAAAAAAAAAAAAAAAATCCTGTCTCTACAAAATAAAAATTAAAAAATTAGCCAGGTGTGGTAGCACACATCTGTAGTCCCAGCTACTTGGGAGACTGAGTCAGGAAGATCCCTTGAGCCGAAGGAGTTCAAGGTTGCATTGAGCTATGATCAGTGCCACTGCACTCCAGCCTGGGCAACAGAGATCCTATCTCAAAAAAAAAAAAAAAATCAGCAAGGATATAGAGCTCAATAACACCACCATCCAAAGGATCCGACAGACATTTATAGAAAATTCCACCTAACCACAGCAAAATACATACTCTTTTCAAGTGTTCACAGAACATATACCAAAACAGACCATATCTTAAGCCAAAAACAAACTTAGACAAGTTTAAAAAAATTGAAATTATATGAAGTATATTCTCAAAGCACAAAAGATTCAAACTAGAAATCAGTAACAGGAAGAAAACAAGAAAATCTCCACACAATTGGAAACTAAACAGCATGGTACTAAATAATCCAGGTCAAAGAGGAAGTCTCAATGGCTATCAAAGAACACACTGACCTGAAGAAAAATAAAGATACAACTTATCAAAATTTCTGGGACACAGTTAAAGCAGTGCTGAGAGGGCAATTTAGAGCACTAAATGCATATGTTAGACAAGAAAAAAAGTCTCAGGCTGGGCATGGTGGCTCACACCTGTAATCCCAGCACTTTGGGATCACACCACTGCACTCCAGCCTGGGCGATAAGAGTGAGACTCCGCAGCAGGTGGATCACCTGAGGTCAGGAATTTGAGACCAGCTTGGCCAACGTGGCAAAACCCCGTCTCTTCTAAAAATACAAAAACTAGCCGGGCGTGGTGTTCCACGCCTATAGTCTCAGCTACTTGGGAAACTGAGGCAGAATTGCTTCAACCTGGGAGGTGGTGGTTGCAGTGAGCCAAGACTGCACCACTGTACTCCAGCCCAGGCAACAGAGCAAGATTCCGTCTCAGAAACAAACAAAAAAGTCTCAAATAATCATTTAAGCTTTTACCTCATGAATGTAGAAAAGAACAAAATAAACTCAAAGCTAAAAAGGAAAATAATAGGCCAGGTGCAGTGGCTCACGCCTGTAATCTCAGCACTTTGGGAGGCCAAGGCAGGAGGGATTGCCTGAGATCAGGAGTTCGAGACCAGCCTACCCACCACAGCGAAACCCTGTCTCTACTAAAAATACAAAAATTAGCTGAGAGTGGTGGCGGGGGCCTGTAATCTCAGCTACTCAGGAGGCTGAGGCAGGAGAATCACTTGAACCTGGGAGGTGGAGGTTGCAGTGAGCTGAGATGGCGCCATCGTACTCCAGCCTGGGCAACAAGAGCAAAACTCTGTCTCAAAAAAAAAAAAAAAAAGAAAAAAGAAAAAAGAAAAAAAAAGATATTGATAAGAGCAAAAAGCAATAAAGTTAAAAACAGAATAACTATAGAGAAAATTCAATGAAACAAAGGAGTCTTTTAAAAAGATTAAAAATTGACAAACCTCTAGCAATACTGACAATGCAAAAAGGACAGAGAACACGTATTACTGGTATAAGGAATGAAAAAGGAGCTATCATTATAGACCTGCAAGCACTTAAAGAATAAGGAATATGGCCAGGCATGGTGGCTTATGCCTGTAATCCCAGCACTTTGGGAGGTCAAGGTGGGTGGATCACGAGGTCAGGAGATCGAGACCATCCTGGCTAACATGGTGAAACCCCGTCACTGCTAAAAATACAAAAAATTAGCCGGGTGTGGTGGCGGGCGCCTGTAGTCCCAGCTACTCAGGGAGGCTGAGGCAGGAGAATGGTGTGAACCCAGGAGGCGGAGCTTGCAGTGAGCCAAGATCATGCCACTGCACTCCAGCCTGGGCGACAAAGCGAGACTCCATCTCAAAAAATAAAAAAAGCATAAGGAATCCTACAAAAATGCTACATACATAAATTTGACAACTTGGATTAAATGGACTAATTCTTTGAAAATCACAAACTACCACAACTCACCTAATAAAAGAAGATAATCTGAACAGTACCATAACTATTAATGAAGGTGATTCATAGTTTTAAAGAAATATTCAAGCCCAGGTAGTTTCATTGTAGAAACATTTAAAAAAGAATTAAGGCCCGGCGTGGTGGCTCACCCCTATAATCCCAGCACTTTGGGAGGCCGAGGCAGGTGGATCACCTGAGGTCAGGAGTTCAAGATCAGCCTGACCAACATGGTGAAACTCTGTCTCTACTAAAATACAAAAAAATTAGCCAGGCGTGGTGGCACGCATCTGTAACCCCAGCTACTCGTGAAGCTGAAGCACGAGAATCTATTGAACCCAGGAGGCGGAGGTTGCAGTGAGCCAAGATCGCGCCACTGCACTCCAGCCTGGGTGACAGAGTGAGACCCTGTCTCAAAAAAAATTTTTAAAAAAGAATTAAATCAATTCTACACAAACTCTTCCAGAGCACAGAAGGAAAATTTCTCAATTCATTTTATAAAAGGCTATATTACCCTGATACTGAAATCAGATGAAGACAGTTCCAAAAAACAAAACAAAGGAAAAACTATAGACCAGTATCATTCATGAATATACAGATGCAAAAATTGTTAACAAAATATTACCAAATAGAATTCAGCAAGATATAAAAAGAATTACATACCATGACCAAGTGAGAATTATTCCAGGGACATAAGACTAGTTCAATGTTCAAAAATTAATCAATATAATCCACTATATTAAGAGACTAAAGAAAAAGACCCATGTGATCATGCAACAAACGCAGAAAAGCATGTGCTAAAACTGAATACCTATCCAGGACAGAAGCTCTCAGAAAAATAGAATTTAAAGGGAATATCCTCAACCTGATAAAGAGTATCCACAAAACCATCCTGGCTAACACGGTGAAACCTCATCTCTACTAAAAATACAAAAAATTAGCTGGGTGTGGTGGCGGGCGCCTGTAGTCCCAGCTACTCGGGAGGCTGAGGCAGGAGAATGGCGTGAACCCGGGAGGCGGAGCTTGCAGTGAGTGGGGATCACGCCACTGCACTCCAGCCTGGGCAACAGAGCGAGACTCTGTCTCAAAAAAAAAAAAAAAAAAAAAAAAAAAAAAAAAAAAAAGAACATCTACAAAAACACCTCACCTACAGCTAACATTATACTCTCTGTGATGAAACATTGAATTCTTTCCTCCTAAAATCAGGAACAGGAACACAGCAAGGACATCTACTTTGTCACTCTTAAATATTTGACATAGTACTGGAAGTTCTAGCCAATGCAATAAGGTAAGAAGAGGAAATAAAAGGCATAGAAATCCAAAAATACAGAAATATTTGCAGATAACATAATTGTCCACACAGAAAATACTAAGGAATCTACAAAAATTCTCCTAGAATGAACAATTCTAGCATAGTATTAAGCTGACAAGATAGAAGATAAACATATAAAAATCAATTATTGGGACAGGATCGTGGAAGACTGACAGAGTAGGAAGCATCAAGAATCTGTATTTCCACCTAAACAAAAACTGCACCTGCAGAATCTGTTTGATGCAACTATTTAGGAACTCTGGAGTCTATTGGGAGGACTGCAACTTCCAGGGGGAAACCTGGATAGTAAATGACAAATTATGGTTAATTCTGGTTAATTTCAGCCCAGCTACTGCTATGGTTTTAATGTGTCCCTCCAAAAGCAAGGTGTTGAAACTCAGTAGCTAATGTGCTAGTATTAAAAGTTGGGCCTTTGAGAGGGGATTATGCCACAAGGGTTCCTTCCTCATGAATGGGATTAAGGCCCTTACAAAGAGGTATCACACAGCATTTGGATTTCCTGCTCTTATTCCTTCAGCCATGTGAGAACAAAGTGTTCCTCTACTCCAGAGGATGCAGCCCTCACCAAACAACTGAACATGCCAGCACCCTGATCTTGGACTTCCTAACCTCCAGAACTGTGAGGGAAAAAAATCCTGTTCTTTATAGATTACCCAGTCTGTGGTATTCTGTGATAGCAGCACAAAATGGAATAAACAACTCAGCCCGTAGGCCCTTAGTAGGCAACTGTACACGTGCTCCTGGAGTAGTCTGCAGGCAGTTCACAGGAGCCAGGATGGTCAAAAAGGACCCTGTCCTCCAAAAACTAGGTATGTGTGTTTTGATTGCCGAATGCAGCTTCTGACCTTGCAGTCACAGGGGCAGCTATGGTTGCACCCCTCCTCCCATTGTTGCAAGCCCTTCCCCTTCAGGCTGAAGCAACTTCAGGAGAGTTAAAGGGCCACCGACCTTTTATTTCCCCCATCCCCTTCATTTTTCTCTTTTTTCCCTTTTGGGGAAATAGACATTTAAAGTCTAGGAAATTCAAAAGTAACCACACACGGGAATTTTTAAAGTCTCTGTGAGTCACACATGGTTGGCTCATGCTTGTAATCCCAGTATTTTGAGACGCTGAAATGCAAGGATTGCTTAAGGCCAGGATTTGAGACAAGCCTGGGCAATGCAGTGAGACCCTGTCTCTACAAAAAAGATGAAAACATCAGCCAAGCTTGGAGGTGTACACCTGTAGTCCCAGCTACTCAGGAAGCTAAGGTGGGAGGACTGCTTGAGCCCAGAAACTTGAGTCTACAAGTAGCTACGATCCTGCCACCATATACCAGCCTGAGAAACATGGAGACCACAAAGAAAACAGCTATAAAATATACAAATATACACAAAAGAAAATGAGAAGGGAATTAAAACATTTCACTGCAAAAACTCAACTAAATGGCCTAGCGCAGTGGCTCACGCCTGTAATCCCAATACTTTGGGAGGTGAGGCGGGTGGATCACTTGAGGTCAAGAGTTCGAGACCAGCCTGACCAACATGGTGAAACCGTCTCTACTAAAAATACAAAAATTAGCCAGGTGTGGTGACACACATCTGTAATTCCAGCTATGCAGGAGGCTGATGCAAGAGAATCGCTTGAACCTGGGAGGCTGAGGTCGCAGTAAGCTGAGATTGTGTCACTGCACTCCAGGCTGGGTGACAGAGCAAGACTCTGTCTCAAAAAAAAAAAAAAAAAAAAAAACAACTAAACACAAAAGAAGACAGTAATGTAGAAAATTATTTTTTTGTTTTGATTTTTTTTTTTTTTGAGATGGAGTTTTGCTCTGTCGTCCAGGCTGGGGGTGCAATGGTGCAATCTTGGCTCACTGCAACCTCTGCCTCCCGGGTTCAAGAGATTCTCATGCCTCGGCCTCCTGAGTAGCTGGGATTACAGGTGCCCGCCACCATGCCTGGCTGATTTTTTGTATTTTAGTAGAAACGGGCTTTCACCATCTTGTCCATGCTGGTCTCGAACTCCTGAGCTCAGGCAATCTGCCTGTCTTGGCCTCCCAAAGTGCTAGGATTACAGGCATGAGCACCATCCCCGGCGAGTAATGTAGAAAATTAAGGAAAAAGACAGATAGGCATATAAAGACTGAAATAACAGAAGTCCCTCCTTATCAGTAATTGGCTTAAATGGATTAAACCCTCCCATCAAAAGACAAACTGGCAGAACGGACAAAAAACTGACAGGGTGTGCACCTATAGTCTCAACTACCTGGGAGGCTGGGTAGGGGCGCGGATCACTGGAACTCAGGAGTTTGAGGCTTTAGTGCATTATGATATAGTACACTGTGAATATTTACTGTACTCCAGCCTGGGCAACACAGTCAGACCCTGTCTCTAAAATTAATTAATAAAATAAATTTTAAAATAAAAAAACATGAACCAATTATATGTTGTCTACAAGAGACACTTTAGATCTAGACACACAAATAGGTTAAAAGTGCAAGAATGAAAAAAGATACTCCACACAAACAGTAACCTAAAGATAGCAGGGACGGCTATAAATAAGCCTGTCACAAAAAGACAAATGCCATATGATCCACTTACATAAGTAGCCGAATTCACAGAGAGAGGAGGTAGAATGGTGGTTGCCAGGGGCTGCAGGGAGGGTGAATGGTGAGTTATTGTTTAATGAGTACAGAGTTTCAGCTTTGCAAGATGAAGAGATCTGAAAATGAATGGTTGTGATGGCTGCATAGCAATGTTGATACGCTTAGTACAACTGCACCGTACACTTAAAAACCGTTAAAATGGTAAATTTTATGTTATGTGCATTTTACTATATGCAAAAAAGTCAACTATATTATTGGGAAAAATGTCAACTATATGATTGGGAAAATGCAAATCAATACCACAATGAGATACTACTTCACACCCAATTACATGGTTATTATCAAAGAAACCCGAAAATAACAAGCATTGATGAGGATGTAGAGAAACTGTAATCCTGGTAGGAATATAAAATGGTGCAGCCACTGTGGAAAACAGTTTTGTCATTCTTCAAAAAATTAAAAATGAGGCCGGATGCAGTGGCTTATGCCTGTAATCCCAGCACTTTTGGAGGCCAAGGCGGGCAGATCATCTGAGGTCAAGAGTTCAAGACCAGCCTGGCCAACATGGTGAAACCCCATCTCTACTAAAAAAATTAGTCGGGCCTGGTGGCGGGTGCCTGTAATCCCAGACACTTGGGAGGCTGAGGCAGGAGAATCACTTGAACCCGGTAAGCGGAGGGTGCGGTGAGCCAAGATCGCGCCATTGCACTCCAGCCTGGGAAACAGAGCAAGACTCTGTCTTAAAAAAAAAATTAAAAATGGAATTACCATATGACCCAGCAAATCCACTTCTTGTATATATCCAAAAATCTTAAAAGCAGGGTCTTGGAGAAATATCTGTGCACTCATATTCAAAGCAGCATTATTCACAAAAGCCAAACAGTGACAGCAACCCAAGTGTACATCAACAAATGAATGATAAACAAAGCATGAAATATATATGCAATGGAATAGCACTCAGCCTTAAAGAGGAAGGAAATTTTGACATACTACAACATGGCAAAATCCCTAAAACACTATGCTAAGTAAAACAAGTAAGTCACAAAAGGGAAAATACTGTATGATTCCACTCAGATGAGGTACCTCGAATAGTCAAATTCATAGAGAAACAGAATGGTGGTTACCAAGGTCTGGGATGAAGGGGAGAATGATAAGAATGATGACTTTAATGGGTGTAGTGTTTCAGTTCTGAAAAATAAATAATGTTCTGTGGATAGACAGTAGTGATGATTCCACAACTAGTGGAACATGTGAATGTACTACTTAATACCACTGAACTGCACACTTGAAATATTTTAAATGGTAAATTTTATGTTATGTATATTTTGCCACAACTTTTAAAAAATAAATAATTTTTAAAACTCAGTTGAATTTCTATAGCTTAACAATTAACATACAGACTGAAATTAAAAATACATCACTGTTTACAATCATTACAAAAATGAAATACTTAGGTATAAAAGCTAACAAGACATATATATGACATGTGCTAAAAACTATAAAACACTGGCCAGGCGCAGTGGCTCACGCCTGTAATCCCAACACTTTGGGAGGCCGAGGCGGGCGGATCACGAGGTCAAGAGATCGAGACTATCCTGATCAACATGGTGAAACCCTGTCTCCACTACAAATACAAAATATTGCCAGACGAGGTGGCTCACGCCTGTAATCCCAGCACTTTGGGAGGCCGAGGCAGGTGGATCACCTAAGGTCAGGAGTTCGAAACCAGCCTGACCAATATGGTGAAACCCCGTCTCTACTAAAAAACACAAAAATTAGCTGGGCATGGTGGCCTGCGCCTGTAGTCTCAGCTACTTGGGAGTCTGAGGCAGGAGAATCGCTTGAACCTGAGAGGTGGAGGTTGCAGTGAGCCAAGATCGTGCCACTGCACTCCAGCCAGGGTGACAGAGTGAAACTCTTGTCTCCAAAAATAAATAAATAAATAAATAAATAAATAATAAAATAAATAAATAAATAAATATATATATATAAAATTAGCTGGGCATGGTGGCACATGCCTGTAGTCCCAGCTACTCGGCAGGCTGAGGCAGGAGGATCGCTTGAACCTGGGAGGCGGAGGTTGCAGTGAGCTGAGATCGCACCACTGCACTCCAGCCTGGTGACAGAGCAAGACTCCATCTCAGAAAAAAAAAAAAAAGGAAAAAGAAAGAAAGAAAAAAAATTGGTTGGGCACAGTGGCTCACTCCTGTAATCCCAGCACTTTGGGAGGTTGAGACGGGCGGATCACCTGAGGTCAGGAGTTCAAGACCAGCCTGGCCAACATGGTGAAACCCCGTCTCTACTAAAAATAGAAAAATTAGCCGGGCATGGTAGTGGGCACCTATAACTCCAGCTACTCAGGAGGCTGAGCAGAGACAATTGCTTGAATCCGGGAGGTGGAGGTTGCAGTGAGCCGAGATCCTGCCACTGCACTCCAGACTGGGTGATAGAGCGAGACTTCGTCTCAAAAAAAAAATAAAAAAAAGAAATAGAAAAGGAGAACCACAAAAGACTCCAAAGAGATCCTGAGCAAAAGGAACAAAGTTGGAGACATCACACTACTTGACCCTAAACTGCAATGCTCTAGTAACCAAAACAGCATGGTACTGGCATAAAAACAGACATACAGACCAATGGAACAGAATAGAGAATCCGGAAATCCATGTATTTACAGTCAACTGATTTTCAACAAAAGCACCAAGAACATACACTGGAGCAAGTGCAGTGTTTTTAATAAGTGGTGCTGAGAAAACTAGATATCCATTTGCAGAAATAAGGAGCTAGACCCCCTAACTCTCACCATATATAAAACCAACTCAAAATAAATTAAAGATATAAACGTTTACACCTGAAACTATGAAATTATTAGAAGATGATGTAGGAGAAATGCTTCAGGACATTGGTCTGGGCCAAGATTTTAGGAAGACCTCAAAAGCACAGGCAACAAAAGCAAAACTAAACAAATGTGATTATATAAAACTAAAATGCTTCTGCACAGTAAAGGCAACAATTAAAAGAATAAAGAGGCAACCTGTAGAATGGGAGAAAATATTTGCAAACTATTCATCTGACAAGGGATTAATATCCAGAATATACAAAGAACTCAAACAAGAGCAAAAAACCCCCCACAAATAATCCAATTAAAAAATGGGTAAATGAATTGGAATAGACATCTCTCAAAAGAAGACATATAAATGGTCAAGAGGCATATGAAAAAAAAATCCTCAATGTCACTAATCATCAGGGAATTGCAAATCAAAACCACCATGAGATACCATCTTGCCCTAATTAGGATGGGTGTAAGCAAAAAGACAAAAACTGCTGGGCGTGGTGGCTCACACCTGTAATCACAGCACTCTGGGAGGCTGAGGCAGGTGGACTGCCTGAGCTCAGGGGTTCGAGACCAGACTGGGCAACATGGTGAAACCCCGTCTCTACTAAAATACAAAAAATTAGCTAGGCGTGGTAGCGTGTGCCTGTAGTTGCAGCTACTCAGGAGGCTGAGGCATGAGAACTGCTTGAACCTGAGAGGCGGAGGTTGTAGTTAGCCAAGATGATGCCACTGCACTCCAGCCTGGGCAACAGAGTGAGACTGTCTCCACAAAAAAAAAAAAGACAAAAACTAACAAATGCTGGTGAGGATTTAGAGAAAGAATTCATATACAAAGTTCTTGGAAATGTAAGATGATATAGCCACTATGAACAGTATGGAGGTTCCTCATGGGAGGAATAGGATTAATGAACATAGGAGTGCAGATATGTCTGACATATTCATTTCCCTTCCTTTGGATATACCCAGAATCAGGATTGCTAGATTATATGGTAGTTCTAGTTTTTGTTTTTTAAGGAACCGCCATACTATTATAAACACTATTCACAATAGCCAAGACATGGAATCAACCTAAGTTCCTATCGACAGATGAATGAATAAAGAAACTGTGGCATGCATATACATACATACATACATACATATATATGGTGAAATACTACGTAACCACAAAAAAGAATGAAATTCTGTCATTCATGGCAACATGGATGAGTTTGGAGGATATCATGTTCAGAGAAATAAGGCAGGCACAGAAAGATAAATAACACATGTTCTCACTCATGACGAAGCTAAAAAAGTTGATCTCATAGACGTACAGAGTACAATAATGGTTACTAGAGGCTGGGATGGGTAGGGGAAGGTGGGTGTATCAGACATTGGTTAACAAATACAAAAGTACAGCCAGATAGGTGGAATGAATTCTAGTGTTCTATAGTGCTATAGGGTGACTGTAATGACTATTATTTTTTAATTTTTTTGAGACAGAGTCTCACTTTGTCTCCCAGGCTGGAGTGCAGTGGCGCGATCTTGGCTCACTCCGCCTCCCAGGCTCAAGCAATCCTCCTGCATCAACCTCCCAAGTAGCTGGGATTACAGGTGTGTGCCACCACCCCGGCTAATTTTTTTTGTATTTTTAGTAGAGACAGTGTTTCACCATGCTGGCCAGGCTGGTCTCGAACTCCTGACCTCAAGTGATCTGCCCGCCTTGGCCTCCCAAAGTGATGGGATTACAGGAGTGAGCCAACATGCCCAGCCAGGTGACTGTAATTAAAAACAACTTATGGTACATTTTCAAATAACTAGAAGAACAGATTTTGAATATTCCCAACACAAAGAAATGATAAATGTTTGAGGTGATGGATATGTTAATTACTCTGATTTGATCATTACCCATTGTATATGTGTATTGAATTATCACAGTGTACCCCATAAATATGTATGATTATTATGTGTCAAATTAAAAATAACAAACAAAAATTTTTAAAAACCAAAGCAACATCTACACTCAGCTTTTATAATTAATATAGAAGCAACACTGGCATTAGAAAATTATGATTTTGCAGTCAGTGCAGAAATAGCTGATTCAGACAAGAATCACTGGGTGCTAAAACTAGCAGATGAGATATTGATGAGAAACAGAGTATTTACATAGTCTCAAAGTACTTCCCACAAATTATTACAAGGGTCAAATGGTAAGTTTATTGTGGAGAGACCAAGCAGACACCACCTAACCAAGCGATCCAACTTATCACCAGTAATAGGACAAACAGAAATCCTATGCCTTCTTTTTTTTTTTTTTTTTTGAGATGGAGTCTCACTCAGTCTCCCAGGCTGGAGTGCAGTGGCGCGATCTTAGGTCACTGCAAGCTCCACCTCCCGGGTTCAAGCCATTGTCCTGCCTCAGCCTCCCCAGTAGCTGGGACTACAGGCGCCTGCCACCTCGCCTGGCTAATTTTTTTGTATTTTTAGTAGAGACGGGGATTCACCGTGTTAGCCAGGATGGTCTCGATCTCCTGACCTCGTGATCCGCCCAACTCGGCCTCCCAAAGTGCTGGGATTACAGGCGTGAGCCACCGCGCCCGGCCCTGTGCCTTCTTATATGATACACTGAGAGAAAAAAACCATCATACCAATGGTATGCCTGCCAAAAATGAATAATTTTTTTTTTTTTTGAGACTGAGTCTCGCTCTGTTGGTCAGGCTAGACTGCAGTGGTGTGATCTCAGCTCACTGCAACCTCCGCCTCCCGGGTTCAAGTGATTCTCTGGCCTCAGCCTCCCCAGTAGCTGGGATTATAGGTGCCTGCCAACATGTCCGGCTAATTTTTGTATTTTTAGTAGAGACAGGGTTTCACCATGTTGGCCAGGCTAGTCTAGAGCTCCTGGCCTCAAGTGATTCACCCGCCTCAGCCTCCCAAAGTGCTGGGATTACAGGCATGAGCCACCATGCCCGGCCAAAAAAAAAAAATGAATAATCTTAATCTAATCCTGAGGAAGTATCAGGCAAGCCCAAACTGAGGAATATTCCACAAAATAACTGGCCTGAATTCTTCAAAAATTCCAGTCCGAGAAAGGCAAAAGCTGAGATGTTTGTATTAAAAGGGGCTAAAGAAACATGATAACTAAATTCGATGTGTCCTTCTACATTGTAATCTGACCTAGCGGGGACAGAAGGGGGGAAATCTCTATATGACATTATTGGGATAATTGGCAAAATTTTATAAAGGTCTGTGGATTAGATGAACAGTACTATAACAATGTAAAATTTACAGCTTTTGATAACTGTGTTTTTTTTGTTTTTTTTTTTTTTCCTCAAGACGGAGTCTCGCTCTGTCGCCCAGGCTGGAGTGCGGTGGCGCGGTCTCGGCTCACTGCAAGCTCCGCCTCTCGGGTTCACGCCATTCTCCTGCCTCAGCCTCCTGAGTAGCTGGGACTACAGGCGCCCGCCACCACGGCTAATTTTTAGTAGAGATGGGGTTTCACTGTGTTAGCCAATAATTGTGTTGTTTTTACGTAAAAGAATGTCTTAGTACTCAGGATATACATTCTGAAATATTGAAGGTTAAAGGAGCATTATATATACAACTTAGTCTCAAATGGTTCAGGAAAAGGGTATACAGAAAAATAAAATGATAAGTCAAAAGGGGCATAATATTAATAATTGGTAAAACTAGGTAAAGTATATATGGAAGTTCCTTATACCATTCCTGCAAATTGTCTGCTAGTCTGAAATTATATCACAATATAAAGTTACCAAAAAAAGCCAAAATATTTGTTGAATTGCAAGTGGGGAAAATCCCAGCCTAGATGTAGTATAACTAAGGTTTTATTAGAGCGCTGGCAAACTGATGACTACAGCTTATTGAAATTTGGGCTGGGCACAATGGCTCACACCTGTAATCCCAGCACCTTGGGAGGCCTGGCAGGGGGGCGGGGGGTGGGGCGCGCAGATAACCTGAGGTAAAGAGTTCGAGACTAGCCTGGCCAACTTGCTGAAGCCCCATCTTTACTAATAATACAAAATTAGCTCGATGTGGTGGCGCCCACTTGTAATCCCTGCCACTCGGAAGGCTGAGGTATGAGAATTGCTTGAACCCAGGAGGTGGAAGTTGCAGTGAGCCAAGATCATGCCACTGCACCCCAGCCTGGGTGACAGAGTGAGACTGTCTCAAAAAAGGAAAAAAAGAAAAAATAAATAAATTTGTACAGTCTTCATTTTTACGGTTCAAAAATAACTTTCATTTATAAAAATCAATTAACATTTACCTTTTCCTCTCTTCCTTTATTCTGTTCTTTCTTTTCACGACAACGAACAGCTTTCCCTCTGTCATTGTGAACATTCTGTGCAGATGAACGGTGAACTCTGACAGTTGTACTTGGACGATTACCATGTGATTTAGGGTCACTGTACTGAGAAGATTGGCGTTTTCTAGGTCCTGGTGAGGGTCTAATCAAACAAAAACTCATTAATATCATAATCAACTCCACATATGGATGAACACACATACTGTGTAAGTTAAGAGTCTATGAACTAAAGAAGCCAATGCAACAACTGAACACAAGACACGACTGAATAAACTTCAGGATGTTGAAACCTAAGATCTAAAATTTAAATCTGGGCAAGGCGCGGTGGCTCACACCTGCAACCCTAGCATTTTGGGAGGCCAAGGTGGGTGGATCACTTGAGGTCAGGAGTTCAAGACCAGCCTGGCCAACATGTTGATACCCCGTCTCTACTAAAAATACAAAAAATTAGCCAGGCGTGGTGGTGTGCACCTGTAATCCCAGCCACTCGGGAGGCTGAAGCAGGACAATCGTTTGAACCTGGGAGGTGGAGACTGGAGTGAGCCAAGATCATGCCACTGTACTCTATCCTGGGCAACAGAACGAGACTCCGTTTCAAAAAAATAAAAATAAAATAAAATTTAAATCTGATATATCTGTTGGTGATTTAATTAAAGGAATGCAGTATAGTTATATTACAGAAATAATGGAGGGGAAGTAATGGTCACCTCTACTTAGAAAGGAAATTGTTGTATATCAAAGATGAATGCATCTGATTGTTGGAAACTGAAAAAAAATTATCAGAGAAGAGAGTTTTATCGAGACAACCAGAATACAATACAAGTATTCAATTCACATTTATCCAATGGTATGTATGTAATTTGGTACCATTTATTTAGAATATACAGATTGAGTAACCCTTATTCAAAATTCTGGGGACCAGAAGTGTTTTGAATTTTGGATTTTTTCAGATTTTGGAATATTTCCATATACATACCAGCTGAGCATCTCTAATCTGAAAATCCACAATCTAAAATGTCCCAATGAGCACTTCCTTTGGCATGACCTTTGAGTGTCATGTTGGTGCTCAAAAAGTTTCAGTTTTTGAAACACTTTGAATTTTCGGATCAGGGAAGCTCAATCTATACCATAATTTTTGTGTTTTAATTAATAAAATTTAATCATTTTCCCATTTAAAAAACTGATATAGCACTAGCTATGAACAGTTACTAGAACTCATGTTCAGTGCTTTACATTTACATACATCACCTCATTTCACCTTTATGTATTTATTTTTTATTATTATTATTTTTTGAGACAAGGTCTTGCTCTGTCACTGCAGCCTTGACCTCCCAAGCTCAAGCAATCCTCCCACCTCAGCCTCCCGAGTAGCAAGGACTACAGCCACATGGCACCACACAAGGCTAATTTTTGTATTTTGTAGAGACAAGGTCTCACTATGTTGCCTAGGCTAGTATCAAACCCCTGGGCTCAATCGATCCTCCCACCTTGGCCTCCCAAAGAGCTGGGACTACAGGCGTGAGCCCCTGTGTTGGTCCTCATTTCATCCTTATTTCTATAACAGAATTCAGACTTCTCAAATATCTGTTAGGCTCCTACTCTGCTCCCAGATTTGGTTGCAGCCATTTACAAGGGGGAAAACAAACAAACAAAAAAGGAGTCCTATTCTCAAATAAACCACAGTATAGTTAAACAGACAGAAGCTATGTAAAGCTAGGCACGTATACTAGATGGTGTGAAACAGACCTAGCACCATGGCAATGGGAATGGCCTCATGAAGACAGAAAAGAAACTGGGACTGGAAATGCAGGAGTTGAACTAAACAAGAGGGTACAATTATAGACAGAACATCAGTAAAGAAAAGCAAAGAAACAAAAATGAGCTTAATCCATGTAAAGGATAATAAAGACACCAGTCTAACACATAATGCTGAACATTAAGTGATAATACTGAGCAGAAATGGTTCGGTCCATAGAAGATATGAATACCAGTTCAAGAGGCTTAGCTTTTAGCTAACTGCCAACAAGGATCCACTGAAAACATTTTAGAAAGATTAGTCTAATACTGAACATGATATACTGATAAAGAAAACACAGAAAGCAGTGAGATGTTTGTGATTACAAATATCACTGAGACATGAGATGAGGGCCTAGTTTAAGGGAGTAACAATGAGAAGAGTCTCAGAGACACTCTAGTAGTAAAGACACTTCAGGCCGGGCACGGTGGCTCACAATCCCAGCAATTTGGGAGGCTGAAGTGGGTAGATCATGTGAGGCCAGGAGTTCGAGACCAGCCTGGCCAACATAGCAAAACTCCATCTCTACTAAAAATACAAAAAATTAGCTGGGTGTGGTGGCACGCACTGGTAATCCCAGCTACTCAGGAGGCTGAGGCAAAAGAATCACTTGAACCCAGGAGGCAGAGGTTGCAGTCAGCCGAGATTGCACCACTGCACTCCAGCCTGGGAAACAGACCACGACTGTCTCAAAAAGAAAGAAAAGATACTCCTAGGCTGGGTGCGGTGGCTCACGCCTGTAATTCCAGTACTGTGGGAGGCCGAGGCAGGTGGATCACCTGAGGTCAGGAGTTCAAGACCAGCCTGGCCAACATGGCGAAACCCCGTCTCTACTAAAAATACAAAAATTAGATGGGCATGGTGCTGTGGACCTGTAATCTCAGCTACTTGGGAGGCTGAGGCATGAAAATCGCTTGAACCCAGGAGGCAGAGGTTGCAGTGAGCCGAGCTCACGCCACTGCACTCCAGCCTGGGTGACAGAGCGAGACTCCATCTCAAAAAAAAAAAAAAGACACTCCCAGATGTGGAAAGTTGAGAATGAGAATTTGGGAGGATGATAACACCAAACTAACGTGTATGTGAAGCAATGATGGGGGTTCAATTTTGGATTCAGGAAGTATTTCTGTGTATGTATTTTTCCCTTTGCTAGAGAAATAATACAAAATAGACACTGACATATAATAAAGTATAGTTGGCCTTCCATATCTGCAGATTCCACAATGTGGAGTCGACCAATTGCCAATGAAAAATATTTTGAAAATAAAGATGGTTGAGTCGGTACTGAACATGTACAAACCTTTTTTTGTCATTACTCTCTATATAATATAGTGAAACAACTATTTATATAACATTTACTTTTTTTTTTTTTTTTTTTTGAGACGGAGTCTCGTTCTGTCGCCCAGGCGGGAGTGCTGTGGCGCGATCTCCGCTCACTGCAAGCTCCGCCTTCCGGGTTCACGCCATTCTCCTGCCTCAGCCTCCCGAGTAGCTGGGACTACAGGCGCCCGCCACTGCGCCCGGCTAATTTTTTGTATTTTTAGTAGAGACGGGGTTTCACCGTGGTCTCGATCTCCTGACCTCGTGATCCGCCCGCCTCGGCCTCCCAAAGTGCTGGGATTACAGGCGTGAGCCACCGCGCCCGGCCAACATTTACTTTTACATACAATGTTACATATAACATTGTATTAGGTGTTACAAGTAATCTAAATATGATTTAAAGCATACAGGAGGATGTGTGCAGGGTATGTGCAAATATACACCATCTGGCTGGACGCAGTGGCTCACGCCTGTAATCTCAGCACTTTGGGAGGCTGAGGCAGGTGGATCACCTGAGGTCAGGAGTTCGAGAACAGCCTGGCCAACATGGTAAAACCCCGTCTCTACTAAAAATACAAAAATTAGCCTGGCCTGGTGGCAGGCGCCTATAATCCCAGTTACTTGGAAAGCTGAGGCGGAAGAATCGCTTGAACCCGGGAGGCGGAGGTTGCAGTGAGCTGAGGTCATGCCACTGCACTCCAGCCTGGGCAACAGAGTGAGACTCCATCTTAAAAAATAATAATAATAATTTCAACAACAACCCTTACTGTCATAGACTTACATACGTGTGTGTGTATAAGCAGTGCATGAAACAGTACATCAGGTAATATTAAGTGCTATCAAGAAGAATAAAGAAGGGGGCCAGGCATGGTGGCTCATGCCTGTAATCCCAGCACTTTGAGGCTGAGGCAGGTGGATCATTTGAGGTCAGGAGTTTGAAACCCGTCTGGCCAACATGGAGAAACCCCATCTCTACTAAAAATACAAAAATTTGGCTGGCCGTGGTGGCTCACACATGTGATCCCAGTACTTTGGGAGGCCAAGGCAGGTGGATCACTTGAGGTCAGGAGTTCAAGACCAGGCGGACAGATCACTTGAAGTCAGGAGTTCGAGACTAGCCTGGCAAATATGGCGAAACCCTGTCTACTAAAAATACAAAAAAATTAGCTGGGCGTGGTGGTGCATGCCTGTAATCCCAGCTACTTGGGAGGCTGCAGTAAGCCAAGATTACACCACTGCATTCCAGCCTGGACGACAGAGTGAGACTCCATCTCAAAAAAAAAAAAAAAAAAAAAATTGTTGGGTAATTATTCCAGCTACTCAGGAAGCTGAGGCATTAGAATTGCCTGGACCCAGGAGGTGGAGGCTACAGTGAGCTGAGATGCACTATTGCATTCCAGCCTGGGTGACAGAGTGAGACTCTGTCTCAAAAAAAAAGAGAAGGGAAAGGGGCTACAGGATCATCAGGGGTGGTTTTTAGGTGGCAAAGTCAGAGACAGACTTTCTGAGGTGACAACTGAGTAGAGACCTAAATGAAAGAAGGGAACAGGTCATTCAGCACTGGAGCTGAGGGAAAGGCAGGTGAAAGGAGTGAAGCATTTGTGGGCTGGGCTTGTTCAAGGCCACAGCACAGTGCCTGAGGGAGAGAGCTGTAAGAACTTAGGTTCCAGAGGCTGTGGGGAACCAGGTCTCATAGGGCTTGAAAGACATGAAAACTCTGGGTTTTATTCTGTGAGATGGGAAGATATTTGAGGGACATCAGCTGACATTTGAAAAGAATGTCACATCTAGTGGCATTTAAGCTATGTCTAACCTTTTCTATATAAGGCTTTAATGAACCTCCTTGTACTCACATTTTTTTTTTTTGAAACGGAGTGTCTGTCGCCCAGGCTGGAGTGCAGTGGCGCCATCTCGGCTCACTGCAAGCTCCGCCTCCTGGGTTCACGCCATTCTCCTGCCTCAGCCTCCAGAGTAGCTGGGACTACAGGTGCCTGTCACCATGCCCGGCTAATTTTTTTTTTTTTTTTTTGTATTTTTAGTAGAGACGGGGTTTCACTGTGTTAGGCAGAATGGTTTCGAACTCCCGACCTTGGCATCCGCCCGCCTCGACCTCCCAAAGTGCTGGGATTACAGGCGTGAGCCACCGTGCCTGGCCTGTACTCACATTTTTTGTGTACAATTCTAGAAGAGAATACTGGATCAGTTGAATCTGTTCTTTAATGGTACTAAAATTTAGCTGATCATAAGGTTAGGATCACCAACATAGGTGAAGAAAGAATGACTCTCGGCCGGGAGCATAGGCTCACGCCTGTAATCCCAGCACTTTGGGAGGCCAAGGCAGGTGGATCACGAGGTCAGGAGTTCGAGATCAGCTTGGCCAACAAGGTGAAACCCCGTCTCTACTAATAATACAAAAATTAGCCGGGCATGGTGGCACACACCTGTAGTCCCAGCTACATGGGAGGCTGAGGCAGGAGAATTGCTTGAACCTGGGAGGCAGAGGTTGCAGTGAGCTGAGATTGTGCCACTGCACTCCAGCCTGGGCAACAGAGCGAGACTCCATCTCAAAAAAAAAAAAGAAAAAAAAAAGAATGACCCTCTTAAGCATGAGTACAAATAAAGACTAATAGAAAAATAAAAAGAATATTAAAAGATGCCCAGTTAAGAGAGCAAGTAAAATAAATTATAGGAAGAAACAGATGCCACAAATAAAGTCAAAGAGGAAAACTTACCAGTAATCTAGAGCATTCAAAATCAGGAACAGAAAACGATACAGAAGAAAGCGAGAAGCAATAAGAAGGAACACCATTTAGGGCTTAACTTCCCACCACCCCTCAGAGGAAATCCTCCCTCTCTGCTTGTGAGACTGAGGTGACCAAATACTTCATTAAATTCAGAATCAACTGATTTCCCACTGGGAACATCTATTTGTTGGAAAGATCTTACCAATAACTGAGAGGAGTTACAGGACTGTTAGAGGCTGAATGTTTGTGTCCTCCCCAAAGTTCATATGTTAAAGCCCCAGTGCGCAATATGAATATTAGGAGTAAGGAAGTAAGTAAGAGTCCCTGATGTGAAAGAGCTTACTCACTCTCTCTGTCATGTGAGCACACAGACAGAAGGTGGCTGTCTGCTCAGGAAGAGAGCCCTCACCTGGAACCAAATTGGCCACATCTTGATCTTGGACTTCCCGGCCTCCAGAAGTGTGAGAAACAAATGTATGTTGTTTAAGCCACCCAGTGTATGGTATTTTATTGTGGTAGCCCAAGCAGACTAATACAAGACCCAAGTGATGATTCTCCAGAAGGAGAAAAGAGCAAGTAAATAAGAATAAAACAAATTAACAGACAAAAGCAAAAACACAACTTGACTCATCTATTAGTTCTACTTCTGAAATTAGGGGAAAAAATTATAAATGTGGAAAAATTTTTACAACCATTCAGTGCAACTTTATTTATAATAATGAAAAAAGAAGGGAAAAAACATTAAGAGCATGGTTAACTATATATAGGTTACATACCAGTCAGAACAGTGGCAAATAACTCTTAAAAAACTGCAGAGAAAAAGATCTGACATGGTATATAAATCATAAATGTTTAAAATATGAAGAGCAAATTACTTAACCTATCTTAGCTTATCCTCATCAGAAATTGGGGCTAAAAAAATTAGTACCTACCTTCTAAGGTGGTTTTGAGAATTAAATAATACATGTAAAACAACAAACACAGTACCTGGCACACAGTAATATGCAATGATTGTTGACTATTATTAGGATTTTTCTTAAAAGAGGGTACAATGTTGTAAATTATGGATATAGCACACCTGCAACTATGAAAATAATGCATAAAAGAACAGAAGGAAACAAGCTAGGATGACTATGTGATTTTCCCCCTACTTCAATGAATTTTTCTATTTTTCTTTAATGAGCTACTGTGCTTTAGTGAACTATTATGTACTATAACAAGAAATGTAATTATGTGAAAGTGCGTATGAGGCAAGGGAAAAATTTAGTAAATATCCAAAGGATATCAGGAGTCAGTAACAGAACATTAGTACAGTCCTTTTATGTGGAGATTAAGAAAATAAAAGTTGCGGCTGGGTGCGGTGGCTCACGCCTATAATCCCAACATTTTGGGAGGCCAAGGCGAGTGGATCACCTGAGGTCAGGAGTTCAAGACCAGCCTGGCCAACACGGTGAAACCCCGTCTCTACTAAAAATACAAAAATTAGCCGGGCGTGGTGGCACGTGCCTGTAATTCCAGCTACTTGGGAGGCAGAGACAGGAGAATTGCTTGAACCGGGAGGCGGAGGTTGCAGTGAGCCGAGATAGCGCCACTGCACTCCAGCCTGGGCGAAAGAGCAAGACTCTGTCTCAAAAAAAATAAAAATAAAAATAAAAGTGGCTAAGAAATAATCAGTACTCATTAATTGATTTTAAATGTCAAGAACATGATGGTATGGGTCTTCTCAAAATGTGGCCTATGGACCACCGACATCAGAATCACCGGCAGATTCCTGAGTTCTACCTGCTATCTACCATATCAGACTCTCTGGGAGTGATGCCCCTAAATCCACGTTTTTAATTAGAGATTGTTAGGACTGCTACAGCAGAGAGTGCCAGCTTTGTAATCATTATTATAAAACACAATATATCTAGGTTCAAATCCTAGCTCTACCATTTATCAGTTTTGTGATAGTGGGGAAAAGTTACCCAACCTTATTGTACCTCAGCTGTCTTATCTGAAATACAGGGAAAATATGACTTATTTGGAAGGCTTATTGCAATAAAATAACACCTATAGCCTAAAATAGTTCAGGACACTGTGGGTGTATAATGCAGTACCTGTATTATAAAATACAACCAGGCCGGGTGTGGTGGCTCACGCCTGTAATCCCAGCACTTTAGGAGGCCAAGGTGGGTGAATCACGAGGTCAGGAGTTCGAGACCAGTCTGGCCAACATGTTGAAACCCTGTCTCTACTAAAAATACAAAAAATTAGCTGGGCATGATGGCAGGTGCCTGTAATTCCAGCTACTTGGGGGGTTGAGGCAGGAGAATTGCTTGAACTCAGGAGGCAGAGGTTGCAGTGAGCCGAGATCATGCCACTGCACTCCAGCCCAGGTGACAGAGTGAGACTCCGTCTCAAAAAACAAATAAATAAAATAAAATAAAATGTAACCAAGGCTGGTCCGAATGTAGTGAGTTATCTCAATTGATTGTTCACAGTCAGTTACAGATCAAACTCCTTGTTCTATTCTTCCCCTCCTTCTCACTACTGCCCTTAACTAGTCTTAAAAAAACAAAAAAAACAAAAAAAAAACAAAAAAAAACACAAGTAATCAGAGTTGCAATGACAAAATGTTAAAACTGAAAACAATCTGATCAACATCTTAATGCAAGGTTAACGGGCAATGAACCTGGGAAGTCATAAGTGTTCTTTCTAGAAAGGCATGACACAGTCAATATTTAAATCTATAATACAAACTAGGAAATCTATTATGTAAGTGAAATAGATAACATCCACCTGCACACTTGTCAGTTGAAAAATGTGCAGTAAAACTATGCATGATTGGCTAGTTACAGTATTTCAGTAAATATCAGTATCACTAGTTGTTCATCTGCTGGCACTTGGTAGTAGGAAGTTGGGGAAAAAAAGCCAGAGAAAACCCTAAAATTCAGAACATTTTATTTTTACTGTTCTCTATGAATTAAAAAGCCAATTTTTTCAATTTTAGCAAATTTAGAAAAATTTTCCATTTTTCATTATAGCTTGATGAAAAGAAGTATTCTGTGATCCCTGTTTGAGAACCACTGTTAGTCTAACTTCCTCTCTTTGCGTAAGAAAAATCTGAGGCCTGGCTGGGCACGGTGGCTCAGGCCTGTAATCCCAGCACTTTGGGAGGCTGAGGCAGGTGGATCACGAGGTGAGGAGAACGAGACCAGCCTGGCCAACATGGTGAAACCCCGTCTCTACTAAAATACAGGTGGTGTGTGCCTGTAGTCCCAGCTGCTCAGGAGGCTGAGGCAGGGAAGTCACTTGAACCCGGGAGGCAGAGATTGCAGCGAGCCGAGATCGTGCCACTGCACTCCAGCCTCGTGACAGAGTGAGACTCTGTCTAAAAAAAAAAAAAAGAAAAAAAAGAAAAATCTGAGGCCTAAAAAGGTTTTATTATTTTCCCAAAGCTACAGAGAGTGGCAAAGACAGACACGGAGCTTGGATATTTCAATTCCTAACCCCATTCTCCTTCCACAAGATAACACTGTCTCTACCACTGTAAGGTCATTCACAAAAGCATATTTTTAAATTATTCCTACCTAAATCTTATTTTTTGAAATAGGTCAAAAAGGCACAAGGTTCAAGACCAGTGAGTTATAAAAGAGAGAACGTTCAGTAAAGAAAACTCCCTCCCATTCCTGTCTCTCAGCCACCCCATCCTCCTCCTAAATATAATCAATGCTATAAGCTTCTTGGGATAACTGGTTTCTTAAAAGGTTTCCACTTACCTTCGTTCAACAGGTACAGGCATGGACCAGACTTCTCCCTCAGAAGCTGGAAGGTCATGCTGTGCCGCTTTCAAGGGAGTGCTGTCCAGTTTAAAGCTCTCTAGTGTTTTCATGATATCTTTAACATGTTTAGCTTCCACATTTATTTCCTGCCAAACCTGATTTCAAAGAAGAAGATGGATGTTTAAATTTCTATAATATATCACTGTCAAAATTAAATGAGGGCCATTTACTAGAGATGTTACAAAACTCCATTTTGATATCAGATATCCAGTAAACCACATCAAGATATTCTATCAAAATGTTAATAACAGTTTATTAAATTTATGTTTTCAATTGCAATTTTTTTTTTTTTTTTTTTTGGAGATGGAGTCTCACTCTGTCGCCCAGGCTGGAGTGCAGTGGCGTGATCACTCTCGGCTCATTGCAAGCTCTGCTTCCTGGGTTCAGGCCATTCTCCTGCCTCAGCCTCCCGAGTAGCTGGGACTACAGGCGCCCGCCACCACGCCTGGCTAATTTTGTGTATTTTTAGTAGAGACAGGGTTTCACCATGTTAGCCAGGATGGTCTTGATCTCCTGACCTCGTGATCCACCCGCCTAGGCCTCCCAAAATGCTGGGATTACAGGCGTGAGCCACTGCGCTCGGCCCTCAATTGCAAAATTAATTCTGATAAAATGAATTAAAACATCCAGGATAGGAAACATCCACGCCTGTAATCCCAGCACTTTAGGGAGGCTGAGGTAGATGGATCACTTGAGCTCAGGAGTTTGAGACAAGCCTGGCCAACATGGTAAAAACCCCATCTCTACTAAAAATACAAAAAGTTAGCCAGGCATGGGGGCAGGCACCTACAGGCCCAGCTACCTGGGAGGCTGAGGCAGGGGAATCTCTTGAGCCCAGGAGATGGAGGTTGCAGAAAGCCAAGATCACGCCACTGCACTCCAGCCTGGGCAACATAGCAAGAATCTGTCTCAAAAAAATAAAAAATAAAAAAAAAATCCAGGCTAACTAAATCATACTACTAATTTATATTCTTATTTAAATTGCATAGCCGGGTGTGGTGGCACATGCACGTAATCCCAGCTACTCGGGAGGCTGAGGCAGGAGAATCGCTTGAACCTGGGAGGCGGAGGTTGCGGCAAGCCGGAGATCACACCATTGCACTCCAGCCTGGGCAACAAGAGTGAAACTCCGGCTCAAATAAATAAATAAATAAATAAATTGCATAACAGGCCAGGCGCGGTGGCTCACACCTGTAATCTCAACACTTTGGGAGGCCAAGGAGGGCAGATCACCTGAGGTCAGGCATTCAAGACCAGCCTGGCCAACATGTTGAAACCCCATCTCTATTAAAAATACAAAAATTAGCTGGGTGTGGTGGCGGGCACCTGGAATCTCAGCTACTTGGGAGGCCGAGCCACAACAATCGCTTGAACCCAGGAGGCGGAAGTTGCAGTGAGCCGAGATCGCACCATTGCACTCCTGCCTGGGCAACAGAGCAAGACTCCATCTCAAAAAAATAAAATAAAATAAAATAAAATAAAATAAAATAAAATAAAATAAATTGCATAACAAATTGAAAAGTTAGGCATAACTTTAAAGTTCTACAAGAATAATTAGCTGGGCATGGTGGCCCATGCCTGTAGTCCTGCCTACTTTAGAGGCTGAGGTGAGAGAATTGCTTGAGCCCAAGGGGGAAAAAAAACCATCAAAGCACAACTTGTGAAAGTTTCATTTTTGTCAAACTTTTATTTTTATGTTTTAGAGACAAGGTTTCATTCTGTTGCCCAGGCTGTACTACAGTGGCACGATCATAGCTCACCATAACCTCAAACTCCTGGGTTCAAGCCATCCTCTCACCTCAGCTTCTCAAAGTGCTGGGATTACAGGTGTGAGCCACCATGCCCAGCCCTACTTTGATAATTTTTATTCTGTTTAATTAACTTTTAAAATGCTGATTAATCCCAATTACCCTGATTTGATCATTAGATATTGTATACAGGAATCAAAATATAATGTGTATGCCCAAGATATGTACAACTATTATATATCAGTAAATAATTTCTAAAAATCAATACAACACTGATCAGAATATACTAATTTTATGGCTAATGGGTCACAACCTACAGACTAAAATAGGTCTCAATTCATATGCAACCAAGGTATTTTTTTAAAAGCAGTCTTTTTTTTTTTTTTCAAATATTTTTTAGAGACAGGGTCTCATTCTGTCATCCAGTCTGGAATGCAGTAAAATGGCCCTAGTTTTGAGAGTAAGGCTCCACCTCAAAAATAAAAGAGAAAAGGAATCTTGACGCAATTTAAAAACTAATCTTGGGCAACATAACAATAACCCATCTCTAAAAAAAATATAAGCCAGGCATGTTGGTTTGTGCCTGTGGCCCCAGCTACTCTGGAGGCTGGGTGGGAGGATTGCTTGAGCCTGAGGAGTTAAGGCTGCAGTGAGCCATGATTGCACCACCATACTCCAGCCTGGGGAACAGACCGAGACTCTGCCTCCAAAAAACCCTCAAAAACCTATATATAGTTTTGATTCAACTGTATTATAGTAATGGGTCTTAACTCAGCCTAAAAACTATATATGGTGATGGTTGTACATTATATATGTATTTAATGCCACTGAACTGTATACTTAAAAATGGCCAAGGCCAAGTGCAGTGGCTCACGTCTGTAATCTCAGTACTTTGGGAGGCTGAGGAGGGCAGATCACCTGAGGTCAGGAGTTCCAGACCAGCCTGGCCAACATGGCAAAAACCCCGTCTCTACTAAAAGTACAAAAAAATTATCTGGGTGTGGTGGCACACACCTGTAATTCCAGCTACTCGGGAGGCTGAGGCAGGAGAATCACTTGACCCCAGGAGGCAGAGGTTGCAATGAGCCGAGACTGCGCCACTGCACTACAGCCTGGGCAACAGAGTGAGACTCCGTCTCAAAACAAACAAACAAACAAAAAACAGTAAAGTGTTATGTATATTTTACCACAATAAGAAAATGGTAGGCCAGGCATGGTGGCTCATGCCTGCAATCCCAGCACTTTGGGAGGCCGAGGCAAGCAGATCACCTGAGGTCAGGAGTTTGAGACCAGCTGGCTACATGGTGAAACCCCGTCTCTACTAAAAATACAAAAATTAGCTGGGTGTGGTGGTGGGCTCCTGTAATCCCAGCTACTCGGGAGTCTGAGGCAGAAGAATCACTTGAACCCGGGAGGTGGAGGTTGCAGTGAGCTGAGACCGCGCCATTGCACTCCAGCCTGGGCAACAAGTGAGAAAATCCATCTCAAAAGAAAACAAACCAGAAAATGGTAAAAAATAAAAATAAAAATAAACTATATATATAATATTGAAATGAAATTTAAGATGATAATGTTTTGCTTTATAACTTAAATGATTTAATCTTAAGTACCTTTAAACAAAAGCTTAGACTTAAGTAAAAGTCTTTGGCCTAACAACAAAAGATCTAAAAAGTCCTTCACTGACAAACTTAAGACTCCTTATGAAATAAAATATTTACTAGGCCGAGCATGGTGACTCATGCCTATAATCCTAGGAATTTGGGAGGCGGAGCCAAGAGGATCATTTGATCCCAGGAGTTCAAGACCAGCCTGAACAACATAGTGAGATGCCATGTCTGTAAAAAATAAATAAATAAAAGATAAATAAAATAAAATAGTTGCCCTTTCTGGTAATTACATGGATATGGTAAAGGATATGGAGGGACAGATATAGGAAAATAGATGAAGTTCAAAGAGATAGGCTGTTTCTCTCAAAAAAATTAAGGACAAATATTGAACAATATTTAAAAAGCAGCTCAGCAGAATCTGAGGTATAATATTCTATCTAGAAGACCACCTCAAAAAGACTATTACTTTCATTTTTTTTTTTTGAGACAGAGTCTTGCTCTGTTGCCAGGCTGGAGTGCAATGGTGCGATCTCGGCTCACTGCAACCTCTGCCTTCTGATATCAAGTGATTCTCCCACCTCAGCCTCCCAAGTAGCTGACATTACAGATGCCCGCCACTATACCCAGCTAATTTTTTTGTATTTTAGTAGAGATGGGGTTTCACCATGTTGGTCAGGCTGGTCTCGAACTCCTGACCTCAGGTGATCTGCCCACCTCAGCCTCCCAAAGTGCTGGGATTACAGGCGTGAGCCACCATGCCCCGCAAGACTTATTTTCTTAACCTTTTTTTCCTCTTTGACATAGTTGAGCCTTGTTAGAAATACCACCCTCCACTGGACCTGTAAGTTCTACAATTTCCAATTTTAAATTTTTGTTAGTCCTCAGTAACTGAAGTTTCTCAATGGGATTCAACATAATCTGCTTCATAAAGTTCTATTATACAAGGAATATGAGGCCAGGCATGGTGGCTCACACCTGTAATCCCAGCACTTAGGGAGGCTGAGGTGGAAGGATCACTTTAGCCTAAGAGTTTGAGACCAGCCTGGCAAACATAGGGAGATCCCATCTCTACCAAAAATTGAAAAATTAGCAGGTCACAGTGGGGAACACCTGTGGTTCCACCCACTCAGGAGGCTGAGGTGGGAGGATTGTTTGAGCCTGAGCCTGGGAGGTCAAGGCTGTAGAGACTGCACTCCCTCCTGGGCAAGAGAGCAAGACCCTCTCTCAAAAAGTTTTTTAAAAAATATGGTACCTGTGAGATTCACAAGCCATTTACAGTTTCGACAATGGCTTAATAAAGTCTACTCTATTTTTACGAAGTAAAAATCTGATCAAAAAATGTCAAAACCATTGTTTTAAAAAACTCTTGGCTAGGCGTGGTGGCTCATGCCTGTAATCCCAGCACTTTGGGAGGTCAAGGTGGGCAGATCACCTGAGGTCAGGAGTTCAACACCAGCCTGGCCAACATGGTGAAAGCCCGTCTCTACCAAAAATACAAAAATTAGCTGGGTGTGGAGGCAGGCGCCTGTAATCCCAGCTACTCGGGAGGCTTGAACCTGGGAGGTGAAGGTTGCAGTGAGCCGAGATCGTGCCACTGCACTCCACCCTGGATGACAAGAGCAAAACTCTGTCTCGAGGAAAAAACAAAACAAAAAAAACCCCTCTTATTAGATTCCAGCAATTAGAATTAAGTAGAACTCATAATACTGCTGATGGTGAAAGTGGATTATTATTCATATAATAAAGTGTCAAGTAATATTATATAGAAATCTGTGTAATAACTCACATACTCATGTTTTGTTTTGTTTTTTATTTTTGAGACAAGGTCTAGCTCTGTTGCCCAGGCTGGAGTGTAGTGGTACAAGCATAGCTCACTGCAGCCTCAATCTCCCAGGCTCAAGTGATCCTCCCACCTCAACCTCCCTAGTAGCTAGGACTACAGGCACACACCACCACATCTGGCTAATTTTTTTATTTTTGTAGAATGAAGTCTTGCTATGTTGTCTAGGCTGGACTTGAACTCCTGGCCTCAAGTGATCCTTCTGCTTTGGCTTTCCAAAGTGCTAGGACTACAGGAGTGAGCCACTGTGTACTGTGCTCGGTAGTCATACAGTCTTAACATGTAACTACATACAGCATTGACATCTGATCTAAATTTTCTCTTCCGAGTACTTAAGCCATTAAAACATACAGCAGCCATTACTCTCACCTGTTGCCATTTCTGCTGGAGGTATGTATCTTTGACTGAGTACAGATACTTGTTCATTTGGTCAAGAACTCCCTGATAATAGACCATCGCAGAGTCATAGTTTCCCAGCAATGCATATTCACGAGCCAATTTTACATTCTCACTAATCATAAGAAGACTCATGTTCAACTGTAAGCTAAAAAGAAGAAGAAAAAAAGAAACACTTTAGGTTTACATGTCTCTTAAAAATAAGTATAGTTATTAAAAAATACTTTCCAGGGCTCCCTCAAGAAACAATCACACATACCACACTTCCCATCTCTATATGTGTGCTCATGCTATTTCACTCCTTTAAAAAAAACATTGTTTTTTTTTTTTTTTTTTTTTTTTGAGACGGAGTCTCGCTCTGTGGCCCCGGCTGGAGCGCAATGGCATGATCTCGGCTCACTGCAACCTCTGCCTCCCGGGTTCAAGCAATTCTCCCACCTCAGCCTCCCAAGTAGTTGGGATTACAGGCACCCACCGCCATGCCCGGCTAATTTTTTTTGTATTTTTGTAGAGATGGGGTTTCACCATGTTGGCCAGGCTGGTCTCGAACTCCTGACCTCAGGTGATCTGCCCGCCTCGGCCTCCCAAAGTGCTGGGATTACAGGCATGAGCCACCGCGCCTGGCCTCAAAGAAATATTTTATTTAGGAGGCTAAGGCAGGCAGCTCACTTCAGGCCAGGAGTTCAAGACCAGCCTGGCCAATATGGCGAAACCCTGTCTCTACTAAAATGTAAAAACTAGCTGGGCGTGGTGGCACATGCCTATAGTCCCAGCTACTTGGGAGGCTGAGACACAAGAATTGCTTGAACCAGGGTAGCAGAGGTTGCAGTAGGCCAAGATCGTGCCACTGTACTCCAGCCTGGGAGATGGAGCAAGACTCTGTTTAACAAAACAAAACAAAAAACAGGCCCGGTGCGGTGGCTCACACCTGTAATCCCAACACTTTGGGAGGCTGAGGTGGGTGGATCACGAGGTCAGGAGATCAAGACCATCCTGGCCAACATGGTGAAACTCGGTCTCTACTAAAAATACAAAAATTAGCTGGGCATGGTGGCACGTGCCTGTAATCACAGCTACTCAGGAGGCTGAGGCAGGAGAATCACTTGAACCAGGGAGTCGGAGGCTGCAGTGAGCCGAGATCGCACCACAGCACTCCAGCCTGGCAACAGCATGAGACTCTGTCTCAAAAAATAAAAAAATAAAATAAAATAAATTTAAAACATTGTTTTAAAAAAGTTCCCACATTCAAACCCTCCCTATTGTCAAAGCCCAGCTCAGATGGCAGTTTTCCTAGTATGTCTACCCCCTGAACTCCTCAGTTCAAAATAAACTCTCCCTCCTCTAAAGTCCCCTTGCACTTTACTGTGACTTTCATCCCAAGACACTTGTCTACTTCAAATTACAGTTTCTATATATGTCTTATCTCTAGTAGACTGTTATCTGACAGTAGGATTTGCATCTGAAAGGTGTGAGACTATATGATCCTTGCATGACACACATTTTATTAAACATCTGCAGAATAAATAGTGAATATTAGATACATTTTTTGAAGCAGTGTGGATTAGCAGAAGGCGTATGTATTTTGAAGTTAGAAAAATCTTGGCTAGAATTATAATTGTGCCACCTTAATCAAGTCCCTTAACTTTTTTCTAAGCCTGTTTTAATATCTGTGGAACTGCCATAGCAACTACTTTCAGGAGTTACGCTATAAACAATAAATGGCTATTTAAAGTACTAAGCATACTACTTGACAAATAGTAGGTCTTCAATAAATGTTAAATGTGTCTGCCATGAAACTTTCTATATATGAGAACCTAATCCAACCTTTGAACCTAGGAGTTCAAGACCAGCCTGGGCAACACGGCAAAACCCCATCTCTACAAAAAATACAAAAATTAGCAGAGCATGGTGGTGTGTGCCTGTAGTCCCAGCTACTCAGGAGGCTGAGGTGGGAGGATTACCTGAGCCTGGGGAGGTCAAAGCTGCAGTAAGCCGAGATAGTGCCACTGTACTCCAGCCTGGGCAACAGAGACAGAGTGAGACTGTGTCTCAAGAAAACATTAAAAAAAGACAAAAAAGCTCCAGGCCCAGATGATTTCTGTAAGTATGGTGGGGGTTTTTTTGGGTTTTTTTGGGTTTTGTTTTTGTTTTTTTGAGATGGAGTCTTACTGTGTTGCCAGGCTGGAGTGCAGTGGCGCAATCTCGGCTCACTGCAACCTCTGCCTCCCAGGTTCAAGCGATTCCCCTGCCTCAGCCTCCAGAGTGGCTGGGACTACAGCCATGCATCCACCACGCCCGGCTAAATTTTTGTATTTTAGTAGAGATAGGGTTTCACCATGTTGGCCAGGTTGGTCTCGATCTTGGGACCTCGTGATCCGCCCGCCTCGGCCTCCCAAAGTGCTGGGATTACAGGCGTGAGCCACCATGCCTGGCCTCGGGTATTTTTGTTGTTGTTGTTTTTGTTTTTGTTTTTTTGAGACGGAGTTTTGCTCTTGTTGCCCAGGCTGGAGTGCAATGGTGCAATCTCGGCTCACCACAACCTCCGCCTCTCGGGTTCAAGCGATTCTCCTGACTCAGGCTCCTGAGTAGCTGGGATTACAGGCATGTGCCAACACGCCTGGCTAATTTTGTATTTTTAGTAGAGACAGGGTTTCTCCATTTTGGTCACGCTGGTCTCGAACTCCCGATCTCGGGTGATCTGCCCACCTCGGCCTCCCAAAGTGCTGGGATTACAGGTGTGAGCCACCGCACCTGGTCTGGCCTCGGGTTTTTTTTTTTTTTTGAGATGGAGTCTCACTCTGTCACCCAGGCTGGAGTGCGGTGGCATGTTCTCGGCTCACTGCAAGCTCCGCCTCCCGGGTTCATGCCATTCTCCTGCCTTAGCCTCCCGAGTAGCTGGGACTACAGGCGCCCACCACCACGCTCGGCTAATTTTTTGTATTTTTAGTAGAGATGGGGTTTCACCATGTTAGCCAGGATGGTCTTAATCTCCTGACCTCAGGATCTACCCGCCTAGGCCTCCCAGAGTGCTGGGATTACAGGTGTGAGCCACAGCGCCTGGCCTGCCTTGGGGTTTTTTTTTAACCAAACTTCTAAACAGAAATAATTCCAACCACATAAAAGTTGATCCAGAAAACAAGAGAAAAGCTGAGCAACTCTTTTTTATGTGGCTGAAATCATCTCAACTGAATAAGAACACAAGACCCATTTCACTTATGAACATGGAAATCCTAATATTAGTTTACCTACAATGCATCAAGACACACACCACATGATCAAGAAGGGTTTATCCCAGAAATGCATGGATGACTTAAGATCAGAAAATCTATCACTGTAATTCTTCACATTAATGGACAAAAGTACCTCACAAGAAAATGAGGACAGAGCATAAAGGACAATTCACAGAAGGGAAACCCAAACAGCTAACAAGCACAGACAGGAGTGACCAATAAATACAAACTGAAGCCATGAGAAACCTCTTTTTATTCTTTTATTTTTTATTTTTCTGGAGACAGAGTCTCACTCTGTTGCCCAGGCTGGAGTGCAGTGGTGTGATCTCGGCTCACTGCAACCTCTGCCTCCCAGGTTCAAGCAATTCTCCTGCCTCGGCCTCCCGAGTAGCTAGGACTACAGGCGCTCACCACCATGCCCAGCTAATTTTTGTATTTTTAGTAGAGATGGGATTTCACCATGTTGGCCAGGATGGTCTCAATCTCTTGACCTTGTGATCCGCCCACCTGGGCCTCCCAAAGTGCTGGGATTACAGGCATGAGCCTATGCGCCTGGCCGAGAGACCTCTTTTATTTACCAGACTCAAAAAAGCAATGATACTAAGTATTGGCAAGGATTTGGGAAAAAGGAAATCTTTACATCAATTTGCAGGAATAAACTGGCATAGTCATTTTGGAGTGCAATCTGGCAGTACTTGGGGAAATTATGTATGCATGTATATGTACATAGACACACACATACACACACATATATATGTATATATACACCCCATGACCCAGCAATCCCACTCTTGTGTAAATCTTCCAGAGAAAGTCTCACACAGATCCACAAAGGAACTTGGTTTTGGACATTAATGACAGAAATCTTTGAGAAATCAAGTAGAGTCAATCTATTTATTCCCTGCTAGGGGAAATATGGTGGATACAGACCACATGGTACCATGTAGCAGACAGAAGCAATGAATAAAATTTACATATAGCAACATGGATGGATCATCAAAATACAGGGTTGGCTAAAAAAAGGTCTCAGACATAGAACAAGATCTAAATCCCAATGTCATTTTATAAATTAAAAATACATATGCTATATAAAATACTCATTTTTAAAGGATGCATACATATCCAAGAAAGTACCTTAAATATATTAGAGAGTCTATGGAAGGTGAGGAGGAAAATATGTGAGTGGAGAAATTGCTTATGACAAGTAGGAGAGAAACAAAAAATAAATATAACAAAAGAAGGGCCTTATATCCATGGATAATCATAGGGAGCCTCTAAGATGGCACTCAATGACCTTTGCCTCTTGGTATCTGTACCCTTATATAATTACTACCCCTTGAATGTGTGCCTGTAACAAATAACATAATACCATTTCCGAGATTAGACTATGACTTGCATCTTGCTTGCTGTCTCTTGCTGGCCCCACTCAAATGGAATACCAGCTCCACAGAGTGAGCTGCCTGGGCAGAGGCTCATGTGGCAAAGAGCTGAGGCAGGATCCAGGCCAACAATCAGTGAGGAACTGAGACCCTCAGTCCACCAGCCCCTGAGGAACTGAATCCTGCCAACAACCATGTGAGTGAGATCAGAAGTGAATCTTTCCTCACTAGAGCCTTGAGATGACTACAGGCCTGGCCAATACCTGATCACAGCTCTGAGAAACACCCTGAATCTAAGGCATCCAGCTAAGTCATGCCCAAATTCCTGACCCAGTGAAACAGTGAAAGAGATAAAAAATGTCTGTTGTTTTAAGTCACCAAGTTTTGGGATAATCTGTTATGAAGCAATATAGCTATGAACTAAGGTCTATGAGTAACTCAAGACTGGGCATCTGAGCTCCAAAAGAAAAGGAATAAAATCCTATCACCTAAATCTTGCCTCCCTGGATTCATGACCACTGATCATATTCTATCTTAATAAAAGCCTAAAGGCCAAGGACCATATCTCTCTGTTATTTACTGATACATCTCTAGCACCTAGAACCATGTCCTCAAATGTAGATCTCAATCAACCTTTGAATGACTGAATACTGCCTAGTTGTTGTCCTTTTTTTTTTTTTTGAGACAGGGTCTCATTCTGCAGCCCAGGCTGGAGTGCAGTGGTGCCATTACAGCTCACTGCAGCCTTGATCTTCTGGGCTCAACTGATCCTGAGTAGCTGGGACCACAGATGTGTACCACCACACCCAGCTAATATATATATATATTTTTTTTTTGGTATGTTTTGTAGAGATGGGGATTTCACCATGTTGCCCAGGCTGGTCTTGAACTCCTGGGCTCAAGCGATCAGCCCACCTTAGCCTCCCAAAGTGCTAGGATTACAGGCGTGAGCCACCATGCCTGGCCAGGTTTTTGTTGTAACTACCAAGAGTTCGTAACCTTGTCCAGTTCCTGACCCTCAGCATGGTCACATTCTTGATCCTCAGCTCATCCCTTCCAAGCTGGGATTACAGCTTGATTCTTGTGTGATTACTTCTGCCCTGAAGCCATCCATGCCCTACAGAGACACCTAGTCTGGGCAAGGGTGTTAGAAAAGTATAATTGGGACCCGCTGCTAAAAGTATATAGTTGTTCTAGATGAGCTTGGATGTCAAAAGCCTTTCATGTCTTTTGACATGAAAGCCTCTCTCCCTCTTTTCCTTAATAGTCTCCCTGGAGATCTTTCTTCCCATTTTCCCACTAAAAAAAATCTAAAATAGTCAGGCATGGTGGTTCACGCCTGTAATCCTAGTACTTTGGGGTGCCAAGGTGGGAGGATTGCTTGAGCCCAGGAGTTCAAGACCAGCCTGGCCAACATAGTGAAACCCTGTCTCTACAAAAAATACAAAAAATTAGCTGGGCATGACAGGGCACACCTGTAGTCCCAGCTACCAGGAGGTTGAGGTGGGAGGATCACCCAAGCCCAGGAGGTCAAAGATGCAATGAGCTGTGATCACACCACTGCACTCTAGCCTGGGTAAAAGAGTAAGGCTCTGTATCAAAAAAATAAAATAAAATAAAATAAAAATAAATTTAAATTAAGTTGTTACTTATATATAGGTGGTCCTCGTTTTTTTCTTGAGGGCCATGATTCAACGGCCCAAAACTCATACAAGTCCCTCCAAGCCTTCTTTAAAGGTTCCATGTTTTGAACTCTTTCTAGTCAGATAAAATTCTTTAGAAGCCAATGAATTGATATTTTCTAACAAACATGAATGTAAAGTCTAATCCAAGGCCACATTAACAAATGACTTGAAAAATCCCTGATTATCAAAGAAACAATGTGCTTGCAGAAAATAGTATTAAAGCACTCTTAGTTCCCTAATTGTTAGCCGAAAATAATTTTCCCCATTCCCTTATTACTCTCTAAGCCCAAAACATCCTTCTCGAATGTCACAACTGTAAATTTATGAAATTATCCCAATTTTCAACAATATATCTTTATCATTGCTAAAATTCCACTGCAGGAAGACTAGAAACTGGCTGTATTAAGCACAATATCTGGCAATATTTGAAGAATTGAATCCATTTGAAATAAAAAGCTGGCCGCGCGCAGTGGCTCACGCCTGTAATCACAGCACTTTGGGAGGCCGAGGCAGGTGGATCACCAGGTCAGATCAAGACCATCCTGGCTAACACAGTGAAACCCCATCTCTACTAAAAATACAAAAAATTAGCCGGGCGTGGTGGCCAGCGCCTGTAGTCCCAGCTACTTGGGAGGCTGAGGCAGGAGAATGGCATGAACCGGGAGGCAGAGCGTGCAAGTGAGCCAAGCTCGCGCCACTGCACTCCAGCCTGGGCGACAGAGCAAGACTCCATCTCAAAAAACAAAAAACAAAAAAAAAAAAAAGAAAGAAAAAAAAGCTGACTGACTCAGTGTAAGCACCATGAACTATAAACACAATCTATTGGTTCAACATTAATAGAACACTTATAAAGATGAGATTGCCCCAAAATTCAGGCTCTTGGTTACACAGATTATTAGAGAGAAGGATAACCATACACTATGCCTGCTTTATTCACAGCAAGTTTTTCCTTTACATTATTCTAACAGAACCACCCTTTTGCTTACATGCCTTGAGTATTTATGAGTTAGCTAATGACTAAATTAACTTACTTAGAGTAAGCAAGATGCAATGTGAAATTTTAACTCAAGTGACAGAATCAAATTTTTAAAAATACTGAAATCGCAATTTTACAGCAAATTTTCTAGCAATATAGTATGTGATGCAGTGCTGTCTCTCCACAGAGAAAGTTTTTTTTTTTCTCCTCTAGGATTAGGAAAAAGAAGTGATCACAGAGACTGAAAAAGAACAGGCAAAATATTGAAATATCTGAGTTCTAAGATTCTTATTCTCTCTCTAAACAACAAATACAGGGCCCTGCCTATTTCACACCTAAAGAGGATACCTTACCCATTTAATTTTTAAAGGACTCAGGCTGGGCTCCACTTATTTGCAGTTTTTTTTAACATAATGTGCATGGGTCATTCATTCAAGAAATATTAAAGGAACACCAACTAAGTTGCAAGGAATTGCACTGAAGACAAAAATAAGACAGAATTAGACCTTGAAATCCTTGAAGTTTAATAGAAGGGATATCACCTTATTTATTCTAGGTGGGTTTTCTTTGCTTAGTAAGAGAAGACAAACATAGAATATTATTAAACACAGACTAAAAAATCAGCAGCAATGTTGGAAGGCTGAAAGTGTTTTTTAAATACCTCTCTGTAAAATTTACCTCCTAAAACAAAAAGATCACGAAGCCCAATCATGCATCTTCCTGAAGGCATTTCAGTAAAGCAAGTGTATATGACTTCAAAAGTGGCCATACATTGGTAAGTAATTTTCAGAATGTTCATCTCTGGGATATGAAAGAAACCACATGCTAATTTATAGTCAGCCACTGATGATTACGAATAAGCACAATAAATGAATGACCCATGACCAATTACAGCATGGCATACATTTTTCTTACCTTTATAACCATCATATGATAAATACTTAAGCACAAGAAAGTTACCACTATTTTTTAAAAACACCAAAAAGCAACCTGTTCAGAAAAAAAGTACATATAAAGTCCACTCTATTTGTACAGTAAACTTTCAGTTTACCCTAAACAAACAAATCAGTGAGTTTAATTATTAAAACGTAATTTAAAAGTCATATTCAAGCCCTATCGATAAACGCCACAAGCAAAAGCTATTTGGCATGTTATCAACACTGACCATATTTATGTGATAATACTATCTTTTTTAAACAGTCAAGTGGCTAAAAAAACCCAAACTATTGTTAATAGAAATTCAACAATGTTGTTAATAGAGTGAATTCAACAAGATTCTCTAATCCTCAATATTTGTCAGCATCTTGATACCAGTTTCAAAATGAGGTGGAGAATCCCTTGTGGACTACATAGCATGCCTATTACCTATAAAAATGTAAACGCTTCTTGAATAACCAACGCTATAAAGAAGCTTTATATAGCTTTTCATAGTCTAGGAATGTTGGGAAGTTGATCACTACTGCGTGTTTTTTTTTTTAAAGGTATTTACAGGCCACAACTTGTTAATGTTAATACAAAACAAAGTTTTGCTCCTATTTCTTGGTATAAGAACAAAAACCGGCCGGGCGCAGTGGCTCACGTCTGTAATCCCAACACTTTGGGAGGCCTAGGCGGGCGGATCACAATGTCTGGAAATCGAGACCAGCCTGGCCAACATGGTGAAACCCCATCTCTACTAAAATACAAAAAATTTGCCGCGCGTAGTGGAGCGCGCCTGTAGTCACAGCTACTCAAGGAGGCTGAGGCAGGGGAATCGCTTGAACCCGGGAGGCGGAGGTTGCAGTGAGCCAAGATTGCGCCACTGCACTCCAGCCTGGCGACAGAGCAAGACTCCGTCTCAAAAAAAAAAAAAAAAAAAAAAAAAAGAACAAAACCCAGCTCTTTTGGAAAAGAAAATAGGGCTTTATACTGAGACATTTAAGCCCGTAAAAACATTTCAAGAATCTGTCTTAACATCTACTAAGGTGATTATCATTGTGATTACGTGACAAAGATCTACTGCACCCATTCTAAAACATCGGGAATGTTTTCAGCAATAACTAGAGGTCTAATTTCAAAGAGGAAGACGTAAATTAGTGCTTTCAAGAGAAAAGAGCATCACTGTGCTGTTGGAAGTTAGTAACTAATATAAAAGCGGCCCTTCGCGGTTTTAACAGGAAACTATTTTTGATTAAATAAGAGCTTGAGATTATCCACTGTAAGGCACTTCAGGATCTACGTTTATCTCTAACTTTGTCATCACATTTGTATGAAACAACTGTTTCGAGGGAAAACTTTTCTAAAAGGTACCAACTCTAAACCAAAAGGCCCACAGGCCTTCCAGAGGACGCCGGGCTCTAGAATAAATAAGAAATAACATCCCCAACAATATCACTCGAACCTAACAAATTTTAAGAAAAGAAGTTGCCTCCCAATGTCATGGCCATCGGGATTTTTACCTGTGAGGGTTTCGGGGTGGGGGGCGTGAGCGGGTTCTGGAGAGAACCAGTCGAAAAATCGAAGAACTAAAAACTCGGCTGGTGACTTCGCTAACGACACAGATCAAAAGATGGGATCGACAGGAGCCCCCGAAAAGTCCTCCGCCTGACAGGATTCCTCAGGTAGGGGGACTGTCACCTAAGCCAAGTTATCGTGGACAACAGCAAGGACCTAGGACCTCAGCTCAGGCACAGGCAGGCTCACGGAGGGTTGCGCGGCGGGTTCTCGCTGTGGGCCCCCCGAGTCCCTCACCAGCCCGGCCCTGGAAAATCGGGGGTCCCCAGAGCACCGCCAGAGTGAAAACTCACCTGCGGCGGCCCAAGCTCCTCGGGAAACCGCCCAACGCCAGGCACAGGGGATTGGCGGAGTGGAGATCCCGGCAGCGAGGAAGGAGGGCCTGACCCAGTCCAGCCCACTTTGCTCTCCGCTCACGGCCCCAGTACTGCCCAGTTCAATCGTCAACACCACCTGCCGGCGCGGCTCCTGCTCGCCGAGAATTTGAAGACAAACCCGCCAGGGTCACTTCCGGTGCCGGGGACGACCTCGGCGACTCTGGCGCACGCGGGGCGTCGCCCCGGGAGCGAGGTCGCTGGGCGGGAGCGGCGGAAGAGGGTGTGGCCGGGCCCGGGGCCGCGCGTGCGCATTCTTGCACCGCCTCCTCCCGGCGGACGCAGCGGAGACCAGGGATAGTATAGACCTTGGTGTAGATGGTATTATGGTACTACCTCGCGCGCCTCTGTACCTTGTTCAGGTGCTTGCTCACTTTCCCTCCCACTTGATTTTCACCACACTCACACACACACCGAGGTCAGGTGTCTATTTTAGAGGTGAATGTCCAGGATCAAGCAATTCGTTTATGACAAATCCTGTTTTAGAACCTAGTATTCAGAATTCCCCAGCTGGGCTCCATGTCATGACATAACAATAGGGAGGAGGTAAACAAAGATTCTCGGACACACTGCTAGTGGGATTTTATTTTCTTGATTTTTTAATCACCGTTTTAATATGACCAGACAAGGAAAATGATGCTATTTCATGACTTACAGATATGTACTGCACAGGGCTTCCTCCAGTCTCAATCTCCACCCTCTGCCATCACTTGAGGCAGAATAGGGCACTTCTCACACATTCCTTTAAAAACGCAAGGTAATTAAGTTTCTAACATTAAAGCATCCCGACTGGGCACAGTGGCTCATCCCTGTAATCCCAGCACTTTGGGAGGCTGAGGCGGGAGAATAGCTTGAGCCGGGAGTTCAAGACCAGCCTGGGCAATATAGTGAGACCCCCCGTCTCTACAAAAAGTACAAAAATTGGCTGGACATGGTGGCGCACGCCTGTAGTCACAACTACTCAGGAGGCTGACACAAGAGGATCACTTGAGCCCAGGAGTTGGAGGCTGCAGTGGGCCATGATGGCGCCATTGCACTCCAGTCTGGGAGACAAAGTGAGGCCCTATCTCTAAAAAAATAAAAGCACCCCAGTCATCTAACATAGACATGTAGAAGCAATTCAGGGGAAATACATCCATTCAGTCAACAAATGTTTACTCAGCAACTACTATGTGTGAGACAGTGTTGGCACTGGGTATACAGTGGTCACGAAATAGAATGTTTCATGGGGCTTAAAGTCTTGTAACGTCTCAACTGAGTGGAAAATGATAGTTTCACTGTAGTAAATATGAACTCTATTGTAATAGGGAACAGGAAACTATATTTAGTATATATTTTTGGAATCAAAACCAATTCAGGGAGGTACAGATTAATTACCCTAATTCAACCTTCATCCTTTATGTGAGTTCAAAGGTATGCTAATTTATAAAGCCAATTTACAGTTAAAAAACTTCTCAAAGGCCACAAAATTAATACATATTGTATGATTCCATTGATAAGAAATTCTAGGCCAGGCACGGTGGCTCATACCTGTAATCCCAGCACTTTGGGAGGCCGAGACGGGTGGGTCACTTGAGGTCAAGGCGTTTGAGACCAGCCTGGCCAACATGGTGAAACCCCGTCTCTACTAAAAATACAAATATTAGCTGGGTCTGGTGGCGCACACCTGTAATCTCAGCTACTTGGGTGGCTGAGGCACGAGAATCGCTTGAACCCAGGAGGCAGAGGCTGCAGTGAGCCAAGATCGCGCCATTGCACTCCAGCCTGGGTGACAGAGCAAGACTCTGTCTCAAAAAAAAAAAAAAGAAAAAGAAAAGAAATTTTAGAACAGGCAAAACTAATCTATAATAATAGCTGATCAGTGGTTGGCTGCCTGAGGCTGTATTCAGGAGGAGGGGGAGAAGAAATAGATTGCTGAAAGTCCCCAGGAAATATTTAAGGTGATGGAAAGGAAATGTTCTGTTAGGGTAGTGCTTACACAGGTGTAAACATTTATTAAAATTCATCAACAGTACACAAACTGGGCACATTTTATTACGTGTACGTACGCGTATTATATATGAAGATTTTTTGGGTTTTTGTTGTTGTTTTGAGACAGAGTGTAGCTCTGTCGCCCAAGCTGGAGTGTAGTGGTGCGATCTCGGCTCACTGCAACCTCCACCTCCCAGGTTGAAGCCTCACCCTCCCCGAGTAGCTGGGATTACAGGTGCCCGCCACCATGCCCAGCTAATTTTTGTATTTTTAGTAGAGACGGGGTTTCACTGTGTTGGCCAGTCTGGTCACGAACTCCTGACCTCATGATCTGCCCGCCTCAGCCTCCCAAAGTGCTGGGATTACAAGTGTGAGCCACCGCTCCTGGCTGAAGACTTTTTTTAGGTGGAAAGACAAACCTCCAGAGAGTGGCTTACATTCACTACTTCCATTTCTTTACTAGCTGTACTAGTCAGGCAGGAGTGGGTTATGCTGTAGCAACCTCTAAGTCACAGAGGCTTCAACAATAGCATTTTTTTCTTATCTACTTTTTATGTTCATAGCTTGAGTGGATGCAGGCAGTGGGACCCTTGGCAGTGAAAAAAAGAAAGGGAAATAAATTGCACAGCCTCTGCCTGGATGTGAAACTTGCTGCTCTGCCTACATATTTTTGGCCAGAGCAAGTCACTGGTCAAGCCTGACTTCAAAGAAATGCAGGTGTTCATCTCTGCATTGTGCCTTGAAGAAGCAGAATATTTGTGTACCACTCTCATGACTAGGAGTCATTTCTTCTTTTACAGTGTGGCTTCTACAACCACCACCCTTCTAAAATGATTGTATCCAAACTGTGACTCAGAAAATCTGAGATTATATTTTCCTGGTGAATGGTCAGGTTAATTTGGCAGAATCACAGGACACACAAAAACAAGTTAGGGGAAAAGAGGTAGAAAGATAGGTGCCAGCTAAAGAGTTAAACTTTATTCAGTAGACAAAAGGGGACCCATTGAAAGGTGTCAAATGAAGACATAAGTTATATAGCAAATAGGAGGATTAATTTGACAGCTAAACGTAGGAAGTTTTGGAGGGGAGAGAGAATAGATTGGGGGACTGTTGCAAGAGGTACTGTGACCCCTGGAATTACACAGAAGGTGAATGGCCATGAAGACCTTCTTCACATTATATATTTGTTTCTCTTGCCCCAGTGAGTAAACTTAATGAAGTCAGATACTTTGTCCATTTGAGTAGAGCAATGTCTGGCATATTGTAGGTGTTAATTAGATATTTGTAGAATAAATAAAATAATTTCAAAGAATTTGAGGGCCAAGTGTGGTGGCTCACGCCTGTAATCGCAGCACTTTGGGAAGCCAAGGCAGGAGGATCACCTGAGGTCAGGAGTTTGAGACCAGCCTGGCCAAAATGTCAAAACCCCATCTCTACTAAAAACACATAAATTAGTGGGTGTGCTGGTGGGCGCCTGTAGTCCCAGCTACTCGGGAGGCTGAGGCAGGAGAATCACTTGAACCCAGAAGTGGAGGTTGCCGTGAGCAGAGATTGCACCACTGCACTCCAGCCTGGGCAACAGAGCAAGACTCTGTCTCAAAAAATAAATACATAAAAGAATTTGAGACACTTTTTACATTTCATGAGAGAAATTGGAAAGGACTTTTAGGGCCAGTTTATTAACTTCACTCACGTGGTTGATGCATCTGGCATTCCTCTTCTATACTTCAAACATTTGAGCCATCTCCTGGGATACAGTATGTATAAGGCTAGAAAAATCTAACCATAAGTAAGATTTACTGAATTTTTAGATTATGTCACACCATAGCTGCAGTAACAGACTGGGACAGATTCACCAGTGTTCTTCACTAACCTTATACACATTCTTCCTAAACAACAGCTTCCATCACTGATCTGCTAATACCAGGCTGTTGAATGCTACGAAGAAAATCACATCTCTGTGAAGATTGATGCGCCATAATTTCATGTCTTTCTAACCCAGCCGAAACATTTTTCTGCCTGTCTCACTTCAGTTATGTCTCACTCTTCCCATTAGTTCAGACTTTCATTTTTTGAAACAGGGTCTTGCTCTGTCCCCCAGGCTGGAGTGCAGTGGCAGGATCTCGGCTCACCGCAGCCTTGACCCACTAGGCTCAAGCCATCGTCCTGTCTCAGCCTCCTGAGTAGCTAGAACTACGGGCACATGACACCAAGCCCAGAAAATTTTTAAATTTTTTGTAGAGACAAGGTCTCACCATGTTGGCCCAGGCTGGTCTCGAACTCCTGGGTTCAGATGATCTTCCCACTGCAGCCTCCCAAAGTGCTGGGATTACAGACGTGAGCCAGTGCACCCAACCTATTTCAGACTTTTACCCCAGAAAGGCAGCTACCCAGCCCTTTCTGCCCTTTCAGTGAATTACTATGCCTCCAACCTCAAAGAAATAGAAGCTATCAGAAATTCTCTCAACTTGGGCCAGGCACGGTGGTTCAGGCCTGTAATCCCAGCACTTTGGGAGGCCGAGGTGGGTGGATCACCTGAGGTCAGGAGTTCAAGACCAGGCTGTCCAACATGGTGAAACCCTATCTCTACTAAAAATACAAAAATTAGCTGGGCATGGTGGCACGTGCCTATAATCCCAGCTACTTGGGAGGCTGAGGGAGGCGAATTGCTTGAACCCAGGAGGCAGAGCTTTCAGTGAACCGAGATCACACCACTGCACTCCAGCCTGGGCAACACAGCAAGACCCTGTCTCAAAAAATAATAATTAAAAAAAAAAAGAAATTCTCTCAGCTTGCTCACTGCGGCAGAGACTGGATGCCAAATACCCATTCTCATAACAGAACCTGGTTGATAAAATCAGACCACCTGGAATAAGGACTATTTCCCAGACACTCTTGCTGCTAGATGTGACCATGGATCTAACTTCTGGCAGTGAAAGTGTTGTGTAGAACTTTTAGGAAGGCATCTTTAAAAGGAGAAGCCATAGAAATCTCCCTCCACCCCTCCCCCTCTCTTTTCACCAGGTGAGAACAAGGAAAAGAAGGCTGGGCGCAGTGGCTCACATCTGTAATCCCAACACTTTGGAAGGCTGAGGTGGGTGGATTGCTTGAGCCCAGGAGTTTGAGACCAGCCTGGGCAATATGATAAAAACCTCATTTCTACTAAAAACACAAAAATTAGCTGGACGTGGTGGCGGGCACCTGTAATCCCAGCTACTCTGGAGGCTGAGGCACAAGAATTGCTTGAATCTGGGAGGCGGAGGTTGCAGTGAGCCATCGTGCCGCTGCACTCCAGCCTGGGAGACAGAGCAAGACGCAATATAAAAAAAAAAACCCGAAAAACAAAGAAACAAACAAACAAAAAAACCACACACACCCAAGGTGTAGAGAACATAAGCAGCCAACTACTAACCAGAGCAAACTTTAGGTTGACAAGGACAGCAGAATTGAACAGATGAAGTGTGGGCTGACTTTGTGGAGCTGCCATACCAGAAGTGGACTGCCAACTTCAGACATTATATGTCTAAGGTATGGCTGTTTTGGGTTTTATGTGCAGCTGAGCTTAACCTAAATTAATACTCTTACCCTCCAACTTACAAACTTCTTTGCCTCACATCTGCCTTTTGGTTTTTGCCTCACGTCCCAATGAATGTGTATCTTCCTTTGTCTAAATCCAGTTCTTCCACTTGGACTTAAAGTTTTGAGTTGTTTTTTTAATTCCATTTTATGTTATATATTTGGATAGGCAATGCATTCACATGATGCAAAATCAAATGATATAAAGGGTTATATAGTGAGAAGTATTTCTACGATTCTTGTCACCCTACAAATCCATTTTACCATTCCCAGAGGCAATTGAAGATACCAAATTCAGGGCTGGGCGTGGTGGCTCACGCCTGTAATCCCCAGCACTTTGGGAGGCCCAGGCAGGTGGATCACCTAAGGTCAGGAGTTTGAGACCAGCCTGGCCAACATGGTGAAACCCCGTCTCTACTAAAAAATATAAAAATTAACCAGGGGTGGTGGTGGACACCTGTAATCCCAGATACTTGGGAGGCTGAGGAAGGAGAATCACTTGAACCCAGGAGGTGGAGGTTGCAGTGAGCCAAGATCACACCATTGCACTCCAGCCTGGGCAACAAAGTGAGACTCTGTCTCAAAAAAAAAGGATACCAAATTCATTCATTACCTTTCAGAGATATTATTTTAGTATGCACTCGATTGGAAGAAATGGTGGCTGAACATAAAAAAGAATGAGTTAATGTCCTTTGCAGGGACATGGATGAAGCTGGAAGCCATCATTCTTAGCAAACTAACACAGGAACAGAAAACCAAACACCGCATGTTCTCACTCACAAGTAGGAATTGAATAATGAGAACACGGGGGCACAGGAAGGGGAACATCACACACCGGGGCCTGTCAGCGGGTGGAGGGCTAGGGGAGGGATAGCATTAGGAGAAATACCTAATGTAGATGACGAGTTGATGGGTGCAGCAAACTACCACGGTACATGTATACCTATGTAACAAACCTGCACGTTCTGCACATGTATCCCAGAACTTAAGTATAATTAAAAAAAGGATGGAAAAAAAAAGAAGAAAGAAATGGTGGCTAAAAAAAATCTTGCATTAATGAAAACCATTGCTTCACAGATTTAAGAAGCTCAATGAACCCCAAGCACAAGAAAAATAAACAAAATGACACCAGGCACATCGTAATTAAATTGCTTAACATGGGCGACAGAAAACCCTTAAAAGTGAATATTGGTTCAAATATCACAGACTCTCAAAACTCACACCAAATTTTAGTAGATTTTCTTGAGTAATCTTCCCTCCCCTCCCTTCTCCTCCTCTCTGCTCACTTCTCTTCTCCTTTTGGAGTCTCTGTCTGTCTCCCAGGCTGGAGTGCAGTGGTGATCTCGGCTCACTGCAACCTCTGCCTCCGGGATTCAAGTGATTCTCCTGCCTCAGCCTCCTGAGTAGCTAGGACTACAGGCATGCACCACCACACCTGCTAATTTTTGTATTTTTAGTAGAGACGGGGTTTCACCATGTTGGCCAGCCTGATCTCAAACTCCTGACCTCAAGTGATCTGCCTACCTCAGCCTCCCAAAGTGTTGGGATTACAGGCGTGAGCCACCGCACCCAGCCTTCCCTACATATTTGATTCATGATTCAGCCAAAGATTTGGGCCTTTCTCAGGCAAGATGTCATAAAAACAGAATACTCATCTAGTGCCCTTCCTCTCTTCCAAGGATCAGCTCCGTTCCAGAATTTGCCTGGTTTTGTTCCATTCCAATATCTTTGGGTAGTTGGGTATTTTCCCCCAGACTTTATAGTTGTTAGCTGTCATACAGTAAATCCATTAGGATCTGATTGGTTGTACTAGAAGCAGAATCTGGAATTACCTTTTACGGTCATTTTGGTTGACAGGTTGGATAATAAACTTGAGGTACCAGAATAAAGTAAGACTCGTGTTAGAAAATTATTACATTAATTCAGGCTGATGAGGACCTTAACCAAATTAGTTAACAACGAGAATAAAGATGATGAATTAGAGAAAAACCTAAGAGGTAAAATAACTGAATTTTATGGTTGAGTCCATAGGAGATGGCCAAAGTACAAAATGACTTTGTTAAATTGTTCTGCAAATCAGATTATACACTAATACAAATTGCATGCTGTATTACTTAAGGTATAGGCTCAGCAGCAGTAACAAATGGATATTATAGATATAATTTGATTTTTCTCCCCTCTCTCACATTCTGCAGTCAGTCCAGAGTAGAAAGATGACCCTGCTTCACACAGTCTCTCAGGTAATCAGATTGTATTCATTTGGTTGATTCACCATCACTAGAGTGTTTGTTTTTTGTTTTTTTTTTGAGATGGAGTCTCGCCCTGTTGCCCAGGCTGGAGTGTAGTGGCGTGATCTAGGCTCATTGCAACCTCCGCCTCCTGGGTTCAAGCGATTCTCCTGCCTCAGCCTCCAGAGTAGCTGGGACTACAGGCGTTCGCCACTACGCCCAGCTAATTTTTGTATTTTTAGTAGAGACGGGTTTCACCATGTTAGTTGGCCAGGATGGTCTCAATCTCTTGACCTCGTGATCCGCCCGCCTTGGCCTCCCAAAGTGCTGGGATTACAGGCGTGAGCCACTGCACCCAGCCACTAGAGTGTTTTTCTAATTTTCATGGTCAATATAAAGTCACCACTATGTACGTGTTCCATCCTGTGGGAAGAGGTAAAAAGCAAGTGGTGGGCAAGCAATGTCAACTTTAATTATATGTATAATTTGCACATACCACGTCTGCTCATGTCCCAATGGCCAAAACCTAGTCATGTGCCCAAAACTAATTACAAGGGAATAGGAGAAACATGGACTCTACTGGGGTAGTCAAAACTTAGAAAGGGATATTGGCTCTATTAGTAAAAGGAAAAATGGGAGAGTGGATACTGGGGAGCAAGAGTGGCCTCTGTCATTTGTCAACCCCTCTGTGAACTAGGTATTCATGAGAGTCTTTTTTTTCTCCTGCAGAACAAATTTAACCCTTCCTCAAGGGAAACAACCCAAAGTTCCATTCATAGCCTAAATCCAGCAAAATGTTTGGAATCTCTGGGTAGCTCCGTTACTGAAAGAAAGGAGGAAAAACTGGACAATAACTGTCTGTTTGGCAACCTCCCTCTACTCTTCACATACACAAGCAGATGTGCACGCGTGTGTGTGTGTGTAGCAAAGTATAGTCACAATTTTAAGTACACCAAATGTGGGCCCACAATGTAGCACAATAAATCATAGGAATAATGCAATTTGTGTCAGCTGTACAACAGCCTTATGTAGAACAAATACAAACTTACAAGGGAGTGCAAACAAGAGGATAAAAGAAGATCTAATGATGGTAAAGCTTGAAAAGAGGATGAAAAACAGTACTTGTTTATCCATATAAAGTTGATATAAGATATAATATCAACATATATATTTTGACACTGGTTCAGGTCTGTAATCCCAATACTTCGGGAGGCAGAGGCGGGAGGATCGCTTGCATCCAGGAGTTTGAGATCAGACTGGGCAACTTAGCAAGACTCCATCTCTACAAATATAAAAATAAAAAATTAGTTGCGTGTGGTGGCACACTCCTGTAGTCCTAGCTACTTGGGAGACAAAAGCAGGAGGACAGCTTGAGCCCAGAGTTCGAGGTTAAAGTGAGCTTTGATCTTGCCACTGCACTCCAGCCTGGGTGACAGAGCAAGACCATCTCTAAGAAATAAAACAAACAAAAAGGATTATAAAGGAAAACAGACTAACCAACAATTTTACATTTAAAAAATTATATACCATAATCAAATGGTACTGAATGTAGAACTTAATCATTAAATTCTAAACCTGTAATCTAATGGAAGCCTTTAACAGGAAATATTGTACTTATATTGGACAAAATGAAAACATTTAAATGAAAACATTTGACATTTACATGATACTCAGTTTGCCTTAACCTAAGTACTATCATTAGTTATTTTAATTCCAAAGCATCAAAATTTTAATCATAACTTTCTCAGAGAATAAAAAGATTTACATAAATTTTTGAATCAGAAAACAACATAGTTAAGCAGTGTAAAAATTAGCTTTCCACACATAATTGAAAGATTTGAATTTTTTTTATTATCCCAGCAAACATTACACTAGAGAAAATGATTGGGAAAATACAAATAAGTTCATTAAAAACACAGGCTGATTATTCATATCTATTACATTCAGAATTATGCGAAACAATTAGTTATATTGCAAAGCTGTAATTCTTTTTCTAACAAAGCATGATTTTATAAAACTTTAATGTTGCCACTGATTCAATTTTAATACAAAATACTTATATACACAATACAATATAAAAGTAAACTGTGTAGTGCCTTCCACAAAGGGATATATTAAGGCGCTTTACAAATATACCAATATTTTGACCCAAATTACTTTTTGCTTTAGATTAAAATGAACAGGCTAAATGTTCCACTTTAAATACCAAAGGGATGTTTATTAAAAATTTTTTATCTAAAATACCTTGGGTAACAGCAGCAGCAATGTCTAAAAATCCTCCCACTGTATTCTCTAATTTCTAACACATTAAGTCAGAATAAAACAATTCCACTCACAGTTTTGCACTTTGCAACAGCAGAAGGTAATAACTTTTTAAAAAAGTCAATCTCAAAGTGACTTTTTAGTCATACATTCTATAGTTTCTATTACAAATAAGAAGGTAGAAAAGATACAGCAGTAGGGCCTGCCTTATGATGTCACTGGACAATGCATAACAGTATCTACAATTACATAATTATAGAACACATCTTATAAATACTATTGATATGCATAAAAAGGGTAAGTATAATAAAGACAGCAAGTTTTTAATAAGAAAATTATTTTAAAAGAAAACATATAGAACCAATGTTTTCACTCCATTTCAATGGAAAGCATCTATATTTTTAACATTGTTTTTCTCATCTTTTTGGTCAGGAAGCACCAGATTCTATACTGGAAGAAGTAGATGTAGTTTTGGAATAAGATAGCTGATAAGTATATCCAAACTGTTAAAATTGCTGATACCAAAGGCATGTATACTGCTTCAGATAAATGCAAAAAGCTTATAGTATCAGAGGAAATTTTAAAAGAATACATATTTGCGCCAGGCGCGGTGGGTCACGTCTGTAATCCCAGCACTTTGGGAGGCTGAGGTGGGCATATAACTGGAGCCCAGGAATTCCACACCAACCTGGGCAACATGGCGAAACCCCATCTCTACTAAAGATACAAAAATTAGCTGGGCTTGGTGGCGCATGCCCAGCTACTTGGGAGGCTGAGGCGGGAGGACTGCGTGAGCCCCCAAGGTTGAGGATGCAGTGAGCTGTGAAGCGCCACTGCCCTCCAGCCTGGGTGACAGAGTGAGACCCTGTCTCAAAACAAAAAACAAAAAAAGAATACAAAATTTGTAGTGTCTGTTACATTTCAGCAATAGGGGGAATACAGATTTTGTGGGAAGGGAAGGGGGAGGAGACAGCACCTTAGTTTTCCTACAACATAAATGTAACAAAGTTATCTTCTACTGTATTGCACCTTAGTCCAAAAGTAAAACAACTAAATGAAAATTTAAATAAATCAGACTGAAAAAGCCCAAAGAGTAAGAGGAATACCTTATAAATGTGACTACCCACCTAAAAATTCTTGAACTACTTTGTTTTGCATAGGATTTTATGGGACTAACCAAATGTTCCATGAACCATGAGGTGAAGACTGCGATTTCATGATAGCACATTGTTTTACAATTCTGATTAGAAATCCTTCAGAAATATTTCTGTATCAAGCTTGTAATGAGCCTAACATTTCAGTCCCCTCCAAATGATATATTAAAACAACTTAATGTACCAGCAAGAGAGGCATTCATAAGGTCACCTTATATCACATGCTACAGACCTTTTCCATCACAAATTATCAGCTTATATAAGATGTGCTGAGTAGTGATTGGTAAGTTAAAAACAAAGTTCTTAGTTTAATGTATCAATTTTCTCATGGCACAGAGGTCCATAACCTACAGCCTGTGATAGGTTTCAATATGTCCAAAATCCCTTGAAACTGCATGCAACATTGTATGTGTATGTGTGGTTTTTTTTTCTAGGAAGAGTCCACAGCTTCCTTCAGATTCTCAAAAGAACCACTAACCCCAAAAGACGCACGATAACACAGTAGTGGGTTTTCAGGCTGAGCTCTGAAAGGACCACCTGTAGAAAGGTGGGAAGTGTGGGCTAATAAGTGTTCTTTGCCCTAACTCTCCAATTCAACTGCAACAGCTCTGCCTTTAATTTTACTACATATACGGTTTCAATTAGCTTTTATGCGAAGAAAGCTAAAAGTATGAAAATCACTAAAATTATGCCTCCAATCTACAAATAGTAACTTTTGATAAAAACAATCCCTTATCAGTGGAGCTTAAGAAAAGGAAATAAAACACAACACAAATTTTACTATGGTCAAAATGGAGCCTTTTTCCCCTTCCTAAAAGATAAGCTACATGTATTTTGGTATGAAACCTTAATCTTCCTTAGAACCTAAGCGTTATACATAACAGGCATGTTGAACGCATTATTGAACCTTAAATAAATTAGGAGGACTTGAATTTTCTACTAAGACCACTCTGTAAACTTTCCTAATTATTAATGGCCATCTTAAGAGTTAATTTTTTCACCAATTAATCTGCGCTTAGGTAAAATATTGCCAGATAGCCAGATTTTCCTTTGCCAATAACAATCTGTATATGCAGCACTGTTCTGAAAGAGGAAACAGGTAACATTGATGATATAATCAAAATAGTTACTATACAGGAAAAGTATATGAAAATTAAAATAATTATCTGCTTAGGATGGTGAGAAATATTTTAGCTTTTAGTATTGAACATTTCGATTTATGGCAGCTTTGTTCCCTTTTAAAATTGGAAGCAGCATCAAAAATACCAATATGGAAAAAAAGCTAGTAGTGCTTTGGCTTCTTTTAAAGCCAGTAATTCTTGAGAAATAAATGCAAGAAGATTAAATAGATTAAATATTCCATGGGGCGGGGGGTGGGGGGGAAGATAAATGCATTATTTTTCCTTCTGACAAACATATTAATATTTTTTCAACCCTGTATTCCTTAGTTTCAGGATGTGAATTATACAGATTATCATTAGCCTAGGAACACTCACCAACACGATGGCTTAATTTCTCTAGCTTATTTTCTACCAAAAACAAGGTTATGAGGGGAAAAAAGAGCTCTGTAAAATAGGGGGTATGTTTCATATTTGGTTAAAGCAAGATAAAACTAAAACTGTCTTTCAAAAAAATTTCAAAAACTCTTGTATTTTAAAATTATTTAGCATATATACAAATAGATACCAGGTTTCTCCTTTTAAACAAAGCACTACTTATTTTAAGTACTTTAAGTACCAAGAACTGACTATAATATTCAGTTCATAATTTACTTTCCTTATAACAATTTTTTTCTAAATACTGATTTAAACGGCTGGAATAAATTAACATTTTAAAAGGATTTCCCATAATTTAGGAAAATAAAATATTGTACACAGAGCACACATATATAGCTCTGTCATATTTGCATAATTTTACTCTCAGAACCTCAAAACACCTCGCATTTCAGGCCCTTTTACAAATCCTCATTACATTTATTTACTAGTGTGTTAAACATATACTAGATCGCGATTTTTAATCTCTGAGCCTGTGTTTTGATCATCTTCATCCGACTGCTGCTCTGAGCCTTGTGAATTAATGTATTCATATTCAATAGGCTTCGGATAATTATATGGGTAGCCATTGTCATCAAAAAACCTTCGGAAGGTAAATTCATAGAATGCATGTTCAGGATGCTTTCCATTTTTATACCATCCATTGAGAGTGTCATTTACATTTTCTTCCTCGTTATCATCACTCCATAATTTATCAGGATCAACAGGATCAAAATTTGATGTATCTGTTGGGTGTGTGATTTTAGGAATGTATGAAGCAGACTGCTGTCTCAGGTCACTGGAGAAGTCAATTGTTTTAAAAAATGGATGAGCTTTTATTTCATCAGCACCATTCTTGCCTAAGCGATCTTCGGGTCCTCGGCAAAGTTTAATAATAAGATCAGAAGCTTCAGGACTGAGTTTAGCTTGTGGTGGAATGTGAAGAGATGTTTGCCAGTTGATAACCTTTAAAGATTTTTTAAAATTAGGGGGAAGAGATAAATTAGAAAAATAAAGATTTCCTTCAAGTTTTATACCAAAAGTCTCACTGGGCTATTTTTGTATTTTAAATAAATTACATGATATTTTGCTGGAAAATAATTTTTTCTCCTATCCCATCCTCTCCAAGCAACTTCTACTCACATTATAAGACTCACTGTCAGTTTTAATCTCCCCTAGTAAACCTTTTGGCCTATGGTAGAAGTGACTACTTCTACTCTGCCTCCCCTGTACCATATATTTATTTCTATCATATTTCTAATAGCTTGTGGTACCTATTTATGTTTATGTCCTACTGAAATATATCCATTAAGGCTAGGGATTATGTTTTAGTGGTCTTTGTATCTCCTAGTGCTCAGTAAATTGCCTGGCACATACTTAATACATGTTTGATAAAACTTTTTCTGGTGCCAAGCGTGGTGGCTTTTGCCTGTAATCCCAGCACCCTGGGAGGCGGAGGTGGGAGGACTGCTTGAAGCCGGGAAGGTTCAAGACAAACCTGGGCAACAAAGCGAGACCCCCTCTCTACAAAAAAACTTTAAAAATTAGCCAGGTATGGTGGCATGCATCTGTAGTCCTAGCTACTCAGGAGGTTGAAGCAGAAGGATTCCTGGAGCCCAGGAGTTTGAGGCTGCAGTGAGCCATGACTGCACCACTGCACTCCAGCCTGTGTGACAGAGCGAGACACTGTCTCCAAAAAAAAAAAAAAAAAAAAAGAAAAATCTCTGGTTATGAATAAAATGAAATGATGAAGAAAGGAATGCCAAGTGAAGCCAGACTACCTAAGACTACCTAGTCTCTCCCGCTGAACTCTTGGAGGCAGGGGAATTGGTATACAACTCCAAGTACGATATTAAATGGATTTGGGGCAAACTCTGTTAAGTGGTAGAATGCATTGTCATTTAACCAAGTTTAGATACCTTTAACTTGGGCAGGCACTGTGGCTCACACCTGTAATCCTAGCACTTTGGGAGGCCGAGGTAGATGAATTGCTTGAGCCCAGAAGTTCAAGACCAGCCTGGGCAACATGGTGAAACCCCATATCTACAAAAAATACAAAAGTTAGCCAGGTTGGTGGTGTACACCTGTGGTCCCAGCTACTTGAGGTGGGAGGATGACCTGAGCCCAGGGAGGTCGAGGCTAGAGTGAGCCGTGATTGTGCCACTGCACTCCAGCCTGGGCGACAGAGCAAGACCCTGTCTCAAAAGAGGGAAAAAAAATCTTCAACTTGTTGCATGGTAGGCAGTCAATAAATATTTTTTAAAAAGCTGAATAAATGAACAGTATAATCTTCCTTATTTGTAGAGGAGCTAGTCAGCTACTATAGAGGGAAGAAAAATATACTCCCTCGTCTATTATTTGTTCCTTTTAAAGTCTTATCCCAGATTAGAAAATGGAGAGGCTTCAACTAATAATAGAATATTTTAAAAACCCTTTTTGGAAAAAAAAAATGATACAGTTAATAATAGTTATTTATGCTTCCAGTTTCATCACTTATTTCAAACAGGAGAAATAAAAAATATACACAATGAGATGAACAATTTTTTTTTTTTTTTGAAACAGTCTTGCTCTGTCGCCCAGGATGGAGTGCAGTGGCGTGATCTCGGCTCATTGCAACCTCTGCCTCCTGGTTTCAAGCGATTCTCCTGCCTCAGCCTCCTGAGTAGCTGGGATTACAGGTGCCCGCCACCTCGCACAGCTAATTTTTTTGTATTTTTAGTAGAGACGGGGTTTCACCATGTTGGCCTGGCTGGTTTCAAACTCCTGACCTCAAGTGATCTGTCCACCTTGGCCTCCTAAAGTGCTATAATTACAGGCGTGAGTCACTGTGCCTGGCCAAGTTTAATATTTTTTATTTTAAGGTATATTTAGGATTTTTCAGTTTAAGGCAAAAAAAAAAAAAAGAGCACAGCAAAAGATTCAGATAATTCAAAGATGGATGAATAAAATTATATAAACTGAAGCACAGAGAGAAAACATGTAGAATAAAAGAAAGAATAAAGCATAAGAGAAATGGAGGACAGTATCAAAGGAATAGCACATGTATAATCATTAGAGTCTCAAAAGGTAAGAAAGCAAAATAAATCTTTGAAGGGATAATGACAGAGAATTTCCCCAAATCGATGAAAGTCATTAATGTACATTTCAAGAAACTGAGTGAATCTCAACCAAGAAAAATACAAAGAAAACTACACATAGGCACACCATGGTCAAACTGAAGAAAACCAAAGTTAAAGAGAAGAAAACCCTAAAAGCAACCAGAGAGGTCCCAGTTTTGAGGAAGATGTACTACATATACTCTCCTGTCTCCCTCCCACAGAAGGCAGCTATAAAACCTGGTCAGGATGCAGGAAGCAGCTACTTCAAGATCCTGAAAAGTAAATAATAACAGGTAGATTAGGGGAGAAGATGTAAATTTGAAGTACCATTAAACCTGGTGACCATTTAAAAAAAATTATTTTTTTAAAAAATTAATTCTCACTATGTTGTCCACGCTGGTCTTGAACTCCTAGCCTCAAGCAATCCTCCCACCTCAGCCTCCCGAGTAACTGGGACTACAGGCCTCTGCCAGCACACCCAGCTCCATTTTTTTGTCTCTAGTAGTCTGCAGGCTGGACTCAAGGTAGCCCAAAACTTGGAAGAAGCTGAGCACAGAGAGCTCTAGGAGAATTCCCTCTAGTTCAGGCTCAGGGAGTAGAAAAGGAGTTTCCTGGTAGCAACGGAGGTGGCAATAAGAGCCAGTATGCACCTAAAACTGACAGCCAAACCTTCCTCTCCAATTGTAAATAAAATAACAAAGCATGGGGCTGGGTGCAGTGGCTCATCACGCCTGTAATCCCAGCACTTTGGGAGGCCGAGGCGGGTGGATCACTTGAGGTCAGGAGTTCGAGACCAGCTTGGCCAAAATGGTGAAGCCCCGTCTCTATTAAAATACAAAAATTAGTGGGGTGTGGTGGTGCATACCTGTAATCCCAGCTACTCCGGGAGGCTGAGGCAGGAGAATCACTTGAACCCAGGTGGCAGAGGTTGCAGTGAGCCAAGATTGTGCCACTGCACTCCAGCCTGGGTGACAGAGTGAGACAATATCTCATAAATATATAAATTAATAAAGCATGGGGTCCCAAGAAGATGGGTTGAATCTCTGTTGCTCGTTTTCTCTCTGTGTCCTTTTGCCACCTTGTCCTGGATTCAGATGCAGTTATGAGATATTGGCAGAGTTGGATAAGTAAAGCCTCACTTTCTGGTCAGAGAACTAAATAGGGAGCCCCAGGGAACAGGAAAGTACTGGGGACATCACAGAGAGGGAGGAGATTGGGCAAGTGACCCCATTAAGTTGCTTATGAACTGCTGGGCTCCCCCTCCAAACTGTAACTATGTGGATCTAATCCTAAGGAGCATACCAAAGACTTTGAGAACTGAACTAAGGAAAAGACCACAGCCTACAAAGAGATCTATCTGCCTAGAAAGGAAAAGCCTTTGAAACTGACATTGAAATCAAAAAAGACTGGTTGGAACTTGTGGCCTGAACCCAACCGGGTTTAATGCTTGTCAAAACAAGGTCAAAATTCTCCATAAGATCCAGAATCTTGGCTGGGCACGGTGGCTCACGCTGTAATCCCAGCACTTTGGGAGGCCAAGGTAGGCAGATCACCTGAGGTCAGGAGTTTGAGACCAGCCTGGCCAACATAGTGAAACCCCGTCTCTACTAAAAATACAAAAATTAGCTGGGCATGGTAGCACACGCCTGTAGTCCTAGCTACCTGGGAGGCTGAGGCAGGACAGTCGCTTGAACCTGGGTGGTGTAGTGAGCCGAGATCGCACCACTGCACTCACTCCAGCCTGGGTGACAGAGAGAGACTCCGTCTCCAAAAAAAAAAAAAAAAAAAAAATCCAGAGTCTCATAACATATTATTCAAAATGTCCAGGATACAATCCAAAATAACTTAGTATACAAAACAAACAAACAAAAAACAAAAACAGAAAATTTCAACATAGAAAAAGTCAGTATTGATATGACATAGATGCTAGAATTTTCTGACAAAAACTTGAAAGTAGCCATTATAGGCCGGGTGCGGTGGCTCATGCCTGTAATCCCAGCACTTTGGGAGGCTGAGGCGGGCAGATCACAAGGTCAGGAGTTCGAGATCAGCCTGGCCAATGCGGTGAAACCCCGTCTCTACTAAAAACACAAAAAAATTACCCGGGTGTGGTGGCGAGCAACTGTAGTCCCAGCTACCTGGGAGGCTGAGGCGGAACAATTGCTTGAACCCGGGAGGCGGTGGCGGAGGCTGCAGTGAGCCGAGATAGTGCCACTGCACCCCAGCTTGGGCAACAGGGCAAGACTCTGTCTCAAAAAAAAAAAAAAGTAGCCATTATAAAAATGCTCCAGGTTGGGCATGGTGGCTCACGCCTGTAATCCCAGCACTTTGGGAGGCCGAGGTGGGCAGATCACGAGGTCAGGAGATCGAGACCATCCTGGCTAACACGGTGAAACCCCACCTCTACTAAAAATACAAAAAATTAGCCGGGCGTGGTGGTGGGCGCCTGTAGTCCCACCTACTCCCGGGAGGCTGAGGCAGGAGAATGGTGTAAACTCAGGAGGCGGAGCTTGCAGTGAGCAGAGATTGAGCCACTGCACTCCAGCCTGGGCAACAGAGTGAGACTCTGTCTCAAAAAAAAAAAAAAAAATGCTCCAAATAAGGATGAACACTCATGAAATGAAAGATAGGTCTCAGCAAAGAAATTGAAGATATAAAGTATCAAAAAGAAATTTTATAATGGAAAAATAACCAAAATAAAAAACTCAATGGATAGTCTCAATAGCAGAGTGAAGATGTCAGAGGAAAAAAAATCAGTGAACTTGAAGATAGGTTGATACTGGCTGTGCACGGTGGTGTCACTCCTGTAATGCCAGCACTTTGGGAGGCCGAGGCAGGTGGATCACTTGAGGCCAGAAGCTGGAGACCAGCCTGGCCAACATGGTGAGAACCCTGTCTTAATAAAAATACAGAAAATTAGCTGGGTGTGGTGGTGTGCCTACAGTCCCAGCGACTCAGGAGGCTGAGGTGGAAGGATCACTTGAACCAGGAGCTTGAGCTGGAGGTTGCAGTGAGCTGAAATCATGCCTCCGCACTCCAGCCTGGGCAACAAAACAAGACTGTATCTCAAAAAAAAAAAAAAAAAAAAAAAAAAAAAGGAGGTGGATACTAATTATGCAATTCAATCAACTGCTCATTCTGAACAGCAGAAAAAACAAAAACTTAAAATATAAGTAGAACTTCAGGAATCTGTGGGACCACACCAAAAGGCCTAACATTCCTGTGATTAACATCACAAAAGAAAATGTGTGGTACAGATAAATATTTGAAGACATGATGGCTGAACACACCCCAAATTTGATCAAACACATAAACCTACAGATTTAAGATGCCTGGTGAATACCAAACGGAATAAAGCCTGAGAAATCCATGCCCAGACCTATCATAATTACGATACAGAAAAAAAATTATTGAAAGCAACTAGAGAAACATAATGCATTATTTGAGAGATCTGAATAATTGCAGATGTCTCATCAAATTATGAACGACAGAAGGAAGTAGACATTTTAAAGTGCTGTAAGAACTAAAACCCAGAATTTTGTATCAAGTGATAATACATATATTTTTTGAGATGGAGTCTCGGGCTGTCGCCCCGGCTGGAGTGCAGTGGTGTCATCTTGTCTCCCTACAACCTCCGCCTCCTGGGTTCAAGCAATTCTCCTGCCTCAGCTTCCCAAGTAGCTGGGATTACAGGTGCACGCCACCAGCCCAGATAATTTTTATATTTTAGTAGAGACGGGGTTTCAACATGTTGGCCAGGCTGGTCTCAAACTCCTGACCTCAGGTGATCCACCTGCCTTGGCCTCCCAAAGTGCTGGGATTACAGGCATGAGCCACTGCGCCCGGCCTCAAGTGATAATATTCTAAGGAAGGCAAAATAAAGACATTCTCATATGAAGAGAAATTAAGAGACTCTGTTGTCAACACACTTGCTCTAAAGTATCTGCTTTAGGAAGTTGTTCAGATGGAAGAGACATGATAGAGAAGGAATCTTGAAACACCAGGAAAGCATGAAGAGCAAGGAAAACGCTAAATATCCAGGTAAACATAAATGACTATTCTTCTCATCTTGATTTTTTTTTTTTTTAAGAGACAGGGTCTCATTCTGTTGCTCAGGCTACAGCATAGTGGTATGATTATAGCTCACTACAGCCTCAAACTCCTGGGCTCAAGTGATCCTCTTGTGTCTGGAGTAGCTGGGACCACAGGCATGTGCCACCATCCACCATGCCCAGCTATTTTTTTTTTTTTTTGGTAGAGACACTGTCTATGATTTGTTACTCACGCTGGTCTTGAACTCCTGACTTCAAGCAATCCTCTTGCGTCAGCCTCCCAAAGTGCTGGGATTGCAGGCATAAGCCACTGCATTCAGCCTGTCACCTTGAGTTCTTTAAAAGAACTTGATGGTTGAAAGCAAAATTGTTACATTGTTGGATGAGGTAGGTTTTGAGACAGGGTCACATTTTGTTGCCCAGGCTGGTGTGCAGTGGTACACTCTTAGCTCTTACTGCAGCCTTGACCTCCTGGACTTAAGGGATCCTCCCACTTACTGGTGCCCCCGCCCCAAGTAGCTGGGACTGTAGGCATGTACTGCCACACACCAGCATGCTAGGCTAATTAAAAAAATTTTTTTGTAGAGACAGGGTCTTACTATGTTGCCCAAGCCGATCTCAAACTCCTGGGTTCCAGTGTTCTTCCTGCTGTGGCCTTCCAAAGCGCTGGGATTACAGGTGTGAGCCACCATACCTGGCTGGATAAGGATTGATTGATTGATTGATTGATTGAGACGGCGTCTCTCTGTTACCCAGGCTGGAGTGCAGTGGCGCCATCTCGGCTCACTTCAAGCTCTGCCTCCCAGGTTCACGCCATTCTCCTGCCTCAGCCTCCTGAGTAGCTGGCACTACAGGCACCTGCCACCACACCCAGCTAATTTTTTGTACTTTTAGTAGAGACGGGGTTTCACCGTGTTAGCCAGGATGGTCTCGATCTCCTGACCTCATGATCTACCTGCCTTGGCCTCCCAAAGTGCTGGGATTACAGGTGTGAGCCACCGTGCCTGGCTGGATGAGGTTTTAAACGTATGTAGATGTAATGTATAAAATAACTACAAGCCAGGTGCAGGCTCATGCTTGCAATCCCAACATTTTGGGAGGCCAACGTGGGAGGATTGCTTCAGCCCAGAAGTTCAAGACCAGCCTGGGCAACATAGTGACTAGTCTTGATTACAAAATAATAATAAAATTAGCCAAGCGTGATGGCATGTGCCTGTAATCCAGGCTACTTGGGAGGATGACACGGGAGAATCTTGAACCCGGGAGGCAGAGGTTGCAGTGAGCTGAGATCACGACCCTGCACTCCAGCGTGGGCGACAGAGCAAGACCTTGTCAAAAGGAAAAAAGAAGAAAAATCAAATAACTACAACATAAATAGTAGAGAATAAAGGGACCTATATGGCAGTATGGTTCTACATTGAACTTGAAGTGGTAAAGTATAAATTCTAGGTAGATAGTGAAAACTTAGGCTGGGCGTGATGGCTCATGCCTGTAATCCCAACACTTTGGGAGGCCGAGGCAGGTGGATCACTTGAGGTCAGGAGTTTGAGACCAGCCTGGCCAACACAGTGAAACCCTGTCTCTACTAAAAATACAAAAATTAGCCAGGTGTTGGGGAGGGCACCTGTAATCCCAGCTACTCAGGAGGCTGAGGCAGGAGAATCGCTTGAACCTGGGAGGTGGAGGTTGCAGTGAGATGAGGTTGTACCACTACACGCCAGCCTGGGCAACAGAGTGAAATTGCATCTCAAAAAAAAAAAAAAAAAAAAAAGAAAAGAAAAGAAAAGAAAAGAAAAGAAAACTTAATATATATTTTGTAGTCACTAGAGCAACCACAAACAAAAACCATACAAAGAGATAATAGTAAAAACCACAGTAGAAGGAGACATCACAGAAAATAGCAGAGTAGGAAGCATCAGAGGTCCACCCTTCCCTAAAAATAATTAAACTGGAAAAAGACTATCAGGATAAACTATTTTGGAACTTTGGAACCTGATCAGATACTTACAGCAGCCAGGAGAGTGCTTCATGAAGGGAGAGGCTGCTAAAATTTGGTTCAGGCAGCAGCGTGTGTGAACCCACTACATCTACCATTCCTCAGTCCTGCAGCAGTCATGAAAACCACAGCTTGCCTTCCTGGAGCAGCTCGTTAGTGCCAAGGTGGGCAGTAAGAACTCTGCCCTCCAAAAATTTGAGGTTGTCTATCTTGGTTGGTGTTAGTGATTCCCTGAGGGACTAGCACAGATGCCTGCCTTTCTTTGACCTGCTCTGGCAGATTTAAAGAGACAGAGATCCATTTCTTTTTTTGACCCAGACATTTAAAGAAACATGTCAGGTCACTGGCTTGGGTTATTTGTTTCCTTACTGTTGAGTTTTGAGGGTTCTTTATATATTATAGTTTTAAAAAACCTTTCTTAGCTATGTGATTTGTAAATATTTTCTCCCAGCCTGTAGCTTGTCTTTTCTCTTGACTGTTATCTGTGGTAGAGGGAAAGTTCTTAGTTTTGATGAATTTTTTTTTCTATGGGTCATGATTCTGGGGTCATTTCTAGGAACTCTTTACCTAACTCCAGCCCACAGAGATTTTCTCCTATGTTTTCTTCTAAAAGTACTATAGCTTTAAGCTTTATCTATATATATGTGACTCAGTTTGAGTTAATCTTTGTAAAGGTGTGAGGTCACTTGAGGTTCAGTTGTTTTTTTGTTTGTTTGTTTGTTTGTTTGTTTTGAGACAGAGTCTCGCTCTGTCATCCCAGGCTGGAGTGCAGTGGCATGATCTTGGCTCACTGCAAGCTCTGCCTCCTGGGTTCAAGAGATCCTCCTGCCTCAGGCTCCCAAGTAGCTGGGATTACAGGCATGCACCACCACACTTGGCTAATTTTTGTAGTTTTAGCAGAGACGGGGTTTCGCCATGTTGACTAGGCTGGTCTCAAACCCCTAACCTCAGGTGATCCACCCACCTTGGCCTCCCAAAGTGCTAGGATTACAGGCGTGAGCCACCGCACCTGGCCTGATGTTCAGTTTTTTTGTATACGGCTGACCAGTTTTTTCAATACCATTTGTTGGAAAACTATCATTTTTCCATTTGCACCTTTGTCAAAGATCAAATGGCCATAGTGGTGTGGTCTTATGTCTGCATTCTATATTCTCTTCCATTGATCTAAGTGTGTATCTGTTTGCCACTATCTTACTGTCTACATTATTGAAGCTTCACAGTACATTTTAAAATCAGGTAGTTGAACCCTCCAACTTTTCTTGTTAAAAATCGATTTTGCTATTCTACTTTCTTTGTCCATCCATATAAATTTTAAAATTGACTCACCTATATCTACAAAAAATCCTGTTGAGATTTTGACTGGAGGTGAGTTAAACCTACACATTAATTACAGGAGAAGTTACAGCTTTACTACATTAACTCTTCCAATCAATGAACATGGTATGTGTCTCCACTTATTTAGATCTATGATTTCTTTCTTTTTTTTTTGAGACAGAGTCTCACTCTGTTGCCCAGGCTGGAGTACAGTGGCACTGTACGGGCTCACTGCAACCTCCTCCTCCCAGATTCAAGCTATTTTCCTGTCTCCACCTCCCGAGTAGCTGGGATTACAGGTGTGTGCAGCCACACCCAGCTAATTTTTTTTTGTATTTTTAGTAGAGATGGGGTTTCGCCAAGTTGGCCAGGCTGGTCTCAAACTCCTGACCTCAAGTGATCCGCCCACCTGACCTCCCAAAGTGCTGGGATTACAGGCGTGAGCCACCATACCTGGCCAAGATCTATGATTTCTTTTCTTTTCTTTTTTTTTTTGACATGGAGTCTCGCTCTGTCACCCAGGCTGGAGTGCAGTGGCACAATCTTAGCTCACTGCAATCTTTACCTCCCAGGTTCAAGTGATTCTCCTCCCTCAGCCTCCTGAGTAGCTGGAGTTTATAGGTGCCTGCCATCATGCCTGGCTAATTTTTTATTTTTAGTAGAGACAGGGTTTCACAATTTGGCCAGGCTGGTCTCAAACTCCTGACCTCAGGTGATCTGCCTGCCCTGGCCTCCCAAAGTGCTGGGATTACAGGTGTGAGTCACCATGCCCAGCCTATGATTTCTTTCAGTAGCAATTTGCATACAAATCTTGCTCATGTTCTAGATTTATAACAAAGTATTTTATGTCAGAGGAGCTATTGTGAATGGTATTGCTTTTAAATTTTAGTTTCCAGTTTTCATTGCTTAAATATAGAAATAGATGGATTTTGGCCGGGCGCAGTGGCTCACGCCTGTAATCCCAGCACTTTGGGAGGCCGAGGTGGGTGGACCACCTGAGGTCAGGAGTTCAAGACCAGCCTGACCAACATGGTAAAACCCAGTCTTTACTAAAAATACAAAATTAACTGGGATGGTGGCGCATGCCTGTAGTCTCAGCTACTCAGGAGACTGAGGCAGGAGGCTCACTTGAACCCAGGAGGCAGAGGTTGCAGTGAGCCAAGATAGCACCATTGCACTCCAGTCTGGGCAACAAGAGTGAAACTCTGTTTCAAAAAAAACAACAACGAAGAAATGGATAGATTTTATGTGTTATTCTTGTACTTTACACCTATAGATTCCCTGGGATTTTCTATATAGAAAATTATATCATTTTTGAATAGGGGAAGTTTTTATTTTTTACTTCTTCCTTTTCTTTTCTTTTCTTTTTTTTTTTTTTTTTTGAGATAGGATCTTACTCTATTACCCAGGCTGGAGTGCAGTGGTATAATCATGGCTCACTGCAGCCTTGACCTCCCCAGGCTCAGGTGATCCTCCCACCTCAGCCTCGTGAGTAGCTGGGACTACAGGTGCACACTGCCATGCTCGGCTAATTTTTCTATTTTTTTTGTAGAGACACGGTTGCGCCATGTTGCCCAGGCTGGTCTCCAATTCTTGGCTCAAGCAATCCACCCGCCTTGGCTTACCAAAGTGCTAGGATTACAGGCATGAGCTACCGCGCCCAGCCCTTTTATTTCTTTTCATTGCTGTATTATGCTGGCTAAGATTCCAGAACATAGAATTGATGAGAATGGACATTCCTGCCTTGTTCTCAACCTTAGGGAGAAAGCATACAATTTTTTTTCTCTCTCTCATACACCTACACACAAATATATTCAAATGAAGACAAAATAAAGATAATTTCAGACATACCTGAGACAAACCTGAGAGAATGCCTTATCAGCAGACCTATACTATAAAAAATCCTAAAAGAAGTTTTAAAATGTAAAACCATTTCTTTTTTTTCCTTTTTTTTTTTTTGAGATAGAGTCTCACTCTGTCGCCCAGGCTGGAGTGCAATGGCGCGATCTCGGCTCACTGCAACCTCTGCCTCCCAGGTTCAAGGAGTTCTCCTGCCTCAGGGCCTCCATATAGCTGGGACTACAGGTACCAGCCACCATGCACGGCTAATTTTTGTATTTTTAGTAGAGACGGGGTTTCACCATGTTGGTCAGGCTGGTCTCGAACTCCCGACTTCAGGTGATCCACCCGCCTCAGCCTCCCAAAGTGCTGGGATTACAGGCATGAGCCACCACACCCGGCTAATGTAAAACCATTTCTATATTAAATGCAATGACTGAAGAAGTTATAGCTTAAGAAAGGTGGAAATCAAAGAAACGATGGAATCTCAGGAAACTCTCAAAGAATAATTTGTTTTTTTTAGACAGAGTTTTGCTCTTATTGCCCAGGCTGGAGTGCAATGGTGTGATCTCAGCTCACTGCAACCTCTGCCTCCTGGGTTCAAGCAATCCCCGTGCCTCAGCCTCCCAAGTAGCTGGGATTACAGGGGCGCGCCACCACACCCAGCTAATATTTGTATTGTTAGTAGAGACAGGGTTTCACCATGTTGGCCAGGCTGGTCTCAAACTCCTGACCTCAGGTGATCCACCTGCCTTGGCCTCCCAAAGTGCTGGGATTATAATAGGTGTGAGCCACCACACCCAGCCAAATTTTTTATTTTTTGAGATGGGATCTCACTCTGTCACCTAGGCTGGAGTGCAGTGGCACAAATATGGCTCACTGCAACGTCTCCTAGGCTCCAGTGACCCTCCAACCTTAGCCTCCCAGGTAGCTAGGACCACAAATATGCATTACCATGCCTGGCTAAGTTTTTTGTATTTTTTGTACAGAGGGGGTTTCACCATGTTGCCCAGGCTGGTCTCAAACTCCTGGGCTCAAGTGATCTGTCTGCCACGACCTTGCAAAGTGTTGGGATTACAGGTGTGAACCACTGCACCCATCCCAGCACTTTGGGAGGCTGAGGTGGGTGGATCACTTGAGCCCAGGAGTTTGAGACCAGCCTGGGCAACATGGCAAAACCCTGTATCTACAAAAAATACAAAAAAAAATGCACCTGCGGTCCCATCTACCCAGGAGGCTGAGATAGGTCATTTGAGCCAGGAGACAGAGGTTGCATGAGAGGAGATCACGCCACTGCATTACACCCTAGGTGAAATGTTTTGACCTTATCTCAAAATAAATAAAGTGCTGGGATTACAGACATGAGCCATCATGTCTGGCCCTCAAAGAATAATTAAGAATGATCAGGAGGCCGAGGCGGGCAGATCACAAGTTCAGGAGATTGAGACCATCCTGGCCAACACGGTGAAACCTCGTCTCTACTAAAAATACAAAAACTAGCTGGGTATGATGGCGCATGCCTGTAATCCCAGCTACTCGGGAGGCTGAGGCACGAGAATTGCTTGAACCCAGGAGGCAGAAGTTGTAGTGAACTGAGATCACGCCACTGCACTCTAGCCTGATGACAGAGCAAGACTCTGTATCAAAAAAAAAAAAAAAAAGAGAGAATGACCAAGAGTTAATTAGACTTCAGAAAGGAGGAAGGGTTATAGAAGAGAGAGATGGAAGTAGGACATTCCAGACAGAGGGAACGGTATGAACAGAGGGCAAATTTCAACTTTAACCCACGGACAATCACTAAAGAGTATTAAATCAGACAGTGTATGGTCAAAATTGTGGGTAACTTCTCATTTAAGTGCCAGAGGTATTTTCAAGTGGGGATATAAACATTTGTTTGTAGTTTGCATAGAAGGAGACAAGGCCAGGAGGCAGTAGGTGACAAAGAGTAAACTGGACTAAATCTTCAAAATGGACTAAAGACCTTTTTGTTTTGTTTTGTTTTGTTTGAGGAGTTTCGCCCTTTCACCCAGGGTGGAGTGCGATGGCAAGATCTTGGCTCACTGCAACCTCCGCCTTCTGAGTTCAAGGGATTTTCCCGCCTCAGCTTCCCAAGTAGCTGGGATTACAGGCGCCTGCCACCACACCCCGCTAATTTTTGTATTTTCAGTAGAGACGGGGTTTCGCCATGTTGGCCAGGCTGATCTCAAACTCCTGACCTCAGGTGATCCACCCGCCTACACCTCCCAAAGTGGTAGGATTACAGGCATGAGCCACCGTGCCTGGCCTAAAGACCTTTTTGAGAATGATATATGATATATGAGTATGCTGTATGAGTGAGGGGGGATACAAGATTATGGGGATATGGCATCATGGAGACTGGAGTTCACGCATGCAATTCTGGTGAGTTCCTATACCCTTACAAGTTCATTCTTTTCCTTTTTTAAATTAAAAAATATTTGTTTGTAGAGATGTGGTCTCACATTGTTGCCAGGCTGATCTTGAACTCCTAGGCTCAAGCAATCCTCCTGCCTCAGCCTCCCAAAGAACTGGCATTATGGGTGTGAGCCACTGCACCCGGCCCAAGTTCATTCTTTAACTCCAGACTAAAATGCTCTACGTACTAATAAATAAAAGTCAATGATGTAGCAACTTTGTGAGAATTCTTTTGATATAGATGCCATACCTTACCTTCATTTGTGTTTCTAATGGTGTTTGTGCCAAGAAAGGAGGTTGTCCCACCAACATTTCAAAAAGAATAACACCAACACTCCACCAATCACACAACTGTGTGTATCCTAAAATAACAAAGTTATTTATAAGCACTTTAAAAATGCTCAGAATACAATAAAAATTAACATTAAATCACCAATTTATACTTTAAAATTAATACTTTTATTATAAGCCTGAAAAATAAGGCATATTCTAGTGTCGTTTTGGCTGGTCTAAAGGTCTACTGAGAATATATATGAAAGAAGTGCTTTACCTGTTCGTAGCAACACTTCAGGTGCAATATAATTGGGAGTCCCAACCAAAGAATGTGCTAGACATCGCTGGTGCTGGCGTGCAGCTCTCCGCTCTAATGGCTTCAGTCTGTCTCCACATCGACAGCTTGAGGGATCCCCCCATTCATTACTGAAATCCATGCTATCTTGCCGTGGATGGTCACCTGCACAACAAAAGAATAAGTAAATAAAGTCAACAATGACAACAGTAAACCTGAAGTCTATTTAATCTTCTGACATCGTGGTTTAGGGTTAACAACATTCTCCCTTGTGACAAACTAAGACACAATGTATGCCAAATCACTGATGGTGTTTATTACCAATTAGAGCCTATTTTCTGAGATGTCAATAGGAAGGATTTTACACTTAAAAAAAATTAGCCTAAGATTTAGTAATTTATGCAATGTTAAATAACAACAATATGAGTCATGGGGAGATTAAGAGTTTGTTATTTAGCCCACTCCCTGTTACTACTCTGGACAAACTTTCAAACAAATTAGATCCATCTTTCATTCAATAAATGACAGTGATAATAAGACAAAGCTCTGGTTACATTCTAGTAGGAAAAGAAACAAAACAATTACACATATAAGGAACAGTGACATACCCTACACAGAGAATCAACACAGGGTGATGTAACAAATGTGACTGGATAGCTACATAAGACTGAATGGCTAGGGAAGACCAGTTAAGAAGGTGACTTCAGCTAAACCGTAAAAAAACAAGAAGGACTCAACCATTTATAAATCAGGATTAGGTATTCCACACAGAAATAACAGCAACAGAGAGAAGACCAGCACAGCTGATAAAGGGGAGAACTGTAGGAAATGGGGCAAGAACTGTAAGAAATGCGGCAGGAATACATGTGGGTTTTGCAAGCAATAGAAATGGTCTGCCTTTTACCTCAAGTAAAGTGAGAAGATATTGCAGAGTTCGAAGCAAGAAGATAACAGTATCTGATTTATGCTTAAAAAAAAAAGTTCTTTATGGGTCATGTGAAGTTTGAAAGGCCTATTTGAAATCCATGTGAAGATAGCCAGGAAGCAGCTGGATAGAGAAATTACGAATTTCAGAGAAAGGCCATTTCTGGAGAGAGAGATTTGGAATTCATTGACATATAGATGGCATGAAGTCACCTAGAATATAAGAAATTAACCTAACTGTAATATTTATCTGGGATGTTTGATTAAAATATGATTTCCCTTTGGGAGGCCAGGGAGGGTGGATCATGAGGTCAAGAGATTGAGACCATCCTGGCCAACATGGTGAAACCCCATCTCTACTAAAAATACAAAAATTAGCTGGGTGTGGTGGAGCACACTTGTAATTCCAGCTACTTGGGAGGCTGAAGCAGGAGAATCGCTTGAGCCCAGGAGATGGAGGTTGCAGTGGGCCGAGATCGCGCCACTGCACTCCAGCCTGGCAACAGACCAAAACTCCGTCTCAAAAAAAAAAAAACAAACAGGCTGGGCGTGGTCGCTCACGCCTGTAATCCCAGCCACTTTGGGAGGCAGAGGCAGGCAAATCATGAGGTCAGAAGATTGAGACCGTCCTGGCTAACACGGTGAAACCTGGTCTCTACTAAAAATCCAAAAAAAAAAAAAAAAAAAAAAAAAAAAAAATAGCCGGGCGTGGTTGCCGGCGGCTGTAGTCCCAACTACTCGGGAAGCTGAGGCAAGAGAATGGCGTGAACCTGGGAGGCAGAGCTAGCAGTGAGCCGAGATTGCGCCACTGCACTCCAGCCTGGGCAACAGAGCGAGACTCCGTCTCAAAAACAAACAAACAAACAAACAAAAAACAACAAAAAGATTTCTATGCCCCAGTGAAGATTTTTGATCAAAAGATGGGAATAGAGCCTAGGAATCATATTTTTAAGAAGCTTTCCAGGTAATAATTCAGTCGAATCTGGGAAGACACTAAATTCCACTATGTCGAACATTAAAGTAGGTTCAATTGTCTCAGTTCTACCCATTTTAATGTCAATCTACTTGTGTTCACAGAAGCACAGGAGGCTAATAATACTTACCTCAGAGAATTGTTGCGAGCATATTAGAATATATGGTTAAGCACCTAGTACATAGTATTTAACAAATGTTAGATTGACTTACACTTCCATTAGCGCTTGGAGGGATCTTGGTGAGGCAGTGTGGTGTAGTAGAAATAACATGGGCCCTGAAATCAGACAAACCTGGGTTCAAAGCCTAGCCCTTACACTTGATTTCTGTCTGACCTTGGGCAAGTTACTTCATCTAACTAGGTCTCAGTTTCTTCATCCTGCCTCACAGTGACATTGTGAGGATAAAATAGGATCAAGGATCATAAAGTGTTTAGGGTTATATAAGTTGTGTAACAGTCATGTAATGAAATCCTAAATAGTAGTGAAAATAAATGTTACAAGCAATAACATGGAGGAACCTCAAACAAGTCAACACAAAGAATATATATAGATTATATTTAAATAAAGGTTAAAGAGTAGGCAAAATGAAATAATATATTATTTAAAGATATACACATTTGTGATAAAAGGATCGATAAAAGTAAAGAACCGATTATAAAGTTCTGAAATAATAATTATCTTTGTGGAGGAGAAAAGGGGAAGTGATTGTTTAAGGGCTTCTAAAGTACTGATAATCTAGTTCTTTAACTGAATGTTGGATATGAGGATTCATTAAAAAATTATTTTAAAAATGTTTTTGGCCAGGCGCAGGGGGCTCACACCTATAATCTCAGCACTTTGGGTGGCTGAGACAGGTGGATCACCTGAGGTCAGGAGTTCGAGATCAGCCTGGCCAACATGGTGAAACCCCATCTCTATTAAAAATACAAAAATTAGCCGGGCGTACTGGCAGGTGCTTATAATCCCAGCTACTCGGGAGGCTGAGGCAGGAGAATCACTTGAACCCAGGAGGGGGATATTGCAGTGAGCCAAGATGGTGCCACTGCACTCCAGCCTGGGCGACAGAGCGAGACTCCATCAAAAAAAAAAAAAAAAAAAAATTGTTTGTCTGGCATATTTTCAAATAAAATGTAAAAGGTGTGACTCAAAAATGTTAATAATATTTAGAAACAATCAAGTCTAGCACATTCTTTCATTTCATAAGTCTAAACAATCAAGTCTAGCACATTCTTTCATTTCATAAGTCTAAGTGCCTAATGGAGTCACCCAAGTTTATCCAACAGAATCAAGACCTGACCCACATCTTCTGGCTCTCATCCAGTGATGATACCATCTTATATTTTACTACATCAATAAATTACATTATTATGAACAAACTAAAATAAATTTTATGAGTTTACTTACCACTCTGATAGTACTTAGAATCGTGTGTCCATCTGAAGCCAGTGCAGAGGCCAAAGTCAGTCAATTTAATATGACCATCACGATCAATCAAAATATTATCAGGTTTAATATCTCTATGAATAAAACCCATTTTATGAACACTTTCAACTGCACAGGTAAGTTCTGCTATGTAGAATCGTGCCAGACTTTCTGGAAAGATGCCCATTCTAATTAATAGGCTCATCATATCACCCCCAGGAATGTAGTCCATTACAAAGTATAAATTGTCCTTATCTTGGAATGAATAATATAGACGAACTACCCATTCATTGTCAGCTTCAGCCAGGATATCTCTCTCAGCCTTAACATGAGCGACTTGATTTCGAAGAAGAACATCTTTCTTTCGAAGAGTTTTTGTTGCATACAAAGCCTTAGTATCTACTTTTCTTGCTAGACAGACTTCACCAAATGCTCCTATTCCTAGTGTCTTTATCTTCACAAACATAGACTTGTCCATTTTAGCCCTTTTAAGACGGATGTAATTAGATTCTTTTTGGCAAAGCATCTTTCTCATTTGATCCTGGGCATCTTGAGATAATCCAACCTAGGCAAATAAACTAGATGTTAAATAAGAATTATCTTCTTCAATATTGAATATTAAGAAATAGCTTGGGAAAAATTCAGGCATATATTTAAAGGTTAAATGCATAATTTTTAATAAAGCATGTTAGAAATCTAGAAAACATTTCAAAGGAAATTAATGATCAAAAGTGCAGCCTAAGGGGTAGTTAAAAGGATATTCAAAGTGAGTACCTATGCAAATTCAGCTGTGGAGTGCAAGAAGAGGGTACCAGATGAGTAAGCTTTCTACTCTTCTCTAATGCACTCCGAAAAAAAAAAAAAAAAAGGTTCTCAATGTGCAACAAACATCTGTTAACATGTTAACATGCATATTCATTTATCTCTCTGTATATGCTTCTCTTGGTGGAATGCCTAGGCCTCAAATATTCTTCCTATTTTGTCTTTCATGAAAAAAAATTCTTCCACTCCAGGCTCATTTATTCTAAAAAATTAATGTACCAAAGAACAACAAAACAATGCCTTTTCTAACCCACCAATCCTTTCCCTATTCTCAATAAATATACAACAGTCATTAATAATCTTTCCTTTTCTATTTTTCAGGGCATCAGAGTAAAGGTGCGACTCACAGTCTACCACTAACACAAATTGCAAAGGGTTTCTCCTACTTCGAAAAGAACAACCTGGTTGTTTACAAGATATCCTTTGGATACTTAGGAATACTTCAGTGTGACTCATGAAAATATCAAAAAATAGATTAAAAACAAAAACTAACTTCTAAGTATTATAGATATGGAATGCCTGGATTTAGAAGGGAGAAACATTTTGGCTAATTAATAAAGAATTAATTAAAGGGTTTAAATAGAAAAGAAATCCAGTTGGAAAAGTGGGGTCTAATTCTAGAAATACAAGACTAAAATAGAACAACCACATGCTTCTGTTAGGATTCACATTTGCATGCAAAATCTTTTAAGAAGGATGGCATGCCAGACTTAGTTCAGAACTGTTTCTCTTAAAATCTTACTTGCCTACACAGTAATGGAGACTACAGAAGTCAGCAAAGCTTCCAACACCATAAAAGTTTAAATCAGCTATTAGTGAAAGTGAAGAGGAAAAAGGAAAAATAAACTAAGAAAATACACATAGGCAGACTTTAGTAAGAAATCCTAAGAATTAAAATATGGATAAGTCATAGAAATTATTATGGTATTTCTCATTTAATAAAATATAAAATAGAAATAACAATACTGTAAAATCAGATTTATTAAAATCATTTTAAAAGAATGGTTCAAGTATATAAAGGTGTTTAATCACAAGGTTAAGCCTCTTGGATTGTGAGTGACAGATGTAAGATTAGGAGTCAAATCTTTGAACTCTAAGCATATGATAAAAACAATAATGGCCAGGCACAGTGGCTCATGCCTGTAATCCCAGTGCTTTGGGAGGCAGACGCGGGTGGGTCATGGCGTCAAGAGATCAAGACCGGCCTGGCCAACATGGTGAAACCCCGCCTCTACTAAAAATAAAAAATTAGCTCAGCGTGCTGACGGGCGCTTGTAGTCCCAGCTAGTGGGGAGGCTGAGGCAGGAGAACTGCTTGAACCCGGGAGGCGGAGGTTGCAGTGAGCTGAGATGGCGCCACTGCACTCCAGCCTGGCGACAGAGTGAGATGTCGTCTCAAAAAAAAAAAAAAATGATGATCGTACTACCTTAATATCTAGAGATCTATGTGGAATGACAACACAGATTAAAGTGTGTTTACTTACTCTGATCTCCCTTTTAGTATAGTTTCACTAAATAATTTTAGCACATTTTTCTCCAGTATATTATAAAAATGAAATGAGAAGGGAGATATAACTGAAGGAAACTTCTTTACACTTTTTAATAAGATATATGTGATGAATAAACCTATAAACTCCAAATTTTCTAAAAGTAAATGTTTTATAAGTATATCAAGAGATGAGACCCACGTATTTCTTTTTTCTTTTTTTTTTTTTTTTGAGACGGAGTCTCACTGTCGCCCACACTGGAGTGCAGTGGCGCGATCTCGGCTCACTGCAACCTCCGCCTCCGGGGTTCACGCCATTCTCCTGCCTCAGCCTTCCAAGTAGCTGGGACTACAGGCGCCCGCCACCATGCCCAGCTAATTTTTTTTGGTATTTTTAGTAGAGACGGGGTTTCACTGTGTTAGGCAGGATGGTCTCGATCTCCTGACCTCATGATCTGCCTGCCTCAGCCTTCCAAAGTGCTTTGATTACAGGCGTGAGCCCCCATGCCCCAGCCTGAGACCCACATATTTCTAGTTTATTTTTAAATGTTGTAAGATATTGTATGAAGCCTAGAAGACAACCCTTCCTCCAATTTTCATATAAAGGTATTATGTACACCTAAACTGTATACCGCAAATTATATTTTTCTTAATTTACACGAGATTTTATTATAGGAAATTCTGAATAAATATTGAAATACTAAAATAAAATGCTACAATCAAAAGTACTTTAATATTTATTCACTTTTAAATTCCATAACTGATAATATATTTTATTTAGCTATAAAAAGAAAGAAAAATACTGGACACAATATTTTAAAATAAACACCAAGCAAACAGATGATTAAGTATAAAAATGGACATTTTAAAAGGTTTTACCCGCATCATTTCATTCTCTAATTGTTTTTTACGATGTAGACGCTGCTGATGAGATTTGAGTACATTTTCTACATGTTGCTCCATAAAGAATTTAAATGCTTGAGGAGAATAACTTTGAATACGAGATTCCCTTCGCTCTTCATCTTTCTTGTTTTTCCTAACAGTAATAGGTGAAGTTGTAATCTGTTTCTTTTCTTTATCCCCACTATCAACATTTTCATAACTCTTTTCACTCTCATCTTCCTTGGGCAAGCTTGGCTGATCCTCTTTGCTAGGCTTACTGATTGACTCGTATGGAGGAACAGATGGGTTTTGGTGCAGCAGATGTTTTGGGTAGGGTGGTGGTGGTCCTTGATAGTTTGGAGCTTCAGCAACAGGTGGCATCACAGTCACATTTGAAGCGGTTCCCTCAGGAAAAGGACTGGGTTGAACAGTTTGAATTGGCTGTGGTATCCAAGAAGGGTGTGTAGGTGCTAAAGCAGTCTGTAGCTCTGGTTTTAATACACGCATACTTTTCACAGGCTGTTGAATAGGAGCTGGTGTAATTGCAGTGACTGTTGTAGCAGAAGGCTGAGAATTAGCAGAGTGACTTGCTCTATTTCCTAATGGGTTATTAAAAGAATTTGACCTCACTGGTATGTTAGGTTGCCATGTAGGGATTTCATGCCCACTGCTCGGGGATGACTGGGCTGGAGCAGAAGATGACTGAGGCCAATTTGTTTGCAGTCCAGGTACACTAATGTTATATAGTTCCATGTTATGACTATTTCTGTTTGGCACCATCATAGACTGAGGAATACTTCCATTTGTATATGACGAAGGAGCAGCAGATCCCCCTGTTTGTAAAGCAGAAGGGCTTTGTCCATTAGCTGCTGTCAGAGGATATGGAGGTGGTGGCTGCCGATTCACAGTGCCAGCAGGGACAACATTTTGGTGTATCATGAAATCAGTTTGTCCAGTACCATTCTGCATTCCAGGTCTCCCTGATGGAAAGTTAAATTTGCTAGAACTCTGCATGATGATTGGTTGTCTGCCAACAGGAACAGAACTAATGCCTCTCTGTCCTTGATTAGGAGGATTCATGGGGGAAGTGTTGAGAGGTGGTGGAGGATAGCCCTCTTGCCATGCCCCAGGTGGGACAGGAGAGATTCGGGAGATTACGTATTCCATGTTTCCAGAATAGCGCTTTGTTTGAGAGTTTGGTTCCCATGAAGGGGGAGGTGGAGTTGTACCTCTTGGAGGGGGAGTCTGGCCTCTTGGAGGTGGTGGAGGAGTAACACTCCTTACTTGAGGTGGTGGTGGGGGGTTCACTCTCTGTCCGTTGCTAGGGTGAGCTTGAACAAATGCTGATATACCAGATCCAGACAAAGGTCTTCCTACATCTGTCTGTGAGTTGGGACTCTCAGAATGATAGGCCACACTTTCTCCTAGTGGCGGGCCATGCCTCTGAGGAACTAAGGATTCTTTAGAACCTTTCCAGCTCTGTTTGCGGTTAACTGATTGCTGCACATTCCCTATGGTTATAAGAGAGATAAAGAGAAAAAAGAATCATGTTTTTAACCTCTAATTTTTGAAAACCTTAGCTTGCAATTCTGATATTACAAATGATACTCAATTCTCTTTCAAGAATTATAAAAATATAAAAAAGTTCAAGTGATCTCTTGTACAAAATGGTGACTGTAGTTAATAACAACGTATTGTACTCCTGAAAATTGCCGAGAGTAAATTTGAAGTATTCTCACTACAAAAAAATGATATGTGAGGTAATAATACATGTTATTTGGCTCAATTTAGCAAAAAAAGAAAAAAAAGAGTTATAAAAATAAAATTTCACTAAGTGGTTTCCTTTTACCTTTTAGAATTTTATTTATTTTTGACCAGGCGTGGTGGCTCACGCCTGTAATCCCAGCACTTTGGGAGGCTGAGGTAGGCAGATCACTTGAGGCCAGGAGTTCGAGACCAGCCTGGCCAACATGGTGAAACTCCATTTCTACTAAAAATACAAAAAAATTAGCCAGGCGTGGTGGTGTGCACCTGTAGTCCCAGCCACTCGGGAGGCTGAGGCAGGAGAATTGCATGAACCAAGAAGGCCAACGCTGCAGTGAACTGAGATCGTGCCACTGCACTCCAGCCTGGGTGACAGTGCAAGACTCCATCTCAAAAAAAATATATATATATTTTTGAAGAGATATAATTTCATATATATGCATGTATATTTGTAGATAAATTATTAGAGGTAGCATTATTAGGCCAAAGGGCGTATCTATTTGTAATTTTCATAGCTCTACTGATTTTAAATATATTTTAATATATATCTATATTTTTAAATTGAGACAAAGTCTCACTCTGTCACCCAGGCTGGAGTGCAGTGGCACAGACTCACTGCAACCTCCGTCTCCCGGGTTCAAGTAATTCTCCTTCCTCAGCCTCCTGAGTAGCTGGGACTACAGGCGCACGCCACCACGCCCAGCTAACTTTTGTATTTTTAGTAGAGACGGGGTTTCGCCATGTTAGCGAGGCTGGTCTTAAACTCCCGACCTCAAGTGATCTGCCCTCCTAAGCCTTCCAAAGTGCTGGGATTACAGGTGTGAGCCACTGCACCTGGCCTTTTAATATGGTTTTTAAAACAGAAAAAGATAGTAGGCTATAATTAGCTGAATATTAAATAAAGTATAGATTTTACAGAAACTGTCTTTAACGGAATTTCCAAATCAATAAAACAAGCAAAAAAAAAAATACAATACCAAAAAAAGAGAAGTATTTAAAATAGAATAGTCCAGCCACTTAGGAAAAATATACAAGATACACTGGTATAAAGACAATACATATATACATTCTAGAAAGACTAAAGGTTTAAATATTAAAGATGAAATCATGTAAGCACTAGAAAAAAACAAAAGACCATTCAATAGTATTGGGGTACCTCTTGCGAATGTCTTCCCAGGCATGACAAAAGTAGAGATCTAAATACAAACACTCATTACCATTAAAAACAAAACAAAAAAGAATACTAATAAATTTGAAAGGTCAACATCATCCTGGGCAAAAATATATCTAACAATACATCTGAGAAAAAAAGTGGTAAAATGTGGTAAATGTTCATAATGTTCAGTTTAACACTCCCTTTCATCTAGGCTGGACAGCATTTTGGGTCTACATTCTCGAAGCAGGAGCCAGACGAAAAGCAAGTGAGTAAATAATGTTTGGGGAACATTATCATTCCGGATAAACTGGACAAGTCCTCTGGCCATCAGGCTCTTTCTCACTTTCCTCAGAGGCCAGCTGAGGCCAAATACACCATGTCACTCATTCAGCTTTTAGAGTATACAGTCACCCCTGTTGTTCTGCGCCTCCCACAGAGCTCTCCATGTTCTTCCACTTCCCGAACCTTTCCACCATGCCCTCCGGATCCACTCGGCTCCACAGCCAGCAAATGTGCCTTATCAGTAACCTCTCCTCCAAGCTTTCCTGCCACCTCCTTGAAGCTGGTTTTCTTCTGCTGATACTACTTTCCTTTCAGCCCTTTGAAATTAAGGTTTCCTTTAAAAATAACCTGGCCTAAAGATGGGGTTCTAACATTTGTTCTTACAGGTTGATATTATTCCTTTTAAAAAGCCAGCTCTTTTGAACTTCATGCTATGTGGGAGGCCACACTAATTCCTCTCACCTAATGAGCTCCTGCCTATTTGCTCTATTTCATTCAGCCACAGCTTCAGCATTCAGTCTACCCTAAGCCCTGCCTTCATCCTGTAACCTCAATAACCACGAGGATAAACCATCTATTGCCCTCATATCTCAGCTTCTTGACGTCCCCTCTTCCACTCCACATCAAGTATCATTCTCATGATTGTATTTCAAACTTTGGTATTACTCATATCTGCTCTTGTTTCAGAATAACTACTTTAAGGTTTATACGCTTATACTCCCAGACCACAACTACTTCTTCTGTTTACTCCTACTGCAAAAGTTTTTAAACTTTATTAAGTAGCAACCTCACCAAGATCTCCAAGATTTTTATTTTTTTTTTTTTGAGACAGAGACTTGCTCTGTCGCCCAGGCTGGAGCGCGGTGGCATGATCTCGGCTCAGCGAAACCTCTGCCTCCTGGGTTTAGGCGATTCTCCTGCCTCAGCCCCCTGTGTAGCTGGGATTACAGGCAGGTGCCACCACACCCAGCTAATTTTTGTATTTTCAGTAGAAATGGGGTTTCACCATGTTGGTCAGGCTGGTCTTGAACTCCTGACCTCAGGTGATCCGCCCACCTCAGCATCCCAAAGTGTTGGGATTACAGGCATGAGCTACCGCATCCAGCCAACATCTCCAAGGTTAATCCCCTACTTTATCAGTCCTCCTTTTTCTTATTTTTATTCTTTTGAGACAGTCTTGATGTCACCCAGGCTGGAGGGCAGTGGCATGATCATGAATCACTGCAGCCTTGAACCCCTGGGCTCAAGCAATCCTCCCACCTCAGCCTTCCAAGTAGTTGGGATTACAGGCATGCATCACCATGCCCAGCTAATTATTTTATTTATTTATTATTGTAGAGATGGTATCTAAGTTGTCCAGGCTGGTCTCAAACTCCTGGGCTCAAGTGATCCTCCTTCCTCAGCCTCCCAAAATGCTAGGATTATAGGCAGGAGACACTAAGCCTAGCCTATTTTTAAAACTTTTTGTAGAGACGGGGTCTCCCTAATATACCCAGGCTGGTCTCGAACTCCTGGCTTCAAGCAATCCTCCCACCTTGGCCTCCAAAGTGCTGGGATTACAGGCGTGAGCCACCGTACTTGACCCTCCTCTTTTTTTTTTTTTTTTTTGAGGCGGAGTCTCGCTCTGTCGCCCAGGCTGGGAGTGCAGTGGTGCGATCTCGGCTCACTGCAAGCTCCGCCTCCCGGGTTCACGCCATTCTCCTGCCTCAGCCTCCTGAGTAGCTAGGACTACAGGCGCCCACCACCACGCCCAGCTAAGGTTTTTGTATTTTTAGTAGAGACAGGGTTTCACCGTGTTAGCCAGGATGGTCTCGATCTCCTGACCTCATGATCTGCCCGTCTTGGCCTCCCAAAGTGCTGGGATTCCAGGCATGAGCCACCTTGCCTAGCCTGGCCTTCCTCTTTCTTTATGACACATTTTATCCAACTTAAATCCATGGTCTATCACTTTGTTCTTCCCTCTCTATTCTTTTTCTCTGAGATCACCTCCTTTTTATTCATTCATTAAATATTTGGGTTTTTTGTTTGTTTGTTTGTTTTTTGACATGGAGTCTTCGCTTTGTCACCTAGGCTGGAATGCAATGGCGCAATCTCAGCTCACCGCAACCTCTGCCTCCCGGGTTTAAATGATTCTCCTGCCTCAGCCTCCCAAGTAGCTGGGATTACAGGCGCCCACCACCACGCCTGGCTAATTTTTTGTATTTTTAGTAGAGATGGGGTTTCACTATGCTGGCCAGGCTGGTCTTGAATTCCTGACGTCGTGACCCGCCCACCTCGGCCTCCCAAAGTGCTGGGATTACAGGCGTGAGCCACTGCACCCGGGCCGTTCATTAAATATTTATTGTGCATCAACTATATGCCAGGCACTGCTCTAAGCAATCCAATGACATTGGTAAACAACAGAACATCCGTGGCCCATGAACCTACATTCTCGAAGGAGAAGCCAGACACAAAGCAGGTGAATAAATAAATGAGGTAACTTCAGGGTATGATAAATGCTCTGTGAATGAAACATAAATGGCATCAAATGATAGAGAGTAACAGGAGGCTAGAAAGGGATAAGGGCTCCTCTGAGGGATAATATATGAGTTCAGACAGCACAGGCCAGGCGCGGTGGCTCAAGCCTGTAATCCTAGCACTTTAGGAGGCCGAGGTGGGCGGATCACCTGAGGTCAGGAGTTCAAGACCAGCCTGGCCAACATGGTGAAACCCTGTCTCTACTAAAAATACAAAAATTAGCTGGGTATGGTGGCACATGCCTGTAATCCCAGCTACCTGGGAGGCTGAGGCAGAAGAATCACTGGAACTCAGGGGGCGGAGGTTGCAGTGAGCTGAGATAGCGCCACTGCACTCCAGTCTGGGCGACAGAGCAAAACTTTGTCTCAAAAAAAAAAAAGACTGCATAAAGGTCCTGAGGTGGGAGCTTGGTATTTTCCAAGAACAAAATAAACCCAGTACGGCTGTAGAACAGTAAATGAAGGGGGAAAGTGGTATTGGATGGGATCTAAGAGGTAGCCAGGCCATGGACAAGGAATTTGGAAGAATAAGAAGCCGATAAAGGTAGAGGAGGAGTACGCTCTGATTAAGGATTTAAATTATCCTTTCAGGCTGGGCACGGTGGCTCATGCCTGTCTCAAAAAAAAAAAAAAAATTACCCTTTTAGCAATATTATCGATCTTATTTTGTACTTGTTTAGTGAAACTCCAGTCAGGGATAATTCCAGCTATCTTTTTTTGTTGTTGTTTTTAACTTAAAAGAAAAAGTGATGCAGTGGGCAGACTGATTTTACTATAATTCAAGATCAGCATCCTTCAATGGCCTCAGCACCACCAGGAAACTCTTTCTATAGTCTCCACTATTGCCAGTCCTCAGTCTCCTCAAACTGCCTGCTCTAGTCCTCACTCATCACTCTTAGAAAATGACTTGGTTTTCTATTTCAGAGAAAACAGCAGGCATCAGAAAGTACTCCCTTAGCTTCCTTACATAACCTAGGCCCGTCTGCTGCTGTTAGAGAAAAATGACTGTTCCTCTATCTAAGGCTAATAGTCCCTCATGCTATGCTTTGGATCCTATTCCTCCCAGTTTCTCAGGAAGCTTACTTGATCCTCAAGTATCTCTTGAATATTTAATTTCATCCTCTTAACTGGAGTCTTCCAATTATCTTTTAAACATGTTTAAGTCTTTACTTAAAAAAAAAAAAATAAGACTCTCCTTCCACTCCCATATATAGAGCTCTACCTCAAAGTGTTATCTGGTGCTGGTCCACAAACTGACATAAGATATATTACAAACTGACATGAGATTAAGTATGGAAATGGAGAGTGAGGATTGAGAAACATTTATAGAAATTTGACAGAATAAACTTACGTCTGTTAAATACAATGATAAACTATTTAAACATATACATATATGTATTCTTTTCTTTTTTTCTTTTTTTTTTTTTTTTTGAGACGGAGTTTTGTTCTCGTTGACCAGGCTGGAGTGCAATGGCGCGATCTCGGCTCACCGCAATCTCTGCCTCCCAGGTTCAAGTGATTCTCCTGCCTCAGCCTCCCCAGTAGCTGGGATTACAGGCATGCACCACCACGCCCAGCTAATTTGGTATTTTTATTAGACACGGGGTTTCTCCATGTTGGTCAGGCTGGTCTCGAACTCCCAACCTCAGGTGATCCACCCGCCCCAGCCTCCCAAAGTGCTGGGATTACAGGTGTGAGCCACTGTGCCCAGCCTCAACTTATATTTTTATGTCATTTAAAATTTTAACTTTCTTTTTTTTTTTTTGAGAAAGGGGCTCACTCTATTGCTCAGGCTGGAGTGCAGCGGCGCAATCACAGCTCACTGCAGCCTCAACTTTCTGGGTACAAGCAATCCCCCCAACTCAGCCTCCTGAGTAGGTGGGACTACAGGCACATGTCACCAAACCTGGATAATTTTTTGTAGAGCCAGGGTTTCACCATGATGCTCAGGCTGGTCTAAAACTTCTGAGCTCAAGTGATCCTCCTGCCTCAGTCTCCCAAAGTGCTGTGATCACAAGCGTGAGCTACCATGTGTGGCACTTAAATTTTCATTTTCTAATAATTTATTGTATGTTATAAAATTATGAATTGAAGTCATGATGAACTGGAAATTTGAAAAATCACCATAGATGGTTTGAGAAGCACTACTCTTGCTAACATCCTCACTCTCTCCTCCAGAAACACTTCTTGAAGGTATACCTTGTTTTTTTTTACTACTACATATCCTATTTAGTCCTCAACCCACTCCAATCTGAATTATGCTCCCAGGACATGACAAGTTACCTCATTTGCTGAACCCCCAATCCATATGCTGAAGTCCTAACCACCAGTACCACAAGATGTGACTGTATTTGGTAATTAAGATTAAATTAGGTCATTAGGGTGGGTCCTAATGCAGTATGACCTGTATCCCTGTAAGAGAAAATTTGGACATGGAGATGGAGACCCCAGACACATGCACATGCAGAGGGACAAACATATGAGGACACAGCAAGGCGGCCGCCATCTGCAAGCCAAGGAGAATGGCCTCAGAAGAAACTAGACCTGCCAGTAACTAATCTTGGACTTCTAGTCTCCAGCACTCAAATAAATCTTCATTGTTTAAGCCACCCAGTCTGTGTTATTTTGTTATGGCAGCCCTAGCAAACTAATACACCATGTCACTAAAGTCAACAAGATTATTTTTTAGCTCTCATCTTGGTCAGTATCTCTTTCTTAGCAGTATTTGGCATTTTGACCATTCCCTCCCCTTCTTGAAACACTCTCTTACTGTGGCTTCCAAAACACTGAAAACCTTATTGGTTTTCTTCCTTTTCACCTATTTCTTCTCTGTCCCCTTTGCAGGTTTACCCCTTCCTACTAGCTATTAAATAATAAGCTTGGTTGCAGGCCATCTTATTATTTTGTCTATGTAACATCCCTTAGGTGACCTATTTCATATGTATGGCTCATACATACATCCCCACCTCCCTACTTGACATCTTCACTTGGAAAACTATAGCCAGATTTATGATCTTTCCCACCCAATTCCATTCTCTCTTAACATTCCCTTTCTTAATGTAGGGTATTATCATCCATCTATTTTTCTAAGCCAAAAACCTAAGTTATCCCCTTCTACCATCACGCACCATATGTAATCTATTACCAAGTCCTTGTCAATTTTACCACTCCCATCCCTCTTAATTCATTTATTTTCTTCACTGCTATCGCCCAAGCCCAAATTACCCTCACAAACTACTGTGTTTCCTATCACACCTGTCCTCATATCTATCCTCACACCTCTCTAACCCATTCTCATCCATTGCAGCCATCTTTCTGAAATACAAATCTAATAATGTTATTACCCTGCTTGAAACACTTCTATACCTTTCTGCTGCTCTTAGCATAAAATTAATAAACAGTTCTGCAGAGTCAGGCCCCTATGGACTTTTCCAGTCACATTTCACAATCCTGTGTTCAGTGCTCCAAACATTTTCATTTTTTTGTGGCATCAGAATCTGCCAAAGCAGCCATGCAAAGGGACACTCACTAAACCCATTCCCATTAACTCTGTACTTCTTCAGATATCAGCTTTATTATCAGTTTGTTAGGAAGGGTTTTTCTGAACTTCTTGATGCGGTTAAAAAAAAAATCCCACTATTATATGAGTCCACAGTACCATGTAACTCTCCTCTCTTCATTCACACCATATATAGCTGTAATTCTACATGTATCTGGGTGATTATTTAATCTCCCTTACTAGCTAAGCTCCACAAAAGGGCAAGAACTTACCCAATGCAGAACAAAGAGCCTGAAACAGTGGTTGACCAATAAAAATTTGTTGAATAGGAAGAATGACTACAGCCCTCTTATAAATCAATTCTTTTTCTTTTTCTTTCTTTTTTTTTTTTTTGAGAGGGAGTTTCGATCTTGTTGCCCAGGCTGGAGTGCAATGGTGCGATCTCAGCTTACCGAAACCTCCGCCTCCTGGGTTCAAACAATTCTCCTGCCTGAGCCTCTCAAGTAGCTGAGATTAGAGACACGCGCCACCACACCCAGCTAATTTTGTATTTTTAGTAGAGACGAGGTTTCTTCATGTTGGTCTGGCTGGTCTCTAACTCCCGACCTCAGGTGATCTGCCCGCCTTGGCCTCCCAAAGTGCTGGGATTACAGGCATAAGCCACTGCACCAGGACACAAAGACAGGCCAGGTGTGGTGGCTCACGCCTATAATCCCAGCACTTCGGGAGGCTGAGGCAGGCAGATAACAAGGTCAGGAGTTCGAGACCAGCCTGATCTACATGGTGAAACCCTATCTCTACTAAAAATACAAAAATTAGCCAAGCATGGTGGTGTGCACCTGTAACCCCAGCTACTCTGGAGGCTGACGCTGGAGAACTGCTTGAACCCGGGAGGCGGAGGTTGGGAGGTGGAGGTTGCAGTAAGCCAAGATTGTGCCACTGCACTCCAGCCTGGGTGACAAGACTCTGTCTCAAAGAGAAAAAAAAAAAAAAATTAAAAGAGGTAAAGTGGCAATGAAAAATAACCAATAGGCCAGGCGCGGTGGCTCATACCTGTAATCCCAGCACTTTGGGAGGCCAAGGCAGGCAGATCACGAGGTCAGGAGTTCAAGACCAGCATGGCCAAGATGGTGAAACCCCATCTCTACTAAAAATACAAAAATTAGCTGGGCACGGTGGCAGGTGCCTATAATCCCAGCTACTACTCAGGCTGTGGCAGGAGAATCACTTGAACCCAGGGGGTGGAGGTTGCAGTGAGCCAAGATTGCGCCACTGCACTCCGGCCTGGGTGACAGAGTGAGACTCCATCTCAAAAACAAACAAACAAACAAACAAACAAACAAACACCAAAACAAACCAATAAACAAATGCAGTGATCAAAGAAATGCAAATGTAAAATAAGATGGTGTTTCCATAACCATTAAACAGACAAAAATAATAATACCGAGGCTTTACAAACATAGGCATTCTCATAGTAAACGGATAGGGAGAATATAAATTGGTACTACTAGCTGGGCGCGGTGGCTCACGCCTGTAATCCCAGCACTTTGGGAGGCTGAGACAGGCAGATCACTTGAGGTCAGGAGTTCAAGACCAGTCTGGCCAACATGGTGAAACCCCGTCTCTACTAAAAATACAAAAAATTAGCCGGGCATAGTGGCGGGCACCTGTAATCCCAGCTACTTGTGGGCTGGGGCAGGAGAACTGCTTGAACCTGGGATGCAGAGGTTGCAGTGAGCTGAGAACATACCACTGTACTCCAGCCTGGGCAACAGAGTGAAACTCCATCTCAAAAAAATAAAAAAATAAAATAATAAATTGGTGCTATCTTTCTAGACAGCAATATCTATGAAAAGCCTTAACGTTTTTTAAGTTTTCTAAAACTTACTTTTAGGAAATCATTAGGTATGTACAAAGATTTAGCTATAAGGGTAATTACTGCAGTGCTGTCTATAATGGCAAATAATAAAGGAAATAAAGCCGATGCCCAAAAATGGGAGATTAGTTAAATGAAGTATATGATACATCTTTTTTGTTGGGTTGTTTGTTTTGAGACAGGGTCTGGCTCTGTTGCCCAGGCTGGAGTGCAGTGGCAGGATCACCCGGGCTTAGGTAAGCCTCCCGCATCAGTCTCCCATAGTATTGAGCTTATAGGTGTGAGCCACTGCAGTCAGCAAATAAGTCTATTTTAATGTGGCTAGTAAAATTATTCTGTAGAAAATTTAATAACAAGTAAAATTGTACATGGTATATTAAGTGAAAAAAGTAGGTTTTAGTATGTTCCCATTTTTTGCTTAAACAACAAGAATCAAAATACGCATAGATAAACCTATTCTGGTTTCCCACAGGAAAAAAGACTGGGAAACAAAATACACCAAAATATTGTTATTAACAGCGATGTTTGTATTTGCTTTCTAAATATTCTATGTTGATCATATTTTACTCCCATAATATGAAAAAAATATATAAAAAGAAAAAAGAGTAGTCTGAATGATGGGATTTGGAGGGAAAATAGACATATTTCAGCTGCAGTATTACCAATCAAATAGATCTCAATCTAGACTGCTGCTTACCAGAATTATCTATTAACTTTTAAATGTGAGGACCCCATCCTTAAATTCATTTTGGTATAACATTATAATGTTATCTTAATTTGAGACTTTCATTTACTGGGATGCTTTTACAATTTCTAAGAAGGAAGATTTGATAGACTTCAGTATTTTTAAACTACACAGTAAAAGAAGAGATGAGAAAATAAAATATTTGATTAATCACCTGGTTTCATGCTGGCATTAATAGGTCTGGCAGCTGCTGCAGCCATCTGCTCTCGTCGAGGATCTTGGTAACTCATTTTACTAATGAATTCAATTGCTGCTTCTATACTTCTGTTGTTAGTTTTCTGAAGAGCTTGTATAACCATATCCTGATATGAATTGAAGTTTAAAAAAAAAGAAACAAAATTTAAATCTTACAATAATACAAGGGAAAGAACACTATGAGTTCCACTAGAGAAATCCATAATTATGAAGAACACAGCCCCAAACCATGATATTAATGTTCTGTTTGTAGCTACTAAAAACCCCGCACAAAATCTCAACTAAAACAGGCAGGGCGCAGTGGCTCAAGCCACTTTGGGAGGCCGAGGTGGTCAGATCACTTAAGACCAGGAGTTCAAGACCAGCCTGACCAACATGGTAAAAAACCCAGTCTCTGCAAAAAAACACAAAAATTAGCTGGGTGTGCTGGCGCACGCTTGTAATTCCAGCTACTCAGGAGGCTGAGACATGAGAATTGTTTGAACCTGGGAGGTGGATGTTGCAGCAAGCTGAGATGACCACTGTATTCCAGCCTGGGCAACAGAGCGAGATGCTGTCTTGGAAAAAAAAAAAAAAAAGAAAGAAAACAAAACCCTCAAATCTTCCAAATGTTTCTTTAGCATTTTCATCTTTATGTAACATATTTCTATTTCCTCCTAGGATTAACGTCTTTTTTTAAAGTATTTTTAAATTTTTATTTTTTTCAACACACCATTGTTGGCTTGAATTAGGATTAACAACTTCTCTGGGTACAATCATAGCAACATGATTCTGATTACTTCTAATTCTTTTTACTTTTTTTTTTCTGAGATGGAGTTTCGCTCTTGTTGCTCAAGTTGGAGTGCAATGGTGCGATCTTGGCTCACTAGCAACTTCTACCTCCTGGGCTCAAGCGATTCTCCTGCCTCAGCCTCCCAAGTAGCTGGGATTACAGGCACGCTCTACCAGGCCTGGCTTATTTTTTATACTTTTAGTAGAGACAGCATTTTACCATGTTGGCCAGGCTGGTCTCAAACTCCTGACCTCAGGTGATCCACCCACCTCGGCCTCCCAAAGTGCTGGGATTACAGGTGTGAGCCACTGCTCCCAGCTTCCTAATTCTTATATAAACAATCAGAGACTATCAGATTGTTAAAAAGGTAGCAATCAAAATATCAGAAACAACTCTTTTGGGCTGAGTGCGGTGGCTCACACCTGTAATCCCAGCACTCTGGGAGGCCGAGGCGGATAGATCACCTGAGGTCAGGAGCTCCAGACCAGCCTGACCAACATGGTAAAACCCCATCTCTACTAAAAATATAAAATTGTCTGGGTGTAGTGGTACGTGTCTATAATCCCAGCTGTTTGGGAGGCTGAGGCAGGAGAACCCAGGAGGTGGAGGTTGCAGTGAGTACAGATCACGTCACTACACTCCAGCCTGGGCAACAAGAGTAAAACTCCGTCTTAAAAAAAAAAAAAAAAAAAAAAAAAAAGAACTACTTTTTTATATGAGTATCTTGGTATTTTATTAAGCACATTGCCATTGTGCATAGTAGTTCTGGCTCTTATCCTCTTAGAGATTACGTTTTCAGAGAACTATATTACAGGAATACAAATATAAGACAAAAGAAGATACTTAGACTATATATGATTATGTGATAAAGACTTTAGGAGGCTATATAGTACGATGAAAAAAACAGAGGATTTGGAATCAGACAGATGTGAGTTTGAGTTCCAGCAGCTCTGTAAAGTAGAGTGACACCTGGCAAATTATTTCACATTTCAGAGGCTCAGTGTCTTTGCCTGTAATAGGCTCATAGGGTTGATGTGAGGATTAAATAAGAAAACATGTAAACTACCAAGCACAGTGCCTGGAGCTAAAATGTTGGCTGCTCTCTTCCACTCCTTGTACTTTATGTTTTATATAAACATAAATCACTCACTATCATGCAGAAAGTATGTTGACATGCATTTTTCAAGAGGGAGGCAACTACTTACTTGTCCTAGAGGATTCAGTATTTCAAACGACATTTTTAAATGAGAAATGGCTTAGTAAGACTAATGGGTGAACAGGCTACTGACAGATGATCCTCCTATATGAAATGATAAGAGAAGAATGTGAGACCAACCAAAGAAAGGATGTGGTAAGAACTTATTGCCTACCTAAGGTCATTTCTCCCTTTCTTAGAAAAAGTTACTGATTTTGTTGGAAGCAGCAAGGGTTGCCATAAAAATTTTGCCATGCCTGCCTTATCTAGGTACTGGTCCTTCCTCGACCCCGTTTCCTAGGCAACAGATATGACACCTGTGCTAGAGCATGTTGCCACCAAGAAGTAAAATTTAAGATATTCATAAGAGTCCTAGGCTCTGAAATCTTTAAGACGTTGAGCTAATCGTAATTAACTGAATCACTATCTTGCTAAAAGCATTATTATTTAGATTTTTGTTAAAACCAAATATGTGTAAATGTAAAATAATAGAAATCACCCATTAAAATTCATCAGGGAGTGTTTAATTTTAAAACTGGTTAAGTCAAGTGAACTCTATATGTATTTATGCTATTATTACACAGCAGTAACATCTCCATTGGTAAGAAAATTAGCACCCACTACCCTTTTCCAATATTGTGGGAATCATTTTTCTTTTCTTTTTTTTGTTTTTGAGATGGAGACTCGCTGTCGCCTGGGGTTGGAGTGCAGTGGCGTGATCTCAGCTCACGACAATCTCCACCTCCCGGGTTCAAGCAGTTCTCCTGCCTCAGCCTCCAGAGAAGCTGGCATTTACAGGCGCCCAAAAACACGCCTGGCTAATTTATATTTTTTAGTAAATATATAAAAGGTTTTGCCTTGTTGGCCAGGTTGGTCTCGAACTCCTGACCTCAAGTGATCTACCCACCTTGGCCTCCTGAAGTGCTGGCATTACCGGTGTGAGCCACCACACCCGGCCCATATTCTTGTTAAATGCACTAGAATTTCAGCCTTGTGATTCTGGTGATTACTATGCTAACCTTTATATTTTAATATTTATTGCTATGTTTTACAATATTTCTTATAGCTGTAAAAACATCAACCAAGCATTCATTAAGTGGAGGTGTTAGTGCCAGTGTGAAAAAGAACGCTCAAATCAGTAACTTTGGAATGGGAGTCTTTTTTTTTTTTTTTCCCATTAGAGACAGGGTCTTGCTCTGTTGCCCAGGCTGGAGTGCAGTGGTGCAACCACAACTCATTGCGACCCAATCTCCTGGGTTTGAGTGATCCTCCCACCTCACCCTCCTAAGTGGTTGGGGACTACAAGAACATGCCACCACACCTGGCTGATTTTTAACTTTTTTTTGTAGAGACAGGGTCTCACTATGTTGCCCAGGCTGGACTTGAACTCCTGGCCTCAAGCAATCCTCCTGCTTTGGCATCCCAGAGCACTGGAATTACAAGAGTGAACCATCACACCCAGCCAGAAGTCTTTTTTTTTTTTTTTTGAGGCAGAGTCTCACTCTGTCGCCCAGGCTGGAGTACAATGGTGTGATCTCGGCCCACTGCAACCTCCGCCGCCCAGGTTCAAGTGATGATTCTCCTACCTCAGCCACCCAAGTAGCTGGGACTACAAGCATGTGCCACTAGGCCCAGCTAATGTTTTTTTTTTCATATATTTTGTAGAGTCGGAGTTTCACCATATTGGCCAGGCTGGTCTCGAACACCTGGCCTCAAGTGATCCACCCGCCTTGGCCTCCCAAAGTGCTAGGATACAGGCGTGAGCCACCATGCCTAGCCAGAAGTCTTATGTGATAAGAAAATATGTCCACATAATTATGCCTTTGTTTTTCATGCTTATAAGCAAAAATATACCCCAGTGATTGTATTATGTGCTCCAAGAATGCATCAATCCTATTTAACATTTATTCCTATGAGAAAATTAATCTTGAAATATTTGAGCTTTTCATTTTACAGGGTCACCAGAAACACATTCTCAAAAAAAAAAAAGGCACTATCTTGAACTTGGCATAGCTAATAAAAAGAGTAGGTTAGGGTTTCTGAAATGATAAAAAAGAATGAAGTGAAAACTAGATAATAATTTTGAAATACCAAGTTAGGATCTTGAACAAGATAAACTCTACAATATAATAGGATGCTACCAGAATGAGTGATTCAAGGAAGTAGAAGTGGACTGCCAGAATCTTTATATCACCATTGGTATAAATAATACCATACTTCTGCACTGTCTGGGAAGTGAGGTGCACCTCTGCCCAGCCACCTCACAGTCTGGGAAGTGAAGAGCGCCTCTGCCTGGCCGCTGTGCAATCCTCCAAGTGTGAAGTGACAGCCTTGTGTGTGATCTTTCTGCCCTCCCCAAGTTTGCATTTTGACATTAAAGTTTACTTTTTAATAAAAAAAAAAAATAAAATAAATAAATAACACCATACTTCATTATTTGGACAAACAGGGAATGATAAATGTCTAAATACTTTCAATAAAGCAATCTTGTGACAATTTGAAATGTGTAATTACAATAAAGCTATCATTTGTGTAGTAGCACTTCAATGAAAAAAAGCACAAACATATCTTTGTAATACAAACCAATTATTGTTATTATTACCAATAATGAATAGAGCATTGACCAATGCCTTAGATTTCCTAAAACTGTCTTTATTAGAAAGAACTTTTAATTACCTTAAAGGTATAGGCCATGTCACTATCCTGACTGATGGGTGGGGTGCACACATAGTAAGAACTCCATAAATACATATTACTGGGTGACTTATCTGACATAACACATTACCACTTGGGGCCTTTATAGCTATGTGATTTCATAACTTCTCTTTGCTTAGCAATATGTAAAAGGAAAGAATAAGATCAATAATTATACTTTGCCTTTTGGCTAAGGGATTAGGAAGAAAGTGCTTGGGACAATCTCCACTCAAGCCATTTCTTTAATCCTCCAAATACTAACGAGAAAAACATTATCCCAGGTCCTTCCCTCCTCCTCCTCTCTCTATTTCCTGGTCCAAATCCAGTATTTTTAGAACACTTAAGTGTAAAAATGATAGAAAATAATATTAATCAAATAAGTAAACAGAATGTGCCAGAAATAAAATTTCTTATTTTCAGCTGGGTGTGGTGGCTCATGCCTGTAATCCCAGCACTTTGGGAGGCCAAGGTGGGCTGATCACGAGGTCAGGAGTTCGAGACCAGCCTGGCCAACATGGTGAAACCCCATCTCTACTAAAAATACAAAAATAGCCAGGCGTCGTGGTGGGCGCCTATAGTCCCAGCTACTCGGGAGGCTGAGGCAGGAGAATTGCTTGAACCCGGGAGGCAGAGGTTGCAGAGAGCTGAGATCGCACCACTGCACTCCAGTTTGGGTGACTGAGCAAGGCTCCGTCTCAAAAAATATAAAAAATAAAACTTTTTTTTCCTTCTAGTTTAGTTGTAAATCTCCCTTTTCAAATCCTTTACTACAATGCATACTTAGGTTCTCATTTTTTAAATTAAATACAGATATATATGGAAATTCGGCCACCAAAAAAACACACAAAACAACAAAAAACAAACAGTGAAGGAATTTTAAGAGTAGTTATCTTTATACAGTGAAGCTAAATATAATTTTCAGTTTCTTCTTTACACTTTTAAATTGTTAACAGAAAATAGGTAATATTTTTGCAATCAGAAAAAACATTACTATAATTTTGAAAAATGTAATTAACTGTTTTTTTGAGATGGAGTTTCCCTCTTGTTGACCAGGCTGGAGTGCAATGGCGCGATCTCGGCTCACTGTAACCTCTGCCTCCCGGGTTCAAGAGATTATCCTGCTTCAGCCTCCCAGGTAGCTGGGATTACAGGCATGTGCCACTATGCCCAGCTAATTTGATATCTTTAGTAGAGACAGGGTTTCACCATGTTGGTTAGGCTGGTCTGGAACTCTTGACCTCAGATGATCCACCCACCTTGGCTTCCCAAAGGGCTGGGATTACAGGCGTGAGCCACTGCACCCGGCCTGGCCTAACTTTTGATTATTCACATTTACTTAAATTTTACATTGCCCATCTAAAATGACTCCTGACACCTAAAATATTCATGCTTACAAGGTATGTTATCATAAGAAGAAAATTCTATTAATAACCTAAATGAAATGATTAAATATATGGGTTATGAAAAAACTTCAAAATGAATTCTGAAGAGAAATATTAAAGACTTGGCAGTTAGCCTGAAGTGAAATTTTGTTAGTTTTTGTGAATTTAAGATTTGGGCCTGAGAACACAACTGCTTACACAAACTCTTAACTATAATTCTTTCTCCCTACTATAAAGTTAAATTTCATATCCTTGGAACTATCATTTCCCCAACAGCCACTTAGTTCACCAAGCTTGTATTTCACACAAACAGATGTCCTTCCCCTACCCTCACCTATGGCTTTCTTCAACTGCACTTCCATTATGACTTCATGATCTGGCCTTTTAAATTCCAGAAACTCCAGAATTTAGTGATACATATCACAGAAGAAACTAAAGAAATATTATTTTTAATAGTAATTAATGGAATTATAAACGTAACATTCTTTGCTGATAGAATACATAAATGTGTATACAGGGTTAAATTCTCCCAAAGGAAACATTTTGGCATGTTATCACCCAAAAAGTGTTATGTAGCATAAGGTAAGAAGAATCCTTTCTTTTGTCTTTAAACATTCTTACCTCATCAAATCCAGCAGCTTGCAAGTCTTGAAGCATTTGTGGATTAACTTCTGAAGTACTCCGAGAAGAATTTGTTTCATTTGCAAATGGAAGCAGAGAGTTTCGAATTTCCTGCAAGGCTTTATGATGCGTCCCAAATTTGGGTGGATTTCTGACTTGTCGAGGATCTTCGGTTGACATTTTACTCATGTTATGCTCAGCCTTAGCAGCATCAGATGGTTTAGATAAATTCCTAAGGGATTCCCGAATTTCTTGTAACATTTGCCGGCTACTGACAGTATAGTTACTGGCAGGAAAGGTCTTAGGCCTCATTTGTCTATATCCTTCTGGCTTTTCACTCCTCTTCATGAAAACATCTATATATGTAGCCCACACGAAGGACTTCTTTATTTGATAGATCCAGAGCTTTCTTCTGAGCAAAAGTGAAAATGATCCTTCAAGGAAGTCCCCAGGACTGTTAAAATTCTTTACAATATAAATAATTAACTCTGTAAAAGAAAGAAAGAAAGGAAAGCTATAAAGTGGTTAATACAGCAGTACCATGTATTAGAGGAAAAGTCCATTGATATAGGGGTTAAGAGATTCAGGTTATAGTTCTGACTCCATTAAGGATTACTCCGGGTTCAGGACAAGTTACTTAATCTCTCCATGCCTACTTCCTAGCCTATAACCTAGATTTACCTCAAATCGTAGCTATGATGATTTAAAAAAAAAAAAAAAGTTCCTTAGTAAGCATACCAAGCATTTATACAAATGCCAGGGATTATTAAGTGAACAATAAAACAGGTAACCTCTTATTAACAACTTCACCTAGAGGATCAAATTTTAAATTTTACAAATCAGACTTCAAGATTTCTTTAGAAGGGTATTGTTGCTTTAAATTTATTTTTATTTTTTTATTTTTATTTTTTGAGATGGAGTCTCACTCTGTCACCCAGACTGGAGTGCAGTGGTGCGATCTTGCCTCACTGCAAACTCTGCCTCCTGGGTTCAAGCAATTCTCCTGCCTCAGCCTCCCCAATAGCTGGGATTACAGGCACCCGCCACCACGCCCAGCTAACTTTTTTTGTATTTTTAGTAGAGAGGGGGTTTCGCCATGTTGGCCAGGCTGGTCTTGAACTCCTGACCTCATGATCCACCCACCTCAGCCTCCCAAAGTGCTGGGATTACAGGTGTGAGCCACCGTGCCCAGCCTTTTTTTTTTTGAGACAGAATCTTGCTCTACCACCCAGGCTAGAGTGCAGGAGTGTAGTGGTGCAACCTTGGCTCACTGCAACCTCCGCCTCTCAGGTTCAAGTGATTCTCATGCCTCAGCATCCCAAGTAGCTGTGATTACAGGTGTCTGCCACCACGCCCAGCTAATTTTTGTATCGTTTAGTAGAGATGGGGTTTCACTATGTTGGCCAGGCTGGTCTCGAACTCCTGGCCTCAAGTGATTCACCTGCCTTGGCCTCCCAAAGTGCTGGGATTGCAGGCTTGAGCCACTGCAATCCTCCACTTTAAAAAGATTTTTAAACCACTATTCCAGAAGGTCCCTTTATGCTTCAAAAACAGATGCCTGAGTTTATTTTCCAAGCTATGAACTAGGACTCTGATATGGTTTGGATCTGTGTCCCCACCAAATCTCATGTCGAACTTTAGTCCCCACTCTTGAAGGTGGGGTCTGGTGGGAGGTGGTTGGATCTTGTGGATGAATCTCATGAATGGCTTAGCTGGATATACAGTACTTCTCTGAGTACTAGAAAAGCACAGCACTTGTAATGGAAAGCAGCAACAAAAAATGAGATTCAAGTACTTGTTCAGGGGCCAGGCATGGTGGCTCAGGCCTATAATCACAACACTTGGGAGGCCAAGAAGGGAGGACTGCTTGAGCTCAGGAATTTGAGACCAGCCTGGGCAACATAGGGAGACCCTGTCTACATTAAAAAAAAAAATTACTTGTTCTGTTAATTAGTAGCAATGTGGACTTGGACATTTAATTCTCTGAAACTGACTCCTGAGACATAAAGTGGTTATCAACATCTAATAAATTGAACTAGGATTAAGAGGAACAATGCAACACAAGTAAAGGAATATACACACAAGTATGTGAAGATGTAGGCTGTTCCTCGCAACATCATTTATAACAGCAAAAGTTGACACCAGTCCAGATGTTCATCAGTGGAGGATTGTTCAAGTAATTCATAGTACATTTATATAATATACATCTAAGTCAAAAAGAATGATGCAGTTCTTTTTTTCTGAGATGGAGTTTCGCTCTTGTTCCCCAGGCTGGAGTGCAATGGCACGATCTTGGCTCACTGCAACCTCTACCTCCCGGGTTCAAGTGATTCTCCTGCCTCAGCCTCCCGAATAGCTGGGATTACAGGCATGCACCACCGTGCCCAGCTAATTTTGTATTTTTAGTAGAGACAGGATTTATCCATGTTGGTCAGGCTGGTCTCGGACTCCCGACCTCAGGTGATCCACCCACCTCAGCCTCCCAAAGTGCTGGGATTACAGGCGTGAGCCACTGTGGCCGGCAGAATGATGTAGTTCTATATAATGTACAGATATAAACAGATAAGTAAATGTATCCTAAGCAAAAAAAGCAAATTCACCATACTGTATACAAAACTAACCTATTTTCTGTTCTAAAATTAGATTACAATTTATTGCTGTGAAAATATGCTAAAAAAACACTTTAAATGGGTAAACTTAGGGGTTTTTTTTTTGTTTTTTTTTTTGAGACAGGGTCTCATTCTGTTGCTCAGGCTGGAGTACAGTGGTTTGATCACAGCTCACTGCAGCCTCAACCTCCTGTGCTCATCCTCCTGCCTAAGCCTCCCAAGTAGCTGGGAATGCAGGAACATGCCACCCTGTCCAGCTAAGTTGTTAATTTTTTGTAAAACAAAGTCTCCCTATGTTGCTCAGGCTGGTCTTGAACTCCTGGGTTCAAGTGCTCAGGTAAGCCTCCTGCCTCAGCCTCCCAAAGTGGTGGGATTATAGGCATGAGCCACCCCACCTAGCCTGAGTAAACTTTATAGTATATAAATTGTATGTTAATAAAGCTGTTAAAAATATACCCATTTTTAATTTTTTAAAATTTATATTTATAGAAATTAATTATACACACACACACACACACACACACACACACACACACACACAATTTGCAGCAGGCCTGAGACATGACGAAGCCCTGTAGCAGCCACTAGAGGTAGTTTCCTGATGACTTCACCTCATAAATCAGTGCTCTCATGGCACAATTGCTAAATTAGCTATGAATCAATCAAACTCTATTACAAGCAGCTCACATTTCTCCACTTTGAAAAAAAAAAAGATGAACTTTTTCATTGCCTGAAAATTGCACATATTCTATCTATAACATAATAATACATGAATAATATAATTATTTTGTAAATGAAATTAGGATGGACATACCATGTGCTTTTTATGAAGGAAGCTGGTCCCTAAAGCATTTTCTTTTCTAAGCTTTCCCAAAATATTAATTTAATAGCTTACTAATGAGTTTTTCTAAGCTTAACATTTAGCTCGCCAGTCTAAAGTTTGCAGAATTCACCTCTGGCCCTTTCTAAAAGTGAAGATACTTTCTATATTAGGTCTTCTGAAACCTACCATTTCTCCATGATCAAGGATTAACACTGTTGTGGAATCTTACATGTCAGTTCTTTTAGTATCTGGATTGCAATTCATTTATAGGATCTAGGTATTCTTTCAATATCTCACTTACTTTGGGTTTCAACTCTAAGTTAATCATCACTTTATTATTATTGTTATTTTACCATTTCCAAGATCATTCTGACAGAGAGAGAGAGAGAAAAAAAAAAGAAAAAAAGAAAAGAAACATAGTTTTGCTTCTGTCAAAATATTTGCTTCCATTTCCCTATAATGGGACCTGGTCACCAGTAGGTAGCGCAAAAATATTTGAACTTACAAATGCAGGTAACTTGCCCCTTCTTTCTGCTGTTAAAAAAATACAGCATGCATCCTTATTGAAAAATTCAAGTATTTATATAAATATATACAGTAGGAAAAAGTAGAAGTCCCTCATAATTCACCTTCCTCAAGAGTGAGAATCACTGTAGCGGGCTGAATAATGGCCTCTCAAAAGATATTCCTGAGCCAGGCACAGTGGCTCACTCCTATAATCCCAGCACTTTGGGAGGCCAAGGCGGGTGGATCACCTGAGGTCGGGAGTTTGAGACCAGCCTGACCAACATGGAGAAACCCCGTCTCTACTAAAAATACAAAATTAGCTGGGTGTGGTGGCACATGCCTGTAATCTCAGCTACTCGGGAGGCTAAGGCAGGAGAATCGCTTGAACCCGGGAGGTGGAGGTTGTGGTGAGCCGAGATCGTGCCATTGCACTCCAGCCTGGGCAACAAGAGCGAAACCCGGTCGCAAAAAAAAAAAAAAAAAAAAAAAAAAAAAAAAAAAAAAAAAGATATTCCTGGCTTATGCCTGTAATCCCAACACTTTGGGAGGCCAAAGTGGGAGGATCACTTGAGCTCAGGAGTTCAAGACCAGCCTGGGTGGGCAACATGGCAAAACCCCGTCTCCACAAATACTGCAAAAAATGAGCTGAGTGTGGCAGTGTGTGTGACTGTGGTACCAGCTGCTCAGGTGACTGAGGTGGGAGGATCACTTGAGCCCAGGAGGTAGAGGCTACAGTGAGCCATGACTGTACCACTGCACTCCAGCCTAGGAGAGACAGTGAGACCCTGTCTCAAAAAAAAAAAGATATTCCCCTTCCTAATCTTCTCTGGAACTTGTAAATGTTATCTTATTTGGAAAAAGGGATGCTGCAGATGTGATTAAGGATTCTGAGATTAAGTTATTGTCATGGATTAACAGAGTAAGTCCCACATGCAATTACAAGTGTCCTTTTGAGAGGCAGAAGGAGGTCTGATTCACACAGAAAAAGGAAGGCAATGTGATGATGAAGTCAGAAGCCAAGGATGACAGCAGCCAACAGAAGCTGGAAGTGGCAAGGGACAGCTTCTCTCCTAGAGCCTCTGGAAGAAAACTGGCCTTGCTAATGCCTTGATTTTAGACGTCTGGCCTCCAGAACTGTGAGAGGATAAATTTATGTTGTTTTAAGCCACCAGGTTTATAGTGATTTGTTACATAAGACACAGGAAACTAATAATAATCACTATTAATACTGAATATTCTAACATATACTACTATTAACCAAAATGGGATCATAATACACAAAACTGGACATCTCTTTTTTTTTTTTTTTTTTTTTGAAGATGGAGTCTCGCTCTGTTGCCCAGGCTGGAGTGCAGTGGGGTGATCTTGGCTCACTGCAACCTCTGCCTCCCTGGTTCAAGCAATTTTCCTGCCTCAGCCTCCTGAGTAGCCGAGATCACAGGTGTGTACCACCACGCCAGGCTAATTTTTGTATTTTTAGTAGAGATGGGGTTTCACCATGTAGGTCAGGCTGGTCTCGAACTCCTGACCTCGTGATCTGCCCGCCTTGGCCTCCCAAAGTGCTGGGATTACAGGTATGAGCCACTGTGCCCGGCCGGACATCTCATTCTTTTACATAATCATGGGGAATTATGAGAAGACAATGGGGTCTGGGGGTTTACGCCTGTAATCCCAATACTTTCAGAGGCCCAGGTGGGAGGATCACTTGAGGCAAGGAATTCAAGACAAGAAGAGAATGTATTGTTGCCCAAATTTATCTTATCTTACCTTTTCCCCCCATAACATTTCATGAGATTTACATTCCATGTAGTATACATTAGAAAACGCTGGACCAGAGAAATTCATTCTCTAGTCCTATAGGCTGATGTAACTCCTAACATTGAGTGCACAAAGGTCAGAGAAAGGACTGAGTTCTGGTATATGTGTAACAATGTGTTTTAGGTTTAAATAACTGAAAACTTATTTTAAGCATATTTCTATCATCTACATGTTGAAAATACTTGTGGATAAAATAAATAATGTCTGGAATTTATTTCAAAATAATTTGGTTGTGTGCTGAAGGGGTTGGGGATATAAATGAGACAGAAGTTTTCATTTGTTGAAAACTGTTGTAGCTGAGTAATGGGTATATGAGGGTTCACTGTACTAGTCTCTTTCTTCTTATTATTTATTTTTTAGAGACAGGGGCTCACCATGTTGCCCAGGCTAGTCTTGAACTCCTGGCATCAAGCAATCCTACTGCCTTGGCCTTTCTCTTTACTTTTGTGTATTCTTGAAGTTTTCCAAAATAGAGAGTTAAAAAAGAAAAAAAAAGGAAAGGAAATGACTGGATCCTAGAATGGTTCTGCTACAAATTCTTATTTAAATACATGCAATTAAAATACACAGGATTCATTTTAAAGAAACTATTATTTCCATGAAACAATGTCACTTCATTTATCAGGGGAAATAACAGAAGCATTACATTTGAATATTCATTTCAATTTTAATTGTACAAGACCACCCTGGTCAATATGGTGAAACCCCGTCTCTACTAAAAACACAAAAATTAGCCGAGCGTGGTGGCAGGCACCTGTAGTCCCAGCTACTCGGAAGGCTGAGGCAGGAGAATCGCTTGAACCACAGAGGCAGAGGTTGCAGTGAGCCGAGACTGCACCACTGCACTCCAGCCTGGGCGACAGAGCGAGACTGGATCTCAAAAAAAAAAAAAAAAAAAATTTCAATTGTAAGATAATCTAAATCTTCTGATCTCAAAAACGCTGAAATGGAGGAATTGTGTATATCTTTAGCCAATTGCTTTTGGTAAATATATTCTGGCAGAGACTATATTCACATACAGTACTCGACTCCATTTCCCAGATTTGGCCAAAGCTGGATGAGCAGATGTAACATATCTCAATTCTGGACTGAGGCAGTTAAAAGTCACTTTGCTTCGGTTTTCCTGCTTTAATGACAATGTAGGTTACATTCTGAGATGGTGGCTTGACAATATGGAAGGAAGGTGGATCCCTAAGCCACTGGATGGAGAACCCTACTGACTCCCACTGAACTCTGAGCAAGAGAAACATTTCTGTTGTGTTAAGCCATTGATATTTGGGGATTTGTTACCACAAAACAGCCTAATAACATTGTGAAAATAGACAAAGACTGCCCAAATGGAAACAAACAAAGGCTATTTAATTAGATCTTACTATATAGGTAGGGAGTCAGCCACTGTCAACTTGTGCTTGGCAAAGATTCAAAGGCAAGCAGGGGAGTGGGAAATCTTTATACTAAAAAAAGGGGGAAGACATCAGGTATGCTCTGATTGTAGGTTGTTGGCATGGGAAACTGGAGGTGGGCTAACTGATGTAAACCAAAAATAAAATTCTAAGTCCTTCAACCATCTGAATGAACCCCTCCTCCCAGCCAAGAGCATTTGAAAGTTAACCTGAAAAACTAGTTCCAGCCATGATGGGAAGCGGAGTTTGGCCATACCTCATTATTCCCTCCTCCCTGTTGGAATTCAGGCACAGCTGACCAGCACTAACATTAAAACAAATCTTAAGACTGACAAAACAGACTCTCTGTAGCAATAAGATACCCAATTCCAGCCTGACTCTAGCATAGTATCACATGACAGATGGCAGGCCCTGAAAGAAATCCAAGTATTTGACCCCAAATTATGTTTCTTTGCCATATCTTCAAACAGTCCTGCAAAGCTGTCTCTTGTGCGGAAAATCTACATTCTGAAGTTAATTCCCTTCCTTTCTCAGGCCTTTTGCCTGATCCAGGAGAGAATCAACCCTGATAAGAAACATTTACAATGTATTATCTCTGAAGCCTGCCACCTGGAGGCTTCCTTTACATAATGGGAACTTTGGTCTCCACAACCCCTTACCTTGGCTCAGACATTCCTTCCTATTGATTCTATCTGCATAATGGGAACCCTGGTCTCCACAACCCCTTATCTTTTTTTTTTTTTTTTTTTTTTTTTTAGATGGAGTCTCACTCTGTTGCCCAGGTTGGAATGCAGTGGCTTGATCTTGGCTCACCACAATCTCCGCCTCCCGGTTTCAAGTGATTCTCCTGCCTCAGCCTCCTGAGTAGCTGGGATTACAGGCGTGCGCTACCATGCCTCGCTAATTTTTGTATTTTTAGTAGAGATGGGGTTTCACTATGTTGGCCAAGCTGGTCTTGAACTCCTGACCTCGTGATCCACCTGCCTCGGCCTCCCAAGGTGTTGGGATTACAGGCGTGAGCCACTGTGCCTGCCCACAACCCCTTATCTTAACCTAGATACTCCCTTCTATTGATTCTAGGTCTTTAGACAGTAACAACTCTTTCGACCAACTGCCAATCAGAAAATCTGTGAATCTACCTATGACCTGGAAGCCATCTGCTTCAAGGTGTCTTCCTTTCTGGACCTAACCAATGTACATCTTACATATACTGATTGATGTCTTATGTCTCCCTAAAATGTATAAAACCAAGCTGTAGTCTGATCACCTTGGGCACATGTTCTCAGGAGCTCCTGAGGGCTGTGTCATGGGGCAATAGCCATTCATATTTGGCTTAGAATAGATCTCTTAAAATATTTTACAGAGTTTGACTCTTCGTCGACACTGGAAGCGGGGTATCCTATGTGGTTGATTTGGGAAGCATATTTGGCTTTCTCTGAGTCGTCCCGAATTGGAAGAAGGCACAAAAATTAGGGAAGCTGGTAATTACTGACCAAGTCCTGACTGGGCCTATTGCTACATAGGTCATGGGTCAGAGTTCTAGTTTTATATATGATCTGGCCATTGTCCATCTGTATATTCAGTGTTTCATTATCCTAATACAGAAAACTGGTACCTGGAAGTGAGGTGCTGCTACAATAAAAACCTATGCAGTCCTGCCTTAGTGATACTGCCTTAGTGGTCAGATTAAGGGCTGAGAGGAAACAGATACCGGAGGCTGGAAAGATGGAGGATCATGTTTTATAGTGGCAAAATATCTGGTAACGCTGTTGCCTATAATAACTTTTCATACAACTACAAGGTCAGTGAACATACAAAGAGGCTACTGACCTTGTAGTGTTATAGGAGTTTGGTAAAGAGGATTTTGGAAGTGAGTATTGGCTGCTATTAGATATTTGGCAAGTATTATAAGTAAATGATGAGTTCAAGAAGGAAGTAGTAGATTTGAAAGCAAAAACAGAAGAGAATAGAAAAAGTTCAGAAATTTAAAGCCTTGAAGGATTGGAAAAGCAGCTTGTACCTAGACCCCTAGAGGCAGGATTAAAAGACTGAGCACAGATGCCCACTGAAACCCCTTAGCTAACTAGTGCTTCTGTGGTTAAGACCATATTAAAGACGTAGCCTTCCCATCAAACCTAATAGCCTCAAACAACCAAATGAGAGGAGGAGGAATAGACGCTCTTAAATCTTTGGATGAGTTTACCAATACATGTGAACTTCGACTGTGGTTACTGACACATAGAACTGAAGGAAACCAAACAGATCGGAAGAGGCTTACTAACTTTAAAGAAACTGTTTTGTTAAAAAAAAAAAAAATATCTTTTGGCCGGGCACGGTGCCTCACACCTGTAATTCCAGCACTTTGGGAGGCCGAGACAGGCGGATCACGAGGTCAGGAGTTTGAGACCAGCCTGGCCAATAAGGTGAAACCTCATCTCTACTAAAAAATACAAAAATTAGCTGGGCGTGGTGGCATGTGCCTGTAGTCCCAGCTACTCAGGAGGCTGAGGCAGAAGAATTGCTTGAACCTGGGAGGCGGAGGTTGCAGTGAGCGGAGATTGTGCCACTGCACTCTAGCCTGGGTGACAGGGTGAGACTCCATCTCAAAAAACAAAATGAAATTTTTTTTTCTTAAATCATCTCAAGTTCATACTAAAAAAATCTTCTTGTCTATTCAAAATTTAAAACCCTTGGGTCCCCGACTTCTATGAGCAAGAAGCTAGTTGAAAAAGATTTGTACGTTCCAAAGGGAAGGTACAACACACACTTCACAGGTGGTCAAGGATGATCATTAAAACAATGGATGGGAGAGTTCCTTCCAAATAAATCAGGGTCCAATCTCCCCTACCTCCAGGCCCGGTTGCTTACACAGAATCTGCCTAGGAGATTTCAGATTATAGATCAGCATTTGCTGCTTATCTCCCATTATTCTCTTTTTCTAGGAAGAGCGCTTACTGTGGCCCTTGTGTACTGCGGTGAGTGAGTAAGGGGAAAAGAAAAGGAAGGGAGATAGAGAGGAGACACAGTGAGTGACAGAGAGAGAGAGAGTGCGCACACACGCAGCACACAGGACACATTACTTCACAGGTCCCTGGACCAAGAGGAACCATATCTGGACCTGATTAAGAGATTATTGGGCATGTGGATAATAGGACCCATGAATCTTGCCTCTGTCACTAATCAGGGCCCAATTTCTTAGCAAAAGAATAACATAATACCGTGAACATCTTTCCACAGTTAGGTGTCATGTTTCTTTTATTTATTTATTTATTTATTTATAGATGGAGTTTCGCTCGTTGCCCAGGCTGGAGTGCAATGGCGCGATCTTGGCTCACCGCAACCTCCACCTCCCGGGTTCAAGCAATTCTCCTGCCTCAGCCTCCCAAGCAGCTGGGATTACAGGCCATGTGCCACCACACCCGGTTAATTTTCTATTTTTAGTAGAGACGGAGTTTCTCCATGTTGGTCAGGCTGGTCTCGAACTCCCGACCTCAGGTGACCGCCCACCTTGGCCTCCCAAAGTGCTGGGATTACAGGTGTGAGCCACTGCGCCCAGCCATATTTTATCTTCTATTCTCTCTTTTCTTTTTGAATAGAGATGAGGGTCTCGCTATGTTGACGAGGCTGGTCTCAAACTCCTGGCCTCAAGCGATCCTCCCACCTTAGCCTCCCAAAGTGCTGGGATTACAGGTGTGAGCCACCATGCCCGGCCAGTATCATGTTTGTTTGATTCTAAGCATGCTTTTCTACATTTTAATATTTCTAAAAGTTAGGGCCGGGTGCAGTGGCTCATGCCTGTAATTCCAAAACTTTTGGAGGCTGAGGTGGGCGGATCTCTTGAGCCCAGGTGTTTGAGACTAGCCTGGGAAACAAAGTGAGACCCTAACTCTACAAAAAATAGAAAAAATCAGCCAATTATGTTGGTGTGCACCTGCAGTCCCAGCTACTGGAGAGACTGAGGTGGGTGGATCAATTGAGCCCAGGAGGTCGAGGCTGCAGTGAGCTGTGATTGTGCCACTACACTCCAGCCCGGGCATCAGAGCAAAACTCTGTCCCAGAAAAAATAAATAAATAAATAAATTGAGTATATCTTAAGATCAACCCTTGGGCCCCCAACTTCTATGAGCAATAAGCTAGCTGAGAAAGATGTGTACCTTCCAAAGAGAGAATACTCACCCAACACACACTTCACAGGTGGCCGAGTATGATAATGAAAACAATGGATGAGAGTTCCTTCCAAATAAATCAAGGTCCAATCTCCCCTCCAAAGCAGAGAAGTTCTAGAGTAGCAGTCATTGCACATGCCTAACTTAACCATACATAAAAGTCGAAATCTCTGTTACCTCAATTGTATTATTTTCTTTTTTTTTTTTTGAGACAGAGTCTCCCTCTGTTGCCCAGGCTGGAGTGCAATGGTGCCATCTCGGCTCACTGCAACCTCTGCCTCCCGGGTTCAAGCAATTCTTCTGCCTCAGCCTCCCAAGTAGCTGGGATTACAGGAGCCCACCACCACACCCGGCTAATTTTTTGTATTTTTAGTAGAGACGGGGTTTCTCCATGTTGCCTAGGCTGGTCTCGAATGCCTGACCTCGGGTGATCCACCCGCCTTGGCCTCTCAAAGTGCTGCGATTACAGGTGTGAGCCACCATACCCGGACAATTGTAATATTTTCATTGGCAGCACCATATATGATGCTCAAAATGTTTTTTCTTTTTTTCTGTTTTGTTTTTGTTTTTTTGAGAAGGAGTTTCTCTCTTGTTGCCCAGGTTGGAGTGCAATGGCGTGATCTCAGCTGACTGCAACCTCTGCCTCCCGGGTTCAAGCAATTCTCCTGCCTCAGCCTCCCAAGTAGCTGGAATTACAGGCATGTGCCACCATGTGTGGCTAATTTTTGTATTTTTAGTAGAGATGGGGTTTCACCATGTTGGCCAGGGTGGTCTTGAACTCCTAACCTCAGGTGATCCACCTGCCTCGGCCTCCCGAAGTGCTGGGATTATATAGGCATGAACCACTGCGCACGGCCTCTTTTTTTCTTTTATCATTATTACTTTTTTTTTTTTGTGAGACTGTCTCACTCAGGCTGGAGTGCAGTGTCGTATTCTGGCTCACTGCAACCTCTGCTTTCCAAGTTCAAGTGATTCTCATGCCTCAGCCTCCGGAGTAGCTGGGACTACAGGTACCCACCACCACACCTGGCTAATTTTTGTATTTTTAGTAGAGACAGGGGTTTGCCACGTTGGCCAGGTTGGTCTTGAACTCCTGACCTCATGTGATCCACACACCTCAGCCTCCCAAAGTGCTGGGATTACAAGCATGAGCTACCACGCCCAGCTATTATTATTTTTGTAAATACAGATGGAGATCTTGCTAGGTTGCCCAGGCTGGTCTCAAACTCCTGAATTCAAGTGTTCCTCCTGCCTCAGCCTCCCAAAATACTGGGATGATACCATGCCTGGTCCACAAAATGTTCTGAAAGATTCCATTGTGACATAGTATTGTGCACTCAAACTGTCATTCAATAGACAATGCAATTAAAGGCATAAGTAATTATTAAATTCAAGCAAGATCACAGAATTTTCAAAGGTAAGACAGACTCAAAAGTCTGCCAAAACTTTTGGAGTTATCTTCAGAAGAAGCTGTTTAATTTCCAGCAATAGGTAATTCAATTAAGAAGAAGAAAAAAAAACTAAGTAAGCAAAAATGAAAGGCAAGCAAAACCCCAGTATTCTTCAATATACCTTAAAATTATACACACAATCATAAAGACAATATAGGTTAAGATAATTAACTAGCATTATGAAAAGCAGCCTGTTATCATGATGTTGCATTAACTAACCGAAGTAATTCAGAAGGATCCTAGATTCTGAATGTGAATAAGGCTGAGACTCAAACTTTATTGTGACAGACGAAAATGGTATACAATTGAATGAATAAATGTATGCTATTATTAATAAAAGCTTTATGTTTACTTTCTTCCTGCTAAAAAATTGCTACTAAATAGATGGCTTATCTTAGATTTAGTGGTATTTCAGAATTGATAAAGTATGATAGTTCAACCTTATTCCTTTAAATACCGATATTGAATTTCATCATGTAGATGTACTATTTTTTATTTATTTATTTATTATTTCTTTATTTCTTTATTTATTTTTGAGACAGAGTCTCACTGTCGCAGGCTGGAGTGCCGTGGTGCCATCTCAGCTCACTGCAACCTCCGTCTCTCGGGTTCAAGTGATTCTCCTGCCTCAGCCTTACAAGTAGCTGGGACTACAGACCCGCGCTACCACACCGAGCTAATTTTTGTATTTTTAGTAGAGATGGGGTTTCACCATGTTGGCCAGGCTGGTCTCGAACTCCAGACCTCAGGTAATCCGCCCTCCTTGGCCTCCCAAAGTGCTGGTTACAGGCGTGAGCCACTGCGCCCGGCTAGATGTACTATTACTTATAAATCCCTGACTGATGGACATTTAGGTTGTTCCTCATTTTTTTGCTAATGTAAAATAATACTGCAAACTGGTAACTTCAATTATACTGGTAATATTCTTGTTCTGAGTTCAGGTGGTAAGTTCATGGATGTTCATTTTATTATGCCTCATAGTTTAATAAAATGAACATATGTATAATATACATATAGCATATTCCTTGCACATAACGAAATTAGTTAATAAAAAAATTGCTGCAATAAAAATTCTTGTGCACACATTGCTGAGCATTTTTCTTAAAATAAATTCCCAGAAGTGGAATTGCTGGATCAAAGAGAATACATATTTAAAATTCTGATACTTATTGTCAGAATGCCTTCTAGAAAGTTATACTAATTTTATAATCCCCACAACAAGGTATGGTTAATACTGGCATTACTAAATCTCAACAATCTTTGCTGCTATGACATGTGAAAATTCAAATTATTACTAGGCAAAAAGAATTTTTAAAATAATTCTTCAAAGCAAAACTGCTTACCTTTTTAACCCACACTACGATGGGGCCAGATTCGTCTTAATAAACAATTCTGATCATGTCACCTACCTACCCCATAACTTTCAATGACTTTAATCTCATGGTTAAAGTAAGAGCTCTGGAATCAAACTGCCTGGGTATGACAGATCGCCATTTTTTTTTTTTTAAAGTTCAGACCCTCATCAAAAATACAAACATCAACAAACAAGTATCATTGATTAGTTTGTCCAACTTAGGAAAAAAAAAATGATACCATTACATAAGATTTCAAAGTGTTAATTTGGGTTGAATTAAGTTTATCAGAAAGGTACCCTGGCTGGGTGCAGTAGTGCACCTGTAGTCCCAGCTACTTGAGAGGCTGTGGTGGGAGGATTGCTCGAGTCCAGGAGTTGGAATCCAGCGCAGGCAACATAGCGAGTTCCCATCTTTAAAGGAAACTGCATACTGACATTTTCTTCAGTTCACTTTCTAATAATTGTCAGATCAAAAGTGAAAGCAACGCTGTATCTTCATGCTGAAAAATGATTGCTGTTCCTACTTAGCGAAAATGTTATTCAATGACTAAATAACTTTTGTGATGTATAACAATCTCCCATTGATGTAAATAAAACATCTAAAATAACCAAATAACCAGGGTTAGAACAGTTCCAACACTATTTATATAGAACAAGGACTTGCAATAAAAACAAAACAAAAATAAAAACGACCTACACAATGAAAGCCAGATATTATACATTAAAAATGTAGTAGAAGTATTTTTTGGTGAGCAGCAAGGCATATTCCATCAATATTTAGGCATAGAATGTGCCATTCCAAGCATGGACCATGATCTAGTTTCTTGCAGTAGCAGCCAATTGGACTAACACAATGCTACTTCTTTTACTGTTCAATCAAATTCCTCCACTGCCTTAAGGAATCAACTACCCCATTTTACCGTCAGAGATAATAAGCTTTGTTTTCGTAGCACAGAACATTCACTCCAATTATAATGTCCTACCTTTTCTTCCTCATGGAGGAAATTTGATAAAAAATTAAGTTTATCAGAAACTTCTGATAAACTGATAAACTGATAAATTTATTAACCTTCAATAAATAATTCATAAAGTTCAAACAAGTTTCATGATCGCTAACATTCAAATCCATTTCCAAAACTGGAGTTATACAATATTACTTCTGTGCATGAGATTATACTTATTGTTCACTAGATTTATGAATAACTTCTGGAGGATGATACATGTTTTAAAAGCCGTATTAACATATGAGTTGACAAACATTAAATTTTGTTCCCTTAGAAATTGACAGAGAAGTCAGAATGGGGATAAATCAAGTCATCTGAGGCATTCATTGAGCTACAAGCTATTTCAGGTTATAAAAAACACTGTTCCCTTAATTGTCGTTCCTTCATTTGCTGTATTTATATACACACTCCTACTCCATAAAGACCTCTCCATCTCTCCCACCTCTTCCAACTATGAACAGTAACCTAAAATCACACTGAACTAGACGTAAGAGACTCCCAGGATTTCTCTAAGGTATACCCAGGATCAAGGCCCTCTGGGATCCAAAGAACTGTAGCTCTTTTACTGCAATTTTCCTTCAGAACCACCTTTCCCGTTCCTTCCCTCCTGGACACCGCCGACTCGCGTGTTGGGGGTGGGGTGGGAGACACGCCGCCAGAAAGACAGGCTCTACCCAGCCAAACCTGCACCTCCGAGGCCGAAAAGCCTGGGGCTCTTCCTGCAGCACCGGGCGCGGCCAACCCTCGCTTCCCCAGGGCAGGGCTCAGCTCGGGTCAATGCAACCAGCCAAGTCAGGCCCGGAGCGGGCCGGCTCTGCCCGCCAGTCCAAACCTCTGGACCCTCGCCAGCGGGGATGGGCGTGGGCCCCGGCGGCCACCGCCCCGCCAACTCGAGCACTGGAGGAGCGCACCCGCTACGCCAGCCCCGGACCTACCTGGAGGGGAGAGCAGAGCTCCTGGACAGCGGCCACGGGCCTGAGGGCGGACGCTGAGGCGGCCAGAGTCCGTCCCAGCAACCCCAAGTATCCCTGGTGGGGCAGAGCGGGGAGACGAACGGGGGGGCTGCCGCGGGCCAGCGCGGCCCGTCCCAGGGGTCGTGAGGACCTGGCTCTCCCCTTAACACCAGGCCACCGCCGCCGCCGCCGCCATTTTGCCTTCCACTCAGTGTCGCCGCCGCCGCACTCCGCTGCAGGTTTCCCGGATGTGGGCATTTCCCGGCGTCGCTTGCGCGGGGGCCGAGGACTGGGGGCTTTTGCCCGCCCGGCTGCTGCGAGGGAGCGCGCAGCCTGCGGCCTCCGGGCTTCGTTGCGTCGCCCGCAGCTCTGATCGTTCGTGAGCGTCGCCCCACGTCGCTCCCGCCTGCCCCTGCCCATACGACTCGCCCGCGCCCGTGGGTTAAGGCTGTCTCCCGCCCAGCCTACTTGGTTGATTCAATCCTTTTCCCCATTGATCTATTTCTCTGGACCGAGTAGGGATGTGCATTTCACGGAGCTACGTTCTCAGAAGGGAACAACTGAGTTGCTCTGGGAAACCTCCCTGTGGACCTCAGAATTCCAGATTTTTGGCGCTTTGAAATAAAATTTTATTCTTGCTTAGCGTTCTTTCCCCGAACAAGCCGGTGAGCTTCCAGCATCTGTATTTTCTGAATCCGGCAGATAAGAAATGCTTGAGCCAGGACCGATTGATTAGCAGCGGTTTAGAGATCTTATCTGTCAACCGCATCCGTAGAAGGAGATCGTTATTGCCATAATTGGAATACCGGTGACGGTGTGACAAGAGGTTTTACTTCTGGTTAAGCTGAATGTAAAGTGTGGGATGGGATCGTTGGGTTTGATGTATAAGGTACGGTCCACCCTTTGTGAAGATCGCCTTTGCCAGTTTTTCCTCTAGGAAATATACAGTTAGTGTTTTCAAGTACCTTCTTTCGTAATTTTTCTACTACAGAGTACAAAAAAATTAAAGACATCTTTTTCTGACGTTAAAGTAATAACTGGCTACTTACTGTATCTAGAAATCCAAATGTGAAAACCCGTTAAAAGATTATGTTCCGGACGGGCGCGGTGTCTCACGCCTGTAATCCCAGCACTTTGGGAGGCCGAGGCGGGCGGATCACGAGGTCAGGAGATCGAGAACATCCTGCCTAACACGGTGAAACCCCGTCTCTGCTAAAAAATCCAGAAAAATTTGCCCGGCGTGGTGGCGGGCGCCTGTAGTCCTAGCTACTCGGGAGGCTGAGGCAGGAGAATGGCAGGAACCCGGGAGGCGGAGCTTGCATTGAGCCGAGATCGCGCCACCGCACTCCAGCCTGGACGACAGAGCGAGACTCCGTCTCAAAAAAAAAAAAAAAAAAAAAAAGATTATGTTCCAAGAACATTTGGTTGAAAGTCTATTTTCTACAAGCACAGAGTTTGTAGAAGGCAATGTGACCCAAGGTGGGTCACTAAAGAGCCCCAGGGCTTACTTTCTTCAACGTAAGGGTGCCCCATAAAGACCTTTTCAGCCCTAAAATTATATGAATTATAGGAATCTAATATGTCCACAGGTCTGCTTGCCCTATCCAAAAGGATTATGCATCTGGAAGGGCAGACTGCCCCCAGAATCCTGTCACGTCTGTCATCAACCCATGGTACTTAAGCTCCTCAATGCTCTCTAAACCTAAAGGAAAGTATCTCCACAAACTCTAGTCTTTGGGGAAATTCCTAGATAATTCAGGGAGCTGAGTAAATTGCTCTGTGTAGGACTAGGAGGCTTACTCCTGTGAAGTAGGGCGAGAGATAAAAGAGCAGGGAAAGCAGAGGTGGAATGATCAGGAAGAGAACTGACGAGATGCAAAGCATTGGGGACTGTAGGTGCGGAGAGTGATGATGGTTGGGGAAATACTTACTGTGGGTGCTGGATGTGTGGGAATGGTGATACCTGCCATCACATTTGCAGGTTTTTATATTATTGTGATGGAAGATCTTGGTCCAGTTTCAGCCTACTCAATTCTTCAGTGCTTCATGGAAATGGGGCTTGTTTTTAGCAATAGATGTAGAATCCGATTTCATGCTTGTGTGACCTTAGAAAGGAATTAGGGGGCAGTGTACATGGAAGAAGTCTGGAGACCAGTGTGGCCCTGAGAACATAAACCCTTCCAGAAATTCATACGATCTTAGGGGAAGACACCAGACTATGTGCCACCCACTCTTAAGGAATGGGGAGTTGTGCTCCATCTTCTTGAAAGTGGAGAATCCAGCCAGACTCTGTCCCCAAAAAATAAATAAATAAAATAAATAAAGTGGAGAATTCAAATAAATTATTTGACATTCTGCAGATTTATCCCTTCTCCTTTATTTATTCAAACATTTATTGGCCGGGTGTGGTGGCTCACACCTATAATCCTAGCACTTTGGGAGGCCGAGGCAGGCGGATCACTTGAGGTCAGGAGTTCCAGACCAGTCTGGCCAACATGGTGAAACCTCGTCTCTACTAAAAATAAAAAAAATTGGCTGGGCGTGGTGGGCGCATGCCTATAGTCCCAGCTACTTGGGAGGCTGAGGCAGGAGAATCGCTTGAACTCAGGAGGTGGAGGTTGCAGTGAGCCGAGACTGTGCTACTGCACTCTAGTCTGGGTGACAGAGCAAGACTGTCTTACAAAAAAAACAAAAAGCAAAAACATAAACAAAACAAAAACTCGTTATGTCAGTATGGCCTCATGGATATTTATTTTATGCTTTGGGTATTTATTTTGTTGCTCAAGTTGTTTCAGTTTTGGCCACTGGAGCTCTTTCAGTTGGCGTGTGTGTGTGTGTGTGTGTGTGTGTGTGTGTGTGTTTTAAAGAACTTTCTGCCCAGTTTGGTGGCTCACCCCTTTAATCCCAGCACTTTTTAATCCCAGTACTTCTGGAGGCTGAGGCAGGAGGATCACTTGGGCCCAAGAGTTCAAGACCAGCCTGGGTAACATAGCAAGACCTCATCTCTATAAATCAGCCAGGTGTGGTGGTACACAACTGTAGTCCCAGCTACTCAGGAGGCTGAGGCAGAAGGATCGCCTGAGCTCAGGAGGCTGAGGCTGCAGTGAGCCGAGATCTAGCCACTGCACTCCAGCCTGGGTGACAAAGCAAGACCTCACCTAAAAAAAAAAAAAAAAAAAAAAAAAAGAACTTTCTTCTTTTCTGGCAGTACATTATGTTCCAAAATCTTTTTTTTTTTTTTTTTTTTTTTTTTTAGATGGGGTCTCACTGTGTCACCCTGGTTGAAGTGCAGTGACATGATTATGGCTCACTGCAGCCTCAACCCCCGGGACTCAGGTGATGCCTCAGCATCCAAGTAACTTGGGATTACAGGCGCAGGCCACCATGTCCAACTTTTTTTTTTTTTGAGACCAAGTTTCTCTTGTTGCCCAGGCTGGAGTACAGTGGCGCCATCTCTGCTCACCGCAACCTCCGCCTGCTGGGTTCAAGCAATTCTTCTGCCTCAGCCTCCCTGAGAAGCTGGGATTACAGGCATGCGCCACCATGCCTGGCTAATTTTGTATTTTTAGTAGAGAAGGGGTTTCTCCATGTTGGTCAAGCTGGTCTTGAACTCCCGACCTCAGATGATCTGCCCATCTCGGCCTCCCAAAGTGCTGGCATTACAGGCGTGAGCCACCGCGCCTGGCACGCCTAATTTTTGTATTTTTTGTCGAGACCAGGTCTCCCTATGTCACCCAGGCTGGCCTTGAACTCCTGAGCTCAAGCGATCCGCCCGCCTTGGCCTCCCAAAGTGCGGGATTACAAGCTTGAGCTGCCGCGCCCAGTTCTCCAAGATATCTTGTATATTTCTTGCCCCGGTTCAGGGATCACCATTCCTCCAAGGATCCCTGGTTCCTTTTATTGGAATATGGTATAAGAAACCAAATCTGGGTGCTAGGTGTATGCCTTGCTACTGGTGTATCATGGATTCTAAGACTTCTCTGGCTAAGATTTTTTAGTTTATTCTACCCCTATAGAGGGGTAAAAACTCTTCTGATTTTTTGCAGCTACAAATTTTTTAAAAAATACTTTAATTAAATTTAAATTAATGTAATTTAGTTTTGAGTCATGCTGTGTCACCCAGGCTAGAATGCAATGGTGCAATCTCGGCTCACTCACTGCACCTCTGCCTCCCAGGCTCAAGCAATCCTCCTGGCTCAGCCTCCCAAGTAGCTGGGATTACAGGCATGTGCCAATATGCCTGGCTAATTTTCTTTTTTTTTTTTTTTAGTAGAGATGGGGTTTCACCATGTTGGTCAGGCTGGTCTCGAACTTCCCACCCCAGGTGATCCGCCTGCCTCCGCCTCCCAAAGTGCTGGAATTACAGGTGTGAGCCACCGTGCCCAGCCCCATTTTTTCTTTTTTTGAGATGGAGTCTTGCTGTGTTGCCAGGCTGGAGTGCAGTGGCACGATCTCCGCTCACTGCAACCTCTGCCTCCTGGGTTCAAGCAATTCTCCTGCCTCAGCCTCCTGAGTAGCTGGGACTACAGGTGCCTGCCACCAGGCCAGGCTAATTTTTGTGTTTTTAGTAGAGACGGGGTTTCACCATGTTGGTCTTGAACACCTGATCTCAGGTGATCCACCCCCCTTGGCCTCCCAAAGTGCTGGGATTACAGGCGTGAGCCACTGCACCTGGCCAGACCTTCTATTAGTCTGAGCTAGATACTATTGACACCATAAGCTTAACTAAAGGTTCAATATAAACTATATACTGTTGAATTTAATATGCTTCTTGGACAAGAGTCTAGAGTGGATTATTAAAAGGATGTTTCCACAATACAATTAAATAAAAGTACTATTCACAAAGGACCAGGAATTTTTCAATTATGCCAAATTTTTGATAGTATAACTACAGCACATTTTCTCACAATAACCTTGGAAATAAGATAAATGGAATGAAATGTCAATAAATTAGGTTGTTTTATAAATATTTCAGTAACTGTAGCCAAATACCAGAGATTCATGTTTCATTGATAATTGAGAAGACTCCAGCAGTGGGCCTAAAAACTTCATTTCATTTAACATCTTTCTGGCTGGGCATGGTGGCTCTTGCCTGTAATCCTAGCACTTCGGGAGGCCAAGGCAAGTAGATTGCTTGAGCCCAGGAGTTCAAGACCAGCCTGGGCAATATAGTGAAACACCATCTCAATAAAAATTGCAAAAATTAGTCAGGCTTGGTGGTACATGCCTGCAGTCCCAGATACTTGGGAGACCGAGGTGGAAGGATCACTTGGGCCCAGGATATCGAGGCTGTAGTGAGCTGGGGATCACACCACTGCACTCCAGCCTGGGTGACAGAGTGAAATCCTGTCTCAAACATCTTTCTTAATCAATGGGATGAAAGTGGAGAGAGCACGCTGGGCTAATTATGGAGAAAATAATAGCTTCTACAAAAGATTCAAAGAAAATAGTTAGTCCTTTCCTATATTGAAATGAAATTTTTCTTAGAACAAGAAAGGCCCATATTAAGGATTAAAAACCATTTGTATTAACTTCCGAATATAGGAAGTGTGGCTTAGGAGTATCACATGTGAACACTTCAGAAAGCTGACACAGCATTACAAAGGAATATCATTCCTATTAACAGGATGGCAAGATTTCTGTCATAATCACCAAGGTAGACAATATATGAAAAAGTGTTTATCTTGGAAGTCACACTTAAAAGAAGGCCTCTGGCCGAGCACGGTGGCTCATGCCTATAATCCCAGCACTTTCGGAGGTGGAGGAGGGTGGATCACTTGAGGTCAGGAGTTCAAGACCAGCCTGGCCAACATGGTGAAACCCTGTCTCTACTAAAAATACAAAAAATTAGCTGGGCGCACACCTGTAATCCCTGCTACTCGGGAGGCTGAAACAGGAGAATTGCTTGAACCTGGGAGGCAGAGGTTGCAGTGAGCTGAGATCGTGCCATTGCACTCCTGCCTGGGCGACAGAGCGAGACTTAAAGTCTCAAAAAAAAAAAAAAAGGCCTTTGACAAAGAGCAGTAATTTTTAAAGGGAAAACAAGATTGTGAAAACAAGGTCAATTAACAGTGACTCATTGCTTACTATGGTTCAGATACTGTTAAACACTGTTACACGAAGACATGGGCGCTGTTCTTGATCTTGTGGCCCAGTAGGGGGAGACAGGCTCCTTAACACACTGCTTTGCGCACAATTTAAGTTCTGCACAATGGGCTTTTGAAGCAGAGTGCAATTTAGTCCGGATTGCTGGAGGCCAATAAAAGCTGTCTGGAGAAAATGACACCTAGAAGGAGTCTTGAAGGATAAGAAGGATTTAGCCAAAAATGGAAAGAAAGAGAAGGAAACCTTCACTGGAGAGACTATAATAATCAATTTTGAATATTTGAATATGTGATGAGAGGAATTTTGTGTGTGTGGCTCCCGAGATAAGACAGATAGAAGCAAATTTCAGTTCAGTATATGAAAATTCATTTATTTAGTGAAACCCTGACATTAAAGCGTCCCAACACAAAGCAGATTCGAACATAACAACTGGTGATTGGCTCATCTCACAGGCTCACATCATCAGTGTGTTAACATACAATAGGACTGTACCCTTTTACAGGATTGAGTGTTTTGGATCCCACTCACACACTAAAACCCTGCCATAAAGTTGTATCAATTAGGGCTGTTCAAATGTGAAACTGTATTGGAAAATGGGAAACTTTATCTCCTTATATATGTATATTTTTTGAGATGGCGTTTTGCTCTTTTGCCCAGGCTGGAGTGAAGTGGCACGATCTTGGGTCACTGCAACCTCTGCCTCCCGGGTTTGAGCAATTCTCCTGCCTCAGCCTCCCAAGTAGCTGGGATTATAGATGCCTGCCACCACGCCCGGTTAATTTTTTTTTTGCATTTTTAGTGGAGACGGGGTTTCGCCATGTTGGCCAGGCTGATCTCGAACTCTTGACCTCAGGTGCTTCACCCACCTCGGCCTCCCAAAGTGCTAGCATTACAGGCGTGAGCCACCATGCCTGGCCACCATATGTTTTTAAGTATAGGTTGGATGATAATTTGTTGGGAATACCATAGAAGGGATGATGAAATTTAGGCTGGAGATGATCACCAAGGTACTTTCTATCTCTAAGATCCTGCAACCCTTGAAAGACACTCTATTTGACAGTTTCATGAATAAAGGCAGTGACAATGAACAAATTCATAAATTACGGTGTTACATTACATAAAGCTTAGTTTCTTATTAAAATTGGCAAAACTTGTCAATTGGCATGAAATGTAATGCTGTTAAAATATACTTTCTCTTATGGTTACAAATACTAAGTGGCTCACGCCTGTAATCCCAGCACTTTGGGAGGCCGAGGCGGGCTGATTACCTGTGGTCAGGAGTTCGAGACCAGCCCTGGCCAACATGGTGAAACCCTGTCGTCTCTACTAATACAAAAATCAGCCGGGAGCAGTGGCTCAAGCCTGTAATCCCAGCATTTTGGGAGGCTGAGGCAGGTGGATCATGAGGTCAGTTCAAGACCAGCCTGGCCAACACAGTGAAACCCCATCTCTACTAAAAATACAAAAATTAGCTGGGTGTGGTGGTGAGCACCTGTAATCCCAGCTACTCGGGAGGCTGAGGCAGGAGAATTGCTTGAACCTAAGAGACGGAGGTTGCAGTGAGCTGAGATCATGCCATTTCACTCCAGCCTCAGCAACAAGAGCAAAACTCCATCTCAAAAAATATATATATTTATTAGGACAGAAAAGCAAAACCTTACCATAATTCCATAACTATGATTATTGGAATTACAAAGTAAATGAACACTTCAATTGTCTAATAGCAGTGATTTGTCATTAAGGTCTCAGGTCAATAATACATTTAAAATCTAACAAAGTTTGGAAAGATAGTATCATTAAATTATCTTAAAACACTACATTAGTTCATTATTATCCCTGCAGACAAGGATAAAGATGGTTGGTAACACTATAGGTGGCTAAAACAAAGTAAAAGGATCAAAATGGCAAAATTCTTTACTCTGATCATATCATTTGATTAATCACACTTTTATCTATCACATTTTTAGTTTGGAAATAGTTTGCTTATCAATATAGAATTCTACTTTATTGCACAATGTCCAGTTTGGCAACTTTCAGCTATGCTGTGAAGCTAAACAAAAGCAAAGTTGGGTCTAACAAGCTGAAAGAGTTCTGCTCAAAAACCTATTCTGAAAAAGGAACTTGTCAAAACATTTTCACCTTAAAAAAATTTCAGGCCGGGTGCAGTGGCTCACACCTGTAATCACAGCACTTTGGGAGGTCGAGGCGGGTGGATCATGAGGTCAAGAGATCGAGACCATCCTGGCCAACATGGTGAAACTCTGTCTCTACTAAAATTACAAAAATTAGCTGGGCGTGGTGGCGCACACCTGTAGTTCCAGCTACTCAGGAGACTGAGGCAGGAGAATTGCTTGAACCTGGGAGGTGGAGGTTGCAGTGAGCCGAGATTGCACCACCGCACTCCAGCAGAGCAAGACTCTGCCTCAAAAAAAAAAAAAAAAAAAAATTGAACACAGCTACACATCTTTGTCATTTTTGCTCTACTCAATTCTTTCTGAAAAAGTTTATTATTATTAAGGAAATAAAGTGTGGAAGGATCATAGGAAATACTTGCAATAAAAAGAATAATCATTAACATTGGCAACTGCCACTAGGAAGGTGTATATGCCACATACTACTGATAAAAATTGTAGGAACCCATTGGTAGTTCCCATAACCACCATTGATGTGTTAATTCCCACAACATCAAAAATAAAGAATTAGTTCCACAAGCTGTCTGTCAATAATACTCTGAAGGCAACCTATTCATCAGCACCAGAATCCCACTGATTTTCTTCCACATGTTCACAATCTTTTGCCATCAGTCATCTATCGGATTCTACAACTGTTTGGGAGTGTCAGGCTAACAAAAGTCAAAACTGGGCATTGACATTAATGGTAGTTTACTGATGTTTCCCCTGCAAATCTCGTATTTTCTGATACTAAAATTTTGCACAGAAGTTGGATTTCAAAAGGCTAATTGCATGTTCTATCTGAAATCTTATAATTATAGTACTTCTACGAAAAAAGATGTCTAGTAACATAAATTGCTTCTGCATCGGTTCCACAAACAAGACAAGGACCTAAAACATCCAAAGTGTTCACAGACAGAGACCTACTGGGAAGTAAGCTTGTGATTTCAATTCGGTCTTTTGCAGGATCAGTGCTGAGCCAGGAGCTAATGACAGACTGGTGAACATTAGCTTGGTTACTAATGCTATGAGACAAAAAAGTACTGCTTCTTCCTCCTGGGAGAAAAAAAGAAAAGGAAGAAATCTTTCAAGATGATTTTTATATTAGTAAACATTCAAACTTCTACTGATATTTAGAAAGGTGATGATATCAATGTGTTTAATTCTCAGAATAATAGGCTAATAATTCCATTATTATACATCACCACTTTGGACCAAAGGCTTATTCAGTGATATTAAATATTCAAATTTCCATGGGATAATATGGATACCAAACTCGAAGTCTTCAGGAAAAGCAGGTGATTTCAACTGACTTTCTGTTCATCTTTTAATGGAAAGTCTCAGAAAGGTAGCAAAACGGCCAGCATACAAGTTGAATAAGGAAAGAAAAAAAAGAAACCAAAAATGTAGGTAATACATGGAAATATAAACTCTTGGGTAATAACAAAATAAAATGATCATGAGAAAGAATTTCTAGACATATTTCTAGATGAACATTTCTAGAAATATATTTCTAAATATATATTTGTTACTATATTTCTTAAAATATAATCGCCTTACCTCAAATCTTTCATTCTTATGCTTTTTAGATAAATGTTCTTACAAGCAGATTAGAACACTACTAGATTATAAGGTTTTATCTCTAACAGCGCACTGTACTTACTATAGAATAAAGTGAGGCAGAGGCAGTATATTTCAATTTTAGTCATTATTCGCAACTTACTTTCCTCTCAACTTGCTGTCATATCAAATAAGTACAAATTTAATTCACTCAACAAATGACTGAGTACCTACTATGTGCCAGGCTCTGTGCTAAGTGCTCTGTGCCAAGTCCCTATGTCTTGAAGCTTAAAGATTAGTACATTTAAAATCTTGCTGATCCTTTAAAATATGGCTGAACTTCCTTCTCTAAGAAAACTTTGAAGACAACCTCTACTTCATGTTTTTCTCTTTCCTTGAACCCTCAGCACTTGTATGTACCATTAATTTACTACTTTATAACAATTCTTATATCCTAATTGAACTATCCATGCCTCTGTCCATGACTAAATATGTCTTAAGAGCAGGATGCATATTTTATATGTTTTACTTTTTCACAGTGTCTAATACTGTGCCTTGCAATAGTAGACACAGAATAAAGTTTTATTTCCAGTCTAACCAAGGTTCCTTAAAAGTAAACTTGCAAGTTCAAGACTGTGCGGTTAGGGGAGGAAGGAAGTAAAAACGAAGTACATACTTAGTTAATCCTTAGATGAAACTGTTTGTTTCTCTGTAGATGAAGTTATAGCATGGACATGCATGCATGCTCCACACATGCTCTCCGCTCCAGAATTTTTCTGAAGAAGTTTTAGAATTTTTTTCCCCTTAGTTTTTCTGTTTATCTTTTACTGCCCCTACATTTTACATTGCTCTTGGACGCTGTAAAGATTAACACATTATTCAAGCCACTGTGATAAGACTCCTTCCTCATCTCCCTGTTTTCCACTTTTCTCCTCCCCCTCCCATAAGTCTAAAGTCCTTATCATGGGCTACAAAGTCCCAGGGCTCCTCAGCCACCAGTCCTTATCTCCCACCACTGTACCCTGCTGCCTGAGCTCCAACCGTGGTGTCCTTGCAGTTCTCTGCCTGTCTCAGGCCCTCAGCATTTGCTGTTTCCTCTGCCTGGAATGCTTTCATGTCACTTATGCCTTCACTTCTCTTAAGTCTCTGCTCAAATGTTCCTTCTGCCAAGTGGCCTCTTCTGACTCTCACTAGAGTAGCTCCCCTCACCCCTGTCTTTATTCTTTATCCTCCTACTCTGCTGTATTCTTCTTCATGGTAATTAGCAGTGTATTTGGCCATGTTATTTTCCTTTTTCTTTTTTTTTGAGATGGAGTCTTGCTCTGTTGCCCAGGCTGGAGTGCAGTGGCGTGACCTTGGCTCACTGCAACCTCCAACTCCCGGGTTCAAGCAATTCTCCTGCCTCAGCCTCCAGAGTAGCTGGGATTACAGGCACCCACCACCACGTTCAGCTAATTTTTGTATTTTTAGTAGACACAGGGTTTCACCATGTTGGACCAGGCTGGTCTTGAACTCCTGGCCTCAGGTCATCTGCCCACCTCGGCCTCCCAAATTGCTGGGATTACAGGTGTGAGCCACCGCGCCCGGCCTCCTTTTCCACTTTGCTGTGCTCCACTATATACTGTAGGAGGTAGAAGTTGGTAAACTCCACTTTCCAGGCTGCTTTGCCATCTGCCATCCAGATGGGCCTTGCCAATAGCAGGTATTAATGGTGGGTGACTGGAAGGCGGAAGGGAGAAGCAGCTCCTTCCTGCTCCAGGTTTCTGGCAACAACACTGGTGGTAGTTTCAGCCTGGTTGAGGGAGCGCCTTTTCTCCTAATTCAGAACAAACTTTTACAGCATTTTCAACAGTCAAGTAGCAGGGGTACTAACAATTACTATTTCTGGGTTTTCCCTTTTCTTCCTATTTGTTCTCCCAGCACCCCTCCTATTACCTTTTGTTTTCCCAGCCCTTCTAACACATGTGAGACCAATTCCTTCTACATCTAAGGTAGTTTCTGACATTCTAATTGGACTCTTACTGATACATTATCTATTTTTTTAACTATTAGAATATTTGCTCTATGCGTTTCGACATTTCGTTCTGCTCACTGTTACACGTCCTAACACCTAGAAGAATGCCTACCACATGGTAGGCATTCAGTAAATATTTCTGAATAAATGAATAAGCAAAAGAACTTTGGAGCCACAGACAAACCCTCAAAAACAGGAAACTTGGAAAATGCAAAAACACATAAACCCCGATTACAAGTGCATGGTCTTTGGCTGACCATAACCTACAACTGACTGTAATGAGGAAAGCACGCCCTTTTTTTTTTTTTTTGAGACGGAGTTTCGCTTTTGCTATCCAGGCTGGAGTGCAATGGTGCAATCTCGGCTCGCTGAAACCTCTGTCTCCTGGGTAAAAGCAATTCTCCTGCCTCAGCCTCCTGAATAGCTAGGATTACAGGCATGAGCCACCACACCCGGCTAATTTTGTATTTTTAGTAGAGACGGGGTTTCTCCATGTTGGTCAGGCTGGTCTCGAACTCCCAAACTCAGGTGATCCACCTGCCTTGGCCTCCCAAAGTGCTGGGATTACAGGCATGAGCCACCACACCCGGCCTGAGATCAGGCCATTTAACCAGTACCCTCAGTTACATCAAATATCAACTTTTTTCTTGCCATTCACACAAACTTGGCAATGCAATATGAAAGATTTGCCACTGTCTATGCTATGGCATGAGGGTCCAGGTTAATGGCACTCACAAAGGAGAACCTTGGCTGTCTCAAGTGAGCCAGCTTACAGCATTTCTAGCCATCAGCCATACAGTAGTAAGTAACTTGACAGTCAGATTTCAAGCCCTGTGATACTCAAATTTACTCTGAGGCAAGAGAATAAAAATGTTTTGCCATTAAGTAAAAAATACGAGGATGTCTAATTTGGTATTTAAAAGTATAAAATGGCTGGGTACAGCCAGCTCATGCTTATAATTGCAATACCTCGGGAGGCCCAGGCAGGAAGATTGCTTGAGCTCAGGAGTTTGAGAGCAGCCTGGGCAGCATAGTGAGAGCTCATCTCTACAAAAAAATTAAAAAAAAAAAATTAGCTGGTTGTGGTTGCAAGCATCTCTGGTCTTAGCTATTTGGGAGGCTGGGGCAGGAGGACCACTTAAGCCCAGGAGGGCGAGGATGTAGCGAGCTGTGATCATGCCACTGCAGTCCAGCCTGCATGTCAGAGTGAGACGCTGTCTCAAACAAAAAAAAAACAAAATAAAAGTATGATAAAATTACACATAACAGGCTGGGCACAGTGGCTCATGCCTGTAATCCCAGCACTTTGGGGAGGCTGAGGTGGTCAGATCACTTGAGGCCAGGAGTTTGAGACCAGCCTGGCCAACATAGCAAAACCCCATCTCTACTAAAAATACAAAAAAATTAGCCAGTTGTGGTGGCACACACCTGTAATCCCAGCTACTAGGGAAGCTAAGGCACAAGAAAAGCTTGAACCTGAGAGGCAGAGGTTGCAGTGAGCTGAGACTGCACCACTACACTCCATTCTGGGTGACTGAGTAAGACTCTGTCTCAAAAAAAAGGCCAGGTGTGGTGGCTCACTCCTGTAATCTCAGCACTTTGGGAGGCTGAGGCAGGCGGATCATTTGAGGTCAGGAGTTCGAGACCAGCCTGGCCAACATGGTGAAACCCCATCTCCACTAAAAATACAAAAAAATTAGCCGGGCACGGTGGTGCATGACTAGTAGTCCTGGCTACTCGGGAGGCTGAGGCACGAGAATCGCTTGAACCCAGGAGGCGGAGGTTGCAGTGAGCTGAGATCGTGCCACTGCATTCCAGCCTGGGTGATAGAGTGAGACTCTGTCTTAAAAAAAAAAAAAAAAAGTACACATAACAGTATTCATTAAAAAGTTTTACCTTGGTGAAAGAGTGACGACTTTTCAGGTACATCTGTGGAAGCATCCCAGTGCCAGAGGGATCCATCTTCAGAGCAGGTAAAAAGATGTTCTGGGTTGGATGGGTGAAAGTGAACTTCCCACACTAAGAGACAAGAATCAATAAGCTCATTCCTGTGCAGATTCGCTGAACAAACAACATTAAACCCCCATCTCTAGGCATCATCTTCCATTATCCTCCATCACATACCTTCGAGCCTCAAGTCTGTCCTAAAAATTAAAGGCTTCAGAATTAAAGAAAAGACATAATGTAACTTTCCAATGGCTATAACACATAGAAAGGAAAAAGAACACTTTAGGAGGCTAAGGCGGGTGGATCACCTGAGGTCAGGACCAGCCTGGGCAACATGGTGAAACACCATCTCTACTAAAAATACAAAAGTTAGCCAGGCGTGGTGGCGCGTGCTTGTAGTCCCAGCTACTTAGGAGGCTGAGACAGGAAAATCACTTGAACCTGGGAGGCGGAGGTTGCAGTGAGCCGAGCTCGCACCACTGCACTCCAGCCTGGGCGACAAAGTGAGACACTGTCTGAGAAAAAAAAAAAAAAAAGAAAAGAAAGGAAAAAGAAGCCAACTAAATTTGCGTACTGGGCAAGGAAATAAATGAAAATAGTAGCCAGGCACAGTGGCTCATGCTTGTAATCCTAACACTTTGGGAGGCCAAGGTGGGTGGATCACTTGAGGTCAGGAGTTCAAGACCAGCCTGGCCAACGTGGTGAAACTCCGTCTCTACTAAAAATACTAAAAATTAGCCAGGCATGGTGGTGGGTGCCTATAATCCCAGCTACTCAGGAGGCTGAGGCAGGAGAATCGCTTGAACCCGGGAGGCAGAGGTTGCAATGAGCCAACATCACACCATTGCACTCCAGTCTGGGCAACAAGAGTGAGACTCTGTCTCAAGGAAAAAAAAAAATGTCCAGGCGCAGTGGCTCATGCCTGTAATCCTACCACTTTGGGAGGCCGAGGTGAGTGGATCACCTGAGATCTGGAGTTCAAGACCAGCTAACCAACATGGTGAAACCCCATCTCTACCAAAAATACAAAAAATTAGCCCGGCGTGGTGGCAGGTGCCTGTAATCCCAGCTACTTGGGAGGGTGAGGTAGGAGAATTGCTTGAACCCGGGAGGCAAGGTTGCAGTGAGCTGAGATTGCATCACTGCACTCCAGCCTGGGCAAAAAGAGCAAAACTACGTCTCAAAAAAAAGAAAAGAAAATCATTGCTAAAACATTTAACCCTATTACTTTATGAAAAAGCTTATTTTATTTTATTTTTATTTTTTTAAATAGAGACAGGGTTTTGCTATGTTGTCTACCTTGGTCTTCTACTCCTGGCGTCAAGCAATCCTCCTGCCTCAGCCTCCCAAAAGTGCTGGAATTATAGGTGTGTGCCCAGCTAGGAATGACTGTCTTTTACGGAAAAGTTTTTTTTTAAATTGGTAAGTTGTCTTATTTTTCAATTCCTGTGTCATTAATATATGAAGATTATATTATTGGAAAAACTGAGAAAGATCCTAATGAAATATAAAAATGAATTTCTAAGAGGCAATATCCAATATTGGTTAATGCCAAGATTCTGAATACTTCTGGTCTTTATCACAGAAATAGCAACTGACTTCTACCAAACCAAAATTTGGAAATGTTCCAAGAATTTGGATCCAGTCTCAGATGGAGGGCTTTTTATTTTTTATTTGTTGATTATTTATCAAGAAAAACTATTTCTTAGCCCACATATGTATGCTTCATACTTTAGGAACATAGGTCAGTGACAAACTTCTACATAATTCAACTCAAAGAAATTCTCTCTCTCTTTTTGAAACAGGGTCTTGCTCTGGCGCCCAGGCTGGAGTGCAGAATGGCATGGTCATGGCTCACTGCAGCCTTGACCTCCAAGGCTTAAGCAATCCGCCTATCTCAGCCTCCTGAGTAGCTAGGACTACAGGTATGTATCACCATACCTGGCTAACTTTTGTATTTTTAACAGACATGGGGTTTCTCCATGTTGCCCAGGCTGGTCTCAAACAACTGGGCTCAAGAGATCTGTTTGCCTTGGACTCCCAAAGTGCTAAAATTACAGGCATGAACTACCGTGCCCAGCCCCAAAGAAATTCTATATATTCCAAAATCACTTTCAATTCTGAAAGATACCAGTCTTCCTCATTTCCTCAAAATCTGTTTTGTTTTGTTTTTTTTTTGAGACGGAGTTTCACTCTTGTTGCCCAGGCTGGAGTGCAATGGTGCGATCTTGGCTCACCACAACCTCTGCCTCCCAGGTTCAAGTGACTGTCCTGCCTCTGCCTCCCTAGTAGCTGGGATTACAGGCATGTGCCACCACGCCCGGCTAATTTTGTATTTTTAGTAGCGACGGGCTTTCTCCATGTTGGTCAGGCTGGTCTCGAACTCCTGACCTCAGGTGATCCACCTGCCTCGGCCTCCCAAAGTGCTGGGATTACAAGCATAAGCCACCGCCCCCGGCCATCATTTCCTCAAAATCTTTTATGGAATCATAATTTCTATAGAAATCTAATAATAAAAAAAATTAGCTAGGTGTAGTGGCATATACCTGTAGTCCCAGCTACTCAGAAGGGCAAGGCAAGAGGATCACTTGACCCCAGGAGGTTGAGGCTTAAGTGAGGTACCATGCCACTGCACTCCAGCCTGGGCAACATATTGAGACCCTGTCTCTACAAAAAATAAAAAATTAGCCGGGTGTAGTAGGGGTGCGTGCCTGTAGCCTCAGCTACTCGGGAGGCTGAGGTGGGAGGACTGATTGAGCCAGGGAGGCAAGGCTGAGGCTGCAGTGGGCTGTGATCATGCCACTGCATTCCAACCTGGGTGAGAGAGACCCCATTTTTAAAAAAATATATAGGGCCGGGCGCAGTGGCTCACACCTGTAATCCCAGCACTTTGGGATGCCAAGGCAGGCAGATAACCTGAGGTCAGGAGTTTGAGACCAGCCTGGCCAACATGGTGAAACCCCATTCCTACTAAAAATACAAAAATTAGCTAGGCATGGTGGCAAATGCCTTTAGTCCCAGCTACTAGGGAGGCTGAGGCAGAAGAATGGCTTGAACCCAGGAGGCAGAGGTTTCAGTGAACCGCGATTGTGCCACTGCACTCCAGCCTGGGCGACAGAACAAGACTCTGTCTCAAAAAAAAAAAAAAAAAAGGATAATCCATTCTGGCATGATATCAAAGACAGAGTGAGAAAATGAAAAATTTCTGTCCGGCTAAATCATCTCCACCAGAATCAAAAGAAAAAAAAAAGCTTATAAATCTATTGTTCATGTTAAAAAAAATGATGTGATGCAACAATAAATTGAGGAGCACAACATTTATTAACAAATATGACAGCCTGCATTTGCATGGGAAAAGGGCATTCTTGCACACTTCACTATGGCATATAAAATGGTATGATTTTTATCACTTTTCAGGGAGTGGGGTCTCACTATATTGTCCAGGCTGGAGTGCATAGGTGCAATCATAATGCACTACAGCCTTGAATTCCTGGACTCAAGCAATCCTCCTGCCTCGGCCTCCTGAGAAGCTGGTGCATGCCACTCACCTGGATTAAACTAGTATTATTAACTTTTTAAAGAGGTTATGTTGCCTAAGCTGGCCTCAAACTCTCAGGCTCAAGCAATCTTCCTGCCTCAGGCTCCTGAGTAGGAGGAGCCTGGAACTACAGGCATGTGCCAATGTGCCTGGCTTAAACTGGTATTATTTTTGTGTAGAAAAATCTGTCAATGCGCTATGCAAAATGTTTGGCCTAGCAATTCTACTTCTAAAAAATTATCCTAAGAAAATAAGTACATAAGGCTGGGCATGGGCATAATGGCTATGCCCAGCACTTTGGGAGAATCGTGTAAGTCCAGGAGTTCAAGGCTGCAATGAGCTATGATCACACCACTACTGCACTCTGGCCTAGGCAACAGAGAGAGACCCTGTCTCCAAAAAAAAAAAAAAAAAAAAAACACACACAGAGATAAATATCTAAGGATTCTAACTACAGTTTTGGATATAAGAATTAAACCTGTGGTTGATGTGGTGGCTCATAACTCATACCTGTAATCTCAGCACTTCCTGAGGATCACTTGAGCCCAGGAGTTTGAGACCAGCCTGGGCAATAAAGTGAAACCCCATATCTACAAAAAAAAAAACAAACAACAACAAAAAATCAGCTAGGCATGGTGACACACACCTATAGTCCTATCTACTTGGGAGGCTGATGCGGGAGGATCACCTGAGCCCTGGAAGTCAAGGCTGTAGTGAGCCGTGACTGCACCACTGCACTCCAGCCTGGGCGACAGAACCAGACCCTGTCTCTTTAAAAAAAAAAAAAAAAAAAAAACCAGGCACGGCGGCTCATGCCTGTAATCCCAGCACTTTAGGAGGCCGAGCTGGGCAGATCACCTCAGGTCAGGAGTTCAAGACCAGCCTGACCAACATGGAGAAACCCAGTCTCTACTAAAAATATAAAATTAGCCAGGTGTGGTGGTGCATGCCTGTAATCCCAGCTACTCGGGAGGCTGAGGCAGGAGAATCGCTTGAACCCAGGAGGCAGAGGTTGCGGTGGGCCAAGATAGCGCCATTGCACTCCAGCCTGGGCAACAAGGGTGAATCTCCGTCTCCAAAAAAACAAAAACAAATGTTAAAGAACTTAAATGTCGAGTAAAAAGAAATTACATAACTATTTAAATTTACACAATTCAGCCATTAAAAGCTATGATGTAAAATGATCCACATGTATCATTATGGAAAGGTGCTTATTATATGTCATATAACTCACCCAATATAAACTTTCTGTATCTTCACAATACTTACTTTCAGCTTCATGAGCCTTCAGCAGAGATACAGGCATAGTACCTTGTCTAACATCCCAAATACTCAACATTCCATCTTGGCCACCAGTAGCTACAACATGCTGTTGGTTGGGATGTCTATCAACACAGTGGAGTGGCACTCGGTCACCAGTCCTTTTGTGGGAGATAACAATGACGTCAAAATCAAATAAAGTATAATTTATCTTTGTGTAACACAGGAAACACGTTTTTTGTTTGTTTTGAGACAAGGCCTCACTTACCCAGGCTGGAATGCAGCGCTGCAATCATTGCTTACTGTAGGCTCAAACTCCCTGGGCTCAGGTATCCTCCCACCTCAGCCTCCTGAGTTGCTGGGAGTACATGTGTGTACCATCATGCCTGGTTAACTTTTTGTATTTTTGTAGAGATGGGGTTTCTCCATGTTGCCCAGGTTGGTCTCAAACTCCCAGGCTCCAGTGATCTAGCCACCCTGGCCTTCCAAAGTGCTGGGATGACTGGTAACCGTGCCCAGCCTGTTTTTTTTTGTTTATTTTTTAAGAGACCAGGCTCAGTGGCTCACACCTGTAATCCCAGCACTTTGGGAGGCCAAGGCAGGTGGATGACTTGAGGTTCAAGACCAACCAGGCCAAAATGGCGAAACCCCATCTCTACTAAAAATACAAAAACTAGCCAGGCATGGTGGCACATGCCTGTAGTTCCAGCTACTTGGGAGGCTGAGGCATGAGAATCGCCTGAACCCAGTAGGCAGAAGTTGCAGTGAGCCAAGATCATGCCACTGCACTCCAGCCTGGGTGACAGAGTAAGACTCTGTCTCAAAGAAAAAAAAAAAAAAGAGAGACAGGGTCTTGTCTTGTCACCCAGGCTACAGTGCAATGGCCTATCTACAGCTTGCTGCAAGCTGGGCTCAAAAGAGCCTTTTGCCTCAGCCTCCCAAGTAGCTAGGACTACAGGCACATGCTACCGTGCCAGGCTATTTTAAGAAATTTTGGTAGAGATGGGGTCTCACTGTGTTGCCCTAGCTGGTCTCAAACTTCTCACCGCAGATAATCCTTCCAAAATGTTGGGATTACAGGCATGAGTCACCATGCTCAGCCAAGAAACATGTTTTATATGGTAACTAAGTGTCAACTTAGTGGCTGGAGCTACTGGCTGAATCTTTTTTTTATTTGAGACAGAGTTTTGTTCTTGTTGCCCAGGCTGGAGTGCAATGGCACGATCTTAGCTCACTGCAAACTCTGCCTCCCAGGTTCAAGTGATTCTCCTGCAAACTCTGCCTCCCAGGTTCAAGTGATTCTCCTGCAAACTCTGGCTCCCAGGTTCAAGTGATTCTCCTGCCTCAGCCTCCTGAGTAGCGGGGTCTATAGGCACGTGCCACCATGCCTGGCTAGTTTTTGTATTTTTAGTAGAGACGGGGTTTCACTGTGTTGGCCAGGCTGGTATTGAACTCCTGACCTCAAGTGATCTGCCTGCCTCGGCCTCCCAAAGTGCTGGGATTACAAGCATGAGCAACCACGCCCAGCCTGGCTGAATCTTAATGATACCAAAAAAAATGAACTAAATTAGATATATTTCTAAATAGTACAATTTTGAAATAATTCAAGGCCACAATTATTCATTTTCACTTCAATTTGGAGACATGGAATGAAAGACAATCCGATGGTAAGATGTACAAATCACATTTCCACTTGTTAAATTATTTAAAAACTCATACATCAATTATATACTAAATATTATTTATCATCTTATTTAATGCTTAGTTTATGTAACTATTTTTTCAGTGTGACACATTCTATTTTCTTACGAGAGAACGTTGTACACCTACAAAGGGGGATTTCTGCTCAGAAAAAATATTTGGAATTATATTTTTCCCCCAATCATTACATCTGGAGTATATTTTATCCATTAAACAATCATTGAAAGAGCAGAAATAAGTTCTCCATGAAATAATACAAACTTCAAAGAGTAAAGGCTCTGAATCACTATAACAAATAATTACTAAATGAAGCATAGTAGTACCAACCCCGTCAAGTTATGCTTGCTCTACCAAATTTTAATCAGGGATCTCCCTCTTAAAATGCAATTAAAATTCAATATGGCTTAAAGCCAGTAGCTATAAACAACCTAACACATTAATTTGTGGATTACATTACTGAAATTACAAATCAACACTTACAGTGACAATATCTGAGAAGGCTCATTTCCTTGTTGTCTGAAATCCCATATTTTCAACTGTCCAATTGAATTTACAGTAAGAATCTCAGGAGTTCGAAGAAAGGTTACAGCATGGAGTGTACTACTATCTGCATTGTCTAAAAATTTAAAAAATGGTAGTATGTGTTAATGAGTCCCCTTTTTTTCCCAAGAAAATCTTAAATCACACTCCTTTCATGGATTGATATATTACAATTTCCAGTAACTTATAATTTAAATTTCTATAGAAAAATGCATGGTTAATGTATATGTTTAAATGGATTCTCTTTGGATGGGAAAAACATTTACTCACAGGACATCTGAACTGTTTTCTGTTTCTTTTTTTTTTTTTTGCTCGTTGCCCAGGCTGGACTGCAATGGCGCGATCTCGGCTCACCGCAATCTCCACCTCTCGGATTCAAGCTATTCTCCTGCCTCAGCCTCCCAAATAGCTGGGATTAGAAATGTGCCACCACACCCAGCTAATTTTGTATGTTTAGTAGAGACTGGGTTTCTCCATGTTGGTCAGGCTGGTCTCGAACTCCCGACCTCAGGTGATCCACCAGCCTCGGCCTCCCAAAATGCTGGGATTACAGGCTTGAGCCACCACGCCTGGCCTACTGTTTTCTTTTTCTTTTTGTTTTTTGAGATGGATCTCGCTCTGTCACCCAGGCTAGAGGGCAGTGGCGTACTCTGGGCTCACTACAACCTCCGCCTCCCAGGTTCAAGCGATTCTCTTGCCTCGGCCTCTCTAGTACCTGGGATTACAGGTACATGCCACCATGCCTGGCTAATTTTTGTATTTTTAGTAGAGACGGAGTTTCACCATGTTGGCCAGGCTGGTCTCGAACTCCTGAGCTCAGGTGATCCGCCTCACTCAGCCTCCCAAAGTGCTAGAATTACAGGCATGACCCACCAGGCCCAGCCTTGAACTGTTTTCTAAATGGAAGGCTGAGTTTTCATACATTTCTTTTTAACTCTTAAGATTGTTACCCTGCATTTCTGAGAGAGTTGTTCAAGCTCCTCTAAACCCAATCTTACTTCCCACTAGTCCCTGACCTAGAACTTCCATTCTATTGAGCCAAACTCCAGTGCTTCCTACAGAGCTCATTCTAACCTTGTATTATTCTGCAGACTCATCCCAAATCTACTCATTTTCACCCTCATCAACTCTCGCCCTCTCCATGAAGTCACTCCTTATTGTCATAATGGTCCTTTTTGTTGATTTCCTAGTGTTTAGAACTTATGCCTCATAATTTAACATATACTTTATGGACTTTAGTTTGTGCCACTCCTCTACACTGCCACCAGGCAATGGTCATTAATTAACAAATAAGTAATGTCGCCCAGTGCAGTGGGTCATGTCTGTAATCTCAGCACTTCGGGAGGCCGAGGTGGGCAGACCACTTGAGCCCAGGAGTTTGACACCAGCCTGGGCAACATGGTGAAACCTCGTTTCTACAAAAATTAGCTGGGCATGGTGGTGTGCATCTGTAGTCCCACATCCCTGGAAGGCTGAGGTGGGAGGATCGCTTGAACCTGGGAGGCAGAGGTTGCAATGAGCTGGGATCATGCCACTGCACTCCAGCCTGGGTGACAGAGCAAGACCCTGTCTCAAAAAAAAAAAAAAAAAAAAAAAAAGTAATGCAACTTAACTCAGAAATGAAAATCATAATAAACAACACAAAAGGCCAGGTACAGTGGCTCACGCCTGTAATCCCAGCACTTTGGGAGGCCGAGGCAGGCGAATGACAAAGTCAAGAAATCAAGACCATCCTGGCCAACATGTTGAAAGCCTGTCTCTACTAAAAATACAAAAATTAGGTGGGTGTGGTGGCGTGCGCCTGTAGTCCCAGCTCCTCGGGAGGCTGAGGCTGGAGAATCGCGTGAACCCAGGAGGTGGAGGTTGCAGTGAGCTGAGGTCGTGCCATTGCACTCCAGCCTGGTGACAGAGCGTGACTCCATCTAAACAAACAAACAAACAAAACACACACATACAAAATGGATTCATGGGCTCAATTCCTAGAGATTCTGATTTAAAAGGTCTAGAGTGGTCGACAGTTAAAAAATTTCCTCAGAGAAGTCTGGCTGAAGCATAGTTCAGAACCAATACACTTAGTTTTCCACCTAAAAGATGTAACTTCTGTGATTTTGCATTACAGACTCTTTGCAATCTGGCCCCAGCTTACTTCTCTCTTGCTTCATCTTTCATCTCTCCTAAATAAATATCTAAAGTCGGGTCAAACTATACTTTTTGTCATTCTCTGAATGTCTTTATCCTGCCTCTGGCCTATTCCCTTTGTCTAGCACGCCATCTTTTAGTATTACTTATGGTCTAGAACCTAGAAAAACTATTAATTACTACCTGCTTCCAGATGTTTTATCTGATAATGCCCTCTCACCAAAAAAAAAAAGGTTTCTGTTTCCTCTAGTCAGTCATTCATACTGGTCTCATCAACATACTGTCTTGACAAAGGGATCCTGCCTTGCGTTGTGTGTGCACATGTGTACATATATTTTATATTTTTTTGAGACAGAGTCTTGCTCTGTCACCCAGGCTGGAGTGCGGTGGCATGATCTCGGCTCACTGCAGCCTCTCAGTCTCTCAGGTTCAAGCGATTCTCATGCCTCAGCCTCCCAAGCAGCTGGGATTACAGGCCTGTGCCACCATGCCCAGCTAATTTTTGTATTTTTAGTAGAGATGGGGTTTTGCAATATTGGTCAGGCTGGTCTCAAACTCTTGGCCTCAAATGATCTGCTCGCCTTTGCCTCCTAAGGTGCTGGGATTATAGGCGTCAGCCACTGTACCCGGCCATATATTTTTACATCCCTCCATCACTTAACATTGTGTTTACTTTTTTTTTTTAGATGAAGTCTCTCTCTGTCACAAGGCTAGCGTGCAGTGGTGTAATCTTGGCTCACTGCAACCTCTGCCTCCCGGGTTTAAGTGATTCTCCTGCCTCAGCCTCCCGAGTAGCTGGGACTACAGATGCACACCACCTCACCCAGCTTATTTTTGTTATTTTCAGTAGAGACGGATTTTCACCACGTTGGCCAGGATGATCTTGATCGCTTGACCTTGTGATCCGCCTGCATCACCCTCCCAAAGTGCTGGGGTAACAGGCATGAGCCACCGTGCCTGGCAGTATTTACTTAGTATATGGTAAGTGCTCAATTACTCTGATGGATGAAAGGAGTACAATGATTTTTCTTTTTTTGAAACAGGGTCTCCCTCTGTCACCCAGGTGGGACTGCAGAGTGCCATCATAGCTCACCACAACCTCCACCTCTCAGGTTCAAGCGATTCTCCTGCCTCAGCCTCCTGAGTAGCTGGGATTACAGGCATGCGCCACCACGCCTGGCTAACTTTTCTTTTTTTTTTTTTAAACAGAGTTTCACTTTTGTTGCCCTGGCTGGAGTGCAATGGTGCGATCTCTGCTCACTGCAACCTCCGCCTCCCAGGTTCAAGCGATTCTCCTGCCTCAGCCTCCCAAGTAGCTGGGATTACAGGCATGTGCCACCATGCCCAGCAAATTCTGTAGTTTTAGTAGAGACGGTGTTTCTCCATGTTGGTCAGGCTGGTCTCGGACTCCCGACCTCAGGTGATCCACCTGCCTCGGCCTCCCAAAGTGCTGCAATTGCCGGGGTGAGCCACCACACCCAGCCTAACTTTTGTATTTTTAGAAGAGACTAGGTTTCGCCATGTTGGCCAGGCTGGGATTTTTCTTACCTATGGTTCTTACAGCTTCCTTGTGATCAGCTCTGAAGAGATTTATTCGACCATCCTCTCCAACTGTAACGATTTCTGGGTTGTTGCACACAACACCTGTACATGGTGCACTGCTATAGGAAGGACTGCCAGGGCCTGTGTGGTAGTGAGCTGTAGTCCACTGCTGGTTGACTGACAGAGTCTAGGCATCAGAAATGAGGATACTATTAAAGCAAAGTACTAAGGAATTAGCACTTCTTCCCAACAAGAGTATCTTTAAATTCTGACTCACACCCTTCTACAAGAATAAATCTCTCCTTTTTCCTTTAGAATAATGAAATCTAGAAACTACTGCCATCAAAGTTCTATATACACTGAATTAGATACAAAAGGAATATTGTTTAATAATGCCCCACATTTATCTCAAACTACAGTAATGACTTTTAGGGATCAAGCAGTTGGATGTTCAAAGGCAACTCTTTGTATTCTTATGGGAATTAACCTACATCTAAAATATACATATCTGGCCCACGGCTGTCGCTCATGCCTGTAATCCTAGCACTTTGGGAGGCCAAGGCAGGCAGATCATCTGAGATCAGGGGTTCGAGACCAGCCTGGCCAATATGGCAAAATCCCGTCTCTACTAAAAATACAAAAATTTGCTAGGTGTGGTGGCACGCGCCTGTAATCCCAGCTACTTGAAAGGCTGAGGTGTGAGAATTGCTTGAACCAGAGAGATGCAGGTTGCAGTGAGCAGAGATCGCACCACTGCACTCCAGCCTGGGTGACAGAGAGAGACTCTGTCTCAAAAAAAAAAATAAATAAATAAAATAAAATAAAATAAATAAAATATTAATCTCTATAGCTTTTTCTAAATGACTCAAAAAAACCCTTAACATGAACTGGGACTTATATTAACTAGGCATGTCTATTAGAAAAGGTTACCTTTGGCTGGGCGCGGTGGCTCACACCTGTAATCCCAGCACTTTGGGAGGCCGAAGAGGGCTGATCACCTGAGGTCAGGTGAGATCAGCCTGACCAACATGGAGAAACCCCGTCTCTACTAAAAATATAAAATTAGCCGGGCGTGGTGGCACGTGCCTGTAATCCCAGCTACTTGGGAGGCTGAGGCAGGAGAATCACTTGAACTCAGAAGGTGGAGGCTGCGGTGAGCCGAGACTGCGCCACTGCACTCCAGTGCGCGGGCAACAAGAGCAAAACTCCATTTCAAAAAAAAAAAAAATCACTTCTCAAACTAAAGTTCTTTACCTGGTTATTTGGATGGTGAAGGAAAACTGTTACACATCCTGTTGATGAAGCAGCGACAATTCTTTCCTGGTCAAAAAACTAAAGAGAAAATTTCTGCTTGTTAAAGATTCAGAAATATTAGCAGGGAGGAAGTCCATTTGTTTATTTAACTCAATTAGTAGCAAATCTTATAACAATTTTAAAAAGCAAAGAGCCATGAGTGCTAAGGAAATAAAATGTGTTAATGAAGCTGAAAGGCCAAACTGCCATACAAAGTATTTTCATGAATAAACAATATTTTTTCCTAGACACATTCACCCACAATTGATTTAATTTGGGACCAACACAATAAAACCTTAGGAAAATATTATTCCTGGCTGGGTGCAGTGGCTCACGCCTGTAATCCCAGCATTTTGGGAGGCCTAGGTGGACGGATCACTTGAGCTCAGGAGTTCAAGACCAGCCTGCGCAAGATGGCGAGGCCTCGTCTCTACAAAAATACAAAAATGAGTTGGGGTTGTAGGGAAGTGGAGGTTGCAGTGAGCCAAGATTGAGCCCCTGCATTCCAGCCTAGTTGACAGAGCAAGACTCAGTTTCAAAAAAAGAATAAAAATTTTAAAAAAGAAAAGCCAGGCACGGTGGCTGACGCCTGTAATCCCAGCACTTTGGGAGGCTGAGGCAAGCGGATCACGAGGTCAGGAGTTCGAGACCAGCCTGGCCAATACGTTGAAACCTCATCTCTACTAAAAATACAAAAATTAGCTGGGCGTGCTGGCATGTGCCTGTACTCCCAGCTACTCAGGAGGCTGAGGCAGAAGAATCACTTGAACCCACGAGGTGGGGTTGCAGTGAGCCGAGATCGAGCCACTGCACTCCAGCCTGGGTGACAGAGCAAGACTCGTCATAAAAAAGAAAAAAAAAAAAGGAAAGGAAAATATCGTCTGGGCATGGTGGCTCACACCTGTAATCCCAGCACTTTGGGAGGCCAAGCCGGGTGGACCACGAGGTCACGAGTTCAAGACCAGCCTGGCCAACATGGTGAAACTCCATCTCTACTAAAAATACAAAAATTAGCCAGGCATGGTGGCATGTGCCTGTTGTCCCAGCTACTCGGGAGGCTGAGGCAGGAGAATTGCTTGAACCCAGGAGGCAGAAGTTGCAGTAAGCTGAGCTCTCGCCACTGCACTCCAGCTCGGGTGACAGTATAAGACTTCGTCTCCAAAAAAAAAAAATGTATCTTTCCTAGAGCTAGATAGCTTTCTTTTTTATTTTATTTATTTATTTATTTATTTATTTATTATTATTATTTTTTGAGACAGAGTTTCGCTCTTGTTGCCCAAGCTGGCGCACTCTCGGCTCACTGCAACCTCTGCGCCCGGGTTCAAGCGATTCTCCTGCCTCAGACTCCAGAGTAGCTGGGATTACAAGCGCGCACCAGGGCTAGGTAGCTTTCTATGGAAAATGCAGGGGCTCTCCACACCAGGATTTGAAAACTTAATTTCGGCCGGGCGCCATGGCTCACTCCTGTAATCCCAGCACTTTGGGAGGCCGAGGCAGGCAAATCACCAGGTCAGGAAATAGAGACCATCGTGGCTAATATGGTGAAACCCCGTCTCTATTAAAAATACAAAAAATTAGCCGGGTATGGTGGCCTGCGCCTGTAGTCCCAGCTACCCGGGAGGCTGAGGCAGGAGAATCGCTTGAACCCGGGAAGCGGAGGTTGTAGTGAGCTCAGATCATGCCACTGTACTCCAGCCTGGGTGACAGAGCGAGACTCCATCTTGGAAAAAAAAAAAAAAAAGAAAACTCAATTTCATCCCCACCACTCATTACTGGTTTTGAGACTTTGGCCAAGTTAAGTTCACTAAATCGTGGTAAATCTTTAAAACGGGAGCACTAATCTCTACTTAGGGAGTTGTTATGAGAATTCAAAAAACAAAATGATGTTATCCCCCTGCACAGTATCTGTCACATAGTACATGCTCAAGATATATTAGTCTCAATTTTCTCATTAGTAAAACAAAGTAACGATACTTGATTCACTGGCATGCAACAATAATTAATTTTTGTAAAGCTCCCCAAACGGTATTTAGCACATAGTCGACAGTCAATTAATAAAAAAGTATGATTAAATCTACATCCCCTTTCCCAGTCCTTTTTCTGCCACTAAATGGCTAAATGATGTTGGGCAAATCATAACTTACAGAGCACTCAGTTTTCTGTAAACGAGGGGTGACACCAGACAACTTTTATGATGCTCTGCTTGTTTAAATGTATTACTCAGGACTTTCAAAGTTAGCTTTTGGATGCTACACAGATTTACCTGTAAATCCATTACATCACCATGGTGTCTGATATCACACAATAACTGATGGTCTCCTTCAAACCCTCCATCAGAGTCCAAGTTTCCAAAATCTCCAATAGACCACAGTGAAATATAATTTTCCTGTAAAACAGAAAGTTTTGTCTTGAGATGACATAAACGTCAACTCTCGGAAAATAAAAGTTGTGCTCCCGTCCGGAAATGTTGCTCCAAAACATCTCAAATGGTATGGTGAGTTTAAAACACAACGAGATACGAGGCTCAGGCATGCCATCACCGGCTCTGAGCTACGGAGCAACCGCGCCTGAGACAGGGGTCCGGGGGACCTAAAAGTGCGAGAAGAACCAGAAGGTGGGAGTTGGCGCGCGGAAGGCCAGGGGTCAGCTCAACCGGAGAGAGGGAGGAGGTAGGGGCTCGTCCCTATCAGCGGCGATACCTCATTGTCCCAAGATCCTGTAGCGAACGTCTCCGCGGTCTGTAAACTTCCCGGAGGCAGCGGTCGCCAGCGGGTTTTGCTGATTTTCTGGGACACAAACTTCGCATAAATTTCCTCCATGCCGAAAGCGGCCGCAGCAGGTACTGCAAAAAGCAAGCACAGTACGCGCCTCTCAGCACCGCCTCTTCCCGCGGAACCCTGATTGGATGGGACTTTAGGACGGAGACGGTGGCTGCAGAGAGTCAATTCTCGTCGATAGCCAGTGTGGGCACAGTCAGTACCTAGACTGAGAGGCCCACCCATCTCACAGAGCAGCTCTGAGCAAAGGCAAGAGCGCTTTGGCCTTTGAGCAGTAGGACTTGCTCCTAATCTGCAATGTCAGTATTTTCTTGTGTTCAATAATTGTGCAGTGTAAAATTTAAGTGCAAAAACAGAACAAAAACAATGCAGTAGAAACCACCTTGAAACCACACCTAAGCAGTTGCAGGTCACTGCGCATAGAAAACGATTCAAAAATCCTTAAATACTCGTGGAAGTACCTCGAATAAAGTGCCAACCTACTATCCCAAACCTCTCCCTCTTGTCTCCCAAACAAATACTTTGCTTCAAAGTTAATACACACTGTCAGAGCCTGGAGTTGGAATTCTGAAAGACTCCAGTTTTAGTTTTGATGCCAATTGCCTAGCTTTGATCAATTCAATTACGTGCATGATTAAGAATGAAGTTTGTGATACCTATTGTCAACGGCCCAGGAATCAGTTTTCTAGGTTCCTTCTGTGCTTTTGGTTACACCTATAATATTCTTCCCTTCCTCTTTACTCCTCAGAATCCTGCCTATCCTTCAAGGATCTGTTCTTTCCTTTACCATTTCCTGACGACCCCAGCCAATGTTGATCTAAATCAACACCATTTTTTTTCTTTTTTAAGACAGGGTCTCTGTGGCCCAAGCTGGAGTGCAGTGGTACAATCTCAGCTCACTGCAACCTCTGCCTCCGCCTCCCAGGTTCAAGTGATTCTCCCACCTCAGCTTCCAGGGTAGCTGGGACTACAGGTGTGCGCCACCATGCCTGGCTAATTTTTTTTTTTTTTTTTTGGAGAGACGGGATTTCACCATATTGGCCAGGCTGGTCTCGAACTCTTGACCTCAGGTGATCCAACTGCCTTGTCCTCCCAAAGTGCTGGGATTACAGGCGTGAGCTAGCATTTGATATCTAGACCACTAATGACATATATTTTGGATATATCTTATGTTAGTTTTCTTTAGATGCATATTCCTCCCCCATTAGAATGTAAATCCTACTGAATACAAGAGATATGACTTATTCAACTAAAAAATGAAGCTCTTTTACACTATAGGTATTCATAACTGTATGTTGGTTATTTCTTTAAAAAGGGCCATTATGCTACTGTTGTTTTTATGTGATATTGGTAGTCCTACTTCACAGGGACAGTTTACGGAAGCACTGCATGTAAATGCAATCCATCTGGGTCAGCTTTAGAGTTACCAGTTTCCTATCAAGGATTTGACTTTTTTCTTTTCTCCAAATGGAAGATCATCAAGAAACTGTAGAAAGATGAAATGGAAAATATTAAGTGGGTTACAGTCCCAAATCAACAATTTTATTCATGTTTAATATTGAAGTAAAGAACACTGTTTTGGCCAGGCACGGTGGCTCACGCCTGTAATCCCAGCACTTTGGGAGGCCAAGGCAGGCAGATCACGAGGTCAGGAGTTCAAGACCAGCCTGGTCAACATGGTGAAACCCTGTCTCTACTAAAAATACAAAAATATTAGCTGGGCATGGTGGTGCGTGCCTGTAATTCCAGCTACTCGGGAGGCTGCGGCAGAATTGCTTGAACCGGGACCTGGGAGGTGGAGGTTGCAATGAGCCAAGATCATGCCACTGCATTCCAGCCTGGGCTACAGAGTGAGACTCCGTCTCAATCAAAAGCAAAAAAACAAAAAGAAACCAGTTTTGCCTGTAGTTTCATTTATGGTCACATAATCCCAGAAAATAGGTAATGTTGATTTTGGATTGGAAGCAGGCCAGTGTCACATTTTACAAAATCGGATAAGAACTAGAATTTGAAAATTGTGCTGATATAGTGGCACAGATGTCTTAGCTTTGTTTCCTTCTAAAAGATTACTGGAGGCCGGGCGCTGTGGCTCATGCCTGTAATCCCAGCACTTTGGGAGGCCGAGGCGGGCGGATCATAAGGTCAGGAGATCGAGACCATCCTGGCTAACACGGTGAAACCCTGTCTCTACTAAAAATACAAAAAATTAGCCGGGCGTGGTGGCGGGTGCCTGTAGTCCCAGCTACTCGGGAGGCTGAGGCAGGAGAATGGCCTGAACCTGGGAGGCGGAGCTTGCAGTGAGCCGAGATCGCGCCACTGCACTCCAGTCTGGGCGACAGAGCGAGACTCCGTCTCAAAAAAAAAAAAAAAAAAAAAAAAAAAAGTTACTGGACTAGATGATGGCTGGATTCTGTCAGTCTCAGGTCTAATTAGGAGTCAGCGATTTGGACGCGACAAGCAATGTTCTCAGTGAGCTTCTCACTCATGGTCTTGCAGAGCTGAGAGCAATAAAGCCACGGTGGAATTTGTGAGGCTTAATTAGGTGGAAATGCACACTTACGTCGGGAGAATAACACGTTCACCAAAGGACACAGTGGTATTTTTTAACCAATCGCAACTCTGTACGTTGGTATTATTCTAAGGGAGCAAAGCTTTGCCCCAACCCCCACCCCCATGTCCTGGTACTCTTCCACTCTGAGAGCTTTAGAACCGGGGTTCCAAAGTCTCTGCTTAGCCTAACAGTGACGTGCTTGTCACAAAGCCAGAGGCCGGTGTACTCGGGTTAGAGAGGGCCTTTGTCGTTGGGTTTTATTCTTATTGTATTATTCGGGCTCCACCGACCCAAATATTAGTCAACTGGGTTGGGCGAGGTAGGACGGATGAAGCCCACCGTCTAACAATCTGGACATCTATAGGAGCAGATCCGCCGCTCGAAACAGCTGACCCAGCGACGACTGCGGAACCACTAGCAGCGTCTGCACAGATCGACCCCGCCATCCCGCCGTCCCGCTCGGTGACCGGAGACACAGCCGGGAACGCGACTGATCAGGCTACCGAGCCGGGCCGCAGGGCGAAAGCGGTGCGGTCCGAGGCCTCAGAAAGGGACACGCAGCAGCGGAAGTGGCGCTGACTCAGCCCGGCCTCCCTGCAGTCCCCTGGCAGCGGTAGCAGCCACAGGGGCGGGCGGCTGGGCCACACGCCTCCCCCGCCCTCGGCCCCACCCGGCCGCACCCTAAGCCGCGCGGCGTCACAGAGCGCATGCGTGCCGCGGGGGATGCCGGGAGCGCGCAGTGGCGGCAGCGGCGGCGACGGCAGTAACAGCGGCAGCTACAGCGGGGACGCGAGCGGGGCGGTGACGGTGTGGGAGGTGGTCTCACTCTTGGGAAAACTGCTGGGCACCGTCGTCGCGCTGAAGGTGGTTCTGTACCTGCTCCGAGTGTGCTTAGCGATGGCCTGGAAATCCGGCGGCGCCAGCCACTCGGAGCTAATCCACAATCTCCGCAGTAAGTGCCACCTCCGCCCGTTGTAGGGCAGCTGGGGCAGGCTGGGCCTGGACCGGGTCCCCCTGGGCCGTCCGGAACGTTCTGTCTGTCCCCGCGCGCCTGTTGGAGGGCTTCGGCGCAGAGTTGCCCCGGTAGTCCCGAACGGCGTGCGCTTGCAGTCGCCTCCCTCGGGACCTGTCACTCGTCGACGACGTGGACTGGAAGGGGAGAGAAAGAGCCAGGGGCCGCTGCTGGTGGGGGCAGGGGCAGTCGTCTCCCTGCAGGCCCTGGGGGAGGGAGTGCAGTACAGGTGATGCTGCTGTCACTCAGGTCCGCGTCCGGGTCCGGCTTGTGAGGGGCGTGCCTTCGGGGTGGGAGCGTGTGGGCTAGGCCTTATGGAGAGTGGGCTGGCGCTCAGGAGACCCCACCCTCGTCCCCTGCATTTTTCTCACCTTCCTCCTCCATAATCAACCTCGCTGCAAGCTTTCCCTCTTATGCAGCCTCCCCCGCCCTCCGTTTTTTCCCCTGGAGGGAGATGCCACCGTCTGATACAGGCGAGGGGAGGAAGATGAGAGTATTGCCATTGCAGATGCTGGGAGAAATTTCTCGGGCGGCTGTCCAGTGGAAAGCTCCGTGCGGGGCGGAGAAAGAACAGGGGATGCTGTTCCTGAGAGACTTGTATTTCAGGAGCCTTTGCAGGTCCTGGATCAGCAGAGGGTTGTGTGTCTGATGTTCTAACTTTTTTCAGGGCTACCATAGGCTTTAAAAACCTTATGTGGAGTTTCTTTATATCACTCTCCTTAGTTACTGTATTCCTTCTTCTGATGATAATTTTAGGATAGGATGAGTGCTGTGTCACTTTCTTTTTTTAAATCGAAATATAGCGTCCCCGTTTTGTTGGGAGACTACAAGGGCCGCAGTCTATAATAAACTCACTGGTCAGAATTTATAGCATTATTCGCTACTATGCAGTAATCATATCTTGTCACATGGTATTTTTAATTGTCCTGTGTTACTTAGCTTTTCATGTGTTTGTCTTATTTCTCAACTCGATTTGTAATTTCCTTAACGGCTGGCACCATTAAAAAAAATTTTTTTTGGCCGGGCTCATTGGCTCACGCCTGTAATGCCAGCACTTTGGGAGGCCGAGGCGGGTGGATTACCTGAGTTCAGGAGTTCGAGACCAGCCAGGCCGACATGGTGAAACCCCATCTCTACTAAAAATACAAAAATTAGCCGGGCGTGGTGGTGCCTGCCTGTAATCCCAGCTACTTGTGAGGCTGAGGCAGGAGAATCGCGTGAACCCGGGACGGGGAGGTTGCAGTGAGCCAAGATCTTGCCACTGCACTCCAGCCTGGGCAACAAGGGAGGAAACTCCGCCTCAAAAAAAAAATTTTTTTTTGAATTTTCTCTAAGAATTTAACAGTCATCCCTTTTTTTCATAAATGCCCATTAAATGTCCGTTATATGCCTAAATCTGTGCTAGACAGACAAAGGTAATTGAGAGAAATTAGGAGTACTGTTTGGCACATGGTTGGTACTTTTTTTTTTTTTTTTTTTTTTTGAGACAGAGACTCCCTCTGTAGCCCAGACTGGAGTGCAATGGCGCGGTCTTAGCTCACTGCAACCTCCGCCTCCCAGGTTCAAACAATTGTCCTGTCTCAGCCTCCTGAGTGGCTGGGACTACAGGCGCCTGCCAGCACGCCTGGCTAATTTTTGTATTTTTAGTAGAGAAGGGGTTTCACTATGTTGGCCAGGCTGATGTCGAACTCCTGACTTCATGATCTGCCCACCTCGGCCTCCCAAAGTGCTGGGATTATAGGCGTGAGCCACCGCGCCAGGCCGGTACTTGATATATTAGTCATTTTGGATTTTTTTTTGGTGGGGGGACAATACTTAATGTGGAAACTGAGTCTTTAGTGTTTGGTAAGAGAGAATGTTGATTATTTTTTTTTTTTAGACAGGGTTTCACTGTCACCCAGGTTGGAGTGCAGTGGTGTGAGCTCGGCTCACTGCAACCCCTGCTTTCTGTGCTCAAGCGATTTTCCCACTTCAGCCTCCTGAGTACAGTGGTGCCACCATACCAGGCTAATTTTTAGGGTTTTTTTTTTTTTTTTGGTAGTTTATGAGATGGGGTCTTGCTATGTTGCCCAGGCTGGTCTTGAACTCCTGGACTCAAGCAATTTGTTGGACTCAGGCTCCCAAAATTTTGGGATTACAAGAGTGAGCCACCGCACCTGGCCATGGTGAATGTTTAGATGTCAACATTTTTTTTTTTTGAGACAGAGTTTTGCTCTTGTTTCCCAAGCTGGAGTGCAATGGCGTGATCTTGGCTCACTGCAACCTCTGCCTCCTGGGTTCAAGCGATTCTTCTGCCTCAGCCTCCCGAGTAGCTGGGATTACAGGCACCCACTACCACGCCTGGCTAATTTTTAGTATTTTTAGTAGAAACGGGGTTTCACTATGTTGGCCAGGCTGGTCTCAAACTCTTGACCTAAGGTGATCTGCCTGCCTCGGCCTCCCAAAGTGCTTGAATTACAGGTGTGAGCCACCACGCCCAGCCTAGATGTCAATATTTTGTCAAGCATTGTCAGGTTCATTTTATGGAATGATGCTTGATTGGAAATGGACATTTATGTGCTACAACAGTAGTATGAAGTATGATTTGGGTTCTCATGGATGGCACATAAGCTCAATATGTTGTAAATATTTTTTACGAAATCCCTTAACATGATCTCAGTGCCTTCTATTGCAGTATATGTACCTGAAACATTTTGTACACAAATTGTGATTAAGTAATTTTCCACCGGTAGGTTATCATAGTAGGCACTTGGCTGTGGCAGAAATTTGTAATCAATCAGGCTCTTAAAGTCTCTCCTTTTTTGGGCCAAATTTGTGGTAAGCCAAGACTAGATAGATCTTTTCCCGGTGGTTTCATAATCACTTTAATGTATTGCATTACTGTTCTTAGCTGAAATTTCTAAGGATGTTTTTCTGTCAGGAAATTTAATAAGGAATATTTAATATACATAGATGTTGATTTTGCAAATAGTTTTATACTAGATTTATGATTGGTAAGAGGAAATTAGAGTAGAATAGTTGTTTAGCCTCTTTTGTAACACTTGTGCAACTTTAGTTTCAACTTCTTGCTGAGGTAATTCTAGCTAATAGATTTCTTTTTATTAGCTTATTATAAAAGTAATACTTGCTCATGTGAAAATTGTAATTGACATAAAATTTGAAAATATTGCCTTCCTTCCTCATTATTCTACTGTGTATATTCTTCCTAAATTAAAGGCTTTTAATTGAAATCTTAGAAAAATATAAAAATGTGATTGTGTTGATGTTGAAATGAAAAGGGGCCTGCTTACTAGAAGGGGAAGGAAATTACATTTTTAATGGTTTTTTTTTTTTGAGACAGAGTTTCGCTCTTATTGCCCAGGCTGGAGTGCAATGGCACGATCTCAGCTCACCACAACCTCTGCTTCCCAGGTTCAAGCAATTCTCTGGCCTCAGCCTCCCGAGTAGCTGGGATTACAGGCAGGCGCCACCACACCCAGCTAATTTTGTATTTTTAGTAGAGACAAGGTTTCTCCATGTTGGTCAGCTGGTCTTGAATTCCCAACCTCAGGTGATCTGCCTGCCTCAGCCTCCCAAAGTGCTGGGATTACAGGCATGATCCACCACACCTGGCCAATAGTTTTTTTTGTTTTGTTTTGTTTTGTTTTTAAGAAATGAAGCTTAATATAATTTGTTAAGAATATTTTGTTTTCCTTTTGTATTAAAATCTATCATAATAGGACTGTGGTTGTATGATTTCATAGTTGATGCATCATTTATAGAATATTTCAGATTGTAATGGTAGATTTCTTATGTCATGGCTTATATTATAACCACTCTTAAGTAACTTAGAACAGTGACTAAAACTTGAGCATGCTTCAAAATCTCCTGAATCACCTGGAGAGCTTTTCAAAATACAGATTGCCGGAGCTTGAGAATTTGTATTTCTAACAGATTTGTAAGTGGTGCCACTGCTGGTCCAGGGACCACATTTTGAGAACCAGTGACATGGAGAATTGAAAATTATAAGGTTGAATTCTGCCAGCATATCAGCTAAATCAGTTTTATGCTTTAGAATAATGTTTTAGAAAAAGTCTATAGCAGTCTTGCCCTATAGAGTGCTTGGTGATGTTCTCTATATTGTCCAGTGTGGTAGCTACTAGCTACATGTGGCATTTAACATTTGAAATGTGGACAACTGAAGAACCGAAATTCAATTTTTTAAAAAATTAACTTAATGAAATAACCACATGTATCCAGTAGTTACCATATTGGACAGCACAGGTCTCTAGAAATGAAAAAATACAATTATTTTATGATTATGGACTGGTAATGTGCTCGTGAAACAAATTAGCTTAATTTGAAACCGTGAGCCTGCTTAATCCAGGGAATGTGACTATTTAAATAATGTTTATATTAGAGTTTACTTCCTACTCGTATTGAGATAATTTCAAGCCATGGTAAAATTTAGGAAGATAGCCAGAGTAGGTGAGGTGATGTTCTGGAGCAGGGGTATTTAAACCAGAGGGTTTGTGGGATGTTAACTTAATGGATAGGCTTCAAATGCTATAGAGTAGTCCCTCCCTTATCCCATGGTTTTGCTTTCTGAAGTTTCAGTTACCCCAAGTCAACTGAGGTCTGAAAATATTAAATGGGAAATTCCTGAAACAAGCAATTCATAAGTTTTAAATTGTGTGCTGTTTTGAGTAGCGTGAGGAACTCTCTGGACGTCCCACTTGATCCTGCCCGTGACATGAATCATCCCTTTGTTCAGCATATCTATGCTGTCTACACCTGCCCGTTTGTCACTTAGTAGCCTATTTGGTTAGCAGTGACTGTCATAGTATCACAGGGCTTGTGTCCAAATAATCCTTATTTTACTTAATAATGGACCCAAAGTGCAAGAATAATGGTGCTGGCATGTAATGATACTTGTTCTATTTTATTCATTATTTTTGTTAATTTCTTAATTGTGCCTAATTTATAAACTAAACTTTATTATAGGTATGTTACGTATAGGAAGAAAACAACATACAGATGGTCCCTGACTTAACAGTGGTTTGACTTACAAGTTTTTTACTTTACTGGATGTAAACCTGTCATAATAAACCTGTTATAAGTTAAGGAAGGCCGAGTGCGGTGGCTCACACCTGTAATCTCAGAACTTTGGGAGGCTGAGTCAGGAGGATCGCTTCAGTCCAGGAGTTTGAGACCAGCCTAGGCAACATAGTGAAAATAACATTTGTCATTTTCTCTACAAAAAATAAACAAAATTAGCTGGGCATTATGGTGCATGCCTGTAGTCTCAGCTACATGAGCTACGTGGGAGGCTGAGATGGGAGGATCACTTGAGCCCGAGAGGTTGAGGGTGCAGTAAGCCAAGATCATGCCACTGCACTCGAGCCTGGGTGATGGAGCAATACTTTGTCTCAAAAAAAAAAAAATGTTGAGTATCTGTATGGGCTGTATGGGCTTTGGTATTGTATGCGGTTTCAGGCATCTATTAAGGGTCTTGGACCGTATTTCCTGTGGGTAAAGGGAAACTACTGTACTGACCACTGAAAGCAATTGTTCTTTTATCTATTTTTATTTGTAAAAATAATTCAGTCCATTCCCCTAATGATCAATTGTTTCTACTTATGTTTCTTTTGCATTCTTGATTTTGTCATTTTACATATATAATGTTTATGGAATTTGTCATTTAGTCAGCTGATATTTTAGTGCTTTCTATATGACAGGCACTGGGGATACAGCAGTGAACAAAACAAACATCCACTCCCTCTTGTAGCTTCTAATGGGAGCAGCCAAGTATAGTATGTCACATGATAAGTGACAAAGTAGGGAGGGAGGACAGAGTGTGTGGGGCAGTAGGTTTATAGTTGTAGAGAAGGCCTCAGTAAGGTATCATTAGACCAAAGATTTGCTGGAGGAGTAGACACATATCACGCAGGTAGACTTGGGATAAGCATTCCAGGCAGAAGAAATAGCGAATTCCAGATTTGGATTTAGGATCTGGGAGAAAAGATTGGAGGCAAGGATCCAACACCAAGGTTTTAGGCCTTGGCAACTGGAATGATTTGCCATTTTCTAAATTGGAAATGGTGAGTGAGTGAGCAGCCACGTTTATTCTGTGAGGAGGGGACTGTGGGAGATCAGATTATTTTGAGGAATGCTTTTCTTATAAGACATTTAAGTCGAGATTTTTAGTAGGCATTTGAATATGCAAGAATTATGATTTGTAGTTTTTATATCCTAAAAGCATTTACTTTTGTAAATAATGAAATTATTTTCTATCTACAGCACCAGTTCTTAGCCACTAGTAGGTGTTGCTAGTAGAAAAGAGCATTTATTCTTTCCCTTTTTTTTTTTTTGAGACAGAGCCTCTTTCTGTCGCCCAAGCTGGAGTGCCGTGGCGTGATCTTAGCTCACTGCAACCTCTGTTTCCTGGGTTCAAGCGACTCCTCCATCTCAGCCTCCCGAGTAACTGGGACTACAGATGCACACCACCATGACTGGCTTTTTTTTTTTTTTTTTTTTTTTTTTTTTTTTGGTAGAGACGGGGTTTTGTCATGTTGCCCAGGCAGGTCTCAAACCCCTGGGCTCAAGTGATCCACCCGCCTCAGTCTCCAATATTGCTGGGATTATAGGCATGAGCCCCTGCGCCCAGCCAGCATTTACTCTTAATATTCCACTACTTTTGTATGCACATGGGAAAAATAGAACCAGCTGGTAAAATCCTAAGAAATTGGAGCCTCAAAGTCCAGAGGCCTTCTCATTTTGACTTATTTCAAACCAGTCTTATGGATAGGTACTAGTAAGTAAACTTGAAATCCTATGTATATATTTAAATTTAAATTATATAAAAATAAATAAAATTGGCCGGGCGTGGTGGGTCATGCCTGTAATCCTAGCACTTTGGGAGGCCGAGGTGGGTGGATCACCTGAGGTCAGGGGTACCAGACCAGCCTGGCCAACAATGCGAAAACCCGTCTCTACTAAAAATACAAAAATTAGCTGGGCATGGTGACAGGAGCCTATAATCCCAGCTACTCGGAGGCTGAAGCAGGAGAATCGCTTGAACCCGGGGAGTGGAGTTTGCAGTGACCTGAGATCGCTCCATTGTACCCCAGCCTGGGTGAAAAAGCGAAACTGCCTCAAAATAAATACATAAATAAATAAAATTAAAAATTTATATCTTTAGTCATATTAGCCACATTTCAAGAGCTCAGTAGCCACATGGAGCTAGTGCCCACCCTGTTGGACAGTGCAGATAGAGAATAGATCTGCCATCACTGAAGGTTCTTTTGGATTGCAGTAGATCTTGATGCTTGGCTGTATTACATTCTGGTTAATGAGATCTTAGGCTGTAGGAGGGGAAAGATTCGATTGTGCTGTTACAAAAATATTTTTATTAATATTATATTTAGCTTTGGTTAAATGCTTTCAGGGTGGCAGTGTAAAACTAAAGATTATTGGATAAGAGTGATGAAGATAACAAGAGGATCAGCATCTTACATGGTGCTTTGAAGGGATGGAGGTGGTTTGGTTTAGCAAAACCTTTAGGGAGCAGTGGTGTTTAAATTTGAAGAAATGTCATGTAGTAGAGGGTCAAACCAGGACAAATGGGAGGCAGATTTTGGCTCATTATAAGTAAGTATTCACAAAGCTATCCTAACAATCAAAAAGTTGGCTTTGAAAAAGTGTTTTCTGTCACCAAATATGTTGAAGCAAAGAATGGTTGACCATTTCACTGTAAGGGATATTGTAGAAGGGATTTTGTCATCAGATTTGAATGTACACTAGATCTCTAAGGACCCTTCCAAATCCAAGATTCTGTGATTTTTTTCCCCAGTGGTCCCTTGTACCTAGATTTTATGATTTAAAAAATATTTTATTTTATTTTTTGAGACAGAGTCTCACTCTGTTGCCTAAGCTGGAATGCAGTGGTGTGATCTTGGCTCACTGCAACCTCTGCCTCTCCGGTTTAAGTGATTCTCGTGTCTTAGCCTCCCGAGTAGCTGGGACTTACAGGCACGTGCCACCATACCCAGCTAATTTTTGTACTTTTAGTAGAGATGGGGTTTCACCATGTTGGCCAGGATGGCCTCAAACTCCTGACCTCAAGTGATCCACCCGACTTGGCCTCCCAAAGTGCTAGGATTACAGGAGTGAGCCACTGCGCCCAACCAATTTTTTTTTTCTTTCTTTCTTTCTTTTTTTTTTTTTTTTTTCTGAGACAGAGTCTTGCTCTGTCGTCCAGGCTGGAGTGCAGTGGCGCAACCTCAGCTCACTGCAACCTCCGCCTCCCCGGTTCAAGCAATTCTCCTGCCTCAGCCTCCTGAGTAGCTAGGATTACAGGCATATGCTACCACGCCTGGCTAATTTTTGTATTTTTTAGTAGAGGCGAGGTTTCACCATGTTGGCCAGGCTGGTCTCAAACTCCTGACTTTGTGATCTGCCCACCTCGGCCTCCCAAAGTGCTGGGATTACAAGCATTAGCCACTGCACCTGGCCCAATTTTTTTCTTTTTTTTAATAGTGTTATGGATTGCATGAAATTACTTGTGGAGTGTATGTGTTTTAGTAGCCAGCTACAGAAGTTTAACATTAACTTCTAATGTTACCTGCATTTTAGGTTTTGTATAACATTGTAGTTTGTTAGAGATGTAAAGGAATCCAAGGAACATATCCTTTGAGAAATAACATCTAAATACTATGTATCAATTAAAAGTTATTAAGGTATAGTGAAAGATCCATTTTATTTTTTTTCCCCATTGATTGGCAGAGGAAGGTACATATTTTAAAATAATCTCTGGTACTTAGAGAATATGCTTTACCGTAACTTGCCATCACATAAAATTCTTCCTTAATTATATTGTGAATTTTTTTTTTCTTTTTTGAGACGGAGTTTTGCTCTTGTTGCCCAGGCTAGAGTGCAATGGCGCGATCTCGGCTCACGACAACCTCCACCTTGTGGGTTCAAGTGATTCTCCTACCTCAGCCTCCCGAATAGCTGGGATTACAGGCACATGCCACCATGCCCAGCTAGTTTTTGTATTTTTAGTAGAGACAGGGTTTCACCAAGTTGGCCAGGATGGTCTCAATCTCTTGACCTCGTGATCTGCCCGGCTCGGCCTCCCAAAGTGCTGGGATTACAGGCGTGAGCCACCGCGCCCGGCCATGTTGTGAATTTAAAACTAATTCCTTTCACATTTTTTCAGTACAGAAAGTACCTGGGAGTGTCTCAGCCTCTACTTAGCATCTATCATGCCTAATCATTCTGAATGGGAAGAAAAAGGTGAAAGTTTTGTTAATTTCTTATTGTTTTTCCAGACATGTTGATAGCAGAGAAGAAATGTGGGGTAGATGGTTAACAGCTATCCAAGTCTTATAAACTAATATAATAAGGTAATATTTCTTTTATTTAGATGTAACCTTGTAACAAGCTTAGAAAGTTTCTATATGACTTGAAATCTATCTGCAGCTTATTTTCTTTCTTTCTTTCTTTCTTTTTTTTGAGATGGAGTTTTGTTCTTGTTGCCCGGGCTGGAGTGCAATGGCGGGATCTCAGCTCACTGCAACCTCCGCCTCCCTTGTTCAAGTGATTCTCCTGCTTCAGCCTCCCAAGTAGCAGAGATTACGGGCACCTGCCACCACATCTGGCTAATTTTTGTATTTTTAGTAGAGACGGGGTTTCACCATATTGGCCAGGCTGGTCTCAAACTCCTGACCTCAGGTGATCCACCCACCTCGGCCTCCCAAAGTGCTGGGATTACAGGCGTGAGCCACTGCGCCCGGCCTATTTTCTTACCTGTATTTTCAGTGCTTATACCAACACAGGCCCTCTTTATTTTTTTATTTCTGCCAGAGTTTTCAGCATTTTAGATCATATATCTTAGAATAATCACTGATTCTTTCAGACTGTCATCAGATTAACTCAGCAGTTCTTACAAATGCCTTTCATAGCCATCCCTTTCACCATATTTTCATTGATACCATCCCAGCCCAGGTTCGTAGTTGAAACTTACGAGTAACATACCTGGTGTCTGATTGGTTGTCATACTTTTCATTTTCCCTCCTTTCAGATCCAATCCATTCTACACATTATACTGATTTTTTCCTAGTGTACTGATTTCTGTTATGTCACTTTGCTGCTTAGGCTTCTTAATGCTTACTGTATCAGGTGTAAACACCTTTTGCTTACCTTTCCAGGCCTTTTTAGAGTCTTATATAGCTTACTCCCATGCTCCAACTCCAATCCTGTTCTGCAGGCTGGTCTTATTTGCCTCTTCATATGCCTTGTGCATGAGGGTACATTGTTCAGTTGCTATAAAAAAAGACCAAACCACAATACCTTAAACAAAATAAGTTTCTCTCTCCCATAGCAGTCCAAACAGTTCAAGACTAATATGGTGGTTCCATGGTGCTGAAGACCTAGACTCCTCTCTTGTTGCTCTGCTCTTTCCCTCATCTACAAGGTTAAAGATAGTTTACCTTCACCATTTCCCTCTTCCAGCCAATGGGGAGGTAAGCAGGAGAAAAAGGAAAACACCCATTCCTTTTAAGAGCATGATCTGGGCCAGGTGTAGTGGCTCATGCCTGTAATCCCAGCACTTTGGGAGGTCGAGGTGGGCGGATCACGAGGTCAGGAGATCGAGACCATCTTGGCTAACACTGTGAAACCCTGTCTCTACTAAAAATACAAAAAATAGCTGGGCATGGTGGTGCATGCCTATAGTCCCAGCTACTTGGGAGGCTGAGGCAGGACAATCGCTTGAACCAGGGAGTCGGAGGTTGCAGTGAGCCAAGATCGTACCACTGCACTCCAGCCTGGCACAGAGCAAGACTCCGTCTCAAAAAACAAACAAAACAAAAAGAGCATGTTCTGGAAGTTGTATCCATAATTTCTACGTATGTTCCATTGACAAGAACTTAATTGTAAGAGTTCACATAATCACAGGGAGACTAATTGGGAATGCACCCAAATAATTCTATCACTATATACTGGATTATAGAGGATGCAGGTAAAAAAGTGTGTGTGTGTGTGTGTGTGTGTGTGTATACACACATATATAAAACTGATATAACTATATGAAGGAAGGGGATAGGTTTGTGTTGTGTAAATACTCATCCATCTTGGCAGGAGGTCAGCAGATGATGTCTAAAGTAGATAAAACATGAAATACACACACACACACACATAAAATTTTATCACTATGAAAGTAAAGCAGTCCTTGCTGTATCTTGCTAATTGTAAGGGTGATGTGTGTGTGTGTGTGTGTGTGTACATATATATATACACATACATACTATCTATGATAGGAGAATTGAGAATATTAATTTTTAATCAAGTAATATATGTACATATTTAAAAGATACAGAATAAGATGAGCTTATAATGAAAAACAACATTCTTCGCCATTCCCAGACTCATTGCTTAGAGTGAACCACTTTTAACTGTTTTTGGTTCTTGTGATTATCTTCATATCTCTAAATCATATGCTTAAACTGATGTTTCATGTTTTATCTACTTTAGACATCATCTGCTGACCTCCTGCCAAGATGGATGAGTATTTACACAATACAAACCTATCCCCTTCCTTCATATAGTTATATCATAGTTTTTGGTTCCTCTTTTGTGGTTACCTTTGTAACTTTAAGTAATAGACTTTAACCTCTGTTTCTTGTTCCATAATTTATAAACTGACACTACCTCTTAACCCATCTACTTGGTAAGAAAGGGTATTAGGGAGTTCCCGCTCTCATTTCCTAATTGATTGACAGTTCTTTTACATTGTCAAAGTTGATAACATTTACATTTTGTTTTGAGCAGTAAATAAATCTTCTGCACCTTATTGTTGATTTCAAAAGTTGAAAATCAGTAGCCATCATTAATATTTATGACTGTATCCATACTTTGCTGAACGATGTAGTGTATTGAGTTTATTCCTTGCCCTTTGTTTCCTATATTACAGACCTTTCTGCTATTGAAGACTGTCAAATGTTTTTCCTTTGTTTTTTAATGCTTCATCAGTTGCTTTAAATCTTGCTACATTTTAGTTTTCCTTATATGTAAATCATAACTCTTGTATAGTGTTTTTGTTTTTTTTCCTGGAATTTGATTTATCCTCTGTGCCCGTTTTCACCCACGCTTCAAGTTGGGAAAAGAAACATATTTTTCTTACCATGACCCTAATTTTTTCAAGGTTTTTATTATTTGGCTGATAGCTTGGATTCTATTGTAGTCTCCTTTTTGAATCCTGTTTTCATTTGGATCAGTTGCATATTTGGACCAACATTAGCCATTATTATAATCATTTAATGAGGGTCTTTAGACCCTAGGGCGGCAAGCAGATCGGGTATGGGTGGCTCTCAAGCTGTTCTCTATTTCAGAAAAGCCTAATGGTAATTGCACATTTACCCCTAATTAGCCTGTACATGCAAAGTAAAACATCAAATTACTTTTCTGTTTGTTAGAAATATTTTAGAGTGCTGGTAATCTATGATATATATATATATCTATGATATATATATCTATGATATATATATCTATGATATATATATATCTATGATATATATATCTATGATATATATATCTATGATATATATATCTATGATATATATATATCTATGATATATATATATCTATGATATATATATGATATATATATCTATGATATATATATATCTATGATATATATATATCTATGATATATATATCTATGATATATATATCTATGATATATATATATCTATGATATATATACCTATGATATATATATACCTATGATATATATACCTATGATATATATATCTATGATAATCTATGATATATATGATATATATATCTATGATATATATCTATGATATATATATCTATGATATATATGTTATATATATCTATGATATATATCTATGATATATATATCTATGATATATATGATATATATATCTATGATATGTATATCTATGATATATATGATATATATATCTATGATATATATGATATATATATCTATGATATATATGATATATCTATGATATCTATGATATGTATATCTATGATATATATATCTATGATATGTATATCTATGATATATATGATATATATATCTATGATATGTATATCTATGATATATATGATATATATATCTATGATATATATCTATGATATCTATGATATATATCTATGATATCTATGATATATATATCTATGATATCTATGATATAAATATCTATGATATCTATGATATATATATCTATGATATCTATGATATAAATATCTATGATATCTATGATATATATATCTATGATATATATATCATAGATTACCAATGACAGAAAAATTATTTAATAGCTTAGTAAATATATAATAGTTTGGTTTAAGCATCTTTTAGAACATGGGATCCTGGGCAAAAATAAATAATAAGAAACTTGTGAAAATTTTGGAAACCACCCAGTAATGCCTAAAAAAGCTTTATTCTGAGACATGATGGGTTCAGCTTTTTAATAAATGGCTGATGGCATGCTATTAATAACAATTTAGAGTTTTTAGTAACTTCCATATGCCTTCATATCTGTAGAGCCAAAGAAGCTCACATAAATTTGATAGAAGTATATTATCGAGCTTGAAGGAAGTGATTTCTTTAATTTACTTTGATTTTTAGAATGTGCCTCAAGTAAAATCTTTAAGATGTCACACTTTAAGTATCCATCTAGAGAAGAATGAATACAGTGAATATGATGATGGTTTCAAAAATTGATGAATAATTGGCAGTGTTGAGTGAAGCTGCCTAACCTGAAAAAAATAAAGCTGGAGGTAGTCCTGATTTATCTTTATGTAAAAAATGGTTGACTAGATAGAAATTCAATATATTCTTTGTGGCTTCAGAGAATAACACTAAGAGTGTCATGTGAGTGAATTATGAAAAGGGAGATTCATCTTAATACAGGGAAATTGTCTAATAATCAGAGTGGTCTGAATGAGCTAGTAAGAACCACAATAATGGAACTCTTTTAGAAGAGAATATGGTACCAATTTATGAAGTTAGACTCAATGGCTCCTAAAGCCTCTTGTGACTTTGAGAGTCTATGAATCACCCTCTGGGATTTGAATTAATTTCAGGGGAAATGAACCACTCAAGAATTATTTTGGGAAATGAATTAGTAGAACTCACTAAGCTATTTGAATATGTTAGTAGCAGTATAGTGAAGTGATCATAGAAATCTAACATCTTAATTTGAATAACCCTACCCCTTATTTGCTCTGTTATCTTGGACTACTTAACTAGTCTTTCTAACCTCAATGTTATGATCTGTCAAATGAAATAATAATAGTGCCTACTTTATAGGCTTATTTGAGACAACATAAGATTCTGTTTATTAGTACTGTATCTTTCACATGGTAAACATTAAGCGAATATCACTGCTATTATTACTCTGCTTTTAAAACTTTAAAAAAAAATGCTTTCAGGCTAGGGACAGGGGCTCACACCTGTAATCTCAGCTGAGGTGGGAGGATCACTTGAGGCCAGAAATTTGAGACCAGCCTGGGCAACATGGCAAGACCCACTCTCTAAAAAAAAACTTTTAAAAATTAGCCGAGTGTGGTGGCATGCACATGTAGGCCTAGGTGTTGGGGTGGCTAAGGCAGGAAGAGCACTGGAACTCAGGAGTCTGAGGTTATAATAAACTATGATGGTGCCACTGCACTCCAGCCTGGGCAACAAAGCCAGACCATATCTCTTTAAAAATTAAAAAATGGGGCCAGGCGCGGTGGCTGAACGCCTTTAATCCCAGCACTTTGGGAGGCCGAGGCGGGTAGATCACGAGATCAGAAGATCGAGACCATCCTGGCTAACACAGTGAAACCCCGTCTCTACTAAAAATACAAAAAATTAGCCAGTCGTGGTGGCGGGTGCCTGTAGTCCCAGCTACTCTGGAGGCTGAGGCAGGAAAACGGCGTGAACCCGGGAGGCGGAGCTTGCAGTGAGCCGAGATCGCGCCACTGCACTCCAGCCTGGCGAGAGTGAGATTCCGTCTCTAAATAAATAAATAAATAAATATAAAAAATAAAATAATGCGGCCAGGTGCGGTGGCTCACGCCTGTAATCCTAGCACTTTGGGAGGCCGAGGCGGGCGGATCCACGAGGTCAGGAGATCGAGACCATCCTGGCTAACACGGTGAAACCCCGTCTCTACTAAAAATACAGAAAATTAGCCGGGTGTGGTGGCGGGTGCCTGTAGTCCCAGCTACTCGGGAGGCTGAGGCAGGAGAATGGCGTGAACCCGGGAGGTGGAGCTTGCAGTGAGCCAAGATCGTGCCACTGCACTCCAGCCTGGGAGACAGAGCGAGACTCTGTCTCAAAAAAAAAAAAAAAAAAAATTAAAAAATGCTTTCAGTGTTTTATTCTAATTACCTTTTTGGGTAGCTTGCCTATGCTTCTTCGGGTAGAAATAATATTTTCTATTTGGGTAATTTATCCAAAATTTATATTTTAAAATGGAAAGACCATATAAGTTTGTCTTTGCTAGTTTATTACTATTTACATTGTTTTCTCTATTTGATGTGCCTTTTTTGCTAATTTTAAAAAATATTCATTGTTACTTGGAAAGTTTGTATTTATACCCTTTATAGTGTCGTTAATTGACCTTATTTTTTTATTTTTTATTTTTTATTTTTTATTTTTTTGCTAGGCATGATGGCTCATACCTGTAATACCAGCACTTTGGGAGGACGAGGAAGGTGGATCACCTAAGGTCAGGAGTTTGAGACCAGCCTGACCAACATGGTGAAACTCTGCCTGTACTAAAAATACAATATTAGCTGGGTGTGGCGGTGGGCATCTGTAATCCCAGCTACTTAGGAGGCTGAGGCAGGAGAATTGCTTGAACCCGGGAGGTGGAGGTTGCCGTGAGTGGAGATCGCGCCACTGAACTCCAGCCTGGGCAACAAGAGTGAAACTCTGTCTCAAAAAAAAAATAAATTTTTTTTTTTTTTTACTATCTGGTTTATCAGTATGAAATGGTATGCTTTGATTCCTTCTATTACCTGTACAGCAGTCAGTGATCTAATTATACTTTCCCTTTTTTCCTCCTCCCATTGTTTTTAGTTGTATTCTTTCTACTTTGTCAGAACATGTAACATTTAAGTGCTATTATTTCACCCATGTTCCTATCCTTATTTCTGTCTTTGCTATACAATTGGGTATGTGTCCTTTGCCAACATATCCCTGGTTATCTCTTGGTTAAATGAAACACATCCTCTAGAAGATTCCTCAGAAAGGGCTTGTGTGTACAGCATTCTCTGAGTTCCTGCATATTCAAAATGGTTTTTTTCCTTCCTATGGCCTCGATATTTGAAGGACAGCTTGGCTGGGTATAAAATCGTTGGCTTACACTTAAAAAAAATCAGCTTTATTGAGGTATAAGTTATATAAAAATTCACCAGTTGTAAGAATACAATTTGAAAAATGTGACAAACAGAAAGTGTAACCCCCAACTTCATTATGATGTGGAACATGGGTCAGCAAACTACAGGCCACAGACAAAATTTGGCCTGCTGCCTGGTTTTATAAATTTTTATTGGAACACAGCCACACTTTCATTTATGTAGTGTTTCTGGCTGTTCTTGCATCACAGTGGTAGTGCTTAGTAGTTGCAACAGAGATTACACGGCTTGCAAATCCTAAAATATTTACTATTTGGACCTTTACAGTTGTTTGCTGATCTCTGCTATAGAATGTTTCTTTCACCCAAAAAGTTTTCTGGTGTCTCTTTGTAATTAATCTCCTCCCTTCTCCTATCCTCTAGCAACTACAGACGGGCCTTCTACCACTATGGTTTTGGCTTTTCTAGAATGTGTTAAAAATGGAATCATGTAGTCTCCTCACCTGGCTTCTTTCACTTAGATTAGTGCTTTTGAGATTCATTCAAGCTGAGTGTGGTGGCTCACATCTGTAATCCCAGCACTTTGGGAGGCTGAGGTGGGTGGATCACGAGGTCAGGAGTTCAAGACCAGCCTGGCCAACACAGTGAAACCCTGTCTCTGCTAAAAATACCAAACTTAGCTGGATGTGGTGGCAGGCGCTTATAATCCCAGCTACTTGGGAGGCTGAGGCAGGAGAATCACTTGAACCCAGGAGGCAGGTTGCAGTGAGCCGAGATCACGCCACTGCACTCCAGCCTGGGCAACAGAGGAAGACTCCTTCTCAAAAAAAAAGAAAAAGAAATTCATTCATGTTGGGTATATCAGTAATTCACTCTTTTTTTTTTTTCTGCTGCTCTTCAACTCAGGCTCAAGTGATCCTCCTACCTTGGCCTCCCACAGTGCTGGAATTATAGGCATGAGTCACCGCACCCAGCCGTTCACTCCTTTTTATGGTGACTTGCACTTTCTTTCCTTGAATTTCTTGAAAATGCTGCCTTATTCTTACTTTGCTTTGAATCTTGCTCTTAATTTTTATTTTTATTTATTGAGACAGGGTTTCACTCTGTCACCCAGGCTAGGGTGCAGTGGCATGATCAGGGCATACTGCAGCCTTGACCTCCCAAGCTCAAGCAATCCTCCCACCTCAGTCCCCTGAGTAGCTGGGTCTACAGGTATGCGTCACTACGTCCAGCTAATTTTTTAAGTTTTTTGTAGAGATGGGGTCTCTTCGTGTTGCCCAGGCTGGTCTCGAACTCCTGGACTCAAGTGATCCACCCACCTTGGCTTTCTAAATTGCTGGGATTACAGACGTGAGCCACTGCATCTGGCTTGTTTGTTGCTCTTAAGAAATCTGTAGTGACCTAATTTTTTGTTCGTTTGTTTGTTTTGAGATGACGTCTTGCTCTGTCACCCAGGCTGGAGTGCAGTGGCGCGATCTTGGCTCACTGCAGCCTCCACCTCCCAGGTTCAAGCGATTCTCCTGCCTCAGCCTTCTGAGTAGCTGGGATTACAGGTGCGCACCACCACACCCGGCTAATGTTTGTATTTTTAGTAGAGATAGGGTTTCGCCATGTTGGCCAGGCTGGTCTTAAACTCCTGACCTCAGGTGATCCACCCACCTCGGCCTCCCAAAGTGCTGGGATTACAGGCATGAGCCACCATGCCCGACCTGTTTGTTTGTGTTTTGAGACAGGGCCTTACTCTGTTGCCCAGGCTGGAGTACAGTGGCATGATCACAGCTCACTGTAGCCTCAACTTACTGAGCTTAAGTGATCCTGCCACCTCAGCCTCCAAGTAGCTGGGACCACAGGCACATGGCACCACACCTGGCTAATTTTCAAATTTTTTTAAAGAAACGGGGTCTCCCTATGTTGCCCAGGCTGGTCTTGAGCTCCTAGGCTTAAGCAATCCTTTTGCCTTGGTCTCCCAAAGTGCTCGGATTACAGGCATGAGCTACCGCACCTGGCCCCTAATTTTTAAAATTCTTATTATAATAGGTGATTTGATCTTTTAGTCTTGAATTTTTTTTTTTTTTTTTTTTTTTTTGAGATGGAGTCTCACCCTGTCACTCAGGCTGGAGCGCAGTGGCATGATCTTGACTCACTGCAACCTCCGCCTCCCAGGCTCAAGTGATCCTCCTACCTTAGCCTCTGAGTAGCTGGGATCACAGACATGAACCACCATGCACGGCTAGTTTTTTTTTTCTTTTTTAATTTTTTTAAAGACAGAGCCTCGCTCTGTTGCTCATGCTTGAGTGCAGTGGCATGATCTCGGCTCACTGCAGCCTCCTTCTCCTGGGTTCAAGCGATTCTTGTGCCTCGGCCTCCTTAGGAGCTGGGATTACAGGCATGTGCCACCACGCCCAGCTAATTTTTGTATTTTTAGTAGAGATGGGGTTTCGCCATGTTGGCCGTATTGGTCTTGAACTCCTGACCTCAAGTGATCCGCCTACCTCAGCCTCCCAAAGTGCTAGGATTACGGACGTTAGCCACCGCGCCAGCCTGGCTAATTATTTTTGCCTTGATGTTTTGAGAATTTTTTTCCTTTCCTTTAAAATCTAATAGTTTCATTAGAATGTATTTTGAAGTTAATTCTTCCTGGTAATATGTTTACTCCCTGGCACATTTTCTTAGAGTATAGTTTTAAATACTGGTTTTCTTTAATCAGCAGAAATGTTTTTATTTGCATTTAGTTTTCTTTTTACATTAGATTTGAATGGCATTGGTTTGATTGGTTTTTTTCTTTTTCCTACTTTTAGGCATTTTGTGGACAGAGTTCATTGTGTACCCCCTCCTGTTAGTATAGCATCCTGCACCTTCTTTAATGGATGATGATATTGGTAGTGGGGAGGAAAAGGGGAGTTAGCACCTATTTGTGCAGGATTCTTTTTTTTTTTTTTTTTTTTTTTTGAGACTGAGTCTTACTCTGTCACGCAGGCTGGAGTTCAGTGGCACGATCTCGGCTCACTGCAACCTCAGCCTCCGGGTTCAAGCAGTTCTCCCGTCTCAGCCTCCTGAGTAGCTGGGATTACAGGGGTGCGCCACCACACCTGGCTAATTTTTGTATTTTTAGTAGAGATGGGGTTTCACCATGTTGGACAGGCTGGTCTCAAACTCCTGACCTTAAGTAATTTGCCCGCCTGGGCCTCCCAAAGTGCTGGAATTACAGGTGTGAGCTACCGTGCCTGGCCTTGAGACAGGGGTCATGCTTTCTCACCCAAGCTGGAGTGCAGTGGTATGATCATACCTCACTATAATCTCAAACTCCTGGGCTCAAGCAATTCTCCCACCTCAGCCTCCTGAGTATTTATGACTACATGGTTGTGCCATGATCCCCAGCTAATTAAATTTTTTTTTTTTTTTTTTTTTTTTTTGTGGAGACAGGGCCTATGTTGCCTTGCCTGGTCTCAAGCTATCCTCCCTGTTGGCCTCCCCAGGCTTTGAGATTATAGGCATGGGCCGCTGCACCTGGCCTTAATCTCAGCTAATTGTTGGGGAAGGCAAATATATATTATTGATCTTGCTTTCCTTCCTGAGAAATTCACGTCTCCTGGCTCTACAACAGTCAACAGTATGGTCTGGTCTTCATCCTGCCTCTGTGACTGCTCATCATCTTTCATGGCTCTGTTTTCTTTGCATATCTTTTAGATGTTGGCTTTGTCTTCTCTACTTATTCTCTGGCCACTTTGAATTCACTTTGATTGCTTTAGTTGCCATCCATAATAAATAGAAATCTTTATTCTAGATCTCTTTCCTGAGCTCCAGATCCATGTGTCCAGCTGACTACAGAATATCTCCAGTTGTATGATCTGAAGCCCCTAACTTTTTACCCCTTAACTTTGATCCTTCTACAGGATTTCTTAAATTGGTAAATGGCATCAGCGTATCAATGATTACCTCCACTCCCATCCCCAAATCCAGTCAGTCAGGTATATATTACCTACCAAATATAACTCATTATCCTTCTAGTTTTCTGTGTCCTTGCTGTTACTAAAGACCAGGTTGGGCTGGGCACGGTGGCTCACACCTATAATCCAGCTTTGGGAGGCTGAGGTGGGTGGATCATGAGGTCAGGAGATGAAGGCCAGCCTGGCTAACACAGTGAAACCCCATCCCTACTAAAAATACAAAAAATTAGCTGGGCGTGGTGGCATGCACCTGTAGTCGCAGCTACTTGGGAGGCTGAGGCAGGAGAATCACTTGAACCTGGGAGGCGGAGGTTGCAGTGAGCCGAGATCGCACCACTGCACTCCAGCCTGGGCAACACAGCAAGACTCCATCTCAAAAAAAAAAAAAAAAAGCCGGGTCCAGTGGCTCACACCTGTAATCCCAGTGCTTTGGGAGGCCAAGGTGAGCAGATCACAAGGTCAGGAGATCGAGACCATCCTGGCTAACATGGTGAAACCCTGTTTCTAAAATACAAAAAATTAGCCAGGCGTGGTGGCGGGCACCTGTAGTCCCAGCTACTCGGGAGGCTGAGGCAGGAGAATAGCGTGAACCCAGGAGGCAGAGCTTGCAGTGAGCCGAGATTGCGCCACTGCACTCCAGCCTGGGCGACAGAGCGAGACTCTGTCTCAGAAAAAAAAAAAGAAACCAGGTTGCCATTACCTGGGCCATTACAACAACTTCCAATCATTCTCTCTTCCAGTTCAGTCTCTATAGCACAGCTGGTGTAATTATTCTAAAATATCTCTGATCATGTCTCTCTCTTCTGAAAATATTTGCCTCACTTGTTTCAGAAAATGGAATCATCAAGACAGATAAAGTATTTGAAGTGATGCTGGCTACAGACCGCTCCCACTATGCAAAATGTAACCCATACATGGATTCTCCACAATCAATAGGTAAGCTTTAGATTTCTGAAAATATCATAGTTTTCATCATTTACTTTATGATTTTTGGAAGTAGAAAAAGCCTGGGACACAGATATTTATCTATTATTACCTTCTTAATTTGAATTTTATGACTCAGCAAGTTTCATAATCCCAAACATACCTATTTTAATAAAATTATGTATGTTTTTCTGTTTTCTCGAACAATATATAATATGTATAAAGAATTAAAAACATTTTTTGAAATAAAATATTTTAGTGAAAAAAACTTTTGTATTTGGAGACGGAGTCTCATTCTATCATCCAGGCTGGATTGCAGTGGCACAATATCGGCTCACTGCAACCTTCACCTCCTGGGTTCAAGCAGTTTTCCTGCCTTAACCTCCCGAGTAGCTGGGATTACAGGTGCATGCCACCATGCCTGGCTAATTTTTTGTATTTTAGTAGAGACGGGGTTTCAGCGTGTTGCCCAAGCTGGTCTCGGAACTCCTGAGCTCAGGCAAACCACCCGTGTTGGCCTCCCAAAGCACTAGGATTACAGGCATGAGCCACCACACCCTGCCGTAAAAAAAAACTTTTAATGAAAACTTACAGTATTAGCCGAGTGCTGAGTTTTCTTTAGGGGCCTTAGTGTTGACTAAAGATTAGTTTTCAGGTTAGGATTAATTTTTTAAATCAATATTTAAATAAGTGTGCTTAAGTTATTAATGACTTCTCTGCTTTATTTGCCCTGCTTTTTTGGCTTGTGTTTGTTTTTAGAAAGTCCTGTATTTAACTCCTTCTCCTGAAGCAGGTTTTGCTGAACTGCTGAGCCTTGGCAGTGGGCGCCTTTGAGGCTTAGAAGTGCCTCAGGATTCTGTCAGTCGGCTGCCATGCTATCTTCTTTTGACGCACTATAACAGTCAGCAGAGAAGATCCTGGGGAGCTTCTGAACCCCGAAGGCACCTGCTACCACCGCTCAGTGAAACTTGCTTCAGAGGCAGAAAGAAGCAGGTAAATAAGTTTTGAGAAAGCAACACCACAAGAAAAGAAACTAAAAGTTAAGAACCACGAAAAGATTGTGTGAATTAACATTAGATGATAAGATAAAGAATAAAATGAAGTATTTTATTGGTCTTTTAAGCTACTTTTTCAGTTATTCTAGTTTTTTTTTAAGTTGACAGAAATATGAAGCAATTTAATTTTGCACAGACTTTGTATACCTATTACATATGAAAACTTATTTTTAAAAAACAATCTGAAGTAAAAACAAGCCAAAAATATATCAACTCTCAACTTACTGAAATTCTTCCTTTCTTAGCTGACTCTACAGGAGAAGAAATTTTTAGCTGCCGTACTTTAGAGGGACTGTTTTACTAGATGAGCACGTTACCCTTTGGCATGATTATATTTTCTAATTTTAACTGCTGGGTGACAGTACTCTAATAGAAGTAAGTTTTATTTTCTTGAGATCATAAAAACTAAAAAAGAATTATTGTGAAAGCCGGGCGTGGTGGCTCACGCCTGTAATCCTAGCACTTTGGGAGGCCGAGGTGGGTGGATCACGAGGTCAGGAGATCGAGACCATCCTGGCTAACGCGGTGAAACCCCGTCTCTACTAAAAGTACAAAAAATTAGCCGGGCGTGGTGGTGGGGGCCTGTAGTCCCAGCTACTCGGGAGGCTGAGGCAGTAGAATGGCGTGAACCTGGGAGGCGGAGCTTGCAGTGAGCCAAGATCGCGCCACTGCACTCTAGCCTGGGCGACACAGTGAGACTGTCTCAGAAAAAAAAAAAAAAAAAAAGAATTATTGTGAAAAATAACGTATGGATGGTAGAAAAGAAATTATGTGAAATAGTATATTTTTACAGCTGACTGTATCAGTAGTTCTCTTCTTCTTTTGCAGGTTTCCAAGCAACAATCAGTGCTCCACACATGGTAAGTTAAGTTTGTTCACTTGGTTACAAATGGATTACATTTTTCTCTATAATCATTTTCTTTAGTAAAAAAGATTTAAAGAAAGTTGTATCAATTTATCATCTATGAGTTATGTGAATTGGTAATGAACATCATTTTCTTTTTTGAACATCTTATTCTTAATACAGGGTCTGTAGAAGGAGTTTTGTTTTGTTTTGTTTTGTTTTGTTTTGTTTTGTTTTGTTTTTGAGATGGAGTCTCGCTCTGTCGCCCAGGCTAGAGTGCAGTGGCACAATCTCGGCTCACTGCAACCTCCCACTTCCGGGTTCATGCCATTCTCCTGCCTCAGCCTCCCCAGGAGCTGGGACTACAGGTGCCCACCACGATGCCCGGCTAATTTTTTATATTTTTAGTAGAGACGGGGTTTCATGGTCTTAGCCAGGATGGTCTCGATCTCCTGACCCTCGTGATCCGCCTGCCTCGGCCTCCCAAAGTGCTGGGATTACAGGCGTGAGCCACTGCGCTTGGCCCAGAAGGAGCTTTTTAAGGTAGAAACTGGCATATTAAAAGATTTTGGTGGTTGTCAGTATCTGTGACATGTAAAAATTGAACATAAAAGGTTATTTAGTAGACAGTTAATTAATGGAGATAATATTTTAAATAGTATAATGGACATTTTATAGAAATCTCAAGTTGAATATTATTTCACATTTTATGTGGAAAATTCATTAGGGAGTGGTTAAGTATAAGAGCCATTAAGCTGCATAGCTCCTTGAGAAAGACTTACTTTGAGTGATCTAGCAGTTTTAATCTGTTGGGAATTTTCTTGGGTTTTATTTATTTATTTATTTATTTTTGAGACAACTTCTTACCTTGTCACCCAGGCTGGAATGCAGTGGTATAATCATCACAGCTCACTGCAGCCTTGACTCCCGGGCTCATGCAGTCCTCCCACCTCAGCCTCCTAAAGTGCTAGGATTACAGGCATGAGCCACTGTGCCCAACCTTTTCTTAGGGTTTAAATGTCAGTATTTGAATGAGTACTTTTGTTTTATTTTGTAGGAAAGAACAATAGCTTTTCTTTTCTTTTTCTTTTCTTTTTTTTTTTTGAGATGGAGTCTCACACTGTTGCCCAGGCTGGTGTGCAGTGGCGCGATCTTGGCTTGCTGCAACCTCCGCCTCCTGGGTTCAAGTGATTCTCCTGCCTCAGCCTCCTGAGTAACTAGCATTACAGGTGCCCGCCACCACACTCAGCTTATGTTTTGTATTTTTAGTAGAGACGGGGCTTCACTATGTTGGCCAGGCTGGTCTTGAACTCCTGACCTTGTGATCCACCCGCCTCAGCCTCCCAAAGTGCTGGGATTATAGGTGTGAGCCACTGGGCCCAGTCTTTTTTTTTTTTTTTTTGAGACGGAGTTTCGTTCTTGTGCCCAGGCTGGAGTGCAATATTGTCATCTCTGCTCACTGCAACCTCCACCTCCTAGGTTCAAGTAATTCTCTTGCCTCAGCCTCCCTAGTAGCTGGGATTACAGGCACCCGCCACCACACCTGGCTAACTTTTTTTTTTTTTTTTTTTTGAGACGGACTCTCACCTGTGGCCCAGGCTGGAGTGCAGTGGCGCCATCTTGGCTCACTGCAAGCTCCGCCTCCTGGGTTCACGCCATTCTCCTGCCTCAGCCTCCTGAGTAGCTGGGACTACAGGTGCCCGCCACCATGCCCTGCTAGTTTTTTGTATTTTTTAGTAGAGACGGGGTTTCACCATGTTAGCCAGGATGGTCTCGATCTCGTGACCTTGTGATCCGCCCGCCTCGGCCTCCCAAAGTGCTGGGATTACAGGCGTGAGCCACCCCACCCAGCCTTAACTTTTTGTATTTTTAATAGAGACAGGGTTTCACCTTGTTGGCCAGGCTGGTTTTGAACTCCTGACCTCAGGTGATCCACTCGCCTTTGCCTCCCAAAATGCTGGGATTATAGGCATGAGCCACTGGGCCTGGCCAGAACAATAACTTTTCTGATTCTCTGCAAGTATTTGGGGTTGGAGAAGCTCTTATTTAAACTTAATACTAATATAAATTCTATATGTATTTATAGCAAATTGATAATTATACTAGAAGAAAAAAGCAGACATTTATAAAAATTGAATAGTAATGTCTTCTTGAAACATGACAGAAAACACAGAAGCCATTAAAAAAACCTGATACATTTTGAAACTTACATATCTAGGATTTTTGCGGAGAAAAAATGTTATAAGCAAAAATTAAAGAGGAAAAATTGGCTGTGTGTGGTGGCTCACACCTGTGTAATCTCAACACTTTGGGAGGCCGAGGCAGGAATATCGCTAGAAGCCAGGAGTTTGAGACCAGCCTGGGCAACAAAGCAAGACTCTGTCTCTACAAAAAATTTTAAAAATTAGTTGGGTGTGGTGGCAATGTTCCTGTAGTCCCAGCTACAAGGGAGGCCAAGGCAGAAGGATTGTCTGAGTCCAGGAATTTGAGGCTGCAGTGAGCCATGATTGTGCTACTGCACTCCAGCCTGGTTGACAGAGACCCTCATCTCAATAATAATAATTAACGATTGAGGGAAATATTGTAATACATATGACAGCAAGGGAAAATTTCAATATGTAGACATGTATGCATACATTTGTGTTTGTGTGTATCCTGTTAATAAGTGAAAGACCGGTAAGCCCAAAAGAAAATGTGTAAAGGACAGGATTGATAGTTCATCGTGGCCAGGCGTGGTGGCTCACATCTGTAATCCCAGCACTTTGGGAGGCCAAAGTGGGCGAATCACCAGAGGTTGGGAGTTTGAGACCAGCCTCACCAACATGGAGAAACCCTGTCTCTACTAAAAATACAAAATTAGCTGGGCGTGGTGGCGCATGCCTGTAATCCCAGCTACTTGGGAGGCTGAGGCAGGAGAATCGCTTGAACCCGGGAGGCAGAGGTTGCGTTGAGCTGAAATTGCACCATTGCCCTCCAGCCTGGGCAGCAAGAGTGAAAGTCTGTCTCAAAAAAGAAAAGGCTAAGATAGTTCATTGAACAGAAATACAAATGACTTTGACATTTAAACAAATGAAAAGATGTCATCTTCACGTATTTAAATTTTTTTTTTTTTGAGGCAGAGTCTTGCTCTGTTGCCCAGGCTGGAGTGCAGTGGCATGATCTCGGCTCACTGCAACCTCCGCCCCGTGGATTCAAGCAATTCGCGTGCCTTACTCAGCCTTCCTCGTAGCTGGGATTACAGGTGTGCACTACCATGCCCGGCTAATTTTTGTATTTTTAGTAGAGATGGGGTTTCGCCATGTTGGCCAGGCTTGTCTCCTGACCTGACCTCCTGACCTCAAGTGATCTCCTGACCTCAAGTGATCCACCCGCCTTGGCCTCCCAGAGTGCTGGGATTACAGGTGTGAGCCACTGTGCCTGGCCATTAAAATTTTTTTTTGTAGAGACAGGGCCTCACTTTGTTACCCCAGGTTGGTCGTGAACTCCTGGGCTCTAGTGATCCTCTTGCTTTGGCCTTCTAAAATGTTGGATTACAGGCATAAGCCACCATGCCCAGCCTCATCTTCACTTATACTTAGTAAATTGCAAATTAGCACTATAATGAGGTACCAGTTTTCACCTATCAGATTGTTAGAGATTAAAAAATTTGATACTTTGTATTGGAAATGGAAAACTGGCAGTCACATACTTTTTTTGTGTGGGAGAGTACATTGAATGTTTTTGGAAGACAATTTGGCAGTATCTATCGAAATGTGAAATAAATATAACTTAGATTTCCCAGTTTTATTTCAAGATATTTATCCCATAATATATACATGAGTGCAGAGTGACTTAAGTTATTTATTGACGTCTTATTTATTATAATTACAAAAAGCAATGTCCACAAATGGTGGATGGTTAATAAATTACAGTACAGATGCTCCTTGACTTACATGGGGGTATGTCCTGGTAAACCCATCATAAGTTGAAAATACTGTAACTCTAAAATGCATTTAATATACTTAGCCTACCAAACTTCATAGCTTAGCCTTGCCTACCTTAAATGTGCTCAGAACACTTACGTTAGCCTACAGTTGGGCAAAATCAACTAACACAAAGTCTGTTTTATAATAAAATGGTGAATATCACATGTAATTTATTGAATATTGTACTGAAAGTGGAAAATAGAATGCATGTATGGGTACTTGAAGTACAATTTGTACAGAACGTGTATAATTTTTACATCATCGTAAAGTCGAGAAATCATATGTTGAACCACTGTTAAGTCAGGGACCATCTTAACCTCCATGTTGTGGAGTATTGTGAAACTGTTAAAAGAACTCTGCAAGTACAAATATGACAAAGTCTTCAAGAAATGCAGTATAATACTTACAGGTGGTTTTTTGGGTGGGAAAAATAAGAATGAAACAGTATAAAAGTTGAGTCCCAAAGGGTATTTAGAATATTCTGTAATGTATGAAAATCACATATGCACACATACATGCACATATATGTTTTTCTTTGGGAATGAAAACTAAAAATAATTTCTTCTAAGATAGGAATTAGCTTATTTAGGATATATGGGTGGAATTGAGATCTGATTTTCACTCTGTGTCCTTGATCTGTTATCAATTCCTTCCTTTCTTTCTTTGCTTTCTTTGACTTTCTTTCTTTGTCCTTTCTCTTTCTTTTCTTCTTTCTTTTTCTCCTTCCTTCCTTCCTTCCTTCTTTCCTTCTTTTCTTCTTTTTTTTTTTTTTTTTTTCCACAAAGTCTCACTCTGTTGCCCAGGCTGGAGTGCAGTGGGGTGATCTTGGCTTACTGCAACCTCTGCCTCCCGGATTCAAGTGATTCTCCTGCCTCAGCCTCTCAGATAGCTGGGATTACAGATATACACCACCAAGCCTGGCTAATTTTTGTATTTTTAGTAGAGACAGGGTTTCGTCACGTTGGCCAGGCTGGTCTTGAACTCCTGGCCTCAAGTGATCTGCCTGACTCGGCCTCCCAAAGTGCTGGGATTACAAGCTTGAGCCACTGTGTCTGGCGTGTTATCAATTTCTTTATTCCTTTTGCTTAATTTTTTTTAACATTTTAATTTTTTATTATTATTATTTTTGAGATGGAGTCTCTCTCTGTCGCCCAGGCTGGAGTGCAGTGGCACAGTCTCAGCTTAGTGAAACTTTTGCCTCCCAGGTTCAAGCAGTTCTCCTGCTTCAGCCTCCTGAGTAGCTAGGATTACAAGTGTGCACCACCACACCCGGCTAATTTTTGTATTTTTAGTAGAGATGGGATTTCACCGTGTTGGCCAGGCTGGTCTCAAACTCCTGACCTCAAGCGATCCACCCTCCTTGGCCTCCCAAAGTGCTGGGATTACAGGCCTGAGCCACTGCGTCTAGCCCTTAATTTTTTAGTTTTTGTTTTTTTTAAGACAGGGTGTTGCTTTGTTGCCCAGGCTGGAGTACAGAAGCATGATGATGGCCCACTGCAGCCGAGACCTGCTGAGCTTAAAAGATCCTCCCACCTTAGCCTCCTGAGTAGCTGGGACTATAGGCACATACCACCACCCTTTACTTTTTAAAAACATTTTCTGTAGAGATGAGGACTCACTGTGTTGCCCAAGCTAGTTCTGAACCCTGGAGCTCAAGCGATCCTCCCACCTCAGCCTCCCAAAGTGTTAGCATTACAGGTGTGAGCCACTGGGCCGGGCTTTCTTTTTTCTTTAAACCATAGATTAGGAATGACTTTTTTGTATATTACCTATTCAATAAGTGATTAAAAAGAAAAGTTATAGTCTTAAGATAATCTGCAAACAGTTTGAACTACTACTGAAGGGGGAATTAATGAATTTTATAAGTATAATGGTAGAAAAATTTATTCTTTTTCTTGAAGGTAGAACGTAATATAGCCCCACCCCACCCCCCCACTCTGGTGCGGGGCCCGGGTTGAGAGAGAATATTAACTGCTTATCCCTCCTCTATGCGCAGAGAGGCTTATCTGTGTTCCATCGTTTTACATTCCTTGAGGCACAGCGAGTTCTTGCTTCCCTCCCTAGCTCGGCTGTAAAGTCACAAAGTTGATAAGCAATTGCTACAAAAGCATGTATTCCCAAGGATGTAAAACATATGGTGTAACAAATGTAAAAGAGTAATTAACTGCCTTTGATCTCGCTTCTGCAAGTACCCTTCCTGCAGCACGTAACTCCCTAACTCCTGCCACAAACTGCTTAAAAGGTGATTGATCCCTTTGTTCAGGGATCAGACTTTCTGGACCCTAGTCCGACTGCGCCAGTGATCACCTTAATAATTAGACACTCTCCTGAACTGTGCTCAGTCTCTCCCGTCTCTGATTTGTCCCACAACACTACCTAAATGAAAGATTTATATAGAAGCATGAATGTGACTGGGCGGGGTGGCTCATGCCTGTAACCCTAGCACTTTGGGAGGCCGAGGCAGGTGGGTCACCTGAGGTCAGGAGTTCGAGACCAGCCTGGCCAACATGGCAATATCCCGTCTCTACTAAAAATACAAAAATTAGCCACGTGTGGTGGCAGGAGCCTATAATCCCAGCTACTCAGGAGCCTGAGACAAGAGAATCACTTGGACCTGGGGAGGGTGCAGGTTGCAGTGAGCCAAGATCGCACCACTTCACTCCAGCCTGGGCAAAAGATCAAAACTCTGACTCAAAAAAAAAAAAGAAGTATGAATGCTAAAAGTCATTTTGGAGAACCAGTATCTAGCATGGTTGGGAAATTGACTGGAGTGGTATGCTTTCAGGTATTAAGGGAAATACTTTGTGATTTTTTTCTTTCCCCTGAAGTTTGGTCTGGGTGTCCAGTTCATTGCTGAACAAAGCATAGCAGTTACTTCATGGCAAAAGATGCATTTTAAAACAACAATACAAAACAGCTTTATTAAGATACAATTCTTGGCTAGGTACAGTACCTTGAGCCTGTAATTCCAGCACTTTGGGAGGCCGAGGCCAGAGGATCACTTGAGCCCAGGAGTTTGAGACCAGCCTGGGCAACATGGTGAGATCCCATCTCTACAAAAAATAAAAAACATTTAGCTGGGCGTGATAGTACGTGCCTGTGGTCCCAGCTATTCTGCAGACTGAGGTGGAAGGATTGCTTGAGCCTGGGAGATGGAGGCTGCAGTGAGTCATGATAACACCACTACACCCCTGCCTGAGTGACAGATCAAGACCCTGTCTCAGAAAAAAAAAAAAAAGGTATAATTCTTATACTGTAGAATTCATCCCTTTAAAGTGTAGAATTCTGCAGTTTTTAGTTTATTCAGAGTTACACAAACATCAGCACTCTCTAATATGAGGTTTTCATCACTGCAGAAAGAAACCTTCCTTATACCCATTAGCAGTCAGATCCCAACCCCTGCTCTGCTCAGGTCCTGGCAACTACTAATCTATTATTTGTTTCTATAGATTTGCCTATTCTAGACATTTCATATAAATAGAATCATATAATATGTTGCCTTTTATGACTGACTTTTTAAATTTAGCATAATGTTTTCAAGATTGATCCCTGTTGTAGTGTGAATCAGTACTTCTGTCCTTTTTATGACTGAATAATATCCGATTGTATGGATATACAACATTTATCTATTAACTGTTGAGGGACATTTGGATTGTTTCCAGTGTTTGGCTATTCTAAATAATGCTGCAGTGAACATTTGTGTACACATTTTTGTGTGTTTTCATTTCTCTCGAGTATTTACCTAGGAGTGGAATTACCAGATCATATATGAAAACTCTATGTTTAACATTTTGTGGAATGGCCAAACCGTTTTTCAAAGCAGCTGCACCATTTTACAGTCCCACTAGCAATGTATGAGGGTTCCAGTTTCTCTGCTTCCTTGTTAACATTTGTTATTTTCTTTTTTTAAAAGAATTTTATCCATCCTAGTGACTATGAAGTGGTGTCTCATTGTGGTTTTGATTTGCATTTCCCTAATGATGAATGATGTTGAGCGTCTTTTCATGTGCGTTTTGGCCATTTCTGTATCTTCTTTGGAGAAACATTTATTCAGTCTCTTACCCCTTTCTTGTTTTTTTTTTTTTGTTTTTTTTTTTTAGATAATTAAAACTTTTTTTTTTTTTCTGAGACAGAGTCTCGCTCTGTCACCCGGGCTGGAGTGCAGTGGTGCCATCTCAGCTCACTGCAACCTCCGCCTCCCAGGTTCAAGCAATTCTCCTGCCTCAGCCTCCTGAGTAGCTAGGATTATAGGCATGCACCACCACACCTGGCTAATTTTTGTATTTTTAGTAGAGACAAGGTTTCACCGTGTTGGCCAGGCTGGTCTTGAACTCCTGACCTCGTGATCCGCCCACCTCAGCCTCCCAAAGTGTTGGGATTACAGGCGTGAGCCACGGCGCCCGGCCAAAAAATTTTTTTTAAAGACAGGGTCTTGCTATGTCGCCCAGGCTGGTCTCAAACTCCTGAGCTCAAGCAATCCTCCTGCCTGTGCCTCTCAAAGTGCTGGGATTACAAGCACGAGCCACCATAACTGGCCTCTTGACCATTTCTTAATTGGGTTATTTGTCTTTTCATTGTTAAAACTGTATTTTATATAAATGCATTAAAATTTTTAATTGTGTTAAAATACACATAACATAAAATTTACCATCTTAACCATTTTAAGTGTACCATTTAGTAGTGTTAAGTACATTTACATTGTTATGCAATCAGTCTTCAGAACACTTTTCATCTTGCAAAACTAACACTCTATACTCATTCAATAACAATTTCCCACTTTTCTCATTCTTTCTTTACCTCAGCCCCTGGCAACCACCATTCTATTTTCTGTTTCTATGAATTTGGTTCCTCTAGGTACATCATATAAGTGGAATCATAAAGTGTTTGTCTTTTTGTGACTGGCTTATTTCACTTAGCATATGTCATAGCTTATGTCAGAATTTTCTCCCAAAGCTGATGCATTTTTAATTACTTATATTTTCTGAGCCATCTATGACTGTTAATAAGGAAAACTTGTGTATCTATGTATGTATATAGTCACATGAAACATCTATATGAATGTTTATATATATGCACATAACAGTAAGCATACAGTGCAAGATGTGAATAGGGTAAAATATTTTTAATTGTATTATATGAATAAGCAGTTGTGATCTTGAATCATTTATTGCATAAATCTTAGCAGTATTATAAGACAAGCAGAAAGTGAGGATGCAAAGAGAAATGACATCTACATCTAATGAACCTTAAAATCACAAGCTTGGAATTAACTATAATCCTGGAATATTTTCCAAACCTGTAAAGAAAAATGTGATGCGTGCAGTGGTGAAGAGATTAAAGGCAATCTGTTAAAATGGTATCCTGGTAGCAGTGAGCACACCTGGCATCCAGGTTTGGGATCCTAAATACCACTGCTTACTAAAAGAGTCAAGTGCTCCTTGGAGTAGTGACTGACATCTGTCAAGTGAGGAAGTACTCAAAGGCTGAGGAGGTAATGTCAGAAGGACATACGAGCAGATTTGAAGAGGCTCCCAAAGGCCAAATTGGAGAGAATTTGAGAATCAACAAGAATAATGATGGTAACAGATTATAGCACAGTGAATTGAAAAACAAAAATTTGTGAGTCTATGGAGACTTAAAAAAAAACAAAAAGAGCAAGACAGGGAAAAAAGCGAAAATGATTTTTTTCAGAAAAACAGAAGAATGTTAATGAATAAATGTGGAAGGAATAATGAAATTTTAAAAATCAGTATTTTGGCTGGGTGCAGTGGCTGATGCGTGTAATCTCAGCACTTCAGGAGGCCGAGCGGGCAGATCCCTTGAGCCCAGGAGTTCAAGACCACCCTGGGCAACAAAGCAAGACCCTGACTCTACAAAAATAAAAATAAAGATCACTATTTTGTTATCATCAATGTAATGAATTAGGCAAAGATTATTAATGAATCTAAAACCATTAGGAGGAAGATTGTTGGAGAACAAAAATACTCATGTAGTCTCAAATTAGTACTCCACATATTATTATTATTTTTTTTCAAGTCATAGTCTTGCTGTGTCACCCAGGCTGGATGCAGTGGCGTGATCTTGGCTCACTGCAACCTCCGCCTTCTGGGTTAAAGCAATTCTTCTGCCTCAGCCTCCCAAATAGCTGGGATTACAGGCATGCACCACCATGCCTGGATAATTTCTGTAGTTTTAGTAGAGACGGGGTTTCACCATGTTAGCCAGCCTGGTCTCGAACTCTTGACCTCGTGATCTGCCCACCTCAGCCTCCCAAAGTGCTGGGATAAGAGGCATAAGCCACCGCACCCGTCCCACATGTTATTAATTATAAAGAAAAAAATATGCCTTGAAAGTAGAGTGATCTATTGGTGACCACATTTACTGAGTGGTTGAGGTTGACATGTCCGGTGGTGTGGTGGTCCAATATTATATACTTCTTAATGTGATGCTCTTAGGGAGTTGCATAGCAAGACTTGCGTGTGTTCTTGCTAGACGTCTTTGATCTGAATCTAACCCTGAGGAAGCAGAGACATCTAGAATGTGGTGCATTATGTGTGGGACAACTGGACAGGACTCTTTTTTTTTCTCCCCCCTGAGACAGGGTCTTGCTCTGTTGCCCAGGCTGGAGTGCAAAGATCATAGCTCACTATAACCTCAAGCTCTTCAGCTCCAGTGATCTTCCTGCCTCTGCCTCCCAAGGAGCTGGGACTATAGGCATGTGCCATGACCCACACTCAGATAATTTTTAACTTTTTTGTAGACATACGGTCTCAACTGTGTTGTCCAGGCTTATTTCAAACTCCTGGTCTCAAGTTATCCTTCCACTTTGGCCTTTCAGAGCACTCGGATTATAGGTATAAGTCACCATGCCTTGCCAGGACTCCTTAAATGAGTCAGTGTCCTGAAGAACAGAGCAAAGTGGTAGGTGGAGGGAGATAATTGGGGGAACATTCTAGATTGGCAAATGTAATGCATGAACCTTGAATATATTGGGGGAAAAAACAGCCATTTAACACATATTTGTGTGTTACCCCTAAAAGGGTTCTGTGGAACATTAAGGACTTTCTGGTTTGAAAGTTTGAAATGTCTTGGATTATGTGAGGCTGTATCTATTCAAGGCCTTCTCTCCATATATAAGTTGGGGGAAAAGATAGCTTTAACTTTTTAAAAATTCTTTTTTTAAGCTCCCAAGTGCTTGGAAACCTTAGCTTTAAATAAAAACACAACTTCTTATTATGGAAAATTATGGAAGAGTTCCAGTACCATATATACAAATAAAATAGTATAATGAACCTATAAATCACCCAGCTTTAATAATGACCAACAATTTACTAATCTTGTTTTATTTAACTCTCTCTTTTTTTTTTTTTGAGGCAGAGTCATGCTCTGTGGCCCAGGCTGGAATGTAGTAGCGCAATCTCAGCTCACTGCGGCCTGCTGGGCTCAAATCATCCTCTCACCTCAGCCTCTCGAGTAGCTGGGACTACAGGTGTGCACCACCACATCCACCTCATTTTTGTATTTTTGTAGAGATGGGGTATCGCTGTGTTGCCCAGGCTGGTCTTGAACTCCTGAACTTAAGCAATCCACCCACCTCGGCCTCCCAAAGACTGGGATTACAGGCTATGAACCACTGCTCCTAGTGTAACTCTCTCTTTTGCTGAAGTATTTTAAAGCAAATCCCAAACATACATAATATTATTTCATCCCTGGATACTTTATTATAAATCTCAATGACTTTAAACATAAACTACAATGTCATTATCATACCTAACAATGTTTCTTAATATCTTATGTCTACTCCACGTTCAAAGTTTGCCAGGTGCTTAAAAATTTTTATAGTTAATTCGCTTAAATCAGTATCCACACAGAGTCTATACATTGCATATTTTTGGTCTTGTTTCAGTTTTTTAAAGTATCTTTTAATTTTTAAAGAAAGACCCCTTTCTTTTTTTAAATGCCATTTGTTTATTGACTAAAGTAGTTCATTTGTTATATAGAATTTCCCATATTCTGAATTTGGTTAATTGTTTCCTAGTGGTGGTTGACTTATTCTTAAAACTTTTTTTTTCAGGAACACTTCCTAATGGTCCTTCCTGTTGCATCATATCAGGAGGTCCATAATGTCTGGTCATCCACTTTTAGTGACTGGAATAAGTAGTTGTTAATTTTTTTTTAATTGTTCCATGGAATAGGGCATTTTCGTTCTATCTTTCTCTTTGGCATTGGCTGTTTTCTTTTTTTTTTTTTTTTTAATTTAAATGTGGTATGTTTATTCAGTTCTTTTTTTTTATTTTTATTTTTTTTTATTGATCATTCTTGGGTGTTTCTCGCAGAGGGGGATTTGGCAGGGTCATAGGACAATAGTGGAGGGAAGGTCAGCAGATAAACAAGTGAACAAAGGTCTCTGGTTTTCCTAGGCAGAGGACCCTGAGGCCTTCCGCAGTGTTTGTGTCCCTGGGTACTTGAGATTAGGGAGTGGTGATGACTCTTAACGAGCACGCTGCCTTCAAGCATCTGTTTAACAAAGCACATCTTGCACCGCCCTTAATCCATTTAACCCTGAGTGGACACAGCACTTGTTTCAGAGAGCACAGGGTTGGGGGTAAGGTCACAGATCAACAGGATCCCAAGGCAGAAGAATTTTTCTTAGTACAGAACAAAATGAAAAGTCTCCCATGTCTACTTCTTTCTACACAGACACGGCAACCATCCGATTTCTCAATCTCTTCCCCACCTTTCCCCCCTTTCTATTCCACAAAGCCGCCATTGTCATCCTGGCCCGTTCTCAATGAGCTGTTGGGCACACCTCCCAGACGGGGTGGTGGCCGGGCAGAGGGGCTCCTCACTTCCCAGTAGGGGCGGCCGGGCAGAGGCGCCCCTCACCTCCCGGACGGGGCGGCTGGCCGGGCGGGGGGCTGACCCCCCCACCTCCCTCCCGGACGGGGTGGCTAGCCGGGCAGAGGAGCTCCTCCTTCCCAGTAGGGGCGGCCGGGCAGAGGCGCCCCTCACCTCCCGGACGGGGCGGCTGGCCGGGCGGGGGGCTGACCCCCCAACCTCCCTCCCAGACGGGGCGGCTGGCCGGGCGGGGGGGCTGACCCCCCCACCTCCCTCCCAGACGGGACAGGGCGGCTGGCCGGGCGGGGGTGCTGACCCCCCCCACCTCCCTCCAGGACGGGGCGGCTGGCCGGGCGGGGGCTGACCCCCCCACCTCCCTCCCGGACGGGGCGGCTGGCCGGGCGGGGGGCTGACCCCCCCACCTCCCTCCCGGACGGGGTGGCTGGCCGGGCGGGGGCTGACCCCCCACCTCCCTCCCGGACGGGGTGGCTGCTGGGCGGAGACGCTCCTCACTTCCCAGACGGGGTGGCTGCCAGGCGGAGGGGCTCCTCACTTCTCAGACGGGGCGGCTGCCGGGCGGAGGGGCTCCTCACTTCTCAGACGGGGCGGTTGCCAGGCAGAGGGTCTCCTCACTTCTCAGATGGGGCGGCCGGGCAGAGACGCTCCTCACCTCCCAGACGGGGTCGCGGCCGGGCAGAGACGCTCCTCACCTCCCAGACGGGGTCGCGGCCGGGCAGAGGCGCTCCTCACATCCCAGACGGGGCGGCGGGGCAGAGGCGCTCCCCACATCTCAGACGATGGGCGGCTGAGCAGAGACGCTCCTCACTTCCTAGATGGGATGGTGGCCGGAAAGAGGCGCTCCTCACTTCCTAGATGGGATGGCGGCTGGGCAGAGACGCTCCTCATATCCCAGACGGGGTGGCGGCCGGGCAGAGGCTGCAATCTCGGCACTTTGGGAGGCCAAGGCAGGCGGCTGGGAGGTAGAGGTTGTAGCTAGCCGAGATCACGCCACTGCACTCCAGCCTGGGCACCATTGAGCACTGAGTGAGCGAGACTCTGTCTGCAATCCTGGCACCTCGGGAGGCCGAGGCTGGTGGATCACTCCGGTTAGGAGCTGGAGACCAGCCCGGCCAACACAGCGAAACCCCGTCTCCACCAAAAAAATACGAAAACCAGTCAGGTGTGGTGGCGCGCGCCTGCAATCGCAGGCACTCGGCAGGCTGAGGCAGGAGAATCAGGCAGGGAGATTGCAGTGAGTTGAGATGGCGGCAGTACAGTCCAGCTTCGGCTCGGCATCAGAGGGAGACCGTGGAAAGAGAGGGAGACCGTGGGTAGAGGGAGACCGTGGGGAGAGGGAGAGGGAGAGGGAGCGGGAGCGGGAGCTGGCTGTTTTCATTGATAAAATAGTTATAATTTTTTTTTTTTTTTGAGACGGAATCTCGCTCTGTCACCCAGGCTGGAGTGCAGTGGCGCCATCTTGGCTCACTGCAACATCCACCTCCCGGGTTCAAGCGATTCTCCTGCTTCAGCTTCCCAGTAGCTGGGATTACAGCCGCCACCACGCCCGGCTAATTTTTTGTATTTTTAGCAGAGACAGGGTTTCATCATGTTGGGCAGGCTGGTCTTGAACTCCTGACCTTAGGTCATCTGCCCGCCTCGGCCTCTCAAAGTGCTGGGATTACAGGTGTGAGCCACCATGCCCGGCCCAAATGTTTTTAAATCTTTGACATAATTTCTGACTTACAGAAATATTATGCAGATAGTACAGTTCCTGTGTACTTTTGTCCACACAGTCTTACCATTGGTAAAGCAAATCTCACCATTTGCTTTATCATTTATTCTCTCTCCCTTTATCCCCTCTCTCCTCTGTGTGTGTGTGTGTGTGTGTATGTGTGTGTATTATATTTCCGTTTTTCTGAGCTCTTTGAGGGTAAATTACAGGCATAATGCTCTTTACCTTTAACTTTTTTTGAGATGGAGTCTTGCTCTGTCGCCCAGGCTGGGGTGCAGTGGTGCAGTGGCACGTTCTCAGCTCACTGCAAGCTCCGCCTCTCGGGTTCACGCCATTGTCCTGCCTCAGCCTCCCAAGTAACTGGGACTACAGGCGCCCACCACCACGCCCAGCTAATTTTTTGTATTTTTAGTAGAGATGGGGTTTTACTGTGTTAGCCAGGATGGTCTCGATCTCCTGACCTCGTGATCCGCCTCGGCCTCCCAAAGTGCTGGGATTACAGGTGTGAGCCACTGTGCCCGGCCAATGCTCTTTACCTTTAAAAATAAGGACATTCTCTTACATACCCATAGTACAATTTTTGAAATCTGGAAGTCAGCATTGATATAACACTATTAGCCAATTTATAGACCTTATTCAGATTTCATCAATTATTCTGATAATATTCCTTATAGGAAAAGAAAATAGTAGATTGTGAGTTTTATTTGATTGTCATGTCTTTTTAGTTTCCTTTAAAGAATGACTGAGAAATGGTTCCTTATTCTTTTATGACCTTGAAAACCTTGAAAATTTTTACGAATATGGGCCATTTATTTTGTATAATGTCCCTCAATTTGGGTTTGTTTGATGTTTCCTCATAATTCAATATAGGTTATGCATTTTTGCCTGGCATATCCCAGAAATGAAGTATCTTAGCAGAGGCATTTGATGTCAGTGTGTCCCATAATTGTGGTGTTAACTTTGATCATCTGATTAAGGTAGTGTTGACCCAGTTTTTCCACTGGAGAACTTTTTTCTGAACTCCATTGTAAAATTACTATTTTTCCTTTTGTGATTAATAATTATCTGGGGCAAACCCTTTGAGATTATGTAAATATCCTGTTTATTTTTCAAATGTTAGTCCACTAGTTTTAGCTTCCATTTATGATTTTTACCTGAATCAATCAGTTATTATTGAGATGGCTGCCCAAAGGCTGATTTTCTTAATTTTTTCTATGTGCATTCATTATGTATCTATATATTTGTTGGGAACGGTTTTCCCTATTTTTCATTTATATATGTATAGAATGATGTATTAATTTATCACTATAGATTAATGGATGGGTATTTTTATCAACCAAGATCTGGTAGTAAATGTGTTTACTGCTATTGGATCTGATTTTTTTTTTTTTTTTTTTTTTTTTGAGATGGAGTCTCGCTCTGTTACAGCCCAGGCTGGAGTGCAGTGGCATGATCTCGGATCACTGCAATCTCCCCGTCCCGGGTTCAAGCAGTTCTCTGCCTCAGCCTCCCGAGTAGCTGGGATTACAGGTGGCTGCCACCATGCCCAGCTAATTTTCTTGTATTTTTAGTAGAGATGGAGTTTCACCATCTTAGCCAGACTGGTCTTGAACTCCTGACCTCGTGATCTACCTGCCTCAGCCTCCCAAAGTGCTGGAATGTCAGGCCTGAGCCACCACGCCCAGCCTGATCTGATTATTTTTAATAATGAGAATACTGGCTGGGTGTGGTGGCTTATGTATGTCATCCCAGCACTTTGGGAGGCCGAGGTGGGCGGATCACCTGAGGTCGAGAGTTCGAGACCAGCCTGACCAACATGGAGAAACCTCATCTCTATTAAAAATACAAAATTAGCCTTTGTATTTTTGTATTTGCTTATATATGCAAAGAATCTATTCCTTCCTTTTTGGAAGGAGTCACAAGAAACTAGTAATATTGGTTACCTTTACAGAGTGAAACCTGGATGGTTGGAAATGGGAGTAGGGTGGAGACTTTTCACTTATAAATCTTTTAATTTTTTTACTGAATTAATTAAAAGTTAAAAATTCACACACTGGAGGTCTAAAATTACTGAAACACATGATCTGAATGTAAGAATTCTAATCAAACAGTTTACTTAAGTAATACCTGGGCAGATAGCCAAGATAACTTGGTTATCTTGGTAGATGACAATAGTAGAAAAATTGGTAGAAAGTTGGCAACTTTATTTATATACCATGATGTGTGTACTTTAGTCTTAATGAATATTTTGTTTTCTTTTGGCAGCATGCATATGCGCTAGAACTTCTATTTGATCAGTTGCATGAAGGAGCTAAAGCTCTTGATGTAGGATCTGGAAGTGGAATCCTTACTGCATGTTTTGCACGTATGGTAAGAGTTTTATTTCTCACTCTGGCCCCAACAGAAGAATATTATATGATTTGGCTGTATGTTTTTTTAACTAGTGGTTTTCATGTTTATTTGTTTGTTAATTCTATTAGGATAGCAGTTGGAATGAGCATCACTTAGGATTTTGTTGTTGTTGCAAGTGACAGAACATGCAACCCAAACTGGCAGAGCTAAAAGGGAGTTTATTTAGTTCATATAACAGAAAAGTCTAGGGGTGTATACGGTCTGTTGTGTGGCTGGATTTAGAAGAGCAGATGTTGTTATTGACGATAGGGTTCTCTCTGTTTCTTGATTTGGCTTTACTTTCCTCCACATGTTGGTGTCATTATCCGGTAAGCTCTACCCTTGTAATCACAAGATGGTGGCCAGTAGCTCCCAAACTACCTTCTTCCAAGTTCTGATTTGGCAGAAAAGAATAGAATAAGCCTGGTTTTCTTTTCTTTTTTTTTTTTTTTTCTTCTTAAAAACAGAGGTTTTATTGCATTTGGTCCACAGTTGGTATTTCACCTTATCTCATGGTGCAGGGACCCTGGGTAGGGGACTCTCTACAGTACTTGGTGGGGCATGTGGCTGGGGGAGACAGAGCAGTATAGCTGGTCAGGCCCAGAAGGGGAGAAGGAAGGCTGGAGGCTCCTTAAAACCTACTGAGGGACCAGACGCGGTGGCTCACACCTATAATCCCAGCACTTTGGGAGGCTTAGGCAGGCAGATCACATGAGGCCAGGAGTTCGAGACCAGCCTGGCCAACGTGGTGAAACCCCATCTCTACTAAAAATAGAAAAATTAGCCAGGCATGGTGGAGCACCTGCAGTCCCAGCTATTCAGGAGGCTGAGGCAGGAAAATCCCTTGAGCCCAGGAGGTGGAGGTGCAGTAAGCCTTGATTGCACCACTGCACTCCAGCCTGGGCAACAACAACAACAACAAAAACCTACTGAGGCACAGTGTGGGGGGTGGGCTTAGCATGGAGAGGGGGTCAGGCTTAGCCCCGACAACTCAGAATTCTACTTCCTTGTACAGGCCTCAGTTTCCCCACCGGGCCCTGGGACATGTCTGAGGGTCCCAGGGAAATCCAGTCACTCAGGAGCCTGAGATATTTAGCATCGTAGCTGGGCCCCGTCTCCCAGGGGACTCATTTCCCAGCACCCTCTCCACTGTCCCTGCCCAGAATGAGCCTGGTTTCTAAACATTCCTGCAGATTTACCAGGATGAAGGTAAAACTTCTGCATTAGAAAAAGTGCTCTTAGAAAAATAATGCCTTGTTATACTTCTGCCTTTTCTCATCAGAGTCTTATCTGGTCAATGGCTATCCAGAGTATTAACTGGGGACCCACTAATATATGTTGGAGTAAAGGTTGATCATTGCTTAGATCATCACATCAGTTTGATTTGAGAAATATCGTGCCTGGAGGACAGATTGGAATATTCTGATCTAGTTAAATTGGGAGTTGTGGATCCACCTTGGACTAGAATCCATGTAACTTGCTATAAATGTATAATCAGCAGACTTACTAGAATGTAAGCTCCAGGGAGTTGGAAATTTTGTCTGCTCTTTTTTATCATGATGGTATCCTAAACATCTAAAACAATGCCTGGCACATAATAAGGACTCATATTTTCTCAGATGTTTTGCTCATTTTGTAGAGGTTAAGTCCTCATTAATGGATATCAGTGATTTTTTTTAAGGTTAGAAATGCCATTTAATAAATGACTCATTCTCTATACTTGACATGTTTATAGTTTTAGAGGATGTATTCATTTTAAAAAATCATTTGGTTTCTGAGTTGTTTTTCATAAAATGGCATTAATGTTTTTCACACATTTACCATGTGTGAAAGTACTTTGTGTTTTAAGCACTAGAGCCTGTGTTCTAAGTGCTACCCCATTTTTATGATGGGGTTTATGCCTTTTTCCTCCCCATTTTGTACTGAGGAACCTGATTCATACAAGGAATGATAGGCCGGGTGTGGTGGCTCACGCCTGTAATCCCAGCACTTTGGGAGGCCGAGGCAGGTGGATCACCTGAGGTCTGGAGTTCGAGACCAGCCTGGCCAACATGGTGAAACCCCGTCTCCACTAAAAATACAAAAATTAGCTGGGTGTGGTGGCACACGCCTGTAATCCCAGCTATTTGGGAGGCTGAGGCAGGAGAATTGCTTGAGCCCGGGAGACAGAGGTTGCAGTGAGCTGAGATCACGCCACTGTACTCCAGCCTGGCCAACAAAGCGAGACTTTATCTCAAAAAAAAAAGAAGGAACGGTTAACTTGCCAAGGTATGTATGTATGTAAGTGATGACACTTAGACAAGAACCCAGATAGTTTGACTTCAAAGCCTTTATGTGTTAATTTTTTAAATTTTTATATTTTTTCTTGAAACATTTATACTTAATATTTTAATTTACAAATAAATATGCAAAGAAGGGATTTTTGTTGTTGTTGCTTTTTGTTTGTTTTCTGAGACAGGGTCTCAGTCTGTCATCCAGGCTGGAGTGCAGTGGCACGATCTCAACTCACTGCAGCCTCTGCCTCCCAGGCTCAAGTGATCCTCACACCACATCAGCCTCCTAAGTAGCTGGGACTTAGGAGGCACATGCTACCACACCTGGCTAGTTTTTGTATTCTTTTGTAGAGATGGGGTTTTGCCATGTTGCTCAGGCTGGTCTCAAACTCCTGGGCTCAAGCAGTCTACCTGCCTCTGCCTCCCAAAGTGCTGGGATTATAGGTGTGAGCCACTGTATATATTTTCATGTTTTCTACTAAAAGCAGTAGAAACAAGTGTAGAAATTCCTTCCCATCAGGCGGGAGGCAGGGTGTGTGGTGGCTCAGTCCTGTAATCCCAGCACTCTGGGAGGCCAAGGCGGGCAGATCACGAGGTCAGGAATTTGAGACCAGCCTGACCAACGTGGTGAAACCCTGTCTCTACTAAAAATACAAAAAAATTAGCTGGGCATGGTGGCGGGGGCCTGTAGTCCCAGCTACTCAGGAGGCTGAGGCAGGAGAATTGCTTGAACCTGGGAGGCAGAGGTTGCAGTGAGCTGAGATCGTGCCACTGTACTCCAGCCTGGGTGACAGAGCGAGACTCTCTCTCAAAAAAAAAAAAAAAGAAATTCCTCCCTGTCAAATTCTTTATGTAACATTTTAATATTTAAAGTTATACTTTAGATGGAATTTAAATAAAAAATTATTGTACTACTATTAAATATTGGTAATTTTCTTCAAAGTTCTAGATTTAATCTAAGAAAGATATAATTTTTCTTAGTATTACAAGTTTTATTCAATGAGAGTGATAGTTGAGAAAGTTGTATATATGGTAAATAATTTATGATAAACTGAGTGTTTAGCAATCTATAGAAGCCTTAAGCTATTTTTGTTTTCTCTTTGTAGAATATGACTTTCGATAAGGAAAAACTTCAATAATACTTTAGAAAAACAAATTTAGCCCAATGAGCTACTGAATTGTTTTCTCTTTTCCAGGTTGGATGTACTGGAAAAGTCATAGGAATTGATCACATTAAAGAGCTAGTAGATGACTCAGTAAATAATGTCAGGAAGGACGATCCAACACTTCTGTCTTCAGGGAGAGTACAGCTTGTTGGTAAGTATCAGAAAACTTTAAAAATTTCTTCAGAGGATTTTTATTTTCAGAAGATCCAATGCAAGCTAAATAATACTCAGAGGTAATTATTGTATTTTTTTTTACAATCACTTTTAAGTACTAAAAAATAAAAACGATTATTTTTGCTCACCTAGTGTGTATTTTGCAGCCATCTCTTTGTGAGTTTAATTTTGTATTTTCCTATTAACCTCTGAGATTGAATTTTTTGTAATGTGTCTGACCATTAGGATTTTGTCTTTTGTGAAGTACCTGTTCAGATATTGGATTGCTTGTATTTTTGACTTACAGGGCTTCTAGCCCTTTGTCTATATATATAAATACATTTCTTCTCCCATCTGAGGTGTGCCTTTTCATCTTATTGGTACCCTTTTGATAATAGAAATTCTTAATTTTAATGTAGTCAGACTTACCAATTTTTTTCAGTGCTTTCTGTGTCCTTTTTAAGGATACTCTGAGACCATGAAGATATGTCTCTTATTATTTCTTAGAACCTTTATCATTTTTAGCTTTTCATGTTTAGGTTTTTGATCTTCCTGATGTTGGTTTTTGTGTATGTGTGAGGTAAAGGTGCAGTTATATGTTTTTGTGTATGAATATCCAGTTGTATTCCCCAGACACACTCAGTTTTGTTTAAAAGATAAAATATTGGCCAGGAGCGGTGGCTCACACCTGTAATCCCAGCACTTTGGGAGGCTGAGGTGGGCAGATCATGAGGTCAAGAGTTTGAGACCAGCCTGACCAACATGGTGAAACTCCGTCTCTACTAAAAATACAAAAATAAGCTGGGCGTGGTGGCGCACGCCTGTAGTCCTAGCTACTCGGGAGGCTGAGGCAGGAGAATCGCTTGAACCCGAGAGGTGGAGGTTGCAGTAAGCTGAGATCGCACCACTGAACTACAGTCTGGCGACAGAGCTAGAGTCCGTCTCAAAAAAACAAATAAAATAAAATAAAGGCCCGGGCAGCTCTAGTAGCCACAGCCATCCCCTAGAGGGATCTGGCTGAGGAGGAAGTGGAGGTGTTGCTTGCCTTGGCCTTTGCCCTGATCCTGTGTGGACACTGAAAGGGGAATACAGGAGTAAACCACACCAAAATGAGTCTCATGTTGCCAGTGAGGGACATGAGAGATCAAGAGATAGACGAAGGTCAAGTGACAGATCACGGGATTCATCTCATGAAAGAACAGAGTCTCAACTCACTTCTTGTATTAGAAACGTTTCTTCTCTGGCTGGATGTGGTGGCTCATGCCTGTAATCCCAGCACTTTGGGAGGCCAAGGCGGGCGGATCACTTGTCAGGAGTTCGAGACCAGCCTGGCCAACATGGTGAAACCCCGTCTCTACTAAAAATACAGAAATAAGCCAGGCATGGTGGCAGGCACCTGTAATCCTAGCTACTCAGGAGGCTGAGGCAGGAGAATCGCTTGAACCTGGGAGGCGGAGGTTGCAGTGAGCTGAGATCACGCCATTGCACTCTAGCCTGGCAGACAAGAGCGAGACTTCGTCTCAAAAAAAAAAAAAAGAAATGTTAACTTCTCCAACACGACAGCGCCATGTTGCATGAGAAAAAGATCACAGTTCCTCTCGTCCAAGCAGTCCTTGTTCTCCAAAAGCCTCTCCAGATGGTTCCATTAGCAGTACTGGGAACAGCAGTAGAAACACTAGTCAGTCAAGTTTAGATAATAGCTGTTAAGATATCTGGGGAGATGGTGTTTGTATTTGAGAATGCAAAAGAAGGAGCTCTGAATATAAGAACATAAGAACAAATAGCACCAATAGTGAGTAACACTATATTTGTTGTAGACCCATCCGTTTCTACTGCACAGCCAAATACAGTGTTGGGCAGGATGTTTGTTTGGATCTGGCCGAGAACACAACTTTACACAACCCAATGAGAAAGGAGAGTATGAAGTAGCAGAGGGAATTGGTTCCACTGTGTTTCAATCTATTCTGGATTACTATAAAATAGGAATTACCTGTTGTCCTGATGGCATAACTGTTCCTGAATTGAGAGAAGCATGGGACTATCTATGTATGTCTTTTGAATGTAGTACTATTAAGGTACTATATCTTAAGTTAACTTAAATAGGTGCTGCTGCCAAAGTATTCCTCCAGTAAAATTCATATAGTTTGCTGCCCATAAGGAGCAAAAAATATTTATCTTGGGCTTATTTGAATGATTAGGATGAGATTTAAAACAGAACTTTTCAGTTCCGTTATCTCCAGTGCCGTTTCATGCTTTAGAGTGAGTCACGTGCAGGGAGTGTGAACGTCAGAGGTGGTTTATTATCCAGTCTGCCTTATCCTTAATCTGTTCACAGATATTTATTTACTAATGCTTTCGTTCTTAAGAGTTGTGGGATAGAGGCTGGGCGCAGTGTCTCACACCTGTAAACCCAGCACTTTGGGAGGCTGAGGCGGGTGGATCACCTGAGGTCAGGAGTTCAAAAAAAAGAGTTGTGAGATAGGAAAATGAAGCGCTTTTCATTTACTAAATGATTGTTAACTCCAGTTTTTCATCAAAATAAAATTCCATTGTTTTAATGTTTCTGACCAAACAAAAAATAAAATAAAATGAGTTAAAAACAGCAAAAAAGTGAATATCCAGTTGTCCCAGGATCATTTATTGAAAAATCTATCCTTTCTCCATTGTAAACCTCCTGTACTAGAATTCTTCACATTAAGTTTGATCTAAACAGGTTTTTAAAGCATAGCTGTTTTTCTTTCAGTGGGGGATGGAAGAATGGGATATGCTGAAGAAGCCCCTTATGATGCCATTCATGTGGGAGCTGCAGCCCCTGTTGTACCCCAGGCGGTGAGTCGGGATTTTTTCTGTTTGTGTGTTTTTATTCAACTAAAACTCTACAAGACTTAAATAGAAAAGACTTCTAGATGATGTTCAAAATATAATTAGACTTTTATATCATACATTTTGGTTACATTTAGCTGTTACTCTTTTCTTTTTTCATATGCAAACAATTGTATAAATGACATGAAAATTACTAAACCCCAGTTTGTGGCGCTCATATTTGATCCAGGTAAGAACTAGGACAACAGTAGAATTGGGAAAATCCCTCTGGAGTTTATGACCTGATAATCAGGTTTTTTTTGTTTGTTTGTTTTTTGTTTTTTGTTTTTTGTTTTTGAGGTGGAGTTTTGCTCTTGTCACCCAGGCTGGAGTGCAGTGGCCCAATTTCAGCTCACTGCAACCTCCGCCTCCCGGGTTCAAGTGATTCTCCTGCCTTAGCCTCCCGAGTAGCTGGGATAACAGGCGCCCGCCACCACGCCCAGCTAATTTTTGTATTTTTAGTAGAGACGGGGTTTCACCATGTTGGCCAGGCTGGTCTCGAACTCCTGACCTCGGGTGATCTGCCCGCCTCAGCCTCCGAAAGTGCTGGGATTACAGGTGTGAGCCACTGCACCCGGCCAGTTTGATGTTTTTTAAATAGCAGAATATGTAAGGCTGTATTTGGTGTATGGGAGATATGAGAAAGTATTTGCCATACATTATATTCTCACAAAGCTTGTATTCTAGAAGAGATATGTCATATATGTAACTGGGAAATTAGCGATATGATAACATATAATTAACACAGGATATCTATTGGAAGGAAAATAAAATATGCATATGAGGGAGAGAATTGTGCAGTGAGTGGTCAAGGAGACATCACACACGGATGGAACTTGAACTGAATCTTAAAGAATAGTAGGATATATGGCCGGGCATGGTGGCTCATGCATGTAACCCCAGCACCTTGGGAGGCCAAGGTGGGAGGATTGCTTGAGCCTAGGAGTTTGAGACCAGTCTGAGTAACATGGCAAGACCCTGTTTAAAAAAAAAATTAGCCAGGCACAGTGGCGCATATGCCTGTAGCCCCAGCTACTCTGGAGGCTGAGGTGGGAGAATTGCTTGAGCCCAAGCTGTTGAGGCTGCATTGAGCCATGTTTGTGCCATGGCACTGTAGCCTGTGGTCCTAGATTTCTGTTACATATGGCTTTTGCGTAGTTCTTGACTAGATGACCGGGGATGAAGGTGACACTGTTTCTTCTGTCTAGTCTCATCCGTTTTTTTGGTAGGCTTAGATCAGTTATGGGAAGATGAAAGTTGTATAATTTGTTCTGGTCATTGACTTGCTGCTTATTGGCCAAGTGACTGGGAAAATGACTTAATTGCTTTGGCCCTGTTGATTATCTGTTTAAAAAAAAAAAGTAGCTCACGCCTGTAATCCCAGCACTTTGGGAGGCTAAGGCAGATGAATCACTTGCGCTCAGAAGTTCGAGACCAGCCTGGGCAACATGGCAAAACTCCATCTCTACAAAAAATACAAAAAATTAGATGTGGCAGGCACTTGTAGTCCCAGCTACTCAAGAGGCTGAGGTGGGAGGATAGCTTGGATTGCGTGAGCCTGACAGGTTGAGGCTGCAGTGAGCCATGCTTGTACTACTGCATTCCAGCCTGGGTGACAAAGTGAGACCCTGTCTCAAAAAAAAAAAAAAAGGTAGATTGAACTGGTGGTTTTACACATTTTAACTGAAGTATTAATATAATGTAGAAAATTTTACAAGTCATAAACGAACAGCTCAATGAATTTGAACACATGACCAATGGGTTTTTAACTTTTCAAAAAAAATATTGATAACCTAGAGTGAACAGTTAAAATCTGAAATAGAACTGTGCTTAAATGAGGCGGGTGGGTGCAGGGCCCATTTCTCCCTACTGGGACCCTGAAGTGATCTTGAAAGATATTTCTAGATTTAATTAAATTGAATTTAAATATTGTAGTAATACTTGCAAGTATTATAGGGGTATGTATACATCTGATTTAAGATAGATGTACTGAAGGGGCTTTCCAGTTTTAAGATAGCAGAATGAAGATGTTTATGCCTTCTTTTGGATATCACCCCAAGATAACCAGAAAAACAGAAGCATAAACTCCATACTCAATTAACTAGGAGACTATACCTGCAGTCCTGAACTCCACAGTGTGTGAAGATAGAAAGCAGATGGAATAATAGCTGACCCAGGAGGGTAGAGGAAGTAGAAACTAAAGAGACTACAGAGTGAAATATTATGCATACGCAGTTTGCACTGCAAAACTCTGAAAAGGCTTAGGAATTGGTGGCATCAAGACCTTGAAAATCATAGGTAAAACATGGGTCTGAAAAGAGGGAATGCTGCTTGAGACTCTGCATGAGGAATAATCAGCACTAATCTCTACGTAAGAAATTTTCTAAAAACTGATGGACATAATTCTAACACAAAGAATTTTTAAAATAAGAAAAAAGAACAACCATATCATTTATATTCAGAATATTAGGGGATAAAGAGAAGATTCTGAAAGCCTCTAGAGGCCAGGTGTGGTGGCTCACACTTCTCAGCAGTTTGGGAGGCCAAGGAAGGAGGATCGCTTGAGGATCTGAGTTTGAGACCAGCCTGGGCAACATAGCGAGACCCCATCTGTACAAAAAAATTTTAAAATTAGCCAGATGTGGCAGCCTGTGCCTGTAGTCCCAGCTACATGGGAGGCTGAGGTGGGAGGATTGCTTGAGCCCAGGAAGTTGAGATTTCAGTGAACCATGATTGCACCACTGTATTCCAGCCGAGGTGACAGAGAAAGACCCTGTCTCTAAAAAAAATAAAAGCTTCTAGAAAAATAAAACAGATCTCCTGTTAAGGACTGGTAATCAGAAAGGCATCAGACTGCAAACAGCATTAGAATTCGTAAGTCAGAGTACCAAACCATCAAATTCTGAGTTGAAAATTATTTCCAACCTCGAATTCTGTATGCACACACATCACCAAGATAGTTTTAGGTTTGCAAATCTCCATCTCTTTCTTTTAATACATTCCATGCACTATTTCACAAAATGCTTCTGAAGGAACTTTCTTAAATGATTAAGATGTCTTAAAATGTCTTAAAATTTAATGTATTAAAATGCCATTTTTGTCATCCAAAAATGAAATGAGGGAAGAGACAGATAGTAGGAAAAACCAAAAGAGGAAACCACATAGGGCATCTTAATCAGGCAGAGGCATGGAAGTTTGCAGGATTGTTACAAAGGGAAGGGCCTGGATGGAAGCTGTGCAGCAGGCCTGGAGAATAACCAGCTCAGATTTGGAGCAAGAGGAGGAAAGGAAACAATGATTGGATACTTCTTGACTCAGCAGCAAATCATAGTTACACAGTCATAACTAGAAATGATTTTAATAAAAAATGATTGGTTGGATTGGGGGAAGGAAGCAAAATGTAGATTAAGGGAGTTCAATCCTTATCTAGCGTATGTTTTGAAATATAAAGGTAAATACTAGAAGACATAGCTAAAAGGATTTGAAATGACTGGATTTAGAGAGCAAGGGTGGGGTAGGGAGAGGAAGTCAGCTGTTTTTCATTATAAGCCTTGAAATTGAGAAAAACAAGAAGATAGACTTGCAGACAACCAAAACTTTGATTGAGGGCACCCTTTCCTGAGGTAATAAATATCCAAAGTAAGGTTTCTGGCTGGGCATGGTGGCTCATGCCTGTAATCCCAGTACTTTAAGAGGCCGAGGAGAGCGGATCACTTGAGGTTAGGAGTTCGAGACCAGCCTGGCCAACATGTTGAAAGCCCGTCTCTATTAAAAATACAAAAAAAATTAGTCGGGCTCGGTGGTGGGCACCTGTAATCCCAGCTACTTGGGAGGCTGAGGCATGAGAATTGCTTGAACCTGGGAGGCGGAGGTTGCAGTGAGCCGAGATCGTGCCACTGCACTCCAGCCTGGGTGACAGAGCGAGACTCAGTCTCAAAACAACAAAAAACTACAACAAAAAACAAAACAAAACAAAAAACCAGAGTAAGGTTTCTTCTTTAATGTTTTTTATTAATAGTGATGCGTAAAGCTATATGAAAATGGTAACATGATTTAAAAGTTTTCTGACTGTAAGAGCTTCCATTGAGTACTCTTGGTTCTTCATTGACAGGAGTGTCCTCATTCTAACACTGCAGGGACTCCAGCCCTACCTTCCCTCCTTATGGTACCAGTAAACCTCAATTGAATCGTATAACTAGGGTTCCCTTATCCCTTCAGTGATGCCCTAGATTCTACAATAATAGGATAGGGATTCCTTGCTGATTTTCTACACTTCCTCTCCTCCCCTCCTCCTTCCTTCAAACCCACAAAGATTCAAAACAGGCACACAGGCATTAGAATTCTATGCTCTGCCTTTGGCCCGCCAAGAGGATAGTTCTATATTAGTTGGTTCAGTTCAAACATTTTGAGCACTACAGTTGTACCAGGTACTGTGTTAGATGCTAAAGACACAAAGATGAATAAGACACAGTCCCCATCCTCAAGAGCTTGTCGTTTAATAGAGGAGGCTGATAGTTGAGTAATAATATAACAATCAAAGTATGTACAGGGTGAGTATCCCTTCTCCAAAATATTTGGGACCAGAAGTGTTTTGGATTTTGGATTTTTTCAGATTTTTTCACATTTTGGAATATTTACATATACATAATGAGATATCTTGGGAATGGGACCAAGTCTAAACATAAAACTCATTTATGTTATACCTCTTATACACATAGCCTGAAGGTAATTTTGTATAATATTTCAAATAATTTTGTGCATGGAATAAAGTTGTGATTGCATTTTGACTGTGACTTGCCACATGAGGTCAGGTGTGAAATTATCTACTTGTGGTGTCATGTTGATGTTCAGAGTTTTGGATTTTGGAGCATTTCCAGTTTCGGGTTTTCAGATTATTGATGCTCAACCTGTATATACTATGTATTTATTTTTAAGACGGAGTCTCGCTCTGTCACCCAGGCTGGAGTGTGGTGGCGTGATCTTGGCTAACTGCAGCCTCCATCTCTGGGTTCAAGCAATTCTCCTGCCTCAGCCTCCCAAGTAGATAGGACTACAGGCATCTGACACCATGCCTGGCTAATTTTGTACTTTTTTAGTAGAGTTGGAGTTTCACTGTGTTGGCCAGGCTGGTCTTGAACTCTTGACCTCAAGTGATCTGCCCACCTTGGCCTCCCAAAGTGCTGGGATCACAGGCGTGAGCCACCGTGTCTGGCCTTAATTTGTATATACTAAATAAAGAACGTTTCTGCTTTCTGCCTATGGACACTAAAAGTTGTTTATAATGATGTCAAATGACTATTAATATAAAATCTGGGCCGGGCACAGTAGCTCACGCCTGTAATCCAAGCACTTTGGGAAGCCGAGGTGGGTGGAGTACTTGAGGTTAGGAGTTCGAGACCAGTGTGGCCAATATGGTGAAACCTTGTCTCTACTAAAAATACAAAAATTAGCTGGGCATGGTGGCGTGTGCCTGTAGTCCCAGCTACTTGGGAGACTGAGGCAGGAGAATCACTTGAACCTGGGAGGCAGAGGTTGCAGTGAGCTGAGATCGTGTCATTGCACTCCAGCCTGGGCGACAGAGTGAGACCCTGTCTCAAAAATAAATAAATAAAATAAAATAAAATCTGTAACTTGGTGATGTATGTGCTTTTTTTTTTTTCTTTTAGCTAATAGATCAGTTAAAGCCCGGAGGAAGATTGATATTGCCTGTTGGTCCTGCAGGCGGAAACCAAATGTTGGAGCAGTATGACAAGCTACAAGATGGCAGCATCAAAATGAAGCCTCTGATGGGGGTGATATACGTGCCTTTAACAGATAAAGAAAAGCAGTGGTCCAGGTGGAAGTGATTTTATCTTCTGCTCTTTCTTCTTCCACACATGCAAGGTGAAAGGGTGTGGATTTTAAGACATTAGACTACAAGAGCTGTTTTTGGTTGTCACCTTTATGCTCCTCCATTATAACGTCAGAAATTCATTACATTAAAAATGTGAAAAATGTTGCATGGTCTGCCCTTATTTTGGTTTAACATATATATCTTTGGGAAAGGGAGGGTGAGACTTGGTTGGCACAAAGGCTTTTTTTGTTTGTTTGTTTGTTTTTTTTTTAGAGAGACTTTCAGCTTCAATTCAGTACTTTGTAAGGATTTTTTCTTCATTATCAGCCACTCTGTTTTTATGTTTTTAAATTATTTTTATAGCACTGGATGGGCATGGAAACAATGAGTTTGGTCTGTAAAAGAGGCCAGGCGGAGTGGCTCATGCCTGTAATCCCAGCACTTTGGGAGGCCTAGGTGGGCGGATCACTTGAGGTCAGGAGTTTGAGACTAGCCTGGCCAACATGGTGAAACCCCGTCTCTATTAAAAATACAAAATCAGCTGGGCGTGATGGCACAGGCCTGTAATCCCAGCTACTCGGGAGGCTGAGCCAGGAGAATTGCTTAAACCCTGGAGGCGGAGGTTGCAGTGGGCCGAGATTTTGACACTGCACTCCAGCCTGGGAGACAGAGCAAGGCTCTGTCTCAAAAAAAAAAAAAAAAAAAAAAAAAAAAAACAAGGGGCCATCATTTCCTGCCCTGTTTATTGTACCAACAAGGAGAAAGAAGGGGAAAGATAACGGTCGTCTCAGTTTTCTAAAATGTCAGAATACCAGAGAGGACATTCTACCTCTCAGCTTGGTTTATCTGTTTCAACCAAATCATAGATACCTGACAGCCCATGCCTATTTTTCATTCAGCCTTGTTTAAGAGTCACCTTCTCCCCATTCTATAGAATAGGCCAGCCACTGTTTAAGCTATTCTGGCTAAATTCCTAGGAAGAGGCAAGGATTCTACAAGTTACCCAATGAGTGCCCAGGTCTCACAAACCCACCCAGAGGGTCAGCAGCATGCAGCAACTTTCAGCACAGCATGGTTTATAAAGAATGTCCACTTTTGTTTTATGTCTCAGCATAATCTGAATATTTTGTTTGAAGCCAAGATTTCTCTTTTCCTCCCCTTCCCACTCCCTTCCATGAGAGAGAGTGACATCAGTACATAACAGTGCCATTAGCTCAAATTACTTGAAATTAAATGCCAAAACAAGAACGGCTTTACAGTTTCCTTGTCTTAGCATCTTATTTTTATTTGACATAAAGATTCTTATTTTAAAATAATTAGTTTCTTAATAAGTAAAAGGGGTGATAATAAGTTTAATAGATCTCTCAATGTTGTTTTTATTCTTCACCAATAGCTATTTTCTGTGAATTATACGTGGAGCACAGCCACTGGAAAAAAAAAAAAAAAAAAAAGCATTTTAGTCCAGGCATTTTGGGAGGCTGAGGTGAGCCAATCATCTTAAGTCAGGAGTTTGAGACCAGCCTGGCCAACATGGTGAAACCCTGTCTCTACTAAAAACACAAAAATTAGCTGGGCATGTTGGCTTGCATCTGTAGTCCCAGGCACTCAGGAGGCTGAGGCAGGAGAATTGTTTGAACCCAGGAGGCAGAGGTTGCAGTGAGTCGAGATCACACTACTGCCTTCTAGCCTGGGTGACAGAGCGAGACTCTGTCTCAAAAAAAAAAAAAAAAAAAAAAATTAAAAAGGCATTTAAAAAATTACTGGTTTTTTCAACTGGAATCAGATGTAGTTATTAACAACTAACTAAAACCTTCCTTCACTTTGCTTCTAGTATGGTTTATACAATTACATAATTGTGAGATTATTGTAGTATAAAAGGGGCAAATATGTTACTGAAATTACTGAAATTTGATAAGAAGAGTTGATTTTCATTAGCAACTTAGAAATTTTTCTTTTTATATACAATAAATATTAGTGTTGAACATCTTGCCTATAATTTATAATTTATAATTATGAAGGAATTATAAAAAGGGAATTTTGTTTTTATGACTAGAGGTAGATTTACTGTGAAGCTAACAAAGCTGAAGCTGCAGAGCCCTTGCTTGTCTAGGTTTTCTCTGACCCTGTTCTTAATTTAATTTAATTTAAAAAAGTGTTTTTTTTGAGACGGAGTCCTGCTCTGTTACCCAGGCTGTGTAGAGCAGTGGTGCAATCTCAGCTCACTACAACCTCCGTCTCCCAGGTTCAAGCAATTCTCCTGCCTCAGCTTCCCAAGTAGCTGAGAGTATAGGCGCCCAGCTAAATTTTGTATTTTTAGTAGAGAAGGGGTTTCACCATGTTGGCCAGGCTGGTCTCGAACTCCTGACCTCAGGTGATCTGCCCGCCTCGGCCTCCCAAAGTGCTAGGATTACAGGTGTCAGCCACCATGCCTGGCCCTGTTCTTAATTTTATATTATGCATAGTCTTACTGATTTTTTTTTTAACTTCATAAAAAGGTTCCCCTGTTTTCTAATTATATAAACCTTAGGCCCCCACAAAACCTGAATCCACCTTTGATAAAACCAAACTATTTGTATTAAGAAATTTAAAATAGGGCCAGGTATGGTGGCTTATGCCTGTAATCCCAATGCTTTGGGAGGTTGAGGTGGGAGGATCACTTGAGGCCAGAAGTTCAAGAGAAGCCTGGGAAACATAGTGAGACCTCGTATCTACTAAAAATTTAAGAACTAGCCAGGCGTAGTGGTGTGCACCTCTAGTTCTGGCTACTTGGGAGGCTGAGATAAGAGGATCACTTAAGCCCAGAAGCGGCAGTGAGCTGTGATCACCACAGCATTCCAGGCTGGGCAACAGAGCAAGACCTTATCTTTAAAAAATATATTTAGAATAATTTTTAAATTTATGGACAATTAGTCATCTGCTAAACATTAAATGTATACCTGCTTTTAGGCTGGGCGCAGTGGCTCACGCCTGTAATCCCAGCACTTTGGGAGGCCAAGGCGGGCAGATCACAAGGTCAGGAGATCGAGACCATCCTGGGTAACATGGCGAAACCCCGTCTCTCCTAAAAATACAAAAAAATTAGCCGGGCGTGGTGGCAGGTACCTCTAGTCCCAGCTACTCGGGAGGCTGAAGCAGGAGAATGGCGTGAACCTGGGAGGCCGAGCTTGCAGTGAGCTGAGATCGCGCCATTGCACTCCAGCCTGGGCAACAGAGCGAGACTCCGTCTCAAAAAATGTATACCTGGTTTTCTTTTTGACCTTCAAAGTTTTTTAAAAATTGAACAAATTTAGGCTGGGCACAGTGGCTCACGCCTGTAATCCCAGCACTTTGGGAGGCTGAGGCGGGCGGATCACGAGGTCAGGAGATCGAGACCATCCTGGCCAACATGGTGAAACTCCATCTCTACTAAAAAAACAATACAAAAATTAGCTGGGCGTGGTGGCAGGCACCTGTAATTCCAGCTACTCGGGAGGCTGAGGCAGGAGAATCACTTGAACCTGGGAGGTGGAGGTTGCATTGAGCCTACATTGTGCCACTGTACTCTAACCTGGCGACAGAGTAAGACTCTGTCTCAAAAAAAAAAAAAAAAAATTGAGCAAACTTACATGTTCGCACTATCAGAAAAAAAAAAAATTTCTCCAGGTGTACCAGGAGGACTTTCTAATTTTTCTGTTGTAGATGCTTTTCTTTGGCCATTTGTTCAGTTGCTAAATATTTTTCAGCGTGAGGATCTTCTTAATATTATTCGTGAATTCAACCAATATGCATATGCCAACTAGGCCAGGCACTGTACTAGGTGCCAGGAGTCATCAGCTGTGAATTTGAAACTGACTGCTCTCATGGAGCTTACAGTAACGTAGGAGATGCAAAGACCAAGATGAATAGGCAGTTATAGGGTAGTGTTCAGACTCGCGGTAGGGAGCCAGGCATTGAAGTGGTCAGAATTACATTTCAGAAAGATAACTCTAGCTGTTATGTAGAGACTAGCCTGGGAAGGGACAAAAGTCGAGTCAGAAACAGGAAGTGGTTATAGCAATTCAAGGATGAAATGATGGTCTGCATTAAGGCAGTGTTAGTAAGGATAGAGAGAAGTGGGTGGATAGCTACATCTAAAATACTGTCACTGTTTTCTGGGAATTATCATCTAAAAAGTTCCCTAGTCAACTTCTTGCCAGGCTACGTGATTTCTGTTCTTTCAAACTTTCCGTTTTTGTTTTTGTTTTGTTTTATTTTGTTTTGTTTTGATACAGTCTCTCTCTGTCACCCAGGCTGGAGTGCAGTGGCATGATCTCTGCTCACTGCAGCCTCAACCTCCTGGGCTCAAGCGATCCCCCCTGCCTCAGCCTTCTGAGTAGCTGGGACCACAGGGTGTGCCACCATACTCAGCTGATTTTCTTGTTTTTTTTGTAGACAAGGGGTTTTGCCATGTTGCCCAGGCTGGTCTCGGACTCCTGAGCTCAAGCGTTCCACCCACCTCAGCCTCCCAAAGTGCTGGGATTACAGGCTTGAGCCACCAGCCTCAAACTTTCTTCAGGATTACTTTAACTCATTATAATACTTTCCTAGGAACCTTCTCTTGTGTCTCACCAGCTTTCCACCTTTCTTACTGAGGAATAATCCAGAGCTAATTGCGGTGCTCTGATGAGGGTGAGATCCCATTTTTGCTGAGGCGATGTGGCAGAAACTGTATTTTTAAAAATGAGAATTAGTGGACATGTGGAATTCTAGTACCAAGTAAAGATCCAAACTTGAATGTAGACTTGAGTCTTTTTACACTTGGAAAGATGTCACTTGTAATTTTGGTGGATTAATAGAAGGGGAGACAATGCCAGATCTATAGGCCAGAGACCTAGAATCTGTGGAATTGTGTTCATGACTATGGACATGTAATAGTTGTATTAGTTGCTACAGAAAGTTAATAGTTCTTAAGTATTATTTTATTTTAAATAAATAATTTATATGTAAAAATATTTTGTTAATCTTCTGGTAAAAGTTTTATTTTTATTTATTTATAGATATTTTTGAGACAGAGTCTTGCTCTGTCACCCAGGCTGGAGTGCAGTGATGCGATCTTGGCTCACTGCACCTCCGCCTCCTGGGTTCAAGTGATTCTCCTGCCTCAGCCTCCCGCATAGCTGGGACTACAGGCACGCACCACGAGGCCCGGCTAATTTTTGTATTTTTAGTAGAGACGGGGTTTCACTGTGTTGACCAGGCTGGTCTCAAACTCCTGACATCAAGTGATCCACCCGCCTCAGCCTCCAAAACTGCTGGAATTACAGGTGTGAGCCACCACACCCAGACTATTTTTGTTTTTAGTAGTCACAAGAGTTAGTGTAATTGGTCCATCTTTAGTTTGTGAAACTGAGGAATGTTCAAGTTTATTATTCCATAAGCTCTTTGTTTATTGATGTCTTCTTAAAGTGCCTTGCATCTATGAAAAAGATGTTAGGAATTGACTGCATTTCCAAGACTGACAGTATTGGTGCTAAGGGATCCAATTGATCCCGTGTTCCATATTCTATATTGTTCCTTTTTAATCTCTTTACATATGTTCCAGTATTGTGACATACATTACATCCTTAAAAGCAGGGATATATTCTGTTACTTTTGGAATTCTTTTTGTCTCTCATAGTGCTTCGTACAAAGCAAATTGTACAACACTTTTATTACCTTGGAAGATCCATGAAATTATTAGAAAACGTTCATGGATTTTGATTGTTGTTTCCTTATAGTATATCTTTTCATTTATTCTTGGTAAAGAATGTATAAGACTAAATGTTAGTATCATAGAGTTAATAAAATCTAATAAATAATTAAATTATGTATAATTATATACTAGTAGAAATATATACAGTTATTAACCTAATGAATATATTTAGCATAGTATATAGCAATTTTAAAGAGCCTTTCTAAAAATTTAGTACATACTATTTTTTATTGTAAATGATCTATACATGTAAGTCAGATAAAGAAATGGTCATACAGAATTTTGAACATTGGGGAAAATTTAATAACTTGAAAGTTACATGGATTTTAGAGTATTAGGCTTTTAAAAAATTGTGCACGCGCTGGCAGCAAGTTTTTGTTTTTCCCTAGCACCTCTAATTTTAAAATTCAGGTCTATAAACCTAATTTCTTTTCCTTTTTTAAAGTATTTTTTAGACAGAGAGGATAGTTGGAAAAATGGTACCTATGTTGTTGAGGGGGCATTAATTTATTTACAGTATACTTAATGTCTTGCAGCAGGTAAATTGTAGTAAATTATTATTATTATTATTGTTTTCTGAGATGGAGTCTCGCTCTGTCGCTCAGGCTGGAGTGCAGTGGCGTGATCTCAGCTTGCTGCAACCTCCGCCTCCCTGGTTTAAGCGATTCTCCTGCCTCAGCCTCCCGAATAGCTAGGATTACAGGTGCATGCCACCACACCCGGCTAATTATTTGTATTTTTAGTAGAGACGAGGTTTCACCATGTTAGCCAGGATGGTCTCGATCTCCTGACCTCATGATCCGCCCGCCTTGGCCTCCCAAAGTGCTGGGATTACAGGTGTGAGCCACTGCCCCTGGCAAATTGTAGTAAATTATTTAAAAATAACAATATCTTTGGCTTGGGCATGGTGGCTCACACCTGTAATCCCAGCACTTTGGGAGGCTGAGGTGGGCAGATCACTTGAGGTCAGGAGTTCGAGACCAGCCTGAGCAACGTGGTGAAACCCTGTCTCTACTAATAATACAAAAAAAATTTAGCCGGGTATGGTGGTGCCTGCCTGTAATCCCAGCGACTCGGGAGGCTGAGGCAGGAGAATTGCTGGAACCTGGGAGGCAGAGGTTGCAGTGAGCCATGATCACACCACTGCACTCCAGCCTAGGTGACAGAGCGAGACTCTGTCTCAAAAAAAAAAAAAAAAAAAAAAAGCCAAAACAAGAAAAACAATATCTTCAGTTCATATTCTAAAAAGCAGAAGTGAATTTTACTTTATGAATAGAGCACTTTGCAAATAATTCTTTGTTGACCAAATATTTTAATGCCTGCATGAGTTAAGTAAAAGCTGTTCTATGAGAATTATAACATTGTTATTTGGAAGAATATATTAAGAGGAAGCAGACTTATGATTTGTCATTTAATAGATAATCCAATACTATAGGATAAAGGCAGCTTATTGGAGAAATGATTTTAAAAATATTTTCTTGCACAATTTACAAAATTTAGTTTAAAAAAATTGTCCAGTAATTTACCCCCACTTACTTGTGAAATTATGAGCTCTTTATTTCTTCTTCCCTTCAAATTTATCTTAACAACTTTTTCAAAACTTTTAACTTTAATTTTTATTGCCAACAAGTTGCTAGGATAGTACAAATAACTCCTAAATCTCTTCATCCAGAGTCATCAATTATTATCATTTTTCTACATTTCTTTCCCCTCTTTCTATATATACATATATGTAATTTTTTTCCTTTTTCTTAAACCACTTGAGACTTAATTATCAATATCATGCTTCTTTACCCCTAAAGTTCTTGTTTTTGTCACTCACATTACCTTCAGCTATGAGGCTTGTGGGCTTCTCTCGTGGTTTTATTCATTTTTTCACTTTTAACAGTTTTACTGAGGTATAACTGAGATACCATACAGTTTATTTTAGACTGCATTTTTATTCCTTCCTTCCTCTCACTGGCAGTTGCTGGTACAGTGCTGCACCTGGCTGAGTGAATGGTTTCTTTTGGAGCTGATAAAGCTGCCTTATGAAATCAGCTGACAGGTATATTATACCTACAGATGATGCCTTTTCTCTCAGAGCGCTTGGGTTGAGATTGACCCACTCCACAATTGCTAGTGGACATTCTGAGCAAAAGACCACATTTCTGTCCAATTTTGTGAATGTAACTATCAACTCATTTGAACTCTAAAACACTTAAGTTGTCATTTTACTATAGTGTAAAGATGACCGTAGATCTAAAAGATATTTTTTCTGAATTTTGACATTGAAGGAAGAAATCTATTTTTAGAAATCAAAAATGAAGAACTCACGCCCTTTAGGTTGCATACTTGGTTCTGGAGTGGCATGGAAGATGTTTGGAATGGCTGACCCTCTGTTGCTTTCACTTGGGTTGTTTGCATTTTTATTTTTTAAATATATTGCTTGGTGATCAGCGCATTTTTATTGACTTAATAGTTGTGTCTAAACTATTATAAAGCCAAATTGGGTAGTGTGTAACTCCTACTAATGTATTTCTCTCTTTTTTCCTCACAGGGATGAATTGTAAAAGCAACATCAGCTTGACCAGTATAAAATTACAGTGGATTGCTCATCTCAGTCCTCAAAGCTTTTTGAAAACCAACACCATCACAGCTTGTTTTGGACTTTGTTACACTGTTATTTTCAGCATGAAAATGTGTGTTTTTTTAGGGTTTCTGATTCTTCAAAGAGGCACAGAGCCAAATTGGTAGAGGAAGGATGCAAAGTATAAATTTGTGTAATATTACTTTAACATGCCCATATTTTACTTGGAAATATTAAAAGAAAGGGTTCTGTAAAATGGAAAACTTAGTTTGTGAATTGATTTTGAGGAGTGGTTTTTCTTTTCTTGGACACTTAATTCTGTTCTGATATTAATTTATCAGATTGCTTTTGTGCATTGGATAACACCACCATTCACAAGTTAAGATTCTTGGTATTTGGATATCTGTTAGATGCTACTAAGAAAATAGAGATGAGCTTTCTTTTTAAAGCTTTTGATGTGGTGTCATAGAATAGCATGTTGTAGATACAATCAGCTGCTTTGTTACCTTAAAACTAGGCATTTGTAAATATTAAACCATAAGATGGCAGGTGATGTCCTGTAAACACTCAGCTGTTCAGATTGGACATAACTGACTTAGTTCTTCCCTTCTCTCTCTCTCAAAATTATAGGAGACTTGTAGTTTAGTGTGGTTTTCTGTTTCTAATTTGCTGCTGATAATGTATATGAACTTAACATGCTGTGTAAGCTGTGTCCTAGTTCTTGAACAGTTTATGCAGTGCTGCTTTGCCAAATAAAGTTAAAAGTAAAAGAGGCATTGGTTGTTTTTGAATATAGAAGGAAGAACAGCAAGTCCACCAGATAGGGAGTGTTTACGATCATGGGAAAAAGACTGTTTCTCTGGTTGTTTCCTTTTGCGAAGTCTGAGTAAGTAATTAGCATTAATCCAACTGTACATTGTAGAATGTGACTACACTGCTCCAGGGCCAGGACCGTACTTCAGTCGTCATTTCTCTTTGACTCCCTAGCCCAGGGCTTGCCCTGTAGTAGCTATACAGTAAATGCTGGTGAGTGAGTGAGTGGTGAATGAATCGACTTAAAGTCAGGAAAGAACAGGATTGAGGGTGAACAGACCAAAACCCATCTCTCACCTATACAAAGATTTATTAATATAATGACTATAGCTGAATTTCTAAGAAGGCAGTAGCACTTTGGGATCTTATTTAAATGTTGTGATTTATAACTTTTATAAGAAGTAGTTCTGGAACTGAGGAAATATAAGCTCCAGAATGAGCAGAATCAGCACTCCCAGCAAAGCCCTTCTACTGGGTGCATGTGTGGGTGCGTAATTCTGGCAAAGAACCTTCGTGGGCATGTGAACACTCCCCCCAGCTCTTGAAAAAAGTCTTAAATATTACTTCTTTACAAATGGCTTTTAGGCTGGGTGCGGTGGCTCACGCCTGTAATCCCAGCACTTTGGGAGGCTGAGATGGGCAGATCACCTGAGGTCAGGAGTTCAAGACCAGCCTGGCCAACATGATGAAATCCCCTCTCTACCCCTCTCTACTAAAAATACAAAAATTAGCTGGGCATGGTGGCACACACCTGTAATCCCAGCTACTTGGGAAGCTGAGGCAGGAGAACTGCTTGAACCAGGGAGGCAGAGGTTGCAGTGAGCCAAGATCGCGCCATTGCACTTCAGCCTGGGTGACGAGTGAAACTCTCTCAATAAATAAATAAATAAATAAAATGGCTTTTAAAACTGATGCATCTTTTCACAAGTGCCTCTTCTTGGGTAAGGTCTTAGACACAGGAAACTAGCATTATTTGGTGCCCAAAACTTGAGAGTTTAAATTTATTGTTGGCTTCAGTTTGCTGCTGTTAATTGCTTCCATACTCAGGCCATGAATCCCTGTGGTCCAGGACTAGTCCATTTTAAATAGTTGTAAAGGTCAAATATTCTTTTTTTTTTTATTTTTTATTTTTTGAGACGGAGTCTCGCTCTGTCGCCCAGGCTGGAGTGCAGTGGCGCGATCTCGGCTCACTGCAAGCTCCGCCTCCCAGGTTCACGCCATTCTCCTGCCTCAGCCTCCAGAGTAGCTGGGATTACAGGTGCCCGCCACCACGCCAGCTAATTTTTTGTATTTTTAGTACAGATGGGGTTTCACTGTGTTAGCCAGGGTGGTCTCGATCTCCTGACCTTGTGATCCCCCCACCTCGGCCTCCCAAAATGCTGGGATTACAGGCGTGAGCCACCACGCCCAGCCAAGGTCAGATATTCCTTACAACTGAAGTTAATTCTTAAATGTATCCACTGGTCTGTGTCTTTCATAGCCATTACCAACATTTTACTATATATGAGTCTCTATGTTTGGTTTTGGGAATAGAAAAGGGCCCTTACTCTCAAAAGTGTGAAGTCTGTTTGAGGAGACAATTATATAAATATGACAAGACAAACTTAAGTGCCACCTGATTAGTACAGACAGTGCTATGCCTTCAGCATTGTTCAAGCACTGCTCTTGGACTTTACATGTTTATGAATTAAAATTGTAGAATGTTGAATAAACAGGAATGGGCTTTAAGGGAGCATGAATAAATGGGTAGAAACGGAAATAATGGATTTTAGCTAGGCCTAAGAGTTTTTTTTTCTGTAAGATGTGTGTGTGTGTGTGTGTGTGTGTGTGTACAGGTTACAGGCAAGAAAAGTCTCCTTAATCTTTAGTATTCATAATTTCTAAAACATTTCCTTATGTCATTTTCCTTAATAGACATGATTCCTTTACATAATATGAAGGGCAACAATGAAAACATTTCAAAAAGTTTCAGTCTAGTGAGATCATGTTGAAATGAGATTTTTTCTACAGATTTGGTTTTATTAAAGGCCAAATCAAGCTCTCAAAATTTATGTAATCTTGCCCAGGCATGGTGGCTCAAACTTGCAATCTCAGCACTTTGGGAGGCCGAGCGAGGAGGATTGCTTGAGGCCAGGAGTTCAAGACCAGCTTGAGCAACAAAGTGACATCTTGTCTCTACAAAAAAACAAAAATTAGCCAGGCATGGTGATGTGCTCCTGTAGTCCTAGCTACTTGGGGGGCTGATGCAGGAGAATTGCTTGAGCCCAGGAGTTCGAGGCTGTAGTGAGCAAAGCTATAGTGAGCTATGATCATGCCACTGCACTCCAGCCTGGGCAACGAGTAAGACTCAGTCTCTCCCTCTCTTTTTTAAAAACTCTTTTCCTCCACCCTTCTAATAGAAACCTAAGAAGCCTATCTCTTAAAACAAAAACCACTTATATAATCTAAGCCTGAATTATGAATATCAGCTTTTTATTGAGGGTTTCTTTTTTTTGAGTGCAATGGTGTGATCTCAGCTTACTGCAACCGTCACCTCCGGGGTTCAAGCAATTCTGCCTCAGCCTCCCAAGTAGCTGAGATTACAGGCAGACGCCACCACACCCGGCTAATTTTGTATTTTTTTAGTAGAGATGGGGTTTCACCATGTTGGTCAGGCTGGTCTCGAACTCCTGACCTCAAGTGATCCACCCACCTTAGCCTCCCAAAGTGCTGGGATTACAGGTGTGAGCCACCACACCCGGTCGAGGGTTTCAACTCTTTTCCAGTCAATAACATTAGAAGAAAATGACATTCTGGGAGGAAAATAATCCATTAACATTGTTCATGCAAGTGTTTTAAATTCCACTGCCCTAATTTTAAATACTGCCATTGTTCAAAAAAAGTTCACTGTGCAGTGGTGCGATCTCGGCTCACTGCAACCTCTACCTCCCGGGTTCAAGTGATTCTCCTGCCTCAGCCTTCCACGTCACCATGCCCAGCTAATTTTTTGTATTTTTAGTAGATACAGGGTTTCACTGGGTTAGCCAAGATGGTCTCCATCTCCTGACCCTGGGATCTGCCTGCCTTGGCCTCCCAAAGTGTTGGGATTACAGGCGTGAGCCACCGTCCCTGGCCCACTGAACTTTTAAAATTGGTATATAATGTACCTCTATTAAAGCATCTTAAAAATTCAATTGATCTAAAATAGACTGACATCTTTGAGTAATAATGCTCATGAATTTTTGAAGCTATTCTTGGTGTGTGATTGTCAGCCAGGAAACAGCTGCTTAGTTTTGTTTCATTAGCCAGGTGGGTATTTTTGGTTTTCAGCTAAATGTTAACAAATTTTCAATAGTTTGATATTTTACTAAAATATATGAGTATGGTAACTGAACACTAATATTGTAAATGAACTAATGGATTATTTTTAGTGTTCTAAATGGGGTTCAGAGGCTAATACATTATTTTAGGTAAGTGCTAACATTCTTCTAGGTATAAATCATTGCCTACAACTTATTGTGTTCTTAAAGAACTGAACAGTAAAACAAATGGGTTCTGATTGGATTTCAGTTGGATCTCTGGATTCCTCTGACCATTTTCCAGAAAGATGAGTGTTGTGTTCTCACTGAACCTAGCACGTGGCTCAAATAGAGGGCTGGTGAAAGAATCCCACTTGAAGAAAACCAGCTGACCCAAGGGGCCAAGGAATGTTTGTGTATTGTAATATGATAAAAAGGAAATCAGGCCGGGTGGGGTGGCTCACGCCTTTAATCCCAGCACTTTGGGAGGCCGAGGTGGGTGGATCACCTGAGGTTAGGAGTTCAAGACCAGCCTGACCAACATGGCGAAACCCCATCTCTACTAAAAATACAAAATTAGCCGGGTGTGGTGGTGGGTGCCTGTAATCCCAGCTACTTGGGAGGTTGAGACAGGAGAATCACTAGAACCCAGGAGGCAGAGGTTGCAATGAGCCGAGATCACGCCACTGCACTCCAGCCTGGGCGACAGAGCCAGACTCTCTCAAAAAAAACAAAAAAGAGGGAATCAAGTCCAATAATTTCCTTATCCTTAATCCTTCTAATATCATTGCTACAATAATGATTGTTGGTTCCCCACTTCCGGCTTCATCTTTCTGGCTTTTTTTTTTTTTTTTTTTTTTTGAGACAGTCTCTCACTCTTTCTCCAAGCTGGAGTGCAGTGGCGCAGTCTCGGCTCACTGCAACCTCCGCCTGCCAGGTTCAAGTGATTCTCCTGCCTCAGCCTCCCAAGTAGCTGGGACTACAGGCGTGCGCCACCATGCTCAGCTAATTTTTGTATTTTTAGTAGAGACAGGGTTTCACCATGTTGGCCAGGATGGTCTCGATCTCTTGACCTCGTGATCCTCCCACCTCAGCCTCCCAAAATGCTGGGATTACAGGCGTGAGCCACCATGCCCAGCCCCAGCTTCATCTTTTTAACTGACTTTGTGTTGTTTCAGTCAGGAATCTCTGTGAAACGGCCCTTTGCTTGCTGGGAGAGAAAATAGAGTAAAATCTAACTTTCAGTTCCCATATAGTACTGTGCTGTGCTAGGGGGCCCTCAGAACCTCTGAGGCATGCTTCTGTCTGTCCCTCCTCTCACCCCCCTGTTTTTCCTCATCTTTCCACCTCCCTGGCAGAAAAAAAGTTAAAGCTGTGGTCTCACAGATTGCAGTTCATGGTTCTGATTTCTTTTTCTATACACAAATCTCTAGATCATATATTTACAGATTTATCAAGATCTCTAGTTTCATCTGTAGAACTGTTTTGTTTATATGTAAGAACTCTTTTGATTCATTTGGATTTTGAGTATTTGGTCATATGAAATGACTATGAAAATGAAAGAGCACCTTTAAAAAAAAAAGCCCGTACACTATTTTCCTGAGCTTTTTTTTTTTTTTTTTTGAGATGGAGTCTCACACTGTTGCCCGGGCTGGAGTGCAGTGGCACTATCTTGGCTCGCTGCAGCCTCTGCCTCCTGGGTTCAAGCGATTCTCCTACCTCAGCCTCCCGAGTAGCTGGGACTACAGGCGTGTGCCAGCACGCCCAGCTAATTTTTTTTAGTAGCGACGGGGTTTCACTATGTTGGCCAGGCTGGTGTCGAACTCCTGACCTCGTGGTCTGCCCACCTCGGCCTCCCAAAGTGTTGGGATTACAGGTGTGAGCCACTGCGCGTGGCCTTTTTTTTTTTTTTTTTTTTTTTTTTTTTTTTTGAGATGGAGTCTTGCTCTGTTGCCCATGCTGGAGTGCACAATCTCAGCTCACTGCAACCTCCACCTCCTGGGTTCAAGCGATTCTCCCACTTCAGCCTCCCAAATAGCTGGGCTTTACAGGCTTGCCACCATGCCCAGCTAATTTTGTATTTTTAGTAATTTTTGTATTTTTAGTCTCACCATTTTGGCCAGGCTGGTCTCAAACTCCTGACCTCAGGCGATCTGCCCACCTCGCCTCTCGAAGTGTTGGGATTACAAGCATGATCCACTGCACCTGGTCCAATTTCCCTAAGCTATTTTTGTAAAAGTTAACATTATTTTTGTATTAAAATATTTTGAGAAGTTTCCTAAATTTTGAAATAACTTCATAAAAGGATTTAAGCTGAATAATATTATAAATTGATCTCTTTCCAATTTGCAGGGTGATGACATAAGATTTTAAAAACTGATGTGATTTGAGAATTAAAATAAGTAGGAAGGAAGATATGCTTAGACCTAAATATGGGAAATATAGGAGAAGGCTCAGTTCTAACCAGTCAATTCCCAAAAACATTCAGCTTTGGGATGTCGAACCTTATTTTTGTCCTTGGTGGTTTTCTATTTAGCTGGAGAATCTGTGTTTATCCACTAAAGTAGCTATAACTTAAAATATTCATTTTATTTTTAGAATACTAGAATCCAGTAGGTCGGAAAATGGGGACAGGAACAGAAAAGTCTGCAACACAGATGCTTAAAAAGCCAACGAGACGAGAAATTTGTGAATGGCAAACTGCAAACTAAGCTTCTCCCTCTTTGTATTCAGCTTGGGCAGTTCTTTGTTAGAAATTCTCATTCAATTTTAATCTGAAAAGTTGTAGAAAACCTGGAGTCCAGAAAACAAAACATTAAAGTAATTCTGCTAGGAATAAAGTGGCATAATCCATTTTGAGAAAGTAAGCCAAAACATGAAATTGTTTTGAGATGCTATAGTTGAATTTAACAAGGAGCCCAAATTACGGAATCTCAGGCTCAGATGCTGTGTTAAGAGGCATCATCAACATGATGTTGAGGGAACATCTGAAGGTAAGGATGGTGGCTTGTGTTCTGGGGCACAGCACACCTGTTTGTTTACACAGGTGAAGTAATCAACAGAGTTGGCCTTGAACAGCAAAATGGAAAGGGAAATAGAAATATGCATCTCGGCCAGGCATGGTGGCTCACGCCTGTAATCCCAGCATTTTGGGAGGCCGAGGCGGGTGGATCATCTGAGGTCAGGAGCTTGAGACCAGCCTGGCCAACATGGTGAAACCCCATCTCTACTAAAAAAAATACAAAAATTAGCTGGGCATGGTGGCGCACACCTGTAGTCCCAGCTAATCGGAGGCTGAGGCACGAGAACTGCTTGAACCTGTGAGGCGGAGGTTGCAGTGAGCTGAGGTGAGATCATGCCACTGCACTACAGCCTGGGCAACAGAGTGAGACTCGGTCCCAAAAAAAGAAAAAGAGCATCTCTATGTGTGGGTCAAAGGAAAATCTAGTAAAGGGCCATGTGAACAGCCATCAGTAACTGAAGAGAGGTGTTGCTGAGTGGCACTGAGTTGTGGGGCCAGAACACAGGTTTTGAAGTCATTGGGAGCAAGATGAAAAAAATCCTGTTATTTTCCTATGGAAGAGAATGTATTGGGTACTCAGCTGATTTGAAACAGTAAAATGCTGTGGAAGGCTGGAGGAGTAGCTGCTATCTACTAAGAATGAAAGGAAAAAGTAAGTTTTAAGTGTTCAGGAGGAGTTAGTGAGCCTTAGGAAAAGACATGTAAAACACAAGAACATGTTTAAGAGAGAAATTGTGGACACCTTTCCCTTTAAAATTATGTTTCCATTGTCTTAGATGCAGAACTCCTTCAATCAGATAATCTACAGGTAAGAAGATCACTTTTAAAAGTCACATTCAGTCTACCTGATATAAATATTTTGTAGACCTTGATTCTCCTTCCCTCGAGTATGCTTTATGTGGCCCTGGGCATGTCACTTTCTCTAATACTCAATTTCCCCCGTTGTAAAATAGGGTTGGTATGATTGAATCCAAATAATGCAGTAACAGCTCAGTCAATAATAGCAACTTATGATTATATTAAAAGGAAAAAAAGGCTTAATAATAAAATACAATTTATTAAAGGAATCATGTTTACATAGATACAGAACATCTTGGATATTTCAACACCATAGCAACACAAAATTAATTTCTTCATGTATAAAAGATGTGCTGAAAGCTGCATGCCTCATCAGTTTTTATTTTATTGGTTATGGCTATAGTTGACATCTTTCCATATAAAAACAAACTGCACAGCATCACATATAGAGTACAGACATCTTAAGTTCATTCACAAAGTTAATTTTTCTAAACTGCCCTTCAAAAATTTACATCTTTGCTCAATTCTAAACATTCAACAAAATTAGCTTCCCAAGAAACAAAAATGATACCCAATTTCTTTGCTTTTCTAGAAGTAACTTTCCATTTGTTCATGTATTTTGATATGTTATATTCCCCACCCGAATTAAACCCTTTGTTAAAAGAACAACCTACTTTAGGTTCAGTCTAAAAATAAAGCGTACTAGATTCTGGAGTGTTTTTCAAATATTTTAAAATATTTGCCACTTATGGTTAAAAAAAACGTGAATAAGAATATCATGTGAGTGTAGATAGGCACCATACTATACACTCCTCTCAGAATCATTTCTAGAATGTGTATAATCCCGGCGTTAAGTGATGGTGGGAATGATTTGCCTTTAAAAGCCTACAAATTAAAAGGGGAAAGATGCTAAGCTAGATGCTGGTTTTCTGTAAAGATGAATTTGTGAAAAACTGCTTTATGGTCTAGAAATACGTAAGCCTGGCATTAGCTGATGGCACATTCTAACATTTTATAGCATTAAAAAACATCGACTCATTCCATTGGATGAAAGCCATGGTGACATTTTTACAAAAGCTGTACCCAGGAATCCACTCAACGTCCTCTCTTCAATTGTCGTTTTTCATCAACAAAGCCTATATATATATATATAAATGAGTTGCTGTGCTCTCACCATGGAGCAGTGTTGATTTGATGTAATGAAGTATTAAACGTTCTCCTTGCTCTCTTTGCCTTCAACTAAGTTTCTGTTAGTTTTTGGCATGCCAGATTCTCTGCTTCCATCTTGATTTCCTATCTCACTGCATGACCATCTTAGAGCTGTTACTAATTCAAAGTCTGGGGTTTTTTTCTCCCAAAGGTCAGTCTAAGGAGGCAGCCACCTATATGACATGACGTCAGAGGGATTAGGAAGGACCCACACTCACCTTCCCTAAGGCTTACTGACTTGTACATAAGGTTTATAATTTAGGTATACCCACCCTAAGTAACATCTGATTGAAGGCATGAACTTGCTTGAGATCCACTCTCAGAAACAGGTTTAGAGGGGAAAAGAAAAAGAATACTGGGAGCTTCAAGGAGGAAGAAAAGGGCCACAGAACAAGGGGAAGCTGGGCCTATAGCAGTCCAGCATGGTAAGGGGCCAACAGTTGGCTTCTAAAAGGTAATGGGTTAACACAGTCATCCTAATACCACCTCCTGAGATGCTGAATTTTCTCTCAGCTAAGTACACATTTCTATTTTCAGGGACAGCTTACATAAATCAGAATTATATTTTTAGGAATCTTTAATCATGAATTCCTCTCTAAATTTCAAAATATTTTATGACTTCTAAGGAAACTTTTTTTACAATAAATAATAAAGAAAGATTTGGGATTTGCAGAATCTTCTGGCCCAATTAAAAACAAAAGAAGCTGTAAATATCCAGAACTTAATAGATGTATAAATTATAAACAAAACATGTCCCTGCCCCAAGGTATTGAAATTACATTACTATAGATACATCCCATTTATGAGGTAGTCCGATTCCTCAGATGTAATGGGACGAGCTTTTTTCAGTTTCTGTTTCACCAGTCGTAGTCGGCATGCAACCATGAGAAGCAGCAGAGCAGTGATAGCCAAACCCAGCGCCAGGGGTAGCACTGCACCTTTGAGAAGGTTAGACATGAAGAGGGCAAGCCAGTGATTAGTCACAGTGACAGCTACTGGTCACTATATGATACGCGCTTTGCATGCACTATTTTATTTAATCCAAACAAATTGTTATTAGTATTATCACTATTTTGCAGATTAACTAAGGTGTACCAAGGTTAAGTAATTTGCTTATTTGCCTAGGAGGCTGTAAGTTGTAGGTTCAGGTCCCAAACCTAGACTTTTTTTTTTTTTTTTTTTTGAGATGGAGTCTTGCTCTGTTGCCCAGGCTGGAGTGTAATGGCTCAATCTCGGCTCACTGCAACCTCTACCTCCTGGGTTCAAGCGATTCCCCTGCCTCAGCCTCCCGAGTAGCTGGGATTACAGGTGCCTGCCACTGTGCCCAGCTAAATTTTGTATTTTTAGTAGAGATGGGGTTTCAACATCTTGGCCAGGCTGGTCTCAAACTTCTGACCTCGTGATCCACCTGCCTCGGCCTCCCAAAGTGCTGGGATTACAGGCGTGAGCCACCGTGCCCGGCCAACACAGACCTCTTTAAAACCAAATTCTCTACCAGCTTCCTACAAAATTTGTATGGCATCAATGGGTACACATACTACCATCTGATCACTCATATCCAACTGAAATAGGCATTCTGATCACGAAATTTTTTTGTTGTAGTCATTGACTATATTTATGAATTCATACATGATCATTCTTCAACTAAGTATGAACTAACTCCTGATTTCTTGTTCTAGTTAGGGCTTAAGAAATTTATTTCCTTCTAAATCCAGGGAACTGACTCAGTCAGTAGAACCTTTGTTGAAAACTAACTTCCAAATATGCTGGTGTGATTTTGGACATTAAAGGAAAACATTTCTTTAGTTTTTCCTGTGAGGTGGATTCTAGACACCAGAGTAGAAGTAGCGAGGCTTGCAGGAGTCTGGAAGGACAGGGTGTGCCAATATCAGTCTTTTTTATCAAGCTTAGCAGGCTCTATTTTTAGTCTGATCTACTCTGTGGCCAGGCCAGGTCTGGAGATTATATGGTGGAACTGTTTTTAGCTGTAGGGATCTTGCCAACTGGTAGAACTAGAGGAGAAACATCTCCTTTGTGTAGGCTCATTCTATACCATTTGCTCTCATTTATTCATTCATTCTGCATTCATTAAAAGCCTTCTTCCATGTGCCAGACACTGAGCTAAGTGCTGATAATCCTTTTATTTGTAAATAAATACCACCCCCCTCAAGATAAGCTAAGGCCAAGAATACCAGCTTTATAGCTTAAATCACTGAATTCTCACAACCACCACATAAGTTGGTGCTATTATTATCCCCATTTTACAAATGAGGGAGCTAAGGCATCAACAATGAAGTGAGGGCCAGGCACGGTGGCTCAGGCCTGTGATACCAGCACTTTGGAAGGCAGAGGTGGGCAAATTGCTTGATCCCAGGAGTTCGAGACCAGCCTGGGCAACATGGCGAGACCTTGTCTCTACAAAAAATTATTAGCCAGTTGTGGCATGCACCTGCAGTCCCAGCTACTCGGGAGGCTGAAGTAGGAGAATCACCTGAGCCCAGAAAGTTGAGGCTGTTATGAGCCATGATCAGGCTACTGCACTCCAGCCTGGGTGACAGTGTAAGGGCCTATCTCAAAAAAAAAAAAGAGAAGTGAGGCTGGGCACAGTGGCTCATGCCTATAATCCCAATACTTAGGGAGGCTAAAGCAGAAGGATCACTTGAGTCTGGGAGGTAGAGGCTTCAGTGAGCTCTTAAACTGTACTCCAGCTTGGGTGGCAAAGTAAGATCCTGTCTTAAAAAAAAAAAAAAAAAAGACTGAAGTGACTTGTCTAAGATTGTTAAGTGGTAGAGCTAGCAAATAACCCCAGACAGGACAGCCCCAGAGCCTGTGGTTCTATCCACTATGGTACTCTACTTCTACAAAATGTAAATGAGACAGTTTTTGAACGAGTAAGTCTGGGTAGACAGACATTTAAATGGGAAAAAATGCAACAAAGTGTTATACTTACTATGATAGAATTATAGATGAAGCATAGTTGTATTAATAAAATAGGTGGTCCATCTACCTGGTCTGTAGGATTTTTGCCTGAGTGATTTTGATGTATGATAGAGACTGTTGGGTGGCTGAAGGAGGTAAGTTTATTTTTTGACATTTTCAGATTGAGATGCCTATCAGCGATCAGGTGGAATTTTCTCTTAGGCTTTTGGATTAGCTGGGCCTAAATATGTGGGAGCCTTTAGCATAAAGGTGGTAGCTGCAGTCACAATAGGGGTTAGGACAGCCAGAGAGAAAGGAAGAAGAAAGGTGAGCCAGGAACGAGGTCCTGGGAAACACCAGCATTTAGAGGGCAGACAAAAGCAGAGGACCAAAAAAAAACAGAAGAAGACCAGTCAGAGAAATAGGAGGACAACCGCTATAGTAGGGAGTGGGCTTTTGGAAGCTGAGGAAAGAGACGTCCAAGAAGAAAGTCCTCAGCTGAATCAAATGCTAAGGAAATGTCAAGTGAGGTGAAGCCTGGAGAGCCCCCTGGATTTAGCAATTGGTAATTCATTTATGGGAGTACAGAAGATGGAGGATGCTACTTTGTTTCTTTACACATTAAGAAATCTGAACATGATCACAGTCAGGAGAATGAGCCAGTAAAGAAACAGAGATGAAAAACACGGGAGAGCTAGGAGATGATGAGAAATGAACCTGAGGAAATCAGGGGCTTTAGCCAGATCAGGGAGAGACCTTGGAAAGAGGCGACACCTCTTCCTTTAGTACTGGAGGGGAGGAAGAGGGGTGAATGCAACCAGATGAGTTTTTACATTTGGGGGGCAGGTAGCTGAGGAAGTTCACTCCAGACAGTCTTGATTTACTGGGCTTAAAACTGGTCCCAGGTATAGCTGGCCGCCTCTTGAAGACAAGAGGACCTGGAGCTGATGACACACTCACGGCACTTGAACTCTGGTGTATTTTTAGAATCCCAGGTAAAACTCCTGAACAAGATTCTCAAGAACAGTTTGAAAGTGTCTGGTTGCCGGAGGAGGGGATGGGAAAGCTGCTTTAGAGACTGTTAGGTATCAAACAAAGTTCTGGAAGAGGCCAGCATTCCTCCAGAGAATTGTGAAAGATACAAATCGGTGATAACCCTATGGACTGGAATTGGATTCTACGGCTGTCTCATTCCATACACAGCAGTTCTGGAGGTGTCAAGATGGCTGCCTGGTCTCTCCATGCCAGCAGTTTGGGGCTTCAGTAGCTACTACTGCCTCCTAGTCTCCACCTGATGAAAGAAGTTCTGACAAGGCTAAGTGGCCCCAAGGTGTCATTCTCCCTCCACCTTCCTATAAGTTGCATATGTTACAAAGGAACAGGACAAAAAAAGAGACTTTGGTCAATACCCACAGAAAACCCCAGGAACCCCAAATCATTTCTCATGAATTGGACCGCAACACCCAGCCCCAGTCCGGGGGACTTGCTTAAAGATGAGCATCAGCATTTAGGCTAAAGGGTTATGAAGCTGTGGTTGAAGATGCCAATCCCAATGCCGGGGCTCAGGTTTAGCTATGGTAACAATAAAACAGACGAGATCTGGGAAAATGTTCTATTTGCTAAGTCAGATATGAGGCTGCTGAACTGTCTGATCTGATTCCTGTTTAATGCTTTTATGACAAGGAAAATGAAATCTCCCAAAAGTACTTGCCAGAATATTGAAAATTATTCTTGACTTTTAATATTTAGTTGGCTTAGTTTGGATAATTTGAGATTTACAACTTTCTAGCTCCTTCTAAAACACACCATGATGCTATTCTCAGTAACCAGCTAGGGTGATGAATTATGTATTCTGTTCATATGAATGGGGGTGACATTTAAAATATGTAACAGGCTGGGCACAGTGGTTCACACCTGTAATCCCAGCATGGTGGGAGGCTGAGGCAGGAGGATCACTTGAGGTCAGAAGTTTTGAGACCAGCCTGGCCAACATGGCAAAACCCCATCTCTGCTAAAAATACAAAAATTAGCCAGGTGTGGTGGCATGCACCTGTAATCCCAGCTACTAGGGAGGCTGAGGCAGGGGAATCGTTTGAACCCGGGAAGCAGAGGCTGCAGTGAGCTGAGATCGCGCCGCTGTACTCCAACCTGGACAACAGAGTGAGACTCGATGTCTCAAAAACAAAACAAAACAAAAATATGTAACAACCAGAATAGGCAACAGCCAACTAGAGCTGAGACTCTCTGGATACATATGTGTGGGGAGGCAAGAGGCAGGCTGGTTTCCCTCTTCCCTTGATAGGGGACAGGGCCCCTTTTATTCAAATATCTTGGGACAGGCTAAGTCCAGGAGGCCAGCAGACCAAGGGGGTCACCCAGGTACTTGACATCTGGAGTATTCTTAGCTATCTATTGTTTAAACATTATATTTTAATATTGTCCTGATATTATAAATAGGGTAAAAAGAAAGTTTTCTCAATGTTTATAACTTAAGCTTATATTTTGTTCTTCTAAAGCTTCTTTTACTAGTTTGTGGGATTTAAGACTAAAGCCTGCCTTTCTAAAGGATGGTTTCCAAAGTCTTTTCTTCCTAGTTAAAATCAACCAAAATTAAAGAAATTATTGTATTCTTCTTCCACTTAGTAAATATTCTACTTCCTACACCCTTCCCTCATTTCTGTTGTTTTCTGTCTTTGTCACTAGGGCACTTGGAAAGAGAACTAGGTATTCTAAGACCTTTACTCTTCTTTCATCGTAAATAACTGAGTAATAACTGCCATCGTTTCTATATTTGGCTCATCATATGAGCCACACAGTGCATTCAATGCTTGAGATTAATTATCCCATATATTCTTCTCAGCAACCCTATGAGGCAGGTATTGTTACTATCCTCATCTTACGAATGAGGAAACTGAGATCCAGAGAGATAAGATAGCCTGCTCAAGGTCATACAGTTTAGTGGGTAAGTGAGAATTTTTTTTTTTTTTTTTTGAGACGGTCTCACTCTGTCACCCAGGCTGGAGTGCAGTGGCACAATCTTATCTCACTGCAGCCTCGACCTCCCAGGCTCAAGTGATCCTCCCACCTCAGCCTCCCTGGGACTACAGGCGAATGTCACCACACTTGGCTAATTTTTGTATTTTTTGTAGAGACAGGATTTTGCCATATTGCCCAGGCCGGTCTTGAACTCCTGAGCTCAAGCGATCCTCCTGCCTTGGCCTCCCAAAGTGCTGGGATTACAGGCGTGAGCCACTGTGCCCAGCTTTGAGCAAGGATTTGAATTGTGGCATCTGACTCTAAAGCTTGTGTTCTCCCACCATGCCACAAGTATGACATTTTCCACAGGTGTCACACCTGGAAGGGTGTATAGAAAAGGCAGCTGAGGTCCAAAGATGGAAGGTTACTATCAGGAGCCCCAAGACGCAGTGCAATACAAGCAACGAGGAGACAGTTCTTTCGGTCCACTGACGGACTCCTCCTGTCCTGAGCTCTCATGGCCTCAGGGAATATCCTCAGCCAGAGGGCATGCAGTTCTGAGAAGACTACAGTCTGCAAAGGGTTTCCAAGGTGGACATTTACCTGTTTCTGGGGCTGGGTGTTCCCCTCCTCCTCCATCACCCTTTGACTCAAATATATAACTTTCCTCTTTTCTGTTCTTCCCTGAGGAACTACTATCTGCAGAAAAGAAAGAGAACATATATTGAAGGTGTATGCATCAGAAACTTCAGGAAACAAATGTGAAAATACAGCCTTATTTTTTTTTAAGATGGACTTAGAGAAGAACTGTTTATTTCTCTACTAAACAAAGGCCTATGTTTGATAGTTAAGCAGTAAATAACTAAGGTGACCCACTGAATAAAGCAAAGTACGCAGCTAATACGAAACCACCGACAGAGAGAGCGGAAGACACACCCTGCACCGAACTACCACCACGCCTCTTGGAGAAGGGAGATCTCAGGCTAGAAGAGTCACAGGGAGTCTCCGGATATCACGCCATGAAAAGCAGAAACCAGAAAGGTTTTTCTTTGAAGAATAAACAATGGGCATATATAAGGCATTTAGACATGCTCTTTCTCTTTCTCACAACTCTGGATGGCAGGTATAAATAGCTCAATTTTCTTTCTGGTTAGGCTCAGGGTCAGGTTCGTACCTAGGTTCACACAAGTAAGTGGGTCACAGGGCTGGGATGCAAACTGGTTTCTTGGTAGAGACCAGTACTTCTAATTTAATGATATATTACTTAACTATTAAGTTATAATACTGAGGGGGAAATTATTATTATTTATTTACTTTTTTTTTTTTTTGAGACAGAGTCTCTGTTGCCCAGATTGGAGTGCAGTGGCACGATCTTGGCTCACTGCAACGTCCACCTCCTGGGTTCAAGCAATTCTCCTGCCTCAGCCTCCCGAGTAGCTGGGATTACAGGTGCGTGCCACCATGCCTCGCTAATTTTTGTATTTTTAGTAGAGACGGGGTTTTGCCATGTTCCCCAGATGGGCTCAAGTGATCCGCTCACCTCAGCCTCCCAAAGTGCTGGGATGACAGGCGTGAGCCACCATGCCCAGCCTTAAGTGGGATTTTTGAGTATTACAATGCTTAATGGCAATGAATTAGAAATAATCTACTGACAAATTTTATTGAGAAAATTTTTAAAGCTTCTTTACTCATATGGCATCAACATAAATGTTCCTAATTCCTGCAAATGAAATAAGACTATTTAAAGGTAGTATATAAAATTCTTTGGTAACTTGCATTTTGCAAATTTACTAAGTCACAAAGTTGGCCAGGTGCACTGGCTCATGCCTATAATCCTGGCACTTTGGGGACAGTCTACTGTGTCTTGTTACTCTAGAAAGTTCCATGTATGTTGGTCCTACATACAGCCAATAATTTGGGCTTTCTCCATAAACTCTGAGCTCAGACAGAAGGAGAGAGATGAGGAAAGCACAGCCATTGCTCATAGGCTGCAGGATCAGATTTCCCTGCAAAAAGAGTTCTGTTACTGTCCAACTCACTGCAGTAGCCACGACAGTGGTCACCAAGGACCTCTCCAGCTACCTGGATTCTCTTATATGATACCTGATCCCAGGCCAGGTAGTTCTATAAGATTGTATTACATAAGGGCCGCACGCAGTGGCTCATGCCTGGCCAACATGGCAAAACCCTGTCTCTACTTAAAATACAAAAAAAATTAGCCAGGCATGGTGGGCGCCTGTAGTCCCAGCTGCTGGGGAGGCTGAGGCAGGAGAATGGCGTGAACCCTGGAGGCGGAGCTTGCAGTGAGCCGAGATCGCGCCACTGCACTCCAGCCTGGGCGACTGAGCAAGACTCCGTCTCAAAAAAAAAAAAAAAAAAAATTAGCCAGGCATGGTGGTGGGCGCCTGTAATCCCAGCTACTTGGGAAACTGAGGCAGGAGAATCACTTGAACTTGGGAGGCGGAGGGTGCAGTGAGCCAAGATCATGCCACCGCACTCCAACCTGGGCAACAGAGACTCCTTTTCAAAAGAAAAAAAAAAAAGATTTTATTATATATGATTCTGGCCTAGGAAGCTATACTAGAAGTACTGTAAACATCTGCTGACATAGGAAAGCACTATTTAATACAGAAAAATAAGACCATGCAGCTTTTTTATTTTATTATATTTTTACTGCTAGTAGACAGACCAGAGTGCAATTTTTGTGGCAAGTAATTTTTACACTTTTTCTCAGGGGTGAGGTAGTTAATAGGTACATATTTAACCACTGCTTTTATGGTGCAAATCTCATGGTGTTGATATCCATATTGAAAATATGAGTATGTTTTATTTTCTTTTTTTTTTTTGAGACAGGGTCTCCCTTTGTTGCCCAGGCTAGAGTGCAGTGGTGCAATCTCAGCTCACTGCAGCCTCGACTTCCCAGGCTCAAGTGATCCTCCCACCTCAGCCTCCCAACTAACTGGGACTACAGGTAAGCATCACCACACCTGACTAATTTTTCTATTTTTTTGTAGAGATGGGGTTTTGCCATGTTTCCCAGGCTGGTCTTGAACTCCTGAGCTCAAGCAAGCCTCCCGCCTTGACCTCCCAAAGTGCTGGAATTGCAGGTGTGAGCCACAGCACCTGACCTAAAAATATGAATATTTTCAATAGCATTTTGAAGGTTCAATGTAAGCCTTGTTTAGATTACTACAGAGACTCCAGTGAATGTTCCTGAGCTTTTGCTTGGTAGAGATATAGAAAACATTACTGTGTTTTAAAGTCAATAATGCCTGATTTTTTCAAATGCCAGTTGCTCGTGGATCTCCAAAAGAAACACAAGATTTGTTCTGTAGAGATATAAATCAGTGATATGCAAAACAGTCCATCCAGCAGCCGCACACACAAAACTAGCAGCCCTGAAACAGCTTGGAAATCAAACTGCTAAGTTACCTAAAAACCACTTGTGGCACTTCTCCCTTCATCCCTTTCCTCCTCCCCCATGCCGTACTGCCAGGTTAGCTTGCAAAGGAACTTCTATGCATTCTGCTTTATCTCTCTCTCCAATAATAAATTTGGAAGTGGGAAGATCACATGGTGGGAAACTCAAGTCCTACTTTTTAAAAATAATAAGCCAGGGCCTGGGCATGGTGGCTCACGCCTGTAATCCCAGCACTTTAGGAGGCCAAGGCAGGTGGATCACTTGAGGTCAGGAGTTCGAGACCAGCCTAGCCAACATGGTGAAACCCCATCTCTACTAAAAATACAAAAATTAGCTGGGAATGACGGCACACGCTTGTGATCTCAGCTACTTGGGAGGCTGAGGCAGGTGAATCGCTTGAATTTGGGAGGTGGAGGTTGCAGTGACCCCAGACAGCGCCACTGCATTCCAGCCTGGGTAAGAGAACGAGACTCCATCTAAAAAAATAAATAAAATAAAATAAAATAAAAATAAAAATAAAATTAAAAATGAGCCAGGAATAAAAACAAAGTGCCAAAATTCACCAACTCCCGATTTTTTTCAGAGGACTAACTGGTTTGTCTTTCACCCAATAAAAAAAATAAGATAACTGCATTTACAGTGTTCACCTCACTGTTTCTTCCCAATGAAGATGAGAGCTTGCTCATCTTAATTCTTAAAGGAACTCAGTACTGGAAACACTACTGCACTATTTCTATTTTTTATTTGAATTAACTGCCTTATACACTTGGCGCTCTCTTACCCTGGTTTCCTAGCGAATACCACTGGACTTGAATGTTCTAGCAAAAATTCAAACAGCACTAACATTTACTGAGAGACATCAATTATATTTACATATAATATCTCCTGCAATCTTTGTAGCCATATTATGAGAGATTATTATCCTCTTTTTTTTTTTTTTTTTTTTGAGACAGAATTTCACTCTTGTTGCCCAGGCTGGAGTGCACTGGCGCAATCTCGGCTCACTGCAACCTCCACCTCCTGGGTTCAAGCGATTCTCCTGCCTCAGCCTCCCGAGAAGCTGGGATTGTAGGCATGCACCACCACGCCTGGCTAATTTTTGTATTATTAGTAGAGATGGGGTTTCTCCGTGTTGGCCAGGCTGGTCTCGAACTCCCTACCTCAGGTGATCCACCCGCCGTGGCCTCCCAAAGTGCTGGAATTACAGGCATGAGCCACCGTGCCCAGCTGAGATTATTATCCTCTTACAGGTAAGGAAATGAAGTTTAGAGAAGTTGATTACTTAGTAGCTAGTAATTGGTGGTGCTGGAATTAGAACCCAGGACTGATCCAAAGCAGTTTTCCATTGAACCATACTGCTCTCAAGGTCACAACTAGCAAATACGAGTTTTTTACTCCAAGAACCAAGTCAATACTATATTTATTTACTCATACCCAGGCAAAATCACACACTTTTAAATGATTTTTAGGAAGGTTCTGGACAAAGCTTTATTAAGGATGCAGTAGAGAAATTGGCTAACTGTACTTGCAAAAGGGACCTAACCTCACAGGTGGGTTCATGTAAAAAACTATGCAAATTCTTTCTGAATCTTCAGTTGTCAAAATTAAAGAGCACTTTCTTTCTTTAAGAAAAATTTTTTTAAACAGCATTTTCTTAAATGCCCTTATTCCCTGGGGAGAGGAAGATGGTGATGTAGGGAGGGATCAGGTATCAGGCAGCGGGCAGTGTGCATGGGAGACTTCAGAAGGCGCAGTTGCCCCAGACTCTAGGATTACCCAGGAACCTGGCCCTGCCTTCTGGGTAACTGAAATGTGAATTTCTGCTGTTTACATTCCATGAAGGAATTCCCTATGATTTCCCAGTCTGCCTGATTCATTTTTCCTAGATTTCAGCATAAGGAACGCCATAGAGAAATGCTTCACTTTCACACATCCAATCACAGGCTCTAGCCAGTGTGGCGAATCGAAACAAAACAAAACAATGACATCACTTGCTTCTGGAAATAGTTACTTTTGGTAATGATCCTTCTGGAAGAGTTACATGTCTTAGGAGACCATTTTTCCTTTCTTCTGAATGTATTATGTTTACTATGCATGGCGACACATTCACAGAGGGAATTGGCAGCTGGATGGAAGCTGTTTTCATTTCATTTCCAGCTGCCATAGAGCATGCAGGCATGATCCGGAAGAAATACTTTAACATGCCCAGGAATTCTCAAGTTTCAAAAAGCAGATTCCACGTGAATGTGGATGTAGCACCACTTTTCTAGCCCTTTGTAGGGCTGGAAACCAGATTTCTTTCCTCGGGGTAGCTTGGATACAAGAGGGTGGAATTGTTAATGAATGACATGGACCACACAGAGAACAGGCCCTACGGCTATGACCATGGTCAACAATCCAGCCATTGTGCCTTTACATGCTGAGCAAACACAGGCCACACTGGAGCTCTGTGCTCCTCCTGCCCGGTGGCTCAGAGTGTACTGAGCATGCATTCGCTGGTGTAACTGAATGTCTGCACATACCTTCATTTTATCCTCAGTAACCTGTGTGGAATAAATCCCCAAAAGTGGGACAATTGGGTCAAAGCACACATAGTTTTGTTTTAGAGATGAGGTCTTACTCTGTCACCCAGGCTGGAGTACAGTGGTGGGATTACAGCTCACTGCAGCCTCGACCTCCCAAGCTCAAGCAATTCTCCCACCTCAGCCTTTCAAGTAGCTGGGATTACAGGTGAATACCACAAGCTGATTTCTGTAGTTTTTGTAGAGATGGGGTTTTGCCATGTTGCTAGGGCTGGTCTAGAACTCCTGGCCTTAAGCAATCCACCTGCCTTGGCCTTCCAAAGTGCTGGGATTACAGGTGTGAGCTGCTGCACCCGATCATATACATAGTTTTAAGCCTTCAGAAACTGGCCTCTGGAAGGACGTACTAATTGCATTGCTACCAGCAGAGTGTGAGACTTGTTTCTCTCTACTCTTAGAAACATTAATTATTATAATTCTTCATCATTGTCAATGTGATAGGTGAAAAACTACATCTCACTACTTTGCATGCTACACTGTTAGTATTAATCTTAGTATCTTGTTAACAAGTCTTCCATGAGCTAAGTCTTTTTTTTTTTTTTTTTTGAGACTGAGTCTCACTCTGTCACCTGGGCTGGAGTGCAGTGGCGCAATCTTGGCTCACTGCAACCTCCGCCTCCTGGGTTCAAGTGATTCTCCTGCCTCAGCCTCCTGAGTAGCTGGGATTACAGGTGCCTGACACTACGCCCAGCTAATTTTTTGTATTTTTAGTAGAGATGGGGTTTCACCATGTTGGCCAGGCTGGTCTTGAACTGACCTCGTGATTTGCCTGCCTCGGCCTCCCAAAGTGCTGGGATTACAAGCATGAGCCACCGCGCCCAGCCGAGCTAAGTCTTATTTGTCCTCACCACATGTCTGTGCAGGAAGGAGGCAGCAGTGAATTTAACTCATTCATATTTATTGTACTAGCTGATGGTCTTCTTAAAACCCAGGCATGTGTCATGAACAACAATGTACTTTTTTTTTTTTTTTTTTGAGATGGAGTCTCGCTCTGTTGCTCAGGCTGGAGTGCAGTGGCGCAATCTCAGCTCACTGAAAGCTCTGCCTCCTGGGTTCACACCATTCTCCTGCCTCAGCCTCCTAAGTAGCTGGGACTACAGGTGCCCGCCACCATGCCCGGCTAATTTTTTGTATTTTTATTTTTATTTTTTTATTTTATTTTTGAGACGGAGTCTTGCTCTGTCGCCCAGGCTGGAGTGCAGTGGTGCGATCTTGGCTCACTGCAAGCTCCACCTCCCGGGTTCACGCCATTCTCCTGCCTCAGCCTCCCGAGTAGCTGGGACCACAGGTGCCCGCCACCACGTCCAGCTAATTTTTTGTAGTTTTAGTAGAGACAGCGTTTCACCATGTTAGCCAGGATGGTCTCGATCTCCTGACCTTGTGATCCGCCTGCCTCGGCCTCCCAAAGTGCTGGGATTACAAGCGTAAGCCACCGTTCCTGGCCTTTGTATTTTTAGTAGAGATGGGGTTTCACCGTGTTAGCCAGGATGATCTCGATCTCCTGACCTCATGATCCGCCCACCTCGGCCTCCCAAAGTGCTGAGATTACAGGCGTGAGCCACCGTGCCCGGCCAATAATGCACTTTTAAATCTACTTATGGGTCTTTAACTTACATGAAATCAGAGGCTGAGGACTCTACTCTGGTGGTCTTAGGGACAGCAGAGGGGGAGGGCAGGGACAGCTACTGTCTGAACAGAAACTACAGGATGTGAGGGCTCTTTCTAACATTTTCAGTTTTGTTTTTTTCTTCCCACTTTCTTCACCCCAGGACTTTCAAAAAGTGTGTTTTTGATGAATAGTTAATAATACATGAAAATGCTCATGAGTAAGAAAAAAGTTTTATAAAAGCATTATCCTGCTTTTGTTAAAAATGAATAAATATGTATATGTGTATGAATAGAAGTAACCAGAAGAAAATGCGACAAAATTTTAATGGTGAGTTTTGCTAGATGCTTTTAACTTTCTTTGTATTTTTCTATATTTTCTACAGTAAATCCATATTATTTTAATAATTAGAAAAAGCCCTAATATAATAACTGTACATCTAATCTCTCTGCATCTGTGAAAGACCACTCTTTACATCTTCATAACCAAATCCAAAGGCTGATTATCAAAAAGCAAAAGGAGAGATCATAAATAGATTGGAAATTGGGTGCTGACTCCCATCAGCCGCAGGTGGCAGCCTGGAGCATTATTTTCTTTTTTTTCCCTCCAACTTCTAAGTTCCGGGGTACATGTGTAGGATGTGCAGGTTTGTCACACAGGTAAACGTGTCATGGTGGTTTGCTGCACAGATCATCCCATCCCTAGGTATTAAGCCCAGCATCCATTAGCTGTTCTGCCTGATGCTCCCCCTCCCCCTACCTCCCACCCTCTGACAGGCCCCAGTGTGTGTTGTTTCCCTCCATATGTTCATGTGTTCTCATCATTCGGCTTCCATTTCTAACGTGAGGACATGCAGTATTTGGTTTTCTGTTCCTGCGTTAGTTTGCTGAGAATAATGGCTTCTAGCCTGGAGCACTATTTTCAAAAGGATTCTGAGCTAAGTCCACATTCCCCATGGGACAGTGCTGGGACCAATGAGTGACACCTAGCATGGGTAAGGGCTGATGGGGTAAAGTATGAATGTCAGCCTATTTATCATTCCTCAGTGCTGGACAGCACCTTGGAGGACATCTGGTTGAAGTCCCTTATTAACAGATGAGGCAACTGAGGTCCAGAGATATGAAGTGACTTATTCAAGGTTCTAAAGGTAGAGCCAAGACCTGGGCTTTGGTCTCGACTCTACTTTCAGCTAATTTGTTCATGCTCACGTGGTTCTCTCCACCACAGTAATGTGGTAGGAATTCATCCATCCTGGCCTCTGATAACACAGATCTCTCCATAAACTCTTCACCCCTTCGGCAGTCCTGCCAAAGATGCCTGGTCTGCCCAACTCTGTTTCTTAGATTGTGATGCTCTTCTCCATACAAACTATCTTAAGCAGAGAAAACCCACTAAAACCACATCCAAAGGCTTGCATGTAGTGACCGATTTTACCAGTAGGTGGCAGTACCAACCAGGAATGGACCAAAAAAGCAGACACTTGGCAGCATTCTTAACCAAAACTCAGAAAGAAAAGCCCCTGATAGAATGCAATGTTTTGCAGACATATTTTTATGGAGGCACTTAAAATCTACAAGGCACATAAACAAGAGTGGAAGGAAATATAACAAATATTAAAAGCAGTTTTCAAAAGAGGTGGTATTTTAAATTCACTTTCCTTCTTAAATTATTTTGCATCTTCCGTATCTTGTACAATGAACAAAAATTTTTCTTAATAAACTTACTAAAATCATGTCAGGTTATTTCAATACAACTTATGCAGAGTCTGAAAAGACATTAGAAAAGCTTTTGGAAATGTGATAATCTCTATTTCTGTCTCATGTCACATAATCATGCAAATAATAAGTGTGTAAAAAATGATGGAATCCTGTAATACTTATTGATTGACTGATTGAGACAAGGTCTCACTATGTTGCCCAGGCTGGTCTCAAACTCTTGGCCTCAAGCAATTCTTCTGCCTCAGCCTCCAGAGTAGCTGGGATTATAGGTGAGTCACTGCATCTGGCTAAATTCTGTAATGCTTTAGTCATGTTAATGTATTTTAGGCCAGGTGCAGTGACTCACACCTATAATCCTAGCACTTTGGGAGGCCAGCCGAGGTGGGCAGATTGCTTGAGCCCAAGAGTTCAAGACCAGCCTGGGCAACATGGCAAAACCTTGTCTCTATAAAAAATACAAAAATTAGTCAGGCATGGTGGTCCCAGCTACTACGCCTATAGTCCCAGCTACTCAGGAGGCTGAGATGGGAGGATCATGTGAGTTTGGGAGGCTGAGGCTGCAGTGAGCTGTGATCGCGTCACTGTACTCCAGCCTGGGAAACAGAGTGAGACCCTGTCTCAAAAAAAATAAAAATAAATCTCATTAGCCTTACTTTTTTTAGTGATAGATTTAGTTAAATTGGAGGCATAACGTTGAATTACTAGCACATGCATCTCTTTCAAGACAACTTGTTTAAATGTTCACTTGCTTGGGTGAAGAGGATTTACACAAATACATAATGGTTATGCTGTTTCATCTCAAAACAACCTAAAATTTAACACTTTGGGTATTGGTTTACGTAAGCTAAGTGTTAATGTATTTACAAATAAATGTATTAGTGTCTCTGGAGTAGGTACATGAGTGTATTTAGTAAGTGTCCCTTACTACAAATTAGTGCAAATGTCAAGATTTCCCCCCGCCTTTCTGGCCAAATTCTTAATTTTAACTCTTATTTCAAGATACTTCCTTAACACTCTTCAAACATAAACTTAATTGTGAGCCAAGTTTGGCTACAGAAAACAAGGTTCTTCATTGAGAACCCACCGTGAATCCTTACCTGGCATCACAGGAATGATTTGACTCTCTGGTCCCCAAAAGGCGGAATGATTCCTCTTCTCTGTGTTTGATAATGCAGGTGGCTTGTTTGGGGCAGTGGCTTTCTGAGACTTTTCCACCAAGGAGTCACCCCCTGCATCTTCACTCGGCCCTGTGGTTCTTGGCAGGGCAGGACTAGCTGCCGTGTGGGTTACCATCTTGCGGTCCAGGCCCACTGAAGTGTGGAAGAGCTACTGTTAGTTGCTGGATTTCTTTTCTGAGCTTTAATACTAAAAACACTACATCTGCAGCTGATTTAAAATCACGGATATTTGGATGTAACAGCCCACTCATCTAAGACATGTCAGAGGACCATAAAAATCTATTCTCACGTTTTCAAATGGGTAATCTGTTCTTTCTTCTTCCAATAGTCAGCTTTCCAAATGTTACACATAAAGAAATGGACGGGGCCCAGCACGGTGGCTCATGCCTGTAATCCTAGCACCTTGGGAGGCAGAAGTAGGCAATCACTTGAGCCCACGAGTTCGTGACCAGCCTGGGCAACAAGGCAAAACCCCATCTCTACAAAAAATTAACAAAAATTAGCTGGGCATGGTGGTACATGCCTGCAGTCCCAGCTACTGGGGAGGCTGAGGTGGGAGAAACACCTAAGGCTGGGGAAGTCGAGGCTGCAGTGAGCCATGATTATGCCACTGCACTCCAGCCTGGGTGACAGAGTGAGAACTGGTCTCATAAAAAAAAGAAAGAAAAGAAAAAAGAAATGGACAAAGACTAAACGTAAACTTAAGGTTTTGAGACTCTTCGTCCTTCCTCAAATCCATACTTCATTACATTTTCTTCAGTTTTTCTTCTTTCTTACAGGGTGTTTCTATGTGTATGATATTATAAGACTGATTTACAGCTCTGACTTAGCCACACCCTGGTGTATCGCAAATTTTCTTTAAAAAATTATCAAAACAAAGCATCAAATCACTGCAGTTTTTAAGAAAGCACATGACATGCAGCATTTTTAGGATAGAAAGAACCTGGAAAATTGAAAAAAATTAAAAACATAAGCAATACTAAAAATTTGACATTTGAGACTTAGACTAGAGACATATTGAATTCTCATTTAAGGCATAGCTTTTACATGTAAAGTTATAACTAAAATCAAGCAGGGGAAGGACACTGTGTTTGCATTTCATTCTCAGAACACAGACCTCCCAACTCCATCCCTTCCAGCCACTGCCTAGCAATGTGACATAGCCAACTCACGATTCTGGCAGAAGTCTTCATCAGACCCATCAGGACACTGCTGCACTCCATCGCAGGCGAGCGTGATGTCAATGCAGCAGCCATCGTCACAGAAGAAGTGGTAGCGTGAGCAAGTGTGCAAACATCCTATTTGTAAACAAATCTCAAGTCACACGAGTGCAGAAGTTCAGACTCTCAAGATGGGGATGACAAAGGGGAGTCCGTGGGGATGATAAAATGCACTTCGGGGAAGAGATGCAAATAATGAGGCAAACCTAACAATTCCAGCAACAGGTTCTGGAGAGGTTGGAGGGCTCTTTTTGAGCCTCCCGACTTAATTCTTCAGACTCCTCAGGGGCTCTTGGTCTGAGGGCTGTTCTCCATGCTTGCCTTGCCAGGAGGTGGCACACAGAAGCAACAGCCCAGGTCTCTCTCCACCCTTGATTCCCCGCCTCAGCTGTCTCCCTCTTCATTCATTCATTCATAGAAACCATTGTTGGAACCTCTTCTTCTGGCTGTCGATTGCTCTGCAGGAGGGCACCTAATACCATCCCATCCCCTGGATGGCAGTTGGCTATGTTTTAACAGAGATACCATTTATTTATTTATTTACTTACTTAAGACAAGGTCTCACTCTGTCGCCCAGGCTGAAGTGCAGTGGCACAATCTTGGCTCACTGCAACCTCCGCCTCCCGGGTTCAAGAGATTCTCTTGCCTCAGCCTCTGGAGTAGCTGGGACTACAGACATGCACCACCACACCCGGTTAATTTTTGTGTTTTTTGGTAGAGATGGGATTTCACCTTGTTGGCCAGGCTGGTCTCGAACTCCTGACCTCAACTGATCCACCTGCCTCGGCCTCCCAAAGTGCTGGGATTACAGGTGTTAGCCACCGTGCCTGGCCCAGAGGTACTATTTTACATATGCTATGTCTTACATTCTTGTCTCCTAAGTAATACTTTTCACTGAGATTAAGTTTTTACTATTGAATCCTATTTGTTGATTATCATAACGTCCCTGGTACTGTAGAGAATAAACAAAATTTAGTTATGGGCTGGCATGAATTTAGTTTCATGAAATAATGACATTGGCCAGGCGTGGTGGCTCACACCTGTAATCCCAGCACTTTGGGAAGCTAAGGCGGGTGGATCACAAGGTCAGGAGATCGAGACCATCCTGGCTAACACGGTGAAACCCCGTCTCTACTAAAAATACAAAAAATTAGCCGGGCTTGGTGGCATGCACCTGTAGTCCCAGGTACTCGGGAGGCTGAGACAGGAGAATCACTTGAGTCTGGGAGGCAGAGGTTGCAGTGAGCCAAGATTGTGACACTGCACTCCAGCCTGGGCGACAGAGGGAGACTCTGTCTCAAAAAAAAAAAAAAAGAAAGAAATAACGACATTTCTCCCTTCTGGAGTTCTTAGGAGCTTTTAATTTGCAGTGCAATTCATAGGAGCTACAAATATTTTCCTGAAATGCATTTTCCCTCTCCCTTGATTAAGCCAACTTTATTAGACTTAGCTAGAGGAGAACCGGGTGACTATCTGGTACTGGCAACATGGACTAAGGCACAAGGCTAGAAGCAGGTCACAGGAGCTCCACGGTTTTACAGGGACAGAGTGGACTAGACAATTCTCTCAGGAACATGGGGAAGTGGCAGATTATATGATATTCCTTCAAAACCAAATGGCTGAGCACAGTTCACAAACCCAAGTGAAATCTTGGACATACACTTGGTTTTTTTTTGTTTTTTTTTTTTTTGTAGATACAGGGTGTCACTATGTTGCCCAGGCTGGTCTTGAACTACTGGACTCAAGCAATCCTCCTGCCTCAGCCTCCCAAAGTGCTGAGATTACAGGTGTAAGCCACTGCGCCCGGCCTTGGACACATCTTTTATTGAAACGTGGTTAAATCAAGAGGTTGGAAAAGGAGTCTATCTTGGTGTGAGGCAATTTGAAGATATATTGATCCAGGAGGAAGAGAAGTTAAAGAAAATAAATGGTGATAGAAGCTCCTGCGGAAGAAGAGGAAGCAAAGAGCCTGCAGTTATGACTGAGAACATGGGCCTGAAGGAGAGTCAGCTCCGGCCACTGGGAAGAAGCAGGGAGCGGAGGTGGGGGACACGCTGGATATCAAGCAGGATACAGTTCCTCGTCAGGTTTCTTAAATTCATGGCATGAAAATCCCAGATATCTCAAGGTTTTATTTATTCTTTGGTGATTTTGGAGATGGATCCATATTTGTAAATTTTCTATCTATTTTTGGATTAGCAGCCTCCAAACTTTTTTGATCATGCATCCTGATCAATAATATATTGTTGAACAGGCATCTCCAGTTTATTTATTTATCTATTTATTTGAGACGGAGTCTCGCTGTGTCGCCCAGGCTGGAGTGCGGTGGCACAATCTCAGCTCACTGCAGCCTCCAGCTCCCAGGCTCAACTGACTCTCATGTCTCAGCCTCCTGAGTAGCTGGGATTACAGGCGTGTCCCACCACATCCGGCTAGTCCGGTTTATTTATAAATAATACGTGCATACTACTGTACTAACATGGGGTGTATCTTATAAAATATACTCAAATTTTAAGGAAAAAAATTAAAAATCAGCAAAAATATAAACTCTGCTGTCTTCTTTCTCACCCTAAAAATGTCTTGAACAACTCAGGGGCATCCTGTTTGGAGACTGCTGAGTTAGATCATGTTGGAAGAGCTTGCTGGCTTGCTGTTTGATCATTTTTCTAAGCATGAAAAATGTTCAAAATGTCAACTTATTAAAAATTGAACCAAGTTATGATCATATAAGCAGGGTACCTGCTCATCTGTCTACCTCAGCTAGTGTCACCCTTGGTTACCATAACATCTGGGTCATTCATTGCAAGACCAATACATACAATGCAGGGGAGGGAAACACTTGTCTCTTCTACCTCTATTTTCCAATGTCTCTCTGTGGTGTTTTATTAACTTTAATTCATAGCATGTTATTCCAATATAACCACTAAGTGATTCTAGACAGCAGTTAGTACTTCACCAATTCCTTTTTATTTTCCATATAAAGTTACCCACACAAGACCTATACTCAAGCGGCCACTGAGTAATCAAAAATGATTCACACACCACTCTCTGCTACTTCAAATACAGTTTATTATCATCTTGGAGAAGGGCCAGAAATTTACAGCTGGCAATTTACCTCTGGAGCCCGGAAAGCTGCCTGAGGAAATAAACCAGGACAAACAAGTGGCCGGTGAGGTGCTGGCCATCTGCTCATATCAGTGCAGGCCCTTCCTCCCTCCCAGGCACTTCAGCTGTACAAGAGCAATCCTTTTCTGATTTCTGTGGGGATGACAGGGTATCTGTGTCTTTTTCCCAAGAGTCCCTTCCTCCCAGAGTCAGCACTTGACTCAGACCCTGTCCAGGTGAGTCCCGGTACCCAGGGGGAAAGCCCTCTAGAGGGCGCCCAGATCTACAGAAGTGAGCCATCCCTGCTGGAGACAATGTCATGTCTCCACTGGTCCTGGTGGCCAAGGGACCAATGATGTTTTGAGTAGCTGCCCAGCAAAGGGACTCAACAATGTTTTGAGTAGCTGGCTGGCTCTCCTGTCCAGCTGCAATGAATTAGCAGGGCTGATGGAATCCGGGCTGAGCTGGACAGACTGTTTACTCGCTATCACTGGTGACCTCACAGTGCTGGCACGGGCTGGAGTTTGGTGCCTGTCCTGTCTGTGAATGGTTACCCTGCTTCCTTACAGTAAGCTTAACCCCTGGCTGGACAGGTTGTCATCAGCCAAACAAATTTTTAATGCCGCCTATGAAAATTATCAAAGTTGACAAGTCCTTAGGATCCTAAAATCTCTAACTCCTTAGAAAATTTCATTTCCAGTATGCATACTAACCTCAGTTTTTGATAGAAGGCTAGATCCAATATAGTACAAGTAAATCACAGTCCTGTTCCAACTCTTTTATCCTCATTCTGCACTCTGCTGGCTTAATTACCATCTGGATCCTGAGTATTGAATACTGAGAATTCAAAAATGTCACAGACTTACTGCAAGTTTACCAGAGTCAGGGACCACCAGTGCACCACTCTATCCCCAGTGCCTGGCAAGGACCCTGCACACTGCATACACTAAGAAAATACACGATGACCGAGTAACAGGATATTTAAATGTACAAGACCTTAGCACCTCTCCAGAAGTGAATTGTGTGTGTGGTGAGGGGTTCCCTCTACAATACTACAATATCTTTAGTGTCGCTAAGTTCCATGCAATGGATATTTTAAAAAATTTGATGACCTAATCTTTCTTAGACATGTAGACGTTGGGCTGGGCGCGGTGGTTCACGCCTGTAGTCTAAGTGCTTCGGGAGGCTGAGGCGGGTGGATCACCTGAGGTCAGGAATTCGAGACCAGGTTGGCCAACATGGTGAAACCCTGTCTCTACTAAAAATACAAAATTAGCAGGGCGTGGTGGTGCACACCTGTAGTCCCAGCTACTTGGGAGGCTGAGGCAGGAGAATCACTTGAACCCAGGAGGCAGAGGCTGCAGTGAGCCGAGACTGCACCACTGCACTCCCACTCCAGCCTAGGCAACAAGAGCAAAACTCCCTCTCAAAAAAAAAATGTAGATGTTTAGAAAAGTAAGAAACATAGATGAATGAAATAAGTTTTACATTGTTACATTGTACAACAGAATGTGAGAACCATCATATGTATTTAAAGTTATATTATTAATATAACTGCATCTGCGTAAAGTGTCTATGAAAATGTGTAGGTAGCACTTTCAAATTGATGGGTCCTTTGCGTATTTCAATTAATTTTAACCGTACTCCTTAGCTGCACTCTTTTTCTCTTTCTAAAATTTTTGAAGTGACTTATTATATCAGCAATTGATTACACCCAAGAGCCAAGTCTTTCTTCAATCCTGTGGTATGCCTTTTCCTTGTTTTTTTAATATGTATTTTTAATTGACAAAAGAGGAGAGTATATATTTATGAGGCACAATGTGATGTTTTGATATATGTTTGCATTGTGGAATGATTACATCAAGCTAACTGACATATCTATCATCTCCCCTACTTGTAATCTTTTTGTGATGACAACATTTAAAACCTACTGTTTTAGCAATTTTGAAACAGACAATACATTATCATTAACTATAGTCACCATGCTGTGCAACAGATCACCAGAACCTGTTCCTCCGGTCTCAGTGACACTTTGTACCCTTTGACCAGCGTCTCTCCTTTCCCAGTCCGTCCCCCGCACAGCCTCCAGTAACCGCCATTCCACTCTCTGCTTCCACGAGTTCAACTGGTTTCACTAAACTCCTTAGCTTCCCTCTTGGAACAGATGCAGCAAATGGACCATCCATCTGTAAACAAAGTCCTCTCCCAGAATAGCCAAGCAATTGTCTTTGATGAAGTCGAGTCAAGAGAAGCGGGAGCATCTCTTCTCATCCCCTGGAGTGCTTCCTCCACCCCAACCCAGTAGCATCGGCTAAGCCCAAAACAGAAGAGAGCCTGCTTTTGTTATTGTGTTTTTAGCAAAGACTCTCTCATTCAGCAATAACCAAAAATAAAATGGAAGAGCCCATGGAGCGCAGAGCCAGAGGACAAAGCGCCAACCCGACATTGCCTTCCACAAGCAGTGGGAAGCGAGGGAAGGACTTTCTTCTCACCTCCTGTGGAGTAGGCTGCGCGAAGCACTGTCACTGACACGTTGTCAGAGCTTCTCTGCCCGGCAGTGTCCGTCACGGTCAGCTGGAAGGTGTAGGTTCCCTCCTGTAGGTGGGACAGCTTCAGGGTTCCTGATTGAGGCACCTGCCACACAGATGGGACACATCACGTCGAGCAGCAGACTTGAGCTCCGAGCCCAACACCATCCTCAACCGAAAGTCCATGTCCTCAGAGCAGCCCCAGGACCTGCCTCTGCACTCCGGCCCGAGGCTGCTGAACTACATCACACACTGTTGGCAGCTGGCCCACCTTGAACTCATAAGTTCTAGTTTATTTAGGTGGCCAAGGCCTTGACTGACAATCCCTTCACTTGTCTGCAGCAGTTGCTGCTCCAAACCTGCACCTCATCCCCAGCCTCACGCTCAGGATCCAGGCCCTGCCGTCTCAGCAGGGGGACTCATCAGCTTCAGGGAGAAAATCAGGACCATGACTAGGGCTCCACCACCCACCTCCTCCTGGTACCCTACCTGTACCCACTGTCACTTCCTTCTGACAGCCAGCAGGGAGAAGCTGTCCCTCCTGTGTTCCAGGCCAACCCCTCCTTCTAGTCCTTGCCCCCTTTCTTTCTAGGACCTTTAGAACACTGACACATCGACTCATTTCTCTTTCAAATGGCTCTGCTATTACTATGCTCAAGTTTCTCTCATCCTAAGAAACAAACAAAACAACAAATAAAAAAAATTCCCTGAGCTCTAAGGGCTCACCAGCCACAGCCCCGCTTCCTTCCCATCTCCACTTGGCTCCCTGAAAGGCCTGGCTGTGCCGTGCTTGCTGTTTCTGTTTGCTCACTTCCCATTTAGTCTTCGCCCACCCAATGTAGCTGCTTTCCCCACCATCCCCCTGAAACAGTGCTGGCAAAACTCACTAACTGACCTAGCAAAAGTCTCCTAGGTGTCAAGACCAACAATACTATTTTTAAAAAATCCATGCTTGGTTGGGCACGGTGGCTCATGCCTGTAATCCCAGCACTTTGGGAGGCCAAGGCGGGCGGATGATGAGGTCAGGAGATGGAGACCATCTTGGCCAACATGGTGAGACCCCATCTCTACTAAAAATACAAAAATCAGCTGGGCATGGTGGCGTGCGCCTGTAGTCCCAGGTACTCGGGAGGCTGAGGCAGGAGAATCGCTTAAAACTGGGAGACAGAGGTTGTAGTGTGCCAAGATCACCCACTGCATTCCAATCTGCTGACAGAGCAAGACTCCATCTCAAAAAAAAAAAAAAAAATCCATGTTTAACTGGCCCTCTTACTGTATCTGGCCATGCTGGCCACTTTGGCTGTTTGAAAACCCCTGCTTCCTTGGCCTCCTTTTCTATCCAAGTTCCCCCAGTCATTCATTGCAGAAGCCCTCCTGGGCTTCAGTTCTGATCACTCCCTAACCCAGGGCTCCATGCTTGCCCTCTGCTCTCCCAACATTCACAGGCAGCTTGCTGAGCATGCTGGAACAACAGCTTCTGAAGCTCAGCTCTGTGGTAGGATTTTGGGAGTCACTGCTGGACAGTCAGCCTGAAGACTGTTTTTCCAGCTCTCCTAATGATTCTATTACCTATTTAATATTCTATTTAAAAAAATTCCTTTCTGCTTAAATGAACTAGTCTGGATATTGTCCTCTGCAGAATGCTGACCATTTGACATTCTATTACATTGATGCGTTAATAATGGACTTTGGAAATTACAGAGGATGGGATTGTACTATTATAAGAACCATCTGCTTGTTTTTAATTAGGAAATCCTAGAATTTGGACTGACTTAGGCTTAGAGGATTTGTCAACATTACATATACACACCCATAGGATGCTTTACAATCATTTAGATATAATGAGATTACCGTGGTTGTCATATGTTATGCCACTTTAGCTAAGGTATGGATTTCCAGGTCCCAGCCTCAGAGAGTCAGAGTCAGTGGGTTGGTCAGGAGAGCAGGACCCAGGATTCTACACTTACCAAGCCCACCCAGGTGACCCATGATCACACTGAAAGAAACACTGGTGCGTGGTTAAGAGCACAGAACCCGGTGTCCAATAGACATGGGTTTGAATGCCAGCCCTACCCCGTACCAGCTGGCTGATGATGTACAAGTCACTTAACGTCTCCAAACCTCATTGTTTTCATTTGTAAAATGGAAGTAATAATAGCACCTACCTGATGAGGATCAAATAAGGTAACTCATGTAAAAGAGCTGGGCCTGGCCCATAGTAAGCGCTTAAATATATCCACCATCTCCACTGGTTGATTCTTATCTCTAACTGAACATTACACAATGACTCTTTACAGACAAAGAAACGAATCCCCGTGAAGTGATTTTCATTCACTGCGACAGTGACAGAATTGAGACCTCGAGTTGTAAAACAGTCTACACTGGCCTACAAGCTGTCCACCACTTTCCCTGCAAAAGCCTTACTTTGGAGGGCTGGCAATGACGGCCACCTGCCTTTTGTTGTTTATTTCAAAGAGATGTTAAGCAGTGCTCACTGCCACGCTGTTACATTACCTTCAGGCCCAACTACACTGACAGAATGCCAAACGGGTCATTTACGTGAGTGCTAAAATACTAAGGGCAGCAGAGAGAGCTCTAATGACAATAAGAGAACTTCCAAAGAGCCTGGAGTGGGCTGCTGATGCTAGGAATCAGAACCCACTGAAATAAAAGTGGAAGTCAGTCTGAGACAGGACAAGACCAGATAATGTCTTAATCTGATCAGATAAGACTTGGGGCTCAGGTCTTATCTGTCGGATAAGACCAGGTCTTATCTGGTCAGATAAGATCAGAGAATCAGATAAATAAGAGTGAAAACAAGACTAGAACTCTGGTTTGAGACCTCAAGATTGCATTTAATGATCCTTCTATCTCACCTCCAATCCATCAGGAATTTCCATGGGGTCTGCCTTAAAAACACATCCAGAATTTGACCATGTATCACCCTGTCCGCGGGTACCACCTTGCTCTGACCCCAGCCTGTCTCTTGCCTGGGTCACTGCAGTGGCCAGGAGGCCTGAGCTCTGGGAAGACCAGGGTCTGCTGTCTCCTTTTTTCTGGAAACTTTTCCTCCCACCTTCATCCGCAGTGAGAGGAAGGTCAGTTATGGCCTCTTCCCATGGGCACCAGGCTGAACCAAGGCAAGACAAAGACAGGGCAAGGTGCAGGTGGTGAAGCTCAGAGCTGCATAAGTGGAGAGGTGGGCGGGTGTGTCACAGGCTCTGGCTCTCTTTAATCCTAGCTCGGAACCAGGCTGGTGGGCAGCAGTGCAATAGCTTATGCCCTCATTTACTGTCTCTTGGGACTTAGGAACACAAGGGAGCATGGCTGCAAATGACAGGCATGCTGGAGTATGTCTAGGTGAGACCCTGCAGCCTTCAGTCAAGTAAGGTGACACAAGAAAGCTGCTCTGTCCCAGCTGCTCCGCCTGAAAGCAGACAAGAAGCCCTGAGACTGCCAGGGAGCAGCAGGTGCTGGCCCCCTGCCATGGTATGTGAGTGGAGGCGTGGGCTGCAGGATTGATTCGGAGCAGAGATTTAGAAGGTTGGTGTGACGGGGATGCTGAGTCATGACCAGATTCTGAGAGTGGCCATCGGAGTGGAGACAAAGTTAACAGAGATTTTAAAAAACACCAAGGGGCCGGGCACAGTGGCTCACGCCTGTAATCTCACCACTTTGGGAGGCTGAGGTGGGTGGATCAGTTGAGGCCAGGAGTTTGAGACCAGCCTGGCCAACAATGGTGAAACCCCATCTTTACTAAAAATACAAAAATTAGCCAGGTGGTGCATGCCTGTAGTCCCAGCTACTTGGGAGGCTGAGGCATGAGAAACTCTTGAACCCAGGAGGCAGAGGTTGCAGTGAGCCAAGATTGCACCACTGCACTCTAGCCTGGGTGACAGAGCGAGATCCTATCTCAATATAAAATAAAATAAAATAATAGAATAGAATAGAATAGAATAGAATAGAATAGAATAGAATAGAATAGAATAGAATAGAATAAACCAAGGAAGCACTGAGGCCAGGGAGCTGGGTGTACCATCCATGAGGCTGCTGGCGTCACCCTGTGCCAGAGCTCCCTGCAAAAGTCAGTGAGTCACTGAGCTTCTGGGTGTCAAAGCTCAGAGTGCCAATGTCAGACTAAACTCTGCAGGCCTGCGGTTCACTAGCAAGCCTCTTGTCAACACTGGGGCTGAAAGGACAGAGCATCCCTGGGTCAGGGGCCATCCTCACACCTGGCCTTGGCATGCTTCCCCCCTGCCTGCCCAGGCACTGCCTCTCTGATACAGGCAACACTGGGTCCAGATGCAGATGATGATATCACCTCAGCCTCCTGAGCACACTCCAGTTTAGATCTATCCAGATTGAATGTCCCTTCCCTAGCTCTTTTAGCTAACGAGAGCTGTCTCTCCTGCATTCAGATATTTAGAAGATGTAGAACTGTCACACGGATGCTTTCCCTTTAAGGGCCCAGGTGACCCTTCTATACATTTTCTCCCATTAGGATGACACTGGAGAGAGGGTTTACAGTGTTTCACAGACATGTTCCAAGTATCAGGATAAAAAACTATCTATATATGTACACACAACATATCCAATTTGTAACTTGGAAAAAGACATGATCATAAACCAGGAGCTCCCAATCTCTGCTCAAGATCCCTGTTCAGCAGTAACAGCCTTTGGTGGTTGGCTTCTGGCCAAATCAATGAATGACTCAGCCTGTTGTCTGACTCAACCCCATCTTCCTAGCTAGGAATTCAGTGGCTAGCAATACACGTTTGGGCTTCTCATATATGTCTAAACTAAATTACACACACACACACACACACACACACACACACACACACACACACACACACACACATTGTATATACTTGGTTACAAAGACTTAGTAATACCTGTCTATTTAAAAAAATTATGTACAGCAGGTAGGCCAGGATGCAGTTAGTTTTAATTTAATAATGAAGTTGTTGGTTTAAATAATGCCCATCCTTTAGCAAGCTTCCTTACGTGTGGTTTTCTGAAGTCACTGCTGTAGACTGAATGGCTGAGTGCCCTCCCAAGGTCACATGTTCAAACCTAACGCCCAGTGTGATGGCGTTTGGAGATACGTGCTCATGAATGAGGTTAGTGCCCTTATAAAAGAGGTCCCATGTTATTAAAAAGTAAAAAACAAAACAAAACAAAAAAAACCCCACCAGATGCTGGTGAGGTTGTGGAGCAAAGGGAACACTTACACACTGCTGGTGGGAGTGCAAATTAGTTCACCCATTGTGAAAAGTGGTGTACTGTGGAAAGTGGTGTGACAATTCCTCAAATAACTAAAAACAGAACTATCATTTGACCCAGCAATCCCATTACTAGGTATATACCCAAAGAATACAAACTGTTCTACTATAAAGACACATGCATGCATACGTTCACTGCAGCGCTATTCACAATAGCAAAGATATGGAATCAACCTAAATGCCCATCAACGGTAGACTGGATGAAGAATATGTGGTACATATACACCATGGAATACTATGCAGCCATACAAAACAACAAGATCATGTCCTTTGTAGGAACATGGATGCAGCTGGAGGTCCTTATTCTCAGCAAACTAATGCAAGAACAGAAAACCAAATACCACATGTTCTCACTTATAAGTGGGAGCTAAATGAGAACACATGGACAGAGAAAGGGGAACAGCACAACGCTGGGACCTACTTGAGGGTGGAGGATGGAAGGAGGGAGAGGTTTAGAAAAAAAACAAAACTGCTGGGTAATATGCTTAATACCCAGGTGAGGATATAATCTGTACACCAAGCCCCTAAGTCATAAGTTTATCTATATAACAAACCTGCACATGTACCCCTTAACCTAAAAGTTAAAATATGTTTAAATATAAAATAAAAGAGGCCCCAGAGGGCTGCCTTGCCTCTGTTGCCATATGAGGACACAGTGAGAAGATGGCTGGTTATAAAATAAGAAATGGGTCCTCACTAGACGCCAAAGCTGATTGTACCTTGATTTTGGACTTCCCAGCATCCAGAACTGAAAGAAATTCATTTCTGCTCTTTAGAAGCCACCCAGTCATGGTGTTTTATTATAGCAGACCAAATGGACTAAGATAATCATTTAGAAAATTTTAAGCAACTGACGAATGTAAATCAATATACTGATTTATGAATTCCAAATCTCCTGAATGTCCTACTTTGTATCATGTTCCTAAATGTCATATTTTACATTCTGACTTCAGATTTAAATGTATTATGTTTAATAACCATGAAAGTCAGCATCATTTAATGGGTTGCCTGAAAAATATGTGTCATCTTGCATTTTGATGTATTATAAATATTCAGTTAAGTGGATGTAAAATATCCTGTTCAAGGGCATAAAATATATAACTTTAAATCCAGTGGATAGCCTCTTGGTTCTGACCAATCATCCATTCTGTCTTCACAAATGAAAAAGACAGATCAGGTGCTGTGGCTCATGCCTGTAATTTCAACACTTTGGGAGGCCAAGGAGGGAGGATTGCTTGAGCCCAGGAGTTTGAGATCAGCCTGGGCAGCATAGTGAGACCTCATCTCTACAAAAAGTTAAAAAAAAAATTAGCCATGACTATAGTCCCAGCTACTCAGTAGGCTGAGGTGGGAGGACTGCTTGAGGCTGCAGTGAGCTATGATTGTGCCACTCACTGCACTCCAGCCTGGGCAACAGAGACCCTGTCAATGAATGAATGAATGAATAAACGAATGAATGAGACAAGTCAGGAACATGAGCTTTCCTGTATGCTTAGTGCCTAGTACAGTACTGGACACATACCAGATGCTTAAAAATTAACTATTAATTGTTTCATAACTAATCTGACAGCATAATTCCTTGCAGGTTGAATACCTGTCTGGGTCACTTGGACATGAAAAGATGGGCCCTAGAAGCTGATCTTAAAGTATCACGAGGCAAAGGGAGAGATCACTACTCTGCCTGAGAACAGACAGCAAGGGTGAGGAGCCCGTGCAGATGGTGGAGAGCAGGGGAGATGAGAGGAGGGATGAATGGCTCAAGAAGAGGAGGAGATGGGCGCTCAGGGGAAAGCCCAATCAATGGACACTCTTGGGTGCTAGGGACAGTCAAGGGACTTAGGAACAAGGGCATCCAATAACAGGTTTTAACTTAACTATTTTGCTGTGTGACTGCCCTCCCTCTATTCTCAACAACCTTCAAACTTAGCCCCATTTTGCAGCTTGAGGGCGGAGTGCATCAGTGTTCCAGTCAGCAGGAAGCCATTCTCAGAGAAAAAGGAATTTGATTTGAGAGGCCCAATTCTCCTGGCAGAAATGTTGGGGTGTGAAATAAGGCTGCTCAAGTTAAAGGGATCAGAGGCATAGCTCCTGAGGGTTAATTACTGTTAAAGGAAAATTCTCAAAATAGTAAAGCTATGACTGTCACACAAATATAATATGAATATTTTTCAAAGACATTAGTTAAAGAGGGAACCAATAAGGTGTTCAACTGATTTAAAGAATCTGAAGACTACACATATACAGGCAATCATGAATGCCAAAAAGAAGTTGCTAGGAGATGCAAAACTGAAATGGGTTTGCTAATCAGTACTGAAATGAATCTACTAATAGATCGGTTAGTATCTACATGTACTAAAATGTCATGTTTGAAATCTTATTTTCTCTAGGGTGAAAGTCAATTACCCCTATATACCTAATTTTCTTTTGCATTTCTATGGACAAGAATCATTTGGTTACTATCAGTTTTCTGCAACTTATAGATGTTAACCCTGAAGGATCCACTAACCAACCCAGCATTCCATTGAAAGGTACTTAGTAATCTTTTGCCCACCTCAAAGTCTTCCACAATGTTTCCTGACAGTCTTCATCCACCAAATGGGGATGTGCCTACAAGTGAGGGTGTCCAGTGGATTACAGATCTCTCTAAGCTGCCTGGCACTCAGTGGGTGCTCAATCCGTGGGGGCTTTGATTATGATGAAGTCTCAGCAGGATGAGTGTTAACTTTGGGTGACATTCATGAATGTATATCATTCTAAGACAGTCACAAATTGGTAACAGATGTTTCCCCTAGTACAGGCCCTGTCATTTAGATGATGGCTTCATAACTTGAGGTCTACCTGCCGTCACTGTTATACACGATTGGGAACTGGTTCAGAGTTTCCTCTTGAAGGCAAGAAAAATGCAGCACGAACCCACTGTGTGATGCAGCTACTGACACAGTTCATGTAACGAAGCTCATTAATAGAAGGAGAGGCAATATCTGGATCACAGTAGGTAATGAATGAGTCAGAAAACCAAAGCTTAAATATGGGGTTCAATTAGGGGTATTAGATGTTAAGAAGGGTATGGATTAATATGAGAAAATCCAGACAAGGCAGGATAGTGGCGGGCCTGAAAAATCAATTCATATGAGGAACATCTGACAAACTGTGGGGTGCTGAGTTCTGAGAACAGCATACCAATTGGTGATGTTCTTTCTTTCTTTCTTTCTTTTTTTCAAAGACTTCCAAAGCTTTTACACAGGATAAAAAGATGAGTTCAGTGTTTTTCCAAAGGGAAGACCCAACACCAATGCACAGAAGTAAGGGGAGGCGTAGCCTGCTTGCCCAACACAGTGATGAGTAATGTCATGGACATGATGTGAAGTAGTGAGCTTCTGCCCTTGGAAAAGTCAGACAGATGGCAGATGAGCCTTGGAAGGGGTGTTGTGGAAGGCACTCTTGTTTGGAGGAGAGGCTGGGAAGGATGCTGGGTGTATTAGTCCATTCTCACACTGCTACAAAGAACTGCCCGAAACTGGGTAATTTACAAAGGAAAGAGGTTTAATTGACTCATAGTTCCACATGGCTGGGGAGGCCTCAGGAAACTTACTAGTATAATCACCGCAGAAGGCAAAGGGGAAGCAAGGCACCTTCTTCACAAGGTGGCAGGAGAAACAACCAAATACTTATAAAACCAGCAGATCTTGCGAGAACTCACTCACTATCATGAGAATAGCATGGGGGTGACTGCCTCCATAATTCAGTAACCTCCACCTGGTCTCTCCCTTGACACGTGGAGATTATGGGGATTACAATTCAAGATGAGATTTTTGGGTGGGGACAAAGGCAAACCATACTGGACGAGGGTGAGTCCAATTCTAATGCAATATAATCAGGGAGTAAAATCACTCTTACTTAAACCAGTGATGAGGGACTTCCAGATTTGTTTTTGTTTTGGTTCCAGTAGAGTACAAATCAGTGCCTCCTTACCTCACCCTCTTTCTCCACTTCCTCTAACTGAAGTGGTTTGGATGCAGTTTATCTGCCTAAGCCAGGAAGTGCTTATTTGCCTAAGCCAGGAATCCACCCTGAGAGGGTGAATAAAAAGCCACTTGTCTCACCACCCAAGACTTCCTGAGCATAGGCAGCCACCAGCCACATGGCTGATTTCCATCGGCGGCTATCCCAGGAGCCCCGGGCAGGAGCCCCGGGCAGGAGCACCGCATGCTGGCCTCCCTCCCTCACAGGCTCGGTGTGCCCCAGCAGACCTAGCTGCCAGGTAAGCTGTCTACTTTCCGGCTCATGTGAAGGATAAGTTCATCCTATTGTTATTGTCCTCTTTAGACTCCTTTGTAGTTTCAAATTTTCTACCTGGATCTTGAGCTCAGAAAAAGAAATAGAACTTTAAAAAAGTAATCTGAGTCATTAAAACAAAGCATGAGCCTTCTTCCTTGAAGTGTCTTTGTCCTCTAGACAAGTCACAAACAGCAGCTAGAAGGAGGGTAGGCTCCAAGACAAATGATCGAGATTGCTGCTCACTCTCAGCAGAAAAGCACATTGAGATAATAAACCATTTTGGCATAATCAGTTTTATACAGTCTCCATTTTATGCCTTCTGCTAGCGTACAGACATTTAGGGAGCATGAAGTGGCAGGACATTACAAAAGACCACTTCACTGAAATACTCGTTTTTGTTAGCAGTGACAACATGCGTTACCTTCATGTCCACTGACGGGTCCCCCTGCAGCAGTGCCCACTCATACTGGACGATGGCGTGGTCATCTGTGCTCTCGCGGCCGTCTAGAACCACCCCGTCTGTGGGCAGATGCAGAACCACATCCTGCCCAGCCTTGCTAAGTGGAGGCGCATCCTTTTCTGAGAAAGAAAATAAATAATTCATAAAAGATGATTTCTTATTTTTTCTAATTTATGGAGAGGTATCTTGTTTGCTGAATAGATATGATTCGGCAAATAACTGCTAAGAGAATCCATATTAAATGGAAATTATTTTTCTATTTATTTTATGATCGTGGAATTTAGCTATAATATGCGCAGAAGAGGCTGTGTGGAGTGTTGGCTGGTAGCGATTTTGGGTACAAGGCAGCATACGAGGTCCCACCAATGTGTAAATATGGAGAAGCAGTTTTATTTTCTAGAGTGGATTTTTCACTTAATTTTAAAATCACTTAAGTTCAAAATACTGTTAAATAAATTTATTTTAAAAGATTATTATTATTTTGAGATGGAGTTTTGCTCTTGTCACCCAGGCTGGAGTGCAATGGTGCAGCCTCGGCTCACTGCAGCCTCTCCCTCCCGGGTTCAAGCGGTTCTTCTGCCTCAACCGCCCGAGTAGCTGGGATTACATGTGTGTGCCACCACATCCTGCTAATTGTTTTTTGTATTTTTAGTAGACACAGGGTTTTGCCATGTTGGCCAGGCTGGTCTCGAACTCCTGGCCTCAGGTGATCCATCTGCCTCGGCCTCTCAAAGTGCTGGGATTAGCAGCGTGAGCCACTGCGCCTGGCCTTGAAAAGATTATTAAAACAAACCTGAAAAACACCAAATTCACCTCTAATATGGATTTTCTTTTTTTCTTATCCTCAAGTTTTAAAAATAGGAGTGATATAAAGTATTCAATGAATGGGAAATATATTAAGTTTGAAAAGTTAAGGCAAATTTTTAGAGCCATACAAAATAAAGCCTGCATGTAAATTCTCTGGAATCCAATTTTTCATCTAGGAAAATTGAAGACGTTCACCGTTTCTAATAACTAATTTTTATAATAGAAGCCAGCAGGCTCAGATGACTACAACAGCAAAATAAATCTGTATTTACCTTTGTTTTTGTTTTGTTTTGCTTTTGAGACAGGGTCTCTATCACCCAGGCTGGTGCACGATCATAGCTCACTCACTGTAGCCTCCAACTCCTGGGCTCAAGTGATCCTCCTGCCTTAGCCTCCCGAGTAGTTAGGACTGCAGGTGTGTGCTAACCTTCCCACCTATTTTCACTCTTTTGTAGTGAGAGTTGCCCAGGCTGGTCTTGAACTCCTGACCTCAAGTGATCCTCCCACCTCAGCCTCCCAAAGTGCTGGAATTACAAGTGTGAGCCACTGCACCCAGCCTATATTTACCTTTAACCTAGAATGGTACTAAATAATATAAGGTTAATTATGTTTATTTCAATATTAATACTTTACTGACAGCTGCTACAGGGATGACCGAAAGGATAAGCTGTACAAAGAAAACATTTCTAAGAGCATAGTTACCAAAATTTTAATTGATGTAAGCTTCTTAGTAAATTCACCCAAATGCACACATATTTTAAAGAAACAGCAACAGAACTGGAAAAACTCTACAGGTTTGTGTACCACGCCCTCTTTGGCATCCACTTCCCCATTCCTTCAGTGCCAAAGCTCTGGTTCGAGTGCTGGCTGGGCTTGCCCCTCTTTGGCTCACCCTGCACAGTGCTGCAAGGCACCGCCTCTCCTCCTGCTTTCGAGCCCATCACTTTCCTCCACAGGGGCCAATGTTGCTACCTACACAAACTTCTAAAGGGCCAAGCCACACATCCCAGTGCTTGAGTTTCGGGGCTTACTGCAATCCCACCTCAGTGTCTCATTACGGAACAAAAGGTGACCACTCTTGATACATTGCAGCTGAAATGACTCTTCTGGAAAGCTAATCTGACGGGGTCATTCTGCGAGTAGGAAAAACCCTTCAGCAAGTTACCATTGCCTTTCAGATGTTTAGGACCTAACCCTCCAGGATTCTCTTCTCTTCTAGTGGTTCCCTCAATGCCCAGCACCAGGGTGTGGCAACAGGTTGTCATCAGCAACCAGAGCAGCCAGTTTCCACTAACCCTTTCCTGTAATTCTGATGAATGCATAAGTTAAACATTCAAGCTGGAGAAACTGGTGCCTGAGTACAAGGCCTGGAATGTGAAAACAAATACATTAAGACCTCGCCTGGACTTTCTCAGACCCTAACATCTGATCGAAGGCATTCTTACACATATACCTTGTATCAAGGCCACTTAAGATTAAAGAAAATTTTCCAAGGCTCTAGAGACTTTCCAGACCCCAGACCCTAAAGATTAGACTGAATGAAACACTCCTGCTTGTAGGTGCACACTCTCACACAGGCATAGAGGTTGAATTGAATGTAAATAAACACTGAAGAAAAACTTGTAACTTTGAGTTGGTCTGGTGAGTCACTCCCACCATCTTCCTGTCACCAGTTGCAGAAATAAACTCCCTTCTTTCCCAGTCTGTCTGCATCTCATTGGAAAGCGAGAAAAAGCAGCCGGACCTTGATCATCCAGGAACAAGGGGATTTATGTGAGGGGTCTGGGGCTCTTAGAGATGCGGCTTTTCTGAATGAGAATGCTGCTGCCAGCCACAAAGGGAAGATGCCTTTTTTTTTTTTTTTAAAAAAAAAACACATTATGAGGAATTAAGCACAATTGCTTTTTACATGCTATTGCTAACTATGGAGAAGACGTGTCCCATTTTTCCAGTCACTTAAGAGTGAGGACTAGTAACTGTGATTTAAATAAGCCAAGTAAACAATCCCCTGCCTAGGAAGAAACTTGTTCTTCTGCCTTTTTCCACCTCTGAACAAACACGGAGTGTCTGATGTCTTTATGCTGCTTCTGCCAGGTAAGGAGAGATAGGACACTTGCATTATTTTGATAGTCCTTTCATAGTGTTGACCTTTTCTTTGGTTCTGAAAGGTTCATTGTTTCCACACAATGGTTTATGACTTTATAATTCTGGAAAGCATCTTATAACTCAGCAGTTATACATTACAGCTAGCAGCTATTTAAACTTTGTTAAAAATACATTTTTAAGTAGACAAATGAAAATATGTCTATGTGATATAAACAGTAATGGACACATAATTTTTTAAAAACTCTCAAAGATTTAAGATGGAAGAATCAGATAAGCGCTGAAATATTCCACACATTATACAATTAATTAATCCTACCTCTCCTGGAAGAAAAAGATCATTTTAGTCACTTACTTTTATTTAGGTGAGCTTTAAGATGAATTATAAGCTTAGTGAAATCATCCTATCTTCTAAACTGATCACTGATGTGTCTGAAATAACACAGATAATGTTTCCTTTTCAGTTCAAGTCCAGGCCATTTCCATTGTAAAATGTATTTTAAAATAACCCAGAGCTTATCTACCCAGAAACAGTCCTTAAAATAAACAAATAACAACACGAAGAGGAAGGGAGTGTGCCATTTTAAAATGTGTGACTTGCTAATGAAGAACAAAATATATGTAATTTTGAATTTTTGTCAAAAAAATGTAATAAACCCATGTTAAGTACTAGGGAAACACTGGTTTCTTTTGAAAACTAAACACACTTAGTAAGACCTACAGAGGTGAAATAAGACTCCTGCCGATTGAGAATGAGCAAATCAAGGTGGCATTTTATTCAGAGAAGTGTAATATAATATCAACCAGCCTCATTCACAACACGCTACTGTGCACAGAGCCTCCATGACAAGGAAGACATTCTGTGCTGTGTGGGAACGAATGGTATAGCTCAGGCAGAGCAACTGGAAAGAACCCTGAAGTCAGGGTACGGAAGCGGGGCGAGACTAGGGGAAGAGGCTCAGATACATGCGGTCAAAATCCATCATGGATTTCCAACTGCAACACTTCGGAAAAAAAATTATCCGCAACCCCAATATGATTATTGTGATTTTTGGTATGTACTGATCCAGTCCTTCTCCCTATGGTGCTGCTGATAATAATTATAATAGTTGCCATTTACTGAGGGATTTTGAAGCTGACTTTGCAAAAATTATAGCTGAGAAAATTATAACAGTGAAATAGATCTGACCTGACTCCATGTGGCTTCTAATCTCCAAGCTGTCCTTGTCCATTCCTGGGCATAGGCCGAACTAATTTTGGGAGGAACTTGGTTTACAGTCTGACTTTGAAACAGACGCGGCCGGGTGTGGTGATTCATGCTTGTAATCCCAGCACTTTGGGAGGCTGAGGTGGGCAGACTGCTTGAGCCCAGGAGTTCCAGACCAGCCTGGAACTGGTGAAACCCCATCTCTACTAAAAATACAGAAAGTAGCCTGATGTGTGGCACATGCCTATAGTCCCAGTTACTTGGGGGGCTGAGGAATTCAAAGCTACGGTGAGCCAAGACTGTGCCACTTCACTCCTGCCTGCATAACAAAGTGAGTCCCTGTGTCAAAAAAAAAAAAAAAAGTAAAAAGAAACAAAGATGGTAACAGCCCTTTCCCCAAATAAGCCCCTTTCTTGCCTGAGGACTGGACTGCCTTTGCAAAACTAACAAATAAGCCACAAGATTAGAAATTATGGCTTAGGCATCACTATTATAAAACCTAAGTTCAGTGCTTGAGATATTTTATAGACCCTGTCCTCGATGGTTGGCAGCACCCCGTTGGCAGTACCTAGGTTGATAAACTGGCTCATCTGGTCTTGTGTTTTATCCGCACAACCAGTTCCTTGTGAATTAAACTCTTTCTCTATTGCAATTCCCCTGTCTTGATAAATCAGCTCTGTGTAGGCAGTGGGCAAGGAGAACCCATTGGGCGGTTACAATTTCCTTGTACCAGGTACCAGGCCAGGTGAAGTTATAGAAAGAACTTAACTTTCACAACGAATCTCTGAGGTAGGTATTATCATCTGCATAATACTGATGCAGAAACTAGGCTCAGAGGGCTAAGTTACATCACACAGGCGATAAATTTGTCAGATCAGATACTTCTTTTTAATTATTTTTTTATTATTATACTTAAAAGTTCTAAGGTACATGTGCACAACGTGCAGGTTTGTTACATAGGTATACATGTGCCATGTTGGTTTGCTGCCCCCTTCAACTCGTCATTTACATTAGGTATTTGTCCTAATGCTATCCCTTCCCTTGACCCCCACCCCGACAGGCCCTGGTGTGTGATGTTCTCCTCCGTGTCCGTGTGTTCTCATTGTTCAACTCCCACTTATGAGTGAGAATATGCGGTGTTTGGTTTTCTGTCCTTGTGATAGTTTGCTGAGAATGGTTTCCAGCTTCACCCATGTCCCTGCAAAGGACATGAACTCATCCTTTTTTTATGGCTGCACAGTAGTCCATGGAGTATATGTGCCACATTTTCTTAATCCAGTCTATTATTAATGGACATCTGGGTTGGTTCCAAGTCTTTGCTATTGTGAATAGTGCCACAATAAACATACATGTGCATGTGTCTTTATAGTAGCATGATTTATAATCCTTTGAATATATACCCAGGAATGCAGCCCAGTTATTTCTAACTCAAAGGTTCTATCCTTCCACTATACTTCGAGACAACCCTAGGTGTATTCCAGTTACAATAAATATAATTTTACATCCTGAATTTAATCCATCAACTTATTGGTATATTCCTGTTATTGATATTTCTTCATATATCTTAGCACTGCCCATGTGATAACCTAAGCTTCACAATTGCCACTTGAGTTTCCTAATCTGTACTACTGGACATTTACTTTGTTACTTTTTCACCATTATAAATAATGCCATAATAAACATGTTTTGCTCATACGTTCTCTTCAGCATAGATGATTTTCCTAAAAAATATTCCAGAAGTATGAATATTTTAATGGTTTCTGCCACATATTTTCCAATTACTTTCCAAGAGGGAAGTACCAATTTACACCATCAGTGAGCTAGAAGTGTATATAAAGTTTCCCATATGCATGTCAATATGAGTAAAACACTTTTTTGCTCATATGTTCTCTTCAGCATGGTTCCTTTTCCTAAAAAATATTCCAGAAGTATGAAATGAATATTTTAATGGTCTCTGCCACATATTTCCCAACTGGTTTCCAAGAGGGAAGTAGCAATTTACACCATCGGTGAGCACAGAAGTGTATATGAAGTCTCCCATATGCATGCCAATATGAGTAAACCTATTTTTACCAAGTTAATAAATGAAAATTGGCCTTATTTACATTTCTTTGATTCTAAGGTCGAACATTTTTCCATGTTTATCCACCATACCTCCTCTTCTGGGAAGTGTCTGCTCATGTCCTTTGCCCATTTATTTTTATTTTTCTTGCTGACTCATATATATATATATATATATTTTTTTTTTTTTTTTTTTGACCGAGTCTTGCTCTGTCGCCCAGGCTGGAGTCCAGTGTTGCAATCTCAGCTTACTGTAACCTCCGACTCCAGGGTTTAAGCTATTCTCATGTCTCAGCCTCCCCAGTAGCTAGGACTACAGGCGTGTGTCAACAAACCAGGCTAATTTTTCTATTTTTAGTACAGATGGAGTTTCACCATGTTTGTCAGGCTGGTTTCTAACTCCTGGCCTCCAGCAATCCACCTGCGTTGGCCTCCCAAAGCGCTGGGATTACAGGTGTGAGCCACTGTGCCTGGCCCATAAACTCTACGAATAAATAATGTCACATTTTTCCCAGACTCTTGTTTGCAATTCCTTTTGTTTCTTGATATGAAGTTTTTTATAAATGTGCATATAATCTATCCCCTTTCTTTGTGACCTCTTTAATTGATTTGAAACCTGTCTTCCTTCCAGATATGGAAGTTTACTTCCTTTAAGTTTTTTTATGTATGGAGTAATCTATGGCTTAATTTAAAAAAAATTTAATTCTTTAATCCATCTGGAATTTGTGTATGGTCAGAGTTGTAGGTCTAAATGTACTTTCCCTGACACTGCCAACCAGTTATCTTACTATTATTTATTAAATATAATTGTTTATAACACAAAAGGGAGAAGATAAGAATGTGAGAAAGTAAGGCCCTTGGAGAGGGAGAGTGGTCAAGCATCTGCAGAGGGATTAACCTTGAATGGGAAGGTCAACTCTTTTGTTTGCACTTGGCGGAGACAGGGAAAGGCTGGGGGTGGCAGCAGGTGGGTCTGCAGAGAGGAGAGCAGACCTCTGCCTAATAGCTTTGATTTTCCCTGACACACAAGGCAAGGGGCCCACTTCCCAAATTCTTCCCCGAGATACTGGACTTCAGGCTGAATATCCAGCAAAAACCACATAAAGGTTATCGTCCTTGAGTCCTTGGAGGTTATATTCCCTGCTCTTCTGGAATCCTAGCAGCTCTAGCTTCTACCTCTCCTCCCTCCCTCCCTCCCTCCTGCTGTTCTTCACTTTTTATCATGACATCCAGTCCCCCAACCCTCTAGTCATGGGCATGACCCAACCAGGTTCCTAGAACAGTATCATGTACATGCGTGCCACCTTCCTAACTCACAAAGCATGTCCCCCCTTGAACCTCACGACAGCCTGGGATGGAGGACAAGCAGACACCAAGTCCTGGGGGCATGAGCAGGGACTTGTTTGTGGAGACGCCAGGCCCCAGAACTTCAAGCACCCTCCTCTGTTCTACAGATTCTAGCAGGCAGGCTCAGTCACTACAAGACACCTCTCTCCAGCATCTCTCACTCATTCCTGCATCCTCCCGCCTTCCCTACCTCTACCCTCGCAGTCCCAGCCTAGTGATCCCTTTCTCAGCTTCTGCTGGTGCTGCTGGAGAAAGCATAGGAGTTCAGGCTCCACAACCCCATGCTGTGTGACCCTTGGGCAGGTTACTTTCGCTTGCCAAGCCTTGTATACACTAGGGATTATAACAGAACCTAGGCCTTTGTGTTGTTGTGAGGACAGAGTGAGTTCATGCGTGCAAAGGGCTGAGGACAGCACCTAACACCAAAGTCAACAAATGTGGGCATGAAAACAGGGCTGGTGTGTCCTGCTGTAAGTTCGTGCTATCCCATCACCATTTCTTCATGGTGCTTTCATCCACCTCAGATGGATCCAGTCACAGCTCCTCTCCAAGGGCTCTTCTAAACCATTTTCACATGCTCACAACCCAAAAACGAACAATTCAAGAAGGAAAAACTTAGTCTCTGAAGCATAAACAACTTCAACCTGTCAAGCATCTGAGCAGGGGACACACAGGACACTGGGGAACAATTTTTGACCTCCACGCAGAGAGAACAAATGAGCCTCTACAGGAACCTGAGCCGCACCTTCCGCGTTTCCATGTTGCTGGGACCTCAGGAAGTCTGAGCACAGCAGTGTTCTCCCAGAAATGAGGACCAGCACCGCGCTCGCCTATTTTCATCCCAAACATCTACAAAACAATTCCTAGACAAACTCCCCTGGGGAAAGGAAGGGCAACGAAGCAAGCAAGAGGAAAAACAACCCAGAAACTTCTCATAGTAACCTGAAGTTTTTGTTTCTGTTTCTGAGGCAGTGTCTCCCTCTGTTGCCCAGGCTGGAGTGCAGTGGCGCAATCTGTACTCACTGCGACCTCCACCACCACAGTTCAAGCGATTCTCCTGCCTCAGCCGCCCGAGGAGCTGGGATCATAGACAGGCGCCACCATGCCAGGATAATTTTTGTGTTTATTTCTTTTTAGCAAAGACGGGTTTTGTCATGTTGGCCAGGCTGGTCTCTAACTCTTGGCCTCAAGTGATTCACCCGCCTTGGCCTCCCAAAGTCCTGGGGTTAGTTATGAGCCACCGTGCCTGGCGTCTCCAAGTAATCTAAACTTTAAAATTTTTGTTCTATGGCATATTCTTTCCTTGTTTATTTTCCTTTTCAAAGGTTTCCTCTGGGTTTATAGGAAAGCTCACTTTGGCAATGTCAGTTTCTTCCAGGTAAGTAGTGAGAACACAGAGAAAAGACTTTGTTTCTTTGCTGCTGGGATATTTTGGTCTGTGTTTGGGCAGAGAGGATGTGTGTGCAACAGCCGTGGTGGGCCTCAGAGATGCTGATGGGGGGTCCAAGTGAAAGTGCTGCCTGCCTCCACTTCAGAAGGAAAGCTATGGAGTCCTTCCCAGTGTTTGCCTCAAGGCCAAGCAGTCGCAGGGTGACCCTTTGATATCTGCTCCCCTGACAAGGATTCTGAGCCTCATCTAAGGTAGAGGTGGGGAGGGAGGCAGGATGTGATGGACACAGATTTCCAGACTCTTTCAATGGATCCACAGGTTTTGGAGAATCCACACTTCCAAAGGGGCTGAGCTCCGCCCCCATCTTGCTGATATCATTCGTGCTATTATAAATCAAACAGCAACAGGGCATGATTAAACACACGGAGCCTGACCACACGTGGGCACAATCAAGGTCTCTTATTCCCTCCGTGACATTCATGTCCAACCACTACCATTTTTGTGCCTCCTGTATGTGTCCTGATTCTCTCATTCAGAGCATCTACAAAAAGTCAAACCGTCGAATCAGCATCATTTTTAGTCCTTAAGAAACACGCTTTAAAGTTTCCTATTTTCTTTTCCTTTTTTTTTTTTTTTTTTTAAGATGGAGTTTCGCTCTTGTTGCCCAGGCTGGAGTGCAATGGCGCGATCTCGGCTCACTGCAACCTCCGCCTCCTAGGTTCAAGCGATTCTCCTGCCTCAGCCTCCCGAATAGCTGGGATTACAGGCGCATGCCACCAGCTCTGGCTAATTTTTGTATTTTTAGTAGAGATGGGGTTTCATCACATTGGTCAGGCAGGTCTCAAACTCCTGACCTCAGGTGATCCGCCCTCCTCGGCCTCCCAAAGTGCTGGGATTACAGGCATAAGCCACCACGCCCGGCCTTAAAGTTTCTTATTTTCAACGAAAATCAAGTCCCCTCTTTTCACTTTTTATAAAAGGGACCAGAAGTTTTCCTCCCATTTTTGTATGATGAAAGCCACCGCAGGCAAAGTCAGGAGAGCCACGTCAAGAAAAAGGAGTGGGTGTTACGAGAAGCCCGGCATCTAATTAGATTTTGCTCTTGCAATTACTTAACACAAACCATGCCTTATACAACCCATGAGACTAAAACAAACTTTTTTCTCTCAGCATTTCTCCCCTTTTAAGTCATATTTCCACGAATCCTCTCAGATCAGCCTTTCTCTTCAAGCCTAGAAAAATTCCAGTAGCACGTCACCGCGCCCGCCCGCCCGCTTCTGCCAAACTACTGGGCTTCCTCTTCCCTAAGACAGAGAAACCCATGCCAGAAACTCTTCTGGGTGCCCGCGGCTAAAATAACTTGGCACGAGTGTGTTTCGCTTCCAACTTGGCGAGGGCGCTGCGGGTCTCGAGCGCTCTGGCCAAGGCCGGCCCCTCAGTCGCGCGCTTACCCTGCCGGGGCGAGGCGCGCGCGGTGGCCAGGGCGGCGCCGTCCGGCGCGCGGCTGAGGCTGTAGCTGCTGTAGCCGCTGTGCAGCGCGAACTTGCAGACGTTGCGGCCGCGCGCCGTGCAGTTGAAGAGGTAGCAGCCGAGCACGGCTGCCGGGGGCGCGGGGCGCCGGGGCAGCTCCACCACGGCCACGGAGCAGCGCGGCTCGGAGCAGCAGGCCGCCACGCATTGCCGCCAGCCCCGCACGGCCGCCGGCGCCCGCAGGAAGCTGGCACCCGCCGCCAGGGAGTCCTTGGTGCGGATGATGGCGTCAGGCATTGCGCTGTAGCCGCCGCTGCCCGGGCCCGGGCAGTCCTCCTGGGGGCCGCCGCCCGCGCGCAGCTCCAGCTCCAGCTCCTCCTGAGGCCGCTCCTGCTGCAGTTGCCGGCGGAACTCCTCCAGCAGCTGCTCCACGCCCGACAGCTGCGCGTGCAGTTCGGACAGCGGCGCCGCGGGCGGCAAGGCCGCACGGCCGCTTGGCAGCCACAGGCAGAGCAGTAGCAGCCCGCGCAGCGCCCCGTGACGCGGCGGTAGCCGGCGCTGCGAGCCCGCGCTCTCCTGGGCGACGGAGGCCATGGCGACGAGAGCCAAGGGCAGCGAGCCGAGGCGGGGCTGAGCGCGGGAGGAAGGCGGGGACGCGGGCGAGCGCGGGCCCTGGGCCCCTCCTGCGCGGCCGCGGCTGGCTCTAGGCCCCGGCCTCACAGCGCGGCGCCCCCGAACCCGGCTGCTCCCCCGAGGTCGCGGGCGCCGGCGGGAACCGCAGTAGCGGGAGACATAGCCGGCCCAGCCGGGCACCGCTCCTTGCCCTCGCCGGAGACTGCCCAGCGCCCTGCGCCTCTCCGCCCCGGCCTGCGGCGCGCTGGGTGGCGACGAGTCGGCCTCGGCGTTGATCAGCACCAGGTGTGTGCGAACAGTGGCCGCGGCGGGGTGGAGCCTTGGTGAGCCCCGCCCCCCCGCGCGGCCCCGCCCCCGCGCGTCTCGCGCCGGCTCCTCCAGGGCTGGGAGAGCAGGCCCCGGGGAGGGCAGCCTCAGAACAACTTTGCTCCCGCGCCGCTGCCCAGCTAGGGCAGGGTTCATGTCTGGGCCCAGCAGGCTTTAGCAACCAACCACACCTGCCCAGGGCGCCTGCCCACAGGGGCTTGGCATTCGGGGGAATGGGGGCAGTGGGAAGGGAGGGCCTGTCTTCAAATCCTCGTGACCCCCGGGACTACTCCAGAGAGGGGGCACGCGCACCTAGGACCACCGTAGCGCGTCATCAGTCCTTCACCTCCAGCGTCCCTGACTTTCCGCATCATGTTCCCAAGATGTGCTTGGGTAGTACAAAGTGGGGCGGGGTTGGGGTGGCGGAGTCAGGGCCGGGAGGGGTGGGGATGGGAAGTACTGAAAGATGTTCAGTCTGTTTAAAAACACAAAAATCAAGCCTGGTGAGGTGGTACTCGCCTGTAAGTCCTGAGGCTGAGTTGGGAGGATGGCTTGGACCCAGGAGTTCGAGACTGCAATGAGCTGTGATCACACCACTGTACTCCAGCCTGGGGGACAGAACAAGACCCTGTCTTTAAAAATAAAAACAAAACCCATAAATAGCAGTCGTCACATGCACTCAGATTTCCACAAATATAACAAAAAATCTGAACACAGCCAACATGGGGACCTGGGAGTAATACAGCCTGTGACAGAGAGGCCTCTAGCGGTTATATCACGTAAAATCTCGGGAGTTGTGCTTTAAATGACATAAGGAATAAGAAAATGTCCAACCCAGTGGGGGCTTCACCTTGGCGTTCTAGACTTCTGTGAGCAGCATCTGCATCTTGTTTGTTTCTGAATCAGTTTCTGTTGATTCATTTTTCTCCTGATTGTGGATCGCATTTTCTTGCTTTTTAGCCTGTCCGGAAATTTTTGCCTGGATGCGCACATTGTAAATAGAACACTGTTAAGTGTCTGTATTTTTTAGGATTGAAAGAATAAATAATTGGTGGGAAAATATCAGTCTCTGCTATGTGTTTATTATCTCCAGAGTTGACATTTAGGAACCCATTGCTTGCAGATCCAGATCAGAGTAGGAGGTAAAATTAAAAGGTAGCAATAGAAAAGAAAGAAAAAAGCTCAATGTTACTTGCCATTCCATCAAAGGGAGAAATTATAAAGTTTTTGCAGGGGTATATTTGAGTGATTTTTGAGGCTAAAAGAAATGGCCTCTTAGCTCTAAAGGCTGTGTCTGGACTGTACCACTTCGGCCTGGAGATTCTTCCTCATATGGCATACTCATCCCACACAACTGCAGTCATTGTAAGATGACCTTGAAGCAACATAATGCTTTTTATTTTTTATTTTTATTTTTTGCCATAGACCTTGGAGAGCTTGAGCAGGATTGTTATGAGGAGAAACTTTCACTAGTGATGAAAATGCTGACTGAGGGTATCATCAAACCCTCCAAGGACTAGTTGTTATATAAGTTATTAATATTAAAAATAACATGATAATATATAATATTAACTAAGAATTGTACATGATTTCAAAGTTTGCCAAACACTTTCACATACATGATTTTATGTGCCTTCACAGAGACTTTGACCACCTCACTCCTGCCTTTGGGACCGTGAAAGAGAAGTCAGTATAGAGTGAGCCCTAGCTCACATGTTCCGTGGTAGGGAAGTGGACAGGGGAGAGGACAGCATTTCTCAGGGGCATTCATTTCTAAATCCCTCCAGCACCATCAAAGATTTTCCTGCATCTGCAACTTTACAATAGGTCTTTTTGGGAGAAGTGGAAATTATTTAATGTTGTGTTTACCGTGAGCAGTGGTTATTTCTGGGCTGTGAGTTGCAAGTACTGAAGGGGAAATACTGACTTTTATAATTTATAAGACTTTGTTGAATTTTTTTTTTGCAATGAGCTTGTTGTAAATGATTTTCTATTTTTTAAAAATAAGTGTTGACATCTGCTTCAGCCAGGAGGGAGCAACAAGGACTGGACTTACTCTGTGACCTGAAATGAAAAATCTGTGAAAAAAATGTATGGAACAATGGTTTTCAGACATTGGGCAACAGGCAATGCAGGGCCCAAGAGAAGGGAGACAAAGGAAGTGAACATGCTGCTTGCTCCAGCTTACTGCCTGGAGAGGGTTTCCAAGCCGCAATGCAGACAGGCGAACCAAAAGAGACTCTGAGTTGGAAAATAGAGCTGAGAATTCAGGGAGGCCAGGGTGGCTAGAGTACCAGAGAGGAGAGAGTGCAACGGAAGGAGGGAGCTCTGGAGATCTGTGCAGGGTTCCTCTGAGTCTTCAGCAGAAGTTCGACCAGGTACATGCATGTGAGGAAACTTCCCAAGACAGAGAGGCAACCACTAGAAAAAAGCTGGCAGAAAAACTTCTGAGCTTGCATTGGCCAGGCAATAGTTCGTTCCCAACAGCCAGAGTGGAGAAACCTTGTGACAAGAGGCATGAGTTTGAGTAGGAAGGGAAGGGATTACAGAGAAGCACATGAAAACTTTTGCAGGTGATAGGTGTGTTCATTACCTTGATTGTGGTGATGGTTTCACTGGTGAATACATTGATCAAAGTTCATCAAATTGTGTATTTTAAGTGGGTATAGTCAATTATATGTTAATAAGGCTATTTTTTAAAAACGAAGTTTCATTGCACTGTGCATTGTGATTTATCTTCTTTTTCTAGTTCTCTTTTCAGTTTTTTTCAGAAATAAACTATCTTTGTTTTAAAAGCCTAAACATCAAAACCTTATCAATGGATAGAAGAATTTTTATGTGAGGATGAAAATGTCAGGAAGATGTGTTTCTGTTTTATAAGATAGATCATTAAGAGTAAGAGTGGATCAAATTGAGATTGGACTTCGTAGGTCAGTTTGTTGAATGTTGGAATGAGATAACCTGTGTCTTAGCTGGGCTGCTGTAACAGAATACCACAGACTGGGAGGCTTCTAAACAACAGAAATTTATTCCTCACAATTCTAGTGGCTGAGAAGTTCAAGATCATGGTGCTGGCAGACGCTGATATCTGGTGAGGGCCCACTTCCTGGTTCATAGACAGCAGTCTTCTCACTGAGTCCTCACCTTGTGGGAGGAGTTAGGGAGCTCTCTGGGATTTTTTTCTTTTCTTTTCTTTTCTTTTTTGAGACAAAGTCTCGCTCTGTTGCCCAGGCTGGAGTTCAGAGGCACAATCTCTGCTTACTGCAACCTCTGCCTCCTGGGTTCAAACGATTCTTCTGCCTCAGCCTCCTGAGTGGCTGGGATTACAGGCGCACACCACCACGCCTGGCTAATTTTTGTATTTTTAGTAGAGACTGGGTTTCACCATGTTGGTCAGGCTGGTCTCGAACTCATGACCTTATGATCTGGCTGCCTCAGCCTCCCAAAGTGCTATGATTTCAGGCATGAGGCACCGTGCCTGGCCTGGGATCTTTTTTATAAGAACACTAATCCCATTCATGAGGGCTCCACCTTCATGCCCTAATCATCTTCCAAATTCTCCACTGCAAACATCATCACATTAGGTTTCAACATAGGAATTTTGGGGGGTTACAAACATCCAATCTACAGCAACACCCTAGTGACATCGTTTTTTGTTGCCCTCCCCTCCCCTCTACTGCCCATCTAAGTACTTTTACAGGCATCGAATAAGTTAAGTCAGTGCATGTGAAGTGCTTAGAAGGGCATCTGACACATTATAGAAGTTCAATAAATGCTAGTTGTTGTTGTTATTACAACAGAAATGAAGGACCTTTCCTAAGATTAGAAGTCATGAAACCACTTGAAGCCTGAATCTCCTCTACAACATCCCAGCTGAGTGGCTGTTGCACTAAGATTCTTCCTTCTCCATACCCCTTTCATGGAATCTGCTCTGCTCACGTCCCTGGAAGGGGCAGCCCCAACCCCCAGGTGGCCACACCCCCTGTTCACTAGGGATGGAATCAATAATGAATGCCTGGCCCAAGCACAGCCAATCAGATACTCTCTCCAAGGAATGTAAAAACAGAATTGAGAAACAAACTGACTCAGCAAATCAACTCAACAAACTGACTCAACAAATTGAGTCAGGGAGGGAAGTGTAGCTGGGAAGCCAGGTGAGCTCCAGGGGACATGGAAGGGGATGATAGCAGAGAGAAGCTGTTCAGCAGAGGGGGACAAATGGAACCGTGAAAAGAGGAAATAGAGAACAGTGCATACATAGCCTTGAGAGAGGGAGGGAGTGAAGACAGGAGTTGCCTGACACTTTCTGGTCTCAAATCTCTCCCCTGAGCACCTACTTGGCCTTCTACCTGGAATTCCTCTCATGGAGTTCTTGCCTTGCAGCTCAGTGATCTAGGTTCATCCTAGTTAAATCTCTGTGGATTGCAAACAACAGAAACTCATTTTAGATTGGTTTAAAGAAAAAATAGCTACCGTGTTTACACACATGCACTCACAGGCAGGGAGGAAATGCAGCCAGGCCTTGGGAGGGCCTGGACCAGACATGGCAGAACCCTCAGCAGTCAAGCAGCTGGTCTCCCAGTTGCTGCTTCTCTCTTCTGGGACCAAGTAGTCTGAGATCTCCACTTCTCTCTGCACATCTGATTCATGCTTCTCTCAGAGTCTGGAGTTTTCTGCCCTCCATGCACAGAGCCTGAGTCTATCTCACCTCACCTGCAGCAATGAACAGAAACTCAGAACAGTGACCATCAGTACCAAGAGAGAGACTCTGATGAGTCTAGCTTGGTCCTGTGTCCACCCTAAACTGAGGTTAGTGTGCAGAGACCATGAGGCACAAACAGGGCTACAAACATGGCCTTCCCTCTCCTCATTGAGGATGGAAAGAGAGGCCGTTCTTAGAGGAAGGACGTGGTAGTAACTGGGGAAAATCCTGAGAAGTTGTCTTCTGCGTTGACTCAGGCAATGCCCCATGTCTGCTTGAACATGTTCATTAATTTTCATTTTAAATTTAAGAAACGCTTATAAAAAGTACTGTGCTACGACTACCAGGAACCGTTCTGAGTTCTGCACAGTCACTTATTTACTTAAAACAACAATTACGCAGCATGTGCTAGTATTACCCCCAATTCACAGGTAGGGAATGCAATATTTTGTTACTGAAACACCAGGGGTTCAGTTTAGGTCCTGTTGCTTGCAGCACAGAAAGCCAATCACTGGATCAAGTATTTTTGGGGGAAGAAGGCTTTCTTTGGTGCTGCCAAATAAAGATAAGTGGAGATAAGTCTCAGATCTTCGACCAACTTAAATTGGGGTGTATATAGTGGGGAAGGAGTGTAGCTACCCACAGGAAAACAGGAATTAAGGAGGGGTAAGGAAGAACAATTGGTCAACGGGAAGCAGATGGTTGGTTAGGAAAACAGGAATTATGGAGGAGTAAGGAGAGGAGTCTGGTGTCTCGTTATCTGGATGTGGTGATGTGAGTTTTACTTCCTCGATATTATCTGGAAGTCGGAGGGTTTCCTGAAAAAGGAATTCAGATAAGACAAATGTAAGTTTTAAGCATTAAGAAAAGCAGGGTCCATTTCTAGCTTTAATAGGAAAAAAATGGCAAACATCAGTTCTCGGGGGAAATTGAGCTAGTTTCACCTTCACACACCAAAGCTCCTTCCATCTTTGGGCAACTCTTACTATTCATTAGAATGTTTTCCTTATATTCAGTTACAATCTGTTTTGTAGCTTCCAAGTATTTGTCCCAGTTCCTTCTCTTGGGACCACTCAGAGCAACCTACACCTACTCCCAAGTGATAGTCCTTTAAATAATTTTAAAATGCCATTGAAGCTCAGGCAACTCAGCTTGCTTAGTACAGCACAGTGTTGAGTGTGGCTTATGACAGCAGTGTCAAACACCTGCTGGCTGTGTGACTTTGGGCAAGTCACCTACCCTCTTCAAGCACCAGATCACCCCGCCGTAATATAGGAATAATTGCCTCACCTTGCTTCCCACAAGTGTGGTGAGGATTAAGTGAAACACAGCACATAAAGCACTTAGCACAATGGCTAGTGCGCTAAAGGCTCCTAAGTGTTAGCTGGGATCATCCCCTCTCAGTTCATCGATTCATCACATCGTGAGGCTTGCAGATCTCCATTCTGTCATCTAACCTGTTTTCTATCCCACCTGGCTTTGTTATTGTTGCGTTTTTCAGCATTACTGAGGTATAACTGACAAATAAAAATTGTAGGCTGGAGCAGTGGCTCACGCCGGTAATTCTAGCACTTTGGGAGGCTGAGGCGGGCAAATCACGAGGTCAGGAGTTCAAGACCAGCCTGGCCAACATAGTGAAACCCGCATCTCTACTAAAAATACAAAAAAAAAAAAAAATAGCTGAGCATAATGGCTGGCACCTGTAATCCCAGCTACTCGGGAGGCTGAGGCAGGAGAATCGCTTGAACCTGGGAGGCCCAGGTTGCAGTGAGCTGAGATGGTGCCACTGTACCCCAGCTGGGCAACAGAGTGAGACTCCACCTCAAAAAAAAAATTGTATGTATTTGACAAATATGACATGACCATTTTACGTACATATATATTGTGTATGATTACCACAATCACATTAATGAACATATCCATCACCACACACAGTTACCATTGTGTGTGTTGTGTGTGTGGTGAGGGTACTTAAGGTCTACTCTTTTAGCAAATTTCAAGTAAACAATACAGTATTATTAACTATAGTCACCATGCTGTACATTAGATCCAACTTAACATCTTATAACTGAAAGTTTGACCAACTTTAAAGTTTGACCCTTTGAGCAACATCTCCCCCAGCCCCTGACAATGACCGTTCTATTCTCTGCTTAAGTTTGACTTTTTAGATTCCAAATGAAGAAAAATCATATAATATTTTATGTTGATGTCTAGCTTACTTAAGTAGCATAATGTCCTAATGTTCTCCAGATTCACCCATATTGTCACAAATGGCAGGATTTCCTCCTTTTTATGGCTGTATAATACTCCATTGCATATCTATCTGTATCTACATCTATCTGTGTATCTATATCACATTTTCTTAATTGGCCTGTCAGTGAACACTTAGGTTGTTTCCATATCTTGGCTATTGTGAACAGTGCTGCAATAAACATGGGGGTACAGATATCTCTTGGAGATACTGCTTTCAGTTCGTTTGGATACATACCTAGAAGTGGGATTGCTGGGTCATATGTTAGCTCTGTTTCTAATAGAACTTTTTTTTGTACTGTTTTCCATAATGGCTATACCAATTTACATTCCCACTGACAGTGTGCAAGGGTTCTCTTTTCTCCACACACTCACCAACACTTGTTATTTCTTGTGTTTTTTTTTAAATGATAACACCACTTTAACAGATGCAAGGTGATATCTCATTGTGATTTTGATTTGCATTTCTCCGATTATTAATAATGTGGAGCACCGTTTTATGTATTTGTCACCCACTTGTAGGTTTTCTTTGAATAAAATGTCTATTCGTGTCCTTTGCCAGTTTTTGAAAAGCAGGTTTTGTTTTTGTTTTTGCTATTGAGTTATATGAGTTCTTTCTGTGTTAAAGACGAACATTGGATATTAATTCTTTATCAGATACATGGTTTGCAAGTATTTTCTCCCATTTTGTGGGTTGTCTTTTCACTCTGTTGATTGTTTCCTTTATTGTGCGGAAGCTTTTTAGTTTGATACAGTCCCAGCTGTTTATTTTTGCTTTTGTGTGCTTCTGGTGTCACATCAAGAAAATTATTACCAAGACCAATGTTAAGAAGCTTTTTCCCTATGTTTTCTTCTAGTAGTTTCAGTTTCAGGTCTTACATTTAAATCTTAATACATTTTGGGTTAACTTTTGTATAGGTTGTAAGATAAAGGTCCAATTTCATTCTTTGGATGTGGTTACCACTTATTCTCAATACCATTGACTGAAGAGACTATCCTTTCCCTATTGCATATTCTTGACACCCTTGTCAAAATTAGTTGACCATATATGTGTGGGGTTATTTCTGGGCTCTCTGTTCTGTTCCACTATTGGTCTATATGTCTGCATTGATGCCAGTACCATACTGTTTTGATTACTATAGCTTTGTAGTATAATTTGAAATCAAGAAGTGTGATGTCTCCAGTTTTGTTCTTCTTTCTCAGATTGCTTTGGCTATTTGAGTTCATTTGTGGTTCCATTTTTTTTTTTTTTTTTGAGATGGAGTCGTGCTCTATCACCTAGGCTGGAGTTCATGGCATAATCTTAGATCACTGCAACCTCTGCCTCCTGGATTCAAGTGATCCTCCTGCCTCAGCCTCCTGAGTATCTGGGACTACAGGCGTGCACCACAACGCCTGGCTAATTTTTGTATTTTTAGTAGAGACGGGGTTTCACCATGTTGGCCAGGCTGGTCTTGAACTCCTGACCTCAGGTGACCAGCCCACCTCAGCCTCCCAAAGTGCTGGGATTACAGGCATAAGCTATTGTGCCCAGCCTTGTGGTTCCATTTGAATTTTACGATTGTATTTTCTATTTCTGTGAAAAATGTCACTGGAATTTTGATAGGGATTGTAATGAACCTGTAAAACATTTTGTGTAGTATGGACATTGGAACAATATTAATTCTTCCAATCCATGAACACAGGATATCTTTCCTTTTATTTGTGTCTACTTTAATTTCTTTCATCAATGTCTATATTTTTCAGTGTACACACCTTTTACTTCCTTTGTTAAATTTATTCCTAAGTATTTTATGCTTTTTGATGCAATTATAAATGTGTCTTAATTTATTTTTTAGATAATACATTGTTAGTGTATTGAAATCCAACTGATTTTTGTATGTTGATTTTGTATCCTACAACTTTGTTGTATACATTAACTTATTTATTTTTGAGACAGGGTCACTCTGTCACCCAGGCTGGAGTGCAGTGGTACAATCACGGCTCACTGCAGACTTGACTTCCTGGGCTCAAGTGATCCTCCCATTTTTAGCCTCCTGAGAATGAGGGTCTCACTATGTTGCCCAGGCAGGTCTCAAACTCCTAGCCTGAAGCAATCCTCCTGCCTTAGCCCTCCAAAGTACTGGGATTACAGTTGTGAGCCACCATGTCTGGCCTACTGAATTTATTTATTAGTTCTAATGGTTTGGGGGAGTAGTTTTTAGAGTTTTCTATATATAAGATCATGTCATATGCAAACAAAGACAATTTAACTTGTTCCTTTCTCATCTGAATATTTTATTTTCTTCTCTTGCCTAATTGCTCTGGCTAGGATTTCTAATACTTTCTGGAATAGAAGCACTGAGAGTGGGCATTCTTGTCTTTTTCCTGATTTTTGGGGGAAAGCTTTCAGGTTTTCACCTTTGAGTATGACGTTAGCTGTGGGCTTGTTGTATACAGTCTTTATTATGTTGAGATACATTTCTTCTACATCTAATTTGTTGAGAGTTTTTTTATAAAAAGATGCTAAATTTTGTCAAATGCTTTTTCTGTGTCTGTTGAGATGATCATATAATTTTTATCCTTCATTATGTTAATATGGTGTGTCACATTTATTGCTTTGCATGTTGAACCATTCTTGCATCCCAGGGATAAATCCCACTTGATCGTGGTGTATGATCCTTTTAATGTGCTGTTGAATTCAGTTTGCTGGTATTTTGTTGAGAATGTTTGCATCTGTGATCACTGGGGATATTGGCCTGTAATTTTCTTTTCTTATATTTTTCTTATCTGGCTTTGGTGTGAGGGTAATGCTGCTCTTGTAAAAGGAGTTTGGAAGTGCTCCATCTCCTTCAATTTTTTGGAAGAGTTTGAGAAAAACAGATGTTATTTCTTCTTTAAATGTCTTGTAGAATTTACTGATGAAGCCATCTGACCCTGGCCTTTTCTTCCTGAGGAGATTTTTGATTGTTGATTCAATCTCCTTTCTCACTAATTGTCTATTCTGGTTTTCTTTCTTCATGATGCAGTCTTGATAGGTTATGTTTCTAGCAATTTATCCATTTCTTCTAGGTTACCCAATTTGTGGGTGCACAATTGTTTATAGTAGTCTCTCATGATCTTTTGTCTTTCTGTGATATCAATTGTGATGTCTTTCATTTATAATTTTAATCATTTGAGTCTTCTCTGTTTTTCTTCATTAGTCTACGTTTGTCAATTTTATCTTTCATAAAACCAACTCTTAGTTTCGTTTATCTCATCTATTGTTTTTCTAGTCTCAAATTCATCGATTATTTCTGCTTTAATTTTTATTATTTCCTTCCTTCTGCTGACTATCAACTTAGTTTGCTTTTTTTTTTCTAGTTCCTTGGGATTTAAAGTTACATTATTTGAGATCTTCCTTTTTTCTTTTGTTATTATTTATTTATTAGACTTAATGTTCTGCTGAATCTTTTTTAATCTAGGCATTTATTGCCGTAAATACCTGTCTTAGTCTGTTTTGTGCTGGTATAACAAATACCTGAGATTGGGTCATTTATAAATACCATAAATTTATTTTCTCACAATTCTAGAAACTGAGAAGTTTAAGATCAAGGCACTGGCATTTGGTGTCTAGTGATGGCCTTCTTGCTGCATCCCCACATGGTGGAAGGCAGAAGGACAAGCTAGCCAAATGGCACATGAAACCTCTTTTATAAGAGTAGTAATCCCATCGAGGTGGGAGGAGCCCTCGTGACCTAATCAACTCTTAAAGGCCCACCTCTTAACACTATCACAGTGGTAACACCTGAATTTTGGAGAGAACACATCTAGACAATAGCAACATCCTTCTTAGAACTGCTTTTGCTGCATTACATAAGTGTTAGCATGTTGTGGTTCCATTTTGTTTGTCTCAAGATACTTTTTGCTCACCTGGCTTTGTATCCTCTATAAACTGATGATCCTGCCTTCTATGTCTTCATCCAAGAAATCCATGTAAAATATGGACTATGAGAAGGCCAAGGTGAGAGCCTTGAGACACTTCATTAAAGGCTTATGCCAACATTGATATCAATTCATTAATTTGAATCCTCTAACTATGATTATTAGGTTATTTTATTTTAATTTTTTTTTGAGATGGAGTTTCGCTCTTGTTGCCTAGGTGTACAATGGCATAATCTCATCTCACAGCAACCTCCGCCTCCCGGGTTCAAGCAATTCTCCTGCTTTAGCCTCCCCAAAGTAGCTGGGATTACAGACATGCGCCACTATGCCAGGCTAATTTTGTATTTTTAGTAGAGACAGGGTTCTCCATGTTGGTCAGGCTGGTCTCAAACTCCCGACCTCAGGTGATCCGCCCGCCTCGGCCTCCCAGAGTGCTGGGATTACAGGCATGAGTCACCGTGCCCGGCGATTATTAGTTTATTAATCCACCCAGTTGCCCTTATCCAGCCCATGTATTTCCATCTTCTCCACAAACATATGCAAAATTGTTGAAAATCTTGGAGTTGAGGTTATTGTATTCTCATACTTGCCAATTTATAACAGCAATTTAAAAAATAAAAATATACCGGGGAATTTAGTAAGCAATTTAAGGTTCTGATGAGCATCGTTTTTTTTGTCAGAATTTTCCAAATAGGCCCTCAAAAACTGTTGCTAGAATCTTGTACAGGATTGATATTGGACTGGTATCGTCTTTGCAAAATAAACTATACTCCCCTCTTGACGTTTGTTATCTTTTGCCCATTTCTGTAGTCTAGACACCTTTGATAATGTCCATAATCTCTCAAAGGTCACAAACAATGGTCCAGTCCTCTCATTTGCAAATTGGTATCTGGGACTGTCATTCATGTAGATCAGGAAACCTGGGCTCACCGAGAGCAGTTAGGACTCCCTGATGTTCGTTCCTCCCCTAACTAGTGTTTGTTCTCCCTGGTTAGTCTGAAAATCATTCCCTTTGCCAAAAAAGAAATACTCAATGCCCAAGCACCTAAGTTTCCATGGCACCTATAAAATACTGGAAGCTGACAGTATTTCTGATTGAATAGGTGATAGGAAAGGGGTAGGGGCCAGACACTGGAGAGGACTGGAGAGAAAGAAAGAAAACTGTTTCTCTTTTCAGATGACATGAATGACTGTGCACGTAGTAAAGCTTTGTCTGCTATATCCAACATCTGGATTAGTTCAGAGTTTGTTTTTATTGACTGCTTTTTTTTCTTGAGCAACATTTTCTTGCTACTTTGCAGGTTGCACTGATGATTTTTGCTTTTTAAAGAAAACAAAACTAAAACAACCATTCCAAAGATTAATAGTTTAAAACAACAACCGTTTTATGGGTTCTTATAGATTCTGTGGGTCAGGAAATTTGGAGAGGGCACAATAACTATTGTCTGTCTCTGTTCCATGGCTGGAAAGACCAGAAAGTGGTGACTCAGTTCTTGGTGGAATGACATGGAGATTCCTTTACTAGCATGTCTGATGCCTGGGTTAAGATGATTTGATGTCTAGGCCCACTGACTTTACTACCCACATGTGGCTTGGCTTTCTCACACCATTGGCCTGAGTGGTCTGACCTAAACATCTTCCAAAAGGCCTCACATCCCAACACTGTTGCATTGCGGATTAAGTTTCTGACACATGAATTTTGGGGGACACATTCAGACTATAGCACCCACCGAGAATCAAGGGGAAAAGGCAGAGATTCTACCTCTTGATGGGAAGTGTGTCAAAGAATTGGCAGCCATTTTACAAAACCACCATACTGTCCAGAGATTTTTCATTATTATATCTTGACTATTATTGATGACACGTTGTAGAAACTCTGGATTCTGTTGTTTTCCTCTGAACTGTGTTGATTTTTGTTCCAGTAGGCAATTCAATGACCTGTTAACCATCTTGAACTTTAGAAGGCTTGGTTTTATGCTCTATTAGGTAGATCTGTGGAAAGTCCACGCAGTTCCTATGACCTTCTAAATGCAACTTCAAAACTCTGTCTCCCCTGCTCATCTTGACAGGGATTGATTTTAAGCTTTGTTGGGTAGATCTCACTCTGGGACGTGACCCTTATTTCTAAGCTATGGCCTTAGGATGTTCATGGTGTTAATAAAGTATTAACAACATCTCTCCTCTCTGGCTGGGCTGGCCCCCAATGTCCTGCAACATGTCTCTGCCTCTACTATCTCTGTTTCAACCCCATAGCAGTGGTTCTCTGGCAAACTTCAGGAGGTCTCACTCTGAGCAAGCACTACTCGGCCAAGGACTTCCCCCACAGACTTCTGCCCCTCCTCTCCACTTGGCAATCCCCTCTTTGGTGACCTGTCCTGCAAATTCCAGTCACTTTAGCTGCCCCAATCTCTGATCTCTGCCTTCTATGCTAGTGAGGCCCCTGTGCTGTGTTTGGACTTCAGCTCATAGCACCATGGGGAACTGTCCCCGGCAGACAGTTGTAGGGCTCACCATGGGAATGTCCCCTCTCTCAAGGATAGCAGTCTTGCACTGTCTGTTGTCCACTGCCTGACAATAGCTGCCTATTTTCTTTATTCCTGGGATGCAAGGTGGTTTAACATATGCAAAGTAATAAATATGATTCACCACATCAGCAGAATTGAAAGCAAAAACCATATGATCATCTCAGTAGATGCAGAAAAAGCTTTCAATAAAATCCAACATACCTTCATGGCAAAAACTCTCAACAAACTAGTCACTGAAGGAACATACCTCAAAATAATAAGAGCTGTCTGTGACAAACCCACAGCCAACATCATACTGAATGGGCAAAAGCTGGAAACATTCCCCTTAAGAACAGCAACAAGACAAGGATGCCCACTCTCACCACTTCTATTCAACATAGTACTGGCAGTCCCAGCCACAGCAGTCAGGCAAGAGAAACAAAGAAAAGACATCCAAATAGGAAAAGAAGTCAAGCTGTCACTCTTCACTGTCGACATGATAGTAACTAGAAAACCTTAAAGACTCTGCCACGAGGCTCCTAGAACTGGTAAATGATTTCAGTAAAGTTTCAGGATACAAAATCAATGTATACAAATTAGTTATTCCATACACCAATAATGTCCAAGCTGAGAGCCAAATCAAGAATGCAGTCCCATTTACAACACACACACACAGACACACGCACACACACACCCCTAGAAGTATATCTAACCAAGGAGATGAAAGATCTCTACAGGGATAACTACAAAATCCTGCTGAAAGAAATCATAGATGACACAAGCAAATGGAAGAACGTTCCATGCTCACAGGTTGGAAGAATCAGTACCATTAAAATGGCCATACTGCCCGAAGCAATCTACAGATTCAATGCTATTCCTATCAAACTTCCAATGTTATTTTTCACACAATTAGAAAAAACTATTCTAAAATTCATATGGAACTGAAAAACAGCCCCATTAGCCAAAGCAATCCTAAGCCAAAAAAAAAAAAAAAAAAAAAAAAGGGAGAGGCATCACATCACCTGACTTCAATCACATCACCTGACTTCAAGCTATCCTATAAGGCTACAGTAACCAAAACAACATGGTACTAGTACATAGTGAGAACATGAAGTATTTGGTTTTCTGTTCCTGCATAATTCACTTAGGATAATGGCTGGAACAGAAAACCCAGAAATAAAGCTGCACATCTGCAGCCATCTGATCTTTGACAAAACTGACACAAATAAGCAATGGGAAAAGGTATTCCCTATTCAATAAATGGTGCTGGGATAGCTGGCTATTTATATGCAGAAAAATGAAACTGGACCCTTAACTTTCACTATATACAAAAATCAACTCAAGATGGATTGAATATTTATTTATTTTTTATTTTTTGAGAAGGAGTCTCGCTCTTGTCACCCAGGCTGGAGTGCAGTGGCATGATCTCAGCTCACTGCAACCTCTGCCTCCTGGGTTCAAGCGATTCTCCTGCCTCAGTCTCTCGAGTAGCTGGGATTACAGTTACCTGCCACCACACCCAACTAATTTTTGTATTTTTAGTAGAGACTGGGTTTCACCATGTTGCCCAGGCTGGTCTCGAACACCTGACCTCAGGGGATCCACCTGCCTCAGCCTCCTAAAGTACTGGGATTGCAGTTGAGGGTCACCACACCCAGCCAGATTGAAGATTTAAATATATGACCTCAAACTATAAGAATCCTAAAAGAAATTTTCAGAAATACCATTCTGGACATTGGCCTTGGGAAACAATTTATAACAAGTCCTCAAAAGCAATTGCGACAAAACCAAAAGTTGAAAAGTGAGACCTAATTAAACTAAAGAGCTTCTGCAGGGGAAAAAAAAAAAAAAAAAAAAAAACTATCAACAGAGTAAACAGGCAGCCTACAGAATGGGAGAAAATATTTGCAAACTATGCAGCCAACAAAGGTCTAATATCCAGAATCTGTAAGAAACTTAAACAATTCAACAAGCAAAAACCAAATAACCCCATGAAAAAGTGGGCAAAGAACAGGAACAGACACTTCTCAAAAGAAGACATACTAAGTGTCCAACAAACATGAAAAAATTCTCAGCATCACTAATCATCAGAGAAATGCAAAACAAAACTACAGTGAGATACCATCTCACACCAGCCTGAATGGTGATTATTAAAAAGTCAAAAATTAGGTGGATTGCTGGGCGGACCCGTCACGGAGAAGAGAGGAGAGTCGCGGGCCACTGAATAAGCTTCCAAAATGATGCCCACACTAGTTATCCTGTTGAAAGAGGGGACTGATAGCTCCCAAGGCATCCCCCAGCTTGTGAATAACCTCAGTACCTGCCAGGTGATTGCCAAGGCTGTAAGAGCCACCCTGGGTGCCTGTGGCATGGACAAGCTTATTGTGGATGGCGGAGGCAAAGCAACAATATCTAACGATGTGGCCACAATTCTGAAACTTCTTCATGTTGTCCATCTTGCAGCAAAGACGTTAGTAGACATTGCCAAATCCCAAGACACTGAGGTCGGTGATGGCACCATCTCAGTGACCTTGCTGGCTGCAGAGTTTCTGAAGCAGGTGAAACTGCAGGTGAAGGATGGTTTACACCCTCAGCTCAACATTCGAGCTGTCTGCACAGCCACCCAGTTGGTAGTTAACACGATCAAAGAGATTGCTGTGACTGTGAAGAAGGCAGATAAAGTGGAGTAGAGGAAGCTGCTGGAGTAGTGTGCCAGGACCACTCTGAGCTCCAACTGATCTCACAGCAGAAAGCTTTCTTTGCTAAGATGGTGGTGGATGCAGTGATGACGTGTGATGATTTGCTGCAGCTTAAAATGATTGGAATCAAGAAGGTACAGGATGGAGCCCAGCTGGTGTTGCATTTAAGAAGACTTTCTCTTATGCTGGGTTTAAAATGCAACCCTCCCAAAAATACCAAAATCCCTAGATTGCCCTTTTGAATGTTGAGCTCGAGTTGAAAGCTGAGAAAGATAATGCTTAGATAAAAGTCCACACGGTTGAGGATTATCAGGCGATTGTTGATGCCGAGTGGAACATTCTCTATGACAAGTTAGAGAGGATCTATCATTTTGGAGCCAAAGTTGTCTTGTCTGAACTCCCCACTGGAGATGTGGCCGCCCAGTACTTTGCTGACAGGAACATGTTCTGTGCTGGCCAAGTACCTGAGGAGAATCTGAAGAGGACAATGATGGCCTGTGGAGGCTCAATCCAGACCAGTACGAATGCTTTCTTAGCAGATGTGCTGGGTCGACGCCAGGTGTTTGAAGAGACCCTGATTAAAGGTGAGAGGTACAACTTTTTTACTGGCTGCCTCAAAGCCAAGACAGGCACCTTCATCCTCCATGGTGGTAGTGAGCAGTTTATTGAGGAGACAGAGCGGTCCCTGTGTGATGCCATCATGATCATCAGGAGGGCCATCGGGAATGAGTCAGTGGTGGCTGGTGGCAGGGCCATTGAGAGGGAGTTCTCCAAGTACCTCCAGGATTCCTCAAAGACTATTCCAGGAAAACAACAGCTGTTGATTGGGGCATATGCCAAGGCCTTGGAGATTGTCTCATTCCAGCTGTACAATAATGCTGGCTTTGGGGCCACAGAGATTCTCAACAAGCTGCAGGCATGGCATTCCCAGGGGCACGTGATATGAGGTGGACATCAACAACGAGGACATTGCTGACAACTTTGAGGCCTTCGTGTGGGAGCCAGCTTTGGTATGGATCAATGCCCTGGCAGTGGCCTCTTAGGCTGTGTGCCTGATTGTGTCTGTGGATGAAACCATCAAGAATCCGATTGACTGTGGATGCTCCCCCAGCAGCTAGCTGGGGCCGTGGTCGTGGCCGCCCCCATTGAGAGGCACCCCGCCTATCACATGACTGGCTGGCAGGCTGGCTGCAGGGTGTGCTTACTCTCCTTGGTTTGGTTAATAGACTTTACAAGGAAGGGGTAGTCACTGGCCCACTCTGTTCTCACTGGAGGCTATTTAAATAAAACTTGAGACTTTGGGGGGAAAAAGTAAAAAAATAGCATATGGGTGATGAGGCTATAGAGAAAAGGGAACACTTTACACTGCTGGTGAAAATGTGAAATAGTTTAGCCACTGCAGAAAGCAGTTCAGAGGTTTCTCAAAGAACTTAAAACAGAACTGCCATTTGACCAGCAATTTCACTACTGGGCATATACCCAAAGGAAAAGAAATCATTCTAGCGAAAAGACACACATGCTCACATGTTCATTGCAGCACTATTCACAACAGCAGACGTAGAATCAACCTAGGTGCCCATCAATTGTGGATTGGATAAGGGAAATGTGGCACATATACACCATGGAATACCATGCAGCCATAAAAAAGAACAAAATTGTGTCCTTTGGATCAACATGGATGCAACTGGAGGCCATTATCCTAAGTGAATTAATATAGGAACAGAAAACCAAATACTGCATGTTCTCATTCTTAAGTGGGAGCTAAGCTTTGGGTACACATGGACATAAAGATGGGAAGAGTAGACACTGGGGACTATGAGGAGGGGAGAGATGGAGGGGCGAGGACTAAAAACTGCCATTGAGTACTGTGCTGCTGCTCACTACATGAGATCATTCATATCTCAAACCTCAGTGTCACACAATATATCCATGTAACAAAACTGCACATGTACTCCCTGAATCTAAAATGTTAAAATTATAAAAAAGAGAAAACCAAAATTACATTAACATGTTTCTCTTACAATCCTGTTTTAAATATAACTAGAATTTTCTGTTACTGCATAGCTTTTTTCCTAGTTTGAAAATATAAAATAATAATGATAATAAAGAGGCCAGGCACAGAGGCTTATGCCTGTAATCCTAGCGATTTGGGAGGCTGAGGCAGGGGATCACCTGAGCCCAGGTGTTTGAGACCAGCCTAGGCAACATAGTGAAACGCCCATATCTATAAAAAAAATCTGAAAATTAGCTGGGTGGGATGGCTCATGCCTGTGGTCCCAGCAGTATGGGAGGCTGAAGCAGGAGGATCGTTTCAGCTTAGGAGTTCAAGGCTGTAGTGGGCTGCGTTCACACCTCTGTACTCCAGCCTGGACAACAGAGCAAGACCCTGACTCAAAAAAAAAAAGACCCACAAAAAAAGCCCCCACCAAATCTATTGCAACATCAGTCAAAATTTTAGTTCTACTTATTAAATACAATTTTATTCTTATAGCAAGTATTTTAAAATTGTTATCTGTTTTTTTAAATATGTAAAATATCTTCTTGTCGAAGCGACAGGTGCTTTGAATTGTTACCTTTATGTTTGTTGAAACTATGAAGAAGAGATTAGGAAGACTTTAGGTTTAAAATGGAAGACAGATTACATATATTATATTCTTGTAAAACTATGAAAATAAAAATAAAGGAGTAAAAGTCAAAAAAATAGCTACCTATTTAATTCAGTTTCATGATCATAATAGAAGGGATAGTCTGAAAACAGAGTTGCAAATAAGTTTATAATTTGTAAAGATCTGATAAAAATTATCAGATGATAAGAATTTACAACCATATCATCACTGAGAATGGAGGAGAAAAAGAAAGATTTCCATATTACATTTATTTAGAAACATGTTTGGTGTGTCTATTTTAAAGTAAAATTAAAAAAAGTACACACACAATTTTTTTTTTTTTTTTGCATTCAGTGTTAAAGTGTTTATCAGAAAGAACTACTTGTGTCTGGGCTCAGTGGCTCATGCTATAATCCCAGCACTTTGAGAGGCTGAGGGGGGCAGATCACCTGAGGTCCGTAGTTCGAGACCAGCCTGGCCAACAGGGTGAAACCCCGTCTCTACTAAAAATACAAAAATTAGCCGGGCGTGGTGGCTCATGCCTGTAATCCCAGCTACTCAGGAGGCTGAGGCAGGGGAATCGCTTGAGCCTGGGAGATCGAGGTTGCAGTGAGCCGGGATCGCACCACTACACTCCAGCCTGGGAGATAGAGTGAGACTCTGTCTCAAAAAAACAAACAAACAAACAAAGAATTACTTGCACTGTGCTCACATAATTTATACAGTCAGTTCTGCTATATCAGGTTGTTTGAAAACCGTACTTTATTCCAATGCAAATGATGTATTAGGGAAGAATTTCAGTGTAATGTGAATTGCACGTTTGCTTATGAGTAACTTAGTCTGTGAGAAATGGTGAATGCAGAAAACTGCCTCACAAATGATTATACTACCTCTCAAATAATTTCCAACAACTCTTCTTCCTCCACTGCGTAGTAATCCACAAGCTGCTACTCTTCTAACTCCCGGGGATCCATGCCCTCCCCTCTGTTTAATTCCCCCAATTTCCTCTTATTTTCCATTTTTCCTCTCTGTTCTTTGCTTATCTCTCTTTTCTCCCTCACTTTTCTTCTCTCCCTCTCACACATAGAGGAGGGGGTGTTAGAACCAGGTGGGCTGGTGGTAGGATCATAGGTCCACAATCTCACGAGCAAAGGCTCACTGCAGCTTCAGATTCCTGGGCTCAAGTGATCCTCCTGCCTAGGCCTCCCAAAGTGTTGGGATTATAGATGTGAGCTGCTGTGCCCAGCCCTATCTTTTAAAAAATATGTACTGAAAAAAAATTTTTTTTTTTTGAGACGGAGTCTTGCTCTGTTGCCAAGACTGGAATGCAGAGGCGCGATCTCCGCTCATTGCAGGCTCCGCCTCCACTTGACTCAGGGAACACACAGCAGTGGGAGCCAAGGCTGTCAGCGATCGAGGACCACAGGTGAACAACTCTGCGCCGCCGTGGTATCACCTCTAGGTGGATCTTCTGCCTTTAGGAAGGAGACAAAAGAGTGCAGAACCCTGGGTCAGATCAGCTCAGGATTGACCCCTCCGTGATCTCTCAGGACTCAGATCCCACCTCTCTCTCAGGGAGAGATCAGCCGCTATTGTTCACATTCTGCCTCTCTGTCATCTAGTTTATGATTGTTCACTTTCCGTTACTTCATCATTAGTTAGACCCAGACCCCAGCAGAGATTTTAGGGGTTCAGAGCCAAGGAAGGCAAAGTATCAGTGGGAACACAGTGGGAAGGCCCACAGCGGGGGCAAGAGTCTTCCAGCTGTGGGCAAGGGTATCCCTGCGGCAGGTCCAGAGCACTGAGGGTGGGGCTTGGCACGACGCCATTTGCCAGGATTCCTGTGTCAGGGGTGAACCAGAAACCCAGGTGTCAAAGGAATCCCACCTTCTAGTCCTTGCTGTCCTCACAGAGTGTCTAGGGTTCACTTTCAGCCTTCCCTTCTGCTCACAATCCCCTCTCCCACGGTCTGTGTGGCCCTGCCTCCAGCCTGCTTTGTTGGAGCCCAGGCAGCCTTCTTCATTATGTCCTCCTAGGAATTAAACCTAGAGACCCCTCAACCTTTGGCATGTGATATACTTTCCCATGGTCAGATGGTCAGATCATCAAGCTGCTGCCCCACCCAAAATTGTGTCTTGCCCACCCTCTGTGTTTCTGTCCATCAGACCACCCATCACATAGGCAACCCCTGGAGAGTGACCCTGGTTTAAAGCCCGACTTTGCCAAACCGCTGTGGATGCATTAATTTGGAAAGGTCCCTGTTCACCTCAGGGCCCACTTGCAAAGCAGAGACAGTCCCCGAGACTCATTCAGCCTTTGCCTTTCTCCTGTTGGCCAGGGACAGAGAGGGCTCAACTTGACCCAGAGCTAAGCCTCTCAGGTCGTGAATGCCCAGGCGATAAATGAAATTCACCTCATCTTATGTCTATGGTGAGATTTGGCAGGGGTCTTGGGGAGACTTAGCAACCTCATTTCTCCCTGTCCTCATACAGGACAAGCCCTGCCCCTAATCCAGAGGCCAGTTGGCCCCATCTCATACTCTGTTTTGCTCACAGTATACCTGATGCCCTCCCTCCTGACCTGTGATTGGGATTGAGCTGAAGATAGTCACTGACATGATTCAAAGGATTAGCACTTGGTACAGGTAGGATGGTGGAGATGTGGTTGGGGACATGGATGGTTGAGGTGAAATGGAACAGAAGAGTGCAGGTTCTTGTCCAAGCTCCATACCCAGGAGATGACCCTTACCTCCGCTGCCACTCAAGTCCTCACATGTCCTGAGCGTCTACTATATAGCAGCCATGATAGATTCTCAGGTTACAAAAGTAATGTCCTCAAGTAAGCGCATCAATTTACTGACATACACCCAATCATAAAACAATGTGATAATTTTTCTGTGGTCAGAGTTTCTGAGCTACGAGTGGGGGTAGTTAATTCTATCCAGGAAGAATGGTGACTTCTTAGAGGAGGTGACAGTTAAACTGGACTTGGATAGCTGTCTGGAATTCGGTCAGGTAAGAAAGAAAATTCCAGGCAGAGATGAGCATGAGCAAAAAATTTGGCAGCAATGATGCACGGTGATTCAGAGATCAAAAAGTTCAGTGTGGATGCCTCTAGACATTTTCTTATCTGTGTCTGATAGATTTTGATATTTTGTATTATCATTTTCATTCATTTCAAAATACTTTCTAGTTTTCCTTGTACTTTTTAATTTGATATATAGTTATTTGGAAGCATATTATTTGATATCCAAACATTTGAGGATTTTTCCAGATAGCTTCCTGCTGTTGATTTCTAGTTTATTTCCATTGTGCTTGGACAAGATGCTTCGCATGATTTTAACCCTTTACATATGTTGAGATTTATTTATTTATTTATTTATTGAGATGGAATCTCACTCTGTCACCCAGGCTGGAGTGCAATGGCGCAATATCAGCTCACTGCAAACTCCGCCTCCTGAGTTCAAGCGATTCTCCTGTCTCAGCCTCCCGAGTAGCTGGGATTACAGGCCCATGCCACCACACCCGGCTAATTTTTGTATTTTTAGTAGAGACAGGGTTTCGCCATGTTGGCCAGGCTGGTCTCGAACTCCTGACCTCAAATGATCCACCCAACTTGGCCTCCCAAAGTGCTGGGATTACAGGAGTGAGCTATCACGCCCAGATGAGATTTATTTTATGATCCAAAAATGGCCCTTCTTGGTGAATGTCCCTGTGTATTTGAAAAGACACTCCCTGTCAACCCCTTTGCTCTGTCATTTAGCTTTGATCAGCTTTTTCTCTCTTCTGTCACTTCAGCAGAAACAATGCCCAGAAATGCCAGAGACAACAAAATAGGAATGTGTCATGGGCACACAAAGCTCTTTTTCCCTGGGTGCTGCTCTTCCCCGTGACAGAGAAATCCATGCGACACAGTGGGGAGGCCCTCCCCAAAGGGTGGCAGATATATTTTTTTCCCCTTGAATTGTAATACACCTTTCCCCAGGCCCACTCTGCCTCCCACTTCTGTTCAGCTCAGCTGTGGGCACTGACCTCCACCGGCGCTTGATCCCTGCCTGCTCCTGCCCAGACAGGAAGCCCTTCAGCAGCCGACTCGGTTACCAGGATGAGGCTAGAGGCCAGGAACTCCCAGGTGTCTATGGAGGTCCCACCTCCTTTAAATCCCTACTGTTCAGACCCAGCTTCTAAAACTGTTCTTTTGCCTCCCTTCCTACTCACCAATCCCCTTCACTATTGTCAATGGCACTGAAGTCCCAGCCTGCTTGGTTGGGGCAGTTAAGTCCTTCTCAGTCACCTTCCACCAGGGATTAAGGTGGGACCCCTTTGCCTGCAGCTCTGTGGGTGGGACCCCTTCCTATCTCAGCATATTCACTCCCTGGGTTCCTGCTGCCATCACACCACCCACCACACGAGCCCCTTCTGGACCAGTGGCCCTTATCTGACTCAAGCCATATCTTGCCAAGCCTGTTGTGACACCGATCTTGGCAAACTCACTTTTCATGTCAGGGCCCCTGCAAAACAGACACATATCTGAGTCATGGTATTCGTTTAAGCAATGAAAAGGGTAGAATCATTTCTTACATCAGAAACATTGATCCTCAGTGAGTCAGATGGAGTAGCCTATTTTTCTCATTAGAGGGAATCCTAACTTTGAACTCCACAGAGAGAGCCCCAGGAACTGTGACTTGAACCCTAGAGCTCTACTTAACTTTTCCAAATTGCTGTACTTGAAAATGTTGAGGTCTGCCTGGGTCAATTTAGAGAAGACACTATGAGGACAAAGACAGCAATGGAAGAAAGAAATGAATTCTTCATGTCAGAGCAGTGGCGGAGAAACAGGACCAAAGAGCAGAAGATGTCTGGCAATGTGTCTGGCATATAATAGTTCTCTCAGCCAGGTGTGTTGGCTCCCCCTGTAATCCCAGCGCTTTGGGAGGCCGAGGCGGGAGCATCACCTGAGGTCGGGAGTTCAAGACGAGCCTGACCAACATGGAGAAACCCCATCTCTACTAAAAATGTAGGATGTAGTTCGGCACTGTAATGTTTAGAGGGTGGTGAAAGGATTTCTTATACCACATCTTGTATGTTATCTGGGAGTAAATGCTGCAGCCACAAGCGCCACCAGCAAGTCTTCTCAGGGTGAACGGGAAAAGGGGATGGGACCTGCTGAGCTAAATCACGGTAAACGCAGACAGCAAACAAACTTTCCGTCAAAGAGCTGGATGAAACCTGGGCCGGATGGCAAGGAGACAACACCCCAGGCAGGCGTTCCAGATCTTTGACCTTGCCCCTCCTCGAGAGGAGATGATTGCTTCATCCCTCCTCTCACTGCACATTGTGCTGCCAGCCCTGCTGTGTAGTGTGGGGGCTCAAGACTAAGGCAGTGCACCATTTCTGTGGAGAGAGATGGATCAGGGAGCGGGGGCTTGGATGAGACCCATGATTCACCTCTCTTGAGTCCTTACCAGACTAAGACGTCCTCAAGGGCCAGAGACCAGCCTGCCACTCACCATTTTGCCACCAGACACAGATGAGAACAATTCCCATTAAAACTAACAGGATGAATGCCCCCAGGATGATCCATCTATCTGGTAGACTAGAAGAAGACCAGTGGATATCTGAAGCATTTACTGGTGACACTAAAAAAAAAAAAAAAAAGAAAAAAAAGCACAAGCCCTGTCACATAAAAAAAAAAAGCATAAAAATATGCTTTCCTTAGCCCCTGCTTTCCCCAGGAACACATGGTGCCCCACATAATCACTGGCTCATGTGACAGCCACTCTACCAGGCCCTGGGCCATGAAGATGAATAGGGGTTGTGCCTTGTCCTTATGGAGCTCAGATTTCTACTGAGAGAGGTAGCAAATATCCATCTGATTACCACACAGTTTCACGATTACTGTGGTTAGAACTGTTTGGAGGATGACACAATGGGTGGTGCTTAATTCTGTGTGGGGAAGGTGGGGAAGGCTTCCTAAGAAGTGGCATTAGAGCTGGTGGAAGGGTAATTATAATAGAGGAAGAGAAGGCCTGGATGTTTGCAATGACACAGATAGACTTGGGACCATTTAGCAGTGGGTCATTGTGACTGGATCATTGGTTAATGGGAAGGGGTTTCTACACTGAGGAAGAAACAGTGGGAGGTGGGATGGGAAAGGGAGGATGGTGGGAAATCCTTATAGCCATCACTGACTCTCCAGACAGGAAGCCCACGGAGAAGTCAATCAAATTTTCTATCGCACACACACACTGACACCCACACAGGGAAGGCTTTTGACCTTTAAAGGGAGCTGCCACATTCTCCCACCCAGCTCAGTTACCTGTCGGTTCTGGCATTGCCTCCCAGTGCCCTAAGAATTCCCTGAGCCAGTGATCGCAGTCTCCCTTTGAGAGCTTCCTGAAATACTTTTCCAGCCCTCTGTCTTTCTTCCATGTCTCCTTGATCTTACTGGCTTCATGATTAATTACTGTCCAGGTCATGTTCATTGCGTCAAAGAGGAGGGATTTCTCTCCATTGGTGGCGAACTGCCAGGATGCACCAGTGCACCGTTCTGCTTCACGTTGACAAAACATCTCGACTTGCAGAGTGGAAGGATCTGCAATCCAAACACAAAGCCATCATCCTCCACTCTTTGAGAAGTCCATCATCCTCCAATAGGTCAAGTGTTTCTCTGCACATTTAGGGGTCTGTATTCTTTCTGCCCAGACTTGCCCTTTCCTGCCCATTGGGTCCCATGTGCCTCTATGGTTGGGCCAATGATCAATACACAGATATACCTAAAGCCCCTCCCCATCTGTGTTCTTCCCTCCCCTCTCTTACTGCCTGCCTCTGTTTGCCCACCCCATTCCACACTTACCACTGGTCTTTATCTGGGGTTTGATGTCACAAAGGAGCATCCTGAGGTCTCGCCCCACTTCTCCCAGCGTTTGGGTCAATTCTCCCCAAGTGCTGGTGGCATATACCTTCTTCCCCAGGAGGCCCAGAGGTTTGACCATGTTGTTGTCACTGTTGTACTGAAGGAAAAGATTTTTATTCAAGAAGACCTGCGCTTCACACCAGGGCTGTCCAGGTCTGGACAATGATTTTATAGTGAAGTTGAAGCAAAGAGAGTGACCACCTGTGAGACAAAGATGCAGGTGAGGTCCAGGACAGGGGAAGAGGCCCATTAGAACCTGCGCTTCTGTGACCCAAGACTCCCTGGACTGGGCCAGGCTAGCAGAGGCGGGGCAGCTCCATCCCAGACTCCCTCAACCTTCTGGATCCCTGTTCCCATCTCTCCCTGACTGTCTGGGATGAGATACTTGATGGTACCAGGGACCCCTGGGGTGCACTTAGTGTTAATGGTGTTAACAGGAGGATTCATGTCACAAGTACTTTTAGCAACATCTACCAAGTTCTGAGGCACAAAACAGACAAGCCAGTGTATGACCTCCTGAGACTTAAACTCTAGCTGAACACACATGACATTCAATAGAAAGGAAAAAGAGGCATTTATCACAGGACACACGCTGAATTCCTGTGGGGTCCCAGATGTTCAGGAAAGTGACCTGGAGTAGAAGGCGGGGGGTAGCATTGTAGAACTGCCCTCTGTGAGCCAGTGCCTTGCCTAGGGCCTCAGGCTGTGGTCTCCCATGAACTGGGTGTAACATCCCAGGGATCCTCTTCCTCACGTCATCCTTAAGAGCAGGCACCCACTTGTCTGAAGCCTGCATGAAGCCCCATTCGCCTACCCCCTACCTTTCTCCCTCCTCCTTGTCCTCAGCCAGTTCTTGTGCTCAGGACACTCACCAACCATGATCTCCAAGGCTATTAGTAGCAACAGCAGAAACAAAAGAAGGCGCACAGGGCTAGAAGTCAGGGATATTCTTCGCATACTGTGGAGAGTAACAGGCAGGAAGCTGGGCGTGTACACATTCACCCTCACTGGTATGGTGAAGAAATGTTATCCAACAGCGTGGGTGTGGGCACTGCCCAAATTCTTTACCCTGGAACAACTGAGGTCAGGCCTGTAGAGACCCAATTAAAGAACAATTTTGTGAAGAGAGTGTTTTCCAAGTATTCAGAATATAATCATTTATTGAAAAATAAAAGAAGACATTTAAAAACAAAATTAACTTTGAATAAACTCTCTCTCCTCTCCTGTCCCTGCTGCCCCTGCAAAAAAAACCCCCTCTGGTGTGAGCAGGATGGTTGGAGGTTATGTGAGCTCCTTCTCCTTTCCTCCAGTTTCCTCTTCCCTTCTCCTCCCTGCCTCTTTTGCTTTTCCCTTTCTTCCTGGTACCCCCTGCCCATTCCTGTATTTTCTCCCATCGCCATTCTCCCCTCTCCCACTGTCCCTAACCCGTTCAAACTCTTTCCTCTTAAATGGTTGAGATTTTCTCTCACCAAGCACACCCCAGTATTAATTAAACTAGCTGCAAACAGGCAGCAAGTGGTCTACCATGACAGATGGGTTTTGTGTGTGTGTGTGTGTGTGTAATTGTAATAAAACATATTGAGTCACTCAATAAACACAGAGTGTCTACTACATGTATCAGGCACTATCATAGATGCTAATTAACGAAACTGAAATGGCCAGGCCCTCACAGTGGCTCATGCCTATAATCCCAGCACTTTGGGAGGATGAGGCAGGAGGATCACTTGAGGCCGGGAGTTCAAGACCAGCCTGGGCAACATAGTAAGACTCCATCTCTACAAAAAAAAATTTTTTTTTATTATACTTTAAGTTTTGGGTTACATGTGCAGAACGTGTAGTTTTGTTACATAGGTATATACGTGCCCTGGTAGTTTGCTGCACCCATCAACCCATCACCTACATTAGGTATTTCTCCTAATGTTACCCCTCTCCTAGCCCCCCACCCCGTGACAGGCCCTGGTGTGTGATGTTCCCCTCCCTGTGTCCATGTGTTCTCATTGGTCAACTCTCACCTATGAGTGAGAACATGTGGTATTTGGTTTTCTGATCTTGTGATAGCTTGCTGAGAATGTTGGTTTCCAGCTTTATCCACGTCCCTGCAAAGGGCATAAACTCATCCCTTTTTATGGCTGCATAGTGTTCCATGGTGTATACGTGCCACATTTTCTTAATCTATCATTGATGGACAAGTTTTGCTATTGTGAATAGTGCCACAATAAACATACGTGTGCGTGTGTCTTTATAGCAGCATGATTTATAATCCTTTGGGTATATACCCAGTAATGGGATCACTGAGTCAAATGGTATTTCTCGTTCTAGATCCGTAAGGAATTGCCACACTGTCTTCCACAATGTTTGAACTAATCTACACTCCCACCAACAGTGTAAAAGTGTTTCTATTTTTCCACAACCTCTCCAACATCTGTTATTTCCTGACTTTTTAATGAACGTCATTCTAACTGGCGTGAGATGGTATCTCATTGTGGTTTTGATTTGCATTTCTCTAACGACCAGTGATGATGAGCATTTTTTCATATGTCTGTTGGCTGCATAAATATCTTCTTTGGAGAAGGGTCTGTTCATATACTTTGCCCATTTTTTGATGGGGTTGTTTTTTTTCTAGTAAATTTGTTTAAGTTCTTTGTAGATTCTGGATATTAGCCCCTTGTCAGATGGATAGATTGCAAAAATCTTCTCCCATTCTGTAGGTGGCCTGTTCACTCTGATGATAGTTTCTTTTGCTGTGCAGAAGCTCTTTAGTTTAATTAGATCCCATTTGCCAATTTTGGCTTTTGTTGCCAGTGCTTTTGGTGTTTTAGAAAGGAAGTCTTTGCCCATGCCTATATCCCGAATGGTATTGCCCGGGTTTTCTTCTAGGATTTTTATGGTCCTATGTCTTATGTTTAAGTCTTTGATCCATCTTGAGTTGATTTTTGTATAAGGTGTAAGGAAGGGGTCCAGTTTCAGTTTTCTGCATATGGCTAGCCAGTTTTCCCAACACCATTTATTAAACAGGGGATCTTTTCCCCATTGCTTGTGTGTGTCAGGTTTGTCAAAGATCAGATGGTTGTAGCTGTGTGGTGTTATTTCTGAGGCCTCCATTCTGTTCCATTGGTCTATATATTTGGTACCAGCACCATGCTATTTTGGTTACTGTAGACTTGTAGTATAGCTTGAAGTCAGGTAGCACGGTGCCTCCAGCTTTGCTCTTCTTGCCCAGGATTGTCTTGGATATGCAGCCTCCTTTTTGGTTCCATATGAAGTTTAAAGTAGTTTTTTCCAGTTCTGTGAAGAAAGTCAGTGGTAGCTTAATGGGGATAGCATTGAATCTATAAATTACTTTGGGCAGTATGGCCATTTTCACGATATTAGTGCTTCCTATCCATGAGCATGGAATGTTTTTCCATTTGTTTATGTCCTCTCTTATTTCCTTGAGCAGTGGTTTGTAGATCTCCTTGAAGAGGTCCTTTACATCCCTTGTAAGTTGTATTCCTAGGTATTTTATTCTCTTTGTAGCAATTGTGAATGGGACTTCACTCATGATTTGGCTGTCTGTTTGTCTGTTATTGTTGCATAGGAATGCTTGTGATTTTTGCACATTGATTTTGTATCCTGAGACTTTGCTGAAGTTGCTTGTCAGCTTAAGGAGATTTTGGGCTGAGATGATGGAGTTTTCTAAATATACAATCATGTCATCTGCAAACAGAGACAATTTGACTTCCTCTTCTCTTGTTTGAATGTACTTTATTGCTTTCTCTTGCCTGATTGCCCTGGCCAGAAGTTCCAATACTATGTTGAATAGGAGTGGTGAGAGAGGGCATCCTTGTCTTGTGCTGATTTTCAAAGGGAACGCTTCCAGTTTTTGCCCATTCAGTATGATATTGGCTGTGGGTTTGTCATAAATAGCTCTCATTATTTTCGGATATGTTCCATCAATACCTAGTTTATTGAGAGTTTTTAGCATGAAGTGGTGTTGAATTTTATCAAAGTTCTTTTCTGCATCTATTGAGATAATCATGTGGTTTTTGTCATCGGTTCTGTTTATGTGATGGATTACGTTTATTGACTTGTGTATGTTGAACCAGCCTTGCATCCCAGGTATGAAGCCAACTTGATCGTGGTGGATAAGCTTTTTGATGTAATGCTGGGTTCGGTTTGCCAGGATTTTTGCATCAATGTTCATTAGGGATATTGGCCTGAAATTTTATTTTTTTGTTGTGTCTCTGCCAGGTTTTGGTATCAGGATGATGCTGGCCTCATAAAATGAGTTAGGGAGGATTCCCTCTTTTTCTATTGTTTGGAATAGTTTCAGAACTCCTCTTCTTGAGGAGTATCTTTGTGATGTTCTCTGTATTTCCTGAATTTGAATGTTGGCCTGCCTTGCTAGGTTGGGGAAGTTTTCCTGGATAATAACCTGAAGAGTGTTTTCCAACTTGGTTCTATTCTCACTGTCACTTTCAGGTACACCAATCAAATGTAGATTTGGTCTTTTCACATAGTACCACATTTCTTGGAGGCTTTGTTCATTCCTTTTTATTCTTTTTTCTCTAATCTTGTCTTCTCTCTTTATTTCATTAAGTTGATCTTCAATCACTGATATCCTTTCTTCCGCTTGATTGATTTGGCTATTGATACTTGAGTATTCTTCACAAAGTTCTCATGCTGTTTTTTAGCTCCATCAGGTCATTTATGTTCCTCTCTACATTGGTTATTCTAATTAGCAATTCGACTAACCTTTTTTCAAGGTTCTTATCTTCCTAGCATTTGTTAGAACATGCTCCTTTAGCTTGGAGTTGTTTGTTATTATTCACCTTCTGAAGGCTACTTCTGTTAGTTCGTGAAACTCATTTTCTGTCCAGTTTTGTTCCATTGCTGGCGAGGAGTTGTGATCATTTGGAGGAGGAGAGGCGTTCTTGTTTTTGGAATTTTCAGGCTTTGCGCACTGGTTTTTTCCTATCTTTGTGGATTTATCCACCTTTGGTCTTTAATGTTGGTGACCTTCAGATGGGGTCTTTGAGGGGACGTGCTAATCCTTTCTGTTTGTTTCTTTTCCTTCTAACCATCAGGCCCCTCTGCTGCCAGTCTGCTGGAGTTTGCCGGTGGTCCACTCCCAACCCTGTTTACCTGGGTATCACCAGCGGAGGCTGCAGAGCAGCTAAGATTGCTGCCTGTTCCTTCCTCTGGAAGCTTTGACCCAGTGGGGCACCTGCCAGATGCCAGCCAGAGCTCTCCTGTATGAGGTGTCTGTCGGCCCCTACTGGGAGGTGTCTCCCAGTCAGTATACGTGGGTGTCAGGCACCCACTTGAGGAGGCAGTCTGACCCTTAGCAGAGCTCGAATGCTGTGCTGGGAGGTCTGCTGCCCTCTTCAGAGCCATCAGGCGGGGACATTTAAGTCTGCTATAAGCCCCTGATTGGGGCTGCTGCCTTGTTTACCAACATGCCCTGACCAGAGAGGAGAAATCTGGCAGTCTGGCCATAGCAGCCTTGCTGAGCTGCAGTGGGCTCCGCCCAGTTCCAACTTCCCAGCAGTTTTGTTTACACTGTGACCTTAAAACCATTTCCTCAAGCCTCAGCAACGGCAGAGGTCCTTCCAGATGAGTTTTGTAATAGACTCCAGCAGTCCTACTGGGGCCAAGACCTCAAGGAAAGCCAAGTCTATCATTGGGAAAAGTCTTAGGGCTCTAAGTTTTGAATTCTGAAAATTTTTCTTAGAACAAAATTTTGTGTCATTTTCAAATAAAGCACAAGTTTTCCTCATAAAACTTAGTATCTGTAGACCCCCTTCCCACCTCACTTTTACAGCTGTCCCATTTGATCATCAGACCCTGCTACCTTAGCCAGTTCAGGCTGCTACAACAGAATAGACAAGGTGGCTGAAACACCAAGCATTTATTTCTTACCTTCCTGGAAGATGGGAAGTCCAAGATCAAGGTGTCAGCAGGTCCGGTATCTGGCGAGGGCCCTCTCTTCCTCACCAGATGGCTGTCTTCCTGTTGTATCCTCACACAGTGGAGAGCAGAGACAGACAGCAAGCTCTCCTATCACTTCTTAATCCCACATGGCTCCACTCACATGAGTTATGACTTCCTAAATAGCATCACCTTGAGAATTAGGATTTCTGCATATGAATTTGGAAGGCAGGCAAACATGCGGCCTGTAACACCACCCATATCCGTTCCACATCTAGGTTCCCTCTGTGTGCCGGGCAGTATGCCAGTTAATTCAAGTGCATGTCAGACCCAGAGGGTGACATCCTGTGACTCAGATGCTAGGGCCCTTATGATGCCTGGTAAGGTAAGTGGGTCTTTACCACTGTCCTTTCTTAACTAGATGGAACAGACTTCAAAGAAAGTAACCATGGACTATCGGCAGGGCTCTATCTCTGGGGCTGGGGGATAAGGGGTTGTCTGCTCAGAGGACAGTGGGTCAAGCGTTTGAAGGAGCCGAGGAATGCACATTTTTTACATGTCCCCTATGTGGTTCTCTGTCTGCTAAGGTTAAAGAACCTCAATTTTGAGGGTGCACTTCCACCTCTTGGTCTGGAGAAGGGGTCTCAAATCTGTCCTGAGTGGAGCCTGTTCTGTACACATCCAGGCCCTGAGAGTACACAGAGAGGAACTCACTGCTACCGCCCTGCCAATACTGCTGCTGTGGGGACACCAGCGGGGGTGGGCCAAGAACAGAGTGTATGTGTGTGTTTGTGTGTGTGTGTGTGTGTGTGCATGGGTGCTTGTGTGTGTGTGCGTGCATATGTGTGATATGACCACTGAGTAGCTCCTTAGCAGGGCCAATATTTTCTACAAGTCTGATGACTCACAGGAAGGAGCACACCAGGCCTATACTTGGGTCCTGACATCTGGGATGCCAACCTAACACTGAAGAAAAAGAAAGAGCTGCAGACAGGCTGGGAAAAATATACAGAAAGGGGAAAGGGGCCCTTCCACCTTTGTTGCCCTCTGTGGTCCTGAATCTCAGCTTGGCCTGAGCCAACCTGAAGATGGGAAGGAATAGCCATTTTCCAACTGCAAAATGTCAGCTTCAGGCAATGGTTTCAAAACTGAAGTAATGGTTACATATGAAGTAGATTTTTGTTTGTTTTGTTTTTTGAGACCAGGTCTTGCTCTGTCATCCAGGTGGAGTGCAGTGGCATGAGCACGGCTCACTGCAGCCTTGAACTCCCAGGCTCAATCAGTCCTTCCACTTCAGCCTCCAGAATAGCTGGCACTACAGGCATGAGCCACCACACCCAGCTAATTTTTAAATTTTTGGTGTGGAGATGGGGTCTCATCACGTTGCCCAGGCTGATCTCGAACTCCTGGGCTCAAACAATCCTCCCCCCTCAGCCTCCCAAAGTGTTGGGATTACAGGAGTGAGCCACCACACCCGGCTGAAATGGAATTTTAATTGAAGTAAGAAGCGGGTGATAAGGAAAGTGAAACCAATAATTTCACATAGTCCCTGGAAGCCCGTTGCTATAAAGAACTTTCAGCCTGAAGTCCAAAGAGAGACGAAAATTTTAAAATGAATTGGACTGCAGTTTTCAATCCCTGAAAATGAGTCACAGCCTTTTTGTGGCAGTGTGCCCTGGGCTTCTAACCGTCCTCTCCCTGCCCCAGCTGCCTTGAGGTCCCGGCCAATGGTTTCAACACTCAGGCTAGGAATGCCAAGGCCCGGCAGAGCGAGGCTGTGGAAGCCTTGGCATAAGCGGAAGGGAGGATCTGAGGGAGAATGGGACAAGAGAAGTCGGAAAGAAGGAGTTAGGGCAGGAGAACAAGGAGAAATCCCTGTCCCCCAAATTGGAGAGAGGGGCGATTGGGACTCCAGACTGGAAGGAGGCACGGATCCCTGAGTGCTTGGTGTGGAGGCAGAGGACCCGCAGAGCCACCCCGTCCTCCCTGCCTTATCCAGCGTCCCCGCCGCCACACCCCCAGCATCTCCCCCAACCCCACTTTTACTTCATTATCTGCCCCTGGTTCTCTCACCACTCGAGCCCCTGCTTTCCTCCTTCACTCCCAAACATGCACACGTTCCCTCTGCACGGGTGTTTGGAACACCAGCCATCCCCCACCCCCTACCTTGTGCCAGCAGGAGATGTTTGTCCTTCTGCCGTCTCTAGGATGGAGAGGCCTGAGGTGACTGCTTCCTCAGAGTCTCTGTGCAAACTCTCTGAGGAGCAGAAACCAGTTCAGTCTCTCTGGGTGTGGAGAGGCCGGCCTAGCAGAACACCCGTCCACCATGCAAACCGGGTGGGGCCACCTGTCAACTGTCACGTGTGAGTGATTCTAGGACAGGGTAACTCGTCCAGAATTGGATCCAATTCAGTACTGGATTCACCATCAGTAGAAGGACCAAGACCAGACTCAAGTCCCAGCCACGAAATTCTAGAAAGGATTTAATGTAATTTTAGCAGTTGTTGGAGACCAGCATGTGATGGCATACATATGTTTTCCTTGATATGTAGGTGGGGGCCCCCACCTTTTTTCAGGGTTTAGGCTTCTGCAGGTCCTGGCATAGCTGTGACAGCGGCCCTACCTCATTTCTGGTGGGTGCTGGCTCCCTCTATTGCTTGGTTTCTGTGCAAACACTGCATTATCGTCCTGCCCTCTTGAGACCTGGAGCTCCTGCCCCCTGAGCTCGTGTTCGCACTGTGTGTCACTGAACCTCGCTGTTTTCTTCTTGCAACTCCATTCCCCTCTGCAACTGGAAGACCAGCACTTCTCCTGAGTCTTCCTTAAAAGACACCCTGCCCACTTCCTTACAAAGCCCCCACCAAAGTGACACCAGCTACTTGTGAATGTAGCCAACTTTACTGAAGATTTAGAGGTTATGTTATAAGGCTGTGAATAATTTAAAAAAAAAATCACCTATTTGCTCGACCTCTTTCTTATCTCTTCTTTGGACTAGAAATAAAATATCTATGATTTGACCACACTGTCATCTAGTACTCGACCCTGGTTCTAGGCCACCGTCCTCCTGGCCAGGGTGATTGCAGTGCTGCCCTACTTGGTTCTCCGTGCCTGTCCCCACCTCCCAAATGGCTACAGCGCAGCCAGAGTGATCTTCAGAACCTCATCACTCACGCCCCCCTCTGCTCCAATTCTCCAAAAGTGCCCTTTTTCTCTCAGTAAAACCAAAGTCACTACAGATGCCTAGAGAGCCCTGCACAGTCTGGCCAGCTGTCCATTATGCCCCCTCACTCGCTCAGTTCCGACCTCCACCCTCGGCCTCCTTGCTGGTCTTCAGAGCCCTGCAGATGTCCCCGTGCCTTGGGACTTTGCATTGCCCTCCCTTCAGCATGGACTGCCCTTCAGGCATCTGCCCGGCTCACTCCCACTCCTGCTCCCAGGTGGCACACCCTTCCACGCCTGGTTCTCCCTGCCCCTCGCATTTGGAACCCTTGTATTTCTTTCTTTCTTTCTTTTTTTAAAATTGTGGTATGATTCATGTAACGTGATTTTTCATCTTAACCACTGTTAAATGTAAAGGCCTCTATTTCATAATGGGAGACCTCTGCCTGCCCAGGCCATCCTGGACCTTCTTCACCTGAACTTGTTCCCCTAAAGCAATGACCACTTTAAAACATACCTTAGTAAGCCGCGCACAGTGGCTTACACCTGTAATCCCAGCATTTTGGGAGGTCAGGGAGGCTGGATCACCTGAGGTTGAGTTTGAGACCAGCCTGGCCAACATGTTGAAACCCTGTCTCTACTAAAAATAAGAGAATTAGCCGGGTGTGGTGGCCAGTGCCTGTAATCCCATCTACTCAGCTTATTGAGTCAGGAGAATCACTTGAAGCCAGGAGGCGGAGGTTGCAGTGAGCCGAGATCACGCCACTGCTTTGCAGCCTGGGCAACAGAATGAGACTCTATCCCTATAAACAAACAATCAAACAAACCTTATTAACTTTTAATTGTGGTTGCAACAAATTACTGCAAATTTAGTGCCTTAAAACAACATACATTCATTCTTTTACCATTCTGGAGCTCAGAAGTCTGAATAGTCTCACGGAGCTATCATCACTGTGCTGTCAGGGCTGTGTTCCTTTGGGAGGCTCTCGGGGAGAACCTGTCTCCTCCTTGCCTTTTCCAGCTGCTCAACTGCCCACGTCCATGGCTCAGGACCCCATTTCCTCATCTTCAAAGGCAGCTCCACCAGGCTGAGTCCTGGTTTACATGAGAACACTACCCCTCCATGGCTGGTTTTCCCAGGGCAGCTGATTAGCCACCTCAGCTCCATCCACAGCTTTCACCGCCCTTTCCATGTACCCCAACACAGAGGTTCCAGGGACTGGATCTGCCATCCTGAGGATTGGAGAGGGAATTCTTCTGCCCAACACACATACCATATAATTTACATATCTATCCATTTAAAATTTCTATCTCTTACTAGAATGCCATTTCTGTGAAGACAAAAACCTCATACAAGGCACAGAAAACAGCTCCCCAGGGGTGAAGGGGCTCAGATGGGCCCCCTGGCTCAGGGAACAAGGAGAGGTGTCAGGGCAGCCTCCCTGGGTCTCCAGCCTTCACAGCCGGTGCCTCCCAGGCAGGTTCCAGCCACAGCAGCAGCAAAAGAGATGTGGTGGGCAGCATCAGGCATTGGCGAGATTCCTGACACAGTTCAGTCGAAAAGAAACTTCCTAAACTGAGCTCACCTCAAGGAAGCTGGAGATAAATGCCACCTTACCCAATGGGTACATGAAATACAAATACAAATCCTTTTCCAGGTTGTGCAGGTTACAACTGGCCCAATTCTATGCCTGGTCCCCTGCCCTGTCCTGCTGTGACTTGCCAGGGTGGGGTGCTCATTGGCCTCCAGGCTCCACTCACTTTTCTGACCGCACCCAGTTTCCACCTCCAAGTCACCCCCCAGACTGCTTCTCCTTTTGCTGTTTTTTCTCAGCCCAGCAGAAATTCTAATATTCGCCAGGCTTGGCCCTGCTCAGGGCACCGGAGAAGGAGCCTCTGAGGAAAATCTTGGCACAAGGAGCAGCTCTCCCACCTGGATTTCCAGCACCCTCTGTTTTCTGGGAACTCCTGAATTTCTCTGGCCATTGGCACAGGGGCTCTGCCACGCAGTTCCCCTGGCGGCTGGCCCCTGACATCTGGCAAAGAGTTAGGAATGCAGGTGTTTCTGGCAAATATGTAGGGCCTATGAGATAAGAAAGTGGGGGAAGCAAGATCACGTAGGTTCTCTGTGAGAGAGGCCGCATGCCCAGCAGGACAGAACATCCCTGGCTGACAAGGGCCATCTTCCCCTGTCCTTATCTCTGCCTGGGCTCCAGCTCCGTCCTGCCTGACAGAGGCCGTGGAGCAGAGCACTGGGCTGCTGGTCAATGTCCTGGTCTTTAGATAGACCAGTCTCCGGATGGGGTCACAGTGGGAGAGCAGTGGGCCTGGGAGGTGCAGGGTTAGTGCAGGGCAGGGCTGCCTTGAATCTGCAGGTGCGGGGCCACCAGGCTGGACCTATCTGTATGCTCAGCACAGGAGGTTGCAGTATTGCCTGCCCTCAACCTCCTTTTCCTATTTCTGCTGCTAGAGGGCACTGGGGACTGGGGTCAGGCTGGGGGTCTTGCCATCCCCTCCTGATCTCCTCCACTCCCTGTCCACAGCTCCTGATTTCCCTGCCTGGGCTGCCCCCACCAGAAGTCTCCAGGCCTAAAATCCAGTAGGAACAGGCAGCCTAGCCTGTCCCCAGGGGTTTCTTTAGCACTTGCAGGAGTCAATAAGGCTTCAGGTAGGAAGGCCTGATGCCTTCCTCATCCACAGACGCCTAACAGGTGTTTCTGGAAATGTATCCTGTGGCAGCCAAAGAGGCTGGACTCCTCAGTGTGTTTCCAAACAGAGCCAAACACAGAGTTCATCGGTTGGAGGAGCCCAATCAGCTGCTCATTAGTGTGCCTTTGACAAGCCTTTGTACGGCGGGGAGGAAAAATGATTTTCATGAAAAAAACAAACAAACAGGAGTTTATTATCTATCTATCTATCTATCTATCTATCTATCTATCTATCTATCTATCTATCTATCTATCTATCGTCTCTTGTATATACACAGGAAACACCTGGAGAAAACAAGTAATCCTTAAAGTGCTGGCTTAGAGCTCCAGCATCTTCAACAGAAAACAATAAACGTCTAGAGAAGTGGCAGATCATGGGAAGGCCAATCTATGGCATCAGAGAAGCTTGTGGTGCCTCTGCTGCTGTCCCTAGGCCTGACAAGAGTCTGAAATTGTCTTTGGTGATCAACCTTTGTCCTTTCTGGTAGAGAAGGGAGGATACAATCAAAAGTGGCTCAATAATAACTGGAAAATAAATGGAAAAGAAAGATGTTCATTTCATCCAGGTTCTTGAATTCATTGACATACGGTTGTACATAGTATTCCCTTATAATCCTTTTTGTTTCTGTAAAGTTGGTAGGGATGTTTCTTCTTTCATTCCTGGTATTAGTCATTTGAGTTTTATCCCTCCACCATTTACCTAGTCATTCTAGGTTAAGGTTTGACAATTTGGTTGATCTTTTCAAAGAACCAACTTTTGGTTTTATTGAGTTTGCCAATGTTTTTCTATTCTTTATTTCATTTATTTACACTCCAATTTTTATTTCCTTCCATTTGTTATTTGGGGCTTAGGTCGCTTTGCTCTTTGAGTTTCTTAAAGTGAAATATCAAGTTATTAATTTGACATAATCCTTTCTTTGTCCTGTTCTTTCTCAGTATACTGGCATTTACAGCAGTAAGTTTTCCTTTAAGTGCTGCTTTATCTGCTTCTTATAAATCATAGTATGCTGTGTATTTGTTTCCATTCATCTCAAAGTATTTTCTAATTTTCCTTGTGAGTTTCCCTTTCGTTGATTGGTTCTTAGAATGTTTATAAAATTGTTTGTCTTAAAGATGATTCTGCCTGATATTATTAATAGCAATTTCAGTTGTCTTTGTTTACTATGGATGTGTTTTATCTTTTCCATATGTCTACTTTTAAACTACTTGTATCTTGGGATCTACATTGTATCTTTAGATCATTTTTTAAATGCATTCTGAGAATCTTTGCTTTTTCTTTTGAATGTTTATCACTTTGACATGTAAGGGAATTACTGCTAAGGTGGAACAGAATTTACGTCTGCCACCTTTTTCTTAGTTTTCCATATGCACTATGTCATTTTCTTCATCTTTTCCACCACTATTGCTTTGTTTTGTGTTAAACAGATATTTTCTACTGCATCATTTTACTTCCTTTATTGTCTCTTTTTCATTTTTTATTTAAAAAAGTTATTTTGTTAGTCATTTCAGGGGATTCCAATTAATATCTTAATTTACCACAACCTAGATCATATTAAAACCAACTTAATTTTAACAGGATGCAAAATCTCTGCTCCAATATTGCTCTGCTTCTTCCCCCATCTTTGTGGTATAAAAATGATATATACATAAATTATATGGCATGTGTTTTGCAAAGAATAATCACCTGCCACCCCCACCCACTCCCGCCAATCCCAGAGGATGCCGGTGTGAATCCCTGGAACCCCCCACTGGGTTATATGGAAAAGGGAGTGAAGGCTACAGATGGAGTTGAGGTTGCTCATCATCTGCCCCGGAAACGGGGTGATTTTCTGGATTTCCCTGGGGTTCCAATGTAATCACAGGATCTTTATAGAGGAAGAGGCAGACGGAAGAGGGAGAACCAGATGAGGGGCACAGTGAGGACTTAATCTGATGGAACTGCCTTTGAAGATGGGGAAATGGGCCCTGAGCCATGGATGTGGGCAGTTGGAGAAGCTGGAAAAGGGGAGAAGGAGACAGGTTCTCCCCGAGAGTCTCCTGAAATAACAGCCCTGACAACACAGTGATGTTAGCCCATTGAGATCCATTCCAACTTCAGATCTCTAGAATGGTAAGAGAACAAATTTGTGTTATTTTAAGCCACTAAATTTGTAATTTCTTACAATAGCAATCAAAAGCTAACACTGTCTGTTTTAAAGTGGTCATTGCTTTAGGAGGAAAAAGTTCAGGTTAAGAAGGTTCAGGATTGCCTGAGCAGGCACAGATACTGCCATTTTAAATAGATGCCTGTACATTTGAAAACGGTTGAAATGGCTCCTGGCTGTGGCAGGGCAGCAGGCTGGGGCCATGGCAGGCCAAGTGCAGGCCCAAATCAGACTGCAGGAGCTTCACATACACTCTGGGCAGGCACCTGCCTCTCAGTAGCTCACTGAGAGATGAGGGCACCCAGCAGGGGTCCCCAAGGGAAGGCACAAAGAGGGAGCCAGCCTGAGATTAAGGGGCTGTGAAAACAATGCTTTTCCAGAAGTCCTAGCTGGTTACCTTCACAGCTGCTTGCAAAACAGAGAAATTCTACATCCACTCACAGCAGCCATGTCCACAGGGTGCTCCAGACGGCCAGGAAGTTAAAGTCACGCCACCTGGCTGTGGAGATCAATGAGGCTGAAGTGCAACAGGAGCAGCAGGAATCCCTCCTGGGAGATCTCCAGGATGACATTCCCCCAGGTGACAGCCTACCAGGCCCGTGGAAAGCCCTGGCTAGTAACCTCACAGCTGCAGTGTGGCAAATCAAACAGAGCTGGAGTTGTCTGGTAGATCCTTGGAGCAGGTGCTGCTGCCCCACATGGACACCTTCCTGCAAGTGCATTTCGGCCCCATCTGAAAGAGCTTAAAGGAAAGCTTGCATGGCTTTTCCCCGGACATAACAAATCTGTTTCTTGATGTGGAGGCCAACACCAGGCCATCACGATGGTCCAGGATAGTGCTGTGGCCAGGGCTGACTGCCAGGAGCTTGGTGGTAAATTTGAAGCCAAGATCCAGGAAAATGCTCAGAGAGTGGGCCAGCTGTGAAAGGATGTGGAGGACTGACGGCATGCTCGGTGCTCTTCCCTGTACACTCCCTCTCTGAGGTCCAGGCTGATGTGGACACCAAATTGAAGAGGCCAAACCCAGGAGGCCCCAAGGACTAATGGCAGCTGCGTGTTGATGACGGCAGGGGCTGGGGCAAGGCCTGAACTGGAGAGCCTGCAGGCCAGGCTGGCCAACTGCAGAGGAACCTCTGGGTGCTGCACATGGACTCAGCCTGCAGGGAGGAGGAATTGCAAAACACCCCTCAGGGATATGAGGGCTACCCTGACCCGGCACGTGGATGAGATGAAGGAGCTGTGCTCCGAATTGGACGAGACCTTCCATCAGATCAGCAAAATGGAGCCAGAGATGGAGGTGAACCACAGGGCGCTCTGTGAGCTGTGTGTGGTCCTGATGAAGCCTTTAATTATGGAGGCAAACAAGGTGGAGGTGGAGTAGCAGCTCCTGGAGCTCAGCCTCACCCTGCAGCACCTGTGGGGCGACCACACTGACCTCATCAAGTATGTCAAGGAGGCAGCTGCCACAAGCTCTACTTTCACTTGGAGGCCGTCCGGGAGTGCCACGGGGACACCACGCACCCTGAAGGAGACCCAGGGGAGCCTGGATGGCGGCGCCAGCTGCACAGCTCCTAGGCTGCCCTGATGGAGGCCTGCTGGCCTCCCTCTCTGGGGAGGAGGTGATGGAGGAGAGGTCAAAGGAGGCGCACGGCCAGCTTCCCCTGCCCGTGAGCAGATCTGCCTGGCCCTGAAGGAGCAGGTGCTCGGTTGGGACTCGCTGGCTACCCGGGTGGCAGCCCTGGAGCAGGCCACGAGTGGGCCGTGGCTTGGAGCCCCCATGGCCGGCAGAGCACTTGGAGCTGGCGACCACTTGGGCCCAGAAGAAGCTGTGTGAAGCCCTGGCTGGGCTGGCTCAGGAGCTCCAGCTCCTGAGATCTGACTTCAGTGGCTCGGGTGGTGCTGCAAGGCTGCCCAGCCACCTCTCTCACCTGCCTCGGGGCCTCCATGGTCCGCCTCCGAGTGCAGCTTGGACTGCACCAGCTGCTCCTCCTTGGAAACTTCCAAGAGCTGGTGACAGCAGTGTCAGCCTAAATCTGGGGAAGCTGGAAACCGTGCCCAGCAGGAAAAGGAAGCAGAAGCAGAAAGGCCCAGAAGTTCCCCGGAAGAGGGACAGGAAAGAAGCTGAGCCTTTGCCAGACACACACATCAAAGGGCCAGTGCCAGATGCCTTGAACACTGAGCTCTGGCAGGCAGGCTCCCCTGTGGCCTTCTATGCCAGTTTCTCAGAAAGGACAGCTGCCCTGCAGACATGGAAGTTCAACACTAGCTACATCGACACTGACAGCAGCAACTTCCCTGAACATGGCTACTACCAAGCCGGAGTTTGGTGTCCCATTTGCAGTGAGCATTGAATTTGGCCCAGGGCCAGGAACCAGGCACCTGGTGTTTGGAGGGCTCCATCAGGGACCCTGGGCGGGAAGCACAGCAGCCACCTTTGCCATGGCTGAGCTGCGAAAGGGTGAGAGAGTGTGGTTGGAGTTAACCCAGGCATTGGTAACAAACAGAAACCAGCGAGGCACTGCATTTGGGGGCTTCCTGATGTTCAAGACATGAACCCTGGGCCCAGCTCTGATTGGACATCATGGACTTGCCCAGCTCTCCTTGGTCTAGGGCTCTGGCCAAGGATGGTCTGCAGATCATCCTGTTGGTCTATCTCTTCCCTGGACAGCTTCTGCGAGAGAGTGTGGTGTACGTGGTCTCTGTCTAGCGCACTGGGTTTGGCTATTTCTCAATGACAAGGGGGACTGGACTACTTCTCTGGGTGGGACCTGGTTCTGAGCTTGGTATGCCTTCTCAGACAGCACAGGCTGGACTCCAGCCCTTTGCCATACTGTGTATTCTACAGCTGCTTTGGTGGCGTGCTCCTCTTGTGGATGGAAGCTTCTGTGCAGCACTTTAACTCTTTCTCCTGCTTCCTATTCTCTTCTCCCTAATTGTTGGCTACAAAGTCATCTTTCCCAGAAGGAGTCTCTAAGATGGAGGTGACATTTGGACAGTATTGGAAAGCAGTCTCCAACGACTAGAGGACAGTGGAATAAAGCCAACCTGTTTGGTCTCTGTCAGCCAGAAATGGAGAAGAAAACCTGGTTGAGTCAACAAGAGAAAGAAAATTAGTATCTTTCGTTTCAGTTATTCCTTGTATTTATCTGTAATTTTAATTTCATATCTTTCTCTCCTTGCCATACACAGAGCAAAGGCCCAAACATGCCAAATGTGAACCAAAATGTATATGGCCTTCACCATTTTTACTTCCTCCAGTATCTTTGGGCCATCTGAATTCTTGCTAGCATGTCTAACCAGGAGGCAGCTGAGGAAGGAGTGAAGGAGGACTGTAAAAATACCTCTCAATAATGATCAACCTTGGGGTAAAGCGATGCCCATAGATAGAGAGATAGATAAACAGATATAGATATATATGTGGTTAAGATGGAACATTTTGTGTTACATCAATTATATCAAAATTTAAAAATTAAACAAAGAAAATAATAAAAGGATTCCAAAGTGGGAGGGTGGTGGCAGCAGGTGTGGAAGGGTGTATCACTTAGGAACAGGTGTGGAAGTGAGCTGGGTAGACTTCTGAGGGAAGAACAGTCCAGGCCCAGGGGAGGGTGATGCAAAGGCCCTGAGGCAGGGGAACAGGCCCTGAGAACCAGCAAGGATGCCAGGGATAGGAGATGAACGAGCAAGGACAGAGTCAGGGACAGCTGTGCAGGGCTCCCTAGGCCTCTGCAGTGGCTTTGGTTTTACTGAGAGGAAAAGGGTGCGTTTGGAGGGTGGTATGGTTTGGCTGTGTCCCCACTTAAATCTCATCTTCAATTGTAGCTCCCAAGATTCTCACATGTTGTGGGAGGGACCCAGTGAGAGATAATTGAATCATGGGGGCAGTTTCCCTGATACTGTTCTCATGGTAGTGAATAAGTCTCATGAGATCTGATGGTTTTATAAGGGGAAACCCCTTTCACTTGATTTTCATTCTGTCTTGCCTGCTGCCATGTGGGATGTGCCTTTTGCCTTCCATGATGATTGTGAAGCCTCCCCAGTCATGTGGAACTATGAGTCCATTAAACCTCTTTTTCTTTATAAATTATCCAGTCTCAGGTATTTCTTTATCAGCAGCATGAAAACTAACTAATACAATAAATTGGTATTGGGAGTGGGGCAGTGCTGTAAAGATCCCTGAAAATGTGGAAACGACTTTGGAACTGGGTAACAGGCAGAGGTTGGAACAGTTTGGAGGGCTCAGAAGAAGACAGAACAATGTGGGAAAGTTTGAAACTCCCTCGAGACTTGTCGAATGGCTTTGATCAAAATGCTGATAATGATATGGACAATGAAGTCCAGGCTGAGGTGGTCTCTAATGGAGATGAGGAACTTGTTGGGAATTGGAGTAAAGGTGATTCTTGCTATGTTTTAGCAAAGAGACTAGTGGCAGTTTGCCCCTGCCCTAGCGATTTGTGGAACTTTGAACTTGAGGGAGATGATTTAGGGTATCTAGCAGAAGAAATTTCTAAGCAGCAAAGCATTCAAGAGGTGACTTGGGTGCTGTTAAAGGCATTCAGTTTCAAAAGGAAAATGCACATAAAAGTTCAAAAAATCTGGTGATGGGATAGGAAAGAAAAACCCATTTTCTGGGGAGAAATTCAAGCTGGCTGCATAAATTTGCATAAGTAACAAGGATCCAAATGTTAATCGCCAAAACAATGGGGAAAATGTCTCCAGGGCATGTCAGAGACATTTGTAACAGCCCCTCCCATCACAGGCCCAGAGGCCTAGGAGGAAAAAATGGCCTGGCTCACGAAACCACAGAATGATTTCCTGGGCCAGGCCCAGGGTCCCCCTGCTGTGTGCAGCCTAGGGACTTGGTACCCTATGTCCCAGCTGCTCTACCCATTGCTAGAAAGGGCCAAGGTACGGCTTGGGTTGTTGCTTCAGAAGGTGCAAGCCCAAAGCTTTGACCGCTTCCATGTGGTGTTGAGCCTACAGGTGCACAGAAGTCAAGAATTGAGGTTTGGGAACCTCTTCCTAGATTTCAGAGGATGAATAGAAAGGCCTGGATGTCCAGGCAGAAGTTTGCCACAGGAGCGACACCCTCATGAAGAACCTCTGCCAGGGCAGTGTGGAAGGGAAATATGGGGTTGGAGCCCTCACACAAAGTCCCCACTGGGACACTGCCTAGTGGAGCTGTGAGAAGAGGGTCACTGTCCTTCAGATTCTGGAATGGTAGATCCACTGACAGCTTGCACTGTGTGCCTGGAAAAGCCAGAGACACTCAATGTCAGTCCTTGAAAGCAGCCAGGAGAGGGGCTGAACCTTGCAAAGCCACAGGGGCAGAGCTGCCGAAGACCATGGGAGCTCACCTCTTGCATCAGCATGTCCTGGATGTGGGACATGGAGTCAAAGGAGATCATTTTGGAACTTTAGGATTTGACTGCCCCACTGGGTTTTGGACTTGCATGGGGCCTGTAGTCCCCTTGTTTGGCCAATTTCTCCCATTTGCAACAGCTGTAATTACCCAATGTCTGTACCTCCATTGTATCTAGGAAGTAACTAACTTGCTTTTGACTTTACAGGCTCATAGGCAGAAGGGACTTGCCTTGTCTCAGATGAGACTTTGGACTATGGAATTTTGAGTTAATGCTAAAATGAGTTAAGACTTTGGGGGACTGTTGGGAAGGTAGGATTGGTTTTGAAATGTGAGGACATGAGATTTGCGAGGGTCCAAGGGCAGAATGATATTTTGGCTCTGTGTCCCCGCCCACTATGATCTGGATGGGGTAAGGAGGTGAAAGCATTGATAAGCCAAAGTGACAGCCTCTTTTGTAGACATGATCCTGCCTAAATTTCTCATGCCCCACAGAAGAGGGCACTGAACTCCCCACTTCTCCAGAGCTTCATGCAGTCCTTGAAGCACTCTCTGGCTGTCTCTGCAAGTGGCTGAACAGCTCCTCCTGGTCTCTATGGGGCTGCAGAGGCTCCAGGTCCCTATGGCTCAGGGGCTGTCACGCTCACCAGGTCCCACCAAGGGTGCCCCCCACCGTGGGTGGTGGAGGAGACCAGGTGTAGCTGCTCTTGCCCCTACCCCTCTCCTGACCTGCCAATCTTAATAGGAGGAAGCAGTAGGGATGAGTGGAGCCATGGAGGTTGTTCCCACCTCCTAGGACCACTTTTCCTTTCCTCTTTCTTGGTCTGTTTCTGGAAATCTATCAAAACTACCTCCAATGCCAGCCCTGAGACCCTCCCCTCCCCCACCCTGGGGCATCACCTCCTCTTCTGCCACAGCGGGAGGGTGGGGTGTGCTGTCATCTTGCTTCCCTCAGCAGCTGTGTGAGCTCCCTGAGGACAGGGGACACCCCCTCTCCCTACCCCAAAACCTGTCCCAGGGGCTACCCCATAGCGAGGGGGAGGGGACAAAACCTCTGCCTTCCAGGATGACCTGGCTCGGCAGGAGCTGAGGAGGCGTCTCCTCAGATTTGGGGCCTGGACAAGGGCTGTCACTCCTGTGTTTCCCTTTCGGCACCACCCACCGTGGCCCCAGGCACAGCTCAACCTAAAGCCATGGCCACCACCCTCAGCTCCTGAAGCCTCATCATCGTCCTCCTCTTCTTCATTCTACTTGGCATCTGAGGAGAGTTCCATGCAGAGGGAGAGGAAACTGGTACAGGCTTCCTGAAGGACAGGGTAACAGGGCTCACCAAGAGTCAAAAATATCCACATCTGAATGAAGAATATGTATTCATATGCGTTTCAAATGGCGGCAAAGACTCCCTGGAAAGATGAGAAGAATCCAATCAAATTTCGTCCCGGGCTGTGGCCAATGAGAGTGGATGCAGGCAGGGGCCGGGGAGCCTTTCACACATGACTTTTCATGGTTTCGATCCTGAAACAGGTGAAAATATGGAGGTGAAGGAGTAAGGAAGAGTGGGGCCGGGAGCCCCGGGGACGGTCACCAAGTATGCTCGCCAGATCTGTTGTGGGCCATGAGGGTCCGGAAACGTGGAACCCGGGCAGGGGCGCGCGGGGCTGCTGCAGTGACGAGGCACTGGTTCTAGATATTTACCCAACTGTGTTGTCATAAGGATGATATTACAGGTGATTGCTGATTTCAACCACAGATGACTTTCGGGGAAAGTTGGCTCCTGAGGGTTTCAGTTTCCACCTAGCCGCGTGCTCTCCGGGTTCTGCGTGCTCCTCCCAGGGCGCCCGCTGTGCCCCAGTTCTGGACCTGGGTCCTACCCAGTGGAAACCAACGAGTGGGTGCCCCGCCGCCCACCGCAAGAGTTCTTTATATATTCAGGATACCAGTCCCTTACCAGATACATCATTTTCAAATATTTTCTCTCATTCTGCAAGTTTTTTTTTCTTTCTAAATGGAATCCTTTTTGAAGCACAAAAGTTTTATATTTGCATGAAATGAAATTAAACTACCTTTTATTTTGCCATCTGTGCTATTGGCATACAGTACTTAAGAAGCCTTTGCCAAATCCAGGGTCACAAAAATTTACTGCTCTATTTTCTTCTGAGACTTTCATAGTTTCATGTCTTATGTGGACATCTGCCATTCATCTAGAGCTAGTTTTTGTGTGTGCTGTAAGGAAGGGGCCCGCCTCATTCTTCTGCATGCAGCATCCAGTTGTCCCAGCACCATTCACTGTAGTGTACAATGCACCTGCCCAACCTCCTGTCCCTCCCTCCTGCACTCAGCATCAGAAGTGCGTCCTGCTGAATGGTTCTCCCAGGGTTTCCACCAATGAATTCCCCTCATGTGAATCCCATATAGGCATCTGCTTCTCAGAGGACCTGGACCGAGGAGTGGATTCACTGGAGGAAATTATATTTCATAAGATAGAACATTCTGAGAATAGTAACACTTGGCATACCCCTTACTACATCAAAAGTAAGAAATTGGCCTGGCACGGTGGCTCATGCCTGTAATTCCAGCACTTTGGGAGGCTGAGGCGGCAGATCACGAGGTCAGTAGATCAAGACCATCCTGGCTAACACGGTGAAACCCCTTCTCTACTAAAAATACAAAAAATTAGCCGGGTGTGGTGGCACGTGCCTGTAGTCCTAGCTACTGGGAAGGCTGAGGCAGGAGAATTGCTTGAATCCGGGAGGCAGAGATTGCACTGAGCTGAGATCGTGCCACTGCACTCCAGCCTGGGTGACAGAGTGAGACTCTGTCTCAAAAAAAAAAAAAAAAAAGGTAAGAAATTGCATGATTTGGTCATTTGGGTTCCACAATTCTTATGTCAACATAGCTTATCAATGTTTATTTATTTTTTCTTATTTCTGTTGTTGTTGTTGTTTTCTTTGAGACAGGCTCTCACTCTGCACCCAGTCTGGAGTGCAGTGGCACCACCTCAACTGCCTGCAACCTCAGACTCCCAGGCTCAAGTGATCCTCCCACCTTAGCCTCCTGAGGGGCTGGGACTACAGGCACATGCTACTACACTTGGTCAATTTTCAAAATTTTCTGAAGAGACAGGGTCTCACCATGTTGCCATGGCTTATCTCCAACTCTGAAAATAACAAGTTACTTTTCACATGGTTGTATGACATTATGTAGACTTTTAAAATTCTGTATAAATAATTTAGACAATACTGTATTAGAAAATGTTTTCTACAGCCACAGCTTCCTAAAAATAGAAGTGGTATTAAAATGTGCATTTGTCAAATCTTGAAGAAGTTTCAAATGTTTAGGGTGATTCTGACCTCTCATTTTGGTTGACACAATAATCCATAAAAACAAGTAAAGTGCCCACTCTGATCTGGAAGGGGTAAGGAGGTGAAAGCATTGATAAGCCAAAGTGACAGCCTCTTTTGTAGACATGATCCTGCCTAAATTTCTCATGCCCTACAAAAGAGGGCCCTGAACTCCCCGCTTCTCCAGAGCTTCATGCAGTCCTTGAAGCACTCTCTGGCTGTCTCTGCAAGTGGCTGAACAGCTCCTCCTGGTCTCTATGGGGCTGCAGAGGCTCCAGGTCCCCATGGCTCAGGGGCTGTCATGCTCACCAGGTCCCACCAAGGGTGCTCCCCACCGTGGGTGGTGGAGGAGACCAGATGTAGCTGCTCCTGCCCCTACCCCTCTCCTTACCGGCCAATCTTAACAGGAGGAATGAGTAGGGATGAGTGGAGCCATGGAGGTTGGTGCTGGAAAGAACAGAAATGAAGACCTTTGTCCAATTCTCCCAAGTTATGGAGATCCTTTTCTGAGTTCTAGTAGCCCTGGGGTAGTCTGATGATTGGATTCCTCCCACGTGTCTTAAACCCTATCATATGGCAGCCACTGTGCTAGGTGCTGGGTTTACAGGTGGTGACTGATGTGTCCAGTCCTCCAGGAACTTAGAGTCCAGGGACAGAAACAAACACCCACATGGCTGCTACTGCTGATGTGATGTCCTTGTGGTGGTTGGGGCTATCAGAGGACAGAAGAGGGGGTGACTCATTCTGCCTGGGGATTTGCATGGAGGCTTCTTGGGAGGTGGCATTTCAGACTGTTCTTGTAGGAATAGGAAGAATACAGCGTGGCCAGGTGGGAGGAGAAGATAGGGCACCCAGCAGAGGGACAAGCATGAAGAGGAGGCCTGGGGGTGCAAATATCATAGAACTTTGGGGAGCTCTGAGAAGTCTGTAGTAATGAACCCTCAGTTACTAGGGTAGACTCTTTCCACAGGGAGGAGGAAATGTCAGGAGGGAAGACAGGGAAGGAGGGGAGGGCAGGAACCACCCTGGAGTCCCTTCTCTCTCCACAGCAAATCAACCAGGAAATCAATTCACCATTCATACATGCATGTTATCACACACACACAGACACACAGACATGCACGCACAGTCTCTCTCACACACACTCACACCACACAGGTGTTTACACATTCACACACACACACATACACAAATGCATGCAGAAATACAGACACAGACACGCACATGCACACACAAAGACACACATAAACACATGGGAGAAACTGGGTGTCATCTCAAGAGTTGTCGTGTTGGGCCCATCCTGCCCCCTCACTTGTCACCTCGGGGGCTGTCTCCCAGCTCATGAAGGATTCCTGAAGCCATCAAGCAGGATGTCACTGTGTGATCTGAAACACTCAGACACCTCCTCACTCTGACCTTCCTTCCTGGTTTCCTTGGCTCTGGGATGAAACAGTGTCCTGCTAGTTTTCACTGCATCAGAAGAGAAACCTCTCCCGTGGGGCAGAACTGCTGGGCCACCAGAGCGCACCGCTCTGCTCTTTGCCCTCAGGGCATCTTGATCTGCATGGTGGGAGGAACTTCCCCAATCCTCAAAAATGAACTCTTTATGGATTCCTCATTCGACATGATGTCAACGTCTCTTTTGTCTTCTCTGTAGCCCTTGACTGTGGATCCCAAGCTGTGTGCCAAGGAGCTCATGGTGCAAACTCACTGTGAGCAAACCCTCTGGGTTTATTGAAATATTTGAAAGATGAGCAGTGTCAGGCTAATTTTACCATTTTTAGCAGACACGGTGTTTTACCATGTTGATCAGGCTGGTCTCAAACTCCTGAGCTCATGATCTGCCCACCTTGGCCTCCGAAAGAGCATTTTTTCATGTTTGTCGGCCACTTGCAGGTCTTCTTTTGAAAAGTGTCTGTTCATATTCTTTGCTTATTTTTTAACTGGGTTTTTTTGTTCTTGCTTGTTGAGTTGTTTAAGTTCCTTGTAGATTCTGGATATTAGAGCTTTGCCAGATGCATAGTTTTCAGCTATTTCTCCCATTCTATAGGCTGTTTACTGCGTTGCTAGTTTCCTTTGCTCTGCAGAAGCTCTTTAGTTTAATGAAGTCCCATTTGGCAATTTTCAGTTTTGGTTGCAATTGCTTTGGGTGTCTTCATCATGAAATCTTCGCCAGGCCCTATGTCCAGAGTGGTATTTCCAAGGTTATCTTCCAGGATTTTTATAGTATTAGGACTTACATTTAAATCTTTAGTCCATGTCGAGTTATTTTACTTATATGGTGAAAGGCAGGGCTTCAGTTTCATTCTTCCACACATGGCTAGCCAGTTATCCCAGCACTATTTGTTGATTTTGTTGAAGGTTAGACGGCTGTAGGTGTGAAGGATTCTTTCTGAGTTCTCTATTGTGTTCCACTGACCTAAGTGTCTATTTTTGTACCAGTACCATTCTGTTTTGATCACTGTAGCCTTATATTATAGTTTGAAGTCTGGCAGTGAGATGCCCCTGGCTTTTTTTTTTTTTTTTTTTTTTTGCGTATGATTGTTTTGGCTATTTGGGCTCTGTTTTAATTCCAAATAACTTTTAGATTAGATTTTTCTAATTTTGTGAAAAATGATGTTGGTTCGATAGGGATAGTGTTGCATCTATAAATTGCTTTTGGAAGTATGGCCATTTTAGCTATATTGTATCTTCTAACCCATGAGCATAAATTATTTTTCCATGTATTTGTATTGTCCCTGATTTTTTTCAGCCACGTTTTGTAGATTCTGTTTCCACACAAAATCTAGCAGAATCACTCATTTATTACTCACACCATGGAGGAAAAATGAAATAACATTAATTCTCTACTGGGTAATACAAGAAAATTCTAAACTCAGTAGGTTTTTGGGAAATAGAACTCTTTGTGGAAATATTAGTACAGAGCAATAAATTACTGAGGAAATATCATTAATATAATTTTTTCTTATTAAATAAAGAATTATCCTTCAGGACGCGGAAAGAAACCTTGGAGGTCTGAAATCTAACATGATTGTTTTACTGACTGTATCATTTGGAAGAAAGAGGTCATCATTCAAAAAGTACTTGATTTTTCAAACAAAAGCAGAAGAAAGAAAATGTTGACATATCTTTTTTAGTCAGCCAGAACTTTAATTGCAGGAATTCCATCAGGTAGCACCAATAAAAAATAACATAAGATGTTAGGAATAACCGCTGGTAAAATTATTGACAAAAGGAATCAAGGCAGTGAATGAGCTATTGGGTCCATGGTGTCATCATGATCTGCTGGAGGCCACTGGACATACACAGTAGGTGGTGGGCAGGTGGCCAGACAGAAGGGCGAGTTTGATCAAGACCCTGCTCACAGGGGCTTTTTGGTATCATCTTTAACTTTCAAAAAGGACACAAATGTTGGTTTAAGAGATGAAGGAGAACCTGGATCACTTTTGCAGGGCAATCTTTCCCTAGGCACTCCACGTCTCAGAGCCCACTGCACTAAAGGACCCGTTTTTCCCTTGAGCCCCAACCCTGGCACCTGCAGCTTGGAGCAGCCTCTTTCCTCCTTTGTCAAATCACAGTGTCAGCCCAGGCCCTGCACCTGACCAGGGGATGGAGTGGAGGGGCCTGCAAGACTGAAGCTGGTAGTGATGGGCCTGCTCCCTCACTCAAGGCCCTCTCTACCATCTGATGAGAAGGCCTAAAACATGGCAAGGGGTAGGGGGAGCCCATCCAAAGAGAGGGCTCTGTATTCCTGTGTCCTTGGCATTGGGTGGGCCTGCAGGCAAATATTCCTCCTTCCCCTTCTTCCTCAGCCTCTCCTCACACTGCAATCAGCACCCATAGCTCTGAAGGTGACTGTCCCTGTTCCACCTTATTCATTCCTGGTCCAGCCCAGTGGTGCCCATGGACTTAAGCAGCAGCTCAGGTCCCCCGTGTCTGAGTCCACTCTGCTCCTGGCAGGGCCATGAGCGGGCTCAGGATCTGGGGTGTGCAGGAAGGTGATGGCAAGGGAGCTGCCTCAAGGTCTGGACTCGAACCCCATGGGTCCATGGGACTGACTTTTTAAAAATTTTTTTCATGTGCAGCCTCTACTCTTCGCCTTCCACCTTAATTCCTGGAACCCAAGCCACTTTCTGTGGGAAGGCAGCCCTGCGCCCCCTCCTTTTCAATTAGGTGTACCAAGGCTCTCCCAGCCCCCTCCTTCTGGGATTACACTCATAGTTGTAGGGACCAGCCCTACAGGGCCTGTGGGTTTTTCTCTTCGTGTGCGGAGATGAGAGATCGTAGAAATAAAGACACAAGACAAAGAGACGGAAGAAAAGACAGCTGGGCCCAGGGAACCATCAAGATATGGAGACCTGTAGTGGCTCCGAATACCTGGCTGCGCCGTTATTTATTGTATACAAGGCAAGAGGGCAGGGTAAGGAGTGTGAGTCGTCTCCAATGATAGGTAAAGTCACGCGAGTCACGTGTCCACCAGACAAGGGGCGCTTCGCTATTTGGTAGCTGAGGCGGAGAGAGAGAGGACAGCTTACGTCATTGTTTCTTCTATGTATTTCTCGGACTTCAATACTTTCACTAATTCTGCTACCGCTATCTAGAAGGCGGAGCCAGGTGTACAGGGCGGAACATGAAAGTGGACCAGGAGCGTGACCCTGAAGCACAGCATCACAGGGAGACGTTTAGGCCTCCGGATGGCTGCGGGCAGGCTTGACTGATGTCAGGCCTTCCACAAGAGGTGGTGGAGCAGAGTCTTCTCTAACTCCCCCGGGGAAAGGGAAACTCCTTTTCCCGGTCTGCTAAGTAACAAGTGCCTTCCCAGGCACTGGCGCTACTGCTAGACTGAGGAGCCCACTACTGGCCCTGTCTGGGCATGACAGAGGGCTCACACTCTTGTCTTCTGGTCACTTCTCACCGTGTCCCTTCAGCTCCTGTCTCTGCATGGCCTGGTTTTTCCTGGGTTATAATTGTGGAACAGAGATTATTATAACATTGGAAAAAAGAGTAACACTACAGACTAATGATTGATAATATTCATAGATAATCATGTCTGTATTCTACGTCTAATACAACTATTCTTATTTTAAGTATTTTCTTTATTATACTGGAACAGCTTGTGCCTTCAGTCTCTTGCCTTGGCACCTGGGTGGCTTGCCGCCCACACATATCTCTCTCTTAGCCTCAGAGATGGAATCCCCCTTCCCTTGTCATACCTCATGTAAAGCTACCCTGATGCACCTAACCCAATTAAGAGGACTGCCCATGTCTGAATTCCTGCTGCCTGCAGGCCACACACCCTTCCTGAACAGAAACCTGCTCTGAATCAGGCCTGAACTTGCTAAACCCTCTCAAGCTCAACAGACCCTGAGCCTTGGTATGGCACCACTGCGCCTTTCCCTCTGGCCTTTGATGGTGAGAATCCATCAGAACTCAGGGCAGAGCTGCCCAGGTCATTTCCAACAAGCAACACAAGGTCTCATTCACCTGTCTCATGTTAGGATGAGAAGGTCCCAGCCATAGGGAGTGGGACTCTGGGAATTCTCCATCCCTGTCCTCCCTCCTCACCCACCTGCCCTTTGCTCCACTCCCAATTCTGCCCCCATACCTGTCACTCCAAAGGACTCTCCTCAGCAGCCAGGTAGGATGAAGCAGGGGAGGATGAGGAGGAGGCTGCAGGGACTGAGGGTGGTGGCCATGGCTTTGGGTCAGACTGTGCCTGGAGCATATGAGGAGACACATGATGAGGAGGCAGCAAAGGATGAGGGTGGTGGCCGTGGCCCTGGGTTGGGCTGTGCCTGAGGACATGGTGGGTGGTGCTGAAATGGAAGCACAAGAGTGACAACCCTTGTCCAGGCCCCAAATCTGAGGAGATGCCTCCTCAGCTCCTGCTGACCCAGGTCATCCTGGAAGGCAGAGGTTTTGTCCCCTCTGCTATGGGGCAGCCCCTGGGAGAGTTCCTGGGGTAGGAAGGGAGAGGGGGTGTCCCTTGGCCTCAGGGAGCTCACAGAGCTGCTGAGGGAAGCAAGGTGACAGCAAAGCCCACCCTCCTGCTGTGGCGGAAGAGGAGGTGATGCTCCAGGGTGCGGGAGGGGAGGGTCACGAGGCTGGCCTTGGAGGAGGTTTTGATGGATTTCCAGAAACAGACCAGAGGAGGAAAGGAAAAGTGATTCTCAAGAGGGAACACTAAGGAGAAAGGCCTGAAAATAGTGACACCTGCAGTTTCGAGGCTGGTGAGAAATCCACAGTGTGGGGAACAGAAGCAAGTGCAGTGAGGAAGAGGAGTCAGGAGGGAGAAGGAAGAGGAGGGTGGGAGAGCACAGGCACGCCAGCACCCCCAGGAGGAGCACCCCACGAGGAGGTCATTTTAACATAAACGTGTACACTGGGATGATTGAAGCTGAACTCAAGAATTAGTTTCTTGAGATCCCCATTTCTGATCTCATTGGAGATCCCCATTTCTTTTTCTCCTGTTACCTCCTGCACTTGGCTCCAGGGTGCTGTCCATGCCCATCAAGAAGTCCTCAAGCCATCCTGTGCAGTCTCCCATTGAGATGTAATGGAAGGACATGGTCATATCCTTGTCATTCTCCCACTTTTCTTTCATCTTTCTGGCTCCAGGATGAACCGTTGTCCACATTCTGTTTTCTGAGTCAAAGAGGAGGAAGATCTGTCCATCGAAACTGAGCTGCCAAGATCCACTGCCGTGTCCTTCGGCTTTCTGCTCACAAGACATCCTGGCCTGCAGGGTGAGGGGTTCTGCCCCCATCAAAGAGAGATCAGCTCTGGCCTTGACAGATATTGAGCCCCCATCCTCTTCCACTTGCAATTTCCTGGTCTTACTTGCTCTGCCACATCCTGGCCTTGCCTCTAGACGTCTTGCGGGGTGAGATGACCTTCCTATTTGTATTTTTACATGAAAACTATAAATGCCTCTAACCTACCACTGTATCTGCTCCCTGCTGTCCTGGGCCATCTGAAACTTACCCTTGGGTATGTAATTCTCCAGCTGAATGTCAAGCAGTTGCTCTGTAAGTATGTCCACCACCTCTCTCAGTACTGGGTTCTGTGCTTTCCAGGCCGTTGTGACATTTAGTTTCTTCCCCAGGGGACTGACGGGTGTGACTGTCTTGCTGCCACAGTCATAGTGAAGAAAAGTCTTTTCATCCACCTGGCCTTGAACCGCACACCACCGTGGTCCAGGTCTGAACTTAGGGATGACGGTGATGTCATAGCAAAGAGAGTGAGGGTCTGTGGAGAAAGGCAGGTGAGGGGTGGGTGGGGAGGAAAAGACCCCTAGATACCCCTCCTCCACACTGTGACAATAAGAGGAAGCCTCTGGAGGGCTGGGCTGGCCCAGCAAGGAGTGCCTCCTCCAGAACTGTGGTGTCCACAAGATTAAGGCGAGTGCTCCCCACTTCCATGAGGGCAAAGAGGAGGAGGAGGTCCCTGCCTGCTGAGAAACCACATGTCCCCAGACATGTCCCACTGCCCCTCTGTCCACATCGGTCAACACAGGACCTTGCTAGAGAGGTGCCAGGAGTGCTAGAGGAGGAAGGGCCTGGATGACAGAGGATCTTCAGCAGTAGCCCACGTGGACTGTGGGAGGTGGGACAGGGTGTGGGAGCTGCACCTGAGGATACTGGTGCATGGTGGGACGGAGTGAGGATGGAACCCAGTTGGATAAAGAAGAGTTAATTATCATGGTCACAGGATTTAACACGTTGGCAAAGCCCCTGGTGGTGGTGCTCATCTACTATGAGGATGCCTTCCTGAAACCTTGGACAAAGGGATGGTCCACACAGCAAGAAATAGAAAAATCTGAAAATCTAAGGCAGGCAGTAGACGGAGGGATCACAGGCTCAGAGAAGTGCCCAGGCTGGAGGGGTCTGAGTGTGAAAATCCAGAACAATGTCCATCTGCTGTGCTCATGGGAAGCCTGGAGGACTCCTGTTTACCTGGCATATAAAGAAGGCCCCATGAGAAGGCACCAGAATGGGATGAAGCTCAGGGATGCCTATTGCTGAAGGCCAGGGTTGGGGGTAGGAGATGCTCTTCCTGAAATGGGCTCCCAGTAGTAATGGGATGAAAAATCCCGAAATAACAGATTCCAGGTGGAGGTTGTCAACTGTCAGGAACAAGGAGGGTGCAATGATGGAAATGATTAGAGAAGTCACAATGCCAGCTGGAGACCTCAGTCATACAAAGCTATGCCCATGGCTCATAGAACAAAGGGGTCCAAGATCCAGAAGAGATGGAAACCCAACCTGAATAGTGCTGGATTTAAATAATTACAAGAAACAGAGATAAAACAAATGATGGATGACCAGGAGGCTGAAAGTAGCCAGTCCTTCAAGAACAAGGCTGCTTTGCCTAATTTGCAGAATAAAGCCACTTCTCAGACCGTGAACCCATGACTAGAAGAAGACACCAGTTTCCAGTGAGGAAGGACCCTTTAACCCCGCAACAAGTGCAATGATTCTTTGTGGGCTTCTCCAAACGTATTTATGGCCACTAGAGTTTGCTATGAAGGGCAATTTTGTAAACATGTAAAGGTGTGCAGGGAATATATTCTCCATTGTAACTACTCAGCTCTGCTGTTGAAGCGCAAAGGCAGCCACAGGCAATCCATGAATGAGCGAGGCTGGACCTGCCTTAAGTGCCCAATGACCCAAGACCCCCTAAGATCCTAGAGGTGCATGTGGTTCCAATGTCTAATTGGAGAATCACAACATAGATTCCATGTGAATGTTCAGAGGCAAGGCAACGCCACTCACAGCAAGGAAATCTCAACATTAAAAAGTGTCTCCTGTAGAGTACTGGGCCTTGGCAGAGATGGGGCCTTTAGCCATGGAAGGGCCGTGACCATCCAGCCTCAGAGCTGCCCATTACGGGTGGGCTCCTCACCCTCTAGGTCATTAGGAAGAGAGGTCTGGCAGTGAGAAGACACAGGTGGTTCTCCTGGGATGGGCAGAAGTAGGGCCACAGGGAACCGGGAAGCTGCACAAGCAGTTGGCCCCGATTCCCAGGACACCACGTGGCTGCACCCCCTTACCCTCAGCTTACACCTCAGGTTTCAGGGAAGGTCACTGATGGCCCCCGTGGACCATAGATGCCACTCAGCAGCAAAGGAGGGGAGAGTAGACCCTGAACCATGGGACCCCCACTCCCATCACATCCACACCACCCAGAAGCCACAGGCAAGGTAGGACCACCTTCTACTCTCCAACTGACACCTGAGACACCACTTGGAGATGACACCATAGGGGATGGGGTACTATTTGCTGGTACACTGTAATCCCCTCATCTAGGGTCAGCAACCTAGGACAGGGTCCAAATCTGGTCCCCCCTATTTGAAGGTTGCCATTGCCTGCTGTTGCTCTGCAAAGGGACAGGACTGGACACTGAGACGGAGAACCCAAGGCCTGCAAAGATCACAGGGCATCCTTCCTCCCTTTCTAGAAAGGGTTTGCTGACCCCTGTCTACACACTGACTATTCTCTATGATGCTGGCGCCCCAGTAGGAAGAACAGGCAGGTCTGGGCCCCAAGGGCAGAAGTGGGTGCCTCTACTCACCAGAGTTCCCAGGGTCATCCTGGAGGAAATGGTGCTTCCCATCCCCCCTGCACAGGTTCTGTGGGGAGCTTGGGGTGTGTTTGCTGGGGTGTGTCCTCAGGCAAGAGGCAGAAGGTGTCACGTGGTGTAAGAGGTCGCGAGGGCCCCTTCATGGATGGGGAGACCTCTGGGGTGACCAGCTGGGCTGAGGTGGGGAGTAAGAGGATGTTACCTGGGTGGTGGCAGTGGATGGTGAGGGGAGGGTGGGAAGTGTCTGCTGAGCCGCTGGGTGCAGGTGAGTGTCTACAGGAAAGTGCAGGGAAAAATTCAAGGGCACGCAGCCCTGGGGGTGCTGGAAGGTTTGTGTGGTTGAGAGCGGGTGAGAACAGAGCAGGCTGGTGGCTGGTGGGAGTGTCTGTGATTGTGTCCCTGTGCAACCCCACTTCACCCCTGTCCTGACCCCAGCTCGGATTCTGGGGGCTCTGGTTTCTCCTTCCCGAGGGCGGGTGGGACTGCCGGGCTGCACTAGGGATCCCCGCTCCACGTCGCCCTCTGCAGCCCTCTGGCCCCTCCACTCTCCGGGGGTTCCTTTCCAGCCTCCTCTCTGACCAGCTCCTCCCCTCGGAGGATAAGTAGCCTCTGGGAACGGACCCGGCGGGAAGGAGACGCGGAGGGAAACTGAGCGGGGGCGCAGTCCGGGGTGATCGCACGGGTCCTTCCAGAAGCCTCCCCTCCTCTGAAGCCCACAGTCCACAGCCCCCCACGGTTGGCCTCCGCCCCGCTTAGGCTCCATCCCCGAACTCACCGGCCAGCCCGGTCCTGCACCAGCTGGACAGCAGGAGCAGAAGCGGGAGGCGTAGAAGGAACGCGGGGCTGGCGGCCGCTGCCATTGGGGAGTTGGATCGCAGGGGACAGCAGAAGCGAAGCCCAGCCCGTGGATCACCTGGCGGCTCGCAGGCTGTCTGAATGCAGCCCGTCTGAATGCAGCCCTAAACTCCAGTAAGCCCTAAACTCTAGCACTCCTTCTGCCCCGCCCCTCGGAGGAAACACACCCCCTTTGCTGAGCCGCTAGCCAATCAGGTGTCTCTCAGCCAAGTTGCTCATCCAAGTCTACCCCACTTTCTACTGCAGCGCTCGCGCACTTCCCCCTGCTTCAGCCAGTCAGACTTTGCTGGCTGCCTGCCCGGGACCAGTCCTGCCAAAGGCTTCTTTCCATGACCCCCTCATGTAATCATCACCGCAATTTTTTCATTTTGTATTAATCCAATGTGGATACCGATGCACAGAAAGGTGAAGAAAATGCACAGAAGTGTTCAGCCGCGACAGGGTCTCCCTGTCCTCGCCTGTACCTGCGACACCCGCCTTCCCTCTCCCTGCGTTGCAGAGTGCTCCCAACCCACCGTCCTGTGCGCAGATCCAAGCCCAGTCCCATCCCCGCGGCCTCATCCCAAATCCCGAGTGGACGTGGTTATAGCCTGGGCTAGGTTTGTTTGTTTGGTTGGTTGGTTTTTCTTTCTTTTCTTTTTTTTCTTCGTGACAGAGTCTCGCTCTGCCGCCCAGGCTGGAGTGCAGCGGCGCGATCTGGGTTCGCTGCAACCTCTGCCTCGCGAATTCAAACGATTCTCCTGCTTCAGCCTCCCAAGTAGCTGGGACCACAGGTGCGCGCCACCAAGCCCGGTTAAGTTTTGTATTTCAGTGGGGACGGGGTTTCACCATGTTGCCCAGGCTGGCTTTGGACTCCTGGGCTCAAGTGATCGGCCCGACACGGCCTCTCAAAGTGCTGAGATCACAAGGGTGAGCCACCACGCCTGGCCCGGGGCTAGATTTTATTACAGAAGCACCAGGTCTTCAGAAGCTTCAAAGAAGATATTGTACACTAAACAATTGGTTAAGATAGTAAATTTTATGTTCTACTTTTTTACCAAAATTAAACAGCTTTAAAAATTATCTTAAAAATATGTGTCTTGCTGGGATCTGCCCAATTCGGATTGGCAAAAAGACTCTGCTCATTAAAATCTTTGCATTTTAATGCAAAGCATTGAAAACCTTGTCTCTAAAATCACAACCTGTGAGGCACCTTGCTGATTTAGAAAGCACATCAGAGAGATTGACCCTGAGCTCCCCTTAGAACAGTGCCCCACCAGGTGTGGGGATGGCCCAGGGGACTCAGCAGAGCAGGTTCAAATGAAAGCTCCCCATAGCTACTAACTGCCAGCGCTTGCTTTGGGCCTGTTCCCCCTGGGCAAGGACCAGCCATCCTTCCAAGCCGCGCACAAATACCCCCTCCCATGTGTGTCCCTCATCTTCCCACATGAAGGAACACCCTCCTGCTCCCTGAGGCCTGGATCCACAGTGATGGAGCGTATCCGGATCTCCCTGTGTGACAAATGCTCACACATTTCTTTGCTTCTCTACTAGAAGCATGAGGTCTTTGAGACTATACTAGATCTGTGTACAGCTTTTGAGGGAAAAAAGCCCTAGTGGCCTACTGTTGCTCAATTGGAATGTGATCAATTGTGTTTCCCATGGGAGCAGGAGGCAAGGGAGGGGTCTGTGCGTGCGTGGAGCTCACTTTGCAGTACACCCATCTGTGGCCAACCATTGATGCCTGGATCCATGGCTGCACCCACACCTCTGCTCAGTCCCTGGACGGTCCCTGCGGCCATCCTCAAAAGGAAACCCCAATTGTATCCTTGTCTTAATTATCATGAGGGCATCTGGAAGTGGTGGCAGAAGCCAGAGACAGGTGAGGGTCCCAGTGGTTCCTGGCAGCTGTGAAGGGCTTAGCTTAGGGTGAGGACTGGACAGAGCCCCTGGGTCCCATTCTGCCCCCAGCCACTCAGGCAATATCCTCTTTTCCCCTTCTCTCTCAGCCTCTTCTCACCCTAGGGCTGTACCCAAAGCTCTGAATGAGACTGTCCCTGCCCCGCCCCATCCACTCCTGGTCCAGCTCAGCAGTGACCTTGGAACTCCAGGAGCAGCTCAGTACCCCTGTCTCCGAGTCAGCTCTGCTCCAGGCAGGGCCAGAATCTGGAGTGTGCAGGAGGCCGGATGGCAGGGGCATTGCCCCAGGACTGAGCCGTATTCTGAGGGTTCCCAGAGACCTGACCTCCTACTTGTATACAGTCTTTTCAGTCAGCGTCTGCCTTAAAGGCTGTGACCCAGGCACCTTCCCTGGGAATTAACTCCAGCATTGTCCTCTGGGTCGACACAGTCCTTGGCAGCCTCTCCTTCCTGGGGTTACACCCAGTTCCTCTGCTCTTCTCCAGTGGATGGAATCTCCTTCTCCTTGACACACAGCATCTGGAGCCACCAATCTGCTGCCCCACTCAAATGTGAGGACCGCACATGCCTGAGCTCCTGCTGTCTGCACACCACGCACCGTGGGGGTTCCTTATGACCAGAGACACAGTCTGAAACAGACCTGAATTTGCTAAACCCTCTAGAGCTCGACAGGACCTAAGCCTTGATATGGTTCTGTGTGCTCCTCCCAGGGCGCCCGCTGTCCCCGAGCTCCGGGCCTGAGTGCTGGCTGGCGGAGACCCACAGTGGGTGCCCCGCTCCCGGACGATGCCCCTGGGCTTCCAGATCCAGAGCCTCGGGACGAAACTGTTTCAGGAAGACCCGGAAGGACTCGCCGGTCGCGGCAAGGGACAGGCGGTTCCTGAGACAGGAGGAGCCAGGAAATGCGGGGCCTGGTGGGGTGAGGAGCACGGGGTTCCTCCTTCATCCTCGCGGGGACTTTGCCACCGGCTCAGTGTGGAGGCCTCACCGTCCCGCCCGGATCCGTGGGGCTCCGACAGTGTGGCCCCTGCGAGGACCCCCCCCATCCTCCTCGCCCTGGGGCTGCTGCGGGAGGGCGCCCGGGCAGCACTAGGTCCTGAGTGTCCAGGGTCCGGCAGGGGCTTCCCGTTGTCGCCTCCCTGACCCCGCCGCTTGCGGTCCAGGGCTGCTGGTTTCTCCGCTGGTCTGGGAGGCCCTAGCATGGACGTCGTGAGGCGGAGAAAACCTTGGGATGGGTGGAAAAGAAGGATTGGAGGGAGGGCGGCAGAAAGGGAGAGGAAGGAAACAGGGCCGGAGAACAATGAGAAACCCCCACCACGAAAATGGGGAGAGGGGGACACGCGCACAGCCCCCACACTCCACCGACTCTCCGTCTCCTGCTCTCTGCCCAGTAAGGAACACAGGCCCCACCCCCTCCACCCTCACTGTGTTTGGGATCAGCCATTTCAGCGGGGTGAGGCGTCCCCTTGTGGGTGCGATTGGCATTTCCCTGAGGGCTGTGAACACTGAACACCTTTTCCTGGGCTCACTGCGATTTGCATTCTTCTTCTGATGCCAGCGGGCAAGGGGAGGTCCCCAAACGCCGGTGGGACCTCGACTCCAGCCAGTGTCCAGATTCTTGATATTGCCGGGGAAATTAATTCAAGGACCAGTAGGAAATAGAGAAAGGACGGAGATTTATTGTAAAAGGCAAAGTACACAGTCAAGTAAAGGGAGTGCAGGGGAACTCGAGAGAGAAGCAGGTGCAAGTTTGGGGCTGCCACCTTTCTGGGTTTCTTTAACCAAGGAGTGGAATATTCATGAAAATTCCTGGAAGAAGGTAGAGATTTCTCAGAACTGTGGTGCCCCGCATTTTTACACTAAATATAAGTGTTCTCAGAACTGCTCAGGAGCTGGCTGGTGTGTGTTTAGTATGTTAATCAGCATGTAATGAGGTCCTAGGTGAAACCTAGGTCAAATGCAGGGCCTTGTTGGGTCCAGTCATTCTTAGCCAGCTTGGTCCACATGCTGTTTTTCAGCATCTTATCAGCCCAGAGCCTCTGCACATATTTCAACAGATTCCTTTTGCTAGTCACCTGAAACTGCTGCCCAAAATTTTCTATTCTTTTGAGACCACCGTGTAGTATACCTGTCTTACTTTGGAGAAATGTCTATTCAAATTCCTTGCATATATTTAAATTGGGTTATTTCACTTTATAATGTTGAGTTGCAACATTATATATTATATATAATATATAATTGCAATTATATTTTGTTGCAATATTATATATTCAGAATACCAGTCCCTTACCTGATATATGATTTTTATTTTATTTTTTAAAATTTATTTATTTATTTATTTTTTAATTTTTAAATAATTTTTAAAAATTATACTTTAAGTTCTAGGGTACATGTGCACAACGTGCAGGTTTGTTACGTAGGTATACTTGTGCCATGTTCGGTTGCTGCACCCATCAACTCGTCATTTACATTAGGTATTTCTCCTAATGCTATCCCTCCCCCAGCCCCTCACCTCCCAATAGGGCCCAGTGTGTGATGTTCCCCGCCCTGTGTCCATGTGTTCTCATTGTTCAACTCCCACCTATGAGTGAGAACATGTGGTGTTTGGTTTTCTGTCCTTGTGATAGTTTGCTTAGAATGATCGTTTCCAGCTTAATCCATGTCCCTGCAAAGGACATGAACTCATCCTTTTTTATGGCTGCATAGTAGTCTGTGTTGTATATGTGCCACATTTTCTTAATCCAGTCTATCATTGATGGACAACTCTTTGCTATTGTGAATAGTGCCACAATAAACATATATGTGCATGTGTCTTTACAGTAGCATGATTTATAATCCTTTGGGTATATACCCAGTAATGGGATTGCTGGGTCAAATGGTATTTCTAATTCTAGATCCTTGAGGAATCACCACACTGTCTTCCACAATGGTTTAACTAATTTACACTCCCACCAACAGTGTGAAAGCGTTCCTCTTTCTCCACATCCTCTCCAGCATCTGTTGTTTCCTGACTTTTTAATGATTACCATTCTAACTGGTGTGAGATGGTATCTCATTGCGGTTTTCATATGCATTTCTCTGATGGCCAGTGATGATGACCATTTTTTCGTATGTCTGTTGGCGGCATAAATGTCTTCTTTTGAGAAGTGTCTGTTCATATCCTTTGCCCACTTTTTGATGGGGTTGTTTTTTTTTTCTTGTAAATTTGTTTAAGTTCTCTGTAGATTCTGGATGTTAGCCCTTTGTCAGATGGGTAGATTGCAAAGATTTTCTCCTATTCTGTAGGTTGCCTGTTCACTCTGATGATAGTTTCTTTTGCTGTGCAGAAGCTCTTCAGTTTAATCAGATCCCATTTGTGTACTTTGCCTTTTACTGCCATTGCTTTTAGTGTTTTAGTCATGAAGTCTTTGCCCATGCCTATGTCCTGAATGGTATTGCCTAGGTTTTCTTCTAGGGTTTTTATGGTGTTAGGTCTAACATTTAAGTCTTTAATCCATCTTGAGTTAATTTTTGTATAAGGTATAAGGAAGGGATCCAGTTTCAGCTTTCTACCTATGACCAGCCAGTTTTCTCAGCACCATTTATTAAATAGGGAATCCTTTCCCCATTGCTTGTTTTTGTCAGATCAAAGACCAGATGGTTGTAGTTGTGTAGTGTTATTTCTGAGGCCCCTGTTCTGTTCCATTGGTCTATATATCTGTTTTGGTACCAGTACCATGCTGTTTGGTTACTGTAGCCTTGTAGTATAGTTTGAAGTCAGGTAGAGTGATGCCTCCAGCTTTGTTCTTTTGGCTTAGGATTGTCTTGGCTCTGCAGGCTTTCTTTTGGTTCCATATGAAGTTTAAAGTAGTTTTTCCAATTCTGTGAAGAAAGTCAGTGGTAGCTTGATGGGGATAGCATTGAATCTATAAATTACCTTGGGGAGTATGGCCATTTTCACAATTTCCTATCTATGAGTATGGAATGTTCTTCCATTTGTTTGTGTCCTCTTTTATTTAGTTGAGCAGTGGTTCATAGTTCTCCTTGAAGAGGTCCTTCACATCCCTTGTAAGTTGGATTCCTAGGTATTTTATTCTGTTTGTAGCAATTGTGAATGGGAGTTCACTCATGATTTGGCTCTCTGTTTGTCTATTATTGGTGTAAAGGAATGCTTGTGATTTTTGCATGTTTATTTTGTATCCTGAGACTTTGCTGAAGTTGCTTGTCAACTTTCCGCCAACAACCACACAGTCTGCTCCCACACACTCTCTACCACACAAGCCCTCCAGCACCCCCAGGGTTCTCTGCCCTTGATCTTTCCCCTGCACTTTGCTGCAGACACTCACCTGCACCCAGGGGCTCACCAGACATTTTTCACCCCTCTCCTCACCATTCACTGCCACCACCCAAGTCACATCCTTTAGTTCCCCATCTCAGCCTGGCACTTTTACCCACACAAACCTCACTCACCTCTCCATCCATGAAGGGTCCTCACCACTTTCTCCAGCAACCAGGGGGACCCAGGACCCACTTACCAGGAATCCAGAGTCTTTTTCAGACCCACAGAGGATGATTCTTCTGTGTAGCACTAGGTGAGCCTGACATAATTTAAGTGGTGGTTGGAGGCTGAGGGAACGGCTGAATGAATGAGAGTTGTGGGAGTGAATGGGCTCAGAAGAAAACCCCAGGTGCAGAAGGGGAGCTGCAGTGGATGCTGTAGCCCCCAGAGGCCTGAAGGTGGCGGTACCGTGGTTGGAGACCTCCAGGCTGGGCAGAATTTGGAAATATGTGTAGTCACCTGGGTGCCCACAGAGTTTTTCCAAAGAGGAGAAATTTTGGCTTACAACAGGTATAGAGCTCCATCAGCATAGAATCTTTTAATAAACTTGTTGATCACAGGACAGGAAATTGCTGTCTTCAGCCCATTTGATTGAGACCAGAGTGTACTCAGGACAGAAAAATCCTAACCAGAGCCATTGGCAAGTGAAGGAAAGAAAAGGCGTTCAAATAGGAAAAGAAAAAGTCAAACATGTCTCTTTGCCAGTGATGTGATTCCATACATAGTAAACCCTAAAGACCCTGTCGGAAGGCTCCTGGAACTGACATATCAATTCAGTAAAGTTTCAGGATACAAAATCAATGTACACAATCAAGAGCATTCTTATACACCAATAATATTCTAGCTGAGAATGAAAGCAAGAACACAATCGCATTTACAAAACCAACAAAGAAAAGTAAATGCCTAATAGTTAATCTAACCAAAGAGATGAAAGATCTTTCCAAGAAAACTACAAAACGTGGCTGAAAAAAAATCAGAGACAACACAAATAAGTGGAAAAAATATTTCATGCTCATGGGTTGGGAGAATCGATATAGGCAAAATGGCAATACTTCCAAAAGCAATTTATAGATCCAACGCTATCCCTATCAAAATACCAATGTCATTTTTCACAGAAAAATCTAACCTAAAAATTATTGGGAATTTAAAAAGAGCCCAAATAGCCAAAACAATCATAAGCAAAAAGAACAAAGCCAGAGACATCACATTGCCCGACTTCAAACTATAATATAAGGCTACAGTGATCAAAACAGAATGGTACTGGTACAAAAATAGACACTTAGATCAGTGGAACAGAATAGAGAACTCAGAAAGAAACCTTCACACCTACAGCCATCTAACCTTCAACAAAATCAACAAAAATAAGCAATGGGGAAAGACTCCCCATTCAACAAATGGTACTGGGATATCCATGTGCAGAAGAATGAAACTGAACCTCTACATTTCACCATATATGTAAAATAACTTGATATGGATTAAAGATTTAAATGTAAGTCCTAAAACTATAAAAATTCTGGAAAATAACCTAGGAAATACCACTCTGGACGTAGGGCCTGGCGAAGATTTCATGATGAAGACAGCCAAAGCAATTGCAACCAAAACTGAAAATTGCCAAATGGGACTTCATTAAACTGAAGAGCTTCTGCACAGCAAAAGAAACTAGGAACACAGTCAACAGTCTATAAAATGGGAGAAATGTCTGCAAACTATGCATCTGACAAGCGTCGAATATGCACAATCTACAAGGAAATTAAACAATTAAACAAGCAAGAACAAAAAACCCAGTTAAAAAATAAGCAAAGAACGTGAACAGACACTTTTCAAAAGAAGACCTACAAGTGGCCAAGAAACATGAAATAATGCTCAATATGAGCAATCATCAGAGAAATGCAGATCAAAACCACAGTGAGGTACCATCCCATACCCATCAAAATGGCTATCCTTAAAATTTCAAAAAAACCACAGATATTGGTGAGGCTGAGAAGAAAAGGGAACACTTAGACACTTTTGCTGAAAAGGCAAAGTAGTACTAGTTCAGCCACTATGGAAAGCAGTTTGGAGATTTCTCAAAGAACCAAAAATAGAACTACCATTTGACCCAGCAATTCCACTGCTGGGGATATACTTAAAGGAGAATAATTTATTCAGTCCAATAGGCCCGTATGTTCATTGCAGTGCTATTCTCACTAGCAAGGACACAGAATCAATCTAAGTGCCCAGGAGCAGTGGACTGAATGAAGAAAACCTGGTACATATGGACCATGGAAATCCATGCAGCCATGAAACACAACAAAGTCAAGTTCTTTTCAGCAACATGGTTGGAATTGGAGGCCATTATCCTAGGTGACCTAACACAAGAACAGGCAACTGCACACCGCAGGTTCCCGTTTATAAGTGGGAGCTAAACATTAAATACACATGAATGTAAAGATGGGAACCACAGACACTGGAGATCACTAGACAGGGGAGTGGGGAGGGGCACGTGGGCTGAAGAACCACCCACTGGGTATGATGCTTACTGTCTGGGATTATTGGGACCCCAAGCCGCAGCCTCCCACAATTGACCCATGTAACAAACCTGCACGTGTACTCTTTATAATAAAAGTTGAAAATAAAAATGAATAAATATGATGGCGAGGATGTGGAGAAATAAGAGCTCTTCTACACTGTTGGTGGGAGTGTAAATTAGTTCAACCATTGTGGAAGACAGTGTGGTGATTCGTCAAGAATCTAGAACGAGTAATACCGTTTGACACAGCAATCCCATTACTGGGTGTATACCCAAAGGATCATAAATCATTCTACTATAAAAACACATACACAGGTATGTTTATTGCAGCACTATTTACAATAGCAAAGACTTGGAACCAACCTGAATGGCTATCAATAATAGACCAGATAAAGAAAACGTGGCACATATATACCAGGCAATAGTATGCAGCCATAAAAAAGAATGAATTCAGGCCGGGCGCGGTGGCTCACGCCTGTACTACCAGCACTTTGGGAGGCCAAGGCGGGCAGATCACGAGGTCAGGAGATCAAGACAATCCTGGATAACACGGCAAAACCCCGTCTCTACTAAAAATACAAAAAATAGACGGGTTTGGTGGCAGGCACCTATAGTCCCAGTTACTCGGGAGGCTGAGGCAGGAGAATGGCGTGAACCTAGGAGGCAGAACTTGCAGTGAGCCGAGATTGCGCCACTGCATTCCAGCCTGGGTGACAGAGTGGTGAGACTCCATCTCAAAAAAAAAAAAAAAAAAAAAAAAAAGAATGAGTTCATGTCCTTTGCAGGGACATGAATGAAGCTGGAAACCATCATTCTCAGCAAACTAACACAGGAACAGAAAACCGAATGTTCTCACTCATAAGCGGGAGTTGACCAATGAGAACACATGGACACAGGGAGGAGAACATCACACACCGGGGCCTGTCAGGGGGTTGGGGGCAAGGGGAGAGAGAGCATTAGGACAAATACCTAATGCATGTGGGGCTTAAAACCTAGGTGATGGATTGATAGGTGCAGTAAACCACCATGGCAGATGTATACCTATGTAACAAACCTGCGCATTCTGCACATGTATCCAATAACTTAAAGTAAAATTTAAAAATAAAAATGAATAAACAAATTGACACGAGGCAAAAAAAAGTGGGTTTAACTGACACAGGCAAGAGAGAACTCTGCACTATAAACTCTAACCCTGCCCTAGAAAAATAAACTCTAGTCATTTAAAATAATTATAAGGTGTATGATCATAATTTTATAAAAATTGAAGATGATTCTACTAAAACCCTAACATTAAACTGTGCATAATGGAATTTCAGATGATTTCCACCTTGTTCTTTATTCCTTTTTTGTTCCATTTTCAAGTGACCTTTTTTGTTTATCCTCAGGAACTCATTGCTCCCAGCTGTCCCCTTCTGTACCCACCCTCTCCTTTTCCAGGGTCCGCCCCAGCCCTTCCTCTGACCTGAAACTATGGCTTCCTTGGCACTGAAGGCACAGGAGCTGCATTCAGCCTCGGGAGAGAGTAGGACAAGGGCAGGTAGTGGAGGTGGTCTTGGCGCAAACGAATCTAACAGCGCCCAGTCTCCATTGCAGATGGCTGCATTTCTCCACATGTTATCTACAAGCAAACCAAACTTACCCCTTTCCTGATTGGTTTCTCACTCTGCCCAACTCCTACTTGAAAATTCATATTCTTCCACCTAACATTTCTTTCTACTTCTTGTCTTCACAATATATTCTGATTTATTGTGCCCAGGAAACACTGGTCTACACCACATCCTAAGTTACCATCTAAAGTGTAGTGAACAAATGGACAGGAAAGAGGCCGCTGCCCCACTCACTGCCTCTCATTTATTCACTCACAGGGTAAGTACAGCCTCAGAACCAACAGTGAGCTGTGCTGTGGATACTTCTCTGAGGAAAACAGACAAAATCCGTGCTCCAGTGGGGACAGCAGGTGAACGTAATGAGCAGGTGCATTGCATCAGGTGTAGGAAAGTGACAGATGATTCAGGTGGTGGGGAGCAAGGTAATGGAGAGGAAGAGTGGGAAGGGAGTCTCCAGGTCCTCAACAGGCTAAACAGGAAGGACTCCCAAAAAAGTAACATGTGTGTCCTGGCTTCATGCCTTCCTGCAGGAGGCAGAGCCCATGAAATGTACTGGAGTGGTCCAGGGAAAATCCAGAAGGTGCCTTTGTAACATTTTCAAGACAACCCTATAAAAAAAGAGTACCCAAGAATGTATTCGTTAAGTAGTCAGGAGCAAACAATAAATATTTATGACCTAGCAATTTTATTGCCATTTAAGAAAATATTTCACATAAATTGAAAAAGTAGTATGTTTATTTCTTTCTTAAATAAGCACAAATGTTTACTAATGGACATGTGTACCTACTGGGCACTGAACAACTTCTCAAACTTTGGAAGCAGATTGGACACAGCCACCCTGATTTCCTATTTCATACCTATTTTTGCAGGGATTCTTGGTTTTTTATCACAGCAACTGTTGAAATCACAGATTGTAAAACTACAATGTCATCTAAAGCAATGGTGCATAGTCTGATGTTGAAACTATAAAATACTTTGGATCAGTACTTCCTGCGGTGTCCAGCAGATGGCACCACTAATCTTTCAAATATTTCAATAAGCCCAGAGGGTTTGCTCACAGTGAGTTTGTGACATCATGGCGGATGAGACAATTGTGACATCATGGTGGATGAGACAATTGTGACATCATGGTGGATGAGAGATCAATAAAGAGTTTATTTCAGGGGATTGGGGCAGTTCCTCTCACCCTGCAGATCAAGATGCCCTGAGGGCAAAGAGCAGAGGGGTGCTCTCTGGTGGCCCAGCAGTTCTGCCCCAGGGGAGAGGTTTCTCTTTTACTACCGCGAAAACCCACAGGACGCTGCTTCATCCCAGAGCCAAGGATACCAGGAAGGAAGGTCAGAGTGAGGAGGTGTCTGAGTGTTTCAGATCACACAGTGACATACTGCTTGATGGCTTCAGAAATCCTTCATGAGCTGGGAGACAGCCCCAGAGGTGACAGGTGAGTGGGTGGGATGGGACAGACACAAGAACTCTCGAGATGACACCCACTTTCTCCCGTGTGTTTATGTATGTCTGTGTGTGCACGTGCGTGTGTGTGTGTGTCTGTATTTGTGCATGAACGTTTGTATGTTTGTATGTGTGTGTCTGTGTGCCTGTGTGTGTGCATATGTGTGTGTGCCTGTGTAGTGTGTGTGTGAGACTGTGCATGCGACTGTGTGTGTTTGTGTGAGACTATGCATGCATGTCTCTCTGTGTGTGTGAGACCACATGTGCATATCTCTATGTGTGTGTCTGTGTGTGTGTGGGAGTGTATGCTATATGTATATGTATGAATGGTGACTTGATTTCCTGTGAAGGGAGACAGGGACCCCAGGACAGGTTCCTGCCCACCCCTCCTTCCCTACCTTCCTTCCAGATATTCCCTCCTCCCTGTGGAAAGAGTCTACCCCAGTAACTAAGGGTTCATTACTGCAGACTTCTCATAGCTCCCCAAAGTTCTATGATATTTGCACCCCAGGCCTCCTCCTCATGCTTGTCCCTCTGCTGGGTGCCCTGTCTTCTCCTCCCACCTGGCCACACTGTATTCTTCCAGTTTCTACAAGAGCAGTCTGAAATGCCACCTCCCAAGAAACCTCCATGCAACTTCCCAAGCAGAATGAGTCACCCCCTCTTCTGCCCTTTCATAGCCCCAACCATCTCGAGGACAACACATCAGCAGCAGCAGCCACGTAGATGTTTGTTTCTGTACCTGGATTCTAAGTGCCTGAAGGACTGGACATATCTGGTTTCTAAGTTCCAGGAGGACTGGACACATCCATCACCCACGTGTAAACCCAGCACCTAGCACAGTGCCTGCCATACGATAGGGTTTAAGACGCATGGGAGGAATCTAATCATCAGACTACCAAAGGGCTGCTAGAACTCAGAAAGGGATCCCCATCATTTGGGGGATGGGATAAAGGTCTTCATTTCTGTTCTTTCCAGCACCAACCTCCATGGCTCCACTCATCCCTGCTCCTTCCTCCTATTAAGATTGGCTGGTCAGGAGAGGGGTAGGGGCAGGAGCAGCTATACCTGGTCTCCTCCACCATCCACGGTGGGGTGCACTCTTGGTGGGACCTGGTGAGCATGACAGCACCTGGGCCTAGGGGACCTGGAGCCTCCACAGACCCACAGAGAGCAAGAGGAGCTGTTCAGCCACTTGCAGAGACAGCCAGAGAGTGCTTCAAGGACTGCGTGGAGCTCTGGAGAAGCAGGGAATTCAGGGCCCTCTTTTGTGAGGCATGAGAAATTTAGGCAGGATCATGTCTACAAAAGAGGCTGTCACTTTGGCTTATCAATATTTTCACCTCGTTACCCCTTCCAGATCAGAATGGGTGCTTTATTTGTTTTTATGGATTATTGTGTCAACCAAAACGAGAGTTCAGAGTCACTCTAAAGATTTGAAACTCCTTCAAGATTTGATGAATGCGCATTTTGATGCCACATCTATTTTTAGAAAGCTGTGGCTGAATAAAGCATTTTATTGTATAGCATTACCCAAGTTACTTATATGGAATTTTAATCTACATAATGTCATACAACCATGTGAAAAGTAAAAACTAAAAAGCCGTAACTTTTTGGGTCAGAATTGGTGACTCATGCCTGTAATCCCAGAACTTTGGAAGGCCAATGTTGGAGGAACACTTGAGGCTAGGAGTTGGAGATCAGCCATGGCAAGTAACATGGTGAGACCCTGTCTCTACAGAAAATTTAAAAAATTGACCAGGTGTAGTAGGATGTGACTGTAGTCCCAGCTCCTCAGGAGGCTAAGGTAGGAGGATCACTTGAGCCTGGGTGACAGTGTGAGAGCCTGTCTCAAAGAAAACAACAACAATTGCAGCAGAAACAACAACAAAAAATATAAACCCAAGTAAACTAAATTGACAGAAGAATTGTGGGACCCAAATGACCAAATAATGTGATTTTTCACTTTTGATGAATTAAAGGGTATGCTGAGTGCCAGTATTCCCAGAATGTTCCATCTCATGAAATATGATTTCCTCTGGTGAACCCACTCCCTAGTCCAGGTCCTCCGAGAAGCAGGTTCCTACATGGGTTTCACATGAGGGGATTTCATTGGTGCAAACCCTGTGAGAACCGTTCAGTAGGAGGCAATTCTGACCCCAAGTGCAGGAGGGAGGGACAGGAGGTTGGGCAGGTGCCTCCTACACTACAGTGAATGGTGCTGGGACAACTGGATGCTGCATGCAGAAGAATGAGGCTGACCCCTTCCTTACAGCACACACAAAAACTAGTTCTAGATGAATGGCAGATGTTCACCTAAGACATGAAACTATGAAAGTCTCAGAAGAAAGCAGAGCAGTAAATTTTTGTGACCCCGGATTTGGCTAATGCTTCTTAAGTACTGTATGCCAGTAGCATAAATGACAAAATAAAAGGTAGTTTAATTTCATTTCATGCAAATGTAAAACTTTTGTGCTTCAAAAAGGACTCCATTTAGGTTAAAAAAATCCTTATAGAATGAGAGAAAGCATTTGAAAATCGTATATCTAGTAAGGGACTGGTATCCTGAATACATAAAGAACTCTTGCAACCCAACATTATAAAGCAAAATAACCCAATTTAAATATATGCAAAGAATTCAAAAAGATGTTTCTCCAAAGTGAGACAGGTATAATACAGTGTGGTCACAAAAGAAGAAAAAAACTTTAGGCAGCAGTTTCAGGTGACTAGCAAAAGGAATCTGTTGAAATATCTGCAGAGGCTCTGGGCTGATAAGACCCTAAAAGACAGGGTATGGACCAGGCTGGCTAAGAATGAGTGGACCCAACATGGCCCTGGGTTTGGCCTCGGTTTCACCTAGGACCCTATTATACACTAATTGACATACTAAACGCACACACACCAGCGTCTTGGCAATTCAGAGAACACCAATATTTGGTGTAAAAATGGGTGGCACCACAGTTCTGAGCAGTCTCCACCTTCTTTTAGGAATTTTCATGAATATTCCACCCCTTGTTAAAGAAACCCAGAAAGGTGGCAGCCCTAAACCCCCTTGCACCTGCCTCTCTCTTGAGTTCCCCTGCATTCCCTTTACATGAGTGTGTACTTTCCCTTTTACAAAAAAATCTCCGTCCTTTCTCTATTTTCCTACTGGTCCTAGAATTCATTTCCCCAGGCGGTGTCAAGAGCCCGACACCGGCTGGGGTCGAGGTCTCATCAGAGTTTGGGGACCACCGGTTGCCCACTGGCATCGGAAGAAGAATGCAAATGGCAGTGAGCCCAGGAAAAGGTGCTCAGTGTCCACAGACCTCAGGGAAATGCCAACAGCACCCACAAGGGGACGCCTCACCCCGCTGGAATGGGTGACCCCAAACACTGTGAGGCTGGAGGGGGTGGGGCCTGCGTTCCTTACAAGGCAGAGAGCAGGAGACTGAGAGTTGGTGGAGTGTAGGGCTGTTCCTGTGTCATCCTCTTCCCATTTTCCTGGCGGAGGTTTCTCTTTGTTCTCTGGCCCTACCTGCTTCCTTCCTCTCCCTTTCTCTGGTTCTCCCTCCCGTCCTTCATTTCCAACCATCCCAAGGTTTTCTCTGCCTCAAGACGTCCATGCTCGGGGCCCCCAGCCCAGTGGAGAAACCAGGAGCCCTGGACCGCGAGCGGCGGGGTCGGGGAGGCGACAACGGGAAGCCCCTGTTGGATCCTGGGCACTCAGGACCTAGTGCGCCATGGGCGCCCTCCCGCAGCAGCCCCAGGGCAAGGAGGATGGGGGTCCTCGTGGGGGCCACACTGTCGGATCCCCAGGGATCCGAGCGGGACTGTGACGTCTCCACACTGAGCCGGTGGCAAAGTCGCCGCGAGGATGAAGGAGGAACCTCGTGCTCTTCACCCCACCAGGCCCCGCATTTCCTGTCTCCTGCCACGGTTCCTTGTCGCGACCGGCGAGTCCTCCCAGGTCTTCGAAAGGCCGTTTTGTCCGGAGGCTGTGGACCCGGAGGCCCGGGAGCATCGGCGGGCAGCGTGGCACCCACTCGGCGGTCTCAACCGGGCAGGACCCGGGTCCGGAGCTCGGGCGAAGCGGGCGTCCTGGGAGGAGCGCGCAGAACCCGGAGAGGACGCAGCAGGGTGAAAACTGAAACCGCATATGCGAACTGTCTCCGAAAGTCATCTGCGGTTGAAATCAGAAATCACCTATAATATCCCCTTTGTGACAACACCGTTGGGTAAATATCTAGAACCGGTGCCTCGTCACTGCAGCAGCCCCGCACGCAGCTGCCCGGGTTCCCCTCCCCGGACCCTAGTGGCCCCCAACAGATCAGGCGGGCCCACCGTGTGACCGTCCCTGGGACTCTCGGCCCCACTCTTACTTACTACTTCACCTCCACATTTTCACCTGTTTCAGAATCAAAACCCTGAAAAGTCATGTGTGAAAGGCTCCCCCGCCCCTGCCTGCGTCCACTCTCATTGGCCACACGCCAGGGAGGAAAGTTTATTTGATTCTTCTCATCTTTCCAGGGAGTCTTTATGCCGTTTCAAACGAATATAAATACATATTCTCAATTCAGACGCGGATATTTTTGACCCTTGATGAACCCTGTCACCCTGTCCTTCAGGAAGCCTGTACCAGTTTCCCCTCCCTCTACGGTGGATGTTTCACCATCCTCTGCCCAAGCTGGGTCATCACAATCACAGACAAGAGTGTCGCCAGCATTGCCATCCTATGACATGAGATGCTTTAAAGGTGCATTACTTCGCACAGCAATTCTGTGTCTGGAAATCTATTCTACACAATGAAATTGTGATTCATGCAAGCACAGTTTCTGCAGCATTTCGCTTCTCTAAAAGTCACTGGAGACCGTCTGGATCTTCAGACACAGACACTGGTTACTTTTGTTGTGATGCAGTCATTCTATGTAATGTGCAGAGATAAAAAGGAAAAAATCTGTATGTGCAGGTATTGCAAGATCTTCAAAGTGTGTTATTTTGAGATAGAATCTGTGTTCAGCAGAGTGCCTATGGGTTTATATTTGTTTTAAAAACCAGAATTGATACATAAACACGTATCTACTGTTAGTAAGGAAAACAGTATTTCCATAACTTATTGCCAGTCTCTTTATCCATTTTAGGAAAAATCGATATACTTGAAAAGCCACGGTGGCAGGAATTGGTCATCACCCACCAGGATTCTACACTGCCCTACAGGTGATCCCAACTGAGGTTGCCAGAGGAACAGGATGTGGAATGCAGTCGCGTTTCAGAGAGGAACCTAAAGTCAGAATGGACCAGGGGTCTTGCCCTGACCTCTGCCTCTTCACCCAACCCCCACCTGGTCAGGCAGTGACCCTGGAGGGGCTGGGATGATCCTGGGAGAGCAGTGAAATGGGGAGCCAATGGTGGGAGCATGGTGAACATGGAGAGCCCAGACCCCACACCATCTGGGGAGGAGCTCATGTGATGCTGGGAGCACTGGGAAGACAGGGAGCCTGGACACAGCACTCACTGCTCCTCCCATCTGGGACAGGATTGGGGTGGGTGATGAGAAAAGTTTCCTGAGTAACACAGTTCCCAATCCTGGCAGAATAACTCACCCCAGTTGCACTCACAGCCAAGACCCACTCAGCCCCTGGACCAGTCTAACACAGGGCTTGGTAAATCCAGGAGTGAATACTACTGAGGCATCTGCCAGGGCATAGGAAACAGTAACAAGAGGACGGCTCAGCTAGTGGCTCAGACTATCTTGCCCCACACTCTCCAATATTGAGTAGGGAGTAAGCCTTGAGCCCAGGAGGTTGAGGATTCAGTGAATTATGATCGTGCCACTGCACTCCAGACTGGTGACAGAGTAAGAGTCTGTCACACATGCTTACACACACAAATTAAATTGTGTGAGCAGTTGTCACACAGGGAGATCTGGATGCACTCACTGTGGACCCAGGTCTCAGCGAGCAGGAGGGTGTTCTGTATTGTGGGAACATGAGGGACACGCATGGGACCGGGCATTTGTGCCTAGCTTTGAAGGGTGGCTGGCCCTTTGCCCAGGGCGAAGAGGCCAGCAGAATGCACTAACAGTGGGGAACCACCAGGAACTTTCACTTGAACCTGCTCTGCTGAGCCCCCTGTGCCATCCGTGGACCTGGGCGAGGGAGGCTGCTGAACTGGGAGCTCAGGGCCCATCTCTCTGAGGAGCTTTCTAAATCAGCAAGTGTGTCACAGGTTGAGATTTTAGGAACGGGGTCCTCCATGTTGTCCTCGATTTTAATAAGTAGACTCTTTTGGCCAATCTGCATTGGGCAGAGCAGGAACAAGACATAATTTTTTAATATATATTTTTAAAGCTGTTTAATTTTGGTAAAAACATAGAAGATAAAATTTACCATCTTGACCAGTTGTTTAGTGCACAATATGTTGTTTTAAACCTCTGGAACCCTGCCTGCTGCTCCTGTAATAAAACCTAGCCCGGGCCAGGCGCGGTGGCTAACGCCTGTAATCCCAGCACTTTGGGAGGCCGAGACGGGTGGATCACCTAAGGTCATGAGTTTGAGACCAGCCTGGCCAACAAGATGAAACCCCATCTCTACCAAAAATACAAACAATTCGCCGGGCGTGGTGGAGGGCGTCTGTAATCCCAGCTACTCCGGAAGCTGAGGCCAGAGAATCCCTTGAACCCGGGAAGCGGCGATTGCGGTGAGCCGAGATCACGCCACTGCACTCCAGCCTGGGCAACAAGAGCGAAACTCCGTCTCTAAATAAATAAATAAATAAATAAATAAATAATAAAACCTAGCCCGGACTGTAATCACGTCCACTGGGAACTGGCGCAGTAGTGGAGGGGACGCGATCAGGCCCGTGGCTGCGCCCAGAGCATGATAAGCCAGGGACCTCGCGGCGCAGGCGGAGGGAGGGAGAGCGTCGCGGACCCAGGCGGGGACAGGGAGACGCCGCCGCCGCTGAATATTCCTCTGCAAGTTTCTTCACCTTCAATAAAAAAATGTTGTGATGATTAAATGAGTCTGTCGTGGAAGGAACCGTGTCTTGGCAGGAGCCGGGCGGACACCCAGACACCAACCCGAAGGGGGTTGGGACAAAGGGGAGGGACGCCCGGGAAGGGGAGGGACACCGTCAGGGCAGCCAATCATATTTCTAGCCGCGTGACGCTATGACCCGCTTGACGCTATGACAGCGGGAAACGGGGGGCGCGCCCGTACATAGGGAGGCTTTAAAACCTTGAGGTGATTCATCTTCCAGGCTCTCCTTCCATCAAGTCTCTCATCCCTAGCGCTCTGGGTCCTTAATGGCAGCAGCCGCCGCTACCAAGATCCTTCTGTGCCTCCCGCTTCTGCTCCTGCTGTCCGGCTGGTCCCGGGCTGGGCGAGCCGGTGAGTTCGTGGATGGAGCCTAAGCCGGGCGGGGACCAAGCCTGGAGGGCTGTGAACTGCCGCGGGTTTCAGAGGAGGGGAGGCTTCTAGAAGGACGGGGGAGATCTCCCCTAACTGCGCCCCCGTTCAGTTCCGGTCGGCGGCTCCTTCCTGCTGGGTGCAGTCCCCGAGGCTGCTTCTTGCCCGGGAAGAGGCGAAAAGGAGCGGGGTGGAAAGGAGGCTGGCAGGAGGGTGGAGGGGCCGGAGGGCTGCAGAGAGCGAGGTGGGGCGGGGATCCCTGGTGCAGCCTGGCAGTCCCACCCGCCCTCGGGAAGGAAAAACCAGAGCCCCCGGAACCGGAGCTGGGGACAGGACAGGGGTGAAGCGGGATTCCACAGGGACGCGATCACAGACACCCCCACCAGCCACAGGCCTGCTCTGCTCTCACCCGCTCTCCACCACACAAACCCTCCAGCGCCCCCAGGGCTGCGTGCCCTTGAATTTTTCCCTGCACTTTCCTGTAGACACTCACCTGCACCCAGGGGCTCAGCAGACAACCGCCACCCCTCCCCTCACCATCCACTGCCACCACCCAGGTCACGTCCTCTTACTGCCCACCTCAGCCCAGCTGGTCACCCCAGAGGTCTCCCCATCCATGAAGGGGACCTCACCACCTCCTACACCACGTCGCACCTTCTGCCTCTTGCCTGAGGACACACCCCAGCAAACACACCCCAAGCTCCCCTCAGAACCTGTGCAGGGGGGATGGGAAGCACCATTTCCTCCAGGATGACCCTGGGAACTCTGGTGAGTAGAGGCACCCACTTCTGCCCTTGGGGCCCAGACCGCCTGTTCTTCCTACGGGGGTGTCAGCGTCATAGAGAATAGTCACTGTGTAGACAGGGGTCAGCAAACTCTTTCTAGAAAGGGAGGAAGGATGCCCTGTGATCTTTGCAGGCCGTGGGTTCTCCGTCTCAGTGTCCAGTCCTGTCCCTTTGTAGAGCAACAGCAGGCAATGGCAACCTTCAAATAGGGGGGACCAGATTTGGACCCTGTCCTAGGTTGCTGATCCCAGATCAGGGGATTACAATGTCCCAGTGAATAGTGCCCCATCCCCTATGGTGTCATCTCCAAGTGATGTCTCTGATGTCAGTTGGAGAGTAGAAGGTGGTCCTACCTTGTCTGTGGCTTCTGGGTGGTGTGGATGTGATGGGAGTGGGGGTCCCATAGTTGGGGGCTTATTCTCCCCTCCTTTGTGCTGAGTGGCATCCACGGGGACCATCAGGTACCCTCCCTGAAGCCTCAGGTGTGAGCTGAGGGTGAGGGGGTGCAGCCACGTGGTGTCCTGGGGATCGGGTCCAACTGCTTGTGCAGCTTCTTGGTTCCCGGTGGCCCTGCTCCTGCCCATCCCAGAAGAACCACCTGCGTCTTCTCACTGCTGGGCCTAACTTCCTAATGACCTAGAGGGTGAGGAGCCCACCAGTAATGGGCAGCTCTGAGGCCTTCAGCAATAGGCATCCCTAAGCTTCATTCCATTCTGGTGCCTTGTCATGGGCCTTCTTTATATGCATGGCAAAAGGCCCCATCTCTGCCAAGGTGCAGTACTCTACAGGAGCCACTGCTTAATGTTGCGATTTCCTTGCTGTGAGTGGCATTGCCTTGTCTCTGAATATTCACATGGAATCTCTGTTGTGATTCTCCAATTAGACATTGTGACCACATGTACCTCTAGGGTCTTAGGGGGTCTTGGGTCATTGGGCACTTAAGGTAGGTCCAGCCTCGCTCATCATGCATGGATTGTCTATGGCTGCTTTTGAACTTCAACAGCAGAGTTGAGTAGTTACAATGGAGAATATATTCCCTGCACACCTTTACATGTTTACAAAATTGCCCTTCACAGCAAACTCTACTGGCCATAAATATCTTTGGAGAAGGCCACAAGGACTCACTGTCCTGGCTGCAGGGTTAAAGGGTCCTTCCTCACTAGAAACTGGTGTCTTCTTCTAGTCATGGGTTCAGGGTCTGAGAAGTGGCTTCATTCTGCAAATTAGGCAAAGCAGCCTCGTTCTTGATGGACTGGCTACTTTCAGCCTCCTGATTTGGTTTATCTCTGTTTCTTGTAATTATTTAAATCCAGCAGTATCTGGGGTGGGTTTGCATCTCTTTTGGACCTTGGACCCCTTTGTTCTATGAGCCATGGGCATAACTTTGTATAACTGAGGTCCCCAGCTGGCATTGTGACTTCTCTAATCATTTCCATCATTGCACCCTCCTTGCTCCTGACAGTTGACAGCCTCCACCTGGAATTTGGAATTTCAGAATTGTTCATCCCATTACTCTGGGAGCAGATTTCAGGAACAGCATCTCCTACCCCCAACCCTGGCCTTCAGCAATAGGCATCCCTAAGCTTCATTCCATTCTGGTGCCTTCTCATGGGGCCTTCTTTATATGCTGGGTAAACAGGAGTCCTCCAGGTTTCCCATAAGCACAGTGGATGGACATTGTTCTGGATTTTCACACTTAGACCCCTCTGGCATGGGCACTTCTCTGAGCCTGTGATCTCTCCCTCCACTACCTGCCTTAGACTTTCAGATTTTCCATTTCTTGCTGTGTGGACCATCTCTTTGTCCAAGGTTTCAGGAAGGCCTCCTCATAGCAGATGCATGCCATCACCAGGGGCTTTGCCAACATGTTAAATCCTGTGGCCATGATAATTAACTCTTCTTTATCCAACGGGGTTCCATCCTCACTCTGTTCAACCAGCACCAGCATCCACAGGGGTGGACCCACACCCTCTCCCACCTCCCGCAGTCCACGTGGGCTACTGCTGAAGATCCTCTGCCATCCAGGCCCTTCCTCCTCTCTTGCTAGAGAGGCCTGGCACCTTTCTAGCAAGGTCACGTGTTGACTGATGTGGGCAGAGGGGCAGTGGGACATGTCTGGGGACATGTGGTTTCTCAGCAGACAGAGACTTCCTCCTCCTCCTCCTCCTTGTCCTCATGCAAGGGGCGAGCACTCGCCTTAAACTTGTAGACACCACAGTTCTGGAGGGGGCACTCCTTCCTGGGCCAGCCCAGCCTGCCAGAGGCATCCTCTTATTGACACAGCGTGGAGGGGGGCTAACTAGGGGTCTTTTCCTCCCCACCCACCCCTCACCTGCCTTTCTCCACAGACCCTCACTCTCTTTGCTATGACATCACCGTCATCCCTAAGTTCAGACCTGGACCACGGTGGTGTGCGGTTCAAGGCCAGGTGGATGAAAAGACTTTTCTTCACTATGACTGTGGCAACAAGACAGTCACACCTGTCAGTCCCCTGGGGAAGAAACTAAATGTCACAACGGCCTGGAAAGCACAGAACCCAGTACTGAGAGAGGTGGTGGACATACTTACAGAGCAACTGCGTGACATTCAGCTGGAGAATTACACACCCAAGGGTAAGTTTCAGATGGCCCAGGACAGCAGGGAACAGATACAGTGGTAGGTTAGAGGCATTTATAGTTTTCATGTAAAAATACAAAAGGGTCCTGGGCACGGTGGCTCACGCCTGTAGTCCCAGCACTTTGTGAGGTAGAGGTGGGCCGATCACAAGGTCAGGAATTCGAGACCAGCCTGACCAACATGGTGAAACACTGTCTCTACCAAAAATGCAAAAATTAGCCAGGCATGGTGGCGCATGCCTGTAATCCCAGCAACTTGGGAGGCTGAGGCAGGAGGATCCCTTGAACCCGGCAGGCAGACGCTGCAGTGAGCCGAGGTGGTGCCACTGCACTCCAGCCTGGGCAACAGAGTGAGACTTTGTCTCAAAAAAAAAAAAAAAAAAAAAGCCAGGTGCAGTGGCTCAAGCCTGTAATCCCAGCATTTTGGGAGGCTGAGGCAGGCGGATCACGAGGTTAAGAGATCGAGACCATCCTGGTTAACACAGTGAAACCCTGTCTGTACTAAAAATACAAAAAATTAGCCGGGTATGGTGGCGGGCGCCTGTAGTCCCAGCTACTTAGGAGGCTGAGTGAGCCGAGATCGCGCCACTGCACTCCATCCAGCCTGGGTGACAGAGCGAGACCCTTTCTCAAAAAAAAAAAAAAAATACAAATGGGAAGGTCATCATACCCCTCAAGAGTCTAGAGGCAAGGCCAAGATGTAGCAGAGAGAGTAAGGCCAGCAAATTGTAAGGGGAACAGGATGGGGGTGCAAAATTTGTCAAGATCAGAGCTGATCTCTCTCTGATGGGGGCAGAACCCCTCACCCTGCAGGCAAGGATGTCTTGTGAGCAGAAAGCTGAAGGACACAGCAGTGGATCTTGGCAGTTCAGTTTCGATGGGCAGATCTTCCTCCTCTTTGACTCAGAGAAGAGAATGTGGACAACGGTTCATCCTGGAGCCAGAAAGATGAAAGAAAAGTGGGAGAATGACAAGGTTGTGGCCATGTCCTTCCATTACTTCTCAATGGGAGACTGTATAGGATGGCTTGAGGACTTCTTGATGGGCATGGACAGCACCCTGGAGCCAAGTGCAGGAGGTAACAGGAGAAAAAGAAACGGGGATCTCAAATGTGATCAGAAATGGTGACCTCAAGAAGTTAGTTCTTGAGTTCAGCTTCAATCATCCCAGTATACACATTCACGTTAAAATGACCTCCTCGTGGGGCGCTCCTCCTGGGGTTACTGGCATGCCTGTGCTCTCCCACCGTCCTCTTCCTTCTCCCTCCTGACTCCTATTCCTCACTGCACTTGCTCCTGCTCCCCGCCCTGTGGATTTCTCACCAGCCTTGAAACTGCAGGTGTCACTGTTTTCAGACCTTTTTCCTTAGTGTTTCCTCTTTTGAGAATCACTTTTCCTTTCCTTTCCCTGGTCTGGTTCTGGAAATCCATCAAAACCACTTCCAACGCCAGCCCAGAGATCCTCCCCTCCCCAACTCTGGGGCATCACCTCCTCTTCCCCCACAGCAGGAGGGTGGGGTGTGTTGTCACCTTGCTTCCCTCAGCAGCTGTGTGAGCTCCCTGAGGACAAGACTCACCCCGTCTCCCTTCCTAAGCCAGGACCTGTCATACTGGCTGCCCCACACCAGGGGGGAGAGGACAAAACTTTTGCCTTCCAGGATGACCTAGGGTGGCAGGAACTGAGGAGGTGTCTCCTCAGATTTGGGGCCTGGACAAGGGTTGTCACTTTTGTGTTTCCATTTCAGCACCACTCGCCATGTCCTCAGGCACAACCCAACTCAGGGCCACAGCCACCACCCTCATCCTTTGCTGCCTCCTCATCATCCTCCCCTGCTTCATCCTCCCTGGCATCTGAGGAGAGTCCTTTAGAGTGACAGGTACTGTGGGCAGAATTGGAAGTGGAGCAAGGAGCAGGTGGGTGAGGAGGCAGGATGGGGAAAGAGAATTCCCGGAGTCCCGCCCCTCCCCGTGGCTGGGACCTTCTCATCCTAACATGAGACAGGTGAATGAGACCTTGTGTTGCCTGTTGGCAATGTTGGCAATGACCTGGGCAGCTCAGCCCTGAGTTCTGATGGATTCTCACCTTCAGAGTCCAGAGGGAAAGGGAGGGGCCCATACCAAGGCTCAGGGTCTGTTGAGCTTGAGAAGGTTTAGCAAGTTCAGGCCTGATTCAGAGCAGGTTCCTATTCAGGAAGGGTGTGTGGCCTGCAGGCAGCAGGAATTCAGACATGGGCAGTCCTCTTAATTGGGTTAGGTGCATCATGGTAGCTTTACATGAGGTGTGACAGGGGAAGGGGGATTCCATCTCTGAGGCTAAGAGAGATCTGGGTGTAATCCCAGGAGGAGGGGGCTGGGAGAACCTTGGTACACCTAATTGAAAAGGAGGGAGTGCAGGGCTGCCTTCCCACAGAAAGTGGCTTGGGTTCCAGGAATTAAGGTGGAAGGTGAAGAGTAGAGGCTGCTCAAGAGAAGGATTTTTAAAAAGTCAGTCCCATGGACATGTGCAGCTCGAGTCTGGGCCCTGAGGCAGCTCCCCTGCCATCATCCTCCTGCACACCCCAGATCCTGAGCCCACTGATGGCCCTGCCTGGAGCAGAGTGGACTCAGAGGAAGGGGGGTCTGAGCTGCTGCTGGGGTTCCACAGGCACCACTGGGCTGGACAAGGAATTGATAAGGTGGAACAGGGACAGTCACCTTCAGAGCAATGGGTGCTGCTCCCAGTGTGAGGAGAGGCTCAAGAAGAAGGGGAAAGAAGGATGTTTGCCTGCAGGCCCACCAAAGGCCAAGGGCACAGGAATATGGAGCCCTCTTTTTGGAAGTCTGCCCCACCCCTTGCCTGTTTTAGGCCTTCACATCAGATCATAGAGAGGGCCTTGAGTGAGGGCGCGGACCCATCACTACCAGCTTCAGACCTGCAGGCCCCTCCACTCCATCCCCTGGTCAGGTGCAGGGCCTGGGCTGACTCTGTGATGTGACAGAGGAGGAAAGAGGTAGGTCCAAGCTGCAGTCGCCAGGGTTGAGGCTCAAGGGAAAAATAGGTCCCTTAGTGCAGGGGGCTCTGAGACATAGAGTGACTAGGGAAAGATTACCCTGGAAAAGTGATCCGGGTTCTCTGCCCCTTAAACCAACATTTGTGTCCTTTCTGAAGGTTAAAGCTGATACCAAAAGGCTCCTGTGAGCACGGTCTTGATCAAACTCGCCCTTCTGTCTGGCCAGCTGCCCACGACCTACGGTGTATGTCCAGTGGCCTCCAGCAGATCATGATGACATCATGGACCCAATAGCTCATTCACTGCCTTGATTCCTTTTGCCAACAATTTTACCAGCAGTTATACCTAACATATTATGCAATTTTCTCTTGGTGCTACCTGATGGAATTCCTGCACTTAAAGTTCTGGCTGACTAAACAAGATATATCATTTTCTTTCTTCTCTTTTTGTTTGGAAAATCAAGTACTTCTTTGAATGATGATCTCTTTCTTGCAAATGATATTGTCAGTAAAATAATCACGTTAGACTTCAGACCTCTGGGGATTCTTTCCGTGTCCTGAAAGAGAATTTTTAAATTATTTAATAAGAAAAAATTTATATTAATGATTGTTTCCTTTAGTAATTTATTGTTCTGTACTGATATTTAAATAAAGAGTTCTATTTCCCAAAAACCTACGGTGTTTAGAATTTTGTTGTATTACTCAGTAGGGAATTAATGTTATTTCATTTTTCCTCCATGATATGGAGTAATAAATGAGTGATTCTACCAGATTTTGTGTGGAAAAAGAGAATCTACAAAACATGGCTGAGAAAAATCAGAGACAACACAAATACATAGAAAAATATTTCATGCTCATGGGTTGGAGAATCAATATAGCTAAAATGGTCATACTTCCAAAAGCGATTTATAGATGCAACACTTTCTCTATCAACACCAATGTCATTTTTCACAAAATTAGAAAAATCTAATCTAAAAGGTATTTGGAATTAAAAAAGAGCCCAAATAGCCAAAACAATCATAAGCAAAAAGAACAACGCCAGAGGCATCACATTGCCTGACTTCAAACTATAATATAAGGCTACGGTGATCGAAACAGAATGGTACTGGTACCAAAATAGACACTTAGATCAGTGGAACAGAATAGAGAGCTCAGAAAGAAACCTTCACACCTTCTAACCTTCAACAAAATCAACAAAAATAAGCAATGGGAAAGAGTCCCAATTCAACAAATGGTGCTGGGATAACTGGCTAGCCATGTGCAGAAGAATGAAACTGAACCTCTACATTTCACCATATATGTAAAATAACTCGACATGAATTAAAGATTTAAATGTAAGTCCTAAAACTATAAAAATCCTGGAAGATAACCTAGGAAATGCCACTTTGGACATAGGGCCTGGCAAAGATATCATAATGAAGACACCAAAAGTATTTGCAACCAAAAACAAAAACTGACAAATGTGATCTCATTAAACTAAAGAGATTCTCCACAGTAAAAGAAATTAGCAACACAGTTAACAGCCTATAGAATGGGAGCAATATCTGCAATCTATGCATCTGGCAAAGCTCTAATATCCAGAATCTACATGGAACTTAACAAGCAAGAACAAAATTGCAATTAAAAAATAAGCAAAGAATGTGAACAGACGCTTTTCAAAAGAAGACATGCAAGTGGCCAACAAACATGAAAAAATGCTCTTTGGGAAGCCGCAGTGGGCAGGTCACAAGGTCAGGAGTTTGAGACCAGCCTGACCAACATAGTGAAACTCCGTCTCTACTAAAAATACAAAAATTAGCCAGATGTGGTGGTGCATACCTGTAACCTGTAATGGTGCATAGTCTGATGTTGGAACTATGAAGTACCTTGGACTGGTACTTTATAGTGTTTTCCAGCAGACAGCACTGCTTATTTTTCAAATATTTCAATAAGTCGGGAGGGTTTGCTGACAGCGAGTTTGTGCCCTGAGCTCTTTGGCACTGAGGGCAAAGAGCAGAGGGGTGTGGTCTGGTGGCCCAGCATTTCTGCCCCGGGGGAGGATTCTCTTCTGCTGCAGTGAAAACCAACAGGACGCTGCTTCATCCCAAGGGGACTAGGAAGATAGGTCAGAGTGAGGAGCTTTCTGAGTGTTTCAGATCACACAGTGACTGCCTGCTTGATGGCTTCAGAACTCCTTCATTAGCTGGGAGACAGCCCCCGAGGTAAAAGGTGCATGGGCACGATGGGCTCGACATGACAGCTTTCGAGATGACAGGCAGTTTCTCCCGTGTGTTTCTATGTGTCTTTGTGTGTGCCCGTGTATGTGCATGGCTGTGTCTGTATTTCTGCATGCATTTATGTATGTGTGTTTGTTTGTGTGTGTGTGTGCCTGTGTGGTGTGAGTGTGTGTGTGTGACTGTGCCTGCATGTCTCTGTGTGTGTGCATGTGTGTCTGTGTGTGTGTGTGATAACATGCATATATGAATGGTGAATTGATTTTCTGCTTGATTTGCTATGGAGGGAGACAGGGACTCCAGGGGGGGTTCCTGCCCACCCCTTGTTCCCTGTCTTCTGACATTCCCTCCTCCCTGTGGAAAGAGTCTACCCCAGTAACTGAGGGTTCGTTAGTGCAGACGTCTCACAGCTCTCCAAAGTTCTGTGATATTTGTATCCCCAGGCCTCCTCCTCATGCTTGTCCATCTGCTGGATGCCCTGTCTTCTCGAGGCCACCTGGCCACGCTGTATTCTTCCTATGCCTACAAGAACAGTCTGAAATGCCATCTCCTGAGAAGCCTCCATGCAACTCTCCAGGCAGAATGAGTTACCCCCTCTTCTGCCCCCCGATAGCCCCAATGGCGGCGAGGACATCACATCAGCAGCAGCAGCCATGTGGGTGTTTGTTTCTGTCCCTCGATTCTAAGTGACTTGAGGACCGGACACATCCATCACCCACATGTAAACCCAGCACCTAGCACAATGGTTGCCATACTATGGGGTTTAAAATGCATGGGAGGAATCCAATCATCGGACTACCCCAGGGCTGCTAGTACTCAGACAGGGATCCACATAATTTAAGGGATTGGACAAAGGTCTTCATTTCTGTTCTTTCCAGCACCAACCTCCATGGCTCCACTCATCCCTACTCCTTCATCCTATTAAGATTGGCTGGTCAGGAGAGGAGTAGGGGCAGAAGCAGCTATACCTGGTCCCCTCCACCTCCCATGGTGGTGGGTGCACCCTTGGTGGGACCAGGTGCGCAAGACAACCCCTGGGCCTAGGGGACCTGCAGCCTCCGCGGCCCCACAGAAAGCAGGAGGAGCTGTTCAGCAACTTGCAGAGACAGCCAGAGAGTGCTTCAAGGACTGCATGGAGCTCTGGAGAAGTGGCAAATTCAGGACCCTCTTTTGTGGGGCATGAGATATATAGGCAGGATCATTTCTACCAAAGAGGCTGTCACTTTGGCTTATCAATACTTTCATCTCCCTACCCCTTCCAGATCACAGTGGGTGCTTTACTTGTTTTTATGGATTATTGTGTCAACCAAGATGAGAGGTCAGAATCACCCTAAAGATTTGAAACTTCTTCAAGATTTGACAAATGCGCATTTTAATGCCCCTCCTATTTTCAGGAAGCTGTGGCTAAAGAAAACATTTTATTATATAGCATTGCCCAAATTACTTATACAGAATTTTAAAAATCTACATAATGTCATACAACCATGTGAAAAGTAAAACTAAAATGCCATAACTTTTTGGGCCAGTAGTGGTGGCTCATGCCTGTGATCTCAGAACCTTGGGAGGCCAATGCTGGAGGATAGCTTGAAGCTAGGAGTTGGAGATCAGCCGTGGCAACATGGTGAGACCCTGTCTCTACAGAAAACTTTAAAAATTAACCAGGTGTAGTAGCATGTGACTGTAGTCCCAGCCCCTCAGGAGGCTAAGGTGGGAGGATGACTTGAGCCTGAGAGTTTGAGGTTGCAGGGAGTTGAGATGGTGCCACGGCACTCCAGACTGGATGGCAGAGTGAGAGCCTGTCTCAAAGAAAACAACAACAAAACAACAACAGAAGAAGAAATAACAAAACAAATTAAACACAAATAAGCTAAGTTGACAGACTTGTGGGACCCAAATGACCATATCATGCAATGTCCTTCTTTTGATGTAGAAAGGGGTATGCTGAGTGCCAGTATTCCCAGAATGTTCCATCTCATGAAATATGATTTCCTCTGGTAAACCCACTCCTTAGTCCAGGTCCTCTGAGAAGTAGATGCCTACATGGGATTCACATGAGGGGATTTCATTGGTGGAAACCCTGGGAGAACCGTTCAGCAGGACGCACTTCTGACCCCAAGTGCAGGAGGAGGGACAGAAGGTTGGGCAGGTGCATCCTACACTACAGTGAATGGTGCTGGGACAACTGGATGCCACATGCAGAAGAATGAGATGGGCCCCTTCCTTACAGCACACACAAAAACTAGCTCTAGATGAATGGCAGATGTCCAGCTAAGACATGAAACTATGATTGTCTCAGAAGAAAATAGAGCAGTAAATTTTTGTGACCCTGGATTTGGCAAATGCTTAACTACTGTAGGCCAGTAGCAAAAATGGCAAAATAAAAGGTAGTTTGATTTCATTTTATGCAAATGTAAAACTTTTGTGCTTCAAAAAGGACTCCATTTAGAAGGTAAAAAGAAAACTTGCAGAATGAGAGAAAATAATTGAAAATCATGTATCTGGTAAGGGACTGTTATTCTGAACATAAAAGAACTCTTGCAACTCAATATTATAAAATGAAGTAACCCAATTTAAATATATGCAAGGAATTTGAATAGACATTTCTCCAAAGTGAGACAGGTATACTACACGGTGGTCTCAAAAGAATAGGAAATTTTAGGCAGCAGTTTCAGGTGACTAGCAAAAGGAATCTGTTGAAATATCTGCAGCAGCTCTGGGCTGGTAAGTTGCTGAGAAACAGCATGTGGACCAAGGTGACTAAGAATGAGTGGATCCAACATGGCCCTGGATTTGACCTAGGTTTCACCTGGGACCTCATTACATGCTGATAAACATAATAAACACATACCAGCCAGCTCCCTAGCAGTTCTGAGAATGCCCATATTTGGTGTAAAAATTCGAGGCACCAGAGTTCTGAGAATCCCTGTCCTTCTTCCAGGAATTTTCATGAATATTCCATCCCTTGGTTGAAGAAACCAGGAAAGGTGGCAGCCCCAAACCCCCTTGCACCTGCCTCTCTCTTGAGTTCCCCTGCATTCCCTTTACACGAGTGTGTACTTTCCCTTTTACAAAAAAATCTCCGTCTTTTCTCTATTTTCCTACTGGTCCTAGAATTCATTTCCCCAGGCGGTGTCAAGAGCCCGACACCGGCTGGGGTCGAGGTCTCATCAGAGTTTGGGGACCACCGGTTGCCCACTGGCATCGGAAGAAGAATGCAAATGGCAGTGAGCCCAGGAAAAGGTGCTCAGTGTCCACAGACCTCAGGGAAATGCCAACAGCACCCACAAGGGGACGCCTCACCCCGCTGGAATGGGTGACCCCAAACACTGTGAGGCTGGAGGGGGTGGGGCCTGCGTTCCTTACAAGGCAGAGAGCAGGAGACTGAGAGTTGGTGGAGTGTAGGGCTGTGCCTGTGTCATCCTCTTCCCATTTTCCTGGCGGAGGTTTCTCTTTGTTCTCTGGCCCTCCCTGCTTCCTTCCTCTCCCTTTCTCTGGTTCTCCCTCCCGTCCTTCATTTCCAACCATCCCAAGGTTTTCTCCGCCCCACGACATGCATGCTCCGGGTCCCCAGCCCAGCGTAGAAACCAGGAGCCCTGGACCGCGAGCGGCGGGATCCAGGAGGCGACAACCTGACGCCCCTGCCGGACCCTGGACACTCAGGACCTAGTGCGTCCCGGCGCCCTCCTGTAGCGGCCCCAGGGCAAGGAGGATGGGGGTCCTCGCGGGGCCCACACTGTCGGAGCCCCACAGATTCGAGTGGGACGGTGAGGTCTACACACTGAGCCGGTGACAAAGTCCCCGCGAGGATGGAGGAGGGACCTCGTGCTCCTCACCCCAACAGGCCCCGCATTTCCTTGATCCTTCTGACACGGGAACCAAGGGTCCCTTGCCGCGACCAGCGAGTCATCCCAGGTCTTCGAAAGGCCGTTTTTTCCCGGACGCTGTGGACCCGGAGGCCCGGGGGTATCGGCCGGCAGCGGCGCACCCACTCCGGGGTCTCCACAGGGCAGGACCTGGGTCCGGAGCTCGGGCGAAGCGGACGCCCTGGCGGAGCCCGCAGAAGCCAGAATGGACGCGGAGGGGTCGAAACTGAAACCCCCAGGAGCGAACTTTCCCCCAAAGTCATCTGTGGTTGAAATCAGCAATCGCCTATAACATCCCCGGTGTGTCAACACCGTTTGGTAAATATCTAGAACCAGTGCCTCGTCACTGAGGCAGCCCCGCGCGCCCCTGCTTGGGTTCCGCGTCCCAGGACCCTCGGGGCCCACAACAGATCAGGCGAGCCCATCCGGTGACCCTCCCTGGGGCTCCGGCCCCACTCTTTCTTACTTCTTCACCTACATATTTTCACGTGTTTCAGGATCGAAACCATGAAAAGTCATGTGCGAAAGGCTCCCCCGCCCCTGCCTTCGTCCACTCTCATTGGCCACAGCCCGGAATGAGACATGATTGGATTCTTTGAATCTTTCCAGGGAGTCTTTATGCCATTTCAAACGCATATGTATAGATATTCTTCATTCAGACTTGGATATTTTTTGCTCTTGATGAAACCTGTCTCCCTGTCCTTCAGTTTCCCCTCCCGCTATAGTGGATGTTTCACCATCCTCTGCCCAAGCTGGGTCATCACAATCACAGACAAGAGTGTCGCCAGCATTGCCATCCGTGACATGAGACGCTTTAAAGGTGCATTAATTTGCACAACAATTCTGTGTCTGGAAATCTATTCTACACAATTAAGTTGAGATTCATGCAAGCACAGTTTCTGCAGCATTTAGTTTTTCTAAAAGTAACTGACTGGAGACCGTCTGGATCTTCAGACACAGACACTGGTAACATTTGTTGTGATGCAGTCATTCTATGTAATGTGCAGAGATAAAAAGGAAAAGAATCTGTATGTGCAGGTATTGGAAGATCTTGAAAGTGTGTTATTTTGAGATAGGATCTGCGTTCAGCAGAGTGCCTATGGGCTTATATTTGTTTTAAAGACCAGCACTGATACATGTACACATCTCTACTGTTAGTAAGGAAAACAGTATTTCCATAACTTATTGCCAGTCTGTTTGTCCGTTTTAGGAAAAATCAATATAGCTGAAAAGCCATGGTGGCAGATATTGGTCATCACCCGCCAAGATTCTACACTGCCTTACACATGGTCCCAGCTGAGGTTGCCAGAGGAACAGGATGTGGAATGCAGTCACGTTTCAGTGAAGAACCTGAAGTCAAACTGGACCAGGTGTCTTGTCTTGATTTCTGCCTCTTCACCCAACCCCCACCTGGTCAGGCAGTGACCCTGGAGGAGCAGGGACGATGCTTGGTGGGCAGTGAAGATGGGGAGCCAATTTTGGGAGCATGGTGAACATGGAGAGTCGGGACCCCACAGCAACTGGGGAGGAGCTGGTGTGATGCTGGGAGCACTGGGAAGACAGGGAGCCTAGGCACAGCACTCACTGCTCCTCCCATCTGGGACAGGATTGGGGTGGTGATGAGAAAAGTTTCCTGAGTAGCACAATTCCCAAGCATGGCAGAATGGCTCGCCCTGGTTGCCACTATGCCCAGCCCATCCTACACTTTATATTCTGTCAAGAGCAATTTTTAAAACACTGTATTCAGAACATAGACAAAGATAACCAACCACATGGGGAGATAAGGTAGCAATAACAGGAACCAGCTGAAATGTGCAACAGAGACAGAAAATACATGGAACCTCTAGATCAGTCCTCTGATAGAAATATAATGCAAGCCACAAGTGTGAGCCACACAGGGAATTTTAAATATTCTAGTGAACACATTGAAAAAATAAAAAGAAACAGGTGAAATATATTTTTACAACATTTTTAACTCAATATGTTTTAACTAAATTTTTTTTAACCAAAATTATTATTTCAACGTGTCATCAATGGAAAAATGAATAATGAGACATTTGACATTTTCATACTAAACCTTTGGAATTTGGTGTGCACCATATACTGACAGTACTTCTCAATTTAAACTAGTTGTATTGCAAGCTCTTAATAGCCTCATGTAGCTAGTAACTGCTGGGTTAGACTTTGCAGCTTTAGATTTTAGAATGATCTTGCCGGGCGCGGCAGCTCACCCCTGTAATCCCAGCACTTTGGGAGGCCAAGGTGGGTGGATCACCTGAGGTCGGGAGGTCGAGACCATCCTGACCAACCTGGTGAATCCCCTTCTCTACTAAAAATACGAAAATTAGCTCAGTATGGTAGTGCATGCCTATAGTCCCAGCTACTCAGGAGGCTGAGGCACAAGAATCAATTGAACCCAGGAAGTGGAGGTTGCAGTGAGCCGAGATCATGCCACTACACTTCAGCCCTGGCCAGCGAGTGAGACTCTGTCTCAAAAAATAAAATAAAATAAAATAAAAAATATCAGAGTTATCAGGCAGGGATTTACAAATAACTATGCTTACTATGTTTCAATAGCTTTAAAATAATGAAAAAAATCATTGAGCAAAAAATTTTCCTGGTTTTCTTGCTCTGTTGTTGCTATGTCACATGGGACCTGCCCGTTAGAGCTAAACAGTCAGTTTTGCTGTTTCTAGGCAGGAAAACGCTCACATCACAAGTAAATGTCGAGGCATCCCAGGAGGTTTCCCTGGTAATGTATATTTTCATTAGTCAATTCCAGTCTTAAAGGTACTATTCTCCTGACTTTTTAACGTTTTCCTAGGGTGCCATCCTGTATGTGAAATCCAAAATTGATGATTTCTTCTCAAAGGCAGTGTTACCATAATTCACACCATTTAGATATATTATAAAAAAGTGTTTAAATCTATTCAACATTGTTCATTAAGCTTCTGTCAGAATCATAAAAATATCTTGTCATGCCTGATTAATTCAACTGAGTTCAGTTTTGAAACAGCACTGCTGTTCTACAATGTGCTATTTATTGTTTAAGCCTAGAATTCATTAATGTTTCCAATAACTGAAAGGGATGGAGTATTTTACTAAGATATCTATCAAAATTATAATAAATTTAAGACTGTGGGCTGATTTTATGAAACCTATAAAATATAGAAAGAATAGGAAGTAAAAATGAATTTAATATAGTCCTAGAATTCATTTTGTCTAAAAGCCAATGTTCAGTGAAAACATTGTTGTTTTTCTCTTCTGCAAACCTGAAGCAAGTAATGCTAGAAATGTGATTTTCTACAGAACTGACAGGTTGGTAAGATGATACATGACTGGAGTAATATCATTCATCTGTTTAACATTTATAGCCTGGGAACATGCCTTATAATACGGCCAAATGCCTACAAGTTTCAATATACTCCTAAAGATAAGAGACTTTAAGCTCCTATGTTCACAAAGGAGTATTGTCTGTAAATTATATCTCAGTAAGTTTAATATTTATGAAAGGCGATAGGAGAGAAGACTAACAGTAGCTGAATAAGAGAAAAACAATAAGCTTGTCCGATCTACAAGTGCATCTATGAAAGGTAGGTTAAACTAGAAACCATTCTCCACCTCCTTGAGACTGTGACTAACAGCCTAGAACAGTACAAATCCACTGGATGAAGACAGGAAATAAGGTCAGGCTTCTGGCTCCCTCACCCAAATTACCCCAGAGAAACAATGGAAGGAAGAAGGAAACACTTGGCCAACAGACTACACAACAGCAACCCTGGTTGCAAGATAACAACGGAGTATTCTTTCTAAAATATAAAGGAAAAGAACTTGAGCCTAGAATTTTTTATCCAGTCAAATTCTCATTTAAATAGGAAGGTATCTTTTCTGTTGCAGCCATAACAAATTGCCACATACTTACCTGCTTAAATCAGTACATCTTTATTATTTCACAGAGTCCTCTAGGTTGCAAGTCTGAGATGGCTTGATTGGTTTCTCTGCTCCCAGTTCCTCAAGGTCAAGGTCAAGGTGTCCACCTGCTGGGCTCTGGTTGGGAGGTTCTGGGAAGCATCTGCTTCCAAGTGCACTCAGGTTGATGGCAGAATCCAGTCCTTGGACCTGTGGGACTAAGGTCCCAGCTTCCCTGCTGGCTGTCAGCTGCAGCCCTTCCCTAACTCCCAGAGGCCCCTCTCCAGTCTTGCTCATGGCCCCCACATCTCAGAGCCAGCAACAGTGCATGGAATCCTTCTCATGCTTAGAATCTCTCTGACATTGGACGCATATTTCTTGGCTCCAGCCTGAGAAAATTCTCTGCTTTTTAGAGCTCATGTGATGGCACTGGGCCCACTCAGAGAATCCAGGAAAATCTCTCTATTTTAAGGTCAACTGATTAGTAACTTTAATGATGACTGTACAGAGCCTAGACTAGCAGTACCTATACTCACAGTACCTAGACTAGCGGTGCCTAGACTAGGAGCAGCTGGTTTCTCTAGGCCCCTCACCCCTCACTCTCTCCATCCCCTTCTTCCTGGCCCCCCTTCCTTTCCCATTTCCATTCCCATTTTCATAATCATGTTTTCTTTGCTTAAAATACTGGATTTTCCTGCCGCTGGTATGCACCAGGCTCAAACAAGCAGGCTAAGACAGCCGTTAGTTGTCCTATCATCAGTCTTTTCTAGAACATATCGTTCTAGAAAAGGTACAGGAAACTTGAGGGGGCAGCTTCCAAATCCTGCCCACCATGGTGTATCAGAAATATTCAAAACAGAAAACTTGAAGGATATTTGCCTCCTAAAGATCCAAGTTGGAAATAGTTTAGAGGAAGGTACCTCAATAGCAAGAGAAACACAGGTGATGCGACAAGAGAACCGAGGAGGACAAGTGACCAAGGAATCTATTCCAGATTACTGTTATCTCACAACAAGGGGAAATGTGAAGTTGGGATCATAGAAACAAAGAAGTATAGCTAAGAATAACCGAGAATTACAGCTAGGAAAGCTATCAGGAAAATGGGGCTGGAGGTGGCACGTGAAAGGGATATGAAAACATGCTGAGACTTCTAAAATTAGGAATAAAACAAAACCAATAATACCAATAAATGTGACACATACTGGTATGAGTCATAGGTTAACGGCGGCCACCCTGAGAAGAAAACTAGAATGTATAACTTTTAAACCAACAGAAAAAAACCCTCAGTATACTAAATGGAACACAGGTATGGAGGGGAAATGCCAGCATTAAAAAACACAATAAATACATGTGGACCAGGCACAGTGGCTCATGCCTGTAATCCCTGCACTTTGGGAGGCTGAGGTGGGAGGATCGCTTGAGCTCAGGAGTTCAAGACCAGCCTGGGCAATATAGGCAGACCCCATCTCTACAGACAAATATAGAAAATTAGCCCAGTGGGTGGCGCATGCTTGTAGTCCTGGCTACTCGGAGGCTGAGGCAGTAAGATGGCCTGAGCCCAGGAGTTAGAGGCTGCAGTGAGCTATGACCACGCCATTGCACTCCAGCCTGGGCAACAGAGGGAGATCCCATATCTTAAAACAAACAAACAAAAAAGATGGCATAGCTAAATCCTAAACAGTAATAATTACAATAAAGCTGAATTGCTAAACTCATCACATAAATCAGTGAAACTCCCAGGTTGGATTTTAAAATATCAAATAATATACACTATTTTCAAAAGGCAATGTTAAATGTAAAGCTTAAAAATGGAAGGTATCTACCAAGAAAGGCTACTTTATTTGTTCGTTCGTTTCTTTTAGCGACTACAATATGCTTTATTGTTCTTGGAAAGGGCTCAGGGTTTGGCTTTAAATCAGGCTGCACGCTTTTCATCAGTCCCACATCTCTCTCCCCATGCCAAGCTGGCTCCAGCTAGCAATGCCACATTAAATTCCAGGGAGACCTTTAGAAACTTCCAGAAGCCTCCCTTCCTCCTGACCCCCCACCCCTGCAGTCCAAGATCTCCCATGTTGGCCCACGACCCCTGCTTAGGGTCCAGCCTGGAACTCACTGATCCGACCCACTCCGGACCAGCCTGGTAGCAGGAGTAGAGGCTGGAGGCAAACACCCAACTCTGCGCCAGCACCTGTGCCACTGGAGACCTGGAGCCCAGGGTGTGATATGCTTGGAGGAAGCAGAGGGTCCCTGTGTGAGTCACCCCGGCCCTCAAGGCTGTCACAGCTCCAGTGGCCCCACCCCGCCCACTTGCAACTCCAGGCCATGGGTCCAGAAATGTCTGGATTCTTGTTCCCTTTCAGACCCCAACCTTTCTCTTCTCCTTCTCTTTCCTCCTGGCCCCCTTATCTTTTCCCATTTCCATTCCCACTTTCAGACTCGTTCCTTATTTGTTTAAAGCACAGATTTTCGGCTGGGTACTGTGGCTCATGCCTGTAATCCCAGCACTTTGGGAGTCTGAGGCGGGCAGATCACGAAGTCAGGAGTTCAAGACCAGCCTGGCCAACATAATGAAACCCCGTCCCTACTAAAAATACAAAAAAATTAGCCGGGTGTGTTGGCTGGCACCTGTAATCCTAGCTACTGGGGAGGCTGAGGCAGGAGGATCTCTTGAACCTGGGAGGCGGAGGTTGCAGCGAGCCGACATTGCACAACTGCACACCAGCCCCTGCGACAGTGAGAGACTCTGTCTAAAAAAAAAAAAAAAAGGCAAGATTCGTTTGGCCCTGGTGCACTCTAGGCTCAGTCAAACCAGCTGAAGTCTATCATTATGCTGTCCATCATTATGCTATGTTTTTCTAGAAGATTCTATCCTGTTGAAGCACCCCCAGACTGGTTGAAAACCAAGTTACTCTTCCTTGGAAAATCTTTGTGGACACCCAGGTGGGCATACAAATTTCCAAGTCTTGGCCAGTTTCAGTGGCTCACACCTGTAATCCCAGCACTATGGGAGGCTGAGGCAGGTGGATCACCTGAGGCCAGGAGTTTATAAGACCAGCCTAGCCAACATGGTGAGACCTGTCTCTACTAAAATTGCAAAAATTAGTTGGGCACAGTGGCAGGCCCTGTAATCCTAGCTACTTGGGAGGCTGAGTTAAAAGAATCGCTTCAACCCTGGAGGAGGCGGTTGCACTGAACTGAGATCATCCCACTTCACTCCAGCCTGGGCAACAGAGTAAGACTCAGTCTCAAGAAAAAAAAAAAAAAAGACAAAAAAAGTATTACCAACTTGTGCCAGCCATGAGGTCTACAACCTCGATGCTGCCACCCTCAGGACCCTGGGGGTTACAACCTCCACTCCAGCTCCCCTCTGAACCTGTGCTTTTCCTCTGAGCCCCATTCACTCCCACAACTGTCTCATTCATTCACTGGTTCACTCAGCCTCCAACCACCCTTAAATCATGTCAGGCTCACCAGCTGACGGAGAGAAAAATCATCCTTTGTAGGTCTGAAAAACGTGTCTGAATCCTGATGGTGGGTCTTGTTTTCATTTCCACCCCCTCACAGCACACTCAGGGCCATGAAGAGGCCATGGCCTGGGCTCAGAGCTCCAGCTCTCCTCAGGGTGGGCCTGGCATTTGCTGACTTCAGGGAGGGTGGCAGGGCTCACAACTGAAATAGGAGACCTGCCCTGGGTCCTTAGCATGTGCAAGGATAGGGTTCTTTGTAGAATCTGCTCATTTCATCTGTGTTCATAGCATCTGTCATTTTCCACATGCGGACATCCACACCCAGAAAGCTGAAGAAGCTTGCACAGGAATATTCAGCCACAATATGAGCTGACTTCCATATCTGAATGCATGATCTCTAGATCCCGGCCATTACAATAACCTTTGGGCCACTTCTATGCCCATCCTGGGCAGGCCTGAGTCTAGTGGCCGGATGCCTGCAGCAGGGGTGAGGCAGGAGGGCCCAGGTGTGCACACAGGCCCCTCCTCCTGTCACCTGGCTGTCCTGCTTGGGGCTCTCCTGCCAGCCTCCTTCTGCCTTCCTCCTGTTCCCGCAGTCACTGGCCCAGGTCACCCGGCCTCAGGGGTGGTGCTGCCAGGGACTTCCCAGTGGCCTCCTCCTAGGACTAACCTGAGCTCCTGCCCCCAGCCCTGTACATGGGAGGCTTTTCTCACACACAGATCCCTGGGCCCACCAAGCTATTCCCCTCCCAAATCTGAGAACTGCCCACCCCCGTGTGACTGTTGTCCTGCCGACCACCCTTCATGTAGCCCCTCCTGGACAGAGGCTCTAGTGCATCAGGCCAGAACCTTTTGGCTCCTGTGTCCCTGCTCAGTCACAGAGATGGCTGCCATCCCATGTCCCTGTCCTGAAGCATAGTCAGGCCCTGGGCTTGGTCCAGGCCTCCTCCCCTTTCCCACAGCCTCAGGACCCTGGTGATTGATGGTCACCAGGTGAAGGTCTCCCCACATGAAGACTGTGTGGAGTGGGAGGTCTGTGCCTATTTTTCTCATTCATTGGGGAATGGGCTGAGTGGCTGGGGGCAAAGTGGGACTCAGGGGCTCTGCCCAGTCCTTACTGCAGGCTAAGCCCTCCCTTGCGGCCAAGAGCCACTGGGCCCTCCACCTCCCTCTGGCTTCTACCCGCAGATCTAGATGGTTTCATGGTGACTCAGAGGAGGATGCACTCGGGCGTCCCTTTTGAGGATGGCTGCAGGGACCATCCAGGGACTGAGCCGAGGTGCAGATACAGCCACGGATTTGGGTGTTGTTAGACACAGAAGGGTGTGTAGCAAAGTGAGCCCCACGCATGCGTAGACTCTTCCCTCGGCTTCTGCTCTCCATGGAAACACAACTGATCACATCATGATTGATCACGGTAGCCCTCTAGGGCTTTCTTTCTTTTCTTTTTTTTTTTTTCCAGAAGTCATAAAGGGATATAGAATATACTCAAAGACCACCTCATGCTTTTAGTGGAGAGGCAAAAAAGGTTCGCTCCGGAATGGGGAAGCGGCTGCGCCCTGGACGGAGAGGGGCGGGGACTTCGCGACTGCAGGCGGAGGGAGGGCGGGTGTCGCTGGCGCAGGCGGTGACAGGGAGACACCGCCGCCACTGAGTATTCCTATGCAAGTTTCTTCATCTTCCTGTGCATCAGTGTTTACACTGGGGTAATGATAAATGCTGTGTTGAAAAATTATTTGATGGGGCCATGGAAGGAACGGAAGGAACGGCGTCCTGGCCCGCTCGGGGCCCGCGCACGCCGCCACCAAGCCGCGGGGGCGGGTCGGAGGGGAGAGTTGCGTCAGCCAGGCCGCTGTCAGATGACGAGCCCGGGGCGTGACGGGGTGGAGCATCCCCAAAAAAGTGCATGCCTAGGATCCCGCCCAGTGTATCCCTGCGCGCGGCGGGCCGGGCTGGGCAGCTTTATAAACAGCCGTGGTGTGAGCCTCGAAGGGAACCATCAGCGCCTCCTGTCCACGGAGCTCCAGGTCTACAATGGCAGCGGCCGCCAGCCCCGCGTTCCTTCTGTGCCTCCCGCTTCTGCACCTGCTGTCTGGCTGGTCCCGGGCAGGATGGGTCGGTGAGTTCGGGGATGTAGCCTAAGCAGGGCGGGGGCCAAACCTGGGAGGTTGTGGACTGCAGCGGGTTTCAGAGGAGGGGAGGCTTCTGGAAGGACCGGCGCGATCTCCCTGAACGAACATCGCGGTCTCCCCGAACGTCGCGGTCCCTCCGAACGTCGCGGTCTCCCCGAACATCGCGGTGCCCCCGAACATCGCTGTCTCCCCGAACATCGCGATCTCCCCGAACATCGTGATCTCCCCAGACATGCCCAGCTGAAGGCACTCAGTTCCCCTCGGTGGCTCCTTTCCGCCGGGTCCGCTTCCTGCGGCTGCTGCTTGCCCCTCAGGCCAGGAGGTTTCTGGAAGGACCGGTGCTGTCTCCCCGAACATCGTGGTCTCCCCGAACATCGCGGCCTCTCCGAACATCGCCCTCTCTCCGAGCAACGCGATCTCCCCGAACATCGCGGTCTCCCCGAAAATCGCGATCTCCCCGAACATTGCCATCTCACCGAACATCGCGATCTCGCCGAACATGCCCGGCTGAAGGCACTCAGTTCCCCTCCGCGGCTCCTTTCCGCCGGGTCTGATTCCTGCGGCTGCTGCTTGCCCCGCAGGCCAGGAGGCTTCTGGTAGCACCGGCGCGATGCCCCCGAACATCGCGTTCTACCCCAACATCGCGATCCCTCCGAACATCGTGATCCCCCCCGAACATCGCCGTCCCCCCGAGTAACGCGGTCTCCCCGAACATCGCGGTCCCCCCGAACATCGCGGTACCCCCGAACATCGCCGTCTCCCCGTACATTGCGATCCCCCGAAACATTGCGATCTCCCCGAACATCGCGATCTCGCCGAACATGCCCGGCTGAAGGCACTCAGTTCCCCTCCGCGGCTCCTTTCCTCCGGGTCCGCTTCCTGCGGCTGCTGCTTGCCCCATAGGCCAGGAGGCTTCTGGGTGGACCAGCGCGATCTCCCCGAATATCGCGGTCTACCCGAACATCGCGGCCTCCCCGAACATCGCGGTCTCCCCGAACATCGCGATCCCCCAGAACATCGCGGCCTCCCCGAACATCGCGGTCTCCCCGAACATCGCGATCCCCCAGAACATCGCGGTCTACCCGAACATCGCGGCCTCCCCGAACATCGCGGTCTCCCCGAACATCGCGATCCCCCAGAACATCGCGGTCTCCCCGAACATCGCTGTCTCCCCGAACGTGCCTGGCTGAAGGCACTCAGTTCCCCTCCGGGGCTCCTTTCCGCCGAGTCCGCTTCCTGCAGCTGCTGCTAGCACCGCAGTCCAGGGGGAGTGTCAAAGAAGGCTGAAAAGGAATTGCAGGAGGGTGGAGGGACCAAAAGGCTACAGAGGGCAAGGTAGGGCGGGGATCCCTGGTGCAGACCCGCAGCCCCACTGGCCCTAGGGAAGGAGAAACCAGATTCCCGAACCCTAGCTGGGGTCAGGACAGGGGTAAAGGGGAGTTCCACAGGGACGCGATCACAGACTCCCCCATCAGCCACAGCCCTGCTCTGCTCTGACCTGCTGTTCACCACACAAAGCTTCCAGCAGCCCCAGGGCTCCCTGCCCTGGAACTTCGCCCCTACACTTTGCTGCAGACACTCACCTGCACGCAGGGGCTCACCAGACACTTGCTACCCTTCCCCTCACCATTCACTTTCACCACCCAGGTCGCATCCTTTCACTCCCCATCTCAGCTCACCCCTGTCACCACACAGGCCTCCCTCACCTCCCCATCCATGAAGGGGCCCTTAGCACCTCCCCCGACCAACTAGCACCTTGTCCCCTTTTGCCTGAGGACACACCCCAGCAAACACACCCCAGGCTTTCCACAAAACTTAATGCAGGGGGGACGGGAAATCCCATTTCCCTCACGATGACCCTGGGAGCGCCGGTGAGTAGAGGTGCCCACTTCTGCCCTTGGGTCCCAGACCCGCCTGTTCTTCCGACTGGGGAGCCAGGGTCATATAGAATAGTCACTAAGCAGACAGGAGTCAGCAAACCCTTTCTAGAAAGGAAAGGCTGAAGGCACTTTGGTCCTTGCTGGCCGTGAGTTCTCTGTCTGTGTGTCAAGTCCTGTCCCTTTGTAGAGCAACAGCAGGCAATGGTAACCTGCAAATAAAAGGGAGAGCAGATGTGGACCCTGTCCTAGGTTGCTGACCCCAGATGAGGGCACATGCTGTGTCCTGGCAATTGCTGCCCCATCCCCTAGGGTGTCATCTCCAAGTAGTGTAAGTTGAAGAGTCACAAGTGTGTCCTACCCTGCCTGTGGCTTCTGGGTGGTGTGGATGTGATGGATGTGAATGGAGGTCCTATGGTTCTGGGCCTACTGCGCCCCTCCTTTGCTGCTGGGTGGCATCATAGGTCCCTCAGGGCAATCAGGGACCCTCCTTAAAGCCTCAGGTGTGAGCTAAGGGTGAGGGGGTGCAGCCATGTAGTGTCCTGGGGATCGGGGCCAACTGCTTGTGCAGCTTCTTGGTTCCCTGTGGCCCTGCTCCTGCCCATCCCAGGAGACCCACCTGTGTCTTCTCACTGTGGGGCCTATATTCCTAATGACCTAAAGGGTGAGGAGCCCACCCTGTGATGGGCAGCTCTGAGGCTGTGTGGTCACTGCCCTCCCATAGCTGGAGGCCCATCTCCACAGGGGCCCAGGACCACAGCAGGAGCCACTTTTAAATGAGGGGATTTCACTGCTGTGAGTGGCACAGCCTTGCTTCTGAGCACTAGGGGATCCTGTTGTGATTCTGCGGTTGGCAATTGCCATGAAATCCACATAGCACCTTTTCCAACCACATATGCCTCTGGGATCTTAGGGAGTCCAGGGTCAAATAGCTGTATTGGTAGGTCCAGCGTCACCCCTCATCACAGGGTGTGTATGGCTGCATCCCAGCTACAAGAGCAGAGTTAAGTAGTGACAGGGGAGGTCATATGACCAGCACAACCTATAATAGTTACTACATTAACTACAAACACTATCCATTCCCGGTAGAAATCCAGGAAATGTGAAATTACCATCGAATGGGTCTATGAACCCAGCCCATCCCTCTAAGCTGGACCTGACAGAGGTGTCCATCTGTTACTTTGCCCTAAATGCACCTCATGAGTAATAGGGGAGCAAGTTAATGCTTTAGGTCCCTGGGAGGAGGTTGGATCACACACTGTGTCTACTAGGAGTGTCTGGGTATTTGCCATTTCATGGCATACAGTTACCAGAGTGAATGCCCATCTGGCTCTCTGGGGGAGGCTGAGGGAGTCATTGCAGTTGCTGTGGGGTTGAAGGAGCCCACCAGGGCCTCTGGGCTCTCCTTCTAGCAATGGACTCTGGGTCTGAGATGTGGCTCAGTTCTCAAAGCTGGGCAAAGGAGCTCAGTTATTTCCTAGGGTGACTCCTTTCAGCCTTCAGGTCATCCATCCTTGCGTTTTGTCTTTGTTTGTTGTAATTATTTATATCTAGCAGTATCCGGGTTGAGTTTCCATTTCTTTTGGATCCTTGACCCCTTTGTTCTATGAGCCATGGGCATACATTTTTAAGGCTGAGGTCCCCCACTGGCATTGTGACTTCTTTAATTATTTACATCATTGCACCCTCCTTCCTGCTGACAGTTGACGGCCTCCGCTTGAGATCTCTTATTTCAGGATTTTCCATCCCCATTACTACTGGGAGCCCATTTCAGGAACAGCATTTCCTACCCCCAACCCCGGCCTTCAGCAACAGGCATTCCTGGGCTTCTTGATAGTCTGCTGCCTTCTCCTGGGGCCTTCTTTATATGCTGGGTATACAAGAGTCCTCCAGTCATCCCATGAGCACAGAGGATGGACGTTGTTCTGGATTTTCATATTGCAACCACTCTGGCATGGGTGCTTCTCTGAGCCTTTTGATTCTTTCCCTTACACCCTGATGTAGAAGTTCTGGGTTTTCAACTTCTTGCCCTGTGAACCATCCCTTTACAAGGTTCCAGAAATGCATGCTCATAGCAGATGGGCATCTTCACTGGGGCTTTGCCAACGTGTTAAATCATGTGACCCATGACAATAATCACTTGCTTATCTAAACTGAATTCTGCCCTCACCCCACCCACTGTGCTGGAGCATCCCAGGGCAGCTCCCACACACTCTCCCACCTCCTGCAGTCCACATGGGCTGCTGCTGAGGGTCCTCCTCATCCAGGCCTTTTCCTGCCACAATAGGCCTGGCACCTCCACCACAAGGTCATGTGCTGACTGATGTCGGCACAGAGCAGGTGGGACATGTCTGGAGGGGACATGTGGTTTCATGGCTGCAGGAACCTTCCCCTCCGTGTACTCAAGCAAGGGAGACGCTCTAGTCATTAACTAGTTTTCATGACAGTCCTGGCTGGGGCATGTCTTGGTCTGCCAGCCCAGCCCCTCAGAGGCCTTCACTTGCAGTCACCATAAGTGGGAGGAGGGGATACAGGTTCCATTTCCCCCCACACCAACCCCCTCCTGTGTTTTTCTTCCACAGACACACACTGTCTTTGCTATGACTTCATCATCACTCCTAAGTCCAGACCTGAACCACAGTGGTGTGAAGTTCAAGGCCTGGTGGATGAAAGGCCTTTTCTTCACTATGACTGTGTTAACCACAAGGCCAAAGCCTTTGCTTCTCTGGGGAAGAAAGTCAATGTCACAAAAACCTGGGAAGAACAAACTGAAACACTAAGAGACGTGGTGGATTTCCTTAAAGGGCAACTGCTTGACATTCAAGTGGAGAATTTAATACCCATTGGTAAGTTTAAAATGGCCCAGGGAGCAGACACAGTAGTAACTTAGAGTCATTTATTGATTTCATATGAAAAATAAATCAGAAGTTTGTGTCACCCAAGAGGTTGAGGAGCATGGGCCGGATGCAGCAGAGAGAGCAAGTCCAGGAGCCAGGAAAGGAAGCAGGGTGGGGCTCAGGCTTTGTCAAGATCAGAGCTGATCTCTTTGCAATGGGGCAGAGCCCCTCACCCTGCAGGCCAGGATGTCTTGTGAGCATGAAGCCCATGGACACGGCAGAGGATCTTGGCAGTTCCTCTTCAATGGACAGAAGTTCCTCCTCTTTGACTCAAACAACAGAAAGTGGACAGCACTTCATCCTGGAGCCAAGAAGATGACAGAGAAGTGGGAGAAGAACAGGGATGTGACCATGTTCTTCCAGAAGATTTCACTGGGGGATTGTAAGATGTGGCTTGAAGAATTTTTGATGTACTGGGAACAAATGCTGGATCCAACAAGTAAGTGAGAGGGGGATAAATGGAAGCTGTCTCGAGTTCAGATCTTATCAGCTGGTGTATGTGTGTGAGTGCGTGTGTGTGTGTGTTTGAGTGAGTATGAACATGACCCCCTCATGGGGGGCTCCTCCTGGGGGTCCTGGCATGCCTGTGCTCTCTCATCCTCCTCTCCCTTCTTCCCCCTGACTCCTCTTCCTCACTGCACCTGCTTCTGCTCTACCCACCGCATTTCTCACCAGCCTCAAATCTGTGGGTGTCATAGTGTTTCCACATCTTTTTCATTAGTGTTCCTTCCTCCTAGAATCACCTTTTCTTTCCTCTCCCCTCATCGGTTTCTGTAAATCCATCAAAATCACCTCCAATGCCAGGGCCTGAGGCCCTCCCCTCCCTGGCCCTGGGACATCACCTCCTCTTTCTCCACAGCAGGAGGGTGGACTGTGCTGTCACCTCGCTTCCCTTAGCAGATGTGTGAGCTCCCTGAGGGCAGGGGACACCCCCTCTCCCTTCTTACCCCAAGACTTGTCCCAGAGGTTGCCCCACAGCAGAGGGGGACAAAAGGTCTGCCTTCCAGGATGACCTGGGGTGGCAGGAGCTGAGGAGACATCCCCTAAGATTTTGAGCCTGGACAAGGGTTGTCACTCCTGTGTTTCCATTTCAGAACCACCCTCTCTGGCCCCAGGCACAACCCAACCCAAGGCCATGGCCACCACCCTCAGTCCCTGGAGCCTTCTCATCATCTTCCTCTGCTTCATTCTAGCTGGCAGATGAGGAGAGTTGTTTAGAGTGACAGGTACTGTGGGCAATATTGGGAGGGGAGCAAGAGGCAGATGGGTGAGATGGGAGGATGTGGAAGGAGAATTCCCAGAGTCCCAGAGGCCGGGAACTTCTCATCCTGACATTAGACAGATGAATGAGACCTGCTGTCACCTGTTGGCAATGACCTGGGCAGCTCAACCTTGAGTTCTGATGGATTCTAACTGTCAGAGGCCAGAGGGAAAGGGAGGGACCCATACCAAGGCTCAAGGCCTGTTGAGCTTGAGAGGGTTTAACCAATTCAGGCCTGTTTCAGAGCAGGTTCCTATTCGGGATGGTGTGTGGCCTGCAGGCAGCAGAAACTCAGGCATGGGCAGTCTGCACAGTAGGAGAGGAGTAGCATGGCCACTTCACCAAGGATGTCAAGGGAAGGGGTGTCCCTGGAGGAGGCTAAGAAGAGAGTGATCTGGGAGAATCCCAGGACGAGGGAGCTGTGAGGGTCTTGGCCCACCCAGTTCCAAAGGCTGCATTCCCAGAGAAAGCAGCTCGGGTCCCAGCAGTTAAGGTGGAAGGTGAAGAGTAGAGCGTGTCCAGGGTGAGATTTAGGAAAAGGCCAGGCCCCTTGGACCCATGGGAGTCCTTGCCAGGCCCTGGGGCGATGCCCCTGCCATTCTGCCTCCTTCATACTCCAGATCCTGAGCCAGCTGATGGCCCTGCCTGGAGCAGAGTGGACTCAGGCAGGGGAGCTGAGCTGCTGCTGGAGTTCCATGCTCACCACTGAACTTGGCCAGGAATGAATGGGGCAGGGCAAGGACAGTCCCATTCAGAGCTATGGGTGCAGCTCCCAGGGTGAGGAAAGGCTGAGAGTGAAGGGAAAAGAAGGTGGTTTGTCTACAAGCCCACCCAAGGCCAGGGAACGTGGATAGAAAGAGCTCTCTTTGGACAGGGTTCCCCCAGGTCCTCTAGACCCTTCTATGAGAGGGAGGAGCAGGCCCTCAGTGAGGGTGCAGACCCCTCATTACCAGCCTCAGTTGTGAGCCCCCCTGGGCTGTAACAGGACCTGGGCTGGCTCTGTGGTGTGGTGAAGGAGGGTGGAGGTTGGAACAGGGTACAGAGCCAGGGGTAGTGTTGGAGGGAAAAGCATGTTTCTTATTTGTGGGAGAGGTTCCGAAATGGGGAGGGCCTGGGAAGGATCACCCAGGAGAACAGACCCAGGTTTTTCTCAGCCACTTAAACCAATGCTTCATCTTTTCTCAAGGTGGAAAGTGATATCAAGAAGCCTCTGTTAGCCTGGTCTGGGTCCTGCTCTCCCTTCAGGGAGGCCGCCTGTCTACTCACCACTGTGCCTTTCTGGAAAGCAGGAGTTCAAGCCTTAGCAAGCCCAGAGGCCCCCAGCAGACGATGAGGACATTGTCGGCTCAACATCTCAGGCCACTCATTACCTTCGCTCATGATCCCAGCAGCCATTTTTCTTAACACCTTCTGCCACTTTCTGTCGGTGCTAATGGATGGAACTCCTGCACAAGTTTTAACTGAACAAGAAATCCCAGCAAAAGGCATTTTTTTTTCTACTTCTTTGATTGTAGAAAAGCAGACACTTCTCTGAAACATGACCTTATTCTTCCAAACAGTATCGCTAGTAAAATAGCATGCTGGACTTCAGACCTCAGGGATCCTTTTGATGCACTGACCAGGAATTGTGATAATCCTTTTCATTTTTATGGCTTTTTACAGTTTCTCATTCTGTCAACCATATTGAAGTGAAGTGGCATAGTCTTCACTCACTGTAATCTCCAGCTCCTGGGCTCAAGTGATCCTCTAGACTCAGCCTCTAGAATAGCTGGGACTACAGGCACATGCCACCAGGACTGGCAAACTGTTTTATTTTTAGGTAGAGGTAGGGTCTTCCTATGTTGCCCAGGATGGTCTTCAAATCTTGGTCTCGAGCAATGCTACCACCTTGGCCTCCCAATGCTCTGGGATTACAGACATGAACCACAGTGCCTGTTGTAGAAATTTTTAATTATTTAATATGAAAATATTACATTCATGATTATTTTATTTAGTAAATAAAATAATAGAGAGCCCAGAAATCAACCTGCACACCTACCGCCATCTAATCTTCAATAGAAATGGGCAATGTGGGAAAGACTCCCTATTCGAAAATTAGTGCTGGAATATCTGGCCAACCATATGCAGAAGAATGAAACTGAACCCCTACTTCTCCCCATATATGTAAAATAATTCAATATGGATGAAAGATTTAAATATAAGTACTAAAACTGTAAAAATCCTGGAATATAACCTAAGAAATACCAATGTGGACATAGGGCCTGGCAAAGATTTCATGAAGAAGACACTAAAAACAATTGCAACAAAAACAGAAATTGACAAATGGGGCCTCATTAAACTAAAGAGCTTCTGCACAGAAAAAGAAACTAGCAACACAGTAAACAGACAGCCTGTAGAATGGGGAAAACTATTTGCAAACTCTGCATCTGATGAAGGTCCAATATCCAGAATCTACAAGGAACTTAAACAATTCAACAAGCAAGAAGAAAAAACCCAATTAAAATTGGGCAAAGGCATGAACAGACACTTTTCAAAAGAAGACCTACAATTGGCCAACAAACATGAAAAAATGCTCAGTATCACTAATCATCAGATAAGTGCAAATCAAAACTGCAATGAGTTACCATCTCTTACCAGTCACAAAGTCAGAGATGGTGGTGAGGCTGCAGAGCAAAAGAAACAGACACTGTTGGTGGGAAAGCAAACTTGTTCAGCCACTATGGAAAGCAGTTTGGAGATTTCTCCAAGAACTTAAAATAGAACTACCATTCAATCCCGCAATCCCACTACTCGGGATATACCCACAGGAAAAGAATTCATTTTATCAAAAAGACACCTGCACCAATATGTTCATTACAGTGCTATTCTCACCAGCAAGGACAGAGAATCAATCTAAGTGCCCAACAACAGTAAATTCAATGAAAAAAAATGTGGTACATAGATACGATGGAAAACTATGCAGCCATGAAACACAAGAAAATCATGTCCTTTTCAGCAACATGGATGCAACTAGAGGCTATTATCCTAAGCAACCTAATGCAAGAACAGAAAACCACATACTGCATCTTCCCATTGGAAAGTGGCAGCTAAACATTAAATTCGCATGAACCACAGATGCTGGAGATCACCAGACCGGGGAGAGAAGAGGGGCACCTGGGCTGAAAAACACACCTGTTGGGTATCATGCTTACTGTCTGGGCGATGGGATCATTGGGACACCAAGCCTCAGCTTCTCAAATTCTACCCATGTAACAAACCTGTATATGTACCTTGTATTATATAGGTTGAAATTAAAGATGAATAAATAAAATAAAATGACACAAGGCCAAAAACAAATGGGTTTAACTGACCAGAGCGAGAGAACTCTGCACTATGAACCCAAACCCAGCTCAAAAAGATAAAATCTAGTCATTTAAGATAATCATAAGTTGTATGATGATAATTGTATAAAAATTTGTATGATGATAATTGTATAATAATTATACATGAAAGTGCCAAAACCCTACAATTAAACACTGTATAATGGAATTACAGATGAGTTCCATCTTGTTCTTTATGCCCTCACTTTTTTTTCCATTTTCAAGTGACATTTTTGTTTATCCTCAGGAAATCCTTGCTGTCAGCCTTCTCCTTCTGCACCCACCACCTCCTTTTCCACTGTCCACCTCAGGCCTTCCTCTGGTCTGGGACTGTGGCTTCCTTGGCACTGAAGGCCCAAGAGTTGCATTCAGCTTTGGGAGAGAGGAGGATGCAGGGCAGGTTGTGGAGGTGGTCTTGGCATTGCAGAGGAACCTAACAGCTCGAGTACTCTATCTCAGACAACTGCGTTTCTCCACCAGGTTAGCTACAACCAAGCCAACCTTGCCCTTTTCCTCGTTTTTTTCCTAATACTTCCGAACTCGTACTTGAAAATTTATATTCTTCCTCCTAACAGTTCTTTCTACTTCTTGTCCGCACAATATATCCTGATTTATTATGCCCAGAAAACACTGGACTCACCATGTCCATGACAGCTACAAGGCCACAGCTACAAGTCTCCACTTGCTGAAGGGGCACCAGGGGCTTGGAGCCCTTCAAAAGCCCCTGCCCCAGAGAACTCTATTTGGCCTATCTGGGACTCACTGGAAAAGCCCCATTCATTGGGTTTGTCATTGTTTGACCTGCTGAGGTCTCTTTCTAGGGAAAAGCCAGATCCTCAGAGCATTGGCTAAAAGCAGTCTTTGCAACCATACAACTCCACCGTTTGTATGTGGGGCAAACAAGAGGCTAGTGGGGGAAATTGAGAGAAAGATTTGGGGAATGAGATGTGCATAGAGGCTGGCACGTGCCCAGGAAGCACCTGAGAAGGCCACATCTCTGATCTTTGGCTGACCTGGAGGTTCTGTGCAGGCAGGAAGTGGAGCTGCAGTGGTGACATCAGCTGCCCGCCTGAGTGCAGCAGGGGCAGGAGTGCACCACACACACAAAACCCTCCGCACTGGGGAGAGACTCGCCGGCTCAAGGCATTGATGCAAACCTCTATCCAACCTCACCTAACTGAGCAGAGACTTCAGGGTCCACCTGTGACAGGGAATACAGATGTTATAAGATCCATCCAGGAAAGTCACTAAACAAGCAGCAGTAACACACCTTGAAGAGAGGGGACATCTGATTCCCAGAGCTGTCACATTGTATTCTTGTAAACATTCCGTTTCATCTCAAAAAACCACAAGAGGTGCAAAGAAGCAGGGAAGGATCCCCAGACACGAACAAGAAACTAGTCCCTGGAACTGTCCCCAAGAAAGCCCAGCCATTGGTCTTAGTGAGTTACTCACTGTCACTCTGAGGCAATGGCAGTCAAGGGGAGACTGTGTGGAGGAGGCTGTTCAGCTTCCTCATTTCCATGGAGACAGGACTCAGCAGAGGTGGCGCTAGAGACTGAATGTCTATGTGCCCCTAAACATAGTGCCTAATGTGTACTAGGAGAGGGAGGCTTTGATAGGTTATTAGGGTATGAGAGAAAAGCCCTCAAGAATGGGGCTGGATGGCCAGGTGTGGTGGCTCATGCCTGTAATCCCAACACTTTGGGAGGCTGAGGGGGGTGGACCACTTGAGGTCAGGAGTTCGAGACCAGCCTGGCCAACATGGTGAAACCCCATTTCTGCTAAAAATACAAAAATTAGCTGTGCATAGTGGCAGGTGCCTGTAATCCCACCTACTCGGGAGGCTGAGACAGGAGAATTGCTTGAACCTGGGAGACAGAGGTTGAAGTGAGCCAAGACCACACCATTGTACTCCAGCCTGGGCAACAAGAGTGAAACTTTGTCAAGAAAAGAAGGAAGGAAGGAGGGAAGGAATGAAGGAAGGAAAGTAGGAAGAAAGGAAGGAAGGAAGGAAGGAAGGAAAGTAGGAAGAAAGGAAGGAAGGAAGAAAAGGAAAGAAGGTAGGAAGGAAAGGGAAGGAAAGGAAGGAAGGAAGAAAAGAAGGAATGAAGGTAGGAAGGAAAGGGAAGGAAAGGAAGGAAGGAAGAAGGAAGGAAGGAAAAAGGAAAAAGGAAGGAAGGGAAAGAAAGAAAAAAAACATGGAAGTAAATCTTTGTGCCTTGGGGTTTGGCTAAGACTGCTAAAGTAGTGTATGCTAAGGCAATATTGACAAAAGAAAAATAGTTTCATTTGACTTATTCTAAAGGTAAAACTTCTTTGCTTCAAAAAGAATGTCATTTAGAAAGTGAAAAGACAACTTACAGCATGGAAAAAATATGTGCAAATTACATATCTGGTAAGGGACTGGTATCCCAAATATATAAAGCACTCTTTACAACTCAATATTGTAAAGAGAAATAATGCAATATAAATATGTGGAAAGTTTTTGAATGATCATTTCTCCAGAGAAGTATACATTGGTCACTAAGCCCATGAAAAGAGGCTCAACATCAATAGCCATTACGGAAATGCAAATCACAGCCACAAGAAGATGCCACCTCACACCTAGTAGGATGGCTGTCATCATAATCACAGTGAAGACAGGGAGAGACTGGATCCTTCACCCCTGCCAGAGGCAGAGCGCAGGGAGTTGGGGTTGGGGTGGAGTGTGGATGAGAGTGTGGTCTGTGGGACTGTGATGGTGAATATTAGGTGTCCAGTGGATTGGATAAGGGATGCCTAGATGGCTGGTAATGTACTCTTTCTGGGTGTGTCTGTCAGGGTGTTGCCAGAGGAGACTGACGTTTGAGTCGGGGGATGGGGAGAGGAAGACCCCTATCAGTGTGGGTGGGCACCATACCATGGGTTGCCAGCTGGGCTAGATGAGAGCAGGTGAGAGAGGGTGGGGTGACTCTGTTGGCGGAGCTCTCTGGCTTCTCTCTGCCTTCCCTGCGGGTTCTTGCTTCCTTCCTCCTTGGACATCAGACTGCAGGTTGTTTGGCCTTCCCTCCTCCTGACAGGTGACAGCCTCTACCTGGGATCAGTTATTTCAGATCATTACTCCTGGGAGTCATTTAGGGAACAGCATTTCCTACTCCCAACCCTGGCCTTCAGTAACAGGTATCCCTGAGCTTCTTGACAGTCTGCTGCCTTCTCCCAGAGCCTTCTTTATATGCTGGGTAAACAAGAGTCCTCCAGGCTTCCCATGAGCATAGAGGACGGACATTGTTCTGGATTTTCACACTGACACCCCTCTGGCATGGGCACTTCTCTGAGCCTGTGATCCCTTCCTCTACGCCCTACCTTAGAAGTTCTAGATTTTCTACTTCTAGCCTTGTGAACCATCCCTCTTCCAAGGTTTCAGGAATGCATCTCATAGCAGATGGGCAGCATCACCAGGGGCTTTGCCAATGTGTTAAATCCTGTGACTATGACAATAATCTCTTTATGATACAAATTGGATTCTGTCCTCACCCCACCCACTGTGCTGGAGCATCCTAGGGCAGCCCCCACACCCTCTCCCACCTCCTGCAGTCCCCAGGGGCTGCTGAGGAAGATCCTCCTCATCCAGGCCTTTTCCTGCCACAGCAGGCCTGGCTGCTGACATGACAAGGTCATGTGCTGACCGATGTGGGCAGAGCCCAGGTGGGATATGTTTTGGGAGGACATGTGGTTTCATGGCTGCAGGGACCTTCCTCGCCTTGTACTCTAGCAAAGGAGACACTCTAGTCTTTAACTAGTTGACATGACAGTCCTAGCTGGGGCACGTCTTGCTCTGCCAGCCCAGCCCCTCAAAGGCCTTCACTTGCAGTCACCATAAGGGGGAGGAGGGGTCTCAGGTTCCACTCCCAGCCACACCATCCCCCTCCTGTGTTTTTCTTCCATACACACACACTGCCTTTGCTATGACTTCATCGTCACTCCTAAGTTCAGACCTGAACCACGATGGTGTGAAGTTCAAGATCAGGTGGATAAAAGGCCTTTTCTTCACTATGACTGTGTTAGCCATAAGGCCAAAGCCTTTGCTTCTCTGGGGAAGAAAGTCAATGTCACAAAAGCCTGGGAAGAACAGACTGAAACACTAAGAGACATGGTGGATTTCCTCAAAGAGCAACTGCCTGACGTTCGAGTGGAGAATTGAATATCCAGTGGTAAGTTTAAAATGGCCCAGGACAGGAGGGAGCAGACACTATAATAGCTTAGAAACCTTTAATGTGTTCATGCAACAAATAAATCAGGTGGGCATCCCAGCTTGTGTGTGCCTAATCTCAGTTGGTCCACCTGAGACAACCTGAACACCAACCCTAGTCTCCCATGCGGCCCCTTATCCACTCCGACAAGATGAAAGAAACAATCACGAACCAGGAAAAACTTGCCAAACTGCAGGCACAAGTGTGCATTGGTGGGAAAGGACCTGCTTGCAGAAAGAAGAAGGTGGTTCATAGAACAGCCACAGCAGAAGATAAAAACTTTCAGTTCTCCTTAAAGAAGTTAGGGGTAAACAATATCTCTGGTATTGAAGAGGTGAATATGTTTACAAACCAAGGAACAGTGATCCACTTTAACAACCCTGAAGTTCAGACATCTCTGGCAGGGAACACTTTCACCATTACAGGCCATGCTAAGACAAAGCAGCTGACAGAAATGCTACCCAGCATCTTAATCCAGCTTGGTGTAGACAGTCTGGCTAGTTTAAGGAGACTGGCTGAAGCTCTGCCCAAACAATCTGTGGATGGAACAGCACCATTTGCAACTGGAGAGGATGATGATGATGAAGTTCCAGATCTTGTGGAGAATTTTTATGAGGCTTTCAAGGATGAGGCAAACTGAATTGAGTCAACTTCTGAAGATAAAACTTGAATAAGTTACTAGGAACTGCTATTTTATATTATGACTGCTTTTTAAGAAATGTTTGTTTATGGATGTGATAAAATCTAGGTGTCTAATACTTTTGAGCCCAAGCCTCTTGGACACTGAGCTCTTTTCAGTTTTTGCATATACACAATTTATTCTTTGCAGCTAATTAAGCCAAAGAAGCCTGAGAATAAAGTTTGAAACAAAGGTTAATAATGTTCTTAGCCTAGTTAAAAAAATAATTAATTAATTAAAAATAAACAAATAAATCAGGTTTATATCACTTGAGAGGTCAAGGAGCAAGGGCAGCAGACAGGAAAGGAAGCAGGGTGGGGCTCACAATTTGTCAAGATCAGAGCTGATCTCTTTCCAAAGGGGCAGAGCCTCTCACCCTGCAGGCCAGGATGTCTTGTGAGCACAAAGCCCATGGACACAGCAGAGGATCTTGGCAGTTTCTCTTCAATGGACAGAGGTTCCTCCTCTTTGACCCAAACAACAGAAAGTAGACAGTGCTTCATCCTGGAGTCAAGAAGATGAAAGAGAAGTGGGAGAAGAACAGGGATGTGGCCATGTTCTTCCAGAAGATTTCACTGGGAGACGGAAACTTGGCTTGAGGAATTCTTGATACACTGGGAAAAAATGCTGAAGAGAACAAGTAAGTGGGAAGAAAACAAAGGTAGCTGTCCTGAGTTCAGATCTAATCAGTCCAGTGTCTGTGTGTGTGTGTGTGTGTGTGTTTGAGTGAGTGTGAACAAGACCCCCTCATGGAGGGCTCCTCCTGGGGGTGCCTGTGCTCTCCCATCCTCCTCTCCCTTCTCCCTCCTGACTCCTCTTCCTCACTGCACTTGCTTCTGCTCCCCTCCTTGTGGATTTCTCACCAGCCTTGAAACTGCGGGTGTCACTGAGTTTCCAGACCTGGAAAAGTGATCCGGGTTCTCCTTCACCATTTAAACCAACATTTGTATCCTTTCTGAAGGCTGAAGATGAAACCAAAAAGCCCCTGTGAGCACGGTCTCGATCAAACTTTCCCTTCTGGCTGGCCACCTGCCCACCACGTACTGTGTATGTCCAGAGGCCTCCAGCAGATCATGATGACACCATGGACCCAATAGCTCATTCACTGCCTTGATCCCTTTTGTCAACAATTTTACCACCGGTTATTCCTAACATCTTATGCTATTTTCTCTTGGTGTTACCTGATGGAATTTTTGCACTTAAAGTTCTGGCTGACTAAATAAGATATGTCAACATTTTCTTTCTTTTGCTTTTGTTTAGAAAATCAGTTACTTCTTTGAATGATGACCCTGTTCTTCCAAATGATATTGTCAGTAAAACAATCATGTTAGACTTCAGACCTCCAGGGATTCTTTCCATGTCCTGAAAGATAATTTGTTAAATATCTAATAAAAAATTATATTAATGAGTTTCCTTTAGTAATTTGTTGCCCTCTACTGATATTTAAATAAAGAGTTCTATGTACCAAAAACCTACTGAGTTTGGAATTTTGTTGTATTACCCAGTAGAGAATTAATGTTATATCATTTTTCCTCCATGATATGGAGTAATAAATGAGTGATTCTGCTAGATTTTGTGTGGAAACAGAATCTACAAAACATGGCTGAAAAAATCAGAGACAACAAAAATACATGGAAAAATATTTCATGCTCATGGGTTGGAGAATCAATATAGCTAAAATGGTCATACTTCCAAAAGCAATTTATAGATGCAACACTGTCTCTATCAATACCAATGTCATTTTCCACAAAATTAGAAAAATCTAATCTAAAAGTTCTCTGGAATTAAAAAAGAGCCCAAATAGCCAAAACAATCATACGCAAAAAGAACAAAGCCAGAGACATCACATTGCCCGGCTATGGTGCCGGGCGCGGTGGCTCACGCCTGTAATCCCAGCACTTTGGGAGGCTGAGGCGGGCGGATCACGAGGTCAGGAGTTCGAGACCATCCTGGTTAACACGATGAAACCCCGTCTCTACTAAAAATACAAAAAAATTAGCCGGGCGTGATGGTGGGCGCCTGTAGTCCCAGCTACTTGGGAGGCTGAGGCAGGAGAATGGGGTGAACCCGGGAGGCGGAGCTTGGAGTGAGCCGAGATCGCGCCACGGCACTCCAGCCTGGGTGACAGAGCGAGACTCCGTCTCAAAAAAAAAAAAAAAAAAAAAAAAAAATATATATATATATATATATATATATATATATGGCTATGGTGATCAAAACAGAATGGTACTGGTACAAAAATAGACACTTAGATCAGTGGAACAGAATAGAGAGCTCAGAAGGAAACCTTCACACCTACAGCCATCTAACCTTCAACAAAATCAACAAAAATAAGCAATGGGGAAAGACTCTCTATTCAACATATGGTGCTGGGATAACTGGCTAGTCATGTGCAGAGGAATGAAACTGAACCCCTGTCTTTCACCATATATGTAAAATATCTCAACATGGATTAAAGATTTAAATGTACGTCTTAAAACTATAAAAATCCTGGAAGATAACCTAGAAATACCACTCTGGACATAGGACCTGGCAGAGATTTCATGATGAAGACACCAAAAGCAACTGGAACCAAAACCAAAAATTGGCAAATGGGATCTCATTAAACTAAAGAACTTCTGCACAGCAAAAGAAACTAGCAACACAGTAAACAGCCTATAGAGTAGGAGAAATATCTGCAAACTATGCATCTCACAAATGTCTAATATGCAGAATCTACAAGGAGTTTAAACAACTCAACAAGCAAGAAGAAAAAACCCTATTAAAAAGTAAGCAAAGAACATGAACAGACGCTTTTCAAAGAAGACCTGCAAGTGGCGGACAAACATGAACAAATGCTCAATATGAATCATCATCAGAGAAATGCAGATCAAAACCACAGTGAGCTACCATCTCATACCAGTCAAAACGGCAATTCTTTATTTATTTTTTATTTTTATTTTTTTTTGAGACGGAGTCTCGCTGTCTCCCAGGCTGGAGTGCATTGGCGCAATCTTGGCTCACTGCAAGCTCCGCCTCCCGGGTTCACGCCATTCTCCTGCCTCAGCCTCCCGTGTAGCTGAGACTGCAGGCGCCCGCCACCAGGCCCGGCTAATTTTTTGTATGTTTAGTAGAGACGGAGTTTCACGGTGCTAGCCAGGATGGTCTCAATCTCCTGACCTCGTGATCCGCCCGCCTCGGCCTCCCAAAGTACTGGGATTACAGGCGTGAGCCACCGCGCCCGGCCCAAAACGGCAATTCTTAAAAAGTCAAAAAAACCACAGATGTTGGTGAAGCCGAGGAGAAAAAGGAACACTTAGACTCTGTTGCTGGGAAAGCAAACTAGTCCAGCCACTACGGAAAGAAGTTTGGAGATTTCTCAAAGAAGGTAAAATAGAACTACCATTCAACCCAGTAGTCCTGCTGCTGGGGATATATCTAAAGGAAAATAATTTATTCAATCAAATAGACCCATATGTTCATTGCAGTGCTATTCTCATGAGCAAGGACGCAGAACCAATCTAAGTGCCCAGCAGCAGGGGACTGAATGAAGGAAGCGTGGTACGTATGCACCATGGAAATCTATGCAGCCACGAAAGACAACAAAATCATGTCATTTTCAGCAACATGGATGGAGCTGGAGGCCATTATCCTAGGTGACTTAACAGAACAGACAACTGCATTCTGCAGGTTCTCGTTTATAAGAGGAGGGCTAAACATTAAATATATATGAATATAAAGATGGGAACCACAGACACTGGAGATCACTAGACAGGGGAGGGAGGAGGGGCATGTGGGCTGAAGAACCACCCACTGGGTACCGCTTTTACTGTCTGGGTGATGGGATAGTTGGGACCCCAAGCCGCAGCCTCCCACAATTGACCCATGTAACGAACCTGCACGTGTACTCTTTAATCTATAAAAAGAGTTGAAATTAAAAATGAATAAAGAAAATAAAATGACATGAGGCAAAAACAAAAAATGGGTTTAACTGACAGGGGTGAGAGAGAACTCTGCATTATCAACTCTAACCCTGCTCTAAAAAAATAAACTCTAGTCATTTAAAATAAGTGTAAGGTATATGACCATAATGTTATAAAAATTACATATGATTATACCAAAACCCTAACATTAAACACTGTGTAATGGAATTATGGATAATTGCCATCTTGTTATTATACCTTTCTTTTTTGTCCCATTTTCAAGTGACATTTTTTGTTTATCCTCAGGAACTCATTGCTTACAGGGGTCCCCTTCTGTACCTACCACCTTTTCCACTGTCCACCTGAGCCCTTCCTCTGGCCTGGGACTATGGCTTCCTTGGCACTGAAGGCACAAGAGCTACATTCAGCCTCAGGAGAGGATGATGCAGGGTAGGTTGTGGAGGTGGTCTCAGCATTGCAGATGAGTCTAACAGCGCCCAGTCTCCATTGCAGACGGCTGCATTTCTCCACCATGTTAGCTACAACCAAGCCAACCTTGCCCCTTTCTTGTTTGGTTTTTGTCTCACTCTTCCCAACTGCTTCTTGAAAATTCATATTCTTCCACCTAACATTTCTTTCTACTTCTTGACTTCACAATGTACACTGATTTGTTGTGCCCAGAAAACACTGGTCCCACCATGTCGTAAGTTACCATCTAAAGTGTAGTGAATGAATGGACAGGAAAGAGGCCCCTGCCCCAATCACTGCCTCTCATTTATTCACTCACAGGGTAAGTACAGCCTCAGCACCAACAATGGGCTGTGCTGCGGATGCTTCCCTGAGGAAAACAGACAAAATCCCTGCTCCAGTGGGGACAGCAGGTGAACCTAATGAGCAGGGGCATTGCATCGGGTGTAGGAAGGTGACAGATGATTCTGGGGGCGGGGAACAAGGTTGTGGGAAGGAGACTGGGAGGGGACCTCCCAGGTCCTCAGTAGTCTGAACAGGAAGGTCTCTAAAGAAGGTGACATATGAGTCCTGGCTTCAAGGAAGTGAGCATTCCCCGCAGGAGGCAGAGCCCGCGAATATGGCCTTGAGCGGTCCAGGGAAAATCCAGAAGGTGCCTCCGTAACATTTTCAAGACAACCCCAAAACAAAAGAAATACCGAAGAATGTATTTATTAAGTAGTTAGGACCAAGAAAGAAATATTCATGACCTAGCAATTTAATCACCGTTTAAGAAAATATTTCACATGAATTGAAAAAGTAGTATATTTATTTCATTCTCTTTTTTTTTTTTGAGCTGGAAGGGCTGGGTGTCTTTTTCTTTTTGTTTTTCTTTTTTTTGAGCTGGAAGGGCTGGGTGTCTTTTTCTTTTTCTTTTTTTTTTTGAGCTGGAAGGGCTGGGTGTCTTTTTTTTTCTTTTTTTTTTTTGAGCTGGAAGGGCTGGGTGTCATTTTCTTTTTCTTTTTTTTGAGCTGGAAGGGCTGGGTGTCTTTTTTTTTCTTTTTTTTTTTGAGCTGGAAGGGCTGGGTGTCATTTTCTTTTTCTTTTTTTTGAGCTGGAAGGGCTGGGTGTCATTTTCTTTTTCTTTTTTTTTGAGCTGGAAGGGCTGGGTGTCTTTTTCTTTTTTTTTTTTTGAGTGGAAGGGCTGGGTGTCTTTTTTTTTGAGTGGAAGGGCTGGGTGTCTTTTTTTTGAGTGGAAGGGCTGGGTGTCTTTTTTTTTTGAGTGGAAGGGCTGGGTGTCTTTTTTTTTTTTGAGTGGAAGGGCTGGGTGTCTTTTTTTTTTTTTGAGTGGAAGGGCTGGGTGTCTTTTTTTTTTTTCTTTTTTTTTGAGCTGGAAGGGCTGGGTGTCTTTTTCTTTTTCTTTTTTTTGAGCTGGAAGGGCTGGGTGTCTTTTTTTTTTTTGAGCTGGAAGGGCTGGGTGTCTTTTTCTTTTGTTTTTTGAGTGGAAGGGCTGGGTGTCTTTTTCTTTTTTTTTTTTTGAGTGGAAGGGCTGGGTGTCTTTTTTTTTTGAGTGGAAGGGCTGGGTGTCTTTTTCTTTTTCTTTTTTTTGAGCTGGAAGGGCTGGGTGTCATTTTCTTTTTCTTTTTTTTTGAGTGGAAGGGCTGGGTGTCTTTTTCTTTTTCTTTTTTTTTTTTGAGCTGGAAGGGCTGGGTGTCTTTTTTTTTTTTTTTTTTTTGAGCTGGAAGGGCTGGGTGTCATTTATTGACAGCAGTTTATACACATTTGTTTCCTTCCCATGGTTGTTTCCTTCCCAGCACAGGCACAGAGCCCTTGAGAAAGGTAGTCTCTGAACCAGGGAGCCAGGAACGCAGGTCGGACACATCTTTGGCAGGCAAGTTCAGCTCCACCAGGATGCAATCCTTCAAGTTGGAATTCCGTTGGGTATTTGAGAGGGACCACGGTGAGAGGTAGAGAGGGAGTCTCCAACAGGACTCACATCTCAGCCCAAGCCTCCTCATTATCCAAGTCCATACAAGTTTTAGGACGCTGGGGGACAACAATCAGGCCCATCCACCTCAACAGGGGCAGATTCTTCAATCTGTGTCCAGTTCACACACATCTGCTTCTGCCGGTCGCACAGTTCGAGAGAATCAGCCTTATGTTAAGGGACAGACTGCCTCTTCTCTGCCCTTCCCTGGCACCTCTCTTCAGCGGCATCTGTGCAGGAACTGCTGGGAAGATGGACACATAGACACTGGTTACATTTGTTGTGATGCAGTCATTCTGTGCAATATTGTGCAGAGATAAAAAGGAAAAGAATCTGTATGTGTGGGTCTTGGAAGATCTTCAAACTGTTATTTTGGGATAGAATCTGCGTGCAGCAGAGTGCCTATGGGCTTATCTTTGTTATAAAAACCAGCATTGATACGTACACATGTCTGCACTATTAGTAAAGAAAACAGTGTTTCCATAACTTCTTGCCAGTCTGTTTATCCGTTTTAGGAAAAATCAATATAGTTAAAAAGCCATGGTGGCAGGAATTGGTCATCACCAGCCCTGATTCTACACTGCCCTACACATCATCTCAACTGAGGTTGCTGGAGGAACAGGATGTGGAATACAGTCACGTTTCAGAGAGGAACCTAAAGTCAAACTGGACCAGGGGTCTTGCCCCGACCTCTGCCTCTTCACCCAACCCCCACCTGGTCAGGCAGTGACCCTGGAGGGGCTGGGATGATGCTGGGAGGGCCGTGAAATGGGGAGCCAATGGTGAGAGCATGGTGAACACAGAGAGCCCAGACCCCACACCATCTGGGGAGGAACTCATGTGATGCTGGGAGCACTGGGAAGGCAGGGAGCCTGGCTGCAGCACTCACTGTTCCTCTCATCTGGGACCGGATTGGGGTGGATGATGAGAAAAGTTTCCTGAATATCATAGTTTCCAAACCTGGCAGGATGACTCACCCCGGTTGCACTCACAGCCAAGACCCACTCGGCCTCTGGACCAATCTACCGCAGGGGATGGTAAAGTCAGGAGTGTGAATACTACTGAGCCTTCTGCCAGGGCATAAGAAACAGCAAGTGTAGGATGACCAGCAGGAGGCTCAGACTACCCTGCCCTGCACTCTCCCACTTTGAGTGGGGAGGAAGCCTTGAGCCCAGGGGGTTGAGATTTCAGTGAACTATGATCGTGCCACCGCACTCCAGACTGGTGACAGAGCAAGACTCTGTCACACACATGTTCACACACACAAATTAAATTGTGATATAATACATGTAACATGAAAGTTTCCATCTTAACCATTTTTAAATGTAAAAGTATCTTTTTCAAAATGCAGTATTTCCACCTGCCTGAGCAATCCTGGACCTTCTTCACCTGAATTTTTTCTTCCTAAAGCAAGGACCACTTTAAATCAGACTGTATTAGTTTTCAATAGCTGTTGTTACAAATTACTACAAATTTAGTGTTTTAAAACAACATACATTCATCCAGGCACGGTGGCTCACGCCTGTAATCCCACCACTTTGGGAGGCTGAGTTGGGCAGATCACGATGTCAAGAGATCCAGGCCAACATCACGAAACCCCGTCCTACTAATAATACAAAAACTAGCCAGGCATGATGGCATGTGGCTGTAGTCCCAGCTACTCAGGAGGCTGAGGCAGGAGAATCATTTGAACCCGGGAGACGGGGTTGCACTGAGCCGAGATCATGCCGCTGCACTACAGCCTGGTGACAGAGCGAGTCTCTAACTCAAAAACAAAACAAAACAAAACAAAAACACACATTGATTTTCTTAAATTCTCCTATGGTTCTGGAGCTCAGAAGTCTGAATGGTCTTTCGAGGCTAACATCACTGCGCTGTCAGAGCTGTGTTTCTTTGGGAGGCTCTTGGAGAGAACCTGTCTCCTCCTCACCTTTTCCAGCTTCTCCAGCTGCCCACATCCATGACACAGGACCCATTTCCCCACCTTCAAATGGAGCTCCACCAGGCTGGATCCTCAGGGTGCCCTCTGTCTTGTTCTCCCTCTTCTGTCCCCATCTTCCTGTATAAAGATCCTGTGGTTACAATGGACCCCTGGGAAATCCAGAGAATTACCCCATCTCCAGGACAGATGATAAGCAACCTCAGCTCCACCTGCAGCCTTCATTCCCCTTTCCATGTAACCCAGTGCAGAGGTTCCAGGGACTCGGACCTGCATCTTGTCAGGGAGGTGGGGGTGGGGGTGGGATGATTCTGCCCAGGACCCATACCATATACTTTTTATATTTATCATTTTTACAGCACAAAATGCAGGAGGGAGCAGAGCAATACTGGAGAAGAGATTTTTCATCCTATTAAAATTAAGCATGAGGCACACATCTTTGCTCTCAGTACTTTGGGAGGCCAAGTAAGAAATATTGCTTGAGCCCAGGAGGTCAAGGCTACAGTGAGCTATGATCATACCACTGCATGCCAGCCTGGGTCAGCCCAGGAGGTCAAGGCTACAGTGAATTATGATCATTCCACTGCATGCCAGCCTGGGTCACAGAGTGAGACCCTGTTTCAAAAATAAAATAACATAAAATAAGATAAAAAGTTGCTTTTTATCCAATCTAGGTTGTGATAAATTAAGATATTAATTGCTATTCCACAGGAAAACCACTAAGAAAGTAACATTTTAAAAATAATTAAGGGGCCGGGTGTAGTGGCTCATGCCTGTAAACCCAGCACTTTGGGAGGCTGAGGCGGGCAAATCCCCTGAAGTTGGGAGTTTAAGACCAACCTGACCAACATGGAGAAACCCTGTCTCTACTAAAAAATACAATAAATACATATGGAAAAGTAAGAACAAGGTGACAGGTGTAAATTCTGCCTTAGCAATACTTCCATTACCTCTCAAACTATTAAATACTCAAAAGCAAAAGCAGAGGTTGACAGAATGCATTTTATAAATGATCTAAAGATACAATGTAGATCCAAAGATACAAGTCGGTTGAAAGTAAAAGTATAAAAAAGACAAAGCACACCAATAGTAAAGAAAGACAGTTGAAATTGCTATTAACGATTTTTTGTCTGTGTTTCTAGAAACAGGGTCTTGATTTGTTGCCCAGGTTGGTCTTGCTCCTGGGCTCAAACAGTCCTCTGATCTGGGCCTCTCAAAGTACTGGGATTACAGGTGTGAACCACAATGCCCAGCCTGAAATTAATAATATCAAGCAATGTGGTGTTTAAGACAAAAATTTTTTCTGAAACACTCTTTTAAAACTAAATGATTAAAAAGAAAATCACAAAAAATCAGAAAATAAGATAAATTAAAACAAAAACACAGCATATTATAACTTATGAGAAGTAGCTAAAGCAGTCCTTAGAGGGAAATGCATTGCTGTCAGTGTGAATATATTGAGAAAGAGAAAAGAAACAAAGGAGTAATCTCAAATTGAGAACCTAATATTTCACTTGAAGAAACTCAAAAAAGAAGCCATCTACTCAAAATAAACGAACAATGAATAGGAATTAGAATGTAAATAAATGAAGTAGAGAAGAGAAAAACATTGGAGAACTCAACAAAACTGATAGCTGAGTGTTCGAAAAGCTTGGTCATTGGCATTGGAGGTGGCTTTGATGGATTTCTAGAAACAGACCAGGGAGAGGAAAGGAAAAGTAATTCTCAAGAGAGGGAACACTAAGGAGAAAGGTCTGAAAACACAATGACACCCACAGTTTCGAGGCTCGTGAGAAATCCACAGTGAGTGGAGCAGAAGCAAGCGCAGTGAGGAAGAAGAGTCAGGAGGGAGAAGGGAGAGGAGGATGGGAGAGCACAGGCACACCAGCATGACTAGGAGGAGCCCTGTGGGGTGACATTGCTGGGCTGAGATTGAAGGTGAAAGGATGTGACCTGTTTGGCGGCAGTGGGTGGTGAGGGGATTGGGAGGGAAGCGTCTGCTGGGCCCCTGGTTGCAGGTGAGTGCACCAAGTGCAGGGCGAAGTTTAAGGGCAGGGAGCCCTGGGAGTGCGGGAGGGTTTGTGTGGTGGAGAGCCGGTGGGAACAGAGCATCTGTGTTTGTCCGGGATGTGTGTGCTCCTGTTTCTGCGACATCCCCTCCCTCACCTCTGGTCATGCCTGTGTCTTGGTAGCTCAGGCTCCTTCAGCCCCAGGGCGCAGTGGAGGTTCCAGCCTCAACACAGAGTCCCGCCGTGTCCTCTGCCCCCTCCAATCCTCTCGTCCCTCCCATCCTCCTGCTGTTATAGAAGATAGAAAGAAATCATTTACGTAGATAGGGTAAAGAGAGTCCCCGTCAAAAAACTTTCCTCCGAACAAAAAGCACCTCAGAAATTGCTCCCTTTCTAAGCTCAAGCAGTTCAAAGAAATCACTTGGCTTCTAACAAAGAGCATCCTAGAAGATCAGGCTGTAAAACACAGATAAGCACCTCACAGAAGGAGCACATAATAGGCACAGAAGGGGGAGCTTCCTGGATAATGACCGAACTTCACATACAGAAGATGGAAACGGAGCCTCAATGAGCACATTCCTGTCCTTTCTTTTGTTTTCTTTTTTTGAGACGGAGTTTCGCTATTGTCGCCCAGGCTGGAGTGCAGTCGCGCCATCTCGGCTCACCGCAGCCTCTGCCTCCCGGGTTCAAGCGATTCTCCTGCTTCAGCCTCCCAAGTAACTGGGATTACAGGCGCCCGCCACCATGCCCAGCTAATTTTTGCATTTTTAGTAGAGACGGGGTTTCACCATGTTGGCCAGGCTGATATCGAAATCCTGACCTCAGGTGATTCACTGGCCTCAGCCTCCCAATGGGCTGGGATTTCAGACATGAACCACTGCGCCTGGCCCCTGTCCATTTCTTTAGGCACACTGAGATAGGGAAGCCGGAAGCGCGCATGGGGTGGGGATGCCTGCAGCTGCAAGAAGGTGCCTGGGAACAGGCACAGAAACTCTTCATCCTCTTTTGTCACAGGCAGATAAGCAGCGCAGAGCAACACAAACCAAGAGCCTGACTGTATGATCAAAGAATGGGGTGTGGGCTGCTAGAGACTCTGCCCTATGCAGATGGCACACCTGGTCCTAACCGCTTCTTCGGGCCCTATGGAGATAAGACACCCCCTCCTCACTGGCCCATTTATAAAAACTCTGACATTTTTACTACAACCTGGCAACCCGTTCGGGACACCTCTCTGTGACAGAGAGCTGTTCTTTCCTTTCTCCCATAAAACTCCTGCTCCAATCTCACTCCGTGGATTTGCGTCCCCGTCCTTGATTTCCTTGGCCGCGAGACCAAGCATTTATTCCAGGCGACCAGCTGTTTCACTGCCCTTAGTTTCTGGTCTCGTTTCCGCCACTGTGTTTTCTCGGGCCGGGAGAAGCAGTCCCAGGGACGCGACAGGGGCAGAAGGAGCCCTGCGTGGGGAATTGAGAAGGGTGCGGCGCGGTCAGAAAGATCCGTCCTCCGCGACGCCCTCTCCTCTTTCTCCGACCCATTCCTGGAACTCACCGGCTCGCGCCGTCCAGGGACAGTCCTGCAGCAGAAGCAGAGCCAGAATGCAATGAATCAACGTGGGGCCCTCAGCCAGCGCCTTTGGGACCGGGACCTGGCGACGGAATGCCGAGGACACCGGTGTTCGCCGCGCAGGGGAAACTGCGGAGCTTCCCGCTGAGCCGTGTGGGGCTTTGGTCACCCGGGTGGAGCCGAAGCGCGGAGAAAAGTCCTGACGTTTCACTCCTCCTGTCTCCTGCTTCCCATCCTTTCCAGGAGATCATTTCACTTCATTGTTTTGCAAATCTTTTCTCCCATCTGAGCGCTGCTTCTTTATTGTCTTAAATGAGTGTTTCACAAAGAGCACGGATTGGGTTTTGTACTTTTTCTGTGTGGTTGGTTTTTGTGTGTCTGTGGGTGATGAAATCGGGTCGGAGTCGCTCTAAAGTCATTTTTGTCTCTTGCGCGCCTCAGGGAGGATATTAAAGGCTTTTGTGGATTTCAACCGCTAAAGCCTTTCCTCAAAGTTCATTGCGAGGGGTTTCAGTTCCGCCCGGCAGCATCCCTCAGGGTTCTGCGCGCTCCCGTGGCACCGTCTGCGCCCGAGCTCCGGTCCCGTCCCGATTGCCTGATGCCCCGCAGGGAGCGCCCAGCGGCCGCCGATGTCCCACCAGCAGGCACCGGGCGCCTAGCGGGACCCGCGGGCGGAACTGCCTTTGGAAGACGCGTGAGAACTCCACCCCATCGCGGCAGGGGACAGTTATTATCTCCGAGCTTGAGGTGAGGGGAAATCAGAGGCGGCTGATGGTTTCCTCCTACAGCCTGGTGCTGGGCGCGGGGAGGACTTTACACCCAGCTCCTGCCGAGACGTGACCTTACAGCTGGGGTCCTTGGGGCTCCAAAAGTGCGGCTTCCGCGCGGATCCCATTCCTGCTTGCTTTGAGGCTGCTGGTGAGCGGCGCCTGCGCAGGGGAAGTTGTGTGCCCGAGTTGCTTACTTGTGTTTTATTGATCTTCTAGACTGCTCTTGTTAGAAGAGAAGTGATTTCTTTGAACTGCTTGGGGTTAGAAAGAGAGCAATTTCTGAGCTGTTTTTTGTTAGAAGGAAAATTTTTTGCCGTGGACTATTTTTACCCTATCTACCTAAATGATTTCTTTCTTATCTCCTATAACAGCAGGAGGATGGGAGGGACGAGAGGATTGGAGGGGGCCAGAGGACACGGTGGGACTCTATGTTGAGGCTTGAGTCTCTGCTCAGTTAGGTGAGGTTGGACAGAGGTTTGCATCAATGCCTTGAGCCGGCGAGTCTCTCCCCAGTGCTGAGGGCTTTGTGTGTGTGGTGCACTCCTGCCCCTGCCGCACTCAGGCGGGCAGCTGATGTCACCACTGCAGCTCCACTTCCTGCCCGCACAGAACCTCCAGGTCAGCCAAAGATCAGAGATGTGGCCTTCTCAGGTGCTTCCTGGGCACGTGCCAGCCCCTATGCACATCTCATTCCCCAAATCTTTCTCTCAATTTCTCCCACTAGCCTCTTGTTTGCCCTACATGCAAACGGTGAGGTTGTATAGTTGGAATGATTGCTTTTAGCCAATGCTCTGAAGATCTGGCTTTTCCCCTAGAAAGAGACCTCAGCAGGTCAAAGGAGGACAAACCCAATGAATGGAGCTTTTCCACTGAGTCCCAGATAGACCAAATAGAGTTCTCTGGGGCTGGGGCTTTTGAATGGCTCCAAGACCAGCGTGCCCCTTCAGCAAGTGGAGACTGTGGCTTTGCAGCTGTCATGGACATGGTGAGTCCAGTGTTTTCTGGGCGTAATAAATCAGCATATATTGTGCAGACAAGAAGTAGAAAGAAATGTTAGGAGGAAGAATATAAAGTTTAAGTACGAAGGGAAGAATTAGAAAAAAAAAAAAAAAACAATGAGGAAAGGGGCAAGGTTGACTTGGTTGTAGCTAACCTGGTGGAGAAACGCAGCCGTCTGCAATAGAGGACCAGAGCTGTTAGGTTCCTCTGCAATGCCGAGACCACCTCCACAACCTGCCCTGCGTCATTCTCTCTCCCGAGGCTGAATGCAGCTCTTGTGCTTTCAGTGCCAAGGAAGCCACAGTCCTAGGCCAGAGGAAGGGCTGAGGTGGACAGTGGAAAAGGAGGAGGTGGGTGCAGAAGGAGAAGGCTGACAGCAAGGATTTCCTGAGGATAAACAAAAAATGTCACTTGAAAATGGAGAAAAAGTAGTAAGGGTATAAAGAAGAAGATGGAAATCATCTGTAATTCCATTATACAGCGTTTAATTTTAGGGTTTTGGCACTTTCATGTATAATTTTTATACAATCAGCATCACAGAACTTATGATTATTTTAAATGACTAGAGTTTATTTTTTTAAGCTGGGTTTGGGTTCATAGTGCAGAGAAAAATGGGGTTAACTCTGGTCAGTTAACCCCATTTTTTTGGCCTTATGTCATTTTATTTTATTTATTCATTTTAATTTCAACCTATATAATTGATTAAAGGGTACACATACAGGTTTGTTGCATGGGTAGATTTTGGGAGGCTGAGGCTTGGTGTCCCAATGATCCCATCGCTCAAACAGTAAACATGGCACCTAACAAGTGTTTTTTTCAGCCCAGGTGCCTCTCCTCTCCCTCCCATCTAGTGATCTCCAGTGTCCATGGTTCATGTGAATTCAATGTTTAGCTGCTAGTTTCCAATGGGAACATGCAGTATGTGGTTTTCTGTTCTTGCATTAGGTTGCTTAGGATAATAGCCTCTAGTTCCATCCATGTTGCTGAAAAGGACATGATTTTCTTGTGTTTCATGGCTGCATAGATTTCCATGGTGTCTATGTACCACATTTTTTTTCATTCAATTCACTGTTGCTGGGCACTTAGATTGATTCTGTGTCCTTGCTGGTGAGAGTAGCACTGTAATGAACATATTGGTGCAGGTGTCTTTTGGATAAAATGAATTCTTTTCCTGTGGATATATCCCGAGTAGTGGGATTGTGGGATTGAATGGTAGTTCTATTTTAAGTTCTTGGAGAAATCTCCAAACTGCTTTCCATAGTGGCTGAACAAGTTTGCTTTCCCACTAACAATGTCTGTTTCTTTTTCTCTGCAGCCTCACCACCATCTCTGACTTTGTGACTGGTAAGAGATGGTAACTCATTGCAGTTTTGATTTGCACTTATCTGATGATTAATGATATTGAGCACTTTTTCATGTTTGTTGGATACTTGTATGTCTTCTTTTGAAAAGTGTCTGCTCATGTCTTTGCCCATTTTTTAATTGGGTTTTTTGTTCTTGCTTGTTGAATTAAGTTCCTTGTAGATTCTGGATATTGGACCTTTGTCAGATGCATAGTTTGCAAATAGTCTTCCCCATTCTACAGGCTGTCTGTTTACTGTGTTGCTAGTTTCTTTTTCTGTGCAGAAGCTCTTTAGTTTAATGAGGCCCCATTTGTTAATTTTTTTTGTTGCAATTGTTTTTAGTGTCTTCTTCATGAAATCTTTGCCAGGCCCTATGTCCGCATTGGTATTTCTTAGGTTATATTCCGGGATTATTACAGTTTTGGTACTTACATTCAAATCTTTCATCCATATCTAGTTATTTTACATATGTGGGAAGAGGTAGGGGTTCAGTTTCATTCTTCCGCATATGGCTGGCCAGATATCCCAGCACTATTTGTCGAATAGGGAGTTTTTCCCCCATTACTCATTTCTGTTGAAGATTAGATGGCTTTAGGTGTGCAGGTTTATTTCTGCGCTCTCTATTTTGTTCCACTCATCTAACTGTCTATTTTTGTACCAGTGTTGGTCTGTGTTGGTCACTGTAGTCTTATAGTATAGTTTGAAGTCTGACAATGTGATGCCTCTGGCTTTGTCCTTTTTGCTTAGGATTTTGACAGTTCGAGCTTCCTTTCTTTTTTTCTTTCTTTCTTTCTTTTTTTTTTGGCTCTAAACAAATTTTAGAATAGATTTTTCTAATTCTGTGAAAAATAATATTGGTATTTTAATAGAGATAGCTTTGCATATATAAATTGTTTTGGGAAGTGTGGCCATTTTAGCTATATTGATTCTTCCAATCAAAGAGCATGAAATATTTTTTCCATTTATTTGTGTTGCCTCTGATTTTTTTCAGCAGTGTTTTGTAGTTCTCTTGTAAAGATCTTTCATCTCTTCAGGTAGATGAACTACTAGGTACTGCACTTTCCTTGTGGCTGTTGTAAATAAGATCGTGTTCTTGCTTTCATTCTCAGCTAGAATGTTGTTGGTGCATAAGAATGCTACTGATTGTGTACATTGATTTGGTATCCTGAAACTTGACTGAATTCATGCATCAGTTCCAGGAGCCTTTTGACAGAGTCTTTCGGGTTTTCTTTTTTTTTTTTTTTTTGAGATGGAGTCTTGCACTGTTGCCCGGGCTGGAGTGCAGTGGTGCGATCTCGGCTCACTCCAAACCTCCACCTCCTGGGTTCAAGCAATTCTCCTGTCTCAGTCTCCCACGTAGCTGGAATTACAGTTGCCCGCCACCACGCCCTGCTAATTTATTTGTATTTTTAGTAGAGATGGGGTTTCACAATATTGGCCAGGCTGGTCTCAAACTCCTGACCTCGTGATCCACCCACTTTGGCCTCCCAAAGCGCTGAGATTACAGGTGTGAGCCACCATGACCAGCCGTCTTTCGGGTTTTCTATGTATGGAATCACATCATGGCAAAGGGAGGTGCTTTGGCTTGTTCTTTTCCTATTTGAATGCCTTTTCTTTTTTTGTCTTGCCTTATTCTTCAGCTAGGATTTTCCTGCTGCCTCCTTCAGGCCTCTGGGGGTTATAACCTCCACGCCAGCTCCCCTTCTGCACCTGGGGTTTTCCTCTGAGCCCCATTCACTCCCACAACTGTCTCTTTCATTCACTTGCTTGCTCAGCCTCCAGCCACCCTTAAATCATGTCAGGTTCACTTGATGAAGGAGAGAAAAACCAACCTCTGTGAGTTTGAAAAGGACTCTGGATTCCTGATAACTGTGTCCTGGGTCCCCGTGGTTGCTGGAGGAGGTGCATAATTGCTAGATCATAGCCATTACAGTCACCTGGCTGCTTCCATTCCCAGCTTCCGTGGGCCTGAGTCTGGTGGCCAGGAGCCTGCAGCAGGGGTGAGGCAGGAGGGCCCAGGTGTGCAGAGATGCCCCTCCTCCTGTCACCTGGCTGTGCTGCCCAGGACTCTCCTGCCAGCTTTTTGTCTTCTTCCTGTTCCCCCAGTCACTGGCCCAGGTCACCCAGCCTCGGGGTGGGGGCTGCCAGGGCCTTTCCCACTGGCCTCCTCCCAGGACTAACCCGGGCTCCTGTCCTCAGCCCTATGCATGGGAGGCTCTTCTCACACACAGATCCCGGGACCCACCAAGCTCTGCCCCTCCCAAGTCTGAGAACTGCCCACCCCCGTGTGTCTGTTGTTCTCCAGACCACCCTTCATGTGGCCTCTCCTGGACAGAGGCTCTAGTGCATCAGGCGAGAACCTTCTAGGCTCCTATGTCCCTGCACAGTCACAGAGGTAGCTGCCATCCTATGCCCCTGTCCGGAAGCAGAGACAGGCCCTGGGCTTGGTCCAGGCCTCCTCCTCTTTCCCAAAGCTTCAGGGCCCTAGGGATTGATGGCCACCAGGTGAAGGTGATCCCCACATGAAGACTGTGTGGAGAGGGAGGTCAGTGCTTACTTTTTGTCATTTAATGGGGAAAGGGCTGAGCGGCTGTGGGAAGAGTGGGACTCAGGGGCTCTGCCCAGTCCTCACCCCAGGCTAAGCCCTCCCCACCAGCCAGGGGCCACTGGGCTCTTCATGTCCCTCATATTTCTGCCCACAGGTCTAGATGCCTCCGTGGTGACTGACACGAGGATCTGCTGGGGATTCCTCAGTTGTGGTTAAATGAAGTGACCACATGGATGAACCAAATGGAGAGGAGGTACAGCTGCAGACTCAGGCCTGGGCGACCATCGATGGCTGTGTGGTAAAGCAAGCCCCACGCGGAAGGAGAACCCTCCCTCAGCTCCTGTGCCCATGGAAATCCAACCCTTCACAGATCTGAGTCTCATCTGGATTAGGCCATATATTTAGGTGATGAAGGGACTCTGGGCCTGAGCTGCTTCATTCTCTAGAGGGGCCTGGGGGCTGCCTGCAGAGGAGGAGGGGGCAGGAGAAGCTGCCTGAGGCTGAGGGATGAGAAGGAAATGCCTGGAGGCCCTGGCTTTGCAGGAAGGGGAGGAGCTCTGCAGCCATTTATGGAGGTATTCACATCAATTTCTGAAAAGTAAGTTTTTCTTCAATTTCTATCTTCAACTAGTAAAAGAAATATGAAACAATCAGAATGAACAGAGTGGTTGCAAGCACATTACGGAGAACTTCTCTGCCTGCACTACTTAAGAGTGAGCTGTCACACTGATGCCCCATCTTAATGATGCCACCTTATGCCCCATACTTTACTGTGGTTTCCTTGCAAACCAGGACAATCTCCAGATAACCACTGTGCAAACTCCAAATTAGATTTCACTCCAGACATTACGACCACCTCATGCTCAGATGCCACTCCGGGTTCAGCAATTGTTCTAAGAATGTCTTTAATCACCAGGGAGCTGATATATGTGGGCATTTCCTACCCCCTTATTTTCCTAAATATATACGTTATGGTGTTCTATTTGTCCCAGTGGTAGATCTGTATATTTTTGGAAATATGGAAAGTGATCTAAATTGATGTGATTATTTTTATTGCGTGTAAATCTGCAATCCTCACTAACATGTTGGAAAAGTTTAACATTTTCATCCTGCATTTGGATTGGTTCATTTTTGCCAGTTCAGATTTTGTAGTCTGATGTAGAGCAAAAGAGAAATCTTTCATCAGCATTGAAAAGCATCCTGTACTGTACTAGCATATTTCATTGCTAACTCTTTGCTATGGCAAAGAACAGCACGGTCAGCAGTCTAGTATCTCCATGCTCTCTGGAACGTTTGGAGCCCCGAACTGACTCTGGGATTGCTGGTTAGTGGGATGAGCACAGCGTCCGCTGTCCTGGATACTGCCTGAGTAGACGTCAAAGTAGTGATTCAATCTGGACTCCTACCTACAATGTAAGAAGTCTCTGATATTCCATTTCCTGTCCACCAATTGGTAGAGACAGATTTAAAAAATTATCAGTAGGGTGGGTGTGCAGGGGTAGACCACTGTTCTCTTGATTGTGTCAGAGCTATGAAAGCTTTCACAGGTTTCTTCAGCATCTCTGAACTGCTCAGAGCATTTGCTCAAGAATTAGGTGCACTTTATTAATTTCTAGGAGTTCTTTATATAGTTTGCTCCTGATCTTTCATCTGTGGGGGAATAGAATAACTTTTACAAATAGAGATGCATCTGTGGTGAGGATTTCTTCTACTAGAAGTGAGCGTGGTCAGGGCTGAAGAATGATGAGAAAAGCCACTGCCGAGCGTGGAGTGGGCTGGGGCCAAACCAGAAAGCATCACATTCTGGAAGCAGGGATAGAGGCAGGAATATCTGCCAGCCCCCAGGGCATCAGGACAGTAGTGAAGACTGACAGCCAGGCTGCTTGTAAATAGACTGACAGCCAGCCTGCTTGTAAATTAAGAGTGATCTTTAAAGTCTCTGTTTCCAAAAGATATCTAGCAGCATCCCTAGTTGTATTACTAAAAACAACATGGCAGAATAATGAAATTCCATTAATTCTCTACTGGGTTATAAACCAAAATTCCAAAGTCAATAAGGTTCTTTGAAAATAGACATCTTTATTTAACTATAAATCTAGGCTAATAAATTACTAAATAAAATAATCATGAATGTAATACTTTTCCGTATTAAATAATTTAAAATTTCTACAACAGGCACTGTGGTTCATGCCTGTAATCCCAGAGCATTGGGAGGCCAAGGTGGGAGGATTGCTTGAGGCCAGGAGTTGAAGACTAGCCTGAGCAACATAGGAAGACCCAATCTCTACCTAAAAATAAAACAATGTGCCGGGCATGGTGGCATGCGCTTGTAGTCCCAGCTATTTCTAGAGGCTGAGTCTAGAGGATCACTTGAGCCCAGGAGCTGGAGATTACAGTGAGTGAAGACTATGCCACTTCACTCCAGTATGGTTGACAGGATGAGAAAATGTAAAAAACCATAAAAATAAAAAAAATTAATACAATTCTTGGTCAGTGCATCGAAAGGATCCCTGAGGTCTGAAGTCCAGCATGCACTGGAAGAATAAGCGATACTGTTTGGAAGAATAAGGTCATGCTTCAGAGAAGTGTCTGCTTTTCCACAATCAAAAAAGTAGAAAGAAAATGCTTTTTTGCTGGGATTTCTTGTTCAGTTAAAACTTGTGCAGGAGTTCCATCCATTAGCACCGAGAGAAAGTGGCAGAAGGTGTTAAGAAAAATGGCTGCTGGGATCATGAGCGAAGGTAATGAGTGGCCTGAGATGTTGAGCCGACAATGTCCTCATCATCTGCTGGGGGCCTCTGGGCTTGCTAAGGCTTGAACTCCTGCTTTCCAGAAAGGCACAGTGGTGAGTAGACAGGCGGCCTCCCTGAAGGGAGAGCAGGACCCAGACCAGGCTAACAGAGGCTTCTTGATATCACCTTCCACCTTGAGGAAAGATGATGTGTTGGTTTAAGTGGCTGAGAAAAACCTGGGTCTGTTCTCCTGGGTGATCCCTCCCAGACCCTCCCCATTTTGGAGCCTCTCCCCCAAATAAGGAACATGTTTTTCCCTCCAACCCTACCCCTGGCTCTGTACCCTGTTCCAGCCTCCACCCTCCTTGAGGCTGGGAATGAGGGGTCTGCACGCTCACTCAGGGACTGCTCCACCCTCTCATAGAAGGGTCTAGAGGACCTGGGGGAGCCCTGTCCAAAGAGAGGTCTCTGGATCCATGTTCCCTGGCCTTAGGTGGGCTTGTAGACAAACCACCTTCTTTTCCCTTCACTCTCAGCCTTTCCTCACCCTGGGAGCTGCACCCATAGCTCTGAATGGGACTGTCCTTGCCCTGCCCCATTCATTCCTGGCCAAGCTCAGTGGTGAGCATGGAACTCCAACAGCAGCTTAGCTCCCCTGCCTGAGTCCACTCTGCTCCAGGCAGGGCCATCAGCTGGCTCAGGATCTGGAGTGTGCAAGAGGCGGAATGGCAGGGGCATCGCCCCAGGGCCCAGCAAGGACTCCCATGGGTCCAAGGGGCCTGGCCTTTTCCTAAATCTCACCCTGGACACGCTCTACTCTTCACCTTCCACCTTAACTGCTGGGACCCGAGCTGCTTTCTCTGGGAATGCAGCCTTAGGAACTGGGTGGGCCAAGGCCCTCACAGCTCCCTCATCCTGGGATTCTCCCAGATCACTCTCTTCTTAGCCTCCTCCAGGGACGCCCTTTCCCTTGACATCCTTGGTGAAGCAGCCATGCTGCTCCTCTCCTACTGTGCAGACTGCCCATGCCTGAGTTCCTGCTGCCTGCAGGCCACACACCACTACCCTTCCCGAATAGGAACCTGCTCTGAAACAGGCCTGAAATGGCTAAACTCTCTCAAGCTCAACAGGCCTTGAGCCTTGGTATGGGCCCCTCCCTTTCCCTCTGGTTCTGACAGTGAGAATCCATCAGAACTCAGGGCTGAGCTACCCAGGTCATTGCCAGTAGGTGACACTAGGTCTCATTCATCTGTCTCATGTCAGGATGAGAAGGTCCCAGCCATGGGGATGGGTGGGACTCTGGGAATTCTCCTTCTGCATCCTCCCACCTCACCCATCTGCCTCTTGCTCCCCTCCCAATATTGCCCACATTACCTGTCACTCTAAAGAACTCTCCTCAGATGCCAGGGAGGATAAAGCAGAGGATGATGAGGAGGCTCCAGGGACTGAGGGTGCTGGCCATGGCTTTGGGTTGGGTTGTGCCTGGGGTCAGAGAGGGTGGTTCTGAAATGGAAACACAGGAGTGACAACCCTCGTCCAGGCCCCAAATCTTAGGGGATGCCTCCTCAGCTCCTGCCCCCCTCAACTCATCCTGGAAGAGCTTTTGTCCCACAATGCTGTGAGGAAGCTGCTGTGACCGTTCCTGGGTTGGGAAGGGAGGGGGGTGTCCCCTGTCCTCAGGGAGCTCACACAGCTGCTGAGGGAAGCAAGGTGACAGCACAGCCCACCCTCCTGCTGTGGCGGAAGAGGAGATGATGCCCCAGGGCCAGGGAGGGGAGGGTCTCGGGGCTGGCATTCTAGGTGGTTTCGATGGATATACAGACACAGACAGGGGGAGAGGAAAGGAAAAGTGATTCTAGGAGGAAGGAACACTAATGAAAAAGGTCTAGAAACACTATGACACCCACAGATTTGAGGCTGGTGAGAAATGCACAGTGGGTTGAGCAGAAGCAGGTGCAGTGAGGAAGAGGAGTCGGGGGAAGAAGGGAGAGGAGGATGGAGAGCATAGGTATGCCAGCACCCCCAGGAGGAGCCCCCCATGAGGGGGTCATGTTCACACTCACTTAAACACGCACACGCACACACACACACACACACACTCACACAACGGGCTGATAAGATCTGAACTCAAGAGAGCTGCCTTTTTTCACCTCTCACTTACTTGTTGGATCCAGCATTTGTTCCCAGTATATCAAAAAGTCTTCAAGCCATGTCTTACAATCCCCCATTGAAATGTTATGGAAGAACACGGTCACCTCCTTGTTCTTCTCCCACTTCTCTGTCATCTTCTTGGCTCCAGGATGAAGTGCTGTCTACTTTCTGTTGTTTGAGTCAAAGAGGAGGAAAGTCTGTCCATTGAAGAGGAACTGCCAAGATCCTCTGCCGTGTCCGTGGGCTTCATGCTCACAAGACATCCTGGCCTGCAGAATGAGGGGCTCTGCCCTATTGCAAAGAGATCAGCTCTGATCTTGACAAATCCTGAGCCCCACCCTGCTTCCTTTCCTGGCTCCTGGACTTGCTCTCTCTGCTGCATCCGGCCCATGCTCCTCAACCTCTTGGGTGACACAAACTTCTGATTTATTTTTTACAGGAAACCAATAAATGCCTCTAAGACACTACTGTGTCTGCTCTCTGCTGTCCTGGACTATTTTAAACTTACCGATGGGTATTACATTCTCCATTTCAATGTCAGGCAGTTGCCCTTTGAGGAAATCCCCCACATCTCTTAGTGTTTCAGTTTGTCTTAGTGTGCTTGTGTGGGAGAGAAGGGAGAAATCTCTTAGTGTTTCAGTTTGTTCTTCCCAGGTTTTTGTGACATTTACTTTCTTCCGCAGAGAAGCAAAGGCTTTGGCCTTGTGGTTAACACAGTCATAGTGAAGAAAAGGCCTTTCATCCACCAGGCCTTGAACTTCACACCATCGTGGTTCAGGTCTGAACTTAGGAGTGATGATGAAGTCATAGCAAAGACAGTGTGTGTCTGTGGAAGAAAAACACAGGAGAGGGTTGGTGTGGAGGAAAGTGGAATCTGAGACCCCTCCTCCCCCTTATGGTGACTGCAAATGAAGGCCTCTGAGGGGCTGGGCTGGCAGAGCAAGATGTGCCCCAGCCAAGCCTGTCATGTCAACTAATTAAAGACTAGAGCATCTCCCTTGCTTGAGTACATGGAGGGGAAGGTTCCTGCAGCCATGAAACCACATGTCCCCTCCAGACATGTCTCACCTGCCCTGTGCCAACATCAGTCAGCACATGACCTTGTGGTGGAGGTGCCAGGCCTGTTGTGGCAGGAAAAGGCCTGGATGAGGAGGACCCTCAGCAGCAGCCCATGTGGACTGCAGGAGGTGGGAGAGGGTGTGGGGGCTGCCCTGGGATGCTCCAGCACAGTGGGTGGGGTGAGGGCAGAATTCAGTTTAGATAAGCAAGTGATTATTGTCATGGGTCACATGATTTAACACTTTGGCAAAGCCCGGCGATGACACCCATCTGCTTTGAAGATGCATTCCTGGAACCTTGTAAAGGGATGGTTCACAGGGCAAGAAGTGGAAAATCCAGAACTTCTAAGTCAGGGTGTAGAGGAAAGAGCCAAAAGGCTCAGAGAAGCACCCATGCCAGAGTGGCTGCAGTACGAAAATCCAGAACAATGTCCATCCTCTGTGCTCATGGGAAGCCTGGAGGACTCCTGATTACCCAGCATACAAAGAAGGCCCCAGGAGAAGGCAGCAGTCTATCAGGAAGCCCAGGGATGCCTGTTGCTGAAGGCTGGGGTTGAGGGTAGGAAATGCTGTTCCTGAAACGGGCTCCCAGTAGTAATGGGGATGGAAAATCCTGAAATAAGAGATCTCAAGTGGAGGCCGTCAACTGTCAGGAGGAAGGAGGGGGCAAAGATGGAAATAATTAGAGAAGTCACAATGCCAGGTGGGGACCTCAGTCATACAAAGGTGTGCCCATGGCTCATAGAACAAAGGGGTCAAGAATCCAAAAGAGATGGAAACTCAACCCGGATGCTGCTAGATTTAAATAACTACAACAAACAAAGACAAAACACAAGGATGGATGACCTGGAGGCTGAAAGGAGTCACCCCAGGAAATAACCGAGCTCCTTTGCCCAGCTTTGAGAACTGAGTCACATCTCAGACCCAGAGTCCATTACTAGAAGGAGAGCCCAGAGGCCCTGGTGGGCCCCTTCAACACCACAGCAACTGCAATGACTCCTTCAGCCTCCCCCAGAGAGCCAGATGGGCATTCACTCTGGTAACTGTACACCATGAAACAGCAAATACCCAGACACTTCTGGTGGACACAGTGTGTGATCCAACCTCCTTTCAGAGATCTGAAGCATTAACTTCCTGTTACTCATGAGGTGCATTTGGGGCAAAGTAACGGATGGACACCTGTGTCAGGTCCAGCTTAGGGGGATGTGCTGGGTTCATAGACCCATTCGATGGTAATTTCACATTTCCTGGATTTCTACCGGGAATGGATAGTGTTTGTAGTTAATGTAGTATCTATTATAGGTTGTGCTGGTCATATGACCTCCCCTGTCACTACTCAACTCTGCTCTTGTAGCTGGGATGCAGCCATACACACTCTGTGATGAGGCGTGACGCTGGACCTACCAATATGGCTATTTGACCCTGGACTCCCTAAGATCCCAGAGGCATGTGTGGTTGGAAAAGGTGCTATGTGGATTTCATGGCAATTGCCAACCGCAGAATCACAACAGGATCCCCTAGTGCTCAGAAGCAAGGCTGTGCCACTCACAGCAGTGAAATCCCCTCATTTAAAAGTGGCTCCTGCTGTGGTCCTGGGCCCCTGTGGAGATGGGCCTCCAGCTATGGGAGGGCAGTGACCACACAGCCTCAGAGCTGCCCATCACAGGGTGGGCTCCTCACCCTTTAGGTCATTAGGAAGATAGGCCCCACAGTGAGAAGACACAGGTGGGTCTCCTGGGATGGGCAGGAGCAGGGCCACAGGGAACCAAGAAGCTGCACAGGCAGTTGGCCCCGATCCCCAGGACACCATGTGGCTGTACCGCCTCACCCTCAGCTCACACCTGAGGCTTCAGGGAGGGTCCCTGATTGCCTTGAGGTACCGATGATGCCACCCAGCAGCAAAGGATGGGGGCAGTAGGCCTGGACCCATGGAACCTCCATTCACATCCATCACATCCACACCACCCAGAAGCCACAGGCAGGGTAGGACACACTTGTGACTCTTCAACTTACACAACTTGGAGATGACACCCTAGGGGATGGGGCAGCAATTGCCAGGACACAGCATGTGCCCTCATCTGGGGTCAGCAACCTAGGACAGGGTCCACATCTGCTCTCCCTTTTACTTGCAGGTTACCATTGCCTGCTGTTGCTCTACAAAGGGACAGGACTTGACACACAGACAGAGAACTCACGGCCAGCAAGGACCAAAGTGACTTCAGCCTTTTCTTTCTAGAAAGGGTTTGCTGACTCCTGTCTGCGTAGTGACTATTCTATATGACCCTGGCTCCCCAGTAGGAAGAACAGGCGGGTCTGGGACCCAAGGGCAGAAGTGGGCACCTCTACTCACGGGCGCTCCCAGGGTCATCCTGAGGGAAATGGGATTTCCCGTCCCCCCTGCATTAAGTTCTGTAGAAAGCCTGGGGTGTGTTTGCTGGGGTGTGCCCTCAGGCAAAAGGGGACAAGGTGCTAGTTGGTGTGGGGAGGTGCTAAGGGCCCCTTCATGGATGGGGAGGTGAGGGAGGCCTGTGGGGTGACAGGGCTGGGCTGAGATGGGGAGTGAAAGAATGAGACCTGAGTAGCAGAAGTGAATGGTGAGGAAGTGGTGAATGGTGGGAAGTGTCTGGTGAGCCCCTGGGTGCAGGTGAGTGTCTGCAGCAAATTGCAGGGGAAGTTCCAGGGCGGAGCCCTACAGGTGCTGGAGGGTGGAGAGCGGGTGAGAGCAGAGCATTTCTGTGGTTGGTGGGGGAGTTTGTGATCGCATCCCTGTGGAACCCCGCTTCACCCCTGTCCTGACCCCAGCTAGGGTTTCGGGGGCTCTGGTTTCTTCTTCCCGAGGGCGAGTAGGGCTGCGGAGCTGCATCAGGGATCCCCGCTCCACCCTGCCCTCTGCAGCCCGTTGGCCCCTCCACCCTCCTGTGGTGCCTTTTCCGCGCTCTTTAAAAACCCTCCTGGTCTGCAGTGCAAGCTGCAGCCGCAGGAAGCGGACCCAGCGTAAAGGAGCCGCAGCGGGGAACTCCGGGGGCGGGGGGGCCGATGCTCGGGGAGATCGCGCCGGTCCTTCTAGAAGCTTTCCTTCCTCTGAAACACGCTGCAGTCCACAGCCCGCCAAGTTTGGCCCCAGCCCCCGATTAGGCTCCAGCCCCCGATTAGGCTCCATCCCCGAACTCACCGGCCCGCCCTGACCCGGACCAGCCGGACAGCAGTAGCAGAAGCGGGAAGCACAGAAGAAACGCGGGGCAAGCGGCCGCTGCCATTGGGGACCTGGGGCACAGGGGACGGGAGTCGGGGTCGAGGCGGATATGGGCGGAGGAATCGCCTGGTGCCTCACATTCAGGCTAGTGAATTGGACCGCTCCGCCCCGTCCAGCCCCGTTCCGCCCCGCCGCAGGCTGGGATCCAAGGGGCGTGATCCGACGGCTGCCTTGTTTGGGCATGCTCCACCCCGCCCTGCTCCGGGGCTCGTCACGTGACAGCGGCCCCGGCGGGCGAACCCTCCCCCTCCACCTCGGCCCCGCGGCTTGGTGGCGGCGTCACCGGGCTCCGCGCGGGGCAGGACACGGTGCCTTCCATGACTGCCTCGTTTAATTTTTCAACACAGCATTTATCATTACCCCAATGTAAACACTGATGCACAGGAAGGTGAAGAAACTTAACAGGAATATACAGTGGCGGCGGTGACCCCGTCACCGCCTGCGCCAGCGACACACCCCCTCCCTCCGCCTGCGTCGCGGAGTCCCCGACCCTCTCTGTCCAGCGCGCAGCCGCCTCCCCAGTCCAAAGCGGACCTTCTTTGCCTCTCCACTAAAAGCATGAGGAGGTCTTTGAGTATATTCTATATCCCTTTATGACTTTTGGAAAAAAAAGAAAAGAAAGCCCTAGAGGCCTACTGTGATCAACCATCATGTGATCAATTGTGTTTCCATGGAGAGCAGAACCCGATAGTAGGGGTCTACGCATGGGTGGGGCTCACTTTGCTGCACTCCCATCTATGTCCAACCACACCCAAATCCATGGCTGTATCCGCACCTCGGCTCAGTCCCTGGATGGTCCCTGTAACCATCCTCAAAGGGGACACTCGAGTGCGTCCTCCTCTGAGTCACCATGGAACCATCTAGATCTATGGACAGAAGCCAGAGGGAGGTGGGGAGCCCAGTGGCCTCTGGTGGCAAGGGAGGGCTTAGCCTGGGGTGAGGAGTGGGCAGAGCTGAGCCCACTCTACCCCCGGCCACTCAGCCCGTTCTCCATTGAATGAGTCTTCATGTGGGGAGAACTTCACCTGGTGACCAGCAATCCCTAGGGTCCTGAGGCTGTGGGAAAGAGGAGGAGGCCTGGACCAAGCCCAGGGCCTGTCTCTGCTTCAGGACAGGGTCATGGGAGGGCAGCCACCTCTGTGACTGAGCAGGGACACAGGAGCCTAGAAGGTTCTCGCCTGATGCACTAAAGCCACTGTCCAGGAAGGGCCACATGGAGAGCGGTCTGCAGGCCAACAGACACACGGGGGTGAGCAGTTCTCAGACTTCGGAGGGGCATAGCTTGGTGGGTCTGGGGATCTGTGTTGTGAGAAGAGCCTCCCATGCATAGGGCTGGGGACAAGGAACCCGGGTTAGTCCTGGAAGTAGGCCACTGGGAAGACCCTGGCAGCACCACTCGTGAGGCTGGGTGACCTGGGCCAGTGACTGGGGGAACAGGAGGAAGGCAGAAGGAGGCCAGCAGGAGAGCCTCCAGCAGGATAGCCAGGTGAGAGGAGAAGGGGCCTCTGTGCACACCTGGGCCCTCCTGCCTCACCCCTGCTGCCGGCATTTGGCCACCACACTCAGGCCAGCCCAGGATGGGCATAGAAGTGGCCCAAAAGTGACTGTAATGGCTGTGATTTAGAGATCATGCATTCAGACATGGAAGTCAGCTGATATTGCAGCTGAATATTCCTGTGCAAGGTTCTTCAGCTTTCTGGGCATGGATGTCCGCATGTGGAAAATGACAAATGCTATGAACACAGATGAAATGAGCAGATTCTACAAGGAACCCTGTCCTTGCACATGCTAAGGACCCAGGGCAGGTCTCCTATTTCAGTTGTGAGCCCTGCCGCCCTCCCTGAAGTCAGCAACTGCCAGGCCCACCCTGAGGAGAGCTGGAGCTCTGAACCCAGGCCGCGGCCTCTTCATGGCCCTGAGTGTGCTGTGAGGGGGTGGAAATGAAAGCGAGACCCGCAATCAGGACTCAGGCATGTTTTTCAGACCCACAGAGGATGATTTTTTTCTCCATCACCTGGTGAGCCTGACATGATGTAAGTGTGGTTGGAGGCTGAGTGAACCAGTGAATGAATGAGACAGTTGTGGGAGTGAGTGGGGCTGGGAGGAATAGCACAGGTGCAGAGGGGAGCTGGAGCGGAGGATGTAACCTCCAGGGGCCTGAAGGTGGCAGCATTGAGGTTGGTAAAATTTTTTTGCCCATTTTTCGTGTTTTAGTTTTTTTTTTTTAATTATACTTTAAGTTCTAGGGTACATGTGCACAACATGCAGGTTTATTACATATGTATACATGTGCCATGTTGGTGTGCTGCACCCATTAACTGGTCATTTACATTAGGTATATCTCCTAATGCTATCCCTTCCCCCTCCCCCTACCCCGCAACAGGCCCTGGTGTGTGATGTTCCCCTTCCTGTGTCCAAGTGTTGTCATTGTTCAATTCCCATCTATGAGTGAGAACATGCGGTGTTTGGTTTTTTGTCCTTGGGATAGTTTGCTGAGAATGATGGTTTCCAGCTTCATCCATGTCCCTACTTTTTTTTTTTTGAGGCGAAGTCTTGCTCTATTGCTCAAGCTGGAGTTCAGTGGGATGATCTCAGCTCAGTGCAACCTCCGGCTCCTGGATTCAAGTGATTCTCCTGCCTCAGCCTCCCAAGTAGCTGGGATTATAGGTGCCTGCCACTGTGCCTGGCTAATTTTTGCAATTTTAGTAGAGACAGGGTCTCACCATGTTGGCCAGGCTGGTCTCGATCTCCTGGCCTCAGGTGATCCACCTGCCTTGGCCTCTCAAAGTGCTGGGATTACAGGTGTGAGCCACTGCTCCCGGCCACAACTTGGAAATTTGTATGCCCACCTGGGTGTCCACAAAGATTTTCCAAGGAAGAGTAACTTTGGTTTTCAACCAGTCTGGGGTGCTTCATCAGGATAGAAACTTCTAGAAAACATAGTGTGATGATGGACAGCAAACTGCTGTCTTCATATGGTTTGACTGAGCCTAGGGCGCACCATGGCCAGGAAAATCTTGCCTTTGTTATTGTTGTTGTCATTATTATTATTATTATTATTTTATTATTTTTGACGGAATCTTGTACTGTTGCCCGGGCTGGTATGCAGTGGCACAATCTTCGTTCACTGCAACCTCCACCTCCTTGGTTCAAGTGATTCTCCTGCCTCAGCCTTCTCAGTAGCTAGGATTACAAACACCTACCACCACACCTGGCTAATTATTTTTATTTTTATTTTTAGTAGAGACGGGGTTTCACTATGTTGGCCAGGCTGGTCTCGAACTCCTGACCTCATGATCCGCCAGCCTTGGCCTCGGAAAGTGTTGGGATTAAAGCTGTGAGCCACTACGCCCTAGCCGAAAATCTTGTATTTAAGCAAAAAAGGAATGAGTCTGAAAGCAGGAATGGCATTGGGAAAAGATAAGGGGGCCAGGAGGAAAGTGAAGGAGAAAAGAAGGGTTAGGGTCTGAGAGGGAGCCAGGATCCAAGTATTTCCAGCCCCAGGGCCTGGAGTTGCAAGTGGGCGGGGCGGGGCCACTGGAGCTGTGACAGCATCGAGAGCCTCGGTGACTCACGTGGGGGCCCTCTGTTTCCTCCGGGTGTGTCACGCCCTGGGCTCCAGGTCCCCAGTGGCACAGGTGCTGGCACAGAGTTGGGTGTCTGCATCCAGCTTCTGTTCCTGGTGCCAGGATGGTCCAGGGTGGGTCGGGTCGGTGAGTTCCAGGCTGGACCCTAAACAGGGGTCATGGGGGTTCTTGGACTGCAGGGAGGCCAGGAGGAGGGGAGGCTTCTGTAAGCTCCTGAATGTCTCCCTGGAATGTAATGCAGCATTGCAGGCTGGAGCCAGCCTGGCATGGGGAGAGAGATGTGAGACTGATGAAGAGCGTGCAGCCTGATTTAAAGCCAAACCCTGAGTCCTTTCCAAGAACTATAAAGCATATTGTAGTCGCTAAAAGAAACAAATACAAAAAAACAAAGTAGCCTTTCTTGGCAGATACAGCACCTTTTATTTTTAATCTTTACATTTAACATTGCCTTTTTAAAATACTGTATATTATTCGATATTTTAAAATCCAACCTGGGAGTTTCGCTGATTTATGTGATGAGTTTAGTAATTCACGTTTATTGTTAATTATTACTGTTTAGGATTTAGCTATGCCATTTTTTTATTTTTTATTTTTTTTTTGATACTAGCTCTCTCTGTTGTCCAGGCTGGAGTGCAATGGCGTGGTCATAGCTCACTGCAGCCTCTAACTCCTGGGCTCAGGCCATCTTACTGCCTCAGCCTCCGAGTAGCCAGGACTACAAGCATGCGCCACCCACTGGGCTAATTTTCTGTATTTGTTTGTAGAGATGGGGTCTGCCTATATTGCAAAGGGTGGTCTTGAACTCCTGAGCTCAAGCGATCCTCCCACCTCGGCCTCCCAAAGTGCAGGGATTACAGGCGTGAGCCACTGTGCCTGGTGCACATGTATTTATTGTGTTTTTTAATGCTGGCATTTCCCCTCCGTAGCTGTGTTCCATTTAGTATACTGAGGGTTCTTTTCTGTTGGTTTAAAAGTTATACATTCTAGTTTTCTTCTCAGGGTGGCTGCCCTTAACCTATGACTCATACCAATATGTATTCACATTTATTGGTATTATTGGTTTTGTTTTATTCCTAATTTTAGAAGTCTCAGCATGTTTTCCTATCCCTTTCACGTGCCACCTCCAGCCCCATTTTCCTGATAATTTTCCTAGCTGTAATTCTCGGTTATTCTTAGCTACACTTCCTTGTTTCTGTGATCCTAACTTCACATTTCCCCTTGTTGTGAGATAACAGTAATCTGGAATGGATTCCTTGGTCACTTGTCCTCCTTGGTTCTCTTGTCGCATCTCCTGTGTTTCTCTTGCTGTTGAGGTACCTTCCTCTGAACTATTTCCAACTTGGATCTTTAGGAGGCAAATATCCTTCAGGTTTTCTATAATTTCGAATATTTCTAATACACTGCAGTGGGTAGGATTTGGAAGCTGCCCCTTCAAGTTTCCTGTACCTTTTCTAGAACGATATGTTATAGAAAACACTGATGATAGGACAACTAACCACTGTCTTAGCCTGTTTCATTGAGCATGGAGCATACCAGCCGCAGGAAAATCCAGTATTTTAAGCAAGGAAGGAAGGAGTATGAAAGTGGGAATGCAAACGGGAAAGAAAAGGGGGGCCAGGAAGAAGGGGATGGAGAGAGTAAGGGGTGAGGGGCCTAGAGAAACCAGCTGCTCCTAGTCTAGGCACCGCTAGTCTAGGTACTGAGAGTCTAGGTACCGCTAGTCTAGGCTCTGCACAGTCATAATTAAAGCTACTCATCAGTTAACCTTAAAATAGAGAGATTTTCCTGGATTCTCTGAGTGGGCCCAGTGCCATCACATGAGCTCTAAAAAGCAGAGAATTTTCTCAGGCTGGAGCCAAGAAAGATGCGTCCAATGTCAGACAGATTCTAAGCATGAGAAGGATTTCATGCACTGTTGCTGGCTCTGAGATGTGGGGGCCATGAGCAAGACTGGAGAGGGGCCTCTGGGAGTTAGGGAAGGGCTGCAGCTGACAGCCAGCAGGGAAGCTGGGACCTTAGTCCCACAGGTCCAAGGACTGGATTCTGCCATCAACCTGAGTGCACTTGGAAGCAGATGCTTCCCAGAACCTCCCAACCAGAGCCCAGCAGGTGGACACCTTGACCTTGACCTTGAGGAACTGGGAGCAGAGAAACCAATCAAGCCATCTCAGACTTGCAACCTAGAGGACTGTGAAATAATAAAGATGTACTGATTTAAGCAGGTAAGTATGTGGCAATTTGTTATGGCTGCAACAGAAAAGATACCTTCCTATTTAAATGAGAATTTGACTGGATAAAAAATTCTAAGCTCAAGTTCTTTTCCTTCATATTTTAGAAAGAATACTCCGTTGTTATCTTGCAACCAGGGTTGCTGTTGTGTAGTCTGTTGGCCAAGTGTTTCCTTCTTCCTTCCATTGTTTCTCTGGGGTAATATGGGTGAGGGAGCCAGAAGCCTGAGCTTCTTTCCTGTCTTCATCCAGTGGATTTGTACTGTTCCAGGCTGTTAGTCACAGTCTCAAGGAGGTGGAGAATGGTTTCTAGTTTAACCTACCTTTTCATAGATGCACTTGTAGATCAGACAAGCTTATTGTTTTTCTCTTATTCAGCTACTGTTAGTCTTCTCTCCTACCACCTTTCATAAATATTAAACTTACTGAGACATAATTTACAGACAATACTCCTTTGTGAACATAGGAGCTTAAAGTCTCTTATCTTTAGGAGTATATTGAAACTTGTAGGCATTTGGCCGTATTATAAGGCATGTTCCCAGGCTATAAATGTTAAATAGTTGAATGATATTACTTCAGTCATGCATCATCTTACCAACCTGTCAGTTCTGTAGAAAATCACATTTCTAGCATTACTTGCTTCAGGTTTGCAGGAGAGAAAAACAACAATGTTTTCACTGAACATTGGCTTTTAGACAAAATGAGGGCTAGAACTATATTAAATTCATTTTTACTTCCTATCATTTCTGTATTTTATAGATTTCATAAAACCGGCCCACTGTCTTAAATTTATTACAATTTATGACAGATATCTTAGTAAAATACTCCATCCCTTTCAGTTATTGGAAACACTAATGAATTCTAGGCTTAAACAATAAATAGCACATTGTAGAACAGCAGTGCTGTTTCAAAACTGAACTCAGTTGAATTAATCAGGCATGACAAGATGTTTTTATGATTCTGACAGAAGCTTAATGAACAATGTTAAATAGATTTAAACACTTTTTTATAATATATCTAAATGGTGTGAATTATGGTAACACTGCCTTTGAGAAGAAATCATCAATTTTGGATTTCACATACAGGATGGCACCCTAGGAAAACGTTAAAAAGTCAGGAGAATTGTACCTTTAAGACTGGAATTGACTAATGAAAATATACATTACCAGAGAAACCTCCTGGGATGCCTGGACATTTACTTGTGATGCGAGCATTTTCCTGCCTAGAAACAGCAAAACTGACTGTTTAGCTGTAACTGGCAGGCACCACATGCCATAGCAACAACAGAGCAAGAAAACCAGGAAAATTTATTTTTAAGTCCGTGCCTGATAATTCTAATTTTTTTTTTTTTTTTTGAGACAGAGTCTCACTCGCTGGTTAGCGCAGAATTACAGTGGCATGATCTCGGCTCACTGCAACCTCCACTTCCTGGGTTCAATTGATTCTTGTGCCTCAGCCTCCTGAGTAGCCGGGACTATAGGCGCGCACCACCATACCCAGCTAATTTTCGTATTTTTAATAGAGAAGAGGTTTCACCAGGTTGGTCAGGATGGTCTCGACCTCCCGACCTCAGGTGATCCACCCACCTTGGCCTCCCAAAGTGCTGGGATTACAGGGGTGAGCTACCGCCCCCGGCAAGATCATTCTAAAATCTAAAGCTGCAAAGTCTAACCCAGCAGTTACTAGCTACATGAGGCTATTAAGAGCTTGCAATACAACTAGTTTAAATTGAGAAGTACTGTCAGTATATGGTGCACACCAAATTCCAAAGGTTTAGTATGAAAATGTCAAATGTCTCATTATTCATTTTTCCATTGATGACATGTTGAAATAATCATTTTGGTTAAAAAAATTTAGTTAAAACATATTGAGTTAAAAATGTTGTAAAAATATATTTCACCTGTTTCTTTTTATTTTTTTCAGTGTGTTCACTAGAATATTTAAAATTCCCTGTGTGGCTCACACTTGTGGCTTGCATTATATTTCTATCAGAGGACTGATCTAGAGGTTCCATGTATTTTCTGTCTCTGTTGCACATTTCAGCTGGTTCTTGTTGTTGCTATCTTATCTCCCCATGTGGTTGGTTATCTTTGTCTATGTTCTGGATACAGTGTTTTAAAAATTGCTGTTGACAGAATATAAAGTGTAGGATGGGCTGGGCATAGTGGCAACCGGGGCCAGCCATTCTGCCAGGCTTGGGAACTGTGCTACTCAGGAAACTTTTCTCATCACCCACCCCAATCCTGTCCCAGATTGGAGGAGCAGTAAGTGCTGTGCCTAGGCTCCCTGTCTTCCCAGTGCTCCCAGCATCACACCAGCTCCTCCCCAGTTGCTGTGGGGTCCCGACTCTCCATGTTCACCATGCTCCCAAAATTGGCTCCCCATCTTCACTGCCCACAAAGCATGGTCCCAGCTCCTCCAGGGTCACTGCCTGACCAGGTGGGGGTTGGGTGAAGAGGCAGAGATCAAGACAAGACACTTGGTCCAGTTTGACTTCAGGTTCTTCACTGAAACGTGACTGCATTCCACATCCTGTTCCTCCGGCAACCTCAGCTGGGACGATGTGTAGGGCAGTGTAGAATGTTGGCGGGTGATGACCAATTCCTGCCACCATGGCTTTTCAGCTATATTGATTTTTCCTAAAACGGACAAACAGACTGGCAATAAGTTATGGAAATACTGTTTTCTTTACTAACAGTAGAGATGTGTACATGTATCAATGCTGATTTTTAAAACAAATATAAGCCCATAGGCACTCTGCTGAACGCAGATTCTATCTCAAAATAACACATTTTCAAGATCTTCCAATACCTGCACATACAGATTCTTTTCCTTTTTATCTCTGCACATTACATAGAATGACTGCATCACAACAAATGTTACCAGTGTCTGTGTCTGAAGATCCAGATGGTCTCCAGTCAGTTACTTTTAGAGAAACTAAATGCTGCAGAAACTGTGCTTGCATGAATCTCAATTTAATTGTGTAGAATAGATTTGCAGACACAGAATTGCTGTGCAAATTAATGCACCTTTAAAGCATCTCATGTCACGGATGGCAATGCTGGCGACACTCTTGTCTGTGATTGTGATGACCCAGCTTGGGCAGAGGATGGTGAAACATCCACTATAGTGGGAGGGGAAACTGAAGGACAGGGAGACAGGTTTCATCAAGAGCAAAAAATATCCAAGTCTGAATGAAGAATATCTATACATATGCGTTTGAAATGGCATAAAGACTCCCTGGAAAGATTCAAAGAATCCAATCATGTCTCATTCCGGGCTGTGGCCAATGAGATTGGATGCAGGCAGGGGCGGGGGAGACTTTCACACATGACTTTTCATGGTTTCGATCCTGAAACACGTGAAAATATGTAGGTGAAGAAGTAAGAAAGAGTGGGGCCGGAGCCCCAGGGAGGGTCACCGGATGGGCTCGCCTGATCTGTTGTGGGCCCCGAGGGTCCTGGGACGCGGAACCCAAGCAGGGGCGCGCGGGGCTGCCTCAGTGACGAGGCACTGGTTCTAGATATTTACCAAACGGTGTTGACACACCGGGGATGTTATAGGCGATTGCTGATTTCAACCACAGATGACTTTGGGGGAAAGTTCGCTCCTGGGGGTTTCAGTTTCGACCCCTCCGCGTCCATTCTGGCTTCTGCGGGCTCCGCCCAGGGCGTCCGCTTCGCCCGAGCTCCGGACCCAGGTCCTGCCCTGTGGAGACCCCGGAGTGGGTGCGCCGCTGCCGGCCGATACCCCCGGGCCTCCGGGTCCACAGCGTCCGGAAAAAAACGGCCTTTCGAAGACCTGGGATGACTCGCTGGTCGCGGCAAGGGACCCTTGGTTCCCGTGTCAGAAGGATCAAGGAAATGCGGGGCCTGTTGAGGTGAGGAGCACGAGGTCCCTCCTTCATCCTCGCGGGGACTTTGTCACCGGCTCAGTGTGTAGACCTCACCGTCCCACTCGAATCTGTGGGGCTCCGACAGTGTGGGCCCCGCGAGGACCCCCATCCTCCTTGCCCTGGGGCCGCTACAGGAGGGCGCCGGGACGCACTAGGTCCTGAGTGTCCAGGGTCCGGCAGGGGCGTCAGGTTGTCGCCTCCCGGATCCCGCCGCTCGCGGTCCAGGGCTCCTGGTTTCTACGCTGGGCTGGGGACCCGGAGCATGCATGTCGTGGGGCGGAGAAAACCTTGGGATGGTTGGAAATGAAGGATGGGAGGGAGAACCAGAGAAAGGGAGAGGAAGGAAGCAGGGAGGGCCAGAGAACAAAGAGAAACCTCCGCCAGGAAAACGGGAAGAGGATGACACAGGAACAGCCCTACACTCCACCAACTCTCAGTCTCCTGCTCTCTGCCTTGTAAGGAACGCAGGCCCCACCCCCTCCAGCCTCACAGTGTTTGGGGTCACCCATTCTAGCGGGGTGAGGCGTCGCCTTGTGGGTGCGGTTGGCATTTCCCTGAGGTCTGTGGACACTGAGCCCCTTTTCCTGGGCTCACTGCCATTTGCATTCTTCTTCTGATGCCAGTGGGCAAGGGGAGGTCCCTAAACGCCGGTTGGACCGCGACCCCAGCCGGTGCGGGGCTCTTGGCAGCGCTTGGGGAAGTGAATTCGAAGACCAGTAGGAAAATAGAGGAAGGACGGAGATTTATTGTAAAAGGAAAAGTACACACTCAAGTAAAGGGAGTGCAGGGGAACTCAAGAGAGAGGCAGGTGCAAGGGGGTTTGGTGCTGCCACCTTTCCTGGTTTCTTCAACCAAGGGGTGGAATATTCATGAAAATTCCTGGAAGAAGGACAGGGATTCTCAGAACTCTGGTGCCTCGAATTTTTACACCAAATATGGGTATTCTCAGAACTGCTAGGGAGCTGGCTAGTGTGTGTTTAGTGTGTTTATCAGCATGTAATGAGGTCCCAGGTGAAACCTAGGTCAAATCCAGGGCCATGTTGGATCCACTCATTCTTAGTCAGCTTGGTCCACATGCTGTTTCTCAGCAACTTATCAGCCCAGAGCCACTGCAGATATTTCAACAGATTTCTTTTGCTAGTCACCTGAAACTGCTGCCCAAAATTTTCTATTCTTTTGAGACCACCGTGTAGTATACCTGTCTCACTTTGGAGAAATGTCTATTCAAATTCCTTGCATATATTTAAATTGGGTTATTTCCCTTTGTAATATTGAGTTGGAAGAGTTCTTTATATATTCAGAATAACAGTCCATTACCAGATATATGATTTTCAATGATTTTCTCTCGTTCTGGAAGTTTTTTTTTAATCTTCTAATTGGAGTTCTTTTGGAAGCACAAAAGTTTTACATTTGCATGAAATGAAATTAAACTACCTTTTATTACGCCATTTGTGCTACTGGCTACAGGGAACGAGGGGTGGGCAGGAAGCCCCCTGGAGTCCCTGACTCCCTCCACAGCAAGTCAACCAGAAAATCAATTCAACATTCATACATGCATGTTATCTCACACACACACACACATGCACACACACAGAGACATGCAGGCACAATCTCTCACACACACTCACACCACACAGGCACACACATTCACAGAGACACACATACACAAATGCATGCAGAAATACAGACACAGCCATGCACATACACGGGCACACAAAAAGACACACAGAAACACATGGGAGAAACTGCGTGTCATCTTGAGAGTTGTCATGTCGAGCCCATCCTGCCCACACACCTTTCACCTTGGGGGCTGTCTCCCAGCTCATGAAGGAGTTCTGAAGCCATCAAGCAGGCAGTCACTGTGTGATCTGAAACACTCAGACAGCTCCTCACTCTGATCTATCTTCCTGGTCCCCTTGGGATGAAGCAGCGTCCTGTTGGTTTTCACTGCAGCAGAAGAGAATCCTCCCCCAGGGCAGAACTGCTGGGCCACCAGAGTACCCCTCTGCTCTTTGCCCTCAGGGCATCTTGATCTGCAGGGTGGGAGGAACTGCCCCAGTCCTCAGAAATGAACTCTTTATGGATTCCTCTTCCACCATGATGTCAATGTCTCTTTTGTCTTCTCTAGCCCTTGGCTGTGGATCCCAGGTTGTGTGCCAAGGAGCTCAGGGCACAAACTCGCTGTTGGCAAACCCTCTGGGCTTATTGAAATATTTGAAAGATGAACAGTGCCATCTGCTGGAAAAGACTGGAAAGTACCAGTCCAAGGTATTTCATAGTTCCAACATCAGACTATGCACCATTACAGGTTACAGGTATGCACCACCACATCTGGCTAATTTTTGTATTTTTAGTAGAGACGGAGTTTCACCATGTTGGTCAGGCTGGTCTCAAACTCCTGACTTCATGATCTGCCCACCGCGGCTTCCCAAAGAGCATTTTTTCATGTTCGTTGGCCACTTGCAGGTCTTCTTTTGCAAAGTGTCTGTTCACATTCTTTGCTTATTTTTTAATTGGAATTTTGTTCCTGCTTGTTGAGTTGTTTAAGTTCCGTGTAGATTCTGGATATTAGAGCTTTGCCAGATGCATAGATTGCAGATATTTCTCCCATTCTATAGGCTGTTTACTGTGTTGCTAATTTCTTTTACTGTGGAGAAGCGCTTTAGTTTAATGAGGTCACATTTGTCAATTTTTGTTTTTGGTTGCAAATGCTTTTGGTGTCTTCATCATGATATCTTTGTCAGGCTGTATGTCCAAAGTGGCATTTCCTAGGTTATCTTCCAGGATTTTTATAGTTTTAGGACTTACATTTAAATCTTTAATTCATGTCGAGTTATTTTACATATATGGTGAAAGGTAGAGGTTCAGTTTCGTTCTCCTACACATGGCTAGCCAGTTATCCCAGCACCATTTATTGAATTAGGACTCTTTCCTCATTGCTTTTTTTGTTGATTTTGTTGAAAGTTAAAAGGTGTGAAGGTTTCTTTCTGAGCTGTCTATTCTGTTCCACTGATCTAAGTGTCTATTTTGGTACCAGTACCATTCTGTTTTGATCACTGTAGCCTTATATTATAGTTTGAAGTCAGGCTATGTGGTGTCTCTGGCTTTGTTCTTTTTGCTTATGATTGTTTTGGCTATTTGGGCTCTTTTTTAACTCCAAAGAACTTTTAGATTAGATTTGTCTAATTTTGTGGAAAATGACATTGGTATTGATAGAGATAGTGTTGCATCTATAAATTGCTTTTGGAAGTATGGCCATTTTAGCTATATTGATTCTCCAACCCATGAGCATGAAATATTTTTCCATGTATTTGTTTTGTCTCTGATTTTTTTCAGCCATGTTTTGTAGATTCTCTTTTTCCACACAAAGTCTGGCAGAATCACTCATTTATTACTCCATATCATGGAGGAAAAATGAAATAACATTAATTCTCTACTGAGTAATACAACAAAATTCTAAACTCAGTAGGTTTTTGGGAAATATAACTCTTTATTTAAATATCAGTACACAGCAATAAATTACTAAAGGAAACAATCATTAATATAAATTTTTTTCTTATTAAATAATTAAACAATTCTCTTTCAGGACATGGAAAGAATCCCTGGAGGTCTGAAGTCTAACATGATTGTTTTACTGACAATCATGTCAGTAATGAAAGAAAGAAATCATCATTCAAAGAAGTACTTGATTTTCCAAACAAAAAGAGAAGAAAGAAAATGTTGACATATCTTGTTTAGTCAGCCAGAACTTTAAGTGCAGGAATTCCATCAGGTAGCACCAAGAGAAAATTGCATAATATGTTAGGAATAATCACTGGTTAAATTGTTGGCAAAAGGAATCAAGGCAGTGAATGAGCTATTGGGTCCATGGTGTCATCATCATCTGCTGGAGGCTGCTGGACATACACCGTAGGTGGTGGGCAGCTGGCCAGACAGAAGGGCGAGGTTGATCAAGACCGTGCTCACAGGGGCTTTTTGGTATCATCTTTAACCTTCAGAAAGGACCCAAATGTTGGTTTAAGAGGCAGAGAACCCGGATCACTTTTCCACGGTAATCTTTCCCTAGTCACTCTATGTCTCAGAGCCCCCTGCACTAAGGGACCTATTTTTCCCTTGAGCCCCAACCCTGGCGACTGCAGCTTGGACCTACCTCTTTCCTCCTTTGTCACATCACAGAGTCAGCCCAGGCCCTGCACCTGACCAGGGGATGGAGTGGAGGGGCCCACAGGTCTGAAGCTGGTAGTGATGGGTCCGCTCCCTCACTCAAGGCCCTCTTTATCATCTGATGACAGGGTCTAAAACATGGCAAGGGGTGGGACAGACTTCCAAAGAGAGGGCTCTGTATTCCTGTGCCCTTGGCCTTTGGTGGGCCTGCAGGCAAACATCCTTCTTTCCCCTTCTTCTTGAGCATCACCTCACACTGGGAGCAGCACCCATAGTTCTGAAGGTGACTGTCCCTGTTCCACCTTTTCCATTCCTTATCCAGCCCAGTGGTGCCCGTGGAACCCCAGCAGCAGCTCAGATGCTCCTTCCTCTGAGTCCACTCTGCTCCTGGCAGGGCTATGACTGGGCTCAGGATCTGGGGTGTGCAGGAGTGTGATGGCAGGGGAGCTGCCTCAGGGCCCAGACTCAAACCCCACGGGTACATGGGACTGACTTTTTAAAAATCCTTCTCTTGAGCAGCCTCTACTCTTCACCTTCCACCTACTTTCTGTGGGAAGGCAGCCCTGCACTCCCTCCTTTTCAATTAGGTGTACCAAGGCTCTCCCAGCCCCCTCCTCCTGGGATTACACCCAGATCTCTCTTAGCCTCAGAGATGGAATCCCCCTTCCCCTGTCACACCTCATGTAAAGCTACCATGATGCACCTAACCCAATTAAGAGGACTGCCCATGTCTGAATTCCTGCTGCCTGCAGGCCACACACCCTTCCTGAATAGGAACCTGCTCTGAATCAGGCCTGAACTTGCTAAACCTTCTCAAGCTCAACAGACCCTGAGCCTTGGTATGGGCCCCTCCCTTTCCCTCTGGACTCTGAAGGTGAGAAACCATCAGAACTCAGGGCTGAGCTGCCCAGGTCATTGCCAACATTGCCAACAGGCAACACAAGGTCTCATTCACCTGTCTCATGTTAGGATGAGAAGGTCCCAGCCACGGGGAGGGGCGGGACTCCGGGAATTCTCTTTCCCCATCCTGCCTCCTCACCCACCTGCTCCTTGCTCCACTTCCAATTCTGCCCACAGTACCTGTCACTCTAAAGGACTCTCCTCAGATGCCAGGGAGGATGAAGCAGGGGAGGATGATGAGGAGGCAGCAAAGGATGAGGGTGGTGGCTGTGGCCCTGAGTTGGGTTGTGCCTGAGGACATGGCGAGTGGTGCTGAAATGGAAACACAAAAGTGACAACCCTTGTCCAGGCCCCAAATCTGAGGAGACACCTCCTCAGTTCCTGCCACCCTAGGTCATCCTGGAAGGCAAAAGTTTTGTCCCCTCCCCCCTGGTGTGGGGCAGCCAGTATGACAGGTCCTGGCTTAGGAAGGGAGACGGGGTGTGTCTTGTCCTCAGGGAGCTCACACAGCTGCTGAGGGAAGCAAGGTGACAACACACCCCACCCTCCTGCTGTGGGGGAAGAGGAGGTGATGCCCCAGAGTTGGGGAGGGGAGGATCTCTGGCTGGTGTTGGAAGTGGTTTTGATGGATTTCCAGAACCAGACCAGGGAAAGGAAAGGAAAAGTGATTCTCAAAAGAGGAAACACTAAGGAAAAAGTTCTGAAAACAGTGACACCTGCAGTTTCAAGGCTGGTGAGAAATCCACAGTGTGGGGAGCAGAAGCAAGTGCAGTGAGGAATAGGAGTCAGGAGGGAGAAGGAAGAGGAGGGTGGGAGGGCACAGGCATGCCAGTAACCCCAGGAGGAGGGCCCGACGAGGAGGTCATTTTAACATAAACGTGTACACTGGGATGATTGAAGCTGAACTCAAGAACTAACTTCTTGAGATCCCCATTTCTGATCTCATTTAAGATCCCCGTTTCTTTTTCTCCTGTTACCTCCTGCACTTGGCTCCAGGGTGCTGTCCATGCCCATCAAGAAGTCCTCAAGCCATCCTATGCAGTCTCCCATTGAGATGTAATGGAAGGACATGGCCACATCCTTGTCATTCTCCCACTTTTCTTTCATCTTTCTGGCTCCAGGATGAACCGTTGTCCACATTCTCTTCTCTGAGTCAAAGAGTAGGAAGGTCTGTCCATCGATACTGAACTGCCAAGATCCACTGCTGTGTCCTTCAGCTTTCTGCTCACAAGACATCCTTGCCTGCAGGGTGAGGGGTTCTGCCCCCATCAGAGAGAGATCAGCTCTGATCTTGACAAATTTTGCACCCCCATCCTGTTCCCCTTACAATTTGCTGGCCTTACTCTCTCTGCTACATCTTGGCCTTGCCTCTAGACTCTTGAGGGGTAAGATGACCTTCCCATTTGTATTTTTTTTTTTTTTTTTGAGAAAGGGTCTCGCTCTGTCACCCAGGCTGGATGGAGTGCAGTGGCGCGATCTCGGCTCACTCAGCCTCCTAAGTAGCTAGGACTACAGGCGCCCGCCACCATACCCGGCTATTTTTTTGTATTTTTAGTACAGACAGGGTTTCACTGTGTTAACCAGGATGGTCTCGATCTCTTGACCTTGTGATCCGCCTACCTCAGCCTCCCAAAATGCTGGGATTACAGGCTTGAGCCACTGCACCTGGCTTTTTTTTTTTTTTTTGAGACAAAGTCTCACTCTGTTGCCCAGGCTGGAGTGCAATGGCACCACCTCGGCTCACTGCAGCGTCTGCCTGCCGGGTTCAAGGGATCCTCCTGCCTCAGCCTCCCAAGTTGCTGGGATTACAGGCATGCGCCACCATGCCTGGCTAATTTTTGCATTTCGGTAGAGACAGTGTTTCACTATGTTGGTCAGGCGGTCTCGAATTCCTGACCTTGTGATCGGCCCACCTCTACCTCACAAAGTGCTGGGACTACAGGCGTGAGCCACCGTGCCCAGGACCCTTTTGTATTTTTACATGAAAACTATAAATGCCTCTAACCTACCACTGTATCTGCTCCCTGCTGTCCTGGGCCATCTGAAACTTACCCTTGGGTGTGTAATTCTCCAGCTGAATGTCAAGCAGTTGCTCTGTAAGTATGTCCACCACCTCTCTCAGTACTGGGTTCTGTGCTTTCCAGGCCATTGTGACATTTAGTTTCTTCCCCAGGGGACTGACGGGTGTGACTGTCTTGTTGCCACAGTCATAGTGAAGAAAAGTCTTTTCATCCACCTGGCCTTGAACCGCACACCACCGTGGTCCAGGTCTGAACTTAGGGATGACGGTGATGTCATAGCAAAGAGAGTGAGGGTCTGTGGAGAAAGGCAGGTGAGGGGTGGGTGGGGAGGAAAAGACCCCTAGTTAGCCCCCCTCCACGCTGTGTCAATAAGAGGATGCCTCTGGCAGGCTGGGCTGGCCCAGGAAGGAGTGCCCCCTCCAGAACTGTGGTGTCTACAAGTTTAAGGCGAGTGCTCGCCCCTTGCATGAGGACAAGGAGGAGGAGGAGGAGGAAGTCTCTGTCTGCTGAGAAACCACATGTCCCCAGACATGTCCCACTGCCCCTCTGCCCACATCAGTCAACACATGACCTTGCTAGAAAGGTGCCAGGCCTCTCTAGCAAGAGAGGAGGAAGGGCCTGGATGGCAGAGGATCTTCAGCAGTAGCCCACGTGGACTGCGGGAGGTGGGAGAGGGTGTGGGTCCACCCCTGTGGATGCTGGTGCTGGTTGAACAGAGTGAGGATGGAACCCCGTTGGATAAAGAAGAGTTAATTATCATGGTCACAGGATGTAACATGTTGGCAAAGCCCCTGGTGATGGCATGCATCTGCTATGAGGAGGCCTTCCTGAAACCTTGGACAAAGAGATGGTCCACACAGCAAGAAATGGAAAATCTGAAAGTCTAAGGCAGGTAGTGGAGGGAGAGATCACAGGCTCAGAGAAGTGCCCATGCCAGAGGGGTCTAAGTGTGAAAATCCAGAACAATGTCCATCCACTGTGCTTATGGGAAACCTGGAGGACTCCTGTTTACCCAGCATATAAAGAAGGCCCCATGAGAAGGCACCAGAATGGAATGAAGCTTAGGGATGCCTATTGCTGAAGGCCAGGGTTGGGGGTAGGAGATGCTGTTCCTGAAATCTGCTCCCAGAGTAATGGGATGAACAATTCTGAAATTCCAAATTCCAGGTGGAGGCTGTCAACTGTCAGGAGCAAGGAGGGTGCAATGATGGAAATGATTAGAGAAGTCACAATGCCAGCTGGGGACCTCAGTTATACAAAGTTATGCCCATGGCTCATAGAACAAAGGGGTCCAAAGTCCAAAAGAGATGGAAACCCACCCCGGATACTGCTGGATTTAAATAATTACAAGAAACAGAGATAAACCAAATCAGGAGGCTGAAAGTAGCCAGTCCATCAAGAACGAGGCTGCTTTGCCTAATTTGCAGAATGAAGCCACTTCTCAGACCCTGAACCCATGACTATAAGAAGACACCAGTTTCTAGTGAGGAAGGACCCTTTAACCCTGCAGCCAGGACAGTGAGTCCTTGTGGCCTTCTCCAGAGATATTTATGGCCAATAGAGTTTGCTGTGAAGGGCAATTTTGTAAACATGTAAAGGTGTTCAGGGAATATATTCTCCATTGTAACTACTCAACTCTGCTGTTGAAGCTCAAAAGCAGCCATAGACAATCCATGAATGATGAGCGAGGCTGGACCTACCTTAAGTGCCCAATGACCCAAGACCCCCTAAGATCCTAGAGGTACATGTGGTCACAATGTCTAATTGGAGAATCACAACAGAGATTCCATGTGAATATTCAGAGACAAGGCAATGCCACTCACAGCAAGGAAATCGCAACATTAAGCAGTGGCTCCTGTAGAGTACTGCACCTTGGCAGAGATGGGGCCTTTTGCCATGCATATAAAGAAGGCCCCATGACAAGGCACCAGAATGGAATGAAGCTTAGGGATGCCTATTCCTGAAGGCCTCAGAGCTGCCCATTACTGGTGGGCTCCTCGCCCTCTAGGTCATTAGGAAGATAGGCCCAGCAGTGAGAAGATGCAGGTGGTTCTTCTGGGATGGGCAGGAGCAGGGCCACCGGGAACCAAGAAGTTGCACAAGCAGTTGGACCTGATCCCCAGGACACCACGTGGCTGCACCCACTCACCCTCAGCTCACACCTGAGGCTTCAGGGAGGGTACCTGATGGTCCCCATGGATGCCACTCAGCACAAAGGAGGGGAGAATAAGCCCCCAACTATGGGACCCCCACTCCCATCACATCCACACCACCCAGAAGCCACAGGCAAGGTAGGGCCACCTTCTACTTTCCAACTGACATCAGAGACATCACTTGGAGATGACACCCTAGGGGATGGGGCACTGGGACACTGTAATCCCCTGATCTGGGATCAGCAACCTAGGACAGGGTCCAAATCTGGTCCCCCCTCTTTGAAGGTTGCCATTGCCTGCTGTTGCTCTACAAAGGGACAGGACTGGACACAGAGACGGAGAACCCATGGCCTGCAAAGATCACAGGGCATCCTTCCTCCCTTTCTAGAAAGGGTTTGCTGACCCCTGTCTACACAGTGACTATTCTCTATGACGCTGACACCCCCGTAGGAAGAACAGGCGGTCTGGGCCCCAAGGGCAGAAGTGGGTGCCTCTACTCACCAGAGTTCCCAGGGTCATCCTGGAGGAAATGGTGCTTCCCATCCCCCCTGCACAGGTTCTGAGGGGAGCTTGGGGTGTGTTTGTTGGGGTGTGTCCTCAGGCAAGAGGCAGAAGGTGCGACGTGGTGTAGGAGGTGGTGAGGTACCCTTCATGGATGGGGAGACCTCAGGGGTGACCAGCTGGGCTGAGGTGGGCAGTAAGAGGATGTGACCTGGGTGGTGGCAGTGGATGGTGAGGGGAGGGGTGGCGGGTATCTGCTGAGCCCCTGGGTGCAGGTGAGTGTCTACAGGAAAAGTGCGGGGAAAACAAAGGCAGGGAGTCCTGGGGGTGCTGGAGGGTTTGTGTGGTAGAGAGCAGGTGAGAGCAGAGCAGGCTTGTGGCTGGTGGGGGCGTCTGTGATTGTATCCCTGTGGTACCCCCCTTCACCCAGTCCTGACCCCAGCTCTGTTCCCGGGGGGGCTCTGGTTTCTCCTTCCGAAAGGCGGGTGGGACTGCCGGGCTGCACTAGGAATCCGGGCCCCACCTAGCCCTCGCAGCCCTCTGGCCCCTCCACCCTCCTGCCAGCCTCGTTTTCACCCTGCTCTTTTTCGCCCCTACTGGGGCAAGAACAGCCTTGGGGAGTGGACCCGGCGGGAAGGAGCCCAGGAGGGGAACTGAGCTGGGGGCGCAGTTCGGGGAGATCTCCCTTGTCCTTCCAGAAGCCTTCCCTCCTCTGAAACCCGCTGCAGTCCACAGTCCCTCAGGTTTGGCCCCCGCCCCGCTTAGGCTCCATCCACCAGCTCACCGTCTCGCCTAGCCCGGGACCAGCCGAACAGCAGGAACAGAAGCGGGAGGCACAGAAGCAAAGCTGGGATGGCGGCTGCTGCCATTGGGGACCAGGAGGGCTGGGGACAAGAGATTTAATCAAGGTGGATCCTGGAAGATGAAATCACCTCTGTGCTGAAAGGCTGGCTTATATACTGTTAGTTACTGGGGAATGTACCGGGGAATGAGTCACCTCGATTCTGAAAAGCCAGATTTTAATGCTACTGGGCGTAGTCACTGGGCGCGTTCCACCTCTTCGTTTCATTGTCTGGACGAAATCCAGTTTCCATGCTAGTGTCCCTTCCCTTCTTCACCCGCTCCGGCAGCTTGGTGGCCTCGTGCCCGGGCCCCACTCCTGCCAGGACACGATTCCTTCCACGACAGACTCATTTAATCATTATAGCATTTTTTATTAATGGTGAAGAAACGTGCAGAGGAATATTCAGCGGCCTCGGCGTCTCCTTGTCCCCGCCTGGGTCCGCGGCACTCTCCCTCCTTCCGCTTGCGCCGCGGGGTCCCTGGCTCACCCCGCCCTGGGCACAGCCATGGGCCTGTTCGCGTCCCCTCCACTACTTCCCCAGTCCCCGGTGGGCGTGGTTACAGTCCGGGCTGGGTTTTATTTTTTATTTCTTTATCTATTTATGTATTTGGAGATGGGGTTTCTCTCTTATTGCACAGGCTGGAGTGCAACGGCCCGATGTCGGCTCGCCGCAGCCTTGTCTCCTGGGTTCAAGCGATTCTCTTGCCTCAGCTTCTGGAGTAGCTGGGATTACGGGTGCCCACCACCAAGCCCGGCGAATTGTTTGTAGTTTTGGTAGAGATGGGGTTTCACCTTGTTGGCCAGGCTGGTCTCAAACTCCTTTCCTCAGGTGATCCACCCACCTCGGCCTCCCAAAGTGCTGGGATTACAGGCATGAGTCAGCGTGCCCGGCCTGGGCTAGGTTTTATTACAGAAACAGCAGGTAGGGTTTCAGAGGTTCAAAACAACATATTGTATAGTAAACAATTGGTGAAGATGGTAAATTCTATGTTCTATGTTTTTACCAAAATTAAGCAGCTTTAAAAATTATCTTAACAATTTATGTCTTGCTTCTGCTTCACCCAGTGCAGACTGGCCAAAAGGCTGCTCATTAAAATCGAGGACAGCATTGAGGACCTCATCCCTAGAATCTCAACCTGTGACACGCTTGCTGATTTAGAAAGCTCCTCAGAGAGATTACCTCTGAGCTCCCAGTTCAGCAGCCGCCCTGGCCCAGGTCCACCGATGGCACAGGGGGCTCAGCAGAGCAGGTTCAACTGAAAGTTCCTAGTGGTTCCCAACTGTCAGCGCATTCTGCTGGCCTCTTCCCCCTGGGCAAAGAGCCAGCCATCCTTCAAAGCCGGGCACAAATACCCCCTCCCATGTGTGTCCTGCATGTTCCCACAATACAGAACACCCTCCTGCTCCCTGAGACCTGGGTTCACAGTGGGTGCATCCAGATCTCCCTGTGTGACAATTGCTCACACATTTCTTTGCCTCTCTGCTAGAAGCATGAGGTCTTTGAGAATATACTACATCCCTTCCTAAAAAGACCTAGTGAACAACTTGCTCAATCATGTAATCAATTGTGTTTCCACGAAGAGCAGGAGCCGAGGGAGGAGTCTACACACGTGTGGGGTTCACTTTCCAGCACACCAATCCGTGGCCAACCACACCTGAATCCATGGCTGCACCCACACCTCTGCTCAGCCCCTAGATGGTCACTGGACTCATTATCAAAGGGGCAACCCCAAGTGCCCCCTTGTCTTAGTCACCATGAAGGCATCTAGACCTGTGGGCAGAAGGCAGAGGGAGGTGGGGGGCCCAGCGATCCCTGGCTGTTGGGATAAGGAATGGGCAGAGCCCCTGAGTCCCACACTGCCCCCAGCCACTCAGCCTTCTCCCTATTAAATGAGTAAAATAGACACAGACCTTCTTCTCCACACAGTTGTCATGTGGGGAGGATGCACACCTGGTGACCAGCAATCCCCAGAGCCCTGAGGCTGCGGGAAAGGGGAGGAGGCCTAGACCAAGCCCAGGGACTGTCTCTGCTTCTGCACAGGGGGATGGGATAGCAGCCCCTCTGTGACTGTGCAGGGACACAGGAGCCTAGAAGTTTCTGGCCTGATGCACTAGAGCCTCTGTCCAGGAGGGGCCATGTGGAGGGTGGTCTGGAGGACAACAGACACACGGGGGTGGGCAGTTCTCAGATCTGAGAGGGGCAGAGCTTGGCAGGTCCAGGGATCTGTGTGTGAGAAGTGCCTCCCATGCATAGGGCTGGGAACAGGAGCGTTTGAAAGGAGGGTACTGGGAAGGCCCTGGCAGCCCCCACCCCTGAGGCTGGGTGACCTGGGCCAGTGACCGGGGGACTGGGGGAACAGGAGGAAGGCAGAAGCCTGGCAGAAGAGTCCCAGGCAGCACAGCCAGGTGACAGTAGGAGGGGACTCTGTGCACACCTGGGCCCTCCTGCCTCACACCTGCTGCAGACTCTCGGCCACCAGATTCAGGCCAGCCCAGGATGGGGATAGACGTGGCTGAAAGGTGATTATAATGGCCGTGATCTAGAGAGCATGCATTCAGACATGGAAGTCAGCTGGCATTGTGGCTGAATATTCTTGTGCAAGTTTCTTCACCTTTCTGGGCATGGATGTCCACATGTGGAAATTAATACTATGAACACAGAGGAAATGAGCAGTTTATGCCAGGAACCCTGTCCTTGCACATGCTAAGGACTCAGGGAAGGTTTCCTATTTCACATGTGAGCCCTGCCTTCCATAACATCAGCAAAGGCCAGACCCAACCAGATGACAGCTGGAGCCCTGCGATCATGCCATGGCCTCTTCATGGCCCTGGGGGCTCTTTGAATGGGTGTAAATGAAGGCAAAGACTGGACCCAGAGAGGACGGTGGTTTTACTCTCCATCACCAGGTAAGCCTAACATGATTTAAGGGTGGCTGGAGGCTGAGCAAATGACTGAATGAATGAGACAGTTGTGGGAGTGAATGGGGCTCAGGGGAAAACCCCAGGTGCAGAAGTGGAGCTGGAGTGGAGGTTGTAACCCCCAGAGGCCTGAAGGTGAGGATATCGTGGTTGGAGACCTCACTGCTGGCACAATTTGGAAATGTGAATGCCTGCCTGGGCGGCCACAAAGATTTTCCAAGGAAGAATAACTTTGGTTTGCAGCTGGTCTGGGCCCCAGCAGGATAAAATCTAGAAAACATTATTGAAGAAGGACAGCAAGCTGCTCTCTTTAGCCCCTTTGATTGAACCCAGAGGGTACAATTGTGAGTGGTTGGGGCAGGAAAACCTTGCCCTTTAAACTTTGTTTAAAGGAACGAGCCTGAAATCAGGAATGGAAATGGGAAAAGGAAGGGTCAGGAGGGAAGGGAAGGAGAAAAGAAGGGGTGAGGGGCAGATACAAAAAAAGGGTCAGAGCGATTCCTCTGGATCTGGAGAAAGAGCAGGTGGGTGGGGCGTGGACTGGCTCCAGCTGGTGGTTGGGAACCTGCCGAACCTAGCCCTGTAAAAGCCTGGGGGACGTGGTCGAGACTCAGCATTGCCACTGTGCTTCCTCCTGGGCTGTCCTCCTCCTGGCTCCAGGTTCCCAGCAGCAGTGGCCACCATCACTGTGTTGGTCCTCGAAGGAGTAATGGCAGGAGGAGAGCAGTGAGAGGGCTGGAGAGGGCGAGATGATGGCAAAGCGCCCCCTCTCCAGCCTCACCTGCCCTTGGGAACTGGGAGCCCTGGCCAGCAGCAGGAAGCTGTAGTCTGGAGTGGTGGGGAAGAGGGAGGTGAGGAGGGATGAAATGTTTTCTGGCAGATTCTATACAGCTGGGGCCGGAGAGCATCTGTAAACCAAGGTTACTCTTCCCTGGTCATGTCTGGTGCGGGAGGCGGGGGACCTTGTGTGGCTAGGGGTATGGGAAAGTGGATGGTTCCGCAGGGAGTCAACCCCAGACCCCCGCCCTCAGCAGCCACAGGCCTGCTCTGCTCTCATCCACTCTCCACCTCACAAACTCTCCAGCACCCCCAGGGCTCCCTGCCCTTGAACTTCCCCCTGCACTTTGCTGCAGACACTTACCTGCATCCAGGAGATCAGCAGACACTTCCCACCCCTCCCCTCACCGTTCACTGCCACCACCCAAGTCACATCCTTTTACTCCCTCTCTACCCAACCTTGTCACCTTTCGTCACCCCATAGGCCCACCTCACCCCCAAATCCATTGAAGGAGGCTTCAGTGAGGCAGGCGAATAGGGTCTGGATGTAGGGAACCTAAGGGTGATTTGCTCTGACTTCTTAGAAGTGAATCAAAAGGAGCCCCACCTCTCTGTGCCCAAGCAACAAAAGGACCAGAGGATACTCCCTTGACAATCCGCGACCTCTCCACTTTCAACTCTCTTGCAGATGAAAAGCAGAAATTACCTCTGATTGGTCCCCTTCTGCAACCAGTCTTCAGGTGCATAGGGTGTAACTTTGTAACTTCACTTCAGTCTCTGATTGTTCCCTTGGGCACAGGCCACTCTCTCATTTGCATAGTGTGTAACCAAGTAACCAATGGGAAACCACTAAGGGTATTCCAACACCAGAAAATTCTGTAACCAGCTGCATTCTTGAGGGGCTTCCCCCAGCCAGCTACCACTCGGTCAGGTGTACTTTAATTTCAGTAAGTCTGTGCTTTCATTTTTCCTTTTTATTCTTTCATTGTTTTGTTCGTGACCCTAGGAATGCTGGTGAGTAGAGGCATCCACTCTTCCCTTGGGTCCCAGCCCTGCCTGTTCTTCCTAATGGGGAGCCAGCATCATAGAAAATAGTCACTATGTAAACAGGGGTTGGCAAAACCTTTCTAGAAAGGGAAGGTGGGAGGCACTTTGATCTTTGCAGGCCATGGTTTCTCTGTCTCTGTGTCAAGTTTTGTTCCTTTATAGAGCAACAGCAGGCCAGGACAACCTGCAAATGACAGAGGGACCAGATTTGAACACTGTCCTAGGTTGCTGACCCAAATAAATGGATTACAGTGTCCCAGCAATTGGTGCCCCTTCCCTTAAGGTGTCATCTCCAAGTGGTGTCTCAGCTGCTGGTTGAAGAATCAGAAGTGGTTCCCATCCTGCCTGTGGCTTCTGGGTGGTTGGATGTAATGGCAGTGGGGTTTCATGGTTTGAAGCCTACTCTCCCCTCCTTGGCTGCTGAGTAGCTTCTTTGCTCTATGGAGGCCATCAGGGATCCTCCCAGAAACCACAGCTGTGATCTGAGGGTGAGGGATTGCAGCCATGTGGTGTCCTGGGGAGAGGAGCCAACTGATTGTGCAGCTTCTTGTTTCCCTGTGGCCTTGCTTCTGCCCATCCCAGGATAACCACCTTCGTATTCTCACTGCGGGGCCTATCTTCTTAATGACCTAGAGAGTGAAGAGCACACTCGGTGACAGGCAGCTCTGAGGCTGTGTGATCACTGCCCTCCCATGGCTAAAGGCCCCATCTCTGCCAGTACTCTACAGGAGCCACTTTTTAATGTTGGGATTTCCCTGCTGTCAGTGTCATTGCCTTGCCTCTGTAACACTAACCATCCATGTTGTGATTTTCCAATTAGTAATTGCAACCACAGGTACCTCTAGGAGATTAGGGTGTCCTGGGTCCTAGGATGCTCAAAACAGGTCCAGCCTCCTTCATCATTTATGGATTGTCTGTGAGTGCTTTTGAGCTACAACAGCAGAGTTAAGTAGTTATGACAGAGAATATATTCCCTGCAAACCTTTAAGAGTTTACAAAATCACCATTCACAGCAAACTCTAGAGGCCATAAATATCTATGCGGAAGGCCAGAAAGACTCATTGCACTTGAGGTGGGGTTGAAAGGTCCTTCCTCATTGGAACCTGGTGTCTCCTTCTAGTAATGGCTTCAGAGTCTGAGAAGTGGCTTGGTTTTGCAAGTTGGTCAGAGAAGCCCGGTTTTTAATAGACTGCCTAGTTTCAGCCTCCAGGTCATCCATCCTTGTGTTTAATGTTCACTTGTTATAATTATATCAATCCAGCTGTATCCGGGCTGGGTCTCTGTGTTGCTTGCCTCTCAGATCTCCTTGTTTTATATGAGCCATTGGCATAGCTCTCTGTGGCTTACGTCCCGAGCAGGCATTGTGACTTCTCCAATTCTTTCCATCATTGCACCTTCCACGCTACTGATAGTTGAGCCCAGGATTTTTCATCCCATTACTCCTGGGAGCCCATTTCAAAAACAGCATCTCCTGTCTGCAACCCTGGCCTTCAGCAACAGGCATCCCTGGGCTTCTTCCCATTCTGCTTCTTTCTCTCAGGGCCTTCTTTATATGTTGGGTGAACAGGAGTCCTCCAGGCTTCCCATGACCACCGTAGATGGACATTGTTCTGGATTTTCACACTCAGACCCCTCCAGCATGGGCACTTCTCTGACTCTTTGATCCCTTGCTCTGTTCCCTGCCTTAGAAGTTCTGGATTTTCTGTTTTTTGCTGTATGGATCATCTCTTTGTTCAAGGTTGCCAGAATGCATCCTCTTAGCAGATGGGCACCATCACCAGGTGCTTTACCAACATGTTAAATCCTGTGACCATGATAATTAACTCTCCATCATCCAACTTGGATTCTGTCCTCACCCCACCCTCAACATGTTCAGCATCCTCAGAGGCAGCCCCTCCCCTCTCCCACCTCCTGCTAAGGATCCTTTGCCATCCAGGCCCTTCCTCCTCTAGCAGGCCAGGCACCTCCCCGGCATGGTCATGTGTTAACAATGTGGACATAGGGGCACTGGGACATTTCTTGGGACATGTGGTTTCTCAGCAGGCAGGGTCTTCCTCCTCCTCCTTGTCTTCAAGCAAGGGAGGAGCACTCGCCTATACCTGGTGGAGGCCATAGCCCTGGAGAGGGGACTTCTTTTTCACTTTCTTTTTTTTTTTTTTTTTTTTTTTTGAGATGGAGTTTTGCTCTTGTTGCCCAAGCTGGAGTGCAATGGCGTGATCTTGGCTCACTGCGACCTCTGCCTCCTGGGTTCAAGCGATTCTCCTGCCTCAGCCTCCCAAGTAGCTGGGATTACAGGCATGCACCACCATACCCGACTAATTTTGTATTTTTAGTAGAGATGGGGTTTCTCGATGTTGGTCAGGCTGGTCTCAAACTCCCGACCTCAGGTGATCTGACCACCTCGGCCTCCCAAAGTGCTGGGATTACAGGCGTAGGCCACCAGGCCTGGCCAGGAGGGGACTTCTTACTTGGCCAACCCATCTCTCCAGAGGCATCCTCTTGCTGTCACAGTGTGGGGGAGCGGTGTCTAGCTGTCCTTTTACTCCCACCCAACCGTCACCTACATTTCTCCTGCTCAGGCCCTCACTCTCTTTGCTATGACGTCACCATCATCCCTAAGTTCAGATCTGAACCACGGTAGTGCGAGGTTCAAGGTCAGGTGGATAAAAAGATTTTTCTTCTCTCTGACTGTTGCAATAACACAGTTAAATCCTTCAGTTCCCTGCGGAAGAAAATAAATGTCACACGGGCCTGGAAAGCACAGAATCCAGTACTGAAAAAGGTGGTGGACATGCTCACAGAGCAACTGCTGGACATTCAGCTGGAGAATGACACACCCAGGGATAAGTTTAAAATGGTCCAGGACAGGAGGGAGCAGACAGTAGTAGGTTGGAGGCAATTATTGATTTCCTGTAGCAATATAAATCCGAGAGGGCCAGAGGCAAGGACAGGATATGGCAGCGAGAGCAAGAGCAGGAGGTTGGAAGTGGGACAGGGTGGTGGCACAGGATTTGTCAAGACCAGAGCTGATCTCTTTCCAAGGGGGCAGAACCCCTCACCCTGCAGGCCAGGATGTCTCGTGAGCGGGAAGGTGATGGACATAGTAGTGGATCTTGGCATTTAGACTTTGATAGACAGATCTTCCTCCTCTCTGACTCAGAGAAGAGAAAGTGGACAGTGATTCATGCTGGAGGCAGACAGAAGAAAGAGAAGTGGAAGAATGAAGGGAAGTGACCATGTTCTTCCAGAAGGTCTCCAAGGGACATTGCAAAAGCTAGCTTATGGACTTCCCCATTCACAGGGAGAAGAGGCTGGAGCTCGCAGGTAACTGACAGCAGAGCACTGGGAGCGCCCTGGAGATGCCGTTGAAGTACACCCTTGTGTGTGTGTGTGTGGGGGGGGTGTAGGTTTATGTGTGAGAGTGTGTGTGAGTGTGAGTGTGTGTGCGACTGTGAACATGACCCCCTCATGGGAGGCTCCTCCTAGTCATGCTGGCATGCCTGTGCTCTCCCATCCTCCTCTCCCTTCTCCCTCCTGACTCTTCTTCCTCACTGCACTTGCTTCTGCTCCACTCACTGTGGATTTCTCACCAGCCTCGAAACTGTGGGTGTCACTGTGTTTTCAGACCTTTCTCCTTAGTGTTCCCTCTCTTGAGAATTACTTTTCCTTTCCTCTCTGTGGTCTGTTTCTAGAAATCCATCAAAGCCACCTCCAATGGCAATGAACAAGCTTTTCAAACACTCAGCTATTGGTTTTGTTGAGTTCTCCAATGTTTTTCTCTTCTCTACTTCATTTATTTACACTTTTAATTTCTATTCTTTGTTTATTTTGAGTAGATGGCTTCTTTTTTGAGTTTCTTCAAGTGAAATATTAGGTTCTCAATTTGAGATTACTCCTTTGTTTCTTTTATCTTTCTCAATATATTCACACTGACAGCAATACATTTCCCTCTAAGGACTGCTTTAGCTACTTCTCATAAGTTATAATATGCTGTGTTTTTGTTTTAATTCACCTTAAAGTATTTTCTGATTTTCCTTGTCATTTTCTTCTTGATCATTTCATTTTTAAAGAGTGTTTTGGAAAATATTTTTGTCTTAAAGACCATATTGCCTGATGTTATTAATTTCAGGCCGGGCACTGTGGCTCACACCTGTAATCCCAGCACTTTGAGAGGCCGAGATTGGAGGATTGCTTGAGCCCAGGAGCAAGGCCAGCCTGGGCAACAAATCAAGACCCTGTCTCTAGAAACACAGACAAAAAATTGTTAATAGCAATCTCAACTGTCTTTCTTTACTATTGGTGTGCTTTATCTTTTTCATAGTTTTACTTTCAACCTACTTGTATCTTTGGATCTATATTGTATCTTTAGATCATTTATAAAATGCATTCTGTCAACCTCTGCTTTTGCTTTTGAGTATTTAATAGTTTGAGAGTTAATGGAATTACTGCTAAGGCAGAATTTACACCTGTCACCTTGCTCTTACTTTTCCATGTGTCCTATATCTTTCCTGTTGGTCTTTTCCACCATTATTTCCTTCCTTTGTGTTAAATAGATATTTTCTACTGCATCACTTTAGTTTCCTTTTGTTTCTTTTTCCTTGATTATTTTTAAAATCTTACTTTCTTAGTGGTTTTCCTGGGGAATAGCAATTAATATCTTAATTTATCACAACCTAGATTGGATTAAAAACAACTTTTAATCTTATTTTATGCTATTTTATTTTCTGAGGCAGGGTCTCACTCTGATACCCAGGCTGGCATGCAGTGGCAAGATCATAGCTCATTGCAGCCTTGACCTCCTGGGCGGACCAAGGCTGGCATGCAGTGGTATGATCATAGTTCACTGTAGCCTTGACCTCCTGGGCTGACCCAGGCTGGCATGCAGTGGCATGATCATAACTCACTGCACCCTTGACCTCCTGGGCTGACCTGGGCTGGCATGCAGTGGTGTGATCATAGCTCACTGTAGCCTTGACCTCCTGGCTCAAGCAATGTTTCCTCCTTGGCCTTACAAAGTGCTAAAAGCAGAGGGATGAGCTGCATGCTTAATTTTAATAGGATGCAAAATCTCTTCTCCAAGATTGCTCTGCTCCCTCCGCCATTTTAAGGTGGAAAAATGATAAATATAAAAAGTATATGATATGGATGCTGGGCAGAATCATTCTACCCTCACCCCTACCTCCCTGACAAGATGCGGGTCTGAGTCCCTGGAACCTCTGCATTGGGTTACATGGAAAGGGGAATGAAGGCTGCAGATGGAGCTGAGGTTGCTCATCATCTGTCCTGGAGATGGGGTAATTCTCTGGATTTCCCAGGGGTCCATTGTAACCACAGGATCTTTATATAGGAAGATGGGGACAGAAGAGGGAGAACGAGACAGAGGGCACACTGAGGACCCAGCCTGGTGGAGCTCCATTTGTAGGTGGGAAATGGGTCCTGTGCCATGGATGTGGGCAGCTGGAGAAGCTGGAAAAGGAAAGGAGGAGACAGGTTCTCTCTGAGAGCCTCCTGAAGGAACACAGCTCTGACAGCGCAGTGACGTTATCCCCCTGAGACCATTCGGACTTCTGAGCTCCAGAACCATAAGAAAATCAATATGTCTTGTGCTAAGCCACTAAATTTGCAGTATTTTTTTACAACAGCTATTGAAAGCTAACACTATCTGTTTTAAAGTGGTCCTTGCTTTAGGAAGAAAAAATTCAGGTGAGGAAGGCCTAGGATTGCTCAGGCAGGTGGAAATACTGCATTTTGAAAAAGATGCCTTTACATTTAAAAATGGTTAAGATGCAAACTTTCATGTTACATGTATCATGCCACAATTTAATTTGTGCGTGTGAGCATGTGTATGACCAGTCTGGAGTGCAGTGGCACGATCATAGTTCACTGAAACCTCAATCTCCTGGGCTCAAGGCTTTCTCCCCACTCAGTGTGGGAGAGTGGGGTGCAGGGTAGTCTGAGCCCCTCGGGTTGCTGTTTCCCATGCCCTGGCAGAAGCCTCAGTAGTAGTCATACTCCTGCCTTTACCATGCCATGTGGTAGATCGGTCCAGGGTCCAAGTGGGTCTTGGCTGTGAGTGCAATCGGGGCGAGTCATTCTGCCAGGCTTGGGGACTGTGCTACTCAGGAAAATTTTCTCATCAGCCACCCCAATCCTGTCCCAGATGGGAGGAGCAGTGAGTGCTGAGCCCAGGCTCGCTGCCTTCCCAATGCTCCCAGCATCACACCAGCTCCTTCCCAGACACTGCAGGGTCCAGGCTCACTGTGTTCACCATGCTCTCACCATTGGCTCCCCATCATCACTGCCCTCCCAGCATCCTCCCAGCCCCTCTAGGGCACTGCCTGACCAGGTGGGGGTTGGGTGAAGAGGCAGAGGTCAGGGCAAGACTCCTGGTCCAGATTGACTTTACGTTCCTCTCTGAAACGTGACTGCATTCCACATCCTGTTCCTCTGGCAACCTCAGTTGGGATCATCTGTAGGGCAGTGTAGAATCTGGATCGGTGATGACCAATTCCTGCCACCATGGCTTTTCAACTATATTGATTTTTCCTAAAATGGATAAACAGATTAGCAATAAGTTGTGGAAACACTGTTTTCCTTACTAACAATAGAGATGTGTATACATATCAATGCTGGTTTTTAAATATAAGCCCATAGGCACTCTGCTGCATGCAGATTCTATCTCAAAATAAAACACTCTGAAGATGTTCCAAGACCCACACATACAGATTCTTTTCCTTTTTTTCTCTGCACGACATTGTATAGAATGACTGCATCACAACATGTAACCAGTGTCTATGTCTGAAGATCTAGATGGTCTCCAGTCAGTTATTTTTACAGAAACCAAATGCTGCAGAAAGTGTGCTTGAATGAATCTCAATTCAATTGTGTAGAATAGATTTCCAGACACAGAATTGCTGTGCAAAGTAATGCACCTTTAAAGTGTCTCATGTCACGGGATGGCAATGCTGGTAACACTCTTGTCTGTGATTGTGATGACCCAGCTTGGGCAGAGGATGGTGAAACATCCACTGCAGAGGGAGGGGAAACTGGTACAGGCTTCCTGAGGGACAAGGTGACAGGGTTCATCAAGAGTCAAAAATATCCAAGTCTGAATGAAGAATATGTATTCATATGCATTTGAAATGGAGTAAAGATTCCCTGGAAAGATGAAAAGAATCCAATAAAGTTTCGTCTGTGTGGCCAATGAGAGTGGACGCAGGCAGGGGCGGGGGAGCCTTTCACACATGACTTTTCATGGTTTCGATCCTGATACACGTGAATATATGGAGGTGAAGTAGTAAGGAAGGGTGGGGCCGGGAGCCCCGGCGACGGTCACCAGTTGAGCTCGCCTGATCTGTTGTGGGCTACGAGAGTCCGGGGACGGGCAATCTGGGCAGAGTCGCACGAGGCTGCTGCAGTGATGAGGCACTGGTTCTAGAAATTTACCCAACGGTGTTGTCATAGGGGGGACATTACAGGTGATTGCTGATTTCAACCACAGATGACTTTCGGGGAAAGTTCTCTCCTGGGGGTTTCTGTTTCTACCCCGCCGCGTCCTCTCCGAGTTCTGCGCGCTCCTCCCAGGGCGCCCGCTGTCCCCGAGCTCTGGACCCGGGTCCTGCCCAGTGGAGACCGCGGAGTTGGTGCCCCGCTTGCGGCCGATGCTCCCGGGCCTCCGAGTCCACAGCGTCCGGACAAAACGGCCTTTGGAAGACCTGGGAGGACTCGCCGGTAGCGGCAAGGGAAGGAGCCAGGAAATGCGGGGGTCGGTGGGGTGAGGAGCACGGGGTTCCTACTTCATCCTCGCGGAAACTTTGCCACCGGCTCAGTGTGGAGACCTCACCGTCCCGCTTGGATCCGTGGGGCTCCGGCAGTGTGGCCTCCGCGAGGACCCCCATCCTCCTTGCCCTGGGGATGCTGCGGGAGGGCGCCCGGGCCGCACTAGGTCCTGAGTGTCCAGGGTCCGGCAGGGGCTTCCCGTTGTCGCCTCCCCGACCCCGCCGCTCGCGGTCCAGGGCTCCTGGTTTCTCCACTGGGCTGGGGGCCCGGAGCATGGACGTCGTGAGGCGGAGAAAACCTTGGGATGGGTGGAAAAGAAGGATCGGAGAGAGGGCGGGAGAAAGGGAGAGGAAGGAAGCAGGTAAGGCCGGAGAACAATGAGCAACCCCCACCACGAAAGTGGGGAGAGGGGGACACGCGCACAGCCCCCACACTCCACCGACTCTCCGTCTCCTGCTCTCTGCCCTGTAAGGAACGCAGGCCCCACCCCCTCCACCCTCACTGTGTTTGGGATCAGCCATTTCAGCGGGATGCCTCTTGTGGGTGCGATTGGCATTTCCCTGAGGGCTGTGAACACCAAACACCTTTTCCTGGGCTCACTGCAATTTGCATTCTTCTTCTGATGCCAGTGGGCAAGGGGAGGTCCCCAAACGCTGATGGGACCCCGACTCTAGCCGGTGTGGGGCTCTTGACACCGCATGAGGAAATGAATTCAAGGACGAGTAGGAAAATAGAGAAAGGATGGAGATTTATTGTAAAAGGAAAAGTACACACTCAAGTAAAGGGAGTGCAGGGGAACTCAAGAGAGAGGCAGGGGCAAGGGGGTTTGGGGCTGCCAACTTTCAGCGTTTCTTCAACCAAGGGGTGGAATATTCATCAAAATTCCTGGAAGAAGGTGGAGATTTCTCAGAACTGTGGTGCCACCCATTTTTACACCCAATATGGGTATTCTCAGAATTGCCAGGACACTGGTGGGTGTGTGTTTAGTATGTTAATGAGCATATAATGAGGTCCTAGGTGAAACCTAGGTCAAATCCAGGGCCATGTTTGGTCCACTCTTTCCTAGCCAGCTTGGTCCACATCCTGTCTTTTAGGGTTTTATCAGCCCAGAGCCTAACAGATATTTCAACAAATTCCTTTTGCTAGTCACCTGAAACTGCTGCCTAAAATTTTCTATTCTTTTGTGACCACTTTGTGTCTCACTTTGGAGAAATATCTATTCAAATCCTTTGCATATATTTAAATTGGGTTATTTTGCTTTATAATGTTGAGTTGCAAGAGTTCTTTATGTATTCAGCATAGCAGCCCCTTACCAGATATAGGATTTTCAAACATTTTCTAAATTTTTAAAGTGTTTTAACCTTCTAAATGGAAGTCTTTTTGAAGTACAGAGGTTTTACATTAGCATGAAATGAAATTAAGCTACCTTTTATTTTGCCATTTGCACTACTGGCATACAGTACTTAAGAAGCATTAGCCAAATCCGGGGTCACAAAAATTTACTGCTCTACTTTCTTCTGAGACTGTCATAGTTTCATGTCTTAGGTGAACACCTGCCATTCATCTAGAGCTAGTTTTTGTGTGTGCTGTAAGGAAGGGGTCAGCCTCATTCTTCTGCATGTGGCATCCAGTTGTCCCAGCACCATTCACTGCAGTGTAGGATGCACCTGTCCCACCTCCTGTCCCTCCTCCTGCACTTGGTGTCAGAACTGCCTCCTGCTGAACGGTTCTCCCAGGGTTTCCACCAATGAAGTCCCCTTATGAATCCTGTGTAGGCGTCTGCTTCTCAGAGGACCTGGACTAAGGAGTGGATTTGCCAGAGGAAATTATATTTCATGAGATGTAACCTTCTGAGAATAGTAACACTCAGCATACCCCTGAATACATCAAAAGTAAGAAATTGCATGATTTGGTCATTTGGGTCCCACAAGTCTTCTGTCAATTTAGCTTATTGGAGTTTAAATTTTTTTTTTGTTATTTCTGCTGTTATTGTTGCTGTTGTTGTTGTTTTCTTTGAGACAGGCTCTCACTCTGTCACCCAGTCTGGAGTGCAGTGGCACCACCATGACTCACTGCTACCTCAAACTCCCAGGCTCAAGTGATCCTTCCACCTTAGCCTCCTGAGGAGCTGGGACTACAGTGACATGCTACTATACTTGGTCTGTTTTAAAATTTTCTGTAGAGACAGGGTCTCACCACGTTGCCACGGCTCATCTCCAACTCCTAGCCCCAAGCAATCCTCGGCATTGGCTTCCCAAAGTTCTGGGATTACAGACATGAACCACCACTCCTGGCCCCAAAAGTTATTGCTTTTTAGTTTTTACTTTTCACATGGTTGTATGACATTATGTAGATTTTTAAAATTCTGTATAAGTAATTTGGGGAATGCTATATAATATAATGTTTTCTTTAGCCACAGCTTCCTAAAGATAGAAGTGGTATTAAAATGTTGTGCATTCGTCAAATCTTGAAGAAGTTTCAAATTTTTAGGTTGATTCTAACCTCTCATTTTGGTTGACACAATAATCCATAAAAACAAGTAAAGCGCCCACTCTGATCTGGAAGGGGTAAGGAGGTGAAAGTATTGATAAGCCAAAGTGACAGCCTCTTTTGTAGACATGATCCTGCCTAAATATCTCATGCCCCTCAAAAGAGGGCCCTGAACGCCCTGCTTCTGCAGAGCTCCATGCAGTCCTTGAAGCACTCTCTGGCTGTCTCTGCAAGTGGCTGAACAGCTCCTCCTGGTCTCTGTGGGGCTGCAGAGGCTCCAGGTCCCCATGGCTCAGGGGCTGTCATGCTCACCAGGTCCCATCAAGGGTGCACCCCACTGTGGGTGGTGGAGGAGACCAGGTGTAGCTGCTCCTGCCTCTACACCTCTCCTGACTGGCCAATCTTAACAGGAGGAAGGAGTAGGGATGAGTGGAGCCATGGAGGTTGGTGCTGGAAAGAACAGAAATGAAGACCTTCGTCCAATCCCCCAAATGATGGGGATCCCTTTCTGAGTTCTAGCAGCCCTGGGGTAGTCTGATGATTGGATTCCTCCCATGTGTCTTAAACCCTATTGTATGGTAGCCACTGTGCTAGGTGCTGGGTTTACATGTGGGTGATGGATGTGTCCAGTCCTTCAGGAACTTAGAATCCAGGGACAGAAACAAATACCCACGTGGCTGCTCCTGCTGATGTGATGTCCTCGAGGTGGTTGGGGCTATCAGAGTACAGAAGAGGGGGTGACTCATTCTGCCTGGGGAGTTGCATGGAGGCTTCTCGGGAGGTGGCATTTCAGACTCTTCTTTTGGGAATGGGAAGAATACAGCATAGCCAGGTGGGAAGAGAAAACAGGGCACCTGGCAGAGGGACAAGGATGAGGAGGTGGCCTGGGGGTACAAATATCATAGAACGTTGGGAATCTGTGAGAAGTCTGTAGTAATGAAACCTCAGTTACTGGGGTAGACTCTTTCCACAGGGAGGAGGGAATGTCAGGAGGGAAGATAGGGAAGGAGGGGTGGGCAGGAACCCCCCTGGAGTCCCTGTCTCCATCCACAGCAAATCAACCAGGAAATCAATTCACCATTCATACATGTATGTTAACACACACACACGCAAACACACACAGAGATATGCACGCACAGTCTCTCACACACTCACACCACACATACACATACACTCACACAAAAACACACACATACACAAATGTATACTGAAATAGAGACACAGACACAAATGCACGTGCACACACAAAGACACATAAACACACAGAAGAAACTGGGTGTCATCTCAAGAGTTGTCATGTCTGGCCCATCCTGCCCACTCACCTGTCACCTCAGGGGCTGCCTCCTCGCTCATGAAGGATTTCTGAAGTCGTCAATCAGGATGTCACTGTGTGATCTGAAACACTCAGACAGCTCCTCACTCTGACCTTCATTCCTGGTCCCCTTGGTTCTGGGATGAAGCAGAGTCCTATTGGTTTACGTTGCAGCAGACGAGAAACCTCTCCCGTGGGGCAGAACTGCTGGGCCACCAGAGAGCACCCCTCTGCTCTTTACTCTCAGAGCATCTTTATCTGCAGGGTGGGAGGAACTGCCCCAACCCCTAAAAAGGAACTCTTTATGGACCCCTCATCCACCATGATGTCAACGTCTGTTTTGTCTTCTCTGTAGCCCTTGGCTGTGGATCCCAAGCTGTGTGCCAAGGAGCTCAGGGCACAAACGCACCTTGAGCAAACCCTCTGGGCCTATTGAAATAGTGTGCTGGACCACACTAGAAAGTACTAGTCCAAGATTTTTTATAATTTCAACATTAGACTATGCAACATTGCTTTAGATGACATAGTATTTTTAAAATCTGTGATTTCAACAGTTGTTGTGATAAAAAACCAAGAACCTCTGCAAAAATCGGTATGAAATAGGAAATAAGGATGGCTGTGTCCAATCTGCTTGCAAGGTTTGAGAAGTTGCTCAGTGCCCAGCAGGTACACATGTCCATTAATAAACACATGTGTCTATTTAAGAATGAAATAGGGGGAATTCTTGTGGAGGTCAGAGTGGAAACAGGTGTGAGAGGATCCAGCAGAAGAAAACATGGCTGCCAAAGTGTTTGAGTCCATCGGCAAGTTTGGCCTGGCCTTAGCTGTTGCAGGAGGCATGGTGAAGTCAGGCTTATATAATAAGGATGCTGGGCACAGAGCTGTCATCTTTGAATGATTCTGTGGATTACCAGACATTGTGGTAGGGAAAGGACTCACTTTCTCATCCCATGGGTACAGAAATCAATGATCTTTGACTGCCGTTCTCGACCACATACTGTGCCAGTCATCACTGGTAGCAAATATTTACAGAATGTCAACATCACACTGTGCATCCTCTTCCGGCCCGTCTCTAGCCAGCTTCCTCGCATCTTCGCCATCACCGGAGAGGACTATGATGAGCGTGTGCTGACGTCCATCATGACTGAGATCCTCAAGTCAGTGGTGGCTCGTTTTGATGCTGGAGAACTAATCACCCAGAGAGAGCTGGTTTCCAGGCAGGTGAGTGACGACCTTACAGAGCAAGCAGCCATCTTTGGGCTCATCCTGGACAACGTGTCCTGGACACATCTGGCCTTCAAGAAGTTGTTCACAGAAGCGGTGGAAGCCAAACAGGTGGCTCAGCAGGAAGCAGAGAGGGCCAGAATTGTGGAAAAGGCTGAGCAGCAGAAAAAGGTGGCCATCATCTCTACTGAGGGCGACTCCAAGGAAGCTGAGCTGATTGCCAACGAACTGGCCACCTCAGGGGACAGCTTGATGGAGCTGAGCAAGCTGGAAGCTGCAGAGGACATCGCGCACCAGCTCTCAGGCTCTCGGAACATCACCTACCTGCCGGCGGGGCGGTCCGTGCTCCTCCAGCTGCCCCAGTGAGGGCCCACCCTGCCTTCACCTCCATGGACCGACGGCCCACAGACCCGATGATTCTTAACACCGCCTTCCTTCTGCCCCCTCCCCAGAAATGACTGTGAAATTTCATGATTTGCTTAAAGTGAAGGAAAGAAAAGTAAAATCACTTCAGATCTCTAATCAGTCTATCAAATGAAACTCTTTCATTCTTCTCACACCCATCTACTTTTTTATCCACCTCCCTACCAAAAATTGCCAAGTGCCTATGCAAACTGGCTTTAGGTCCCAATTCGGGGTCTGCTGGAGCTTTGGCTTGGGAACCAGCCGCTGGCAGCACGCAGGCAGGGCAGCGTGTGATGGATTGGGGAGCACAGGTGTCCACCTGGGTCCACGTGTGGCCTCCATCCTGTCACTGATGAAAGATTTGCGGATGAGGGCACATGTGGCTGAACTTAGAAGGCAGGTCTCAATCTTCCCAGCAGTTCCTGCACAGGTGCCGCTGAAGAGAGGTGCCGGGGAGGGGCAGTGAGGACGTGGTCTGTGTCTTACCATAAGGGTGATTCTCCTGAACTGTGCGACCAGTGGAAGCGGGTGTGTGTGAACTGGGCACAGATGGAAGAATTTGCCCCTGTTGAGGTGGGTAGGCCTGATTGTTGCCCCTCAGGGTCCTAAAACTTGTATGGACTTGGATAGTGAGGAGGCCTGGACTGAGATGTGAGTCCTGTCGAAGACTCCCTCTCTACCCCCAACCTTGCTCCCTCTCAAATACCCAACGGAATTCCAACTTGAAGGATTGTATACTGTTGGGGCTGGATGTGCCGCCAAGGATGTGTCCAATCTGCGTTCCTGCCTCCCTCATTCAGAGACTGCGCTTCTCAAGGGCTCTGGGCCTGCCCTGGGAAGGAAACAACCGTGGGAAGGAAACAAATGTGTATAAACTGCTGTTAATTAATGACACCTGGCCCTTTCAGCTCAAAAAAAAAAAAAACACGAAATAAACATACTACTTTTTCAATTCATGTGAAATATTTTCTTAAATCATGATTAAATTGCTCGGTGATAAATATTGATTGTTTGGTCCTAATTACTTACAAAATACATTCTCCGGTATTTCTTTTTTGTTTGTTTTGTTTTTTGTTTTCTTTTGTTTTGTTTTTTTGAGACAGAGTCTCGCTCTGTCCCCAGGCCAGAGTGCAGTGGCGTGATCTCGGCCTACTGCAACCTCTATCTCCTGGATTCAAGTGATTTTCCTGCCTCAGCCTCCTGAGTGTCTGTGACTACAGGAACACCTCACCATGCCCAGCTAAGTTTTGTACTTTTAGTAAAGACAGGGTTTCACCATGTTGGCCAGGATGGTCTTGATATCCTGACCTCGTGATCCACTGACCTTGGCCTCCCAAAGTGCTGGGATTTACAGCTGTGAGCCACCGCACCCAGCCTTTGTTTTAAGGTTGTCTTGAAAATCTTACGGAGGCACCTTCTGGATTTTCCCTGGACCACTCCAGGCCATTTCGCCGGCTCTGCCTCCTGAGGGAATGCTCACCTCCTTGAAGCCAGGACTCACAGGTCACCTTCTTGGGAGAACTTCCTGTTCAGGCTACTGAGGACCTGGGGGCTCCCCTCCCACTCTTCCTCCCCACAACCTTGTTCCCCGCCCCCGAATCATCTGTCACCTTCCTATGCCCGATGCAATGCACCTGCTCATTACGTTCACCTGCTGTCCCCACTGGAGCAGGGATTTTGTCTGTTTTCCTCAGGGAAGCATCCGCAGCACAGCCCATTGTTGGTGCTGAGGCTATACTAATCCTGTGAGTGAATAAATCAGAGGCAGTGATTGGGGCAGGGGCTTCTTTCTTGTTCATTCATTCACTACACTTTAGATGGTAACTTAAGACATGGTGGGACCAGTGTTTTCTGGGCACAGTAAATCAGAATATATTGTGAAGACAAGAAGTAGAAATAAATAGTAGGTGGAAGAATGTGAATTTTCAAGTGGGAGTTGGGAAGAGTGAGAGAAAAACCAATCAGGAAAGGGACAAGTTTGGCTTGGTTGCAGCTAACATGGTGGAGAAACGCAGCTATCTGCAATAGAGACTGGGCGCTGTTAGGTTTCTCTGCTTTGTCGAGACCATCTCCACAACCTTCTCTGCATCCTCTTCTCTCCTGATGCTGAATGCAGCTCTTGTGCCTTCGGTGCCAAGGAAGCCACAGTCCCAGGCCAGAGGAAGGGCTGAGGTGGACAGTAGAAAAGGAGGGAGTGGGTGCAGAAGGGGACACCTGGAAGCAATGACTTGTGGAGAATAAACAAAAAATATCACTGGAAAATATGACAAAAAAGAAGGGTATAAAGAACAAGGTGGAAATCATCTGAAATTCTATCATGCGGTGTTTAATGTTAGGGTTTTGGTGTAATCATATGTAATTTTTATAAAATTATGATCATACACCTTAGAATTATTTTAAATGACTAGAGTGTATATTTTTAGAGCAGGGATAGAGTTCATAGTGCAGAGCTCTCTCTTGCTCCTACCACTTAATTATTTTTTTTTGGCCTCATGTCATTTTAATTATTTATTCATTTTTTATTTCAATTCTTATTGTAAGGGGTACACATGCAGGTTTGTTATATGGGTCAATTGTGGGAGGCTGAGGCTTGGGGTCCTAGTGATCCCATCACTCAGCCAGTAAGCATGGTACCCAACAGGTGGTTCTTCAGCCCATGTTCCCCTCCCCGCTCCCCTGTCTAGTGATCTCCAGTGTCTCCATCTTTACATTCATGTGTATTCAATGTTTAGCTCCTATCTGTAAATGGGAACCTGCAGCATGTGGTCTTCTACTCCTGTGTTAGGTTGCTTATGATAATGGCCTCCAGGTCCATCCATGTAGCTGGAAAGAACTTCATTTTGTTGTCTTTCACGGCTGCATAGATTTTCATGGTGTATGTGGGCCACATTTTCTTCATTCAATCTGATCTCACACAGCGAAATCCTCTCACCGTGGGTTCAGGACACAGGAGGGGGGAATAATTTAGCCTGGGGAGGTGTGATGTGATATGTCAACCTGGAAGGTGATTTGGATGAGATTGACATTTAAATTGGTGAACGCTGAGTAAAGCAGATTACCCCTGTAACAGAGGTGGGCTTGAATCTAATTAGTGGAAGTCTTGAAAACATCTAAAAGATTGGCCTCTCCAAAAAAGAAAAATTCTCCGCAGACTGCACCTGCCCCATCAGCATTCCTGGGTCTCCAGCCGGGTGGCCCACACTGCAGATTGTGGGCTTGCCAGTCACATATTGGCGATAGGCAATTTCTAATAATCTCTCTCTCTCTCTCTAGCCTGCTACACACACACACACACACACACACACACACACACACACACACACACACACACTTGCTTCTGTTTCTCTGGAGAATCCTAGTATAAGAAGGTATGGCTAACCTAACGGGAGATGACATTTGTGCCCAACTTTTAAAGCATGACTGGCTCTGAGCTGGTGGGAAATATGATACCCTCTAGAAGATGCACCAGAACAGAAAGCCTGAAGGCAACTAGATAGGACCAGGAGTAGGCCAGGAGGGTTTGACTATAGAGGATCAGAAAAGAAGAGATGTCAGGAGGTGAGAAGGGACAGGGCGGATATGTGGGAAATTCCTATTATAGTCATGAGTTCCAGCCAGAAAATCCATGGAAACACACATGCACACATAAACAGACACAGACACACATACACACATACAATGCACACACATGCACACACCTAGGCAGCTAAGACAGCTGATCTAATCTCAGAATAGCTGCTGAGCCTTTTCTCTGACTCACCTCCTGCCAGCTCCTGCATTCAAGTGAGGGTCAAGGCCTGTGAACCTGAATGACCCCAGCTCCTGTTTTAGGCTGAGCTGCTTCAGGCTCTAGAAGGACCTAGGAGTTGCCTGCAGGAGAGGAGAAGGGAGGAGAAGCTGCCTTAAGCAGAGAACAGAGGGTGAGAGGGAAACACCTGGAGGCCCTGGCTTCGGAGGAGGAGAAGAAACCATAGTGGATTTATTGAGGGATTTATATCTTTACATCAGTTTCTGAAAAGTACATTTTTCTTAAGTTCCTATTTTCAACTAGTAAACAACAACAACAACAACAACAAAATTTGAAACAAGCAAGAATTGCAAAGTATTTGCAGGCAGAATCCAGAGGACTTCTCTGCCTGCACTACTTGAGAGCGAGCTGCCACGCTGATGCCTCATCTTTAATGATGCCACCTCATGCCCCATACTTTAGTGTTCTTCCTAACAACCATGACACTCTCCTAATAAGCACAATACAATCACCAAAACAGATTTCACATCCATACGTTACATCCATCTCATGCTCAGACACCACTCAAAGTTCACCAGTTGTTTTGATTATCTGTTTTACAAACAAGGATCTGATGGATTTAGGCATTTTTTATCTACTTATTTTACTGAAAATACAGATCAGGGTGTTTTATTTGCCCCATTACTTGACCTCTGTATTTCTGGAAATATGAGGAGAGATTTGGATTGATGTGGTACTTCTTCCTGTGTGTCACTCAGAGGTCCTCATTAATATATTTGAAAGATTTAACATCTTTTTATCCAGCGTTTTGGTTGCTTAATCTTTTGCTAGTTCAGATGTTCTAGTCTGACATAGAAACAGAAATCTAACACCAACATGAGAAAACATGCTGTACTTTAGTGGAATGTTTTATTGCTAACTTTTTAATATGAAAACAACAGCAAAGTAAACAACCAAATATCTCCATGCTTTCTGGAACATGCTTGGAGCCTGAAACTGACTCGGATTGCTGGGTAGTGGGATGAGCACAGTGTCCACTGTCCTGGATATCACCTGAGTCTGTGTCAAAGGAACGATTCAATATAGACTCTTACCCACAATGGAAGAAGTCTCTGATGTTCCACTTCCTGCCCACCACCTGGTGTAGACAGATTTAAACATCTGTCAGTAGAATGGGTGTGAGAGGGCATTGCATTGTCCTTTCATGTGTGTTATCTTGATTATGTGGGACATGTCAAATCTTTCATGGGCTTCTTCGGAATCTCTGAACTGCTCGTGGCATTTGCCCAATCATAGGAGAATTAGATGTATTCTTATTTATTTGAAGGAGTTTTTTATACATTCCAAATCTGATCTTTTGTCCACAGAGGAATAAAATAACTCTTAAAAATAGAGATTAATCTGATGTGGAGATTACTTCTAATAGAATTAGTTGTGGTCAGGGCTGAGGGATGACAAGGAACGTCACCGCCCAGGGTGTAGTGTACTGGGGCCAAACCAGAAAAAGGTTTTTTTGTTTGTTTGTTTGTTTGTTTTGTTTTGAGACAGAGTCTTGCTCTGTTGCCCAGGCTAGAGTGCAGTGGTGTGATCTTGGCTCACTGCAAGCTCTGCCTCCCAGGTTCACACCATTCTCCTGCCTCAGCCTCCCGGGTAGCTGGGACTACAGGCGCCCGCCCCCACACCCGGCTAATTTTTTTGCTGTGTTTTTAGTAGAGACGGGGTTTCACAGTGTTAGCCAGGATAGTCTCGATCTCCTGACCTTGTGATCCGCCCGCCTTGGCCTCCCAAAGTGCTGGGATTACAGGCGTGAGCCACCGCGCCCAGCCTGTTTTTGTTTGTTTGTTTGTTTGTTTGTTTGTTTTGATACAGTGTTTTGCTCTTGTTGCCCAGGTGGGAGTGCAATGGCGTGATCTCGGCTCACTGCAACCTCCAACTCCAGGGTTCAAACGAGTCTCCTGCCTCAGCCTCCCAAGTAGCTGGGACTACAGGCGCCCACCACCAGGCCCAGCTAATTTTGTATTTTTAGTAGACGGGGTTTCTCCACGTTGGTCAGGCTGGTAGTGAACTCCCAACCTCAGGTGATCCACCCACCTTGGCCTCCCAAAGTGCTAGGATTACAGGCGTGAGCCACCGTGCCCAGCCAGTCACGTCTTTTAAGAATAGGAACATTGGTGTCTGTCAAGTATTAGGACAATGTTCAAGACTGACAGTCAGAGGTCCTGTAATTTAGAAGTGTTGTTTAGTTACCTTCTTCCCAAAGAGTCTAGCGGAATCCCTAGCTTATTACTCAATCACATGAAGAAAGAATGAAATCCCATTAATTCTCTACTGGATTATAACACAAAATTCAGAAGTCAATAAATATTTTAGAAAATAGAGATTTTTGGCCAGGCGCGGTGGCTCACGCCTGTAATCCCAGCACTTTGGGAGGCAGAGGCAGGCGGACCACCGGTTCAAGGAGATCGAGACCATCCTGGCTAACATGGTGAAACCCCGTCTCGACTAAAAATACAAAAAAATTAGCCAGGCGTGGTGGTGGGCGCCTGTAGTCCCAGCTACTCGGGAGGCTGAGGCAGGAGAATGGCAGGAACACAGGAGGCGGAGCTTGCAGTGAGCTGAGATCGCGCGCCACTGCATTCCAGCCTGGGCCACAGAGTGAGACTCCGCCTCTCAAAAAAAAAAAAAAAAAGAAAGAAAATAGATATTTTTAATTAAATATCAGTAGCAGATAAATTACCAAAGGAAAGAATCATGCCTATATATTTTCTTATGAACAAATTAGAAAATTCTGATTCACGACATGAAAAGAATCCCTGGTGTTCTGAAGTCGGCCATGGTATTTCAGTGGCAATGCTTTAGAAGAACAAAATCATGGTTTAGAGAAGCATCTGTTTTTCCACAACCAAAGAAGATGACAGAAAATGTTCTTTTGGTTGAGATTTCTTCTTCAATAAGTTAAAACTTTAAGGGCAGGAATTCTTCCATCAGGTAGCACAAGAGAAAATGGCAAAGCATTTTAAGAAATTCCAGCAATAGGATTATTGCCAAAGGGATTAAGGCTCCTGAGATGCTGAGTCTATGGGGTCATCCTGATCTGCTGGAGGCCTCTGGATTTGCTAAGGCTTGAATTCGAATTCCTGGTGGTCTAGAAATGAAGAGTGAGTGATGCACAGGCTGCCAGCCAGAAGGGAGAGTTTGACATGCAACCCGTAATTCCAGCTAATCTGGAGGCTGAGGCAGGAGAATCACTTGAACCAGGAAGGCGGAGGTGGCAGTGAGCCAAGATCGTGCCATTGCACTCCAGCCTGAGCAACAGAGTGAGACTCCATCTCAAATAATAATAACAAAAGAAAAAGGCAAAAATTCAGACAACTAAAGGGAAAATGGGCAAAAGAGTTGAACCAGCCCTTCACAGAAGAGGAAATGTGAAGGAATGGCCAATAAAAACATGAAGAGGGTTTCAGCCTAACAGGATGAGGTATCACATGACACCCACTAGACTGGCAAAACCCCCACAACCCAATAAATGCAAGGGTTGGGGAGAATGGAGAGCAACAAGAACACTCAGCCCCTTCTAAGAATGGTTGTAAATTTGTTTTTTTTTTTTTAGTATACTTGTATATGAAAGGATGTGTGTTGTGGGTTATGAGAAAAATTACATGTCTTACCAGGGATGAAGTTTTAAAAATTGAAAGCTACAGACCAGAAGAAACTTGCACTTCTGTACAAAAGAAATGCTCAAGAACGTTCTAGCAACACAGCCCTAAGGGCCCCAACCTGGCCAAACACTCATCAACAGGAAAATGAAGACATTTCCCATGTTCCCCTCATACCACGGGAGATCAAGATCACGCAGCAATGAAAATGAATCACGTCAATGTGGATGGGTCTCAGGAAGAGAATGGAGGACAAAAATAGACATCAAGCAAATGCTCAGACTCATTGCAGCCACACAAAAGAATTCCTTCACATCAAAGTTCAAAAACTGCAGCTGAGGCAACAGAGCAAGACCCTGTCTCAAAAAGACAACAGAAAGTTCAAAAACTAAATGGCATATTGTTTAGGGATGTACACATACATGGTGAAAGAAATGTACTAAGAAGAAAAGCATGGGAATAATAAAGACTAAAGCAGAAAGTGACTCCCTCTGTACAAGGGAAGGGACTGGGATTCAGGAGGGGCCTCCAGGGAGCATCCAAAGTTAAGTCTCTTCAGATTCTATTTCCTAAACTTGGTGGAGGTCCTGTGTGTCCAACGTGTCGATATTCTACCCATATTGTATAAATACTTTCTTCTGTTCAATGTTTAGAAGGCAATTATAAAAAAGATCCATTAAATAGCAAGATGGCAGATACACATCAGGAAGGAACATCAGGAACATCCATGGTGTTCCATCCATGGAACCTCACCATGGATGGATACCCTTGTGCTCATGGGCCTGGTCTCCTCTCAAGACACAGTCAGTTGTCGGGCATCAGAGGCCGCACTCATCATAGCAGAGAGGCAGGATCAGCTGGGACAGGGTCTTTCTGTGACACCAACTGCATCACCAGGCTGTGCAAAGTGACTCAGCTGCCAGAACTCACAGAATATCATTCTGCACCAAAACCTCACAGGAAAAATGGTAAATTCTCAGTTTCTCCATTAACAGCAGCTCTCAGATTAATCTCTGTCCTCCATTGCGTCTCCATGAAAGAAGATTTTATAGCTTTGCTTGGGTCTATTTTTCAATTCATTTTTTATTTTACTAACTGATTGAAAATATATATATAGTGTGTGTGTAATTTCGTCTCTGTCAGTCAGGATAATGATGGTTTAATTCCGATTATTATTATTATTATTATTACCAACATCATTAGTTTTTTTAAGCTTTTCAGTTCTTAAGGGTATTAATCATTGTCTTTCCGTCTCATGAGACAGAAAACAAATCCAAACTGTGTAAGAGGAAAAAGAATGTATTAATCACTAGAATTGAGAAGTTCCCAAGCTTAACTTGCTTGGGGTACAGCTACATCTACAGTTTCAAGTGGCGTCCTGTGACTCTCTCTCTCTACTTCCCCAAATTTGGCTCCATGTTTAGCTCCATGACCCTCAGACTTAAACAGAAGCACTGGCTCCTCCCAAGATCTCCAGCTCCCCAGCTCCCCGACCCTCAAACTTCAACTGCGGAACCAGCTCCTCCCCGGGTCTACAGCTCCACGATCCTCAAACTACAACAGCAGCACCAGCTTCCCTCCAGCTCAATGATTCTCAGACTTGAGAGGCAGCACTGGCTCCTCCCCAAGGCTCCAGCTTCAAGACCCTCAAACTAAAACAGCAGCACCAGCTACTCCCTGGGTCTCCAGCTCCCTGACCCTCAAAACTGTAGACCCTCAACTGTAGCACTTGCTCCTCCCCAGGGCCACCAGCTCCACGACCCTCAGACTTACACAGTGGTAGCACCAGCTCCTCCCTAGGTCTCCAGCTCCACAGCCATCAAACTTGAACTGCAGCACCAGCTCCTCCCATCTCCAGCTCCACGATCCTCAAACTATGACAGCAGCACCGGCTCCTCCCTGGATCTCCAGCTCAATGACTCTCAGACTTGAGAGGCAGCACCGGTACCTCCCCAAGGCTCCAGCTCCACGACCTTCCTTCAGATTTAAACAGCGGTAGCACCAGCTCCTGTCCGGGTCTTCAGCTCCACGATCCTTAAACTAGAACAGCAGCATCGCCTCCTCCCTGGGTTTCCAGCTCCATGACCCTAAGACATGAATGGCAGCACCGGCTCCTCCCCAGGGCTCCAGCTCCAGGACCCACAGATTTGAACGGCAGCAACAGCTCTTCCCCGGATCTCCAGCTCCATGACCCTCAAACTAGAACAGCAGCACGAGCCTCTCCCCGGGTCTCCAGCTCCACAACCCTCAGACAGGAACAGCAGCACTGACTCCTCCTTGGGTCTCTAGCTTCACCACCCTCAAACTTGAATTGCAGCAGCATCAGCACCTACCTTGGTCTCCAGCTCCACAACCCTCAGACTACAACAGCAACACTGGTTCCTCCCTGGATCTCCAGCTTAACGACTCTCAGACTTGAAAGGCAGCACCAGGTCCTCAGAAAGGCTCCAGCTCCAAGACCCTCAAACTAGAAGAGCAGCTGCAGCTGCACGTTGGGTCTCCAGCTCCACAACCCTCAAAGTAGAATAGCAGCACTGGCTCCTCCCTGAGTCTCCAGCTCCTCAAGTCTGAGGGTCATAGAGCTGGAGACCCAGGGAGGAGCCAGTGCTGCTGTTCTAGTTTGAGGCTTGTGGATCTGGAGACTCGGGGAGGAGCTGCTGCTGCCGTTCTAGTTTGAGGGTGGTGGATCTGGAGACCCAAGGTGCAGCCGGTGCTGCTAGTGTGAGGGTCATGGAGCTGGAGACCCGGGGAGGAACTGCTGCTGCTGTTCTAGTGTGAAGGTCGTGGAAATGGAGACCCGAGGAGGAGCCCTTTGAAGAGCAGCACTGGCTCCTCCCCAGGTCTCAGACTCCATGACCTTCAAACTTTAAAAGCGATAGTACTGGCTTCTCCCTGGGTTTCCAGCTATACAACCCTCAAACATGAACAGCAGCAGCACCGGCTCCTACCCGGGTCTCCAGCTCCATGACCCTCAAACTACAACAGCGGCACCAGCCTCTCCCTAGGGTCTCCAGCTCCACGACCCTTAAAATAGAACAGCATCGGCTCCTTCCTGGATCTCCAGCTCCCAAACCCTCAGACTTCAACTGAAGCACTGGATCCTACCCACAGTTGAACAGCAGCATGGACTCCTCCTCTAAACCTCCAGATCCATGACCCTCTGACTTAAATGGTGGTAGCACCAGCTCCTCCCTAGGTCTCCAGCTCCACGATCCTCAAACTACACAGCAGCACTGGCTCCTGCCTGGGTCTACAGCTCCACGATCCTCACACTAGAACACCAGAACTAGCTCCTCCCCGCCCTCCAGCTCCACGACCCCCAGAATTGAACAACAGCACAGCTCCTCCCTAGGTCTCCAGCTCCATGACCCTCAACCTGAAACCACAGCAGCACCAGCTCCTCCTGGGTCTCAAGCTCCACAACCCTCAAACTAGAACAACAAAGTTCCTCCCTGGGTCCTCACCTCCACAACCCTCACACTAGAACAGAAGCACCAGCTCCTCCCTGAGTCTCCAGCTCCACAAGCCTCAAACTAGAAAAACACCGGCCCCTCCCTTGGTCTACAGCTCCACCACCCTTTGAATTAAACAACAGAAGCACCAGCTCCTCACCAGGTCTCCAGCTCCATGACCCTCACACTAGAACAGCAGCACCAACTCGTCCCCGGTTCTCCAGTTCCATAACACTAAAATTTAAACAGCAACACCAGCTCCTCCTTGGGTCTCCAGCTCCATGACTCTCAAACTAAAACAATAATGCTCATTTCTGGGTCTCCACTCCATGCACCTCACACTACAACAGCACCAGCTCCTCCCCAGGTCTCCAGCTCCACAATCCTCAAACTAGAACAACACCAGGTCCTCCCTGGTTCTCCAGCTCTATGATCCTCAAACTAGAACAACACTTCTCCTCCCTGGGTCTGTAGCTCCACAACCCTCAAACAAGGGCAACACAGCTCCTCCCAGGATCTCCAGCTCCACAACGTTCGAATTAGTACAACACAAGCTCCTCCTCGAGTCTTCAGCTCCACGACTCTATAACTGGAACAACACCAGCTCCTCCTTGGGTCTCCAGCTCCATGACCCTAAAACTAAAAAAACAATGGCTCCTCCTTGGGTCTCTAGCTCCATGACCTTAAAACAAGAACAATACCACTCATCCCCAGGTCTCCAGGTCCACGACCTGAAAACTAGAACAACACCGGCTCCTCCCTGAGTTTCCAGCTCCACGATCCTTAAACTAGAACAACAGCGCTCCTCCCTAGGTCTGCAGCTTCACGACCCTCAAACTAAAAAAACAGCGACTGCTCCCCGGGTCTCCAGCTCCACGACTCCCAAATTAGAACGAAACTGGCTCCTCCCCAGGTCTCCAGCTTCACGACACTCAAACCAGAACAACAGTACCAGCTCCTCCCCGGGTCTCCGGCTCCACGACCCTCAAACTAGAACAACACCGGCTCCTCCTCGGATCTCCAGCTCCATGACCCTCAAAGAAGATCAACACCGGCTCCTCCCCAGGTTTCCAGCTCCATGTCCCTCAAACTAGAACAACAGCACCAGCTCCTCCCCAGGCCTCCAGCTCCAGGACCCTCAGACTTGAACAGCAGCATCAGCTCCTCCCTAGATCTTCAGCTCCACAACCCTCAAACTAAAACAGCATCACCAGCTCCTCCCTGGGTCTCCAGCTCTATGACCCTCAAACTACAACGGGAGCACAAGCTCCTCCCTGGAGCCCCAGTTCAATGACTCTCAGACCTGAAAGGCAGCAACACTCTTCCCCAAGGCTCCAGCTCCATTACCCTCAGATTTGAACAGCAGTAGCATCAGCTCCTCCCTGGGTCTCCAGCTCCTCAACCCTCAAACTAGAACAGCAGCACCAGCTCCATCCGGATCTCCAGATCTATTACCCTAATACATGAGTGGGTTCTTTCCCGGTGCTCCAGTTCCATGATACTCAAACTAGAACAGCAGCACCAGCTCCTCCCTGAGTCTTCAGCTCCACGACCCTCAAACTAGGAGAACACCAGCTCCTCCCCAGGTCCCCAGCTCCATGACCCTCATGAACAATCCCTTCTTATGAAATTCAGCAGTCAAGAAAACTGCAGAGGAAGTAAATGAATAAATGTTTTGCTTTCAGATTGATATTTCTTTTATGTTCACACAAGTCAGGAAACTTTTCTGCTTTCCCCAACCTTGCAATCTACTTGTGTTCAAATATAAGATAGAAATCCACCATTTGAAATGACCTTTAAAAACTTAGTAATATTTTTTAATATGATCTTATGTCACAGCTGTAGAAATGATCTTATTTCTCTCTGCCTGTGCAGAAGTCTTATGAACATTCAAACTATGAATTTAGTTTGTTGAGATTCCCAGAATACGCATTATCCCCAAATATTACTGCCCTCCTTAAAATCTTCTAACACGTTCCCATCACTCGAGCATAAATGCCAGCTCCCATCCACAGCCCACAGTGCCCAGCACGGCCCTGCTCTCTTTCCTGCCAGAAAGGCCTCTGTCAGTTCTTCAAACCACACAGGCTCAGGCCCGACTCCGGGCCTCTGCCTCTGCTGTGCCCTCTGCGTGGGGTGCCTTTCCCCGGCTCCCCATCCTCCTCTCAACCTGCTCAGTTCCAGCCTGCAGAGCACCCCTCAGGTCGATGAACACACGACATCCTCCCCACATAGGCCTTTGCACACGCTATTCTCTCTGCCTGAAACACTTCCCTCTCTCATCGTCTGGGTTCACTTTTCTAATTACCATTTATCTTTGGAGTCTCCACTGAAATATCACTCCCTGCCTGCCCCCATCACTTGGACTTAACCTTGGTTAGGTTGCCAACCCCTGTCTCCTGACTCCAGGAAGCTAGATGCGATTCTAGCTCTTGGAACTTTCCCATTGCAGTGTTTTGCACACTCGTAATTATTCTATCAGGTTGGTGCAAAGTCATCACAGTTTTTGCCATTACTTTTAATGAACTGCAGCACCGGCTCCTCCCTGCTTTTTATTGCCATTACTTTTAATGGCAAAAACCGAGATTACTGCTGCACCAACGTAATAGAATAATTTATATTTATTCATCCATCATCTGTCTTCCCCTCTAGAAAGTAATCTCTATGAGAATAGGGAGCAAATCTACTCAAATCACTCCACCTTTCTAGCACATTGTCAATAATTATTTACTGACTGACTGATACAGAAATATCTTCATTGTTGCTGGGATGACCCACATAACGTGACAGGCCCCTTTGAAGTTCAATGTCACAGACAGTTAGCATTTGCTTTTCTCTCCCGGACCTTTGGTTTGGCTGGGCTTAGGCTGATCTATTCTGGGCTTGACTTTAGGCTGAGGGTTGGAACCGTGCGAGCTCCACATGTCCTTTTTGCTCAGGATTGTTTTGACAGCTTGAACTTTTTTTTTTCCTTTTGGTTCCAAATAAATTTTAGAATAGATTGTTTTAATTCTGTGAAAAACAATATTGGTATTTTGATAGTGATACCTTTGCATCTATACATTGTTTTGGGAAGTATGGCCATTTTAGCTATATTGATTCTTCCAACCCATGAGCATGAAATATTTTTTTCCCTTCATTTGTGTTGTGTCTGATTTTTTTTTTTTTTTAAGCAGTGTTTTGTAGTTCTCCTGTAAAGATCTTTTATCTCTTCAGGTAGATGAACTACTAGGCTGGGGTCCCCACTAGCCTGATGCCTCACAGGGGGCGCCCGGCTGCCGCGGATGTCCCACCGGGAGGGACTGGCCCCGGGCGGGTCACCGCGGGCAGAAACGCCTTTGGAAGACGTGGGAGGACTAGCCCATCGTGGCAGGGATAAGGTTTTTTTCTTGGGGCTTGAGATGAGGGGAAATCAGAGGTGACTGCTGGTTTCCTCCCACAGCCTGGCGCGGGGGGCTGGGACGACTTTACACCTGGCTCCTGCGGAGACGTCACCTTCCAGCTGGGGTCCTTCGGGCTCCAACAGAGCGGCTCCCACGCGGATCCCCCTCCTGCTTGCTTTGAGGGTGCTGGTGGGTGGCGCCCGTGATCCACTTGGTCCTTAGGGTCCACGGGTCGGGCCAGGAGCTTGTAGTCGTCCCCTTCCCCACCCCGTCGCCTGCAGTACAGGGTCCCTGGTTCTTCCGCTGGGCTGAGGCCCCTTCCAGGATGGACGTCCTGAGCCCAGAACGTGTGGAAAAGTACGTTCAGAGAGAGGATGGGAAAAAGGGAAGGAGAAGCAGGTGGCAGGAGAACCAGAAGAAACCCCCGCCCCGAAAATGGGGAGAGGGTGACACAGGGACAACCCCCCACCCCCAGTTAGTCAGGGTTCTCCAGAGGGACGGCCCCAATGGGATATAGGTATATATATGAACGGGAATTTATTAGGGAAAATTGGTGCACACGATTTCAAGGCAAAGTCCAATGGTAGACCGTCTGCAAGCTGGGGAGGAGACAAGCCAGCAGAGGCCAGTGCAAGTCAGAAAGCCTCAAAACCAGAAAAGCCCACAGGGCAGCCTTCAGCCCCTGCCAAATGTCCCAGAGACCCCGAAAGTCGGAAACTGCTGGTGCAAGTCCCAGAGCCCGAAGGCCAAAGAACCCGGAGTCTGATGTCCAAGGAGGAAGGAAGCAAGAACTCTCAGGGAACGCAAAGAGAAGCCAGAGAGCTCCACCCGCAGAGTCACCTCACCCTCTCCCGCCTGCTCTCCTCTAGCCCCGCTGGCAGTCCATGGTATGGTGACCATCCACACTGGACACCTAATATTCACCATCACAGCCCTGCAGACCACACTCTCGCCCACACTCCACCCCGACTCCATCTCTCTTCGCGCTGCCCCTGGAAGGGGTGAAGGATCCAGTCTCTCCATGTCCTCACTGTGATTATGATGACAGCCTTCCTACTCGGTGTGAGGTGGCATCTCCTTGTGGGTGTGATTTACGTTTCCCTCATGGCTGTTAATATTGAGCCTCTTTTCATGGGCTTAGTGACCAATGTATACTTCTCTGGAGAAATGTCCATTCAAATCCTTTCCACATATTTATATTGCATTATTTATCTTTATAATATTGAGTTGTAAGAGTGCTTTATAGATTCAGGATACCAGTCCCTTACCAGATATATAATTTGCACATTTTTTCTCCATGCTGTAAGCTGTCTTTTCACTTTCTAAACGGCATTCTTTTATAAGCACAGAAGTTTTACCATTGGAATAAGTCAAATTAAACTATTTTTCTTTCGTCACTAGTGCTTTGGCATACAGTACTTAAGCAGCCTTAGCCAAACCCGACGTCACAAGGATTTACTTCCATGTTTTCTTTTTTCTTTTCTTTCTCTTTCTTTTCCTTCCTTTTATATCCTTTTCCTTCCTTCCTTCCTTTTTTCCTAACTTCCTTCCTTCCTTCTCCCTTCCCTTCCCTTTCAGTTTCCCTTTCCCTTTCCCATTCCCTTCCCTTTCCTTCCTTGACAAAGTTTCCCTCTTGTTGCCCAGGTTGGAGTGCAATGGCGCGATCTTGCCTCACTGCAACCTCCACCTCCTGGGTTCAAGTGATTCTCCTGCCTTGGCCTACCGAGTAGCTGGGATTACAGGTGCCTGCCACCACACCATGGCTAATTTTTGTATTTTTAGCAAAAACAGGGTTTCACCTTGTTGGCCAAGCTGGTCTTGAACTCCTGACCTCAAGTGATCTTCCGGTCTCAGGCTCTCAAAATGTTGGGATTACAGGTACGACCCCACCATGCCTGGCCCTCCAACCCCATTCTTGAAAGCTTTTCTCTCAAAACCTAATGACCTATCAAACTTCCCCCTCCTAGTACACATTGGGGATTAGGTTTGGGGGGACACAGACATTCAGTCTCTAGCACCACATCTGTTGAGTCCTCCATGGAAATAAGGAAGCTGGACAGCCTCCTCCACACAGTCTCCCCTTGACTGCCATCGCCTCGGAGTGACATTAAGTAACTCACTAAGGCCAATGGCTGGGCTTCCTTGGGGACAGTTCCAAGGGCTGGTTCCTTGTTTGTGTCTGGGGATCCTTCCCTGCTTCTTTGCACATCTTATGTTTTTTGAGATGAAACTGAACATTTACAAGAATACAACGTGGCATCTCTGAGAATCAGATGTCCCCTCTCTTCAAGGTGTGTTGCTGCTGCTTGTTTACTGACTTTCCTGGATGGATCTTATAACATCTGTATTCCCTGTCACAGGTGGACCCTGAAGTCTCTGCTCAGTTAGGTGAGGTTGGATAGAGGTTTGCATCAATGCCTTGAGCCGGTAAGTCTCTCCTCAGTGCGGAGGGCTTTGTGTGTGTGGTGCACTCCTGCCCCTGCCGCACTCAGGCGGGCAGCTGATGTCACCACTGCAGCTCCACTTCCTGCCTGCACACAGCCTCCAGGTCAGCCAAAGGTCAGAGATGTGGCCTTCTCAGGTGCTTCCTGGGCACGTGCCGGCCCCTATGCACATCTTATTCCCCAAATCTTTCTCTCAATTTCCCCCACTAGTCTCTTGTTTGTCCCACATGCAAACGGTGAGGTTGTACAGTTGGAATGATTGCTTTTAGCCAGTGGTCTGAGGATCTGGCTTTTCCCCTAGAGAGAGACCTCAGCTGGTCAAATAATGACAAACCCAATGAATGGGGCTTTTCCAGTGAGTCCCAGACTAGTCAAATAGAGTTCTCTGGGGCAGGGGCTTTTGAGGGGCTCCAAGCCCAGCATGCCCCTCCAGTGAGTGGAGACTGTGTCCTTGCAGCTGTCACGGACATGGTGAGTCCACTGTTTTCTGGGCACAATAAATCAGGATATATTGTGCAGACAAGAAATACGAAGAAATATTAGGAGGAAGAATATAAATTTTCAAGTACGAGTTGGGAAGAATTAGAAAAAAAACAATGAGGAAAGGGGCAAGGTTGGCTTGGTTGTAGCTAACCTGGTGGAGAAACACAGCCATCTGTGATAGAGGGCCTAAGCTGTTAGGTTCCCCTCCAATGGTGAGACCACCTCCACAACCTGCCCTGTGTCCTCCTCTCTCCTGAGGCTGAATGCAGCTCTTGTGCCTTCAGTGCCAAGAATGCCACAGTCCCAGACCAGAGGAAGAGCTGATGTGGACGGTGGAAAAGGAGGGGGTGGGTGTAGAAGGAGAAGGCTGACAGCAAGGATTTCCTGAGGATAAACAAAAAAAATGTCACTTGAAACTGGCAAAAAAAAAAAAAAAAAAAAAAAAAAGTAAGGGTATAAAGAACAAGATGGAAATGGAAATCTTGTATAATTTCATTATGCAGTGTTTAATTTTAGGGTTTGGCACTTTCACGTATAACTTTTATACAATTATCATCATATACAACTTACGATTATTTTAAATGACTAGAGTTTAGTTTTTGATCTGGGTTAGCGTTCATAGTGCAAAGTTCTCTCGTTCCACTCAGTTAACCCCATTTTTTGGAGGGCTCTATGTCATTTTATTTTACTTACGAATCTTTAATTTTAACCTTTATTATAGATTAAAGGGTACACATACAGGTTTGTTACATGGGTAGATTTTGGAAGGCTGAGGCTTGGTGTCCCAATGATCTCATCACTCAAACAGTAAGCATGGTACCCAACAGGTGGTTTTTCAGCCCAGGTGCCCCTCCTGTCTCACCTGTCTAGTAATCTCCAGTGCCTCTGGTTCATGTGAATTCAATGTGTAGCTGCCACTTTCCAATGGGAACATGCAGTATGTAGTTTTCTGTTCTTGCATTAGGTTGCTTAGGATAATAGCCTCTAGTTCCATCCATGTTGCTGAAAAGGACATGATTTTGCTGTGTTTGGTGGCTGCATAGATTTCCATGGTGTTTATGTACCACATTTTTTTCATTCAATTCAGTGTTGCTGGGCACTTAGGTTGATTCTGTGTCCTTGCTAGTAAGAATAGCACTGTAATGAACATATTGGTGCAGGTGTCTTTTGGATAAAATGAATTCTTTTCCTGTGGATATATCCCGAGTAGTGGGATTGCAGGCTTGAATGGTAGTTCTATTTTAAGTTCTTGGAGAAATCTCCAAACTGCTTTCCATAGCGGCTGAACAAGTTTGCTTTCCCACCAACAGTGTCTGTTTCTTTTCCTCTGCAGCCTCACCACCATCTCCAACTTTGTGACTGGTAAGAGATGGTAACTCATTGCAGTTTTGATTTGCACTTATCTGATGATTAGTGATATTGAGCATTTTTTCACGTTTGTTGGCCACTTGTATGTCTTCTTTTGAAAAGTGTCTGTTCATGTCTTTGCACATTTTTTAATTGGGTTTTTTTTTCTTGCTTGTCTAATTGTTTAAGTACTTTGTAGATTCTGGATATTGGACCTTTGTCAGATGCAGAGTTTGCAAATAGTTTCCCCATTCTACACGCTGTCTGTTTACCGTGTTGCTAGTTTCTTTTTCTGTGCAGAAGCTCTTTAGTTTAATGAGGTCCCATTTGTCAATTTTTGTTTTTGTTACAATTGTTTTTAGTGTCTTCTTCATGAAATCTTTGCCAGGCCCTATGTCCACATTGGTATTTCTTAGCTTATATTCCAGGATTTTCACAGTTTTATTACCTGCGCAACATAGGAAGACCCAATCTCTACCTAAATATAAAACAATTTGCCAGGCATGGTGGCATGCGCCTGTAGTCCCAGCTACTCTAGAGGCTGAGTCTAGAGGATCACTTGAGCCCAGGAGTTGGAGATTACAGTGAGTGATGACTATGCCACTTCACTCCAATATGGTTGACAGAATGAGAAAATGTAAAAAAACTATAATGATAAAAAGGATTAATACAATTCTTGGTCAGTGCATGGAAAGGATCCCTGAGGTCTGAAGTCCTGCATGCTATTTTACTAGCAATACCGTTTCGAAGAATAAGGTCATGCTTCAGAGAAATGTCTGCTTTTCCACAATCAAAGAAGTAGAAAGAAAATGCCTTTTGCTGGGATTTCTTGTTCAGTTAAAACTTGTGCAGGAATTCCATCCATTAGCACCGAGAGAAAGTGGCAGAAGGTGTTAAGAAAAATGGCTGGCCGGGCGCGGTGGCTCACGCCTGTAATCCCAGCACTCTGGGAGGCCGAGGCAGGTGGATCATGAGGTCAGGAGATCGAGACCATCCTGGCTAACAAGGTGAAACCCTGTCTCTACTAAAAATACAAAAAATTAGCCGGGCGCGGTGGCGGGTGCCTGTAGTCCCAGCTACTCGGGAGGCTGAGGCAGGAGAATGGCGTGAACCCGGGAAGCGGAGCTTGCAGTGAGCCGAGATTGCGCCACTGCAGTCCGCAGTCCGGCCTGGGCGACAGAGCGAGACTCCGTCTCAAAAAAAAAAAAAAACAAAAAAAAAAAAAGAAAAATGGCTGCTGGGATCATGAGCGAAGGTAATGAGTGGCCTGAGATGTTGAGCCGACAATGTCCTCATCATCTGCTGGGGGCCTCTGGGCTTGCTAAGGCTTGAACTCCTGCTTTCCAGAAAGGCACAGTGGTGAGTAGACAGGCGGCCTCCCTGAAGGGAGAGCAGGAACCAGACCAGGCTAACAGAGGCTTCTTGATATCACCTTCCACCTTGAGGAAAGATGAAGCATTGGTTTAAGTGGCTGAGAAAAACCTGGGTCTGTTCTCCTGGGTGATCCTTCCCAGGCCCTCCCCATTTCAGAGCTTCTCCCCCAGATAAGGAACATGTTTTTCCCTCCAACCCTACCCCTGGCTGTGCAGCCTTTCCCAACCTCCACCCTCCTTCACCACACCACAGAGGCAGCCCAGGTCCTGTTACAGCCCATAGGGGCTCAGACCTGAGGCTGGTAATGAGGGGTCTGCACCCTCACTCAGGGCCTGCTCCTCCCTTTCATAGAAGGGTCTAGAGGACCTGGGGGAGCCCTGTCCAAAGAGAGGTCTCTGGATCCATGTTCCCTGGCCTTGGGTGGGTTTGTAGGCAAACCTTCTTTCTCCTTCGCTCTCAGCCTCTCCTCACCCTGGGAGCTGCACCCATAGCTCTGAATGGGACTGTCCCTGCCCTGCCCCATTCATTCCTGGCCAAGCTCAGTGGTGACCACGGACCTCTAGCAGCAGCTCAGCTGCCCTAGCTGAGTCCACTCTGCTCCAGGCAGGGCCATCAGCTGGCTCAGGATCTGGAGTGTGCACGAGGCAGAATGGCAGTGGCATCGTCCCAGGGCCTAGCCAGGAATCCCATGGGTCCAAGGGGCTCGGCCATTTCCTAAACCTCATCCTGGACACGCTCTACTCTTCACCTTCCACCTTAACTGCTGGGACTCAAGGTGCTCTCTCTGGGAATGCAGCCTTAGGAACTGGGTGGGCCAAGGCCCTCACAGCCCCCTCGTCCTGGGATTCCCCCAGGTTTCTCTCTTCTTAGCCTCCTCCAGGGACACCCCTTCCCTTGACATCCTTGGTGAAGTGGCCATGCTACTCCTCTCCTACTGTGCAGACTGCCCATGCCTGAGTTCCTGCTGCCTGCAGGCCACACACCACTACCCTTCCCAGATAGAAACCTGCTGTGAAATAGGCCTGAACTGTCTAAACCCTCTTGAACTCAACCGGCCCTGAGCCTTGATATGGGTCCCTCCCTTTCCCTCTGGCCCTGATGGTGAGAATCCATCAGAACTCAAGGTTGAGCTGCCCAGGTCATTGCAAACAGGCGACACCAGGTCTCATTCACCTGTCTCATGTCAGAACGAGAAGGTCCCGGCCATGGGGAGAGGTGGGACTCTGGAAATTCTCCTTTCCCTTCCTCCCACCTCACCCATCTGTCTCTCGTTCCCCTCACAGTTTTGCCCACAGTACCTGTCACTCTAAATGACTCTTCTCAGATGCCAGGGAGGATGAAGCAGAGGATGATGAGGAAGCTCCAGGGACTGAGGGTGGTGGCTATGGCTTTGGGTTGAGCTAAGCCTGGGGCCATGGTGGGTGGTGCTGAAAGGGAAACACAAAAGTGACAACTCTTGTCCACGCTCCAAATCTGAGGAGATGGCTCCTTAGCTCCTGCTACCCCAGGTCATCCGGGAAGGCAGAGGATTTGTCTCCCCTGCTGTGGGGCAGCCGCTGTGACAGGTCCTGGGGGTAGGAAGGGAGAAGGGGTGCTCCCTGTCCTCAGGGAGCTCACACAGCTGCTGAGGGAAGCAAGGTGACAGCACAGCCCACCCTCCTGCTGTGGCGGAAGAGGAGGTGATGCCCTAGGGCCGGGACAGGAGAGTCTCGGGGCTGCCATTCGAGGTGGTTTTGATGGATTTCCAGAAACAAACCAAGGGAGAGGAAAGGAAAAGTGATCCTAGGAGGAGGGAAATCTAAGGAGAAAGGTCTAGAAACACAATGACGCCCACAGTTTTGAGGCTGGTGAGAAATCCACAGTGAGTGGAGCAAAAGCAAGTGCAGTGAGGAAGAGGAGTCAGGAGGGAGAGCATAGGCACCCCAAGGAGGAGGCCCCCATGAGGGGTTCATGTTCTTACACTCACTCAAACACACACTCACACTCACACATACATAGACTCACACCCACTCACACCCATACACCCACACCCACCATACTCAGACACTGACAGACAAGGGTGTAACTCGATGGCATCTCCAACATGCTCCCAGTGCTCCCCTGTCAGTTACCTGTGGGTTCCAGCCTCTTCTTCCTGTGCATCAGGAAGTCCCTAAGCCAGCTCTTGCAGTCTCTCATTGAGACCATCTTGAAGAAGGTGGTCAGTCCGCTATCCTTCTCCCACTTCTCTTTCATCCGCCTGGCTCCAGCGTGAACCACTGTCCACTTTCTGTTGTTTGAGTCAAAGAGGAGGAACTTCCGTCCATCGAAGCTGAACTGCCAAGATCCACGGATGTATCCATCGGCTTCACACTCACAAGACATCCTGACCTGCAGCGTGAGGGGTCCTGCCCCAATCAGAAAGAGATCAGCCCTGGTGTTTACAAATTCTCTTCCCTGTCCCACATCCTCCTATGCTGAGACCATTCTCATCTGGTCCTGTTGTCTCCTCCAAGTCCTGCCCTTGCTGCTGGGCTTCATGGAGGTCCCATGTCTAATTTCTTCTCCCCACACACAGAACAGCCCCTGAGCCCACAGTCTGCTCCCTTCTGTCCTTGGTCTCTTTCACTCACCACTGGGTGTGAAATCCTCCAGCTCAGTGTCAGCCAGTTCCAGTCTGAGCCTCTGCCCCACCTCTCTCAGCATTTCCAGTTGTTTTCCCCAGGCATCTGTGGCATACAGCTGCTCTTCTAGGTGACCCATAGATAAGACCTTGTCACTGCCACAGTCATAGGAGAGAAAATTCTTCTGATCCACCTGGCTCTGGACCTCACACCACTGTTGCCCATGTCTGGGCAAATGAATGATGGTGAAGTTATACCAGAGAGAGTGAGCGTCTAAGGAAAAAAAAAAAAAACACCAGAGAGTGTTGGGGTGGGGGAAAGACCCCAAACACTGTGACAGCAAGAGGGTTTCCTGAAGGGCTGGGCTGGCAGAGCATGGATTTCTCTTCCTGGACGGTGGTCTCTGCCTGTGGAGGAACCATGGGTCGCTAACATGTCTATCTCCCCACTCTGCCCAGGCCTATACTCACATCCGTCAGCACAGGACCCTGCCAGGGAGGTGGCAGGCCCACTACAGGAAGAAGGACTTAGATGGCAGGATCTGCAGGAGCAGCCCAGGTGGACTGCAAGAGGCGGGAGAGTGTGGGAGGGCACCCTGAGGATGTTGGAGCGTGGTGCAGTGGGTACGATGTAGTTAACATTGGATAAGGATGAGTTCATTTATTATGGGTAACAAGACATGGTAAGTTCCCTGGAATGTGGTCAGCTGCTAGTAGGTTGCCCTTGGAACCTTGGAAAAAGGAATGACCCACACCGCATGAAACAGAAAACCCAGGTCTTACGTGGCAGGTTGTACAGGAAGGAACAAAATACTAAGAGAAGTGCCCATGCCAGAGTGACTGCAGTATGAAAATCCAGAACAATGTTCACCCTCTGTGCTCAAGGGAAGCCTGGAAGACTCCTGTTTACCTAGCATATAAAGAAGGCCCCAGGAGAAGGCAGCAGACTGTCAAGAAGCTCAGGGATGCCTGTTGCTGAAGCCCAGGGTCAGGGGTAGGAGATGCTCTTCCTGAAATGGGCTCCCAGTAGTAATGGGGATGGAAAATCCTGAAATAAGAGATCTCAAGTGGAGGCCGTCAACTGTCAGCAGGAAGGAGGGTGCAATGATGGAAATAATTAGAGAAGTCACAATGCTAGCTGGGGTCCTCAGTCTTACAAAGCTATGCCCATGGCTCATAGAACAAAAGGGTCCAAGATCCAAAAGAGATGGAGACTCCACCCGGATACTACTAGATTTAAATAATTACCACAAAGACAAAATGCAAGGATGGATGACCAGGAGGCTGAAAGTTGTCACCCCGGGAAATAACTGAGCTCCCTCGCCCAGCTTTGAGAACTGAGCCACATCTCAGACGCAGAGTCCATTACTAGAAGGAGAGCCCAGAGCCCCTGGTGGGCTCCTTCAACCCCACAGCAATTGCAATGACTCCTTCAGCCTCCCCCACAGAGCCAGATGGGTAGTCACTCTGGTAACTGTACACCATGAAACAGCAAATACTCAGACACTCCTAGTGGACACAGTGTGTGATCCGAGCTCTTCCCAGGGATGTGAAGCATTAACTTGCTCCCCTGTTACTCATGAGGTGCATTTGGGGCAAAGTAACAGATGGACTTCTGTGTCAGGTCCAGCTTAGAGGGATGTGCTGGGTTCATAGACCCATTCAATGGTAATTTCACATTTCCTGGATTTCTACCGGGAATGGATAGTGTTTGTAGTTAATGTAGTAACTATTATAGTTTGTGCTGGTCATATGACCTCCCCTGTCACTACTCAACTCTGCTCTTATAGCTGGGATGCAGCCATACACACTCTGTGATGAGGGGTGTGGCTGGACCTGCCACTACAGCTATTTGACCCTGGACTCCCTAAGATCCCAGAAGCATGTGTGGTTGGAAAAGGTGCTATGTGGATTTCATGGCTATTCCCAACCACAGAATCCAACAGGGTCCCCTAGTGCTCAGAAGCAAAGCTGTGCCACTCACAGCAGTGAAATCCCCTCATTTAAAAGTGGCTCCTGCTGTGGTCCTGGGCCCCTGTGGAGATGGGCCTCCAGCTATGGGAGGGCAGTGACCACACAGCCTCAGAGCTGCCCATCACAGGGTGTGCTCCTCACCCTTTAGGTCATTAGGAAGATAGGCCCCACAGTGAGAAGACACAGGTGGGTCTCCTGGGATGGGCAGGAGCAGGGCCACAGGGAACCAAGAAGCTGCACAAGCAGTTGGCTCTGATCCCCAGGACACCACATGGCTACACCCCCCCACCCTCAGGTCACACCTGAGGCTTCAGGGAGGGTCCCTGAATGGCCCCTGGGGACCGTTAATGCTACTCAGCAACAAAGGAGGGGAGCAGTAGGCCCCGAACCATGGGACTCCCCCTCACATTCATCACATCCACACCTCCCAGAAGCCACAGGCAGGGTAGGACACACTTGTGACTCTTCAACTTACACAACTTAGAGATGACACCCTAGGGGATGGGGCAGCAATTGCCAGGACACAGCATGTGCCCTCATCTGGAGTCTGCAACCTAGGACAGGGTCCATTTCAGGTTTCTCTTTTACTTGCAGGTTGCCATTGCCTGCTGTTGCTCTACAAAGGGACGGGACTTGACACAGAGACAGAGAACTCACGGCCAGCAAGGACCAAAGTGCCTTCAGCCTTTCCTTTCTAGAAAGGGTTTGCTGACTCCTGTCTGCTTAGTGACTATTCTATATGACGCTGGCGTCACCCATGTCTTGACCCCAGCTCGGGTTCCGGGGGCTCTGGTTTCTCCTTCCCGAGGACGAGTGGGGCTGCGGGGTTGCACCAGGGATCCCCTCCCCACCTCGCCCTCTGCAGCTTTTTGGCCCCTCCACCCTCCTGCGGTTCTTTTTTCGCCTTCTTTGACCCCCCTCCTGCTCTGCAGGGCAAGCAGCAGCCGCAGGAAGCGGACCTGGCGAAAAAGAGCAGCGAATCGGAACTGAGCGTGGGGGCAGTCCGGGGAGATCGCGCCGGTCCTTCTAGAAGGCTTCCCTCCTCTGAAACCCGCTGCAGTCCACAGCCCCCCAGGTTTGGCCCCCGCCCCGCTTAGGCTCCATCCCCGAACTCACCGGCCCGCCCCGTCCCGGACCAGTCGAATAGCAGGTACGGAAGAATCGCGAGGCGCGGAAGGATCGCGGGGCTGGCGGCCGCTGCCATTGTAGACCAGGAGCGCCCGGGACACAAGGCGCAGTCGATGTGGAGACCAGCGTATGAATCACTTCGGCCCTCGCATGCCAGCTAGTGATTGAGTGTGCTCGGCCCCGTCCGGTCCCGTCCCGCCCCGGGATCCAGGGGAGCCTACGCCTGCCCACGTTTGGAGGGATGCTCCGCCCTATCCCGCCCCGTCCCGCCCTTCCCCGCCCCACCCCAGGCTGGGACCCGGGGAGCCTATGCCTGCTGTGGCTCCGCTTCGTCCCGCCCCGGGCTCGTGGCCTGACAGCGGCCCCCTCTGGCCAACCCTTACCCTCCACCCCAGGCTCCGCGCGGGCCAGGACACGATTCCTTCTTGACCGCCTCATTTAATTTTTTAACACACCATTTATTATTACCCCAATGTAAGCACTGATGCACAGGAAAGCGAAGAAACTTGCACAGGGATATCCAGTGGCGGCTGTGTCCCCCCGTCACTGCCTCCGCCAGCGACACCTGCCCTCCTTCAGCCTGCGCCAAGGAGTCCCCGCCCCTCTCCGTCCAGGGCGCAGCTGCTTCCCAGTCCGGAGCAGACCTTCTTTGCCTCTCCACTAAAAGCATGAGGAATATATAGAATATATATAGAATAAAGTATATTCTATATCCCTTTATGACTTCTGGGAAAAAAAAGAAAGAAAAGAAAGCCCTAGTGGCCTACCGTGATCAGTGATCAAATGATCAATTGTGTTTCCATGGAGAGCAGAAGCCGAGGGAGGGTCTACGCATGCGTGGGGCTCACTTTGCTGTACACCCATCTGTGGCCAGCTACACGCAAATCCATGGCTGCACGCGCATCTCTGCCCTGTCCCTGGATGGTGACTGCAGCCATCCTCAAAGCGGCAACCCGAGTGTATCCTCGTCTCAGTCACCATGGAAACATCTAGATCTGTGGGCAGAAGCCAGAGGGAGGTGATGGGCCCAGTGGCCCTTGGCCGCAAGGGAGGGCTTTAGCCTGGGATGAGGAGTGGACAGAGATCTTGAGTGCCACTCAGGCCCCAGCCACTCAGCCCATTCCCTATTGAATGAGAAAAATCGGCACAGACCTCCCACTCCGTACAGTCTTCATGTTGGGATCACCTGCACCTGGTGATCATCAATCCCGAGGGTCCTGAGGCTGTGGGAAAGAGGAGGAGGCCTGGACAAAGCCCAGGGCCTGTTTCTGCTTCAGGACAGAGTCATGGGAGGGCAGCCACCTCTGTGACTGAGCAGGGACACAGGAGCCTAGAAGATTCTGGCCTGATGCACTAGAGCCCCTGTGCAGGAGGGGCCATGTGGAGGGTAGTTTGGAGGACAACAGACACACAAGGGTGGGCAGTTCTCAGATTTGGGAGGGGCAGAGCTTGGCGGGTCCCAGGATCTGTGTGTGAGAAGAGCCTCCCATGTACAGGGCTGGGGGCAGGAGCCCAGGTTAGTCCTGGGAGGAGGCCTCTGGGAAGGCCCTGGCAGCACCACCCCGAGGCCAGGTGACCTGGGCCAGTGACTGGGGGAACAGGAGGAAGGTAGAAGGAGGCTGGCAGGAGAGCCCCAAGCAGGACAGGAGGAGGGGCTTTTGTGCACACCTGGGCCCTCCTGACTCACCCCTGCTGCAGGCATCTGGCCAACAGACTCAGGCCTGCCCAGGATGGGGATAGAAGTGGCCCAAATGTTATTGTAATGGCCGGGATCTAGAGATCATGCATTCAGATATGGAA